>NC_000006.12:150070790-155070790 GCF_000001405.40 Homo sapiens
GTCAGCTGATATTGTGGCTGAATATTCCTGTGCAAGCTTCTTCAGCTTTCTAGGAATGGATGTCTGCATGTGGAAAATGACAAATGCTATGAACACAGATGAAATGAGCAGATTCTACAAGGAACCCTGTCCTTGCACATGCTAAGGACCCAGGGCAGGTCTCCTATTTCAGTTGTGAGGCCTCCAGCTCTCCCTGAAGTCAGCAACTGCCAGGCCCACCCTGAGGAGAGCTGGATCTCTGAGCCCAGGCCATGGCCTCTTCATGGCCCTGGGGGCGCTGTGATGGGGAGGAAATGAAAACAAGACCCACCATCAAGACTCAGGCATGTTTTTCAGACCCACAGAGGATGATTTTTCTCTCCATCACCTGGTGAGCCTGACGTGATGTAAGGGTGGTTGGAAGCTGAGTGAACCAGTGAATGAATGAGACAGTTGTGGGAGTGAATGGGACTCAGAAGAATAGCACAGGTTCAGAGGGGAGCTGGAGCGGAGGTTGTAACCCCCAGCGGCCTGAAGGTGGCAGCATCGAGGTTGGTAATTTTTTTTTTTTTTTGCCTTTTTTAGTTGTTGGGTTTTATTTGTTGTTTTCCGGTTTGTTTGTTTTTGAGACAGTCTCACTCTGTCGCCCAGACTGGAGTGCAATGGGACGATCTCAGCTCACTACAATCTCTGCCACCCGGGTTCAAGCGATTCTCTTCCCTCAGCCTCCCGAGTAGCTGGGATTAGAGGCACCTGCCACCACCCCCGGCTAATTTTTGCAATTTTAATAGAGACAGGGTCTCACCGTGTTGGCCAGGCTGATCTCGAACTCCCGGCCTCAGGTGATCTGCCTGCCTCGGCCTCCCAAAGTGTTGGGATTACAGGCGTGAGCCACTTCGCCTGGCCCCAACTTGGAAATTTGAATCTCCACCTGGGTGTCCACAAAGATTTTCCAAGGAAGAGTAACTTTGGTTTTCAACCAGTCTGGGGGGTGCTTCATCAGGATAGAATCTTCTAGAAAACATAGTGTGATGACGGACAGCAAACTGCTGTCTTCAGTTGGTTTGACTGAGCCTAGAGTGCACCAGGGCCAGGAAAATCTTGTCTTTTTCTTGCCTTTTTTTTTTTTTGAGACGTTGTCTCATACTATCGCCCGGGCTGGTGTGCAGTGGTGTGATCTAGGCTCGCTGCAACCTCCGCCTCCCGGGTTCAAGCGATTTTCCTGCCTCAGCCTCCTGAGTGGCTAGGATTACAGGCATCCCCACCATGCCCGGCTAGTTTTTTGTATTTTTAGTCGAGATGGGGTTTCACTATGTTGGCTAGGCTGGTCTCGAACTCCTGATCTCATGATCCGCCCGCCTTGGCCTCCCAAAGTGCTGGTATTACAGGCGTGAGCCACCGCGCATGGCTGAAATACTTGCCTTTTAAGCAAAGAAAGAACGAGTCTGAAAGTGGGAATGGAAATGGGAAAAGATAACCGGGCCAGGAGGAAAGAGGAGAAAAGAAGGGTTGGGGTCTGAGAGGTAGCAAGGATTCAAGCATTTCCTGCCCCATGGCCTGGAGTTGCAAGTGGGCGGGGCAGGGCTACTGGAGCTGTGACAGCCTTGAGGGCCAGGGTGACTCACGCAGCGGCTCTCTGCTTCCTCTGGGTGTGTCACACCCTGGGCTCCTGGTCCCCAGTGGCACAGGTGCTGGCGCGAAGTTGGGTGTTTGCCTCCAGCCTCTGCTCCTGCTGCCAGGCTGGTCCAGGGCAGGTTGGGGCGGGGCAGTGAGTTCTAGGGCTGGACCCTAAGCAGGGGTGTGGGCAAATATGGGGGTCTTGGACTGCAGGGGGTCAGGAGAGGGGAGGCTTCTGGAAGTTCCTGAAGGTTGCCCTGGGATTTAATGCGACATTGCTAGCTAGAGCCAGCTTGGCATGGGGAGAGCGATGCGAGACTGATGAAAAGCGTGCAGCCTGATTTAAAGCCAAACCCTGAGTCCTTTCTAAGAACAATAAAGCATATTGTAGTCGCTAAAAGAAACAAATACAAAAAAAATTAAAAAGTAGCCTTTCTTCGCAGATACAGCACGTTTTATTTTTAATCTTTACATTTAACATTGTCTTTTGAAAATAGTGTATATTATTTGATATTTTAAAATCCAACCTGGGAGTTTCAGTGATTTATGTGATAAGTTTAGTAGTTCACTTTTATTGTAATTACTACTGTTTAGGATTTAGCTCTGCCATCTTTTTTATTTATTATTTATTTATTTTTATTTATTTATTTTTTCTCTGTCGCCCAGGCTGTAGTGCAGTGGCACGGTCTCGGCTTGATGCAAGCTCCTCCTCCTGGGTTCATACCGTTCTCCTGCTTCAGCCTCCCGAGTAACTGGGACTATAGGCGCCCGCCACCACGCCCAGCTAGTTTTTTTTTTTTTTTTTTTTTTTTTTTTTGTATTTTTAGTAGAGACGAGGTTTCACCTTGTTAGCCAGGATGGTCTCAATCTCCTGACCTTGTGATCCACCCACCTCTGCCTCCCATAGTGCTGGGATTACAGGCATGAGCCACCGTGCCCAGCCTATCTATTTATTTTTTTTAAGATATGGGGTCTTCCTCTGTTGCCCAGGTTGGAGTGCAGCCGCGTGGTCATAGCTCACTGCAGCCTCTAACTCCTGGGCTCAGGCCATCTTACTGCCTCAGCCTCCGAGTAGCCAGGACTACAAGCATGCGCCACCCACTGGGCTAATTTTCTATATTTGTCTGTAGAGATGGGGTCTGCCTATATTGCCCAGGCTGGTCTTGAACTCCTGAGCTCAAGCGATCCTCCTGCCTTGGCCTCCCAAAGTGCAGGGATTACAGGCGTGAGCCACTGTGCCTGGTGCACATGTATTTATTGTGTTTTTTATTGCTGGCATTTCCCCTCCGTAACTGTGTTCTATTTAGTATACTGAGGGTTTTTTTTCTGTTGGTTTAAAAGTTATACATTCTAGTTTTCTTCTCAGGGTGGCTGCCCTTAACCTATGACTCATACCAATATGTGTCACATTTATTGGTATTATTGGTTTTGTTTTATTCCTAATTTTAGAAGTCTCAGCATGTTTTCCTATCCCTTTCGTGTGCCACCTCCAGCCCCATTTTCCTGATATCTTTCCTAGCTGTAATTCTCGGTTATTCTTAGCTACACTTCTTTGTTTCTGTGATCCTAACTTCACATTTCCCCTTGTTGTGAAATAACAGTAATCTGGAATAGATTCCTTAGTCACTTGTCCTCCTCGGTTCTCTTGTCGTATCTCCTGTGTTTCTCTCGCTATTGAGGTAACTTCCTCTAAACTATTTCCAACTTGGATCTTTAGGAGGCAAATATCCTTCAAGTTTTCTACGTTTTGAATATTTCTAATACACTGTGGTGGGCAGGATTCGGCAGCTGTCCCTTCAAGTTTCCTGTACCTTTCTAGAACAATATGTTCTAGAAAACACTGATGATAGGACAACTAACGGCTGTCTTAGCCTGTTTGTTTGAGCCTGGTGCATACCAGCGGCAGGAAAATCCAGTATTTTAAGCAAAGAAGGAATGCATATGAAAGTGGGAATGGAAATGGGAAAGGAAAGGGGACAAGGAAGAAGGGGATGGAGATAATAAGGGGTGAGGGCCTAGAGAAACCAGCTGCTCCTCGTCTAGGCACCGCTAGTCTAGGTACTGTGAGTCTAGGTACCACTAGTCTGGGCACTGAGAGTCTAGGTACCTCTAGTCTAGGCTCTGCACAGTCATAATTAAAGCTACTCATCAGTTGACCTTAAAATAGAGAGATTTTACTGGATTCTCTGAGTGGGCCCAGTGCCATTACATGAGCTCTAAAAAGCAGAGAATTTTCTCAGGCTGGAGCCAAGAAATATGCGTCTAATGTCAGAGAGATTCTAAGCATGAGAAGGATTCCATGCACTGTTGCTGGCTCTGAGATGTGGGGGCCATGAGCAAGACTGGAGAGGGGCCTCTGGGAGTTAGGGAAGGGCTGCAGCTGACAGCCTGCAGGGAAGCTGAGACCTCAGTCCCACAGGTCCAAGGACTGGATTCTGCCAGCAACCTGAGTGCACTTGGAAGCAGATACTTCCTAGAACCTCCCAATCAGAGCCCAGCGGGTGGACACCTTGACCTTGACCTTGAGGAACTGGGAGCAGAGAAACAAATCAAGCCATCTCAGACTTGCAACCTAGAGGACTGTGAAATAATAAAGATGTACAGATTTAAGCAGATAAGTATGTGGCAATTTGTTATAGCTGCAACAGAAAAGATATCTTCCTGTTTAAATGAGAATTTGACTGGATATAAAATTCTAGGCTGAAGTTCTTTTCCTTCATATTTTAGAAAGAATACTCCATTGTTATCTTGCAACCAGGGTTGCTGTTGTGTAGTCTGAGAGCCAAATGTTTCCTTCTTTCTTCCATTGTTTCTCTGGGGTAATATGGGGGAGGGAGCCAGAAGCCTGAGATTCTTTCCTGTCTTCATCCAGTGGATTTGTACCGTTCCAGGCTGTTAGTCACAGTCTCAAAGAGGTGGAGAATGGTTTCTAGTTTAACCTACCTTTTCATAGAAGCACTTGTAGATTGGACAAGTTTATTGGTTTTCTCTTATTCGACTACTGCTAGTCTTCTCTCCTTCTATCTTTTATAAATATTAAATTTATTGAGATGTAATTTACAGACAATACTCCTTTGTGAACATAGGAGCTTAAAGTCTCTTATCTTTGGGAGTATATTGAAACATGTAGGCATTTGGCCATATGATAAGGCATGTTCCCAAGCTATAAACATTAAACAGATGAATGATATTACTTCAGTCATGAATCATCTTACTAACATGCCAATTCTGTAGAAAATCACATTTCTAGCAGTGCTTGCTTCAGGTTTGCAGGAGAGAAAAACAACAATGTTTTCACTGGACATTGGCTTTTAGACAAAATGAATGCTAGAACTCTATTAAATTCATTTTTACTTCCTATCATTTCTATATTTTATAGATTTCATAAAATCGGCCCACAGTCTTAAATTTATGATAATTGTAATAGATATCTTAGTAAAATACCCAATCTCTTTCAGTTACTGGAAACACTTATAAATTCTAGGCTTTAACAACAAATAGCACATTGTAGAACAGCAGTGTCGTTTAAAAACTGAACTTAGTTGAGTTAATCAGACGTGACAGGATATTTTATGACCCTAACAGAAGCTTAATGAACAATGTTGAATAGATTTCAATACTTTTTATAATATATCTAAACTGTGTCAATTATGGTAACACTGCCTTTGAGAAGAAATCATCAGTTTTGGATTTAACATACAGGATGGCACCCTAGAAAATGTTAAAACGTCAGGAGAATTGTACCTTTAAGAGTGGAAATGAGTAATGAAAATACACATTACCAGAGTCACCTCCTGGGATGCCTGGACATTTACTTGGGATTTGAGCATTTTTCTGCCTAGAAACGGCAAAACTGACTGTTTAGCTGTAACTGGCAGGCACCACGTGCCATAGCAACAACAGAGCAAGAAAACCAGGAAAAGCTTTTGCTCAAAATAAAGTTATTTCAAATCTTGTTTTCAAAGCTTTTTTGCTGAGGTGCCTCTTCCACCCAAGAAACTAACAAAGAGCCACAGCAGCACCAATGATGACCAGCGAGAGCAGCACTGTGCATGTAAAATCCAGTAAAGCACTCTGCCCCGAGGATTCATCACTGCAGCTTTCCTAAGGGTTAGAATGTTTTCTACCTGACTGATCCGGGAATGTGCAAGCCAAAAAATTAACAAAAATGATCCCTGGCTTGTGGAGATCCACAGGCATTGAACAGAATCAAACATAATATCTCTGCAGAACACAACCTCACGTAGGCAACAGAGGTTTCCTGCAGTAAGAAAGCCATGCCACAAAAAGCTCAGAAACCTACAGAATGTGTCGAGTCAAACCACAGTAAGTGAGTGAGCCAATCCCACAGAGTAGGTTCGGCCCTGAAGAACTACAGATATTAGAACTACAAAGAAAATAGTAAAATATGTATCCTTAAATCATTAAAGACATAATAAAACACACTGCAAATATTGAGACATTGTCAAAAAAGACTAGTTGTATCTAAAATAGAAAAAACCAAGCAGCACTTACAGCAATGAAAAATATGTTAATTAAAATTTGAAACTCAACACACTGATGAAGCAGCATATTAAATAGAGGATGAAGTCACTGAACTGGATGGATCTGAAGAAATCATTCAAAATTTGGTAGAGAGAGAGTTTCATGCTGAAACTGCAAGAGAGAAGTGTAAAGATATGGATGTACAATGAAAAAGGCCAACCTGCCTCTAACTGGACTTCCAAAAGGAGAGCAGAAAATGAGGGAGAGGAAATTTTCAAAGAGCTAATGGCTAAGAACTTTTCAGATTTTATGAAAGACATAGATTCTCAATTTTAGGAAACATAACAAATCTCAATTAGAATAAATAAAAATAAATTCACTCCTAGGTGCATTGTGATGAAATTGCAGAATATCTTAAAGGTCGTCTTCAAGAAGAATATCTTTGAAGAGAACAACTTAAAAGAGAAAAATTTAAAAGCAACTGTTGATAAAATACAATCAATAGGAAAGACAATTTGATAACAGCCTCCTAGCCAGTTTTTAAAATTTGCAGCCATTGTCTCTCAAAATATGCCTTCTGTGTTGTCTTTTACCTGTGCTTTTAGGATTCCAATTAAATGTGGGGTGAACCATTCCATAGTGTCTGCCACAGCAGCTGTGGCTTCTGAATTTTACTGTCTCTTCTAAATTTTTCTACCCTTCGGTCTTCCTGTACTGCATTCCAAATGGTTTCTCTTGACCTGCCTTCCAGTTTACACTTCTCTTTTCAGCTCTGTCTAATTTGCTATTAAAGCCATCTGTTGAGTTCTTCATTCCAGTTATTTAGTTTTATACTTATAGATTATTCGATAGCCCATGTATCTTACATTTGAAGTAATGAATTTTTTTCTGTTGTTTTTTCATTTTTTTAAAGTTATTGAAACATAGTAAGCATAGTTATTTTTAAATCCCTGCCTGATAATTATTTTATTTTATTTTATTTTTGAGACAGAGTTTTGCTCTGTCTCCTGGGTGGCCCGGGCTGAAGTGCAGTGGTGCCATCTCGGCTCACTGCAACCTCTATTTCCTGGGTTCAATTGATTCTCGTGCTTTAGCCTCCTGAGTAGCTGGGTCTATAGACGTGCCCAACCACACCAGCTAATTTTTGTATTTTTAGTAGAGACAGGGTTTCATGATGTTGGCCTGACTGGTCTTGAACTCCTGGCCTCAGGTGATTCTCCCGCCTTGGTCTCCCAAAGTGCTGGGATTATAGGCGTGAGCCACCACACCTGGCCAGATAATTCTTAAATCTAAAGTTGCGAGGTCTAACCCAGCAGTTACTAGCTACATGAGGCTATTGAAAGGTTGAAATGTGACTACTTTGAATTGAGATGTACTGTAGTATACGGTGCACACCAAATTTCAAAGGTTTAGTATAAAAATGTCAAATGTCGGCCAGGTGCAGTGGCTCACGCCTGTAATCCCAGCATTTGGGAGGCCGAGGCGGGCGGACCACGAGGTCAGGAGATGGAGAACATCCTGGCTAACACGGTGAAACCCCGTCTCTACTAAAAATACAAAAAATTAGCCGGGTGTGGTGGTGGGTGCCTGTAGTCCCAGCTACTCAGGAGGCTGAGGCAGGAGAATGGCGTGAACCCGGGAGGCGGAGCTTGCAGTGAGCCAAGATCGCGCCACTGCACTCCAGCCTGGGCGACACAGTGAGACTCTGTCTCAAAAAAAAAAAAAAGTCAAATGTCTAATTATTCATTTATCTATTGATGACATGTTGAAATAATAGTTTTGGTTTAAAAAATGGAGTTAAAACATATTGAGTTAAAAATATTGTAAAAATGTATTTCATCTGTTTCTTTTTATTTTTTCAATAAAAATATTGAATATTCTAGTGAACAATAAAAATATTGTTCACTAGAATATTTAAAATTCCCTGTGTGGCTCACACTTGTGGCTTGCATTATATTTCTATCAGAGGACTGATCTAGAGGTTCCATGTATCTTCTGTCTCTGTTGCACATTTCAGCTGGTTCTCATTTTTGCTATCTTATCTCCCTATGTGGTTGGTTATCTTTGTCTATGTTCTGGATACGATGTTTTAAAAATTGCTGTTGACAGAATATAAAGTGTAGGATGGGCTGGCCATAGTGACTCATTCCTATAATCCCAGCACTTTGTGAGGCTGAGGTGGGGCAGATGGCTTGAAGCCAGATGTTTGAGACCAGTCTGGGCAACATGGTAAAACCTTGTCTCTAGTAAAAATACAAAAATTAGCTGGGCATGGTGTCATGCACCTGTAGTTTCAGCTACTCGGGAGACTGAGGTGGGAGGATCACCTGGGCCTGGGAGGTGGAGGCTGCTGTGTGCTGTGATCGTGCCACTGCACTCTAGCCTGGGTGACAGAATGAGACCCCATCTCAAAAAAAAAAAAAATAGGATGATATTACCTTCCTCCAGAAATGAATTTCATTTGCTTATATCAGGCACTTTGTAGCTATAAAATTGCTTGAATTTTGCTGCAGGAATTGAGATATTTTGGGACATTCAGAAGCCTTGAACCTGGACTGCCTTCTGTTTGAAGACTGGTTGATCTTCAGTCCACCTTTACTCCGAGGGTCCAGTCCCACTCTTGGCAGACTCTGGACTCCAACATCTGTTTGCATAGCCCCATGAAGCCATCCAAAGCCCATGTGAGCCACTAGGATCAAAAGGCTGCTGACTCTTTACCACATCACTACTGCCACAGTTAGGAAGCCACCAAGACAAGGAAGGAATCCATCCATAATCAGAAACCTACCACCCTCAGAAGCCACATCCGCTGTTGCCTGCTCCAGACCCCACTGTGCCTGCGAAGATTTTCAGCTTCAAAGTGGATGCCACGTGCCCTGCTCTCAGCACCTCAGAGCCAGCGACCAGAGCCCAAGACCTCAGCTAATGCTGCCCAGAAACCTGAATATCTCCCCTGCTGGGCTTGGCAGCAAGAGCAGCAGATGCCTGGTCCCTGCTGCAATTCCCCCACATTAGAGTGACTGAATCTGCACCACATCCTGACTCTGGTTGTAAAGGAGTCTGGGAAATGTAGTTTTTAGCTTTCCTGTTTCTGTAGTATAGGAAGGCACAGCAGAAAGCAGGTGAATGGATTTATCCTTCCCCCATCTGCCCTCCAAGTACATACAATTATAATACCATTTGGTTTAAGTTTCAAAATATGCAAAATGATACCATATCTTGCTTACTGATATATCATACACGTGTAAATTCATGTACATCCATACACCTGTATCCATGTATCTACATATGTGCATATCCATATCTAAGTATACAATTGCCACAAAGACAGTAAGATCAGTAGTGGTTTCAAGCACCGGCCCTGCAGTCAGACTGCCTGCTTCAAAACCTGTGTTTGTGTGACATGGAGCATGCACGTTTCCTCAGTCTTGATTGCAAAGCTTATGCTTCTCTGTGTGTAAAATAGGCATCATGATAGTACCCACCTCAATATATTGCTGTGGGCCTCAAATAAGCCAATGCCTGTAATAGACTTAGCATGGTGCTTGGCTCGTGGTAATAAATACTCAGTGAATTGTAGCTCTTTCCATCATAGATAGCAGAAGGCCTAGGTGGTCAACCCAACTCACTGTATCAGCCTGACAAGCCACTTAACTCCTCCGGGTGTTCATTTCTTGTCTTTCAGATGAGGCAGTTGCCCTAAATGAGGTGAGTTCCTAAGCCAATGTCTCCAGGTCCTTAGGGGAGAGTGAGGTTATTTCCTTGGCATTTTATGGTGGGCATTGGAGAATCTGGCTTCCAGAGTTTTTATTGTTATTTTTTTCTTACAAACTCTTGTCGTTCTAACTTATCTCTAGATGCTACCTGAGAGAAACAGAAGATAAAACTACCACCAGGACGCACCAGCAGCATGACACAGGGCCAGTGACTTCGGCTGCTAAAATCAAGACGTACACCAGAGGGCGCTGCAGTTAAAGAGCGAGGCAGAGGTGAGCGGGCTGCCCGGGTCCAGTCTCCTAGGGTCTAGAAAAGCTATGAGCACAGGCCTTGGGGAGGCGGTAGGAGGACCTGAGGCTTCCATGAAAACCAAGGGCAAACATACTGTTTCATTCAGGCTTCGGCTACCTGGATGTGTGTTCCTCGGGAGAGTGGTTGTGTGTGGTTTTCGCACACCGATATGGATTGTTCTTATAAAGCTGAAAGGGCCACGTTCATAAAACAAAAATAAATAACAAAAATAAAAGCTTTTATCTTTTGCTGTGAATTCTTTTTTTTTTTTTTTTCTGAGACGGAGTCTCGCTCTGTCACCCAGGCTGGAGTGCAGTGGCGGGATCCCGGCTCACTGCAAGCTCCGCCTCCCGGGTTCACACCATTCTCCTGCCTCAGCCTCCCGAGTAGCTGGGACTACAGGTGTCCGCCACCGCACCGGCTAATTTTTTTGTATTTTTAGTAGAGGTGGGGTTTCACCGTGTTAGCCAGGATGGTCTCGATCTCCCGACCTCGTGATCCGCCTGCCTCGGCCTTCCAAATTACAGGCATGAGCCACCGCGCCGGGCCATGAATTCTTAAATAATGAAAAGTGCCTGCAGACTTCTCCTACTCGGTGAATGAGAAAATGTCCATGTTGGCACCCCGTCAAGAGGATAGGTTTTCACAGTACTTAGGGGAGACAACCTCCAGAAATAAAATAACCTTGTGGCAGTTTACTCACAGTGACTTCAGTCCTCAGGGAAAATATGGGCTCAACAAACTGTACACTAGGACTATAATAAATATTGGAGATGGATAATAATTAAAATATAATTTCAGTTAGTTGAAATATTATTCCATCAAACCATTTTTAACTCCAATACAGATATACTTTTTGAAAAAAAAAATGGAAATACAGGCAACTTCATAGAAAAAAGGCCCTCATAAATGTTAAATTTAAATTTTTTTTTTTTTTTTTTTTTAGACAGGGTCTCTCTCTGTCACCCAGGCAATCTCAGCTCACTGCAAACTCTGCCTCCTGGGCTCATGCAATCCTCTTGCCTCAGCCCCCAACCCCCAACCCCCACCCCCTCGCGGCAGTAGCTGAAATTACAGGCATGTACCACCACACCCAGCTAATTTTTGTATTTTTAGTAGAGATAGCATTTCACCATGTTGGCCAGGCTGGTCTTGAACTTCTGGCCTCAAGCGATTTGTTCACCTCGGCCTCCCTAGAAAACATTTAAATTATCTCTTGATAGCTGTTTGTGTGAGAGGTGTTTATACTGTCGTGTGCTGTTTTTTCTGTTAACATAATTTCAAGAAAACAAATGAAGATTTTTATGCAAATAACCTTTTATAATACAATAAACTGCCCTTATGGAGGTTCAGAAATGATGAAAGTTAGGCAAATGAAGCCTCATAGATAACAAAAGGGTTCCCACTAACTCCTGCCCTCCATCTTAACCTCGGCACTGCGTGTTCAGAAAATCAGAAGGCTGGAAACTCTTACCAGTTCTAACTCAGTGGATGGATGAGGGATCCATCCATCCCACAGAGAGAACATATGAAAATTCCAAAATCTGAGCAGATACCTGCACAGTGCATTAGCTACCCTACAAAAGGAAGTGCTTAAATACAATTTTTAAAATGTTTTGGTTACTGGCTGGGCGCGGTGGCTCTCACGCCTGTAATCCCAGCACTTTGGGAGGCTGAGGCGGGTGGATCACGAGGTCAGGAGATTGAGACCATCCTGGCTAACACGGTGAAACCCCGTCTATATAAAAAAAAAAAAAAACACAAAAAATTAGCTGGGAGTGGTGGCGGGCACCCATATTCCCAGTTACTCGGGAGGCTGAGGCAGGAGAATGGCGTGAACCCGGGAGGCGGAGCTTGCGGTGAGTGGAGATCGCGCCACTGCACTCCAGCCTGGGCGATGGAGCGAGACTCCGTCTCAAAAAAAAAAAAAAAGTTTTGGTTACTAAGAGCTATCAAAAAGAAGTGTGGTTGCTTTTCACAAGAAGTTGACAATAAACTTTTTAGTGATTAGTAAATGATGGAGTGATTTTAAACATTGAAAAGCAATCCCTCATTGTTCCACATTATTGTGAAGATCCACGGTATGCTAGTTTGTTAAGCGGGAGCAGGTGTGTTTCTTTCCAGCGGACAACTCTGCCTGGCACCTGACTGAACCTCTTCCAGGGGTATCTTGGGTCCTGGGCCAAGCTGGCGTGGGTGCAAGGGGGAGGTCATTTATATGGAGCACATATAAATGCAAAAATCATTATTGAATTGATCTCTTCTCGGTACTCATTATCCAAACCTGAGTGTGACTCCCCAGCTTTTTATTTGAAGCTCAAGTGTACGCCTGCATGATGTGCGGGTGAGATTTAGGAGATGTGTAAGTCTCCACATCTCACACTGAGCCATGTACCCGTTAGGACTCAGATGAGTGACAAAAGTGCAAGAAACCACAGGGTCAGCTGGTGCATTGCTCCAGAGACTCATTTTGGTCAAAAATTTGTACAGGATAAGCGTATTCATATTTGTTTATATTAAAACAAATCCAACTGTACTACGGTGTAAAATGCAGAACTGGACTTGATTTTCTTTTTCAGTGAAAACAAGGAACATCAAAAAATTACTGCTTTGTAGAGGGCTGCTGTGGGCTGGGTTTTGGTCCTTAGGAGCAAAACATATACTCACTCCTGCTCTTCTGCCAGGAGGGGCAGTTCAGGAGAATCATCTGGAGACCGGATTCTCATTTATCAATTTCATTTCACATCCAAGGAAACTAAAGCACAAGGAGAAAACTGATGTGTGGATGTGATTTGGGCTTCATACACCTTCCTTCTTCCATTAAACTTTGGCTATGTCTTCCTACTTTCAACCTCAGCCTTGACCAAGTAGACAATTCAAAGGAAGCCTGGTCTAGTGGTCCAGGGAGGAGCACAGGAGGGTCCATGATTCTAGTTCCTGTTGTGCCACTAACCAACCATGTGACTCAAGCAAGGGATTGCATGTCCCAGTCCCTCGGTGACAGAGACATGTAAAAGTGGAGTGTGAAGGGCTGTGTGAAGTGGTGGAGCCTGAAACCTGGAGTCCAGCGATTGAAGGCACTTTGGTAAGGAACGGAGGTGGGCTGCCCAGGAGCAAGTCCAATCTCAAGCTAGCACACTTGCCCTCTGCCTTATCTGCATGGCCTGTGGTTGGTGACTCCAGCACTGGGCACAGTGATGAACACATCATAGGTGGTTAATGTGCCTCTGCTGAATGAATGAGGCATCATGGGAAACCCTGCAGAGGTGGTTGGCATTTGCAGTAGAACTCAAATCAGAGGGGTTTGCTGGGAGAAGGAGATGGATAACTTTGTAAAACAGATGTGCATGATTAGACTTATGTCCCTCCTTGCTAGCACAGAAAAATCCCTGATGTTTATCAGTAGTTCTAAAGGCAGGATGGAGCTCAGGCTGGTGGAGTGTGTTTTATTCTTTCACCTTCCCAAGTATTTGTGATCCTTCCTTTCAGCACACTTGGGAAAGCCAAGTGAGAATGGGGCTTGGTGAGCAGGGAGTCCCAGGTCTTGTGGGGATCACAGAACCTGCCTTCCTTTCTTCCTCCATCCTCCTGGGAAAGAGAGCTCCCCTTCTTCACCCCATGACACTGTGAAGAATTAAGCCCTAAGAGAAACCTGTGCCGTATCACCATTCCTTTGTTTAGTGTTTCTCACTTTACCTTTCTCTCCGTTTTCATTGCATCTGGTGACCGGAAATGCTGCTGGGAGGAGGGAGACTCCTGAGGGAGATTGGTGCCATAGCGTGGGGAGCACCAGACACCAGGGATAAAAGCGTCCACATATGCACTGTCTCACGGAGACACTAGACACTTCACTAGAAAGTGGAAGGCAGAGATTTAGACTCATGTTTCGTCTGGCTCCAAAGCCCATATTTATCTCACTGAGGTGGGTATAAACTGTTTATCTTGTTGGAATTAGGAAGAGAGTGGTAGAACTTTCAGGAACCTTCATTGTCAGCTAGATTTGTACTACGAGATTTTCCTGAATTTCCAGTGCAAAAGGCCCACAGCCAATTGGTCTGAGGAAGGAGGCTCTAGGGGAGCCGTTTGTCCCCCAGCAGCAGGAGGAATCCAAATGAAAATCTTGGCCACACCGCAGCTGAACTGGCTCTCAGTCACATGGAAGAGGTTCCATTTCAGGTGTGCTCTCTGGGTTTTCTTTTAGTGGACTTTGGGAGAGGAAAAGGGCTGGATTCCTACTACTGTCCTCACCTGAATGAAGGAGAAGCAGGAAAGAGGAGGGGCTCAGATTCCCGGGTCGTGAGTGCTTGGGGGGCCGCTTGAGTGACTCTATGGGCTTTGTGGGTTAGACTCCTGGGAAGACCTGGCTGGGCACCTAATTTCTATTTTTAGAATCCTTTCTGGTAGAAAGTAAGTTCCAGGTTCTAAACATGAAGTGCAAGGCCAGGTGTGGTGTCTCTCGCCTTTAATCCCAAGCATTCTGGGAGGCCAAGGTGGGTGGACTGCTTGAGCTCAGGAGTTCGAGACTAGCCTGGGCAACATGGTGAGATCCCATCTCTACCAAAAATACAAAAAATTAGCCAGGCATAGTGGTGTGCCCCTATGGTCCACCTACTTGGGAGGATGAGGTGGGAGGATTGCTTGAGCCTGGGAGGCAGATGTTGCAGTGAGCCAATATCATGCCACTGAACTCCTGCCTGGGCAACAGAGTGAGACTCAGTCTCAAAAAGTTAAAAATAGGCAGGGCGCGGTGGCTCACGCCTGTAATCCCAGCACTTTGGGAGGCCGAGGCGGGCAGATCACGAGGTCAGGAGATAGAGACCATCTTGGCTAACACGGTGAAACCCCATCTCTACTAAAAATACAAAAACAAAATTAGCCGGGCGTGGTGGCGGGCGCCTGTAGTCCCAGCTATTCGGGAGGCTGAGGCAGGAGAATGGTGTGAACCCGGGAGGTGGAGCTTGCAGTGAGCCGAGATCGCGCCACTGCACTCCAGCTCCACCAACAGAGCGAGACTCCGTCTCAAAAAAAAAAAAAAAGTTAAAAATAAATAAATAAAACAAAAATGATGTGCAAATGGACTTCTGAACACAACCTGTTTATAAGTTGAGGTTGTAATGATAAAAATGGTTTTAGGTTCAAGACACATTTTAAAATCTTGATGTTTGAAATACTTGTGAACAGGAACTTGCATTGGTAAGAACATGTAACAAATGGATATGTACGATGATGAAAAGCTAGTGGTATGACTAGGTTGACAGAAAAATGAATCAATGCATCTTCCTCACTCAGAAATAAATTAGACTAAAACCAGTCACCACCTGAAATGACTCCGTTCCTGCCAAATGCTTTGCGACCTGTCTCTTTTCATTAGGTAGGCTTTGTTGGTCCTGGTATGGAGGCTTTTATGTATTTCATCTTCCGTGGAGCAAATGGGGTGATAATAAATAAATGCTTGCTGTATACAGGTGGGGCAACGGAGGGACGCCAGTGTCAGAGTAGTGGGCGGGTTCTGCTCTCCCTTGCCCACTATTGCTGGGTGACCCTGGAACAGCCAGTTGACTGTTCCAGGTCAACTTTGCTCATCTGAATACGAAATTAGGGAATAGAACAAGCCTTCATCAATCTCCAAAAGTCTGTGATCCTGTATATAAAGCAAAGTTTTATCGCAGAGCCTCCTGAAAAAGGACTAATCAAATTATGATTCAATGAGTGATTTTTTTCATAGCTATATAGTTATTATCAGAGTAGGTTATTGCTTATTTTTGAAGTCTGTGTTTGGAAAAGATTAATACAGTTATAAATTGTGTTTCTCAAAAGTCCCTTGAGTGACAGGGGACATTAAGTTAACAATTGTAGATCCTTTGTTTTCTTTGCATTTCCTTTGTGATACGCAGCTAGCAAGTTATCTGATTTCCAGCACAGCGTCACAGACATTTCCATGCCTTTGACTTTAGAAAATGCAAGCGTGAGTGTTGCATCTTGGAATTATAAATATTCGTGGGTATATAAGTTCATACCCACACATAATGCAAAAGTTAGGACTTCTGAGAAAAATGGTGGCTGGAGTTATCTTCAAAGAATGGAAGCAATCATACCTTACTTTGCTGCAGTACTGCTTAGGATAACTATGTTTGTCTCTCCCTTGGCTTCACCAAGTCAAATTTAAGCTGCCCTTCATTTTTACCAAATTTTCTGGCTTTAGAAAGAAACCACCCATAGTGCTGACAGTGTTGAAAAAGCTGATTTTTATGTCTTTTTCCTCTGTAAACGTGGCTACTTCATTCCAGGCTGGGGAAGAGGGGAGGGCATGGGTTCGGTCTTTCTACAAGATGCTCCTCTGTTCATATGTGGTTGGTGAGAATGTGTAAGTGGTCATCTGGGATGAGCCGCAAGTCTTTCACAGAGTGTGAGCTGTATTAGCCAGCTCCCAATGAGGCTTTGCATGATAGAGCCACAGCAAAGGGAAAAGACATATAAAAAGGCTGATTTTTAAACCTACTGCATCAGAACATGTACTTTGAAAGCTATGTAGACAGAGTGAATATAGTTTTAGGGAGGCAGGATTCTGGGCACCCACTGCTGTTGTAGGAAGGACAGGCCCCTACAAGTAGGTGTGCTGGCGCCTGTGGCTGGGAAATCTGTATTGGCTCTGCCTTTGGGCTGAACTGAGCAGAGCAGGAGCCATATGGAAGGTCAGACACCCTCCACAGTCCTGTCCTTCCCTTGCACAGCTCTCCCTCTGCCCTCTCAAAGACAACCTTTGTTTGTGCAGCTCTTTCTATGGGAGGCACTTGTTGACTTTCAAGTTGCAGGTTGCTCAGGAAATATTATTTACTACATTTCTTAGGTGAGGAAAGAAACATTGGAAGGTGAATGCACAGGCCCAGGGTCACACTAGTTAGTAACAGAGGTTGCTTTTGAACCCAGATCGCTTGTCATCAAATGAAATGTTCTCTCTGGGGTCCCTATGACTTCTAAAAGAAATTCTCAGAATATTTCCTGCAACTGATTTGCTGTCTTTCCATCATTTCACTTGTAGCCCAGTGTTAATAAGATCTTTTATAACCAGGCCAGGCACGGTGGCTCACACTTGTAATCCCAGCACTTTGGGAGGCAGAGGCAGGCAGATCACTTGAGGTCAGGAGTTCGAGACCAGCCTGGTCAACGTGGCGAAACCCCATCTCTATTAAAAATAAAAAAATTGGCTGGGCACAGTGGCTCACGCCTGTAATACCAGCACTTTAGGAGGCCGAGGCGGGTGGATCACGAGGTCAGGAGATTGAGACCATCCTGGCTAACATGGTGAAACCCTGTCTCTACTAAAAATACAAAAATTAGCTGAGCATGGTGGCGGGCGCCTGTAGTCCCAGCTACTCAGGATGCTAAGGTGGAAGAATGGCGTGAACCCAGGAGGCAGAGCTTGCAGTGAGCTGAGATCGTGCCACTGCACTCCAGCCTGGGTGACAGAGCAAGACTCCGTCTCAAAAAAAAAAATATATATATATATATATAAAATAATAATAATAATAAAATTAGCTGGATGTGGTGGCATGTGCCTGTAATCAATCCCAGCTACTCAGGAGGCTGAGGCAGGAGAATCACTTGAACCCGGGAGGCAGAGGTTACAGTGAGCAGAGTTTGTACCACTTGCTCTCCAGCCTGAGTGACAGAGCGAGACTCCATCTCAAAGAAAAAAAAAAACAAAAAAACTCAAAAAACCAACCAACCAACCAAACAAACAAAGATCTTTTGTGACCAGCAATACAGAACCATTCAGGGACTCTATGAAAAGCTCACATCTTGTGGCCAGGGGACAGCAAGTGGCCACAGCAGCGAAGAGGGGGAAGTGTCAGGATGGGATGACCGTCACCAGTTCCTGCTTCTCAAAGGCTGGGCAGGAGCTGGACTATTTGCAAGGGTCTGGTAGACTGGAGGAGCTACAGCCATCAGTGGTGGAGGGAGGGGAAGGGGGAGAGGGAGGGGGTTACCACTCATGGGACACCTGCACCATGTGAAGCACAGCGCTCCCTTAAGCTCCACAGTGGGAGGGCGGAGCCTGCAGGGCAGATGTTCTCTCTCAGCCTCCAACAGGGAGGCAGCAGGTGATGGCCTGAGCATGAGCACTGGATGCTGTTCCCGGGACGCTGACTTGGAAAGGAGAGGCGGGGAGAATCCACGATGCTGCTCAGCAGGGAGTCGACTGCCCAGTGGGGCAAGGGTGGCATCCTTTAGGATGTTCCTGTGATCACCCTGGCTGGGCCCAGCCTCACCGGGCTTCTGCGGTTGGCCAGCGTGGATCTCCAGCCCTCCCGTCATCTTGATAAGCTCCCTTTCAATAGGCTGGTTTTTGGCTACAGATGGGTTCTACTGTTTGCAAATGAAAACCCAACCAATGCAGCCAGAAAGAGGCAGAGTCAGGATTCAAACGGGGCCTCTCCTGTGCTATAAGCCTGTTGTTTGCTCTTCTGCACCCCCAGAAGTGACCGGAATCTGAGTGACTGTCAAATCCTGTCCAGTTTAAGTTTTCATGGGAAATCGATTTACAAGCAGGTCTGTGATTAAATATGTATAGATGTTTAAACTGATTGCTGAGCTAGTTGTCATGAATGAAACTGGCTAATCTCTATGTTACTGGCATTTCCAGGGGAGGAGAGCAGAAGTCACACATACTGGGTTGTCAATGTGAGAGGCAATTGGTGGTGTCTTTGTTGTTTGTGTTGCTATAACAAAATACCACAGACTGAGTGATTTATAATCAATAGAAATTTATTTCTAACAGTTCTGGTGCCTGGGAAGTCCAAGTTCAAGGGTGTGGCATTCAGTGTCTGGTGAGGGTCTTTATGTGGCAGAAGGGGAGAATGCTGTGTCCCCATGGCGTGGAAGGTGGAAGGGCAGAAAAGGGTCTGAGCTAGTTCCCTTCAGCCCTTTTGCAAGGCACTAATCCACTCAGGAGGGTGGAGCCCTCACGACTTAATCACTCCCCAAAAGGTCTCACCTCTTAACCCCGCCACAATGGGAGTTCAGTTTCAATACATGAATTTGGGGGGACATTCAGACCATAGCAGGTAGGCTATGGAAGGGATGTATTGGTTAAAACATAGATTAGGAGTCAGACAGATTTGATTTCAATTCTATCATTTAATGTACTTCTGGGGGCTTGGACACGTTATTTATCTTGTTTGAGCCTCATCTGCAGAATAGAGATAATAATTTCTATTTCACAGGGATTCTGCACAGCACATGCAAAGTGCCCAGCACAGTGCCTGGCACACGGTGGGGGCTCAGTAAATGGAAGTTATTTCTTTTATTTAAGCACATGGCTGAATTCAGCTCTCACGGCAATGCTAATAGGTGGGTCCTTTCTTGACTGGCTGTGTCCCTTCTTACATAAGTTTAGGAGTCTTCCTTGTCAGCATACTCTCACCAACCTCTAAAAGGGGAATGAGATCAGGGAGAGGGAGCAGTGAGATGGGGAGGAAGCCAAGCAGATGTTTAGGAAGTTTTATATGACCCTAAAATGCCACCTGGATTGTCTGTTTTCAGGTCCATTACTGATCTGTTAGTCAACAGTTAATTGAACCTGTTTATTTTGCCTGCCAGAGTGCCCAAGAAAATCTAGATTATAAAGAGTCTATTATAAATTAAACACACTCAGCATTTATCATAAATGGTGGCACAATTCCTCTGAGTTGGGTCAGTCACATTGCCCCAGGCCCTGATGGAAGGTGCACAATCCACCCAAGCAAGGCTTACAGTTCCAAGCATCCACGCTGAGCTCCCCACCCAGGGATGCGGCTCTTCCCGGGTAGTGGAAGGAAGGCAGGTTGTGAGCAGCACTGGTCCAGGAGCAGCCCACCACTCCAATGAGCAGTGATGGCTTTGGAGGAAGCAGTCGAATCCTCCACTATAAAGTAGGTCAATCAACACTTCATTAATGAATATTTGATAATAAACCACATTGTATTCTATTACACAGGGCAGTGGATATGAAAGGTCTTTCTCAGTCTGCTTAGTGAAATACAGGTTTTAAGGGAATGTTCAGTTCCTTTCTCTCTTTCTTATATAAAATCTGTATCTCTTAAAAACTTTTCTTTGGGCCGGGCGCGGTGGCTCACGCCTGTAATCCCAGCACTTTGGGAGGCCAAGGTGGGCGGATCACAAGGTCAGGAGATCGAGACTATCCTGGCTAACACGGAGAAACCCCGTCTCTACTGAAAATACAAAAAATTAGCCGGGCTTCGTGGTGGGCGCCTGTAGTCCCAGCTACTTGGGAGGCTGAGGCAGGAGAATGGCGTGAACTCAGGAGGCGGAGCTTGCAGTGAGCCCAGCCTGGGCGACAGAACGAGACTTTGTCTAAAAAAACAAACAAACAAACAAACAAACAACAAAAAAAAACCTTTTCTTTGGAATTAGCCTGTATAATTCTCACAATGTTCTTGAGATGTGTGTTGTTTATTGTCTGCTTTACAGAGGTGGAAATCTGCAATTTGGAAAGGATTTTTGCAGGCTTGTGGTGTCTGGAAATGGTGGAGCAGGGGCTTAAACCCCAATATTTTGACACCAACCTTGTATTGATTTCTTCATTCCCCACGTGAGGACCACCTACCATGTGCCTACAGCTGGGCTGGGCACCGGGAACACCAATCTTAGCCATGGCCCCTGGTTAAGAAGAATTTCCTTTTTGCCATCCTGTCTGAGACGGCACCACTGTTTTCTGGCCCTAATTAATGAGCCATTCATAGCCTGAAGCTAGAGGATGAATAGCTATATTCAGGTTTCCCATTTATGGTAATTTTCTTTGGAAGCCGACCAGTTTTCAGCTCCACTTCAATCTGCCCATGTGCTTCATAGTGACACTGTTGAAAATGATGTGGAAGTGGAAACATATCTCACCAGGCCCCACAGAGAGGCACCACAGGAGTCCACGGCTCCCTGACTCCCTTCAGTCTGGGAAACAGAAGAGGAGAAGCTCCAGAGTTGATGTCTGCCCCATGGAGAGTGTCCTTGCTGTTGTTTTTATTTTTACAATTTTTAATATATATTAGAGATAGGGTCTTGCTCTGTTGCCCAGGCTGGAGTACAGTGGTGGGTGCAATCTTAGCTCACTGCAACCTGCAAGTCCTGGGCTCAAGCAATCCTCCTGCCTCAGCCTCCTGAGAACCGGCTAATTTTTTTTTTTTTTTTTTTGAGACAGAGTCTCACTTTGTCACCCAGGCTGGAGTGCAGTGGCGCAATCTTGGCTCACTGCAAGCTCCGCCTCCCGGGCTCACCCCATTCTCCCACCTCAACCTCCTGAGTAGCTGGGACTACAGGCGCCTGCCACCATGCCCAGCTAATTTTGTTTTTGTATTTTTAGTAGAGACGGGGTTTCACCATGTTAGCCAGAATGGTCTCGATCTCCTGACCTCATGATCCGCCTGCCTCGGCCTCCCAAAGTGCTGGGATTACAGACGTGAGCCACTGCGCCTGGCCCACATAACTTTTCTTACAGCATATTGTTATCATTGTTCTATTTTATTATTAGTTGTGGTTGCAAATCCCATACTGTGCATAGGTGTATGTGTACAATTTAGGAAAAAACACAGTACATATAGGGCCCAATATTATCTGCAGTCTCAGGCATCCACTGGGGGTCTTGGAGCATATCCCCCACAGATAAGGGGGCTACTGTGTACACTTCATAATTAGCCCGACCACCTGGCTAATTTTTAATTTTTGTTTCTAGAAATGGGGTCTCCCTGTGTTGCCCTGTCTGGTCTTGAACTCCTGGCCTTGTGATACTCTGCCTCAGCCTCCCAAAGCTCTGGGATTACAGGGGTGAGCCACTGCATCCAGCCTGCTTTCGTTTTTGTTGTTGTTGTTGTTGTTAAATAAGAGAAAGCAGAGTTTAGTTTTTACCCTGGCAAAAGAGACAGCTACTTTATCTGACCCTTCACAACATCTCAGAGGGGTAGGGGTTCAGTGGAGTTATTTATTGAGACTGTGAAGTCTGGCTGAATGCAGTTCTTTACGTGTGGTACTTGATTAGAGAGGCGCTACTCTTTTAAAACTCCAGAATGGGCCGGGCGTGGTGGCTCATGCCCATAATCCCAACACTTTGGGAGGCCGAGGCAGGTGGATCATGAGGTCAGGAGTTCGAGACCAGCCTGACCAACATGGTGAAACCCTGTCTCTACTAAAAACACAAAAATTAGCTGGGTGTGGTGGTGCGCATCTGTAATCCCAGCTACTCGGGAGGCTGAGGCAGAAGAATCGCTTGAACCCGGGAGGCAGAGGTTGCAGTGAGCCGAGACTGCACCACTGCACTCCAGCCTGGGCGACAAAGAGAGACTCCGTCTCAAAAAAACAAAAAAACAAAAACTCCAGAATGAGTGCCTTGAGAGGAAAGGCTTAGAGAACCCTTCAAGTTCTGGGGCTACCGTCCACATCCTCCTCTGGCCACCGGGCAGTATAGTTAGTCCCAAGGAGTCCAGCTGTGAACTTCCTGGGACTAAGACACCAGGGACCTACATCTGAGCAGCACAGCCCCTTCTGTGTCTCTGAGTTCACTGCTGCTTTCTAATTTAGTCCAGGGACAAATCCTCCTTTCCTCCCCACCCTTCAAAAACTGGAACTTCCTGGGAGCATCATATGCATAACACAATAATCATCATAAGCATCCTAACAGCAGCATGAGCCAGCCTCAATCCACCCCCGACAGTGTGCGGGCAACCGTGCTAAGCACGTCACATGGACGCCTCTCATGGGAGCCGTGTAGCTGTGCTGTGACATGGCTGCAGGTTCATTCCCATTACAAAGGGTAAATAACTGGGACAAGGTAGTTAGTAGTGCCACAGCCAGAATTCAAGCCATGGTCACCTGAGCCCAAAGGCCATTTGCTGTTAACTCCTGTGCTGTAGAAACTCTCTCTCCTTTTACAACTTACTGTTCCTTCACAGTAGCAACAAATTTTTTTTAAGTAACATCCAAATGTTTCTTCACAAGAGAGAAGACTGACTTTCTCAGTACAGGGCCCCTCTCTTCTTTTGGCCTGGGAGGAAGTTTAGGCTTTAATCCACATTTCAGTGGTAAGGGAGCTTCTCCCATTCTCGGGATGCCTTCCAGGAGAAAGCGGTTTCCTCAGCAACCCACAGCCCACATGCCAGCCCCTCTGCCAGTGAATCCATTGCTTTGAGAGTCTTGGATTCTTAAAGTTGTTTCTGTTGGGATGTTCTCAACTGCTTAGACACATGTTATGACAAATTAGTGATTAAGAAGACACTGTGTTGCGCTAGAAGGCGTGACTATTTAAAGAAATAAAAGAACACTGTCAAAATGGTGGTTGCTACAGACCACAGGGCTCTGAGCAGCGGGTCCATTTATTTCCCCAGCTTTGGGCAGATATTGAATTATTCCAGATACATGAGGTTCTACATGTTTTAAAAGTTTCCTAAAGAAAGTGACCCCTCTGTGGCCGGGCGCGGTGGCTCACGCCTGTAGTCCCAGCTACTCGGGAGGCAAGAGAATGGCACGAACCCGGGGGGCAGAGCTTGCAGCGAGCAGAGATCACGCCACTGCACTCCAGCCTGGGTGACAGAGCAAGACTCCGTCTCAAAAAAAAAAAAAAAAAAGAAAGTGACCCCCCTGTTCCCTGAAAGCAGTGTGTAACCATTGGGAAATTATTTTTAATAGCTAATCCAAGTACTGCACCTGACAATCTTGACATTACTTCTAACTATTTGCTCCTTAGGTAGAAATGGACAAAGAGTCGCCCGCTTGATACAGGGGATCACACTTGTCCTGCCGGATTGTCTTGGAAGAAGGACTATGGTGGAGGAAAGGACTCCCGGCCTTCAGGGAAGGGTAGAGGGTGAGGGGACAAGTGAGCCCCAACCTCAAGCTTGATGTAAGTGGAGGGCCAAGTCTACTGGGTCCTTCAGGAACCATGAGCATAAGAACTTCCGGAACCTCTGCAAATGTGTGCTTGCTGACTAGTGCCTGCTTCCTGTCAAAAACACACAAAGAAAAGGTTCCACACACTTGCTTCCTGGGCAGCAAAAGAGATAAAGAGGAGAAAGCAGGTGATGGGTGAACTGGCTCTAGGCAGATGGGGAGAGAATGGCCCTAGGGGACAGTGAGGGGCTGCTTTGTTAGGAGAGGATGAAGGCTGATTTTTGGTGGCCAGAACAGGGAAAGAGATAAAAGCCCGGAGACTCATAAGGAGTCTCTGAAAGGACCCTGACACTGAGCAGGAGAAAGGCCCTAGCACACTCCTATGTGTGTTCGATGTTAGAGAGGCCCTAGCACACTCCTATGAATCCTACCATGGGCTTCCACGTGCTTGTGAACTATGCAAGTTCACAGAGTCTTGACATATCCCTGGTAAAATCACATCTCCTCCTGGGTTCTGGTTTTTTCATTCTTTGTTGTATTTTTGTCTGTTCTAGTGAAAGACTTTTATTTTTTATGGAAAGACATAAAAGGGAGGAAAAACAGAAAACATTTCTTGGAATGGGTGGAGGACTTTAGAGGTGGAAAATTGGGAATAGGCAGAATCAATTTCAAAGGCAGGTGACAAAAAAAATACATAAGTAAAACAAATGAAGAAAGGAAGAAGTGGTAAAGGGAGAACACAGAATTATTATTCCAAGCTCATGTGTCTTATAGACAGTATCATCACAGCCTTCCACTCATTCCATAGCCATTTATGAAGTCCCTATCATGCCCAGGGTCTGTGCTGTGCTATGGATGAAGCATGTGTGAGTGAGACTTGGAGACCCCAGGGTTTCTCAGGGAGCTGGACTGTGTATTGCAGGTGGATGATGAGACATGAAAGCCAGAAGCCCAGAACTGGTCCCAAGGGTCTCAGAGGAGGCAAGATTCCTCTCTGCTGGGACGGTGCAAGCAGGTGTTGGGGAGGAGGAAGCCTGAGAACCAGGACCTGAATAATGGCAGGTGGAATTTGGTCCTGCCCACCTGGGGGAGGGGGTCCTAGGTGGGAAGGATATTGAGGGCAGAGGCATAGAATGAGAAAGTGCAGGCTCAATGAAGGGAGAAAGTCTGCACCAAAGGAAGCCTGATATGGAATGGGAGAAAATTGTGTTGGAACGAAGTTCAGAGCCCAGGTGCGGAGCTTCTTGACTTCCTTCATTTTTAGGTCACTGGGGAGTCATTGGAAGCCTTTGGCTTGTGTACAGATGGCTGGGGCAGGGGTTGGGGGAGTGCTGTGTGGCTGTGACTGACACTTTGGGGTGAGGGTGACAGCAAAAGCCCTTCTCTTGATGTTTATTACAAATGAGGAGCTGTCACCTGTGTAATTATTGGTGAGCCCAGGTACCATTAGCCTGTTGCAGGCTGCAGCAGCAGCTGCTGATGAGAAGGCTATGAGTGCCAGAGACTTTATGCAAGTCAAGGGCATTGCTGGGTGGCTCTACAGAAGGATGAACGATGGCTCCTTCTGACCCTGTGGGCAGCCTCATGGTGGGAACTTGCTCTGAAGCTGCTGGCCCCAGCTCATGCTTTGCTCCTTTAGTATTTGGAAGCAGAACGGCCCCCTTTGATGGAGCACTCACCCATAAGTGCGAGGGAACTGCCTGGCCGCAGGCAAACTTCCAACCCACACAGACAGTGGCTGCTCTGAGTGGCAGCTTTGCCTCTCCACCACGCTGGCCTTCTACGCTGGGGATTCTGGAGGCTCAGTGAAGCGATTTTGAGCCAATATGGAAAAATACAATCCCAGATCATATTACCCAATTATCTATGTTCCTGATTATTGTTTTTCCAAGATAAGTGATTCCATAGCTACAATAAGGAATTACCTAGAAATTGGACAGGTGTGGTGGCTCATGTCTGTAATCCCAGCACTTTGGGAGGCTGAGGCGGGTGGATCACTTGAGGTCAGTAGTTTGAGACTAGCCTGGTCAACATGGTGAAACCCCGTCTCCACTAAAAAAAAAAAAAAAAATTAGCCGGGAGTCGTGGTACACATCTGTAATCCCAGCTACTCAGGAGGCTGAGGCAGGAGAATTGCTTGAACTCAGGAAGTGGAGGTTACAGTGAGCCGAGGTGGCACCACTGCACTCCAGCCTGGGTGACACAGTGAGGCTCTGTCTCAAAAAAAAAAAAAAGAATTACCTAGAAATTGAATATTTGTATACCTTAGTGGCAGTTCAGCGTGTCATCATCCTATACTCATTCTGAGGAGGGGTAGGCAGCAACTGCATTTATAACCTTGGTCCAAATGTGGCACAGCCTGGGTTCCTGGTCAATGGCACAAGCTGAGCTCCTAGTCAGCAGCCATGTATAAGTTACTGCTTTACAAAGTATTGTTACATTATCTGGAATTCATTATAGAAATTCCCAGAAGTCTGGTGGCATCTGGACAGCATATATGCATTGTAGAAAAAAGATATAGCTCATCTTCTTTTGCTAATGCTTCAGCAATATTTAGAACTGATCTTTTATGAGTCCACCCCTCTTTACCCTCTAATGTCACGCACCCCACCAGCCCCCGCCGACTCTCTGAAATTATCCTGTTCATTGTTTGCTATCTCCTCTCATGAGAATACTTGCCTCCAGTGAGCAGGGACCCTGTCTCCCTGGTTCATGGCTATGTTCTTGCCTGGAACAGTGGGGAGCCTGCCTTTTCCTTCCTTGCATTTGTGGATCAGGCTCTCTGCATGTTCCTCCTTGGGGTCTGACCTTCCAGACATGAACACTCTTCATCAGCCCCCTTGGCCTTCCTCTTACGTTAAGTATTAAATAAGGAAGAAGTTAAAAGGAGGGCCTGTTTTAATAGGCACTCATTAAAATTTGTATTCCTAGGCAAAAGCACTTGTCTTTTCACTGACCACCATTGACTCTGGTTTATGTTATAATTACAAAGAATTCTCAGTCTTAAAAGGAGGATTAAGTGATTTATACTGAAGTATGTTTCATCTTGTTTTCTAAATGTAATGCACTTCTCAATGACACAGGAACTGGAAGGCAAGTAGCTGAGGACATCAGTCTTTAGCCAAAGACCCACAGGATCACACCGGAGCTAAACATATTGGGTTTACCACGCACTGCAGTGCTGGAGGACACACACCATGGGGAAACTTGGACAGTCTCAGTAAGAGGGTATGAAAAGACAGAGAATTTGCATTTGTGTTTTGGGGAGGACTTGAGGAAGTCTAGCTTTGCTCTGCCTTGGATGCTGTCAGGAAGTGGGGAATTCTGTGACTGAGTATCTTGGTCATTCTTATCCAGAAAGAAAAAAAAGGAAGCAGCTAGAGCCCTACTGGGTAAAGAAGCAGCAGCCACTCATATTGGCCAGGACAGAGAGACGCTGGTCATTTTGATTTCAGGAATGCTCTTATTTTTGGCCATGTTCAGACATGAATGAAAGACTTTCCCTGGGGCCTGGAAGCTGGGGGTGGTGGGTGAATAACTCCTCCCTCCTCAAAGCCAGTCCCAAGGCGCAAGACCACTTGGGCCAGCAGCATGTGTCAGCAGGACAGCAGAAGCAGGAAGAGAGCTGGCCGGAAGACACATACACCCTGAAGACCGAGAGAGAGGCCATCCAGGTACTGTATAGCAGTTACATCAGACTGAGACACGTCCCGTTTACAGGAGACTATAAACCCCTGCCCCGTCCTCATTTGGTGCTGACGCCATTTTAGGCCTCAGCCCGTCTGCACCCAGGCGCTCATTAAAGCAGCATGTTGCTCCACACCAACTTGTGTTATTTGTTGGCGCGCTCTCGGGGTTTGAACGGATACAGAAAGTTGCCATCGTTCACTGCAGGGGTCACCAAACCCCAGACAATTCTATATCGGCCAGAAATGCACTAGCAGATCAGGTGGCCAAACTAGCCCTACAACCCATGCAAGGCCAGTTTCTGTCCCTGTCCTTGTTCTCTTCTCTTTATTCCTCAGGAGGAAAGGAGGACTTCCGAGCCCAAAACCTTCAAAAGCAAGGACTATGGTATGTCAAGGAAGGGCGCTTTGTTCTTCCTCACTCTCAAACAATCCCTATCCTCCAAAGTCTCCACAACTCAATCCATGTCGGTTACAAACCTCTCTTACAATTTCTCCGCCTTATTCTCACTCGTTCTCACCTTTCCAGCCACGTTCAAGAAATCACCCAGTCCTGCTCTATCTGCCACTCAGTGTCACCCCAGGGCTCCCTCTGGCCACTGCCTTTTCCTACCCACCAAGCCCAGGACTGGGTACCCGGGCAAGATTGGCAAGTAGACTTCACTCACATGCCGCCTGATACACAGTTCCACTGTCTTCTAATCTTTGTACGTTTTCTGGGTGGGTAGAAGCGTTCCCAACAACTTCAGAAGGTGCAAATGTCGTCACACAAACTCTCATCATGCATATAATTCCCTGTTTCGGACTCCCAACATCCATCCAGTCCAACAACGGGCCCACCTTCATCAGCCAAATTACCCAAGGTGTCTCTACATCCTTAGGTATAAAATGGGTTCTCCACACACCCTACTGGCCTCAATCTTCCGGCAAAGTTGAAAAAGTTAACTCTGTCCTTAAAGCCCAACTTACCAAGCTGGCTCTAGAAACCCACCAGGCGTGGAGGAAAAAATCTCCCTTTTGCCCTCATGAGACTCTGCACAACACCAAAGTCACCCTCTTTTTATAGTCCCTTCGAAATCATGTATGACCAAACTTTTGTCTTGGGGCCTCCATCTTACCAGACACTGAGCCACTCAGGAATTACCTCCCTTTCTTAATCCAGACACGGTCTTTCATTCATGAAGCAGCAGATGAGGCCATGCCCCTTCCTGTCAACACCTCTTTGTCCTCTCAACATAACTGTCTTGCAGGCACAGACGTGTTTATCTGCCAACCCGACCGTCACAACAACCTACAGCCGAAGTGGACAGGCCCCTACACTGTGATACTCAGCACACCAACTGCAGTGAGAGTCCAAGGACTCCCCTGCTGGATCCATCGTACCAGGGTCAATCTCACCCCCAAGGCTACTCCTTCCTCCAAAACATTAACAGCGGGCAACACCCTCAGAGTCCCTGTATACAATAACGTAAACAACAACAACAACAAAAAGATCCTTAAAGGTAGGAGGAAGCCAAAGATGGCAACGGGACGAATGACTTCTGCAACGGATCATCGAATATTATGGTCCTGCCACTTGGGCTGAGGATGGTTCATGGGGTTATCACCTCCCATATATATTCGAAATAGAATAATTAGACTACAGGCGATTCTAGAGATAATCACTAACCAAACTGCTTCAGCCCTGGAAACGCTTGCGCAACAACAAAACCAAATACCCCCGGCAATTTATCAAAACAGGCCAGCACCAGACTACTTATCAGCAGAAGAAGGTGGGGTCTGTGGTAAGTTTAATATCTCCAATTGTTGTCTTAACATAGACGATAACAGAAAAGCAGTACTAGAAATCGCTTCAAACACCAGAAAAGTAGCCCATGGACCAGTCCAAACCTGGAAGGGATGGGACCCAACAAACCTTCTAGAGAGTGGTTCTCTAATTTAGGAGGATTTAGAACGCTGGTAGGGACAGCAATCTTCATCATTGGGTTCCTCCTGTTTCTCCCTGTATTATCCCACTAATAATAAAAGCTATGAAAAGTCTTGTTGAAACTACAGTTAACCGCCAGACAATCCAGACGATGCTCCTGCTACAACGACACGACGAATACCAACCCGTCTCTCAAGAATATCCCCAAAATTCAGTTTTTCTTTGTTTCCAAGGTGCCCACGTCACCCCATGTCACGCTTGAAGCAGTTATTGAAAAAGTCGTCCCTTTTCCCTTTTTCTGTAACGAAATAGACAGGAATGAAAGACTTTCCCCGGGGCCTGGAAGCTGGGGGTGGTGGGTGAATAACTCCTCCATTCTCAGGGCCAGTCCCAAAGCGCAAGACCACCTGCGCCAGCAGCGTGCGTCAGCAGGATAGCAGAAGCAGGAAGAGAGCTGGCTGGAAGACACGTACCCCCTGAAGACCGAGAGAGAGGCCGTCCGGGTACTGCGTAGCAGTTACATCAGACTGAGACACGTCCTGTTTACAGGAGACTATAAAACCCCTGCCCCATCCTCATTTGGTGCTGACGCCGTTTTAGGCCTCAGCCTGTCTGCACCCAGGCGCTCATTAAAACAGCGTGTTGCTCCACACCGCCTTGTGCTGTTTGTTGGCGTGCTCTTGGGGTTCGAACCGATACAAGAGCCTTGCAATGATTATGGGAGGTCTTGTCTTCGTCTTCCTCCATCCTGAGTGGGGCTGGTGCTTGTTGTCTGGTGTTGATGTTCTATGAGATTATGTCCCACAGAACATCAGGGCTTAGCTGTGAGTACCAGGCCAGCTCCTGCTGCCAATAGCTTTTCTCCGTCTCAGCAACATGTCACAGAGAGCTGTGGGGAGACCTCAGCCTGGTGTACCATAGAAGGCAGGGAGATGATATGTGAACTGCTAAGTGAAGAGACCGGTTTTGAAAAGCTTGGTCCTAAGGTGTAGATCCGGTTTCTAACGCATAACTTTTTTTATGGAGGTAACATTTAGATTTAACACTCTAACTGGTACTACTAATACAGAAGCATAATTTTTCTCTAATTTTGCATAAATAAACAGGTTTAAGGTTACTTAAATGTTGACAAGAGTGTCACCTCAAGTTCTGTGTTCCTCCCAACCCCATTAACATCTTTGTGGTGCAAGTGAGGAATTTTCTCTCCTGGGAACTAAATATGGCAGATGCTACTATGTTGCAGCAAGTCCTCAGGCTGAAGGACTGGGGCTCCACAAACATGTTGGAGATGGGACATGGTTGCTTGCACTTAAGGAAAATCGCTTTCTGTTAAAACTTGCTCGAGAAGCGAGACCATTACTGTTTAAACACACAGACTTTGAAGTCAGGACAATCTGGGTTTAAATCATCCCAGGCCTCCCATTTCCTTGTTGTGTGACCTTGGGCAAGTTATCCAGTCACTCTAAGTCTTAGCTATTACAAATGTAAGATGGGGATAGATATTTCTATCCATAATTTTGTTGAGAGAAATAAACCCACTGTGACAATGGGAAACACTGCACGTCGTATGTGCACGATATGTGGCATATGTATTGATTGTTACCAGGTAATTTTCAGCCATCACTTAAATTCCAGGAGCAACCAAAGGGAAATCACAATGAACTTCTTCCTGGGAGCCATTCTTAGGTAAAGGGGTGGTGCTGATTGTTATGAAATGATTATTTCACTGGATTCAGGAGATCTGAGTTATGGCTCTGACTTGGTAATGAATCAGCTGTATAACTTTGAATAAGTCTCTTAATCTTTTTGAGCTGCAATTTGCTTATTTATAAAATGAAAATAATGATGCCAGCCCACACCACCAGAGTTATCGTGACACTGAAATGAGAGGAAGCAACAATGATCAAGGTTTTATGGCTGTACCATATGAAAAGGTATGTTGCAAAGGTACACAGCATTAGAAAATGTAAGATGCTATCAAAGAAACTTGAGTTTATCATAAATTCACTCCTCAAAAGTGGCCTTTAAAATGGGTATCTAATCAGAACATTGTTTTTGTTTCCTTTTTTGGCAATATGACATACAAAAGTACACATTTTTACACATTTTTATCTACATGTAACCACCACCAGGATTTAAAGTAAGTGTGTCCAAGGAAGACATTAAATTGTCTTTGCAGATGACATGATTTTATACATAGAAAACCCTAATGACTTCAATAAAAAACTGTTAGAAATGATAAATTCCATAAAGTTGCAGAATACAAAATCAACCTATGAAAATCAGTAGCGTTTCTATACGTTAACAACAAACTATCTGAAAAAGAAATTAAGGAAACAATCTCATTTACAATGGCATAAAAATACTTAGAAATAAATTTAACCAAGAAGAAAAAAATCTGTTCATTGAAAACTATATCACGTTTTACATTGATAAAATAAATCGAAGAAGATAGAAATAAACGCAAAGCTACACTGTGTTCATGAACTGGAAAAAATCAATAATGTTAAAATGCTCATACTACCCAAAATGACCTACAGATTCAATGCAATTCCTATCCAAATTCCAATGACTTTTTCACAGAAATAGAAAAAATGATTCTAAAACTCACATGGAACCACAAAAGATCTGAAACCGTAAAACTACTAGAAGAAAACATAGGGGGAAGTCTTCCCAACCTTGGTCTTTGCAAAGAATTTTTGCATGTGAACCAAAAGCACAGGCAACAAAAACAAAAAATGGGATTTTATGAAACTAAAAAGCTTCTGCACAACAAAAGAAACAATTTAATACAGTGAAAAGACAACCTATGGAATGGGAGAAAATATCTGCAAACCATACATTTGATAAAGAGTTAATATAGAAAATATATAAGAAACTCAAACAACTCAATGGTAAGAAAACAACTCAATTTTAAAATGGGCAAAGGACCTGAATAGACATTTCTCAAAAGAAAACATATAGAGGCAATAGTTTTAAGGAAAAATGTTCAGCATCACTAGTTATCAGGGAAATGCAAATCAAAACCACAATGAGATATCACTTCACACTTGTGAGAATGGCTATAATCAAAAAGACTCTTTTGATAACAAGTGTCAGCAAAGATGTGGAGAAAAGAAAACACTTGTACACTGTTGGCAAATTAGTACAGTCATTATGGAAAACAGTATGGAGATTCCTCAAAAAATTAAAAATAGAACAGCTATATGATCCAGTAATTTCTCTTCTACATATAGATACAAAGGAAATGAAATCAGTACGTGGAAGAGATATTTGCACTCTCATGTTCATTGCAGCATTATTTGCAATAGCCCATGTATGCAATCAACAGACAAATGGGTAAAGAAAATGTCGGGTGGATCACCTGAGGTCAGGAGTTCGAGACCAGCCTGAACAACATGGAGAAACACCGTCTCTACTAAAAATACAAAATCAGCCTGGCATGGTGGCGCATGCCTGTAATCCCAGCTACTTGGGAAGCTGAGGCAGAAGAATCACTTGAACCCAGGAAGCAGAGGTTGTGGTGAGCAGAGATCACACCATTGCACACTCCAGCCTGGGCAGCAAGAGCGAAACTCCATCTCGGGAAAAAAAAAAAAAAGAAAATGTCATACATATATATAGTTACATATATCTAATGAATATTATTCACCCTTAAAAAAAGAAGGTAATCCTGTCATTTGCAGTGACATGCATGAGCCTGGAGAACATTATGCTAAGTGAAATAAGCTTGGCACTGAAAGACAAATACTGCATAATCTCACTTATATGTAGAATCTAAAAGAGTTGAACTCATGGAAACAGAGAGGAGAATGTTGGTTATCGGGGTCTGTAGAACGAGGATATGGGGAGATACTGGTCCAAGTTTCAGTGAGACAGGATGAATAAGTTCTGCAGATCTATTGTATAGCATGGTGACTGTAGTTAAAAATAGTGTATTATATTCCAGAAAATTGCTAAGAGTAGATCTTAAATGCTCTCTCCATAAAAAAATAAGTCAGTGAGCTTATGGTTGTGTCAATCAGCTTGATTTAATTACTTTATTGCATATACATGTTGCAAAGCATAATGTTGTACACCAGAATATATATAAGTTTTATTTGTTCAGTAAACCTTAATAAAGCTGAAAAAAGAAAAATCAATGTTTCCAGCACACAGAAGGCTCCTTCCTGACCCGTCATAGCTAACAGCCTTCCCCTTCAGAGGTAACCACTACTTTGCCTTCTCCCACCGTTGATTTGTTTTTGCCTGTTCTTTTTGTGTTTTTGTTTTGTTTTGTTTTGGTTTGGTTTGGTTTTTGAGGTGGAGTTTCGCTCTTGTTGCCCAGGCTAGAGTGCAATGGTGCAATCTCAGCTTACTACAAACTCCGCCTCCCAGGTTCAAGGGATTCTCCTGCCTCAGCCTCCCGAGTAGCTGGGATTACAGGCAGGCGCCACCATGCCCGGCTAATTTTTTATTTTTAGTAGAGATGGGGTTTCTCCATGTTAGTCAGGCTGGTCTCGAACTCCCGACCTCAGGTGATCCACCCGCTTCGGCCTCCCCAAGTGCTGGGATTACAGGCGGGAGCCACCATGCCTGGCCTGCCTGTTCTTTAACTCCATAAAAATAGCATTGTGCAGTGTGTCCAGCTTCTTTTGTTCTCATAATAACTATGAGAGTCATCCCAGTTGTGTGTATCAGTGGTTTGTTCTTTTGTAAAATGGCAAGGAGTATCCCTTTGTGTGACTATATCACGGTTCTATTACCTGTCCTAGCCATTCCACTGTGGATGGACATTTGGGCTATTTCTGTTTTTCAGCAGCTAAAAATAAATTGGCTATGAACTTTCCTTTCTTTAAAAATTTATCTTTATAAAACGTCAGATGTGTTTCATAGAAAACGTGACTTTGACACATAATGAGAAACATCAAACATTTAAAATAAAGCCTCCAAACTTAAAGGATAATGTTAATTTCAAATGACATTATTCTTATAAGTAAATGATATTATAAAGTGCAGTCTCAGGCATTATTTTTACCTATGGGACACAAACAGAATAGTCCACAGCAGGATTTTTTTGTCATACTGCAGTTTGGGGATCATTAGTGTATTCTAAGTAAAATAATAATAATAATAATTAAGAAATAGAAAATAAGAGAAAAATTCAAACTCTTTGGACTTAGTAAAGGTAGGTATTATTTCTTTTTTTTTCTTTTGAGACGGAGTCTCATTCTGTCGCCCAGGCTGGAGTGCAGTGGCGCGATCTGGGCTCACTGCAAGCTCCACCTCCCGGGTTCACACCATTCTCCTGCCTCAGCCTCCCCAGTAGCTGGGACTACAGGCACCTGCCACCATGCCCAGCTAATTTTTTTTGTATTTTTTTTTAGTAGAGATGGGGAGAGACTGGAGACCTTTGTTTAACCAAACATTTTTTTTTTAGTAGTCTAACAATAGATGTCTTCTTTTTCTATAAAATGTTCCAAATACAGGTAAATCTTTGAATTGGCCTACTAGAGACTTTTCCTTTGTAGCCTCCCCATGGAGGCTAAAATAACAGATAGAGGAGGCTGGAGGATCCAAAGTGGTGAATAAGGCCGGGCGCCGTGGCTCATGACTGTAATCCCAGCCTTTGGGAGGCCAAGAAGGGCAAATCACCTGAGGCCAGGAATTCGAGACTAGCCTGGCCAACATGACAAAACTCTATCTTTACTAAAAATTCAAAAAGTAGCCAGGTGTGGTGGCACGTGGCTGTCATCCCAGCTACTCGGGAGGCTGAGGCAGGAGAATTGCCTGAACCTGGGAAGCAGAGGTTTGCAGTGAGCCAAGATCATGCCACTGCACTCCAACTTGGGCGACAGGACGAGACTCTGTCTCAACAAACAAACAGAAACAAACAAACAAACAAAAAACCCAAAGTGGCGGATAAGAGATGTCAAATCCAGGCCGGGCACGGGGGCTCACGCCTGTAATCCCAGCACTTTGGGAGGCCGAGGTGGGCGGATCATGAAGTCAGGAGATCGAGACCATCCTGGCTAACACGGTGAAACCCCGTCTCTACTAAAAATACAAAAAAATTAGCCAGGCATGGTGGCAGGCGCCTGTAGTCCCAGCTACTCGGGAGGGTCAGGCAGGAGAATGGTGTGAACCCGGGAGGCGGAGCTTGCAGTGAGCCGAGATTGCGCCACTGCACTCCAGCCTGGGCGACAGAGCAAGACTCTGTCTAAAAAAAAAAAAAAAAGATGTCCAATCCAGATGGTGACACAGTGACCCCACACAGTTATTCCTTGGGACAATATTTTGGTCAGCAAGAGCGGGAATGAGAATTTTTAGACATCGGCTTCAGTCTTGGTTTTTGTTTTTCTTAGTAGTAATAGAGTGATAGTGTAAGATGTCTGAATATATTTGCTTGAACTAGAAAAAAAGAATACAAGTTTTCAGTCATGTGAAGAGTTCCCAACAGGGCTCACTTTTGAATGCCAAGAATGGAGTATTCCAGGGCACAAATGTCCCCCACCCAGCCCAAGAGAGCCAATCCATCCCTGGCTTTGAACACTCTCTGTAGGATTCCCAGCTCTAAATTTCCACTCAGCCTCTCTCCACTTACTTTAAGAATCTTCTAAGAGGAATTTCCAATAGAACCTGTCCAAGACAAAAATCAACAGTCTTTCCCTCTTGCCTTCTCGGTCTTATAAATGGAACCCACAGGGTCAGAACACTAGGAGGGAGTCATTCCTGCCTCCTCTCTTTTCTCTCTCCTTCATATCCCTCCCCACATCCAGCTAGCTGTGGAATCCCATCAATTCTACCTCCTTGATATCTTTGTCTGTCACTATGTTCTGGTCCCTGTGGTGGCTTAGTTCTAGGCCCTTGTCTCCTCTTGCCTGGGTTGAGCCACAGATGGCCTTTCAACTGGTCTCCCTGCCTCCGGTCCTGTCCTCCACCAATCCCTGGGAAGACTTCTCTGACTGCCCAGTGATAAGGGATGACATGAGGAGTCACATGGTCTAGTGATTCTCAACCAACAAGATAAAGACATCATTTAGGTGGACCTCAAGTTTTTTATAACAGCTACCAGAAATGGCTTTTGTTTGTTCTCCAAGTCCATCAATGAATGTGATGTGATTTCTGTTCCTCCTTCCTGTATGTGGTTTATCCACCTACATCCCTCTAGTAGGTGGGTTCTTGGACATTCAGTGCTGTTCTTGATCCCCTGTAAACAAGTGTTTATGACATGCTGCAGTTGTTACTGTATAGAGTTGACCCTTGGACGACATGAGGCGGGGTGCCAACCCACTGCATAGTTGACAATGTGCATATAACTGTTAACTCCTCAAAAACTTAACTACTACTAGTCTGTTGACCAGAAGGCTTGCTGATAAGATAAAGTGGATTAACACATATTTTGTATATGTGTTATATTCTGTATTTTTTCAATAAAGTAAGCTAGAGAAAAGAAAATGTTATTTAAAAAAATCGTAAGGAGGAGAAAATGTATTTGCTATTCATCAAGTGGAATTGGATCATCATAAAGGTCTTCTTCATTGTATTCATTTTATTTTTATTTTTTTATCTTATTTTTGAGACGGAGTCTCGCTCTGTCGCCCAGGCTGGAGTACAGTGGTGCGATCTCCGCTCACTGCAAGCTCCGTCTTCCTGGGTTCACGCCACCCTCCTGCCTCAGCCTCCTGAGTAGCTGGGACTACAGGCGCCTGCCACCACACCCGGCTAATTTTTTGTATTTTTAGTAGAGACGGGGTTTCACCGTGTTAGCCAGGATGGTCTCGATCTCCTGACCTCGTGATCCACCCGCCTTGGCCTCCCAACATTGTCTTCATGCTAAGTATGCTGAGGAGGAGGAAGAGAAGGGATTGGTCTTGTTGACTCAGGGTTGGCAGAGGAGAGAAAAGGCTGTGTATAAGCAGACCAGGGCAGTTCAATCCCATGTTTTTCAAAAGTCAACTATGTATGTGTTTGGTGGTGGCTGGGGTTGACATTGAATCTATAACACAGGACACCTCCACAAATACTACAGGAAGGTGCATGCCAAGAAGACAGGTCCATTCAGCAGGGCCTGCCTGGACCTTAGCCTGGCCTTGATTTCCTATCTTCCTTGCTGTTTAAGGAGCAGGTGGAGTTGGGGGGAGATGATTTTGATCACACTCCCTGAGGAGGTGAAGAAAAATTTAACTGAGTGATGGGTGGAAACTAGTGTGTGAAAGCTTGAAAGCTACTGACCTAGAGTAGCCCTGTATTTTACAACATGTAAATTATTCCCTAATGTAGTAATAAGGATTTCCCATGGGGCAGCCATGTTCTACCTCATGAGAAGCATTGTGGAAGATGTAAAATGTGTAAGGTAGATACCCCTTAAAGTGAGGGGGTGGGGATATATATGAATCACGAATACAAGGTTAAAAAACCAATTGCTTAATTGTATAGTGCAGGCAGATAGGTCGCTAGAGAAGATTTTACAGGCCAGGTGCAGTGGCTCATGCCTGTAATCCCAGCACTTTAGGAGGCCGAGGCAAGTAGATTGCTTGTGCCCAGGAGTTTGAGATCAGCTGAGGCAACATGGCAAGACCCCATCTCCACAAAAAATAAAAATTAGCCTGGCATGGTAGCATACACCTGTGGTCCCAGCTATTTGGGAGTCTGGGTGACAGAATGAGACCTTGTCTCAAAAAAAAAAAAAAAAAAAAAAAAAAAAGAAGAAGATCCTACAGCATCCTTGAGAGCCCATTGTGGAAAACCACCTAAGGGGGAAGCCAGGCTCATATTCTATTTTGGAACTGCAGCTCACAGTGTGTCCTATTGTCTGCTTTTCAAAAAGTACTATGGTGAGAAAATATTTTACCAGATTGAAGTTTCACTGAAAGTTCTTAAGGTACATTTTCTTATAACTCTACTTACTGGCTATTTTCTTCTGAATGCTAAAACATGTTGAATGAAGACAGGAAAACTCAAACATATCTGTTTGCTTTTTGCTTACTTTGTATGATTGAATTTTAAATTGTTCTTCCAATTTTTGGCAGCATATGCAGATTGAGCCACAGGAAAACATAGAATTCTAATTAGTGAATCCTGTAAACGAAATCATGGACATGCTGCCTGTTGTCAGTGTTTACTGTATGACGCTGAGATTAATTTTATTTTAATAGGATCAATTTGGTAACCTCAATTTCTTTAACCAATGCCAGGTTAAATCCACTACTTACTTCGCGGCTGTGAGTGAGTTTCATTCTTTGTTATGCATATTTCAGATGTCAGACTTTTCTTTCTTTCTATAAAAGAAATTTTTCTTTTTATTTCATGTTTAGGAAATTTAATGTGTTGGTTCTGTCAAAAACTAAACAGAAATCACATTTATGATCATTGCTCCTTAGTTTGGGTGGACTCATTTGATGTAGGGTAAAACTTGGCAATATCTAACAAATGGAATGTATTCTTTTCTTTATATTTATTTATTATTGCTATTTTTAATAGTGGCAGGGTCTCGTTATGTTGCCTAGGCTGGTCTCGAACTCCTGGGCTGAAGCAATCCTCCTGTCTCAGCCTCCCAAAGTTCTGGAATTTCAGGCATGAGCCACTGCACCTGGCTGGATTTATTCTTAAGGCAAGTGTTAGGTGATTTCTTCAGTTAGGTCAAACTCAATACACCCTTTAGGGGCTGAATTGTGTCCCTTCTCCCACTCCCCAAATGTGTATGGTGGAGCCCTAACCCTCAATACCTTAGAATGTGACTGTATTGGAGAAAGGATCTTTAAAGAGATGGTTAAATTAAAATGAGGCCATTGGGGTGGGTCCTCACGCAATCCGACTGGCATCCTTTTAAGAGCAGGAAACTTGGACACACAGAGATGCCAGGGACGTGCACTTGCAGAGGGAAGACCACGTAAGGACACAATGAGAAGGTGGCCACCTGCAAAGCAAGGAGAGAGGCCTCAGGAGAAACCAAACCTGCCCGTATGTAGCTCCTGAACTTCCAGCCTCCAGAACTGTCAGAAAAGTAACTACTGGCCTGGCACAGTGGCTCACGCCTGTATTCCCAGTACTTTGGGAGGCTGAGGCAGGTGGATCACAAGGTCAAGAGATTGAGACCATCCTGGCCAACATGGTGAAACCCCATCTCTACCAAAAATACAAAAATTAGCTGGGTGTGGTGGCACGTGCCTGTAGTCCCAGCTACTTGGGAGGCTGAGGCAGGAGAATGGCGTGAACCCGGGAGGCGGAGGTTGAAGTGAGCCGAGATGGCACCACTGCACTCCAGCCTGGCGACAGAGCAATACTCTGTCTCAAAAAAAATAAATAAAATAAATAAAAAATTTAAAAAATTAATTGCTGTTGTTTAAGCCATCCAGTTTGTAGTATTTTGCTAGCTGACTAATATATCTAGAACCAAATATTATTTCCTGCCCAATACATTCATTCTGTGGCAGAGGCACTTACTGCTCACTGAATACCCACGTAATTCCTTCTGAAAGCCCTGCCTTCCTGCTGGTTAGGTGGGGCCATGCACTGGTTTTAATAATTAGTCCTTGCCATTCTATTTTTGCAACATTCCACAGACCCGTCCCTACTTTCCATTCACAGAACTGTCATAGTTATCTCCCTAAACAAATGATGACAAAGATGATGATGACAAGGATGGAATAGTGTCCCAGGCACTGTCCTAGTACTTTCTATGATGAAGTCATTTAATCTCATAACCTTATGAAGTAGGTACCATTATCATTCCCTTTTTCAAATGAAGACACTGGGGCATGGGAGTTTAAGTAACTTGCTCAAGTTCACACAATTGCTAAGTGTGCAGAGCCAGAATGTGAACTCTGGCAATGTGGTTTTCATTGTTTCAGAATAAATTCATACTTTAACAAACCCTCACGTTCTAATTCCAGTGTACCCTCTCAGCCTCTTCTCCCATCAAGAACAACCCTCTACCTCTGTCCACTTCTAACCCTTCACTCTAGTTAGAGTCTAGATGGTGTCTTCTCCAAACGCAGCCGGCATTTGCCTACCTCTGTCTCACTGCTAAGCTCTTCCATTAGAATTGCTCTGCTTCCCGTCCCCTGTCTTCCTTAGCCCTGTCCATCAACATTCTGTGCATCCTGCAATGCCTCACTCAGTTGCCAACTCTTCTGGGAAGCCCTCCTTGGGGTCATCTTCATTCAGCTCTCCCATAATCCCTTGCCTGTACTTCCCCGTGGGCACTCAGGTTCCTCTTATTTGTGCCTGTGTCTATCTCTTGCCCCGAGGGCTAAGCACCCTGAGCACTGGGACCAAGCTTCTCTGTGTGTAGATTTCCTCTGCAAGTAAGCAGCACAGTGCGTTGCACACAATCATTCTGCTACAAATGCTGCCTGCATTTAATTGAAAGTTTCCTTGAATGCCTTGCTACTTGAGGGAAGATAATGTTACCTCCTCTCACGTGGGCCCCAGTCACATCATATGAAAGCGACTTTGTTAATATCAGAACATTTTTTTAACTCATCCCTGTATCTGCTCTCACTTCTCTGAGTTTGATGCTATCTGTCATGTTAGCAAATTGCTCCTTTAGTCTTTATATTAGAACTGAGTTTCGCTGAATTTCAATTATTTCCTAGTCTTGATTTATTAATTAAGGGCACTTTTTTTTTTATCCTGGTGGTATTTTCAAACATGTGGTAATGTATGTTCCAGTGAGTTTCAACTGGAACATACATTTCAAGAAAAGAGAAGGATGGAGTTCCTGCCTCCTTTTACTCCTGCAAATCACACCTTTGAGCATTCCATGGAGCTTTGGTTGCAGAAAGCAGAAAGAAAAGTGGCATTCAGTCACTTCTGCTAAAGTACATATGGTTCAAATGCAGGATGAAGGATTTGAAACTTGAACAAAATTGGATGTTCTGAAAATATCAGTTGATCATTTTCCCCAAGAACACATATGTGTTAATTGTGATCTTAGGTAGCTTTCATTTTCCCTGGAGTGGCAACCCTCCTCCAAGATGGCCTCTGGCGATCCTCGCCTCCTGGTCTTGCACATTTGTGTCATCCCCTCCCACGCTAAATAGAGCAACCAGTCCTGTGTCAACAACAGAAGTGACACAGTGTGACGTCTATGGCTAGATTATAAAAGGCCCTGTGGCTTCAGCTTGCTCTACTGATCACTTGCTTTGGGGGAAGGCAGCCTCCAGGTTGTGAGGCTCTGAAGTAACCCTGTGGCAAGGTCCATGTGGCAGGGAATTGATGCCCACAGCCAGCACCTGCTTGCCCGCCATGCCAGTGAAGCCTCCTGAAGCCGGCTCTCAAGCCCCAGTCAAGCCTTCAGATATTGAAGCCATTGCAGTTAAAAAAAAAAAAAAAGACGAGTTGTCACTGTGTTAGGCCAAGCTGGTCTTGAACTCCTGGCCTCAAGCCATCCTCTCACCTTGGCTCCCTAAAGTGCTGTGACTGCAAGCGTGAGCCACCAGACTCGGCCTGTAGCTGACATCTTGATGGTAATTCATGGAAGACCCAAAGCTGGATCGGCCCAGTCAAGCTGCTCCCAAATTCCTGATCTGTGGAATCCATACGAGGTAACAAATGTTTATATCTATTTTAAGCCACTATGTTTTGGGGGTAATTTGCTATATAGCAATAAGTAACTACATGGCACAAAAAGTTTGATTTTATTGGTTCTTTGCAAATCCATTGTTTTGTTGTTTCAGTTCTACATTTTTGGCAATTATAGCGTATGACTGTGTATGGTAGAAATAACAATCATTGGTATAAAGTGAGATCACCATGGTTTGATCAGACGCTCAGCAGAGAGCTGCCTTGGTTTCCTGCTTCAGGTGCACCTGGACCCTTGGTACTGCCCTGAGACACGCTTCCCTTCCCTACTCCACCCCCAGCCTCCTTTCTTCCCCCTTTCAGCAACTTTCCAGGACAAAGCACCTCTCGCATAGACGCACTCCATCTACCATGAAGACTCAGAGGCACCCATCCATCTCCAGGTCAGCACGGACCTCCGTGCCTTTTGCAGCCACCACCGTGCCTGACCCCTCAATGGGGAGACTGTGACTTTGAAGCGTCTTGTGAAATACTTGCTTCATCAATACTAGAAGTAGAAACAACATGCTGAGAAATGGGTGCAAAATCACCGAAACTGGTGCAAGACCAGAGCCTCAAGATACCAGAACCTTGACACTAAAAGGCTGAAGCTGTGAAGTCTCCATTGCACTGGGGGAGGGGTGGGAATGTGAGTCAGTCATTCCTGTAATCGCACAACTAGCTCCAGACACAGCCCCACGTGAGGGGTCTCCCCTTGACGCCCAATGTCTCAATGTGCAGGTGAAACCACCAAAGCTAACTTGCCCAAGACAGAGTCGCAGAGGCTGACTTGGCAGAGTGTTTCTGACGAGTACAGTGGAGACAGGCTCGGCTAGAGCAAAGTCATGGGCTGCTTCCCTCTGCTTTGGAAAAGGGGGCCTTGCCCACATCTGTCTGTTTCAGAAGGTGTGTCTGCCAACTGAGAAAGTCAGCCTCCCCCAGCTGAGGGCAGAGACACTGACTTTTCCCCTCCCCTTCCACCCGTCCTCCCCACTACCTTTACCCACTGGCACAATTAAGCATAATTACTACAATTAATCTTTACAGTTCTAAACAGCACATTTAGAGCTACCTTAATTAGCAGAAATTCTGCGTTGCTTTGCAGGCAAGGAGGATGAAACACACGATGTAAAAGGCTGTAAGGATTCATTCATTTACTCTAGAAGATGTTTCTAAAAAAGCAAATATATGAAGTGTATACAGTAGTCCCCCTTACCTGTGGGGGATACGCTCCAAGATCCCCAGTAGATGCCTGAGACTGCCGATAATACTGGGCTCTATATATACTGTGTTTTTTCCTAAACTGTACACATACACCTATGCACAGTATGGGATTCACAACCACAACTAATAATAAAATAAAACAATGATAACAATATGCTGTAATAAAAGTTACGTGGGCCGGGGGCGGTGGCTCACGCCTGTAATCCCAGCACTTTGGGAGGCCAAGGCAGGCGGATCATGAGGTCAGGAGATCGAAACCATCCTGGCTAACATGGTGAAACCCTGCCTCTACTAAAAACACAAAAACAAAATCAGCCGGGCGTGGTGGCGGGCACCTGTAGTCCCAGCTACTTGGGAGGCTGAGGTGGGAGAATAGGGGTGAACCAGGGAGGCAGAGCTTGCAGTGAGCTGAGATCACACCACTGCACTCCAGCCTGGGCGACAGAGCAAGACTCCTTCTCAAAAAAAAAAAAAAAAAAAAAAAAAATTACGTGAATGTGGCCTCTTTCTTTCTCTCAAAGCCACCTATCATAGGTCATGTTTTTGGATTGTACATGACAGTGGGTAACTAGAAGCACGGAAAGTGAAACTTTGGAACACGGGAACTACTGCACATCTTTCCTGTAAAGTTAAAGAACACAAGTCATCTCAAAAGGAAATCATTTGCTATGAAGATACACAATTTAGAGAGAATGAAAGTGGAAGGATCTACTTGGTTAATGGATTCAGCGTTCAAAACCACACTGGGTTATTTAGGCAAGAAGACATACTTCATCGACTTTGATTGAATCTGCGAGGTACTGTAGTTGCCAAATCTTCACCTGGCTCCTTGTTGCACAGATAGTTTTTGAAAGATATTGTCAATAATTCCAGTTATAAGGACATGCCCAACACCTGTCAGTGTCCACCCGAAACCTCCTAGGGTTAGTCTACTGATGCTCACTTTGTGTGAAAAGGTTAAACGTGGCTAGGTGTCCATTGCCAATGGCCTCAGGTGGTCTGAAGAAATCCTGGTCACTTCTCTAAATCCCAGTGTGTCCGGAATTGGTGGGTTTTCGGTCTCGATGACTTCAAGAATGAAGCCACGGACCCTTGCAGTGAGTGTTACAGTTCTTAAGATGGTGTGTCGGGAGTTGGTTCCTTCTGACATTCAGATGTGTTTGGAGTTTCTTCCTTCTGGTGGGTTCGTGGTCTCGCTGGCTTCAGGAGTGAAGCTGCAGACCTTCGCCGTGAGTGTTACAGCTCATAAAGTTGGTATAGACCCAAAACGTGAACAGCAACAAGATTTTCTGTGAAGAGAAAAAGAACAGTTCCTACACCGTGGAAACGGACCCCCGCAGGTTGCCGACGCTGGCTCAGGTGGAGTGCTTTTATTCTCTTATCCGGCCCCACCCACATCCTACTGATTGGTCCATTTTACAGAGAGCTGATTGGCCCGTTTTACAGAGAGCTGATTGGTCCATTTTGACAGAGTGCTGATTGGTGCATTTACAATCCTTTAGCTAGACACAAAAGTTCTCCAAGTCCCCAACAGATTAGCTAGACACAGAGCGCTGATTGGTGCATTTACAAAACCTTTAGCTAGACACAGAGTGCTGATTGGTGCATTTACAATCCTTTGGCTAGGCAGAAAAGTTCTCTAAGTCCCCACCCAGCCCAGGAGCCCAGCTGGCTTCACCTCTCAATGGCACTCGCCGGGGGACTTCGCAGCACCTAGCCCAGGCACTCCAGCAGCCCAGAGGGAGCTTGTCCCGGATCAAGCCCAGCAGGCGCCGGCCGGCTGAGCCTAGTGAGGGAGCCCCGTGAGCCCGTGCCAGCCCGGAACCCGCACCAGCCTGCAAGCGCCACGCTCAGCCCCGGCTGGCTTCGGCGCCTCCCGCTCCACACCTCCCTGAGAGCAGAGGGAGCCTGTTCCGGCCTTGGCCAGCCCCAGAGAGGGGCCCCCACAGTGCAGCGACGGCTGAAGGGCTCCTCAAGCGCGGCCAGAGTGGACGCTGAGGCCGAGGAGGCACCAAGAGTGAGCGAGGGCTGCTAGCACGTTGTCACTTCTTACCAGGGGCTAATGGACACAAGAGGATGCCAGTCCTTTGAGCCTCCTTGGAAGCTGAGTTCCTCTCTGAGGGTCAACAGTCAACACCGGGCCTGCCTGGGCCTGGACTTCTCTGGCCTAACGTCCTATCCACAAAGTCAGGCTTTGTGGATAGAGTTCAGCCCCTGGGCCTGGGCAGGGCCAGCTGTGTGCTCCCCCAGCTCCTGCCTCGCTTCTCTGGCTCCCCAGGGCTGGCCTGCTCAGACTGGCCCCAGTTCTGGGAAGGAATGGTGCCAACTGCCTTCCCCATTCATGGTGTCAATAAGGGGCTTTACAAAGTTGTCCCTCACCCCCACCCCCTACCTCAACAAGAGCTATTGTGTTATTGAAAGTGCCGAGGGCATTTCCTGGGAACATGGAATTCATCAAACAGAAACTTACAATGAGAGAAATGAACAAATTCTACAAGTGTTTGCTCCTCTCGGGCTCCCAGGAGGCCAATCCCACAAACGCCTTTGGGAGGCAAACCTCATGGGGCTGCCCGGGCAGGAAACCAATCTGTGCTTCTTCCCTTGAAAGATGCTGGGGCCTGCCCCAAAAGGTGGCTCTGAGTCACAACCAGGAGCCACCGGGAGCATCTGGGGGGACTGCTGTTTTTCTCCAGCGGCCCCAAAGGCCATCCAGGAGTTCTCCATTGAGACCTGGACGTCAAGGGGAAGCCTTGGGTGGAACTGCGAGCGGGTGGCCTTGTCTTTACTGGTCTTTTTCCGTTGAGGCTTCTCTCCCAGCACATCCTTTCTAGGGTCTCTGGTCTACTGTTCTCACCACCCTTGTTCAACCGACCACCCCCTTCTCACCACTGGCCCCCAACTATATTTATTTATTTATTTATTTATTTATTTATTTATTTTGGAGATGGAGTCTCATTCTGTCGCCCAGGCTGGAGTGCAGTGGTGCAATCACGGCTCACTGCAAGCTCCGCCTTCCGGGTTCACGCCATTCGCCTACCTCAGCCTCCCGGGTAGCTGGGACTACAGGCGCCCGCCACCGCGCCCAGCTAATTTTTTGTATTTTTAGTAGAGACGGGGTTTCACCGTGGTCTGGATCACCTGACCTCGTGATCCGCCTGCCTCGGCCTCCCAAAGTGCTGGGATTACAGGCGTGAGCCACCTCGCCCGGCCTTCGCCCCCAACTATTCAGGACACCTGGCTACATCTGATGCCAGCTTCCCCTCCACCCTGTCAAGACGCTCCACGCTCCGCCTTCTCACCTCCTCCAGCCGTCATCTGCTGAGACCCTGCCTATCCACGTGGCAATCAGAGGGACCGCCACACCCCCAAGGCCTCTGCCACTCTTGAGGGACACACATCTTAACAGTGGCTCCATGCACCTGTGAAACCCAGTAGGGCCTATAGGGGAGGAAGCACAGCCTCGTGGCGGGGGAAGGAGTTCAGGATGCGCCACCCCAAAATATGCTGCTATTCACTCAAAATTAACTATTTTAAGTTAAAAACACTGGAAAAAAGCAGGTGTGGGAAGGGCACTCTGATCTTTTTTTGTTTGTTTTCAGAAGCAGGGGATAAAATACCCATATAAAATGTGACCACTGGGCAGGCGTGGTGGCTCACACCTGTAATCCCAGCACTTTGGGAGGCCAAGGCAGGTGGATCACCTGAGGTCAGGAGTTCGAGATCAGCCTGGCCAACGTGGTGAAACCCTGTCTCTACTAAAAATATAAAAAATTAGCCAGGCATGGTGGCGGGTGCCTGTAGTCCCAGCTACTGGGGAGGTTGAGGCAGGAGAATCGCTTGAGCCCGGAAGGCAGAGGTTGCAGTGAGCTGATATCACACCATTGCACTCCAGCCTGGGCGACAACAGCGAAACTCCGTCTCCAAAAAACAAAACAAAAAAAGTGACCATCTTGTACCAGCAAAGAGAAACATTCTTTTCAGCAGAGAACGGAAGTTGAGGCTGAGAGAAATCTGCACAAACAGATCTTGTTAAAATAACCGTTATTGTTCTTTAGTCTCCCATATATTTCAGTTACTTTTCTGCAATTGTTATTCTTTGTCCAATGTAATATGTAAGCACATAGGTTTAGCCGCTTCTTTGGGTCTTCATCTTTCTTGTGAGGGCTTCCACTGCACACAAATCAAATTTGTGTGCTTTTGTCCAGCTAATCTGTCTTATGTCAGTCCCAGCTGGAAGCCCTCAGACAGCAGAAGGACATTTTCCTCCCTTACAAGTGAATGTCCTCGTGGGCGGGCTGCCGGGAATGACACCTGGAGACAGCGTAGGTGCTGCAGAGGGTAAACTGCAGCTCACGACTACATAGGGCTCACACCCATCCATTGTTTTGCTTGCACAGTCTCTTTTAAAAATTTTATTTAGTTGTCAACATTTAAAAGTTTTTTCACATTAAAATCTGAATTTTCATGGAAACCTGGAAAGCTGGCAGCGTGGGATCTGAGTAGTTCTTGGTGGAAGTGAAGAATGTGCCTGTGTTTAACATGCGCACGCGTCTGCTTCACTCCCTGCCTGGGGGCCCTGCGGGCACAGCCTGGGGAAGGCAGTGCTGGCATAGACAAGGGGCTGCCAGGCAACTGGGGCCTGGTGCAAGTTCAGAGGAGGCCAGAGTCTAGATTCTCTGCTCAGAACCTGCATGCCTGGAATCAAAAGAAAGTGACAAATCGCACCTGAGTAAATATAGTTTCACAATGAAGCGCATGTCAACACTTCAATGCAGAGGCTGTATCACTCAGGAAGCTCTTCAGGGAGCAAGGGACAGTCAGTGCGGGGAGTGGGAGGCTGGAGTTGAGGGCCGGCCTCACAGGCCTGCGTGGAATGGTCTGCTGATGCTGTCTCAAACTCACTGATACTTTGCCAATGAGGGTCATTTTGCACTGTGTACCTTCCCCAGATTATGTAGCCAGTCCTGGCAGAGCTCAACCAAAGCAGAATCTCCTGTGTCACCAAGGAGACAGTGTTGACTTTGGATACTTTAAAGAGACTTAAATTGTTGGTGGAGGCTGTGCAGCTCTGGGGTTCTGAGCAGAGTGATTTCGTGTAATACTGTCAGTGAAGTTAGGGAACAACTCAATGGATGAGAGAGCTCCTAGGAGAAAGTGGGAACAACTGGACGCATCCGTTGTTAAGTGATCAGAATGTTACTGCTCTCACACGGAGTGAAGTGAATCTCTTCTCTGCTTTACGGATTTTTTGCAGACTGTTGGATGGGCGGCAGGCCAGAGCCAGCTGGGACCACAGGAGGGACCACAGGAGGAAGCTGGTGTGAGTGCTGTGAGGCCCTCAGATTTAAGTGAATGGTTTGGAAACCTCCGGGGAGAAGTCTACTTCCTGTTGCTACTTTTCTTCTAAATGAATACAGTGTAAATATCTGGCCAGCACAGCAGCAGCAGCTCAACCACATGCTTTGAGAACTAAGCCAAAAAAAATGTAATATTTCTGCAAGTATGTTCTATTGGAGTCTTTGGCTAAATGTGTGATCTTTATAAAATTAAGATAATTTTTAATTGACAAAAATTGCAAGTATTTACGATCTACAACATGATGTTTTGAAATTTGTATACACTGTGAAGGGCTACATCAAGCTAATTAACATATCCATTACCTCACATACTGTTTTTTTTGGATTTTTTTGTTGGTTTTTTTTGGTGGTTTAGACACTCTCAGCAATTTTCAAGAATACATTACATCGTTACTGTTACTAACTATAGTCATGGTGATTGTACAAAAGGTCTTTTGAACTGACTCTTCCTGTCTAATTGAAATTTTGTATCCTTTGACCAACATCTCCCCAGACCTTCCCCCTGTGCAACCCTCGTAACCACCTTTCTAGTCTTCTGTTGCTCAGTCTCCCAGGCTGCAGTGCAGTGGCGTGATCTCTGCTCACTGCAACCTCCACCTCCGGGGATCAAGCAATTCTCCTGCCTCAGCCTCCTGAGTAGCTGGGATTACAGGCGTGTGCCACCATGCCCAGCTAACTTTTTGTATTTTCAGTAGAGACGGGGTTTCGCCATGTTGGCCAGGCTAGTCTCAAACTCCTGGCTTCAAGTGATCCACCTGCCTCGCCTCCCAAAGTGCTGGGATTACAGATGTGAGCCACCACGCCTGGCCTGAGTTTGACTTTTTTAGATTCCACATATAAGTGAGATCATGAACTAGTTTTCTTTCTGTGCCTGGCTTATTCCACTTAGCATAATGTCCTCCAGGTTCATCCATGTTGACACAAATGACAGGATTTGCTTCCTTTCTAAGGCTAGATAGTGTTCCATTATGTATAAGTCACATTTCTTTATCCATTCATCTGTTGATGTACAGTTAGGTGTGGGAGTGTAGATATTTCTTCAATATACTGATTTCATTTCCTTGGATGTATACCTAGAAGAGGGACGGCTGGATCATATGGTAGTTCTGTTTATAGTTTTTTGAAGAACCTCCATACTGCTTTCCATCATGGCTATATTAATTAACATTCCCTTTCCTCCACATCCTTGCCAACTCTTGTTACCTTTTGTCTTTTCAGTGACAGCCATGCTAGCAGGTGTGGGGTGGCATCTCATGTGGTTTTGCTTTGCATTGCCCAGATGAGTAGTGATGTTGAACATCTTTTCATATACCTATTGGTTCTTCATATGTCTTCTTTTGAGAAAAGTCTATTTAAGTCCTTTGCTAATTTTTAAAATTTTAACTATTTATTTTTATGGGTACATAGTAGGTATATATATTTATGGAGTACATGAGATACTTTGATATGGGTATACAATGCATAATAATGACATTAGCAAAAGTGGGATATCTATCTCCTCAAGCACTGATCATTTCTTTGTGTTATAAACCTTCCAATTATACTCTTTCTGTTTTATTTATTTATTTTTTGAGACAGAGGCTCACTCTGTCACCCAGGCTGGAGTGTAGTGATGCGATCTCGGCTCACCGCAACCTCCGCCTGTTGAATGTTGTCAAATGCATGGGTTCAAGCGATTCTCCTGCTGCCTCAGCCTCCCGAATAGTTGGGATTACAGGTCCATGCCACTGCGCCTGGCTAATTTTTGTATTTTTAGTAGAGATGGGGTTTCACCATGTTGGCTAGGGCGCTCTTGAACTCCTGACTTCAAGTGATCCACCCGCCTCGGTCTCCCAAAATGCTGAGATTACAGGCATGAGCCACCATGCCTGGCCTTCTTTCTGTTATTATTACTTTTTTTAATTATTATTTTTTTTGAGATGGAATCTCACTCTGTTGCCCAGGCTGGAGTGCAGTGGCAGGCTCACTGCAAGCCCTGCCTCCCGGGTTCACGCCATTCTCCTGCCTCAGCCTCCTGAGCAGCTGGGACTACAGGTGCCTGCCAGCATGCCAGGCTAATTTTTGTATTTTTAGTAGAGACGGGGTTACACTGTATTAGCCAGGATGGTCTTGATCTCCTGACCTCATGATCCACCCACCTCAGCCTCCCAAAGTGCTGGGATTACAGGCGTGAGCCACTACGCCCAGCCTCTTTCTGTTATTTTTAAATGTACAGTAAATTATTGTTGACTGTGGTCACCCTGTTGTGCTATCAAATACTAGATCTTATTCATTGTACCTAACTATAGTGTTTGTATCCAGTAACTACCTCTGAGTGCTCCCACCTCCATCACCCTCACTACACTTCCTAGCCTCTGGGAACTACTTTTCCTCATTTTAAAAATCAGGTTGCCTTCTTGCTACTGAGTTGTTTGAGTCCCTTATATATTTTGGATATTAAATGTATGACTTGCAAATATTTTCTCCCTTCCTGTAGATTTTCTTTTCACTCTGTTGGTTGTTTCCTTTGCTGTCAGAAGCTTTTTAGCTTGATGCAGTCTGATTTGTCTATTGTCGCTTTTGTTGCCTGTGCTTTTGAGCTCATAGCCAAAATATTATTACTCAAACCAATGTCATGGAGCTTTCTCCCTATGTTTTCTTCTAGTAGTTTTGGAGTTTCAAGTCTTATATTTAAGTCTTTAATTCATTTGGAGTTGGTTTTTGTATATGGTGTGAAATAAGGGTTTAATTACATTCTTCTGCATGTGGACATCTAGTTTTCCCAACACCATTTATTGAAGAAACTGTCCTTTCACTATTGTGTATTCTTGGGACCCTTGTTGAAGATCAACTGACCATAAATGCATGGATTTATTTCTGAGCTTCCTGTTCCACTGGTCTGTATATCTTTTTTATGCCAGTACTGTGCTGTTTTGATTACTATAGCTGTGTAGTAGATTTTGAGATCAGGTAATGTGATACCTTCATCATGGTTCTTTCTGATAAAGATATTTCTGGCTTTTCAGGGTCTTTTGTGGTTCCATATAAATTTTAGGATTTTTTTTCTATTTCTGTGAAAAATGTCATTGGGATTTTCATGGGGATTGCACTGAATCTGCAGATTGCTTTGTGGATATGGACATTTTAACAATATAAATTATTCTAATCCATTAGCACAGAATATCTTCCCATTTATTTGTATCTTCTTCAATTTTCCCCCTCCCTCCCTCCCTCCCTTTCTTCCTTCCTTCCTGCCTTCCTGCCTTCCTTCTCTCCTTACTTCCTTTTGAGATAAGGTCTCACCATGTTGCCTAGGCTGGAGTGCAGTGACATGATCATAGCTCATTGTAACTCTGAACTCCTGGGCTCAAGCAATCCTCCTGCCTCAGCCTCCTGAGTAGCTTAAACCTCAGGTGCACACCACCACACCTGGCTAATTTGTTATCTTTATTTTTTTTTGTAAAGACAGGATTTCACTATGTTTCTTGGGCTGGTCTTGAACTCTTAGGCTCAAGCAATCCTCCTGCATTGTCCTTCCAAAGTGCTAGAATTACAGACATGAGCCACCATGCTGGTCTTCACTTTCTTTCATCAACATTTTATAGTATTTAGTGAAGAGATCTTTCACCTCCTTGGGTAAATTTATTTCTAAATAATTTCTTTCTTTCTTTCTTTCTTTTTTTTTTTTGAGACAGAGTCTCGCTGTGTCACCCAGGCTGGAGTGCAGTGGTGCAATCTCGACTCACTGCAAGCTCCGCCTCCCGGGTTCACGCCATTCTCCTGCCTCAGCCTCCTGAGTAGATGGGACTACAGGCACCTGCCACCACGCCTGGCTAATTTTTGTATTTTTAGTAGAGATGGGGTTTCACTGTGTTACCTAGGATGGTCTCGATCTCCTGACCTCGTGATCTGTCTGCCTCAGCCTCCCAAAGTGCTGGGATTACAGGCGTGAGCCACCATGCCTGGCCATTTTTTTGTATTTTTTTAGTAGAGACGGGGCTTCACCATGTTAACCAGGATGGTCCCGATCTCCTGACTTCGTGATGCACCCGCCTCGGCTTCCCAAAGTGCTGGGATTACAGGAGTGAGCCATCGCGCCCGACCCTATTTCTAAATAATTTCTGATGCTATTGTAAATGGAATTGTTCTTTTGATTTCTTTTTGGAATACTTCATAGTGTATAGAAATGTCACTGATTTTCATACGTTGATTCTGCATCGTGTGTTGATTTTTGCAACTTCATTGACTTGTTTATTACCTCCCTCTCCCTCTCCCTGCCCTGCCCCTCCCCTCCCCTCCCCTTCCCTTCCTGTCCCTTCCCTTTCTTGTCTCACTCTATCACACAGGCTGGACTGCAGTGGCACGAACTCGACTCACTGCAACCTCTTCCTGTCAGGCTCAAGCGATCCTCCCACCTCAGTTTCCTGAGTAGCTGGGACCACAGGCGCATGCCACCATGCCCAGCTAATTTTTTAAATTTTTGGTAGACATGCGGTTTCTCCATGTTGCCCAGGCTAGTCTCAAACTCCTGACCTCAAGTGGTCTGCCCACCTTCACCTCCCAAAGTGCTGGGATTACAGGCGTGAGCCACTGCGTCTGGCCTTGTTTATTATTTCTAACAGTTTTTTGATGGTGCCTTTAGAGTTTTCTATATGTATGATTATGTCATCTATAGACAGAGACAATTTAACTTCTCCCTTTCCAATTTTAATGCCTTTTGTTACTTTCTCTTGCCTAAATGCTCTGGCTCAGACTTCCAGGACTGTGTTGAATAGAGGTGGCAAGAGTGGGCATCTGTATCAGTCTGTTTTCACACTGCTATAAAGAACTACCTGGGACTGGGTAATTTATGAAGAAAAGAGGTTTAATTAACTGACAGTTCCACATGACTGGAGAGGCCTCTGGAAACTTACAATCATGCTGGAAGGCAAAGGGGAAGCAAGGCACGCCTTACATGGCAGCAGGAGAGAGAGAGAGAGAGAAGGGAGAAGTGCCCATCTTAAACCATCAGATCTTGTGAGAACCCATTCACTATATTGAGAACAGCAAGGGGAAAATCTGCCCCCATGATCCAATCACCTCCTACCAGGTTCCTCCGCTGTATATGGGGATTGCAATTCGAGGTGAGATTTGGGTGGGGACACAGAGCCAAATCATATCAGCATTCTTGTCTTGTTCCTGATCGTAGAAGAAAAGCTTTCAACTTTTCACTGCTAGTTGTGGGCTTCTCATATATGGACTTTATTGTGTTGAGGTACATTCCTTCTATACCTAGTTTGTTGAGAGCTTTTATCAGGAAAGGATGTTGAATTTTGTCAAATGCATTTTCTACATCTATTAAGATGATCATATAGATTTTGTCCTTCATTCTGTTCATGTGGTGATCACATTTATAGACATGCATTTGTTGAAACATCCTTGCATGCCTGGGATAAATCCCACCCGATTGTGCTGTTTCATATGCTATTGAATTTGGTCTGTGATGTGGTTTGGATATGTGTCCCACCCAAATCTTATGTTGAAATGTAATCCACAGTGTTGGAGGTGGGACTCGGAAGTGATTGGATCATGGGGGTGGATTTCTCATGAATAGTTTAGCACCATCCTCTTGGTGCTGTCCTTATGACAGTGAGTGAGTTCTCATGAGATCTGATTGTTTAAAAGTGTGTGACACCTTCCTCTGCTACCCATCTCTCTCTCTCTCTCTTTTTTTTTTTTTTTGAGATGAAGTTTCTCTCTTGTCACCCAGGCTGGAGTGCAATGGCGTAATCTCAGTTCACTGCAACCTCGGCCTCCTGGGTTCAAGTGAGTCTCCTGCCTCAGCCTCCCAAGTAGCTGGGATTACAGGTGCGCACCACCACCATGCCCAGCTAATTTTTATATTTTTAGTAGAGACAGGGTTTCACCATGTTGGCCAGGCTGGTCTGGAACTCCAGACTTCAGGTGATCTGCCAGCCTTGGCCTCCCAAGTGCTGGGATTACAGGCGCGAGCCACCACACCCAGCCTCATTTCTCTCTTGCTCCTGTGCCTGCCATGTGATGTGCCGGCTCCTGCTTCTCCTTCTGCCTTGACTAAAAGCCCCCTGAGGCTCCCCAGAACCAAGCAGATGTGCCATGCATGTACAGCCTGCAGGACTGTGAGTCAATTAAACCTCTTTTCATTATAAATTCCCCAGTCTCAGGTATTTCTTTACAGCAATGCAAGAACAGCCCACCACACTTTGATGATATATATATTTTTTGAGAATTTAAGCATCTATGTTCATCAGTGACATGGGCCTAGAACTTTCTTTTCTTACAGTGTCCTAAAAAGAAGTATATTTTCTTTAAAAAGTGACTTAGTAGGTTTTTATGGGTTGAATTAAGTCCCACCAAAAAATATGTTGAAGTCCTAGTCCCCAGTACCTCAGAATGAGGCCTTATTAAGACAGCATCATTGAAGAGGTAATGAGTGAAGATGAGGTTGCACTAGACTTAGGTGGGGCCTTCATCCAATATGACAGGCATCCTCATAGGAAGAAGAGAGAACACACAGACACACATGGGGAGACAGCCATGGGAAACACAGGCCGAGATGGAAGTGCTGCAGCCACAAGCCAAGGGAATGTCCAGGATGGACGCATACCACCAGACGCCAGGCAGAGGCAGAGATTCTGCCCTGCAGGTGTCAGAGGGAGTGTGGCTCTGTGGGCGCCTTGATTTTGGACTTTTGGCTTCCAGAACTGAGCAAGAATCAACTGCTGTTGTGTAAGCCACCCAGTTAGTGGTGCTTTGCTATAGAGCCCTAGGAAATTAATATGCAGGTATTTCTCTTTTTTTTCCTTCTTGAGTAAATATAATTCTTTCTGAATGTCAACATTTCAATTTTTTAAAACAAGGCACTCCATATTTTTAGATATCTGCACTTCATTTTAAGCTCCTGAAGTTTTTGCCTCACATGTAAACTTCAGTATTTTTAACACACACTGTGGTATACAGTACTAAGAAGGGATTCCATAGTGTTCTAGGATCATTCTGTTAAAAATCAGCTGTCATTAATGAGTGTGTGGCCATTTCAACATTTGGGAATCCTGGCCTGATATATAAACAGCAGCATCATTTTTGTCTCTTGTGTCCCTTAAATTCCTCTGTGGCCTTTACACCTGTCTCCTGCTCAAGGAGAAAGCACTAGAAGCTTTCCTGGTCATTTTCAGAGCTTTTCTGGTTACTTTTCGTTGGCCAGGTTCAACGCAGGACTTAATACGCTCAGGTCAGTGTAACATCAAAGCTTGACTCCTCCCTAAACTTCCTCTCTTCCTGCAGCTTTGACTGCCTCGGGCTAGGAGCTGCCAGCTGTGATGGTGGTGGGAATGGCAGGGGTGTGTGGTGGGCTTCACCCTCTATCCCTATGCTTGGCTCTAGGGCTCCTCCCCAGTCAGCTACCTCTGGTGTTTGGAGTCCAGGGCAGGAAGAGCAAGGAAGAGAAACCGGAAAGTTGACTTTTCATGATTAAAATGGCAGCCCCACCTGCTCATGTTCACGGCTGCCTTTTCTCGTTAGAACATCACTTTCTAACATGCCTTACAGCTTGCTTATTTGCTATGCTCATTGTTTACTGTCTTCTCCCACAGATATAGAATCTCTGCGAGGGCGGGGCCTCTGTTTTGTTCACTGATGTGTCCCAGGTAGAGGATGCTTGGTAGTAGGAGGTGCTCAGTGAACGTTTGTTGGAAGACTCTGAATTAAACAGAAAGATCGGCAGCACCTTTCTGTGCGTGGCAGGTTGGAAAGATGAGTTTGTTCCCCTGTGCCCTTTTGTGAGTTGGCGGAAGTCCCCTTGCCCAGCCCAGTGCCAAGTTCCTGTCACTGGGATCTCTGTTGCAGCTCTCTAACATGGGTGAAGCATCTCGATCGTATCTGGTTGCCATCGGCTCCATACCTCTGTCACCAGGAAGGCCTTCTTTAGCTGCTTTGTCTGAACCCTCCCTGAGGCCCCTTCGACTGGGATCCATGACATTCTTTCGCTTTGCCCTCTTCCGGCCACATCTGGTTCTCACTGGGGCTCCACGCTTGGTTCCTGGGAAACACTGGGAGGTGGCCGTCCCCATGCAGTGCCTCTTCTGCCTCTATTGGCACAGCTGCCAGCCTGCCAGATTTGTCAAGTTTTTCGGGCCTGGGTCAGACACGAGCTCCCTGTGTCCCCAGGTGCTACTGTTGCAGCCCACCCCTCATCCCTCACCACCTTAAAATCAGGCACCTCCAACCCACCTCCTCTGGGGATGGGAGAGTGGGATGCCCAGCAGCAACCGTCTTCCCCCAACTCCTCCCAACTCATACCCTTAATGGGAAAGAGGGTTTGAGAGTTGCCTGATTCCTCCCCTCCACCTTCCTTTTTGCAAGTCCTGCATGGTGGTCTCATGCCTTACTTTGGAAAGTGGTATCTATTGTCATTTGGAATCTCAGTGAAATGTGATTTGATTCCTGTTCCCAGGGCTTACTCTGTGCCAGGTCCCATGCTCATCACTGTAATATACAGTCCATGTGCACCTTCTCACTTAACCCTCATACCATCTCTGTGAGACAGATACTATTCTTGTACCCCTTTACATATAAAGAGACTGAGGCCAAGAGAAATTAATATCTTGCCCAGATCAACCAGCTACAAAGGTGACAAGAGTCCAGATTCAAATCCAGGCTATCTGACTCCAGGGCCTTATATGGATTACTGCAATACACACAATTTTTGTCTGTGAGTTTTTTATTTGTTTAGGAAATCCCTGAAAATGGAATTTAAAAATATTAACTATAAGGCTTCCTACAGCCTATATTGTCCAGAATAGTATCTTTTTATTGAAAGTGGGGAATAAGGTTCAGGGTTCATCCATCATCTCATATCTCATTATGGAGCAGAGACTGCTAAGGGATCATCAAAATCCATGTTTCTCCATGGCTGAGCTGTTTCCCAGGCCCCCTTGCCATTAGGAGTGGCCCATGGCCCTGAGTCCTTCCCACCCAATACAATGCATGCCGAAGGGGTAGATACCATTTCCTGACCTGGCCTAAGAAACCCCATCCACGCTGTCTCCCTGGCTGTCCCTTTTCTGAAGACTTGATTTCAACACCGAGGGCTACCTTGAGAGCCACTTGACTTTCAACTTGAAGAGTTACAAGAACGTTTTCCACTCAAAAAGGTGAAGATAGCAGAGCTTTCCTGAGCCTGGGCCTCTTCGTAAGTGACTACAGGGAGGAGGGCTGTGCATCTATTTAGAACTAATATATGAGCACGGAATAAACGTCTATGGTGGTGGAGCCATTATAGATTTTGGGTCTCTGCCATGGCAGTTAGCTTTTTCTAACAAATGTACGCTATGTAACTGACACACAAGCAGGTGTATAAGCAGAACGTGTGGCTTCCAGGCCAGATGGAGGTAAGTGCCCCACAAAACTCAGGCATGATCTGCTGATGCTACTACTGATTTCCCAGAAAAATTAATGATTTTCAAATGTTTATTCAGAAATAAATGTTGATTCAGGTTTTTCTGAATAGCTTTCAGATATTATTGAATGCAAATAAAGGGTCAGCTACCTAGCTACAGCTGGGGAGGTGTCCTGGGGGCAGTTTCAAAAGCCCGTGAAAAATGTGATCCATATATTATCTTGACCACATCTGGTAAATAGTCCCATTAGCAAATTCCCTAAATCCCATTCTAATTTCTCATGTACACACAGAAAATGTGTGTACTGTAACCTCCAGGAGTTTTGGCTAAAGGAAGTGTATTAGGCCATTTTCACGGTGCCATAAAGAAATACCCTTGGCTGGGCATGGTGGCTCACGCCTGTAATTCCAGCACTTTGGGAGGCCAAGGTGGGCAGATCACCTGAGGTGAGGAATTTGAGACCAGCCTAGTCAACATGGTGAAACCTCATCCATTAAAAACACAAAAAATTAGCCAGGTGTGGTGGCGGGCACCTGTAGTCCCAGCTACTTGGGAGGCTGAGGCAGGAGAATTGCTTGAACCCAGGAGGCGGAGGCTGCAGTGAGCCCACTGCACTCCAGCCTGGGTGGCAGAGTGAAATTCCATCTCAAAAAAAAAAAAAAAATACCCGAGACAGGGTAATTTATAAAGAAAAGAGGTTTAATTGACTCATGGTTCTGCATGGCTAGAGAGCCTCAGGAATCTTACAATTATGGTGGAAGGGGAAGCAGGCACATCTTATGTGCTGGCAGGTGAGAGAGAGCATGCAAGAACAGGGGAAACTGCCTTATAAAACATCATATCTCCTGAGAACTCACTATCACGAGAACAGCATGGAGAAACCACCCCCGTGATCCAATCACCTCCCACTGGGTCCCTCCCTCGACATGTGTGGATTATGGGGATTACAATTCAAGATGAGATTTGGGTTGGGACACGGCCAAACCGTATCAGGAAGTCATTAGTCTTGGTCCTGAAAACAGAGCCATCACTGCCATCTTCTTGCTTGTGTGGTTAACATTTCCTTTCAATCCCAGCCATGCTAGCCAGGTCCAGGGGAATTTTGACATTTGACAAGATAGCTATCTAAGTAAACAAGCAGTTCAGCTTTTAAAATAAGCTAAATTAATTTGTTTGCAAACACTCACTTTCCTCCTGAGGAAGAGCAGCCAAAACTCTAGGTTGTTCCCAACTACACCGTGATTCACATCTTGTTTGGGGTGCAATTTTTTTTTTTTTGAGACACAGTCTCACTCTGTCACCAAGCCTGGAGTGCAGTGGCAATTATAACTCAGTATAGCCTTGAACTCTTGTGCTCAAGCAATCCTCCCACCTCAGTCTCCCAAGTACTTGGGATGACAGGTGTGAGCCGCTACGCCTGCCCCCATGGTGTGGGTTTGATGATTCCCTGTACCTGCCTGACTCAAGGAGAGAGAGATTGGGTGAGTGAGAGCCTGCTGAGTTGTGAAGATCGGATTGAGGGAGGAGGCTGTGGAGGGCCAGAATTCAGGTTTGGAGGAATATGAGGGGCCATGACCAGGAAGAGCCTTCTCTGGGGAGCCTCCTTGGTGCTTCTTTGTCTCAGCTTCATGGCAGATGGGGGACTTGCACACGGTGGGCCCTTCGTAGATGCTGACTGGAGGAACGGCTCCTGAGGAGAGGCTGCATGGCACATAGTCTTCCTCCATGTGTATCTGTGCTTGTGTCCCTTCTCTTCTCATGAGGACACCAGTCATTTGGGCTGAGGGCCTCCCCTACTCCATGGAACCCCAGCCTAACTGATTACATCTGCAATGATCCTCTTTCCACATGAAGCCACATTCTGAGGTTCCAGGAAGTCACAGATTGGGGGCTGGTGGACTGTCCAACCAAGCTCAGGCCTTTGCCTTTTGTTGTCATCACACCTCTGGGTTAGTCCATCACTAGCTGCTGCCTTGGTCTGGGAGGAGCAGGAAGAGGCTGGCAAGGGGTGGAGAGGGCAGGGGAGGAAATGTGGCACTGGGGCCTCGCAGGAAACTCTGCCGGCAAATGGCAGTGGTGGAAAGACGGGCACCTGGAGTATGCACCTGGGGAGGTGGGTGACCTGGAAGTTAGGAAGAGGGACACAGTTCACCCCTTCACAGCTTGGCTCAGGCCAGGAATCAACCCTCAACTGCATTCCAGCATTGGCAGCTGCAGACCGCTTGGCTGATCCTCCCCAGGTGTGGGGTCTGGCTTGTTCCTTGCGCCGCCTGTCTGATTTTAAAGGACAAAATAGAAGAAGCAGCATAATAGGTAAATTAAACTCTTACCCTGTTTTTCAGAAAGACTCCATATTCCTTGGCTCAATAGATTCAGAAACTTACCAGAGTTTTTACTTTCTGAAGGGATATCTGTACCTTGGCCTCCCAAAGTGTTGGGATTACAGGTGTGAGCCACTGCACCTCACCTCCATTCTCTACATTTTCAACATATTGTAATTTCTAGAATCAACATAATTCTCTACACAAGTTTTTGGCACATCTGCTGTTTGGATATCTGTCCCCTTCAAATCTCATGTTGAAATATAATCCCAATGTTGGAGGTGGGGCCTGGTGGGAGGTGTTTGGGTCATGGGGGTGGATCCTTCCCGAATGGCTTGGTGCTGTCCTAGGAATAGCGAGTGAGTTATCTCTAGACCTGGTTTTTAAAAGTGTGTAGCACCTCCTTCGTCTCTCTCCCTCTGGCTCTTGCCATGTGAAGTGCCTGCTTCTCCTCCACCTTCTGCCATGAGTGGAAGCTTCCTGAGACCCTCACCAGAAGCAGATGCCAGCAGCATGCTTCTTGTACTGTCTGCAGAATCGTGAGCCAATTAAACTCTTTTCTGTATAAATTACTCAGCCTCAGGTATATCTTTATAGCAATGCAGAACAGCCTAATACAGTACTCTTAAGTTTTTTTTTTATTTTTAATTAACAGGCTTTCTTGGTGGCATGAGATATTCACTTATTTACACAATTATATAACAATATCTTATTCCTTTATTATTCTATAATGAAGAATTTTTTTTTTGCCTATCGGTCAATGTCCAGTCTTAATTTTTTTTCTTTCTTTTTTTTTTTTTTTTGAGACAAAGTCTCGCTCTGTCTCTCAGGCAGGAGTGCAGTGGCGCGATCTCGGCTCACTGCAAGCTCCACCTCCCGGGTTCACGCCATTCTCCTGCCTCAGCCTCCCGAGTAGCTGGGACTACAGGCACCCGCCACCACGCCCAGCTAATGTTTTGTATTTTTTTAGTAGAGATGGGGTTTCACCGTGTTAACCAGGATGGTCTCAATCTCCTGACCTTGTGATCTGCCTGCCTCGGCCTCCCAAAGTGCTGTGATTACAGTCATGACTCTCTTAATATTTTAAAATAGTTGGCAAATTGCTTTACCCATTTCAAGTGGTGAGTGAAATCTGCGCAGTGATGCAAGAGTGTGTTTCTGTGGGACTGAGAAAGCACTGGCAGGGGAGTGGCTGCTGCTGGGCCTGAGGCTTCTGTGGGACAGAGCCCAGAGGAGAGCAGCTGGGCGTGGGAATGAGTGAGAGAGGTCTGGAAAAAGGGCAGAGCTTGTGGAGTACACTTGTCACCCTTAAGACTGTTCTCAAATGGCCTGGGACAGTTGTCCTCCACTCTATCTGCACAGTGGGATCACCCAGAAAAATGTATTTATTTATTTATTTATTTATTTATTTATTTATTTATTTATGAGACGGAGTCTTGCTCTGTTGCTCAGGCTGGAGTGCAGTGGCACAATCTCAGCTCACTGCAACCTCTGCCTCCTGAGTTCAAGTGATTCTCCTGCCTCAGCCTCCCAAGTAGCTGGGATTACAGGTGTCTACCACCACTCCCGGCTAATTTTTGTATTTTCAGTAGAGACAGGGGTTTCACCATGTTGGCCAGGCTGGTCTTGAACTCCTGACCTCAGGTGATCAGCCTGCCTTGCCCTCCCAAAGTACTGGGATTACAGGCGTGAGCCACCATGCTCAGACTCTAGGAACTTTTATTTATTTATTTGTTTGTTTATTTATTTATTTATTTATTTATTTTGAGATGGAATCTTGCCCTGTTGCCCAGGCTGGGGTGGAACGGCGCAATCTTGGCTCACTGCAACCTCCGCCTTCCGGTTTCAAGTGATTCTCCTGCCTCAGCCTCCCGAGTAGCTGGGATTACAGGTGTGTGACACCATGCCCGGGTAATTTTTCTTTTTCTTTTTTTTTTGTATCTTTAATAGAGACAGGGTTTCACCATGTTGACCAGGCTGGTCTTGAACTCCTGACCTCGTGATCCACCCACCTTGGCCTCCCAAAGTGCTGGGATTACAGGCGTGAGCCACCCCACCCAGCCTTCTAGGAACTTTTAAATAACACCAGTGCCCAGGCCAGATCCCCAGAGACTTTGACTTAATAGGTCTGGGTGGGCCCATGTGACAAGGGACATGGTACTGAACATCTGCCAGACGCCATCTAGTATCACCAATTAATTGTAGAGGGTTTTAGTTCTTAAAGCAGAGAAAGGGAAAGGAAAAACCGCCTTCATTAGTTAGAACAATATTTGGCAAGTCCAGAATTGGAACTGAAATAGCAATCTTTGTGAGGGGAGGGCCCATGTTCCTTTTGAGGCTCTCTGTCCCCTGATGCTCTCCTACAATGTTCCCAGACTCCAGCAAGCCAAGCTAGAATGGAAGGTTGGGGGTGGGGGTTGCTACCTGCCCATATACCCCTGCCATAAACACACAGCCCTGCCCTAAAGACCCTGCCCCAGAACTGAGAGGGGGCTGAAACATATAAGTAAGATTTTACAAACAACTAGGCCAGCAGATTAAAAATAAGGTCCCATCTCCACTCCTCATAAAACTTAAGGGTAATGTTAGGGGGCCACATAACTTCTAGTAGCTTGGTTTCCTTATCTTGCAAGTGAATATAAAAACCAGCCTACAGGTAGATTACCTCACAGGGTTGTGGGAGAATTTAATGAGCTAGCATTTATAATAAAGTGGCTGACACATAAGAGGTGTCAGTGATGGGCAGCTTTTGGTATTACTAGACCCTGACTATTACCAGTCTGGGTCAACTGCTCACAGATAAGCCCAGCTCAGGACTTTCTTACCCTGGCTGTGGGCTGACTTCCTCGTGGAGATCGCACACAAGCATAGCTGGGTCTAGACATCTCCTGTGAGTCTAATCATGAGGCTGCCTGTGAGTCTAATCATGAGGCTGCGCAGTAAAGTCGCTTCTCCCACCTCCCCTTGTTGGTGCCTAAGGAGCTCCAGCTTCCAGAAGGCCTCTTAGATCTCCAGATAAATGACACTGGCAATATCAGGCCCTTCATGGATACCCAGCCCCCGTTCCCTGGCACAGAGGCCATTGTAGCACCTTTATACAGTGCTACCACCCCAACAGTCCTAAGAGGCCCAGTAGAACGAGGATGTTGATTTCAAAGGATTCTTGAGAACTCCTCCAGACCACATGGCTGGCAAACGGTGGGAAAACCACACAGCCTCGGTCAGAAGGTTCACGTCTTTCTGGGTCACTGGGATCAGCTATTTTTATAAAAGATTTCTGGAGGAGGAAATTAAAACCAGTGTGTCATTTTCTCAAGCTGGAGGGCAATGCCCAATTATTGCTGTTATTATAGTTATTGCCAGTTGTAAATTACACAATGAGACTTTTAGCACAGTGCTTTCCAGAGAGTGCGTCCTGAACTGCTGCCAGTTGGTGAGTGGTTTACAATTGGTCCATGGTGAGGTAAGCTCATAAATGGAGAGTAGGTATTCAGAAAGTTTTAAAGAAATGTGACATTGTCATGAGACCAATGGTATAAACTAGTCTCACAGAACAGGGCTCAGACCAGCCTGAGTGTTGTAGACTCACATGGTGAGTTGCAGGAGGCAGAGGCCACACATTAATGTTGCGCTCTAGGACCACGCCCTTCTTCACAATGAACTGCAAAACAGCAAAATTAGTCCTTCACTACAGATGCCCTTAGGCAGGAGCCTTCAGAATCATTCCAACTTTTGCAGATCTGAGAATGACTGCTCACAGCCAGGTGAGAGTAGAGCTGGAATTACCATTTCATTTTACACCTGGTTCCTCAGCCACTATTTCGAGTGGCTCAAACTCACAAGGTATTGAAAGCTGAAACCAAATACTGGAGGAAAAGGTGATTAGAGATTTTATTTTTATTTTTATTTTTTTTTGAGATAGAGTCTCACTTTGTCACCCAGGCTGGAGTGCAGTGCAGTGGCACAATCACAGCTCACCGAAGCCTCATTTTCCCGGGTACCGCCCTGCCCAGATAATAAAAACAATCTTTTTTTTTTAGTAGAAGTGAGGTCTTGCTATGTTGCCCAGGCTGTACTTGAACTGCTGAGCTCAAGTGATCCTCCCACATTGGCCTCCCAAAGTGCTAGGATTACATGTGTGAGCCACTGCATCTGGCTGAGATTCTGCTCATGAGTAGGGCCCTGGAGGAATTGGTGACTATTGTCCTTTTGTTTACTATGGAAACATAGTAAAACCCACAGGAGCATCTTGGTAGACAGCAAAAGTGTGACTTCCTGTGATTTAAAATCACCACCACCCCCAGATTGGATCTATATTGGGGAGAGAGGAAACAGATCTATATTTTTGTATATTTGTATTGTAGACTTAAGAAATGTGTGCAGCTACAAGTGAAGATGGTCTCACTTATTCACTAATTTGGGGGCACCTGCTATGTGCTAAACATCATTCTTCTTCCTAAAAATATAACCCAATTAGCTGCATTCTGGTCTTCAGGAGTTTGCAATCTAATGGGAGGGACAGATGACAGCCTCCTTCTGTCCACTAGGTACTACTATTTGTCTCACACCGTTTTAGGAAGTGGAGATACTGAGGTGAACACTGACATCCTGTCCTCATGAAATTTGCCTTCTGTCGGGAGAGTAAGACAATGAACAAAGGCATATATAGTTTCCAAGCTGTCATAAGAGCGAGAAAGAGAAATAAAGAGGGCAGGAACATAGAGGGTGCAGGGAGAAGATCTGTGGAGGGAACATTTGAGCAGAGACCAGATCCCACACAGGTTTGGTGGGTGATATGATAGAGCCAGGGGTGGTGGCCAATAAGAAGCATGAGGGGGACACCTCCCTAAAACTAGGGACGTCAGGGAGAGCTTTGTCAGGGAGGTAAGGAGCACGTTCAGCCTGGGCAGATGGGTGTCTTAGTCCCTTTGTGCTGCTATAAGAAAATACCACAAACTGGGTGATTTGTGAAGAACAGACATTTATTTCCTTATGGTTCTGGAGGTTGGGAAGTCCAATGTCAAGGTGCTGGCATTTTCTGTCTTGTGAGGGCCTTCTCGCTGTGTCCTCATGAGGCAGAAAGGATGAAAGGGCAAAAGGGGAGAGGCAGCTCCTTTGTGCCTCTTTAACAAGGGCACCAATCCACTTATGAGGACTCTGTCCTCATGGCTTAGTCAACTCCTAAAGGCCTCTCTCTTAGTACGATCACATTGGTGATTAGGTTTCTACAGATGAATTTTGGGAGATACATTCAGATCATAGCAATGGTAATTTCCACTTGAGTTGCTTTAAATTTGAGGTGACTGCAGTCATCTAGGTGTTGGTGCCCCTGAGTAAGCAGTTGGACATAGGTGTTTACCTCCCATTTATTGGGGCTTGTTGATAGGAGCAATAATGAATTTGCTGCATAGAGAGTTGGAGCAGGACCCCCATGGAGATGGTTTCTGCTGTTCTCTTCCCATTCCTGAAGTCACGGTGTGTCCTTGGCCATAATTCCTTTGGGAAATTGCTGGAACCATGGTGAGCCAGTCCTCCCTTCTGTGTTTTTGGTCCCTCTGCAGATAACAGCAGGCATTGTCCTAGGTGCTTTATTCCAGTAACTCACTCAGCCCTCCCACACACACGCACACACAAGCACCACTGATCATGCTGCAGATGGAGAAGTGGAGGTACAGAGAGATTCAGTAACTTGCCAAGGTCACCCCGTACTTCAGTGGCAGAGAGTGAATTTGATCCAGGCAGCTGAGATCTGGGTTTGTGCTGGTGACCACAATACACTTGTTCTCAAGCTGGAGGCTCTCCCAGTTGCTGTCTTCTCATCTTCACCCTCTGGGCACTCTGGAGGGCATTTCCTAAGGGAGGCTGGAGGCCCAGCCAAGGTGCCTCTTAATGTCAAGAATATGCTTTCTCTTTGGTTCTTCTGTGGCACCTCCAGGAGGTCACACACGTGCCCTTGGTCAGCCATTTGGGGTCAAAGTTCTTCACCAGAACTCTGAAAAACTTAATAATGGTACATTGAGAATGCCTGGGGTGCTGGGCATGGAGGCTCACACCTGTAATTCCAGCACTTGGGAGGCCGAGGTAGGAGAATTGCTTGAGTCCAGAAGTTCCAGACCAGCCTGGGCATTATAGGGAGACCCTATCTCTACTAAAAGCAAAAAGCAAAAACTACAAAACAAAAAATTTAGCCAGGCATTGTGGCCTGCATCTTCTAGCACTTTGGGAGGCTGGGAGGTGGAGGATCACTTTAGCCTGGGAGTTAGAGGCTGCAGTGGGCTATGATCAAGCCACTGTACTCCAGATTAGGTGACAAAGCAAGACCCTGTCTCAAAAAAAAAAAAAATTAAAAAGAAAAAAACCCAGAATGTCAAACGTATCAATAACCACCCTGGAGTGTGCCATTAAGATGAAGGAGAACCAGGATTCATGTTCATAGGTGCACTGATGGCTGCCAGCAGTGGTTTGAACAGTGGGCTTTTTGCAAGAATGAGTTGCAATCCTTTAGTGGGTTAGGACTAACTTTAGTATGCTGGGACCAGCATTCTTTAAACATAAAGACACAGAGTAGATTGAGTAGGAAGTGTCAGAGTGTATCACATGAAATATGGGTGATATGGTTTGGCTTTGTGCCCCACCCAAATCTCATCTTGAATTGTAATCCTTGGGTGTTGAGGGAGGAACCTGGTGGGAGGTGATTGGTACGTGGGGGTGGTTCACCCCATGCTGTTCTTGTGATAGTGATTGAGTTCTCACAAGATCTGATGGTTTTATAAGTGTTTGGCAAGTTCCTCCTTCTCTCATTCTCTCTCCTGCTGCCTTGTGAAGAAGGTGCCTGCTTCCCCTTCTGCCACGATTGTAAGTTTCCTGAGGCCTCCCCAGTTATGCGGAACTGTGAGTCAGTTAAACCCATTTCCTTTACAAATTACCCAGTCTCAGGTAGTATCTTTACAGCAGTGTGAGAACAGACTAATACAATGGGTAAGTGTATGTGTGTGGATATATATATGGGTCATGACATAAAATGTATTTATTGTGGTTTGTAGTTAAAAAAATGTTTGAAAAACATTGGGCTTGAGTACTATTTACTGTGCTGGCCACCCAGCACAGTAACATTACTGTACTGTAATTACAGTACAGTAATTACTGTAATGTTTTGTTTTCTCATGAATTGCTGTAGCTATGTACTGATATACTTTAAATATAAAGATAATTGTGGAGTGCATTGGCACTGTATGTGGTATGCTGCAGATCTAAAGCTCTGGCCGTAGATCTGCTTGAGGTAATGATTTGAGGGGTCTGTGGCAGGTAGGTGGGAGTCAAAGCTGCAGGAAGTTGGAGCTCTAGCAAAAGCACCTGGGGAGGCTGTGAATGAGTAAGGAAAGAGCCCAGGGCAGAACTTGGGAACCACCTACCTTGAGGGCAGGGGTGTAGGAAAAAGAGCCCACAAAAAACACTCACTGTAATGCAATAGATAAAGAGGTAGGAGGAAAATCAGGAGGGTGTTGGTACCTGGAGCCAAGACAGGAGAGAGTTTGAATAGTGAGGAAAGGTTCAAGATTGTTAAATGTGGCAGAAGGTCAAGTTATATAAGCGCTGAAACGCGCACCTGTGCTTGAGCAACACAGAGCTGGCTGGTGACCTCAGTGAGGGCGCAGGGCTCCACGATGAGATGGGAAGACCTAGAGACGTGGGGGAAGGGACACTTCCTCCAGAATGTTTGGTGGTAAAAGCGAGGAGCACAAGAGGCCATTGGCTAGAAGGGAGGATAATTTGCTCCTCTAGAAACAAATTTGAACCTAGTTTTTCAGAAGGAGACAATATACCCCACATGTTAGGCTTACTGAAATGGGCAGAGGTATGTAATTTTTGTTTAAAGGGATGGACAAAGCTATGGTTTTTTTTTCACCCATTTTTCATCATGTCTGAACAGTGAGGTGAGAACTTACGTTAGTTTTTGAGACAAAATTTTAGACTTGCAACAATGATTGCTGTTGCTTTTTTTTTTTTTAATGCAAGCAACGGCCAAATTATTTTGGAATTACGATCCTAAATTGATCCCAGCCTGATACAATCAAAGGTCCAGAATTAGAAGGAGAAAAAGTGGAGAGTGAAACAGTAGCCAAAAGAAAAACTTCACTGATATACTGTCAACAGCTGTGCTGTTATCACTCTGTAAAGAACAATGAAATATTGGAATGAAAATGGAAAATGCTGTGGGTAACCAATGGAATCCTGAAAGACAGATTAAGTTTCTTCAACATTTATAATGAAAACCAGACTGAAAATAATTTTTAATTTGTCTTTTTGCTTCATCAAATCTTGGAGAGGATTCGGATATAGGCATCTTATCATTTGACATTTATTACTCAAGATAAGAAGATTATGTTCAGGTTTGTGGGTCTCCAGGATGCAATTATAACATTGTCAAAGTAGATTACCAGGTGTTGCATAATTATTGTGCCGTTTAAGGAAATTTGCATCTGAGTATAAACATGTGTATTTAATTATTTTCCTGGGGGGTGACAAAAGTTCCAGGACTCCTGATTAAGTCATCCATCCTGTCTAACAACCTTTGGGCATAAAGATCATATTCAGAGATAAAGGACCTATATAATTCCTAAACAAACAAACAAAAAACTTTGTCCAATTTGGGAAGCAAGTAAAACATAACCAAGCTAAGAAAACACAAAACTACGAAGAAAAAGATTCAAATGAAACATCCTTAGGCTGCCCTCTCATAGCAGGGAGTAATTGCCTTCAGGTAAAAGTTGATTCCGGACCATTCAATTCACTGAAAGCTATTCACTGTCTTAGATTAACCAGCACCTAAAAACACTTGACTAAATAGGCTAGAAATAAAAATGTTTTCCTTGAATAAATGTATATATTATTGGTTTTGTAGATGAGAAATACCACTGGTTTTGCCGAATTTAAATAGTCAGCTATGTAAAGGGTCTCTGGACTAGGAAAAATTCCTTTATTCCTAAATATTTTGGCTTCAATATTTGAAATCTGCAAAAGCAGTATTTCTATCTGTCAAAATGAGGCCATTAAGTTTTGATTATTCAAACCTGGAATGAAGTGTGTGTGTCTGGGGGTAGAGGAGATGATATGGACTTCACTTTGAATATAAATTACGTACTGGGTGGAGCAAATGGATTTAAAGAAAGAGGAACCCTGGTTCAATTCTATTTGCCAGTCAAGGTGACTCACTTGAACATCTGAAGGCCAGCGTACCTGTGGAAAGAGACTATTTCCTGGATTTTCTTCTGTGAGTCAAGATGCTTAAAACCCATGTCTTTTAGTATCTGTCATTTTGGAGTTGTAAGGGAAAATTGAGTTTTAAGCATAAAGGAAAAAGCATCTTATGCTGTGAGAAAAAAATTGACATCAGAATTTCTCAGAAAGAACTTAGTGAATTTTTTAAAATTATTTGACGTTATCCTTGAATGACTGATTTCGTTGTCCAAAGACTTAAAGAAAGGAGTTGGAATTCCCCAGACTTTGCCAAACTGTGGGATGGCACAATAGGTATTGTCAGGTCCCAGGGCCAGAATGAGGTAGAGATTTTATGTAGTTTCTCCTTTGTTAATAACATTTAAGCTGTTTTCGTTCTGATTTGCATTCTCCTGATTAGTGCAGTTGGTCAAAGCTGGTGCTAGCGGACTTGGCCAGATGTCTGGAGCCATATAAGCTGATTCTGTGTGGGAGATGCTGGGGCTGGTTCCTGCCCTCCTTTCCCTTCCTCCTTGCAGACAGAGTTCCATTTTGAGGTGGTCACTCTCTTGGCTGTGTGTTCGGGGTTTACAGTGACCCACCCTAAAGGCAGAGGGGCAGAGGTGGTGCAGAGACTGGTCATCGGTCTCTAGGGGCAATCAAGGTAATTCATCTCCCTTGTCCCTGATAGGCTCGGTGCAAAACCCATCTTCTAAAGGGCAGCTGGCCTCTTCTAGCGGGGCAGAGATCGTTCAGCTTTGACCCCTTTGTAATTATGGCAGGAGTCCAGGGCCCCACACCAGCCACCCTATTTCAATCTCCGCAGATCCTTCCCCTTCACATTGTGAGGCTTGACATGTCCCTGTGAAGAGCCGCAGGCATGGAACACTTTGGGAAAATCCCTATTCAGGCTCTCACTGGAAAACCCCAGACTGAGGGTACAAAGGCAATGGATCCTAAGCCTGGGTAGAGCAGAGCTGGGCGCTGGTGGATCGCAGAGCCTGAAGCGCCAGGAGAAACCTGCTGGTTACTTTTATTTTGTCTTTGTAGTGTCAGTCTAGAACCCCACACAGGATCTTCTCCATCATAGGAAAGTGTTCCGAGGAATTTGACTTGGTATCTATTTTATCTCTGAGAAACTTCTTTGAGTAGCTGCCAGTAACCTTTAGGGCTCTTTTATTTAAAAACAACAACAACAACAAACAAACAAAAAAAGTTCATGGCCAGGCGCGGTGGCTCACACCTGTAATCCCAGCACTTTGGGAGGCCCAGGCGGGCGGATCATGAGGTCAGGAGTTCGAGACCAGAATGACCAACATGGTGAAACCCTGTCTCTACTAAAAATACAAAAATTAGCTTGGTGTGGTGGCGAAAGCCTGTAATCCCAGCTCTTCAGGAGGGTGAGGCAGGAGAATCGCTTGAACCCCGAAGTCAGAGGTTGCAGTGAGCCGAGATCTCGCCACTGCTCCCCAGCCTGGGCAACAGAGAGACTCCGTCTCAAAAAACAAAACAAAACAAAACCGTTACTAAAAGCCGCTTACTTGTATTCATTCGGACGTCTCTGTGGTTTCTATCAGTTCCTGAACAGGAATGTATTGTTGTGTACAAGAAGAATATGTTAGTGTCTCCCTAATTTTACACATGCAGTTTTCTGTTTACAACTTCCCTCCCCACCTTATTGTCCTAACCCTTCTGAGAAGCTCCTTCATGTGTAACTACTAGGCTGTGATGTTTTGCAGTAGAGTCAGGCAGTGCTGTTGCCCTCCTGGGTGGAAGGGGCTGTTTGGAATGGGATGGAGAGAAAGCTGGCAGTGCACGGGACGCAACACTAGAAATGTGAAACCAGGACCCTGTCGCCGACCCTCTTAGAGAAATGTTTACTGTCTGGATGCCCCCAGACGCCTTGCCTGAGCGCCGTCACGCTTTCTGCCCTTTGGATACGAAGATATCCGAATGCTGTGCCCATGATTAAGCAGACGCTTAGTAAGGAAAGAAAACATTGGTCTGGAAATAATTTCTCAAGCGCCGTGACTGCCTTATTGCACAAACATCGCCTCTTCGATGTTTCTCACAATCCAGAGAGGAAGTGGCATCCATCGTGGCATGAATAGGAATGTGTGTTTGGAGCCGTGGGGCGGGGCTGGAGGGGAGGGGACGCTACCCAGCCAACAGAGGAGACGGTGGGGCTAGGAAAACCTCCTGGGGGAGCCTGCGGCGCGGTCCTTTCCTGTGTCCCCTTCGCTGCGGGTCCTGCCCGGGGCCGCGCCAGGTGGAGGCCCCGAGAGGCGGCGCGTTTCCTGCGCTCCGGGATTGCGGGAGAAGCGTGAGTCCCTGTCTCCGAGACTAGAGGCCACGGACACCCGCGCAGGAGCATCCCCTGGCACCCCGCCCCACGCCCGTCCTTCCGGAGTCTACACATCGGCGACCTCCCGTGTCTAGGCGCACACATTTCCCGCCCCGCGGAGACTCCCACGCCCCGGGCCCTCTCTGCCGCAGGCGCCAGATCCCGCCTCTGGGGGCTGGACCGAGAGGGTCCTCGGCGGCTTCTTTAAGGCTGCGGTCCCCGCCCCGTCGTCCTCCCCGCCCTCCTCCCTCTCGCCGCGGCTCCTCCCGCCCTCCCAGAGCAGCCGGGCGGCTGGGCGCGCGCGGCGCAGAGCAGGTGCCGGGGAGCCCTTCGCATGCGGCTGCCGGGCCGGAGGTGGTAGCGGCGCCGGGCGCGCTCCGCCCGCCCCTCCTCCGGGCCGCACTGAGGCTCGGGCGCGCGGGGACATGTCGGTGGCGACGGGCAGCAGCGAGACGGCCGGCGGGGCCAGCGGCGGCGGCGCACGGGTTTTCTTCCAAAGCCCCCGGGGTGGCGCCGGTGGCAGCCCCGGCTCCAGCAGCGGCTCAGGCTCCTCCCGGGAGGACTCGGCGCCCGTGGCCACGGCGGCCGCTGCAGGGCAGGTTCAGCAGCAACAGCAGCGGCGACACCAGCAGGGAAAAGTGACAGTGAAATACGATCGTAAGGAGCTTCGGAAGCGGCTGGTGCTGGAGGAATGGATCGTGGAGCAGCTGGGTCAGCTCTACGGCTGCGAGGTACCTGGGCGCGGGGCTGGGAGGGTCGGGGACCTCTCTAGCTCCTCTGTGCCCGCGCAGTAATTTTCCCGGGCTCCAGCTCCGGGGCGCGCATGTCCCTGACTCCCGGGGACCAAGTGCCAGGAGCGAGGCGCGGCGCCTTCTCTCCCCCGCGGTGCCCTCTGGCGTCGGGCTCAGCGGTTGGGACGCCCCTGTCTGGGTTCGGCTGCCGGTGCCCGGGGATCTGCGGGCCCCCTTGGTGGCCGTGGGGAGGGTTGGGTCCCGCGGAGCACAGTGCTTTTCTCCGAGCTCCGGGCGCCTCTGGGCTCCAGCTGCAGCTGCGCAAAGCGGGGCTCGGAGGGGCTCACTCCAGCTGCGCCTCAGCAGCGGTTGGGGATACAGCAGCCAAAGAGAGCAGCGCTCACTGCTGGGATCCGGGCAGCCCTGATTTTTGTGGAGAACGAGCAGGGAAGGAAGGAAGCTGCCTCGTGGAAAGGAGAGGTTCTGGGGATCTCAGAGGCCCCCTTGGTTCTTGAAATTCCCCGTGAAAATCCTGAGATGGAACGCTTTCCGCTTTCCAGCCAGCCCCGACGGTGTCTCCATAATTCCGCCCTGCATTATCAGAGCTGCACACGTTGTGCTTTGTTGAAGCCGTAGTTTTTCCTCTCTAAGCTCAGTTACTCCCATTGATGGGCGCAGAATGAGCATCTGGGGCAACCTCGACGGGTGCCTCGGTGGAAGGGCGGGAGCCCTGCGGGGGGCCTGCGGGATCCCGGGATCTGTCAGCTTCAGGCTCCCAGCTCCCCTCTCCTCCACGACATCGTGACTTCCCAAGGTCCAGGGACTAAGGTCATACACAAGTCTCAGGGACGTGTATACATTTGATTTAGGGAGAAATATGTAGAATAAACTGCAGCAAAACGACTGAAGCCAAAATGATCTCTCATGAGCATCTTGAATAACAGTTATTAATTCTAAATGAAGTGACCTCCTCTTAAGGGAGTGGAGTTTGGAAAGGGTGGAAGCATGAAGGGGTTAATAATTAAGAATGTGGCTTCTAAGCTAAAGCTAGGTTTGTGTTCATTCAACTGTTGTGCTCTTCAACAGAGATGACAACCAGATGAACTCACAGGCTTTACCACTAATGTCGGGTGTTCTGTATTTGACACATTTCATGGCCTGTTGTGAAGACACGTTTTCTTAAACACCCTCATTGCACAAGAAAACAGCATACTCGTTACTGACTACTGATAAATGATTATAATATAATGAAGCTTGACTGTATGACTAATGGGGTTGTAAAAATGTGTTGTTTCTCCAGTCCAGCTCTTACAAAAAGCTAATTTAATTGCATAAATAAAAACTGGCAAACATAAGAAGTATTCATGAGATTTTTATAGGAAGTTGGCAAAACTCTGTAAAGAAACATTATTTGATGTAGATGGGATTACTGTTGGATGAGTGGATGTGCTCAGTCCTGCCTCTGTAGAATCCAGTTAATTTTCATTTATTTCATACTGTTTTTTTTTTCTCCATTTGGGATTTGGAAAAGATTCGAATTAATAGAAAAAGCATTGTTGAAATTAACAGTGCACCAGCATGGTTCTTTTTGTGGGAGACTAATTAGGCTTAGATTGGGAAGCTAGAAAGAGCTCTACCCACTGAGTAGCCTGATAAACAATATATTTAAAAAATACTTCAGAATAATTAGAAAAAATGGAGGTTTGATTGTTTCCTGTGTGGAACATGTAGGTTAGGTATATATTTTAAAGGGTAAACATGAGCTTGAATCTTTTCCTTGTATTGTACTTTTCTTCTTGGGTTTTAAATCTTCAACCCGTAGCAAACAGCTAGACATTTGAAAGGGAGGTTTTTGTGGTGAAATAATTCAAGATGCTCTATATGCTGCCTGCATGTCATTAACGTGGCAAGTATTTTTCTTCAAGTTGTTTGTTCAGTCATTGTAGGCTGAAGGAAGAGAAATAATTAGGTTGTTGGCAATTTGTAATCACTATGCTGGTGGTGTACCTCCATTTAATAATAAAGAAACATGGGCAAATAAGTAGCCAAATAAAGGCTTGTCTCTTTGCATCTATTTCTCTGCTGATAGTGCTCTATTTTTAGCATTGGGTTCTCTTGTTGAGTAACCTTTCTTTGTTGATAGCTTCAAGTATTTCAGCCTCTGGTTTGTGAATCAAGAAGGACGCACCCTAGCTTACAGCTCCGAACTTCATGCATACGAAGATTAGGAAATGTCCTTTTTATACTTAAAAGTGGTAATTCTTTCAAATGTTTAGCCCATGAAAGTGACACAGCCAATTTCCCAGCCTTCAAACCTCAAACCTGCCAAAGGCTTGAGTTATCTGCTGAGTTGGGGTAGAATATGAACACATCTTTAATTTCAGAAGAACTTGACCCAAGCAGGTTAGGAATCAGATGACTTGACCTTTTCAGAATAGAAAATAATCTTTTGGAGCAGTGTAAAGTGATGTATTTAGAAAGAGGAAGAGGAAAGAAGAAATACACAGAACCACTTTCTGTCTGTGTTTTTTTCTGGAAGTGTGCAGTGACTAATCAGTTTTGTATGAGAATAATGTCATAGGGGAATTTATTACCTACCTACTAGGTGACTAGGTGCTCTTCTAGGTACTTTGGGCTAATTCATTTAGTCTTCATAACAACCCTATAAAGAAGATGTTCTTTTTATCCTTGTTTAAATGTAAATAAAGAAGTGAAGACTCAGAGAGGATTAAAAGGCTGCTTCAAGCTCATGTAGCTGGTGGGTGGGTTGGGGTTGAGGATGAACCCAGTCTGGAATCTGAGTCCACTGTATACCCATGAGGCCTGTCTGTACCGTGCAAGAGAGCAAATGTAGGTCTACAAGACATCTGTCTAAATGTTTAAAACTTATGAGTTAAACTAACAACATTTGTATAAAATTTCTTCTGTCCACTGATCTTGACAGCTACATCTTCATAATGACCTTGAAGTCTAGGTTTGCATTTTGAATTCAAAATGTTACTTCCCAGAGTCATGAACTGAAATGCAGTTAGGAGACTGCCCTGGCCTGGGTTTCTTCCCTTTTGCTTCCCATCCTTGGTACAGTCCCACCTGGTAAAGGACACTGTGTCCACTCGCACGCCCAGTCTTGGTATGCACCTGCCACTCCTTGACCATGATGCCTCTGCACACACCAGTGGTGATGTCCCCCTAGGCCAGAACAGATCTGGGAGGAGCTTGTTCATGCCCTAGAAGCTACTTGGGATTTGAGAAGGGAATTCTGGGGACCCGGATCACAGACTAAAACCAAGTGGAGGGGCACTGGTTCTGGATAGATGTGTCCACTTTGTCCTAGGAAGTCTTCAGGAAGACAGGTTATGGCAGGAGTGGGGCCCGGAGATGTGGTCCCCTCTTACCCAGTCTAAGGGCAGCACTGTAAAATACCACGTCAAATAGCCTTTTGAATACGTAGATAAGTGCTTTTATTGGATTCCAAAATGATTTGTTATGTGCTTATAGTTCTTTTCCATCTCATCTTCTCTTGGGAAGGCTTATACAGGTACATTTTCAGCTAGGAATTTGATTATAATGTAACCATTAGACTAAATCTACATCTACATCCACATTTAAGGATTTCTGTTTAAAGACCTTTTTTTTTTTTTTTTAATCTCTTCCAAACCCTGGTGGGTTTTTTTTGTTTTGTTTTGTTTTTGTTTTTTTGAGATGAAGTCTTTCTCTGTGGCCTAGGCTAGAGTGCAGTGGCGCAATCTCAGCTCACTGCAACCTCCGCCTCCTGGGTTCAAACGATTCTCCTGCTTCTGCCTCCTGAGTAGCTGGGGCTGCAGATGCGTGCCACCATGCCCGGCTAATTTTTGTATTTTTAGTAGAGACAGGGTTTCACTATGTTGGCCAGGCTGGTCTCGAACTCCTGATCTCATGATCCGACTGCCTCAGCCTCCCAAAGTGCTGGGATTACAGGCATGAGCCACCGCGCCCAGCCAACCCTGGTGGTTTTTAAGAGCATTTGAAATCTGGCATAATATCTACTTTAACAAGTACTGCAAGATGACTTACTGGATAAGTCATATGAATATTTCCAAGTTTGCCCAGCATCAAGATAACATCTGTACTTCCAGTTTTGCAATTCAATTTGCTTTGGAAATAAAAACATGTTGCTAAGCTCAGATGATTGCAATGCCCGTAGCATCCTAGCCATAAACAGGCTTGTGTACCTTGGGTACTTGCTGTGTTGTTCTGACTGTCACCTTAGTAGGTCTTTCCCTTTGCTTCCAGTGTCTGCTTTTTATAAAATGGTTCCTGACTTATTATACCTTTCAGTCTTCCCTGACTCCCCATTACCCCCATTTTATAAAAACTGTCTTCTGAGAGATGGTGGTGACACAGAAAGAAATACCCTGTTGATTGCTGCCTGATACATCTGGATATATAGATTGCTGCCTGACACATGGATACAGAGAAACAGAGAGTCATAGGGTACCACTTAATCTTACTGTATGCTAAGGAAAAATATTATAAAAGTAATCTGAAACATAACGTCATTAGTGTTTAAATACCATGTTTTATTCCTCACTTTCTGAAAAATGATTTTATTTTTCTAAATTTGTTTCATAATGCATTTATGAGTTGTGACCTGCAATTTTAAAAGTACTGCTTCTGAAAGGGAGAAGCCTAAACATGTGTAATAGAGTTAGCAGACACTGGCCGAGTACTTAGCACGTACTAGGCAAGGTTCATGTAATCTTGGCAACAACTCTGAGACCCCCATTTTGTGGAGGTGGAATCAGGCACAGGGAAGTTAAGAAGTTGCCCCAGGACTCTCAGCTGGGATGTGACAGAACAAGGCTGTGGCCAGGGAGTCAGGCACACCTTAACAAATGGCCTGTCCTGCCTCCTGAGACAGGGCAGAGCCTGGCACCTATGTGAACCCCATGGTTTGCCTGTTCCCAGATGCTGCTGTTATACCTTGTAAATGGACTGTGAGTGCATGTGGAGGACACCACTGTTAGCGGGTTAGTTCTTGCACCTGGATGAGGCCTCTCCTTTTACATGCAGATCCTGGATTTCCACAGACTTTTCCAGGTACAGTATCACATCAGCCGGCTTTGCTACTTTATTAGCGCTCAAGCTGGAAGGTAGAAACTGCTACTTAGAACTCGTCTTGTGGATTGTTTGGTAAATCACCATTTGTTCAGGTATTTGAGGACAGGCTTTTAAACAACAACAAAACCCCCTGAACTCCATAAACTCAACCTGTCAACTACTAAGGAATAAATTACACATGCAAAAAGTCAGTGGATAAAGCCAGGCATGGTGGCTCTAGCCTGTAATCCCAGCACTGACGGATCGCTTGAGGCCAGGAGTTGGAGACCAGCCTGAGGAATATGATGAAACTCCGTCTCTACAAAAAATACAAAAATTAGCCAAAGATGGTGGCATGCGCTGGTGGTCCCTGCTTCTCAGGAGGCTGAGGTGGGAGGATCACCTGAGCCCGGGGAGGTTAAGGCTGCAGTGAACCAAGATCACACCACTGTACTCCAGCCTGGGCAACAGCCTGCCTCAAATAAAAAGAAAAAAAAAAGTCAGTAGATAAAAGAATTCTAAATTGCCAAAGGAAGGAAAGAAAACTGCTTAACACATTCCCTTTGGAACAGTGGTTAGGGAAATGCGGGGTGGAAGCAGTGGTTACAATGTGTGCTTTGAAGTGCGATGAACCTGAATTCACATGTGGCCCTGTCATTCAGTGGGTATATGTGATTAGGCAATTTCCTTCACCCCTCTGAGCCTCACTTTCTCCATACATATGTGTGTGTGTGTGTGTGTGTGTGTATGTGTGTGTATATTTCAGACAGTCTGACTCCTGTTGCCCAGGCTAGCTAGAGTGCAGTGGGGCTATCACGGCTCATTGCATCGTTGACCACCCAGGCTCAAGTGATCCTCCCACCTAATTTTTTTTTTTCTTTTTTTTTTTTTTTTTTTTTTTGTGGAGACAAGGTTTCACTGTGTTGGCCAGGCTGGTCTCGAATTCCTGGGCTTAAGTGATCCGTCAGCCTCAGCCTTCCAAAGTGTTGGGATTACAGGTGTGAGCCACTGCGCCCGGCTACTTTCTCTGTATGTTGAAGGAAATCATCCTGGTGCCTTTGCAGGGCTGTCAGGAGGACTGATTGGTGAGACACCAAGCATAGTACTTAGGACATAGCATGTCAGTGTTGTTATTGGAGCCACAAGCTGCCACTAACTGTTGGTTATTCTCTATGATGGAGACAGAGGAAAGGGGTGAAGAAAACAAGGTATTCACATCTATTTGGTGCAATAATTTGGAGAAGAGTATAGGGTTACTTTAGGGTCAGGGGTGTTGGTGTATGTTTGAACTTGAACATGGGCAAATATTCTCTAAACTGTTCCTCCTGTTTCTAGAGCCTTCCTCATTCTCTATGTTTTGGTGGATTTTTACATATGTGCAGGGAAGTTAGACTGTAACAACTTGAAGGCAAGGAACTGTCTTAATTTTCATCATTTAAAAGTTCATAGCGGGACACAATTCTTCAACATTTAAGCATTTGCTTGAATGAATGAAAAAGGATCAATGTTCAGCAAATGTTTAAAAGTCATTGATGTTTCTGTATCTGAACTAATTGGTGATATTCCTTTATCATAGACATGGCGAGGGCAAAAGTCAATCTGTGTTTTTGTTACTGTAGTCATATCACATTCTTGCATCCTTACAGCTTTATGTCAGTGCTGTTGGAAAATACACCTTTCTTCATTGACTTACTTGCTCCAAACAGGAACTGAAAGGTGGTAATGGTAGCCAATTGACTTTGAAGTTTAGGTTGACAGAATTCTTTTGCAAATGTGATCTTCCCTGAGTCCCACCCACTGTCTTTTCCTTTGCTCCTAACGTGCCCCTGCTACACTAGTTCTGCCTGCTGTTCTCATCTCTGTGGGTACATGTTTGCTTTTGCTGTCTTCTGTTTGTCCTTTTCCTCTCAGCCTAAAACAACCTGGCAGCCCCTGGTCTCCCTCGCCTAGCCCACAGCTCTCTGTCAAGAAGTCTCTTTCTAGATGGAGGGAAGAATCAAATCTGAATTTTATTTTCCATGTGGCACATGCTTTGGCCACATGGTTTACTTTGTAGTGCATGCTCTTGCTCTTGTTTCCTGCACTGGGCTAGTTCAAGCCTTCACCTGTCTTTTCAAGGCACCTCTTCTGTTCTCTGCCCTCCCAGTCTCCTCCTCTGCAAGCTAGACCAGCCACCCTCCAGGCACTTCATTCACGACACCCCTTTCTTGGCTGAGTTTTCAACCTCTCTGGCCCATTCATTTCAGCATATACACAAGTTGAAGTCTCTCTCTTCTGTTTAAACCACCACCATCCCCCACTACCACACAAATACCTTCCCCTCCTCCGCCCTGTATTCCCCCACCGCACATGCCGCTCCGTCTTTCTCCTTCCCTTTCTGGGTTTTTCCTCTTTTGCCTGCTCTTCAGTGATGACATTTCTCTGTCTTCGGGCCCTGGCTCTCTGTTTTTTTTGTTGTTTGTTTTGTTTTGTTTTTTTTTCCTTCACTCCTGCGTGCTGTTTTTGGATGATAAGACCCTTCCTGTGGCTTTAATTGCTGTCCATATGCGGACAACGTGTGACTCTGTATTTTTAGCCCTGATCTGTTTTCTGAGTGCCAGATGTATTCAGACAACTTTGAAATGGACAGTGCCACTTAGTACCCCAGAGAAACCTCATATTCAACTGGTCTGAAAATGAGTTTCTCATCTTCCTTAGGAAACCTGCTCCTCTTCCTCACTTCCCTCAGTGGGCGGCAGGCGCTGCTGTGCACAGTTGTCCCAGCCCAAGATTACGTGGCATGCTTATCTCTTGCCTCCTCCTTGCTGTCACACCCAGGAGTCACAAAGTCTTGTTGATGCTCCTACAGCTCTGGAATATGAGTCCCCACTGGTCCCTGCCACTGCCTTAATCCAGCTCCTTGTAACTTCTCACCTGTATAATAGCAATGGTCACTGTAGTCCAGTTTCTTTCAAATTACGGCAACCACTCTTTCTGCTACTGCACCCTCCACCACTGCTGCTATTGTTTCTACTACTGCTGGGACTAACCCAGCTCTCAGGTGACAGCCAGGAGATTTATGCATCTTACCTCATACCATCAATCCTCCCAACAACTTTATGAAGGAGATGGTGTTATCTTCATTTCTTCATTTTTTGGAGAAAGCAGCTGAGATCTGAGAAGTTGTCCCTTGTCCTTGTCCAAGTTCACACTGATTCCAAAGTCACTTAGCTATGATGCTCCCATTGCTCCCAGTAGCTCCATTTAAGAAGTGCTGATTGCGGCCGGGCGCGGTGGCTCACGCCTGTAATCCCAGCACTTTGGGAGGCTGAGGCGGGCGGATCACGAGGTCAGGAGATCGAGACCATCCCGGCTAAAAAGGTGAAACCCCGTCTCTACTAAAAATACAAAAAATTAGCCGGGCGTAGTGGCGGGCGCCTGTAGTCCCAGCTACTTGGGAGGCTGAGGCAGGAGAAGGGCGTGAACCCGGGAGGCGGAGCTTGCAGTGAGCCGAGATCCCGCCAATGCACTCCAGCCTGGGCGACAGAGCGAGACTCCGTCTCAAAAAAAAAAAAAAAAAAAAAAAAAAAAGAAGTGCTGATTGCAAACCTTGTCCTTCATGGGTGCTAATTTAATCCTCGCAGTAACTCTGCAAGGTAGGTGAAGAAACTGAAGTACAGGGAGTTTGAGCTGCAGGCCTCCGTCAGAGGCCACATGGCGGGCAGGTGGCAGGGTCTCTGGTTCCTGGGTTGGGCCTCCCGCTCTGTCCCTGCTCCAGCTCCCCACGGTGCTTCAGAGCCACCTCCATGGGCTGCAGCTAGTGTGTTTTCTAAAATCCAGGTGGGATCTTGTTCCGCACAGCCTTCAGGATAAAGCAGGAGCCCCTTAGCACGTGACCAGGGCTCAGGGGTTTCCCTGCCCCAGTCTCTGGACTTGTCTCTAGGCACCCCCAGCCCTGCTGTTTCAGCTATCAGCTGAGTCCCTAAGGCAGCTCAGCAGGAGCCCCTCTGCCATAATCACCTCCACCCCCTCCCCTGCCCCCACTCCCTAGCTGTCTAGCTTGCACCTGTTCTTAGCCTGGTACTTGGCAGTGCCTTCCCAGGAGCTTCTCTGATCCATCTCCTGCTGTCAGGCTGGCTCTGTGGCCTTTCCAGGGTCCCTCTTTCTGTAATCCTGTCTCCCACCCTCACTGCAGCCTCCTGAAGGCAGAATCTTGTACCTTTGCAGCCCTGGTGACTCTCACACACCTGGCTGCACTTGGGTGTCTCTGCTATGGACTGAATGTTTGTGTCTCCCCAGATTCATAGGTTGAAACGCTAGTCCCCAGAGTGATGGTATTTGGAGGGAGGACTTCGTGGAGGTCATTAGTGTTAGGTGAGGTCGTGAGGGTGGAGGTCCTGTGATGTGATTAATGCCCTTAAAAGGGGAGGAAGGGGCCAGAGCTCGCTCTCACTGCCATGCAAGGGCACAGCGTGAAAGCACAGCAAGAAGATGGAAGACGGCCACCTGTAGACCAGGAGGAGGATGCTGGCACCCTGATCTCAGACCTCCAGCCTCTAGAACTGTGAGACAGAAATGCTTGTTGTTGAGCCACTCAGTCTGTGCTATTTATTTGACTGTCAGTGAGTGACAGTGGCTGCATCTTCTGGTTACATGATGTGCATTTCAGAAATGTGTTCCCAAAATTAAGCATATGAATATAATTTGGCTCTGCCTGTATTGAAAACCTGCTCTTTCACTGTCAACTTGAAGTTATGGTTCTTTTTCCTGGTTATAAATTATAACTATGGAGTCCTTTGAACCTCTGAACTAAAAGGAAGTTGTGGCGTAAGGCACAGATGTATGGGGTAATGAAAGTCTTCAAAGAAAGGGATCACGAGTTACTGCCATTCTCTGTAATTTTAAGTCTTCAGCATGTCCAAGAATTTTGTTTGCACAGGAATTGCTTATTTCTATGTGAGTAGAAATGCTTGTGCAAGGAAGTAGCAAGTGCTTTTCCATCTGTGGATAAGACTTGGAGCAACAGGCTCACACAAGTCTTCACAGAACAAGAATGAAAGCCTGGATTCCTGCCTCTGCTTAAAAGGTTGGGGCCAATACATTCTCACTAGGTTTTTCTTAGTCAGCACTGGCATTTTGGAAATCTGTTCCACTGAGTAAAAGCTTAGAAAAAAGAAGACCAGAACGTGGGTGGGTCTCTAAATCATCACTTTATGGTTGAGGAATAAAGTGATTAAGAAACAGCTTCTTCATTTTGAAAGAATCCACGGGGAAATCTGTGGAAGGAGCTGTGGAGGGCTGGAATATTCATTCACTCACTCATTCATTTATTTGTTCAACAGATAACATAGGGCAGGAAAGGGGTTATAAAAAGCTTCACCCTTTTAAACTGTGTAAGGGAAAAAGTAGAAAAAGTAAAGGAACGAACACTTCACATTATGGCAGAAGAATGGAGGAGACCATATGATTGAAAGCTCTTTGGGGCAGGGACTCTGTCCTGTTCACAGTTGTGTTAGTATATTCCACACAGTTATTTCGTACATAGTGGCTGCATATTTCTTTACTCAAAGTCTGTGTTCAGGAAAGGATATGATAAATTCACTGACATTAGATTGCAAATGACTAAAAACAACTTACTTATCTTTCATTTTAATAGGAAGTCAGATCTTAAGTAAGAGAAAGTAATCTCTTAAGGGCTGGGCTTCAGGAATGAATAAGCCAGGGCAGGATGTATGCTTTGTGGCTGTGGGAACCTTGCTGGCACCTATGAGATTAATTCCTGTCGGCTGTTCCCAGTGTGAGGTAGTGGGAATGGCCCTTGCCTGTGAGCTCCGTCCTAGTCGGGCCACCGCTGACCAGCTAGATGAGCTTGGCAAGTCATTTTCACCAACAGAGTTTGTTTTCAGGTTTTCTTTCTTGATTTGAAAAAAAATGAGGGAGATCTGGGACTTTCTAGCTCTAACCTTTAGATGTTCTATGCTAAAGCCAGGGCTGCACTGGTGAAAGTGAGATGTATCAAAGAAAGGGTGATATTGAAAGCAGGAGAAATAGAAGTGTCTTCCCCTTCAAGGCAAACCTGAGACAAGGATTAGACTAGTTCACCAAAGGGCCATCGAATTTGCAGAGCTAATTTCCTGTAGCTGAAGTGGGAGCGTATCCATCCTGCACTGGGCATGATGTCTTGTGTGAGTGGCTTGGGTAGGGACTAGAACGTAAGGATTAGATTAATAACTTTTTTTTTTAAATCATCTTTTCCTCCTCTGAAACCTCTCCTTAACTATTGGCTTTCAAGTTAAGTTTGGAATCTGACAGCACAGACACTCACAGCCACCATAGCTGCTTTTTCTTTGCATTTAATTGGGTTAACTTTTAAGAAATGGCATGTTTGACTTAAGATTTTTAGGCATATAACCTATAATATTGGCTTTGGGGGGTGCTTTTCTGTTCTTATTATTTGTCCTTTATCTTGGCACCTCATAATTAACTAATGGTGGTATTTATTTTAACTTGAGGGAGGTTCATTTTGAGATATGAAATGAGCATCTGAGAGGGAAAATCACAGCAGCTTTCAGAAGTGAAATTTAACAAGGTGAAATGTACAAATTAGCTTGAATAAGAGCATGACTGAATCTATACTAAGCAAATTACTTTCTGTTGGGGAGTTTATTCCTGGAATGTCTCTTTATAGTTAGTTTTAGGACTAATAGGATGGGATAACAAGAAAAACTTAAGATTTTTTATGGACAGTTCTGGCAGGAAGTGAAAAGCAGAACTTATTCTTTGTAATATTTATTTATTTGGTATAATGATAGAATCATAAAGCACCATCAGATAATCCCATTTGACCCACATAAATACTCAGTGATATAAGTAGCTACTCCATTTTAAAATGAGAAAACGGGGAGGCTCCAAGAGTCTTAGTAACATGCTCAAGTTTAAACTGCCAGTAACAAGAGGAAGACTTGCTTCCTGGAAACTGTGAACATCAGTTGCACCATTTCCCCCCAGATACCTTCCATGTATTCTAGCATGTTTGGCCAATACACTGAGCAAATCTTTTTTGTTTGATTTACTTGATACATTTTCAAATATGCTTCATCTTAGTTGAACAGTTTACAGGATTCTGTTATTTCTCAAGTGAACCATTTACAGGAGTCAGCCATTTCTTAAGAAAAATGCAAATCCTGGCTGGGCACGGTGGCTCACACCTGTAATCCCAGCACTTTGGGAGGCTGAGGCGGGTGGATCACTTGAGGTCAGGAGTTTGAGACCAGCCTGAACAACATGGTAAGACCCCGTCTCTATTTAAAATACAAAAATTAGCCAGGTGTGATGGTGGGCACCTGTAATCCCAGCTACTCAGGAGGCTGAGGCAAGAGAATCGCTTGAACCTGGGAGGCAGAGACCGTAGTGAGCCAAGATCGCACCATTGCACTCCAGCCTGGGTGACAGAGTGAGACTCTGTCTCAAAAAAAAAAAAAAAAAAAAAAAAAAAAGAAAGAAAGAAAAAGAAAAATTCAAATCCATTATCTCTGAAGTAGACACCCCAGTGAGTGAGCTACTTCTTTCTTTCTTTGCCAGGTTTGCATGAGCCGTTGGTCATGGAGTCCTTGCACTCTTGGTCTATCTATTTAGATGGAATTGACTCCATGCTCAATCTCTTTTGAGGTTAAAAGTTAGAAACTCACTTTAAATAAGGCAAGGGATACAGAGTATATATTTTATCTTACATATTTGAAAGCAGCAGATATTATCATTGACATGGTAGAAGTAATGCTTTTTCTAAATACAATGTAAAAAACTATTAATTACTTGGTTTGCTTATGCTAAATGATGTTTTCACTCAAGTCCTTAGCTACTGCCGCCAATCATCTGTTAATATTTTTCTCTTATATTTGTATGTCAATAGCGCACACATTGGTAAAGCCATTTCATTCATTTCTGCTAATGTTAATGGAATTAAATCTGTTTCAAGCCAGGTAGGTGAGGTGTTGAGTTTTCAGATTGGCAGAGATAGCTTTTCTGTTTGGTTCTTATGAGCTAATACTCTACATAACAATTCAAATTAGTCAACTGGTTTTTCTCATGTTTGTGTTGGGGTGTGGCAGCTCTCTGACAAGTCAAAAGAAAATGAGTAATTGATTTGGTGCTAAAACATGATTATGCTTGCTATAATGAAAGCACCCTAGAAATATTAAAACTAAAAAACAACACGTACTATCTCTGTTAGACAAGTGCCTTTTGTTATGTTAAGATATTCCATTTCTTCTTCATGCGAGATGGTTCAGCATTTACTAATCTTATACCAGAAGCAGTTTACATGGAGAGATATTTAGATAATGAAAACTTGTCTGTACTTAGGTAAATGGAAAGGTTGTCACCTGAACTAGCCAGAGACTCCAAAGCATTTAGCTGCCAGTCATGCCTTAAACCTTGGGAACATCCCATGTTAGACTTAGATTAAGAACCCTTTTGGGGTTTCAAAGAGGTGACGGGCTGCATTCAATGGTGAATGATCCCAAGGTTGAGTTAACTCATCACTCTGAAGAAGAACAAAATGAGGAATTTACTTAGTTAACTACTGACACCTTACTATAAACTCTGAAGGAAGGCAAAGAATGAGATACAGATAATGTATAAAATATTTAGTAAAATGAAATTCTCATGTCAGCTGTTAAAACCACAACTCCGAGGATGTGAGAGAGTGTGGTCTATACAGGAGGGGTGGAGTGGGTGTGGACCTCAGCCTTCTGCTCTAGGAATCCATGCTTGTGAATGTCTTCCTAACTCTAGCCCCACTTTACAAAATCAAAACAAACAGAAAAGTTTCTAAGTATGGCTTCTTACTGGTGGTGGGAAACAGTTTGTCTCATTATCTCATTTCAGAGATGCCTACTGGTTATACTCACAGGTTCTTTTCACATCCTTTATGCCCTGATTGAGAGGATGTCTTAGTCCATTTTGTGTTGCTGTAGCAGAATACCTGAGACTGGGTGATTTATCAAGAAAGAGCCTTATTTGGCTCATGATTCTGGAGGCTGGGGAGTCCCAGAAGCATGGCACTGCATCCGTTGGCTTCTGGGCTTCTAGGGAGAATCTCATGCCATGTCATAACATGATGGAAGGTCAAAGGGGAAGTGGACACAGGTGAAGGGTCAAAACAGACCCTGCCCTGGAGGGAACTAACCTGTCACCTCCAGAATGAATCCAGTCTCACAAGAGCAAGAACTCACTCACTGTAGTGAGAACTGCACCAAGACACCTAGGCCCAGAGGGCGGAGTCTCTGTGACCCAAGCTCTTCCCATTAAGTTCCACCTCTTAAAGTTTCCACCTCCCAACATTGCTGCACTGGGAATTAAGGTTCCAACGTGCGTTTCGATGGGGACACTCAAACCATAGCAGAGACATTGCCTTCTAAGATAGACCCTCCCACCTTCCTGGGCTGGGGGAGCTGGCTTGGTCTATCTAGAAGGATGAGCAGGCTGCCCACTACCTACCTTTATTAAGAGTGATTTCAGTCATCATACTTGGCTAACTTTAATTTCCACTTTTAAATTATCTAATCCTTTCAGAGAAATTTTGGGGATTAATAAATATGAAAAACCATCTCCCCAAAAGCTCAGAATATTTATGAAAGTATTATTAGCAACATCTACTATGCTTTTGCTATAACTAATTCTGCCTTGTTAATCTAGTATTCAAATTAAAGGTTGTTCTTTGACCCAATGGGGGGCAGAGGCTTATGAGATTTTTTTTTATTATGGAATAATTTTGGTGGAGTTTCTACCTTGATTGCAAATTTGGTGACACAGCAGGTTTTATGACTATAGAATAATTTAATCAACACTCCAGAATCTAATCAACACTCCAGAATGGAAAATCTTGTTGGGTTGCTTCAAGAGAATTACCTTTCTGCAATGGGAGCTCTATCACATTTGAGTTAAGTGATAATAGATAACATGTATTCTAGGTAAAACTCTTTTTTCATAGGGTATCTTTTATATGTACCTAGAAAAGAGATTTGGATGATACATGATAACTATCAGTAGTGCTTTTTAGTATCATTATGGGTAATTTATTTTGTTTATCTGTTTTGTGCAATGCACATGTATTTCTCCTATAAGAGAATAACTTCAAAGTTGTTTTTTAGAAGGGGTGGGCATGAGTATCCCACTGTTTTATTGTCATGGGTAAGAAAGGGGCACAAGCCCTCTCCTGCCACAGGGCTTTACAATGTTTGGAATAGCTCAATTGGTGTTTTTTCCATCTTCTTTTTGAGGAAGATGGGCTTTAAATTTTTAAAAAATTATAAATAAGGAAAAAAAAGCCAGTAGATTTGTTCATATTAGCTTCTTTATATTTTCAGAGGAAGCAGCCATAACACTTTGGATAGAACACATGGCACTTTGGATAGAACACGTAACACTTTGGAAGACTCCTTTGGTGTCTTCATTTTTGGGGGGGCAGGAAAGACAGTCTCTGAGGATGAGGATGGTACCACTACCCACAGGACGGAAGGAAAGGTAAAAGGAAGATTGAATCACTCTTCAACTTCCTTCTGGAGCCCAGCCCTTTCCACCTGCTCAGGGGCTGACTTCTCCGGTATCATCAGCCATTCCTTTGTTTCAAGAGTCATGGACCGTATACTGAAGATCTGTGCAGTTTAGGATATGTAAATTATATCTCAGTAAAGTATTAGAACACAAATACACACAAAAGCCTTTCTGTCTTTCTCTTCCTCTCTTCAGCCAGATTTGACAGAGAGATTGTCTATATCCTTTGATCGCATTTTGTCAACTTCTGTGCCCCTCTTAGCCACTGCTGTGTGGCTTGTCCTTCTTTTCCACCCAGAAGGCTCATGACCTCCATGTTGCTAAATTCCAAGTGCCCATTCCAGTTTTTATCTTGTGTGCTCTCGGCTTTCTAAGCCACTCTATCAATTACCCAACCATCAGCCTTCCCAGCATCCGTCCATCCTTCTGTCAGCCAGTGCGCTGTCCTTCTGTCCCTCCTTCCAATATCCACCCACCAGTCCCTTCGTCTGTCTCTGCCAGGCATTCTTTTTTTTTTTTTTTAAACAAATAAGCTTTATGTTTTAGATGGTTTTAGATTTACAGAAAAATTGCGAAGACAGAACACTATTGCCATATACTCTGCAACAGGTTTTACCTGTTAGCAACATATGTTAGAATTATACATTTGTCACAATGAATGAACCAATATTGATACATTATTATTCTCTAAAGTCCATACTTTGTTCGGATTCTTTAGTTTTTGCCTAGAGTCCTTTTTCTGTTCCAGGATCCCATCTGGGACACCACATTGCATTTACCTGGTATGTCTCCTTAGACTCCCTTGGCTAGGCCAGTTTCTCAGCCTTCCTTTGTTTTTGATGACCTTGACAGTATTGTGGAGTACTTTTTAGGTATTTTGTAGAATGTCCCTCACATGGCATTTGTCGGATGTTTTTCTCATGATTAGACTGCGTTTATGGGTTTGAGGGAGGAAGACCCAAAAGGTGAAGAAACACTTTTATCACATTCTGTGAAGGTACATCCTGTCAACGTGGCTTATTACTGTTGATATTCACCTTGAGCACCTGGCTGAGATACTGTCTGTCAGGCTTCTCCACTGTACAGCTACTCCCTCCCTTTCCACACTATATTCTTTGGAAGAAAATCACTATGTGTAGCTCATTCTTTTTTTTTTTTTTTTTTTTTTTTTTGAGACGGAGTCTTGCTCTGTCGCCCAGGCTGGAGTGCAGTGGCGCGATCTCGGCTCACTGCAAGCTCCACCTCCTGGGTTCACGCCATTCTCCTGCTTCAGCCTCCCGAGTAGCTGGGACTGCAGGTGCCGACCACCACACCCAGCTAATTTTTTTTTTTTTTTGTATTTTTAGTAGAGATGGGGTTTCACCGTGTTAGCGAGGATGGTCTCGATCTCCTGACCTCATGATCCACCCGCCTCGGCCTCCCAAAGTGCTGGGATTACAGACGTGAGCCACCGCGCCCAGTAGCTCATTCTTAAGTAATGGGAAGTTATGTTCTGCCTCATTGTGTAGCTACATAATTTATATGGAATTCTTTTGCGTGGGAGATTTGTCTCTTCTTCCTCATTGGTTTATTTAGTCTGCTTTATTTATGTCAGTATGGTTCACGTATATTTATTGTTTGTCTTGGATTATAATTCAATTATTACTTTATTTCATGGCCCATATTATTCCAGCTTTGGCTATTGCGAGCTGTTTCGATTGGTTCCTGTGTTCTTTGACATACCCCCATGATCGTGTGTGTGTATGTATTTAATACTACTTTACTTTCTAGCACTACAAAATACTCTAGGCTTATCTTGTATGTTTCCTGCCCCAGATTCAGAGTCAGCCATTTCTCCAAGGAACGCTGATTCCTTTTATTAGAGAATGGTATTAGAAACCAAGATATGGCCGGGTGCGGTGGCTCATGCCTGTAATCCCAGCACTTTGGGATGCCAAGGAGGGCAGATCGCCTGAGGTCAGGAGTTCGAGATCAGCCTGGCCAACATGGTGAAACCCCATCTCTACTAAAAATACAAAAATTAGCCAGACGTGGTGGCATGCTCCTGTAATCCCAGCTACTCGGGAGGCTGAGACAGGAGAATCGCTTGAACCCAGGAGGCAGAGGTTGCAGTGAGCCGAGATCATGCCATTGCACTCCAGCCTGGGTGACAGAGCAAGACTGTTTAAAAAAAAAAGACGAAGAAAAAAGAAAAGAAAAGAAACCAAGATAAGGGATGCCAAGTGTACTTGTTGCTACTGAAATGTAATTGTTTCTAAGATCTCTCACATGACAGCAAGAAAATATATGTGTGTATTCTTATTGGCGTATACATATCTACAAATATTTCCATTTGTAACCATCAGCATCTATATCAAGCTAAACATCAGCTCATTTGATGTCTTCGATTCTAATCCATTACTACATGGGTTGCACTAGCCCCCTTTCTTTGCCTGTCTTTAAACTCCTACTCCAACAGAGACAAACCTGTGGTTCCCACCATCCGTATCCATTCCCTTAATTGTTCAGTTGTAGTATATATGTACAGCAATATCAGAATTGTTAACTCAATCCCTATGGGAAACAACTTTATCAACTAGAAGATGGCGCTTATATGCACTCCTTTTACATTTGATTTTAACAGACTCTACTTATTTCTAGTTACTTAGGTCAGTACCCTTTTCCCCTATCCCCTTCAGTGAGGTTGTTGCATACATTTGTAATATAGATAGATTGTTTTGTCACATTCTGCATTCCATCCTGGGATCCCCCAATCTCCTAAATGACTTTTTAAATTTGCTTACATTGTACATTAAGATTCATTCTTTGTGTAGTCAGTCCTATGGACTTTAACAAATGCAGAGTGTCACGTATCCACCCTTGCAGTATCATACAGAACAGTTGCACCCCCTATAAATATCTCCTGTGCTTTATCCATTTACCCCCCTCCGTTTATTTTCTTTTCTTTTTTCTTTTTTTTTTTTGAGACGGAGTCTTGGTTTGTCACCCAGGCTGGGTGCAGTGGTGTGATCTGAGCTCACTGCAACCTCTGCCTCCTGGGTTCAAGTGATTCTTCTGCCTCAGCCTCCCGAGCAGCTGGGACTACAGGCGTGCGCCTCAACATCCAGCTAATTTTTGTATTTTTAGTAGAGACGGGGTTTCGCCATGTTGGCCAGCCTGATCTCGAACTCCTGACCTCAGGTGATCTGCCCACCTGGGCCTCCCAAAGTGCTGGGATTATAGGCGTGAGCCACCGTGCCAGGCCAACCTCTGCCATTTCTTCCTGAACCACTGATCTCTTTCCTATTGCTATCGTTTTGCCTTTTCCAGTATGTCATATAATTGAAATCATACAGTATACAGCATTTTCAGACTAACTTCTTTCACTACACAATATACATTTAAGATTCATCCGTGGTTTTTTTGTGACTTGATAGCTCCATCTTTTTATGGCTGAATAAGATGCCATTGTACAAATGTACCACAGTTTATCCACTTGGCTCTTGAAGGACATCTTGGTTGCTTCAGTTTTTGATGATTATGAGAAAGCCTGGTATAAACACGTGTGGGTGGACTTTTGTTTGGATATAAATTTGAAATTAGTGAGGTCAAAATGCCACATGCACTTTTAGGTGCTAGGGACACAGGTGCTTAGGATACAACAGCGAAAGAGTCCCTGTGCTCTTAAAAACAAATGCAAATGAATAAATCAGAATGGCTTCAGCTCACGAGTAGTGCTAGGAAAAAAATAAAGCTAATAGGATAATGAGTGAGAGACTGTGGCCAGGTTAGTGGGGCCAGGAAGGGCTTCTTTGAGGAAGTTCATTGCATTTGTATCTGAGCCTGCATGATGAGAGATGGCACCAGCGGTGTGCAAAGCCCTGGGGGGACATACTGGGCTCAGTTAATGCAAACACCCTCTGGCAGGATGAATCTTGGCATGGCCAAGGGACTAGGAACAGAAAGTACTGTGAGGTAAAGACATGAATGAGAGTATTTTCTTAAAAACTTTTTATTGTAGGCCAGGCGCGGTGGCTCATACCTGTAATCCCAGCACTTTGGGAGGCCGAGGCAGGCGGATCACGAGGTCAGGAGATCGAGACCATCCTGGCTAACATGGTGAAACCCCGTTTCTACTAAAAGTACAAAAAATTAGCCGGGCATGGTGGCGGGCGCCTGTAGTCCCAGCTACTCGGGAGGCTGAGGCAGGAGAATGGCGTGAACCTGGGAGGCGGAGATTGCAGTGAGCGGAGATCGCACCACTGCACTCCAGCCTGGGCGACAGAGCAAGACTCCGTCTCAAAAACAACAACAACAACAAAAAACTTTTTATTGTAGTATAACATACAAAGTACACAAAACCCAAGTGTAAGTGCACAGTTGATGAATTTTGTCAAATTGAACCCACCCACCTTCCAGATCAGGAAATGGAATAGTGCCAGCACTGCAGGGGTCCCTCGTGTGTGCTTATCCCATTATCAGCCCCCTTCCCTCCCTCCAAGGTCATCTGATTAATTTTACCTTCTTAAAAGCTTTTATGTCTGTTTTTTTGTTGTTGTTGTTGTTCAACATTAGATGTGTGAGATACACCCACATTGTTGCATGTCATTTGAGGTTTGATCATTTCAGTTGCCACATAGTACTCCATGTGTGAATACACCACAGTTGTTTTTTTATCGATTCTACTTTTGATGGACATTTGGGAGGCCTTCAGTTTTGAGCTATTCTGAATTGAGCTCCCGAGAATATTATTGCGTATGTCTTTTGGTGAACCTATGTCTGCATTTCTGTTGGCTTATATACAGAGTGGCAAAATTGCTGGCTTATAGAGTACGTGTATATTCAGCATTGCTAGGTACTGTCAGATGATTTCTTAAGTAATTGCACCAATCTACATGCCCACTGCACTATATGAAAGTTCTGATTGTTTCCCATCCTTACCTACGCTTGTTATTTTCTGACTTTTTCATTTAGCCGTCTGTTATGTAATATAGTGGTGTTGCATTATGGTTCGAATTTACATTTACCTGATGGCTAGTCAAGTCCAGCCCCTTTTCATATGTTTACTGGCCTTTGGATATCCTCTTTGTGAAGTGCTTGTTCAATTCTTTTGCCCATTTCAAAGAGAAAAAACAACAACTTTGGGTTTGGGTTGTCTTTTATATATCCTGGACATTGATCTCTTACAGTCTAGATATGAGTCCTTTGTCAGAAATATGTGTCCCACTTGGTGAACTGCCTTTTTCACTCTCTGAATGGTGACTTTTGAGGCACAGAAGTTCTTAATCTTAATATTTTCCAATTTGTCAGCTTTTTCCTTTATATTTGGTACATTTTCAACCTATTTAAGAAAACTTTGTCTGCTACAAGGTCATGAAAATGTTTTTCTGTGTTACCTTTTTGATGCTTCATTATTTTACCTTTTATATATAGATCTGTAATCCATCTGAAATTCATTTTTATGTGTGGTATAATGTAGAGATTACGATTCATGATCCTTTTGTAGTTCATAGCATGATGATTGGGTGTTCACATGCATGTGTGAAATGTGCCAGCCTTGAACCTTGTTACAACATTGGCACATGACCCATCTGACCTGAATTTGGAACACCCAGTTGACCCAGCACCATTCATTTAAAGATCATCTTCCCTCACTACACTGTAGTTACAAATAAGGGGATACCGTAGATTGAATGTTTATATCCCCCTAAAATTTATATGTTGGAATCCTAAGCCCCAGTATTATACTATTGGGAGAGGGGCCTTTCGGAGGTGATTATGTCCTGAGGGTGGAGCACTCATGAATGGGATTAGTGCCCTTATAAAAGACACAAGAGAGCTCTCTTTCTCTGCACTCCATCATGGGAGGACACATTGAGAAGTTAGCCATCTGCAAACCAGGAAGCTGGCTCTCACCAGACATAGGATCTGTGTGGTACCTTGATGAACTTCCCAGCTTCCAGAATGGTGAGAAATATATTTCTGTTGTTTAAACCACCAGTCTGTGGTAGTCTGTTAAAGCAGCCCAAACTGACTAAGACAGGAGACCTTGTATGTTTGGCTCTATATAGATTCTAGTGAGTATGTTCTAATATTAGGTAGAGCCTTTCTGTCTTGCTCACTATACTCCATCTTCATTTCCTGGCAGTGGCCCCTGTGCTGTAAATATTCAATAAATATCAGCTGGTTGGTGGACAGGTCTGAACTTGCCTTTAGGCAAGAGTTTTAAAATATCTGGGCTCCCAGTCCAAGAAAAGATACTCAGATTTTGTGTTAGAGAAGACTTGACTTGCCTAGTTAATTACATTTCTTCTCTAGGCCCAAATATGTTTCTGGACCAGTTCTGCTGGCTAAAGTCCTTGGGGAAGGCTGGTTGACCTCAGGTTGTCCAGTTGGCAGTAATGAATCTATTTAACCATCCAGCCAGTCATGCAATAAATATCTTTTATGGGCCTACTATGTGGCAGGCATAAAGTAGAACTAAAATAATAGGATTATTTCCAGAGTTTCTATTTTTAATTTTAGAACATTTGTTGTTTCTTTCTTTACAAGTTAAACACTCAGTGCAAGGAGGGTAATTTTGAGAATTTTCCTCTATTTTGAGGGTAGCTTTATTGTTCTGTTATAGTTATTTAAAATTTTTGTGTGTGACAGCCTAGATAAACAGGCAACAGGCCTAAGAATTAGAGCTTTTATGTTGCTATCAGACTATTTTAAAACAAACAAAACCCTACAAAGAAAAAGAGATGAAAATAAATGTGAAGTGCAGTATTTCACACAGTGAATTCAGCGAGAAGTTAAGTACTTTTCTCATTTTCAAAATTTAGTGCCAGACCAAAGACCAAGTTTAGAAAAATAGAGGAATGCATTTTCAGGAGGTTGGTGTGGACTCTGGATGTGCCAGTCAGTGCCAGTACACCAGATCGCATTGTGAGTGGGCCACGTGCCATATACCATGTGTCACATGCCACATACCGCTCTTCTTCTTCTTTTTTTTTTTTTTGAGACGGAGTCTGAGTCTCCCTCTGTTGTCCAGGCTGGGGTGCAGTGGCGCTATCTCGGCTCACTGCAAGCTCCGCCTCCCGGATTCATGCCATTCTCCTGCCTCAGCCTCCTGAGTAGCTGGGATTACAGGCGCCCGCTACCACGCCCGGCTAATTTTTTGTATTTTTAGTAGAGATGGGGTTTCACCATGTTAGCCAGGATGGTCTCGATCTCCTGACCTCATGATCTACCCGCCTCGGCCTCCCAAAGTGCTGGGATTACAGGCCTGAGCCACCGCGCCCAGCCAAATGCTGCTCTTCTTGGTAACTGCCCTCTGGGGAACAAAAGAGCCCTAGAGGCTTCTCCCATGGTACCATCTTGCTTGGTGACACCAGGGGCTGGGGTTATGTCCCAGGGTCTCTTTGTTCCTCCTTTCCTCTGGGGATATGAACAAAGAGGGGCAGGGGACAAGCAGATCCCCAAACTGGGGCCAGCTCCAGGCGGTAGCTGTTGGAAAATGGGGCTGCCTCCGCCAGCACTTATTGTCCACCACTGCCCATGTCTGGTGGCTGCAGTTTGAGCTGCTCTGAAGCCTTTTGAGGCCACTGGGAGAGGCAGCCTCCTAGCAGGCCTGCCTCAGGAGGAGGAAGCAGATTGCTAAGGGAACAGGGTGGCTGGTGCTTGTGAATGTTACTTCCGTGATGGGACTGTGATTCTCGTTCTTATTTAGTTAATATCATGTCCAATTTCATTTTCAGCTTGTCTCAGGTGAATATTTTATATATTTAGTGAAACCTCACCAACCTTGAAGTCAGGAATTTTGTAACTCCAGTCATTTGGAACCGAGTGAAGGAACCTAAAGGAAAGCAGAAAGAGGCCAGGCGCGGTGGCTCACGTCTGTAATCCTAGCACTTTGGGAGGCCAAGGCGGGTGAATCCCTTGAGGTTAGAAGTTCAAAAACAGCCTGGCCAACATGGTGAAACCTCATCTCTACTAAAAATACAAACATTAGGCCGGGCGCGGTGGCTCACGCCTGTAATCCCAGCACTTTGGGAGGCCGAGGCGGGCGGATCACTTGAGGTCAGGAGTTTGAGACCAGCCTGGCCAACATGGCAAACCCCATCTCTACTAAAAATACAAAAAAATTAGCTGGGCATGGTGGCACACACCTGTAATCCCAGCTACTCAGGAGGCTGAGGCAGGAGAATTGCTTGAACCCAGGAGGCAGAGGTTGAGGTGAGCCGAGATCGCACCACTGCACTCCAGCCTGGGTGACAGAGCAAGACTCCGTCTCGGGGGGGAAAAAAACAAAAAGCAGAAAGAGTAGCTTTGAGACCCTAAAGAGATACGATATTTTGGGGTATGCTGGGGTATGTTCTTGATTTATTACAGAGGTCCTTGGGCTTCCATGTAGAGCTTCTGTGCTCTTACTTTAGCCACATTTCTAACAAGTTTGGTTTTCTGCTTTTTTAGTTCACTAGATTTAGAAGCAACAAACTAGGCTGCTAGGTATACGTTCTGGGAGAACATCTAGAAGTGACAGCTGACAGCCTGACAGTAAGGGAGGAGACAGAGCATCTATAAAAAGCTCGGAAGACCAGAGCTGTCTTATATACTGTATAAGGCAGAGAGCTCTGAGCCTGTTGCAGCCTGGAGCGTGTCCCGAGAGGCAGTGTGGCAGGACGCCTGGCCACAGGAGTGACCTGAGCCATTCAGACCCCAAAGGCAGGCACACGAGGAATCCCTTAGAGAGATTTGAAGAAAAAGAGTTGAATACTAGTTATCTGAAATAATTTACATATATAGAACCCTTGTTTTCCTTGGGATACTAAACACATAAAAGAACTCCCCCTTTCTCTCCATGTCTCCGTTCTCCCCTTCTCTCCTCCCCTCTTTCTCTCCTTCTCTCCTCCCCTCTTCCTCTCCCCCTTGCTTTCCTCCCACCCTTTCTGCGGCCCCTCCCCTCCCGACTCTCCTCTCCCCCACTCCCCTCCCACCTTGCTCTCTCCCTTTCCGTTTTCACTTCCCCTTTTACTTCCCTCCCCCACTCCTTCTCCCTAACACAATACAGCGTCCCTTTTTTTTTTTTTTTTTTTTGTCTTTGAGGTTCACATATATGCAGTGAGTTGCTGGTGAAAGTTTAACAACTGGCTCTCATGGGAGAAAAAAATCCCTTGATTCGGCCGGGCGCGGTGGCTCACGCCTGTAATCCCAGCACTTTGGGAGGCCGAGGCGGGCAGATCACGAGCTCAGGAGATCGAGACCATCCTGGCTAACATGGTGAAACCCCGTCTCTACTAAAAATACAGATTACCTGGGCGTAGTGGCGGGCGCCTGTAGTCCCAGCTACTTGGGAGGCTGAGGCAGGAGAATGGCGTGAACCCGGGAGGCGGAGCTTGCAGTGAGCCGAGATAGCGCCACTACACTCCAGCCTGGGCGAAAGAGCGAGACTCCCGTCTCAACAAAACAAAACAAAACAAAACAAAACAAAAAAACCCTTGATTCACAGCAGCCCAGTTTCCTTAGTGTAAGTCCTCGCCATGGTTGATTTCAGGTGACCATTGTGAAGTCCCTGGGGAGGAGCAGGGACAAGTACTTCCTCCATACAGATGCAGGAGATGGAAGTAACCTTAAGAGCGTAAGAATAGGCAGATAACACCAAATAATCAGAAAGTCATGTTTTGAGTATTTACAACTTTATTATATAATTACTCTTCTTATACAATTATATAATTTAATTTAAAAATTTAGTAACATTTAACTCAATGTATCAAAAATATTATCATTTTAACATATCGATAGAAAATTATTATTATTATTTGAGACAGATTCTCACTCTGTAGCCCAAGCTGGAGTGCAGTGGTGCGATCTTGGCTCACTGCAACATCTGCCTCCCAGGCTCAAGTCATTGTCCTGCCTCAGCCTCCCAAGTAGCTGGGACTATCGGCACGCGCCACCACACCCAGCTAATTTTTTGTACTTTAGTAGAAATGGGGTTTCACCATGTTGCCCAGGGTGGTCTCGAACTCCTGAGCTCAGGCGATCCACCCATCGTGGCCTCCCAAAGTGCTGGGATTACAGGCGTGAGCCACCGTGCCCAGCCTCAATATAAAATTATCAATAAGATATTTTACACTCCTTAAAAATATCTAACCTTCCATTATAGTTAGAGGTGATCCTATGACAAATTTTGACCAGTGAAATGAATTCACTGCATGGAGTTTTTGAATAATAATTTAATGGTAACTGATTCTGTTGTCATGGGAAACTTGTCTTTTTCCTTACTTCCTGAAATGTAAGTAGAAGAGGAAAAAAAATTAAAAATAGAAACAATAAAATAAGAACTTACATATGACGTCTTTGAACTGTTGAACAAATGCCAATATCCAACTATGTTGGACTTCTCTGTATATGGCAGAAAAAAAATCATATTTAGTCTCCAAACTGCTGTTAAAAGGTTGTCGTTGTTGTTAGATGCTGCTAAACCCAATGGTTGAGTAAAAGAGAAGGTGTCAAAAGCAGAGACCTGCATAAGGTGAAGGCACAGGACAAGTGAATTGTGAATGAAGAAAATTCTAGGCTGATGAAATCGAACATGAAAAGGCCGAAGCGGGAAGAAGCTGAAAGTAGAATGAACCAAGGTTTACTAATTACCAATACCATGCAACAAACTCCCCCACATCTTAGTGGCTTAAGAAATGACTATCATTTATTTTGCTTGCAAATCTGATTTGTGCATCATTTGTTGGGGGTGACTCATCTCTGCCTCATGGGGAATTAATTGATGTGGCAAACTTAGGGCCTGAGTATGTATTTTCAACATGACTTACTCTGCAAACTGTTGGGGCCATGGGCCATTGTGTCAGCTCTTCAGCATACAGGCTTTTCCATGTGCTATTTCGGTTTCCTTGCTGTATGGGGACTGGGCTCTGGAGTAAACATCTCAATACGATCAGGAAGAAGTTGTATTGCTTTTAATGACTTTGCCTTGGAGGTCACATAGTATTGCTTCTGTTCTAATCACAGTTCTAACAAGGCTTCAAGGAAAAGGAACATAGATTTTACCTTCTGATGGGAGGAAAGTCAAGTGAGATCACCTTGTGAGGAAGGGAAGTGGAATGGGAAATATTGTTGAAGCCAGTTTTGGAAAATACAATCTGCCACACAAGAAAGAATAAGAAAATATGGGTGATGAGAACTGAATTCAACACATACTCATTACACTTTTGTCATGTGCTAGTTACTTTTTTTTTTTTTTTCTTTTTTTGAGATGGAGTCTCACTCTGTCTCCCAGGCTGGAGTGCAGTGGCGCGATCTTGGCTCACTGCAAGCTCTGCCTCCCAGGTTCACGCCATTCTTCTGCCTCAGGCTCCTGAGTAGCTGGACTACAGGCGACTGCCACCATGCCTGGCTAATTTTTTTGTATTTTTAGTAGAGATGGGGTTTCAATGTGTTAGCCAGGATGGTCTTGATCTCCTGACCTCGTGATCCGCCCGCCTCGGCCTCCCAAAGTGCTGGAATTACAGGCGTGAGCCACTGCGCCCGGCTGCTAGTTACCTTTTAAGCACCCGTGATATCGAAGTAGACCAAAGAGACAAAAATCACTTCCCTTCCTTGTGGGTTTTACATTCTAGGGAAATGAGAGAGAAGAGTGATACGTGATGAGGTTAGAAGAAACAGAGCCTTGTAGGTTACAGTACGACTCTTTTTTTTTTTTTTTTAATGGTAAGGAATTTGAATTTTGTTCCTGAGTATGATAGCTTTTATGCAGGGAAGTGATATGGTCTTATTATTTTTTATGACTATAAAATTAACTTTTATTTAACATTTTTTTACAAAATACATTTAAAAAATTTTAAATCTGTTTTTTAGAGCAGTTTTAGATTCACAGTAAAATTGAGAGGAAGGTACCTTTCCTATGTACTCTCTGCCCAGTCCCCCAACACAGCCTCCCCACCAACTCCCCCGGCGTGACCCTCCATTGGAGCGGTACATTGGTCACAATCGATGAACCTACGTTGACACACCATTATCACCCAAAGTGCATAGTTTACATGAGGGTCCACTCAAGGTGCTGTACATTCCATGGGTTTGGACAAATGTTTAATGACATGTACCCACCATGGTAGTTTACAGAGGAGTTCCACTGACCTGAACATTCTCTCGTTATTGTGTTTGACAGCTGGCTTATAAAATTCCTGAAAATTTAACAGTGGTCTCTAGTGAGCTGGTACAAGCCAGCTCCATTCAGCACACCATTGTACATACCTAATATCTTATAGTTGAGGGATTCTCTGTAATTTTGTTTGAGCATAACAACAATCTAACTCTTTTATAAGGAGAATCCCAGAAGCTCACATTTAAAAGAGACCCGAGAGATCTTCTGTCCTGACCTTTCTGCCTGACACACTGATTCCATCTATAGCATGGTAAAAGGATCTTTCAGGGCCACTGCTGCTCAGATTTCTCACGTCTCCACACAGAATCTGTGATTGACGCACACATTTGAAAGTTAAGTGATTTTCTTCAGGCTGCAAACTGGGACTGGAATTTCGTCTCTTTCTCTTGTTCTTCTCTAATTTTATTCTCATGCAAACAGCCTGATTTCTGATTTCATAATTTAGCACAAGACATATTTTATTTAAGTAGGGATGAATTTAAAGATCACAGAACCATGTCATTAAGTGAAATCAACAAATGTTTATCAGCATTCAGAATTTCTCCATTTCTTTTTTTCTTTTTTCTTTTTTTTGAGACGGAGTCTTGCTCTCACCCAGGCTGGAGTGCAGTGGTGCGGTCTTGGCTCACCGCAACCTCTGCCTCCCGGGTTCAAATGGTTCTCCTGCCTCAGCCTCCTGAGTAGCTGGGATTACAGGTTCCCGCCACCATGCCCTGCTCTTTTTTTTTGTATTTTTAGTAGAGACGGGGTTTGCCACATTGGCCAGGCTGTTCTCAAACTCCTGACCTCAAGTGATCCGCCCGCCTTGGCCTCCCAAAGTGCTGGGATTACAGGTGTGAGCCACTGCACCCGGCCCAGAGTCTCTCCCTTTCTTTGCTGAAGAATTTATGTTATGTATTCATCACCTATCTATAAAGTGGTTATAGCTGGGAACCCTTTGCAGATGGGTAATTCATCATTAGACGGGTTATAGATAATCTCTCTATTCATTATATGGCATTGACATTCAGAACTAATGGTTAAAGTCACTCTAGATGGGAAATATTAGATTCCTTCCCTAGGCCAGGGAGACTAGACAGCTTTTTAGAAGATCTCTGTAACCCCCAGCATTGGTGCTTTTATGACAAGGTGAAGCTCTTTTGTAAAGCTGTGTTTTTGTGTGTGTGTGTTAATGCACCAGACCATTCCTGGCCTACTGTGCAAGGCCCTGTGGTGCAGGTGGGGAGGCGGGTAGAGATAGAGAGCGAGGTACAGCTGAGTGCAGATCCCCAGCTCTGAGCATCACTGGGTGTGTGACTTACTCAATTCATCATTTAGCTATTGAGAGCTGATGTTAGGCATATTCTTTCTTTTCTTATGAAGCCTTGGTTTATTGTGGGCCTCAGAATAGAAGCTTCTTGGCCTGAAAATGAAGTTCTTTGGAAGTGCCATCTGACACTTCTCCTGGTGGGCAGAGTTGCTGAAACTGGAAGCAGGGGGTTTGAGGGGTGCTGTAACTGATGTGGGGAGACCGACTGGGGACAAAGAATGAGGATAGTAACAGGAGATGACTCCTCCTCCCCAGGAGGCCAGATGCATCCAGAGGCCTCACATGGCTGGATGTAGGTTACAAGGTCGCTCTCACAGTCAAGGTGTGAGCAAGGCCTTGGTCTTCCCATCAGCCATGCTGCCTTATAAGCCACTCAGTCAACTCCCCATCCACCTCCAAACTGCTGCTTGCCTGGCCTCCCTCTTCATTGATGATGTGATGAGCCACCCAAATAGACCTGGAGTTTTTTTTGTGTTTTGAAATAATTTTAATTTACAGATTTGCAAAGAAAGCACAGAGTTTTCCCCATGTACCCTTCACCCAGCTTCCTCCAATGTTGACATTTTCCTGTGCATTTCTCGACACTAAGAAATCAGCAATGGTACAAGGTAGCTAATGACAATCTTTATTGAGATCTCCCCATTTTTTCCACGAATGCCCTGTCTCTTCTAGCATGTCTTCTAGGAAACCACATTGCATGAGTGGAGTTGGTTTTCAGCTCCTCTCATTTTCTCCCACACTTGGCACCACCTAATCTGGTCTCTTATCCTTACCCTTTTTTTTTTCCATCCCTATGGTGAGTGCCCGGGCCCAGCCTTTTCCACTCATGTGGAGCCTTTGGCACCCTCTCCTGGACTCCCTTCCCCAGATTCTCCCACCTTGCTGTATACATGCTGCTCGGAGAGGCCACTGTAAAAATGACTCTTCTCAGGGGGCTCAGATCTCTCCCTGAATGAAGTCTGAGCTCACTACAGCCCTCCTTTGTAACTTTCCAACTTGGTCTTGCACTACTTTCCAATTTCAGCCTTCTTCTGCAGACAGGTGGGTCTCTTGGCAGACAGATGAGTCTCTTTAACTCTGTTTAATACCTGAGGATGCCTGGTTCTCACTGTGTTTTCCTAACGTGCTTTATCTTGTTCAGTCTTCAGAATAATGCCGATGCCAGCCAGCGCTAGGAATGGAGGCCCGCAGAGGCTTATGGAACTGGCCCATGGTCACTCAGCCAGGACATGGGAGCCCAAGACTGCAGACCTGAGGCTCCTAAGCACCCCAATCTCTCATCTCAACTTCAGGATAGCCTCGTGAGTTCTGCTCACGCCATTCCCAGGATCCCCCATCCTCAAAGCTTCCTCTGTCTTAGTCCTGCCCATCCTTCAAAGCCCAACTTGAACCCCGTCTCCATGAGGTCTTTTGTTTTAGGCTGAAATCAATTTGCTTATTTGGCACCTCTCCCTCCCCCCCACCCCCGAGATTTGTTAAGGTATTATTGAAAAATAATAATTATATATACTTGCAGTGTACAGACATGATGCTTTGATAGGTGCATACGTTGTGAAATGATTAAATCAAGCTAATTAGCATATTCATCACCTCACATACTTACCATTTTCTAAATTGTGAGAACACTTACTAACTTACCCATACTTCTTGGTATTTATAAATCAATTACAAAGAAATGCTATGAGTCTCCCTCTGTCGCCCAGGCTGGAGTGCAGTGGTGCGATCTCGGCTCACTGCAAGCTCTGCCTCCTGGGTTCACACCATTCTCCTGCCTCAGCCTCCTGAGTAGCTGGGACTACCGGTGCCCCCCACCACTCCCAGGTAATCTGTATTTTTAGTAGAGATGGGGTTTCACCGTGTTAGCCAGGATGGTCTCGATCTCCTGACCTTGTGATCCGCCCACCTTGGCCTCCCAAAGTGCTGGGATTACAGGCGTGAGCCACCACGCCTGGCCGTGTGTGCATTTTTATCTTCTCAATTCGACTGTAAGCTCCTAGAGGGTAGGAACATTGGCTTATAATATATTCTGTCCTCTGGAAGGCCTGGCAGATATTCAGTGTTCAACGGTGTGTTTTAAATAAATATAATTTCCTGGAATATCATTTAATAATAAGTAGTGAAAGCTGGGCGCAGTGGCTCACGCCTGTAATCCCAGCACTTTGGGAGGTGGAGGTGGACGGATCACAAGGTCAGGAGTTCGAGACCAGCCTGGCCAATACGGTGAAACGCCATCTCTACTGAAAATACACAAAAAATTAGCTGGTCATGGTGTCGCACGCCTGTAATCCCAGCTACTCAGGAAGCTGAGACAGGAGAATTGCTTGAACCCGGGAGGCGGAGGTTGCGGTGAGCTGAGATCATGCCACTGCACTGCAGCCTGGGCGACCGAGGGAGATTCTGTCTCAAAAAAAAAAAAAAAAGTAGTGAAGAGGATGTTTCTTTTTTGCTCTCATATTTGAAACATATGATCAATTGGCTTGAACATTGTTTATGATACCACTATGACATTTAATCCGTGTTGACCAAATAATAAAACCAGAAACAACAATAACAGTAGTAGCTCACATAGTGCTTATTATGTGCTGGGCTGTTCTAAGGCTTGCCCATGTTAACTCCTTTCATCCTCTTAATAAACCTGTGAGGTGGATGCTATTTCTGGTCCCATTGTAGCGATGGAACCAGGCAGGAAGAAGTCCAGTAACTTGCTGAGAGCCGTGGAGAAGGTGGTGGAGTTGGAAGGGGCCCCCACTCTGAGCTGGGTCTCTTGGATCTGCTTCAGTGGGATCTCTTAGCAGAGGTCACACATGGACCCAGTGCTTCCCTCTTTTTCTGTGTAAAATCACAGTGGTCATTTACTAAGGATGCAGAGCTCTGATATGTTGAATATGTTTTTGGGAAAGTGAATCTGTTAATATTGTGAGTCCTTATAAATATTTAACTCTCTGCTCTTTATGACTAGTTAGTAATTTCCTTTGTAAAATATTACTTCAACAATAAAAGTGAACTCTTGAGCATGGGGCTGGTGAGGGCATTTCCAAATGCAAGGAAGTTACTTTGACATCTCCCTGGTGGTGCCCAGGTACAGACGGTGGGTAATTACCAGAACTGTTGCTTTGTATGATTTCCCTAGTCAAAGGCTTAATCATTTGACAGTATCTAACCCAGTGTTATTGGATAACATAACCCATGGCTCTTGACTGTGCTAGGTATGAGGCTGGTGTTTTCTCAGCAGAACCAGTTAAAATAAAACCTAGATGTCATATCCCAATCTGGCCTGTTTGGGAAAATGCAGTTTGAACCACAAGCGCAATCTACCCGTGGTGTTTTATAACACTGTTTGCTTGGCCAGTCTTCTTCAGCAGGCCCTGAATATCTTGTACTTCTCTCCCTGGTAACAGGATCTCTAAACCGGCCACACCTGTCATAAGTGACTCTACTAAAGGGGAATTCAGAATTCCACTGGGGATACTTAGAACAGTGAGCTGATGTGATCTTGTGTTATTTTCCCTTTCTTGGGGGTTATCCCTTGATTAATTACCTGTCTGTTGGAGAGAGAGTGTTCTTATAATTGGGGTGAACAGGAGGGCTCTAGTGGGCACCCCGGGGTGAGGGAGTGTGGGGCATTGCAGTAGAACCTAGGCAGCGCTTGGAGCCAGCCCTACTGGCTATCTGGGCAGGCCAGCCCTGGAAGGATTCCCATCTTCTCAACGGGAGTGCCCGTGGCTTCCATGAGTTACCAAGCTGGGAATTGCTTCTAACAATCGAGTTGGAGGCGGGGTGCCCGTGGTACAATCTGTGTCTGGCTTCCTTGGCAACTACCTCTTGTCTTGTTTCCTGCTTCCAGTCAATGCCTTTAGGATTAGGCTGAACTTTCCCCTTCATTGTATGTCTCAGCGTCAAAGAGAGGACAGAGAAGGAACATCTTGTTGCTGTCTTACTTGAAATACCAGATAAGTTCAGGGTTCAATAAAGGTGAGACCTTCCTTAGCTTATTTGAAGGAACTGCTGTTAGTCTAATTCATGATCTGTGTCTTTCTACTGCTATTTTGGTGGATTTGTGGATTGGCGTCCCTGGTCCAGAAGAGTTTTATTATCATCCTCAAATAGTCCACATTCAAACAAATCCCTTTTGGATCACAGAAGTGAGATTTTTTTCCTTTAAGCTGTTATAATGAGTGAGGCCCAGGTAAGGGCAGTGTCCTGCCGTGGCTGCAGGTGTCTGGGTTTGCAGAGGGCCTGAAGGAGTGGCTTCAAACAGGACAATCCTGTTCATCGTGTGGGAGACCCTGTGGGCAAGGAGATGGGTTTTATACGGATGAGGCCACTCAAGGAAGAGGGAGGAGAGATCACGAGGAAGGGCTAGTTATTTAGGGCCGGTCCCACCCTCCAGTGATCCGGCCTCCCCCTGTGTGTCTCTCCCTACCTTCTGGCTGCCTGTGTCCTAACTCCACGTCCTGTTTGCTGCCTTCCCCATACCAGAAATCCTAATATCCACGGCTCAGCCTGGCCCTGGTTCCTGAGAGATGTCTTGCTGTGTAGCTCTGTGGTGGATGTTGTAGACAGTGAACGGCTCTCTGGGCACAATTCAGCCAGTCTCTGTTGTCAGTGGAAGCAGCACAGATCTTCCCTGCACCGTGTGGCCATTTGAAAACAGGGGTGCACTTGACAACTCCAAAAAAACTAAGGTAGACTGTCTTTACCTGTTGTTTCTGTGAAAGGATCTGGGGAGAAGAGAGGGAAAAAATGAAGTCATAGTTTCAGAGCCATATATGGGCCTCACTTAATGGAGTGAGTGTTGGGGCCAGATTTATATTGGGAAGGAAACTATCTTGGTAGATAAGAAGTGAAAATTCTTGCTGGTGTGACCAAAAGGCTGGGACCTGTCTGTTGACAGCAGAGAAGGCAAGCGAAGGGTCATGTGTAGCACGTTCTCAGGCCTGGCCTTGGGGCCTGTGGAGCTTCCATGCAGATCCGGTGGTCACAGATAGCCTTACTGTTCCTTTCCCCCCTCAGTCCCTCTCTGTCTCTCTCTCCCCGGTAGGGTTCAACATACACATATCTGTGGGTGCAAATACATGAGCAGCTCTGAGTCAGTCTTCTTTCCCTCATTGTTGTCCCCAAAGTCCCACAGTCTTTTGTCCTTCTCGGAGACCAGTTGGATTCAGCACCCTGTGAGGCCTGGGGTTCAACTCAGGACAGCTGTCGGGGAGGCAGGGAGTGGGACCTGGGCCGCTTTCTCTGAGCCAGTCCGGACTGCAGCAGAACCCCAGTGACTGTCCCAACAAGAGGCCGGGACAGACTCATCTCCTGAGGCCCCGTCGTCAGGCAAGAAAGATGGGCTTCCCTGTGGCATGTGTGTTTTCCCTCATCACTGTGTGGTTAGCCCCAGCGGGGATATAAATATTGTCCAGATGCTCACTGGTTAATGTTTTACCTCGCACAAGAATGTGCTGTTCCCAGGCAGCTGTGTGTCATAGTTACAGTCTCCTAGAGGGCTTGTGCGTGTGTCTCCTGGAGCCGCGGCTGGCCCTCACCCCCCATGCAGCCTCCGCGAGGCCTTTTGTGCAGAGCCTTGCCCTTGTGTGTGCCCTCCTACTCCATCTGTATCTTGTCGTCAGTTGCTGGCGCCACCTCAGCAGGGTTTACTGTGACCTTTCTTGGGCCCATCTGGGAACAGTGGTAGTAGGTCTGGACCTAGGGGTCCAGTGGGTCTTTCCCACAACCTAGCCTGTGTAAGAGGCTGGAGGAAACCCTGAATGCAGGCAGAGAAGTCTGTCACAGAGGCCCCTGGGGACAGTGGACGCTGGCTCTGTGGGCCGACCAAGGAGCGAGACCAGCTGGAGCATGTCAGGGGATGGTGGGTGTGATTGGAGAGGAGGGCGGTCACAGCAGGTGAGGTTGTGTCCCTCTCCTAATATGCAGGGCCAGCCTTTGAAGTTCATTTCTTCAGTTCAGGTAAAGTCAATACGATTGATTTCTAGACCTATAGACCTATGTGAAGTATCTCAACCAAAGAGATGTTTATCTCCAACCTAAGCATAGCTCTATTTTATTTCTCCTTTTGTTTTTTGGAATCATTAAAGATAAAACTACTCCCAGCCATTACAACTGTCATGATGACATAAAATACTGCATCAGAAATAGTAACCAGGGTCTTTATACTGTTGTTTATTTCATTACTTGGAATGAAAATGACAATCTAAGGTGAAGAGATGGACTTGGTTTGTCTGAAATAGGGAAACATCTAGGTGTAGATTTTCAGATCTCACAGGGGACAAATTTCTTCATCTGCAGAGGAGGAAATAAACAGGATCTGTGTAGCTCTTGGATGACCAGCTCAATACATGGATGCTGGAGGTGAAGGGAGCTCTCTAGGGAAAGTTTGATGGCTGCATTTTTTTGCTTTCTATACTCTCCCTGTCACTACGAATATGGAAGTGTTTTTCGAAGCCTGTTCTACTTCCTAAAACACCTTATAATGCTTTTCCTTTTAGGAGGAAGGGAGGCCTGGAACCAACCTGGGAAGGCACTGGGGAGACCCAGGGAGGAAGGAGACTGTGGTCGCCAAGCATGGTGGCTCATACCTGTAGTCCCAGCACTTTGGGAGGCCAAGCTAGGGGCGCTGCTTGAGCCCAGGAGTTCAGTACCAGCTGGGACAACATAGCAAGACCCTATCTCTATACAAAATAAAAATTTGCCAGGTGTGGTGGTGCTAGCTACTCAGGAGGCTGAGGCAGGAGGTTTGCTGGAATACAAGGGTTCAAGGCTGCGATGAGCTATAATTGCACCACTGCACTCCAGCCTGGGCAGCAGAGTGAGACACCAACAGAAAGAAAGAGAGAAAGAGAGAGAGAGAGAAAGAAAGGAGGGAGGGAGGGAGGGAGGGTCGGCCATGAAGACTTTATCTATATAGCGAGGGTAACAGACAGCCCAGGTGTAGAGAGTCCAGATAAGTGTCTCGATTTTTCCACGTTGGCCTATGTTTTTAAATGGAAACGAACTCTGCAGACCTGCCCTTCATTAGAATCTGAATCCCCAAACATCTTTCTCATGTTTAATCTCTGCCATTGGTTCATGGGCTGTTAAAAAAAAAAAGGGGATAATATCCATGAAGGCTCTCTTACACAGGTGACATAAATAACTTTTTTTTCCAAATACAGCTGTGACAAAACTGAGCAATTATATCCATGCATAGAATGAGTGAGAAAGACAGGAGTTTGAGTCCCAACTCTGCCACATTACTGACTGTGTGATCTTAGGCAAGTTACTTAGACTCTGTTTTTTGGTTTTTCTCATTTGTAAGGTGTGTTTTGGGGAAACAGATAACAAAAGGGATGTTGTAAGAATTAACTGAGATGGGCCAGGCACGGTGGCTCCGGCCTATAATTCCAGCTGTTTGGGAGGCCGAGGGGGATAGATCACCTGAGGTCAGGAGTTTGAGACCAGCCTGGCCAACATGACAAGACCCTGTCTCTACCAAAACCACAAAAATTAGCCGGGAGTGGTGGCATGTGCCTGTAATCCCAGCTACTCAGGAAGCTGAGGCGTGAGAATCACTTGAACCTGGGATCTGAAGGTTGCAGTGAGCCGAGATTGTGCCACTGCACCCCAGCCTGGGTGACAGAGTGAGACTCCATTTCAAAAAACAAACAAACAAGAAAGAATTAACTGAGATGATTCATGCAGTCAAGCATTAGCATAGTGTCTGGTAGATAGGGTGCACTCAGTGGATGTTAGCTATTATTATGTTTGAGACAGTATAGTATGGATTGGTACAAGTGTTGGCCTCAGCTCTAGCTGTGTGACTGTGGGCAAATAACCCCGAGTCTCAGCTACTTCATCTGTAAGATGGGGATATTAGTTGCATCTGCATGAAAGAGTGGCTGTGAGAGCTATACGTGGCAGGGCTTGGGGAAAGTAGTTTAATGAAATCTAAGCACTGTAAGATTTAATGCTTCCATGTTTCATCCAGCATTATATAAGGAACTCTGCACATGTGGGTACATCTCATGAGCTCCTCAGTTTGCCTCCTGTTGTTTTCTCTGATGTCAGTGTTGTCATAGCTGTTCTTGGAAGAGTTGTTTTAGGCATGTGTCTTGAGGTCCTTCCTGTGGTCACTTTAGTGGGTGACACAGGAGAGGCAGTCTGTGAAGCTCCCTAAGAGCATGGCTGGGGTGGGGGCGGAGTGAAGGGTGAAAGCCTCAGATTGTGTGACTTTGAAGGGAGCCTGGAGCTGAGTTGTTTGGAGAGATGATTTTTCTTGCTGAATGATGACCCTGGACTACATCAGCAGGTCTGACAGGGGCTCTAGACAAAATAAGAGACAATCTGGTACAAATCTGCATAGTTGCTGGAAAAATTAGTGTCCACATTCTTCTTACAGTGCATCCAAAATAAGGACCCAATGTCAAAGTGTAGGCTTAACTGGATGAGAGAAAGGTAGAGAAACTACAGCTCCTCCCTCAGGTCAGATTTAAATTGAGTGGTTACTGATGTCTTTTTTAAAATGTGAAATTTAGTGGAGCTGCCTTTGGAAGTGTGGTATTTATCCCCGCTTTAGTCTGTCTATCCATAGTGGCTGGGAGCTTCAGGTTAGGCTGGCATTCTATGAGGTGTTCTTGGTAAGGATTAGCTGGCCTGGAGTCTCACTATGTCACCAGGCTGGAGTGCAGTGGCGCGATCTCATCTCACTGCAACCTCCACCTCTCGGGTTTAAGACTCTCTTGCCTCAGCCTCCCGAGTAGCTGGAATTACAGGCACACACCACCACACCCAGCTAATCTTTCTGTAGAGGTTATTATTATTCAAGGGTGTTTTTCAGGAAGCTGGTGGACAGTGGTGGGCATTTCTGCTCTGGGATTCAGGTTGTCCTTAGAGGAGAAATTCTAATGATCTGGTAGAACATTAAAAAAAGTTCTCGAATATTTAATTATTAGCTATCAATGTTCTTTTCTGCTGCCCTGTCTCTTCGCTTACTTTATTTCTTGTTCCCCAAGTAATCCACTTCTCAAATTGGCTCCTTGCACATAATGTTTTTTTAAAAAAATTTTTTGCTGATATCTTAATTAGGGAAAATGTCAGCTCTGCGCTTAGCCTTCTTGTTTCTAAACATAGTAAGATGCCTTTGTCCTTCCCCTTAATTGTACTTGCTGCAGAGCTAAGCTGTTAGGTTTGCTTTGAGTGTGTGTGAGCCATCTTTTTGACAAACATAGCATACTTTTTGTGTATATGTGTTAAGATCTTTCATTAAATGTGACTTGATTTATTTATGATTTTGATCTACGACAGGTTTTCTTTTTCATTGCTTCTCAAATTTGCCTTGAAATAGAATTACTTACTGCAGTAAATGATTTGCAGTATGTTTATCCCCTTCTTCTTCGTCCGTAGCAGCTGCTAGTTGAAGTGGGAAATAGGATTCAGTGGTGGAATAAGAATTAGTTTTTTTTGGATATGCCAAATTTCAAATTGACTATATAGCTAACTAACTTGTGTGTAAAGGATATTTAAAAGCCATAAAACTTAATCTTGTCATTTGACTAAATTCAGCCATTTTCATGAAATTGGTATGCATTTATAATTTTCATGTTATGGTCAGCAGAACAGCTTTAGTCTGTGTAGTGGTCATGGGCATGCACTCTGTATCCAGACCTGCCGGCTTTGAATCTGGCCTCCCTATTTCCAAGCTGTGTACCGTGAGACAAATTATTCAACCTCTCTGTTTTAATTGCCTCAGGCTGCTATAACAAAATACCATAGCCTGGGTAGCTTGAACAATATAGATGTGTTTCTCACAGTTCTGGAGGCTGGGAAGTCCAAGGTTAGGATGCCAGTAGATTGGGTATTTGGTGAGGGCCTACTTTCTGGTTTGCAGATGGCTGTCATCTTGCTGTATCCTCACATGGAAAGATAGAGATCATCCATTCATGAGGCCTCCACTCTCATGACCTAATAACCTCCCAAAGGTCTCACGTCCTAATGTCATCACTATGGGGGTTAGGGCTTCACTATGTGAATTTTGGGGGACACAAACACTCAGTCCATAGTAGCACTCTCTATTTGCTTAACTATAAAATGGGGATAATAAAGACATGGACCTACCTTATAACGTTATTGTGAAGATTAAATGAGATAATACATGTGAGGTGCACAGTATAGTGGCTGTTACCAAGTAGGTACAATAGCCAGCCATGCTTTGCTTAGTGATGGGGATATGTTCTGAGAAATGCATCCTTAGGTGACTTTGTTGATGTGTGAACATCATAGAGTGAACTACACACGCCTAGATGGTACAGCCTACGACACACCTAGGTTCTATGGCACAGCCTATTACTCCTAGGCTACAAACCTGTGCATGTGACCATCCTGAATACTGTAGGCAGTTGTAACACAATAGAAGCAATTGTATATCTAAACACATCTACACACAGAAAAAGTGCAGTAAAAATATGGTATTTTAATCTTATGGGACCACTGCTGTATATGTGGTCCACTGTTGGTGGAAATATTATTATGCTGGAAATCCATAAATATCCACTTGGCACAAATAGTACAAATATTCTGTTGTTTTTTTAATTCTATCTTTCATGATTGCTATGGCAAATTAGACTTTTCATATTTGAAGGGGATTTTTTTTTTTTTAGTGAGTTATCTCGGACTGTTAGCAAGCAATTCTGGCTGATGTTAGTCATAAAGTTTACTTGAATTTTCTTTAGTACAATCATCCCTGAAATTATAAAGAGGAAATGAGTTGGTCAAAACGGGTATGTAAATTCAACTTTATTGCTCCACCTGTACAAAAAGGAAGTAGAATAAAAAATAAACATATTTTGTGTTAGGACTTCAGGGAAATTCAGTGTTCAGAAAAATGCTTCCAAATGTCGTAGTACAGAGAAAGTTATTATGAACCTGGTTAACATCTGACTGCGGGTTCTACCAAGTCACCAAACTGGGACATTTCTTTTTTTTTTTGAGACGCAGTCTCACTCTGTCACCCAGGCTGGAGTGCAAAGGTGCGATCTCGGCTCACTGCAACCTCCACTGTCCGAGTTTAAGCGATTCTCCTGCCTCAGCCTCCCAAGTAGCTGGGATTACAGGCGCCTGCCACTGCACCTGGCTAGTTTTTTGTATTTTTAGTAGAGATGGGGTTTCACCACCTTGGCCAGGCTGGTCTTGAACTCCTGACCTCGTGATCCACCCAGCCTCCCAAAATGCTGGGATTACAGGCGTGAGCCACCGTGCCCGGCCCAAACTGGGACATTTCTTAAGATGAGCAAGTGAAACAAAAGTTTCAGTGGTTTATATAGAATCTCATGTTGATGTATATTTATAAGCATGTTTATTTTAAACATCTGAGAGAAACAGCAGAGACTTGCTATGGTGTAACGCTTACTTTCCGACAGTTCACATATTTCCCAAGTTTTAAGGAGTTCCTATTGATGGTAGGTGAGTGATTCTTTTGGTTTTTGAAGAAGGATTAGTTGTGACAACCCCGTGAGCTAATCAGGCAAGTTGAATGTTATTTTATTCTCTGTCATAGATTCAGAAGTTAATATGTGGGTTCCTTAGCAACTAATTTGCAGGTGTAGTCACACATCCAAGTGCGCGTGGAGAACGAGTATCCCAGGTAGGATGTGATGAGAGCATAGGAGGGACTCAGCCTGTGACCAATCATGTCTTTGTGCTTTTAAGGCACAAATGGAGCATGGAGGGGCCGTCTCCATCATACCACCTCCTCTTGCTCCTAGGCGAGCCTAACTTCCTTTGGAAGGGGATATCCAGCCACCTCCTGGTAGATAGTATCTGGCACGACAGTCATATGCTGCACAGGTGTGTGGACTAGGAGCAATAGGCCATACCCTACAGCCTAGGCATGGAGTAGGTTGTACCATCTAGATTGTGTAAGTTCACTCTGTGATGTTTGCACAATGACAGAATCACCTATGGATGCATTTCTCAGAACATATCCCTTTTGTCCCCTCCCCCACCCCATCCTCTTCATGGCCACATGTTGTGTTTTGTCGTTACTATACCTATATCTTGGAGACAGCACTTTTTAAGCATATTTTGGACTTCTCTCTGCCAAAAATGCGGACAAGTGGCCTCTCTTTTGCCCTCAGTGGGTCCTTACTCCCAGTCTGTCTAGTTTCTCCCCTTGATTGAAAGCCTCCTTGAGAGCAGCCACCGCATGATTTTGTTTACTGTTGTGTCCTGGAGTGTAAGACACAGTGCCTTACACAGGGCTGGTGCCCAGAAAGATTTGTGAATGAGTTGGTGAATGAATGAAATTATCTATTTGAACAAACCAAAGCTGGACACACATGGGTAGCCGTATAGCCTGGCTGAGATATGCTTGATCATGAAGTTATGGCTTTATTCATCTGTTGGCAGTGGGATTGACTAATTCTCCCTTCACTCCCTCATGCCCATGGTTGGGCAGCCAGGACCTTCTCACCTAAACATACCATCTGTTGTTGGCTCCTGGCTATCACATTTAGTTACAGGTCTTTCCCCCTTTTAATTTCCGGCTGTTATTAACTATCCTCTATTTCTGATGTAGTAGCATTCTCACTTCCTGCTTTTCAGTTTGACTGGGTTGCAACGGGTCCATTATTTACTCAACTTCTTTCTTTATCGATTTCCTCATCTATAACATGTCAACAATGGTATTGCCTCTCTTACAGGGTAGTTGTGAGGATGAAGGGGTTAAATGCAGGTGAAACCCTTAGAGAAGTGCCTAGCAGTAGTCAGCCTGACACCGACCATGTCTCATGAAAGTCACACAGACCTGCAAGGCTCCTGCAATCTGCCCTTTACTCTTTGCCCTTCCCAGCTACCTCATCGATTTCCTGACTGCTCGTCTTGCCATGGGGACCATCCTTGCATTAACCACAGGAATTTCCAGCAACAGTCCACTACCATATTCCTAGCACTGAGCATAGAGTCTGACAGATGATGTGTGTGATTGGAAGATGCTGTGTTTCTGCCTACCCTTGGCTGCTGGGTGCAGGGCTCAGGGCTCCACAGAGTGAAGGCTACCTCTGCATAATAGCTCTGCGGCCTCCCTGTCTGTATTAGGAAGCTGATGATCATTTATTATTCCAGCAAGCAGTGACAAATCAGCTCTGTGTGTCGGTGAGGATAGGCGAGGCTATGTTACACTCAGGAGTGACCCAAACTTTCAGTGGCTTAAACCGAGCAAGTCATATTCTCACTCGTGCTGTGTAGCTTATATTGGCTGATGTAGGGGTTCTACCCTCACCATCACTCAGGGACCTAGGCTGCTGAGGCTCTGTGTAGACACATGTGGCCATGACTAGCAAGGCAGGCAAGGGTCAGGCGTGGCACCTATCGGCTCCTAAAGCCTCTACCAGGAAGTGCACACATCACTTCACATCAGAGTTCACTGGGCAAAGCAAGTCCCTTAGTCACACCCAACTTCAGAGGGGCAGCAAAGCCCAGCCCTACCCTGTCGCTGGAAGGAGGCCACCAGAATATTCGTGCCTGGTCTTTGATGCTCCCGTGACCAAGGATGGGTTTGCGATAAATGGAGTGGGGCCCCACTGTTCTCAGGGCTTCTAAAAAGGAATGCCCCTTGCCACATCTCCACCCTCAGTTCCGATAATTAATTGTTTTATTTAATCAGGGAGAAAAGACATTAATTCCAGGAAGCTTAGCAAACAGGCGGTTCCTCTAGGTATGGTCTTCAAAAGCCCTCAGGAGCAATTTTCCCATCCACTTTGAAGGATATAATTCCACTGTTGGTCTGAAGAGCAAATGCCCTGCGTAATTTAGAGCTGGGCCTCAGAGGGGAGTGTGTTACCGGACAGTCCCCTCAGCAAACTCAGTTATTCCACTGGGCTTTTGCTGAGCCCTGCTGTGTGTTTGGACTTTATGTGACCTTCAATACTGACTGATCCATAGGCTTGTCATTGCATAGGTGAGCTCCACATCCTGTCAACTTGATTTTGACAATCTGAAGCTGGAAAAGCTTTGGGGAGCAGCGCCTCTGCACACTGTGTCAGGACCTGGGCTTCCGGGGCTCCAGAGTGGTTGATAAACATCATGGCGGCTCAGAGAGGGAGAAGCCAACCAACAGTGTTTGCTAGAGGCCAAGGTGGGGTCAGGGCCTGAGGCGGGGGATGACCTGAAGCTGGGGACGGCCTGGACCAGTAGGTGGCTGACTCAAAGACTGAGCACTGAGAGCCTGGGGAAGAAAGGGGGAGAAAGTTCAGGAAATGGATACCAGCTGGGGGTGGCTGCTAAGAATGAGGCAAAGCTGGAGAAGTTGCTGGGGTCCAACCAGGAGGACCTTGTGGGCCAAGCCAGGGAGTCAGAATTTTCAGCTGAGTGAGGAGCCATGGAAGCAGTGGTGTGGGGTGGTCAGGTTTGACTTTTCTTTTAAGTTATGCTTGACTTAGTCTTTTTTTTTTTTGAGACGGAGTTTCACTCTTGTCGCCCAGGCTGGAGTGCAATGGTGCAATCTTGGCTCACTGCAACCTTCGCCTCCTGGGTTCAAGAGATTCTCCTGCGTCAGCCTCCTGGGTAGCTGGGATTATAGGCACCTGCCACCATGCCCAGCAAATTTTTGTATTTTTAGTAGAGACAAGATTTCATTCACCATGTTGGCCAGGCTGGTCTTGAACTCCTGACCTCAGGTGATCTGCCCACCTTGGCCTTTCTCTTTCTCTGTGTGTGTGTGTGTGTGTGTGTGTGTGTGTGTGTGTGTGTGTGTTTGCATGCTTTTAACTTCAACTTTTAAGTTCGGGGTATAAGTGAAGTTTTGTTATATATGTAAATTTTTGTTATGGGAGTTTGTTGTACAGATTATTTTGTCACCCAGGTATTAAGATGAGCACCCATTAGTTACTTTTTCCTGATCCTCTCCCTCCTCCCACCCTCTACCCTTAAGGCCCTAGTGTGTGTTGTTCTCCTCTGTGTGTCCATGTGTTCTCATCTTTTAGCTTCTACTTTTGGGAATGTGTGGTATTTGGTTTTCTGTTCCTGCATTAGTTTGCTAAGGTTAATGGCCTCCAACTCCATCCATGTTTCTGCAGAGGACATGATCTCTTTCTTTTTATGGCTGCGTAGTATTCTATGGTGTATATGTACCAACTTTTCTTTATCTAGTCTATCATTGATGGGCATTTAAGTTGATTCCATGTCTTTGCTAATGTGAATAGTGCTGCAGTGAACATACATGTGCACTGTCTTTATGATAGAACGATTTATATTTTTTGACTACAGGATCTTGACAAGATTTACATTCCTTGACCACAGTTAAATGGTACTTGACTTAGTCATTGTTTTTTATTTTTTACATGCTTTACTTCTTGGCATGATTTGTATTTCTACAACTGATTGGTTTTCACAATATTTGTTTTAATCCCAAAGATATATGTTACACCGAATAACCACATCACATTTAATCTGATCCTTTTCAATATTTTTTCACTCACACAGAAGACTCAACAATGTAAAAAAACTGAAGTAGAATATTATATTCTAACATAGTTTTAGTCACTGTTGGAGAAAGGTCTGTTTATTATCAGGGTTTCTTTATTTTATTGGGTGGTTGTTCTAATTTGTTGTTTTGTCAAAATTTAACCTTGTATTTATGTGCTTAAAACATTAAGGATCTCTAATTTAGAACAGATTAGTCTTCTGGATTAATTAGTCTTCTTCTAGATTTGCTGGTTTGATGGTGAAATAATGTATTTTCATGAATCTTCTTTTGGTAATAGCTTAATTAAATGATCAGACAAATGTTTATACAACACATTCTAAAATCATACATTTTGTTCAGAAGAGATTGAAGGTGAATTGGAATTTTAAAAAGACCCTTCTGTGCTCAGGGCATGCCTTCCTGATGGGCGGGTCCTGCGGAAGATTGATCGGTGTGGGAACAGAAGAACAGGAATTACCTTTTTTTTTTTTTTTTTTTTTTGAGACGGAGTCTCGCCCTATTGCCCAGGCTGGAGTGCAGTGAAGTAATCTCGGCTCACTGCAAGCTCTGCCTCCTGGGTTCATGCCATTCTCCTGCCTCAGCCTCCTGAGTAGCTGGGACTACAGGCGCCCACCACCACGCCCGGCTAATTTTTTGTGTTTTTAGTAGAGACAGGGTTTCACCATGTTAGCCAGGATGGTCTTGATCTCCTGACCTCATGATCCACCCGCCTAGGCCTCCCAAAGTGCTGAGATTATAGGTGTGAGCCACTGCGCCTGGCTAGGAATTACCTTCTTATGGGACATTTTTTCTTACAGGATTTTTTATTTTTTTATTTTTAATTTTTTAATTATTATTTATTTATTAATTTTTTAGACAGATTCTTGCTCTGTCACCCAGGCTGGAGTGCAATGGCATGATCTCGGCTCACTGCAACCTCTGCCTCCCAGGTTCAAGCAGTTCTCCTGCCTCAGCCTCCTGAGTAGCTGGGATCACAGGTGTGCGCCACCATGCCCGGCTAATTTTTGTATTTTTAGTAGAGACAGGATTTTGCCATTTTGGTCAGGCTGGTCTCAAACTCCTGACCTCAGGTGATCTGCCTGCTTCAGCATCTCAAAGTGCTGGGATTACAGGTGTGAGCCACCGCACCTGGCCCTTACAGGATGTTGTAATTAACCTTTGTTCACTCACTAAATTCCTCCTTCTTGTAAGTTCTTTTTTCTGGACAGCACTGAGATCAATCCGTGAGGGTCTGTGTACTCCCTTCTCCTCGAAAGCACCAGGTGAAGGGTGATGCATTTAAACTATTTGATAGCACTCTCCACCCCTCACACCCCATTTCTTAATCTATTTCTGTTGACACAGCGCCACCCCAGACAGGGATCATAATGCAATAGAGCAGATGTCAGTGTTCCTTCATGACTTGCTCTACATTCTAGTCCCATTTCTCAGGGCCACTGTTATTGGATTTGAGCGAGAGTCTAGCCTCTTGATTGGATAAGGAAGACACCTGGCTATCCTTGATTGCATTTGGAAAACATTCTGCTTTTTTTTTTTGTGGAAGATTGAGAAATACTCTAGTCTCATCTTCAATATAGTATCAAGTCATCTTTTATGTTGGAGGCTTTCTGTTGATGGCTAAACTCGTCATTTTGATATTGATTGCTTTTGCTTTTCTTTCGGTAGAGAACATTTCTGACTTTATATTCTAGGATTGCTCCCATTTGAAACCTTCGAAACCTTTCTTCAGACTGATACAGAATGCTTTATTATCAAGCACACCTCTGGATAAAACTGTGGATTCCTTGGCACCAACAGCCACAGTTTGGAATCTTGACCCTGAGTAGTTCTAACTGAATCCAGCAGCTTCTACTCACCTTTCTGTTCTTTTAAATGGGTCACATAAATCTGTCCCCCAACCCCCCAACACAGAACCCCTCCAGGCATCTACAGGAGGGTGAAAGCTGATGGTCACCCTTCAGCAAGGCTTTCTTAGGTGCGTAGCCTGCCCTTGATTCCAACTTGTAAGTTAAAGGTGAGAAAAGGATGATTTTGGTCAAATTCTCCCTTGATGCCTGACCCAGGGCAAACCATGTCACCTTTCTTATCCTTCTGCATGCTATATTTTGAGGTTCTGTCTCATGGCTTAAAATGCTGTCTATATACTGGTGAATCACAAATGTATATCTCTAGCCTGGACGCGTTTATGAAACTTTATTCTTATATCTCCAACTTCCTCTTCAATGTCTCCACCTGAACACTTAGTAAGAAGCTCAGCCTTAGTATGCCCAAAGCCCAGCCCCTGATCTTCAACCCCACTTTTCTCCACGGCACTTCCTCCCCACTTTATGCATGTTAGGAATGGCAACTTTATCCTAACAGTTGTTCAAGGCAGAAACCTTAAAGTCATCCTAGATCTCTGTATTTTGCCTTTTTTTTTTTTTGAGATGGAGTCTCTCTGTCACCAGGCTGAAGTGCAGTTGCATGATCTCAGCTCACTGTAACCTCCGCCTCCCAGGTTCAAGCGATTCTCCTGCCTCAGCCTCCCAAGTAGCTGGGACTACAGGCGCATGCCAGCACACCCAGCTAATTTTTGTATTTTTAGTAGAGACGGTGTTTCACAATGTTGGCCACGACGGTCTTGATTTCTTGAGCTCGTGATCCACTCTCCTCGGCCTCTTAAAGTGCTGGGATTACTGCGGTGAGCCACCACACCCAGCGTATTTTGCATTCTGTAGTCAATTTGTCAGCAAATCCCATTGGCTCTACCTTCAAAATAGACCCAGAGTCTGTCCTTCTCTACCTTGGTCCATACCACTAAGTTCTCTTGCTTGTATTACTTTTGCAGCCCCTACCTGCCCTCCCTTCTTCCTCTCTTGCTCCCTATCCTCAACCCGGATGCCAGAGTGATCCCGTTAATATAAGTCAAATGGTGTACAGTGGCTATGTCTTTACACTGGTCTGTACCACCTGTGTGATCTGACTCCCCCACCCTACCCACACGGTTACCTCTCTGATCCCCTACTTCTTTGCCCTTCACTCTCTCTGCTCCCGACATTGGCCTCCTTGGTCCTCACATGTTTTCTCCTCTGGGCTCTGCAGCTTACTGTTCCCTCTGTCTGGAACGTTCTTCTACATGGTTCCCTCCCTCACCTTCAGGACCTTATCATACGTCAGGCTCCCAGTGAACCTTCCAGGATCAACTGTTGTTGAAATGGCAGCAGCCTCCATACTTCCTGGCTCCTTTTCCTGCGTTGCTTTTCCCTGTAGCACTTATCTCCTGCTAACATTATTTTGCACATCTAAAAGCTAGGAGTGCAAAGATTCTGTCAATTTTGTTTCCTGCTCTATTCCCAGCATCTGGAACAATGCCTGGCATATAGCAGACATTCAATAAGTATCTGTGGAGTGATTGTATCCACCAGATGTTTTTTACTGACTGTGTGCAAAGAACAGTTCTCGAAATTGGGAGAGACACAAGTACATCAGATGTGTGTATGTCTCTCAGAGCATCCGCAGCAGTGTGACAGAGGGCAAGGACCATAACACCTGCTCTTAGAATCTTCATTTAAGCACCATAGATCCTTGATTGAATCTGGAAAACACTCTGCTCTCCTTGTGGAAGATTGGGGAAATATTCTGGTCTCATCTGCAATATAGTGTCAAGTCATCTTTTATGCTGGAGGCAATATAGTACCTGTATATTTAACTGCTTGGTAGTGGATGTTTGCTATTCTTTAGCATCTCAGAGAGTATAGGGGAAATCTGCGTGTTTGAGTACTTATGCACATTGAATGTGGTTATTGACATGAAATTCAAAGGTGAGACTTTAAAAGAGGGAGACCTTACCCTGCTGACTATTCATGAAGGAAATGGTTTCAGGCAATGGAGTGGTCTCTGAACTGGGATTTGAGGTGTAGATAGGGAAAGAAGAGGGTTCCAGGTACAGATTACTGTGTGCACAGAGGCTGGAGCTTGCTGACTCAGTGTCTGGGAATGAGCACCATTCCAGATTCTGTTTGTTTCTCAATGTCTCCCTAAAGGATACTACTGAATCCTCTTCTCGGAGTCCTCACACAGCATGAAATTCCATGCATGAGATTTGATTGGCTGCAGGTTTAGGCTGGTCCGTTTTGACTTTTCCCATTCATTCTGTGGGCTTGATTTGGATGCCGCCTGGGCTGCCTGGTTATTTTGTTGTCTCTAAATTCTGGCCCATATTATTTGTGTTGTACTTGAGTCTGCTAGAGCAGTGGTCCCCAACCTTTTTGGCATCAGGGGCTAGTTTCACGGGAGACAATTTTTTTCACAGACTGGGGGTTGGGTGCAGATGGTTTCGGGATGAAACTGTTCCATCTCAGATCATCAGGCATTAGATTCTCATGAGGAGCATGCAACCCAGATCCCTTTCGTGCGTGGTTCACAATAGGGTTTGCACTCCTATGAGAATCTAGTGCTCCCACTGATCAACAAGAGACAGGGCTCAGGCGGTAATGCTTTCTTGCCCATGTTCACCTCCTACTGTGTGGCCTGGTCCCAAACAGGCCATGGACCAGTACCACTGTGCTTTAAAGGAAATTCAGACTGGCAAATTACCTATCTGCTCCAGGTATCTGTTGTTGCATGCCACAAAACACCCCCCAAATCTCAGTAGCTTAACACAATATGTGTTATTATATTTCATGGTTCTGGGGGTTGATAGGACTCAGCTGGATGGTTCCCTCTTGGGCTCTCTTACACAGCCGGAGTCAGATGGTGGCTGGGTCTGGAATCATCCGAAGACTGGACTGGGCTGGTTTTCCACGATGGTTCCTTCACCTACAGGTCTGGCTTCTTGCCCTCTCTGTTTCCACACAGTGTCTCATCTTTCAGGGCCTCTCATCTTTTGGGACTGGTACTAGTCCATGGCCTGGGTCTTGGGACCCCTGTGCTAGAGGATGACATGGCACAGTCACACATTTGGCTGACCTTTTAGTGGGAGGGAGATAGACCCTGGAATATTCTGAGTGATCAGTTCTCTTTTCCCAGTTATCTTTTTCTTACTCTGTTGTTTAAGTACAGAGTATAAATCATTTTTTGTATAGGCTGTTCCTGGCAGATATGGGCCAAGCTTTGATTCATAGAGAGAAGGAAGCTTAGACGTTACCAAGACCAGTGCTTCCCAAATCTCCTGATTATCCAAATCACCGAGGGAGCTTTAAAAAGTCACTCAAGGCTTGTTTAATCAGCATCTCCAGGACACAGGAAGAAGAAAAAGAGGAGGAAAAAGAGGAGGAAGAGACAAGGATGTCTCACATGTGAGAAAATCTCAGAGACTGCTACACTAGATGGAAAGTTGCCTATGTCAGTGGTCCCCAAATGCCACACTACTCAGAAAGACAGGAAAACAAGAAAAAAAGTACATTTTCTTTATTAGAATTGGAGTGTGTAGATGTCTGTATCAGAGTCTGCATTTTCAAAAGAATTTCCAGGAGTGAGTAAGAGAAAGGAAGATGAAGAAGAAGAGAGCTACGACGGGAAAGAGATCGGAAATGAGAAGATGGACTTGGCTTGCATCCTGCAGATAATGAGTAAATGCTGAAGTCCTCGATGGAGGGCCAGGGCTGGGAGAAGGGGAGGAGGGAGGGGTGGGAGGTAGCTGTATACATCTGGAGGAGGGAGGGGATGACATCTGCCTCTGCTGGGTCACTCAGATCTGGAATGTCCTTGCAAGGAAGCCCATTCTGATTTTGAACAGCTGCTCTTGATAAAAGCTCATTCCCCATTTCCTTCTACCATTCATAGGATGTAGCTCTGGAGCCCCCTGTCCTAAGCCTCCTTATCCTGGCTTCCATCCACTTCTTCAGCAGGCATTTATTGAATGCCTAATGTGGGTGACATGGTTTGGCTGTGTCCCCACCCAAATCTCATCCTGAATTGTAGCTCCCATAATTCCTGCGTGTTGTGGGAGGGACCCTGTGGGAGATCATTGAATCATGGGGGGCGGTTTCCCTGATACTGTTCTTATGGTAGTGAATGTCTCACGAGATCTGCTGGTTTTGTAAAGGGAAACTCCTTTTGTTTGGTTTTCATTTCTCTCTTGCTGCTGCCATGAAAGCAGTGCCTTCCGCCTTCTGCCATGATTGTGAGGCCTCCCCAGCCATGTGGAACTGTGAGTTCATTAAACCTCTTTTTCTTTATGAATACCCAGTCTCGGGTATGTCTTTACCAGCAGCGTGAGAACAGACTAATACAGTGGGCATGGTTTTCTTATTTTGTTTTTTTCTCTAAATCCCTCTTCCATTTCTGTTACCTTCCACTTATCCCAAGAAATGGTTACTTAACAAATTCAAAACACTTATAAGGATTTGGACACAGCTTGAGCCAAGATTTATCTTTCTTTGGCAACCCCTGTTTGTTTTGTCTCTTGAGAGTATGTACAAAATGATACTGTAAACAGGATTTTAAGTGGCATGTGTAATTTAGTGAAGAGAACCAAATAATGTTCTACTACAATTTGTATGCCAATTATAAATCATGCTTTTCCATTAATTAAAGGAGTAGCTCTTTGATTATCTACCAGTAGGATGCAAAAATGATTAAATAGTGTTTTATTTAAAATATTTTACATTTTATTAAACCACCTTGGCTTCTGACTACTCCTAACTCACCTCGCCTTTAGCACAAACAGTTCTGTCCTTGGTGAATCTGATAAAATGATTTGCTTGTTCAGCTATAAAACGTAAAAGAGGCTCTTATAATTTGTTGCATAGTTTAAGACCCTGTTTTGTTTGACCACTGCTTGGGGGTTGATGTTTGTTATTCTTTAGCATCTCAGTGAGTACCGGGGAAGTCTACTTGTTTGAGTACTTACACATGTTGAATACAATTATTGACACTGATTTAAAGGTGAGATTGACTCAGTTCATAAATATGACAGTTGATCCAGGAGGCATTCTGTCTGGAATAAATTGATAAAGGCAAAAGTTATAAAAAGAATATGTGTCTGCTTTTGCTTTGTACTTTACTTACATACCTAGAGCAGTTACTAGTTATAGCCTTTTGAATATAACCTGTATGACCATCTTCAAATCTGTCTCAATTTCAAGAGGAGGTTACTCATGCAATTATGTGGGTTACTCTTATTCTTAACTTGAACATTTCAGAAAATGAGTTTTATGGTAGTTTTAAGCCTAAGCATTTTACATGGCAGAGAGCTCCGGTTTATTCACTCAATAACAAATTGCAGTATATGTGTGTGTGTGGATACCATGTTATACATGGGGGCTAAAAAAATAAATGAAATGCAGTTCCTGCCCTCAAGGAGCTCTTAGTTTGCTAGTGGAGACAACTGATACACATCTGGATTGACATGTTTTGTTTTTGAGATAGAGTGTCGCTATTGCCCAGGCTAGAAAGCAGTGGTGCTATCTCGGCTCACTGCAACCTCTGCCTCCTGGGCTCAAGCTATCCTCCCACCTCAGCCTCCTGAGTAGCTGGAACTACAGGCACCCACCACCATGCCTGGCTAATTTTTGTATGTTTATACAGATGGGGTTTCACCATGTTGCCCAGGCTGGTCTTGAGCTGAAAGTGATCTGCCCACCTTGGCCTCCCAAAATGCTGGGATTACAGGCATGAACCACCATGCTCAGCCCCTTGTTTTGTTTTTTTATTGTTGTAAAATACACATAATATAAAATTTAACATTTTAGCCATTTTTAAGTGTACAGGTCAGCTACATTAAGTACATTTACTATTTTTTTTTGCAACCATCCCCACCATTCATCTCCCGAACTTTCTCATCTTCCCAAACTGAGACACTGTGCCCATTCTTGATGGGTTTTAATATGCCTAGGACCACAGAGCTATGGGAGGCCAGAGGACAGGAAACTCCCAGTTCTAAGGCAGTGTCAGGTCATGGGCAGTGATTGGCCTGAATGCCCCTTGCCCATCTTCTGCTGTGTCCAAGGACTGAAGACCTGCCACTCTGCAGCTTGGTCGCTGTCTGGGCTGAAGAACCTGTCTCAGTGAGTGGGGGACTGGGATTCTCCTCTCTTGTGTCAGAGAGACTAAAACCGTAGTTCTGCTAGACCTCTCACCCCTTTCTATAAATAGGAGCATCAATGGGGCCTTCCAAAGGAAGTCATTGCAATACACTGTTGTTAAGCCTTCTGAGCTTCTAGCTGTACTGCCTGGAACAGCCTAGAAACTGGCAAAGATTTATGGTCATTGAGGGCAACTGGGCAACAATAAATCTTCAGCCCTGCTTGCCTTTATAGCATCTGTGTAAGCTTGCTGGTTCAGAGCCACTGGGACTCAAAGTAAATCATTCAGTCAGTCACTCAGCAGATAATTATGGACCGCCCACTAGGTGTGAGACATTCTGTTTCTCCTTTCTTTTATGTCAATATTTAGCAGAAGTAGTAGCAAGGCATCCAATTCTTGAATCTAGTTTCTCTTCTAAGGACTTTTTTTTTTTTTGAATCTCTAAGGTTGTTTTGAGTATGTTCTCCTCAATCCAAATTGTTCCCTGCTCAGGAGAAAATAAAGCTCTGGGGAGAGGCTTAACCATTTAATCATGTACCATTTAACACCTCTTTCTGGGAATGGAAACATAGATCAGCATAAAGAACTTGTCCCATTAGTATTTGCCACCGTTTTTCCTTTGAAAAGTAAAGATGTGTTTCAATCACTTCATTTGTTAAAATTAAAGCATGGCCTCTCCTTCTCCCTGTCCATCTGCTGTGACTTGTGATCTGATTTGAGTGTCTGTTCTAGTAGCAGAAGCAGCAGAGGTAGATGAGACAACAATTTACTGCCTCAGTGGAAACTTACTTCATGGCCGAGTCAGAATAACACAGTTGGAGTTTTTAAAATTAATTGGAATTTTATTCTACACTACTTGTCTGGAGTCTAAGCTACAAAGCTGTTGTTGTAAAGGTGAAAATCTAGCCTAATCAGTGCCAATGGCATTTGCAGAAGATGCCAAGAACTTCCTGGGTCTCAGGAAGGCTGGAATGTACTTGTCCTCCCTTCTCCCTCCCTCCAGTAAACACAACCTTCCACCCTCCCCTCAGGCTCCAGCTGCTGCTTGCTGCACCTCTATAGATCCCGAGTTTGGGAACTGGCTGGAGTCTCTGTTGAAGGACTGGAGAAGGTTACAAGGATTGTCTCTGCCCCTGCCTACCTCAGGCCTCCCAGAGGTGGGGGATGAGGGAGTCTGTGGAAGAGGAAAGAACTAAGGGAGGAGCCCAGTGTGAGAGGCTCTGCTCCCGCCTGCGGCACTTCCCTGCACCTGCCACAGGTCCAATTCATGGGAACAGCTGGACTTTCTAGCCACTGTCGTTGGTCTAGGAAGTTAAACTGTGGGCCTCTTACCCACCGCAGTCACTCCCTGGAGGTGGCCTCAGAGCTCTGGCTCCAGAGGGCACCTGTCTTGCATGGAGAGGTAAGAAATGTTTGAGTTGAACTGAATATTCGCTGCCGGCCTGGGGTCGGTGAGATTAGTGAGAAGGGAACAGGTGGCGTAAAAGCTAATGGGATGCTTTAAGATTGGCACATTGCTGATTTCCAGGCTGCCGTGGGAAGGCTGGTGGTGGGTATCCAGGTTGCTGTAGCGGGGTGGAGAGAAAGCACCTCCTGTTTTCCAATGTGGAGGCAATCTGGCCATGACATCTGTGTCCCTGCCCGCCACGGTGGAGGAGGGCCTGGATGCCCGGCTTTGTGTGCCCCTGGCCGCCACGGTGGAGGAGGGCCTGGATGCCCGGCTTTGTGTGCCCCTGGCCGCCACGGTGGAGGAGGGCCTGGATGCCCGGCTTTGTGTGCCCCTGCCCTTCACGGTGGAGGAGGGCCTGGATGCCCGGCTTTGTGTGCCCCTGCCCGCCACAGTGGAGGAGGGCCTGGATGCCCAGCTTTGTGTGCCCCTGCCTGCCACGGTGGAGGAGGGCCTGGATGCCCGGCTTTGTGTGCCCCTGCCCGTCACGGTGGAGGAGGGCCTGGATGCCCGGCTTTGTGTGCCCCTGCCCTTCATGGTGGAGGAGGGCCTGGATGCCCAGCTTTGTGTGCCCCTGGCCGCCACGGTGGAGGAGGGCCTGGATGCCCGGCTTTGTGTGCCCCTGCCCGTCACGGTGGAGGAGGGCCTGGATGCCCGGCTTTGTGTGCCCCTGCCCTTCACGGTGGAGGAGGGCCTGGATGCCCGGCTTTGTGTGCCCCTGGCCGCCACGGTGGAGGAGGGCCTGGATGCCCGGCTTTGTGTGCCCCTGCCTGCCACGGTGGAGGAGGGCCTGGATGCCCGGCTTTGTGTGCCCCTGGCCGCCATGGTGGAGGAGGGCCTGGATGCCCGGCTTTGTGTGCCCCTGGCCGCCACGGTGGAGGAGGGCCTGGATGCCCGGCTTTGTGTGTCCCTGCTGTGGCTGCGTGGTTGTCAGGTGACCATCCTCTCCAGGGAGGGGAGAGCTGCCCCTTGCTGAGGGAGGGTGTGCATGGCTTGTTCCCCTGCCAGAATGTCCCATTCCTTGACATTTTGACCAGTCTTGCCACATTCTATGGGTTAAGACCTGGATGATTACAAAAGTTGTGGAAGATGGTTTTCTTGACGGTCTTGTTTGCAATGGAGGTGCCAGCAGGTGCTGAGAAACACTGAGGGACCTCAGCAATGCCATCTGTTCTCAGAGGGGCTCAGGAGAAGCAAAGATGAGCAGTGGCCGAGGAATGGTGCCGCTGACATAGTCCGGGCAGCCCCGCTGGCACTTATGCTGCTGAGCTTGGCTTCCACAGCCAGGGAAAAGGGTGTCTTTCTGTAGCAGCCATCTGCCTCGCTCATCATCAGTTGTGATGATTTTGTCTTACCTGCCAAGTGGTAGTTCTTACGTCTTGCAGATCTTTGAATCCTCAGCACCTAGCACAGTGCCCTGCCTGCAGTAGGGGTAACATAGCCAGGAAGCACAGCATGCACGATTGTTTTCTCCAAAAGATGTGCAGAAATCAGTGACCAGACAGAAGTGGTAGGCTTCTTCTTTTTTTTTTTTTATTGTCACCATCTATAATGGAATGGCATCCTTTACTTAAACTCAACACCTTTGGAAGCACTGGCTCTCAGAGGCTAATGCCTGTGGCTCCCAACTATGGTGACTTGTGATACCTCACTCAGATATGACGGGTCAGTGGCTTTGGAGGGGGTTCTCAGGAATCTGCATTTTTACAAGTTCATGGGGGTGATTCTGGGGCAGGTATTTTATGAATGTGAATCATAACTTGAAAAAGAACAGGCTTTCAGCTGAGGCACGGCTATCATTCGAATGTGTCCCCTCCAAAATTCAGGTGTTGAAATTTAATGGCTAAAATGATAATATTAAGAGGTGGCCCTTTAAGAGGTGATTAGGCTCTGAGAGCTCCTCCCTCATGAATGAGATCAAGGCCCCTGTGAAAGAGGCTTCATGCAGCATTCCATTTCACCTTCCTCTGATCTGTGTGAGGACACTGTGTTCTGGAGGGTGCAGCAAGGAGGCATCATCTTGGAAGCAGACACCTAGTCCTCACCACACAATAAACCCACCAGCCTCTTCATCTTGGACTCCAGAACCAAGAAAAAAATTTCTGTTCATGGTCAGGCATGGTGTCTCACACCTGTAATCCCAGCTCTTTGGAGGCTAAAGTGGGAGAATTGCTTGAGCCCAGGAGTTCAAGACCAATCTGGGCAATATAGTGAGATGCCATCTCTGCAAAATTTTTAACATTAGCCAGGCTTAGTGGCACGCATCTGCAGTTCTAGCTCCTCAGTAGGTTGAGGCAGGAGGATCGCTGGAGCCCAGGAGTTCAAGGTTACAGTGAGCTATGATTGTGCCACTGTATTATAGCCTGGGTGACAGAGCGAGAGCCTGTCTCTAAAAAAAAAAAAAATCTGTTCTTTATACATTACCCAGCCTTTTGTATTTTGTTAGAGCAGTGCAGATGGACTAAGTCAGATACGCTCTGGAAATGGATTTTCCAAGTGGGGAATAAACAACGAGGAAGGTAACTCTGTGTCATTTCCACTTTCTTACACCTGGGGTGCTTCACACTTTAATTTTTGTCACACCTCGTGTAATCCCCTTGGTACTCTTTAACATTAATCTTGAAGAACACCTTACATTTTTGGTAGCATTATTGAAACCAGTTGATATATTAATATTTGAGGGCTTTTATAGGATATATATATATACACACACACATACACACACATGTACACAACACACACACACACAACACACACATACACACATACCTGTAGGATGTACAATGAAAAACCAGTTAACTTTCTGAAGTACAGGATTTTAAATAGACTCTATTTGAGCCCTGGAGATTGGCAGTAGTCTCGGCTACCCCTCATGGTGCCGGGGTCCGAATTACTCGCCTCTCTGGGACAGCTCCCTTTTCTCCCTCCCTTGTGATCTTGCATCCAACCCTTCCTTAACCAAGTCTGCAGACTTAGGTTTGTCCTCACCCTAAGGTGAACCAGCCAGCTCCTGTTCTCAGTCTGGGGAGTGCTCCTTTTCCACTGCTGAGCAGAGACTGGAGCAGGAGACACAGTGATGCGTCTCATGGCCCTGCCCCTGGCTCTCTTCCCTTTGGACACACCCCTAGGTGCAGCTGTGGCCTCCTCTGTAACAGGTCTGCAGAAGAGCAAGATTAGAAGCAGCCATATCCCCTACATTTGTAACAGGAGAGGCCCAGACCTCCAGCTGGGGGATTAACATGTTCTCCAGAAATGGCTAGTTACTCCCAAACTTGCTTCTTTCCTCCAAGTCTTCACTGAGAGCCTGAATCCATTCATATCTGCCTCACAAGGAGTGTGGTCCCCTGAGTGTGTGAAAGCTGTCGTCATCCTCTAAGTTTCCATGGAGTTTCCTGGGCTCCAGCTGGCTGTGGATACCAGGGCTTGAATGTGTTGGGTGCCTGGAGCCGCATGTCTGAAGGGCTCTGCTCTCCTCCCTTGCTGCTCCAAAAGTCACGGAAGTCAAAAGGGAGAAATCATTCCCCAGCCATGCTGCATCCTGAAAGGCACATAGCACAAGTTGTAGGGGCCATACATTTTGAGGTCAGATTGTCCAGGTTTGGAACTAAGGAAGCGATCGGCCCTATTGGGCAGGATACTCAGACATTCCATCTGTAAATAGAGATGATGATAATACTCACCTCAGGGAATTGTTTGTTATTTTATTTACAAAATGATTATCGGGGTCATGTGTCAGGCGCTATCCCAGGCACTGCTCTTGGTCCTCCAGTATGGGGAGGCAGACTGAGAAATGTGAATTGGAAGAGTGTGGAAAGTGCAGCGAAAGAGAGGTGCAGGGCATTCTAAGTTTCCAGGGCTGGGAGGTTGACCTCATCACAAGTCTGGCGAAGACATTTTGCTTTAGGAAGTGATGGCTGACACGAGATAACAAGAAGAGTGTCCTACACATGCACCCAGCACGTGCAAAGGCCCTGTGGAGGCCTGGCTGGGGAGTGTCCTGAGGGATCGGAGGAGACCAGCGGAGTTAGAGCTCAGGGAGTTGGGGTGAGGCATTGAATGGAGAGGAGGCCGGGAGCCCAGCAGGGGAAGCCTTCCAGGCAGAGGTAAGACTGTTGGTCCTAAGACTGGTAGGAAGCCACCCGTGAGTTCTAAGCTGGTGAATGACAGATCTGTGTTCTTAAAGTTGCTACTCTGGCTACAGAGTGGAAACTGGGATGGCGGAGGCATGAGGGTGAGTTTATGGAAGCCAGTTAAGAGGCTCCTGCTATAGCTTATGCAAAAGATGATTTAGCTTTCACTAGGGGGGCAGTGGAGGTGGTACAAAGTGCAGGTTCAGGAGACGGTAAGCCATAGAATTGACAGTTATGGTGATGGATTGGATGGTGGCGACAGGGAGAGGAGGGGTCAGGAGTGAAGTATTCCATGAACCGTCACATTGCCTGCATAAACATGCATTACAGGTAAACGATTATGGTAATAATTTACAAAGAAGCATGCCCTTTGCTCTGCTCATTTCACAAGGCAGCTCTGGTTAAATGACTTTTTATTTTGGACTGGCCTCATTCCCTAAGACCAAAGGCAGCTGAGCCTGTGTGCCCCGGGGGCCTGCCCTCTGACCCTGGTGTAGCCTTGCATCAAGCGTGAGCTCCTCTCTCGCCTCTCTGCTGTGTGGTGTGAGGAAGGTAGTGCAAGGAATGTTCTAGCAAGTTTCTCATCCTCATGCAGAACATCCCTGGTGGGTGCCCACCCCACAACAAGGCTTGCCAGCCTTGAGTCTCTGTTAATCTCTGTGTCCCTCCCCTGTACCCCCACTCTGTCACGCAGGCTGGGTCCCACGGAAGAGGCACTGCCTGGCTCCGGCTGGCTTTTCCCAGATCAAGCCCACACCTCCTTGCCTCAGGCTGTCCTGGTGTCTGGCTTTGCTTCTCCCTCTCTCATTGGCACCCTTGCTGTTCTTAGGTTTGTCCCTTTCTCATTGGCACCCTTGCCGTTCTTAGGTTTGGGGCAGGCCCGTGTCTTGTCAGCAGCAACCCTGGCTCCTCTCAACCAGGAGCTGGAGTCCCCATTGGGCAGAAGAAGCTTCGGCCGACTTTGCCGCTCCTTTGCCGCCGGGACAGCCCTGCAGGCTCTTCTCTGGGAGGGTCCCCATGGTGCCCTCCCACACAGCCTGGCCTGGTCTCAGGGCTGAAGCTGAGGACCTGGGTGTGCCTCAGTTGGCTGAAGGTCATTGTATGACTCACACCTGGACCTTTTGCCCAGCCCTCGGCTGTAAGAAGAACCAGCAGAGCCAGTCACAGGAAGGCCTGGCCCTCACCTTCCTGGGTTCAGCCACCACCAACACATTAGTCTTGGTCTTTTGTTTTGTTTTGTTTTAATTTAATCACTTAATTTTTTAAAAGCATTTTAGATTTACAGAAAAATTGAGCCAAAAACACAGAGAATTCTCATCTACCCCTTTCTTTCTCCTCCCTCCAGTCCGGTTGTCCTTTTTCTTAACATCTTGCATTAGTGTTGTATCTTGGTTACAATTGCTGAGACAATCTTGCTACATTATTATTAGCTAAAGCTCATCATTTCCATTCAGACTCACTCTTTGTGTTGTACATCCTGTGGGTTCTGGGGTTGTGTGTCATTTTCCTCTAATTGGGTTTTGGCAAATGTGTGATGATATAGATGCACCCTTATAAGATCACACAGGTTTTCTGGCCTGAAAATTGCCCTGTGCTCTGCCTTAGTCATCTCTCTTTCCTCATTGGCCCCTGGCAATCCCTGATGGTTTTACTATCTCCATATTTTAGTCTTTTCCAGAACGTCCTGTAGTTGGAATCATGCGTATGGCAACTTTCCATTTTGGCTTCATTCACTTATGGATCTGCATTTAAGGTCCTTCGTGTCTTTTCATGCTTGATGGCCCATATCAGCAATGGTCTTTTATACTCCAAGTGCAGTGTGTCTGCTCACCGGCTGGAGGCCTTGCGATGGGATTCACAATTTCCTCTCAGTGTCTTCCAAGCGGCTTTTCCGTATCATCTTCTCAGGCTTCTGTGCACCTGCCCGTACTGGACATATTTGGCCATTGCTGATCTAGGAGCCTTCCCGAGGCAGGAGGTGAAACGGTCTGGATTTCGTGTTCTGTGTTAGGAAATCTAACACTGCAGCAACCCCGAATGCCTCAGTCATGAGCAGTTGATAGTGCAGGGGAACCGTCTTCTCTCCAAGAATTGGCTAGAACGGGCTTCTGCCCACTGCTTTTATTCCATCATCGGGTAATTTGAGTGTTTCCAGTCTAAGAGAATTCTGCTTGGCCCTAAGCCTTTCCACTGCAAATCTGGATGTGGACCATCTTCTATCAGAGACAGCTCAGGCTCAATCCCTAAATTAATGGCAAGCAAGACGTAGACAGGTGTGACTTCTTAGAGACAGGCTGGACTGCTGCTGCTCTGTCCTTGGGTGGCGCCAGCCCTTCCTTTATTCTTTCCCAGTCTTCTTATCCATTGCCTGTAGCCCAGGACCAGTGCCAAGCCTGTAGCTTCCGCATGGTGTTCCTCTCCCTTCCGGGGATCTTCATGTAGGTGCTGCACGGAGAAAGAAGGGCCCTGAGAAGAGAGGCTGCTGTCGGCACAGGAGCCGTGAGGGTGGCGGCCGCCTGGCCACTGTGTCCAGTGCTTTCAAGGTGTTCTCAGTGTCCTCGTTTATGCCACGGCTTAGAAGATTGTCCTTGCCATCTTTAGCAACTGTCTCAGCCGTCACTTATTTTCACTCGTCTTACGAGGACCAACCTGCCGACTTTCTCGTCACGGGGGCATTGTTAACAACCAGCTGTGCGTGTTTAGTGTTCATAAGCAGAGCAAAGTGTGATTGTCTCCAGGAAGCTCTGCATCTGGGTTTTTTTGCTGACATTTTCTTTTCTTTTTTTCTCTTTGAATGCTGTGGTTTTGAACAAATCGGTAATGTGATAAGTCTTCACTTAACGATTTTCAGGCATCAGGAGTACACGATTCCCTGGAAGAGACATTTACATGGAATATTTATTTATTTGAAGAGGAATCGGATGTGCCCAGTCAACTTAGCACCCACTGAGGTCCTGTCACCATTTGTTGAGTTTGCACAACGTGCGTGGGCATGATTGTGCCCGATTTCTATCCAGCCCCGAGAATTAGCTAGCAGTCCCCATTTTACAGGTGTGGGAACTAAGGGTTAGGGGATGCGTTACCCTGCCCCAGCTCTCACGGGTTGTCAGAGGCAGAGATGAAACTGAAACCTGGGTCTGCTTCTCTCCAAACTCCATGCTCTGGGCACAACACCACTTGGCCCCTACCCAAGGGACCGACTCTGTGCTGAGAAGCAGGGCAGCCTGGGGCATACACGGGAAGTCGGAGGCTTCAGTCGCTTTCTTCCCATGCTGTGCTCTGTTCACCAGACTCCCTAGGGTCCTCCCATTGCAGGAGGAAGTGGCCTCTTGAGCCCTTTGAGATCAAGGCTGGGCATAGAACACAACCTCTGCTCCAACTCAGAGTCTTTTTTTTTTTTTTGTTAAACTGTGTCTGGAGCACTTTGATAATCTCTCCAGAGATAGTCATTTTTGCTAAAATGAATTGCTAAATGTAGGGGAGAGATTTGGGGGCACGAACTAAGCCTGCCCTGGGTGCCAGTGATACTGGCAACTTCCCTGGTGGGTGGGAAAGAGAAACCTGCCTGGTGGGTGGGTTCAGGACCTAGAAAAGACCTCCTCAGCCTAGTTCCTTGTTGCTTTGCCGCCGCCCCCAGGCAGTTCAGCCTGGGCTTAGTCAGTGTCTAGCAGCCTCACTGAACTTCTGGGACCAACAGCCCCTGGGTACTTCTCTTACCACCTGGTCTGCATCGTCAGTGGCTCACACACCCATCACACTGGCCTGCTGCTGCTGTTGCATAGGTGTGAGCTTGGTACTTGTGATCTTGCAAAGTGCTAAATGGCTCACCCAACTACAGTACCTGATGGAGCTCTTGAGATACCAGTTTGCTCTCTGAGGTTTGGATCAGCAGTGACCCAGATAAGAGTTCGTTTGTAAGAACAAAATATATATATCATGCTTGGGAGGCTGAGGTGGGCGGATCACTTGATGTCAGGAGTTTGAGACAAGTCTGGCCAACATGGTGATACCCCGTCTCTACTGAAAATACAAAAATTAGCTGGGTGTGGTGGCAGGCACCTGTAATCTCAGCTACTTGGGAGGCTGAGCAGGAGAATCCCTTGAACTTGGGAGGTGGAGATTGCAGTGAGCCGAGATAGCACCACTACACTCCATCCTGGGCGACAGAATGAGCCTCCGTCTCAAAAAAAAAAAAAAATAATGGAAATAAAAAAGAAAAAGAAATATATATATCATGCTACTCCCTAGTTAAAGCCAGTGTCATCTCTTCCCAGCTTATTTCTGTGGCCTCTTAACTGGTCTTTTCGCGTATGCCCTCCTTTCTAACAGGTAAACCATAACCCATCATGCCTCTGAAAGAATGAGAACCCATCAATGGCTTTTCTCTTGCTCACGGTACAAGTCAGAGGCTTTACAGGGGCCTCTGAGTCTCCACATGCTCTGTCCCTTCCCCCACCATGGCCCCAACTCTGATACAGTGACCCCGGGCTCCTGGCAGCTTCTTAGACACAGCCTGGCATTACGTGTTTTCCCTTGATGCTGTGTCTTTAATCAGATACCTTTCTCGCTGAGCCTTACCCTGTCACTGCCTGACTTAAAATTCCAGCCCCCATACTCCCTGTCTCCCCTGCCTAATTTTTCTGCAAAATATTTATCAATCTTTGCCACTGTACGTATTGTACTTATTTGTTTATTGTCTGTCTTCCCCCATTAGAGTTTAATCCCCACGAGAGCAAATATTTTTGTCAATTGTTTATTCCTTAACCCTGGCATCTAGGACAGTGCCTGGCAGGTAGTAGGTGCTCAGTAAATCGGTGCTGCAGGGGTTTGCCTGGTGTTCTGAGATCCTGATGTAGATGTGCCTAGTTCTAGAATAATCTGACGTAACCCGTGATGTGCATCTTCATGTGTGAGCACTGGTATTTGTTTTACAGTGTTGATTTGTGAGACAATGCCACTCCTGTTCACTTGTGTTGGAATGTGTCTTCATGAGCAGGAGGAAAGGGAGGCGTTCTACACGGGGCATGAGGATGGTCCCTGCCGGGAGCTCTCCTCTCTGCCGCAGCTGTCATTTGCATCTGCGTCAGTGCCCCAGAAGTGAACCTTCGTAGGATATAGGTAGGTCAGGACCTGCTCTCCTGGGTGACAAGAAAGGCGATTCCTGTAAATATTATGTAAAACATTCCTTCACTTCACCATGGAGTCAATGGAGTCAGGTTCAGTCAGGCTATTTTGATGTTTTTTTTTGTTTGTTTCTGTTTTTGTTTTTTTTTTGCGACAGAGTCTCGCTCTGTTGTCCGGGCTAGAGTGCAATGGCATGATCTCGGCTCATTGAAACCTCTGCCTCCCGAGTTCCTGCGATTCTCCTGCCTCAGCCTCCTGAGTAGCTGGGATTACAGGCACATGCCACTATCCTCGTCTAATTTTTGTATTTTTAGTAGAGACAGGGTTTCAACACGTTGGTCAGGCTGTTCTTGAGCTCCAGACCTCATGATCTGCCTGCCTCGATCTCCCAAAGTGCTGGGATTACAGGTGTGAGCCACTGTGCCCGGCCTATTTTGATGTTTTTAAAAAGGGCTTTGGGAGGACTTTGCTCTCTGGCTCTAAGCAAGCTTTAGCCATTGGTTTAACTTTAAAAACAAATGTGTATTAGGGAAATACTGGTAATATAGGATCCCACTGGAAAGGCATATGCTTGTTTACCCATGCTACTTCTGTCTAAGGCCCAAGGTGAGGCCATCCTACCCCAGCCACTCTAAATGGCCTGGCCACCTGTGCAGATGGGTGCCCGGTGGGGCTGGGCCCTCGATTCGCATCAGGCAAGCTCATCTCCATGCCTTGCGTGCTCCCCAGCTTGTCAAGCCTCCATCTGTTTCGTTCTTCACTCCGGCATCCCATGTACCTTCCTCAATCTGGATTTGGGGACATGCCCTCTGGCCTTCATGAGCCACAACTGTAGAGGATATAAGAAAATCAAAGTTTATTTCTCTATTTTTCTGGAGCACTCCTTCCCAAAACAGGATAAATACATGAAGATGTAAGACCTAATATGTCTTAAAATGTCTATGGTTTTTTCTCTACTCTTGATAGATAGTCTGAGAATGTCTTAGTTCATTTTCTGTTGCTGTGACAGAAGACTACAGACTGGGTAATGTATACAGAAAATAAATTTATTTCTTTTAGTTCTGGAGGAAGATAATCAATGTCAGCAGGCTTCCCAATGGAAGCCAAGAGCAGGGATTCCAGAATCCCAAGAGGAACCAATTTCCAACCTCAAGGCCTGGGAAGTTCAAGGTCGAGGGGTCATATCTGGTTGGCTTCTGGTGACAGCGTTCATCCCGTGTAATAGCATGGCAGAAAACTGGAAGGGCAGGCAAGCGCTTGAAAAAAGAGATGGGGCAAAGGGGGCTGATCCACTTTATAACAACCAGCGCCTCATGAGAACCAACTCAGTCTCTAGAGAACAGTGTTAATGCACGCATGAGGGTGTGCCCCCATGACCTAATCACCTCTGAAGGTTCCCATTACCTCTCACTCAGTACTGTTGCCCTGGGGACCAAATTCACCCTGAGTTTCGGAGGGGTCAAACCACATCCAAACCATAGCAGGGAGGATGTAGGCCTTGAGGGTGGAAATGGTTTCCTCTCGGGTTTCTGGAATATTTGCTGTTGGCTTCCATGCTCTGTTGCTATAGGGAAACCCACTGACATTAATTCTCTATCTTCCATGTGTGGCCTGGTTTTCTTCTGAAAGCTTCCAGGATCCTCCCTTTATCCCCAGTGTTCTGACATTATATAGTGATGTGTCATAGGGTAGGTTGGGCCCCTTGTTAAGTGGGAACATTTTTTTTTGCAGATTCCAGGGCTGATTTAAATATTTAATGTTATATTATTTAAATACATACCACTTAAAACTGGGTATAAATTCCTTATGCTATGGTTATAAAAATCACATCCAAATTGCAAATTAAACATAAAGTACCAGCTAATGAAACTCAAATGCACAACATCCCTTTGCTGTGATGGCTGGCTTCACTCCTTTTGTCACTGGAATTAGGTACAGATTGCCGTCTCTCAGTGTCCTTTGAGTGATAGCGTTTGGCTTCACTTGGCGTGAATGAGTCATTTATATATTAAATCTACCCTGTGGCTTTTTTCTCATTAGCCACAACAATTAACATAATTCTGCTTGATGCCAATGTGTAAACACAGAGCAGCCCGGCACAGCGTGGTTATAGCACGGCTGTCCAGACTATTCTTAGACTGTGCTTGCTTACAGGAATTATTTTGGATTGTCATTACAATGAAAACATGAGATGTAAATGTTTTCATAGACAGCTCACATAGTCCCAAGGATTCAGTTCTTTTTATACGCTTCCTATGCCAGTTTGCTCCCATAGGCCTATAGAAAGATGAGCTATAAGAAATTGTGGCTATTGTTCAGATGAGTGTTTGAACAGGCCATAATAAGCTGACATTTGCCACTCCCCACCCCTGCCACCCCACGTTTCTCCATCAGCTGCCACAATTTGCACAGGAGTTTAATCCCGTGTTACGTTGCCATCCCTATTTTGAAATGGAGACGGATGAGAGCTGTTAGCCACAGTCATTTCCAGGAAGCTGCCAAGCTATGTCTCCTAGAGCTTGGAGACCATGATCCATCTTCAGGTGAGGTTTTAGCTTGAACATTCCTGCCTGCTCCCTTCACTGCTGTGGGCAGGGGTGAACGTTTATATTTTTTAAAAGCTAATGTGACATCAGACAGGGCTGACAGTGTAAACTTTCTGGCTAGTTAGAAGTGTGTGTATATATCTGTGTGTTTATTTGTGTATGTGTGTATGTGTGCATGTGAGTGTATGAGTGGTGTGGAATGGGTGTATTCATGTGTGTGTATGTTTGTGTATGTGTTTGTGTGTGTGGATGTGAGTGTATGAATGGTGTGGAGTGTGTGTATTCATCTGTGTGTATGTTTGTGTATATATTTGTGTGTGTGTATGCATGTGAGTGGTGTGGAGTGTGTGTATTCATGTTTGTGTATTCATCCATGTGTGTATTCACATGGAGTGTATGTTTGTGTATGTATTTGTGTGTGTGTGTGTGCATGTGAGCGTATGAGTAGTGTGGAGTGTGTGTATTCGTGTGTGTATGTTTGTATATATATTTGTGTGTGCATGCATGTGAGTGAGTAGTGTGGAGTGTTTATATTCATGTGTGTGTATGTTTGTGTATATATTTGTGTGTGTGTGTGTGTGGATGTGAGTGTATGAATGGTGTGGAGTGTATTCATCTGTGTGTATGTGTATATGTTTGTGTATGTGTGTGTGCATGTGTGTGTATGAGTGGTGTGGATTGTGTGTATTCATGTGTGTGTATGTCTGTGTATATATTTGTGTATGTTTGTGTATATATTTGTGTGTGTGTGTGTGTTGTCACTGCGGGCCAGCTGTGTTTCAGGACCCTGCTTTGCTTGCATTTCTGCATCCTGGTACCTGAGCCTGTTCTGAGCTTCATCCGTGGCATGCCCAGCGCCAGGTTCTGCAGCGCTTCCCAGTGCAGTGGCAATGCGGAGTCCCACTGCTGCTTGCAAGTTGGGGCAAGGGGGCTGGTGATGGCCAAGCCTACACTGTGTGTTGGTTTGTGAGGTGTCTTCAGAGCCCCGGTGTGCTCCCGTCATTACTGTCCTTCTCCAAAACCTCTCAGCCTCAGAACCTGGATCTTATCTTTACCTTTTCTTTCCCCCGATCCCTCATCCAGTTCATCTCCAAACTCCATCTGTTTATTCCTCCCTATTATCACTATTTTAAAATCTTATTTTTGCCAGGATCATCTTCAAGCCCTGTTGCTTCGCACCTGATACATGACATTCCCACAGCCTCCTGCCTCCTCCCTGTTATCCCGGGCTCCGCAGTGGGGCCATCTCTTCCTTCTGTCATTCCCCTGTCTTGTTCTGGAGCCATGGAGCCTTCAGTGTGACAGTCTCTGCAGGACAAGGGGAACCGGCAGCCTATGGGCCAATGGGTTTTGTTTATCCTACACAATATTTTAAGAAGTTGACGGACAGCTTTAAAAATTGGAATTTTTTTACATTAAAAAACTCTATTTTCAGTTATTCCTGAAAACGTAGAAAATCCAGCAGCACTGAGCACATATTCCTAGAAGGTGACAGGAGGTGGGAATGGCGTGTTCCCTGCTGCTTTCCCTCAGGCCATGTTTTCTCCAGTTTGCTGCACTCCTCACTCTACTGTATAGCCCCTCAGCCTGCTCCATTTCTGTCACCTGTCTGGCCCCCATCGACGTGCATATTTGCAGCCCAGAGCTGACTGGCTTCCTGGCCAAGGACCTTTCTACACCCACATTTAGAATTCATCTTGTCTCTTTGCCTCCTGCTACCATTTTGCCTCTTGGGAGTGCTCTCCCTTCCCTCTAAACCTGTTCAAATCCTGTCATTCCGCAAGGTCAGTTCACCTCCTCCCTCCTGTGTGCAACTTCCCTGCCTGCCCCTGGCGGAGTTTTCTCTCTCCCTGAATCACTAAAGCGCTTCAGGTTTGTCTGTGGCTTTGGGGCCATTGCATGTCATTGTGTTTGTCAGAGCTGTGTTTAGACAGCCCGTCCCCCAGTGCCAGGGCCTCACTGTGGCTGACACACAGTGCCTTGCACTCTGCGGACTCTGGGTTCTCAACAAATGTACGACAAGAAAGATGTGTAGAGGTGATCCAGGGCCTCGTGCTATGGGTACCAACAGGAGGGCCTCTCACTAATGTGGGGCAGGGAGTAGCTGATAACTTTCCCCAGCAGCTGTGAAGACAGTTGTTTCACTTTTTGTCACCAGAGCCACTGTTTAGGGACACACCTTTAATGTGGGAAAATGCCCAAACACAACTAAGCTCTGGGACGTCATGGTGGGCCATGGGCATGTTCCCTCCTTTGTAAGTGATTTGATCTATCACTAAGGTCATTCAGTGATACTGCTCTAAGATCAGCATACAGAAGATAAAGTTAAATAGGACTTCAATCAAATTTAGAATATTTCCATACTTCTCATTAAGAATATTAAGTACCAATTTACAGGATTCTCTACTTGGTACTAGGTGCTGTCTTTGCTTCCCAGGACTCTCCCTCAAGAGCCTCTGGGTCTCTATGTTCTTCTCACCTGGGTTTTGTTTCAGCTTCACTGACATTCAGAACACCCGGGACGCATGCTGAGCTGGGAGCGGGATGCCTTTCTCTTCCTATGCCTCTGATAAATCAGGGTGGGATTTCTGAGAAGCAGCATAGGTTGGTAAAAAGCGCAGATGCCTAATGGCTGTTAACGATGACTCAATCACTTGAGGTTTTTTCCCCAACCCTTGAGATCTGGGCTTTGTTTGCATCAGCTTTCTGGCTGGTAAAACCAAGCTCAGGGTTTCTCATCACATGCCCTTGGGTAGTAGGAGTGACCTTGAGATGCCTGGCATTTTTTTCTTTACTCCTGTCAAGCCCCTTTGAGAGGGGAAGGGGCTTTGCTTCCCAACTTCTGGGCCAGAGGGCGAGTGTACTCTGGGGTAGCACTGTCCAATAGAGCTTTCTGCTACAATGCAAGTGCTCTCCATCTGTGCTTTCCAGCACAGTAGCCACTTGCCTCGTGTAGCTATTGAGCACTTGAGATGTGGTCATTGCGACTGAGGAACTGAGTTGTATTTCATTTTAATGTATTCAAATGTGCTTACCACATATGCTTACCATATGGGACAGCCCAGATCTCAGGGGTTGGGGAAAATGGGTCAGTGCAATACCTAACAGAGAGCCGTGCACAGTCCTAAGGGGAAGATGCCTAACTGAAGATGCCTACTGTGTAGGGCGAGGCTCTACACTGCTATGCAAGTCAAAGCCTGTTTGGCCTAACTTGGCTGGCGTCAAAACTATTTGAATTATATTTGCAGAAAAACCCATTGCTGTGCTGTTCTGCGGAGGGCATTAGTTACTAATTGTTCTCTCATTTCCTTTAAAAATAGCAGACACCAAGCTCCCTTAGCTGTGATTTAAGGAGCCACAGTGGTATAGCTGGCGAGTGCAGTCACGAACCGCATAACAGCATTTCAGTCAACAATGGACTGCATATATGACAGTGGTCCCATAAGATTATAATACCCTGTTTTTAACGTACCGTTTCTATGTTTAGATGCGCAAATATTTCCCACTGTGTTACCGTTGCCTACATTATTCCGTATGGTAATATGCTGTCCGGGTTTACAGCCTAGGAGCAATATAGGCTGTGCTATACAGCCTGGGTGTGTGGTAGGCTACGCCATCTAGGTTTGTGTAAGTTCACTCTGTGATGTTTGCCCAACGATGCTCCTAGCCATCGAAAGGTCATCCTTCAGCTTTATTATCATCAAAGCGTTTCAACTTCCTGTTTCTACATCATCTGCTTCTATTAATAGCTACATGATTGTTAAGTACAAATATGAAAATTATGTCGAGGAGTACAAAATCTTTCTTCCATTAGGCAGAACCGCACAGATGAGATCTAAAACGTTCACATTGATAAATACTGCTTTTGAAGTGGATTTTTCCCCTTAAGAGCCAAGCAAAGGATCAAAACGGAAATTCTCCACAGAAACAAGAATAAATCACTAGAGAGGTTGTTTCTGGAATTTTCCTGCCCATTGAGGGCCTGTTCTTGGAGCTAATGTCAGCGAGGATAGTGTATCATATTCCTTGACTTCCTCAGTATACTGGGGTCCTCACTTTTGTGTTGTAACACACACACACACACACACACACACACACACACAAGAGGTTGAGTACTATTACTGAATAAATGCACTTTAGTAGGAAGGAAACATTCAGAAAGTCAGCCTCTTCTGGGAAGCCAAGACAAACAGCTCTTGGAGCCAAGACACAGAGAGGCCACACCCAGGGAATGCCCGGGTGTCCCCAGTGTCCCCATGTACACCTTTCTCTCTAGCTCCTGCAGATGCTTCTCAGCCATCCCTGTGGCTGGAAGGAGTTGGGCTGCCATGACTCCTGATGAAATGCAAAATTGCAGGACTCTCTTAAATGCTCTTTTATTTTGACATTTTAAAATGCTATTCTGAGAGGTATAGAGAAGACTTAGGTAACAGAAGAGATGAGAAATAGCCAAGATCTCCTTTGAAGTTCAGATTCCAAATCAGTGGGGTCTTTCACCAAATCCATCTGGCCCTTCTTCCCTCTTTTTGGGCTAGAGGTCTTTGGTGGCAGGAATATTAAACTAGACCCACATTGGCTGCAACAATGAAAGAGGTTGATTCACTCACTGATAGGCAGGCTTCAGAGGTGGTTTGACACAGGGATGTGGTGACTTTATCTAGAACCCTGTTTTCTTATTCTCTTCAGCTCTGCCTAACGTGGAGTCAGCCTCATCCAAAACAGCCTTTCTTCAGGGTTGTATGGTAGCCACCGGTAATTTCCGGTGCCACACTTCCTCGGTTCAGAGGGAGTGAAGGGGACGTTCTTGTAAAAACAGCGCCTTTTCCCAGAGCCCCCTTAGTTCTTAGTTGGACCACGTGTCTTCTCTTAAATCAGTAACTGGGGCTAAAGCCATACTGATGCCCCAAATCCCATGGTGGAATCAGGTTTTCCATAGACCCAGAGCTGTGAAGGAAGATGTGGACCCCCAAATAAAGATTGGGGTAATCACCCAGCAAAGGGTGGCTGTCAGATAGGAAACTGTCATCTCCCGGCTCTATCATCTGCCAGTCTCCCCTTATATACTTACAGATGCAGCTTAATGCTAGAAAGTAGAAAATTCTCATTTTTTGAAAGATTACTTTTATGGCTTTGTGACTCTTAATTCTCCTTTGCTCCCCCTCCTCCTTCTCTTCTTTTCCCCTACTCTCCTTTTCCTTCCTTCCTTCATTTCCCTTCTTCATCTGTCCCCATCCCTCCTTCCCTTTTCCTGTCTTTTCCCTTCTTCTCCTCTTTACCCCTTCATCCTGTTTCCCCTTTTCTCTCTTTCCTTCCCTCCTCTCCCCCTAGCCTCTCCTTCCCCCTGCTTATCTGTCAGCCCTTCTCAATTGATGATCTAGTTGTTTGTTCAACTTAACCTAACTGGTGGGGTACAGTCAGGTTTCTTACTAAATTAAATGCCTTCATATCCTCCCACTGCCCCCCAGGAAGAAGAAATGCCAGAGGTAGAAATTGACATTGATGATCTTCTTGATGCAGACAGTGATGAAGAGAGAGCTTCAAAATTACAGGTAAGCAGTTTCCAAAATTGAGAACCTTCTAATCATGGACACTTGAGAGTCTACTTGGGTCTTCAGTGCTTGGCATCAACTGATTCCGCCCTGTGGTGGTGTTGGCACCAGGACCTGGGCCATTTGCAGAGAGGAAAGCAATGGGCTGCTAAGTGTTCACTCTCTTAAACTGCCTCTCTGAGGATAAAGCAGCCCTTGACTATAGTCCATTTTCAAAGCGCCTTATGGGTATAACTTTCTCCAGCCCCATTTTCTTGGGAGAAACAGCTGATTCTGCTTCCAAAGATCCACTTGCCAGGGAAGGGAAGTGATGCCCCACAGTTGTATGAGAAAGAGAGGGACTGAGCTAGCACTGGAATATCCAAGACTAGAGCTCTGGTCTCACAGTTGTGGACTGTATCATTCATGAAATTAATTTCTAAATATTGCTTATGACATAATTCTATTTAGTAGACGATCTGTTCATAGACAGTGCTCACCTCATAGCATTCCAGTACAACGATGGATATTGAGATGTCTAGTATTTCCTTAGTGGACAGCAATAAAGTACAGTACTTATTTCCCTTCCCACAGGAGGTCAAATCTATCATTTTTAAATCTGCTTTTGGGAGTTTCTAAAACCAATTAACTTTTGACTTGCCATTGTTCTTAATGTCCACTGATAATTACTGTTAATGACTGTTGGTGACCACAAATGGCAAATGGCCACTACGGCAATCAAAGGGCACATTTGAATGTATTAATGTGTTTAATGCATTAGTTATTACTAGCATCCCTTGAGTGGTGAACAGTCTCAATTATGACAATTATTTCTTCTTGCTAGATTTAGCTGGGAGACAATAGCATCCTAGTTATAAAATTTTAAAAAGATAACGCAGGTATCAGTTCTATAGAAAATGTAATGACATAACAGAGTTTTCTTAAAATTGAGAACTTGAGAGGAGTTTTTAAGCTATCATCACCCCGCACCCCCCAGTTCCCAGGTGAGGACCCAAGCTGGTTTATGGCTGCATTGCACTTAAACCCCTTGCTTCCTGAGTGCAGTGTGGGTGCCACCATCTTGCACAGGCTGGCTCAACTTGAATATCCACCAAGTTGGCAGCCAAAGGAAAGGTGTGTGCATGCGCGTGTGCATACAGAGGAGGTAAAAAGTCATTGACCAGAGGAGTGGGTTTGAAACCATTTGGATCCTGCCGGGTTATATCCAGTTAATTGAAGGAAAACCGGAAAGGGGGATTTGGTTCCTGTGGAAGGCCATCCTGGATTTGAGCTACTAAATTAGTCCACATCTCTCTGAAGTCTGCAACCTAATGGATGCTTGAGCATCCCTGTCCTTTTTTAAAAGAAGCTTTTTTCCTCAGCAAGACATTCAAAACCTGGTCAAGGGGCTGGGCATGGTAGCTCACGCCTGTAATCCCAGTGCTTTGGGAGGCCAAGGCGGGTGGATCACCTGAGGTCGGGAGTTCGAGACCAGCCTGGCTAACAGGGCAAAAACCTGTCTCTACTAAAAATACAAAAACTAGCCGGGTGTGGTGGTGCACACCTGTAGTCCCAGCTATTCGGAAGGCTGAGGCAGGAGAATCACTTGAACTGGGAGGCAGAAGTTGCAATGAGCTGAGATCGCACCACTGCACTCTAGTCTGGGTGACAGAGCGAGATTCTGTCTCAAAACAAACAAACAAACAAACAAAACTGGTCAAGGGTTATATTTTGTTTTCAATGCTATGGTAGCAAAAAAAAAAAATAAATATTTTCCTGTTCAAAAAACTTCTATGTAGCACATGTGTATGCAGGCTGAAGAATTTATGAAGGTTAAACGTTTTCTATCTTCAGACTACCAACTGGTGCTGAAATGAAGTGCGTTTCTAGATAGTATGAAATCTTGATTTACCATTATAAAATAATACTATGAATATAAAATGATTTTTAATTTTGCCTTAAAAATAATGCTGAATTTTAAAATAATAAAACTGATTTTCTGTGTGTTTAATTCTAGGAAGCTCTTGTAGACTGCTACAAACCAACAGAGGTAAGCAAATCACTTTTCCTAAATGCCATGTTTGAACTGGTTTTTATTAAATCAATTTGTCTATTTTTAAAGCAAACCACAATAAGTAGGTTTGAGTGTGTGTATACCAATTAGCAATTATTATCCATGAGTGCATATGTTTGAATAGCTCTAACTTCATTATTTCTAAGCCTAAACATGTCTAGTTCAGAGATACTTAAAATTAATGGAGCAGAGTGTGTTGCTTGTGTTAGATAAAAGCCAAACTTCAAAGGAAATTGTGAAAGGGTTTGGAATCATTTTAGTAAAAGTTTTAGGTTTATAACTGGTTTATATATTCTATTGGTTTATTGGTATGTATTTTTTTTTTTTTTTTTTGAGACGGAGTCTCGCTCTGTTGCGCAGGTTGGAGTGCAGTGGTGTGATCTCGGCTCACTGCAACCTCCGCCTCCTGAGTTCAACCAATTCTCCCGCCTCAGCCTCCTGAGTAGCTGGGATTACAGACGTGCGTCACCACGCCCGGCTAATTTTTGTATTTTTAGTAGAGACGGGGTTTCACCATGTTGGCCAGGCTGGTCTCAAACTCCTGACCTCAGGTATTCACCCGCCTCGGCCTCCCAAAGTGCTGGGATTACAGGTGTGAGCCACCGCACCCGGCCTATCGGTATGTATTTTTTAAAAGCGTAAAGGCAGGTCTGTCTTTCCAAAGAGTTACCTTTATTGGGAAAAAATGTTATGCTTTGTTTAGATATTTATCAAGTGTAATGTATAAACATTATCATAAAAATGAGCATTAATGTGATTAGACTAAAGCATTTCATGTAGACTCTCATGACTGACAGCACATAGTAGAAATTAAGGTTTTAATCAGTTATGAAAATATTAGCAAGAGAAGTACTTTCTTCCTCTGATAAATTGGAGAAATTATAAGATCCGTCAGATGTTTTGAAGTCTGTTTGTAACATCAAAGCAATGGTGATAAGACTTCTGATTTTTGAAGAGGTCTAATTAAAAGGGGGGAGGAAAGCATGCTTTTACAAGTGTCTGATTTCAATGACTTGGTTTGGGACTAGTTACCTATTTGAGCTTTATGCTTCCAACCTCCAGCTTTGATTACATCTTGCAGTCATAGAGATTTTTAATTTTAATTTTAGCCACCAAAATATATACTTTTAGACCAGGCTTGGTGGCCCACACCTGTAATCCCAGGCCAATCACTTGAGTGCAGCAGTTCAAGACCAACCTGGTCAACATGGCGAGATCTCGTCTTTTAAGAAAAAAAAATTGGCCTGTCGCGGTGGCTCATGCCTGTGATCACAGCACTTTGGGGGGCCGAGACGGGTGGATCACGAGGTCAGGAGATCGAGGCCATCCTGGCTAACACGGTGAAACCCCGTCTCTACTAAAAATACAAAAAATTAGCCGGGTGTGGTGGCCGGTGCCTGTAGTCCTAGCTACTCGGGAGGCTGAGGCAGGAGAATGGCGTGAACCTGGGAGGCGGAGCTTGCAGTGAGCCGAGATTGCGCCACTGCACTCCAGCCTGGGCGACAGAGCGAGACTCCGTCTCAGAAAAAAAAAGAAAAAAGAAAACAATATTATATGTATATATTTAAATTAATGTAATACTAATACATCTGAACCCCCCCCCCCAAAAAAAAATTCTGAGGCTTATTTTAAAAAGGTAACAGTGACTTTCTCCACCTTTCAGGCCCTTTTCCTATTTTATATTATATTTATGTATTGTATTTCTATATTTTCATAAGCAACACTTTTGCGCTTTTGGCTGTTTCCCTTCCCTGCTATTTGCTCTTTTCTTTCTTTTTTTCTTTTAGAGACAGGGTCTCATTCTGTCACCCAGGCTGGAGTGCAGTGGTGCAATCATAACTCCCTGCAGCCTCGAACTCCTGTATTCAAGCAACTCTCCCACCTCAGCCTCCTGAGTAACTAGTACTGCAGTCGTGCATTACCACACCCAGCTAAATTATTTTTATTTTTTTATAGAGACTGGGTCTCACTATGTTGCCCAGACTTGTCTTGAACTCCTGGCCTCAAGCTATCCTCCTGCTTCAGCCTCTCAAAGTGCTGGAATTACAGGCATGAGCCACTATGCCTGGCCTACTTATTCTTTTATTCTTAAATATGCATTTACTGTTTTTTTTTCATTTATTGACTTTAGGAGAAAGATGATCACTCTCTCTCTCTCCACACAATTCCTTTTCATCTATACCCTCATCAGTTATTTAACAGTATTTTGTTAAATTAGTAGTCAAGGTTTATAATACTATGATTTAAACAAATGTTTTTCACTGTTAAGCTAACAGTAAATATGATCATGGTTCCTTTTTGTATAGCCCTTTGTTTCTCTTGGAGTTGACAATCCTTGCCTTTATTATTATTATTATTATTATTTTGAGACAGGGTCTCGCTCTGTCACCTAGGCTGGAGTGCAGTGGTACAATCTTGGCTCACCGCAACCTCTGCCCCCCAGGTTCAAGTGATTCTTGTGCTTCAGCCTCCTGAGTAGCTGGGATTACTAAGCCCAGCTAATTTTTGTATTTTTAGTAGAGATGGGGTTTTGCCATGTTGGCCAGGCTGGTCTCAAACTCCTGGCCCCAAGTGATCCACCTGCCTTGGCCTCCCAAAGTGCTGGGATTACAGGCGTGAGTCACTGTGCCCGGCCATAACGCTTGTCTTTGGTTTTGTCTAATACCAATTGGTATTTTTTGTTGAACTCTCCAGTGTGTTTGTCAAACATGTAACATATTTCCTGACTGTTCAATCACATCATTACCATCCCTCTGCCCCCAGACTTTTCTCCTGGAGCCCCTATACAACAATCTGGAGAAGTTTTTCTTTGTGTTTATGTTTTAAATTATTCTACTCTCTGCATTGTCTCTGTTTTCTCTGAATCTTACCTTTTTCTGCCTATTTTCATGTCTTTGCTGATTTTTGGTAGCATAGTCACATTTTAATATGGGGAGACAGTAAACTGATTTGCATTTGTGTGTATAAGAACGGCTTGTTTTTTTGTTGTTTTTGAACAGAGTCTTGCTCTGTCACCCCAGGCTGGGGTGCAGTGGCGCCATGTAGGCTCGCTGAAAAACCTGCCTTCCGGGTTCAAGCGATGCTCGTGCCTCAGCCTCCTGAGTAGTTGGGATTATAGGCATGGGGCACCATGCCTGGCTAATTTTTGTATTTTTAGTAGAGGCGGATTTTGCCATGTTGGCCAGGCTGGTCTGAAACTTCTGGTTTCAAGTGATCCACCCACCTTGGCCTTCCAAAGTGCTGGGATTATAAGCAAGAGCCACCGCGCCCGGCCAAGACTGTTTGGCTATTGCTGGGTCTCACTATGGAGTGACCAAGTTGCAAGCCAGATTTTTCTTCTGAATCTGTTATGTGTGGAAGGGGATGGCTCCTCAAAAATGTCAATGTTTGGTTCTTTTTCTCTGGAGATTCAGGATTTTTAGAGTTTGACCCTCAAATTCCCTATGTGAGGGTTGACGGTCTGACTTTAGGCTTTCTGGAAGCAGAGAGGAGAAGGCAGGAGACTTTACCATTTAGCTGTTTGGGGACTAAAGCTTCTTTATTTATAGGTAGTTGGGGAATTAATATAGGAAAGCGATTTTAAATTGTGTGATGGGTTAGACAAGAAAAATAGAATTGTAGTCAAGAAAAATGATGAATGATGTAGATGAATGAACATGTAATATGGGAGTGGAAGGGGTTGCTGCAGAGAGGAGGCCCCATTGGTCGCTGCAGACACGCATTCACTAATTTCATCAATCCCTTTTTCTTCAGTTCTCCACCTAAGTGAAGAAATTCATGCTTTGGTTATTTGGGTGAGAGAGTTTGGACTTGCAGATTTCTCTTTTGCCTGGCTTCGCAGCCAACAGTGAAATGCAGTAAAAGCACTGCATTTTCTCATGGAAATGAGCCCGTTCTCTCCCTAGGTTTTATAATGTCTAGGGAACCAATATTTACACTAGTTAGGAGCCATGCTGTTCAATGAAAATGGTGGGTCTTGCCTCCAGAGCAAAAATATTTCTCATCTGGTTTCTATACGGAGGGTCAGGAGATGAAAGAATGTATTATTTGAACACTCTTCAGAGTTCCAAAAGCAGAAAAAGGAGCTGGAGTCTCTAACTGAACATCCCTGTGTTCTTTTTTTAGCTCCCATTTCTAGGAATGGAGAAATGATGTAAAATGCTGAGGAATTTCATTCAAGTTCACTTATCTGTTAACGGGTCATTTCAAAAAGGCTGGACACTTTTGCCTTTGAGCATATGATCACAGGAAACAGATTTTACTGGCATCTGGATTGTGATAATGACAATTAATAGCTTATATTTTTCCAGAGCTCTGTAGTTCACATTGCACTAACATACATTACTTTATTTAATCCTCACAATTGTCACTTTAAGTAGACAGGGTTTGGGTAGCTTGCCCGTAATGTCAGAGCAGTGAGCAAGAGAGTCAGGACTCAACCCGAGTTTCTGACACCTGATCTTGTGCTCTTTCTTTCCAATCTGCCAGTCTTCCTAAGCTACTTGACTCAGCAAGAGGCTTAGAACTTTATAGGACTTTGCCCTGTCTGAACTAAATGCCTATCAATTAATGGTGTTCTTTTCTAAGCAGGGATCTCTAGAGGTGCTGTTATTGATCAAAATTATTTTACTTAAAATTGTTATGCCACTTGGAAGTTAGAAATGTGAGGAAGATGTCTTTGCTGATTCAGATACTTTTATTTTATAATCCCTCATTGCAGAAGTAGGGTGAGTGGTGGAAAGAATACTGGAATTTGAGTCAAAAGTCTTATGCCAATGCTAGCACTAACTGTGTGACTTCAAGCAATGTTCTCAACCTCTCTGAGTCTCCCTTTCCTCCTCTATAAAATGGAGGTAATAATAACCATGTCTCTGCATATTGGTAAGGATTATTTGCTGTGATAATTTTTAAAATTTATTTTATTTTAATTTTTTTTGAGAAAGAGTCTCACTGTGTTGCCCAGGCTGCAGCGTGGTGGCACAATCTTAGCTCACTGCAGCCTCAATCTCCTGGGCTCAAGCGATCCTCCTGCCTCAGCCCCCCGGGTAGCTGAGACAACAGGTACACACCACCACACTCAGCTAATTTTTGTTATTTTTGTAGAGACAAAGTTTCTCCATGTTGCCCAGGCTAGTCTCAAACTCCCGAGCTCCAGCAGTCCACCTGCCTGGGCCTCCCAAAGTGCTGGGATTACAGGTATGAGCCGCCAAGCCTGACCCACAATGATAATTTTAGTGGTGGTAACGATAGCAATGATAATGGCTAAAAGATCACTAGGCACTTAGCAGATGCCGGGTGCTGATCTAGTCACATCTCATGTATTAACAGATTTAATCTTTTTTTTCAGAAAAATCTTGACATTTGTTAAATTCTTCATAGCTTTTAAAAGATAATTTTAAGTAGACTTTATTATTTAGAGCAGTTTTAGGTTCACAGTGAAATTGACTAGAAGGTACAGATTTCCAATATGCTCACTCCCATCCACCTCACACATGTACACAGCCTCCCCAATTGTCACCATCTCCTCACAGAGAGGTACATTTGTTAGAACTGGTGAACCTACATTAACACATCATTATCGCCCGAAGTCCACGGTTAACATTAGGATTCACTCTTGGTACTGTACATTATGGATTTGACTGATTTCATAATGACATGTATCCACCACTACAGCATCATACAGAGTAGTGTCACTGCCCTAACAATCCTCCGTGCTCTGCCTGTTCATCTCTCCTTCCCCACTCACCCCTGGCAACCACTGATCTCTTTATTGTCTCCATAGTTTTACCTTTCTCAGAATGTCATATCTTTGGAATTAACCGTATATAGCCTTTCTATTTTCAGAATAGCCATAGCATGAACATTTGAAGCCTTTTCAAACTGGCTTTTTTTTTTTTTTTTTTTTTTTTGTGGTGGGGTCTTGCTTTGTCTCTCAGGCTGGAATGCAGTGGCACGATCTCTGCTCACTGCAACCTCTGCCTTCCAGGTTCAAGTGATTCTCCTACCTCAGTCTCAGTAGCTGGGATTACAGGCGCGTGCCACCACACCCGGCTAATTTTTGTGTTTTTACTAGAGACTGGGTTTCACCATGTTGGCAAGGCTGGTCTTGAGCTCCTGACCTCAGGTGATGTGCCCACCTCAGACTCCCAAAGTGCTGGGATTACAGGCATTAGCCACCATGCCCAGCCCAAAATGGCTTTTAAAAAATGTGATGTCAACATTTAGCAGCTACAGACTGGCTTCTTTTCCTTAGTAATATGCATTTAAGTTTGCTCCAGGTCTTTTCATTGCTTGATAGCTCATTTCTTTTCAGTGCTGAATAATATTCTATTATCTGGATGTACCAGAGTTTATCCATTCATTCACCTACTGAAATACTCTTGGTTGCTTCCAAGTTTTGGCAATTAATGAATAAAGCTGCTATAAACATTCCTGAGCAGGTTTTTGTGTGAACATAAGTTCTCAAGTCTTTTGGGTAAATACCAAGGAGTAGGATTACTGTATTGTAAGAAAAGTGTGTTTAGGTTTTGTAAGAATCTGCTTACCTGTCTTCCAAAGCAGCTGTACCATTTTGCATTCTCACCAGCAAAGAGAGTTCTTGTTGCTCCACATCCTCACCAGCATTTAGTGTTGTCATTGTTCTGGATTTGGACCATTCTAATTGGTGTGTAGTGGTATCTCATTATTGTTTTAATTTGCATTTCTCTGGTGACGTATGATTTGGAGAAACTTTTCATATGCTTATTTGTCATCTATATAACTATAGATGTTAACTATGTCTGTTAAGTTTTCTGGTCCATCTTTTAACTGGGTGTGTTTGTTTTTTTTTGTTGTTGAATTTTAAGGGTTCTTTGAATATTTTGGATAATAGGCCTTTATCAGACATGTTCTTTGCAATATTTTCTCCCAGTCTGTGGCTTCTCTTTTAATTCTCTTGACAGGGTGTTTCACAAAGCAGGAATTTTTGTTTTAGTGAAATCCACCTTATCAATGTTTTCTTTCACGGATCATGCCTTTTGTGTTGTATCTACAAATCACTGGAAAACACAAGATCATTTAGATTTTTCTCCTACATTACCTTTTGGGAGATTTATAGTTTTGCACTTTACATTAGGTCCATGTGCGATCCATTTGAGTTAATTTTTGTGAAGAGTGTAAGGTCTGGGTCCAGGTTCATTTTTTGCACGTGGATTTCCAGTTGTCTCAGGATCATTTGTTGAAAAGCCTACCTTTGCTCCTTTGAATGCCTTTGCTTTTTTGTCAAAGATCAGTTGATATTTATGTCAGTCTGTTTCTGGGTCTCTTTTCTATTCCAATTATCTACGTGTCCATTCTTTCACCAATACCACACTGTCCTGATTATTGTGGCTTCAAGTATGTCTTGAGGTTGGTAGTGTGAGTCCTCCACCTTTATTTTTGTCCTGCAACATTGTGTTGGCTGTTCTGGGTCTTTTGTCTTTCTATATAAACCTTAGAATCAGTTTATTGATTTTATCCACAGAACAGCTTCCTGGGATTTTTATTGGGATTTCATTGCGTCTGTAGATCAAGTTGGGAAGAACTGACATACTGGCCATATTGTATCTTCCTATCTATGAACATAGAATACCTCTCCAATTATTTCTGTCGAGATATCCTCAAGCTTAAAGATTCTTTCCTCAGCTGTGTGCAGTTTACTAATGAACCCATCAAAGGCATTATTTCTGTTATAGTATTTTTCATCTCTAGCATTTCTCTTAGAATTTCCATCTCTCTACTTACATTCCCCATCTGTTCTTGCATGCTGTCTACTTTATCTATCGGAGCCCTTAGCGTATTAAACAGAGTTGTTTTAAATGCCTGGATGGATAATTCCAACATTCCTGCTGTATCTGAGTGGTTCTAATGCTTGCTCTGTCTCTTCAAATTTTTTTGCCTTTTACTGTGTGTTATAATTTTTTTTTGATATCTGAATATGATGAATTAGGTAAAAGGAACTGCTGTAAATGGGCCTTAAGTAGTGTGGTAGTAAGGTGTGAGGAGAGGGGAAGCATCCATAGTCCTGTGATTAGTTCTCAGTCATATAGGGAGCCTGTGTCCTTGAACTGTGAACTTCACAAGTGCTTCTCGGTCGCCCCCATGCCCCTTTAGGTGGAATGGATAGCTAGAGCCAGCTGGAGTTTGGTATTTCCCTTCCCCCAGGTCACTCAGGCTCTACTAAAACCCTGTCAGGTTAGGCTCTGGTTAGTTTCTCCTCAGGACAGATCTTGTTAAATAAACTTTTAGACTTTGGGGAAAAAAAAAGAAGAAGAAAAAGAAGAAGAACAGAATGCTCCGGTGTATTTCAAAATGGTTCCTTTTTATCTCGTCCTGCTGGAAGTTCAGGGGAATTTTTCTCCAGTGTTCACTGTGAGGACCTGGGAGAATTCTTAGAGGTAAGACTCGTACAAAGGTATGCTCCTACCTCTGCCCGTGACTGGATCCCCATGGAATTTTTATCTCTAAAACTTGTCCACTCTGAGACTAGCAATTTGTCAATTCCAGTTCAAGTTTTTCTACTCATCCTTTGGTTCCCACAAAGGTTGTTCCTTGTGAGTTTCTCTTCCAGGCAGTTGTGATTTTCTGTATTCACCTGTGAGTCCCTCTACTTCGGGGGCATTTGTTTGCTCAGTGACCTCACTTCCCTTGTGGATCTAAAAAGAGTTGTGGATTTTTGAGTTTGTTCAGCTTTTTACTTTTGTTAGGATGGGATGGCAATTTCCAAACTTCTTACATACCTGACTGGAAACAGGAAGTCTCATTTAATCTTCACAACAAAGCTAATAGATTGACACCATTGTTGTCAGTTAAGGAATTTGAGGCATAGAAGTGTTCTGTAATTTGCCTAAATTCACACAGTTAATGAACGGAGAAGTCAGGTTATGTATTAAAGCACATGACATAAAGCTTCACACATATTAGGCCCTTAGTATGCTAGTTGAATCTTATTCTGTATAAAGTAATGCTTGCCTATCACATGTTAAATATGCAAGAAGTCCAAGTTTGCCAATAATGATATTCTTGGATTATTACATTTAAAGAGTTGACTTTAAAGAATCTTCTAATTTCCCAGAAGTGATATTGTTTTTGGTGTGTCACCTTCTGTCATATACTTTGGGTCTACGGCTTCATCCTATATGGGCCACTGGCCAATAGGGAAAGGACTTGTGTGCCCCCATTTTGATTCATATTCATTCCCCCCCCAAATCCATAGCTGACCTGACTGATTCATATTCAGTCTGCGGACTCTTGTCATGTAAATCTTCCTGACTGCTGGGAAACACAGCAGTATAATTGTGAGCACCTCACTAATGTATGAGTGAGTGATTAGTAAGAATGGTGATTTCATTTTTTTCCTTAAGTAAATGCCATTTCTAATGTAGTGAATATTAAAATAGATCTGACTTACAGGTAGCAAAAGGATGTTTCCATATAATGCAAGAGGCAAAAGTAATTTTATTTTGGATATTACTTGTATTTGCATGATCAGTAGTGTTAGCCTAGTGGACATGGTAAAAATCAGAGATGGGGGTCTGGAAGCCTGCTAGCCAGACTTAGGAGGAGCTGCTTCTCCTTTTTCTCACTATCTTTGCACAGTTTCCAATTTTGGGATTACAAAATAGAACCTCCATTGTACTGGGAGGATGAACAGAAAATGCATTTAATGTGGGCTTGAGGGCATCTGCCTTACCGTCTGTTAGGGGAGTTGTCTAGTCAATGAGCTTTTTTAAAAAAATCTCTTTTTATAGCTGAAGATACCTATGCCATTGCTCTTTGATAAACATCAGGTTTTTCTTTCCATGCATTTATTTTTTTTTTGAACTAGAGGTTTTGATAGAACCTATCATTGTATCAAATTATACAATGATATCAAAGCCTATACATTGATAGGCATCCATTCATCCAGGATAACTAAGTCCGAGAGTAGGTGGCAAAAGGCATTTCTGGGTTCCAGTAATCTACCAGGTAATGGAAATGTCATGGACACACACTGGTACCAGAAAGCCATGTGTGATCTGGTTTGTGAGTAGAAATCGAGCAGTGTTTTCTAAAAGGCAGGCCTGCTCTGCTGTTCTTCTCATATTGGCAGTAAGAAGGCAGAGTTTCCTTCTACCATGATTTCATGGTAACTGACTTTCAGACTAGCTTTGGTGATGGCCATTGTCAATCATTTATTTAGCATTTAAACTGATCTTTTAAAATCATTGTTCAGTTTATGGATACATGGAAGTACATTCCTTCTGCATTGAGCTGTTTACAGTGTAGAGAGAATATAAGTGGTATTTACAATACAGGAAAACCATGTGATGACTGAAAGAGACACAGCTTGGTGTTTTACAATCTTTTCTTTATTCATTTGCTCAACAAATGTGTATCGAATATCTGTGTGCCTGTAACTAATCTAGGAACTGAGACCTGGCAGGGAACTTCTACATCCATTTTTAAAGCAACCTCTTGGAAGGCCACAGTAAACTATGGTGGAAATTTAAATGTTCAAAGAACATTTAGGAATGAAAGGACAGAAATGTCAGGCTGTGAGCTTATTCGATGGTTCTCTAAGTTAGAAACCAAATTGCTTGACAGAATGTGCTTTTTAGGGCATCTGCACTTGCTAGAGGAAGCAGTCACATTATTCATTTCAATGGGTCTGAGTGTGTGTCCATAGGCAGGGAACTCCTTTCTTATGTCAGACCCTTTTCATCTGGCTGTCATGGGGTTTCCTCGAAAAAGACGGCAATCTTGGGCTGGGATGAGGAACAGAGCTTGAATGCTAGATTGGTGAGTTGAAAAGACACCTTTAAAAAGTTGTCACGTTTAGAACAATGTTTCTGAATAGAGAAGGAATTGAGAAGGACAGACCAGAATCAGATGAAAACTACATTTTAGTGGCTGTAGCCACTGGCTACAAAAGCCTTATAATGTTTTAGTGTCATTGGGCAGGCAAGTATTAAAGGATTGGGGTTTATTAGCCAGAAACATGTGTAGCTTTACTTAATAGCCCAAAGGATTTTGGTCCCATTATTACAATTGCTCACATACTTTCATTAGGATTCTATGCACCAGACCTCATCTGCCCCAGGTAAAAGAGCCGTACGTGCTGGAGCTGGAATAGGACCCACATTTGAGTCCAAATCCTATGCTCTGTCAACTCTTCACTGCCTTTTCCTGAATTTTTATGAATTGAGCACAAGCTCTACTTTAGAATATTTATAAAGCTGATTAAGATTTATAAATTGAGGAAAATCAACCCAGAAATGTTAGGTAAGCTTGCTGAAGACATGCAGTCATGAAGCAAAACTCTGCATTTATTTCCTGGACTTCATTCAGCACTCTTTGTAAAGTTAGGGAACTGTCCAAAAGACTGCTGTCACTTCTGGCACCAATCACAAGTTCACACGTCCTCAAAACCAACTTCAGCTTTGATAATTTGCAAGAAGAATTCAAATATTTTATACTCATGGTTCTGGTTTATTACAGGGAAAGGCTATAGTCAAGGGAAGAGACACAGGGGACAGAGTCCAGGAAAGTGGCAAATGTGAAGCTTCCACTTGTCTCCTCCCTGTGGAATGGACAGCATTCTCTTAGCAGTGATGTGTGACAATATGCAGGAAGTATTGGCAATCTGAGAAGCTAACCTGAGCCTGGGAGTCCAGAGTTTTTACTGGGGCTTAATCACATAGACATAGTTGACTACCCATGTGGCTGACCTTGTCTCCAGCTGATACCACATGACTCAAAGCGTCTACTCTAAATCACATCGTTAGACTATCTATCTTGGCACCGTACCCCAAGTATACGAAGATGCTTTTTTTTCAGGCAGATATTCTAAGGGCTTAGAGCTCACCTCTCAGGAGGTGAGGGCAGGTTAAATTTTTCACTATACACTCTTAGAAGCAGGATGACCATGAGATGGTGATGATAACAATAATAATAATAGTGATCAGAAGAAATTAGATGGCAGTGTAGGAAAAGCCACGTGGGCCTTGCTTTTGGGTGCCTTCTTTCTCTTGATAATTAATAATTGTTATTTTTATAAGAGACACGATAGAGGAGGCACAAGCTTTAAAGGGCAGTGGACCCGATTAGCATTTTCAAATGATTGACTGTGATTTTATGGCCTTTTCTTATTCATTAAACTGAGAATGGCCAACCCTGTATTAGAAACAGCTCTACACTCTCTTCCTATGCTTAGACTTATCTAGACAAAAGAAAGAATATAAAATAAAGACAATGTGACACATGACTTTAATTTCTATGTCTATAACAGAGATAGTTATAATCAAAAGTCCCCAAAAGCCCGGAAATGGGTTTCTTTTATTTAGGCAAAATTCAGTTATTTGTAGCAAATAATACACTCCCTCATTGACAATGAATGAGAATCTTGGTGAAGTTATTTATACTTTAGTTCCTCAGTGATTTTAAAGTCGGAGATTATAATTTTGCCAAATTTACTCTATTGATTATTTACTGTGACTGGATGATATATGTGAATTTTATTTTACATTGCCCAAATTGAAAATGTAAAGATTCTGAGACACCAGTTAGTAAGTGAGGGGAGAATTAAATGCTGTAAGATTGAATCTAGGGGAGGGTTAATGAACTGTTCTGCTGCATACAAATAGAGGTTGGGATTTGGGTAAAAAAATAAATTAGCCCAAGAACAATGGACTGAATCTATAAAATAGATTAATGGGACTTCGCTCACAGTGGAACAAATTACTATTTAAAGGCAGATAGTCTAGAAAATAAGTGGACAAACATCGTGTCAGTGGTTTTAAGTTAAAGGAGGGGGAAAAAACAGGATGTAGTTAAGACCTTCAGGAATTTATGTTGACAGAAGTCATTTTAACAACAGCAGCCACAAACCCTTACCCATAACAGATCCATAAGCCTCCTTTCAGATAATGAAAAATAGGATCAGTTCTGGTGCGCCATGCCAGCAAATGAACCTCTCGAAAGATAAAAACAACCCCTGCCCCCCAAAAAGAAGGGGGAAATTAAATGTGTCAGTGGTGAGTGATGGTGGGCGAGAGGGCTTGCTGTGGAGCTGATTCATGCCTGTAACTTCCAGGAGCAAATCCCCGTGTCACACTGAGTTGGGGAACACCCCAAAGCTGAGCTCATCAGTACTGATTCAACTGCCTGCCTGTTTGCCCTCATCCAGGAGTTTTCAGTGTGATTTTTAAATGCCTAGCTGGTTCTTTGGGTGAGGACATTTTGCCATTTGGAACAATTTGCAGGTGTTATCCTCACCTTTTCCAAGAGGCACACACCACCTGCCCATTTTCCTCACTCATCTAAACTTTGGGCATCTGGAAATTCTTCCCTTCCCACCACCCGCTTCACACTTTGCCTGCTTCCCACCCATCTGCTAATGTCAGGCTTTTTGGAAGAAGTGTCGGGTAGCTGCTTCACAGGAAACTCACCATGGAGTTGACTCAATTTGCTGTAAGTTGGCAGCCAGCCCCCAGGCCCAGGGCAGATGGCTCCTGTGAATGTGCACCTTGAAGGAAGTAACTGATCAGGGGCACAAAGAGGAGGCAACACGTGGGGAGTTGCATGGCCCATGTGGATCCCAGCCTTTGGAATCCTCATCTGCTGTTTCTCTCCCGTCCCCCCACCCTCTGCGTAGGGAATGGATGGGTCTTTTTTTGTTGTTGTTGTTGTTTGTTTGTCTGTTTTTGGAAAAGCTGGGTGAGCATCCGCAGTTCTTCTGGGCACCCTTTATTAGAGCTTGCGTAATGTATACAATCACTGCCATTGGTGAGACTGTTTCCTGAGCAGGGATTTTAAGCATTTCTTCTTTTGTCAGGAAATATTTCCAATCCAAGGGCCACTGCATAATATCCATTTATCTCGTTTAGCTTTTTAAATGGCTCAAAATGCTTAAAAGAAGGACATAAGTATAGGTAATGCACAGAACAGGGATTTGCAGTGATACTGTAGTTTCCCCTTTTCCTACTTGCCAACGGGCCCATCTTTTTAAAGCAGCACATTATCATCAATGAGAGGAACAGATGAATTACTTTGAATGACTAGGGAAGGCTACCAGATAGTTGGCTGTGGTGATAATTACAAAATGTGTGTCCATCTGCTGCTGCTGGTACTGGCTAGAGCAGGTGGGGCGCTGAGGGTGGAATATGAAAGTCATGGGCCCCAAGACGGACTAGTGCAGGGCGCAGAGCTCAGAGTAGAGGGTGGCCACTGTGATACCACGCCCCTGTGACAGAGCCATGTGGTAGAAACTCCAGGGGGAGAGAAAGGACCTTGTGTTTTCATGGCCGCTGCCGCATCCCCTCCGAAACGTGTTTGGACTTCTTTCTTTCTTAGAAGTCTCTCAGCAGCATGTTGTATAAAGTCAGTTTTCCAAGCTCCCTGGAAATGTTGCTTGTCTTTCTATTGCCTCTTCGATGTCTCCTCTGTATTAGTATGTGTGAGTATAAAGGAACATCCAAGGCCCACCCTTCCCCTAATGCTCTGTGTCTTCCGTCACACCCCAAGTCTGGCTAGCTTCCAGTGCTCGAAGGGGCATGTCTGGAGCCTTCATAGTTCCTGGGCCGGTTGACACTTTGTCTAGTTTTTTCCTCACTCAGTTGACATTTAAAGATTTCAGTGTCTCCTCTCTCTTTTTCTTCACTTTTATGCCAGAGTTACAGGAATTAATCAGTTCATTTGTACAATCCTTTACTCTGCAAAACTTTGAGCAGCTCCTCTTATTTCTTATGCACTCACTATGCTAGGAAGACAAAGATGAGTAAGACTTTTGGAATCATGTGGGGGTGACAAGTATGCACATGGATTATTTTGTATGCATTGTAACTGTGTGAAGAATATTTTGCAAATTTTCTTTCTCAGCTTGTGTATTTTGCCCAACATTAGGTGTCGGACACTTATCCTTGTTAATACAGAAAGCTGTCGTTCATTCATTTTTATTACTGTATAGTATTTCTTTCTGTTCATACACTGTAATGTATTTATCCATTCTTCTGTTGATACTCAGGCTGTATTCAGTTTTTCATTATTATGAACAGTGGTGCAATAAAATAACTATTATTGGCCTGTTGCCTTCCTTGTGTACAAGACTTTCTCCAAGAATATATAAGAAATGGAGTTGCTTTTAAATGTTTGCACCAGCATGCATGCCCACCAACAGGATATAAGAATTCCCTATTGAACTCATGATTTCTACACCTGGTATTGCTAAGTGTTAAAAATTTTGCCAACTGATGCTATTTCATTGTTTCAACAAAATTTTTCCTGACTGCTAGTAAGGTTGAGACATTTTTTTTTTCCTACTTGCTTATTGGGTGTTCATGTTTCCTTCTCTGGGAATTTCCATTTTGAAATCTTTGCCCACTTTTCTTTTGAGTTGTTGGTGTTTTTCTTGTTGATTTTTAAGAGTTATTTATATATTCTAGATGACAATCCTTTGACCTTGATATAGGTTGCAAAGTTATTTTCCCAAACTGTGGAGCTTATTTTCACTTGTGTTATCTTTTGTGTACAGAAGTTTTAAATTTTAATTGAAGCCAAATTTATTAATGACATCTTTGGCTTGTGCTTTTTAAAAAAAGGCTTGTTTAAGAAATCTTTCGTGACTGTAAGGTCTTAAATACAGTCTTCCTTGTATTTGGCTTTGAAAGCTTTCACTTTCACTTTTTACACCTAGGTATTCAAACCCTCTTGAATTTGTCTTTGTATATGGTGTAAGGTAGGGATCTAATTATGTTTTGGCCTATTGTCCCAGTCCCATTTATTGGGCAGTCAGTTCAGTGTACCCTCACTGCTCTGTAATCCACTTCTGTTGTATGTCAAGTTTCCTTATAAGTAGGGACTACTTCTGGCTATTTGTCTACCCCTGCATTTTGTCTCAATTACTAGGGCTTTAGAATAAGTTCTTAATAAAGGTCCAATAAGTCTACAATTCCTTATTCAAAGTGTCTTAACTATTCTTGAATATTTGTATTTGACTAGAATTGCATTAAATTTATAGGTTAATTTGGCCAGAGAAGAGATCTCGATGATGATTTGTTCAGGGCACACAAAAATGGACACTGTAACTTCCTGAAGGGCAGGGACAGGTTGTAGGAACAGATGGGTAACAGTGAGTTAGTTCACTTTTGGTCATTTGAGACTGATCTGCCCATGGGACATCTCATGGAGATCTTTGGTAGCCCCAGAAAATGTGGGTCTGGATCTCAGGGTGAAACCAGAGCTAAAGATGAGATCTGAGTCACTAGTGTGGCTGGTAAAAGAGAGTGCCCCAAGGGGCCTGGGAACAGAGCTTTGGAGGCCAGCATTTAATCAGCAGGTGGTGGGTGGGAGTGCAAAAAGGGGAGTGAGGAGGGGCGGTTAGAGACCCAGGTGGAGAAAGTACAGCAAATCTTCACTTCACATCATTGGTAGGTTCCTGGAAACTGAGATTTTAAATGAAACTACATATAAACAAAACCAATTTGACCATAGGCTAATTGATATACACGAGAGTTAAGTTCCTACGGCATATTTCTGGTCTCAAAAACATTTCCAAACTTCTAAATAAAGACCCCCAAACACTTCTAATATTAAACATTGAAATAAATGTGAGCTATATAGACATTTAAGAAAGACTAATAAAATCAAATTTGATAATTAGTCACCCCGTTTGTGGTGAATCTGTGAGTGATAGTGATCATAGTGGCAGTGGGTTAAATCCAGGAACAAATGTGTGCAAAGTGAAAATTGTAAGGAGCGCCCCCCTCCCATCACATGGTTCCAAAATAATCAGTAACCAGTGTGGGAGACTGGCCAGGCACTTTCGGACTGCATTGTTGATTGCCATGCCTTTGAGTGATCATCATATTCTTTATGATTTTTGTTTTATAATAATTTGTATTCATTTATTTTCCACCCCTCTTTTTCCAGTTCAGTGTGGCTAGTGGCTGGAGCTCATCCTGACAGCTCAGAGCACGCACCAGGCAGGAACCAGCCCTGCAAAGGAAGGCACCCCATTGCAGGGCATGCTCACACCTGCACCCACATTCACTCACACTGGAACGTTGTAGCTATGGCAGTTCACGTAACACACACAGCTTTGGGATGTGGGAGGAAGCCAGAGGACTGGTAAAACACTCAGGCAGACATGGGGAGAGTGTGCGAATTCCCACGCAGACAGTGGCTCTGTGGGGGAGTCTATTTTTTTTCCCCAACCTTATGTCAAAACAATGTGGAACAAACCAATGTTCTTGGAGGCCCTGCTGCAGAGGGAAGTAGGCAAGCTCCTTGAAAAACTCCCCCCAAAATTGTACTGCTATACACTCACTAGAATGACTAATATGAAAAATACTGACAACACCAAGTGTTGGGAAAGATGTGGAAGAACTGAAATTCTCGTACCCCACTGGTGGGAGTGTAAAATGGTACAATCACTTTAGAAAACTGTGGGGAGGGGGGCGGTTTAGAAAAAGTTGAGCATACACATTCCACAACTCAGCCATTGCATTACTGAATATGGGCTCAAAAGAAACAAACAACAAAAAAAAGACCATAAAATTACTTGTGCAATTTATTCGTAACAACTTTATTTGCAATGACGAGAACCCCAAACATTTATCAGCAGATGAATGGATAAACAAATAGCAGTCTAGCTATACAGTAGAGTACTACTCAGCAATATAAAGGATCAAGCCAGCTGGGCATGGTGGCTCATGCTGTAATCCCAGCACTTTGAGAGGCCAAGGCAGGCAGATCACTTTAGGTCGGGAGTTTGAGACCAACCTGACCAACATGGTGAAACCCTGTCTCTACTAAAAATACAAAAATTAGCTGGGCATGGTGGTGCACACCTGTAGTCCCAGCTACTCAGGAGGCTGAGGCAAGAGAATCGCTTGAACCTGGGAGGCAGAGGTTGCAGTGAGCTGAAATTGCGCCACTGAACTCCAACCTGGGCGACAAAGTGAGACTCTGTCTCAAAAAAAAAAAAAAAAAAAAAAAAAAAAGGAATCAAACTGCGGACGCACACAATAGTATCTAATATTGGTGAATCTCAGAAATATTGAGTGAAAGAAGCCAAGTAAAAAAGAATACATAAGAGGAATGATTTCATTTACATAAAATGCAAACTAATTTATAGTGACAGATTAACTGGGTTTGGGACCAGATGAGCTCTAAATGGGAATAAGACATCTTTGGTGGTGATGGAAATGTTTTTTCTTTGTTGTGTTTTAATAGGCAGGATCTCATTTTGTTGTCCATGCTGGAGTGCAGGAGCACGATCATAGCTCACTGCAGCCTCGAAATCCTTGGGCTCAAATGATCCTCCTGCCTCAGTCTCCTGAGTAGCTAGGACTATAGGTGCGCACCACCACACCCAGCCAATGTTTTAAATTTTTTGTAGAGATGGGATCTCGCTTTATTACCTGGGCTGGTCTCGAATTCCTGGCCTCAAGTGATCCTTCTGCCTCAGCCTCCCAAAATGCTGGGATTGCAGGTGTGAGGCACTACACCCAGCTGACGGAAATGTGCTGCATCTTGATAGTCATGGTGGTTTCCTGGGTGTAACCAATTGTCACCACTGATCAGTGATACACTTGAAATAGATGCAGTTTATTGTTCTTAACTTATTCCTCAATGAAGTTGATAACTTAAAGAGAAAAGGAAAAATAGGGGTCCTTAGCAGTGTCAAGGGACCTGGCTGGGGGCACTGGACGTGCCAATGAGGAGAGTCTTGATGATTCTGAGGGCTGCCTGGGTAGAATTTCAGTGGGCAGAAAAGTCAGCATTCCACGCACTCTATTCTTCCTTTCCTCCTTCCCCTCCTCTTTCTTCTTTTTTTCCCTGCTTTGCCTCCTTCTTAAATTCTTCTTTTCTAATTTATAAGACAGCTAGAATAGGAGGGAGATACTGAGGGCTCTGGAGATTTTTATTGTCCCCTTGGGAAGAGGCTACGGGCAGAACTGGAGGAAAAGGTTCGTCGTACTCAGGGGAGAATTTCCAGTCTAGCTGTGGACACTGACCTTTGCATGTCTTTCGTCCCTCCTCCCATACTGGAAAATGAAAGGATTGTTGTGTTTATCATAACACATTTTTGGTCATTTTAGTTTAGTTTGTAATTAGACTATAATTACCTAACCCGGTTGCTTAATAATAAAGACTTCTCACCCCAGGCAGCATGGTGCAAAGGGAATTGTGCCCTCCACCCCAGGGTGGTGATCATCCCAGGTCCCTTTGGCCTTTATATTAACCTACGGTTTGAATCTTGGTCTGACCATTGAGCTGCTGTGTGACCTCAGACAAACCGCTAAACCCTTGTGAGCCTGGTTTATAATACTTGTAATGATCAAATGAGACAGTATGTGAAAATAAACAGAGTGGCTGTCACATGAAAGGTGCCCAGTAAGTATGTGCTGTATCTGAGTCCCTGACAGATACTCAGTACCCGCGAGAGCACGGTACTGTGCCAAGCAAACTAGAAATGCACACACATAGGAAAGAATAGTCTCGGGTGAGTGAATGCATTAAAAAGGTCCATGCGGTGCATTCTCAGATCCCAAAATAGTGCCCAGGACTGAGATGAGAGGTAGGGGCCCAGGAGTTTACTGAAGACAGGACCTTTTCATTGTTTTCCGTGAGAGGGTAAAACTTCACCTGCAGTGTGACAGCGGCCACATCCAAAGACTCAGAGGAGCCAGCATGAGGAGGAGGAGCTGAAAGCGGAGGGAGGTGGTTGGTGCCACTGTGTGTGTGTGTGTGTGTGTGTGTGCGCGTGTGTGTGTTTAGCCAGGAGGGAGCTGTTGGGAAATGCCACCTAAGGAATGTTTTCAAGTGCAATTCTAGCACTTCATGATGTGAAGAATAAATACGATCTCCTTTGTAGTCCCTTGAGACGGGAGGTCGCACAGTCTGGGTGGCTCTGGAGTGGCTGATTTTGGTCCTGGGCTGTTGCTCAGGCTGTGGGGAGGAGCGGTCCCAGGCAGGAATCTGAGGAAGGAGCTACAGGGACTGTGGCCCTTGGCCAGGCAGGACGGAGAGCCTGCTGTGGATTTTCTCAGCGGTTAGAGTCTCTGTTGTCTAAGCTGGGAAAACTGACCATCACTGAGGGAGAAACACTGGTGGAACACTGACAGCTTCCTCAGAAGAAACACATGTGTGCTGCGCCCAGCCTGACATCCATGCCCCAGCCTGAGCACCCATGGTCTCACTTGGTGTCACACAACATACTTCTCCTCTGTCTTCAATGTCAAACCTTTCCCATGGCGAAAATGGGCGGGGGTGGGGCAGGGGGGATATAAGCTACATTTTTCTTAGTGTGGTCAGAGTAGCATATTCTTTTTTTTTGTTGTTTGAAACGGAGTGTTGCTCTGTTACCCAGGCTGGAGTGCAATGGTGTGATCTCAGCTCACTGCAACCTCCACCTCCTGGGTTCAAGTGATTCTCCTGCTTCAGCCTCCGGAGTAGCTGGGATTACAGGCATGTGCCACCATGCCCTGCTAATTTTGTGTTTTTAGTAGAGACAGGGTTTCACCATATTGGTCACGATGGTCTCGAACTCCCAACCTCAGGTGATCTGCTTGCCTCGGCCTCCCACAGTGCTGGGATTACAGGCGTGAGCCACCATGCCTGGCCCAGAGTAGCATATTCTTGATTTGAATTTGTAGACTGGAAAGTTCAGTGTAGTCTGATGATGATGATGATAACGATGATGACAGTATCAAGCACTTGTACAGCACTTACTACTCTTTAAGCACTTTTCCAAACATGTAACATACAGTAATTCATCTCATCATTTAATCCTTACAGCATCCTTGAGGTGAGGTCTTATTGTCATTGCTCCTATTTATAGGTGAGGAAAACTGAGGCATGGAGAAAATGATTCATTTCTAAGTGGTGCAGAAGGATTTGAACCCAAGTCATCTGACTCTAGAGTCCCTCTCGTAGGCATGTGGCTACACTGCTTCTTACCATGTGTGGTATGTATTGGGTGACTCCTTTCTGGCAGGAACAAGCCCATTAGGTTTTTTTTAGGCATCTGTTTCAAAGGGTTCTTCTATATTTGTAAGCCAAACCTTTTTCTTCTGTTTCTCTCCTTCTTGCATCATTATACGATCCATAGTCCTCAGGACACACGGCCCCAGCCTCATCACAAGCAGTACATGCGACAATTTGTCCACCTGCTGTTCTGTCCCTGCCCAGGGCTGAGCACAACAGCCCACAGAGAATGCTTCTGCTGAGAGGTAGATTCTAAGGTGTGGACCCAGGATCTCTTAGGTAGTATTTTGAGACATATTTGGACAAAAGCTACTGAGGCAGTGTAGAAAATAGATACTGCTTGTCTTGAAAGCTAGGTCAAGGCAAATGTTTGTTTGTCTTTTAAAAATTATGGCAGTTAGCTGAAATTGTATTTCAACTGCTAGGAAACTAGAATGGCCAGATCTTAGAAACTGGTGGAGAGGCAGTCAGTTAATAAAAATTTCCCCGGAAGGAGTGATGGGGGAAGGAGAGAGGAGAGGGTGGGAGGAAGGAAAGGGAGGGAGCTGGCCCTTCCAGAGCAGTCATTTCCGGATTCTGTGGCCTTTCAGTGAACACAGAGGTCTTTCGAGGCCTCTCAGAGCTCTGGCTGCCTTCTCCAGTCTTTGGCTGTGGGAGGCAGCATGGGAGGAGCCTGAACTGGCCTGACAGGGGCTGTCCTTTGCCCGCAGGGCACCCGTTCACCCCCAGCTGCAGCTCATGCCATATGTTGGCAGGGCCTGTGTTTCTGTGTCTTCTTTCCCAGCTGGCCTGGGAGCTCCTGGAAGGCAGGGCCTCTGCCACCTTCTGCTCTGCATCTCAGCACTTGAGTAGAGTCTGGCATAGACTCTACTTAGATTAGAGCATGGGCTCAGTACATACTTATCAAATTCAGTTGGCATCAAGAAGCCTGGATTCAAACATTTGCTTGGTGATCGTAGGCAGTGACTTGTAATGAACTAGAATATCAGTATTTTTGAACTGTAAAACCTCTACTACATTGGATTAAATACGGGACCATGTAAAGAGGCCACATAGAGGAGGCCTTCAATCAGGGTTTCCTTCTTTTTTTTTTGGCGGTCGAGCGTAAGCAGTGTCAGATCCCCATACAGAAACCACATCCACCAGGGAGTTCCTCATTGATCCTCACCCATCCTATTAGCCAGGGACTGAAACTTCAAAAAAGAATGGATTCCCTTTTTAGAATATTGCAAAAGATCATGTCTGTTGTGGTTAAAGAATTGCCTTAAATAACATATCATTTTCACTTGAATATCCTGCAACAGGGGAACACTCGTGTTCATCCTTTCTTTCAGCATGTCCAATATACGTACAAGTTACATGGGAGGAGGCTGTATAAAGGTAGTGGTGAAACATCAGCTTGGAGGCAGCCTGGTTTTTAATAAGATGTACACAGAACTTTTATGAAGACAGACATATTCTGGGACAGAAAGCAATTTTCAAATTTAAAAAGATTCAAGCCATACAAAGTGTGTTCTTTGATTACAGTGGAATTACATTAGAAATAAGTAACAGAAAGATTATCTGGAAAATCTCCAAATCCTTAGAAACTAAATGACACATTTCTAACCCACAGTCCAAAGAAGAAATTAAAAGGGAAATTAGAAGCTATTTTAAACTGAATGAAAATAAAAGCCCATCATATCAAAATGTGTGAGATGCCACTAAAGCAATGCTTAGTGCTGCTGGGGGTGGGGGAACATATAGCAGTAAATGTCTGCATCAGGAAAGGTCTCAAAGCAATGGCCTGAGCTTCCACCTTAGGAACCAGGAAAAGAAGAGCAAATTAAACCCAAAGCAAGGTGGAGAAAGGAAATAATAAAGATAAAAGCAGAAATCAGTGAAATAGAAAACAGAAAAACATGCTGGGCACAGTGTAATTACACGCCTGTAATCCCAGCACTTTGGGAGGCCAAGGCGGGTGGATCACTTGGGGTCAGGAGTTTAAGACCAGCCTGGCCAACATGGTGAAACCCCGTCTCTACAAAAAATATAAAAAATTAGCTGGGCGTGGTGGTGCATGCCTGTAATCCCAGCTACTCGGGAGGCTGAGGGAGGAGAATCACTTGAACCTGGGAGGTGAAGGTTGCAGTGAGCCGAGATTGTGCCACTGCACTCCAGCCTGGGTGACAGAGTGAGACTCCATCTCAAAAAAAGAAGATAAAAAAAAGAAAACCAATAAAGAAAATCAGTGAAACAAAAGCCGATTCTTTGAAAAGGTCAATACAATTGATAAACTTGTAGCCATAATGATAAATGGAAATAAGGAGAGAAGACACATTACTAACATTAGGAATGAGAGAGGTGACATCACTACAGATTCTATAGATATTATGCACAAGCTTGTGCCAGTAAATCCAACAACTTAGTTGAAATAGGCCTGATATTGTTACCAGTGGAGAATGTCCAGGTTCTTCGCGTTTTGAACAAAGAATTGGACAAAACACACAAAGCAATGAAAGAATGAAGCAATGAAAGCACAGATTTGCTGAAACGAAGGTACGCCCCACAGACTGGGAGTGGGCTGGAGCAAGTGGCTCAAGAGTGCTGGTTACAGAAACCTCTAGGGGTTTCCCATTGGTTACTTGGTTAGACCCTATGTAAATGAAGTAGTGGCCTGCAACCAGTCTGATTGGTTGCAGAAGGTGACCAATCAGAGGCTGAAGTGAATTTTCAAAGTTACACCCCTGTGCAGATGAAGGCTAGGCCTGTGACCAGTCTGATTGTTTGCGGGAGAGGACCTATCAGAAGTACTTTCCATTTTTCATCTGCAATGCAGAAAGTGAGGAGGGTTGGAAAGAGAACAGCCTCTGATCCTTTTGTTACCTGAGTGTGGAAAGTTAGGGTTTTCCTTTTGATTCACTTCTAGTCAGTCTGTGCAAACCAGCCTTAGTTTCCCTGCCTCCAGACCCTATTCTCCTGCCTTAACATTGTAATATAATAAGAAATACATATTTGCTCTCTGCTCCAGGTCCTTGGCACAGAACTCCTAAAACTCTTACAATTTCCTGAGCAATCAGTTGCTATGTACATCTTTTGTTATAATATTTCATCTTTGACCGCAGTTCTTGACCCAGATCTCCTAATCTGTTGGAATTTCCTGGGTGATAGGAGTGTCTTTTGTTCTAATGAGGCATGTCTTGGTGGGCACCTAAGTGGGTGCTGGTCACCAGAAAGACCAAGCCACAGTTAGAAACTTGGAACTTTCAGCCCTACCCCCATCCTCCAAAAAGAGGAAGGGGGCTGGACATAGGGTTAATAATTGATCATGCCTATATGATAAAGCCCACATAAAAATCCCTGAAGAACTGTGGGGTTCAGAGAGCTTCTGGGTTGCTGAGCATATGTATGTGCTGGGAGAGGGGCCCAGAGAGGGCACGAGAGCTCCATGCTCCTTCCCTCAAGCCCTGACCTGTGTGTCTCTTCATCTGCTGTTCATCTGTATCCTTTATCACATCCTTTATTAATGTAATAAGTAAATATAAGTGTTTCCCTGAGTTCTGGGAGTTGCTCTAGCAAATTATTGTACCCTCAGAGAGGGTCATGAGAACCTCAATTCATAGCTGGTCAGCCAGAAGTATAGGTTGACAACCTGGAACCTAGAATTGGCATCTGAAGCTGGAGTCAGGCTTGTGGGCCTGAGACTTTAACCCGTAGCATCTAACTCTAACGCCAGCTCCAGGTAAATAGTGTCAGAATCAGCCAGGCACAGTGGCTCACGCTTGTAATCTCAGCATTTTGGGAGGCCGAGGTGGGCGGATCACTTGAGGCCAGGAGTTCGAGACCAGCCTAGCCAACATGGCGAAACCCCATCTCTACTAAAAATACAAAAATTAGCTGGGCATGGTGGCACATGCTTGTAATCCCAGCTACTTAGGAAGCTGAGGCACAAGAATCGCTTGAACCCGGGAGGCGGAGGTTGCAATGAGCCGAGATCATGCCATTGCACTCCAGCCTGGGTGACAGAGTGAGACTCTTGTCTCAAAAGAAAAAAAAAGTGTCAGAATTGAATTGAATCGTAGGACACTCTGTTGATGTCTTCTGGAGAATTACTTGATATGTGGGGAAACCCCCCACCCACATTTTGGTGACATGAGGTATTCTGTGTTGAGTGTGGGAGTAGGAAAGAGAGTTTTGTTTTTGCTGTCTCATACAGGAAAATTTCTTAATAGGTATAACCTTTCAAAACCTCCCCTCAAACACACAACAAAACAAAACAAAACAAAACAACAACAACAACAACAAAAACCCTCTAGGCCCAGATGGCTTCAGTGGGGAATTTTACCAGACATTTAAGAAAGAAATTCTACCAACTCTACATAAACTCTTCCAGAAACTTGAAAAGGAAGGAATACTTCCCAACTCATGCTATGAAGCTGGCAATACCCTGATACTAAAGATAAAGATATTACAAGAAAAGAAATGTACAGACAAGTATTGAATTCAACAATATGTAAAAAAGCCATTATGATCAAGTGTGGTTTATCCCAGGAATGCAAGATTAGTTTAACATTCGAAAATCAATGTAATTCACCACTTTAAAAAACTAGGAGGGGGAAAAACCCCTCTAATCATGTCAGTAATGGAAAAGCATTAGGCAAAACCCAGCCTCTATTGCTGATACAAACAGCACACTAGAAATAGAAGTGAGCCTCCTTAAGTTGATAAAAAATATCTGCAAAAAACCTACAGGTAACATACTTGCTGGTGAAGGACTGAATGCTTCCCCCTAAGATCAGTAACATGGTCAGGGTATTCACTTTCACCACTTTTATTCAACACAGTATTGCAGCTTTTAGCCAGTACAGTTAGGCCAAAAAGAAATACAAGGCTTCTAAATAGGAAGAAGTAAAATTGTTTTTATTGATAGACAATGTGACTGTGTAGAAAATTCAATAGAATCTACAAAAAAATCTCCTAGAACTAATATGAGTTCAGCAAGCTTGCAGGATACAAGATAAATATATGAAAATCTATTGTATTTCTCTATACCAGCAACAATTGGAAATAAAAATATACTGTTTACAATAACATCAACAATATTAAATAGGAATATATCTGACAAAAGATGAACAATATTTGTACACTGGAAATTATAAACCATTGCTGAGATAAGTTAGTTCTTAACTGAGAGTAGAGATAAATCATGTCCATGGGTGAGAGGATTCATTAGTGTTGAGATGTCAGTTCTCCCCAAATTGATCTACAGATTTAAGGCAATCTCAGTCAAAACCCCAACAGGGAAATTTACAAGCTGATTCTAAAATTCCTTTTTTTTTTTTTTTTTTTGAGATGGAGTCTCACTCTGTCACCCAGGCCGGAGTGCAATGGCACAATCTTGGCTCACTGCAACCTCCGCCTCCCGGGTTCAAGCAATTCTCCTGCCTCAGCCTCCTGAGAAGCTGGGATTACAGGCACCTGCCACCATGCCTGGCTAATTTTTGTATTTTTTTAGTAGAGACAGGGTTTCACCATGTTGTCCAGGCGGGTCTTGAACTCCTGACCTCAGGCGATTGAACCACCTCGGCCTCCCAAAGTGTTGGGATTACAGGCATGAGCCACGGCACCCAGCCCTAAAGCTCTTAAGGAAATTTAAAGGACCTAGAATAGCCAAAACAATTTTGAGAAAGATCAACAAAGTTGGCAGACTAACATTACCTGATTTCAGGATTTACTATAAATAAATCTGTACTTTTTAAGACAATATGGTATGGGTATAAACATAGACAAATAAATAGATCAGTGATTCAGCCATTCCACTCAGAGATATTTACACAAAAGAAATGGAAGCATATTCCATACAAAGATTTGTACATGAATGTTTTAAACAACTTTATTTATAATAGCCCCAAACTGGAAACAACCCACATTTCTACCAACAGGTGGATGGATAAATTGTGGTACATCTTTATGATGGATGCTACTCAGCAACAGAAAAGGAATGAACTATTAATCCATGCAGCAGTGTAGCTGAATCTCCAAATAATAGTGCAGAGTGAAAGAAGCCACACTAAAAAGTACAGTGTTATGATTCCATTTATGTAAAACTCTGGAGAAGGAAAACTAATCTGGAGTGACAGAAAACAGGTCAATTTTTTCCTGGGAATGGGAGGAGGGAGATTGCACAGAAGCATGAAGAAGAAACTTTTGGAGGTGTTGGATGTTTCCATGATGTTAGATCATGCAGATAGTATGCTTGTGGTTGTTGTCTGCCTTAAATACGTTCAGCTTATGGCATTTCAATTATGCCTTAATAAAGCTGCTAAAAAAAAAAAAACTCACTGGGAACCTTGTAGCCTCTTTCCCAACCATTCTACTCAAACTTCTCTCATCTAAGACACACTGGCCCTTTCTTGCCCGATCCATTATATTTGTCTCTGTCCTTGATTTACTTAACTTCTCATTGCACTTGACTTAGGTGAGCACCTCTTTCTGCTAGAAACACTTTTCCTTCTTGGCTTCTGAACAGCACATTCTCTTGGGTTTTTCCCCTAGCTCTTGTGGCTCCAAGTCCTCTAGCAAACCTCATTTGTTAGGGTCACCTTTGACCCTATCTTCCTCTCTATTTATACTCTACTCAGCTCCAACGTTATCCCACCTAGTCCTGCAATTTAAAGCAGCAGCATCTGTACATCCCAACAGAATTTTCTGGGATAATAGAAAGAGTCCCTATCGGCATTGTCCACATGGCAGCCACTAGCCATCTGTGGCTATGGAGTACTTGAAATGTGGCTAGCGTGACTAACAAATGAATTTCAAATTTTATTTATTTTATTTAATTTCAATTTAAATAGCCACATATGGTTAGTGGCTACCGTATTGAATAGTCCAGGTCTAGATCACTGTATGTTTACAAACTGTGGGTGGGAACACATTTGCTGGTCTTGACTTTTATTTTTTCAGAATAAAATAAATTCTATTTTTCACAAAATATTTGTTTCAGGCTGGTATCTCCAGGGCTCACACATAGTTGTTTTTTTGGTTTGGTTTTGTATGTAAGTTGAAAGGCACTGATCTAGATGCCAGTAATGTCCATGTTAATGTTTTCAACCATGAGCTGAGGCCCAAAGTCATATTTGTCATCCTGACATCTCATCACAAATCTGTAAGCCTGGTGTTTTTCCCTCCAGTTTTCCCACACCTCAGCAAATGGCACTATCTTTTCCTCCAGTTGATGCGGAACAGTGACCTTAATTTTCTGCTTTCCTGTTCCCCCTCCCCGCCACACCCTACTCCCACACTCAGTCCAGCAGCAAGGTCTACTGGCTCTGCCTCCTAAATGGGTCCCGGGTCTACCCACTTGTTTCCATCTGGGTTTCTATCAACATACTCTAAGCCCATGGCATCTCTTGCCTGGAGTACTGCTGTAGCTTTAAACTGGTCTGTGATTCACTGTTATCTTCATAAGACCCACAGTGGCCAAAGGAATCTTCCAAAGCCATAAATCAGATGCTGCTGCTGCCCTACTCCAGAGCCTCCAAGAGCTTTCCACCGTGATGCTCTGTTGTCACCTTACTGTGCCTATGAGGCCCTGGTGACTGGGCCCAGCCCTCCGCCACAGTCACCCTGTCCATTCTGTGCCAGGGACTTCCACTTCCTTGCTTATTTATCTTCAGGGCTCTGCACATGTGCTGTGACCTAGGCCCGCCAGATCTTCCCAAGATGGCCCCTCTCTGTTAATTCGTCTTAACTCAGAGGTGATTTCCTCAAAGGAGCAGCACTTCTCTGACTAAATCAGTGTCTGTAACCCAAGTTGGAGTGATAGTATTTTAGGAGTAAATGAGATACATTGTTACTGAAATAGAGTGCTTTTGAGTAATAGGAGCCAAGAGCCATCAAAGTATTCTTGACTAGAGATCCTTGAATTTTCTTTGCAAATCATCTGTAATCAACAAAATCCTTCTGTGCAAGTGATACTGCCAAGTTTCTGTATGGAGAATAAATATTGGTCTTGCTATTTTTTAACTTACTCGACTGAGCACCCCATTATGCAAATTTAATGAGCAGTTTAAAATATGCATATTATGCACAACATAGTGTATTAAGATATAGATGTATAAATTATGTTAATATAAAATTTAAAATGAGAGTATTTCATTAATGTGAATATATCATATGCACAAGGCAAATAGCATTTATTTAAACTTTTTAATCTCTGAAATTTATGTACATCATGGTTAGCTTTGTGAGAAAGTTTGAATTTGATTTAGGTTACCAAATTTGATTTCAATTATCCAAATTTAAATTTGATTGTCATGAAGAGAAAGGGTCTGTAGGGTCGATTATTCCTTATGTAATTTTAGTCTTTACTTTTGAAAATGTGTTATTAAAATAGTGCAGAAAAATTACCAGTTATTAACAAAATAAATTATAGGGTTTGTGATTTTTGACCTTTGCTTTAAAAAAAAAACAAGCTTACATTCAAATACTGAAACTTTTTGTAGTAGTCATATGCATAACAGATTCCAAAAACAACAGAATTGAAACTGTATGTGCAGAATACTATGTATTGGTTAAACCACATAACACAGGAGGCAATAGGAAATGCATTTACATTTGCAAAATGAAAATTGAATATAAATAGGAAAATGTGGCATGATTTTATCCTAGAAAATTATTTAAATCAGAATAGACAGTGTTCAGAAAATTAAAATAAGGCCTCCATTTTACTTCACTTGTATTTCATTCTGTACAAGTTCAGAAATGGTGGTGATTAAAATATTTAAGTCACTTTACATTCTTCTGGGATAGCTCTCCAAAGGGAATAATCCAAGCTACAGACAAAAATTTATGTACAAAGACATTAGTTATGGCATTTTTTATAATTTTGAAAAGTCAGGAGCCATCCAAATATCCAGTGGTGGGAGGAATTAAGCAGATTGTATAACATCCTTACAAAAAGATTATATAACCACTAACATTAATTTTTAGGAAGATTGTTTAATGTGGGAAAAAGCATCTGACATAATGCTAGGTGAAGAAAAAGGATATATTTATATGGTATGATCTTAATTAGGTGAAAACAATATATTTTCTTCAATATCCATAGAAGAAAATATATTAATAGCAGTTAATTCTGAGGACTGCATTGTTGCTGGTTGTATTTTCCAGGTTTTCTAGAAAAAACACATATTACTTTTATAATAGGGAAAAGATTATTCATAAAATAAATTTTGGTGCTAATATAATATTAAATATTTAGGGTTACTGTGCTTTATAGCCAGAGAGTAGTGCAGGGCTCATTTAGTCTGGGAGCTCATGAGTGAGGATTATAATTGATAAGGGAGATTGAGAGCTGTTTTTCAGATGGCTCCATGGACAGCAAAGTTCCTCGGTGTTTTTGCTCTCAGATAGTCCCTGATGTGCTCAGTTCTGTCACTTACTGACTGTCGCTTGCTGATCAGAAAGTCTGATTGGCTGTTAGCTTTGTATTTGACAAATATAAAACAGGAAGACCAGGTAGTTGTTACCTAATAAATATGACTTATCTGGTGGCCAAACATTTTAAAACAGGAGGCAACAATGAGAGATTCCTGATTGTGTAAAGTGGGAACCATTCTGGATCATTTTTCAGTCTTTAGGTTCTGATCGATTTACAGGTCATGAAATCCTTTTAGTGAGTCTTCCCTAGCATTACTTTGTAAATGAAATTAGAGTAGAATAGAAATACCAGAGTGCATGGCATGTAGTAAGTATCCTGTAAGTTTTAATTTCAGATGTGTGTTTGTAGGTACCGGATTGTAACATAAAGTGTGTTTTTGTTTTGGTGTGGTTTTTTTATCTATAGTTTGCTGTCAAAAAACTTCAAAGACTCTTAGTGTGATCTACACCAGTGGTGTGCAGTATTCTCCAGTGATAAGTAGCATCAGTGTCACCTGGGAGCTTGTCAGAAATGTACCTTATTGGGCCCCACCCAGATCTACTGAATCACAAACACTAGTGGTGGGTCCCAGCACTGTGTGGTCCTTAATGAGTCCCTGTCTTAGTAGTCAATTTTCTGTTGCTGTAAGAGAATATCACAGGCTGGGTATTTTATTATAATAGAGGTTTATTTAGCTCACAGTTCTGGAGGCTGGGAAGTCCAAGAGCATGGCACTGGCATCTGGAGAGGGCCTTTTTGCTGCGTCATGTCATGGTGGAGGTTGTCACATGGTGAGAGGACAAGTGTGTGCCAGCTCAGGACTTTCTTCTTCTTATAAAGTCACCAGTCCCATCTTGGGGGCCCTACTCTGATGACCTTATCTAATCCGAACTACCTCCCAAAGGCCCTACCTCCAAATGCCATCAACATATTAATTTGAGGATTAAGTTTCCAATACATGAAATTTGGAGGACACATTCAAACCATAGCAGTCCCCCTGGTGATTCTGATGCACACTCAAATTTGAGGCACACTAGTCCAGCCTTGCCATTCTTGGTGAGGTTCAAGGACTAACACTGGCATCACCTGTGAGCTAGTTGGAAATGCAGAATCTCAGACCCCAACCTGGACAGGCTCACTCAGAATCTGTGAGATCACCAGTTAATTTATTTGCATGGTAATGTTAAATAGCTCTGATCTCAACACAAATGCCTCAGGGGCCAAGTAGGTCATGTCAGTAGTGAAAGTAGCCTGGTTTCCCCCGTAAAGAAAGTAGAACAATAAGAAGGCATTGTGGTGTGAAGTTTTAGTATTCTTGATTTGTTTTTAAAAATCCTGTATTATACCAGTGGGGGTTAACACATTCAACCAAATTCATCAACTAAGGTTAACTGCAGTTGACATCAATTACTTTAAGCAGATTTTTAAACACAGAATTTTAATAGTGACCCTCATATTAACTTCTTCTGATCTCTTTTAGGAATTTATCAAAGAGCTGCTTTCTCGGATAAGAGGCATGAGGAAACTGAGCCCTCCGCAGAAGAAGAGTGTATGATTCTGGAACAGGGTGAAACTCTCCCAGAGACGAAGAAAGAGTCCTGGGATTTGTACTTCATGAAGACTTTTGTGAAAGAATAGGTGTCCTTATGAACAACGTTTTTGTTTTTTTTTTTTTCTTTTTTGGTGTGAAGGTGGGGGGGTCTATTAGACATTTATTCAAGAGCGTTCTTTTTTTGGTTTTAAAGGTTTTTGTTAATGTAATATTTTAATAGCAAAGATATCATGACTCTAGCCACAGCCTAACCAAGGATTATCAAAGGAGGTGGACACTCAAGGAAGGGCCACGCCAGGCTGCGTTTCCTGCAAGGACTCAGATGTTCAGTACCTTATGATACAGGGAAGATAGTTTTCTTACAAGTAGTTTGGTAATATTTTTTTTCTTAAGTTGTACATTTGACTCAGCTGTCAAATTTCTCACACTTGTATATATCTACACACAACTAAGTTAAAATGTTGATGTGAGTTTTATTTCACATGGATGGAATAAACTTGTGGTTGTCCTTTAACTGGAGGTCCCAGCACATGTGTTTTCAAGAGGCCACTAGGCATTCTTCACTGAGTGCTGCTGACTTCAACGTTCACTTTATGCACCAAAGTGAAAGAATTCAGTGTATCCGTTATTTTAATGCACTACACCACAGAAATGTTAAGTTGGTCAAGGGCTTAATTTATGGAATTTCTATTATTTCATTGGTTGGGATGCTTTGCCAGGTCATGTGCTTATTGTCTCATTTTGTAGTCTTTTAAAGTTGTATGAACCCTTAATTTGAAGAACTAACTTGATTTCTAGAGAAATATCCACACTATCTCAGTGGTATTTTGCATTGGAAAAAGGAAGCACTGTGTAGCAGTGAATTGTCTGCTTTCCACCGAGTACTGTGTTTATTCTCTCTCCAGGAAAGCAGATCAAAAGAAAGTTAGCAGATCGAGTGTCTTCTTCCTTAGAAATAGGTTCTGGTAGCTTCTGTGCCTGGGTAGTATCAGACCAGTGGGAGTAAACCGAGTGTTAAGTGTCAAGGTGAGAAAGCCTCACATTCTCTCAAGACAGTTGCTCTAGGAGCTGAGTTGCTGGTTTGGAAGTGTGGAGATTGCATTTCTGGCTTCTCTCAATGGCTTGTGTTGAGGACTCTGGGTGCTCCTGGCCCTAATTGTGCACCCTGATCCCCGTGCTTGGAGCTAGGCCTGGTGGCGTGCTCTAGCCCTCTCAGTTACCAGCTCTTTGGAGAAGGATCAAAATTCAGATGGAATGTGGGATGGGTAATAGGTGAGAGTAGAAACCCTTCCCTCCAGGAGGCCCCCGCTGACTCCCACAGAAACCCACCTACCATAAGATGTCTTCAGGTGGCCTTGTCCAAGGATGGGGGTCAGGCATTTTATATCAAGGGTGCTCTGAACATATTTTATTTTTTAAAAAAACTATGTTTGTGAATTTTGCGTATACTGGCAAGCTTTTGAAAATGTATTTAATTTTGTATTGTTTACCAATGATTTATTTACAAGATATTTACTCAAATAAATGGAGCTGCTTACAAGCCTGTTGACATGTGTGGCTTGCACAACACGTTAACATGATGGTTTTGCTGTGTCAGTTTCTCTGCAGAGGTGAGGACCAAGCACCTCACCTCGTTTCATTTCATTTTCAAGGATTTCTAGGCATGTAATCCTGGCCCTCTCCTCAGGCATCTTCAGATCAGGTGGTGAAAGCAAAGGAGCTGGGCCACATTCTTGGGCTGAGAAAGAAGACGAGCTCTGTGTGCTCAGCCTGGCACTGTCCTAGGCCATGCTCCTTTCATTTAATTAAAACTCCTCTTTGCCATCTTACAAGAACCCTCAAAAACATTTCAAATTAGTAAACTATTCCACTTGTTAGAATGCCTTGCACCATGGAAGTCGGAAAAATACAGAATGGGCAGGATTTCTGTTAGGCTTAATTGACCAGCCCATGTGATGGTCTCAGATGAAGTAAGAATTGACTTTTCCTCCAAAGGCCTCTGCTCCCACCACACACTTCCTCCCCACCTTCCCTCCTGCCCTGATCCCCGTGAGTGCTTCAGCAAGAAGTTTGGGCCTCTTCCTTGACTCCCCAGTATGCTCCCAGTCACCCAGCTTGTCCTCTGTGAATACTTCTCAAACCTATCCCATGTCCAACTTTCCTGGATTGCTGCCACCACCTTGGGAACAGATTCTCCATGTCCAGGCTTGTCTCCCTCTGATCCATCCTCCACCCAGTTGCTAGAATAGTCTGACGACTCCACCCCCTGCTTGAAACCCGAACCCTCTGCATGCCTTATGAGAAATGTTGTCTCTGCCTCTCCCACCTCATCTTTTGGCCTTGTGCTCATGCCCAGTTCTGCCAAATTCCTTGGAGTTTCTGGCGTGTTCTATGTATTTTCTTCTCTGGTGCTTTGTAAAATCTGTTGCCTTGGCCCAGAACGCCCCCTCTGCCAACAGGCTGTATCCAGAGAGCTGGGTTAGACCCCCTCCTAGGTGTGTTCCCCCTCAGCTCCAGCCTATACTCTGTCATAGACGCATCCACAGTATCATTATTGCCTATCCATTTGTTGGTGTCTTCTGTTAGAATCTGGGATCCTCGAGGCTGGGAATCTGGACTTCACCAAGCATCTGGTCCTAGGCTTGGCCCATCAAAGAGATTGTGTGTTTGCCAGTTGAATGAAAATGACAAAAGATTCAAGAAAACTCCACTGTTTTCTTCCCAGCTAGAGTTGTGGTTCTTAGATCTGAGTGTACATTTGAATCACTGGGAAGCTTTAAAAACAATGGAAGCCTAGGCCTCAGTCAATTCTGACCAGTTAAATCAGCGTCTCCAGGACAAGAGCTGGGGTGTTTGTTTTCAAGCTCTCCAGCTTGCGCATCGCTGGGCCATTGGGTCACTCTTGTGCCATTGGATGGCCAGATGCATTAGCCTGACCTCAGCTCTCCATGTTTATGCTATTACAGCAGGTGGCAGCTGTGGTATTAGCACACTCACTATTTCTCATACAGAGTCTTCTCACTAGGGCAATGGCTCCAAATTATCCAACTTCTAGTGCCGCGCTCACTTGAACATTGGGAAATCTCAATGTAAACTTCATGGAGTGGCTTCCATTTATAACGATCATAATAAAAGCACTGTGCTAAGTGCATGCTTTATCTCATTTAATCCTGACCTTAACCTTATGAGGCAGGTGGCATTCTCATTTTACAGATAAGAAAATAAACTCAGGCTTAGCAGCTTACCTAAGTCCACACAGCTACAACACTGAGATTCAAACCCAAACCTATTTGGCTCCAAAGTCCCATAACCATTAGACTTTCTTGCCACTCTTAGGGAATTACTCTTAGTCCCACTCACAAGAGTGAACCCCAGAAGCCACATTTAAAGTGAGCCAGGTCCCTGAGCTGGCAGGGTAGGGGAGGAGGCCTTGTGGATGGAGGAGATCCCAGCCACCTGTGGGGCTCTTCCTCACTCCTGGGAACTGAGGGACTCCCTGCTCCCCATCTGCAGTGCAGCCAGGCCCTGTGATGCTGGCCCTCCTTATCCAGAGTCCTCTTGCCTTTTCCCCATAACATAAAGCTCCTGGACTTGGGCTTAGCAGCTGAGCAAGGAGTATCCAGCCATCAGTTTCCTGAGAAAGAGCAGCTCAGGACAAGGTGATTTTCAATTCCTGAAACACAGGAATTAAACAGGTTTTTACTTATTTATCACTGACATAGTTTGGATATTTGTCCTCTCCAAATCCCATTTTGAAATTTGATCTCCAGTGTTGGAGGTGAGAGGTGTTTGGGTCATGGGGGCAGACCCCTCATGAATGGCTTGGTGCCATTCTCCTGGGATTGAGTGAGTACTTACTCTTAGTTCCCTCTAGATCTGGTTGTTAAAAAGAGCCTGGCACCTCCTCCCCTCTCTGTCTTACGTCCTCTCTTGCCATGTAACAAGCCGGCTCTCCTTCTGCCGTGATTGGAAACTTCTGAGGTCCTCACCAAAAGAAGATGCTGGTGCCATGCTTCCTATACAGTCTGCAGAAGCACGAGCCAAATAAACCTCTTTTCTGTATAAATTGCCTGCCCTCAAGTACTTCTTTATAGTAACACAAACAGCCTAAGACAATCACCTAAAGTCTCCATAAAAGATTGTGTGCTGTGCAAAATCAGCTTTTGGAAACCTAAGCTGTTTTTGACATGACTGCTGTTTAGCAAGAGAGTGGCAGGTCCACAGCTACTGGACACATCCCCATCCCTACTCAGCCACCCTATTTTTGCCTCTGAGTGAAAGGTTCTGGGGCTTCCCTCTGCTTCCTGGGAACCTTTCCTGGAATCTAGCCACTTTGAGAGTGAGCCTGTGTAGTCATGAGTCATATCTGTCCCTCTATGGCCCCTATCTACTTCCTTTGACTCTTGTCTTTGGGTGCTCAGAGTCAAGGAGTCAGCACGCTTCAGTGCTGCTGCATAGCCTAAGAGAGAAGTGCTGTGGGTGGCAGGGACCCTTGTCTGTTGTCTAAGAAAACAAAACTCCTATCGGGTAGTTGGAACTTTCTGAAAGCCATTTTCAAATTGGACACAAGCATACCACTATTTTCCCCTACTGGTTTCTCTTTGCTTGAATTAATTTTAACCCAAATAGTCCTGGAGAATTATTCCTCAGAACTAGTCTCATTTCCTTGAGGGCTTGGGGTACAACCCACTGTGTGTTTGTAATTTGCCTGTGAAAATGGAGTGGCTTCTCAGTCTTCTATGAGTGAGAAAGAACAGTGCAGGCTTCATGGAGTTCCCACCCAACCCCACTCAGAAACAAATGCTGGAAATGCTTCACTAATAGCCTTCTTGTGCGGCCATGAAGGCCAACCAGTTCTCTCTTGCTGACTGGAACATCTTGCCTGGGGATGGATTGTTCTTTTAAGACTGGATTGTTCTCTGCCTCCCGTGTCTCTGTGGGTGTTCCCATCACAACACATTAGCAGACATTTCAATAAGACTGATACTAGAACAGCTACAAACGAAGTCCTTGAGAAACCTGCTTTTCTGTTGTTTTATTGAGTCAATTGGATAAATAAGGGCAGATTAGTGTCTGGTGTGTGTTTTCTTCATGCTCAGTCTCCTTGGTGGGGTGTAAATGAAACTAGCGGGGTGGGCTTCTTTGGGCTCACCTTGTTCCAGTGGATTCTAGGAGGTAATTAGTTCCAGCAAGCACAGGGGGTAAAGAAGAGTGCATTCTAAACATAGGCGCTGTATAGACTTAATTGTAATTCAGTGTTCAAGTTGTTAGGAGACATTTCTACATGGTTCTCATGTTTCTGCATGTCTTGTGAGTGAGACTGCCTTTGTTCCAGACCCTTTTTTCAAGAACGTTTATATGTATAGCAAACAGTCTTGGAAGTTAGAGATAGTGTCTCCATGCAGAGCAAAGCTGTCTATTATAAAAGATATGGGTTCCCTAAGTGTCGAGCCCCTTTCCTGGGATGCGACCCACTGCATGCACGGGCGTCATCTGTCCTTCTTTGCAACACCCTAGGAGAACTGGGGCTCGAGAAGTGCCACTACTCTAGCCACTGCTATTGCTGTAACTGTCCTTCCTCTCTGACTCAGGAATGTAGCATCTTCTACCAGCATCTATGAAACTGACAGGCTAATTTGTTAGCTTACAGTAATGTAAAACCTTAGACCCTATACAAGTCTTGACAATGGTCAGTTGTCTTGGTCTCTTTCAATAGGACTTGAATCATTTTTGTCATTAATAGACATTTTCTTATATTTAGACTCTGATTGATTAATCATTTTCAAATGCATAGGGTCGGAAGTTTCCTTTAAAGAGATTTCATGCCTGGAAGTGGTTGTTCTGTGGAAGGAATTTAATTTCACAAAAGCCACCTTTTCTTTTCCTCGTTGTTGGTAACGTGAAGCGAATGTTGCCTGGGGTGAAAAGACTCATGAAAGAGAGATGGAGAGATGGACTGTCCTGGGAGTTTACAGCAAAATTACCCAGTAGAGTGAGGCAGAGAAGACAAGCAAAGATTCTTGCCTCGAATCTTTCTGTTTAAAATATGTATCTACATAATATGAGTGGTGCATCATCACTGGCAATTTTGAAATTCCCCAGTTAATCTCTAGAAGCAGTTTTGTGAACTTACTTGCAGTATCACGGCCCACCCAGTGGTTACCAAAAATAGAAATTGAAGTCAGGGAATATCTGAGGCTACCAGATTGATTCTATTCAGGTCGCTAAATGATTCACATAAAGTGTAACCCAACACACCCTCCGGGTCACAAGATGCTTGAGGGTGAGTGATTTACTATTTGGTTTTCTGTTATTAGTAGCACAAAATTACTCCTTTGGTGTTGATTAGATTTTTAAAAGGGAACATTTCTAACTCAGACCTCCTTTCTGATAGCTCATGGATAAGGGACAAATAAGCTTATTTGTCTTTTCTTAAATATCCTTCTACAGCACTTAGGGTAGCACCTTGCTCTTTTTGGCTGTAATCTCAACATGGGGAATCAGTATGTGTAATCTATAGTGTTTCATCCTCACGGAATACCCCAGAGCCATAGAGAATCACCTCTTTCTGTAATTGGTAATGAGAGAATTAACCAAAACCTCTCAAACTGATTTAAAAAAAATGCATAGTTTTTTTTTCTCCTAATCTTATTTTCTATCTGAAACATCTGTGCTTATTTGAGAGCTGGGAAACTCGCTACTTAAATCTTTAATCTAGGATGTCTTAAAATTATAGTTCATGTGGACTTAGTGAGGTCCTCATAATCTCTGAAACTGTGTAGGAGATGGAACTTAGAAAGGAGAGACAGATTGAGGTGAGCCACACATAGAGCAACAGAGAGAGATGGTGATCCCAAGACAGGATGCTGGAATGAAGAGAGCCAGAGAGTAGCAGACAGGCATGAGCATGTGTGGGAGGGTCCATGCCACATTGGGGTCTCAAAGTGTCCATACCTCGAACAGGTGAAGAGCCAGGACCCAGAGCCTTGGAGCCCAGGCCCACAGGAGACTGCAGCCACCCAGGGAGCCAGGGCTCGGGTGTCCCAGGAATAGCCAGGGTCAAGCTCTGCCTCCCATCCTCAGGCTCAGCCTTCACCTTGATCGGATTTCCTGGTCTCCTTCATTCCCACATCATCCACTCTGCTGAATTCCTTCCATAGATGATCACTTCTCCCCAGGACACCGCCCCAGCAGCAAGTAACAGCCTGCCTGGCAGCGAGCCTTGCACGGGCCCATCCCCACCCGCTCACAGGCACACACTGGCTTGTTCAGGAGGTGGGTTCCAGCTCTCTTCTTCCTCCCTGCACTCCATGTTGGGTTGCTTCGCCTGTGGGTTCTCATGCTTACAAGCCCTTGGTGTAACTTTGCCTCCAACCCGTTCAGCATCACGTCAACTTCAATTGCCAATGCCCTAACCCACTCCCTTATGCTTCCATCATCTTGTTTAGGCTATCAGACAAACAAATTAAGACAGACATGTGAATACTGCCATGCAATACAGAGCAATGGATGGGAGGAAAGTCCATATTTTGTCGTCTTATCTCCAGGAAGAAATGAAGGCGGGAAGAGTAAGAATGATGCCCTGTTCCTTAACAAAACACTTTGTGCATTCTTTATTGTGTCATAGCTGTGCAAGGAAACAAAGCTATTGCATTTTATTTGGGCTGGAAATGTAAAATCTTTAAAATATAACTTTTAGAAGGAAGGCAGTTGCTCTTTTTCCTCGTGTCTTATCATGAGAGTCATTTGATCCAAGATACTGCTCCTTAACTTACGCTTTTTATTTGGAAGAAACACTAACGATACTTCTTAGGGATATTGTACAGAGAAAGTAGGTTGCACATTTAACCTTAGGAACAGAAACTGCTGTTGCTTAAGTACCGCTCACCCTTTCACCACCTGAGATGAAGAATGACTCAACCATATGATGAAACAGAGAAAGCCATGTTTCTAATGAGGCCAGAGCCTGAAGGCAGAAACCCTTCAAGAGCTGAATTTCCCATTTTGTTGCCAACAACAAATAAACTCAGTGTTCCTTCAATGACGATTAATCCGGCAAAAACCATGCAGAAATGAAGGAGCTTTAAAATGATCATCATTCATCAACCCAACCATCTCCCTTGGATACCCACTTCATTACTAAGAGAGTAATTATTTTTGTGTTGTCAGTTTTAGGGAAAAGCCCTTGAGGATTATTCATTGGTAATTGGAAAAATAAATGTTAATGTCTTCTGTGGATTAGGAAAGAATGTTTTATGACTAACTGTTTAGACGCTTCTGTTGCATTGCCTGAGTTTGGAAGCTTCATTGGTTTTCCAGCCAAGGCTTCATAAAAGCTTTCAAATTACCTGTAGCTGTCAGAGAGGAGTCTCCTCAAGGAGATGGATGAAGCTTGCCCACGATGCCGCATTCCAGGTTTTTGTAATAATGCTGTGGCAGCCCCATCTTTCTCCCGACTTTTATTTTATTTTATTTTATTTTCTTGAGATGGAGTCTCATTCTGTCACCCAGGCTGGAGTGCAAATGTGCAATCATGGCTCACTGCAACCTCTGCCTCCCAGGTTCAGGCAATCCTCCCACCTCAGCCTCCTGAGTAGCTGGGACTACAGGCGTGCACCACTATGCTGGCTAATTTTTCTATTTTTTGTAGAGACAGGGTTTCACCATGTTGCCCAGACTGGTCTCACTCTTGGACTCAGGCAATCCTGCCTGCCTTGGCCTCCCAAAGTGCTGGCCCCGACTCTTCTTAAATTGTGGTCCCAAGGCCAAGCTGTAGTGCCAGTGATTTTCCTCATTGAGGAAATGAGCTCAGGTTATTAGAAGTGATGAAGTCAGCAGGCCCCCACAGGATGAGGTTTTAGTAGCCACAGGGCTTGAGGTGCAGCCTCTGGGAACCCAATCTCTTGATCTACAAGGGTGGCTCTGGGGAATGTGAAAAAATTGGACAAAAATACTATCTAGCCCCAGCAGGAAGGATTAGGGTGGCCCTTGACAGTGTGGAGTGGTAAATACACCCATAAAAATATGTTGAAGAATGAGGGGCCGGGGTGGAATTGGCTTCCCTCTGTAATATATTGACAAAAGGGCCGGGTTTAGTTTTTCTCTGCAGAATGGTCCAAAGCAGTTGTGGCAAGAACAGGCCCAGGAAGAGCTGGAGTCTCCCTCTTACTATTAATTTTGGATGACCCCATGCAGCACCCATTCAGCCTGTCCAGCTCACATGACTACACACAGGTTTAATCAAGAATCTCTTCCCAGCCGGGGGCAGTGGTTTACGCCTATAGTCCCACACTTTGGGAGGCCGAGGTGGGCAGATTGCTTGAGCTCAGGAATTTGAGACCAGCCTGGGCAACATGGCAAGACCTCTTCTCTACAAAAAAAATATGAAATATTAAGCAGCATGGTGGTGTGTGTCTATAATCCCAGCTACCTGGGAGGCTGTGCTAGGAGGATCACTCAGCCCGGCGGTTGAGGCTGCAGTGAGCTGTGATCGCGCCACTGCACTCCAGCCTGCGTGAGAGAGTGAGAGCCTGTCAAAAAAAAAAAAAAAAAAAAAAAAAAGAAGAAGAAGAAAAGAAAGAGAAAGGAAAAGAAAAGAATCTGCAAGCTCAAACCGCAAGTAATGGGGCCATCAGCTACCTTTTATTGAGCGCTTACCGTGCCACGTACCGTGCACTTGAGTTTATTGTCCACAGAATCTTCATAGTTACACTTGCCTCAGGAGGGGATTGTCTTTCCCATTATATAGATAAGGAAACTGAGGCTTGGAGAGAGTAAGTACTGTAAGGTCATACATTCAGTAGATGATAAAGCTTCTATTTCAAGGCCAGTGATCTGATTACAAAGCCAATTCTGCTAAACTGTGTATAGCTAGTGCTTATACATGGAACTTAGACTCCAAGTTAGACTGTTACCTGGGATAGGGAGGCATGGGTGATCATGTCTTTTGCCTCTTATTTTATCTTGTATATTGTATTAGTCTGTTTTCATGCTGCTGAGAAAGACATACCTGAGACCAGGTAATTTATACAGAAAAAGGGTTTAATGGACTTACAGTTCCACATGGCTGGAGAAGCCTCACAATCGTGGCAGAAGGGAAGGAAGAGCAAGTCACATCTTATGTGGATGTCAGCAGGCAAAGAGAGAGCTTGTGCAGGGAAACTCCCCCTTATAGAACCATCAGAGCACATGGGACTTATTCACTATCACGATAACAGCACAGTAAAGACCTGCTTCTATGATTCAGTTACCTCCCACCAGGTCCCTCCCACAACACGTGGGAATTCAAGATGAGATTTAGGTGGGGACACAGCCAAACCATATATCATATATGTATTAAGGTAAGCCCTAAATTAGGTGCTAGATTAAGCAGTCTGTGGTTCAGGTACACTGATCTGAATATTTCCTCCACAGAACACATTAATCAAACCATGCAAATATATTGCAGGGAAGGGTCTTGCCCAGAACACATTGCAAGGGGGTTAGGGGCAGGGGAGTAGGGTATGGTCTTCATTGTGATTTTCTGTGGGGCTCTAGTGGACTACGGGAGACTGACAGAGTGAAAAGAATACTTGGGCCTATTATAGCCCAGCCTGGTGTCTGAGCAAGTGATTTAATCTGTCTGGCCTTCTTGGGATTCTCTTTATCTATAAACTTAAGAACACTTACCCTGACAATTCCACAGAGTAGAAGGGCTCAAATGAGCAATTAATGTGAAAAGGTTTGGCACAGTGTGAACACATACAGGGGAAAGGTCATGTTCATTAGTCTGGAAACTTAAGTAGCTACAAAGATGTGGTGCCAATCAATGAATCCGTCGATCAGTCAGTCAGTCAAGAGCAGTGATCTTGAAATCTGAATCTAGGGCTGGATGAGGTAGCTCACACCTGTAATCCCAGCACTTTGGGAGGCTGAGTTAGGTGGATCACCTGAGGTCAGGAGTTTGAGACCAGCCTGGGCAACATGGTGAAACCCCATCTCTACCAAAAATACAAAAATTAGCCAGGTACCATGGCACACAGCTGCAGTTCCAGCTACTGGGGAGGCTAAGTCAGGAGAATCACTTGAGCTCAGAAGGTGGAAGTTGCAGTGAGCTGAGATCATGCCATTGCCCTCCAGCCTGGGCAACAGAGTAAGACTCTATCTTTAAAAAAAAAAAATCTGAATCTAGCTCCAGCTCTGCTTTTACTTTCTATGTGGTTCCCAGTGCTGACTTAGGTATCTGCCCCTTGTTTTCTTCGTCTGTAAAATGTAAACAACAGCAAGATTAGAGTTCATGTGTATATAAGTGCATAGATACATAAAGCACCTTACTACTCTTACCTAATTAGGAAGATCCTGCATGCAGTTACTTAGAATACTTTTCTTGCTCATATCCAGTTTGAAAAGTAATGACCACTAAGGACCTTCTTCCTTTTTCTCCTGTTCGTCCTTCTGGGGCTGTTTCTATCATTCATCTGATCTGATAAACCATGAGTGTGAAACCAGCAGAAGTTCAGTGAAGCTGACGGCACACCTTAAGTCTGTGACGCCATGATTAGATGTCTCTAGAAGCAGGAATAGAGCATCTGTCCCCTAGGACAAGTGTCTGTACCCCAGAATTCTCAAGCTCTCACATTCCATAGTCAAGAGTTTGAAGGATCTGGAAAAATAAAAAATTTTAAAGTATCTTTGTCGTCTCTGTGTTACACTTTCTACTTTTTGATATTGAAATGTGTTTTTATTGTTTCTCCCTCTTGGGGTCATATTTGGCCAGGGAGTGGGAGTGGTAGTTGAGCAAGAATCCTAAATCCAATAGCCATCCCAGAGGGCCAAATTATAGGTGGGAAAATGGCCCACCATATCTAAGATTCAGAGGACAAGAAACCCACCTACGGAGGCACACATGTTTTTTTTTTTCAAGCATTTCTCAGAGACACTGTTTGTTAAATCAAGGACAAGGTTATGGAAGATCATCTTTAATTAAACCTGTAGTCAGTCCCTTTGGGGCTGTGTGCTGTGTTCACCTCTTAAATTCTGTATTCCAATTAGCAGAATTCTTGCTCCTGGCCCTGAGGCTTTATTTGCAGGTCTCACCATTCTTTGTTAGCTATAATCTGCTCATTTTGTCTGGAAGCACCTGCTCTACTGTTTCTTCCCATGCTGTCTCAGGGTGCATATTTTTTTCCTTTCTTGATGTGTCTTTGTTGTTGAGATTGCTACTAGGTGCAGAGTCTGCTTTCTCTCTTAAATCACCACCGCCTGCTTCTCACCACCCCTGGATATTCTACCTTTCCCCTGAATCTGCCTCCACCTGTCCATGGTATTTAATAAAGATGCTGACTGGCATTTCCCGGTCCTCCAGACCTTATGGAAGTGATGTTCCCTCCTATAATATAAGAGGAGGTCTTGCAGAAGAGATAGAGGATGCTTCCCCCCTGTTGACCCTTCCTCCAAATCAATTAGCAAAAGTCAGTTGATTTTAAAAAACTTCATCACTTTATGCATAATCATTTAAAAAGACACCAGAAAATGTGGAGCTTCTTTCCAGCAATCCACATATTATCCCTAAAAGACTCCAGCTTCCTGCAATTAAGAGCTAAAAATTACTCAGTAATTTTTTTTTTAGAGATAGGGTCTTGGTCTTTTGCCCAGAGTGCAGTGGTATGATCATGGCTCGCTGTAGCCTCAAACTCCTGAGCTCAAGCAATTCTCCCCACTCAGCCTCCTGAGTAGCTGGGACTACAGGCACGTGTTACCACACCTGGCTAATTTAAAAAATGTTTCTTTAGAGATTAGGTCTGGCTATGTTGCCCAGGCTGGTCTCGAACTCCTAGGCTCCAGCAGTCCTCCCACCTCAGCTTCTCAAAGTGCTGGGACTACAGCCATTGTGCCTGCAAGCAATAATTTTTTAAAAATTATTATAATAAAATATTTTTGATGTACAGAAAAATCTAGGAAATAATATTGAAAGATGTCTCTATTTCTCTCTACTTGACATTTCACTTAAGAAATGAAACATTATAGATGAGACAGAAACCTCTTGGTACCTGTCCCTGACCCTTTCCTCTCTCTCCATAGAGGTAACTATTAACCTGAAGTTGATATGAATCCTTACCATGCATTTTTTTTTTTTTTTTTTTACTCCTTCTGAAGGGTCCACACCTATGCATTTGAAACTTCATAAAATAGTATCATACTTTATGTGCCTGAGCACCTTGCTTTTTACATGTGAGTCTTCTGTATTGAACATTGTGACCACCTTCTCTGTTCTAAGGGAGAGGCCTAATCTCTCCCGGATGGATGCGTTGGCGTCTCCTGACACAATGCTAGGATGGGCCTCCAGGATGCCTCGTGTCCACAGCAGTGAGAATTTGCCTTCTGGCAGTGCTTCCCAAAGTCACCTGATCCTAGGACCCCTGCGGTGGGGGTGGGTAGGGGCATTGTTAAAAACGCAGATCCCTGAGCCTACTCCGTGGTAGATCCACCACCCACGAGCCATTCAGTGCCCACAGGTGAGTCTTAAGATGACCTTGCATGTTTGGGAAACTCCACAGCAAATACTTTCTGTAAAAGGCCAGATGGTAAATATTTTAAGCTTTCGGTCTCATCCGAGCTCTGTCACCCCTTCCCCACCCTCCTTCTTCATAACCCTGTAAAATATTAAAAAGTCATTCTTAACTCTAGCGCTATACAAAGACAGGCTGCTGGCTGGATCGGCCCGGCACGGTGTGCTCACCCTGCTCTGGGAATTGCTGAGGTGAGACGCTCCATGTCTCTACATTGACTAGATATTGTCAAATGCTCCCAGGTGATTTTACAGCTGCAAAGTCTGTGACCTCCCTCTTCTTCCTGGTCGTCTGTGACCACTTTTCCCACCATTCTCACTCTGCCTTTTTTTGACATGCAGTTTGCCCATTGCACCGTTTCTTTATATTACAAGCACTTCTTGCCTGAACTCAGATTTTTATTGATTATGTTTGAGGAGCAGCATGCCAGTCTCTCTCTGTATAAAATCCTTCTACAGGCTGGACACGGTGACTCACACCTGTAATCCCAGCACTTTGGGAGGCCGAGGCAGGCAGATCACGAGGTCAGGAGATTGAGATCATTCTGGCCAACATGGTGAAACCCCATCTCTACTAAAAATACAAAAATTAGCTGGGTGTGGTGGCATGTTCCTGTAATCCCAGCTACTCGGGAGGCTGAGGCAGGAGAATTGCTTGAACCAGGGAGTCAGAGGTTGCAGTGAGCTGAGATCGTGCCACTGCACTCCAGTCTGGACAATAGAGCAAGACTCCATGTCAAAAAAAAAAATCCTTCTACAATGAGCTCATCACTGCTTCCAGAAACCTGTATGGCCTTGTCAGGCTGTCCAGTGTGGGAACTGTGCTCCCCACAAGAGTTTCAGCTCCAGAACAGATGCCATTATCAGGACAGATGTGACAGACAGCTCTCACTGAACACATAGCCACGGCATGCTGGAATTCCTTGGCATTCTTTTGGGAGATGCTAATTAAGGCTTCTGGTTTTTATGATTATCTAGGGTAGAAAATGTATGGGCAATGGAGGCAGTCCTGAAAAATTAAGAAAATGTTGACAAAGCCATGAATAAAGCATCAATATTTGTAAAGAAAAACATATAGTCAGGAACTTTCAAAAAATGAAAGAATCCAGGTCATTGGCAGTGGGGCCTCCAACAAGCTCATGCCAGTCACACTTAACAATGTTTAAGTTAGAATAACAGGAGGGGAATGGGTTGGCTCTGTTTGGATTAGAGAAGAAAGCACCTTGTTCTCAAAATCAAGTTGTTGGCTTGAATAAAACCTGGAATCCTGGAAGACCAGGGAAATGTGACATGGCCCCGTGGCCCTACAGGTGTGATGTCATTGGTTTCATTAAGGCAAAGGGGTAGACTGGAGGCTGCTACCACAAAGCCTTCTGACAACAATGGCCGCTGAGCTCCCTGTACTGCATGAGGTGGGAGCAAACAGGAAAGTCACCACCAGGCAGCCAGAGGAACTTGGCAAAATAGGCAGTTTTGGCCTCTGGGTCATGTAGACAAGGAGATAGCTAGAGCAAGTCCCAGACACAGCAAGGAGGGCTGCTTGCTGCCTGACAGCTTTGCGCAACTGGCTACACCCACCCCTTCTATCCTGTACCCCTGCATGTATGCACAAGGTGAAGCATGCACAGGATGCCATGTGCACAGGATGGGGCATGAACAGCATGCCGCATGCACAGGATGCCACATACACAGGATGCCGCATGCACAGGATGCCGCACGCACAGGATACCGCACGCACAGGATACCGCACACACAGGATGCCGCACGCACAGGATGCCGCACGCACAGGATGCCGCACGCACAGGATGCCGCATGCACAGGGTGCCGCACGAACAGGATGCCACACGCACAAGATGCTGCATGCACAGGATGCTGCATGTACAGGATGCTGCATGCACAGGATGCCACATGCAAAGGATACCACATACACAGGATGCCACATGCACAGGATGCTTTGTGCACAGGATTCTGTGTGAACAGGATTCTGCATGTACAGGATGCTTTGTGCACTGGATTCTGTGTGAACAGGATGCCGTATGCATAGGATGCCACACTCACAGGCTCACACTCTGCTGGCTCCACTGGCATTCTGTGCTCTGGATCTGCCTCTGACTTTCCCCACATCTGTTCCTCTACAAGGAGACACCATTTGGGTACCACTTCTCCCAAATGACACTGTGCCTACCTCAGCAAACAGCATGCACATCTTTGAAGGCCTGTTTCAGGCTATGTGGTAGGTGCAGGTGGTTCCTTCCTTGCCTCTCAAATCACTCAGTGGCCTGCTCAGCTGCTGGAAAGGAACAGCCCCGGACACACATTCTGTGCAGCCACAGTTCTGGACACAGTTCCACCACAGGACTGAGGAGTAGCCATGCTGACTCGGGTCACTCACCTCCTAAAGACATTGCAGGACAAATGGAAAATACCTCCTTTCCTTCTGTCTCCATGCCAGCAGTGAGCTAACAGGAACGGGTCCCTGTATCTGTCTTCCTTTGTCCTCCATGTGCCAGGGGCAAGGACAGCCCAGGCAGTGGCAGTATAGTGACTACCTCCTGAGCTGGCCCACGGTGTCCACAAGCTGGGCATGGTCTGCATTCAATCCACCTGAAGATGAGCACCTCATTTTATTGTTCCACTTTGAGGCCAATTTTGTAAACTCTGAAAGAAAAAGAAATCCTTGGCTAACATCTGTAAAAAACATACCCTTGGCATTTAATAACTGACATTAGTGTGGCATTTCATTGTTTTAATTTTTTAAAAGTCATTTGATATTCTCATCAACTCTGTGAAGCAGGTGAAGCGAATACTGTTATTTTTTAAAAAAATTATTGTCCCCTTATAGATGAAGAATTTAAAGCTCAAAGACAATTTTAGGCCTTCCTGAAATTTTTGAAGGGCCCAGATCTGGTATGTGATAAATCTGAGACTCAGGGCCAAATCTTAAAAATTACTTAATCCTATGATTTTTTTTTTTTTTAACTAGACCATTGGTTGTATTGGTCAGGGTTCTCCAGAGAAACAGAACCAATAGGACACACACACACACACACACACACACACACACACACACACACACACACTTATGTGTATTTATAAAAATGTATTATTTTAAGGAATTGGCTCATGTGAGTGTGGGACTGGAAAGTCCAAAATCTGTAGGGCAGTCTGGGAGGCTGGAAACTCAGGTGAGTGCTAATGATGCTGTTTTGATGCAGAATTTCTCTTTTGTGGGAAACTTTAGTTTTTGCTTTTAAGACCTTCAACTGTTTGGATGAGGCCTACCCACCAACGTCATTGAGATTAATCTCCTTTACTTAAAGTTGACTGATTATAGATGTTAACTATATCTATAAAGTACTTTCTCAGCAATACCTAGATTAGTGTTTGATTAAATGATTGGGTATTATAGCCTAGCCAAATTGATACATAAAGCTAACCATCACAAGTATACCATAGAAATTCTCCTAGTAAAAGTCTCAATTTTTGCCGGGCATGGTGGCTCACACCTGTAATCCCAGCACTTTGAGAGGCTGAGGCAGGTGGATCACCTGAGGTCAAGAGTTCAAGACCAGCCTGCCCAACATGGTGAAACCCTGTCTCTACAAAAATACAAAAATTAGCTGGGCATGATGGCAGGTGCCTGTAATCCCAGCTACTCGGGAGGCTGAGGCTGGAGAATTGCTTGCACCCAGGAGGTGGAGATTTCAGTGAGCTGAGATCACACCATTGCACTTCAGCCTGGGCGACTGAGTGAGACTCTATCTCAAAAAAAAAAAGTCTCAATTTTGTGGCTGGCAGAAGTAAGAATGAACACATAGAGGGATAAAAGGTGAAACTAAAGATTTCTGCAGTGGTCTGTATTCCATTGACAATGTGTCCCTTGAAGGTGGGTCTTCATCACATTCAGCCTTGGATCCCAGCACCCAGCACAGTGCCTGCTATGGTAGGTCATCAGTAACCATGTGTCCAAGGAATATGTCTAAGCCCACCTTATTATCTCACAGATGCTTATCATGGAATTAACCATAACTTATAAAATAGTGGCTGCCAGGCCTTTCCAGCCATAAGAGATGTGCTCTGGAACTGACTGTCTGGTTCCAAGTGTAGCCTCTCCATTTTCCAGCTGTGCCACCTTAGGCGAGTACCTAACCCTCTCTGTGCTCCATTTCCTTCATTTGAAAAATGTAGGTGATCATTGTTTCTACATAGGGTGGTTGTGCAAATTGAATGAGTTGATTCATATGAGGTACTTAACTCACTCAGTGCCTGGCACATAGAAATACCCAATAAATGTAAGCTATTATTCCTATTATCATGTACACATATGCCCTAAATTCTTTTGTGTTGAGCCCCACATTCTTCACTTGTAGGAAATCCAGACTTCACAGATTGTTCTTCCTCAGATATTTTCCAGATTCCTGGGTTACCAGGAATAATTGTACACATTGGAAGTAGATTGATAAATATATAATTAATAAGATTTTGCCTTCTGGAAAAGAATCCCTCCAAATTAAAACAATCATGATTAGCCTAGTGTATTAGTTTGCAGGCTGCCATAAACGAAGTAGCAAAAACTGGGTGGCTTAAACAACAGAAATTTATTGTCTCATAGTCCAGGAAGCCAGAGCCCAAGATTAAGATGTTGGCAGGGTTGGTTCCCCCGGAGCGCTCTGAGGGAAAATCTGTTCCATGCCTCTCCCTGAGCTTCTAGCCTCAGGCGTTCCTTGGCTTGTAGGGAGCTGTCTTCTCCCCGTGTCTTCACATCGTCTTCCCTCTATAAGTGTCTGTCTCTATGTCCAAATTTCCCCTTCTTGTAAGGATGCCAGTCATACTGGATTAGAGTCTTCCTGATGACTTCGTCTTAACTTGATCATCTATAAAGACACTATGTCCAAATAAGGTCCTATTCACAGGTGCTAGGGGTTAGAACTTTAACATCTTTTGGGGGTAACCAGTTCAACCTATAACACCCTGCTTTCATACTGGGCCCAGTAAACTGTAAACTGTGCTTATATCTTGGCCCCAAAGTAATGCCCTTTAACTGGTGAATAAATTCCTGGTTTCAAGGTATTTATGTGCAGAGGACTCCAGCTGACTAATGTTGAGGGCCATGTGCTGTTATTTTAACATTTACTGTTGTTATATTTCAATATCTTTTTTATATCTTACAATAAGCCCTCATTTAGTTGGTGATGCTAGTGGGAAAATATGGGTTGGAAATAAAACTAGAAATAAAAAAACTATGATGAAGGCCAAAACCATGACACACACTATGCTATTACCTTCAGAGGAGAGGAGGCTCCGTGAAATATCAGAGACACTGCCAAAATAATTTTTACAAAGCATTATTACATGGTTGTTGATGTACACACTCTGAGAAGTTATTTCCCTTCCTTGCATTTATTTCCATGTAAAACTGACTTTGGGTTATACAAGGACTTTGGGCTGAGTCCCTCGGTGCAACACTCCAGCTCAGCACTTATGGAATGCTGCATGCCCGCCCACACATCTTCACCCGCGGCTCCATTGGATGAAACATCATTTCCTGAGATATCACCCTGAAATGTATAGGGAGGCAACTGTCACTATATCATGTAGATGCAGTTACTGAGATACACAGAGCCTAGAGGCTAGTAAAAGGCAGGGCCCGTTTGTGCCATAGCCTCCGGTGGAAGAGCGTGGGAGAACAATAGAACCCTTCCATGTGTACAACACTGAGTTCAGAGTGTTCAAGGAGCTGGTTCCAAAGTTCTTAGAAAGATAGCAAAATCCGTAATGATGGGAAAAGATGGAGTTACCCACTGTGGATCCATTCTGCAATGTTTCTCCTTGAAGTGAGATCAAATGCCTGAGCACGAGTTGTCCTGAGGTCTCCTCCTTTTGAAAGAGATTGGCCAGAAATCAATTGCCTGATTGAAGTCAGCCTTGCTGTTAACTAAAGATCAAGCCAGATGGCGCAGGTCACTAAAGATGACTGGTTCTGCCCCTGCTGGGAACAGTTCTTGGGCCAGCTGCTCTAAGTCCCCCGCCAGCTTTCCACAAATGTCTGACCATCTTGTCACCCTCTTCCTGCAGACATGATCAGACACATTCCCTTCCCCTGAGCCTGTCTGTAGGGAACTGTGCAGTGCCAGCAGAGTTCTGGAAGGATGAAGTGCTGAGTCTCTGTTGGGTACAGACACATCCAGTTACTGGCAGGACAGAGTAGTGCTGTGGGCATTTAATCAAGATTCTGTTAGGCAGGGAGGTGTGCTGAGGCTGGAGTTCAGCAGGGAATGAGAGCAATTGCTTATATTTCCTGAGGAGCTACGATGGCCAGCTCAGCACTAAGTGCTTCATATACATTACTTCATTTAATTCCCACAACATTCCAGTGAGGCTGGTGGGTACTAGTACTGCTACTGTCCCTTTTCACAGAGAAGGAAACTGAGGTTCCAGGTCATAAAGAAGTTGCTTAAGCATACAGCTAAGAGCAGGAGAGCCAGGATGTTAGCCAGTTGGTCTGATTCCAGAGTAAGGTCTTCAGGTCTTGGAATCAGAGTTGGTCTGATTCCGAGGTTGGTCTGTCTGCAAAGACATCAAGGAGTTCACAGTGCAGTGGGAGAGAGAGACAAGCCAGCTGGGATTATATGAAATGATATGAGGATATGATATGGTAATGTGATATGATATATTATATGATCTGGTATAATGATATATGATGATATGATATGGTATGATGATATGATAATATGATATGGTAAGATATATATGGCCTGTGATGAGGCTGTGGAAACAGGGAAATAACACTGGATGGAGTCTTGTGGGGGCAGGGAGATCATGAAAGCATTTCCAAAGTTGGAGTTCTAGCTGTGTGTCCCCACAGCACCCTATGATGGTTAATGTTATGTTAACTTGACTGGGCCATGGGATGCCCAGATATTTGGTCAATGTTATTCTGGGTATTTCTGTGAGGATGATTTTGGACAAGGTTAACATCTAAATTAAGAGACTGAGGACAGCTGATTGCCCTCCCCAATGCAGGTGGGCCTCGCCCAATCAGCTGAAGGCCTGAAGAGAACAGAAGGCTGAACCTCCTGTGAGTAAAAGTCCTCCTGCCTGGATGCTTTCAAACTGGGACATCAGCTTTTTTTCCTGCCTTCAGACTCGAACTGAAGGATCCACTCCACTCTTCCTGGGTCTCCAGCTTGCAGACTCCCTCTGCAGATCTTGGGACCTGCCCACCTTTATAATTACGTGAACCAATTCCTTATAATGAATCGCTTTATTTGCACACACACACGTCCTATTGGTTGTTTCCCTGGAGAGCCGTGACTTGTACACACCCTGTTCTTATTCTGTCACAATGCCTGTTACAACATCTCAGCACTGGCCATTTAACTGCATCTCCTACTGAGCTGGAAGCTCTGGTGGATAGGGGCAGGTCTGCTCATTCACTGCTGCCTTCCCTGCACCTGGTACCATGCACACAGAATAAGCCTAGCAGAATGCCTGTGGATGGACTGACCAATGAAAGTAATGAGGTGCTGGGACCCGAAGGCTGAGTGGCATGAGTCATGAGGAGGCATAGGTGGAGTTGGAGGTGGGAGGAGGATGATGTAGCAAAGGTAATGGCATGAGTCAAGCGTCTGGCTGAGAATGGGCACAGTGAGTCTCAGACATCAGTGACTCCAGCAGGGCTGGAGCCTGCAGGGGGGTGGCCAGTGAGGGGGAGGGGAAGCTGGATGGTTGGATCATGAAGGGCTTTGCACAAAAGTTAAGCAGTTCGACTTTATCCTGCAGGAAGTGGGGGTGGCTAAAGAGTTGACAGATTCTGAATCTACCTAGCCGTGTGACCTTGGCCAAGGTATTTAACTCTGGACTTGGGTTTTGCTGTTGTTTGGTTAGTTCGTTTCTTTTTTCCATTAGAAAAATGAGGGAAGTAATGTGTCTGGGATGGTTGTGAGACTCCCATGGGTGTGTCGAGTGCTGTGTAAGGGGAGGCATGCTGGACATCTAAAGGCGCAGTGGGCATGGGGCCCACCTCAGCCTTGGCACACAAGCAAGTCCACAACATCCTTCTCCTCTGAAGGCTGACAATCGGCAGAATGTGATGAATGACTGTCTGATGGCATCAGAGAGTTGCAATGCTGTTAAAAGAAAAACCTTAGACAGATTAAGTTTAACAGAGTTTCATTGAGCAAAGAACAAACCTCAAATCGGGCAGCACTGAATGAGAATAGGTTCAGAGAGGCTCTGGCCCAGCCACATGGTCAAAGAAGATTTATGAATAGAGAAAGAAAAGTGACAAACAAAACGGAAGTGAGGTACAGAAACAGCAGGATGGGTTACAGCTCTGCATTTGCCTTATTTGAACATGGTTCAAACACTTGGCCACCTGTGATTGGCTGAAACTCAGCGCTTGGCACAAAGGTTATAGTTGTGTACAGCCAGCTAGATTACAGTTCACCATGTACAGAGAAACCTGGCTGAACTTAAAAATGTAAGGAGGCAGCTTTAGGCTAAACTTGATCTAACAATGCTTTCCCCATGCGCCTGGCATTTCTGTCTTGGGAGCATCCAGATGAATAAATGACGTCTAGGAAGAGTCCCAAGAGTCCCTGGGAGAGACTCACAGGTGCATGAGAGAGGAGTCTGTTTTGAAAGCAAGGCCCATTGAATTCCAACTAGAAAAATCTCCGTTCGTTTAAGAGCCATGTGTCTCCCTGCACTAGTTTGGTATTAATATTTATCCATGTTCTTAGTATATTCAGATCAGCTGCTGACAAGGCCTTTTCATTGATCAAATACACTACTCTATATGAAGAAACATAGAGATTGAGTGGATTAAATATATATCTCAAAGCCTTCCAAACCCCACTTTGCTCCCAAGATAACTATTTTATTTTTCTGAGCTCTCTAGAGGAAGAGAGGCAGATTAGTTTTCCCAATGGTGTAGTGACCAGGAACTCCAGAAATCTGGGGATCAGCAAGCCACTGCACCATTACAGGGCTCCAGGGTCCTACTCCTTAGCCACACTCCAAGGACCAGGAATAAGCCATTGCAAATGCTAGTTCCAGGAACACGCTGACCCAGCTGTGATCCAGGGATCAAAAGCTAACACCAAACCTGTTGGCTACAAAGCTTCCTGTGAGCCCTGCCTCCCTTTCTACTTAAATGAGTTCCTAATTCAAGGCTGCATGAGGGCCTTTGGGTGGCCATTCACAATCACAAGGAAACCTCAGTTGCAGGAGAGTCTGGGATATTCAGTTTGCAATATAAGAAAGCCCTTAGCAGAAGGTTGGGATAGATAAAGAGCTGCCATATTGTCACTGATAAACTGGGTTTTTTCACCACTTTGTGTCAGTCACAAAAAAAGAACATCCAGCTGGAAAAAGCAATCAGGCTTTATTCACTAGCCAAGGAATGGAGAAGGTGGCTCTCACTCGAAAGGTAGCTTCTTCCCAAACAATAGAAGGTGTGGGGTTTTAAGGACCAGGTGCAGGGCGAGAGAAGCGTGTTTGCATGTGCAGGGCGGGACTCCAGATATGCCTAATTCATAAATATATATGTTCATATATCACCTGTACACAAAATGGTGGAGATTTTCCTTTGGGGGAGGAAATTTTAGCATTATAATGATATGTTAATGATCTGAAGGCAACTAAGGGTCATCTATTCCGGTTTGTGCTGGTTTTGTGGCATCTTATCTTCCTCTGCTCTTTGGTCAGTGGTCAGTAAGCTCTGGTGCCATCCCAGGCCTTCTGGTTTCATTAAGCAGCTGTGCCTGTAGATAAAGGGACTAAAAGAAAATAGAAAAAGGAACTTTCCCAGTGACGTCATCAGGGCTGCCCTGGTAAAAATACTGGCTGCCCTGAAGAAGACCTAGATATTCCTTGTTCAGTGTATGCCCTGAAAGATCAATGCTGGAAGCTGGCAAGAGGGAACATTCTCACTAGCTTTCTATTTTAAACAGACATGATTTAATATATTTACCCAGAAAGGTCTGAGCACACATCCTCTACTCTACCTTCCTCCCCAAACCCCACATCCCAGCAAATCTGTACTCAAGGCATTCACAGTTTGCAGAAATGATTTGCTAATCCAGGCTGGGGCAAGCCCCAAGAGAAGAGCTGACAATGACCAGTTTTCTGGGTCAGAGGCACAGAATCGAATGGGCCAGAGGGAGCCCATTCATCTCCCTTTCTTCCTCTTCAAATGTTGCTCCCTGACCCTTTATCTAAGACTGGATGGTTGATGGTCAATAAAATTGAAGTTCCTAAGCTCCTAAAGAGGTTTATGGAAACCGGCGTTTAGCTGGTGTCTCAGTGTGGCTGGTTGGTTCCTAACCAGTCTCTGCTTCTAAACTTTACCTCCAGGGCCAGGCGGGTTCAGGCACGTTCCTGGCGGAAGGTGCTCTGATGCTGTGGAAGACAGTTTCTTCATGGATTCCAACTGCTTGATTTGTGGGAATGACTCAACCATGCCTGTTCTCCCCCACCTTTGATGAGGCATCTGACACTGAGTTAATTCATTTGCATGGTGTAGACTATAGTAAATCCAGTGTTGGGACACTGTGTCATCTTCTTTCTGATTATGATGGTAACAAACGCTTGCCATAGGAGACTGGAAAAATCTATCCTATAGGAATATTGGAAAATCTATCCTGTAGGAAGAAAGAAAAAACTCACCTAAACTTGTACCACACACTGTCAAATCTGGGCACTTTTCCTTCTTTTTGTCTTTTTCCCCCTAAAGCCACAGGCGTTTAAAAACAACCTGAGCATGAGTCAGCCTGTCTGTCCACATCTACATACATGTGATCGAGGCCCTCATCTTGCAGATACAGATCTATTCTCTTGCAGAGACTCAACCTTGGACAATATCATTGCTTTCCACTGCAATATTCATTACTCCATCAACAAATTTTTATTTTTTATTCTTTTGAGACAAGGTCTCACCCTGTTTCACAGGCTGGAGTGCAGTGGTGCAATCATGGCTCACTACAACCCAAACTCCTGGGCTCAAGTGATCCTCCTGCCTCAGCCTCCTTAGTAGCTGGGATCACAAGTATGCACCACCATGCCCAGCTAATTTTTTTTCTTTTTCTTTTTTTGTAAAGATGGAGGCCTCGCTTTATTGCTCAGGCTGGTCTCAAACTCCTGAGCTCAAGCAATTCTCCCGCCTTGGCCTCCCAAAGTGCTGGGATTATAGGCGTGAGCCACTGTGTCCAGCCAGAAAGTTCTATTTTGTATAGCTAGCTTAACAAAACTGCTGCAGTGCTAGCCCCTATTCTTAGTCTATTGCCCATCTGGCCTCCACTATCTGGAAGATAGACAGAAGAGCCCACAACCTTCTCCAGACAACAAAGAAACTGGCCGGTGAAATCATCAAGAGGCTAGCTGGCGTCTGGGGGGTGTGAGGGAGTGCATTGCATTAATGAAGTCTTTTTATTCTTGGAAAAGTGTTTGGACAAAGGCTGTGCTATGCGTATGGCGTCTCTGCAGCTCCTGGACATATGCTCTGACTGTGCTACTTCTGCACACGAAAGGTCAGCATATGGCTTCCTTTCTCTTTCCCCGAGGAAAGTGACAGGCTGGTCATGGATGCCTCACCTGCTGTTGCTCTCGCTCTGGAGAAAGAAGTGTTGGAGGCATCACTGCCAGTAAATCTTCACTGGGCTCCCAGCAGGCCTGGCCTAGCTTGACCCCTTCATGGGTAACAGCAGAAGGCCACCTGCTGCTCCGCGGCTGAGCAACCAAACAGCACAGCTGCTGAGGTTAGGGTTTGAGGTGAAATATAGCCACACACATCTCCCAGGGTCACACGTGGGTAGCCTCAAAGGGCAAATAGGTCTTGAAATGATGGTCTCAGGGGAGAAACCACTTCCATGGCCTGTTCTCGAGCTGTCCAGCTTGGCAGGGTGAGAAAAGTCTGCAATGAATGGCCTTCCTGGGTCTTTCCGTCAGAGCAGCCTGGAGTGTGTGCTGAAGGTGAAACAGCCACCCCAGCGCTTCTCCTCCTCCTCCACACTCCTTCGTCCTTTTAGGTCCCTTGCCCTACCTTTGTCCTTGTTATTGCTGACAGTCAGAGCATCCAGGAAACAGAGCTGGGAAAGAAAGAAACCAGAAGGGAGGAGAGGGGCCTAAGATTGAGGGTTTGGAGAACAGATTAATGCTATGACCTTCAGCCGCCTGGGGACAAAAAGCACCTTCCAGAGAGAAGCCATTGAGCAGTCGCTGACGTTGCATCCATCAGGCTCGTACTGGTTGTAGGATTTGATTTTTAAAAGGCACATGTTTATGACTACGTGGCTTTCTTGTCCCACTCTATAGCAAGCTAACTGAAAGCACTTTCCCCCGTGTCAATCAGTTAAAGAGAAGGCTAGCAAATATGTCTGTGACAGAATAATCTTGGTGTTTCCTAATTTCCACTTCATGGCACTGTGGAAAAAGACATCTGAAGGTGCTGTGGAATTATATGGACAAGGCTGCAGGCAGATGGCGAGGCCGTGGAGAGATTCGACTTGGAACCTATTGGGAGGATATAGGGTGGAGACGCGTGATTCTGGATCATGTGAACCCAGGATGCACGTGAATTTCCTGCATCACCTAAGGAGGAAAGTGGGGAGGCTGTTGAGCGAAAGCAGCTTGAAATTCTTCTTGGGATCCACGTTCACGTAATTGATTCCTTCCTTCCTTGCTCCTTTTTTGCCTTTCTTTTGTTGATTGATTCTTTCTTTCATTAATCAAAATCTGTCTTCAAGGATCTCACCTTCAGCTCTGGGAAGAAAGCCCATTAAGCAACCTCAAGGCAGTAAAGAAGGCAGGAAGAGACAGGAATGGTCAGAGTATATTGAAAAACGTTCCTCAGTCAGTCTCCCAAATGTTCGGTGTATGCTGGAATCACCTGGGGTTCTCTGTACCGATGCCGTCTCGAAGACCAGGGGATCTCAGGTGGTGATCAGGAATCTGCATTTCACCAGCCCCTGTCCCCACCCCATCCCCAGGGCATGCTTTTGGAAATCTGCTCACAACGTGTCCCTCCCCCTCCTTCCTGCTTTTATTAACTAGATGTTAAAATGCTTGGAGTCACACTCAGGAGTGTGTGGAGTCTTCTCGTGAGACTTAGGTCCTTGTTTTTTAGCACCAAGTAAACATTTCTAGCCTTTCTGTTTCTTACAGAACAATCCATTTCAAAGCCATACCTCCGAGGGGGCAAGGGTTTTCTCTAGACCATGCAACATCACTGTCTCTGGCCCTGCGGCTGTTGGAGCGGTGGGTACAGATGTGCTGAAGGTGCCAGTTCATGCCCTGAGGCTGCTGCTGAGCTGCTCGGACTGGAAACCAGCACTGAGCCTTGTGTGCACAGAGAAAACCACTGGGGAGTTCAAAGGACAAAAGACCCTTTCAACTTCATCGATGCCTATGGCAATGGCTTGGAGAATAAAACCAGTGCTTTTTTTTTTTTTTTTTTTGAGAAAGAGTCTTGCACTGTTGCCCAGGCTGGAGTGCAGTGGCACAATCTCGGCTCACTGCAAGCTCCGCCTCCTGGGTTCACGCCATTCTCCTGCCTCAGCCTCCCGAGTAGCTGGGACTACAGGCACCCGCCACCATGCCTGGCTAATTTCTTGTACTTTTAGTAGAGACGGGGTTTCACCCTGTTAGCCAGGATGGTCTCGATCTCCTGACCTTGTGATCCGCCCGCCTCGGCCTCCCAAAGTGATGGGATTACAGACATGAGCCACCACGCCTGGCCAAACCAGTGCATTATTAACACATGTTTCAAGCCATCGAATGTGGACCTGCAGTCTTAAAGCAGATCCCAGAACACCTTAGCTTGTATTTGTCCCTGAGGCCTGGCAGATGCTAGCAGTCCTGCCCCTCACTTTCACTCCTTCACCCTGTTTGACAGGCTAACCCCTAGGATGACCATATAATTATTCAAACCACATAATGTTGAGAGTGAAAAGGATGCAGTGGAATTGAACAAAAATGTATACCAGACTATCCTGGGCACACAATCTAACGCTCACTTTCTTAAGAGAAGAAATATGAGATGGTCAGTGTAAATGAAGATAAACTCTGTGGCTCTGGCCAGTTTGATAAGAGGAGTGAGGAGAGATGTATATTTCTGCCATGTAATTCTCAGCCCAGAGGAGGCTGAGGGGCCAGCCTTTGCTCTACCGCTACTTAGCTATGAACTTTGGGCAACTGCTGGCCTCCCTTGTCTCGTCTCCTGCTCTGTAAAATGGACTGACCTTCCAGATCATTTCTGGGGCTCTGTACTAATGAAGGAGTTGTGGGTTCCCGTTTCCTTTCTCCTTTTTCTCCCTCTTTTCCTCCAGCACCTAGTCCTCATTTTTGCATCAGCTTGTGAACTGCAGCACCTGTGGTTATTAATATTAATTTCAAAACTCCTGTTTTAACATGCAAAGTGACCCAATTACGAAATCAAAATTGATTTTAATTGTTAGCATGCCATTACTATACGGTATTCTATTCTCAGTTGTTTACATGCCGCTCTCCTCAAGCACAGTGTATAATAAGTCCCTTTCCGTGAGGCTGGGAGCTTACAGATTCCTTTACTGCAAAGACCTGCATAGTTGGAAGGTGCCAGAGAAGTGAATTATAGCAACTGAATTGAGCTCTTCGAGTTCTGGCAACAGCCAGGAAGCTAAAAAGAAGCTTTGTCTTAATGGTGGCAGGAGCCCAGAACTGCCTCAGTTTAGAGTGATTAAGAGTATTTCTGAATTTCACCCTACTGCTGTCTGAAACAGCAGCCAAGATTGAAGGGCGGGGGTGAAATGCTGCAAACTGCACCAGGAAAGGGGAGGATTAGAGGAGACCGAACAGCTTCCCTAAACCCTTACTGCTCTATGCAGAGGTGATGTCACCAGGAGCTCTACAAGACATAGAGATGCTTTAGGTATGCAATTTGCTAATGTCTTGATACAGCTGCTTATTTAAAATCATCCTTAGGGCCGGGCACGGTGGCTCACACCTGTAATCCCAGCACTTTGGTAGGCCGAAGCGGGTGGATCACCTGAGGTCAGGACTTCGAGATTAGCCTGGCCAACATGGTGAAACCCTGTCTCTACTAAACATACAAAAAAAATTAGCCAGGTGTGGTGGTGCATGCCTGTAATCCCAGCTATTTGGGAGGCTGAGCCAGAAGAATTGCTTGAACCTGGGAGGCGGAGGCTGCAGTGAGCTGAGATCGTGCCACTGTACTCCAGCCTGTGTGACAGAGCAAGGCTCCATGTCAAAAAAAAAAAAAAAAATCATCCTTTAATACAGCCCACTGTCTGTTTGTGTAGGGTCCTGAAGCTAAGAATCATTTTTCCTTTTTTAAATGATTATGGGGGGAGAGCAAAAGAAGGATGATATTTTGTGACATGTGAAAATGATATGAAATTCAAATTTCAATGTCCATAAATATTTAGTGGAACACAGATCACACCCATTTGTTTTAAATGTTGTTCACAGCTGCTTTCCACGGTAACTGCAGAGTAGTTGGGAAAGAGCCCACGTGACACTCTCAGCGCTGTTCTCTGCTGCCTGCACACAATAAATCGCAGCGATGCTGCCGTAAGTTGACAGCCTCTGGAGTGCTATCCCCCAGGCTGTACTAGAACATTTCATTTTATTTTGTATTACCAGCTTTTCCAAAGACTTTAAACTATAGAGAACAAAAGAAGAGGTGGTGAGTGAGTCTGAGGCATTCACTTCCAACTCCTGAGGAGATTTTGCTAAAGACTGTAGATCTCAGAATTCCTCATTTTTTTCCTTTTTCTTTTCTTTTCTTTTCTTTTTTTTTTTTTTGAGATGGAGTCTCGTTCTGTCACTCAGGCTGGAGTACAGTTGCACTGTCTTGGCTCACTGCAACCTCCGCCTCCTGGGTTCAAGTGATTCTCCTGCCTCAGCCTCCCGAGTAGCTGGGACTACAGGCACATGCCACCATGCTGGCTAATTTTTTTGTATTTTTAGTAGAGATGGGGTTTCACAGTGAGAATTCCTCAATTCACCTTGGTTCTTTGCTTTACTTTTTTAACCCGTTCTTACACTGAGGTGTATAGGGGTTAACAATTGAGATGGGATGGAATTAAGCTTAAGCTACAAAATTGCGTTGGGCTTACCTAATAGTTGTTTTCAAATATCTATCTGATGCCCAAGAATGTCTGCCCAGCTTTCTCTTGTTGTGAAAGTACCTACAGAATAGCCTTTTGCCTCTCGGCCCACAAAGCCTAAACTATTTACTATCTGGCCCTTTCCAGGAAAAGTCTGCCTATCACAGCTTTGAAAAATTCCCATCTCACTGTAGAAAAGTCCAGAGCCCTGGCATTCATTGGCTTTCACGCCTGAGCCCATCTCTTCTGCTATAGTCTGATTCCACGCGATTTCCTCACGTGTGCCCTGTGCAGCAGCAACAGCCGTGACCACAGGTTCCAGACGGCTGCTCCTCTCATCTCCTTACCCTCCCGGGGGCTGCTTCCAGGTCCCCAGTGTCCTCTCCCATACTGACTGCCCCCCGGGGGCAGGGGCACACCTTCCCCTGGCTTTATGTTTCTACAAGAGTAATAATAATAGCTGGCATCCACATCCTTACTGTACCCCATGGCCACTTTACACACAGCATCTCATTTTATCTTCTCCCAGCCTGTGGAAGTAGGTTTTATGACAATCTCCATCTTACAGTTCACAAAACTGAGACTCAGAGAGGTTAAGCAACCTGCCAAGGTCGTATAGATAGAAAGTGGCAAACCCAGGCTTGGGGTTCAGAGAGATGAGCTCCAGCACGCAGGCGCTGACTGCTTTGCCACAGGGCTGCTCTGGAAAAGCACCTGGCTTCTTGCAACCTTCCTCTGACCCTCCGTGGAGGCCGCCTTGGTGACCTGATAGGGAGTGGGGGTCCATAGCCCAGGGCTCATAGTTGGATGGGGCCAATTACATGCCTTTGAGTCCTGGGGTTTGGTTTCTTCTCCTCCCCTCTCCTTACTGTCCTGCACAGCAACCCTGGGTTGGGAAGTCTTCCCTGCTGTCCCCATGCAGCTGAACCACACTCTGTACTTGGGTGGGGCTGGGGTGTGTTGACATGCCCCCTCCATGTGTTTCTTTTTAACAGATTTTACTTTTTTTAGAAAAGTTTTAAGTTTATAGAAAAACTGAGAGGCTAGTACAGAGACGGCCCATTACCTCATACCTAGTTTTTCCTGTCCTTAACATCTCACATTAGTATGATACATTTATTTACAACTAATGAACCAATATAAATACATTCTTATTAATGGAAGTCCATAGTTTATTTAGATCTCCTTAGATTTTACCTAATCCCTTCTTTCTGTTTCAGGATCCCATCCAGGATACCACATGACATTTCATCATCATTATCATGTCTCTTTAGCCTCGTCTTGGCTGTGGTGGTTTCTTAGGCTTTCCTTGTGTTTGATGACCCAGAGGTTTTGCAGAAAGTCCCTCTGTTGGGATTAATCTGATGTTTTTCTCATGATGAGACTGGGGTTATGGGTTTTGGGGGAGGAAGACCCTGGAGGTTAAGTGCCCTTCTCATCATATCATGTCAAGGGTACTTGCTGTCAATGTGACTTTTTGGTGTTGATATTGAGCTTGATGACCTGGCTGAGGTGGTATTTGTCAGGGTCCTCCACTGTAAAGTTCCTCCTCTTTTGGCATGCCCTTTTGACCAAAAATCAAAAGTCATGTTCTCCAGTGGTCTTTCTTAGCAATAAAGCTGACATTTTGGCCTGTTTGTTCTTTGTGTCTTATTTCTCAATTGAGTCCATATTTGAGAAGGGAAGAAATAAATGGATGTTATGTATTGAAGCCCTAAGACCTCAATATTATCCCCCTGGCAAAATACTTCACATCTTTGTGGTTCACTCAAGCATCACTTCCTCTTTGAAGCCCTCCCTGATCTCCCCAGGCAGAGTCATTGTGTTCTCCCAGGTGCTCACACAACCCCCCACCTGCCTCTCTTGTGGGACTTTTCTCTTGGCTGCCATAATTCCTTCCTCCTGCTCTTCCTCCACTGGACGGTCAGCCCCTCAGGGACACCAGCGGTGTTCTAGTAATCTCTATGTCCCTGAAACCTGGCCCACAGTCTGGAATTTAGGAGATTCTTAGCAAATGTTTGCAGAATGAAAAACAAGTCTTTCCAAATCTCCCATCAGTGAGGGTTGCCTGACTCCTCCAGAATGGAGATTTACTGGGCCTCCTCTTGGTGATGAAGGCAGTCCCATCTAAGGACCATTCTATTCTCTTTTCAGCTCATTAAGAAGGAGGCAGGGCTGCTTAGCTGGTGCAGTTGGAATAACACTTGAGTCTAGGACCCACATTCAGTGAAGACCTATGGCCCCATCAATATTCATAGCTGTTATTGAATGAGCACCAGGAGGAAGGTAGTCTCTCCTGGGTACTGTGTTTCCTATTAAGTCATTAAAAAAAATCTCTAAAAAGAAGTGCAGTCTTAGAAACAGAGAGTAATCATAAAAATAGCTATCATTGTTGAGTATCATTGTTGAGCAATGCTATGGTTTGGATATTTGTTCCCTCCAAACCTCATGTTGAAATTTGATGCCCAGTGTTGGAGGTGGGGTCCAGTGGGAGGTGTTTGGGTCAAGGGGTGGATCCTTCATGAATAGATTAATTCACCCGCTCAGGGGTAAGTGAGTTCCCAAAAGAGTTGGTTGTTAAAAAGAGCCTGGAACTTACAATAAAATAAAATTCAAAAAAAGAGCCTGGCACCTCCTTGCTGCTTCTCTTGCTTCCTTTCTTGCCATGTGATCTCTGTACAGCCAGCTCCCCTTCACCTACCAGTGAGTGGAAGCAGCTTGAGGCCCTCACCAGATGCCCAATTTTGAACTTTCCAGCCATTAGAATCAAGAGCCGAATAAACCACTTTAATGTATAAATTACCCTGCTTGTTATACCTTTATAGCAACACTAAATGAACTCAGACAAGCAAATAGTATAAGCTCTGTGTTAGGTGTTTCATACATGTGATATTTCATTCTTACAATTCTGCAAGGTAGATTGTTGCCTTGACCCTATCTGAAGGTCATATGACTAGAGGCCCAGAGAGGTAAAGCAACTTGCCCAAGATGACAGAGCTATTAAAGGTCTCGACCTAAGTGGGTCTAATTCTAAATTCTTTCTAGGTCAGGTGTGGTGCTCACACCTGTAATCTCAGCACTTTGGGATGCTGAGGGAGGAGGATTGATTGAGCCCAAGAGCTCAAGACCAGCTTGGGCAATATGACAAGACCCTGTCTCTACAAAAATAAAAATAATTAAGCAGGTATGGTGGCATGTGCCTGTAGTCCCAGCTACCCTGGAGGTTGAGGCAGTTGGGCTGGGAGATTGAGGCTGCAGTGAGCAGTGGTTATGCCACTGCACTCAACCCTGGTTGAGAGAGTGAGAATCTGTCTAAAAAGAGAAAATATTATTCCATCTCTACTGATTCTACACTGATTCCCTTCATAACTTTCTGCTTTTTCTCATTTTCTGCTTCTGCAATTAGCTGAGTCTAAGGAACCAATGTGAGAAAGGACACAGTATTGGCCAAGAGAACACAACAGATGGACTGAGGTTCTGTTCTTTTTTTCATAAATAAGACTCCATTTTTATAATCTTGCCCTAAGGAATGCTGACTCTAAACTATTTCTGTACATTTTTTCTGTCTTCACTGATATGACTGACTAGTTTCTTGATTTTAAGATGAACATTTTCCCAAATTTTAGCATCCTCTAAAATTGGAATGTGTCTTACAATTTTATTCAACATGGATTGAAATCAAGTTTCTCTAGAGGGGATTTGCAGATAATTCTATTTAAAGTTGTCTCAAGTTGGTGGTCTTACCTACTTGGGTTCAAATTCTGCAGGGAATATATTTTTCCTACCTTCACCCAGTGCCAGTGAGACTTAGAAGTCTTCTGCTGTTCTTTTTTGTGGAGTGGATTTATTTCTCATTTACTCCTACAATGAAGGTATAGCCTTTGATAGCCCAGTTTATTTGTAGAGTCTTTCAATACTAGCCATTTTTTCTTTCTTATATGGTTGTTCATGCCTATAATTCCAGCTACTCAGGAGGCTGAGGCAGGAGGATTGCTGGAGCCCAGGAGTTCAAGGTACAGTAAACTATGATTGCATCCCTGCCCTCCAGCCTGGGTGACAGAGCAAGACTCTGTCTAAAAGAGAGACACAGAGAGACAGAGAGAGAGAGAGAGAGAGAGAGAGAGAAAGTTATCTTACAGCTCATGGTGTTCTAGGTCCTATATTAAAATATGATAATTTATTGAGGTCTGATGTTAGTTTCAAGCAGTGTGGTAGCCAGTCTCCAAGGTGGCCCCCAGTGATTTCTGCCTTCTGATATTCACACCCTTGTGTGTTTCCTTCCACACTGAATAAGACTGACCTGTGTGATGAATAGGATATTGTGGAAATGACCAGGTGACTTCCAATGCTGCATCATAAAAGACCTTGCTGCTTCTGTCTTGTTCTCTTTTGGATCACTCACTTTGGAAGAAGCCAGCTGCCATGTTGTGAGGACACTCAAGCAGTCTCATGGAGAGGTCCATGTAGCCAGGGTGATGACCTTCTGCCAACAGTCAGCACTGACTAGCCAGGCATGTGAGTGAATCAACCTGAAAGCAGATCCTTCAGCCCTAGTCAAGACTTCAGATGACTGCAGCCCTTAACCTCATGAGAGACTTTGAGCCAAACCACCCAGCTAAACTGCTCCCAGATTTGTGATTCACAGAAACTGCAAGATTACAAATGTTTATTATTTTAAGTCACCAAATGTTGGCATAATTTGTTATATAGCAACTAATACAAAAGCTAGAAAAATACTTTTTGAAACAAAAAATTTTACTTGTCTTTTCAAAATCAGTTTTTATCTCCTTGTTTTCAAATGATCTCTTCCACATTAATGAGGGAATTTCTGTTGTTTTCAGGACAACTGAGATCTAAAGCAACAATGAATATTTGCTCAGTTTAATATAAAGACTTGCAAGTGACTTTGTGCTGTATATGTCTTGCTTTGTGCTTGCTTCAAATTTTATAGTTTCATTGAAGAGATTTTTCTGATAATGATATAAGTAGGTAATACAAGTAGGAATAACTTATATATCACTATTTTTAAAAGAGTAGGAAAATGTTGATTGGGTTAGTTTAAATCCAGAAAGAATACTTGCAAAGATGTCCTTAATTACCCCAAAATGCCTTAGTTTGGGAGTACCAGCTAAAGAGCTATGTTAGGGTACTCATCAATATTGAAGAGACCATGATAACCCCTGGTTGCTATTCTAAGCTATGTATTTAGAGGTGCTGCAGGTCTTTCCTTTGGGCTTGCTGACACAATTACATTTTAATAAAGGTTTAATGTACACACCCTTTGGAAAGCTTACTGGTTTTTTTTTTGTTTTTGAGACGGAGTCTTGCTCTGTCGCCCAGGCTAGAGTGCAGTGGCGCGATCTCGGCTCATTGCAAGCTCCGTCTCCTGGGTTCACACCATTCTCCTGCCTCAGCCTCCCGAGTAGCTGGGACTACAGGTGCCCGCCACCACGCCCGGGTAATTTTTTGTATTTTTAGTTAGAGATGGGGTTTCACCGTGTTAGCCAGGATGGTCTCGATCTCCTGACCTCGTGATCTGCCCGCCTCAGCCTCCCAAAGTGCAGCTTATTGGTTTTTTATGTCATCTTTGGAAAAAGCCATCTTGTGCTGTCCTGTGCCCAAGACATCAGCTAAATCTATTAAGATTGATTAATGAAGATTAATATAATGTTTTCCTCTTTGGATTCAAATGGATTATTTTAACCTGCATTTTGATTATTATTGTTGATCGTTGTAAAAATTCAGTGGTTTCTAACCTTTCTTGCTCATCGAGATCTCCTGTGGAGGTGTTTATTTAATTTTTTAAAAATATAGGTAATGGACTTTTGCCTGATTTCCTAAATTAGCATCTTCAGGGGTGGGACTTGGGAACCTGTATTTTTAAAATTAACAAACTCTCCAGTTGATTCTTTGAGTCATTCCAGTGCATTGGCACTAACAGGGACATCAGAAGACACTGGATTCACTCCCTGCCATCCACCGCCACCTTCCATTCCAGCCTCCAAGTCTGCAGCAAGGGAAGATGCAGATGGATTTAAAGAACCATGGAGGATCTGCTAGAAGATACTTAGAGATAATTTGGTCCACGTGCCTTCATTCATCAGATAAGGGGACCCCTACTCCATGAGCGAAGTGAAGTGACTTACTTTCTTGAGGGATTTTTTATTCCATTAGTGTTATGACAATGTAGTTGAAAGTTACAAGTTAGCAAAAACAAATACAAAAACAATGGTTGCCACAGTCTCCATTCTAGGGGAGGGATGTCATTTATCATCTGGACTGCAGAACGGTTTAATTGAGAAAAGGGAGGCCTCCTCACTTTGCAAGTGATTGTACAGTAGTTTTCTTGAGGAGGCTTTTCTAAGTAATTAATATAATAAGTAGGAATGAGAATGCATCTCATTTTTAGACTGGGTAAATAATTGGTTAGATTATTTTTAATTCAAAAGGAAATATTTCACTTGCCTGGGTGCAAGAGGCTTAGAAAAAGAACTAATTCTGCAGTACAAGTAGCAGGATTTCTGGGTTAGGGGCTCATCATAGCCTGAGAGAGGAGGTCATTGGTAGGAGCTTTCAGGCAAGTGAAAGGTCACAGGATCCCTGTGAATATCAGTGGGCAGGAGATTTGAAAAGAAGGAATGCCCGTGAGCAAAATCTCTCAGGGCAGGGCGGGGGGTGGTGGTGGCTGGGGAAATCCAGGACCGTGGTATCAGTGCTGCGACATTGTGATTTATAATAAGAAATGTATATGCGGTCCCTGTTTCCCGGCATAAGGCTCCTAATACCCTTGGAATCTCCAAAGTAGTGTTTTTCTTTGTTTTTTTGTTTGTTTGTTTCTTTGTTTTTTGTATAATGATGACATAATTGGTGGGGTGAGGGCTCCGGATAGCCTCAGCATGGGGCTGGTTGCTGGAGGAGCCAACCTTGTAATTAGAGGGTTGGGACTTTAGTCCCATCCACCCCCTACCCTACCTCTAGATAAGGGAGAGGGGTGGAAGGTTGAGTTGATCACCAAAAGCCAATGATTCAATCAATCAAGCCTATATAATGAAACATCAGAAAAACTCACAGGACAGGATTCAGAGAACTTCAGGCTGCTGAACACATGGAGGGTGGCATGTCCTGAGAGGGCATGAAAGCTCCACACCCCTTCCCCCATACCCTGTCCTATGCATTTCTTCCATATGGCTGCTCTTGAATGACATCCTTTTATAATAAATAAGTAGTAGTGAGTAAAGCACTTTCCTGATTTCTGTGAGCTGCTCTAGCAAATAATCCAACACAAGGCAGGGCTCGTGAGAACTCACAATTTATAGCCAGTTGGTTAGAAGTACTGGTGGCCTGGATTTTTATTTGGCATCCAAAGTGGGGTGGGGGTGGTCTTGTGGAACTGAGCCCTTAACCTGTGGGATCTCACTCCGACTCCAGGTCAACAGTGTCAGAACTGAATTGAATTATAGGACACCCAGTTACTGTTGAAGAATTGTTCAGTGTGGGGAAAAACACACACATCCATGTTGAGTGTTGAGAATGTAGTAGGAGAAAACAGACAGTTTGGTTTTTCCTATCATACACCTGCTCTCTTTGATGCCTGAATTGTGCTATAATTCTCCCGCCATTCTCCCAAGTTTTACTAAAATGCCTTTCGGATACACTAATCTTGTGTTGGTGCTGCTTTGGGAGAGAAAGAAGAGGAATAGCATAGGGTGAAGTGATAAGGCATGAGGATGTAGAATTCAGTGGAAAAGGAAGATGAGAGAGAGAGAAGAGAGAGGGGAGAGAGAGCATGCACCAGGAGGAACCTAATCCCTTGGAAACTCCCAGCAGAAATGGGACAATGGGCTTCATAAAGAATGTGGAATGGGCTCAAGTTATTTTTCTCAAATAACATCCAAGGGAAGGGTAATCCCCAGAAGAAAGACTTGGGAATTGACATCCCAATAGCAGACAATTGGATTACATCACAAGTTTTCTGCAAAATGAATGAAAACATTCATGTCATACCACACACCCTTCTGCCACATGAAAACCCCAGGTCCTGATGGACATTCCCCCTAGAGGCTGAGACTGCCTTCCCTCATGCACATCCAGCTGGTCTTTGGGCACTGTTTCAGTGCTCCCCAAAGAATAAAGCCACAAGTACTCCATCAAAAGGAAGACAGCTTTACAATAGCTAGGGTCAAATGCTTAATTTAAACCCCAGGAAAGAGCAAGCGTTGTCAAGACAGAAGCGAGGGATCCCCCAGCTCTTCCCAGCTTTTGTATTCTGTGATTCTTAGGAAGAGAGGGGTCAAACCCTGGTTTTGTACAGTAATGAATAAAATGGCCTGGCTGGGTGTCAGCTGGCCTGCTAAAGTTGGCAGCTGACAGGGGAGAAACAGAGAACTTCGGAGGAACTGGTTCAATCTGCATGTATGATGTGTTCACGTAGACTGCCTGCGTATAGATTATATAACATCCATGACATACAGAGAAAGGCTTTGGGTTCCTGAGAAAGAAAGAAGCTCAGAAATAGACCATTTCTAGGGTGACACAAATCAGGATACAGATTCTAGTCTCACATATGGGGTGATCTCAGCTGCCAGAGGACACTTAGCAGCTAGGGAAGCACAAACAAAGGAAGTCATTCCCATAGTCAGGGCCCCTACTGGAAGCTCAGAGAGTCAGGGGTTGCCTGGCAACAGCAGAGTCTTCCTGTCTTTTCATTCACCCCTGTCAAGAGCATAAGATATCTCTTTCTTTTTTCTTCTGGACCTTCATTTTTCACCTAATTTCACCCGGAATTTGTTAGGAACCAGTGAGATATGTTTGAAGTCTCATAGGAATGCTGGTTGGAGACAGATCATTCTTCACAGGAACCTGAGCCCTGCAGAGATAAATGCCATGCCTCTGAGGCGTCCAGTTGCACCTACAGTTTTGCCGAATCTTACTGTGGGCAAAATGTGATGAAGGCTCACAGCTAGGGGGAGGGAGTTGACATGGTCCTGAATGCCTGAAGAAATGGCAGATAACCTATTTATGAATTTGTATGATTATTCCTACTGCAGGCCATCCTGATGTTTTGGAGAAGCAAGCTTTGTCTTGCAGTCCGAGATTCACCCCTGACTATCTGTAGTCACTTTGCCTCTTGAGGCCTTGCACTCTCAATCTCTATAAGAAATCAACTTCTCCCTGCCCCCAGCGTGGTGCTCTTAGGAGATTTGGTGAGAAGGTGAAAGAAAACTACTAGATTATAAAGGCTCTTGAGGATGGGATCATTGCTTTTTCATTCCTATGTACCTTACAGGCATCTAGCAATGAGTTTTTAAAAATATATTATGTATTCATTATTTTTGCCTATAAGGTACATATATTGTCCATTTTGTTGACAAATAAGAAGCACTTGTATTTCTTCTGGCTGCATGGTACCTGGCCTTTCCATTCCATTGCACCATTGTGTTTGGTTATTAAAGGAAAGGGTTACCCCAGAAGAAAGGCTTGAAAAGTGACATCTTGCTAGCAAAACCTGGATTACATTATAAAAGATTTTCTATGAAATGGAAGTATTGAGATCGTAGCATACATGCAGCTGTGTATACCAATGTGTCCTAATATGTGCTCACCCAGTGCATTCTTGCCATGCAGAACACAGAAGGTGCCAAATGGGATTCAATATTCCTGGCAGCTCTGAGTATTATGGAAAAGGGAGTTCACTGTGTATCAGGTCAGATCAGGTCTGGACTATTTTATGGAGAGGAGATGCTCTTCTTTTCCTTGAAGATTTGAGCTTTTGGGTTGGGGAGAAGGGCAGAATTTTACTGGGTGGAGGAAGCTTTGATGCTACCCACTGGATATTTCCTGCTAAGAAGAAAACCGATAAAGGGAACAAGGCCCCATAAGAAGCACCCAACTTGGAGCTGAGTAAGTCTGTAAAATTGCATGGAAGACTCGATGCTGTTGGTGGGGAACTCTTGCAACAAGCCTTCTACTTTGTGTTCCTAGTAGTGTGAGCCAGCAACTTTTAAAATTTTGTCTTCTTTTCCCTGGTTTTAAGTTATATTGCTTTCTCTTGCCAGATCTGAGGCATTTTTTAAAAGGGAGCATTTATCCTTTAACAGCACATGCTGTCATATTTTGTCCCTGTTACAGTCCTTTGAGGGAGGGAGCAGCCTCTGCTTTGTCACACGGTTGGTAGGGCTGGGAGAGAGCCAGAGCCCAGGATGTCTAAGTGACTTCCCAAAGCCACAGAGCTAGGAAATGGTGGAGCTGGGACTTGACTCTGTTGGTGGCCACACTCGCAAACCCATGCTCTGTGCCTTTCAATTTATTCTTGCTAGGCTGAACTGACAGTAGCAGGTCGAGAAAAGATGGCGCCCTCCTACAAATGAGGTGAATTTTCAAATAAGGTCAGATGGGTCAGGCTCTAAGATCAGACCTATTTTTTGCTTTAGACAGGGTCTCGCTCTGTCACCCAGGCTGGAGCACAGTGGAACCATCACGGCTCACTGCAGCCTTGCACTCCTGCGATCAAGTGATCCTTCCAGCTTAGCATCCTGAGTAGCTGAGACTATAGGCATGCACCGCCACAACCAGCTAATTTTTTTACTTTTTATTTTTTTGTAGAGACAAGGTCTCACTATGTAGCCCAGGCTGGTCTGGAACTCCTGAGCTCAAGGGATTGTTCCACCTTGGTCTCCCAAAGTGCTGGGATTACAGGCATGAGCCACCACACCCAGCCAGATCGGATCTATTAATCCACAAATGATTGGTGAGTCCAATCATCATCATCCTCTACTCCAACTTGGATATAGCTTTGTGATGAAGCTAGAATATCTGCCTCTGTCACATCAAGAAGAGGCATCTCAAAATACAGACAGTGAGAGTTCAAAGTCTTGGAACTGGAAAGATCAAGGCAGAAGCCTCTGGGTACCAGCAGAAACCACCGAGAAGCAGGACTGGAGAGCTGAGGGTGAGGGAAGAGGGGAGGGTGGGGTACAGAGATTCTAGGACCTGAAGAAGTGTTCTCCGTGGTGTGGTAGAGTGGGGTTCATTGTGTTGTGATCAGGATGTTGATCAGAGTTCCCTCAAAAATTATCAAGTAGTGATTGCCAGGTTAACTTCACCACTACACTACTAGTTAGAGTTGTTAAAGAGCAAGATTGCAGAGCTGATTTCTTTTCCTGTGTCACGTGAGGTGGTGCCTCCACCCCTAAGTAGAGCAGCTAGCACAGCAGTGTGGTTCTTCATGAAGGTGAAGGCTGGGAGTGAATGTTGGGTAGTTCCTGAGGCCATGGGGAGGAGTCGCTCCCAGGGAGGGCAAGAGACAGGGCGGACCAAAGGAATGTGGCTAGAAAGACATCCATCATATCAAATGGAGACTTCAGAGATGTCCAGAGACCATGATCAGCCGGTTTTGTTGGTTCCGTTTAACATGCAGAGGAAAAGGTGGAAAGCACCCTCATTTGGACACGCTGCCATACGCATCTTTAGAAAGGTTTCTTTGCAGACATCAATCTGATAAGGTAGCCCTGGGCTGGCTCCTGTCATGATGGTGCCTTTTCCCTCTGTCCTGTGACACCATGCTTAAGAGGGTGGTGTTGGAGTTATTTGGAAAAGTATTGTTGTTTTTGTGTAATCGTTTGATATTTTTATTAGATGAGGCCCTGGACCTGTGATTTTAAAAGGCTACTTGGTTGGAATTTTGTTTTGTTTTGCTTTGCTTTGCTTTTATAAAGAAAGGCCAGGTAACTGCCTCTCCTATTTTATTTCCTTTGGAAACTGGTTCTTGTGGAGGTGGCGCCTGGCACCAGAATGAAACTGAATTTCCTCCACAGGTGATGCAAAATCAGGTTCTGTTTGGGGTCATCATCTCGGTTGTCATAAAACTGCACATTTTAAAGTTTCTGGGTGTAAGATTGCTGAGAGCCCTGTGCCTGCACTGGGGGATGTGACCTTTGTTGTGGCTCTGGGGGTGAAGTTGGGGTATGCACACCCAGGTTTACTCAGCAACCACTGTTGGCTGTGTCAGCCACGTTCCTGTTCCCAGAGCTCAGTTGTTCATGTCTACACCCACTGATCTCCTGGCAAAGGCATGTTCTCTTTCAGGGAGCCATCCAGTCATGCAGCTGAGGAGGTGCCTCTGTGAGCTCCCCCGATCTGTCTGACTCACGAGCAGGATTTCCAGCATTCTGGGCCGTTCAGCTGAGCGATAATTTTGTCTCAGGCATTTGCAGAAATGGCTGCTTATATGTGCAGGCACGCGTGCTGCTGCCCCTGAATTCTCCATAAAGTCAGATGGTCCACTCAGCTGGCTCCGGAGACCCTTTTACACAGTCACGGAGTAGAAAATCAAGTAAAACATTCATCCCGTTTTAAACACTCCAGTCCATTGAAACTAGTGGTATTGTGATTGCAGGTGTTTTTGTGTGTTTGTCCGGGGGGACTTTGTAATCCTGGTGCCGGGTTGAACGAAAACCTCAGCCTCTGTTAGTATTGTCTGAAACACACTGCTTGAGGAGTGTGTGTTAAGGACACTCTAAAAAAGAGACTTGTGGGAGGTTTCAGGCATTTGGAAGTTTTAGATACGACTTCAAGTAAGATTCACTTTCGGGTGAGGTAAGGAGCTTCTTGATTTTCCTTCTGTTGGTTTTTAATCCAGAGGTGGACAGAGATAGCATTTGCAACATAGAGCCAAGAACCCAGCCACAGCTCCTTGCTTGGCACTGCTCAACATTCCAGCAAGAATCCACGCTGCTTGGACCAATGGCTTTAGAAGTTGAATTATTTAGGCTGGGTGCAGTGGCTCACACCTGCAATCCCAGCACTTTGGGAGGCCGAGGCAGGTGGATCACCTGAGCTCAGGAGTTCGAGACCAGCCTGGCCAACATGGTGAAACCCCGTCTCTACTAAAATTATAAAAATTATCCAGGCATGGTGGTGCACACCTGTAGTTCCAGCTACCTGGGAGGCTGAGGCAGAATTGCTTGAACCCAGGAGGTGGAGGTTGCAGTGAGTCAACATCATGCCACTGCACTGCAGCCTGGGTGATAGAGTGAGACTCTGTCTCAAATTAAAAAAAAAAAAAAGAAATTGAATTATTTAAACAAATTTTCATTTAATTCAGTGCAGCTACTTCTGTAGTGTCCTGAGAGAAAAGACACAGCTGAGGTTGATGGACCTGGCTTCTGATTTGTATTACTGTTTCCTACCTGTGAGCCCACGAGCAATTTACTTTAATTCAGAGTCTGCAAACTAGAGGCCTGCTGCTGAATTTGCTTTGCATACTTTTTTTTGGCTTGGGCAATGCAGGGTTTATAAAAATTTAATCAGTAACTAACATCTAAATATCAGAGTTTTCAGCATGAATCCAGATTTCTGGCTTCTTTAGAAAAATGGAAAGATCTGGCAATACTGGGCCTGAATTCCCGACTAGAAACAATTGCGTTGATCATTCTTTATCGAGGGCAGTACCCTTTATTTTAATCATGATGCGGTCTCTGCTGGCATTTAAGTTTGCAACCTTGTACTTTGTTGAGCCTCAGTTTCTTAATCCACAAGATAAGCATACCGTACTTGTTTGTTCTTATGCTGCTAATAAAGACATACTTAAGACTGGGTAATTTATAAAGGAAAGTAGTTTAATGAACTCACAGTTCCACGTGGCTGGGGAGGCCTCACAATCATGGTGGAAGGCAAAGGAGGAGCAAAGTCACGTCTTACATGGCAGCAGGCAACAGAGCTTTTGCAGGTAGACTTCCATTTATAAAACCATCAGTTATCGTGAGACTTTTTCACTAACACAAGAACAGTATGGGGGAACCACAGCCATGATTCAATTATCTCCACCTGGTCCCACACTTGACATATGGGGATTATTACAATTCAAGGTGAGATTTGGGTGGGGACACAGCCAAACCACATCACATACTATCCTCAATTCATAGGTTCTTCTATTTTTTTTATTTTTAGTTTTTAGAGATGAGGTATCGCTCTGTTGCCCAAGCTAGAGTACAGCAGCATTATCATAGCTCACTGTAGCCTCAGGCGGGCTCAAGTGATCCTCCTGCGTCAGCTCCTGAGTAGCTGGGACTACAGGTGCATGACTCAGCTTCTTGTGTGAAGACGGAGTAACATCCATAAAGCAACTAATAGGATTTCACACACAGTAGGCCCTTGAGAAACGCTGGATCTTATGGTTTGTGTGCAATCTACAAGGTGTTTCCCCATCAGGAAACGCAGGGGTTATAATTTGGTTGTTGGTCCCCTCTAAATCTCATGTTGAAATGTGATCCCCAGTGTTGAAGGTGGGGCCTAGTGGGAGATGTTTGGGTCATGGGGGCATATCCCTCATGAATGTCTGGGGGCCGTCCTCACGATAACGAGTGAGTTCTCTATCACTCCATGTGAGATCTGGTTGTTTAAAAGAGCCTGCACCTCCTCCTTCTCTCTTGCTCCCTCTCCTGCCATGTGACACACTGGCTCCTCTTCACCTTCTGCCATGATTTTAAGCTTTCTGAGGCTCTCAACAGAAGCAGGTGCCAGCAATAAAGTTTCCTTAGGGGAGAGATAATGGTGGGAACAGTGGAGGAATGTGTGCAAGCTGCACTCAGGCTTTGCTGTGACTTTGTCTTGGATGGAGCCTGTCAGGTTATGAAATGTCATCCATTCCACATCCCTCTATGGAGTCCTCTGGAAAGAAGAATGGGCAACTCTTCCATAGGCTTCCTGTACAGCCTGCAGAACTATGAGCCAGATAAACCTCTTTTCTTCATTAAGTTACCCAGTCTTGGGTATTCCTTTATAGCAACGCAAAGTGGCCTAACACAATGGGGTCAGCTGATTCCTAAGCAGTATGTTGGTTGACACTGTTAATATGCTCTTTTCCCCATTTCCAGACTTTTTGGATACTTCATAGTGTATTTATTGTGCTATTTCAGATGAATAGTTAGATACAGTGGAGTACTTCAGATGAATATATATCCAGTACTTCCCATGAATATATATCCAGTGTATTATTTGAAAATGTAGTTAACATTAAGTGTATCCCAAGTCCTCCTGACTTTGTGGATGCTGTTTACATAGAGTTTATTCATATCTCTGGGGGTGGTAAGGGGAGTGTATTCTTTGGGGAAGGAAACAATTTTTACAACTACTTCCTAATTCCAGCTCGGAAGTCAGCAGGGCAGGCTGATGTGATGTTGAGTCATGCTGGGTTGATATCACGATGACAGAAACCTTAGGCCTCATTTCCATGCCTGGTGCCATCTGACTCTCTTTCTGGAAGGGCTTATGTCAGCTGTCCTCAGTGGTAACAGTGGGTTGAGCTTGATAATACTGGTTACAGGATTCTGAAAAATCACAGAAAGCCCTGAATCCCAAGCATCACACCTTAGTTCTGTAGAAAAAAATCTAAAGCCAACAGTATTTTTTTTTAACAGAGCAAAAGGAAGCTCATGTAAAACAAGGAGAGACAAGAGCTACTGAAACCCTGAGTGGCCACTTCTGTTTCTCCTTATCCTGTCTAAGCATCTCCCTGGATGCTTAGCATTGTGGGTGGAAGGGACCTGGCCAGCCTACACAGTGGAAGTTATCCTCCAATACTGAGATTTTCCAGTCTCATTACTCACCAATGCTCACTCAGGCAGGAAATGTTGCTTATACAGGTGCCAGGCAACCCCATACCTCTTTCACTCATCTCCCTTAATTATTGCAAAAGGCTTTGGGGTCCACTATTTGGTTGAGGAGAGTGTGGTGTCATCAGAGGTGTGAGAAAGCCTCACCTCCATTACCTGGGAGGCAGAGTGTCAGGGACAGAGAAGGCCTTGCTTTGGCCACAGGCCCCAAGCTAAGGGACCTTAGCTCTCTGGCAGCCCATGGAGTGGGCCCTGCCCAGTCCATACCACTGTCTATTTCCCTCACGAGTGGGACAGAGGCCCTGTGCCTGGATCCTTGGGGACGCATTTGCTCTACCCCGTTCTTCTTTCCAAAGGGCTCCCCAGAGAGATGCAGAACGGAGGACATGCTCCATCCAAGACAGGGTCATGCTCAGCCTGAGTGTGACTTGCACAGTTTCCTCTGCCTTTTCCCCCGTTATCTACCCCATAAGGAGACTTTAGTGTTTTTTTATTTTTCCCATAATACCCTGCCTACTCCATAAGATTTTCCATGAAGATCAAACATGCATAAAAGTCCATTGTAGATGGTAGATCACTCTACTGATGTTATTATTATGACTAATAATAGTAGCTTCAAAGGGGCCCAGTGTTTCCACTTGATTTTCTTTATGCTGTGACTGTTTTATCTTGAAGAATTTTTCTTTTTGCTCACAGGTATTTATATCAGCCAGAGTCCCAGCAGGAAGATGGCATCTTCCACAAGATAAGTGGGCCAAGTTTAAAGATGAGATGATCTACACAGGTCTGGGCAGGGCTATGGGGTTCCCCAGGGGTGGAGGTGCCCCAGGGAGGGGAGTAGCACTAGCACTAAGCCTGAGAGTGCAGCCTGTGCAGTCACCTGTCAGTGCTCAGAGAGTCCCCGTGCTTCGTTTAACCCTCTGCTGTCACATTCTTGAAATCTCGAATACTTTTTGAACAAGGGTTTTTGCATTTCATTTTGGCCTTGGGCCCTGCAAATAATGTAGCCCATCTGCTTCGACCTCCTCCAAGTCTGAAGAGACAAAGGGAGGAAGGAATGACATTGGTTGGAGCCCAGCTATGGGAAGGGCTGTTTAATAGGGTCTGTTGTCTGAGGCCAGGCGCAGTGGCTCATGCCTGTAATCCCAGCACTTTGGGAGGCTGAGGCGGGAGGATCACCGAGGTCAGGAGTTCGAGACCAGCCTGGCCAAGATGGCGAAACCCCATCTCTACTGAAAATACAAAAATTAGCCAGGTATTGTCATGCATGCCTGTAATCTCAGCTATGTGGGAGGCTGAGGCAGGAGAATCGCTCAAACCTGGGAGATAGAGATTGCAGTGAGCCGAGATGGCACTGCTGCACGCCAGCCTGGGCAACAGAGCAATACTCTGTCTAAAACAAAAACAAAAAACAGGGTCTGTGGCCCAATACAGCAGCTACCATCATAACTGAGGCTTCCTATGGAGGAAGAGGGTATAAATTCCCTGGCTCTTTCTCCTCCACCCTCATGAATCCTGCCAGTGCCTCCCACTGGCTGAAACGCACGAGAGCCTGTAAATTCCCCAGGCACAGAACGAGGATGTGAACTGCAGGTAGAAGACCTGGAGGGGGAAGGGAGACTAACGGCACACATGTATGCAAAGAATCAAACGATCTGCCCTTCCGCAGCCTGCAGGCTCCTACCTGTATGGCACCTTCCTGCTCAGCCTCTAGAAACCACACCATCCTCCAGGACCATCCCAACATCTTTGCTGCCCATCCAGCTTGTTCACCTCCTCTGAGCCACTTGTATAGCATATCTGATCTGACTCCATATATTTATGCATTTAAAACTGTATAAATAATTTTAAAAATTTAAAGGACATACTTGAGGACCATCTGAGATACGGAAATGAGAAGCACAGTCCCTGCTGGGGTAAACAGCTGCCCACAGTTGGTTCACACTCTTGGCTGGTCCCCTTCTAAGTGAGTCTAGCCTTAGCCATGTGACTTGTTTGGCCAATGGGACAACAGCAAATGTAACACAAGTAGAGGGTTGAAACGTGCGTGCACATCGAGTCCTGCCCTGTCTTGCTGCTGAAAACTGCTGCCACCACGTGAACAAGACTGGGTTGATCACATGAAGGATAAGAGGTCCTAATTATCCCAGCAATCCACACCATGCCCGCTGAGGCCCCAGAAGCCCAAGGGAGGCCACAGAGACCATCCAGCACTACACAGCTGGCCCAGACCAGAAAATCCTCCCTCAAGGAACTTAAAGAATAGTCCTGAACCTGCAGGAGACAGATGTGTGGGCCAACAGTGACAGAGAGCACAGCAGTTACTTTGTCAGAGGCTTGTGTGGGTCAAGTGTGCAGAGCAGGGGAGCGTGGAGGGGGCCTGTGGGGACAGGAAGGACTGACAGAGGCCACCACATAGGAGCTGAGACCTGCAGAAGGAGCAGACGCTGGCAAGTGTACCAGCAGCAGGAGGATGCTCCCAGTGTTGGAGGACCCCAGATGCAGGTAGACATGAGGCAGACCTTGGCATCTGAGGGCTCTGCAGGAATCGTGTGCTGCTAAGGGGAACCTATGAGATGGGCTCACCCTGAAACAGAGATGCTTCCTGCAGCCTGGCGCGGAAACTCAAGGGAAAGATTGGCCAACTGATTGTTCTCTTAAATATTCGGTTTGACTTTCCAGGTTTTTATTACTTTTTATTACCCACATTTGGTGCGAGGGCAAATCTGTTTATAGACACCATCGGCAGGGCCTTTGTGAGCAAGTCTGGGACTCTGCGAAAAAATTCTTTGGGAGCCAGCAAGGGCATATGTGTATGATATAGACCACCCAGGCACCCACCAGACCCCCAAGTTATTTGTACTTTCATCCTTCCACCCTGCTGGGCAATTTAAAGTGATTCGAGATGAGACTTAAGGTTGTTAGTTATTCAGCTGGTCTTGAAACCACCTTTGCAAAGATTATGACAGTAAGAAAAGTCTAGGTGGCTGACTCCATCTTGCTTCTAGCCTCACAGGCTAGCTGTCCTTGCTCATTCCTGGGCATAGGCCAAGCTAACCACAGGATGAATTTAGTTTATAATTTAGCTTTGAAGCAAGAATGATAATAGTTCCTTCCTAAAATAGATCCCCTCCTGGCTCAGAGACTGACACTGCCTTTGTAAAACTAATGAAAGGCCATGAAATTAGGATTATGGGAGGGGCCGAATTCTGCTAAAATGTAGCTATAATTCCTAGCTGCTCAAGAGTCATGTGGCCACAGATCACAAGACTAGTGACTTCCCCCAATAGCTCCCTAGTAATGTCACTATTGTGGAGCCTAAGATTGGTCTTTTGAAATGTTTTTCAGACTTTTGCATTCTGGTGATCAACAGACTCCACCCAGACCCATGACTCATGACTCAGTCAGTTCTGTGGCCCCACCCAGAGGTGGACTCATTGCACAAGGGCCCTTTTCCACACCCTTATGATTTCATCTCCGACCAATCAGCAGCACCCATTCCCTAGTCCCCTGCCCATGAGACTGTCCATAAAAGCCTAGCCTCTGAGTTCTTGGGAGACTGATGTGAATAATAAACTCTCAAATACTGCTTGGCTAGCCTTGAGATAATTAAACTCTCTACTGCAATACTGCTGTCTCGCAAAAAGGATCCATGGGTATCTATATTCTCTCTCTCTCTTACATTCTCTCTGTCTCTCTCTCTCTATTTTTGCAGTTCCCAGGGAACACTGGAAAATGCAGTTTGTAGGGAAACATCTTTCTTTCCAGCTCTTTTGATGCCAATAGCAACAAAGAGGCCACATGACATGCTCTGTGCTTCTTGGAGCAGAGCCCAGGGTCTAGTGGTTAACAGGGACAACTAAACTGTACTCTTCGGCCATCATATCCAGGATGCCACATACCATGCCTGGAAAAAAGTCCTCACTCATGCTTATTCTTGCTGTCACTCTCATCTCTCTTGACCCCTTCTATGACAGTTCAACACAATTCACACTTTGTTATTGTGTGAAAGAAAAAAAAATTTTTTTTCCTCATGAAGATCTTGAAGAGAGCTGTTTCTGAGCGATCAACCTGACTGTTGCAAGAAGGCATGTGTTGACATGTTGATATGACTGTGCTTTTCTTTCTTTTCATTGTGATTTGCTTAGTGGGGCAGCAGACAGAGAGGTGGGGCAGAGATCCCTGTGATCCTCAGAGGGACTGTGAAGGGCTGGGACTGCTGCCTTAGACCAAGTTTTCTTGTCAATTGCAATGTCTGCGTCAAAATTTTTCTCCAAATGATGGTGGAGATCCAGCACCTCAGCAGCGAGAATTTGCCACGTGAAACATAAACCAAATTATGCAAAACCCATAAGACATGTGAGCCATCTGGGGGATAAGGATGTCTTCCCAACCAAGACTGGAAATTCAGAAGCTAAAATGAAAAAAAGTAGACTTATTTCTAAAATTTAAAATAAATACGAAATTTTTATGGCAAAATGCAACATAAAGTCATCAAGCAGGACATTTGGGGGAAAATGATAATGCAGAGGACAAAGATATTACATTTACACAAAGAGATTTTATAAATCAACAAGGAGAAAAGTATGAATAATTATAGCATTTGTGAACTTATTAGCAACCTAGTAAATATTTTTAAAAAGATTATACCCTATGACTTAACATTCCAGGATATGTGTATGAGGATATTTGCTAAGCTTTATTCAATATGGCAAAGCAAAACAAAACAAAACAAAAAATCTTGAAGCATTTACTGAGCACATTCTGCATGGCAGAAACTGTGTTAAGTCCTCATTCAACTGTTTGAACAGCACAATGAGTCGGCCATTAGACACAGCCCCTTATTAGGATGAGAAACTCTAGACTCAGAGAAGGCAAGCAATTCAGTCAAGATTATACAAAGAAGCTACATGGCAGTAAATGCCAGATATGAAAAAAGATGAAGCTAAAAATGAAAAAAAAAGAATAACATCAAGAAATGTAAAAGACAGAACTAAAACTTAAAGCTAAGGCCAGGAACGGTGGCCCACACCTGTCTTCCCAGCACGTTGGGAGGTTGAGGTAGGCAGATCGTTTGAGCCCAGGAGTTTGAGACCAGCCTGGGCAACATGGTGAAACCCTGTCTCTACAAAAAATACAAAAATTAGGGCTGGGCGCCATGGCTCATGCCTGTAATCCCAGCACTTTGGGAGGCTGAAAGGTCAGGAGATCGAGACCATCCTGGCTAACATGGTGAAACCCCGACTCTACTAAAAATACAAAAAAATTAGCCAGGCGTGGTGGCGGGCGCCTATAGTCCCAGCTACTTTGGAGGCTGAGGCAGGAGAATGGCGTGAACCCAGGAGGCAGAGCTTGCAGTGAGCCGAGATTGCGCCACTGCACTCCAGCCTGGGTGACAGAGTGAGACTCCATATTAAAAAAAAAAAAAAAATTAGCCAAGTGTGGTGGTGCACACCTATGGTCCCAACTACTTGGGAAGCTGAGGTGGGAGTTTTGCTTGAGCCCGGGAGGCAGAGGTTACAATGAACTGAGATCACGTCACTGTACTCCAACCTGGGCAACAGAGCAAGGCTGTCTCAAAAAAAAAAAAAAAAAAAAAGTAGAAGGTAAATACAAAGATAAAAAGCAAAGAACCAGAAAGTAAAAAGCAAGAGAGAAAAATGAGGTTTAGAAATTTCCATTTTCCCTTTGACTTTGTGTCTTAAAAGATAAAAAATAAAGAGATTTAGAATTTTTTTTTAAAAAAAGAATTAAGAAACAAAACAGTAAAACATAAACTAAGAGTGACAATATTTTTTAAAAGAGAAGACAGAGATAAACGAAGAGCTTAAAAAGCATGGGAATAAGAAATAATAAAAGGCTTAGTAAAAAGTTGGCGTGAAAGGTGACCCACCCACGGGCCGAGCCCTACCCATTCACTGAGCCTGGGAAATGACATTCAGCAGCAGGTGGAGGAGCAGCTGTTTTCTGTCACCCAGCTCTCAAGGGCCTGGGCTGGTTGTAGCTCCCTGTCACTGAAGCAAGCCCTGTGCTGGAGCCTAACCCCGGTGTCTCTCCAACTAACCCGCATGCTGCCCTGGCCCCTGGTATTCTCACCTCCTCCCATGGGAACCTGGGACAGCCACGCCTAATGTGCTGCGTCTTGACCACTTTGCCCAGTGCCTAGGAAGGTCTTTTTGGAGGCAGAGCCTGCCCTTGGCTGGGCCCTGCATCGAACTCTATGGAGCTCCTTGAACTGCAACGCTGGCCCCATGGCCTGATAAGGACCACTGCTACTGAGAAGCTCCAAGGACTGCTCCCTCTCATCACCCCTTAGTGTGCACCCCTGGACCATTGGCCCACATTGGACACCAGACCCTTAGGATGTGGATTTGAATTATCTGCTCTTTCCTGAAACTAACAGGTAATATTGGGGCAGAGGAGAAGGAAGGATGTCAGACAATATTTCATTTATCATTATTATTATTTTTAGAAGGAGTCTTGCTCTGTCACCCAGGCTGGAGTGCAGAGGTGTGATCTCGGCTCACTGCAAACTCTGCCTCCTGGGTTCGAGGGATTCTCCTGCTTCAGCCTCCCAAGTAGCTGAGATTACAGGCACCCGCCACCACGCCTGGCTAATTTTTTTTTTTTTTCTTAGTAGAGACGGGTTTTCACCATTTTGGCCAGGCTGGTCTCAAACTCCTGACCTCAAATGATCCACCCGCCTCGGCCTCCGAAAGTGTTGGGATTATAGGCATGAGCCACTGTGCCCGGCTCAGACAATATTTCAAATCAGATAATAGGACAAGGAGTAAAGAACCTAGACAGTTCTCCAGAGGAGCTTCTGGCAATGTTTCTGAAATCAGGGAACCAGCGGCCCCAGTGGGGTTTGATACTGAAAGAAAGCCTTCTAAGCAGAAACATTAGTTCTTGTCAAGGGTCAGAGTAGGTCTCAGCATGGTGGGCTTAGTGAAGAGGAAAGTAGGCTGGGAAGCCGGCCTGCAGAGTGAGTAGGGGAAAATCTACGCAGCCCCCGAGAGGGAAGAGGAGACAAATTTAGGTTAGACAATCCCAAAGAGCATCAAGTTACTGAGCCACCGTCTTTCTGGGGACAAAAAGGTCTCATGTAAAAGAATGAGCTCACACCCGGGTGGGACGTTTTGCAATTTGATGGAGAGGATGTCGAGTACGATGAAAGGCCTTCAGACCAGCGATCAGAACTTGAGAATGACCTGCTTCTTCCACTTACAGCTCAGTGTTGGCTGAAACACATGTAAGTCACTGTCAGAAATACCATTCAGTTAAAACTCTTCATGAGCAGAGGAGCTGTGTTAAAGGATTCCTTTTCATTTCTTATGAATCCCAGTGTATTCTAGATTTTACGTACCAGACATACCCCTGTGTATTCTGCAGTGGCATTAACATGCACCAGATATAACATATAAGCAGAGTTTTTGCTAGTAAGGAATTTAAGACTCATTTTCATTTAATAACACCATCTTATAAGTAAGAAACCAGGGTTCTAGCAAGTTAACTGGTGTCCCCAAGGTCACTGAGTTAAGAGTGAGCAGATCAGCTCCTGGAACGGCTGTCTTCTGACCCTTAGGCCAGAGCTCTTTCCATTATACTCTTCAGACAAGGTTTTCTATGTCCTTTATAAGCTGTCTCATCAAAATATACCCAGCAAAAGTGCAGGACGTCCCCACTTAAACCTGCAACACAAGTCGGAGCATCCTTTCATTAGCAGACCTGAGGGCAAGGAGGTGGAGAAGAATTGCTTAGGCAGCTAATGGATTCTCTGAACATATGCCTTGAGACACCGCAAGCCCTTCTTTGCATTGTGACATAAGACACAGTAGAAGCCTGCTAACAGTGACAACCCCTTCTGAAGGAATAATAGATCTGTGCAAAAAGCCTTTGGCTCAGGACATCGGGTGGCTTGGTGCAGCTGTCCTGGATTTCTGGAAGCTCGACTTGCTGTGACTCCAGGAGGTGAGAGCTCATGTCCATTCTTCCATCTTTGCAGACACAGGGGGCCTGTGGGCAACCTCAGACCACCCAGGCTGACCCTGTTGCTGCCTGGATAATGCATATTTTTACTTTTCCATGTCTTTGAAGCCTTGACATGGGCTGAAACAGGGACCCCAGGTTATCCCCGGATGAGGGCGAGTTGACAGACATCATGAACATATTAATGTCAGCTTTTCAGAATCACATTAAGATGTGTTCATGTCAAATCAGTCTTGACAGTGAATAATACGAATTAGTGACTTGCTTTGTGAAGGCTGAGTTGGGAGAACAGTGGCTCCAGAGAACCTTGGTTTATGAGTCATTTACACTTTAAATATGAGTCATTCACAAACAGTACTTGCTTTTCTGTATTGTTCATGCATCAGGGCCCTCAAAGTCAGAATATGCTGCTCCAGGCTGATGGGCCCTTTAGGTGTATGTACAGGGTGTTGATGATGGCTTAAATGTTGGTGTTTGCCCCTAAATCCTGGCCACAAATTATTTCTCAGCTTCAAGCTGATATCTCTTACAAGACAATAACTGAGATTCCCTTTAAAGGTGTGGCCCTGACTTAGTCTTCTACCCAGCTCTCTACAGGGATAGCTATGAGTATTGATTGCCCCTTTGGCCCAGCAATTCAAGCTGCTCTTCCTGCCTAGAGCTGTGGCAGTTGAAACATTGGGGTCTGCTCCTAGGCAATGGGGGATTGGCTGGCATAAACCAGTGGCTTCAACAGCTCTGGGGACAAAGATCAAAAGCCGGCTGCCACAGGTTTATTGCAAGTGAGAGTTTGAGTTTCACCCTGACACAGGAAAAATCAGCAGGAATCAAGCAGTTAGGAAGTGCTGCAGACTGCAATTACCGGGTGTCAATTCTGTCTGATCCCACAGGCAGGGGTGTGCGAAATTTAGCATGTGTTGACCAGCAGTATCCCACGGAAGCAGGATGCTAAGAACAGTTCCCGGCAACATGGCCTTTGTGTGGAGGCTGGAAAACAACAGGAGTTGTGAAGCTTATTTGGCTCAGGGAACAAGAAGAGCTGGGGGCTGTTAATAAGTAGGTCTCCGAGCTGTCAGTGCTGGGACTGACAGTGGCCGATCAGCTGGAGCCCTGTGGGAGCCAGCTCTCCCTTTCATGGCACCACCTGTGTGATGTATCTCAACAACATGGCACATATGGAGCCAGGCTATTTCTGAAAGATATTACAATGAATTTCAGCTTAAACAATTAAAAACAGATTTCTCTTTCTAAAATTAGATAAAGCAGACTGATTAGATAAATATCAAAGATTTCCAGAATAAGACAAGCTGGAGAAGGGGTTGGCAAACAGTGGTTCCAGGCTGGCAGCCTGTTTTTACAAATAAAGTTTTATTGAAACACACTCTTTATTTTATCAATCATATATGGCTGCTTTCAGGATACAACAGAGGGACTGAGTAGTTGCGACAGAGACCAAATGATCTCCAAGAGCCTAAAACATTTCCTATGTGGCCCTTGAAGAAAGTTTCCTGACCTCTGCTCTAGTGCAATGGTCCCTGGGTCAGGTCTTTTCAGTAATTCCAAAATCGAACTGGATTTGTGTGTGAAATGGCCACAGAGAATAACTACAACAAGGGATATCAAACTGGCGGAGCAGTCAAATCCAGGCTGTACACGTGCATTCTTTGGGCAGCAGTGTTGTGTTTTATAAAAATTAGCAACATTTTAAAATAAGGAGTTTTCACATAAAATGTCTGATTTGGGGCTACTCTTGGCCCACATCCCTGCAAGCAACTGTGGCCAGAGCCCAGCAATAGCAGCCTTCTTTAGAGGGGACATCTCCTGTTCCACTTTACCACAATTCCGACCACATCTTACTGTTTCCCCATCACTAAGACAGTATCAGACACCATGGGTCATGATTCTTGCCCCACTGGGTCCACACCTGTGGGGGCTTCATTTTGTATTACCTGCCAGTTGGCATATGAGTTTGCAACCCAGCACTGACATCAAGATTCTTTGCTTTAGGCTTGAATTCTCTCAGGTCACTCTCAAGCACAGGTTGTGTCCTGCTGATGAGAAGCACTGTTACTACTGACATTCAGTTATTCTGTTAACTATTACTCACATTAATACATTGTCTGGAAGAAAATAATAAAAGTGATGTTTCATAATGAAAAGATGGGGGAACCATTACTCTAAAACAGTGAAGGAAACAAAATATATTGTCTTAGGTAATCAGAGTGATCTTTCTTTACCAATCATTAGTAACCAGTAGACTGTCAACTCCAGGAGGACAAGGGGTCCAGCCACTCCCGATGTTTTCTCCGCAGCCAAGCAGGCCCATCTGCCTTGCTAACATTTTCTCCCAGGGCTTCTGGCTCTGAATGAGTGTTCCCCAAAGTGTGGTCCCTGAGCTACCTGTGTACAACCACCTGGAGTGCTTGTTAAAGATGCAGTTTCCTGGATCCACCCTAGGCCAACAAAAACAGAATCTGTTTGTTGGGACCTCAGAATCGCCATCATCAATTTTTTTAAACAAACAACTGTTGATGAGCAAAAGCCAACAGCATTGAGCAATGGTCAGCTGCTAGCAATTCTGCTGGGTCAACCATGTGAGCCTTCAATTCTAGACTCTCAAGATGACTCTGATATGCTAATGTGGAGACTATGCGCTCAGGAGAATGGCCAAACAGTATTCTAGAGAATAAGCACCAAACATGAAACATGCAAAGGGCAACGGTGATGCCCACTACTGGGAGGGAGCCCACCTTTGGAGAAAGCCCACCAGTAGACTCTCCTCAGTTACCAGGGAAGCCATAGAGAGAGTTCTGGAATGCCCTGGAATGCCCTTAGAAGTCATCTATGCTACAATTTTTGACAATTTTATTTGCCTTCTGATCTCCAAGGATGAAGGTACAGTTAACCTTTTTTAGAAAATTTGAGCCCTTATCTGCCATCACAAGGATTTACTTGCTTTGTATTTGGAGGGAAGAAAAGAATGTTGATTTTTAGAAGGGTTTTAAAAATAATAATTGCATCTCCCTCCCATCTGCTTGTTTACACAGTTTAGCACAGAAGGGGTTTAATTCCTTATTTGGAACCTGCTGGAAGTTTGAGTTATGAAACTCCCCAATTCTGTGCCTAACAGAAATGATGTTTAAAGTTCTGTAGCCAGGTGCCATCAAAAGACACTTGGTTGGGAGGCCGAGGCAGGCGGATCACGAGGTCAGGAGATGGAGACCATCTTGGCTAACACGGTGAAACCCCATCTCTACTAAAAATACAAAAAGTTAGCCGGGCGTGGTGGCGGGCACCTGTAGTTCCAGCCACTTGGGAGGCTGAGGCAGGAGAATGGCGTGAACCCTGGAGGCGGATCTTGCAGTGAGCCGAGATTGCGCCGCTGCACTCCAGCCTGGGCGACAGATTGAGACTCCGTCTCAAAAAAAAAAAAAAAAAGACACCTGGACAGCTTTAATTTGCTTCATCACAGAAGCCAATGCCTGAGAAAATGGAACCAGAAACAAAGGCTCTTGAAGTGGTAGTATAAAGCTAGAGGAGGGGGAAACTGAGGTACCATACAGCCTTCATTATTTGCATATATGTAACACCATTAGCATCTTCTTTAAATACAAAGTGGCATAGAACATTAGAAAATATAACTTTCCTCCCAAAGGCTTGGCTATTTCTGCGTGGAATGCATGAATAAAGTTACAGTTTTGTTTTATTTTTAGGCAACTCTATAGATCACTGGGGACTCATCCTGCAGATATCATTCAAGGTATCCGGTTCAGAATCTATCACCAGCTCAGACTGTAGCCTCTGAAGAGATCTCAGATGTTTTGTGCCTTATACATTTAATTCTGAGATCATAGAGCCCAAGGAGGTTTTGAGGACCCTCTACCCACACCTTCAGATGTTTTCAGAGGATTTGCTGGCAGGGCTGGGCCACTGGGCCTTGCTGGGCTCTAATTTTCCTACCCACGTGTGTCCTATAGACCGTGAATTTTCTTCTAAACACTCTTGACTTTTCACTTGTTAAATTAAAGCATTTTCTTAAAGAAAAGATTAAAACCAAGAGGTGTGAACTTTTTTTTATTGGGAGAAGGGCTATGTGTGTGTTTCTCCCAGCCCTAATTCACTTCCTCAATGTGCATGTCCATACACCACATTCTTATGTTCTTTAATCCTAACTTGGATTTTCCCCCCATCTTTAAAAAAACTACTTTTCTCAATTTCTTTTCTTTATCATTTTCTTCCTGTCTCCTGTGATGTACAAAATACTATTTCCAGGGCTTTTCTCCTCCTCCTCCTCCTCCTCCTCTTATTCTTCCTCACTTTCCTTTTTGCAAAGTTATACTCTCTGGGAACATAATTAATGTTTACTGGGCACTGGTGATTGATCCATTCTTCTGGTAATCCTCTCCCACTCAGTCCTCTCCTTCCCCATGACTCCTCCTCCACCCACCTTATCCAGGAATATAGAATTTTCCACTGCCTCAGATTCACTCCTTTATAACAGTTCCCACCCTTTTCCCTCTAATATGTGCTGCCTTTTCCAAGTTGCATTACAAGACTGGAACCAGTTTCTGTTTATAGCCTCATGACTCTGCAAGACCCTCCATCTTTACTACTGGGATATGGAGACTTGAAATCACCTGGCTTTGTCCCTTGCTTTTTAAAATACAAGCGAGCACCTAAAAGCAGCATCATTTTGTATAAGGTTGGATTCAGTGCAATTTGGAGCTCTGCTCTCATGACAGTGTTTTTACATTATACAAAATGCCTGTAAGTCCCCTCATCTGTGAATTCCCAAGAAAGATCAGTCCAAGTAAAGAGAAAGCTTGATTTATGACTCATCAAAGAAGGGAATAATAATAATTTTTAAATAATACATTATTCTTTGGGGATTTACAAATAAAAATATTAAAAGCCTTATTGGATTAAAATTAAGAAAACCATTTAAAAATTGAGATCTCCCTTCCAGTTCCAAGCTTATCATATAAGTGTGACTTTGGCCAAGTCACCCTTCTGCAGCCCCATGCTGTCTCATCTGCAAAACTGCAGCTCTAGGGGCTCTAAGAAGCCTATGGATGCATCTGAGATGGGATATTTTGCCTTGGTAACTCCTCATTCTATCCTCCAGCATAGAATAACCCCTCCCCTCTGAGCCACAGTGAATCTTTTCCTCCTCTTGCTTTTTACCTCTGTGGGCCATGGCACCTATCACATCATATTAGAGCAAGATGCTTGCCTGCCAGTTTTCCCAACCAAACAACAATCAGATTATATTATTATGTTGTAAGTAAGAGGAAATACAAATCAAGCATGCTTAAAAAATAAAGGTAATTTTTTGGTTCATGCAACTGAAAGGTCCAGCCACAGCCTGGCCTAGGGTCTGGCTAGATCCGGGCTCATGTAATGTAACAGGCTTCAATTTCTCTCCTTCCTGTGCCTCTGCTTCCCTGTTGCAGGCCCATTCCCAGGTGGACATGAGATGGCAGCCAAAAGCTCCTGCAATTACATCCATTCTCAGTCACATCCAAAGGGAATGAGAGGGCTTCTTCCGGTGGTTCTAATAGAAGGAAGACATTTTTCCTTCCCAGAAGCCTCTGCAAATTTCCTCCAGAGGTAGTGACTGTTGGGTTCGGGTCACGTGTCTATCCCTGAACCAATGGCTGAGGCCAAGAAGATGAGATATGCTAATTAGCATGAACTACTCAGGCTGCCCTGCCTCCTGGGAGCTGGGGGGTAGAGTCAGCCCCACCCACCTGCATGGCTGGGAATGGGGTGGGGGATGGAGGTGGAGGAGTGAATCCCCAGCCAGATGTTAGGGCATCAGAAGTGGGACAAGGGCAAATGGTGGGGAGGTCTTTGGAGCTGTCACTCCCCTGGCCATGCTGAGAGCCTGGAGACCCCATCCTTTTACCCCACAGCAATGTTAGTGTGTTCCAGCATCAAAGGAGCTAATGAAGAAAATGACCCATGAGTCAGGCTTTGGATATGACATTTACGACAAACGGACACAGGTGGGTATAAAAATTAAAAAAAAAATAAAACAAAAACAAGCAGCTTAACTTCCTTTGCTCAGCAATAAAATTGCCTGGGTTGAGCCTCTATCAGAAAGAGACAGGTGAAAGGCAGGAGTGGAAATGAGCTTTCGCCCTCATTCTCCAACAGCAATCTGGTATTTAGCTGGAGGCAGCTACTGTAAAAAGATTTGTGGCAGTGACTGTGAAAGAGATATGAAATGTCAGGGTCTCCTGCCTGGTGGGGCTGTGTTGGGTCAGGGCATATGGCATCCTCCATCCCCCTTCATCCAGGATGCTGAAAATATAATTTAAATGATATTTCCTTGACTTAGCAAACTATGGTCACCAAACATAATGGAATATGAGATAGCTAAGGAGATGCTATGTGAAAATGTTGATTAATATGGATGCTCTATTTGAAATAATCTAAGTTAAAAAACAAATCCAGAACTTAAAATAGCATAAACACACTGATTACAGCTCCACAAAACATGTTTTCACTTTTAAATATTGAAAGAGTGTTTGCGGTAAAGTAAATAGTTTATTAGGTTGGATTCTTCTGTAAAGTGCCTTAGCTCATAAATTTTAGAGAACTTTTGCAGAATGGCCTTCACTGGGAGAATGAGTTGTTCATTTTCAGGAACTGAATTCTGCTCATTCCAGGCCAGCTGGGTGTGGGTAGTGGTCTCAGCCTAAAAACAACGGTGTGGAACATGAGGAGAGGAAGGAAAGAAGGAAGGAAGGAAGGAAAGAAGGGGGGAGGGAGAGAGGAAGGGAGGGAGGGAAGGGAGGAAGTGAGGGAGGGAGGAAAAAGGAAGGGACGAAAGAAGGAAGGAAAGAAAGAAAAAAGGAAGATAGGAAGGAAGGGAAGGAATAAGGAGGGAGGGAGGAAAAGAGGAAGGAAGGAAGGAAAGAAAGAGGAAGGAAAGAAAGCGGGAGAGAAAGAGGGAAGGGAGGCAGGAAAGAAGGGAAGGAAGAGGGAGGGAAGAAAGGAAGGAAGGAAGAAACGAACGAAGGAAAGAAGGGAAGGAGGAAGGAAGGAAAGAAAAGAGAAAGAGGGAAGGAAGGCAGGAAAGAAAGGAAGGAGGAGGGAGGGAAGGAAGGAAGGGAGGGAGGGAGGTAGGGAGGGAGGGAGGTAGGGAGGGAGGAAGGAAGGAAAAAAAGGAAGGAAGGAGGGAACGAAGGACGGAAAGGAATGAAGGAAGGAGGGAAGGATGGAAGGAAGGAAGGAAGGAAAAGACTGAAGGAAAGACAGAAGGAAGGAGGGAAGGCAGGCAGGATTGGGACAGTCTGCGAGTTTCCCACCTAAGCATGTCAAAGCCCATAGTGATCATCCTGCAGTTGTGCAAACCTGGAAACTTTTTCTAAACTTGTGACAGCAACTCAGACTGACTTGAGACAGATTTATATATCCAGTCCCTGAAGCCCCGATCTCAAACAATAACTGTGTGTTCCTTGGGAACCTGATGCGGATCCTTCGGTTAACATACAGTGTCCAGGCCTGTGCTAGGAGCTGTGGAGGGGCCATGAGAGGAGGAGCGTGGTCTCTGTCATTAGCAAACACTTTCCATCTCATAAAACAGACAACAAAAACATATATTAAGCAGCTTGCAAACAAAACCACATATACTGAAATGCAAGATTGAAAAGTACTGAGAAAAGAAAAAGTGTTCTATAACTGAAAAGAGAGAAATTAATGACTTTGGGGGTAATCAAGGAAGGTTCCTGGGAAAAGGTGGCAATTTGACTGGGTCTGAGAGCACGGCTGTGATTTAGATCAGGGGTCCGCAACCCCCAGGTGACAGACCAGTACCAGTCCATGGGCTGTTAAGAACTGGACCACACAGCAGGAGGTGGGTGCGGGGGCCAGCGAGCAGGATCACCTGAGCTCCGCCTTCTGTCAGATCAGCTGTGGCAGTAGATTCTCATAGGAGCACGAACCGTATTGTGAACTGCGAGTGCGAGGGTCTAGGTTCTGAGCGCCTTATGAGAATCTAATCAGTTTCATCCCAACCCCACCTCCACCCGCCCCCACCCACCACCTTCCTATCCCACCTCCACCTTCCCCCACTGCCCCCCGACTCCCAGTCCGTGGAAAAATTGTCTTCCATGAAACCCGTCCCAGGTGCCGAAAAGGTTGGGGCCTGCTGATGTAGATGATACATTTACAAAAAGGCCCAGAGACTGTGAGTAAGGGGAGCCAGAGGCAATGAGTCCCACCCACCCGGGGCACGGTGGGTAGAGCAGAGGGACACAAAGCTGGTGGGGGCTGTGAGTGGGGGTGTGGGGGTGGGTGGGGGTAGATCCTGGAGGGTCTCAGCAGCCAGGTGCTCAGGAACTCAGCTTCAGGAGAAAGGAGGCCACTGTAGGCTTTTGAGAAAAGGTGGCATTTGGGGAACATTGATTTGGCAGTGGGGGTTTGGTGGATGGGGTGTCCACTGGGGTCAAGAGAAGCAACCAGGGGGGAGGTTCACAGAAGTCCAGGTGAGGCAAGCATGGGCTGTGGAGAAGGGCAGGGCCTCCAGAGCTGTCCAGAGTGGAAGGGAGAGGACAGAGAGAACCACAAGGAAAAATTAACCAGCCTCCTCTCCCCATATCTTACCCCAATGTCGAGGGTGTAAGACAGAGAGATTGAGCTCCCAGCAGCTCTGCTAACTTCCTCCTTGGCCTTGGGTGAGTCACTCCATCTCTCTCTCTGTCTCCTTTTGTGAAGAATCAGAATATACTTGCCTTATTTCTTTCAAAAGATGCCTAAGGGAAGCAGACAAAATAATTTTTTAAACATTTTGCAAAATATAAAGCATTAGGCAAATACTTGCTATTATTCTATATAATTGCTATGCTGTAATCTAAGATCAGGCTGCTATCAGATTGCGTCCAGAATTGGTTCCTTCTGGTGGGTTCTTGGTCTCACTGACTTCAAGAATGAAGCCACGGACACTCGCGGTGAGTGTTACAGTTCTTAAAGATGGTGTGTCTGGAGTTTGTTCCTTCAGATGTTCAGATATGTCTGGAGTTTCTTCCTTCCGGTGGGTTGGTGGTCTTGCTGACTTTAGGAGTGAAGCTGCAGATCTTCGCAGTGAGTGTTATAGCTCTTAAAAGTGGCGCATCTGGAGTTGTTTGTTCCTCCCAGTGAGTTCGTGGTCTCGCTGACTTCAGGTGTGAAGCCACAGACCTTCGCAGAGTGTTACAGCTCATAAAGGTAGTGTGGACCCAAAGAGTGAGCAGTAGCAACATTTATTATGAAGAGCAAAAGAACAAAACTTCCACACTGTGGAAGGGGACCCCAGTGGGTTGCCGCTTCTGGCGCGGGTGGCCAGCTTTTATTCCCCTTTTTGGCCCCGCCCATGTTCTGCTGATTGGTCCATTTTACAGAGCGCTGATTGGTCCATTTTACAGAGTGCTGATTGGTGTGTTTACAAACCTTTAGCTAGACACAGAGCGCTGATTGGTGTGTTTTTACAGAGTGCTGATTGGTGTGTTTACAATCCTTTAGCTAGACAGAAAAGTTCTCCAAGTCCCCACCCCACCCAGAAGCCCAGCTGGCGTCACCTCTCAAGATAAGCTACAGCTTTCTGCCTTCATCAGAGATGGTCTTGGAACACCATTCTTTTAAGCGTCTCTCACAGCTTTCAAATCATCTCCTCCCTCCCAGAGTGTGGTCTTGCTTCTGCTGCTAACCTCTGTGGTTCCTGTCTCTCTTATACTTTTGTGCTTCTACCATAGAGTTGTAAGCCAATAGCCAGTTTCATTAGGACTGAATGTAAAGTAAGAATAAATAGGTGCTGAGTGAGACCTTAAGAAGGCTCTCCTGATGCAAAGTTATAAATGTTGGGTATTAACTTTTTGGGATCACTTTGGCTACTCATTTTACTTAATAAGAGTAAAGATGTCCTGAATGCTTGGCGCTGATTTCTGGACTCTCAGTGCATTCCAGGCCATGGAGACTGTCGGGTGAGTGATGGCTGAGCAGGAGAGATGTCACACAGTGACACTATTGGAACTCTTACCGCGCTTGGTGGAGATTGACCACTGGGAGTCAGATGCAGTATACAGGAATTCAATTAAATAAACATTTCATTTATAATTTGTATTTCTGTCAAAGGAGTATATAATGGAAATGATTTGTGAAATATTTGACAAAGACAAGGACGTTAATTATAGAAGCTGGTTTGCAGTGAATATAGATTATTCTATTTCATACATATTACATTTGAGGTGATGACAATACATGGCCATGGAATTGTCTCATGGAAAATGGGAGATTCGGGAGTAGAACCTGAGTGACAGAGAAGGACTGAGATCAGAGTGAAGGCATAGGAGTTATCTGCAAATCAGTGGTAGATTCATTTAAAAAAAAAAAAAAAGCACACGAAGGGGCTGAGGCAGGAGAATAGGGCCTGGAGGCGGGGAACCTAAGGAATTCCTGGAACTAAATCAAATGGAAACACTTCAGCAATGACAGGAGTGTGACTGGCTTTGTAACGTCACTTCATCCTACCCATTTACACAGGCAGTAACATCTTCTCTGTTTACATAGGATGCATACCGAGTAAATGACTTTGTAACTTGACTTTATCCTCTTTATTTACATATGGCATACACCAAGTAACCAATGGGCAACCTCTAGAGGGTATTGAGACCCCAGAAAATTCTGTAACCAGGGCCCTTGAACCCCTTGCTCGGGCCCACTCCCACCCTGTGGAGTGTGCTTTCGTTTTCAATACATCTCTGCTTTTGTTGCTTCATTATTTCCTTGCTTTATTTGTGCATTTTGTTGAATTATTTGCTCAAAACACCAAGAACCTGGACACCTTCAACCAGTAACTGGACTACTCCATGTGGAGAGGATCAGAGGACCAAAGGTTGAGCCCCGTGCAAAGCCAGAGGTGGGAGCAGAGGGTGGAAAGTGTGAAGCACCACTCCCAACCCCTAGGAGATGCCGTCTTGTTGGAGACACTGAACACACGCATCATGAAAGATGAGAGAGTGATGCATGGCTATAAAAAGGACACACGGTAATTTGGGCTCCCCACGCTGTAAATGCTGTAGGCAGTCAGAGGGAGAGCGATGCCCTGAGTTAAAGCAGCTGCAGGAGGCTTCCTGGGAAGAGGGAGAAGCTCAGCCTGGGAAAGGTGGCCCAGGGGGTTCTGAGTTGACTTCAGTGTATTTGGGGAGCCCTTTAGCACAGAGGCAAGGGAGTAGAAATGTGGGAGACGCTCATCCACCCAGTGAAAGGGCTCCCTCCCTGCCCCCAGCCACCAGAGACATCTCCCCAACATTGCCTCCCTCCTCCACTCCCCTAAATTCTTCCTCCAGGTCCTGTGCACAAATCTTGCCTCTGAATCCTGGCCTGGGCTGCCCTTCCCTGCCTGGATGGTCTTTCCCTTCCTCTCCTGCAATGATACTTTCTGGAAACCTGGCAGGGCCTCCCTAGTTGACCTCTCCTTCTGTGCAACTCTAGTAACATTGTTTTCTTTGCCATGTGTTTGGAACTTTAGATATAATTCTTTATATTGTTGTTCATTATTTATGTGTTTGGCCTGTTCCTCAATTAAATTGTGTATCATCTGCTTTCAAAGATTGTTCTCAGGCTCAGGGGCAATGTCTATAAGGCACCAGCACAGGTAGGCGCTTGGTAAGAGCTGGCTGTTATCCATGATATTGTGATGCCCCTTGAGACCAGCAGCCATGTGTGATGCCCTCTGCACCCCTAGCTAGTGGCAGGCACATGGTAAGTGCCAGTGAATGGCAGGAGAATCTCCCCCCAGTCAACTGGCTGCTTCTGCATCTCTCTTTGCCGGGGATAGCAATTTTGTTTAACAGCAGGGACTTAAGAGCTCATTTCTGGGAAGTCTTGAGAAGATATTTACCCATTTAATTTTTTTTAAGAAATGGCTGGAGAAAAGCCAGCTCTCTTCTTCTTTCGTGATGAAGGACAAGTTGCTTTTGTTAAATATAACATCTTAAAATGTTTCAAATGGACATGAATGCTAATGACAAGACTCAACCTCAGCAAACTGCTGACAAATGGGGACTTACTGGCTCAGGAAGAGAACACACACAGAGAGTTTTAAATCCCTGGCTGTCCCTGGGTGCTTGATCCATTAATGGAGTGGGTAATGCCCTTAGTGCCCCGTGCTAGTTGGGGATTTTGCCTCATATTTTAGAGCACCTGCAGAAGGGGAGAGGGGAGGGAGAGGAGGGGGAGGAGGAAGACGAGGAGGGGGAGGAGGAGGAAGAGGAAAAGGAGGAGGGGGAGGTGGAGGAGGAGGAGGAGGAGGAACAGGAGAAGGAGGAACAGGGAAAAGGAGGGAGAACAGGAGGAGGAGAGGGAGGAGGAGGAGGAGAAAGGGAGGAGGAAGAGGGAAGGAGGAGGAAAGGAGAATGACCTGGTTTTCTTTTTGCAAGTGACAGGTATGAAGCCCAGCCTGGATGATTTCCATGATATTATATTTTGAAACAGCCATTTTTAGAGTTTGAAGTGGCTTCAAGTCAGATCAGCCCCGTTGTCTCTGATGCTGGCAGGAAGAGGAGGTGGAAGTGTTTGCGTCCCTGGAGAGGGTTCAGGTTTCCTCTTAGCTGCAGCAGTCTTGGTCTGGCCTGCTGTAGCATTTGCTGGGAGAGGGATGGAGATGCAGCTATTGGAATTCCTGGGCCACATCTCTTTTGCACACTGACCTTCAGACTTTTGCTATTTTGTTTAAGTTGGTATCTTCAGAATCAGAACAAAAAGCCTGCTTATTGATACTTATGAGTATTTCACATTTCACATTCCTATAGAGAATGTCTAAAGAGTGGTAAAGGGAAGACATGCTTCTTAGTTTCTTGTCTACCTCCTCCAAGAAACCTGGGTGCATTTCCATGTCATGGAGATCAAGCCCAAAAGGAACTCAGATAGGTGGCCTGTCCTTAGGACATGCTGCTGGTCCCTCTGGTCAGCAGTGCCTTTCCAAGTGACCACCTGGACACTTCCTCTGCACCAGACAGGCCTGGCCTCATCATGTGGTCACCTTCAGCTTCCTTCCAAGGAAACAGCTGCAGGGCCCTCCAAGAAACCCCACTGCACCCTCAATCCCCCCTCATCCCTGAGATGACGACGTGAGGAGGATGCCTGCCTCTGGGGCATCCAGTCTGTGCCGCCGACTTGAGATATGGCTGGGAACTGAAGCCTCATTGAAGTGGGGCAAAGTGATTAAAACCAGAACCTCTCCCTCTGGAATCTGCGTTGGAGAAATGGGGTCATCACTAATGCTGGATTGCCTGAAAAGACCTGCAGATTGCACAGGAGGTCCAGGAGGGGGCTGAAGCAAGTGGTGAGGCTGAGAGAGACACACTAGGTGGGCAAGGGAGGGACTCTTTGCTGGCGCCAGGGGCACAAGGGGAGGACATGAAGGGCTGGCTCCATAAGAGGGATTCCTACGCTCTGGCCATCTGGTCACTAGAGTGGCCTCGAATCAGAAACTCCTGCCACCTCCTGCACCCTGTGGGTTCTGCACTACGTGAGGCCAAAGCCCAGTGGCTGCTGCCCATCCCTGGGCCCAGGAGCCTGATGGTCCAGCTTTTCCCGATTTCCATGAGGTCCAGACAAGGGTCCTGTTTTCCTCACTCCCACACATATCCTTAAGGTAAAGTTCTGAGGCCGGGCGCAGTGGCTTTTGCCTGTAATCCTAGCACTTTAGAAGGCCAAGGTGGGAGGATCACTTGAGCTCAAGAGTTTGAGACCAGCCTGGGCAACATAGCAAGACCCCATCTCTACTGAAACACAAACAAACAAATAATCTGGGCATGGTGGTGTGCGCCTATAGGTCCCAGCTACTTGGGAGACTGAGGTGGGAGGATTGTTTGAGCCCAGGAGATGGAGGCTGTAGTGTGCTGTGATCACATTACTGGAAGAAAAAAAGATGAAGTCCTTGTTCCTTGAATGCAGAGTGAGTCTGAATCCTGACTCCTGGTGGGGCAGTCTGTCATCTCACCTCTACACCAAAATATTCCCATTTACTGTGATTTTTTTGTTTGTTTTAGGAGAAGATATCAAGACTCTGTGGGACAGGGCTGGGCATGGTGGCTCATGCCTGTAATCCCAGCATTTTGGGAGGCTGAGGTGGGCAGATCACTTGAGGTCAGGAGCCGAGATCGTGCCACTGCACTCCAAGCCTGGGTGACAGAGCGAGACTCCGTCTTAAAAAAAAAAAAAAAGACTCTGTGGGATGAATAATGCATTAAAGTTACACTGAGACTTGATGGATATTTCACTGTAAAGAGCTCAGGCTTCCACCTGCAGAGCTCAGGCCAGACAGCCACCTTAGCTTCTCAGGTTGAAACCAAGTAACTAAGAGCTGTGCAGGAACCCTGGGGGGCCAGGGGCTAAAACCAGCAAGGCTGAGGGGTCCTGGAAGAGAAAAGTGAGGAGGGAGCCAAGGAGAAAAGGGACTCCTCAATGCCCAGCCCAAGGTGCGTTCTGAATGGATTTGCAGGTGACCTGATCTTTGTTGATCTATTAATTCATTTATTCATCATTCAACAAGGATTATTGAGCCCCTGTGATGTGCTGGCAACATTTCTAATTCTTATTGTTTATTGCATAAATAATAAGGTATATTAGGTGATGCTAATGCCCAGAAGAAGAGTCAAATGTTGATGACGGTGAGGGAGAATATGTGTATATGTTTGCAATTTTAGGTAGCTGGCATTTGAACAATGGCCTGGTTATAAATAGAAACTCAGATGATTTCATAAGAGAATTGCGGGAAGTTGCTCCTGAGACTTGTCTCTTTTTCTCCTTTTTTGCTTTAAAAATCAGGGCGCTGACTGGGGGAGTGTTAGCCTTTAGCGTATCCAGTCAGGGAACAAAATGCAGAAGAAAGGGGGTGCCCAGAGAGCTCTCACTATTTTGAAGTAACCACCCATCCATGCCCAGTGTCTCAGCACCTTGGCAATTCAGACGGACCACGCCTGCCTTTCAGGTCTGGATTCAGAAGCAAATCCCAGAAGATCTCCCTGACTCCATTGGGATCTGCCCTCTCCACCCTCACAGGTGATCTGGACAAATTTGTGACATGTTGCTGAGGCCTACTGTTGGCCATTTTCCCCACAAGGTGTCCTGGGATTTACCCGGGACATGTGGCAGGCATGAGGCAGCTGGTGGGGGCTCCCTCTGAGCGGGCACTTGGGGCCCTTCAGAGTCCCTGGGCTCAGGCTCACGAACACCAGTGAAACTGACTCAGGCTGCCCACACTAGTTCTGGGAAACCAAACCACTGGCTGTTCAAGTTGCTTTTGGAATAAAACCACTAAGAAAGAAATGACCCCATAGCTTAGGTCAATTAAAGATTTGAATGTCACAGATGTTTGATTTTTAAAAACTCTTCTGACTTGACCCATGATTACTTTTATATTTCCTGATGTGGGCCACCTCCCTTGATAGGGGTGTGGAGCAGAGTTGGCTTATGTCAGGGGACATTCAGGCATCATTCATTGTTGAATGGTCCATCACTGCCTGGCAGAGGGAGGGGAGAACAGTTGCCCCAGGGGGTGGGGGGTCTTCACCATGACAGGCCCCTCCTCAGTGACCTCATGTTCCGTAGACTGTTGCTGCAGTTGGGAAACTTGATCCCTAGAAACTTCACTTTTTTGGGCTGGAAAAAAGTGGCTTGTGTGTCAGCTGCCGCTGCTTCCATGTGGTACTACCACCTGGCGCTCCAGAGTACTACCACCTGGTGCTCGATGGTGTCTCCCTTTTGGGGACCCTCCCGAAGTCTCTGGCTACTGAATTCAAGTCTTCTCGCTACAGAATGCAGGAGTTTACAAATCTTCCCAGCAAACATCTTCCCTGTCACCTCTGGTGGGAGATGATGCAATGAGCAGAAAACAGCAGGGTCTGGCAGTGACCATCTGAGTGTTGATACTTTTTTTTTTTTTTTGAGATGGTGTCTCACTCTGTTGCCAGGCTGGAGTGTGGTGGTGCAATCTCGGCTCACTGCAGCCTCTGCCTTCCGGGTTCAAGCGATTCTCCTGCCTCAGCTTCCAGAGTAGCTGGGATTACAGGCGCGTGCCACCATGCCCAGCTAATTTTTGTATTTTTAGTAGAGACAGGGTTTCACCAGGTCGGCCAGGAAGATCTCGATCTCTTGACCGTGTGATCCACCTGCCTCGGCCTTCCAAAGTGCTGGGAATACAGGTGTGAGCCACCGTGCCCAGCCGTGTGTTGATACTTCTGAGCTCTCAGGGCAGGGGCCGCTCTGGAGTCAGCTGGCACCTCGGTGTGGCAGTCTGGACTCTGCCTTAGGGCTAGACATGAGGGACTGGAGGCAAGTGTGGTTGGTGCTCTTGGTAGTTTGCTGACTACAGATCCCTGACAAAACTGAGCATGTAGCGAAGAATGTGACACACCTGGTGGCCTCCCCAGTGGAATACTATTTCTGCATCTCAGCTCCAGAGCGCAACTGAGCTGGCCCTCTACTTTTCTTTCCATCTACCTCTAGGCTTAGGAAAGCACACAAGCTAGAATCAGCAGTTGGGGAGCCAATTGTTGGGCTCACCTCCACAGCTCACAGGGCTCTGTGGCCTAGTGGCAGGACTTTCTAATGGTTACACACATAGACACTGCAGGAGGTGCCCATTCGATGACCTCCTAGCTGTGGGTAGGTTACTTCAGTTCTCTGTGCCTCGGTTTTCTCCTGGGGACGATAATATTGCCTGTTTCATAGGATTGTCATGCAGGCTGAATTGCTCCAACATGAGAATTTTCAGACAGTGCCTGACACAAAGCAAGCATTTAATATGGAAAATAGCTTAAAAACACTGGAGGCACTTGAGGTCAGGAGTTCGAGACCGGCCTGGCTAACATGGCAAAATGCCATCTCTACTAAAAATACAAAAATTAGCTGGGCATGGTGGTACATGCCTGTAGTCCCAGCTACTCCAGAGGCTGAGGCATGAGAATCGCTTGAACCCAGGAAGCAGAGGTTGCAGTGAGCCGAGATCGTGCCATTGCACTCCAGACTGGGCAACAGAGTGAGACTCCATCGCAAACAAACAAACAAACAAACAAACAAACAAACAAAACACTGGAGGCAAATGAGTAGGAACTTTTCTGTAGGACTGTTTGGACTATAAAAATTCAGGTCTAGTTCTTTTCAAATATTCTGATTTTCTACTACGAACCAAAAGGTATCTGAGACAGGTCTCAATCAATTTAGAAAGTCTACCTTGCCAAGGTTAAGAGCATGCGCCCGGGAGGCAGGTCTGTGCCTTCTTCAAAGATGATTCTGAAGGCTTCAATATTTAAAGGGGAAAGGGTGGACATTGGGGAAAGAGGAAGGCATTTTTTAAAGGTATGGGTAGATAAGAGACAAATGATTGCATTCTTTTGAGTCCTTGATCATCTTTTCACCAAATACACAGTTTACAGGTGAGAGGGGGTTAGAGGAAAAGTCACTTATGCCTTCATCTAGTTCCTTGAATCTGTATGCTTGCATCAGAGAAAGCAATCAGATATGCATTTGTCTCAGGTGAGCAGAGGGAGGGCTTTGAGTTCTGTCCTTTGTCCCGCACCTGTGAAGATAATCTATCAATTTACATTGTTAGGGTGAAATTCAACAGAATTGTTTTAGGATAAAGATCTTGGGGCCCATAAGGAATTTCCTGGTGGGCAAGTGGTGAGGGATGTAGGTAGCTTTAAAAAAAAAATCTTTGTAGCTATCTTATTTAGGAATAAAATGGGAGGGAGGTTTGCCTGATGCAGTTTCCAGCTTGACTTTTCCCTTGGGCTTAGTGATTTTGGGGTCCTGAGATTTATTTTCCTTTCACACTACTCACTAGAAGCAAGAGCAACATCTCTTCGACAGATTGGTTGTGCTTTGACTGTTATTGTCATCCAGAGACCACCGCCTGCAAAAGCTGATTCCATATGACCTGAAAAGTGATTTGCTGTGCTCATTGAGGAAAGGGTTCCCAGGACTGAGTTTCTGGGTGTCTCTCTCTAGGACAAGTGGCATTAGCAAGACCCCTGCAAGTGGCCACTGCTCCCTGTCCACCTGGCACATGCTCGTCACACAGTAGGTCCAGCAAGGACATCACCAAATGTCTGTTGAGTAAAGGGGGAGAAGGGGTGGGCCTATTTTGAACTTGGATGGAGTTTCGATTTCTTCAAGACCTTTCTATGCATGTGAGGTCCTTGCTAGTGTCTTTCTGGAGGCCATGCCTTCTTAAAACAGAGCCTTCCTTGCACTTCATAAGAGATAGTGACATGGATAGACAAAATCTACTGTTTAATAAATTTAGTGTGTCAATCAAATCAGACTCAAAATACAGCCTTCAATCTAAATGACCCTGCCTATAGTTGAGGAAGTGAGGTACATGGTTTAGTTACAGCAGCAGACGAGGCTGAATGTAGCTGTGTGTCCAGGCAGTGGGCCAGGCCACACACTAAAAGGAACTCACTGTATCCTTCAACTGAGCCCAAGCCCAGATATAGTTTCAGCCTGGTCAGCAGTGGCTTCCCCGTGTCCTCTCAGCTAATCCTGGCACGGAGCATGTGGAGCTTGGAAGGCCTACGCAAGATAAAATGCACTCTGGAGCCGCGGTGTATTTTATCACTGCCCGTGCACTCGTTGGGATACCTTGCAAAGGTGCTGATTTTCTAGGACTGGGAACCACACGGGGGGGCTCTTCCTGGAGTGCAAAGATGGCATAGATACAAAATTAAAAACAACTTATGTTCTGAGAATTAGTATCTGGAGAAAATGCAAGCCATTGTGCTACTTACCGTGACTAAAGTCAGTAAGGATGTAAAAAGGAGCCAACCAACTTCAGAATTAACAGCACATGTTTTACAAAATTTCAGAGCTCTTCAATTTAGTTCATTTTTTGCAGATGAGGAAACTGAGGCGCTATGGGAATTAAGTGAGTCTAAAGGGGTCACACGATTTGTAGTAAAACCTTGATTAGAACCCAGATCTTCTCATCTCACATTTTGATGCTAAAAAACAAAAACAAAAAACAAAAAGAACGCAGATTTTTCTAACTTCAGTTCAATTCCTGGACTGAAACTACTTTTTCTTTTCTTTTCTTTTTTTTTTTTTTGGTTTCAAGTGTTACTAATGATACATTTTTTCCAAGATATTTATTCAGGTTTGTTATTTTGAAGTGACAGCCAATTGGAACTTTTTTCCCAAGGATTTTTTTTTCAGGGAAAAAAAAGATATATCACCACCATTGATAAACTATCACCTTCTGAGTTAGCCTTGATTCCTCCTCCTCCCCCTCCTCATCAACATCTAATCTGTCAGGAGGTCCTGTTCTATTGTTGAAATGCATTTTAAATCCATCTCCCACTGTAAAACTTCTGTTACAAGCCATTTCTTGCCTCGACTGTTGCAAAAGCCCTCCCATCCATTCTCCATACTGAGACAGAATGTTTTTTTTTTTTTTAATTTTGAACTTTTTATCTTGAAATCATTATGGCTCACAGGGAGTTGCCAAAAGAAAAATCACTTTTTGGGTAAATGTTAAGATAGTTGTCTTTCTTTTTCTGTGTTCTGTTTTGTATCCTTAAGAAGGATTCAAACCCATCTCTCTCTATATACTACATGTCCCAAATAATACAATGTTGCCCTGATGATAAAAGTGTATGCTCACCCAATAGCTTGTGCTGCCTATATTTGCCTCAGCTTTCTCAGCCCCTCCCATGCAGGGGGACTTCATGACTGACCATGTTTAAGATTTGTCCTGAATGCATGGCTTCAGAATGCCCCTTGGTTAAGCAAGGACGCTGAAGATTTCATGCCACCTGGCCATCAACATGAGATATCCTGGATTTATTAGGTCCTTTCAAAACTTTTTCTCTCCATCGCAAGCCCTTAGGATTCATTCCTATCATTTTTAAGTATGGAGGTTAATTTTTCTTCAAATGTAGCTGCCCAGAAACTCTCTTTTTCCTGTGAAGCCCAAATAAGCTCCTGAAGCTAGCTCTGGACCCCCGGTGGCAATGTTGTCGGAACGGGGGAACTTTCTTTTTATACTTTGAACCAAGGGAGTCTGCTGAGGTGACACAGGCCATTGGAAACACAGGCTATTCTGTGAAGGCTCCTTGATCACATCATGCCCTGTGGGTGGACACCCTCCTTTGTAGGACCTGCCCTGGACAAGACTGAGAGGTAGAAGACACTTGCCTTTCCATTTCTCCCCAAGGTTCCCTCCGTTCGGGGCCATCCACAGATCTTTCTCCAGCTCCATCTCTCTCTGAAGCTGGCAGACAGGGACAGCCTCTCTTCATGTGTTCCACGTTTCCTTGTGTTACAATCTGGACTTCAGTGTTAATCCATTATTTCATTAAACACCCACTCATTGGGACACCTCTGGGCTGGGCTTAGACCCTGGGGATAAGAAGATGAAGGGCATGGAGGTTCAGGCCATTTCGGAACTTCCAGGTCCCTCAGGGAGGGCAGAGAAGTGGACAGGCAAGCCCAGGAACCCGTGAAGGCTGCCGTCCTGCTGTCAGTTATGTGTGTTGTGCAACCAAGACTCATAGATTTTCATCCCAGCAAAGCCAGCTGGGAAAGGAAAAGGGACAGTTGTGAGCTCTGAGAGTCAGCTTCCTTGAATTGTTCTTTGAGTTAAAATCAAAGCTGGCAATTAAGACTCTCCTACTACCAAGCTGTGGAACAAACTGTCCCAGGAGGCCCGACTTTCCCCTCTCCTCACCCTGCAAGCAGCAGCAGCTGGTGTCACCAAGGGGCAATGAGCGATTCCTCTCCCGAATCTCCTTAGTCACCCTGTATTGGGTTTTTCTCTTGCACCTGCTGTGTCCTTGACTAAAATCCAGATGTAATCACAAGGACAGGAAATTCGGGCAGGCCCTTGGCATGGCCCGGGCACAGCCAACTGCAGTCAGAGGAGACCCTGGCAGAGGCCCCCATTTGCAGTCTCCATGTTCACCATCCTCTCCCCGTGACTGAGTGACGCCTGACGAGGGAGGTGGCCAGGGTTATCCTTAGGTTTATTAAAGTATACTTCATACTTTGCTGATTTTTCTCTTGTTTTCTTCATTGGAATTTAAAAATTCGAAAAATAGAAGCCATTTGTTCTCCCTTTATTCTGAAAGAAAACTATTGATAAAGAGCTTATGTTCCTTCCAGACATTTCTATTGCTCTCTCCTCACCCGGTGATTCTACTGAAGATAAAAATCTCATTGCTGGAAGCAGATGCACTCTGGGGCTGGAAATGCCTCGCTTTCTCTATTTCAGGTCATTGCGCAATGCAGATAGACCCAGGGGCTGCTTAGGGCTGGAGTGTATGTTTATCTTCCTTGGAGTGTTTCAGGAGGATTAGAAGACACCGGGTGCCCAGGAAGAAACGAGAGTGCGGAGGTGGCAAGGCAGGGACTTCAGGGGCTGCATCTGCCCCACGTGCCCCCCGCCCTGTTTCTTGACTGTTCTGACAATCAGTTTCTTCACCTGCTAAATGGGGGCAATTCAAGTGCCTGCCTCACAAGTGATTTGGACTACACATGTGCAGCACAAAGCCTAGGATCTGGCACTGTAAATCTCTTTGGAAATGTCAGCTACACTAGTTATTATACAACTTATTGACTGACCTCAAATGTGAACAAAACATAAAGTAGAGACAAAGAAATGCTAAGACCATGGCAGGGCGTGGTGGATCACATTTGTAATTCCAGCATTTTGGGAGGCCAAGGCAGGTGGATCACCGGAGGTCAAGAGTTCGAGATCATCCTGGCCAACATGGCGAAACCCCGTCTCTATTAAAAATACAAAAATTAGCTGGGTGTGGTGGCGCACGCCTGTAGTTCCAGCTATTCGGGAGGCTGAGGCAGGAGAACTGTTTGAACCTGGGAGTCAGAGGTTGCAGTGAGCCCAGATAGCACCACTGCACTTCAGCCTGGGCAACAGAGTGAGACTCCATATCAAAAAAAAAATAAAAGTCAAAGAAATGCTAAGACCATATGTAATGCTTCTTTGATCGCCTCGAAGCCTAAAAAGAGCAGCAATCACAGCGCAATGGGGCAGACGACCCCCCCAGGCATCTGTGACCAAAGCCTCTCCACAGCCAAATGAGCCTTTCCCTCCCAGGAGTTCGGTGTCTGCCTGGTTATTGGCATCTCCCATCTTGGGTAAGATCACTCAGCTGGATCATCTCCAAAGCCCAGCTGCTCCCCTGTGGTCTCCTGGCAGCAGCTTCTGCAGATGCAGAACTGCACTGTGTGACCCAAGAGGAATGCACTCACCACGACAGTCAACCTTGAGTGAATGAGTGAGTGACAGCCAGAGTGGATGGATCCCCAAAGTCCACTATACTTGGGAGGAAGGGTGGGAGGGAAGTGAAAGAGAAAAGACTACATATTGGGCGGCACAGTGTATACTACTCAGGGGACGGGTGCACTGACACCGCAGAAGTCACCACTAAAGAACTTGTCCACGCAACCAAAAACCACCTGTACCCCCAAAATTATTGAAATAAAAAAGAGTAGATGGATCTTCTCTGCATCTTGGGGCCCTCTGAATGTAAAGCCTGAACAAAGCTACTCCTGGTGTTCTTAGCAGTATGTGAGTCAGGTTCCTATAGTAAAGCGATCTATACCATATAACTGAGAAAACTAAAAAACAGGCCAGAAGCAGACTGAGGACAGGCCCAGCAGCTGGTGGGGGAGTGGAGCAGAATGAGAAGGGAGCTTGGGGGGAAAAAAGAGGTGTGGGCAGGCCAGGAGGCCTCCCCAGAGCCGTCAGACCCCCTAACCCCCGACTGTGGGCCTAGCTTCCCTTGGGGCCACATGGCTGCTGAGGGCCTGTTTCCTGTGCTGGGAGGACAGCTGGGTGATGGCCAACCTCAGGTATTCCCAGGAGAATTCACTCCATTTCATTCATCAGCTTCTCTCTGAGGTTGCAAAAATGGAAACACCCTGACCTGCCCAGCCTCTGTTCCCTGGCATCCTCTTTGCTAAGTTATTTCTTTGCACATTTGAAGAGTCCAGAGGAACACAAAGCCACAGCCCCCATTTCTCTTTCCTCCCTGCTGCCTGCTGCAGGCTGGAGGCATCTGGGTGGGAGGGCACACTGGCAGCTCAGCAGGAAGGCAGGGCAAAGAGCCATGTGGGTGCTGGTGTTCTGTGACTCCTTCTAATCTCAAACATGTAGTTACCTTTCCCCATTTGCTCCCTCAGGTTCCAAGTGACCTGGAGCCCTTCCAGGTGCCGGGAACAAAAAAGGCCAACAAAGTGGAAAAGCATTTCCTGCTCTCAGAGAGTTTCTATCCTGGAGAGAGAGACCGACAATAAATATTCACTGTCAAATGGCAATGAGTGTTACAAGCAAAATGGAAGCTGGGAAAGAGGTAAAACATCTGGAAGGGTTTCAGGTTGCAGTTTTAAATAGTGAACAGGTGCCATCGGGCAGGGACTTGAAGAAGAAGGGAAGGGAGTGAGCCTGCAGATATAGGGGCAGAGAGATGTCAACCTACAGTCACAGGAGACAGCAAGTGCAAAGGCCCTGAGGTAGGAGGGGGCCCAGCCTTTTCAGGAAAAAGCCAAGAAGGCCCAGGTGTCTGGAGCAGAAGAAGTGAGGACACATGAGGAGAGGATGAAGTTCCAAAGGTGAACTGGAGATGAAATAATGCAGGAACTTGTAGGATTTTGGCTTTTACGATGGGTAAGACGGAAAGCCAGCCAACTGTTTTGAGAGTGTTGTCATCTAAATTATGTTTAAAAGAATCGCACTGGCTGGTGTCCTGAGAATAGAACAGGAGGGGCAATAACAGAAGAACAGAGAAGAGTTCGGAGGCTAGTGCCTGAGGATGCTGGCTTGGACCAAGGATGGTGCAGGGGAGGTGGTGAGAAGTGGGTTAGCAGATGTGATTTTAAGAAAGCTGAAAGAGAGAGGGAGAAACTATTTTTCTGGGATGGTGAAAACCACAGAAAGAGCAGGTTTGGGAAAAAACAACAACAACAGGACTTCAGTGTTGAGCAGACCCTGCCTCACTATTTGGGGCAGGAACCAAGAATGGCCATTGTTTAATGGCAGTTAAAGCCATTGGCCATATAATTACTTGCTCCCAATTTAAAATGTGACTAGGGGCCTGTTGTGGTGACTCACACCTGTAATCCCAGCACTTTGGGAAGCCGAGGCGGGAGGATCGCTTGAGGCCGGGAGCTTGAGATCAGACTGGACAACTTAATGAGACCACGTTCTACCAAAAAAAAAAAAAAAAAAAATTAAAAATTAGGCGGGCGTGGTGGCGCATGCCTGTAGTCCCAGCTATTCAGGAGGCTGAGTCAGGAGGACCACTTGAGCTCAAGAGTTCAAAGCTACAGTGAGCTATGAGTGCACCACTGTACTCCAGCCTGGGCAACAGAGTGAGACCGTCTCTAAAAAATAAAAAAAAAATGGCAGAAAGAAAGTACTGGAGAAAAAATTCACAGAACCTGAGATCTGGGGGAGACCCCTCTCTTAGGCCTGTTTTTTTCCCCTTTCTGTTTTAAAAACCTTTTATCCATTTTTCTTTTTTATTCCAACAAACTTCAGTCTCCATAGAGACTGTCAAAAATTGCCAGTGCCGACTGTATTTCAAGTCGTCACGGCTGGGTATTGGGAAAAGTTTTCAATTAGCAATAATCGCCCCTCGGATAAACCTCATTGGCTCCGATACTGTCACTGTGCAAAGCTTACCCATTTTTCTATGCCTGTTTTCCTCACTATAGCTTTTTGGAAATTTCTCTTTTGCTCCACTAGGAATTGGAGAGAAGAGGATTCGATGACAATCAGAGTCAGCATGAGTGTGGGTGCTGCCTGCTGCGTTTCTTTGGGACCCGGTGGGAGGTAATTGAATCCTGGGGGTGGGTCTTTCCTGTGCTATTCTCGTGATAGTGAATAAGTCTCATGAGATCTGATGGTTTTATAAAGAGGAGTATCCCTGCATAAGCTCTCTCTCTCTCTTGCTTGCTGCCATGCAAGATGTGACTTTGCTCTTCATTCACCTTCTGCCATGATTGTGAGGGCTCCCCAGCCATGTAGAACTGTGAGTCCATTCAACTTCTTTTCTTTGTAAATTATCCAGTCTCATGTATGTCTTTATTAGCAGCTTGAGAGTAGACTAATAGAGAGGGTTTGAAACGGACAGCAGGAAAGCAAGGAGGAAGCTTTCTGCTGTGTGCCTCTTGACTTCCCCTCTCTGGGTTTTGGCCATGGAGAAGATATTTTGGATAAGTTAAGGGCTACTTAAAAGTAGTTGATCTTGCCCTCTGACTAATTTAGGGGCCTGGAGTGGCTGATATCCAAGCCACTGCCACACCAGGCAAAGGGATGTCACAGATAAGTCAGTCAGAACCCCAGTAGTCAGATGCAGGCTCTCAGGAATCATTTTACCAGGATGCCTGAGGTCCTGACGTGGCTTGTGCAGGGCCCAAAAGTAGCTGGGACTCAGGCTGAGGGCGCTGCCAGAGGAAAGCTCTATTTCTGGGCAGCATAAAGCCTGTGCCAAAGGACCACAAACTAGGCTAAGTGGGAGTTTTGCCAGGCCTCTGGTAGGTCTACCGCACTGAGTAAGTGATAGTCTTCAGCCCTGAAGCCCCACCGGCCAGAGAGGCCCAGGATCAAAGGGAGAGGCAGAGGAGGAGGACACTGCCTGAGAGACCTAGCATTTTTATCAGAGACTGAACCCTGCCCTGGAGGCCCTGGCTCAGTGCCTTTCAAAGTTCCAGTTGCATGAAGGCCACCCGGAGATCTTACAAAATGCAGATTTGGATTCAGTAGGTCTACAGTGGGGCCTGAGACTGGCCAGCCCCCAGCTGAGGCTGGTGCCACTGGGCTCAGGCCTCACTTTGAATAGCAAGATTCTTTGTTATTGGATCAAATCGCCGTTGAACTGGACTGGAATGTTAACAATTTCTTCTATTAGGTAGTGGTGGAGACTCAGGGGGAGAACAAGAGTTGTAGACTCTTAACAGAAATATATATATATTTGTCAGGGTTTTCCAGAGAAACGAAAACAATAAGATGAGGTTTATTATGAGAATTGGCTCATGCAATCGTGGAGGCTAAGAATTGCCATGACATATAATCTGCAAATTAGAGACCCAGGAAGGTCAATGGAGTAATTCAGACTGAGTCCAAAGGCTTCAGTTAGGAAGAAGGCGGGAGAACACTGATGTCCCAGCTCAAGGGGAGAGAGTGAAAATGTGCCTTTCTCTGGCTTTTTTGTTCTATTCAGGCCCTCAGTGAATTCGACATTGGTGAGGGCAGATCTTCTTCACTCAGTCCACTGATTCAAATGCTCATCTGCTTTGAAAACATCCTCACAGACGCACCCAGAAATAAGGCTTTACCAGTTTTCTGGACATTCCTTAACACAATCAAGTTGACAAATAAAATTAACCATTACAAATCCACCTCTTATCAACCTGACACCCATATGTCCCTTAAAACATAATTAATCTCCAAATAAAGACAATAACAAGGTCATAATTTATCCCACAATGATACAACTATCCTGCTTGCAACTGAAACTCACTAATCCCTTCCCTGGAAGAGGAGGTAAAGTTCTTGCATAAACTTTACTCTTTGGATATCCTGTAACTTCAATAATATGATGTAAAATTAACAATACTTCAATACTGATATAAAGTCAATACATCTTATGTTACATGATAAGGGAATAAGAGGAAAGAAAATAAAGATATTTACTTCATATAGGTGTATATATATATACACACAAACATATTGGGAACAAAATAAGGAGGAATACTCATGAAAATGACAGTCCTTTCTGTAACTGGTCACGTGGTCATAGCTGGTGTTTATAACTACTTTCTTTTACTGCCCATTTTGTGTTCCCTAAGCCTTCAGCAAACACTTCACCTGGTAATGATTCTTCACCTGGTGGAGTGACCCAAATATTCATTCGTGAAGGATCTGGGCCATTTATAGCCCTGCCTGAATTGGGTTGCTGTAGTTTCCGTTGACCTTAATACTAAGAGACACACTAAGGGACCTTTTGCATTCTAGACATACTCTTTCTTATGTCCATGTTGAAGTAGCAGTCTGATTTCCTCTTGGCAGTGCAGATCAATCACCCCAGCCAGCATCATTACTCCTCTCTTAGCCTGCTGACCCAGAGGCACGAGGAGTCCAAAGTGGCTGAATGGCAGTCTTAATTTCCAGTTCAATGAACTTGTGTCTGCTGGTGGAAACATTTCTCCTTCTGGAACTAAGACCTCTAGGCAAGCAGCGAGCATAAATCCTTGGGAACGAGAAGCAAAAATCTTTGCTAGTGGGTCACTAGGGTTAATAGTCAGTGGTGCCACTATCATTTCCACCCCTTCATTCCTGGACCTGTGAATCCTGGCTGTGGGAGAAATAGAACCATATATTAGATGCTGGTTCCATGCATATACAGCCATCTGGAGAACCTTGTCCAGGCTGTGCAAGGTATTACCTCCTACCTGATGCTATAACTGAGTCTTTTTTTTAAAAAAATTATTATTGTTGTTATTTTTTATCCAGTCATACTCCTGAACCAGAATAGGTTCAAAACGCCTACCAGTAACTGAGTCTATAAAAGGCCATTCCACTGTTCTATTAAGCCAGCTGCTTCAGGATGGTGGGGAACATGGTCAGAAAGTGAATTCTTGGAGCATGGGCCCTTTGTTCTATCTCTTTCGATGTGTGGTGAGTTCCTTGAATAGAAGAAATGTTGTGTGGAATACCATGACAGTGGATAAAGCATTCTGAAAGTTCATGGATGGTAGCTGTGGCAGAAGCATTATGTGCAGGGAAGGAAAATCCATATCTAGAGTAACTGTCAATTTCAGTAAGAACAAAATGCTGCCCTTCCATGATGAAAATGGTCCAATGTAACAAACATGCCACCAGGCAGCTGGCTGATCAGCCCCAGGGAATGATGCCATACTGGGAGCTTGATGCTGATCTCCATTGCTGGCAGATTGGGCACTCAGAGGTGACCATAGCCAGGTTAGCCCTGGTGAGTGGAAGTCCATGTTGCTGAGCCCACGCATAACCTCCATCCCTGCCACCATGTTCCCTTTGTTCATGAGCCCATTGGGTGATGATGGAGTGGCTGGGGAAAGAGGCTGACTTGTATTCATAGAATGTGTTATCTTATCCACCTGATTATTAAGTCTTTGGTCACCCTTTGGTGCTTTGGTGAACATCTACATGAGGCACAAGTGTCTTCACATTTTTTTTTTTCTTGCCCATTAAGAGAGGTCTATCTACACACCTCTTTCCCAGATGTCTTGGTTACCAATTTTCCAGTCATGTACCTTCCAATTCCCTGACCATCCAGCCAAACCATTGGCTACAGCCCATGAATCAGTATATAATCACGTGTCTGGCTATTTCTCCTTCCAACCAAAGTGCACAACCATATGCTCTGTCCAGACTTCTGCCCATGGGGAAGATTTCCCTCACTATTGTCCTTCAGCAATGTTCCAGAAAGGGGCTGCTGTCATGCTGCCATTACTGCCCACTTTCAAGTGGTGCCTGCGTATTGTGCAAAACCACCTGTAAACCAGGTCCAAGTCTCTTCCCTGTGATGGACTTACTTGTGTCTGTAGGGGCTGCTCAGGCCCTGGTATGTATATACCCCTTCCATTTGATGATGGAGTGCTGCTGTGCATGCCTAACTTTATGGCTTGTTAGGTCCAATGTCAGCCAGTTCATGATGGAGAGCCCAGATTGCATGGGAACTTGGTGGCTCACGGTCAAGTGTTCAGTTTTTACTAAGGCCCAGTAGCAGGCCAAGAGCTGTTTCTCAAAACGAGGGTAGTTATCCATGGATGGCAGGGCCTTGCTCCAAAATCCTAAAGGCTTCCATAAGATTGATTTACAGGGCCCTGCCAAAGACTCCAAACAGCATCCCTGTGTGCCATCGACACCTCAAGCATCATTTTATCTGCTGGATCATATGGCACAAGTGGCAGAGCAGGTTGCATGGCAGCCTGGACCTGTTGCAGGGCCTTCTCCTGTTCTGGACCCCACTCAAAACCAGCAGCCTTTAGGGTCACTTGTTAATGGGTTGGAGTAACACACCCAAATGTGGAATATGTTGGCTCTCAAATCCAAATTTGCCTACCAGGCATTGTGCCTTTTTCTTGGTTGTAGGAGGGGCCAGATACAACAACTTATCTTTCACCTTAGAGGGGATATGTCCCACACCACTGCACCCCTAGCAATTTCATTAAGAAAGAAGGCCCCCGGATTTTAGTCAGATTTATTTCCTACGCTCTGACATGCAAATGTCTTACCAGTAAGTCTAGAGTAGTTGCTACTTCTCACTCACTAGGTTCAATCAGCATAATGTCATCATGTAATGGACCAGTGTGATATCCTGTTGAAGGGAAAGGTAATCAGGATTCCTGTGAACTAAATGATAAAATAGGGCTGGAGAGTTGATATGTCCTGAAGTAGGAGAGTAAAGGTGCATTGCTGGCCTTGCCAGCTGAAAGCAAACTGATACTGGTGGGCCTTATGGACAGGGATGGAAGAAAGGGCATTTGCCAAATCAGTAGCTGCATACCATGTACCAGGGATATGTTAATTTGCTCAAGCCATAAAACCACATCTGGTACAGCAGCTGCAATTGAAGCCACCATTGGTTCTTATGTTATCCTACTGTTATTCTAGAAGCTCCATCTGTCTTCTACACGGGCCAATTAGAGCAGTTAAATGGGGACATGGTGGGAATCACTACCTTTGCATCTTTCAAGTCATTGATGGTGGCAATAATCTCTGCTTTTCCTCCAGGACTGTAGTATTGCTTTTGGTTTACCATTTTCCTAGGTAAGGACAGTTCTAACGGCTTCCATTTGCCTTTATTACCATAAAAGCCCTCATTCTGGCCAGGCTCAGTGGCTCATGCCTGTAATCCCAACATTTTGGGAGGCTGAGGCAGGTGGATCACCTGAGGTCAGGAGTTCAAGGTTTAAGATCAGCCTGGCCAACATGGTGAAACCCCATCTCTACTAAAAATAAAAAACTTAGCTGGACATGGTGGGGGGTGCCTGTAATCCCAGCTATTTGGGAGGCTGAGGCAGGAGAATCACTTGAACTCTTGAGGTGGAGGTTGCAGTGAGCCGAAATCACGCTACTGCACTCCAGCCTGGGCATCTCAAAAAAAAAAAAAGCCCTCATTCCACAGGTCAGGGAACCAATGTGGTGATTCTGCCAGCTGCTGCCTGGTCCAGTGATGTATCTAGAAATGGGGAAATAAACACAGGGTAAGTTCAAAGAACCACTGGCCCCACTATGAGATGGACCTAATCTAAGACTCCACTGATGCCCTGACTTCCGTAAGCCCATACTCTGAGTGGGGAAACCACAGTGACATTTTGGGTGTATACCAGGGTCCTTCCTTGAGGGGACCCTGCCTTCCTTTCATTCAAGAGGTTCTGGGTTTACAGAAACTGGCTGAAATCTGGGAATTGACTGAGAGGCTATGATTCTCTTTATAATTAAAGTTAGACTTTTGTTCACTTGACCTGAAACTTTTCTGCCTATACAAATCAAGTCAGAATTTAGTAGGCATCCTATCTATTTTAATTCTAGGAGCACCACAACTAGCCAGTGCCAATAGTGTGCTAGTGTGCACGAGTCAATAGTGTGCGTGAGTCAATAGTGTGCCAGTTGACAGTGTGCAAGTTGATAGCGTGCACGAGTTGATAGCGTGCGCCAGTAGATAGTGTGCGGGAGTTGATAGTGTGTGCCAGTTGATAGTGTGCATGAGTCGATAGTGTGCATGAGGTGAATGTGTAACAGTTGATAGTGTGTGTGAGTCGATAGTGTGCCAGTTGATAGCATGCACTAGTCAATTGTGTGCACGAGTTGATAGTGTGTGTGAGTCAATAGTGTGTAAGAGTTGATCGTGTGTACAAGTTGATAGTGTGTGTGAGTTGATAGTGTGCGCGAGTTGATAGTGCGTGAGTTGATAGTGTGTATGAGTTGATAGTTTGTGCCAGGTGATAGTGGGTGAGTTGATAGTGTGCACGAGTTGATAGTGTGCACGTGATAGTGTGTGCACGAGTTGACAGTGTGTGAGTTGATAGTGTGTCAGTTGATAGCATGTGAGTTGATAGTGTGTGCATGAGTTGCTAGTGCACGAGTTGATTGAGTTGATAGTATGCAAGTTGATAGTGTGCACGAGTTGGTATTGTGTGCAAGTTGATAGTGTGCACGAGTTGATAGTTGCAGGTTGATAGTGTGTGCACGAGTTAACAGTGTGCAAGTTGATAGTGTGTGCATGAGTTGCTAGTGCGCGAGTTGATTGAGTTGATAGTGTGCAAGTTGATAGTGTGCACAATTTGATATTGTGCGCGAGTTGATAGTGTGCACGAGTTGATAATGCGTGCGAGTTGATAGTGTGTGCGAATTGATAGGGTGCATGAGTCAGGCTACTCTGATTACTGGCTTTGCCTGCACTGCCTGTTGCGGTGGCCACGCCCACCTTGCCTTTGGTGATTGAGTGTTGCCATTTGGCTTCTGCCATCCTGAGATCCAATTACTCTCATTGCCTTGAGATCTTCAAATTGTGTGACTGGGGTCCCACTGTAAGTTCTGATCTACAGAGAAGACCAGTCCCAGCACTCTTCAGGGACACTCCAAGGACTGTCATCACCGGTTTATTTTTTAAAGCATTTGCCACAGGTATGTCTTCTGGCTCCTCCCAGTGGAGGTGAGCAGGTCTTTAATGGCAAATCCACTCTGACATTCCAATCTTCCTAAACCCTGGAATCCCATCCCCTACCTTAAATCAAGGGAGATGGGACATTTTCAGTTTGCTCATGGCGGGCCATTTTTTGACCCACATTTCAGTCAATCAACCCAGCAAACTGTTAGAGCCCTTTCCCTCTCCCTGTGTGCAACACTGCACGCAGAATCTCTGTTTGGTGGGCCCACACCAATACAGTTGGCCGGATCCAACTTGATGTTCCTTCTACCATTATCCCATACCCTTGATATCCCTCCCTGCACACTCTCCCTGGGTTTCTGTCTGTATAAATTGGAAACATAAAGTAGTTTTTTGCAGTGTAGTGCGCTCCTCACAAGCCACACGTCGACCCTCACCTTTAGGAACCTGCTGGAACTTGAGTCTGGTCATAGGTCTAGAAGCAAACAGGGGTGAGGGGGGCGGGTTCTGAGGAGAATCAGCATTGCCTTGCATGGCAACTGCCTCAGGGGAGGCCATTCACATTTCCTCTGGCCATGCAAGGTGAAACCCCTCGTAGGGATGTAGAAAGGCTGGTATCACTGCTGGGTAGGAAGGCCACATCTCCCGGGTTGGGGACAGCGCTTCTGCTGGGGCTTGCAAAGGCCACTTTTGCTGATGGTTGCGAGGTCTCTTTCACTGGCAGAAAAGACTCATCAGAATTTAGGGTCTCAGTGTCCCCAGCTTCATCAGGGTCTTCCCACACATCTCTGATCCAACGGACAGGATTCTATTCTGTCTTAATCAATGCCCTCACTTTACCAGTCATAGTAACGCAGCCAGTCTCAGTCTATGGCCTTCTTGTATTTATTATGGTGATTTTTTTTCTGTGTGTCTGGTTGTAGGGGGATTTTCACATTGAAAGCCAAAGGGGCACAGCACAGTCTCTGTCCTTGAGCTGCACCCACTTAACCAAAGTCCTGCCAGGCAGGCCTCTACTCCAGGTCTTCTGACTGCCACGTTCATATTGTTTTCACTCTTCACGGTAGCCAGGGATCCCACAGCCAAGGCCTGGGGGAGCACCTGACTAGTCGGTCGGGAAAGACACAGCCCCAAAGAGAAAAACCCAGGAGAGAAATTAGAGGGGAAAGGTGTGATCATGTCAGGATTTGATGGCTACACTGTGGTTCCTCTTGGTGACCAAGACCTCAATTCCACGAGCATTTGCCAAACACCTTTTAGGGCAGGTAGGTTCCATTCCTATACTGCCATCAATCCATAGGAACACAAGGATGAGAAGAGATAGTCCTGCCTCAGGGGTTTCCTATCTGTCAGGGAAGGTAGGTGCACAAATAGCCATACTTCTACGGTTCATGTTAATCTTCCTTTATGCAAATCTTCAGAATACAGTGTGGTTGTTTAGATAGAATCTAATAGGACCATGTAGGATCTATTGTCTAATAGGTAATTGTGTCATGGAAAAATAAAATGTATTAATTCAACATTTCATGGAAACTTTGCAGCAGCTTCAATTGGTCCTGTTTGTACCTCTCACCCCACCTTGTGGCCATTTATCTGAGTTGCAAGGTCAGTTCTTGGGTGAATCCTCTTGGAAAATGAATTTGCAGATCTAAATGTATCTTGAAATGTTACCAAACGTCTCAGAGAATGACAGCCTAACTGTTGAATGGGACATCTTTTGTACTTTGGAGCCCTGGAAACTTCTCAGTACATTTTGTCTGGCTGTTTTTTGAAACTGAAAAATATTACCTTTTCGCTTAGGTGGTTTTCATGAGTTGATTTCTAAAGAGGAAAGGATCTTTTAAGTGTTTTTTCCAGCCATGTTTTGTTAGACCAAGACAACCAGAGAGACAGAGAGAGAAAGAAAGAGAGGAAGAGAGAGAAGAAAGGTGAGGAGAGGAGAGGGGAAGAAAGAGAAAAATTAATAAAATACAAACAGTAAAACAACAACAACAACAAAAGCAAAACCAACTATTTTTGAAAGCACTAAATCTTAAATAGCACAAAAGTAAGATATTTTGTTCCAAATATATGAAGGCATTATATATGGCTATCCCATCTATCAAGTGCTGTATAGTTTTATGATCAAGACGTATTTATTAAGTAGCCTTTTTTTCCTACTAGGCATGGTGCAAAGTGAGTTAAGCAGATTAATTCCAAAGGCTTAAAGTAGCAACACCATTATTAAAAGTTACTATTATTCCAGAAGGAAAAATAAAATAGGAAAAATTAGCAGTTTGTTATTAGGTGTAAATAGTGATAACAAGAACTCAAATACTTGTTGGTGTCAAGAGATCGGGAATGGGAACCTTCAGTCTTCAGCCATGATCTTCATCAATTGGTTTTCCCATTATATGAGATTACATTTTGACATTTTCCACTCCAAAGCAACTTTAAGTCCTGTCTTCCAACCAATTGCTGCTCCTAACTCTCTCCTATAGAAATTGTGGAGCCACCATCTCTAAACATCCTGCCTAACAGGACTTCTAGAAGTTCGCCAAAGGTCTCCTCAACCCCAGTTCAGTGATATAATTTTGGTTTCTGAAGAGTGTTGACATTTATGGATCGTCTGGTTGGAGAACTAAAGAAATTTCTGGCAAGTGGATACCACATTGACAAGGTGCTCATCAGCTGGGTGAGTGAGCCAGTTAATTACTCTAGTGTGACTCACAAGCCTGCCAGTCATTAAACAAAGCAGGCTGTTCATTGTGTTTAACTGCGAGATCTGCCAGACTCAACTCAAAAGGTGGTTTCCTTTAGCTGCAAACTGCGTGCAATTCAGATCTCTCATTCCCATGACCATAAGACTGCAGGCTAATGTGAGGTCAAAAAGTATTCAAAATATCTGGCGGAAATGCCTGGTTCATATTTAAAACAAAGGTTTAGTAAAAAGAAAAGATGAAAATGATTTGAAAGGGACTAATTACAATAACCACAAATGAACCAAATAACAAGTCAAAAATTTAGCAAGAAGTCCCTGAATAGCTACTTCCCTGAGTGGCTAAGATGGCAGGTTTAAAGAGATGTAATGTGGAAGATTATTTTAATGCCCAGGAGAAAACATATATTTCATTCATAGATAATAGATATAAAATCTAAATCAGATGGGCTCACAGAGAGAAGAACAGAGAGGTAAGGAAAAAGGAGGCAGTGGAGCACATTCGTTCACTCATTCATTCATTCATTCATTCAGCATTTATTTATCGAGTGCCTAAATCTATTCATTCATTCAGCTCAGCATTCATTTGAGTGCAGGTACTCACCTAGGCAAGAATGATACCAAAGCCAGAGAGTCTGTGTTTATGGAGCTTCAGCCTAGATGGAGGCAAGAACATGAATAGTGTCAGCTGGGACCATGGCTACTAGGAGAGGTAGCTGTGCCGTATAATATTTTTAAAAGGAACAAATAGGCACAGAAAGGCTCCTGAGAAAGTGACACTTGGGTTGAAAGGGGTTAATTCCTAGACAAGAGGAGAAGAGTCCTGCAGGTAGTGGGAACAGCATGAGGAAAGGCCCTGTGGCACGAGGAGCCCGGTGAGTACAAGGGCCTGTGAAAGAGCAGTGTGGCTGCGGCGCAGGCTGTGAGCTGGTAGGACCTGGAAGATGCAGGGCTCTGAGGGCCGTGTCGGGAGTGAATCGGTAACATGCTCTGTTCCCCTGCTCCTCTCAGAAAGTAAGTAGATCTCCTGCTTAGAGGAATGTGACAAGGCAGAAAAGAACTGCAAGGCTCCTCTGGCTTTGGTTTTCATAAAAAAAAGTGTTAGTGGGTGCCTAGTGTAGTGGCTCACGCCTGTAATCCCAGCACTTTGGGAGGCCGAGGTGGGCAGATGCCTTTGAGTCCAGGAGTTTGAGACCAGCCTGGCCAAAATGGTGAAACCCTGTCCGCCAAAAAATACAAAAATAAGCCAGGCATTGTGGCTCATGCTTGTAGTTCCGGCTACTACGGAGGCTCAGGTGGGAGGATCACTTGAGCCCAGGAGCTGGAGGTTGCAGTGAGCCGAGATCACACCACTGCACTCCAGCCTGGGTGAGAGAGCGAGACCCTGTCTCAAAAATAAAAATAAAAATAAAATAAAATAAAATAAAATAAAATGTGTTAGGGGAATGCAAGGGACTCCCAATTCAGGAAAAATGTTTAGAAGGTCTCCTTCCATTAAACTTGAAAGAGTTCCCTGGGGGCTGAGGAAGGAAGAGGAAGGTGAGGAAAGGGGTGGATGTGGGTGCAGAGGATCCCACTGAGAGGGTTCCTGCTCTCCACTCTTCCTAGAGAACCCAGGGTGGTCAGGGGGCTTAGGTGGGAGTGGGGAAGGCCCACGGGAAGGTCAGGCAGCTGGGGCCTTGGGCAGCCTCACAACATGGCTAAGGGGCATCAGAAAGAGCCACTGAGCCTGGCAGACCATGTGGTCCCATTGGGGCAGGATGAGGGATGTTTCAGCAGTGACCCAGGAGGACCCGTGACAATCTGGGCCTCTGTCTGGACCCCTCCCCATACACATCATGGGAGACCCCTAGACTGTAGATCCAGTCCCAGGGAAGGCAGAATCGGGTGCGTGAAATTTACAGATTAACTGGGATGTGATTCTTGCAAATGCAACCATACCGAGATAACAGAGAGGAAAGGAGGTGGGGGAAGAGAGACCTTTTATTTCTGCACTTCTATAAGCATAGACTACCTCTGGAAAGATAGGCAAAAATCACTGGCTGTGGTTGTCTTTGGTGAGGGAATACGTGACAAGGGAGATAAACTTTGGCTCTTTGTCCTTTTGAGTTTTGTGACACACGTACCACTTACTTATTTTCAAAAATGTGAGCAATGTTGAAAATCCTAACACTAGATAGAGATGAATTTGTTTATTTTTTGTGGGGTTTTCAATTTGCTTTAGCAGACGAGAAAACTTAGAATCTAGTGCTTTTACCAAGGGGCTCCAACTCGCCTTAGTCGGGGGACTGCAAGTACATATGACTTCAGGAAAAATCTGTGCCACCTGCCTTGTGTAATATATTATTGTGTCTTTGTACTTACATAGATCAGTAAGCTATTTCTGATTCTTTCAGTAGAGCACGTGGGATGAAACTTAAATAAGAATAGGCCGCATTTGGTGGCTCATGCCTGTAATCTCAGCATGGGAGGCCGAGGTGGGCAGATCACTTGAGGTCAAGAGTTCAAGACCAGTCTGGCCAACATAGTGAAACCCCATCTTTACTAAAAATACAAAAAAAATAGCCTGGCGTGGTGGCACAGGCCTGTAATCTCAGTCCCTCAGGAGCCTGAGACATGAGAATTGCTTGAACCCGGGAGGTGGAAGTTGCGGTGAGCCAAGATCGTGTCACTGCACTCAAGCCTGGGTGACAGAGTGAGACTCTGTTTCAAAAAAAAAAAAAAAAGAATAGTACTTAAACTTCTTTTTTAAAAGTTCAATAAGAAAAAGTTCCTGAGTCATTCTAGGTAAGTCAATGCAGTTATATTCCTAGTAATAGTAAAGGATGTTGGGAGATTTTATTGGCTTGCATGTTACTCCTACTCCAGTTATGATGGTATTTTCTCATTCTATTTCCGACTGTGCTTTAAATTTTTAGAAAGAGGTAGAGGATTCTCATTTATATGTATTCTTTCTCATTTCTAAATTGACACCTCCATATGTATGGTACAGGTTGTATGTTTCATTTGCGACAATTATTTAATTATACAGTTTTCACATTTTTCAGTTAAAAGAGAATACAAGAAAGCAGACGTGAATGGAAAATGCTGACAAACATCTGTGGCATCGGGAGTAGAATTCTGTGATGCCAACCTTTAAAGAAGGTGCCAGAACTGTGCATCCCTAATCTGGGAAGGACACATTTCTTGCTCTGGAGTTAGCAACAGCGATGTTGCAGTGACTCAACATATAGTTGCTGACTGATCAGTGGCATCTTCCGAAGAGATTAGTTGAATTTATTTCTTAAGAATGAAGTCTCAAATGATTTTTCTTTTCTTTTCTTTTTTTAGTACAATGGACCTTTATCTCAGAGTTTAAATTTATTTGCAAGTGATCTGAAAAGTCCAAGGTATGTAGCAACATAGACTGGCTTGTGGCTAGGCATTGGGTGTGCTTTAACGCTGGTGTGCAGGAACAATCCTGTGGCCAGTGAATGAGCCTAGCTGGCTGCTAGCGTGTCCATTGCTACTGGAGTGATCTGTTCTCTATTTATTTCCCCATTTACGATAATTATCCATAATGGTCCAAAGAGATCGCTTTGCCTTTTTCCATTAGGCTTACCATATTTGATGAAGAAAATCATACTCTATAAGTGGAACTTGCTATTTGGAATTCCTCAAAGGGTCAAGGATCCACTGGTATGTCTTTGAATGAGACACGGAGGAGGGGACCTTAAGTTCCTTTCGCTTATAAATTAAGTATACCTATCGCTGAATGCCTCTCCATTCATATGTTGAATAAATGTAGCTGTATTTGGGCTGGGCATGGTGTCTCACACCTGTAATTCCAGCATTTGAGAGGCCAAGAAGGAAGGATTGCTAGAGATCAGGAGTTCAAGACCAGCCTGGACAACTTAGTGAGACTTCGTTGCTTGGTTAACTAAGGTTAGTGAGACCTTAAATTTTAAGACAATTAAAAAATATTAGCCCAGCATGGTGGCATGTGCCTGTAGTCCCAGCTACTTGGGAGGCTGAAGCAGGAGGATTGCTTCAGCCCAGGAATTTGAGGTGGCAGTGAGCGATGATCGTGCCTTTGTTTTTAACCCCATCAATTTCAATTTAATTCATTTAATATCTTTCTTTCCCTCTGTCTTGTCTTTTTTTTTTTTTTTTTTTTTGAGGCAGGGTCTCACTCTGTCACCCAGGCTGGAGTACAGTGGCATGATTATAGCTCACTGCAACCTCAGACTCCTGGATTCAAGTGGTCTTCCTGCGTCAGACTCCTGAGCAGCTAGGACTACAGGTAAGTGCCACCATGCCTAGCTAAGTTTTTAAATTTTTTGTAGAGATGGGATCTTGCTATATTTCCCTGGCCTCACGTGATCCTCCCACCTTAGCTCCCAAAGCACTGGCATTGTAGGCATGAGCCACCATGCCCTGTCCATTTTTTTTAACTATCTAAAGATTTCCACCCTGCTGAGTCCCATGGCCCTCTCTTCTTTTTCTTCTTAGGTTCACCCCATCAATGTTTTCTTCATTCATCTTCTTTCTTTAATTTGATAAGTCTTCTTGAACTATTGCTCAATTCTGCAGGATTATTCCTGCAGAACATCACATGGAGTGACCATGTAGAAGGGGCCCTCTTAACCACAGCATTTACCATGACCTGGATAATGGGCATAGTCAGTGGATTAATAGGAACCCAAATATGTTCTTCCACTCTGCAGCATTTAAAACCATGGATACTGCTCCTAAATTAGTTACTCTCATAATCCATTTTAAAGTTTCCTCAGGAAGCTGATGATACTAATCTACAAAGTGGAACAATCTCTTCACATTATGCCCTCTGGTTGTATAGTTACTTGGTTTTGCCCGTCTTTCACATTGACCACCTTCTTGGTAACTACGGGTCTCAAAAGTACCTTCTATTACCCTGGCATGACTTTTCTGTTTGTGGATGGCTTTGAGGTACTTTGTGTTGCCCTGGCATAATCTTACCCTTGTGTAGGAGTGGCTTTGAGGCTAGTGGCCTGAGCTCAGACAGACTGAAATCTGAGCTTGGTCCAGCCTTGAGGCTGAGGCCTGGCTCAGTACCCTCTTTTGCCTTCACTTTAGCTATTATAGATAGCAATAACCAAAAGATCATGTATTTAGTGCACTTCTTATTAGCTTGCATTTCCTCATGCGTCCAGTGAACCAACTCCCTGCGAGCTCCCTTTTATCCTTTCTCTTTTTATCCATTTAGCTTTATCTGTATCTTTTCTTAAACTTCATTTTGAAAAAAAAAACAAACCCTTTAAATGACCTCTAAACTAGACAAAATTACATCTCCTTTAGCAAAAAACACATCTTCCTGGTTTTTTTTATAACTTCACCCAAACCCATCCTACTTTCTTTATACACTCTGTATATAGAATTGTTTTTCTTATATCTAGTAGGGTTTTTTTTTGAGATGGAGTTTCACTCTTGTTGCCCGGGCTGGAGTGCAAAGGTGCGATCGCGGCTCACCGCAACCTGCACCTCCCGGGTTCAAGTGATTCTCCTGCCTCAGCCTCCCGAGTAGCTGGGATTACAGGCATGCACCATCATACCCGGCTAATTTCGTATTTTTAGTAGAGATGGGGTTTCTCCATGTTGAGGCTGGTCTCGAACTCCTGACCTCAGGTTATATCTAGTAGTTTTAATTACATACATTAATTATAATATTAACTCTTAGTAACTCTTATTTTTATTGAAAAACTGGGAAGTAAGCAATCCTAATTGTATACCAGATGCAGAGGCCATGAACAGAGATGTGGAGATAACACCTGACCTTTTCCAACATAGCCAGAAGGCACAGTTGGGTCAGGGAGAACTCTGCATATGTTCCCAGGCCTTACCATGGCTATTTGTTTAGAGCCTGGTTCTAAGACATAAGTTCACAGACAAGTCAAACAATTACCAAAAATATCGCCGAGTCAAGTTTATGAACATAAAACATCTAGGAGAGCTAGCTTAAACCTGTTTGACCAGCAGACCCAGACAAAAATGTCTGAACTGTATTTAGTTCTGACAATTCTGAAGACATTCATATTTATTTTACCAACTATTTTAAAACTTACTTTTTTTTACCAAAAAAAAAATTTTATTAATTTTGGTAAATAAAAAGTTTTATTTACCAAAGACTTACTAAAGTCATGTGAGCTAAAAAGCATTGGAGTTAGTTTCCCTTTTCCTAAAAATGACATTGATTTAAGTGCTTACTTTCTCATTAAGTCAGTTAACTGGAGCTCTTTCATATATTTTGGTAGTGCAATATCACATACGCATGACACATATCAACATATAGACATAGAGACACACAGAGAGAAACAGGTCTTAAAGATTTATAAGACTCTTTGTTTGCCAGTTTTCAAGTAGCTTCCCTCTCTCCTTTAGACTAGCGATCATTTTCAAAGACATAGTTCTTAGATAAAATAAGGTGGAACATTTACATCTCAAAAGCACAGAACTTAATCTAAATACCATTATTTGCTGAGACAAAGGGCATAGGTAAAAGCCCAGTTAAGACAATATTGCCAGAAAAAGTGTCTTAAACAAGGTAAGGTTTTTAACGTAAATGTTAAGACTTTGTCTTCTTACTATAAACGTTTCTAGTAGTTTAGGTACAGAGAATGAGACACTCTTATAAATAGAGATTTCCTTTACAGATATAAATTTCTTTTACAAAGACTATCAAAATAGCCAGCTAAATGTAGACTGATTAATTTGATAGGTGGGCTTTTCAAGTTGGTTTGCTTCTTGATTAGATTACTGGCATGAAAGTTGAGCTGTTTGATGAATAGGGCAAAGGAAATCAGGCGTAGCTGGAAGGCAGAACACTTAGATCTCCCAAAATCAGGGATCCCATCTTTACACTGAATTATGGGTCCCCAAAAGAGGAAAGTGCCACTGGGCTGGACCCTGCAATACTTCCATAGTGCACCTCACTGCAGTGACATTCCCCCAAGGCTGGTGGGCAATTCAACACCAATCAGCTCACTCTGTGATCCTCCATCCCCCATGGGAGTCTCATCCCTCACTGAGGGGTGTTTCCATAGCTTCTAGGTGCCCAAATTATGCTTTTCATGTCAAAATGCACAAAGAAACAAGTATTCCTCTGTAGTAATAACCATCTATTGTGAACAACTGCTGTTAGCCATCTCTAACACTGTAGCTCTTGCCTGTGACTCACCAGCCATCACACACTAATGTCAAGTTCTCTAACAGTATAAAGTAACCTCTGGTAGACCCCAAAAGCCAAAGAGACTGGGTTATGCAATACAAAAGAGCAGAATTTTATATCTGAGAGGAATCTGTCTCTTTACAACTCTTGAGGTTTCATTAAAAAGTGAAAAGGAAAAATCAGAAGTCCCTGTGAGCCCCCTAAAAGAGGAGCCTTCAGCATCTCTTCTGTTTTCCTTAAGGGATCTCAGGCTGTTAGAAAATCTCTTTTTTGTTTTGTTTTGTTTTTTGGTCCCCTCTTGTGGCACTGAGGGTGGCAAGAGGAAGGAAAAACAGACAGAAGTAAATGGAAAAACAGAATTCAGTTGACTCATTTTTGCCTTTGGCTAAATAAAGTAGTCTATGGCTCCTACTGATTGGATGGTTTAGTGAGGCCCTTGGTTGGGCCCCAGGTTGGCCACAGCCCTGGTGGAGCACTGAGAAGACGTTGGAATTTGACTATAAAGGAAGTAAAAGTCATAAAAAGGCCTGTAATCCCAGCACTTTGGGAGGCTGAGGCGGGTGGATCATAAGGTCAGGAGATAGAGACCATCCTGGCTAACACGGTGAAACCCCATCTCTACTAAAAATACAAAAAATTAGCCAGGGGTGGTGGCATGCACCTGTAATCCCAGCTACTCGGGAGGCTGAGGCAGGAGAATCATTTGAACCTGGGAGGCGCAAGTTGCGGTGAGCCGAGATCACACCACTGCACTCCAGCCTGGAAGACAAAGCGAGACTCCATCTCAAAAAAAATTGTAACAAGGTAAAAGCCACCACAAAGGACATGCAGACCTCTGCTGGTCGCTTGGTGCCAAAAAAAGGCAACTATTGACTAAAGGGTTCTTATAAAGAATATTTTCCATTCTACTGCAGCAGCTGCTAGCTGCCTTTCCTTACCCCAGTGAGATAGATGGCTCTCAGTTAACAATCACTTGAAACCTGCCAGCATTTTTGGAGCGTCCCTGTACTCATGTGTTGGTCCACAAGCATCTACATGGGGAACCACACCACTCCACATAGAAGTGGCTGCCGCCCATGGATTTTCCCCCATGGATACTTCATTCCCTTCACTCATTTCTTGGTCTCTCAGCTCCTGGTTAACTCACCAAATATTCTGCAGTGGCAGATCTCTGCAAAACTAGCACTTAAGGCTGAGGAAGGCCAAGCGTGGTGGCTCATGCCTGTAATCCCAGCACTTTGGGAGGCCAAGGTGGGCGGATCACCTGAGGCCAGGAGTTCAAGACCAGCCTGGCCAACATGGCAAAACTCTGTCTCTACTAAAAATACAAAAATTGGCCAGGCATGGTGGTGCATGTCTGTAGTCTCAGGTACTCCTGAGAGGCTGAGGCGGGAAAATCGCTTGAACCTGGGAGGTGGAGGCTGCAGTGAGCCGAGATTGCACTATTGCATGCCAGCCTGGACAACAAGAGCGAAACTCGGTCTCAAAAAATAATAATAAAAAAACGTCTGAGGAAGCTGAGAGGCTGAAGGAAGAGGCTGACAAATCCAATTTCACAGGAAAAAACAAAACAAAACACTTAATAGGGACTTATGATCAGAAGCCATGTCTTAGGCAGCCAGAAGATGAGATGTCCCTGCACCATCAACCCCCAGGTGCAGGGCTCATATACCATAGGGAATTGGCCTAATGGAAGGACTTCTGATAAATGTGGGTTTCTGGTAACCATCAATGTTGTTTTGACTTAAGGACAGGATTTACGGTAATCACATGGAAATAGAAATCTTAGAGGCATTCCCGAAACTTGGGTTAATCAGAAATCAATATAGTGGCTTAGCATTCACCATGCTAAGTTTCTTTAGCCTTCACATAGAGTAACTCTTCTTTCTCTTACATTTTAGGTTAAGATGCAAGACTGGCTAGAAGGATAAGCAGTGGGAACAACGGCACAGGAGATGTCCTTATGGGTCCCCAACACTTTCTCTTTTGCCCTTTGGCAGGTGCTAGTGACAGGTGAGACCTGACCAGAAGTGGGAAAAAGGAAGTGAGATTTGATTTTCAGGAGATTTGATTGCAAACCTGATTATTATGTAAACTGGAACCAATTCTGACATATCTACTGTCCCAGTCTGACATTCCTAACCCATGCCAAACCCTGCACACGAGGGTATTTTTTAAAAAAGACCCAGAGTTTGTGTATTTTTGTTATTTTCCTGTCAGGCACTCAGGAGCCCTGGGATCTGCCATCTTATTATTCATCATTAGTGAAGGGAAGTCCCAACCACAGAGGAGAATTCCGAATAATATCTTCCCTTTGTAAACATTTCTGCCAATTTCTAAGGACTTTACTCATCTATCCTGAGCTTTGTAACCACTCTGTGAGGCAGGAAGAAAGAAAAGGTTTTGTCATCTTCACTTTATGAGTAAGAAAAATAAGATTGGAGAGGTTAATTGACTTGCCCAAGGCCAAACAGCCTGTAGGTGGTTGAGCAGAAATTTAATCCTGGGTCATCTGACTCCAGGGCTCAGTGCGGAGAACATTGACCTGGGAATCTGGGGATCTGGTTAATGTTTTAGATCTGCAGGTAACTCTCCTGCATCCCATGGTAACCACTTGTCACTGGAAAGTAGGAAGTTGGGGTCACCTGGGGGATCCCTAGGCTCTGTGATTCTCTCTGCTGATGGGAAGTGTGGGTATTCATTTTTCCCTCCCAATGCTCCCCAGTATTACTCAAGCTATGGAAATTAGGAATAGAGGTTAATACATTCCAGAGAGAATTTATTTCTTTCCTATAAGTACAGATATGGTGAAAAATCACTGAGGAATTAGCAAAATCCCTTGACAGCCCCAAACCTCCTGAAGTAACTTGTGCTGCCTGAATCTGAAGTTAAGCTCTGGCTTTGTCCTAAGCTGCTGGCGAGCTGCCCGTCTAATTACAACATGGCAGGAATCTCTGTTATGGCTTGCAGAGCAACAATGTGTTTTACCTGAAATTCACCTATGAAAACTGTCATTTTAGAGTGTGAGCAATGAGAGGCTGTTACAGAGTCTGAATTTGGGGTGTTGTGATTACTTTTTTTTTTTTGAGACAGAGTTTCACTCTTGTTGCCCAGGCTGGAGTGCAGTGGTGCGATCTTGGCTCACTGCAGCCTCCGCCTCCTGTGTTCAAGTGATTCTCCTGCCTCAGCCTCCCGAGTGGCTGGGATTACAGGCACGTGCCACCACGCCCGGCTCATTTTGTATTTTTAGTAGAGATGGGGTTTCTCCATGTTGGTCAGGCTGGTCTTGAACTCCCAACCTCAGGTGATCCGCCTGCCTCGGCCTCCCGAAGTGCTGGGATTATAGGCATGAGCCACTGTGCCCGGCCCTGTTGTGGTTACTTTGAACTTGATGTCACCCACTGAAGCCACCTCTGCATTTCCTTCAGTAGCCTTCCGCCAGTGTTCCTAACTCTACAAACTGAGTTTTTTTCGTTGGTAATGACACTTCAGCCTTCTGAATGCTGAATATTGCCTTGATTTCTATGGTAACATCCCAGAAGGGAGATCAAATGAATAGGTTCACATCATATCACATAAGCTCCATGTCAAATCCATGAGAGGAAATGGGTTTGGGCAAGACCAGCACCATCATCAACTTCCTGGCATCCCTGGCACTCCACCTCTCCTCAGCAACGCCCTCCTCCTCTCCTGGGACAACTTTGCTTTTCACATCACTCAGCTCTTCCTTGTTTTACAGCAGAGTGGTGGTAATTGATGTGAATGTTCTACTAAACAGACAGACGCGTGAGCCAGAGTCCTCTTAGTTAATAGACAGTTCAGTTCTATCAAGCTTGTTGAAATACTTTGCATTCTGATATACTTTTTAATTTTTTAATTTATTTTATTTATTTTTGAGACAAGATCTCAGCTCCGTCACCCAGGCTGGAGTGCAGTGGTGTGATTTCCACTCACTGCAGTCTCTACCTCCCAGGCTCAAGCAATCCTCCCACCTCAGCCTCCCGTGCGGCTGGGACCACAGTCATGTGTCACCATGCCTGACTAATTTTTTTTTTTTTTGTAGACATGGGGCTTCACCATGTTGCCCAGGGCTGTTCTCGACCTCCTGGATTCAAGCAATCCTTCCACCTCGGCCTCCCAAAGTGCTGGGATTACAGGCATGAGCCACCTCGCCACTGGCTGGACTCCTCCGATTGACTTCTATTCACCAGAATGTTGATGGCTCTGGTTCTCACCCTGTTGTTGTTTGCATGGGAATATTCCCTAGAAAAGAGATAAGGCCTCTCTCCTGCCTTTCTTCCACCCAGATTAAGACTGTGAGATGAAGACAGAAACAGCATCCGCTGAGGCACCTTCTCTTGTGAGTTCTCTGCTGCCAACAGACCTGGGGTGGGCACAGCGCGGGAGGCAGGTGATAAGGGGAAGTGAAAGCATCATTACAGCCGAGAGGCCTTAAAATGGTACAGAAGCCTGGCCTGACGCTGTGAGTCCAAACCTCTGGCTTTACAGGGTTTCTCTGAAATCTGGTCTGAGAGTTTAACTTCTTCCTTTCTGGTTGGACCCTTGAAGGTAGCATGATATAAGTAGCACACCAAAGTGTCAAGATTGGGATGAAAGCACATCTTCCTTAGAATAACTTTCTTAAGCACTATTTTAGGTCTCTGTGTCTTAAACCATGGGCTTCTTAGACTTTTGGACGCTATATGTAAGTTGTGACTCTTGAGGTTATATTTGTTTCCTGGGGCTGCCATGACAAAGCACCACAAAGCCAGTGGCTTAAAGAACAGGGATCCTCTCCAAGCTCCAGAGGCCAGAAACCAGACATCAGCTACACTCCCTCTGAACCTCGTAGAGAGAATCTTCCCTTGCCTCTTCTTAGCTGTTGGTGTCAGCCGACAATCCTTGGGTGTTCCTTGGCTTGTAGACACATCACTCCAATCTGCCTCCATCATCACAGAGCTGTTTCCCTGTGTCTGATATGAACACCAGGCCCATTTCCCTGGGTCTCTTATACAGATACCAGTCATGTTGGATTTGGGGCCCACCCTACTCCAGTATGACTTTATCCCAATTTACCTAATTATTTTGTGTTTCGTTTTGTTTGTTTGTTTTGAGACAAGGTCTTGCTCTGTTGCCCAGGATGGAGTGCAGTGGCGTGATCACAGCTCACTGCAGCCTCAACCTCACAGGCTCAAGTGATCCTCCTGACTCAGCCTCCAAAGTAGCTGAGATTACAGGCGCATGCCATGATGCCCAGCTAATTTTTGTACTACTTTTTGGTAGAGATGAGGTCTCCCTATGTTGCCCAGGCCGATCTCGAACTCCTGGGCTCAAGTGACCCACCCACCTTGGCTTCCCAAAGTGCCAGGCTTAAAGGCGTGAGCTACCCTGCCCAGCCTACTTTACCTAGTTACATCTGTAATGACACTGTTTCAAAATAAGTTCACATTCTGAGGTACTGGGGATTAAGACTTCAGCATATTTTTGGGGGGAACAATTTAACACGTAACAAGAAAGAATACAGAATCCAAGATTTCCTAGACATATGTGTCCAGAGGACTTTTTTTTTAAGTTGAGGGTCTCCCTCTGTTGCCCCAGCTGGAGTGCAGTGGCCCCATCACGGCTCACTGCAGCCTCAACTTCCTGGGCTCAAGCAATCCTCCCACCTCAGCCTCCAAAGTAGCTGCAACTACAGACACACACCTCTACGCCTGGCTAATTTTTTATTTTTTTTTATTTTTTGGAGAAATGGAGTCTGGCTATGTTGCCCAGGCTAGTCTCAAACTCCTGGGCTCCTCCTGCCTCAGCCTCCTAAAGCGCTGGGATTACAGGCATGAGCCATGGCACCAGGCCCAGAGATCGAAGATCAAAGAGAATGGTGTGGAACTACAGACCTGTGGAAGCTATTGGTAGAAGGATGCCCTTGGCTCTCCGAAATGCTTGCTCATAGACTTCTCCAGCTCACCTTAAATATTACTGTCAACATCACTGTCTTGTCGTTCAGGCTGTGACACCTTTATTCTTCCATTTCAATTTCCTAGAGGGCCATGGAGCTTGCCACCCACGAGAGGAACTCCTCCCTTTTGAGTGAGGTTGCACAATTGGCCTGTTCCTTCCAAGCTCATGAACTTGCTCTCTCAAACGGAAACTGGGACCCTCTCTAAGTGTGTGCCTGCCAGCTTGTGGTGGAGTCTGTTTTTTTTTTGTTTTTTTAAACAAGAGAGAATATTTTGCTTCTGCCAAGATTGACATGGCTTCAAAAGTGCAAACCATCTCACTGCAGCTGCTCTGCACCCTCCTGGACCCTCTAGTTATGCTCTGGTCTTTCCTCTGGTCTTTTTGAGACTGGCCTATGCACTGTTTCACCTGTTCTGTCCCTACTACTTCTTGAGGTGTCTTTGACTCCGCTGACTACTGTAGGACACCACACTCCCTTTGTCCTTGCAGCCTACTCTTTTGTTGTTGTTGTTGTTGTTGAGATGGAGTCTCGCTCTGTCGCCAGACTGGAGTGCAGTGGTGCAATCTCTGCTCACTGCAACCTCTGCTTCCTGGGTTCAAGCAATTCCCCTTCCTTAGCCTCCCGAGTAGCTAGGACTATAGGCGCGTGCCACTACGCCCAGCTAATTTTTGAATTTTCAGTAGAGACGGGGTTTCACCATGTTGGCCAGGATGGTCTTGATCTCTTGACCTCGTGATCCGCCTGCCTCGGCCTCCCAAAGTGCTGGGATTACAGGCGTGAGCCACTGCACCCGGCCACAGCCTACTCTTAGTTCCTTCTTAAGTCATCTTTTCCTGGCCTTGGTTACATAATGCAACTTGTACACGCCAGTGTGCCTTCCCAATCAAGACCAGTGTCTTTCAACCTTTTGTTACTAAGATCTACAATAAGAAGTTTGCTTTTATTTTATTATTATTATTTTTTTGAGATGGAGTCTCCCTCTGTTGCCCAGGCTGGAGTGCAGTGGTTGATCTTGGCTCACTGCAACCTCCATCTCCCAGGTTCAAGGGATTCTTCTGCCTCAGCCTCCCGAGTAGCTGGGACTATAGGCACACCACCAAGCCTGGCTAATTTTTGTACTTTTAGTAGAGATGAGGTTTCTCCATGTTGGCCAGGCTGGACTTGAACTCCTGACCTCAGATGATCCACTCGCCTCAGCCTCCCAGAGTGCTGGGATTACAGGCATGAGCCACTGTGCCCCACCAAGAAGTTTGCTTTTAATCCTGAAGCAATGCACATAGCCAAGAACATTTTTCACTACAGTAAGAATCATGAAATAGCTTTTACTGTTACAGAATGCCATGCACTCAATTTTCTTTTATAGTCTAGTCCAGCCTATGCTATTTCATTAATAAATGTTTAAGGTCATAAACCATTGTATTTTATTTCACTACCCATGACTGGGCTGCAACTTGCCTTTTGAGAAACAGTGTAGATGTAGGCAGGAATTTCTTGAATAATCTTCCTGCCTCTACTCTTCTCTCTAATTTATTTGTCCCAGTAGCAAGAGTGATCTTTTGCAAACCTAAATTAGATCAGGTCTCTCCAGTACTTAAACCCTTCAGAGTCTTTCATTCACTTAGCATAAAACCCAAACTCTTTATCATAGCCCACAAGCTCCTATCTAGAAAGGCCCTTTTCCAACTTCATTTTCTACTGCACTCAACCTGAACCACCCCACTCCAGCCTCAGCGGCCTTCTCTGTTCTGCCAATGCCTGCTAATCTTGACCATTGACTCTGATGCTTTTTGTCATTCAGTTCTCAGTCCCAAAGTTGTCTCCTCAGAAAGGCCTTTCCTGATCACCCTAGCTATGTCATATCACTGTTTATCAATTTACCCCTTTTCTGTTCCTCTTAGTACTTACTAGCTCCTGAAAGTATTTACTGGTTTGCTTGCTTGTTTGCTTTCCAGCTGTCCCACTAGGATATAACCTCCGCCGGAGGGGACTGTCCTAGACTCTGAGGGGAAGATTATCAACTGCACAGGACTTTATCAGGGAGAATTCTTGGGGTCAACACTGCAGGAGGCAGACGAAGAAGCAGGACTGGGCAGAGGGAGACATTGGGCTGTGATGTCATCACCACAGATGCCACAGCTCAGCCTACAGGGAGTTCTGAAGATAGGATCACCCTTCAGAACTGTCTAGATTTGGCTAGAGAGCCAGACCTTTGGATCCCTTGGTGACCAATAATTGGATGTAGAAAGAGGGAGTGATGCTGAACAAGACCCAGTGTGTCTTCAAATAGGTAAGACCTAGCAGGGATGACAGCTGGACTAGTGAGTGGTGGCTGCACTCCCTGGCTGGAGATGGAGACCCCATCACACCATCAGCCATGAGTTCCAAACCAGCCTTTTCACAACCATCACCCCAGCAAGGCGGACAGTACCAGTGCTCAGTAGTTGCCTCTGTTTTGGTGGCTATTGTTCTCCTGAAACTGCCTTTGCAAAGATTATGACAGCGAGATAATCTAGCCTGGCTGTGTCCACCTTACTTCTAGCCTCACAGGCTGGCTGTCCTCATTCATTCCTGGGTGTGGGCCAAGCTAACCTTGGGAAGCATTTAATTTATAGTTTAACTTTGAAGCAAGGATGATAATAGTCCCTCCCTAAAACTGACACCTTCCTTCTTCAGGGGCTTAAACCCTGACTAATGAAAGGCCACAAGATTAGGATTATGAGAGGGGCCTGCATTCTGCTAAAATGTAGGCATAGTTTCTATAATTTCTTACTGCTCAGGAGTCATATGGCCAGAGGTCACAGAATTTGTGACTTCCTCAATTGCTCTTAGAGATAATATCACTATTGTAGAATCTAAGATTGGTCTTTTGAGATGTTTTTAAAATTTTTGCATTCTGGCAACTCACCAACCCCATCCAGACCCATGACTCATGTCTCAGCCAGTCCTGTGGCCCCACCAAGAGGCAGACTCAGCATGCGAGGACCATTTCCCACACCCATATGATTTTACCCCCAGCTAATCAGCAGCACCCATTTCCTAGCCCCCTGCCTGCCTGCCAAATTATTCATAAAAACCCTAGCTTCCGAGTTCTTGGGAAGGATGTTGTGGGTAATAAACTCTATCTTCTGCGTGGCTAACCTCATGTTAATTTAACTCTTTCTTTACTGCCATACTGCCATCTCAGTGAATTGGTTTTCTCGGTGCAGTGGGCAGGAAGAACCTGTTGGGCAATTACACTCTGACCTCCCCTCTCCCTTCAGCTTCCTACTTAGTTTCCCATTACCAACCTCAAAGTCACTCTGCTTGGATAACTTGATTCTCTCCTGATGTCTACATCTTCCCTTGAATGGGATCCCATTCCCCTACTACTCACCAACTCCTAAAATCAAGATCAGACTCTCCCACCACCTTCTTTGGGCCACATTCTAGGATTCCTTGCCCCTTACCCAAAGGCCAATAGCTCTTCATTCTCAACAGCCACAGGAGGCCCTCAACCACCCAGTTCCTTGTGCTGCCAGAAGGTGTTGTTGTTGCTCTAAGGGCAAAAGTTGTATAGAGCATTTTGATAAAAATCCAAGTGGCTACTTGAGATTTGCTTTCCTTAACATCTCATTGCCTATAATGTTCAATAATGATACTGTGCTTTGGTAATATGATGATGACATTTTTGAAGATAGAGCCATATTTTCACAGTCCGTCCATGCTGGGCAGGTCCCTTCTGACATTTGTAATACTGAAGTAAAATGAATAACAGGAATGGGCAAGAAGGGGCTGGCCTCTTATTTTATAGGCAAGGAACATCACTATTGGCCCAGCACTACTTTTGAGTTTTTTGGGGGGAAGGTGGTAATAAAGATATAAAAGATATAAAAGAGCTAAGAAAAATGGGCCTTGTTTTTAAGAAATGTGCAATCTGGTTGATAACTCTTTCTTTTTATATATAATAATAACATTGCTTTCATAAAACTTGTTCTATGCACTTTACACATATTAATTCAGTTACATCTTATGGGCTGGGTACTGTGATTGTTCCATTTTACAGAGGAGAAAACTGAGGCACAAAGGAGTTAAGTAACCTGCTTAAGTTCACACCACTGGCACGTGGCAAATTCAGGACTGAAACACAGGCAGCTTGACCCAGACCATGCACTACATTACATGATATTATGTTTCTTCACTAATGACTCTAGACCCTTGAACACCAGTAAGGGAGTTTTAATATATTAAATAATATATATTTTTAACTTTTAAAATTTATAGAAATATTATGTATTGATTTTTGAAAATATGAAAAGTGTTGAACAATATAAATAGGAAAATTGAAAATCAAGTATGACTCAGAGATCACCAGTATTAATATTTTGATCCATGCCCTAAGTTGTTCTATGCACATTTCTAATACTCATATAGTCCTTTAAAATTTAATATTGTATTATAGGTTTTATATAAAATTTTGAAATGTAAAGTTTTATGGCTAATGTTATTTTCAATTTACTTTTATAATTTCCCATTTATTTCTTCATATTATTAAATATTTCACAAAACAGTATTTTGCTTTTTAATAGTACATCACAATTTATTTAATCACCTTTTTGGTATTGCTGTTTATTGTTGTTTTCAATTTTGTGCTATTATAAGTAGTGCTGAAATGAGCACTTTTATGCAAAAAGCTTCTTTTGCATTTCAGACTCTTTGAGGTTTATTTCTAAATTTTTTTTTGTTTAAAATTACCTTTCAAATGATATTTAATGAATATTGGCAATTTTCTTTTCACAAAAGCTGTATCAATTTACATACCCCAGATGTGTATGAAATGAGAAAGACTACTTTATCTCACTCTTGCCAAACTTGACTATTATATTTTAATATAATTCCATGAGTCTAGCTGAGTTGGTATACTGATTAGAGTAATTTAACATGGTATTCTGTTGTTAATTTACATTTCTTTGCTGTTGGGTTTGAACATTTTTTTTTCACTAAAAAATGTTGTTTAAGTTTTTTAAGAATAGTAGAGACATGGTCTCACTATGTTACCCAGGCTGGTCTCAAACTCCTGGGCTCAAGCAATCCTCCCACCTCAGCCACTCTCAGAGCTGAGATGTGCTACAGCTATACCTCTTTTAACAAAGACTCATTGACAAAGACTCTCTCCTTGACCACACTCAAGTCAGCTCCTCAGGGCCCCCTTTTCAACTAAGTCCTGACCTTGGACTCTGCCCTTGGCCTACTTAGTCCAGGTTTAGCAAGAATACTGCTGGGTCAGTTTATCTAAGATTCCCCCTACCCTCAATATCTGACCAAATTCCTCAAACTTCACTCTTGGTTTCTGACCATCTTTGATATCTGATCAAATTCCTCTTCCCCACCCTTGATGTCTTATCACCCTGGCCTGCTTTCAGCAATAATCCCCCTAGCCTTGAGGTATCCTCTTAGTAATTTTCCATCTACTGACCCCTTGCTCTACTCCTTGGCTGTAAATCTCCACTTGTCCTTGTTGTATTTGGAGTTGAGCCCAATCTCTCTCCCCTATAGCAAAACCCCCATTGCAATACTTTCTTGTGTGAGACAAAGTAGCAAACATAAGAAACCTTATTTGTTCATTTCTGCTTGCTCACATAATTTCACAAAACCCCTGCCTCTGTGATGATGTGCAGCTTTGAAGACAAACCAAGATAGAGAACACGGCCTCCCACATCTCTTCCCTGACTCACTGTATTCCTTAAAAGATAAATAACCCTAATCCTTGCCTCTTCCTACATAGGAGATAAAAAGTCTGACAGAGTTAGCGATTGTACCTCTGTAATTTATAACCAGATATGCTCTTACACCCAGACTTTGATGTAGTTCTGTGATAATGTGACTTCTGAGCAAGTCTGATGTGCTTTTGCACACTCTGACACCCTGCCATCTCTATGTAAGCAGTGGGTTGAAACACTGTTCTGGGCAGTCTAACAGGAATGCTCCTGGGCTATTGGCCTCAGTCTCTGTCCTCAAGACTTCTGAATAAAACTACTTTAATTCTTTAAAACCTTGATTTTTTTGTTTGTTTAGGTGACACTTGAATAGTCTTTCTTACCATCCAACAAATTTCAGGATGAATTTTTCTGTAATGTTGTAGACTACTGCAGGAGGACTGCAGATTGATGAACAATTTGGAAGCCTGCTTGGTATTACTTTGTAAAGATGAGTGTTTGCCTACCCTATGACCACACTCTCCCACCTAGGACACTCTTCTCAAGGGGTACCAGGACCACTGCAGCCACCACGTGGGGCAGGAAGTTGGGCACTGTGCAACTTCAGGAAGGTGCCTTTTACATCACAGGTGTCTAGCTGGTATGAGCATGGTGGTGATGCAGGATTTTTCTTGGCCCCTTTGCCGGACTCACAGAAGGGGTGCCCATCTACTCAGCCCACTGTGCTCAGCCCCTTGTGGGTAGGTGCATGTGAGCTAGTGAGTGCAAAATCCAGCCCATGGCTCTGGGCACTGACACAGGAGCAAACTCCGTGCAGGGCTTGTGGCCAGACCAGCTGTGTCACCTTGAGGGGAATGCAGCAGCACCCAGGTGAGGGTGCCTGCAACCCTGAGGCCCAAGAGGGGGCGTTACAGTGCTCCTTTAATTCTGCCATCCACAGACAGCAGCATGTTAGTAGATCAATTGGCCCCTTGTATCATTGCATGGGGCAGCTGCCCTCCACCAGTGAGGGCAAAGGGCCAGTGTGACAGCCTTTCTGGGGACTCGCATTTGGTGTGTCCTGAGCTCCTGTCCAGAGTCCAAGAAGAATGTGGTCACACAGATCATTGAAGGATGGTGAAGGCAGAGAATTTTACTGAGTGATGAAAACAACTCTCAATGGAGAGGGGAGCTAGAGAGGGGACAGGAAGAGTAGATCGTCTTCCCCAAAGTCAGGTTGTCTCTTCCCTGAAGTCAGGTCATCTCCTCCTCTACTGACTGAGTCTGGGGTCTTTATAGCCACAGGATGGGAAGAGTGTGCTGATTGGTTTGTGAGTATACAAAAAAGGTTAAAGCAAAGACACCACCCAAAGGTGCACACAATAGCATAGGAAACCAATTAGGAAAGTGTAGGTATATGCAACATAGGTGACGTGTGGGGATCAATCAGAGGAAAGCATGCCAAACAGGAAGACAAGTTCTCAATCTGGTCCGAGGATTTAACTTGTAGCTTGGCTTTCAGGCTTTAGATTGTCTTTGTTTGGAGCTGGGGTTTCACCAGGGCCCCGCCCCCATCTATTTGGCATTTGGCTGCCTCCTGTCTTTCTCAGTGGCCTGTCTTGGAGACATATCAAGACTGCTCATGTATGTTGCTTAACCCCTCTGATATGGTTTGGATGTGTGTCCCCTCCATATCTCATGTTGAAATGTGATCCCCAGTGTTAGAGGTGGGGCTTAGCGGGAGGTATTGGATCATGGGGATGGATCCCTCATGAATGGCTTAGCACCATCACCTTGGTGATGAGTGAGTTCTTGCTCAGTTAGTTCACATGAGATCTGGCTGTTTATGAGTCTGGGACCTCGTCCTTCTTTTTCTTGCTCCTGCTCTCACCACATGACACAGTGGCTCCCCGTCGCCTTCTGCCATGATTGTAAGCTTCCTGAGGCCCTCACCAGAAGCTAAGCAGTTGTTGATGCCATGCTTCTCGTACAGCCTGCAGAACCGTGAGACAATTAAACCTCTTTTATAAATTACCTAGTCTCAGATCTTTCTTTATAGCAACACAAGAACAGCCTAATACACTCTTCAGGCCTCGATTTCTTTAATAAAATAAGGACAGTAAGAGTGCCCGCTGCGGGGCTTGAATGGGATTGTTACCACCTTTCCCTCTGCTCCTCAGAGTTCAGATGTAGACTCAGAAGTTAGATGGATCAACCCAAATCACTAGTTTCATTACTGAGAAAACTCAGTTGAAGAATGCAGGTGGATTTGGGGGTAGAATCGGGCTTTCCACTTCTTCCTCCTCACAACTAACACTGTCTTGTTCCATCTCTCTCACCCGCCAATCCCACAACCAATTCTGTTCCAGTAGGCTTACTCCTGGGAGGAACAAATGATTCGTGCATCTGGGCAGGCCTCAAGGAAATAGAGATGGCAGAGGGGCGAGAGTCCTGCAGGAGTCCTCTGCGAAGCAGTGAGCAAGGGGAGGTTGAGAGAGAGGCCTGGGAGCCAGTGGACATCTCTTTCTTTCTAGGTGGGAATGTAAGGAGTGAGGGAGGAAAATGCTTCTTGACATCTACCTTGTAGATCTGAAGTGAGTATTAAATGCTGTCAAGTGAGTATCACAGTACCTGACAGAGGAAATGCTTATGAAAACATGAGTTATGATTTTATAATTATCATTACAGTTGGCTAAGCAAAGCCAGCCAGTGTCTCTCTCAGTTGACTTTGCAAATCTCTGTTCTAATCCACTTCAAAATGATTTAAAATTAAGATACAGGCCATCTGATTTTTAAAAATGTTCAGTTCTTATAGTGCATTTCATTATAATAGTGGGTCTATTATATACTTCATTCTTAATTTTTTGGCCAGAATTTCAAGAACAAAAATGCTAGGGTGAGCTTTTTTCCCTTTCTTTCTTTCCTTCTTTTGTATGTTGATTTCTGATTTTAATAAAATTGCTTCTTGTGTTTTATCAGTAACAATGTTGATTGAGTTTAAGATAGATTTTTAAAATTACTGGCTTCTAAAGAAGTTTCTAAAAATCAGAGTGGATGTTAAATATCAGATAACTTCTGGAAATCTTTGGATATTATTATATAATTTAAAAATTTGACCAACAGTTGTGATTTATTACAGGTTGAACATCTCTACTGAAATGCCTCTTACCAGAAATGTTCTGGAATTTTTATTTTTGGGGGTTTTGAAAGATTTGTGTTATAGATGAGCACCCTAATCTGAAAGTCTAAACTCTGATATTCTCCAGTGAGCATTCCCTTTGAGTGCCGTGTTGGGTCAAAAAGTTTCAGATTTTGGAGCATTTTGAATTTTGGATTTTCAAATTGGGGATTCTCAACGTGTAACAGGTCTCTTCTTGTTTAATTATCCCGTATCCTTTGGGTAAATCTCATTTGACTATGGAAAATATATTTTAAACATGCTAATAAATTTAAATGGCCAATTCTTTTTGTAAAATTTATGAGTAGGATTCATAAATGAGACTAATTTTATTTTCTGGTCTGCTATCTTTGTTAACATTTTAAAATTAAGATTATACTAATTTTGCTCAATAAATTGGGAAGCTTTTCATGGTTATATATACTCTGAAACTTTTTATTTAGGAGTAATATCTGTTCTTTGAATCTTTAAAAAGTTCACCATCTGAGCTGGGATACTTCTTTTCACATAAAATGATTTGATAATGTTTGTAATTTTTTTAACCATAGTCACTGATTTTTGGTTGGTTTTGGAACTTTGTTTGTTTTAGGGAAATTACTCCAGATTATCTGGGTGGCCCCAGTGTAATCAGGAGAGAGCCCTGCCTCTTAGTTGACACCTCGATTTTGGACTTCCAGCCTCCAGAACTGTGAGAGAATAATACATTTCCGTAGTTTTAAGCTATTTGGACTCTGATACTTTGTTACAGCAACCCTGGGAAACTAATATAATCAGCCATCTCCTTAAATGCCAAGCAACAAGTGCCTTTATTGAGAGACACCCTGTAGTCTCAGCTACTAGGGAGGCTGAAGTGGGAGGACTGCTTGAGCCCAAGAGTTTGAGGCTGCAGCGAGCTATGCTTGCACCACTGTACTCCAGCCTGGGTGACAGAACGAGACCTTATCTCTGTCTTAAAAAAAAAACTATCTTGTTTTGTAAAAATTAAGTCTCCATAAGAAGCGAATATACTATTGATAACTCTTACATAATATTGCTCTGGAACATGACATTTTCCTATTAAAACCATTTGTGACTAATAGCACTACAGAGTTTCTATCCTCTTTTCTTGAATGCATGTCATGTTGTTTGTGGTTAAGCTTTTTTATATAAAGGCATTGATTTCAAAAAATCATGTAATATGGTGGTTGGAGAATTACTATAATTTTTATTTTGTAGGCCCCTACCCAAGACCCAAGCAGCATGTTCAGATATTGTTTGGGTAAGAAAAAGAGACACTTAGAAAACCCCTCAACCTCAAAATTAATGCTTTGATTGGAACAGAGACAGACTCACTTGATGAGTTACGTTCCAGAACCAACTTCAACTTTCTGAGGCCCATATTTTCTTTTGAGCTTTTTTTTTTTTTCCTGAAAGCTCTTTCTATGAAAAGCCTCTCCCCAAACCCATCATGCCTCCACTTAAATGCTCATCAGGTTGAATAGTACATGAAGCTGGGGAAATCCGAAACCCTTTCCCCAGGGAAAGTAAGGAGTAAGGCAAAGGATGGGAATACGTGATTTGCTTGGAGAAGGTGGGATATAACTTTTAATTCCCACCCCATAGTCCTCCACATTGGGACCATGTCACTTCCACCAACACCAATTTTTTTTTTTTAATTTTACTTTAAGTTGTGGGATACATGTGCAGAACATGCAGGTTTGTTACATAGGTATACATGTGCCCTGGTAGTTTGCTCCACCTATCAACCCACCATCTAGGTTTTAAGCCCCACATGCATTAGGTATTTGTCCTAATGCTCTCCCTCCCCTTGTCCCCCACCCACCGACAGGCCCCAGTGTGTGATATTCCCCTCCCTGGGTCCATGTGTTCTCATTGGTCAACTCCCACTTATGAATGAGAACATGCAGTGTTTGGTTTTCTGTTCCTGTGTTATTTTTCTGATAATGATGGTTTCCAGCTTCCATCCATGTCCCTGCAAAGGACATGAACTCATTCTTTTTCGTGGCGGCATAGTATTCCATGGCATCACCGCCAAATTTTATGCAAACAGTTCCTCTTCCCAGTGCCATGGTTTTCTTTCCAAATAAGACCCCTGCTAGCTTTCATTTGAACTGCTGCAATGGTTCTTTGACTCACCTTCCTGCCACAGCTTTTATTGGCCCCTGATTTTGTGACCAGATTATTTTGCCTTAAAATAGTTTTAAAAACATCACTTCCATTCTTTACTGAAGCTTTGAATATCTATTTATTGGGAGTTTATTATGTGCAAGACACTGTACAGTTTTCTGTTGTTTTAAGCCATAGAGGTTACAATACTCTGCCCCAGCAGCTCCAGCAAACTGATGCCACCAGGCATCTTCTTAAATGCCAAGCAGCCATGCCTTTGTCAAGAGCCATCTTGTTTACCAAAAATAGTGTCCCAATAATTTATTCTTAGAGGAAAAATAAGAGTGAGAAATAATTACTAGCTCTGATGATTATTTTTTTATTTGCAGAAAAGCAAAATGGTGCTTTATTAAGACACCATGTAAGAACAATTTTCAATAATTGTTTTATCTTTAGGATAATTTGCTTTTCTGGATAATGCAGGGGCTTGGGTTTGGAGAATCTGAATTTGGAATAAAGCAGGGCATGTGAGAAAGAGCCTTTCATGTAGCCCAGTGGCTCTCAAACTTTAGCCAGCATCAGAATCACTGGAGGGCGGTTAGAACACAGATTGCAGGGCCATGGTCCTAGAGTTTCTGATTCAGTAAGCCTGGAGTGAGGCCTGGGAACCTGCATTTTATCAAGTTCTCAGGTGCTGCCAGTGCTCTAATCCAGGACCATACTCTGAGGACTCCAGCTCTGACTCACTCACTGCGGCTGGGCCGCGGTAGGTAGTTCTTCATTTACTTTTCTTTTCAGAGCAGTGGAGTTTCTCATAGGATGCCTCATCCTGAGAATTCATTGGGGTAATGTAGATAAAGGATTAATACAGTGCTGGCACATAGTAGGTAATACATGATAAATGTCAACATTATAAACCCTCTGAGCAATTAGCTATATGATAAATACCCTTGGTGGGTTGATATTAGTGAGGGTAAGGCCAATTAGGTTTTAAAGCATTTGTGAATTCCTTAAGTTTTTCCAGTTTTGCGTTGGAATAGAGATAAGATCATGGAGTACAACACAGGCATATCCTATTTCAAGTCTTCAACTTGAACTTGCTAAATGAGCAGTTGATTTAAATGCTTGACACCAGTTTGCTTGTGTGAATGGATAGAACAGTTAACTCACTCAATGCCCCAAGAATTCTCTTTTGTGGGAAGTTTTTCAAACACATTTGGCTTCTTTGGTGAATACACATGTAGGATATTCAAAAAGCAAAAAGGAAAATGAACACGGGGATCATTAGATTTAACGTCAGCGTTGAGAGTTAAAAATAACCTGTGTGTCTTGGGGAAATGTGTCTTCTAGAATAGTACTATTCAAAATGTGGTCTGCAGATGGGCTTCTGAATATGACTCTTGGTTGCCAGTCCCCAAATGAGATAAGAAACATGTACTAGAATGTAAATTCAGAGACACCAACCACATCTCTACACACACTGTTTAGTTCCACTGGCCTTTTTGTGGGGGAGAGGGGACAAGACTTTCCTGAGGAAGGAAGCTGCGTTGATTACATTCTGGCACAAGCTCCTTTCTGGACTGGCACCTTGAGCAGCACTGTCCCAGAAGACAATGAGTTCAAGACTACATAAAAGCTTCAGCTCCTCCGTGGGTCCTGTCCCCTCTTAGCCTAAATCAGGGACTCTGTGTGTGTGCGATTCTATTGTCAGCCCACAGTTTAACAAACAAAGAGAGGCTCTCTAAAAAAAATAATTTTTACTTAAGGATTAGGAAATTGCAAGGTAATACGCATGCCGTAATAAGCTATGTTCATATTCAGGGAGGTAAGGGAAAATCATTTCTTTCTTTTATTATTAGTATTTTTAATTTCTAATTTAAATTTTATTATTATTTTCCCTTACCTCCCCAAATATGAACATAGCTTATTAATGGCATGCGTATTTTATTTTGATATAAAATAACTATCTCAAAATTTTGAGATAATTATCCTTGGCTACAAGGACCAATAATAAGAATGATGCCAATTCGAGATTGGACAGGCTGTTGCTGGGCAGATGTCCTCCCAGAAGTATTTTTTTTGTGTAAGGTTGTGATGACCTTTGTGTGAGATTATGGTTTTTGCAATCTTTTGGGAGAGTTCTGACACCTGCTACAACATGGATGAACCTCGAGGCCATTGTGGTAAGTGAAATAAGCTGGTGACAAAAGGACCAATGCTGTGTAGTTTCACATGATACGAGGTGCCTAGAGTCATCAAATTCACAGAGAGAGAAAGCAGTCTGGAGGTTACCTGGGGCTGGGGGAAGGTGAAAGGGGCTATTTAATGGGTCTCGAGTTTCTGGTGGCCTGGTGAAGAAGGTTTGGAAATACTGGTGATGGTTGCACAACATTGTGAATGTAACTGTAATGCCACCAACTGTACCCTTACAAGCGGTTAAGATGATCAACTTAATGCTATATATAGTTTACCACAATAAAAAATACAAAAAGTGCATGTTAATATATACATCTACTAGGTACCCCCAAAAATTTTCAAAATATTTTTTAAAAAAATTTAAGTGCATGCTAGTTGAAAAAAATCAAATTATATATATATGTATGTGTGTGTATATATATGTGTATATATATGTGTATATATGTGTATATATATGTATATATGTATATATATGTGTGTGTGTGTATATATATGTGTATGTATATATAAATAGCAAAGGTGAGAGAGGCCTGAGATAGGCAACAACCCTCCTCCCCTTCCCCTAGTCTCCAAAAATGCAAGGGAACAAATATCCCAAGAGACTTGGAAACTACTCCCAAGGGGCATGGAGATTGGTTGATGATGGACCAGCCAGAAGGGCCCTGTGATCTGGGTTTGGAGGTGGTGGGAGGCAGACTATGTCTGGGTGTAGGTGCAGCCTGCACACTGCCTGTTGCCTAAGACCACCAGGACTAGACCCTTCCGTGGGACCCACCAAGATGGGGCCACACCAAGACCCGCTTCTCTCTCTCTCAGTACCAGGACACTCTGTGGGCACCCGGGGAAATGGAAGGGCAAGAGACAGAATGATATTTGTCTCTGTATTAAAATAGAAGGGGTAAAATGGTCATTTACTTATTTGTTTATTTGTTACTTATTTGAGACAATGTCTTAGTTCATTCTCACACTGCTATAAAGATACTACCTGAGACTGGGTAATTTATGGGGGGAAGTACAACACTTTTAAACCATCAGATCTCATGAGAGCTCACTCACAATGATGAGAACAGCCTGGGGAAACCGCCCCCATGATCCAATCACCTCCCACCACATCCCTCCCTGACACAAGGGGATTACAATTTGAGATAAGATTTGGGTGAGGGCACAGAGCCAAACCATATCAGACAGGATCTTGCTCTGTCACTCAGGCTGGAGTGCAGTGGTGCCATCATAGCTCACTGAAGCCTCAAACACTTGAGCTCAAGTGATCCTCACTTAACCTCCCGAGTAGCTATGGGCCACCATGCCTGGCTAATTTTTTTATTTTTTATTTTGGTAGAGATGAGGTCTTGCTATGTTGACAGGCTGGTCTCAAACTCCTGGCCTCAAGTAATCCTCTTGCCTCGGCCTCCCAAATCACTGGGATTACAGTCATGAGCCACCGTGCCTAGCCAAAATTGTCTTGATAGCAAAATTAAATTTTCTGTCATCAGTGGAAATGAAATGATTAAACCAGACAACCAATCTGAAGTAAATAATGAAACACAACCAGTGTGAAAGTGTTTCATACCATCTTCCAAAGCATCCATCCGTAGCACACCCTTCCTTTTCCTCAGCTGATGAGAAAAACGTATTGGGAAGACAAGTTGACCAGGATGCTTTAGAGCTACTCAGAGTAGAGAGATAGTTGGGCCTTCCACAAGTCAGCAGTGTGGCAACTTACTATGCCCCCAACCACAGCTCTTCTTCTAAGGTAAAACCAAATGGAAACCCTGATATTAGCAGAGGCCTTTACCAATCAAGCTTGGTGGGGACCACAAGGCATTTGCTATCTTGACTTGACCGTGAAAGAGAGGCCTGGCCATGGAGATGGGTTGGATATGGAGAACTAGGGGTCTAGCTCAGGTTAGCATTATGGGAATCCACATCAAGAAGGAGGCAGGGATGGCATCGTGGAAATCCAAGAGCGAGAGTCCTGGGAAGGAAGCACTTCACTGGCCCTGCAGGTGCTTTGGAATATAAAGCAGTGTGGACACCAGAGCTCCGGGGCTGTGTGCCTCCCGTCCTGGCATCACCGTGACCTGCCCTGCCCCTCTCCACTACCTGTTCCTGCTACCCTTTGCCCCCTGGTAGCATCTGCCAATTCTTTTCCTCTATGCTATATGCATTTTAAACCTCTTTTCTGTATTTCTCCTAAGCTAAGCTGGAGCCACACGATGCCAAGTACCTGTACCTCTTGCATCTGTGCAAGAAACCTGCACCTCCCACTTTCCATTCCCCAGCCAGGCCGGTGTGGCACTGACGGGCTCTGGCCAAGGACTCTGGCTTGCTATGAAGAAGTGAACAACGGGGTAGCCATTCCAGGGGGATACACACAGGGGCTATTTCTGCCCATTTATCTGACACTGACCCTAGGCCTATTTGTACTTCATTTTCTTCATTTGAAAAAATGAGGATACTAATGGGATCTATTGCACAGGGTTGTTGTGAGGCACATATGAGATAATATGTAGAAGTACTAAGAAGAGAACCTGGTACCACATGGTGTGTGCTAGATGTGTCCCCAATTCTCAACCTGTCACTGTTCCCTCCCCACATTCCATTTAGGGTGAAGAAAGAATTTACCAGCATGACCTAGAGAGACCTGCCTCATCGGGCATTTTGCTACCTCTCTGGCTTCCTGCATCCCCTGTTTATGCCCTCCTGAAATGCTCAGCTCCTGTCAATCCTCTCCATATGTACCTGTTCCTTCCAAGGCATAGGCCTTTGCCCACACCTGGAACGGAATTAAAAGAAATTTAAAAATGTGTAAGCAAAACTCAATTGTATGTAAGAAAAACCAATTCCCCCTGAGGAAGAGAAAGAGCTGAAATCCTTTAAAAATTGACTGCCTGTTTTTCTGAGGCTAGTGAGCCTTATCTCCCCCTTTCCCAGGCATTGTGAAGACCCTGTTTCTCTAGCTGTGCAGCTGCAAGGTCACTAGACAGATAATCTCAAGTCACAAAACATGCTGTTCCTTGAAAAGTAAGAAATAATGTAATGCATGTCTTAATTGAATAACTGTCTTTGTTTCTCGTTTCTGTAATACACTTCCCCCTGCACAAATCTCCCCCCACCCCACAAAATGCTTAAAAGGTAGCTTGACTCTTTGTTGGGGGCTCAGTCTTTTGGATGTTAATCTGACTGGGTCAGTGCACCTAAATAATTAAATAATTCCTCCTCAACCCATCTCTGATGCCTTAATTATCCTGCTGCACACCATGACCTCTGCCTGGAAGGCTCTCTCCTGCCCCATGACTGATTCCCACTCACAGCTCCGACCTCAACTCAGCCATTCCTTCCTCTGGGAAGCCTCTGATTTCACCAACTCAGCCCAGTCACACTCCAGTCAGCTCCCTAGCAGCTCTTAGGGAAGTTGGAATGTGGCATTAGTATATGAGATTCGATCCGCTTGTCTCTCTGTGGCTCCTGCCTCCATGAGCATGTGCAGCCCCTACTGCCCTCCGTTCTATTTCTGGCCCCAAATGCAATGCCTTTTGCATGGATCCCAAAAAATATATTTTGAATGAATGAGTGAATGAATGAATGAAGGAATGCATGGTCATTTTGCTTTTCTTCTCTATCTTGAACCAAGCAATTCAGAGCAAGAATCTTTTCTTTCCCATTGCAAGTCACCAAACATGATGGAAAGCTGCCTTCTGGCATGGTTGTCCTTATGTTTCAGCTCCTCCGGGGCTCTCAGTGGCTTCAGAATCCCCTACAGACTCATTCTGCTGGGCACATGGTCTGAAACCCAAGAGACTCAGGCAATACTCAATTAGCCAGCCAGCTGCTGCATGCCACAGCTGTTAGCATTCCCTTCTGAGATGGGGGTGCCTCCCAGACTTCACCCACTAGTGCACTAAAACCAATTCCCACCACCCCATTTTTCCTGGGCTTAATCCTGTTCCTGACACTGATATGAATTGTGCTTTTGTAGTTACAGGCACCGAGGATCTTTCTGATTCTTCGAAGGTAAGGAGACACATGGGCTGAAACCGAGGCAGGCCTGGGACCTCCTAGGAGCAGAGGCAGTTGCCACCCATGGCCCTCACCTTGTCCTTCCCCTGAGCTGTGAGGCATTGCTGCCTTGCAGGCCTTGCTTCTCTCTGCACATTTGTCTTGCTCTTCTCTTGCTATGGAGTGGTTTCTTTATTCTGTGTTTTTAGTGGGATGTAAAGAGAAGCTGGGCCCCAACACAGGCTCTGCCATTTTCAGCTGCCTGCGTGGGGTTGGATCACATGGACTGGACATGTCCCCTCTGACACCCTTTCAGCAGGCACAGGGAGGGCACTTTCCTGTACAAAAGCTGTCGGCATGGCAGGCAGCACCACCAAATTCAATGGTCTGTGGAGGCCAGTGCTTCCATAATAAACTTTGTTTATTATCTTCTACAGAGTTCTCTGGAGTTAGAGAACCAATATGATATACATCTTAAAAAACAACTGTCTATCACAAAAAGGAGTATTACAATATATGATACAATAAAACCATCAAAATGAGTATTGAAATAAATAACACATATTCAATTTTTTAAATAGATAATATATTTACAACAGCTCAAAATACTTAAATTATGGAATAGTATTCAGTAGAAATTCTCTCACCCTTGTCCCCCATCTATCCAGTTTCCACACTCCCTCCAAAACAAGTAACCACTGTTTTTTTCACTGTTTATTTTGAAATAATATAGACTCACAAGAAATTGCAAAATTAATAAAGAGAATTCCTGATATAACCGCTCCTTAGAGTATGCTTTTCCAGGAAATACATATATAAGTTTGTATAAATGTATCATATTTTCCACTCTGTTTTATTCAAATGGCATCATGTTATACATACGTTTGCACCTTGATGCTAAAGACTGAATATGTCTTGGCAAAATTCATGTGTTGGAGCCCTAAGCCCCAGTACAATGGTATTTGGAGGTTGGGCCTTTGGGAGGTGAACAGGTGATGAGAGTGGAGCCCTCATTAATGAGATTAGTGGCCTTATAAGAAAAAAGATGATAGAGATGATCTGTTTCCACCATCCACTGTGTGAGGTTACAGCAAGAAGGCACCTGTTGGCAAACCAGGAGGGGAGCCCTCACCAGGAGCTGATTTGCCAGCACCTTAATTATGGACTTCTCAACCTCCAGAACTATGATAAATAAATGATAAATAAATTTCTTTCTTTCTTTCTTTCTTTCTTTCTTTCTTTCTTTCTTTCTTTCTTTCTTTTCTTTTCTTTTTCTTCTTCTTCTTCTTTCTTTCTTTTTTTTTTTTTAGAGGAACTTTCACTCTTGTCGCCCAGGCTGGAGTGCAATGGCACAATTTCGGCTCACTGCAACCTCCACCTCCTGGGTGGAGCTATTTTCCTGCCTCAGCCTCCTGAGTAGCTGTGTTTGCAGGCATGTACCACCAGGCCCAACTAATTTTTGTATTTTTAGTAGAGATGGGGTTTCATCATGTTGGCCAGGCTGGTCTCGAACTCCTGACCTCAAGTGATCTGCCCCTCTCAGCCTCCCAAAGTGCCGGGATTATAGGCATGAGCCACCATACCTGGCTGAGAAATAAATTTATATTGTTTAAGCCACCCGGTCCATAGTATTTTTGTTATTTCAGCCATAACTGACTAAGGCACTTTCTAAAACAGACAGACAAACTAACACATAAAAAGCCCTACTGAAGTAATTACATAATCAAGTTGTCACTTTAATTTTTTGTGTCACTTTTCCTGGATCAAAGTTTTTCTCTGATGCAAAACATGATATTCTCTTTACTCCATATATTGGCTCAGGTATCATAAAAAAAAAATCAAAACCCTAGGGCTGTTTTCACAAATATGCCATTTAAAATGCATGGTGCCAAACCTCTTTCCTGAACATTTTCTTCCAGCAGATCTGAGTTGGTGTGTGGAAATCTATTTAAAAAAAACAAAAACAAAAACAAGTTCTTCAGGTGATCTAGCTAGATCTAGCACATGCAAGTTCTTACTCAGATTCTGGCAATTGTTGTCTAAGAATATATCGACAGAGTACATACTTTTAAAAAGTTAATGGACTGGTGTATAACCAAAGCCACAACACCCCACACATGTGACTGTGATCTTTGCTCCTTTGCAAAGTCCTCACAGAGTTGAAGAGTTCTGCACTTTGTTCCTTCCCTGGCACACCTGTGTCTGCATTCCTTCTATCTCCCGGCATTCTCCACTCCTGTCTCTGTGTGTTTAAAAACCGGTGTGGGAAGTGTGCACGCCTGTGACGTCAGACTCCAGACCATGTATTTCCTGACTCCCATCTTGGTAGCCATTCTCTGCATTTTGGTTGTGTGGATCTTTAAAAATGCCGACAGAAGCATGGAGAAAAAGAAGGGGGAGCCTAGAACCAGGGCCGAAGCTCGCCCCTGGGTGGATGAAGACTTAAAAGACAGCAGTGACCTGCACCAAGCAGAAGAAGGTAAAGACACCAGCTATGCTGCTTAGCTTCGCTGTCGTGTTGTGTTGATGATGAGTGTGAGTCAATGGCAGGGCTTATGGAGAGGAAGAAACACACACAGGCCAGCTTCAACATCAACCTCTATTGTGCTAATGAATCAGTGCTTGGCACAGACAGGTCATCTCTCTCCAGTGATGAGCTTGTCACCTGCTGGGACCAACCCTTTTTTATTTTTGATGCCCAGTGAAAAAGCTGTTGAGAGGCTGAAGTTTTCCCTGGCTACAATTCTGTTCTGGTTGTTAAAATCTTTCTGCAGGAATTCATCCCAGGCTGGCAGTGGGCAGGGACTAAGAGGCCAGGTTTTGATCAGGAACTTTGAAATCTACCAAGTGGCATCACCTAGGAGGCTGCTACCTTTCCCTGTGCCAGGCCCTGGAAGTGAAAGCCTGGGATGGCCTCTGTCCTCAACAAACTGAATGTCCAGTTCAGCTGCCAAGATGATACACTAGAATCAGAGAGAGTAACAAAGAGACAGACCCGGTGGAACTGATTCTAAGGTGTTTAGAGTAGGCCTGGGAGTTTGACGGTGCAGTCAGGGAAAGGACAAACCAGGCTGGGAGGATGAATAGGGTACAAATAGCAAGTGCTGGGAGGCCTGTCAGGCAACAAGGAGCCAAAGGAGCAGAAGCACCTGGAGGCCTGGGGCAGGGGTAAGAGAGGAAGTGGAGAATTGAGGGTGGAGGGAGAGGGTAAGAATGGAAGTAGAGAATTGAGGGCGGGAAGGTTATGGCCACCTTGAGAAGAAGAGGTGATGAAGGAGGCAGGTAGGAAGGGAGAGAGCGTGGAGGAAGCTTGAGCCATCTGTGTTTGAGAAGCTTTGTCTGGGATGGGTTCGATTTGGAAGAGGCTCTGTGATCTTCAGCTGGGCTAATGATGCCCCCATCCCCAAACAGAGGCCACCTGGACATGTGAGTGTGTGTGAGTGTATGTGTGTGAGAGTGTGTGTTTATGAATGTGCATGTGTGTGTGCGCGTGCGTGTGTGTGTGTGCATGAGAGTGGATGTGTGTGCGCGTGCATGTGAGTGTTCATTAATGTGCATGTGTGAGTGTGTGTGCATGAGTGTGTGTGCACGAGTGGGTGAGTGTGCGTGTGAGTGTGCACGTGTGTGCATGAGTGTGTGTGAGCATGCATGAGTTTGTGTGTGCATGCATGAATGTGTGTGTGCGTGCGCATGAGTGTGTTTGTGAGAGAGTGTGTGCATGAGTGTGTGTCCTAATCTCAGGACCGGGGCGCAGGGTGTCCAGCTGGCTCTCAGTGCTAACAGCCTGTAGTGCTGACTGCACCGTACAGGAGTCTAGCCTCTCAGCAGGGCTGCCTCTTGCTCTCCTACATTGAAACCTCTTCCACTCAGAACGTCAATTCTACCCAGCGGAGAAGCACTTCCCTTAATCCAGGGAACATCTGCTGTGAAGCTGGGTAATGGTTTGTGCTGGTAAGGATGGCCTGGATGGTGGGGGCAGGTGGGAATGCAGTGGAAGGCGTGGATCAGAGTAAAGTTAATGGAAGAGCAACAGGGTTTGCTAGTAAATTGGATATTGGGAAAAGGAGGAGAGAGGGAGAGTTGGAGACTGGAAGCTATCATAAGTGGGTGAGGGAATGAGGATCCAGCTTAAAGGGGAAGATGTTGAGTTCCATCGAGGACATGTTTGATTTCAGACGACAGTGACACACCTGAGCAGAAAAGGGAGACAGCAGTCTATGTTAGGGGCCCAGGCCACAGATACTGACTGGAGAGTCACCAGTATGGGGAAGATACTTGGAACCTGGAGAAATAATGAATCCACAAAGTGGGCATTGCTAGAGAGAAGGCTGAGGATAGAACTTGAGGGACACATGCGGTTAAGAGGAACTGTGGAAGAAAAATGTACTAGAGAAAGGGAGGAGCTGTGGGAAAGGGGGCTCTGGGATCATAACAGTAACAAGCCCTTATATATTAATAGCTCTTAATGTATGCAATCACAGCCACATATTATGTGTAGTAAATCATTTCATCTTCATGACAGTACAATGAGGTAGGCACTATTAGAATCCCCATATTACAGATAAGGAAATTGAGGCCCCAATAGGGTAAGCTCAGGAAGGTGATTGCAGAGATAGGACCCAAGCCAGCTGTTTGCTGGGCTGCCTCTCCCCTGGGAGAATGACCTAGAATGGAGGAGGCAGGAGATAGCCAGCAGGGACCAACATTCTCTGAGAGACCAGAAAGAGTGTGCATCAAGGAAAGGCCACTGGATTTGAAGACCCAAGAGGTTTGAGGACACAGGAGAGCTCGGGCAGGCTGTTGAGGGTCAGGTCCTGGGGCTGGGCCTGGAGGCTGGGAACATAGAGCAGAACTGGAGGGCCTTTCTCTGGCTCTCTGCCTGATCACTTACTTTTGCAAAATGCTTTGCCTCTTCATTCTCTGTTCCCTGCCATCCTCATCCTTGTCTTATCTTTATACAGAGGAATGAACAGGACAGCCTTAGTGTCGTCCTTAGCAGCTGGGACAAAGTCTGCCCTGAGTGTGGTGTCCACAGATCTCTTGTATGGGGATTCTAATAGGGCCTACCTCATTGTATTGTCATGAAGATGAAATGATTTACTCCACATCTCTTATGTTGTTTACATAAGTGGTGCATGCCAAGGTCACACAGGTGACCAGTGAGAACCAATGCTTAAACTCAGGCTTCTCAGCCCCCCAAGTCCCTGCTCTCAGTCACAGGGTGGTTGGACATGATCTACGTGGGGATATTACTCTAGGTCCAGAAGGGATTGAGCAGGAGCTAACTGGAGAAGAGAACGGACTCCTTTACTGAAGACACATGGAGTTGGTGTTGTTGACTGCAAATAGATACCAGATTGAAACCATTTTTAATATTAACAAGGTATTAAATGGTAAAATAAGTATTGTAGGCCATTCTAGCATGAGTTAAGGAAAATATGGGTACCCATCCAACCTCCTGCAGCTCTGATTCACAAAGAATTCCTACTGCATGTTCACAGGTCAGAGAATCGGCATGTGTGTGTGTGGGTGGGTTGTGGGGTGGTGAGGGGTCATTGTGTGACCATGCTTATTAGACATGTGTGTGTGGGTGGGGTGGGGGGTGGTGAGGGAACATTGTGTGTCCATGCTTATTAGACATGTGTGTGTGGGGGTGGGGTGGGGAGTGCTGAGGGGTCATGTTGTGTCCATGCTTATTAGACATGTGTGTGTGTGGGTGGGGTGGGGGGTGGTGAGGGAACATTGTGTGTCCATGCTTATTAGACATGTGTGTGGGGGGGTGGGGTGGGGAGTGCTGAGGGGTCATGTTGTGTCCATGCTTATTAGACATGTGTGTGTGTGGGCGGTGTGGGGGGTGGTGAGGGAACATTGTGTTGGTCCATGCTTGTTAGACATGTGTGTGTATGGGTGGGGTGGGGGTGGTGAGGGAACATTGTGTGTCCATGCTTATTAGACATGTGTGTGTGGGGGTGTGTTGGGGGTGGTGAGGGAACATTGTGTGACCATGCTTGTTATACATGTGTATGTGTGTGTGGGTGGGGTGGGGGTGGTGAGGGAACATTGTGTGACCATGCTTATTAGATGTAGGGTACAGTCTCCCTTTGCAAACCAGCCAAGGTTGGTGTCCTGTTAATACCTTGTTTGTCTACAGTTAGGGTCCAAGAAAGAAGAGTTGCTGAAGTTTATCTCAAAGAAATAAGTCTCAGATTGTCCCAGTAAAGTGAACTGAAAATCCTACCCACAAATCCTCTAGTTAGGCTCAGATTCATAGAAGTCCATAGAAATGGGAAAAGAAGAAAAAGATAGGAAACACATCTCATCAAGATGAATCTGTTTTAGTGTTAGTGGGGGATTCTTCTGCACTTAGCTTCACTGGCCATCCAAAAGCTATTATTCTAACTGAAGTCACTAGCTGAATAATAAGTGACCCAACTTGTCCAGTCTTTTCTAAGAAAGGCCTGAGTTAAAATTTTTTATCCAGTGTGAGTAACATCTGAGAACAAAAATGTTCCTACAAACTTGAGAAACAGATTGTTATGTGCCCATAATAACAAGTAGCTTTCAAAACTGGTTCCAAGCCTGAGCAGTGAATCAATGACAACTCATTTCAGAATAAACTTGGCAAGCTAACCAATCAGTGTCAGCCTCATGCTTCTGAAAGCCAGCCAACCAGGGGTGCACTCACTCCAGGGCCAGCTCCTCTGAGTGTCAGAGTCTCAACCAAATGACACTGATCCTACAAATGATGTGTGCCACTTGCAGCTCTGAAAGTCCACCAGTGCCTGAACTTCATGCTCCCCAACCAAGTAGCATACTAGGGCGAGTCTCTGGGGATTAGCAGGAGCCAACTGTTAAATATTTAGGAGTTTTTTGTTAAATCATTAGTGGCTTGAAGTCACGCCATGGTGTGATTATTTACATCAGTGGATACTGGCAAGTGCTATGAATCAGTGCTTTCTCCCTTCCACCCCACAAAGAGTTGGCTTACCAGCCCACCACTGCCAAAAATTCTATATTAAGTCAGCATTCTACTCTGCTCAGAGAGTCGAGCTTGATCAACATAGTTGTCTTTTACTATGGGAAGCAATGCAATCAGCTTTGTCTTAGACACACCTAGACATTAATACTTTCACATGGCTAATTTAAGAGGTTGGTTTGCTAGACTCCTGTAAGACCTTAAGCTTTTAGAATAAGAGACAGGCAAGTTTAGATGAGAGAAGAGTAGGAAAGGAAAAGGACTTGAATGAAGACATTGTTCTTGAGATCAAGTCTGGGTGGGTTCCTACTAGGGGAAAGTTAGGGTCAGCAGGGGACACTGGGGTACCCAAAGAGATAAAGGGTCTCAGAAGACAAATCCTGTCTTCACTCCACTGCTTTGGAGAGGAAGATAAAAATACCTTTTCCTCTACCCAATCTAGGTTCATGGCTGAGGCCCCTGTAACAAAAGACAGAATAACAGAAAAGTATACATGTTTATTTAGCATAAGTTTCATGTGACACAGGAGCCTTCATAGGGAAATGAAGATCCAAAGGAACAGTTAAACCTGTGTGTTTTCATGCTAGGTTTGGCAAAAAGTGAACAGTCGTGGAGACATACAAGAGGACAGAGGGGCTATGGTCTAACGTGGTCTAATGGCAATAAACTGGGGAAACTTAGTGTATTAGTCTGTTTTCACACTGCTGATAAAGACATACCTGAGACTCAGTAATTTATAAAGAAAAAGATTTAATGGACTCACAGTTCCATGTGGCTAGAGATGCCTCGCAATCATGGTAGAAGGTGAAAGGCATAGCCTACGTGGTGGCAGGCAAAGAGGGAATGAGAATCAAGCGAAAGGGGCTTCCCCTTATAAAACCATCAGCTCTCCTGAGACTTATTCACTACCACAAGAACAGTATGGGGGAAACTGCCCCCATGATTCAATTACCTCCCACTAGGTCCCTCCCACAACACATGGGAATTATGGGAGCTACAATTCAAGATGAGATTTGGGTAGCGACACAGCCAAACCATATCACTTTGCAATATGTATTTGTTCAGATTCTTCTCTGTGTCCCTAACATCCTCAGAGATGAGAATGCTCCTTTCCTCTGGGTGGGCACCTCTTACTTGGGTGCCATATGACCTGCCTCAGGGGAGGGTCAGGAAATTCTTCCTAGATTTTATGACCTGCTTCAGGAAAGAAGGGCAGTGGAAGGTCAGAAAGCCCTTTTTGCTCTGAAGTTGGCATGCTTTGGGGTAATATGTTCTGAACCCCACTGGCTTTAGGAAAGCACTTCCCTATTCAAGGTGTCTCTTTCTGGGCACCCTTCAGCCTTCCCAATCCCTACCCACCTCAGTGCTACTAATGAAATAATCCATCTATACAGCAGCCAGATGTCACCTTAATAGTTCTGTTGCTCGATGCACACAGCAAGTCAATACACTGAGACATCAGGTTGCAACAGAGAAAGAGGTTTAATCATAAGGCTGCTGAATGAAGGGACAGGAGGAAACCTTAAATCCATTTCCCTGAGGAGTTTGGAGCTAGGATTTTTTAGAGTTTTGGGGTGGGCCAAAGTGTGGAGGTCACTGATTGGTCAGAGCGCAGGGTGAAGTCATGGGACAGGGAGATGAAGAAACTGTATTCTCATGCTGATTCCACTGCATTATGGGAGTCTTCAAACTGGTTGGCATCAGCTATTTCACTGGAATTCGGATCTGAAAAACATTTTAAGTAGTTTTTAAATAAAAGCCTTATGATCGTGATGGATAGATCCTATCTATCTCAAACAAAAGCCTTGTGACTCTCATGTCAGAAATTCTATGCATAGGAACAGCGGGGATGCAAACGGTCAGTATCTACTAGTGCTATGAGACTTTCAGAACAAGGAAGTGGGTCAAAGCAGCCTGATGAATGCTTGATTATAACTACTTCTGTCCATAATTCTTGTTAGCCCTATGAGGATGGCCTCACAGGAAGTGGGATGACTGAGAGGCCCAGGTAGGGAGCACAGCAATGGTGAAGCAGCTGGGAAAGAGGCATTGTCGGGGCAGATGCTGAGCCCTGAAGTGGCTCCCATCCTCACCTTCAAAATCTGCATCACCCTCCTCCTTAGTAACATCACTCCTCAAGGCTTCCAAAATTGCAAGAAGGGAACAAGGATGATGTGACACAAATTGTCCTTGGTTTCTTGATTAGAAAATAGTGGTCCATTTGCAAAGACTGTGTAGTAGAACTGTAAAAACACTAAAGCAATGTATTTGGAGATGTAACCAGAAAAACACTTCCATGCTAAATGTGAAAAGATAGAAGTGACCTAGAATTACTTGGCTGGCTAAACCTAATTATGGCACAATTAACGGATTCCTTGGCATTAAAGCGATTGTAGGGACCAAGGGACTGATTGCTAGAAAGCTGATAAGGTGTATTACCACTCCCCCTTCACATCTACTTCCTTCTAACTAAAAGTATACAGTTTGGGCCAAAACTGCTCCTGCTAGCGAAATATGAAAAGAAATTTCTCCTCTGCCCTCTGAAGGTTCACTGAAAATGAACTGACAAGAGACAGATTAATAGAAGGAAAGGCATACAGATTTATTTAACATGTATAAGCACTGGGGAATCGCCAATAACCCAGTGGGGTCCAGATGCTTATATATCCTTCTTCATAGGGGATGAGGGGATGGTGGGAGTGTGTAGGAGTAAATGACTTTCAGGGAAAATGAATGGGTCCAAAGAACAATGCCTTGGGATGAAGTTCCTTGAGCTTATGAGAGGCAGTGGGAAGGCGAGGGGTGGAACTTCACTGTGAACAAAAGTCTTCTCATTATGCAGGTAAAGTTCCCCAGGTTGTCTCTGTCTGCCTGGATTCCCAGGCAAGGGATCTTAAGACAATTACATTTCTTCATCTTCTTCTTTTCTTTTCTTAATAGATGGGGTATTGCTTTGTTGCCCAGGCTGGAGTGCAGTGGCATGATCATAGCTCACTGAAACCTCAAACTCCTGGACTCAAGCTATCCTCCCACCTCAGCCTCTTGAGTAGCTAGGACTACAGGCACACACCACCATGCCTAATTTTTAGACTTTTTGTAAAGACAGGGTCTCTCTATGTTGCCCAGGCTGGTCTCGAACTCCTGGGCTCAAGCAATCCTCCTACCTCAGCCTCCCAAAGTGCTGAGATTACAGGCATGAGCCACTGGGCACATCCTAATTACATTTCTTTTGGAAAGAAATGCCCCTAGTCAGATAGCGAAATTCCAGAAAGAGTCTCTCTCAGTGCTTCAGGAAAAAGGATCAGAGAGACCAGAGACCAGGCAGGTCAGAGGGAGACCTGGAGGTGCTTCTTCAGTTCACCAGGTCAAGTGCCAAGTGTCAGTATTTTAGGGTATTGTTTGCAGACCCCCAGTGCAAAGATACAAGGCAAGTTACTGTTGGTATCAATAGCAAGTTCCAAGTGTGGCAGCACAAGATTTCATTCAAAAAGCAGACCATAATAGTATACATTTGCTTTGCACTGTGTGGACCTTCGAGCTTGAATAATCCCTAGTGGCTCCACTGCTCTAGAGTGAAGGCAGGAAAACAAAGGGGTTACACAGTCTGCTCTCTTGCCTCTGGCTGAGGGCCACATTCCTCGGGAGCAGTCAGGAGTTCAAGAGAAGGGGACAAGTGGAAGCTCACTGTGCTCCTAGCCCAGCCCTGCTAGTCTCATTCCCCAGCCATAGTATAGACCTTCTGCCCTGTGAAAGGCTCCAGGAATGGCAGCCCGGCTGTGCACTGCTCCGAGAGTGCACTCAGGACAATCCCATCAGGAGGTGATGAGGATCATTTGTTTGACCATTCCCTAGTCAGGGATAATGGTTAGCACTGATAATGAGGTAACAGTTTGCTTCCTTCTGCTAATTAGGAGAGTCTGCCTTGGACTCTAGAAGCTGTGGAAACTGCCAAGTCATGCATTTAGACTGCTTTCAGTTTTTACAAGTGCTGAATGGGTCTTAAGACTTAGTAACTTACCTTTCAAAGAGTTAAGGAAGCATTTAATGCATTTGCTTATATACCACTTATTAACTACAGAGGCTGCCAGACTTCATCTTAAATGGTGTCAAAAGTATCATTGGTGTTGAAAGTCTTTATTGACACCTTGATAAAGTTCAGAGTTGTCACTGTGACGTTCATGACATTGGCATTTCGCTGGGCCAGGACTGATTGTTAGAAAGTTGATAGATGTTTATTACCACTCCCCCATCACACATACTTTCTTCTAAATAGGCCCAAACTGTCCCTGCTAGAGAAATATAAAAGGAAGTTTCCTCACTAAGAGCTATAAGCCAAAAGTAGCGCCTGCTAACGTTGTTATTGGTGTTCCTCAGAAGGTGAATTCTCTACCTGAATTCCACCTGGAGAATGGCCAAGTCCCTCAGGGCGGGTCTTTGACCTTCTTCCACTCTTCCTTTCTTTTTATTTTATTTTATTTTATTATTATTATACTTTAAGTTTTAGGGTACATGTGCACAATGTGCAGGTTAGTTACATATGTATACATGTGCCATGCTGGTGCGCTGCACCCATTAACTCGTCATTTAGCATTAGGTATATCTCCTAATGCGATCCCTCCCCGCTCCCCCCACCCCACAACAGTCCCCAGAGTGTGATGTTCCCCTTCCTGTGTCCATGTGTTCTCACTGTTCAATTCCCACCTATAAGTGAGAACATGCGGTGTTTGGTTTTTTGTCCTTGCAATAGTTTACTGAGAATAATGATTTCCAATTTCATCCATGTCCCTACAAAGGACATGAACTCATCATTTTTTATGGCTGCATGGTGTATATGTGCTCACCATCACTGGCCATCAGAGAAATGCAAATCAAAACCACAATGAGATACCATCTCACACCAGTTAGGATGGCAATCATCAAAAAGTCAGGAAACAACAGGTGCTGGAGAGGATGTGGAGAAATATGAACACTTTTACACTGCTGGTGGGACTGTAAACTAGTTCAACCATTGTGGAAGTCAGTGTGGCGATTCCTCAGGGATCTAGGACTAGAAATACCATTTGACCCAGCCATCCCATTACTGGGTATATACCCAAAGGACTATAAATCATGCTGCTATAAAGACACATGCACACGTATGTTTATTGTGGCACTATTCACAATAGCAAAGACTTGGAACCAACCCAAATGTCCAACAATGATAGACTGGATTAAGAAAATGTGCCACTCTTCCTTTCATTCCTCCTGGTCATGCTCATCGCTTCCAGAGGGCTCCAAATGGGATCTCACCTTCAAAGCTCACACATTTCCTTTTGTACTTGACACCTGCACTTGAATGGCTTGCAGCATCTGGAATCAGGCAGACTGTTGACTCCTGTTCCTCCTTCCTGCCCACCCCCAATAGTTCATCTCTTAGTCCTCCTGGCTCAGTGGATGGTTCCATCATCTAACCAGGCACTAAAGCCAGAAACCTGGCATTGATTCCTGGTTCCTCCCTCTCTCTCTCAGCCACTCTCAACCACCCATGTTAGCCAGTCTTTCGATTTCTATTTCTAAGGTGTTTCGAGAATCTGCACACCCCTGTCATTCTTTCTGCTTCTCCAAGGGTCCAAGCCAGCATCGTCCCCCAGTCAAGCTATGTCTACAGCGTCTGTATGGATCTGCGTTTTTCACATTGTCTGCTAAATATACTTGAATCCCCAGCCTCTTTCTTATTCCTCAAGTTTCACATTACATGCCATCCCCTTGGGAATCACTTTGTGTCCTCCCTCTTTGTACCATCCCTTCTTATTCTCTGTCACTTCATAGAGAATTAATTGTCCTCATAGGAGTGATTACAGTTTGTAATTCTATGCATACATACATTTGCTGCTTTGTTTAAATATATAAGGAATAAGGTTATTGTTCCAAAGAGGAAAATTGTTACCTTCAATCCTTTCCCTAAAATGTTACTAATCGGAGAAGATTAAAATTCATATCATAGAGGAAGAGAGTGAAAATTAAACACCACACCTAGAGCCCAGGCAAACTTTGTCATAAACCATTGTTTGTTCTCAGGTCCCATTCAATTCCCAAAGGGAATTATTGACTATCCATTATCTGATCATTGGGTCCATTCATTCCCCCTGAAATTCATTACTCCTACACCTCCCATCTCCTCTTCCTCTATAAAGAAGGGTGTATAAGCATTTGGACCCCGTTGGGTTATTGAGTGATCATTCTCTTGCTATTGCCCCATGCTATGCATGTTAGAATAATTTTGTATGGCTTTTTCTCCTATTAATCTGTCTTTTGTGAATTCATTTTCAGTGAATCTTCAGAGAGTGAGGGAGGAAGCTTTCCCCCTTCACCCCTATAGTATAAAAGTCACATCTGTCTTGTTCACTAATATATATATCAAAGGCTCAATAAAAGCCTTGTTGAATGACTTGTATATTTCCATCTTCCAGGAAGATTTTGAGAACTTTACCAAATGTAATTTGCATTATACATAGTATTTGGTGTTTTGCAAATTACAATTGTAACCTGAAAACTTGTTTTTTCCCAACTAATCATACCCACCAGAGATTTTTATTCCACTGTACCACCATTCTCTCCCTAAAACACCACAACTACCACTACCACTACCACAACAACAACCACTGCAAAATCATTGCTATTGGCATTTCCTGAGCAGATGTCTAAAAAAAGAAAGTTGTTTAGTTCCACTAATATAAAACAGATCAACTTTAGGACTTGCGCTGCTTCTTCATGCTTTGTTCTTTTAGCTAATGTGTAATACTTACATAACCCAAGGGTTAGCTGAGCTCATCCTATTTAGAAAAAAATAAATAAACTAAAAATAAGATTTAAAAAAGGCTGAATCCTCAATCCTACATGCTTTGAGGAGGCCAATTCCCTCTCAAAGATTTGACAATCCCCACAGAACCTGTGTCTATGGAGCCACCTCTGGCTCTGAGGTTCATGCCCAAGGGACCCCCGATTTCCTCTATGTGTTTTCTTCTTCCACCTCACACCAATTTATCTGTGGAAATCAACCTTTGTTTCTGTTTGTTTCTTTGGTCTCTCACTTCCCAACTCCTCAAACAGCATGTTAGCATTTGGGGCAGCCCTTCTTCCTTCTAAAGGTCTTTTGAGCCACTGTCATAGGCCTCCCTTTGGGCTCCCCTCCCCAAACTCTGTTCCCCTCACTTGATCATGCTCAGCTCCTCTCCCCCAAAGACTCATGCCTATGCTCTGAAAAAGAGTGGTCCATGGAATCCAGGGACATGGCAGCACAGGAAAATCGTCAGAGGTTTACAATTTTACACTGTCTTCTTCCCTCATCAGCCTGGTGAGGGGATGTGAGCAACAGGAAGTTTATTTTCCACAAATGATGCTACTTTGCTCAAAAGGCAAAAGTACCTATGGCCAGTTTTGTTTACACTTTTAAGTTCTTACTCATTGTATTAAACTCCAAATCTTTCTTGAAAGTATTGATATTTTAAACACGAAACAGAAATTTAAAAATATTGGTTTTGCTATTGTACTTACAGAAATGGTAACATGGCAAGAAATTCATCTCTAAGGATCTAAGTTTCCACTGTATCTAGACTTTACCTACTTTTGCTGAACCTGAACTTTCACTGCATTGAGAAAATGTCAAGTGTCTTTTCTCCTTTTTTAGAAGTTTTGTTTAAAAGTTCTGAACAGTTGACTTATTCCTGATTCCTCTGGTAATTAATCTCTATGGCCTTCTTCTCATTGAAAAAACTCTTAATTGTGAAATGCACTCACTGAAGAAGTGTATAAAACACAGATGAACAGCTTAACAAATAAGTATTAAGCAAAACCTTATACAATTATCACTTAGGTTAAGAAATATACACATCCAACATTTCATAAACACCCATATGTCCTTCCCCAGTCACAACCTCTTCTATTTCCAACAGAAGTAACTTCTATTTTGAATTTTATGAAAATTATTTCTTTGCTTTTCTTCTTAGTTGCATTACTCTTACACAACTAAACATTCCTAAACATTAAAATTATACTGTTTATATTCTTTTGACTTGCTGTTTTATATTTGTAAGGGTCAAATATAATGCAAAGCAGGTTAGGCATGTAACTGAGGCTTATTCATTTTCACTATTGTATAGTATTCTGTTATATGACTATATCACAATTTATTCTACTGTTGATGAACATTTGGTCTATTTCTAGTTTAGGACTATTATCAACTATTTCTGTAAACATTTTAATACTAGTCTTGTACATATGTGCATGGATTTTTCTGGCGTGTGCAAGCAATTGCAGAGTCATGGTGTGAAGGGCCTGATGATGTACCACGCAGATCCCCCCTTGAGGAAGGGCTTGCTGTCTCTATTGCTGCGAGTACTGTCGGCCTCTTGCAGGAATGGCCTCTGCTGTAGATAGCTATCTCTCCCGAGATCCCACCCCTCCCAGGATGGCCCACATCTAATGACTGATTGCAGTGGTCGTATAAAGGTCCAGCCATTATGGCCTAATCTGAGACAACTCTGATGGACAATTTTAGTTTCAAAATAGCCCTTGCTGTGGTTGAGGCCGTCTCTCAGCTTGCATTGCAGCTTGGCTTCTTCTGCCCAATCTTGTTTCTTTCCTCTCCCTTCCATAGGTTTTGATCCCAAAGCTACTTCCTATAAACATTCCACACACGACTCAGTCTCTGAGTCAGCTTCTTGGAGAACCTAAGTAGAGACATGTAGGGTATACCTCTATCCAATTTTACTAGACAATACTGAGTTTTAAAATCTCGGATTGGTATTTTTCAACAATTTTGGAAAAATTTCAGCCATTGCCTTTTCAGATATTGCCTCTGGCCCATTTCCTCTCTCTCTTCTCCTTTCAGGACTCCAATTAAATGGTTAGACCTTCTCACTGTATCCTCTGATGTCTTTTACATTCTCACCTATGTTTTCTGTCTTTCTCTTTCCATGCTACATTTTGGATAGGTTAGAAGAAACTATCTTCCTATTGATTCATTTCCTCTTTAGCTGTGCCTACACTGATGTTAAACCTATTAATTGAATGTTTAATTTAGTTTGTTTTCATTTTTGTTTCTAGAGGATCTTTTTAGTTCTTTTTTCCAAATTTGCTGTCACTTTTTTCTGCCAAAGTCGTGTGTCTTGTATTTCTTTGGACATAGTAAGCATAGTTGTTTCATGATCTGTGGCTGATAACTCCAGTATCATAAGTCATTGTTGGTCTGTTTCTGATGCCCATAGTTTTTTAATGGTTCTTATTCATAACTTTGTGTTTTCCTAAATACATTGTTATTTTTCATTGTTTGCTAGTCATTCTTTTGGAAAAGTACTTATAAAAACTTTGTGAGGTCTAGGATATTGGTACTTATTTCCAGGGAAAATGCACTTTTGTGCTTACATGGTGTGACACTAATACTCTGGGATGACTTTAACCTAAGGTCAAACCCTGTGGTTCCCTGGATCACTCAGATGATATTATCTTAGGCTGCAAGCACATATCAGGGCTGGTTTATTTAAAATCCCCCCTTACTATGAGACTGTAGACCTTCAGGGTCCCAGCTTAAAGTGTAGGGGGCTGTCAAGTCTCCATGGGTAGACCTGGGATTTTGGCTTTTGTCATCATCCTTTATCTCAGATCAACCTCACAGCTGTTTCTTGGTAATTGGAAAATACATAATACTCTGGGCATTTGAATGCTGGTCTACCTCTGTGGTACTAACCTTCAGCTAGATTTTGACCGTCATTTCCTACAATAACAGATGAGCATTCCAATGCATACAAGAAAATGTTTTAAAATATATCTTACAAAGGATTTCAGTTGTTTTGGTTTTCTAGCTTGCGGCGTTCATAAAAATTCTCTAATTAACCACTACTAAAAGTGAAAATCCTTTAACAGATGCCACAACCACAAATTGCAGCAACTATAACCACAGCTGCATCAGCTAATCAATGAGATCAAAATGGATTTATGGTCGGGTGCAGTGGCTCATGCCTGTAATCCCAGCACTTTGGGAGGCTGAGGTGGGAGGATTGCTTGAGCCCAGGAGTTTGAGGCCCATGCAACATAATGAGACCAAGTCTCTAAAAAAAAAAAAAAACAAAAACAAAAACAAAAAAAATTAATGTTTAAAAAAAACCTCCTCCCAAAAAAAACCCTTGAAGTGGATTTGTATCTACTAAAAGAAAAAAGTAACAAGTTATTTTCTTCCATCACACAGCTCAAGGCATGGGATACACATCATATCAAGCACATATAATTGGGTTTTGGGGAGGTTGTCAATGAGGAAGATATATAACAACATTATATTCAGTTTCCTAAAGACACAATTTAGGTAGTACAATAATGATTCAGGTAGGACACAAACACATGCACACACATACATTTTAATGGTTTAAAACATCTTAAATTTGTTATTTTAGGAAAGTGAGTGCTGAGCATTTTCAGCAATATCACAGCAGACTGATGATCTGTTCTTATCTAAGTAGGAGTTGCTTTCTGTGTGATATGGCTTCTCTACACCCATTCCCATCAGGCTGCAAAATATTAGGGCAGGTTTGTTAAAGACTGAATTATTGTGTAAAAGAACCATCTACTCATTAGATCCCAACAATATTTTCAGTGTTTACTCCATGGGCAGCCTTCTCAGTGAAGCTTTCTTTATGCGATTCAAATTTCACTGAAAAAATTCCAACACATAACAATTCATTCTGATTTGATATACTGAGGTTTACTTTCTGTACTGGCCTCATTTTGGTATATTTTGCCTCCTAAGTTCTAGGAATTGATAAAACTCAGCAACAACTGGAAGCCCAAGACCAGCCTAAGACAAGCAAGGAATATCTATTATTATTATTATATTTTTGCCATCCAAACATTTTCCCCTCAATAATTTTAACTGTTTGAAGACAGCATCTTAGAATTTTTTTCTGTTGAAATCTTTGTAGTTCAGAAGTATGTCTTTTCATGAGCTTAAGTGAAATGAAGAAACAGTATTCAGAAAAGCTGTGAAATTTTGGATATATAACGAACAATTTTGAGAATATTGGAATGTAGTATCTGGGAATTTGACAATACAGTCTTCAGAACTCTTGTTTGTAGAGACTATCTTGAACTTCACAAAGTTATTTATTGGAAAATCTTCTTCTAAAATAACATAACTGGGTGTGCCCTTGGTGAAGCTTTTAGTGCACTAGACACATCATCCTTCTTATCTTCTGCCATATCTGTGGGCTCATTTTCTTTCTCCTCAGTTTTGGCATTTTTAGCTCCAGTGATTGACCCTTCTGTTGCATCTTCATCTTCTCTAAGATCTTCAACTACTGATAATGAGCTTGCAGAACTTTCTGAACAGGAGGGTAATGGGGAAAACAGAAGAAGTGGCAGAAGCAGGCAGACATAATGAGAAATTTTATGTAATTAAATGTAACAGTTCTTTTCTCATGTTTAATCTTTTTGTGTCTTATTTAAGAAATCCTTCTCCACTCCAAGGTCGTGAAGACATTCTCTTATATTCTCTTCTAAAAGCTTTAAAAATTAATCTTTCATATTTAGAATTGTGGTGAGAACATCCTATTTGTTCTCAATCACTGATGGAAGGGTTTCAAAGATACATCATTACCATAGCTGGATGTGGTGGGGTTTTTCCCCCCATAGTTAGACTATCAGATTAAGAAAGTTCCTTTCTCCAAATTTACTAAGAGATAAATGTCAAGTTTTACTAAACACCTTTTCTGCATTGTAATGATTTTTGTGGTTTACGTTCTTCAGCTTTTTAATGTGATAAAAAAAAAAAGATTGTTTTTCTAATGTTAAATTAACCTCATATTCCTGGGATAATTCTAACTTGGCCAAGATGTATTTTTTTTTATAAATTGCTGAATTCTGTTATTAATATTTTATTTAGGATTTTTGTACCATGTTTGTGAGGAAGTTGAGCCTGTAGTTTTTTGTTCTCTTAATGCCCTACTTATGTTTGGTATCAAGGTTGTGGTCATTCCATAAAATGAGTTGGAGGGTGTTTACTCTTTTTCTATTGTATCTGGACCTAGAGTTGCTTTCTCTTTTAGGAAAATCTTTGCTTACTAATTCAGCTTATTTAATAGTCAGCAGACTTTTCAGTTTTTCTATTTTGAAGTTAGTTTTAGCAGGTTATATTTTTAAGAAATTTGTCTATTTTATATAAATTTTCTAATATATTGGTATAATAAATATTCTCATACTATTTGTTGAATGACAGTAACATCTGTACTGATGCCTCCTTTTTCATTCCTGATATTTGTTACTTGTGCTTTCTCTTTTCCTTGATCAATCTTGACAGACGATTGCCAATTTAATCAGTTTCTACAGAGAACTAGCTTTGGTTTTGATGTTTCTCCCTATTGCATGTTTGTTGTTGTTTTCCTTAATATGTCATATTTAATATTTACTTTTTCTACTATCTTTGGTTTTATTTGGGTATTTTTTCTAACTTCTTGAAATTGATTTTTAATTCATTAATTTTTAGAGTTTGTTCCTATCTAATGTATGTATGTGTAAGGCTTGGAATCTCCCTCTAAATATAATATGTTAATGTTATTGCATAGATTTTTCAATATGTAATAATTTCATATTTTAATTTTGAAATATTTTCTAATTTTCTTTAAGGTATTTTGTTTGTTTTTTTCAGTTATCTTTTTGTTACTAGTTTAATTGCATTACAGTCAGAGATCATTATCTATTGGGCCATTAAAATGTGTTGAGAGTTATTTTCTGGTCCAATAAGTCTGCTTAAAAAAAAATGTGTTCTGTAGTTGTTTGGTGCAGTGTCCTATGTAAGCCTATTTGGTTATCTTTGTCAATTACCTTGTTAAAATCTTCTGTATCCTTACTGATTTTTTTCTTCTGCTTATTCTATCATTACCGAAAGAGATGCATTAAGATCTTTCACTGTGTTGTGGATTTTTACATTTCTTCTTAAAAGTCTGTCTTGAGGTCATGTAATGTAATTGCATACATATTTAAAATTATGTTTTCCCAGTAAATTAAATTGTATTATTATAAACTGACCCTTTTTATTATCAATAATGCTTTTGGCCTTAATTTTTTTTCAACTAGTATAGTTATGTGATGCATGGTATGACTTTCAACCTTTCTATATGCTTATGTTTTAGGTGTATCCCTTATAAACAACATACTTGGACTTAAAATAATCATTGGCCTTTATCGGGAACATTTAGTTCATTTCTATTCAATGCAACTATTCTTGCCATGGTTAAAAATTCAGTTATTTCTGTGTTCTTCCCGAGGTAAACTTTTTCTCTAGTTGCTTTCAATATTTTTATATTTTATTGTAAAAACTATAGTTTTTAAAAATAACTCTTTGAGTTTACTAGGCCTCAGAGTAAAAAAGTGCCATTTACGTAGCTTACCTGTAGGCAAGAAGCCTGAAATAACTTGTAGTTTTGCAACTAACGCAGCCCCTGATTTACTTTTATTGTTGTCAGGATCAATTATGAACCTGAAGTTTGGCACCTTCTTTATAATCACATTTTTCCCCTTGTAGCAGCTGTGTTTAATGTCATTAAAAATAGTCAGGTGCAATGGTGCACACCTGTACTCCCAGCTACTCAGGAGGCTGAAGCTGGAGGATCCCTTGAGGCCAGGAGTTTGAGTCCAGCCTGGGCAACATAGCAAGACCCCATTTCTAATTTTAAAAGAAGAGAAAGAAAAAAGTTCTTGTAAAAAAAAAAAAAAAAAAAGAATTTACCAGCCCTCTTGAATCTGTAGATCTGGTATTTTTCATGAGTTCTGCAAAAATCTCAGATGCTATCTTTTCAAATATTGCCTCCACCATATACTCTTTGAATCAAATGATCAAATGTATATTAGACATTCTCACTCTTCACTCTGCTCTATTTTTTCTTGCCCTTTCCTCTATATTTTCTATCTTTTTGTCTCTCCTTGCCCAATTCTAAGTGTTTTCTTCTGACTTACCTCCCAGTTCATTAATTTTTCTGTAGCTAGTGTAACCTGCTAGTCAACCATCCTTTTAAGTTCTTAATTCTATTATTTTTCAATTCCAGAAGTTCTCTATTTTTTCAGATTGTTTATATTAGCTTTTATTCTTTATTTTTGCTGTTGTTTTTATTTTTTCTTCTTTTTAATTTTTTTCCTTTTATTCTTTCCTGTACCCTACAGATTTATATAAGCTTGTCTTTTTTCTCTAAATACAGTAATCATAGTTGTTTTATCTTCTGGGTCTGATAATTCCAGTATTTGGAGTCTTTGGGCATCTGACTTTATTTTTTTAAAATTGATTCTGCTGTTTCTTGTCCAATATGTTTTCTTCTTTATGTGCCTGATTGCATTTGATGGGTTGCTGATGATTGTACTTAAAATTATTTGTATATTGGCATTTTCTTCTGCTAGACAACTGGGGTACTTTCAGGCAGGACAAGTTTATTCCAAGTTCAAGTTTGAGGCAAGACTCATCAAACTGATATAAACCGTTGAGGAATAATTTACTTATGATTGACACTTCCCCTAAGGATGTAGTTTTGGGGTCCTAGCTTATTAGACTTCACATTCTGTGTGGGCCTGGGCTTTGATATCTGTCACCCTTAATCCCTGAAGATATAAAAATGGAATTCAAATGTGTAGGGATTGGCAAATACAGTAGAGAAAAAAATGTACCTTCTGCACTTATCTACCTGTGTGAGTTCATATTTTCTCTTCACTTTGGCCTGCAAATTTCTTGCTATGTTGTAGGCTCAACGATTTTAAAAAAGACTTTGAAAAATACTTTATTTAGAGATCTGAGTGGTTTTCAACTGACAGGAGATTGTTTCAAATAACCTAGTCCATCATTAACAGAAATGTGAATTCCTCATCTTTTTTTGGTAAAATTTTTCTTTTTCTAGATTTATAGTCTGGAGTTTTTGCTTTCTTTCTTTCTTTCTTTCTTTCTTTCTTTCTTTCTTTCTTTCTTTCTTTCTTCTTTCCTTCCTTCCTTTCTCTTTTTTTTTTTTTTTTGATGGAGTCTCACTCTGTCACCCAGGCTGGAGTGCAGTGGTGCAATCTCGGCTCACTGCAACTTCTGCCTCCCAGGTTCAAGCGATTCTCATGCCTCAGCCTCCCAAGTAGTTGGGATTACAGGTGTGCACCACAACACCTGGCTAATTTTTGTATTTTTAGTAAAGACGGGGTTTCACCATGTTGACCAGGCTGGTCTCGAACTCCCAACCTCAAGTGATCCGCCTGCCTTGGCCTCCCAAAATGCTGGGATTATAGGCGTAAGCCACCACGCCCGGACTTTTCTTCCTTTTTTTAAAAAGAGACTGGGTCTGTCTCCATTGCCCAGGCTAGAGTGCAGTGGTGTGATGATAGCTCACTGCAGCCTTGAACTCCTGGGCTCAAGCGATCCTCTCACCTCTGTCTCCAGAGCAGCTGGGAATACACATGTGAGCCATTGCACCCAGCTGGAGTTTTAAGGATAGTCAAGATCAGTGGTAAGGATTCTGTAAATCTATTCTTTTTTCATTTTATAGTATTTTTTTGAGTTCATAACCTTACACATTTAAGCACTTTATCTTCTTCTCCCCAGCGGTCACCTTATGACCAAGGGATCATTTAGTTTGTTACCTTTCTTATTCTTATTTGCAGATGCTGATGAATGGCAAGAATCAGAAGAAAATGTTGAACACATCCCCTTCTCTCATAACCACTATCCTGAGAAGGAAATGGTTAAGAGGTCTCAGGAATTTTATGAACTTCTCAATAAGAGACGGTCAGTCAGGTTCATAAGTAATGAGCAAGTCCCAATGGAAGTCATTGATAATGTCATCAGAACGGCAGGTTTGTAATTGCAGATGGGGTCTTTGGAAATGTTAGTCACCTTACTGGTGTGACTCCAACAATGGAAAAATGTCAAAGTTTAAACATAGCGAATAAAGCCTAGAGTGATATGTTTATCTATAAAGTCTTACCCAAATGCTGAGTGAGTGCCAGAAACACAATGACTTCTACTTTCCACATTTTGACTATTACAAGCTTCTTGGAAGAAGATGTGACAATAGTTCAAAACTTCTGAAATTATTCAGTTCATGATCTTTTAATTAAAAACCAAGATTTCTGATCACATCATTATATTAATATATTGGAGGAGATACACCTTCTTTCTTTCCCTCTCCTTAAAACACACCAGACATACACACACTCGCATACTCACAGTTATATTTGTTTTTTTTGGAAGCAAATTTCTTATATTACACACCATGATGCTGTAGTACAGTATTCTCATTAACTAGCAAAGTTTACTTATGTAAATTTGCACAGTAAAACAAAGCAAGAAAAAACCCATTTTTAATGTAAATTAATATTTCCACTGAGGAAAAAAAATCAGAGCTACAGAAAATGGGGAGGAGAAATAAGAGAAAGCTCCCTACTTGAGAATCTCCTGTGATTGGAGTCTTATTCTTACATAAACCATATTTAAGTTTATTTGCAAAAATTATCACATGCCCGTTATTAATCTATTGTCCAATGTGAAAGGAAGCAAGAATAAAATACTTTACTTCAGTTAGAAATACAAATACATTAGATTGTTGAGTCCTTAGCCTAACTAACAGCAGTTACTAAATTTAGCCTTTATCTGTATCTGTATTTGTATATGTATACGTACACATATGCTGTTAAGGTAAATTTGACACAACTAAAAACATTAGGGAAAAATTTATTTCTTATGTTTAGAGATACAAATATTTAGTAAACAAATAAAATGGGTACAAAGTTAACTGGAATCACTCTGTGCAGAAATTTGGGCCTCATGTTTAGCCTTTGACTTGCATTTCCCAAGCCAGCTGTGACTTCTAGTGTTGGGAGTGGTGTGTGGCAAGCAAGAACCCCACCAAGAGTCTGCAGCCCTTCCTCCCTCCATAGGTGCTGCTTATTCCATTAAACTATCCAATGGGAAGGAAGGAACAGTTTCTTCTGAAATATCCCACCCATGAGTCACTGTGGTCTCCCCTTGGGAACAGTGGGCCATCTCTAGGGTTGAGGGACGACACCCAGATCAGAAGCTGGCCCCTACTCTCACCAGAATCCCACAGGAATTGAGGCTCCTTGGACAAAGATGATGCACTGCGAAGCTTTGCCCTGGGACACTGGAACTGATCAAGGTGTGGACTGAGAGTTCCCGAAGTCCCCCCGGGAGTAGAATGACACATGGCCGTGCGTATTGAGTACCCATGTCTAAGAGTTCTCCAACTGGGCCCAGCGTGGTGGTTCACACCTGTAATCCCAGCACTTTGGGAGGCCGAGGCGAGCAGATCACGAGGTCAAGAGATTGAAACCATCCTGGCTAAAATGGTGAAACCCCGTCTCTACTAAGTGTAGAAAAATTAGCTGGATGTGGTGGCAGGTGCCTGTAGTCCCAGCTACTCGGGAGGCTGAGGCAGGAGAATCGCTTGAACCCGGGAGGTGGAAGTTGCACTGAGCTGAGATTGTGACACTGCACTCCAGCCTGGTGACAGAGTGAGACGCCATCAAAAAAAAAAAAAAAAAAAGAATTCCCCAACTGTTGTGTGTCCCCAAGGACAAACCTCACAGTGCCACACTCATAGCTTTGATACAGGGACCAAACACTGTATAGCTAAGTTGCCTTTTGAAGAGTGTTTTTAAAACCATCTTACCATGTACATTTTGCCTCCTTCAATAACCTTCACAACTTTATTCTTTTTCAAGATTACTAAAACAAATGACAGTCTGGAGAATTCTGGCTGTCAAAATTTCCCCTGAGTTTCTTTCCTTAGTAGGCATGGTGCAGTTACTTGGGGACATTTTCTTCCATGTAATTAGAGAAGCAGAGGTGAGTTCCCACAACCCTGGAACTACAGAGCTTGATCATTGATCAGTTGGCCTGACGCTGAACAAAACAAACTTGGCAGCAGCATGACAGGGTTCACTGCCAGGCATTTGTTTTCCAGATTATCTAACTTCATTTTGAGCAAGTATGAATTATTTTTGTTTTTATTTTTTTGAGACAGAGTTTCATTCTCGTCACCCGGGCTGGAGTGCAGTGGCACCATCTTAGCTCACTGCAATCTCTGCCTCCAGGGTTCAAACGATTCTCCTGTCTCAGCCTCCCAAGTAGCTGGGATTACAGGCGCCCACCACCACACCCGGGTAATTTTTCTATTTTTAGTAGAGACAGGGTTTCACCATGTTGGCCAGGCTGGTTTTGAACTCCTGACCTCAGGTGATCCACCCACCTCGGCCTCCCAAAGTGCTGGGATTACAGGCATAGGCCACTGCCCCTGGCCAAGTATGAATTACTACGTTTATCCTTAAAAAAAAAAAAGTTTTTTTAAGAGACAGGATGTCACTCTGTTGCCAGGCTAGAATGCAGTGGTGCAATCATGGCTCACTGCCTCCCGAGCTCAAGCAATCCTCCCACCTCTACCTCCCAAGCAGCTGGGACTATAGGCACACACCAGCACACCCTGCTAGTTAAAAAAAAAAAAATCTGCAAAATTTTGTTTGATCCTCCAGCTCCAGCCTCCCAAAGTGCTTGGACTACAGGGATGAGCCTCTCCTTAATTAGCAGTCTCACACTTTCCTGCAGTTTTAATTTCTGATTTTAATGGAATGGGTGACAGGAACAGCCCCGAGTGGGGCTCACACAGAGCCCTGGACCTTCGTGGTTGTGAAGGACCCAGACGTGAAGCACAAGATTCGAAAGATCATTGAGGAGGAAGAGGAGATCAACTACATGAAAAGGATGGGACATCGCTGGGTCACAGACCTCAAGAAACTGAGGTACAAACAGTGGTGGAACTGGGGATGTTTGCCTTGGCCTCTTAAAATAAAATCACCACCACCACCATGTCCTGGCTTTGTTGTAAGCGTGAAAAAGCTTGATTCTATTCTGCCTCTTGGAGGAATTACGGAAGTTAAGTCCGGGCTCACTCCTGTATTGCCATGTGAGCGTTTGGTAAATAGGCTCTGACTCAATTATTTGCTTAGTAAATAATTGAGGAATTACTTCACTTTTCACTCGTCTGGAACATAAAATGGTAAAATTCTTCTCAAGATCTTGCATGAAGCAAATTACATTTTGCTAAAGTGATCAGGTCTTCCAAATGATTTTACTAAGCAGGTTTTAGTTTTAGGACAAGTTTAACACAAGTGTAGTTATCTGTGAGGCCTTAGTAACTTTTTGGCTTCCTCAACTCCAGGAAAGAAGTGGAGGGGAATTCAGTGTAAGTAGTTTCTCTGTGGTCCCTCAACAAATGCAGCCCTCGGGGTCTGCTCCGGGCGCCGAAGCACAGTCCGCGTGCTCTGTGGAGGGAATGGAGAGTGTTGGTTCATCCAGTGAGTCAGGAAAGTGGATTACAAGTGGCTCCTCTGTGTTGATATTTCCATGATTTGAAATTCTGATGCTTGGCTTTAAGCCACTTTATGTATTTTAACTATTTTCACCCTTGCAATAACCACAGGGGGTGGGTACACAAGAGTACATTTTATAGAGGAGGTAACAGCTCCAGGGGAGGCCAAGTAGCTTGCCCAGTGGCCAAGACAGCCCAGCTCCAGTGCAGATCTTCTAAAGCGTTACCATTTTCCCTCTTTATAGGGAGAAAAGAAATGATAATGGTCAAATGTGACTAAGCTGGTTGAAGTATGGTTAAGTAGCTTTGAAAGTGTAACATACAGATATTCATAGCGTAAGAGGAGCCATGGAGAAATACACAAGTGAGTTTCGTGTGCTTTGGAATGAGGAAGCATAACCAAGCTAGAAATGAAATGAATGGTGATTGTCTCTTGCTAATGAATGATATAAGATATCCTAAGGTAAAATCCCAATATATGGGATTATATGACTCTCTGTCCTTTGACTATCTGTGCTAGAATAAAACTTCTGCCAAAATGTGTGGGCCAGGGTAATGAAATCAAGAAAGATATTCTGAGCTGGAAAACAAAAATTCAGTTCTGCATTTACACCTTACATGAATGATCTCCCTCTCCCACAGAAGTTCCCTTCCTTTTTTCTATAACTGGGTGAACAGCATTGCCATCTGCCCACCTGTGATTTTGGCTAAACCTCACTGCCATCCTTGCCTTCTCCCTTGCTGAATTTTGACCCAGTGCATGCTGGGTAATAGGACCTGCCCTTGTATCTTTCAGCATTTCATATGTCTTGCCATACTAGGCACTTATTAAGACATGTTTATGAAATTGAATGATCCTGGTCAGAAAAAGTGGAATGAGACAAAAACAAAAATTCTGCAGCTTTTCAATTTAAATATAAAAGATGAGTAAATATGTTTTTATTTTTATCATAAAGAAGCTAAGGTAGTAAAAGAGAACAAAAAATATGGGCAAATATTATCCTGAATCTCTTTTCTCTTCACAGAACCAACTGGATTAAAGAGTACTTGGATACTGCCCCTATTTTGATTCTCATTTTCAAACAAGTACATGGTTTCGCCGCAAATGGCAAGAAAAAAGTCCACTACTACAATGAGATCAGTGTTTCCATCGCTTGTGGCATCCTGCTAGCTGCCCTGCAGGTATGTTGAGACATCAAGGGTTACAGGGTGGCCTTATTAGAACATTTCAGCTGAGTTTTCAATTCAGGGACATTTGGAAATTTTTTTTTAATCTAAAGTAGAATTCCTAAGTGAGGTAACTCTGATGTGAAAACTGACTCTGGAAACCTGGATTGGTGACTATGATGGTTCAGCAAGCTGGGAATTCACTTATAACATCATTTCAAGTTAGAAAAATTGGTGTTGTGTTTGCAGTCATCTGTAACAACATGAAGTTTCAAGGGTTTTGGCAGACCCACATGAAGTACTTTGGAGCCTAAAAGTCACAGAGGCTAACTCCCTGGATACGTTTACTGTTGCTCTCAGAGATGATGGAATGACTAAAAAGCCATGAGAAGGGCTCTTCATAGAGGCCCTTTTCTGAGAAGTTTGCGTTGCATGGCATTAGGAAGAAGGTCATGTGCTTTTCAAAAATTCCATCTGCATAGGAACGAGAGCAATGCTAACATGAAATGGAGCAGGATTGCTGTATAGTTTTCAAACTATTCATGCATTCACTCAACAGTGCATTCACTCCACAAATATTTTCTGAGCTCCTTTTTGTTTTGTTTTGAGACAGGGTCTCATTGTGTCACTCAGGCTGGAGTGCAGTGGCACCATCACAGCTCACTGCAGCCTTGACCCCCGGGCTTAAGTGATCCTCCCACCTCAGCCTCCTGAATAGCTGGGACTATAGGCAGGCACCACCATGCTAATTTTTGCATTTTTTGTATAGATGGAGTTTTGCCATATTGCCTAGGCTAGTCTCAACTCCTGAGCTCAAGTGATTCACTCTTCTCAGCTTCCCAAAGTACTGGGATTACAGGCGTAAGCCACCATGCCTGGCCTCTGAGCTCCTTCTACGTGGCAGTTCCTGGGAGCCACTGGGGATAGTTGTCTGATGAACTGTATATTCTAGCAGAGACTGGGGGCTGGGTAGTGGATAGAGAGAGATGGTAAACCCATAAAATAAATGTAGAAAACAAGATTATAAGAGCAAGTAACCATACTTTTGAGAGACAATGGATTAAAAAAAAAAGAGAGCTTCTTCACTATCTCAAAGAAAAACATGTATGTTGAATAACACCTCCCAAAATGTAGTCATTGAAATGTGTTTTAGGTTTTTGGAAAAATTATCCTGAAGGAGCTGGCATTGATTTCCTTCCTGAATCTGTAAGCAGGTAAATAATGGAATCACCATGCGGCATCAGACTGCGAGGCACCGCCACCTGATTGAGGGTCCTGGAAGAAGCAGCGAAGCCTGCAGCAAGCTCAGCTCACAAGGCTGCCCAGGTGCCTCTGCAGCAGGCAGTCTTTTTCACTTTGCCATTGAGTTTGCTGCCCCCTAGCTTTCATAAGGCATAATCCCGAGAGTAGGTTATGATTAGTGATGGAGGAAAGAAAAATCTCCATGAAGCCCGCATCTCCAGTATGGTGACTGGGTCTGATAAGCGCGCCATGCATGTCTTGTAGAGGCAGCTTCCAGAACTTCCTGGTCAGGTTTAGAGGTGGTGATCTGATTGGAAAAGCTGGAGAGGGGCAGGCGGGGAAGTGTCTGGAAGCTACTCATTGCTTTTACTTAGATGTTTGTTATTTGGAGGCTTGGAAAGAGGTCGATGGGGTACCCCTTGGCCACTGAGTCCCCTATCAACGGGCATCAGCATCTCACTGGGTGGGGATGCTCTGCTTCCATGGTTGGCTCTGTAGTCATAGGAACTTGCCGTGGTGGTTGTTGTTTAGAATATAATATACAAGCCTTTATTAATATATTAAATACCAAGAGCTAGTCGTAGCTCTATAATTTTAAAGTAGTGATGAATGTAATGATATTTTAAAATATCTATAACAACTGTAAAATGATATGAAAATAACTGTGGATTTCATTGGTGATAAAGTCATAGATATTGCTAACACTACTGTGGTTTGCTGCCTACATTTATAAAGGAAGAAACTGCTAAATTTCAGTTAGATGTTAGTGAATATGAAAACTTTTTTTTTCAAATTCAAGTTCATGGACCTGCTAAATTCAATCCTTGGCCCTTTGGGGGTCTGAGGATTCCAGTTAAAAAAATCCTGACCTATAATAAGACCAAAGTACTCACATCGAGAGAGTGAAAGATAAAATAATAATAGAAGTCAACTTAACATTAATAATATTAATAAGAGGAATTGTTTAATATGGTCTGTGTATTTGCAGGTTTCTACTGCTAGAGACATACAAAATTCAGTATGGAGTAAAAGCTATGTCTTGAAAAGGACCAAGATATAAAATGACACTAAATTAAGGTGTAAATATTTTCTCAAAAAAGTTTAAGACTTGGCCAGGTGCGGTGGCTCACGCCTCTAATCCCAGCACTTTGGGAGGCCAAGGCGGGCGGATCACGAGGTCAGGAGATCGAGACCATCCTGGCTAACATGGTGAAACCCGGCCTTTACTAAAAATACAAAAAATGAGCCAGGCGTGGTGGCGGGCGCCTGTAGTCCCAGCTACTCGGGAGGCTGAGGCAGGAGAATGGCGTGAACCTGGGAGGCGGAGCTTGCAGTGAGCGGAGATCCCGCCACTGCACTCCAGCCTGGGCGACAGAGCGAGACTCCGTCTCAAAAAAAAAAAAAAAAAATTAAGATTTATCCATTGCAAGTTCAAATACTATGTGAAGATATGATCAAGGAGAAGAAACGCCATGATAAAGTAGAGCTAATGACAGAAAGAAGAAATCAGTTAGGTTTTTTGATGCATGTATTCTTGAGAACAGTCTCTCAGGTATTGTGAAATCTTCGTTAATCAAGGTATAGTATATGATGATGTTGTATAAGAGACCTTCAGCAAGAAACTATATTGAGTCACTCTAGATTCATATATGTGCATGTGTGCATGTATCTATATATGGGTTCATATATATATGGGTTCATAAATATATATGGGTTCAAATGCCAATATTAGAGTTATTGATAACAAATCATAGATTCCAGGCAGATCACTGGAGTTCAGGAAAGAATATTTAGCAGGAAAATTGGCCAGGTATGGTGGCTCACACTTGTAATCCCAGCACTTTGGGAGGCTGAGACGGGCAGATCACTTAAGCTCAGGAGTTTGAGACAAACCTGGGCAATATGGCAAAACCCCATCTCTATAAATAAATACAAAATATAGCCAGGCATGGTGGTGCATGCCTATAGTCTCAGCTACTTAGCAGACTGAGGTGGGAGGATGGCTTGAGCCCAGGAGGCAGAGGTTACAGTGAGCCGAGATCATGCCACTGCACTCCAGCCTGGGTGATAGAGCCATACTTTGTCTCAAAAAAAAAACAAAAAACAAAACCGAATATGTATATTTAGTAGGAAAATTATGTCGCATTTGGGCTAGGACACTGCTTTGGTGGACTCTCTTATCATTTGGTTCTTGTACCAGGACACAGACCAACCCCTTAGCTAAAAGGAACTCCCTGTTGTTTTTGCCTTTCCTCTACTGTAGTTGGATTCCTACAGTATTTTTCTGTAAAATAACCATTCCTATTTCTTAAGCATCAATGAAAAATAATAGTATTTTTCTTCTTCCAAAAGCTTGCCACTGCTTGGTTAAAAGAAGGGAGGGGGTGGGGAGATTGATGGGGGCAGGGAGGTTCACGATGCCATTACTTGAGCTGGCAGCCTCTTTGCTGCCCAACTTCAGGGAAATGATAGGAAGAGCAGGTATAATCAGGACAAGAAGGTCCCCAGGTTAGAGGGAGAGCAGTCATTCTGCCTGCTGACTTTAAAATGCTTTCTTGTCCTCTTATTTTAGAATGCAGGTCTGGTGACTGTCACTACCACTCCTCTCAACTGTGGCCCTCGACTGAGGGTGCTCCTGGGCCGCCCCGCACATGAAAAGCTGCTGATGCTGCTCCCCGTGGGGTACCCCAGCAAGGAGGCCACGGTGCCTGACCTCAAGCGCAAACCTCTGGACCAGATCATGGTGACAGTGTAGGCAGGGCCCCCCAAGGGAGTGGCAGGGAGATGGCGCCCCTGCTTTTCCCTGAGCCTCTCGCCTGCTCCTCTTGGGTCTCTTGGCTGCTCTTTCTCCAGGTGTCAGGTCCCCTCATTGCTCTTCTCAGGTGGCCACACTATGTCAAGAAGCCTCTCCACACTCTGTGGCACTTCCAGTCCCATAAATCCTGTTTCTTATCCACTTTGGAAATGCATGAACACTTTACAAAGAACATGCCCGGGTTTTTACATTTTAAAAGTTATTCTAGACAATCACTATTGGCTTTTTTCTTTTATTTTTAAAAAACTCACATAGAGGAGACAATCAGAAATTTACCATAGTCCCAAGAATTCAGCTACATGATGACTCGAATTTAAATTTAGATTAATCAAATGGTCTCCTGTTCTCTGATTTCTGGTGGCTTTTAGACACTAATTTTTGAGAACTACTTTTTTTTTTTTACCAAACTTCAGGGACACTCTGCTAGTTTTGAATAAGTAACCATCAAAGTTACTAAAACATGGCCAGGCGCAGTGGCTCATGCCTGTAATCCCAGCACTTTGGGAGGCCGAGGTGGGCAGATTGCCTGAGCTCAAGAGTTCGAGACCAGCCTGGCCAACATGGTGAAACCCCATCTCTACTAAAAATACAAAAAATTAGCTGGGCATGCACTTGTAATTCCAGCTACTCAGGAGGCTGAGGCAAGAGAACTGCTTGAATCCGGGAGGTAGAGATTGCAGTGAGTCAAGATGCTGAGATGCCACCACTGCACTCCAGCCTGGGCAACAGAGCGAGAACCTGTCTCAAAAAAAACAAAAACAAAGTTACTAAAATGTCACCTTCACAGAACAGGACAGGGTACCCTTGGGTCGCACGGGCCTGGCTGGCATGTAAACGGTCAGTTGCACTGCCTAGTGGTTTGGTAGATCTGACTTGTAAGCAGTTCATAGAAGCTGCTCAATACTCAAGAATCTTGCAAGACAGTTATTAAACATTCATAGCTTGAAATTGCCCATGGTGGGAGAGTTTACATCACAACCACTACAAATCAGCACTTGCTTTCTTCTTCTTAAAGAGAGCTGCTTACCATACATAGCACCCACAGTGTCTCCCTTCTCTTCTACCCCAACCCCTGAAACACACTGACCCCTATTCTCCAGATGACAGCACAGCTGTTTGGGACTGATAGGGTCACAGTTGCCAGGTTGGGAATGCTAGATGTAGTCTTCACCCATCACCTTCTGTCGTCCTCCCAGGGGTGTCATATTTACAGAGGCAAACTCTTACAGCTTGGATGATTTCTCATCAAGCAACTCTACTCACCTCTTTTTCCCCTTTCCCTGTGCGTTTCTTCTTCTTGTCCTCATTTTCCTTGAGAAAACTCTCTCTATAAAAAATTTCCATAGAGTATGTGGCTGATAAACAACAGAAATTTGTTTCTCACAGTTCTGGAGGCTGGAAGTCCAAGGTCGGGGTGCCCTCATGGTCAGGTGCTGGTGAGGACCCTGATCTGGGTTGCAGACTGCTGACTTCTTATTGTGTCCTCGTGGTAGAAAGAGGGTTAGAGCCTCTGGCATGCCTTTTATAAGGGTACTAATCCCATCATGAGGCCCCGTCCTTATGACCTCATCACCTCCCAAAGGACCCCCTCCTAATACCATCACATTGGGGGTTAGGGTTTCAACATATGAATTGCGGGGGACACAAACATTCCGTCCATGGCACCTACTTCATAGGGTTTGGCATGCTGCTCGGTACATGGTTAACATTCATAAATGGTGGGGGCCCTTACTGTGGTAGAAACCATTGTCACTGCAAGGCAGCCCTGCTTGGGATTCAGGTGAACAAATGTAACGTGGGTGGGTGAGGGACTCCCTCCTCTTCAGAGAAGCCCTCCTGTGGCTCAGGGGCAGCTGCAGGGCCAGATGGAGTTGGCCTGCAGGGAGTCAGCCTTACCCCATCAGAGACCAACTTGAAAGATTTTTTTCTCTGTGTAGTTCGTGTTATCAATCTGATCTGCAGCCAGGTTATTTACTTCTGAAGCATTGGAGTTATCGATTGCCATTGCCCCATGGTTCTCACTCTTTGCAGGCACTCTTCAAATTTTTATTTTAAAAATTATAATGCAAACATCTGGCCATCACCTTAACCAAGTGACAAAGTCCTAGCACACCATTAATGGTAGGATAACTGACATTAAGTGTTCCTGCTGGGATGAATTATGAAGTATTCCTTCCAAAGATGTCAATGGAAACTAATCGAGTCTTACACCTAATTTTCAGTTTACAGTAAATACAGAGGATAAAGAAGTTAATGGCATGGTGGAATAACCAAAATGTGTATCATTCTACAAAAAAATAGGCCTGGACTATTTAAGGAGTGAGTGTCACTGTGGGAAGAATAAGAGGGGGACTGTCTTGTCCTTGCTACTCAAAGAGTGGTCCTGGGCCTGTATCATCATTGGGACCACCTGGGCGCTTGTTAGAATCAAAGACTCTCAGGCCTCACCTAGACATCCAGAATCAAAATCTGCATTTTAACAAGATGCCCAGGTGATCTGCATGCCTGTTAAAGTCTGAGCTCTGTTGCAGATAACCAGAGACCCAACAACCAAAGGCAAAGCGTAAGCCTTGATTGGATTTTGGTTTAGGAAAAATCTCATAGGTATAAAAGACAACTGGGAATGTTGAATGTGGATCTGGTGGTAGGTGATATTGTTAGTGATGTGAGTGATGCCTGCTGAAGTACTGAGAGATGAAGCATCATATTGACAACTTACTCCAGGAAAAAAGGTGTGTGTATAGGTGTGTGTTTGGAGAGTGTGAGCGAGAACTAACATGGTAAAATGTTAGGTGGAGCATATACAGTTCTCATTATACTCTTATTTTAAATTTATATTTGAACACAGTCAAATCTGAATGGAAATACATTTAAATAAGCATTTCTTTCAGTCATATAAGTAATTTGCCTAAAAATGCCCTCTAAGTCCATCATTAGGTTAAGCGATTTACTGAAGGTGCAGATATCATGCTTATTTCATTGGGTTGTTTTGGAATGTCCCCCACTTGGAGAGTTTGAGGAATGGAAATGAGAATCGGAGGAGAAATAAGGCCAGAGGCTCACATTGCTTGCAGGGAACCGACTGAGTAATGAAGAAGAGGAAGGAAGCCCTTGGAAGGAACGTAAAATCCATTTCAGCCTGCCGCCCCTTGGAATGGAGGGTCTTCTAGGGACCAGAAACACCAGACACTTCTTCTGCCCCAAGCACACCCCACACTAATTTCTGCTGCAGCATCACGATCAGGGCAAATCAGCACAGCCCCCCAGCCATCAGTGGTGTCTAGAAAAGTAAGGATAATTTTCTTCCTTCTCACTGCAGCCCCAAGCTCTTATTAACCTTCTTTTATGTGTTCATTAAATGCAGTCATGTGACAACTGTGTTCAAAGTTAGAAATAGTGGTCGGGGAGGCTTATAGATCCTCTTGCTGTTCTGAGGCCTTAAAACCAAAAAAATAATGGAATGATTGCATCACTGCGAGGAAGTATACTTAATTAAGAAAGTTGAAAATGGTTTGTGTCTTACTAATAGGACTCACCTGAAGACTCTACTTTGCCAAGAGGGAATTTTTAACTCAAAGTTGTGTCAGCCAGCACGGGGTAGAGCCATGGTCCTCATACTTGCTGGCATCCCTCATCTGGTGGTCTGTTAAAGCACAGATTGCTGGGCCGCACCCTCAGGGTGTGTGATTGTGTGATTCAGTATTGCTGGGTGGTGCCCAAATGCTCCAGTTCTAATGTATTCCCAGGTGTTGCTGATGCTGGTGATTGGGTACCACATTTTGAGAACCATGGGGCATTGGCAATCAACAAATGCAATGCTTGTGACTTGACGTGATAAAAGTTCATTTATTGGGCAGGCAAAGTCCTCTGCAGGCCTGGAAACCCTCCGAGACAATTACTTGCATGGGGTAACCCAGTAATACTGTGGGATGCAACTTCTAGGGCATGGCTGCCTCCTTCCTAGAGGCAGCAGGGGGAGAAAACACTGGAAGAGGTCACCCCAACAATTCCATCGTACCTTGGCCTAGGAGTGACCTCCTCAGTCTCACAACCCTTTGGCTAGAACTAGTCATGTGACCTCACAGGAGGTGGAGCAGTGTCGTCAATGTTATCATCCCCCTGCACCTGCAAGGAAGGAGGCCCAGATGTGTGTAGGTGCTGGATGTCTCTTCCCCAAAACATATAACTCTGGATTTGGAAAACAAAACTGGATATAACAGAAAAGAAAAGGAGGGGAGAAGGAAAGTTGAAGAAATTGGTGAAATCAGAATAGGACAGTGAAAGGCATAAAGATTTTCTTCTGAAACGCTAAGATCGGTTGATATTTGTCTAATACAGCTTTAAATAGAGTATCACTTTGGGCCAAAGAAAATTGATATAAACATACATAAAGTGGAACTAAGATTGACTTCTTCCTAGACATCTCTGCCTCTGTCCACAAAATGGAAACTTCCATCAAGGAGTACTGGAGGACAGTTCAGTATTTCTTCTTATTTGCTCCTCCCTATGAAAGGAAGAGTGACTTCTCTGCTGCATGATATTGGGGGTAAATAGTTATTGCACATTTGCTCAAACCCCAGCAAAGTGCACCCCATTTTAAGCCAAATTTACAAACTTACAAAGATGATCCACCAATAGTTTTCTCTATTTACTTTATTCTTGCTCTGTCACCCAGGCTAGAATGCAGTGGTGTGATTATAGCTCACTGCAGCCTCCAACTTCTGGACTCAAGTGATCCTCCCACCTTAGCTTCCCAGGTAGCTGGGATACAGGTGCACGCCACCACACCCAGGCTAGTTTTTCTAAATATTGGAGTTCCCAAAGAGTATTCAAACTGATGTGATATTTTAAAAGACATTTTGTAAGCATCTTTTAGGAATATCAGTAAGTGGAAGAAAAACACATAGTTATCAGTGGATATTATGCCAGAGAGGCATGAGAAATATAATTTTATTTTGCTAGGTATCAGCAGAGTGCCCTCTTATAATTTGTGTGAAATGGAAACAAAGGTAACATCGTGTTTTCAATTCACACATATATACAAGTAATGAGAGGTCCAGAAGAAATGTGGCTTCAGCTCTGCTGCTACTGTGCCTCCCTTCTCCTGCCCCACTCAGCCCACAAAATAGGCTGGACACTCAAAAAACGTTGCGTTTATCTACCTTTTAGAGAGGGTGAATAGCAGAGAACTGGAGGTGGGAATGGTAAGGAACTCCCAGCAGGGTAGTGGAGGGAATGGGCTGACGCATCTAAGGCTGATGCCAGGTCTGCTCCCTATCTGGGTGGCCTCAGCAAATGACGTCCAGCACATCCAGGGGCAGGCTCAAGGGAGAACAGCCCCCAAAGCTAAGATCCTGCCAAGCTAAATACAGTAGTTCTAATGAAATGTGAGAGGCTATAATCCCATTTGGGAAATTCCTAAAAAGTCATGAGGCAGGGGATTGGTTTATGTTATTATCATGACCTGAGAGTCATGGCTCAGAGCCAAATGTTCAGGATTGAATTCAACAGCATTTAAATGTCTTTAGAGCAGGATGGAAATATGTTAGCAATGCCTGCAGAGTGCCAAGTAAACGCAAAAGCCAATGAGATCATAAAGGAAGTTGTTAGCTAACCTAGGTGGAGTCGCCAACTTCCTTCTACTCTAATAATTAAAAATAAAAATAATACTTGGGAGGTAACTGGAATAAAGGTTCTAAAATCAAAACCCTCTGAAGGGTGAAAACTGGGAGCCTCCTGTTCCCATAGTAACCACAGCACTCAGGGCACTGTCTCCCAGCGCTGGAGTACTGTCTTATGACCAGAGATCCTAAGCAACCTCTGCTCATCTGAGTTGTCCACCATATTGTGGGCATGAGTCCTTGACAATAGTAAATAGCACCTCTGTTCCCTTATTGGGTAAATGATTTTCCAACTCTGGGAATGTGTAGAATTCATTATGGAAATAATGCAATAATTCAAATCCATAATATTGATACTTTCATGTTAAGTTTAGGACTAATCTTGTGTATGCTCCTTAAGTGATTTGAATCTTTAAAAAGCTTATGATTCCAATTTGAAATGTGAAATTGATTTTACGTTTGTGATTTGAAGTTGAAAGGTATAAGAATATTTAACTTAGCTCATGAAAAGTATTAGACTAGATTTACTATAAGTTTAATGTATTAGATTTACAAGAGATGCTTAAATATATGAGAATGTTTTGTCTTAATTGGTTATAATCTTGTCATATCAATGATTTGAAGTGCTAAAATAGAAAATTAAATATGATAAATTACACAAGAAGTTTAGAATGTTTAAAAGATTTTAATAAACAAAGCCTATAACTAAGACTGATGCTTTAAGGGAGTTTGGCTTATTCAACTTGAGTTAATCAAACATTAATTAAAGCCCCCCTTCCCCAAAGAGATTTGTTTTATTTATTTGTTTACTAGTTTTATAAATAGGATAATAAAATGTGTGTATGAGGTCAGAATGCTTTTGACAGAAGTAATACAAACAAAAAAACCTCACTATAACCCAAACAAATAAGGGATTATTTTTCCCTCCTAGTGAGAAGTCTGGAGGTAGATATTAGATGCTGGTCTATTGCTTCAATGAAGTTAGTGCCAAAGTCTCAGTGGTTCTCTTGGTCTTTCTTCATAACCACCGGATGCTGTTATAGCTTCACCAATCACAACAAGCACAGTGCTTGGAACATAATAGGTGCTCAATAAATATTCAGTACATATTGAATGTGTGCAGAAATATATCTCAATCTAGTCATAAAATTTTAGAATGCAAGATCTGAAAGGGACATGGGAATCTGTGTTTTTAACGTGTTCCAGGTGATTCTGCTGACCAGGTGAGTATGGTAAATGTGGCAAGTATTCTCAAGTGAGCTCATCAGTCCCAGGGCTGTTAGCACCTTCCATCTGCCAGGCCCTCCCTGGTCTAGACCTTCAGCCTTGACCTTGCCCTGAAACGCCAAACTCTTACTCCCAGCTGCTTTCTCTGTCCCTCCACTTAGATGTTAGTAGGCACCACAACCTTTTAATGCTCAAAATACTACTTTTGAGTCCTTTCCACCCCTTACTTGGCCCCTCAATTCATACTTTTTGGGATGGAGCCTCAAATCCAGAAATCTTCTGTATTAGTCCATTCTCACACTGCTAATAAAGAATACCTGAGACTGAGTAATTTATAAAGGAAGGAGGTTTAATTGATTCACAGTTCAGCATGGCTGGGGAGGCCTCAGGAAACTTACAATCATGGCAGAAAGAAAAGCAAACATGCCCTTCTTCACATGGTGACAGGAAGCAGAAGAATGACAACTGAGTGAATGGGGAAACCCCTTATAAAGCCATCAGATCTCATGAGAACTCACTCATTCTCATGAGAATAACATGGGGGAAACTGCCCCCATTATTCAATTATCCCCCATCAGTTCTCTCCCATGACATGTGGGGATTATGGGAACTACAATGCAAGATGAGATTTGGGTGAAGACATAGCCAAACCATATCATCATCTTAAATTTCTGTGATTCTTTTATTCTGCACATCCAAATCCATGAGCAAGTTATACTGACTTTATCTCTGAATATTGACCATGGGAGGGGAACAAGGAGAAGCAGTGTGAACAGGAAAAGCATGCTGCCTGCTGCTGTGAATAATAACATATCTTGCTCTGACCCAGTAGTCTTGTGTCTTCTGTCAGCATCCACACTACTAAGTCAGGCTACCTTGCTATCTTGCGAGGAGGGTAAAATCTTAGGTCCTTTACAATTCACGACCCTTGGCATTAGATGTTCTCTCCACCTGCAATGCTCCTCCCCTAGATACTGTTATGGCTGCTCCCTTCATGTCAGTCATGATTCAGCTCAACCCAGTACCTCTGCTGAGAAACTTTCCTTGACCACCCAATCTCCAGTACCCCCAACCAAACCCCAGTCACTCTCAATCACTTCAGATGTTTATTTTCTTCAGAGCACTTATCATTATTTAATAAATTTTAAAATTTTTATAGGGCAACATTTAAAATATAGACACAAAATCCTAAGAATATTATAATGAAAACTATGTAACCACAATGTAGGTTAAGATACAAAACATTATCAATACAGTTAATACCGCCTATGTATTACTCCCCAGTTCCATCCTCTTTCCTCCCTCCACAGAAGAAAGCACTAATCTAATTTGGTCTTATTAATGCCCATGCATGTAAAAAATACTCTTGCCACTAAATAGTATCTAATATTTGTCCATTTTAACTCTACACAGATGGCATTAAACTTTACATATTTTTCTGCAACATTCTTCAGTTATGCTTATGAGATAGTCCATGTTGAAATGTGCAGCTCTAGGTCATTCATTTTTACTGCTCTATACCATTGTACGAACATATCGCACATTTTTCATTTTCTTATGAGTTGTCATTTAAATTCTTTTACATTCATTCTTTGTCCTGTGGGAATGTTTAAGAATTTCTCTAGGGTATATACCTAAGAGTAGACTTACTGGGTCAAAGAGAAGTCAAATTTCAGCTTTTCTAGATCTTGCCAAATTGTTCTTCAAAGGTTTTCCCCCTCCCCCTGATTTTTAAAAACTCATTTACTGAGTAACTCCCATAATGCAATCATAAATTCTAAGATGATTTATCAATCATGCTCCCCTCTCTATTCCTGGTGCCGGTAGCTGCTATGTGAATATTTGTTGAATGGATGAAGAAATGTAGGCTAAGAGGGGTGCTGTGACTTGTCTAGAGTCACAAAACTATCTTAGTGACCAAGCAGGATTTGAGCCCAGGCTGCTGACTCCCTAAGAGGAAGTGGTTATTGTAAAGACAATTCCCCAAGCTGTGATTGCAAAGGTCCTGTCTCCAGGAGAAAGTCTTACACAATTTCACACTGAATAACTGGGACCCTTCACACAGTGCTTGAGCTGGTGTGGGCCAGACATGCTCCCAGTGCAGATGGGAGTTGCAGTTCTGGAAGATTCTTCAGCAGATGCAGATTTGAACCTCAGAGCGCAGGAATTGAGTCTCTGTGGTGATGGAGTTGAAGTAGCAGGAGGACCCCAGCAGGGTGGGGAATGGCAGGGTAAGTGGGTCACTCAACTGACCCTCAGAGGTTTTCTGTACAAAGCCCTGAGATCATGTCCACCTTAAATTTAAAAAGCAAAGAAGGAAGCACAAAGAGATCTTCTCTCTAACTCACCCATTGTCCTTGGAGAACAGCCCTGGAGATTGCTTTGAGCAGAGTTGGAAGGCCCCATGGGGACAGCGCAGATACATGCACAAGCTTGGACACCGTTGGTTTGGGGTCTTCAGTTTGTGTTTATTCTGGCCCTTCCTTCTAGCCAATTTGCATTTGGTTTTCATTCCACACTGTCTTGGATCCAGCCTGGAATGTATAAATCACTTAACTAGCAAGCAAACATCAGGGCCACCAGAGGATGGAAAAGAAAACCCCCAAAGTGGGTTTGAAGAAGGACAACTGGATAAAGGTGAAGAGGGAGAGAATGGGCGGGCAGGAGGCAGAGAGAAGCTGAGGACGTGAGCTGTGATTGTGCCTCCTCGTCTCCTAAGGATCAGCTCAGCCAACTGGGGTACCTGGAGAGAGAGGCAGAGAGGAGAAGCTATAAGGAGCATGTGTGCAGAAGGAGTATAAAATAGAACAAGCCCATGAACCTAGCTTCAGGGAAACTGACCATCACTCAGAGTGTCTGCTTCCCACCAGGGGGTTCCATTGAATCAACTTGAACCTTCTGTATGCCCGTTGGGCCCCCGGCTTGCCCTTCTTGCTCAGATCAAGAATCCCCTTCCATGTCTTTCTCCCAGATTTACGTCCCCATCCTTGAAGGCCAAGCGTTATGTCACTTTGTCAAAGCTTCCCTGGATTCTCCCATCAGACTTCAGCAGGGAAAGAGGAAGGCTGAGCTCATCTCTTTCCTCTGAGCATCTTGGGCTCCCTGCCTATGACGCTGGCTGCCCTTCTCCTTGGACCAAGCCTTCTGCTAGACTCTCAGCTCTCAGAGAGCAGAGACCAGTCTACCTCAACTCTGTGTCCTGGGGCTCCTGGGGGCCATGGTAGGTATCAGCTGGTAAGGTTGTCATTGCAGAGAATCCTTGCAATTTGAATGACACCACTGGATGGTTACAAGCCTTCAAAAGCTTTTCTGCATTTTTGCTGGAGAACTCTTGGGAAAAAAGAGTGCCTGAATCTCTCTGATTTAGTAGCTGGATGAACCAGTTACAACACAACCCACGTAATTACAGGGAGTGTTGTGGGGTGGGGGGGATGTGAGGAGTTTGGGGCAGCAGGAAGAGGTTACGCTTAGTGTGACCTCTTTACTCTTTGGCGCCCTGTGTTCGTAACATAGTTTTGGTCACGGACTGGTAGCATTGAGCTGACTAAACATTATGCTTTTGTGAAATTCTGGACTGGAAAACGAATTGAAAGGCTATTTCTAAGCCCATCTTCTGCTCTTGGAAGGAATAAATGCACCCCACGCTGCTGCACTCTAAGAGATTACAGGGCCGCTCAGACAAGATCTGGCCAGGTAGAGAGATACCATGCTAATTATTTTCAGAAGGGGAATTTAAAACAAGGAATTGATTGCACTGTGGGGAGAGTGAGGCAAGAGTGATTAGCCCTGACCCCTCCTACCCAGCACTAGAGGGACGGGGCTGGAGGGGCCTCACTAGAGCCCAAGGTCTGGGAGCACCTGGAGGAAGGTGGAACCATAGACAGCTTGCCAAGAAGGGCTGGTGCCAGGGCAATGCAGCCACAGCCAACAACGCCGCCCGAGGCAGAGGCGGAGGAGGCATACCTTAAGTTTTCTCTTCCTCCCACCAGTGCTTCCCATTGACTGAATTAACCCCGTTCCCTCCTTTCCTTTTTTCCCTTCTTTCTTTCTCTGTCTTTGTTTTAAGAAAAACTTTTTTTTAAGAGAAGGGAACATTTTTCTAGAGCTCACCAGTATCTCTAGAAAAGAGAGTAGCACATTTACAATAAAGAAGTAAAAAAGAGAGTGCCCTTGCAGCCCTGACTGCAACGAGGAATGATGTCTTTTCCTCCCGGATTTCAAAGCACCCATGTGAACTGCAGACGAATGAACCCATCTCACTGGAGGTGCGGTGGGACACTGGCACACAGTGACTAGTGGGTAGGAGCATGGGCCCTGGAGCCAGACAACTTGGCCCTACTCCTAAATGGTGATCTTGGGCAAGTGTTTCAACACCTCCATCGAAGATCTACATCTACAAGTAGACAGGGGAAAGTGATCACAATAGTCCCTACTTCATGGAATCAGTGTAAGGATTATGAAGTTAATACATTTAGGGATCTTAGAACAGCACTTGGCAAACAATATGAGGACTGTGATTTTGAAAAGATTCCTAAATGGTCCTGTGTACTCAGCCGTCTTCCAGCAAGGCTCCTCAGAATAGAAAACCTGCTTTGGCATGCCTCCATGGGGCAGTATTTGGACTTAGGGATCAAATATCATCAATTTTTAGCTTTTAATCAAACACACACTATTTCTAGCAGTAAGAGTCAAGTGCTGGCTTGGCATCCTGCCAAGTGTCATCTGGCAAGGACTCAATTAAACTAGAAGGAGGAAGTAGGAAAGACAAAATAAGCCCCCCCACTTTGTCTCAAAATGTCATTTCAAAGACTGCCAGGCTCAGCTGCTGCCCCAGCACAAATCAGGGTTAATGTCCTGCACCTGCAGAATCAGGGCCCTGCCACCAGCTTGTGACATGGCCACCCAGCACCAGGCCAGGGTAGCTTGAAGGGGTTTGAGTGCATTGGCCCAGTCATTTGGTTGGCAGGTCGGGCCAGCTCCTCCAAAGCCCATGACACTACAAATTGGTTTCTCAGGTAGCTTTTTCCCTGGTTCCTGTGTGGTCTCTTCTTTACCTTTCAAAGTTATAGTATTAATTTCTGAAAGAATGAAAATTGGGCTAGTGATCCCATAACAACATATATTCACCATCAAAACAAAAAATGACTCTATGAAATATACGAGATCCCCAACGTATCAAGCAAGGATTCAGTTCATAAAATTGAAATGGGGCCTTATGAAACTTTTATCACAGACTCTTTGTGAACTTAGAAGTTAGGGGACTTCTGATTTTCAGTTAGGTGTTTAAATGTAATTAAATGAACACTTCTGCAATTCCCTTAATTAAGGACTAAGGGAATTAGGTGATTTAACTTATGCCAGTTTTCATCCATGCGTGATTTTTTTCCCACGTTGAAAGCAAAACCCAGAGTTTCCTAGCTTAGAGGCAGAAACTCAACCAGAGCCAGCATGAACTCTGGCAGTGACCTTAGAAGCGGGAAATTGTGGGGGAGGAGCTGGAGAGAAAATATAGCTTAAAAGAGACAGGATGTCCATTAATTAAAACTAATACAGGACATTAAAATGAAAGCTAATGGTGGTAGCTTTAATTCCTTAAGACTTCATTCATATCTAAACATGCGTTTTAATGGCTAAGTCCATACTTGAGGTACTATGAGTATTTGTTAATTGCATGAATATTTCTTATTTTAAAAAATATGTCTACTTTCAAGAATTAAGGGAGGTGGCACTATTAAAACTTGTTTAAAAAACAAAAAACAGGCGAGTTAAAAACAATAAGGAAGGCAAGTTCTAATAAGCTATTTCCCTTTTTCTGGCACTTGTGTGTGTAAATATATAAACCTTAATTCAAGAGGATCACATTTCGTTAAGTTGTCTAAACATAAGCTCACTTGAAAATAGCCTGAGTGTGGAAAGGCTCTTCTAAAGAATATTCCAGTGTTTGTTCTTCATCACTTAAAGCTGCAGTCTTAATTTTAATATGACATGTGGCATTCCAGACATAGAAGAAGCCATAGATCATAGCCATGGAGATAAATGACTCACTTCAAAATGATAAATTATATTGAGGTATTAAAACTTCTCCAAGTCTTACATACAAATAGATATGATTTAAAAATGCCATTTTCCTTTTTATGAACCATATTTCAATGATTGATCACAAAAAGAAAGCTGGAATATTTAGCCAATTTTCAGATCTATCTTTTTCAAAGTCAAGTTTAGAATGGAGAGATTCTGACAGCTCATTGGCTTTCTTCTATATAATAAATTATGTGTGCTCTTCACTGTTTCTCATTTGGAATCATTAATTCATAAAATGAAGCCTTGAAGTGAGACTTCTTTATCAGACCTAAAAATTAGGAAGCAAATACAGATAAAAACTGCTAAGTCAACCTTGGCCAAGATTCTTTAATGAGGGAAAAACCAGCCATCTCAAAGACTAATGCTGTCAGCCACTCAGAGTGGTGAGAAGCCTCCTCTACAGGAGTCAGAAGAAAACCTTTGTGTTCCTCCTCTTTGGGTAACATCAGCCATGCCTGCTTTCTTCATTTAAGAACCAGATGAGATCAGGTATATTTTGAAGCCATAAAGCACCATTTACATATTAGATGTGATAGTCACAGTGGGAACAGAAATATTGGAGATTCAATTCAAACTATTCTTATTCCTAAAAAATAACCCAAAGTATGTTTCTATAAAATGGAGTCAGTGTCATCTCTCTCTAATTCAATGGACAGCAAGGGAAATAAACAGCCACTCTAAAAATGGAATTGAAACAATTCAATAATCTCTGAAAATAAAAAAAAAGCTTTTCCCAATGATCTTCAGTCTCAAAACAACATAGATCTGATTACAGGCTTCTTGGGAGACAATATTAATATAAGCAATCATATAACGTGTGTCTTAAGAACCCAACAACTACAATTATAATATATTAGTTGTAGTTTGTAAAACAGAGCACTCTTCAAAAATCAGTCTATAAGGTTGAATCCAAATGACTTAACCATGGGACACAAATTGTTCTGTGAACTTGCTCTAAAGATAAATTGTTGGACTGAAAAGATCAGAAGATTGACTTTCATCATCTAATAAAGAACAGAAATGGAAAAAAATCTATTTTTTTCACAATGGCTCACGTGTCTTAGTTTTGATTTTCAAGGCACTAGTTTCAGCAGCAAGACATAGTTTATTCATAGGCTTTCTAAGGGTAAAACAAATAGTGTGCAGAGTTTAGATCAATATAAGAATGACTCACTTGACAGATATTTGGATCTGTAGAAACCTCAGCCCTCTGGTTCAGATGCTCCAAACCCCCATGTAATTTTTCCCTCTAAGATCCGTAAAATAACTGTCACGAAACCCATCCTAAAGATGCAGAACAATCCTCCACAACAAAACATTCTTCAAACATTTACTCAGAGTTAGTTTATTCTATTTTACCATCAATTCTAAAAAGCACACTTATTTAATTTCCCAGTGTATAGAAACATAGAAACAGGAATTTAGAAGGTGAGAGAAGAAGAAAAAAACACGAAGAAACAACATTACAAAAGATGTGAGCCCAAGTGGATGATGGCTCACACCTGTAGCCCCAGCTACTCCAGAGACTGAGATGGGAAGATCGCCTGAGTCCATTTCAAGTCCAGCCTCGGCAACATTAGTAAGGCTCCCTCTCTAACAAGTAAATAAAATAAAGAAAGATGTAAAAGCTGACTGTGTACTAGGTAGGCAACAGACAGAACGATAGAAGCCAAGATGCACTCACTGCAATCAGGGCACAGTAAACTTTCAAGGGTACCTGCCAATTGAATAGTGTTTAAGGCTGTCAATGCATTCAGTGATAAACTTCAAAGTGAATTAAAACATTGAAAGACAAAGGAGGATATATTAAAATAATTTCTTTTCCTGTGGAAAATTTGGAACATGTATGAAAAGTATATGAAAAAAAGCCGTCATGATCTTGTATCTTAGAAATAATCAGTCAACAATGGTTTAATTTCCTCCTGCTGCCACCATGTGCAGTAAATTTGCATACATTAAGATCTCATCATTAGGCCATTCCCTAATGCCCTGGCCTTGTTGCTTTTTAAATAGAAGCTAATTGTTGGAGCTACTGAGAGGAATCAGCGGACCTGAAGGGGTTCTGGGTGTTTTCTCCCTAGTGTTGCAAGGTAAATTGATCTTCTAGAAGAAACTATGAAGATTATAACCATTCTAAAGGGATTTCAATTGCATTGTGCTGACATATGTTAAATTTGTTGTGATAAAATGTAAAAATCTGCAGACCTACCTCCTTTAGCTATGTCAAAAAGGCAGCCTCATCAGCAATTTCACATGCGTCAAAATGTCCACACATCTTCAGATTCGCTTTTAAAAATATTATTTCGGTAACTGGAAAAATGAAGGCAAGTATCCAGAACATAACAACACATAGGAATCCAGCACTTGGAATAAATGCATATTTACATTTTGTAATTTTGCATTCTTTTAAAAATAAAAGTGACAAGACATTACATGTGAATGGGTAATACCTCATTAGTTTCTTCTTGGTTTTGATGCAGGGCAGGTGAACCCCCAAACTGGGGCTTAGCCTGGGAGGGTTCTTGGCTTTGCCCAGGAAAAACTTCAGAGATGAGCCAGTGGTGTTAGCAACTCCTACTGAAGCGGCTGTGCACAGCAGCAGCAGAGGGACTGCTCCTTCCAGGGCAGGGCCACCCCATTGGCAGGGTGCCCAGAGTAGCAGGGGCAGTTCTGCAGTCATATTTATACCCACTTTTCATTACATACAGATTAAGGGGCAGGTTATTCAGACATTTCTAGAAAAAGGGTGGTAAATTCCTGGTCATTGCCATGGAAAGGAGTGGTAACTTCTGGGTGTTGCCATAGCAACGATAAATTGACATGGCACTGGTGGACATGTGTGATGGTTAATACTGAGCATCAACTTGATTGGATTGAAGGATACAAAGTAGTGATCCTGGGTGTGTCTGTGAGGGTGTTCCCAAAGGAGATTAACATTTGAGTCAGTGAGCTGGGAAAGGCAGACCCACCCTCAATCTGGGCAGGCACAGTCTAATCAGCTGCTAGCGTGGCTAGAACATAAGCAGACAGAAATATGTGAAAAGAGAGACTGGCCTAGCCTCCTAGCCTACATCTTTCTCTCGTGCTGGATGCTTCCTGACCTTAAACGTTGGACTCCAAGTTCTTCAGTTTTGGAACTTGGATTGGCTCTCCTTGCTCCTCAGCCTGCAGACAGCCTATGGTGGGACCTTGTGATCATGTAAGTTAATACTTAATAAACTCCTCATATATATATATACACACATATATATATATACAGATATATACATATATATACACATATATACATATATACATATATACATATATATACATATATATACATATATATACACATATATATACATATATTCCATTAGTTCTGTCTTCCTAGACAGATCATGTGAGTTAATACTTAATAAACTCCTATATATATATATTCCATTAGTTCTGTCCCTCTAGAGAACCCTGAGTAATACATGTCTTACGGAGAGGTGTTTTCACTTCCTCCCTATTTCAGCCAGCCTTCAACCCAGTTTGGAGTAAAGTCTTGCCTCCTACCTCAGTTTCAATTCATTCCCTCCTCTTTCTGAGGCAACCACTCCCCTGTGGGTCACTTTTGAATGAAAGATGTCAATTACTGGCAGAAATCTTTGGGATGTGGCTAAAAAAGTGAATGCTGTCAGTAGGATATCACCAATAGGAGTTTCTCTCCTTTTTTAGGGGATGGTCACAACTTCATGAAAGGCTTTCTAGCTCTAGCTTGGAACGGACTTGGGTTCAGATTCTGACTCTGCTAAGCAATTGACCATGTGACCCTGGATGATTTACTTAAATTCCCTGTGCCTCAGTTTTCTCATACCTAGAATGAAAATAAAAATGGAACTTACAGGTTCGATGTAAGGATGAAATGAGTTAATTTACATAAAATGCTTGGCATAACTCATGGCACATAAAAAAGCTTGAAAAAATGTAAGTGATTTTTATGAGAACTTGAAAGATGAAGGAGGATATATTAGGAAGTGAATTGTTAGCTGTACAGAAAGTGTCATTGATTTTTTTTTTTAACCATGTCTTAAGATAGCTAAAGAGTGGGATTTTTATCAAGGGACATCAACAAAGCTCTAGGCTGACATTTGAAAGGGAAATTATTCAATTCAATTAAACAAATATTTATTAAGTGACTAGTATTTAACATGGACAGTAAGATTTCAATGTAATAGTAGGCAGACAAGTGAACAGCTATTCTGTCATTGCTGCTGGATGGTGCTGCCTCCTAGAATAGATGCTTATCTGGAGAGGAGGCTTTCCACATGGTTCATAATAAGGAATTGATCAAACATCAATAAAAACATCTTTCTAATTTGTAACTGACATAAAGCTGGCATGGTGAGGTGAATCCAAAAGATTATAACAAGCTGGAATTATAGACTAAAATTTTTAAAATGAGATTTAATATGGAGAAATATAAACTTCAAAAAGCAACTAGCCAAGAGCAGCAGGGTAACAGCAGGTCATTTGAAAAAGTCTTGAGGATTTTAGCAGATTTGGTGGAAGCCCTATTTGAGCTATCTTACATAGTTGCAGAAAATCCTGCAGACTTGCACTGTATTATTAAGAGAAACACAGTACCACAACCGATAAAGGTCTCATGGTATTCCCCACTGGCCACAGCACATTTTGTTCATATTTGAGGATAGCTGCTTAGAAGGATATTGACACATTGTAGTATCTAGAGGAAGGTGTCAGAGATGATATAAGAATGGAAACCATGACTTTATAGAAAAGGTTAATACGTGAAGGTGGCTTCATGGAAAGAAATATTGAGACTGAGGACATGGGAGGTGGCTTCATGGAAAGAAATATTGAGACTGAGGACATGGGAGGTGGCTTGGTATACTTTAAAATTTGTCACTTGGTTTTAAACTTTACAGGAGGTTATAAGATGACAAATTGAAAATGTCAAGAAGGGCATTCTAGAAATTATAAATAAAATGGTAAGAAAAGAGTTTCCTGCCACTGGATAAATCGAATGAAATGATTAACTGTCAGATAAATTGTAGAGAAACTTCTTGCATCAGTGGGATGAATGAAGACAGTTCTGACTCACACCCTCATCCTACAAATGCCCTAGTAGCAAAGTCTGTACCTGAACAGGCTGTGTAATTATTCTCCTCTGTGCTACGTGAGACAGAAGCATGTAGTTGACTTTATTATAATGGGATCTTTTCAATCTCCAAAGGGCATTGATTTGTTTTCTAGTCTGTATTTGCATTAATTTTTGCTCTTTAAAATAAAACCAATGACCACTTTATGTCTACTAAGATGGCTATAATGGTAATATATTTTTTAAACACAGAAAATAACAAGTGTTGGCAAGAATATAGAGAAATTAGAGCCCTCATACATTGCTGGTGGGAATGTAAAATGGTGCAGATGCTGCTGAAAACAACTGGACAGTTTTTCAGAGTTAAAGAATTGTCACATAGAATTCTCAACATGGAATTACCATGTAAACCAGAAATTCCACTCCTAGATATACATACCCAAGAGCATTTGAAAATATTCATGTACAAAAACTGAAAAAAAATTATGTATAAAAAAACTTGTGTAAGAATGTTCATAGTGGGATTATTTATAATAGTAAAAGTAGAAACAACACGTGTCCATCAATTAATGAATGTGTAAAGTTTGGTATACCCATACAACAGAATATCATTCAGCCATAAAAAGAAAGAAAGTACTGTGATGCTACAAGATGGACAAGCTTTGAAAACATGCTGAGTGAAAGAAGTCAGACACCAAAGGCCACATATTGTATGATTCCATTTGTGTAAGATGTCCAGAATAGGCAAATCCATAGAGATAGAAAGTACATTTGTGATTTCCAAGGGCTGGAGCAGGAAGGGAGCATTGGGAGTGATTGCTGTGGATATGGGTTTATTTTAGGAGTAATGAAAATGTTCTAAAATCAGTTTGAGGTGATGGTTACACAGCTTTGCGAATATACTAAAAACCACTCGGCTGCACTCTTTTCAATGGTGAATTTTATGTAATGTAAATTATATCTCAAAATCGTGTCAATGATTTGGAATAAGTAGAATTATGTTTAAAAAATTATGGCACTTTTCCATTTCTCTAACATTTCCAAAGGTTATAGAGGGTTCTGGCCCCGCCTTGCTCCCCTCTTAGCCTAGCTGTTTTACCACTCTGTACATTGACGTTTTTATAGATCTACATGAAGTGTGCAGTTATTCAAAACAACTTGTAACATAAACTATGACTATTCCTTCCCTGGAGATCTGGAGGCTGTTTTCTAATTTTTCTTCCCTGAGTTTCTTGTGGCTCTCGTACTGTGATTGCCATTGAGGTCCCCGCAGTTGAGAATGTGAGTGGCTCAGCAGGGAACTGCACAGAACTGGGGATACTTGCGAGCTGGGAACAACCTTAGGTGGGCACTGGTGGCCTCCAGAACGCAGATGAGAGAGCAGGGGATTCCAGGTAGAGGAAGAGAGATCACAAGCTGGTGTGGCTGGGCTCCAACTTTAAAGCTAAAATGATCAAAGATCCCCAAAATTTCAGAGCAAGAAATATGGGGAAGTCAACGTTATTGTGTGAATAACATCAGCCTTTGGTTGGTTGATGGATGGCTATTGAGTTTGGGGGTTCTTCTGTGATCTTATTAGTTGCTACAGATATTCTCAGTATCTCTTAGCACCTTGTAAACAGAGGAAAGAGAAGCCTGCATCTCCTCTCCTCAGCAGATAAACATCTGGGGACAGTGACAAAGCCCACAGACCCTGATGGTGTCTTTGATATACAGCCACAATACGCATTTTGACACCGAGTAGATGCTTTTAGATGATGAAATCAGTGGTTTGAATTGAGGCATTTGTGTGAAGTTCATGAGCTTTCATGCCATGATTGGCTTAAGTAATTCAGAACTAGCTGCGTGTGGGTGCCGTGGAAATACTCTTTCAATCTCTTTCTTATTGGGCCATTTTTGTGCAAAAGAAATTGCTGTTTTAATGGCAAAACCAGCAATTACTTTTGCACCTACCCAAGAGTTCATGGGATATTCAAAGCAATTTTCCGAACTGTATCCTCCAACTCGAGGCAGTTACTGTGAAACCACTAGATGGCACAGTCATGCTAGATGTAATCAAGACTTCAGCAGAAATGAAAAAGTGAGTCTTGCTAGATTACTTCATCAGATACTTAAGCTGTAGTTTACTTCCCCTCTCCAAAATTTTTCTACGTGTTAGTAATTTATGTCTTCCAGATCGTGTAAATACAGATGTGTTAGACTTAGTCATCTAAATCAATTGTTCAGTGACTACAGCCAAACTATAAAAAATGATTACTTCTCTTTGTTTTCAGTTCAAGTATTTTTACTATTCCTTTGCCACACATTTATTTTTCATACAGTTACATCAGCGCCCTGGGTCCCTTTTCTTTTGTACACATAGTGATAGAGAGGGAAATTACTCATCTCCAACGTCCTGGAAATTGTTTTCCAGCGCATAAATTTCCTAGCCCTCTGAAAGATGTCAATCATTTTCTTTAGCAGGGCATTAGGGAACTCCAGCTTTCCGAAAGATGTTAGGAAAGAAATGTCATGTCCGAAGACACAAAGTAAATGATTACTTTCTTCACCCAGCTTTATTTGTCATTTGTCTTAAAAAAAAAAATAGGAGAAGTGTTTTATTCACAGTCAGAGGCTAGGGCAGCAAGACAAGGCACGTTAGTGAGGCTGTAAATACCACTGTGTCCACGTTCACTTAACACAACGCCATCTCCCAGCGCAGCCCCAGCCCCTCTGCACCCCCCGCCCCACTGCACCCCTTAATGCCAGAAACACTCAGGCCCCCCGAAAGTTTAGTAGGGCTGCATTTAGAACAAGTCCAGAGCCAACAAAGGAAAATAGTGGAAGACACTTAGGAGGGAGAAGAGAGAAATGAAATTTATTTAGCCCGAGGTCCCCACGCCATGAATGTGGCCAGCAGGGGGCTTCTCGTGCGGACGCTCAAAGCCGGAAGAGCCAGCAGGCACGGAAGCCCTCGTGGGAGCCGGGAGTTCCATGGCGAGGCCCCCCGCTGCTGCCCCAAGAAACGCTTGGGTTTGAGATCTCAGGAAACACGGAGAGCCCCCACTGCGATGGTGACGGCCCTGGAGTGGGTGGTGCTAAGGAAAGGGCAGCACACCCTTGAGGGCGGGAAGTGAATGGGGTGAGAGTTGGCACTGCTGGCCATGTTTTCCTCCATTTCCTTATGGGACTCAGTTTCCTCAAAGGAAGAACCAAAATGAATAAAGTCTGATATGGTTTGGCTGTGTCCCCACCCAAATCTCACCTTGAATTGTAGCTCCCATAATTCCCACATGCAGTGGGAGGGACCCCCTAGGAGGTAATTGAATTGGGAGGGTGGGCCTTTTCCGTGCTATTCTTGTGATAGTGAGTAAGTCTTATGAGATCTGATGGTTTTATGAAGGGCAGTTCCCCTCCACACGCTCTCTTGCCTGCCTCCATGTAAGATGTGTCTTGGTTCCTCTTCGTCCTCTGCCATGATTGTGAGGCCTCCCCAGCCACATGGAACTGTGAGTCAATTAAACTTCTTTCCTTTATAAATTACGCAGCCTTGGGTATGTCTTTATTAGCAGCCTGAGAACAGACTAATACAGAATCTAGTTTTTTATACAAAGAGATTGAGAAACAGCCCTTGATTGTGCTGACAAGATTTTAGGAGCTGTTTATAAGCGCCCTACTGAGGACTCTGGAGATGATCCTTCATTCTAGAATTATAAGGTTAAAGTTGTTTGTTTGTTTTTTCTACTTGCCTAGTCCTTGGTGTATATAAAGAATCTTGTGGTACTTTGGTATTTATTAAGAGATAGAGAGTCTTTAATTTTTGAATACATTGGATCAATTTTTATATAGTATTGCATTTTTTATAACCCTTATTTACTTTTTATTTTTAAACCCCACCGTCTTCTCTATTCTCTTGACCCAGATGTCATGTAATAAGTTATGACATTATACATTTTCACCTTAGAGCTATGTTCTGGGGCTTGGCGCTCCTATTATTTAAAAAATGGTATCTTCTATGAGAAAACATGAATATTAAAGTAGACATGAATTTAGTTTTGTATAATTAAATTGAATCCCAGGATGGCAAAGATTTAAATATGATTTATACTTGGCATTAGTAGCAGCAAGTAATACTTGCTGCAGTAACAAAAAACCATTTCAGTGGCTTTGTACAATGAAGGTTTATTTCTCACTCTCATCACCATTCAACAGAGAGAGAGCCCTGCTCCATACATTCATTCAGGGATCCAGGCTCTTTCAAACTGGTTGCTCTGTCATCTTCTAGTACCATGGTTCCCTCTACCAATGCTTTGCATCCTATCAACAGGTGACAAAAGAGAGGGCAAATGGATAAATCACATTCCACTCAACCGCCTCAGTCTGAAGATGACATACATAATTTCTGCTTACATCCCATTCATAAGAACTAGTCCCAAGGACCTATCTCAAGAAGAAGAGAACATGGATATTGTTGCAAAGTATTCTGATATCTACCATACACACACGTTAAATCAAGTTTAGCCTAAAGCTGCCTCCTTACATATTCTAAATTTAGCCTAAAGGTTTCTCCCTATATGGTGAGCTATACATTAAATGGAGGTATAAACAGACTGTAACCTATTTCTGTGACAATCATTGAGTTTTGGCCAATCAAAGGGGGCCAACTGTTCAAGCCATGTTCAAATAAGGTAAATGCCAAGATGTAACCAATCCAGCTGTTTCTGCACCTCACTTCTGTTTTCTGTGTGTCACTTTCCTTTTTCTGACCATAACTTTTCCACCAGATGGCTGCGTTGGAGTCTCTGAGCCTACTCTGGCTTGGGAGGCTGCCCAATTTGCAAATCATTCTTTGTTCAACTAAACCGTGTTAAATTTAATTTGTCTAAGTTTTTTCTTTTAGCACACATGTGCCAGCAATACAAAGTTTGAGAAGATACTAAACTATTTGTTTCAGGGTGAGAAATGCCATGTCTCACTCCTTGATGTACTCCCCCAGAAGAATCCGCCCACTCATACCATACCCAGTCAGGAATAAGCAAAATATGGCCTTGGGAATTAACTTCCTATTTCCAGCATTTGTTTAAACTAAAGAATCTTGGTGAAGTGTTGACCAAGGGAATTTTAAAGTAAAACAGCATATTTTAAAAGTTGATTTAATCTAGTCCTTAAGAAAACAGGCTTTAAGTCCTTTGTAAATGTGGAAGCCAGCCTACAAGATGGCCCCCAATGATTCTGTTGCTGATATTCCACCCTGTGTCATCTCCTCCCACTTTGAATAAGGCTGACTTGTGCAGCCAATAGAATACTGTGAAATGAGAGAGTGTGATTTTTGAGACTGGGTCACTAAAGTCATTGCAGCTTCCCTTGCTTTCTTTTGGATTACTTGCTCTTGGGAAAGCCAGTTGCCACATTGTAAGAACACTCAAGAAGCCATGCAGAGAGGGCCACATGATGAGGAAATGAAGCCTTCTTCCAACAGCCGGCACCGACTTGCCAGCCATGTGAGTGCACCATTTTGGAATCAAATCTTCCACCTCTAATTAGGCCTTCAGATGGCTGCAGCCCTAGATGACTTTTGACTACAATTTCTTGAGACACCCTGAACCAGAACCACTCAGTTAAGCTGCTCCCAATTTCCTGATCCATAGAAATGGTGTAAGATAATAAATGTTTATCGTTGTTTTAAGCCACTAAATTCAGAAGTAATTTATTCCATAGGAACAGCTAAAATAAATACAGTATATCCAGACAATCTGTTCTCCTGTTGTGGGTTTTGGAATGGTGGGTTAACAGCAGACAAAAAGCAAAAGAGGGGACCCCCTGATCTTATCCCACCAATTAGAAATATATATGATTTAAATAGATTCGCTTTCTGCTTTTTAAAATGTTCATAAAAATACTGGCACTTCAACCAGATTAAGTTCATTACCATATAAATAACCCTAGCTAGATTGCTTTTCTTTTTGAGAAGAAAAGATCATTAACTTAAATAGAATATCATTTATTTAAATTTTCACAAGAACCATATGCTGGAGGTTATTGCCATGTTTACAGATAAGAAAATGAAGTCTTATGGAGTTTAAATAGTTTGACTATACTATAAATGGCAGAGTCGGGGTAGTACAATTCTAGAAGCTGCGTTTCATCCATATTGGTTCCTAAGCCTACCTGAAGTCAATCATTTTTCTCTGTGAAGAGTCGAGACCCCAAGAGGAGGGTAGAGTTAGTTTTGGAGCCTGGTACATGCTGGGCAAGGAGAGACCCAGGTTGCAGCTTGACATAGTTCAGTGCAGTTGAACAACTGTTTGCCAAACACTAATTTGGTAGCATAAATGCTTGTTAGGTCCTACTGGCTGTGGATTCTTGATGGTAATAACAATGACAGCAATGACAGCATGATGCCAACTGCATCTCAGATACTGTTCTGATATATTCACATGTGTTAACCCATTTTATCCTACAACAATCCATGGGTAGGAACTGTTATTGTCGCTATTTTACTGATGAGGCACTAAGGCAAAGAGAGATGAAATAACCTGTCCAAGGTCACCCACCCAGCTAGTAAGAAGTGGAGCTAGGACTCAAACCAGAGAGGCTGACTGCAGAGTCTATGTGTCTGACCTTTCCAGGTGGCTCGATTAATGAGTTAGGCCTGTCCTATATCTGCTGGCTTAGTGTCTACCCCACTGCTGTCCCTACTCCTCACATTCCTCATGTCTTGTTCTCCACCGGTGTCTTGCCGCTGCTCCGGCCCTTCCCACCGTTGCTGAGCTCACCTGCATGGATGCACTGTGTTCTACTGCTCTGTGGATGCACACATGGTGGCCAGTGTGTTCTTGGACCCCTGGGAGTCCTTGGGATATCTGTGCTTCCTGCTAGAGCTATAAGAGTGCTGAACAGGCAATTACCCCAATGTCCCTAACTTTGATGCAGCCCGAAGCAATCTTCAGAGACCGCCAAATAGTCTGAACTCAAGCAGGGCAGGGTCATTCTCAAGCTGTGATTTGTAGAAGAATCACCTGGTGTACCTACTTAAAATGCAGATCCCCAGGAACTGTGGGAAATTCTGAGCCTATGGGTTTGGGGTAGTGCTGGTTACTCTGAGGCAGGAAACTACCTCCAAGCCTTAGAAGACTCCCACAACAGGGAAATGCCCTCCTCTTCACATGCCCCCCTTGGAGGACTTACTCTCCTTCCCGGAGTTTTCATGTTTCAAGCATCGTTTTACGCCATCTTAATCCATTCAGGCTCCTATGCTGTAATGCCATAGATTGGATGGCTTATAAACAACAGAAATTTATTTTTCACAGTTCTAGAAGCTGAGAAGTCCAAGATCAAAGTGCTAGAAACTTCTGTGTCTGGTGAAGGCCTACTTTCTAATTCATGGATGGTGACTTCTCATTGTTCCCGCATGGTAGAAGGGGCAGGGTAGCTCTCTGGGGCCTCTAATCCTCCCAAAGGCCCCTTCTCCTAACGCCATCACCTTGGGGATTAGGTTTCAACATGCGAATTTTGGGGAGACACACTCATTCAGACCATGGTACATGTTTTCCATAATGACTGCCTCCTTCTCTCCAGATCAGGTGACTGGGTCTGGCCCCCACTGTGGCCCACATGCCCCTTTCTCACGATCAGTGATCTGTTGTCCTCTAGGGCCCCAGGCGAATCAGAGAAGATGGCTCAGACACCATCCCAGAGTGCCCAATTCCACTCAGTGGCTGCTGGGAGCAGCAGGCCAGGCCTGGATCACCAGCCCTACCCGTAAGGGCCTTAGTTGCTGGTAGACAGTCAGAAATGTAAGCAGATTATCAGTATCGAATGGAAAGAGCTGACAAAGAAGTATGAATTGGGTCCCATTGATGGCAGGGGCAGGCCTTCTGGAGCAGCCGCTGCCATCATGCTGGCTGCAGCAGGGAGGTGCGGCCAGGTATGCACACTCCATGGAGTCAGTGGGAACTGGGGACAAGCAGGTGCCCCACCCCTTCTAAGTTGGGGCAGGAGCTCCCTGGGTGCTGCTGCAGCCACCCAAGCCATGACTGTGGACCTGGGCATCCCTGTGCTCTTGGAGGGGCCAGGAGCAGGCAGGAACCCCACCTTCCCAGGCGCAGCTGCAGTTACCCAAGTTGCAGCTGTAGACCCAGGCCTCCTGCTCCATGGAGCAGGCAGGAGCCCCACCCCTCAGGGTGCAGCTGCAGCCACCCAAATCAATCTGCAGACCCAGACATCTCTGTGCTCTTGGAGGCCCATGAAGGCCAACCCTGCTCTCACAGGCTCCAAAATATCTGCTCCTGCTGCTTGGTTTCTCCCTGTTGTCAGTGCCTGCTCTGATCATGGAGCAAAGTCAGGGCTGAGTCCAGGGCTGTTACAGCCTGGCTGGGTGTGCACACGCTTAGGGCAGTGCTGACACACAAGGCCCCTTCCACCTTGGCCCCCTCTGGACTTTGGGTGCCAACGAGTATAGGTGTGAAGCCAAGGGGTGCTGAGGGCAGCTCGGCACTGGCCTACAGGTGCCCCTTGGCACCTACAGCCTGGCACCATAAAAATCGACAGGAGGCAGACAGGTTCCTTGGCGGAAGGGGGGCAAGTCCCTGGTGAGGCCTTACCTTCACATCAGGGAGGGCCTGAAGGCTGTGGGCTGGGCTGCCAGTCCCGCCAACTGGAGTGGGAACTTGTGGTTCCTTTTCCAGGCCCACCCATGGTCATGGGCCAATTGGCATTCACTTCTTCCCCTCTGTGGCTTATAAAAGCCCCAGGCTCTGCCAAAGCCGAGCAGACATCAGGATGACTTAGCTGTAGAGAGAAGCTACCCACTCAGGACCTCCTCTATGCTGAGAGCTGGGAAGATGATGGGACGACCTGCATGTAGACAGGAATGACCCCATCCAGTGCTGCCTCTGCTGAGAGCTGCAGAGATGATGGGATGACCTGCCTGCAGAGAGGAGCTTCTCACTCCAGGGTCTCCTCTGTGCTAGGAGCTGAACACTCGTTGGGATGCCCTGGCTGTAGAAAGGGCCTAACCCCTGCATGTCACCTCTAAGCTGTTCTATTGCTCAACAAAGCTCCTCTTTGTCTTGCACACCCTCCACTTTTCTGCATCACTCATTCTTCCTGGTTGCAGGACAAGAACTCAGGACCCATCAAATGGCAGGGCTAAAAGAGCTGTAACACACACAGAGTTGAAATATGCCCCTTGCTCACCATGTTGCAAGTGAAGAGAAGGGGAGAAGAGCTGTGGCCCTTCAGGGGGCCCAGACCTGTGAGCTCCCCGAGCCAGGGCTGTGATTCCCTCTCTGGAACCCTGTGGTTCCTGGTATCTCCAAGCTTCTGGGCACCATCGCAATTCCCGGTGCCATCAGGGGAAGCTGCTTGTGGTGTGCCTGGTCCAGCTGCAGCCTTGCAGAGAGCTGGCACCCATGCTGGCACCTGGAGCTGCGCGCATCATGGCAGCAGCCGGTGTGTCCAACTGCACAGTGGCTGGACCCCTCACTTGCTCACACAGCCCTCGCTGCTCCATGCCTGACTCACAGTCTCCCTTGGAGGTGTGGGATCCAGGGCGGTAGCATGAGCTGAGCACAGCCTACATGGCCAAGTGGGTGGAACAAACCCAGCAGGCCCAAAGCAAAACTCGGGCAAAGACACCACCGGCCACAGGTTTCCAGCAAGAAAAGTAACACCCCAAAGATCCCGTAACACCATCAGAGCATAGACAGGGGGCCTTTTGCTTAAAATGCCCAACACTCAGGGAAGTTTACCAAATAAAGTGATATGTGACATGGCTGTGAAACACTAGTAATAGTCTAGGCCACGGGCTGGCAAACTACATCCCCTGGACCACATCCAGCCCACAAGCTAACAATAGTTTTTACGTTTTTGAATAATTGAAAAAAAATCAAGAGAAGAAGAATATTTTACGCCATATGACAACATGAAATTCCAACTCTAGTTTCTATAAATCGAGTTGTATGGGAATACAGCCATGCTCATTTGTTTCTGAATTGTTTGTGGCTGCTTTTGTGAGTTGATTTGTTGCAACAGAGACTGTGTGGCCTGCAAAGCCTCAAATATTTACCGTCTGGCCCTTGACAGCAAAAGTGTGCCAACTTTTGCTCCAGATAGGAAGGTGCTCTGGGCAGAGGCACAAGGTGAGAAGACACATCCGTGGTATGTGCATGGAGCTGCCTGCTTTAAGCAGTGTTCTCAGAGGAAGGAGGGTGAGGAAGAGGACGTTGGACAGCAAGGCCGAGGCAACCAAAGGGGCCATGTGGTCCGGAGAGTGATGGGCCTTGCTTAGATGTCGCTCCTGTGTAATCAGGAGCTCTGGAAAGCAGGGAGACGCAGCAATAAGAACTGAAAGCTAAAGCTGAGGAGGGGAGGGGTGGCAAGTTGGCCATTTAACAGGCTGAGGGGAGGGAGGCCCAGAGGTAGAAGAGAGAAAAGCCAGGAAGGGTGAAGAAGCTCCGCGTGTTGGGTAGTTTTGCAGAGGATGAATATGTAGGTGCAGTTGTGCCAGGCGCTACTGCCATGTCCCCACTGCCATTCCAGTCACTCGGTTCCTATGATGAAGTCTCATCTTCATTATTTATTGTCCAAGTCCACAATGAGGATTTCCAGTGGGAAGTTACCCTTTTGGATTTTCTCAGATCATGAAAAATATGATTGTGTACCTACAAGACACTTATAACCAGTGAAGTGCCATATAAATGTCAGCTGTTACTGATCAACTGAGGCAAAATTAGGGGTAGGTCACTGCAGGACAGTTTAGATGGTTAAATGTTGTCTTTTCTTCAATACTTACTACTATTTGCAGTTTATTCCAGAGGTTATTCTTGATTCATGCTGTGTCACTCCTTATGTGACTTTCCGTATAAAATTGTCGCCATGAGTTATTAGTTAGGCGAGCAGTTTAATCATTTCTCACCATTTGTCTCTGTTCAGGGAGAACTAGCATAACTATCATGCATTTAATGAACTCTCTAGATAATTATACTCAATGTCTTGCAGGAGGTGGGGGAACTAAAGATCCAGGGCTAACTCTATTCTTATATGGTAATTAATCACTTGGACAATCTTCCAGTAAAAGAGGCACGAACTTTAGTTCCTGCAAAGGCCAGGAACTGAGGGAGGGGAATGAGGAAGGATGGAGCACTTTAGAGAATCTTTCTAACCTCAAGTACACCCAGGGAGCACTGAGTCTTGGGCATTACAACGAGAAAAATGATTAAGAAGCCACAGCAAATGCTCTCTCAGCGCTATTTTGCTTTTATTTATATTTGGGGGGAGGAATGAAGTCAGAATTATTTTTAAATAAGAGAGATGATAAAAACCAAACCATTAAAAGTCACTGATTAAATATTCATAACACAGTCCCACATCCTTAGCAGGCATCCTGGGAGGTGGGATGTCTTCCTGTGATTCAGGGACGGGACATCCATCTCACCTGGAGTCAGTTTGCTGGTGGCCATCTCAGGTCCCAGCCACCCCACGTCTCAAATTAACCATCCTTGGGGCTGGACCACTGCCCACCATGTTCATATTCCTTCACTTTTTGGGCTTTCTTTTCAAACCATGGCCACAAATGCAGTCTTAAGTTTGCTGAACTTGTCATTTCCCCTAAAAGAGCAAAATCTCACCGTTTGTTTTATTTCTGGGAGGACAGAGGTGAAAAGCAGGCCTGGAGTGGTGGCCATAAACCCATGGCTGTGGGCTGCTCTGAATAGAGTAGGGGAGGTGGGAGGGAATATTATATTTCCACTGGCCATGAAAAACCACTAAGACAGAGCAACTCCCATGACCCTTCCCACCACAATTAAAAGGGGCAAAGTTTTACAAGCTCAGTTTACTGTGGAAGACGGTTCCAGTCTCAAAGTAGATTCTAGCCATGCATGTGAATTAACAAGAGATTAGACAGAGAGCAAAAGCTATGAAAGTACACTTAGAACCTTTCTCTTCTTAATCGTGACCTAAAAGTAGGAACGGCTGCCTATTTTGAGGGGCCGAGTGCAAAACAAAAATGCAGAGCCCCCCTGTTCAAAATTTAAGAATTCTATACTCAAGAGAGCAGAGCATTAAACCCAAAGCATTAAACCATTCTGGAGCTCTGCGCAGCTACATAGATCACATGCTCATGGAAGTTCAAGGCACCTTTTTTTTTTTTTGAGATGGAATCTTGCTCTGTCACCCAGGCTGGACTGCAGTGGCATGATCTTGGCTCACTGCAACCTCCACCTCCCAGGTTCAAGCAATTCTCCTGTCTCAGCCTCTCAAGTAGCTGGGACTACAGGTGCATGCCATGACGCCTGGCTAATTTTTGTATGTTTAGTAGAGACAGGGTTTCACCATATTGGTCAGGCTGGTCTCGAACTCCTGACCTCAGGTGATCCACCCACCTCGGCCTCCCAAAGTGCTGAGATTACAGGCATGAGCCACTGTGCTTGGCCAAAGCAACTTTCCAAATGTGTCTAATTTACACTAAAAGAGTTCATTCACTTACTAAGAATTTGTCTTGTCTAAGTAGAGCAAGAGTAAACTGTCTATAATTTTTCTTTAAGCTTGCAAAGGAGTGAATTTCCCTAGAACACACATGTCTAATTGGTTCAAACCAGTTCTTGTCAGTGAGCTGCTGGGGGAAGAGTTGTCAGTGCCTAACTGAGTACCACACATGTGTTTGCAAACGTCCTGATGTCAGAAGGATTTAACACTCTTTGGAATTATATTACCTTTGTGTAGAAAAACTGGTATGTGGAGTTTTGAAAATACATATATTTCTTAAAATTTCACTTCCTTTGTTGCTTTCTCCCTTAGTAGGAATCTATTCACTACTGTCTGCTATGACCCTCAAAAGTTTGGTCTGCTTAGGTGCTTCTGTGGAATACTGTCTCACTGAAGTTATTTGACAGGCGAGTAGGAGGGGCAAACAGTGTGATTTTAGCTACAAGACAAAAGTTCAGTAGATAAGGCAAACCTTTCACATTCTGAAAGTCAACATGGATGTGGGATCAGACTTAAAAAGGAAGCAGCAGCCCTGGAAATGGGGAAGGAAGCTACAGAGGAGTCACTCCACAAAGAGAAACAACTCCAAGGAGCTCTACTCTTAGAGGGGGTAGAAGCTGGAGAGGGAGGGTCCAGCGGCAGCCAACTAGAAAATAAGCTGAGGCCCTAAGTGGGCAAACATTCCCACACCTACCTCGACTCCTAGGCCAGGCTATTGCAACAGAGAGGTAGCCTAAGATGAAGAGAAAGAGCAGACCCTGCAATGTGCAAGAGGACAAGTCAATCCCCACAAGCACGTGTAAGTCAAGCCTCTGGTCATGTTGTGCCTGCTAACATCCCATTGGCCAAAGTAATTCAGATGGTCATGCTCAAAGACAGATGTGACAGCAGGTGCTCCACCCCCATCTAGCACACTGTCACATGGCAGAGGAAGAAACGAGAATGATCCAGATTGATGACAGTGCAGCCAGGAGGACAGTGTGTCCCCCGCTCAGGATTGGACTCCCCACCAGAGGCAACACTTCCCTCCCAGCTCATCCTCGCCAACTTGGCCATGAATGTGGCTGATATAAGCCCACCAGTGGGGAGGAAGTACAGGAAGGCCTTAGGCCGTGTTGCCCATCTCAGTGTGGTAGAAGCTGCAGAAGTTGCCCGCGGTGAGCTGGCGCGTGTGGTTCTGGTGGGTTCTGATGCCCAGACACAGTTCCTCTAGTTGTTAGAGCTCTGCTTGCCAAAAAGACCTATTCTACTGCTCCGATCACAGGTCTCATCCCTTGCATCTCCACCCCTGGAGGGCATCTAGGGGAGCAGCAGGACCAGGCCATGGGCCAACCTTGAGCCTGGGAGGCCAGGCTGATTATCTGGGGGCAAAATAGTGCTTCCCTAAGTCTAGCACGTGAGGAGTGAATTGTCTGCCCCACCCCAGGCCAGTGAACTCAGGTCTGGGCTTTGGCCTGGCTGCTGGGCCTAGGAGTGGAAATGGGCCTAGGAGTGAAAGGGGGGAGTTGATCCATCGAGGCTGGGTCATAGGTGGATTCTAAGGGAAAGTTTAGCCACAGAGAAGGAGCAAGTGGGTTTGAGAGACAGGAGCCTCGAACTGCTCTGGGACTCAAGAGCACTGGGCAAGAAGGTTGGCATCTGTGCCAACCCCAGGGAAGAAAAGGAAGCTGTGTGGGCACCCCACCCATTTGGATAACTACTCCATTTTGCCAATAAGAACCATGGAGCTTGTTAAGAATCAATGAAAGGGTCACTTCTGTCATGCCATTAGGATTATACCATCCGCTCATTTGAATTATTTTCTAATTAGATGACCAGCTAATCAATAATGATCCCTTAGTCAATAATGTTTGGATAAAAGGGCTTCTACTATGCGGACTGACAGTCAGGATCTAGGGTTTAAAATTTTTTTTTCCCCAATGAATTGAATGATCAGTTTACATGCACATGGCACCTTTAAATGTTTGGATTAGGCTGTGTAGAGTTAGCAGACATGCCTGCAGGATGTAACCTTGTGGAATTTCTTGCAGGAAGATGCTGCAGCGACAGCAATGACAAGAAGGCCCCTGCCAGTTAGTTGCTGAGCTGGCTGCAAGGGGGCATTGGGCTTGGGTGGGCCAAGCTAGCCCTGGGCCTCATCCCCACCTGCAAAGGAACTGCCAGCAGTGCTGTGAGTGGCCAGAAGCCAGCCCAAGCTGGGAGGTGGTGGTTCTACACAGGCCAGCCGGGTGGGTCGGCATTAATATTTGCATGATGTCATGAAGGGTCTCATTTCACCAGCACGCACTTCCTAGCCTAGAAATTCAAAAGCCTCATTCTTTGCAGCCTGGAGGAATTTTTTTTTTAACGATGTCTCGCTGTTTTTCCCAGGCTGGAGTGAAGTGGCGTGATTTCAGCTCACTGCAACCTCCACCCCCCAGGTTCAAGCGATTCTCCTGCCTCAGCCTCCCGAGTGCCTGGGATTACAGGCACATGCCATCACGCCCGGCTAATTTTTTGTACTTTTATTAGTGATGGGGGTTTCGCCATGTAGGCCGGACTGGTCTCAAATTCCTGACCTCAGGTGATCCGCCTGCCTCGGCTTTCCAAAGTGCTGGAATTACAGGTGTGAGCCACCGCACCCAGCTGAGGATTTTATTTTCCCAGTAAAAATGTAGAACCAGAAGCAGGAGGGGGGAACTACTCATACCTGCCATATACGTTCTTCAGAATATGTATCTTTCACAACTGAAAAAAAAATTAAAGAAGGAAAGATGACAATCAGGGGGTTTTACACAAGATCTCTCTGGGCAGGTTTCTCATTTTTCTCTGCCAGATGCTGCCTTCTGCGGAAGACAGATCATGGGGCAAAGGAGGGCTGAGCTCAGGGCTTCCTGCCCTGGCCCTTGGTTTCTCTCCTGCAGAATATGGGGGCTCGGCTGGATGATTTCTGAGGGCAATCCCCCGCAACCCCGACTAATAGTCTTCTATGATTTGAGGCTCTCAGCTCCTTTTTGGCACTATTTATGTATTTATGCCTTTACTTACTTTTGGCTGAGTTTTCATTTTACTCCTAAATAGTACTTGGGTTTATGCCAGTGTAACTGTGGGACCAGCTGAGACTGATTAGCCATTGCTTAAGTTGTCACAGGTAATGCAGAGCCAAAATTGCCCGGGCATGTGCAATGGGAAAAGTGTTAACCTCCTTATTGTTACCACCACCAGCCTGGCAGACCAGCTGCATTGACATCACCTGGGACCAGTAAGAAAGGCCACAGAAGCTTGACCCACACCTGCAACTGGGGAGACGATTTGAGCATCGCCTCCCCTGTCCTTGCCAGTTGATTCACAAGAAAGCTTTTTCTTTCTCATTAGCCTCTGCATGGTATTGGTTTCCATGTGTGTTAGACAGTGAGCCCATTGCTCAGTAACACTAACAGGGTCAAAGGCACAAAAGTCAGAAGAGTATCCTATTTATATGTCTTTAATTACCTATGTTTGTAAAGAAAGTGTGGGGGACAAGCACCATCTGGGCACAGTGGCTCACACCTGTAATCCCAGCACTTTGGGAGGCCAATATGGTAGGATTATTTGAGGCAGGAGCTCAAGACCAGCCTAGGCAACATAGTGAGACCCCTGTCTCAACAACAACAACAAAAAATTTAAAATTAGCACGACATGGTGGTGCGCATCTGCAGTCCTAGCTACTCAGGAGGCTGAGGCGGGAGGATTGCTTGAGCCCAGGAGTGAAGATTACAGTGAGCTATGATTTTGCCACTGCACTCCAGCCTGAGTGACAGAGTGAGACTCTGTCTCTTTTAAGAAAGAAGAAGAAAAGGAAGGTGTGGGGCAGAGATAGCTCCAGGTGGTCTGCCTTCTGCAGGGGTTCCTGCCAGGTGCCAGGAGCCTTGTCAGTCAAAACCTGAGGATCTCACTTGGGATTGTTGCCTTATCCACAGGAGAGACAGCACTTCAAAAACCCCTAACTCGCCCTGAGCATTCACAGGCTCCTTAAGACTCTATTGTCCTCTTCTGAAGTAGAATGCACAACCAGATTTGTTCCCTATTTCTAGAAGATAAAATCTATAGACTGACTTTATGTTTAGGCATTGCAATGAACTCAACTGTCTACCTCAAACAGAATTTAGGAAAATATTTAAATTCACACAAAATAAAATCTGGCAGTTTATAACACTGCATATATATAATCCAGCCCCATTTTACCTTAGGCCCTGTGATAGGAAGCATGAAAGTGCTCCAGCGTCAAGCTCTGCAGCCAGGCAGGGGATGAACACATAGCCTTGTTCAGGGAGTGTCACAGTGTCCAGATTTCTGTCTAGGGAGGAATTTATTGTTTGGTGTGGATCCAACCTCAAAGATAACCACCAAAAAGAGAGGAATTTCAGAGTGCCTTAATCTATGCTGCAGTACAGACAGAACAGGAGGAAGCTCTTTAGAGAAAATAGTCACTCAGATTTAGACGAGAAAATTAAAGGATCATTCCCCATAAGAGAAGCATCTCCTGGAGGCAGCATCCACTCCACTTTTCACACTTGATGTTTCCAGTTCTTCCTGTCTCATTTGTTCCTCGGCCTATCCCAATCAGGTTTGCACCTGCAACTCTCCACAGACACTACCCTTGACAATGTCCTGGACCATTTTCATCCAAATCCCATGGACAATTCTCAGTCACATCTTACTTGACCTCTTAGTAGCGGTTAACCAGTTGATCACTTCTCCTTAAAACACTTGACTTCCAGGTCCCCACACTTGCACTAATTTCCTTTGATCTCACTGGACTCTCCCTCACAATCTTCTTTGCTGTGTTCCAGGACTCAGTCCTCAGCCTTCCCAAGGCAATTTCAGTCACTGCCATGGGTTCCATGTTATTCGTACATTGATGGTTACCACACTTATAGCTCCTGTCCTGATCTCTCCCTTGATCTTGGATAACTGCCAGCTTGACATCACCTCTCAGATGTCTGACAGGTGTCTCAGATTGAATATGGAAAACCAGAACCCCTGATTCCCTCCCTTATCCTCACCATACCCCTGTCTTCTCCACACCACCAAGTAGTATAGGCATTAATTGCCCTTGAAGGGGATTTAAAAAGGATATGAAAACCGTTTTTCAATCTTTGTGTGTCACTGTCCTAAAATTTCTATCTCATTGCTTTTAAAAGAACCAAAATATGGGGGCCAAACATGGTGCCTCACACCTGTAATCCCAGCACTTTGGGAGGCCAAGGTGGGCAGATCACTAGGTCAGGAGTTCGACACCAGCATGGCCAACATGGTGAAACCCTGTCTCTACTAAAGATACAAAAAATTATCTGGGCGTGGTGGCAGGCACCTGTAATCCCAGCTACTGGGGAGCCTGAGGCAGGAGAATTGCTTGAACCCGGGAGGTGGAGATTACAGTGAGCTGAGATGGCTCCACTGCACTCCAGCCTGGGCAACAGTGCTAGACTCCATCAAAAAAAAAAGAAAGAAGGAAACAAAATATGTTCTGGCTCAGATAAAGCCCATGCCTAATTTTAAGAAATCCTAAAACATAGATCCTCAAGTAGTATATATGGAATGAAAGAACGAATGAATGAATGAGTCGGAGGAGGTAGGGGACTTAAATAACCACCCTAGGTCTTTAGGGCCTCATTTATCTAAGGCATTATCCTCATTTACCAACATGTCAGTTTTTTTAGAGCAGGCATCCCTAACACCCCGCTGCAGACTGGTACCAGTCCGTGGCCTCTTAGGAACCAGGCTGCACAGCAGGAGGTAAGTGGCGGGGGGCAAGCATTACCACCTGAACTCCGCCTCCTGTCAGATCAGCAGCAGCATTAGAGTCTCCTAGGAGCACGAACACTATTGCGAACTGCTGCACATGCGCGGGATCTAGGTTGCGTGCTCCTGATGAGAATCTAATTGATGTAAGGAGGAACAGTTTCATCTCAAAGCCATCCCCCTTCCCTCCCCACCTCCATCCATGGAAATATTGTCTTCCATGAAACTGGTCCCTGGTGCTGAAAAGGTTACGGGACCACTGTTTTAGAGACTTAAGAACCTCTCTCTGGCTGGCTAGAGTTCTCAGCTGTTATCTGTGGGCACTTCTCTGCCCAAACTCCTAGCCCTGAGCACACTTGAACCATTAGGCTATACAACTCTGATATTGAAATAGCAGCTTAAATTTAAAATTCTAGGTAGAATACACTAGGCCCAGCATACACCAGTCTACTCTACACTAATTCAAAAACACTTAAAATTGACCACTTGTTTCTGTTGCTTTTCAGGTGGTTCAAAAATAAGGTGCCAAATGTGGCCAACTGTGGCCTCTGCCAAATGTGGACAACTGTAATCCCAACACATTGGGGAGCCAAGGTGGGCAGATCACAAGGTCTGGAGTTTGAGACCAGCCTGGCCAATATGGTGAAACCCCGTCTCTACTAAAAATACGAAAATTAGCTGAGCGTGGGGGCGTGTGCCTGTAGTCCCAGCTACTCAGGAGGCTGAGGCAGGAGAATTGGTTGAACCCAGGAGGCGGAGGTTGCAGTGAGCAAGATTCTGTCTCAAAAAAAAAGAAAAAAAAGGAAGAAAGTGGACAATATCAGTGTAATACAGATATTCTCTTTTTGCTTTAAAAATTTTCAGTTACTTCCACTCTTGATATCATCTCCCTTTTGAGGACAATCCTCCTTTTACGCACCTTCTAACAGATCTTAATATTAAAAATACTGGTGATGATGGAATGGAAAATGGGGCAACGAAACCAATAATGGAGGGGAAGTGTGATGTCATTAGGTGTAACGTCATTTGTCTGCATCTAAATAAAAACTCTCAGCATGTGCTAGAAAGCTACAGGCTGGCTTTCTTTTCTTTTTTTTTTTTTTTTTTGAGATGGAGTCTTGCTCTGTCACCCAGGCTGGAGTGCAGTGGTGCAATCTTGCCTTACTGCAACCTCTGCCTCCTGGGTTCAGGTGATTCTCCTGCCTCAGCCTCCTGAGCAGCTGAGATTACAGGTGCCTTCCACCACACCTGTCTAACTTCTGTATTTTTAGTAGAGACAGGGTTTCACCATGTTAGCCAGGCTGGTCTCAAACTCCTGACTTCAAGTGATCCATCCACCTCGGCCTCCCGAAGTGCTGGAATTACAGGCATGCCCAGCCGAGAGAGCTACAGACTTTCTTCTGCGGTTTTGTGAGTCAGGCTCTATGAGAATATGTGGATAGGGAAGTCAGCTGCCCCTTCATCTGTGACTTACCGAGGTGAGGGCGGGACCGGATGTGATGAAGGACAAAGAACAAGAGGAGGTGGCCCTGACAGAGCCTCACACCGGCAGCCATCTTTGCTGTGGCCATGGGAGCCGGCCTTGGCGCCTTCTATTCCCCTGGGACTTTTCCTTCTCTTCCTCTTTTTCTTCCTTTTTATGGCTATAATTCTTCCCTGTTCTCCTCTCCAAATTCTTCCTCTCCTCCCTCTTTTGGAGTAGCAGCCTCAGTCCTTACTTCTCGAGGTCAAATGAAGAGGGAAAAAGGGAGGAGAGGCCTCCCCCACGGCCCCCCTTCCGCACCATAGGAAGTCTCTGCTCTGTGAAGGAGGAGGAAGGAGGCAGGGAGGGAGTGGAAATCCTGTTTCGTTCCTGCTGCCCCTGAGATACTTGCCCAGGTGCCCACTCACACCAGGGCTGGTACGGCAGGCAGTGGGAAGGGACCCAGGAACAGCGCCCATCCGCCCTCTCCCCAGCCCCTTTCTAGTTGCTCAGGACTCGGGTGCCTGGCCCAACTCACTCTGTCAGGGCTGCTGAGCTCCTCCTCTCCATGGGACCCCAGTAGGGGCTTGGTGGAAGGGAAGCCCTCCTTCCACCGCCTAACAGGATGAGGTGAGGTACAGAATCAAACCATAGAGTCACTGTCAAGGCTGGTGGCTGGGAGGATGTGATGGGGGAAGCAAGGGAGCAGGGAAGAAAGGAGAATAGCTTCCTGACAGTCTAGGTTGATATTTATTTCTCCATAGAGAAGTCATTGAAAATAGTGCATTGTTTCTTACATGTTTCTATTCTCACATACAGAATATGTCTATGCACACACGTATGTACAGTTGTCTCCTGAACAACTGGGTTTGAACTGTGTGGGTCCACTTATACACAGATTTTTTTCAATAAATATATTGGAAAAAATTTTGGAGGTTTGAAACAATTTGAAAAAATTCAAAGACAAACCTCAGAGCCTCAAAAATATCAAAAAAAAAAAGAAAAAAGGTTAAGTGAAGTTATGTCATGAATGTATAAAATATATGTAAATACTAATCTAATTTTTTATTTACTGCAAAATACACACAAATCTATTATAAAAAGTGAAAATTTATCAGAACGTACACACACACTTACAGATCATACATGGCACCGTTCACATTCAAAAGAAATGTAAGCAAACATAAAGATATTGTATTAAATCATATGGCATAGTCCTAGCTAGAGCAATTAGACAAGAGAAAGAAATAAAGGCATCCAAATTGGAAAAGAGGAAGTCAAACTGTCACTGATTGCCAATGATATGATTGTATACCTGGAAAACTCTAAAGACTCATTCAAAAACTCCTAGATCTGATAAATGAATTCAGTGAAGTTTCAGGATACAAAATCAATGTAAGCAAATCAGTACCACTGCTATACACCAACACGACCAAACTGAGAATCAAATCAAGAACCCAATCCCTTTTGCAACAGCTGCAAAAAAGAAATCATAGATGACACAAACAAATGAAAACACATCCCATGCTCATGGATGGGTAGAATCAATATCATGAAAATGACCATACTGCCAAAAGCAATCTACAGATTCAATGCAATTCCCATCAAAATACCATCACCATTCTTCCCAGAACTAGAAAAAACAATCCTAAAATTCATATGGAACCAAAAAAGAGCCCACTTAGCCAAAGCAATACTAAGCAAAAAGGACAAATCTGGAGGTATCCCATTACCCAACTTCAAGCTATACTACAAGGCTGTAGTTACCAAGACAGCATGGTACTGGTATAAAAATAGGCATGTAGACCAATGGAACAGAGGAGAGAACCCAGAAATAAAGCCAAATACTTACAGTCAACTGATCTTTGACAAAGCAAACAAAAACATCAAGTGGGGAAAGGACACCCTATTCAACAAATGGTACTGGGATAATTGGCAAGCCACATGTAGAATAATAAAACTGGATCTTCATCTCTTACCTTATACGACAATCAATTCAAGATGGATCAGACTTGAATCTAAGACCTGAAGCCATAAAAATTCTAGAAGATAACATCAGAAAAACCCTGCTAGACATTGGCTTAGGCAAAGAATTCATGACCAAGAAACCAAAAGCAAATGAACAAAACCAAAAATAAATAAGGGACTTAATTAAACTAAAAAGCTTTGCACAGCAAAATAATAATAATAATAATAATAATAATAATAATAATAATCAGCAGAGTAAATAGACAACCCACAGAGTGGGAGAAAATATTCACAAACTATGCATCAGACAAAGAACTAACATCTAGAATCTACAAGGAACTCAAACAAAAGAGCAAGGAAAAACAAATAACTCCAGCAAAAAGTGGGCAAAGGACATGAATAGACAATTCTCAAAAGAAGATATACAAATGGCCAACAAACCTATGAAAAAATGTCCAACATCACTGTAAGAGAAGTACAAATTAAAACCAGTGAGGTACCACCTTACTCCTGCAAGAATGGCCATAATTTGAAAATCAAAAAACAACAGATGTTGGCATAGATGTGGTGAAAAGTAACGTTTTACACTGCTGGTGGGAATGTAAACTAGCACAACTACTATGGAAAACAGTATAGAAATTCCTTAAAGAACTGAGGTAGAACTACCATTTGATCCAGCAATCCCACTACTGAGTTTCAATCCAAAGGAAAAGAAGTCATTACATAAAGAAGACACTTGCACATGCATGTTTATAGCAGCACAATTTACAACTGCAAAAATGAAACCAACCTAAATGCCCATCAACCAATGAGTAGATAAAGAAAATGTATACACCATGGAATACTGCTCAGCTATAAAAAGAACGAAATAATGGCGTTGCAGCAAGCTGGATGGAGTTGGAGACCATTATTTTAAATGAAGTAACTCAGGAATGAAAAAATAAGTATTGTATGTTCTCATTTAGCTAAACTATGAGGATGCAAAAGCATAAGAATGATATAATGGACTTTAGGGAGCCAGGGAGAAGGGTGGGAGGTGGGTGAGAAATAAAATACTACACATTAGGTTCAGTGCACACTGCTGGGGTGATGGGTGCACCAAAATCTCAGAAATCATCATTAAAGAAATTTTCCATGTAACCAAAAACCACCTGTTCCCCCAAAACTATTGAAATAAACATTTTAAAGAAAAGAACAATTATAGTAAAAAAAAATCATACAGGCTGGGCGCGGTAGCTTACACCTGTAATCCCAGCACTTTGGGAGACCGAGGCAGGAAGATCACGATGTCAGGAGACCGAGACCAACCTGGCTAACACTGTGAAACCCTGTCTCTACTAAAAATACAAAAAAAAGAAATTAACCTGGAGCGGTGGCAGGCGCCTGTAGTCCCAGCCACTCGGGAGGCTGGGGCAGGAGAATGGCTTGAACCCGGGAGGCAGATCTTGCAGTGAGCCGAGATCGCGCCACTGCACTCTGGCCTGGGCGACAGAGCAAAACTCTGTCTCAAAAAAAAAAAAAAAAAAAAAATCATATAGCATAGAATTAACTATAGTACATACAGCACTACTGTAATAATTTCGTAGCCACTTCCTGTTTTTATTGAGGTGAGCCCAAGTGTTGTGAGTATCCATTTAAAGACTGTATTATGCTAATTATCTCCGTATGATTAGTTCATCTCTCCAGTAGGTTGTGTACACCAGTAAAAAGTGATCTCTCACAGTTCTCTTGCATTTTTCATTGTGTTTATGCAATACCATAAACCTTGAATAACATCATGGGACTCATAGGAAGTGTCACTAGTGATGCTGGAAGTGCTCCCAAGAAGCAAAGTCATGACATTACAAAAAAAAAAAAAAAACTTAATTACTTTATGTATATCATAGGTTGATGTCTGCCATTGCAATTGCCTGCCATTTCAAGACAAATTAATCTGGTGTAAGGATCATTGTAAAAAAAAAAAAAGAAAAAGAAAAGGAAATTTGTGAAACCATCCCTGCATCTGTCAGCAGGCACAAAAACCTTGTACTTTTTGTGAAATACACCTTTTTAATCTTGTATTGAAAATGCAACTTTTGTGTGTGTGGTTGCAGGATTGCTGTAAGAAACGCATACCTACAGACTCTAATATGATTAGAGAAAAAGCTAAGTCACTATATGACACCTTAAAGCAAAGGAAGGTGAAGAATGTAAAGTTGGAGAATTTAATGCCAGCAAAGGATGGTTTGATAATTTTAGAAAGAGGCTTGACTTTTTAAAACATCAAGATAACATGAGAAGCAGCTTCTACTGATGAAGAGGCACCAGATGAGTTCCCAGGCACCATTAAGAAGGTAATTAGGACTTGCCTGAATAAATTTTTAATGCAGATGAAAGTGGCCTATTCTGGGGGAAAAATGCCACAAATGACATTTATTAGTAAGAAGAGAAGCAAGCACCAGGATTTAAGGCAGGAAGGGGTAGCTAACTGTACTGTTCTGTGCAAATTCAGTTGGGTTTGTGATCAGGATTGCCCTTATCTGTAAAGCTGTTAACCACTGAGCCTTAAAGAGAAAGGACACACACCAGCTGCTAGTCTTTTGGTTGTACAACAAGAAGGCCTGGACAAGAAGAACCCTTTTTTCTGGATTGGTTTCATTGATGGTTTGTCACTGAAGTCAGAAAGTACCTTGCCAGTAAGGGATTGCCTTTTAAAGTTCTTTTGATATTAGACAATGCCTCTGGCCACTGAGAACCCCAGAAATTTAAAGGTGAAGTGGTTGAAGTGGTCTACATGCCCCCAAACACAAAGTCTCTAATTCAGCCCCAATATTAGGAGATCATAAGGATCTTTAAGACTCATTACACATGGTACTCTATGGGAAATGTTGTCAATGCTATGGAAGAGATCCCTGATTAGAGAGAACATTATGAAAGTCTGGAAGGTTTACGCCATTGAAGATGCCATCACTGTTACAGAAAAAAAACATGGAAGCCATCAAGCCCAAAACAAGAAATTACTATTGGAGAAAACTGTGTCCACACGTTGTACATGACTTCACAGGATTTACAACAGAGCCAATCAAGGAAATAATGAAAGGGATTATGGAAAAAAAGATAGGGGTAAAGGGTGTCAAGATACGGTTCTTGGAGAAATTAAAGAGCTAAAAGACACCACACCAGAGGAATTAACAAAAGATGACTTGATGGAGAAGAGTGACGCCAAACCAGTGCCAGACTATGAAGAGAAAGACAGATGAAGCAGTGCCAGAAAACATTAGACAATCTGGGAGAAGTCTTCTGATTATTCAAGACTGCTTTGAATTCTTTTATGACATGGACTCTTCCATGATACTGGCACTGAAACTGAAGCAAATGGTTGAAGAATTGGCACTGTAGCATAGAAACACTTTTAGAGAAACAAAAAAGCAAGAAAGTCAAACAGAAATTATGATGTCTTTCTATAAATTTATACTGAGTGCCTGCCTCTCCTGCCCTTCCTGCCTCCACCTCTGCTGCCCCAAGACAGCAAGACTAGCCCCTCCTCATCCACCTTCTCCTAAGCCTACTCAACGTGAAAACAAGGATGAAGACCTTTAGGATAATCCACTTCCACTTAGTAAGCAGTAAATATATTTTCTCTTTCTTATGACTTTCTCAAAACATTTTATTTTCTCTAGTATATTTAATTGTATGGATACAATATATAATACATATAACATATAGAATATGTGTTAATGGACTATTTATATTATCTGTAAGCCTCCTGGTGAACAGGAGGTTATTAGTAATTCAGTTCTGGGGGAGTCAAAGTTAGACCCAAATTTCTGACCTGCACAGGGGGTTGATGCCCCTAACCCTCCATTGTTCAACTGTCAACTATATACATACACAACATGTAGTTTTATACTTCAGAAATATTACAGATGGAACAGGGTTTTTGAGGATAGTCTAGGACCCAATCACCATTTATTTTAAGAAGTGCACACATGCAGGAGATAATTCAATAAACCCTTAAGTCCTTGCATTAATTAAGTACTTATACTTTACTTGTAAAGATAAATACATTGTGTATGAGTTCTGTGCTCATTCCTTTTTTTTTTTTTTCTTTTTCTTTGAGACATAGTCTCACTCTGTCACCCAGGTTGGAGTGCAGTGGCACAATCTTGGATCACTGCAACCTCCACCTCCCAGGTTCAAGCGATTCTCCTGCCTTAGCCTCCCAAGTAGCTGGGATTACAGGTGTGTGCCACCATAGCCAGCTAATTTTTGTGCTTTTAGTAGAGACAGGGTTTCACCATGTTGGCCAATCTAGTCTCAAACTCCCAACCTCAAGTTATCTGCCTGCCTCAGCCTCCCAAAGTGCTGGGATTACAGGCATGAGCCACCATGCTGGCCCTCTGCTCCTATCTTGTTTGGTTTTCCTGAGAATCCATCTTGAGCCTGGAGAACTGCATATGTATGTGCTTCCTGTACCGAGTAAAAGAGAAGCATTCAGTTCCAGCTGAATTTGAAGATTTTGTTTTTGTTTTTTTTCAGGCTTAAACTCTTTTTTTTTTTTTTTTTTTGGTTCACGTGTCCAGCACCATGATGAGATTTTGTTTTTGAGAACATCTTGCAAAGCTCTATTGCATGATCTTATTTTAATGATTCTCACCACAAGATATCCCAGCCACAGGATACTACAGTCTGGTCAATACTTGTCCTTGTTAATCTCTTGTGTATTACCTCATCTCAGTTATGAGACATCAAGGACATGATCATTTTAATCTTTTTGTTTCAGGTAGAAACTCTAAGGTTATATTGGTTTTCCGTGCTCAAAACTTAGGATTATAGGCAAGTAGCATCTCAAGGGTAACTGGGTGAAGTGAAGCAAAAAAGCTTTGGGGCAGGAGTAAAGAGAAAAATTGGTTAAGGCGTAATTGGTATCTTTTTCTCCCCCACTCCCTGGGTACAGAAGTCAGGAGAGAAGGAAAAGGAAGACAGATTTTATTTTCCAGGAAAAGCAAGCACTGGTAATTCCTATACTGACACAATGTATCTCAGCATGGTGTCCAAGAGGGAGTATGGGTTGGTTATGTGACTTTAAATGTGTCGCTTCATCTCTCTGGGCCTCCATTTGGATTGAATTGGCACCCACTAACCGTACTCCTTCCCCTTCATCTATGGAAAACCAGTTTTGTTCAGGCGGTCACTGCTCAGGAAAGTTGTGCCCCACTTTCAGCCTCGGGGGATGAATCTGATTGGTCTGAGCCAATCACAGTAATTTCCCCATGCTAGTGATTGGTTTGGGGTGGCCATGTGTTATGGGTTGAATGGTATCCCCATCCACCCTCAAAAAAAAAATGTTGGAGTCCTAACCCCTAGTATCTTAGAATGTGACCTAATTAAAAATAGGGTCTTTACAGAGACAATTGAGTTAAAAAGAGGCCATTCAGGTGGATTCTAATCCAATATTACTGGTATCCTTATAAAAGGGGAAATTTTGACACAGAGACCTCTCTAGAGGGAAGACCATGTAAAGAGACACAGGGAGAAGATGCCATCTCCAAGCCCAGGAAAGAGTCTGGAATACACCTTTCCCTCAGAGCCCTCAGAAGGAGCTGATCCTGTTGACACCCTGATGCTGAAATTCCAGCCTCCAGAACTGTGAGACCATCAATGTCTGCGGTTTAAGCCATCCAGTCTCTGGTACTTTGCTAAGGCAGCCCTGGAAATTAATACAGAATGTTCTGGTCCATGTGAGTAATGAAGAAATTTGCTTCCTAATGAAAAGAGGAGAGGGTGGGAAGAGAGCCACTTTCCCTTCTTACCGCCTTGCCCATAGCATGTGAAGCCTCGGGCTTGGGGCTCTGGCAGCCATCCTGTGACTGTACCAGGCAAGTCCCAGGACAGATGCTTCTCACGAGGATGGTGCAGCAGAAAGAGGCTGGGCCTGTAGGCACTGCTGAAACACTGACCCCTCCCAGAACCTCCCACTCTCTGGCTTCATGTTTTATGAAGCGCACACACACATCTTTATTGCATCAACCAATGTTAGATATTGGGAAATGGGGTTATTTAAGCTCCAACACAGTATTATTCCAATTATTTATCCTTATATGTCCCCAAAGCTGATCTTTGTAACTCTCTTAGTAAGTGATCCCTGAAAGGAAAGGAGTTATCAGTTATAATATGTTTTCTGCAGATGTGGCTCATTTTTATTTTTGATGTGATGTAGAGACTACCAGGAGAAAGTATTAAAGTTAGAGTGGCATATAATTAATTTCTCTAAGAAATTTTTAAATGAATCATTTATACAGGACACAAAAATGTAAGAAATGGAAGCTTGCACTTTCTAGTAGCTTTTAAATTGCCATTGACCCTGGAAACAGATCACTGGACGGTGAAGACACGTTTTGGAATTGAATGATTTAACTTTCGTATTTGAATTTGGATAGAAGGCTCTGTCTTGAGAACTGTGGCATCTGCGTGTAGTGTCTGGGTGCTGCCCCTGGCTCAGGCAGAGATAGTCGTGTGCCACCCTCTAAGGGGTCATGCCCAGGTAGGCAGGCCCAGGGCCAGGTAGGGCCAGGAAGCTTGAGAAGCACAGAGCTGGGGGAGGAGAGCCAAGGCTCAGGAAGAAAGTGGTATCAGGTGTGAAGAGTGAAGAGATGCTGGAGAAGGGAAAAAAGGAAACTGAGTCTGAAGTGTTAAGGATGAGACACTCCAGGGGGCGGTGCCACAGTGGCAGGCTGAGGTTACCAATGGAAAGGGCCCCACAGTCCCATTTCTATATGGTTACCTGGAATGGGAAAAGTGGTGTCGAATTAAAGAAAACTCTAGGGTTGAACTTCATGGTAGATTGTTCTGATGCTGTGCCCTGAAGGATATCCTTTCAGTCAATGTCATTGCTCTTGCCATAACCCAGCATATGAATACGTACTCGCCTTTGAGATGAGATACCAGTAGCATGGGGAAAACATCTCCTTTCCCGAAACATGTCTCCTGACTCTATCTAGGTGCCTGAAACCCACCACACCAATCCTTTCCTTTGACTATGATATATAAGTACAATTACTCAACTTCTGTCTCTGGTGACACAGTGGACAATGTTATTTAAACCAGTCTTTTTGCTGATAGCTAAAAATTCTGGATAAAAAAATGTTTAAATATCTTCTTAAAAGCATCAAAGCATCGAGAAGATAGTAAGGAATAATCAGGCCCAAATCTAAGGGAAGCTGACGCCTAGAGTGGTAATAAGAAGCACCAAAGTTGCTTTGCTCTGAGGACATTTGCCACCCTAGGTGAACTTGAGCTTCTGATGTGCCATTCAGCTGGGGCATGCAACACAGAAGGGAGTCATCCATGCTGCTGAACATATCACTACTTCATTCCTTTTTATTGCTAAGTAGTATTTCAATGTACAGATGTATCACAGATTCATCATTCATTCACCACTTCGTAGACATTTGGGTTCTTTCAACTTTTTCATAATTACAGATCAAGCTTCCATAGACAGTCACTTACATGAACATAAGATTTCATTTCACTTGGGTGAATACCTAGGAGCTGGATTTCTGGGCTACATGGAAAGTATATGTTTAACTTTACGAGAAACTGCTACACTGTTTTCCAAAGTGGCTGTGCCCTCTGGCACCAACAACGTATGAGAGTTCCAGTTACTCCAAGCACTCAAGAGCACTTTAATATTGTCAGTTTTGTTTTGTTGCCATTCTAATAGCTATATAGTAGTATCTCACTAAATTTGCATTTCCCTAATGACTGATGTTGAGCATCTTTTCATATACTTATTTGCCACCTGTCTATCTGAGTTGATGCAGTGCCTACTCAAAGCTTTTCCTAATTTTTTCATTGAGATGTTTGCTTAATTTTGAGTTTTGAGAATTCTTTCCATATTCTAGACACTTTATCAGATCTGTGATTTTGCAAATATTTTTTCAATTTGTGGCTTGCCTTTTCATTTTCTTAACAGCATCTCTTAAAATTTCAGAACCTTTTAATTTGGATGGAGTTTAATGTTTCCATCTATGGAACATGCTTTTTGTATTAGATTGAGTCCCGTTTGAATCTGTTTTATGTTTCAGTAGCTGGCAGCTCCCAGGCTACTTGGGAGGCTGAGGCAGGAGAATGGCGTGAACCCGGGAGGCGGAGCTTGCAAGTGAGCTGAGATCGCACCACTGCACTCCAGCCTGGGTGACAGAGTGAGACTCCATTTCAAAAAAAAAAAAAAAAAAAAAAGAGGCCATTGAACTCCAGTGAGACAGTATGGTGGCTTGGATTGAAGTGGTGACTATGGAGACAAAGAGGTGTGGAAAGTTTTGTGAGATACAGGTGGGTGGATAGGAATTAGTGGTAAGGACAAGAAGGCTCTATTCTTCCAGCTTGTATGGATGAAAGAGAGTCATTCAGTAAGGTAGGAAACCTTAGTAGAGGAACCAGGCTCAGCAGAAGATCACGCAGTTTTGATCATGTTGAATTTGAAGTCACCCTAAGGAGATGTTGAATAAGCAGTCAGACCCATAGGTCTAGAGTTGAATGAGGGGTCTAGGCTGAAGGTACAAATCTGGAAGACAATGGTATATTGTAATTGAAAACATAGGCACACATGGAATTATCCAGGGGACCTGTGCAAAGAAGGAAAGAGGTCCTAGGCAGTGCCTCTCAATGTTAATAGCCAGTGAGAAGAGGAAAAACTCATAAGGAAAAAGGACGGCCAGAGGTGTATTGGTGAAATAATAGAAGATTTATGGCAGCGCGCAGTCAACTAACTGTGTTGAATGCTGCTGAGAAGTCAAGAGCCTGAAAAATGTACATGGATTTACTAACATGGAGATTATTGCAGCTGGTTTTAATAGGATGATGAGGGCAACAGCCACATGGAATGGGTTGAGTGGTGAACAGGAGGTGGAGACAGCAGGTGAAGACAGGTCTTGAGAAGTCTGGCTCTGAACGAGAGAAAAGAAATGGGATTAGCTGAAGGGATACATGTGGTCAGGGTAAAAATAATAAATCATATAAATAATGACAGGCAAAGATATCAAAAGACTATCATATACAACACTACATGCTTGAAATGTGTTATGTAAAATAATTCAAGTACATGCATTAAAATGCCTCCAACTGCATTTCTGTATTAGAGGGTTTTTTGAACTATTTTTAAGGAAATGGAATCTTTTTATTAAAGGAAGTTCCATCTACAATCCCAATCTGTAAAAGAGATCAAAGTGGAGGTGGTCCTCATGGCACCTGCACGAAGGACTATGCTTCACTCTGTACAAACAAATGTCCTTCGAAAAGGCTGTAGCGAGGTGGCACACCTGTCATTAAATTGTTATTCAACAATGACTTCCTCTTGAAATGTATCTATTTGAGGTAACTGACAAAGATACATAAAATACAAAAGAATAAAAGAGAAAGGAATTAGAGCAAAGTTAGCTGTTTGAATAGCGTATCCAAATCTACACTAGCTAATTCTGTACAGCTGCCAGACAGGTGAGAATTCTGTCTCTAAGCTTCCCAGTAGCCAAAGCAAAGAGATATGCAAGGTTATTCACAGTGTCCTTAAGGTAAGATGCCCAGCTGTTCAGGAAGGTAGCTTTTCACGATAAGGGGGCCCGAGAAAGCTGTCTCATATGGAAAAGCTAGTATAATGGACAACATCCTCAACAATATCTTCTTCAATAGATACAGTGACACATTTTGTGCAACTGTTTCTTATTTTTCTCAAAAGGAAATAATGGTATAATATCAAAGTTTAGTCTAATAAGAGGGATTTTTGTGAGATTAAGGAAATATGGCAGAGAGGGCAAAGAAATTTCTTAATATCCAAGATGCAGCCCTTTAATGATACTGCAAACCTCCCTTTCTCCCCAGTAACACATAGGCTTACCTTCTCTGAAAAAAAAGCCAAAATCTTTAATTTTTTTTCATTTGTACAAAATAATGTACATTTATTATGAAAATGCTAGTAATTCTGAAATGTATAAACACAAAAATATAATATCTAGTAATCCCATCCATCAAGGTAACCACTATTGTCAGTTTCATTATATTCTCTTGAGATTTTTTGATATATGTACAGCACTAGTTTTTGTACATATTTACAAAATGGGATCATACCCTGTCTAATGTATAGAATCTTATCTTTTAGTGACTGTGGATTAGCTCATTACATGAATGTAAAATACTTATTTAATCAACCACCTATTGATGGATATTTGGGTGTTTCCATCTTTCTCACTATTAAAAATAAAGCTTTAATGAATTTTTCATAGGCAAAATTTTAACATCTTACCAGGTTTTTCTCCAGGCCTCTCAGGATGCCCTATCCAAACCTCTTCCTGGTAACAGACTTGATGTTAGCCCATTTTTTTTCTAGCTTTACCTTCATGGAGTTATCTTGTGCTTTGTTTCTTAAGGACCCAACCTCTCTCTGATGACTCATAGCTTAGAAGAAAACAATTCCCTACTGAAAGTCACAGAGCACTGATGGCCTTAGGGTTTATTCTCCCAGTTATTAACACATTTCCATTACAGTAGCGTCCTTCCAGAAGCAATGCTTCCTTCACTTGCAGACAGAAACCCTTTTTTTTTTAATTAAATTTTTTAAAGATGGGGTCTTGCTGTGTTGCCCAGGTTGTTCTCAACTCCTGGGCTCTAATCCTCCTGCCTCAGCCTTCTGAGTAGCTGTGATTACAGGTGTGAGCCACTGTGCCTGGCTAGACAGGAACCTTTTGAAGGTAAGAGTTGGGTGGGCAGGTGAGGTACCTTAGGTCAGATATATTGAGTCAGCCGCCTAGAAATGGAGCCAGTTTTGCAAGTGTTCACAAACATGCAGCTGGCTTACCTGGAAGGCTGCATGGCACAGTGTTGAAAGGTGACAATTCTGGAGCCCAGCTGCCTGCATTTGTAATCCTGACTCCAGTGCTCGCTGTGTGTGACCTTGGACAACTTATCTTCTCTCTGCCTCAGTTTTCTTACCTCTAAACTAGATAAAGGGCTGGGCACGGTGGCTCACACCTGTAATCCCAGAACTTTGGGAGGCTGAGGCAGGTGGATCACCTGAGGTCAGGAGTTTGAGACCAGCCTGGCCAACATGATGAAACCTCGTCTCTACTAAAAATATAAAAATTGGCAGGGCGTGGTGGCGGGAGCCTATAATCCCAGCTACTTGGGGGGCTGAGGCAGGAGAATTGCTTGAACCTGGGAGGCGGAGGTTGCAATGAACTGAGATCATGCCACTGCACTCCAGCCTGGGAAAACAGAGTGAGACTCTGTTCTCAAAATAAATAAATAAATAAATAAATAAATAAATAAATAAAGAGTTATGAGGACAAAATGCATTAATAACTGCGAAGGTTATAGAGCAGAACTGGCATAAAGTCTATGTAAGTGTTTACAAAATAAGTATAATTTATTGTCAACCTGCCACATTCAGACACATCAAGCCCCTCCTACCCTCAGGCTGCTCTTAAACTGGGCCCAGGCTGAGGGCTTGCAGCAATCAAGGCCCAATGTTTCTATGGCTAATCAACCCATAGGCTGCTCAGCCAGTTCTCCATCCATTCACATACCCACCGCTACACCCAATGCTTTATTTCCATTGAACACAGCTTCATAAGGGACATTGAAAGCTCTTTTATTCCATTATTATGAAAATTACTATTCCTTTGGGTGAATTTATAACAGGTTACAAATTAGTCTAAGAAATATTTACTGTTGATAAATTTGTAATAGGTCAAATACTTTGGATGCTAGAGAATGGACACTAGTGAGTTACATTTTTCAATTTACTTATCATATGATTTTTTAATTCCCAATTTAGTTTGAAAACAGACTTGAAGTGGCTTGAAAAATGCCACATGAGGAACAAAACAATACTCCATCAGTGTGCCTGTAAGGACAGAGACACTTTTCAAAGCAAATCCCAATTCTGCAGCGGATTTTACTAGGCTCTTTTCCAAATCAGCCTATTAAATTAGTTTCATTATTTTTTGGTGAAGAAAGACTCAGCAATAACCACCTTTATTCACCTACAGAAGCGTCTTCTAGAAACAGCACAGTGAGTGCTTACAGACAATGATCTTGTCATGCTCCACCTAGTCTTCCACACTGGCCATCACCAGGTGCTTCGGAAAGACTGAAAATACCAAAAATGTTCATAAATATACAAAGTTAGCTCACCAATTTCTTCTGGGAGTGTCTTCTGGGCTATAATGGCTGCCCACTTTGCAACCTGAACTATGAGGCAGTTTTTGCTCATGTAACTAGCTCTAGTTACAGAATTCTTGTCTAGCAATTGCCATTATGCATATGAAATTATGATTTTTAGAAGCCATACTCCAACTCTGTTACACATTGAACAATGAGAACACATGGACACAGGGAGGGGAACATCGCACACTGGGGCCTGTTGGGGGGTGGAGGGCTAGGGGAGGAATAGCATTAGGAGAAATACCTAATGTAGATGATGGGTTGATGGGTGCAGCAAACCACCATGGCACGTGTATACTTATGTAACAAACCTGCAAATTCTGCACATGTATCCCAGAACTTAAAGTATAATAGAAATAAAAACATACCTTGTATTAATGTTTAGTTTTGGTTCTTTTTTTGTGGTCTGATATATGGCAATAGCTCATTATTATCTAAAGCTAATATAACTGTATTGAAACTAAATTACGTTTACTTGTCTTCACAGTGTGAGAAGAAAAGACACTTCTATCCCCTCCTTTGGGAGAAAATATCATGAAGTTTTTCATTAGTTAGGGAGTTAAATGCATGAAGAAATACAGAAAGCATTATCTTGTAAGTGTTGCCATTTTGATAGCCAATTAGTTAGTTTTAAAAATGAGAGTCAAGTCAACATCTCAAGCTCAATTAGAAAAATTTTCTGAAAGTGTTTGTTCTAAAGATTCCCTAAAGAAAAATATTTTTGGCTCAAGTGAAGGTAGGGCTGTAACTTTTTTATATCTGTATTCCCTATCACTGCCAAGACATGATAGATGCTCAGTAACTGCTGAACTCAATAAATTGTTAAGAATTAGTGAAAATCTTGTTTTAGAGACTTGCTCTAAGAGCAAGAACATGGACTTTGAAGTCCAGCATGCCTCAGTTCAAAATAGGTCTCTCTCGCTTGCCATAAGACTGGGCAGCTGAATTATCACGTGACGTCCAGTCTCCTCATCAGTGAAAGGAGAGCAAAAAGATGAATGTCTCTGGGCTTCTGGAGACAACAGTCATAATGGATGTTGGGTACCCAATGCAAAGAAAAGGAGGCTATAGTTAGGAGGATTATAAGATAAGGTCTTGACCATCATCATCAGAAAATGAGTTTTTCTCTAACAATGACAATTAATCCCTCCTTCCTTCCTTTGTTATTCTCTCTGTTGGTATTTATTTCTTGATACTTAGTTCAATTTCCTGCTTTACGGCAAAATATCGAACCTATTGGTCTCTTTCTGATGTTTGATGAGGGGCCCCACAGTAATTATTCATTCTAAACATCACGTAGGATTATTGAGTAAATGTTCATATGGAAAGTGTGAGAAACTGGGTTAAATGTGTTTTGGACCCCATACACTCTGGGAGATGTTTTATTATTTGTTTACTTTTTTTCAAAAGCAACATTATCAGTTTGACTCCTTTAGATTGCCTAACTTCTTTCTTCTAAAAGTAAGGGGCAGAAAACAATTAAGTCAGTGATCTTATTGGTGAGTCTGGGGAGCACAGTGGACATACCAGCTTGACACACTTCTCAGGAATAAGCTGTTGCTTTGTAAGTGGGTGAAAAAGGCTTCAACCTGCCCTGGTGCCTAAGAGGCAGAATCTCAGATAAGGGTGGACGGACCATGCAAACAGGTGCTTCACACACAAATCACAGGAAAAGCCTCTGGATGTGAAGTGTGAAAAGAACCGCTCACCACCCAGTGGCCTTATCAGTGACAGTGGCGCGTGTGCATGCACACAGGGCTCTTTGTGGGCCATCCCGGGGGCGTCTTTGAATTACCAAGGACAGGACACTAGCAGAAGGGGTCGGCAAACAGCTTCTGCGTTCTTGAGCTGAGTTGGAAGGATGAGAGGTTCAGAGGTAGCGGAGGGGAAAAGATGTTCAGCTAGAGAGGAGTTAGGAGGCTTTCAGCACTCTATCCCTTTACGAAGGCTTTGTGCAATATGACTGAGGGACGTTTGCTCGCACAGCTGACTTTCTCATTGCTTGATATACAGTTGCGGATAAACCTGTCATCAGTGAGCTAATGAGCAGGCCCTTGTGCTGCTGCCTAGCACAGACAAGAGCCACAGGCACACCGTGATGCCTTTGGAGCCTGTTTTTTCCAATTGAGGCATTTGAAATATGTCCTGCACCATGGAACATTAGTGATATTTTGAAATGAAAAAAGGAGCTGTTTCTCCAGCTCAGGGCCCAGTATTGGTAGATTGGTAGTAAGGCTGTTTCCTGTGATCCTCAGCAGGCAGGCATGTTGCCTGCTGGGCGTTTTCCTTCATATTTCATTACATCTCCTGGAAACGATCTTGCCCTAGAGGCCTGGTTGTGTTTGAAGAAACATGGTCCTTAGATCTGCAGCTTCAACACCGGGAAGCATCGCTCCAAGTAGTGGGGCTAGAGGAGCGCTCTGGAAAGCCAGCAGTAGAACATTCCTCCGTTTCCACCGAGACAGGCCTCTTAGAAAGGCCAGCCTCCAGGCCACACACTTGCTTGGTCCTGGAGTCACTGAAGGCCTCTCTCACTGGTTCAGTGTTCCTTCCTCTAGGCCAGGCTGTTTCCACACCTATGACCCGGTGTTAAAACCAGGCCCATGTGTGACCGTGTGGGCCACAGAATATAAAGTAGACACCCCGTTTTTTTGGATTGTTTCCTAATGTTCATGATTCCTGGCAACTGAAAAGTGCTTCCAGGGACAGGACTTACGGTGGGGCGGAAGAGGGAGGAGAGGAAAGTGATGTGAATACTGCTGACACCGTGGAAAGGCTGCTGGGAGGGCCCCTGAATCAGCAGGAGTTCACCTTCCTTCCCGTCCCGCTCTCCAGGCCCCAGTGCTGGGGTCAGCAGTTCATGCATAAGAAATCAGGATTCTTTGGAGCAATTCATGCTGCCAAATGCACACTGACATTCCAGGCCAAACCCCACTCCGCATTTGAAGGTCACTTGGCCTGCGTCAAGCACACTTGACAATTGCTCAAAGGGAAATGAGGGAATTGTTTTGTATAAATGAGTCAACTTACCTTCAATGAACACCACTGGAAATGAACCTGGCAATGATAGACGAGTTTGCATGGCTTTACCTAAGCACCGTCATAAATTATGGCATGTATTATGTACCTCTCAGCTTATGCTCTATGTCAAGTATGGGGAAGAAAATAATACAGTCTAGGCAATTTCAGCAAGACTGGGGTCAACTTGTTAGGAGCATGTGTTCACATGTCAGTGACCTGCAGTAAGGAAAAGAGAAATGAACATAGTCCAAGGTGGGAGGTAACCAGCACCAACCTCTTCCTTCCCCCCATATGGCCACCCTTGGTGTCAGCTTCTCCTAGGGGTGGCTGGCCACCTACCTCTCAGGGGGAGGTGGAATTAGACACCCAACGCACAGCACTGTGGACACTGGCAGGAGGCCTGGGACAGGCTGAGGGGATAAAGAGGTACCCTGCAGAGCATGGTTAACCTGCACCAGGGACAATGAAGAGTTGGATATGCAGATACCTGGATAAACATTGGAAAATACACTCAGTTTGAGAAAATATTTACAAGCGATTCAGGGAAGAGGATGAGTCCATGATGCTGTGGGTAGTAAATTAACAACCATATATATTGTATGCTGAGACAAAACAGGATTGGGAGAAGTCATTTTCATATAAGAGAAAAGTGGGTTTTCCCCATCTTTTCCAACTTGTGCTGCAAGCTCCAATGATGCTGCTGGAGAAAAACTTATCTCATGGAGTTGTTGGCTACTTCGTATGGTGATACAAGGTAGAGGTAACCTCAGACACTCTTTCAGCCCTTTTATGATCCATGTTAACTCCCTCCATCATGAAACTGGCAAAGGGATTCACAATCCTCACTGGGTTCTCAAAAACATTTACCACTTAGACATAAATTTTCACCTGAAGTCAGATTACATAGCTATATGCAAAAAGGAAGCAAAAGATCTTTACAGTCAGTTTCCCACTAATCCCCAAGACATGCTCGGTAGGAGGGCAGGAAGAATAAATCCAACCTCGACATCTGCAGAGAAGCCCAAAGCTCTGCCAGAGACCCCTTGGGGTTGGCTGCTGCGGTCACCTGGTGGCCCTTCTGCCTGGCTTGATGGAAACGTGTGCACTCAGTCTTGGGGCTACAGACAACCTGATCCAGAAAAAGAGTTCCTGCCAGCCTCTCCTTCTCTCCTCGTCCAACCTGGATGCACAAGACTCCAAGAAAAAATAAAAATTAAATGTTCTTACCTCACAGCAGTTGAGGATTCGTGGTATAACTTAAACCTCACCTGGAAAACCAGCAGGGAGAGGGTCGGTGAGTGTCTATCTCTTTTGACTTCTAAATCTGTGCCTTACCTTTTAGTCATCCTGCTCGATGCTTGGCACTGGAAATGGATTCCCTCGATTGTGCCAGATACCCACAATGCCATAGGTGTGTGTGTGTGCATGTGTGTGTGTGTGCGTGTGCATGTATGTATGTTTGCATGTGTTATACATGAGTGCATGCATGCATTTGTGTATGTGCACATGACCTTGTGCATGTATGCAAATGTCGGGGAGCCAAGGCCTGGCGCAGAGGCTCATGCCTGTAATCCCAGCACTTTGGGAGGCCGAGGTGGGCAGATCACCTGAGGTCAGGAGTTCGAGACCAGCCTGGCCAACATGTTGAAACCCTGTCTCTATTAAAAACACAAAAAAATTAGCCGGGCATGGTGGTGCACCCATGTAGTCCCAACTACTCAGGAGGCTGAGGCAGGAGAATCACTTGAACCCGGGAGGCAGAGGCTGCAGTGAGCTGAGATTGCACCACTGCACTCCAGCCTGGGTGGTGATTGAAACTTCGTCTAATAATAATAATAATAATAAATTTTTAAAAATTATATATATATATATGTATATATAATCAGGGAGTCAAGTTTGCCTTCGAGATGCTGAGGAGAGAGTGCTCTAATCCCTCCCTGGTGTTGCCCTGCTGGAAAGAACTAGTGAGAGTGTGGGGAGGGGGAGGCTGAGCATCATCAGGGAACCTGAATGAGGCCTGGCAGTGCCAGCCAGCTTGTAGGAGGAGAGACAAATTCCTTCTAGGAGATTGCACTATTGTGGGCATGAGGGGGAGTGTGGACATATACTCTATTGTTCGAAGGGGGCCTGGAGAGTAATTGATCAAAGTCTCTTTGGGTTGAGAAAAAGGCACAGGCTCATGGCTCGTTTGCTTAAAACCACGCTAGGAGAAATCTATGGAAATTAGAGATCACAGATCTGAGGAATTAACAGAAAATGAGAGAAATTCTTGTGGAACTGAAAGCGGCTGTGATCTGCATGTGCTGTATGTGGTGGAGGGTGCCACCTGTGACCAGGGCACGGAGGGCACAGATTCAGTGGGGCAGGGAGACCTTTTATGTTTTGCTCTAACCTCATTTCCTCACTAGGATCTCAAAACACAAGAGATCAGGCACACACACACACACACACACACACACACACACACACACAAAACAGGAAATAGATATGGAATATTTCAAGAATCAGTTATCAAGCTTGAGTTGTGCAGAGCTCTGACGGCTGGTGACCCTGTGCTCTGCCCAGCCTCAGCCACCCACTCCCTGCTCACACCTGTGACCTGACTTCACCACGAGGGCAGTGGCTCCATGACCTGAGGTCTAGGCACCCCACCATCACTCACTACTTCCCAGCATCACTGTCCATGACCATTACACCAACAACCCTTGAGCTTTACCGGGACCCACAATCCAGCATCTTTGCCCTCGTTTCTAGCCCACTCTTCAGCATCCTCCCCTCGTTCTGCCCCAAGCAAAGATCTCATACCTTACCACTGTAATTATCCCCTTTCTTGCATCCCAAACACCCGCTCACCTCTCTCCAGCTTACTCACCTGGAAATACCTCCGCTCCTGGTAACATCCAACTCCCTGCCTTCTCTTAGCCTCACCCAGGCAGCTGATGCAGCTGGAGACAAACACACAATATTGGTCAGCACTGTCTAGCAGTCTTCTCATATCTCCTTAGAAAATTCATTCCCTGACTCTCCCAGACAACTCTCTCTTACCCTCTTCCTTCTCCTCAGTCCTTCAGCATCCCTGCCTTCCCAGCTGGAGGCCTTGTTTTTCATTTGGCTGAGATCACAGAAACCCCCAGAAGGCATGCTTTTCACCTTCCAGTGCTTAGACTCACCCATCTGACCACACACCCTGCCTTCCCTTTTCAGTAGATGAACTCACTAAGGCCAGCTCCCGAGTTCTAGGTTGGGTTCCTCAGACGTGGATCCTGAGATGAGGATTTGGGTGAAGCAATTCTTAAGGAAATGCTCCCAGGAGAAACCAGGAATGGCATGGAGAAAGCACAACAAGGAGAGAGAAGAAGACAAGCAAGGGTGCAATTTCAGACAAAATCCCTTGGGGCGTGGCTTCTGTTGGAGAGGCAGGAAGTCCAGATTTGTCCTGCCTGCAGGCCAGGGGCTGGTCTCTCACGGGCCTGCAGTTATCAGCCACTGGCCAAGGGTCGCCCAGGGGCATACACACCCCCAGGTATTTATGGCTTTGCGGGAGCAGGCAAAGGGCTCTATTAGCCCGAGGGCAGGATCTGAAGAATTGTAGGTACGGGCCGTTGGAAGCAAAAGCACCAAAAGTATATCTATATATGTAATAATTATATTTGGGACATGCAGGAACATAAGTTGTAAAAAAAGAAAAAATGGAGTAAGAGAGATTGGAGGCAGGGGATTTAGGAGAGGAGAGCATGTTCAGTATCAAGTAGGGTGTTCAGGGTAAGCCTCATTCAGAAGGTGACATCTAAGTGAAGACATGAATGAGGCAAAGGAACTAGTGAAGAAGATACCCGGGGAAGAGTGGCTCAGGCAGCAGGACCTGCTACAGCAAAACCCCTCAGGCAGTAACACTCCTGGCAGTAACACTCCTGGCAATTGGGTGACCTGCTCATCCCATCTGCCTGGGACTTTCTGGGTTTACACCAGCAGATTTCAGGTGCAGCATTTTGGCCAGCATAGCTGGGAAAGTAAGAGGAGGAAGTAGGAGAAGAGGTCATAGAGATTACAGGGAGGGTGGCCAGATTAGGTAGGACCTTGTAGAATAAAGTATTTGGCCCGAGTAAAATGCGGAGCAGAGCATTGATGGGACTTGGTGTCTTCTTGCTCTCCATCTCCCTTCCTGCTTTGTTTTTGAAGCACTGATCACGCTGTTTGTCTATTTGCTTGTTTATTTTCTGATTCCCTGACTGAGATACGGGCTCCAGAGGGCAGAGGGTGTCTATGTTGTGTTCATTTCTATGACCTCAATGCTGAGAACAGTACAAGGTGCGTAGCAGCTCGTTAATGAATATTGGTTAAAGTGAACAAATGGGTGAATCTGGTATAAGATCCAGGAATCTGCCTGAACTGCCTCTGCCAACTCCCTACCCCCTCTCAAACCAGGAGCCAGTGACTTGGAAGCTCTTTTCTCTTTGTCGTTGGGAGGCAATGGGACCCCAAAGCACCTGGCACCCTGGTTTCTCCTCCAAGAGTACCTATCTCGATAGATTGATTTTTTTCTGAGTAGTGTCTTTCAAGACAAAATTGCTTCTCTAATGCCCTAGGCAGTTAGACCTGAGCCATTCTCAGTTATGATTGCAGCATAGATTTGTGCTCAAAGAAATATCCAATTCACAAAAACTGTCAGAAATATTGTATGAGGCTCACTTGAATCTCATAGCAGGATACACACTCTTCCAAAATGCCTGTAAGGAAAACATATAAGAGTTTCAAAATCAAACAGAAGTTAAATGTCGAGATATATTATGCCATTTGGTTGAAAACTCTAAAAGAATATTTCTTTTCCCAAACTGAACAGAAGATGCATTTCTAGCCATATTTCTTCAGTCTTTAGGTAGCCAAAACACTAAATATTTGTCAAAGACACTGCTGCTTAAGCAATAAAAAATGGGGCTCTAAGGACTTCTCTTCCATCAAGGACTTCACTGGCAGTTTATTGACCTGACCTCACTGTGGATTCCATAGGAGATACACCAAGGAAAATGGGGTGATTAGTTTAGTCAATCTTATTCCCAACTGTATCTTTACTTCTACAGTAAAATTTGCCCACACTTTACCTTTGCCGCCCACATATTAATTCTAGCCTAATTGCCTGATGGCACATTATTTTCATAATATTGATTTTTCTTCTCATTTTAAAATTAGTGCATACACATTGTAAACATTTTTTTTATTTGCTTGCTCCGATTCATTCCACTTCTCCTGGCCACAGCCACAAGATAGAAGTATGAAGGAACTTCTCAGTTCATTCGTATGGATGATGTTGTTTATAAAAATTTCATCTTTGGCTCTGTGCGGTGGCTCACACTTGTAATCCCAGCACTTTGGGAGGCCAAGGTGGGGGGATTGCTTAAGGCCAGGAATTCAAGGCCAGCCTGGGCAACACAGTGAGACTTCATGTCTTTAAAAAAAAATATTAATTACATTTTAAAAAAAAGAAATTCCATCTGCTTTCACATGTGGCCTTTTCTTATACTTAACGTTCAGGAGACTCACAAGCTTTTATGCTTTTATTATTTGGGGCGTGTGAGGACACAGCAATAGTGTTGTCATGGAAACTGGCAGGAGGTACCTCAGGAATGTCAAGCCGAGCATATAAACCAAAATCCCATGATAATTCCTAGGCCATGGGCATCAGAGTAATAATAAATTCTCGTTTTTAAAAATAGTGAAAACCTACATGTATATATAATAAAAATAGCAAACACATAGTGTTTTATGTGTTAATGCCAGACGCTATCCTAAGTGCTTTAAACTAAACTCATTTAACCCCACAACGTCTCTTGAGGTAAATACCATTCTCTCCAACTTATAGATAATAAAACTGAGGCACAGAGAGGGTAAGTAATTCATCCCAGGTCACACAGCTCCCAGGTGGATAAGCTGGGATTCAAACCTGTAGATCTGGCTGGAGATCTACGCTAGACGTTATGAATTGTACTGTCCACTCTCTGTGAGTGAAGCTCTCAAATACAGTACTTTTCCTACTCTCAGAACGAGTCGCTCTCCACCGATTCTATTTTTTTTCCTGATCTTGGTTATCCAGCTCAATCTAGAAGTCAGTACATTACATTTCTGGAACCTGGCACAACAGCATGGGGGAGACCAGTTCTGTCACTGACTCAGGAAGCCGTAAAAGTGAGGGGAAATCTGTTGTTCTGGGCAAACATAGGCCGTCTAGTATCATTCTTTTTTGTTTTGTTGTTGTTGAATTTTCCCCCCATATCTTCTGCTCTCTGGTTGGTGTAGACAAGCCCCAGGTTTTCCTCTATTTAAAACATTCTGGATGTGAAGTTAGTAAACAATTTAGGTGAGCGAGCATAAGTGAAGGAAGTGGAAACAGCTGGGGCTGCAAGGCTGCACTGGCCTGGGTTGTTTTTATGTGGGGGAGTCATTGGGAAAGCTCTCAAACCCGGCCTGGAGTGTCCCTCTCTGGGTCTTGTGGGACCTGCTGCCTCCTCGCCCTTCCCTGTCCTTCCCCTCCACTCCCCTCAATTCCTCCCTCTCCCTCCTCTCTCCATTCTGTTCCTTCCTCTGCTTGGGCTTCAATGTGAAGAAGTCAGCTAGGCTTGGTGGCTCACACCTGTAATCCCAGCACTTTGGGAGGCCAAGATGGGCGGATCACTTGAGGTCAGGAGTTCAAGACCAGCCTGGCCAACATAGTGACATCCCATCTCTACTAAAAATCCAAAAATTAGCCAGGCGTGGTGGCAGGTGTCTGTAATCCCAGCTACTTGGGAGGCTGAAGCAGAAGAATTGCTTGAACTTAGGCGGCAGAGTTGCAGTGAACCAGGATCGTGCCACCACACTCCAGCCTGGGCAACAGAGCAAGACTCTGTCTCAAAAAAAAAAAAAAAAAAAAAAAAAAAAAAAAAGCACGAAGTATTCCTTCCCAAGATATCCCTCTTCTCCCTCCTCTTTTTTTTTTTTTTTTTTTTTTCTGATGGGAAGGTGGTGACTGTGATTACTGTGTTTGCCTCGAGCCCCACATGACACACAAGGGGCCAGAAGGAATGGGCTCTGTTGCCCATAGCACCTGTAGCCAGGACAGCAGCTGTCTGCAATCTCAGTGAGGGAAACCGCAGCGGACGCCAAGGCTGCAGGACTGGAGTCCCAGAGGGGAAGCCCAGCCAGGGGCTGCGCAGGAGGAAACAGGGCAGAAGGCGAGGAGGAGCCCCTCACAGGCAGCATGCTCACGGGGTCGACTGGAATTATAATGGCGGCATAGAGCCTAACTAAATGACTCCCTTTTCATTAATAATAGTACTGATAATAATGCAATAGTAGCAAACATTTATATGACACTCGTTACATCCCAGGCACTAGCCTAAGTTCTTTTTCTATAAACACATACATATTCTTTTCCTCCTCCTTTGAAGTCTGTCTGTATGTTATTGTTGTTGTTATTTTTATGTTTTACAAACAAGGAAACCGAGGCATAGAGAGCATAGGTACCTTGCCCAATGCCACCTTGCCCATAAGTAGCAGAGCCAGGACTCAAATTGAGGCAATCTGGCCAGAGTTAGAGCTGCGGGTTTTTTTTTCTTTTTTTTTTTTTACTTTAAGTTCTAGGGTACATGTGCACAACATGCAGGTTTGTTACATATGTATACATGTGCCATGTTGGTGTGCTGCACCCATTAACTCATCATTTACATTAGGTATTTCTCTTAATGCTATCCCTCCCCCATCCCCCCACCCCACGACAGGACCCGTGTGTGATGTTCCCCCCTCTTTGTGTCCAAGTGTTCTCATTGTTCAATTCCCACCTATGAGTGAGAACATGCGGTGTTTGGTTTTCTGTCCTTGTGATAGTTAGCTCAGAATGATGGTTTCCAGTTTCATCCATGTCCCCACAAAGGACATGAACTCATCCTTTTTTATGGCTGCATAGTATTCCATGGTGTATATGTGCCACATTTTCTTAATCCAGTCTATCATTGATGGACATTTGGGTTGGTTCCAAGTCTTTGCTATTGTAAATAGTGCTGCAATAAACATACATGTGCATGTGTCTTTATAGTAGCATGATTTATAATCCCTTGGGTACATACCCAGTAATGGGATTGCTGGGTCAAATGGTATTTCTAGTTCTAGATCCTTGAGGAATTGCCACACTGTCTTCCACAATTGTTGAACTAGTTTACACTCCCACCATACAATTGCTTCAAAGATAATAAAATACCTAGGAATCCATCTTACAAGGGTTGTAAAGGACCTCTTCAAAGAGAACTACAAACCAGTGCTCAATGAAATAAAAGAGGACACAAACAAATGGAAGAACATTCCATGCTCATGGATGGGAAGAATCAATATCGTGAAAATGGCCATGCTGCCCAAGTTAATTTATAGATTCAATGCCATCCCCATCAAGCTACCAATGACTTTCTTCACAGAATTGGAAAAAACTACTTTAAAGTTCATATGGAACCAAAATAGAGCCTGCATTGCCAAGACAATCCTAAGCCAAAAGAACAAAGCTGGGGGCATCACGCTATCTGACTTCAAACTATACTACAAGGCTACAGTAACCAAAACAGCATGGTACTGGTACCAAAACACAGATACAGACCAATGGAACAGAACAGAGGCCTCAGAAAATAACACCACACATCTACAACCATCTGATCGTTGACAAACCTGACAAAAACAAGAAATGGGGAAAGGGTTCCCTATTTAATAAGTGGTGCTGGGAAAACTGGCTAGCCATATGTAGAAAGCTGAAACTGGATCCCTTCCTTACACCTTATACAAAAACTAATTCAAGATGGATTAAAGACTTAAATGTTAGACCTAAAACCATAAAAACCCTAGAAGAAAACCTAGGCAATACCATTCAGGACATAGGCATGGGCAAGGACTTCATGACAAAAACACCAAAAGCAATGGCAACAAAAGCCAAAATAGACAAATGGGATCTAATTAAACTAAAGAGCTTCTGCACAGCAAAAGAAACTACTGTCAGAGTGAACAGGCAACCTACAGAATGGGAGAAAATTTTTGCAATCTACCCATCTGACACAGGGCTAACATCCAGAATCTACAAAGAACTTAAACAAATTTACAAGAAAAAATCAAACAACCCCATCAAAAAGTGGGCAAAGGATATGAACAGACACTTCTCAAAAGAAGACATTTATGCAGCCAACAGACACGCAAAAAAATGCTCATCATCACTGGTCATCAGAGAAATGCAAATCAAAATCACAATGAGACACCATCTCACACCAGTTAAAATGGCAATCATTAAAAAGTCTCAGGAAAAAACAGGTGCTGGAGAGGATGTAGAGCTGCAGTTTTAAGGGCCCATTCTCATGCCTGGCTTAACCATGACAGTCAAACAAACGACCTGACCATTTGGCATGGTATAGGAGCGCTTGTGTGTATCAGAGTCGAGCAGTGGTGCGGAACGAGATTTGGATGTTCTCTAATTCTTCCGACAACTTCACAATGATCATGTGGCTGGATGTAGGCCTGTTAGTGAACACATTCTGTCTACACGTGTGTCTTCTCTGGGTGGTCTCAAGTTGAGAAGGAATACTGTAAAGGCAAGTTACCTATTCATTTATTCAATCATGTATTCATTGTCTACATGTGTCAGATGCTGGGACAGACCCTATGGACATGGAAAAGAAGCCCATGGCCTCGTTGAGAAGAGAACCAAGTAGAAATAAAGTATATTCATTGTATCACTATGAGAAGAATTATAAAACCAGACAAACATACTATATATGATTGAAGCTATGAGAACCTCTCCTGCCTCTGGCAGGACACAGCAGAAGTTGGGAAGGGGAGATATCACGGCATCTTTCAGGAAGACATGGTGTATTAGTCAGTTGTCACATTGCTATAAAGAAATACCTGAGACTGGGTCATTTTTATAAAGAAAAGAGGTTTAGTTGGCTCACGATTCTACAGGCTGAACAGGAAGCATAGCATCTTCTGCTTTGGGGGAGGCCTCTGGGAACTTCCAATGATGGCAGAAGACAAAGGCAGATCAGGGTTATTACATGGCAGACGCAGGAGCAAGAGAGTGACAGGGAGGTGCTGCACACTTGCAAAGGACCAGATCTCATGAGAACTCCCTCACCATCTAGAGGACAGTGGGAACGGGATGGTGCTAAACCACCCATGAGAAATCTGCCCTCATGAGCCAGTTACCTGCCACCTGGCCCCACCTCCAGCATTGAGGATTACTGTCTGACATGAGATTTGCTGGGGACACAGATCCAAACCATTTCAGACGGCATTTGCAACTCATCCTAGAGGATGAGTAGGCACTAAATGACCGTGAGCACCATTTCTTCTCTCAGGGTGGAGTTCCAGGACATCCTGTGGTCCTCAAGGTGTACACGTAGTTGATTGTGCTTCCTGGCTTGTCTTCTGTACCATGGGGGAATCAATAGGTTAACTTTTCTTGTCTGGCACAAACTCCCCAGTGTGGCAAGGGAGAAGGGTACGAGTCAGCACTGGGCAATGCTTCTTAGTGTTAGGTGGTGAAAACATCCTAGCCATAATTTCTATGGACTTGTATTTCTCGCCTCTCAATTCATATGTTGAAGTCCTAACACCCAGTACCTCAAAATGGAACTGTGTTTGGAGATTGGGTCTTTAAAGAGGTAATTAAGTTTAAATAAGGTCATTAGGTATATCCTAATCCAATATGATTGGGGTCTTATAAGAAGAGGAGATTAGGACACAGAAACACACAGAGGCACAACCATGTGAAGACACCGGAAGATGACCATTTGCGAGCCAAGGAGAGAGGGCTCAGAATGAAACCAACCCTGCCCACACTTTGGTCTTGGACTTCCAGCCTCCAGAAAGGTGAGTAAATACATTTCTGTTGTTCAAACCACCCAATCCGTGTCACTAATTATGGAAGCCCTGGGAAGCTCACACGCTGTCTTACCCTTATAAATGTCTGTGCAGAACAAATGTGTCCGTCATTGGAGCAATGTCTAAGGAGAAACTCCTGGTTGAAAGCACCAAGGTGGGCAAATGGGGGCTTCAGAGTAAAGACTGTCACCATTCCTTGTCTTAAGGAGCTCTGTGACTTGAAGTGGCACACTGAGAAGGAATGTCTCCCAGCAGACCTGGCTGCCTGGCACGATGCAACCTCCAGAATGCAATAAGCTCGGCCTTCCTCTTAGCCCATATTAGGCCAAAAGTTATAACAAGAAGAGATCTCAAAAACGCACGCACAACACATGTGTACTGTCAAACAGGATTTCATGTGTAGAAGGATTCCAAACCCTTCAATGTGTACATAGTTAAATGTGGTTGATGACATTTAACTTTAATTAACTTTAATTCCACATTCTGCCAAAATATTTTCTTTCAGAATAGGAGTATAATTTACTTACGAAGAGCAGATGAACGGGCACTTGGAATCTTAGATGTTTTCTAAAGTAGTGTTTTTGAGGTAATCCTTGAACAAACTGAGTAACTAAGTCAGCTGAGATTTTTTTTTCTGAAATAGTAAAATAGAAAATTGTGCTATTTTTCCTAATCTAGCATGATTTAGAAGTTAATTATAAGTCATTCCCCCACAACACTCCCCATTTATTTCTAGTAACGAAAAACAAGCAGATGGGACAATGCTGCTTATTAGTTAGAAACCCCTTGTAATTACAGTGGTAATATAATTTATCTTTCAAACTAGGACATTTTTCAGAGTAAAAGAAAGCACTATTAAAAATTATGCCAGGATAAAGTCAGAATCCAGGGTTGTTCTAAGCAAATATATAATCATCGTACTAGGAAAACAAATGTGTTTACCCTCCTTACAGCTGTTATTGAGGAATCTTCCATGCATTGTCTCATTGTGAAATCCTAAAAATCACAAGCACATAGTTTTCTTTAGACAAAGCCATTTAGATAAGCTCAGCATATCATGCATTTTCAGTATTTCTCAAAGTTTTGCCCTGTGAAATAACTGCAAGTTTGGGTACCCGCATCTGGATGCTTCAGATGAGCTGTCATTCTGCTGATTGACATAACACTTTTTTATAAGATTGAGGAAGCAGCAATTGTCCATGTCTGAAAATGAGGACAGGGTGCAGACAGAAAGTGCTGGGGCTAAAGCATCCCTGCAGTGTTATTTCCATGATTCAGCTCTAAAGCTTATAAACCTAGGATTCGGTAAGAATAAACATAATGACAAAAAATGAAAGCTGAACATTAACTGCAAGACTAGAATGCACCTAAAATGTCAAAATTCCTGGAGAAAAGTGGAACATTACGATTCTGGTTGAGAAATGAAAACATGAAGAAGCATAAGTGATCATCCTAACAACTTTCTCATTAGCCACAGCTTCACTGGCAGTAACTTTCAGGATATAACTCTGTAGTTTGGCCTTCTCCATAAATACCTATCGCATAATCAACAGACATTTATCTCAAGGTTGGAAATTACGCTTTTCACCCACTAGAATGGCAAAAGATAAAAATGCAGTAATAACTGGTGACAGGGAGGCTATCAGGAAATGGACATTAAAATGTGCTTGGTGGGCGTATGAACCGCTTCAACCATTTTTTTAAAAAATAACTTTTATTGAGGTATGACTCACTTACAATAAAATGTACCCATTTTAAGTGTGCGTTTTAATGAGTTTGACTAATACACCCATAAATCACCTCCACAAACATGTAACATTTCTATCACCCACAAAATGTTCCTTGTACCCCATTCTAGTTAATCCTCCCCATTCCTTGAACCCCAGCTCTCCATTATCTGTTTTCTGTCACTATAGATTAAATCTATCTTTTCTATGATTGCATATAAATGAAATCATGTGTATGTATGCTTTTGTGTCTGGCTTCTTTCACTATCTCACTATCATGTTTTTAAGATTCATTCATGCTGCTTCATGTAACAGCAGCTCATTCTTTCTATTGAGTTGTACAGAGATGACACAATTTGTTTGTGAACTCACCTGCTGATGGACATTTGGGTTGTGTTCAGTCTTTGGATATTATGAACAAAGCTTCCCCAAACATTCGTGTAGAAGTTTTCATGTGCATACAGATTTTCATTTCTTTTAAGTAAACACCTAAGAGCGGGTTCGCTGAATCGTATGCAAAGTATATATTTATAAGAAGTTGCTAACCATTTTCCACTGTGGTATCTCATTTTACATTCCCACCAGCAATTCTGCTGATGTGTAGTAGCATCCCATTGTAGTTTTAACGTGCATTTCTCTGATGACTAATGGTGTTGAGCATGTTTTCACATGCTTATTACCCATTTATACATCTTCTGTGAAACATCAGTTCAATAAGAGTTCTTCATATATTCTGGATGAAAAATGTTCTGGATGGTATAGAGAGACAGTATGTTCTCTCAGTTTGTGATTTGTGTTTTTATTCTTCATGTTTTTTGAAGAACAGAAATTTTTTGTTTTGACTAATATAATTGTAATTACATTTTTTTCAAATTGTATGGTTTGTGTCCTTTGTTTTCTTTTAAAACCTTTTTTTTTATTTTTACATATAGGATTATGACCACCTGAAACTGATTTTTGTGTAGTGTGAGATAAGGGTCAAAGTCCCTTTTGCGTTGTTGTTTTCTGTCAGGCTATCTAACTAGCTAGAACCTTTTATTGAAAAGATGTTCTTTTCCTCCACTGAATTAGTGTTTGTTTTCTTATTCTTGACTTGTATTCTACTTGCAAATGCTATGTTAGTAGTAGTTTTATGTATTAAGAGCATTTTCTCTTAGTCTGTCATTTATCTTTTCATTTTCTTCTGTTGAAAAGTAAAAGTTTTACATTTTGTTTTGAAAAGTAAAAATTTTAAATTTTGACAGTCCAACGTATCAATTTTTTTTATGATTTATGCTTTCAGTGCCCTAGGAAATCTTTGCGTAACCCATGGTCATAAAGATTTTCTCCTCTGCTTTCTTCTAGAAGTTTTATAGTTTTAATTTTACATTTAGTTCTATCATCCATTTTGAGTTAATTTTGGTATATGTTGTGAAATAAGAGTCAAAGTTCTTTTTTTGTTGTTATGTCATTTTTTATTAATAGACTTTTTTTTTTTTTTTTGAGACAGAGTCTCACTCTGTCACCCAGGCTACAGTGCAGTGGTATGATCTTGGCTCACTGCAACCTCCGCCTCCCGGGTTCAAGTGATTCTCCTGCCTCAGCCTCCCGAGTAGCTGGGATTACAGGCACGTGCCATAATGCAACTAATTTTTGTATTTTTAGTAGAGACGAGGTTTCACCATGTTGGTCAGGCTGGTCTCAAACTCCTGACCTCAGGTAATCCACCCACCTCGGCCTCCCAAAGTTCTGGGATTACAGGAGTGAGCCACCGCGTCTGGCCTATTAAATAGGCTTTTTAAAGAACAGTTTGAGATTGGCAGAAAAATTGAACAAATAGTAAGGAGAGTCCCTGTATATCCCACACCCAGTTTACCCTATTACTAACATCTTACTTTAGTATGTACATTTGTTATAATGAATGAATCAATATTGGCATATTATTATGAACTAAAGTCCACAGTTTATTTAGATATCCTTAGTTTTTACCCAATGTCTTTTTTCTGCTCCAGGATCCCATCCACCCCGTTACCTCTACATGTCATATCTCCTTAGTCTCCTCCTGGCGGTGATAGTTTCTCAGACTTTTCTGTTTTTGATGACCCGAAGAGGTTTGAGGAGTACTGGTCAGGTAGTTTGTAGAATATCCCTATGTTGAAATTTGACTGATGTTTTTCTCAGGATAAGACTGGAGTTAATGTGTTTGGGGAGGAAGATCACAGCGGTAAAGTGTCATTTTATATCATATTATCAATATGATTTATGACTGTTGATGTTGTGACCTTGATTGCCTGGCTGAGGTAGTGTTAGCCAGTCTTCTCCACCATAAAGACACTCTTCTTTCCCCTCCCTTCCCATGCCATACTCTTTGGAGGGAGTCACTGTGCACAGCACACATCTAAGGAGGAGAGCATTATTCCTTCTCTCTTTAGGGTGGATATCTACATAACTTATTTAATTTTTTTTTTTTTTTGGAGACAGGGTCTCACTCTGTCACCCAGGCTGGAGTGCAGTGGCACGATCTTGGCTCACTGCAGCCTCAACCTCCCCAGACTTAAGTGATTCTCCCACCTCAGCCTCATGAGTAGCTGGGACTCTAGGCATTAGCCGCTGTACCTGGCTAATTTTTTGTATTTTTTGTAGAGATAGTATTTCACCATGTTGCCCAGACTGGTCTCGAACTCCTGGGCTCAAGTGATCCACCCACCTTGGCCTCCCAAAGTTCTGGAATTACAGGCGTGAGCACAACTGGCTTAGAATTCTTCTGCATAGGAAAGTTATCTCTTCCCTACTCCATTCGTTAGTTTGTTTAGTCTTTTATTTATATCAGCATAGACTTTTGAACATTTATTTTATACTTCTGATTATAGTTTAATACTACTTTATTTGTTCTTGCTCAAATTACTCCAGCTTTGGCCACTGGGAGCTCTTTCAGCTGGCTCCTGTGTCCCTTTGATATACCCCATAAATGTGGGGTTATTCTTTTGACTTTTTTAAAGGATAGATTTCCAGTTGTTTCAACATTATTTTTGGAAAGACTCTAATTTCTTCCACTGACACATTTCCCATGTTGGCACCTTTGTTGAAAAGCAGTTGACCATCTATGTAGTCACCACATCTTTCTCAGGCCATGGATGCTGTTTTTAACCATTTACCCCCCAAAGTGGGAAGAGGAGTAGCAGGAGACACTCCAGAGGGCCACTTGATGGATACCTGTTTCTTTCTTGTGCCCATTTTGTAACTACAGCCCTGCCTGCTCCTGTGATCAGAATCAATTACCACTGTGAACGTGGGGACTCCTATTCTTGTCGTCTGATCCCTCAGACCAGTAGACTGATTGCCATGGTGTAAAAGGTAAAGGGATTCTTTCTGGTCCCCTGATGGAAATGTCCTCCTACTAATAACGAAGATCCCTAGAGCCACACGGCCTAAAGCTTTCGTAATGGAAAGCACAAATTTCCAATGGGTTCCTGAGAATAGTAAGTGAGCCACTCCTACTTCTACCTGTTGGTTTCTAGACGTTTTATTCAGCATTTCAGGGAAACAGCAGCATATAGTGGTTGTGGATTTAGGAGGTACACTAAATCCTGGAATGTCCCTTCACAGTGTCATGTGTAAGTTGGCACAACAGCTATGCCTTCAAGAGTGTTCTATCCTTATATCAGACCAGCAGCTTCTGGGTGGTGTGTTATGTGAAAGGACCAGTGGATTCTAGAGTCTTGCACCCACTCTCCCACTTTCTTTGCTCTAAAGTGTGTCCTTTGGTCTCAAGGGATAGTATGTGAGATCCAGTGGTGTGCAAGTCCTCTGCTGGTGGTACTAGTAGAAACCCTGAGGGTAGAAAGGCAAACTCACACAGGGACTATGCATAAATCACAGCCCAGATAAATTATTGCTCCTTCCAATGTAATCAATTTCTCACCAAATCGAGGGGTAATATATCAGAGACTTATGAGTCTCTTGCTGGCAAGCTGGATGTTAGCTGGTAAACTAGCTAGATCAGCCTTGGTGAGTGTGAGACTGCGCTAATGTTCTGATGGATATTTTCCATTCGGCCATCGTGGCTGCTGTGTCCATGGACCCATCATCCCATTGCCAGAGTGGGCCATCTCGGGGCCTGGCTGAAATCAGCTGGCTTAGTCATCGGGTCTTCATGGCTGCTCAGGGCATTTTCCATGGTGGGCTCACTCCCGTAGGTCCATCCACACACCTCTTCCAGGACTCTTCTATCTTCCAAACTTTCTCTTTTTAGACCTGGGATCAATAGCAAATGCATTCGCCACTGCCCAAGAGTCCGTTTATCTTCTTATCTCAGGCCGCTTCTCTTTCACAGCAAGTTGAAAACCAGGCACATTGCCCAAAGATCTGCCAGCTGGAAGGATTTCCCCTCACCCCTGTTTCAGGGCTACCCCTGAGTGGGGCAAAGCTGTCTCAGCAGTGCATTTTGGGCTTCTGCCCACATGCCAAGCCAACACACCTCTAATAAAACTCGGGTGTTTCTCTCCTCTATCAGCTGGTGACAAGAACCCTTCCCTCCCCAGACACACATTCCTATGCAGCCACAAGCATGAGCAAAGGGCAAAACGTGTGTAATAGCAGAGGAGGATATGGAGGTCTGGGCTACCTACTTGTGCAGCCTACTTACACCGTTTGGCCCTGCTCATTCCCAGTCCTCAATGCACTACTCTGTCATACTCTGGATTGCAATTGGGCCCACCCAACTTTTAACTTGGTAAGTCTGACAAGTCCTTGCTCATGACGGACAGCTCTAAACATATGGCCACTTAATGTCTCACGGTCAAATGCTCTGTCTTTACCAGAGGCAAGTAGCACACCAAAAGATGGTCTTCAAATGCTATAGAATTCTCTCCTATAGAAGGCATGGTTTTGCTCCATAACTCCAAGGTCTACATTGAGATTCTTCTACTGTGGCTTACCAGGAACTCCACATAGTGACTTTCCCACCATGAACATCTCTGGTACCATAGTGTCTGCTGCATCAAATGGCCTAAGTGGCAGGGAGGCTTGTACTTCTGTCTGACTTATGCAGAACCCTTTCCTGCTCTGGGCCTGATTCAGATCTTGAAGCTCTCCAGAGCATTTAGTAAATGGGTCATTCTCACGTGTAAATAGCATTGTCACTTGTGAAGTATGCAGGTTCTAGAACAAGAAGAGGTCCACTGAGAATTGTGCTACCTTCTTTATGCTAAGAAGCAACAGATGTAATAACTTGTCCTTTAATTTGATGGGATGTGCTGGCATATCCCTAAACACATCACTGACATGACGGGCCCCCGAGTCTTCACAGAGTTTACCTCCCACTTTTATGGAGCATACCGAGGCCTCCAATGTACTAGCCACTTCTTGCTACATAATTAACATAAGGATTAACATAGTATCATCATATGATAATGTAATTGGTATAATGGATTAGTGTGATATTCTACAGGATATCCAGGTGGTGTATAATATATCCAGAGAGTTAACACAGCTCTGGGGCATCATTGTGAATATATACTCTTGTCTATCCCATATGAACAAGAGCTGTTTCTCTGCCTTCTGTCTAATAGGGGTAGAAAAGAAAGTGTTTAGGAAATAAATGGCCACATACCATGGACCTGAGGTGGTGTGAATCTGCTCTTGTAAATAAAACACATCTGGCATTGCAGCTGCAATTGGAGCATGAAGAGAGGGAGTGTGTGAGAAGACGAGACTGGAAATGTAGGTTAGTTGCAAGTTGCTAATGGAACTGAAGGGCTCACTATGGGATTAAACTTGATCCTGAACACAATGGGGAGACCTTACAGGTTTGGAAGCCATGTGTTCTATTCTCTCACTAGCTTCGAACAGAAAACAGTGTTTTCTAACATTTTAAGAGCGAAGGGGCTACTGTGTGCTGAAATGGGCTGTCCAGATCCTAACTTCGGGACTGAAACACGCATTCTCATGGCTGCCAGAAGTGTTGGCTGCTGAAGTCTCATAGCTTGGTCCCAACCACCAGGATTTTCATATTTCCAACTCTTTGCACTTGGTATTCTTTCTCTGGAATATCTCCTCTACTTCTGATGCCTGAAGAAATTCTAGTCATCCTGCAAGACTTCCCTAGGTGTCTCTTCTCATCCCAGGTAGGATTAACTGCTTCTTTCTGTGTTTCTAGAGCATTTTGTTCATTGTATGAGTTTAGAACTGAAAGAATTCTGTGTATCATATCCTGGCCATCCATTTCATTGGCTCCCTAACTGGGCTGTGCATTTCTTGATGTTCAGGCCACGTCTCATTTATCTTCATGTCACCAGAGGTTTGCACGGAGCCTAACAGAGGCAGGCATTCAACAAATGATTACTGAATTAAATTTTTTATTTAATTGAATCTTATTATGCTGTAAAGAAAGGGAAACAAACCCAGGCTGAGATGCACACATTTATTCTCCCATAAAACATGTTTTTGCTGTCACCAAACATGGGGCTCAAACAACTAGATCAGCTGGTATGATTTGCCATTCTGAATTTGTAAAGTAAAACTGTCACAAACCTAAATCTTTTCGTCTTCCTTTTATCTGAATTGGAACTATTTAACCAGGAATACAAATGACCCTAATACCTTTACAAGCTGTTGAAGAGTGTCTGTGAGTGTGTGTGTGTGTGTGTGTGTGTGTGTGTATGTGTAGATGTGAGTTTGTGTTTGGAAACTCTCACTCTTTGATTCATTCATCTTTTGTTTTTGTCTTCAAAGCATTAATTTAATAACAACTAAAGCAACCAGATAGTGCTGAGGGCATAGATGCTTTTGTTTCTATAGTCTCAAAATTACAACCTGTTTTTTATTTTATAAATAGATTGAGGGCATACAAGTGCACTTTTGTTACATGGATATACTGTGTAGTGGCGAGATCTGGGCTTTTAGTTTAGCCATCATCAGAATAGTGTACATTGTACCCTATAGGTAATTTCTCATCCTTCACCCCTCCCACCTTCTTATCTTTAGGAGTCTATAATTCCACTCTGTATGTCCGTGTGTATACACTGTCTAGCTCCCACTTATAAGTGAGAACATGCAGTATTTGGCTTTCTATTCTGCATTGTCACTTAAGATAATGGCCTCCAGTTCCGTCCATGTTGCTACAAAAGACATAATTTCATTATTTTCTATGGATGAGTAGTATTCCATGGTATACATGTACCATATTTTCTTTATCCAATCATCTGTTGATGGATATTTAGGTTGATTTCATGACTTTGCTGTTGTGAATGGTGCTGAGATAAACACATGAGTGCAGGTGTCTTTTTTACATAATGATTTATTTTCCTTTGTGTAGATACCTAGTAGTGAGATTGCTGGATCAAATTACAGTTCTATTTCTAGTTCTTTGAAGAGTCTCCTTGCTGTTTTTCATAAGGTTGTACTCATTTGCATTACTGTATAGGTGGCCCTTTTTCTCCACATCCTCGCCAATATCTGTTGTTTTTTGCCTTTCTAATCACCCCTGACTGGTATAAAATGATATCTCACTGTGGTCTTAATTTTCATTTCTCTGATCACTAGTGATGTTAGACATTTTCTCATATGTATGTTGGCTGCTTGTATGTCCTCTAAAAATGTCTGTTCATGTCCTTTGCCAACTTTTTAATGGGGTTACTTATTTATTTATTTTTCTTGTTGAGTTGTTTTGAGTTCTTTGTAGATTTTAGATACTAGTCTTTTGTCAGATGCATAGTTTACAAATATTTTATCCCATTCTTCATGTTGTCTGTTCGCTCTGTTGATTATTTCTTTTGCTGTGTAGAAGCTTTTTAGTTTAAGTCCCATTTGTCCATTTTTTGTTTTGTTGCATTTGTTTTTGAGGTCTTAGTCATAAGTTCTTTGCCTAGGCCAATGTTCTTCTTGAGTTGACTTTTGTATATCATGAGATATGTGGGTCCCATTTCATCTTCTGCACATGGTTATCCAATTTTCCCAGCACCATTTATTGAATAAAGTGTCCTTTCCCTAGTGTATATTTTTGTTGACTTTGTTGAAGATCAGTTGGTTGTAGGTATGGAGCTTTATCTCTGTATTCTCTATTCTGCTCCATTGATCTATGTGTCTATTTTTGTACCAGTACCATGCTATTTTGGTTACTGTAGCCTTGTAAAATAATTTGAAGTCAAATCAATAAATGTATTCCAGCATATAAACAGAACCAAAGACAAAAACCACATGATTATCTCAATAGATGCAGAAAAGGCCTTTGACACAATTCAACAACTCTTCATGCTAAAAACTCTCAATAAATTAGGTATTGATGGGATGTATCTCAAAATAATAAGAGCTATCTATGACAAACCCACAGCCAATATCATACTGAATGGGCAAAAACTGGAAGCATTCCCTTTGAAAACTGGCACAAGAGAGGGATGCCCTCTCTCACATTCCTATTCAACATAGTGTTGGAAGTTCTGGCCAGGGCAAGTAGGCAGGAGAAGGAAATAAAGGGTATTCAATTAGGAAAAGAGGAAGTCAAATTGTCCCTGTTTGCAGACGACATGATTGTATATCTAGAAAACCCCATTGTCTCAGCCCAAAATCTCCTTAAGCTGATAAGCAACTTCAGCAAAGTCTCAGGATACAAAATCAATGTACAAAAATCACAAGCATTCTTATACACCAACAACAGACAAACAGAGAGCCAAATCATGAGTGAACTCCCATTCAAAATTGCTTCAAAGAGAATAAAATACCTAGGAATACAACTTACAAGGGATGTGAAGGACCTCTTCAAGGAGAACTACAAACCACTGCTCAAGGAAATAAAAGAGGATACACACAAATGGAAGAACATTCCATGCTCATGGGTAGGAAGAATCAATATCGTGAAAATGGCCATACTCCCCAAGGTAATTTACAGATTCAATGCCATCCCCATCAAGCTACCAATGACTTTCTTCACAGAACTGGAAAAAACTACTTTAAAGTTCATATGGAACGAAAAAAGAGCCTGCATCGCCAAGTCAATCCTAAGCCAAAAGAACAAAGCTGGAGGCATCACACTACCTGACTTCAAACTATACTACAAGGCTACGGTAACCAAAACAGCATGGTACTGGTACCAAAACAGAGATGTAGATCAACGGAACAGAACAGAGCCCTCAGAAATAACGCTGCATATCTACAACTATCTGATCTTTGACAAACCTGAGAAAAACAAGAAACGGGGAAAGGATTCCCTATTTAATAAATGGTGCTGGGAAAACTGGCTAGCCATATGTAGAAAGCTGAAACTGGATCCCTTCCTTACATCTTATACAAAAATCAATTCAAGATGGATTAAAGACTTAAACGTTAGACCTAAAACCATAAAAACCCTAGAAGAAAACCTAGGCATTACCATTCAGGACATAGGCATGGGCAAGGACTTCATGTCTAAAACACCAAAAGCAATGGCAACCAAAGCCAAAATTGACAAATGGGATCTAATTAAACTAAAGAGCTTCTGCACAGCAAAAGAAACTACCATCAGAGTGAACAAGCAACCTACAAAATGGGAGAAAATTTTCGCAACCTACTCATCTGACAAAGGGCTAATATCAAGAATCTGCCATGAACTCAAACAAATTTACAAGAAAAAAACAAACAACCCCATCAAAAAGTGGATGAAGGACATGAACAGACACTTCTCAAAAGAAGACATTTATGCAGCCAAAAAACACATGAAAAAATGCTCACCATCCCTGGCCATCAGAGAAATGCAAATCAAAATCACAATGAGATACCATCTCACACCAGTTAGAATGGCAATCATTAAAAAGTCAGGAAACAACAGGCGCTGGAGAGGATGTGGAGAAATAGGAACACTTTTACACTGTTGGTGGGACTGCAAACTAGTTCAACCATTGTGGAAGTCAGTGTGGCAATTCCTCAGGGATCTAGAACTAGAAATACCATTTGACCCAGCCATCCCATTACTGGGTATATACCCAAAGGACTATAAATCATGCTGCTATAAAGACACATGCACACATATGTTTATTGCAGCATTATTCACAATAGCAAAGACTTGGAACCAACCCAAATGTCCAACAATGATAGACTGGATTAAGAAAATGTGGCACATATACACCATGGAATACTACGCAGCCATAAAAAACGCAGCCATAAAAAATGATGAGTTCACGTCCTTTGTAGGGACATGGATGAAATTGGAAATCATCATTCTCAGTAAACTATCGCAAGAACAAAAAACCAAACACCGCATATTCTTACTCATAGGTGGGAATTGAACAATGAGAACACATGGACACAGGAAGGGGAACATCACACTCTGGGACTGTTGTGGGGTGGGGGGAGCGGGGAGGGATAGCATTGGGAGATATACCTAATGCTAGATGACGAGTTAGTGGGTGCAGCACACCAGCATGGCACATGTATACATATGTAACTAACCTGCCCATTGTGCACATGTACCCTAAAACTTAAAGTATAATAATAATAAATTTAAAAAAATAAAAAATAAAAAAATATATAAAAAAAAAATTTGAAGTCAGGTAATGTGATACCTCCAGCTTTGTTCTTTTTGCTTAGTATTGACTTGGCTATTTGGGCTCTTTATTATTTCATATAAATTTTAGAATTTTTTTTCTAATTCTGTGAAAAGTGATGTTGGTAATTTGATAGGAATTGCATTGTATCTGTAGGTTGCTTTAAGCAGTATGATCATTTTAACAATATTGATTTTTCCAATTCTTGAGCATGGGATGTTTTTCTATTTGTTTGTGTCATCTACGATTTCTTTCATCATTGTTTTGTAGTTCTTGTGGAGATCTTTCACCTCCTTGGTTAAATGTATTCCTAAGGTTTTTTTAAAAGCTATTGTAAATGGAATTGAGTTCTTGATTTGGTTCTCAGCTTGATTGTTATTAGTGTATAGAAATGCTACTGATTTTTGCACATTGATTTTGTATCCTGGAACTTTACTGAAGTCATTTATCAAACTTAGGAGTCTTTTGTAGGAGTCTTTAGGATTTTCTAGGCATAAATAAGATCACATCATTAGCAAACAAAGATAACTTAATTTCCTTTGTTTCAATTTAGGTGCCTTTTACTTCTTTCTCTTGCTTGATTGCTCTAGCTGGGACTTCTACTACTATGCTGAATAGGAGTGGTGAAAATGGGCATCCTTGTCTTGCTCTGGTTCTTAGGGGGAATGTTTTCAACTTTTCCCCATTCAGTATGATGTTGGCTATGGGTTTGCTGTATATGGCTTTTATTATTATGAGGTGTGTTCCTTCCATGCCTAGCTCATTGAGGGTTTTTATCATGAAGGGATGCGGAATTTTATCAAGTGTTTTTTATGCATCTATTAGATGAATACATGGTTTTTGGTTTTAATTCAGTTTATGTGGTGAGTCGCAGTGATTGATTTTGCATGTGTTGAACTATCCTCGCATCCCTTGAATAAAACCCACTTTATCATGGTGTATTATCTTTTTGATGTGCTGTTGGATTCAGTTTGTAATATTTTGTTGAGAGTTTTTGCATCTATGTTCATCAGAGATATTGGTCTGTAGTTTTCTTTTTTTGCTGTGTGCTTGCTTAGCTATGGTATCATGGTGATGCTGGCTTTGTAGAATGAGTTAATGAGGACTCCCTCCTTCTCGATTTTTGGAACAGCTTCAGTAAGATTGATACCAGTTCTTCTTTGTATGTCTGGTAGAATTTGGCTGTGAATCTGTCTGGTTCTGGGCATTTTTTTGTTGGGAGATCTTATTCATTACTGATTCAATCTCACTATTCATTACTGGTCTGTTTAGGATTTCTGTTTCTTCCTGGTACAATCTTGGGAGGTTGCAGGTTTCCAGGAATCTATCCAATTCCTCTGGGTTTTCTGGTTTGTGAGCACAGAGATGTTCATAGTAGTCTCTGATAGTCTTATGTATTTCTGTGGCATCAGTTGTAATGTCTTCTTTTTCATTTCTGACTGTGCTTATTTGAGTCTTCTCTCTTTTTTTCCTGGTTAATCTAGCTAGCAGTCTATTAATTTTATCTTTTCAAATAACCAACTTTTTATTTCACTGATTTTTTAATATTGTTTTTTGTCTCAATTTTATTTAGTTCTACTCTAATCTTTGTTATTTCTTTTCTTCTGGTAGCTTTAGCCATGGTTTGTTCTTGTTTTTTCAGTTTGTTGAGGTGTGGCATACAGAACCTTCTACCTAACAACCACTGAATATACATTTTCTCATCAGCATATGGAACATTTTTCAAATAGGCCATGTTAGACCACAAAACAAGTTTCAATAAATTTTAACAAATCAAAATCATATCAAGTATCTTCTCAGACCTCAGTGGAATAAAACTAGAAATCAATACCAGGAGGAAAGCTCAAAACTATGCAAAGACATGGAAATTAAACAACCTGCTCCTGAATGATCTTTGGGTCAATGATGAAATTAAGATGAAAATTAAAAATTTATTTGAAACAAGTGAAAAGAGAGACATAACATACCAAAACCTCTGGAGATACCAAAAGCAGTGTTAAGAGGGAAGTTTACAGCCTACCTCAAAAAGAAAGATCACATATTTATGACCCGATTTTTAGTTTTACACGAACTCCAATTCTTTTAAAATTTTGATTACAGTATAAACTATTTATTTCCATGAAGGATTGTGAGTTTGACATGTGTTTACACCTTTTCAGGTACAAATATTCAGTGGAAGGATTCCTAATACAAAGTTCTCAGCACTTAACAACACCCTCCCACCATGTTTTTAAAATGTGAACCAGATTAACATACATACATCATTTGCCTGTGTCTGCATTATGGACCAAGTGTGTGCGTTTTAGGCAATAAACAACACATTTAAACAAGCTAGAATACTGCACACCATATGAGTTAGACCCAACTCACCACTAACTTTAAAATCTTAAATCATAGTGTCTTAAACATATAGAAGAGCATAGAGTGCACTCTCTGTCATGCAAAAGTCTGGGTGTAGAGCAGTCAAGAGCTTTCACGGCAGCTCCATGATTATCTGAGCCCAGGTGAATCCAGCTTTCTGTTAACCAACCCGAGAGTCTGGTCCTCATTCTCATGGTGCTCCATCATATCTACATTACAATACTGAATGGATAAAGGGGAGGAGAGTGGGCCTCCATCCTCCCCATCCCCCTTTAGAGACCTGTCCTGGAACTTGTATACATCACTTTCTCTTATACTGCATAGGCCAGAACCTAGTTCTGTGACTACAAACAGCTGCAAATGAGACTGGGAAATACAGTTTATTTTTAGAATGGCCACGTGCCCAGCTAAGTATTGATGATCCTGTTACTGAAGCAAAAGGAGAAAATATACATTGGGGACCACTGATATCTCTGCCACATGCACACCTAACGAAGAGAAAACACAATGTTCAGATGACATTTTGCAAAATAATAAGTTGGAGGATTCCAGCTTTGGGGAAGCTCTCTTTGTTTGTCTTCATTCCTTCCACTTGCCCTAGTAAACCTCCTGCTCCATTTCCTGTTTTCGTGTCTGAAGCTATGTGTTCTTCGGAGCCTCTATAGCTTGGCAGGCTCACTACACAGAGAGCCTCCACGCTGGCTTTGCTTATTCAGGAATGTAGCTAATTTATACTCCATTAGCTCAACTCTGAGCATTGGACTCATTTGGCAACAATAATTATTCATAAATAATCATTAACCTTTTCTTACATGTTTTGTTTTGCATTTTGTTTGCTAAAGTTAAAACACTGGTTTTCTGAGGTCTTAGAAAAATAACTCCAGCAAGTTGAGAAAAAGAATGAGGGCCATAAGGTGGGAGTGGGAAATTGAAGTTAAAAACTACTTAGCTGGTTCTCTTGGAGTTGCTTCAACTACCCAGAGTAGTGGAATTTTCTATCTGTTTCTCTTTCAACCTGGAATATCTGTGACTTTCATAAACCACATCAATGCTAAAATATTTTTAAGGGGAAGACTGCTATAAGCTTGACATTATTCTTGTTGCTGCAAGATATACAAAAATGTGTATATATCCTTGACTTCAGTGGATAATCTACTCAAAGGAATTAGACAAGGATATGAATTTAGTTAGGACAAAATAGGCTATGCTGCAGTAACAAATAAATTGTGGAATTGCAGTGATTTAACACAAGAAATTTACATTGCTTACTCATCTTGCAGTCTGAGGCAGGTCTGACTGCCTTATAGGACAGTCTTATAGGACTGCTATCTGGAACTCAGGTCCTTCAAATTTGCCATGAAAGGATGGAGAGGACTACTGCTTACAGCATTCAGCACATTAACATGTTGTACAGGTCTGCAGCCTGGGTGCAATGTCTATACCCTACAGCCTAGGTGTGTAGTAGGCTATGCCAGCTAGGTTTGTGTAAGCACGCTCTGATGTTCGCACCTTGATGAAGTAGCCTGATGATGCAGAATGTATCCCCATTGTTAAGCAACACATGACTATACCTAAATTATATTAGCTTTCAATATTATTTCAAAGACTTTACCTTTTTATCAGTCCAATATACCCTTCTTTTATACTTTCTCTAAATTTTCTATGGCATCCTTCTTAAAATGTCAGAATCTATGCATGGCTATTTCACTTAACATAAGACCTCCAGCTCTATCCAATTTCCTGCAAATGATGGGATTTCATTCTTTATTCGACAAATACTGCATGTTCTCACTCACATGTGAGTGAGGACTCAAAGTTGATCTCAAGGAGGTAGAGAGTAGAATGGGGGTTACCAGAAGCTGGAAAGGGTGAGGAGTGGTATGAAGAGAAGCCAGTGAATGGTATAAACATAGAGTTAGATGGAAAGAATCAGTTCTAGTGTACAATAACATAGTAGGGTGACTACAGCTACAGTTAACAACAACATATTGTATATTTCAAAATAGCTAGAAGAGAAGATTTGAAATCTTCCCAACACAAAGAAATGATACATGTTGGAGGTGATGGATACCCTAAATATCTTGATTTGATCATTGCACATTGTATGCATATATCAAGATATCACATGTACTCCATAAATGTATATAATTATTATGTTACAACAAAAAATTTTAATGTAAGATTCTAAACAATAAGAAACTGACCAGGAGTGGGAATAAAAGGAAAACTGGCTGGACCAACTGGTGTGGGGGGCAGGGGTCAGATCTATCTGGTTCGGTGCTAAATACTATGGCTTTCTCCACACCTGATGGTAGGAGATCAATAAAATAAGCAACACCCTGCTCCACCATCCTTCATCCCAACCTATCAGTTGTTGCTATCATCAGTTCAAAGGAGTAGATGATACTTTGATGAAAGATGACATATCATTGCCTATGGCAGCATTGAAAGTGGTGACCACAGGAAAGAATTTTATCAGAAAGTCTGGATCGGAAGAATATTATCACACCTGCAATAATTGGAGAGTTTAATCATTTAAGAGCCAAAGCAGGGCTAGGAAAACAATGTAGGGATAAAAAGAAAGGGAGAAAGTCAGAAAAGAAAAACGACAACATTAAAAACACAAAATAGACTGGGTGCAGTGGCTCACGCCTATAATCCCAGCACTTTGGGAGGCCGAGGTGGGTGGATCACGAGGTCAGGAGTTCGAGACCAGCCTGACCAACATGGTGAAACCCCATCTCTACTAAAAATACAAAAATTAGCCAGGCATGGTGGCACATGCCTGTAATCCCAGCTACTCAGGAGGCTGAGGCAGGAGAATCACTTGAACCCAGGAGGTGGAGGTTGCAGTGAGCCGAGATTGTGCCATTGCACTCCTGCCTGGGTGACAGAGCGAGACTCCATCTCAAGAAAAAAAACAAAAACAAAAACACTACAGCTGAGGTGGGCAGATCACTTGAGGTCAGGAGTTCGAGGCCAGCCTAGCCAACATGGCAAAACCCCATCTCTACTAAAAAATATATATACAAAAATTAGCCAGGCATGTTGGCATGTGCCTGTAGACCCAGCTACTTGGGCTAGGGCAGGAGAATCGTTTGAACCTGAGAGGCGGAGGTTGCAGTGAGCTGAGATCATGCCCCTGCACTCCAGCCTGGGTGACAGAGCGAGACTCTGCCTCAAAAAACTAACAAACAAATAAACAAACAAAAACAAAAAACAAACAAAAAATACACTAGTTTTTGCCTGGTGACTATATGTCTAGGTGCACTCACATTTGGAATGGCAGCAATTTATCAGGGAGAATTACGCGTTAACTTAGTACTGCTCACAGATGTTTCTTGGACATAACCATCACTAGAAAATATTTTGAAAGTTTATAAGTAAGCAGAACACACGATGTTATGAGATAGACAAGCTAGCCTGCTGACATGACCAGTGTTCTCAGGGCTATACATTTAGTGATTTAAATCATTGACCCGCTTTAACTCCACCAAGCTCCTGAAGGTCTTCAGAGCATGAGGCCACACAAAATCATGTTCATTAATGAGTGCTTACAAGAGGAAAGCAACTAGGAGAAATCAGAGGATCTTGAGAGCCAACTGACACTTCCTGGCTCTGAATGGTGAAGCTCCCATTTGGGCCAATGATAGAAAACGAAGGGCTACGGACTCATTTATGAGCCAAATCAATCCCCCAAAAACGTCGTGGGAATAAAATACCAGGAGACTTGCAAACCCTCTTTTTAAAAATCCAAGATAAGGAGCCGTGGTCCTGGCTGGGCCATGGGCTGCAAAGTCACAGCTAAGACACAACGAGGGACCATCCTTCACATCAAGTGGCAAGAAGCCAAATATCATTCCTGATCCCAAAGGGAATCCTTGAGATCAGAAAAGAGTGCTACTTTCAGCCGGGCACAGTGGCTCATGCCTGTAATTCCAGCACTTTGGGAGGCCGAGCTGGGCAGATCACAAGGTCAAGAGATTGAGACCGTCCTGGCCAACATGGTGAAACCCCGTCTCTACTAAAAACACAAAAATTAGCCGGGTGTGGTGGTATGTACTTATAGTCCCAGCTACTCAGGAGGCTGAGGCAGGAGAATCTCTTGAACTCGGGAGGTGGAGGTTGCAATGAGCCGAGATCGAGCCACTACACTCCAGCCTGGTGACAGAGCAAAACTCCATCTAAAAAAAAAAAAGCGCTACCTTCTACTTTCTTTGATTTCTCAGTCAGGGTTATCTTTGTATTATTGTATTATAAAAGAGAATTATGCAGGTTTGGGGGAGGGTGATATTAGTTTTATGTCAACTCAGCTAGGTTACGGCACCCACTTATTCAATCAATCACTAATCTAGGAGTTGCTTTGTAGATGTGGTTAACACGTACAATCAGTTGACTTTAAGTAAAGGTGATTACCCTTGATAATGTGTGTGGGCCTCATCCAATCAGTTGAAGGCCTTCAGAGCAAAACTGAGGTGTCCTTGATGAAGAAGTAATCCACCTGTGGGACTACAGCATCAAGTCGTGACCAAAACCAAATGCTCCAAAACAAAACCATGCACTCCTGTGATGACTCAGAAAGTTCTGCTCTGATCACTTCAGTTACATGACCTGGTCTGGTGTGATCCTGGCAAATTTCTAAAATACATGGAGTCTTTGTTTCCTTATCCATAATTTTTTAAAAATACGGTGACTATTAGGTGAAATAATTTAAAATATGTAGTAAATAAAAGTAGCACTTGACAAGTATAATAAATAAAATTTCCTTTCCCTTCCCCCTCTAAATTGTTTCTCCCAAAGAAAGGGCTTCAACTCTTTTGCTTTCTAATGATCTTGTGTCAAAATTGAGCCACTAAAATAGGCACCATGGATGTCCTTGGTCCATGGTAACTTTTTTGCTGTTTGCTTGTTCTTTTTCTTGCTTTCTTTTTCTTTTATTTTCTTTTTTCTTTTTTTTTTTTTTTTTGAGACGGGATCTTGCCCTATCACCCAGGCTGGAGTGCAGTGGGGTGATCATAGCTCACTGCAGCCTCAAACTCCTGGGCTCAAGCAATCTTTGCACTTCAGCCTCCTTAGCAACTGGGACTACAGGCACACACCACCATGCCCAGCTAATTTTTTAGTATTTTATTTTATTTTTGGAGAGAAAGGGGTCTTGCTCTGTTGTCCAGGCTAATCTTCAACTCCTGTCTTCAAGCAATCCTCCCACCTTGGCCTCTCGATTTGCTGGGATTACAGGCTCCAGCCACCATGCCCAGCTGTTCATTTGTTTTGAGGTCTTTCTTTGGTACACAACACTTGAGATTAATAAATCAGAGGAATTCAGAAGAAGCCACCGCCCCAGGCATCTCCTCCCATAATTAATAACAAAATCAGGCCTTCGTTGCTCACAGACATACATATGTGAGCACCAAAGTCCAGCTTGTTTATTCTGCGTTGCTGATCTGAACACATTTCTATTAGAAAAGATAATTCTTTTCAAATACACAGTTTCAGCATAACACTGCCAAAGATACAGAAATCTCTGTTACCTGTCAGCTTTGCAATTTTCTCCCCTGTCCTCCCTTGCTTTGTTTCTGAGCCCCAGTCCTGCCTTTGGCCCCATCCTACCAAACTCTCCTAGTTTTTCCCCACATAAATTTTCTGCTCTACTTAGTTCCACCTCATGAACAAGTGTTAGTCCTGCCTCCCTCCAAATCCCAGGTGGAAAGCCAGAGGTCATGAGGTCCATACACGGCCTTAACGCCTGTTTTTTGTTTGCTTGTTTTAATTTTATTTTGTTATTGACAAATCATAATTGTACATATTCATGAGGTACATAGTGATGTTTTGATCATATAATGTGTAGTGATCAGATCAGGGTATTTAGCATATCCATCATCTCAAACATTTATTGTTTCTTTATGTTGGGAACATTCAATATCCTCCTTCTAGCAATCTGAAACTATATGTTATAGTTATAGTGATCCCACAGTACTACAGAACACTAGATCTTATTCCTCCTACCTACCTGTTATTCTGCATCCTTTAACACGGTAGTCCCCAACCTTTTTGGCACCCATGACTGGTTTCGTGGAAGACTATTTTTCCATGGACCAGGATGTGGGGGATGGTTTGGGGATGATTCACGCACATTACATTTATTGTGCACTTTATTTCTATTATTATTACATTGTAATATATAATGGAATAATTATACAACTCACCATAATGTAGAATCAGCGGAAGCCCTGAGTTTGTTTTCCTGCAACTAGACAGTCCCATCTGGGGGTGATGGAGACAGTGACAGATCATCAGGCATTAGATTCTCATAAGGAGCACACAACCTAGATCCCCTGCATGTGCAGTTCACAGTACTGACCTGACAGGAGGCAGAGCTCAGGCAATAATGTGAGCTCACAGGCACTGGCCTCCTGCTGTGTGGCCCAGTTCCTAACAAGCCACAGACCGGGTCCAGGGCCTGGCAGCTGGGGACCCCTGCTTTAATAAATCTCTTCATATCCCCCACCTGCTTCCCTTCCCAGACTCTAGTATCTTCTTTTCTACTTTTTACTTCTATGAGGTCAACTTGTTTGTAGCTTCCACATATGACTGAGAAGATGCAATATGTAACTTTCTGTTCCTGGCTTATTTCACTTACCATAATGTCTTCCAGTTCCATCTGTGTTGCTGCAAATGACGGGATTTCATTCCTTTTTATGGCTGGATAGTATCCCATGGCCAACACCTGCGTTGGTGTGGCCTTTGTGTCAAGCCCACCCAGGAGCTTACAGTGCTAAGCTTGGAAACCATAATGGCAGCCTGTCCGGCTTCCTGTCTGACCAGTAACTGCATTTTCAGACAGGAAGGTTGCTGGTCAGACAGAATTTAAACTCCACAGACTGAGGAGGTTGAGCCCTTTGCCCTCTACCTGTTCAGATCATGCCACTTGCCTGGTCTACTCTTTTCCCCAAAAGTCTATGTGTCTTTCAAAATCCTGTTGCACTTGCCTGCTTTTCCTGATCAACCCTCCATGTCTTAGGTACTATTTTGCCTCATGTTTACTGGGAACAGCCTCAATGGCTTGGCTGTGCACTGATTTTCCCATTTGTTCTTGACACAGATCATTCTTGGCTGGTAGCAATGCTGGCACCATCTCAGGGACAACCAATCATTACAAATTTCAACATACCTAGCCATGCAAAGGTAAGAAGCTGCTTTAAATTCCTTGAACTCACAAGGAGAATATACATATATATGATTACAAACATAAGATTATTATCATTGTGTATCTAGGGATGATTTCAAGCAGTGAGAGGTCCAGAGCCATTCTGACTGAGCCAAGGTGCACAGTTGAGTTTGTAGCCAAATAATTTAATTTGGAATTAAGTTGCTAAAGGAGAAACAACCATAACACAGAGTAGCTCCTTCTACCCAGCGACTCAACTGTCATAAAAGGACACATTCAAGATGCCCCTGCCTCACTGAGTCATATCCCCAGGGACACTCTTTTGTTCAACGTCAGGAATTTGCTCCAGTTTCTGAAATGGTTGCTCACCTCCTTGACAGAAAGCAGAAGGAGTCCTGTTTCCTTGTTGTTTCCTGAAGGAAAAACACTGACCTAAAATCCCTTTTGTCAATAAGTCTGGAAGGAACCCGTCCATGTGAGCGCTTTTTCCGGTCCTGCTGCGGTTGATTATAGCCTCAAAGGCTGTCACAGGATGTTTCTCTCCCAAGTATCTCAGGACCTCTCATCCCTCAGATGTCCTTGAATAACTCAACAGAGATGATGTCATGCTGCAGAAGCCTTCTCACCTGCGTTCAAGGAGAATAACACACCTCCCTACGCCCGACCATGTAGCTTTGTCTTAAGTAGAGGATTCTACGTGTGTGCATATGTACATATACATATATTAGTACATGTGTGTATGTTCGTGTATATGTACACATATAAACAGGTGTGTGTGTGTGTTTGGAGCTTACCTACCACTACAGCCCTACACCAACACTGCAACAAAATTATTCAGCTCACTGCTGCGGGCAACTTAACATTTCTGAGTACTGTGTACCGAGTAGCATGCCTCTGTCATATAATCCTGCATGACAGGTGCTCACTTTACAGAGGAGCAAACTGAAGCTCAGCTCACCTGGCTCACAGGTGTCTGAGCTGCAATGCCAACTCCGCTCCATCTGGGTCCATGACCTTTCTCTGTTTCTTCTCCTGCTTCTCACTCAGGCTGTTTTGCTATGGAAGGCGCTTCTCCTTCCTCCCAATCTGCCCCCTTTTTAGAACCTGCTGAGATTCAGTTTCTTCTTGAACCCCTAATTTCCCCAGCCCTCACCCTTGGTGGGATGCTGGAGCCAGCTTGTACTGGCTCAGACTGACTCGCAGGAGCCAGCTGGTGGCATATCTTCCTACTCTGTGTTCAGTGGCATCACGCTGGGGGCTTGGAATTGGCTGTGGGGGAATATTTACACTTCAGAAATCATTAAGCAATACAAATCAGGGCTTTCTTTTTAGAAAGCCAGTGGTTAAACACTTACCAGTACAATCTGTTCTTCTAAAATTTTAAACTTGCATCCATTTGCAATGTATTGTTTCCTTTCAAGATTGTTCTTCACATGTGCAGGCCCCAGCTCGCAATTATATTACATAAATTTCTCTGGGGGGCGTCGCGGATTTTATTCCTCTACCGCTTAGCATTTTGAGAGACTCAGCAATGTGAAACTAGAAGGCTTTAGTGAGCACTTGGTTAATAGATTTTGTTATGTTTTGTTTTTGAGACTAAGTTTTGCTCTGTGACTCAGGTTAGAGTGTCATGGTGCAATCATAACTCATTGCAGCCTCAGATTCCAAGCTCAATTTATCCTCCTACCTCAGCCTCCTGAGTAGCTGGGATCACAGGTGCAGGTCATCATGCCCGGCTAATTCTTTATTTTTTGTAGAGGCAGGGGTCTCACTACATTTCTCAAACTGGTTTCAAACTCCTGGACTCAAGCAATCCTCCTGCCTTGGCCTCCCAAAATGCTGGGATTACAGGCGTGATAGATGTTGATGCATCAAATCTACGCTGATGCCCTTTGTAACGTCATGAGTATCAACTCAGCGATTCCGCCAGCTCTGACACATCTTCCCTGACACTTCCACTTGTGCCTAAAATTTGAAGAGTTAAAACCGAGTTTCCCATCCTCCCTGACCCCTCCAAACACCCCATCCCACCCGTGGTGTCTCAACCACACCATTCTCCAGCTTCTCAGGCCTGGAGTTACTTGTGTCTTTACTTTTTTCTCTCACTACCTGTATTAGTTTCCCAGGGTTGCCATAACAAGTTACCACATACTAGGTGGCTTAAAACAAGAGAAATTTATTCTCTCACAGTTCTGGAATCTAGAAGTCTGAAATCAAGGTGTCAGCAGGGCCATGTCCCCTCTGAAGGCCCTAAGGAGGGGTCTTCCCTGCCTTTTCCTAGCTTCTGGGGGTTGCTAGCAGTCCTTGGCATTCCTTGGTTGGCAAGTGCGTCACTCCAATCACTGCTCTGTCGTCCCACGGCCTTCTGTCCTGTGTGTCCGTGTGGCTCTGTACTGTTCAAATTTCCCACTTCTCAGACACTGGTCATTGGACTTAGGGCCTACCGTAATCCAGTGTGATCTCATTTCAATTTGATTGCATCAGCAAAGACCCTATTTCCACAAAAGGTCACATACACAGGTACCAAAGGTTAGGACTTGAAGATATCTTTTCAGGAGACACAATTCAATCCCCAACACCATCCCAGCAGTCAACACTTGCTTTTTTGCTAATTTGCCTCAGATCTGCTGCTTCCATAACATTGAGAATGCAGACACTCCCAGGAAACTTTCTCGGACTCTAAGGAGAGATGGTAGCACACATCCCTGTGGACGGTCTACCACTGGGATGACCAACCTGGCCACATGACCACTTTCCAGAAAGGCCTCTGACTTGACTCTACACTGCTGCATGCATCCGCTGATGCCACTATGGTCCTCCCGATCACCTCCATTTGGTCCCCTCTCCAGTCGCTTTTCCTAGAGCCCAGTGTGTCATAAAATAGTTATTAATTCAGCCAAAAGGAATGCTCTGGTGAAAATGTCAATAAAATAATGTAGGAGAAAGAGCACCTCGAGAGACTTTTTCAGCGTGTATTCCTTGGTTCGTTTTCTTCCAAAGCTCTACAAAAGTACGGAATTCTGAGCCTTGCCCTGGAATCGGTAAATTAGAATTCAAGAAAGGGGATTTGGACATCTACATAGTTCTAAACTGTTTTATTGAGTAGCTCATAGTTTACATGGTCTGAAAATCCATGTGTAAAGTATATATACAGCAAAGCATTTAGACAGCATCCTTAAGGTCCTGTCCCCAGTCACCCTCTTCTCCCTTATCCCCTACATTGCTCATTATTTTTTGTTTTTCATGCAAATTCACATAAATATTAATATATATTTTTCCTTGTTTGTTGCAAAAGTATCTATGTATATATATATATATATATATATATATATATATATATATATATACACAACCTGCTATTTAATTTTTTTCATTTAACACTATTTCCTAAAGATCTCTTCATGTTAGTAGTATATAGGTAAATATTCCCATTGCCTTTTTTATACTACACAAAATTCTTTTGTGTGGATCTATAATGGTTTAATTACGTATATCTTACTGCTTTACACTTGGGTTATTTCCTATTCCTTTGCTATTACAAACAATGAGACAAGAAATGATTGCAGCCGGGCGCAGTGGCTCACGCCTGTAATCCCAGCACTTTGGGAGGCCGAGACGGGTGAATCACGAGATCAGGAGATCGAGACCATCCTGGCTAACATGGTGAAACCCCGTCTCTACTAAAAATATTTTAAAAAAAATTAGCTGGGTGTGGTGGCATGTGCCTGTAGTCCCAGCTATTTGGGAGGCTGAGGCAGGAGAATGGTGTGAACCTGGGAGGCGGAGCTTGCAGTGAGCCAAGATCACGCCACTGCACTCCAGCCTGGGTGACAGAGCGTGACTCCGTCTCAAAAAAAAAAAAAAAAAAAAGAAATGATTGTCTGCATGTGTCATTTATTATACGTACAGGTGTATCTCTAGTATAGATGATCAGATGTGGGTTTCTGGATCAGAGGGTAAACGCACCTATAATTGTGTTGGGTATTGCCAGATGCCTCTCCTCAGGGACAAAGCCAACCATGCATAAGAGTGTTGATTTCCACCATAGCATTACCAACAGAAAATATCAGATGTTTTGCTGATTTGACAGGTTAGAAATATTGTCTTGCTATAGTTTTAATTTGTGCTTCTTTTATTATAAGTGAGGTTAGCATCTTTTCAAGTTTAAGAACAGATAAGCTACATTTTTAATAGAATCCTTGGGTGATTTTTATATACATAACTCTCTAAAGCTTCTGGCCTAAAGCTAAAGAATTTGAAGGAAAAAAGGGTGCCATGAATGCTGATGCTGAGAAGCAGATTCCTGTCCAGCCTCCCTCTGAAGATGGTTAACAGCCCCTCTAGGAACCATTTCCCACTGAGCACAAGTTCTCCTGGGACTTTATACCCAGAGAGTTCACCTCACTCCACCCCCAGCAGCTGGACCAGCGGGTTTTGAGATAGGTTTTGTAAACCGTAGCCCATGACCCACTTCCAGGCTAAATAAGGTGTCAGGAGACACTGAGGATTCTGGGAGAGGCAGGCTTGCTTTGGAGCATCAGCCCTCATGTTCTGTTTTCCCCTGACTTCAAGGGTCATAGCCTGTGCACTTCCCCTACCACGCAAGCCTTGAGGAGGGGCTTCACTGGCCATTTGGAAGGCTTTCCATAAGTCGCTGGAGTTTGATGGGCATAAGAAATGCTATTTAATTCACACCTGAAAAGCCTCCTGTGTGACACCGCAGCTGAAGTGCAGAGGTGTGGCTGTTTCAGGTCCATATGTTCTAGGGCGACCCACCACCCTGGTTTGCCAGGACTGAAAGGTTTCCTGGGAAGTGAGACTTTCTGTGCTAAAACCAGGACGGTCCTGGAAAAACCAGCATAGTTGGTCACCGAGAGTGAGACAAAGGTACCTTTTTCCAAGGAGCAGGACATGAACTGTGGGGACATTGTCTAGCCATGAGTCATCTTTAAGGAGCTCCTATGCTAAAGGAGCACCTGGGAGGGGAGGGATCCCACAGAGGAGTGCACACAAAAATCCCAGGCCTGTGTGGGGCCACGGCAGCTGGCCGGAGAAGCACTGTCTGTGCAAGGAACTGCAGTCAGAGGTCCTTGGAGGGATCTTTTGGGAAACCCCAAAAGCTCCTCACTGAAGACGAGCTTGCACTTGCACATCTGCCAGAAGTCTCCGATGGCAGGTTACACCTGTACCAGCTAAGGATTGTGCCCTTTTTCTCCAGTTCCCTGTATGGACACTGGGATGTCCTGAGGCAGGATGAAGGGTTGGTGCCCTGCCGCTAGGACTGCCGCCTGCAGACAGCCCTCAGCTATCAGCTCCCAGAGGCCATGCTGCCTTCCTGGGGAGGCCAGCAGCCATTGGCCAACAGATGTGGGAGAACAAAGGCCTGGGCCCCTTGCCAAATGGGGACATCTCTGAAGGGTCATCCCAACTTCAAAACTCTCTGGGGTCAGCTGAGGCTCCATCGAGACTATATGGCAGCTCAGAGTTCCTTCCTCCCTTCCCCTCCCCAGGTGGTGTGGCCAGGTTTCAGTCCAGAGGCAGGCAGAGCAACTGGTCCAGAGTGAGTTCACTGGGGTCCAGAGGTTTTGGCTGACATCATGCTGAATTCAGCTCATTCAATGTACCACTTACAGTAGCTCCACGACTCTTTCACTATCCCCAAGATGGGTAAAATAGTGCAATATCCGCACCTTATTTTACAAAACCTTCAACGAGAAAAAAAAAGATTCAAACTCTTTGAGATAAAGGTAGTCAAATGTCTAACCACAAGTCAGGATGTGGGGATTTTATCTGAGTCACTTAACCCAGTTAGTCATTAACCCAGTTTGCCAAGCGAGCTTAAACTATCTCCTTAATAGAAATAATATGGACCCTGTGCTAGCCCTGGGCAAATGTGAATACTTGAGCTCTAACCTAGGCTTCTCCTGAACCTTTGAAGACCCCAAGACACATTTGGTCAGGGGACATAAGTGATGTTTGAAAAAGTCCTTCACATGTTTAGTTGAGGTCATGTCACTAATGGCTCCAGAACAGAGACCTCAGCCTGGTTTCTTCCTGGATGTGGAAGGTTGCAGCCCCCTGCCCCCTCCCCACGTTCTCAGCAGGTGTTCCTGCATTGCTCTATTTCAGGAGTTTAGGAAGCCTAAGAAATACGTGTGTATCCAGCTCTGTTTTCACAACAAGGGTCAAACCAAAAAACCACAGGTCAAAAGGAACCAGGAAAAGGAAAAAAAAAATACACTTTATCCATAAAATGTATTTTTAAACATCTGTTTTTCCTGTGCAGCTGTCTGGCCTGATTCCTCTCCATTGAAGAGCAAAATGTTTTGTTCTTTTTAAATGTATAATAATTAAAAATAAATTTTGAAAACTTACCTCAGGACCAGAATTTTTTTTTAGAATTGGAAAAGATCTCATAATTCATTTAATCCAACCCTTATTGTATGTAGGTGAAGAAATGACACCAGGAGGATGACTTGCTGGTTCGTGATGGGACTCACCTCTGCTAATGCAAGGGCTGACTGCCATAATCACCTCGTATGTGGACATTTATGACATCCCAAGACTCATAATTTCCCTTGAGAAGTTCCAAGTTTAGTAGATGGAAAAGATGTTGCCTGCTCCAGGTAATACTGGAGACATTAGGTGATGTGCCTCAAATTTCACAGCTAGTAACCTTACATCCCTGTTCAAAATTCAATGGTTCTTCTACATTAGAGATACAGCCTTTGGCCTGCCCCATCACTCTTCTCACCCCATCACTAGTCCCACCCTCTGCTGGCCCTACCCCTCTCTTGCCCCACCCTCTCTCTCGGGCCCCACCTTCTCACTGACCTGTCTTTTCATTGGCCCTGCCCTTCCAATGGCCCTACCCTCTTCCTGGCCCCACCTTATCACTGACCCGCCTTTTCATTGGACTTGCCCTCTCACTGGCCCCACCCTCTTGCTGGCCCCACCTTCTCACTGACCTGCCTTTTCATTGGCCCTGCCTTCTCACTGGCCCCACCTTCTTGCTGGCCCCTCAGGTCCTTCCATCCTCCCTCCTTGTGGTTGCATGGCTTCCCACATTCTGTGCCTCTGGTGGCACAGGGTTCCAGCACCATCATTAGCTGCGAGGGTGATCCCTGCAAGTCCCCTGAGATTCGAAATTTACCTTCCTCCTCTGTGAAATGAGAAGACTGGACTGGCGCCCTTCTAAGGATGTCTGCTGGAGGTCAGGTCTCTGGCTCGGGACAGACACAGATGTGAGAGAATCGCACCACTCTTGCTGGACTGGCACACCAGGCCCACATAGTGACTCAGCCATGCAGCCCTCGGCCCCACAGGTTTCTTGGCTCACTTCCCTGACTCTCCTTTACTCCCTTTGTCTAATAACGTGTCTGAAAGTAAACCAGTTTCCTGGGGAACATTGTTTTCCCATTATAAATTCCTTTACAGCAAGCACCAAGTGACTGGCTGTGCACTGGTTAAAGCTTAAGGGTATTTCCTGAAGGCTATATTCGGCCTGAGCAGATTTTTGTGTTTTTAATTGTTATTTTCCTAAGAGAAAAGGTCAATGGCTATATTGTTTAGAAAATAGATTCAAACTGGATACATAAATTTCAGTGGGAACGAGAAGGGTCCCAGGAAAGAGGAGTCCCTGACCATGAGCTGGGCATGTTAGGTCCACCGATTCATAAGGTCTCAGACCAGTTGCAATAGATGGTGCTATGGAAAGGCTTCATTTGGGATCAGGTTGGAGAAGGTGTGTGTGTAGAGGGGAGAGGGAATCTCCTCAAGTAAGCTACATGAGAAGGTGCCTAATACGGTATGGTTCTGTGTCCCCACCCAAATCTCATCTTGTAGCTCCCATAATTCCCATGTGTTGTGGGAGGGACCCAGTAGAAGATGATTCAATCATCTTCTTTCCCCTACTGTTCCCATGACAGTGAATGGGTCTCACGAGATCTGATGGTTTTAAAAATGGGAGATCCCCTGCACAAGCTCTCTTTTCACCTGCCACCATCCATGTAAGATGTGACTTGCTCCTCCTTGCCTTCCACCATGATTGTGAGGCCTCCCCAACCATGTAGAACTGTAAGTCCAATAAACCACTTTCTTTTGTAAATTGCCCAGTCTTGGGTATGTCTCTATCAGAAGCATGAAAACAGACTAATACAGTGCCTCAGAACTCCACGTGGCTGATCTCTGAGCTACTGTAGCCTCTGCCTCTCCTCATACCTATGGCCTCCTGGGTGTTCCCTATAACCTGTTAGGTGAGAGGACAGATAATTTAAAATGGACTTGAGGAGCAAAATGCCACATATCAAGTCTTGTTTTTAAGAAATTGTTACCAGCTGATGAAAATACACATGGAGTATCCACAATGCCTTTGGAACTGAACTGCTGTACTTATTCTTCCAGATTATTTCAGACAGTGAGGATGTTCTTTCTGAAATGTTCTTGTCTATTTCCAATGAGTAAAAATAGAAGAGGGGAGAAAAAGCCAGGGCCTGAGCCAGCTTGTGGGCCTTTCTAGGTCACTATTTTATTGGTAATCATTTTTTCATAACTGTGTATTTATTCCCTATGGGTGTGTCCTGGATTCCATGGCAAATATCCTTTGATGACCACAGCAGTGTCTTCCGATGAAGGTCCAGGGCTGCATCCCAAACACCCCCACCGACAGCTCAGCCAACAGGACGGATCACGACTGAAACAGATGTTCTTGCTCCCCCGGCCAAAAAGTTGGAGTCCCTCCCTGGAGATGAGACACTTCCCTTTGACACCAGAAGCACCTTCCTGATTTCATCAGATGAGATACTTGTTTGGGGAATGACCCCAATGTCTTGCCTTAAGCAAACAAATAAAATGTTTGAATTTAGTGAGGGCATGAACCCGATATGTAAAATGTAGAGTTAGGAAAATTATATTGTATAGAAAATAGCACATTATTTCCCTGGTGAGCCAGCAACCTCCCAAAATAATTGTGTAAAACAGAGGATAAAAAGAGCTCAGCAAGAAACCCTTATGTCCTCGAGAAGGCAACCAAATTGGAGAATGAGGTTTAGTATACGGTATTTCTCAACAAGAACTGTAAAACTGAATTAAAACCTGAAAGCAATGATAAAACTCTTACTAAAATATGTAGTCCATGCATTTCTTCTGTGTGATTCTTCCGTGCGATTCTTTAGAACTGAACTGAACACCTTTGGAACTGAAAGACTCTACTTACTCTTCCAGGTTATTTCAGACAATGAGGATGTTCTTTCAAAATTAACGTGCTTCTCAAAACTTAACAGGCACATGAGTCGCCTGGAGATCTTGTTAAAATGTAGGTTCTAATTCAGCAGGTCCTAGGTAAGGCCCCAGATTCTGCATGTCTAATAGGCTCCAAGGTTTACACTATTCTTAAAGCAGTGCAGTCATTTCCAAGTGCAGTCATTGGATCACTTGTATGAGAATCTCCTAAGTGATCTGTTGAAAAACACAGATTCCTGTGCTCCACCACAGACTTACAAAATCCAGTGTTTACAGTGATTGCCCAGGAATCTGTATTTAACACGCTTACCAATGATTCTTATTAAAGCTTGAGAACTGACACTGTCTATGGATAAATGGCTAATTTGGGATAACTAGGAAACTTGTAGGAGATGCCATGAGATTGTTGCACACCATGAAGAAGGTTTGGGCTGTGCTAAGTGGGTTCTTGTACTTTTACAGTAAGGAAAACTGCTAAGCAGTTAAGTGGCTGGGGCATAAATAGCAGGCGCTACCAAGTCAGGCAGTCCAGGTGACAGGGAAGGAGCTTACAGGAGCATTAATGATGATAGGATACTGTACTAATTTCTGTTGCTAAAAGAAACTATAATTTTCAGTATTGAGCAGATGTTCCTTACTTTAAAAAATAGTTATGATTTTGGAAAGTTGCAGAAAATTAAGTTTTTATTCTCTTATCTTCTCATTGACTTCCATTATAATTTTGGAGCAGTTTTGTCATCATTTATGTGAATTCTACAATTGGTGGCGGGTCCTAGCATTTCGTTTTTATCATTTCTAGTCCTCAGTCTCCATTTCTTTGATGGAAGAGAAAAGAATTTGTAAACATATGCTAACTTTCATCAAGTAAGTTGCTTTAAAAAGTACAGTAAGTCTTTGTTCAAGATTACACTTGTTCGGTAATAATGGTAGCTGACATTTGCAATGCATTTATTACGCACAGTACTTGGAACTGTGACAAGTCAATTAAGTTTATAATTTCAACCTATCCTAAAAACAATCATATGAATATGTGCCATTATTATCCCCATTTTCTGTTGCATGAATGAATTGCCCAAGGTCACATAGACCATGAGGGGTCAAGGTCAATAAGGGGCCTGGTGCCGGGGCCTGAGGCCTTAACACTGTACTTCTTAGAGACGCTTATTGATTTAATCTTTAAACATTTTTTATTCAAGAAATAGATGTAATTTACTTAAATGCAGTGTTTTCAAATTTAGTCTTTTTTCTTTACTTTTTTCCTTTGATTCTCCATCCCACCTTTTAACCCATCATCTCATATGAACTACTCAGACAACCTCATAATTATCTTTCCATACTTTTCTAAGTTTATCTAATTCCACACACCCACACACATAAACATGCCTGTATGGATGAAAGGTGACTTGTTATTATAATTTGACTCCCCCTGACAATTAGTGGTTTGATCATTTTCCATATTCATCTTAGCTGTGTGGATTTATTCTTGTGAAGTGATTATTCATCTTCTTTACTCACTTTTCTGTTAGAGTGCATTTCCCTTTTCATCAATTCCTGAGATCTTTTTGTGTATTACAGATATTGTAAGACACTATTCTCTGCCTTAGAAGTATTTTTCCAGATCTGCTGTTTTGTCCGTTTTTAAAAGTGTACAATTTGTATGGGTCAAATATGTGTTTTTAATTTTCTACCTTCTGAGTTTCTAGTCTTTGTTAATAACATCTTCCTCTCCCAATATTAGACAGATTTTCCTAGATTTTTCTGCAGAAATTATTGCTTATTTTATTTATTTACTTCTTTTGGCATTCAGTCTATAAGCCATCTGGAATTTATTTTTTATATGAAGTAAGTAGGCGCCCAATTTTATTTTACAGATAGTAGCAGTGCTTATTTTAAATAATCCATTCTTTTCCCACTAAATTTAAATCTCACTTAAATTATTAGCTATGCTCTATTTATTTGCCTTTATTTTTGCATTCTTCTTTCTGTCTCACTCTTATTTATTTATTCCTAGATGAATACCCTATTGATGCGATTACAATGCTTTAGAGTTTTCCCATATTTGGTAAGGCAATTATTTTTCTAAAGTATCTTGACCACAGATAGTTATTCTCCTCTATAAATTTTAAGATCCTTTAATCTAATTTAAATATTTGATGGAATTCTAACTGGAATTGCATTATGTCCAAATGCTAATTTAGGGATATCAATATTTTTATTGTAGTAAGGCTTCCCACCCAGGAATATGTAACATTTTTCTACTAGTTTGGAAACTCTTTCATGTCCTTTAATAAGATTTTATTGTTTTCTTCTTTGAAATCCAGTGTATTTTTGTTACTCCTCTATGTTTTAGGGTTTCTGTCTGTATGATAAGTGGGATATTTTAGCCATTTCTTTTTGGTGCTTTTTGATTAAATTGGAGGTGGGGGAATATTGATTTTGAATATTTAGGTTATATCTAAAAACCTAACATGATTTTTATTAATTCAATTATTAGTCTCAGATGTTTATAGCTACATGGTAGTATAATCAGTAAGCTCTAGTTTTCAATGTTTATAATGTAATTTCATTTTCTTATCTTACTAAAAATTTCTAAGAACCTTGAGGCAGTGTTGGATCTTTTTGATAAAACGGAGCATTTCTGTTTATTGACCAATTTTAACTGAAATGATTTTATGAATATGCTATTTAGGATTAAATTGTGATTGATTTTTGATAGTCTTCACTATATTTATACAGCATCTGATAGTCCTATAAGACTTTGAGATTTAAATAAAAATAACTGCTATTTTGTAAACTGATTTTCACTTTAACAAGAGACACTCTAAACACCACATGAAAATAGCTATACTTACATGCCTTTTTTTCTTCTCTCTCTCGAGACAGGGTCTTGCTGTGTTTCCCAGAGTGGTCTTGAGCTCTTGGGCTCAAGCAGTCCTCCCAACTCAGCCTCCTAAGTTGCTGGGAGTATGTCCAGCGAATTTTTATGGCTACAGAGGGTTTTATTTGCTGGCTGTACATAATTAATTACTACAAACCATATGGTTAAAGTTTTAGATGGTTTTCAGAGTTCACCAGTATGAAAACCATCACAATAAATATAATTGTAAAATGCCAGCATTTTCAACAGCTTCTATGGCATGGATATGTCCCTGTTTATTCAATCTTTTTCCTATTGATGGGACTTCAACTTTTTGCACTCTTTTGCAACTACAGCTAATGCTTCAACATATTTTCACATATATCCTGGGGGACCTACGTTTATATTCTATAGAGTAATTTCATAAATAAAGAATTGTGTGCTGGTTCAATTATTTTAATTCTATTTGCTTATCTTGCCAGATTGCTTTTCAAAAGAAACGTAACAATTTATACTTTCACCTGCTATGTATGATAATGATTTCTTCCTGATCCTCATCAGCACTGAATACGAGTGGCAATTTTATTACTTGACATATATAAATGAAATATATATGAAATAAAATATTTATTTATTCTTTTTTTTCATATATATGTCTGTCGTGGTCTGTCCTTTAGTAGAATAATTCAGCCCGTTTACATTTAATGGAACTACCAATAAGCTGAATATTATTCCTTCCATTGATTTATGACTTTTATTTATTTCACTTTTTTAGTCTCTCCTTTCTTCCTTTTCTTTCTTTCTTTCCCCTGGATCACTCAAGTTATTATCTCTTTCCCATTTCTTCGTATTTTCAGAAGTTCTTTTCTGCTTTACCATTTGCTAGAGGCTACCTTCACTGTCCCTATAGTCACAATCCAAGCCTTATTTCCTACTATTACCATAAAACTAATGTGGCCAGAAAACATCGATGCCGAAACTTGTTCACACATATGCAGCAGAGAGGGGCTGAGGAGCAGAAAAGGAAAAGGGAGTAAAAATGAATTATTTCTATGCCTTCCAAACATCTTTGTCAGCTGCTTAGGATCTAATGCTTCTTGGATGAAATTCCTTTGTTGATCTGGTTTTGTCCCTATAAAGGTAAGGACTAGAGTCACCCCAAGGTAGGATCCCACGCAGGGGTGCAACGTTTCAGTGCAAAGTGCACATCGGAGGACATGAAGATGCAAGCTGGGTAATAATACGGAAGGATGGAGATTACTCACATGGACCTTTGCTCACTTCTCCTAGCTCGGTGACCCCAACCAAGCCAGGCTAAGTGTGAGAAAGAAAGCTCTGGGGCAAATTTGGACAATAGAAAAAAAGTCCAGAAGAAAACATAGATTGCCGTCATTCCACTGTCCAGAGAAAGCTACTGCTGACCTTTAGAAGTATTTTCTTTCACTGTTATTTTTGTGTGTTTGCTTCTGTGTTAACAGGCATTTATAACATTGACTTTCTCGGCCAGCCACGGTGGCTCACGCCTGTAATCCCATCACTTTGGGAGGCTGAGGCAGGTGGATCTCCTGAGGTCAGAAGTTCGAAACCAGCCTGGCCAACATGGCAAAACCCCATCTCTACAAAAAATGCAAAAATTAGCCGAGTGTGGTTGCAGGTGCCTATAGTCCCAGCTACTCGGGAGGCTGAGGCAGGAGAATGGCATGAACCCGGGAGGCGGAGGTTGCGGTGAGCCGAGATCGAGCTACTGCACTCCAGCCTGGGCAACGGAGTGAGACTCTGTCTCAAAAATAAAAGAATATTGACTCTCTCATTTACTGTGTGTCTTTGGTCTAGTCACTTCTTTTGAATCTCACTTTCTTTTCTGAAAAATGGATATAAAGATGGTACTAACCTCACCTCTCTGTTAAGAGAGTTAAATAAGGTAAGGCATGTACAGTGTTTAGGACCCAACACAGAGTAAACACTCAGTTACGTTAGCTTTCACCTCCTCCTCTTCTTCCTCCTCCATGGTCATGCTGATGTAGCCTTTCTCAGGCTGCTTACCTCATACTTAGAGAGTTGTTGTGAAGATAACAAGAGATAAGAACTATAAATGTCATCCTTGTAAACCGCAAGCCTCCTGGATTTATTTCTAGGATATTGAAGACCAAATGTTTCCTCTTTCAAAAAATATTTGGCAATCGCCACCATGTTCACACAAGTTAGCTGGATTCTGGGGGGAATACAAAACTATTTAAGATGATATCCCTTCCCTTGAATTATAACAATTGGCTTCTTACATTATTCCCTAGGAGGACTCTAGATATCAAGTCATACTCTAAAATTAAGTAATAAGCATTGTGTTATTGGCACAGAAATAAGAAAATAAATCAGTGGAACATATTACAGACTCTAGAAGGAAACCCTTGTGTATATGGGAATTTAGCTCATGAAAACCAAGACATTTCAAATTGGTGGCAGAAGAAACTTCAATCAATAATGTTGAGAAAATTTGCCTTGGGTGACGAAATGGTCTGTACACCAAAACCCTGTGAAACGAGTTTGCCTGTATTTACAAACCTGCATGTGTACTCCTGAACCTAAAATAAAAGTTAAAAAATTTTTTTAAAAATTGAGAGAAAATTGGCTATACATTTAGCAAAAGAAATAAAGACCCCTTAAAACACTGATATGGTTTGGCTGTGTCCCCACCCAAATCTCATCTTGAATTCCCACAAGTGTGGGAGGGACCCAGTTGGAGGTAATTGAATCATGGGGTCAGGTATTTCCCATGCTGTTCTTGTGACAGTGAGTAAGTCTCATGAGATCCAATGGTTTTAAAAACTGGAATTTCCCTGCACAAGCTCTCTCTCTTTGCCTCCTGCCATCCATGTAAGACGTGACTTGCTCCTCCTTGCCTTCTGCCATGATTGTGAGGCCTTGCCAGCCACATGGAACTGTAAGTCCTTTAAATTCTTTTTCCTTTTTCTTTAAATTACCCATTCTCGGGTATGTCTTTATCAGCAGTGTGAAAATGAATTAATACACACATCATGCACAAAAAGTAAACTTCATATGGGTTAAAGAGTTAAGAACCAAAAATCCCAAAATAAAACCTCATGTTAGAAGAAAATATAGATGAATCAGTTTACTGCCTCATAGCAAACTTCCCCTAAAACAGTGCCTTACAATTATAATTATTGTTGCTCACAAGTCTACAGGTCCTCTGGGCAGTTCTGTTGTTCTGGGCCAGATGGGGCTGACCACAGGTGGGCTTGCTCACAAGGCTGTGGTCTGCAGGTGGATGTGGTCAGCAGGCTATCTAGGATGGCCTAACCCACTGTGTCTTCTGGTTGGCTGGATACTGGCATGAGAATGACTGGGCCACATGCCTTTTATTTTCCAATAAGTCAGTCTGCACTGGCCAATGGAAGGTGGTCAAATTGGCAGTGCCTTATGAAAATCTAGGCTGGCTTATTGGAAAGAAGCAAATGGTGCACACTATCTCTTCTACCACAGGCCACTCACTGGCCAATGGAGGCCACATACAGGGAGATGGGTGGCATCTTTTGATGGACAAAGCAGCAAAGTTGTATTACTGGGCATGGATACAGAGAATGAAAAACTATAGCCATTTTTGCAATTTCCCATGGTGAGTAGGTTTTTTTAAAATTATTTAATGCTAACAGAATTGATTTCATAAACATTTTAAATTTAGGCACAGTCAAAAATTCTATAAACAAAATCAAAAGAAAAAGATCAAATTGAAAAAAATATATGAGATTTTTTTCTACCATATATGAGCAGCATATATGGTAGACAAAATATTTCTATTAAACAATCAAAAGATGACATTCTAATTTAAAAATAGACAAAAGTCAAAAATGGTCAGTTCCCTAAAAGAAGTATACCACCGTTCAATAAACATATGAAAAGATGCTCAATCTCAATAGTAATCTAGAAAAACACATTTAAAGAAAAGCAAAATAAAGATCATTATTGAAATGATTGGCAAAGATAAAGGTAGCATTCATAGTGTTGTAGGCATGCAAAGAAACGCTTTCATGTACTACTGAGGGAGGTATAAATTTGTATATCTTTTGTGGAGGCCCGTCAGCAATATATATCAAAATATATTTAGCATGTGGGTACCTTGTGTCTCAGCAATTTCTCTTCCAGGGATGTTTCTTAAATGATCAATTGTTTATAACAATTGAAAACAACCTAAAGTCTAGCCATAGGGAATTGGGCACTCAACTTATGGCAAATCCACATATGTGATAATGTGCGACTATTAAAAAGAAAGAGACAGGTCTATTTGAACTGTTGGAGGAAAGACTGCATGACATACTGTTCAGTGAAAAAAGTGATATTGTGTATCATATAATCCTATTTTGGTGAAGGCCACTTTGTTTCAACCTCTAGGACTTTACCCATGTTATTCCTTCTGAGGGGAAATACAACCACTCATCTTCTAAAATACACTAGAGTCCATCCTCAACAGCCCCCAGATGACACATCTTTCCCTCCCAGGAGAACTGACAATTTCTTCCCTGGCACTCCTTGGACCTGTACACAATTCTACAAGTCCATTTCTGTGTTTATCCTTTCTGATGCCTAATCTCTCTCTCTCTCTCTCTCTCACACACACACACACACACACACACACACACACACACAGAGTAGTTGGTTTAAAGAAAGAGGAAGAAAAATAAATAGAAGTCTTGTTAATGGAGAAGACTGGGACATTCCCCATTCATCTTTGCCTCGTTTAATGTTAATCAGCTCAAAATATACTAACACTATTAACACTAATAGTGTTATGAGTACTATTAATTAGTATTATAATACTATTAATACAAATAGTGTTATTAATACTATTAACAGTGTTATTAATACTATTAATTAATACTAATCATGTTATTAATGCTATTACTAATACTATTAATTATAATAATATAATTATATAATATTTATAATGTTATATAATTATACATAATTATATATTTATAATGTTATATAATTATATATAATTATATAATCAATCTTATATAATAATATATAATTATATGTTAATATTATATAATTAATATATAATTATATAATTAATATATAATATAATTAATATTATATATTAAATATTGTAGTATTAAATATTATTTAATTAACTATTAAATATCATTTAATATTATGATATTAAATATTATTAACACTAACATTCATACTATTAATAATGATACTATTAATGATAATATTAATAGTGTTGCTAATAACGTTAATACTAATAGTGTTAATTAATACTGTTATTAATATTAATAGTGTTAGTATATTTTGAGCTGATTAACATTAAAAGAGATGAGGCTGAATGGTGAATGTCTTCAGTTGTCTACCTGTTTGATGAGGGAGCAATGCCCTGGCTCAGGGCTGCAAGGACAGGGGACCATGTCAGCACATTAGTCTGCCAAATGTGCCCCTTCAGTGTTTCCAGTGCAGAACAAAAATGGGTTTATCCAGTATATGAACTTTACTTGTTAAAAAATGTATGTGTTAATCTACTGAAGCTGTACATAAACTCCCATAGTTCATAAAAAGTGGAAGGCACTTTGAGTTTGAGGGAAAAGAAGTCTGTCTGCTTGAACTGTGCTCAGAACAGTGGCATGGCAGCAAAGTTAAAAATCCACAGGGATGGAGAGAATAAAGCAAGGCACTGCATCAGGCCATTCATTGCTAGAAAGAAAAACACGAGGTTGGGTAATTTATAAAGAAAACAGTTCTGCAGGCTGTATAGGAAGCATAGCGGCATCTACTTCTGAGGAGGCCTCAGGAAGCTTCCAATCTTGGCAGCATGTAAAGGGGAAGCAGGCACGTCACATGATGCAAGCAGGAGCAACAGCGAGACGGGGGTGCCACACACTTTTAAACGAGATCCCCAGAGAATTCACTCACTAGGGCAAGGACAGCATGAAGAGAACAGTGCCAAATCATTCATGAGGTATCTGCCCCATGATCCAATCACCTCCCACCAGGCCCCACCTCCAACAATGGGGATTACATGTCAATCTGAGGTTTGGGCAGGGACACACAACCAAACTATATCAGGCACATTCCCCAAGAAAACCTACTTCAAAAGAAGAGACCATTGTTGCAAGATGAAATCATTTTGTGTGACGAAAGAAAGAAAAAGAGAAAGAAAGAGAGATAGAGAGAAAGAGAGAAAGAGAGGAGGGAGGAAGGAAAGAAGGAAGGAAGGAAGGAAGGAAGGAAGGAAGGAAGGAAGGAAGGAAGGAAGGAAGGGAAGGAAAAAGGACACCACTTACCCTTTTAAGAAAAAAAAAACCTACATATACTCATTATATGTTAAAGTACAGACTTCTTGGTGCATTGCAATGTACAATACTGGATTTGGGGTCTTCATGTATATTTATATTTTGTTAAAGTGTGACCATCTAGGAGTAATCTTTCCATGTTGCCCCACCTTGAAACACACTGTGTGTAATGATTACATTTTAAATCATGCCTTCTCTGTGTTCTCCTAGTGCAAACCCCAAAAAATGGAGTTTAGTGATTTTTTTTTTAATGTGATCATGTAGGAACCTCTGTCAATTACCAGATTCCAGACAATTTTTTTAAAACTACTTCATATATAATAGCTATCAAATATAGAACTGGCTGGGGTTACAATGGGAATAATGACAATACATATAAACCCTAAGTATTTGATATAAAAATTATAGAAGGCTAAAAACTAAAACATGCCAACAGTCTTTAAATTTTCTGAAAGCATGAGATTTTATCTTAACATAGAAATGAACTCTTCTCAGACAAAAGCACCTATACTTTCCCCAAATCTTACACATCAATTAAAATTTATCGGATTACTCATCAAACAGGTTTATTTTACAGTTAAATATTCTAGGTTAACTGTTGACTTACTGCTTTTAGTGATTCTTGAAGCATGGAGTTGGGCTATTTTTTCTTTGCAAAATGCATATTTTTTGAGTATTTCTTCTGAGTGTTCTCCTAGGAGTAGAGTTCCTCTGGGATGGCCAGAGGCTGGCGTTGTTTTTGTTGTTGTTGTTGTTGTTTGAGACGGAGTCTCACTCTGTCGCCCAGGCCGGAGTGCAGTGGCACGATCTCAGCTCACTGCAAGCTCCACCTCCCGTGTCCACAGAGGCTGGTGTTGTTTAAAGAAATAAAACTAACACTGGGGCTGTCCCATCTTGCTGGCCCATGATAAAAGAAGGGTGCTCCTCAGCAAAGGAAGCAATCAACAAAGTGAAGAGACAGCCACAGAAGGAGAGGAAGACTGCAAACCACCCACCTGAAAAAGGATTATTAACCAGAATACGTAAGAGCTCAAACAGCTTTATAGGAAAAAATATAATAATTCAATTTAAAAATAGGCCAAAGAAAAGAATAGACATTTCTCAAAAAAAGACATACAAATGGCAAACAGGTATATGAAAAGGTGCTCAACGTCACTGATCATCAGAGAAATGCAAATCAAAACTACAATGAGATATCATCTCACACCAGTTAAAATGGCTTTTATCCAAAAGTCAGGCAATAACAAATGCTGTTGATGATGTGAAGAAAAGGGAACCCTCATACACTGTTGGTTAAAATGTAAATTAGTACAACCATTATTCAGAACAGTTTGGAATTTCCTCAAAAAACTAAAATTAGAGCTACCATACGATCCAGCAATCCCACTGCTACATATATACCCCAAAGAAAGAAAATCAGAATATCAAAGAGATGTCTGCACTCCCATGTTTATTGCAGCACTATTTACAATAGCTAAGATTTGGAAGCAGCCTAAGTGTCCATCAACAGACTAATGGATAAAGAAAATGTGGTACATATATACAACAGAGTACTATTCAGCCATAAAATGAATGAGATCCTGTCATTTGCAAGAACATGGTTGGAACTGGAGGACATTGTGTTATGTGAAATAAGCCAGGGACAGAAAGTCAAACTTGGCATGTTCTCACTTATTTGTGGGAGCTAAAAATTAAAATAATTGAACTGATGGAGATAGAGAGTGAAAAGATGGTTACCAAAGGCTGGAAAGGGTAGTGAGGGAGGGGAGGGGAAATGGGATGGTTAATAGGTACAAAAATACAGTTAGAAAGAATGAATAAGACCCAGTATTTGCTAGTACAACTGAGTGACTATAGTCAAAAATAATTTAATCGTAGATTTAAAAATAACTAAAAGATAGGTCAGGAACGGTGGCTCATGCCTGTAATCCCAGCATTTTGGGAGGCCAAGCCAGGCGGATCACCTGAGTTCAGGAGTTTGAGACTAGCCTGGCCAACATAGTGAAACCCCATCTCTAATAAAAATACAAAAATTAGCCAGGCATGGTGGTGCATGCCTGTAATCCCAGCTACTCGGGAGGTTGAGGCAGGAGAATCACTTGAACCTGGGAGGCGGAGTTTGCAGTGAGCTGAGATCGAGCCATTGCACTCCAGCCTGGGCGACAGAGCCAAACTTTGTTTCAAAAAAATAAATAATAGTCCTGGCATGGTGGCTCACGCCTGTAATCCCAGCACTTTGGGAGTCAGAGGCGGGTGGATCACGAGGTCAGGAGATCGAGACCATCCTGGCTAACACAATGAAACCCCGTCTCTACTAAAAACACAAAAAATTAGCTGGGCGTGGTGGCGGGTGCCTGTAGTCCCAGCTACTCGGGAGGCTGAGGCAGGAGAATGGCGTGAACCTGGGAGGCAGAGGTTGCAGTGAGCCGAGATAGGGCCACTACACTCCAGCCTGGGTGACACAGCAAGACTCCGTCTCAAAAAATAAATAAATAAATAAAATAAATAGATAAATAAATAAATAAAAATAAATAAATACATAACGAAAAGAGTATAATTAGATTGTTTGTAACACAAAAAAAGAAGTGCTTAAGGTGATGGATACCCCATTTGTACTGATGTAATTATTACACATTACATGCCTGTGCTGAAATATCCCATGTAACCCATAAATATATACACCTATTATGTAGCTACAAAAATAAAAAATTAAAAAAATTTTTTACCTCTCCCTCCCCTCCCCCTCCCCCTCCCCCTCTCCCTCTCCGTCTTTGCACGGTCTCCCTCTGATGCCGAGCCGAGGCTGGACTGTACTGCCGCCATCTCGACTCACTGCAACCTCCCTGCCTGATTCTCCTGCCTCAGCCTGCCGAGTGCCTGGGATTGCAGGCGCACGCCGCCACGCCTGACTGGTTTTCGTATTTTTTGGTGGAGACGGGGTTTCGCCGTGTTGGCCCAGCTGGTCTCCAGCTCCTGACCGCGAGTGATCTGCCAGCCTCGGCCTCCTGAGGTGCCGGGATTGCAGACGGAGTCTCGCTCACTCAGTGCTCAATGTTGCCCAGGCTGGAGTGCAGTGGCGTGATCTTGGCTTGCTACAACCTCCACCTCCCAGCCACCTGCCTTGGCCTCCCAAAGTGCCGAGATTGCAGCCTCTGCCCGGCCGCCATCCCGTCTGGGAGGTGGGGAGCGTCTCTGCCCGGCCGCGACCCCGTCTGGGAACTGAGGAGTGTCTCTGCCCCGCGGCCACCCCATCTGGGAAGTGAGGAGCGTCTCTGACCGGCCGCCCCGTCTGAGAAGTGAGGAGCCCCTCCGCCCGGCAGCCGCCCCGTCTGGGAAGTGAGGAGTGTCTCCGCCCGGCCAGCCGCCCCGTCCGGGAGGTGGGGGGCAGCCCCCACCCGGCCAGCCGCCCCGTCTGGGAGGTGGGGGGCGCCTCTGCCCGGCCGCCCCGTCTGGGAAGTGAGGAGCCCCTCTGCCCGGCTGCCACGCCGTCTGGGAGGTGTACCCAACAGCTCATTGAGAACGGGCCATGATGACGATGGCGGTTTTGTCGAATAGAAAAGGGGGAAATGTGGGGAAAAGAAAGAGATCAGATTGTTACTGTGTCTGTGTAGAAAGAAGTAGACATAGGAGACTCCATTTTGTTCTGTACTAAGAAAAATTCTTCTGCCTTGGGGTGCTGTTAATCTATAACCTTACTCCCAACCCCGTGCTCTCTGAAACATCTTCTGTGTCCACTAAGGGTTAAATGGATTAAGGGCGGTGCAAGATGTGCTTTGTTAAACAGATGCTTGAAGGCAGCATGCTCCTTAAGAGTCATCACCACTCCCTAATCTCAAGTACCCAGGGACACAAACACTGCGGAAGGCGGCAGGGCCCTCTGCCTAGGAAAACCAGAGTCCTTACAGGTTTATCTGCTGACCTTCCCTCCACTATTGTCCTATGACCCTGCCAAATCCCCCTCTCCGAGAAACACCCAAGAATGATCAATAAATACTAAAAAAATTAAAAAAAAAATTTTTTTAAGTGTGCTCCTTATTCTTCAGGAGTTGGGAAATACCATCAAAAGACAGAACAGGTGGCACCCATGCACCCGATTCTCTCTCTCTTTTTTTTTTTTTTTTGAGAGGGAGTGTCACTCTGTCACCCAGACTGGAGTGTAGTGGCATGATCTTGGATCACTGCAACCTCTGCCTCCTAGGTTCAAGTGATTCTCCTTCTTCAGCCTCCCAAGCAGCTGGGATTATAGATGCACACCACCATGCTCGGCTAATTTTTGTATTTTTAGTGAATATAAAAATTCACCGTGTTGGCCAGGCTGGTCTCGAACTTCTGACCTCAGGTGTTCCACCTGCCTTGGCCTCCCAAAGTGCTGGGATTACAGGCATGAGCCACCTCACCCAGGCATCTGATTCTGCAAAGATCTAGCACCATTGTGCACATGTCTTCTTAGAGCCTATGTCCGCACAAAGTGATGCAGCATTGGCCAATCCAGTGAACTCAGGTGTGTAAACCGAAAGTAAAATCTTAAACCCCTTAACCTACTGAAGAGATGCCCCTCTTTGCCAAGGGGACCCCAGAAAAACCTGAAAAACTGAACTCCCAGCCATGACAGGAAGGCAGATCAGACATGTGCTGTTGTACCCCTCCCTTTGGAGAGTAGGCATAACTGACCAGCATTACCATTAACATAGAGGTCATGAGGCTGACAAAACAGACTTTTTAGAAATAAGATGCCACATTCCAACCTGAGTCTGGTGTAACCTTACATGACAGATAGCAGACCCTGAAGCAAATTAAAATATTTTACCCCAAAATATATTCCTGTGACATATTTGAAATGGCCCTGCAACGCCATCTTTTGTGGGGGGAAATTTGCATCTGTTATAGAATCTCCATTAATGCAGCCATATTTCCCCTTTCTAGTCCTTTCCCAGATCTAGGAGATTAAATGAGAGTGTGACACCGTTAAGGTCCAAAAAGAGACACTTACCATCTATTTTCTCTGCAGGTGGCTGCCTGTGAGTTTCATCTACATAACAAGAGCCTTGGGCTCCACAACTCCCCTTATCTTAGCTCAAGAAAAGATATCCTGCCTCTTTAGGCTGAACAAAAATACACCTTCCTCATACTGACTTATGATTTTACCTGTAATTCCTGACTTCCTAAGATGTATAAAGCCAAATTGTAACCCAGTCTCCTCAGGCACACTTTCTCAGGACCTCTTGAGATGGTTCCGTGGGCCATGGTCACTCCTATTGGCTCAGAATAAACCTCTTTAAATATTTTACAAAGCTTTTGGGGTTTTTTATTCCCCTCAGCAGGTGCATGAGAAGTTTCAAAGGGTCAAGATGCAATCTTTCCATAAATGTCTCCTAGATGGGTGCTTCCAAAGCCCCCATAGCCATGAACTTCCCATGAGAGGTATGACACGTTTCCTGAAGGGTACACCACCATGATGTAGATTTTCTCCCTTTGTCTGCATTAAAATTGTCGGCATCCTACCTATACCACAGGCAGAACTATCCTATGCTGTACCTCCCTACCACATTTGCATCCATTGTTTGTCCCTTGGCAGATTGGGCACATTCAAAAACAGCCATTGCTTACCCATTGCCCCAAGAACCCTCCAACCGAAGGAACGAGGACACTTGGAGGTGCATATGGTTTCTTGTGTTTCTAGCCAACACACTAGAAAAGGCCAAAATGTTAATATCATGACTTCACTTTGGAAATATTTACTGGATAAATGCATTCCAGTAGAAACCTAAGCAGAGGTGACTCTTGGATTCTTGTGTAACATCTCCTACGGCAAAAGTTTCCCTTTGCCCCGAGCTAGAGCCCCTCTTGGGAAAGGATCTCTTGGCGTATTGGTCTGTAGGCAAATTTCCTCAAAGACGGCAGCACCTTCTGGAGTTTTCAGGTTTAGAGCCAGTGACTACTTACCAGTTCGTTGACTCAAACATGTCTTTGGTCTCAATCCACGCAAACCACTTGGGCTCCAAAGTCAGCTCAAATCATCTCACAGATAGAAGAAGTAAATTCCTACCAACTCCAGTACCAAGACATTTCTCAAGGCCATGTGACTTTACAAGCAGAGGGAGCTGGGACTAGCTGAGATATATCTGGAAATTTATTTTAAAATCTGAGCTCAGGACTTTCCAAGGAGGAACTTAAAAAGAAAAGAAAAGAAAAGAAAAAAACTCCACCTATTCAAGAGTCAATGAACAACTTTCATTTCATTTATTTCTTTTTGGACAGGGTCTTGCTCTTTCACCCAGGCTGCAGTGCAGTGGTGTGAACTTTTAAAATTTGTTTGTGGGCTGTCTTCCAGCTTCCACTGCTTTAATAGCCTATCTCCTCTCAACTATTAACTATAATTAGTGTATAAGGACAGCTATTTCAACCCTTGAGGTCCTTACTTCAAACCGTCCTAAAGAATTAAAATGTAGTCCTAAGTGGCACTTTTCCAGGATCATAAGAATTCCTTCCCCTTCAAAAGCTTAGAGTAAAGATAAATCAGACAGAAGGAGAATTATCCTTTTATTGGCTCAAAGCAACCACTGGCTCCCTTCTCAGTGGTGTGATGTTCTGGAAGGGAGATTAGTGTCTTCTGAGGGTTGTTGCAATAATGGAGAAACACTTGGCCAAGACTTTCTTCCCCCGCCAGTGTCCTCTACCTAGGATTGTCAAATTTTGGAAATATTCAAAAGTTCTTCAATAGAGGGATACGCAATGAAAAATTTGCTACTGTTTGGGATTCGTTAAGTCAATTTAATTTCTGCTTAATACAAAGTTCTAGTGCCCACAATTTTGTTACTATTATTAACTTTCCAGCACCAGTGATGTGCTGAGATTTCTGCAGTGGTTCCTGAGTGCTGGATTTAAGGTCTGCTGGTGAAAATGATCAGTTACAGTCATATGCTGTAACTGATATGCTATTCCACCAGTCTGAAAGGAGACAATGGCAGCAGGGCCTGCCGTAAAGAGGCCAGGGGATGCTCAGTGAGATGACTTCTCCTGTCTCCCCAGTTGAGTCTCCCACCCTATGGTTGGATGGTGGTGATGGCCACAGTGAGGCCTTGCCCAAACTCAGAAACGTCCAAGACTCTACTATTCCCAACCACATGTCCCTGAACCTTCAGCACACTTACCTTTAGGCAAGCCAGTCTGATGTTGTTTAAAAACAATTTTTTTCTCTGCCACAGCACTGGATGGCCACACATTATGAAAGAATGGCTTATCTTTATTCATGCTCAGTTCCCTTGTGATACCATTGCGGTGGCCCATCTGAGGAGTACAATCCTTTCGAGGCAAAGAAGAAACTGCACTTAAAAGGCCTGGCCAGGACCTACTAGCTTCACAGGGGCAAATCTAGACCATATCCTCCCACAGTTTGTTAGAAATGATGCCAGCCTATTGAGATTGTTTCTGAGTGGTGAGAAACAACGGCAAGAGTTCATGCAAAACACAAGTGTAAATGTCATCATTTTATTCTTTTTGTTGATAAACCGCTGGAGAGCCAAGGTCACATCCTGAATTTCTTTCAGATCTTTTACATATTAGGCATAGAATCCCAAAAGTTGTAAGTTCTAAAGAGTCTTTACAGTATACTGACAAAAATATGAATGACATTTGTTTAAGGCTACTTATTGTAAAACTACCTGTAATAAGGAAAGACTGAAAACAGCCTAAGTCTCATTAGTAGGAAACTGGTTGAAATGGAACACCCACACAATGCAGTATTCTGCAGCTATAAAAATGTATGAAGATATCTATATATTGCAGTTGAGGGATTTCCACATGTATGAAGTTAAAAAGCCAGATGCAGAGCAATACAGCAGCATGCCACCATTTATCTAAGAAGGGAAGGGGAATTAAACAGTTATAAGTATTTGCTTGCCTATTGTTTAAAGTAATGGCAGGATTAAGACATAAAGCTAATGAAAATGTTAACGATATCAGTAATTGTATGTAGTGATTACATGTTGAAATGCTAACATTTTGGGGGCGGGTGCAATGGCCCACGCCTGTAATCCCAGCACTTTGGGAGGCTGACGGGGGCGGATCACGAGGTCAGGAGTTCGAGACCAGCCTAGCCAACGCAGTGAAACCACATCTGTACTAAAAATACAAAAATTAGCTGGGTGTGGTGGCGGGCCCCTATAATCCCAGCTACTCAGGAGGCTGAGACTGGAGAATCGCTTGAACCTGGGAGGCGGATGTTGCAGTGAGCAGAGATCATGCCACTGCACTCCAGCCTGGGTGACAGAACTAGACTCTGTCTCAAAAAAAAAAAAAAAAAAAAAAAAAGCTAACATTTTGGACATACTGGGTTAAATAAAATACAGTATTAAAATCAATTCCATCTATTTCTTTTTATTTATTTTTGTAATGTGGTTCCTGGAAAATTTTGATTACATGTGTGTCTCTCGTATTCCTATTGGAGAGAACTGCCAAGGAGATGCCCTCTCATCAACATATACACCACCTTGCCAGCAGAAAGGGCATGGACTCCCAGATGAGAAAATGTTGGTGATATGGACTAATAAGACTATTTGAGACAAATGCTCATTGACATTCAAAGAGGTTCTCAGCCAGGTGTGGTGGTTCAAGCCTATAAATCCAGCACTTTGGGAGGCTGAGGCGCATGGATAACTTGAGCTTAGGAGTTCAGGACCAGCCTAAACATAACAAGACCCCATCTCTACAAAATACACAAAACTTAGCTGGGTGTGGAGGCATGCACCTGTGGTTCCAGCTACTCGGGAGGCTGAGGTGGGAGGATTGCTGGAGCCCAGTAGATGGAGGCTGCAGCGAACCATGATTGCACTCCAGCTTGAGCAACAAAAGAAACCCTGTTTTTTTTTTTTTTTCTGAGGGGGGGTTTTCGTTTCACAAAAGGTTCTGTCACACTCTTAGATCTACTCAGCCCCCAAATCCCAAGTTAGGCAAACAAAGTCACATGCTGTTAGACTAGAAATTAGGAAATCAGGAATCAAAAAAAAAAAAAAAAAAAAAAAACCAAATTGTTGAGGAAAGAGCTGCCTTTCTTCAGAACTTAGAATTGATGTTTAATGGTATTAAAATCCACAGCGAGCATCCAACCCACAGAGACATTTGGATCTGTGAGAAAATGGAAATACCCGCGGATATCTTCAGAGGTCATTAGAAGTTGTGTTTGGTATAAACCTGTGGTACGATCATTGTTCACTCATGGACTGTCTTCTAGAAGAACATACTCTCTGTCTGTAATGTTTGCATCATGAAAAATGTAGGAAGGTGTCATCATTGCTAATATCAAAGATTAGGGGGTTTCATCTTAAACACTAGTATCTTCCCCAACAAGTGATCATTCCTCCATGTATGTAAATACTTTTGATGCTTCTTTTTTTAGCTAGTTGGTTTTTTCTTTTGAATGTAGCTTTTGTCTGATTACAAAAATAATATAAACTGTCCCAAAATTGTTAGAAAATGCTAAAAAGTATATATAAAGAAAGATCTAAAATCTCAGGACCCAGATGTAGCCTCTGTTAATATTTAGAAATATCTTCTTCCAGGTGATGTTCTCTGCATATTATAATAATTAGATATAGAATCTTATATTTTTGAATAAAGTGATATCATATTATACATACTGTTTTCTGTCTTGCCCTTTTGCTCAACAATATGTTGTGGACAGCTTTTCATGACATGAGATTTAATGCTACATTATTGTCTTAATAGTTATATGCTATTTCATGGAACAGATGACCCTCATTTAAAGTCTCTTGTAGATGAACATTGGAATTAATTCCAACTTTTCCTATCATAAACAACACTGCAATGAATATCCTTTTACACTGATATTTTCATATTGTCTGATGTAAAATTACACTGTAGATTTTTACCCTTCCAAGATTTTGAATGTGATTGCCTTGCAGAAAGCTTTCCACAACTTATACCAGCAGCATATGATTATGTTTGTTTTCTGATGCTTTTACCGAAACTAGGTATTTTAATACTTTTGAGGGACAGAGATGCCTGTCTGTTGTGCCATAACATATTAAATTGCCATTTTTCAACATCTGTTGACCTATAAACGACTATTTCATATGGATAGACTTAATATAAATTTCTTTTCTTTTTTTTTTTTTTTTTGAGACGGTGTCTCACTCTGTCACCCAGGCTGGAGGTCAGTGGCACAATATCAACTCACTGCAACCTCTGCCTCCCAGGTTCAAGCGATTCTCCTGCCTCAGCGTCCCAAGTAGCTGAGATTATAGGTGCCTGCCACCACACCCAGCTAATTTTTGTATTTTTAGTAAAGATATAGTTTCACCATGTTGGCCAGGCTGGTCTCAAACTCCTAACCTCAAGTGATTGGCCCACCTTGGCCTCCCAAAGTGCTGGGATTACAAGTATGAGCCACTGCACCCAGCCAGAAATTTCTATAAACACATTTCATTATCTTATACTTACATATAATTTTTGTTAAGATTTTAAAAAGGCATTCAATCAGTCACAAAGCTTTACAGATTGACCTTCTTACTAACCACCAACTCACTTCTCTCATTTGTGAAAATCCTGATGACGCATTGTTGCCAGGATGATAAATAAATCTGGTCATGTCATTAAAAACTCTTCAATGTCTCCTTGGTGTAGGGTGGTTCAGCTGCTAAAATTAGAAAAAAAATGGGGAGGATCATGTTTATGGAGGGGGAAGAATGAAATCAGAAGTTTCATTTCAAACACATTACATTTTAGGCAGTGTGAAATATCCAAGCAGAGGCATCAAAGAGCCAGCTAGAGATGTGATCCAGAGTTCAGAGCAGAAGACTTAGCTGAAAATTTGCATATCATCTGCCTAAAGATGGCATTTAAACCTGCAACCATCAAACCTGTACCTCCCTCTACAGTGCACTCTGTGTGAACCGGTTTAGTGGCTTTATCCTAAGCAAACTTGTGTAGGATGATGAAAGACTTTCTCTCAGACTGTCAACAAGTATAATTTATTAGGGAATATTTACATGCACAGAGGAAAGGGAACATTAATTCTCCTGTCCCCAAGGAGACACAACAAAGGCAAACGCAAAGATAAGCTAAGATGCTGTTCAAATTTGCAAGAAAAATCCTGGAAGGAATGTCTTGTCTTCTTCAATCTTTGTCACTAACTTCTACATCTTCAGAGTAGCCGTTAGAGTCGCCGTTTGTCCAAGGTGGCTTGAAAATGGCTCCACTCTGATTTATGGGAGGTGAAACAATGTTATGTATCAGGAAAAAGGAAGGTTTCTCAGTCAGAGAGACAGCAATCTGAATTCTCAGTCAGCCCTTTACAATCTTTGTGGCTTTGAGCGTTCTTTCTTAACTTCTCTACACCTCCTCACCTGTAAATTAAGGATACTAATGCCTACTCCTGGGAAATTCAGAGATGAAACGCATTCATAGCATAGCACACTTTCTGGCTCACAGCAGACCTTCAGTGAATACAGAATATTATCACTGAGAAATATATAAATCCCTTTTTAGCTTAGAGTTTTCACCCAGAACATGGCAGCACATTTGTCATGTGTGAAGGGGATTGGGTCTCCACTATGCCTGCACTGGCCATCCACATCAACTCCTTGTTTCTTTGCTGCTGAAATTCAAGACCTATGTATGTTCACCAGAAGTAAACACGCACACCTGCAGCATGATGGAATGGGTAAAATGCTCTGCTTCTGTCTCCTGGTGCTTGGGGTGGTAGGAAAAAAATGCATACAGGAAAGCTTCTGTTTTTGTTTCCAGAGTGAGTATCTTAAAATTGTCAAAGTTGGAAAAACTGTTATTTCAGAGACTGCAAGTGATTCTGCATTTTGGGGTAAAGGCCGAACTAGCTTCCCTCTCTTTGCTCTGGAAGGAAACCTGTTTTCTTTGTCATGAGGGTGTTAGGCAAGAGCCCACTCTGTGGTTGGGAAAGACCTGACCAAGGGGCGCAGGTGTTTGAGACAGCGAGTGCTGACCTGTGGGCAGAGCGGGACATCTGCAGAGATGAGGAGGGTGCTGAGTGTCCCCTCCCCAATCAGACTGGACTCAAGCAGGGCAGAGACTCAGACAGGATGGGGACAAAGGACTTCCACTGGAGAACCTGCCAGCTTTCTCAACTTCAACAATTTTAAGATACTCACTCTGGAAACACAACAGAATGACGGCCAACAGGAGCCCCCTGGGAGAAGCATGGCTCTTGGATTCTGGTAGTGATATCTGATTTTGACCTAAGTTTTCCTGAAATACTACACAATCACCATGAACAACAAGAATAATAAAGGCTAATCCTTATAAAGTGCTGTTAATTTTACATAAATGAGCACATTTAACCCTCACAGCTCTAAGTCCTTTTAGTATATCCACGTTACAGATAAGGAAACTGAGGTACAGAGAGATCAGGTAACTTGCTCAAGGTCACACAGATAATAAGATATGTCTTTCCTGCATCATGTAAGAGCCAAGCCCTTGTTAGACTCTTTTTGAACACTTAAGTCTATTGCTAAGCTGTATTTTATGGAATTGAGGTAGAAGCTGTGTCCATGCTTTGGGTAAATCAAGGAGGGGGAAGGGCAGAACTTGAGGAAGATACACATGATCTAACCAACGGAGGCACAGATGTCTGAGCAAGAGATGACCATGATGACCGGGTAGCTGCTGGGAACATACAGACAGTCCTGGAGGAGGCTCAGGAGCGAGCCGGGAGGGAGCCTCCAGGAAGAGTGGGCTTCCTACTGAGGGGTGCAGTTGGAATTCTGCTGTGAATTTTAAAAAGGATAAGTCCTGCAGGCTGGAGAATATTCAGGTTACATTTATGTTAGAGACATAACATTGAAGACAACTTGACATGAACGGGATTCTGTCTCCCCAGATTCCTATGTTGAAGCCCTAACCCCCAATCTGACTATATTTGGAGAGAGGGTTTTTATGGAGGTGACTAAAGTTAAATGAGGCCATATAGGTGGGCCCTAATTCGTGCATTTGATGATACTGCATTCAAAGAAGTGATTAAATAAAGTGAGGCCTACTGGATGGGGCCCTCAATATGACTCATGTCCTTATAAGAAAAGAAAGAGGCCTCAAGAGGCCATCTGAGGACACAGCGAGAAGGCAGCCACCCACAAGCCAAGGAGAGAGGCCTCTAGATAAACCAAGCCTGCAGCACCTTGATGCTGGACTTCAGCCTCCAGAACTATGACAAACACATTTCTGTTGGTTGAGCCACCCCCTCTGTAGTATTCTGTTACGGCAGCCTGAGTAGACTAAGACATCACTTCAGACAGAAATATTTCAGAAATGCCTTCCAAATTCCCACAGGCCCCATCTTTTCCCCTACTTTTAGAACTATGTCTCAGAATACTTGACGGAAATCTTCACTCATTCATTCTGCTGACCGCTAAAATCCAATCAACCCAAACCAAACCCTTTATCCCTGCCCTCAACCAGTGCCCAAAACAACTCCCCACTCTGACTTTCCAATTGTGGGGAGGTTGTCATCCCTTCAGTCACCTCCTCACCTTGGGCCCCCTTCCCTCTATCACCAAGTCTTCTCAGCCCCTCCCTGGGATATCCCTTGAAATCATTTCCTCTTTTCTCTTCCCACTGCCAAGTTGCATATCCACATACTTAGTACCTCCTCACCTATGCTATCCCCTGGTGGGATTTTTCTTTTTTTTTAAAGACAGGTCTCACTCTGTTGCCCAGGCTGGAGTTCAATGCTGTGATCATGTTTCACTGCAGCTTTGACCTCCTGGGCTCAAGGGGTCCTCCTGCCTCCCCGGTAGCTAAGACCACAGGTACATGCCACCATGCCCAGCTAATTTTTTTTTTTTTCATTTTTAGTAGAGACAGGGTCTCCCCTCTCAGCCTCCCCAATTGCTGGGATTACAGGCATGAGCCACCATGCCTGGCCCCTGGTAGGATTTTTACCTCCCAGTTGCCCTACTCATACTCCACAGGAAGGCACTGATTCTAAGGGTCTCATTGCACCTGTTAGTGTGCGGTAGTGCATGGTGGTGGGGGGTGCTTGGGACAGTATCTAGCAGCCAGATATGATGAGGAAGAGAGACGTCCATACCAACAGTAACAGGGAATGAATGAGATAGCACAGGAAGTTCTTCTGGATTCCAGGTGGAATTCACTCTTAGAGTAGGGGAGACATTCTGAAGGCCCCCCATCCTGAGGTGTGGCCAGTGATGAAGAGGCTCCACTGTGTCCGAGGCCTGGTGAGGACACGGGCCTCTCCTTTCTGCTTCACCACAACCCAGAGAAATAGACACAAGTATCCCCACTTTTATTGATGAAGAAGCTGAGGCTTGGCAGGGCAGTCGAATGGCAAGGATCCCTGATGTTTCTTTCCAAGTGGGTGGGTTAGAATAATATCCTGGGTCTGTCTCCACTTCCTGGGATTGGACCTGCCAGCTCAGTTTGTCTCTCTTTGGGATCAGCCTTGTCTGCATAGATCATCCTGCTCTGTGCCATAAATAGAGGTGGTGGGGCGGGGTGGAGATCCTAGCCCTGGGTGGGGTTATGGTGCAGTGTTACCTGTAACTGTGTGTGTCTGTGTCTGCCTCTTGTTGGAGACTGGAATAAGAAAGCCATTGTTGTGCACACACACACACCCACACCCACACACACACACCCCTACCCTGATCCTTCAAATTAGCGTTTCTCAGTAACAAGGCTGGTATTTTGAGTTCCATCTTCCTGACTTCAGCATCTATTAACTAACTGTCTCCAAATAGGGAACAGGGTGAGCTGACTGAGTCCCATCAAATAGCAGTAGGGGTCTAACCACAGGTCTGACTACAATTTCCCATCTTTTTCCACTCTACTCCTCCCCAGAGCCCACCGGAAGTGGGGATCAAGTTTGGTTCAGGGGTAGAAATTGGGAAGCCCCTGACTCCTTACCCTTAGGATCATGTCCAAAGGTCCCCTGGGTAGAGTCCCAGGTTGAGGCACTAGGAAGAGGACAGATTTCTCCTGGTTCAGCTGTAGCTGCCTTTGCACTATGAGTGTGGGGGCACTCAGGGCCAGTGAGCCTCATGAGTGAGGCAGCAGCCAAGGACTGGGCCAACCGCATGACTTGGAGACTGTTCAGGTCAACAATTACTCTTTGCTGGGTGCAGAGATGCAGTGACAAATAAGACAGAGACCTTGCTCTTGTGGAAACTATACCTTCAGGGAGAAGCTGATACCTCTATATAATTGACAAGTAGGATAGGCACAGAGTACATCACCTATAGAGGAATGCCTGAAGGTCAAACTGGGGGGCAGGAAAGCCCCCTAAGGAGAGGACTCTTGAGCTGAGTCATAAAGCATTGATAGGGACATGCTTGTTGGAGAAAGGTGAGATGAGCTTTTGAGGCAGAGCTGACACCTGAGCAGAGGCACAGGGCTTGCACCAGCTTAGCGTTTGCAGAGACCTGGAGTCATCAGGCTCTACTGACCACACTGTGAGCAAGGGGGTGTGTGGAGTGGTCAAGCTGGGAGCACAGCAACCACAATACATGGTGAACCTCATACCACACCACAAGGAGCTTGCACTACATTGTACAGTGATGGGAGCCTGTAGGAGGTCAGAATGGCTTCTTAATATACAGTCTGTTGTGTGGAAAAACGATTAAAAGGGAGGATGCAGGGTGGTAGTCTGGAGGCTTCTGCAAAAATCTAGATGAGAAATCATGATGACCAGGCAGGGAATCAAGGTAGAGAGGAGAGAGTGGTTTCCTTGATTGGATCAATTATTGATGATTAAGGGGGTGAAAGAGAACTCTGTCTGGGATGCGCTATGGTGATGGGCCTTTAAATGGTTTTGGAGTTTAGAGTGGGCAGAGGAGGCTGGTGCCCCAAAGGAGATAGACACTCTAAGCAGGAGGAAGGAGGGGCGTCAAGAGAGCAGTGTCCCAAGACTCAGGAGAACAGAGTTCAAGAAGCAAGTGGTCACTGGGAGTAAATGTGGCAGAGAAAGCCAGGATGATAGGAGATGGAAAATATCCATTGCTTTTGGAAATTGTTGATGTCTTTTATCAAAGAAATCTCCATGAAGTGATTAGGTGGAACCTAGATTGCAGAGGGTTGAAGAGGAAGAAGATGAGGAAACAAAATCAATGTAGAATATAGAATAGTCTTTCAAGAAACTTGAAATGGGAGACATGGAGCTATAGCTAGAATGATACAAAATGTCACCTAATATCTATTTAGGATAGGAAATCTGCTAGAGTTTGGATGTTTGTCCCCCAAACCTCATGTTGAAATTTGATCCCAATGTTGGAGGCGAGGCCTAATGAGAGGTGTTTGGATCATGGGGGTGGGTCCTTCATAAACGTCTTGGTGCTGTCCTCCAATAATGAGTGAGTTCCTGTTCTATTAGTTCCCACAAGAGCTGGTTGTTAAAAGGAGCCTGGCACCCTCTCCTCCCAATCTCTCTCTCTCTCTCTCTCTCTCTCTCTCTCTCTCTCTCTGTCTCTCTCTCTCTCCTTCTCTGTGTGTGTGTGTGTGTCACTTCCTCTCTGGCCACATGATCTCTGCACAGGCCAGCTCCCCTGCACCTTCTGCCATGAGTAGAAGCAGCCTGAGGCCCCCACTAGAAACTGAACAGATGCCAGTGCCATGCTTCTTATGTGGCCTGCAGAACTGTGAGCCAAATCGACCTCTTTTCTTTATAAATTATCCAGCCTCAGGTATTCCTTTACAGCAACACAAAAGGACTAAGACAAGATCCATGTGCATATTTAAAGGCTGAAAAGAAAGAGATAATAAAATAGAGGGGGAAGGATTAAAGACTTAAGAGAGGAAAGGATAATGACACAATCCTCTATTGGAGAAAATGGTATTAAGAGTGTGGGTGGCTGTGTGGCCCTTGGACCTGAGGCAGCATGCCTCATCCATGTGACATGTGAGAAGCTCCTGATAACAGGCAGCTTAACTCTGCCCAGAATGTCCTGAATTCTTTCATATATTGAAAGTTCTGCTCTTCTATTAAGATCCAGAGCAAATGTCAACTCTTCTCCCTGGTGAGCTCCCATAGCAGGTTCTTTGATTGCATCCTGCAATTGTTATAATTCTGTGTTACAGTTCTTTCTGGACATGTCTTTTACCCCTACCAGATTTACACATTTGTTGAAAAAGGAAAAATAGCTTACCAGTCTATATTTCAACCAAATGATTAATAAATATTTTTTGGATTTTTAAAATTTCCTTCTCAATAGTACTTTAATAATTAAAATTAAAATTATATTATAAAGCCTTATAATTGATCAGAAAACACAAGAACTTTAAAAATTGCTGACAAAAATCTTGGGGCCAAGTACTCTAACACAAAGCCTAAAGACTTGAAGAGAAAGATTGTGAGATCACACCCACGAATTCTAGCCTTTGCTAATTCTTCTGGGATCAAAAGTTTCATGTGAAAAAGTCAGGTCATGAATACCCTTAACTGACAGTAGAAATATGTTCTAAAATCAGTCAGTGCTTTACAATTCAACACATATGTCTTGTTTTTAAGCCAATGCTTTAATTTGTTTTTCATTGTAACTTAAGCTAAAGAGAAATCTCAGTTTGTTTCAGCCAAAGGAGATGTTATAGGATTTTATTCTGCCTTAATAGAATATGCAAGAGTGTTCTGGGAGACTAAAGTCAGATCTTTATTAAAATCTCCCCAGTAGCAAGCAGGTAGCTGCATAAGGTAGCCTTTTCCCCTCTGTATATACATAAACAGCCATAAAAAGGAATGAACTACTAATGAATACAACATGAATTAATCTCAAAAACAGTATATTAAACAAACGAAGCCAGACACAAAGAGTAAATACTCCATGATTGCATTTTTATAAACTTCTAGAAAAGGCAAACCAGTGACAGAAAGCATTGGTTTTCTGGATTCTGGGGAATCATTGCAAGGGGCAAATGCAACATTTTGGGATGATGGAAATGATTTACACCTTGATGGGAGTCCACGCTCCTATCAAATGACCCAGGCACACACTTGTCTAAGCTCATTAAGCTGTACGTTTTGAATGGGTGCATTTTATTTTAGCTAAGTTATACCTCAATAAAGGTGATTTTAAAATGCAAATTTTACTTCTTGGTGTGGTAGCTCATGCCAGGAATCCCAACATTTTGGGGGGTTGAGGAGGAAGGATTGCTTGAGCCCAAGAGTTCAGGACAAGACCAGCCTGGGCAACAAAGCCAAGACTCCGTTTCTAATTCGAAAACAAAACAATAATAACAAAATTAAAATGTGAAAACCCTAATAGAAATCAGTTTATCTGACCAACTCTCTATGTACCAGGACCCTCTGAGAGCCATGGTTAAGGACATGAGCAGTATTTCTAGATAGCTGATGGGATGGAGGAGGCTTACTATGAATTAAGAGGTAAAATGTTTGTTTTGAGTGACAATAACAACAGCAAAATAGATTTTCTTTCCAAGACTGAAATTTTCCTTCCTCTTCCTCTTAGGCCAAAAAAAAAAAAAAAAGAAAGAAAAAGAAAAAAGAAGAAAAAAGCAACTGGGAGTGGATGAGGTCTTTTCCCTGACAAGTCTACACCTATGGTCTTTCGTGACCCATGGCAAATGCAGATGGAAGATTTCTGTGAGTGCTTTGGGAGCCAAATTGCATGGAGGTCCCACAAATTTGGGAGTTAGGAACAAATCCCAGGAAATTCTAGAACCCATTAAACACATTTAAGAGTGGTTATATTGAACAGTAATTGATAACAGCAGAAAATCAGAAAGTTAAACCATAGTTTATCTTTCATGGGTGTTTCTTGTAATTTTTCTATACATACATGATCTAGGTAAATATAATGATTAGAAACTTTAACAAACTTTGTACTTAATTAACATTTTATTGTTTGAAAAATCATATCTCATTGGTGAAAAAATTGTCTAGACCTGCGTCCAGAAGAAGTGTGGATGAAGAGGCTCTTGCATGGGCCCTGCTAGGAGTTGCTGACCTGCTTGTCCATGTCAGGGTGGACAGGCTTTGCAGTGCTAACCCAGCAAGCCTTAAGAAGAAAACAAAACCATAGACACATCATCTGGCACTTAAGAAGAGACTGTGCTCCACGTATGTTTATTGCGGCACTGTTCACAACAGCAAAGACTTGGAACCAACCCAAATGTCCAACCCAAATGTTTATAGACTGGATAAAGAAAATGTGGCACATCATGGAATAGTATGCAGCCACAAAAAGGATGAGTTCATGTCCTTTTCAGGGACATGGGTGAAGCTGGAAACCATCATTCTCAGCAAACTGACACAAGAACAGAAAACCAAACACCGCATGTTCTCACTCATAAGTGGGAGTTGAACAATGAGAACACATGGACACAGGCAGGGGAACATCACACAGCAGGGCCTGTCTGGGGGTGGGGGACAAGGGGAGGGATAGCATTAGGAGAAATACCTAATGTAGATGAGGGGTTGATGGGTGCAGCAAACCACCACGTCATGTGTGTATACCTATGTAACAAACCTACACTTTCTGCACATGTATCCCAGGACTTAAAGTATAATAATAATAAAGAAAGAAGAGACCATGCTCTATGCTCCCAAATATGTCTCATTTGTCTTGTATTAGTTTTGACCCCCACATTACGGGCAAAGGTCCAGTTTCTGTCTCCCAGAGTACCTAGAATACCTACCACACTCAAATTTGGTCCCTGGCACCACAGTGCTCCCTTTTTAATGATTCTTCTATTCATGGTCTCAACTCAGGCCTAAGTTCTGAAGCTTGTTCCCATTTACCTGCTCTACTAACATCCTAGGTCTACACTTCTTTTTGACTAGTCTAGTCCTGAGACCCCATATCTCTTCACAGTCCCCCAAGGAGCACCCACCTTTCCTCTTCTTCCCCAACCCAGCAAGAGGGCCTGAGGCCCCAGACTCTCTTCTTTGAGGCTGCTAATACCCCCCATTAGACATCTTCCATTCTCCAAAGAGATCTTGCTTTGGGAGCCAACACACAGGGCAGGTAGGTTATTCATAGTCAATGCAGGTTTACCTTGGTAACTGCAAATACCAGCAGGGGTCCTAGAATCCAAACATACACATTTCATATAAGAAGTATGCTACTGAGTGTAACAGGTTCCTGTGCCCTCATCTATATCTGGTATACAGACCTAATGGATTCTGTAATTATTTACACCTTAATAATTTCCACTGTGAACTAAACCACACAGGTAGTTCCCTTCTCTCTCTCTCCAAGGAATATAGGAGGTGTGGGGACTTGGAACAGCCCTCAAGTCCCCACACAAGGCAGAGATGCTCTACCTGGATTACTTCTTTCCAAAAGAGCAACTTTCTTTTTTCAAATAAAATCTATTCAGAATATTAACTCTGATTCTTAATTCTATTCTGGTGGTCTTATACTACAAAGCCTGTGTAATCATTTTCTTTCCCCAAGATTCTGATTTCCACTAATTCTAATGCTCAAAAAAAAAAAAAAAATGAAAAACCAGCTATATATGCCATCAGGCATGAGATTCCCCCAGATTTAAGAAGTAGATATGCATTCTGAGAGAAGTCATTTTCCCTTTTGGAAAAAAAAAATTAAAATTATTTCCTTCTATAAAAATAAGAGACCATCAAATAGTCTTCCTATTAAAAATAACACATAAAATAAAATCCAGAAATAGCTGCTACTCTGAAACTGAAGAGACAATAAAGAGTCTCTGACTCTCAAATACAATTGAGAGGCAAAAATAAAATGGGGACATTTCAAAAAGAGCAGGACTGTTTCCCTATAATGTTTGACAATGAGCAATGCTTACAAAAAGAAATGTGTAGAAGAAATTAATCATAAGGGCAGAGACCTTTGCTAAATAATTTAAAACCATCATATTTGGTAGTTAGTTCACAGAAGATTTTAAATAAAATATCACATCATTTTTGATGATCCATTCCTCTAGCAGAGGATGTCCATCTGAGGAATTTTGTGTGGGCTTTTTAGAGCCAATTTAGTCTTTTCATCAGTTCTCTTTACATACGATTTGCCACAAACAAGACAGATGGGACAACTGAACAACTCTTTAATGGAGTAGAAAAGAGAAAATATTTCTCTCTTCATGTGAGATGGCAAAAGCATGTGATGATTTCGAAGGGAAAATGATTTTCCATTGTTTCTATTGCTCTTATGAAGAAAGCATGTGAAGCATCTAAACAAATGCACAGCCAAATCATTTACAATGATTTCCAAAGATGTTTTCTGTCTATATTCAAATAAGGGTTTGTCTTAGTCTCCAGAAATTCACATTTTGAGTTACCATAATAATTTCCATACTTGCATAGAGCTTGTTTCAGCCAGTTCAGGGCTTGGTATCTGACAAAGACTACAAATTACATCTTGTAGAAAGAAATCATTATCATTTCTCAAAAGTTAGGATTATAAAGTGAAAGGGCCCATTTTCCTCAACAAACCAACATGGTCCTGACCTTCTCAATCCCCTGTCCTTTCAGCTACCACATTGTATCACAAAAGAGAATTAGAGCCCATGACCTTAGTGCTGAGCCATTCTTCTTCATCCAAGCCATTCCAACCTTCCTTTGTCCCTTAGCCTTCATTGAGGTTTTCAAGTTTCCATTCCTACTTTCTCTTACCCAATTTGTCTATCCCATGTCTTGTCTCCTTTCCATAGATTCTGGTTCCCCAAATTAGCTACCCTCCCTCAAGAAATCCCTTTCAAGCTGTCTCTGCTTTAGACCTTCCTAACCATATTGTGTATCATTGCCCTTCCTGCAGAAATTAGCCCATACAAATCGTAAAAATGGATTCTGTTATTTCCCGGAGATAATGAGTACAACTTATTCATTGTAGAATTTCAAGTGTGTAGGAAATGATGTAGAATAGAACAATCTTTCTGTTTTTTTTTTAAACACCATTCCTAGAAATGTTTACTATTTGGCTGTTTTTTCTGGTTCCAGCAGGTCAATGGGTTGAACATTTTCTAGGTGATTCCTAAGCCCTCTCCTAGGTTGTGACAATTATTTCAATGTTGGTCATGTGAATGGAAAATAAATCTCGGGACCCTAAAATCACTAAGCCAAAGGGAAAAGTCAAGATGGGCACTGTGTCAGGCAAACCTGCCTCCCATTTCATTCCTACATAAGACAGCTACAAAGATTAAAAAGCCACATGCCTCCCTCACAATTTTTCCACAGGGAAATTCCTTGTGGGCCTCAAGATGGTTACCCTGTAACAGTTCTGTTGAATTTCACCCTGGCAATGTAAATTCATAGCTTATCTTCACAGGTGCGGGACAAAGGACAGAACTCAAAGCCATCCCTCTGCTCACCTGAGACAGACGCATATCTGATTGCTTCCTTTGCCCTATGTTTAGGTTAAAAATGCAGATTCGCTAAGCCAGACTAAGACAAAAGTGACTATTCCTCTAACCCCTACTTCACATGTAAATTGTATATTCAGTGAAAGGTTAATCAGAGACTTGAAAGAATTTGACTGTCTTATCTACCCATGACCTAGGAGCCCCATAGTCCCCCCAAGCTATGCCCCGCTGTGCCTCAACCACTTTGGGCACACATCGTCAGAACATCCTGAAGCTGTGTCACACCACGTCCTCAACTTTGGCAAAATAAACTTTCTAAATTGATTGAGGCCTATCTCAGATACTTTTGGTTCACAGTCATTTACAAGATAGGTTCATTTCCCTTGCATGCACTCACTTGCATCTAACCACATGCAAACTCAATACTACTCCTCCGGCCAATGTTTGAATCCCTGTTGATCTTTTGGTTCAGTACCATCTGACTATATAAACACGATTGGTACCCCCTGCACACTTTGAAAATTCCTGGAGCACTTTTGTTTTTATAGGACAATTTGTTAGGTTGTTCCAATCTTGTTTCAAATTTTAAAATCTAGGCTGAGTGTGAGAAAGATTCCAGTCATTTGGTCAACCAGTCAATCCACGGGAGTTTATTGAGAATGTGCATTAACGTACCGGGGAGTGTGGCGATTGGGGGAGTGTTTATGTCTGTCCGGCTTGTGGAGACTGGAAGTTTGAGTCATCGTTTTTGGCTCACAGGGTGCCCCTGAGTGCCTGCCTGGGGATACAAATAACCCTGACAGTTCAGCAGTTCTCTATGAAGCACAGTGTTCCTATAAAATTAAACTTGCATAATTTGGTCAGTAAGTCCACAATTTCATTCCACCTCTTCCTAATGGCTTGGCTTCACCTCTTCTGTTCACAGGTCTACTATGTTTATCCATCATTTACCCATTTCAAATGACAGTTTAGGAGTTGGAATCTCCCTCTAGCCTTTTCTCCAAGGGTAATTCTAAAGAAGAGCACATTCTTTCCTTAAAAAACAATCAGAAAAGGAAGAATTAGCAATATAATTATCAAGAAGCAGCACTGGGTAGCATCTTTAAACAGCTTCGTGCGGTTGGATTTGGAGGAGCGCTATACTTCTTGGAGCTCTTCCTTTGCTCAGAAGCCAGTTTGAGTTCTGGTTGTTGCTGACCTAAAATATTTTCAGTTCTCCTTCCTGGGGCCAACAAAGCATGGTCCCCAGCCTCCCTCCAGCCCCCGACCCCACCTGGAAAGCTCTGTGGGTCTCCCTAGATAGAGGGGACTCTCCCTTGTCTTCTATCATCGAACCCTCTCCTCAGAAAGTAAAGACAAACTGTGGGTGAGGCAGTGGCTGACAGGGGGCTCCAGGCTTCCCTGGTGTGACTCTGGGTTCCTTGTGACCTGGAGCAGATTACTGATCCTATTTCCGTGTTTCCCTTTCCTTGCCTGTAAAATAGAGACAGCAGGGCTGTTCCCAGGATAAAATGAGTTGATATAGACAGAATGACTGCAGTAGAGTAGAACACAGCAAGTATCAATAATCGCTAGTAAGTAATATTAAGGAAAAAAATAAAATTCTATCAACTGGAAAAATCTCTCGACTCCTGACACCAAACATACACATTAACTTGCATTCATTCATATCATTTCCTCCATCCTCCTATCATGAAAGGAGAGGTTCTTTCAGGCTAAGGCTAGTGCCTCACACTGTGCTTCAGAGACGTCCCATGACCCCTGCTTTCTCAGGTGTCTCCTCTTACCATAACCTCCTGCTCTTTCTCTCCTATATCTTAAGTCCCACCCCAATTTCACTCTAATCCCTCTCATCAGCATTAAGCACACACAAGACTTTCTCATTAAAAACCGACAATACTTTGGGAGGCCAAGGCAGGTGGATCACGAAGTCAGGAGTTTGAGACCAGCCTGGCCAACATGGTGAAACCTCATCTCTACTAAAAATACAAAAATTAGCTGGGCATGGTGGCGGGAGCCTGTATTCCCAGCTACTCAGGAGGGAGGCAGGAGAATCGCTTGAACTCGGGAGGCAGAGGTTGCAGTGAGTCGAGATAGTGCCACTGCACTCCAGCCTGGGCAACAGAGCGAGACTCCGTCTCAAAAAAAAAAAAAAAAAAAAAATCAACAATAATCCCTGCCACTGTAATGATGACTTCGTCTCTCACCACCTCTGCAAAGGCTAAAAGCTTGCAAGCATCGTCTCCACTCTGGGCTCCTCCTCTGCCTGTCTCCGCCCTCAGCCCCTGCAGTCTGCTCTGGGGTTCCTCCTCCACTTCCCTCCGCCTGCTCTCACCAGCGGCCCTTCGTCTCATTAAACCCAGCGGACACATCCCAGACCTCATAGCACTGGAATTCCCCGCAGCATGTGGCCCTGCGAACACCCCCTCCTGACAGCAGTCTCTTCCCTCAGCTTCTCACACTCCCCTTTTTTTAAGGAAACTTTTTTTAAGGAAAGTTGCTTGACTTTTCTCCATACTCTGGTCATTTCTCAGTTAAAACTGCTGCTGCATTTCCTCTGACTTTAATTGTTGTTCACTGGGCCTCTGTCCTGGTTTCTCTTCCTTTTCTATCAATACTCTTTGTACCTAGTGCTTTCGCTGTTCTGTTCAAGAAATTTTTCTTCACCTTGACGTCAAAAAGATATTATTCTATATTATCTTGTAAAGCTCAGTTGTTTTGCCATTCCCATTAAATCTCAATCCAATTGGAACTTCTCTCTCTGGTGAGAGAAATGGATGAATCTGTTTTCCTCCACATGGATATTCATTTGATGCAGTGCTGTTTAGGAAAAGACCATCTTTACCCACTGCTTATGGTATTTATTTGCCATAAATACCATAGTGTAAGCACATGTGTGTCTGCTCCTGGGCTCTGTGCTGTTGCATGCTGTTTGACTACAGTTGTGCCAATGTCAAGCTTTACAACAGGTCTTGGGCCGAGCGCGGTGGCTCACGCCTGTAATCCCAGCACTTTGGGAGGCCGAGGCGGGCAGATCACCTGAGATCAGGAGTTTGAGACCAACCTGGCCAACATGGCGAAACACCATCTCTACTAAAAATTCAAAAATTAGCGGCGCATGGTGGCACGCGCCTGTAATTCCAGCTACTCTGGAGGCTGAGGCAGGAGAATTGCTTGAACCTGGGAGGCAGAGGTTGCAGTGAACCGAGATCGCACCACTACACTCCAGCCTGGGCAACAGAACAAGACTGCTTCTCAGGGGAAAAAAAAAAAAAAAAAGAAAAGAAAAACAGGTCTTGGTAACCACCGAGAGAACAAGTCTTTCCACATTTTTTCTTCTTCATAAATTGTGTTGTTTTAGTGGAACTGAAATTGCATTGAATACATATATCAATTTGGGGAGAGCTTAACACCTTTACAATACTGATAATGTATGAACACAGTATTCCCACCCCCAATAGATTTAGATTTAATTTATCTTATGCTTCTTTATGTGCAAAGAAGTGTTATGCATCTTTGTTAGATTTATTCCTAAGTAATTTATATTTTTGATACAATTTAAATAGAATCTTTAAAATAACATTTTCTGTTTATTTCTGGTTTTTGTAATTTGCCACAAGGTCCTGCTAGTGCTACACTCACTTTATTAATGAGAATATTGTTGAATATTTTCGGACTCCTCCATATATCTGCATATAATCATGTCATCAGTTTTATTTATTTATTTTCTTTTTCTTTCTTTTTTTTTGAGAGCGAGTCTTGCTCTGTCGCCCAGACTGGAGTGCAGTGGCGTGATCTCAGCTCACTGCAACCTCTGCCTCCCGGGTTCAAGCGATTCTCCTGCCTCAGCCTCCCAAGTAGCTGGGATTACAGGTGCCCGCCACCAAGCCCAGCTAATTTTTGTATTTTTAGTAGAGACGGGGTTTCACCATGTTGGCCAGGCTGGTCTCGAAGTCCTGACCCCAGGTGATTCGCCTGCCTCGGCCTCCCAAAGTGCTGGGATTAAAGGAGTGAGCCACCGCACCTGACCTATTTCTTCCTTTTCAGTATTTGTACATTTTGTTTCTTTACCATCCCTTAATGCACCAGCTTGAACCTCCAGGTTAATGTTGGATAGAAATGGTGACAATGGGCGCACTTGCTTCTTTCTCTCATGCTATTTACCTATTATTATTTTCCCTAATATTATTTCTCTGGTTAGCTCAAAGTGTAATAATAGAATTATAGCTGAAAGAAATCTTGAGGGCCATTGGTGGAGATACCAAGAAGTGAATTAAATTCCTTAATGCCACACATTGAAAGCAAAAACAGGGATTAAACCTGAAATATTCTAACTACTAGTTTAGTGCTCTTTCTCCTACAGGAAAGGCTTTCCGAAGAAGGAATACAATTAGGACAAGTTCTTTTTATCTCCAAAAGTTAGGGAGACCATGAAGTTCAGAGCTTTTGGAGTTGAATAACTTGCAGGCCATGCCATTAACAAGGCAACCACAGTCAAGCCAAACACAGGGAGGCCTCACTGGATAAGCCCAACTCATTCCACTAGAGCTTCAGCCTATCACATCTCCAGGGAGCACCCAGAATGGGCACCAGACCTATTCAATTTGGGAATCTCTAGTAATTCCACTGACTGTTCTCCATGGTCCTACATCAACCTATCCTGGTACCACACAAACAGGTGAATAGAACTGTTTCTAGACACCTCTCCTTTAATCTCCTGTAAGATCAAAGGAAATGATTTTACCCTTTCCTCTTTTCTTGGAGTTAAACTATTGGCAGAGCATGCCCAGTGATACGTTTGTCTGTCCTCTTGCCATTGGCAGCACTTTCAATTCCTTTATTTCCTAGCCCCCTCACTGGCCCCTGCCTGCTAAACCTCATCCCAATTTTACAATCTGATTTCACTGCTCCTTATAACTGGGCCGCTGAGCCCTGCTGGGACCTAGTCAGCCTAAAAAAGGATAATCAATTGATTTTCAACAGGGCCCCTCAAAAGACAGTGGAGATACCATACATAGCGCTAGACTATAAAGACCATAATCTGGTTGAGGAGACAAGATTAACACATGGGAATTGGACAGCAGGAAATGATATAATTTCTGTTAGCAAATAATATACAATAGGCCGGTCTCGGTGGCTCATGCCTGTAATCCCAGGACTTTGGGAGGCCGAGGCGGGCGGATCACGAGGTCAGGAGATCAAAACCATCCTGGCTAACACGGTGAAACCCCATCTCTACTAGAAATACAAAAAATTAGCTGGGCGTGGTGCGGGTGCCTGTAGTCCCAGCTACTCAGGAGGCTGAGGCAGGAGAATGGTGTGAACCTGGGAGGCGGAGCTTGCAGTGAGCGGAGATCCCGCCACTGCACTCCAGCCTGGGCGACAGAGTGAGACTCCATCTCAAAACAAAACACAAAACAAAAACAAACAAACAAACAAAATACAATAAATATCTCTAACAAGGGAATAAGTTCAAGAGTACTTAGTCTAGTACCCACAGTCCTGACTTCTGCTTTGTAATTGTTCCTGCTTTCTCACAAGTTACTCCCTGGCATCTTAGCTCTACTCACTGCTTCATTCTTCTCCCTTCCCCCATCTAAGTCATTGAGGGAAATATTTGCTTTGGGTATTCTTGGTTGAAACTTGGCATGCACTTTCCTCTAAGACAGAGTGGTTAGGAATGATGTAAATACTTCAGTCACATTACAGGTTAAATGGGCTTTTGTGAAATGACTATTTATAACTATTTCTTTGGAAGAGTTGTTCTGAATACAAAATGACGTGCTTTCAAATGAAATTTCAGAACACAGACCCTTCTTTTAGCTACAAATACTCAAGACTAAGCACTCAGGAAGTGTGTCCTGCCAGTGCCATGATGTTTTCCTTCATTGGCGATGTTGATTGTCTTGTTATCGTATAAAGGCAAAAGAATAACTATGGAAGTACCCAGCAATAGAGCGTGGTCGGTCACATGCTCTTCGTTTTCATGGAGACAAGCATTCTTCTACTCCTCATGGTCTTCTCCTCTACAAGGACAGGAGAACTAAAAACATTTTAGGAGAATGGACTGGATGTGGCTTTTGTACAACCACAGCACCCAAGTCTGTAAAATGAACCATGAGATCTTGGTTTGCACTCTTGGCCTAACCTGAGGAAGACAGCTTTTAGAACACGTATTATTCATCATTCAGAGGCTGCTAAATAATAAAGTGGAGCTGGATTTAAGGAAGACAATTTCCCAGAGTGTCTATGGCAGTGCCACTCAAAGTGTGGTCCATGGACCTATAGCATCAGCCTCACCTGGAAGGTTATTAGAAATGCAGATTCTTTGGGCCACCAAGAATCTCTGAAGTCCAAGTATCTGGCTTCAACAAGGTTTCCAAGGGATTTTTATGCATACCAAAGAGAACAAACGAGGCTGTCTTCCTTCTCTCGGTCCTGTGGAACCAGCATTGGTGACAATTTGCTGGGACTTGTAAAGGTTGCGTGGCTCCCAAAGTGCCCTGCCTGGCTGTGATGGGGCAGATGGTTGGCTGAGCTCAGGGCCCGGCACAGAGCAGCGCTGTGGAAAGAATGCACCTGGCACAGCCCTGGGTACCTTCTGCATCTGCTTGTACCCTATAAACTTCCTCTTAACTGTTAGGGGCTGAATTGTGTTCCCCAAAATTCATATCTTGAAGTCCTAATCCCCAGTACCTCAGAATGGAATCCTTTTTGGAAATAGGGTCTTTAAAGAGGTAATTAAGTTAAAGTGAAGTTATGAGGGTGGCCTCCTAATCCAATGCCTAGGTCCTTACAAGAAGAGGAGATTAGGAGACAGGCATACACGGAGAAAAGATCAAGTGAAGACAGAGGAAGAAGGTAGCCATCTACGATCTGAGGAGGGAGGTCACAAGAAACCGCCCCTGTCAACACCTTGATCTTGGACTTCTAGACTCCAGAACTGTGAGCAATTAACTTCTGTTTTGAAGCTTCCAGTCTGTGGTACTGGGTTGTGGAAGCCCTAGCACATGACCACCCTCCCCATCTCTGCCCTCAAGTGCCTGAAGTGCTTCACGCAGAGCTCAGCCCAGAGTGATGGCTAGTTCCTGCAGCAGCACACCACTGGCCTTTGCAGTGGGGATGTTCACCAGATTTTCTGCAATGGGCCATTTGTGCAGAACACCTGAGCCCAGTTCTGCCTCTGATGAGAATGTAATCACCTGGGTCCTGATGTCCAACCAGGCCTGACACTCAAGAGTCTAGGCTTCTAGTGTTTACCACTAGCTACAGGTGTATTTTTGGGAAAGGCTCTCACTCTGGGTTTGTTTCTTTATATATAAAACGGAGACATTAGTGACCTTAACATTGACAAGTCTCTTTCTCACCCCTATAGAAAAGATCAAATGAAGCAATATACGTAAAGCATGAAAATACATTGTAAATGGAAGGTGGGGTCATGGACTATTGTTTTCACTTTGCCATTAGGGCTGTGATTAGCAAACGTTTTCTAGGTGTGCAGCTTGGACAGAACAGCAGCTGGGAGCCCAGAAGAGGCATCTGCTTCATGCAGCTCAGTCACCTGGTAGAACTGAAGGGCCCTCAGCTTCAACAGGCAGCCAATCCTTTGGAAACTTGCCAAAAAGTCCTGTATATTTTTGTAATATACACGTTTATATTTAATATACACGTTTATAATAGTCACGTTTATATTTTTGTAATCTGTTTGTTACTAGACACTTTCATCTCCACTTCAGGGCATGTGAGTGAGAGAGACAGAGGATTATGTGTGTGTTCCAACTCTCAGCAGATTGTCTAGAATTTGGGCTCCATCTTGCCTGTCCTTAGTTTAAACATCACATTCCTTCCTGCTCTCATTAAAGAATGCCGGTATCTTGGATCAATATGGGTACAATTAGATTAAAAATAAAGGTCCCCTTATTTCTGAGTTTAAGACATCAGAACAAAGAAGTCATACCAAGGGCTCTGCTCATCCAGGAAACGCAGCAGATTGAGGGCTAAATGACACTAGACAAAACAAGGGAATGTTTTGAGAGATCATTGGTAGGGTTTAGACTCAAAGACTTCTATTTAATTCAAACCACATAACAAATAGTGATGATATCATTAAAATAAATATCCCACATGGGCCATCCTGTCCCTCCCATATCACAGCACTGACATCATTTTTGCATATTCTATCCATGCCATTTTCCATATTCTGCTGAAAGGTCACAATTCTGTCAGTAATGAGATTCAGCCCCTAGTCAAGCCGTTCCAAGACACCACCGCCCATTTCCAAAACAATTTTGAGGGCGGCTTCCCAGCAGTATGAGTTCCAGAGAGCAGATGTCTCCCTGGGTGTGAGCTGCAAGTTGAACTGGGGCAGCACCACGGCCATCGATGCTGTGGCCAGGCCACCTGGGAGGACCATAGTAGCACACAATATCCAGGAGGTGAGAGCTGCCACAAAGCAGGTGGAGGGGGACCAAAAGGGGCCCAGTGGCACCATCTTTCTGGGGCCAACCCTGGAGTCCATGCTAGTGCAGCCACAATTGTCAAATAATAAATCCCTGAAACAAGACTAGGAGCCACAGTTTGTCTAAAGATTTAAAAGCTCTTTGGAGTTAAGTAGTACTGGGACAGGGCCCTGGTTCTGTTTTCTGTGTAGCTGTGTGGCTTTCAGTAAATTGCTTAGGATCTCTGAGCCTCAGTTTCCCCAACAGTAAGACAAGAATGATAACGATCCCTTCCTCATAGGCTTATTGTGAGAATTATGAGGTAATGCATGTAAAGTGCCTAGCACAGCAGCCAGAACATCGTGAGCCCCCCATAAATGCTGACTGCTATTTTTACTGTTAATGAGGATCTTAGGATTATGCTGAACTTGGACATCTGTCGCAATAAGGACTTACCACCTCTCTTGTTGGGGCTGGGATGTAAGGTACATTTGACACTTGAGGAATGTGGTGATTCTCAGAACAGAAAGGGAGAGAAGTACATATCTGTGAGTGTCCTGGAATCCTCAGAGGCTATGTCATTAGTTACACATCTTTTTCTCCATGTAAAATGTGGATCTGTGCATGGGCTCATTCTTGAGCTCATTTACTGAGTCAATAAGACTTGTTTACTTTCCCCATTCTGCTGTGGCTACGTACTTTTTGCCTTTATATTAACAAACCCCCTTCACCTCCCCCAGCATCCAGTAACCTTCCTAGTCCCACCTGAGTCAGATGGAAAGGGCTGTTTTAGGCCACTAACAATTTAGTGTGGATTAATACAACATGTTAGCCTTCCCAGGGGTGTTTACCTTTCAAAAGAGAATGCATGGGAGAGAAATAGAATCTTTTGATTACTGTATCAGGAGAATGATATACACATAGATTATCTGGATTTCAGCAGCGCAGTTGACAAAAGCTCTCAAAATATCCATGTGAAAGAGATGGAGAAATATAGACTGGAAGGAGCCCAGTTCTGCTTATGATCAGTTCAATGCCCTTGACCAAAAAATACTTATTAACAAAATAAAGGTGCAAGAGAGTAGTGTCCTTGGAAAGGGGCACTGGGTCACATCCTGGTCAACACTTTTATCAGTAACATGAATGAAAACACAGATGGCATGCTGAACAAGCTCACAGATGGTGGATTTGTAGCTGGTACATTTTGATGATCAAGACTATTCCATGCTCTTATTTGACATAAGGGTGTGGTTTAATGGGCCAAATCATTCCATGATTGAGTTCCCCCTCAGTCCAGGTGATGTGCCAGGCAATTTGCACATATTCTCTCTAAAGAGATAGATTATTGCCTTCATATTATGAATAAGGAAATTGATGTTCATCCTGGTTAAAAAAACTTGAAGGGGGCCAGGCGTGGTGGCTCATGCCTGTAATCCCTGCACTTTGGGAGGCCGAGGCAGGCAGATCACGAGGTCAGGAAATCGAGACCATCCTGGCCAACGCGGTGAAACCCCGTCTCTACTAAAAATACAAAAATTAGCCAGACATGGTGGCAGACGCCTGTAATCCCAGCTACTCAGGAGGCCGAGGCAGGAGAATCCCTTGAACCTGGGAGGTGGAGGTTGCAGTGAGCCGAGATTGTGCCACTGCACTCCAGCTTGGGTGACAAGAGCGAGACTCAGTCTCAAAACAAAAAAACAAAAAAACAACAAAAAAAAACTTGAAAGGATCCTACAGCTAAAAGGAAGGACATATCATTACATATTGTATGCTTGTATCAAAATATCACATGTACCCCATAAATATGGACAACTATTATGTACCCATAATAACTACAAATAAAGAAAAAACTTTAAGCAAATCAAATCAAAGGAAAGACACACTGAGACTGGAATTGAGATCCTTTAAATCTACATAACTCCGAAGTATGGGCTCTTTCATGACCTCACACAGCTTATGTGTTAGTTCTGTACTTCCCTTTAAAGTGTACATGTTATATGATGGAGGGAAATGATGTCTAACACAGTTTCTGGCGCATGTAGATGCAGAAATACTTGTGGGAATTCAAAGAGGAGCAAGTGGGAGGGAGGAAGAGCGGGAGGACAATATCTGCTTTAATCTGTGCTAGTAATCTTGACCAATGAGAAACAGCTGAAGATATTTAGTTTGGCAAATGGTGACACACTAGTTCTCTTCAAATATTTAAAAAACTGTTATGTGGAAGAAGTATTAGATGCAACCCAGGGAGGTGGATTTTAATTCAGTCATCGCTGGAACTTTCTGAAATAAGGAGCGAGCATTGTTGATTCATGCAGCAGGCTGCCTCCTGGGGTGGCATCCTGTCCTTGAAGGTCTTCAGGCCATATGGGGTCGCCACTCACTGGAGGTGATAGAGAAGGGACCCTAGAGCAGGAGCAGTGGGATCAACAACCTCTGCTTTATAAAAATTTTCTGGGAGGATTTCAGATATGTTAGCCTTTGGGTGGGACTCTTGGTTGTGGAGGGAGTGCTCTCTATCCTTAAAGTATACCTCATGGGTTTCTGCCTCCCCACTGGACATGCAAAAGTTATAAGTATCAAATAGACATCGGCCCTTGTTATGCCAAATGCCAGCTAAACAGTGGCCTAATTTGAAGGAAAGGGCTAAAGGTCCCTAAAGCAGGCGTCTGGGGAAAAGAAAAACCCTCGAAAGTACAGCAGGGTGCTCTGGGAAGCACAAAATAGGCTTTGTTCTGTTGCTGCAAGCCTGTGCCAGCCAAGCAGTGAGCAAATGGAAAACCATCCTGCCAGCCTGCATTGATCATCCAGGCCATCTTGCTTTATTCACAGATTCTTATGGCCCTTCTTGCTGGGACACTTATGCTGATGAGTTTGAGCTGTATGGAGTGTTGCTAGTCTTTTTCTTTTAATTTTCAAGACAGTAAACCGGGAAGAGCTTTAGACATCCTCCCAGTAACTGGAATACTAACAATAAAACACACGAAGACCACAGCCTGCTTGATTATTTCCTAATTTTCTCTTTATGCTGGTTCCAGCCCTGAGACCCTGCCAGATGCAGAAAGCTTCCTTCATGACAGCACAAATAGTTTCCATTTCCCAGCTGAGAGCCAACATCCAAGAGGATCTTCTGATGTGAAACTGAATGAAACAAAAGATGGCCCAGAACCCAGCTGCAGCCAGGAAACAGAGGTTCAGAAGCCAGAAAACCTCTGCAATGTCCCAGAAATCCCCACAGAGCAGAGAGAGGGCACATTGGCTACTCTATGCAAGGAAGCATGCTTGCAGCACAGCCTCCAGCTACTTGTCTAACAAAGATGTTTTCAAGTTCTTCATGAACTTTTGTAAAAATACATTTCACATGATACTTCTAATAGTGAGCTCTCAGTCCTATTCTGTTTTCATTTGTCTATACAGGGTTCCATAAATTTATCCATCTGTCATTTTTTCATTTGTTGTTTTATTCATTTAGCAAACATATTGAGCATCTCATAATTCATTCATTTCTTCAATATGTTTTGAGCACCTATCACAAGCCAAAATAGGGTTGGGTTAAAGAGGTCAATATAATTGGTTTCTGCTCAGTATCATTGCCCCTATTCACTGAGCACATTCTTTTTCTTTTCCTTTTCCTTTTTTTTTTGGAGACAAATCTCACTCTGTCACCCAGGCTGGAGTGCAGTAGCATGATCACTGCTCACTGCAGCCTGAAACCTTCCACATTCAAGCAATCCTCCAACCTCAGACCTCAATCTCCTGAGTAGTTGGGAGCACAGGCATGTACCACCATGCCTGGCTACTTTTTTAAAAAATTTTTTTGTAGAGATGGGGTCTCCCGATGTTGCCCCATCTGGTCTTGTGCTCCTAGCCTCACACAATCCTCCCACCTTGGCCTTCCAAAGTGCTGGGATTACAGGCATGAGCCAGCACCCCAGCCAGAGCTCTGCACTTCCAAAGAGCTTTCACCCACAGGCAAAATGCTCTCAACTATTTATCTCCAACTCTGTTTTCCAGAGCCTTCAGCCAGATGTCAATGCACTGGCTGGATCCAGCCTCTTCTGAATGTCCCACTGACCTTGAAACATCGACTCAGTGAGAACTGAACTCATGTCCTACCCCTCTCAGGCTTCTGAGTCTTCCCCATTGCTTCCCATTTCTCCTTTTCTCATTTTTCATTTTCTCAGTACCTGAGCTCAGGCTCAAAGATAACTTTGATGTTCCTTTCTCCTTTACTCAAGACAATAGCAATGTTCACCTCCAATATGTCAAACAATTGTTTTCTTCCATTTCTGCTGCTATCATCCAAGGACTGGACAGGAGCCCAGCAGTTCTGGACTTTAGAAACAGCCTCTCAACTGTTCTTCTGGCCTTCACGTCACCACACTCTGGTTCATCCTGAACTTTGCCACCAGAATAACCTCCCTAATTCACATTCTCACGATGTCACTTTGCTACCCATTACCTACAAGACATTACACTAGGATGGCATTCACAATCCTCTGCCATATACCTTATCCTCTACTAGTCCCCAGATGTTCCATGTGCCCCTCAAAACTGGAAAATCCCCTTTGCCAGATACTCTCTAGGCTTTCCTGCCTCCATGCCTTTTCTTATGCTATTCCCCTTGGCTGGTGCCCCCTTTCCAATTTCTGCCTTCAGCAATCCTCCCAGACCTAGCCTTCTAGCCCAGGCCCTCCATGAAACCTTTTTACCACCTCTCTGGTGATGAATGCCTTCTTCCCTGAACTCAAGTCACACTGATTGCATCTCTCATGTTCATGCAACACTTACTCATACCTCATCTTTCCTTTCAGTGCCTGAGCTTCCTGAGGTCAGCACTCTGCCATGTCAATCATTGAGAGGGACTGCCTACTCAAGTTCCACGTTATTTTGCACAGGGAGATGAATGGACAAAAGCTTTTTCATGAAAAGGAATGAGTGGATAATGCAAGATTAAAGGTACAGAAAAGGAAATAGAAGGGGAAAATCTTATAAAATAGAAAGGGAAAGAACCGAGGCAAAGGGCGTGGGTCCACTTTAGACTAGTGGTGAAATCTCTCTTTTTTTCTGACTTTTCAGGGAAGGATGGAGAGTGGAGGAAATACTAAGGAGGTGACATGCCTGGTGCTTTCAGAAATCCAGAATGAGGCAGTGCTTCTGCTGCGGTGAGGGAGGGCACAGCAAAATCGACAAATGCCTCACTCTGTGACTTGGGCAAGTCACCCTCCAACCCTGGTTCTTCATTTGTAACACTGGGGAAAGGGCAGCCCCTATCATGCATTTGTTTAATGCATATGAAATAATATAAGCAAAAGGTTTAGCACAATGCCGGGCCCCCATCACATTAATTGATATGGGTGTTTCCTGTGGGTGGCTGCAAAGGGGAGGAGCTGAAAGTCTTGGAGTCTAGAAATGTCAGGAAGTGTGAGAGAGATGTAAGCAACAAGCTGTTGAAGCAGATGTTAAAATTGAGAAAAGATCACAAACAGGAGGAGGCCTGATTAGGTGGCAAAATAAGTGATGAATTAAGAGCTTTTATCAGGATCTTAAAAATAGGGATTGGCTATCTGTAACACTTACCTAGGATCATAGAGGTAGTTTGGGTAGGCATCAGTAACTGGCTATAACAAGAACCTGTTATAGAGAATGGTATAAAAGTGAAATGCTTCTTCCCTCCTAAATGCAATTCCCTTCACTGCATCATCAGTAAACCTTGTCTTAATTCATTCCTTCCTAGGACTCATCTCTCTCCTCTTCAGACTCTAGTACTGTCCCAGGACTTCAAAGTAGGTGAGGGACAAACTTCAATGTCCAGAGCTCCCCAGCCCCCTGAGCTACTTCGCCAACATCTCACATCGGGGCTTACACGTCTCTATGGCATAGTGATTTCTGGAGTGAGAAAAGGAATTAAGGACAACTGCCCACCCAGGGGAGCATATTAAACTAATTTTAATTAGGAACAAGAATACGAGGGCATCTCTATAGAGTTATTTAAACGGCCCTGGAAGAAATCCCTCTCTCAGTTTACATGGCCCTGGCCTCCTTGTTGGGAAGACTTTTAGTGTCTCTATTATGCTAAGGGTTCATCAGGTGGTTTTCCAATCTATCTCAGCACATACAACTGTGATTGCAGGTAAATGCTCTAAACCTGAGACTGTCCCAGAGACCTAAGAAAAATAGCTGGCATGTTCTTAGGGAAATTAAGAAACCTAATTAGAAGACAGAATAACCATAGGTGTGCTGAAACTATACCTATGGGTAAGCTCAAGATTTTTCTGAAAAGACTGTTTTGGACATAGATCAGGAGTTCTAGAACTTTAGCATGAAAAAGAATTGCCCAGCAGATGCCAGGTCCATCTCCTGGTTTAGAGAGCCTAAGGTGGGACCTAGGAATCTGCATTTTTAGCAAGCTTTCCAGGTGATGCTCATCCTAGTGGTCCACAGACCACACTCTGAAAAACATGACCACAGAGTATGGCTGTGATAACTTTGCCAAGAAAATTTTTCAGAGCAAAGCTGTGCATAGATGTGTATGTGTGTGTGTGTGTGTGTGTGTGTGTATACACACACACACATACACACACACACACAAAGGGTCCATAGAAATCTAATTTTAAGCAATGCTACCTCCTGGTTAACCCTCAAACATAAACTAGTTGTAAAATGTATCCATCGGAAGCTAAGTAAGTTGATTTGCTGTACATGGATTTTGGATAGAAGCCAATTAAAACTCTCAGGTCTTTTTGACATAAACTGCACTTGAGTTATTGATTTTCTTTTTTTGAAGCTCAAACACAGGAGTTTACATTTATTCCTGTTTCCACCCCTGGTTTCATCTGAGTGGCTGGCTTGAGTCCATGAAGCTGGCCTCACTTGCCCTATGCTCTCAACAGCTGAATTCATAAGGGACAACCCTGCATTTAAGCTTGTAGAATGTTTATCAAAGTCAGTCTATTTTCTTGAATTGACAATGAACAACGTATTCTATTTAAAGTTTTTCATTTTCTTCCTAAGTTTAATTCCTTATTTGGCAGTTAACTAAAAAAAAAAAATGACTTAATGCTTCTTGAAGTCTTTCAGTACCTAAAGGGCAATAACTATGTTCCATTCATCTTTAGGTGACACCAGTTCTTAATGACAGAGGGTAGCAAATGATTGCTGAATGAGGGAATGAGTGAATTCAGCAGTTTATAAATTACTTTAGAATTTGAACCAAATTTTCCAATGAAACAAGATTTTACCTGATGGTTAAATGTCCATGCTAGCACCAAAAACCAATTAAGTAATTGATTAATATAGATCAGCTGTTCTCAAGCGTGGTTTTCTCCTGCCCGGCAGCAATAGCTTCACCTGGAAACTTGTTAGAAATGCAATTAGGGAGCCCTCACCCCAGATCAACTGAATTGGAAACGCTGGGAGTGGGCCCAGCAATCTATGGTTTAACCTGGTCTCCAGGTGATCCAGGTGCACTAAAGTTTGAGAACCTCTAAGATAGTGTTGGTTCTTTGGAGGCCACACACATTGCTGGCTCGATAAAGTGTTTTGCTCTATAAATGTAATTTGTGATTCAAAACATTTCATTAGCCCTTACTGTATACTAGGAACTGAGCTAAACATTCAGAATAAAGACAATAAAGATGAACTGATATTTTACCATATTATATTTTTCTTCAGCATCAACATACTATATATTCATGGTAAAAATTTTGAAGTTTAAAAATAAGTACATAAGCAGGAGGTGGGGAAACTCACATAATCCCATCACCCAGAGGCGACCTGTGTAATACCAGTGAAGTCTAAAGAGTAGTACCAAGAATGACCCTGAGTCCTGCGTCTGAGGCTGGTTTGAGAAGGTTCCAGAGCTTGGGCAGCCTTACAAGCAGCAGCACAGAAGGCCCTGGAGATGCCAGGGGTTGAAGCAGCCAATTGGTACATGCTGCTGTATTTTCAGCCAGCGTTAGCGTGACCAGCTGTCCTTCTTTGCCCAGTGTTTGGACATAGGACTTGAAGTGCCCAGTGTTAGCACCTCCTGGGGAACCCCTCAGTCCCCAGCAACTCAGGACAGACAGTTGGTGACCCTAAGCAGATGTTTCTTCCTGTTATGAAGAAAAAAGGTCTGAGGACTTCGGACGGCTGCGATGTGATAGAAGTAATGCTGGAGTCAGAAGTCCTGAGTCCAAGCCAAGGTCTGCCACTTACTAGGTGAGCCTGGCAATTTATGGAACTTCCCAGAGGCTGTGAACATTAAATAACCTCAATTTGCTTGCCATGTATCTCAGAGTCAAAGCCAAAGTATTTACAGTGGCCTCCATGGTCCCTCAGAACCCACCCTTTCTCTACCCTCTCAGCTTTCCTCTAGTGTTCCCATGGCACACTCCATTCTAGCTCCACTAGCCTTCTTGCTATTCCCCAGACACACAAGGTGTTTCCACCCCAGGTCCTTTGCACTGGCTCCTCTCTGCCTGGGACAGCAACTCTTCACTCAGACATCCACAGTCTTGCTCCCACACTTCTTCAGGTCATCCAAGAGCCACCTTACCAGTGAGGTTTTCCCCAATCACCCAATATAAAACAGCAATGACCCTCCCCCTTCCCTCCTGGCCTTACCCCTACCCCTCTCACACTCAGCAGTCTCTATCCCTTTCCCTGCTTTATCTTTCATAGCACTTATCACCAGCTGACCTGCACTTTATTTTTTGCTGGTGTATTTTCTGTCATCTCCAACTAGACCATGGGCCCTATTTCAGCAGAGATGTCTGTAACCTTGGTGACTCAAATAGTGCCAAGCACTGTGAGCAATGAATGCTTGATGGAAGAATAAATGAATGAATGGTGGAAATATCATTTGTGAAAGTGCATTAGAAAAGGTGAAAAGCATCACCAAAAACAAGCTCTATAAATATGTGGCAGATTGGGAGATGTTATTTGCAACACATATAATAGAAAAAAAATAGTATCTATACTATATTTTTTAAAAATCCAAGATAGCAATAAGAGAAAGATCAGCAACACAATAGAAGAAATGGGTAATGGACAATAATAGGAAATTTACAGCAGAGGGAATCTGAATGGTCAATGACGTTGGGCAGTTAATTGACTTCAGTGTCTAGTTTTCCTATATATTGTATAATGAGCTAAGACAAGTTAGCTGCTTGAAACAGCAGATAGCATAGGAAGTGCTACACAAATGCTAGCAAGTATCATTATCGGTGGTAATCAGAGAAATAGAACTTAAAAATACCACTTTTCATCCTTCAGATTGGTGAACAAGTTTAAGTCTGAAAACAGAAAACATTAAGGATATGGAAAAAATGTCTATTATACAATGCTGGTGTGATGATTCAGTGGAACAGTGCCTTCAGAGAACAATGAGGTAGTATCTAGTAAAACTGTGTATGTGCCCAGCCTACGATCAAACAATTCCACTTTTGAGTATATGTAACCTAAGGCAACCCTTCCAAAACCTCCTTGACTAAAAGGACACCTGGAATGGTGGTGAAACACGCAGATGCCTGCAGACCCCTAGACTCCCTGACTCAGATGCTCCCAGGAAAAGGCCTGGGAATCTGAATATTTAACCAGTCCTACAATACTACAGGTGATTCTTATTATCAGACAAATTTTGGAAACACTGAAGTAAAGAAATTGTTGGCCCTTAATTCAAGACTTGTAAAAGGAGGCTAAATACAGCATTCTTAGCAAAAATAAAATGATGGAAACAACCTAATGTGTATTAATAGATGAATTAGTTAATAAAATGTGATGTATACGTATAATGGAATAGTCATAGTGGTTTAGAGCCATAGCTCTATATGTCAATATGAATGGGTTATTTTAAAAACTGGGTGAAAGAAACAAGATGCAGACCTATATATGGTACTGTTTCAGATTATAAGCACTGTGCGGTGCTCTTCAGCACATTTCAGAAACAATACAAACTGGTGGAAATATAAATTGGCATTAGCACATTGTAAAATGGTTTGGCAAGTCTTATTGAAGCTCATTATAATCATATCAGATTACCTAGCAATTCCACTCCTTGTTACGTACCCAATAGAAACATATGTGCACACCAAAACATATGCTCAAGAATGTTCATAGTAGCACTACTCATAATAAATGGAAACTTTGGAAATTGGGAAACATCCCAAATGTTCACCTATGGAAGAATGGTTAAATAAATTGTAGTATGTTAATGTTATTGAATACTGTTAAATTAAGTTTAGCCTAAAGCTGCCTCCTTACATATTTTAAGTTCAGGATAAAAGTTTCTCCATACAAAGTGAACTGTAACCTGACTGGATGCATAAGCAGACTGTAACCTACTCTTGTACCAATCACTGAGTTTCAGGTGATCAAAGATGGCCATCGGTTCAAACTGTGCTGTAACCAGCCCAGCAATTTCCATACCTCCCTTTCCTTTTTCTGTCCATAAATCCTCTCCGACCACACAGCAGGAATCACTTTGAACCTATTCTGGTTGGGAGGTGGAGGGCTGCCCAGTTCTTCAATCTTTCTTTTCTCTATTCAACTTGGTTAAATATGATTTGTTTAAAGTTTTTCTTTTAACAATACAGCAATGAAAATGAATGAACTACAGCTATATTCAAAAGCATGTTTGAATTTCACTTAAGTGTTGAGCAAAAGAAGCCAGACACGAAAGATTATATTACCCAGTATAGAATTCAAAATTAAGCAAAATTAACATACAAAGTTACAATATGAGGGTTGAGTGATGGTAATAATTCTGTTTTTTTTATATGGATGTTTGGTTCATAGATATGCTTACTGTATAGTTATTTACTGAGCTGTAACTTTTGAGTATGTATGCTTTTTACATACACATTTTGCTTCAATAAAAAGCAAAACACACATATAAATGTACTCTATATTTCACGGGTATGTATTACATGTAAAATATGGAAATGATCTTAAATTATACACACCAAACTCAACACACTCATGGTATAATTGCATAGTTGGGGTGGTGTGAGGGACCAAGGTTGGTGAGATCAAGGATGAAGTGAACTTAAGCTACCTCTGTGATGCTTTCATTATTTAAAATAGGGGGAAAAAAGGCTAGAAGCAAATATATTAAAAATTAAGTTGATATTTCTGGGTGATAGAAATATGCATAGGGTATTATACTATTCATTATTTTTAGAACTTAAAATGTTTTTAAAAAATAAGAAAACATTCTAAGGATCAAAATTTTAACATCAAAGAACTGCTAAATTTGAGAGAAATATTCATGTATTATAGATGAGCCCTAAGAAAAAGAGGTAATTTTTCTGAGTTGTTTTAATAAGAGTAACATTTCTTTAAAATCTTCATGCAACAACTGAATTTGGAGAATAAAACGAAGCAGTCATGTTAGTTACACCCGTCACCCCTTCCACCCACTGCTACTAGATGCCACAAAAATTCCCTGGACATTCACAGTGTCATTTGTTCTATTGTTAGTAACAAAACTGAGAAAATCTTGTTTGCTTGCAGGGGCACAAATGTCAGCATCCACCCACTTCTGGCTAAGAGAGCCACAGAAACAGAGGCAGATTAAAAGGATATTGAATAAGATGAAGCTTAATCTTCTCATCTGAAGAACAAAACTAATATTTTACAAACAAGGTGGAAGCGTTGTGAGCCATCTGGGCCCCTCAAACATGGACTTTGGTAAAAGCCTGAGCTGGCCCTGGGCAAGTAGTGCACGAGGTGCCAGAGGCTAAGTGGAGCCGTCTGCAGCTTTGAACGAAGCTTGGCCAGGAGGATGCTCTGGCCAACACAATTGACTTCCTGGTCTCTGCATCGAGATAAAGCCATCCTCAAGGAAGAATGCCAAAAATAGGACATCTTAGAATACAAAGGAAACAAACATTGTTTTTTCCTGACATTGATCCTCTTGACGTGCGACGCCAAAAGATAACTTAGCCCCCTTAAGAGAACATCTCCCTCCCAATAGAAAGAAGGGGGAAAAAATGCAGTTCCATCTGTGAGCCATCTGATTTTCAGACTGAACAATTTCTGAGGCTCAGAGGCAGCTTTTTGACCATGGTCAAAAGCTACCAAGCCGCTGGATTTCAGGCATCAGCACATTTTCCGGTGTCTCCAAACACCTCCAAGGCAGCTTTTCGTGTCAGTAATTTACAACCAATAACTAAGCTCTTACTTATTATTCTTTTCCTGTGTCTTTGCTTAGCAGTGAAAACTGTGTGTCTAGTTGTTTATTTCACCTGCCCAGACCTGATGGAGGGTGAAATAAAAGCAAACAGGCAGACTCAACCAGTGGATGAGCAGATTTGTGATCTGGCCCGGAAAATGTCCATTCTGAAGACAAAGTCCCAGCATAAGGGATGAAAAGTGCTATGGTGGGTTGCTGCATGTTTGTTGCCTCATGCTTTGTCCAGGATTCTCTTCTTTCCCTTTGGTCTGGAAGTTGCTTTTTGCAGGCATCTTACAAGTAGAAAGAATGGTCTTCCAGGAGCTCCCTCCTAATGCTCTAAGGATTTGATTTCTTGCTCTCAGACAGTCATTTTCATGCACATTTTGCAAAACATGGAAATAGATGCATCGGTCTGCTTCTGGAAGTGCTGCCCCTTGGGAGGGAGCTGGGAGGGACCTTCAGTCCTGTTCTCAGCATGGACTTTAGTTACATGCCTACATCTGTGGAACGCGTATCTATGACCCTCTTGTCTGTGTCCAGGCAGCTGGCCAAGAGGGAGAGAGACTAAAGGACAAAAAAGAGGGAGGGAGGAAGAGGAAAGGGAGGGAGGAAGAGGAAAGGGAGGGAGGAGGGGGCTGGGTGGATTGAGGAGCATGAAGTCCCTAGAGGTGAAGGAGAGGAAGACCAACAGCGTGTGTCTGTGACTGGAATGCCAGGAACTAGTTTTCTCTGTGGCTGGAAAGTAGCCTTGAAGGCAATCCCTGGGGAAACGTTTGGTAAACTAAACTTCGAACTGGTGTTTTGGTTGGGGGGGAGTGTCATGACATTAGAGGAATGACTCCTCTTCAATCCTTGCGTCTCCTTGACAAGTAGAAAATATACAGCCCTGGCCAAGGTTACGGGTAGGAGGTTCGGTGCAGGAATTGTGTCAGGAATGAATAGACCCTTGATTCTGGGGCTTCGAGCTCAAAGGCCACACCACATGCCTTTGACTATAGTTCCAACTGAAATCAAAATCTGAAGCCCCTTGACAATGGCGCATCCCAGTCAGGTGAAAGATCAAAAGTTGGTCTATTCTGTGTTTGACAAGAAGGCATAGCCAGGGATTGTGACAGGGAGGTCCCCAGAACGACCCACAGCTCTACCTCTGTTGCCTGAAGCACATTGACAGTGGAAAAAAAGTGGGCAGCTAGCACAGGCCCAATAGAATTCTTCAAAGGTGCCTGTCCGAGTCAGTTCAAATCAGCCTTCCTGAATTCCCCGAGTCAATGTTGTAGGTGTCACACATATATATGTAAAAAGAAAATAAAATTTCAGGACCTTCTGAATTTATTACACCAAAGGGAAAAATTAAGACCTGGAAACTGACTCAGGGAACACGGCTGTTTTCCTTCCCTGGTGCATGGCCACCGTTGCTTTCTGACTTTTGTGCTGGGATGTTATACATTAACCAGACTCTATTCTTCATTCAAACCTGGGCTAAATGATGTGGACATGGAGACCCTTGTGATGATTACCTCTTTACAATAAAATGTTAAACAACCCTCTTAGAGTTTACAGTCAACAGTAGCCAATCAAATCTTATATTTGTATGTTAGCTTTTGTATGGAAAATGTGATTCTAGTCAGCACCTCCGTTTTGCCTACATAAATGGTCCTCATTTTACCCAATGTAGGGAACACTGATCACCTATTTCCAGTGTCACTCCACTCCCCAGACAGCCACCTTCATACTTTGCCCTTGAATAAACTCTCTTTAAATTAGATTCTGACCCTTTTGATTAATTTAGGCTGACACATATGTCATTTAGGATGTGTGTGACTGGTTACTATCTAACACTTTAAAGTTGTATTCTGGATCTGGAGGGATAAATGGAAGCTGTTGCATCATAACCAGATCTCACTCTCTACTCTTGCCAGTCTCGCCCATTGACCAGGCCCAGTGGGTATCAGTGAGCAAGGGAGCCCCCCAATGCAACCCATAAGAGTCAGTCCCAGAGGCACAGAGCAGGGTGGACAAGAATGAGAATGCACCTAGAAGAGCAAAGGAAGGTGACCCAGGGCACTGCCTCACTCTCAGTCCTAGGGGAGCCCCCGTTGGTGCCCCCGGAGGCAGAAAAGATCTCTGCTCTTAAGCTACAGAGCAGATGGACATGACATTTAGGCTAATCCCATGGCCTGAATGGAAGGCAGAACAAGCCCCATCCACCCCATGACACCACCTCCAGCCTGCACTGCCGTTCACAGGTGCCGGTGATGTCCCCAGCTGTTATCAGAGAAGGCCAGGGGACCCTCCATGAGTGTCTGAAGGATGTACAGTTCTGCCAGGTCCATAGCCCCTTGCAGCAGACTCCATGCCAGGCATCCATGCCAGGCCCCCTGGGATTTCTACTAGGCAACATTCTCCAAAGCTTTTCTAAGGAAAATGTCCTTTGCCAACAAAGCAGTACCCGTGGCGCTATGTTCGTGCTGCACTAGCTTAGACGGTGTGTCACAGGACTGCCGCATGGCAGGGCCTCTCTCATGCTCCCTCCCACTCCCCTCTGTCTCTTGGCCCGAGTCCTCCTCCTGTTCCTCTCTTTATCCCTCCTTCTCCCATTTTTGTTCATTACTGCCTCGCCTTCTCCCTCAGCTTCTCCCCTTCCAATTGTTTGCAAGAGATTTTGAAAGGGTGGGGAGTAAGAAACAGGCAAAGATCGGGCAAGATTGTAGAGTGGAGAGAGGGAGGAAGGACCTGGAGCTTCTGCTGAGCTGTCTTTGTGTTCTCTTGCTTTCAATAAATGACCTCATTTCCCAGGGCGTCTGTTTATGAGAATTCTTCATGACACTCTATACCACAGTTCTCCATGATTCCATGACCAGAAGCCAGTCCACGAGCTTTCTAATAAAGCTCACCACTCCTGAGCCACCTGCTGCCTTGGAAAATTCTTCTCAAGTGACTGTACCTGTTTGTTGTACACGTCTGGAGGAGTGGGCTGGGAAGGAGGGTTGCGAAGGAAAGTAAAGTTAAACTGCATGCCCCTTCCCTTCCCTTCCTGCCCTGGGCTGACCAGGCTCCCCGGTGAAGCCACACACTACTGGACACATCTCCCAAAACCAGGCCCTGTTACCCAGGCCTGGTGTCCTCTGATGTGACTTGTTCCCAGGGCCTCTTTTTTTCCCACTGCATATGGCCCATTCCCCAAAAGGCTGGCCTTTGACCTCTAACCTGTCCACAGATTGGTGTTTTCAATCTCTAAATCCCTTTTAACTCTCGCATTCTCTGAATCAAAAGTAACAGTTAAGGGTGTGATTTGCCTGCCTGCACATAATCGCCCCAGGGCCTTCTTTACCAAATGTGCATTTGTCACATGGGCATTTTGTTGTTTAACCCAGATAAGTGATTCTGATAGTGCTTCCTGCAAGCCAGACGGGCAGAAGCTAGCGCAGGTAAGAAGCAAGTGTGTTAGGGTAGGTGAAACCTTTCAGTGGGATGTCCTGGGCACCATACCCACCATCCTGTACAGCCACAGTACCCCATAGGGGCCGAGGTGGGCTCTGTACTCCTTCCTGGAGCCTAATTAATATATATATTTTTTGAGACGGAGTTTTGCTTCTGTTGCCCAGGCCAGAGTGCCATGGCACCATCGCTGCTTGCTGCAACCTCCGCCTCCCGGTTCAAGTGATTCTCCTGCCTCAGTCTCCCAAGTAGCTGGGATTACAGGTGTCCATCACCACGCCCGGCTAATTTTTTGTATTTTTAGTAGAGACGGGGTTTCACCATGTTGGCCAGGCTGGTCTGAAACCCCTGACCTCAGGTGATCCACCCACCTCGGCCACCCAAAGTGCTGGGATTACAGGTGTGAGCCACCGAGCCCAGCCCTAATTGATATTAATGACAGCTTCTAATTCGTAAGAATGAGCAATTCAACCAAAGGGCCTCTCAATGGCCTTTAAGGCAAGAAATCTGTCACTCAGCGTCCTCAAGGCAAGAAATTGTTCTTTCTTATTTTTCCTGGTATATCAGTGTGTCCCATGGAGGACAATCCTTGAGATTTTTCTGAAGCTAGAGCAAAATTGCTCCCCAAAAAGTTGCAACCAGATTCTGCTTTTAACGTTAAGGCTTGGTTTTACTTCAGAATGTCCCTTTTATGGGAAAAGCCGCTTGACAGGGCCATTTTAGTTTATTAAGTCAATTGTTCAACAATTACTGAGCATTGATTAAATGTCAAAACTATCCTCATTTCTAGGCTTATCACAAAGCAGAGTCCCTGTGATCCCAAAGCTTGCAATAAGTGAAGTAGAAATACAATCAACAAGCAACCAAACAACAACAATTTATATATATATAAATTTATATATATATTAATTTATATATATATATATTTTTTTGAGACGGAGTCTCGGGCTTTGTTGCTCAGGCTGGAGTGCGGTGGCGCGATCTCAGCTCACTGCAATCTCTGCCTCCCAGATTCAAGCGATTCTCCTACCTCAGCCTCCCAAGTAGCTGGGGCTGCAGGTGTGTGCAGCCACGCCCAGCTAATTTTTGTATTTTTAGTAGAGACGGGTTTTTGCCATGTTGGCCAGGCTTGGAGTGGAGATGCCCAGTGTGATTTGGGGTGTCATACAAGATGGTAGGTTTGATGCTCGTGATGTGTATTATAGGTCCCGACGACCACATGAGTGGTGCTTTGAAGTCACTTTCTCTATTTCTCTTCCATTGTCTTCAAGCCTTCCAGAAAGTCTTGTTAAGTTTTCATCCAGATCTTAGCTGTTCAGTGAGGAATTAGGGAAGGACCTGCTTTGGAAGGAATGACAAGAGAGAGGTGTATGAACTCTCTAAAGCCACAGTGGGAGAACCAGCAGTGGGTACCCACGGAGGTCAACAAGTCCAAAGGCCACAGAAGTCACCCACTCAGAGACAGCAGGGCACATTGACAAGGCCAGGAAAGAAAACGGAAAGGGAAGTAGCCTCGGAAGAATGCACAGTCAGGGGGACTGTGGGGAGGGTGGTAAACAGTGGCCCATGCTGGGCGCTAAGGCCACCCCTCTGTCTATAAAAGGGGATATGGCCGGGGGCTGTGGCTCACGCCTGTAATCCCAGCACTTTGAGAGGCCAAAGCCGGTGGATTACGAGGTCAAGAGATCCAGACCATCCTGGCCAACATGGTGAAACCCCATCTCTACTAAAAATACAAAAATATTAGCTGGGCATGGTGCGCCCTGTAGTCCCAGCTACTCGGGAGGCTGAGGCAGGAGAATCTCTTGAACCCAGGAGGCAGAGGTTGCAGTGAGCCAAGGTGGTGCCACTGTACTCCAACCTGGCGACAGAGCGAGACTCCATCTCAAAAAAAAAAGGTGTGTGGGGGGGTGGGGGGTGGGATATGACAATGTGTAAAGCCAGAGAGACTTGTGTTACTTCAGTGGATTAGGTGACCAATGTGTGACTGGCTTTAGATGCCTCTTCCCCACTTCTCCCACTTTCATGGACCCCCAGGACCAACAGTTACCTGACATGAGAGCCCCTTCTGCTTGTTTTTAGGACCTGAGACAAAGGGAGTTTTATAAGAATTGAGAATAGCAAGGAGCTTTTAGATATGGTTGAGGATGCTTTAGAACTCTTCAAAATCTAATCTTTTATCTATTAATTTTTTAAAATAGACTTGTTTTAAAGAGCAGTTTTAGGATCACAGCAAAATTAAGTGGAAAGTAGAGAAAATTCCCATATCCCCCTCCCCCTGTACATGCACAGCCCCTAAGATCAGCAGCTCCCACCAGAGAGGTCCATCTGTTACAATCAGTGAACCTGCGTTGACATACCATAATCACCCAAAGTCCAGAGTTAACATTAGGGTTCACTTTTGGCATCATGCATTTGATGGGTGTGGCCAAATGTCTACTAACATGCATCCACCATTGTAGCATCATACAGAATGGTTTCACTGCCCTAAAATCCCTGGTGCTCCTCCTATTCATCCTTCCCTCCCCACTAACCCCTGCCAACCACTGATCTTTTTACTGTCTCCATTGCTTTGCCTTTCTCAGAAGGTCATATAGTGGGAATCATTCAGCACATATCCTTTCCAGAATGGCTTCTTTCACTTGGTAATATGCATTTAAGGTTCTTCCACATCTTTTGATGACTTGGTAGCTTATTTCTGTTTAACTCCGATTAATATTCCATTGTCTGGATATATCAAGTTTGTTTATTCATTCACCTACTGAAGGACATTTTGGTTGCTTCCAAGTTTTGGCAATTGTGAATAAAGCTGCTATAAACATCCGTGTAAAGGCTTTTGTGTGGACATAAGTTTTCAGTTCATTTGGGTAAATATCATGGAGTGTGATTGCTGGACCATATGGTAAGAATATGTTGTTTACTTTTGTAAGAAATGCCAAACTGTCTTCCAAAATGTCTATAACATTTTGCGTTCCCACCAGTGAATGAGATTTCCTGTTGCTCTACATCCTTACCAGCATTTGATGTTGTCAGTGTTTTGAATTTTGGCCATTCTGTTGGGTGTGCAGTGGTATCTCATTGTTTTAATTTGTAATTCCCTAACGATGTCATGTGGAACACCTTTTCATATGCTTATTTGCCATCTGTATATTCTCTTTGGTGAGGTATTTTGACCTGTTTCTTAATTGAATGGTAGTTTTCTTATTGTTGAATTTTAAGAGTTTTTTTTTCTTCAGGTATATGGTATTTTATTGTGCTTTGCTTTATTGTGCTTCACAGATACTGCATTTTTTACAAATAGAAGGCTTGTGGCCACACTTCTTTGAGCAAGTCTATTGGTGCCATTTCTCCAACAGCATGTGCTCACTTCTTGTCTCTGTGTCACATTTCGGTAATCTTCACAATATTTCAAAAAAATTATTATTATTTTATTTGTGATGGTGACCTGTATCAGTAGTATCAGTGATCTTTGATGTTACTATTATAATTTTGGGGGAACACCATGAACTGCACCCATATAAGATGATGAACTTTATCAATAAATGTGTATGTTCTGACCACCCCACTGACCATCATTCCCCATCTCTCCCTCTCTCCAGACCTCCCTATTCCCTGAGACATAACACTATTGAAATTAGGCCAATTAATAACCCTACAAAGGCCTCTAAGCGTTCAAATGAAAGGAAGAGTCACATCTCTCACTTTGAACCAAAAGCTAGAAATTGGTACACTTAGTGAAGAAGGCATGTCAAAAGCTGAGATAGGCAAAAAGCTAGGCTTCCTGCACCAAACACGTAGCCAAGTTTTGAATTCAAAGGAAAAGTTTTTGAAGGAAAAGTTTTTGAAGTTTTGAAGGAAATTAGAAGTGCTACTCCAATAAACACATGGATTATAAGAAAGCCAAACAGGCTTCTTGGTGATTTGGAGAAATGTAAGTGGTCTAGATGTAAGATCAAGGCAGCCACAAAGCCACAACATTCCCTTAAGGCGAAAGCCTAATCCAGAGCAAGGCCGGAACTCTCTTCAATTATATGAAAGCTGAGAGAGGTGAGGAAGCTGTAGAGGAAAATTTTGAAGCTAGCAGAGGTGGGTTCATGAGGTTTAAGGAAACAAGCCGTCTCCATAACATAAAACTGCAAGGTGAAGTAACAAGTGCTGATACAGAAGCTGCAAGTTATCCAGAAGATCTAGCTCAGATCACTGATGAAGGTGGCTACACTAAACAACAGATTTTCACTGTGATAAAACAGCCTTCTGTTGGAAGAAAATGCTATCTAGGACTTTCATAGATAGGAGAAGTCAATGCCTGGCTTCAAAGCTTCAAAGGACATGACTCTCTAGTTAGGGGCTAATGTAGCTGGTGACTAAGTTGAAGCCAGTGTTCATTTACCATTCTGAAAATCCCAGGGCTCTTAAGAATTATGCTAAATTGACTCTGCCTGTGTTCTATAAATGGAACACAGCCTGGATGACAGCATATCTCTTTTTTTTGTTTTTGTTTTTTTTTTTTGAGACAGAGTCTCACTCTGTCACCCAGGCTGGAGTGCAGTGACGCAATCTTGGCTCACTGCAATCTCTGCCTCCTGGGTTCAAGCGATTCTCTTGCCGCAACCTACCAAGTAGCTAGGACTACAGGCACCCACAACCACACCCAGCTAATTTTTGCATTTCTAGTAGAGACGAGGTTTCACTGTGTTGGCCAGGCTGGTCTAGAACTCCTGATCTCAAGTAAGCCGCCCACCTTGGCCTCCCAAAGTACTGGGATTAAAGGCGTGAGCCACCGTGCCCAGCCAGCACATCTCTTTATGGCATGATTTACTGAATATTTTTAAGGTCACATTCATTCAGTAGCCCTTAGATTAAGGAGTAATTTTGACTTTCAAGTCTTATTATTTAAGAAATACAGTTTGTAAGGCTATAGCTGCCATAGGTAGTGATTCCTCTGATGGATCTGGACGAACTAAATTGAAAGCTTTCTGGAAAGGAGTTACCATTCTAGATACCATTAAGAACATTTGTGATTCATAGGAGGAAGATAAAATATCAATATCATTAAGAGGAGTTTGGAAGAAGTTGGTTCCAACCCTCATGGATGACTTTGAGGGGCTCAAGACTTCGGTGAAGGAAGTAACTGCAGATATGGTAGAAATAACGAGAGAACTAGAATTAGAACTGGCGCCTGAAGATATGACTGAATTGCTGCAGTCTCATGGTCAAACTTGAACAGATGAGAAGTTGCTTCTTATGGATAAGCAAAGAAAGTGGTTTCTTGAGATGGCACCTACTCCTGCTGAAGATGCTGTGAACACTATTGAAACGACAACAAAGGATATAGAATATTACATAAATTTAGTTGATACAGCAGCAGCAGATTTTGACAAGATTAACTCCAATTTTAAAAGAAATTACTCTGTGGGGAAAAGGCTATCAAACAGCATCACATAAAATAAACCTTTCATGAAAGAAAGGGTTAATTGATGCGGCAAACTTCATTGTTGTCTCATTTTAAGAAATTGCCACAGCAATCCCAATCTTCAGCAACCACCACCCTGATCAGTCAGCAGCCATCAATAACAAGGCAAGACCTTCCACCAGCTTAAAAATTATGACTTACTGAAGACTTTGATGATTGTTAGCATTTTTCAGCAATGAAGTGTTATTGATTAAGTTATGTGCCTTGTTTTTTTTTTTTAGACATGATGCTGTTGCACAATTAATAGACTACAATATAGTATAAACCACTTTTATATGCGCTGGAAAATCAAAATTTTGTATGCCTCACTTTGTTGCACTATTAACTTTATTGTAGTGGTCTGGAACTGAACCTGCAATATCTCCAAGGTATGCCTGTGTATTCTGGATAACAGTCATTCATCAGCCATGTCTTTTGTAAATATTTTCTCCTACTCTGTGGCCTTAGATCTTATTTTGGAAATTCCTTTAACTTACAGAAAGTAGTTGTTTTCACTTACAGAAGGAAAGGAGAGGATTACGCTTTTGAATTTGCATGATAAAGGGCTTAGAGAAGATTAATAATCATGATTAGTAATCATAATCCCAAAGGAGCTGGGTAGTCTGCAATAAGAGTTAAGGAAATTGTGTTTGTCCTATCCTAAACATTTTCAGGCAATTTCATTTTTTAAATTTTTTTATATATGACTATTTTTTAACATAACTACAGTATCATTATCAGACCTCCCAAACCCAAACATGTCCTCAATACCATCAATTTCTGTTCAATCTTTCCTGGTTGTCTCAAAACTGGCGTTTTATTTTTTCTTTTTCAAGAACATCTTGGTTATTCTAGGATATTTGCATTTTCATGTTTATTTTATTTTTTTAAATATATTTGGGGGTGCACATGCATTTTTGTTACATGGATATATTGTGTAGTGGTGAAGTCTGGCTTTTAGTGTAACCATCACCTGAATAGTGAACACTGTACCCAATAGGTAATTTCTCATCCCTCAGCACCCCTACCCTCCCACCTTTTGTACTCCAATGTCTATTATTCTACTCTGTATGCCCATGTATACACATTGTTCAGCTCCCACTTATAAGTGAGAACATGCGGTATTTGACTTTCTGTTTCTGAGCTGTTTCACTTAATATAATGGCCTCCAGTTCTATCCACGTTGCTGCAAAAGACATGATTCCATTCTTTTTTTCTGGCCTAGTAGCATTTCAAAATCAGGCAATTTTAAATGTCTGTACCAGTTCCACAGAGATTTCGTTTTTAGGATAATTGTATTAATTTCCATTTAATACTTTAACTTGCCTCTTATGTTTTATTAATTATGGTACATCAAAATCCTTTGTAGAAGTATGTTTAGGGTTTGGAAAAAGTCCAGATCTTGGGTAGTAGCATTTTCTCAATGTAAACGTTCCACCAAACCAGAGAAAAATGCTCAGCTCCACTCTTGAAACTGCTTGAAACAGAACTGTCCAAATAATTCTGAAGCAGCCATTATTCTTATATCAATGTCATATGCATATAAATACTTACACACAGATACATCATTCATTTGAAGCCAACTCAAGCATATCAACGTGTTTTTAAACTAGAATCTACCCTAAATTATTACTTTAGATATAGTCAGTAAACTTTCACCACTTCAGCCAAACTGGGGGAAATACTACTTTGAATTCATTAACAGCTAAAAATACAAAGACTATTTAAAAGCTTCAATCTTTCACAAGTCATAACTCTAAGTGGATATTTCATTGTGCTATATACAATTCTAAGCAAATATTTCACACAGAAGCCCTTAGTGAATAAACAAACATTATATACAAAGGAACAACCATAAAGATACGGGCTGACTTTTCATCAGTAACAGTGAAAAACAGGAAGCAATAGTACAACATTGTTATAATGTCAGAAGAAGAAGAAAAAAAGCCTGTTATCTTAAATAATACACCCAAAGAAAATATCTATCAAAAATAAGCAATAAGACAGTTTCCGAAAAAAAAAAAGCTGAATGAAATTGTTTCTAGCATAAGTCCACTACAAGAATACTAAAGAAATTTCTTCTAGCTAAAAGTGAATACCATTCGACGGCAATGTGAAGAAACGAAAAGCGCTAGAAAGAGTAACTTTGCTATACCTAATTTTTCTTTTCTCATTTTCCTTAAGAGATAACTGAACTATTTAAAGCAAAAATAATAACAGCATATTGTGGGCTTTATTAAGAAAAATGTAAGACAACAATAGAACAAAAGATGGAGACAGATGGAAATACAGTTTTAAGATTCTTACACATAAAGGCGTGTAGTATTAATTTAATTTAGGGTAGATTGTATGAAGTTGAGGATACATACTGAAATCCTCAGAACAAAAAATCATTTTAAAAAACAAACGGATAAAGCTGATGTTCCAATAGATGAGAATAAAAAAGGCCAGGCATGGTGGCTTACGCCTGTAATCTCAGCACTTTGAGAGGCCGAGGTAAGAGATTCACTTGAGGCCAGGAACTTGAGACCAGCCTGGAAAACATAGTGGGACCCCATTTCTAAAAAAAAAAAAAAAAAATTAAGTCAGCCTGGCATGGTGGCACATGCCTGTAGTCCCAACTACTTGGGAGGATGAAGTAGGAGGATCATTTGAGCCCAGAAGTTTGAGGCTGCAGTGAGCTATTATCACACCACTGTACTCCAGCAGTCTGGGTGACGGTGAGACCCTGTCTCTAATAATAATAATAATAATAATAATAACAATAATAATAATAATCCTACTGAGTATACCATGAATTCAAAAGAAGGAAGAGAAATAAGAAAACAACAACAAAGAAGGTGATGTGATAAATAGAAAACAAATAACAAGACAGCGGTCTTACATATGGGACTTTTCATAATGATATAATAACAATTCATTAAGAAGATATAAAAATTATAAATATGTATGTACTTAGTAACAGAATTTCTAACTCCCTACGCAAAAACTGACAGAGGCAAAAAAAAAAGAAATAGATAAATCAAAATCTATAGTTTGAGATTTTAACACTCCTCCCTCAACAGTCCTAAACAGGATTATTTAGATAAACAGGAAAATTTACTTAGCTAAATCTAAATCCCAAGCAGATTTAGATTTATCTATTTCTAAATTCCTTGAAATACATAAATTATTGATATTGAGTCACAAAGAAATAGAAAACTTGAAAGGCTCTAGATCCATAAAAGAAATTCATTTGGTACTTACATTTCCACAAAGAAAACGCCAGACCTAGATCCTATCTAATATAAGGAAAAAAGTCGAGCACCAGCAGGTTCAATTATCTAGTAAGGGTCTGGTCTCTGCTTCCAAATCAGCACCTTGAACCCTGCATCCTCCAGAAGGCAGAATGGAAAAGGGAAGAAGGGGATGCATTTCCTCCAACAAGCCCTTTTATTACTTTATTTATTTATTTATTTATTTATTTATTTATTTATTGAGACAGAGTCTCACTCTGTCACCCAGACTGGAGTCCAGTGGTTCAATCTCGGCTCATTGCAACCTCTGCCTCCTGGGTTCCAGTGATTCTCCTGCCTCAGCCTCCCGAGTAGCTGGAATTACAGGCACCTGCCACCACACCTGCCTAATTTTTGTATTTTTAGTGGAAACAGGGTTTCACCACATTGGCCAGGCTTGTCTCGAACTCCTGACCTCAAGTGATCCACCTGCCTCAGCCTCCCAAAGTGCTTGGATTACAGATGTGAGCCACCTTGCCCAGCCTAGCAAGCCCTTTTATAGGGGTGCTTAATCCCATTCATGAGGGCAGAGCCCTCATGACTCAATCACCTCCCAAAAGCCACACCCACCAATACTGTTGCATTGGGGATTCAGATCAACATAAATTTTGGACGAGACAAAGACATTCAAATCATAGCAACTTCTAAACTCATTTTATGAAGCCAGTATCGCCACGTTATGGGAGCTAGACAAAAATTTAACAGTGAAAGAAAACTACAAACTGATATCCCTCATAAACATTGTAGTGAATTTCTAAAATCTTATGCTACCCCAGCATCCTTTGGAAAATAGGTTTCACTTTCTCATGCCGGAAGCAGGGCTTAGTCCTCCTAGTTCCTCCATGTGGTCTATCCAGATATCTGCCTTAAACAGCTGCCTCCTGGTGACCACCACCCTGTGGTGACCATCACATACAGATACAACCTACCTGACTCACCCCACTGATCCTCACACTCTTTATGGACTGCATAGATATGCTACAATGACCACTTCTCAGTCACAGCATGACCCTACAGAATGTGCACCTCCTTGCTCTAAACCCACCAATTACAACTCCCTAAGGGAAACCAGCTAGGGTGATACCCCAGACCTCAATAAAGGCGTTGGCCCATAGGTCCATCTCTCTCTCACTGCCTACTTGCTTGTAAGTGCATTGCCCCTGAAACCTTCCCGTCAGCCCCCATCAGTACCCCTCTTCTCCCACAGACCTGTAAGTAATAAACTGCTTCTGTTATTTCAAATATTTTGGTTGTGTTGTCTCCTCTATGTCTCACCCAACCAACACATCTAGTCCTAACTTTTCTCCCAGTCAAAGCTCTTCTAGAGAGTGGCTATCTTGGCAGGAATAAACTGGACACAGGTCAGATAAGAGCCACATGGTATCTGCCAGTATGAACAAGTTTCCTATGAGAGCAATACCTGATCATGAGTCAAACAATTAGGCATTAGGCCATCTACCAAGACAAAGAAGTATTCTGCGAAAGGCACATTGTAAACATACGTGACCAAATTCCCTAGAGCCCTGTCAGGGCAGGGCTAGTTTATAGCCATTCTCCCAAGACAGACCTGAAGACCAAATTAAAGAAAAATACACAGGCTGAGGTGGGCGGATCACGAGGTCAGGAGATCCAGACCATCGTGGCTAACACGGTGAAGCCCCATCTCTACTAAAAATACAAAAAATTAGCCGGGTGTGGTGGCAGTTGCTACTCAGGAGGCTGAGGCAGGAGACAGGCGTGAACCTGGGAGGTGGAGTTTGCAGTGAGCCAACATTGTGTCACTGCACTCCAGCCTGGGCAACTCCATATCAAAAAGGAAAAATACAACAAACATATTTGCAAAAATTCCTTACACAACATTAGCACATCAATTCCCTACAATATGAAAATAATAATATATCGTGACCAATTGAGGTTTATTCCAGAGAATGCAAAGTTGGTTTAACATTTAAAAATCAAGGTAAGTTATCATAGTAACAGAATAAAGGAAAAAAATCATACGATCAATAGATGCAGCAAAATCATTTCACACAATGCAATGCCTATTCATAGTCTTAAAAAATTAAGCAAAGCAGAAATAGAAGGAAACTTCCTTAACCTGATATAGAAAAAAAGCTTGCAATTGCCATCAAATGTAATGGTAGAAACCTGAATACTTCCATCCTATTACTAAGAACAAAGTCAATATGTCTGCTGTCACAGCTGCTATTCAACATTGTACTAGATATTCTAGCCACTGCTGTTAGGCAAGACAAAGAAAGAAAAGTCAATTAGATTGAAAATAAAAAGTTTTAAAACTCTTTTTTTCAAAGATGATATAGAAAATCTTATTAAACCTATAAATAAATAAGATAACTTATAAGGGAATTTCAAAAGGTCATATGAGATATAGTCACTATATCCAGAAAATTGTATTTCTACATTATAGCAACAAACAATTGGAAAATATAATTTAAAAAGCAATACCACGGAGTGCAGTGGCTCATGTCTGTAATCCTAGCACTTTGGGAGGCCAAGGTGGGAGGATCACTGGAGCCCAGGAGTTCAACACCAGCCTGGGCAACATGGCAAAAACCCATCCCTACGAAAAATACAAAAATTAAGCAGAAAATACAAAAATTAGATGGGTGAGGTGGCATGTGCCTGTAGTCCCAGCTACTTGGGAGACTCAGCTGGGAGGATTGTTTGAGCCCAAGAGCTTGAGGCTGCAGTGAGCTGTAATTGTGCCACCACTGCACTTCAGCCTGGGTGACAGAAGGAGATACTGTCTCAAAATAAAGCAATACCAAAAAATAGAATACTTCAGGATAAATTTAACAAAATATGAACAAGACCTGTGCATTGTTAACTGCAACACTTTGCAGAGGGAAATTTTAGAAGACCTAATACGTAGAGAAATATATTCATATATTGAAAGTTTTAATATTTTAACATATCAGTTCTCCTCAAATTAATTTATACATCTAACATTACTGCTTCCAAAATTCCAGCAAAGTTTTTGTAAAATTTATAGGCTCAATCTGAAATGTATATGGAAATGCAAAGGACCTAGAATAAACAAAACATTTTGAAAAACAGAAACATAGGTAGTGGAATTATAATAATGGGTTTTCAAAATTTACCATTAAGCCACAGTAATCAAAGCCATAAACAATTCTGGCATAAGAACAAATAGATTAATGGAATACAACAGAGAGTGTAGGAATATCACACACGCATACGTATTGTCAGTTGATTTTTGACAATTCTACTGAGGGAATCCAATGAGGAAAAAAAAAGTCTTCACAAATGGTGCTGGAAAACCTGAATATTCACAAAGGGGAAAAAATAAATTTTGACACATGTTTCACACCATACACAAAAATTAATTTGAAATGGATTATAGGTCTAAGAGCTAAACTTCTAAAATTCTAGAATAAAACAGAAAAAAATCATTATGTTAAGGAAAGATTTCTTACATAGGACACAAAAACATGACCATAAAAGAAAAAAGAATAATAAATTTGACAATAAAAATTTAAAACTTTTGACTATCCAAATGCATGGTTAAGAAGATAAAAATTCAAGACACAGCCAGGTGCGTTGGCTTATGCCTGTAATTCTAGCATTTTGGAAGGTTGAGGTGGATGGATCGCCTGAGCTCAGGAGTTCAAGACCAGCCTGGGCAACACGGCGAAACCCTGTCTCTACTAAAAATACAAAAAATTAGCTGGGTGTGGTGGCACACACCTGTAGTCCCAGCTACTTGGGAGGCTGAGGCATGACAATCTCTTAAGCCTGGGAGGCAAAGGTTGCAGTGAAGCGAGATAGTGTAACTGCACTCCAGCCTCAGTGACAGAGTGAGACTCTGTCTCAAAAAAAAAAAAAAAAAATTCAAGATAGACTGGAAAAAAAACATTGCAAGGCATGTATCTGATACAAGACTTGTATCCAGAATATGTAAATGACTCTTATAACTCAATAAGAAGAAGATAACCTGGTTTTTAAAAAGGGGACAGAAAATTTGATTAACACGTCACAAAGAAGATAAGCAAATAGCAAATAAGCACATGAAAAGATAAATATTTTTTATCTTTTCACTGGAAAAATGAAAATTAAAAGCACAATGAGATACTATTATATAGCTGGTAAAATGGCTAAAATTTAAAAGGAACACAATACCAAATGTTGGCAAGTATATGAAAGAATTAGGACTTTCATATATTGCCGCTGGTGAGTGCAAGGTGGCACAATCACTTTTGAAAGCAGTTGGTGGTTTCTTAGAAAGTGGAACATACACTTACGTTATACCATAAATCCCATTAGGCATTTACCCAAGATAAATGAAAGCCATGTCTACAACAATACTCGGACGTGAATATTAATAGAAGCCTTGTTTATAATTTCTAAGAAGTGGAAGCAACCCAAATGTCCATGAACAGATGAATAAGAAAACAATATATGATATATTCATACACTGGAACACTATTCGGCACCAAAAAAAATACAATATTGATAGATGCAACAACTTGTATTAGTCTTGCAAATATTATACTGAGCAAAAGAAGCTAGCCATAGGTGAGTATATACTCTGATTTTTACTTTGTGACAACCTTGGACAGGTGAAACTAAGTTATAGAGAGAGAAAGCTGATCAGTGTTTGCCTGGCATCAAGAATGGGGAGAATTCGCTGTGAGGGGATGCAAAAGCAAACAAACAAATGAACAAACTTTGAGGTGATGGAAATATTCTACATCACATCATCGTTGATTAGGGGGTGGTTACACAGGTATACACATTTTGAAACACATGGAACTGAAAATGGGTACATTTTATTGTTGGTAAATTGCAACTCAGTACGGTTGGATTAAAAGGAAGAAAAATACCCAGTGAGATATTGCTACACAACTACTTGAATGGCTAAAATTAAAAGCACTGACACTACCTACTCTTAGCAAGAAAGGATCCTATCCTCTGCTGATTAGTGTATACATTGATAAAAATCACTCTGAAAAGCCATTTGGCATTATTGATCATATGTGTAACCTTTGACACAGAAATTCCTTTTTAAAGTATATACCTAACAGAAATGTGTCCATATGTTCACCAAAAGAATGTTTACAGCAGCATCATGTGCAGTAGCTAAAACCTGGAAGCAACCAAATTGCCCACAAATAGTAGAATGAATTAATAACTGGTAATATATTCATATATTAGAATACAGCAATGGAAATGAATGCTTATATGTGCAAGAAACATGGGTGAGTCTCACAAATCTTAAATTGAGCAAAAGAAAGCAGACACAAAAGTCTACATACTGTATGATTACATTTGTATACAAATTTAAAATATGGAAAACTAATCCATGGTGTTAGAAGTCAAGAGAGAAGAAGAGGGAGGGTTGGAGCTAGGAAAGGGGCATGAAAGGAGCTTCTGGGAGGCTGGGAACTTTCTATTTCATGATCCCTGTTGCTACCAGAGTGTGGTCACTTTGCAATGGCTCATTGAGTCAGACACTTCCGGTTTGTGCATTTTTTTTTGTATGTATGCTTTATGCATGTATATAAAACCTTTTTTAAAATAGCAAGGAACTTATGAGTAAATGGACATCAAGGAAGTAGAAGAAGCCTAGAGCTTTCTGTTGGTAAGTTTGCTGTTGAATGGAAAAATGCAAAAAGAAAGAAAGCGTGTGATGTAGTACTACCACTGAAAGACATATTTTGGATTAGAAAAGATTTGAGCATGCTCATATTCTGATTTTTCAAGCCAGTAAAAAAGAAGAATAACACTATAGTAAATAAATTATTAAAATGATGAATACTGTTTTAAAAAAACTATGAAGCAGGGGGCCAGAGATGGTGGCTCATGCCTGTAATCCTAGCACTTTGGGAGGCCGAAGCAGGCGGATCACCTGAGGTCAGGAGTTCGAGACCAGCCTGGCCAATGTGCTGAAACCCCATCTCAACTAAAAATACAAAAATTAGCCAGACATGGTGGCATGCGCCTGTAATCCCAGCTACTCAGGAGGCTGAGGCAGGAGAATCGCTTGAACCCGGGAGGCAGAGGTTGCAGTGAGCTGAGATCACCCCACCGCACTCCAGCCTGGGTGACAGAGCAAAACTCCGTCTCAAAAAAAAAGAAAAACAAAACAAAACTATGAAGCAGGTGCTCAGACGGGAAAGGAAGAGGGTTTTTGTGGAAGTCCTAATCTTATACAAGATTGGCTTTTTTTCCTCTAAGTCTCAAAAAAAGAACATAATGGTGGGAGCCGCATAGGAAACCGATGAAAACATGAAGGAAGAGTGGGACATTTTGAGAAAAAATGCCGAGGGAGTTTGTGGTCTGATACAAAGCACAGCCACATGCTGAGAGGCTGTGGATCTGGTTTGGAATCTTCAGAAAAGAGTGGCCGAAGGAGGCACATTAACCATAGGAAAGTGAGGGGCAGCTGCTTTCAGATAAATGAAAGAAAAATTCAGTCCTATTGAGGGTTCAATTAAATGTGGAAACTACACACTTCTTACTGTGTTCATTGGCACGATCATTCTCCCGGATACCCGAGCATGAGAATTTAAAGTCACTGTTTTATGACCATGTTTTATTCCTCCTCTCACCATCTTCACGTACCTAACACTCCTTCTCTTTCTGTCTTCTGTAATGGAGGCTCTGGCGGAGAAAATATAACTCCTGGAACATCTTCCCAGTGGGGTCTCTGCCTCTGGTTTCTTCTTTTTATTTCTGTCTCCCTAATAGAACACTTAGATATTGCCATGCCCGTGTTCAATGACCTTCAGTGGCTGCTGGTATTGATTTCCAGTTAAACTAAAAAGCTTAGTTAGCTGAGTTCACCTCTCATTTCAGCCCAGGATGGAATCAAGAGCACATGACACCTTCATAGACCAGACATGAGCTCAGCAGCCCTAGCCCATCCCACAGTCAGGCTCTCACCCAGGCAAGTATAAACTAATCAGAGCTGGCCGGTATTGAGCACTTATTATGTATGAAGCATTGTTCTAAGCACCTGGTGTGTGTTAGCCCATTTGAGACTCACAACAATATCTGGGGTAGGTTTTCATTTTTTCATTTGATAGGCAGGAAAAATGAGATCTGGAGAGGCCAAGTAAGTCACCCCACTTAGAGTTAGAGAGTGAGCACACCAGGATGCAAATCCAGGTAATTGGCCTCCAAAACCACATTTGCAACCATTACCCTAAGAACAGGCATTGGCTTGGCTTCCAGCATCTCTGTCTTTGAGTTTTCCTGTCCAAGTTCAAAATCTTACTTTTGCAAGCCACCTTCAGCATGGCCTGGGATGCTCTGAATGTTGATTTTTCTTCTGGTTCCAGGTGCTACATGCTGTCTGGAAGCAGAATTCTCCCCTCCCCTCAATCTGTTGGTTGGGATCCAACTTCCTGCAACAGCTCCTTGTCCATGAGTCAACCTTCATGCTCCAAACTTGGAAGCTCAATGGTGTGCCAATGTTTCTGTCTCTCCTACTCAGTCTTGAGAAGTGGTTAATCATTTTTAAATGCTAGGAATAAGTATTAGGAAGTTTAAAAAATGGAGAGCAAATTCCATTTTTATAAATAAGTGGTCTCCTGAAATACTATTTTCATCTTCTTCCAGGCTCTATAGTTCTGGTTTTAACACAAAACTATCTTCATGTATTTTACCCTGTTCTGTTGGATTGCTGTATTTCACCTTTATGTATCTTATCTTGCTCTGCTGGATTGATTCTCATTTGCACAAAAAGACTTGTTCTTTTTACCCCTTGCTTTTCTTAAGAAATTCATCATCTGAAGAAAGAAATGTTTAAAGAATTGATTTTCCTGCCCCAGAAGTTTTGTTTTCCCTTTCTAAAGTGTTATTTCCCTTTTTCTTCTGAAAACATTTTTTCCAGGATTTTTTTAAAAACAAGTTAGAGGTTACAACAACCTTTTCTATGCTATCAAGGGACACTCTTAAGATTCCATTGTAGACATAATCCTTATCAGTTTGAATAGTGTTGACCATGTAGGAGAATTTGCCTGTCCGAGTTCAAAATCTTAGTTCAAAGATGAATATACTATCTTTAGTCACAGATTTGTGCTAACATACTACGAACTAAAATGCTGCAATCCTTTGAAAGTTGTTTTATAGGCACTGCTCTTTCACTTAATGTACTTCTTTCTTCTCACAAGACAGAGCTTAAAGGCTTGTCATGAATAGCATGAAATCTCAACTTCCCACGCCTCAGTGTGGAAGCCCTATCATAAAAACATAGTACATTACCCTTAAAACAAATTTCTCTCTGACTTCAGTGACACTGAAATGGACTGCAAACAATGGTACTGGCAGAGTTCCAGGGTTTCTGAACACTGCTTCTTAACATAAAGTGAGTTCACAAAGGCTGGGGTTGCATTTCTGAGGATAACGGATCCTTTAAATACTGCACACTTTTGTGTCTACACATACAAAGTAATGCAGTGAATTGGGGCAATTATCCTTGTAATTCAAGTGCGCCCTTTCCTCCCCACATACATATTTTGGTTTCAATTATCTGAGCATTTCAAACAAAAGCTATCTTTTTCCCCCTTGGATAATTGCTTCATTTCTCTGCTTTTTCTTGTGTATGTAAATTCAAATTATTCCCAAATCTGTACGTATAGGTCAGAGAAACTTTTGCAAATAAATCCTTTTGGAACCAACACTTCTCTGTTTTCTAATGGAGGGCCATATAGCACCTCACATATCAACAAGCAAAAGGGCAGAGTCCTATCCAGGCAGGGACATCCTGTTCCCCCATCTTGCAGCCTGTGGATCAGGGATGATGGCAGAGGCCTTCCCCCCTTGGGGACTTGACAGAAGCTGTCATCCAGTAGGCAGGCACACAATTCACCTGTGGCTTGTTCATTATCATCAGACGTGTTGACAGGCATGGGGCCTGGAAAGGAGGCACAGCAGTCTTTCCATGCCAGCTGGTGAAAGGATGAGAGGCTCCATCTCACAGCAGGAGTGAGTCATGGTGCCAGCGTCATAGACAGGCATAAGTATTCCAAGTCATGGACAGAAAGTCCCTCAATGCCTGTGGACTCTTTTGCAGGGCCTCCTTGTGTGGGGAGGGACTTGCAGAATGGGATTAGAAATTGTAGACTGGTCTGTAGTGTTGGACTGAAATATGATGTGATTAGCTGGTGACCCGAAGTCCCAGAGGAATCAGGCATCTTAATGAGCTCACATCAGTTTAAGGAAAACAGTCTATGGTTTTGTAGGTAAGCAGTGCAGTCCATATTTTTGTTGTCGTTTGTCCTTCTCACTAAGCCATGAAAGGAATGTGTGGCTTTCTTTCAAAATGTGTATAGCTGGGCATGCCAGCTCACACCTGTGATCCCAGCATTTTTGGGAGGCCATGGCTGGAGAATCACTTGAGACCAGGAGTTTGAGACCAGCCTGGACAACATGGCGAGACCTGTCCCTACACATACACAAACATTAGCCAGGCTTGCTGGGGCACACTTATAGTCCTAGCAACTAGTGAGGCTGAGGTGCGAGGATTGTTTGAGCCCAGGAGTTCAAGGTTACAGTGAGCTATGATCATGCCACTGCACTCCAGCCTGGGTAATAGAGCAAGACCCTGCCTTAAAAACAAACAAACAAAAATGTGTAGACATACATATGCACTTCATCTCAGGAATCCTTCGTTGACTACAACTGAGTAAAAGGAATGTATGTTTAAGATACAATAAAGTCCATTCTCGGAACACTTACTGAATCTCTGAAAATCATGGATTTTTCATGTTGTGAAACATAGGTCAGGGGAGGGCACCCCTAAAAGACCTCACATAACCATAGGGAAAAACTGTATGGTTTTTATTGCACTGTGGTTATAGTTTCAAGGTTTTAGACTGCAAGACTCTAAAATGTGATTACTTCCCTTAGCATTGAGCAGGAGAGCTTGTTGATTCCAAATCAACACAGAGTGAGTGTGCGTGGGTATATTCTGCTCGGAAGTCAATTCCTTCATTCATCAGCTGATAATGAAAACAAAATACTTTGTTTCTGGAAGGGGGGGGATCTATGGAGCCATATATCCAAGAGATGTCAAGAGGCCCCAGTTCATTAAAACTATGAGGAATGAGGTGCCAGAATGAGGCTGGAACCATTTAAGATTAGTGGCTGGGATCAAAGGTCTGTGATGAAGTCTTGGGAATTGTCAGCAGCTGATGTAGGCACAAGGATGAAAGAAAGATTATTTCATGATGCTAAGGTTTTCATTTTCTGGTTATAAATCAGTATTTGTTTATGTCAGTTTACCTTAATGGGAACATTTAGTCACATAAGATATTTTAATATAATTTATTACTGCCCCAAGTCGAAAACACCAAGAGATACAAGACCCTGCAGGGAAGGAATCCCTGCTTAGAGTGCAGATGGCCAGTTCCATGCTCAGGACTGCCAGCTGCTGCTGGACGCCTCTAGTCTTTTCTTCTCTTTCTCTGTTGATACATTTAGGGATCCCAAAAGGCGATCCCTTGCTTAAACTTATATCCCTAGCTACTTGCCTTCTGTCCTGCTCTGTCGTTTTCTTGCTCAAGTCTTCAAGCCTGTGTTTGAAGACCCCACTCTTTCACCCATTTATTCCCTTCTTCAATCCCTGAAATTCCCACCACCACCTCTGGATGGGACCTGCACTTTCAAAAGCTTCTCTGATCTCCTTCTCTCTCCTCTTCTTCCTCCTCTCTCTGTCTCTCACTTCCCCCAACTTTCTCCCCTCTACTCTTTGCCTGCCCTCTCTCCCCAATTCGAATTCAGTGGTTTGATTGACCTCTCATTCTTTCCAGCCCTTGTTTGATCTTGGACTTTTTTTTTTTTAGACGGAGTTTTGCTCGTGCTGCCCAGGCTGGAGTGCAATGGCGTGATCTTGGCTCACCACAACCTCCACCTCCCAGGTTCAAGCAAATCTCCTCTCTCAGCTTCCCGAGTAGCTGGGTTTGCTGTCATGCGCCACTATGTCTGGCTAATTTTGTATTCTTAGTAGAGATGGGGTTTCTCCATGTTGGTCAGGCTGGTCTCAAACTCCTGACCTCAGGTGATCCGCCCACCTCAGCCTCCCAAAGCGCTGGGATTACAGGCGTGAGCCACCGCACCTGGCCCTCACGTCTCTATCTTTAGCTCTCTTTCTTCTCCCCCATCTCCTCTGCAGACCCTTCATTTACTCTATGACGCCATCCAAATCGTCATCTCCAGTGTTACTTTCTTATGTGACTACAGTCAATTCAGCTAAACTCAACACAGATTGGGCGCCAACCCCTGTGCCCAGCTGCTTATGAGATCGCTCTCACTATCTGTCCTGGTGGTGCTGTGGGCTGCAAATGCCCAGTGCTTAGTATCTTCCCTCCTAAATGACCTCCCTTCCCATAGGTCCCCTATCTGTCATCACTCATCCTGCTTCCTGTCTTTGAAGTGAAAAACCCTACCGTTTGATTCTTTCCTATTCCTCAGTTATAATATCCAAGCTGTCAGGTTTCTGACTTCAACAGCCCTCTTTGGTATAGCCTTTCTTTGCCCCGTCCCCAACTGCGATATTCATTTGGTTTCTTTCCTTTTGGCAGAGATTTCCATGTCTCCTGTAACAGTGCTCCTTCTACTGCTTCTTCCTGCACCAGGGCAATCTTTCATCTCCCACACCTATCCCTCCTCCTAGCATTGCAGCAGCCTGTAGCAGCATCTATAAGCTCTCCAGAGAACTCACAAGTCTTCCTGTCCAGGCTGCAGGATACAGCAGAGTCCGAGTGGCCAGGATTTGAAGCCTAATTCTGTGCCACAGTTTACCGAAGGCTTGCATGTGTATTCCTACCACATTGTCCTCCTAATAGCCCTGTGCAGTATAACGAGCAAAGGAACAGATGAATTAACCACAGATAATGAAACAAGAGTTTAGGCTGGTTCAATGCTTGCCCAAGGTTTAAGAGCTGATGACTGGTAGAAGCAGGACTCACATCACTCAAGTCTCAGGGGCAGAGCCCAGAGTTCCCTTGTATCTTTCAGAAACTAAACAATGATCGTTTTGTTTTGCTGAAATCTCCCAGTGGACCCTCACTGTCAGTGAAACCAAGTCTAATTTTATTAACCTGGCTCTCAAGATGGAACCCTCATGGTCTGGTTCCAAGTTACTTCTCTAGATTTATTTCCTGGAAAAATAAACTTATATACTGGATTCATGTACCACACTCCAGGAAAAGGTACCCCCTACAACTCATAGCTGATCCCCAGCTTCAACCTATTTTATAGTCAATTCTCCTTGCAGCAGCCAGAGTTGTCCTTCAGTAACGTGAATGAGCTCATGCTTTGCTCTACATTCTCAAGATAAAATCCCAAGTCATTACTGTGGTGCACCAAGCCCCGTATGATCTGGCCCTGAGGGTCTCTTTAACCTCATCTCTATAATTCACCTGCTTGGTAACTTGCCACGTTGGTTCATTTGTGTTCATTGGATACACTCTGCTGTTCCCTCTGCAGGCCCTTTAAGAGTGCTAGTCGCTCCACCTGTGGTGCTACATCCCCCAACACCTGCATGGTGGCCCCTGTCACTTCCAGAAGATTTTTGTTTGTTAGAAGGGCTTCCCTGATGACCCTCTTAAAAATATGTCCTTTGTCACTCTCTGCCCCTTATCCTGCTTTTATTTATTTATTTGTTTTTTTTTTTTTTTTTTTTTTGAGACACAGTCTCACTCTGCTGCCCACGCTGGAGTGCAGTGGCATGATCTCAGCTCACTGCAACCTCCACCTCCTGGGTCCAAGCAACTCTCATGCCTCAGCCTCCCGAGTAGCTGGGATTACAGGCGTGCACCACCACACCTGGCTAACTTTTGTATTTTTAGTAGAGATAGGGTTTCATCATGTTGGTCAGGATGGTCTAGAACTCCTGGACTCAAGTGATCTGCATGCTTCGGTCTCCCAAAGTGCTGGAATTATAGGCGTCAGCCACTGCACCTGGCCAGCTTTAATTTTATTTTCAGTGCCTAACAGCACCTGGCATATTATGGTATTTGTTTCGTGTCTTTCTCCTGCTATTAAAGCACAAGCTCCTTGAGGGCAGGGACTTTGTGTGCTCAGTTTATTCCTGGATTCCTAACACTGAGAACCATGCCTGCTGCACAGTAGCAAACATTTCCCAAACGAATCAGTTCATCAGTAAAAACAAGGCTGCTTGTTGTTTGGTGTCTCTACATTATTACCTATGCTGTCCTTTCTGCCTGGAATTTGTGGAACGTCCACTTTGCACCAGATCCTGCAAAAGACCTCAATGCTGTACTCTCTCTGCCTATTACTACCCAATTCACTGCACAGCTAAAATGTCATATTTTCCTGACCATCTCCAATCACTTCATCTGCTAGTGGTCTACTCTTGTCTACACCCCAATAGCCATGTCTTTGCATCCCTTTTATGACATTTATTGCCCCCTATCTGTAGTGAGGTTATTTGTGTACCAGATCCAATTCTCATTGTATTTGGGACAGTGCCTGGCACAGACTTTAACACATAGTATTTGAATAGAGTAGTATTTAGAGATACACTATGAGAGCATAATTGTGTATTCAATTCAATGTATAAATAGAAAAGTAAATATAAGTGGAAAAGCCTAGAATAGGTGCAAGAGTGTAAGTAACAAAAGGAAGAGAAAAATGGAGGAAAAACCCAAGAGGAGCAGAGATTTATTATCCTTCCAGAAAACACACATCCTTCTTTAGGTTAATCCCTTTCCATGAGAAAATGGCCTGGAGAAGATGACTGGTTAATTTCAGACACCCTTGACTTCCATTTGTCTATTGGAAGTCAGCTGGATGGCTGTGGGAGCTGGAGGGGCGGAGATAAGGACAGATGGCTATCACTGCTTGCAGTCTTCCGAGGGAGGAGCCGGTCCTGCCTGGGCCTACAGTTGTCAGCACTTTCCCCCGCTGGCCCTGCTGACACTGTTCTGACACCCTGTGCACCACCAGAAAGTTCACTGACCCTTCACAAGCAGGGGTCATAGGTCCATTTCCCAGCGTCATCAGGAATCACTCCAGGCTGTGCACTGACCCAGCTCAGGGAGCAGTGGCCAGCGATGTCAGCCAGCAGGAGCAGGGCAGGGCCCCAGGCAGGGGGGCTGGGGGCAATCTCAGACGAAATCAAAACCTTCATTGCAAAGTCCTGGGTGGTGGCTTCTGAGGAGAACATAAGAAACAGGAGGAGGGAGCAGTGGTAGAGGGGCCTCTCTGCAAGGGGTGCTGGAGGCGACTGCAGTGAGGTGTTTCCTGGTGAGTGGGTCAGATCAGCTCACACAGTGGGGATGAGCTCACAGAGAGTGGGCTGAGAGCAGACCAGGAGTGCACAGGTGGCTGCCCTGTCAGCCTTTTCCGGGAGTGGTGGTGGCGCTTGCAACAACTGCTCTGGCTTTGTCCCCTGCTGACCCAGTGCCAGCAGTCTTCTGCATTTACCCCAAGTTCATCTGCACCCCTTTCTTCCCCAGCCTTACCCCTCGCTCCCTTCCACGAGAGGCAGTATGAATAGACACTAAGTGTGGCATCCAAAAAGCCTCAAGCTCTGAAGAAGAGCCATATAACCCCCCTGCACCTTGATTTCTCCATCTGTAGAATGAGTAGGAGAATACTTACCTGCTCTATGCCTCAAATGAAATGCTTATGAAAAATTGCTACTAAACCATCATGCATACGGTACTCATGTTAGTTTTCTTTAGCCTCCCAGCTTATTTATTTCTTGTCTTCCTCATCTTTGCTTACCTGCCCCTTTACAAATCTGCTGTAATATGGGCAAATCATATTTGTAAAAATGCAATTAAGACAAATATAAAGGTTCAACCCCTGAAAAGAGGTAGCTTTGTGCTTATGTGTATAAACCAAAACCAAAATCTTATTTTTGTTCAAAATTTCAGGGCATTACAGATATTTTGCTTTAGGACATAAAAATATTACTTACAACTGATTGAAACAGGTCACACTAATTTTGTGTCAGATCGCCTTTGTTGGGTGCAGGAGATGATGTTTCTTCAACAGATCTAAGCACCGTGGGTGGCTTTTACTAAAGTGGGGTCCGAGGTTGCTTCGTGAGGTGATTCTAAGTGCGAGTGGGAATTGTTCTAGACCAGCTTTACACCTCCTGCCCCCCAAATTTCTCTCTCTTGCCTACTTGTGATCCCTAAAATGTCACCATCAATTAAATAAGGCAAGAGTACCAGGCTAGAATGACAAGCAATGTTCTCTCATGGACATGATTTAACTCTAGCTCATGTCCAACTTAGAACAACTTTCTAGAAGATAGTACAGAAGAGAACAACTATTTATGCATCTGACACAGAAGAGGGAGTGGTTAAAAGATTTTTGTGAACAAAAAGAGGAAGGAAGCAGTTAGACACTGCTTCTGGCCTCAAAGAGTTTCTGAGGTTCGAAGGGGCGCGCTTACTCATGCTTACTCCAGAGTCGGGCTTCTGTCTGGTGTGGGCTTCCCTGGACAGGTACAGTAAGAGTGCCTTACCTGGCCAGCCAAGAAGACAACAGAGGGTGCTGGACATCTGCGTGGGGGAGATGGGTGGGAGAGGTGGAGTCACCTCAAAGGAGGAGAAAGCACTGCCGTGTAAGGCGGGATGTTCTCTAATGCTATCACCACATATGGCTGAACTTGGTCTGTATGTATTAGATAGACAAGTAGGAGGTGCCATCTCCTATTTATTGTGTCCTACTATAATAAAAAAAAACCAGGCTGGGCACGGTGGCTCATGCCTGTAATCACAACACTTTGGGAGGCCAAGGCAGGCAGATCACCTGAGGTCAGGAGTTCGAGACCAGCCTGGCCAACGTGGTGAAACCCTATCTCTATTAAAAATATAAAAATTAGCCAGGTATGGTGGTGCATGCCTGTAATCCCAGCTACTCAGAAGGCTGAGGCGGGAGAATCAGCCTTGAACCTGGGAGGCAGAGGTTGCAGTGAGCCAAGATCACACAATTGCACTCCAGCCTGGACAACAGAGTGAGATTCTGACTCAAAAACAAAACAACAACAACAACAAAACCCAGCTACCTTTTCTTGCATACGTACTCTGTGTCAAGTACTATTCAAAGTCCTTTACATTTAAGCCTTACAGCAACTCTTTGAGGGAGGTCTATTTGCTCTTCCCATTTCACAGATGAGAAAACGGAAGCCTGGAGCCATTAAAGTAGCTGCTGCAGGGCTCTCAGCAAGTAGATAACAGAACCAAGATTTGAACCCAGGCCCTTGGACTCCAGGGGTTCACTCTCTTAGCCAGAAGCTGAGTCCCCTGTGCTGTGGTTTACGTAAGGCCCACAGAATGGTCCCTCTTCTCGGACACTGACACAGCCAGAACTACATCCTGACCCATCTTGTGCTCACCTGCCAGCCCCCGGGATACCGCATGGCTGCGGCTCATTTCTCTTTCATTCTCCCAAAGGCCACAGATGTTTTAGGGAGTGCCCACAGCAAGGAGCTGGCCAGGGGGGACTGGCTTCTCCACTCCCCTCCATCCTGAGATAGGAGCAGTCCTTAAAACCACCAATGGGGAAGGGCCAGCAGGACCCAGTGGCCCTGTGCCCAGAACCAGGCCCTTCTGACCCTCCCAGGGAGGCACACAGGGTGACAATTCATCACACCAAGGCTTTCCAACAGCTGCTTCTCTTCAGACATATGCACCTGTGCACATACACATGTGCCCACACATGCAGACATGCACACACACATAAACACACATGCACGCACCCAGGGAACAGAGTCATGTAGTGACTCAGCCTCTCCCCCAGTGTCTACACGAGGAAGATGGAAGGTGTTCCTTTGTGCTGACGTGACTGAACCGCTCATCTCTGTATAATTTATGGGCCTCCGTTCCCTCTTGCACTGGAAAGGTAGGCTCCCCTCCCACCTTCTACTCAGGGCCCTGGCGCTGTGGAGAATGAGGCTTCCTCTCAGTTTTGAGATATAGTGAATGCAAAGAAGAGGCCGGGCTTGCATGCTCCTCGAGATGCTCAAGTAGGTAGAAGCTGTCAACCTGGAGGCTAGGGGCCCACGGTCCTTCCCTGACTTTGGTAATTATCTGAGTCCCTAAGATGAGCTCCAGGAGAATAGGGGCAATCTTTTGTCCATTTTTACATCTCCAAATCCTGGAATAAGGACTGGCGTATGGGAAGGAGGAAGGATGGATGGATGAGTCACGCACCACCCTGCCTTCACGGGGCTTACACTCTCTCCCCGTGGAGACAGGAGGAGGAGACAAGGGCACTTCTCACGAGACATGGGGGGCCCTCAGGTGGTGAGGGGGGTTGGACCACAAAGAAAGGACATCTGGTGGGCAGGCTAAGGGAGACTAAACATTCTTGGAGACAGCATTAGAGGTGGCCGTGCAGGACTGGTAGGATTACCTTAGGCAGAGGAACAGGCGTGAACAAGACCTGCTGCAGGAAAGCATGCGAACGTTCTGGAAACAGGAGGAACTTTCCTTTGGCTGGAGTACGAGGTGCACACAGAAGAACGACAGGACCCGGAGAAAGTGCGGTGTTGGGGCTGGGCTGGGAGGAGGGTGTGGCCAGGCTGGCGCAGGAAGCAGGAAGGCCGGGGTGAAGGGGTCTCCCTGCCTTCTGTGTTTTGCCTCCTGCCTTTCTCCTCTGGTTCCGAGAATCAATTCCTCTGTGCGAAGTGGATGAGGGGACTTTCCTAGCCTCCGATCTGCACTTGCAACTAGACTGAGTGGAGCCTGGGACAATGGCTTTCCGCTCAGAACCAGAAATCAGGCTCCAGGAAGGCACTCTCCTAGAGGAGGGAGAGAAGGTATTGTTACCTATTTGTGGAAAGACTCCGTGGGGATTGTTACCATCCTAATGACATCAAACTTCAGTGGGCTGCTCTCTTTTGTTAATGGCATAATCCTTTGTTCAGAACACACACACTGCACCCCCAGAACCTGAATGATTCAACTGGATGCGTAAGTGGGGAATGCGAAGTGTAAGAATCACTGGCAAGACCGCAGAGGATTCTGGGAATAAGGCCATTTAGTACAAACTATTCGCCAAGTAAAATATTAAAATGTTACAAATAAGGCCAAAGTCCCCTTTGACGGACCCCTGCTCCAGCCTCGGCCCTCCCCACATCCTCCCCCATCCTCTCTATCGAGTGGACCTTCAATATCAGTCTGTCGTCTATACTTCCAGAATTTATTTCCATATATTTACAAATTTAGAAAATGCATACTTGTGGCTGGGCGCGGTGGCTCACGCCTGTAATCCCAGCACTTTGGAAAGCCAAGGCCAGCGGATCACTTGAGGTCAGGAATTCGAGACCAGCCTAGCCAACATGGTGAAACCCCCGTCTCTACTAAAAATACAAAAATTAGCCAGGCATGGTGGTGCATGCCTGTAATCCCAGCTACTCAGGAGGCTGAGGCAGGAGGATCAGGAGGATCTGAACCCTGGAGGTGGAGGTTGCAGTAAGCCAAGATCACATCACTCCACTCCAGCATTGCACTTGTATTTTTGTACACCTAAATGTATTGCTTATGTGGTTTTGAACTTGTTTTAAAAGCCGGAGGACAGAAAATGAAGAGAACACAGAGTACCTGATGAAGTGGAAATAAGAAGCTCCTGTTTGCATTTTCCTTCCATGCTCAGGAAGATGTGGAAAGAGAAAGTTACACTTTTATTTTCCTGCTTGGATGCCTTAGTGCCTTCTGGAAATCTCTGCTAGATCAACCCTCCTCACACAATCATTCGCAAGTCTACCAGGAATACGTAGACGGAGAAATGCAAGCATGGTAGGCTGTCACCCATTCTGCTCAGCCAGAGGTGGATACCCACCACCCCCTCATACTACCAGAAGGACACTGGCTACTGGGGCCTCCTGACACTTGCATCTACCTTTTCAATTTAAAAAACACGAAACTGTATCCCTCAACCCAAGGATGTGGGAATTCATCCCATAGCTTGCTCAGATCTCTAGTTCTATAGACATTGTGCAAGTTCTCTTGCATTCTTTTAACTCAAAATTCCAGGAAACACAGAGCCTTGCAGATAGAGGCTTTCCACTGAGAAAGAGACAAGCAAGCTGCTTAGATAATTCATAGACTGGAAAAGTCAAGGTGAATTATTAATAAACTTAGCAATAAAGAAGATTTCTGGCTGGCCAGGGTGGCTCATGCCTGTAACCCTGGCACTTTGGGATGCCAAGGCGGGTGGATCGCTTTAGGTCAGGAGTTCGAGACCTGCCTGGCCAACATGGCAAAACCCTGTCTCTCCTAAAAATACAAAAATTAGATGGGTGTGGTGGCACGTGCCTGTGATCCCAGCTACTTAGGAGGCTGGGGCAGGAGAATTGCTTGAACCTGGGAGGCAGAGGTTGCAGTGAGCCGAGATCACGCCACTGCACTCCAGCCTGGGTGACAGAGCTGAACTCCGTCACAAAAAAAAAAAAAAAAAAAAAAAAGTTTCTTCTCTCAGATGATAAAGGACACCTTTTGAGCAGATGAAGTCTTAAGTGTTAACTCCCATGCTGTGAAACTGAGAAAGTTAGACTGCATTTTCATGTCACCTGTTACCAAGGATCAGCTCTCACTCTGGGTGAATTAAGCACTGATTCTTTTTCTGCTTCCTAAAGTGACACAACTGATTTAACCTAATAAGTGATCATTTCATTAGGGCAAACTAAGGCCATGTCATCCTCCTCTGATAATTTGTCTTCCTTTTTATTTCCATGTGGCACTTAGAGGCCATGTTGGTCATTATCAAACATTGCAAAAATTTCTTCTGCCTTCATTGTAAAGACAAATTATAAATTGCTTTGGGGTCAGGTTTTATGAAGATGATGAACGCCTCTAATGGGTTCCAGGTGCTTCTTTTCCACTAGCCATGAGGCCGTCCACAGGTTATTGCACAGATATTATCACAGCTTGGTAATATTGATAGGACAGCTGTGCCTAATGTTTTCCTTCTGCCACCTCTTTTTTTTGTTTTTTGTTTTTTAGCTAGTCTCACTCTGTCTCCCAGAGTGGAGTGCAGTGGCGCAATCTTGGATCACTGCAACCTCAGCCTCCTGGGTTCAAGCAATTCTCCTGCCTCAGCCTCCTGAGTAGCTGGGACTACAGGCACGTGCCACCATGCCCAGCTAATTTTTTGTATTTTTCATAGAGACAGGGTTTCACTGTGTTAGCCAGGCTGGTCTCGAACTCCTGACCTCGTGATCTACCTGCCTCGGCCTCCCAAAGTGTTGGGAGTATAGGCATGAGCCTCTGTGCCCAGCCCTCTACCACCTCTTTTAAAGGATTTCCATTGACATCTGGAGGTCTTAGATGCTGAGATTTTCTATACGAAAGAAAAATGAATTTGCCTTCCAACTTTCCTCAAAGATTTTATTTCTGGAATGATTTTTATAATCCTCAAGAGCAATTTTCTCCACTGTCTTTCTATGCCATGAAGTGACACATCTCTGCCTGCCACCAAGCATGGTTCCTCAGCAATACATTGAGTCATGCCTGGTGACAGTATCCCCAAGGCCTGCCAAAGGCACTGTTGGCTTTGGACGCCAGACGGCTCTTGGCTCCTGGAGCTACTCTTTTACATGCCAGTGAGTGCAAGGCAGCACTTCAGACATGGGATTCTGAGGTCTGATCTAACATGCAGCATCAAGAAAATATATTGTAAAACAGAGGACATAGTGCTACACTAAAATAGCATATTCTGTGAATCCAGTCGTGCAAGTGACAACGTACCAATTACATTCAACTATAGCTTTGCTTACTTTTTAAAGTTTCATGTTAAAATGGTAAAGATTTACATGGAAACAGTTCTCTCCAGTGGACTGTAAGTCCCATGAGTGAAGGAAATGGGCTTGGTGTTCCCTTGATGATGCCTCAGAGTGCATCATAAGCACACCCAGCACAGCTCCGGGAGTGTTCTGGAACGCACCAACAGTGGAACTCTGTGCTGACCCCAGCTGTCATTCTCGGAGCACCAAGAAAGGGCAGTGTGGCAGTGCCTCCAGGAACATCATCCTCACCCTTGGGTTCTACAGCTCCTTCCTAGGCAGCACAGCCAAGCTCTTGCTTGCCCTCCTCCCCAGCTCCCACCCACCCCTCCTCTTGCCTGGCTGAAGGGAAGCATGAGCGCCCTGTTCCCAGCAGCTTCCCCTAAGTGGCTGCCTGACAGCCCCTGTTCAAGCGCCTACAGCCAGGGGTGACAGGGCCTGTGCAGTCACACCCCATCAAGAGCTGGGGGCCCACCCAAGCCCCACCCAAGGGTCTCTGTGTGTCACCTATCCATCTGGTGAGGGTTTCCCACTCCAAAGAAAAGCCCTTTCAGTCCGTTCAGCTTGCCTCTTAAGCACAGCTTCTGTCATACCAAGAGGCTATTAGATGCCATTATGTTACATACCATGGCATAGCACCTAAGTCACAGGCATGATGACATCAGTGTCAAGTAGAACTGTGCTCAAATTTAGTCTCCAGCTAGCTGGACCGGACTGTTCAGATTTCCCAACTTCTCTAGTCCCTAATTTTGTAAATGAGTAAAACAGAGGAGGTGATGATGATGATGTTGATATTATTTTCATAGGGTCCTTTACTGTATTAAATGAAATAATACTAGCAAGCCACTTGGTACTATCTAGCAACACAGAATCTCTCAATACATAGTAGCTGTTATGAAGTTTCCTCTCCACCTCCCATGTTCTCTTACACATCCTGTAGTACAGAGTATGTACTTTTGTGCATTTTTCAAGTTATGAAAATGTGCTAATAGCATGTTAGAGCACATGTCAATCATTCAGATACTAAACAGGTTAATCAGTTAAATAGATTAATTCTAGGTATTCCATTAGTGCAGAAAGCAATAAACTAAAAGAAACCTAATAGAGCAGCAGTATATTTTTAAAAGTGGCTTCCATGTTGAGGCTTGAGTGTCCATCCAACACGATCACCTCCACATTACACAATAAGAACTCATTAATACTCAGAAAGATTAACCTGAGCTACTACAAGGTCTGTATTGGTGAGAAAAAGACCCAATTTTTTTTTTTTTGAGGTGGAGTTTCACTCTTGTTGCCCAGGCTGGAGTGCAATGGCACAATCTCAGCTTACTGCAACCTCCGCCTCCCGGGTTCAAGTGATTCTCCTGCCTCAGCCTCCCAAGTAGCTGGGATTACAGGCATGCGCCACCACGCCCAGCGAATTTTGTATGTTTAGTAGAGACGAGGTTTCTCCATGTTGGTCAGGCTGGTCTCGAGCTCCCGACCTCAGGTGATTTGCCTGCCTCAGCCTCCCAAAGTTCTGGGATTACAGGTGTGAGCCACCACATTTGGCCAAGACCCTATTATTTCAAGAAGACCTTTTAAGGTACAAATATTCTTGATGCTTTTCTATGTGATATATTGCAAAGGAAAGGGGATGCTAGTGACCCCAAAATTCAGCAAGCCAAAATGCCCTATTTTGCAAGGTTTTATTTTATCCAGACTTGATTGAATTGAGTGAGTGAAGAGTGTCTGTGGATTGGAAGATTTCTGGCTATGTGTGGTTGAACTGGCATCCATCACAATTCTTTTTCCTGTGTCCTCCTTCAAGACCATGTCATTAGTCTTTACCTATGGTTTAGGCCTCAGAGTAGGGAACATAAAATATATAATCAAAAGATAACATGCTCCACTAAAAGCATTTTTTCATACTATTACATTAACCCTGAAAATACTTCTATGAAGCAAATATTAATATGCAGAACTTACTAACTTCCTTTGATTGCTGGAGAGATGAGGAGCAGTAAGTAGTTGAAGGGCCACTGAAATTTACAACATGAGCTACTCCTGTCTCATTAATACCAGAATTTGGGTCTGTGGATGCCTCATCGCCTCTTTGCTATCACATTGCCTTTGAAGGTTTGCAAAGAGCTGCAGTTCTGACTTCCCCTTAAGCTGAATATAACTGACTTAGGGGAGAATGACCATTTCAGGGAGGGTGTGCTTCATCTCCCGAGGGGAAAGCACAGTAGCCCATTCACTGTGCTGATCCCTGAGTGACTCATAACGCAGCTGCTTAGATAGATTTATGGCCAGTTGATGGATTTAAGGGCTGTTAGCTCTTTTGTTTAATTCATATTAATAAAGAAGGGGGCTGTATAAAAATTTACTGTTGCATGGAGAGAATCTATGAAGCATCACAGCACAAAGATTATTATGTCTTGACAGCTCAAGAAGTAGAGTAGAACCATGCTTTCTTTAATCAGGTTTTGCAGTCTTAAAAGCAAGCATGCTTTGTTGGAATTTACCCATAAAATTTGCAGGACAAACTAAACTCCAGCAATTATGTTAAAGCCCTGTTCTCTTCTTACCCACCACCACCACCACCACCACCACGAAATTACTTTTACCGCCAAGACATAATGTCTGTGTGTGTGTGTGTGTGTGTGTGTGTGTGTGTGTGAGAGATGTGGCTTTTTTTTTTTTTTAGATCAGACATAAACACTCCAAGGCTGAATTCTGGCAAGTTCTTTTGTCCAAGTTCTTAATTTATGCTGACATACAGTGTGCATACATCAGTTTACAGCTACTATGGAGAAATCAAATCCTGATGATGTCATATAGTGGCATAAAATTCTTAAAGAACATCTGAACTTGCAAGGGACAGGATTCATTCTTATTTTCTACAGAAGCTCTCTTCAAGTATTAGGGGCTAGCTGGGTTCTCAATGCATAACACTGAATATGAGATGCATAGGAAAGGCATCTCGTTTGCTACGTATTTGCCATGTTTTAGGTACAATGTCTATCTTATTTTACTTATCAACACAATGACGGTTCAAGGTATGATTAATGAGGAAAATAAGACCAAGAGAGGTTAAGTAACAATCTCATCAAGGTCACCTTGAGCAATTGTGGTAGGCAGAATTCTGAAAATGACTCCAAAGATTTTATGCTTTAATCCACAGAACTTGTGAATCTAATGCAATATCACTCCCAGGATTATATCATGTGGCTCAGTTGACCTTAAAATAAAGAGACTATCCATGGCTCTAATTTAATCACATACATTCTTAAAAGCAGAAAGTGTTCTCTGCCTGCTACTCAAGAAGTCAGGGAGATTCAAAGCATGAAATGGTTTGATGGATGTCCCTTGCTGGCTCTAGGATAAAGGGTAAAAGGTCTATGTGCCAGAATAAGAGATAGGCCTCTAGGAACTGAAAATGAATGCAAGCAAGGAAACAGGGACCTCGGTCCTACAACCAAAGAAACTGCATTCTGCCAACCACCTGAACGAGCTTGGAAGTGATTCTTTCCCAGAGCTACAGATAGTGAACTCCTTGAGCATGAGGTTGTTGGCAGAGAACCCAGCTGGGCCACACCGGACTTCTGACCTATGGCAATCGTGAGATAGAAAGGGGTGTTTTTTGTTTGTTTGCTTGTTTGTTTTGTTTTTGTTTTTTTGAGATGGAGTTTCACTCTTGTCACCCAGGCTGGAGTGCAATGGCATGATCTTGGCTCACCGCAACCTCCGCCTCCCGGGTTCAAGCGATTCTCCTGCCTCAGCTTCCTGAGCAGCTGGGATTACAGGCACGTGCCACCATGCCTGGCTGATTTTGTATTTTTAGTAGGGACGGGGTTTCTCTATATTTGTCAGGCTGGTTTCGAACTCGCGACTTCAGGTGATCTGCTCACCTCGGCCTCCCAAAGTGCTGGGATTACAGGCATGAGCCACTGCGCACGGCCAGGGGTGTTGTTTTAAACCACTAAATTTGTGGGGATTTGTCATGCAGCAATAGAAAGCAAATATAGCAAGGAAGTGGAAGAGCTGAAATCCAAATGCAGCTCCACTTGGCTTCAACCAAGTGAACAAGAAAACTTCCAGCCTAATCACAAAACTGACGTAAATAGGTTAATACAGAATAAAGAACTAAATCATTTCCAAAGCAGAATAGCACGGTGAGCTCTTAGTTTGGTATTTACCTCCACCCCAATCCTTGATGTCATCCTCTGGAACAGCCGTGCTTCTGCTGCTGAACCTCTACTCACCACGATTGCACTCCTGTCATTACTGTTACCTTCATTAGGTCATGCTTCCCAGTTTTTCAAAACATTTTCAGGTTTGTTATCTCATTTTCTCTTCACAACAACTCTGCAAAGCCGACTAGACAGGAATAATTATCCTTGCTCTCTGGTTGAAAAAGGTGAAGAGCAAGCCATTAACTAATTTTTCTAATAGTCACCAAGTCACTGAATAGGATAGCCAGGAACCAACTCTGGCTTTCCTCCAAGTACAATCTTTCCCTTGAGATTATTAAGAAACCAGGCTGGGTGTGGTGGCTCACGCTTGTAATCCCAGCACTTTAAGAGGCTGAGGTGAGAGAAAGTGAGATCCTGTCTCTACAAAAAATTTAAAAATTAGCTGGATATGGTGGTATACACCTATAGTCCCAGCTACTTGGGAGGCTGAGGCAGGAGGATTGCTTGAGCCTGGGAGGTTGTGGCTGCAGTGAACTGTGATCATGTCCTCCAGCCTGGGTGACACAGCAAGACTGTGTCTCAAGCAAACAAAAAAAAGAGGCCAAAGCTCAGAGGAATGGAGCAGCATGCAGTGGGTCATGTACCTACTGGCCTCATAATTCCTGGTTTCCCCACGCACCAACTTGGAATTCCTCTGTGTCATCTGACCCTACCTTCTCTTCCCCCTGGAGCCCAAGGCTCAACTCCAGCACCACAGCCTTCTTCCAAGCACCAGCCCTCTGGCTGGGGTCCCTCTTCACACAAGCCCCCAGCCACATGAACCGTCTTCGCAGGAGCTTTGCCCTCCCACCTCAGGGCCTCTGACTGGCTGCAAGGTTGTCTGCCTGGAACACTCTGCTTCCTCCCCTTTCTCTTTGCCATCTTAACTCCTACTCATTCTTCTGATCCCAGATCAAAAGACGGTTTTAGAGACAACTCTTCCGATATATTCTCCTTCTAATATATTATATATGTAATATATGTAAATATATTATATATATATTATATATATTTAGTGTTGTTGTTTAAAGGGATCTGTAAAACAGCCTCAGGCAGGTCCTGCAGAAAGTTTTCAGGAAAAGGCATTGTGATCACAGGAGACGACAGCTCCATGCATGTTATTGCCCCTGAGGACCCTCCAGTGGGACAAGATGTGGAGGTGGAAGACAGTGATATTGATGATCCTGACCCTGGGTAGGCCTAGGCTAATGTGTGTGTTTGTGCCTTAGTTTTTAACAAAATAAATGAAAAATAAAATAATTAAAAATTTTAATAATAGAAAAGCTGATAGAATAAGGATATAAAGAAATAAAATATTTTTGTACAGCTGTACAATGTGTGTTTACAATGTGATTACAAAAGTCAAAAGTTTTAAAATAAAATTAAAAGTTGATAAAATTAAAAGGTTACAGTAAGCGGTTAATTTATTATTGAAAAGAGAAAAAAGGTTCGTATAAATTTAGTGTAGCCAAAGTGTCCAGTGTTGACAGAGTCTACAGCGGTGTACAGTCATGTCACAGGTCTTTCCATTCACTCCTCACTCACTCAGTCACTCACTCACCCAGAGCAGCTTCCAGTCCTGCAAGCTCCATTCATGGTGAGTGCCCTATAAAGGTGCACCATGTTTTATTTTTTATATCATATTTTTATGGTAATTTTTCTATGTTTAGAAACAGAAATACTTACCATTATGTTACAATTGCCTATGGCATTCAGTGCGGTAGCATGCTGTAGCCTAGGAGCTAGAACGCTGTACCATATAGGCTGTACCATATAGCCTGGGTGTGTGGTAGGCTATGTCATCTAGGTTTGTGTAAGTGGACTCTGTGATGTTCACACAATGACGAAATCGCATGTACACCCACCGCTAAGCAACGCACAACTGTACTGATTTGGGTATTATGTCATGGACGCTGATTTCCTCCATTATGTGGCAATTCCATGAGGACTGGATCAGTGTTTCTTTGTTCACACTGTGTTCCCTGTGCCTTGCATGGCCTGGCCCAGCAAATAATGGGTGACTTAATGAATGCACTGGGCTGGGTGTGGTGGCTCATGCCTATGATCCCAGCACTTTGAGAGGCCAAGGCGGGTGGATCACCCGAGGTCAGGAGTTCAAGACCAGCCTGACCAACATGGTGAAACCCCCATCTCCACTAAAAATACAAGAATTAGCTGGGCGTGGTGGTGCACGCCTGTAATCCCAGCTACTCCGGAGGGTGAGGCAGGAGAATCGCTTGAACCTGGGAGGCAGAGGTTGCAGTGAGCCAAGATCATGCCATGCACTCCAGCCTGGGCGACAGAGCAAAACCCCATCTCAAAAAAAAAAAAAATATATATATATATATATATATATATATATGTATATATATGTATATGAATGCACTCATGCATTGCGGTATAGCTAGTCTTCTGGTAGGCCGGCCATTACATCAAGGATAGCCTCTCCAAGTGGCCAGCTTGTGGGGGTTCTTTTGGCAACACTAGACCTCCTCTTTCTACCTCCACCATCCCTACACCAAACCCACGAAGTGAGAGCAGGACCTTTCCAGAAAAACGTAACGTCCCCAATCCCTTAAGATCCCTTCACAGGCCTGACTGGAATGCGCCGTGCGCCACCAGAACACTTCTCCTTTCCGCGGACTGGCACAGATGCTGTTTCTCACCTCCTCCCACTAACAGCTCTGTTGCCAGATCTGCTGATGAAGAGCCTCTCCTCTTCCCAGGCGGCTCTAACCAAGACACCCCCTGCAAGCTACTGTGCAGACGCTGCTCCAGTGGCTGAGTCCATCTCCTTCTCACTGCAGAACTCGGTCATAACAGCTGTGTCATGTGTTAGCCACTCACGAATAAATTGGCATTTTTATTTTCCTTTCTTGACAAGCGCTATTTATTTAGAAAATTGTTTGAAAAGTTGCTCTAGGCAGCCTGAGTTCCTTTCCAGTTCTGAAAAATTTTGTCGGTCTGAGATTTGCTGGTTTAGCACTTCAGACGTAGTAAGTGATGCACCAAAGTTCCCTTTAATCTAGTTTCAGCTCATTTGTTCCCTACACTTCTGCCAAGAACTTAGCAGTCCATTAAGAAATACTATAGTAGAGAGGCCATGACTTTAAAGAGCCTGCCAATGAATCATTTTGTTATATGAATAATTACCTTCAATTATATCAATTTTGTTTGCTGACATTAAAAAAAAAAAAGCATGTCCACACCCGTTTGACCATTATGAAATTCAATATATCTCACTGACTCCATTCTATCTTTACCAAAAGTCACACTTTGAGTGCACACTCGGTAAAGTATTTTGGTCCTTGTTGGAGTCGGGGCAGAAGAGGACAGATGGACAATGTGTGGTTTTAGACATTTTGAGGAGGGACATATCCCAGGGATGTTTGGGGCACACCTAACATAGGAAGTGGTGCTGGAACTTCTCCTTGGAGGAAGGGTACATCTCAAAGAACACAGGAAAGCACATTCCCGCCATAAACACAGACATTCACATAGTAGGCTTGAGGAATACTACTTATTGGTAGATTGGGCTAACTGAAAGGTTTGGGTGGAATAAAAATCATAGTGGTGGTGATAGTGACGATGATGATGATGATGGAAGCCAAGGTGGTCAGAGAGGGGCTAGATGAACAGGTCTTGAAGTCAGGCTAAGGAGTTTGAACTTGATTATACGCTAGGGAATCAATGAAGTGTGCTCAAGGGATGGCTGATGTGTGTATACATGAGGTAGAGTCAGGGCTTCTTCTGTGAAGGCCAGGTGTTCCTTACCTTTTCTGCACACTCCGAGTATCAAGCTGAGAGTGAAGTGCCCCTGATTCCAGTATATTTCTTTAACAATCCTTGAGAGACTGTTTGAGCACATTATTTTGTGAAGTCAACTAACAAGAAATTAATTGAAAATTAATGCATCCACCTTATGGGATGACCTATACATAATTTTTAAAGCAATAAATATAACTAAATATATATATAAAAACTTTGGCCAGGCACGGTGGCTCACGCCTGTAATCCCAGCACTTTGGGAGGCCGAGGCGGGCGAATCACCTGAGGTCAGGAGTTCAAGACCAGCCTGGCCAACATGGTGAAACCTCGTCTCTACTAAAAAATGCAAAAATTAGCTGGGCATGGTGGTGAGTGCCTGTAATTCCAGCTACTTGGGAGGCTAAGGCAGGAGAATCACTTGAACATGAGAGGCGGAGGTTGCAGTGAGCCGAGATCCACCACTACACCCCAGCCTGGGTGGCAAGAGCAAAGCTCTGTCTCAAACAAACAAACAAACAAACAAAAACAAAAAAAAACTTCAAATAGTATGCAGATATTCCAATAAGCGTTGAGCCCTTCTTACTTAGAAATTTGTGAAACAAATAAGACTAACTGGTATTGTAAGGACTTACATCCGTCACCCTTTTTTAAGGGAAATATTTTTGTTCCAGGCCTATCAAACTCTTCTCCTTTCATTTTTCTAATTTAGGATAACTTGGTGATCCTTATAGGTATCTAACTGATCCACATTCCATGCTAATCCACAATGGATTGATTGTTTCCTTGCATTGGAGGTAAAACAAGAAAAAATTCAGAGAAGCAATTCTCATTCAAGCTTGCAATTTCTCAAAATTGAGTATGTAAGTAGAGAGTCTTCCTCAACTATGATCCTAAACTCTAGCCACATTGTTTCCACTTAGCCCCTGAGCAAGTCTGGACAAAGCTGACATTTAATTAGATGTGTTCTCCTCCAATGTGCACCCTGCAAAATCACCTGCTCCAGTTCCGTGTGACTGCCTAAGCACCAGCCTGCTTTCTGGACAGCACTGCAGCAGTGGGAAGGGTTATATACGCCAGGGCTCTGGAGAGCAGGGGCCAGGAGTTAGCTGGAGGGAGGATGTGCAGGTTGCAGGCCTCTTGCCCAGTCGCCCCACTACCCGTAAGTCTTTGATTCTTCGCTTACTTTCTGGATCACAGTCACAAAATTCTCTCTGGCCACACAGCTTGGTTGCACTTTTAGCCATTTAGGGGTCCTTTGTGTGCTGTTAGCTAGGCAAACGGTATCCCACTGAGCCCAGGCTGGTAAGAGCACTATGTAGAATGCATAAGAGCCTGAAAGTGGGCATATCCCAGGCGGAGGCTTAAGTGAGGAGGACTTGAACTATAAAGCCAGAGTAGATGAACAGGAAGGAAGGAAATAGACCGTAGACCCCTAGAAGGTATATGGTCATTTCATCTTTATGTATTATATTTTTCGTTATAAGATTACAGAAGATATTTGTTCATTTAGTTAGCCCATATCAAGGCTATCTTCTTTTTTAAATTTTGTTTATTTATTTATTTACCTGAGACAGAGTCTGCTCTGTCGCTCAGGCTGGGATACAGTGGTGTGATCTCGGCTCACTGCAACCTCTGCCTCCCAGGTTCAAGAGATTCTCCTGCCTCAGCCTCCCAAGCGGCTGGGATTACAGGCGCCCTCCACCACGTCCAGCTAAGTTTTGTATTTTTAGTAGAGAGGGGGTTTCACCATGTTGGCCAGGGTGGTCTCAAACTCATGACCTCAGATGATCTGCCCACCTTGGCCTCCCAAAATGCTGAGATTACAGGTGTGAGTCACTGCGCCTGGCCTATCTTCTTTTTTTTTCTTTTTTAACTTGATGAATAGTTTTAAAAGATCCCTTCTGTTCCTAAAGTTGGAAGGATACATTTCCTAAAAGAAATAGGAGCTCAGAACATCTTGCTGAGAATGTGGGAGTCAACTCTCAGGAAGGTATTTGGTTGCTGGAAAGTGACCATGAAGTTGGTTTCTTCCTGGTTGAAGTCCTTCTGTAATTACAGAAATAGTTACTTTGAAACCAGTATACTGAGTGTGTCTGAAGTTAATCACATTACAAAGGACTCCAGTCTACACAGGCTGTTGAGTCCCTGTGATTTGTGGGGCTTCAATCTTCTCTCATATTTCTGTCTAGATATTTGGTAGGCAGTTTTTATCTATACATAAGTCATTTGTTCAACCATGGTGAATAAGCCGAAGGGGAATAACAAAAATGAAGGCATCAATTTTTAGAAGAAAGATTTTTGAAGAGACATTTAGAAAAAAAGGATGACATTTATTTTGGCTCTGATTTAATTTAATTCTATTGCAAAATTCCAAAGAAATGTGGAGCTTGGAATTCATATGTAATGTATTGATATTACATAATCAGGTTTTGCTGAATTAGGCTGCAAGGAAAATGGTAATAGGAACAAGGACTTTGATAATGTGAGTTTTGATAAAGTTGAGTTTTTTGGAGGGAAGGTGACTCGGAAATTAAAAAGAAAAAGAAAGGAAAGCTAGAAGGATAGACCTGTACAGAGACAGGAATACGTATGCAAATGTGATTGTGATGAGGAAGTGGATTTTATTTCTGTTCTGAAGAGAGCGATACACCCAGGTGGAGAAGGTGATCTCATCAGTCTTTGATGCAAAACATGATTCTAAATATTTAGGGTGTATTCACTGAGCAAACACTGAGGAATTAATATCTATTACATGTATTTCACTTATTCTTTTTTTCCCATTTATTCTTAATAACTTCTAAGTTTATCCAGAATATTGTAATAGAGTCTGGGTGCTAAAGGTAATGAATAAAATTTCCTTGAGTTTAGTAACAACGAATTTGGAGAAAAAAATGGGTTTAAGGTATTTTATTATAAATTGGCACATAGGAAAAAAAACTCAGTTCCCCATAATATTTTAGCAAGTCAGAAAGTTTGATCATGCTAACTTGAAGAAAGTATGTTGGGATCATAATGATGTCACCCTCAGTTCTCTCTTCAGGGACCTCCAGAGACAAAGTAGAAATTCAGTTCTCTGAGGAATTTTCTCCATTCCCTGCTCATTTCCCCTCTGCTCCCCAATATTGTCACATTGTTTTTCCAGGACTGAGTTTATGATCCTGCTGATAACTGCCTCCTTCATTATTATAATAAACTCTGCTTAAGGTTCAGGTCTTCAGATTTTCAAATATCAATGTTTCTCCATCCAAAATGAATTTTCATTTTTATTTGTGAGAATTGTATGAGATTTCTTTTTTTTTAAAGTTAGCATTTTTCTTACGGGTGGAACTATATGAAACTATACTTCAAAGTTCATGTTTTAACTTGTTAAACGTGTAATGTGAAAACCCAGGTCTAGATCATTTCATGCCCAATTCCAAACATTTTAGACAACATTTTGCAGTTGATGAGAGAATAACCTTTAAAGCCTGGCTTCATTGCAACCTTTCCTTCTGGAGTTTTTTGCTTGAAATAAGGCATTTTTTATTTTTCGTGAAACATAGCCTGCCACCATTTGACATGGAAATGGAAAAGAAAGAGCGCTGACCATCACACGGCTCCAAATTTGCCAGCAGCTCCTGAAGAGTTGCTATAGATACCTTAGTGATGGCCCTCGGTTATTATTTCTAAGATGATGTAGTGTCTGAAAGAACACTGCCAATTTGCAGTCTCACAGACCTTTATTCGGCATTAATGAATGAGGATAACCGTGGGGCTTTTTTCCGTTCCCCTGATTGCTTTGTTCTCACTCATGATTCAGTCCCCACTTTACTGCTTTTGATCCCATCCTGAATGTAAACTTTCTTTCCTCGTAGGTAGAAAGCCTTATGTGAAGATGCAGAGAAGAAAGGAGAACTAGACAATCACAAAACTTCATCAGATGGTAGCCACATACAAGGGGGAGGGTTTCTGTGGACTAAAACTCTTGTTCCCTCCAATTTGTATTTGTTCCTGCACTGATCAAGCCTGCCCTGCACTCTTCCTTTGGCCCCTGCACTCCAGCTGACGAATAAGGTCCACACATCTTACCAGGGTTGCGTGGGAGCCCCAGATCCCTGTGGTTGGACCACTGACGGTGGCACCATTCACTGGTCCTTTTCTCTGCCTCTGCCCAACATTCCCAAGGGCCTGTGGTTCCAGTATCCTTTGGAGAACCGTCTTTGCACAGTAAAGCTTTAATCTTATTATTTTTCATGTCTTCCTTTAAAAGGGGAGGATGGAAATTCACATCTCAGTCTTTCTTCCTCACAACTCTTGTAAAATTGGGATCATGCCCATCATGGCAGCAAAAATTTTTTGCAACACCCAATTCTAAGAAGAGGACTTGGATGGAGAGTCTAAGGCAATGCCACAGGTCCTATTTTTATTGACGTATCTACACACATACCTCGAATCCATAGCTCCTCATTCTATCCAAATGCCTACACTGCTCCTTACTAATTATCAGACTTTGGCCACATTACCTAAACTCTCTAAGCCTTAGTTTCCTGATAAGCTTAAATGCATCAAACAATCCTGTTCTGGCACTCATGCAATTACCCTCAGGACAAAAAGATAAAAGTCTATAAAAAGTGGTTTGCGCGTCAGTGAAACCAAGCTGACAATTGCTCTTTCTCTGCTTAGACCCTCCCTTAGCACCAATCAGCTCGAGACCTGGCCCTTCCAACTTGCTGGGAAGGGTAAATAGGAAGAGCTCACAAATAACATTTTAAATAAGCAGCTGGGGTGGACTTACAGGAACTGGACACAAGTCCCTGATTTGGAGTGTTTGCCATTTTTTGTGGTGTAAATATCTCCACCATGGCTGATTTCAAGCCACCAATGTGATGTCAGTTAGTTACAAAAGTTCAAAAATGTTAACAATCAACTCTTAAAAACTAGTACAAGCCAGCAGCAACACAGCACTCCTTCTTACCACTCAGAAAACACAGTTTTGATAGTATCCGTTCAGTACAGCATGGGGTCTTTCAAATTTCAGATTCATAATTCCTAATTCAATACTTTATGGGTTTTTTGAAGGGGGATTTTAGAAAGGCCATACAGTGCATATATCATATATTATGCAAAAGTCCTGCAGGAGTCTGGGCCAATACCCCGAAATCAAATACCTTAATATTTCTGCATTTAAATTAGTGGAGATTCAACTAACTAAGATTTTTTTAAAACTATAAATAGTCTCAAATCATTGCAGGTGTGGCTTTATTGCCAAATGAATTCAGGTCAGGGCAGGCTTTGCCACAAACAATTAAAAAAAAAAAAACTTCCCATTTGCAGGGTTGTTGGACTTTAGAATTGAGGATAGAAGACCGTGAATTATTGTATAGAGTATCTTACCAGAGCACATGTGTGCATTTTCCCACGAACTATTGTTCAGAAGAACTCAGGTGGTCATGCAGTCAAAGAAGAAGGTGACCAGGAGAGATGAAGACGGCTGGTTCATGTAGAATCTCACTGTGTACTGAGAAACCTCAATGGCACATGGTACCTGAGGGGACAGCCTGGGGTCACAGAGTTGGTTCCAAATTCCTGCATTGCCCCTTACCAATTATAAAACCTTACCTTGGCCACATTACCTAAACTGTCTAACCCTTAGTAGCCTTATTTATAAAATGGAGAAAAAACATCTACTTGTTAAGATTAAATAAATAAGGCATGCAGAGCACGTAATGTAGAGTTGGGATATGGTAGGTATTCAAAAACCAGTAGCAATCATTATGTCTACTAACTCATAAATATACATGTCCCTCCATATCCACGGGGAATTGGTTCCCCAGAGAACCCCTTCCTGACCAGGATACCAAAATCCTCCAGCCCCTAATATAAAATGGCATAGTATTTGCATATACTACATACATCTTGTGTATACTTTAAATCATCTCTAGATTAGTTATAATACAATGTAAATGCTATGTGAATAGTTGTTATACCAGGCCATGCGCGGTGACTCATGCCTGTTATCCCAGTACTTTGGGATGCCAAGGTGGGGGGATTGCTTGAGGCCAGGAGTTCAAAACCAGCCTGGGTAACATGGCAAAAATCTGTCTCTACAAAAATAAGTAAATAAATAAATACAAGAAATTAGCCAGGTGTGGTGGTGTGCGCCTATAGTCCCAGCTACTCAGGAGGCTAAGGTTGGGGGATCACTGGGGCCTGGTAAGTCAAGGTTGCAGTGAGCCATGATCATGCCACTGCACTCCCTGTCTCAAAAAAAAAAAAAAAAAAAAAAATGGTGGTTATACTGTATCGTTTAGGGAATAATGACAAGAAAAAAAATGTACACTTTTAGTACAGATTCCACTGCTTTTTTCGAATATTTTTTATCCAATGTTGGTTGAATCCCTGGATGTGGAACCCATGGATGCGGAGGGCCAACCGTATTTGTTTTACATCGTTAAAACTGGAAGAGAGAAGAAATACAGCAGAAGAATGAAGGAACATGCTTGAGGCCTCTGCCACCAGTTTATTGCTTAATATTTTTAACAGTTAATTTTTCATGGGTAAAATAGTCCTTTTTACCTCCTGATTATTTTATTACTTTAATTCTAGCATTCATGACATTGAATTTTAAGGGAGGGGGAAAGTATTTTCTATCCATCTTTACTCACACAGCTGACTACAAAAGAAGGGGGAAGAGAAAGAGCAGGGCGTAGCGATTCCTTCTTTCATTTTTGTCTGAAAAGTTATCCAAAAGCAATTGGGAGTGAAACAGGAGCAAGCTGGAAACCCACAAGAAGAATCTGGCTTCAGGGAATATTTGTATTTGGCCAAAACAGTGCTTAAGAAAATTTGAATTCATAGGCCTTCAGGTGTGTACCACATCCTGACAACTTGGAACTGCTGACCACATTATTTTACTGGCCTGGCCTCTGAAAGCATTTAAATTTGAGATACCCTGTCTAAAGGCACTACTCACAGTGTGCACTTAAGGGGATGCTACTGGTATCTAGGATGGGACAACTCGTTGTTGTGCAAGACTGCAGAACAAGTGCATTGCAGAAAGTTTAGCAACCCTAGTAGTCCACCACGAAATACCAGTAGGCTCCCCCTTCCACAGTGACAATCAACACCCTCCTCACCACCTCCACCACACACACACATTTCCTAATGATTCTACTACTTCTGGGGATAACTTCTAAACATAATGTTTTTGAGAAATAAAGTTGGAAGTAGCTCTTCCCTGCGGCACATCCAACATAAAGAAAACGGCTCAAAAAAATACACTAAATTTCAAAAGCATCCAAAGGTATACTCTGTTATCAACTTGAGCATCCAAAAGTATACTCTATTATCAACTTGAAAATGAAGTGAATTTTGAAGCAGAAGCATAAACTGGCCAGTGTTGCCTTACATTTTAGTAGAATACAATTAAAGATGTGCTCGGTTACCAAGAGGTCCAGGCTGTCTGCCTAATATTGGATTTTGTTTGTCTCTAAGATGTATTGCCCCCACGTTTAAAAGTTTCAAGTTCTAGAATTTTTATTTTCGCAAATATCAATATTTGTAAAGCAGGTACACACACAGCTTACTTTAATATATTGGTCAAAATTAAGGTAACATAGGCAGTTAGAGTAATAGGTAAAATGATGATGTCGACCATGAGCTATTTACACTTATTTTCACACGTCTGTTACCTGGCTACATTTCCTTTTTCCATCTCTTGGTCCCTTTGCTGTTTCTTGCCCTGGCCAACACTTGGTGTCCTCCTCCTATGCCAGGGCCTCCTTTGCAGGTGCCGGGGGAGCTGTGCTTTTTAAGAAGATCTGATGCGCTTACTATGCTAGTCTGATAATGCGTGTGATAATCCTTCACTATATTATCTTTGATGGATAATGAATTTGCACTTGCCTCCTGCAGATCAGTCCTTAACCTTCTAAGTCACTAGTGATGGAGATTTTAGGTACTCTTGTTCAAGCAAGCAATGTGGATGCTCTGAAGTGTCAGGATTTCCAGAAGTTCTCAAATTCTTCTACCTACTTTTAGGCCCAACTCAACTAGACACTAATAATCATGAACAGTCCTTAGTGTATCTTTGACTCTTTGGGCTTAGTACAGCTTCTTGATTTTTAAATCTTCTAGCTAATTGGAGGATTGAGAGAAACAGCAGCACCAATGTAGATTTTGCTGGCCACTCCCGGCTCCATAGAATTTGAAGACACATGTCATCCTATATGCACTTACTTATGCTCTTGGTCTTTCATTTTCCCTACGTGAGACTTTTTCCTACGTGAGTCCCTTCTCTTACCCTAATCCCTCTAATAAGTTCAGGACATTCTAGAGAGTATTTTTTAAGCCTCACACATCCAAATTTGAAATTGAAATAGCTTCCCCATCCCCTGCCAGAAAAGGGATAAATGCTACCTGTTTTTTGTCCCTCAAGTTCTCCTACAATCCAGTGGACATATTTCTGATCTTGTGTAATAATAAATTTAGTATAGTCACTATTCGCATCATAAAAGTTATCACCATATGTCATAAAGTTAAGGCAGGGTGTGATCGAGCCTTTTAACTCTGTAAGCTTTGCAAACATTAGCTCCCATATGTGCGTGGATTGGTGACCCTGAAATATGATACTGCACAAAACTGTGCAATTGTGCTGCCTTTCAGGACAAACAGCTGAGTTCGTGAGATGAGAAGAACCGGAAGGCAGAGCTGTCTGCATTCTGCTCTGCCTCGCATAGCTGTGTGGCCTTGAGCAAGTCACCAAACTTTCCTGAATAGCTGTGACCTTATGCATAATTCAGGGATTATAGTATCTACTTTACTGAATCTGTACGAGGAAGAAATAAGACACCATAAGAGGCATTTAATAATCTTTTTAAAGTAAAAGTTGTACAGGTTTGTTACATAGGTAAATGTGTGCCATGGTGGTTTGTTTCACCATCAGCCCATCACTTAGGACGTTCAGTCATCTTAAAAAGCAAGAACTTCTCTTCTACAGAAATCTAATTGATAGACCCACTTTTACTTGAGAAGGAAAAGGTATAATTTGAGGGTGGGCTAAGCCTGGGCCTGTTGCCCTCAGCCTCTTCTTGTGAAGAGAATCACTCAGAATCACAGGGTTATGGGGATGGGTGGGGGAACACTCCTTCAGGCTGTGTCTTCTGAATTCCTCTGTCTAGGAGTGGTAGTGACTTTCTGTTGCTGTTAATTTCTGGGCTGCCTCACTGTCTCTTTTTGGATTCTTGATTCTTCCATCACTTGTAGAGCCAATTTCCTGCATTAAAGTCCCTCTTTTATAAATACTTGAACTGGGTTCTGTTCCCTTTGTTTGACATTGACTGATAGAGCAGTATTAGAAAGACCACTCGCCAAAAGAATTTTCCCAATGCTGGATGCACCATTAGAAAGCCATTCCATTGGGTCCTTTTCCTTAAAGTGGAAGAGTAGACTCTTACTAACAGAATGCTACAGCATCTTCACAACTCTTATGTTGTCCGTTCATCCATCCAACAATCCACACACTGAATATCGTATACCTATTGTGTGTTAGGAGCTGAACTAAGTGCTGGACACACAAACCAGACCCACAATGTGTCAGGCCAGGTGATTTCAAGGAGCTCAAATTCTAAAGATCTAAAGGGCAGAGTTCATTTGCCTGGAAATCAGGAATGATCACAGGACTTAGGTGCTTAGTGCTATACTTGGCATACAGTCTCAACAAAAGAAATTTCTTGTTCCTGTTTCCACTTTCTACCTCCCACCTCATTAATAAACTGAGGTGAAGTGAGCGGGCTGGCCAGGAAATATTATAACCATCCCATAAGCACAGTACCAAATTCAGAAGAGCTATCTGCCTAAGGGTGAGTGCTCTTGAGCAGCAGCATCTGCAGCTGATCCAGTCTTTTCATCAGATCATAGTGCTTCATCCACAGCTTCATTCGAAGCACTTGTGCTAAGAAATGCATAACTGAGGCCAGGCATGGTGGCTCACTCCTGTAATCCCAGTGTTTTGGGAGGCAGAGGCTGGAGGATTGCCTGAGGCCAGAAGTTCGAGGCCAGCCTGGGTAACATAGCGTGACCCCGGTCTCTACAAAAAAAAAATGGTAAGTAAGCCCGGCATGGTGGTGCATACCTGTAGTTCCAGCAACCCAGGAGGCTGAGGCCAGAGGATTTCTTGAGCCCAGGAGTTCCAGGCTACAATGAGCTATGATTGGTGCCACCGCACTCCAGCCTGGGTAACAGAGCGAGATCCCGTCTCAATCAATCAATCAATAAAAGAGGAGACAGCAGAGAACAGGAATCCCCAATTCTCCTCCCTTCCTTTCCAAGTTGTCGGAAACCCTTATCTCTCAGCCACAGACACACTCATCAATGAGCTTCTTTGAATCCTAGATGCTTTGAGTGTCAAATAAAGGCTGGCACCTACCTCACAGGGTTGATGGAAACCATTAATGTGGTACTATTTCACAAACATACTGCACACTTCTAACACAAATCACAACATAGAGAGATGGGGTAACAGGCATGATTTTGTGTGAGCTCCAGAAGCTGGGCAGGGTCTTAATTAAGCTCAGTTTCCTGTCTGTGAAAGGCGACTAGCACCTGTCCTGTCAACCTCACAAGGTTATCGCAAGGCCAACTGAAACAATGCTTTGAAGATGGCAAATGTCTGTTTTAGTCCCATTGCAAATCTACCGTGGTAAATGTATTCCAAGCATAACCCAGTCCCATAGTTTTAGGTAATACAAGTCAGTTGTGGAGACTCAAATTATAAAACAGAACATAAACTCCACGTGGTAGAGAACTGTGATGCTGTGTAGCCTTACTGCACAAACCTTGTTTTGTTCCCAGTCTTTATGATAATTTCCATAATCATGTATATGCATAAAAGCAGATAAAAGGCAAAAATCAACAAGAATAGCTAACATTTATTCAGGCTGTAGAGCATGTGCCAGACAGTCTCCTAAGCCCTTCACGCACATTCTCTTATTTAAATCACATACAGCAACTCTATGAGGTAGGCACTATCATCATCATCATCATCATCATCTCCATTTTACAGATGAGGAAACAGACAGAACACAGAGAGGTTAAAGCGTTCTCTCAAGGCCACACAGCTAGCAAGTGGTAAGGCTGAAGGTCTGTTAACAACTAAGAGTGCAATCAAATCCACCACCAAACCTAAGGGGGTCCACAGGCGACCCTGATACGTCCGACTTTGGCGGGAGATTAGTGTTAAGAAATGACTTCACATGCCTTTAACTGTCGCTGCAGGCACCTTTGATTGGAGTCATAACTTTACTGCAGAGCCGGTGCCTTTAAACATCTCTCTGGCTGTCACCGGTTATTCTTTACCTCCGTTTCCACTTTTACTTTCTCTAGGCAAAGGTCGTTTGGTGCTTTAACCGAGGTGATTAGGGTAATGACGCCTGAAGAACACCGGGCTTCCCCCTCTTTTCACTTGATTACCGGCAAAGCTTCTATGTAAAACTAGAATGTTCACTAAAACCATGATTTTGGGTATTATTTTAAAGGACTCACATAGGAAATTATTACGTCCAAAGGAAAGCTAAACCTGAAGAGCTAGGAAAATGAAAAAAAGTGATGTGTCTGCGAAAACAGTAGCAGAATTAAAAAAAAAAAAAACTTTATTCCCCCCGAAGCTGTAATTTGACTGTTCTCTTTGGCAAGGCTCCAGAGACAAGGCCAAGTGCCTAATTTCTCTTTCTCTTCGCCCCCCTCCTCTCCACCTTTTTCACCCTCAGGGCAGAGGGGAGGCGGGACGAGCGATCCACTGCTCCGGCCGCCGAAGCTGGCGTCTGGGCGCGGGGAGGGGCGGGCCGGGGCGCGGCCGAGCAGTGGGGCCGAGCCCGAGGAAGAGGAAGTCGGAGCCCGAGCCTGAGCCCGAGCCCGAGCCCGACGGCGGCTGCAGGGCGCTCCGGCAGCCCGAGCCGGCGCAGCGCAGCCCGCACCCTCCCCGCCCGACCTGCGAGCGCCGCCCGGGCATGCGAAGCCGTCCCTCCCCGGGTAAGCGCCGGTCGGGCCCGGACGCCCTGGGGACTTTTCCAGGGATGGGAGGGGGGACCCGGGGACCTCCGGCGGGAGCCCCACATCCGCAGGTGGGGCCGGGCGGAGCGTGGTACCCGGGCCCCGCCGGCCCCCTGCGCGCCCCTCCGCAGTGGGGACGGAGGGCCTTGGGGGGCGCCGAGCGGTGGGGACAGAGGGCGCCGGGGGCACCGCGCGGTGGGGACGGAGGGCGCTGGGGGGCGCCGCGTCTCGGGGGTCGGAGTCGGGTCGGGGATGCTGCCCGCCGCCGCCCCGCTTGGGGTTCCGCGCCCCCAAGTTCCCGGTGCTCCCGCCCCTCGCCCCAGCGGCTGCAACATCAGCGCGCAGAGGAGTTTCTGCGAGCACCCGGGAGTTGTAGCCACCGCTTCCCCACCCCCGACTCAGCAGGACAGCCCCAGAACGGGACCCCACAGCCAGTCAGCTGGGTCAGCTCCCCAGCAGCGAAGCCGGGAGCCCGAGGACCCGGGGACGCGCGGTGGGGGCGGCGGCCGAGCTGCTGCGGCGCTCAGGGCTTGGGGGCGCCCCCGTTCTGCAGATGCGCTTTTCAGGGGGTGGGGAGTCAAGAGCCTGTGGCTCTTCCGTCACGGGGTAAACGGTAACACCTGGGCGGCCGCGACTCTGCGAGCGTTCTGGCCTCGGCGGGCGGCGGGGAACCGCAGTGATGCCCGAGCTCGCCCCTTTTGTGTCCTCGCGGTGAGCCCCGTTCCGAAGCCGGAAGCTTGGGAACGCTCTAACTGGGAGAACGGCGCTCGGCTGGTCAATTCATTCCGCTCCTCGGAAACAATGAGCTGGATCCTTGACTTGAATGTGCTGGCGGAGCGGGGTTTGTAAGCCGGCGTTTCATCCAGCTCTGGTCCTCAAGGCGCCCTTTGTACCACCCGCAGGTGGCCGAGGCTACTGCACGTATTTTCGAAATCACCGAGTGTGGGTGTTTGGGGCAGGTATCACCCCGCGAGGACCATCTCAGACTGAGAGTTGGTTTAGGAGTTTTGAACAGATTGGATACAGAACTATATTGTGTTTTGTATTTAGACCGGGGGAAAGACTAGAATGTTAACTCTAGGGTCCAGTTTGTCATCTAACAGAATTCCGGGCTTGGGTAGGTCCTGTAATGCGGTACAATAACAACCAGGTGTTAAAACCGGCATCTTCTGGATTCTCAGATTCTGTAGACAGCATACTTCTAAAAAATGTAGAGATTTTGGATTTTGATTAAATTGCTGTTAAAAACATTTCCAAGCCCATCATTTCAGGAGATCAGAAAATTTTCGAACTTTAATTTTGCCCTGTGGGACCCTGGGCAAGATACTTGCCTCTGGTCGTCTTGGCTGCCTCCCTTATAAAGCAGTGCACACGAACCAGATAGCTTCTACGGCCTCCTGCTCATTCCTCATCCCCCTCCCAAACCCCTACCCCCTGTAATTTGGTCTACAATATTTAAGACAGAGAGAAAAGTAACGGGTTGATGTTTGACTCTCTCAGCATTTTGAGTCTGGCTTCCCAATTCCTGACTTGACTTTTTGTCTCATTTGAGGTCCCAATTCTAAGCCACCAAACCACCTGACTAAAGAAACTTTTTTCTTCAGAGTGCTCCCACCTCCCTGGCTTCATCCTCAAATAGGTCATCAGTAGCAGTCCACAGTCAACAGCAATGGCTGCACGACCTTCCCCATCCTTGTGTAGCAGCCCCCCAAGTCCTCTGCTAAAGGGCAAAGCAAAGTGAGAAACAGTTACCTGGCAATCAGATGCCAGATAACTGCCCCGATTCTGCTCGTCCTTGGTGGCATTTTCCTGCTTCCCCTACTCTAAATGGGCACCCTGAATTAGGGGCACCAGCTTCCTTCAATGCCTTTAATATAGGTGACTGTCACCGAATACAGGCTTAAATATTTCAGTGGGGGATTCAGGCTGTAGTTCAAAGAAGTTAAATGATCATTTTTAAAACAATAGGAAGTGGCAACATAATTTTTCAAAACCAAGAATAACCAGTCCTATGTTGTGTTCCCCCTTTGCGGATATGATTTTTCAGTGATTTAATTAAGATCGAATGGTTCATAGTCTGTCCCATAAATATGGGAAATGCTTGAGTAGCACTAAATCTCTTGAGCCCTTCGTCAACCAAAAGCAATTCCTGAAGCTATTATCTTAATGGCGGCCGTTCACTTTTTTGCAGATTTCTTTTCCTCTCCACTCCTTTCATTGCTGGTGGTTGGTCTTTCAAGCAGTTGTCATCTTTTAATCCTCCTGCAGCATGATTAGGTCCCTGGAATATTAAACCCAGAAGGGCTCTTGGATGACCTAGTCCAGCCCTACATCTTAAAGATTTAGGAAGTCTGGTTAAGATCCAGTGATCTAGAATTAGCCTACTTGTGTGATGCTCACATCTACGTCTCTGTAGCTTTGAGACCTTCACTTCTTTAAGGAAATTACTTAGATATGGATTATTTCATAACCAGGAAAAGTAAAAATCATAGTTGGTGTCTCTCGGTTTTCTCACCTTTCCTCATTTTCACACCTTTCCTCCTTTCTTCTCCGCCCTTGTCTCAAGTTATGCCAAGGATTAAATGAAATGATTCGTATCAGTGTTTGGCACATATGGTGTGCTTTGAAGATGATTGTTGTTGATAAACCAAGTCCCAGGAGTGTATGATTTTGCAGAAGTTTATACATAGCTCTGGACTGTCAGAACTGTGATTTAACCAAGGTTCTCTTCTCTCTCCCCTGCCCCTCTTGAACTGCACTGCCTAAGAAATGTTGGTTGCATGGAGACATATTTTTAATTAAATGTAATGGTTCAGTCTTTAAGAAAAAATTATAGATCGAGACCATCCTGGCTAACACGGTGAAACCCCGTCTCTACTAAAAATACAAAAAATTAGCCGGGCGAGGTGGCGGGCACCTGTAGTCCCAGCTACTCAAAAGGCTGAGGCAGGAGAATGGCGTGAACCCCGGGGGGCGGAGCCTGCAGTGAGCCGAGATCGCGCCACTGCACTCCAACCTGGGCGACAGCGAGACTCCGTCTCAAAAAAAAAAAAAATAAAAAAAAAGAAAAGAAAAAATTATAATCCCTTGTCTCTTTTGACTTAGGAAAAATATGGTTTCTAATGCGAAATGTTGGTGTATTCAGGCAGGGATGGGAAGGAAAACATTTTTTAGACAAAGGGTCTGTAAGCAACCTCATGCTTGTGTGTGGCAAGGCATCTCAGATATTAATGTTTCATCACAGGCTTGCATCAATCTTGCTTGATAAAATTAAAAGCTGATCCCAATCCATTCGGTCATTCAGAGTCACGGGCAGTCTGTGCCAAGTAGAATTTACTGACAGAAGAGTCAGCTTTCAAGTGATTAAGAGATGACTACATCTTCAGCTTTATATTGTCTATGCTGATGAAAAGCAATAAATGCTTTAGCTGAGAAGACAGAAGTATATGGCTAATCACCTAGCGATGGGGCCCAGGTTTGCTGTGGAATACCTGGGCCATAGCGTATCTAATGCTGCAAAACAGCTTCAGGTATGCCTGGGTGATTTCCAGTCCAGTGATTAGGAGTTGACTGTGTATCTAGAATAGTCTTCATGTTTGAGGCTGAGTATCTTTTCAATATGTAAACCTAAGGTTAAAAAAAACAAAAAACAAAACCAAAAACACTTTTTCTGATGAGATACAAGCCAAAGTAAAAATTTCCACATCTAAACATCCTTTGGTAAATATTGAATTACCGTTTGATGGAAAGCTAAATCCTGCTGGATTCGTGGATCCGCAAATCCATAACTCTCCTCTTCTTTTCCCCTCCCTTCGTGGTCCTAGAGGGAAGGCAATTTGAAGAGTGTTAATGGTAGGCTAAGTTTTTTAAAAATTCCATCTACACCCACTTGTAATAACCTGATGGGAGGAGAGTCAGGGCTTTCACTCGGTCTTTAATTAAGAAAGTTGTTTTGGTAAGCTTTAAATACCAGGGTGTTATGGAGGCCTCTTAGCACCAGCACTAGGAAGGGCAAACCCTTTGCCATTATAGCATTTGGCCAAAAGCTAGCAAGCCCATTTATGTATAAGAAGGAAATGTTTTTAAATCATCAAAGAAAAATTTAAGATAAGCATGAGTCTAATAACAGCTAAAACTTTAGTATTCTCATAAGAGGAATTATTAATCCATAAATCATCATAGTATTAAATGAGCTCTAATATTTGAAGTGGTGAATAGATCTAGTTCTCTGGGTCTAGTCACATTGAGCACCAATTTAAATGGCCTGTGACTGTCTAGACATTGAAAAGACACGTAAAGTCCTAGGTGAGGGGATGGCAAGTCTTTTCCTGTAAAAATCCAGGTAGCATTTTAGGCTCCACATGTCTCTGTCATATACTGTTTGATTTGAGATGAGGGTTATTTGTTTACAACCCTTTAAAAATGTAAAAACCAATCTTTGCTCACAGGCCATACAAAAACAGGCTGGATGTAGCCTGCAGCTATAGTTTGCTGGCTCTGTTTTAAATGAACTATTCTGTTTTGTAGTGTCCTTCCGTATTTTCGTTGAGACCCAAGATGACAAGTTTCATTGGCTCTATCTATGTTGACTCATCATAGACGGACTTATAATCAAGATCATTTCGTCACTCGGTTTCCTAGTCACCTTTTTATATTTTATCTTTGCCCTGGGGCTAGAAGTCTCTGTTAAGCATAGCCATCAGTTGACATAGAAATGGCAGTGCCAGACGTCAACATTCTACTTTGAGTTAGATGCTGAATGGGGGAGAGAAGTTGGACTGGATTGGGATAAAGTCCATGGTTGACACAGACCACAGATAACTCCTATGAAATGAGGCCCAAACCTCTGAGCAAGGCACCCACAGCCCTTGTATCTACTCTTCTCCTGATACCTCTTCATGTATACCCTGTGTCCTTGCCATTCAAGTAACTTGCAGAGCCCTGGGTGGGCCGCACTCTCTCTCACCAGTGGTGGGGTCGTTCCACACAAAGTTGAAATATCTGTCTCTTCCCTGCAGCCCTTCCTCATTTATTGGACAGAGATGCCGTCACCTCCATCTCTATGTTTGCACAGGAGTTTATAAATGAAGCATTTAGAGGTCTAGAGAAATGTGGTGATTCCCCATTGGCAAATATTACCTTTCAAAAGTGGGGGAACAGTTGTATTCTTCTTTGTATAATAACTTCATCTTGCCTTACATCTCTAAACCAGCCAGAGAATCAAGCACAAAACAATTCCAGGGCCTTGGATGCGATACACAGTGTAGCAGAGTACATACGTGTATGGGCTTTGAAGTCAGGCTGAGCTGAGCTCTAGTTCTTTGTTTTCCCACTTACCTGCTGCAAGTTCCCCATCTGTAAAGTAGGGAGTAAGAATGACCTTTCAATTATTAGGAATAAATGGGATTTCCCTCTGTAAAGCATTTAGTTCAGAGTCTGACATGTAGTAATTGCTCGATAAATGGTAACTTTTATTCATTCCAGAGCGTTTATTGAGAACCTACTATGCCTAGGATAATTCCTGACCAATACAAGAGAGACAGTTTCCATGGAGATGTGATCGGTAAGGTGGTGGAGACTCAGAGTGATGGATGGGCTCCCTTTGATTGGTGGTCCAGGAAGCCTCTAGGAGGAGGAGGTGGCAACATTTAAACTGAGACCTTAATGATATTGATGAGTTCCTGTTTTATCAGATCTAAGATATCTTTGAAATATTTCAATTTTTAATGAAATATACAGTTTTAAAATGTTCCACTTTAAAATGTACCACAAAGAAAGAAAAACTACTGTCAATAAAATTGGCACCATCTACTGTAAGTTGCATCCATAAGTTGTGAAAAGTGTGTTCTAGCATCAGTGAAGTGTGTTCATTGTATTTGTGCTCAATAAATACCCATTGAATAAATGAGTGTTACTCTTTGATTGCATACAACATTCTGCTACCACACTGTGATTGAATTTCTTTCCTCTGTTTCTTAGCTCTGGGGTGTTGACTTAGACCTGAGAAAAATAATAATATAGTACATAAAAGTATTGCAAGCCATTTATGATCTAATGTATTTTTAAAAATAGTTTAAAACATTTACTTTGGTGAAACCTTCACTTTGATTGCCGAAGTGTGTCAGGGAATCCTGTTTACGTAAAATTGGCCTACACATAACTTGTGTAGGAGTGCAGTTGAGCAGCTCTTGCAGCCGGATAATTCCTTTTGGCAGCTGTCTGCAGAGATGTGTGAAACCTTAATGCACATAAATGCCATCTGAAGGGCAACAAAGGCATTAGCTCCAGCCTTCCTTCTGTTTTATAGATTTAATTTAACATAAATACTCCTTCTCTCCTCCCTATCCCACGAGCTGAGGTCCCTCTGACCCAGTAGGTCCTTTGGAACAGTGAAATGGAGGAGGCTCCATTTAGATCCAACCCCTTCCCAGCTCTGGCAAGCCTCCAGCTTTTCACACTCCAAGCAGGGTTCTCTTCCAATATTTCCCCATCCTCCTCCCTGTTTAGAGAGTAAAATACTGCTGAAGTCTTTGCTTTTTCTGACCACCCTCTAAACTTGAATCCTAGTCAAGACCTGTTTTCTGCGCTCACTTTAGAGCCTGTTGACCCTCTCTAGCTTTTCTCTTCGTATCCAAGTTCCCTTTAACTCCTCAGTTTCTGGATGATTCAGTGGAAGTCTTGACAAAACTTGGCTATTTCTGGCTGTAATCAAGTATGCATTCATGCTGTTTTGATTTTCAGTTCAACATGTCACCCAAGCCCCTGGCACTCAGCAGCACTCAGGGGCATGCTGGCTCACATGGTGATTGGGTCCTTCTGGAATCTGTTCCTTTGGGGCATTCTTCAGCTCCTCCCACCCTCTCCCAACTCTGCTAGGGAAGCCAGAGCAAAGCCCCTTCCTGCACCCTGTCTGACAGGGAGGGTCAGTCAGCACTTGGCCAAGAAAGAAGGAAGCAAAGCATGGACCCGTTTTCCTTCCTGAGCTACCCCCTTCCCTTCCCTCCAACTTCTCGTGTGATTAAAGGCCCTTGTGTTTTAAGAATTCTTCAGAACGGACACCAACTCTGGCTGAAATTGGAGTCTTTGGAAACAAGTAGAAGCAAAGGAGAAGTCATTTGTAAGCATTCCAGGGATGCTGGACCATGGTCCAGCCTTAGCCAGGATGATTTAAGGCCGTCTCTGACCTGTGACTAGCAAGCTGATTGCAGCAGAGGGAGAATGGGGAAGAGGTGAGGACCCATGGAAGAGCTGGTGAGGCTGATCCCCAGCCATCACAGAGCTCAGCTTTCCATGGCTGTGTGATTACAGACAGGCCTCAAACACTGACATCTGCACTTCTCTGATGTGCTGCAGAGAGAGGAAAAGCTGTAATCTGAGGCATAAATATACGATCCTGTGTGTTCCCTCTAACCATGTAACCTGCTATTAGTTTAAGCATCTATGTTGTGCTAAAGTATTAGAGCTGCATCAAAGGGGAGGATATGGTTGTTCTGAAACAGCTTACAGTTTCAGTATTCAGATGTCTCCCACTTTTTAAAATTGGAAACAAGTAAAGGTGAACGATGCCGTGTGAAGGTCAGAGTCAAAGATCTGGGATTACTGAGTGGGTGGTAGGGGTGATATTAGAGGAGATGCAGCCTTTAGAGGTTTATTTTTTAAAGGAAAAGCGTTTCCTTACATTATGCCTTTCCCAACATGTGTGAGAGTTTTTAGGGAATTTCTTGATGAGGAATAGCGAGGGTGGGGCTGCCAGGGTAATGAGATGGTCAGGGAGCAGATGGGAAATGGGTGCATGGATGGGCTGATTAGTACTGGCTCTCTTGAGGAAAGCACTTTGGGAAATATTTGGAAGCTTTGGGAACATAGTTCATGGAGGAAAACCTTGGTGGTCTTGGCTTTTCTCCATTTTTTTTTGTAGCTGTCTATATGAGATAAATGCTATTTCCCCCTTTGACAATTGTTTAGATTCAACTCAAAGGAACATCATTTCATCACAATACTTAGTGATATCTGACCTTGAAGCTGAAACAGCAAGGAAAGAAATGTGAAGATAATGATTTTGTACACATGGAACCCTCATGGTCCACAGGTGTGTCCCATCCCAATGAAGCATTACCTTTAGCCACTTAGAATTCAGATGGCTTCTAAAAAGCATCCTTATTATGAAACACTCTTATTTTTCTTTGTTTCTTTTTAGAACTTATCTGAAAATGGAAGCAAATATTATGAAGTTCTGAGAACTGAGCTGTGATGAGTTCTATCACAGCAATGACTTTTGAAATCCAGAAAGCCCCTGAGGAACAGAAGGAGACTGGTTTTGCCCTATGATCTGTCATGTATCAGAATGTGATACTGTCTAATACTATAGTTTAAGACATTTCTAACTAGGGAGTGAACAGGTATTTATTCTTCTTACAGAAATAAAGAAGAGAATACATTTCTGTACTGGCTAAAGTCATAACAGCTAGCAATAACTATTCTAAAAATCTCCCTGGTTTTGGATTACTAATATATGCAGAAGATATGCTTGGCAAATGTTCAGAAACTATATGCCATATCTTTAATGAGAAAATTATTACTCGATGCTTCAATATGCATAATACAGACAGCAATTGAATCTAATATTTTCTTTATTTGCTTACCTATTATAGTACTAGTTTAAGTTGGTTTTGGGGATATTATGAAAAAAACTGTGTGCATGGAAAAGATAAGTTTGTTTTTCTAAGATCTGAATACTCAGTTGAAATGCGGGAATAGTGTAGAAATTGGGCAGTCTGTATGTTATTTGGAAGTTACTTGAAAATGCCTTCTAAAATGGGGATAAGATGATACAGTAAAGACGTTATGAGGTTTAACTGCATAATATATGTATGGCATCTAGTACAAAGGAAGCCTTTGATAAATAGTGGGTATCTTATTGTGTTTACTGGTTGTCACACATAAGTTTTATTCTGTTACTAGATGGCTGGAATAATAAACCAACATGAAAATAACTGGGGAAAACAGTCTAGGTGTTAGAAGAAGGGCGTTAAGTTTCCTAAGGCAAAAGTCAATGGTGAGAGGGGGCAAAGGGAACACATTTTTGCTTGACTGTAGTAGAGACCCAATGTTCATTACACTTGGGAATTGAGATTAGAATTAGTTTATTCAACACATGTCCCTTTCTAAGTTCTGGAGATTCAATGTTGAACAAAACAGACCAAACCTAGAATGAAGAGGAAACCCTACATAAGACAAGTACTTTGAAGAAAATTACACAGGGAAATGGGGTGGGGCATTGTATTTGCTTGGGTGGTCAGAAAGGCCTATCTGGAGAAGTAACATTTCAGCCAAGGTTTAAATCATAAGGAGTGATCTTGAGAAGATCCGAGGGAATAATATGCTAGACTGGGGAAGAGAGTTAAGTAGGGCAGGCCTTAGAGAGAAATAAGCTCCATGAGTTCTAGAAAAAGCAAGGCAGCCAGTGTGTGTGTGTGGAGGAGGAGCAGTAAGCAGGAGATGAGGTGGGAGAAGCAGGCATGGCTGGGTTATGCAGGTCTTTATAACATCAAAGACCTTTGCCACAGCTTGGCAGTGTGATGCAAAGCTACGGGAGGATTTGAAGCAGGGGAGTAACATAACCTGATGGATGCACAATTACCACTCTGCCTGCTGCGTAGGAAAAGAGCTGTCATGGAAAGTTCTGGAAGCAGGTGGAGCTGTTGGGAATCCATGCAGTGGTACAGAGAAGGAGGATGGTAGCAGAGGAGGTGGTGAAAAATGCATTGGTTCAGAACTGGCATGTCGGCCAAGACAAGGCAGCCACAGGAGAAAGAACGTGTGGGGCTTGGACAGCATAGCTACTGTTGCTGGCTCTGCCCCACCTGTTCACGGTCGCCGTTTCCCACGTCCAGCATCCTCTCTCCTTTAGTTCCCCAAGAAAAGTACCCAAAGCGGCTCATGGCTCCAGGTGATGCTGTGACGCGATGCTGGGTGAACTCCCCTCACCACAAGCACCTACGAAGCAGGTATGCCTTCCTTTCAGCTCCCTGGCATCCTGGGTACCTCTATTTTAGCTCTTTCCTTCTTTCCTTCTTTCTTTCTTTTTTTCTCTCACTCTGTCACCCAGGCTGGAGTGCAGTGGTGCGATCTCAGCTCACTGCAACGTCTGCCTCCTGGGTTCAAGCGATTTTCCTGCCTCAGCCTCCCGAGTAGCTGGGATTACAGGCACCTGCCACCATGCTTGGCTAATTTTTGTATTTTTAGTGGAGATGGGGTTTCACCATATTGGCCAGGCTGGTCCCGAACTCCCGACCTTAAGTGATCCACCTGCTTCGGCCTCCCGAAGTGTTGGGATTACAGGTGTGAGCCACTGCATCTGACCTATTCTAGCACTTTCTATGTGGTATTTTTGGTAACCATTTCGTTGTCCACCTTCCCTCACTAGACTACAAGCTCCTTGATAGCAAGCATTGAAACAAAATAATTTTTCTTTTTACTAGTTGAAATTAGCTTTAAGAAATTTAAGTTTTAAAAAATCACAAATTAATTGAGGAATAGCAATTCTGAGTAGGTAGCTAAATATTTAAATAGGAAAGAAGAGGAAGGAAAAAAAAGAGCAGGAAAAGGAAGGAAAGCAAAGAAAAACCCACTAGAGCAATCCAACAGAGCCCTGGGTTAACTCTTTAAAAAGGTTTCTTTAGAAATTGTTTTTGTTTGAATGATTTTCTGTAATGGGAGTCAAGTAACTCCATTGGTTTAAAGGTTTTATAGGTCTATAATAAATGTGGGGCTCTGTAATATGTATGTTTCTTCCCTTTCACTGGTTTATTGTAGAGTTGCAAACTCAACAGGGATTGTGTTTATTCTGGAACAGACACAGCTATCAGATAAATTGTAGAGGTAAGAAGTCTCCAATATTCCAAACCATTTGAGTGTTAGGCATTTCCAAATAGGATATCAGCCCTATTCCAAGCCTGCAAACGTACCTTCTGATATATGGGGAGGGCATCATAGACCTTTTGGTAAGGTGGGAATCACCTGGGCATATAGATCATGCCATACTCATCCTTCTGTTCCCACTAGAGAGCATGGTAACTGGCACACCATTGACCTTTAATCAGTTGTTTGCCTTGAATTTTGGTCCACTTCTTTATGTCTACTGTATAGTGGAATTTGCAGATCTGATGTTCAATGCTAATTGTGTGGGTTCTGAATGAAAACCTTACTTCTGGTTTACCAGCTTAGAAATGAAAAAACAAGTCTGAGAAGTCTGTGTTTGTTATTCTCATATTCAGAATGTAGCACTCTTGTTGGCAAAAAGACCCAAAACAAGCATACAAACAAAAAAATTAGCTAAACTGCATTGTAGAATGTTAAGTGGTACAACAATTGCTCTGTGATTGTAAATCCAGTTTATTGAGACAGATCTCCAAAGAGCCCCTTCCTATTAAAAAGGGATGGATTCTGATGGCTTACTTTTAGTTGCCGTGCCTATTAGAAAATAAATGGTGGCCGGGCGAGGTGGCTCACGCCTGTAATCCCAACACTTTGGGAGGCCGAGGCAGGTGGATCACCTGAGGTCAGGAGTTCAAGACCAGCCTGGCCAACATGGTGAAACCCTGTCTGTATTAAAAATACAAAAATTAGCCGGGCATGGTGGTGGGTGCCTGTAGTCCCAGCTACTTGGGAGGCTAAGGCAGGAGAGTCGCTTCAACTCGGTAGGCGGAGGTTGCAGTGAGTGGAAATTGCACCACTGCACTCCAGCCTGGGTGACAGAGTGAGACTCCATCTCAAAAAAAAAAAAAAAAGAAAGAAAATAATGACATTTCTCATAGAATATGCTGATTTAACATTTCTGCTCAAATAGTGAGGCTCTATTGTGTTTCAAAATAAGTCAAGAGAAAAACTCTGAAATGGGGTTGGGGATTTATCTTTTTGGCTTTTGCACAATTGACTCAAAGTCACCACCCATAACTGGACTCATAATCTCTATTTCCAGACCTACTTTCAGCTTCCTGGTGTTGTTCCCCCCCCCCCCCCCTTTTCTAGTTCTTAGTTAATAGCACCACAATTCAGTGGTCACAGCAAGCCATTTTCCTTCCCTTTCCTGCCTTGTCCAGTCAGTTAGCAATAACTGCTTGAATAGTTCTCAATCTATGTTCACTTATTCAAGTCCCCTTCCCAGCCTTTTAGACTCTTATCTCTTGCCTAGACTTTTGGAAGAACTGCGAAGCCAGTGTTGATTGATATATTAATAACTAGAACACGAACCTGACATTGAATGTGTGTTTTTTTGTGGGGTTTTGTTTGTTTGTTTTGTTTTGTTTTTGAGACAGAGTCTCTCTCTCTGTTGCCCAGGCTGGAGTGCAGTGGCATGATCTCGGTTCCTTGTAACCTCTGCCTCCCGGATTCCGGCAATTCTCCTGCCTCAGCCTCCCGAATAGCTGGGATTACAGGCGCCTGCCATCACACTTGGCTAATTTTTGTGTTTTTAGTAGAGACGGGGTTTTGCCATGTTGTCCAGGCTGGTCTCAAACTCCTGACCTCAGGTGATTCACCCGCCTCAACTTCCCAAAGTGTTGGGATTACAGGTTTGAGCCACCACGCCCAGCCTGAATGTGTTTTAATGAAGACTTCTTCTAACGGTTCAACCCAAAGGGAAGGGTGAGGGTGCAATTTAAGGCAGATATCAAAGTCCCTTTAGGGCTTCCCTGGTCACATTTGTTTCTCATACCTCAGGTCCAATCCATAGAAAACCTCATAGGCTTTACCTCCAGCATCCAGATTTATATAACTTCTCATGGTCCTTGATCCATGCTCCCTCTTGGTCCAGTCCACTGTCTTTTCCTGGTTATTGCAGTAGGCTCCTAACTGGTCTCCTTGCTTAGACCTCGCCTTCTACCAGCCAGAGCAATCGTTTCATATGTCGGTTAGCTCAATCCACTCTACTAGTTTCTCATCTCAGAGTCAGAAGCAAGTCCATGGGGTAGCCTGTGAGACCCTCCCTAGTCTGGCCCCTGCTCTGCTGTCTTGCTCTTTCTGATCTCATCTCCTGCTCCTCTCCTGATACTCACTCTGCATCAGCCCACTGGCCTCTCTGTGGTTCCTGAGTACTCCAAACAAGCCCCAGCATCAGAGTGTTCTTATTACCTCTACCTGGAATGTTCTTTCCCAGATATCAGAGTCTTGCTGTCTCACTTCTTTCAGTTCCCTGCCCAGGTGTCCCCTTATCAAAGAAGTCCTACTGACCATACTTTATAACATGCAAACGCCTGCACCTTGCAAGTCAGATCCTTCTTACCCCACTCATTTTTATGTATAGCATGTATCAACACCTAACCTAGGATACATCTGCTTAGTGAAAACAGAGACTTTGTGTGGCTATGATATTTCCAGTGCCTTAAAAGAGTGCCCAGTGCAGAGAAATGCTGAAACACTTGTTGACTAAATAAACATCACTTTGGCAATTGCCCTCTCATGCCTCTGAGTACGTTCTGATTGTCTGATTCTGTGATACCAAGTTCTAGAACAGAGAGCAGCAGCCTAAGTGCTGTGGGTGCGAGGGGAAGCAGTAGAAAACATCCACTTTCTTCCTCCATCCTTGCCCATACCCTCCTGGCTTCTGAAGAGGCTTCCATAGGAGGGCCGCCTGGCTTCTTGGCCTCAGAGTCCGCTCTCCAGCACTGTCCTACCCAGAAAGCCTTACTCATCGCTCTCCCCGAATCTTCCCTCCACTCCATTCAGGTTACTCCTTCTTACTGTGCCTTATTCCCCTCTAGTATCCTCCAGCACCAAACAGCATCTCACGAATGGCAGACACCCGAAAACATCAGGCCACTGGTTTATCTAGGTCTGCGTTTTTTCTCGTTTATCCAACTGAGAAATCTTCTTTATAACTACCACACAATTAACACCTCTAATAAAAATAAGTTAGTCAGATTTCCCTGTTAAGCAGAGGGTTTTGGTCTATTTTGTTCACTACCACACCTGAAATGTATAATAGGCACTGCAGTATTTAAATGGATGAATGAATGGGTTGTATTTGGAAAGTTATTTTTGGAAGTCAGCACCACAAAAAATATTATAAATGCTGATTGTGATCTTGAGCTCATAAAAGAAAACCTACTTGACTCACAATGTGGCAGAGACGTACGATAGCTCTAATGTTTATGAGTGCTGTAGAGCTAACACCTTTAGAGCTCTAACTTGGCCTAGGCTATCTTTGAACCTGACTCTATTGCCTCAGAAGGGTCTGAAATCCCACCTCTCCTCCCCTTCTTGAACAGGCAATGAAGGTCACGTAGTTCACACTCACAGAGTTGGATGGACTCTTTTGACTAGGAACCGTACTATTTTCTAGCTAGTTCTTCATGCATAAAATGGGAGATAATTATAACTACTGTACAGGATCATGATGAACATGTAATAATAATGGAGAAAGTGTTACACAGTGCTTGGCCGTTAGCAGCTGTTTTATGGACAGTGGTGGTCTTTCCACTGTCATCAAGCCACTGTTGTTGGCAACCAAATCAAGAGTTCCCAAGACAGAGGGGAAGGCCCCTGACAGTTGATTGGGTCAAAGGGCTACCAAGCAGAAGTTGGTCCTCAACAGTGTCATCTCCCCAGGCCTCCCAGACCCTCCGTCCACACTCCTGGCTCTCCCTCACTCTCCCTCCCTCTCTCTCATTCGCTCTTTAGGGTTGACTCTGCGGCATTCTTCATTTTTGCTGTGGTCTCCTGCGGAGTGGAAAAGTTGTGTTACAGTCTTACTTCTGGTCAGTGCACCACCCTTCTGAGAGTTTTTACTGGATAGTTTTTACTGCTATTGAGGAGACTTAAAGAAACACTTATATATTCTCTTTTGAGTAAACACTAGGGAAAATTAGTCACATGAAAATCAGATTTTATGCTATCCTGTAGGTCTGGAGGATTGTATCACCTCTCTGAAATTAGAGCTGTATTCCTAAAAACCTCCGAATGAATGACCGAATTACCCTTTAGATTCATATCCAGGTGAAATTGTTGTCAGGCACATTGGGCTCCTTAATAAAATTTCAAGGTCACAAGTAGTCATCAGTAACACATTGGCAAATCATTTCTCTAAATCAGTTTAGATAGAAGGTTTGTTTTTCCTCTCTGGCATTCATCTGATGCTTAGAAATGCCTTTGCGACTTCATGGTTTGAAGAAGTTGCTCTGTACTTCCAGGACCACACCTTGGTCTGAGGCAGATTATCCGGTATTTGAGATGAATAAAGCTCTGGATAACCTATAACCTCAGCAGAGCTCAGTCCCCCTCCATAGCACAGAGGGATTCAAAGCATTAGACCAACTCTGATAACTTTCTACTGGAATGTACACCATTGAGCTTTCTTCTCTGATATGTCTGTGGCCCTACCCTCAAATGCACCCCAAAGCCAGAGTTCTCTGTTAACTCTCCCTTGGCCTTCTTTACTCCTCCAAAAGCTGGCACCTGGTTTATTTCTCATTTTCCTGCATTGCAGCCCCTTCATCTTTCTAAATCTCCCGAATATAAATCTTATATATTGATTTAAATTCTCATAACAGAAAATACTATACAGATATAAAATCACATAGGCTAGAATTTCCTGTGAGAAGAATCAGACTGAGGAGGGATTTCAGTGGCCGAGTCTACTAGAAAGAGTAGAATGGAAATTCTACCGAGGAATAAGCAGACCGGATATGAGGACAACGAGGGCAATGGAGAGGGGAGGAGGTGGTTAGGAAGCTTTACCTATGGTTCCCATTGGCCTCCTGCCTTGCAGTTTTCTGTTGTACCAAGAAGTAGCAGATGCTGGATTGATTGGTACAGTGGTGATGATAGCTTATCACCACTAGTCCAGGTGATGACTGAGCACTCACTAGTCCAGGTGATGTTCCAGAGGCTTGTCATATGTTTACTAATTTCATGCTCACAAGAACTTTGAATATATGCAGTTATTTCCACTTCACAGATGAGGAAACTGAGGCAAGCAAAAGATGAGGTAACTTGTCCAAAGACACCCAGCTAATCAATGGCAGTGTTGGGATCAGTGCCCAACAGACTGGCCCCAGATCTGAAGCTCATAGTATGCTTGGTGTTATGAGCTAGGACTGCAAGTGAGAAAAAAAACAAACAGTGGTTGAGAAGAGAAATTCACTTTTTTGCCCCACAGATCTTAGTCACTCCAAGGCTAGTGTAGGTGGCTCTCTGCAATTAGAGACCAAGTTCTCTTATCTTATTGCCCTGAGACATGCCATCTTTGTTATAGGCAGCTACATACCTAGTTAAAATTGAGGATGGTATTGTTGTAGAAGGAAAGAGTAGCTGGCAGACCACTCACTTGGGAAGAGAAAAGGAAGGTACCATTAGAAGATGTGGCAGTTGGGAGGGAGGCAAGGATGCCTTTGGCCAGCATTGCTGAACTGTACTGCTCATGTGCCTTGCAAAGCTGGGGCTCATGTTGGCTATTAAAGTACTTGATCAACTATTGAGGTGTCTTCTCTAGAGAAAAAAAGCCATATTTAAAATGTTCAACTTTTGGTGGGATGCCCCACTTAAGTACAAATAAATACTAGAGCTAGTATTTAATTAACAACTAGGCATTTCCAATGAAGATTTCATTTGGCAAGGGTTGTTTACTGAAAAATTCAGAAGCATTCTCTTCTGGAGAGGAAACGTCTAAAGATGTGAGTCTTCTTGGGTTATCAATCTTTCATGGTGACATCAGGAAACCCTGAAAAGTAATATGCACTACTTGCCTGCTTCAGCTTACTGTCTTGTAAGAACACGTTCATCTCACAAAGAGGTGTACTAATCAGACTCCTGTTTGAAAGACTGAATTTGTTAAAGAAATGATTGAGGTTGCAGTATTCTCAATCTATAAAAATCACTGGTAAATGTTGAAGTTCTAGAATTATGACCTCAATTGAGGGAGATGTGATTTAAATATCAAGAAGATTAAAAAGAAAATCAAGAACTTGGAATATAATGATTTTTACCAACATTAAGAATTTGAAGAAGTGCAATTAATGTAAGTTGTATATTTTCAGATATTTAAATTCTGTGAATTTTCTTGCATTGCATATTCCCAGAGAATTACAGGAAATCCTTTGTAACAGGGTATCCTGAGTTTGGAGGGTTTGTTAAGTTAAAAAAACACTCATTTGGTGGTATGCTTCTGGTGAAGATTATAGAATCCATTATGCTTCACTGAGTTTGAAGAATAACAATCACTTTAATCACACTTGTTTTCATGGTGGCCCAGAGAAGAATTAAGAGACTTCCTTTTTAAAAAGTTTTTGCTAAGACAGCGCTTTTATCCTCCAGTTGAGTCAACGGAATTGTTGTTTCTATTGGAATTTCAAAATCAAACTTGATGCCCTAGTGAAATTTAAAAGTAAATTGATGAGAAGTAATTAACCAGTTAATTACGAGTGTGGCAGAATCCACTTGTACTTTTAAATGTTTTTAATGACCTCAAAAGTCTGGAGGCTTTTAGAAGAAGACTGTTAATGTCATGAACCTTTGGAAGTAGAGACCTCCAAATCTCCTTGTCTCTGTTTCCCATAGAACTCAGTAAGGTTTGGGGCTAATTTGAAGGTGTTTATCTCTTTCCGGCTGCCGAAGAAAGTTGAGAACAGTGATCCTGATGGTGAGCGGTGAATACAGCTGCCAACTGCTCTAAGTCAGCTTGTGAAGCCAGGCAAGAGAGCCTTCACCAGGGCTTAAAATGCAGAGGATTTCCTTCCATTCTTTGAGGACATTTGACAGACAAACCTATTGCAGCTTATTGATGGGTATATCAGCAGCCATTGTTTTGTGTAAGGCCTGGGGTGTGGGAACAGGTCTTAAGGGGAGCAAGAATACATTGAAACACAGGAGCACTGGAAAGCTTATATGGTGTGTGCTGGTTAATGTTTAACAACCTACTGGAATGGAGGTGGGAGACTCAGCATGCGTGTGAGTGTGTATGCACACATGAGCCATTACATATACACACATATACATATAAGTTTATTATAAATTATACTCATAGAATGTGTGATACAATTTGCAAATAGTAATTTATATTGATTCTCATAGAAGCTCTTGTTGATGTTTGCAAACTTTTTATGTTAGTAACTGACCTATTAATAGGTGAATGTAGTTTTGACCTGAATATTGTTTGATATTTTCTTTTACATTAATGAGTAAGACAAAAGTGAAACAATGAAGATGATGTCAGAACTTTACTCATTTGCCAGTGACACGAGTGACTCCTCTGCTGAATTGAATGATTGTTTTTGAATGCTGGATGAATATTTTGGCTTTTTCTGTGTGTGCTATTTATACAACATGGTGGCTACAGACACAGCACATCTTTATGTTTAATCTGTATTATTAACATGTTCTCCAGGCCTGATTCGTAATGTTTGCCAATATCCATGGTGTGGAAATATTCCCACTGTGGCTGATATCAAGCTGCCAGTGTGACATTAAATTCAGAGTGGGGAAGAGATGTGCAGTATTGCACCGTTTGTCTAGTATCTCTACCACATAGATGCAATAGATGTAAATAACCCTAAGAGCATAGATGATAGTAAAATGCAGGGAAATAATTAAGAAGTGATGAGTTTTGGGCATTATACCTTTGTTTTTAATAGGATTTATTTAATTTTAAATGTATATTATTTACTCTTTAATAATGGCTTCAACACCTGGCTTACAAAATTTCTGACATTTAACAGCTGGCTCTTGTGAGTTGGTACAGAAATAAAAGGGAAGAAATGATGGAAAGGGAAAAACAGGCTGGATGCTCAAAATCCCAACACTTTTGGAAGTCAAGATGGGGAGGATAGCTTGAGACCAGGCATTCGAGACTAGCTTGGACAGCATAGCAAGACCCTGTCTCTATAAAGAAAATTTTTTTTAAATTATTTGGGCATGGTGGCAGTATCTGTAGTTCCAGCTACTCCAGAGGCTGAGACTGGAGGATTGCTTGATCCCGGGAAGTCAAGGCTGTGGTTAGCTGTGATTGCACCACGCACTCCAGCCTGGGCAATAGAGTAACATCCTGTCTCTAAAAAAAGAAAAAGAAAAAACAGTTCAGACTTACTTTGGGAACAGATCCTGGACAATTTGACTCAAATGATGGCCCTTTCTCAAAATTCAACGAGAGATCCATTTGAGCTAGAGACGTTTGGGTTTAGGGGAGGGCGTTCAAAGGTCATCTGAGTTTTGCACTCAGTTTCTCCTTCCAGTGGTCTCCTTTGCACTTTAGCACCCCTGCCTGCGTTCGCCTTTCCCACCTCCGCACCTCCCTGCCCTCTGCCCCATAAATGCTGTTGCATTCTTTCATTCTCCCTTCTTCTGCCTTGTAGAGTCTTTTTAAAGCATTCTTCATCCTTGTGTCTTTCTGATGTCCATCATCCAGCTCAGGAAACCAGTGACTCCAAATTCCTGCTGCCTTGGAGGGCAATAGAAACTCATACAACTGGTCATAGATGTTTTTCTGACACAGTTTCATCTGAATTAATTGAGTGTTGACTGCTTTATTCCTGATACCCACTGAGATGCTTCATACCAAGGGAACAGATGATGAAGGGCATAGAAGGCAGTTTGGGAGCAGGGAGCTTTTGCAGACATAAGGCAGCTTTTATGGAGCAGGAGTGAGAGGAAGTACAGGGGTAAAGAAAATAAAATGTGTGCTTCTGGATGCTTTCTTTAGCCAGTCATAAAAGAAAAAAGGTTCTTTTTTCTTTCACCCTTCTACATTATGTTCTTCACAGCTCCAGGGACCAGGGCTTAGGATAGCGCTACTCCACTTCTCATAGGAGCACATGGTAAAAACCAGCTCTCAGTTTTGGCTGAGATGACAGGTCTTTTAGACAACAGCCCATTTACTGCTTGACTGCTTATAGTTTGAGGGCATAAATTGATGTCTTTTTCCTAAAAGGTGTGTTTTGAATTAAGGAGAGTGTTTCCACACGTTTTTGTTATCTCATTAACACCAGCATTTATGATGCTGCATTTTCTGTATATGTATTATCGTTTATTTGGTCACAATCACACAATCATTACACATTTCATATTTTTGTTTTTTGTCTTTGTGTTTATTTTTATTGTGTTTATTTTCTTGTGTATATTTTTTATAACTTTTATTGTGTTTTTAATCTGAAAGGGGATTTTCGTGTGGGTGAATGGAAAGAAAAACAACAATTTCGGTTTGATTGTTAGAAATAATTCTAAGCCTGTATTTCCCAAAGTCCTTCACTGGCCCTGGGCAGGGAGCCCTGAATACTGGGAGGCCTGACAGCGTTTCTCTCCAAGGAAGACACCGCTACTCAGAAGCACCTCAGCTCTGCTGACTCCAGGCTGTGCCCAGGCCAGACCTAGTGGGTCTTGATCAGGGAAGAGATTGCTGCTGCAACCTGGCCTGTCCTTTGTCCCCCCAGACCCCTTCAGTATTTGTGCAAGAGGGGAAGGGCTCTATGTAAACACTGTCACTCCCTCTATGGCCATCGGGCCCTCCACACCCACTTATTCCAACTGGAGGGTAAACAGAGCCAATTGTGTGTTCTGTTTTGCTTGTCTTTTAAATTGCCAGATCTTACTGACTTGACTTACCTATTTTCAAAAATTGGTCTATTTCTGCTGTTAGGAGGACTGTATGTCTATATGTGTGTTCATTCAGCAAATATCTCTATACCCGTTTTGTGCCAGGCATCAATCAGTTGCACCATGCATTTGGGATATAAGGGAGACAGAACGGAGGCTCTGCCCTCGTGGGGTTTGCAATCTCTACAAGAGACATTACAAACAAGGGAACATCAGATATTATGAGAAATGATCAGTGCCATGAAGAATGGGAGAGAGAATGAATTGAGATTGGAGAGAGTCTCTCTTAGGAACACCCAAATAAAACTTGGTTGTTCATAACCTGAAGAAGGAAATAAAACAATGCAATTTATCCTGCCTCTGACAACAAGGGAAAACCTTTGGCCTCTCTTGGATTGAATCTCTAAGTTCCTGACTTTAGTCTCTCTGTGCCTCAGTTTTCTACCTTTAAAATGAATTTAATAATGGTCACAAACTCCTGGAGTTGTTGCAAAGAGTCATTAATACTGGCAATGTGCTTAGAGTGGGGCCTGACAAGTAGAAGTAGTAGGACTTGATATAATTATGTACAGGAATGATGGTTGGTGAGGGTCCAGCATTTGTGCAAGAAGGCCGTGTTCCAGAGTGTCAGACTCTGGGGCTGTTGCTTTGCTAGGAGATAATAAAAGTCACAACCTCTCTGAATATCAGCTTCCCTTTTTGACACATGGGTTCCTATTAGTTTTACCACCTCAGGGGCTTTTGTGGCACAAATCAATTTTTTTTTTTTTTTTTGAGATGGAGTCTCACTCTGTTGCCCAGGCTGGAATACAGTGGCACAATCTCGGCTCACTGCAACCTCCACCTCCTGGGTTCAGGCGGTTCTCCTGCCTCAGCTTCCCGAGTAGCTGGAATTACAGGCCTATGCCACCACACCCAGCTAATTTTTCTATTTTTAGTAGAGTCGGGGTTTCACCATGTTGGCCAGGCTAGTCTTGAACTCCTGACCTCAAGTGATCCTCCAGCCTTAGCCTCCCAAAGTGCTAGGATTACAGGTGTGAGCCACCATGCCTGGCTGGCACAAATCACTTTAAACACTATAAGCCCGCAATTTGAAAACTGGGAAATACTAAATGAGTGTAGATGATGTTATTGAGCAATAACACGGACCATTAGTGACCTATTTGAATATATGGTTATGAGTGCTGTCCAAATGTACATCTGTCATCATTTGTGCTACACATCTTGTTCTGTTTACTTCGATGTCTGTTTTCTGCTAAGGTAACATCTTATGACTTGAACACGTTACAGTTCATTACCTGGTCTTACCGTGTTGCGTCCAGAACTGTTGTGTGAGTTGCAGTTAACCTTGAGCTGTAGGTAAGAGATGCACATTTGAATCCAACTCATATTTGAGGCTCTGATTCCCTTACTTCTCCCTAATACCATTTCCTCCTCCGAGAGCTCTGTCCACACCTGGGGTCAGCTTGGTTGTGCCAGCCAACACTTTGTGTTATATCAGACGGAAGGGAGCAGAGAGCTGAATGAGCCTATCATGCTGTGGGGTCTCAGATGTATATAATTTTGTTAAGTGAATGAATCTCAATAAAAGCCAACATGTTATATGGGCACTCTTCTACATGCTGTGGTGAGGGGTAATTTTGGCCCAAAGGTAAAGAATAATAAATTAGTATGTTATACTACTTTCAGTAACAAAGAGGCAACATTCCCAGCCTTAATTTTTTTTTAAATTTGCAAAAATCAAAATGACTAGAGACACCAGGCTGTGTTTTAGTGTGTGGGCAGCTTGGTGGGTCACCCATCCTGTGCCTGTACCCCATTCCCCATGGGTACTCTTTTGGTGCCAGAGCTTCCCAGGCAGCATAGAGCCACCTCCGGAATTCTCCCCACCCTACCACTGTTCTGAGTTAGGTTACTGGGATGAACCCCAGAGCCCACCCTTCAGTAATAAGACAATACTCAGATGCCATTTCCACCCCTCACCAGCCTCCCCCTCCCAGTGTAGACAGAATTAGTAGGAACCTCTGACGGATCCCCTAATCACCTCCAACAGGTTTTGTTCAAGGACAAGTTACTTCTACAGGATGTGTTCCTCTAGGCATCCTCTGCCCTAGGTTCATTTCGTTGTGTTGATGGTGTTTTGCCACTGCAGGAGATTGGACAATTTTTCTATAAGTTGAAATTTAAAATCAGCAAATGTTTCTCTCAAGATCTCCTGAGTTCGTAATACCATGTAAGACCCTTTTAGAAGATAGAAAAACAAAGAGGGAGTTTTGTAGTGGCATCCCCCCTCTCAGGGAAAAAGACTTGGTCAACTGCATTGTTTGAGCCAGTCTATTAGAGAAGAGGGGAGGCGGCACTTCCTTTTGTGTCCAATAGATATGGGTTCTTAATGAGCATCTTTTTTTTTTTTTTCTCTGTAGGAAATGAGCGCAGAAGCTTGTTGAGGCCACTTCTGCTTCTGTTGTTTGTGTTAAGTATCCTGTATGTCAATGACACATTCTTGAGGTTTCACTTCTCCCTACCCCAGGCCTCACTTGAATATAATTCATCAAATGACACTGAAATCACATCTGATGTTATCATTGCCTTCAACCACACAGGTGCAGCCAGAAAGAGGAAAACAGATGGGAAGTCTTGTTTCATTTCATTTTGCAAGTTAAATAACCTTGGGGAAAAACACTTGACCTGGTTTTGTGAGAGCTTGGCTGTTGGGTTCTTCAGTAGTGTTTTATGAGAAGGTAGCACCTGCGTCCTCCATCAGCACCCTTTTAACGGGCAAGCACATCACGCAAATAACAAATGTCGCATGCCTTTTATGTGTCAGGCGGCCTGTAATGATCAGATGATGAGGCAGGTCAACTGGCATTCTCTGTAGTTTTCCAGTGGGAACTCCAGGTCTCAAACTCACGTATCTATTAAGTAGTAGAAGCAGAACTAGAAATTAGTTCTCTTCCCTTCTAATCCAGTGTTCAGCCCTTGCGCGTACTGCAAACGGACAGCAGAGTTGGCCTCAGGCCCCCCACGTGTGCACTGTACAATTGTGGTGCTCTTTTTCAGCCTATTCACGAGGTTTGTGTTTGGATCGCATGGCCTTGCCACTGCCTCTGTCTTCACCCAGCCAGACCCACACGTTTGTCATGTGCCTCTCTGAGCATCCGAGGCTGCAGCGACCTGTTTACCGTGCTGCCCTGTGGTATTGGGCTTTTGGAGGTCACTGTGCATGTGTATGTATGATGAAGTTTTATATCAACCTAAAAACACCTACTCAAGGAGGAAAACAGAATCTTCAATGTGTCTTAAATCTCCAGTTAAGCTGTGCACAGTGGTTACAGAATGTCACAGCAGTTGAGCTGGATGCAGTAATAACGCCTTATCAGATTAATGTATTAGATTATAGGTTTCTTAAGCTTCTGGAACCATAGCGATGGCTAATTGAAAAGGATCATCTATGTTAGGCACAATCCTCATGTAAGATCCTGCAGTGACTACATGGTGCTGTAGAATTTATTACACATTTCTCATTCTGAGCCTCATCCCTGAATAAGACCCTAACCTCCTGTTCCAGGTCTTTCTCCCAATACTGACCTATTCAAAGCCCTGTGCTCCAGGCAGTCTGGAGGTGCCTGGGCCTTGGGGGTGCTGCTGCCTTCGCTCAGGGGCCCTCACACCCTGCCTATCTCTGCTTCTTGTCTCCAGGATCCTCCCCTCCCCAACAAGGGACTCCCATTGCAGGCAACCTTGCCTCTCCCTCCCACATCCTCAACACTCGAGCCCCATGAGTAAAGGACTCTTACTCTTCATGAGTAAAGGAGGTCTTCCGTCCTATGGAGCACCTAGCAATGTGACTGCTATAGGACAGCCTCTTAAGAAATTCAGCCAGGACGATTTTACTTTGCAAAGTACAGTAGGGTGATGATTATCATCGTGATGGCTCCTGGAGGCATAGCCATCAGTTCTTCATCCTTACTTCCAACAGAAACCTGTGGATTTCTGTTTGGATTAAGGAATGAGAGGGACATTTGCTGAAAACTTTCTATGCACCAACACTTTCATAGAATTTTTTTTTTCTCAGTTGTCACCACAGTCGGCCTCACTTCAACAACAGCAGGCAGTGTTGGCTGGTGTCTCTGATGAGGAAAGTGAAGCCTAGAAATAAGGAATTCACTTCAAAGGCACCTTGTACGAATTTCATACTTGAAATCCAGTTTGGCTGAAATAAAAGCCTGTGATTTTTTTCATAACAACTAAGTATAATGGATAAAATTTGGTTAATTAAAGATTTTTTTAGGCCAGGCGTGGTGGCTCACTTCTGTAATCCCAACACTTTGGGAGGCCAAGGCAGGCAGATCACTTGAGGTCAGAAGTTTGAGATCAGCCTGGCCAACATGGCAAAACCCCGTCTCTATTAAAAATATGAAAATTAGCCAGACTAAAATTGCCTGAACCCAGGAGGCGGAGGTTGCAGTGAGCCAAGATCGTGCCACTGCACTCCAGCCTGAGCTACAGAGTGAGACTCCATCTCAAAAAAAAAAAATGGATTTTTTAAAAACTATAAAATAAGTTTAGAAGAGTATATTTATTTGCTAGGTCTACCATAACAAAGTACCATTGCCTGGGTGGCTTCAATGACAGAAATATATTTTCTCACAGTTCTGGAGGCTGGAATTCCAAGATGAAGGTGTTAGCAGGGTTGTTTCTTCGCAGGGTTGTTTCTTCTGAGGCCTCCTTTGCTTGCAGATACTGTCTTCTCCCTGTGTCGTTACATGGTGGTCCCTCTGTGTGTGTCTGTGTCCTGATCTCCTCTTAGTATGGGAACACCAGTCATAATGGATTAGGGCTCATCCTAAGGACCTCATTTTACCTTAATCATCTCTCTCTTTTTTTTTAAGTGACAGAGTTGCACTCTTGTCACCCAGGCTGGAGTGCAGTGGTGCAATCTTGGCTCACTGCAACCTCTGCCTCCTGGGTTCAAGTGATTCTCCTGCCTCAGCCTCCTGAGTAGCTGGGATTACAGGCATGCACCACCATGCCTGGCTAATTTTTTGTATTTTTAGTAAAGATGGGGTTTCACCATGTTGGCCAGGCTGGTCTCGAACTCCTGACCTCAAGTGATCTGCCCACCTCGGCCCTGCAAAGTGCTGGGATTACAGGCATGAGCCATCATGCCCAGTCTTCAATCATCTCTTTAAAGACCCTAGTTCCAAATAAAGTTACATTCTCATTTACCAGGGGCTAGGACTTCAACATATGAATTTGGGGGAGGCACACTTCAGCCCATGACAGACACAACTGGATATTAGATGATGTTATGGAATTCTTGGTACTTTTTTCAGGTATCATAATGGCTTGTGGTTCTGTAGGAAGATGTCATGGGGGGATGCATGATGAAATATGTTGGGATGAGGAGTGATAGAGAATTGCACATTAATTTCAAAGGTTCCATACCAGCAGAAGTGTTTGTGGGGGTGATGAAAAAACTGCAAAGGCACCACGATGGCAAGTAAGTTATGCAACATAGGCCATTGTGGGGCGGGGGGCGGGGGGTCTGTTGTACAAAATGCATAAGATCTCCTGAGGGCCAGCAAGAAAGACAAAAAGGGTCTGTAAGAAGGCTCATATTTTGTTTCCGTTAAGGAATAGAGAGAGATACTAAGGCACTGTAGATTTGCCTAAAGAAAGGGTGTTATCTTCAGAGGCCTTCAGGCGAAGGCTCAGAGTTCCATGGCCAGCTGAGCTTCAGTGTGGTCTCTCCTGAAGGAGAACTCGCCATGCTGACCTTGGACGTTCCATTGACGCCTCGGGATCAGGAGTCTGTCTCGATCTGTGTGTCTGCCTGCGAAGGGGCGTTGGGGACACCAGAACATGTGCTCTGTCTCTGTTTACTGCCGGGCTCTCCGGAGTGAAGGGTAAATCTCCGGCCTGCTGCACCATGTTGGTTAATTCACATTTTCTGATGCTTTAAGGGCTTCAGATGTACCCTGCTGGCAAGCATTTTTTGTTTCTAAGGTTCATTCATGACACCACCCAAGATAAGTAAAGCTCTTTGGGGAGGTGCGTGTAAATTCCATTTCAGAAGGGCTCAAAGGCACACAAGCAATTCAAGCCCATCGTTTGAGATTCATGAAGGACAATATCCTACCAAGAGTTAAGAGTAGTTCCATTCCATTTGCATACCACACTGTGTGTGTGTATGTGTATGTGTGTGTGCGTGTGTGTGTGTTTTGTATTTTTACCCCCATTGTAGGTCTAGGTTACATGAAACTATAACCTGAAGTTAAATATCTTTGTGCTCAACCATTAGTAAACTCAGGAAAGCTTGTGAAAGAATAGTAGCAACTAAACCATTCTTTATAGTGCATGGGACATGCTGGGAAAAAGGGGCGAGGGAAGGCCACCACTGGGACTCTGGGGTGTGGCGTGATCTCTTGTAATAGATCAAGGGAAGAAGAATTTGCTCGTGAACCCTGTTTCAAGAGATGTGATACAACAAGTTAAATCAGCAAGTCCATATCAGACATGTTTGTTTATACTGTGTCAAATTCTGGACAAAATATTTATTTGAAAGATAAAAAATATTTAGGTCTTAAAAGGCACTTTTTGTGGCAGTCAGAGATGTCAAGTTTTTAATCATTTCTCTTCCTAAGCTGTATTTAAAATCTGCAAAATCTATTCTTAAAATATACTTATGAGTGACTCAAAAGCATCACTTTACTCCTTAATTTTGCTAACACTGCAATATTCTCTGTTCTGATTGAAAATTTTTCTTCAAAAATAAGGTTATCAGGGTTTCTTCCACTCAGAAGGGTGGACATTTCCACAGATTATTGTAGTGCAGATCCCAAGGGTGAAGAGAAACAAAACTTGAGCTTACAAATAGCAGTGGCCTTTAAAAAAAAATCAACACCAACATCATTTTTGAGAATAAAACTTAAACATCTGGTTTTCTTCTGGGAAACTGCACTTCTTTTTTTTAACCGTAATCTTAAAAAAAAGTATTTACTAGTCCGCAAGCAGGAAGTTAAGAGAATGACTGCATACCTGAAAAATCCAACGTTGACACATAGATTTTGTTTTTTAGGATCACAAGTATAATAAAACTGGATATAAATGTATCCTGCCTGGCAGAATTGCATATAAATATCTGTGTCAACATATGTTTGCCACAATTAGGAAAGGTTTCCATCACCCTCTTGCCTTGAGCACTAGTGGAAGAGTTTATTGCCATCTGTGATCATTAGAAACTGAAATCCAAGATTACATAGATAATAATAAACAACTGCTGCCTTGTCTTCCAAACGTGCTGCTGAGTAATATGCAGGGCGTTTTATGGGATGCAGACTTCATTCTGTTTTAAGAACTGATATGGGCCTACATTAATATTTATTTAAATGATATCCTGTAACCACACAATAATGGGATTTTAAAATAGAACCCACTCTTGTACAGAATAAATATTGTGAATTCAATTATTCTTATATCTGGCATATGGGCAACAGATTGAACTCCAAGTGAATGTTTTAAAGGTTTGGTAATACTGACATGATTGTCAGAGGGAAGGCTGTTGCTGCAGTAAAACTGGCAATGAAGCAATGATTTAAGCATGTGAACTCCCACTTCCAGAGCTTTGAAATGTTATATGTTTCTGGTTGTTTTCTGCCCTGAGTGGAATTTTCTGTTTTACTGTAAATTGCTGCTGCTGTTTAATATGTGTATATTTTTCTTGGTATAAATTTCAAAGAGGATGTTGACCCAGTAGAAAACCCCTTCACTGTAAGAAGAGCAGAAAGTGGCAGCATTCCACACATAGGACTGCAGTCCTGGTTTCTCTTTAGATTCCTTTGAGATCAATTTTCAAAGAGTCCTCAGCAAATGGACATTTGTTTTGGGATGGTATGTAGATAGGAAAACACACACACACACACACACACACACACACACACACACACACACACACACCCCGTCCTTGCCCTCCTGCACTGAACCCTCTATATCTGGATTAAGTATTAACTTGACTTGAGTGAAAGGACTCAGGGTTGAATTCATTTAGTTAAATGGAGTTGGTTAATATTCTGCCCGTACTATTAATGATGTTATAATCTAGCAGAGAGGATAAACAATTGCACAAATTACAGTATTCATTGTACTATCCTGTAGAATAAGAACCTGTGTTGTAGTAATAGCCCCAGGTAATTCACTGGTTAGAGAAGCACTACTCCAGGTAAGAATGTAGTGCTGTCATCCACATGCAAAGATAATGAGGCTTTGCAGAGGACTGGAATGCAATGGAAATAGAGAAGTTCATCCACGAGCAAGTGAGTGTGTGCATATGTGGGATTTGGGGAAGGGGACCTGATGAGAGAGAAGAAACTGAGGGTTCTAGCCTGGAAGACTAGACCTCCATTGGCCACAGTGGAATAAACAGCCATGGAGCCTGTTTGGGTGTAAAGGGTAGGATTCGCCAGCAGCAGTTTAGAGTGAGAGATGACTTTGGTACACACAGGTGGTGTGTACTTTGGCCAGTCTGAAATAAAGGATTGGACAGAGGAACACATTGCTGCTTGAAGCGATGCTTCTCACAGCCATTTGACAGTATCTGTCAAGGCCTCGAAGGGACTCTTTGACTCATTTTTCGGATATACCCTAAAGAAATAAACCTTTCTGGACACCAGATTCTACATTGCGGCAACATTTAAACCTAAAGCCTCAACACTAGAGGGTTGGATAAGTTATGGAATATTCATACAAGGAACTATTATATGCAATTAAGATTTCCCTATAGCAATGATAAAATTAAAACCTTTAAGACATGTGACAAAGGAAAGGACAAAACCAACAGAAAACCATCCTTTTTTTTTTTGAGATGGATTCTTGCTCTGTTGCCCAGGCTGGAGTGCAGTGGCGCAATCTCGGCTTACTGCAACCTCCGCCTCCCGGGTTCAAGTGATTCTCCTACCTCAGTCTCCCAAGTAGCTGGGACTACAGGCACGCGGCATCACGCCCAGCTAATTTTTGTATTTTTAGTAGAGAGGAGGTTTCACCATATTGGCCAGGATGGTCTCGATCTCCTGACCTCATGATCCGCCTGCCTCGGTCTCCCAAAGTGCTGGGATTACAGGCGTGAGCCACTGCACCTGGCTGAATCATCCATTTTTTAAAAATCTATACTTCATAGATTTTCTATGATGTATTTCCTTTGATGACAAGAAATCAGACCAAAATAATAATGATAATTAGTTATCTTTGAACTTTCATACTTTGATTTTTATTTTATTTATACTTTTCTGTATTTTGGGAGATTTTCATATTTTTCAAGGTTTCTACAATTAGACAAAGAATATTTTATTTATAAAGTAAAAGTTAAAGATATTTATCTGGGCAGCCTTTTCCTAGCAAGTGTGATGGAGGCCATAGACTATTTCACAGGGGATTACTGGTGATGCCATTCTTTATATTTGAACGGTACTGCCCACAGTGCTCTCTTTAAAGCAGTTTGTACCTTGTTCAGCAGGGAGGCCAGTACATGGAAAGAATGGTACCTGGGGAATAGGTCCTGGTTAAAACATTGACTTTACTCTGGTTGTGATGGGAAGCCCCTGGTGGAATTTGAACCCAGGAGTGCTGTGATATTGTATATGAGCAGAATTACTTTAGCTTCTTTGCGGAGAATCAGTGCTGGGGAGGCATGCATATAGGCAAGGAGATCAGTGGCCAGGAGGTGACTGTACCAGTCCAGCTGAGAGCTGATGGGATCTGGGATCAGGGTGAAAACTGAAGAAGTGGTGAACCATGGTTGAGTGTCTGCTGAGAGTGCAGCCCACAGGGTTTGTGGATGGCTTAGTTGTGGGGCATTGGAAAGAAAAAAGATAAGGGATGAAGCCAAGGATATTATCCTGAATATCTGAGTACAGTTGACACCATTTTCTGAGGTTGTGAATATGGGAAAAGCAGGTTAGCAACGGGGAGAAACTGAGAATTATGCTTTGGCTACGCTAGGTCTGAAAGATGCATCTCAACTTTAAGTGGTGATGCCAGGTAGGTACGTGGATGTGTGAACCTGGTGCTCAGGAGAGGGGGCCGGTGTGGAAATACACACCTGAGAACTATCAGCAAATCAATGATATTTACAATCACCGGGCTAGATGAGGTATCAGAGTGAGATAGAGAAGAGGTCAGGAGGCTGATCTCAGGGCACCCCAGCACTTGGAAGATTCGGCCCAGGAAATGGGGAAGGAGCTGCCAGCAAGGAAGGAAAGCCAGGAGCCCATGGCTTTCCAGAAGCTCAGTGGAGAATGTGCATCCTAGCAGCTGGAAAGTAAAGACAAGGAGAGTCGATCATTGGATTTTGCAGTGAGAAGGTCATTGGTGGCCTTGATAAACCGTTTCGATGGAGTGGAGGGGGCCAAAGTCTGATGATCCTTCTTAGAAGGGAATGCTAAAGCTGAAGCTCTCAAAGATTTGAGCAAATACTGTGGAAGAGTAAGAGAGCCAAGAAAATCTATGCCCAGGAATCCACAAGCTCACTTGTGGAGCAGAGGTTTCTGCATCTTCTGTGGCTGTGTCATCTCAAGGCTTCTAGATCCTCCAGCCTGTTTGAAATAAATATATACAGCAGCTCCAATTTTTCAATTCCTGTCTCTCTCTCTCTCAATCTGTGTCTTTGAATTAAAACCACGAAACCAGTTCCACCTTTTTTCCATCCAGCACCCTCCTCCCCAGGTCTGCGTTTTAGGCAGCTTTTCAGGTGATGGACAGACAGGACTGTGGGGAGTGATGCAATGGGTGCTGCTGTCCTTTGGGGGACACCCCATCCCCTACACACAGGGAGTATTAGGACCTTGAAAGCCCAGCATGACAGCCACACCTTACACCTAGTGGAGTCGGACAGAGTCTTGTGGCTTGGACGCTGATCATAACAGAAGCATCTTTAGGTCAATATGCTGGAAGTAACTGAACAACACTGTGCAGTTCAGTTACCTGTAGGAAAACTTGCAGTAAGACTTGTAGGAAAATAAAAGTTCTAACCTTGCATTTCAGAACTCTTCTTTACCTGCTACAGTGGATTCGGGGGTTCCCCTTCCCCTTGCTGGCAACCGCTCCCCACCTACAGATGCTTCAGAGCATCCGTAGAGCACGGTTGGGTTCCCAAGGAGGGGAACAGAGGGTAGGACAGAGCTGGGGGAGGAGAAGAGGATGTGGGCTAGTGGAGGGCTGCGAGCAAGTAAGGAGAAGCCCCAGGGAACTGGGCATGGGGAACTGGGCATCAGGCTTTCTAGCGGCCTCCTTCCTGCTAGTGCTGTCCTGCCCCGGGGGCTGGCTGGCTGCTTCCTCGGCCACTGCCACCAACCTGTCCACCAGAGCTTCTAGGCTTTCTGGCCTTCTGAGAGAACAGTCTCACAACTTCAGGACTCTGGTTCCTACAACAAGCACGCGGCATTTGGCATTTTCTGAAGAATTTTTGCTACAAGTAGCAAAAGGTCAACAGTTTAAAATTTGCTCCTAAAAATGTGCATGTCGTAATGTTCAGTGAAAAAAGGAAAAGGTCAGAGTACACGAAATTGTTTAATCTCCATTCTCTATTATAAACACACAAGCAAAGCTGGAAGAAATCACCAGGGTATGGGCCACGATTGTCTCTGGCTTACAAGTGATGGTTTTTCCTTGCTTTTCTTTATTCTCTGGACTTTTTTTAACAGTAGGGAGTTGTGATTTTTATAACTTGAAAAGTAAATGTAAAGATTTCTTCCAAAGTTTGTCTTTTTGTCTGCTTTTATCATCGGCCTTGGCCAACCGGACACACCTAGGGCTGCTCTCAGGGCCTTGGGTGTCTATGGAGGACAGTCAGACTTGGTGGCCTGGGCCTTGGTCCTGGGCAAGGTGGGCAGGTTGGAGAGGCCCCCAGGCGAGTGTTGCCTGCATTGGCCATACCCCTCTACCTGGCCTCTCCCGCTTCCTCCATGCCCTGTTCTCAACAGGATGGCAGGAACACATGCAGGCTGGTAACAAATGTCCTAGGGCCATTATTCAGGAGCAAAAAACAAAGGAGAGAATAATTTCACAAACATCTATTCTTACATGGGCAGTCTTGGTGACAGGATACTGATAGTTAAAAGACAAGGAATGGGTAATTGAGGAGAACTTTAACTTCAAGTGATGTTTTAAAGAATACTTTATAAGACCTTCTGCCGTGAAATGATACATGTCACTAATCGCTGGTTTAATTTGCCAAAAAGTTTCTGGGGAAACGAGCTTGAGGATCAAAGACTAAAATTTGCATATATGTCTAGTATGATTTCATTTGAATTTCCCCTTTCTAACTTAGCTGATATTTTGCTAATGACTTCTGTAGTTTCGCTTTTAAAACTGTTCTGTGAAAATACCTTATGCAGTGCTTTCTTAAAAGCCCCATTTGTTTACTTTTACTAAGCTGAAAGCACACTTTACGTCTGGGAGCAACCAAATAACAGATTTGCTCTCCTTTGAGGACTCATCATTCAGTTAAACATTTTTGAATAATGACAGTGGGTCTTGGGTTTCAAAGATGAGACCCAATTTCTGCACTTGAGGAAACCACAGGTCTAATCGGAGGGCAACAGTGTCATCTGGAAGTGCCGGCTCAGGGATGCCGTCCTGACGGAAGTCATGAATGCTGGAAGTGGGTCTCGCAGGGTGAGAGGAGTCACCAGGTAAAGATGGGTTGGAAGGACCTGGCAGGCAGAGCAGGGAGCAGGACCCCAGTCCAGGGCAGCAGGGAAGCGGGAGTCTGGGCAGAGCTGATTCCAGGCAGCTCAGTATTGCTGGCCTGTGCATCCTGAGACTTATCCGAGTCGCAGGTGAAGCTGGTGGGAATCAGGCAGAGTGCAGAGCTTTAGCTGGGGCAGGGTTAGCCAAGAGCCTGTCATGGAGCTGCTCTCTGGGCACTGGGAAACATAAGTCTGGAGGCTTTGGCTGCAGCTGCAGATAAAGATGCAGGGGCCTCTGACGATGGGGGCCTTAGTCATCTCAGAGGTGGTGCAGAGGGTAGAAGCCTGACTGGGGTCAGAGATGAGGAAGGAGAGGGTCAGAAACAGTGATTCTAAACCAATTTGGTTGAGGCAGAAGATACTAATGGCCGAGGGGAGGAGAGAGGGAGCGTAGGCTCTAAAGGGGAAGCTTGTTAGGAATGATCCATTGTATCATCCTCCGTGGAGGCTGAGAGTCAGTGCAGAGGGTGAGTTTGGATGTATGGGAGGCAGCAGTGAATGGCCGAGATGGAGAGTGCTGGTGACCAGGTTGCCCCTCCACAGTTCTGACTGTCCCTTTTCTGTACCTGAGGGAGGAGGGGAAAAAGAGTGAAGTTGAGGCTGGGCGTGGTGGCTCAGGCCTGTAATCCCAGCACTTTGGGAGGCCGAGGCAGGCGAATCACCTGAGATCAGGAGTTGGAGACCAGCCTGACCTACATAGAGAAACCCCGTCTCTACTAACAACAACAAAAAAAAATCCGGGCGTGGTGGCAGGTGCCTGTAATCCCAGCTACTCTGGAGGCTGAGGCAGGAGAATCACTTGAACCCAGGAGGCAGAGGTTGCAGTGAGCTGAGATCGAGCCATTGCACTCCAGCCTGGCCAACAAGAGCAAAACTCGATCTCCCCCCCAAAAAAAAAAAAGAAAAAAAGAGGAAGAAGAAAAAAAAAAGAACTGTGATCAAGCAGCCACATGGGAGGTAGAAAATAATATGAGAATGTAGTAAAATATGTGGCCTAGGGTAGGCTAGGAGAGCTTGATGGAGTTGGAGAAATTTTAAAGCAGTAGTTGGGGAGAAAAAGGATGGGAAGCTCAGGAGGCACATAGTATGCCCTCAGTATGTTATCCAGTGCCACACTGACTTCCACAAGAAAACCACACTCAAGACTAACTTGAAAAGTGCATAGAGGTCAGAAACTCAGCTTTGGGATAAAGCATTTTTTGTAAAGAATTAAGTGAATAAAAATAAACATCTAAAATATTTCAACTGAAAGAAAAAATAGATTCCCCATTATTAGAGCCAATGGTTTAAATTCAGACATATGGAAAAATTTAATTTTCAATTCCAGGCTTTAAGCCTAATTCTGGAAGAAAACCCATTAAAGTAATGAAGTAATAAAACAATTGAACAATAAATCTTGATTTTGTAGAGAACAGAACAAATGCTTGGAGATACGTCATCATTTTCATGCTTGTGGATTCATACAGACACCAGCATCTTTGCCTAAAAGTTACAAGGCTGTGGTTTGTAGCCGACCTCAGAGTAGGAGTGGGTAGGAATTTACAGGATGTTATTCTTCCAAGAAGAGTTGGGAGCATTTTTGGGGGATGTAGAAACTTAAAACAATCCAGGTGTTGAAGTAGTTAAGGGACTCTTTTTCTGGAAAAATAATTAGTTCTCAAACCTGTTTAATTTGAATATTCAATAGAGCTATCACCAGGAACCAAAGGAAATGAAAATGAGGGACAGATATGGTTCCTACCCTTCACGGGCTTATCACAGAATGCTTTGACTTTCACACAAATGTTTTACATCATTTCATTACCTTTACTCCAGCACATTCCAATTAGCCTCCTGGCAAGCAAGTAAATTGCAGCTTTCACAGACTTTTTTTCTTTTTAAATTTTGTTTTTGGAGTTGTGGAGACTGTGCTGCAAATTTTGCTCTTGATAAATGACATTGAAATGTTTTTAATGCCCCGAGATAATGAATGGGAATCTTAATAGTCTTCTAATTAAAATGAAAAATAGAAAAGTCATGAGTGGACATTTTAGGAGTGTAGTTCTGTTGTTTCTTGTTTTGGAATTTGTGGATACACTAAGTGTAATTTGTAATTAAAAACAATTGGGAAACAAGCATCTACTTTGAGCTAATTTTGTTCTTCTTAATGTTTCTAATCTCAGCTGTCTTCACTTATAGGACAATATCTGAGCTTACCTGGAGCCACATTTATAAAACATTATTTTCATAAGTTCAATTATATTAGTTATTATCACATGCATTTCCAGTGAGCTGTGTATGTGGCATTTTTTGGTTTTCTTAGTTGCTAGACTCTGGATTTTTAAGATAATTGATTTAACAACTTTTCAGGGAGCATAAATAAACTGTTAAATGTTCATGTTAATTATAAGCTACATCCTGATTTCAGGTATGTTTTTAAAACACTGTGTATCTTAAAAAAACGAAACCTGATAGAATTGCAGTGATCTGGCCAGGACTCGTCAAGCAGTTAAATATATTAAGGCCCCTGGTTTCATGCACTGTACAACACTCATAATGGGTGTTGATTATATGCTTGGTAACTAGTGGCTTACAGAAAGCAGGACTATGGGCTTTTTGTATTTTGAATTTAAAATAAATATTGTATCTTTTGGGTGTTAACAGAGGCATTTTTGAGTTGAAGGGTATGAAACAATTATTATCTTTATGGTGAGTTACTATTTGCAGATAAGTTAATGGCTTCCTGTGCAAATAACTGTGGAGTCAGCATACCTAAGACTTGAGTTTTCTCTAAAGAAAAAAACATTGTATCTATAGATACCTCTTCAGGGTCATTACACAAACTTCAAAGTATTAATGCTCATGAAAAGACCTCTATTTTGAATTTTTTCTATAAGTAACAGTTTTGCCATAAAATGGCCAGATCATTGTATGTAACTCATGACTTTTTTTAAAAAAAAAAGCTAGTGTAACACATGACACACACAGCCACACCTTTTGAGAGGGAGAGAGAAACAGCATTGTGTCTTTTGAGCCGTTCTGACGTGGATGAACTCTGGTTTCTCCAGCAGTAGCTGTGGTGGCAATGTGGAATATAAATGGCTTATTACTGTAATTAACGTGGCTCAGTTGGTCCCTTTTTTTTTTCTGTTTTTTGGTTCACTAGGGTCTTCTTCTTGTCCTTTTCTGTGATCATTCATCCTTCACAAGAGTACAGACATGGCCCCTGGACAGGAGAGCAGACCTTCCTTTCCTTGGTTTGTTTATACCCTTGCTTTCATATCAGAGTTTAGATAAAAATCTCTTATTTAATTATTTTTAGTTGGCTTCACATGTTTGGAGTTCTAGGTTGTTCTCATTTTGAAATATTCTCTGTTAGAAGTTAGATACCTTGTGAATAAGAGTTGACCCATTGTGCTCTAAGTGGATGTATTGTTTTAAAAATCTAAAGTTTGGAAAGGGTGAAATCAAATATAAAAAACTTATTCCTCAAGTACAGTCACTGCTAACAGTTGCTATATTTGTCTTGTCTCCAACTTATTTCTTTTCTAAAGCATCTATTGAACCTTGGTCTGAAAAATGACATTAGCATCCTTTATTCATTTCTTCTACCCTATGACTAAGATGTCAAACTAGTCCTGGTTTACACAGGACTTTCCCAGTTTTAGCTCTGAAAGTCCCATATGCGGGAACCCCCTTGGTCCCAAGAGGGTCTGTCACCCTACTCATGACCTCCCAATTAGCTAGACTCTGCCTATTACAGTGTCACAGTTAATACACTTATTTCTTATTTCTATAGCCAAACTATGAATATGTTTTTTGTTTTGTCTCTGAGTGGCTTCTGAAAACCTAAAGCCATTATGCAAATATTATTCACTGCGGAGCCGAGTAATAGAATTAGATCCATAGAGAAAGAACTCCCATCGTGGGTCATGAAATTTTGCCACTTGAAGGAGATTTTCCCAGTAGCTTCACTTCTTTATAGACATTTCTCTGCTTTGGGGTTATATTTAGCTTTTACTGTTTTTTGTTTGTTTGTTTGTTTTTGGGTTTTTTTTTTTACTTTTTTAATTTCATGTCATCCTCTTCCTTAGATTCCTTTTTTCATTTGGTAGGCTCCTCCCTTTGAGTAACTTTTGATGTATAATATGCATAGATGGTAAGCACTGTTATTGCATGTTTGAAAATGTCTGATTTTGCTTTCACACTTGATTATTTCAGTCTAGATTCAAAATTATTGTTTCTGAACTTTGAAGGCATTGCACCTCTGATACCTACAATCTAGTGTAGCCAATAAGTCTGATGTTAGACTTACGACATAGTTGATTGTGTGTGTGAGTGTGTGTGTGTCTTTTTACCTCTTTGAACCATATAGGACTTTTTGCTTTATCCTTAGTTCTAAAATTTCACCACTATCTTTTTGTCATCGGTCCTTTTATTTTTGAGCTTTACTATCTGAAGTCTTCTCTAGCTTAGGATATTTTCTCCCCACTAATATTAATGTATCTTCACCTAGAAATCGAGTAGGTGGATTTTAGGCCTCTTGAAAGCGATTCTTTATTATTTTCCTTCTCTTTGTTTTTTATTGTATGTATTAGAGATTTCCTTGGCTTAAATTTTCCAGCCTACTGAATGAGGGCTTAGCCATATAAATGCTATCATTTAGTCCATTAGATTTATATTTTGGCACTTACTTGTTTAAAATCTGAGCGCTTTCTCATTCTTGTTATTCTTTCCAGGAAAGGAGAGTGAATATCTATGGATATTGCCCTGGCCCTTAAGAAGGTATTGTTCTTCAAAGATGATCTTCTTGGATTGCTTAGAATTTTTATTTTCCAGCATCAGAAGCACATACTGAATTTATTAAATTTTAGATAGAATGTATTTCTGTTTTCCACCAAGGCCGCAGCTCCGGCTAAGTTAGGTGTCTTATGGCTCCCTGGAATAATTTAGTCTTTCCTACCTCCTGTGCTCTCATGTCGTTTTTTAATGTGTTTCCTTCCATCTCCCAAGTCTTCTGTAAAAGCTAGTCCAATTGCCCTCCTTCCACCTCAAGTACACAGAAGGTTCTGGAACACCACCCCTCCCCCTACCACTCAGCCAGAAGCTGATTTTTTCCTAACATTCATTGACCCTTGCTTGAACCTTTCTTCTCATTGCCCCTCCCTCTCTTGCCAGGGTCACTCCTGCTAGTGTAGAATTTCTGAAATGAAGGTAAATAAAGGTGTCAAGAGGACAAGAAAATTCCCAAACATGAGAGGGAGAGGATGGAGAGTTCTGGGGGCAGGTAGAAGCCCCCTTGCCAGGTACCCCTTGTGTAACAATTGCTGTTCAGTGGTGGGGAGCTTACATTTCTGCCTCTTACCTAAAAACTTAATTAAACTGAAACTTAATTTCTCAAATTATTTTATGTTCCAAAAATCAGTTCTAAGTCAAAACTGGTGAATAGATGACCAAAATAGAAGCTATTAGAATTCTCTTTATATAGCAGGGAATAGAATTATATAACCTGGATGCATTCCTGAAATTTCTTTGTGGTTTGGCTTCAGTAAATTACTACTTTACCTACAGCTTTAAAAGTATATTTAGACTTAAGTTTAAAGAGTGATAACCACATGTGTAAACATCATTGAATACCATTCTTTTAATGAGTGGGGAATGTTATTTATATTCTGTCTTCACTTCCTCTGGAAAGCCCATTTCTTTTGGGAAGGCTTTAACTTATATTGTACTCACCTTAGAAAGTGAAAAGAATTCACTTTAGTATATTTTAACCCAGCCACAAAATTTTCACTGTTGCTGCTGAGAACCGCTTGGCCCCAATCTCTGAGTACAGTGTTTTAAAATTGAACTGTCTTAAAATAGCAAGACAATATATATGCCACTAGAATAGAGGATGGGTATGTTTAAGGGATTCAAATAACCCTTATTAATGCATTAATTTTTAAAAATGCTATATATTTCTCTATTTTTCTTTTTTAATTTTTAAGAAATTGACAATGAACATATTCATGGAATACATAATGATGTTCATCATCTGCAACATTTATCATTTTTTTGTGTTTGGAATATTCAGTATCCTTCTAGCTATTTGGAACTACGTATTATTGTTAATTACAGTCATCCTCTGGTGATCTAGAACACTAGAATTTATTCATCCTGTCTAGCTGTAATTTTATGTCCTTTAACAAATCTGTTCCTATCCTTTTTTTTTTTTATTTTGAAAAACAATTTTGCAGTTAGTATTTCAATGAGACAATGAAGCAGGCAGGTGAGTGGGAACCGATGACCAAGAGCTTCCTGGGCTGGCCTGAAGAGTCTGGGCTCATCTACATAGTGATGGGGACCATGGGAAGGATTGAAGCAAAGAACTCCATATGATCATGTTTATCGTGTAGCTGTCAGGGTGCAAGTAGACTGGGAGGCAGACCAGAGGGGAGGTCTTGTGTAATGCATGTCGGAAAGCAATGGAGCCATGGACCAGGCAGGAATTATGGTTCCTGTTCAATTCTGAACTTTTATTCTGTATCAATGATGCTGCCATTAGACTAATTTGCTGGTTATTTTATAAAGAGTCCTTTTAGGGCTAGAAGGGACCTCGGAGGTTTCTACGCAACTCTGTCATTTTGTAAATGGAAAAACCCTAAGGCCTAAAGAAGTGAAATGACTCCTCCAAGTCGGACAGCTCCTTAATAGCAGATCTTGGCCTTGGGCCCAAATCTTTCGATTCCAAAGCCACTGCTTTCCCTGTAGGGTTACCCATCTGGCCCTACCTGCTGTCTGCTAAGCACATGCCCAGGCCGGCGTCCCGCCAGTAGGACCGATCACCTGATTGTTGATGGTGCAGAATGTGATATTGACAGACTTTCTATTTTTTTTCTAGTCAGCTCATGACTGACTCTCCTAAATGACTTAATTATAATTTTCCCAACTCTTCCCAAATGCGCAGGCTTGCCCAACTTTTTCAGAAGATGATCTTGACTTTTACTTCTCCGAGCAAATAGAAATCACTTGAGAACACACAGGGCCATGGCCTGCCACCACATCTACCAAGAACCATCATGTTCCTGCCTTTGTCATAACAGCAAACGTGTCCCCATCTTAATTAACACTGGTCCCTGGGTCCTCATTCTTCCTGTATTTTCAGGGATGCTTTGGCTTACTCTTCCTTTTTCAGTATTTTCTACCCCTTCCTCTCTAAAAGATCTATCTTGTCACCATTTATATATCATCCGGACTCTCCCACGCAAAACCCTGCTTGGAATACCCACACCACGCTAGCTCTTTCTACTTCCCTCCTCTCAGGCCTTGTGTAAGATACATGGTGTTTCACTCGTCGCCCTGAACTGTTTCCACTTTAGCCCTTACAATTTCCCAAAACTGCTCTCACTGACCTCATGCCACTAAATCCAGTGAGCACATTCTGCTTGGTTATTCATTTAACAATTATTTGTGAGCATCTGCCATGTGCTGGGCATCGGGCATGCTGTGGTACACAGAGAAATGGGGTCTCCTGTGGTCTAATATTGGGGACAGATGTTAAAGAAATACCTATAGTTGCTGAATATTTAGATCAGAAAGTGCAAATCTAACTAATTTTATGGCAGGAGTACTATATGTCAGTTGTTTAGTGGGCACTAAATGTCAGTTTCATAGTGAAAAACTTGTGGCTAGAGAATGCTCTAGCTTATCTGTGCACTACAAGTGTCCTGCCCTTTGATCTGGGCTTAACTCCACACACAGCCAAATGCCCCCACTATTAGAGGCTCTTTTACGTTTTATGTAGTGAAGATATCTTGGCTGAACATGCACATAAACAGAATCTGGAGAAATATTACTCTGTTCATGGAGTTAGAAACTAGAAACCATACATATCTATATTCTAAATAAAATTATTCTAAAATAAACAAGTTTAATATAGTCTAAACTGGCAAGATAGATTGACGAAAACCCTGATGGTTTCTGTGAAGGAAAGCAAAAATATTGTGCAAAAGAGATGATCTGTGAAGTTCAGACTCTATGAAAGATTTTTGAAATGGTAATCATATTCAGTTTTGAACCATTTTAAGATCAGCAAAATAACCGTGTAAGCACATGTTAGATATGCTAATGAAGGTTTAGTGAAAGTAAAAGTTTTCTCAAGTCCGGATTGAAAATGGCAAGGTGTTTCTGCATATGTCAGTTGTCTCTCTTACTTTCCTCATGGGCTACAATATTCAATATGAACAGTTCCCCTTTTTTTAGAAGTAAAAATGGTCCATGTTAGCAAAACCAAAGATTTCCAGGAAGTGCTGGTGGCTGTGGTGCTGTGGAACGTGTGGATGAATAAATCACTGTTTGGTAGTAAGTGTAAAACGTTTTATTGGAAGCCAGCCCTTCGTATCCATGTTTCCTTTTTCCCTCCCCTGAAACTGAAAGCTCATCTGAAATAGCCTCAGGATAGATGTTAAATAAAAACTCTGTGATATATTTGGAAGTTCTCTTTTTAAAAAACCAATATGTCAAAGCCTGTTTTACTTGACTGATGTGAAAAGGCAAAAAAAAAAAAAAAAAAAAAAAGCAAAAGGAAATTACCTTTCTAAATAGAATATTTTCAAGTGATGTAAGTAACCCTTTTTTTTTTCAAGTGATGTAACACATTTCCCGAATAAAGTATATTTTTACAGAAGCCTGGGTAAAAAAAAACTGTGCTTCACCATTAAATAAATGGGTGAATACAAATTCAGATTTTAAAGTTATCTCCTAAAATATTAGTTTATTAAATAAGTGGCACAAGAAACCTAATGTCCTGTTTCCCCTTATTAAATCTATTTGACTTATGAGATAGTACAACTTTGGAAACCACAGCCAGCTGAATTCTGTTCATTTGAGGGAATTTTATTATTTTAATTAACATTCATTTTCACTGCTTGTTAACACATTCTGAATTGCTTGAAGTTATTGACCTAGATTGAAAGAAGCTCTTGAACTCTATAAAAGGTGGTGCTTATAAAATTTTTCTGCTTAGAAAATGTTGCTCAGTTTCTGTGGCTTCCTCCATTTTATTACGTGTAGAATCTGCCAAAACCTTGCTAACTTTCATAATCACCTTCCTTTTCCTTATTTATGCCTGGACTTGAGTATCTCTGGAAAATCTTGTTTTACCCATAATTTTCCTCCACTGGAATGCTGCCAAGACCAAGATTTTAATATTAAAGTTGTATTTTGTTATGCTTTTAAAAGTTTACTGTATAACTACAGTTGCCTTTGGGCATTGTCTTTAATGCTGTGCCAGCCATCCCACTGGCTAAAGGTCCTGTGATGGTAAGGACTGAATCTGTCCCAATCATGGCTGCATCCTTAGCACCTGCACTGGTATGCTGTTGGTGCTCAAATGTTGGATGCATTCAAGGCATTTTAGGAGTAGCACAGGTTGCTCAACTAAAAGCATTGATAACTGTATTACAGCACTTGTAATATAGCTGCTATCCAGTTTGTCTCCTGGTATGTAACCCTTCAAGAACCTGATGTCTTAGGCAGTGGTTCAGTATTTTTCTATGTAACCCCAGTGCCTATAACAGCACCTGTAATAGTAGCGGTACTTAAGTGAAGCTCATTCATTGAAGAAACATTCCCTACTTTTTGCATTTTTGCCCAGCATCCCCTCCAACTTTAAAAACTTAAGGAAAATAGTGACGGAATCCCCAGTTCTTTGGCCAGCTTTTCTTTATTAAGAGGCCGTCTTTGCTGTAAGTATGAAAAACAGAGAGACATACCAAGGAATATGAGGAAGAGGTCACCTACTGGAATGCCTCATCTCTAATTAAGTATTAGAATTAATTATCCTTTGCCAGGTAACTATGCCAACTTTTAGCCTGTTTAAAAAAAATAAACAGGAAATGGTAAAAATCTAAGGTCTGGACCATCAAAATTTGGTGTTGAGTTCTTGCTGTTTGTCTGCTTTTAGTTTCCTTTTTAAAAGCTCACAGTCAACTTACCATGAAATCTAGCCCAGATTCTGGAAGTATCTGGTATCAGTGTAACACATCTTAATAATGTAGTAAGAACCTCAATCAGTCCTGCCTCATATTGGTGTGTGTCCTGTGGAACCTAGGAATTGATACAAACTGGAAACTGAACTCATCTTAAAAGCTCAACTCATTTCATAAATTGCATTTACATGCAGCATGTGGTGCCTGATGAGACAGGCAAATCTGATATACAATATCTAGATTGGGTGGGGAGAACCTTTCTTTTGACAAATCTTTCCTGATATATCTGTCAAAGCACCACTGAAAACAATTCAATGGATTAAAAACTGCTTGATGTATGTAGCTTTTCCAAAATGTGAGCCGTGTTTCTTGAAGATACCATACTTTATTCACTTTGCAATTCCTCATGCCTGCGTAATGCCCGGCTCATACCAGGCATTCACTACATAATTGAATCAAATGATGAGTAAAACTCATGTATCTACTGGTTAGGAGGCTAAGAAATAGCTACTAAAAGATTTGTACCTCTCCTCTGTGGTTTCCACTTTCAAATTCTAGGATTTTTTCCCCCTAAGTGATTGACACCCACTTTTTTTTTTTTCAAAAGAAGAAATGGCCGTTTGCAAATATCAAATTAGAAATTAAAATTGACTTGAATTTGCAAGGAAAGCTATAGAGCGTGTGTCTGTCTTTGGAGGTCTCTGAGAATAGAAATGGATGTTTGTACATAATCGTAAATATTTGTTAAGTGGATAAACGAATTTTGAGGTATTTAAATAAATTACCTCCATGAATGAAAAATTCAGGTGATTTGTTGAGTTGACATTCTCTCCCTTCCTACTTTGGTCAGCCAGTTTCCATTGTGAATTCTGTAGCTGGTGGATTTTCTTGCTTATAGCCAAAGAATTATATGTGCCTATAGCATGCCAGAACCAGAATTTGGCCCTATTAAAGAACTAATAAAGTCAATAAACATTTGACAAGGAAGAGCTAGGAAAAGAGAGTGGTTTTTTTCTTTTCGTGTTTTTTTTTTTTTTTTTTGTTACAGAGTCTCACTCTGTCACCCAGGCTGGAGTGCAGTGGCGCAATCTTGGCTCACTGCAACCTCTGCCTCCTGGGTTCAAGTGATTTTCCTGCCTCAGCCTCCTGAGTATCTGGGATTACAGGCTACTCCCACACCCGGCTAATTTTTGTATTTTTAGTAGAGTCAGGGCTTCACCACATTGGTCAGGCTGGTCTTGAACTCCTGACCTTGTGATCCACCTACCTTAGCCTCCCAAAGTGCTGGGATTACAGGCATGAGCCACTGTGCCCAGCCGATAGTGTTTTTTGTATTCTTCTTATTTTTACAACTTTTCTTGGTATTTCCAAATATATTTTTTTAAGTTAGTAATATCCTTTCTAGAAAAAAACAGGATATTTTTTAAAAGGTAACTTCTCCAGGAACAACAGAAAGATCCCTAGAAATACATCTAGTGAAAGATATATGAGACCTTTATGTAGAAAATGGAATAATTTTAACATCACTGGAAGTTATTTTTTAAGGCTCTAAATAGTGTGGAGAGGTAACATGTTCATAGACAATATCATTATTATAATATAAAGATGTTGATTTTCTCATATGTAGATCTAGTGTAACCCCAATCAAATTCAACATGTTTTTGGTGGAACTTACATTAATTCTAAAATGTATACAGAACAAAGATTCATAAGTAGCCAAAATAATTCTGAAGAAACACATAGAAGGATTTAGCAATGTTATTTATATTGCTACAAAATCATAGTTATTTAGGCAGTGTGATTTTGGCAATAGGGATGAGCAGTTAGACCAAAAAATAGTAATCTTGAAACAGGCCCACATTTATATAGAATCCTGATATGTAACAGAGGTGCATTGCAAATAAGTGGAAAGAATAAATTAGTAAATGACTCTGGGGTAATTGGTTATCCTTATGGAAAAAATGAAAATGCATCCTTGCCTCACACCATATACAGTCATCAATTTCAACTGGATCGAGGACTTACATGTGAAATTACAAAGTGTTTAAAAGAAATATATAAGAATATTTTCATGTCCTTGGGATAGGAAAAGAATTTCTTAAACAAGACAAAAATCTTTAAACCATAGACATATGTAACTGCATTATATTTAAGATCCTCTGTTGAGAGTGAAGATAAATCATAATCCATAACAGACCTATGGATTTATATATTGAAGAATATATGAAGAACTCCAACAAATTCATAAGCAGAAGACAATTCAGTAGAAAATGGGCAAAATGCATGAACAGATTTTTCACAGGGAAGGAAACATAGATGCATATGAAAATATGCTCAACCTCAGTAATTAGGAAAATGCAAATTTAAACCATAATAATACCATTTCACACCCATGAGAATAGCTATAATTACAATTGTGTAGCACCAAGTGTTGGCCATAGTGTAGTGTAGAGCCAGTGGAACTCTTATACACTATGGGTGGAGTGTAAATTGGTACAATCCTTGAAAAACTTTAGAATTACCAGTAAAGTTCACCATGTGTATGATGAACAGCCTAACACTTTCAATTCAGATAAATACAATGTAGAATCTCCAGCACATGAATACAGAAGAAATGTACAACATTGCTTTTAGTAGGAATAAAACCCAAACTGGATACATATAGTCTACAGGTCTAAACACCAGAGCATATAAATATACCACAAGTTATTCAATAACATACTATCCACCAGTACAAACAGTTGAACTACATAATTAGCAAAATGACACGGGTATATCTCACACAATATTGAATGGGAGAAAGCAAGTTACAATCGTGTATGTACAAGCCTGTTTTACAGTTCAAAAGCACACAAAATTTGTCAGAATGGGGTTTCTACATGTTGGCTTATCCTTGAACCCTACGTGTTTGCAGGATGGCTGCAGCAGCTCTCCCCTCTCTTGTTCTTATCTAATAGTGGGAAAAGTTCTGTTTTATTCTTCATAAAACCCAAAAATTAGGTCTCGGTGGCCCTGATTGGTCTGGTGTGGGCCATGTGCCAATCCATGAACTAATCACAGTAATTAGGGGGATGAAACATGATGAATGGCTTAGCCTAATTAATGTCATTCAGAGCACATGGGCTGGGAGTAGGGCAAGGGAGAGGAAAATGTTGGTGCGAATGCCAGAAGGAGGGTAGATGGATGTCAGGCTTCAAAACCAACAGATGATGTTATTCCACCCACTTCATAGAAGCCAGTTTGTATTACACAGGCCATTGTTACTTGCTGATGTCTATGAATGAAATGAAACAGCTCAAAGAAGGGCAGGTAGAAGCAAGAAAGGGGTTTTTATGTTGCAGTGGATGTAGAGTCACAGGTTACCTAGCTGACATTCCCAGATTGGAATGGACAAATGTGATGTGGCTCTCCAAGATGACAGGTAGGGGCAGCAGCAAGAATCTATTCCAAATAGTGATTCTTTTGAGATTTACGTGATCAGATTTTATATCCCCTCAAAAATATTCCCTTTCTTTTCATGTACTTGACCATCTTCGTTACGGACTTAAATCATATTTTCTGGAAATTCATGGGAGGAACATTGGTAGATTTACCCTTTTGGCATTATTACAATTCGACACTGATCTGAAGTCCTGTCATTTCTGGTAGCCCCTTATATGGATTTCTCCCCTCACTTTGTTTCCTTGTTTCTTTTACAAAGTTCATGTGTTTTACTCAAGAAACAACATATTTTGTGCTTACGAACAAATTTATTGGGCTCCTATATATCAAATAATTGACATTTTAGGGAAAATTTTTATGCTTTGGGTCTTTGTGTAGTCAGTATCGTATATAGAAGTATTATCAGACATGACTTTAAATCATTCCTTGTTTAAGCCATGCCTAACTCAGACCATTAAAAGCCACTTTACCTAGTCACATAGAATAACAATGGCCTTTTATTTTGTCCTGCATATAAAAAGCAAGATTGGTCTCTTTCGTGGGTAATTGTTGTTAACATTCATTCTGGAATAATACAGTTGATCCACAGTTATTGTCAGGGACACATAGCTTTGAGTCTGTTGTCTAAAATTAAAGGTAAGCCTATTTTAGACACTGTAGTTAAAAGGACATGGTGATAGGTTGGTCTCCTTTTTACAAAATCAACCCTGACATTTTATTTATTTTTATGCTCAAATCACGAGTTGTGTTTTGCCTATGTAACTTATTTTAAACATCACCTTGCTTATAGTGTAGACTATAAGTTTAGCATTGTTCTTTGGCCAAAAGCAATAAAATATGACCTGTTTCACCGTGATTCAGTGAAGTGCAGTCAGCATTTTCTTTTCACAAATATAACACTGATGGCTATTTTTAACACTTCCCCAACCTTCAGAAGTGTAATGAAGTTTTGTTTTGACGTAAAATTCTAATTGGATTTTATGTCCTGAGTATAATATATTAGTGGATGTTGTACTTAAGGCCAGACAATCAAATATTCTTAATTTTTTAAAAAATCCTATTTTGAATTTATAGAACAGCCTCTGAGGTTCTCAAGTATTCACCTATAAATAAACATTGCTGATTGTAAAAGCCCTCTTGCTGTTCTCATATTCCTATAATAACTGAAATTATAAACTCATTGGTTTACCTCATATTGAATTTCCTGACTAGATGATGCTTTTTTCTTTTTTTAAAAAAGTACATTTGCATTTTTCATCATTTCTCATGAGGGAATCATTGTCTAAAGATTTCTTTAAATGTCTTCTATATAGATTCTTTAAGCATTATTTTTCTGAATATGATCTATTTTCAGACTGTCTTCATTTTAATTTGTTTGTGACTCATCATTTCTGCCACTGGATAAAAACCAGTGCTTTTTAAATAATTTGTTTTAAATGATCTTAACCTTTACTATTTCTAATAGGTTTTAAAAAGATATTTCTTTTATGGTATCTTTCTAGGTATTCAACCTCGTCACCTGCTGATGGGGATAATTTGGCTGTTTATTTTCTTTCACTGTTGCACAGTGAGACTTTCATTCCTGACTTTTAATAAAAATGTCTATTGATTTCAGGTCTTCTTAAAAATCATGGCAAACTATCCTATTTCTCCATACACTGAGAGATGACCATATGTAGGTGCTGAGTTTACCCCATGCCATTTTGTCATCTTTGAAGATAAGAATAAGTGTTGATCTTTTGTGACCTATTGATAGGGCATAATGGATCTATTTATATAATATTTATAGAATAAACCTTATTTATGGAGATGTGTTGTATACTAGAAATTGAGTTTTCTGAGCACTTTATTGAGGGTTCTTACATCTTATCTAAGTCAAACATGCCTCTTCCTTTTCTCTCTTTGTACCTTATCAGATTTGTGCTGGCTTTATCAAATTGGGGAGCCTCATTTTCCCTCTATCTTGAAAGCTTTTCATATAGTTTGGGAATTATCTAATCCTTGAGGTAAACTGTATGTATTAGTTGTTTAGCCTTTATATTTTTGGTTCAGTGTTGATAATTAAATATCACCTTATAAAACTGTTTCCAATGAAATGTTTGAATTTATTCACAAGGATATTTTTATATAGTATTCATGATTTTTTTCATCTTTTCTGTTTCTGTGATATAGTCCTCTAATAATTCTAGTTTTTGGTTGGATGTTAAGACCAAATTTGTCAGAAATCTGCCCATGAAGTATTTCATTCTGCAATGAACCACCTACTTGTTTTTAAATATTTAAATCACAGAATCCTGCTTTTTTTTTAATTTGTCTTGCCTATATCATATTTATTTCAGACTTAACTGAGCTTAAACATTTAATTTCTTTATTCTCTTCAATGAAAAAGTACTCGTGTTACAAATGAAACTGCATTGTTTTTACTCCTCCTATGCAGAATAAAATTAGCTAATTTTCATTATCCCCACTCATTTCCCCATTTTTGATCATATGAGCTAGGATTTCAGACCTAGGTGGAGCTAATTATAGTAAAGCTTTTTATTAAGTTTTTTTGTTTTTCAAAAATTTTGGAATCCGGCACTCTAGTTGGGCTATTTTTATAATAATAATAATTAGCACATTCTGTGCCTGCCTTTAATGTTCCCCACCAGTGCTATTGTGTATCTACCTTTTCACTCTGAAGTTTTTCTTTTGATTCATCCCTCAATCAACTGGAATATATTCGAGTAACTTTTCTTCATGAAGATACCCAGCTGAGAAATTTCTAGGCACTTTTTTTTAATTTTAAAACTCTGCAAATGTTGAAATGTCTGCGGTTCTTTCTTTTTAAAAACAGTGACCAGGCTGGACGCGGTGGCTTATGCCTGTAATCCCAGCACTTTGGGAGGCCGAGGCGGGCAGATCACCTAAGGTCAGGAGTTCGAGACCAGCCTGGCCAACATGGTGAAACCCTGTCGCTACTAAAAATACAAAAAATGGCCAGGCGCGGTGGCTCATGGCTGTAATCCCAGCACTTTGGGAGGCCGAGGCGGGCGGATCACAAGGTCAGGAGATCGAGACCATCCTGGCTAACACAGTGAAACCCTGTCTCTACTAAAAATACAAAAAAATTAGCCGGGCGTGGCGGCGTGTGCCTGTAGTCCCAGCTGCTGGGGAGGCTGAGGCAGCAGAATGGCGTGAGCCTGGGAGGCGGAGCTTGCAGTAAGCCGAGATGGCGCCACTGCACTCCAGCCTGGGCGACAGAGCGGGACTCCGTCTCAAAAAAATAAATAAATAAAAATAAAGACGAGAGCAAAACTTTGTCTCAAAAAAAAAAAAAAAGAAAGAAAAAAAAAACCAAAACAGTGACCAGAAAAACTGCAGCCCCAAATTTCACCAGATGTAAGCCTCACCCCAATGAGCTCGACCCCTCAACTCTCTTGCACTGATGGAAAGTGAGAAGAACTCAGAGAAGAGTGGCTGTGGCCTTAGGCAATTGTTGGAGGACTTGTGTTTTGGAGCTAGGGATGCTGCGGTGGAGAAGGATTGAAATCAGAGCCTCTCCTTCCATTCCCTGCTTCATGGCCTCGCGTTTTCTCTCTCCTTTGTTGGGGGAAATTCTTCCTGGTTTCTGGCAAGTCACTGAACTCCTCTGTTTACAGAGCTATTGTATGTTCAAGTCTCCTTTTGAATTATCTGAGTATTATTTCAAGGGAAAGGGAAAATCAAGGATGATAGGACTTCAGTAACTTTCTAATACCACATCCTGTGAATTTTTTCATTTTTTAATTAAATGTTTATGATTACTGCTATAGGCCTATTACAGTCCAGTAGCATGATATGGCCTTTTCCTGGGAATATCCTGGCCTTTTGGCATCTAGTCTTCCTTTTAAACAACTTAAAATTAGCCCTGATAGCTCATCCATGTTCCACTAAAAGAATTCTGAGAAAGCAATATTTAAGTAAAAAGCAATTTATTTTTTGTTTTTACTACAGGTGAAGACTGATGAGAAGAGTCTGTGGGTGAAGACATTGAAAAGGTTTCAACTATAAAAGTGAGCTCTTTTCATTTTTTTGCCCCTTGAGTATGAAACATATGTTAAAAGCTGAACGTATTCATAATTTCAGTTTGTTAGTATTTTTGTATAAGTGTACTCTGTAAGTCACATTTTTCGATTTTCAAGTATAGCAGTCCCCCTTATCTGTGGGGAATATGTTCCAAGCGCCCCGTGGATGCCTGAAACCATGGATAGTACTGACTCTATGTGAATTGTTTTTCCTATACATGCATATCTATAATAAGTTTTCATGTCTACATTAGGCACAGTAAAAGATTAGCAACAACGAATAATAAAATAGAACAATTATAACAACACACCGTCATAAAAGTTATGTGAATATAGTTTCTCTGTCTCTCAAAATACTGTAATATTTTCAGACCACAGTTGACTGCAGGTAACTGAAACTGCAGAAAGTGAAATCACCTATTAGAGGAGCTACTGTAGTCAGTTTTTTCTTTTTTTGAGACAGGGTCTCGCTTTGTCACCCAGGCTGGAGTGCAGTGGTGCGATCTGAGCTCACTGCAACCTCCTCCCGATTTGAAGTGATTCTCCTGCCTCAGCCTCCGGAGTAGTTGGGATAACAGGCACGCACCACCATGACTGGCTAATTTTTGTATTTTTAGTAGAGATGGGGTTTCACCACGTTGGCCAGGCTGGTCATGAACTCCTGACCTCAAGTGAGCCATCCACCTCGGCCACCTAAAGTACTGGGATTACAGGTGAGAGCCACCATGCCCAGCCCTGTAGTCTTTTTTAAAACAGAAAAAACTATTCTCAGTCTTTAGACCAGGTACAGTGGCTCACGCCCCTAATCCCAGCACTTTGGGAGGCCAAGGTGGGCAGATCACTTGCGATGAGGAGTTCGAGACCAGCCTGGCCGACACGGTGAAACTCCATCTCTACTAAAAATATAAAAATTAGCTGGGCATGGTGGCACGTGCCTGTAATCCCAACTACTCGGGAGGCTGAGGCAGGAGAATCACTTGAAGCAGGGCGGCAGACGTTGCAGTGAGCGGAGATTGTACCACTGCACTCCAGCCTAGGGGATAGAGTAAGACTCTCTCTCAAAAGAAAAAAAAAAGTCTTTAACTATTTTGTATAGAATAATGACAAATATTGTTACCAAAGGATAAAAATTAAAGAAAATGCGTACTGCAGATTAACATACATAAAGACTCAAAATGGAATCAAGTGTAATCGCACATGACCCATTTCAGAGTCATTTCTTCCCATTGGCTTTCTGGTTTTATTGAATTAGTCTTTAGGTAATATTTTAAATCCTTTTCATTGGCTAGAAAAGTTCTGTGGTATTTTTAACGTATTTTTCTTTAAGATTGAAAATCTCATTTTAACTTGGTGGTGTTGGTTCTTGAAAAACCACAATGACACTAAAAGGGAAAGAAGGAAGAGGAGATATGCCTTTCTGTTAGGTCCAGGCAATTATTTTACTCTGTTTCTTTCCTAAGTACTTTAACTCATCAGGCTCTGACCACATTATGAACTATTTGTCAAGGCCTGCAATGGTAAACTATTTCCACGCTTATGCTTATACGTCAAATGCTTATTAGAGTGTTAGGAATAGATGAAGAAATTTAGTCTGGTAAGCATAGTGGTATCACTTTTTACTGATAAAAAAGTTTATATTTTCGTCTGGGTGCAGTGACTCATGCCTGTAATCCCAGCACTTTGGGAGGCCGAGGGGGGTGGATCACGAGGTCAGGAGTTTGAGACCAGCCTGGCCAACATAGTGAAACCCCGTCGCTATTAAAAATACAAAATTAGCTGGGCGTGGTGGCTCATGCCTGTAATCCCCGCTACTTGGGAGGCTGAGGCAGGAGAATCCCTTGAACCCGGGAGGCAGAGGTTGCAGTGAGCCGAGATCGCACCATTGCACTCCAGCCTGGGCAACAAGAGCAAAACTGTGTCTCAAAAAAAAAAAAAAAGAAAAAAGGAAAAAGGTTTATACTTTCAATTTTATACCAGGTCTTTTTTTTAACCAAGCAATAATCTAAAACAATTAAAAGCTTAAGTGCAACAATGGGTTAGAGCCTTGCCTTTAACTCACAAAATAATAATGCTTTATTGGAGACATAAATATTTAAAACACTGAACTATTCTTGAAGTACTCAAAGTTATTACAAAGACAAACAGTATTTTAGTAGAGTCAAGATTACTTTGCTTGTGTCAGAGTTCATCAGTGTTTTGCTAACTGGTAAAACAATGGTTTTCTTACTGCAGATCTTTATTACTGGCAAGAAAGTCCCAGAAGTTCTTTTCTCTAACTTATGACTAGAATGCTGAGTAGCTTGAAAATCAATAGGTTCTGGTCTGGAGCTGACTTATTCATTAGTCACAGTGCTCAGGGCCCATGATACTTTCAGTGGCCTATGGAATTGTTTTAACTTTACTTTAAAAACAGAAGAAAAAAAATGAACATAGTAATAAGGAACATATAATATGGAACCTAGCTTGTATTATATTTGTCTTTATACCAATGCAGTTGTAAAATTTAATATTTTTTCCTGGAGGAAGAGGCTCACAAAGGCCAAATTGTCCAAGGGCCACAAAAGTCATCATGGGGCCCCACCTGTGTTATAGGTCAGGCTCACCCCCCACGTGTATGTGAGATTCAGTGATTTGAATGCCAAAAAAAAAATAAAAGTAAACAGGCTGGGCGCAGTGGCTCACGACTGTAATCCCAGCACTTTGAAAGACCAAAGCCAGTGGATCGCTTGAGCCTAGGAGTTCGAGACCAGCCTGGGCAATATGGCAACACGGTGAGACCCCATCTCTGCAAAAAATACAAAACTCAGCTGGACGTGGTGGTGAGCTCTGGTAGTCCTAGCTTAGGAGGCTGAGGTGGGGAGATTGCTTGAACTCAGGAGGCAGAGGTTGCAGTGAGCCAAGATTGTGCCAGTGCACTCCAGCCTGGGTGACAGAGTGAGACCCTATCGCAAAAAAAAAAGAGTAAATATTTTCTTTTTTAGAAATGATCTTCTCTGTAAATGAGTCCATAGATATGTCTGCTCATCAGAGAGATGCATGCTTATATCAACAAAGGAAGAAAGAAATGGCATGTTGTTAGGTTAGATGGCCGTAGTTGTTCCTTCTGTTTTCCTAAAATCAAATAAATATTTCCCTTTCCATAATCATTGATATTCTGTTTGCTTTGTAACATGACTAATTTATTCGGTACTACAAAAACTCCTAGATGGATAGATACAGAGATAATTTTCTGAACAAAATTGTCTCTACATTTTGTTCTGTGTGCCTTCTTGTCCAGGGTTTCACCTACCCTGGTTATTTGATGGAAGGGCATCAGGGTAGAGCTGCCACTTAGGGCACACAGCACAGGACTGCCCGGGCGGCAGAAAGATGCACATTCATGTTCCAAGGCACGTCCAGGCACCGGGTGCTGAGGGCGTCCTGATCTTTGCTGTTCTTGCTAGCATTTCCTGAGCCCCTTGCACTGGTGAGTGGGGTAACAGGATAGTAGTGTGCCTTTTATTAGAGACACCAAAGATTAGAAATGGTATGTTTTCCAGCCTAGATTTTGCCATTGCTCAGCACAGCGGTGCTCAGTAATCCGTGGTGCCTTGTGGCCCTACTATGCGGCAGCGCTCTTCCCTGGAGGGTAGGCATCACCCTCCAGTTTCTTCCATCCCCATCTGACTGAGGCACTGTCACTGCCCTCTCATGAGCAGGTGCAGGAGGACCACACTGAGCCCATCCCAGGTCAGTTGCTACTTTTGTGGTACCTTGGTATTGTATAATCTCAACACTGAAGGCTTTGTGGGATTGAAATATGACTGCTTTTTACCTCTAAGACTTAGAAATAATATGGCGAAGGCATGCTCAAGAAGGAAACAACACCGCTCAGCCCTTCACATGTCTTCTAGGTGACCTTGCTACTGTGTCCCAGGGCCTTGTAACTGTTTTCCTCGGGGCTGATGGATTTATTGTAAGGCAGCTAATAGAAGAATGATTGGTGGCTATAGCATAAAGGATTCACATTATGAATAAGTAACTTGTTGTATTGAGCTAGACATTGCTAAGAATATAACCATCCAGGGGGATTCTTGGCAGAATGCCAGAGGACAGGGATGGAAATGCAGTGTTTGATCTTTAGAAAGTCACTGAAGTGCTTTCCTTCAGATTCTTCCATTGCAAAACCTCCTGATTATTGCCTGGCTTGGTGGTGTTATGAAAATGATTTTTAAAAATATGTAAAGTTTAAAATCATTATACAAACCAAATATAGAAGTTATAAAAATATGCACAGAATTACAGCATTCAGAAAATGTGCAGATTAACTCTACCTAAGTATTGAACATCTCTTTTCCTTTAAAAAAGTCTCCTAGAGAAATAGGAATGCTTTTACACTGCTGGTGGGAGTGTAAATTAGTTCAGCCATTGTGGAAGACGATGTAGCGATTCCTCAAGGATCTAGAGCCAGAAATACTATTTGATCCAGCAGTCCCATTACTGGGTATATACCCAAAGGATTATAAATCATTCTACTCTAAAAACACATGCACACGTATATTTATTGCGGCACTGCTCACAATAGTGAAGACTTGGAACCGACCCAAATGCCCATCAGTGATAGACTGGATAAAGAAAATGTGACACATGGCCAGGTGCGGTGGCTCACGCCTGCAATCCCAGCACTTAGGGAGGCCGAGGCGGGTAGATCACAAGGTCAGGAGATCAAGACCATCCTGGCTAACACGATGAAACCCCGTCTGTACTAAAAATACGAAAGATTAGCTGGCCATGGTGGCGGGCGCCTGTAGTCTCAGCTACTCGGGAGGCTGAGGCAGGAGAATGGTGTGAACCTGGGAGGTGGAGCTTGCAGTGAGCTGAGATTGTGCCACTGCACTCCAGCCTGGGTGACAGAGTGAGACTCCATCTCAAAAAAAAAAAAAAAAAAAAAAAGAAAATGTGACAAATATACACCATGGAATACTATGCAGCCATAAGAAAGGATGAGTTCATGTCCTCTGCAGGGACGTGGATGAAGCTGGAAACCACCATTCTCACCAAACTAACACAAGAACAGAAAACCAAACACCACATGTTCTCATAAGTGGGAGTTGAACAATGAGAACACATGGACACAGGGAGGGGAACATCACACACCAGGGCCTGTGGGGGGTTGGGGGGCCAGGAGAGGTATAGCATTAGGAGAAATACCTAATGTAGATGATGGGTTGATGGGTGTAGCAGACCGACATGGCACGTGTATACCTATGTAACAAACCTGCACATTCTGCACATGTATCCCAGAACTTAAAGTATAATAAAAAATAAAAAAAAATCAACCAATAAAAAAAAAACTCTTCTAGAAATTTGAATACCTTAAGGTGGTATAGGGACTAGACATTTTGTGGGGGAGACTTCCTCATTGTAGACCCTTTAGTTATAGCTGGTGAAGAATCTGAGGGGGTCCCTAACTATTCTTGAGAGAAAAAGGATATGAGTTTAAAAAAAAAATACTTGTTTTCTCTCAAAGGGGTGACCTTTGGAACGAGGAAGGAAGTAGCTCCTGTTCCTGTCCTTGGAACTAGGAATTAGGAGCCTCTTGGACAGTCTGTCCTCAGTCTTGTAGAATTATGGTAATAGGTTTCTGTTGAAAATGAGGAGGGGGAAGGGGACATTGTGGTCAAGTAAGTTTGGGATTTCAGTAAGGTTAATTGGTTTCTGTTGCTGTAGACTCTTTACATGCTGCCCTGAATGGCCTCTGTTCAACAAGGAGGTGTTATAGGCAGGGTTTCCCAAACTTCATTAAGCATGGAGCACCTCCTTTCATGCTACCACTCCTTTAATTTTAAACTACTTTACTAGTTTAAACTACTAAAAACTACTTTAAACTACTTTAGTTTTTAAACCTATTACCATATTGTTCTGTGGAAGATAGTTTGGTAAATGCAGATTTAAGGTCAACTATGGCGAAGAGAAGTGGCCAGCACAAACACAGAAATGGGTTACAGGAAGAAATATGAATGGATTGAAGCAATAATTGCATTCTGCCCCTGTTGGAGGAGCTCAGAGAAAGACCATTTGGAGGACAAAGTTCTATACAATATACCATTCACTCTAGCTGGGTAACTTGTAATGGCACCAACCCTCATGTTTGCTAGTTAGGGAGTCTGTGGCCTTTTGCTATCTTGTTGGGCTGACTCTGTGTTCCATGCATAAAAGTGATAGGGTATCCCAAAACATTTAGTTATAGCACTGGCTCCAGGACCAATGAAGAATGACTTTCAGTCATCTCAAATTCTTAGGTGAAAATTTGTTTAGACCTTTTGCTATCAAACTACCTCCAATCTAGTAAGACTTGACAGATCCTGATGGACTCCTTAGGCAACACGTGGTTCAAGGAGAAGTGGCATAAAATTACTTAGCCGAAGTTGTTATTGATAACTTCATTAAAAGTGACCTGTGTGGGATGATCAAGAATTTCTGCTTTGTAGAAAGCACTGAGCTAAGGTACTGTGAAGGATATGAAGGCAAAGATACAAGGCTTCTGCCAATAAATTAGAAATTAATCTGAAATTTAGGGTACCAAAGCAGTTAGAAAGGTGATCAGAAGCAATGGGCTTCGCTTGTGAAAGGGCCATGTCTTTGAAAATACTGCTTATTTTCTGTTGGTTGGTTACAATTATTAATTAAGTCAAAATTGTTTAATTGTTATTCAAATCATCAACATCCTTAACTTTTCGACTTGACCTGTCATTTTCTGAGAGAGCTGCTTTAGAGCTCTCATTGTATTGGTAGATTATCAGTATTTGCTTTTAGTTGTATCAGTTTTCCCTTAATATGTTTCAAGGCTATGTTTCAGATGCATAATGGTTAGCAAGTTATTCACTTGTTATAAAGCTAGGTACAAGATCATTGTTGTACTTTAAAAACCAGATAGAATGTCATAGCCCCATGCAGTACGGAATCATGGATGTCTCATGTTCTTAACATCTGTAGCTGATGATCAACTTGGATAGACCCACCAGAGGCTTGCTCAGGGACCATCTCTAATAGGCACGGAAAGACTGTCACCTAAAATGTCAAAAGGACCAGATGCGCCCAGTAGTGCCAGATCTGCTTTTAGCAGCTGTGGATAAGGAATCCAGTGTCTGGAACAGACATTTAGTTATAATATTTGAAAAACTTGTAGAAGCACTGGACCAGATTCCCCAAGCTTAAGAAGTCAATAAAACAAAATTACCCACCTTTAGGCTTTAGGTAGTCAAAGCCTACATTCATGTTGACTGAGCTACAGCCAACCTTACCTCCCCTCCGCCTTGTCTCCTTTCTTCCTGTCTCATCCCAGATCCCAGTCGTCCTCATTTCAGTTGCATTGTCCAGGGTAGGCATACTTCAGAAGTCTGTGTTTTATTGCATTATACCGTCATGCCTTTTCTGTGCCACAGGAAAGCCTGTTCTAGAGGAAGGTTACATCTGTGATAAAAACTTTTAGAGTTAAGTAGGGTATTAAAGCAATCATTGTGTTTTAAAATAGAAAGACAAGGAATTGCAATTGATCTTAAGTCCTGTATTAAGGCGAGTATTTTCTTTTAATATTCTTTGTCTTAAAAAAAAATGTGAGGCCTGGCTTCTTATAGTGTTGTAACTTCATATACATTCTTTTGATTTCTAAAGCATAGTCATTCAAAGATAAACGGAGTTCAGCAATTTCCCAGGTCCTCATAAATGGAATATAGTAACCAGACTCTTAGTCAAATGCTTGCCAAATCATTTGTCTATGGTTTCCCTTTAATTCCTAAGCCCCTGCCCTCATTTCTAAGTCTTCTCAATTGAGGACTTCCAGTCACCTCTGTGATCACATATTCTTAAAGCTGCCTCTAACTCCTAACTCTCCTCTTTGAGGAAATGAAGGGATTTTAGTACAGCCACATCACTTTGAAGCAGTGTTTGATATCTCTCTCCTTTCCTCCTCCCTGCTCCTCACCCTGCCCTTAATATCAAATTTGTTAGCAAATCTCACTATATTTACCTTACCAGCTGTCTCATCTCTGCTTTTTCATTTCTACTGCCTTCAGAAAGCAAAAAACTAACATTTGCACATTTACGATAAGCTACATGCTATATATTATTTCTTAATTCTTTTAGCCTTGTGCAGTTATCATTAATTGGATTTTACAGATTAGGAGCCTGAAGCTTGCAGAAATCTAAGTCACTGCATAACTCATGCAACTGGCAGTTTTTGAAACAGTTTGAGATCTAAATACCCAACTGCAACCCCAAGCCCAGTGTCATCTTCACAGCCGTCAGATGTGCACGCAGCCCAGCCATGCTGTGTGCACCCGTGTTGGGACTGGGTTCTCTCTCTCTCTCTCTCTTGTTTCTCTGAACTCGTGAACCTCCTGTTCATTCAGTCCACCAGGCTGGTCTACTCAAAGTGCTGAGTTAATTATGTCAGGTGTCTGGTCTAAAACTTACAATGACATGTTGTTGCTTGCTCTGTAAGCTCCAAGGCATTTTTTTTTTCAGTTTTAATTCAAGTGTTCTAAAAAGTATTTTGGGTACAACCAGAACTCTCTCTGCTCCTTGGATTGGAGTCAGTGTGAAAGGAACACAGTGGGCTCTGGGGTCAGCTAGACCTGGATGTGGATCACAGCTCACCTCTTCATTGGGAGGCCTCAGGCAAGTTATTTGCCAACCTCACCTACAAAAGCATGATGCTAAGCTCATTTCAGTTTAGTTGTGGATATCAGAGCATATGTATACAATGCCTGCCATAGTGAGTGCCTGGCCCTTGGCAGACTGTCAAATGGAGCTATGGAGCAGCAGCGGGAGTAATATTATTATCTAGACCTTATCGGTCCTTTTAAACTCAGTTCAGATTCCTTCTCCTTTTTAAATTACTGCAACCTGATTTTACCTGCCCCTGCCTCCAAGTTGCTGTATCAGTTAGCCTCTGAACAATTCATTTAGCAATTTTAATTATATATTGCTTCTTGACACTGCTTTGTGATCTTAAAAACTCTGCTTCAAATACGTACTTGGTTGCTTTTCCTGAGTGCTGTTAATTCCTGCTCTAACGGACTAAAGTAATTTGAAGGCAGGACTAGGTTTTATGCATGGCACACAGTCTGGTGCCTTACATGTAACTACTCACAAACTTTTTTGATCCAAAATTTAGAAACTTCACACGCATTCATAAGAAATCAATAAAAATAAGCTAAGTTGGTTTCAGATACAGAGGGTTCCCAGGAAGGTGTGTACATTGGCAATTAGCCCAAATGTCTTTGTTCATAATTTTTTTTTTTTTTTTTAAGTAGAGACAGGGTTTCACCATATTGGCCAGGCCGGTCTTGAACTCCTGGCCTCAAGTGATCTGCCTGCCTCAGCCTCCCAAAGTGCTGGGATTACAGGCATGAGCCACCATGCCTGGCCTGTTCATAATTCTTAATGTGAAAAATATTACAGGGTAAAATTTTAAAACTAAGTAATTTTACTCTCCAATATGTTTGATAAAACTGTCTTTTAAACTCTGAGAAACCTTAAAACATGGCTGTATATAGAAACATGTTTTATTTTCTTAGAGTTAACCCACTAAATGAGGAAACATTCTAATTTTTTCATGATGATTATCTTCCAGGTGTAAATTTTTCTCAGGTGGATTTACATGTTTCTCTCCAGCCTCTCCAATCCAGATAAATAATTCTTCTCTCCTCCCTACCAAATTTTTCCTTTGGAGAGTCTGATGGAGAGGATGATGCTCTAAAAATATGTCTGAGGAAGGGCTCTTCTAGAGATAAAAATGTGGCATCTTTCAGTTGACAAAATAATTTCATTAAGTATGGGCTTCTTAGTTTATTTAAGCACCTCATACTCAGAGCCAGTTGTTAAAAACTCCAAACTTTATCTATAATTCCAACTGGAGCTTTGAAGGCCTCTTCTTAAACCATAGAGGCATTGGTGAAAGAAAAATTATTTGGAACAAGTTGTAGGTAAGTCTCACCTGCCAACGTGTGTGTTTTATCCTGGTCACATTTCAGTGCATTTGCACAAAGTCTATTTCTAAACAAAAGACATATTATTAATTTTGCCAGTGTTTTGCCTACATAGAAAAAGGTGTTTGTGGAAATACTTACCTAAGGATGAAAGATGTCTTGTTGATCTGCCAAGCTTAATGTTGCTAAATTGAACTGTGCTGGGAGATCCTTTGGATGGGCCCTTTCCAAGGAGAATGGGATTCTTCCTTCGTGGGGTCAAGGAGGGGGAGTGAATAGTGGAAACTGGATCCCTCAGCTGAGGAAAGGTTTCCTCCCCTGGAATAGAATGCATGGTTCTGTGAGCGAATTTGAATGTGTTGCTTTGGGCCCTTGGTCTCACTCGCCTTGTCTACATGGTGATGCTAGAAGAAGCCTTGGCCAGTGTAGGGCATAGGCTGGTCCAGCGCTCACTAACATTAGAATCCACCAAAATATCTCTCTCAACAACATTCCGAAGAAAATCTTCAAAAAGTTTTTAAGAATATTTGAACCTTCAGGATTAGGATTTTTTATAGAGAAAGACTGAGAACAAATCAGGATTCAGTCAGTAAAGCCATGCATATATACAACAGATGTTATATGCAGGCAATCTTCCACTTAAGCCAGGGTTTTTTTTCCCAAAAGTTCATTTGAAAAACATTTTGGAGTGGATTCTTTCCTTGTTAGACATAAAGCTATGCATGTGAAGTCTTCAGGCACACAGAGCCTATTTAACTCATCCTGTGCCTGAAATACAGTTAGGGCCATCTGGGGGCCAGTTCCCATTACTGATGTTCTTCCCATTGTTCCTGTAAACACTGAAATTCCAATATTTGTGGAGAAAAACCATGTTCTGGAGTGGTTCTTGCAACTAGAGAATGTGGTGGAAACATTCTTTATTAGGCCATGTATCTTGATATTAGAGTTTAGAGATACGCCTATTAGCTGTGAAACTATAGTGATATGGAAATCAGTAACCATGTATAAGAATGATTCAGGGGAGCTTCATGTGTATATCAGAGCAATAACAGAAGCACCTTATGATTATGTAGCACTTGAACATTTGAAAAATTTATGTATTGTCCCCATTTTAATTTTGAAACTCTGAGACCCAAGCATTCTTGTTTGTTTTGTGGCAAGAGCTTAGGTGGAATGATTTGAAATAAACAATAAGGTAGAGGCCAGGATCCCGAGAGAAGGATGAGGAGACAGTCAGAATGAGGGCCTGAGGGAGGGGAGGGAGAGGCGGATAGTTCAGAAGAGTGTGTCATGGACCACAGGACCATCCTACCCTCACCGTGTATCCCAAGGCGAGAACCCAAATGTGGATAGTGTTAGGTTGAAGGAGAGAAGGCAGGGGATAAGGAAATGTTTTTCTCCTCCTGTCAGTCAGCTCCTAATCTTCCCAGTATGGTTTCCTTCTGGTGTCTTCAACACATTCTTCTAGAAAACATTGATAACCTTTGGTCAGCTCCTGCATTTGAGGAACATGTTGAGCTAAAAAGCATTTTTAAGCAGGGCTAGGAACCATATATATACCATTGGAACCCGGAACAGATTTTCCTGTAGAAATAAACAACCATTTACAAAGAGTGTTTTGGAACAAGCTCCATCTTCTGTTTTTTGTTTTGTTTTGTTTTGTAGAGACAGAGTCTCACTTTGTCGCCCAGGCTGGAGTACAGTGGCGCCATCTCAGCTCACTGCAACCTCCGCCTCCCAAGCTCAAGTGATTCTCCTGCTTCAGCCTCCCGAGTAGCTGAGATTACAGGTGTGCGCCACCCCACCTGGCTAATTTTTGTGTTTTTAGTAGAGACAGGGTTTCGTCATGTTGGCCAGGCTGGTCTTGAACTCCTGACCGCCCACCTCAGCCTCGGAAAGTGCTAGGATTATAGGCGTGAGCCACCGCGCCCGGCCCAAGCTCCATCTTTAAATGTGTTCTGCCTGTGCTTGCAGGAACCGGTGAGGCTGTGAAGAGAATAGTAAAACGCTGCATTCTCACGGGGGTTCAAAGCTTTTTCCTCTGAAACGCAATGAACTGTTCTACCACTTCCTACACCTCGAGACAAGTGTCAACTATGTATTTTTTAGACAAAAAATTTGAAAGCTTTTTATGTTTTATGATATTTTATGAACATGAGCTTTTCTATCTGAAGAACTTTAAAGCACTTATGAAAAGTATGATGATACTCATGGGGTCACTTTAGAGTACACAAGAAAACAGACGGGAAGAGGTTTGTTGACATGAAATGCTGACCTGCTGACCTGCTGTGAGATATTGAACACGTTATTTTTCTTCCCCCATGGTCGTTCTTCTGACCATCTTGAAAGATAGCCAAGAAAGCTTTTTCTTCTAATTATTTCCAGTTATTGTAGGTTCATTCAGACCTGCAATTAAACAAATTATCCATGTTTTGAGAATATTGATTTTAAACATTAAATGTTTACATTTCTATATAGAGAGAATTCATTCTCTGCCCCCTACCACCAGATTTTAGCCTTAAAGGCAAGTTATTTAGTTTTGCTTATTCTCATACACTGAACAGTTGTTTAGCAAATGGCTTAAATAATGTGGTCTCTTGATTCAGGAAAATGTGGCTCACAAATGAACCATTTAGAGCAAATGGTGCATCTTTTATATCTTAGATTTATAGTGCAATGAAGACATACTCTAAAGTTCATATTTTTATTTTTATGGTTCAGTATATTTGCAGGAAGAAAGGACTAGAGATTTTTCAGGCACTTTCTTTTCTCTCTCTCTCTCTCTCTTTTTTTTTTTTTTTTGAGATGGAGTCTCACTCTGTTGTCCAGGCTGGAGTACAGTGGCATGATCTTGGCTCACTGCAACCTCCACCTCCTGGGTTCGAATGATTCTTCTGCCTCAGTCTCCTGAGCAGCTGGGACTACAGGCACCCGCCACCACGCCTAGCTAGTTTTTGTGTTTTTAGTAGAGACGGGGTTTCACCATATTGGCCAGGCTGGTCTCGAACTCCTGACCTCGTGATCCGCCCGCCTTGGCCTCCCGAAGTACTGGGATTACAGGTGTGAGCCACTGCGCCTGGCGGGCACTTTCTATACTAATGTTCAAAGCACATTCACATCTATTGTACCTTTTATCTCCCACTCTCCATCTCCAGGTTTATATTTTCATTGGTACTTTATCAGAACACTTTGTACTGTGATAGCAACTCTTACTCAAATTTGGTAAAACAAACAGAAATGAGTAAATTGCTCTTGAAGGAGTACAGCCTCTAAGACTCATTGGTTCAGTGACTCAGAAACATCACTGAGGACTCAGTTTCTTCCCATCTCTCTGCTCCACCATCCGTGGGGTTGGCTTCTTTCTCAGGCAGTTTCCCCTAAGTGGTCACAAGATGTCTACTAGCCACAAATGGAATAAGAGGTTCCCTTGTCCATGTGCACCAGGAGACAGAAACCTCTTCACAGCCTTTCAATACATATTGTCCCTTCTTTTGATCTGATGTGGCCACTTACATCATGAAGGGCAGTAACCATACTCAATGCCCGCACTGATGGGCTTACATCCGGCAGGATCCACCTCTAGGGCTGGGGATGGCTTAGCTCCAGCTATGCCATATGACTATGTGTAGAAGAAACAAGGAAGTGGTTACCTTGGGGAGAAGTAGAGAACAAATGCTGGGTAAGAAACCAATAGCACCATTAAAATGGGGCCATTGTACTTCATTGTGTTATTCTTTTTATTCTCTAAATAAAACAAATTCTGAATATAATCTGTGAATCCCTGGCTCTTATCTCTACACACTATTGCAGACTCTCCCTCCTTCTTCAGAGTCCCTCAAGGCATTTCATGGCACTGTGGTGGGGGTGTCTCGTGTTGTGAAGGGCTGTGGTGGTGTCTTCTTCTCTGGTCCAGGTCGCTGAATCTCCTTGACTGGAAGGTGCTGGCAGTTCAGCTGACACCGCCATCTAGAATCACTCAAGCACAAGAGCCCGCCCTGGGCCAACTGGGGCTTTGTTCTTTGGGATACGTGCAAGAATCATACCACATTCATCGCAGAATTGGGGGAGATGCTTCTATCTCGGGGAGTTTTAAGTGACAGTTACTCTATCAGATTACTCTGTTACTTTCTGCTTTCCATTCCTTTGTCTTTAGGATTTAGACATAGGCTGTGGGAACAGAGCCAGATGACAATAAGGCCAATAATTGGGCTGCTGAGAATGGCTTCCAAGCTGCTGGCGAGGACAGCTGGGTAGAGATAGGTTGCAACCGGGAGAACAGGCTCCTTGGGGTATTTAGTGCCCGAGTTAAATAGACCAATATAGGTGATCTGGGAACACATTTATCCTTATGCATGATCTGTGAGAAACTGGGTTCCAGACTTGAAGTCTGGGCTCAGAATGATTTAGAACACAATCTGTTTGCAGGTTGCAAGTTACTTAAATAAATTATCGCTCTTCTTGCCTCTATTGTCACCCACTCTTCCCCAAAACACTACGTCATTAGAAGAGAAAGCTAATATAATAGAAAAAATAGAACTTTTCTTCCTGCCTGTATCAAGGCAGTAATGATTTGATTTAATAATGAATGTCGTGGCTCACGCCTGTAATCCCAACACTTTGGGAGGCCGAGGCAGGTAGATCACGAGGTCAGGAGTTCAAGACCAGCCTGGCTAACACGGTGAAACCCTGTCTCTACAAAAAATACAAAAAATTAGCTGGGCATGGTGGCACGTGCCTGTAGTCCCAGCTACTCAGTAGGCTGAGGCAGGAGAATCGCTTGAACCCAGGAGGCGGAGGTTGCAGTGATCCAAGATCGTACCACTGCACTCTAGCCTGGGCAACAGAGCAAGACTCCATCTCAAAAAATAAAAATAAAAATAAAAATAAAAATAAAAATATTAATATGAAGGCTGAGCAGGGGGACTTTTTTTTTTTCAGTTTCTTTACTGCATCAGCACAGGTTCTTGGGGAAATGCTCTGGTTTCTGTCAACTATAGAATCAGTGGTAAAATTCCCAGCTGCTTCTGGCATTTGTCCCTTTATTCCCTATGATTTGGCCAACCAGGGGAGTTGGTTGGGGTAGCATGGGAAGCCCACAGGAGCTCAGTCATAAGGGGAAGGCACAGTTAAGGCTAAAGGAATCCATAATGTATAAACTTGGCCTCACTGAGCCATCTGCCCATGATGGGGTGGGGCCTTGCCTCCATCTCTCCTGTGTAATGGTTATCCTGTAGGTGGTCTGATGTCCCCCTCATGTCTTTCCACGTTGGAAATGCTCTCGTTTAGACAACAATTTCCTGTTAAAAAACAAAAGCATAGCAACAGAAATATGTGGTTTCTTCTGAGTCCTTCCTCTACCCTGGCAGTACTCTGGATGAAAAGAGTCAAGTTCTATAAATATAATGCAGCTTCCTGGACAAAATGTATTAAAAGGGTCAGATGTTCCACTTTCTGCAATCCAATGGAGTTGTGGTTGTCTGAAGTCAACTGATGCATTCAGGTTGGAATGGCGCCCAGGGAAGAGAGTTTAGGAACAAGCATAAACTTGGCCTTCCTCTCATTACACTGAGTTCGCCACAGGATAACACTGTCTCCCACCCTCAAGGGTTTCCATGGTCTGACCAGCTGCAGCTCCTGTCACTTCCCCATCCCACACTCCCTCTGCTTCGGCTGTGTTGGTCCGTTCATTGCTAACTTGCGTCTGTTTGCCAGCTTGCTCCATCTTCTCTGCTTGGGGCAGGATCAGATAACCAATGAGCCCAGTGTCTCTACCACTCCCTTTGCTCACCTCTGCAGTACCTAGGTGTTCATTGCAGACACAGAAAAGACCTACTCCTAAGTATCTCATGTTATTGATGAGAAAATTGCAGTCTGGAGAGAGCTGGCAATACCATCAAACGTGCACAGCAAGTTCATGTCAGAGACTGAGCTGGAATCAAGATATCTTGCCTTCTAGCTTCATACAGTTGCCATCATACCAGCTGCATTGATAATTTTTTTTTTTTTTTTGAGATGGAGTCTCACTCTGTCGCCCAGGCTGGAGTGCAGTGGCGCAATCTCGGCTCACTGCAATCTCCGCCTCCCGGGTTCACACCATTCTCCTGCCTCAGCCTCCCAAGTAGCTGGGACTACAGGTGCCCACCACCACACCCGGCTAATTTTTTTATATTTTAGTATATGGAGTTTCACCGCGTTAGCCAGGATGGTCTCGATCTCCTGACCTCGTGATCCACCCAACTCGGCCTCCCAAAGTGCTGGGATTACAGGCGTGAGCCACTGCGCCCAGCCTGATAAGATTTTTAAATTTTCTCCAAAAGGGGGTGTGTGTGTGTTTGTGTGTGTGTGTACAATGCTTAGGGATGCCAAGCTATTTAAATCATATAGCATGAAAACTGGGCCTGTCTAAACATATATTAGGGTTGGGTCTGCATCACCTTTAGTTAGCTAACTACTAATATTTCAAGTTTTTAGCATCCCTAAAATGTTTGCTCACCAGTCTTTTTAAATATTATATTGCTGCGGACATAATTTTTTTAAAAAGAGTTTCTACATATGATTTTGTGAATACTTAGCCTTTGACTAAGGATTGACTCTGAAAAGGCTGTTTCTATTATCTGTTCAGCCAAGTCTTGTGTTTTCAACATATATGTACTAAACAGCATTATGTTGTCTTAATATGACACTAAAATGGGGTTCAAGGCAGAACATACTTCTGTTTGTTACAATTTAGGATCATAAGGTATCTTGGAAAATAGTAGTCTGAAGTACAGAATCCAAGGACAGCCTCCTGTGGTTTATTACTTTTATTTATAGCAGTCTACTTTTTCCTATTTGCAACAGATTTGGCTAAACAATGTTTTATTAATTCAAGCAGGAATATTTTCCTGCATTGAATTTGCATTAAAATTGCCTAGGAAATAATATTACCCGGTTTTCCTCACACACCCTCTATGCTGCTAGAGAACTTTTAGAAAAGCTGAATTCAGAAGTCTGCAAATAAATGAAACTGTGAAAAGTAGAGGTGACTCTCCTTTAGAACTACAAGGGATAGTGAATCCATCAGCAGTCACAAGTAAAAATACTGTCTTCTTGTGGTAGAGTGCTACTTATTCCTTTAAAAGCTTTTCCAGCCCATCAGCAGGTATTAAAATGTTCAAGGCCTCTTGTCTTTTTGTAAGATGTGTGTATAAAAAAGAATTCAGAGCAGAAGGTTTGAAGATTATCTTGTATACAAGGGCGGCTAAAATACGTGCAATAGGTCTTTCCAGGAATATGAAAGTGAAGATTGATGCCGAAAGTCTCATTGCTGTTTTTCTAAACTGGTTGCTGTTGGCTGTGAAAGCTTTCTTTGAATTAGTGAAGGTTTCATGTGCCCACACATAGCCTGAAGTGAGAAACTCACTGTTGCTTGTGCTTGCCAAAAGCAGACATAAAGCATTGGCTGCCCTACCTGTAACTTCTGCTAAAAACAGAACACAAAATTATCATGGGAGCCTTCAACAGCTAGAACACCATCTAAACAAAGTAAAAAGTGATTGGATTCTTTATGGCTCCCTCAAAGATTTTTCAACTCCCTGTAGTCCAGTTCCAAAAAAAGGAATGATGGTTTTCTTGGAGAGCCAACAGTTCCCTTTGTAAGTTTCTGGAATTTTTGTACATGATATTTTGAGTTCTTCTACAATAAAATTTAATGGTCCATTTGAGAAAGTGTACTCATATTAAATGTAGTGTCTATTATTGGGTAGTCTGAGACAATTCCTGAGTGCTCAACTCTCCTTTGATCTGTCGAAACATAGTGGTTGCCATGGAGTCTTGCTGGCCGATGACCAAGTAGGAGTTCCACATTCCACTCAGCTGGGCGCAGTGTTCCTAATCAGGCCGGACCTGAAACTCTAGCACAAAGGACTTTAAAACCGGAATGCTTTATGTGTAATCACTGAAAATAAGTTGATTATTTGTAGGGCAGAGTATGGTAAAGGTTAAAAATTTCATGTTTCACTTATTTAAATTTTGATTTGTTTCTGGAAAAATATTTTAGTCTTCTGATGATATGAAATGTAAAATTCTCTCTAGTCCCCCTGCTTTGTACAAAGTAATACAAAACAAGATTTGTCTTATTTGACCTTAAATATAAATAAAATGGCAGCTGAATTATTGTGAGCAATGTAGCTCAAGTATCTGGCCGTCATCTTTGCATTTTATTGCAGTGATGACTCCATGCCATTGTTAATCTGGATTTATTTTTAAACAGTTTAACTAGGGCCTTTTTTTGCAGGCTTTTCTTTGTTTCTCCCCTACTTAGTTCTGAGGAAAGCCTAAAATAAGATCCCTGTAAACACTGATGTTCATTTTTTAACTCAAACATTTGCACAGCCCCACTGTGGGTTCAGGAAAGACAAAAGGAGGCTCCTGACTTAGATCTAGCCCTCAAATAGAGAGGGGAGAAAGCCTTGAAGACACATCACTGTAGATAGCTGGGATGTGTTTTTGCTGTACAGAATGAGTAGGAGTGAGGAGAAAAGATGACTTTTGCCTGGATAGATGGGGGGTTGAAGAGGCTTCTGAGATGGTTTTTGATTGCCTACCGAGGTCATTCTCTGACCTAGTTTGATGTCTAACTCCCTTATAATTGCATCAGCTTGAACCCATAAGGCTTCAGTCTGTGGGGAGAATTAACCCTTTAGCTAATGGATAAAATAACGCGACGTTCTTTGGGGTTAAATTTTTGCCTAAATTACTTTTAATACCTTACTCGATGTCAAAGTTACTGGAACTGTGTATTTAGTCCTTTCGGCATCATCCTATGCTGTGTAAAGAATTATTCTTTTTTTTTTTTTTTTTTTGAGATGGGAGTTTTGCTCTTGTTGCCCAGGCTGGAGTGCAGTTGCGCGATCATGCCTCACTGCAACCTCCACCTCCCAGGTTCAAACGTTTCTCCTGCCTCAGCCTCCCGAGTAGCTGGGATTACAGGCGCCTGCCACCACGCCCAGCTAATTTTTTGTATTTTTAGTAGAGACAGGGTTTCACTATGTTGGCCAGACTGGTCTCGAACTCCTGACCTCAGGCGATCCACCCACCTCGGCCTCCCACAGTGCTGGGATTACAGGCGTGAGCCACCATGCCTGGCCAAGAATGATTTCTTAAACTTCAATCAGGTCCTTACCAAAAATGCTCTTCATGTGGACATTGCCATAACCCAGATTTTGATCCTAAAATGTATTTCTAATTTCCTTTTCAAACCATTCCTGGGATAACTAAGGGATTTTTGTGTTTAAAGAAAACAGTGGCTTTATTAATTTTTACCCTTGGTCCTCAATGAGATAATTGTTTATTTTTCTTCATAAGCCCCATGGATTTTGATAGAAGAAAAATATTGATTATACAGTATTTTCACATATGTTTATGTTTTCAAAGTAAATAAACAATGAGGAATCAATTTTCAAAAATCAGTAACATTGTGGGTTTTTTTCTAATAAAAAATCAACTTACACAGGTTTTTCTTTTCATAGCCTTCCACTGACCTTTATTTCATTGACTTTATAAGGAATATGTTCTATTTTGTTCATATTTGTTCATATTTTTAAAGCCATGTATAAGATAAACGTTGCGTTTGTAATAAAGAGTAAACCTAAGAACAAGGCACAGAGATGGAAGGCTAACCCAGAAGGACAACATCGAAGCCCTGAGCAGGGCAGCCACCTACGCTACACAGCCGCAGCATGCGCTACCAGTACCAGTCACAAATCTGAGCATGGGCGCCCCCTGGAGTTGTACCAACATGTCAGTCCTAGAACTAAGGGTAATAAAAAATGCTTTTGCATTCTTGTGCTCATTCAGCAAAACTTTGGAGTTCCCTATTTATCCTGGGAAGAGTGGGGAAACCCTGGGCCACATGAGCATACATAGATAGCTAAAGGGTCTGTTGGTTGTTGACCCCACATAGTCCATTTGGCTGAGGGAAATGACATAATGTTAACGCTTATGTTGCTTCTTTTTCTGTGTTATTTTATTATTGTTGTTGTTGTTATATGAGTAAGTTCTTTAGTGGTACCCATCACCCATGAATATACTGCACCATATTTATAGGCTTTTATCCCTTGCCCCCCCCTCCCATTCTTTCCCCCAAGTCTCCAAAGTCCATTGTATCATTCTTATGCCTTTGCGTCCTCATAGCTGAGTTCCCACATACCAGTGAGAACATACAATGTTTGGTTTTCCATTCCTGGGTTACATCACTTAGAATAATAGTCTCCAATCTCATCCAGGTCACTGCAAATGCTGTTAATTCACTCCTTTTTATGGTTACATAGTATTCCATCATATATATATATATATATATATACACACACACACCAGTTTATTTATCCACTCATTGATTGATGGGAATTTGGGTTGGTTCCGCAGTTGTGAATTGTTCTGCTATAAACATGCCTGTGTAAGTATCTTTTTTGAATAACGACTTCTTTTCCTCTGGGTAAATACCTGGTAGTGGGATTGCAGGATCACATGGTAGATCTACTTTTAGTTCTTTAAGGAATCTCCACAGTATTTTCAATAGTGGCTGTACTAGTTTATATTCCCACCAGCAGTGTAGAAGTGTTCCCTGTTCACTGCATCCACACCATATGTTGCTTCTTTTTCCTCCGTCCTAGAGTATTCCTTAAAAGAGGAAAGGACAGAGCCATTATGGGTAAGAAGGAACCAGTGCCCCAGACTGTTGAGGAATTGGTCAAGTCAGAAATCACTTGCTCACTCTGAGCCAACATTTATGGAAGGACTCCATATGCCGGGCACTGTAGTAAGTGCTGAGGAGACAGTGCTTACATTGGTAGTGACACCTGCAAGAAGCTTAGAGTCTAGTGGAGCTGAAAGATAACAGTTTAAAAAACCCCAAGTATATTATTTTAAATTGTGGTCAGTGCTATGAATGAAGAGACCAGGATGCTCTAAGAGATCACATTCTAGTCACAGGAAAAGACTAGGGAAGACCTACATGAAGTTGGGACATGAATGAAAGAGTGAATGAATGGAAAACCAGTGAGGCTGGAGGCAGTGAGCAGTGGGGATGGGGTTGGAGAGAGAGATGAGGACTAGCTCTTGCACAGCCTTGCAGACCATGTTAAGGAGTTTGGTTTTTATTCTAAATGCAATGGGACTATATTTATAGGTTTTAAGCAGGAGGGTGATGGAATCCAGTTCAGCTTTCTAAAGATTCACTAGCTATTGGGTGAGAATGAATTACAGAAAGTGGGGTGGTAAAGAGATGACAAGTCAGAAGCCTTGTGCTGCAGGCCAGTCAAGAGCTGGTGGTGGTCCCTTGGGCCAAGGGGTCCCTGATAATAGAGAAGTTATTCTCCAGGACACAAAAAAATATGCAGATGTTATCAAAGAACCCCTCTTTGGGTAATGGAAAAAGAAAATGCTAAGTCTTAATCCCAATATTTCCCCCACCTAACTCACCTTTTATCTGCTGTGCAAGTACTCCCTCCTTCTCTCTATATAGTGGAGAAAATTAGAGCCTGATTCCACGGGTGTTCATATGAATAAATTAATGCTATGAGGTGCTTGGAAGTCCAGTGCAAAGTCTAGCAGTTGCTGCTACCTCCTCTGCTTTCCTCGATGTCCCGTTAAGTTCCCAGGGGAAGCCAGACAGCATTTATATTGTTTGATCATGGAGATGAGTGAAAATTGAGATTAAGGATGATTTCACAATTGTCTTAGAAGTGGAATCCTTTGAAAATATTTCATTAGTTGCTCATTCTAAGTATTAGCCTATATTAAATTGATGCTCTATTTCACCAGTAGGAGCATTTAGGTGAAATCAGAGGATAGAAAAAATTAGTGGATAATTAAAGGAATGGAAAAAGAAAAATATAGTTATCTGTTGTTATTTGTAGATGTTTAATTTCATTTCCAACCAGGTCATTTTATAACGACAGGAAGATGAGAGTCCTCATTTTTCAAGTTTGAGTGAGAAGAAAGTGTACCATTTATAGATAAAAAAGATAAGATTAAATAAAGTAACTGCCACCTTCTGATGCTCTCATTTCTCTCAGTATTTCTGCAGGTAGACTGAAAGCATGAGTGTCTACTTTTGAGCAGAATGAAATAAATAATTCAGCATTTTCTACTGCATATCAACTCTCTGCTTATTTCCCCCTTCAAATTGCATATTCTGGCAAGATTTCTCACTTGTAAAAGCATTTAATTACTGTGTTTGGCAGTCATGGTTGGTTGCATTATATAAACAAACACCTACTTCAAACATTGAAACTGATTTTTTTCATAGTCGGCCGGAAAGCAAGACTATTTGATGTTCAGTTTGGATGCCCTATTTCTGATTATATAATTTAGGTCTGGGAATAGAATTTTGGCATGTATCTGCAGTTCTTATGCCATAGAAAATTAACCTTTAGCATCCTCTCTAAAAGGGCAAATCATCATGCATACAAGTTCCAAAAAAAACTTTTAAGGTAAGCTTCCTTCTAATAAAAGATTTTTCTGTCTTCAAGCAAATGCACATCTCTCTAGTACTGCGTTACTTTCAAATATTCTGTGTAATCTGTGACCTCTGCAGAGCCATAGCTAACTCAGCCCCCAAGCCAGACATGGAAGGATCCCCAGGTGTTTAGCTGAAGATCTTGGTAGACAAAGTTCATTTTCTTTGGCCTGTCTATAGGCAATGCTTGCTTTCGAATCCTTAAATATATTCAAGAACACTTCTCAGCTCACCAGATTCTAGAGCATTGTGTACACTTGTAGTCAAGTACAACTCAGGAAAGCCAAAGCCCTTAATGAACTCTTTCTTTTCTCTTCTCCTTCCTTCCTTCCTCTCTCTTCCTGTCTTTCTTTCCTTCCTTCCTTCTTTCCTTCCTTTCTTTCCCTCTTCCCTCCCCTCCCTCTCCTCCTTTTTCAGGGTCTTACTCTGTCACCCAGGCTGGAGTGCAGTGGCACAATCACGACTCACTGCAGCCTCAACCTCCTTGGCTGAGGTGATTCTCCCATCTCAGTCTCCCAAGTAGCTGGGCCTACAGGCGTAAGCCACCATGCCTGGCTAAATTTTTTTGTATTTTTTGTAGAGATGAGCTTTTGCTATGTTGCTGCGGGCTGGTCTCAAACTCCTGGGCTCAAGCATTCCACCCAACTTGGCCTCCCGAAGTGCTGCAATTATGGGCGTGTGCCACCGCGCTCACCCTATGAACTGTTTTTTTCTAAGCTCAGTTTGTAGAAGAGAGCCTGACCTCCCTCTCCACCACACACCACACACACAAAGTGTGTAGACATGAGGAATTTATTTAAGGAAAAAAAGAATCTTTGAATGTGTATCAGCCTATCAGTGTTTATTAATCCCAGCTCCTCCACCTTCTTCTTAGTCTACTCTCTGTTATAGATTCAACCCTGAGGCAGGGCAACAGTTTGAATCATCGGGGAAGGTTAAATTATAGTTTGTATACTGCCTTTACCTATCAAGTTAGGGATATGCATGACCCAGTTTAGGAAAAAAAAAATGAACAAGCGTTGAAAAAGGTTTTTATTGTTAACTCTAAAGTTAACAGAAAGTTCAGTTAAGCAGAACTTTTCATCTCTTAAGGAATTTGGATAACTGCTCTTTTACTCTACTGTTAATGACAAAGAATGACCTCAGAGTCCAAGCTCTCTTCTCTTTCTGAGAATTAACCTGCAATCAGGAAGTGATATAAACTCTTCTAAGAATTATATCCACCTAAATGAAGAGTAGAGAGCTAGCCAGGTTCAAAGCATTGTTATCAGTTATTATAGACCTACACTTATGGCACCTGAGTTTCACTTTTGTTTCAAGTTACTTAATGCCAGATTACACCTGTAACTTTCTCTCTCTCCTCCCTCTCTCTCTCTCTCTCTCTCTCTCTCTCTCTCTCTCTCTCTCTCTCTCTCCCCCCTCTTCTCTTCTTTCCATGGAGTCTCGCTCTGTCGCTCAGGATGGAGTGCAGTGGCATGATTTCAGCTCACTGCAACCTCCACCTCCTGGATTCAAGAGATTCTCCTGCCTCAGCCTCCTGAGTAGCTGGGATTACAGGCACCTACCACCATGCCTGGCTAATTTTTGTATTTTTAGTAGAGATGGGGTTTCGCCATGTTGGCCAGGCTGGTTTCGAACTCCTGACCTCAAGTAATCTGCCTGCTTCAGCCTCCCAGAGTGCTGGGATTGCAGGTGTGAGCCACCATGCCCGGCCACCTCAAACATTTCTTTAAAAAGACACACACAAATTGCAAACCGTTTGCTATTTAAAAATGTAATAATAAGCTCAAAACTTTGGTATGGATTTATATAGTGACCTAGCCGAGAAATATTTAATAACCACAGGCAGCATTTTGGGAGTTCACCATATGCCAGCAGACAGTATAGGGCAAGTTCTTTGCATGAACACGATCATTTTTCCTATATCACCTATAATCAGCTGCTGATTAGTCTTCCTTCCCCCTTCAGTCCCCTCTCTGTTCACACCATTTATTAATCTGCAGATGGGCAAACTTGCATGATTGAGGAGCTTACCTGAAGACACGCGGCTCATAAGTGGCAGAACCAGGACTCACACCCAGATCTTTTGTACACCAAAGTGTGTGCCCTCAGCTGTGTGCACTGTCTCCTGTGCGTTCATCACACATGCTCATCCATTCTTGCTTTTTCTCTCACGCTTTCTGGATTAGTGGAGAAAGTTAGGCAAAGGGAGATCCTCCCTACAACCTTATCTTTCAGTTATATTTGGAGGGTCTTTTATCCCCTTCCTAAGATAGTTTTATTTTAGCCTCTTGTCTTTAATGATAAAACTTATTTTTGTTTTTGTTTTTGAGACGGAGTCTCCCTCTGTCACCCAGGCTGGAGTGCAGAGGTGTGATTGGCTAATTTCTGTATTTTTGGTAGAGATGGGGTTTCGCCATGTTGGCTAGGCTGGTCTCAAACTTCTGACCTCAAGTGATCCACCTGCCTCGGCTTCCCGAAGTGCTGGGATTACAGGCATGAGCCACCATACCTGGCTGATAAAACTTACTTTTCTTAGTGGGGGGAAAAGCATGAGGATTATTTAAATCTAAGAAGATGAAATTAAGTAGCAAAAAAGAAACTGTATAAACATTTATTGCAGATATCATTAAATACCTACAAAACATAGATGAAACGAGTAAAAAGTGAGTAAAAATAGTTACTAATACAAGATATAATTCAAAAGAAAAAAATTCAAGATTCAGACCACAAGCCATATAATATATCACAGTGAACTCCCAATGAACTAAAGAATTACAGATTTGCAGTAGCACAGTTTCAGCTGTAAAGAAGAAAATTTTTTTGAAGGAGGAGAAAATTGAAAAGGGCAAAGATGCACATATTTATTGATATGAAGTTTAAAACCTTTTAGAACTAGAACGTAATGAAAGCAACAAAATGGGAAAATATGCACAGCAACAATTGGAGACTTAATTCATGTGCCCACACAAGAATTTATATAAATGTGAGCACAACGTCAGATTCTAATTGGATAAGTGGTCCAAGGATAAAACCGGCTATTACACAAAGGAAAACAAATAGGAAACCAAATCTGAAAATAACACTCAAATACATTTTAAAATGGAAACATTTTACACCTATCAAATAAACGGAAGTCAAAAATCAACAAGGGACAGGTTGTGGAGAAACAGGTTATATTCATGCATTACTGTTAACCGTGTAAACTATGTAATCCTTTTGGAGAAAACCTGACAGTATATAATAAGGATGATGACAGTCTTACCCTTTGAACCTGCTGTAGCTCTTCCTTCCTGGCAGTTTATCCCGACGGTGTCATGAGACAAGAACTTATTGAGCAACTGCAGTGCTAGAAGCTGTGAGAAATGGAGATGAAGGAGACAGATTCTACCCTGAAGGTGAAGCTGGTGCAACTTAAAGGCACTAACATAATTCATGTTCAAAAATGTCTTCATGGAATTAATTATAATGAGAAAAAATACTTAGTGACAGCCTACATATCTAAAAATGTAGAACTCATTATTTTCCTGAGTCACCCACCACCCTATAACCAACTCTCTCCCGTTCTTCTATGCATACCCTGGGAGTGAATGGCAATGCCAGCCCCAAGGTGCCTTAACCACAAGCTTCAGCCTTTCCCTCCCTCCTCCCTCTCCTTCATAGCCCAGCCCCATCCAATCAATTCTCAAACTATAGGCATTCTCCCTGCAGCTGCCTTTATCCAGGCTGCCACCACCTCATCAATTCTCAAACTATAGGCATTCTCCCTGCGCTGCCTTTATCCAGGCTGCCACCACCTCTTCCTTAGCAGGTGTCTATCTCCATACTTGCATTGTTTCTTCCTCTGGTCTGTTTTCCAACTTCATTGAGAGTTGTCTTTTCAAAATGCAGATCTGATTGATTATGGTACTCCTCCATTTAAAACATTCAGTCCAAAGTCTTTACTGGATACATAAGACCCTATGTGGCCTGGTGCCTACTAACCTCTACAGTCTTGTCTCTTGTTTCTTCCCCTATACACACACACACACACACGCGCGCGCGCACACACACCACCAGTTTCTACCCTACTGCATTGCTTGGAGTTTCACTGGATAGGCACCATGAGTCTTTGCACATGGCACTCCCTCTCCTTAAAAGCCTACACTGATTTCTCACCCCATCCCATGACTCCAGGCTGGCTGACTCCTATTTATGCCTGTTTGTTCTTCCAGACTCAATTCATATGTCATCCCTTCTAGGGACATCTTTATGATCTAGGTCCCTTCCTGACACATGCAGACACAAGACTCAGTTGGGGGCCCACTTATGTTCACACACCTGATACATACCCCTCATGTAGAATGCTGTCAGTGCTTTGGGAAGCTGAGGCAAGAGGATCACTTGAGGCCAGGAATTCAAGGCCAACCTAGGCAACATAGTGAGATCCCGTCTCTAAAAAAGAAAAAGAAAGTTTAAATTAGCTGGACACGGTGGTGCACACCTGTAGTCCCAGCTACTTGGGAGATTGAGGAGGGCGGGTCACTTGAGCCTGGGAGTTCAGGGTTACAGTGACCTGTAATTATGCCACTGTACTCCAGCCTGGGTGACAGAGTGAGACCCTGTCTCCAAAATAAATAAACAAATAAATAAATAAGTCAGTACAAGTATTATATTATGCATAAAGGCAAAATGCAACAAAATAGGTCATAGGTCAATGTGTTCCCTGACTTTTTGTAGCAAAGTGTTTTTTAGTGTTATTTTTAATTGATAATAATTGTATATATTTATGGGATACAATGTGATGTTTTGATGCATATATATATATATATATATATATATATATATATATATATGTTGTGGAATGATCAAATCAGGCTGTTCTTTGTGGTCAGGACATTTAAAATCCATTCTTTTAGCTCTTTTGAGGTCTACAATACGTTACCATTAACTACAGTCACCATGCTGTGTAATGGATCACCAGAGCCTGTTCCTCCTGTCCCACTGAAACTTCAGACCACTTGAACAACATCTCTCCTTGCCCACCCAGGCCCCTCCACCATAGCTGAGTGTTTTAAAACTATTCCCAATGAACACCTAAATTTAAGCAGTGCCTGAATAGCTTTCACAACTCTACAAAGTGAGCAGGGAGAAATCTAACTCTTTATGCCATTAATATATAAGCAGGAATTGTTTCACTAGATCTGTGTTAACTTCAGATGCCCTAGGAAACAGGAGTTTTTATATTAGGTTCAGCCTGAATTACCCATCTTGACCTAATCTAACTGATGTAAATAGTAGGAATTAATTTTGTGCAGGCAGGGGTAAAGATTAATCCAGGTCAGTCAGCACCTTGTAATTAATCCACATACTCTTTAAAATAGAGAAAGAAATGTTGGCATACTCTCTGGCTTAAGGTTCTGCACCAATCTAATGTAGAGTTCTAAAATTTTATAGTGTTCACATTTCAGGGTTGAATTACAAATAACAAAGGCTTTGCTAAAGATGGTTATTTCCAATGGCCAAATCTTGAGGTGTTGTTAGGAATTGGTTCTAACCAATCATGAGCAAATGAATATGTGAATTAAAGACAAAATATTTCTAGGTGATTTTTAAATATGATTAGAAAACCTGGGTTTTATCATATTAGGTTATCACTGATATTGCAGTTTTAAAACCTGAAATCTCTGAATATCAATTAATTATAAACTAGAAATCAGCCTAAATTCATTAACTTTCATTGCTGAGAAAATAAGTAATAAATCTCTGAAAAAACAATATTAATGAGCAATTTTCTACAAAATCAAAATTTTAAACTCTTATTAAATTGTGTGTGTGAGTGAAAGTGCCATAATGATGTATGGTAGCCTTGCCTTGCTTTGATATAGAGGAGAAAATAAATACAGAAATCATGTTTGTAGGATTTTAAAGGTTTGGCATGAGTAAGCACCATTGCCTTGACTTTTCTGAGTCGCTCTGTTCTTAATAATAGCTTTTAATATAATTTAACGTAAGTTGTAATCATATAATAAATATTAAGCTCCAAAGAGATATTTAGTTATTTGTTAAATTTCTTGAACTTCATGGCTATGTTCAGCAATATAGCATTTCTCAGGGCAGAGAAGATGTGAATATTAAATGTAAGTAAGGGAGAAATACAGGCAGCTCACTTTTCACCAAAGTGTTCTCTTTGAAGAATCCATAAAATAAAGTAGTTATCATAAAGCAAATCATGTTTTCCCATGGGAATGAGTTCATAATTACAGGCTTGCTTCTTTACCTAATTATAAGCAATAGCATACTTTAAAAAATTACAACAGCTGTGATAGAAATATCACCCACACTAATTATACCAAAGTCCTCAGGGCAGTATAGTTGTTCATTCAGTCATTCAGCAAGCATTCGTTGAGTATGTACTCTGTGCCAGGTGCTGTTTCAGGCTGTGGGAATTTGATGCAGGCAAAAAAACACATGCGCTTTCCCTGCCACCCCATCAGTATATTAAACTAGACTAGTAGGAGAGATGGCTGTAAGCCAGATATTCATTGTAATTATAAATGCCATAAAGGAAAAAAAAATACAGGTAGGCATTGTCATGAGGAGGTGATCGCCATGCTGAGGTCTGACAGGTGAGCAGGAACTGAGGCGGGGGCAGAAAAGCAATGTGGAGAGACAGTGAGCTTTGGAGGGACTTAGAGATGAGTGGTGTGTCTGGCATGGTATGGGAGAGAAGGCCAGTAAAGTCAGCAAGGGGGCCAGGATGGGAACATGTGAGTGCTGGAGGCCAGGTTACATACAGGTTGTGATCCTTATTCTAGAAGAAATGAAGAGGCATGGAAGAGTTTTCAGCTGATGGGGTAAGGATAGGGTGACATCAGGTCTGCCATTTGAATGATCATGGCACTATAGTTCTCCCCTCCAGAGAATATTTAGTAGAATGTTATACTAGTACAGATGGAAGATGACCAGGGTAGAGATGGAGAAAAGGAAGTGACATGCAAGTGAATTAAGAAGTAAAGAAATTGACTAGAGGTGGTAATGATTTGAATATGTGGAGTGATGGAAAAAAGGTGGAAAGGATGGCTCTGAAATTTCTGGTTTGCAGAACCCCACAAATGATAGTGACATTCCTTGGAAGAGGGTCCAGTTTGGGAGGGAAGTTGTGTTTCATTTTGGTTATATTACATTTCAGTTTCCTGTGAAATCTCAAAGCTGAGCTATCAAATAGTCACTTGGATATACTGGTCTGGTGCTCAGAAGTTTGGGCTGAAAATATAAATGAGTCATTGGCTGATCCTGCAAAGGAGATTGAAGAGGGATGTTGGTACAGGGAGGTGGAAAACCAGGATTCTAAGGGGCCATGGTCCCCAAAGCGGGACAGTGCTTAGTATGAAAACAGTGGCCAGAAGTGTCAGATGTTTCCAAGATGTTATACGCAGAAGAGACTGATAATTACCAGTTGGGTTAAGCAGCATCATATTACAGGTAACTGTTTTGGTTGGGGATGTGTGCGGTGAAGCGGGGAAGAGACTAGATTGGAGCGAGTTGGGGAAGAGATGAAGACAGTGAGTACAGATAACCCATTTGTAGCTTTTACACTTGAAGGAAGAAGAGGGCTACAGCTGGAGGAGGACACACTGAGAATCATGGGAAAGTTGCCTTAGATGGGCAAGTTGAAGCACATTTTCCCACCATTAGGACAGACAAAGAGGAGGTGCCCTTGGGAAGTAATCTCTAGGCATAATGCTCATATAGAGTCCAAATTCTATATGAATTTACAATTACATTTTTCATGGATTAACTTATTTTAGCAGAAACCATACATGCATTGGTGTTTCCCCTGCTTTTCTCATATATATGGCCACTGCAATGCTGAGGACCGTAAAGACAGCATGGGAGTTAGCGAGTGGTCGGGTGAATTTTGTGCAACATCCAGTTCAGAACAATTCAGCCTGGGTAGTGGTTATCACTTGGAGAAAAGAAAGGATAATAGGCCGGGCGTGGTGGCTCATGCCTGTAATCCCAGCACTTCGGGAGGCTGAGGCGGGTAGATCAAGAGATCAAGACCATCCTGACCAACATGGTGAAAACCCCTCTCTACCGAAAATACAAAATTTAGCTGGGCGTGGTGGCGTGTGCCTGTAGTCCCAGCTGCTCGGGAGGCTGAGACAGAGGAATCACTTGAACCCAGGAGGCAGAGGTGGCAGTGTGCCAAGATTGTGCCACTGCCTGGCGACAGAGCGTGACTCTGTCTCAAAAAAAAAAAAAGAAAGGATAATAGTAGATCGTCTTTTTTTTTATTTCCCTTCTTAAAAAAAGAGTTGTAGAATTTCCTCCATGTTCTTTGTATTGAGAATTCTATATACACAGATGATTCCACATCCTCCAAATTTAGAAAACCTTTTTTCCCCATCCCCTGGAGTAGTCAGCTTTGCACAGCTATCCTTCCCTAAATGCAGCCAGGAGCAGAGTCCCGGTGGTGTCTGAGAGAACCCAGCGATTCGGAGCCAACTTGAGGCCCTGTAGTGCAGGGAGACCCTGAAACCTGTGAATGAGCTTCCTGAACCCAAACTTTGCCGCTCCTCAATTTCTTTTTGGCCTTGAGTACAGAATGGAATTTGCAGCCGCTGATGAAGTATGGCTGAATGCTCCAGGCAGTGATCCTTTAAAGCTAAACCCCACTCTGCAGTGTGCACAGAGCATGGTGCTTTGCAATATGACTCCACCCCGATTCTAAAAAGCCTATTAACACAAAGACTCTGCTTTACCTACAGTTGACTCTGCCTCAGTACATCTGATGAGGGGCAAGCGTGATGCCTGCTCCCTAAATTCCCCCTTCCCCCACAGTTAGGCTAAGACCACCTTGTTGAGGCCATGCAGCCTCTGTGCATGGTGAGGCCTGAGCCTGCATGTCTGGGCCTTGTGCTGGCAGGCCCAGCGACACTCCAGAAAGAGCCACTCACCTGTGGCAAAGTTGTCAGCAGCTGAGTCAGCTGCCAAAGTAAAAAGTGCACTAAAGCTGCTTACCAGGCCACGATAAAGGCCACCTGCAAGACTGCAAAAGCAAAGTGTGGCACAAAACACTGTGCTGCGAGTGGCCACATGAGAAACCAATGGCCCACACCCACAGTGCCGCATCTGTCAGAAGCCACCATCTCCGGGGGTCATTTTGTTCCTCAAGTGCATGTCCCTGAGCCAGTCCACCAGACATGGAGGCTTGGGGAAAGGGCAGTGAAGACCCTTTCCACCCGGCCAGGTTCTGCCCAGTTTGAGAATTTGAAACCAAGCAGGAAGGCAGAGGGAGACTAAACTCTCACCTTTATTGCTGATAAGCTGACATCGGAGATTGTGTCTCATGTCTGGGTGTGCAGCCATCCTAATACCGAACTCAGAATCGGAAACTTCCTAGATGGCAGGCTGACCTGAGCAGCCCTTCACACACGGGAGCAGACCTTGCACCTGCAGGAGGGAGGCAAAGCAGGTGCTACCAGTGGGCAGCTCTGTGCCCTGAAAGCAAGAGTGCAGCCAGATCATGCCTGCCCAGTTTTCCCTTCCTATGCATGCCAGTCTAATTCCTGAGTCCTGCCCCCAAGAGAGGCATATGCGGGTTAAAGAGAGACCAGGAGCTCCTGGAGCACCACCCACATGAGAGAACAGCAGGAGTGAGGATGAAACATGCCACACACAGCCCCACCCTTACCCCAAGACTCCTCCCTGACGTTATAGTAGGAGGTCAAGTATTTGCTACAGGGTTGGATGTCATACTTAATGCTGATGGCTTCGTGCGCATCTTAACAGTTGACAACTACATCATCACAGCTTGACACACGTTTCTTCAATTGGCATGTGTTCTTTGTGCTCAGAACCACATTAGGCCCTAAGAGACTCCAGAGAGACACATGGCCCGAGTCAACCTTATCCTCTGTAGAGGGCAGATGGGGACAGTATTTATATTTATGAAATTTAGAGAATAGTTGTCAACTCGTCATGATAGGACATTAGCAACAAACACCCATGAACGAAAGTTTGTTGTGAGCCACACTGGTCTTTAAACAGCCTTCAGGATGATTCTGGTTTTCTAGATGTGTTTCCTTTCTCAGTGAGTCCCTTTTCTTGAGAGGAGAGGGGGTGTATATTACAATAAGACAGGTTCCGGAGGGAAATGACTTCATGGGCTCACTGTTGAGCTGCTTCCCTTTGCATCTCGGGGGAAGGTGTGGTTCACCCGCAGCAGGTCCGGTGAAGGAAGCACGTGTGTGTGTGTGGAAGGGTGGCGCTGACCTCCCAGACAGGACATTACCCTTCTTCCTCTTCCTGACCACTGCTGTTCCCACAGCAGTCACGGTCATCACTTAGCTTCCTGTTGGGGAAAACCTTGGACACTGTGCATCCACCTGCTATAACTGGCAAACTAAGGATGACAGAGTGTTCAATGATGCTGTTCAACTTGAACCCTGAGTTGACACACGGACCCCTCTGCGCTAGTATCCAGGGCATAGGACGTCTGAAGGAAAGATGGAGCCATTCTTGGTGGGGCGGAAGAGGCAGGAAACTGCTGCCTGGACAAATCGTGTTCTGGGCCAAAGCATCACAGGCGAGTGAAATATGGGAATATTGAAGGGGCCTGGGATGGAGGTAAGATGGAGCGATCCTATGGTTTGGCACCTGCAGCCAGGGTGGTGGCAAGGGCAGTGGCAAGTAGTGGGTTTCATGGAAGGATAAAAGTATCAGGCAGCCTCCTCGGGCGGAGACCGCAGGTAGATGTCCCTGGCCTCTGGGACTGTCTTCACCCAACAGTCTATGTGCTGGGTACATACGCTATGCTGGGCACAAAGAAGGCTGTGGTCCATGACTTCAAGAAGCCCTCAGGCTAGTAAATTGGCATCTTCATATTATCCTTAGATCCAGGCTGACAATGTAAGCAAATGTGGAAAGCGTTAGAAAATGCAGGCTCCCTGGCACTATCTTAGACCTCATAGAACAGCCATTTCAGAGCAAGTCCTGGGAATCTCCATCCCATTAAGTGCCCCCTGAGGCTTGGGGATAGATAGTTGCGTGAGACAAACTGTAGCAAGTAAATCATCGCAACAAAGTGCGAGAAGTACTGTGATTGGCTGTTTCGGGAATGACGAATGCACAAAGGAGGTTCTCCTACGTGGGAAATCCAGGTGCGGCTTGGGGACTAGTATTTGAAATTTCAACTGGCTCCATCTGCCTACTTTCTCACATACCTCCATATGCTGTCTGGTGGCTGATGGCAGCAGCTGTGCAGGGGTTTCAGTGTCTGAATTTGGGCAGTTTGCTGTGCTTCCGAAATGGTTCTGGCCAACCCTGTGTCTCCCCTTGGACTTCTGATTGGCCCATGGGGGATGAGGATTTTTGGATCTGTGGCAGCAGTAATGATCGAGGCCTCCAAGAAGAGCACCACTAGGAGGGTGTTAGTAGATTTTTAATAGCCTTCATACCGAGTCCTTTAGATGTGTTTCTTTTCTCAGTGTGTCCCTTTTCATGGCGGGGGGTTGGGGTGTATCTTACAATAAGACAGGTTTGGGATGGGGGGAAATGACTTCATGGGCTTGCTGTTGAGCTGCTTCCCTTTGCATCTCCGGGAAAGGCGTGGTTCACCCGCAGCAGGTCCGGTTAAGGAAGCACGTGTGTGCTTTCAGCATCGCTGCGTTTTCTCTGCCACTTCACCCTAAGGATGGGGTCAAAGTTGCTTCTGCTTCTCTTGATAGAGGCTCTCTTCAACTCCCTACCACTCCTAATTCTCAGCCCTTGCAGTTTCCTGCAGTGGAACACGAAGTTCCAAAGAGATGGTTCCAGGTGAATGCACAGCTGTGTTCCCACCTCCTGATCCTGTCTCCAATGAGTGACACTGGGCCGTTCTTCAAGATCTCTCCTTAACCCCCTCTTCCAAGACAGGACCAAACCCCACACTTGAGCACTGGGCTCCCCTGCTCTCTTCCCTGATGCCACCCCACTCCCACAGGGCGTGGCCCCAGCAGAAGACAGCTTCAGCCTGTTTTATTGACTCTGGGTGTGACAGGAACAGAGATTTTGAAGGCCTCTTTGCCCTTTTCCCTAGAGAGTAGGTGGCTTTGCCCCTGAGCAGCAATCCGCTGAACCCATCTGAGCCCAGCTCAGCCCTCTGTGGCAGAAGGAGCTTCCCGTGGAAAAGAGGAATCCCACTCCAGTGAGGAAGGAGAGGCACCCAACAAGGAGGCCCAGGACATGTGTCTCTCATCAAGGGCTGCCCCTCTGAGATGGTGCTGCAGGAATCCCGCCCTGAGATTGGGGTGTGGAGAGAATAGAGCCAATAGCTTCCTACTCTTCTACCATTTTAAAATCCCATCCTGCATTTCGACTTTCTCTCTGACCACAGTGATACTAAAGGTTTTCTGAATTTTGGAAAGGTCAAAATAATAAGGTAAATGTCAACAAAATGAATATGTAAGGTGTGTATCCTCAGAATACTCTTTCTTTGGTAAATTGTAGTTTTATTTAAATGTGATCAGTTTTAGGTGATACGGGGAATTTGCCTACCTCCTGCAGAAACTATCTTGATCTTATTAAATTAAATAAGATGTAACTAGGGAAGGGGGGAAAAAAGAGTGAAATCAGGCATGGATCATTCCATCTGTGTAACCCGTAAAAGTCATAACAACAGTAAATGATACCAAAACCTCTCAGGCTGCCTACAGCCAATTCAATCTCAACTTCTACCACCTAGGCTGAATGACTATAGCATACAGAGATGGCCAAGGGATTCTAGAACTTTCTAGAGCTACTTGCTCCTCCCCCTGTTTCAATGCAGTCATTGGTCACTGCCCAGTGTGCACCTGGCACCTGACCAGTAGGGGGCACACGGGAGCAGTGTTGTGTATGAGCTCAGCTCAGGCACCAGCTGGTCAGGATGAGGCACCTCTACCTGGGCTCCACAGGAGAGCTAATTAGGTCATTGGATTCGATTCATCTTTTAAAAGTCTTTGAGAGTTTACTTGATTCGGATTTTTATTAAATCTCTTAACCAACTTTCGTCATTCTCAAATGCCAGTATAATTCTGTGAACACTCCAAACATTAGAAATACTTTTCTTATATTGTAAACAAATTCTGTTTATGTAGAAGATGGTTCTCTTTGGAAAAACAATGCCTGAAAGCTCTTCCAATTTAGCAAGGAAAATAGTCTGAGAAAAGAGAAATAGGTATGCAGGTACATGCCCCGCCTCAGCCCTCCCACACGTGGTCATTTTTGCTTGTTGAAAAATTAGACTTTAAGTAAAAAATGAAGCATCGAGAATGATCACTCATATAAAGGAGACTGTGCTTTTATGATATTGGCCTTTCTCTTCTGTTGATTGACTTTATTCCTATTCTTCATTTTTATGTTTCCTGTTGTCTGTTTTTCTCTTGTCTCACCTCCCAAGCTTTCTTTCCCTGGGCCTCCCGAGGGAGGTCTGATAACGCAAGAAGGATGAGAATGTGGGCGGGAGATGAGGGCGGGAGGAACTGCCCGGACCTGTCAGCCTTGGGTGTAGCACCTGCAAGGAGGACATGATTCTCCTGCGGTGACAGCCTGACCGGGCCCCCCACCCACCAAGGCAGGACCACGGCGACCTGGGGAGCATGCTGCCAGCAGCTATGGTGGGGGCTTTGGTCAGAGGATGGAGGAATCGAAGCTCTCCTCAAAGGGCTGAGTCAAAACTTCTTATCCGACCGAGCCAAGATGGAATTGCAATTCAGGGTATGTTTGACACCTTGATGTGATTGTGTGGCCCTTTGTAAAGGGTTCAGAGGGTGATCATGAGCTTATAAGCTTTTCTCCACCTTCAAATGGAATTGACAAATCCAGAATCTGTTTTTTTCCTCAGGTTATCATAAATTGTGACTAATTTTACTTGTGGGAGGTCTATTTTCCTTTCCTAATCAAAGACTTCAGTAGTCACGTAATACCTTCAGTAGTCACATAGTAAAAGATTATTACTACCTTCTTTTTTTCCAGAGCTTTTACTTTAAGATGGAATTCTTGTTCTGTGGTATTTGTGTTTGCCTAGTAGGATGAAAAAGGTATACTGGCTTTTGGCAAATTTTAGTCTAAATTGCATCACTTTATTATGTCTGGAATGGGAGATGTGGAGAGTACTTAATTTCTGGGTTTTCTCAGTAATTCTTTTTATTTTCTGTTTTGTTACTATCGTTTTGAGGCAACAATAGAACTAGTGACAAAAATATAGCTTTCTTGTTAACTTAGTTCAAAGGGTTATTATGGCCTTTTTCTGAAATAAATTTTCATTAGAATGAAATACTTTGGAAATACCTGACCTCGTTCTCTTCTGTCTGGACCTTGGACTCCTTAATGGTACTTACTAGAAGGGAGCTCTTTGGTCTTGCCGACGATGGACCCATGGGAGGAACACAGTGCCAGCTGAGGAAGCAAGTCTGAGCATAGAAGTCATAGACTCCCAGGGGCTCTCAGAGCTGGCCTGCTGCCCCTCCATGCTCTCATCTGACCCCACGCCCTGAGAGTCTCCTAGGGAGTAAACACGAGTGTTCTTGCATTTCAACAAATATGTATTGAAAGCAAATATATACCAGACATTTTTTTAGGCAGCGGCATGCTCTGATCTATAGCTAATCTACTTTTAAGAGGTATAAAAAACAAATGTTATCATCTGTTTTGTTTGGACAGTGGTTTCCAGCCATACTTTTCAGGCTGGCTATATTCAAGAAGAGTCCAGCCAAGAAACTCTTTTGAAAATAGCCTGATAAGTATTCACTGCAAAATAGTAAATTTGTCATTTAACCAGGTATCCAAACGAGACAAGGCTGTTCTATGTTCTTAACTGCCAAAGGATGAGTGATTATTTGTAAAACCTAGGCATTCCGTAAGAAGTGCGAATCACAGTATTTAAAAAATTAATCATCTGATTTTGCTCCTTTGCTTCTCAGATGAGAAAACAGAGCTCAGGGAAGTTGATTACTGAGCTTCAGGCAGCACAGTCAATAAAGTGGCAAAGCAGGCCTGGAATCACATGTCCCAGACTCTTAATCTTACATTTTCTTCCTTTGTTTTTTTTTTTATTTTATTTTTTGAGAAGGAGTCTCACTCTGTCACCCAGGCTGGAGTGTAGTGGCGTGATCTTGGCTCACCGCAACCTCCGCCTCCCGGGTTCAAGTGATTCTCATACCTCAGCCTCCTGAGTAGCTGAGATTACAGGCATGCTCCACCATGCTTGGCTAATTTTTGTATTTTTTAGTAGAAACAGGGCTTCACCATATTGGCCAGGCTAGTCTTGAACTCCTGACCTCAGGTGATCCACCTGCGTTGGCCTCCCAAAGAGGCCTTCTCTCTTTGGGATTACAGCCATAAGCCACCAAGCCCAACCATTTAATCTAACATTTTCTCTCTTATCTCATACTCTCCTGATAAATTTGACAAATTTCTGTAACAATATTCAGAGCTTTGCAAGGTAACAAAGTAAAAACATAGTAAAAACTATGCTAACATGTAAGAGATTTTTTAAAAAACAGTGTCTTGAGATATAATTCAGGTGCCACACAATTTACCATTTAAAGTGTACAATTCAATGGTTTTTGGTATATTACATTATTTACTTTTTAAGCTGTGGTAAAATATACATAACATAAAATTTGCCATTTTAACCATTTTAAATGTGCAATTCAGTGGCATTAGTTGTATTCACAATGTTATGCAACCATCACCAGTATTTTTATAACTTTTTATCACCCCAAACAAAAATTCTGTAACCATTAAGCAGTAACTCTGTTCTCCTCTTGTCCTGTCTTTGATAACTTCTAATCTGTTTTCTGTCTCTATGAATTTGCCCATTCTCCTCTGGGAATTTACTAGACATTTTGTATGAGTGGAATTATCTAATATTTGTCCTTTTCTGTTTGACTTATTTCACTCAGTATAGTATGTTCAAGACCCATCCATATCAGAAGTTCATTTCATTTTATGACTAATGAGATGGTCTGTTCTAATTCCCTTTTATTTCATTCTCTCTCCTTTTAGTACACTTGAATTTCCAACCTGGTCATGAAATCCTTTAAGTATTTTTCAACCTACTGGTATTTTTATATTTAAGTTATTTAAATATAACTTAAGTGTGAAGAGACTCTTAGGAAGGTATTTCTTTTCAGTTAGTTCTTTAAAGGCAGGAACCATATGTTAATCTTTGTTAAAAAAATCTTTTTGTCTCTAACATTTAGTCCAGGACCTGGCATAGAAAAAATACTTAACAAATTTATCCTGAGATGGACAGATGGATGATTCTTAAGGTTTTACTTTTATGTTTCAGAAAACAGATTTTGGCCGGGCATGGTGGCTCATGCCTGTAATTCCGGCACTTTGGGAGGCCAAGGTGGGTGGGTCACCTGAGGTCAGGAGTTCGAGACCAGCCTGACCAACATGGTGGTCTCTACTAAATGCAAAAGATTAGCCGTGCATGGTGGCACATGCCTGTAATGCCAGCTACACAGGAGGCTGAGGCAGGAGAATCACTTGAACCCGGGAGGCAGAGGTTGCAGTGAGCTGAGATTGTGCCATTGCACTCCAGCCTGGGCAACAAGAGCGAAACTCTGTCTCAAAAAAAAAAAAAAAAAGAAAAACAGAAGAAGAAGAAGTAATATGATCTTTGAGCTTTAGTTCTTTATTCTCTGGAATAATATTTTCTTTTGACATTAAAATTTATAGTTGCAATTGTTTCCCACTCCATAGAATTGGTAAATATAAAATGGCCATGTGTTGAATATTATAAGCATTTTACTGTACCATGTCAGAAGTGAACTCAGGAAATCTGACAATGGCTAGTTCCTGCCTTTAGTGACCTTTTGATGGTGTTTATTACTGAGGGTGATGGGAGTCTCCTGGCTGCTCAACAGTGTGACTTGAGACAGGTTCTTTAAACTCATAACTGTTATTTATTTTATTTTGGATTTTTTTAAATTTTATTTTTCCATAAGTAATTGGGGGTACAGGTGGTATTTGGTTACATGAGTAAGTTCTTTAGTGGAGATGTGTGGGATCCTGGTGCGCCCATCACCCAAGCAGCATACACTGCACCACATCTTGGCCCCACCAACATCGTTACTGTTTCTCGGTGCTGGGCTCAGGAACTGACAGCAGTCAACCGAAACAGAAGCTGCTACTACTTCAAGAAGGCTTTTCATACCTCACTAGAGTGAGGAAACGGAACATAGAGGTTTATTTCAGTGGTTCATAGTTTTCACCTCCAAATATCAAATGTAACTATACTTCTCTAGTGCTTCTGTCCAAATAAAGTAAGCATGCATATATTTGTGTATGAGTAGCCTGCCATTCAGCACACTAAGACATGCCCTTCCTGGGCTTCAGCTATTCCAAAAGGTGTGGAGGATGTGAGAGGAAGGGTGCAAAATGAAACTCTGGATTAGGAGTGAAAATTATCATAGGATGTCTTTACTGGAGATGATTTCCCCACTCACTCTCTCAAAGATCTAATCAGGAACAAACATTTGCACGTTTTATGTTGCAAACAAGTTATTTGGTTTGTTGAGTGAAATCACGGTTATTTTCGTGCCTGTGTGATTTCAGGAATTCTGTTCTCCTGCTTTTGGAAAGCTGCTTCAGCTCACAGATCCCTGCCTCCTGTGAACACTGGAATGTGGGCTGTGTTGCTCTTCCGCAACCCAGCGCATGCATTGTTCACTTTCCCCATAGTCCTCCCTCATCTGGATGATGAACCCAGTTAGATCTCCATGGCCTGATACTCTCTAAATCCACCATGGCGGTTGTCCTACACAGAGTTGGCACACAGTGAATATAGCAGTGACTTCAGAAACCTGAAATACTAATATTTATCCTTTTCTGTTTGACTTATTTCACTTGGTATAGTATTTTCAAGACCTATCCATATCAGAAGTTCATTTCTTTTTATGACTAATGAGATGGTCTGTTCTAATTCCCTTTTATTTCATTCTCTCTCCTTTTAATACACTTGAACTTCCAACCTGGTCATGAAATCCTTTAAGTATTTTTCAATCTACTGGTATTTTTATATTTAAGTTATTTAAATACAACTTAAGTGTGAAGAGACTCTTAGGAAGGTATTTATTTTCAGTTATACTTCAGGGATGAGTGAAATAATGTTATAAAGGACAGAGCCTGGTTTTTATATATGGCCTGTGTAATCTGTCTTGATGCTTTGTAAGCCAAACCAGATACTTAAGTTATTATTGCTTTTTACATTTCAAAGGCCTACAGACTACCATTGGCCTAAATATAAAATAATAATTTCTGTCTGTAGAGCTGTACACCCTGTAGTCGAAAAGAAAGCCCTTCCTTCCTCATTTCTTAATGACAGCCTATAATCATCTCTGAGCAATTTTTAAGATTTTTTCTAAACCACCATTTCCGTCATTATGTCAGCTGGGGAAGAGCCTCTTCTTCTATCAATAGAATGGTTCTCATTCCTTCCCAAGTCCAACCACCCACCTTGTGAGAAGGGGTCATTGTAAATCTCAGCCAACTTTCTTTTTCAACAATGATGTTAGGAGAAATGTCAGATGATAAAATCAGTTAATCACCAAATATTTACTGAGGACTTGGGAAAAGTTTTGGGGAGCCATTGGAGAGAATATGACTGAACCACTGTAAGTTCTACCCAAACTGTGTTTCCTCATTCACTTCCAGCCTAGGCTTGAAGGAACAAGAGACCAGGGGTGGATCCAGGTTCCTGTCCCGCTGGGACATGGCCCATTTCCTTTGTTAGGCCTGGGAGCAGTTTGAGGAAGCCTGGTTAGGCATCTGTCAATCCCAACTGAAGTCACTTTTTATATGGGGTGAGGAATTTTTAACCTCACCCCATATAAGGCCTAGCAACTTCAGGCATGAGTAAAATAAAGACAGAGAAATTGCACATCACAACTTAATGTTTGTTGTGTTTATGTACTGAAAGTATTTTATGTTTGTAAACTCAAAATTAACCCATTTTATAAATAATGGCAATGACTATAATGCTTTAAAATAATTTACTGTATCTGTCACTCTTTTCTGATGGAATTTAATAGACTCTTGTACTCTTAGTTTACTTCAGATCAACAATACAACTCTTTTCCCAGATTTCTTCATAATTAACTATGTAATTATCATTTGATAAAAGCCTCTTATTTTAATTAGAATAATATGATCATGGGCTGATGATTCAATAAATATTCACTGAGCAGCTGCTATGTGGAAAACTAATGGCATGCTGGAAAGAAAAGAATTTTTCCTAAGGCTTGTCCTTGACCTCAAAAAAAGCATATGTGATCTAGAGAAGACAAATTTAAAGAAATGCTGCAAGTATAATATGAATAGGCAGAATTAAATAATTACTAAATGAATATCAGAGGGAAAAAAATGCTAATTTTAAGGGAGAGTATAGAGTAAGCAGAATTTGAATGGAGCCTTCCAAACCATTGAGGATACTTTCAACTCTGAAATTTAGGCCAAGAGAAAGTAAGTACTTGCTTTTGTCACACTTTCAGTCTCTTTTAACTCATGAAGTTTCTACTAAGTCAAACTGAAATTAATTAGTTACACTGTCAGAGCGAGTGCATTGGTGATTTCTCTGTGTAGAAAACAGTAGAAAGGCCATCCAAGGGCAGGCGTTAGCATAAGCAAAGGCACAGAGGAATGAAAGCAAATGACATTTGGGGGAATGTTGAGATGTCCATATGGCTGAAGTTCCAGGTCAGAACATAGAAGGCCTTAAATGTCAAGATAAGGAGCTTGGATTTAATATGTAGACCTCAGGGAACTGTTCCTGCGGTTGGATCACTTGAGGTCAGGAGTTCGAAACCAGCCTGGCCAACGTAGTGAAACACCATCTCTACTAAAAATACAAAAATTAGCCGGGTGTGGTGGTGCACACCTGTAGTCCCAGCTACTCGGGAGGCTGAGACAGGAGAATCACTTGAACCTGGGAGGCGGAGGTTGCAGTGAGCCAAGATCACGCCACTGCACTCCAGCCTGGGTGACAGAGCAGGACTCTGTCTCAAAAAATTAACAAACAAACAAACAAAAAACCTATGTGTGACTTATTTGGTGTCTCTCTGCTTCCTGGAAGTCGCTTCTCAACTTTTGGCTTCTCTCTCTGATCATTCTAACTCTGGGACTTGGAAGCTCTTGTGTCAGCAAACAAAATCCACAGCAGCTTCCTTCTACCCTTTGAATGATCAGCCAGTGATTCAAATTGCCCTTGGAATAATCTCTGAATTCCCTGGGATAGACTCTGAGGTCCTGCATCAGTAACCACCCTCTCTTTGGTCACACTGGAGCACAGCTCCGTGGTTCAGGCTAACCACTCCCCCATGTGTTTCGTCTCTCCTGGCCTGGCTCTGTTCTCCAACACTTGGCTGCTTTCTCACCCGCTCTAAGCACATCCTCACCCATCACCTCCTTCCAGAGCCAGCTCGATACCCAGCCCTTGGGAAAGCATATATGGCCCATGTTGTTATGTTCATAAATCATGCACCAATCATGCATAAATCATACATAAATCTTTGCACAAGGCTATGAGAGGAATGCACAGTCATGAGTGGCCCAGGTCAGGAGGCAGGGACCTCATGACTACCTCGAGAGGCAGAGCAAAATGGCAAAAGATGCAAACAGCGCTTCAAGAGAATGGAAGCTGTGTCGCGTGATAGTTTAGAAGTCATTCCCAGCCAAGTCGGTACAGGCTTTGTGTATAGTTATTGCTTCCCTCATCTTCATCTTTGTATATGCTTCTGGGAGTTTACATGGGAGGCTTTGAATCCTTGACTGTGATCCATTCAAAGACAGGCAGCATGGATCTAGTTTATAAGAACCTTTGCCAATGAACATGGCAGAATTTTCTGTTTTATGTCTGCCATTAGTTGTTAGGTGGGGACTGTCCCTGTCCTGGCATGCAGGACTCTGCTACCGGAAATTATTATAGCATACAGAGTAAGAGTTCCAGTCCCAGACTTAGACTGTCTAGGTTCAAATGCCAGTTTCACTCCTTACTAGTTGTGTGAATTTGAAAATTATTTCATCTCTCAGTGCCTCATTTTTCTCAAGTAGGGATGATAGTAATATCTGCCTTTTAGAATTGTTGTGAGCTTTCAATGAATTAATTTAAAGAGAAAATGTTTCAAATAGTGCCTGGCTGGGCACGGCGGCTCACAGCTATAATCCCAGCACTTTGGGAGGCCGAGGTGGCTGGATCACCTGAGATCCGGAGTTGGAGACCAGCCTTGTCAACATGGTGAAACCCCGTCTCTACTAAAAATACAAAAATTAGCCCAGTGTGGGGGTGGGCGCCTGTAATCCCAGCTACTTGGGAGGATGAGGCGGGAGAATTGCTTGAACCTGGGAGGCAAAGGTTGCAGTGAGCTGAGATGGTACCATTGTACTCCAGCCTGGGCAACAGTGAGACTCTGTCTCAAAAAAAAAAAAAATAAAAATAAAAAATAAAATAGTGCCTGGCACATAGTAAGTACTCAAAAAATGTTAGCTATAATGATTTATATTATTAAGTAGTCCTCATGACTGTGTGATTACCATCTTTTTAAGTGTTTTCTAGTCAATTCCTAGTAACTGGAGCTGTAGTTCTTAGTAGCTGGAGTTATCAACATATCTGCCTTCTGTGCTAGTAAATTTTTATACATCTAAAGTTTTAAAACCTCTGCATAAACATTCCCCCTGGAAAACTAGAATCAATGGTATTTTATTATTCCTACATTGACATTTTAATAGCCAAGAATGGCTTTTAAAAGAATTAGGAAGACACATGGCATCTGTCAGTCTTGATATCATAGTTCCTGTTATGTTTCTGTTTCCATGTGAACCCTGTTTTTTCAAAAGTTTGTAAGTCTTTTGCTCCATGGTGAGATTCAGCAACAAGTTTCTATTCCAAAGAACAATATTTGTCCTACTTAAACCTACTCTGATTTCCATTTTCTTTGCTCAATGGTTTGTGCTTCTAGAACTTGAGTTCTGTTTGATGTTTTTGCAAATACAATTTTTCATATTTGGTAATTTTGAAAAACTTAAAAGCTCCAAGTCTAGCACGTTGTCCTTTGATTTTTAGGTAGTGAGCTGCTTAATTTGGTTTTAATTTAAGATAAGGGTTTAGAAAATATTAGGAATTCACTAGAAATATATCTCTGTTCTACAAACTAGGATCCTAGGCTGTATTGGGTGTTTCTTCCTTATAGAGAAAAGAGCTGATTCTACTTTCCTTGAAAATTTAAAGTATAGGGCAGTGGTTAAGAACACTAAAATCCTGGCTCTTCTACTTAACATTTGTGTGATCTTGGACTTGTGTAGCTTGCCTAAGCCTCGAATTACCCATCTTTCAAACGGGAACAATGGAATTCTCCTGAGGACTGGATGAGACCATGTATGTCAGTTGCTTGCAGCAGTGCCTAACAAATATGCACACCAAAAAAGTCAAAAGAAAAACAAACAACAAACAAAAAAGCCATGCACACCCAAATGGACATTATTATTGTTTCACAGAGGTCTGACTCCAGAGTTTCTCTCATGAGCTGTATTTCTGGTTGCTGATATTTTCTTGTAACAAGATGGGCCCTCCTTGAATGGAGGAGGATTTTGTGTCGTAAATAGCTGTGAAATGACTAAGTAGATGTTGTTAAGTCATACTCGTCAGGAAGAAAGGGCAGGAAAATATAAAAATAATTCAGACCTAGAATCTTTACCTTAAAAATGTTAATTTTTTACTTTCTTGGCCACTTTCACAACAAGTCAAATGAAATGGAGATATTCTTTATAGAAGTTACATGGAGGGGGCAGAAGACTGGTATCCAAAACCCTAGCTCTATATCAATGTTGTAATGAGGAAGAATTCAGATCAAAGAGACTATTTTAGGATGTCTTCCCTCTGTCAATAGTTCTTAAAGTCCACATATCCTTTAAATGATTTATTTGACAGCTTAGGTTGAAAGTCCCTGGGAAGCCTGGCAGAGGAACTCGTCCTTAGGCCAGGAGACCCAGGGTAGAGCTGCAGCCAGGGAGAAGCAGAGGGCTCTTTGAGCGACGTCTGCTTCCCCCTCTCCCTGAAGCCCAAAGCCACTTCAGGGCCTGCAGCGATGGCAGCCTGCCAGCTTCAGAAGAAAATCTGCAGTTTTCCATTTGAAATTAGAGGATGACACTTAGACATTTGATCATCTTGCATTAAACACTGTGAATATCTCATTACACACACACACGGCACGCACGCACTTTCTCCCTTCTTCAAGAATGCATTAGCATTGGTTCTGGTGGTCTGTTCTTCTTCAGCCCCGTTAATCTGACTTTGTGGGTGTGTTTCATAACAACAGCAGCTCCATGCAAACTGCACAAAAGGAATCTTCAACCAACCAGAAGTTGGAAATGAATAATTGGCTCATGAGCATAATTTTACAAGTGATTTTTTTTAAAGTCTAGAGATACCAAAAATTATTTGTGAGAGGGAAAATGTCTCAAGGTAAGTATATTTTAAAAGTATTCCCGTGTGCATGAGACTGAATCCCCTGGTGGTGGTATGGTGGCTTTAGAAATCAAACTATAGGGCCGGGCGCAGTGGCTTATGCCTGTAATCACAGCACTTTGGGAGGCCAAGGCAGGTGGATCACTTGAGGCCAGGAGTTCAAGACCAGCCTGGCCAACATGGTGAAACCCCATCTCTACTAAAAATACAAAAACAGTGGCATACGCCTGTAGTCCCAGCTACTTGGGAGGCTGAGGCACGAGAATTGCCTGAACCTGGGAGGCAGAGGTTGCGGTGAGCCAAGATGGTACCACTGCACTCCAGCCTGGGCAACAGAGTGAGACTCTGTCTAAAGAAAAAAAAAAAGAAGAAGAAGAAGAAGTACTTTTAAATACATGAATGCTTCTGAGCATTTTAAAATTTCCCCAGGAGATAAAATAGAATATATGTGATGATTTGATTCTGAAAGAGTAGAACCATTACAAACAATTTGTAAATTCTCAACCTTTAAGAAGGTGGATAAAATGGTAAAGTTTCCACTGCTGAGTGCTACCAAAGAGCATGTCATGTTGTAGGCAATGGAGAGAGCAGTGAGCTTGGACTCAGTCCTGTGCCTAGGAAGACTATCTTAGCTCTTGAAGCTTCCTTGGAATTTTTGCAAGGTCGTGGAGCTTAAGGCACTAGCCTTAAAGAAGCGAACCCTGAGTGGGGGAGATTTAAGGACAGGCAACTGGGAAGTAAGTCGGGTGCCTGGGAATTGGGCAAGTGGTCCTGGTGTGGTCCTGAACAAGCTTCTCCTAATTGAGAATCTCGCTGAGGGCCGGCCCTGGGAGGGGAGCCCAAACCAGAAGTTTGGTTGGTCATTCAGAATTCAGATGGTCCCAGCAGGGGCATCAGCTTTTTGTGTACAACTGGAAGAGAGTTTGGCTTCTCCATGTATTGAGACATCTGTTTACTCTGGCCAGCCTCCTGCTGGAAGATTGACACAGACAGTCCCATGCTGTGCAAAGGGAAGATGCTGTGTTTTGTTTCCTAATACCAGAGCAGCTTTCTTACAGTGAGGAATCACAAATGTCCCCACATCACTACCTGCTTAAGAAAGTGATTCTGGTCCTCTTTGATAGATCCTGAAGAATCTGCTTAAGAGTTTCTGAAGACATTTTGTTATTCTGGCAGTGGTGTTTTTTTTTTTTTGTTGTTGGGTTTTTTTTTGTTTGTTTTTAAAGAATGTTATGGATAAAGACCAAATGTTGGCTAATGCATCAAACAAGTAGATCAGTTGTAAAGTATGGGTTGAAATGCTTGGGACCACAAGTGTTTTGGGTTTCAGATTTTTTTGGATTTGGGAATATTTGCTTTACATAATGAGATATTTGGGGGATGGGACCCAAGTCTAACCATGAAATTCATTTAGGTTTCCTATATACCTCATTCATGTAGCCTGAAGGTAATTTTATACATATTTTAAATTTGTGCATGAAACAAACTTTTTGTTAAGTACTTACATGTAGTGTTTCCTATGTGTGCAGTTACCCACTTGGGAGTCATGTAGATGCTCAAAAAATTATGGATTTTGGAGCATTTTGGATTTTGGACTTTTGGATTAGGGACGCTCAAGCGGTACCTCAGGTTATATCAATTTTGAAAGATACCAATGTTGATCACGTTATGACAATTTTGTTAGTTAAGGAAGTTGTTAGCATATAAAGGGTTTGACTACCTAACCTGATTGCGTGTGTATACAATACTATATATACACACACACGTACATGAAAAAGTATGCTCAAGGAAGACTATTTTGGCACTTTTAACAAATTGATTACACTATAACAATACAGTAACGGGAGCTGCTAAAGAGTATTTGGGGAAATGAAACAAAACACAAGTACCTCCTGTAACGCAACTGTAGGCCAGACGATACATAAAGTTCTAAAGCTCTCCTTGTGTGTTCTTTTCCAACAGTTGTGCAGGTTGTTTGTATGTCTGGGCAGGGTTAGGTGGGTTTAGAATCTGTGTATTTTAAATTTCCAGTTCACCTCTTTAAAAGACGCTAAGTGTCTTCACTAATAAGCATTTGTATCTGCAAATGATTCAAAAACAGGTTGATTTGATTATAATTGTTAAGCTCAATCTCTGAAAAACAATTAAGTTTGTTTAAGGGAGTTCTATTAATACCAATGCATTTGCTTAATATGTATCGTTTTCTCATAGCTGGTACAAAGGCATATTTCAAAGTAACATTAAATGAGATGAAATTGGTGATCTTGTTTGTTGCTTTTACATTACCTTTTTACGTCTTCACGACCGAAATATAACTGTCCTTAAAACTGGTGAAATCTGAATGTACCCTGTGGACTGGACCAATGTCAGTTTCTGTTATTATACTACAGGTATGCAAGATGTTATTGTCGGGGGAAACTGAGTAAAGGGTACAGGAGGGCCCTTTGTACGTTTTTGGTTTGGTTTTGTTTTTGCAGTTTCTTATAGATTTATACTTATTTCAAAATAAAAAGTGCAAACAACAAAAAGTAACTGTTCTCTAGAACTCTTACCTGAAGTCTCTGGTGCCTGGCAGGGATTCAGAAAAGACACTCTGATTCAACCTTAAGTGACTGCCAAGCATTAAGTCCTGTGAGGTTTCCCTCGTGCAACAGATATTGTCTTGTAGACGTTGATGCTCCGGGAGTGCTCCTTGAGTGCCATTGTCTCCAAACTACCTTGCTAATGGGGAAGAGACATTTTAGACTCTGAGGTCTGTACTTACTCAGGTCACACCCTTTGCCCTGCCTATATGCCCAGGTAGGTGGCCAAGCCCTGGGTTCCCCCAAATATTAGGAACAGTGACATTGAGAACAAGCGATGTTCTATGAGCCCTTAGTATGTGTCTGGCTCAGTCATACCATAGGCCTATTAAATCACTTAAGCCTCAGAACACCCCGCGAGGCCATGAAAATTAAGCCATTTTAAACACAGCAAGTTTAAACAATAATTCGGTGGTGTCTCTACTTTCAAAATAGTTTATTAGGGATCTTAATGAAGGCCATGGATCCTCTTAGCTAAACAAATAAACTAAATTTCTTTTGAATTACAATGTCAACAAAAGAAAACTTTGAAATTGTCTGATCGTCCTTCCCTTCTGAGGATAAAGACTGGCAATTATCCATGGCCCCTGCTATTTTTGCTAACTCCTGCTATGTTTAACATCAATAGAGCCAAATTTTAGATCACTGGTTTTGGTAAATAGCTCATAGTGAGACTAATGTTTACTCAGCAGACAGTGGGTTCCTATTGCTTCAAATTGGTTTTGCGCTGGGGAAGATGGAGAGGGACATATGGAAGGACCCAATATTACAGTGAATCGGGGTGAACCTGCCAGAGAGAAGCCTCCTGTATGTCTCAGCTACAGGGAGAGAAGGAGGCCAGGAGACCCTGCCAGGCTGACCAGCCTCCCTCAGCCCCTTACTGCTACAGAGCAGCGGTGTCTACCATTGATCTGGAAGATGCACAGTGAGGCATGCAGAAGCCTCATTCTGGAGCAGCCACAGACTGAGGAAGTCACTAATTCCCAAAATGTGTCCCCAGGACCAGTAACATCAACCATCTGCGAACTTGCTAGAAATCCTCAGGCCCCACTCCAGCCCCACCAAATCAGAGACCTGGGTCTAGGACCCAGCAGTCTGTGTCTTAGCAAGCCTCTGGGGGGACTCCCATGCTAGCCAAGGTGTGAGAACCCCAGGGCTAAAGAACCTGGGGTGATCCTCTTTCCAGGCTTCAGAGTCTATGAAAGGAAAGATTTTGGTTAAACATATTTACCTCGGGCCCCCCTTCACCCCCAAGTCACATATTCGAGATTCTCTAATTCTGTACATCTGTGATATAAACACACATATCTGGCAGTATTGAAAAGTGATTATGCTCTGAAATCTAACCGCCTGGGTTCAAATTCGGGGGCCTCTACTTCCTAGCATTGCACATCCAAGCCATCTGATGAGCTTGCTGTGCTTTGAGCTCTTCATCCATAAAGTGGAGACGGTAGCACCTCTGTCCTAGGAGAGAGTTGTGAGGAATTAGTCTAATACAGGCAAAACAGCACCTGGCACTTAGAAAGTACTCACACATTAGCTAGGGTTAGGGTTTGGGTACTTCCCTCTCTCTCTAAACAATTCGGAAACTTTGAGGATGGGGGTTATAGCTTGTATAGCTTTATTTCCCATATTTGGGTTATATATTAAAAATGTTCTTAAATACTTGCTAAAGAAATAAGAAATCACTGGTGTTAAAATTTTATATTTAGGCTGGGCACAGTGGCTTATGCCTATAATCCCAGCACTTTGGGAGGTTGAGGTGGGTGGATCACTTGAGGTCAGGAGTTTGAGACCCACGTGGCCAACATGGTGAAACCTTGACTCTACTAAAAATACAAAAATTAGCCAGGTGTGGTGGTGGGCGCCAATAATCCCAGCAACTCGGGAGTCTGAAGCAGGAGAATCACTTGAACCCAGGAGACAGAGTTTGCAGTGAGCCACGATCACACCACTGTGCTCCAGCTTGGGTAACAGAGTGAGACTCTATCTCAAAAAAAAAAAAAAATGTATTGATAGGAAGGCCCTACATTGGGTTATATCTGTAGATGACCTGGAAGCTGGATTTGTAAAGAATAAGCAGTAATTCTTTATATATATATATATATATATATATATATATATATATATATATATATATAATTATACTTTAAGTTCTAGGGTACATGTGCACAATGTGCAGGTTTGTTACATATGTATACATGTGCCATGTTGGTGTGCTGCACCCATTAACTCATCATTTACATTAGGTATATCTCCTAATGCTATCCCTCCCCCCTCCCCTCACCCCACAGTGGCCCCGGTGTATGTTGTTCCCCTTCCTGTGTCCAGGTGTTCTCACTGTTAGGAAGGCATTGAATGTTCATACAAATCTAGTGATGGGGATGTATGTGAGACCTGTGACTGTTTCCATGTTGCAACTTAAAAAACAAAAAAAAGAATAAAATTAGTTTCAACTTACCTGTATTTGGGACTCTTTAAGCCTTTTGAAGCTTGTCTATCCATAATAGGAAGTAAATTAATATGAATGGGTGTCTTTTAGGGGCCATGCATGCACCATGATGAATGTTGACCAAGCATTATGTCATTTAAATCAAAAGGTAACTCTGTCAAATGAGACGGTTCCCCTGATTTTAAAGAGACTGAGATCGACTGAAGTTAAAATCTATGATCATACAGTAAGTCACAAGTCAAAGATTGGAAACTTGTATCTCACTCCATAATTCACCCTTTAGTATCTCACTAGTTGAGCGATTATACTTTTAAAATATAAAACTAAATTTTCAACAAATGAGACATGAACATCTTTTGCCACTTCAGAAATACAACTGGACAACAGAGTGGTTGTTAAAGTTATGTTGTAGGCTGGGCGCAGTGGCTCATGCCTATAATCCCAGCACTTTGGGAGGCTGAGGCAGGCGGATCACGAGGTCAGGAGTTCAAGACCAGCCTGCCCAGCATGGTGAAACCCTGTCTCTACTAAAAATACAAAAATCAGCTGGGTGTGGTAGCACATGCCTGTAATCCCAGCTACTCAGGAGGCTGAGGCAGGAGAATCGCTTGAACCCCAGAGGCAGAGGTTGCAGAGAGCCAAGATCATGCCATTGCACTCCAGCCAGGGTGACAGAGCAAGACTCCGTCTCAAAAAAAAAAAGTTCTGATGTATGGATCACGTTATAAAGGGCATTGGGAACCTCTCACCATCAGCAGTACTTCTCATTTTGTTTTGGGGTGTGTGTGTGTGTGTGTGTGTGTGTGTGTGTGTACTTATATATATGTCATCCAGTACCCAAATTGTACCCTTCTAACAGTTATTTAAATCACCTAGTGTAATCCCTTAACATGTAGTTATATTTTATTTTGTCATAAATAAAAAACATAAGCAAAAGCTGTTGGGGAAATAATAACCCCGAAGATAACCACCAATAACAAACAGACTTTCTAAATCTATCTAGAACCTGGCAGTCTCCATAATGGGTCAACTTCCGACTTGTTCCTTGTTGCCTCAGGGCTGTTCTGAACCCTGAAGTTCCCCCACTCTGTAGCTGATGACCTGCTGCGTTCATTCCTTACGAGGAAGCAGCCACTTCCTCCCGTGGGCTAGCAGCCTCGCACTTCTGCATCTTTAGTGGCATAGCTGAGTGGTACCAATGCTTCTCATTTTATTCCTACAAAACAAAAAACCTCAGCAAGGCCTGTGTTTTCATCTCCATCATTCTCCCTTTATCTGCCTAGGCCTTTAGATGAAAAAATGGCCAAGGTACTTGGAGAGATACAAGCTGTCAGGGAGGCAGGGGAGTCAGACCCAGGTTTTAGCCTCATAATAAAGAAAATCATGAAATCCCTTCCCACTTCTCTCCTTCCTAACTCCTTCTTGTAAGTTTATCAAAATGAAAGCAGATGAGGATGTACAGATTGCCCATCAAGGGTTCTTAGATTCTGACTTGCTTAATACTTAAAATATAATTTTATTCAGTCCGTTAGAAAAGCTCTTGTCTGGCTGGGCATGGTGGCCTGTAATCCCAGCACTTTGGGAGACTGAGGCAGGCAGATCGCTTGAGCTCAGGAGTTAAAGACCAGCCTGGCCAACATGGTGAAACCCCATCTCTACTAAAAATACAAAAATTAGCCAGGCGTGGTGGCACATGCCTGTAATCCTAGCTACTCGTGAGGCTGAGGCAGGAGAATCGCTTGAATCCAGGAAGTGGAGGTTACAGTGAGCCAAGATTGCGCCACTGCACTCTTGCCTGGGCGACAGAGCAAGACTCCATCTTAAAAAAAAAAAAAACAAAACAACTTTTTTCTACTTGAAGAGCTACTTCCTACAGTATTAAAAAAAATCAGTCTAGAATATATTCTGCTTTTCTGTTAAATTGTACCTTAATTTGGAAGCATGGAACATTCTTGTGTCACAGCAGTGTCTCTCTACCCTGGCAATACATATGAATCACAGGAAAAAATACTCTGGTCTTGCCCTCCAGTGAATATGCTGTTTTAAAATAGTGTTTGATTGCTGTTTAGCACCTTGATTTTTGAAAACTTGCAGAATTTCATGTGGCATTTTTACATAGTTGAACGTACTTGGTGACTTTGAATTTGTTTATATATTATTATCCCTGACAATGGAACTAATTTTAAGTCTTTTCAGTTTGACATAGTAGAGCCTTTCACTCTGGTGAAGATCAGGACTTACAAAAAGATTCAAAGTGCAACAATTGCAAATAACAACTTTATCGGTGCTGAGTTTCGGAGTTGAAAGTATCCTCAATGGTTGATGGTCCGACTGACCTGTTAGCATGTTGAGAATGAATCTTAGTTGGTTCTTTGGAGTGAGGGGGGCGATGTTTGCTGGTGCTGTCCTCTGAGGGCAGGGAATAGTCAGCATAAACGCACTCTTCATTAACCTTGGGCTTCAGACATAAACCTTCCTCTGGTCTTCTTCCCATGGAGTTTGGCAGCATTTCACACAGGTCTCAAGGGCCCCTCTTGTCCCTTCTGAACAAGCCCCCTCTGAACTCAGAGACAAAAGGGGCTTTTCCTATAACACACCTCACCCTGGACCCCAGCATGATTCCTGCCTAGTTCTATTCACAATCCTTTATTTCTCCTTTGGAGAGTCTAATCCTTGAAGTCTGTCATCCTTGACCCCATCAAAGCGTTTTTCATTGGGATGATGGACTAGGGGAAGGCTGAGGCAGGTGGAGTAAGGGGCTGCAGGCAGCCTTGAGCTCTCCGTGGAGCACTGGTTCTCAACCTTACATCACCCAAAGAGTTCAGGTACCTTTGCCCATTCCTGGGCCCTGTCCCTGAAAATTCTGATGTTGTGCTCTTGGGCAGGGCCCAGCAATCTGGTTGCTTGTTGAAAATCTTGCTGATGATGATTGTTAGCCAGCTTGGACTGCCATAACAATAACACAGACTGGTGGCTTAAATGACAGACATTTATTTTCTCATAGTCCTGGTGGTTGTAAGTCCAAGATCAAGGTGCTAGTGGGGTTGGTGTCCAGTGAGGCCTTTCTTCCTGGCTTACAGACGGCTGCCTTCTGGCTGTATTCTCACATAGGCTTTTGCATAGAGAGAGAGCAAGATCTCTCGTATTTCCTTCTCTTCCTATAGGGACACCAGTCCTGTTGGACTAGAGCCCCACCCTTATGACCTCATTTAATTCCACCTCCTTAAAGGGCTCGTCTCCAAATACAGTCACTTTGGGGGTTAGGGCTTCAACATCAACATATGTATTTGGGCGGGGGGACAAAATTCAGTCCATAGCAGTAATTTAGGAGGTGTTAGGTAACACCTGGAGAAATAATGGTTTAGGGTGTGTACTAACAATCACCAGTTTTTTGGTTAACAATACCATTATGATAATTGATGTATTAAAATGTCTAAATAGATTAAAATCTCTAAGTGTCTGCAGAAGAATGAAATGTAAAGCATATTTCAAAGATATGCCATCGGAACACTCATTTTTATAAGCTGTAAATGGTTTATCTCATCTTCAGGGAAACTTTTAAAAAATAAAATCCTGGGATGGGATTTATCCATGCAGAAAAGCACAAGAATCCCCTGTTCTCTGACACTGTCTTTGTCATGGGGTTTCCAGAGAGAAACATGGAAAGCGGCGGGGACCGCCTGTCCCACTCAACCCTTGCCCCTCTCCAGCCACCACTGCCCACGCACAGGGCCCCCTGAGCCCAGTCGCCCCACCTGCCAGGAGGTGTGCTGGAAACAAGCACGTGACCTTGCAAACTAAGCATGTTACTAGACTTGCTCAATCCACCTCCAGTCTGGAGTAGCTTTTTCCCTGGGGGAAGCTTTTAGCTTCTGCTTTTTCTTCCTCATGAGGATTAGGGGAAAATGGTTGGTTTTGTTTTTCTATCCCGCTCACCCACTCCCTCCTCCTTATGCTCCTGAGGGAAGATATCACGTATCAGAGGCGATTCTTCTTCAGAAAGACTTGGGTATGTCTACAAATCCTCTTGGAGGCCTCGGTGTGTTAAAAGTTTTATCTCTGGGGTTCAGAAAGAAATAAACACTGGGATGGCATGCAGGGTAGGGCTTCCCCTTTCTAGGAAAAATGCTGCTGATGAACTAATGCCTCTAGGTGCCGTCTTAAATGATCAATGTCAAAATGCACAAATGCTCTTCCAAGTTATTCCTCTTTTTTCCTTGCCCGTAAATCCAGTTTTATAGTCATTGTTTATTTTGATGGGACTAGAATCTCCAATTCTAAGTCTTCACTCCTGTCCTATTATTTTCTAAAAAGGTACAACAAAACAAGTGTTTTATGAGATTAGGATGTGATACGTAAATGTTGGCATTTATAGTAGATCTTGTCTTATTTTTCAGAAGAGCTTGTAAACAAATCCTCACTTCAGTACTTCCATAAGGGTGGGTAAATGTTAGCAACCCCTGAGTCTCGCCAGCGAGCTCAGTATGTCATTCTTTGGGGGCTGTGGTTTGTCTTGATGTTCCATCAAGTTGTCAATTTCAAAAACTATGCCAGGCATGGTGCGGTGGCTTATGCCTGTAATCCCAGCAATTTGGGAGGCCAAGGTGGGAGGATCACTTGAGCCCAGGTGTTTGAGACCAGCTGGGCAACATAGGGAAACCCCATCTCCACATATAATTTAAAAAATTAGCCAGGCATGGTGGTGCACACCTGTGGTCCCAACTACCCAGAAGGCTTAGGCAGGAGGATCACCTGAGCCTGGGAGGTTGAGGCTGCAGTAAGCTGTAATCATGCCACTTTGCTCCAGCCAGGGCAACAGAGCAAGACTCTGTCTCAAAAAAAAAAAAATCAAAAACAAAAACAAAACAGGAACTATGACACCAGTTATCTGTTTGGTTTGGCAGAATTAATTGCTTCTTCTATCTTAATTCCTTCATAGAAACCCTGACCAAATTCTAATGTTTTATTTAAACGGAGGTTTTCAAAAGAACTGATAGGATAAGATACTTTGAATATAAAGAGACCAAAAAAATGAAAATAAGAGCTAATTAGGATAAATGGCAAAGACAATTTACATTTCCTGATCCGTGATGAATTTTTCCCCACCCCTCCACTGTAAACCTTCTTCCCTCCCCTCACCAAATTTTTCCATGATGGGAAGATTGGTCTTCTAGCATATGTTTCATTTTCTTTTTTTCTTTTCTTTTCTTTTTCTTTTTCTTTTTTTTTTTTTTTTTTTTTTTAAGATGGAGTCTTGCTCTGTCACCCAGGGCTGGAGTGCAGTGGCACAATCTCGGCTACCTGCAACCTCTGCCTCCCAGGTTCAAGCGATTCTCCTGCCTCAACCTCCCGAGTAGCTGGGATTACAGGTGCGCGCCACCATGCCTGGCTAATTTTTATATTTTTAGTAGAGACGGGTTTTGCCATGTTGGCCAGGCTGGTCTTGAACTCCTGACCTCAGATGATCCACCTACCTCAGCCTCCCAAAGTGCTGGGATTACAGGTGTGAGCCACCATGCCAGGCCTGTGTTTCATTTTCATGTAGCTTACACATAGGAGGAATAAATTGTTCTTATCAGATCATATAGTCTGGTAATTTCTAGGACTAGTAACCTAATATACAGTACAGTGTCCGGATGTGCCCACGTGTATAATCCAGAGTCATGCACCTCAAGGGCCAGGCAGATCATATAAAGGAGTGGCGGAGGACAGGTGTAATATGAAAGGGGATGGTGAGGACTGTGGCACACTGGGAAGTGCACAGCCAGGGTGACGTGAGCAAGCTTAGCTCTACCCACTGCTGCTGTGCAGGAGCATTAGACTAGTGTTAACTCATGTTGATCCCTTTTTAATTTTTTGGCACCCCAACCCCAAGCCCCCCAAAAATCTGTTTTTTTAATGCAGAGTATCCTGATTGTTTAAACTTGGGTCATCAATACAAAGAAATTAAACCCTGTGTTGACCAAACAACAGGTCCACAGGTCACACTCTGTCTAATCAGCCTCAGCTCCGTCAAGCCTCACCAGCCCTGTGGGTACAGGTAAAGTCACTTTAAAAGATCAGACTTGGCCAGCTCAGCTGTCACTTCACACAGACATAAAGACAGGACCTCCCAGGCAGCACCTCCTGGCTCCCCTTTCCTCTGCCTGACCCGTCACTGCCCTTCCACCCACACTGTACTGATCCTTCCAGGGACCCCTGCCCCGGATATTCAGCATTCCCAGGCTCCCTGTAGGAATTCTCCTAGTGGGCCCCCCAAATCTCTACCCCCAGGCTGCTAAGAAATCCCTGTTCTTTTCCTTATGGGAAAAGGATTCCTCTCCTCTTGTGTTTCCTGCTGTTAGACAGAAGGATCTCACAGCCAAGTTGCCTGGCATATTACATCTCTTGGTTTTGGTTTTTCGGCCACCCAGTCTCTTTTTCAGGTCATTCTCAGGCTGTCCAAATGGCCAGGTGAGGCCAGCCTGAGTACTTGCCACATACTAAATCAGAACTTCCTCTCACCAGAAGAATGGCCTTCTGCTTATTCTACTTGTCCTACCAGACTTCCTTCCCCTTCTCTCTCCCAGGGTCACCAAGGCTTCTGTTGCCATCAGATCTCAGCCCCAGCCCCACCTTCATTCCCCACATAGAATCTGTGATATGTGCCTGAAAATATCTGAATCCTAGTTTTATATATTGTTAGAATACTTTTTCTAGGATCCCCCCTTAGGCCCCTTGTAAATCAGTCAGTCATTCCATAAAAGTAAGTAAATGGGTTAGGGGATAGCTACAAAGACCCTTCTAGTCTCACTCACCCAATTTCTATGGAGGCTCATCCAGGACATCTCACTGCAGTGAATGTGTTCTAATAATCATAATTGTATATAAACTTAAGGTATAAGAGTTCCTTGAATAATTCAGAACTAACTGTACTTTATATTATCTATATATCATAGGAGCATAATTTTTGCAGGTGTACAGTTAGCTCAGCTGCTGTGCTACTGCTATGTCAGGGATATCTTATGGCAGGTGCTTATTTGGGATGCAACCACAAATGATGACAATACCCCTGTGGTAAAATTAGCTGTTTCATAATCTACTTTATAACCTGGTTTCCAGAATGCAATTTTGCAGAAAGTGGAGATGATGTCAGTGAACAGGTAAAAAGCATGACCTGGATGCTAGACATTGGCTTACTGTCAGATGATGTCGTCGAAAAATTTTGCAGGGAGTTTTCTATTGATAATAGTTAAGACATCTTTCACAAATTCTGCCACAGAAGGAATTACAGGGCTGGGCGCGGTGGCTCATGCCTGTAATCCCAACACTTTGGGAAGCCGAGGCGGACGGAACACAAGGTCAGGAGATCGAGATCATCCTGGCTAACACGGTGAAACTCTGTCTCTACTAAAAATACAAAACATTAGCCGGGCATGGTGGTGGGAGCCTGTAGTTCCCAGCTACTTAAGGAGGCTGAGGCAGGAGAATCACTTGAACCCAGGAGGTGGAGGTTTCAGTGAGCCGAGATTGCGCCACTGCACTCCAGCCTGGGCGACAGAGCGAGACTCCATCTCAAAAAACAAAAACGGAATTACAGGGAATAAAAAGCATTTTCCTGCACAAAGGCCACATGCTCCTGGTTTTGCATCAACCTGTGGTTATCTGACCATAATCGTGGGACCATGTTTTACAATTCTAAAGTTATTTGAGAGCCTCAAGAGAGTCTATGGAGTTAAAAAGTGGATTGGTGGGACCCTCACCCCAAATCATGGAACCTTAGATTTTTAGATTTGGAAAGTCTTCTTAAATGTCAGAGACTCCAGAGTTCTCATTTTACTAATCCAGAAGGATTTTGAATCACAGAGAGGTTAGTGCCTTGTCCAAGAAGATAAAATTGTCTGGGAGAGCTGAGATTCTACCCACCTCAACTTCAGATCTTGTGTCCTTTCCACACATCATTTCATGAGCCGTAGGTGATGGTTTAGATTGAACAAAATTAATTTGGCTTTGGGGATGGTGTTTTCGTTTGTTTGTTTGTTTGTTTTTGAGACAGTTTTGTTCTTTTGCCCAGGCTGGACTCCAGTGGTACAACACAGCTCACTGCAGCCTCAACCTCTTGGGTTCAAGTGATCCTCCCACCTCAGCCTCCCATGTAGCTGGGACCACAGGCACATGCCACTACACCCAGCTAATTTTTTTTATTTTTTTGTAGAGATGGGGTCTCACTCTGTTGCCCAGGCTGGTGGGGATGGTTTTTATTATTAAATTACTAGGCTGATAACCAATAGTCATTATGAAAACATAATTCCTCAAAACTCTTAGAGCAGCATAATTCGTTAGGTTTACCATTTTGTTATGCCCTAATTTGTAGAGACTCTTAAACAGATATCTTATGTCTGATCCATACTGGCAACCAGCCAGTTGTCCCTGGTTTTGGGTCCCCCAGGAAATGTATCCAGCTGATCCTGGGAAATACTCAAGGCTCAAATGCACATGGTCAGTTCTTAAGGCCCCTGGAAGTAGCCAGACAAACAGTGGCCTGACCACTGCCCCCAGCCGTCAGTCTGTCCTTTTGTGACCCCTTCTTTTAGGGCTCCTTTGATGTTCATTTTAATCTGATAATACCCAGATGGAAATGCCGGGCAGGGAAGTTTACATTGTGATTTACTATAACCACACCTTTTAAGGACCCAGTCCAAGCGATGAGGCAGGAACAGAGTCATGGTTACCGCCCAAGCAGCTCTGCCCACTGTCTGGAGGAGAAAGAAAAGGTGAGACCAGAGAAGACTGATACATGCAGGTGAGGGGACGGCATTACCCCAGAGTGGAGAAGGAAAGTAGTACCTACTTTAATAAAGGGGCGTTGTTGCAGTAAACATAGTTATTAATTGTGGTATGTAACAATATATTTGCAAACAAGATTGCCCAGAAAAAAAAAATCTAGGTTGGGTGTTCTCTGCGGATATAATGCCAGGTACACCAGCAGTCTATGCCAGTGGGAAGTAAAGCAGCCTGGATGGTCTTTTCTCTTTGGCTGGTTTCCCCTGGTTGACCTCTTCTCAACCTTCAGATGTCAGTCCACACATCCCTCCCTCAGGGAAACCTTCCCAGACCACCCCAAACTAGGCCTGGTCCCCTTTACACGTTTCCATAGTGCCTGTGCCTTCCCAGCCCAGTGTGCACGTCACACAGTCATCAGTCACCTGTTCAGATGATCCTTCAGTGTGTCTGCCTGGCCAAACTCTGTGCCTTTTGAGGACGCAGCGATGTTGATGTACCTGAAAGTCTGACTTGGGAGGAGTGGGGAGAATATTTATTTCCCAGAGGATGTTCTCCAAAAATGATGTCTTTTTAACGTTTTTTAATAGTAAGTTGGCATGAGGACTTAAAATTCTGAAGCCACTTTGGTGGAAGCAGTAGGAAAGTATGTTCTTGACATACAAGGAGAAGGTGATCATAGGGTGGTGACAGTGTTAAGTCCGCTCTACCCTATGCGCCCCACAGCCACAAGGGGCAGCTCTCCCCTTTGACCTCCCTGCACCGCTCCCCATCACTGAACCCTGCCTCCAGGAATCCCTTCAGTTAGGTATTCCATCAGTAGTTGAACAAAGATGCAAATAAATATGGGAAACTGATAGGACAGCTCAAATAATTAAGGAACTACAAAATGGAGGTGAGGTGTGATTTCTCTTGTATTTTCCTAAAGGGGTCTTTAAAGAACTCCAGGGTATGATCGATGATTTGTGCAGGGATGGGATGTCTGGTAACTAACAGTATCTAAGCAGACACTGGACACACTTGGTGAGATGTTGTAAGTGTTAATTGAAACACTGGATTAGAAAGCCCCAGAGTATCTTTGCAATGTTGACATGCTGTTATCATAGGATTATTTTTAGTCCATGCAGCTCCCCCTAGAAAATAAGTGTCATAAAGGCAGGGGTGTTTATCTGTTTTGTTCACTCTTGTGTCTTTAGTGCCCAAGACAGTGCCTGGAACATAGTAGCTGCTCAATAAATATTAAGTAATTGAATATATCAGCAGATATCAAATTCACAATATTTTTCTGGTATAAGATAGGCTCTAATTAAGTGTTTATTTCATTGACCTGGATCAAGCAGGCCATAAGTCAAAACGGGGCTACAATTTGGCATTGTATCACCGTGTAAAAAACTCAGGCCAGTATTCTGACTGCATATGAAGTCAAACTGCTATCACCATTTTAGACCAATGATTCTGGAGTTAGTGTGACATTGCATCAGCCGGGGACCTGGCAAGAAACTGAATTAGCTCAGCTGGTTCAAACGAAGGGTGTATGTGAAGCAAAGAGAGACGACAACAGTGGGAAGCCTTAGCCACTGCTTTTGGGACAATCTATAGGGATCCCTGAGGGATCGGGGACAACATAGAGTTAAGGGAGCGCAAGAAAGGCTGGAACCATGGAGGAGCTGCCCCAAATCAATGAGGGAGTGGAGGAAATGCCCCTATTTCCCTCTCTTTCTGCTTCAAACTATTGATGCCTCTAGCCAAACCTACCTGGAAGGCAGCCAGGCAGGGAGCGGAGTGTGCAGACCTTTAGACAAAGCAAGACTGGGAAAGATTGGGCTGGGGGTGTGGCAGGAACAAGACCTGCCATGTAAATTCATTCTGTTCTTCTTATATTTTAACCACACAAATAATACATATTCATTAAAGAAAATGTAGAGATCAAACCACCAGTCTTCATATTTTAGCTTCTTCCTCTTCCTTTTTCTCTTCTTTCATTTACTTGTAAAGGATTCAGTAATGTTTATTCAGAATAAACAGAAATAAGTTTGGTTACACTTGTTTCTTGACCTAATTCCCATTCAACCTGCAGTGGAACAGAGCTCTCTTTCCTTTCCTTTGTTCTGTTAACATAAACAAGTTACTTCATGTACCTCTGTGGGAACTGGGAATTAGGCAAGTGTTTAGACTCTCAAAAACTTTCAGCAAGTTTGGCTGTCAGCTTGGATACCAAGTAATTAAACATAAGATGAAAGATGAGTCCGACTGGGCTTATTCTCTAAGATTAGAAAGTGAACCATAAGTGAAGGCAGCCTAATGTAGCTTGATTTTACTGTCAACATAAAGTTGCTATCCACTTTTAATTTTAATTGAAGGACAGTTTGAAACTAAGGGGAAAGAGAATTTAGGAAAATAGTGCAAATGCTTATGTACACAATTGTTGGTAGTTTACATCGGCAACGTCCCACGCTGCTTCACAGCACTCATCATACTTGTCATTTTTTGTTTGAAACTTAAAGCCCATGTCCATTCACTGCGCCCAGCATGGGGCCTGATCAGTAGGTCCTGGTACATGAGGGCGAGTAAGAGGTGATTGCCAGTTCAAGTGGAGAGAAGGTTTTGTGAAGGAAGAAAGATCAGCAGGATGTTGCTCTGTGCCTCGAAGTTCAGAACTTTGTGGCAACAGAGGGGTATTTAAGGCCATTGTAATACTGATATACTAAGGTCAGTGGCCTTCATTGCCTTCTTTAGTTGAAAAAAAAAATCCTGGAAAGTAGTAAGTCATCTCAACTCATTTAGAGAGAAGTGAGTTCTGATTTCCTGGGGTGGAATCTATATTTGGCCTTTATAAATATCTCCGTCAATGGGATTGTTCCCATGACTTGGTACAGGAGACCAAGTGAATATCAGTGCAAACCACCCACGTCAGTTCTAGAAAGCATATGGGCTCCCCTGAGATAAATCATTTGCTCACAGGTCTTACTTCTTAGAGGTTAAGCTGTCAACCTTATGATGTTGAACGTAGCCTTAGGAGTGGGGGAAGAAGACTGATTGTGATGACCCCAAGGATGGTAATTGCTGAGGGTCAGGTGTGGGAGTTTGAGCCAGTTCGGAGATTGATTCCTGTTTGCTCCCAGAAGCTTCTCTGTGTCTCCCCTGCAAGCTACACTCCCTCCTCTGCTGCTCTTGAGAATTGTCTCTCAACCTACTACCCCTGGGTCTATGGGAAGGGGTGGGGGGCAGTTGGCAAGGTGGAGCTGAGCCCTCTCCTTCATTCCATTGCAGCTGTGGGTTTGTGTCCAGAAAAGAGGAGGAAAGGCTAGCAACTGGAGTTTGCCTCTCTCCTCTGCCAGGATGAGAAATTCCTTTGCAAGCCTCCGTAAAGGTGATTTAAGTCTCAATGGCTGTTACTCTGAAACTATAAGAGAATCTTGTTTTAATTGGTATTTTGGAAAATACGTACTGCTGTAAGATTTCAACAGAGCTCCCAAGCCTTTTCTTCCAGTACATTTTTTAGAGTGTTTCAAAAGTATAGATTGTGTTGAATGCCTTTACTTATGAATGGATTAGATGTGTGTTATCTCCTGGAGAAAAATGTGTCTGGAAGCCTACTGCATTCTTCCAGGGATAATTAGTTCATTGTGCTGAGCACAGCCAGTCCTCCGATGGTGTCCTTAGAGATGGGACTGATAGATTATCGAAAGCAAGAGGCTTTTTGCAACATATTTGCTTGCTTGATATCTAAAAATTGTTCAAAAATAACTAAGACTTGACTGTATTGTCTCTGGGAAATAAAAACCAAGTATCCTAATCAAAGAAAGGAGTGACAAATTGAGCTAATGATTGTCACAGAAGCAGAAAAATGAACCCAGGGAGGAATGCTTGAAACAGCAAGATTTTAGAGTCTGGAACGTGTGCCCTTCAAGGCCATCTCAGTTCATGTCATGGCCGACTGTTGAAAGGTATACGATGGAGATGTCAAATCATAACTTGGTTGCAAGGGAAAGGCAGGCCATGCACAACAGTGTGGTGAATAATAGGCTTTGTTTGTTCATTTGTTTTCTAAAATTCTTAGGACCATGCCTCAATACTGACATTTAGTTCAGTAGGGGCTGAGAAACTACATTTTCAGTTGGATGACTGAAGTCCTGGTAACTATTTAGTATTTCTAGTTTGGTTTCTATTGTTAGATTCAGTACCCCAGGACTAACGAAAAATGGCTTCATTTAATTTCTTCTATACTTGAGTGCTTTTGTCTGCTTTAGACCTATGTCTTTTGCTGACAGAATTTTTTTCTTTTTTTTTGAGACAGTCTCACTCTGTCGCCCAGGCTGGAGTGCAGTGGTGCCATCTCAGCTCACTGCAACCTCCACCTCCCAGGTTCAAGTGATTCTCGTGCCTCAGCCTCCCAAGTAGCTGGGACTACAGGCGTGCACCACCATTGCCCAGCTAATTTTTTGTGTTTTTAGTAGAGACTGTTGGCCAGGCTGGTCTCGAACTCCTGGCCCCAAATGATCCACCCACCTCAGCCTCCCAAAGTGGTAGAATTACAGGCATGAGCCACCATGCCTGGCCTACTGACAGGTATTTTTTAAATTTGTGAAAACAAACTCACTTGCCACTAAAATTATTTCACTTTGAAAAAAGGCCTTTAGAAATAATTTTTTTTAAAAAAAGAAGTTAGCTTTTTTGTTTGTTTGAACAAGTATGTAATTTGGTTTGTATAACAATAGCAAGGTGGAATTTGTAGTTGGTGATATTTTCCGGGTTTAGAGTAGACAGTCTGGAAGAATGTGTATAGATTTTTAATAAATCACAGCAGCTGCAATGCAGAATGGTGTTAGTACGTTAGCTCTTATTTACAGGAGGAAGGTCAGCGTGTTCTTCTGAGGGACTTCAGTGCGGAAGTGTGACACCTTTTGGCGTGCAATTGACTTTAACGTTCATCACTATTTTTTTTCTTTTTCTTTTTTTTTTTTTTTGAGACGGAATCTTGCTCTGTGGCCCAGGCTGGAGTGCAGTGGCATGATCTCGGCTCACTGCAACTTCTGCCGCCTGAGTTCAAGTGATTCTCCTGCCTCAGTCTCCCGAGTAACTGGGATTACAGGCATGCGCCACCACGCCCAGCTAATTGTTTTGTATTTTTAGGAGAGACAGGGTTTTGCCATGTAGGCTGGTCTCGAACTCCTGACCTCAGGTGATCCACCTGCTCAGCCTCCCAAAGTGCTGGGATTACAGGCGTGAGCCACCATGCCTGGCCCCTCACATTTATGCTGTCATGTGCTCATAGAAAATGTGGCCGCGGCCGGGCGCGGTGGCTCACGCCTGTAATCCCAGCACTTTGGGAGGCAGAGGCGGGCGGATCACGAGGTCAGGAGATCGAGACCATCCTGGCTAACACGGTGAAACCCCGTCTCTACTAAAAATACAAAAAATTAGCCGGGCGTGGTGGCGGGCGCCTGTAGTCCCAGCTACTCGGGAGGCTGAGGCAGGAGAATGGCGTGAACCCGGGAGGCGGAGCTTGCAGTGAGCCGAGATCGCGCCACTGCACTCCAGCCTGGGCGACAGAGCGAGACTCCGTCTCAAAAAAAAAAAAAAAGAAAAGAAAATGTGACCGCATGCCTTGTTCTTTCAAAGAAAAAACTTCTAATAGACTAAAAATACATTAAGAGTCTTTTGTCAATGGCCTGTGCTTCCAAAAATGGTTGGTTTTGCCATTTTCCATGAAAAATGTTCCACAATGGCAAGATCTTAAATTACAAGATAAGTAGGCCACACCTCCTCCAGGGTTTAAATTGTTACGCTCCTTGTGTAAAATACTATTTGTGTTTTCAAATACCCCTTCTCACTTCTAGCACCTTTGCATATGAAAGTCTAAGATTATTTTCTAAACCTGCCTTATCCAATGTTGATTATATGAAGCAAAATATTTCCTTGAACCCAAAAATGTCTGCATGCCTTTGCCCATCCGTCTTCCTGTCTCTGGGCCGCCCTTTCCTTCTTCCTTGCCCAGCTTTTTGAGCTGTTGCCTGGCTGCACAGTTCAGCAAGGTGCCTCAACTAGCTCAGGCCTTGCTGAGTCCCTAGATGTGTGTGTTGTCTGTGCTTCCTGCCCTCATCCCCACCCCAGCCCTCCTAGACAGCCCCATTGTGGTCTCATTCCCAGAAAACCTGGATAGTTCCTTGGAAGGATGGTGAAGCTAATTCACACTACTGTGGCAGTGGCTCCTTCGCCCTTCCCAGAGGAGATCAGGGTTTTAACTGACAACTTTTACCTTAAACCAAAAAGATTTGGAATTCCAGGCCCTATGGCAGACTTCTGGGAAGGGATTTTTTTGTTTTTGTTTGAGACAGGCTCTTGCTCTGTCACCCAGGCTGGAGTGCGGTGGTGCGATCCTAGCTCACTGCAGTCTCAAACTCCTGGGCTCAAGCCATGCTCCGACCTCAGCCTCCCAAGTAACTAGTACTATGGACATACACCACCCTGCCCAGCTAAGTTTTGTATTCATTTATTGATTTATGTTTTTAAGACAGACTCTTACTCTGTTGCCCAGGCTGGAGTGCAGTGGTGCAGTTTTGGCTCACTGCAGCCTCTGCCTTCCAGGTTCAAATGATTCCCCTGCCTCAGCCTCCCAAATAGCTGGAACTACAGACATGTGCCACCACGCCTGGCTAATTTTTGTATTTTTTTTTTTTTAGTAGATTCTGAGTTTTACCATGTTGGGTAGGCTGGTCTTGAACTTCTGACCTCAAGTAATCCGCCCACCTCAGCCTCCCAAAGTGCTGGGATTACAGGCATGAGCCACCACACCTGGCCTAAATTTTGTCTTTTTTGTAGAGATGGAGTCTCGTTAAGTTGCTCACTCTGGTCTCGAACTTCTGGCCTCAAGTGATCCTTCCTTCCATCTCAGCCTCCCAAAGTGCTGGAATTACAGACATGACCCACCACGCCCGGCCTGGGAAGGGATTTTTTTAAGTGGCAGGGACTTTCTGGTCTTCCTTCAATTAGGCCAGAAGGCCACCTGCACCTCCTTGCTGGCTGGTTTGTGTTCTGGTTGCTATAGTTACGTCCTGTGGGTGCTGCTCTTCTGCGCCTTGATTCCCCACTCCAGGTGGGGACACTGGGAATGGAATGCGAACTTCCTGGTTGTGTAACCCGTGCTTGCAGGGAGTAAACAAAGCTGCTTTCCAGCAAGGGTATCTTTATCACCTAACAAGGCACGCGTGTGCATTTTATCTGTGGCCACTCTATCATTTAAAAAGACATTTTGGGCTAGGCACAGTGGCTCACACCTGTAATCCCAGCACTTTGGGAGGCCGAGGAGGGCAGATCACCTGAGATCAGGAGTTGGAGACCCGCCTCGACAATATGGGGAAACCCTGTCTGTACTAAAAATACAAAAAAATTAGCTGGGTGTGGTGGTGCACACCTGTAGTCCCAGCTACTCAGGAGGCTGAGGTGGCAGGATCGCTTGAACCTGGGAGGCAGAGGTTGCAGTAGGCCGAGATAGTGACACTGCATCCAGGCTGGGTGACAGAGCGAGATTCTGTCTCAAAAAAATAAATTAATTAGATAAAAAATTAAATGTTGCTGAGCAAAAATAATCTTTTCACCCAGTGTTAGTATGGGCAAATAAATTATACAGCAAAAAGTGGCAAGGATACCAGCATCTGTGCCTTTTGTGTGTCTTAAGATTGTTCATTTTCCCTGCATGAACAAAAGCCTGGTGGCAAACCAGCAGCGCACCTCCAAGAAATGTTAACGGTTCAGTGTGTCCAGCATGTGGAATATGTGGTGGGGAGCACTGGAACGCAGAACCACTGCAGAGCTAAATGGGGAGAAACCAGGGTCTTAAGAAAATACTGAAGTGTAGAAGGCGCCTCTGCTCTCAGGTGTGAAAGAACCTGGACCATTGCTCAATAAATGGAGGTGTTTCTTCCCTTTACTTTTTTTTTTTTTTTTTTGAGACAGAGTGTCACTCTGTCACCCAGACTGGAGTGCAGAGGCACGATCTCGGCTCACTACAACCTCCACCTCCCTGGTTCAAGTGATTCTCCTGCCTCAGCCTCCCGAGTAGCTGGGATTATAGGCATGCACCACCACGTCTGGCTAATTTTTGTGTTTTTAGTAGAGACGAGGTTTCATCATGTTGGTCAGGCTAGTCTCGAACTTCTGACCTCGTGATCCACCTGCCTTGGCTTCCCAAAGTGCTGGGATTATAGGCGTAAGCCACCGCGCCTGGCCTTTCTTCCCTTTTCTTTTCCTTCCTGCTAGTATGTGAATGTATTATCCCTCCCCAGGCCTCATGCGCTATCCATTGGTTAATTTATTCAAGCAAATACTTGGTACTAGGATCAATATAAAGGCAAAAAAAAAAAAATGTGTTTGTGTGTGTGTGTATTCCCTGCTCTGAAAAAGCTTAATATTTAAAAAATGAAATTCAACATACTTTAAATCTTTGATATTTGTAGATGCAGTTTAGGTGCTTTCACTTATTTGCAAGTTATAGGAGAGGTCTTTACTTACACAAGTTGATGATTTTGCTAAAGCAGAAACCGCGGATGAACTAATAAATGACTGTCCCATAGGACCCAATATGGCCCCCGCTGTCACTTCAAAGCTGTCCTTCAGGACTGTCACTTTTCTGGTGGGTAAGCTTAGCAAACTGCCCACCATCCACACACACAGCAACTTTGCTGTCTTTGTTTACGTTTAACATACATGGAATCTCTCAGAAATAGCACTTTAGAAACATGTTTCTTGGCAAAAAGCAAAAAAAAAAATCCAAGTACAATGTAATTTTATTGGAAGTTAAAAGTAGCTGTGTTGTGATCTGAGGCTGTGCACGATGGATGAGTCATTAGGAAGCCTAGAACCTCTGTGTATTTTATCCCATCTAAGAGTTTAGAGCTTTGTGTCTGCCTCGAGAATATCAAATCTATGGTATAGGAAGGTTCCCTGCCCCCAACAGCTACCATGCAGGGTAGGAGTGAGACACTTAGAAAACGATTAAATATGAGACCACATGATCCTTACTCTAAGTGTAATAAACAGCTGTTAAAGTAATGGAAAGAGCTGTGGGTTGGAGTGGTTGTAGCAGATCAAACGGGAGCTTGATGTGAGCTGGCTCTTCGTTGAGCAGGAGGGAAGAGCCCAGCTTAGGCACTGGTATGGGAGACACAGACATGATGTGGGAAGCCACAGGGGTTGCTGTGGAGGCCAGAATAGAGGATGAAGAGTCTCCACAGCCCAGGGAGGACCCTGCCTCTCAAACTGCCTTCTCAGCATGCTGGATTTACTGATTTCCATCAAACTGGTGAATTTTGTGAGAAATTCCAACAAGTTGTCTTCTGAACTATTTCCTTTAAAAATCACTTATTTAAATAGCCATGTGTAGGTTCAGCCTGATTTGAAAGGAAATCAGCATTAAAACAAATTATCCTATTATGTTGTTAGTTTAAAATCACTTAATAGGCATGACAGAAATAGCTATGTTAAGAATGATCTGCTAGTGGTGTTTTCCATAACCACAAATGAATGCTTTAAATGGAACTTCTATTTAAAGGGTTTTCATCCTTTGAAATAGTTCAGTTTTAGATGTCTATGCAAAGACATAATCCATATTTTGAATTTGAGTTCCACAGTGCAGTGGTATCAGTTTTCAATAGCATTTTTGTGCTTCTGGAGACCTTCGTTTAAAGAACTCAAGATCTTTGTCAAATATACGCCTTCTGAATCTTTCTATAAAAATAGATATAGCATTTTAAGAAGGACTGGTGGTCTTAGAGAAATCAAAAACCCAAAATAATTGGAAGGTCTCACTTACTAAAGTATTGTATGAATACTAGATCATTCTGTCTTTACTACTTAGTATTTATGAATATATAATCACAGAACTTAACTGTTCTCCAAAGAAATGCATGTACATACCAATTTTAGGTATTTGTCTTCAGATACGCTTTTTAAATGTTTTTTAAATGTCAGCCTTAAATGTTTTCTCCTTAAACTTTGTTCACCTAAAATTCTATCAAGTGTCTTGTTAACAGAAACTAATTATCCAAACTGCCTTCCACTGGCTGTTATTCACACCCCACCCCCACCCCAACCTGCATTTTAAAACTTCAGTTTAAAGATGTGTCCGTTTACTTTGAAAGTGAAAAGATGTGTCCCTTTACTTTGAAACAAGCCCATGATTCAGGAAGTGAACTTAAAAATTTCAGAGCTCCAAAGATCTTGCTTATTTTATGGAGTTTAATGAGAACTGTGGCCAGAGCCAGGAAGGTGAAACCCAGCAGCTTTGGGCGAGTGTGGGTTGTATTTGATGTTCACAAAAGAATGGAAGTGGTAGGGTGTTGCTCAGTGAAGTGTGCATTTTCGAGTTACCCACAGTGGTGTCTATTGTCCTGTTTCTCAATTGAATGATGTCATGTTTCATTTAAGGCTCTTAGTGATGCTGAAGTCTGTGGTCTGCACACTAGGGGGAAAAAGGCAGTGAGAAAGTTGCAAATCAGGTTTTTGTAAAGCCTTTGTGTGTTGGGTTTGGGAGATAAAAGCTGACTCATGCAATATTTCTACGGAAGGCGCTGCACAGACTAGCAAAGGCTGTTTCTTTTACCTGACTGAGGTCACTGCATCAGCTGAAGGCAGACGATGTGCTTAAGCCTGAGTGGAGCAGAGGTAGGTGCTAATGTGAGTGTCCCCAAAGAAAGGATGCAGGAACAAACGCTCCTTCCCTCTGGGAGCAGCCAGAGAGGTCCACCGAGGTGAGAAGGGGTCGCAGGGGGGGCTTTCTTCACAAGTGTGCAGGGACGGAAGCTTGGCTGGATCAAGGAAAACTCTCTGTTACAAATGCGATAGACTGAAGTCTGGAAGATGATTTTTTTCTCCCCCTCCATCTGAACTGCAGCCTGTCTTCAATAGTTTTTGTCTTAGTTTCATCTGATTTTGCTCTTTCCTTAAAGTGAGGTTGAAATATCTAGAGAGCTGATGTATCTGACTCTGGGGAGAACTCTAAAATCCTCAGTTGTCACGCGCCGAATGCCCAACATTTTCATATGCTTTCTTTTTGAGGTTCATATGCAGTCAAAGTTGGAGGAACAAAATAAATGTTTGCAAATGTATGCTTAGCAACTGCAGTGATGAAGTTTAGTCTGAGTCTAGTGGCAACCAAAGTTGCCTAAGAAAATGCAGTTTCCATTTTGAGTGTTTCTCGGTAAGAAACACTTTTGTGAGGAACAATGATTGGGGCAAAGGAGGCGTGGATTGTATTCAATGCCGTTGTCCATTGGAATCTGATTTCATTTGGCTTCATTATTTGAATTTAATGATGCATTTTGAAAGATATTTATATTCAGCATTCCTTAATCACATATTGAATATAAAAATTATTTTAATTTAAAATATTTAGATATCTGACACCAATTGACATTGTGATTTTAATTTCCTTAAATAACTTTTTCAGATTATAAAAGTAATACAGCTATTGAAGAAGAGATATTTACAGAGAAATATGAAAGGAACAAAATTATTCGTTTTACTCAGTAAAACCGATGTTAACATTTTATTATATATTCCTTCAATCTATTTCTAATGTAGACAATAAAGAAGCCGCATTTTAAATTCAAAATTAGGATCGTATTATATGTTTTTTAAACTACCCATTTTACTCACTGTATATTATGACCATTTTCTATACTTTTAAAGATTTGAGAAGACGTGACATTTAATCATTTTACATTGTACCTTCTAAATGGCTTTATTTACTTGGATCTCTGTTACTAGTCACTTTAATTTCTCTGCCTCCTTTTCTTTTTTCTTTTTCTTTTCTTTTTTTTTTTTTTTTTTTTTTGAGACTGAGTCTCGCTCTGTCACCCAGGCTGGAGTGCAGTGGCACGATCTTGGCTCACTGCAACCTCCACTTCCTGGGTTCAAGCGATTCTCCTGCCATAGTTTCCTGAGTAGCTGGGATTACAGGCACGCGCCACCATGCCCGGCTAATTTTTGTATTTTTAGTAGAGACAGGGTTTCACCATGTTAGCCAGGCTGGTCTCAAACTCCTGACCTTGTGATCCGCCCGCCTTGGGCTCCCAAAGTGCTGGGATTACAGGCGTGAGCCACTGCGCCCTGCCTCTTCCTCCTTTTTTAAAAGAACATGTCTAATGTACTTCATGGATTTATTTGTTTGGAGTGCTATTGTTAGTCACTTGGAATTTGCCTCTTCTTCCTCCTCCTTTTTCTTTAAGAAAATGTTATTTCTCTTGGTGCCTCCCTCCCAGCTGTGCAGGGATGTTTTGGAACTGAGTGCGTTCCATACAGATGGAGCTTGTATATATAACCATCACTGTTTAGTTACTGCCTTGAGACTGATAATTTTACACTAACAGGAAGGTACTGTTCAAAGCAAAGCTGGAGCATAGATTATTATTTAATCTAAATTACAAATAGAGATTTTTTTAGCCTTTGAAAAACTCGGTGATACACAGTTTTTCATCATCCAAGACCTGGCATTCGTAGGATGTAGAAGAAACTGCTATTAGAGGGCCACTGCTTGTGCTGTGCCTCCAGCTGGGAAGAGGCCGTGCAGTCGTGACAGCCAGTGGTTTGCTGGGTTTTCAGGATTGGAGTCATGGCCCAAAGATTGGATGAGACTTGGAGAAGTCACCTAGTCCAGCTGCCTCACATACAAGGAAACCAGAGATGCAAAGATCAGTACAAACCCCGGGGGGTGCAGAGCCAGGGCAAACATGCAAATCCTCTGACCAAAAGGGAGTATTAGGACATAATTTAATTTCCGGTTGGTTCTCTGAAATGTGTTTATACAGAGGGTTGTGGATATATGCATTCCTGTGCACACATAGCCACACACTGTGTAGTCCCTTTTGGCATATGGTACCATGTGCTTTAGACAAGCAGCTTATGTTGAGTCCTTCATTTCCTGATCTCTAAGTTCCTTTTCTACCCTACTATTTTATGAGTACAAGGAAGGATGGACTAGAAGTTAGAAAATCTAGTCTCTGATTCATAGTTCAACTTTGAGCATGATGTTATATAATCTCTGCTTTTTTTTCCCCATCTATACAGTTTTCAAAAAGTAATGAGACACATGAAAGAGCATTGAGGTTGGTTTTGGGGGCTTTTTAAGGATAATTTTGACATAGAATTGTAGCAGCTGTATCATAATAAGGCTCACCTGTTATAATAGAGACTGTTTGGGTTCTCTCTTATTGCTTAACCAATCACACTGGAACCTAATGGCTTGAAACAACAAACATTTATAATAGCTCAAGGGTTCTGTGAGGCAAGAATTCAGGAAAGGCTGTGCTAGGTGATTCTGGCTTGGGGACCGTCATAAAATTGTACTCAGACATGACAGGGCTGGGGTCATCTGAAAGGCTTCTCATCCACATGTCCAATGTCTTGGCTGGAAACACAGCAGGGGCTGTAACAGCCAGGGTTCCTTGGGCATCCCTCTGTGTATCACTGCGGTCTCATCATGTGGTTTCTGTGGTGTGGCAGAGTCAGGATAACCAGACTTTTAAATGTGGTGCCTCAGGGCATGTCTAGCACCAGTGACTGCAAGGTTTTGCCTGTCTTTGTGCTCTGCCATACCCTAGGGCACTGGTATCCTTCTTAGAGTGGAGGCAAGGTTTCTGCCACATCTGGGTTCCAGCATGAAGAGGAAAGAATGTGGAGTAATAAAATCTAATGTCTTGAGAAATAGACTCCCAAAGGGGCATATATCGTTTCTACTGGTGAGAACTTGACCACATGGCCAATATCTAAAGGCAGAGGAGGCTGGGAAATGTGCTCAGTGAAAACTCCATCACTAAAGAAAAGGGTAGAGTGGATTTTGGTAGACAACTAACAGTCCCTCTCTGAGTGGTAACACAGTGGATGGTTCTGGGTGCCCCAAATAATTTCCTTCATCCCCCACACTAAGTCACCACACACAAAAAAAGCATACAACAAAAGTAAAAACAGCTGCATTTGCATAAAAAGCCTTTAGAGAATTTCTTTCTTTTCTTTTTTCTTTTTCTTTTTTTTTTTTTTTTTTTGAGATGGAGTTTCAGTCTGTCACCCAGGCTGGAGTGAAGTGGTGTGATCTCGGCTCACTGCAACCTCCACTCCCCAGGTTCAAGTGATTCTCCTGCCTCAGCCTCCCAAGTAGCTGGGATTACATGCACCTGCCACTACGCCTGGCTAATTTTTGTATTTTTAGTAGAGACGGGGGTTTCATCATGTTGGCCAGGCTGGTCTCAAACTCCTGACCTCAGGTGATTCACCTGCCTCTGCCTTCCAAAGTGCCAGGATTATAGGCATGGGCCACCGCGCCTGGCCTAGGGAATTTCTTTAGGTTCTTTTTCACCAGACTGCTCCAGAGACACCCCTTAGCTAAGGCAATTTATCTAATGCATTAGCTGCCTTAAGTAGATGCTTAATCCCTACTCAACTGAGGTAGCCATTATACCTCTTAGTTTCCATTGACTAGTGTCTTAGTCCATTTATGCTGCTGTAACAAAATAGCTTAAACTGGGTGACTTACAAGGAACAGAAATTGATTGCTCACAGTTCCAGAGAGTGGGAAGTCCAGGATCAAGGCGCCAACAGATTGTGTGTCTGGTGAGGGCCTGTTCCTCCTAGATGGTGCCCTCCTGTGTATCCTCACATGGCAGAAGGAGCAAACAAGCTCCCTCTGTCCTCTTTTATAAGGGCATTAATCTCATTCATGAGGGTAGAGCCCTCATGACCTAATCATCTCCCAACAGCCCCCCCTCCTAATACCATCACCTTGGTGAGTAAGTTTCAACATATGAATTTTGAGAAGGGCACAGACATTCATACCATAGCAATTAATATAGGAATCAATCGGTAAATTATCTGAGTATTTAGTATCTGACTTTACAGCTTGAAGGAATCTTTGTTCCTCTTCGTTCAACCCCTCACCTCCTGTTTGAATGAAAATATTTTTGCAAAATATCTTTTCTCATTCTTGATCTTCTTGTACAAATATGTGCTTTAACGCCTTGTTGGATGCATGGTTTGCAAATATTTTCTCCCATTCTGTAGGTTATCTCCTTGCTCAGTTGATGATTTCCTTTGCTGTGCAGAAGCTTTCTAGTTTGATGTAGTCTCACTTGTCTGTTTTTGCTTTTTGCTGTTGTTGCCTGTGCTTTTGGTGTCACATCCAAAAAATCATTGCCAAGACCAGTGTCATGAAGCTTTTCTCCCCTATGTTTTTTTTTTCTTTTTTTTTCTTAGAGGCTTTATGGTTTCTAGTCATATTTTTAGGTCTTAATGTATTTTGAGTTTATGTTTGTGTATACTATAAGATAAGGGTTCATTTTTATTCTTTTTGCATGTGATATAAGAACATGTGGCACATACACATAATGGGAAAATTATGTGACCATAAAAAAAAGAAGGAAATCCTGCCACTTGTGACAAGATGGATGAACCTGGAGCCTATTGTGCTAAGTGAAATGAACTGGACATAGAAGGGCAAATGCCACCTGACACCACTCTTACGAAGAATGTAAAATAATCAAACTCATACAAGAAAAGACTAGAGTGGTGCTTGCCAGGGAGTGGGGAGAGGGAGAAACAGGGAGGTAATAGTGAAAGGATACAAATTTTCAGCTATGCAAGATGAGTAAGTCCAAAAAATCTGCACAGCATAGTGCCTATAGCTAACAATACTATATTGTATACTTAAAATACTGCTAAGGAGGTAGATCTTAAGTATTGTTATTGTAAAATGTTTAATAATAATAAAGAGGCATAAGAAAACTTTTGGAGGTGATGGCTATGTTCATGGTATAGATTGTGGTGATAGTTTCACATGTATACTTATCTCCAGATTCAAGTTTTATACATTAAATATGTATAACTTTTTCTATTTAATCATACCCCAATAAAATACATTTTTTAATTTAAAACATTTTTGAGCTATTTATTTTGAAAATTTTTTAAATGTATAAAAAAGTTGCAAAGATTGTGCAAAGTTCCCATATGTCTTTCATCCAGCTTCCCCTAACATTAACATCTTGTGTAATTGTAGTACCTTGTTTAAAACTTATTTAACCTTGGTTAAAGACTAATAGATTTACATGGTAAAACTAAGAAATTAACAGGGTAACAAGATTTTTTTTTCACTCCTTGGTTCCTTCATCACCAAATAACTACAAATAAATATGAAAATCATGTTCCCTGAATTTAACATGCTGAACACTAGAGAACATGAGGAATTCTAGTCCTGGCCCTACCATTAAACAGGAATCAAGTTGATAGTTTAGAAAACCAAGAAGTGAAAATCCATATTGCTGTGAGGGAATAAAAGATGCTCCTCAAATACCTAGTGTCATCTTTGAAATATATAAATGTATATTTTTTAACTTGGACTCTTAAACATTTTTTAAAGCATTAAGTCAGTTGTTTACAACGTTGAGGCTCTAACAAAACTGCGCTGTATATTAAACGAACATCACTAACTGGTAGAGTAACTATTTCTGTATACTTTAGTCTTTCTGTGGCCTCCCCTCTTTGAGTAATTCACAGGAGGTGTAATAAGGAACTACATAATTTCAGCTACTCATTGGTACTGAACACAGCACATTCTCTTGATTTCCATGGTTGTCCTGCCAAGGAACTCAGACTAGGTATTTGATGTCTAGAATAGCAATGAGCAGAATTTGGAAACCCTGATCACCCCTCAATCCCTGCTGTGAGTAGAATTTCTGTCTTGCCTCCTAAGTTTCTCCTTGGGAGTTGTAGGTTGTAGGACCCATCAGATGTCCCCGTTCTCCATGTAAATATGGTCACAGGAAGCCATGGAACGTTCTGCATGAAACCTAAATCAGCCTAAGAAACCAGAGCCAAGAAGCATTGCTTTTGATTCTGGCAGTGATATTCCAAAAGAGAGCAATTAAAATAATGGAAGTTGGAAGAGCAAAGAAGGAAAAGCCATGGAATTCCAATGTTTTCACCCAGAAAAAATTAGAGGGATTTGTCATGAAGTAAAAAGTATGAAAGTCTAGCTACATAGAAGCTGTCTAGGCATCTTTTCCTTTTATTAAGGATGGCACAAAAAAAAAAAGAATATTTTATTTGGTTGGCTTTTAGGCTAACCAGTGCTTTTCATTGTGCGACTCAGTAAGTCTCTAAGGTTCCTCTATGGATACTTCCACCCCCACCACCTCCAGGTTTACCAAAGGTGAGATTGATCACAATCCTCTAAGTGGGTGGAACCAGCTTATTTTAGGGTCAAAAGATATACCTGATATAAGCCATTCGCAAGGTTTGGCCAGAAATTCCCAGAAATTCTTACATTGTTGGCCCTGTGCTTGGGATTTTGGAATAGACAGAAGTTATGAGAAGAAAAGCAGCAACTTACCCAAATGCTAATACAACCTGCTAACATCTTTCACTCAAGGCAAGTGAAAAAGCTTTCTTGCCCTACAGATTTTTATCTGGATGTTTCAGTTTGTCAGGGAAAATCAGTTAGCCCAGTATCTGCTACACAGAGATGACCTCCCAACTCTATTTTTGCTAATTTTTAACAATATTGTGCATTAATAAGTGGAGTAAAAAACAAAAATGCAAACTTTGAGTTGTATGTATCTCTGCATTCACTATTATTTGAACAAAGATTGATAAAGAGGTAAATTTAAATCTTCAAGAATAATGTAATTATATCAAAGACTTCTAGATCAGCATTGTCTGACTAAAATATATATGAACTACTTATGTAATTTTTTATTTTCTAGTAGCAACAGTATAAAAAAGTAAAATGATGCCGGGGCAGTGGCTTACACCTATAATCTCAGCACTTTGGGAGGCCAAGATGGGAGGATCACTTGAGCCCAGGAGTTCAAGACCAGCCTGGGCAACATAGAAAGACTTCATCTCTAGAAAAATTAAAAATAAAATTAGCTTGGTATGGTGGCGTGGTCCCAGCTATTTGGGAGGCTGAGGTGGGAGGATGGCTTGAACCCAGGAGTGAGCCATGATTGTGCCACTGCACTCCAGCCTGGGTGACAGAGTGAGACCCTGTTTCAAAAAATAAAAATAAGAATAAATTTAAAATAAAAAAAGTAGGCCGGGCTCAGTGGCTCACACCTGTAATCCCAGCACTTTGGGAGGCCAAGGCGGGTAGATCACGAGGTCAGGAGTTCGAGACCAGCCTGGCCAACATGGTGAAACCCCATCTCTACTAAAAGTACAAAAATTAGCCAGGCATGGTGGCGGGCGCCTGTAATCCCAGCTACTCAGGAGGCTGAGGCAGGAGAATTGCTTGAACCCAGGAGGTGGAGGTTGCAGTGAGCCGAGATTGCACCATTGCACTCCAGCCTGGGCAACAAGAGCAAAACTCTGTCTCAAAAAAGAAAAAAAAGTAAAATGAAACCAGTGAAAATAATCTCAGTGAGATATTTAACCTAATCCAAAATATTATTTCAATACACAAATACAAAAATTATTAATGAGGTATTTTATTTCATGTTTTTAGTTTTATACTAAGTTACTGAAATCTGGTGTGTATCTTACATCTCAATTCAGACTGACTGTGTTTGTTTGTTTATTTATTTATTTAGGGTCAAGGTCTCACTTTGCCACCCAGGCTGCAGTGCAGTGGCACAATCATGGCTTACCACAGCCTTGACTCCAAGTAGCTGGGACTACAGGCACAGGCCGTCACACCTGGCTAATTTTTTGTATTTTTTGTATTTGAGATGGGGTTTTACTAGGTTGCCCAGGCTAGTCTCGAACTCCTGAGCTCAAGTGATCCGCCTGCCTCAGCCTCCCAAAGTGCTGGAATTACAGGCATGAGCCACTGTGCCCAGCCTGGCTGCGTTTCAAGTTCTCAGTAGCCACATGTGGCCACTGGTTACTGTGTGGAGCAACACAGCTCTAGAGATAAATGTTAATAATTGGTGAGTTGCATTAGAATAGGCCAGACAGGGTGGAAATCTTAAATTATTTTGAGGAAAGTGAGAACAAGACTAGACAGTTTTTATGAGGTGCATTTTCCTACGTGAGGAAACTATAATTATCTTCTAAGCAATGAATCAACATAAAAAATGTTAGCCATTAGCAAGTGTGGTCTCATATTACGTGCCATTATATGACCTGACTTTAAATGTTTCACTTCTGTCATTGGTAATTTTGGAAGGTCTTTAGTTTGGGGTGGTAAGCTTGGCTAAATGCTACGGACACCAAACTTCTGAAATGGTCTATTTTAGAAAATGCCTGGTTGGCAGCCAGGCCTGTACGTGGACTGGCATTGGAACATTTGAAGCTTTCCCCGCAGCGGTGCCCCCTCCATGTTGCTATTTAAGATCTATCCATGAAGGGGTCCCTATTGATCTGAGTTTTATATTCCACTCTTTCCCACCTTTGAAAGTATTTCTAAAGACATTGTCATTTCTAGCAGCCCAACCTAGGATCCTCTAAAAGCAGTTTTTATTCCTCTTTAATCCTTCTGTCCCAATATTGGGTATCTAATATAAAGTGAAAGTAAGTAGAGAAAAGAAATGATGATAAGAAAATAATGTGTCTCTCTGTTGTGTCCATTTTTCTCTAGTCCTGATCATCAATGTAGTGCCAAGAGTTTTGTAACTGTGTGAAAAACAGTTTTCTATTCTGGAGAGATAGATTCTTCTCCGGTTACAAAATCAGAACTTGCCCTAGAGACAGTATGTGCAGATCTGTAGGGGGTAGACCTTTCCAGATGTCTTGGCCTTTCAACTTTTTTGACACCAGGGACTGGTTTCATGGTAGACAATTTTTCAAAGGATGAAGGGTGGGTTGAGGTGGTGGGGGTGTGGGGGTGGGGGAGTGGGGATGCTTTCAGGATGAAACGGTTCCACCTCGGATCATCAGGAATTAGATTCTCATAAGGATCGTGCAACCTAGATCCCTGGCATGCATAGGTCACAATAGGGCTCGTGCTCCTATGAGAATCTAATGCTGCTGCTGATCTGAAAGGAGGCAGAGCCCAGGCAGCAATGCTCGCTTGCCCATCGCTCACTTCCTGCTGTGCTGCTTGGTTCCTGACAGGCCGTGGACCGGTACCGCACCCCTGTTATAGAGAATATCCAACTTGGCCAGAGGCAGTGGCTCACACCTATAAACCCAACACTTTGGGAGGCCGAGGTGGGTGGATCACCTGCGGTCAGGAGTTCGAGACCAGCCTGGCCAACGTGGTGAAACCCCGTCTCTACTAAAAATATAAAAATTAGCTGGGCGTGGTGGCACATGCCTATAATCCCAGCTACTAGGTAGGCTGAGGCAGGAGATCGCTTGAACCTGGGAGGCGGAGGTTGCAATGAGCTGAGATCATACCATTGCACTCCAGCCTGGGTGACAAGAGCAAACTCTGTCTCAAAAAAAAAAAAAGAACATATTCAACTTATGTTTAGTCCCAAATCATAGCCTCATTGGACCCTTGGGATCTCAAAATATCCTCAGATACTTCCCAAGTGAGTGCCCATTTCCTACAGTGAGATCAACCTGATGGTCTAGGTTATGGAGGGTGCGAATGGAAAGGAAACCTTGTTGTGTCCACCCCTACTTTGGACTGCCATGACTTTCTCAACACCAGTCCCAAACGTGAGTAAGCATCCTTTGCTGCAAGCATACCTAAATGCACGGCTGCTGATTGGATTTTTGCCGCACCCAAGTTGGATCAGGCTTTCTAGGTCAAGTGCATCTTAACTACTATAACCAATTCATGTTTTATAGGCCATAAAGTTGTTATAGAACAAGCAGAAAGAATATTGCAAAAGCTTTAAAAATGTGTGGCAAACTCTAGCATGTGGTAGTGGTTATGCAGATAAACTGCTCATTTCCTACATGTCTTACCACTCCTTCTTGACTCGGAATTAGTTCCTTCATTTTATTTTCATAACTTTAATATTTGCATCATTTGTTTGTACTAATACTTGTCATGAATATAAACTAGGTATGTTGAAGGAGAGACTTGTTGGATACTTTATATTCTAAAAATATTAGTACCAACTGTTTAGTGATCTTTATTATAGAATCAAACCAAATTTACATTACTATTGAAAAATGATCATTACTATGTATTCTTTTTACTGTGTTTGTCACATTATAACCTTCCAAACATAAGTTTCCCTCTTCCATTTTTCTAGTAAAACCTGTAAGCATGTTTTTGTGGTAAGGTAACCTAGCAAAATTAAGCAAATTTCTTTATTAATCACCTTCTCTATCACAAGACATTTTGTTTCTATAAACACAATTTCTCTATGAAATAATGAGATGTGGAATCTCGTTATTTGAGGGAGAAATGTTGACCCTGCCTTAGAAATGAGGAAGATTGGAATTTTGAGTGTTTTACCCAAATAGCTTCTGAATGTTTAATTTTCACATGGGTCCTTTTGGGGCCCAACATCATATTTAAATGCTGTGGGTATTAAGTGACTTTTTTTTTTTTTTTTTGAGACGGACTCTCTCTCTGTCGCCCAGTCTGGAGTGCAGTGGCGCGATCTCGGCTCACTGCAAGCTCCGCCTCCCGGGTTCACGCCATTCTCCTGCCTCAGCCTCCCGAGTAGCTGGGACTACAGGCACCCGCCACCACGCCTAGCTAATTTTTTTGTATTTTTTTTAGTAGAGACGAGGTTTCACCATTAAGTGACCTTTTGACTTTGCAGATAGTTTTTATTTTTGGCCTTTTCTAAACAGACAGTGCCATTTTCTCATAATTGTTCTTATAATTTAGTTCCTATATGCGTCATATAATTACATGATTTTATAACTGTACTTGTGGAGAGTTGTAGTTAATCAAGCATGCTCTCTAATAGTATCATAACTCCATATATGCCACAAATGGAATGCCAGTTTCTAAGAAGTGATCTGGAGAAGTGCTGTGTTGAGAGGATAAGTTTTCAATGGGGTGTGAGTCTTAATAATTCAGTCATGCATCACTTCAGCATGAGGGCACATTCTGAGACATGTTGTCGGGCAACTTCATCATTGTATGAACATCACAGAGTATAATCACAAACCTATATGGCATAGCCCTTTACACATCTAGGCTAGACGAGATGGCAGATTGCTCTGACCACTGTCATACATGCTGTTTGTTGTTTTGTTTTGAGATAAAGTCTTGCTCTGTCGCCCAGGCTGGAGTTCAGTGGCAGGATCTCGGCTCACTGCAACCTCTGCCTCCCGGGTTCAAGCAATTCTTGTGCGTCAGCTTCCCGAGTAGCTAATTTTTGTGTTTTTTAGTAGCGACACGGTTTTGCCATGTTGGCCAGGCTTGTCTCAAACGCCTGGCCTCAAGTGATCTGCCCACCCCAGCCTCCCAAAGTGCTGGGATTTACAGGCGTGAGCCACCACGCCCAGTCTGCAGTTCATTGTTGACTGAAACATCATTATGCTGTGTATGACTCTATCTTTTTCTTGCCTAGTATTAGAAAATTATTGTCTATGTGACACTTTCTTTAATGCTGTATGCAAGTAAAATGTAAAGTTGCCAGCATTATTTAAATCAAGTAGTGGTGGCTCCAGGATGCTAGCCTAAAATTTTGTGGAATTATGGTGAAATACTTAAAATCTAGATCAAGGTTTTTCAAAATTCCGTAGGAATCACGTCGGGTCCCTTTTAAGTTCGTTAAGAACCACTTGTGGTGCTTGTTAAAGTGATCAATTCCTGGTGCCCTGACCGCTCAGCCTTTAATTTAGTGAATCTAGACTGATTTGCATATGAGTCATTCCAGGTGGTCACACTTTTGAGACAACAGGTCTAGTGTTTCTCAAACTTTAATGCTTCTAAGTCATTCTGGGATTTTATTAAAGTGCACACTCAAGTTCAGCAGGTCGAGGTCAGAGCCCGAGACACCACATTTCTAACAGGCACCCAGATGATGCTTCAGAAACACTGATTTTGCATCTCACTCCACCACAGGTACCTTTGCATCCCTTCTGTAATTGGCCACCTTGTTATTGACTGTATTTATTTGAGCTAGGTTTTTACTTCCTTTCAACCCTCTGCTTGATAGAATTGCTTATCTTGTCCTTTTTATTTTCTTTAATGCATATAGATGGGCACCAGTTGCGTCTTGAAGTGCCATCAGCTGTAACCAAAGTTCCACATCCCAAGACGACAGCCAGGCGTTCCTGCCCTCAAGAACTGAAGACAATGGAGCTCTCTGATAGTGACCGACCCGTCAGCTTCGGTTCCACATCATCCTCGGCCTCTTCCCGCGACAGCCATGGTTCCTTCGGCAGCAGAATGACCTTAGTTTCAAATAGCCACATGGGCTTGTTTAACCAGGATAAGGAGGTAGGGGCCATAAAACTGGAGCTGATTCCTGCCAGGCCGTTTTCCAGCAGCGAGCTGCAGAGGGACAACCCCGCCACGGGGCAACAGAACGCGGATGAGGGCAGCGAAAGGCCACCCAGAGCGCAGTGGAGAGTGGACTCAAACGGGGCACCCAAGACGATCGCAGACTCGGCCACGAGCCCCAAGCTCCTCTATGTGGATAGAGTTGTTCAGGAAATTCTGGAAACCGAAAGGACTTATGTACAAGATTTAAAAAGCATCGTAGAGGTAAGACCGACTTCGCTTTTAATGTTTGCCATGCAGGAGAAATATGCTTGCAAAAGAAATGACAAAGCCAAGCCAGGTGTAGGGGATGTCTTCTAAGAGGCGGAAGGGATGTGAATGTTTAAAGAGAGAGTAATAAGAGAAACCCTAAGGCCGTAACCCACTGTGTTAACATCCTCTTAATATTTGCGTTAACAAATTAGTTATGAGTGAGGAGCAAGAATGATGATACAGTACCCATACCAAGATGCTGTGTTAATAAATCCTACACCCCAGATGTCAGAGTGACTCACACGCAGTGGGGCAGATAAGGATGGAGGAGGACTCAAGTCTCCTGGAGCATGAGTGTCAGGTGTATGACTAAACCCCTCAGCTGTCCTTACCTTAATCACCACTCGCTACTGGCATCCGGGAGCTTCCAAAACTACTGAGACGTGAATCTCATACTCAGCAACTGTGATTTCATTGGCCTGGGTGGGGCTTGGGTGGTGGAATTGTTGAAGATGCACAGGTGATTTTAATGTGCAGAGAGGTTTGCAGCCGCTGCTGTCTGCTATTCCTGTATTGGTTGGTGTTTGGGGAAAGGATTGAAAGGTAGAGAAAAGTCGTGGGCTTTGTCTTGTCTCGTGTCTCCTTTCTGTTCACTTTTACAGTGAGTAATCCTATATAAATTATTTTGCATATGTTATTATTATGATTATAAATTACTTGCACAAATTATTTCATGTGAATTGAGCTCAGCTTATGTGCCAGGTCACATCCTCTGGAAATTCAATTATTCGATTTTGATTTTCTGGGTCGTTTTAAAGGATAAAGCAAGAATTATCAGAGGAGCTCAGATGTTAACTCACTCTCAATTGTAGTTAAAAATATTACTATCTCAAGGGCAGATTTTTTTTTTTTTTTTTTTTTTTGAGACGGAGTTTAGCTCTTGTTTCCCAGGCTGGAGTGCAATGGTGCGATCTTGGCTTACCACAACCTCCGCCTCCCGGGTTCAAGCAATTCTCCTGCCTCAGCATCCTGAGTAGCTGGAATTATAGGCATGCTCCACCACACCCAGCTAATTTTGTATTTTTAGTAAAGATGGGGTTTCACCATGTTGGTCAGGCTGGTCTCGAACTCCCGACCTCAGGTGATCCTCCTGCCTCGGCCTCCCAAAGTGCTGGGATTACAGGCATGAGCCACCGTGCCTGGCCTCAAGGGCAGATTTATATATTATAAAGCTACACTTGCTTTGCTGCCTACTAATACACCAGATTCTTTCATTTGTTACTACCTGTTTCCTGTTTTAGACATTGACTCTAGAGTATGTTTCAGAGTACAGTAGAATATTGCCAATGAGCATGTTCTTCCCCCAAATACATTCTCATAGCTTTAGAAAAAGAATTCTAAAGCATGACTACGTGTGATCCGCAAATGATAGAACCAGACTGTCTACTAAAAATAGTTATGATGTACCTTCCCAGTAAAAATAGAAAAGTCAATTGATGGTCAACCGAAACAATATGTGGTACCAAATGTAGAATAAAGTAGGCCTGTTTTTTAAAAAGTTCAACAATGATGTCATTTGTACTTGAGAAGAAATACCTGTAAAACAGCCAAAAATTTTACAGCCTCTCAGGAAACATATGGTTATTAAAGCTTTCTTTGGGCTATGCTTTTTTTTCCTTTCTTTCTTGGAAACTAGTCTACCTAATCTAAAACTCACCTTATAGAGAGAAACCTTTAATTACTGAACTAGTATTCCATTAACATTTATTTTTTCCTGAGGCTGGTTGATAAACCTTAGGTGAGAAGAAACAGGTAAGAGATGAATGAAAGAAAACAGATAAAGACAGAATTTATTTTTTCTAAGAAATTTCAATGTAAGTTCTATGTGAAGCTGTCCACGTGTTCTTGCCTTTTTTCTTTATTCATGAATCAACTGTGTTTTACACTAGGGGTTGGTGAGCTTTTTCTAGGCAGGGCCAGATAGTAAATAGTTTTGGCCTTATGGGGCCTAAGGTCTTGGTCACAACTGATGAACTCTGCCACTGAAGCTCAAAAGCAGCCATGTACACTGTGAATAATGGGGCCTGGACATGCCAGTACCTCTTTAGAGTCTCGTTTGACCCAACGGCCACAGTTTGCTCACCCCTGTCTTAGGCTATAAGTTTGTGCCATGTTTCATCAACTGTCAGATGGGACTAATAAGTAGGACCTGCCTCATAGGGTTATTATGAGAATTGGATAAGATAGCATAAAAAGCTCTGCAGCCATGCCTGGCACATAGTAATCAATTAGTAAATGGAAACTACACTTGTCACTATTGCCAGCCTTCTCTAAGTTTGCTAGCTGAGAGTGATCACTGCATACACTATGTTTTACCTGAAGTCTTTCACAAAAATAATCAGATTAGGCTGAATGCGGTGGCTTATGCCTGTAATCCCAGCACTTTGGGAGGCCGAGGCGGGCGGATCACCTGAGGTCGGGAGTTCGAGACCAGCCTGGACAACATGGTGAAAGCCCATCTCTACTAAAAATACAAAAATTAGCCGGGCATGGTGGTGCATGCCTATAATCCCAGCTACTTGGGAGGCTGAGACAGGAGAATCGCTTGAACCTGGGAGGCGAAGGCTGCAGTGAGCCGAGATTGCACCGCTGCACTCCAGCCTGGGTGACAGAACAAGACTCCATCTTTAAAAAACAAAAACAAAAACAAAAAATCAGATTAGCCAATTCACTACAGCAGAAATTTAATTAGAAAAAAAAAACCTTAATGAGTGATTTTACCATTATTGTTTTGGTTATTTCTAATGAACCCACTGGAAATCTGAGATGGAAATTAGGGGAAGGAGAGGCCCAGAAGGGGGTGAGTATTGGAAAGAAGCGTGCCTGGGGAGAAAGAGTCCCAAATGAAGAGGGAGGGACCCAGGCAGGAAGAGCTAGATGCTCCTCTGTTCCAGAAGTCACTAGAATGCTTTGCATCATTTACCCTGTCCTCCTAGAAAACTTTAGAATTGTTTCATATGAGGGATTAGTTGGTTGAAGCCTCTTCATCTGTTTTGGCTATGAGACCACCTCTGTTTCTCCAGATCACAACTTTATCAGAGTGGCTAGACCACTTTTATCGAGTTCTTTTCTTAATGAAAAGTAAACAATTATTGTCAAGCCTGCAGTAACTCTACCCAATAAAAGGCTGTCATATGGGTATTTTTTTTTTTTTTTTTTTTTGAGACGGAGTCTCGCTTTGTCGCCCAGGCTGGAGTGCGGAGTGCAGTGGCGCAATCTCGGCTCACTGCAAGCTCCGCTTCCCGGGTTCACGCCATTCTCCTGCCTCAGCCTCCCGAGTAGCTGGGACTATAGGCGCCCGCCACCGCCCCCGGCTAATTTTTTTGTATTTTTAGTAGAGACGGGGTTTCACCTTGTTAGCCAGGATGGTCTCGATCTCCTGACCTCATGATCCACCCGCCTCGGCCTCCCAAAGTGCTGGGATTACAGGCGTGAGCCACCGCGCCCGGCCTGGGTATTCTTTTAAAACATAGAATATCAACTCCTTTAAAATCTGTTTCCTTGATCTATTTCTAACCTATTTGTATAATGTTGTAAATGACTTCTCTAATGTTCTCCATTTTTCAAATGCAAAATTTTAAATTAAGAAAAGTGCTGCTCATTGACAGCCTACTATGATAAAACTTTTACCCTGCCTAAAAGACGGACTTTTTTTTAGTTGGCTCTTTATTTATCTATTTTGAATAAGCATCTCACCCTATCACCCAGGCTAGAGTGCAGTGGCACGATCATGACTCACTGCAGCCTCGACCTCCTGGGCTCATGCAATCCTCCTGCCTCAGCCTCCCATGTATCTAGGACTACAGGTGCACACCACCACACCTTGCTAAGTTTTTTTTTTTTTTTTAATTTTTGTAGAGACAGGATCTCAATATGTTGTCCAGGCTGGTCTCAAACTGCCAGCCTCAAGAGATCCCTTTGCCTCAGCCTCCCAAAATGGTGAGCTTACAGGTGACAGCCACTGAGCCCAGCCTTAGCTGGCTCTTTCCAAGCAAAAATAATTTCTGGGGGAAAAGAAGCTCGTCTAATTGAAGTCACTTTTAATTTCTACAGTAGCATGATTTCTGACTTTGTACACTCTGCTTTATTGAATCTCCTCCCAACTTAATTACCCCCATTAGTAGTACATTTTATCTGCATGCCGTATAGATACATAATCCTTACCACTCAAGTTTAGATTTCATTTTTACGACTTGTGAACAGCAACATTTTTGTGTATACACCGAGTTAAAAAACATGAGCAGGAATGATGATTTGACATTTCAACACAGTCGCAAATATCAGAGCAGCTTATTTCTGAGAAGAGATCCTCCTAACCCCAGTTGAGCAATAGGATTCCCAGATGTTGGTTACACATGTAAAGAGTGTGTTATGCCCTTCTTTCCCATATGTGGAGACATCGTATTAAAATAATCTCACATATTTAGGTATCTTTCTTTCCTATGCCATTTAGGAATTCAGAAATGAATTCCTAATGCTTTCTGAAAGTTGAACCCCAAAATGTGGTGGTTCTTATTCCTGTTGCTCTTCATTCTTCCCCAGATCCTTCTCTCTCAACCCCTGTCCCCTCCCCAGCCGTGGCTCTTCCGTCCTCTGCTCCTAGTCATTTACTTTTGTACACTTGACATTTTAGAGAAAGAGGTAAGATCTTGACTGTGAACCGTAGTCAAAGGAACAATGGAGCTGTTATTTCTATTTTATATATGCCCCTAACTGCATTCACAGATAAAATGAGATGATAAATATGAAAGCAAGTTTTAAAAGTTAAATTGCCAATGATACAATTTGTGGAGAGATAGAAATCCATAGTTGGAAAGCAGAAAATAAGGGTTTGTTTAATGTTTAATGGGACCTTCGATTGACTGGGCACGGGCTGTCAGGGGTAGGGTGGGTGTCTTTAATCTTTCTAAATGATCTATAAAAGAGCTTTTGAGAACCTCATAAGATTTGGCCTCAGATATAGTTCACGGCCTGTTGTAACCTGTTAGTAAAGTTTTAAAATAGTTCATAATGTTAATGCTGTGTAATTAGAAGTTACATTTCTACTACAGAATGGCATCGTTGAGCTCTGAGAGATACTAAATTAAGCCATATTTGGTGATATTGAGGACATTTAGTGAAAAAAGGGGCTGAATTGTTAATTACAACGTGATTTTATCTCTTTCCATTATATGCCAGAGAGCTAATATCCTTTTCATGGACCTTTATCCATAAAGTGTATTTTAAAAAAAAAGCTAAGTAATGGGGCCAGGAGCAGTGGCTCATGCCTGTAATCCCAGCACTTTGGGAGGCCGAAGTAGGCAGATCACTTGAGGTCAGGAGTTTGAGACCAGCCAGGCCAACATGGTGAAACTCCATCTCTACTAAAAATACAAAAATTAGCTGGGTATGGTGGTGCATGCCTGTAGTCCCAGCCGCTTAGAAGGCTGAGGCAGGAGAATGGCTTGAACCTAGGAGGCGGAGGTTGCAGTGAGCCGAGATCGTGCCATTGCATTCCAGCTGGAGCAACAGAGTGAGACTCTGTCAAAAAAAAAAACAAAAAAACAAAAAAAACCATAAGTATTCTAGCCTTGATGTTCAAAATTTAAACAGCAGAAGCATAAGCATATCTTTATGGGAAGCATTCAGCATTATTCAAAACTGTAGCTAAACAAGGATTAGAATGGTGATCACCAACCCCAAGCTCTGTGTTCGTTAGTCTATGTGGACTCTTTGTTTATTGAGTGATCGTACAGACAGTGTCAGGGAAGATAAAAGAGAGAAGGGTGTTTTTCACACACTTAGTGCCCTGAAACACATTGAAAGCTATTCTCCCCACTGCCATAGCCTAGAAGAGGCTTCTCTTTGTACTGGTGATATCCAATTAATTGAAAACTGTCTTATGCTGGGGAAGCAAACCTTCTCCAAAATTTGTGCAGAATGAAAGAAGGAAATCCAGGATTCAGGCCCAGAGAGCTTGTGCAGTGATTTCAGCACATACTCTGCCTGGACACTTAGCTCTTAGCCCTGTGAGATGTCTGTGACTTGGATGAAATGGAATCTGAGTTGGCTTTTGTCCTGGGGGCACCCCTCCCTTGAGGACAGTACTGTCAAGTGTGGAGGTGGTTTCTGATTAAGCCTGTCTTCCCATTGATCCTGCTAGAGAGACAAAATTGTTTGGTATGGAAAGGGCAGTGTGCATCTTACTCTTTTTCCTTAGCCATAGTGGAATGGTTGTGCATAGGCATTCCCTGGCCCAGCCTTACCTGCTTAGGATGCTGGACTAAAAGAGGCAGGTTTTGCACCAAGAAAGAAGGCTGTTGAGAAGAGGGGAATTGTCGCAGATTTTATTGTCTTTTTACTTAACAGATATCTTCTCTCCATATTTTCCCTCCAATTTAAATAACATTTATTGGACACTTCTTACAAGGTTCACTTAGACTAACGTTTTTTAAATACCGAGGGAGAAAAATGTGTTCCATGCTCAAGCGTAGGAGTTGGTAGGGATTGTTTTAAATGAAGGCTCGTTATGTGGGTGGATTTAATAAGGAACTTACACTGTGGTACTTGGCATCATTTAATGTACTTTTTTATGAGGCATTTGAGCACTTTTATGTGAATGTGTCTATTTTTTTCCTCCAAGGGATTTTATCGTAACGGGTGAATGAGATCTTTCTTAAAACCATTTAATATCTATGATAATTTGGAGACAAACGTGTTAGTTTTCTGCTTATTTCGGAGTCACTCCTTAAATAGTACATCTAATCATTTTACATAATCTCTCAAAAATCTCACTTTGACTACATATTTCCATATCTCTGTGTTATTGTTGTTGTTATTATGACCCCTTATTCCCCACCTTACCTTAACCTTACTCTCGTCTTTCACCACCTCAACAACAGCAGCACAAACCTAGAAGGTGGCAACAGTGAGTGATTTTGAGTGTTCATATCTTCATACTGCAACCTGATCTGGGAAGGAGGGCAGGGAGAACTGATCTTTCACTTCTTTTCATTTCTAATGGGTTTGCCCATTTTGAATGTGATATAAATACCTGCTGATTGATTGCTAATGACCAATGAAAACAGTTCAAGGTGGGCAGCATTCGGTGAGAGCAAAATGAGTTGAGATTTGCAGAGTTGCTCTGCAAAAGTAGCTGTCGGCTGAACACAAGAGTTCATGTGTACTTTGTGACTGATGTCAGGTTGGGTTATTTGCTCCAAACTTTTATGGCTAGATCTTGAGTCAAAATGTAGGCAATGAGTGTCTTGTGACATCTTAAGTTTTGTAACCATCCCCATCACCTCAATAGATTCCCGCAGCTATAAACATACTATTCAGCTACCATTTCTAAATTTTCTAGATAGACGCCTCAATAATACAAAAACACTAAAAAATAACATTAGCAGCAATTAATATTTGAGCACTTACCATGTATCAGGCACTAGGCACTTAATTTGCTCACTCACTGTCCCATCATGTGGGTACTAGTTTAATTCCTATTTTAGCATGAGAATATTGAATGTACAGAGGACAAAGTGACTTATCCCCCAGGTCACATAGTTGGCTAGTGGTTGAGCTGGAACTGAAAAGCAGGCCTTTCTCCGAAACCCACTGCTTTCACTGCATACCTCCCCTTTGACTATAACAGAAGGTTCAAAGTTCAGCCCTCTTCTTAATCTCTCTAGAGCAGGCACCAGCAGTACCATAGACGTTCTGGACTGCATAGTTCTTGGCTATGAGGGAGAGTTGTGTACGTTGTAGGAACGTTTAGCAGCAAGGCTGACTTCTATCCATTAGAAGCTAATAGAACCACCACCGTCCCCACTTGTGACGACCAAAAATGTCTCTAGCCATTGCCAAGTGCCCCCTGGAGGACAAAATTGTCCCTGGTTGAAAATGACAGCTTTAAATATCTGGAACACATAGTGTTTCATTAAGGATAGGCTAAGCCACAGTAACTATATTAGGCCATTCTTGTGTTGCTATAAAGAAATACCTGAGACTGGGTAATTTATGAAGAAAAGAAATGTATTTGGCTGATGGTTCTGCAGGCTTTACAGGAAGCACAGTAGCATCTGCTTCTGATGAGGTCTCAGGAAGCCTCCAACCATGGCAGAAGGCGAACAGGGAGTAGGCATGACACATGTCAGGAGAGAACGTGGTGGCCAGGTGCAGTGGCTCACGCCTGGAATCCAGCACTCGGGGAGGCCGAGGTGGGCGGATCACGATGTCAGGAGTTCAAGACCAGCCTGGCCAACATGGTGAAACCCTGTCTCTACTAAAAGTACAAAAATTAGCCGAGTGTGGTGGTGTGCACCTGTAATCCCAGCTACTGGGGAGACTGAGGCGGGAGAATCAGTTGAACCTGGGAGGCAGAGGTTGCAATGAGCCAAGATAGCGCCATTGCACTCCAGCCTAGGCAATAGAGTGAGACTCCATCTCAAAAAAAAAAAAAAAAAAAAAAAAAAAAGAGCGCAGGGAGGGCCCGCACACTCAACCAGATCTTACGAGAGCTCACTCACTGTCCTGAGAAATCCGCCCCCATGATCCAGTCACCTCCCACCAGGCCCCACCTCCAACACGGGGAATTACATTTCAATATGAGGTTTGGGCGGGGACACAGATCCAAACTATATCAGTAACATACAGATCTCCAAATCTAGTGACTTCACCCAAGTTTCTTTCTTTGTCCTGTAACCATCCTTTGCAAGTGTTCAGGTGAGGAGGAGCAGCACTCCTCCATGCAGTCATTCAAGGACCCAGGCTGAGGAGGCCTTGCTGTCTTCAGGACATGGCTTCTGAGGTTGCCATCCCAGTCAACTAGACGGGCAAGGAGACATGGAGATACATACGGGGAAGGTTTCTGAGACAGACAGAACTGATGCACATCCCTTTTCTCAAACTCCCAATGAGAATCTTGTTACCTGGCTACATCCTATAAGGGAGGATGGGAGGTGCAGTCTAGCCGTGTGTCCAAAGAAGGTAGGAAACAATTTTTGTAAACAACCTGCAGTTTCTGGCATGCATTATGTATAACAAAGCCATTCTCATTGTAAAACCTATCATTTAGTGATGGTGTATCCCCCACCACCCTCACTAAAAATAAAAAGGAAGAGGCTGGGTGTGGCGGCTCATGCCTGTAATCCCAGCACTTTGGGACAGCCAAGGCAGGCAGGTCATTTGAGGTCAGGAGTTCAAGACCAGCCTGACCAGCATGGTGAAACCCTGTCTCTACTAAAAATCCAAAAAAAAAATTAGCCGGAAGTGGTGGTGCATGCCTGTAGTCCCAGCTACTCAGGAGGCTGAGGCAGGAGAATCACTTGAGCCCGGGAGGTGGAGGTTGCAGTAAGCTGAGATTGCATCACTGCACTCCAGCCTGGGCAACGGAGCAAGACTCCATCTCAAAAAATAAATAAATAAGGAAGAAAGTAAGAAAGATTTTGGTGGTGCTTACCTGCTGAGATGAACATTACTGTCTCTACTAAATAACCTCATAAAATGTTTTAAATGCATTCTTTATTTAGGGCTTCAGACCAATGTATCTCCTACTGTTCCTCTCTCCCTTCTTCTATGTCTCCACCCCTATTCCCTACCCTTTCTCCCATCATTCCTGATTACCTCCCACCCCCTCCTTTTTTTTCTACTCATTCCAGTTCATTTGACCTGCCAGTAGGGCTCTGTGAAATTATTTAACACCATAGTTAGTGTTTCAGGCTAATAAATATTGGGTCTAGCCTAGTTCAAAGGCAGGGATTGTGCTTATCTTGGTAGCATTCTGAAAACCTTGTGAGTGGGAGGGAATCAATAAGGGTAATGGACGAAAGCCATCAGATACCTAATAGAACGATGCTTGGAAGCTGAAGGTTCATTGTCACATTGATAAAGTTTGTAAGAAAACTGAATGCCCTCCCTTGTACTGCCTCGCCCTTCATCTTACTTTTTATTTTTTATTTTTGTTGTTGTTGTTGTTGAGATGGAATCTCGCTCTGTCGCCCAGGTTGGAGTGCAGTGGCACAATCTCTGCTCACTGCAAGCCCCGCCTCCCGGGTTCAAGTGATTCTCCTGCCTTAGCCTCCCAAGTAGCTGGGACTACAGGTGCATGCCACCGTGTTCAGCTAATTTTTGGTATTTTTAGTAGAGATGGGGTTTCACCGAGTTAGCCAGGATGGTCTCAATCTCCTAACCTCGTGATCTGCCTGCCTCGGCCTCCCAAAGTGTTGGGATTACAGGTGTGAGCCACCGCGCCTGGCCCCTGCCCTTCTTTTAACCTCATTTCTGTAGCCATTCCAAGAAGCCAAAATGAGAACGTGGGCACCAGAAGAAAAAGTAGGCAGTTAAAAAAAACAAATTATTAAAAAATTTTTACTGCATTTTTAAGACTTGCACTCCCCAAATCAACCCACATTGTTGTGGATGCTTTTCCATAAGAAATTGAAGTCAGCTCACATCTTTTCAGAGGTGGACTTTTAGAGAACAAATTTACATTGTTAACCTTTACTTGTGGTACAGTTTTCAAATTACCAAGAACTTTGTGGCCATAGTGTAATCACTTCTTGGTATGATAATTATGAATGTGGTGACATCCCTCAGTGTCACCCTGAGAAACACTAAATCTCAGATAATGGCAAGGTCACCTTTGAATTCCTGACAATCTTGACTGGCTTCTTGAAACTTGGAGCTGGGACAAATAGTTGAGTCAGTCCAAGGAAATCCGGGATATATGTGGTCCCAATCAGGCTTTGTAGGCCATTCTTCCCCGGTTGCAAGAATGCATGATCTGAAAATATATTATACACAGGGATTGTTTTTACTCCCATATCAAATGTCTAAGACCCAAGAAGGAGAGTATAGATGATAGAGGGAAAGAGCTATGTGAGTTTCAAAGTACCTATGATCAGTCCTGCAGTAATGCAGCCATGTGTCACTTAATGACAGCAATGTGTTCTGAGAAATGTCAGGTGATTTTACCATTATACAGGCATCATAGAGTTTACTTACAAAACCTAGATTGTACAGCCTACCACACACCTAGGCTATATGGTATAACCCTTTGCTTCTAGGCTACAAACCTATACAGCATCTTACTATACTGAATAATGTAGGCAACTAAAACACAATGGCATTTGTGTATCTAAGCACAGAAAAGGTACAGTGAAAATGCAGTATTATAATCACATGGGACCATCATATCTGCAGTCCATCAGTGACCAAAACGTCGTTTTGTGGTGCTTGAACTCTATGACGCATAACATATGTGTTCTCAAAAATCACGCACTTTGGCCAGCCACAGTGGCTCATGCCTGTGGCTCATGCACTGTGGGAGGCCGAGGCAGGTGGTTCACTTCAGGTCAGGAGTTCAAGACCAGCCTGGCCACCATGGTGAAACCCCGGCTCTACTAAAAATACAAAAATTAGCTGGGTGTGGTGGCAGGCACCTGTAATCCCAGCTACTCAGGAGGCTGAGGCAGGAGAATCGCTTGAACCTGGGAGGCAGAGGTTGCAGTGAGCCTAGATCACGCCGCTGCACTCCAGCCTGGGTGACAGAGCGAGACTCCATCTCAAAAAAAAAAAAAAAGCAAAATCACATGCGGAGAAAAATGGGGTACCAAGAACAACACTCAAAAATTCATCCATGACACATATAGAAAAAAAGTCAAAAATGGAGGCATAGTTTTATACATGACAAATGATTAAGACATACATACATGCTATAGTAAATAGGGAACTTCACCTTGAAAAAGATTTGAAGTTTATGGAAGCCACCAGCTGCCCACACCGGCCACCCTGGAGAACAAAAGGAAGCAAGAGAGGGAGAAAAAGATTAAAAGAATAGAGAACAAAGAAGAAAAATATAAGATAGACTGAGAGGAAAGAGAAAATTAAAGAGGGGAGGCTGTGGGCAGAGCTGCAGCTTATGCCTTGTCAACGGGGAGGGTCACCTGCCACGGGCTGGGAGTTGACAGACTGATGTGAATGGGCCAGGTTCCAAATGCACTCAGGGGAGACCAAGATAGCCGCTAGGTTGTCGGGAGCCTTCGTGTTTTGTTCCTATGCTGCTGTCACTAGATGCAATTTTCTGCATTCACCCAGTGTTTCTCATGGGTGAAATCTTGCAAAAGCAAAATTCAGAAATGAGAATTATGTTCAAATTGTTCCCTAACATATTAATCTCGTGGGAACAAATTCATGTTTTCAAAACAAACATCATAGCAGAACTGACTGTACCTATTCTTTGGAGTATTATGACTTGTTACAAATAGGTTTCACCGCTTCTTCCTCCCCTTTACTCAGACTAGAAGATTAAAGAGTTCTATGATAGACCCTTGCCAAAAAAACATGGTCTTCCGTTAGTGTTAAATAAGACTAATAAAAACTGCCACAAATATCCTTAATTCACTTTTAATTTCCATCTTATAAGAAAACAAAATGGCTTGAAAGAATTTTAAACTCTTAGTAGTATGAGAGTTGATTTATATTGTTGAAAACTAGCATGATTACTTGTAAATAGTTGTAGGAAGTTTTTTACTGAAAGGATTTGCATAATTTGGTCAAATATTCTTGCATAAACTATAGCATTTGCTATGAATGTGAAACTCTTAGTATGCCAAGGAGACTTAACATATCAGTGAGTTTCTAATGCTAAAATTTCCACCTACATTTGTAGTTTCAGAGTGAGTGCATTAAAGGAGAGGACAGACAGTGTAATGGGAGGGAAGTAGAATATATAGATAGCTGTTATTTTCATGGACATAACTAGGTGAGTTCAGTTCATTTGCAAGCTCAAACACTTTCAAAAATGCCTGTAACTGCAAAGTTCCTTTTTATTCTCTTAGGCTTTGCTTTTAAGGCAACATTTTGACTTTTAATGAACAGGCATTTTAAAAACTTCAGTTAACTCAGGTGATTGAGTAGCTATTATTACTGGTCTGCTGATATATTGCAAAGACCGCCTGTAGGCAAAATTCTATTGGAGATTTGCTAAAACAGGTCTTGTTCGGTTGGGTTAGAATCATGCTGCATTTTAAGTGTGTGCCATCTTGAATATTCAATTATACTGAGTGGGTAGAAAATTATAGAATTCAGAAAATTATCTTCTAAACACACCAGCCTTCAGTTGGGAGAAGTTTCCCATGGCCAGAAATTTCTTCCAAAGTGAAGTGTTACTTGCACCTTCGAAAACTGATCACATTGAAGATTTACCTGGGTCACGTGATAAGCCGAGAGTTAGTGTGACAGTCCAGGCAGCCCTGTTCTGTAACACGTAGAACAGGAAAGACAGCTTGGACTAACTCATGACTTTTTAACCTACATAACTTAGTAGTTAACTGTTTTCTTATCATTTATGTTTCTGATTTTTCCTCTTCCCACTAAGATTGTTTTGCCACTTAAAGGGAATGGCAATTGTTCTAGATAGCAGCTTTCATGAAATTTTTTAAATCCGTTTTTTAAATTGTGGTAACATATACATCAGAATTAACAACAACTTTTGGCCGGGCGTGGTGGCTCACACCTCTGTAACCTCAGCACTTTGGGAGGCCAAGGTGGGTGGATCCCCTGAGGTCAGGAGTTTAAAACCAGCCTGGCCAACATGGTGAAACCCTGTCTCTACTAATAATACAAAAAATTAGCCAGGCGTGGTGGCGCATGTGTGTAATGCCAGCTACTCGGGAGGCTGAGGCAGGAGAATCGCTTGAACTCAGGAGGTGGGGGTTGCAGTGAGCCAAGATCGCACCATTGCACTCCAGCCTAGGCGACAAGAGCGAAACTCCGTCTCAAAAAAAAAAAAAAAGTTAAGCATGCAGTTCAGTGGTACCAAGTACATCAAGTACATTCACATTGTTGTACAACCATCACCACCATGCATCTCCAGAACTTTTCCATCCTCCAAACTGAAATTCCGCACCCAATAAACAATAACTCCCATTCCCCACCCCAGCCTCAGGGAACCAGCTTTCTACTTTCTGTCACTAGGACTTTGACTAATTGAGGTATCCCATATAAGTGTAATCAAACTATCTGTCTTGTTGTGACTAGCTTACTTCACTTAGCATATTATCTTCAAGGTTCATTCATGTGATAGCAAGTGTCCATTGTTTTCCTTCTTACGGCTGAGTAATATTTCATTGTGTGTGTAGATTGCATTTCGTTTATCCATTCATCCATTGATGCACACTTAGGTTACCTCCAATGGCATGGGATTTTCAATTTACTAGAACCACACCAAGTTTTAGAACTGGAAATAACTCAGTTAAATCTCACCATAAATTCTGAAAGAGTAAGGAGTGTTTTATTTGATATTTTATAAAATTTTATATGTTTTATATTCCTCACACTCAGCACTGTCTGACACTTAATAGGCCATTCGTAAATATTTGCTGAGTAAATTTTCTAGTATTTGCTGTCATTTTTATACACAAGGAAATGGAGATCCAGAGATGCCAGTGATTTCTCCAAATGGAAGCAAATCCTGGCTCTCACTTACTACCTTTGACCTTTTTTTTTTTTTTTTTTTTTGAGACGGAGTCTTGCTCTGTCACCTAGGCTGGAGTGTGCAGTGCCACGATCACGGCTCACTGCAACCTCCACCTCCCCAGTTCAAGTGATTCTCCTGCCTCAGCCTCCCCGAGTAGCTGGGATTACAGACGCACCCCCACCATGCCCGGCTAATTTTTTTTGTATTTTTAGTAGAGACAGGGTTTCACCATGTTGGCCAAGCTGGTCTGGAACTCCTGACCTCAAGTGATTTCACCCACCTTGGCCTCCTGAAGTGCTGGGATTACAGGCGTGAGCCACTGCACCTATCTTTGATGTTGAATAATTCCTTCTATGACCTGCAGTTTCTTCATCTTAAAATGGGGGAGATGTTGTGTTCCTTTTAAAATGGTATGAGGATTCAGTAAGTTAATGCACATGAAGTGATTAGCACCGACCTGGCATAACATAAACACTCAACAGCTGATAGCTGCTCACACCCCAGATCCTGCAGCTAAATATTGGCAGTGCCGGGATGCATCCTAGCCCTGCCTCCCAGCCGTTTCATTTGGAGACAACTGGAAAAAACCTGAAACATTTTATTGAGTGCCTCCTACGTGCCAGTTAAGGCGGGTCCTCAAACATACTTGTCAATGAAATTTTCTGGAAACATACTTGATTGCCCAGTTGTCTACATCTCAGCCACTGACCAGGGTGAGATCCAGCGTGGACAGGTGTGAAGGGAAGAGCTGGCCACTTCATCTACGACCAGCTGCCACGTGGTTCAGACAAAACCAGAGCCTTGAGACAGAGGGAAATCTGAGCTAGGGGAACAATTAAGGTCACTTCCTTGGTAATGTTTTGAGATGAGTCTAAAGCAATCTGTGACATTACCCTTTTTTCCCCTAGCAGAAATATAGGTAGCCTTCTGAGGGTGAGAAATTGGCACCCGCTATCCTGTAAGACCACAGAGACTTTCTAGGCTCATCTGTATGTGATAATTAAAGGACCAGTTGATAGTCTGGGACCTGGTTTTGCCACCTCCTGTTCTAAAGTAGGAGCTGGCTCTGAAGTTTCAGGTCCTATGTGAAAAGGGATGAGGAAAAGAAGACTACTGATAAAATACATAAATTTACTTGTATTCAGATTTATCTAGAATGTTCAAGGACTACTTTTGGTAAGAAAATGCACCCAAAGGGCTGGGAGCGGTGGCTCATGCCTGTAATCCCAGCACTTTGGGAGGCCAGGGTGGGTGGATCACGAGGTCAGGAGTTCGAGAACAGCCTGGCCAACATAGTGAAACCCCGTCTCTACTAAAAAGACAAAAATGAGCCGGGCATGGTGGCAGGTACCTGTAGTCCCAGCTACTTGGGAGGCTGAGGCAGGAGAATCGCTTGAAACCAGGAGGCTGAGGTTGCAGTAAGCTGAGATCATGCCGCTGCACTCCAGCCTGGGTGACAGAGCAAGACTCTGTCTCAAAAAAAAAAGAAAATATCTACTAGAAGAACATTTTTACTTCAAAAGGAGGAATAAAGAAAATATTATAATGTCTTTTGTGAGAAATACACAATTAACTGCATCAGTTATATTAATACCAAGGATAGGAAGCCTACATACACCGGTTTAGAGGGGCTATTACTTAAGCGACTAAAGGCTATTGCCTAAGAAATCTGGTTAGGAGGAACAGCTGAAAACTAGGAATCTTTCTAAAGCCGAGGTTGCACATGGGAGTCACCTGGGGAGCTTGTACAATTCCCTCCACCTAAGCTGCACCCTGGGCTAGCGAAATCCCAGTCTCTGGGGCCGGGGTCCGTTTTCCTTGAAGTTCTGCAGATTCCAGTAGACGATCAGTGTTGAGATTTAGTACCCTAACAGGAATGTTTTTTTAATAAAGCAAACAAACTTTTAAAGGCGGCACACTCACGCCTGTAATCCCAGCACTTTGGGAGGCCGAGGCGGGCGGATCACGAGGTCAGGAGATCGAGACCATCCCGGCTAAAACGGTGAAACCCCGTCTCTACTAAAAATACAAAAAAATTAGCCGGGCGTAGTGGCGGGCGCCTGTAGTCCCAGCTACTCGGGAGGCTGAGGCAGGAGAATGGCGTGAACCCGGGAGGCGGAGCTTGCAGTGAGCCGAGATCCCGCCACTGCACTCCAGCCTGGGCGACAGAGCGAGACTCCATCTCAAAAAAAAAAAAAAAAAAAAAAAGGCGGCACAAATTACCTCCTGATCCCCATGGAAAGTAACAAAATGACAGAAAACAGACTTTAAAATCTCCAAGAACTGAATCCAGATCCTGGCCCAGCCATTTCCCTGTTTGACTGGACAAGTTACTAAACTTTTCAATTTGTCAGTGTCTTCATCTGTAACATGGGAATAATAGGATTGTTGCAAAAATTAGATCATCCGTGTACAATGTTGAGCACAATGCTAGGTATAGTAAGCATTCAAATGAGAGATATTCATATAATAGTTGGACAAGACCAATAATTTCTAGTACGTTCTAAAGTATTGTAATATTGTTATGCTTCCTAATCTATGTTAAGGTATTTCAGAAAATTATTTTAACTTTACAAATAAAAAAGATATTTTGTTGCAATTTTAATTTACCTGACGTGTCTTCATGTAGTTGGAATTCATTTCCACTGTAATAGAGGGCTGCAATGGTGGAATGAATACTTTTTTTTTTTTCAGAATTTTGATCTGAGCTGAGTCAAATTGGAGTTAATTTAATGGACAGAGCACACAGGTCTGGGCTTCAGACCCATGCTGACAGTCAGCTGTATGCCCATGGACAAATAACCATTCTGACCTCAGCTTCATCCTCTGTAAATGAGTCTAATTCAAGAAGCATAAGTCTACTGATGACTAGCGATGGCATCTCCACCAGCCTCAGCCCTCAAAAATGCAACCAGGAAATAAGTAAGTCCTTTGAGCAGCCAAAATAGATATTTCAAATGCCCAACAGTGAGGCCTGTGTCTTTCCCCAGGGAGAGGCCCCGAGCTCTCACTAAGAGCCTATTTACCCTACATGTTTAAAATAAGCTTAATTATTTGGTTTCTTAGCCCATGGCAAATGGACGGGGGTAGGAGGAGGTGGATGTGACAGCACCAAGGAGCCAGAGGAAAGAACTCCTTAGTAGTCCAATTAATATAAGGCCATTTGGAAGGGTGAGGACTCACCTTGATCCTCTTGGTAGTTTTTACTTGTGAATTATGGCCCAGAGCAAAACTGAAATCCTTACCGATGAGCCTAAATAGCAAGGGAAATTTGTATAATGTTTGCTGTAGTATCTCAAATATATTGTAGTGGCCGGGCGAGGTGGCTCACGCCCGTAATCCCAGCACTTTGTGAGGTCAAAGTGGCTGATTCACCTGAGATCAGGAGTTCGAGACTAGCCCAGCCGACATGGTGAAACCCTGTCTCTACTAAAAATACAGAAAGCCGGGCATGGTGGAAGGCACCAGTAATCCCAGCTGCTCGGGAGGCTGAGACAGGAGAATCACTTGAACCTGGGAGGCAGAGGTTGCAGTGAGCCAAGATCACACCAATGCACTCTAGCCTGGGCGACAGAGCGAGACTCTGTCTCAAAAAAAAATAAAATAAAATATATTGTCTGTTGGCTGGCCTTCATAAAACAGTAAGTTTTTAATTATAATGAACTTTGTAAAGGTTTTTCATTGTGGGAAGACATACATAACTTAAAACTTATTTTAACCATTTTTACATACATAATTCAGTGGCATTAAGTATATACACAATGTTGCCCAACTATGGCCACTGTCCATTTCCAGAACTTTTTCATCATCCCAACACAGAAACTCTGTACCTGTTAAACACTGACTCCCCATTCCCCTCTCCCCAGCTCCTGGCAACCTCCAGTCTACTTTCTGTCTCTCTGAATTTGCCCACTCTGGATCCCTCATGTAAGTGAAACCTTACAGGATTTGTCCTTTTGCAGCTGGCTCATTTCACTCAGCATGTTTCCAAGGTTCATTCATGTTGCAACCTGCATCAGGATTTAACTAATTAGAATTACCTTTTAATACTTAGGAAAGATTCCTGTACAATAACTGATCCCTTAACCGAGGTAAGATGACACTTTATAAAAACAAAGAATCCTCCTTACTCTGTAAGGGGAGGAGGTTTTATGAAAATAATGCAGACATGATGAGAAATTGCCAGCCTCCGTCCAACCCAAAGCAAAACTGAGTGTTAAGATTCTTTATTTTAGTCGTGGTACAGTGGCTCGTGCCTGTAATCCCAGCACTTTGGGAGGCCGAGGCAGGCAGATCATTTGAGCTCAGGAGTTAAAAGCCAGCCTCGGCAACATGGCGAAACCCTGTCTCTACAAAAAAATACAAAAATTAGCTAGGCATGATGGTGCCTTCCTGTAGTCCAAGCTACTTGGGAGGCTGAGGTGGGAGGATGGCTTGAGCCCGGGAGGTGGAGGCTGCAGTGAGCTGTGATTATGTCACTGCACTTTAGCCTGGGCAACAGAGCCAGAGCCTGTCTCAAAAAAATAAAATTTTTATGAAAGATTCTTTGTTTTGTTAAACTAATATAAATTAATTCCTAATGACCAACACCCCTCACCCCCACCCCCGTAAAGTAGACCACTTTAAAAATGGAGAGAGTCTGCTGTTTCAAATGGCAGGATCTCGCTGGGGCAGAATCACCCCTGAAGGACATTGTGGGGTGGGTGTGTGTGTGTTGGGAGAGGCAGGGGGAGCCATCCCTTTATACTTTAAAATATTTTCTTTTGAAAAAAGCCTTTATCTCTTTGGATCCACAAGAAATGTTACAAGTGTCCCTTCAGTTTCATAATGGGGCTTACGGTGATGCCCTTAACCTTTCAGAAAGCCCGAAGTGGGTGCCTCGTAAGGAGGGGACCTGCCGAGCTGGCCGCCCAGCAGCTGCCGACCATAAATACACAACTGCTGAAAAGACTGCTGCTTTTGTCTGATTTTCCATAAAGCAGTGGATAAATTACTCAACCCAGGGGTCTGTTTATGGCCTCGTAAATGCTGTTCCAAATGCAAATGCACAGAGAGAAAAGGGTGAGAGTTAATCTACTTTTGATTAGAGAAGCGTTTCTTGTGCAAAGCGGGAGTGAGGTGGGTGGGAAGAGAGTTAAAAACGAAATGCATAGTTTAGGGACCTTTGTCATCTTCAAGAGGTGGTGTTGTAAAAAAATGCTGCCCCTGCGACAAAGGCTGGGAGCAAGGGAGGAATGTTGGGCTGGGTCAAGATTCTGTACAGCCCTCGCCTCTTAGCTAGAGAGGGAGCAGCGGGGGCACCGTTAACCCTTGCCTTCCTGTGCTCTGCACATTGCTCATTTCTGGGAATTCACTCCATGAGGTTGCAGAGTCTACACTCATTAGGTGCTGGGAACACTAAAGCACAGTGCCTACTAACTGTTGATACCAGTTTCAGGGAGAGAAGGAATGACAAAGATATTTTTATAGCACTACATGATGATGACCCTGTGCTTAAAGACTTAGAATACCTGACCCAGACAGGGGACAGGAAGGGTCAGAGGAGGATTCCTGGGAAGAATCTTGAAGGATGAATGAGCCAGGTGGTGATGAGCAGGACAGCCAATACTGGCAGTGAGAAAAGAATAGACAATAATAAAACGACATGAGAGGGCAGGGAACAGGGACATTCCTGAAAGAGCAGTGAGTGAGTGCCTGTGTTGGTAGAGGTGAGGGAGTTGAGGGGGAGCAAGACAGTGGTCAAAGATGAGCCCAGGAAGGTCGGGAGGGATTTAAGAGTCCTTGAAGGATTTTACCCAGGAGGCATGACATCAAATTTGCGTTTTAGAAAATCATGTTAGATAGGTTTGAAAAGTTGTGGGGAATCAGACCCACAGTAGAGAGCTGGGTTAGGATGTCCTTGCAGTAGTCCAGGTGAGAGATGAGAACAAGGTCAAGGCAGCGATGAGAGAGAGGACAAGTCAGTTTCAAAAAAGATATAGGTGGGAGAGGAGAGGCGGGATTTGTTGTTTGGGTGGTCACAGCAAGAGGGCAAGGGTCTTGGAAACTTTTAGATGGCATTAGGACTTTCTTTCTTTTTTTTTTTTTTTTGAGATCGAGTTTCACTGTCATTGCCCAGGCTGGAGGGCAATGGCACAATCTTGGCTCACCGCAACCTCTGCCTCCAGGGTTCAAGCAGTTCTCCTGCCTCAGCCTCCAATGTAGCTGGGATTACAGGCATGCACCACCACACCCGGCTAATTTTTTGTATTATTAGTAGAGACAGGATTTCTCTGTGCTGGTCGGGCTAGTCTCAAACTCCCGACCTCAGGTGATCCACCTGCCTTGGCCTCCCAAAGTGCTGAGATTACAGGCATGAGCCACTGTGCCTGGCCGGCATCAGGACTTTTTGTTTTTTTGAGATAGGATCTCGCTCTGTTACCCAGGCTGTAGTCCTGTGGCGTGATCATACCTCGCTGCAGCCTTGATCTCCTGGGCTCAAGCAACCCTCCCGCCCTAGTTTCCCAAGTAGCTGGGACTACAGATACATGGCACCACGCCTGGCTAGTTTTTTAATTTTTTTGTGGAGACAGGTCTCACTTTGTTGCCCAGACTGGCTTTGAACTCCTGGCCTCAAACAATCCTTCCGCCTAGGCCTCCCAAAGTGCTAGGACTATAGGCATGAGCCACCGCGCCTGGCCGGCATCCAGGACTTTTTATGCACAGGTCTCCCCTGACAATAATCTTCAGACTCTCTGCCAACGTTGATGGTTAGTAATAAGCTGCTTAAGTAAATTAGCCTTCCTACGGCACTGGTATTGCCAGTGGCAGAGAATGGTGGGGGGATAATTCTTTATTATGATTTATCAGCATATAGAGTTCATTTACTTTTGAACCCAAAAAGGCTCCAATCTGACCTACCTTGCTGCTCTGGGAAGGAACCTGGGACCTAGACGGCCACACAGCAGGCACCAACACCTGCACATGTGTGCTGAGCTGCCTTGAATGGACCATGTGTGCAGTTTAACCCCTGGAATGATGAGGAGACACTGGTGGTTGTATTCTTTCTGCTTCACGCTGAAGCTACGGAGCCTCAGCAAGGAAGTAACTCGCCCAGGGCCTGAGTCCTAGACCCAGACTGCCTGACCTTGAGGCCGATGTGTTTCCCACCTCGCTACATCGGGAGCCAGCCCTGCGGCTGAGGCCTTCATGTTGCATCCGGCAGTGCCTTACCCTGTCCTCAGATAAATCCGTCCTGGGAAAGCAAATTTACTTTCCCAGGACAGTAAATTTAATGTTTTTATTAAAGATTTAATTTTTAATTTAAAAAAATTTATTTTTTTCCATCTTGTGGTAGATAGAAGCTGCATTTACTACAAGAAAAAGCAGAGGGCACTTCTGTTCAGATTATAAAATTGCTGCTGTGGAAATTCATATCTCTTGAAAAATCACTTATGGAAACCTCGTCCGTAAGAGTCCACTCTCTTAGGTTAAAGAGGGAAGAAAATTTTCCCCACATCACCTTTTTCACCCTGTGGGGCATGAATTAGGACCAGGCCTCCTGGACAGTATGACAGAAGGACATCTTCGTGTTTACCCCCTGGCCCCATGCTCTTTGAGAAAGTCAAGTTTCTGGGGAACATCCCATCACTTTGGCCCACGCACCTTGCAGACACCCTCCAGCTCCATCTGCACGGTGCCTCTGCCTGCTCCCCTGCAGATCCTCAAGCCTGTGACTGTTTCTGGATCAATACATAACTTTTGGTTAAGATTCTTCTGTGATGAGATCAACAGCAATATAGTCAGCGAGACAATCAGATATATCCTAAGGGCTCCTCATTGTTTTTGATACAATGAGCGGAATAACTTAGCCATGAGTTTCCATATTTAGCAGCAGATTACCTAATGTCGCCAGGGTGTAATCACATTCATCTGCCTTGACAAACCGCCCATAAAGAGGTCGGTCCTTGTGTAGATTCTTTATTTTAATATATACAACTGCATTGCATCGCGACTTTCAAGTAAAATAGCTTGATTTTGAGGGGCATTACCAATCTATGTGACTCAGGAGATGAGAAGTTGAGCTAATGACTTCCAGCCTTTTCCAGTTAATATTGTCCAGGTAACCCCTGCCTTTTTTGGCTGGCTGAAATTTGATTTTGATTGAGGGTTACAGTTTCAAGTCATTTAGCACAAATAAGTCAAGGCTTTTGTCTTTAAGGCCTTGTTATCCACCAAATGAACACTGTTTGAGTACGTACTGTATGCAGACCAGTTGCTGTGAGATAATCTATACTACTGTTCCTGTCTCAGTAAAATTAGATGGGCAAGTGTTCCAACTTATTAAATAAGTCATATAGGTAATTATTGTCCAACACATGTTTAAGTAAAGTATATGATAATTGATCATGTGTATGTGGAAAAGCTGTACCTGTTTTTGTTTATTTGTTTTAAGATGGAGTCTCGCTCTGTCACCCAAGCTGGAGTGCAGTGGCTCACTGTAACCTCTGCCTTCCAGGTTCAAGCGATTCTCGTGTCTCAGCCTTCTGAGTAGCTGGGATTACAGGCGCCCACTACCACGCCGAGCAATTTTGTTTTTGTATTTTTAGTAGAGACGGGGTTTTACCATGTTGGTCAGGCTGGTCTCGAACTTTGACCTCAGGTGATCTGCCCTCCTTGGCCTCCCAAAGTGCTGGGATTACAGGCGTGAGCCACCGCACCCCACCTGCTGTAAATGTTTTAATGGGCCATTATTTGGTGTCCTTATTTCAAAATTTCTTGTTCACTAGAATTAAGAGTCCTCAGGTGAAGTGTGGGTTGTTACTTGATTTCTGAACAGGAAATGTTTTCCTGCAATAATCAATTGCCATTTTGATGTTTGGTGAAGGCTTTTAAGCCATCAGTGTATTAAAATGGCATGCAGAGCTCATGGATGAAGTGAGAACAGCCCTGATAAAAACCCAGATTGTCTGTGGTGCACACAAGTATGTGTGTGTGTGTGTGTGTATGTGTGTGTCAGAAGTTACTCTAAGAAGCTTCTTCCTTACACACACTCCTGTGTGAAGTGTTAGAACACCTGCCACAATCACCTAGCCATAGTGATAGGGATTCTTTTTTTCTTCTTCTTCTTCAACATTTAAGTTCCGGGGTACATGTGCGGGATGTGCAGTTTTATTACGTAGGTAAACATGTCCCATGGTGGTTTGCTGTGCAGATCAACCCATCACCCAGGTATTAAGCCCAATATTCATTAGCTATTCTTCCTGATGCTCTCCCTTCCCTCACCCCCTCCCAACAGGCCCCAGTGTGTGTTGTTCCCCTCCCTGTGTCCATGTGTTGTTCAGCTCCCACTTACAAGTGAGAACATTTGCTGTTTGGTTTTCTGTCCCTGAGTTAGGTTGCTGAGGATAACAGCTTCCGGCTCCATCCATGATTTCATTCCTTTTTATGGCTGTATAGTGTTCCATGGTGTATACGTACCACATTTTCTTTATCCAGTCTATCATTGATGGGCATTTGGGTTGATTCTATGTCTTTGCTATTGTGAATAGCGCTGCATTGAACATACGCACACATGTATCTTTATAATAGAATGATTTATATTCCTTTGGGTATATAGCCAGTAATGGGATTGCTGGGTCAAATGCTATTTCTGCCTCTAGATCTTTGAGGAATCACTACAATGGTTAAACTAATTTATCCCACCAACAGTGGAAAAGTGTTCCTTTTTCTCTGCAACCTTGCTAGCATCTGTTTCTTGACTTTTTTTTTTTTTTTTTGAGACAGAGTTTTACTCTTGTTGCCCAGGTTGGAGTGCAATGGCACGATCTTGGCTCACTGCAACCTCTGCCTCCAGGTTCAAGTGATTCTCCTGCCTCAGCCTCCCGAGTAGCTGGAATTACAGGCACACACCACCACGCCTGGCTAATCTTGTATTTTTAGTAGAGATGGGGTTTCACCATGTTGGTCAGGCTGGTCTCAAACTCCTGACCTCAGGTGATCTGCCTGCCTTGGCCTCCCAAAGTGCTGGGATTACAGGCGTGAGCCACCACACCTGGCCATTTCTTGACTTTTTAACAATCGTCATTCTGACTAAGCATGAGATGGTATCTTATTGTGGTTTTGATTTGCATTTCTCTAATGATCAGTGGTGTTGAGCTTTTTTTCATATGTTGTCTGTGATACGGATGCTCTTCTACACAGCTCCTGAACCTCTTTGTATGTTTCCATTTCAATACGTGAGCATTTTCCTTTGAAGGCTCTCTTCAGAGCTTCCATCTTTCTCTTCATTTCTGATTTGTCTTCATTTCAGAATGATTCCTAATTCTCTAGAGCTAAAACACCCTGCTTTCCAGGCTCCCCATCATGTCATGATTTCATATTACTTGAAAGTAGCATGGTGCTCAGAGAGCTGATCGAATGCGTCTGCCCTGACTCCCTGTGACTGGTTTGGGGAAGGAGTGTGTTTCTGTGGGACGAGGTATATAGAGACTTGTCCATAAAGAGGGATCAAGTGGCCCACCGTGTGGTGGCTGGCAAGAAATGGGATGTCTTAAAGGAGTGTAAAGGCATGCATTAGTGAGAAGGAAGGACGAGAACTCATGAGCCAGTCTTGAACGTGGCAGATGGTTGAAAGCTGGTGTGCTTGGCTGAAGGAAAACATGCCATGGGATGTATACATATGAAAACATGAAGGCAGTGGGTACCGCATGTGAATGGGACTGATCCTAATTCAGATATAGCCTGTGATGATCTTGGCAGGTGGGAGGTGCCTAGTCAATCAGGGTGGCTGTTTTTGGTTGGCTCCTACCTGACACCTGATAAAAATTACCTTTAACTCTCAAAATTAATCATCAGCAAACCCCTCCTCCTGTTTAAATATACTGTGTTAAGGTATAAAACCTTTGAAGTGACCCTGTAGGGTTTCAGTGCCCAGGCTATTGTCAGCAGATCCTGGTTTGAGCATGGCTTGAGGCATTTACTCTCTGTGTGACCTCAGGGGAGTGATGGAGCCTTTCTCAGCTTCCGGGAAAATGGGATGAGTGGGACCCGTCTCCTAGGGTTGCGGTGAAGATGAAATGAGAGAATGCATATAAAGCAGACAGCTCAGTGCTTAGCAATAAACTTTAAAATAACAACAATGATGATTGCCGGGTGTGGTAGCTTATGCCTATAAGCCCAGCACTTTGGGAGGCTGAGGTGGGAGGATCACTTGAGGTCAGGAGTCTCCTGGGCAACATAGTGAGACCCTATCTTTACAAAAAAATAGAAAAGTTAGCCCAGTGTGGTGGTGTGAGCCTATAACCCCAGCTACTGGGAAGGCTGAGGCGGGAGATTGCTTAAGGCAGGATTTCCAGGTTGCAGTGAGCTGTGATCAAGCCACTGCATTCTCACCTGGATGACAGAGCCAGTCTCTAAACAAAAATAAAGAAAAAAGAGAAACCAATAATGATGATAAATAGCAGTGAGGAGTTAAAATTCAGATTATGTAATAATGTACATTTATTTTACTGATTTTTTTCCCCATATTAAAAACCCTTTGGGCTTTACTTAATTTTCCTTAATCACCATGTTTCAAATTACACCAGTAGTCCTCTGATTATAATGAAGATGAATCAGTTTCTTATTTTCAGATGCGTCAAGTGTTGCCAAGACATTGCATTCCTCCACCACCTCACCAGCCATTCCCATTTTCCACTTTAAGGATTATAGCCACATTTAATTGTGTCTGTCTGCTTCCTTACCTGGCCTGGGACCTGGAGAGTAAAAAGGTAGTTTAAAAAAGAAATAAAAAGCGTGTAAAGTTAACCTGATGACAAGGAAGACAAAGTTGTAGGAAAGGAAGTCAACTGGAGGGATCATTCTCAAAGGAGTGGTTAATAAACTTGCTTCAAATTTCTATCTAGTGAATGCCCACAGCAGCCTCATACTGAGCTTTACTCCAGGGGATTCTGGTAAACACGGTGGTGGCCCGTTTTGAAGACTTTAAAATACATAGTCTTCGAAGACTTTGTATTTACATGCATTCAACAGCACATAGATTATTTCAGAAATGCTTTGCTTTTTTTTTTTTTTTTTTGGTAGCTAGAAATAATGATAGGATTTACACTATAGAAAAAACAGTAATGGGAGGTTGCAAATAGGTCTGGAAAGATATTTCAGTATGCAACAGGACTTCATCATGGCCAACTGTCTACCTCTGTCAGTTTTAGAAGCACTTTGGCATATGAGAACGTTGTCAATGTAATTTGGAAACTGCAATTTCGAAAATAAATATTTAACAAGGCAACAAAATTAAGTTTTTCTGCTACGTTATTATTGTAAAAAGGCCTCTTATAAGGACTTTTCTAATTGTTATACCGAAAGGTAATATAAGGAACTGATTTTAGTGTTATGTTTATACCAAACTGCTTTTCCATTATTATAACTTTTTTAGGTTTCAGTACATTTATACACATCCACATGAAGTCAATAAATGACATCACTGTGAAGTAAATGAAAACAATTGATTTCTTTCTTTTTTTCTTTTTTTTTTTTTTTTTTTTTTTTGAGACAAAGTCTCACTCTATTGCCCAGGCTGGAGTGCAGTGGCACAATCATGGCTCACTGCAACCTCCACCTCCTGGGTTCAAGCGATTCTCCTGCCTCGGCCTCCCAAGTAGCTGGGACTACAGGGATGCGCCACCATGCCCAGCAAATTTTTGTATGTTTAGTAGAGACGAGGTTTCACCGTGTCAGCCAGGATGGTCTCGATTACTTGACCTTGTGATCCACCCAGGCTGGAGTGCAGTGGTGCGATCTCGGCTCACTACAACCTCCACCTCCCAGGTTCAAGCGATTGTCCTGCCTCAGCCTCTCGAGTAGCTGATATTACAGGCCTGTGCCACCACACCCAGCTAATTTTTGTATTTTTGTAGAGACGGGGTTTCAGGCTGGTCTCGAACTCCTGACCTCAGGTGATCCACCTGTCTCGGCCTCCCAAAGTGCTGGGATGCAGGGGTGAGCCACCACACCTGGCCTAAGACAATTGATTTCGGTAATGATTGTCAGAAGTGTAGGAAAAGATGGGCGTCCTGTTGCTTTAAGAACTTTAACATATTAATACTAATTCTATTTCTTAATTTCTTGTTCATAGATGTGTTTTTGCTTAAAGTCTTTAAGGGAAAACCAAACAAATATTCCTAATTGTCTTCAAGCAAAGATGTATTTCTCTTTCTACTCATCATTTCTATTTTTAACAGAATTCCTGTTCCAAGTTTCTTTTTCTGGGAAGAGCTGCCACCTCCTGCCCCTTCCTAGGCCCAGCTGGCCCATCTCCTCACTATGAGAAAGCTCACAGCTCTCCCCCTTTCAGGAGGAGGTAGCAAAACAATAGAGGGGACTGAACAGGCGCATGTATCATCTGTCACAGCTTAACAAGAAGGCCATTCCTGACATTTTTTACCAATGGTTTATGTACTGCAAGTATTATAGTTGGTAAATGAGGCTGAAACCACCCGATATTTTATTCTTTTACTCAGGCATCTCAGAGCCGTTAACAGAGTTCCACACATCACATTACCAGTAAGATCAGCCTCTGTCATATCTTTCTTCCCCCTTTGTCTTCCCCTTTCTTTCTCTCTTTTTCTTTTTTTTTTTTGAGTCTCACTCTGTTGCCCAGGCTGGAGTGCAGTGGCGCAATCTCAGCTCACTTCAACCTCTGCCTCCCGGGTTCAAGCGATTCTCCTGCCTCAGCTTCCCAAGTAGCTGGGATTACAGGTGCCCGCCACCAAGCCCGGCTAATTTTTTTTTTTTTTGTATTTTTAGTAGAGACGGGGTTTCGCCATGTTGGCCAGGCTGGTTTCGAGCTGCTGACCTCTGATAACCTGCCTGCCTCGGCCTCAGAAAGTACTGGGATTACAGGCATGAGCCACTGTGCCCGGCCCAACCCTCTCTTTTTCTTTCTTCCCTTTCTTCTCCTTCCTTCCCCCTGCCCAAAGCTATTGCCAGAAAGATTGTGTCCCATTCCTTCTACATTGGATTTTCAGTACATTTCTCTGTGGTGTGGGGTCTAGACTGTATGGACCCAGGGAAAACTCTATCTCCATAGTAAGAGCTTTTGTATCCAGCCTAATGCAGTGGCCGGAGACCACCATTCCCCAGATCCTGTTTCTTTGGCTGTAACTTCCTCCTCCCTAGGTGTTCACAGAGAAAGAAGAGAAAAGAGATTCACTTAAGATTGGACTTCTGATACTTTTATCTATAGGCTACAGCAGGACATTTTATTATACCCTGTTCAGTGGCTTATTTGGAAGAAAGATAAAGGGCTTCTTTCATTTGCAGTGTGTTCTTCTGTACTCTCACAGTACTTTGTAAATAATTCTTGTAGCACTTAAATGGTCAAACTCTGAACTTCTTTTACATGTTCTCCCTCATTCTCCTTTGAGCACCAACAGGAGGGATAAAGCTTCTTTTTTTTTTTTTTTTTTTTGAGACGGAGTTTTGTTCTTGTTGCCCAGGCTGGAGTGCAATGGCACAATCTCAACTCACTGCAACCTCCGCATCCCAGGTTCAAGCAATTCCCCTGCCTCAGCCTCCCAAGTAGCTGGGATTACAGCTGCCCACCACCACACTTGGCTAATATTTTTGTATTTTTAGTAGAGATGGAGTTTCACCATGCTGGGCCAGGCTGTTCTGGAACTCCTGACTTCAGGTGATCCACCTGCCTCAGCCTCCCAAAGTGTGGGGATTACAGGTGTGAGCCACCGTGCCCGGGCCTTAACCAATATCTTATCAGTCACAATGTTCTGTAAGGGCACTCTTTGTGCAAAGGACAATGGCTGGAAAATCAAACCCATGTTTTTTCTTAGAGCTTGGGCCCTAGCAAGAACAAAATGAGCCAGCCTGAGCACATGGAAATCTACGATCTGGATTAACTAGGCCAAAAGTAGGCCTGTCTCCTGTCACCACAAACCCCCAGAGATGCCTTTCAACCTTTCATCTTGGCTTGAAGAAGTCCAGTCCAGGGGGTACCAAACCTCAGAACAGCCCTGCCCAGGCCTCTGCAGATGGGGCCTGCTAGAGCTGGCCCTGGCTTGGTTTTACCTCACCAGCCACCTAGGAAGGAAAATCAGAGGAGAGAAGCCAATGGGTCCTTCTCTGCAGAGGGAGCAGCCCAGCTGTCTCCATGCTACAGCCAAAAGGAAGAGGAGACAGATGGGTCCCCATGTACTCATTGACTTTAACTCACTCATGCCACAGTGGATGAGAAAGCATCCTTCCTGGGAGCTGGTGAAACAGCAGCTTCCTCCTTAAGGTGGGAAGTGACGAAGAGAGAGGAGCCCCAGACTTCCTTCCACTGAAAGCCCACATGGCTGATCAGTCACTTCAACCATGCTGTCACCCTGGACTCCATGCTTTCTATTATTCTCCACATCCCATTAAATACCTCTCCTCTCCACCTGACTCAGGGTTAGGAGTTGGTCTGCACATACCTGTCTGCTGCATGCATCACCTAACCAGCCTCCCCAGCAGCTTTATAGCTTCTCTCCTATTTTCTTTTTCTTTTTCTTTTTTTTTTTAAGACAGAGTTTAGCTCTTGTTGCCCAGGCTGGAGTGCAGTGGTGCAATCTCAGCTCATTGCAACCTTTGCCTCCCGGGTTCAAGCGATTCTCCTGCCTCAGCCTCCCGAGTAGCTGAGATTAACAGGTGCCTGCCACCATGCCCCGCTAAATTTTGTATTTTTAGTAGAGATGGGGTTTCACCACGTTGCCCAGGCTGGTCTTGAACTCCTGACCCTAGATGATCCACCTGTGTTTGCCTCCCAAAGTATTGGGATTACAGGCATGAGCCACTGCACCCGGCCCTGTTTTCTTTATTGATGATGGAACCATCTTTAATCTCACCACACGCTTCAGTGGTTACCACCAGCTATGTAGCGTGGAAGATTCTGCATGACCTGTCCCGGCCCCCATTTAGCCTCATCTAGCAGTGCAGCCCCACCCTCAAGGGTCTGTGTGTTTAGGCGCACGCCCTGCTCTGTCCAGCTGGTCTCAACCCTGACATCTGGCTGGCCTGAAATCTAGCCCTTTTCAACTCCTTTTAGTGTCCTTTTTGTTACCCTGTGCCTTTGTTTACCCATTTCTGGCCTCCTAGATGTTGTCTTCTTCCTCCTTTCGCTGTGTTGAAACTCCATCCTTCAAGATTCAGCTCCACCCTCACCTTCCCTGTGAAGCCTCTCCCCTCCCTGGAACGGACCACTTCCGCCTTTCCTGCCCTCTCTTGTGAACTGAATCTCTATCAGTCTTGCTGCCAAAACACTATTCTATTTATTTGTTTACACTTGGCTCTTCAACTATACCGGGAGCTTGCTGGGGGAAGGGATCATGTTTTATGCATTTTTTTTTAATTCTTATCCTGTAAAACAGCACTTGGCACACATTATTACATCCTCAAAATAAAAAGATGGGAGGAAGGCTTGTATAAATGAATGTTAATGTGCTTTTAAACTGTAAATTACTATACACATGTAAGTTATTCTAGTTTCAGAGGCATCCCAACGTAATACATGAAATTTGAAAGGCAAATTTTTGGGTAAACAGACTACTTTCTAGAAAGGGTAGAGGGATTGGAGAAATGAAAAAAGATTATTTCTCAGGGCCAGGTGCAGTGGCTTACATCTGTAATCCCAGCATTTTGGGAGGCCAAGGCAAGTGGATCACCTGAGGTCAGGAGTTTGAGACCAGCCTAGCCAACATGGTGAAACCCCGTCTCTGCTAAAAATACAAAAATTACCCAGGCATGATGGCACGTGCCTGCAATCTCAGCTACTCGAGGGGGCTGAGTCAGGAGAATCGCTTGAACTTGGGAGGTGGAGGTCGTAGTGAGCCGAGATTGTGCCACTGCACTCCAGCTTGGGTGACAGAGTGAGACTCTGTCTCAAAGAAAAAAAAAAATTTAATGTGATATCAGAAGAAGAAGGGAAGTGCAGGAGCTATTAACTAACCTATTTCCGGGCATCTCATAGAAATAAGGTAAGCTCTGAAGGGCGCTGAATTTGCCTTCAGTCTCAGTTCTTCTTTCTATAGCATGTCCCTGCTGGATGGTTATGTAGATCAGAGCTTCTCAAACTATCCATGGTGAGGGGCAAGTGTGTGTGTTTTCTTTCCATCTATCACACACCGATTCTTTTGTAAAATACAATTTAAAAAAGAATACTAGAAAAGTTAGAAGAAGAATAAGATGTACAAAGTACAAGCACAAATTTATTATTAGATTGATATTAAATCATTCTGTAAACTAGTTTCTGCATGCTTACTTGATGTCTGTACTTATCTCCTTGTAGATCAGCAGCAAACAGTTTGCAAATTGGCTCCTGCCCACTTCCCATACTTTGAATAGGACCAAGTCAGATCTACTTGGATATCTACTTGGATATTTTCAATAACACATATTACAAGGAATGAAAAAGTTAATTAGAGGAGGCTGCTCGTGTGCAAATCTTATAATGGTAGAGATCTTAAGGACATAAACTGATTAGAAAGTAAATAGGAGAAATTTTAAATCACAGAACATCATTCAAATGGTGAAAAGCCCTTTTTTGTGTGTACTCTCTGCTCCTTCCCTCACCAAACTAGGGTAAATTCTTTGATCCTCTTGGAGAATAATTGTTTTCAGTGCAAAAGTTTTAAATTGATCCTTCATAGTTGTTAACAGCAGGGTAACCATAGGTGCTGACATCAAGCCAATAAAATTAATAAGCAGCATGACAGGCTCTAATAAATTTCGTTGGTGTCCTTACACTGTCATTTCGGGCGCAGAATGAACTGTTATTATCACTGAGCTTCAAACCACTCATTTGGCTACAGATGATTACAGCTGTGAATGCAGGGCATGCTGCCTTAGTTTTCAGGAGCTAGTCTAGGGTTAAAGTATTAGATTTAAAAGATGTACTTATGATCAGTGGGGGGGAACAAGTTATGACCATACAACTTTGATCTGTTTTCTAGAGTGGTCTACAAAAATGTGGACTCCTCACGATCTGTTTTCTCAATAATTTCTGAAAACAAGCAACTTTTAAAATTTAGTTTCTCTGCCATGGACTCTGAGGTTTTTGAAACTCTTTGAGCTGGCGATGGGCCATCAGTTGTTGGATGCTGGCCATGGTTCTTTGTCTGTAACCCCAGATGAAATTCTTTAAGCCCCTTAACTCAACCTTTCTCTCACATGAAGAATTTAGTATCAGGTTTCTGCAAATGAGCAAGCTTCGCTCTTGAAGTGAGAGAAAGGATTGTTCATTCTCTCTTTAAGCCCCACTGCAGAGCCTCTGAATTCAGCCAGGTGAATGTGGCTTGCACCCTCCACCCCTGCCCCGCCCCTCATCCTGCCATGCTGTGTGTGGCTCATGCCCATCCACATCCTTCTGTTTTACCTTCTTAATTTTGTGTACAATATGCCCTCCAAAATGTCCAGCAAAGTCTTAAGCTGCTATTAAATACAGACATTCACTGCACATTGAGTATTAGTCCATCCTTTTGGACCATGTGTAATTTAACAGAAATATCAATGAATATATTTCTTTATTTTGAGGGAGTGTAGGTTTTATGTGTTGTTCAAAATGTACCATTCTTTCAATTCTGGCCTCCATTTGTTTTTCTTTTTTGGGCCTTTTTTGGGCCTGTCTGTCCTATGCAGGTACTCAAGCTCTTATGATTGTTCCATTTATAACAGTAAGGAGAATAGGCCAAGCTATTTGGGGATTTTAATGCCAACTACTTTTAAATCTTTTGAATCTAGTTTCTTACCGAGGTGACTACTTTCTTAAGAAGAAAAGTTGTTACCACAAAGCTTGTTTTGAAAAAAGGTTTATGTACATTGGTTTATGCATGACAATGATTTTAGTATGAAAGCACTAGAACGAAACCTAATTTGATGCAAACTGTGAAATGTGCCACTTGAGAAAGTTAATGATGAAAGCCTTGCCTATTTTGCATTGGAGGAACCTAAAGAACATGAGAGAATGAAGGTGGATTAATAAAAGGCGTAAGAAACAATTATCTAATGGATCTTACATTTCAGCTTCTCCTTTCTCTAGCTGCATCTAAACACGACAGTGTTTGCTGTTGGACATTGGAATGCGGCTGCGGTGCTGGGATTTTCATGGTCTGCTTGGCTTTTCACAGGGTTACTTCCTCTAAATGCTGCAGATCGCCATGTTACGTTTGGGAGGGAGCCACACTTCATTGTTCAGCCTAGGGCAAGGACTGTATTTACTTTTTATTTTACGTTATTTCAGCTGTTTTCACTTTTTTCTGTATTGTTTTCCTGCCTCCTACAGAATCCTTTTTCAAGTCTTGCTAGGGAAAGGGGAACACTCAGTTATGAACTCTTTAGCACACAAGGGGCAGAAAGCAGCTTTCCTCTTTCTCAACAGTTCAAATAACTTCTAAGCTATGTCAGTTTAACCCACTATGGGTCTCAATCCACAGCAGATCTGTTTGGGAGCTGTTTCTATGTTAAAACATACAAAATCAATTGAGAGTTTTCTGTGGCTAATTAACACAGCATAGTAAGTTATATGCTTATTTTTTTCACTTAAAAAAATAAGTTGGTATTTGAAAAAGAATTTGGTTCTATAGTTTTAACAACAGATAGTTTTGTGACTTAAGGTTATGTTTAAAACAAATTCTGTCAGTTCAGAATTTTTATTTCTGGTTTTTCACTATATGAATTTTAGAGTATGTTTTAATCATACAAATCAGTCAAAGAAAAAGCAGACGATGTGGTTATACCAAAACTGACGTTATTGGCACTATGGTCATTGTAGCCCCATCTGGGGAAGCTCTAATATATTTAGGGAGTAGACAGAATGTATACCACACTCTTTCTCTTTCCTAAAACTCTTCGTTCTATAAATAGGTGAGTATTAGGGCCAGTAATAAGAGAGCAACTGTGTACTCTCAGAGTTAATGAGCACACTAGTAAAATAATTACTTGAAACAGATATGAAAGATGCACTGGGCATAATTAAAGATGACTTGGAAAGGACAGGAGTGTTTAAGGCATCCTTCTCATTGATCTCACAGGATTACCTTGACTGCATCAGGGACCAAACAAAACTTCCCCTGGGGACCGAAGAAAGATCAGCCCTTTTTGGAAACATACAGGATATCTACCACTTCAATAGGTAAGTTAATATTCAAAAGATTGTTCTCACATACGAGCATTATGAAAATTTCTCAAATGAATGCAGCCTAAGAAACTTTACCTGTAACCCCTGACTCAGCTTCATATATTTTTGTGGGCTGTTGTGCCAAGAAGCTTTCTGCTTGGAAGTATCCTTATTTCCTTATGAGTCTCACATGTATTCCATATTCTCTCTCTCTCCATCCTCCTGGCTCAGAGAAGAAACCTATTTGCCCTGGTGGGGCAATGACATCTTTTCTTCCACAATATGACATGAACATGACATCCAAGAATATGTACTTGCTTAGTCTCCAGGATCCCCAGCTACACTGAATTTTCTATAACTTTTCTTCTACCTGGGGAGTGGGCTGGACACAGTAAACACACAATACATACTTCAAGTCATAACATATTAATTCAATTGAATTGATAATTTTAAATAATCAGTTTAATTAAAAATGTAAGTATGTAGCAGACACTGGGCTAGAAAATTAAAATAGTAAACAAGACAGAGAGTGAATGAATAAGTTATTATATTAATACTTCTTGAAAGTAAAGTTAGGGCCAGACATGGTGGCTCACACCTGTAATCCCAGCACTTTGGTAGGCCGAGGTGGACAGATCACTTGAGGTTAGGAGTTCGAGACCAGCCTGGCCAATATGGTGAAACCCCATCTCTACTAAAAATACAAAAATTAGCCAGGTATGGTGGTGCACACCTGTAACCCCAGCTACCCAGGAGGCTGAGACAGGAGAATTGCTCGAACCCAGGAGGTGGAAGTTGAGTGAGCCAAGACTGCACCACTGCAATCTGTCCAGCCAGGGTGACAGAGCAAGACTCCATCTCAAAAAAAAAAAAAAAAAAAGAAAGAAAAAAGAAAAAGAAAAACATAAGTTCGTAGACTGGTTAACAGCACAGAAGCTGCTGTTCAACATACATGAGTTTGCATCCCAGCAAAGCCCCCTGTATGTGTTGAGTGAATCTTTAAATGGAATGAAACTAACTAACCCCTGTATGTCAAGTCTTTACTCAAATCCTTCTTCTCGCTGAGGCTCCCTGAGTATCCACACATACCTTACCTCCTCCACTTTTCCTTTTTCTCATGGCACTCGTCAATTTTTAACATACTATATGATCGACTTTTATATTATGCCTGTTGTTCCTTTCCTCTCCACCCTGACTCACAAAACATTTGCTCCACAAGGACAGGAGTCTGTTTTGTTATTGTCTATATGTCTAAAATGGTGTCAGGCCCATAGGAGGCATCCAAACTTGTATTGAAGGAAAGAATGGAAATAATAGGAAAATCTCCCTCATATGGTTACAGTGAAGCTCCCGTGAACTGATAAACCTAAAGTGCCGGCACAGAGGAAGTACCAAAATATAAGCCTACGATGCTCTTGATTTTGCGATAGTGAAATCCCATTATAAAATTCTGCAATGCCCTGTCATTTTGTGACTCAGCTATAAATGCAAACTCAGTCCTACCCATCTTGGCTTACTAAAATTGGTAAATGTGAGCTCCTTGAGGGCAGGATTCACATATCCTTTGCCATCCTTGAATCCCAACACCTAGCACAAGCCTGACCTCTGGGAGAAATGTTCCTTGACTTGAAATAGCTTATCCTTTAATTCTGAAAGCCTAGGATGTAGGAAGTGTCAGTGTTACAACAGAACTTTTTTCATTTGACTCAGACTTTGAAAAACAGTTTGTGTATTTTGCATCAGTATTTCTCAACCTGGGCTACCCACTGGAATCACCTGGGAAGCTGGATCCTACCTTCAGAAATTCTGACTCGTTGGTCGAGGTGGGGCCAGAACATCAGAATTTTTCAAAGGTCTTCAGGTGTTTGGAATGTGCAGCCATGGTTGAGATACACAGTCTAGATAAAATGAAAGAAAAAGAAAATAGAGAAAGGGCATAGAAACTGAATTAGAGAATCCAGAGTCTACATGTTCATTAGTAATGTGCTGGTGTGAAAGCCAGCCCTCATTGTGCAATCGCTGATGATAAAATCCTGTGAGCCCCTGCACAGTTTCTCCTTCCAGAGTCCACTAATGGTCCTGTAACCCAGAAAGAGGCAAGAGGGCTAGATCCTGGGAGGCCCCTGGCCTAGGTCTTCTGTGGTTTGGCTGTGAGTTGATGGTAGGGCATATTTATAGAGTGCTTGCTCCATGCCAGAGGCCGTAGAGCTTTAGATACATTTTCATTTCATATGCATTATCTCAGCCTCTCTGACTCCAAACCCCAGGCATTCAGCCACGTGCCCTCCTGCCAGAGTGGAGCCCTGCTTCTCTGGTTCATGAAGTTGTGGCTTACTCCAGGAGGGGCTCTTAATCGCTAGAGTTTAAATCTTTACGTGTCTCCTAATTTAAAGAAAAATAAGAATGAGGGTGGGCATGGTAGCTTACACCTGTAATCCCAGCACTTTGGGAGGCCGAAGTGGGTGGATCACTTGAGGTCAGGAGTTCAAGACCAGCCTGGCCAGCATGGCAAGACCCTATCTCTACTAAAAAATACAAATAAAATTAGCTGGGTGTTGTGGCACATGCCTGTAATCCCAGCTACTTGGGAGGCTGAGGCAGGAGAATCACTTGAACCCGGGAGGTGGAGGTTGCAGTGAGCCGAGATCGCGCCACTGCACTCCAGCCTGGGCAACAGAGTGAGACTCCATCTTGAATGAATGAATGAATGAATGAATGAACGAACGAACGAGTTGGCAAGAAGAGATCTTTGCAGTGGACCCCCGTCTGCAGAAGTTAGATGACTGAGATTTACATTCCTGAATCACATCTCTGTTCTTTTCTTTTTTCTTTTTTCTTTTGAGGCAGAGTTTCACTGTGTCGCCCAGGCTGGAGTGCAGTGGCGCAGTCTCGGCTCATTGCAACCTCCGCCTCCCGGGTTCAACAAATCAATAGGTGTATCGATTTCAAAGATACACCTATCTGGCAAATCTGTGGTTGGGGCTTGAAATAATAACTTTCAGCTCCTATTAGTTCAGGTCCAAGTTTTTCAAAATAATGTATTGTGGCCAACTAGGCAAGACTTAAATCTAAAATTAAAGAGGGCATAAAGAAATGGTATTATGCTGGCCTGAAAAATTCAACTGACTAGGTTTCTTTTTTCAGTAAAGATTTCCAAAATACAGAAAACCACAGAAAGACATTCTGTCAAAGAGTCAGGCGTGGCTCATGGGAGTTTGTCATATTACTCCTTTCTTTGTGTCTTATTTGCTTTAACATTTGTTTGAAGCATAAAGATATTATAAACAATATTGAATCCAGTTATATACCCTTCCCCAGTCACATTCTGCTCTGTGGAGAATGGCACCCTGATGTGTTGGTAAACCAGTTCTCCAGCATGGGGAAAGGGGAGGGAGGATCTGGAATTTATAATGTTTTTTGATTTCTGTGGTATAAACACTCCCATCACAGCAGATTTCAAGTTACTAACACAACATCACTGAACATGGAATTAAGAAGAGATGTGCAGAATTGGCTCAGGGAAGCCAGTGTAACCTGGCTTAGTACACAACTGTGCTGGAACTGCCATCCAAAACTTGTTGTTTCTTTCCCAAGCATGGTTTTGTTGCCATTACTATATATACAAGTATTTATTTAAAATGTGTAACATGCTGTGGGAGGCCCAGGTGGGAGGACTGCTTGAGCCAAGGAGTTTGAGACCAGCCTGGGCAACGTGGCGAAATCCCATCTCTACAAAAAATCAAAAAATTAGCAGGACATGATGGCACATGCCTGTGGTCCTACTGCACAAGAGACTGAGACAGGAGGATCGCTTGAGCCCAGGAGTTTGAGACTGCAGTGAGCTATGATGGCACCACTGCTCTCCAGCCTGGGCAACAGAGTGAGACCCTGTCTCAAAAAATAAGTCATATGCTTTCACCTATTTCAAACATGGCATACATGGTGTCAGCTTACAGGTTATTTTCACTCAACATTGTTTTTGGGATTTATAGCTCTAGTTCATTTAACTGCTGTGTATATTATCCATTGGTGATGATCTATCTCTGTATTTTGCCAATTGCGTTAAGATTGAGCATCTTTTCTTATTGGCCATTTTGATTTCCTCTGCAGTTTTCTGGCTCATATCCATTGCCCATTCTATTAGGATATTTCTTTTTCTTATTGTTGTATAGGAGTTCTTGATGAATTCTGGCCAGTGATCTTTGCAGATTATGTGAGATGTAAATATCTCCTACCGTGAGACATGCCTTTTAACTTTAATTATGGTTTATTTGAAAATAAATTGTATAACGTGTAAGTTTGACTAAGTATACTTTTTATAGTGCGTAGGTTTTGTGTTGTGTTTTTTTAAAAAGTCCTTTCAATCTCAGGTCATAAATATACTCTATTTTTTTCTAAAAGTCTTAAAATTTTGTCTTTCACATTTGTCCTTAATGTGCCTAACATTGATGGAGGCATGGTGTATAGTAAGGAGATCTAAACTCTTATTTTCATATGGCTAGCCACTGATTTGAAAAGTACTTCTCTCGGCTGGGTGCAGTGGCTCACGTCTGTAATCCCCGCACATTGGGAGGCCAAGGCAGGTGGATCACCTGAGGTTAGGAGCTTGAGACCCGCCTGGCTAATACAGTGAAACCCTGTCTCTATCAAAAGTACAAAAATTAGCCAGGCGTGGTGGCGAGTGCCTGTAATCCCAGCTACTCAGGAGGCTGAGGCAGGAGAATTGCTTGAGCCCGGGAGGCAGAGGCTGCAGTGAGCCAAAATGTTGCCACTGCACTTCAGCCTCGGCGACAAAGCGAGACTCCGTCTCAAAAAATAAAAATAAAAATAACAAGACTTACACGGATGTGTGGGTCTGTGTTCTCTTTCACTGGCCCACCCATTCTTGTCCCATACCACACTCCTCTGATGATCAAGCCCACATACATTGCTCTTCTTCAACACTGGCTTAGATTTTCTTGACTCTGCCCTGTCAAGGAATTTTTTTTTTAATTTGTCATTTCTTTGAACTACTCTATTGGGATTTTTATTGAAATTGCATTAAATTTTATAGATTAATTTCAACAGAATTGACATCTTTACATTACTGTCATCCCATCCATAAACATGTCTTCAAGCAAGCTTTTAAAATTTCCTTTAATATTTTCTAATTTCTCCATCAGATTCATACATGTAACTTTTATGTTTTTTTAAATACATGTAACTTTTAAAACTTTATTCCTAGATACTTACAGCTTTTGATGTTATTTGGACTAGAACATTTTCTCTATTGTTTAAATTGGATATTATCCTCATCTAGCAATGCTTTTGATTTTTATATGTCAATACTGTAACAAACTTTCTCAACTTTCCTGTTCTAAGAGTGGTTCATAGATCTCTTGGATTTCTGTGTAGACAATGATGTCTGAAAATGAGGAAGCTTTTTTGTCATCTTTTACAGTTCTTCTACCCTTTATTATCTTTTTCATGTCTTATTGCTTTGGGTAAGTCTTCCTATACAATATTGTTTAGACATTGGCGTCCTTATCTTCTTTTTGGCATTAGCAGGAATGTTTTACCCTTAAGTGTGATGTTTGCTATGGATTTAGACAAACACTTTTTTCCTCTTTTGCTAAAATTTTATTGTGAATATTGAGTTTTATTCATTGCTTAGTATGCCTTTAATAAAGTTAGCATATGATTTTACTCTTTCTATTCATAATGTGGTAAATATTAATAGGGGACCTGATTTGAATCATATGTAACATTACTAGAATAAACCCTACCCAGTCACAATGTTTTGTCTATTTAGGCACTGATTAGTTTGAATTTTTTTTTTTTTTTTTTTTTTTTTTTTGAGACACAGTCTCACTCTGTCATTCAGGCTGGAGGGCAATGGCACGATCTTGGGTCACTGCAGCCTCCATCTCCCGGGTTAAGCGATTCTCCTGCCTCAGCCTCCCAAGTAGCTGGGACTACAGGCACAGGCCACCACGCCCAGCTGATTTTTGTGTTTTTGTAGAGACGGGGTTTCACTGTGTTGGCCAGGCTGGTCACGAACTCCTTAATCCACCCACCTCAGCCTCCCAAAGTGCTGGGATTACAGGGGGGAGCCACTGTGCCATCCCAATTTATTTATATTTTTAAAAGAATTTTTAAAAATTCTTTTTTAAAATTAAAAAAAATTTTTTTTCAGACATGTTCATAAATGACAATAGTATATAATTTCTTTCCTTGTCCTGTCTTTGTTCAGTATTGGTATATGACTAGATTTAAATTGCTGTTTCACAAAATCTTCCATCATGAAATGTTTTGGAATACAATTGAAATTTTATTTTTGTGTTCTTTTTGATACCCAAATATCTCTTTCTCTTACAATCCCTATGATAACCTAGAAATTTAAGTCTCTGATTTGGTGTCTGGAATAAACAACCACAAGGTCAGGAAACTGGGTTAGTCAAAAGAAACCACTTTCCTCATTTGAACCAGCCCCCTAAAATCCAACAGCGTGTTTTACTGCAAACCAAAAAAGAAATGCCAAGTTTTAAAAAGAAAGTACCCCTCTCTTGGAATACAGAAACGTTACCTAAACAGTAATTTGAGCCTTTCTTTAAGAATGAAGAGTGAGGAAATAAAGATCATTCCTCCATATTGAATGTCTGATTTTAGACATTCAATTGTTTCTTAGGAGATTAAAATCATCTAAGCTCTCTCCTTCCCTCAGAAGATCAGAGTAAAACTTTCCTTTTTCCTTCAACTCTTTTCTTTATTCAGTATACCTATGTTGAGTCATTACTCTGTATGAAACCCTGGACTAGTCTAATAGTGTAAGGATGAATGACACCATTGTACAACAGAGGCAATAAGCCACATAATCAAGGAAGGAACAGAATGCTTTGTGAATGCTGAGGAATGTGCAATTAATTTTGTCTGAGGGGGACTTTACAGAGCAACTAACACATGTCTGAAGACAAAAGAAATTCTTTGGGCCACGCTTTTTCTTCTCCTTGCAATGTAATTTAAGTAGTGAAATCATGGGATTCGTACAACAGCAAGGCAAAGGAAGGTGGAATCGTTTTCTTTTTTAGTGCATTTTCATACCACCAAAATGTCTGACTTCTGCACAATGGTAGAGATATTTTTACCCACGCTTTTTTCAACTGGACTTTTCCAGGCCAGTGCCTGGAAAGTATGAGTGAAATTATTGGAGTAATTTCTCTTCCATGCATATGTGTCTCTGTGGATGCAGTGGGTTAAAATGCCAGCTGATTAGGCAACGGGAAAGGGAAGTGCTGCTCAGACCGGAAGGGGAGGGGCCGCATCCTCGAATCTCTCTCAGTGTAAAGCAATAGAAGGTTCAAGGTCATAATACAATTCCTGCCTCAAAGTTCGCATCAGGGGTCAGAAAAGCTTCACATGGGATATGTTCTGTAAAAGAGAACAGTGTTTCCTCTCATTTCCCACCCAACTAAGGGACCTGAGCTCAAGTAGGAAATTTTATAATTGTTTTAACCGTCCTACTCAAAAAGAAGAAAATATTTAAAATACTCAAGGAAACGAGAAAAGATCCAAATCCTGAAGGCAAGATGACTCTAATTTAGCTTAGAATACAAAACACAATCTGTGAGTTATTTCTTACTCCTAGTGTACATGTGCGGTTGCACATCAGCCACACTGATGCAATCCTGGTGCACATGTGCAGTTGCACATTACTCACACTGATGCAATCCTGGTGCACATGTGCAGTTGCACATTACTCACACTGATGCAATCCTGGCGTACATGTGCAGTTGCACATCAGCCACACTGATGCAATCCTGGTGCACATGTGTGGTTGCACATTACTCACACTGATGCAATCCTGGTGCACATGTGCAGTTGCACATTACTCACACTGATGCAGTCCTGGTGCACATGTGCGGTTGCACATTACACTGATGCAATCCTGGTGCACGTGTGGTTGCACATTACTCACACTGATGCAATCCTGGCGTACATGTGCGGTTGCACATCAGCCACACTGATGCAATCCTGGTGCACATGTGCAGTTGCACATTACTCACACTGATGCAATCCTGGTGCACATGTGCGGTTGCACATTACTCACACTGTTGCAATCCTGGCGTACATGTGCGGTTGCACATCAGCCACACTGATGCAATCCTGGTGCACATGTGTGGTTGCACATTACTCACACTGATGCAATCCTGGTGCACATGTGCGGTTTCACATCAGCCACACTGATGCAATCCTGGTGCACATGTGCGGCTGCACATCAGCCACACTGAGGCAATCCTGGTGCACATGTGCAGTTGCACATTACTCACACTGATGCAGTCCTGGTGCACATGTGCAGTTGCACATTACACTGATGCAATCCTGGTGCACATGTGCGGTTGCACATCAGTCACACTGATGCAATCCTGGTGCACATGTGCAGTTGCACATTACTCACACTGATGCAATCCTGGCGTACATGTGCGGTTGCACATCAGCCACACTGATGCAATCCTGGTGCACATGTGTGGTTGCACATTACTCAACACTAATGCAATCCTGGTGCACATGTGCGGTTGCACATCAGCCACACTGATGCAATCCTGGTGCACATGTGCAGTTGCACATTACTCACACTGATGCAGTCCTGGTGCACATGTGCGGTTGCACATTACACTGATGCAATCCTGGTGCACATGTGTGGTTGCACATTACTCACACTGATGCAATCCTGGTGCACATGTGCGGTTGCACATCAGCCACACTGATGCAATCCTGGTGCACATGTGCAGTTGCACATTACTCACACTGATGCAATCCTGGTGCACATGTGCGGTTGCACATTACTCACACTGATGCAATCCTGGTGTACATGTGCGGTTGCACATCAGCCACACTGATGCAATCCTGGTGCACATGTGTGGTTGCACATTACTCACACTGATGCAATCCTGGTGCACATGTGCAGTTGCACATTACTCACACTGATGCAGTCCTGGTGCACATGTGCGGTTGCACATTACACTGATGCAATCCTGGTGCACGTGTGGTTGCACACTACTCACACTGATGCAATCCTGGTGCACATGTGCGGTTGCACATCAGCCACACTGATGCAATCCTGGTGCACATGTGCTGTTGCACGTTAGTTACACTGATTCAATGAGAAATCCGTAGTCTCCACCCCCGAGGCTGTAACTGTAGAATCATCCCGTGTCTGGTATTTAGGAGTGTCTTCAGTGGCTGATGCACTGCATTCCAGGCCCCGACTGTGCTCCCATTGTACTTTGCGTGTTTGCATATCTTTTATAGCGAGATGTCTTCCTCTATCCCACCACACTCTCTGTTGCCCACCAAATTCCAGCCACTGTGGCTTCCTTTGTATACCTCACAGGAGAACCCACCAAGCTCATTCTATCCTGGTTTGCAATTCCATTCTTTTTTTTGAGACGGAGTCTCACTCTGTTGTCCAGGCTGGAGTACAGTAATGCAATCTAGGCTCAGTGTATCCTCCGCCTCCCAGGTTTAAGCAATCCTCCCTCCTCAACCTCCCAAGTAGCTGGAATTACAGGCGCTCACCATCACGCCTGGCTAATTTTTGTATTTTTAGTAGAGAGGGGGCTTCACCATGTTGGCCAGGTTGGTCTCAAACTCCTGGCCTCAGGTGATCCGCCCGCCTCAGCCTCCCAAAGTGTTGGTATTATAGGCATGAGCCACTGTACCCAGCCTGCAATCACATTCTTAAATGACTTTCTCTTCCAAGACTTCCTGCACTCAAATATCACCTCCTCAGAGAACCTTCCCTGACTGTCCCAACCTTCTTTCACCCTCGCCCAGCCTCAGTTGCTCTCTATCGTACTACCCTCTATTTCCTTCATATCACATAATACAATGTGATATTATGTTGTTTATTCACACTTATTAGTACTTTTCACCCCTGGTCAGATCATAAACACATGGGACAGGGCCTTTGTCCACCTTCTTTACCCCTGTAACCTTCTTGCCTGACATCCAGTCTTTTAGCAATTGCTTATTGAATAGCAAGCAGACAAAGTGGATAGGAACAGCTTCATGGGGATGATAGCCCCAGTGACAAGAGGATGAGAGAAATGCCATTACTTTCTCTTTACTAGTACCATTTTTATTGTGTTTATCCTGTTCTAGAAAAAGGTTGTAAAGGAAAGCTGACCAGGTAACTCAAACAAGACTTGTCTAGTAGGCAGTACCATGTTGAAGATATGACAGTGTGGAGTCTGGCCCTCAGCTTTGAGTGGAACAGCAAACAAATCTTTCAATAGATGTGTTTCTAAGAGAGTGCAGGACTGGGATTCAGAAGGCCTGAATCTAACCATGACTGTGGCCATGCATTATTGGCAGTGTGACCTAAGGTAAGCTACATCCTTTAATAAGCCATGGTTTCCTCACCTTAAAATTAGGGATCGGAACTGAAGGTATCTGAGTGCCCTCCCAGCTCTGTGGTTCTTGAGTGCCAGGCATTCATTCACAGATGAGGTACACCTGGAGCCTGGCTGGGTCCCCGAGACACTTCCTCCTACCAGGAAGTCCACTCGTGAGATGAAACTAAAGCTTGGAGGCAATCCGAACATACAATTTAAAACACAGGGGGTTAAATATTGTCAAGAAGTTTTTTTTTTTTTTTTTTTGAGACAGAGTCTCGTTCTGTCGCCTAGGCTGGAGTGCAATGGCGCGATCTCAGCTCTCTGCAACTTCTGCCTCTTGGGTTCACGTGATTCTCCTGCCTCAGTCTCCCGAGTAGCTGGGCTTACAGGCACCTGCCACCACACTCAGCTAATTTATGTATTTTTAGTGGAGACAGGGTTTCACCATGTTAGTCAGGTTGGTCTCAAACTCCTGACCTCAGGTGATCCGCCCGCCTCGGCCTCCTAAAGTGCTAAGATTACAGGCATGAGCCACCATGCCTGGCCTGCCAAGAAGTGTTTCTGTTGTGCTATGAGAAATAACAAGGCCGGGCGTGGTGGCTCACGCCCGTATTCCCAGCACTTTGGGAGGCCGAGGCTGGCAGATCATGAGATCAGGAGATCAAGACCATCCTGGCTAACACAGTGAAACCCTGTCTCTACTAAAAATACAAAAAATTAGTCAGGCATGGTGACACGTGCCTGTAGTCCCAGCTACTCAGGAGGCTGAGGGAGAATTGCTTGAACCCAGAAGGTGGAGGTTGCAGTGAGCCGAGATCACACTACTGCACACCAGCCTGGGTGACAGAGCGAGACTCCGTCTCAAAAAAAAAAGAAAGAAATAACATGATGGAGTCCGCTCACAGTTCTTCTCTGCTCAGAGAGAGGGCCTATACTGAAAGACCAGGACACAATACATCCAGAGCACCCCATCCTCTACTAATGGAAAACACTGGCCCAGAAATGTTTCTCTCTGGCTATTATTTTCCTTTTCTTTAATTTTTTTTTTTTTTTTGAGACAGAGTCTTGCTCTGTTGCCCAGGCTGGAGTGCAGTGGCATGATCTCAGCTCACTGCAACCTCCACCTCATGGGTTCAAGTGATTCTTCCGCCTCGACCTCCCGAGTAGCACCACACCTGGCTAATTTTTGTATTTTTAGTAGAGACAGGGTTTCACCATATTGGCCAGGCTGGTCTTGAACTCCTGACCTCATGATCTGCCCACGTCGGCCTCCCAAAGTGTTGGGATTACAGGCGTGAGCCACTGCACCTGGCCCTCTGGCTTTCATTTCCTCAGACCTTTTCTCTTACCTCATCTGGTATTCAGGTCAGAATGATGTGATTTCGACTCTCCTTAAACTCTTCCTTTTTTCCGTGAGAATACTGGACAGTGGCTCTCACAGGTGTAGCATTTACCCCGAGATAACTTTACCATGACATATCTCACTTTTATTATTATTTTCACATCACTCTAGTATATCGACTTTAAAAACAAAAGACATCATTCTCTTTATAGCATTCTGTTTTTAGTAGTGGTATTTCCATTTACAAAATATAGTAATTCTCAATTGCTGAAAATGTCAAATCTTAGAAAACATAGCATTCCTACGCATGATGTTAACGTCGTTCTTGAATGCTTGTTGGCCGAAGATTCATTTGATGAATCCAATTTTTCTGAAATAGATGATTCTGATGTTCTGTTTAGAGATTACTCCAAAAGCAGGGGGTTTTTTGTTTGTTTGTTTGTTTTTTCTGAGACAGAGTCTCACTCTGTCACCCAGGCTGGAGTGCAGTGGCACTATCTCAGCTCACTGCAACCTCTTCCTCCCGGGTTCAAGCAATTCTCCTGCCTCAGCCTCCTGAGTAGCTAGGATTACAAGCATGCGCCACCACGCCCAGCTAATTTTTGTATTTTTTAATAGAGAAGGGGTGTCACCCTGTTGGTCAGGCTGGTCTCGAACTCCTGACCTCAGGTGATCCACCTGCCTCGGCCTCCCAAAGTGCTGGGATTACAGGTGTAAGCCACCGCGCCCGGCCAAGAACAGTTTTTATATTTTATTTTCACATTGAAAATCAGTCAGATTAGGCTGGGCACGGTGGCTCACACCTGTAATCCCAGCACTTTGGGAGGCCAAGGCAGGTGGATCACCTGAGGTCAAGAGTTCAAGACCAGCCTGACCAACAGGGTGAAACCCCGTCTCTACTAAAAATACAAAAATTAGCCAGACGTGGTGGCACATGCCTGTAATCCCAGCTACTGGGGAGGCTGAGGCAGGAGAATTGCTTGAACCTAGGAAGCGGAGGTTGCAGTGAGCCGAGATCATGCCATTGCACTCCAGCCTGGGAGAAGATGCGAGATTCCATCTCCAAAAAAAAAAGAAAAGAAAAGAAAATCAGTAAGATTAGTTTCAGCCTCAAAGAGCATGTTTATGTAAAATTAAAAGAGCGCTGGCAGAGAGCTGAACTTTTTTTTTAAACGGGAAAAGAGTTAATTTAATCACTCCCATCTTTCTATAAAAGAAAATGATATAAATATCAGAACTATATTTTCTGATCTTTCAAAGGGAGTCTTTTATAGGAATATGGAGAAGAATGTTTGGAATTGGGACTGTTTTAAAAGATCCTTTCTTTTTCTTTTTCTTTTTTTTTTTTGAGATGGAGTCTCACTGTGTCACCCAGGCTGGAGTGCAGTGGCCCGATCTCGGCTCACTGCAAGCTCCACCTCCCGGGTTCACGCCATTCTCCTGCCTCAGCCTCCCAAATAGCTGGGACTACAGGTGCCTGCCACCACGCCCGGCTAATTTTTTTTTTTTTGTATTTTCAGTAGAGACAGGGTTTCGCTGTGTTAGCCAGGATGGTCTCGATCTCCTGACCTCGTGATCCACCCGCCTTGGCCTCCCAAAGTGCTGGGATTACAGGTGTGAACCACCATGCCCGGCCTTAAAAGATCCTTTCTAAGTGCAAGATAGGCCAGTGGATTTTAAAGTAATGGTACAGTAGCCAGGCGTGGGGGCTCACATCTGTAATCCCAGCACTTTGGGAGGCTGAGGCAGGCCCATCACTTGAGGCCAGGAGTTCAAGACCAGCCCAGCCAACATGGTGAAACCCTGTCTCTACTAAAAATAGAAAAGTTAGCTGGGCATGGTGGTGGGAGGCTGAGGTAGGAGAATCGCTTGAACCCAGGAGGCAGAGGTTACAGTGAGCCGAAATCACGTCATTGCACTCCAGCTTGGGCAGCAGAGCGAGACTCTGTCTCAAAAAAATAATAAAATAAAATAAAGTACCAGTATAGTACATTGATATGGTTTCAGACTCAAACAGGCCTTCAACCCATTACCACTTGCTGAGTTTCAGTGTAATATGAAGGATGTTAGTGGGCTATGAAAGATATCCATACTTATTGGAAATGCCATTAAAATACTCCCTCCTTTTCCAGTGACATATCTGTGTGCGACTGGATTTTTTTCCTATATACTTCAACCAAAACAACAGATTGCAACAGATAGAATGCAGAAGCAGATAGGACAATCCAGCTATGTTCTATTAAGTTAGAGATTACAAATTTGCAAAAAGGGGAAATAATGCTACTCTTCTCACTAAATTTTTTAAGAGTATAAACAGGTCCTGATGCCAAAAGTTTCAGAACCACTGCCTTGGAATGAGGAACACCACACAATAAACTCCATCCCTGCGAAGAGTTCATGATTGACGTTGTGGCTCATTTTCAAATATGAAAGGACAAATGAAGATACTCAGAATTTGAGAAGAGCATCTAACATGAATGACAGAAGCTAAAATCATCAAAAAGGGAGCTCAGCAGAAAACAAAGAACAGGAAAGAAAAGTACAAAATCATTATGATCATCATCATGGCGAGTTTGGAAATAAGGGAAGATTTTGCACGCATGAAATAAGAACAAAAGCATAAGCAAGAAACATCCAAAACACATGTTTAAAAAAAAACTTTGAAATTGAAAATCTGATGGTTGAAACAAAACAAAAAAATCAATAAAAGAAATGGGGAAAAAAAACTAAAAAAAAAAAAAAAAAGGGAAATAAAGGGGAGGTCTCCCCCCACAAAAAATGGAGGAATGAAAACAGGAAGATAGAGAGTAGAAGAGGAAGAGTAAGGAAAATTAGCGTATTAGACCAGGAGATCCAATATGTGAGTAATAGGAACTTTAAAACTGCAAGGGAGGAAATATCAAAGACATAATTCACGAGCAGAGATTCTTCTTTTTTTTTTTTTTTTAACGGAGTCTCACTTTTGTCACCCAGGCTGGAGTGCAATGGTGCAATCTCGGCTCACTGCAATCTCTGCCTCCCAGGCTCAAGTGATTCTCCTGCCTCAGCCTCCTGAGTAGCTGGGACTGCAGGTGTGTGCCACCACACCCAGCTAATTTTTGAATTTTTGGTAGAGATGGGGTTTCACTGTGTTGGCCGTGCTGGTCCCGAACTCCTGACCTCAGGTCATCTGCCCACCTTGGCCTCCCAGAGTGCTGGGATTATAGGCATGAGCCACCACATCCAGCCAGGAGCAGAGATTCTCAAGTGTTTTGGTCCAGGATCTCTTACATGCTTAAAAATTACTAAGGACTGAAAAAGCTTTTTTGTTTATGTTTTATTATGTTTTGTTTGCCACATTAGAAATGAAAACCGAGAACCTGTTAAGATGTCTATTTATTTAATACTAAAAAAGAACAAGCCCACATATTTCTAGAAAAATAATTTTACTACTTTTTCTACTAAATTTTTTTGTTTGTTTTGGAGCTGTTTTACATTTTTACAGATCTTGTTACTGCCTGACTTACTAGAAGACAGCTGAATTCTCATATCTGCTTCAACTTTCCATCTGTTGTGATATCACACGTCATGTAGCCTCTGGAAAAGTTCACTGTACTCTCATGAGAGAATGAAAGTTTAAGAATTTCATAATGTCTCAGTATTTTTATGAGGTCCAACCTTGTGGACCTCCTGAAGGGGTCTTGTCTCAGGAACCCCAGAGGTCGTTAGACCACACTTGGAGAACTGCTATCCAGATCATTTCCCAAATTTGTACATTTGCTCAGTGCATGAAAAAGACCCACCCAAAGCCTACTATCACAAAATTTTGTAATTATGTCAACTAAGAGAAAACTTTAAAAGCTTTCAGAATGGGCTGGGGGTCATCAGAATGATACTGGAATCTCAATAGCAGCATTGGAATCTATAAATCACAGGTAGACAAATAGCTCCCTGAGTACTCAGAGAAAATTACTTCCAACCAAGACTTTTATATCTACTGACATCATTAGCCAAGTGCGAAGGGAGAACATTTTTGAAACAGGAAGAGTCTCAGAAAGCATACCTTCTGTTACTCTTACTCAGAAACTATTGCTCGATTTTGTAATCTCCCAAAGGAAGGAATACATTGGAAATAGCAATACAGAAGACCAGCAAAGGCTATCATTAGGATGGTGTTGAAGAAACAACCAGCAGGCCTGGACAGCAGCCTGTCCAGGTTGGAGCAGAGGTCACCAAGAAAGAAATGCAAAGCATAGAATATCTGATATTTGAACACAGTGAGACAAGATTGATACTTCTGGCATACAATTTGCTAATAAATTAATGGTCTTTATCTTGAAAAAAGAAAAAAAAAGAGAAACAATTTTAACTCCAGGGAAAACATGATTCTCTAAGAAAGGAAATGAAATCATAGTATACTCTGAGGCTAACAGGGCATAATACTTACATAGTCTTAAAGATGTAAATTCTGACATTTAATCGAATCAAATTACATAACAGAACTAGTTAAGAAGGCTGGCCACGGTTGCTCACACTACCCAGCGCTTCAGAAAGATCACTTGAGCCCAGGAAGACCTGCCTGGTTGACAGAGTGAGACCCTGTCTCTAAAATTAAAAAAAAAAAAAAGAGAGAGAGAGACATCTTAGAACTAGTTGAGAAGACAGAAGGGTAAGTTTGAGGAAACTGAGAGTAAATAATACCTAAAGTTGAAAAATAATGAAAACACATTATCAGCATGGTTAGAAGCATGGACCTTCTTAGAGCAGAAATAGCCTAAAGAATCAAAAATGCTTCTGGGCAGTGCCCATCGAGAATGAGAATCTGAAAACCAGAAACTGCTTGTTTTTATCATAATTCCTGTAGAACTACTTCACTTTTTATTAAATATATAGCATATGACTCATTAAAATAAATACTTAGCATAGTAAGGTGTATATTAGTATAACTCATGTGGAGTGCAATTTAGAAATGTGTTAACATTTACACTGAGAATGTTCTTTGACCCATCAATTCCATATGTAGAATTTTATCCAACAGTGTGAGATTCATTGAATCAATTATGGTACAGTCACACAATGAAGTATTATGCTGTTACTTAAAATAATGATACTCCTAGTAAAAAAATAACATGAATTTACATTTGAGGAAAGATATTTCCCTTCCCAGCATATCTCTCCTTTAAAGCACTATCTCTATTATAATTTTGTATTCATTAGTGTGATTTTTCATTGAATGCTTGACTCTTCCAATGGATTGGAAGCTCCATAAGACCAGAGCCATGGAGTCCCCAACCCCCAGGTCACAGACAATACCAGTTTGTGACCTGTTAGGAACTGGTCTGCAGAGCAGGAGGTGAGAGCAAGTGAAGCTGAGCTCCACCTCCTGTCAGATCAGTGGCAGCATTAGATTCTCATAGGAGCACACACCCTATTGTGAACTGTGCATGCGTGGGATCTAGGTTATGAGAATCTAATGGTAAGTGTAATGCACTTGAGTCATCCCAAAACCATCCCCACAATCCAGTCTGTGGAAAAGTTGTCTTCCACGAAACTGATCCCTGGTGCCAAAAAGGTTGGGGACCTCCGAGAGCCCATGTCTTACTTTGCTCACTGATGTGTTCCTAGTACAGGTACACTGTACCTGGTACCTAGGCAGCTATTTGATGTCTGAATGAGCATGGGTGAGCATTCAAGTAGATGATGACAAACGTCTGCAAAACTTAAAGATAGGCAGGGCTTAGCTCTGGTGGGAGAGTTATGGGTTCAACCTGGGTTTAATCCCCTGCTCCACCATGACCTTGGGCAAGTCCCTTACCTAAGCCTTGGATACAATGACAGCAGATCCTCAGTTATCCAATTATATGATTCCTTGTAAATGCCATGGAAATGTTTAAACTTTTAAATTATACAAAATGTACTCACCCAGAAGACTACAATCTAATACTTCCTGGCTGTTATTTTTTTATTAGTGAACTTCTGCAAGATTTGGAAAACTGTGAAAATGATCCTGTGGCCATAGCAGAGTGTTTTGTGTCCAAGGTAAGCAGGGTTCATCCTTCTGGGCCAACTGAGACAGATACAGAGTACAGAATTTTTCATTTTAAAGTTAAAATGACTGGTTTGTTTCATATCAGATAGAGTTAGCCACTAATCTTTCTCTGGTTTCTTTGTTTGAGTAGCAAAAATGTATTGTTCCTGGAGCCAGGGAGATGCTAATCTAGTAGTTGTTCTAGAACTTGTACAGTAACTGAATAATGTTACTCTTTGCTGGGAAAAACTTAAAGCTTGGGAGGGGAGAGTCCGGAGTAGAAGAATGTTAGAAAAATGGGCCGGGCATGGTGGCTCACACCTATAATCCCAGCACTTTGGGAAGCCGAGGTGAGTGGATCATCTGAGGTCAGGAGTTTGAGACCAGCCTGGCCAACATGGTGAAACCCCGTCTCTACTAAAAACACAAAAATTAGCCAGGCGTGGTGGTGTGCCTGTAATCCCAGCTACTAGGGTGGCTGAGGCAGGAGAATCACTTGAGCCCAGGAGGCGGAGGTTGCAGTGGGAGCCAAGATAACGCCATTGCACTCCAGCCTGGGTGACAAGAGTGAGACTCTGTCTCAAAAAAAAAAAAAAAAAAAAAGAAGATGAATGTTAGAAAAATATAAAATACCACTGAACTGGTTTAGTTTAGTGAAAGTTTAGTTTTAGTGAAAGTCCAAGAGAATCTAAATATTTTACGTATAATATATGTGGCACTAGCCTAGTCTCTATAATTATCTTTCTTTTGAGGGATAGAGAGAAGCAGAATTAATCTCCTACATTTTAAAAATGTACTCTTCCACTGTTTTCTTAAGCTGCATCAGTGGTTTCGAAAAATACAAGGAAAGGATTTGACTTTCAAAGCTTAAATGACAGTGAGCTCGTGCTCCGAAGTGGAATAGGTGATGGAATTCTGAAACCTACCCTTTCCTACAATGTGGCCTTTCCTACATTGCTTTCTCAGCATGCTGCCTAGTATATAGAGATTTCTGTCTTGTTTAAATTCTCTTAAACATTCAACCGCTTTTGTTTGGAAAGCCTTTAGCAGAAATTGTTTTGCAGCAAACTTTCATGTGGTTTCTGCATTTGTAGTTTGAAATGCACGAAGGTTTAATAAAAGTTCATGATGGCGCTTTGAGACCCACTGGGAATTAGCACACGCGGAGTCCGGTGTGAACTGGGAGATGTCGCTCCAGTCTGACCTGGCTCTGGACTGTTCCACAGGGTCATTTCTGATGGTGGCAGATGCATCCTGATGGCTTCCAAACACAACACCCTGGGTTTTATTGGAGCAAAGTTCCTTAAAGGCACAATCCATGGGCTTATATGTAAAGGCACAATCCATGGGCTCTCCTGACTTTGTGTGTGTGTGTTCACATGTAAAGTGTGCACACACGTTTACCTGTGTGTAAGCTTACACATACAATCCTTTTCACAAGTTGCCTGTGTCAAAATTGAGCAGGGATTTGAAAAAAAGAAGAAAAATGAAAGAAGGCAAAATGGCTAAAAAGATATGCTGGGTATATCAAAGGAGATATGTTAGAATAACCACAGCACATAAACAACGTAGAAGCTTTCGGAAACGTTTGGGCTTTTACTGGTAACTGTAATCACAAGTTGATTAAAGATGTTCCAGCGTATGCTTAGCTCTCGCTTAATTATTCACATAAAAGTTTGTTTATGTGCCACGTTGCCAACTCCCAAATCTTCCTTTTCATTGTAATATTGCCAAGTTTAATTAGAAGACTGACTTGAGCTCTCTGCACTTTCGCATGGAAACAGGGAATCCTGAGGGAGTGCTGGGCTCAGGCACTGCCTGCCTTTCACTCAGCAGCCTGACATTTAGAAGATGTTACGTCTTCTGAAACACAACCAGCTGTTCAACTCTAGGGAGGAATGGAAAATTGCTTTAATTGGGAGGCCGTTAATGAAAGAGGTGAAGCTGACAGTTGACTTCTGCTTTTATCTGAACCACTGGGGCCTGCACAGAGATTCATCTTTGACCTTGCTTACTGTCGTGGTATGTGTAGGTTACAGAAGTCCTTATCGACAGATGGAGAACATGGTTGCTTTTTACCTGATGCTCATGGAAGAATGAACCCACAGTTCTCCTGAAGGACAGAAATTAAAGTTTCGTGCTGGGCAGGCCAAACCTTCTCCCAGTAAACATTTGTCTGTTTTAGGTCTCTGGAAACACCTAGAATGGCTCACTTTGCTGCCTTTACCTCCACCTTCACATCCACCTCTCATCTTGACTGGCAGCAAGGCTGACCCAGGGCAACGTTTAGGAGGGAGACAAAGTCTGTCTTTAGAGCCTCAACCTCCCCTTAGCTGCCTACTCTCCCTCGTTGTGTGGCTCTCTCTCTGTTGGTGCCTTCTTCCTTTTAGAGCCCAGGGAGTGAGTGTGTGTGCACACACACACGCATACACACACACACATGCACACACACAAGCATGCACATGTACCACCCACTTACTGAAATTATCCTCAAGGAAGTGTGGATATTGGATAGTCATATGATTAGAGTGAATTTAAGTCAAAGTTACCCGTATGCTGTTTACATATTAAGTCTTTCTTGTAGTGTCCAGTGAAAACTTCTCAGGAATCAGAGAGGGAGAGGAGGACCCTGGGGCAGAAGAAACCCTAAAATCATACATATTGCTTTACTGTGGCTACCTATTCAATAAATATTTGAGAGACTTAGGTGCTTGATTGGTCAGCACTGATTATATCATATTTTGGCTCTTTCATAATTAAATGTCTCATTTCTATGTCATCTCTGATTACAATTTGAAAGATTTGAAGAACTAGAAGGAAATATCTTTTCTTATGATTTATATATATTTGTATAACACATTCCCTTAAATCCTTCTAAGCCGATTTGGGGTGGCATATTTAATAACTAATGGTATCTAACTAGGAGCTGTTGACTTTTATGTGAAACCATCATTTGTAAGGTCCACAGAGCTTCACAAACCTAAGGGCAAACTTGCATTTAATTCCAGTTAAAGATATATAACTGATTTAAATCACAGCCCTCCAATTTAAAATAGGAATAGAGCCATGATATCACAAAATGCACAGAAATTCAATCGTGCAGAAGTCATGAGGTCTTATGATAGCTGGCTAGGAGTAAGTCACTATATTATGCAATGTCAACCTAATTTCATTGAAACCATTGTTTTCTAATTTGTATTTCAAATGATCCTACAGGTCCAAAATTGTAAGGAAAGTCAACTTGATATTGTTCTATTCCAGGTTGAGTATAGCAAGAGGCAGGAAAGAAAAAGCAAGAAACTCAAAAAGTATGAGCCAATCAGAGAAAAGTCCCCATTTGGTACATTAACTTGCTCACAGACCTTGGGCAAGTCACTCTGGCATTTTCATCCATGGAGCCAGGGCTGGCTTCAAGAACCAATAAGTGAACTCAAGTGCACAAAGGGGCCCAGGTGGAGTCTATAGCAGTCGAGGTGTTTGCCTGGTCTCCTGGGGATGGTCATTGCCATGTGAAACTGCAGGCCCAGGGCTGGTGGGTCTTATACTTCTTCAGGAGAAGCTAGAAATTGAAATATTTTTTTTTCTTCTTGATACAGAGTTTCGCTCTTGTCACCCAGGCTGGGGTGCAGTGGTGCAATCTTGGCTCACCACAACTTCCGCCTCCCAGGTTCAAGCAATTCTCCTGCCTCCGCCCCCACGAGTAGCTGGGATTACAGGCATGTGCCACCACACCCGGCTAATTTTGTATTTATTTTTTTAGTAGAGATGGGGTTTCTCCATGTTGGTCAGGCTGGTCTTGAACTCCTGACCTCAGGTGATCCACCTGCCTTGGCCTCCCAAAGTGCTGGGATTACAGGCGTGAGCCACCGTGCCTGGCCAAAATCAAAATATTTATATCTTTCAACTTTTAAAAGTTGACAACTAATTTAGACTTTTTTAAATACCATGCTTGAAAATTTGGTACAATGCTTGAAATGTTGGCAAGGCCATGGGGAAACAGACACTCATAACTGTAGGAAAAGAAAATGGCACAGCCCCTATGGAGAGGAATTGGGCTGTGTGTCTAGCATCTGAATTCACCCTTTCACCCACCAGTCCTACATCGAGAGATCTATTCCAAGGATACACTTAACAGAAATTCATGTAAGCATAATACTGTTCTTTGCAGTAATGTTTGTTACTGCAAAAGACTAGAAACAGCCAAATGTCCCTAAACAAGAAGCTGTTTGAATCAACTGTAGTATATCCACGTAATGAAGTACTGTGAAGCAGTAACAGTAAAGAATATCTCGGCCGGGCATGGTGGCTCATGCGTGTAATCCCAGCACTTTGGGAGGCCGAAGGGGGCAGATTACCTGAGATCAGGAGTTCAAGATCAGCTTGACCAACGTGATGAAACCCCATCTCTACTAAAAATACAAAAAAATTGCCAGGCATGGTGGCAGGCGCCTGTATTCCCAGCTACTTGGGAGGCTGAGGCGGGAGAATCACTTGAACCCAGGAGGTGGAGGTTGCAGTGAGCCGAGATCGTGCCACTGCACTCCAAGCCTGGGCGACAGAGTGAGACTCCGTCTCAAAAACAAAAGAAAAAAGAATATATACTCCTCTGGGGAGGGAGTGGATAAAAGTGTGTGTACAGCACTGTGGTTCCCAAAGTGTGGTCTTGGACCTGCAGCATCAGCGTCACTTGGGAACTCGTTAGAAATGCAGATTCCTAGGCCCTACTCTAAGACCTACTACATCAGTAACCCAGCAATCTATGTTTTAACAGTCCCTCCAGGTAATTCTGATACTCAAGTTTGAGGATCACTGGTATAACATGATTTGTTTATCTAGGAGAGGAAAACCTGTAAGATTAAAAATTGATTACCAATGGAGGAATGGAGGGAACAGACTAGAAGGGAAAAGAATAGAGGTTCGGCTTCTTTGGAGGCTGGGAGCGGTGGCTCACACCTGTAATCTCAGCACTTTGGGAGGCCAAGGTGGGTGGATCATTTGAGGCCTGGAGCTTGAGACCAGCCTGGCAAATATGGCAAAACCCCATCTCTACTAAAAAATAAAAATAAAAAAATTAGCTGGGCTGTAGTGGAACATGCCTGTAATCCCAGCTACTCAGGAAGCTGAGGCAGGAGAATTGTTTGAACCCGGGAAGCAGAGGTTGCAGTGAGCCAAGATGGTGCCACTGTATTCCAGCCTGGGTGGCAGAGCAAGACTCTGTCTCAAAAAAGAAAAAAAAAAAAAAAAGAGGCTTCTTTGAATATGAATTTCTTTGTAGAATTGACTTTGAAGCCATGTAAATATTTTACATAATTATAGAACAAAACTAAGGTTCCAAAAAGCAGTCTCCACAAACTGAAAGCAAAATTAAACTGTATCCGGTTGGTGGCATAACCATGCAGTAGGAATTTCAGTTGATTTGAAAATATGCTTTAGATGAAACACAGCAAATACATCTCTAACTGTTTAATAATGATACTATTTATGGTGGTGTTGCTATTGTTATTCTGAAATTATTGAGTGTGTTGCAAGATAAAGCAAAGAAGTATTTATGTTAGCATCATTGAGAAATGGAATTGGTAGGAGAAAGAAAACACAGACAAAAGAATGAGTGTAGCTAATCAAAAGTGCTGTAGTCCTGTATCTGAATTATTAATGTAAGTGTTAGTATAAACTAAAGTTGTATTTTATCCTTTAAAAAAAACACCACTTCCTATCCTGGCCAACATGGAGAAACCTCATCTCTACTAAAAATACAAAAATTAGCCGGGCGTGGTGATGCATGCCTGTAGTCCCAGCTACTTGGGAGGCTGAGGCAGGAGAATCACTTGAATCCAGGAGGTAGAGGTTTCATTGAGCTGAGATTGCACCACTGCACTTCAGCCTGGGTGACAGAGCAAGACTCAGTCTCCAAAAAAAAAAAAAACCAAAAAAACACCACTTCCTGGCTGGGCGCGGTGGCTCACACCTGTAATCCCAACACTCTGGGAGGCCAAGGCAGGCGATCACCTGAAGTCGGGAGTTCGAGACCAGCCTGGCCAACATGGCTAAACCCCATCTCTACTAAAGATAGAAATATTTAGCTGGGTGTGGTGGTGAGTGCCTGTAGTCCCAGCTACTCAGGAGGCTGAGGCAGGAGAGTCACTTGAACCCAAGAGGCAAAGGCTGCAGTGAACCGAGATTGCACCACTGCACTCCAGCCTAGGTGACAGAGCAAGACTCCATCTCAAAACAACAACAACAACAAAAAAAAACCACACCACTTCCTAACTCTGTCCACTGAAAAGTCCCAGAAATGATGATTGCCCTACAGCAAGAGTATCCCTGATACCCAGATTGTGGTCTCCAAACACTGTTTCCTGCCAGAAGGAATAGGGGCTCCATGAAGAATGAGTGTGGGGCACAAAATATACAAGATAGTCTGGGACATCTTGTCACACCAGGAAACAAGCTACAAAAGACCATAGGCCAGGTCATGAATGCTCAAGAAGGGGCTCCTACTAGCCAAAAATGGGATAATTTGAACATCAGTGAAGATAATTAACTGAAAACAATGGAAACTCATTAAATAGGCTCATATTAATGAATTTGCAGTGATATTAAAACACCAAATTGATCACCTTTGCATGACGCTGGAGAACCAATACATTATTTTGAAAATTAAAGGCAAGAATTGGCTGGGTGTGGTAGCTTATCCATGTAATCTCCTACACTTTGGGAGGCTGAGGCAGGGGGATCACTTGAGCCCAGAAGTTTGAGACCAGACTGGGCAATATAGCAAGACCCTGTCTCCATAAAAAGTTTTAAACTTAGCCAGAGGTGGTGGCACGCCTGTGGTCCCAGCTACTCTGGAGGTTGAGGTGAGAGGATCACTTGAGCCTGGGAGGTTGAGGCTGAAATGAACTGTGACCACCACTGTACTCCAGAATGGGTGACAGAGCAAGACCCTGTCTTGAAATAAAAAGGAAAGAATTAAACATTTATTCTGCCTTTCCCATACAAATCATAAACTGCAGAGTAACCAAGAGTTCATAGAAGGAGGTTCTTTTTTTGGAAAGATTCTAGCTAATAAATAAAGAAGGAATAAAGTATTAGAAATACCACCATTTTCCAACTCCTAATAAATTAATAGATCTAGCCAATAAGTACCAATGGTTGTTAGCATCACAGAAGAGAGACAACCAGACTTTATGTCCATTGGACTTCCCAATTCCATTAGACTTCCATTGTACTTCCATTAGAGGAAGCACAAAACAGCTGCTAGTGTATTGTGCCAAATTACGGAACCTAAATCTGAGCAAGTCTCTACTAAACCAGTACGAGTATAATGGACAGGGCATATTAAATGAAACCAGGCCAGGCGTGGTGGCTCATGCCTGCAATCCCAGCACTTTGGGATGCCAAGGTGGGTGGATCACTTGAGGTCAGGAATTCAAGACCAGCCTGGCCAACATGGTGAAACCCCATCTCCACTAAAAATGCAAAAATTAGCCAGGCATGGTGACGCATGCCTGTAATCCCTGCTACTTGAGAGGCTAAGGCAGGAGAATCACTTGAACCTGGGAGGCAGAGACTGCAGTGAACCAAGATCGTGCCACTGCACTCCAGCCTGGGCAACAGAGCGAGAATCCATCTCAAAAAAATAAAACAGAAACTCTAGAGATGTCATTGGTAATAGTGGAACTGGGGCTGTGCCGCACAGTGTGGTTTCTTCAACTCACTTGCAAAAGGAAGAAAAATAGGGGAGAACTTAAAGATGAAAAGAGACTACTAAAGAGATATCAACCATTTGCTCTGTGTGATTGTTATTTGCAAATCAAACAGGCAAAAGATTTTAAAAAGAAAAAAAGGAAATATGAATAGTGACTGGTGAAACTTCATGATGTTATTGAATTATTTAAGTGTAACAATGGTATTATGTTTAATGTCCTTATTTTAGTCTGGGCATGGTGGCTCATGCCTATAATCCCAACACTTTGAGAGGCCAAGGCCGGTGGATCACTTGAGGCCAGGAGTTCGAGACCAGCCTGACCAACATGGCGAAACCCTATCTCTACTAAAAATACAAAAAATTAGCTGGGTGTGATAGCGTACACCTGTAGTCCCAGCTACTCAGGAGGCTGAGGCAGGAGAATTGCTTGAACCCAGGAGGCAGAGGTTGCAGTGAGCCGAGGTTGCGCCACTGCACTGCAGCCTGGGCAACAGAGTGAGGCTCCGTCTCAAAAAAATAAAGTCCTTATTTTAGAGATACATGTTAAAATATTTACAAGGAAAATGATGTCTAGAATTTAATTCAGAATGATGGGGAAGCAGGGGAATGGGGGGTGGGGCAGAGACGAGGAGTTAATGATTATTGAGGTTGGACGATGGAAACTTGGGGATTTATTATACCATCCTCTCTACTTTTATATATGCTTGAAACTTTCCATTTTAAAAAAAAGTTTAACCTAATTCCAGTTGAGGTTAACAGGAAGGATTCTAAGTAGAGATTTTAGAATTTAAAAAAATTAAAGCTACCTGAAAAATAGGCACTTAGAGTCACATGTGAATCTTAGACCACATTAAGTGGTCTAAAAAGTAAAAGTAAAAGTTAAAAAAAAATTGGAGAATGTGAAACCCCACCAAAATAATCTGTGGCTCTTTTTCAAAATATAATTTCAAGGCCAGGCATAGTGGCTCATGCCTGTAATCCCAGCACTTTGAGAGGCTGAGGCAGGCGGATAACTTGAGACCAGGAATTGGAGACAAGCCTGGCCAACATAGCAAAACCCCATCTTTACTAAAAATACAAAAAACTAGCTGGGCGCGGTGACGCATGCCTGTAATCCCAGCTACTCAGCAGGCTGAAGCACAAGAATTGCTTGAACCGGGGAGGCAGAGGCAGAGGCTACAGTGAGCAGAGATTGTGCCACTGCACTCCAGCCTAGGCGACAGAGCGAGATTCCATCTCAAAAAAAAAAAAAGTAATTTTATTTTAGATTTTGCAAAAGCTAGTAATTTATTGGCCTTGAATTAATTATTCTGACTGAAAGCCTTATCAAAAGTTCTGGCCACTTCCCCTCCCTGTCTACATACCTCGTTTCTTTGGCAGTCTAGGAAAACATTGTGAAAGACATTGAAATCCACCAAAGCCGGGCATGGTGGCGCATTCCTGTAATCCCAGCTACTCGGGAGGCTGAGGCAGGATAATCGCTTGAACCGGGGAGGCGGAGGTTGCAGTGAGCCGAGATCATGCCATTGTACTCCAGCCTGGCCAACAAGAGCAAAACTCCGCCTAAAAAAAAAAACAAAAAACATATATATATATATATAAATGTCAAGGCCCGAATGCTATTTCTTTTTATTGTTTTCAAATGAATGTTTATGTTTGTGCTTTGTTGCCTATAAAAATTTCTTTTGTTTCCTTGCAGAGTGAAGAGTTCCACATTTATACCCAGTATTGCACTAACTATCCAAGGTATGGATCGAGAATGGGCCAAGAGTACTTTTGTTCACTTTCACATTGTTTCAAGTCAGCTGGTGCAGTACACATGGTTGTTAGGCATTCTGTGCCTGGCCTTGTGCTGAATACTATGGGAAGAATGCAAAACGTGCTGAGAACAGATTACAGGGGCACCCAGATATGGATCCGTCTGGGCTTTGGGGCTCCCTGCAGAGCCAGTGTGGGGAAAAATTGTAAAAGTCTATGGAGAAACCAAAAAGATGACTAGGTATCTCCAAAAGGAAACTAAGCAAGCTATTGCATCAGGCCGCAAGTCTTGCCTGCTCACCCTTTTCTGTGTGTGTCATGTTTTTAAGAATTTAGGAAACACTGCTAATGAGTTTCTATAATCTAGATGGGGAGAGAACAGATTCTATTTTTTTCCAAATAAGTTTTATGAACTATATAAGTTTAATGGAGTTCAGAGGAAGGACAGATCATCATAAGCCTAGATGAGAAGAGGGGCATCGTCATCTCGCCTGGGTTGTTGGTTCAGTTTTCCTTGCATTGGAAATCAATGGCACAAGGGCAGTGTAGGAAGCATCCTTGGACAATGTATTAACCATTTCAGTAAGGGAGTTGGGCCTAAGATGATGGGCTACAACGGTAGGAATTTCTTTTTTTCTCCAGAAGACATTTATTGGGCACTTACTAATTCCTAAGCCCTGTGCTAAATGCTGTAAATACAAAATACTGAATTTAACTTTTCAAAGCAATCCAGAGACATTGAGGGATTTTTTTTAAGCAGAGCACCTATCCCAGTGCCTGGCCCCTCCTAAGTTCTTCATAAGTGCTAGTTCACCATCACCCCTGCCCCTTCCCCATTTCATAGATGAAGTAACTGAGGCTCTGATAGGTAAGGTGATTCTCTGAGGGGTGCATAGCTGATGAATGGCCCAGCTTGGATTTGAACCAAGGTTTCTTCTCTGACTTTTAAGACCTCGTGCTGCTATGAGTATGTCCTTTGAAAAGTTTCTGAAACTTTGTGATTCTCCCCCTGCCTTTTTATTTTCCTTTTTTTCCACATGATTAGCAGACTTTGAGTTATGGGGTTTTTTTGTTTTGTTTTGTTTTGTTTTTTTGAGACAGAGTCTCACTCCGCCACCCAGGCTGGAGTGCAGTGGCGCGATCTCAGCTCACTGCAACCTCTACCTTCTGGTTCAAGTGATTCTCCTACCTCAACCTCCTGAGTAGCTGTAATTACACCGCACCCCACCAGACTTTGAGTTATCTTAAGGACCAGCCAGGAAGAAGAGAGCTAGGGAGACTTTACACACTCTGTAGCCAGTCTTGGTAGACAGGTCCCTGACGATAAAGTGGATGGTGGGATCCACCTAGAAGAGAAGGCAGCACGCTGAGCCCTGAGTGTTACTTCTGGAAGGAAAAACAAATAGGTCCCCTGTTCCCCACTGTCAGGAGTAACCCCAGAAAGCCAGTGTGGATTAAAAGACCCGGGATGTTGCTGCATGTGGTGGTGTGCACCTGTAGTCCTAGAGCTACTCAAGAGGCTGAGGCAGGAGGATAGCTTGAGCCCAGGAGTTTGAGGCTACAGTGAGCTACTGTTGCACCACTGCACTCCAGCCCAGGCAACAGAGCAAGATCCTGTCTCTTAAAGACCCAAGAAGCGGCTGGATACAGAGACTTATGCCTGTAATCCTAGCACTTTGGGAGGCCAAGGCAGGCACATCACCTGAGGTCAGGAGTTTGAGACCAACCCGGGCAATATGGCAAAACCCCGTCTCTACTAAAAATACAAAAATTAGTCAGACGTGGTGGCACATCCCTGTAATCCCAGCTACTTGGGATGCTGAGGCAGGAGAATTCCTTGAACCCAGGAGGCGGAGGTTGCAGTGAACTGAGATAGCACCACTGCACTCCAGCCTTGGCAACAGAGCAAGACTCTGTCTCAAAAAAAAAAAAAAAAAAAAAAAAAAAAAAAAAAAAGACCCAAGAAGCTAGAAGTTTAGAGGCTCAACTTACTCTGGCAAATACTTTTCCTTGGAGGACCCCTGCTTTCCCCAGTTTCCCCTAAAAAAAACAAAACAAAATAAATAAATAGAACCACATGCATATTAGAACATTTATTACACATCCTTATCTGTAGACCCACCCATAGTTAATTTACATGGTTTCACTTAAGCAATTTTCTCTCTTAAAGTATTTGTTTCCATCTTAATGCTGAAAACATCAGGCGATTGCAGGATGCCCCAGCTAAATCCCATGGTTCTAAACCAAAAGCCAGCTTGCCTCACACCCTAATTCAGAGAAATCACAGAATCAGCCCTCATCTTCTCCACAAAACTTCTTCCTTAGGGAAGGAAAAAAAACATTCAGATTCTGAAGAATCATCAAAGTTCCAGATCCAATTATGAGAATCTAAAATGATACAGGAGCTTGTTTGGGGAATTATGTTTCTATAAATCTCATTATAAACATATCATTTAAAGAAATAATTCTTAAACTTCCAAAATTGCAAATTCAGAAGATTTTGTGATTTATTAAGAAGAGTACAAAATAAAAACAGCTTCTTTATATGGCAGGCTGCTTCAGAGCCAGGGGAGAGGCAAATCATTTGTGCAAGGACATTTTTAAGAGCTGGTCATTCATGGAGCACCGTCCCAAGCCTGGTGTATATTGGCAGGAAATAGCAAACAATACCCTTGCCTTCAAGCAGTTTCTGTTCTTTTGAAGGTCAGATGCAACTAAATGCAATGGTGGAAGAGCATGTTCTGGAAGATCAAATAAATATAAATTAACACAGGACAAACTCAGTAATGTGTAGTAAAAGCTGAAGGTTAAGGATAATTTTCTGGAGAAAGTTGTCTTTTTTTAGAGTTAGAGTCTCGCTCTGTTGCCCAGGTTGAAGTGCAGTGGCATGTTCTCACCTCACTGCAACCTCTGCCTCCTGGGTTCAAGCAATTCTCTTGTCTCAGCCTCCCAAGTAGCTGGGATTACCGGCACATGCCACCACACCCATCTAATTTTTGTATTTTTAGGAGAGAGGGGGTTTCACCATGTTGGCCAGGCTGGTCTCGAACTCCTGACCTCAAGTGATCCACCCGCCTCGGCCTTCCAAAGTGCTGGGATTGCAGCCATGAGCCACTGTGCCTGGTGAGAAAGTTGTCTTTAAAAAAAAAAAAAATTGAGTCTGACTTTGAAGAAAAGTGTTAGCAGAGAGGTACTCAAAAGTTGTTCTCAGTGAAGAAGACATGTCCATTTCTTGCCCAATTGTGTGGTTTTCATATTCATAGATAAATATTTTATCTTGTCCACTTGTATCCCATCACTTTACTCTCTGAGACCCAAAGTTCCCTTCTCCCACTTAACAAGCCAAAAATGCCAGGTATTTCAGCCCATCTGACAAATTTTCCTTCCCCCTTTGGATCCTGTCTGGTGATATTAAATGTCACAGGCACATCTTGACAGTGTCCACTATCTTCATACCAGTCACACCTCAGTGATTTTGCTGTGAAGAGCCACAAGCTCCCACACTCTGTTCCCCAGGGAGGGACGCAAACCCAGCCAGGTCCTTGTCCTCAGATGCCTGCCTGTACCCAAGACTTCCGGGAACCTGGAGCTCAGCATGCTCCTAATTTGTTGCAGGTTCTTACCCTTGAGCAAGAACCCAAGCCTTTAGGTGGCCAAAGGGCTACAGAGCAGCCGATTCTGACTCTAAAGAACCTTAGAAATGTTCCTAGGTTACATGATGGAGAGTTTTGAAATCTTGACTCAAGGGGAAAATAAATCAGTGTGAATAGATATTTCTCAAAGTAGATTGGCACAAAAGGGATTCTAATGGTTTAATTACGAAACTTCCATTTAACTTCCTTCCTCACAGCCTTATTTTGTTGTTTGGCTCTGTCTGATTTTCTCAATTAATCCTGAAAATGTCACTGACTTAGGGAGAAAAGGGCTGAAATTATTTCCACCTGCTTCCTTCTACATTTTGCGAACGAAAGATTTTTAATTTACACGCGTGTGACTGCACAAGCCGTTAGCTGGCTTTGTGATACGAGCATTGTTTCAACCATTGCCTTAAGATGTTTTCGTCTGTGCTCATCACCTCGGGGGGATCTGGGTTGCGGAAAGAATTCTAACCCACTTTTGGAACACCCTCATCTGAGGCGCACTCCGTAGGAGCAAGACTATCTGGCTTTCCCAGAAGCTGTATCACTTATAAGGTTAACAATTTGGAGGTAGAAAGGGAGACCTCTTCAAAGATTCTCACAGGGAAGTTACCCAGGGGAAGAGGTCTCTAAGCAAGCCTACCACATAGGGTCACAGTTTGTGCATCATATAAAAGGGGCCAGCAGAGGGGGTGATTAAATGCTCTGACGGGGGGCTGGATCTTCCAGCAGGAAGGAACTCCTTTTTCTTAGTACAAAAAGTGCCTAGTCTTTATAATCTAACGCGTGGAAATGGAATACCGACGTGCTGTGTGAGCACTGCACAGAGATACCCAGATTGGGCGCAGCTAGGGGCTAAAATCCCTCTCCAATAACTTTTGCCAAGCCATGGGCCCTGGCACAAGGCCGCGTCTCCTAGAAGGAAGGAACTTGTTACTTAGAAGCCATGAGCCCAGGGTGCCACTGCCAGTGGGTCCGGTGCCTTTTTCTAATTCACCCTCCCAGAGGGAACCCTTTCTCCAATTTGCCTAAAGGCATGCTGATCTGACCACAGCTCTGGAGCTACCCTACTCATTTTAGGGCATTTACACTTGCAATAGCATTTAAAATTTGAATACCCACATAAAGCATTACAATTTAGATAAAAACATGGACTCTTCCTGCAGGTCCGTGGCTGTGCTAACAGAGTGTATGAGGAACAAGATACTGGCCAAATTCTTCAGGGAGCGTCAGGAAACTCTGAAACACTCGCTGCCTCTGGGGTCCTATCTCTTGAAACCAGTTCAGCGGATTCTCAAGTATCATCTCCTTCTGCATGTAAGTTTCTGCCTGGCATGAGCACTTTCCAGGGGATGGGAGTTTTGTGTGTATATATTAAGTTTGGTGGAAAATACCAGAAAATGCTATGGACATATGGAAACATTTCCCACACTCATATTTCACAACTGACTAATCTGCTTTGAGGATTTGGAGATATTTATATTCTAGGCCCGTAGCCCCATTGACAACAGCCAAGAGAAGAGATTAATCTTAGCTCTGATTCTGATGGGGCTTAGGAGTGCCTCGCCCTGTGCACTGACAGTTTCAGGCAGGGAGCTATCATGCGAATGAAAAACAGATTTTGTAATGTTTCCATCAGCCCCGATTCAGTAGGCAATTGGAAGGGAAAGCTATTTGTCATAGATTGGCTTTTGTATGGAGAGCAAAGAGAAGGGGCTGAAAAGGGAGAAGACAGATGAGCAGAGTGATAAGTGATCTCCAAGCTGGGCTTAGCGTCACTTCAGTTATCTCCTCTTATATTATTTTCCACTACTTTTGCAAAATGCAAGAAGGCTTTAGAAACAACGATAATCATAGCTCTTAAATTCTTTTTTCTTTTCTTTTCTTTTTTTTTTTTTTTTTTGAGACAGGGTCTGGCTCTGTTGCCCAGGCTGGCGTACAGTGGTGTAATCACAGATCACTGCAACCTCCGCCTCCTGGGCTCAAGCAATCCTCCTACCTCAGCATCCTGAGTACCTGGGGCTCTAGGTGTGCACCACCATGCCTGGCTAATTTTTTTGTATTTTTGGTAGAGATAGAGTTTCACCATGTTGCCCAGCCTGGTCTCGAACTCCTGAGCTCAAGCAATCCTCCTGCCTGAGCCTCCCAAAGTGCTGGGATTACAGATGTGAGCCACCACGCCCGTCCTCAAATTCTTATTTCTTACCCTCCAAAAAACTGATGCGAATGGAAAAAAAAAGTATTACCGCAAGTAATTTTCATTCTGTAAGTAGGGCTTGCTTACTTTTGTAGCAGGAGAAAGACAGTACAGCAGAGTGGTTAGAAACAGGGCTCTGGGAAAGACTGCCTGGGTCTAAATCTTATACGTTGCCCACATTCACTGTGGCTCACAAGCACTTGATAAAAGTAAGCTATTGTTTTTTATTATTTTTATGATACATTAAAATCCCCTTTTTAAAGGAATTTTAATTCAGAGTTCCTCTCCACGTCAACAGGCCTGCAGTTTATAGGTATCTCTTTTTAAGTGATTCCAGGTTTCTAATTTGGATAATTATTCCAGATTTGTTTGGTTCATATACATTTAAAATTTTGAAAACTTTGTCCATCTTTACTAGCAATTTCTTAGCTTTGTCTGTTTGCCTGGGTAGCTCATCTTTGGAGAATCTTATGTTCTATGAAGTCACATCAGGGATATTATTTTAATTTTTAAATTGATCCGTATGACCTCTTAGATTTAGTGGGATTTATTTGCTAAATCAGTGTCCAAATAACTCTTAAATAATATTTGTCTCAGGACACATCTCTGCTGAATTCTGTTAATATAATGTCTAAGACTGGTGTGTCCCAAAAATCTCTAATATGGTCTTCTAGACAGTAAGATGGCCTTCAGTCAAAAGGAAAGTTTAAGATCTCGGTTAAGCATATGAAACAAGTCAAGATCCTTACAAAAAGTTAATTAACAGGAAAAACAGCCTTTATCCTACATTTTAAGGGCTGGCAATGAAGAAAAAAAACAGTGGTTGGATTAATCCAAAACTAACTTCTGGTTGCTTTTGAAGTGTTTTCTGCTTTTATAATTGATTAGAGGGCTCCCTCTATGTCATTCACATCATTTTTTTTTTTTTTTGAGATGGAGTTTCACTCTGTTGCCAGGCTGGAGTGAAGTGGCACAATCTCAGCTCACTGCAACCTCCGCCTCCCGGGTTCAAGCGATTCTCCTGCCTCAGCTTCCCGAGTAGCTGGGACTACAGGCGCGCACCACCATGCCTGGCTAATTTTTTGTATTTTTAGTAGAGACGGGGTTTCACCATGTTGGCCAGGATGGTCTCGATCTCTTGACCCCATGATCCACCCACCTCGGCCCCTCAAAGTGCTGGGATTACAGGAGTGAGCCACCGTGCCTGGCCCATTCACATCATTTCAAAGTTATGTAGCTATCCATGAAAATCCCCACAGAAATATCCTCTGTACCTCCCAGTCTGTTTACTGATGAGCACAGTTGTCTCTCAGGCTAAAAGAAGAAATCATTATGTTTTTAAATTTGCCATCTAGGATCTTGTTAACAGCTAGTCCAAGCACGGAAAGAAAATGTAAATTCTTTTACAGTTTCTAGCTAGATGAAAAACTTGAGTACTCAGTAAAAGTAAACAAAGATTTACATTGTTACTACAAAATAATGGAACTAATCTTCAAGTTGCACCATAACATTTAACCTCCACCCGTTAGCTGATTATGTATGATAAATGTCACAAGAACCATCTAATTGATTACAATGTTTTCTTACTGTTTTAGGCACTAATATAGGATTACTGTTATTGTTGTCTTTAAAAAGGCAATAGTTTCAATTTAATAAGCACTTATTCACCACCCAGCTCTCTGCTGGGCACTGAGAAGATAAAGAATCAAAGGAACTATATACAATATTCTCTATCCTTAGACTCTTGAGGATCTAGGAACAAGTGTCTTATGTGCTCAAAAGAACTAGAACAAAGATCCTGTCCCTCTCTCACGTTCCTGGGAGTGTGGGCCTCCAGTGGTAAGATGATTGCTAATCTAACATACTTCTGACCATCAGAGAATTGAGTACTGAAACCATGAGATCCTTCTCAACACTCTCAAGGATTGTCTTTAGTCAACTTCATTTGGCCTTTAAAACCTTGACTACAGGAAAATGTGCTAAAATGTCTACTTGCTATGGAGATAATTTTGTAAAGATAGTTTTCGCTATATTTTTGAGTCTGTTAAATATTAAGGTCCTGTATGAAACATTTTGCTTCCTAAATAAATAAGGGAAAAAAATAAGTATGCATTTTATCTTGTGAGAGTGAGAACTATATTTCTGAGAACTGTATAACATTGGCCACCAGGAAGCTCAGAACTCCAGAGCTATAAGAGCAATTTCCACGTCTGTTATAATAACTATAATATCGCTATGAAACTCAATGGGCTACATGTATGTTGTATTTTATCCTGTTTATCCTGGAATCCTATTCCACTTTTATCTTTCCTATCCTTGTTTTTTTTTTTCCCCTTGTCTTACCATTTTGTTGCAGGTATCTCTGGCCTCAAAATCTTAAAGAATGATGCTGGTGTGTAAATATTTTATATATATATATATATATATTTTTTTTTTTTTTTTTTTTTTTTTTTTCGAGGCAGAGTCTCACTCTGTCAGCCAGGCTGGAGTGCAGTGGCCTGATCTCAGCTCATTGCAACCTCTGTCCCCCAGGTTCAAGTGATTCCCTGCCTCAGCCTCCTAAGTAACTGGGACTATAGGCATGTGCCACCACGCCCAGCTAATTTTTGTATTTTTAGGAGAGACAGGGTTTCACCATGTTGGCCAGACTGGTCTCGAACTCTGGACCTCAGGTGATCCACCCACCTGGCCTCCCAAAGTGCTGGGATTACAGGCATGAGCCACCGCACCCAGCTGATAGTGTGTAAATAAATAAGCAAAAATAAAATATAAGGAACTAATCATAGCGGTGCCATTTGTTTCACTGTCTATATGAAAATAAAATGAAAAAAAAAAAAACCCTCGTTCTTTTTTGTTTAAGGAAATAGAAAACCACCTTGATAAGGACACAGAAGGCTATGATGTGGTGCTTGATGCTATAGACACAATGCAGCGAGTCGCCTGGCATATCAATGACATGAAGCGGAAACACGAGCACGCGGTCCGGTTACAGGTGAGCCCGCGAGGTGTCGGTGCCCGGCAGGGTTGCAGGTGTAGTGACTTACTGTTTTCCCAATAAAATATTAAGGCTGCTCAAGTACTGCACTACACTCATCATCTTCAGTGTAGTTCTCCCTGAAAAAAGTTCAGGACATCAGTAATACCCATCATTGTCTAGTATGGCTATTTAAGAGAAAGGGATATTATAACTTTTTTTTTTTTTTGAGATGGAGTTTCGCTCTTGTTGCCCAGGCTGGAGTGCAATGGCACGATCTCCACTCACCACAACCTCTGCCTCTGGGGTTCAAGCAGTTATTCCCCCTCAGCCTCCCGAGTAGCTGGGATTACAGGCATGTGCCACCACGGCCTGCCAATTTTGTATTTTTAGTAGAGACAGGGTTTCTCCATGTTGGTCAGGCTGGTCTCGAACTCCCGACCTCAGGTGATCCGCCTGCCTTGGCCTCCCAAAGTGCTGGGATTACAGGCATGAGCCACCACACCCGGCCGACATTATAACTTTTAAGCTAATTGTTTGCTTATAGCCCCTTTGATGGTCTAAGTTACAATTTTGAGCCTCCCACTTCTATTAATTGCAAATTTAGTAATTCTTATTGAAAGCAACTTTCCCTAAACTATGTAAAGACTTTTTAAGCCTTTATTCCTCTGCCACCAGTTCCTGCAAAATCATGAGGTGGTGCGTGGGTGGTCTTAGGCAGGGGACGCAGAGTAAGGGGAGCCAAGGCTGAACCAGCTCCTTTACAGTCACTTGGGACCTGACCCTCCAGCATGTCATTTCGGTTTCCTTTTTTTTTTTTGGAGACGAAGTTTCACTCTTGTCGCCCAGGCTGGAATGCAGTGGCACAGTCTCAGCTCACGGCAACCTTCGGCTCCCGGGTTCAAGCGATCCTCCTGCCTCAGCCTCCTTGGTAGTTGGGATTACAGGGGCATACCACCACGCCCGGCTCATTTTGTATTTTTAGTAGAGACGGGGTTTCACCAGGTTGGCCAGGCTTGTCTTGAACTCCTAACCTCTGGTGATCCACCTGCCTCAGCCTCCCAAAGTGCTGGGATTACAGATGTGAGCCACCGCACCTGACAGTTTCCTCATTTTTAAAATAAGACAGAGAAGTTTGCTAAAGGCCTATCCAGCACAAACATTTTGAGCCCTGAATCTTAAGGAACTTTTGACAGCTGTTGGGCCAGTGATCATGCCCTGGGCACCTCAATAGATGCACTATTAAAAACAAAACAAGAGGCTGCATGGGCCCAGAGGCCAGTTCCAGGCTCCTGGCTGTCCCTAGAGTGAGATGGAAAAGCCCAAAGTGACTCCACACTATACAGAGTGGCCTTGCCTAACTCGGGAAAAAAGATACCTTATTTGGCTCATAAGTCAGAATAAACTCTGTAGGTTTCAGGTATAGGCAGCCAGAGTGTGGTGTGATGCCACTGACTATCAAAAATCAGAGGAAGATGACATTCTAATCTTCCAGGCTGCTTTTTTTTTTTTTTTTTTTTTTTTGCAACAGCAACAAAAGTTTAATACTTTATCATACAAGTGTTTTGCAGACATAATGTCGGAATCTATTGAATACAGTCATCCCCCCTATCCGCAGTTTCACTTTCTGCAGTTTCATTTGCCCATGGTCAATCAAGGTTAGAAAATTTTTAAATGAGGGCCAGGAGTGATGGTTCATGCCTGTAATCCCTACACTTTGGGAGGCCGAGGCAGGCGGATCACTTGATGTCAGGAGTTCGAGATCAGCCTGGCCAACATGGTGAAACCCTGTCTCTACTGAAAATATAAAAAATTAGCTGGGCGTGGTGGCACACGCCTGTAATCCCAGCTGTTTGGGAGGCTGAGGCAGGAGAATTGCTTGAACCCGGGAGGTGGATGCCATTGCACTCCAGCCTGGGTGACAGAGCGAGACTGTCTCAAAAAAAAAAAAAAAATTAGCCGGGCGTGGTGGTGCACACCTGTAACCCCAGCTACTTGGGAGGCTGAGGTGGGAGAATCACTGGAACACAGGAGGCAGAGAGGTTGCAGTGAGCTGAGATCACATCACTGCACTCTAGCCTGGGAGACAGAGCAAGACTCCATCTCAAAAAAAAAAAAAAAAAAAAAATGAAATGAAAAATTCTGGAAATAAACAATCTGTAAATTTTAAATTGTGCACCATTCTGAGTAGCATGATGAAATCTCACACTGCCTTTCTCCCTCCCACCTGGGACATGAATCACCCCTTTGTCCAGTGTATCCACACTGCCTACGGCCACTCACCTGTTACTCAGTAGCTGGCTTGGTTATCAGATCGACTGTCATGTTTCTCAATGCTTGTGTTCAAGTCAACCTTATTCTACTTCATTATGGCCCCAAAGCACAGAGTAGTGATGCTGACATATTGTTATAATTCTTCTAATTTATTATCAGTTATTGTTGTTAATATCTTTATGCCTAATTTATAAATTAAACTTTATCATAGGTATGTATTTGTAGGGAAAACATAGTATATTTAGAGGTCAATACTATCCCCAGTTCCGGTAATCCACTGGGGGTCTTGGAACATATCCCCTGCAGATAAGAGGGACTGCTGTATTCAGAAATGTCTGAATGGCTGGTTTTTCATACTGTGTGAAGCTGCTTGATATTCTGAAGTCATTACTAAATCAGACTCTGGCTCAAACTAATACTCCATTTCTGTTCATTTCTGTTTTCAACCAGTAAAGTTTTTTGTTGTCTTGTGGGTTCCTTAATTAAACGGTGCTTGTGAATATTTTCATTTTTCAAATAATAAAATCAGCTTCCTTCAAAACACTGATATTCATATACAATAAATCCCACATAAATGTCAAAGTCATGTTAGTTTATTTATCAATTTCCATTAAAAGCACTAAAACGGGGAGTGGGGCAAGTGGGGGTGGTTAATGAATACAAAACTTTACTTAGAGAGAATGAATAAGATCTAGGCCAGGCGCCGGGGCTCACACCTATAATCCCAGCACTTTGGGAGGCCAAGTGGATCACCCGAGATTGGGAGTTTGAGACCAGCCTGGCCAACATAGTGAAACCCCATCTCTTCTAAAAATACAAAAATTAACCAGGCATGGTGGTGGGTGCCTATAATCCCAGCTACTTGAGAGGCTGAGGCAGGAGAATCGCTTGAACCCAGGAGGGAGAGGTTGCAGTGAGCCGAGATTGTGCCACTGCACTCCAGCCTGGACAACAGAGCGAGACTCTGTCTCAAAAAAGAAAAAAGAAAAAGAATGAATAAGATCTAGCATTTGATAGCACAACAGGAGGATTACAGTCAACAGTAATTTATAAAATAACTGAAAGTATAATTGGAATGTTCGTAACACAAAGAAATGATAAATGCTGGAGGTGACGGAGGCCCATTTACCCTGATGTGTTTATTATGCATTGTATGCCTGTCAAAATATATCACGTACCCCATAAATATATACACCTACTGTGTACCCATAAAATTTTAAAATTTTAACAAAAAAAGCACTAAAACATAAGTTAGGGGCAAAGAAAGGTTCATTTCCTTTCCCTGAGTAAGTAAATTTAAACTCAAGAAATTTCTGAGAAAATGATGTGGGTGATTTTATATAGGCTTTAGTTTTGAATTACTTATGTGTGGTATGAACTTCAGTATCCGGAAGAAAGTCTTCAAGTCAACAGCTCTGAAGGAGTTTTTTTTTTTCCCAGAGAGGAGGGGTGAGAAAAATCAAGGGAAGGGGCCGGGTGCGGTGGCTCACTTCTATAATCCCAGCACTTTCAGAGGTATAGGTGGGCAGATCACTTGAGGTCAGGAGTTGAAGACTAGCCTGGCCAACATGGCAAAACCCCATCTCGACTAAAAATGCAAAAAAATTTAGCCAGGCATGGTGATGGGCACCTGTAATCCCACCTACTCAGGAGGCTGAGGCAGGAGGATCGCTTGAACCGGGAGGTGGAGGTTGCAGTGAGCCCTGATCGCGCCACTTCCCTCCAGCCTGGGTGACAGAGCGAGACTCTGTCTCAAGAAAACAAAACAAAACAAAGAAAATCAAGGGAAAGAGGCCATACTGGTGGCCCCTGGACCTGGCTTTGGAACGATGTAAGGGCTGCTGTGAGCCACAGCATGGCATGATTAAGGAATGGAAATAAGTAATTAGCAGCTTGTCAGCTAACAGCCTGATTCATTGCTGTTAACCCTTAAGTGGCACCACTTGTAAATGCAGATTTATGTCATAGACCATCAGATACCACGTAGATAGTTAGACCCCCTCAGGGACGATTTGGCACCATTCTTGAGGCTCAACAGATGGGCCACCAAGCCCTTGGTGCCTGGCTTCTGCCTCCTGTAAATGCCATGGCCCATTCCCTTTCTCAGGAGATACAGAGTTTGCTCACTAACTGGAAGGGGCCAGACCTGACCAGCTACGGGGAACTGGTGCTTGAGGGAACCTTCCGCATCCAGCGAGCCAAGAATGAGCGGACGCTCTTCCTCTTCGACAAGCTGCTGCTCATCACGAAGAAGAGAGATGACACGTTTACATACAAAGCTCACATCCTGGTAGGTCTGCACGCTGGCCATGGGCAGGGACTCAGATCCCCAGTTCTGTTCCCTCCTGAGTGTGCCTCACCCTCTCTGCTCTCTCTGCTCTAGTGTGGCAACCTCATGCTTGTGGAGGTGATTCCAAAAGAGCCGCTCAGCTTCAGCGTCTTCCACTACAAGAATCCCAAGCTGCAGCACACAGTCCAGGTAGCAGCCGGGCCCTGGCCTCTCCGCAAGGCCCCTTTGTGTAATGATGAGTGCTGTGTACCATGTGGCTTTTTGAGAGCGTTCTGGCCACATGGTCATTTCCCATCTCATCAGAGGGTCCTGTGGGTGGTGGAATCAAGTTGTCTGACTGTCTACATCTCGTCTTGGCAGGCCAAATCCCAGCAAGACAAACGCCTCTGGGTTCTGCACCTAAAGAGACTGATTCTGGAGAACCATGCAGCCAAGATTCCAGCTAAGGTAGGACACTGAATAATGCACAGTGAAATGGGAGAGAGATACAAGAATCATTTGAACCTGGGAGGTGGAGGTTACTGTGAGCCGAGATCACATCATTGAACTCCAGACTGGGCGACAGAGTGAGACTGTCTCAAAATAAAAACAAAGAGACTGGGTCAAAAAAAAAAAAAAGAGTTTAGAATTAGAATCTGGGAGTGACAACGGTTAATCTGATCATTTAATTACTAATGAAGCCCAGCAAGGCATCCTGATAGGATAAATGTTCAACTTCATAATAAAGAGGCTGGCATGTGGCTCATGCCTGTAATCCCAGCACGTTGGGAGGCCAAGGCAGGTGGAACACTTGAGCCTAGGAGTTCGAGACCAGCCTGGGCAACAAAGTGATACCCCCATCTCTACAAAAAATATAAAAGTTAGCACCCGGCATGATGGCACGCACCTGTAGTCCCAGTTACTCTGGGAGACTGAGGTGGGAGGATCACCTGGGTCCGGGAGGCGGAGGTTGCAGTGAGCTGAGATTGCATCACTGCACTCCAGCCTGGGTGACAGGGTCCAGACAGGGTCTCACTCTGTCACCCAGGCTGGAGTGCAGTGGCGCAATCTCCACACAAGAAAAAGCAAACTGCAACCTCTTGTGCCTCAGCCACCCGAGTAGCTGGGACTACAGGTGCGCACCACCACACCTGGCTAAATTTTGTATTTTTAGTAGAGACAGCAAGACCCTGTCTCAAAAAAAAGAAAGAAAGAAAGAAGGAAGGAAGGAGGGAAAGAAAGAAAGAAAAAGAAAGAAAGAAAGAAAGAAAGGAAGAAAGGAAGGAAAGAAAGAAAGAAAATTGAGAGATAGAATATATAGGAACTACATCTCAGCTAAACCAGCCATTAACATCAAAAAGACTCACATGGGGCCAGGCACAGTGGCTCACTTTGGGAGGCACTAGCACCTTGGGAGGCTGAGGTGGGCAGATCACCTCAAGTCAGGAGTTAAAGACCAGCCTGGCCAACATGGTGAATCCCCATCTCTACTACAAATACAAAAATTAGCTGGGTGTGGTAGCACGTGCCTGTAGTCCCAGCTACTCAGGAGGCTGAGGCAGGAGAATCGCTTGAACCCAGGAGGCGGAGGTTGCAGTAAGCCGAGATCGTGCCATTGCACTCCAGCCTGGGTGACAGAGCAAGATCCTGTCTCAAGAAAAAAAAAAAAAGATTCACATGAATTGCAGGCTCTGTGGAGGTGGTGGTGTTTTTCCTTTTGGGGCTTAAAAGAAGATCAAGTTATGAGAATTATTCAAAGGTGCATGAAGCACCTATGGGTGTAAAGCTGTGCTGGGTCCCATGAGGGTGCTCGGGAGACAAGATACAGATTCGGCCAAGAAGGAATCTGTAGATGGGGAGCCAGCTGCCAAGCCATGAACCGTTTGCCAACCATGAAGACATAACAGAGTATAACCCAGGTGTTGTGGAAGAATAAAGTGTTCAATTGCGTTGAGTGGAGAGAGGAAGGAAAACATCTTTTACCTCAGTCTTAAAGGATAGGGAATGTTTTTTTTTTTTTAAAGACAGGATCTTACTCTGTCGCCCAGGCTGGAGCACAGTGGTGCAAACATGGCTCACTGCAGCCTTGACCTCCTGGGCTCAAGACATCCCACCACCTCAGCCTCCCAGAATAGCTGGGACCACAGGCTTGTGCCACCACACCAAGCTAATTTTTGTATTTTTGGTAAAGGTGTAGTCTCATCATCTTGCCCAGGCTGGTTTCAAACTCCTGGGTTCAAGTGATCTGCCTGCCTCAGCCTTTCCAAAGTGTTGGGATGACAGGCATGAGCCACTGTGCCCAGTCTTAGGAATATTTTTATTAAGTGGGAAAAAAGGAATTAAGGAAACCAGACCTAGAGACCTGCATTAAAAAAAAAAAAAAAGAGAGAATGTATGCGCTGTGTTCAGGGCGCACAGACGGTGCCAGGATGGGAGGGCTGAGTTCTCAGGGACTGAGGCAGGGGCTGGGGCAGGGACGGGAAGGGCAGGAGCCCCTGGAGGGCTGTGAGCATGTGCTCTGAGGAATCTGGACGCGTTCACACTGGGAAATTACTGCAGGCTTTGGAGGAAGGGGAGATGGCGCAGTCAGTCCTGTGTTCTGAGAGTGTAACTTTGGGGACAAGGTGACAAATAAGTGGCAGGAGTGAGGTTGGAGGCTGGAGAAGATAGTAACCCACCACCATGGCCTAGAAAGGAGCTGAGCAGTGCTGCCGTGGAGCCACAGCGACAGAGGGAACAAATGCAGAAAGTGCCACTGAGGCAGGAGGCAGGATTTTGCCCACTAAAAGTCAAGGCTGAGTCAGGGGTTGAAGGAGAGCATGGTACTGTGAGTTCTGAGACAGGCAGGGAGAGGAACCTGTGAGATGGGAGTGAGAGAGAGGAGCCCTCTGCTCTCACTGGCACCCGTGCTGCTGGGCAGGGTCAGCCACAGGTGGAAATTCAGGTCTTGGAAGCTAAGGATCAGGAGACTCTTGCTAGAGGCAGTAATTGAAGCCCTAAGGTTTAATAAGATGGCCCACAAAAATGTGCAAAGGAAAGATGAACCCTTGGGAATCCCAACATCTAAGTGATCAGCAAGCGGGTGGGGGGATTTGGAGAACAGCCAAAGAAAGATTGAAAGAGTAGCAGAGGAGGCAGGGAGGATGTCTGAGGAGAAGGCACTGCGCTAACAAGGAAAAAGCACATCTCAGAGATGGGGGAGACACAGTCTCAAAGGCTGCCGAGGTCAAGGAGATTTAAACAGAAAAGCAGATTTTATATTTGGCAACTAAGAGAAAAGGGAGAGATCACAGTGGGTTGCAGAAAAAGGGGGATTAAGAAGGAACGGAATGGGTATAGACTTTTTTATATGTAAAGTTCACAAAAGGAAGAAAAAATGATAGTTTGGAGAGAAAGGCAAGAGCAAAGCAAGACTTCTCGTCTGGCTCGAATGCCGAGTCCATGAGCAGATGGCAGGGAAGGAGGAGGAAGGTGGGAGAGGAGACAGTGGCTCACTTCTTGTTGGAACGGGGCCTGGGGAGGTGGGAAGGAAGAGGATGGGACACACAGGAATAGGGGCTCATCTTGGAAAGGGCTGGAAGCATCTCTCTGAACCAAGGGAGAAAAAGATGAAAGACAGAGGAACTTTGAGGTGGACTTGGGGGAAGACAAAGGGTTCGATTTCACTCGTGCAGATAATAAAGTCATCTGCTGAGTGAGTGAAGCAGAGAGCAGGGGTGTCTGAGGGAAAGTGGAAAGGATCAGAAGAACACTTGCTGGCCGGGCGCGGTGGCTCACACCTGTAATCCCAGCACTTTGGGAGGCGGAGGCGGGCAGATCACGAGGTCAGGAGATCAAGACCATCCTGGCTAACACGGTGAAACCCCATCTCTACTAAAAATACAAAAAATTAGCTAGGCGTGGTGGCGGGTGCCTGTAGTCCCAGCTACGCGGGAGGCTGAGGCAGGAGAATGGCGTGAACCCGGGAGGCGGAGCTTGCATTGAGCCGAGATCACGCCACTGCACTACGGCCTGGGCGACAGAGTGAGACTCTGTCTCAAAAAAAAAAAAAAACAAAATGGACCAGTCACTAGAGATGACTAGAATAGCCTGTGAAAGACATCAAAGACCCAACTGAGGCTGGCCCCCATGAATCAGTGTGATGACGTCATTTCAAAATCTGCTCAGCAGCTTGGAAACTACTGGTGAAAACCGTGGTGTGTGTGGGTTCCTCCAGGTTGGGAACCGGCAGAGCTGGTAGGGGAAGGTTCCCAGGGCGGGGGTGGGGAGGGTGCCAGTGAGCACGCAGTTGCAGTAATTGGGCATGACATTAGGCTGAGTGAAGAGGAAAACCAGCTGGCGACAGAGGCGTGGGGTGAGGGACTGCAGTATTGTCATAAAGCCCGGTTCAGCAGGACTTAATGTGAGAGAGAAGGAAATACCCTAATCTGTAATTGAAGAAGGGACTTTTGGAGTCCTGCCTTAGAGGTGGGACGGTTTTGAGTGTGATCAGGTTCTGGAGGTGGCTCTGATTCTGTGCTGCTGCTCTGGAGTGGAGGAAAAGGTCATTAGAAAGTGGTCAAGGAACTAGGGTGGTGGGTGGATTATTCACATGGATGGTGAAACAGTCCAAGTTGGGGCTGGGAGGAGTGAGGTGGAGCAGACAATGGGATGATGATCATGAAAATTGAACTGGGTGGAAAATAAGGGCTGAGATTTCTGAGAAAGGGGACAGTCTGTTTTGTTCTCTGTATATTTTGACAAGCATTTGAAGCTTGTTCTCAGGACTGCCAGCAATGATTTGGTCCTCAGGAAATGAATGTGCATAGGTGTGGACTTGGACCTAAGCATGAGTTTTCATTTCGTCAGGGTGTTATGAGATGAAAGGGAGCTCATGCAGAGAGGGGACTGCATTTTCTTTATGATTAGTCATTTTGTTGCTGGCCTGGTGCCTTAGAATGCCCTTCTGAGCAATGGCAGAGTATCTTTGATGGGCCCCACCCATTGTTTACCTGTCTGCTGGGAAAATCAAAATTGCTAACAAGATTCTGAAAGGCAGTTACAAAATGAGACCCCCTTACATACCTGTCTTTCTCCCACGCTAGGCGTGTGTGCCTCAGGAAGTTCCCTTTAAGTATTCAAATGGTTAATATAGTCAATATAACATCGTACTTTCTCCCCAAGTTGTCGATCCTTTCTATCTAAAAACATCTTTTCAGTTACAACTTATTGAGCATACACACTGTGCTGAGTACTTTATATTCTTATTTCACCCTCACCAAAATATGTTATGAGGTAGTTCTTATTCTTCCCATTCTAGAAAAAATAAAAACAGAGGCTGAGAGACATTAAATAAACTGCCCAAGTTTATATAACTAGTACATGACCAAGCCTGGATTGGTCTATCTGGCTCCAAAGAGCATCCTAACCACATTATTCCCACTGGCAATAAAAACACCTTTTTTTGTTTTGTTTTGTTTTGAAACAGCGTCTCACTCTGTCACCCAGGCTGGAGTGCAGTGGTGCAATCTCCATACAAGAAAAAGCACACTGCCACCTCCACCTTCTGGGTTCAAGTATTCTTGTGCCTCAGCCACCCGAGTAGCTGGGACTACAGGCGCACACCACCACACCTGGCTAATTTTTGTATTTTTAGTAGAGATGAGGTTTCACCATGTTGGCCAGGCTGGTCTCGAACTCCCGGCCTCAAGTGATCCACCTGCCTCAGCCTCTCCCAAAGTGCTAGGATTACAGGCACAAGCCACCACACCCAGCCTCAAACACGCTTGTCTAATATACTTTATTCACTATAATGTAATCATAATTTTCTATTTAAGCAGGATTATCATTAAAGTGAACTTTCCACATCTTTCCTCGAGATTATTTCTTATTTTCCTAAAGTTTTCAAAATGTATTTCTATTATTTCTGTGAAATGAATGCATAGTGGGAAATTTTAAACATCAAGAAATGTATCACCAGTCTAATAATGTCAACACAGCTGTGGGAAACTCATTAGTTACAGCCTCCCAGCTGCCTTCCGTTCTTTTAATTCAATGATGGTCCTTGGCTGACACCTAGTGGAAATCCTGGAAACAGTACTTTAAAAATTAAATGTCCAGACAAAAAAAAATTCTTGAAGTCAGCTTTACAGATACCAGGGAACTTCTTGGAAATAGCCATATTGCCCATTAGTATATGTGGTAAATAAATTTAACTCTTCTCCAAATTAATTGAAAATAAAGGTGAAGGTATTTTGCATTTTATATATTAGTATGTTTCTGTAATTGCACTTCCCAGAGAGAGACTGAGCTAACATTTGTGTTTGCAAGTAATTTCAACTCATAATCTCAAACTCTGAATGTATGAGAGAGATAGCTATCAGGTTACAAAAATTGAAGCATTTGTTTTCTCTAAGGTGACTGTGTTGAGGCTCCCCCAAGCCCCACACTTTTTCACTAAACGTGATCGCCACTTAGCCGAAATATTTGTACTGGGATATCACAGATGGTAGCAAAATAGAGTAAAATTATTTTAAAAGTTATTTTTAGCATAGTGTTTTGTAGGTTAAATTATACTACCCTTAAAAAATGAAAATAACTTTAAAGAGGCAAGAAAGGCTACAATCCCCTAGGACAGTGGTCTTCAACCTTTTGGGCACCAGGGATTGGTTTTGTGGAAGATAATTTTTCCACGGATGGAGGCAGGGGGAGGCTTTTGGGATGATGAAAGCACATTACGTTTATTGTGCACTTTATTTCTATTACTACATGGTAATATATAATGAAATCGTTCTACAGCTCACCATAATGTGGAATCAGTGGGAGCCCTGAGCTTGTTCTAGCCCTGAGCAACTAGACAGTCCCATCTGGGGGTGATGGGAGACAGCGACACCCCAAGTGTGTTGCTTATGTCCAGTCTGCTCTCATCTTATTTTGGTCACTGTCACTGCAGAAAACCCTGCTTCACAAAGATAGGATGTTGGAAATGGAAGCAGGCTTTTGTGCTTTTGTGGCAATCTCAGGATATTCGCCTGGACTTTAATCCAGAATGTAAGGAGGTTTGAAGTTGTCTCAAACATACTTTTTTTTTTTTTTTTTTTTTTTTTTTTTTTGAGATGGAGTCTCATTCTGTTGCCTAGGCTGGAGTGCAGTGGTGCTGCAACCTCTGCCTTCCCAGGTTCAAGCAATTCTCCTGCCTCAGCCTCCTGAGTAGCTGGGATGTCAGGCACACACCACCACGCACAGCTAATTTTTGTATTTTTAGTAGAGACGGTTTCACCGTGTTGGTCAGGCTGGTCTTGAACTCCTGACCTCGTGATCTGCCCGCCTCAGCCTCTCAAAGTGCTGAGATCATAGGCGTGAGATACCACGCCCGGCCTCAAACATACTTTTAAGGCCACCAGATGCAGCTGTACAATTGAAGTACATCAACTCACTTGCCACGATAAAGCCTGCCACCAGATGCAGCTTAATTGCTCCTTGACACTCACTGACAGGGTTTTGATATGAATCTGCAAGCAATTGATTTATTATGGTCTCTGTGCAGTCAAACCTCTCTGCTAACGTTAATCTGCTCCTCAGTGCTAGCATCACTGCCTCAGCTCCACTTCAGATCATCAGGCATTAGATTCTCACAAGGAGTGCTGCAACCTAGATCCCTCGCATGCATAATTCACAGTAGGGTTCACACTCCTATGAGTATCTAATGCTGCCACTGATCTGATAGGAGGCAGAGCTCAGGCTGTAATGCGAGCCATGAGGAGCCACTGTAAATCCAGACGAAGCTTCTCTCGCTTGCCCACCACTCACCTCCTGCTGTGCGGCCCAGTTCCTAACAGGCTACGAACTAGTACTAGTCTGTGGCTCGGGGGTTGGGGACCCCTGCCCTAGGAGAGTGGGTGGAACTCACCAGTTGAGCTGATCATTGAATCCTAATGACCATTCTGAAAGAGAGGCTCCCTGATCCCACTGTCCAGTTGAGCTCGGAGAGCACCCACCTAGTGAAGTGCCTGAGCTGGGATCACAGACATTGTCCTTCAGGGCCGTCTCACTCTGGGAGATTCTGGGGCACACAGAAGAGATGGGAGGTGCAGGGAGTTGGGGAAACAGAGAGACTTAGCTCATGATAATCACAGCATTCTGCAGGAGGAAAGACAACAATGAGAGGAAACTTCCAGCAGCCATTTTGCAATTAACTCAAAATAGTTACAAGGCCATAGTGTCATGGTGAGGGCTGGTGATAAAGATACCAGGCTCCGTGCCTTGAGCTTTTGAGTCAGTAGATCAGGGTTGGGTGGCAAGAATCTGCATTTTTTTTTTTTTTTTTTTTTGAGACGGAGTCTTGCTCTGTCGCCCAGGCTAGAGTGCAGTGGCTCAATCTCGGCTCACTGCAACCTCCGCTTCCTGGGTTCAAGCGATTCTCCTGCCTCAGCCTCCCTGTTAGCTGGGATTACAGGCACCCGCCACCATGCCTGGCTAATCTTTGTATTTTTAGTAGAGACGGGGTTTCACCATATTGGCCAGGCTGGTCTTGAACTCCTGACCTTGTGATTGTGATCTGCCCGCCTCAGCCTCCCAAAGTGCTGGGATTACAGGCGTGAGCTACCGCGCCCAGCCGAGAATCTGCATTTTTAATAAGCTGGCCAATGAGTGCTGATGATCAGCCAGGCTTCGGAACCAGCCTCCCTCCCTCCTCTTTCACAGGATTGGGGGTGCAGTCTTAGCTCCGGTGCCTTGATGGTGTAGCAGCTATTACCCACTTGAGGGCGCTCATCTGCTTGAATTCCCTGCACTGTGTGTAAATGCTTAACATAAATAGCGAGTTTTTAAACGTTTTTAAAAATCTATTTATTCAGGTGGGATAAGATCTGTGTTGAGATTTGGAGTTTAAAGAAAAAAAAAGCAATTGGAATTACAGCTCTACTTTCTCTCTTTCAGGCCAAGCAAGCAATCCTTGAAATGGATGCCATTCGTAAGTTTTATTTCCTTAAAACAATTTGAAATTTCATTGTCTGTTTGTATCTATCACATTTTCTATCTTAAAGTTCATGAAAATGTCGATTGTTAGAAAATAGTATCTCTCTATTCACTGTTTTCACAAATTGGGTAGACAGTATAATCCCTTCTAAGCACATTGACTTGTTTCTACATTGGTTCTCCCAGGTTTATCTGAGTCCCTTGATGGCTGGCCACTGTTGGGGTTTCTGCATCAACTAACAATGTCAGTTATGTCTCCAGGGTCAACTCTACCCCTACCCCTGCCCCAACCTCTACCACCACCAAAAACCAGAGCTTAACAATGCATTTCTCACTTCATCCCTAACAAAATGTTGATTATCTGCAAGAATCGCAATCACTTCGTAGTATTGGTTTTCCTGATGCAGCAGAAACTTCTAAAATCACAACCACCCCACATATGTGCATATATTTCTAGGCTTACAAAAGCAGGAGAGAATAAATGTTACAGGTCCTTCCTATTAAATAAGACCTTATTCAACAGCAGTTATCACATCTTTGTTATTTTTCAGATTAAATAGAATAAAAAGAGAAAACAGTGGCTTTAAATGCAGTCAGGTCTGCTGGAAACTTGTACTGAAAACACTTCTACTTTACTTAACCCTTTCATAAGACCTTACTTCGAGGAATCAAGTGCAAACGTTGATTCCCTTCCCTCCAGCCTGGCACTTGTTAACTCCCCAGGGGGAAAAGCAGCATCAGCAAAGTGGAAACAGGTGCATTCCCACCATCGCTGCAGCTGAGGCTCCCATCTCGCATCCAACAGACCCGAGAAATGATGCCCAGAGCTCCCCAGCGGAGTGCTAGGCTGTATTCTCTAGACATCAACATTTTACCTGCAGAAATTGCCTTCGGATTTTTTTTTTTTTTTTTTGGCCGGGTGTGGTGGCTCACGCCTGTCATCCCAGCTAATAGACTCCTAGAAGTCCCAATGTAAACAAAAAGCCCTGAGATACATATACAGCAGCAATTATGGGAGGAGGATCATATCCATGTCAGATGAAAAAGAATAAATCCATATAGGCCGGGCATGGTGGCTCACACCTGTAATCCCAGCACTTTGGGAGGCCGAGGTGGGTGGATAACCTGAGGTCAGGAGTTCAAGACCAGCCTGGCCAACATGTTGAAACCCCATCTCTACTAAAAATACAAAAATTAGTCAGGCATGGTGGCACGCGCCTGTAGTCTCAGCTTCTCGGGAGGCTGAGGCAGGAGAATCACTTGAACTTGGGAGGTGGAGGTCAGCAGTGAGCCGAGATCATGCCACCGCACTTCAGCGTGGGTGACAGAGCAAGACTCTGTCTCAAAAATAATAATAATAATAATAATAAATCCATATAAATCTACACTAGCCATAACCATTTTCTGAGAAGCCCCTGACACCACAGTCCCACTGATGCACGTGGTTATCTTTACAGATCATCCAGGCTTCTGTTACAGTCCTGAGGGAGGGACGAAAGCACTGTTCGGCTCTAAAGAAGGTTCTGCTCCATATCGGCTGAGAAGAAAATCTGGTAAGTAAGATGTTGTCATAAAAATTTAATTCTAATGGGGGACTGGCAATGAAAGTCCCTTTGAGTCTGACAAAAGGGAATGTTCTGTCTGGTTTCTCAGCTCACTGCCGGTCTGAATACATTTGCGGCTGCCTTAAGATGGGACTCATGAGCTTTTGATCTAAAACTCTTTTCTCTGTAATCCTAGCACTTTGGGAGGCCGAGGCAGGTGGGTCACCTGAGGTCAGGAGTTCGAAACCAGCCTGGCCAACTGGAGAAACCACATCTCTAGTAAAAATATAAAAGTTAGCCAGGCGTGGTGGTGTGCGCCTATAATCCTAGCTACTTGGGAGGCTGAGGCAGGAGAATCGCTTGAACCCAGGAGACGGAGGTTGCAGTGAGCCAAGATCGTGCCACTGCACTCCAGCATGGGCGACAGAGTGAGACTCTGTCTAAAAAAAAAAAAACCTCTTTTCTACTTAATGTTTCCCAGTGACTATCAAGCATGCCAGTCAACTAATTTTGCTTTGTACATCTTACCATTGACATGCAGATACTTAAGCTGTATTTGCTGTTGCTAATGAAAAATCACGTCCTATGAGTGACACACACAAAAGATTATCCAAAGCTAAAATTTTAATTCATATTTGCTGCACCAGACTCCATGAACTATTGTCTTAGTTCAGACAGGTTTGGGGTTTTATTTGAAGCAGTCTTTATTCATTACCCACTTTATGCTTTGCTAAGGACTAGGAATGCAAGGATAAATAATCCACGTGACTCCTGCTTGCAAGGAGCTCATGGTGCGAGAGACAAAAAATGCAAATAAGGCCGGGCGCGGTGGCTCACACCTGTAATCCCAGCATTTCGGGAGGCTGAGGTGGGAGGATCACCTGAGGTCAGGAGTTTGAGACCTGTCTGGCCAACATGGTGAAACCCTATCTCTACTAAAAATACAAAAATTAGCCTGGCATGTTGGCAGATACCTGTAATCCCAGCTACTCGGGAGGCTGAGGCAGGAGAATTACTTGAACCTGGGAAGCAGAGGTTGCAAGGAGCCGAGATCGTACCATTGCACTCCAACCTGGGAGACAAGAGTGAATCTCAGTCTCCAAAAAAGAATGTACAATTGAACATCATCAGCTTATAGGTGTTAGTGAAGCTGAGGAAGCTGCTCTGCTACTGACAGGACTGAAAAAGTCAGATTTTGCTTTTCTGTTGGGTGACTCCTGATAACACAGCATAACATTTATTCTACCATTTTAGCAGAGTGAATGTCTTGCTCCTGTGTATCTCTGAGCAATGGGGATTTTGTTAAATTTGATACAAAAGTTATAGAGCTCTGTTAATCTGTCAATAGGCTCATAATCCTCTTATAAAGAATAAAGAAAAAGGTTTGATTTGGTTTTGCCAATGATGCTGGCTTTGTTTTGTCTCCCAGAACCTTCCTCACGGTCACATAAAGTTTTGAAGACCAGTGGTAAGTCGTAAAATATATTTTCCTGTTTCATTCTTGTTGATATTCACTAAATCAAACCACACAAAAATAAATAAATACCAGATAAATTACATATTGACAGATTTGATTTGATTACAAAAAGATTAACTTCTGTAAATAAAAGTGTCCCATTATAAAATATATAGTCAAAGCCAGGCACAGTAGCTCACGCCTGTAATCCCAGCACTTTGGGAGGCCGAGGCGGGCGGCTCTGTTGAGGCCAGGACTTCGAGACTAGCCTGGCCAACATGGTGAAACCCCGTCTCTACTAAACATACAAAAATTAGCCAGTCCCAGTGGCTCGTGCCTGTAATCCCAGCTACTTGGGAGGCTGAAGCAGGAGAATCGCCTGAACCTGGGAAGCAGAGGTTGCAGTGAGCCGAGATCACGCCATTGCACTCCAGCCTGGGCAACAGAGTGAGACCGTGTCACAAAAAATAATAATAATAAAATTTAAAATAAAATATACAGTCAAATGACATAAAATACTTGTAATATATTTGACAGGCATAAAAAGATTATTATTCCTATTATATAAAGAAACTCCATACATCAAAAAGAAAAGACAGAGGACTCTTTTATTTTTTTTTTTATTTTTTTATTTTTTGAGACAGAGTCTTGCTCTTGTTGCCCAGGCTAGAGTGCAATAGCGCGATCTCGGCTCACCTCAACCTCTGCCTCCCAGGTTCAAGTGATTCTCCTGCCTCAGCCTCCCGAGTAGCTGGGATTACAAGCATGTGCCACCGCGCCTGGCTAATTTTGTATTTTTAGTAGAGATGGGGTTTCTCCATGTTGGTCAGGCTGGTCTCGAACTCCCAACCTCAGGTGATCCACCCGCCTTGGCCTCCCAAAGTGCTGGGATTACAGGCGTGAGCCACCACGCCCAGCCCAAAGGACTCAAAAAAAAAAAAAAAAAAAAAAAAAAAAGAATAGGGCAGTTTCACAAAAACACACAAACTGGCAATAAAAATTTTAAATGGCCATCCATATTCATAATCAGAAAATCCATACATTTAAATGAAATAAATAGAAGGGAAAAAACTATGAACGTGGCCAAAACATATAGAAAAATAGTCACTCCAAAACTGTTGGTGGGAGTAAGTTTTTGCAACGCTTCAGGGGCAAAATTTGGTAATAGTCGTTTGAATTTAAAAATGTACATATCCTCTTAACCCAACAGTTTCACCTGCAGAGATGTACTTACCCACATGCAGACGGATTTATGTGGGAGTTTGTTCTTTGCAGTATTTGTAGCAGGACACTCTATAAAAATGCCCATGCAGTTGGAAATATACTTAAAGAAATTGTAATACATCCATACACACAATGGAATATTCTACAGCTGTCAAAAATAAAGAAGATCTCTACCTGTTCACAAGAGTGTCCACGTATATTTAGCAGAATATACAAAGTTGCATATTGAATCCTTATTTTAAAAGTGAAACAGGCTGGGCGTGGTGGCTCACGCCTGTAATACCAACACTTTGGGAGGCCGAGGAGGGTGGATCACCTGAGGTCAGGAGTTCGTGACCAACCTGGCCAACATGGCAAGATCCCATCTCTACTAAAAATACAAAAATTCACCAGGCATGGTGGTTTATGCCTGTAATCCCAGCTACTGGGGAGGCTGAGACACAAGAATCGCTTGAACCCGGGAGGCAGAGGCTGCAGTGAGCCGAGATTGTGCCACTGCGCTCCAGCCTGGATGACAGAGCGAGACTCCATCTCAAAAAAAATAAAAAATAAATAAAAGCAAAACAGTTATGGTGGGATGGGAGTAGTGCAGGAGCTGGAACGATAAACATTCAGCTGTTAACTGTTGTTTCCTCGGAGGATGGGATCTGTGGAGAGGGAAGGACTTCATATGCTTCCGTAATCATCTTTAAAGGGGAGACACCCATAATTAGGCTAGCTCTAAGGGTGTCTTCTCTAAGGATGTGGCTATGTAAATCTCTCCCCACAATTCCACTGGCAACACCCCTTCTTTGCAAGAAGGCTGCATCTTTCAGTTAAAACCAATAAAATGTCAAAAAATCAGCAGAAACAATATCATCTTTACATAATTGTCATGGCATGGGGCATGTGCAATTTCTTTTTCAGGAAACAACACATTTTTGTTCGGAAGCTTTTGAAATATCTTGAACATGAATTAGTTAATGGCTGTCAGGGATTAAGGAAGACAACTAGTGCTCAGATGCATGTAAGGTTGTTTGATGTAGTGTGGGGGTATGCAGCTGGGAGAGCTGACAGGGATTTTCTGAAAATTAGATCTATAGGGCCCAGAAGTCACTTGGGCTTCAATTACTAGTAATAAGTTTCTAAGTTCTATAAAATATTAGTGCTTACTTATATAGGAGGTACATTTTCATTCTCAAACTTGAAAAAAAACTTTTATTTTTCAGAAACAGCACAAGACATCCAAAAGGTAAGCTCTATCTCATTTCTTACTTGGAAATGTTCACTTCAGGCACCTTTCATAGGTGTCCCTTCCCCATCTCTGTCATCTCCAGCCCGTATTCCAAGTGTCAACAGTTATTTTACATTTTGGAAATATGGTATTTTACATTTTGAATTATTTACATTTGATTTAAGCAAAGACTCATCCTTATCAACTTCTTCCCTTTCCCCAGCCCACATCTGAGAACCATGGTGATTATTTATTCATCCTCTGCCCCATATCACACCTCAGAGGCTGTAACCTTACCTTAGGGTGTAATACCTGCCCGGTGCTCACGTGAGCCACCTCACATTGTCCTTTGCCACCACCAGTGTAAGACCAATGCCCCTGCCTCCTGGATATAACTCCCTCCTCCAAGCGCGAGCCTTCATTCACAAGGGCGAGGGGCCCCCTTCTAAGAATATGGTTCTGCTGCTGACGTAAGAGGTGATGGCGTATGATCGAATGAGACTTTGTCATATCAAGTTTTGATTTTTCTTCCCCTGAGAAAAGCTTAGGAGAGGGAGAATAAGAATGGTATACTGTATTGGAAGATATTATATCCAACTGTATTGCCTATGAAGAATAGGTATTTTCTCCTGACCTGAGTGGTTTGTCCAGTGTGGCTACTGATCAGTTGGCTTAATTAACAATTCTTAGAGAACTGATCATGGCTCCTTGTTTAATGTTCTGTATCTAGAAGAATATGGCTGTGAAACCTCTCCCTATAATCTCATTTCCACCATGGCTTAGCACAGAACCAAAGCGACCTTGTTGATAAACGTTGTATCTTTCCATTAAAACCAAGAAAATGTCTAAAAATCAACGTAGTCTTTTTTTTTTTTTCTTTTGAGACTGGATCTCGCTCTGTTGCCCAGGCTGGAGTGCAGTGGTGCAATCTCAGTTCACTGCAACCTCTGACTCCCGGGTTCAAGCAATTCTCCTGCCTCAGCCTCCCAAGTAGCCTAGTAGCTTGGACTACAGGCACCCGCCACTAGGCCCAGCTGATTTTTGTATTTTTAGTAGAGACGGGGGTTCACCAAGTTGGCAACGCCAGTCTGGAACTCCAGACCACAGGTGACCCACCCGTCTCAGCCTCCCAAAGTGCTGGGATTACAGGCATGAACCACCACACCCGGCTGAACATAATCTTACCTTTAAGTGATTGTCATGGCTGAGGTGTGCGCATTTTTTTTTCAGGTAGTACATGCTTTTGTTTGGAAACGTGTGAAACTTATTAATTGGTTCATTGTCCTGAAATATGGCATAAGGTTTTGGTTTCATAAGTGGGGTCACTGCAGAGGGCTCCCTGCTCTTCAAAGCAGCCACAGTAGCATTGTGGAGCCATGCCCTCTCAGTGCTAAAAGAAGGAATCTCCCCATCAAAGAGTTCTAGAGATTCAGTCTCAGGAGCTGCTTGAAAACTTTCTACAGCAGTGCTCAAGCCAGGTCCATATGGGCATAACCAAACCTTATGAAATAAAAAGGCAAGAAAGAAAACATCCATGCTTTTTTTGTGATAAAATTCCATCTCCTAATAGTAATGTGCTGAAGGTATATTAAATTCAAGGAGAGCAGATTTACTGATGATTAAAGAGTTTGTAACAGCCAGGTGTGGTGGCACACACCTGTAATCCTAGCACTTTGGGAGGCCAAGGTTGGCAGATCACTTTGAGCTCAGGAATTCAAGATCAGCCTTGGCAACATGGCAAAACCCCCTCTCTACAAAAAAAAAGTACAAAAATGAGCTGGGTGTGGTGGCTTGTGCCTGTGGTCCCAGCTACTTGGGAAGCTGAGGCTGGAGAATCACTTCGGCCGAAGTTGTAATGAGCTGAGATAGTGCCACTGCACTCCAGCCTGGGCAACAGAGTGAGATTCTGTCTCATAAATAAATTAACAAGTAGTTTATAACAGGAACTATTCCTTAATAATAGCTTAATATTTCTCCCAGAATATATATTCTGAGGCTGCGTATATGTGTGTATGAGGTGGTTAAGCTCATGTATAAGCCGTGGATTAAGACATGGATTCAAATCTGTTTCTGCCATTTATAAACTGTGTGACTACAGGCAAATTGCTTAACCTTACCAGGACTTAGTTTCCTAATTTACAGAACTGTTAAAAAGATTAAATGCAACATGTTCTTAAAAGTGCTTATTAATGGAATATTTGGCACAAAGCAAGTGTTCTATAAATGATAGCTAATATCGGCCTGGCATGGTGGCTCACGCCTGTAATCCCAGAACTTTGGGAGGCTGAGGTGGTTGGATCACCTGAGGTCAGGAGTTTGAGACCAGCCTGGCCAACATGGTGAAACCCTGTCTCTACTAAAAATACAAAAAAATCAGCAGGGCGTGGTCGTGGGCGGCTGTAATCCCCAGCCACTCAGGAGGCTGAGGCAGGAGAATTGCTTGAACCCAGGAGGTGGAAGTTACAGTGAGCTGAAATCGTGCCATTGCACTCCAGCCTGGGCAACAAGAGCAAAAAAGGCTGGGCGCGGTGGCTCACACCTGTAATCCCGGCACTTTGGGAGGTCACAGCGGGCGGATTGCCTAAGCTTGGGAGTTCACGATCAGCCTGGCCAACACAGTGAAACCCCGTCTCTACTAAAATACAAAAAATTAGCCGGGCATAGCGGCATGCACCTGTAGTCCCAGCTACTTGGGAGGCTGAGGCAGGAGAATCACTTGAACCCGGGAGGTTGAGGTTGCAGTAAGCCGAGATTGTGCCACTGTACTTTAGCCTGGGCAACAGGGTGAGACTCTGTCTCAAAAAATAAAAACATGATAGCTAATATCATTGTTAAATAGCTCAAATGCTGAGAATGTGGAAGGACAGGAGAAAAGTTCATTCAGGCTGTGGCAAAACTGCCGTATCGAAATTATTAGGTTGGTGCAAAAGTAATTGCACTTTTTACCATGACTTTCAGTATTGTGACCAACATATGCTGATTCTTTCCTATTTTTTTAAACATTTATTTATTTATTTTGAGACAGGGTCTTGCTCTGTCACCCAGGCTGGAATGCAGTGGCACGATCTCAGCTCACTTTAGGCTCAGGAATCCTCCCACCTCAGCCTCCCAAGTAACTGGACTACAGTCATGCGCCACCACGCCCGGCTAACTCATTTTTTGTAGAGACAAGGTCTGACTATGTTGCTCAGGCTGGTCTTAAACTCCTTAACTCAAGTGATCCTCCCACCTTCACCTCCCAAAGTGCTGGGATTACAGGTGTGTATCACCGTGTCCAGCCTGATTCTCTCTCTATCTTTCTTTCTGTTTCTTTCTTCCTTCCTTTCCTTTCCCTTTCTTTCCTTCCTTTCCTTCCTTTATTTCCTTTCTTTCCTTTCTCTTTCTTTTCTTCCTTCTTTCTTTATTAAATTTTTTTGTAGAGATGGGGTGTCTCACCATGTTGCCCAGGCTGGTCTCTAGTTTCTGGGCTCAAGTGATCTGCCTGCCTTGGCCTCCCAAAGTGCTGGGATTACAGACATAAGCCACCGTGCCCAGATGATTACTTCTTAATTTAAGAGTGTCTTCAGTTTTCTTAATGATTAATTTGATGTAAATTTACAGCTTCCAAAAAACTGCTTTCTTTTTTTTTTTTTTTTTGAGATAGAGTTTCGCTCTTGTTGCCCAGGCTGGAGTGCAGTGGCACAATCTCGGCTCACTGCAACCTCCGCCTCCCGGGTTCAAGCGGTTCTCCTGCCTCAGCCTCCCAAGTAGCTGGGATTACAGGCATGCATCACCATGCCCGGCTAATTTTGTATTTATAGTAGAGACGGGTTTCTTCATGTTGGTCAGGCTGGTCTCGAACTCCCGACCTCAGGTGATTCGCCCGCCTCTGCCTTCCAAAGTGCTGGGATTACAGGCGTGAGCCACTGTGCCTGGCCAAAACTGCTATTTTCATTTCAAGTGTAATTACCTTAAAAAGATACTTCAGCGGCACAGCTGGCTTGAGCAACTGAACTGGAAACAAGATGCAGGACCCCAACGCAGACACTGAGTGGAATGACATCTTACGCAAAAAGGGTTTCTTACCCGCCAAGGAAAGAATTGGAAGAATTGGAAGAGGAGGCAGAAGAGGAGCAGCGCATCCTCCAGCAGTCAGTGGTGAAAACATATGAAGATATGACTTTGGAAGAGCTGGAGGATCACGAAGGCGAGTTTAATGAGGAGGATGAATGTGCTATTGAAATGTACAGACAGCAGAGACTGGCTGAGTGGAAAGCAACTAAACTGAAGAATAAATCTGGAAAAGTTTTGGAGATCTCAGGGAAGGATTATGTTCAAGAAGTTACCAAAGCTGGCGAGGGCTTGTGGGTCATCTTGCACCTTTACAAACAAGGAATTCCCCTCTGTGCCCTGATAAATCAGCACCTCAGTGGACTTGCCAGGAAGTTTCCTGATGTCAAATTTATCAAAGCCATTTCAACAACCTGCATACCCAATTATACTGATAGGAATCTGCCCACGATATTTGTTTACCTGGAAGGAGATATCAAGGCTCAGTTTATTGGTCCTCTGAGTGTTTGGCGGCATGAACCTGACAAGAGATGAGTTGGAATGGAAACTGTCTGAATCTGGAGCAATTACGACAGACCTGGAGGAAAACCCTAAGAAGCCGATTGAAGACGTGTTGCTCTCCTCAGTGCGGCGCTCTGTCCTCATGAAGAGGGACAGCGATTCCAAGGGTGACTGAGGCTACAGCTGCTATCCCATGCCGAACTTTCTTGTGACAAATTGTCTGGATTTTTTAAAAAAGGAAAAAGCAAGAATGAATCCTTGTGGTTTTTAGTTTTGTATAAATTATGTTTCAAATCTTTACATTTTGGAAATAATCATTGCTGGAGATTCTGTTAAATATTTTGGAACTCTTTTTTTTAAATTATAGTATTTCCTCTAAAAAAAATTAAAACCAGCCATTTGTATGGCAAAAAAAAAAAAGATACTTCAATATTAACAATTCAGGTTTCCTAATTTTCTAAAACCTATGGGAATTTTCTGGGATGGACGATCTTAGGAAGGATCACTTTTGGCTGTTGTGAGAAACACAAAATAATTTTATTACACTTTAAAAATGTTTTGTCATAATTTAGTTAATATTAACCTTGTTTTACTTTATAAAAAGTAGTTACTGGGTGCCTATATTTTTATAACATTAAACCAGTGCAGTCTGAGTAAGGTGAAGAGAAAGATATATTAAAGAATGTGAAAAACATATATATGAACAAATATTAGGTATAAATATTGTGTGTGTATGTATGTGTGAAAAGAAATAAATGGCTAATTGAATTGCTTAAGTTTTAATAGAAAAATAACATTTAGGATGAAATTCCATTATTGTCTCTCTACTCCTCTCTTCCCTCTCTAATAGATATTCCAATTAACATCTATCCCATTTTCATTGACATGTGATGAAAAGTTCTTGCTTATTTGACATTTCCAATAGGTTACTATAGTGTTTTATTAGAATATATGTCTCTGGTACTAATTAGGTCTTAACCCTTTCAAGCCTTTGAAGTTAATCCTGTCTGCAGAATAGAATCAGAGGGTAATCTGCTCCTGTCTGCACCACTGAGCTCCATCCAGAAGGGTTCCAAGTTATAAAAGACCTCATTGTTTTCTTTGATTAGAAATCACTAATTTGGCTGGGTGCAGTGGCTCAGGCCTATAATCCTAGCACTTTGGGAGGCCAAGGTGGGCGGATCTCTTGAGGCCAGGAGTTTGTCTAAGACCAGCCTGGCCAACACAGCAAAACCCTGTCTCTACTAAAAATACAAAAATTAGCCAGGCGTGGTGGCGGGCACCTATAATCCCAGCTACTCCAGAGGCTGAAGCACGAGAATTGCTTGAACCCAGGAGGCAGAGGTTGCAGTGAGCCAAGATCATGCCAAGGGACCCAGGCTGCATTCCAGCCTGGGCGACAGAGCGAGATTCTGTGTCAAAAAAATAAAAATTAAAAAATTATTAATATTGTTCCTATTTTACTTCCTTATAGGCAACTAAATGTTAATTAAATGTATTTTGAAATAAGTAAAAATGTCATTAAATGAACAGAGGATTAAATTACACTCCTACAATAAAAACTCTTTGCCTAGAGTCTATAAACCAAGGTAATGCTGGCCATGTTCGTGGTGGGTCTGCAGATTTAAGAGAAATCCTTGGAGTGTGTGGTCGGGTCAGCAGAAGGGGCTTTTCGTATACCAGAAACCACGATAAAACTGCTAGGAGACAAGCACTGGCCCTAAAGCTCCTTAGAAAGTCTCAAATAGAACAGATAGCATGGCCCTTAACTTCTATACATATTAATTTATGCAATGAATATTTGCCAAATGTACACCAGACTTACTTGAAGAATCTAAGAATTTTCTGTATTTAGCTTATATCATGCTTTGGGGCAAGGGGTTTGGGGTTAGACCTGGGTTCTAGCAGTAGTCTTACTACTGACTAGATAGAGCAAGTTACTGAACCTTTAGGAACCTAGATTTCCTTACTGTGAAATTGGTACGATCATACCTAATTTCATAAAATGATTGTGAATATTAAGTTTGGAGAATGTCTGCACATTGCCCAGCCTAGTTTCTAAGTATATATTAGTTCCTGTCCTTCCCTTTTTGAAAATATCTGAAGTGCTTTTCAAGTCAGTTAAACACTCAGCCAGGTGTAGTGGTTCACACCTGTAGTGCCAGCTACTTGGGAGGCTGAGGTGGGAGGATTGCTTGAGCCCAGGAGTTTGAGATTAGCCTGGGTAACACAGCAAGACCCTATCTCAGAAAAAAATAAAAGAATATTAAAGCCTAGTGGGGGAGGCAGTGTGTAAACACAGGAGAAATTCCTGAGTTATGTGTCTTCTCCATGGTGCTGTGATTCAGTTGATATGTTTCCATCTTCCTCAGGTTTCTAGAGAGGAAGGATCTCCCCAGCTGTCTTCAGCAAGGCCGTCTCCTGCCCAGAGAAATAGTCAGCCTAGCAGTTCTACCATGATCAGCGTGCTTCGAGCGGGTGGAGCTCTCAGAAACATCTGGACCGATCACCAGATCAGGCAAGCCTTGTTTCCCAGCCGACGGTCCCCGCAGGAGAATGAGGATGATGAAGATGATTATCAGATGTTCGTGCCGTCATTTTCCTCCTCAGATCTGAACTCTACCAGACTATGTGAAGATAGCACTTCTAGTCGCCCTTGCAGCTGGCATATGGGACAGATGGAGTCCACAGAGACCTCCAGCTCTGGTCACAGGATTGTCAGGCGGGCCAGCAGTGCTGGGGAGAGCAACACATGCCCTCCTGAAATAGGAACTAGTGACAGAACTAGGGAACTGCAGAACAGCCCCAAAACAGAAGGGCAGGAGGAGATGACTCCCTTTGGGTCATCCATAGAGTTGACTATTGATGACATAGACCATGTCTATGATAACATCAGTTATGAGGACTTAAAACTAATGGTTGCTAAGCGGGAAGAAGCTGAATCCACTCCCTCTAAATCAGCCAGGGACTCCGTTCGCCCCAAGAGCACCCCAGAGTTAGCCTTCACAAAGAGGCAAGCTGGCCACAGTAAGGGCTCTCTTTACGCACAAACAGATGGCACCCTCTCAGGTGGAGAGGCATCCAGCCAAAGCACGCATGAACTCCAAGCGGTTGAGGAGAACATCTATGACACCATAGGGCTCCCAGATCCTCCGTCGCTGGGTTTTAAGTGCAGCAGCCTAAAGCGTGCAAAGCGGAGCACCTTTTTGGGTCTGGAGGCCGACTTCGTGTGCTGTGACAGCCTGAGGCCATTTGTTTCCCAAGACAGCCTCCAGCTCAGTGAGGACGAAGCCCCTTACCATCAGGCCACTCCCGATCATGGTTATCTGAGTTTGCTGTATGACTCTCCCAGTGGTAACTTGTCTATGCCTCATAAGCCTGTATCTGATAAACTGTCCGAAGAAGTAGATGAAATCTGGAATGACCTGGAAAATTACATCAAGAAAAATGAAGACAAGGCCAGAGACCGTCTCCTGGCAGCGTTTCCTGTGAGCAAGGATGATGTGCCAGACAGGCTGCACGCAGAGAGCACCCCTGAGCTGAGCCGGGACGTGGGGCGCTCTGTGTCCACGCTGTCCCTGCCTGAGAGCCAGGCTCTCCTCACGCCCGTGAAGAGCAGGGCTGGCAGAGCCAGCCGCGCCAACTGCCCCTTTGAGGAAGACCTGATTTCTAAAGAAGGCTCCTTTATGAGCCTTAACCGGCTTTCTCTGGCTAGTGAAATGCCCCTCATGGACAATCCCTACGACCTGGCCAACAGTGGCCTGTCTCAAACAGACCCAGAAAACCCTGACCTGGGGATGGAGGCCACAGATAAGACAAAAAGCAGGGTGTTTATGATGGCTCGGCAGTACAGTCAGAAGATTAAGAAGGCGAATCAACTTTTAAAAGTGAAAAGTCTGGAGCTGGAGCAGCCGCCGGCCAGTCAGCATCAGAAATCCATGCACAAAGACCTGGCTGCCATCTTGGAAGAGAAGAAGCAAGGAGGGCCCGCCATTGGTATGTGCACCCTGCCCTTCTTCCTTCTCCAAAGTAAGAGGGGAGAGCGGTTTTCAGATTTCAGATGTCCTTAAAACGGACACACCTGTGAGAACACTGACACTCAAGCTTTGTCATCTCAAAGTAAGACCACAGACAAAGCCATACTGGCCTTTCTCACATCGCCTCCTGTGAATTATCCACATTGTAGCATGATTTGGCCTCAGAGGGTGGTGGTGTGCATGTAACATCGTAACTGCAGAGATAATATTTTAAGAAAGAGTTTTCTCTAAGGTGATCTGAAGTATGAAAAACGCAATCAGTTTTAACCTGTGCTATCTCCAACTTTTCCAGTATATCAGTAATTTTTTAGGAGGAGGAGGAGTGTGTATGATCTTCTGAGGTTTGGAAGCATATAGAATAACATTGTTTCTGGCTTCAGGATCTCAACAAAAATGCCAACTCGTGCTAACAAAAAGAGGGGTTTTTTTGCATACTTTTTTTTTTTTTTTTTTGAGACAGGATCTCACTGTCACCCAGGCTGGAGTACAGTGACACAATCACAGCTCACTGCAGCCTCAGCCTCCCCAGGCTCAAGCAGTCCTCCCACCTCAGCCTCCTGAGGTGGGACCAGAGGCACTAACCACCATGCCCAGCTACTTTTTACATTTTTTGTAGAGAAGGGGTTTCACCATGTTGCCCAGGCTGGTCTCGACTCCTGGGCTCAAGCAATCCTCTTGCCTCAGCCTCCCAAAGGGCTGGGATTACAGGTGTGAGCCACCACGCCAGCCATTGTACTTTCCTTAGTTGCTCGCACTATAAATCAATGGTTTTCTCACATATCTCCATTACTACTCAATTTTTTTTTTTTTTTTTGAGATAGGGTCTGGCTCTGTCACCCAGGCAGGAGTGCAGTAGCATGAACATGGCTTACTGCAGCCTCTGCCTCCTGGGCTCAGGTGATCCTCCCACCTCAGCCTCTCTAGTAGCTGGGACTACAGGTGTGTACCACCACGCCCCGCTAATTTTTTTGTGTGTGTGGTTTTTTTGTAGAGATGGGATTTTACCGTGTTGCCCAGGCTGCTCTCAAACTCCTGGGCTCAAGTGACTCTCCCACCTTGGCCTCCCAAAGTGCTAGGATTACAGGCGTGAGCCGCCACACCTGGCCTACTGCTCAATTTTTTAAAATAGCTGCTGTAATGCATTCAACACTATCTCATTTAGTATTTTCATATATGCTTCTGAGTTTAATGCTTTAGTTAGACTCCTTTGTGGAGCACAACCAAACCAGAATCTTAGGTGTGATATTGTAGGATCAGGACTATGGGAATGAGATGCTCATGGTTAGACTTTTTTTGAAGGCCAAAATTTAACACTGATCTCTGGGGAAGAGCCTAGCTGTGAATAAAGCCCCTGATTGTCATAGAAAGAAAAGTCCAAAGGTAGTGGCTCTTGCCTGAGGAGCTTTTACCTCCAGGCACAGAGAGATTTCTGGCTATAGGCTCAGGAATATGCCTTTCAAATAGTATGCCCTTTTCATCATATTTTAAGAAATCCTGCCCCAGATTTTCTAACCAAGGACCACCTTAGTATCAAATGAGAGGAGTCTATTCTACAATTAAAAGTGAAAGCTGGGTGATGGCTTAGTATCAGGACAGGCTCTGATCATTAGCTTCATTATCAGCACATTGGGACAGGTTGATGCCACTAACTATTAAATGCTGTCTTTGGGATTGACATTGACATCCATGGAAACTGAAGAATAGGAAGGGCATATCCAAATCTTAAATGAATGCACAAGTTACATAACAAGAATCTGTAGGGAACTTTTTTTTTTAAGTTTGAGAGTATTTAAGAATTGTCTAAAGTTTTAATCTTCAGTACAATTTCTTAACAGATAGGGAAACAAAGTGCTGGAATTGATGCCTGAAGGATTTCACAGACTCTGAGTTCTTCTTTTTAATCAAATGAAGGTTTTGTATGCATGTGAGACTAGAATGCATGTATTTTTCTCCTTGCCATGATGCACTATGAGTAATTCAAGTCCCTATTCTGATGCTAGCGTTGCTAAGCTGGTTTGCTGTTACAGGGAAAGTGACTGAGTTCCCGCTGCAGGAGGACAATTTTGGTGGGGTAGGGGAATATATATGGCCTTAGAAACAGTTGTATATTGGCAATTGCAAGCACTGACTAAGTCTGGGTTGGGGCTCCTCAGCATAAGAGGAAATGTAATGCTGAAGTTTTTGATGATGATGGGTTATGCCCACAGACTACCACTGAAAAAGTAGTAATTCCCTGGGCCAGGTTGTTTTGAATATGGACCATCTGTTAAAATACAAAGCTCCAATCTTGACAGAAGCATGTCCTTTGATACTGAATCATTAGGGCCTACGACTACCTCGAGTAGTCTTCTTTTTTACCCACCTTTTTAAGTATTAAATGATTTCACATTGGGGTTTTCTTTTCACTTTTGGTTGGCTCTCCTTTTTGTTTTGCCTGCTGGTGTTGTCTTGGGATGCCCCAGGATCTTTTCTCAGCTTTGCGTCTGGGTCCTTTCTTGACATGGTGGGCTCCTGTCGACGTTCTCCCCAGCAAGGAGGAGGAAATCTCTCCCGAGTCATCTTCTGAGAGTGCTGTCTTCCCTGCCATCTGGCAGAGGCACGTCCCTAGGACCTGATGAGTTATATCCACACCTCGTCCAGCTGGGTGATCGAGACCACTTCCTGTGCCCACTAGGCTTTCCGTCAGTTGACATGATGACTCCTTTTCTCTTTCTTGTTTATCTGGGCACAGGACGTCGTAATCGAATGGACCGATTCTCCAGACTTCTCCGTGTGGGCCTTGCCGCTTTGCCAGGAGCTTGCTCTCGGTGCTGTGCGGAAGGAGGAGCACCTTATTCACCTGCCGAAACTCTCGAGCATCTTTATTGAACTCTCTAGCCGGGGTCTCCAGGCCCTGGGTCAGATTTCTGCCTATAAATCACCCAACCAGGTCCAGTTGCTCCCATATCTTAGAGCCTGTCATAGCATGCTGGCCATCTTGTTCCATCAGACCTTCCTCCTGATAGTCTTTGAGAGCAAGGAGGCCTTTGGGTTTCTGGGTTTTTTGGTGATGTTTCACATGGGAGAAAACTCCATACAGGCTTGAGAAATTTTCCTCCTTGTGTAGAGTAGGGAAGGCACAATTTTATGCTTTTGTCTGCATCTCGAGCAACATCAGAAACATTTATTTTAATCCTCTGTCTGGAGGATTAAAATGTTGTTTGATATTTCCCTTGGCAAACATTATTCTAAATTTTTGTCTGAGATCATAAGAACTCCAATTTTCAAATCTCAAAAAAGGCAATAAACCAGAGACATTCTTGCGATTGTCATGTAGTCATAATGTATATATTCTATACAACTGTTAATACTAGAACTAAGGATATGGGGGAGCCTCAACTCAGCTGACTAATACTAAGCTTTTTAGGCCAGAGGTGTCATCTCAGGCTGGCTGTTCCCTGTACATCTGGCTAATAGAATCTGTTTAATTACAGCTGGAGCTCTGGAAGCTTGTCTCTTGTTCACATAGATGTCACACAAGCTATAGACTCTCTTAGAAGGTCAAGCTGAAACAAAAAGCCCCTTAGATCAGCAGGTGCAGTGACTCACACCTGTATGGCCAGGCACAGTGACTCACACCTCTATTGCCTACTAGTGAGATACCTTTTATTCAAAATTGATAAATGGTCAACTCTATCATCCAAAGATAAACTGTTCCCATTATGAGTTATCTATAGGAAGCATTTTAGCTGTCTTCTTGCTTCTGCTTTTTCTGCTTATGACCTGATTTCCAGGCCACCTTTCCACTCCCAGTGGTATGGTCTCAGGAAAGTGCATCCCTTTTTAAAAGTAGGCTTAAAATGAAAGGAGTCTGGGTGCAGTGGCTCACATCTATAATCCCAGCACTTTGGGAGGCTGAGGCGGGCAGATCACTTGAGGTCAGGAGTTCAAGACCAGCCTGGTCAACATGGTGAAATCTCGTCTCTACTAAAAATACAAAGAATTAGCCAAGCGTGGTGGCGGGCACCTGTAATCCCAGCTACTCTGGAGGCTGAGGCAGCAGAATCGCTTGAACCTGGGAAGTGGAAGTTGCAGAGAGCCGAGATTGCGCCACTGCATTCCAGCCTGGGCAACAGAGTGAGACTCCATCTCAAAAAGATTAAAAAATAAGTAAAATAAAGAAGGGAGTGAAAAAAATTCTGAGTAATGAATTAGTTATTGAGACCACTTTCTGTCTAAACCATGCTAGGTCCTCTATAGGGAGTTGAACAAAATGTACAGCATTGTTCTCCCAGACCAAAAGCTCAGAGGCCAGGCGAGGTGGCTCACACGTGTAATCCTAGCACTTTGAGAGGCCAAAGCAGGAAGATTGCTTGAGCTCAGGAGTTTGTGACCAGCCTGGGCAACATAGCAAGACTTTCTCTCTACAAAAAATTTAAAAGTTAAAAATTTCCAGGCACAGTGGCTCATGCCTATAGTCCCAGGTACTCAGGAGGCTGAGGCAAGAGGATTATTTGAGCCCAGGAGTCTGAGGCTGCAGTGAGTTATGATTGTACCATTCCACTCTAGCCTGGCCAACAGAATAAGACCCTGTCTCAAAAAAAAAAAAAAGAAAAGAAAAGCTCAGGGACTAATAAAGTAACTTACATAAAATGGCCAGGTGCAGTGACTCACACCTGTAATCCCAGCACTTAGGGAGGCTAAGGCTGGTGGATCACTTGAGATCAGGAGTTCGAGACCAGCTTGGCTAACATGGCAAAACCCTGTCTCTACTATAAATACAAAAATTAGCCAGGCGTGGTGGTGGGTGCCTGTAGTCCCAGCTACTAGGAAGGCTGAGGCAGGAGAATCACTTGAACCCAGGAGGTAGATGTTGCAGTGAGCCAAGATCCTGCCACTGCACTCCAGCCTGGGCAACAGAGTGAGACTTTGTCTCAAAAAAACATAAAATGAAAATAAAGTAACCTACATAAAATAATTAGCAACACAGCAATACAAATTGTGTGTGTCTGCATGTGTGTGTGTGTGCACACACAGGCAACAGCTAGGTACACACTATGTAAGACTTCAGAGAAGAGAAATCAGAAAAGGATTCAAGTAAGGAGAAGATAGGGCTTATGGAGAATCTTGAGAGATGAGTAGGATTTGATTAAGCAAAGGACAAGGAGTGTATAATAAGACAAAGGCATGGGAAATACTGTGGATATTTTGGATGATATGTGATTTCAGATTATCTGGGCTAAAGTCAAGATCTGATTGTTCTTACAAGACTTAATGGTTAAATTTTGATACTGGAATAGTTTGTTTGAATTTTTAAAGTTCTACTACATTTTCCAAAATTGTCATCTTCTTGGAACCTTGTAGAAGTTCAGAGCCTTCCTGATACAGCTGTGGGATCAGGCTCAGGGCTATACTGTATGTGAGAATGGCTTGAGCAGACCATCTGCCTTTCAGGCAGGTCTGCTAACTAATGACTATATTAAAGGTCCAGCTGATTTTGATTGGGTTTCATAGTTAATGAAATATTATAGTTTCAGGATGGCTACCATGGGCACACTGGTGTCTGTGGAGACTTTTACACTCTTTCTCTTAAGATGTTGCTAAACCCTAATTAGTATTAAGAGTCTTTACTGCGCCTTTTATGGAATCATTTCTCAAGTTTTTGTAACTAGAAATTTCAACACTAATAATCTCTGTTCTTCCAAGGAATTTGGAGTTGAAAACTCAAAGGATCTGAGTATAGGTCTGTAATGAGAAGTTAGACTATTTACCTTGATCACAGGGAATAGGGGGTGAGGGATTGGGGTTGCAATTAAAGGTCACACAATAACAGGTTGTTTCTCTCTCCTCATAGAAGATAGACTCAAAAGAAATGACAAAACTCACCTAAATGAGTATTTATTAGTAGTTTAAGTTCAAGAAATAATTTACTGATAACACATCATTAAAAATGTAAATAGCTTAAAGAAGAAGAAGAAAACAGTGTTACCTGCTGGTTGTCATATATAGGATACATTTCCTTCATAAAGATTGTGTCAATATGGTCTGAGCAAGTTATAGGATGCGTTAGAGGAACCTTGTCCAACCTATGGCCCACAGCTGCATGCAGCCCATAACAGCTTTGAATGTGGCCCAACACAAATCTGTAAACTTTCTTAAAACATTAAGGGTTTTTTTTATTTTGAGATTTTTAAAAAGCTCATCAGCTATCACTACTGTTAGTGTATTTTATGTGTGTCCCAAGACAATTATTCTTCCTCCAATGTCTTCTGGGGAAGCCAAAAGATTGGACACCCCTGCATTAGAGTTTTTTGATTCTAGGGTGGTTGTGCAGATACCTGGATTGGGGAGGGTGGCAGATCTTGAAATTGTCATCTCTGGGCTCCCATCTTAAATTTTTGCTAGCCGAAGAGAATCCCCTACCCATAGCATGGTTAATGTATTAATATTTAGAAATATCTGTACTCAGAATCAGGGCAAAGGGGAGAATGGACTTGTGGCTTAATTTTAAGCGGCAAAAGCTTTTGTGGAAGTAACTGTTAGGTCCTATTCTTGAACCAGTAGTAGAGAGCATTAGATTATTGAGTACATGCACAGACGGTTCCTTCTTAATGTCTTGGCGGCCTAGGCTTTAGTGCTCTGCTTCTTGGGGATGTGAAATGAGATGTGAGTTAGTCAATACATGTGGTTTTGAAGCACTTGAGGGGAGAACTTTACTTAGTAGACATTGGTTCCCCAGACAATGGCAGTGGAGGGCTGCCTGGAAGCAAGAAGCGCAGCAACAGCCAGGAGCTGACTCCTCTAGGAGCAGCTGTCTGAGACAAAAAAAGAATGATGGGAAGCCAGGGGTAGCCATTGCATTGTGGATTGTGGCCATGCTGCTTTTTTTGTTTGTTTGTTTTTGTTTTAGATGGAGTCTCACTCTGTCACCCAGGCTAGAGTGCAGTGGCATGATCTTGGCTCACTGCAGCCTCCGCCTCCCAGGTTCAAGCAATTCTCCTGCCTCAGCCTCCCAAGTAGCTGGGACTACAGGTGCACGCCACCATGCCTGGCTAAATTTTTGTAATTTTAGTAGAGATGGGGTTTCACCATGTTGGCCAGGCTGGTCTTGAACTCCTGACCTCAAGTGATCCACCTGGTTTGGCCTCCGAAAGTGCTAGAATTACAGGCGTGAGCTATTACGCCCAGCCCTGCGATGCTGCTTTTAAAGACTGCTTGAATGATTTTTCATTGACCAGGCTGAAGTGCTGACTTTCTTACTTTTATGATGCATGTTTTCAGCACTGACACTGTTTTATGCTTATAAAGAACACTAGAAACTTTCATTATATATAGTGGACACTTGCAGACCTGCTGTTGAAACAAAATAATGGACAATTAGATGAAATTAAATGAACTTTTAGGTGGCATTTTTATTTATATTAAACCATGGATTTGTGTGTGTGTGTTGCTCAGAGTTCAAAGATTACTCATCCTTAGACATCAGTTAGTCTTGTCTACTGTCAAAATTTTAAAATACGTTGGTTAGAATGTTATTCTCTTATTTTTAATCTTCACGTATAGGAATTATCCTGTGTGTATTTACTGTTTCAATATTTGCCTTCCAGGTGCCAGGATTGCTGAGTATTCCCAGTTGTATGACCAGATTGTATTCAGAGAGTCTCCCTTGAAAATTCAGAAGGATGGCTGGGCCAGCCCTCAAGAATCCTCCCTCCTGAGGTCTGTGTCACCTTCCCAGGTCCACCATGGTAGTGGAGACTGGCTTCTGCATTCAACCTATAGTAATGGAGAGTTAGCAGATTTCTGTCTCCCACCAGAGCAAGACTTGAGGTCAAGATATCCCACGTTTGAGATCAATACAAAAAGTACTCCCAGGCAATTGTCCGCAGCTTGCTCTGTGCCTTCTCTTCAAACCTCTGACCCTCTGCCAGGCTCTGTGCAGAGATGCAGCGTGGTAGTAAGTCAGCCCAACAAAGAGAACTGGTGTCAGGACCATCTTTACAACTCCTTGGGTCGGAAAGGGATCAGCGCTAAATCTCAGCCTTATCACAGGTCCCAGTCATCTTCCTCCGTCTTGATCAACAAATCAATGGATTCCATCAACTACCCTAGTGATGTGGGAAAGCAGCAGCTGCTGTCTTTACACAGAAGTTCAAGGTGTGAGAGTCACCAGGACTTGCTGCCAGATATTGCTGACTCGCATCAACAGGGCACTGAAAAACTCTCAGATCTCACACTCCAAGACTCACAGAAAGTTGTGGTGGTCAATAGAAATTTACCCTTAAATGCCCAAATTGCAACACAGAATTATTTTTCCAATTTCAAAGAGACTGATGGAGATGAAGATGACTATGTGGAAATCAAGTCAGAAGAAGATGAGTCGGAGTTGGAGCTATCTCACAATCGTAGAAGGAAATCTGACTCAAAGTTTGTGGATGCTGACTTTTCTGATAATGTCTGCAGCGGCAACACATTGCATTCTTTGAATAGTCCGCGCACTCCAAAAAAGCCGGTTAACAGCAAACTTGGCCTTTCACCATATCTGACACCATATAATGATTCTGACAAACTGAATGACTATCTTTGGAGGGGGCCATCTCCCAATCAACAAAATATTGTCCAGTCTCTAAGGGAAAAATTTCAGTGTCTCAGTTCAAGCAGCTTTGCTTAAGGTTCTTCATAATAACTGCTTGAATCAACTTCTTATTTTGCTCATAAAACGTTACAGATACTGATGAGGTGTTTTATGTATACCAGATTAAAACAATTTTGTAAGAACCAGAGGTGTAAAATATACTTTCTTTTACAGCACAACTTTTGGAAATGGCTGACGATGCAGCCCGGATTGTACTGTAGCACATGTTGGCATCAACAGTATATTTTCTCATGCTGAGTGTCTTCATGTTTCATGTAAGTCAATCTTACTTGAAAGTTTTTAGACTTTTAACACGATGGCCATAACCTGACAATAGTGCCCACACCTTAAGAAATGCAATAATCCTTTCCTGTTATCCAGAAGGCCCAGGTAGTTTTATCCTGTGACTCAAAGGCAGCAAGGAGACTTTTTCACATTTTAAAAGGCAACGAAAGCTGTTGAAAGAATTATGCTTATATCTCACATTTTGGTTATATTTGTGGTAACACCTTAGGATAACGTAAGCCAGAGATCTGTAAATTGGACTGCAGTCTGAGGTGCCCATTTTAGGGTTTTTGTGCTAGTATTCTTTTATGTCATTTTGATGCAGAAATTGTGTGACTGTTGAAAATTAAAATGTAGCGGGACCCATTTTCTGTACGCAGAACCCTTTACCTGTATTCCTGGACAAGGCCTAGAGAACGAGCTGCTCATCATGTTTCTAATATAATTTCTGGGGTGAAATGAATGATTTCCTTACTGGCTTAGAGAAAACCAAGGTCAATAAAATGCAGATTGACTTAACTATTAGAAAAGATGGGATGACTTCTGGGAACCACTTAACTCTTCAAATGACTGTTGAAAGAGAAAAAGCAAAACTGAAATCCCACCAGACCATTTTGTGTGCCTGTTTCTAATCGATACAAAGTTAAGCATGAGCTAAAATCAGACAAAGCACTTTAAATTTATCCTTTCCAGAGCGCTTTGCACATGCACCCTCCTGAGTTTGGGATTCTGCCAAATGACCAACTTGATCCTGGCCCTGAGGAGTCATTGGCTGCAGGAATAGGGCAAGAATCTATTTCCTAAACTACACATAACATGGGAGCCTTTTTTTCGTTGTTTTCAGGTATATTAAAGAATGAAATCTTTGGTTACTAGGTGCTGACTAATAAATAACACCTTTTATATTCTGACCATTTGTCACATTTCATTGTGATACTGTATACTGATCTAACTCCTTATGAAAGGCAACAAACAAAAATAAGACATTGAATAAAAAGCAAAATCAAAGAAGCTAAAGAGAAAAATGAAGGCAGATATATTGCAACTTTATAACATATTCTATTTTATTGAAGACTGCAATTAATGCAGCAAGAATGCTTTCTCAAGCGGTGGCCTTTGTATTCTCATTTTAATCAGGTGTACATTCTATGGCCTCTCCCCCATGCTGTTAGTTTCTATTTTAAAAGATACAATAATATATGTAGGGAAAGGGGCCTGGGCTCTTCATTTAAAGGTAAGCAGTAATATTGAGTAAGTGACATAATTCTTTTTCTCTTTGTTAAGTCCTATGCCTCTTTTTCTTAACTGTAAAACATAGAATATGAGCGTTTTTATCTTACAAATAGGTACCTAAGGCATGTGATTTTATTTTTAAATAACAAAAAATAACCCAAGTTTCTTGCTTCTCCAAAGTATTCTTCTCATAGCTTATAAAAGAAAGTCCACATTGAATAGCATGGTCTGGGAACATTCCTTCTTTATTGTGTTTATTTGAACATGATATGAGTTTCCAAGATGAAATGATCAAAAAAGATAAGTACCACAAGAAAGTTTTTTTGTTTGGTTGGTTTTTTTGTTTGTTTGTTTTTTTCTTGAGACTGAGTCTCTCCCTGTTGCCCAAGTTGGAGTGCAATCTTGGCTCACTGCAGCCTCCACCTCCCCGGTTCCAGCGATTCTCCTGCCTCAGCCTCTTGAATAGCTGGGATTACAGGCGCCCGCCACCACACCTGGCTAATTTTTGTGTTGTTAGTAGAGGCGGGGTTTCATCATGTTGGCCAGGCTGGTCTCGAACTCCTGATCTCATGATCCGTCTGCCTCGGCCTCCCAGAGTGCTGGGATTACAGGCATGAGCCACTGCGCCCGGCCAAGAAAGTATGTTTTTAGAGGTGTGTGTAAGTGCATTTGTATTACCTATGAACAAAATTACCTGACTCTTGTCCCAGGAAAGCTGTTTCGCATTTTCGCTTTTTGATTGGTATTATCCAGTTCTATGTAGTTCATATTATTGTTCTGTCTGACTCTCAGAAATTACTTCTTCACGCCAGTGTCTTGTTGCATGACTTTGATGTCACCTATAGGAATACACCTCACTGCACGTAAGTGGGTATCTTACTGTATAAAAGGTCTACATGGCTTTAGGTTTTAGGACAAATGTGTAGATTTATAGACCATTTCTGTTGGCCAGGACACAGATTTTGAGAGCTGTGTGTATATATATATAATCATGTTTGTATTTTTTTCCTGAAAGTTATCAATTGCTTTTGTTTAAAACAGTTTGTTTTAGAGGTGGGGTGGGGATGTATATAACGAGGAAAAGTTATATGTACTTTAAAGTATGTCAAGTTCTTACTAGTTTCCTGTACTGAAGGTTCAATTTTTTTTATATAAGTTTACTTTTCACCTGCTCTATTCTTTGTGGGGAAAAAATGCATCTAGAAAAACATAGTTTAAATACTGTATATAAGATAATGAAAGTTAGTAACGTCCATTATTTAATAAAGTTTGTAAAGTACAAGGTAATTTATAGTGTGAATTAATGTGTTTATTTTAGAACATCAAGATGTTTCCAAACTACATTTAGCTATAATACTTTTTCTTGCCTTGTGAACCATGGAGAAAATGGTGCAGGGTCACAATGATATAACTATGTCTCAGCGGCCCATGATAGACCATTTTCTACATCTTTGGATTACCTTTGAAACAGTGAATTTGGTGTCTAGGATTTTTGTTGTCTTGAGCGAAAGCTAAATTAGATCAGTTGCTAAATTACCTTTTGAAAAAATTTGCAGTAAGTAACAGAAGACATTCTTTTAACTTTTATTATTGAATCAAAAAATTAATATAGCCGGGCATGGTGGTTCACACCTGTAATCCTAGCACTTTGGGAGGCCAAGGTGAGTGGATCACTTGAGGCCAGGAGTTTGAGACCAGCCTGGCCAACATGGTGAAACCCTGTCTCCACTAAAAATGGATGGTGGTGCATGCCTGTAATCCCAGCTACTCAGGTGGCTGAGGCACGAGAATCACTTGAACTAGGGAGGCAGAGGTTGCAGTGAGCTGAGATCACGTCATTGCGCTCTGGCCTGGGCAACACAGACTCTGTCTCAAAAAAAAAAGAAAATTACTATAGAAGTTTTTGGTACAAATTGAGGGTTTTTTCATGTAACTTCATGTTCTTAATTTTCTTTAATAGAAAGTTTACAGGGAACAAAAATATGCTGCTATTAGTTGATAATTACAGACACTTTCCAAAGCAACTCTTTCCAAATGTAAGCAAAAAGCCCTACCCCATTATAATGAAAATGTGGATTACCTGACTTTCCTCAGACTGAAGAAACAGCCTTCGGCTTTTAGTGTATTTTAGAGAGAAGAGTTTTCCAACTTCACACTGAGGAGCCCTCAGATCTGCCTTATCTTCCTGTTCCACCTTGAGGTGGAAAATGGATGGGTTCGCTCCAAGTTCAGTTTAGAGAAACAAATAACAGGAGAATAACCATGCCCCGTGTAAATGGTAAACATAAATTCAGTCCTTAAAGAAAAATTTTAATGAGCAGGCTTATAATGAGCTATAAATACAGCTGTTGAACATGAATACTTAATAAGATTTGTCTATTAAGGTTTTTTTTAGTAAAAACAATAAAAAATCTCTATTTGAAAGAGCAAATGTTAATACTTCAAGAACTCTGAGATCCTCTAATGCTGTATAACTTTCTCTATCTGGATTGTGATAACTACACTCAATTCTTTTTTTTTTTTTTTTTTTGAGACAGGGTCTCACTCTATCGGCCCAGACTGGAGTGCAGTGGCATGATCTCAGCTCACTGCAACCTCTGTCTCCTGGGGTTCAAGCGATTCTCCTACCTCAGCCTCCCAAGTAGCTGGGATTACAGGTGCATGCCACCATGCCCAGCTAATTTTTGTACTATTAGTAGAGACAGGGTTTCACCATGTTGGCCAGGCTGGTCTCGAACTCCTGACCCCAGGTGATCCTCCCGCCTCGGCCTCCCAAAGTGCTGGGATTAGAGGCATAAGCCACGTGCCTGGCCTTGTTGGTGTTTTTTTTAAAGAGACATGGACTCACCAAGGCTGGTCTTGAGTTCCTGGCCTCAAGTGATCCTCCTGCCTTGGCTTCCCAAACTGCAGGGATTACAGGCATGAGCTATCATACCTACCCTTTTTTTCAATGTTTTCTGTTTAACAAAATCATATATATATGCGCTTATATATATTTATATAGAGAGATACTGTGGAAATTTTGCTGTATTAAAAAGGTTAATGCAAAATATGATTGCACAACCTATATAACTGTAAATTAATAAAATTTGGAATGTCTGGTGTATAGCATATTTGAAAGCTCTTTAACAGAAGATCAAAAATTCCTTTTTGAAAGAATATTCTAGGCCAGGCATGGTGGCTCACGCCTGTAATCCCAACACTTTGGGAGGCGAGGCGGGTGGATAACCTGAGGTCAGGAGTTCGAGACCAGCCTGGCCAACATGGTGAAACCCTGTTTCTACTAACAATACAAAAATTAGCTGGGCATGGTGGTGGGCGCCTGTAATCCCAGCTACTTGGGAGGCTGAGGCAGGAGAATCGCTTGAACCCAGGAGGGGGAGGTTGCAGTGAGCCGAAATCTTGCCATTGCACTCCAGCCTGGGTGACAAGAGCAAGACTCCATCTTAAAAAAAAAGAAAAATATATTCTAAAATTTAGCATGTGCAACCATTGTCTGACCAGTTGAGGTAGAAATGGCTTTACCAGCCCCTCACAGTGCTGGGCAACTTGTAGTGTTCCATACATTTTAATCATTGAATAGAGTTAAAAATTCGTCTGAGCTCAAAGCATGTGAAAAATATTCAAACCAGATACACAAAGGAGGGAAGTCACAACAACAGCAAATAAGTTGCTTTAAAAAGATTCACAGCACACTCAGAAATCTGGTGGTATCAACTTTCTCTAGAGCTCTTATTAGGTAAGTCATGGGAGGTGGCATTTTGGAAAGACTCTCTGCGCCTTTCCCATCTCATGGCTGATAGAATTCCAGAGACATTTACTCTGCAGACTTCCAGTAACCTTTTAGGCTAAGCATCTACATGGGCACAGGAAGGTGTGATTATCAGACCCTCCTCAAAATTCCATGTAGACCACTGCCTGTCCTGATAACTGCTTTTGATCATATTGGATTTCTGAGGGCGCTGTGAATTTTTTTAAAGCAACTTACTTGCTGCTGTTGTTACTTCCCGCCTTTTGATGTGATGAGATCATAGAGCACCCTAGCATGTAGATGTGGGGTTGAAGTCAAATAAGGTGGAAGGAAAAGGCCCAGAATGCCTCGATTTGGGGTGCCAAAAAACACACTTGCCCACTTTACAATTTTGGTACACATCTGTGGATCAAAGTCCACCTTATGTATCTGTGAAAAACAAGAGTCTTATTTTCCTGACAATGGCTTATTCACATGCATCGTACAATAGGAAAGAAAGACAAGCAGGCAGTTCCACCTCATTGGTTCCAAAACCATGTTTATCAAGCTCAATATAAAACAACAGGGCTTGGATGGTGATCAAATCATCTGTTCTAACGGGCAAATATAAGCCCCCAATTTGCCCTCCTGTTTACATAGCAATGTATGCCTCTCCACATAGTTCTCATGGAACCATCAAGACCACAGGGTAAGCAGATTCCTGCTACTAAACCACAGTTAAGTCAGAGGCTGCAAACTGCTGGCCCAGGGGCTCAATCTGGCTTGTGCAATTTTATTTATTTATTTATCTATTTGGAGACAGTCTCGCACTGTTGCCCAGGCTAGAGTGCAGTGGCGTGATATCAGCTCACTGCAACCTCCACGTTCCGGGCTTGAGCAATTCTCTTGCCTCAGCCTCCCAAGTAGCTGGGACTACAGGCACGTGCCATCACACCTGGCTAATTTTTGTATTTTTAGTAGAGACAGGGTTTCACCATGTTGCCCAGGCTGGTCTCAAACTCCTGGGCTCAAGTGATCCACCCACCTCAGCCTCCCAAAGTGCTGGGATTACAGGCGTGAGCCACCACACCCGGCCCTCGGCTTTTACAATTTTAGAAAGGCTTAAGCATAAAATCCAAATTTCCACCTCTTAAAAAAAAAAAAAAAAAAAAAAAAAAAAGATGTGGTCTGTGTGGACCTGGATTCTGGTGAGGCCAATGCTATGAGATCTAAGGAGGGGATCTAAAGGTGAAAGTCACCCTAAAAGGTGGACACTTGCTTTGACCTTTGGGGGAAATGGTTCCTTTATCCTTCATTATGGACTTCGTCAACAAATTTAAAGCAACCGTGGTACACTTGAAATACAGATGCTTTAGGTAGAAAATAAGAAATCTCTCCTTTTAAGATAAAATAAACATACGTCACAAAGATCTCTAGAACGTATAGCTGCTTTGGGGGAAGTTTTATACCTGGTCCACTTCCCTAGTTAATACTGTATTATCTACCCATCCTCTAGAAGCCTCCAGAGGCTTCAGGTCTGTGATACCAAATCATCTCCACTCCATTCTCCTTTAATATGAATTCACCTGAATTCACTACTATATATACTCTGTTTCCCAAAACACCATCTCTAGGGTCAAACTCCCCTCTTCAGTGCAAGATTTTTCCTGCAGGACATCTCTGAGTTGTCCAGAGCCAATGTCATTTTTCCCCATGTACGACTCCTTTCTTCCTCAGAAGCTCCTCCTCTAGTTTGCAGTCTTTTTGTTGGACTACTATAACAGCGTCCTAACTAGTTGTCCTGCCACTGTCTTCCCCACTTCCTGTCTTTTATTCTGTGTTTTAAACACAGAATAAAATCCTCCAGGGCCGAGTGCGGTGGTTCACACCTGTAATTCCAGCACTTTAGGGGACAGAGGCAGGCAGATCACTTAAGGTCAGGAGTTCGAGACCAGCCTGGCCAAAGTGGTGAAAACCCATCTCTACTAAAAATACAAAAATTAGCCAGGTTTAGTGGGCAAGCCGGTAATCCCAGCTACTCGGGACGCTGAGGCAGAAGAATCTCTTGAACCCAGGAGGCGGAGGTTGCAGTGAGCCAAGATCATGCCAGTGCACTCCAGCTTGGGCAACAAAGCGAGACTCCATCTCAAAGAAAAAAAAAATCCTCCACAAAGCCCCCCATAATCTGTCTCTGCCTTTATATGAGGAAGAGCTGCTCCCTCTGCCTGCAATACCCTTCCCCTACTATCCAAAGGGAAACCCGCTAAGTCCTCAAAACCCAGCTCAGAAACGATTGCCAAGAACTGTGAGATTTTACCCAGCTTGCAAGCTAACAAGGTAACCTGCCTCAGTTTCATCAATACTGGCAGAAGACACAAGACTCCTGGGTAAGAGAGGAAGGACATGATTACAGCACAGCCGGTAGCATGAGCTTTACATTTCCATTGCTTCCCCTCACCCCGCTAGTCTCAGAGCAGCCCAGGGGGTTGTTGTACACACAGTGGTTCATTCCACAGCAGAGGAGCCCTGGGCTCAGAAATCCCCAAACTTAAAAGAAGCTACTAGCAAATCTGCCCAACCTTTGCCCCTGGAGGGAGACATTATCTTTATTCTGTGGAGGCAAACAAATCTGCCTTCTGCCCTAAGGGGAGATACTATTTCTATCTTCCAAGGCTGTATGCTCTAAAAATGTCCTTGAATTGATAGTCTGGGGTAAGAGAATAATACAAGACATGAAGAAATACAAAATCATGAGACCCCTAAAGAATGGTCTCAAAACCATGCTAATTTTGTGACATACAAGTTTTTTTTAATTTTTATCCAGTATGATTAAGGATGGAGAAAGACTGTTAATCCCAAATGAATCAGAATACACATTGGTATAGAATATTATAAATGAATTTAGCAATATGAATCAGTAACATTAAAAATTCATCCTCTTTGAGCCATTAATTAGACTTCCGGAAATTTATTCTAAGAGAATAAATTCAACGGCAGTTAAAGATTTATGTATCAAATTGAGAGGTGAATCTGGCTAGTCTTCTGGGTCGGGTGGGGACTTGGAGAACTTTTCTGTCTAGCTAAAGGATTGTAAATGCACTAATCAGTGCTCTGTGTCTAGCTAAAGGTTTGTAAACGCACCAATCAGCACTCTGTAAAATGGACCAATCAGCAGGATGTGGTGGGGCCAAATAAGGGAATAAAATCAGGCCACCTGAGCCAGCAGCGGCAACCCGCTTGGGTCCCCTTCCATGCTGTGGAAGCTTTGTTCTTTCACTCTTCACAATAAATCTTGCTGCTGCTCACTCTTTGGGTCCGCACTGCCTTTATGAGCTGTAACACTCACCACGAAGGTCTGCAGCTTCACTCCTGAAGCCAGCGAGACCACAAACCCACCGGGAGGAACGAACAACTCCGGATGCGCCGCCTTTATGAACTGTAACACTCACTGCGAAGGTCTGCAGCTTCACTCCTGAAGCCAGCGAGACCACGAACCCACCGGGAGGAACGAACAACTCCGGATGCGCCGCCTTTATGAACTGTAACACTCACTGCGAAGGTCTGCAGCTTCACTCCTGAAGTCAGCAAGACCACGAACCCACCGGGAGGAAGAAACTCTGGACACATCTGAACATCTGAAGGAACAAACTCTGGACACACCATCTTTAAGAACTTTAACACTCACCGCAAGGGTCCACGGCTTCATTCTTGAAGTCAGCGAGACCAAGAACCCACCGGAAGGAATCAATTCTGGACACATTTTGGTGACCACGAAGGGACCATTGACTATTGCCAAGCAGTGAGTACCATCGGACCCCTTTTGCTTGCTATTCTGTCCTATTTTTCCTTAGCATTTGAGGGCTAAATATCAGGCACCTGTCGGCCAGTTAAAAGCAACTAGCATGGCCACCAGACTAAAGACATGGATGTCAGGATTTCTGGGAAAGGGCTCTCTAACAAGCCCCCACTCTTTGGAGTTGGGAGCATTGGTTTGCCACTTTTCCTGTACTTCCGGGCTGAGCTGAGGGTTGACAGAGAGGAAAGCCATTCAGCTCCGAGGTCCTGAGAACAAGTTGGTTGACCCTGCAGCCATGAGCGGAACTCTCAAAGTCATGTTGCCCAAGCCAGACTCTCTCATCTATTCTATCTACCTTGACCCTTGCCTCCTGGGTCCTAATGCCTGCCAGACAAACTCCCTCTCACCTCTCTTCTCCGAGGCTAGTCCCGCTTCTAAAAACCACTCCCTGTCTCTGGTGCTTTTCTAGTTTCTCCTATAAGAATGATTTCTAGTTCAAACTCCAGGACTCTGTTACCTTCTTTCGGCACCTGGGCTCACCAATCAGAAAAACATAATTTTTCCCAAAGCCCCATCGTAGGGGATACTATCTGGAATTTTAGGATACCTCCTCAGACAAGTGGGCCTAACAAAAGCTATTCCTGAAGCTAGGATATGGGGAGCCTCAGAAATTGTATCCTTCCTATTCATATAAGTGAGGACAAAAGGCATCACTCTTCCAACTCTAGAGATCACTTCCCTCCCTCAGAGCAAAAAATGCCTGCGCAGTCCAAATCAGGCTAAAAGACCCCATCACTTTTCCTTATCAAAGGCAATATCCCTTAAGGCCTGAAGCTCATAAAGGATTACAGGATATTGTTAAACATTTAAAAGCTCAAGGCTTAGGAAATGCAGCAGTCCCTGCAACACCCCAATTCTAGGAGTACAAAAACCAAACGGTCAGTGGAGACTAGTGCAAGATCTTAGACTCATCAATGAGGCAGTAATTCATCTATATCCAGTTGTACCCAAACCCTATACCCTGCTCTCTCAAATACCAGAGGAAGCAGAATGGTTCACTGTTCTGGACCTCAAGGATGCCTTCTGTATTCCCCTGCACTCTGACTCCCAGTTTCTCTTTGCCTTTGAGGATCCCACAGACCACATGTCCCAACTTACGTGGACGGTCTTGCCCCAAGGTTTTAGGGATAGCCCTCATCTGTTTGGTCAGGCACTGGCCCAAGATCTAGGCCATGTCTCAAGTCCAGGCACTCTGTTCCTTCAGTATCTGGATGATTTACTTTTGGCTACCAGTTCAGAAGCCTCGTGCCAGCAGGCCACTGTAGATCTCTTGAACTTTCTAGCTAATCAAGGGTACAAGGTGTCTAGGTCAAAGGCCCAGCTTTGCCTACAACAGGTCAAATATCTAGGCCTAATCTTAGCCAGAGGGACCAGGGACCTCAGCAAGGAACGAATACAGCCCATACTGGCTCATCCTCACCCTAAGACATTAAAACAGTTGTGGGGGTTCCTTAGAATTACTGGCTTTTGCCAACTATGGATCCCCGGATACAGTGAGATAGTCAGGCCCCTATATACTCTAATCAAGGAGACCCAGAGGGCAAATACTCATCTAGTAGAATGGGAACCAGGGGGAGAAACAGCCTTCAAAACCTTAAAAGGCCCTAGTACAAGCTCCAGCTTTAAGCCTTCCCACAGGACAAAACTTCTCTTTATATGTCACAGAGAGAGCAGGGATAGCTCTTGGAGTCCTTATTCAGACTCGTGGGACAACCCCACAACCAGTGGCATACCTACGTAAGGAAACTGATGTAGTAGCAAAAGGCTGGCCTCACTGTTTAAGGGTAGTTGCAGCGGTGGCTGTCTTAGTGTCAGAGGCTATCAAAATAATACAAGGAAAGGATCTCACTGTCTGGACTACTCATGATGTAAATGGCATACTAGGTGCCAAAGGAAGTTTATGGTTATCAGACAACCGCCTACTTAGATACCAGGCACTACTCTTTGAGGGACCGGTGCTTCAAATACGTACGTGCATGGCCCTGAACCCTGCCACTTTTCTCCCAGAGGATGGGGAACCAATCATGCATGACTGCCGACAAATTATAGTCCAACTTATGCTGCCCAAGATGGTCTCTTAGAGGTCCCCTTAGCTAATCCTGACCTTAACCTATATACCCATGGAAGTTCATTTGTGGAGAACGGGATACGAAGGGCAGGTTATGCCATAGTTAGTGATGTAGCTGTACTTGAAAGTAAGCCTCTTCCCTCAGGGACCAGCGCCCATTTAGCAGAACTAGTGGCACTTACCCGAGCCTTAGAACTGGGAAAGGGAAAAAGAATAAATGTGTATACAGATAGCAAGTATGCTTATCTAATCCTACATGCCCATGCTGCAATATGGGAAGAAAGGGAGCTTCTAACCTCTGGGGGACCCGCATTAAATACCACATGGAAATTATGGAGTTATTGCACACAGTGCAAAAACCCAAGGAGGTGGCAGTCTTACACTGCCAAAGCCATCAGAAAGGTGAAGGAGAAAAGGCAGAAGGAAACCACTGGGCAGATACTGAGGCCAAAATTGCTGCCAGGTGGAATCTCCCATTAGAAATACCTATGGAAGGACCCTTGGTATGGAACAACCCCCTCCAGGAGATTAAGCCCCAGTATTCCCCGATTGAAACAGAATGGGGACTTTCACGGGGACATAGTTTTCTCCCCTCAGGGTGGTTAACGACAGAAGAAGGAAAGGTACTTATTCCCAAAGCAAGCCAGTGGAAAATACTTAAAACTCTCCACCAAACTGTTCATATGGGTATTGAAAACACTCATCAAATGGCCAAATCCCTATTTACAGGGCCAAATCTCCTCCAGACCATGTGACAGGTAGTCAAAGCCTGTGAGGTATGCCAAAGGAATAATCTCTTGGTCCATCATAAGGCCCCTGTGGGGGCACAAAGAATAGGTCACTATCCCGGAGAGGACTGACAGTTAGACTTCACCCATATGCCTAAGTCAAAGGGATTTCAATACTTGTTGGTCTGTGTTGATATCTTTACAAATTGGATAGAAGCTTTCCCCCGCAAGACAGAGAAGGCTCAGGAAGTGATTAAAGTTCTAATTCATGAAATAATTCCTAGATTTGGGCTTCCCCAAAGCTTACAGAGTGACAATGGTCTGACTTTTAAAGACATGATAACTCAGGGAGTTTCCAGGGCACTAGTGATACAACAGCATCTTCACTGCACCTGGAGGCCACAATCCTCAGGGAAGGTCAAGAAGGCAAATGAAACACTCAAGAGGCACTTAAGGAAACTAATACAAGAAACTCATCTCCCATGGCCTACTCTTTTGCCCATGGCCTTGTTGAGAATCCAAAATTCTCCTCACAAAATGGGGCTTAATCCACATGAAATGCTGTAGGGACGACCTTTTCTCACAAATGACCTCCTACTTGATCAGGAAATGGCCAACTTGGTCAAAGATACAACTTATTTGGCAAAATATCAACAAAACCTTAAAAACCTACCTGAAGGATGTCACAGAGAAAAGGGAACAGAGTTGTTTCAACTAGGAGATCTAGTGTTGGTCAAATCTCACCCCTCTACCTCCCCATCTATGAACTCTTTGTGGGAAGGACCATACTCGGTAATCCTCTCTAACCCCACTGCAGTTAAGGTGGCAGGAGTGGAATCTTGGATTCACCACACCCGAGTTACATTTTGGACATCCCCTGAGGAACCTGCAGGACTGTCAGCTCAGGAGTCTCAAGCCAGACCAGCCTCGATACACCTGCGAACCATTGGAGGACTTGCATCTCCTATTTCGGAAGGAAACATCCCAGACTAAAAAGGCTCCTACCGCTGATCCTGAAGAAAAATCCCTTTCTCCTTAAAAAAGATAAGTGAAAACCTACATAATCTTTAACACCTCTCCTTGCCCCTTTAATGGAATCCTTTTACTATTTCATCATATTATTAAGCAGCATACTAACCATACTCTTTGCGATAGGACTGTATACTGTAGCTCCTGCTGGGAGAAAAATCCTAATCACATCAACCTTCTATCTTCCTTCCTTCTGACAGCAATTTACTCCTGCCTTTAACTCAGACTGGATAAAATGGTCTCGTCTTCCAGAGCACCCTCTTTACCTTCCTATTTACTCTTTGCCTATCTATCCCTCCTGCTTCCTTGGATACCTCATACAATTGCCCCTCCCCTTCCACTAGCTCCTAATTACCTCTACAAGTCTCTCAACTTAACCTACTCTCTGTTAAACCAGTCCAATCCTTCCCTGGCAAATGACTGTTGGCTTTGTATCTCTCTATCAACCTCTGCTTACACTGCCACTCCCATTCCTGCAAAAAACTGGGTCTTTACCAAATTAACCTACCACCCTCGTTATGAAGGAAAAGACCCTTTCTGACTTTTAAATATGCAATCATTAGCCAACTTCCCCATCTCTGATAGGAACAAGAATACCCTAACAGGATGTGCAATCCAACTTTTACGTTCTTACATTTCCAACCTCACCTATTACACAAGCAATGAAAAGCCCATACACGGCCCTGTAACTACAAATACTATCTTAACTTTCCAAGCCCCTTTATGCATCCAACGCAACCTGTTATCAGGCCTGCCCCTGGGGCACTTACTACCCCATCAGTGTAATTACACGCTACAACTTCAAGCCCCAACTGATCATAGTAACTTCTGAGTCACCCAAACAGCTCCATTTAGATGGCTTGTCTGCTTCTTGGGGCCCCCAAAAATCATCACCTCCTCCCTGCTTAACAAATAGTCCAGGGTTTGTAATGGCAAACATACTCCCTGCATGACCATTCACCCCTGCACCCCCTGCAGCAGCGCCCCCACCACTAGTGAATGCCTTCTCATCCCCTCTTTCAATCACTCTCTCGAGTGGTTCCTAGTAGATATAAAATGTTTTTTTCTCCAATGGGAAAATAGAACACAGGGAGCCACTCAGTTTGCTCCCAACACCCCTTTCCAGCCGCTCACTGGAGCTACCTTGGCAAGTACTCTAGGAGTATGGGAAAATGAAAACAACAAATTCACACATCTTTTTAACATACACAACCAGTTCTGTCTACCCAGCTAAGGTATACTCTTCTTATGTGGAATGTCGACCTATATCTGCCTCCCCACTAACTGGACAGGCACCTGCACCTTAGTCTTTCTAAGTCCCAACATTAATATTGCCCCGGGAAGTCAGACCTTATCAGTACCCCTCAAAGCTCAAGTCCGTCAGCGCAAAGCCATACAACTAATACCCCTACTTATAGGGTCAGGAATGGCTACTGCTACAGGAACTGGAATAGCCAGTTTATCTACTTCATTATCCTACTACCACACATTCTCAAAGGATTTCTCAGACAGTTTGCAAGAAATCACGAAATCTATCCTTACTCTACAATCCCAAATAGACTCTTTGGCAGCAGTGACTCTCCAAAAGCGCTGAGGCCTAGACCTCCTCACGGCTGAGAAAGGAGGAGTCTGCACCTTCTTAGGGGAAGAGTGTTGTTTTTACCCTAACCAGTCAGGGATAGTACTAAATGCCGCCCGGCATTTACAGGAAAAGGCTTCTGAAATCAGACAACGCCTTTCAAACTCTTATACCAACCTCCGGAGTTGGGCAACATGGCTTCTCCCCTTTCTAGGTCCCGTGGCAGCCATCTTGCTGTTACTCGCCTTTGGGCCCTGTATTTTTAACCTTCTTGTCAAATTTGTTTCCTCTAAAATCAAGGCAATCAAGCTACAGATGGTCTTACAAATGGAACTCCGAATGAGTTCAACTAACAACTTCTACTGAGGACCCCTGGACCGACCCGCTGGCCCTTCCACTGGCCTAAAGAGTTTCCCTCTGGAGGACACCACAACTGCAGGGCCCCTGCTTCACCCCTATCCAGCAGGAAGTAGCTAGAGCAGTCATTGGCCAAATTCCAAACAGCAGTTGGGGTGTCCTGTTTAGAGGGGAAATTGAGAGGTGAAGCCAGCTGGGCTTCTGGGTTGGGTGGGGACTTGGAGAACTTTTCTGTCTAGCTAAAGGATTGTAAATGCACCAGTCAGTGCTCTGTGTCTAGCTAAAGGTTTGTAAATGCACCAATCAGCACTCTATAAAAATGGACCAATCAGCACTCTGTAAAATGGACCAATCAGCTCTCTGCAAAATGGATCACTCAGTAGGATGCAGGTGGGGCCAAATAAGGGAATAAAAGCAGGCCACCTGCACCACCAGCAGCAACCCACTTGGGTCCCCTCCACACAGTGGAAGCTTTGTTCTTTTGCTCTTCACAATAAATCTTGCTGCTGCTCACTCTTTGGGTCCGCACTGCCTTTATCAGCTGTAACACTCACCACGAAGGTCTGCAGCTTCACTCGTGAAGCCAATGAGACCACAAACTCACCGGGAGGAATGAACAACTCTGGATGCGCTGCCTTTATGAGGTGTAACACTCACCACGAAGATCTGCAGCTTCACTCCTGAAGCCAGCGAGACCATGAACCCACCGGGAGGAATGAACAACTCCGGACGCGCCGCCTTTATGAACTGTAACACTCACTGCGAAGGTCTGTGGCTTCACTCCTGAAATCAGCGAGACCACGAACCCACCAGAAGGAAGAAATTCTGGACACATCTGAACATCTGAAGGAACAAACTCCGGACACACCATCTTTAAGAACTTTAACACTCACCGCGAGGGTCCACAGCTTCATTCTTGAAGTCAGTGAGACCAAGAACCCACTGGAAGGAACCAATTCCGGATACAAAATGTCTCCATGCATGCCTCACCTGCAGTGCCATACGCTGGTTGATATTAATAATAAGACAGATTTTGCAGAGCATTGTTGGTGCGTATGCTACCCATACTCCTATCGACCAGGCTTGCACCTTCCAGGGCCATGCTTTCCAGCCTAAACAATCACAGATCAGGCCCAGACTGCACTCCCTGGGAGCTTTGGAAAAAGCTGCATCAAACCAGAGCTTCTCCCCAAGCCCAGCAAACCACTCATGGCTCAGGTAGTCCTTCCTGGAAGACCAAAGTGTTGGAAGTAAATGCTTATTCCCCGATGTTACAGAGAAGAATCCGCAATTAGACAAAATGTTTCCTCAACAGGAAACTCTTTTTACTCTTTGCAGAAAGGGTGGTGCCTGTCAGCAATCCTGCCAGGAGTACCCACAAAGTAAAAAAGATACTAGAATAGTTTTGCCTTACACATGAGGTCCCTATTGCTGTGTCCTGACTCCATTGGCTGGAGCCAGACCTCACAATCTAAACTAAAACCCGATTGGCTAACAGTTCAAAACTTTTTAAAATAGGTAAAGGCAGTGAGGAACAAAGGAAAAAAAGGAAGTTGCTTATGAAAGGACTTAGAAAAGTAATAATATTCCCAAATAAGGGAGGAGGGTAGGCTGCAAGCTGGGACATGCCTGGGCATGTCCAGCACGAATATTCTGACTAAGGTACAAGGACATAGAATGTACTACATGCCTGTGAGCATGTTTAACAGATACTGAAGTCAGAGTATGCTTATTCTGTTACCTTTGCTACATAAGGCTTAACAGAGAGTTATTACTATAAAATAAGAAACTTAAAGTTAGTTTTGAGAAAAGATATCAATAACATTTATGATTTAAAGGGATTTGAAGAGGAACTTTTGCTTTCTACACAAAGCCTCCTCATTCATTGAAGAGGAAAACTCTTGGTGGGGACAAGAGTGAATTTACTTTAAATACCAATCCACTGACTAATCCCAAGTCTGGGAATGCCTCCAAAATGTTGAGTTGATGTATTATTATTTATGTAGAAACACCCATTTACTGTAAGTTTCCTTCAAAACAACCCTCGTTGCTGTTGCAGAAATCATAGGCTGTGACGCTGGTAGCCACCTACACATTCCTTCTAGAACACGTATATTTTTCCCCAAGATATAAGCCCTGGGTCTAGGGGGTTGTGGTGCAGAGATCTACCTATCTTGTAGCCGCCCAAGACCACGTTTCTGTTTGTAAATTTCCCTAATAAATCACCCAGAACCACACATTGGATTTCTCTGCCTCCTTTGGTTTCCAGGCTCCTTCTGCATTTGGGGGTTGCTGTGTAAATACAGCCCTTTCATGGAACAAACTCCCATAGAAGTGCAAACTGTGTTGACCCTTGTTTTATCCAAGTGTCCTGTCTACATTTGTAGCCTTCCAGTATTTGCTGGGTCTGTCTCTTTGGCATTTTGGGAGCCACATAAACCACCAGGCTTCAAGCTGTTACCCCGGGTTGCTGCTCCTCTGACCATCCTTCCTGGTTAGTCTCCCTCCTGACCCACCTTCTCACTGCTGCTGTTCTTCCCACATCTTCTGTCTGCGTGCTCTGGGTCACTTTAAGTTCCATGTTGAACTCCTCTACATTCCCTATATTTTAATGGAAGCAGTTCCCTCCATTCTTTTTTTTTTTTTTTTTGAGATGGAGTTTCGCTGTCGCCAGGCTGGAATTCAGTGGTGTGATCTTGGCTGACTGCAACCTCCAACTCCCTGGTTCAAGCAATTCTCCTGCCTCAGCCTCCCGAGTAGCTGGGATTACAGGCTCGTGCCACCACGCCCAGCTAATTTTTGTATTTTTAGTAGAGACGAGGTTTCACCACGTTGGCCAGGATGATCTCAGTCTGACCTTGTGATCCGCCCACCTCGGCCTCCCAAAGTACTGGGGTTACAGGCGTGAGCCACCGCGCCCGGCCAATTCATTTCTTTTTTAAACTAACACTTAGCTCTTCCTTAAGGATGTTTCTCCTGGGGATCTCTTAAAGGAAGGCTATTCATTCTCCCACAATCCAACACCTCAAGTTCGAGAGGTGGAGTCAGTGCTTCATGGATCCATGCTGTGGCTGGAGACCATTCCTTCTCTGCCCTCATGAATGAATGAACTATTGCATGGTGGCTATTTGGAATGCAATTTTTTTTTTTTTTTTTTAGATGGAGTTTCGCTCTTGTTGTCCAGGCTGGAGTGCAATGGCGCAATCTCGACTCACTGCAACCTCTGTCTCCCAGGTTCAAGTGAATCTCCTGCCTCAGTCTCCCCAGTAGCTGGGATTACAGGCAGATGCCACGATGCCCAGCTAATTTTTGAATTGTTAGTAGAGACGGTGTTCCACCATGTTGGTCAGGCTGGTTTCTAACTTCTGACCTCAGGTGATTCGCCCTCCTCAGCCTCCCAAAGTGCTGGGATTACAGGCATGAGCCACTGTGCCCAGCCTGGAATGCAAATCTTTGTGTCACCTGACTCCTATCATCCATTGACCTTCTTACCAATTGGCCTCATTCAGTGAAGGTGAGCCCACACCTCAGAATCAGTCTCCTTATCATCCTATACTCTCCACCCCTATATACTACCACCACCTTGAAAATATCTAGAAAATCCCTATTTGATGGATATTTCGATGGATGACCTTCTCAACATCCAGCCCTTTATTTTCTTGACTTGCTCATGGCCAGTGACCTTCACCTGCATTCACTTTAACCACTGTACACAACAGAGTGCTTTGTTGTAAATGATAGTAATTGACTCTAGCAAACTTAGATCACCAATTTGAGCTGTTTCTTCACCTCCTTCTTGACTTTTAAGATGGTGGTAAAATGCACATAAAATTTACCATCTTAACCATTTTTAAATATACAGTTCAGTGGCATTAAGTACATTCACAAAGGTGACACAAACTCCAGAGAATATGCTGCTTGCAGCTTTGATGATTGTATCAACGGTGATAAGTCTTCCCATGTCTGCAGGAGCAGCTGCAGCTAATTATGCTTACTGGGCCTATGTGCCTTTCCTGCCCTTAATTCGGGCAGTTACATGGGTGGATAATTCTATTGAAGTATATGTTAATAATAGTGCATGGGTACCTGGCCCCACGGATGATCGTTGCCCTGCCCAACCCAAGGAAGAAGGAATGATGATGATTATTTCCACTGGGTATTGTTATCCTCCTATTTGCCTGGGGAGGGCACCAGGATGCTTAATGCCTACAACCCAAAATTGGTTGGTAGAAGTACCTACTGTCAGTGCCACCAGTGGATTTACTTATCACAGGGTAAGTGGAATGTCACTCAGGCCACAGGTAAATTATTTGCAGGACCCTTCTTATCAAAGATGATTAAAATCTAGGCCTAAGGGGAAGCCTTGCCCCAAAGAAATTCCCAAAGGATCAAAAGGCCCAGAAGTTTTAGTTTGAGAAGAATGTGTGGCTGATAGGACGGTGATATTACAAAACAATGAATTCGGAACCATTATAGATTGGGCACCTCGAGGTCAATTCTACTGCAATTGCACAGGACAAACTCAATCGTGTCCCAGTGCACATGTGAGTCCAACTGTGGACAGTGACTTAACAGAAGGTTTAGATAAAAATAAGTATAAAAGGTTAGAGTCTCTATACCCTTGGGAATGGGGTGAAAAGGGAATCTCATCACCTCGACCAAAGTTAGTTAGTCCTGTTACTGGTCCTAAGCGTCCGGAACTTTGGAAGCTTACTGTGGCCTCGCACCACATTAGAATTTGGTCTGGAAATTAAGCTATAAAAACAAGAGATGGTAAGCCATCTTATACTATCGACCTAAATTCCAGTCTGACAATTCCTTTGCAAATTTGTGTAAAGCCCCCTTATATGCTAGTTGTAGGAAAAATAGTTATTAACCCAGATTCCCAAACTATAACCTGTGAAAATTGTAGATTGTTTACTTGCATTGATTCAACTTTTAATTGGCAGCACTGTATTCTACCAGTGAGAGCAAGAGAGGCCATGTGGATCCCTGTGTCCATGGACCAACTGTAGGAGGCTTCGCCATCCATCCATATTTTAACTGAAGTATTAAAAGGAGTTCTAAATAGATCCAAAAGATTCATTTTTACTTTGATTGCGGTGACTACGGGATTAAGTGCAGTCACAGTTATGGCCGCTGTGGCAGGAGTTGCATTGCACTCTTCTGTTCAGACGGTACACTTTGTTAACAATTGGCAAAAAAAATTCTACAAGATTGTGGAATTCACAATCTGGTATTGATCAAAAATTGGCAAATTAGATTAATGATCTTAGACAAAATGTCATTTGGATGGGAGATAAGCTCGTGAGCTTGGAACATCATTTTCAGTTACAGTGTGACTGGAATACGTCAGATTTTTGTATTACACCCCAAGCCTGTAATGAGTCTGAGCCTCACTGGGACATGGTTAGATGCCATCTACAAGGAAGAGAAGATAATCTTACTTCAGACATTTCAAAATTAAAAGAACAAATTTTTGAGGCATCAAAAGCCCATTTAAATTTGGTGCCAGGAACTGAAGCAATTACGGAAGCTACTGATGGCCTCGCAAATCTTAACCCAGTCACTTGGGTTAAAACCATCAGAAGTTCCATTATTATAAATTTCATATTAATCCTTGTGTGCCTGTTCTGTCTGTTGTTAGTCTGCAGGTGTACCCAGCAGCTCCGAAGAGACAGCGACCATCAAGAACGGGCCATGATGACGATGGCAGTTTTGTCAAAAACAAAAGGGAGAATGTGGGGAAAAGAAAGAGAGATCAGATTGTTACTGTGTCTATGCAGAAAAGGAAGACATAAGAAATTCCATTTTGATCTGTACTAAGAAATATTGTTCTGCTTTGAGATGCTGTTAATCTGTAACTTTAGCCCCAACCATGTGCTCGCAGAAACGTGCTGTATCAAATCAAGGTTTAATGGATTTAGGGCTGTGCAGGCTGTGCCTTGTTAACAATGTGTTTGCAGGCAGTATGCCTGGTAAAAGTCATCGCCATTCTCCATTCTCTATTAACCAGGGACACAATGCACTGCGGAAAGGCGCAGGGACCTCTGCCCAAGAAAGCTTGGGTATTGTCCAAGGTTTCCCCCACTGAGACAGCCTGAGATATGGCCTCATGGGAAAGGAAAGACCTTACATCCCCCAGCCCGACACCCATGAAGGGTCTGTGCTGAGGAGTAGTGAAAGAGGGAGGCCTCTTTGCGGTTGAGATAAGGGGAAGTTTTCTGTCTCCTGCACGTCCCTGGGAATGAAATGTCTCAGGGTAAAGCTGATCATGAGATAGGAGAAAACCACCCTGTGGCTGGAGGCAAGATATGCTGGCAGCAATACTGCTCTGTTACTCTTTGCTACACTGAGATGTTTGTGTAAAGGGAAACATACATCTAGCCTACATGCACATCCAGGCACAGTACTTTTCCTTGGACTTATTCATGATACAGATTCCTTTGCTCACATGTTTCCCCTCTGACCTTCTCCACATCACCCTGTTGCCCTGCCACACTCCCCTCACCAAGATAGTAAAAATAGTGATCAATAAATACTGAGGGAACTCAGAGACTAGCACCGGTGCAGGTCCTCACATGTTGAGCACCGGTCTCCTGGGCCCACTGTCCTTTCTCTGTACTTTGTCTCTGTGTCTTATTTCTTTTCTCAGTCTCTCGTCTCCACCTGACGAGAAATACCCACAGGTGTGGAGGGGCAGGCCCCCTTCACATGTTGGTCAGGCTGGTCTCGAACTCCCGACCTCAGGTGATCTCCCCACCTTGGCCTCCCAAAGTGTTGGGATTACAGGTGTGAGCCATCGCACCCGGCCCACTTTCTAATTTTTTCTCCTACTGTTTTTCCCTCCGTAGTCTCTTTTGTGGCATTGTCTTCCTCTGCTTCTTTCTTGTTTGTGTTTTTTGGTGCTATTGTAGGTCCTCCTGTCTTCTATACACTCTCTCGGTGATCTTACCCATAACCATGGTTATCAAATCTGTATCTCCATTTTTGAACTTTCTCCTGAGCTATACATCCATGGATCCAACATCCTACTCCACATCTCCACTCTGATATCCCATAGGCATGCCAATCTTGATAGGGCTAAGCCTGTTGCTTCTCTCCTCTGGTCTTCCTCTAGGAATAGCACCACCTATACTTCAAGCCAGAAAGTGGGGCTTCATCCTTGACAACTTCCTTCCATATACCCTCTAAATCAATCAAATCCTAAAGGCTACCAATGGTTCCTCTTACTTATCTCATGAATCCATCCACTTTTCACCAATCCATTGGTCAAGGATATACTCAGGAACTTCTCGTTTCTTCTCCTGTTACTGAAACAGTCTTCGGATTTGTCTGCTGCCTTCACTTTCTATTGTCTACGCTGTCGCTGCTGTGATCCTTCTACAACACACATCTGAGATTGCCACTCTCCTAATTCTAAATCCTTCAGTTGTTTTCCACTGCTTTCAAAATGCAATGCAATGGGCTGGGCGCAGAGGCTCACTCCTGTAATCCCAACACTTTGGGAGGAGGCCGAGGAGGGCAAATCACCTGAGGTCAGGAATTTGAGAGCAGCTTGGCCAAGATGGCGAAACCCTGTCTCTGCCAAAAACACAAAATTAGCCAGGCATGGTGGTTGGCTGTAATCCCTGCTACTTGGGAGGCTGAGGCAGGAGAATTGCTTGAACCTGGGAGTGGAGGCTGCAGTGAGACAAGATTGCGCCACTGCACTCCAGCCTGGGCAATAAAGCTAGATTCCATCTCAAAAAAAAAAAAAAAATGCAATGCAATGGTTTCGTGACCTGCCACAACGTGGCCCTGCCCAGCTCTTCTTACTTGCCATTGCTACTCATTTTCCCCTGCCCTCCCCACTCGACTGAACAGCTCTCAGTATCTCAAATTCATCATGCTCTCTTCTACTCCAGACTTTTGCTCATGTTGTTCCTTCATTTCCAACATTCCCACTTTTCCAACACTGACCTTCCCTTAGCTCATTTCCTTCCCTTAGCTGACCTTCCCTTAGCTCAACTGCTAAGGTCTTGCCTCCAGCTGCCACCTCTTTCACTTTCTTCAGGAAGCCTTTTTTTTTTTTTTTTTTTTTTTTTGAGACAGGGTCTCACTCTGTTGCCCAGGTTGGAGTGCAGTGACACGCTCACAGCTCATTGCAGCCTCAATCTCCCAGCTCTGCCAGTAAACAGATGGGCCTCTCTGGACCCCAGTTTCCAAAGGTTGAAGGTCAAGACAATAGCTCTCAATTCCCTACTTTTGTTAGGATTGTATGAAGGGTCCTTCCAGCACTGTCCCAGTATGGTGCTCGGCTAATGGAAAACCAATCTCTGTAACTTGGACTAGTTTTATTCCCACCTTATCTGGGAATTATAAGGGTATAAGGTTGTAAAAATATAAAGTTAACAATCTGACCCTCACTTGGGAATCATAAAATTACAATCTGATATCCACTTTACTTGGAACTTATGGTCAGCCCTCTGTATCCTCAATCAACCTGGGACTGAAAGTATTTGAAAAAATTACAATAACAAAAAATAATAAAAAATCATAGAAATAAAAAAGTACAGTGTAATATCTATTTACATAGCATTTACATTGTATTAGGTATTATAAGTACAGCAGGTCCTGGAATAACATCATTTCATCATTTTGCTCAGTGGTTTTCTTATAATGATGAGAAAAAAATAGATTTCTGGCTGGGTCCACTGTCACGTTTTATCCATGTCTGTGTGGATTTTCTCTGTCTTCTGGTGTCCTGTCACATCCCAAAGCCGTGCAGTGCACTTTAGGTAAATTGGTGCATCTACACGATCCGAGTGTGAGTGTGGGTGTGTGTGAGCACACCCTGTGAGGTGCCCTGAGTTGGAATAAGCCGGTAAAAATGATCTCACTTTTATTAATCTTTATTTTTCTCTAAGCGAGAGGGATAGGGGGTGTTTAAAAAAAACTTTTTCTTTGAGACAGAGCTGTGCTCTGTCGCCCAGGCTAGAGTACAGTGACATGATCTCGGCTCACTGCAACCTCTGGCTCCTGGGTTCAAGCGATTCTCCTGCCTCAGCCTCCCGAGTAGCTGAGAATACAGGCACGCGCCACCACACCCAGCCAATTTTCTGTATTTTTAGTAGAGATGGGGTTTCGCCATGTTGGCCAAGCTGGTCTTGAACTTCTGGCCTCACGTGATCTGCCCACCTCAGCCTCCCAAAGTGTTGGGATTATAGGCGTGAGCTAAAAATCTTCCTTAAATATATGCATGGCTCACACTTATTTCAATGTTTAATATTAGAAGTGTTTTGGTCTTTATTTCGAAGTTTAGGGGCGATTTTGTGACCACAGATATGTTGTAGGAACTTCACTCATATCAATTAGCCTGTGGTCAAACTGTTTTCCTTACAGTCATTTGGCTTAAAGTTTCAGTTTCCAAGAACCCCTCCACGATGTTAGGTGAGGACTTAGGGAATGTGGAGATGACCTAAAGTTTATGATGGGAAGATGTGTGTAGGTGATATGCAAACACTTTTTTTTTTTTTTTTTTTTACCAAGGACTTGAGCATTTGTGGACGTGGGTCCCCTGGAGGGGCCCTGGAACCAATCAGGACTATAAAATCCTTTTAAGGTTTTAAGAAGAGCATTGTTATCTCTGTGGTACTGACGAAGACCCCGCAAGCTCACCGAGATTAAGTGCCCCTGCCTAAGGTTACAAAGCCTCTTATCCTCAGGCCACCTCCAGTACAGCAAATCCAAGCCCTCCCGTCTAAACTTGGCGCCCTGAGTACCAAGGGTCACCTCGGCCTTTCAGGCTGAAGGGAGGGAGGCTGAGTCTCAGGGCAGAGTCTGAGTCCCACTCCGCACCCCACCCTCTGTCTGGTACAGCTTACCAAACCAAAGTGCCCAAAGCCGTGACATCCCGGCCGGCGGCTCGCAGGCCCCCGCCCTCCGCACGTCACGGCCGCCGGGTGCAGTGCCCCCTAGGGGCCCCTGGGACGAGGAGGAAGCGCCAGGTCCTTCCCGCCGCCGCCGCCGCCGCCGCCGCCTGCTCCCCTGGCACGCGCCCCGCCGCCCTCGGCAGCCGCAGCTCCGTGTCCCCTGAGAACCAGCCGTCCCGCGCCATGGGCACGCGTCTGCCGCTCGTCCTGCGCCAGCTCCGCCGCCCGCCCCAGCCCCCGGGCCCTCCGCGCCGCCTCCGTGTGCCCTGTCGCGCTAGCAGCGGCGGCGGCGGAGGCGGCGGCGGTGGCCGGGAGGGCCTGCTTGGACAGCGGCGGCCGCAGGATGGCCAGGCCCGGAGCAGCTGCAGCCCCGGCGGCCGAACGCCCGCGGCGCGGGACTCCATCGTCAGGTGAGTGTCGGGTCTGGCCCTGGCCCAGGTCTCCAGCGGCTGTGGCCCCGACCCAGGGGCGGAGCGCCCGGGACCGCCGTGGGGAGCGGGGCGCGGGGCTGCGAGTGTTTGGTGCCAACTCATTAGGGGGGCCGGGCGGTGTGTCGGGAAACGCGGGCTTGGGCACTGCGGCCGGGAGCGCTGGCGGAGAACGGGGGATCCAGTACCCGACCGGGCCCGCAGCGCAGGTGGGCGTGGGCATCTCCAATGGGCGCCTAGCGGCATGGACCGCACGCCCGGCTCCACGTGCGCAGCCGGCCGCCGGCTCTGATGCAATCGCGCCGGGCGCGACCCAGACGGTAAAGGGGCGGTGCGGCTGGGGCGGAAACCAGGGGAGGGGGCGAGGAGCAGGAGGAGGGCGGGGCTGCGGCTCGGCGCGCCGGCTGGCCCGGGGTTCGGGAAGGGCAAGCGGAGCTCGGGAGAGGCGGGCTCGGGCCCAGCGCCGCCCGCGCGAAGCTCCCTGGTGTTGTGCGCCCTTCCCCGCGCGCGGCCCCTCCTGCTGGGCTGGGGTCTGTGGCTGACGTCCGCTTTTCCCGGAACGGCAAAGGTGGAGCCGGGCCCCCGGGACAGCCGCCGGGGGGAATCCGAGAGGTCTCAGCGCTGGTTTCCAGCTTCGCCGCGCAGCGCCCACGGAGTCCCCGCGCAGCTGGGTTTGCAGGGTTTTCTGCGGGCCCAGAGCGAACTGGGAGCCCCGGGCCCGGCCTTTCCCGTCCCGGTCCCCGCCCCTGGGCTCCAGCCTTCCCCGCCCTCGCCCAGAGGGGCGCACGGGTCTCGGGCCTTGCAGGGCGAGCCCTTCGGGACAACTTGGGGGTGGCAAGAAAGCCCCTTCCGCCTCCCTCGGAACTGGGATTAGGAACGAGTTCCAGGATGCGGTTTCCCCGGCCAGCGGACCACCTCCTCCATTCACATCCTCTTCCCTTTCCTTCTAGCCTTCTTTCTTAGTCATTGCCTGCTTGCCTTTCTCTCTGCCTTTCCTTCCTCCCTCTGCTCTCCCATTTTCCTCCCCACTCCCCTTCTCCCATCTCAGTAAAATACGTTTCCTAGGCTCTTTATTATGTGGCGGATGATTTTAAGGGGCCATTTATTTAGTTTTTCTTGTTCTCTGTCTTCTTTTTCTTTTAGAAATGGAGTCTCGCTTTGTTGCTCAGGCTGGAGTTCAGTGGTGCCATCTCGGCTCAATGCAGCCTCCGCCTCCTGGGCTCAAGCGATTCTCCCGCCTTAGCCTCCAGTGTAACTGGGACCACAGGTGTGCGCTACCATGCCCGGATTATTTTATTTTATTTTCATAGAGACAGAGCACCACTCTGTTACCAGGCTGGTCTGGAACTCCTGGGCGCAAGCCATCATCCCTGCCCCCAAAAGCGCTGGGATTAATTACACGTCAGGTCATTAGGTTTTAACCTGCACGTTGCTGAGACTCATCTTACCGGTTAGAGTCTGAAGCCAGGATAGGCGGCAAAAAAACTTCTCCCGTCATGCTGTTTTATTTTCTAGGTAAACTGATTATTACCTGAAACTTCCTTCTTTGCTCATTTCTTGTCTGTCTCACCCACCTGGAATATGAGCTTCATGAGACAGCCGTCTCTTCGGTGCTATATCCTAGGTCCTGGAGAGAGTGCCCAGCATGTAATAAGCACTTGTGAAATGGTTACAGAAGGAATGCTTCAAGATTTGGGGTCATCTGTGGGTTTTATTCATACATATTCTTTTTTTTTTTTTTTTTTTTTGAGACGGAGTCTTGCTCTGTCACTCAGGCTGGAGTGCAATGGCACGATCTTGGCTCCCTGCAACCTCTGCCTCCCAGGTTCAGGCGATTCCCCTGCCTCAGCCTCCCGAGTAGCTGGGATTACAGGAGCACGCCACCACGCCCGGCTAATTTTTGTATTTTGAGTAAAGACAGGATGTCTCACCATGTTGGCCAGGCTGGTCTTGAACTCCTGACCTCAGGTGATCCGACTGCCTTGGCCTCCCAAAGTGTTGGGATTACAGGCGTGACCCACCGCGCCTGGGCTATTCATGCATACTTTTAGGTTTAAAGCCATGACTGCCTTAGAGATGAGTAAAGAGGTTAGTAGGGGGCTTTAGGGCCTGCACTGGGTTCTCCAAACTCAATTCCTTCAGGAAAATGGGAGGAGTAACAGTACTTACCTCAAGGGGTTATGGAAACAATTATGTGAGAGGACACATGCAAAATACATAGCCCAGGACTGTCACATACAAGACAAGTCCCTCAACAAATGGTGGCTATTAATTTTTTTTTTTTTTTTTTGAGACGGAATCTCACTCTGTCGCACAGGTTGGAGTGCAGTGGCGGGATCTCGGCTCACTGCAACCTCCGCCTCCCGGGTTCAAGCGATTCCCCTGCCTCAGCCTCCTGAGTAGCTGGGATTACAGGCTCGCACTACCACGCCTGGCTTATTTTGTGTTTTTAGTAGAGACGGGGTTTCACCATGTTGGCCAGGCTGGTCTCAAACTCCTGACCTCGTGATCTGCCTGCCTCAGCCTCCCAAAGTGCTGGGATTACAGGTGTGAGCTACCATGCCCAGCAATATTTTTACAATTCACTAAGCCAGGGGTCCACAGACGTTTTATATATAATGGGCCAGATAGTAAATATTTTAGGTTTAGTGATCCTAGAGGCAAATCAAAATTATTAGTAGGTACATTTATAACAAGAGAAAAGACAAATTTAGGCCAGGCACCATGGTTCATGCCTGTAATCCCAGCACTTTGAGAGGCCAAAGTGGGATGATCACATTCCCAGGAGTTCAAGACCAGCCTGGGCAACATAGTGAGACACCCATCTCTGTAAAAAATTTTAAAAAATTAACTGGGCGTGGCGCGTGCCTGTAGTTCCAGCTACTCAGAAGGCTGAGGCAGGAGGATCACTTGAGCCCAGGAGGTCAAGGCTACAGTGAGCGGAGATTGCGCTACTGCACTGCAGCCTGGGCAATGGAGTGAGACCTTATTTTTTATTTTTGCAATTAAGTATTTTTAATTAAGGTATGTACATTTTTTAGACAATGCTTTTGCACACTTAATAGATGGCAGTATAGGGTAACCATAACTTTTATTTTTATTTTCTATTTTACTTTAAGTTCTGGGAAACGTGCCGAACGTGCAGGTTTGTTACATAGGTATACATGCGCCATGGTGGTTTGCTGCACCCATCAACCCGTCATCTAGGTTTTAAGCCCCACATGCATTAGGTATTTGTCCTAATGCTCTCCCTCCTCTTGCCCTCCCACCCCCTGACAGACCCTGGTGTGTGATGTTCCCCTCCCTGGGTCCACGTGTTCTTATTGTTCAACTCCCACTTATGAGTGAGAACATGGGGTGTTTGGTTTCTGTTCCTGTGTTGGTTTGCTGAGGATGATGGTTTCCAGCTTCTTCCATGTCCCTGCAGAGGACATGAACTCATGCTTTCTTATGGCTGCAATTTTATTTTTGTAGAGATGAAGTCTCACTATGTTGGCCAGGCTGGTCTCAAACTCCTGGGTTCAAGTGATCCTGCTGCCTCAGCCTCCCAAAGTGCTGAGATTGCAGGCATGAGCCACCACGCCTGGCTATATTGTACCTTTCAATTGAGTTATGTGCATGGTTTACTGAAACTCTAGCCCTGAATTGATTCTCCGAGGATTGGAGCAAAGTGGGTGGGGGTGTGTGTCAGCTAGAAGTCACCTGGAATAGACATCCAGGAGCGGAAGTGTATTAGTCAGAAAAATTAAAGAATGAGCTCCCTCAAAAGCATAGTGACCTGTTGTTCCTGGTGATGGGACTAGATGACCATAATCCCTCAGCCTCCCAAGTAGCTGGGATTACAGGCAGGCACCACCACACCCAGCTAATTTTTGTATTTTTAGTAGAGACGGGGTTTCACCATGTTGGCCAGGCTAGTCTTGAACTCCTGACCTCAAATGATCCACCCGCCTTGGCCTCCCAAAGTGTTGGGATTACAGGCATGAGCCACTGCCCCTGGCCAGTAATAATACATTCTGTATAATAGTCACAGTAATGGTGAAAATAACAAAGCTGCTGCTGATGGCTTAGTTCTGAGTTTTAGCTACACATGGCAACCTAGCTAGAGAGCTCACATTCCTTCCCACTGTCCTCAACCAAAGTGGAAGCTCACAAGGCCATTTTTCTGCCCCAAGGACATGAAAATCTCTGATTAGAAACATTTATGCTACTTTTTGGATTTATTGAGCCTAATGACTCCTTTTTCTTTCTTGCTTTGTCACTGTAGGAATGAGTAACCCCAAAAAATGAAACATTACACATATAACAAGTTGTAGGGAGCATGAACCTATTTTGTTTTATTAGCTTGGGTGGTAGTAGCGTTGAACTCCTTTACATACCTGTACAGGCACCCCTAAGATATTGTGGGTTCAGTTGCAGACCACTGCAATAAGGGGAATATCGCAGTAAAACGAGTCACACAAATTTTGTAGTTTCCCAGTGCATATAAAAGTTATGTTTAGACAATACTGTAGCCTATTAAGTATGCACTAGCGTTTTGTCTAAAAAAAAACCCATATATAAGGCCGGGCGTGGTAGCTCATGACTGTAATCCCAGCACTTTGGGAGGCTGAAGTGGGTGGATCACGAGGTCAGGAGTTCGAGACCAGCCTGGCCAACATAGTAAAACCCTGTCTCTACTAAAAATACAAAAATTAGCCAGGCATGGTGGTGTGCGCCTGTAGTCCTGGCCACTTGGGAGGCTGAGGCAGGAGAATCGCTTTAACCCGGGAGGTGGAGGTTGTGGGGAGGCGGAGGTTGTGGTAAGCCACTACACTCCAGCCTGGGAAACAGAGCGAGACTCCGTCTCAAAACAAAACAAAACAAAAAAACCCAAAAAACATATATATATATATTATATATATAAAATATATATAATATAATATACCTTAATTATAATATAATATAATTATATATACCTTAATTTATATATATACCTTATAATATATATACCTTAATATATATACCTTAATTATATATATACACACCTTAATATATATATAATATATATTAATATATATCTTAATATATATATATAAGGTAATATATATATACACCTTAATAATAATATATATACCTTAATTTTAAAATACTTTATTACCAAGAAATGCCAGTGATCTGGTGGAGGATTTGCCTAGATGTTGATGGTTATTGACTGATCAGGGTGATTGCTAAAGATTAGGGTGGCTGTGGCAGTTTTTTAAAGTAAGACAATGAGGTTTGCTGTATTGATGGAACTCTTCCTTTCCTGGAAGATTTCTCTGTAGCAGTGCTACAGAGAAAATGGTAACATTTTACCCACAGTAGTAGGACTTCTTTCAAAATGGGCGTCAATCCTCTCAAACCCTGCAACTGCTTTACCAAGTACTTGATATCAACTACTGTAATCTTTTTTTTTTTTTTTTTTTTTTTTGAGATGGAATCTTGCTCTGTCGCCCAGGCTGGACTGCAGTGCTGCGATCTCGGCTCGCTGGAACCTCCGCCTCTCAGGTTCAAGTGATTCTCCTGCCTCAGCCTCCTGAGTAGCTGAGACTACAGGCGCCTGCCACCACGCCTGGCTAATTTTTTTGTATTTTTAGTAGAAACGGGGTTTCACCATATTGGCCAGGCTGGTCTCGAACTCCTGACCTTGTGATCCGCCCACTTCGGCCTCCCAAACTGCTGGGATTACAGGTGTGAGCCACTGTGCCTGCCTAACTACTGTAATCTTATAAATCCTTTGTTGTCATTTTATTTTATTTTAATTTTATTTTATTTTATTTTAATTTAATTTTATTTTATTTTATTTTTTGAGACAGTCTCACTCTTTCACCCAGGCTGGAGTGCAGTGGCGCGATCTCTGCTCACTGCAACCTCTGCCTCCCGGGTTCAATAAATTCTCCTGCTTCAGCCTCCCGAGTAGCTGGGATTATAGGCGTGCACCACCATGCCCTGCTAATTTTTTTATTTTTAGTAGAGACGGGGTTTCACTATGTTGGCCAGGCTGGTCTCCAACTCCTGACCTCGTGATCCGCCCGCCTCGGCCTCCCAAAGTGCTGGGATTACAGGTGTGAGCCACTGCGCCCGGCCTAATAAGGCTGTTTTCTTATCATTTGTGTATCCACGGGAGTAGCACTTTTAAATTTCTTCAATAGCTTTTCCTTTGCATTCACAGCTTGGCTAACTGTTTGGCTCAAGAGGCCTAGCTTTTGACCTATCTTGGCTTTCAATACACCCTCCTCACTAAGTTTAATTATTTCTCGGTTTTTATTTAAAGTGAGAGACCTGCAACTCTTCACTTGAACACTTAGAGGCCACTGTAGTTACTAATTGTCCTAATTTCAATATTGTTGTTTCTCAGGGAATAGGGAAGCCAGAGGAGAGGGAGAGAGAAGGGGGAACAGCCAGTCCAGTGAAGCAGTGAGAACACACACCATCATGAACCATCATGGCCACGGTTTGGCCAACACAATTACAACAGTAACATCAAAGATCGTCAATCACACATCACCAGAACAAACATACTAAAAATGAAAAAGTTTGAAATATTGTAAGAATTATCAAAATGTGACACAAATTGAGCAGATGCCATTGGAAAAATGACTCCCATAGACTTAAAACACAGGTTGCCACAAACTTTCAATTTGTAGAAAAACACAGTATCTGTAAATTGCAGTAAAGCAAAGCACAAAAAATGATGTATGCCTGTATTTTTTTTTCTATCCACATCCACCCCCCAACTTTTTTTTTTTTTTTGGTAGAGACCAGGTCTTGCTATCTTGCCCAGGCTGGCCTTGAACTCCTGAGCTCAAGTGATCCTCTCACCTCAGCCTCCCAAAGTGCTGGGATTACAGGCATGAGCCACTGCGCCCAGCCCCCATCCCCAACTATTTTAAAAGTCTAATTACTTTTTGACGATTGCCGACTTACCTATAGAAGTGTTCCTTTCAGCCCGGCGAGGTGGCTCACCCCTGTAATTCCAGCACTTTGGGAGGCCTAGGTGGGCGGATCACGAGGTCAAGAGATCGAGACCACCCTGGCCAACTTGGTGAAATCCTGTCTCTACTAAAAATACAAAAATTAGTGGGACGTGGTGGCATGCACCAGTAGTCCCAGCTACTCAGGAGACTGAGGCAGGAGAATCGCTTGAACCTGGGAGATGGAGGTTGCAGTGAGCCGAGATCGTGCCACTGCCCTCCAGCCTGGAAACAAAGTGAGACTCCGTCTCAAAAAAATAAAAAGAAGTGTTCCTTTCATCAACTATGAATGGATCAAGACTATGAATGTTTCTGAGAAAATTATTGCTGTTAGTAAGAATGTTTTTAGTGTTTAAGGGTAGCTTTGGGGCACAGAAAAAAACAAACGTACATTTATAAGAAAAAGGGGAAAGAGCCACTGTAGTATACCTGTTTTACAGATGAGGAATCTGAGACTCTTAGAGACTTGTCCACGCTAGTAAATGAAATGCCCAGTACCAATCCTGGGCCGTATTTCCACTTAGTGTCTCAGAATTACCTGGACTCTGTTAAAAATGCACATTTCTGGGCTCCACTGAGACACGTTGAATCAGACTTTCTAGGGCTGGAACTGTTATTTTTTTTGAGACAGAGTCTCGCTCTGTCACCCAGCTGGAGTGCAGTGGCATGATTTTGGCTCACTGCAGCCTCTGCCTCCTGGGTTCAAGTGATTCTCCTGCCTCAGCCTCCTGAGTAGCTCTGGGATTACAGGTGTGCACCACCATGCCTGGCTAATTTTTGTATTTTTACTAGAGATGGGGTTTCACCATGTTGGCCAGGATGGTCTCAAACTCCTGACCTCAAGTGATCCATTTCACCTTGGCCTCCCGAAGTACTGGGATTATAGGTGTGAGCCACTGCACCTGGCCTGGAACCTTTACTTTTACCAAACTCTCCAGTGATCCTTATACCATGAACCGCTTGGGTCCCACACTCCGGTGCTTTCCTGGACCCAGACAAAAATAAGAACCCAGCATAGCCAAATTAACAGTCACGACAGGCTGGAAAGAGTGCGGTATATGGGCCTCAGTCACCCATTATTGGATGGATGGATTTTAGTGCTTATTTATAAGGTGATTTGTAAACTTTCCCATATGGTCACATTTATTCAGCACAATAATACAATTAATTCCCTGGGAATGAAGTAGCTTTATCCCAAGTGTTTCCAAACAAAACTAACTGAAATGTTCCCAGGTTATAGACAGTTGCCTGCACCCAGTCCATCTGTTCCGGCCCAGCTGGCAGTAGAAAGACTGGTCCTGGTTGTGAATCTGAGCAGCTCTCTCCCCTAAAGCCCCGCCTGGGAACTGCAGTGCCTCTGGTTCCATTTGTCAGCTGTGTCTCTCTGAAAACTGGGGAAAGCTTCCCGATGCCTTTCTGCTCTTGGCAGTGTACCGTTGATGGCATTGGCTGGAACTTCTTCACCCCGCATTTTTGTTAGGTGCAGTGCAAGACCCTGTCGGAGACTGAAAACAAAATGTAAAGGTGGTCTTAGCACTGAAGCCTGGGGGCTCCTGTGGCTGCGCCTTTGGTCTATTGTGAGAGGGGGAAAAGCCAGCTCCCAGTGCTCATGTGCTGCTGAGAACATATCATAGGGTGGTGGCGAAGGTAGCCTCTGCAGTCACTCATCCCAGAAGGTTCCATAAAGAGCTGAGCTCCTAACACTTTTTTTTTTTTTTGAGACGGAGTCTTGCTGTGTTGCCCAGGCTGGAGTGCGGTGGCACAATCTCGGCTCACTGCAACCTCTGCCTCCCAGGTTCAAGAGATTCTCCCGAGTAGCTCAGATTATAGGCGCCTGCCACCACACCCAGCTAATTTTTGTATTTCTGGTAGAGACGGGGTTTCACCATATTGGCCACGGTGGTCTTGAACTCCTGACCTTGTGATCCACCCGCCTCAGCTTCCCAAAGTGCTGGGATTACAGGCGTGAGCCACCGCTCCTGGACTTTTTTTTTTTTTCTTTTTTTAAAAAGAAATTGAGTCTTGCTCTGCCACCCAGGCTGGAGTGCAGTGGTGCAGTCATAGCTTACTACAGCCTCAAACTCATGGGCTCAAGCGGTCCTCCAGCTTCAGCCTCCCAAGTATCTGGGACTACAGTCACGTGCCATCACGCCCAGCTAAATTGTTTATAGAGATGGGATCTCGTTATGTTACCCAGGCTGGTCTCAAACTCCTGGTCTCAAGCAGTCCTACCGCCTTGGCCTCTCAAAGTGCTGGGACTACAGGTGCATGCCACCATGCCAGGCCTTCTACCACTTTTACCTAGGCCTGCTCACCCCAGGCTGGCACCTCCCTCAGAGGTGGGAGGTGAAGGTGGCTGCTGCTGGGCATTTAGGAGGTACAGGTGCAGACTATGTTGTGGATTCTCAGAGGACTGAGAAGCTCTCTGTCTCTCTCTCTAGGAGGCTTTGATAGTGTTATCAAAGTGGGTCTCCAGTGTTTCTGGAACTTTCCTCCCCTTCCTTCCTTACCTAATTCCTTCTTTAAATTCCAGGACCTGGAATTTATCCTGTCTCGACACTTCTTGTCCAACAGTGAGCCCCCTGTCTTCACCCCCCTAATCCCCTGTCTTCACATCCCTCTTCCCACTTTATTTGCTTTCCCCATGGACCCATACTCAGGGTTTTGGGAGGATGGCAGCGGAGTATGGTGGAGGAGAGCGATTATTTAAAGTAGAAACCCAAAGCTTTTATTATAGTAAACTTGGAAAATACAAGAGAAAAATTCACCCCTAGAAAATTATTGTAAACATCTAGTTTGTTTCCCTCTGCATATTTTAAAAACTGGATTGCCGCATTTTACCTTGTGTTAGTGTCTTGATTTCATTGTTACGCCGCCTACCCCCTCCACAGTGTACACTTGGAGTGCGTCCTTCTGTGGTCTAGTTATTTTCACTTGGAGGAAGGAACTTTCACAGAAAATGTGTTGTGTCAGTCCTTTCTACTCATTAACCAAGAAATCACAATGTTGTTTTCTTTCTCAATGTAGAGAAGTCATTCAGAATTCAAAAGAAGTTCTAAGTTTATTGCAAGAAAAAAACCCTGCCTTCAAGCCGGTTCTTGCAATTATCCAGGTAAGCCGAGAACAAGGTTCAGTCCTACTATTTTAGGATGCCTTTCAATTTAGAAAATGATTGTATACAAAAGAGCAGCTGCATTTCTTGCCAAAGAGGAGAGGGCTCAGTTGGCAATGCTGTTTTCTTTGGTCTTTTGCTTCTTTGGGGTCACGGGTGAAGTACTGCCCTGCTTGAGTGTGTCTTCTTTTGTGAATTTTCCTCTCTGAGGTATGGGTAGCTTTCAGAGGTCTAGGAGGTAAGCACTTACATGCATTGCATTACACAGGATATATCGTGGTCCATGTGTCCTCACAAATGCTTACCAAATGTGATTTGAAGGTGCTGGGGGAAAAAGTGGCACTTTGTTTCAATGGACACAGATGCTAGATGAAACATGGATATTTGGTAATCTTTTTACTCTATCTTTTAAAACCTGCCATAAACTTAATGGGACAAAAGTCATTACCCTGTCAAAAGGGCTTTGCATTCCACATACTTCTTTTGGCTGCAGGCTCTGGTTCTGAGCCACAGTTGGCCCCAGTTGCCATCCTGCTTGGCACACTTGTGTGATGGCAGGTGCTGAGAAATAAGGAGGTGAGCCAAGCCTGGAAGCAAACACAGCCTGACAGTTGGGCTGCTACCGCAGGGCTTGGCATGCCCTTAGCGTATCAAAATAGCAGCCTCTGGTTCCACCGTGCTGCGTATTTCAGGATTACAGAGCTGTGCTCAAGTTACTTACATTCTCTGGGATCTGTAGCCACATCTTGTTACAAAGAAAGACAAGTTAGAACAATAGAAAGAAAATTAGATTAGGGCTCGGGCCTCCTGGGAATCTGCTTACTCCCTGGCTTTCCATCTAAAGGCAAACCATTTCAACTCCTACCTTTGGTATCCCCATTTTTTGGCTTCTTTTTGTGATGGGGTCTTGCTCTGTTGCCTGAGCTGGAGTGCAGTGGCATGATCTTGGCTCACCGTAGCTTTGACCTTCTGGGCTCAAGTGATCCTCCCACCTCAGCCTCCTGAGTAGCTAGGACTGCAGGCATGCACCATCACGCCGGGCTAATGTTTGTATTTTTTGTAGAGATGGGGTTTCACCATGTTGCCCAGGCTGGTCTCGAACTCCTGGGCTCAAGCAATCCACCGCCTCAGCCTTCTGCAGTGCTGGGATTACAGGCATGAGCCACTGTGCCCAGTCGGTGTCCTCATTTTTAGAGAGGAAAGCTGGCTAGGTTACTATGTCTTCTAATAGGAGGGATATTATTTTCCTTAAAAAAGTGACATAATTTGAAGGCCTGAGGAATTACTCTGTTAAATACTGGCCCCAAGTCCCTTTTTATAAGCAGCAAGATTGTTTTTCTGCACCTTCCATATTATCTTTGTAATTAGATCATCTGTAATCACAAAATTCATCTCTGGATTATCTTTTGTGCCTTTTCAAGCTATTTTTATGTTGTTATGTTGTTTTTACCTTCCTAAGGCAGGTGACGACAACTTGATGCAGGAAATCAACCAGAATTTGGCTGAGGAGGTGAGGACTGCTGCTTTTAAAAAATTCACTATAACTTTTAACAATACATTCTCTTATAGTGACGAATAACCTTGTGTTCCTTTTTCAGGCTGGTCTGAACATCACTCACATTTGCCTCCCTCCAGATAGCAGTGAAGCCGAGGTAATAATGGCAGAGCTCTAAACTCTTGCTTCTTCTTTCCTCTTGAGACTTAATAGGCCCATTGGCGTCTCTTAGTGGTGGCTGGGACAGATCTAAGATTTGCTTGTGACTGAATGTTAGAGGGAAGACTTCACTTCTTTTCTCTAGGGTAAATGCTTCATGATATCCTTGTTTCTTGTCATTTGTATGTTTCTACTGAAGACTTGAGTTGCGACTTGTTGAGTTCGGTTGTGTTTCTTCAGCTGCGGTGGCAGCGTCATCTAGTGGAAATTGTCAGGCCGAGGCGAGGAAACTGGACCTTGGACCACAGATCCCTGTGCCAGGGCCCGGCCCTTCTGTGGTTAGCTTTTCTTCCTACTGGCTTCATGTGACAGAAAACCTCAAATAATGGAATCTTAAATAATGTACAAGTTTATTTCTCTCTCTCTCTCTTTTTTTTTTTGAGATGGAATTTTACTTTTGTTGCCCAGGCTGGAGTGCAATGGTGCCATCTCGGCTCACTGCAACCTCCGCCTCCCAGGTTCAAGCAATTCTCCTGCCTCAGCCTCCTGAGTAGCTGAGATTACAGGTGCGTGCCACCACGCCTGGCTAATTTTTGTATCTTTAGTAGAGATGGGGTTTCACCATTTTGGCCAGGCTGGTCTTGAACTCCTGACCTCAAGTGATCCACCCTCCTTGGCCTCCCAAAGTGCTGGGATTACAAGTGTGAGCTACTGTGCCCGGCCTAGAAGTGTATTTTTCTGGGACATGAATAAAGTTTGGAAGTAGGCAGTCCCTGGTTGGTGATATCACCAAGTCGCAGGAGCTCAGGCTCCTGTCCCTCTGCTCTGCCGCCTTTGTGGTTTGGTTAACAAGCACTTTGTTCTGATTGATCAGTGAGGCCCAGCAGGTCTGCTAGTCATTTGTGAGACAAAGAATGGGAATTTGTAGAGTTTGTATCTGGCCTTGTGCTATGTAAACAAGGGGGCATTGGTGAGTCTTATTTGAGTCCTATGGAGAAGAGCAGTTCTTTGCAGTACACAGAGGCTGCAGGGATTTGTTAACCTTCCCTCTTTTCCAGGATCACAGGGCTCAGGTAAAGTTCGTTGTCACCAAGAAGAAAAAGGAAGGACAAAGACAGGCCCCTGCTGTCTTTAAAGACATTTCCTGAAAGTCACAGTTCTACATCCATCCCGTTGTCCCCTACTTAGTTGCCTGGCCAACTGCAAAGGAGGCTGGGAAGTGTAGTTTTTATACCAGGAAGCCTTAGATCATTTATTAGCAAGCTAAAAACCAAGAGTTTATTACTAAGAAGAGAAAGGAAACTATATACTGGGCGATAAGTGTTTGCCACACTTGCCATTGTAGCGTGGTACAAATATGAAGTGTTAAATATGTAACAAATACCTATGATACCAGCAGTGACAGCATGCAAAGGAAGTTGTTGTTCATTTGCACGATACCCACTGTCTGCAGCAGAATTTGCTTTTCTTTCTTTTTTTTTGAGATGGAGTCTCGCTCTGTCAGGCTGGAGTGCGGTGGTGCAATCTTGGCTCACTGCAACCTCTACCTCCCGGGTTCAAGTCATTCTCCTGCCTCAGCCTCCCAAGTAGCTGGGATTACAGGCGCCCGCCACCATGCCTGGCTAATTTTTTGTGTTTTTAGTAGAGACAGGGTTTCATCATGTTGACCAGGCTGGTCTTGAACTCCTGACCTCAGGTGATGGCCTGCCTCTGCCTCCCAAAGTGCTAGGATTACAGGTGTGAGCCACTGCGCCCAGCTGGAATTTGCTTTTCTTTAGGTTGTTTTGCCACTGGTGTTTTTTTTTTTTTTTTTTTTTCTGAGACGGAGTCTCACTCTGTCACCCAGGCTAGAGTCCAATGGCGCAATCTCCTCTCACTGCAACTTCCACCTCCCATGTTCAAGTGATTCTCCCTGCTCAGCCTCCCAAGTAACTGGGTTTACAGGCACCCGCCATTATGCCCAGCTAATTTTTGCATTTTTGTAGAGACGGGGTTTCACCATGTTAGCCAGGCCGTTCTCGAACTCCTGACCTCAGGTGATCTGCCCTCCCTGGCCTCCCAAAGCGCTGGGATTACAGGTATGAGCCACCTCACCTGGCCTTGACACTGGTATTAATAGCCCTTGATTTTCGTCGTTGTTGTTTATAATTGACACATAATAATTGTGCATGTGTGTGGGGTACAGTGTGGTGTTTCGGTACTTGCATATGTTGTGTAATGATCAAATCAGGTTAGTTACATTCATCACCTAGAACGTTTATCATTTCTTTGTGGTGATAGCTTTCAAGATCTTTTCTAGCTGTCTGGAAATATACAATACATTGTCATTAGCTTTAGTCACTCTACTATGTAAGAGAACACTGGAATTTATTCCTCCTATCTAAGTGTAACTTTATACCTACTGATGGACCAACCTCTCCCCATTTCCCCTCCCCCATCCCTCTCCAGCCTCTGGTAACCACCATTCTATTCTCTATTTCTATGAGATCAGCTTTCCTAGATTGCACATGTAAGTGACATCCTATGATATTTGCCTTTCTGCACCTGGCTTATTTCACTTCATGTTATGTCCTCCAGGTTCATCCATGTTGCCACAAATGACAGGATTTCATTCCTTTTTATGGTTGAATGATACTCCATTGTGTATACACACCACACTTTCTTTATCCTCCATTAATGGGCATTTGGATTGGTTCCATCTCTTGGCTACTGTGAATAGTGCTGTAACAAACATGGGAATGCAGACGGCTTCTCAGCATAGCGGTTTCAGTTCCCATGCGTATATACCTAGTGGTGGGAATGGCTGGGTCATATGGTAGTTGTTTTTTTAATTTTGTGAGAAATCTTCATACTGTTTTCTCTAATGGCTATATTAATCTGCATTCCCACCAACAGTGTACAAGAGCTCCCCTTTCCACATATCCTCGCCAGCATTTGTTATTGTCATTTTTGATAATAGCCATTCTAGCTTGATATCTCATTGTGGTTTTGATTTGCATTTCCCTGATAATTAATGATGTTGAGTGTTTTGTCATATACCTGCAGGCCATTTGTATGTCCTTTGGGAGATGTCTGTTCACGTCTTTTGCACATTTTTTATTTGAATTATTTGTTTTTTTGTTATTAAGTTATTTGAGTTCCTTATATATTCTGGATGTTAACCCCTTGTCGGACGCATACTTTGCAAATATTTTCTCCCATTCTGTAGGTTGTCTCTGCTTTGTTGATTGTTTGCTTTGCTATGAAGAATGTTTTTAGTTTGATATAATCCCACTGATGTATTTTTGCTTTCGTTGCCTATTTTGTTGAGGTCCTATCCAAAAAAACCTTGTCCAGACCAATGTCATGAAGCATTTCCCCTGTGTTTTCTTCTAGTAGTTTTATGGTTTGAGACCTTATATTTAAGTCTTTAATTCCTTTTGAGTTGATTTTTATAGAAGTGAGCGATGAGGGCCTACTTTCATTCTTCTGCATGTGGATATCCAGTTTTCCCAGTGCTATTTATTGAAGAGGCTCTCTTTCCACAATGTGTGTTCTTAGTACCTTTGCCTTGACTTATTTTTTGACAAGGAATCATTTATTCCGTATTTTTCTTTGGGAAAATTCTCATAGAGTGAATTTGTATGGTGTTATATTGAAAAAGAGTAGGTACCTTAATTTATTAGTTAAGATTTGTGTTGGCATTTGTTGCTTCTACCAAATGCTTGGTACAGGTGGCAATAGTTTCCTCGCTTCATTCTGGTCTCTGCTTGGACATCGTGGCCTCTGACCACCCTCCACCCATCATCACTCTGTTAGCCTTTTACCCCACTGAACCTTTATTTTTCTGCATGTCATTTATTCTTTCCAGTGATTTTATTATTATTATTATTTGGAAGGGAGGAACTTCCCTCCTCCACTAGAGTATAAGATCCACGAGGACAGTTTTGTTTATAGCTGTATTTCCTTTACTTAGAACTGATACAGAGTAAGTGCTCAAACCATTTGTTGAATGAATGAAAGAATGCCAAATGAATGAAACAAAGCTTTCTTTCTGATTTTGTACCTCAAATGGTTTCCCCTGCCACTGCACAGGTAGTGATTTTTGCTAGGCAATGAAACAAAAATGGTAAACCAACCCTTCCCCAGAGCCTCTGAGTGAGATCTATATGCAAAGATAAGTATCTTCTCACTTGTGAGCAAATATTTTTGTTAAGTGAGATGAATCAGGATCTTATCTCCTGGCATAAAATAGACAGAGAGGACAAAGCATTGCTTATTTAGAGACACACCCAGACATTTATTAGCTTCCCAAAATGTAGCTTGGTCTTTTTCCTAAATAGTGAATTATTTTAGTGTTTCCCATAAAAGGAGCTGTGCATGCTAAGAATTTTTCTAGCATAAGCCTTTGGAAAGGCTTCTTGTGTGTCATTGAGGTCCAGATAACCCGAGGGCCTCTGTGACTGCTTGGACGTCATGATTAGTGAGCTGTGTTGAACACATTGTGTTTGAAACGCACAGGCTTAGCTGGGCCAGATTGGAATGCTTCAGATTCATGCTTCCTGTCCTTCCTGAAAACTGGCAGTGTGTTTGGCTTAAAGTATGCTTGTTGACAGAGAAGTGTCCTTTGTCTATCTAAACCTTAATAGCTGTTGAGCTTTGGTTTTGTTCTGTTTTGTCTTTTTCTGGCACAGAGTAGAGCCATAGAAAGGCAGAGAAGTCACTAAAAAATTCAGCCAAGCCTTTTAATTTTTTTTTTGAGCCTTGTACACATGATGAAAAGAAAAAAATAGGCTTTTTATTATGCTTTACACCAAGTTTCCAACAAGGAGCAAAACAACAACAAACTATAACAGATGCATTTTCATGAATCCACTTTTTATATAAAGCTTCCTTTGTTGGGTCTCATTTTCACAAAACTAATTTTTATTTTGTTTTTTTGTTTTCTCTTTAGATTATAGATGAAATCTTAAAGATCAATGAAGATACCAGAGTACATGGCCTTGCCCTTCAGATCTCTGAGAACTTGTTTAGCAACAAAGTCCTCAATGCCTTGAAACCAGAAAAAGATGTGGATGGGTAAGAAAATAAAATCAAATAATCAACCTTTATGGCTAAATCACTTTTTCTATTGTGCCTGCTTTTATTTTTCTAAATTTCTTCTATTTATTTCAACTGTGTCAGTAATTGGATAAAAAAATCATTTTAAATATTTCAGGAGTCTATAGGATTTTTTTTTTTTTGAGATGGAGTCTCGCTCTGTTGCCCAGGCTAGAGTGCAGTGGCGTGATCTTGGCTCACCACAACCTCCATCTCCTGGGTTCAAGCGATTTTCCTGCCTCAGCCTCCTGAGTAGCTGGGATTACAGGCATGCGCTACCATGCCTGGCTAATTTTTGTATTTTTAGTAGAGACGGGGTTTTACCATGTTGGCCAGGATGGTGTCTATCTCCTGACCTTGTGATCCACTCACCTCAGCCTCCCAAAATGTTGGGATTACAGGCGTGAGCCACCGTGTCTGGCCATCTGTAGCCTTTTAAAATTCTGCATGCAAAAGTTACATATTTTGGAAAATACATTAGCCCTTTTATAGTGCTTCAATGCCATATGATCTTACACCATCAGATTCATTTAATAAATTCCGGTCTGACTTATACAATCTTTAGCCAGCTCTATTCTTCTAATAGTTTTTTCCTTGGTAATTCTACCAGACCAGAGAAGAAAACTTAGAAACCTGATTCCCCAGCAGTACCATATTCTGTCTTAGTCCCAGGCCAGTTGAGAAAAGCAAAATAAATACTTTTCTTAATGACACAAGGTTTTATTTGAAATTTGGAGGGGAACATCATAACTATTGGGTGCTGTAATGTTGGCCTGTGATTCATGTCATGGAGTGACATAAGCTTCATAGAACAAAGGATACCGGCCGTCTCCAGTGGGGGATAAGCATGCTTCCTGGGGATTAAAACCCCATTTTCCTCCATGGAAATATAGGAAGTGTTTTGTACTGTGGCCAAAAAGAACACAATGTGTTAATGGTTATAGGTTGTAAGCAGATTTATAAAGTTAGATTCCAGATCCGGTAGACCCTGCAGGGGCTGGATGGGGAGGCTACCACCTTCCTGAGACACCCAGCAATCTTCCATTCTAGCCTTTTATTGTGACTTGAGTAGACCCAAACACAGGCTGAAAAGGTGTCATGAACACCTCCAGTCCTGGCTGGGCACAGTGGCTCACACCTGTAATCCTAGCACTTTGGGAGGCCAAGGCAGGAGGATCTCTTGATCTCAGGAGGTCAAGACCAGCCTGGACAACATAGTGAGACCTCATCTCTATTTTTTTTTTTTTTTTTTGAGACAGAGTCTCACTCTGTTGCCCAGGCTGGAGTGCAGTGACACGATCTCGGCTCACTGCAAGCTCTGCCTCCTGGGTTCACACCATTCTCCTGCCTCAGCCTCCCGAGTAGCTGGGACTACAGGTGCCCACCACCACACCTGGCTAATTTTTGTACTTTTAGTAGAGACGAGGTTTCACCGTGTTAGCCAGGATGGTCTCGATCTCCTGACCTCGTGACCCGCCTGCCTCGGCCTCCCAAAGTGCTGGGATTACAGGAGTGAGCCACCGCGCCTGGCCCCTTGTCTCTATTTTTAAGTAAATAATTAAACATTTTTTTAAAAAACGACAATCTCCAGTCCTGTCGTAGACTAACTGTAAAAGGAGAAGAAGCACTAATCCATGAGAAAACTTTCAGAACTTGAAGGTCCTAGGGCATAGTTTCAAGTCTTTCATAAAAGGAGGGGAATTCATGCTGAGGCCCAGCCAGGAAAAACCAACCAAACAAAAACAACAGAGAGTAAAAGGAGAAATTACGAAAATGGTTCTAAATGTCTCCATTCTGTTACTGAGATTGACGTGCTCAGTTTAGGCTAGATAGCTGTGGAATGTTTTGTCCTAGATTTGAACAGGGAAAGGCACAGAACCCTTCAGAAGTGTGTGGTCACTCATTTTTTCCACTGCCCCCCACCCCGACTTCTCAAGGAGATAAATATCGAGGTCAAGTTGAAATCAGACCTGTGACCTGTGCCTCAATCCCAGGTCTTACTGGGTCACTCCAGATTTATAGGATTGGTTCTGGGTTTTGAGTGGACTGCAGGACCATGCTTCTGTGTAACTCTAGGGATGCTAGTCCATTGGGGTCCATTGAAAGGAGCTCCCTGGAGTTGCGAAGTGAAGCCCTGTATGGCTTTAGGCTGTGTCCTGGTATATTGGCAGAACCGGAACACCCAATGTCAGGGCCAGGGTGAAGTTTCCTAAGGTACTGCCTTAGAATTTTCTAAGACCTTTATTGAATGGCCTTTATTGCCTGCTTTCTCTTTAATTCATTTTTTATGGGTTTTTTTTTTTTTTTGAGATGGAGTCTCGCTCTGTTGCCCAGGCTGGAGTGCAGTGGCATGATCTCAACTCACTGCAACCTCTGCCTCCCAGGTTCAAGCGATCCTCCTGCCTCAGCCCCCTAGTAGCTGGGATTACAGGCACGTGCCATCACGCCCAGCTACCTTTTGTATTTTTAGTGGAGTTGAGGTTTCGCCATGTTGGCCAGGCTAGTCTCGAGCTCCTGACCTCATGTGATCCACCCGCCTCAGCCTCCCAAAATGCTGGGATTACAGGCGTGAGCCACCATGCCTGGTCCTCTTTAATTCATTTTTATGTATTCTGTCTATCAAACATTGACTTGGATGTTATTTGGGGTTAATATATGTACATTACACGTGAGTGATTTTTTTGGCTGGGCTTTGACTTAACCTACTTCTTTATTTTCTGATTCAGAGTAACAGACATAAACCTGGGGAAGCTGGTGCGAGGGGATGCCCATGAATGTTTTGTTTCACCTGTTGCCAAAGCTGTAATTGAACTTCTTGAAAAATCAGGTAGGATGCTCCTTGAGAAATGCCGCTGATTTCTATTTATTGGTATTTACATTATTTTTAATAAGGATTTGTTTGGGGAAGAATTAAAAATTTTTTTAAATTATTATTCTGATATCCTTTTAGGATGTTTCTAGAAGATTCTAATTGAACATAGAAGTGATATTTCACGTTGACTTTTTTTATTTTTCTCATCTTTTGGGAGATACAGATGAATACCTAGAAACTTTTTCTAGTAAGACCATCTTATAAATTAAAAGAGAAATTAGTAGAGATAAACGATTAGCCCTGTTTTAAACATGCTCAATTTCTCTCATGAAACAGTCAAAATAACCACAGTAAAATATGCTTCCAGTTTCAGCTTACTAAATCTATCAATATGTAGCCTTAGATAAGACTTACGTTGAAGACTTAAATGAGGCCAGGCACAGCGGCTCATGCCTATAATCTCAGTGCTAGGCGAGGCCAAGGCCAGAGGATCACTTCAGGCCAGGAGTTCGAGACCAGCCTGGGCAAACATACTGAGACCTTGTCTCTACAAAAAAAATTTAAAAATTAGCTGGGTATGGTGGTGTGCACGTGTAGTCCCAGCTATGCTGGAGGCTCAGGCGGGAAGATCGCTTGAGCCCAGGAGTTTGAGGTTACAGTGAGCTGTGATTGCACCACTGCACTCTAGCCTGGGCAATATAGCAAGACCCTGCCTCAAAAAAAAAAAAAAAAAAAAAAAGAGAAGAAGAAGAAGCCGGTAGATGTAGTTTAGGGCACAGGAGCCTAGGTTGGGATTTATTGGTGAGCAGCTTGCTTTTCAGTAGTCAGGACTTAATTTCCATTGTTGTCCCCTTGACTTGGCGTTTTTATGTCAGTGAAATAGAAATGAATATTTTCTCTTTCTTCATTATTAAGTTTAATGAGTAAATTACTACCAAGTATTTATATATTTAAGGGCTTTCTGAGAACATAAAGATTCAACTAATTGGGCCGGCACAGTAGCTCACACCTGTAATCCCAGCACTTTGTGGAGCCAAGATGGGAGGATTGCTTGAGCCCAGGAGTTTGAGACCAGCTTGGGGAACATAGGGAGACTCCATCTCTACCAAAAAAAATTTTTTTTTTAATTAGCCAGGTGTGGTGACTTGTGCCTGTAGTCCCGGCTACTTGGGAGGCTGAGGTAGGAGAATGGCTGGAGCCTGGGAGGTCAAGGCTTCAGTGAGCTGTGATCACACCGCAGCATTCCATCCTGGGCAACAAGCAAGATCCTATCTGAAAAAAAAAAAAAAAGAAAAGAAAAAATTCAACGAACTAAATCTTTTTCTCTACTCCAGTTTGAATAGAAATGAAGCAAATGCCCCTCCCTACCCCTGAACATCCAACAATCAAAGAAAAATTTCAAAAATATATGGCAAAGTTTTATTAAAAGGTTAACATTCAGGATATATATGCTTTTTGGACAGTAATATTAAGCTCAAATCTATGAAATAATCCATATATACAGTGCTTTTTCATTACGTGGATTATCAAGATGAAGATTCTGAGCCACTTCATTAGAAAGTACTCAAAGAAAAGAGTAAATTAGGCTGGTGAGTTATAGTTACATATTGTGGAAAGAAATTCAGCAACAGGAATTGGAACCAAAAGGGTTTGAATAGAGAATTTTTGTTGATTACAACACCCCACTCCTAGTTCCTAGTCATTGTAGGTTGGTGCTGAGAAAGTTCAAGTTTTAAAAGGGTTTTTTGTTGTTGTTGAGACATTCTTGCTCTGTTGCCCAGGCTGGAGTGCAGTGGCGTGATCTTGGCTCACTGCAACCTCTGCCTCCCAGGTTCAAGTGATTTTCCTGCCTCAGCCTTCTAAGTAGCTGGGATTATAGGCATGTGCCATGACGCCTGGCTAATTTTCTATATTTTTAGTGGAGGCGGGGTTTTACCATGTTGGCCAGGCTGATCTTGAACTCGTGACCTGAAGTGATCCGCCTGCCTCAGCCTCCCAAAGTGCTGGAATTATAGGCATGAGCCACCACACCCAGCCTAAAAGGGTCTTTTTTTCTTAAGATAAAGTTCTTAAAGGAAGGATCTGAAGTTTTGAGTATAATATTGAATTTTCATTTGGTTAGTAGGTGTCAACCTAGATGGAAAGAAGATTTTGGTAGTGGGGGCCCATGGGTCTTTGGAAGCTGCTCTACAATGCCTGTTCCAGAGAAAAGGGTCCATGACAATGAGCATCCAGTGGAAAACACGCCAGCTTCAAAGCAAGGTAAATTTCATGTTAGAAACATACATCTTGAAGGCTTCTGTTAGAACAGAAGAAAGTCTAGAAATGTATAAGCTAAGTGCTTAATTCAAGAAATTAGAGGAAGAAAATTGAATAGACCCATATCCATTAAAGACATTGAATGAGTCTACTCACCAGACAAACAAACAAGAAAAGGCAACAGGTGGTTTTACAAATGAGCTCTATCAAACAAAGAACAGATCATTCTAATACAATCCTTTTCTCCAGCAAATGGAAAAAGAAGGAACGTGGCCTAACAGACTTTATGAGTGCCAAAACCAAAGAAGGGTAACATGCTAAAGGAAAATTAACAGGCCAGTTTCAGCTATGAATATAAATGAAATAATCGTGAGCGAAATCTGAGAACACCAAATACAGCAGGAAGTAGGGTTTATTTTAGGATTTCCAGGTGATTGAACATGAGAAAGTCTGTCACTGTAATTCACCACATTGTGATTAAAAACTAAATTCTCACCATAGTAAGTACAGAACAGTCATTTGGTAAATCTAATATGCATTATGACCTTTTGAAAGTAATTATAATTTTGATGAAAATTATTAAGAAGACCCATATAAAAGCAGAGGTATCATCTTCATGGAGAAGATGCAATATCTTAAAGATACTAATTGTCTGCAAATTTTGTAGAATTTGACAGTCTGATTCTGAAATCCAAATGGAAGCATAAAGGACAAAGAGAGTCAAGACAATTTTGTGGAAAAACTAGGTGGGAGACATTCCCAGCCACACAGTGTGAATTATTATGCACTTACAGTAATTAGGATAATATGGTAGACAAACAGACGATCGGAACAGAAGAAAGTGGAAATTTATGCATATATGGAAGCTTGAGAGCAGGTACCACAGATCAGTGGGGAAAAGATTAACTATTAAAGGCCGGGCGTGGTGGCTCATGCCTGTAATCCCAGCACTCTGGGAGGCTGAGGCGGGCAAATCACTTGAGCTCAGGAGTTTCAGACCAGCCTGGCCAATATGGTGAAACACCGTCTCTACTAAAAATACAAAAAAATTAGCCGGGCGTGTCGGCGCAAGCCTGTAATCCCAGCTACTCGGGAAGCTGAGGCAGGAGAATCGCTTGAACCCGGGAGGCAGGGGTTGCAGTGAGCCGCGATCGTGCCACTGCACTCCAGCCTGCGCGACAGAGTGAGACTCCGTCTCAAAAAAAAAAGCTAAAACATTAACTATTAAAAATGGTGCTGACTTAACTAGTTATGTATATGAGTCTAGCATAGGATTACTAACCTGCCACTACATATAAAAATCACTTCTATATTAAAATACCTAAATGTGGAAAGCAAAACTGTAAAACTTATAGAAAAAAATATAGGCGTATGCATTTAAGAGGTTGGCGTTGGAAGGATAGCTTAAGAGACCCCAAAAGCACAGATTGCTAAAGAAAAGGTATATAAATCTGACTGCATCCAAATTTTTAAAAACCCCAAAGTTTTTCTTTCTGAAAAGAAGTTCTTAAAAAAGTGAAAAGACAGCTATAGTGTAGAAGATATTTACAACAAACATTTAGCCAATAATTAGTGTCTTATAAAAGATTCCTACAAATCAGTGAGACAAAGACAATCTGTTAGAAAAATGGACACATGACAGACCACTAACAGGTGAGGAACCCGAGGTTTAAAAGACACGTGAAAAGCTGTCTGGTTTCCTGCTGTTTTTGCTCACCAGTCATATTGGCAGTAGGTAAAAAGTGCCAGTTAGCCATATTGACAAATGTCTGGAGCTATGGGAATTCATATATTGCTGGCGGGAGTTTAAATTTGAAATAGGCATTTCGGAAAGCAGTTTAATGGAGTTTGAGCTACTCTTTGACCCAGGAATTTCACTCTAAATATATATGATATGGCCAGGCATGATAGCTCACCCCTGTAATTCCAGCACTTTGGGAGGCTGAGGCAGGCAGACCACCTGAGGTTGGGGTTTCAAGACCAGCCCGACCAACATGGAGAAACCCCATCTCTACTAAAAATATAAAATTAGCTGGATGTGGTGGCACATGCCTGTAATCCCAGCTATTCAGGAGGCTGAGGCAGGAGAATTGCTTGAACCCGGGAGGCAGAGGTTGCGGTGAGCCGAGATCACACCATTGTACTCCAGCCTGGGCAACAAGAACGAAACTCCGTCTCAAAAAAATAATAATAAAAAGTGTATATATATGTGTGTGTGTATATATATATATAATAGACAAAACTTGCCCATATATATACAAAGGTGTGTTTACAAATGGTCAGAGCAGCATGTTTATAGTGCAAAAAGTTTTGTTTGTTTGTTTAAGACAGAGGGGCAGTGGTGGTTCTGTGGGTCTTGGCCCCTTTCTGCTGTCAGGGCTGAGTTGGCTCCATGAGTTGGTGAAAGCGGTATCTAGCCAGGTTCAAGGGAGACAGGGGCAGGATTTCGCCTTCACTGATGGGCAGGCCAGCGGTCCCCTGTGGAACGGTGACTATTGAATATTGAGAGGACAGTATCCCTCCCTGAGCATCTTCTGGAGCTTGATGACCACTAGGGAATGTATCTGAGTCACGCGCACCAAATATGTTACCGGTGGCAGCTATTCGAGTTATCCCGAGTTCGTGCTGGTGTATCCGTACAGTTCTGCAGCAACTTCAGCTCTTGCCTCCTCGGAAGAAAGAATTGGACTGAGGGCCATAAGGCAGAAGGAGAGACTGAGGCAAGTTTCAGAGCAGGACGGAAAGTCTAGCAAAAAGCTCTAGAACAGTAAGGAAAGGAAAGAAGGAAAGTATAACTTGGAAGAGAGCCAAGCAGGCGACTTGAAAAACCAAGTGCACTGCAACAAGTATTTAAACAGTGATCTAAATGCCCATCAGGGTGAAAGGATAAATCAGTATAGTTGCATGTAGAGTATGCATAGTCATAGTTCATAAAACAATGATATACAAGCAGTGAAAATTAATAAACTAGAGCTGTAGATAGCAACATGTTTTCTTGTTTTGTTTTTTGTTTGTTTGTTTTTTTGAGACGAAGTCTCCCTCTATCCCCCAGGCTGCAGTGCAGTGGCGCGAACTCGGCTCACTGCAACCTCTGTCTCCTGGGTTCAAGTGATTCTTCTGCCTCAGCCTCCTGAGTAGCTGGGACTACAGGTGTGCGCCACCATGCCCAGCTAATTTTTGTATTTTTAGTAGAGACAGGGTTTCACCATGTTGGCCAGGCTGGTCTGGAACTCCTGACCTCAGGTGATCCGCCCACCTCGACCTCCCAAAATGCTGAGATTACAGGCATGAGCTACCGCGCCCGGGCTGGAAGAATTTTTTAAAACACTGTTCAGTGAACAAAAACCCAAGTTGCAGAAGGATGTATTTCATACAACACCATTTATATGTGTCTGAAAGCAACACAACATATATATATATATGTAATCTAATACATACATACATATAATATGTATTACATATAATCCTTATATATATATAGAATCTTAATATATATATTTAGGTCAGGACATTTAGATCACTGTTTAATATATATATTAGGATTATATATAATATATATTATATTATTATGTATTAATTATATAATCCTTATATATATATTAGGATTCCATGCAAATGAAGTAAAAATATAAAGAAATAATGCAAACTACGAACCAAATCCGAAAAGCATTTATTGAGGCAAGGATGTGGATATAGATGGAAAGGAAACCTAGACACCTTCATGCCTTTTTTCTTAAACTGGGCAATAGGTGTTGTCTAGGTATGTTAGGTTATTGTTTTCCATTTCTATGTCTGAAATGATTGTTTTTCATTTTAAAAAATGATGGTACAGCTCACAGATCTAAAGCAAAGTGAAGTTTTAAATGAATGCATTAAGTACAATCAGTAACTACAGAATGTGATCTAAAAATACATGTTCCTCATGTTGCAGGGTGAGAATGGAAATGAGGAGTAAATTGTAATCGTGCCAGGGAAGCCAGGTGTCTCAGCAGATTTGGAATCTTTGCATGGCAGGTGGATCCAATTTATGTAATGCTTGGGTTAAGACAGCTCAGGAAGGCAGCCTTGCAATGAAACGTGAACCTGTGTGCGTTTTTAGCAGTCACCACATGGTGGCAGCCTATCCAAGAAAATTCAAGGGCAATAGTTTGCACTTGAGAGCCCAGAAATTTTGATTTGGAAGCTCAGTGGAAGAGGAAAATAAACCGTGCCCTGCACTGAACAGCTGTGGTGAAGAGAGAAAATACCTTCCTTGGCAATTGAATGTTTTCGCAGCTGTCACAGATACTTTTGCTAGTTGTATCTATATTTTTGAAAAACAAAGACATTTTTCAAAGTACTTTTTTATTACGGGAATAAATCACCTTGTCTCTGTACTTTGGGATGAATCTCATCTGAACTTTGAGAACGATTAAGTGGCTTCACTTTCTGGAGAATCTGGTCATTGGGTAACATTCTTGTTTTCATATGGACCAGAAGGTTCTCTTTCATAGTTGATGTTGCACACACGTTTTTTTCCCTAAGTCCTTGGTATTTATAGTGGCACCATTGCGAATGTTAGAGGCTATCAACTTTCATTCTTATTATTGCTTCATCTTTGTAGCCAAAAATATGGGAAGAAATGTTCATAGCCCCGCCCCATACTTGTCCCCCTCTACCTGGCCTACCTACCTACGTCAGGCTCCTGTCCCACCACAAATGACAGCCTGTGTCTTTCATGTTAGCAGCTAGTCTTTCACTAGCCACATACTTCCCCGTAACCCATATGCCTCCCTGTGTCTGCCTGACGTTTGAATTGTCACTATTCTGTTGTTGTATTTTTACAAGAAGAATGTATGGGGCAGAAAACCCTTGCCATTCATTTCCTGAGTAGGAATTCTAGCCTTCCTTGGAGTCGTGGTAATATGGAGACATGGTAATATGTGGATTGTACCACTCAATGGCTGTCTGGAGGCCACAGTGGTGCAAAAAGCCACCTAGGCATGGGTTAGTGTCCTGGGGCACCCAATCAGGACAGGACACCTGGCACACCCTTGGAAAAGCTTCACTGTGAAAAACACTGGAAGTAAAAATTTTAACAACAGATAGGGATTTTTTTCCCCTTGAGACAGAGGCTCACTCTGTTACCCAGGCTGGAGTGCAGTGGCGCGATCTCGGCTCACTAAAGCCTCTGCCTCATGGGTTCAAGAGATTCTCATGCCTCAGCCACCTGAGTAGCTGGGATTACAGGCGAGCACCACCATGCCTGGCTAATTTTTATATTTTTAGTAGAGATGGAGTTTCGCCATGTTGGCCAGGCTGGTCTCGAACTCCTGACCTCAAGTGATCCACCCACATGGCCCTCTCAAAGTGCTGGAATTAGAGGCCTGAGTCACTGTGCCTGGCCCACATGGGGATTTTTGTTGCCCAGCTTAATCAACCAAGAATAAAAGTGCATTTTAAGATTATAATCTATTTAACTTCTCCTTATTGGCAATGGTAAAAGAGTTAAGGAAAAAAGAGAATAAGCTTAGGATTATGGCTACTAAGTAGAAGGACGTTATCTTTGACGGGCATTTCTGTTGTGCTTATTTGTACCTGACATGGAACAAGACCCCCCCATCCCCTCAACACATACCTGCTGTGGGACATCTGGCTAGAGATTTCCAAAGCTGAGGGTGAAAGGTTTGGGCATCGGTGTGACTGTGTAACACTAGAGTTCTATCTACCATCTCTTAAACTACAGGTAGTCTTACCGGTGTGGGCTGACCTTCCGGTTATCAGGCAGCCTGCTGCAACCACTAGAAACTGCCTTTGAAGGTTTCCAGTCCGGCACAACATTTGTGTTCTCATTAAACAGTAGAGCATAGGCTTTGGGGACACACAGCTCTGGGCTCAAGCCTTAGCTGTTGCTGCTCTGAGCCTGTTCCCTCGCGTAGAAAGGCAATCATAATACTCCCTACTTTATGGGGCAGTTGTGGGAATGGAATTAAATGCTAATGTGGGCCGGGTGCAGTGGTTCACGCCTGTAATCCCAGCACTTTGGGAGGCTGAGGAGGGCAGATTGCTTGAGCCCAGGAGTTTGAGACCAGCCTGGCAACATGGCGAAACTCCATCTCTAAAAAAGTACAAAAATTAGCCAGGCGTGGTGGCTGTAGTCCCAGGTACTTTGGAGGCTGAGGTGGGATGATCACCTGAATCTGGGGAGGTCGAGGTTGCAGTGAGCTGAGATTGCACCACCGCACTGCAACCTGGAGTGCAGGCTGGAGGAAGAGAAATATATGGGTCAATTAGGCAAATCACTCAGATCGTAAGTAGATATACTAGTAAAATAGCGTGACTTAGGGTCCTTCACTGGAAGCCTGGTATTAATGCTTCCATTGTGTGGGTGGGGGAAGGAGAGAGTGTCTCCAGCTCTCTGTCTGTGAGGTCTCCCAGCCGAATATTGGCCAAGGGAGTGAAACCAGAAGCAAGACTACCATGAGACAACGTTCCAGAGAAAGGAGGGACTAACCAGAGCAGGTGCCCAGCTTTGGCCAGTCAGGCTCATCTTCCAGTCCTCAGTAGATTATTATCAACTTTAAGTGATGTCACAGACTCCCTTCCTCCAAAGCTGTGGACCTCTTCCTTCCCATGCCTCTTGTTACTTGGAAGTCACTCTACTTCCAAACATGTCGGCTGGAGATCCCTGATGGGCCAGTTACTACTTTCAGGCTCTGTAGGTTTAAAGAATGGTTATATCCAGTTAGTTACAAATAGAAATCGATCCTTTCTCTGTCCGTCTGTCTAAACGGAAGGATATTCTGTGGACGCTGATTAGGTATAAAATCTCCACGGAGCCTGAGCATGAAGAATTGACCTTCTTAGGGTTCCACAGAAACCAGAATAGACTTCTGTGTTTGGTAGCTTTGTAACTTACGCCCGTTGAGGTGTACGGTTGAAAATTGAGAATAAATTTCCTGTTCTGTTTCTGAGCATCTTTTCCAGGCTTGGAGATGCGTTGAGCATTTCCACGGAGACCCTAGAGGTGGGGAGGGGAAGAACGCCTGGGCATTTGTCCAAATTAGCCATATGCTGTGGAGTGTCACATGTCAGGAAGCCAAGGCACTGGAGCTAGTGTTTTTGGGCAGGGCTAGGGAACCCCCCGCCTTTCCTCCACCCAAACGCAGGCCCCCACACCCAGCGTCCTGGGCCCTGCAGGGGAATGACACTGTTGGTTTCACTCTCAGGAATGAGCCTAGATTTGGAGGTAACCTCTTCCTGACCCCGATGATTTCACTCTGATGCCAAAACCAGTCTGAAGTGGGTGTGGTTTTGCATTTGGTGTTTACAAGGTGGAGTGGTGCCCTCTGCACGGAAGGGAGAGGTGGGCAGGTACGGCAGGGCCCTGCTCCCTCGGGAGTCTCCTCTGAACCTGTGGTTAGGGCACAGCTGGACAATGCTGAAATGGTCTCCAGCTGGGAGATGAGGTAAACCTCAGCTGCATGCCGAAGAAATAACCTAGAAATCAGAGAACCGTTTTATTTTGTTTTTCTCAGAGGATCTCATTTCTCCCTCTCCTCCTGAGCACAGAGACCCTCAAAACTGGTATTCACAGAAGGAAAAAATATAGGTCTTTCACCTTTGAAGGATCAAAGTGTCTAGGGTTTTTTGTGGTTTTTTTTTTTTTTTTTTGAACAAAGCTGAACTATTACAAAGTCCTTTTCAGTTTAAATTTAGTGCATGGCATGGCTCATGAAAGACTTTTAAAAGTGAATTGGAAAATTCTAAATGTACTTGTATTATACATGTGAAAGGATGACTTCTTAAAAAAAGAATAATGTCTGTCCCAAACGGGAGAAGGAAGGAACTCTAGCTTTTAAACTGCACTACATTAGTGAGTTACATGACAATTCTCCTTTTAACAGGATGGAATGCACTTAAAGCAGTAATGTGCTATGGTGACAGTAATGACAGACAATGTTAATTGACAGAATGGCTACTCTGAACCAGGCACTGTCTTGTACTCCTGTTATCTCAGTGGTCTTCACACTTATTCTGTTAGGCAGGACTGTCATCCTCCCCACATTACAGATGAGGAAACTGACTGAGGCTTAGAGAGGAGACTTTGCAAAGATCATGTGATTAAAAAATGGTAGAGGTGGCAAAACAGCCTGTGTTTTTAACACTGTCCCATGTCAGCTCTTATTCCAGATCATCACATAAAGTCTAATCTCTAATCTTGAAAACCGAAAAGCACCTGCCACCTCAGATAAGAGAGACCAAGACCCTAGACATTCGACTTGTGTTGAATTCACTCTTATTTTGTTTTGATGTTTGTAATCCCAGAGCCATACTTGTTAATGAGCTGAAGTAGAGTGAATGCTGTCCCCTCCCTGAGGCCTGGGGCTCATCATCAGCTCTCCAGGCTCCCCTTTCAGAGGGGATGGTGAGCACCTTCGGAGAGGGCAGGGATGGACACACAAGACAGCCTCAGTTATGTGAGTTCATCCCCTCCCCTGCCTGCTGTGGGTGAGATGGAGAAAAAAGCACTGGACCCTCCTGGGCATCACAGCCTTGTACTTAGCGAGTGGCTGAGGTCATCAGTAGCCCAGGTCATCAGTAGTGTGGAATTAAGTGCACTGAATAGTGTTGGCCCCTGAGCTTTGTTTGACAGATTTAGGGGGTCAGCTCACCACTTTCCCCTCTTGCTTCTGTCTGATCATTGCTCTGTTTGTTAATACCAAGGAAGAAAGTGAATAGAACTTTTTAGAGAGCCAAAAAAACTTTATTAGACTTTATGCCATTCATTATACTTAGCAGTGTTGAGGGAAGGATTTGTGAGACGATATATTCAAACTAATGGGCATGAGACCAAGAAGGGGCTGTGTGGCGGGCGCGGTGGCTCACACCTGTAACCCCAGCACTTTGGGAGGCCGAGGCAGGTGGATCATGAGGTCAGGAATCGAGACCATCCTGGCTAACACGGTGAAACCCTGTCTCTACTAAAAAAAAAAATACAAAAACAAAATTAGCAGGGTGTGGTGGCAGGCACCTGAAGTCTCTGCTACTCGGGAGGCTGAGGCAGAAGAATAGCATGAACCCGGGAGGTGGAGCTTGCAGTGAGCCGAGATCGCGCCACTGCACTCCAGCCTGGGCAATAGAGTGAGACTCCATCTAAAAAAAAGCCGGTTGGGGTGGGGGCATGTAATTAACAGACTGATTGGTCTTAGGTGGCTCAGAATTTAAGCTGAGAAATTAAGATTGAGAAGAAATGATGTATTGTCGTTATATCAAATATGTGAGTAAAAACATAATTAAAACACCATCTATCTCCAGTTTTCCCAACATTACCTCCCTTTTATGATGCCCTTCCTGTACCTTATTAGGCAAAATATTCTAATTTCAGTCTCATTGGATTATGTTCTAAATGTTTGAAGGTTGGTCTGAACATGGAATGTATTTTCTCATAGATATAATAGTATAAATGGTGTTAGGGTCATGGGATTGCGAAGCCAGTTCCACTGCAGTAGAATCATATTGACTTGCTTTCCGATTTTTCTGTGGGAAACTTCATCTGGAGCTTTAATGCACTTCTTAGCTGTGGGGTAAGTTTCAGCCTCCATGACGCTTGTGTTACTTTGTAGTCACCTGTGGCCAACCACAAATAAATCTTTGTGGTCATCAGGGGCCAGTGAAGTGTATACTGCACAAAAGAGAGCCTACCCCAATTCTGGAAGAAGGGCTGCAGGCCTGTGTCCCACAAAGAACAGGCAGGAAGCATCACCTTCAGCCCACTGGCAGCAGGTCATCTCCCATTTGCTTTTCTGCACTATCAGCAGAGTCTGGCTTCCTTTTCCACCCCCTCTCCAATGTGAATGCTTTTTAAGGTCGTGGAATTAGAATTTAAAAAAAAAATTTTTTTGAGACAGAGTTTTGCTCTTCTCGCCCAGGCTGGAGTGCAATGGTGCAATCTCAGCTCACCGCAGTCTCCGCCTCCCAGGTTCAAATGATTCTCCTGCCTCAGCCTCCTGAGTAGCTGGGATTACAAGCATGCGCCACCACGCCCAGCTAATTTTGTATTTTTAGTAGGGACAGAGTTTCTCCATGTTGGTCAGGCTGGTCTCGAACTCCTGACCTCAGGTGATCCACCCACCTCGGCCTCCCAAAGTGCAGGGATTACAGGCATGAGCCACCGCGCCTGGCCAGTATTAGAATCTTTTAATGGGAACGTCTTAAACATAACCTATAACAATGAAGCACCTTATAAGTGTGTGGAGATTTCCTTTTCATGGCTTTTCATATATGCCTCGCACTCACCCAGCAACCCTGCAAACTGGATGTTATACTCACCAGAGAGCCTTGACCCTGATTGTCACTGGCAAGGAGCAGTGTCTGGACTTGAACGCAGGTCGCAGGACTCCACTCATGGTGCTCTCCCCACTGCACCTCAATTCCTCACTTTTCAAAGGAGGCAGCGGAAGCCTGGAGAGTTTCTCAAAGGAAACGGAATGCAGAAATCTGTCTGTGTGCAATGTGAGGCTCAGAACTGAAAACCATAAATGTCAGGAAATGCAAAGCAGAATTTTCCCCTGCAACGGCAGTTTGCATGAATATGAAGACGCTGTATGGATGAAAGTTTGTGGCTGCAGCATGAGCATAAATCCTCGGGGCTGCTGTTCGTCTAGGAGCCTGACTTGCCTGGTGTTGCCCTGAGAACTGCAACTTGAGCATTTCCTTAATTTTGTACTAAAGGAACCAAAATGAGGTATTTTGGTTCTAAGTCTTTGTCATGTGAAGGAAGCTTCCTGTTACCACCCCCCATCTACATACACATTCTCTTTCTTAGCCCCACGTTTGAATTTTATGTTTTTCCTAAAGTATAGGGAAGATTATTATTATTATTATTATTTTCTTTTTCAGACGGAGTCTCGTTCTGTCACCAGGCTGGAGTGCAGGCGCGTGATCTAGGCTCACTGCAAGCTCTGCCTCCCAGGTTGAAGTGATTCTCCTGTGAAAGGGAATTATTTTTGATGAGTCATTAAAGTATATCCATTCCCAGAATGGTGCTGCATTTTTCCTTTTATCATCTGTCATGACTTTTTTAAGTGTGAAGCTTACTTCCAGAGGAATTGTCTTTTCTAGCATTTTGGACACAACTAAATATCTTTGATATTTTCTTCTCATATGTTGAGCAGTAAATTAAGTTGAATGGTGAAGTCAGAGGTGAACTTAGGAACATTTAGAAAAAGGAAGGTCATTTATTATTTTTCAGGGGAAAAGTTTGGTAGAAAAATGCTGTAATCCTAATTCCCAGATGTCCATTTGGCTTGTAGTCATTTTGATTTATGAAATAATCATAAGAAATGTCTTCAAATTTTAAAAGCCAATAATTTGTTCTACTAATCACAGATGAGAGTAGAAATAAAAGAAACACACCCAATTCCTGAAAGGAAAAAAATTCTCCCAGGATGAGATCACTGGGTGGACGTGAAGTGGGTAAAATACCTTTTGCTGCAATTGTCATCCCCTTATCTTGCCAAAGTACGACAACATCTGAATGAAGATGGTTTGATGTTCTTAGTTTAGAGTAGTTATACTATTATTTTAACATTCCTATTTAATGATATGTTTTAATACTGCAGGGGAAAGGTAGATACAGATTCATAGCTACAAAGCAATACTCTTATGATCAATGTTCATTTAATTTCAAATACAAAGTTAGACATTCAGAGTTAAAAAAAATTAATGCATAGGCTGGGTGCAGTGGCTCACGCCTGTAATCCCAGCACTTTGGGAGGCCGAGGCAGGCGGATCATGAGGTCAGGAGTGTGAGACCAGCCTGACCAACATGGGGAAACTCCATCTCTACTAAAAATACAAAAATTAGCTGGGTGTGGTGGCATGCGCCTGTAATCCTAGCTACTCAGGAGGCTGAGACAGGAGAATCGTTGAACCCAGGAGGCAGAGGTTGCAGCGAGCTGAGATTGCACCACTGCACTCCAGCCTGGGCCACAGAGTGAGATTCCATCTCAAAAAAAAATAGATATATATATATTTTTTATATTATATTATATATTATATATTTATATTTTTATATATATAAATGAATAAACAAGGCATCTGCTTATGAAACAGTCTGCCTGAATGAAATCTCCATTTGCAGGCAACACAGTCTACAGTAATGGCAGGACTGTATTAGGCATGGTTCCTAATGCCCATTTCTGTAGCAAAGTCACCAGTAGTTCCTAATTGCCAAAAGTGAGTCACCGGTAGTTCCTAATTGCCAAAAGTGTATTTTTTGCTTTTATCTTGCTTGACCACAGCTGTCATATAAACCTGTTGGCCACACCCTTTTCCCTTAGCCTGAATGAAAATGCCCCTTCCTGCCCTTCGTAGCTCCTGAGCCACCAGGACATGGTGGTCTCCATCATCTGTTCGTTATCTCTAACCATTTAAGATTAGTGCTCCCCAAGGATGTCTGTTAACCTGCTTTCCTTCCCATTCTGCCAGTTTCCCCTGGGGAATCCACACTTCTGGTTTTAACCATCACCTAAATGCTGTGTGTCCCGACCCGCATCCGCATGCTCCCAGGCCATTCTCAGTTCCAGACCCGGGCCCCCAGCTTCCTGCAGACGCCTCCTCCAGGAGATCTCAGTATCTTGCTTTTCCTCCTACCCCTTCTAAGGCATTCTCAATCCAGCTTCCAGAGGAATCTTCCTAAAACACATCTGACTGTGTGAGCCACATACTGTAGCCCAACCTGACAGCTTCTTTTCTATATTAAGAAAAAGTGCGGCCGGGCGCGGTGGCTCACGCCTGTAATCCCAGCTCTTTGGGAGGCTGAGGCGGGCAGATCACGAGGTCAGGAGATCGAGACCATCCTGGATAACATGGTGAAACCCTGTCTCTACTGAAAATACAAAAAATTAGCCGGGCATGGTGGCAGGTGCCTGTAGTCCCAGCTACTCGGGAGGCTGAGGCAGGAGAATGGCATGAACCCAGGAGGCGGAGCTTGCAGTGAGCCGGGATCGCGCCACTGCACTCCAGCCTGGACGACAGAGTGAGACTCGTCTCAAAAAAAAAAAAGAAAAGAAAAGAAAAAGTGCACACATTTTGACATCTGAGAAAAGTGATGTTTTTCTTAGAAAAGTGACATCTAACTCTTTATAGAAACTTTGCCACAAGGTAGTCTAGGAGTCCCCTTACTACCTAAGATTTTCATGGACATGCCCTGTCTGATCATAAAGCATGTGGCACAGTGGCTCACGCCTGTAATCCCAACACTTTGGAAGGCCCAGGCGGGCAGATCACTTGAGCCCAGGAATTCAAGACCAGCCTGGGCAACATGGTGAAACCCTGTCTCTACAAAAAATATTTAAAAAACAAAATGAACTGAGCATGGTGAAGCACATCTATAGTCCCAGCTACTTAGAGGCTGAGGTAGGAGGATCGCTTAAGCCCAGAAGTCAGGGCTGCAGTGAGCTGAGACTGCAGTGCCACTGCATTCCAGCCTAGAGGACAGAGTGAGACCCCGTCTCCAAAAATAAATAAATTAATTAAATAAAGCCTTGTGAAGAATCTGCCGTGGAGCATAATGTAACCCATAAAGCCACTTAACTGGGCGCACATAAACTACATAAACTACAGTGTGTCCCAGTTCATTGAGAGTGAAAATCAAGCAAGGGACCACCTCAGTGTGGTAGAGCCCCCTCCCTGCCCTCCAGACCCTGCTCTGTTCTCTGTGTCTGACCATTGACTGGCCATCACTCAGGCACTAGTTGAGAATGCCAATGTCTTTAGTTATTGTAATTTCAGAAGCACATCCTTGCTGGACAAAGAACCTACCTGTTAATTTTTTAAAGTAATGTTCATCATTTTGAACATTGTTTTCTTTCTTTTTTATTCAGCTGACCCTCATGAGGAATTTAACTTGGTTTTCTGAACTGTGTTGGTAACATTTGAAGGACATAGAAACAGTTTTCATAGGTCTCAAGTGATATAAACCACAATTCTTTAGAAAATATCTTTTTTTTTTTACCCATTCTGGATTTTGAAATATATACAGATCTCATACCTCAGATTCTCATATGATATGAACTGTTTCAAAACACATTGATAGCAGAAGATACATACTGTCTTCTAGTCAAGAGGGTAGCGCTGTATTTAGTTTAAAACATTTTAATGCATTTTATTTGCTAAATACAAAATTATAATATTCTGTATAACTTTCCAAATCTCATCTGTCCTCCCTTTCCCCCATCTCTTTATATTCAGATGCTTGTCCCTCCAGCTTAAAAATTCATGACTTTGAGAAAATTCGTCTTCATGTTATCTAAACTACTGCACCCCCACACGCTCCCTGTTAAGTGTCTGCATATCTGTGTCTTACTGTTGTTTAAAATTCACTTGTCTGCCTGGGGAGTGGGGTGGTTTGCTTTAAGCTGCTCCACTCAAGTCTCAGCAGAGAAAGCAATAATTTGTTATGAGATAGAGTTTTAAGCCAAGCTTTGGCCAGGGTCTCTCCCATTTGGGAGGAGGAAAATAGGAACAAGTGAGATGATAATTTTCCTTGAATTTTAGCTCATTAAAATCTTCCCTTGTCCTGGGCAGGCTATTTACTGATTTAAGCATCTAGCACTTTTCCTTTCCAGAAAGAATTAACATCTATGATGCAATCATTGCTAAGGGAGGAGGTTTTTGTGTTTTCTCTGTGGAATTAGCTGTTCTCCAGTTGCAGATGAGCACAGCCCACTTTAGAGTTGTGTGTAGGTATGGAGTTGAGGGGTCGGAATGAGATTTCCAAGATTTATAGGTAATGAAAAGAACAGGTTGTATCAAAGACACCACGTGTAGGAAACTAACTGTTCTTAGGGGACTTGTGTGAACCTGTGATCCTTGGCTTTCTCCAAAATGAACATTTCAGCCTTGTTCATATTAACCTCCTTTTTACAGTTGTTTTACCGTGTTCTGGTTTTGCTGCTATTCTGCCTGAAAATCTAGCAAAATGGCGTTTCTTATCTGCAGAACTGCGACAAAGCTTAAACATTTGTATTTCTCTTGAGGATTACTGTGGTTGAATTTTTGACAGTACTATATATAAATGAAGAAATAAAATTTTTTATACAGATGTTTAAAATCCTCTTTCCACTAGAACATTTCTTTCTCCCTAAATATACTATTACCTGGAACTCTAGCTGTTTTTCAGATCTGTAGAGATCATAGGTGGCTTAAGGGACTAGATTGCTGGTGATATTGGCTGCAAAATTTTTTTTTTTTTTTTTTTTTTTTTTTTTTTTGAGACAGAGTCTTGCTCCATCGCCCAGGCTGGAGTGCAGTGGTGCAATCTTGGCTTCACTGCAACCTCTGCCTCCCAGGTTCAAGTGATTCTCATTTGGCTGCAAAGTTCTTAGTGAGGTTTAGTGGTATTTTGGCCCTGTGGCACAGAAGAATGGTTATTTAGCAAATGTGTTTTGCTTTTGATTTTGTTTTGTTTTTGAGACAGGGTCTTGCCCTGTTGCCCAGGCTGGAGTGAAGTGGCTCGATCACAGCTCACTGCAGCCATGACCTCCTGGGCTCAAGCGATCCTTCCACCTCAACCTCCCAAGTAGCTAGGACCACAGGCATGCCTCACCACACCTGGCTAATTTTTATTTTATTTTATTTTTGTAGAGACAGGGCCTTACTATGTTGCCCAAGCTGTTCTCAAACTTTTGGGCTCAAGCAGTCTTCCCACCCTGGCCTCCCAAAGTGCTGGGATTACCCAGCATGGCAGCATGAGCCAACAGGTCTGGCCTCGGCAAAGGTTTTAGTAGGGCTTTCTCTTTTCTTTTGAAGATGATTAATACAGTAGATTCATACAGCCAGAAGCTGAAAAGCAGGGAATACTGTTTGGCTTATTAATGGATAATCAATCAGTGTTAATACACTTTTCCCTATTTACATGGTCAAATTGATCAAATATTTCCAAGGTATTAGCTTTTAAAAGTTGACTTTGTCAGCTCTATGAAAAGACATGCATTTACATTTTTATCGTGCTCCTCCTCTGTCAGGGGACTTGGATCTGTCCTTGATCTTGGCTTTTCTGTTCATAAACCAGGTAGGACTGTCATGGGTTTGCTCCCATTACCATCTCTTGTCCCAAGATTTCTAAAAGGCATCACCTGATGCACCCTTTTGCCCAAATAGTGTTAAAAGTCCTCAGGCTGAGGAGCTGTCCTGGTTCTTCTACAGGATCTTTAATGATCAGCCTGTCTAAGCTGAGAATGGATAAGGGTGTCCCCAACACGTTTATTTGGTGGTTTGGTGGGGGTAGTGACACTGGGGATGCTTTTGTGTGTTGTAATCTGCCCCTCTGTCTGTTTGACCCCAGAGACTCTGTGGTTAGTTGCAGGACATCAAAATACGCAGGAAAGACAGTGGGGGAAGAGACCATCAGTCGCCCTCTTGCTGCCTAGGTTCACTAGAATCTCTAAGACTGAATTCACTAGGAGACACAGGACATACCGTAGAGCTGTTTATGTCTTGAGAGCCCCAGTTTCCTAGTCTGTTAAATGAGCATAGTAACACCAATCTCACTCCTTTGGAATATTCAATGGTGTAATACTTACAACATCTAGCTGACCTGTACAATTATAGCTATTCTCTTCTGCAAGTCTAATATTCCTATTCACCCCTCCCTCTGCATAGGGATCCAGTTTGAAATCATCAGTTGCTCAGTAGGGCCTGGGGAGCTAGCTGGTCATTCTTTGGTTAAAGTCAAAGCCAACCTCTTTGCCTACCTTTTTGTCTTAATGTCAACTTCCTACCAGACATGTTCCTCCCGCACTGGATGATCAAAATGCAAATAGGATGGACACGATCAATGCATTTTGTTGGAGTGGTTGCATTCTTTCTACTTTCTTAGGGCAAAAAAATGAATGGTTGGACAAGAGACTAACCAAGGCCTCAAAGAAAGTGAAATTCTTTCTCAAGCTCCTGAAAGTCCTTTCATGGGTATAGTAACAGTTCTATAGGGGTCTCATTGTGATGGTGCCATTATACAGGCCAGCAAGCCCCCTGTGTGAGCCAGACCTCATGGCCTTAGCCCTTGTTTTCCTCTTTTTTTTTTTTTTTTTTTTTGAGACAGGGTCTCGCTCTGTTGTTGGAGTGCAGTGGTGTGATCTCGGCTCACTGCAACCTCTGCCTCCTGGGTTCAAGTGATTCTCGTGCTGTAGCCTCCTGAGTAGCTGAGATTACAGGCCCCCACCAGCACGCCTGGCTAATTTTTGTATTTTTAGTAGAGACAGGGTTTTACCATGTTGGCCAGTCTGGTCTCGAACTCCTGACCTCGTGATCCACCTGCCTCAGCCTCCCTAAGTGCTGGGATTACAGGTGTGAGCCACTATGCCCGGCTGCCCCATCCTTTTTCTTGATATTATAGTTAGTGGTGAAAACATGTAAATGATAATACTCCATGCAGTATGTATGCTGAAGTGACTACCCTGAAGACATTTTTTAAGTCCTATTTTCTTTTCTTTCTAGGATATGATAATCATTTTCTGTTTGTATTAATACATGCTTGAAAGGAATTAGTAAAGCGATTCCATCCTTGTCAGCAGCTTGGAACAAAGCTGTGGATCTGGGATTGTGTAGAACTCATTTGACATCAGTAGTTACTTGTGTCTTTATGCCTCAGATCAAGATGTGCGTGTTTTTTTCTTTCTCCTTTTAGCTTCACGAGGCTGACATTGTGGTCCTAGGCTCACCTAAGCCAGAAGAGATTCCCCTTACTTGGATACAACCAGGAACTACTGTTCTCAACTGCTCCCATGACTTCCTGTCAGGTAAATGTCTTCACATTGGTGTTGAGCCACTGATTAGGTCAGATAGTTCAAAGAAATGTTAACCTTTTCCTAAGAGGTTATGTTTCTGAAATGTTAGCAGTCGTCAACATTAATATATAGGGTAGGAAACTTAGACTGTGGGCTACCTGATAGAACCATGCTGTTGAGCAAAGAGAGACCAAGATGGCGGTTGAGGTGTCTGCTCCCACAGTGAAGTGCCCCCTACTGGCCTCTAGCAGTCAGGTCAGTTGTGACCTCAAGTAGATGATTTGTATGTGTGTGAGGTAAACTAGAAATAGCGGTTTTCACAGTTTCTTAAAAATTAGTAAAACCCTTTCTTCCAAAGAAATCTTCGTGGAATCTCACTATGTAAAAGCAGATGAGCGCCGGATTGTTGGGAGGGATGGGAATAGGATCAGCCTGTGTGTCTCCCTGATTTCCTCTTGCATTGACCCATGAAGCACATCCTTGGAGCCCCAGAGTCATCTCAGAACAGTATGAAAATCACCACTAGATGCAGAAACTGTTGTAGGATTGGTCCTGCTATTTGATGGCATTTTGCCAAGGTATCCAGGAATACTCAAGACCACACCAGGCCCACTTTGGGGGCAGCCCAAGCAGTGCCCGCAACAGGGCAGCCAGCAGCCCCGGGTCCAGCAGGAGCCGGCCCAGAGTGGGTTCCTTTTTCCAGTTCGTAGAAGGACTGAGGCTAAGAAAGCCTTGGAGCACACCCAGGCCCTCAGCAAGTCCCTGAGTAGCACAGGTGAGCCAGAGACGATGGCACAGGGAGGCAGAGGAGAGCCCCTCTTCCTGATTCCTTCTGGCTTTGGCCTCCAAATGTTTGTGTGGAAGAGAGGACTGTGCTGAGCTGGGCTGGAGGACAGGGGCAGCTTTTATCCCTAAAGCTGGGCAGAACATGCACCAAGGTTGGCAGCCTCTGCTCTCCTTCTCCTCCACCAGGACCATACTTGAGGTTGAAATCTTGAAACCTTGTAGGCAGCTCCATAAAAGCATGAGCCCTAGCCAGAGGTTGTTACTGACCCTCCTCTCTAGGAAATGTAGCTCCTGCCAGAATTGACCGATCAGATTAAAAACCCCTTGGGGGCTGGAGAGGGTGGAATGGAACAGAGTCCAAGGAAAGAGGCATTAAGAGCTGTGGCCCTAATGGCTCTTTTTAACAAACAGAAAGCATGTACTAAATAACATTTTAAAAATATGTGTAATTTATTCATATAACTTTTTTTCCCCTGAAAAAAAAAAAAAACAAAGCCTAACCTATTAATAGTGGACAGGGCTTCCTCTGTTCAGCATCCCAGTCAGATTAGGAAAATCAGTTCCAACATTTGTTTCTTGTAAATGAATGCTGCTTTGCTGTAATATTTACTTGCTGTGTTTTATTAAAGTTTTCATGTAGGACAGTTTTGGCAGTCATGGCTGGAGATAGGAGTCTACTTTGATGTTCTGGAATCTCTTTGAGCTCTGTGGTTATATGACAGTGACATATATTTTGTTAGTGAAAGTGCTTTATTTTTAATAAGGTTTCCTTTTAGGACCCTTATTTTTGAAAAAAAGTATTCCCTGAAATATTAGATATCAATGTAATGATTCTCTGGGGGAAAAAAAGACCAAGGCGTTACAGATGTTCCTCGACTGACCATGGGGTTATGCACAGATAAACCCATCAGAAGTTGAAAATATCATTAGTAAAAAATGGGCATTTGTAGCCAGGATGGGATGTGAAAACAGAAAACAACGTCCAAAAATGCTGGCAGCACAGTACGCTGTAGAGTATTGGTTGTTTGGCCTCGTGATTGCATGGCTGACCGGAAACCACGATTTGCTGTCACTGCTGCCCAGCGCCTCAAGACAGCCTTGTTCTTTGTATAGCTGGCCTGGGAAAAGATCAAAATTTAAAGCACAGTTTCTACTGAATGCATGTCCCTTTCCCACCATCATAAAGTGGAAAAATAGTAAGTGAAAAGGTTGTAAATCAGGGATGGTCTGTGTATTTCAAAATGATTCTATAAGTAGAATTTATTTGAAATTTATCTGGCCCAACTGTAATAGTTTTCTTGTTGGTTTTTGAATGCCCAGTGTCCAGAATAGTACCTGACGCTTAGTAACCGCTCTGTGAAATTTTTTTTTTTTTTTTGGAGACAGAGTCTTGCTCTGTCACCCTGGCTTTAGTGCAGTGGGTGTGATCTTGGCTCACTGCAACCTCCACCTTCTGGGTTCAGGTGATTCTCCTACCTCAGCCTCCCAAGTAGCTAGGATTACAGGTCCCTGTCACCACGCCTGGCCAATTTTTTTTTTTTTTTGTATTTTTAGTAGAAGTGTGGATGCACCATGTTTGCCAGGTTGGTTTCGAACTCCTGACCTCAAGTGATCCACCCACCTCGGCCTCCCAGAGTGCTAGGATTACGGGCATGAGCCACTGGGCCTGGCTAACTCTGTGAATATTGAGTGTTTGACAAGTTAATAAGCATGAATCAAAATTCTACTCTGCTTGTAGTTTTAAGTTAGTGGCATGTTTAGAAACATTTCCTTGAATTTGTCTCCCACTTAAAGATGGGGCTGATGGCCAGGCACAGTGGCTCACGCCTGTAATCCTAACACTTTGGGAGGCCGAGGCAGGTGGATCACCTGAGGTCGGGAGTTTGAGACCTAGCCTGGCCAACATGGTGAAACTCTTGTCTCTATTAAAAATACAAAAAAATTAGCTGGGCTTGGTGGCAGGTGCCTGTAATACCAGCTACTCGGGAAGCTGAGGCAGGAGAATGGCTTGAACCCAGGAGGTGGAGGTTGCAGTGAGCCGAGATTGCACCATTGCACTCCAGCCTGGATGACAAGAGCTTTTTTTTTTTTCTCAAAAAAAAAGAAAAGAAAAAAAAATGGGCTCAACTAGGCAGTCATTGAGATAAAGATGAGGAATGCTATGTTGATGAAACAGATGAACAGTTTCGGGGTGGTGCTACCCATAATAGCACATTTCTAAATAGTCTACAAGTTTTAATTTTAGCAACTTTGTTTAGTATGAAAATTTGATCTAGGAATAATGGAGAAAGGTTTTTTTTCCCCTCTTTTTTTCATAATCCCACTACTGTAAAGAAATGAATAAACTTTTTGAAATATTAAAAAGAAAAGAGCTCTTATTTAAACTTAAGATGAGAAGAACTTTTAATAAACTTGTGGCTGGGTGAAGACAGAGTTTTATAATGAAATTTTTATTCTTACCTTCATGGTACAGAGTCCCTCCTCCTTACCCCCGTAAAAATAGATGGGATGTTGTGATTTATGATGAGGCAATTCTGTAGAGACATTTTATGGAATACGTAATCCTAGGAGAGATTTTCCTGATGGCTAATATCCCAGACACAGAGCTCAGAAAACAATTATACCCAGCTAGTTGGTTCTGTTCACTCTACTATTGCATGAGTCCAATGTTTAGATTTTAAAACAAGGAAATTTCAACATTCTGTTTTCTAGCTGTAAGAGTAACTACTTTAAAAAAAAAAAAAAAGACAACCAAAAAAACCTATTTCTTAGAAAAAGTCTTGCTCTGTTGCCCAGGCTAGAGTACAGTGGCACGATCACAGCCTCAAACTCCTGGGCTCCAGCAATCCTCCCTCCTCAGCTAATTAAAACAATTTTTTTTGTTGTTGTTGAGGCAGGGTTCTCACTGTGTTGCCCAGGCTGGTCTTGAACTCCCGGCCTCAAATAGTCCTCCCGCCTCCACCTCCAAAAAGTGCTGAGATTACTGGTGTAAACCACCATGTCTGGCCTAAAAAAATTATTTCAAATGAAAAAACTACGCACTGCTCTTGTAGTGCCCTGCTTGCTAAACAGCAGATTTCATCATAAGCAAAATCATTTTGTACCCTAAATATTAGGACTTATTTACTGATGTAACAAATGGGACCAAGGAGAAGCTGGTCTTCCGTCTTAGGCTCAGAAAACAGTATCAAAACAGCAACTCTGTGGCTCAGAGTAATTTATAGCATCATTTTAAGCTAATGTAATTCTATTTAGTGTGGAAGAGGGGAAGAGCCCTGGGATGCTGATGTGCTGGGGGTCCCGAGGGACCTTGAGACTTTCTCTCGTATGGCTCTGAAGGGAGACATTAGAACTTACTGGAGGCTGGGCGTGGTGTGGCTCATGCCTGTAATCCCAGCACTTTGGGAGGCCGAGGCCAGTGGATCACTTGAAGTCAGGAGTTCGAGACCAGCCTGAGCAACATAGTGAAACCTCATCTCTATTAAAAATACAAAAGTTAGCCGGGCATGGTGGCAGGCACCTGTAATCCCAGCTACTTGGGAGGCTGGGGCAGGAGAATCGCTTGAATCCAAGAGGCAGAGGTTGCAGTGAGCCGAGATCACGCCATTGCACTCCAGCCTGGGCAGCAAGAGCAAAGCTCCATCTCAAAAAATTAAAAAAAAAATGTAGTGGAAAGAACATGGACTTTGGAGTCAGGATTAACCTAACTCAAGGACAAGGGAGCTGTTTTTGTAAAAAAAATTCTTGGCCGGATGCGGTGGCTCACGCCTGTAATCCTAGCACTTTGGGAGGCTGAGGCAGGCGGATCACCTGCGGTGGGGAGTTCGAGACCAGCCTGACCAACGTGGAGAAACCCCATCTCTACTAAAAATACAAAATTAGCCGGGCATGGTGGCGCATGCCTGTAATCCCAGCTACTCAGGAGGCTGAGGCAGGAGAATCGCTTGAACCCAGGAGGTGGAGGTTACGGTGAGCTGAGATCGCGCTCCAGCCTGGGCACCAAGAGCGAAACTCCATCTCAAAAAAAAAAAAAAAAGAAATTCTTAATTGCATTGCACTTACAGGCTGTGTGACTTTGAGGAAATAAGCTCTCTGATTAATTAATAAGATTCCCAATTTCTTTGTGGGTAAATTGGGAGCAAGGCTGTTGGGAGGAATGACTGAGATGATACCTCGGGGCAGTGCCTCTTTGATGGTAGCTGCCAATAAATGCTGGTCCACTTCCTGCATTCCTCCCTCCACTTCCTTGTTGCCATGTCACCTGCACACAAAACAGCTTTCAGACTCCATCTTGGCACAATATACATTTATATTTGAAAAATCAAACCCAAGAAAGGAAGAAGTCCAATGAAATTCTGAACATGTAAGAAAAGTCAGCTTTAGAGAAATTGGACATCCGTGTAATTTTCATTATGCCAAAGCAATTGATATAAAATTAGGATCTTTGCTTGTGACTCTTGAACTTTAGTAATTCCAAAATCCATTGTACCTATCACTGTTTTCTTTTATTTATTTTTTCCTGTAAATTCTGGATATTCTAGATCTATCCCTGAAGTATATTGCCAGTTTTCCATTTCAAATTTTAATTAGTTCTCAATACAATGTATTTAATATTTTGCTTTTTTTAAAAAAAGTAAAGGTTCATGTCATTTAGAATATGCAGCACTGTATAAATTTCCTTGTTAATTTGGTTTCAGTGGTCCAAATTAAGTTATTACTAATAGCTTATTAGTATCAGTTTACTAATATTTTAATTTTTTTAATCATGTCTTACATTGCATTCTTTTAAAAACTAGTGATATGCTGTCATTTGACAGTAAGAATTCAAATAATTTAAACTAGGATTGCAACTCTCAAGAACACTGTCACAAAAATTTTACCAAATGATATGTATTAGTCCATTCTCACACTGCTATAAAGAAATACCTGAGACTGGGTAATTTATAAAGAAAAGAAGTTTAATTGTCTCACACTTCCACGGACTGTACAGGTAGTATGATGCTGGCATTTGCTTGGAAGGCCTTCTGGAAGGCCTCAGGAAACTTACAATTATAGTAGAAGGGGAAGGGGAATCACATATATCTTACATGGCCAGAGCAGGAGCAAGAGAGAGGGAGGGCGTATTAGTCCATTTTCGCACTGCTGATAAAGACATACACGAGACGGGGAAGAAAAAGAGGTTTAATTGGACTTACAGTTCCACATGGCTGGGGAGGCCTCAAAATCATGGCGGGAGGTGAAAAGCACTTCTTACATGGCAGCAGCAAGAGAAAATCAGGAAGATGCAAAAGCGGAAACCCCTGATAAAACCATCTGATCTCATGAGACGTATTTACTACCATGAGAAGAGTATGGGGAAAACCACCCCCATGATTCAAATTATCTCCCACTGGGTCCCTCCTACAACACGTGGGAATTATGGGAGTACAATTCAAGATGAGATTTGGGTGGGGACACAGCCAAACCATATCAGAGGAGGAGGTGCATACTACATACTTTTAAAAACCAGATCTCAGGATAACTCACTCACTATCATGAGAACAGCACCAATGGGATGGCGCTAAGCCTTTCATGAAGGGCCACCCCCATGATCCTGTCACCTCCCACCAGGCCCCACCCCCAACACTGGGGATTACAATTGAACATGAGATTTGGTGGAGACACAGAACCAAACCATATCATGATACTCATTTTATTTATTGCATTTTACTTTATATCCTACAAAGTCAATATATTTAACTGAAAAACTGGCTACCAGTGTTTTTGTTTTTTTTTTTCAAGTTCTACCTGTACTGATTTCTAATTTTTAGCCATTCCTGATTTTAAAACCTCGCATACATTTTGGGGATAATTTGTTCTCCTAGATGGCGAGAAAATATTTAAGTCTGTGGGCTTGGAGAATGCTTTTTTGATAAGAAGGATGCCCTTGGCCAGACTGCATAGAAGCTGAGATGTTTCCGCAGAGCCGAGATGGCATGAAGGCTGAAGAATTTTCCTGCATCCCTCCCACTGCAGTGATTGTTCTGGCAAAGTTCCCAGGGTGGTCTCTGCACTGCTCATATTAGTGAAAGGGTGGTTCTGATTTCTGAGGAAGGCATGATAACACTTTGGCCTTAAATTTTCTTTTTGCAGAAAGTTTGATTATCATTAGAAGAATGGCCATCTTTTAAAGTGATTCATTGACTTGTCCCTGGAGAAATCATGAGTTAGATGAGAGTGTTTAGTGGGAAGTGAAAAGACCCGTCCACGGTTTCGGATGAGATCCTCGTTGGACTGTGATCCCAGGATATTACCCAGGCCCAGATCGTAGACAACCTCCCAATGGAGTCCTGCCCCTACACGGGCAGGGGGTGAAATAATGATTCCCTTTCTTAATTTTCTTTAGCCATGAAATTTATTAAAAATGTATGTCTGATTCTGAGTTGCCAGTCTTAATTGCTTGAGATTCTCTGGATTCAGAACTTATTTTTATTTTTTTTATTTTTATTTTTTGAGACAGAGTCTCGCTCTGTCATCCAGGCAGGAATGCAGTGGCGCAACTGCAGGCCCACTGCATCCTGAGCTCAAGCGATCCTCCTGCCCCAGCCCCCAGGTAGCTGGGACTACAGACATATGCCACCATGCCCAACTAATTTTTTTTTTTGAGGCAGAGTCTCGCTCCCTCCCCCAGGCTGGAGTGCAGTGGCATGAGCTCGGCTCACTGCAAGCTCCGCCTCCCGGGTTCACGCCATTCTCCTGCTTCAGCCTCCCGAGTATCTGGGACTAAAGGCGCCCGCCACCACGCCCGGCTAGTTTTTTTTTTTGTATTTTTAGTAGAGACGGGGTTTCACCGTGTTAGCCAGGATGGTCTCGATCTCCTGACCTGGTCATCCGCCCGACTCGGCCTCCCAAAGTGCTGGGATTACAGGCGTGAGCCACCGCGCCCAGTCCCAACTGATTTTTGTACCTTTTCTAGAGACGAGGTTTCACCAGGTTGCTCAGGCTGCTCTCGAACTCCTGGACTTAAGCAATCCTCCTGCCTTGGCCTCTGAAAGTGCTGGGATTACAGGTGTGAGCTACTGCGCCCAGCCTGAATGCAGTCTTAAAACTGAATTAGAAAATCTGAGTGCAGGCTAGAGTTATATATAATTAAGAGAGTGTGGGTTTTAAGTTGTGTCTTAAAATTGTGTTGTTTTTGGTCGAGTCTGGTGGCTCACACTTGTAATCCCAGCACTTTGGGGGGCCTAAGTGGGCTGATTGCTTGAGCTCACGAGTTCGAGACCAGCCTGGGCAACATAGTGAAACTCTGCCTCTACAAAAAATACAAAAATTAAGCCCAGGTGCTGTGGCTCATGCCTGTAATCCTAGCACTTTGGGAGGCCAAGGCTGGTGGATCATCTGAGGTCAGGAGTTTGAGACCAGCCTGGCCGTGGTGAAACCCTGCCTCTACTAAAAAAATACAAAAACTAACCAGGCGTGGTGGCACATGCCTGTAGTCCCAGCTACATGGGAGGCAGAGGCAGAAGAGTCCCTTGAACCCAGGAGGCGGAGGCTGCAGTGAGCCAAGATCGCACCACTGCACTCCAGCCTGGGCGACAGAGCAACAGTCCGTCTCAAAAACAAAAAACAAAAATTAGCCAGGCATTGTGGCATGCGCCTGTAGTCCCAGCTACTTGGGAGGCTGAGGTGGGAAGATGGCTTGAGCCTGGGAGGCGGGGGTTACAGGGAGCTGAGATGGTGCCACTGTACTCCAGCCTGGGTGATCGGGCCAGACCTTATCTCAAAAAAAAGTGTTTTTAATTACTTGTAATTTTAATTGCTTGTAATTAAAAAACAGTAATTAAAAGGACCAAAAGTTAATTTTGCAGGTAGTAAACCTTAGCCTACTGTACGTAAAAATCAGAAGGCCAAGGCAGGAGGATTGCCTGAGTCCAGGAGCTCAAGACCAGCTTGGGCAACATAGTGAGACCCCGTCTCTATAAAACAACTTAACAATGTGCCAGGTGTGGTGGCACACCCTTGCAATCCCAACTACTCAGGAGGCTGAGGTGGACGGATTGCTTGAGCCTGGGAGGTCAAGGCTGCAATGATCGTGATCACATCACTGCACTCCAGCCTGGGCAACAGAGCAAGACCCTCTGTAAATAATAACAGTAATAATCAGAAAGCAACACTGTATGTGAATAAAGTCACCTTACCTAGCTGCCGGTGGACAGCCTTTGGTGTTTCAAGGACTTAGTTTTTATGCGTTCCTGCTTTCGATATTTGTTGACTGTGAGCTTTGGGCTTATCCAGGGTCCATGAAGAAGAAATGGCTCTTCCTTATCTCAGGCTTTTGTTATTTTGGGGTGTTTTAAATTCCTCTCCTGTGGTTACTCAATCCGACCCTACTTGCCTCTCTCTTCCACAAATTTCTCAAATGTCATTCATGGTACCCTTTTAACTCTTACGGACTTACTTGTTTTTAACATATCTTTTATTCACTTTGAATGGAGTTTCGACTGGAAATAGAGGGTAGTGTTGTGTGTACCACCTACCATCTTCAGCTAGACACTTTCAAAGAGTTTGTTTTGTTAATTATATCTTCTTACATGGCTCATTATGCTTGTTGAAATTTGCAAGATGCTTTAAACCAATCCTGTCCAAACCACAGCCTGTGGGCCGCATGTAGCCCAGGATAGCTTTGAATGCAGCCCAACACAAATTCATAAACTTTCTTAAAACACGAAATTTTTTTTGCAATTTTTTTTTTCCTTAGCTCATCAGCTATCATAGTGTTAGTGTATTTTATGTGTGGCTATGGCCCAAGACAATTCTTCTTCCAGTGTGGCCCAGGGAAGCCAAAAGATTACACATTGCTGAAAACTTTAGATGTATCAGGAATCATATAGCTTTTCAAAATAAAATATCCACACTTTTGCTAAGTTCTATGCTATGCAAGTGACTGAACTATACCAGGACTTATCTTGTAAACTTGGAAGTGAAATATTCTTCACTCGCAAGGGTATTTTGTGATTAAATTCTGGAAATATGCATTTATAAGTTGATACCAGCTCCTGGAATGTAACTTTTTCTTTTTTCTTTTTTTCTTTTTTAGATTTTTTGAGATGAAGTCTCACTCTGTTGCCCAGGGTGGAGTGCAGTGGCACAATCTTGGCTCACTGCAGCCTCTGGGTCCCGAGGTCAAGCAATTCGCTGGCCTCAGCCTCTGAGTAGGTGGGACTACAGGCATCTGCCACCACAGCTGGCTAACTTTTTTTTGTATTTTTAGTAGAGACAGGGTTTCACCTTGTTGGCCAGGCTGGTCTTGAACTCCTGACCTCAAGTGATCCACCCACCTCGGCCTCCCAAAGTGCTGGGATTACAGGCGTGAGCCACCGCACCCGGATGCTTTTTCTCATTTCTCCATCGCTTAAAGATAGAGGATTGAGAGAGGCCCGTTTGTGGACACGATCTTAAGTACAGATCTCTAGTGGTTAAAACGAAACACAACAATTCTCTCTCATCCTCTAGACTCTTGGCTTTTGCCTAAATATGATTCATAAAGCTGAAGTGTTGCTAATCTTTAAATAACACCCAAGGGATATGATTATATGATTACCCAACACCCTAATACAGTTTAAGAATAGAGTGATCCAAAGAAGGAGAAAATAGTGTCTTCAAAAATGTTGCTATTAGAAATATTTCTTTTCTCTAAGGGAGGATGCAGGCTAAAGTATTTAGCATGTGTGTTTACTTTTATAAATTTTCTAAGTGATGAAGGAAGGAAGGTAGAATCTTTTTTTTTTTTTTTTTTTTTTTTTTTCAGATAGAGTTTCACTCTTGTTGCCCAGGCTGGAGTGAGTGGTGTGATCTCGGCTCACCGCAATCTCCGCCTCCCAGGTTCAAGCGATTCTCTGCTTCAGCCTCCCTAGTAGCTGGGATCACAGGTGTGCACCACCACGCCCAGCTAATTTTTTTTTTTTTTTTTTTTTTTTTTTTTTTTGGTATTTTTAGTAGAGATGGGGTTGCACCATGTTGGCCAGGCTGGTCTCAAACTCCTGACCTCAGGTGATCCACCCTACTCGGCCTCCTAGAGTCCTGGGATTACAGGCGTGAGCCACTATGCCCTGCCAGAAGTAGAATTCTTATCAACATCTTTCTAGGTTGATAATCAGGTAATCCCTAAAGTTAATACCCTAAAATGCAATTTTTTAGTTTTGATGGAAAATTGATTCTATCCCTTTTTTTTTTTTTTTTTTTTTTTTTTTTTTTTTTTTTTTTTTGAGGTGGAGTTTTGCTCTTGTTGCCCAGGCTGGAGAGCAATGGCACGATCTCAGCTCACTGCAACCTCGGCCTCCCGGTTCAAGCGATTCTCCTGCCTCAGCCTCCTGAGTAGCTGGGATTACAGGCATGTGCCACCACGCCTGGCTAATTTTGTATTTTTAGTAGAGATGGGGTTTCTCCATGTTGGTCAGGCTGTTCTCAAACCCCCGACCTCAGATGATCCACCCGGCTTGGCCTCCCAAATTGCTGGGATTACAGGCGTGAGCCACCATGCCTGGCCGGTTCTATAACTTCTATGATAGAGAATTTTTAAATTATCAAAAAAGCCTGATCTTTCATGTAACACTTTGACCAGTCTTACCCTGTGAGTGTTTTCATCTGCCTTCTCACGCTTTGCATCCACAAGTGAAAGTGCTTCTATTTTTCTATGTATTGTACAGTAAAGATTTTAGAGCTTTCTAGGCCAGGCATGGTGGCTCGCACCTATAACCCCAGCACTTTGGGAGGCCGAGGTGGGCAGATCACTGAGGCCAGGAGTTTGAGACCAGCCTGGCCAACATGGTGAAACCCTGTGTCTACTAAAAATACAAAAATTAGCCGGGAGTGTTGGCAGGTGCCGTAATCCCAGCTGCTAATAAGGTGGAGGTTGCGGTGAGCTGAGATCGTGCCATTGCACTCCAGCCTGGGTGACAGAGAGAGACTCTATCTCAAAAATAAAAAAAAAAAATTTTTTTAGATCCTTCTAATAAGATGAAGCCCACTGTGTCAAAAAAAAATCTAAAGGTTAGGATATGAAGTCATTCTGACAGATTATGCTGTGGAAGAATATATATCCCTGTTCCTTTCTTCTGAGCCTTACTTTCATGTTAATAGTTTAAACTACATACTATATGCCAAGAACTTTATATACCTTATCATATTTCATTTTCACAAAATTTTAGGAGGTTGATATTACTCACATTAATTAACAGGCCCAACATCACAATTTCTAGCAAGAGGAAGAGGTATGCTTTTAATGCAAGTCTGACTCTGAATTCTGTGGCCTAATCTGCAGTCTATGTTGCATCCACATGTTTTAAATGTTCGCTATGAATTCTCTTGAGCTATTATTTCTATCTCTAATTATGCCATAATTTAAAAATCAGAATACTTGGGCTCGTGTGAAGAGATGGTGTGCCTAGATGTTTCTTCCTGGCTCAGTGTGAGATATGATTTTGAAAGCACATGATGTGCTTCATTACATTTTTTAAATCCATTTATCCCAGGTTAATAGCTTAGATGGCCTTTTTTTTTTTTTTTTTTTGAGATGGAATCTTGCTATGTCGCCCAGGTTGCAGTGCAGTGGCGTGATCTTGGCTCACTGCAACCTCCACCTTCCAGCTTCAAGCGATTCTCCTGCCTCAGCCTCCCAAGTAGCTGGGACTACGGGTACACGCCACCATGTCCAGCTGATTTTTATATTTTTAGTAGAGATGGGGTTTTGCCATGTTGGCCAGGCTGGTCTTGAACTGACCTCAGGTGATCCACCTGCCTCGGCCTCCCAAAGTGCTGGGATTACAGGTGTGAGCCACTGCACCCGGCCAGATGGCCATTTCTCTAATGTAAAATGTGAAGCAGGCCCAATGGAGGGCCCCAAGCCTGTGCCAGAGGTGACCAGTCTGCAGCCGTGCCCCGACATCCTAACTTCCTTGGTGAAAAATGAGACCACTATTCAGTGTGCTAGCTGTTTACAAGGAGCAATTGGTTAGAAATGACAGTGTACTGAAAGTCTTTTTTTTCCCTCCAATTTTTTACAGGGAAGGTTGGGTGTGGCTCTCCAAGAATACATTTTGGTGGACTCATTGAGGAAGATGATGTGATTCTCCTTGCTGCAGCTCTGCGAATTCAGGTTTGTTCAACATAGCTGTCTGAGAATCTTGAGTTTGGAAGTTTGATTAATAGTTGCTAACATTTTGCAAGTGGTTTCTGTTTACCAGGTACAGTGTTAAACACTTCACACACAGTGTTAGGCCCATTTGATAAGTGAAGAAATGGTGATTTTGAAAAATGAAGTGAGTTGCCTATGATCACATGGCAGTGTGGGGCAGGGACCCATCCTGGGGACTGTGTATGTTATCTTGTGCTGTGTAATAAATTATCCCAAAATTTAGCAACTGAAGCAACAAGGCATTTATTATCTCACAGTTTCTTCAAGTCAGAGATTTGGTAGTAGATTAGCAGATTAGGTGGTATGTTAGTCCATTCTTGCATTGCTATAAAGAAATACCAGCTACTCAGGAGGCTAAAGCAGGAGGATCGCTTGAACCCAGGAGACAGAGGTTGTGGTGAGCTGAGATTGCACCACTGAACTCCAACCTGGGTGACAGAGGGAGACTGAAAAAAAAAAAAAAGAAATACCTGAGACTGGTTAACTTAGAAAGAAAACAGATTTAATTGGCTCACGGTTCTTTTTTTTCCCCTTGGGACAGAGTCTCACTTTGTCACCCAGGCTGGAGTGCAGTGGTGCGATCTTGGCTCACTGCAACCTCCACCTCCTGGGTTTAAGAGATTCTCATGCCTCAGCCTCCTGAGTAGCCGGGACTGCAGGCACACACCACCACGCCTGGCTAATTTTTTGTATTTTTAGTAGAGACAGGGTTTCACCATGTCGGCCAGGCTGGTCTCAAACTCCTGGCCTCATGTGATCCACCCGCCTTGGCCTCCCAAAGTGCTGGGATTACAGGCATGAGCCACCGCGCCTGACCTGGCTCACAGTTCTGCAGGCCTTACAGGAAGCATAACACAGGCATCTGCTTCTGGAGAGGCCTCACCAAGCTTCCAAGAATGGCAGAAAGTGAAGGGAAAGCAGGCATCTCACAAGGCGGGAACAGGAGCAGAGAGTGAGGGATGGTGCTATATACTTTTAAATGACCAGATCTCATGAGAACTCATTCACTATCACAAGGACGCTACCGAGGGAGATGATGCTAAACCATCATGAGAAACTAGCCCCTGTGATCCCATCACCCTCCACCAGGCCCCACCTCTAACACTGGGGATTACATTTCAAGATGGGATTTGGGCAGGGACACACATCCAAACTATATCAAATTGTTTAGGCTCAGGATCTCTCATGCATTTGAAGTGAAGATGTCAGCTGGGGCTGCAGTCATCTGAGGCATTAACTGGGGCTGGAGGATCTGTTTCCAAGATGGCATACTCACATGGCTGTGGGCATGTGTATTTCATTCCTCACTGGCCATCAGCAGGATGCCTTGGTTCCTCATCATGTCCACCTCTCTGTAGGGCTGCTCACAGTGTGGCAGCTAACTTCCCCCAGTGTGAGCAATCCAAGGGAGGCAACCAGGAGGAGTCTGCAGTGTGGATGACCTGGGCTCTAACCTCATGTGCCGCCACTTCCTTTTATCCTGTTTGTTAGAAGTAGATCACTAAGTCCAGTTCACATTCAAGAGAAGGAGAATTGTCCTCACTTCTTCAAGACAGGAGTATTAAAGTATTTGGAGGCATTTTTTCAAACCACCACCACCTGTGTGACCTAAAGGCGAAGGTCATCAGTGTTCCACCATATAAGCTGAGTGTTCTCATGGTGCTGGAGCCTGCAGCAGTGGTGGCCTCTGGCAGTGACATTTAGTTCATTTCTTTCTTATGTACAGGGTAATACACAATTGAAACTCTTTACCTCAAAATGGGTCATTAGACATTTTTGTAAGGATTATAAGTTACATTTCCATCAAAGCCAAATTTTATTTTTATTTATTTTTATTTCATTTACTTATAATTTATATGCATACATAACACTACTCAGTAGTTCAATTTGCTTGCTCTTTTATACCAACTATGGAAGGATGGTATTTGGAAGCTGGGCATCCAAGCTGATCATTCACGCAGTCCTATATTTTCTTCATTTTTCTTTTCTAAATTGGATGACGAACCTATTCAGTATAAGTTTATCCATGTACATGATGTCTTTTGTGAACACTTAATCTATTTATTTATTTATTTATTTATTTGAGACGGGGTCTCACTGTGTCACCCAGGCTGGAATGCAGTGGCACGATCTCAGCTCACTGCAGCCTCCACCTCCCAGGTTCAAGTGATTCTCCTGCCTCAGCCTCCTGGGTAGCTGGGATTACAGGCACATGCCACCACACCCAGATAATTTTTTTTTTTTTTTTTTTTTTTTTTTTTGAGACAGAGTTTAGCTCTTGTTGCCCAGGCTAGAGTGTAATGTCGCAAACTCGGCTCACTGCAACCTCCATCTCCCGGGCTCAAGTGATTCTCCCGCCTCAGCCTCCTGAGTAGTTGGGATTACAGGCACATGCCACCACCACGCCCGGCTAATTTTTTGTATTTTTTGAGATGGAGTTTTGCTCTTGTTGCCCAGGCTGGGGTGCAATGGCACGATCTCAGCTCACTGCAACCTCCACCTCCCGGGTTCAAGTGATTCTCCTGCCTCAGCCTCCCGAGTAGCTGGGATTACAGGCGTGTGCCACCACACCCAGCTAATTTTGTATTTTTAGTAGAGACGGGGTTTCTCCATGTTGGTCAGGCTGGTCTCGAACTCCCGACCTCAGTTGATCCCGCCTACCTCAGCCTCCCAAAGAGGATTACAGGCGTGAGCCACTGCACCTGGCCTAATTTTTGTATTTTTAGTAGAGACAGGGTTTCACCATGTTGCCCAGGCTGGTCTTGAATTCCTGACCTCAAGTGATCTGCCCACCTCGGCCTCCCAAAGTGCTGGGATTACAGGCATGAGCCACCTCACCTGGCCTATTTATTCATTTATTTTTAAAGAGACAGAATCTCAGCTAGGATGAAGTACAGTGGTGTGATCTTGACTCACTGCAGCCTCAAACTTCTGGGCTCAAACAATCCTCCCACCTCAGCCTCCCGAGTAGCTGGGATTATAGGTGCGCATCACCACACCTGGATTTTTTAATAGTGTATTTTCTCACATTTTCCTGTTTTTCTTTTTAAAATTTAACAAAAACAATGAACATAGTCAGAAGTTCTGGCCTGTGACTTGAAATAACCCTGGATGTACATTTTTAAAAACATTCTCAGATTCATTGCTGTAAGTATGAAGAGCTAATAGTCTGCAAGGGAACTATAGAATTAAGCTGGATCATCAAGTTCATGCATGCATATTTAAGAAACAGAGCAGCTTCTTTTAATACTATCAAACTCTTCAGTGCGATATTGAATAGTTGTATATCTAACTAGTGGTTTTCACGTTTTCCTTTTTAAGAAAAACCTACAAACCTAGTTACACGTGAATAAAAATATTCCTAATATCCTCCTGGCTTATTGTGCGACTCGATAATCTTGTTTTGTAACATCCACAAACAATATTTCCATGGTTTAAGTGTGTGCCCTGTCAGCTTTTACCATTCTAACATGTTTTCCCCTCTATCCCTGCTGAAGAACATGGTCAGTAGTGGAAGGAGATGGCTTCGTGAACAGCAGCACAGGCGGTGGAGACTTCACTGCTTGAAACTTCAGCCTCTCTCCCCTGTGCCAAGGTAACACTGGTGTTTTATTTACACTGATGTCAGCTCAGCACAGTGCCTTAGCCCTAGTTAGTCATGGGGGAGAAGCACAACTCATGGTACTGTGGTTTTGATGGTAGATAAGTTTCTCTATTCATTAAATTGCCACCCTATTTTCTCTATTGTAAATTCTCCAAAATTAAATCATAATGAATGTATTACTGTGTTCTGTCAATTCTAAGAAGGCATATTTTTTTATTTCAATGATGTTTTCTATATTAAATGGCAGTTTTTTAATGATGTTTTAAAATTAATTTATATTAATTTAATTTCAATGATGTTTCCTATATTTAATGGCAGTGTTTTCCCCCCCCACCCTTTTTTTTTTTTTTGAGATGGAGTCTTGCTCTGTTGCCCAGGCTAGAGTGCAATGGTGCGATCTCGGCTCACTGCAACCTCTACCTCCCAGGTTCAAGCGATTCTCCTGCCTCAGCCTCCCGGGTAGCTGAGATTACAGGTGCACGCCACCACACCCAGCTAATTTTTGTATTTTTAGTAGAGATGGGGGTTTCACCATTTTGGCCAGCCGGTCTCAAACTCCTGACCTCAGGTGATCTGCCCACCTTGGCCTCCCAAAGTGCTGGGATTACAGGCGTGAGCGACCACGCCTGGCCTGGCAGTGGTTTTTCTTCTTAGTGGTCCATGAAGTAATGGTTTTAAATTTGACAAAATATGGTAATGTAATATTTGGAATATGCTTTTCAATGTCAGAAATGCCCAACACGTATATATCCGCCTGGTGTTAAGGGCCATATAGGTTTCTACTCTGGGGATAAAGGACCGTCCAAACCAAACATTATTCCACGTGGGAACTGAGCTCAGCTTTCTTCAGAACGATCTGATAGAATAGTCTGTGCTCGTCAAGGTGGATATTTTCCTCAGAGTGCTCTCTGATGAGGTCTGAGCTACATATTCTATCTATAAATTTGGAAATATAAACTGTAGGTCATAGTCTCAGCTTGTGGTTTAGAATGATTGGGTAGGGATGATGTCTGAATCAGACAGCTGCATTTTCCAGCCTGATGATGAGTCATCTGTGTCTGTCCCACTCCAAGGAATTGGCCCCACCCCCATTATCCAGGTGTGCATAATACTAGGTGTGCATCCCCAGGTAATCTCATCCAGCAACGTTGGAATGCACACAGTGCCGAGGAGATAAAATCCCTCTAGTAACTGACACTTTATTTATTTATTTATTTATTTATTTATTTTTTCTTTTTTTTTTTTTTTTTTTTGAGACAGAGTCTTGCTCTGGTCTTGAACTCTTGACCTCAGGTGTTCCACCTGCCTCGGCCTACCAAAGTGCTGGGATTACAAGCATGAGCCACCGCACCGGGGCTGACTCATTTTTTACCTGATAACCAGTTGCTTTATAGAATTGAACTCCATTTCCTTGGACAGTCAGATGAACACCCTGGTTCAGTTCTACCCACTAGGAGGGTGTGACCCTCCTGGACATGTTTTCATCCCTGCAATAGACGAAACATCTCAGTTATGCTCTCTGTTCATTAATTATATAAGTTGCAATGAGGAATGTTATTCTTTGTAATATCATCCCTGGGCTTGTGCAATCTGTTTCATAAAATATCTTATTTTAGAGTTATTTTTGTTGTTATAAGACCTTAGATTTTAAAAGTAAATCAATAATTTCTACTTACAAAGTGCTAAAAAAGATTAAGATAGATTCCACCAAATTGTGTACCAAAGTTTCAAAGTAAATTCTTCTTGTTAAATAATTAAATCCTTTTCTCCCCCAAGAAGAATTTACTTTGAAATCATTGATTTCTAGACCCACTGGGCAAAGAGAAGCAGGCTGAGTAGTTTATAAATCACCCCAAAAATCGGATGATGTCTCTGTGACTAGCTAGTAAAGAGAAAACCTTACAGGTGTTTGTTTTGTTTTGTTTTTGAGACAGAGCCTTGCTCTGTTGCCCAGGCTGGAGTGCAGTGGCTTCATCTCTGCTCATTGTAACCTTCACTTCCTGAGTTCAAGCGAGGACATCTGGCTAATTTTTGTATTTTTAGTAGAGACAGGGTTTCACCATGTTTGCCAGGCTGGTCTTGAACTCCTGACCTCAAGTGATCTGCCCTCCTGTGCTCCCAAAGTGCTGGGCTTACAGGCATGAGCCACCATGCCAGGCCTGTTTTGTTTGCTTGTTTGTTTTTTGAGACAGTCTTATTCTGTTGCCCAGGCTGGAGTGCAGTGGTGCAATCTCAGCTCACCTCAACCTCCGCCTCCCAGGTTCAAGTGATTGTCCTGCCTCGGCCTCCCGAGTAGCTGGGACTACAGGTGCCACCACCACACCTGGCTAATTTGTTTGTATTTTTAGTAGAGACGGGATTTTGCTATGTTGGCCAGGCTGGTCTCAAACTCATGGACTCAAGTGATCCTCCCGCCTTGGCCTCCCAAAGTGCTGGGATTACAGGCGTGAGCCTCTGCAGCCTGCCAAAAGCTTACACATTGTTCAAGATTAAGCTCTTCAATTTAGGAGATTGTGGGAAGAGAGAGACAGAAAAAAACTATGGCCAGGAAGGCAAAACAAAGTAGGAGGCTAGAAAGGAAAGGTCGGATAGGTGGAGGCCTGGAAAGGAATACTCAGCGGTACTTGAGGGGGGTAACCTGAACTCCTAGTTTCTCTGGTGCCCTTTGGAGAAGTCTGGGTGGAGGTGTGTTTGCTGTTGCCTCTTACCCCCGGGTCAGGCCCCTACAGGATCCTGGAGGAGAGTCTAGGGTGGTCTGAACACTGAGGGTAGATTACCTGCAGTAGCTACAGAAACAGTCAGGGCCAAGGGGCTGACTAAAGTCCACTGAGGGGGTTGATCTGCCCACCGCAAGGAGGCAGACCACAACAAAAATAAGTGTTCTGGGGTGAGTGAAGGAATAGCTGTCCTCTCTGATGCAACCTTTAAGGGTAGTCCCCCGCCGCGTGGTCTCCCGGGGTTAGTCTTGCTGCTGGGGGAACAGGTGTGCCTTCCATCTCTCACTCTCAGACACATGAAGGGCCTGACTGCCCAGCAAAGAAATGACTGAGCACATGAGCCCCAGAGGAAAGAGTCCAGCATTACACATGCTGGTATCCAGACCACTCCTGTAAGACGAGCAGTGGTGGCCAGTAAAATAGAAGAGTTCAGTTACGTGCCCAATGACTCTCTGGAGTTCCTACAATTTCCTGTCTGAACTTGGGCTCAGGGCACTAGGTCCTTTTACCGACAGTTATGTAATTAATAAAACATTTTGAAATATGATTTTAGACTGTAAATAGAGAGGGGGAAGTGTGGACACAGATAAAACGAAATAGCATTTCCACATTTTTTCTTTTTTTTTGTACTTAATCTCTAATGTGATAGTAATGTTCACATTTTTGAATAGCCAAGAGAAACATGTGGCCAGCCCGATCGGAGATTATTATGCAATGACCCTCTATTCATCGCTAATGAATACCATGATGGCCCATACAGAGCATTTTGCTCTGTAGTCGAATCACACTTGCAGGAGGGTTTTGGACACATTATAATATGCTGTTCTTGTCTCTATGCCATAGGTGTTATACTTCCACCTGGACACAATTCTAGGATCTTTGTGAGTTTTTTGGAGTTGCATTTCTAAAATGATACACCATTTTCTCATACACGTTAATTATTAGCAGTTGTGCTTATTACTGCCTGGGAGAAAGGACCCCAAAGTAATTGCATTGATTTCATCGTTGGCGTGATGTGTGGCTGTTTTCACTCCAGTTGTGACCACCTAAGCTGAGAAGCCTTTTCTCTCTTTCGTATTGTCTTTCCCCTCAGTGACATTGAGATTTCAAGAGGACAAACTCCAAAAGCTGTGGATGTCCTTGCCAAGGAGATTGGATTGCTTGCAGATGAAATTGAAATCTATGGCAAAAGCAAAGCCAAAGTACGTTTGTCCGTGCTAGAAAGGTTAAAGGATCAAGCAGATGGAAAATACGTCTTAGTTGCTGGGTAAGACACCATCTAACATCTACTTGATCAAGCAGACATATTTACAAAACTCTTCCCTATTTATCTCTCTCCTCGTACCCCTCAATCCATCCTATTCTCACATTTGACATTTCGTCCATTTCATTTGGCATTTCTTTATTTGGTGTGAGATAAGTTTTTATTTTCAGTGCAGAGCAAACTAGTCGACTCTACACAAGATAAAGTCAAACAAGTTGCAGTGCTTTATCTTTTGTTTCTCATATTATGTTGTTATTACCCCTGCTCCTCCTTGACTTTTTGAATTTCATTTTTCATTATAAAAATCAAAATAGGAATTGAAAGTAAACTATTTTGAACTGAGCAGTTTGTTTTGTGCGTTCTACTTGAAATATTTTCGTGGAAAAGGTACAGATAATCATATGAAACATGTTTTCCTGTTAATATCCTTGATCTTACCTACATATTCACATTTCAAAAGCTCATTATTTCCCTTTTTCTGCATTTCAAAACTAATGTTGGGCCATTTTCATTTGTGTTGGTTATTTTATAAAAGACAAATTCATAGTTTTTGTGAAAAGGAGTGTTTGCCTTTTTCCCCTTCTTTTTAAAAAAAGAAGTACATTCACTAGCTGAAAAGATGATAGAAAGCAAGGGATTTCAAATATTTATTCAGTGTGACCTGAGGGAACATCATGAGACCATATAAATTCCTTTGCTGCCTTGAAATTTCATTTCAGTGACTATTGCTTATGATGTATACAAAGCTTCAGGCACAAAACCTATTTGTCAGGCAGAGACATTTCTTGTAATTGGAATTGACTCCTAGGTAACTTTGTTTTTACGTATTTAATTATTAATGTAAGTGCTTTTTTCTTTATTTCTTTTTCTGGTTATAAAAAGAATGTAGTTTCATTGTAGAAATATTCTAAAAATTCAGAAAACAGAAGTGAAAAAGTAAAACATCCCAAACCCAAGCACTCAGAGGAAACAACTGTTGACCTGCGAGGACTGTTTTGACGCTGATAGAGTCTCTCAGCCATGAGGTCACACTCACATGCTATTGTGTAAGCAACCTGATTATTCAAGCATATGTGGCATACTGAGCTCCATGTGAGTGAATATTGAGCTATGTCACCATTTTTCATGACAACATAACATTCCATCACTCACATCCCAGATTCTTTTTTTTTTTTTTTTTTTGAGACAGAGTCTTGCTCTGTTGCCAAGACTGGGGTGCAGTGGTGTGATCTCAGCTCACTGCAAACTCTGCCTCCCGGGTTCAAGCGATTCTCCTGCCTCAGCCTCCCGAGTAGCTGGGATTACAGGCATGCGCCACCATGCCCAGCTAATTTTTGTATTTTTAGTCGAGATGGGGTTTCACCATGTTGGCCAGGCTTTTCTCGAACTCCTGACCTCAAGTGATCCACCCACCTTGGCATCCCAAAGTGCTGGGATTACAGGTGTGAGCCACCGCACCTGGCCACATCCCAGATTCTTAAACATGTTGGGGAAGCAGGGGCTGGGGGAGTAGCAAAATGCCCAGGATGAGGGTGGAGATCCCATCTTACACATCTTCTGGCACCTCTAGTTCCATCAATAAGTGCTACCCTGGTAGTTCTGAGTGTTTCTAATTGTCCAAGTGCACTGATGCAGAAAAATAATTTGAACATAGAATAGGGATGTTCCACAACTTACTTGACCAATTTTCTATTGATGGGCAATCAAAGTGTTCCCAATTTTTGCCATTTTAAACTGCTAGAATTAACAACCTTGGGCATGTGGATTTGTGCATCTGTTTAATTATCTCCTTAGGAAAAATCCCCGGAAGTGAGTTCAATTATTTATAACCACAAATAAAGCAAAAATATTATCCAAAACAGGCCAAGCGCGGTGGCTCACACCTGTAATCCCAGCTCTTTGGGAGGCCGAGGCAGGTGGATCACAAGGTCAGGAGATCGAGACCATCCTGGCTAACATGGTGAAACCCCGTCTCTACTAAAAATACCAAAAAATTAGCCAGGCGTGGTGGCAGGCACCTGTAGTCCCAGCTACTCAGGAGGCTGAGGCAGGAGAATGGCGTGAACCTGGGAGGCGGAGCTTGCGGTGAGCCAAGATCACGCCACTGCACTCCAGCCTAGGTGACAGAGCAAGACTGTCTCAAAAAAAAAAAAAAAAAAAAAAAATCACCTCTTTAATGATATAGTGATTTCTTCAAATCCTTTTTCCCTCCTCCTGTCCCACTTTCCTGTCCTCCTCTTTCTCCTTCTCTTTGTGTAGCTTTTCTTTTTTTTTTTTGAGATGAAGTCACCCAGGCTGGAGTGCACTGGTGCGATTTTGGCTCGCTGCAACCTCTGCCCCCTGGGTTCAAGCAATTCTTGTGCCTCAGCTTCCCAAGTAGCTGGGATTCCAGGCATGCACCCCCACGCCTGGCTAACTGTTTTTGTATTTTTATAGAGACGGGGTTTCGCCACATTAGCCAGGCTGGCCTTGAACTCCTGGCCTCAAGTGGTCCGCCCGCCTCCTCCTTCCAAAGTGCTAGGATTACAGGTGTGAGCCATCATGCCCAGCTTCTGTAGCTTTTTTGTAAGAGGGACAGACAGCCAGGGCCTCTCTGAATCCCTCAGCAGTTGGCATTGTAAGGAATTCATCCTTTGCTCCACACCTTGGTTGCCTGTGGCTTCACCCTTCTCCCGCAGGCTTCCAGGCTCACTGCAGTTAGATTCCTGAGCCCCTTTCCAACCTAGAACCCCAAACTTAATGTCCCCATAATCGAGTGTGGGAAAGTTCCTGGCTGAGGGGAGGGGTTGGCTCCACCTGCAGGCACCCTCTGGGCCCACACCCTGCAAGGAGCTGCCTCTGGTTAGATTGGCTCCGGGGTCTCTGAGTTTAGGGCACAGTTTAGTCAGGGTTGTTTTATGGCAGTATGCTTGATGCATATTTGTCTGCAATTAATAAACAAACTCTTGGCCATTAAGACCTTGAAAAAGCATTTGATTTGTGAAATTGGTTCCTTTCTTCCAGGCTTCAGATGATCTTGGTAGGTGGGTTTGCAGGCTTTCTCACCCTGTTCAGATAGGAACACTTAAGGAAAACTTGGTAGGATGTGTTGTCTGTTTATGAAGGAAGAATCCTGCAGCAGATTTTCTTATCCAGTCCTTGTGCTTTACTCCATTTTGGGCTTGTCAATAAAATCAGAAATCCAGATATGGATGGCTCTGACCTTAGCTTGGAACACAAAACTGATACTTCTAAAACAAAGCTGTGATGATACTGTTTTCAGGTTCCTTACTTGTAAACAAAGCTGGGCCTCCAGCCTCATGCTGGAGAATGCTAGCTAGCACGACTGCCTGGGGTTACAGCCAATGCAGTCCATGGCCAGTAGAACATTTCTCCACGCTGGCTTTTTGCTAGCATTAATATGTATAATCAAGCTGAAATTGGCCTGCCATGTTGTAAATAGAAAAGAAGACTAAAGATGAATTTTCAAGAACAGATTAAACACCAAGGGATCAACAATTCTTTTTCTGAAATTCTAAGTTTCTTTACCTAACAAAGACCTTTGAAGGAACAAAAATTAAATGGCCTGTCTCTTTTTTAACTGTAGTGGAAAAAAATAACCGTGCTGGTAAGATTATGATATATGTATGCATTTGTGGCACAGCTTGAAGATTTTTAGGAAATAGCCACACTGGATTCTATAAGGGAAGAATGAACAGCCCCTTCTCCCCAACACAACAAATGATATATTTTTTAGGGCTGTAAACTGTCATCAGTATCTAATCCCTTAATAGCTGAATATTGATATCAGTTTAGATCACAGGCAACTATTTTATCGATAGCCTAAAGTGGGCCTGGCATGACGGGTTGTGCCTATAACCCAATTACTCTGGAGACTGTGGGTGGATCACTTGAGGCCAGGAGTTCAAGACCAGCCTGAGCTGCATAGCAAGACCCCATCTTTAAAAAATACAAACAAACAGCAAAAAGCAGCACTGGTTTAAAGCAACATTTGTAATCTAAAGTGAAAAGTCAATTTGAAATAAAAATCATCTTCATATTTTTACATTTGACCAGGTCAAGCGTTAGGGGGAAATGACTGTTATCAAACCATTATATGCACTGTTGCAACTTCTTTAAAAATATAAATGACCCCTCCATTAAATGGAGAATTATTTCCTTTTTCTAAAAGTCTTTTCTAATTCTGAAAATAATATTAGCTTATTGTAAAAAATTTAACATAAAGTAAAAAGGAGATAACTAGGTCTCTCATAACTCAATATTTTATTTATATATTCATCTTTTTACACATTGAGATCATGCTATAAATATCATTTTTGTCCTGCCTTTTTCTCTGAACACTGTAACATAAATCTTTTTCCATGCTTTAGAAGAATTCAAATACCCAAGTAATTTTTAAATAATACTAAATAACAATATATTTGTTATTACATATTTTAATTTATATAGAAATGTGATTTAAATATATCAGCAATGGGATTAAAATATAAAACAATGAGATTTTTTTAAATCTTCTATTATTAATAACTCAAATGCAGAACAGATTAATTCTTTTAAAAAGCCATTCTTCAAACTTTAGGATTTCTTATTCAGTCAGAATCATCTGCATTTCATCAACTACATATCGCATGGTATTTACACCTACACATCACTTTATTTGCTTTGCCTGACAAAATGAAAAGTATTGGGAATTGTTCAGGGAAATATGCCAAAAGAATCTTAGGGACTCATGAGTTTTACATATTTTCCCAGTTACACTAATGAAAAGGAATTTTGTTTGAGAACTTGACTTGGAGTGCAGCTGCAGGGCATTTGAATCTCAGTCTCCATCAGGCCTGCACCCATTTCTGTGCAGAAGTTTCTAGAATTTCCCTGAATTGGTTGGACAGAGCAGCTAAAAAAGCAGCCCAAACTGATCTGGGAATAGACTGAATTTCACATTAAAGAAAAATTTGAATCATTCACATCATTTCATCTTTTTTTTTTTTTTTTTTTTTTTCTGCAGAGGGCCAAATACCCGATTGGATTTTTTAAAAATGTTTCAACCCTTTATTTCGGTACAATGTTAAAATAATCTGACTTTTCTATGATTTGGCTTTTCTGCCTTGAGTAACTATTTAAATATCTGTGTGATTTTCTTTTATTTGTGCTACTTCTAGAACAAAACAGAGGTATTTAGAAGAAACCACTTCCCACAGGGCCTTTGAACCGTTTACCTAAGTCAAGTGTAATGAGAAACATAACCAAATGCACCATGGGGTTTATTGTTAGATAATAAAAGGCTTAAAAAGCCCCTAGACCCTAAAGATGCCTGGGATGGATGATTTATGTTCATATGCTACTTGAGCATGTAGTTTTGGAGTGCATGGTGAGGCCCATGGCTAATGGCAGTGGTGCTATTCAACAAGATTCTGGGTCTTTAGAATAGTTCAAAGTTTTACCACTTCTCTCTGGATAAGCCATCTTTTTGACCTTTGAGTAAATTATAAACTTCTTTTCAGATTGTGTCCAAATGGTCACAGGTACTTTGACAGTTTTTACTGTAACTGCCAATAAGTAATACTCATCTTTAAAAAGACATCATTCTGGCAGGGCATGGTGGCTCACGCCTGTAATGCCAGCCCTTTGGGAGGCCGAGGCGGGCGGATCATTTGAGGTCAGGAGTTCGAGACCAGCCTGGCCAACATGGTGAAACCCTGTTTCTATTAAAAATACAAAAATTAGCTGGGCATGGTGATGGGTGCCTGTAATCCCAGCTACTCAAGAGGGTGAGGCAAGAGAATTGCTTGAGCCCGGGAGGTGGAGGTTGCAATGAGCAGAGATCACACCATTGCAGTCCAGCCTGGGCAACAGAGTGAGACTCCATCTCAAAAAAAAAAAAAAAAAAAAAAAAGCATCATTCCATTGTCAACCCTTTTTTGCTGTTCTGTGCCCTGAACAGGTGATGTGATAGCGGTGCAAAGAGGGTGAGCATTGTCCTTTACCTCAACAAGTGTGTGGCCTGGTAGGCGAGACAGGCATGTCAGAATGCTTATCATGAAGCCATCTGAAAAATTCTAGAATAATCATATAATCAATGCTCTAGATATCAGAGAGGGGGTACAGAAATCTGCCGGGAGAAGTGGAGGAATGTAATGAACAAAAATCACAGTTCCATCTCTATGAACTCTAAGCTCCCATAGAAAAAGAAATTAGAGGGCTGGGCGTGGTGGCTCACGCCTGTAATCCCAGCACTTTGGGAGGCTGAGGTGGGCGGATCACAAGGTCAGGAGTTTGAGACCAGCCTGGCCAACAAGGTGAAACCCCGTCTCTACTAAAAATACAAAAATTAGCCAGGTGTGATGACGTGCCTGTAGTCCCAGCTACTCAGGAGGCCGAGGCAGGAGAATTGCTTGAACCTGGGAGGCAGAGATTGCAGTGAGCTGAGATTGTGCCACTGCACTCCAGCCTGGGCAACAAGAGCGAAACTCCATGTGTCTCCAAAAAAAAAAGAGAAAGGAAGAAAGGGAGGAAGAGAGGGAGGGAGGAAGGAAGGAAGGAAGGAAGGAAGGGAGAGAGAGTAATTAGATTACCTTAAGGAAAGAAGGAAGGAAGGAAGGAAGGAAAAGAGAGAAAGAAAGAGAAATTAGATTACCTTGGTGCTCATTCTTTCGTATATCCCCGTTGATGATTTGGAATCTGAGCTAAAGATACTGGGGGGAAAACTAAACCAAATTTTGATACCAAATACAGGAAGGAGGTGAAATAAGCTTTTTTATTGTAGCTCTCCTTTTATTGCTCACAATAAATACTTCCTACTTTGTGATTTTCCCGAACTGTATTAGTTGGCAGAAAGCTGAGCAGTCCTGTGTTTCTAATTAAGAATTGGATGGTTAGCTGGAGTTTTGAGGAGGTCATCTCTGGGCGTGTCTGCTTTTGGCTTTCTTGGGCAGCTATGCTAGCATATCCTTGGGAATGAAAATGTAATCCTTCATGTGACACAGTTTAGGTAAACCACTTAGTCCTTTGCAAACACCAAATGCTCAGTGCGGTACTTAAATGACACCATATTTGATGCCACAGTTTCTTTACAGGCTCTTCTAAGATTGTAATGCCTGTGGGCTTTTAACTGCCCTTATTGATGTTGTATCCAAGAAAACAGAAAGTTGACTCCAAGCAGAAGTATTAATATCTTTGTATAACTTTCAGTCTTCACGTTGACCCCACTGCAGATCTGCTGTTTAGACAGATGCAGAGGTGACTGATAAGCCGGGGTCATGTGGCTTCAGGAGTCTTAGGTTTCTCCATGCAGCGGTGTCAGGATAGGCTCACCAGCTCCTGGCCACAGTGGGTACCAGCGACCTCCTTGTTGCTGAATCCACCGACCACTCTCGGTCCTCATCCTGCTTCCTGCCTCAGTGGCGTTTGACTTTCCTGTTCTGGAAACAGTCTCATCCTTGGCCTCCTTCTGAGACTTCCTGTCATGTTCTGCCTTCTTCTCCAGGGTCCTCTTATTTTTTGTGTTTTTAGAGACAGGGTCTCACTATATTGCCCAGGCTGGTCTCAAACTCCCTAGCTCAAGCAGTCCTTTTACCTTGGCCTCCCAAAGTGCTAGGATTACAAGCATGAACCACTGCACACAGCCGGGTTCTCTTATTTTATACTACGCCTTCTTAGTTTCCTTTTGGACTCTCTTCTTCTGACAACTCATTACAAGCAAATGTGCTTAACTCTTCTGTCCTTATCCCTTTTCTCACTCGGTGCACTGTCCTTGGGTGATCTTACCCATTCCATGCTTTAAATGGCTATAGTTATGATTTCCATCCATGGAGAACCTGGTTAAGTCAGATGGCTGGCTTTGCCTCCCAGCTCTACTGCTTACTAGCTGTGTGACTGTCGGCAAGTTGCTTACACTCTGTGCCTCAGTTTCCTCATCTATCAAGTGAGCGTACAAATAATTAACCCCATAAATATGAAGCATAGCACCTCTCCTATTAACTGCCCCAATCCACTCTCAGTTTTATCTAGTTAACATTTATTAATTTGCCGGGTCTCACCTAAGATGTTACTTCCTACAGGAAACATTCCCAGATGTTCAAATCTAGTTAGATCCTTTTTCCATGTACCCTCATAATTCAGTCTGACTGCCCTATTTCCCTGTCTTAGTGTTTGTCACATTTATCGTAATTGCTGATATATTCAGATCAGCTGGAAGCTCGTGAGGATAGAGATGAAGTCTGACTGGATCATCATTTTGTCCCCAGCGTCTAGCTCAGTGCCTGGTACATAGCAGTACTTGACAAATATTTGCTGAATGAATGACTCATGGAATTGTAGGGTATGATGACGCCTCTAAAGACATTCTTTCTTTGTGGTTACATCCTTAGGTTTTGTAGATCAGAAAACTCTATTAGATTGGTTGTGGTTGAGTATCCTTGACAACATGGCTGACAGTAACTCATGGAAGACCAAACTGTAAACCCTAATGACAGCCTTTAAATTTTTTAACGATGCTTGAGAGCTAAGCTGGAAGGACGTGGGGTGCTTATCCCTCGTAGAAATGCCTGCCAATGCTTTCTCATTTGGACCCAAACTCCAGATCGGGAGCAGTCTTATAGCTGGATCAGCTACCAAGAGAAATTCTAAAGCAAGAAGAGAAAAGCATTTCAATTTGGGACATTTATTTGCACCTGGAAATGGGGAATGGGCTATCAGACCAGACTTCTATCCTGTCCAACCTGCCTTCATTCAGTCCTTCCACATTGTTATTCTGGGTTTGGACTGTGCTGGAAAGACAACTGTCTTATACAGGCTGCAGTTCAATGAATTTGTAAATACCATACCTACCAAAGGATTTAACACTGAGAAAATTAAGGTAAGCTTGGGAAATTCTAAAACAGTCACTTTTCACTTCTGGGATGTAGGTGGTCAGGAGAAATTAAGGCCACTGTGGAAGTCATATACCAGATGCACAGATGGCATTGTATTTGTTGTGGACTCTGTTGATGTCGAAAGGATGGAAGAAGCCAAAACTGAACTTCACAAAATAACTAGGATATCAGAAAATCAAGGAGTCCCTGTACTTATAGTTGCTAACAAACAAGACTTGAGGAACTCATTGTCTCTTTCAGAAATTGAGAAATTGTTAGCAATGGGTGAACTGAGCTCATCAGCTCCTTGGCATTTGTAGCCTACCTGTGCAATCATAGGAGATGGCCTAAAGGAAGGACTTGAGAAACTACATGATATGATCATTAAAAGAAAAATTTTGCGGCAACAGAAAAAGAAAAGATGAATATCAATATCTATTATATCTGTGTGGAGTAGGTTTTCTCTGGTCTGATTTTGACAAATAGAAGAGTGTCTACAGCGTGGTTTGCCTGTCTGCCCTCCTGGATGCTATTAAAGCTTTGTTTTGTTGAACAATCAGATGCCCAACTCTGTTGCCTTGTGGAAGATGAGTAAATGCAGTGCTTCTTAAAGTGGTTTCTTCTCCCTACCCCACACATCTTTTGGTACTACCATTTGGGGAAGCCAAGCAAGGATAGTAAATTGATCAGAACACAGTTGTGGGAATTTGGCCTGAAGTTAGTGAAATAAAACTTTAAAGAGTGGAAAAAAAAAATTTTTAACAATGCTTGTGATGTACTAAAGAACAATTTTATGAGGCCTTACTTGGTAATGTAATAGGCTCTCTTCAATACCTAATACTGTGATGTTATGAACATGGGAACATTTGGTTTTGCAAAGTGTTGTCATCAACAATAAGATTCTCAAGAGCAGAAGTTTCCGCCATAGTATGCACAGGGCCTGTGGACTTTTTGAATATTTGAAGGACTGTCATATGGAAAGGGATCAGGCTTAGTGTGTAGGACTCCAAGAGCTAGGACACAACATGAATGCAGATGCCTTCTCTCTAGAACAAAGAACTTTTGAACTGTAACAGCTGTCTGTAAATGAGTGGGCCACCCCAGAGGTCATGACCTTATCACCATCTGTGTTCAAGCATGGCAGGGAGAAGCCCTGGGCAGGGATATCTGGAAGGAGAAGGACAAGTGGGGACTTTAGGGTCCCTTCTAATCCTGAGAGTCTGGCAGTGCCCTACTCACCCAAGGACCGTTGAGCTAGGCCCTGTCCCCAAACCATAGGCCCTGTGCCCACACCCTGCCCCAATAAATGGCTCAGGAAGAACAACTGCTATATACTCATCAGCAAGAAATGCCCCACCATCAGCTGAATTATTTAAACCATTTTGATGAGTGGTTTTATGGCCTTTCTTGAAACTGATGTTGTTATTAGCACTGCCTAATACCTTTTCCTTTTTTGGTTTCTTGGTAAAGGTGTGTCTGTATCTTGACTTTAGCTTATGCCTGTCCTGTGTGATGTGAGTAGACCATAATAGCCCGAGAAAATTAAATTATGGAGTGCATTTTGAAATGAGCACCCTCAGATTTGATTCTGGTGTCTTCGGCTGGTTTTGCATAGGTTGTCTGGGAAATATTATAAAATTCACTTTCTCCCCCCGAACTCAGGATCACACCCACCCCTCTTGGAGAAGGGAAGAGCACAGTCACCATCGGGCTTGTGCAGGCTCTGACCGCACACCTGAATGTCAACTCCTTTGCCTGCTTGAGGCAGCCTTCCCAAGGACCGACGTTTGGAGTGAAAGGTACTGTCTTTAACAACTAGTGTACTTTTCAGGGCAAAGTTGGGGGGAGAGAATTGTAAAAAGAACATTGTCAACAGATAAAGAGTTAAGACTTTTCAGGGGACTTGGTACATTTCTTCACTGCACACTCAGTACATAGTGGTCGCCCCATGTTGGTTCCCCCGGGCATGAAAAAGAGCAGTGGGAGCCGCCAGGGCTTCACTGGATGCCTCAGGAGCCTGTTCCTGGGGCTGCGTTGCTCAAGGCTCCCGCCTCGAGTGCGGTCTCCCATTTCATCAGGGCCTTCTTTGCCAAGTGATCTTGAAACACGGCCATCCATATCGGTGTTTGATCATCCCAGTCCCGGGGAAAGGTCTTTCCCTCTGCTTTAGTCTCGGCTCATTGGAGTTGCTGTGTGGGGCCCGCAGAGCTCTCTGGAGACGGACTGGCTGTGGACAGCGAGTCGTGATGAAATTCCTCCTTGGCCGTGGTCGGGCTGATATCTGGCACTTCCCCATTCATTACTCTTTCTTCCCTGATTTATCATGAAATCATTCCTTAGCTCACTTTACAGTGGTGGTTATTGCTGCAATTACAGTTTGTCCTTGGCACTTCGTGATTTTTTAAGAATATTGCATTTGTATTACTGTTAAACATATTAATAACGTATCTCATAAAGTACTGATAACGCACAGAGTGTCATGCATCGTGTAGTGGAATGAACACTAGGGTTGGAGCGAGAAAGCCAAGGTTTTGGTCACAGCTGTGTTTCCTACCGCCATGTGACCCTTGGCCACTTGAGCCAGTCACAACCTCTCGGAGCCGCATCTCTAAAAGTCCAAAATGCTGAGAGCGGCACCAGGCTCACCCAGTTGTTGTGAGGATCAAATGAGAAAGCACGTAAAGAACGAGGGCTACTGTCAAATGATACACACATGGGCGGTGTTGTTCTGCTTTAGGAAAGAGCAGTCCTTTTACTCTAACAACCAACATTTTGAGGGATACGCAGCATGACAAATCTCACATACTATTATCTGAAATAAATTGAAGTTTATAATTTACTCATTTGAGGTGGTTATGCGGTGGTTTTTTTGTTTTTGTTTTTGTTTTTGTTTTGAGACAGAGTCTCACTTGGTTGCCCAGGCTGGAATGCAGTGGTGCAATCTCGGCTCACTCCAATCTCCGCCTCCCAGTTTCAAGTGATTCTCCTGCCTCAGCCTCCCAAGTAGCTGGGATTACAGGCACCCGCCACCATGCCTAGCTAATTTTTATATTTTTAATAGAGATAGGGTTTCATCATGTTGGCCAGGCCGGTCTCGAACTCCTGACCTCAAGTGATCCGCCTGCCTCAGCCTCCCAAAGTGCTGGGTTTACAGGCATGAGCCACCTCGCCCAGCCACAGTGTATTTTTTTTAAACAAAGTTTGCTCAGATATGAAATCATATACAATTGATTTAGATAAAGTATAGTCACAGAGATCTAATAATAAATTATCAAAATATTCTCATATCCTGGTATGTTTTACAGTAATGACATCTGCTCTATTTTTACCTTTTTTTTTTAAGCAAAGAAACAGAGGTATAGTTAGACAAAGTGTCAACTTTTTTTGTTGTTGTTCTGCTTGGATATAACCATTAGTGTCTCTCACTGCCTTTTGTTACTTCATCTTGGGTGTGACGCCTCTCTGTTGGGTTTGGGGAGCTGTGTCCCTTGGCCTGTGTCCATCGTGGCAGCTGTACTTGGTGACCCGTTTGAAATGCCTCTTGCTCTGTTGTTTAGGAGGAGCCGCGGGTGGTGGATATGCCCAGGTCATCCCCATGGAGGAGGTAAGACCTTGAAGAGATGCGGGTCAGCTATCACTGTGTTTCCTTCCTGACATCTTGTCTCTGCTCCCATCCACACAGGCCCACAGACCCTCATCCATAATCCCAAAGTCATTAAGGCTCTGAAACCCCAAAATGTTTGCATAACTCATGCAGTGACAAACCCTAGTATTTACTGTGATGAGCTATAATTATATGGATTTTGTACGTGCTACTTGGCGTGAATATTCATATACATTGCTGTGGAAAAATTATTTTTGATTAACAGGTGCTGACCTAGCCCCTGCTTGGGGTGTTTTACAAATAAACTACATGTAAATCACACTGCCTTCCTAAACTTCAAAAAATTCAGAATCTTGAAACCCTGCTGGCCTTGCGGGTCTGGATGAGAGAATGTGGGTCTGTGCCTCCCTTGATCATCTGCTGTACTGCCAAGTTCACGAAGACTTGACGCTTCCCCTCTGTCAATTCAGGCTCTAGTGCGTGCCTCGGCAGCATAGATACTAAAACTGGAATGACACAGAGAGGATTAGCATGGTCCCTGCACGAGGATGACACACAAATTTGTGAAGTGTCCCATTAAAAATAAAAGACCCCAAAATAAAAGAGTTCCAGAGGAAAATGGGCAAAAAGAACTGACGTTGTTAATTCTCACTTCTGTAAGAACTCCACCTTTGTTCCACATAACCTCTTTGTTGCCTGTAACTAACCAGTGACCAGCTCTTTTCAGTTTCACTCTCTGCATCAGCCTTATCATTCAGGGCCTGGACAATCTTCCAAAACCCAAATCTGAGCAGGTCACTTTCCTGTTCTGTCATTTCCGCCGTTGCCTGTCACCCTCCAGCACAGCACAGGAGGTCCTCGTGGGTGGCTGCTCCTGCTTCCCTGTCCACAAGTCCCCACCTGCCTTCTCTCTACTGCGTCAAGCTCCTTGCAGACTCTTTTTTTTTTTTTTTTTTTGAGACAGAGTTTTGCTTTGTTGCTCAGGCTGGAGTGCAGTGGCACAGTCTCGGCTCACTGCAACCTCTGCCTCCCAGGTTCAAGCAATTCTCATGCCTCAGCCTCCTGAGTAGCTGGGATTACAGGCAACTGCCATTGTGCCTGACTGATTTTTTGTATTTTAGTAGAGACGGGGTTTCACCATGTTGGCCAGGCTTGTCTGGAACTCGTGAGCTCAGACAATCCACTGGTCTCAGCCTCCCAAAGTGTTAGGATTACAGGCGTGAGCCACTGTGCCCAGCCCTTGCAGACTCTTTTCCTGTTCTCTCTTGGTTCCAGGATTTTCCCATGCCTGGAACATTCTTCCTTTTCTGTCCTCTTTACCCAGTTTAGTCAAGGTTTTTTGTCAAGGTTCTTCTCTACCCCACAGACTCCCTCTGTGTTTACGGCTATCTGGTTCAGTTGGCTGTGGCGAGTTGCGGGCCTTTCTTGAGGTCTCAGGTCCCAGCATTGAGCAGAGTGCCCAGCACATAGTAGGAACTCACTAGAAAGTACTTGTTGACTTTGTTAAAGGAATAGAAGTGTTTACCCATGGAGGTCTGAGTGTCAGGGAAGCTAAAGAGAAAATCTGTAGGAACTTCAAGTACTGGGAGTGGGGGTGAGAAAGAGTAGTCCAAGGCACTGCTGAAAAAAATCGTCCCAGGCCTCAGGTCAGAATGGGGATGGGTACCATTCATGAGCCAGCAAGACCCAGAACCAGGAGGCCAAATTAGAGGTGGTGTACAAGGGGCATACACAGGGGAATGGCTCGGGTTTAGCCAGCAAATTGGAAGGACATTGGTGTCCCGCTGGTTTAGGGCATCAGCTGCGTGGCTTGGAGGAGAGAGCTACTTTTATTTTATTTTATTTTATTTTTTGAGATGGAGTCTCGCTCTGTCACCCAGGCTGGAGTGCAATGGTGCAATCTCGGCTCGCTGCAACCTCTGCCTCCCAGGTTCAAGTGATTCTCCTGCCTCAGCCTCCCGAGAAGCTGGGATTACAGGCACCTGCCACCATGCCCAGCTAATTTTTATATTTTAATACAGATGGGGTTTCACCATGTTGGTCAGGCCGGTCTTGAACTCCTGACCTCAGGTGACCCACCCACCTCGGTCTTCAAAAGTGCTAGGATTACAGGCGTGAGCCACCGCGCCCAGCCAAGAAGACTACCTTATGAGGGTAGAGTGGGCCAGACACACTCAGGCAATTTGTTCCTTGAAGTTGAGTGCCTCCAGTCTTTTCTTCATCTGTATCCTCCCAGCTCTGAGCACCGTGCCTGACACTTGGTGGATGTTTGTTGACTGTGTGCCAGGCACAGACAATATGTACTGGACGGAACATAATAAATCACCATAGGGGAAAATGTTAGAATAAATTCCAGATGGGCTGAGGAATTGAAAGTGAAAACACTATGACTGGAAGGATGGGAAGGAGCCGGCCTTGTGAAGAATGAGGGAGAGCATTCAGCCAGTGGGAACTGCTGGTGGGAAAGTCCTGAGGCAGGAAAGGGTGTGGCCTGTTCAGGGAACTGGAGGACACCAGGGTGGCTGGAGCCCCGTGGGCCAGCGGGAGTTGGGGGGGTTGAGGTAGAGAAGTGTGCAGGCGCCAGCTCTGTCGAGCGATTGCAATTTGTAGCCAAGAACCTGGATTTTATTTGAAGTGCCAAGGTCAGCCATTGAAGGGATCTTGACAGATAACACAATGCAGATTGAGTTTTATTAAAATCACCCTGTCTTCTGTGTGATGAAAGGACCAGGGGCCTCTCAGTAGACACGATGAATCCAGGAGGAAGACTATGGAAGTAGCCTAGGGAAAGATGTCAGTGACTTGGCCCAGGATGGGGGCAGTGAGGATGGAAAAGAGGAAAAAACAGTTTAAGATTTGTTTGCTGATGTTTGCAGGATTAGATGTTGGGGGTTAGAAAAGAGGAGGATTCAAGGACGACATCCAGGGTACTGGCTTGAGCAACTCAGTAGACTCATTTGTTGAGGCAGAGAACAGGGGAGTGATGGTATGAGGTTTGAACTGTGTGGTGTGGGGTGTGGTGGAGGGTGGTAGTCAGAAGGAGGGAGTCAGTTTAGAGGCCTATGAAACATGCAGGTGGACATCAAGTAGACGGCTGGAAAGAAAAACTTACATTCCAGTTGTGAAATGGCCAAAGAGTTCAATAGAAACATCGAAAAAGAAATATTAACTAAATGCATATTCATCTTCACCAATAATCAAGTAAATAAATCTACATTAAAACCACTATCAGGCCGGGCACGGTGGCTCATGCCTGTAATCCCAGCACTTTGGGAGGCTGAGGCGAGTGGATCACCTGAGGTCAGGAGTTTGAGACCAGCCTGGCCAACATGGGGAAACCCTGTCTCTACTAAAAATACAAAAAGTAGCTGGGCGTGGTGGCAGGCGCCTGTAATCCCAGCTCCTTGGGAGGCGGAGGCAGGAGGATCACTCAAACCTGGGAGGCAGAGGTTGCAGTGAGCCGAGATCATGCCACTGCACTCCAGCCCAGGCAACAAGAGCGAGACTCCGTCTCCAAATAAATAAATAAATAAAAATAAAACCACTATCAGTTACCATTTTACTTGTCAAATTGACAAAATTGGATTTTTCAAAATAGTTATGATACCAAATTTTGGCAAAGAAATTGAAATGGACTCCCACACACTGCTGGAAAGTGTATGTTGATAAAAACACTTCAGGAAGAAGAGTAGAAATACATATTAAGTGTTTTACCGTGCATATCCTTTGGCCCAAATAAATTCATTTTTAGTGTACCCTAAGGAAAAAATGAATGTATGGGAATATAGATCATTTTAAATTAAATATACCCTCACATAGTTTATAACATTAAAAAATGGGGGGATAATAATAGGACATCAGGTTAACTGTATTTTGAAGAATCTTTAATGATGTAAAAATGCTTGCTATGTTGAGAGTGTAAGAGCTAAAGTATAAACTGTTACGATGTTATGATTCCAATATTTAAAAGTACAAATATATATTTATAAAATATATATACATATGTAATTTTTCATGTTTTCTCCAGTTAACATTATTTTATGTTATAAAGTAAAATTTTAACAAGAAAATATTTAACCTTCCAAGAAATTAAGGAAATGCAGCTTTAAAAAGAATAACACTTTCTCAACTATTAAATTATTTCTTAGTCTAAAAGTTACTTTATTTCTGAAGTAACTGATCTACTACTAGTGTTTTGCAGATGACACTTCATCTCTTTCAAAAAGCAATTTGGTGATATTATCAAGATCTCAAAGGCCGGATGTGGTGGCTCATGCCTGTAATCCCAGCACTTTGGGAGTCTGAGGTGGGCAGATCACAAGGTCAGGAGTTTGAGACCAGCCTGGCCAACATGGTGAAACCACATCTCTACTAAAAATACAAAAATTAACCAGGTGTGGTGGCAGGCGCCTATAGTCCCAGCTACTTGGGAGGCAGGAGAATCCCTTGAACCTGGGAGGCGGAGGTTGCATTGAGCTGAGATCATGCCACTGCACACCAGCCTAGGTGAAAGAGCGAAACTCCGTCTCAAAAAAAAATAAATAAAATAAAAATACTTCATCCCTTTCAAAAAGCAATTTGGTGATATTATCAAGATCCCAAGGGCTGGGCGTGGTGGCTCATGCCTGGAATCCTAGCACTTTGCGGGGCTGAAGCGAGAGGATCACTTGAGTCCAGGAATCTGAGACCAACCTGTGCAACATAGTGAGACTGTGTCTCTACAGAAAAAAAAAGAAAAAAAAGAAAAGAAAGAGAGCTCATTTAACCTAGTAACTACCTCCTGAAAATATATTACTCATTAGCAATTAATTTTTTTAATAAAAGGAAAAGCTATTTGTGTATATTCTTTATAACTGTGGCCTTTCTTGTAAAAGTGAACATTTGGTAGTAGCGTATATATCCAGCCTGAAACTTTTGGTACATCTACCGTATACAGCTTCTATAAACTATACAAAAGATTATTATAGAAAAAGTTTTGTGAAAAACGAAACTTGGAAGTTTGTAGGAAGATGATTCTACAAATGATAATCGAGTGTGCTCATGAGACTGGAAGGAAAATAACAGAATGAGTAGAGTCATGAGGGTAAAATACTCTATTTCTCCAAAGTTCTGTAATATTTCATATTATTTTATTGTTACTGTTTATTTTATGCCCTGCCTCACTCCAAAGTATATTTGATATGATACTGTTTTCTAGATAATAAAACAATGAATAAACGTAGTGAGTGACTATAAGGAGATTCATTATTAAATGCATCAGAATGTTTTGCCTTAACCTGAGGATGGAAGAATTTATGATCTGAGTAATTGCTCAAAGGTTCTTTGTTGTCACGTGGAAGGCTTTGACCTTGATTTTCTGATTTAGGCATTCCTATAGACTCAGCTCATTATAAGGATATGTAATTTGCATGCTATTTTATTTATTCAGTCCTTAAATTCCATAGTTGTTTAAAACAAATAGGAAGATGTCTTAGCCGAGCACAGTGGCCCAAGAGCTCATAACCAGCCTAGGCAACATAGCAAGACCCCCATCTCCACAGAAAATTCAAAAATTAGCCAGGCACAATGGTGTGCACCTATAGTCCCAGCCTACTCAGTAGGCTTAGGTGAGAGGATTGCTTGAGCCCAAGAGTTTGAGAATACAGTGAGCTATGATCATGCCACTGCACTCCAGCCTGGGCAACAAAGCGAGACCCTATTTCTGAAAATAAATAAATAGAAAGATATCTTATTTCTCTAGTTCAACCTTCACTTGACTGGAGACATCCACGCCATCACCGCTGCCAATAACTTGCTGGCTGCCGCCATCGACACGAGGATTCTTCATGAAAACACGCAAACAGATAAGGTGAGAAGGATGCCTTGCTAGCCATTTTGGGTATTGTATCCTGGAATTCCTGGATTCTTAAGGAGTTTGTGGAAAGAATTCTGGTGTCTGCAAACTCTGAAATGTTATTCAATTCAATTTTGTGATTTTTACATATGTCCCTGTTTCCCAAGGAGAAGGAGCCATCCTTTGATCAGATTCTCAAATGGGTTTATGAGCACTGCCAAGTTATTGGGAGAATTGTAGTATGTTGTAAAAGCCAAATATTCTCTAAGATGAGTCTTTAGTTTTAAAGATGGTAGGTAGACCAGTTCTCTTCATTCTGGTCATAGGTCCAATCTCTGATCTGTTCTAAGGGGATTGGACAGATGTCGTTTTAAGACTAATGTTATGTGGAGCTATTTTAGATGTGCTGAAAAGATGTCAGAGACCCTTATTGGGCTTCATGTGCTTGTAGGTTAAGAGTTAAACCACACCCCCAAAGGGGACAGCCCACCAGAAGCTAATTCCTCACAGATATAGGACATAGATAAAAGGGGTACCTTCTGGCACATTTTACAACAAGGGTCCTCACTTTCTTTAATTAAAGTAGTTCCTTAGTGAGTCTTTGCTACATAATCCAGATACATCTTCATATGGTAGTTGTAGCGATATAGATCAAGAAATATATTTATGCAAACTCTTTGCAATGTGTATTATTTCAGATCTTGTCAGTTTTATGAAAATGACAGAATTTAAGTCAACATTGTTTATATTAGCCCACAAATTTTAATAGGGTCTTTTATCTAAATAGTTCGGTTATAAATGCAATGAATTTTTGTCATATCCTGTGAATTGTCCAAGTTCATGGACAACTAACTTTTGTGTGGTCTCATTTTTGTTTTGTGTTTTTAGGCTCTGTATAATCGGCTGGTTCCTTTAGTGAATGGTGTCAGAGAATTTTCAGAAATTCAGCTTGCTCGGCTAAAAGTAAGTTTCCAGTTAGCAATTCTTTAAAAAGAAAATATCGTAGAAACGCATCAGAAAGATTGTCAAAGCCTGAAATTTTCAACTTGGTTTGATTTTGGTTTTCAGATATCCTTTTGGGTATTAAACTCTATAGAGACCGAACACTGGAGCAGAGAGAGCACAGTGTTGGAAGCCTGAACCCTGGTTCTACACGAAAGAGCCAGGTGGACAAATTAATTAACCTTTTTTGGTCTCAGTTTCTTCGTCTATGAAATGAGAGGACTGTTTTGCTAATTTATGAGTACTCTAGTCAACTGACAAGTTAGCTGGGCACAGGAGCACATACATACCTGTAGTCCGAGCTACTCATGATGCTGATGTGAGAGGTTTGCTTGAGCCAAGGAGTTCAAGGTTTATAGTGCACCATGATGGCCCCTGTGAATAGCCACTGCATGCCAGCCTGAGCAACACAGCAAGAGCCCATCTCTTAAAAAAAAATAACAAATTAGAATTTTTGGTGAGTCCTTCTCTTTCTAAAGTGAAATATTTTTATGAAATTTGTTAAATTTCTAGGAAATTATAGGATAACCTTTGAAAACTCATCTATCTCATTTGTGGTTTTCTGTTTTGTTTTGTTTTGTTTTTTGAGACAGAGTTTTACTCTTGTTGCCCAGGCTGGAGTGCAGTGGCATGATCTTGGCTCACTGCAACCTCTGCCTTCCTGGTTCAAGTGATTCTCCTGCCTCAGCCTCCCAAGTAGCTGTGATTACAGACACGCACCACCGCACCTGGCTAATTTTTGTATTTTCAGTACAGATGGGATTTCACCATGTTGGCCAGGCTGGTCTCAAACGCCTGACCTCAAGTGATCCATCCACCTTGGCCTCCCAAAGTGCTGGGATTACAGGTGTGAGCTACTGCGCCCAGCCTCATCTACGTTTTTGTTGCAGCAAACACTACAATTATACTTGCGTATGCCATCTTAATTCTTAAAACCTGTCTTATCTTTTTTCTGATGCCATTTGCTGCCTCTGGTCTTCTAATCATATTGCTTGCTACTAGCCCTGTTTCAGAGACTAAAAAATAACCCTAAATGGTATAACTTAACAACCTTACTGGTTGGTATTAAGTGGTTTTAAAAATTCACCTCCTGCCTCTTACTGAACCAAGTTCAGTGTGTTGAATTAGTGAGTAATTCCATCCTCGGCAGCTATAACAACATGCAGTTTCTGTTTCCCAGATCTTTTTTATGCTTCATTAAAAATCACTATTTTGCCAGGCACAGTGGCTCACGCCTGTAATCCCAGCACTTTGGGAGGCCGAGGCAGGCAGATCCTGAGGTCAGGAGATTGAGACCATCCTGGCTAACACGGTGAAACCCCATCTCTACTAAAAATACAAAAAATTAGCCGGGCGTGGTGGCAGGCGCCTGTAGTCCCAGCTTCTCGGGAGGCTGGGGCAGGAGAATGGCGTGAACCCAGGAGGCGGAGCTTGCAGTGAGCCGAGATCGTGCCATTGCACTCCAGCCTGGGCAACAGAGCAAGACTCCATCTCAAAAAAGAAAAAAAAAAAAGAAAAATCACTATTTTGTGTGTGTGTGACAGTCTTGCTCTGTTGCTCAGGCTGGAGTGCAATGGCACGATCTCGGCTCGCTGCAACCTCCGCCTCCTAGGTTCAAGCAGTTCTGCCTCGGCCTTCTGAGTAGCTGGGATTACAGGTGCCCACCACCATGCCAGCGAATTTTTTGTATTTTTAGTAGAGAAGGGGCTTCACCATGTTGGCCAGGCTGGTCTCGAACTCCTGACCTCAGGTGATCCACCTGCTTCAGCCTCCCAAAGTGCTGGGATTACAGGCATGAGCCACCACACCCAGCCAAAAATCACTTTCTTAAGATGTTTTATTTACACAAAATAAATAGGAAGATTTCTTGGCTTGGTGTGGTGGCTCACCCCTGTAATCTCAGCACTTTGGGAGGCCAAGACAAGAGGATTGCTTGAGCCCAGGAGTTCATGACCAGCCCAGGCAACATAGCAAGACCCCCGTCTCTACAAAAAATTTAAAAATTGGCTGGGCATTAAAAGTTTTAATTTTTTTTTTTCTCCTCCATAAATTAGGAATAACTTACTTTGAAACATAGGAATAAACTTAACTTGAATTACTGGTATTTGTATTTGAAAAACTAAAGAACTGCGGCATCAATTATATGGACAGACAGCAGTTTATGTCTCTTCTGAGCAGCGTACATGGTGGCCACATAGAGCAGCCCAAGGAGCCCCTGGCTAACGCAGCCAGCAGCAGGCACAAGTGGTAGTTAGCTGTATGCTGTCCACTGCAGGACATCTTCAGATCAATCCTTTTCAGAGTCTATTACGAACTCACAGTATCTTACTCGTAGAAGAAATCTGGCCATAGGTATTTGTCTGACTTGGCCTAACCTATAATTCACTCAAAGTTCAGTTTAGTTTAGTTTTTTTTTGTTTGTTTTTTGTTTTTTGTTTTTTTTTGAGACGGAGTTTCACTCTTGTTGCCCAGGCTGGAGTGCAATGGCGCAATCTTGGCTCACTGCAACTTCTGCCTCCCAGGTTAAAGCGATTCTCCTGCCTCAGCCTCCCAAGTAGCTGGGATTACAGGCATGTGCCACCACGCCAGGCTAATTTTGTATTTTTAGTAGAGACAGAGTTTCTCCATGTTGGTCAGGCTGGTCTCGAACTCCTGACCTCAGGTGATCTGCCCACCTCCGCCTCCCAAAGCGCTGGGATTACAGGCGTGAGCCACCACGCCCAGCTTAGTTTTGATTTTTGTTTTTTGGTTTTTTTGGAGACAGAGTCTTGCTCTGTCACTCAGGCTGGAGTGCAGTGGCAGGATCTCAGCTCATTGCAACCTCTGCCTCCCAGGTTCAAGTGATTCTTCTGCCTCAGCCTCCCAAGTAGCTGGGATTACAGGTGCTCTCCACCATACCTGGCTAATTTTTTTATGTATTTTTAGTAGAGACGGGGATTCACCATGTTGGCCAGTCTGGTCTCGAACTCCTGACCTTAGGTGATCCACCTGCCTCCACCTTCCAAAGTGCTGGGATTACGGGCATGAGCCACCGCACCTGGCCCAGTTTAGTGTTTTTTTTGTTTTGTTTTGTTTTTGAGATGGAGTTTCGCTCTTGTTGCCCAGGCTGGAGTGCAATGGCACGATTTTGGCTCACCGCAACCTCCGCCTCCCAGGTTACAGCGATTCTCCTGCCTCAGTTTCCCAAGTAGCTGGGATTACAGGCATGCGCCACCATGCCCAGCTAATTTTTGCATTTTTAGTAGAGATGGGGTTTCTCCATGTTGGTCAGGCTGGTCTCGAACTCCTGACCTCAGGTGATCTGCCCACCTTGGCTTCCCAAAGTGCCAGTTTAGTTTTTTAAAAGGCTTTACCAATCATGGAGAAAATAAAATTAGAGGGATAATTTTGGTGACCCTTTGCTTTCTGTTTCTTCTCAAACTTCTCACCTTTTTTCTTCTTAATCATTAGAAACTGGGAATAAATAAGACTGATCCGAGCACACTGACAGAAGAGGAAGTGAGTAAATTTGCCCGTCTCGACATCGACCCATCTACCATCACGTGGCAGAGAGGTGGGTGCTGGGGAGATGCCAGCAGGCTGATGGCCAGGTGGGGAGGCGTGTTCGAGCCGAAGCGCTTAAATTCAGAAACTTACAGTTTGATCCTGTCCAGTGATCTTCCCAGCCTGTGCTTCATATTCCCACCATTTATTTCAGTTACTATTATCGTACCACCCTCCCTTATCCTTGCCTCCAATTAAAACAAAAATTCTGTCCAGGGTCAATCCCATCTACTCCTGTGTCTTCTAAATTTCCAAGGAAAATTACCTAATTTTCTCTTCTGTTTCTCTCTCCTTTGGCCTCTTGTATCTATATTAAGAAAAAAAAAAAGAAACTTTTTTTAAAGACCACGCCTCCCTGGCTTTGTCCTGCTCCTCCTCCACCCACCATCCCACCTTCTTCTGTTCACTTCCTTACCACTGGCTCTCGGCAGCTCTCTGTGTGTTTCCAGTGCTGGATTTTCCTCCAAGTCTGATATGTGCTTTCACCCACTTAACGAGGCATCGCTCCACTGCTTCACATGCATCCAGGTGGAGTCCCCGTGAGCTCCCCACCACCTCGACTTCCCTGCTTCCCTCTCAGTTGTGAAGTCCCCTTCCTTCTCCCACACTGCCCTCAGTCTCATCGCTCACTATGGGATGAGACAGAGGGAAATGCACTAAACAGGAAGTTAGGAGCCCTGAGTGTGTGTCTCCCCTGCCACTGACTCACTGCATGATCTCGAGCAGGTCGCATGCATGTTCTTGGCGTTGGAGATGGAGATGGTCACATACGCTGCACAGAAACACGGCAACCACATTTTATGAACCCTGTGCAACTGCAGAAATGTTCAATGGCATGGATCCCTGATTCTTCCTGGATTATTCTTCTCATACTTGTGCCCTCATTTACCTCTTTATGCTCACATTTGGAACATATTTATCAGATGCGCATTTTATAGCAGTTCCCGACTAATAGATTATCTTGCTTCCGTTTCCATCCCCCAGTTCAGAGGGTTCACATTAACAGAGATATCCCGTTGTGATCAGAGGCCTCCAGTGGCTCCCCACATCCTGGGTGATACAGTTGCCATCGCAGAGCTTGGTCTTCAGGACACCCGCAGTGGCTTCCCTCACTCTGCTCCCTGCCTGCTTTCTAGTCAGCAGTGCCGACCTCCATCCTCCTGCCAGCCCTAGCTGGGCCATCTCCATCCTGTCTCCTGCCTAGGCCAGTGTTGCCCTCTAAGATGCACCCAGGTCTCGTCCCTTCAGGGAGCTTCCCTTCTGGGAATCCACCCAGCCAGTCCATTAAGAATTTAGTGTAGTCCCACAAACCATGAGGTAGAGAGACAAAGACCAGAGACTGAGCGTTGGCTCTGCGGTTTATGGGCTGCACAACTTTGGACAGACTGCTCACTCAGTTTCCTCATCTTTAAAATGGAATCATAATTCCAGCTGCCTTGCTGGGAGGCTTCACTGAAACATAAGCATCCTTTCCAGACCCAAAAGCTCTGCCCACACGATCATCAGAAGTCACTGTGGTGATAGCTGTATTGAGTAGAGTTTTTTGTTTGTTGTTATTTTGAGACAGAGTCTCACTTGCCCTGTCACCTAGGCTGAAGTGCAGTGGTGCGATCTAGGCTCACTGCAACCTCTGCATCACTGGCTCAGTCGATTCTCTTGCCTCATCCTTACGAGTAGCTGGGATTACAGGCACACACCACCACACGTGGCTAATTTTTGTATTTTACTAGAGATGGGGTTTCACCATGTTGGCCAGGCTGGTCTGGAACTCCTGACCTCAAACGATCCGCCCACCTCAGCCTCCCAAAGTGCTGGGATTACATGCGTGAGCCACTGTGCCTGGCTTGGGTAGTTTTTTTGAGTGTCTTTGTCTCCCAAACTAAACTAAAATCTCCTTGGAAACTTTATGGTTTTTTTTTTGTTTTTTTTTTGAGACAGGGCCTCATTCTGTCACCCAGGTTGGAGTGCAGTAGTGCAATCTCCACTCACTGCAAGCTCTGCCTCCCAGGCTCAAGCAATTCTCCTGCCTCAGCCTCCTGAGTAGCTGGAGGCTGTGCGCCACAACACTCAGCTAATTTTCGTATTTTTAGTAGAGATGGGGTTTCATCATGCTGCCCAGGCTGGTCTCAAACTCCTGAGCTCAGGTGATCTTCCTGCCTCGGCCTCCCAAAGTGCTGGGATTACAGACATGAACCACTGCACCCAGCCTAGAAACTTTCAAGGATACATTTTTCATTTTGAAATAAGTAATAACATTATAGAGATTTTGGAAATGTCTCAAAAGAATTTTAAAAACCTTGCTATACTAATAAAACTACTATTCATAGTTTTTTGTGTGCATCTAGTTTTTTGGTATAACTCTAGTTATAACTTTAGTGTATAGATTTTATATCCTACGAGTTTCATTCATTTATATCATAAGCATTTTGTATTTTGTTAGCTCTTTGTTGTAATGGCCATTTTAAATACTCTAGAATATTCCTTTGTGGATGAACCACAACTTACTTAAGCAAGGCTCAGTTCTTGAAAACACCAACAGCATTTTAAATAATGGACATGAATACTTTAAGCATTTTATTGAGAAGCCTACATATTTTCTTTGAAAATTTTTTTTATAACTAGGAAGATTTATTATTAAAATGTCATCATGTCCAAAATGTATTGTCATCTTTTTTTTTTTCAAAGCATTTGTGATTTTGTGTTACTCTTCAAAACTTTTTTGGAGGTTTACTGATGATAGGAAAATCAGGAAGGTGGAAATTAGTGTATTTTAAACCAAGCATATGGATGTGCTAAAAGAGAAAGTTTTATGCCAATTGGTATTCTTTGGTGTCTGCTTTGGGGTTCCAGCCTGAGCAGCCATCAGAAACAGGGCAATGGCTTAGACATGGATCTTGGAAGAGAAAGGCTACATCATCTTTTATACCTGGGTCTGGTCTGCAATTGGTTTCTCTCTGGAGCCAGGAAGGACTGAAGTGTTTTGTGGTTGTGAATCACTTTTAATGGAAGTGACAACTTTACAAAATTCTTCCGGAAAAAAATTTGAATTCCATTATTGTTCAGGGCACTGAAGTAAAGAAAACTTTATTGCTGTGGACAAGCTACCTGGGTCAGAGGAATTTGGAATGACATTTGATAAGTAGTTTGGCTCTTATGACCATGAATTAATAACAGAAATAGGACTCTTCATCAAAAGAATTGAGAACATTTGCTAGTAGGGTTTTTTGGCTTAAACCTAGAACTAATGTAACCCTTGTGATGAAATTGGATCCTTATTTGATTTGACAACTAGAGCAGGACAGTCAGGGTGCACGGTGGTGGGAGTGAGACCCTCTTCTCAGGCCATATGGATGTTGCGCCATTTAATGACCACCCCTTCCTTTCAGCCTGTGTACAAAATCTGATGATTGTTTCATCTTTTTTTTTGAGACAGAGTCTCACTCTCTTGCCAGGCTGGAGTGCAGTGTGCGATCTCGGCTCACCGCAACCTCCAACTCCCTGGATCAAGCAATTATCCTGCCTCAGCCTCCCGAGTAGCTGGGACTACAGGCATGCGCCACCATGCCCAGCTAATTTTTGTATTTTTAGTAGAGACGGGGTTTCATCGTGTTGGCCAGGATGGTCTCGATTTCCTGACCTCGTGATCCGCCTGCCTTGGCCTCCCGAAGTGCTGCGATTACAGGCGTGAGCCACCGCGTCCAGCAGATTGTTTCATCTTATGCCTCATACCGAAAGTTTAAAGGCCTCATGTTCCTGGACCCAGAGTGGAACAAGGAACCCACAGACCTTTCCAGAAATACTTAACATAAGCAGAAGAAAATATAGACATACAGCCATTTTGTTACAGAGCATAATTTTGCACAGATGAGCCTCTGCCTGTCCGAGCCCCGGGGCCTCACAGGCTTGCCGTCTCTCCATCTCCCTCGCATGCCCAACTCCTGGCCATGGACCAAGGGCCCACAAGCCTCCCTCAGCCTCAGGGAATCAACCATCAAGTGGCTGGTTCCTTGCCCCAACAACACTCTAGGGAATCAGTACCGTGTCTTCCACTGGGGCCGAAACAGTGGACCTGCCCCTGATTGAACACCTTGTACTGCCAGGCTCTTGGCCAATATTGGCTGTTTCATCAGCCATTAGGCATACTGTGGATGTTCCTTAGGACATAGTCAGCACTGTAGTATAGTCAGCACTGTAGTACTAAAAGGGATGGTCCAGAGCAAAAAATAAGCAAACAGATCTCCCCCGGCTGCCTCCACCCCCACACCCACTGGCATTGTCCTAGCATGCCTTACATAAGAGGCTGGCACTGTCTTCACTATATCTCTGTACAGCTGGCTCGGGACTAGGCACAAGTAGCCCCTCAATACATACTCCAGGAGTGAATAAGTGTTTCTTATTCCACCTTTAGTTCTATCATTCAGAGACCAGGAATTCCATTTTGGATCACTAACTTAGGGTTACTTTCTAGTATCTTTCTTGTGGGCTGGAATTTAACCTTCACATTTCTTATGTATCACTGATGCATCACTTACCGGGCCATGTTAAAGGCAGAGGTGGGCTTTGGAGGCCACTGATTCTAGTTGATCTTGCCAGACATTTTTTTTTCTTGTTTTCTCTTTGCTAGATAAAAAACAGCTGAATTTCTCTTGTTGATTTTAAAGAAATTTGATAAAAAGATTCCCTCAATCTGGTGCCAAGATCGTGTATACTACAGAGCAGGAAAGAGGTTTTTAGTTGATTGACTTTGCACCCCATGTACATCTTGGGAAGAACAGTGGTGGCTGAGGATACTATTGAAAAGCAGGCCTTTCATTTTGTATATGCTCTGCTTATAGCTGAAAAACTCATAAAGAAGGTTTCTGTGTGTTTATATGAGTGTCAGTTGGTGTTTGTGTGAGGGTGTGAGTGTGTCTGAGAGAGAGGGAGCTTGTTATAAAGACTAACAACAGCCGAGTCAGGGAACAGCCATAGGCCAAGAGGGCAAGCTGGCCTGCTGGTGCTTTGCGTATGAAAGAAAAGGTTAACTTTCTTCATCCTACGGATGCCTATAGTACCAAATACGTAATTTCCATCACCATTTTCATAAGTGCTGTATCGTATACATTGAGTAAAGTGGATCTAAATTGTCAATGTGGACAGCTTGTTATTTGAAGCTGCATAAATTAACAAAGTCAGTGTACTGGCTTTGTTTTGTTGCATTGGTATTCACTAAACCAAACCTAATTTTCACAAAATGTAAATAACTGCAATTCTTGTTTTGTTTTGTTTTGAGACAGGGTCTTGGCTGGGTGCAGTGGCTCACGCCAGTTATCCCAGCACTTTGGGAGGCCGAGGCAGGTGGATCACATGAGGTCAGGAGTTCAAGACCAGCCTGGCCAAAATGGCAAAACCCCATCTCTTCTAAAAATACAAAAAATTAGCCAGGCATGGTGGCAGGCGCCTGTAATCCCAGCTACTTGGGAGGCTGAGACAGGAGAATCGCTTGATCCCAGGAGGCGAAGGTTGTAGTGAGCCAAGATCACGCCACTGCACTCCAGCCTGCATGACAAAAAAAAAAAGAGAGACAAGGTCTCACTTCCATCTCCCAAATGGGAGTGCAGAGACACAATCATGGTCATTGCAGCCTCAACCCCCAAGACTCAAGCAATCCTCCCACCTCATTTTTGTATTCTTTGTAGAGACAAGGTCTCACTGTGTTGCCCAGGCTGTTCTCAAATTCCTAGGTGACCCTCCCGCCTCAGCCTCCCAAAGTGCTGGGAGGTGTGTGCCACCACACCCAGCCAATAACTGAAATTCTAATAAGCCAGTGAAGAAAATAAAGAGAACTGGTACTTGCTCTATTCACCATTCACCCCCGCCACCCCCCACAATTCTACTTTATTTACTTTTGCTTTTTAAAATTGTGGTAAAATATACATAACGAAATATTTTTCCCCATTTGTAAGCACACAATTCATGGCATTAAATACATTCACAATGATTGCACTATCATCACTATCTATACCCAGAACCTTTTCATTATCCCCAACAAAAACTCCTTATCCATTAAATAATTACTCCCCTCTTCTGCCCCTGCCTATTCTAGGTGCCTGATATAAGTGGACTCATATAGTACTTGCCTTTCTGTGTCTGGCATATTTCACTATGCACCATGTTTTCAACATCCATTCATGTATCAACATGACCTTCTTTTATAGCCGTCTAATATTCCATTGCCTGTCTGTGCCACATTTTGTTTATCCATTCACCTGTTGGTCGCTTCCTCCTTTTGACTATTTTGAATAGTGCTGCTATGAACATGGGTGTACAGATATCTGAGTGTCTCCTTTTGGTTCTTTCGGGTAATGCCAAGAAGGGAAGTTGCTGGTTGGGTTTTTTTTTTTTTTTTTTTTTTTAGAGGGGGTCTCACTCTGTCGCCCAGGCTGGAGTGCAGTGGTGCAATCTCAGCTCACTGCAACCTCCGCCTCCCAGGTTCAAGTAATTCTCCTGCCTCAGCCTCCTGAGTAGCTGGGACTACAGGCACACACAACCATGCCTGGCAAATTTTTATATTTTTAGTAGAGATGGGGTTTCACCATGTTGGCCAGGCTGGTCTGGAACTCCTGACCTCAAACGATCCACCCACCTCAGCCTCCCAAAGTGCTGGGATTACAGGCGTGAGCCACTGTGCTTGGCCTCTAGTGGATTTTTTTGTTTGTTTGTTGTTTATTTGATTCTTTCTCTATGTCTACCCACTAGATGGTCAGCTTGGGGGAGCCTGACCTTTTCTCTTTCACCCTCTGCAACTTCCTGAGCATCAGAACAATGCCAGACACACACCAGGTGGCTGGTCCATATTTGTCGACTGAATGACTAATCTGTTCTCTTTCAGTATTGGATACAAATGACCGATTTCTACGAAAAATAACCATCGGGCAGGGAAACACAGAGAAGGGCCATTACCGGCAGGTAGGTGGTGCTTTCTTCCCGGGTGTGGCTCTGTTCTTACGTTCATTTCTACTGGCCTGGGAGCTCACTCTTTGCCTTTCTTGTCTCATCCCCAACCTGTTGTGGCCAGTGGTTCTCTCACTGTTTTGGGTGCTCAGCAGGGCTGGGAGAGGATCAGAAGACATAGAGGCTCCAGTGTCTTTTTACCATCTTTTCTATGTATGTTTATTTCATTTTCTTTTTTTCATGTATGTTTCCAATTGTGTTTCCAGGAAGAGCCACTCAGGGTATTCTTTGAATATAAATTCTCACTTATTTTATTGGGAACCATCCAGGTAATACTACATCTGCATAACTGATAAATGAAAATCTCAGACACATTACTCAAATTTCATATATCAAAGAACAAACACCTAGTTATTAGACTTAATAGCATGAGGATTTTTTAAAGGATAATGGCTTATTAATACAAAAATGGCTTATTAATAAAATACAGAGAATGCAGAAGAAAAATTATGTCTGACTTCATTGTAATAGATATTGGATGTGCGTCAATGGCACTTAGGGAATACAAATTAATTCCTATGATTTTTCATCCAGGCACAGTGGGCTTCTAAATTGTGTTGTGTTTTTTTTTCTTTTGAATTGATTATAAACTGTACATTTAAGAACAGTTTTAGATTTCTGTCCTTTATGTTAAGTTTTTATTAGTGAAAAAAGAGTCACCTTACTATAATAACCAATCCTTACGCCAAATAGACTTGTGACCTTTTGAAGTGTCTTGAATTAAAAAGTGAATGTAGGTATTGGATTAAGAAGAGAAACTTAAGTTCGTGGACCTCGTCTCCTCCCAGTCCTGTAACTTACACACACACACACAAACAGATTTCAAATATCCATGCTAGCAAACTGGAATCATTGCCATGAAGTTTTAGATAGTTCTGAAAAATAGGAAGATGGAATTAGATTGATGATTAAAAGGACAGCCCAAAATATGGTGGACTTCCATCCTTAACAAGCATTCTTGCTTTTCATGTTCTTAGCCTCTCCTGCTAAAGTGGGAGCTTTATAAAAGCAGAGGTTATTCCCCTTTTTATTTGCTGCTGTGTTCCCTATGTTCAGAACAGAACTTTGTTACATATAGTCGTAAGTGTTCAGTAAATATCTGTTGAACAAATGAGTAGAATAAGTAAAAGACAATTTATGGATACAGAACTAAAATGCCAACATAAAAAGATGTTCATGAATAATCATAAAACTGCAAATTGAAACAATGGAGTATCATTTACCTAGGAGCTTGTCAAGTGAAAATAGTAGGTACTAAATGCTAGTGAGGATGCAATGAAATGGGGGCATTTATGCAGCGTTAGTGGGAGTAGAAATCCTTTTTGGATGAGTTTGTTATTACTAAAATTTGAAATGACCCAACAATTACAACTTTGGAACTAAAAATATTTTAATGAAAAGAACAAGAAAATGTGTAACGTACAGGAAAAAATTCTGTGTATTAGGATATTTGTTGTGCCATTATTTGCAGCGGTGAAAATTGGAAACAATCCAAATGTCCAACAGTAGAGATGGTTGCATATATTTGGTCCGCCATTTTGTCCCATGGGAGAGTTGAAATTAATAAATGTGCGTATGGGTGTCTTGACATGAGTAGAGAGCTCTCATACACCATTGGAAAGGTTGTAAAAACCATTTTAAAACTTTGAAGTAAAATACTGATATTGTAAACCTGTTTATGTTAAGAAAAACCCAGCGTGTTTACTTACATTATAGGCACTTACAACTTATTTGTGTATATAAGTGCCTAGAATGAAAAGTAGAAAGATGTATGCCAACTGTTGGCATTAGTTGCCTGTGTAATAAAAGCGAGTATTGAAAAGGCCCTTTCTCTGCATAGTTTTTTACTGTTTAGGTACTGGAGAGATGGAAGATTCACAGTGGCCTTGATTTCAGTGCCTACTCTGTGCATTGTATTGATAGTTCCATTACATATATTAGCACAGTTCATTTGTAAAGCTGATTTGCAAATGAGGAAATTGGGATGTTATGTTAAAAAAACTTGCCCAAGGTTATATCTTGTGTTGCTTCGTGCATAGATATTTTTAAGTAAAAAGGGGTTATAGTGTATTTAAGAGCTTTAACTGCTTTTTATTTATCATAAGACTGTAGTGAAGACATCTTTTTATGTCGATAAAGGTAGACCTGTATCTTCATTTTTAATGACCACATCATATCTCATAGAGGTACCATAGTAGATTCAGCCATTTCCCTGTTAATGAACATGTAGAGTGTTTGCAGTTTCAGGCTATCACAAGTAAGCTGTAGTAAGTATACACATATATTTGTGTGTATACTTGATACTATCCTTAGGATATTATTCCAGATGTGTGATTGCAGAGTCCAAGAGGATACAAATTTCCAATGTTGACATATGTTTTGACATTAACTTCCAGGAAATTCATACCAATTCACATCCTTGCCAATATCCCATATTGGCCTTTGTTTAAATGTGTGCTAAATCCCTCATTTGCCCTATCGTGATTATTACACATTGCATACCTGTATCAGAATAGTTCATGCAATCCACAAATATATACACCTACTATATACCTAAAAAAATGAAAAGGTAAATACTAAATCAATAAATGTGTGATAAGCTGATGAACAATAACGTTTTCATTGGCATCTTTATATGATTTTGAAATATTTTATTTGCAAAACAGAAATGAGCAGCCTTCCGCTATGCACGTCATTTAGTCATTAAAGTGAATGACAGTGATACTTTAATTGACCCAGTGTGTTTCATTTTTTTTATGCTCAAGATGTGAAATTTTGTAATTGTAACAATTACAAATGAAGAGCTTGAATATCGATTATATATTATTCTTATTTACACAGCTAATATTTCAAGAATGTTTCTAGTCTCATGTTTTGTACAGAAAATCTCCATATTTTTTAGTCATTTTCTCATATGCACTGTTTATAATAGAATGGTAGTATAGAGAACCCTAAATTTCATACAATGAAAGACCACTTATGTTTGGAATGAGTTATATTGAGAATGTAATAATTGAATATAGTTGTATTTGACTTTCAGGTAATATTTTTTCACTAAATCAGTGACTAATGCAATCTCAACCAGGAAGTAGCCAGAAAGCTCCTTATTTCCTTCCTTTCCTTACTTGTCAGTGATGGAAATGGATAATAAAATGTCTCATAAGGTGATCCCACCAGGGCACAGCCATTCTCTCTCTGCGTAAGCTTGAACTTGTCTGGCTCACACTCCCCTTGGGAAGAAGAGAATTAAGCTGGGGCGTAATGAAGTGGTTCTGTCCAGAGAAACATTCCTAGTGGCTGAATTATGAGGAGGAGGAAGTACACATTCCTGTGTCCCTTTTATTCCATGTTGGACTTCGTACAACGTGGAGCCACAGCCAAGAGATGGGAATAGGAAGTCCTAGAACTTTTTGCAAAAAGTCTGTGCTCTCTAGCTTTCACTACTGAAAGCTTCAAGATCTGATGTGGCCATATCCTCCTGGGCAGCTGAAAATTGAGTCTGTGCCACCAGTTGACTGGGTTGCCCTCCCTGCTGTGTTGAGATCCAGCTCTGGGAAAGTAGCCTCACATGCAGGAAGCCAGCATCTTTCACTGCCCCTTATCTCTGTGCCAGACAGACAATGCAGCCTTCTTGACAGACCTATTACTAACAAGGGAGGTGGCCCGTAGGCTAGTCATTAATTCATCTGATGCATATTGTATGCCTACTGGGTCTCATGCTCCGTGCTGGGGATTCAGAAGTGAACCTGCCTAATATAGTCCCTGCCGTCATGGCACTTACGGTCCAGTGGTAGACTGATAATGACCACACTAGACTGATAATGACATTAGTAATCAATTAAGTCTGAGACATGCTACAACAGCAAACCATGTGGTAGTGCTGTGAGCGGGTGTAACAGGGGTCCTAACTCAGCCCACCCTTTGCTGAGCAGAGCATGGCAAAGAGCACATTCCGCCTGGGAGGCCACCCTAGGGAGCACCAGGCACAAACCCTGCATGGTCCAGACACGCAGAAAACTGATGGGATTGCATGCATGGCCTTTTGAGGGTAGACTCTCTGGGCCTGTGGTTGCTTCATGGCTGAAGTCCAGCTCCTTGTGGGAATGGCCATCCCACTGGCACTGTCGCTGACCACTACCTGTGTTTGGGCTGGTTCAGGCGCAGTTTGACATCGCAGTGGCCAGCGAGATCATGGCGGTGCTGGCCCTGACGGACAGCCTCGCAGACATGAAGGCACGGCTGGGAAGGATGGTGGTGGCCAGTGACAAAAGCGGGCAGCCTGTGACAGCAGATGATTTGGTGAGTGTTTCCAACTCGGAAGCTTCAGGGAGTGGACGGTCCTCGTTCTTCGTTACCAGAAAAAGAAAGGTTTTCTTCCTTTTATCAGTGAGTGTAATGAGGATACAGAAAAAGTTTCCACACACACATTTCTTCCCCGACAAGCATGTTTGCCTAACTGCTTCCTAATGTTCTCATAGTCATATATGACGTGCTTATGCCTGGCTGCAACAAAAACATGTGAAATTTATTTCAGGAGCTTTCCACCATCCTTGCCAATCCTGATCTCTGCTTCTGCCTGGGCTGGGGAGGAGTCACCCCCCTGCAGTCACTTGGTGACTTTTAAAAAATGTACCTTCTATGCCTGCCTGAAATTGAGGGCAAATCACCTTTCCAAGGAACAGAAGGAAGTGGCTCTGCTTCCATGAACAGGAAGATAAAGTTAAAATTGGCACATTTCTGGCACCAGCCTGGCTTATTATTTAATTTGGGGCCTTAGATTTGGGTTTTGTATTATAAAAGCAAATCTCTGCCTCAATCAGTCTTGCTTTTCTAGTTCCCCTTTGAGTAGTTGTGGTGCTTTCTGTAAAGCTTCCATGGAACACCATTTCCTTTTTTAGTGCTTTTTCTAATTGGCATGCTAGTCTTCTTTTCTTCTTCGTCTTTCTGGTATAATAACAACCTTTCCTGTTAACTTTTTTTTTTTTTTTTTTTTTTCTGAGACAGTCTGGCTCTGTTGCCCAGGCTGGAGTGCAATGGCACGATCTCAGCTCACTGCAGCCCCTGCCTCCCGGATTCAAGCGATTCTCCTGCCTCCGCCTCCTGAGTAGCTGAGATTACAGGCGCACGCCACCACGCCCAGTTAATTTTTGTATTTTTAGTAGAGATGGGGTTTCACCAGGTTGTCCAGGCTGGTCTCGAACTCCTGACCTCAGGTGATCCACCCAACTTGGCCTCCCAAAATGCTGGGATTACAGGCATGAGCCACCACACCTGGCCTTTTCCAGTTAACTTAAACTCCACATATTCCATAGGTGTTTTGTTTGCTTGCATTTTTGTATATAAGTGCATGGGTGTGGACACAGGCCTCTAAGATAGCCATTACTCCAAATTTAAGTTTACTTTCCCATATACTGAATCTCCTACAATAATGGAACTTAAAATGCACACTGGTGATTGGTAAGCAGTTGTGAACAGAGAGAGGCAAAGTCATATTTTATTAATTTCAAGGGCTTAGGGTATAATTTGAATTCTTTTTCAAAGTGTCCGGATTGTTTTTCAGCTGCTTTTGAAGAAATGAATCTAACTCATCTCAGAAGTCTTGTCAAGTAAATTCAATAGATCAACGTATGTCGCAGCCTATGGAATACTTAGTATAAAAATTGAAGAGAAAACCCTCAGGTTGCTATAAAAGTGCTGCTTTATTAAAATTACCAAAATCTCACTATTTCTATCTAAACTGACATACTACAGTTTCTGTCTAAATACATTGCTCTGTATTTTATTAATTTGTATGGCAATAAATATGTGTCAGGAACAGTTTTAAAACTTAATCCTCAAATACTGCTTCCTTAAATCTATTTATTTATTTTTATTTATTTATTTTGTTTTTGAGATGGAGTTTCGCTCTTGTTGCCCAGGCTGGAGTACAATGCCGTGATCTTGGCTCACTGCAACCTCTGCCTCCCAGATTCAAGTGATTCTCCTGCCTCAGCCTCCCAAGTAGCTGGGATTATGGGTGCCCACTGCCACACCCGGCTAATTTTTGTATTTTTAGTAGAGATGGGGTTTCACCATTTTGGCCAGGCTGGTCTCGAACTCCTCAGGTGATCTGCCCACCTCGACCTCCCAAAGTGCTGGGATTGCAGGCATGAGCCACCACACCCAGCCCTTAAATGTATTTTTGTGTGAGTGTATGATAAAAATCTTGGATCTGGAACAAACCCAAAGATTACTCTTTTTAGTTACCTTTTTAAATAAACTCTTTATTTATCTTTTTAATAAACTCTTTTTAGTTATCTTTTGTGTTTCTTGTTTGCAAAAAGTAACTAATTTATTAAATTGTGCTTCATCCAGTGGGAGCTATTGAGAGTTGGCCACCCATAGAAAATTGAGGGAGGATTTTAGGAACTGCTGAAGGTTTCTGCCACATGCATGATTCTGATATACCCTGGAAGAATCCATCTGAGCCTTCCCCACATGGACACAGAGTGTGGAATGCTAGCAGCACACAGAGGGTGGCAGAGCTTGCCCTGCACGTGACAGCACAGGCGCTGAGATGTGTCCCAGAAAAATGAGCAGGTAGAAGCCTACCTGAGACATCCAACAGAAACATCCCTCTTAACTTCCTTCCTCCTTTAGTGTTTTGAATCAGTTTATTTGGTTGGGAAGTGTAAGCAAGGATAGTGTACAGAGAAGTAGGAAAACTACTCCTCTTCTTCCACCTGCTCTGCATTAGCACAACAGGACAACTCTCACTGAGCCTTCCTGTCCTGAAGATTTCTTTTTTCTTTTCTTTTCTTTTTTTTTTTTTTTTTTTGAGATGGAGTCTTGCTCTATTGCCCAGGCTGGAATGCAATGGTGCAATCTAAGCTCACTGCAACCTCCAACTCCCAGGTTCAAGTGATTCTCCTGCCTCAGCCTCTCGAGTTGCTGGGATGACAGGCACCTGCCACCATGCCTGGCTAATTTTTGTATTTTTAGTAGAGATGGGGTTTTGCTATGTTGGCCAGGCTGGTCTCGAACTCCTGACCCCAGGTGATCCACCCGCCTTGGCCTCCCAACGTGTTGGGATTACAGGTGTGTGCCACCATGCCCAGCCTGTCCTGCAGCTTTCAAAGTGAACCATCTTCGTGTATGTATAATGAGTGGGTTGCATTCATATCATGTGTGTTTTATACACTGAGGTAGATTCCAGTTACGTAGGAATATAGTTAGTAATAGTGTATTCCTGAAAATTGCTAAGAGTGGTTATAAAGTATTCTCACCACCAAAATGATAACTGTGAGGTAATGCATATGTTAATTAACTAGGTTTAATCATTCCACAGCATATACTTCAAAACATCATGTTATACACAATAAATACATACAGTTTTATCTGTCAATTTGAAGTTAAGGAAGAAAATAGATTGGATTTTCTTACACCTTTTAAATGATTAAATATTATAAAAATAGAAACCAATCACATGAGAGAAACATTTACTACTGTTGTTGATAAAAGTACGGGGAGAATGTAACGCACTTTAGAGTGAGGAAGATTCTCTGGATTCTACCACTGCATCTGTTAGCGCCATGGCATACTGTGGTAAAATGGCACTGTTTTCCGATGCTATGTACAGCAAGGGATAGCGCCCTGTTTTCCCCCCCTAGAGCTACCGTTACAAGCATTTGCTTATGTTATAGCCTTCCAATAACTAATATGTTGAAAACACCAAGACACCACTTAAGGTCTTTACAAAGTGAGAAGGAATTGGGAAAAAAAGAAACAAAGGCCGGGCACGGTGGCTCACGCCTGTAATGCTAGCACTTTGAGAGGCCGAGGCAGGCAGATCATGAAGTCAGGAGTTCGCGACCAGCCTGGCCAATATGGTGAAACCCCATCTCTGCTAAAAATACAAAAAAAATTAGCCGTGTGTGGTGGTGCATGCCTGTAGTCCCAGCTACTGGGGAGGCTGAGGCAGAAGAATCGCTTGAACCCTGGAGGCAGAGGTTGCAGTGAGCCTCCAGCCTGGGCAACAGAGAGAGATTCCGTTCTCAAAAAAAGAAAGAAAAGAATGTGAATATTGACATCACATTAAAAAATAATAACAAACTTTAGCCTTGTGGCCTTTTTTTGGCACATGTTTTCCGCTAGTTCTCATGCATCATCCCTATTCTCTCTCTTCTCTGTCTTTTCTTCATCCAGGAACAGAGAAAGAGGACTTAGAAGGAACTCAACCCAGTACTTCCTAGGATTGGAAGGAAGCTGCCTTATTTCATGTATAAGTGGCACCAGCTTGACTGTAGGAAGAGAGATAGCGTGAAGCCTTTCACATCTAAACTAGAAAGCTTTTAAACGTGGTAGTTTGTTGAGTTATTCTCTCTCTGTGGAATGAATGATGTAGAGATGGTGAGAAATCAGAGTGGGTGATTTTAGACATTTCCCTTTACCCTACTTCATTCCTGCTCTGTACAGAGCCTTGTTTCTGTTCTTCACCTTATTTCTTTGAGCAAGAGTAAAGCCTCTGATTATGAAAATACACTGTGCATAAATAGCCAGAAAACACATTTTCTTGCAATGAAAGATTTGTTTTATGGAAAATCTCATAAACACCATCAAGGAAGGTTTTGGAAGAAGGTCAAATGTCCTTCAAAATGCTATTACCCCATCACCATTCACATCTTAGTGTGACTGACATCCGTTCTCAGCTCTGGTGGGGAGAGGTGGACAGAGACAGCAGCACTGTCCCCTGTGGCCCAGGGTTGCCTGTGGGGACGCCCACCCAAGAAGCAGGCTGGAGAGAAGTGCCAAGGGGTTAACCATTGCCTGGATGATATTTTGTCAGGAATCTAATGTTTTTCTCTCTCCTGTAGGGGGTGACAGGTGCTTTGACAGTTTTGATGAAAGATGCAATAAAACCAAACCTGATGCAGACCCTGGAAGTAAGTGGTTTTCTTCTTATAGTAATTGTTTGCATTAACTGGATTGCCACACAATGTGAACATTTTTAGCCAATATGAGGCAGGCATAGAGCATGCCTGGGGCAGCAGTGTGCTTTGCAATCTCAGGCAGAAAGAGTGAGGATCTGGTTAGGAACCTGTATTAGTCCATTTTGACATTGCTACAAGGAACTACCTGAGACTGGGTAATTTATGAAGAAGCATCAGAATAACTTCTTGGCCAACCAAAAAAAAAAATTTTTAAGTGTATTCATAGCTTCTTTAATATAAGTCATGTCTTGGCTTAATTGACCCGAGTAGAAACTTAGAAAGTCAATGTCTGAGGCCAGGCGCGGCGGCTCATGCCTGTAATCCCAGCACTTTGTGAGGCCGAGGTGGGCGGATTATGAGGTCAGGAGTTCAAGACCGGCCTGACCAATATGGTGAAACCCCATCTCTACTAAAAATACAAAAAAATTAGCCGGGCATTGTGGCACACACCTGTAGTCCCAGCTATTTGGGAGGCTGAGGCAGGAGAATCGCTTGAACCCGGGAGGCAGAGGTTGCAGTGAGCTGAGATCGCACCACCGCACTCCAGCCTGGGCGACAGAGCGAGACTCCGTCTGAAAAAAAAAAAAAGAGAAAGTCAATGTCTAACATTTCAATAGGTTGTATGGCCATGTTTACAATTTATTTTCTGTGTTCCCTTAATCTCTCATAATCATTGAGTTGTGGATTTTTTGGTTTGCTTTTTTATTGTTGTTTGTTTGTTTCCAAGCAAAATACAATAAATGCCAAGACTTTCCAGGAAAGCATTTGCCAAAGGCAAGTCAATAAACACACAGCATGTTAGTTGGTGGTAAGGTCTGGAGAAGAAAAATCAGAGGTCATGAGGGGCAGAGTGATGTGGGGTATGTGTGTCTGTGCCTGCCCGCCTGTTAAAGCAGTACCAGCACAGAGCTGAGTAAACCAAGGGGGTGAGCCATGCACGTGTCTTGAAGAACATTTGGACAGAGGGTTACCTTTAGTGCAGGGGCCTTGGGCAGCAAGGTGTTTTGCAATTTCAGACAGCAAGAGCGAGGATCTGGTTAGGAACCTGTATTAGTTTGTTCTCGCATTGCCGTAAGGAACTACCTGAGACTGGGTAATTTAAGAAGAAAATTGGTTTAATTGGCTCACAGTTCTGCAGGCTGTACAGGAAGCATGGCTGGGGAGGCCTCAGGAAACTTATCATGGTGGAAGGCGAAGGGGAAGCAGACAAGTCTTCACATGGCAGAACAGGAGAGAGAGGGCGAAGGAGGAAGTGCTACACACTTTTAAACAACTAGATCTCATGAGGACTCACTCACAATCATGAGAACAGCAAGGGGGAAATTCACTCCCAGAATCCAGTCACCTCTCCCCAGGCCCCTCCTCCAACATTGAAGGTTATAATTCGACATGAGATGTGGGTGGGGACACAGAGCCAAACCATATCAGAACCAATATGACAGAAATGGGGGGATTGGCCAGGCACGGTGGCTCAAGCCTGTAATCCCAGCACTTTGGGAGGCCAAGGCGGGCAGATCCCTTGAGGTCAGGAACCTCGAGACCAGCCTGGCCAACATAGTGAATCCCATGTCTACTAAAAATACAAAATAAATTAGCTGGGCATGGTGGCACGTGCCTGAAATCCCAGCTCCTTGGGAGGCTGAGGCAGGAGAATCACTTGAACAGGAGGCGAAGATTACAGTGAACTGAGATTGCACCACTGCACTCCAGCCTGGGCGACAGAGTGAGCCTCTTATCTTTTAAAAAAAGGGAATAGAAAAAAATGGGGGGACCATTTCTGAAGGTGCCCAGTGAGGATGCAGACTGCAGGTGTCCCCTGAGCTGAGGAAGGGAGGACTGAACGCCTTTGAACAGGTGTCTGCAGCCCCGGGGGAGGGGTGCAGGATGCACAGGTGCCAAGGCCACACCCTTCTGCGGCAGGTTGTCCTTCCCGTCTTTCCTCTCCCCTGATCATTCTGCCAGCATGCACGTATCCTCAGAGGTAGGCCATCTTAAAAAGCAAACAAAAACATTTCAAAAACCTCCTGCCCCCACCTGCATCCTCATCTAGCTTCTGCCCAGCTCTTGTCTGTCACTGGGGTCTCCATGTTAACTGACCTCGGGTTCCACCTCTCCTGACTGCCCTTGTCCAGGTCACTTTTCCCTTGGAGACACCAAGTCTTTGTTGCTGTGCCCTCCTCAGAGAAGCTCAGCAGAGTTTGACACAGCTGCCCTTGTCTTCCTTCAGGAGCACCTGGTTCCTCTGGCGTCTGGGGTCCCCCCCTCCCCAGGCCTGCTCGCTGCTCCTCCTCCGCTTTGCTGGCTTCTCTGATGACCCCTCACCTTTTTTGCCCCGTTCTCCTCCAGAATTAGCCAGGTGATGACTCCCAAACTCTTGTTTGGAATATCATGCACCTGGAATTTCAGACTTGCAGGTATAGTTACCAGGAGCCACGTGGGTGGGGAAAAGCCATTTCAAACTGATACATAAACCAGGACCCACCTCCTACCTACTTCCTTCCAGCTCGCTGCTTCCCTGAAACCTTCCCAGTCATTCAAGGCAGAAACCCGAGGATGATCCTAGAGGCCTGTTTTCCCTTCCCCTCTTCCTGTGTCCATCCCTGCAGAGTTGTCCTTGGTTACATGACTCTGCCCTGTCCACGATGCTCAATGCCTCCCTCCTTCCTGCTTTAGCTGCCAGCACGCCCCACCTGCACGAGTGCAGCAGCCTCCCAACCAGTCTCTCTGCTGCTACTCTTTTCTTCCAAAATACTCTCTCCTCAGCAGCCATAGAGACTGAAACCTAATGAAGCCCTGTTGCCTTCCTACTTAGAGTTCTTCCATGATTTACCCATGTTTCCACCCCGGTCTGAAAAGCCCTAGGGATCTGGCTCTCACCCCTTCCCGCTCCTTGTCCCTTATCCTCATCTCTCATCCTCTGGGGGACCTTTGCACGGCTAACACCACTACCTGGGCCACTTCCTGATATTCTCATGTCCAGCTCCTTCGCCTCCCTCTGTTCTCATGTCATGTAAGCATCAGCTGCTCAGAGAAGCCACAGGAATGTGCAGCCCCCGTCCCTCTGCTGTCATTGCAGTACATGGCACAGAATGCTGAGAGCTTCCTATTTCCTTATCTGTTTTCTGTATTTCTCCTCCCACCGAGATGACAGCAAGACCTTTTCCATCCTGTTCACCACCGTATCTCCAGCTTCTAGAAAGTGCCCGACACCTATTAGAGGTTCAGTAAAGACTTGTTGAATAATTAAGTGAATGTTTATTATTTTTACTACATTCTCCTAAAAATACACATTTATTAATAAATAACTGAATAAGAGAAAAAATACGAAGTGATGTGATATTCCTTCATAACACTTCTCCCTCAAAGATGAATACTTATTATTAGGGATAATCATTTTCTTTATTGTTGTTGTTTGTTTTGTTTTGTTTTGTTTTGTTTTTTTGAGACGGAGTCTCTCCCTGTCGCCCAGCCTGGAGTGCAATGGTGGGATCTCGGCTCACTGCAACCTCTGCCTCCCAGGTTCAAGCGATTCTCTTGCCTCAGCCTCCCAGGTAGCTGGGATTATAGGCGCCTGCCACCACACCCGGCTAATTTTTGTATTTTTTTTTTAAGTAGAGATGGGGTTTCACCACGTTGGCCAGGCTGGTCTCAAACTCCTGACCTCAGGTGATCTGCCCGCCTGAGCCCCCAAAGTGCTGGAATTACAGGCGTGAGCCACCATGCCCCAGCCAGGATAATCATTTTCTTGTTTTAAATAATTCTTTTTTTTTTTTTTTTTTTGAAACGGAGTTTTGCTCTTGTTGCCCAGGCTGGAGTGCAATGGTGTGATCTTGGCTCACTGCAACCTCTGCCTTCCGGTTTCAAGCGATTCTCCTGCCTCAGCCTCCTGAGCATCTGGGATTACAGGCGCCCGCTACCATGCCTGGCTAATTTTTGTATTTTTAGTAGAGACAGGGTTTTACCATGTTGGCCAGGCTGGTCTCGAACTCCTGACCTCATGATCCACCCACCTCGGCCTCCCAAAGTGCTGGGATTACAGGCGTGGGCCACCACGCCCAGCAAATTTTTGTATTTTTAGTAGAGGCAGGGTTTCACCATGTTGGCCAGGCCAGTCTCAAACTCCTGACCTCAGGTGATCCGTCTGCCTCTGCCTCTCAAAGTACTGGGATTATAGGTGTGAGCCACCGTGCCCGGCCTGAGCACTTTTTAAAACATAATCTAAACCTGTTATTTCTTTGCTGCCTAATAAATCAGAGATTCAGAACCCTTAAAAAGCAAATAAAAGTAAGGGCAATAAGACCTGCTGAGGCTGAGGCAGGAGAATAGCTTGAACCGGGGAGGTGGAGGTTGCAGTGAGCAGAGATCATGCCACTGCACTCCAGCCTGGGCGACAGATTGAGACATAAAATAGACTGAGACCCTGCCTCAAAAAAAAAAAAAAAGAGTCCTCAAACTGTTCATATACAGGACTGGGCTTGCTAGGGAAAGAAGGGGGAATTCTTCAGACTACTTTACAAGGACACAAGAACTCCTCAACCTAAACAAAGTATGAAGGTACATAGACAAGTTTCTTGTAAGTCGGAAAACAGAGAAATCCACAGTAACTATAATACATCCCTTAAAGGATAAGCATGCATTTGTAGGAAGCAAACAAAGCTTTCCATAGAGAAACCACTTCCACCAGATGATTATATGGACTTGGGTTTTGTTTCTGCATCTGTCACTTGGCAAATGAAGATACCATCTTCAGGATGTTCCGTGTCATCGATTTCATTTAAGGCATAGGCTGTTTTAAGATTACTTTAAAAGATATGGACCTTTTTACAAAATAAAACACTGCATTCACTTAAAATATTTGCAGACGTGAACTCTTGTACCCTGATCCTATGTTGTCACTCTGGGTTTTATGTATCTAATCATTGACTAGGAATCTATCTCAGCAGATAATCCAAAAATCTAGTTTGACTAGTTGGTAGATTATGCTTTCCCGCTCACATCTGAACACACCTGGTTGTTAGTCTGGTAGGAGGTCATCAAGGGCCACATCCTTACAGGTTGCCAGGAGACCAGTAGTTCTTAATCCTGACTGCACTTGAGAAGCTCCTGGGAAGGTTTAAGAATATTGATTGATTGATGCCGGGCTCCCCATCAGACCCAGTGAACGTAATGTCTGAGGATAAGGCTTGGGTATCATGTATTGCCAGACTGAGGAAGACTTAAGACAAGAAAACAGTGAGAGCTGTTAACATTTTCCCACAGGTTAGCCGTGTGTGGTGTTGATGGAAACTTCACATGCGAGAGCACACTGTCCAATATGGCGGCCACTGGACATGTGGCCATTTCAATCTAAATTACCTAAACTTCAATAAAATTTGGAATTCAGTTCTTCAGTCATTTTAGCCACATTTCCATTTATGCATTTATTTGTTTATATTTTACTGTTCATATTTAAGTGCTTAGAACTCTGGTAAGCTAACAATTACTTGAAATTACTTGAAATATTAATCTTATGAAATGTTTGAAAGGGCCATTATGGAGAATATTCATAGCAAGATAGTTCCTGCCTTATTTTCCTGAGTGTTCTGCATGTAAAATAAAACCCAGAACTCAAGATAAATGTGTGTATGCCTTTGAGTTAGTCATAGAATTTTTTAAGCAACATGTTTAATTTGATGTACTGTATCTTATAGCTATATCCATGTTTGAGTGTGCAAGTGTGTGTGTACCTGTGTTTGGAAGTCTAACAATGACATTCCAATATTTTTTTCTCACCAACTCCATACTGGGAGTTTTAAAACCAGAGCCCTAATCTTGACTTAATTATTAATTTCCTCCGTGGCCCTGAAGAATTCCCTTAGCCTCTCTGGGCCTTAAATTTCTGGATAAAGAAGTTGGCTGCTTCGTGCTCTCAACATTATCTGATTCTGTGATTTCTAGCTAAAGCTACATTTATACAAAAATATAAAGTGCTTTTGCAAAGTAAAGAGTAGAATAGTGGTTATCAGAGGCAGTGGGGGATGGAGAAGTTGACCAAATAATACAAAATTCCAGTTAGACACCACCTGTGTATTCATAAACATGTGTCCCTAGGTTTTATTTATTTATTTTTATTTATTATTTTTTTCATTTTTGAGTCAGAGTCGGTCTGTCACCCACACTGGAGTGCAGTGGTGCGATCTCAGCTCACTGCAACCTCCACCTCCCAGGTTCAAGCTGTTCTTGTGCTTCAGCCTCCCGAGTAGCTGAGCTGGGTTTACAGGAGCACACCACCACACCCTGCTAAATTTTGTATTTTTAGTAGAGACGGGTTTCACTGTTGGCCAGGCCAGTCTTGAACTCCTGACCTCAGGCGATCCGCCCATCTTGGCCTCCCAAAGTACGGGGATTACAGGCGTGAGTCACTGTGCCCAGCCAATTGTAATGATTTTTATGGTTACCTTTTCTTGAATGGAATCATTTCTTAATTAAAAAAATAAATATACCTTTTATACCATCAGGGTTTAATTTCATTCTTTTAAAAAAATATAGTGCATGGCAACATAAAATAAGGTAAATAATTTATTTCATGGTCATTGAGGCAACTAACAAAATGGTTTAACAATATTTTGGAAGGAAGTGACTGTATTCTCACAGTTTTGTCTCTCAGGTTCAGCATTAAATGTAGAATAACATTTTTCTAGAATCCGGAGGGAATTTGGTCCTTTGATTGAGTCAGGGTGTTTTGACTGTCTTTGAAATATTTTATGCATTAAATATGCAGTATTCATAAAAGCTTTCCTACCCCATTTGCCCCAAATTGATCTTGGTTTCCATGCTTCTGTTTGTCTTTTGGGATTTTGATTTGCTTTTTCACTTCTCTAGGGGACACCTGTGTTCGTGCATGCGGGCCCTTTTGCTAACATTGCTCACGGCAACTCTTCAGTGTTGGCTGATAAAATTGCCCTGAAACTGGTTGGTGAAGAAGGATTTGTAGGTAAGTTATTTCTTTTAAATTTAGTTGTTGTAGAATATTGAAGAAATCTAAAAGCTGATGACTGGAATGGAGTGATATCCATCCTGACATGAAACATATTCTTTCAGGCACCCTCTTTCATAGAGGGTCTCAATAATGGAAAAGCCCTAAGGTCTGGTCTATACTCGTGAAATTATGCTTGTGCTTGAATCATAGAGTCTGGTATCAAGTACATATGGGTTTGAGTATAAACTCTGACTCTTGCAAACTGAGTGACATTGGACACATTTTAATTACTACTGAGCTTCGGTTTTCTTGTGTGTAAAATAGTGATAACAATACTGTATCAAACCTTTTAGGGTTGTTATGAAAACTGAATGAGATATTTTAGTCATTCAGCAAATGTTTTTTGAGAACCTACCACTTAGAAGGCATGTTAGCTAGGGATCCAGTGGTAAGCAAAACAGATAGGCGCAGTGGCACATGCCTCGCTACTCAGGAAGCCGAGGCAGGAGGATTGCTCGAGCCCAGGAGTTTGTGTCCAGCCTGGGCAGCATAGAAGACCCTGCCTCTGTGAAAAAATTAAAATTAAAACAACCAGCCTTAGCCCCTGCTCCTGTGGAGCGTACTGTCTAATGGTAATTGAATAAGAGAAAGTGCTCATTGACTGTCAGCCATTACTACCCTTACTATGTAGTACTGATAACTTGAAGTCGTGGGTTTATTTCCATGTACAGTTTCTCCTTGTTTTTTGTGAGCTAATATAGGAGAGATTCCCAACCAGTAGACTTAGAAATGTTAATTGGTAGTACTGCACACCTTTTGCTGCTGTCAAGTTCTTTGCAGAACCTGTTCCTCTTTGGCTTTTCTTGCATATTCCAGCTAGAAAGAAGGGGCAACTCTCATAGAGTTTACTAAGTCAGTGCCAGCCCCAGTCTCACCCACAATACTAAGGCAGCAAGGAAACAAAAGACAAAACCAAAACACAGGCATTCATGGAGGAGTCCCTTAATCTGACATATGAGGGACTGCATTGGCAGATTTCCCATGCTAACAGGTAATTCCCATTAACCACACGTATACCTATAATCGGAGACAGCAATCTCTTCTTTCACTCTTATCATCAGCTTTGGATCAAACTCAAAAGAGTTATTTTATTAGAAGAGAGTGTGCTGGACAAAAGAACTTGGCACTGCATTTTATGCTCAGACATCACAAAGTTCATTCAGTGTTATTGAGACTCTTTTAAGAATTCCTTGTGGACTGGCAGTCAGGATCAGATGAGGCTTGGTGGAGCTCCACTCCTCCATGATCTGTTTTCTGCAGCTCTCATGTACTTTGCTCCTTCGGTAGCAAATCCACTGCAAGAGTGGCTAGACATACTGTCTAAGTGGATTTGCTCAATTGATCGCTGCCTAATTGTAGAGCTAATGGACGAGGAGGCTGGGTCAGGGCGGGCACTGGAAAGTTGGGTGCTTAAGTGAAGTGGTGGTTCTGATGCATCAGCTCTGCAAATAAAGTAGCTTCTAGAAGGAAGCACTCTATTTTATGCTGACAGAGATCTCTGCCCATACCAGTTCTTACTTTGTCAAACACATATTTATAAAATACATGTTATCATGGCAGAATACTTTCAAAGATATAAACTGATGATGTATGCAAAGCAAACGAGCCCTCTGTGTGACCTTGAACAAGCCATTAGCCTCTCTGGGTGTGTCCCCTGTAGACATTCTCATCTGAAAAATGAGAAGTTGGACCAGATGAGGAGTTGGATGTGGATGTGTAGCCGTGGACTCAGAGTTAGACACTGTGGAATTGGAGCCCTGACTGGTAGTGTGTTTTCATTTCTCTAGGGCTCAATTTTTTATTTAATAAAAAGAATACTTCTGTATTTTAATGAATAGGATCAAGTGAGAAACTGCTTTGTAAAATATGAACTATGTTCAGGTCAGCAATTATACTAATTCTTTCTATGATCTCATCTAGTCTAAGATGCCGTAAGTGGGGGGGTTTTTCATGAGGATGAAATCTGTCCGTTGCCAGATGGTTCAAAGGGCAAGCCCTAAGTCAGAGGTTTTACCTCAACTGCTTTCAAGTCACAGATAACCTTGGGCACATGAACCCTTCTCTTCCTTGGTTTCCCTACCTGTAAAATAGGGCTTTGGATAGGGCTTCCCTCTCGAAAGGACTTGGTAGGTTTGAAATGAGGCATCAATGAGATCATGGGGTTGAGTCCTGGCACCTGACACATGGTAAGACTCAATCCTTCTTGGCCACTCCTGGCTGTCATTGTTACCCCCACTATTGATACACTACTGATGAAGGTTACATTTTCTTTTTTCTTTGGATCTTTTTATTTTTTGGATGATTTTATTTATAGTTGTTATAAAATACACGTAACATGAAAGTTACCATCTTCACCATTTTTGAGTGTACGTTCATTAGTGAAGTACACCTTCATTGTTGTGCAACCAAGCTGCAGAACCGAAGTCCCATGCCCATTAAATATTCCTCATTCTCCAGCCCCTGGCAGTGCCCTTCTACTTTCTGTCTCAATGAAGTTGACTCCTGGATACCCCATGTGAGTGGAATCATGTAGTATTTGTCCTTCTGTGACTGACTTATTTCACTTAGCATAATGTCCTCAAGGTTCATCCATGTTGCAGCAGGCGTCAGAATTCTCTTCCTTTTTTTTTTTTTTTTTTTTATTTTTTGTGAGATGGAGTTTCGCTCTTGTTGCCCAGGCTGGAGCGCAATGGCACAATCTCAGCTCACTGCAACCTCCGCCTCCCAGGTTCAAGCGATCCTCCTACCTCAGCCTCCCGAGTAGCTGGGATTACAAACATGCACCACCACGCCCAGCTAATTTTTGTATTTTTTAGTAGAGATGGGGTTTCTCCATGTTGGTCAGTCTGGTCTCAAACTCCTGACCTCAGGTGATCCACCCATATCAGCCTCCCAAAGTGCTGGGATTACAGGTGTGAGCCACCACACCCGGCTAGAATTCTCTTCCTTTTTAAGGCGGAATAATATTCCATCGTATGGATAGACCATACTTTGTTTATCCACTCATCCTACATTGGACATTTGACTTGTTTCCACCTTTGGCTCTTATGAATAATGCTGCTATGAACATAGATGTACAAATATATTTTAATGTCTAAAAATCGTGCTCTATGATGTCTAAATATGTGATGGCAATGACTTATATTCACAAATACGTACCACGGAACTCTAGCCCTGTAATGTTGAACTCTCCCGAAGGTGGTGTGTCCATGCTGTGGCTCTGTTGGAATGCTGGTGGCAAAGCCAGTGTATTGCACAGTGGGAACGGGGTGTGGTCAGGAGACAGTGTTCCTTGCCCATTGCTTGGTCAAGCCTGCACTGTGGGGCTCGTTCATTCCTTGCCCTTGGATGAAGTTTATAATAGTTCCCTCTCATTCTCAGTTAATATCTAGTCCCTCTAACACATATATTTTTTAATTCCTCTGGTCACTTTCAATCATAAGAATAGCCCCTAAAATTAAAAATGCATATCCAGTTGTATATCAAAACCAAAAACTCCAAATGTCACTCAGACTTGAGCTCCTCTCCTCCCCTGTCTGGGCCTCCTCTGGCTGACAGTGGGAAGGGGAAGGTGGCTGCTTGCTTCTCTGCCACCCTTGTCTTGCACTTGGGCTCGCCCTGGCCCCTCCTAGGTTGAAGCTTTGGCATGAAATGGTGCCCATGTAGCCTCTACCAGCAGACGTCCTCACACTTTTGGCAGAAGCCCCCTGAGCAGTACCTCATTTAGACTTTCCTACCTCTGATTCCACACCTGGTCTCGGGTACCACAGACCTCTGACCTCTGGCTGGGGACACGCCCTGAGCCTTGCCAACTGGTCTTCTGGTCCTCACTTGTGGCTTAAGGGGGAAGCGGGGACGCCAAGGCGGGTGGATCACCTGAGGTCAGGTGTTCAAAACCAGCCTGGCCAACATGGTGAAACCCCGTCTCTACTAAAAATACAAAAAAATTTAGCGGGGCTTGGTGGCGCATGATGTAATATCAGCTACTCAGGAGGCTGAGGCAGGAGAATCGCTTGAACCCCAGGAGGCAGAGGTTGCAGTGAGCTGAGATCACACCATTGCACTCCAGCCTAGGCAACAGAGACAGACTCTGTCTCAAAAAATAAAAATAAGGGGGAAGCAGCTTCGCATGCTCTTCACTGGGAGCTGGGAGGGGAGCTGGATGTGGCACACTGATAACTTTCTTTGAAGAAATTCTTTCCCAGGTTCTAACCCGTCAACCCTTTTGAAGCCTCAATGGGCTAAGGCATACAAAATCTATTTCAAACTGCTTTGCAAACCCTCCCAGGTCAGCCAGCACCATCCTTTGGCATGTGAGCAAATTGACACCAATTTGAGGCCCGAAACAAAAGTGAGACAAAAAGACGTTCATTTCAACATCCTTCTACAGAAGTTAAATAGAGTAGGCACATCTGAGGTGTATCTGAAGTCTGAGCAGGAATTCATGTTCTTCAAAAAGTTGTCGTTTATAGTAGACTATCTTTATGACCTCATAATAGGGAAGGATCTCTTAAAATATGAAAAGCTCAAACCATAGAGAAAAATGTCGATAATTTGGCCTGCATTAAGAAGTAAACTGTATGTGATAAAAGATACAAGGATAAAAAACAAGTGACAGATTGGAAAGAAACGTTTGCAAAGATAGTAGACAATGATTAGCATTGAGAATATGTAAAACACTAAAGACTAAAGACTGATAAGAGAAAGACAAATAATCCAATACAAAAATAGAGAATTTGAAAAGGTGATTCGCAGCAAATGAGCAATTTGGTGGAATTTCTAGGTAGAACTGAAAATGAACAAATGATTTAGCAATTTCACTTCTATGTATACTCTGGAAAAGAAGTAGTCAAAAATATATTTAAGTCCTTTGAAATAATTGACTTCAGTACCCCTTTAATGAGCATTTATTAAGCTTCTGCTATATGTCAAGTACTATCTGCTAGGAGCTGGGAATCAAATATGAATAAGACAGGTTTCTTGCCCTCCAGTAATTGATGATGTGCTGTGAGAGACAAGAACTTCAATGGTAAGTACAATGCACTTGATTAAGTACTATATTAGTTAAGGTTCTTAACTAAGAATTTCAAGGGATGATGGGCATCTCTTAGATAGAACTGTCTCCATATTACTGGTTTTGCTGATTTAGTCTAATTTTTGTTCTAACAAAAAGCATACACAAGGAAGGAATTATTTTGTCTATTCTGAATAATTAGTCTAAGATAATAGAATCAGTAGTCCATTTAGACTTAAAACAGAGTGACATTTATTTTAAAAAAGCATGAATTTGCAAAACACTTTATGAGAATTTTTCAAAAACTGCTGTGATCACTGTTGTGGCTGTTTCTTCCGTTAGTCAGCAGTCCTCATGGGAGTTCACCTAACTTCCATTTACATGCTGTAAAGGCAAACAGATATTTGGCATCGAATTCTAATCATGTATTACATTTAAAAAATAAAGCAAAAGGAAAGAAAGAAAGGAAAAAGCAGTATTGAGTTCCTGGATTTTAAAAACATTATTATCTCATCTTTAAACTATTTGTAGGAATTTCAAACTTACCCATTAACTTAGGATTTTTTAATTTGTTTTCTGCTCTCTCAGTTGGTTTTGATTCCAGTTTTCAGATAAAGATCTTGTCTTTGCAGAGGAGTGCAGAATGCAATTGTGTATCCTTATAGGCAGGTGTCATTAACTGAGGGTCACCAGCCACTGGTGGACTCCTGGATAGACTTCGATCTACAACTCTGTCCCATAATTAAATATAGGTTCGTGCATATGGAGACATATATATATACACCTTTTTTTTTTTTTTTTGAGATGGAGTCCCACTCTGTCTTCCAGGCTGGAGTGCAGTGGCGTGACCTCAGCTCACGGTGACCTCCACCTCCCAGGTTCAAGCGATTCTCCTACCTCAGCCTCTTGAGTAGCTTGGATTACAGGCGCATGCCACCACACTCGGCTAATTTTTGTATTTTCAGTAGAGACCTGGTTTCACCATGTTAGCCAGGCTGGTCTCGAACTGACCTCAGGTGTTCCACCCGCCTCGGCCTCCCAAAGTGCTAGGATTACAGGTGTGAGCTGCCGCACCTGGCCACCTTTTTTTTTTAACCTGGAGAAAATTACACAATTCTTGGATTCTCACAGGGGACCATGACATAAGAGAGAGAAAGAACTGTTGGTGCATATCTCAAAGCCTAGCTCTACTTTTGACGGTAGCTTTCGATGTCCCATACACATTTGGCATTTATTATCCTTATCCAGAGGTGCTTGTCAAGAAGCTACCTAATTGATTGCAACTCTGCTGCTTGCTCTCTGTAGAGAATCACACAGACCTGGCTGTGTTCCCCAGGTGCTTCCTGGGTACATGAGCATAAACACTCATGCAGCAGAGGAGAAATATGAGACAAGTGCCCAATTAAAACACAGGGTGATCTTTGCCTCAGACATTTCAGGATTAGGATTTAGAAATCAGAATGAATCGACTTAGCAGTTCCAAGACAAATTGAATGGGATTGGGAAACAAAGCCTTGTTAATATTTTCATTAAAAACGCCCCCGTTTCTGAGCCATTCCTGAGCATTAGACCGGTGCTGAGACTATCATATACCTTCTCACTCAATCCTTAAAACCGTCTGTGGGATCAGTGTTACTATCCTCATCTTACAGATGATGTAACAGAAGCTTAGCAAGATGATGATACATGTCCACGATCAATCAGAGAGTAAGTGACAGAGGACGTGACCTGAGGGCTCCTCCTCGCCAAAGCTTGTGGGTGATCAGGCGGCTATTGTGCTCAGTGTTTTTCTCAATGCTCTTTACCTGGTTGCCACCCTCTCCCATTAAAAAATAATTTTAGCTGGGCGCAGTGGCTCACTCCTGTAATCCTAGCACTTTGGGAGGCCGAGGTGGGTGGATCACTTGAGGTCAGGAGTTCGAGACTAGCCTGACCAACATGGTGAAACCCTGTCTCTGCTGAAAATACAAAATTAGCCGAGCGTGGTTGTGGGCCCTGTAATCCCAGCTACTTGGGAGGGTGAGGCAGGAGAATCGCTTGAACCTGGGAGGCAGAGGCTGCAGTGAGCTGAGATTGTGCCATCGCACTCCAGCCTGGGCAACAAGAGCAAAACTCTGTCTCAAAAAAATAAGAAGAATTTTGGGTGAGCTGTCTACAGCAGATGGTCACAGTTACAGGAAGTACCAATATAACTATATTGTACCAATATATCGTAATGTGCGCCAACAGTGGTGGTCCTTTTTGGTCCTTTTTTTCTTTTCTGTGTTCTACTTTAACATTTCTTCCTCCCAAGTAGGTTACTGATTGAAGATGACCTTATCGAGTCCCACTGTTTCCTTGCTCTACCTCTCAACCTGTATTTTTGGGGGACAGTTTTTTAATTTTTTTATTTTCCTTTTTTGAGACGGAGTCTCACTCTGTCTCCTAGGCTTGAGTTCAGTGGCACGATCTTGGCTCACTGCAACCTCCGCCTCCCGGGTTCAAGCGATTCTACTGCCTTAGCCTCCCAAGTAGCTGGGATTACAGGCACGCACCACCATGCCCGGCTAGTTTTGTATTTTTAGTAGAGATGGAGTTTCTCCATGTTAGCCAGGCTAGTCTCAAATTCCTGACCTCAGGCGATCCACTCACCCCTGCCTCCCAAAGTGTAGAGATTATAGCTGTGCACCACTGCACCCAGCCTAGGGGACAGTTTTATAATCAGTCTTCTTGGCCTTCAGAGGACTCTGCTGGTGGCTATACCCAGCTAGTGGCTTGTTCTCTCTTTCCACTTTTATTGCCCTGAAATTCTAAATATTCCATCATTTTGGTAGAAGAAAACCAGACCAAACTAAACATTCTCATGATTTCATCCACCTTTAAAAAAAAAAAAAAATCTGACGTCAAGTGATCCTGCAGCTCTAAGCTGTAATTCTCCCAGACCTTGCCCTGTTTACATTATTTAAAAACACTGATCTCAGCCTGGGCTCCACTTTTGTTATTATGATGCTTCCAGGTTTTTTGTCTTTAGTAAATTTATTCATAATTAAATCAAGGTTGAGAAGTGCTGGCTTATTAGAGACTCTGGCTGAAGGTCATGTGCGAACTCAGGAAACTGCTAATCACAGGTCGTGTTTTTCAGCCCCTGTCTTCAGGAAGGCTTAACTCTAAGGGAGGGTTGTTTTGTGTCATCTCCAGAGCTCTCATTTCTCCTGTGTGGCTTGGTGCCGAAGCTCATTCGTCCCCTCGCTGTCTGTTCGGCCCTTGTCCTACCTCCCCTTTCTCTTTCCACGCTTTTGTGTAAAGTAGCCCTCTTTCAAGCTGCTCCTCTGTCCTTTGAAAACAAATGAAAAAGCAAAATGTTCTTCATATACACTAAACAGGAAAGTATGCAAAGTAATGTTACAAACACCCATGTTCCCACCACTCTGTTTCATCAAAATCTTAACATGTCGCTGTGTGTCCTTTAGTTTTTTTGTTTTTTTAAAGAGATACGTTTAGCTGGGCATGGTGGCGCATGCCTATAGTCCTAGCTACTTGGGAGTCTGAGGCAGGAGGATCAATTATGCCCAGCAGTTTAATTCTCCTGGGCAACAGAGTGAGACCCTGTCTCTAAAAAAAAAAAAAAAAGAAAGAAAGAAAAGAAAAGAGAGAAGAGAAGAAATCAGATATTAGAGACACAGTTGAAGTTCCCGTGGACCCTCCTGATCCCGTTCTTTTTTCTGCTTCTCTCCTGATTTGAGTGATTATCGTTTCCGGGTGTGTGTTTCTACTTTGACCACACACATATATGTACACTAGAGATCTGTAGCGGAGGTTCTCAGACTTTCTCTGCTCGTGACCATTAATGGCCCAGCAATTTTTTTCATGGTACCGCCCGGGCAAGAGAAATACCTAACATGTCCATTTATTAAATAGGTCCAAACAACTTAATGAGTATTTATGTCCTTACAACTAAGTGGCCACCTGAAAAAAAAATACATATGAATTCGAAGGAAAAAATAACATCATTTCATTTTTAAATTACCACCATATGTTATGAATGAGATGTGTGTCCTTGTCAGGCACCAGACAACTTCTGACCCTTTGTAACCAGTTGACACCCGCACCTCATTTCCTGTTCCACGTTGATTTTCACACGATTTTTGCATTTTGCTGCGGTACCTGCCAAAAACTTTGCTTTGCAAATATATGATGTCATGGAAAGGGATGTAGAGCACTATTGTTGAAGCAGTGAAAAACCTCACATGAGTAGTATTTGCAGTGTCCAACGGATGTCCTGTATTACCGCGTTTCCGTCAAAAATTTAAAATACCCCACGGTGCCTCTGAGTTTGCTGCAATGCCTCACGGCACCTCATTGCACATTAGAATCACAGATGTGCGGCTTTTCTTGGTATTTTTTATGTGTTTTCAAATTTTATATATTAATAGATATTAACTGACTGCATTGTTCTCTAATGAGGTCACTGCACTTTTTCTGTAAATGGCAAGATCATAAATAGTTTGGGTCACAGAGTCTCTGTCCCAAGTACTCAATTTAGAAAGCAGCCATAGGTAAAGCATGAATTCATAAACTAGTCCATGTTTAGGAATGAGTCTGGCTGTGTTCCAACAGATGTTATTATTGGTTCCTAACATTTGAATTTCATATAATTTTCACGTGTAATAATACTCTTCTGATATTGTTGGCAACATTTTAAAAGGTGGCCAGGCACAGTGGCTCATGCCTGTAATTCCACTGCTTTTGGAGGCCAAGGTGGGAGGATTGCTTGAGCCCAGGGGTTCAAGACCAGACTGGGCAACATAGCAAGATCCCATCTCTATAAAAAAAATTTTTAATTAGCCAGGTTTGGTGGCACATGCCTGTAGTTCCAGCTACTCGGGAGGCTGAGGTGGGAAGATCACTTGAGTCCAAAAGTTTAAGGCTGCAGCAAGCTATGATCACACCTAGCTACTTGGTAAGCTACTATGGACAACATGGTGAAACCCTGTCTTGAAAGAAAGAGAGAGAGAGAGGGAGAGGGGGAGAGAGAGAGATAATACTTTTTAAAAGAGAAAGAAAGAAAAGAAAGAAAGAGAACACTTTTTAAAAGGATAAATAATTTTTAAAAACTTAATAATTTAACATGTAAAAAAAAAAAGATGTAGACCATATACAAAACCCAGAGGCACCTGGATTTGTCCTGCTAGCCATACTGGCCAACCCCTGCTCTATAACTTGATATTTTTGTGCAACATAACAGTTTTGCATTTCTCTATGTCACTGTGATCCAAAAAGCCTCATTTTGCCTGCAGTTTAGCCTTCTGTGCGTGCATGTAGCACGTGCATTTGTGCATTATTTGTCAAGGGGCTTTCAGATTGCTTCCAGTGTTCTGCTGTTACAAATAATGCTACGGGGGACATTCTTGTCCATGTCTCTGAGATTTAGTCTAAAAGGTCTTCTAGGGACTATATACAGGAGTGAGATTTGGGGGGTTAAAAGTACGCTTAGCAACAACTTAATAGATAAAGCCAAATTGTTCTGCAACGTAATACCAATTTATATCACTACCAATTGTGTGTGTGAGATTTCTGACCTCTCCACGTTTGTCCTGACACTTCTTTTTTTTTTTTTTCTTGAGACAGAGTCTCTCTCTGTTGCCCAGGCTGGCGTGCAGTGGCATGATCTCAGCTCATTGCAACCTCCACCTCCCAGGTTCAAGCAATTCTCCTGCCTCAGCCTCCCAAGTAGCTGGGCTTACAGGTGCACACCATCACACGTGGCTAAGTTTTGTATTTTTAGTAGAGATGGGGTTTCGCCAAGTTGACCAGGTTGGTTTCAAACTCCTGACCTCAGGTGATCCACCCACCTTGGCCTCCCAAAGTACTGGGATTACAGGCATGAGCCACTATGACCGGCTGAACGCTTCTATTGTTAGATTTTTTTAGCTCTTGCTAATCTGATGGTAGTTCATTATAGTTGTGAGATTTAGCATCTTTATGGCTGTTTCTGGGCATTTGTGAATTGTCTATTTTGTATTGTGCTATTTACCTTTTTCTTACTAATTAATGGAAATCCTTTATAGATTCCGAATACGAATACTTTGCCATTATGAGTTACAAATATCTTCTCCCCTGTATGGCTTATCTTTTAAATATGCTTGTTGTACCTTTTCTTGTCCACCCTTTTCTTTATGATTTCTGCTTTTGGAGGTTATAAAGATAATCATTTGTATTGCCTTATAACTGTTGTCTCTTGCATTGAGGCCTTTAATCATCTTAGAATTTGTTTGTGTAATGGTGTCTTTTTTCCTTAACTCTTACAGTTTGTGAGACTTTTCTGCCCTGGTGATATGTGCATCAGTGGTTGTTAGCCCAGCCCTATGAAAAGGGCCAGCTGGCCTCCATAGATCTAAGGCAGCCGAGAGTGCTGTCCCCTTTGTCCCAGGCTCTGCAGCATCCAAGGCGAGTGCAGATGGGGCCAGCTGTTCTTCCAAAACCATCATCTCTTCTTTACCTGCTCCTTCTGAGCTTCACCTGACATGGCTGTGCAGTCCCCAGGAAAAAGAAAGTCTCTCTTGTCTTCCTACTTCCTAAGTCAATCCTAGGAACTGTTACGTTCAATTCCAAGCAGTTGTCATAAAAGAAGTTTCCTTGGAACTTTGAAAACAAAAGAAAGGGTTTAATTTTCTTCTTTTCGTTTTGTTTTGTTTTGTTTTTAATTTTTTGAGACAGAGTCTCGTTCTATCCCCCAGGCTAACAGCTCACTGCAACCTCTACCTCCTGGGCTCGAGCGATCCTCCCACCTCTGCCTCCTGAGTAGCTGAGACTGCAGGCACAATCCACTACACCCAGCCAATTGTTCAATTTTTTTCTGGAGATGAGGTCTCACTACGTTGCCCAGGCTGGTCTTAAACTCCTGAGCTCAAGTGATCGCCTGCCTCAGCCTCCCAAAATGCTGGGATTACAGGCATGAACCACTGCGCCCATCCAAAAGGATTTAATTTTATGGTCAAATTCTACATTGTCTATTGACTTTAATATTTTTATAAAATTCTTTAAATAAAATGTCTTTACCTGGAATACCTTCAATGTACTTACTGGATTAGAGGCAGGTAGGTCCTGTTTGTATGGCTAGTATGTTCATTAAATATGAAAGTAATGGAAAGATGTTTATGACATAAGGAGAGAGGAACCTTCGCCTGTCAGGATAATAGAAATTGAAAGATTTTTATGACCTGGCTCAGCAGAAAAAGGAGTATATGATGTTAGCAATTTTTTAGAATTGATTTTTCAGAAGAAACATGCAAAACAAATGAGAATTAAGTAGCTAGAAAGCCTTTTTCCCCCCTTTATTCAGATAAAGTAACTGAAGACTTTTAATGAGAAGCCTGGTTTCTGTCTTTCTACACGGTGCACTGGGAATAGTAAGCTGTTAGAAGTCAGTGCTTAGAAGTACCTACCATCCTAAACACAGGAACCAAAAACAAGGGAAAAAAAAAAAAAAAGGAAGATAAATAAAGTAAAAGTAAAAAAGTACCTACCGTCCCAAATTTTGTATATGATGATGTTCACGTTTTTGAACTTACACATATTCTTCTGTATAAGTAAAATATTTCATAAAATTAAAAATGTTTTATAAAATTAGGAACAGAATTTCTTAAAGATCAACATGGTACTAATACATCTTACAATCTGTCTTTCAAAGTTTCAATAGACTTAACTTAGAGTCATTTTTTAAATTGCATTTTGATGCCAATATAATTCATGTGTCATTTTCCGCTATAATACAATGAAAATCCAGATAATGGAGATGGATTTTCTTCTGAGTAGCCACGCATATTAGGTTTCAGGCTCCAATTGCCTGGTTTTGAATTGCTCTTTGCCATGTGCTGTCTGTGACCTTGGGTGGGTCACTTCACCTCCCCCAAATCTAGGTTTCTCCAATACCTACCTCCAGGCTTGTTCTAGGCATGAAGTGCAGTGATGATGGAGAAGGCATGGACTGTGGCACAAATAGAAGAGTCAGGGGTTGGCAGCTCCTATTCCCACTGTACGATGCCAAGGATCTTTACCTATAGGATAAGCCTTCAGAAACATAATTTGGTCTTTCAAGTGCTGAATACCTCTGTGAGTATACTTTTTTCCATCTTTTTTCTTTTGGTAAATGAAACTCACTGAGAAATTTGACTTCTGATAATGGGAAACAGTGCTGCTTATGTGTTCTCCTTGTACAAAGGTGTCTGGGACCATTATACTTAGAGGTGATCTGAGAAATCGGAGGGGCTCTGATTGTTTTGAAAACTCTCCTTTGAGGTCGGGCACAGTGGCTCATGCCTGTAATCCCAGCACTTTGGGAGGCCGAGGCGGGTGGATCACTTGAGACCAGCTTGGCCAACATGATGAAACCTGTCTCTACTAAAAATACAAAAATTAGCCGGGCTTGGTAGCATGCATTTGTAATCCCAGCTACTTGGGGGGCTGAGGAAAGAGAATTGCTTGAACCTGGAAGGTGGAGGTTGCGGTGAGCCAAGATCACACCATTGCACTCCAGCCTGGGTGACAGAGTGAGACTCTGTCTCAAAAAAAAAAAAAAAAAAAAAGAAAGAAAGAAAAAGAAAACTCTCCTTTGAATTAAGGTAATCCTTCTTGAAAGGCTTGTTTAAAATGTTTCCTTGTTACCTGGGAGAGAGCAGGAAGCACTGGGAAATAGCACGTCACTGGTGCCTCGTGCCATTTCCGTGCCTTTCCCTGTCTTGCCTCAGCCTTGCACTGTGGAATGCAAAAGAGTAGAAGAAACTCCAACGTGAAAATTGTCGACAAACAATGCAGAGAATCTTCGGTGGCATTAAACATTAAAATTAAAGACACATGGTCTTAAATTCAGCTGATATACTTGACACCTCAGATATACTCTTGGTGCCAAAAGGGATGTTAAGCAAAATTTGAGGGATTTGACTCCTTATTTGGGAAAGACCATGACTACCAAGGGGAGAGAAACCAGAGGCAAACCTTATTGAAAAATGGAGTAGCTAAGTCATTTTGTATATGTTACTTTTACCCAGCCAAGTACAGTCTGTAGTTTTACACAGTGAATTTGATCTTTACTCTAAATTCTTTTCCTTTAATGAAAGTGCTAGTCAGTAATGCAGAACTTGGGCAAGTTTTATAAATATGTTTGCTTTACAACCAGTCTTATTAAGTCAGGGTATCATCTAAGGGCCCAATCAAGGACTTTTCATTTAAAAAAGAAAAACTCTAAATTGCATTGTGATATAACCCTTAAATTCCAACTGTCATGGGGAATCCCAAGACCTACATCTGTATGTATGTGCTGTGTTCTAAACACTGCTCCCCAACCTTTTTGGCACCAGGGACCGGTGTCTTGGAAGACAACATTTCCGTGGTTTTGGGATTAAACGGTTCCACCTCAGATCATAAGGCGTGGGTCCTAGATCCCTTACATGCGCAGTTCACAGTAGCATTCACACTCCTATGAGAATCTAATGCCACTGCTGATCTGACAGGAGGTGGAGCTCAGGCAGTAATGCTCACTTGCCCGCTGCTCACCTCCTGCTGTGCGACCCAGTTCCTTACAGGGGCTGCAGACCAGGGGGTTAGGGGTCTCTGTTTTTGTTTTTTTGGAGATCAAGTCTCACTCTGTCGCCCAGGCTGAAGTGCAGTGGCACAATATCGGCTCACCACACTCTTCACCTCCCAGGTTCAAGTGATTCTCCTGTTTCAGCCTCCCAAGTAGCTGGGACTACAGGCATCTACCATGCCCAGTTAATTTTTGTCATTTTAGTAGAGACTGAGTTTCACCATGTTGGCCAGGCTGGTCTCGAACTCCTGACCTCAAGTGATCTGCCCCCCTCAGCCTCTCAAAGTGCTGGGATTACAGACGTGAGCCACCGCGCCTGGCTGGGGACCTCTGTTCTAATATGCTTACCATGCCAAATGCATTATGAAGAAAAACAGAAACAAGGCTTTTAATGTTAAAGTCTTATTTTCTCGCTACTGAAATAGGCAAAATGTTTCAATTTTGCAAAAATAATATAGTATTGTGTATAGGATCTTCCCTAACCTGCTTTTTACATTTAATTAGGCTTCTACGAGTCATTCGGGTAGTTGCATCTAGCAGGCTATTTATCCATTCTTTATAGACCCTTTAGAGGTTTGAGACCCCTTTATAGAGGTTTGAGAGCCCTTTCTTGCCCCAGTTCTCTTGTCTGTAAAGCTGTAGGAAATAATATGACCTAACATACAAGGCAGTGTGAGGACAGCAGAAGTGACTTCTGTAATGCATATGGTGCTGTTCCAGGCATGGATAAATCTTTGCTAACAGTCGTAAGAGTTTACCTCCTGTGAGGACCTGGCTACGTGCTGAGCACCCTGCTTGGTGCTTTGTACATTGTGACTCATTCAGTTGCTCAAACAACACCATGAGTAGTTTACCAGAATTACCCCCATCTTGCAGGTGAGAAAACTGAGCATCCGAGTGAGTTAGTAGTTTGCTCAAAGGCAGGCAGCTAGCGCAAGGGGGAGCAGGAATTTGAACCTGAGTGTCGGCCCCACAGCCTTTGCTTTTACCACCGTGCTTTGCCACCTCTGAATGTTCACTTTCATTCCATAGCAGCATCATACAGCCCTGTGCATAACAGGAAGTGCACGTTTGTTAAATGAGAAACTAGTAACACTTCTGGTAGCTGAATGACTTAACTACTGGTAAACCTGTCTGCATGGCCACTAGGCTTTTTATGGTGAACACAGGCATATTTTCCATGTGCTGTGTTGAAGCAGCAATTAAATAAATCAGGTAAAAGAGTAATTAAATTTAAAAGGTAAAACGTTTTGGAAGGAGTTTTGAGGTTTAGGGCTGTCTAACCTGACCTTGACTGTTTCTCTATGTGCTGTAAGATGCAGATTGATTTTCAATGAGATATTCAGCCCATCCCTGCTTATGATTTATATATATTCTAAGTAATATGCTTAGAATGTAGTTCTGCTTACCATCATAAAATGTGGAGTTAAAATAAGATCCTTGTCAAAACATTGTCATGCAGAGATTAGTGCTATGAAAGTTAACATTAAATGATTTTAAAATGTGATCCAGAGGTTAAACTGAAGTTTTGAAATTCATAAAATGCATAAGCTTTTTGAGAATTTTTAAAAATATCCGTTACATAATAACTTTAAAATTACGTTATATGATTGCTATCTTACCCCATCTTAGCCAAGAGCATTCAGCCTGAGGATACTCAAAAAGAGTCAAATTACCCCTTCCTTGTATAAGCTATAGTTTAGGATATTGCAATTATATGAGGTCGTTTTAAAGTTTTTAGCAACGTTTGGTATAATTACAATATTGTGCTGTTCTTACACAAAGAAAACATAACAGAATTTTGAGCTAGGAATATTGGGAAACCAGCCATTGCTAAAGGAAGATGCATTTAGTGTATCTTTCTATGTACCTCTTAACATCTTTTGTGGGGTGTAGAAAAACAGATTATTAGGGCTTTCTTTTTTTGTGGGGGGGGCGGGAGCGGGGATGGAGTTTCACTCTTGTTGCCCAGGCTGGAGTGCAATGATGTAATCTCGGCTCACCACAACCTCCTCCTCCCAGGTTTAAGTGATTCTTCTGCCTCAGCCTCCCAAGTAGCTGGGATTACAGGCATGTGCCACCACACCCGGCTAATTTTGTATTTTTAGTAGAGGTGGGGTTTCTCCATGTTGGTCAGGCTGGTCTCGAACTCCTGACCTCAGGTGATCTGCCCACCTTGGCCTCCCAAAGCGCTGGGATTACAGGCATGTGCCACCATACCCAGCTAATTTTGTATTTTTAGTAGAGATGGGGTTTCTCCATGTTGGTCAGGCTGGTGTCGAACTCCTGACCTCAGGTGATCTGCCCACCTCAGCTTCCCAAAGTGCTGGGATTACAGGCGTGAGCCACCACGCCTGGCCTATTAGGGATCTCTAAAAGCCGCAAGCCTCTTGCTAGCCATAGCTGTGAATGTTGTCTTAACCATTAATGCTTCAGTATAAATAATATCAATTTAAAAGCTGCCTAAGATTTAAAAGTACTATGCAAATTACAAACTGCTTGGGTATCTAGATCAAAATAAAGCAGAGCAAAGAAGTAACTTTAGGAATGAAAGGGTATCTAAGTGGAATGATAAAGGAAGACTTCATGCAACAGAAGAATTTAAGTAAAACTGAAAAACTGAAACTAATGTGATCATGGCATTAAATAGTGTAACCCTGAAGACGCATCCAGTATATAAGGAACACCACAGCAGTGCCTATACTCACCGTTATTATTCATCATTATTCTGAAGCATGAATAAGAACAATTTCAAAAATTATAAATATTGGAAAGGAAGAGACACATTTTATTATTTATGTACAGAATAATTATATAACTAGAAAATTCAAGAGAGGCAACTGACAACTTATTTTAAGTAATAAAAGTTTTAGTTTGCTAGTGGATGCAATGTAAATATGTAAATGTCAATAGTTTTCTTTTTTTGTTAGCCATAAATACATACTGTAATAGAGAAAATGTCCTACTTATACATGTCCCCCAAAGGATAGAATACTTAGGAAATAAGTTTAGCAAGAAATGAGCACATAGAATAAAACTATAAAACTTTATTGAAAGACAAACAACAAGACCTGAATAAATGGTAAGACACATGACATACTCTTAGATGGGAATAACTGGTATTAATCATCCTTCCTCTGTCAAACTAACACCTAAATTACTATAAAATTACTATACTATATCATGCCACACTATACTATACTGTATTTACTGTAAAAACTGCAGAGGAAAATGAACTTCGTGGTTAAATTAATCACAGCATTTGTCTAGATTCTGCAAGAATGAATTCATGAGGATGGATTTAAAAGCTTTTTCAAGGCCGGGCGCAGTGGCTCACGCCTGTAATCTCAGCACTTTGGGAGGCCAAGGTGGGCAGATCACTTGAGGTCAGGAGTTCGAGACCAGCTTGGCCAACATGGTGAAACCCTGTCTCTACTAAAAATACAAAAATTAGCCAGGTGAGGTGGTGCGTGCCTGTAGTCCCAGCTACTTGGGAGGCTGAGGCAGGAGAATCGCTTGAACCAGGGAGGCAGAGGTTGCAGTGAGCCTAGATTGTACCACTGCACTCCAGCCCGGCGACGGAGTGAGATTCTGTCTCAAAAAAAAAAAAGGCTTTTTCAAGAACCATGATGGATGATTAAACTAATTGTAAGTATCAGAACAAGATAACCCTATAGCAAAACAGTTAATAGCAGAGGAATACCCTGGAGTGTCCTGAGATAGATTTCTTCCAGTAGTAATTTGATAAGATGACATTTTATTTTTATTTTTATTTTTTTCTTTTCTTTTATTTTTTTGAGACAGAGTTTCACTCTTCTTGCCCAGGCTGGAGTGCAATGGCGTGATCTTAGCTCACTGCAACCTCCACCTCCCAGGTTCAAGTGATTCTCCTGCCTCAGCCTCCCGAGTAGCCGGGATTACAGGCATGCGCCACCATGCCCAGCTATTTTTTTGTATTTTTTAGTAGAGACAGGGCTTCACCAGGTTGGCCAGCCTGGTCTTGAACTCCCAACCTCAGGTGATCCATCTGCCTTGGCCTTCCAACGTGCTGGGATTACAGGCATGAGCCACTGCACCTGGCCAGATGACATTTTAAATTAGTGGTGAATGGATGGGATACTGATTAAATGATGTTGGAACATTTGACTAATAATTTTAAAACATAAACCATAGAGTTTGTTGTTGTTGTTGTTTGAAATGTAGTCTCGCTCTGTCACCCAGGCTGGAGCGCAGTGGTGCGATCTCAGCTCACTGCAACCTCCGCCTCCTGCGTTCAAGTGATTTTCCTGCCTCAGCCTCCCTGAGTAGCTGGGATTACAGGCACATGCCACCATGCCTGGCTAATTTTTGTATTTTTAGTAGAGACGGAGTTTCGCCATGTTGTCCAGGCTGCTCTTGAACTCGTGACCTCAGGTGATCCATCTGCCTCTGCTTCCCAAAGTGCTGGGATTACAGGCATGAGCTGCCATGCCCTGCCAAAATATAAACCATAGAGCTTTGTATCACAATATATTCAAAATAAAGATAGAGTGACTTTTTACTTTTTAGTGTGCAAATTAAACATAAAGCTTCCAGGAAAAAGCAAAAAAAAAAAATTATTGTTGGTATCCTATCAAGGCTAGTAAAAAGAATAGATAAATGTATACATGGAACATGGGAAAACATTCACAAAATATAAAGTTAAAAAAATCAGGTTGTAAAATAATATATCTCCAATTTGTATGAGATTTATATCTATATATGGAATGAAGAGATATAGAAGTATATCAAATGATTATTTTTGTTTGCCTGGAGGTAATGGAATCATGGTGATTTTCACTTCACACTTTGTGATTTGGCATTCTCAAATTTTTACAATTACTGTGTATTACTTTTGTAGTAGTTTTTTTTATAAAAGGAAAAAATGACTTGAAAAATCAAGTAATTTGACATGTAGACACAGGGAAATTACATTCGAGGCAGAGAGCAAACGACAGGCATGTGACTGTAGCTGACAAGTGTCAGCAGATTGTGGGCATAGTTTAGAGTCTAAGACATCTGGGGGAGATGAGTTTCATCATTAGATGAAGTCATATTCTGGAGGGGAATAAATGCTAATCTGAAATACTATGCTTTCAATTGCCAGTGAGGAGAAATTGACAGTTTTGAAATAGTGGTTTCAGGAAGGCTCTCCTGAGAAGATGGCACTGAGGCGAGCCTTGAAGAAGGTGAGAGGGGAGAAAGATTGGCCTGTGTTCAAGGAATCAAAATAGTTCGCTAGTTCAGAGACAGGGTAAAGCAAATAGACTGGAGTCTCATTCAATGTCTTTAAAAGTCATGGAGAAGAGTTAGTATAGTTTCTAATCCATGAGGACTTCCTGAATGATTTTGCCAGGACTGTACTTTAAGATACTGTTTCTTTCCAACCCCCCATCAGATAAGTCATACCACTTTTCTGAAGTCGAATAAGTGAAGGGAAAGAGTGGACAAATTGTTATCTAACAGGGCTCCCTCCCCAGGAAAGGACTCCTTCGTCAGTAAGAGATGTGCACGTGGTATAACCAACAATGCTACTTCTGGGTATGTCCACACTGCTGGAGCTCAGAAATGCACAATGAAAAAACAAAACGGGTTGTGGAAGTGTGTATACAATCTGTTACATTTTTGAAAAACACATAACACAATGCTATATTCTGTTTATGCATGTGTGCTTATGTAGAAAAAGTCTGAAAACCTGATCTGCATAAGCTCTGAGTTCATAGGAGTTATGACCATGGGAAGAAGTAGAGGGGTGGGATGAGCGCATGGGATACTGAACTCAGCTATGCTGCTTTACTTCTCTGAAAGAGGAACAATCTTAAGTAATCATGGTAAAATGTTAATGTTTGTCCATTTCAGGGTGGGGAAGGAAATTTAGGTCTGTAATTTAGGAGAGAGGTTGAGGCCAGAGCCAAGATTGGCAGTTGTGATGAGTATGTGGTTACATCTTCACTTTTTTTAGAACTAAATCTGGATGTCAATGGCCATGTTTAGTGGGCCAGGGGCCTTACATTACTTTCTTGCAGCACTGATGGCTTTTGTTTGAGGCTGCACAAATTCCTGCATTTCCCTTGGGTTGAATGGTAGGGATGCGGGCAGTTGGTGACTGGGTGAACCACCTGACTTGAGCAGGGCTACGACTCTCTCTGCAAACGAAACCCAGAGACATGAACAGTGCTGAGATTTCTCAGTGGTTTCCCATGTAGGCTGCTTTCCAAGGGCAGCAAGCATGGCTTCATCACTCACCCAGTGCTTCTGATTCAGCACTGTGATGCTCGGTTAAGTTTTAATGAGGTTTTAAATTTTTTCGTATGTTTGAGTGTTTATGCAAACAAAGATGCTGAATTGTAAACACCAGCAATCTGAGTACCTTCTTTTGATTTCTCTCTCCATATTGTTTAGTCCCTTTTTCTTTGTTTGTTTTATGAAATTGCATAGATGTTTTGGTTGAGAGTAGATTGTTTTTACTTTTCAGGGACAGGCAACAATTTCATGATATAACTTCTAAAAATATTTTAAACAAGTATGAAAATAGTTTTTTCTTCCAAAAAACCATTTCTTCATTTGGCACATACACAAACAAATGAGCAGAATTTAGAGTAATTTAGAGACAGAATTTAGATAATTTGGGTGGGTTTTTTTTTGGACAGTCTTGCCCTGTTGTCCAGGCTGGAGTGCAGTGATGTGATCTCGGCGCACCACAGCCTCCTCCTCCCAGGCTCAAGCGATTCTTGTGCCTTAGCCTCTCAAGCTACAGGCACACACCACCACGTCCAGCTAATTTTTGTATTTTTATTAGAGACGAGTTTTTGCCATGTTGCCCAGGCTGGTCTTGAACTCCTGGCCTTAAGTGATCCTCCTGCCTCGGCCTCCTTAAGGGCTGGGATTACAGGCATGAGCCACCACAGCCGGCCTAGTGTGAAAGCAGTTTTTAAGGACAGTTGAACAGGAAAGCTCCTGGATTCCTGCACATAGATCTTGTGCCCCTCCAAAGTGCCGTAAGTACCGATTTCTGCTGTCTTGATTTAACTCAGTGTCTGGAGCTTACGATCCTTCCTCTCTGTTTCCTTCAGTGGCGTAGCTTGGGGGTGTCAATTAAAGAGTTATTGCAAGATCTCAGCCTCTGAAAGTTTAGCTTATTCATCAGCAAAACTTTAAGCAAGTCTCACCTCTTCTAAATTAGAATTGTAACCTTGACTTTAGTCTCAGAGTTAACATTGTGCAGAAAAAGAAAACACTGCGCAGTGTTGAAGCAGTTTGCAAACTGAAATGATACAAATGAAAAATGCTATGATGTTTCTCAGTAGTCTCTGTATTTGCAAATGAGTCAGTTAGGATTAGTTTTACCCACAAATAACAACAACAGTAAAAAAAAAAAAAAAAGAAAGAAAGAAAGAAAGTGACCCAGCACTATAATACAAGTTTATTTCTCTCTCACATCAAGGAAGTTCAGGGTAGCCAGTCTGGGCTGGTTTAGCAACTCCTTGATCATCATGGGTTCTGTGCTACCTGGTAGTCCAGGATGGTTGCACAAGCTCCAGCCATTGCATCTGTATCCCAATCAGCAAGAAAAAGGAAGAAAGGCATACCCCCTTTTCAGGAGGCTTCCTGGAAATCACATACAACATACCTGGTTACATCTCATCAGTGACCTTAGTCACACAGCCATACTTAGCTGCAAGACAAGCGAAGACATTCAGATTCTACCTCTTCTTCTTGAAATAGAAAGGTGAGTTGCCAATCCACTGTCAGCGTGACGACAGTTCAAGAGGTTTTCCTAGACACAGAGTTGAGTTAATCCCGTCATCTGTGTCATCGTCTCTATTTTGACAGCATCTGTCAGGTGGTCAACCAGAGTTTAGGCAAGAAGACCTATGACTTCTCTACACAGACATGATTAGGATTATCTTCTAAATCAACCAAACTGACCAGCCCACCCTTTCATTCTTCTGTGCATCACAGATCATTTTTGAAAAAGAGTTTAGGACACATCCAATAGTAAGAGTGTAGTTTTATAAATCAGGACTCAGTCTTACAGTGGAAGATTATATGGTAGTTAGTGTCATGGAGAAAAGCTTCATATTAGATTAGTTGAATCGATTGGGATACAGAACCGTCTTTAGAGCATGGCATCGTTACATTGCAGATAAAGCATGTAGGTAGAGAATGATATCTTTGTTGGGGAGAGCCCCAAACTGCTCTTCAGGAACCTTTCTCCGAGATTTGCAAGCCAATTAGGCATAATGAAACCTTGTTTTTAATGCATATCTTTTGCCAGTATAATAAACATAATAATTAAATGTTTATATATCTTTCGTATTTTCCTGTATAATACAACTAATCATATTTTTGTCAGGCTGAGGACATCTCAAGAGGAGGGAAAGGTGGCAAATTGAGGGTCTGTTCTTCTTTTATACCAGATGGCAATTATAACAAATTACTTCTGGACTTAGGGATGGGGGAGGGGTGGGGAGATGGGAACATGAGAATTATTCCTGATTTTTGTTACTTTTTGTCCTGTAAAATATGCTTACCAGGCCGGGCACGGTGGCTCACGCCTGTATCCCAGCACTTTGGGAGGCCGAGGCAGGCAGATCGCCTGAGGTCGGGAGTTCGAGACCAGCCTGACCAACATGGAGAAACACTGTCTCTACTAAAAATACAAAATTAGCCAGGCGTGGTGGCACATGCCTGTAATCCCAGCTACTAGGAAGGGTGAGGCAGGAGAATCACTTGAACCTGGGAGGCGGAGGTGGCGGTGAGCTGAGATCACGCCATTGCATTCCAGCCTGGGCAACAAGAGCGAAACTCCGTCTCAAAAAAAAAAAAAAAAATGCTTACCGGGACATCTCAAGGACATCATTCCTTTGTCAACGGTACAAAGATAACCTGAGACATAAAGTGAAAATGATTTATGGTTTTTTGTTTTCTTCCTTACATTAAATTTTCCAATAACATATCGCTAATAACATATTTCTTTTGTTTTGAGACGGAGTTTTGCTCTTGTTGCCCAGGCTGGAGTGCAGTGGTGCAATCTCGACTCACCGCAACCTCCGCCTCCCAGGTTCAAGTGATTTCTCCTGCCTCAGCCTCCCAAGTAGCTGGGATTACCTGCCACCACATCAGGCTAATTTTTTGTATTTTTAGTAGAGACGGGGTTTCACCATGTTGGCCAGGCTGGTTTTGAACTCCTGACTTTGTGATCCACCTGCCTTGGCCTCCCAAAGTGCTGGGATTACAGGCGTGAGCCACGGTGCCTGGCCAACATATTTCTAATAATATATTAATTTGATAAACAGAAGTTATTTTGGAAATAAGCCAAAACAACAAAAAATGCTCATCCCTGCTTTTCAAGGCTATTATCTGTAGTTTGAGGTTTTATCAAATGTAGATATGAACTGCGGGCCTCTTCAGGATGTCCTCATTGCTTCTGTTAATGCTTTTACCATCCAGTACCACTGAACAGGCAGCAGGGTGCCTTCTTGGGCACACCGGAAGGACCCAGGAAAAGGAAGATAGTGTGGCCTGTTCTTGTCTCCATGCCCCAAAATGGACCACTACACCAGTGGGGTAGGAAATAGCAGGTGTGTTATGGGTTGAGTTTGGAGACCTTGACTTGATCAACCATCTGCTCACCCAGGTCATCTTTCCTTTTTTTGCAGAGGTGAGGTCTCACTATCTTGCCCAGGCTGGTCTCCTGGGCTCAAGTGATCTTACCGCCTTTACCTCCCAAAGTGCTGGTATTACAGGTGTGAGCCACCATGCCTGGTTCTTGTCACCATTCTTAACATCAGCAGCAGCAGAAAAACCCCCTGTTTAGCCTTCAATGTTAATTTCCTCCTTGATCTATGTGTTCTACACAAACCACTCCCTTGTTGTCCCCCATATATTACATTTGTGGACTCTTCTCAAACTCTGCAGCTCAGCCCTGGTTCCTGCTGAGCCTACAGCCCCAGGCCTGAGCAGCCGGCTGGGCCAAGTTACCCTCAGTCTCAAGATGACTTCCTCACAAGGCAAAACATTTCTCCAGCTGGGTTGGAGACCTAAGCTGGGGAACTGGGCTCTCACATTCCAAGATAGAGGTTTGCCTATGGACCCCTGAAAGTAGGCGTGTAGAAGCAGGTTCCTCTGATGGCAGAGGCCCTCTGTTTATCTCTGAAAGATCCTGAATGCTATGCTTCTTTCATCCCCTCTGCCTTGAATTCGCCTGCTTTCTAGGTGCGGTGGAGAAAGCTGGGAAAAGAGCCACCTCTGCTCCCAGGGGCCACTGAGAGGGTAGAACACTGACCGAATCCCAGACTCACTACCTCAGGGGCTGAGATGGGTCCAAAGGGGCCCTTAACCTCTCACTTGATCACCTGACTCTTACCGCTGTCATTGATCTGACATGTTCTCCTGGGCGCTGTCCCAGCTCTGTCCCAGCTTCTCAGCACTGTGTCCTGGTCAGCCCTGAGGGCTCATTTCCTTTATCCATACTGAGGACCAAGACCTGTCTTTCCTGTAGGGCAGTGAGGGCCACGGGCTAGTGCCTGAGCCGATGAGTGCACTGCTGGTACTGTGCTGAGCCCTGGACAAGGGTGTAGGTTGCTCTAAAAAACAACTTCCCAATATTCTACAAAATAACGTTCAAACTGAACAGAGCTTGACTGAAGATTCTTCTTACTTCATTTGTTTTCATGCTACATTTTTGCTGTCCGGCTCCAAGTCTGTGACAATGGGTCACGGGATCAGTGCGAGTAACAGTGAAGATGTTTTTCTTCATCTTTGGGCTATGATTGTGCTTTGTGATCCTAAGTATAAATACATTGAGGCTGGGCACGGTGTCTCACACCTGTAATCCCAGCACTTTGGGAGGCCAAGGCAGGTGGATGCCTCGAGCCCAGGAGTTCGAGACCAGCCTGGGCAACATGTCAAAACCCCATCTCTACAAAAAAAATACAAAAATTAGCCAGGTGTGGTGGTGTGCACCTGTGGTCCCAGCTGCTCAGGAGGCTGAGGTGGGAGGATCACCTGAGCCCTGGAGATCAAGGCTGAAGTGAGTTATGATCGTACCACTGCACTCCAGCCTGTCTCAAAAAACAAAACAAAAAAAATACATACACTGACTAATAACACCAGCAATATTGTTTCATGGGAGCTGCCTCTGCTGTTTGTACCAAAACTGAGCAGATTCTTTAGGCCAGGCCCGAGTAATCATTAAATCGATCTGCTTGTGAGAAACCGGTAGGTCTAGGCATGAGCACAAAGTGGCAGGTCCGTCTCTTCCCTTCTTAAATAAGGAATCACCAGAGGTAGACTCTGTGCCTGTGACTCTTGAATGTTTAACTGAAATCCAGAGCAGCAATTGCATTTTATATGACACCATGTGTGTGCAAAAACTGAATCAAAATCTTGTGAAACAGTGCTACTTTCACTTACTATATATGATGTAGTCTAATAATTTTCTATCCTATTTTATTTCCTTTTTTTAAATGCTGGTTGAAATTCTGTAAATTTATATAATGACAAACTACTGGGACTCTATCTTGGTTCAAAAGTCCATGATCAGCCTGCTTGTATTGAGTTACTACATTGTACGATCTTATAATTGTAAAGTTTAAGATATTTTCCTTCTGTCTGTCTTAATTTATTCTGTAATCTAAGTTGTCCTGCCAGGAATGCTGGCATATTTACTTTGTTTTTGAATTCAATAATCATAGTTTCTCTTGCTAAGTTACATTAATGGTACCAAAAAAAAGTTACTGCATGGTTTTTGAAACTGTTCTTTCCTAGGAAGTTTTAAAGTAAAATGTTTTTACCTTTTATTGTTTACACAGGTTAAGCATCCCTAATTCAAAAATCCAAAATCCAAAGAAGTGCTCAAAAATCCAAAGTTTTTTGAGTGACAACATGATGCCACCAGTGGAAAATTCCACACCTGATCTCGTGTGGCGGGTTGCAGTCAGCATGCAGTTAAATCTTTCATATATGCACAAAATTATTAAAACTATTGTCCAGGGCCAGGCACAGTGGCTCACACCTGTAATCCCAGCATTTTGGGAGGCCAGGGCAGGCAGATCACTTGAGCTCAGGAGTTCGAGACCAGCCTAGGCAAGGTGATGAAACCCTGTCTCCTCTAAAAATACAAAAAAAAAAAAAAAACATTAGCTGGGCACGGTGGCACACACCTGTAGTCCCAGCTATTTGGGAGGCTGAGGTGGGAGAATCACTTGAACTGGGTGGCAGAGGTTGCAGTGAGCCAAGATCATGTCACTGCACTCCAGCCTGGGCAAACAGAGGGAGACCCTGTCTTAAAAAAATATATATACATATATATATATAGTTTAGGCTATGTCTATAAGGAGTATATGAAATATAAATGAATTTCATGTTTAGACAGGGGTCCCAACCCCAAGATATCTCGTTATGTATATGCAAATATTACAAAATCTGAAAAAATTTAAAAGCCAAAAATCACTTCAGTCTGGTGCCAACCATTTTTGCATAATTGCATTTTCCATGTTGCATTTTGCAACCATTTTGCATAATTCTGTACTTCTTTCCCTTTTGGGTTTGTTTTCATAACTGCTCAGTAAAAAGTGTTCTGTGTCATCTTTCCATTATTTTGGGCTAAATCATGTTAATGGCCAAGCCTGTCAGAATTCATTTGTTTTGAGTTAACTTCCTGGTGTCCAGTTCTCAGGAGTTGCAAGAATAGAGCTCTTCCCTCATGCAATCATCCAAAATCCCAGGCCTCTAACCAGGATTGGGGAACACCACTGTTGGCCAAGAGCAGAAGGCTTAAAGCTCTGGTCATAGTCATGGCACTGTACAAACTGTTCTTGTTCCCTACAAGAACATGGGAACTATTTGGATAATGGATTTATGAATTTAATTCTGATGGATTTTTATAAAGGAGCTAAAAATAAGCCTATATAATTTATTACATGTATAATCATATAATTTTAAATGTGTATAATTTATAATATTCATCGAAACATTTCTTTTTGGAAATTAAATTTCACTTTGGTCAAAATCATCTTACAAAACAAGATGACTCATGATGGTTCTAAATAATGTAAACCGGTGTCTGTAACTAATTAATGCTCTGGAGGAAGGAAATTCTGAGTTCTGACACAAAAGCACGTCTAAGTGGTATTGGTATTTTCAAAGCTTTTACTACAACCAAAAATATGTTCACGTGTACCTGTCTCCTCTTTACACTGCTTACTTTCTCTATCGCTTTTCCCAAATACGTCCCCAGTAACTTCCTCATGTTCTGTGCACCACCTCCAATCTTCCCCTAATGTGTATGAACTTGGTCATCACCAAAGAGGTGGAAAGGAAGAAGGGCATGTGCTAATATTAATATTGAGGTTTGGGCTGGGTGTGGTGGCTCATGCCTGTAATCCCAGAATTTTGGGAAGCCGAGGCAGGTGGATCACGAGGTCAAGACATTGAGACCATCCTGGCCACATGGTGAAACCCCGTCTCTACTAAAAATACAAAAATTAGCTGAGTGTGATGGTGCACAACTGTAGTCCCAGCTACTCGGGAGGCTGAGGCAGGAGAATTGCTTGAACCAGGGAGGTGGAGGTTGCAGTGAGCCGAGATCGTGCCACTGCACTCCAGCCTGGCAACAGGGAGAGACTCTGTCTCAAAAAAAAAAAAAAAAAGAAAAAAATTGAGGTTTGTGCCAGTTTCTTTTTCCTTTAGGTCTCCTGATATGTGTCTAGTTAGTTCTATATACTTCCTGGAAATTCGACTCCAAGATATTTAATAAAACTAAACAGGGTTATATGTTGAATAGACAAATCCTAAAGAGCAGAAAGGATTTAGTGGTTAGTGAAATTTCATTGACTTAAGATGAGTTGGATCCTCAAAATTAATATATTCTAAACAAAGTTCTATTTTTAAGCTGCAGTAATAATGCCGAATTTCTCTTATAGTTAATTGAATGATTTATCCTGGTGTTGTCTCCTGGTAGTCACTGAAAAAGTCATTACAATCCTCACTTTCTCCCCTTTAATTCAAGTTCAGAATTCATGTGTTGCTGTGACTTTTTTTGAGTTTATCTGCAGACAGCTGCCATTGAATAAACATGTTTATATAGGGCAGAAAAAGGCAGCCTGAAGATTCTACTTTCTATTTCTTTTAGCACTGTTTGGCAGTTAACACCAACAGCGCTTCAGAATGAGGTACTGTCCAGCATACACCTTGCTTGTTCCTCTACAAAGCTTCTATTTTTGTTTTTGATTTGTTGTGAGGAAGCAAAGTGTAGCCTTTACTTGAATGAAAGCTACAGTTTTATTTTTCTTTCTTATTTACAAGAAATTCTTTTGATGATTAAGTTAGCCAGATACGCCCCGTGCGCTCATATTTCTTAACCTATTTTGAGCTGAGCTAGTTGCAAGGACTAGTTCTTCTGTGAAACCTCTGGCAGTCCATAAATTCAAGTTCGTGTCCAGACGTAATGGTGAACTCAATATGTTGTATATTTGATATATGTTTGTTGCACACATGGAGAGAAAAGTTGCTACCATTGTGAAGTAGCCATGAAATCCGACAGTTCTAATTTCTTTATCTTCTGAGTACCCATGGAATAAAGGACCTCTTAGTGCCATAGCAAGGCAGAAGTTTAATTTGCAATTCTGGTGGCAACATCCAGGTATTTCAAGTAGAAATTAAGAAAACTTTACGGAAAAACTATCTCAGCACTTCAGTTTAACTATTTTTCAAAGTCCAAGGAGGGTTTTCCCCAGTGTAAAAGCAGAAATGAGAATTTCAGATCTAAAGCGGTTCTTGCCTTTTCTTTTCCCTCCATGCACATGTGCTGACAACAGAAAGTAAAATTTGAAAAGAAAACCCAGGCTAGAGCATTGGGGTCACTCATTTCCCATCCAGCGAAGGGAGAGCTGGTGCCTGGCTGGGGGAGGTTAGGAAGGCAAGTCTTGGGATCTGATCACTCGGCTGGGAGTGGGTAAAATACCTGGACCTCAGGAGGCCGGATTGCAGCGCCAGTGTTCTCTACCTGTGTGGCCTGTTCCTGCCTGGGGTTGGGTACCAAGTCCAGGTGGAAGTGGTCCCTGGAGCATCCTCTCTCTGAAGTGTTTCTTTGTCAAACAGAATACTCCCTGCTGCTGCCCCAGAACTCATCACTGTTGACACATGGACCAAGAACTAGCAGAGGAGGTGATTTATAATCTCTAAATGAATTGCTCTAAAAGAGACAACAAGCACTCTGACTTAAGTAAAGGAAGGGAGGGTGGGTGGAAAGGAAGGAGGATCATAAAGAACATTCTAGATTGCATACTTTGGTAATCACAGCAGGGCCTTATTGCAGTTAGAACAAAAGCCTGGACACACTTACCTCTCAGTTCAGGAAAATAATTTAGAGCTACTTGTTAAATGCTGGAGTATTATTGAAGTACCAAGTGTTAAGATTTTCACTGAAAGCAAAACTGACCAAGCAGCTCAGCTAGGGAAATGCTATGTGATCAGTTGATTGTTTGATGAGGAGTATGGAGCAGGGACTTTGGCAGAGGTTGCTAGCAGACAGGCCTTGGTTTTAGTCCAAGCTCTATCGCTTAATAGCTGTGTGACCTTGGGGAAAATTATAAAATTTTCCAGTCCTTAGTATCATAAACTGTAAATGGAGGAGAAAGATGCCTCACAGATGTTGAAGGTGAAGTGAGACAGGACACCTAGTACATTGCCTGGCTACATAGAAAATGTTTCACAAATGTTAACTTGAGGCCCTCTCCCCATGCCTCGGTCTCTTAGAATGGTTTTTCCCCATCGTGTGCACATTGAGCGGTAAGGCGGACAGCTGCCGCCGCCCATGCTGCCCCATGTTGAGAGCATTTCTGTTGACCTTCCCTTCTTCCCTGTGAAGCTGGTTCAGCAGTCACCTCATCACTGTTTTTCTTCTCCAGAGAGTGCTGGGTTGTAGCGACCATACTGTTGACGCAACACATCCCAACCACGCTGGACGGAATTTTTACTGCGATAATTCATATTCCAGGATCTTACAGTGCACAGGGTTACAACGATTAGCATAATGATCTTGCACAATCTTTCTGCCTAGCATGTAGTGCATTCGTAATATTCTCAGAGGAGGCGTCTAGAAAGCGCCAGGCTCCTTCCTCCTGCGTGAGCCACTGCAAGCTGTCGGCGCCTCAGTGCTATGGAGACCTTGGGTGGATTATTCCTTGTTGGCGGGGGGAGGGTCCCAGCTGTCCTGTGCATTATAGGATATTTAGCAGCATCCTTGCTAGATGCCATTTACAACAATCAAAAATGTCTCCAGGCATTGCTAAGTGTCCAGGTGGGGAGCGGAATAGGCAGAACCGCCTCCAGTCGAGAAGGGCTGAACTGTACTTAGGATTTGTGATTCTGCAGAAATGGGTTCTGTGAATGCACTAAAGCATGAGAACATCCAAAAATCAGTGTGGCACAGAACTGAATTCAAATTTACCTGGATCCAGGTAAATAAGCACAATTTTGAAAGTACCAAACAGAATTCAAGAAAAACAACAACAACAACAAAAAACACATTAAAAACAGAAAAGTTGGCCGGGCGCCGTGGCTCACGCCTGTAATCCCAACACTTTGGGAGGCCGAGGTGGGCGGATCACCTGAGGTCAGAAGTTCGAGACCAGCCCGACCAACATGGTGAAACCCTGACTCTACAAAAAATACAAAAATTAGCCGAGCGTGGTGGTGGGTGCCTGTAGTCCCACCTACTCGGGAGGCTGAGGCAGGAGAATCGCTCGAACCTGGAGGGCGGAGGTTGCAGTAAGCCGAGATCGCACCATTGCATTCCAGCCTGGGCAAAAAGAGTGAAACTCCATATCCAAAAAAAAAGGGGGGAAAGGTCAGAAAGACGTTCTTTTTCACTAGGTGATGAATTAATCTTTCCCATCTTTGTCATGTTAAAAATGTGCCTGTGGCTGTTTCTCCACTAAATGAAGACACTGGCACACAGATGATTGTGTGTAAACACTAGGCAAGACACTAGGCACAATCGTAGGGGTTCAGTAATTATTGAATGAGAAGAAAGAAAGGTTGTTCTTGAATTCTGTGATGTGAGTGTTTAATGATGTTTTTGAGGAGAATGCCATATGTAGCAGACAGAACCCTGGGCTGGGCATCAGAGGGACCGGGGGCACCACACTGGGCTTTGTGTCATTATCTCCAGAAAGTAACTGGCCTGGTGCACAGGAGAAAGTTAGAGTACATTGTCCATACAGTTCCCACATAGCTGTAGGGTTTTATGAACCCATATTTTAAAGGGCCTTCTAATGAAGTGAGGATGTTAATGCTTTTTTTTAAAAAAAAAAAAAAAAAAAGAGAGAGAGAGATTGGTGATTACTTTAAAATCTGAGTCCTGGCCAGGACTCACGCCTGTAATCCCAGCACTTTGGGAGGCTGAGACGGGCAGATCATTTGAGGTCAGGAGTTCGAGACCAGCCTGGCCAACATGGTGAAATCCTGTCTCTACTAAATACAAAAATCACGCTCCTGTAATCCCAGTTACTTGGGAGGCTGAGGCAGAAGAATCACTTGAACGTGGGAGGCGGAGGTTGCAGTGAGCCAAGATCACACCACTGCACTCCAGCCTGGGCAACAGAATGAGACTCCATCTCAAAACAAACAAAAAAATCCAAGTCCTAATTATCGCTGCAGCTTTCTTTAATGTGTGCAGTAAGGTGGGGACATACAGAATAACTTAAGATGTAGAAATCGTCTCTCCCTCCCTGAAGAATATCATGGATACTACATTTGCCTGCCAGGAATGTTGTGTTGTTCTGGTGTTCTCGTTTCTGCCGTTATCATTGTTTCTGCTTAATTTTTACAACACAACTCTGGCCGCACCCGTGGATGATCATGGAAAGGCAGCTGCCTGGCTTTCCAGAATTGTTTTGACTCTCCATCTGAACCCAGAGCTCTGTTTCCTGTACAGGTTGCTAGCAGTATTTACCCAAATTGTCCCTTCCCAACTCAGACCCACTGACCCTTCCTTTCTCAGCTGATTACGGGTTTAAGTTTGAATCAAACCATGCTATAGAATCACTATCTAGCAGCTTCTGTGCTTGCACAATAAGAGTATTAGTCAGCGTTTCCTGTTTTCATTCATATTGTAAGTTGAATAGCTGTAACAAAAGGGAAAGAGATTGCCAAGACAAATAATTCTTATGGCTTGTGCAAACAATTTATTACAAGCCTTATTAAATATGCAGCTTTCAGAAGTCTACGTGATATGCCTTTCAGCAAAGCTAAATCCTACTATGTGGACTTGCTTCATGACTTAAGAACAAGTCTATATTGAATTTAACATTAAATAATTATTTGGCCTGTATCTCTTTTAAGCTTTGTTAAGAACTGCAAATATGATAAGGGAATAAATTGCTCATTTCAAGTCACTAAGAAAACCTAACCTATAGGTTATATATGTTGGCAGTTCCCAAGAAGTACCTAGGAAATGGAACCTTCCTATAAGAGTGGTTTGTCCCCTTCTCACGAGATGGGTCTTCATATCAAGGCCCCCTAAGGCACAGATACACAGCACTCCACAGTGTCCAAGTTCGTAGTAATTGGTGGCACCTTATTAAAGTAGTTTTTACTTTCATAATTACTGATTACACATCAGCATACCTTTTCCATGTTCTGTTTCCTTGGCAGCCTGATATTTGAATACAAACGACATAAAAGTGATTACATGCAGCATTTCAGGACAGTTTTCAAACTGAGAGAATTTGGCACTTTCTTTTATTTTCTTCCCATTCTTCGTCTATTTCCTTTGCATTTGGAAGCCAAACTCCTCGAACCTTTACTTCTGCATGTTGTTTTCGTCCCCTAGCTAGAGTTCTCTTTATTACTACTTTTTTGTTTCCAATTGGTCTCTTTTTAAAAATAAAACATGGTGAAACCCCATCAATACAAAAATTAGCCGGGCATGATGGCGGGTGCCTGTGATCCCAGCTACTCGGGAGACTGAGGTGGGAGAATCAATTGAACCCAGGAGACGGAGGTTGCAGTGAGCTGTGATCGTGCCATTGCACTCCAGCCTGGGCGACAAGAGTGAAACTCCGTTTCAAAAATAAATGAATAAGTAAATTAAAATATGAAATTAAGCTTAGCTAGCCTGTGTAGATGTTTTAGATGGTCATATCTTTATCGGATATGACATTTATGCCTTTCAGTAAAACCATTGTAGTATTGTAAGAAAAAAAGGGAAGTATGATAGGGAGGACTAAGAACATATTTGTACTTCTATGTAATGCTATTTTATGTGTCTATTTCCATTGAAGTGTGGCCTTGACATCACTGGCTCCCAAGTCCCATCCTGTTTTTTCATTGACCTGCTTGTGCCAGGTACTGCGTTAGGAAGTGGAGCTACCAGATGAATAAGGCGTGGTCCCGCCCTCCATGTGGGAGACGGCACGTCAGTGTACTTAGGATGCTGCATGTGGTGACAGATGAGGGCCCTGCAAGGGAGCACACCACAGGGCCGGGAGGGTGGGATGGGCGGGAGGAGTAGCCAACTTTGCCCGAAAGCATCAGGACAAGCTTCCAGGAAATGGCACATCCAAGCTGAGTCTTGGACAGCGGGTTAAAGAGGCAGAGAGGGGAGAGAGGAATGTTCCACATGGGAAAAGAGGTCTGGAGGTGACAACAAGTAACATAGAGTATGTGGGCTGTGCCGGAAGCTTGATATTACAGAGGCACGAAGTCTGAGGCAGGGAGTGTGAAGGAAGATGAAGGTAGGGGAAGGAAGTTTACACAAGGGTGGCCTTGACTTTTATATTAAGGCACTTTAGGGAAGCAGGAACCACTGAAGACAGGAGAACATGGTGACTACACGGGCGCATTGAAGGGGGGAGGAGCTAGGTTTTTGAAGGGAATTTGAGCTTGCAATTTTTCAAGGGCATTCAATGGTTATAAATGAAACTTTTCATTAATATATTTGTGTCCAAGTGTTTTTAGATGTGCTTTTCTGCTACTCTCTTTTTATTTGGTTTGGAGATAGATGGTGACTTTCCTTCAGTGCCTTCTATGTGTCTTGACATGTTAATGTCTCAAACACATGGTCCGTATCATCATGGAGCTTGCAATCTAACAGGGTAGTTTAACACATAAATATGCATCCAGTTGGAAAGAACTTAGAGATCACTTGATCAGCCCCCGTTATGTAAAATGTATGCAACAATCTACCTCCAACTATAGGGCGACATTAAACAGTTTTTCAAAATACCATGGCATTGAAAAAAATGCGTAACATTTGGGTTACTTCAGTCCCACTCCCCGGTACTAATCAGGCCAGTGAACCAGTCTTGCTGGTGAAATAATGACTTCTCCAGTCATGATGGATGATTTCCCTTCATCATGACCATTTCTTCCCTGGCTCTGCCTTTACCTATGAATCTCTTCTTTCCTCCCTCTCCTTCCTCCTCTTGGTCTCTGCCTGCCATACCCAACTCCACATTTCTCTGCTTGGAAAAATCCTACTTGATTCTCAGAGCCTGACTCCATCACCCCCTCTCTCCAACCCTCCCAGGCAAACTCCGTCCCTCCCAGTGTGCCGCCCTCCAGCTCTCTCTAGTTGAATAGCAGATGTTCTCTCTCCCACTTCCCTGCAGGGCTTCAGGGTAGTGACCCTAAGAGTGAGCTTCTACCAGTGAGAAAAACGCCTGGATGGAGCAGGAATTCCCACAAATGCTTAGGAATTCAATATGATTTTTAGCAAGTGGGAGAATTATCCTTTTGGTTACAAAGATGTGAACTATTTTTGTGAGTTCTCAGTATGCACCAAGAAAAACCCCAGTGACTCAGTAATGTACCTGTGCCGTCTCACTTAACCCTTCCAACAAGGAACTTGCCAAGGTGCACAGCTGGGAGGGATCCGGGGTCCCGTCCGTGTGCTAACCTGCAGGACAGCGCCGCATAATCCAGTACTGGGGCCTTATTGTCCAGCCTTCCACCTCCAGGAGCCCACTCAGTGATGACTTTTGACAAAAGTCACCCGGATTATCCCTCTTTTGGGGTCCATGATGCCACCAACGGCTAAAGTTAACAAATGCATTACCAGGAGGTACCACTGAGGTAAGGATTGTTACTGTAAGTGATTTTCTCTGATTTTGACCACTACAAGTAAAATCACAAGATTTGTCCCAAATACTATATAAAGAGGAATGTCTTTTATTTCTCGAAATTGTTCTGCCACTTTGTTTGTTCAAATAACACATAATAAAGGATAAATGGCTTGTAGCTATATTTATCCAAATTGAACATTTTTGATGTAATTTTTTTAATTTGTCAAAAGCATATCAATGGTCATAAAAATTTTTTATGTCCTCTGGCCCTATTACCTTACCCTTGGGAATTTATTCCAAGAACGTAATTTGAAAGAGATTAAAGCACATAGGCACAAATATTTTCAGTGCAGTATTGTTTATATTGGAAACAACCCAAATGTTCAGTAACAGGGGGAACAATTTTGTAAATCTTGCTACAGCAACTTAACAAAATTATAAGCTGCCACTTATAATTGTAAATTTTGAAAGTTTGTAGCACAGCAAGGAAACTGATCATGTTAAATGTTTCTGATATCTTAGTTAATTTTTCTCCCGCCAGTTCCGATCGGTGTCCTGGTCATACCGTCAGCATATAAGTATGTATTTCATAAACATTTACTTTGTATTAACTCAGTAGTATTCCCTTCCTAGAGTGGTTTGCTTCCCAGATTGTAATGGACAATCATCTCACCTGGGGATCTTGTAACAATGTGATTCTGATTCTGTAAACTTTGTGGGGAGCCCAAGATTCCACATGTCTTAGAGGCTCTCAGATACTGCTGATGCTGTTGATCACGAATCACGCATTGAGCAGCAAGGTCCTAGAGCTCTTTGTGTATGAAGAAGATACTACTGACCCAGTGCCTCGCTATCTTGAAAGGCAGCTGTGACCTTTCTAGCAACTGAGGGGGTGGGGACTAGAAACGAGTGTTTTCTGGTGTTTCTCTAATAAAGCTGCTGTCTTGTATCCAGATTGACCATCAGTATCCTTATGCCCTTCAACTAACTTGAAATTTGTCAGTTAACAGAAATTACTGGGTGGCACTAAAATAAATTATTCTTAATATAAAGGGTAAGAAAGGGTCGGGTGTGGTGGCTCATGCCTGTAATCCCAGCACTTTGGGAGGCCAAGGTGGGCAGATCACCTGAGATCAGGACTTTGAGACCAGCCTGGCCAACATGGCAAAAACCCGTCTCTACTAACAATAAAAAAAAAAAATTAGCCGGGTGTGGTGGTGGGTTCCTGTAATCCCAGCTACTTGGGAAGCTGAGGCAGGAGAATCGCTTGAACCCGGGAGGCGGAGGTTGCAGTGAGCTGAGATTGTGCCATTGCACTCCAGCCTGGGGGACAAGAGCGAAACTCCATCTCAAAAAAAAAAAAAAAAAAAAGAGTAAGAAAGGATCTTCCATTGTAATCATACTATCATTGCCTTTTGAAACAATTTGGAACCTGATTACAAAGTTGAAAATCCCCATCTGTATGAAGAAAAGCTTCACTGGCTGGTCACCTTGGCTCAACGCCTGTAATCCCAGCACTTTGTGAGGCTGAGGCGGGTGGATCACAAGGTCAGGAGTTTGAGACCAGTCTGGCCAACATGGTGAAACCCCATCTCTACTAAAAATACAAAAATAAAAAATTAGCCAGGTGTGGTGGCAAACACCTGTAGCTACTCAGGAGGCTGAGTCAGGAGAATCGCTTGTGCCCGGGAGGCAGAGGTTGCAGTGAGCCGAGATCATGCCGCTGTACTCCAGCCTGTGCGACAGGGCAAGACACCATCTCCAAAAAAAAAAGCTTCACTGTGAGTTATGATATGGGAAGAAAAGTCTTGGCCTGGCCACCACAAGGAATCCCTCAGGCCTGGCGGTGGGAAGCAGAGGAGGGCGCAGTCTCTTTAGGGCAGAAAGTGAAGAACATTTCTATGACAATGGGGAAATCAGTTCACCTTTGTGTTGGTAAACAAAAGGAATGTAAGCTGTCCTTTGAGCTCGAATCATAGTGGTGATTGCCAAAACCTACCTTTGTTTTTAGAAGATAATAGCACATATTCCACTTGCTTCCCCACAGTGACCGAAGCTGGCTTTGGTGCTGACATCGGAATGGAGAAATTCTTCAACATCAAGTGCCGAGCTTCCGGCTTGGTGCCCAACGTGGTTGTGTTAGTGGCAACGGTGCGAGCTCTGAAGATGCATGGAGGCGGGCCAAGTGTAAGTGCCCACACCGCCTTCCTAATACCAAAGAAATTTCATTATGTTAAAACAGAATTGAGCATTTGAAAAATTCCTGCCCATTTAATGACTATAGTTTTCTAGAGTATTTTTCTTAAAACTTTTTTTTTCCTGTAGACCTCCCTCGTGGACATCTAAAACGTTTTTTGTTTTGTGTTGTTTTTTGTTTTTTCCCAACACCACCATAGGGCACTTTGAGTTTAGTAAGTTCGAGTAAACAGTAACACCCACAGTTCTTTCTAAACAATATTTTGGAAAGGAGCATAATGCAACCACTTTTTAGTCTCAAGCTTCACATCTGATACTCAGGCCAAGATTGTATAACCATATGGTAATGGGAGGTTAGAGGCTCTTGTCCCTGAACGAAGAACAAGAGGATTAGAGTGAGTTCTTTGATGACAGAGATTTTTCATTGTTTGTACAGATAGTTTTTCGGTTCACTGATGCTGCAACTCATCAGATTTCATCTAAAACTATTTTCCTTCTCTTTCTGTTTATTATGATTTCTCCTCACAACTCTGTTATAATACTGGATTGTTTCTAAGAGCTTTGCTTGGAAAACACAAATTCGATTTTAACTTCTTTAAAGACTTTTTATATTTACCTATCCTAATATATATAGAAATTACAGACATTATAAAGGAAATATATTCCTTTCCACAGAAAACCTGTGCATAGATTTTTGGGGGTTTTTTTGTTGTTGTTTGCTTGTTTGTTGTTTTTTTGTTTCATTTTTAGGAATTTCCAAGTGGAGAATAAGACATTTTATACTGATTAATCATTTTGAAATAAAATAAAATTTCTCTATCATAATATTCACATATGAGACGAACTGCCAAATCTGATTTCTTAATTGGTATACTGTACTGTGTATGTGACAAAAGTCATATATTCAATGATTATTGCATAGTCAAAACAAGTAGCAGGTTTGCCATCATGAAACGCTGTAAAGCAATTCTTTCTCCTGGGAGAGGTGGACATGATTTTTATACCATTTTACAGATAAGGAAGCTGAGTTTTGATAGGCTTAGGGAATATGGACAATGTCAGCAGGCCAGCAGAGAGCCGAGAACTTCAGATCTAAATCTCCTACTATGTCCACCATGCAGAGCTGGATGTTAATGAAGGGCAGAAGTTTTCTAAATCCAAATCCACTCCTAATACCCGACACTTAAGCACTTCATTTTTGCCTAAAGCTTCATCATCATTTCAAATGCAAGAATGATATAATACAGATTAAAAGTAGTAAATCATAAAGAATTCTGACTTCACTCAAAACACCCCTTGTTGCTACAGTCCTTCCTGGATTTTAGACATTGAATCTGTATAACAACTTCTATTTTTAAAAACTACTTCCGCCCATGTAGGATGCATTTGGAATTCTCCCTCCCTGCCCTGCCACCCTGAAAATTATAGAAAGGGCTTAGAGATTGTCTGATCTCATTCAGTCTTTATAAAGAGAAAATCTCTGAGGCACAGGGAGACGCAGTGACTTGAGTGGTGTCACACATCTATTTCAGGGACTGATCAGATCTACAGTCCTGGTCTCTTGACATCAGTCCCATAGTTTTCCAGACTCTGGTCTCTGTCCTGTAAAAATTCTCTACATGGTTTACAATCCTATTTCATTCATCTTAACATATGTGCTCTGTTATTCAGTGGTTGCACTTTCGTGCCACATTAATCCTTTGTGTCTCTTCCACTGCTGCTTAATGTCATGGTTCTCAGCCAGTGATCATGGTAACATGGAACAGGGTTAGTAGGCACAGATATGGGTGGAGGATAAGAAAAGGTGGGGACCAGCCAGGCGTGGTGGCTCATGCCTGTAATCCCAGCACTTTGGAGGCTGAGGCAGGTGGATCACCTGAGGAGTTCAAGACCAGTGGTGGCGGGCGCCTGTAATTCCCACTACTCAGGAGGCTGAGGCAAGAGAATCGCTTGAACTTGGGAGGCAGAGGTTGCAGTGATCTGAGATTGCACCATTGCACTCCAGCCTGGGTGACAAGAACAAAAGTCCATCTCAACAACAACAACAACAACAAAAAAAAAAAAAAAAAAAAAAAAAAAAAAAACCAGCAGGGACCAGGAAGCCCTGTGAAGCTAGGCATCCCTCTCCTGGGCTCCAGTAGTACCTTCTGCCTCACATTGTTTCATGAATGCCTTGTTCTGTGTCTCCCTATGTAATTCTCAATTCCTTGAGTTTAGGGACTGTGTCTTATTAATTGGTATGGTCCAAGTGTCTGGCATGGTCTATATGCAGGGAGTGTTTTCAATAATGGCAAGATAAATGAACTTTCATCCTCTTAATCCTCTATTCCATAGTGCTCATCTCGGTGTCCTTCCTTCATATTGAATAGCTCTGTATTTTTGAACCATGATTATTCATTTCTACTTCTGTTTTCTTTTTTCTTTTTTGCTACAAATACTGCGCTGGGATCGACTTCCTTTTGATCATTACACAAATAACCATGGCTGCCTCTTATGTTTATTCAGCTTGTTTTTTTTCCATAATTTGTACAGTGGAAAATCTTGTGGCCCTTGAATTTGCCCATTTTAAATTTGCCCTCAGTCATTTTAAACTCACATCCTGTCCCCCAGAGTGCTCGGCCATTCCCAGTGCAATCCAATAACTAATATTGTGCTATGCTTTGGGATCCACAGATTCTTTCACAATTAGATCTTTAAACTAACCATTGTATGAATCAGCATTCTTCACACATAGAACCAATAAGGATGTGTGTATATATAGAGAAAGATATTTATTGTAAGGAATTGGGTCACATGATTACAGAAGCTGGCAAGTCCAAAATCTGCACTGTGGGCTGGCAAGCTGAAGACCCAGGAGAGGCAGTGGTGCTAATGCAGTCTGAAGGCAGCAGTCTGCTGGAGAATTCTCCTGCTCTCAGGGGAGGCCAGTCTTTTTGTTGTACTCAAAAAGGCCTTTGACTGGTCAGTTGAGACCCACCCACATTATGTAGGACAACTTGCCTACTCAGAGGCTGCTGATTTCCATATCAATTTCATCATAGACACCCTCACAGAAACACGCAAAATAATGTTTGAACAAATACTGGACACCCTATGGCCCCAGCAAAGTTGACACATAAGATTAACCACAAGGCCAGGCACAGTGTTTCACCCTGTAATGCCAGCACTTTGAGAGGCCGAGGTGGGAGGACTGCTTGAGCCCAAGAGTTCGAGACCAGCCTGGGGAAGATAGCAAGACCTCGTCTCTACAAAATAATAAAAAATTATCTGGGTGTGGTGGTACACACCTGTATTCCTAGCTACTGGGGAGGCTGAGGCAGGAGGATCACTTGAGCCCAGGAGTTTGAGACCGCAGTGAGCTGTGATTGTGCCACTGCCCTCCAGCCTGGACAACAGAACTTTATGGCAATTACCGTAAAATGATTTCGAATGGTGATGTACTCTGTATAAATCAAGTATTAAACATATTATTAGTTTTATGTTCTAATTTGAACCAATGTTTGAGAAGTTTCATACTGTTCCATTGGCTCAAATTAGAATCATCCAGGGAGATTTTAAACATTACTGATCCCAGGTTCCCCTCCCAGAACTTCTGCTTTCATTGGTCTGGGTGGAGCCCAGGGATCAGTGTTTTCTAAAAGCTTCCCGCAGGAGTTTAGGTTTAGCCAGTGCTGCCAGCTACTGTTTTAAAAGCACAAAACATAGAGGTACATTTCTAAAAATTGAATGTGATTATGTTGTTCTTTCTTTCAGATCGGTTGTGTAAGCATTTTTATAGGATTATTCTTCATGTTTTCTCTCCTTATTTCAGGTAACGGCTGGTGTTCCTCTTAAGAAAGAATATACAGAGGAGGTAAGAGGAGCTGTTTAGATGCTTATGTGAAGAATCTCTTAAATCCAGTGACTCGTTGGCTTTCAGTGAATGAGCCCTCCTTCAGTGGCCTCTTAGAAAAGTGCTGTTCTGTCCGGGCGCAGTGACTCACACCTGTAATTTCAGCACTTTGGGAGGCCAAGGCGACCGGATCACATGAGGCCAGGAGTTCAAGACCAGCCAGGCAAAACCCATGGCCAACATGGCAAAACCTCATCTCTACTAAAAATACAAAAATTAGCTGGGCATGGTGGCTCACGCCTGTAGTCCCAGCATGAGAATCGCTTGAACCTGGGAGGCAGAGGTTGCAGTGAGCTGCGATCGCACCACTGTACTCCAGCCTGGACGACAGAGTGAGACTCTGTCTCAAAAAAAAGAAAAGAAAAGTGCCGTTCTAAGAATCCGAGAGGAAATGGATGGGATGAAAGGATAAAATTCATTCAGTTAACTCTTAAATATCAAGAAAAGATGGATATAGGCTTTGTCTACTATTGTGTACTCCCAGGGTAGCCATCAGAGCAGGAACTCAAGGTCTCCAGGTCAGAAACAAATATGAAGCTTACACTTCTGTATTCTTTTGTCATGGAAGGTCTATATACAGTTGGCTTTATGATTTACAGGAGTGGCTTACTCTTTTCTGTAAATAGACTTTGATTTGCTGGCAGCAGTACCTCTTAGCTCCTACAGGTGGCGCCAGGGATCTGAGCCAGGAATACCTGGTCAGAGCTCCTCACCCACCTGGGGCCTTGTGCCTGTCAGGCCTCAACCTGCAGAGCATGGGCGCATTGCATAGACCCTGCAGCCTGTCCTCAGCAGGGTGAGCTGCCAGGCTTCAGACCCACCCATATGCCATTGGATCCAGAATCATTTTAGAAATTATTTTGAAGACGAACCTCTTTATTCTTGCAGCCATCTTTCTTGGAGGAAAAAGTGAAAAAAGATGTAGCAAATCCTGCCAGAGAGGTGCTGGCAGTTTAGCTTGGCAGGTTTGGTGGGAGACAATACACAGGGGTCTGGGTTTTGCTTTTTTCTTTTTTACAGAACATCCAGCTGGTGGCAGACGGCTGCTGTAACCTCCAGAAGCAAATTCAGATCACTCAGCTCTTTGGGGTTCCCGTTGTGGTGGCTCTGAATGTCTTCAAGTAAGTCCAGCCTCCTCCTTTAAATGTGGGCATTATCACTAGGCCACCCTGTGAACGATATTTGTGTCTTGGGGTATTTGGTCTTTCTGTGCTTCATCTAAAAGTATACAGAAATACCCAGTTCTTTCTGTTTGTTTATTTGGTTTGGTTTCATTTTAGCAAATGTGTTCTCACAATGTTATTAAGGAAGTGAAATTTATATATAGTGAGTTACTATCTCCTTGGCTTTTTTTTTTTTTTTTTTTTTTAATTCTACCCAGCATTTTTGTCTGAAACAAACTGTGAATGATCAAAGGGATATGTTATGGAATTTTCTTGATAACACCCTTAACGACTTGAAATATTTGAGTCACTTTAGAGAGGACTTTTTTTTTCCATGCTTTAAGTCTGATTTATTTAAACACGATGTGACCACTTTTGATGTTTAAAATGTATTCAGTGTTAGGGAGCGAAGTTCTGTATAAATGGTGAGTCTTTCTTTGAAAACATAGCTAAATGGATACAGATGCAAAACCACAAACATTTTCTTCACTAGGACCGACACCCGCGCTGAGATTGACTTGGTGTGTGAGCTTGCAAAGCGGGCTGGTGCCTTTGATGCAGTCCCCTGCTATCACTGGTCCGTTGGTGGAAAAGGATCGGTGGACTTGGCTCGGGCTGTGAGAGAGGCTGCGAGTAAAAGAAGCCGATTCCAGTTCCTGTATGATGTTCAGGTAAGATCTAGTAAAAACAATGGCTCACATTTCTTACACCTTAGCATGGGTTGTCCCATTCTGTTGTCACCACAACCCTACAGATAAGAAAACTAAAGATAGAAGAGTTTAGGCCCGGTGCAGTGGCTCACGCCTGTAATCCCAACACTTTGGGAGGCTAGGGCGGGCAGATCACTTGAGGTCAGGAGTTCGAGACCAGCCTGGCCAACATAGAGAAACCCCATCTCTACTAAAAATACAAAAATTAGGTGGGCATGGTGGCGTGCACCTATAGTCCCAGCTACTCGGGAGGCTGAGGTGGGAGAATTGCTTGAACCCAGGAGGTGGAGGCTGCAGTGAGCCAAGATCGAGATCACACCACTGCACTCCAGCCTGGGCGACAGAGTGAGACCCTGTCTCAAACAAACAAACAAAAAGGTAGAAGAGTTTAAGCCATATGACAAAGTCACATTTCCAAGTACAGACCCTAGCTCCTTGTCCCAAAGCCTGTGCTTTTGAAGACTCCCAAATCGCAGTCCTAAGTGAGGAGGTACTTTAGCGAACAGGATTTGACAGCTGACGCTTTCAGGAGTTGCACAGGAACAAGAGCAATTTCGTGAGGATTGGGAAACCATGGGAGGTATTTTCCTTGTTCATTTCTCTTTTTTTTTTTTGAGACAGTCTCTGTTGCTCAGGCTGGAGTACAGTGGTGCAATCTCGGCTTACTGCAACCTCTGCCTCCCAGGTTCAAGCACTTCTCTGCCTCAGCCTCCTGACTAGCTGGGATTACAGGCACCTGCCAACACGTCTGGCTAAGTTTTTGTATTTTTAGTAGAGACGGGGTTTCACCATCTTGGGCAGGCTGGTCTCAAACTCCTGATCTCATGGTTCACCCACCTCGGCCTCCCAAAGTGCTGGGATTATAGGCATGAGCCACCACACCTGGCCTCTGCTTGTTCATTTCTGTTATGGTTCTTTTCTCTTGTGGTTTTATTGAACTATGTCTAGTGTATGTGTGTGTATATATACATACATAATATATTTATTTATTTTCATTGTGGTAAATATATATATAACAAAATTTACTATCTTAGCCTTTTTTTTTTTTTTTTTTTTTTGAGACAGAGCCTTGCTCTGTTGCCCAGGCTGGAGTGCAATGGCGTGATCTCGGCTCACTGCAACCTCCACCTCCCGGGTTCAAGCAATTCTTCTGCCTCAGCCTCCCAAGTAGCTGGGACTACAGGCGCAAGCAAGCGTGCCTGGCTAATTTCTTTTTTATTTTAGTAGAGTCGGGGTTTCACCGTGTTGCCCGGGCTGGTCTCGAACTCCTGAGCTCCGGCAGTCCACCCGCCTCGGCCTCCCAGAGTGCTAGGGTTGCAGGCGTGAGCCACCACACCTGGCCCATCTTAACCATTTTTAAGTGCACGTCAGTAGTGTTAAGTACATTCACATTGTCATGCAGCCAATCTCCAGAACGCTTTTCATCTTGCAAAACTGAAACTGTACCCACTGAACAACTCCCCATGCCCCTCCCTACAGTCCCTGCCAGCTACCATTCTCCTTCATTTCCATGAATGTAACAACTCCAGGGACCTCATGTAAGTAGCATCATACTGTGGCTGGCTTATTTCACTTAGCATAATGTGCGTGCATGTTGTAGAGTGTCAGAATTTCCCTTCTTTTTTTTTTTTGAGATGGAGTTTCGCTTTTGTTGCCCGGGCTGGAGTGCAGAGGCACCATCTCAGCTCACCGCAACCTTCTGCTCTCGGGTTCAAGCAATTCTCCTGCCTCAGGCTCCCGAGTAGCTGGGATTACAGGCGTGCACCACCACGCCCAGCTAATTTTTGTATTTTTAGCAGAGACAGGGTTTCACCATGTTCGTCAGGCTGGTCTCAAACTCCTGACCTTGTGATCCACCCACCTCGGCTTCCCAAAGTGCTGGGATTACAGGTGTGAGCCACCGCGCCCGGCCAGAATTTCCTTTATTTTTCGGGCTGAATACGCTCCCATTCTTTGGATATCCCACATTTTGTTTCTTTGTCCATCTGTGGATGGACACTTGAGCTCCCCCTCACAGCTATTGTAAGTAATGCTGTATGAGCATGCGTGTTTATGGCATATGGCATATGTACAAGTATCCCTTCAAGACCGTGTTTTCTTTTTTTTTTTTTTTTTTTTTTGAGACGGAGTCTTGCTCTGTCGCCCAGGCTGGAGTGCAGTGGCGCAATCTCGGCTCACTGCAAGCTCCGCCTCCCGGGTTCATGCCATGTTTTCAATTCTTTTGGAAATGTATTCCCAGAAGTGGGATTGCTGGGTCCTCTAGGATATTTTTAAGCACATGTCGATGGTTCAGTCAGAAGACCTGAGCTTCCCAGGGCTCACTCTCCTCCTCAGATCGTCTGTCTTTGCACCCGTCTGACATCTCCATTCTGAATTTTGTGGTTCCGATTCTGGCTGATGGATTTGTCTTCAGGGGTAGTGCATGATTGTGGAGTGCCCAGGCTTCAAGCTGATTGCTGCTTCTCCTGTTCCTTCATCCCTCACATATTCTATTGTTGAGTCACTCAGATGTCACAGACACTCTTCTTTCCTGTTCAGTGGCATAAATCAATAGCATAAGTGAAGAAGAAATCCGTGAAGCAAGAGCTTAGCAGCGTTGTTGATAAGCCTGGAGTCACAGTGGTGAGAGAACGGGGCTGATGTATTAATATTTAATATTACCACAGCTCTCGCTTTTAAGGAGTTGTTTGTGAGCTGGGTATATGGGCGCTTTGCACATGTTCACCTCTTTGGTCCTAACATCCCTCTTAGGTGGAAACTGGTGATATCTTCCCATTTTACAGACAAGAAAACTAAAGCACGAAGAGACTAAGTCAACTGCTCAGTGTCCCATAGCTAGGAAGAGGCAGAGCTGGGAGAAAGAATATCCAGATGGTTGAGGTCATCACCCTGCTCTGTTCTTCAGAGCTAAGTACTGTGCTCAAAAGTGTGTGTGTATTGGAGGTCTGGGGGGAGACATAGTTAAAGGGGACAGTGACTGAGTGACCCCCCTGAAGAGAAAGGGTGACAGTGATGGGCATAGGCACAGATTCCATGCCACACAGGGGACATCATCGCTGGCACGCAGTCAGTGTTTACGGAAGGAAGGACACAGGGAATTAATTGGAGGCTAGCTCATAAAAGGTTTTTCATTTTTATGAGGCCATTTTGTGAATGAGGAACTAGAATATTCTGGACTACAGAGGCGGTAGAGATCAATTGAGGGAGAAGATTTTGGATGAGTGAAAAGAAAAATGTTCCAGTTGGAAGCTTTGAGTTCTCAGACCTAGAGGTGTTCAGCGCAAAATAGATGTAGCCCTGCTGTGGGCAAGTCAGAGGCATTGAAGCCAACTCAGATGGCAGGTGGCCAAGGAGACCCTGGGTTCCTGTTCTTTGGTCCTGGGTAAGGCTTGCCAGGGTACCTACAACCCTTGGCACATGCCAGAGCCTTTCTACATAAACCACTGTAGGGAGAGTCACCCCCAGATCCTGCTGTGAGTGTGCCTCTGATCATGCCATCTGATCATGCCATCTTGCCGTCTGATCATGAACCACCCCACTCTGCATAGCAAAGGCAGTTATTTTCATGAATGATTTCACAAAGTGCGGCTCTTTTCAAGGAAAACATCCCAGGTGAAAAAGAGGTCAGTAATCAGAAGAAATGCTTCTGAGTTATGCTGTCTCAGACATGCACTAACCCTAACATGAACCCTTTTCCTTTCCACTGATATTTCAATTTTTTTTTCTGAATTCCCATTCTTCATGCAGATAATGCTGCTAAAATGTCAGCTCTCTTCTGAAAGGAGGAAAATGTTTAATAATAATGTGGTCTAAAGTCCTCTATTGATAGGCGACCTCAAGGCCAGGATCCCTGCCTCCTTTGCCAACACACTTCTCGCTTTTCTTGTAACAGAAATTCGATTTGAGCTGCATAATTGTTTGTTAGATAATCAGCCTCCCAGCCTACTGCAGCATGACAGTTCATGAAAAGAGCTGCTGCTGCTGCTGGCTCTCTTTGTACTGTCTGCCTGTTAGCTGTGTTCCTCACACCAGCAAGATTTAGATCATCTAAGACCATTTACAGTCTTGTCTTGTCACCATGTAAAAATCTGAATTCATTGGTGCAGTCAGTAATAGAGCTCAAGCCTTCTTTGCCCCGGATTTCTTGCATTGATTGGTGCTGGTAAAACTTTAGTAACTTAAGTAATGGTTTTCTGGAAGCCCTTTTTACCTCCCCTACAACCCCACACCCTCACAACCAACCCTTGGGTGCTGGGCAGTGAGAAAGATATGGCATTGCTCTATAGGAGAAAGAAGTTATAAATGCTTTGCATATGACACTCTCCCACCTTTGCTTCTCAAAGCAAACTGGGTTTCTGTGTGCCCCTTGGTGTCTCCCCAGACTTTATATCCCCAAGAATGTATTCAGTACAAGACTAATGGCATCTTGTGTGCTATTCTTTCTCCACCCCAGTCTTGTGGAAGGAAAACACCGGAGATGATTTAGGGTAATGGGAAATAGTGCTAGAGCCCAGGGCATGACTGCATTTGAATGTGAAGTAGAAATTGTCTCGGAACCCCACTGGAGAGTGATTCAGCTGGAGAGAGTGGGGCACCTGGCTCTCAGAGGCACTGTGCGGCCAGACAGCAGTGTGCTGGACTTCCTAATGGCGAGCTCACAGGTTAAGTGAGAAACAGGCTGCACTTCTGACTTGGGAGTCTCTGCTGAACTTTATAGAAAACTGACTTCAGCAGCAACTGCTGTCTAGAGAACAATTTGGCATCTCTTTTTGCCAGAGTAACTTCTAACTCAAGAGTAGGCAACTTTTAATTATGGTACCGGATGGAGGCAGCAATGAATAATTTAGAATAAAGATTGAAAAATATGGAATAAGGTGTAGTAGACTAATTGCTCAGAAGAAGTTTTATTGTGTGAAAATGAATGTGTTTAAACTTGAAATACAGAGGATCATTTCCTCTCTACCCTTGAGGGTGATTGCAGTCCCTTTTAAGAAGCTGTTAAAAGTCCCCCTCAAGATCATCTTCTCTTTGAATTTTCCTTTCTAATGTGACTTTTGACAATTATATCTTTATCGTTCACTAAGAGAATATCTCCATGTCTGCAGGGATGCAGGGAAATATGATGGCTGAAAGAAACGCTAATCTACATGCGCACTTTATTAGCTAAGAAATCCCTCCTCCATACGTTCTTCCAGGCATGCCTCCGCACATCCCATCTGCTATGTGGGCTCAACTCTGCATTATAGATGGGAAGGTGATGGACTTGTCCATAAGAAATGGACGCTTGATAGGAGAAGGAACATATTACATAGAGCTAACAGGCTAAAGCTTTGGGATCATGCAAATTAAGTTTAAACCTTGAGTAGGCCTCCTACTGTGGACACAATTTGGGGAAGCTGACTAATCTCTCGAGCCTCAGCATCCTCATTTGTACAATGGTGTCTGACAGTGACACCAACTTCACCAAGTTGCTGTGAGACCCAAATGAAATGCCCCAGAGTAAAATGCTGGAACATAGAAAGCAGGCAATGAAGGCCAGGAGTGGTGGCTCTCGCCTGTAATCCCAGCACCTTGGGAGGCTGAGGCAGGTGGATCACCTGAGGCCAGGAGTTCGAGACCAGCCTGGGAAACATGGTGAAACCCCATCTCTACTAAAAATACAAAAACTAGACAGGTGTGGTGTCACGCACCTGTAGTCCCAGCTACTCGGGAGGCTGAGGCAGGAGAATCGCTTGAACCTGGGAGGTAGAGGTTGCAGTGAGCTGAGATCACACCACTGCACTCCAGCCTGGGCAACAGAGTTAGACTCTGTCTCAAAAAGAAAAAAATGGAGGAAAGTAGTCAATCAATGCTGGTTCTTCCTCCTGTCATGTTCACTTGGAAAGAGAGTGGGCCTCCTGAATTCACCTTCAAGAATTCTCCTGTAACTCAAGGTAACTTTGTCAAACTCCAAGATTGGTTTATTTTGCTCTGGGTTAAAACCAGGAATTAGAAGTCAAGTCTCCTAAAGCACTACTGAACTAAACCAAGACACTGACGTTTTTCCTTCTCCGTGAGAATTGGGAGCCCTTAGTGATATCATAAAACATCAGTCATTTTTGCAAAGAAGGAGGTATGACCCGGAGAAGTCAGCTTGACATTCAGTCGGAATATTGTTTGTTAAATGAGGAGTTAAGGTTGAAAATCATCTCTGTATCCTTCCTCTAGCCTTGCAAACATTTTAAGGTGTAGCCTTGACAGCAAGACAGGATAGTGTTTGTTTTTATTAAAAGGTCTTTCCTGTTCCTTGCGTGAAGCCATTCTCTTGATCCCAGTGGGGGCTGGATGAAGGAAGAGCAAAACAAACCACGAAGACAGCCTGGAGCCGCAGCCAGCTCTGCTGACTTCTGAACTTCACGCTCTCACTGCCCAGATGGCCAGGGGTGTTTCCTCCTCTGCTGGTCTTTTTTAAGGCAGGATGTTTGTTGTTATTGTTGTTGTTTTTCTGGTTGGTTCTTAAGAAATTATTTTCTACATCTTGAAAATGCCAGCTGGAACCTACACCAGTTGTTGGTGGGGTGTGAGAACTATCCTTTACATGGACTTGGAGCATTTGCAACTAGAGCCTCCACATTGAAATAAACATTTAAAAATGCATATCTATGGATATACAGTGGGGGATCTTCCATTGTGGTAAAAATATGTATAACATACAATTTCCCCTTTAATCGCTTTTACATGTATAGTCTGTGGCATTAAGTACATTCACATTGTACATACAGGGTTTAATTAATAGGATCTTAAAACTTAAAAGGGTATTGATGCACATCTCTGTTGCCTTTTACATTTCACAGTAATTAGAAGGGAAAAAACACACTCTAGGTTGAAAGGCTGTCCTTTCTTTTGGTTGTCCTTGTCCCTGGAAAAGCTGTCTTCCCCCTCAGGGCCTTTGACCTCCCCCGGCTCTCCCTCCCATCTTCAGACACGCCCAGGGCCAGCCTGAGTCAGTAGCCCTTTCTTCAGCGCTCCCTCTTCTCCTGTTGTGCATTAGAATGTTTGGAGTGTTCTGTGGAAAGCTGGTCCTTACATTTTCCAGTCAGTTATGCATCTCACTCATAAACCTGTTTCTTCCCCCATGCTCTTTAATATTCTGCTTTCTTAATTATGGTTGAGCTGCCTTTAAACAGTCTTAGATTGTTCAATGTGAGTGGCTTCAACAAGCCTCCCATAAGCCTCTTATCCCCTGGCCCCCTTTCCATGATCCAACCCCAAATCTCCAGATACCCCCTGCTTTTTTTATGTTTTTTTGTTTGTTGGTTGGTTGGTTGGTTTTTGGGTTTTTTTTTTTTTTTTGAGGCAGAGTCTCGCTCTGTCACCCAGGCTGGAGTGCATTGGCACGATCTCGGCTCACTGCAACCTCCACCTCCCGGTTTCAAGCAATTCTTCTGCCTCAGCCTCCTGAGTAGCTGGGATTACAGGTGTGGGCCACTATGCCCAGCAAATTTTTGTATTTTTAGTAAAGGCAGAGTTTCACCATGTTGGCTGGGCTGGTCTCGAACTCCTGACCTCAAGTGATCTGTCCTCCTCAGCCTCCCAAAGTGCCGGGATTACAGGCATGAGCCACTGCACCAAGCCCCGGATACCTCCTGCTTGACCAGACCTTCTGCAAACACACCTTAGATCCCTCTCAAATCTAGATGCTTCTCCAACACTGGCTTCTAGGTTCTTTATGAAACCTCTGCTGGCCGGCAGTATATAACCCACCACCCAGCCTGCCAGGCACGTCATTCAGCTGTGTTAGACAGTTTCGAGGGATCTGCACCTGTCATGAGCACTGGCCCAACCTTCTCAAAGCATCCCACTCATCCCTGTGATTCTGGCAAAGCTTGCCCCAGCTTTCTTTCCTCGATGGTTGAAATAGCACCCAATGAGAAAAAAACAGTGGCCTGTATTTATTATACTTACACATGTCACAAGAATCCCTGTAGTGTCATTGAAAGCTTTCTTCTAGCATGCAAAATGATTGTCACTATGATGTAAGTTTCTAGAAATGCCTTATTTCATCTAAAATTATGAGAGAAGGTAAAATGATGAACTATCAAAGTCACACTACATGTTGGCCGGCTGCCTTCTACCACTCACTCCATCCCTCCCCAGGCTTTCTGACTTAAATTTAGATCACATGAGACCATTGCAGTGGAGAGAGTGTCCACTTTCTCAATCTAAAAGCAAGCTCGTGAAGACCATTAAATATGATCACAGGAACAAACATTAAAGGTACCACACGTAATGGACCACTTAAGACAGAAAACTACGATCTTAGGGTTTAGGGGAAAAAAACACTCAAACAGCACAGGCTTCCAGTCTCCCCAGTCTCTGAGAGGTTGGGATTTTTTTTTTTAATAAAGTACAAGGGCTCCTTGAACATGAACACGGAACGAGCGTTGCACCTGTATTCATTCATTTCGCTCTTGTAACACATTGATGTTCCTAAGTCAGATTTGTAGAAGAGGAACGAGCAGATGCATCATGAGAACACTGTGCTTGGCCAGGCGCGGCGGCTCATGCCTGTAATCCTAGCACTTAGGGAGGCCAAGGTAGGAGGATCGCTAGAATCGAGGAGTTCAAGACTAACCTGGGTGACATGGCAGATCCTGTCTCTACTAAAAATATTTTAAAAATTAGCCAGGCATAGTGGCACATGCACTGTAGTCTCAGCTACTCAGGAGGCTGAGGTGGGAGGATTGCTTGAGCTTGGGAGGCAGAGGTTGCAGTGAGCCAAGATCACCCCACTGCATTCCAGCCTAAGCAACAGAGCCAAGCTCAAAAAAAAAAGGCCAGGCACGATGGCTCCCTCCTATAATCTCAACCCTTTGGGAGACTGAGGCGGGCAGATCACTTGAAGTCAGGAGTTGGAGACCAGCCTGGCCAACATGGCAAAACCCCATCTGTACTAAAAATACAAAAATGAGCCGGGCATCGTGGTGCGTGCCTGTAATTCCAGCTACTCTGGAGGCTAAGGCCCAAGAATCACTTGAACCTGGGAAGTGGAGGTTGCGGTGAGCCAAGAACATGCCACTACACACCATCATGCCCGGCCTGTTTTTTTTGTGTGTGTTTGTTTTGGGTTTTTTTTGAGCCTGGGCAACAGAACAAGACTCTGTCTCAAAGAAAACAAAACAGAACACTGTACATGAGTGTTCCTGGGCCCAGCAGAGTGCTCGAACCAGTCAGCACTTTGCCCTCTTTTGGGTGAGATGAGATCTTTAAAATCACTTATTCCCATATATTCCGTTTTTTGGCATTGCTACACTATTCTATTTGAGAGTAATAAAAGATTACCCATGTGGATTTCTTACTATTTCATGTGGAGAAATGCAGCTTTTCTAGCGGCGAGCCTTTCTTCCATTTCCCAGAGTCCGGTTACCCTCACCGCACCCCAGGTTTGCCGTAGAAGGATGAGATTCCCTACATGTAGGCGTCTTCAGAGTGAACCTGTTGCTCAGGGCCCGCGAGCCCACAGGGCTCCATGCCCACTGAGCAGGCTCGTGGACGTCGGCACGTAGCTCAGATGTGCTGATTTCCAGCCAAGGACATGCTTTGTGTCAACGATACAGGGGCCTGTTGTTCTCAGTAACAAGGGCAGAGCCGCTCCCGGGACTCCAGTTGGTATTGGTAATGCAAGCCCTTGCACCTAGTGTGGTGTGGTCAGTATAAATTAATATCGACAGCTTCATGTTGTACTTTAATTTGAAGTACAGGAAAGGCTGCTTGCCAAACTGTATTTGTAGATCATTTAAAATTTATGCTTCATTTAAAATGCAAAATACGAATGGAAATAATTACTGTGTATCCGGAAATGTCTATTCAACTTACAAGTTTATTAATTGATCCTTCTCTTTACATGTTTTACGGGACTTGGAATACACTTTGCTAATATCACAGCATAGGAAGATTTAACCCATATGAATTCAACTCTGTAGCCTTGGTGAAAGAAAAGAACCATGTATTTGTCATTCACTGTGGCCCCCGATGTATGCCAACGACTTCATTTGGTGCAGGGCTGAAGAAATGGCAGTGTGTTCCAATACTTCACAACAGTGGGGCCTCATTAAGAGATGCTAGGGTATTGAGAGTGGAGTGTTACATAGTGTTTTTCATAGGTCTTCTAAAAGATTTTTCAGAGTTGCTGACTTAAGAATTTGGCCTCTGAGTAAGATGAGACGCCCCTACTACGTTATAAAGCCTTCATGGATCTTTATTTCTAACAGTTCATTTTTAAACTTTTGTTCCATTTCATTTTATTTTGTCCATTTTTTGTCATCAAAAAATTATTTTAAAATGTAACAGCTCTTCTAGAATGTACAGATCAATTTTATTCCACTAAAAAACAGGACTTCAATAATTTAATTGAAGAATTCTAGTGAGCATTTCCAGAGCCTTTCCAAGAAAGCTATACTGTTTAACTTTGAGTGACTCAGCTTCTAGGACCCTGGTCCACCACACCTACAAAATGAATTTAATAAAGCATGAAGGTCACCAAATCCTCTACTATTTCTTCGTGGAGTCATTCAGCTAGTGTTTATGTTGTGCCTGCTCTGTGCGAGAGACTGTGCCACCAATATAACCACTGGTCACAGTTATTTTCTAGAGCCATACTGCCTGATATCCCATGTGGCTAAGATTGACAGTTCAGTTTCTGGATTGTTCCAGTCCCATTTCCAGTGCTTTTAATAGCCACATGAGGCCAGTGAACACACGATACATCTTCCATTGTGATAGAAAGTGGCAGTGGACAGCTTTGTTCTAGAGTATTTCCGTTTCTGAAATACATGTTTAAGAAGTTTGGAAAGGAATTAGTGTAGAGTATGAGAAGGGTTACATTTTTGGTGAATATGAAGATTTAACATAATGTTAGTTCAAAAATGACCAAAGACACAAGTGTAGACACCAGGCTTTTGAAGTAGCTAATATGTTAAGCAGCTGTGCATTATATAGACAGAATATTCACTATGTCCCACTCAGCCCTGTGTTTGACACCATTTCACCTTGGCTTCTGCCTTTCTTTCCCTTCTTTGCCTATTGAGATTTTTCCTGTCCTTTCTATCCTTTTTTTTTTTTTTTTTTTTTTTTTTTGAGGCAGAGTCTTGCTGTGTCACCAGGCTGGAGTCCAGTGGCACGATCTCAGCTCACTGCAGTCTCCACCTCCCGGGTTCAAGTGATTCTCCTGCCTCACCCTCCCAAGTAGCTTTGACTACAGGAATGCGCCACCACTCCCAGCTAATTTTTGTATTATTTAAATAGAGATGGGGTTTCACCATGTTGGCCAGGATGGTCTCGATCTCTTAACCTCATGATCCGCCCACCTTGGCCTCCCAAAGTGCTGGGATTACAGGTGTGAGCCACCGCACCAGGCCTCCTGTCCTTTCTTTAATGCACTATTCCAGCTTTTTTTTTAATATCTTGCCAGCTTTTGCTGATTTTCATGCCTCCCTCTGCAACCTGTGATCTCTTGACTTTAATAGTAATGTTTATACAGAGTCTTGACTGCACACTCTCTTCTGTCATCGTTGTTTGTTGTGTCTCATTGTCCCCAATCCATCAGAAGTTCTTGGTACACAAAGTCCCTGAAGCTGTATGAACAATGCCCTGACGTCTTGAAAGGACTTGCCATAGGTGGTTATTTGATCACTTAGCAGATGCCTTTGGGATCCTACTTTGTGCAGGCCACTCTCCAAGGCACAATGTGGCAAGTAAATATATTAGTCAATATTTACAGAACCAAGAGAAAGCCAGCAATGATTAATGCATAAACAGTCATAAATTGGCCATTTTATTTGTTTATAAAAGCTATCATTTACTACAGAGAAGTACAAGTGAATATCAAGCTCAGATCAAGACCTTTGGACTGAGCTTGGCTTTTTTTTTTTTTTTCTTTAAAGATTACACTTCTCCCCCAAATCAAGCAGATTAACCATAGGAAGTTCCTTGCCTGCTAACAGAATATAAATAGATTGCATGCAAGGGGAAGGACCTTATCAGGGCAGATTTTAGTATTTACACTAAACCCAAAAGATTATTTCCTTAATTGTACTTGTGAGTGAAAAACAAAAATTGTAGCAGGAGTCCCAAGAGCACTCTGGCCATGGGCTTTTGAGCTGTGAGTTGAAGCACTTTATTCAGCATGTGGCTGCAGGGTTGTAGCTCAGGTTGTAGACAGTGCATTCTCTTCAGGTCCCAGGAAACAGTGTCATACCTGTGGAAGCCACCAGAATGCACCTTCATCTTCTCCAGTGGTGGCGAGGTTGAGGCCAAGCATCAGAAGTGCTGAGTGCTGGGAAACTGTGGGGCTGGATAGATGGCAGTGCCTGCTGGGAAGCACACAGCCCTGGGTTGAGGCAGGGAAGCAGGGCCGCCCAGTTGGGATTCATTCGTACTACTGGCCCCTCACAGTACCGTCATGTGTGGGTGGTCGCGCTTGTCCTACAGGAAGTAAACCACAACTACTCATCTCACACAGTCAGCCCGGCACCTCCTTGGAATTCCCAAAACACTTTCCAATAAACATTGGAAAGGAAGAAAGTTTAGTTGGTAACAAAAAAATGTATGTTGCCTTACGCCCAAAAGCATTGAAAGCAGGGACTCAAGCAGGTACTCATGCAGCCCTGTTGATAGCAGCATTGTTCCCAGTAGCTGAAAGGTGGGAACCCCCTTGTCTGTCAGCGGGGATCAGCTAAATATGGCACACACATACTATGGAACATTATTCAGCCTTGGGAAGGACACCTCCTATCACACGGATGAACCTTGAGAACATTATGCTAAATGAAATACACCAGACACGGAAGGACAGATACTGCTTGATTCCACTTGTAGGGGCCTGTAGAGCCGTCACATTCATAGACAGGAAGTAGAATGGTGGTTGTCAGGGGCCAAGGGGAGGGGCATGGAAAGTTGCTGCTTAATGGGTACAGTTTCAGTTTTGCTAAATACAGAGAGTTCTGGAGGTTGGTTGCCCGACACCATAAATGGACTTAACGCTACTGAACTGTACACTTAGAAATGGTTAAAATGGTAAATTAGGCCAGGCATGGTAGCTTGCGGCTGTAATCCCAGCACTTTGGAAGTCTGAGGCAGGCAGATCACTTGAGCCCAGGAGTTCAAGACCAGCCTGGACAACATAGCAAGACCCCCATCTCTACAACAATTTTAGAAATTAGCTGGTGGCTTACACCTGTAGTCATAGCTACACAGTATGCTGAGGTAAGAGGATCACTTGAGCCCAGGAAGTTGAGGCTGCAGTGAGCCGTGATCACATCACCGAACTCCAGAATGAGACCCTGGGTCACAAAAAAAGAAAAGAAGATGGTAAATTATATGTTATGTGTACGTTACCAAAATTAAAGTTCTTAAAAATATATATTTTAGGCCAGACACAGTGGCTCACACCTGAAATCCCAGCACTTTGGGAGGCCGAGGCAGGCAGATCACCTGAGGTCAGGAGTTCAAGACCAGCCTGGCCAACATAGTGAAACCCCATCTCTACTAAAAATACAAAAATTAGCCAGGCGTGGTGGCGGGAGCCTGTAATCCCAGCTGTTCGGGAGGCTGAGGCAGAAAGAATTGCTTGACCCAGAAGGCAGAGGTTACCGTGAGCCAAGATCGCGCCACTACACTACCAGCCTGGGTAACAGAGTGAGACTCTGTCTCAAATAAATAAATAAATAATATATATATACATATTATATAGATAGATAGATAGATTTCTTACAAAACATTTTCGTGTTTAAAAATAACAAATCAGGCCAGGCACAGTGGCTCACGCCTGTAATCCCAGCACTTTGGGAGGCCGAGGCAAGCGGATCACCTGAGGTCAGGAGTTTGAGACCAGCCTGACCAACATGGTGAAACCCTGTCTCTACTAAAAATACAAAATTAGCCGGGCGTGGTGGCACATGCCTGTAATCCCAGCTACTTGGGAGGCTGAGGCAGGAGAATCACTTGAACCCAGGAGGCAGAGGTTGCAGTCAGCCAAGATCTCGCCATTCCACTCCACCCTGGGTGACAGAGTGAGTCTCTGTATAAAAAAAATTTTTTTAAATAACAACTCAGCCATCCACTCGCATCAATTTATTCACTAGTCATTCGATTGCTATTACTTTGCTCCCATGTGAGTTTTTTAAATTATTAACAGAAAAATCACACTCTTTATTTTTGAATTATGATCTTGAGTTCAGTAAAGAATGCATTCTGTTGATTAAATGTGTTATGAGTAACAGTATCTTGTTTTGCTGTACTTCCAAGCAAAATGTAATTCTTTCAGTCCTCCCTACCGTTCTCACTCCATAATAATATGACTTAAGGTTTGTATAGCATGACGTTTACAACGTGCTTGCGTTTTACACTGACTCAACGTGTGCAGTACAGTGATGTATAGTGAAGTATTCACATCCTCATCTTAGAAATGAGGAAATAAATTCAGGGAGGTTACATGATTTAACCACACATAAGGAGGGGCTGCATTCTCTCTGAGCCCTTCTACCTCACACAGCCACCAAGCTCCTTTGTGCAGAGCCCATGGAGGGTTGGAGTGGCCACACTGGGGTAGGTGCAGGCCAGAGACTGGATGCAACAGGAACATTGCCTGCTTCCCAAAACCACTGTTCTACTGCCCGGAGAACACACCCTTCTGGGAGCTGACTTCTAACAAAGCAAGGTCCTTGGACTTGCCCTGCGGCTTCTTTCCTGCAAGAAGTATCTTCCAGCATCCTACCAACTTTTATTTCTTAAAAAAGGTTGTTCCTTGCCAGGCATTGGTTGATCAGCAGAGGAGCTCGCATTAGTTTCAGTGCAGTGTTGGGAGCAAGCACTTGAGTGCCCAGCAACATAGGCTGCTCATGATCTAAGATTCATGGAAAAAGTCTTCTGCGCTGTTGCCTGCAGCACATCAACACCTGAATTTTCTTATCATCTTGTGTGGCTATTGAACCACAGGGAACCCAAGCTTAGTCAATAGGAAATATAGAAATATTCATTGGTTCAACTGTATAGGGAGGGCCTTGTATATATTCCAGGGGCTGTATCCTATCTTGCCTCTAGGTAAATAAGAGATGGTCCCGAGGCTCAAAGAGTTTATCAACCATTCTTTATTCTTCAGCTAATATGAACATTGAATCTTTTACATTAGAAGTTGCCCATGCAGGGCACGCCTGTAATCCCAGCAACCTGGGAGGCCAATGCAGGAAAATCACTTGAGGCCGGGAGTTTGAGACCAGCCTGGGCAACATGGTGAGACCTCATCTCTACCAAAAATAAATTTTAAAAAAAGTTACCCTTAAATTTCTTTCTCTAACCCAGCCTCAACTTTGTACTCAGGCAGTAACTCTTTGTACAACATTCCTGGCACCATATTCAGCTTATACAGAACCCTCCAGGCAAGGACAGGTCACTGCTAAGTGAGAGAGCTCTGGTTATTATAGTTCTTCCTTAAACACTGCACTCAAAACGACTTCCTTCTAACGTTTGTCCCTTGGTTCACATTCTGCCCTCCTTTCGATTTTTTGTATGGCATGGCCCTCCAAGAGATTTCAGTGTCAGTGTGGTGCTGCCAAGTCTGTGTGACTGTTCACACACTCGGGCTCCATTCACACACCCCAAGATTGCATGAGCTTTTGCTGCAGCCACTCACAGTCAGGCCCCAGTGAATCCCTGTCCTCTGAAGCTGCAGGTAGGAGCGCCCCAAGGGCATCTAGATGTCAAAGAAGAGGATGCTCACATGTGCCTAAGGTTCATCCATGAAGGCTTCGTGGAGGAGGTGGCTTTTGGGATAGATCTTAGAAAGCTCAGAGAGTTTTAACAAAGATTGGTCCTTGAAGATTACTAATCTTTTGACTTTATAAATACTTGCATATATCTTCTTCCAGTCTGTCTCTTATTTTTTGACCTTATTTATAATGTCTTCTTAAAACAAGTTTTAAATTTTGCTGTAGTGAAATCTATATATCATTTCCTTTATGGGTTATTCTATTGTTACCTCATTTAAGAAATCCTTCTCTACTTCAGAATAATAGAGTTCCCACTGTTTTCTTCCAATATGTAGAGTTATAATTTTCAAGTTTATGCCTTTGTTCCATATTGGGTTTATTTGGAGGCCTGGTATGTGGTAGGAATATAATTTTATTTCTCTCCAGCCAAAAGTCAGATGGTAGTCAGCCTTTCTCTGTTGATTTGTGTCACCTCTGTTATATACTATCCTGCACATGCTGAGTGTCTTTGTGGGTTCTTTCTTCTTTTCCGTTGATTAATTTGTCTATACTTGTGCCAGTACCCATGGAATTTATTAGCATAGTTTTGTGGTATGATTGATAGCTAGTAGAAAAGTCCTCTTTCTTTGTTCTTTTGGTTTTGTTTTATTTTTAAAGTTATCTGACTATTTATGCCATTACCCTGTGTTAGTTCACTCTCGAGTTGCTATAAAGGCATCCCTGAGACTGGTTAATGGATAAAGAAAAGTAGTTTATTTTGGCTCATGGTTCTGAAGGCTGTGCAAGCATGGCACCAACATCTGCTGGGCTTCTGGTGAGGGCCTCAGGAAGCTTCCACTCAGGGCAGAAGGTGAAGGCGGGGGGAGCCAGTGCATCACATGGCAAGAGCGGGAGCAAGAGATGGGGTGGGAGGTGCCAACAAGCAGACCTCCTGAGAACTCAGAGTGAGAACTCACTCATTATCGTGAGGACAGTACCAAGCCATTCATGAGGGATCCGCCCCCGTGATCCAAACACCTCCCACCTGGCCCCACCTCCAACATTGAGGATTACATTTCACCATGAGATTTGGAGGGGACCACCATCCAAACCACATCAACCCTTTATTGTAAGTTTCAGAACTAATTGGCCAAGTAACCAAAAATGAGCTTGGGATTTTTATTGGACTTGCATTGAACTGAGTAAGTTTCAGAGAAGTGACGTCTGTACAGTGTTAAGTCTCCTCATCCATGAGCAAACTATTTTCCTCCATTGACTCAGACTCTTTTTATGTCCCTCAGTGAAAGGTTATAAGGCTTGCACCTTCATTTCTTTTTATTTGTTAGAATATTCAATATTTATGTTCCAGACCACAGAACACCTCTACAGTAATAAAAACTGTAGTAATGAAAAACACGTTTTAAAGCAGTTTTGGGTTCTATCAGGGTTGGGAGGGGAAGAGTGCTAGCTTTTATTTATTTTCTCTTGGGTAACTCTTGTATCAATAGTATTTCATACAAATGTGACACTAGCTGTTGCCAAGCAAAGTCCTTGAGGCACATCACGGGAGACTTGTGCCCCTTGGTTGACATCTGTTCCATCAGCATTTGGTTCAGCAGTTGTTCACCAAACAGTAAATCCACTAATTGCATCATGCATATGCTTTCTTTTTTTTTTTTTTTGAGACAGAGTCTTGCTCTGTCACCCAGGCTTGAAGTGCAGTGGCGCGATCTTGGCTCACTGCAACCTCTGCCTCCCAGGGTCAAGCGATTCTCCTGCCTCAGCCTCCTGAGTAGCTGGGATTACAGAAGTGCGCTGCCACACCCAGCTGATTTTTGTACTTTTAGCAGAGACGGGGTTTCACCATGTTGGCCACGCTGATCTTGAACACCTGACCTCAAGTGATCCACCCACCTCAGCCTCCCAAAGTGCTGGGATTACAGGTGTGAGCCACTGCACCTGGCCACATATGCATCTTTACCCACAGGAGGATTGTAGATAATTTTGCCAAATGTGTTTCTTAAATTTAGAATTACTTTATCTGTGGAATATTATTTTCCTAATGAATCATTCTTGTTTCTGAAGATCCCTTGCCGTATGCTATCAATAGTCTGTGTCCTGGTTTTCAATCTAACATTATGGAAATCTTCTCCTCCAACACACTTATTTGCCTGTATCTAGTCTTCTCACATTTCTTCCATGCCACATGACTTCTCATAATTTGCTTAAGTGACAGTAGGTTCAACCTCTGATTTTCCAATATAGTGTTTGATCACATCAGCATTTATGTTAAAATCTCAATCCATTACTGCTCATGAAAAAATACTTGTTTTTAATACTATGAACCCGTATTCAGACCCACTTAAAAACCAGCACTCACAATTTCGTTGGGAGACTCCTGTCCTGACATATATGATTATTTGAAAATTATAGTAAACAGGCCAGGCGTGATGGCTCATGCCTGTAATCCCAGTACTTTGGGAGGCCGAGGTGGACAGTTTGCTTGAGCCCAGGAGTTCAAGACCAACCTGGGCAACGTGGTGAAACCCAGTCTCTACAAAAAATGCAGAAAAAAAATTAGCTTGGAGTCATGGTGCACCCCTGTAGTCGCAGCTACTCAGGAGGCTGAGATGGGAGGATCACTTGAGCCTGGGAGGTTGAGGCTGCAGTGGGCTGAGATTGTGCCACTGCACGACAGAGTGATACTGTCTTAAAAAAAAAAAAGAAATTATAGTAAACTATATTTTTTTAATGCTACAATGGATAAAAATGGTTACAACTAGATAAGAAGCCTCTAAATTGCCTGAACACCTAAGACTTATTTGCTAGTTGACATCTGATCTATTTCTGACACTGAAAATTTCAGTGCTTTAGGGTGCTAAAAGGAAAAAAGAGGGTTTGCTAGGAATCCTGCAGTTGCTGAGGGGGTACTCTGATAAGGGAATTTTAAGCAATTACAGAACATCTCACTAAAGTTTTTAAAAAATCTTTAACCAGATTAAACTTATACAATTTTGTTATAATTTGTGTTTCTCCAGGTTCCAATTGTGGACAAGATAAGGACCATTGCTCAGGCTGTCTATGGAGCCAAAGATATTGAACTCTCTCCTGAGGCACAAGCCAAAATAGATCGTTACACTCAACAGGTAAAAGTTCTACTTTTAGGGGAAAAGAAAAAATTCACCTTAGGCTCTCAGAATACTCAGCTTGACTTGAGGATTTGTACATATCGCACCAGCTAACCTTTGCTTAATCTATTGTATGGTTAACAAAGATGAAGGTAATATCCTCGGGTAGAGTGTAGACTATATTTAGAACTTTATGGTGAGGCATATATCCTCTGATCCATGCATCATTTACTTCTGTGACTATAAATGTGTCTGATATGGGTGGTATCCCTGTTTTTAGGTGATGTGTGATCTTTCATCCCTCCCACTCAGCCCTGAATGTTGAAGCTATCCTTTGGAGTAGAGCTGCGGAGTCAGATTTAGATGAATTGCAATGCTTCCTCTTCCTTACAGGCCTCTTACTTACTACCTTAAAAATGCTAGCGTGGTGCCAGGGTAGGCAGATAGGAGTGCAGCCTATAAAGATGGGAATGTTTGCTGTTCTTCTTATGCAAGCGGTTCACTGGCTTTTTACTGAGCTTGTCCGCTGAGATTGAAGGCTCCATCATCTTCTACCTCTAGCCACTGACAAAGGCAAGTAGGCAAACAGCTGGGAAGGTGGCTGTGATCTGACAGCATGCATCACCATCTAGTCCAGTGACAGTCATGATCAATCAACTCCACTACAGGAGGCTCAGCCACCTTCACCAAAAGGACCGTATGCCTCGAGTGTCCCTCCTACTTTGGTGTAGTCGGATAGATAGCAGTCAGAACACTTTAAGAGCCTGCTGGCTAAAGAACTTCATGATGGGTAGCGTTGACCTTTTCTTTAAAAAAAATCTCCAACTCCTTATTCTTTTTTGTAAACCCATTTGAAATTTTGTTAAATGCTGCCGTTGCCAGCCAGGGTATTTGTTCTCCTAGGTTTGGTAAAATAGTCAGCAACTCAGGAAGTTCTAAATTCTTAGAATTTTCCCTGTATGTTCTTGGCTTATCCTTTACAAAAAGGATTCCCAAGCACTGCTCTGTGCACAGGCATTGTGGTGAAATTTTCATTCATGTGCAATGAACCAAGTAAAATAAGGTCATTCTCATAAGGTTGGTTTGTTTTTTTTTCCGTGAGTTTTTAATAATGATATTTAAGACTATCATTTATTCTAATATTAAGTCTTTTCTCCTTTCAGTGTTAAAATGGTATTTCTTTTATGAAGTAATCTGGTGAGAGTATATGGCATATTGGTTGGTTTTTTTCTTTTTAATATGCCTACTGACAAAATTTTTACATTAGCAAACCTGTATTAGTTCATAGAAATTACTTCAATATTTAACCATGTCTGAAATTTAAAATTCTGGCACCATTTCTGAAAGACAGTTGTGATTGTCACTCAGCAAAATTCTTATCGGTATAGAAGAGTGGAGATTTCAAAAAGAAAATGGCCCCAAGTCCAAGTCCTCCCTGAGTTGATAAGACTCTAAGATCTTCCAAATAGTTTTAGGCTAAGTCTTATGAAAATTTAACTAAAGATTTCATTCCCTTTATCTCTATCAAGGAAATATTCCTTAAAAGTGATGTCAACCGGGCACGGTGCTCACACCTGTAATCCCAGCACTTTGTGGGGTCAAGGCAGAGGATCAGTTGAAGCCAGGAGTTTGAGACCACTCTGGGCAACATAGCAAAACCTCCATCTCTATTTTTATTTTTTTTTTAAAGTTAGTGTCAAGTATGTGGTTGCAATGAATTAGCAAAGCCTCTAAAGGAACACTGTGTGCCATTTAATCAGAACCAGGCTTTGAGGACACTGTGCTTTTTGTGAGACACCACATGTGACTTCCTGCTCTTTCACCTTTGGAACTCTGGGTCAGACATAGACTTTGGTCCTTAAAAACAAGAAGCTTAAATAGTGACCTCATCTTAGTTCTTATAATGTAATTGCAGATCAAATAGCCATGATTCATAAACCAACACAAAGGAACCCTTTGCTTCCTGACTGACTCCAGAATGAGTGAACAACATGAGTAAGAGCCTCGTCGCAGAGCCTTTCTCCAGACTACCTTGCTGGGTCCCGGATATTAATAGTCTTGGAAAGTGGTTTCTACAGCTGCTGCTTTGCCTGAAAATAGCCATGCTTTCCCCAAACATGCACATAACACTGCCTTCTCTTAAAGAGAGCCTCCAAAATAAACAATAGTCACCCTTGACCTGCTAAACAGTCATCACATGGAGATGAGTTTTTATCCTCACCTTCTTGCTTCTTCAGTGAACAAGTAGTAACAAGCAGCTCCTGCGTGTGCCTCGATCTGAGCCGGCATACCATTGCTGCCGAGACTGTATAAAGTGCAAATTGAAAAGCACAGGAGACTAACATCTGTATCAGTGAACACATTTTCTTTCCTTTCTCACAGGGTTTTGGAAATTTGCCCATCTGCATGGCAAAGACCCACCTTTCTCTATCTCACCAACCTGACAAAAAAGGTGTGCCAAGGGACTTCATCTTACCTATCAGTGACGTCCGGGCCAGCATAGGCGCTGGGTTCATTTACCCTTTGGTCGGAACGGTGAGTGAGTCACATTTTCCAAAAACCCTCCCCATTCTGCATTGCTGTGGTGCCTCAAATCGTTATGCTCCGCCCGCTCTTTAAAAATCATGGATTAGGGAAAATTGGGAGTAATTAATAGTACAGTATTCGCTATTTTTCTAAACACTGTGTCTCACCTACTTTTGCCATTGTGGTTTGGATTTTTCTTTTTTTAGATCATGTGTTCAGGGTCCTTAGAGTCATAATACTAATTTCCTTCCTAAGGTGAGTAAGAACATAACTTGGGAGAATTCAGTCTGTTATTTAAATGGTAGAATGGCTTAAGACAGTGGTTGTCAACCTTTATCACACATAGCACCCAAAATGATGTCATCACGGTGGGGTTGACTGCTCACACCAGACAGGATCTGCCCAGTCACCCCAAGGGCTGGGGAAAGCAGTCCTCACCCTCTCTCACTTCCCCAGCACGTCAGGTGGGAAGCTCTGGCTTAGGAAATTACTGAATCATAGGAGTTCTCATTTTTGATGTTGTTGTGATGGGATCATGTTGCTATTGGATGATTATTCTGTTATTTTGTGTTATCTATGGGGGTAAAGGAGATGGGCAGATAAATAAAAGCTTATCAAAGTGCTTAAAATCCATGAAGATGGGCTTCATTTGGTACAGCTACACAGTGATAGCCTTCCGTTGGTACCGTCAGTGGCCTAAATTTGACTTCTTGTCTTTGGGAGTGCTCCTAAATTTGGTTTAGAACAAAAAAGAATTCTTACAACCTAGCAGATCCCATGGCAAGCAAAGAAAAAAATATTCTAACCCATCATTATCGTCATCATTAGTGCAAAGTGATCTGAGCTTAAACAGCATACATTATCATAATTTTTTATAATAAACCATGTTGCTTTATTGTGCAAACAAGCAATAGATAGATAAAAAGTGCAGATTCTTGCCTTGATATTTACATACTTCATCTAATATTGGACACAATGTTTTTTCAATCAGCATTTTTTGAATTCTTCCTGCATGTGAGGCACAGAGATTTTAGGATGAGCAGGTGTGAGACGCATGGGTTTGAATAGCACAGAGGTATCTGGAGAGCACTGTGTTGGTATTCTGAATGCCCTCAGAGCCCAGGGGGATAACAGCTCATTATGCCTGGGGTAGAACTTACCCAGGATGTGGAAGAAGAGGGGATTCTTCAAAAAGAGCTCAGCCTCTGAACTGGCAAAACAGTGAGTTTTGACTCAAAGGCACCAAAGTACTAATACATGACATCCTCTCCTGGGGTGATCCGATGTGGCTGGAGTTGGATGAGGGGGGGTGGCTGGGGATGGGAATGGGAATGGGATTGGGATAGCAGGACAGGGTCACATGGCCAAGGATCTTGAAGACCATCTCATGGAACTTGAATCTGATCTCTACACACTGGGGAGCCACGGTAGGGTGGGTTTTTTGTTTGTTTGTTTCTTGGTTTTTTGTTTTTTTGGTTTTAAATAAGGAGGAGAAGAATGTGGTCTGATGTGTATTTTAGAAAAATAGCTCTGGCAGCAATATGGAGAATGTTTAGTGAAAAGAGAACCAGGCCCAGAGAGGTGGGTTAATTCAGCTCGGGCCAGAGGCAATCAAGGTCCGCACTTTGGCCACAGAAGTAGATACAGAGAGTGGGGGTGAATTGCAGACATACTCTAAAAGTATCCTCCTACCGTGGGGGCCGGGGGAAGGGACCGTTCTAGCTTGGTGACTCTGGCTAGTGATGCCATCGGTCATGGAAAGGACACGGGAGAAGGCAGATTGGCAGAGCCAGAAATGAGCCTGGCTTGAACAGAGAGAGCTCAGAGGGTTAATAGGATCTAAGGAATAGTCTGTGTCTCCACTGGAAATACAGACACAGTGCTTCAAAGAAAGAGGCAGGAAGGTCACCCTGGTGGGTTTAAGGATATGGGTGAAGGCAGTCGTTAAACAAGAGACACAGGGATAGCTGGAAATCAGTGAGAAGACAGTGAAGGAAGACACCCCTGAAACACCCACGTTAATGCAGCCGACTCCTAGCAGGGGTGCCTTCCAGGAGGCGGGAAGGAAGGAGCAGCGGCATGGCAGAGAACGTCCAGAAAAATCCCACAGACACCGCTCGTAGCAGTGTTGGCACAGGGAGAAGGGCCTGGATGAAATGGGTTCTGAATGACATTTTCAGGTCTACAGTTCAGATCAGTGGTTGCCAGGAGTTGGGGGAGGGGAAGCGTTTGACTGCAGAGGGGCAGGAGGGAACTTTTTGGGATAATGCAAATACCCTATGTTTTGACGTGGTAGTGATTCCATGGCTATATACATTCTTCCAGACTCATAGACCTATTCACGTGTGTTGCCCAGGCTGGACTCAAACTCCTGGGCTCAAGCAATCCTCCCACCTCAGCTTCCCAAGTAGCTGTGACTACAGGCTCATGCCACTGTGCCAGGCCTGTGTATAATTTAATTATACCTCAGTTAACAAAAATGGGTGCTGAAGAGCTTGCTTTATATTCGTTAGAATGGCCTCAGTCAGCCGGGTGCGGTGGCTCACGCCTGTAATCCCAGCACTTTGGGAGGCCGAGGCGGGCGGATCACAAGGTCAGGAGTTCGAGACCTGCCTGGCCAAAATGGTGAAACCCCATCACTACTAAAAATACAAAAATTTGCCGGGCGGGGTGGTGGGCACCTATAATCCCAGCTGCTCAGGAGGCTGAGGCAGGAGAATCGCTTGAACCCGGGAGGCAGAAGTTGCAGTAAGCCAAGATTGCGCCATTGCACTTCAGCCTGGGTGACAGAGCAAGACTTCATCTCTAAATACATACATACATACATACATACATACATGCATACATGCATACATGCATACATAGAATGGCCTCAGTGATGGCCACTTTACTCCTGAGCTTTAGCTGGTGAAAGCCTTGGCTTAGGGATAAGAGGGCGGCTGGACAGTGCAGGCCCAGAGAGACTGGACCATCAGGGGAGGTGAGGGGTGACGGAGGTGCCCAAACAGAGCATGAAATGGTAGAGTAGCTGAGAAGGTTAGCCTCAGTCACGATCTGTCCTGTCCTACCCTCTGAGGACTCTAAACCCCGCAGTAGTTCACCCAACAAATTCATTCACTCGGCCAATGCTGCATAAGGCACTCAGCTCGGGGCTACAGGGAGCCCCAACTTTAAGAAGCTTTCTCTGCTTCAGGTAGTTTACAGGTGGTAGACGCAGATAGAAGTGAATTAGTAAAGAGAATAGTTTGGTGTAAAAATTGTGCATTTAACTGAAACCTTAATTCACTACTGAGCATTTAATAGCCATTAAATAAAAACCAGGGCCCGCACAGTGGCTCACACTTACAATCCGAGCACTTTTGGAAGCCAAGGTAGAAGGATTGCTTCAGGCCAGGAGTTTGAGACGCCTGGGCAACATAGCCAGACTTTGTCTCTACTTAAACAAAAATTAGCCAGGAGTCATGGCACGCACCTGGAGTCCCAGCTACTCAGGAGGCTGAAATGGGAGGATTACTTGAGCCCAGGAGTTTGAGGCTACAGTGAGCTATGATCATATCATTGCACTCCAGCCTGGGAGATAGAGTGAGATCTCTGTCTCTAAAAAAATGAAATAAAATAATAAAAAACACAATATAATTTAAAATCTTTGGAGTCACTAAACAAATATACAATGTGAATCTCCTCTCACTCCAGCTAACGCCACCATATCCAACACTAGGTAAAGACCAAAGCCGTTCTGGAAAATCAGAATCTGTTGCCATGGCTCATGCCTGGACACCAGGCTGTCCGCTCCTGACGTCACTCTTTCACTTACGACTTGTTAGAAAATGAATGTGTGGAATGGCCCTGGATAGCTGCTGCAGCTCCCTGGTTTCCTGAAGTGAGCCCTCTGTGTCATTATCTGGTCTTCTCAGCCCTCAGCCGAGTTCCTCCTGTGGCCACACACGGGGTCGCAGTGAGCGTCAGTGCACAGTGATGAAATCTCCTGGAACAGTCGGGTGTGGGGCATGAGGAAGGGAGTGGTGCCTGACTACAGAAGTTCCTGGAGGTCAGGAAACTCTCACTGGAGGCGGTGGCCCTAGAGGGCTGCTTTCTATGACAGAGCAGGAAGCTGCATGTGTAGTGGGACACACGCACCAGAGGGGCCAGGATCTCCTAATAAGGACTGGTATTTATTTTTACTTGACCCCATTCTGGGCCTTGCCACAGTCTGCTGAAATGCCTTGAACATTCATCACCCGTGTGGGAGACAGGATAGTAATTTCCTGCTGAGATGACTGAGGGGACGGGGAATGGGGACACCAGGGGGACTGGCTCCTGCAGGTGGGAAAATTCTAGCAAAATGAATCACTCTTCTGCTTAGTCACCCAATGTGCACTTATTAGGGTGCTGCTGAAATACATATTCATCTATCCACTCCAGAAAGATAGTCCAAACTGAGACCTCAGGATCAGAAAGCCTCCCATTCTCCTGCAGGGTTCATTCATTTACTCAGTGAATTATTAAATGCCTACAGCACGCAGGGCCATCAGCCCCACAGCTATGAGAAAGATTCAGTCCTTCCCTCACAGGCCTTATGATAGACTCCAGTAAATAAAACCATACAGGCACAGAATGCGGCGGGCTTTATAACAAAGGCAGAAAGCCCCTCTTGTTGTGTCCTCAAGGGAGGCAGAGAAGCTCCCCTCTGGCTCTAGTTGGAGAATCCCAACCCAAGCAAGTCCATCCTTAAACAATAAACATCTCCAGCATTGCTGGCTTTGGAAGACCCCATGGTGAGATGCTGGAGCTTTTTTCCGCTCCAGATTTCGCTTCTAAATATTTACTTTTACTTTCCATGTTCACTTATAGGCCAGGGTTTTTTTTTCCTACCATTGAATTATTTCGTCATGTTCTATTTAATTATTGCTTTAATTGGCATTGGTGACCACAAATAATAATAAATACTATTAACTGGTGTAACAGCTTCACTAGTCTATTTCACTGCCCCATGCTGTTGTAACTGAAGCCCCCAGCACAAGCATTCCCAGCTCGTGGTCATCTAAGACCTTTGAGGTCATTCTTACATGCATTGCTAGTGTTTTCCATATTCCTTGATGGTAGCCAATTTTTCCTTCTTAAAATAACTTTCTTCATTCCTAGTAAGCTTCATATGTATTTTATGTATTCTTCCCTCTTTTTTATGACATGATACATATTATTGAAAGCTAGGAAATAATGCAAGATTCTTGAACGACATAATACCACTTAGTACATCTTTTTGTAAGAGATAGTTTTTCTAATACAAATCTTTGATATGGGAAGAAACAAGCAAGTTGTTTTTTAAGGTTTTCCAACCCTATATTCTACTACAAATTACCCTGTTATGGTATGCTTCCAAAATTCTTTCAAGGATTATGGTTTATAGAGTTCAATAAACCTAATAGTTTATAAAACTTCTCAAAAAATAATCTCATGCCAAAAATAATTTAGTAGTAGGTGGTCTTTGTCTTGTGGTCACATGGTTTTGATATTGTCTTTAAGTTTCTATAATTTACAAGGGCTGTTTAATCAGTTGGCATAAATTTCATGACAAAAATACTAATATGTAAGCAAAGTATATGAAACAATATTATTGAGAAGTAAATTACATTCCATGTAGAAAAAGACTAGAAAGACAACACCAAAACCTTAAATTAGACAGTGTTATTATGAGTAGCTTTTTTTCTTCTCTTTTTCCATATAGATCAAATTACTACATTGGGCGTATATCACTTTTATAACATGAAAATACAGTAAATAGGGCGATGATAAACTGCAAGTGCTTGGGGAGAATGCTTAACTCAGGCCAGTTGCAAGAGAGTGAGAACACACACGCAGCCTGTGGGAGCGGGCTCCATGCCATCACCTGGCCGGTCCTGGCTGTGTTGCTGTGTTTTCGCACCTCAAAAGTTGGGACAGCAAAGAAAGGCCATAAGAGCTAGAACGTTTCCATAAGAAGTGTATTCAGTATGATTTGTCTAGCTCTGACTAATGTGTGCAAACCCCACATTCCACTAAGCAAATGCAAGATTGTTTTTCCCTGTTCATTTGTTCCTGGGCCCTTCTTGCTTACTGTGTTGGGAGTTGGAGAGGGGATAATTGACTTCTTTCTTCTCACAGTGTTTTCTCTTTTTTTTTTTTTTTTTTTTTTTTGAGACAGAGTATTGCTCTGTCGCCCAGGCTGGAGTGCAGTAGCATGATCTCGGCTCACTGCAACCTCCGCCTTCCAGGTTCAAGTGATACTCCTGCCTCAGCCTCCCAAGTAGCTGGGACTACAGGTATATGCCACCACATCTGGCTCATTTTTTGTATTTTTCAAAGAGACTGGGGTCTCACCATGTTGGCCAGGCTGGTCTCAAACTCCTGACCTCAAGTAAGCCACTGCGCCCGGCCATCTCTCACAGTGTTTTTTAAAACAACAATGCATTTTCATAACAGTTGGCCTGGAGAGGTGTCCGACCAAGTTGGAATTCATAGTAGAATCCATTGGAAGTTAATTTTTGATGTATTTGACTGTTTTCCATTGACTTCGCATTGAGGCAGTGAGAGAGACTTGAAGAACTTAGAATACGCACCCTTTTGTCACTGGCAAACATGGGACATAGAGGCGTGTCTTGACAGCAATTTGTGGCAACACTCTGGGCTGGAATCTAGGGGTTAGACAGCCTGGCCGGTTTTGTAAATTAGATAGCCAGGCCACCCTCAGAGTCAGTTTGAGGGTTGAGTGGGAAGCCTGAATAAAAAGAGAAGTTAAACTTTTAAGAAAAGGGTCAAGCTTTAAAACTGGAATTGGGTTTTCAAATTTAATGAGGAAAAAGAAACCCCAAAACTGGAATTGTAATTGTGGAGAAATACAACTGATAATATTTGGAATATCATCTACAAGGAATGAAACTATCCAGAAGCATTTAGATGGTAGTCAGTGCCATGTAGGGCACCTCTGGGGGCAGGGTGGCTCCTGGCACTGTGGAGAAAGACGACTGGTGCTTCCTTCTCCCAATCGGAGGAAAGGGATACACTGTGGAGGTCCCAGCAGCTTAGGGCCTGCCCCCCATGTGGTTATCTCTGTGCCGTTTCCTTCCCTCTGTCTTCCTGTAACTCCTTCACTTTGGCCCCTCTGCCCTTTCTGGGCAGAGGGTGACAGGAGGCACCGCATGGGTACATTCTTTTTTTTTTTTTTTCTTTTTTTTGAGACAGAGTCTCACTCTGTCACCTGGGCTGGAGTGCAGTGGCGCAATCTCGACTCACTGCAACCTCCATCTCCGGGTTTCAAGCGATTCTCCTGCCTCAGCCTCCCGAGTAGCTGGGATTACAGGTGGCCGCCACTACGCCCCGCTAGTTTTTTGTATTTTTAATAGAGATGGCATTTCACTATGTTGTTCAGGCTGGTCTCAAACTCCTGACCTCGTGATTCACCTGCCTCAGCCTCCCAAAGTGCTGGGATTACAGGAGTGAGCCACTGCGCCCGGCCAACTACATGCTTTTTTCCTCCTGTCGGGATTGGCCTGGGCTGTACCTATCTCATGGTGGAAACCTGCCCAGGGACCAGGCCCTAGAAGACCAGCAGTTTATTTAACTGGGTTGGCCTTTGTCCCCACTCCCTGTGACCCGGCCCTGCCACATCTTTACCCAGGTGCACCACTGACATCATCGCTTGGCTGGACTCTGGAAAGCAGGAAACTGCTGGAGCGTGTTTGGGGCATCAGTGATGTCACCCGCTACAAATGCTGGGTGGGGTTACTGGACTGAGGGCCATGAAAAAAGAAAGCTGCGGCCCCGGCCCGTGGACTCACTGCCATTCTGCTCTTTCTCACGTTTCAGTTCAGCTCGGTTTGTTTTCCGTCCCCCTCCCTCTACTGTAAAAGTATGTACTCAGTGTTTCGTTTCCTGCTGGATCTGATTCAGGTCAGTGATGAAGTTATTTGTGAACTCAGTGGGGAGGTGTTTCCTCCCCTTTGTACCGGCCCTACTTAGGGATGCACGGTTGGTTATACGCTTGCTTCACTCGGTTAGGCATGGAGGAGAATTCATTCAGCCCTCATAGGTTTAAATCAAATGCATGACCCTTCACATTTTCCAGAGATTTACGGCCAGTTACAATGAGACAATTAAACATTCACCCCCCCGCCAAGCTGCACTTGGAGATGTGTAAGCAGTAATGTAGTCATGCGCTCCCCATGATGTGAGAGCGTGCAGAACGCCACTCCCCCCAGCAGGTCCGCCAGGACCTCCGCAGGGAGCATCTTGCCTGCAAAATCACACATCCCTTTTTCCCCCTCTCTCCACTTTCCCTACTACTTTTCCACTCCCACACCCACAAATAAACAAAGAAACCTTGAGCTTATTTTACAAAAGTCTTTGAAATGGCCCTCGTCTCTCCAATGCTCCTGGGTCCTGGTTTGGCCCCATCTGTGCAATCTCTCTGATGAGTGTGAAATAAGCCAGGTTTGGCTCATGCTCTGCCGGTGAGCTTGCCCTCCCCATGAGCCTGTCCTCTCCATCTGGCCTCACTTTGTTTGTGTCCCTGTGTCCTTTGTCTCCCATCCTGGGATCCTGGTGGTTTCCTCCTCCCCTCCCAGCATGAGTCCTTTTCCCCAGGGTTCTTCCCTATCTCTACATCAGAATTTCCTGCTTTCTCCCAAATATGCATTTCCCTGGCCCAGGCATCCACTGCTTCCTCTCATCGTGAGGTCCCTGCCGCAGGCTGCTGATGGTATTGTGGCCGTGCCTTCCTCCACAACCCAGGGAAAGCTACGTGTGTGTCTGTCCCATAGGGAAGGAGTCATCCCTGTCTCCTCAGTGTGGTGTGTTCAGGAGGAAGGAAAGTAACCAGCGTCGTTCTCAATTTCCAGAAACTGTTTATCATATTGACAAGAAGAAGAAAGCTTTGTGACTCATGAGAATGATGTTTTCCTCTCTGGTACATAAGGTTATCTAGGTCCAATCCATTTGTGTAGAGGATCTTCTCTCCCCTAGTGTGATATGCACTTATTTTTAGCACAAGTATAAAACTACTTTAAATGAAATCAGCCTCAGCCAGGGAAATATGCTGAGTAATAATGTTGCCAGGTACTATACCACTGAGTTGAGTTTGTAATTCACTGCTATTAATCCCTGTGTATTAGTTCTGATTTTTTACTCTTTGCATACATAGAAAAATGGTGTTTCTCTTCAGAGTCAAGGAGGGAAAAAAAGAAAAGATAAAAGATGCTTATAACACTTTTGTGTCCACCCCTAAAATCAGCATATTGATCTATTATTTTTTCTAGGTATTGATGAGATGTTGACTCATATACTTTCATACAACTGGTAATATATATATATATATAATATGTGTGTGTGTATATATATATATATATATATATATATATATATATATATATATAGACTCATTTTTCTTCCACTTTCATCTACAGCCTACTTGTTTTCTTCCCCCCATTTTTCGTATGGATTCATAGCATAAATTGACAACAAAGATACATCTCAATTTAGAGCTTCCAAAAGGCACCCATAAAAGTATCTGGTGCTCATGGAATTGCTCTTTCTTCTATGTCTCTTAGTTACACTTTTCTCTTATTACACTTTTCTATCCCAGCCATGGCTAAGAGGCGTATAATCAGAAGCAGCTAAGCAATATATGCAAGGGAAATAAAATGAATGCAAACCAAGATACCGGTTTTGTAAATTAGATAGCCAGGCCACCCTCAGAGTCAGTTTGAGGGTATAGTGGGAAGCCTGAATAAAAAGAGAAGTTAAACTTTTAAGAAAAGGGTCAAGCTTTAAAACTGGAATTGGGTTTTCAAATCTAATGAGTAAAAAGAAACCCCAAAACTGGAATTGTAATTGTGGAGAAATATAACGGATAATATCTGGAACTCGCGGCAGTTTACAGGCTTAACTATGTATGTGTTCCTTAAATTATCCACCCGCAGATATCAGATTACAATAAGTCCTCACTTAATGTCATTGATAGGTTCTTGGAAACTACCACTTTAAGCAAAAAGACATGATGCATATGAAACCAGTTTTCCCATAGTCTAATTGATAGGAAAAAGAGTTAAGTTATGCAGCCACACAGTACCTCGTTTGGCTTAAAGTCACTGTTTCCAAGAACCTATCCACAATGTTAAGTAAGGACTTACCGTATATGAAAATATTTGCAGTAAATTGCTTTTGAGAGAATTGGTTATCACACTCTTCTCTGGGTATCATTGAAAATTCAGAATGTTTAATTACATCAGGCTATACTCACTGGTATAAAATCAGGGAGCAAGTATAAAGTAGGTGTAGGGAAATAATTTATGTTGGATTAAATGATCCAATGAAGGGATTTTATTAAGCCCCTAGAAGTCCCAGAATGAAAATGTATAACTGCATGACTAACCCCTAAGAATTTGCTGGGGTTTCTGCATTAAGTACGCTTCCCAGGCCATTTGTAATGAAGGTACCGTGATCTGTTAAGGAAGAGACCTACAGCTGGGAACAAAAAGAGCCAATTCCATCCTAGACATCAGTCTCCTGTTTGACTCATTCCAACCCCAAGAATATGTTGTAGAGTGTAGGACCCATGAAAGTTACTTACTGTGCTTCCCTGTACCTTCCGTCATCCAGTTCCCAGACATATCTGTGTTTCTTCTCTGAATGCCTAGTTACTTGGGATCCCATGCTGTATTGGTCTGTTCTCACACTGCTGTAAAGAACTACCTGAGACTGGATAGTTTATAAAGAAAAGAGGTTTAATTGACTCAGTTTTACAGGCTATACGGGAAGCATGGCTGGGGAGGCCTCAGGAAACTTACAATCATGGTGGAAGGCAAAGGGGAAGCAAGCACATCTTCACATGGCGGCAGGAAAGAGAGAGAGTGAAGGGGCAGTGCCACACACTTTTAAACAACCAGATCTCATGAGAACTCACTATCACGAGAACAACAAGGGGGAAATTCACCCCCATGATCCAGTCACCTCCCACCAGGCCCCTCCTCCAACACTGAAGATCATAATTCATCATGAGATTTGGCTGGGGATACAGCGCCAAACCATAGCACATGCCTTTCCCAGGACTGGTGATGGAGGAACGGTGCCCTTGTCACACCTACCAGAATATACTCACCCACCTCCAGACACTCCATTTCTCTTTCAAGCACACCTCTTCACTTGTGCCGCCAGCTAAGGTTTACTGCAGTTACTTCCTTTGTGTGTCCTCTTACCTTACCAAGTCGCCTCACCCACCATCTACTGTTAATTAAATTACCACCTCCCCCACTTCCCACCTCCAGAGTAGAGACTGTGTCTTCAGTTCTCTTGGCCTTCCCACAATGGGAAGTCCAGTGTAGAACATACCCTAGGAGCCAACTAAATGTGCTAGTGGCCTGCCAACCCTGCAGAGGGCTAGGGAATCTTCAAGGAGTCTGCTGCCAGTGAAACTCACCAGTACTAGAATCCCAGGCTCCAAAGAAGTCTAGAAAAGTACATCTTTTAAGGAGGTAATAAGAGGCTCAAGTGCCCACAAATCCTATCTGCTCTTGGCCTAGTTCTTTTGGGATCAATGTGCTAGTCTCTCTTGTCGAACCAGTTACTGACCAGCAAGACTAAAAAACCAGGCCCAAACACATTCTATTCATGTGCTTAGATATGGACCTACGGATCAAATATCCCACTGTAAAGCAAAACAGCAAACTGTTTTTCCCTTGTACTTTCACACTCAACAATAGCACGCTTCTGTGGCTGGCTGTGTGGGGGCTTTTCCTTACACACCAAATATTTCTCACAAACACCAACCAGGTGTCCTCTTATTCAATTCAATCCTGACACTGTCTACCTGGAGATGGTGTCGGATCCCACAGATTGACGGCTCAGTCCCATGAGACCAGCCCCACTTCAGGCACTAATTGCAAATCCAGGCCATGCATACTTCTCTGACTGCCTGGCTAAAAACCGCATTCACAGCCGGGCACGGTGGCTCATGCCTGTAATGCCAACACTTTGGGAGACCAAGGTAGGTGGATCACTTGAGGTCGGAGGTTCGAGACCAGCCTGGCCAACATGGTGAAACCCCATCTCTATTAAAAATACAAAGATTAGGCCGGGCACAGTGGCTGACGCCAGTAATCCCGGCACTTTGGGAGGCCGAGGCAGGCAGATCACGAGGTCAGGAGATTGAGACCATCCTGGCTAACACAGTGAAACCCTGTCTCTACTAAAAATACAAAAAAATTAGCCAGGTGTGGTGGCAGACGCCTGTAGTCCCAGCTACTCAGGAGGCTGAGGCAGGAGAATGGCGTGAACCCGGGAGGCGGAGCTTGCAGTGAGCGGAGATCGCGCCACTGCACTCCAGCCTGGGCAAGACAGCGAGACTCCGTCTCAAAAAAAAAAAAAAAAAAAAATTAGCTGGGTGTGGTGGCGGGCTCCTGTAAGCCAAGCTACTAGGGAGGCTGAGGCAGGAGAATCGCTTGAACCCAGGAGGCGGAAGTTGCAGTGAGTTGAGATCCTGCCACTGCACTCCAGCCTGGGAGACAGAGTGAGACTCCATCTCAAAAAAAAAAAAAAAAAATGGGTTCGCATGAGCCCCCTCCTTGGGTTCAATTAAGTTCCTAGGATGGCTCACAGAACTGAGAGAAACACTTATTTACAGAGGTGTTATGATATATATTGATTTTCGTCCATGGTTCCTGGTTCCTGAATCCCATAAACCTTCTTACAGCCTTTTGTTATAATGTTGGGGGTGTCACGCCTCAGGGGCAGGCCTCTGACCTTCCCTGCCCTCCTTGCACTGTAATGTTTCCCCCATTTCTGATTGTGAGTCTTAAGACCCTCCCATGAGAGGGTCCCACCCTACACCTTGTGGGAAGGAATGTGGATGTCATGAAGTGTCCATAAAAACCCAAGAGGACAGGGTTCAAGGGGATTCCAGATAGCCAGACATGTGGAGCTTCCTGGAAGGCAGGGCACCCAGGTCGGGCATGGAAGTTCTGCACCTCTTCCCCCATACCTCGCCCTACACACCTCTTCATATGTGTCCTTTGCAATATCTTTTTGTTGTTGTTGTTTGTTTGAGACAGAGTCTCGCTCTGCTGCCCAGGCTGGAATACAATGGCATGATCTTGGCTCCCTGCTACCTCCGCCTCCTGGGTTCAAGCGACTCTCCCACCTCAGCCTCCTGAGTAGCTGGGATTACAGGCATCCACCATCATGCCTGGCTAGTTTTTGTATTTTTGTAGAGACGGGGTTTCACCATGTTGGCCAGGCTGGTCTTGAACTCCTGACCTTAGGTGACCCGCCCGCCTTGGCCTCCCAAAGTGCTGGGATTACAGGCGTGAGCCACCGTGCCTGGCCTGTAGTATCCTTTATAATAAACTGGAAATGTTAAGCATGTGTTTCCTTTAGTTCTGTTAGCTGCTCCAGCAAATTAATCAAACCCAAAGAGGGGAGTCCTAGGAACTCCAATTTGAAACCAGTTGGTCAGAAGTTCCAGAGGCCCAGACTTGCGACTGGTATGGTGGGGGGCACTCGGCCCTGTGGGATCTGACACTATCTCTGGGTAGACAGGGTCGGAACTGAACTGGAAGCCACCCCACCTGGTGTCTGCTGCTTGGTGTATGGGGAAACCCCATACACATTTGGTCACAGAAGTCTTCTATGTTGATGACTGTTGTGGTGCGACAGCAGAGGAAAACACGGTTTGAGGAGAGCTTTTCCCAACACGCTTATGTGTGCCAGTTTATTATAGAAGACACAGATGAACACCAGATGAAGAGATGCATAGGGCATGGTCTGTGGAGTTGGGGTTCACCTCCCTCCTGGCACAAGGATGCCTTCACCAACCCAGAAACTCATCAAGTCTTGTTCAAGGATTTTTGTAGAGCTTAATCTCCACTCCCCGCCCTCCACCCTTCCTGGAGGTTGATGGGTGGGGCTGAAAGTTCCAGCCCTCCAATCTTCTACTTACTTGGTCTTTCCATCCTGAGGCTAGCTGGAGGCCCACCCCGTCACTCCATTACCTTAAGCTCAGGTGTTATTGAAGGAGCTCCTTATGAATAGAGCAAAATCACCCCTATCAGAAATTTCAAGAGTTTTAGGAAACCTGTGACTGGAACCAAGGACAAAGATGAAATATATTTTGTATGATAGCACACCCACCAGATTGGATCGTGGGGCCATATGGCCTTTAGTGTGGAAGCTGCTTGACCACATTTTCCGCCCATGCACTGCCATTCTCATTTCAGGCTGCGTCATCATCATCATCACCATCACCTGTTCTTAGCAAAGGTCGCACACCTTCCAAATGCTTTGTATAGATTAGCTCATCACTCCCCATACTCACCCTGGGAGCATAGTCAGGGATAAGAGGTAGAGTTCTAGCGCTCTGTGGCTACTATGGTTTATGGGATCTTTGCGCAGGAATAACTGGACTTTAAACATCTTGGCTTTTCTTTTCAGTAGGTCAGTCGGCATGTACTCACAGGGCCGTGCATGCTGAGCATTGAGACACATCACAAGGGAGTGAAAACCTGCTGCCATACCCCCCCAGAGGCAGCAGGATGTTTGGATAAATAAGGCATAAACACCTGGAGAATTAAAGCAAGTACAATTAGTGCAGCCTTTGCCAAGAGAAAGGTGTAAGTGCTAAATGCAGTAGATGTTCAAATACGGCAGAGACCACAGTGGGCAGGGTAGGCCAAGAATGCTGCCTAAGGAGTGGGGCTTGGGGTGAAACTGGGGCATTTGAGACACTGCAGGCCCATCACCCTGGCTGCGCCCTCCTGAGGGAGGCAGGGACTGAGGCGGGAGGCCTGGAGAGGTCTGTGCGTGAGCCTGGGGGCTCATTGATAAGGAGCTTCCAGTGGGGGCAATAACATTGGAAGTGGAGAGGATGGCATGTGTGCCGGGAGACGCAGTGGAGTGGAAGTCGCCGGAACTGACAAGGGATGGGATGTGAGCAAGGAGTCCAGGTGAGTCCTGGGGACCTGAAAGGATGGACCCAGAGAGATAAACGACTTCAAACCGGCACGGCAGTGAAGTGACTGACCCGCGAGTGCCCTGCACCGAGGCTGACATTTGACTTCCTGCCAAGTTGGCCATCAGACAGTTAGAAATCAATTTTGGAGTTCAGGAGAGAGGCCAGAGCTGAAAATTGGGGAGTTGTTTACATTGGGAGTGATATACAGTCTCTACATTTCCATCCAGTTCAAAACATTCTTGCGTGTCTGCTATGCACTGTGCACTGAGGTTACCAAGACTGGAAAGACCCAATCCCTGTCCTGGAAGCTTAGTGTTGGCAGGAGGCAGACAAGCTGATACATGCAAACAAAGGGCTCACAGGTGCCAGGATGCCAAGGGATACAGAAGAAGGATGGTTGCTTCTCTACCCAGGAGTGCCCTGAGGTGTCTTAAAAAGAGGAGCATTTATGACTCAGGCAGGGTGGCACATTCCAGACGGCAGTGGGCAGGAGCCTGACTCCAGAGCGCCTTAGAGGCTGCCGCTGGGAGTTGAGCTGGACCCTGAAGGCAGTAGGGTAAGCCATAAATTAGGGTTAAGGAACCAAGGGAATAAGGGGATCAGACCATTGCATAGCTCCAGCAGCACCATTACTAGCAGCCTGTGTGAATGATGGTCCCCTCTTACATGCCCACCATGCAAGGGCTCTAGGCCATTCTTCACTCTTTAATGCAGAAAAGCAAAACTTCCAGCTGTTTTCCCCTACCCAAAATGTGTGAGCCTGAGCCCAGCCCCAGGATGGATCTTGTCCTAGGTAACCAAGAAGGCCTTAAGTGTCAGAAGAGGTAGCTCCAGGCTGAATAAAGGGACAAATGAAGCATTACTGCACTGAGATCGCCCGTCGTGGGGTGGGTCTATACCCATCTAGTCATTAAGCCTCAATAATTTGGTTTCTAAATGGACTATTATTTGCTACAGATCAAAAGTTGTTGGAAACTATATTACACAGATAAATAGAATTGTCCTGCAAATAAAGGAAGTAATCTCTTCTCTGTTTGAGATACCATGCAGTATTTGTCCAACTTGTACAAATAGTTCTGATCCATGAGAATCCTCCACTTTCAACTTACTTGCTGCTATATCCCAACTATTATAAGGCCATGGAGACCAGTAGCCTGGTTTCCATTATCTTTGCTCTGTTTTTTTTTATGGCATGGTTGACACTACCTCCAGTAGCAAAGAGTTAACTTGTCATCAGAGCTATAAAATCACAATGATAAGTGAAAAGTTCTCTTTTGTACTTTAGCATCCAAGAGAAGTGTAATTCCCAACTACAATGCTCAAAATAATAGAGAGTTTTTACTTTGGGCCTGAAAATACTTATAGGTCAGGTCTCCTAGTTGGGTCCATGCTGTTGTTGGTGTTCCCTCCCAAGTAAATACATACTGAATTTAGCAAATTATTCATTTGTGATCCTCTGTGCCATCTAAAAATATATATAGTTTAAAACGCTGGCCAGGCGCAGTGGCTCATGCCTATAATCTCAGCACTTTGGGAGGCTGAGGCAGGTGGATCACCTGAGGTCGGGAATTGAAGACCAAACTGGCCAACATGGTGAAACCCCCTCTCTACTAAAAATACAAAAATTAGCTGGGCATGGTGTTGGACTCCTATAATCCCAGCTACTAGGGAGGCTGAGGCAGGAGAATCTCTTGAACCCGGGAGGTGGAGGTTGCAGTGAGCCGAGATTGTGGCACTGTACTCCAGCCTGGGTGACAGAGTGAGACTCCATCTCAAAAAAAAAAAAAAAAATGCTTATCATTGCACAGATAGCTGTACAGTTTTTTATTATTTATGATAACGGTAACTGACTTTTTGTTAAAGCTGGTTTGGAATCTGGAGGTTATTTTAATTTTGATAACTTTATGATTTTAACTTTTAATTTTAACTTTATGATGTTTGTCATAAAAGAGTGGAATGTGCTCCTATTTTGAGATGGAAACATTTCGGCAGGGAGAGAGAAGAGAGACACCAAACCACCTAACAGCCAGGTTCCAAGGGGAGATTCATTCAGCGTCTTTGAAGCATTGTTAGTTTTCATTTGAGGCATAAATTGGAAACTTATATCTTTCTTTGGAGTAGGAAGTATTTCAGACAGAAAAAAAATGATTGCTACAACAACATCACGAAAAAGAACAGAAGGTTTCATGAAGAGTAATAAAGTTAAGTTTATGAATTAGAGCTTCAGATGGGAAATCTTATTTGGACAGTAAATGGTTAATGGTACAGGGACACCATGATGGGGGATCTTTGCAGCATTGAAAAAACACGCGTCCATAAATCCTTCTCTAGCACTTCTTTGTGATCACAGAGTCAAGCTGAGGACAATGATGGAGTGCTCCAGTTCATCCGAAGTGCACGAGTCCCCTTTGCAGCAGACTCTGACATTCCCGGCCCCTCTCCGGAGTGTTATCAACATGCAGTCAGTGCTCTCTACGTCATTACTTTAAAAACAAAAACTCGGCCAGCAGCAGTTCAGTACATCTTCAAAGATCTTGACTTGTAATTTTTTCCCCTGCATCTTCTCTATTGAGCACATGAACTGACATCTTTCTACCCCCAAATAATCAGTTCTTTCCCCCTAAATAAAATGGGTAATCCAAAAAAGACCCATCAAAAGGAAGCTAAAGATAGTAATGCCTAGGTAGTTTCGGGACCAGAATGATTGTCTCTAAATATGTACATGTACAGTGATTACGTGTTTAAAATGTTTAATGACTTGGAGAAATAGTGTGTTGAGTGGAGAAAAATGAGATTTAGTAGAGCATAACGTCAACAGTGTAAAAATACATAGAAAAGCAAGCAGGAATAAAGGAATGTTTAAATAAATTACAAAGATAAAAATTAAAACCGTAATTCAGCCGAGCCTGGTGGGTCATGCCTGTAATCCCAGCACTTTGAGAGGCTGAGGCAGGCAGATCACTTGAGGTCAGGATTTTGAGACCAGCCTGGCCAACGTGGTGAAACCTCATTTCTACTAAAAATACAAAAATTAGCCGGGCATGGTGTTGGGTGCCTGTAATCCCAGCTACTCAGAAGGCTGAGGCAGAAGAATCGCTTAAACCCAGGAGATGGAGTTTGCAGTGAGCCTAGTTCGCGCCACTGGACTAGACTAGGTGACAGAGGGAGACTCCGTCTCAAGGAAAAAAAAAAAACTTAACTAGAACATTTATTGAGCACTTACTAGGTGCCAGCTAGTGCTCTGAGTGCTTTGTGTGTATTAACTCATTAATGCCCCCAGCACCTCTTGAGGTAGATTAAAATCTCCATCTCGGTTTTACATGCAAGGAAACCAGAGCAGGAAGAGCTTCAGGAACTTGCCCTCCTAGTAAAGATAGAAAGTAGCAAACCCAGGATTCAACCCCAGAAATATTATATACTATGTTTGTGCTGAATCTTTTTTTTTTTTTTTTGTTTTTGGAGATGGAGTTTTGCTCTTGTTGCCCAGGCTGGAGTGCAGTGGCGCGATCTCGGCTCACCGCAACCTCCGCCTCCCAGGTTCAAGTGATTCTCCTGCCTCAGCCTCCCAAGTAGCTGGGATTGCAGGTGCTCACTACCACGCCGGCTAATTTTGTATTTTTAGTAGAGACAGAGTTTCTCCATGTTGGTCAGGCTGTTCTCAAGCTCCCGACCTCGGGTGATCTGCCTGCCTCGGCCTCCCAAAGTGTTGGGATTACAGGCGAGAGCCACCGCACCTGGCCTTTGTGCTGATTCTATAGTCTTATTTTCACATCCTATCAGTTACTGTAAGTAACTCTTGATTCCAAGAACTGTATAATAGGAAAGGGTAGCTTCCAATTATCTACTCTTGCTTGATAATGCATTAATTCCACATAGCCTTTAAAAGTTTAGTAAATTTTAGGATAAATTTTCGAACTGTTATTTCCTATTGGCTGTTAGAAAATTGTGTTGCTCAAAGGGGAACATGTCTATTGTGCCTTGTGGAGATTTTCCTACAGCTTTTCTGGCTGACCCGTCACTTGCACTCTGGAACTCTCCTAAACCAGATACGGCCCACCACGTGGCATGGTGTGGATCCTGGACTTTCTGTCATCCGTTAGGTTCATATTCTTGAAGCAAGTCTAGAACTATTTTCTGAGAGATTCCCTGGCTGTTGTTCTGTGTTTGGGTGGGTTAGTCACCTTTTTAGGTGAGAGACTTGATTTGGGTACACAGTTTCACAAAAGTATTGTCAACCCTGCTGGCCAAGTGACTGACGTGCTGGGCATGGGAGCACACTCCATCGGCATGGCAGAGTGGATTCACTCCATGCCATTGCCAGAGAATAGGACTTTGAACCACAGCCACCCGGCTTTTTCTGAAAGGCCTGCTTGGGCAATGATGCCTGGAGAATTATCTGAAGAATGCAGTCTGTCCATTCCTCTGGAGATGGTCTAGTTTTTATCCCCAGACCAAGCTGAACCTCTTAGAGCTGTGCATTTATATTGTGTGGAATTGCCTTCAGCGACGTGTTCTATAACGTCGTGTTCTTGTCACCTTTTGAGGGACACTGGTGCTGTGGGGAAGATCCTCACCAATACGCAACAGCAGGGCCCTGTTCTCTCACCTGCCATCCCCTCTGGAAAGCTCACAGAGAGGGTTTCCTGGGTTGCTCCTTTTCCAAGCAGGACTTCTACTGTAGACTTACAGCTCCAGTTACAAGCCTGTGTGCTTGTCTGTTTCCCCACAAGGTGTTCTGACCTGGGAGGGAAGGGACGGAATCCTATTCATCTCTGAATCCTAAATGCCAGGCCTAGCACTTGGCACACAGTGGGTTCCAGTTGTGGAATGAATTTTTTTCAGTCCTGACAATAAATGTTGGGGTTCTTTAGTTTGTTTGTTGTTATTGTCTGTTTTATTTGTATTTTGGGGTTTTTTGCTTTTTCCCCCAGGGAATGAAAATGCCTTCTCCATATGAACCAGACATATCCTGGGGCTGGGGCTGAGTGTCCTTTGTTGTTTGCTCTAATTATAACTAATGAACAGTTCAGCTCTGGTAATTGTAGGCTTGCTGGACCCAGTGCCTGCCTTCTAACTGAATCTTGACTCTGCTCCATTATGTATTTTCCATGATCCTGATTTCTGTCAATCTAATTTTTAAATTTCATTCTAAGGCAAACCTGCTCATGTTCTTCGCTGAAATCAACCTCCCCTTTCTGGAATGGACATATGGAAAATTGGAGGCAAAATATAATAATGGTGGTGACTCAGACTGCTTTAAGGCCTGAGAGACCGGCCAGGTACTGTGGCTCACGTCTGTAATCCCAACATTTTGGGAGGCTGAGGTGGGTGGATTGCTTGAGCCCAGGAGTTTGAGACCAGCCTGGGCAACATAATGAAAACTCATCTCTACAAAAAGTTACTGGGCTCAGTGGTGTGCACCTGTAGTCCCAGCTACTCAGGAGGCTGGGGTGGGACCATCGCTTGGGCCCAGGAGGTAAAGGCTGAAGTGAGCTGTGATTGCGCCACTGCACTCCAGCCTGGGCAACAGAGTGAGACCCTGTCTTAAAAAAACAAAAAGACCCATGAGACCTAGACTCCCCCTGTCAAAAATACTCACACACACACATATACGATAAGATAGTATTTCTACCTTTTCTTTCTCAAAACATTCCACAGAACAGTCTTACCTTCGAGGAGAGCCGTATGCATGACCTTTTGTTTGTTTGTTTGAGACGGAGTCTGGCTCTGTGGCCCAGGCTGGAGTGCAGTGGTGCCATCTCGGCTCACTGCAACCTCCGCCTCCCAGGCTCAAGTGATTTTCCTGCCTCAGCCTCCCAAGTAGCTGGGATTACAGGCGCGTGCCACCATGCCCAGCTAATTTTTGTATTTTTAGAAGAGACAGTTTCACCATATTGGCCAGACTGGTCTCAAACTCCTGACCGCACATTATCTGCCTGCCACCACCTCCCAAAGTGCTAGGATTTCAGGCATAAGCCACCATGCCCAGCTGGAGGCCTTATTTTTACTGCTATTCAGAGAACCTGTGGCTTATCCATGGAGGGCTTAAGCTTTGCCTTTTCTCTTGCTCATTTCCATACCTAGCAAGAGCTTAAGCTGGTTTATTGCACTGACATTCTAATGAAATATAAATAGCTTCTCAACAGAGAGATAAGAAAGAGGAGTATCTAGTACAGCAAGACCCTCTGGGTGGGTCAGGGCCAGCTGGGGCCGTGCCGGGGCTCTGAGTGGAGGAGGTGGCGTGGGAGCACTGATGCTCGGGCTCTGTCACATCCGTTTTTGGCATTTGTCCTGGCAAAGGCTGCATTTCTGATCTTTCAGAAAGCTGTGGGTACACTGTACAGAAATGTGTTTTGCTTGCTTTGAAGGATGACCTACTGGCTGACAGCCAGCCAGAATTAATTCCATATACATTTGCAGATTTTCAGTATGAGAGACGGCAATTAGCCTACAGAAACCCATTTAACCCCCGAGGTGGAGCTGTATGGTGAAGACTGTTATTTATGGGAGTCTGTGTAATTTGCCTCTGTGACAAGGGACAGCCATGGCTCAGGAGGGCCCACGCCACCCTCCTTTTCAAGGACTCCTGCCCCTGCCTGAGTGGCTTGGCCTGGCCTGGCCATGTGAGTCTTGTGGACACGTGCACATCAGTCAGGGACCCCTGTGGTATGGACCAAAGGGTTGTTTTTTACTGTTTTAACTTATTTAATAGCATCTCATCAGTATTACAGGCATGTGCCGCCACGCCAGGCTAATTTTTTTTGTATTTTTAATAGAGACGGGGTTTCACCATATTGGCCAGGCTGGTCTTGAACTCCTGACCTCAGGTGATCACCCCGTGTCAGCTTCCAAAGTGCTGGGAGTACAGGCGTGAGCCACCGCACCTGGCCCACAGAGCTTCTAAAGGAAATGTGTTGGTTTTTTAATCAAAGTTGAGGCAGTGCCTCAGTGAGGGGCAGGCTGGAGCAGTGGTAAGCGCGCTGAAGGAGTCGGGCTCTCTGGGCCCAAAGTCCTGCCCTGGCCACAGAGTGGCTCCCTTCCCCCTGAGGTGGGATGATGTTCTCCAGGGCCTTTTAGCTCCAGGCTGCTACAGTTCTAAACTGGTGGTGGTGGTGGTGGTGGTGGTGGTTGTGGTGGTTGTTTTAGATGCAGTCTCACTCTTTTCCCCAGGCTGGGATGCAGTGGCATGATCTCGGCTCACTGCAACCTTCGCCTCCTGGGTTCAAGCGATTTTCCTGCCTGCGCCACCACGCACAGCTAATTTTTGTATTAGTAGAGTTGGGGTTTTGCCATGTTGGCCAGGCTGCTCTCGAACTCCTGACCTCAGGTGATCCGCTCACCTCAGCCTCCCAAAGTGCTGGGATTACAGATACGAGCCACCGCACCTGGCCATGATTGTTGTTTTTATAAAATCAGAATATAAAATTTGAAAATGTTCTTTTTTGGTGAGAAATGAGAACTACCAAAGGAGTAAAATGCTCTAAAAGCCATCAGGTCCTTCCCACAGTATTGAGGCTCTGCTCTTACCATTTTGTTAAATAAGTTTTGTTCCTAACACTCTTTGTGATATGAAGTATTCTTGCTAATCAAGCTGCCCGGAGACTGGCGTTTCCCAGAGCAGTTTCGAAAGTGGAAATGATGCTGCATTTCCTACCCACAGTCTGGAGGGTGGCTGTGCTCTCTGCACGGTGGGTCTGTGCTGCTCAGTTACGGGATGGTAAGGGAAGGCTCTAACTCGGTGTCTTACACCATGCACTAGGGAGTCGCCCGCTTTATTTACGAGCGAGTTGATGCTTTCAGTGGGTTTTGGCTTTGCCTGGTTCCAGACTCAAGCCCTTCCTCTAATGTAGGGCGGGTACAAGAGAGACTTGAGCAAGGATATTGGGATTTAAGGGAAGGGCAGTGCAGGCCAAGGTCAGCAAGAGGACATCTCTAAGATGAACAGCACTGCATTTGTGGGAAGCAACCCTGCCATAAACAACTCAGTTAACGTTTACATAGTAAATAATTGCATTGCCTTGGGCTGGAATAGGGACGCCAGAAGGTATAGGACCATGTGGAATTCAGAAAAGGGAGCCCTGAAGAATGAGATTTTATTGTTCTTACCAGGAGAGTCCAGGTGCTAGAGTTCTCTCCTTGTAAGTGACTAACCTTCTCCCTTTTGGTACACAATCCTCAGATGAACGGAGATGATTCATTAGGCCATTCTAGCTTAATGGATGCATCACTGTGCAACCACGCAAATGCCTCATTTCTGATTCACTCATTTAATATTTATTGAGGAGTGCTGGGTACTAGGCCATTAGAAGAACAAACAACAACAACATAGGCCTGGACCTTGCACTTGCAGAGTTCACAGGCTAGAGAGGCACACAAGTTAAATATAGAGACAGCTGAAAGAGCTGACGTCTGGGACAGAGGGAGCCCCCTGCTCCAGGAGCCAGGGAGCAGATGCCATGGGGGGCTGGCAGGGATAGGGAAGTCAGGCCAGGAATGGGGTTACCTAAGCCGGATCATGAAGGACGAGAACAGACTCACCAGGGGTCGAGGGACAAGGAGGCAGCAAGTCCGCAGCATGAAGGCAGGAGAGAACATTGCTGTAAGCCTTTACCATGGCCACTGCATGGGGAGGAAACAGGAGATTTGGAATGAGCTGTGACACTGGGCAGGAAAGCAAGACCCAGGTCTTGTGAGGCCTTGAGCGTCAAGCTTAGGAGTCAGGACCTGGGGATTTTAAGTACAGCAATATCATAATTACATTCATGTTTCAGAGAGATCACTCAGGCAGCAGTCTGGAAGGTGGAGTGGAAAACGGAGAAATTAGTCATGAAGACCTATTTAGAAAGTAGTAGGCAAGAAATACCCAGGGCCTAACCTGAGGTGTAGGCAGGGGATGGGAATGAGAGCAATTACCGAACTAGAATGAACTAAACTCAATGAACAGGAGCGGGGAAGAGGGAATGCAGAAATGGCTCTCAGATTTCTGACTTGTTCGCTTAATGACTGGGGTTGTCATTTGTTTAGATAAGCAATAAAGAACCTAGAAACAATTTTAGGCGGAAGATAGTTGTGTTGGGAGCCCCTAAGACCATGATTTATTACAGCACAAGGATACAAAGCAAAATTAGCAAAAGGAAACAGCACGTGGGGTCAAGTCCAGGGGAGCTCAGGCGCAAGCTTCCAGAGTACTCTCCCCATAGAGTCACACAAGATACACTTAGTTCCTCCAGCATTGAACTATGACGACACCTGAAATATTGTCTGCAGAAGAGGCTCATTAGAGACTCAGTCCCCAAGGTTTTTATTGGGTAATGGTCACGTACCAAATTTCAGTCTCTCAGAACAAAAGCAAATGTTCAGCATAGACCATTTTGTTTGTGAAATTTAGGCACAGTGAGCCCCTCTTGTCAGTTAGAGGATAGTTGAAACCCTCCCACAATCCAAGTTCTCAGACTCAGGCCTGCTACATTATTTCTTTCCTACACAGTAGTGGATTTGGTTACTAACATGTTGGATCTGAAGCATTTGTTGTAATTTACAGTGAAGATGTCCACTGCACAGTTCCGTATTGAGTCTGAGGTTCACTGGAGACATCTGTGCTATCAATGAAAGTTTCTGGAGTCATTAGCCCCTCAAAGGGTCATTAAAACCAGGTCTTCTAGAGAGAAAGTCTAACCCTGTATTCCTTTAAACCACCATAGAGACCATCTAGTTCTTCACATTATAAAAATGAGAAAACTGAGTCCCCAGCGATGTGGCTTGGTTGCACATTTTTCTATTTCAAGTCTGTTACTCCTTCCATCATACCAGACTGCCTCACAAAATGACAAAGTCAGGCATTGTTCATAAAAGAACAAAATGGCATTTAGGTTATAAATCAGGCCCTTGTAAGTTTGGTTAATACAACTTATTTCCCAAAGATCCTGGTCCTCAGACCCTCAAAAGGAGAGCTGATCACATCAAGGCCTCTACCTGGAAGGAATTTCTAAGCAGCCTCTAAGTCAACTGTTCATGTTCAGTCCACCTTGATTTACAAAGAACAGTGAATCATTAAGACCTTTCTCTCCAAGGCCGGGTGCGGTGGCTCACGCCTGTAATCCCAGCACTTTGGAAGGCCGAGGCGAGCGGATCACGAGGTCAGGAGATCGAGACCATTCTAGCTAATACGATGAAACCCCGTCTCTACTAAAAATACAAAAAAAATTAGCCAGGCTTGGTGGCGTGCACCTGTAGTCCCAGCTACTCGGGAGGCTGAGGTAGGAGAATGGCGTGAATCCGGGGGGCAGAGCTTGCAGTGAGCCAAGATCGCGCCACTGCACTCCAGCCTGGAGAACAGAGACTCCATCTCAAAAAAAAAGACCTTTTGCTCCTCTTTGCTCTTGTGTCTGTTTAACAGATTTTTATGTTAACAGGCACTCTGTTTGCCACTAGGAATAAAAAGATAAATGGGACAAAGTCTTTGCCCTCAAGTTACTTATATTCTAGAGCCAAGAAAGAGATAGATGAAGAACACATCTTATATATTAGGACTGTGTTGGGGGCAGGAGTAGGCAGAGTAACCCTTTGGATATGGGAAATGAAAATAAATCAAACTCAAAACAAGTTTATTATTTGCTTGAAGCTCTGGTAAAAGATAAAGTGAAACCTGCAAACTGTAAAATGAAGTTGCTGCTACACATTTCTCCAGTTTTGGATTTCATTCTTGGATGGCCTTTAACTTGGATAGAAGGATACAAGACAGCCATATATATATATATATACAGCTGTTGCTCTTTAAGATATCCACTTCACCCTGTTGTGGGGTGGGAGGAGGGGGGAGGGATAGCATTAGGAGATATACCTAATGTAAATGTCGAGTTAATGGGTGCAGCACACCAACATGGCACATGTATACATATGTAACAAACCTGCACCTTGTGCGCATGTACCCTAGAACTTAAAGTACAATAAAAAAAAAAATTAAAGAAAAGAGATCCACTTCGCTCAGCACATGTGATTTGGCTTTGGTCTTTGGTGTTAATTTGGATGCCTAAAGAACTGACTTTCCTTGATGCTCACTCCAGCCTTTTTAGGACTAGATTGGATACATTTACATGTTTGCTGGCTGTTTTTTCTACAGTCACACATCCTACCCATAATAATATTGCAATATTCTAAGTTGTCTTGGAGGATATCATCAAGTAGGTGTCAAGTAAAACTTAATGGTAGACTGTAAATTTTAAAACAAGTTACAGGTCATTTGTGTAGTCTCTCTCTCTATATATATTAAAAGAAACAAAACTTTTCCCTCTTGAATCTTTATTCCTATCTCAGCTTCATTTATTGCCTCGTTTGTCATCTAAATGGTCTTTGTTCTTTCAGCTTTCAAACATGATTAATTGACATTGTGCAGCATAGCACAGGGAAAAGGCTGAATATTTTGTATGATGAGTAATCTAGTTAAACGCCCATCTTTCTTTTCAACTTTACCAACAAATGTGTCTTATGCAGATGTAAGGGCGGTTTGCTTATTTCCCTGTTCAAAATTTTATGCTATTAGCCTAGCATAGCATGTTTCTTTTCCATTGAGCTAGCCAAAAATAATATTGACAAATTCATGAAGCCTTCCATCTGATACTGTTGCAAACTTATGCAAATGTATTTTAGACTGTTAAGGGAATGTAAGAATTAAATAATTAAACATCCAAATGTCAAGAATGGGATAGGAAGAAGTAACTGGCCTCATGTTGGAAGTTAATGAAATATTTGAAAATATACCTTTAAAATCAAAGACATGAATTTGTGTTTTGGGTTTTTTTTTTTCAGATTTGAATAAAGCAGAGTATAATATTATAGTTGCTGCAGGAAGTTATGAGCATTTCTGGAAGTGCTTATTTTCAGCACATGCTACTTAGAATTTTAAAGGACATTCAGTGTATCTTTGTCATGAATCTTTCTACTGGGACCAGGCCACTCCTGGATGAACTCACAGATTGAGAGCTTCTCAAAATGTAAAATCAAATTGTCTTTTAAAATATGCTATTTTAAAGTTCTGGAGAATCAATGAACTTTAAATGAAAATCGGCCAATACTTGGCAAAAAGTCAATTTGAAGAGTTGTCTCTTTATAATCTCTGATTTCACTTATAGAGCTTGCTTCCAAAAAAAGTACTACGTATGTCATAAATCTGAAATGTTTTGCTTTTATGCCATTTTTAAGTCCTGATAAATATTCTTGAAGTGTTAAATTATTATTATTATTATTATTTGAGATGGAGTCACTCTGTCGCCCAGGCTGGAGTACAGTGGTGTGATCTTGGCTCATTGCAACCTCCGCCCCCCCGGATTCGAGTGATTCTCCTGCCTCAGCCTCCCGAGTATCTGGGATTACAGGTGCCTGCCACTGCATCCGGCTAATGTTTTGTATTTTTAGTAGAGACAGGGTTTTACCATCTTGGCCAGGCTGTTCTTGAACTCCTGACCTTGTGATCCGCCTGCCTCGGCCTCCCAAAGTGCTGGAATTATAGGCATGAGCCGCCGTGCCCAGCCAGTGTTAAATTATTTTTAACTTGTTAGAAATAATTGTCCCACAACTTACTGAAGGTTGGTTTAATATTCACTATTGTTCCCAAAAAACTCTTAAAATATTAAACCAACTCATAGCTCATAACTTTTCAAGGTAGCAAGTGTTTGCTAATCTTAAAATGTGTTACTATTCTTTTTTTGTTTTTTTTTTGTTTTTTTGTTTTTTTGTTTTGAGATGGAGTCTCCCTCTGTCACCCAGGCTGGAGTGCAGTGGTGTGATCTTGGATCACTGCAACCTCCACCTCCTGGGTTCAAGTGATTCTCCTGCCTCAGCCTCCCCAAGTAGCTGGGATTACAGGCGTGCCACTACGCCCAGCTAATTTGCTTGTATTTTTAGTAGAGATGAGGTTTCACCATGTTGGCCAGACTGGTCTCGAACCCTTGACCTCAGGTGATCCACCCGCCTTGGACTCCCAAAGTGCTGGGATTACAGGTGTGAGCCACCATGCCCGGCCACTATTCTTAAGTGACCTTCTGCACATCTCTGTAGTTTTATGCCTGGTGATGGCGTTTAATTTAGGAGTATCTGGCATGCCACTCCAGTCTGACAGCTAGGGGCATGTTAGCAAAGGGGGCATTTTTCAGGTGAGTGGGTGAGCATAGCCGTGCTGACCATCTTTCCTATCCAGAGGGAAGGCCTAGCAGGGACTCACGCCATCTTGACTTGCCTGCCCCAGGCTCCCTCTCACTGCTCCCCTGGCCTCTTCCTCTTCTCCAGACAATGGGGCCTTATGCTCGCTGTGTTTGTCAGAACTCTCTTGTGGTTGTGGCTGCAAGTAAGAGAAACTCAACTCGAGCTTATTCAGAAAGAGGGGATGGATTGACCCAGATAACAGAAAAGTGCTAGGCTAGATCTGGCCTTAGCCACAGCTGGATCCAGCCTTCTGGCATTTGTGCTCCGTTCCTCAGCCCTGCCCCACTGGGAGTGATGCCTTCTGTTCACAGTGTGATCTGCTTCATACTCAAAACTCCCTATCCAGAGGAAGAGGAATCTTTTCTCTCCCACCATCTGCACAGCAGTATTCAGGAATCCCCTGCCAGGCTCTGTTGGCCTCATGTGCCCTGTCCTAATCCACCACTGTGCCCAGCCAGGGTGTGGCCATACATGCCCATCCTGTGCATAGGGCAGGAGCAGACCCACCTGCACCACATGCGGTGGCCGCCATGACCACAAGACCAGGATAGGAGTGCTGATCAGGCCAGACCCCAAGGGCTGTTGCTCAGACCATACCTGGCCTGTAGAGTAGAAGAACTAAATGTCTCACACAGGCAAAGACTACTCTTCAATTCCTTTAATTGCAGGTGTATGTTGGAGTCCATGAAATACAAAGTTATTGAGAAGCATAACTAAATTTATAGTAGCTCCTCATTATATATTTTCATGTTGATAGGATTCTGCCCCCATGGGAATTAATTTTCTTCATCAAAAGTGATCTCCATACTCACAAACACTGAATAGCTTTGGGCTTTTAAAAACAATGTTTTGGCTTTAAAAGAACCACAGGAGGCTGGGCGCGGTGGCTTACGCCTGTAATCCCAGCACTTTGGGAGGCCGAGGCGGGCGGATCATGAGGTCAGAAGATTGAGACCATCCTAGCTAACATGGTGAAACCCTGTCTCTACTAAAAATACAAAAAAATCAGCCTGGCGTGGTGGCAGGCACCTGTAGTCCCAGCTATTCAGGAGGCTGAGGCAGGGGAATGGTGTGAACCCAGGAGGCAGAGCTTGCAAGTGAGCTGAGATCATGCCACTGCACTCCAGCCTGGGCGACAGAGCAAGACTCCATCTCAAAAAAAAAAAAAAAAAAAAAAAGAACCATGGCAAAAGTGTCCTTTAGCCGGGTGCGGTGGCTCACACCTGTAATCCCAGCACTTTGGGAGGCCGAGGCGGGTGGATCACGAGGTCAGGAGATTGAGACCATCCTGGCTGATACAGTGAAACCCCGTCTCTACTAAACATACAAAAAATTAGCCAGGCGTGGTGGCAGGCGCCTGTTGTCCCAGCTACTCAGGAGGCTGAGGCAGGAGAATGGCGTGAACCCGGGAGGCGGAGCTTGCAGTGAGCCAAGATTGCGCCATTGCATTCCAGCCTGGGCAATAGAGCAAAACTCCGTCTCAAAAAAAAAAAAAAAAGTGTCCTTTAGTCTACTGTTGGTTCTTCCAAAGAGCCATCCTTTCGCTGATGCTTTAGGAACTCCCAACCTGGGTCCTGTCAAGGATAAGCTCTCATCTTATTCCCACAAAATTCCTAGAGTTACTCATCATTTTCCTTTCATATTCAGCTCATTAAAGCAGTTTGTAGGTCTCTGTAGTCCATATTAGTAAGTGTTAAAAATGTATCAATTTGATTTTTTTTTTTTTTTTGAGACAGAGTCTTGCTCTGTAGCCCAGGCTGGAGTGCAGTGTTGCAATCATGGCTCACTGCAACCTCTGCCTCCTGGGTTTAAGGGATTCTCCTGCCTCAGCCTCCTGAGTAGCTGGGATTATAGGCGTGCACCACCACGCCTGGCTAATTTTTGCATTTTTAGTAGAAACGGGGTTTCACCACGTTGGTCAGGCTGGTCTTGAACTCCTGACCTCATGAGCCACCGCTCCCGGCCATCGATTTGATTATTATAAAATCAGGTTATATTGGTTTGACCAGTTAAAAACATCACAGGTTATTTAATCTTTTTATTTATTTATTTATTTATTGAGACAGAGTCTGGCTCTGTCACCCAGGCTGGTGTACAGTGGTGCAATCTCAGCTCACTGCAGCTTCGACCTCCTACGTCCAAGCAATTATCGTGCCTCAGCCTCCTGTGTAGCTGGGATTCCAGGTGTGCGCCACCACACCCAGCTAATTTTTGTATTTTTAGTAGAGACCAGGCTTCACCACGTTGGCCAGGCTGGTCTCGAACTCCTGGCCTCAAGTGATCCACCCGCCTTGGCCTCCCAAAGTGCTGGGATTACAGGTGTGAGCCACTGTGGCCAGCTAATCACTTTTTTAAATCACAATTTGTGTTACGTTCATGAGTAATGGGTGCCAGAAATAATGTTGTGTGTTAAACATAAATGTAGATGGGTAACCATGTATACAAATGCATATCTCCTCAACCCAGAGAGTGAAATTTCCCCACCCCAGTGACCCTGCCTCGCTGTATGGTTCATTCTTCTCCAGGAATTGAAACATGGTGGCAGCCTGCCAGCTTGGCGTTACCATTAATTCTTATTCTCTTCCCCTGCCGATGTCATGGGGACACCAGCCAAATGAACTCTGATGTGTCTCACGTAATGCATGTGGACTTCTGGTGCATGTAAACAGAGGGTGGTTATTCTTGATTGCACATTTGTGATTTTTAGTGAGGCTCTAAGGGAGAAGCAAGAGGACTTGAATAACAGATTTATTCTCGGGCACTGGTACATGAAAGAGATGAGTAATGCCAAACAAATAACACAATTCTGATTCACGCCATTGGTAATGGAGGAGACTTCTGGGTAAACAAACCAAAGTAACAGCTAGAATGCAGATCTGATCACAGCAGTGTGTTTTGATTCAGTCTAAAGATGACAAAGAAAAGTTTCTGCTGGTCCTATCTGTAGCAACAAGGGCCTGCCCGCCTGACCACACTGCAGTGGAACAGCCACATTGTGATTTTGCGGGCCTGAAGCCTTTCGTCTGGTGACCCTTTAAGAGGAACTTGAGCCAAGATCTTATCAGTGATGGAGATGGAGACACCTCAGGATTTTCCAGTATCGTTTTTCACTTTTTGTTCTTGGACATAGTTAATAACGCTGCCAGGTCTTTCAAATGCTGAGGCATTTCCTCATAGCTCCAAGTAGCTGCTGCGGGTCAGATTCTGCTTGAACCGAGGGTTCAATTACAACATCCGTATGCTTTCCAGCCCACTCTCTGACCTTTGTTCTTTTTTTCAGTACTTTTTCAGGCTCTTAATGTTTCCATCCACTAATCTCAGGAGACTCTGTAAATATTCTGAGTATACATAGCCCAATTACTTTTGAAAAGCTAATTTAATAGAAACTTCTTGATATGAATTGAATAAATTTTTTAACTTAAAAATCATTTACTTACAACTTAAGACAGTTAAACTTGAGAGTATTTGAAAGCTAGTAAACTTCAGAGCTTTCTTCAGTAGGCACGAACTTTACCATTTTTCTGACACTCAGCACGGTCAGCAATGACACATTCATTGGAGGACTCATCAATATCCCTAAAAATAGTAGCAGTACTCGTGCACAGCCTGATTTCTTTTGAACTTGGCTCAATTTCTTGGAAGCATTGATCATGGGATCCCGCTTTGATTCCTTTTCTGTAGACTAGTGCCAGTTTGCCCAGTTTCATTACATTTTTGGAAAGAGCTAAAACTATGGTATCGTTTTATTGCAGTCCTCACATCAATCATAATTTGGAGCAGTCTTGGTGAAAGATGAGGAATTCAGACTGGGATCCTGGGCAAGGCAGGTCCAGGGGGCAAGAGGGATGGAATGCAGTGAGTACTTATTTTATATCATAAGTACAGCCACCTCAGCCTCATGACTTTTTAGCCACGGCTTCATTCCAAAGTGACCACAGTCATAAGGCCCAAAACTATCTTCTCTCTCTTTCTCTCTCTCTCTCTCTCTCTCTCTCTCTCCCTCCCTCTCTCTGTCATAGGGACCTCCCTAATCCTCCAGGTTGTACAGCCAGGAAGGGTAAGGTATTGTCAAAAACAAGTGAGGTACCCCCTTGATAGCTCAGTGGGCCAGAGGGCCTCTGGATGCTGGCTGATCATGGCAAAAACTAAATACAGAATCCATACAGTGGATTCTCTGTGCTTTTTCTCTTCACCCCTCCTTACCCTTGACCAAATTTCTGACTGTGTTATTTTCTTATTGCAGTCCTCCCTGCTAGATATACAACTTTGACTTTCATCAGAAGAAAGTGCTCCCATTGCATTATTAGCTAAACCATGTTGCAGTGGCAACGCTCCTTCTTCCAGCTTGCCTCGGTGTTTCTGTAGTTAGCATCAGGTGTCCTTGGTTCTGTTTACCAGCCTGTCCAGGGATCACTTCCCTGGTGGGATCTCTCTGGTGACCCTCATCTCAGAGCTCAGCGGTGCCTTTGGGGCTACTTGCCAGACAACTCCATGTGACAGAGGGCCAGGTCCAAGTGCTCGATCACCCCAGCCACCATTTCAGAGTTCTCGGATTATAGATCCCTCAACGAGTCCCAGTGAGACACCGAACATGCCATAGAAGCTATGTTTTTCTATTTCAGCACACAGTAAAACACTACCTCTTAGATGTCGATGAGTACATGCTGCTTTTATGTTGACGCAGAGGACCTGTGTTGACTCTTCATCGGCAAGGTGTCTTTTTTTTAAGTTTCAATTGACACATACCACCTCTGGCCCAAGTGGACCACACAGTTATGCATGCCCTTTGGTGCAAGATACATCACGTCTCCAAGAACTCGGGTGTTTTTCTGATCATGGAGAATTAGATTCCACATATAGCTTGTATTTAGGATCTGCAGATTAGGTTTTATAAATTATGTTTGGCAAATGATAATCCACAAAGTAGATTCTAAGTTAAAATACTATAAAGTACTATAATTTATGTTTAAATGTCTTTCAACCTGAGAGTTACTCTCCCTTAGAAGTCCCCAAAAATGCTGAAACCACACCAGGTTGATATCTGACCTTTCACTTTTGGAAAATGTGTATATTGTTGAACCTCTAATCTAGATTCGGACACCATCACCAACCAGCTTCTCTCTTTCAGTTGCCATCTGCACTTTACTGTTTAGTTTTTGTTGTCTTTAGGGAAAGTTGTAAAATACCCACATTCTTCTCAAGTTCTTCAAGTCTTTTGGTTTTTAGTAAACCCTTTTGTGACATTGTCTTTGAGAACAGAGGTCAACAAACATTTCCTTAATGGACTAGATAGTAGATATATCAGGACTTGCAGACCACATGGTCTCTGTCCTAACTACTCAACTCTGCCGTTATAGCACAAAACCAGCCGTACTCAATATATAAATGAATGACCCTGTGGCTGTGTTCCACTAAAACTTCATAAAAATAAGCAGCTGGCCAGATTTGCTGTGTGGGTCTTAGTTTGCCAACCCCTGATCTAGAAGAAAAGAGTTTTGTGTAATGTTTGGGTAATAAAATAAACATACCAAACCATCTCAGGAATCCCTAACCTTTTCCTCATTGGGAACTATTTTCCCAGTATCCCCAAGTACTGGTGGGAATGAGATAAAAAGGGCCAGGCATGCCATTCCCTAAAGCAGATAGCCAACCCTCTTTCTTTCCCTGTGGAAATCCCCTCTGCCTACAGGGAGGAGAAGCAACTGGTTTGGAAGCTGCCAGCCAGTCCGTTTATTTAGAAAATTCTAAGCCCAGTTCCAGATCACTTTGCGTCAACTCTAAAATACAGCCACAAATGAAATAAATGTTGTTTATAATCCTACCAAGTCTAGTAGGTGTGTATGTGCTTGAGGTTAAACTTTTGTGTAAGCTCCAGACTTACTTTAGGTTTATAGAAAATTACATCGCAATTGATACAATGGTTGTGTTGGGTGATGGAGATAGAAAGAGGGAGAAGAAGTGAAAGTGAAATTTTGGTCAAAATTGGATACCACCCTAATAAGCCGGGAGATAAGGGGTGCTGCAGAACTGTTTTCTGTGATACAGTGCATCTACATTGATAATTTGTGTTTTATGTACTTTTAAAATGAGGCTTTATTGGCTTGATTTCTGTGAGAAAAATCACTAATGGGCTGATCGTACTGCTCTACTTCAACATGCAAGAGAATTGCTCAGACGCTTGTCAGATGCCTGAACCACATACTTATTTGAGAATGTGCCATCATAGGAAGCTTTCATTCACCAAGGTCACCGAGAGGGCAGCCCAGGGAAGCACGTTGAACTTCGCATGGTTCTGGCCACTCGTGTCAGTAGCAAAGCAAGGAAATAAGGAGCTGACTTGCCCAAAAATTACAAGTTCAGAGAAAACGGACTTGTTTTGTTTGGAAAAGGCAGATAACGGAGCAGTAACTAAAGAATCCTCTTTTTTTATTATTATTGTTGTTGCTCAATTTATAAACCTAAACAGAAAATGTGTGTTGCCTTATTTCCTCTTCTTTTCTACAGATAACTTTCTTTTAAAACATTCTAAATATTAAGCAACATTGTAAGTACAGATTTTTTTTTTTTTTTTTTTTTTGAGTTGGAGTCTCACTCCGATCATCCAGACTGGAGTGCAATGGCGCGATCTTGGCTCACTGCAACCTCTGCCTCCTGGGTTCAAGCAGTTCTCCTGCCTCGGCCTCCTGAGTAGCTGGGATTCCAGGCACCCACCACCACATTTGGTTAATTTTTGTATTTTTAGTAGAGATGGGGTTTCCCCATGTTGGCCAGGCTAGTCTCGAACTCCTGACTCACCTCAGCCTCCCAAAGTGCTGAGAGTACAGGCGTGAGCCACCACGCCCGGCTAGTACAGAATTTTTTATGGCCCCTTTTAAAGACTGCAAACCTTTTTATACCAAAAAAAAATTATTTTTCCTGTATTTATTTTACACATTAGTAAATGAATGAAATTTTGGCTCTAGGTTTAGAAAGCAATTTCATTTTAAGCTCATTTTACTGTGTCATTGGACTTTTTATTAATTTTATTCTTGAACTACTTAGCTGAAAATCGAATTCTGTCATTATATGTAATCATATAATGCTTCTCATAATGTTACACTTTAATTAGATGCAGTTGAATAATAACCTAAAAAATCTTCATAGTCTATAAAATTCACACTTATATTTATAAGACAATATTATCTCACCCATTGATACATAATGTTATGTTAAAAGTACACAATATGGCCAGGTGTGGTGGCTCACACCTGGAATCCCAGTACTTTGGGAGGCTGAGGCGGCAGATCACTTGAGCCCAGGAGTTCGACATCAGCATGAGCAACATGTTGAAACCCCGTCTCTACCAAAAATACAAAAATTAGCCAGGCATGGTGGCGCACATCTGTAATCCCAGCAACTTGGGAGGCTGAGGCAGGAGGATCACTTGAACCCAGGGGACAGAGGTTGCAGTGAACAGAGGTTGCAGTGAGCGGAGATTGTGCCTCCTCTGCACTCCAGCCTGGATGACAGAGTGATACTCTGTCTCAAAAAATAAAAAGAGTACACAATATTATCTCACCCATTGATACATAATGTTATGTTAAAAGCACACTGCATTCTAGAGAAGGTAGAGTAACAGGGTCTTACTTTACCCTCCCACTTGAAACAAGTAAAAAACTGGACAAAGTATATGAAAAATACATCACTCAGGGCATTGGACACCAGGCAGCAAAAAACAGTGGCCCCTGAGAAATTGGAAACAAAGTGAGTCCTATAATTGTCCTTATCTAGAAAAAGTTTCCTGGCTACTGTGTAGAGAGAAGGAACCCAGGAGAAAGAGCTCAACTGTCTCCCTGAGTTGAAGACAGAGCTGGGGATACATCAAGGGAAACCAAGGCAGCTAGTTTGCAGAGGTGGAGGACCGGAGAGGAGAGAACTGCATAGAGAGAGCTTTGCGGATGTACAGAGTCCTCCTTGAGCATGCAAGTGCGTACTGATCAAAGTGTGGTTGTGAGAAAACTACCCATCACCAGAGAAAGGATCACCCGAAAGAATGAGGGAACAGTGCCTGCCTCCCACACAGTAGCCAAGAAGAGGTGCCTGTTGCCAACAGCTAGAGTGAAAACCTCTGAATGCAGGGGCACTGGTTAGAATACTAAGAAGGGTCTTGCCAGACATCCAATCCAAAATTAGCAGGCATGCAAAGATCTAGGAAAATACCACCTAAAATGAGAAAAGTCAATCAAAACTAACCCATTATACAGATGATAGAATTCATAGACACGGACATTAAAGTAGTTGTTGTGACTGTAGTTTGCATGTTTAAGAAACTAGAAGAAGGATTTAACATGTTAAATAGAGACAAAGAAGATATAACAAAGATATAAATCAAACTGAAGAGATGAAAACTGCAGTGCCTGAAATGATAAAAAAAAAAAACTCTTAATTAATAGCAGATTAGACATTGCAAAAGAAAAGCCTAGTTAACTTAAAGACATGCAGTAGAAACTATCTGAAATGAAACAGAAAAAGGCTGAAAAGAAGCAAGAGAGCAACATTGAGCTTTGGGATCATTTTAAGTAGCCAAAAATATGTAAAACTAGAGTCCCACAGGAGTGGAAAAAAGGAACTGAAAAATATTTGAAGAAATAATGGGCAAAACGTTTTCAAATTTGATAGAAACTATAAACTCATACATTCAAAAAAATGAGAACATTTTAAAAAGAGAGGATAAATGACACATTATGTAGAGAGGAACAAAGATAAATTGGCTGATGATTTCTTGTTGGAAACAACACAAACTAGAAGGTGGTAGGTCAATATTTTTAAAGCAGTGAAAGAAAATTCACAGCCTAGAGTTTTTTACCTGGTTAAAATATCTTTCCAAAACAAAGCTGAAATAAAGACTATTTTAGACACGTAAAAGCTGAAAAAATTCATCACTAGCTAACCTGAAGTACAAAAAGTGTTACAGAAATTCCTGCTGGCAGAAAGAAAATGATACCAGTTGGAAACCTGAATCTACCCAAAGGAATGAAGAACACCAAAAATAGTAACCGCATGGATAGAAAGACTTGTTCTTACTGTTTATCTTAAAAGCTATTACTGTATACAGTAATTACTGCATAAAGCAAAAATAATAAAAATGTAGTATAGCGTTAAAAACATTTAGAAGCTAAATATATGGCAACAATAACACAAAGTCTAAGAGGAGAGAAATAGAAGCATGCTTTTGTAAAATTCTTAGGCTATATGTGAAGTAGTATAACTATATGTGGTGTGGTAGTATAATTATATGTGAAGGTAGACTGTGCAAAGTGAAATGTGTATGTAGTCATGTGCTGTATAATAACGTTTTGGTCAAAAACAAACCGTGTATACAACAGCAGTTCCATCAGATTATAATACTGTATTTTTTACTGTACCCTTTCTATTGTATGTTTGCATGTATAAATACTTACCATTCTGTTACAGCCACCTACTGTATTCAGAACAATAACATGCTATGCAGGCTTGTAGCCCTGGTGCAGTAGGCTGTACCATACAGCCAAGGTGTGTAGGAGGCTATACCATCTAGGTTTGCAAGTACACTGTATGATGTTCACACAGTGACAAAATCACCCAGTGATGTGTTTCTCAGAATGTACCCGTCTTTAAGCAACACAGGACTGTGCTGTAAATGCAAGGTAACCATTTCAGTAATTCAACAACGTTATAGTTAAAGAGTTGTAACCTTGTTATAGTTAACAAAGTTAATATATAGTTATCTACAAAGTAGATAAAATGAAATCATTAAAAATAATCCAGAGGAAGCAGAAAAGGGAAAAAGGAACAAAGAACAGATAGGACAATAAGAAAAAGAATAGCAAAATAGTAGATTTAAACTCAACTATATCGATAATCACACTAGATATAAATGTCCTAAATACACTAATTAAAATGCAAAGAATGTCAGATTGGCTAAAAATGCAAGAGCCGACTATTACTGTCAACAAGAAACCCTTTTTAAATCTAAAGACATAAGTAGGTTAAAGGTAAAAGGATGGAAAAGCGCTAATACTAATCAAAAGAAAATTGAATTGGTATATCAATATCAAAGTAGAACTAGAGCAAAGAGTAGTACCAAGGATATAAAAGAGGCTTGTTTCATTATGACAAAGGGGCCGTTTCACGAACAGGACATAGCAGTTCTAAGTGTTTAAGCATATAATAACAGAGCATCAACATAAATGAAGAAAAAAAAAGATAAAATTATAGGGAAAAATAGAAAATCCACAAATATAGTCAGAATTTTTTAAACCCCTCTCAGAACAAGTAGAGTAAAAATCAATAAGGATTTAGAAGACTTAAACAATGCTACAATTCAGCTTGACTCCACCCAACAACAGCAGATTACGCATTCTTTTCAAACGTACACAGAACATTTGCCAAAATAGACCATATTCTGAGTCACAAAATGTCTTAATAAATTTGTAAGGGCTCAAATCATACAAAATATGTTCTCTAACCACAGTGGGATTAAATTAGAAATCAACACTGAAAGACATCTGGAAACACTCCAAATATTTGGAAATAAGCTACAGAGTGGGAGAAAATATTTGCAAGTTATCTATTTGATATAAGGATTTGTATATGGAATACTAAAACTCAAAACTCAATGAGAAAATAACGCTTTTAAAAGATGACTGAAAGATTTGAACACATATTTCACCCAAGAAAATACATGAAAATATGCTTACCATCACAGGCATTAGGGAAATGGAAATTTAAACCACAGTGAATACCGCTGCATAGCTATTAGAATGTCTACAATTAAAAAGATTGACCAGCTAAGCACAGTAGCTCATGCCTGTAATCCCAACACTTTGACAGGCAGAGGCAGGAGGATGGCTTGAGCCCAGCCTGGACAACATAGGGAGGAGACTCTGTGTCTACAATAAAAGAAAAAGAAAATTAGCCAGTTGTGGTGGCCTAGCTGCTCACTTGGGAGGATGAGGTGGGAGGATTGCTTGAGCCCAGGTTGAGGCTGTAGTAAGCTGTGATTGCACCACTGCACTCCAGCCTGCAAGACAGAGCAAGACCCTGTCCCAAAGAAAAAAAAGATTGGGCTGGGCACGGTGGCTCACAGCTGTAATTGCATCACTTTGGGAGGCTGAGGCAGGTGGATCACTTGAGGTCAGGAGTTCAAGACCAGCCTGGGCAACATGGGGAAACCCCAACTCTACTAAAAATACAAAAAATTAATTGGGCATGGTGGCACACGCCTGTAATCCCAGCTACTCGGGAGGCTGAGGCCCGAGAATTGCTTGAACCCAGGAAACAGAGGTTGCAGTGAGCCAAGATTGTACCACTGCACTCCAGCCTGGGTGACAGAGTGATACTCTGTCTAAAAAAAAAAAAAAAAAAGACTGACCATACCAAATGTTGGCAAGGATGTGGAACAACTGGAACCCTCATACACTGCTGGTAGGAATATATAACAGTACCACCCCCTTGGAAATCAATTTGGGGTCGTTTCTTAAAAAGTTAAAGTGCACCTGCCATATAGTCAAGACATTCTCTTTCTAAATATTTACCCAAGAGAAATGCAGTATATGTCCATGTAAAGATCCGTGCATGAATGTTCGTAGCAGCTTTTTTGTAATAATATACAGTAAGCTTTACACTTTGACATGTGCAGTTTATTGTATGTAATTTGCCTCAATAAAAGTTTTAAATAATACAATTTTATCCAAAATAAAGTTGTGAAAAGTAGAAAAATGAGGAAAAAGTTTCAAAGGTTAGAGGGGTCAGTCCAGGAGACCTAACATCTAACTAATGGGAATTCCAATAAGACAGAAGAAACCAGAAGGGAAGAAATTATCAGAGAAATAATCCTCAGCCTTCCACCCAAAATTTTCTCTCCTAGAACTGAAGGACTCCCAAATCAAAAGGGTCAGCAAAATAAATGTATAGACTCACACCAACACACTTCATCATAATAGTAAAAAGAACAGTAGAGTCAAAAAGAGGATACTAAAAGCTTTCAGAGGGGGAAAAAACAAAACATGCAAATAATCTGGAACCCGAATGGCATCAGACTTTTCAACGGTAATACTGGGCTGGGTGCAGTGGCTCACGCCTGTAATCCCAGCACTTTGGGAGGCCAAGGCAGGTGAATCACCTGAGGTCAGGAATTCAAGACCAGCCTGGTCAACCTGATGAAACCCCATCTCTATTAATAGTACAAAAATTAGCTTATTTCTTAAAAGCCAGCAAGGGGGATGGTTTTTTCCTTGGGCTGGTGGCACGCATCTGTAATCCTAGCTACTCGGGAAGCTGAGGCATGAGAATTGCTTGAACTTGGGAGGTAGAGGTTGCAGTGAGCCAAGATCGTGCCACTATACTCTAGCCTGGGCGGCAGAGTGAAACTGTGTCTTAAAAGAAAAAAATAAATAAAAGTTATCAAAAAACAAAAACAAAACCATAATACTGGAGGCTAGATTACAATAGAGCAATATCTTCAAAATTCAAGGAAAATGGCCAGGCGCGGTGGCTCACGCTTGTAATCCCAGCACTTTGGAAGGCCGAGGCGGGCGGAGCACGAGGTCAGGAGATCCAGACCACGGTGAAACCCTGTCTCTACTAAAAATACAAAAAATTAGCCGGGCGTGGTGGCAGGCGCCTGTAGCCCCAGCTACTCCGGAGAGGCTGAGGCAGGAGAATGGCATGAACCCAGGAGGTGGAGCTTGCAGTGAGCCAAGATCGCGCCACTGCACTCCAGCCTGGGCGACAGAGCAAGACTCTGTCTCAAAAAAAAAAAAAAAAAAAAAATCAAGGAAAATAATATACCCAGCTAAACCATCATGAAGTGTGATAAGAATAATGACGAAGCCAGACATTTTAGAAAAATCTACCCCTAGCGCCCTTTTTCTCAAGAAGCCACTAGAGGAGTATTTCACTCAAATGAGCAAGCAGAGGAAGGAGGATTGCTTGAGCCCAGCCTGGGCAATGTACAGAGACCCCATGTCTACAAAGAAATAAAAGAAGAAAATTAGCCAGGTGTGGTGGCCTGTAGTCCTAGCTACTCACTCAGGAGGATGAGGTAGGAGAATTGCAAGTAAATGAGCAAGTAAACCACAGAAGAATATTAATTTTCTCTTTTTTCTGCTGCATAACAAATGAGCACACATTTAGTGGCTTAAAACAGCTCACATGTATTATCTTCCATTTCTCTGGGTCAGCTTAGCTGGGTTCTCTGCTTCAGACTGCGAAAATTGTCTCATCTGAGGCCTGGGTTCCTCATCAAAGCTCATTTGGCAGAATTCCATTCCTTGAAGTTGTGGGACTGAGGGCCCAGCTTTTTGCTGGCTGTCAGCTGGAGGCCACACCCAGGTCCCAGAGGCCATGTGGGTTTTTGCCATGAGACCTTCTCCTTCGTCCATTCACAGCATGGCAGCTTATTTCTTGAAAGCCAGCAGGGGGGATGGGTTTTCTCTGGAATCTGTTAGATGAAGTGACCTCCCTTCACTGTCACTCGTGCCATATTCTGCTGGTGAGAAGCAAGTCACAGGCCTCACCTGCACTCAGGGAGGGACTCACTGGGAGTCGCCGCCACAGTGTGGCTCCAGGAATGGAAACTACCACACTGCAGAGGTGCAGGGAATCCCCAGGATTATGGTCAAGAAAGAGCCCACTAAGTGTTTTGTTCAGTAGGCCTGCAGGATGAAGGGTGCCAGGAGGATGGCTCCATGAAAGACTGAGCCTATACGTGAACGTACTGAAAGCTGACTTACAGTTCAGCCAGTGTGGTGGTATGTGATTGACAGCGCCCTAGCAAGATGAGCAACAAAGATACAAGACTCCAGCAGAAACAAGCTGCAGAAGAACAGGAGTGTAATCAATAAATCAGATGGCCTTGCTGTGAACGGTTACATAGCTCTGATAAATCCTGATCTAACCAAAAGTCATGACAGCTCGATATTTGGGAGCTGGAGGGGGTGGGGAGTAGGGGTAGTAGGATATGAAGGAGCTAAGTCCCCATTGTTGATATTAGAAATCCAGTGGGTAACATCTGAACGGCAAGACCAGGACAGCAGCGAAAGGCAAAAAGACACCACTGAGTGTTGACAGTGGCTGCCTTTCAGGAGTGGGAATGCCACTGGGGGCAGGGCAGTGGGGGGCAGGGAACAGGTTTTTCTGTTTGTTTTTTGTTTGTTTGTTTGTTTTGTTTTGAGATGGAGTTTCACTCTTGTTGCCCAGGCTGGAGTGCGATGGCATGATCTCGGCTCACAGCTGGAGTGCGATGGCGTGATCTCGGCTCACCGCAACCTCCGCCCCCCGGATTCAAGCAATTCTCCTGCTTCAGCCTCTCAAGTAGCTAGGATTACAGGCATGCACCACCACGCCCAGCTAATTTTGTATTTTTAGTAGAGACGGAGTTTCACCATGTTGGTCACGCTGGTCTCAAACTCCCGACCTCATGTGATCTGCCCACCTCGGCCTCCCAAAGTGCTGGGATTACAGGTGTGAGCCACTTCGCCTGGCCATGGGAACAGTCATGTTGCATAGTAAGCCCTAAAGAGCAGTGTGATCTCTTAAGCCAGCACGTGATTTACTTTGGTAAAAATTAAATTAAAAAAAAAGAAATTAGGCCAGGCGTGGTGGCTCACACCTGTAATCCCAGGACTTTGGAGAGCCGAGGTAGGCGGTTCACCTAAGGTCAGGAGTTCAAGACCAGCCTGGCCAACGTGGTGAAACCCCGTCTCTACTTAAAATACAAAAAAAATAGCTGGGCGTGGTAGTGCACATCCATAAATCCCAGCCACTCGGGAGGCTGAGGCAGGAGAATTGCTTGAACCTGGGAGGTGGAGATTTCAGTGAGCCGAGATTGCGCCATTGCACTCCAGCCTGGATGACGGAGTGAGACTCTGGCCCAAAAAAGAAAAAAATAATCCTATTGGTCTCATAGTGTTTCTCTGTATTTTTAATATACTGTGTATGTGCTTATGAGAAACCGAAAGAGAAGTGATTTGTGAACGATTTGAGGACTTTTGGTCCACGTTTTTTTCTCCCACTTATACTTGTGGCATAATCCAGAGGAAGAAGGGCAGCTGCGGAGTCCCAGCAGTGTTGCGGGTATCAGGGCAGCCAGTGAGAGGATGGAGGAGAAACCCAGGAGAGGGCAGAGGAGGAGGGACAGCTGTGCCCACCTGGTCCTTTCATTGTTGTCTGCCTCTGCCCTTGCAGTTAGAAAAAGAGTGTTCTGTGTATAGAAGCCTTTGCAAGTAGCATAGTTAGGAGTCTTTCGGTCCAGGAATTGAAGGTGCTAAAGCAGGAGGAAAACATACATAGAAGAAAGGAAATGTCCACATAAGTAAGTGTATTAGTCTGCTAGGGCTGCCGTAACAAAAGACCATAGACTGGGTGGCTTCAACAACAGAAGTTTATTTTATTTTCTCACAGTTCTGGAGGCGGGAAGTCCAAGATCAGGGTGCTGGCAGGGCTGGTTTCTGCTGAGGCCTCTCTTCTTGGCTTGCAGACAGCTGTCTTCCCTGTATGTCGTCTTCTCTGTACACAAACATCCCTGTGACCTCTTCCTCTTCTTTTAAGGACACTCAGTCCTATTGGATTAGGGCCCCATGCTTATGACCTTTTTGGGTTGTTTTTTGTGTTTGTTTTGAGATGGGGTCTTGCTCTGTCACCCAGGATGGAGTGCAGTGGCACGATCATGGCTCCCTACAGCCTCGACTTCCTGTCTCCAAATGTAGTCGTATTGGGGGATTAGGATGTCAATATAGGGGTTTTGAGGGGATGCAGTTCAGTCCATTATATACAGTAAGCCACTTCTAGACCCAGTCTGAAGTCCTGAGCATTCAGCTGGTATCTGGAGTGGATCACCTAAGAAACATTACAGAACAATATAGGCCTCTGGTATTTAAAATAGTTTAATTACGTCACAGGGTAGTCCTGAATTCTTTCCTACTTCAGCCAGTCTTGGCCAGCCGAGTTTCAGGGTAGTGATGAGCACTGATGAGGTGACTCCCCCTTCTCCAAACTCTTCCTTTGCCACTGTCCCAAGAAAACCATAAAGGGGAAGTTTAAATGATGGATGTAATTTTCCTGACTTGGGCTGGGCGCAGTGGCTCACACCTGTAATTCCAGCACTTTGGGAGGCTGCGGTGCGCAGATCACCTGAGGTCAGGAGTTCCAGACCAGGCTGGCCAACATGGTGAAACGCTGCCTCTACTAAAAATGCAAAAAAAAAAAAAAAAAAAAAAAAATAGCCAGGCATGGTGGCACACGCCAGTAATCCCAGCTACTTGGGAGGCTGAGGCAGGAGAATTACTTGAACCTGGGAGGCAGAGGTTGCAGTGAGCTGAGATCTTGCCACTGCACCCCAGCCTGGGTGACAGAGACTGTCTCAAAAATAATAATGATTTCCCTGTCTTATGTTTTTCTACTACACAGCTTATTATCTCTGGGCAGGAGCTTTCCCAGGGTCGGAGGGGCAAGGGTCTAGTTGTGAGGGAGAGAGGTGAAAGCAAAAGGGAAATGCTAAATGACATGGCACAGCAAGCAAGGTCTAGGCAGCTGCGCCTTTGATAACAAGCTGCTTGAAGAGAAAGACCAGATCGGCTGAGTGAAAGCACTGTCCATCCTCCCCACCCCTTCCTTCCTGCTTCCTCCTCTTCCCATCTCCTCCAGCTTCTCCTTAAAGGGACTACCGAATGATGATTTCCTTGCCAGTAGGACCTTGACATAAAACCCAGCCCACAACATCACAGTTGATTTTCAAGGGATGAGCTTCTCAGAAACCAGAATTTAATTACTTAATTTTGAGTTTCCAAACAATAAAATATATTATTAAATTGATTTGTTTTCCACACGTAGTGGAGATTTTCATGGTGTGCTACCTGTCGGTCAAACGGCTGATGAATGAGTATGTCGCAAAAACTCTAGGTGGGAATATGACACATGAGGAATGGAATTTGTGCTTCAGCTCTTCCCAGCATCTTCTTGGGCTGCACAAGAGTTGGTAGTCTTTCATCTCCTAAGGACTGAAGGGCCATTTAGAATCACACCTGTTTTGAGTTTATAGTCACGCTTCTGAAACTTTCTCTCTTACAGCCTTATCTGACCTCAATCAAGCTACCCCTGTTCATTTAAATACTTTAGGTCTTGGCTATTGGTTTAGCTTAACATTTGATTGCCATAAATAAGAACTACAGAAAGCGTGACTTGTAAAATTGTAGACCCAGAAAAATTAGGGAACAATCTCATAATACTAATGAAACCTTTTTTCCCATAAAATAAATACATAATTAGATATAGAAGATTTTTTTTTTGGTTTAAGCTATCTTTTCCTATTTCTATCTTAAATAATTTACAACTCTCCTTTAATCCAGGCAATTATCAATTCTATAATAAAATAACAACAATGGGTACTGTGTATTAAACTCTAAACTAGGGTCCTTCATCTCATTTGAATTTTGAAATGACTCCATAATATATTGTTATACTCATGCTGTAGTTATAGATAAAGAACGAGGGCTGACCTTTGACAATCACAATCAAAAAAAACAAAACAAAAGAAGTGAAGGCTGAGCGAAGTAACTCACCCAGCAAGATGCAATTCGTATAGGGTAGAGTCCCCTGTCTCCCGATAATGCTTTGCCCCACACCTGAAAGTCTTGATCTGGTTCCCATTACCCCTCAGACTTTGGGTCCCCAGTAGAACCTTTGCACTTGCAGTTCTCCTTCCTAATGGGCTCAGGGAAACTCACATGACTGCCTGGAGGCTGTTTCTGCACCTGTAGATGGGAATGGGCAAGTCTCTCCCGACTCACTTGTCTCATAGTGTTGTTGAAAGGCTCAGGTGTGATCATTACAGTGAAATAAGGAAAGGCAGGGAAGAATCTCCATCGTTCTCCAAATACGAAGAATGAAATGCAATTTTTTTTTTTTTCTTTTTGAGACGAAGTCTCACTCTTGTCACCCAGGCTGGAGTGCAGTGGTGCCATCTCGGCTCACTGCAACCTCTGCCTCCCAGGTTCAAGCGATTCTCCTGCCTCAACCTCCCGAGTAGCTGAGATTACAGGCACCTGCCACCATGCCCAGCTAATTTGTGTATTTTTAGTAGAGATGGAGTTTCACCATGTTGGCCAGGATGGTCTCGATTTCTTGACCTCGTGATCTGCCCACCTCGGCCTCTCAAAGTGCTGGGATTACAGGCGTGAGCCACAGCGCCCGGCCACAAATAAGTTTATACCCTTGTAGTCATGGCCTTTCTTTTATCTTTCTGGTAATGAATAAAAATGAAGCATATAAGTGACAGAGAAACCAGCTACTTGATCAATAGTGGCATTGTTTCACAATTGTCTGTATTGGATTTTGCCAACCCACTAGAGAGTTACCAAAGCACATTTCTGACATAACTATGATTGATTTTTTTTTAATTTTTGACTAAATATGTTACTTTGACTAAATTGGTTACTTCATTGCATAATGGTGACCATTTACACTTTTCAGATAGGTACAAAAAATCTGTGTATTCTAGCTGGCCATGAAAGAGTAGCAAGCCTGTTATTTTTAAGAAAAAAGCTCGAGTAGTTACTGTATTTGTATCATTTTGGAAATCTCTCATTTTTCTAATCAGCAAAATGGGGATAATGTAAATAACAATAACCCTGACCTCACAGGGTTCTTGGGATTAAATGAGATATGGTGCATACAACGTGCTTAGCATGGCGCCTGGAGTATGGTCAGAACTTAACAAACACAAGTTATAAATGAGGTCCCGAAATACAAGAAATTCACTTCCTCAGAAACCTTCCTTGAGCCTGGCTACATCTATAGCTACATTTTCTACATGTTAAATGCCTCCCTCAGAAGTGTCACTGTTGGAGTTGCCAGGGCACCAATTTATTACTTTGAAAATAGATAAATAAAAGAATCAAGACAAAAGAAAAAGGTGCTACCAAAGAAGACATTCTGTCTTACACTGGATCACACGAGATGTGGATATTTGGCCCGGAACTGCTCACATGGGTCAGCAAGCCTGAGAATGACCGTGGAGAGAAATGGCTGGGGCTGCAGGACTCAGCCAAGCCTGGCACGCGTGTCTTCCGGGCACCGGAGCAGGACGTTGTCTGAAAACATGAAGAATGAAATGGAAGTAATGTAATACCTGGGGTCGGGGCTGGGGGAAGCTTTCTAAGTACAGGCAGGGTCTTTCTATGTTGCCCAGGGTGGTCTTGAACTCCTGGCCCCAAGCGATCCTCCCACCTCGGCTTCCCAAAGTGTGGGGATTGCGAGTGTGGGCCACTGTGCCTGGCCTAATTACTGATTTTAAATATTAATCTTTCTAAAAGTCAAACTCCAGAACTGTGCATGTAGAACTATTCAATTTCTGTATATAACTATAGAAATATATATTAGACGGGCCGGGCGTGGTGGCTCATGCCTGTAATCCCAGCACTTTGGGAGGCCGAGGCGGGCAGATCACGAGGTCAGGAGATCGAGACCATCCTGGCTAACACACGGTGAAACCCCGTCTCTACTAAAAATACAAAAAATTAGCCAGGCGTGGTGGCGGGTGCCTGTAGTCCCAGCTACTCGGGAGGCTGAGGCAGGAGAATCGCTTGAACCCGGGAGGTGGAGCTTGCAGTGAGCCGAGATCGCGCCACTGCACTCCAGCCTGGGTGACAGAGTGAGACTCCATCTCAAAGAAAAAAAAAAAAAAATATATATATATATATATATGTATATATTTATATATGTATATACACACACACACACATTAGATAAGCACATTGTTTATATAGGAATCAAAAATTACCTGTGAGTAATTTTTATTTATGTAATTTAATAATTACATAAAAATTATTTGCAGAGGTTACCTCTGGAAGCAGTATTAGAAGTGGAGGACTTTTTTCTTCTATGTTGAAAATATTTTAAGTAAATTTTTAAAAACGAATAGAAATTTAATCAGGAACAGGCTTTCTACCATTAAAAAACTTTATAGTCTTCTTTACAAAAGAAGAGAAATAATTGTACTTGTTCAGTCATTCAAGGCCACTGAAATAATTGGCATAGCTTGAGCTCTGTAGTACTGTCACAATATGCAAACACAGTGTGGTAATTTTTATAGTAATTGAACATGACTTACGTCTTAGAAAGTCATAAGTTAGGAATTTATTCTGTTCGTTCTTTTGAAGTGAAAAGTAAAGAAAGCAAAACATTTTTTGGCCGGGCGCGTTGTCTCACGCCTGTAATCCCAGCACTTTGGGAAGCCGAGGCGGGTGGATCACCTGAGGTCAGGAGTTTGAGACCAGCCTGGCCAACATGGCAAAACCCCATCTCTACTAAAAATTCAAAAATTACCTGGCCATGGTGGTGGGTGCCTGTAATCCCAGCTACTCGGGAGGCTGAAGCAGGAGAATCACTTGAGGCCAGGAGGCAGAGGTTGCAGTGAGCAGAGATTGTGCTACTACACTTCAGCCTGGGCGACAGAGCGAGACTCTGTCTCAAAAAAAAAAACAATGACTTTGACCTGAATGTCCCAAGGGTCTGCTTTGTGTAGTCTGCCCCTCTACAAGCAGGGACCAGGTCTTGGTCACCTGGTGTCCTTGTAGTAAGCTCTTAGCAGGGACTGGGTCCTGGTCACCTGGGTGTCCTGGTAGTAAGCTCTTAGCAGGGACTGGGTCCTGGTCACCTGGGTGTCCTTGTAGTAAGCTCTTAGCAAAGGTTGCTGAGTCGAATGAACTTCACCGTTTCGGTCCTTTGGTACAGTAACAGGCACTCAAGAGAGTCCACGCTGTAGGGTTGATCAGCCACCATGAGAGAGAAGTATACTCTAAGAGCACACACCATCAACCCCAGAGCATCCCTGCCGACCAGGAATGTAGTTACAGCGGTGCAGGTTCCCAGCTACCCCAAAGAAATCCCAGGAGAGTCCATCTCTACTAAGTCAAGCAAATAGAAATTGCAACTGTAGCAGCACAATCTATTTTCATTATATAGTGTGTGTCTCTCTCTCCCCTCATCTCTCTCTCTCTCTCCTTTCCCCTCGGTCACTTGACATTGATACTGGGCCATTTATCCTCGTGCATCATCTTAGAGTTACATTTGTATAATTATCAACATGGCCATTTGATATAAACAATTCCGTCCCTCACATCCAAAGAAAAGGGAAGAGACAGAAAGAAAAGGCCTAATTTCTGAGCAATTTTTGTTGTTTGTTTCCCATTTTGTAATTGTCCTCCATCTTTACTCATCTGTTTTTTTAAATATTAATTATTTTTTTGAGACAGGGTCTGGCTCTGTTGCTCAGGCTGGAGTACAGTGGTGCACATGGCTTACTGTAGCCTCGACCTCCTGGGCTCAAGAGATCCTCCCACCTCAGCCCCCTAAGTAACTGGGACCACAATTGTGCACCACCACACCTGGCTAATTTTTGTTTGTTTTTTGTAGAGATGGGGCTTTGCCATATTGCCCAGGCTGGTCTTGAACTCCTGGGCTCAATCCATCCTCCTACCTGAGCCTCTCAAAGTGTCAGGATTACAGGCGTGAACCACCATGCCTGACCAAAAATACTTTCTGAGGGTCTAATATTGCCAGGCACCGTGTTAACAATTCAGAAAATACTCCTGCTTAATAAATAAAGACTTGAATTTTTTTAGTTACTTCATTGAAAAGAAAATCTTTTTATTTAAATTGTATCGTCAGCCAGGCGCAATTGCTCACCCCTATAATCCCAGCACTTTGGGAGGCCGAGGCAGACGAATCATTTGAGTCAGGAGTTCAAGACTAGTCTGGCCACCGTGGTGAAACCTTGTCTCTACCAAAAATACAAAAATTAGCCAGGCATGGCGGCGGGCACCTGTAATCCCAGCTATTTGGGAGGCTGAGACAGGAGAATTGCTTGAACCCACGAGGCGGAGGCTGCAGTGAGCTGAGATCACGCTGCTGCAGTCCAGCCTGGGCGACAGAGCCAGAGGCCATCTCAAAAATAAATAAATAAATAAATAAATAAATAAATAAATAAATAAATAATAAAATTGTGATGTAGTTAACTGGTATAATCTTTTCAGTTATTTTTAAATTTTTGAAACAACACGCTGTATATCAGCCATCCATCAGAGAAGGAAAGAAATATGTAGAAGGACTGTCTTCTGCTTCAGATCATGAACTGTAGGAACAAAATAGATATGTGTAAAAATGCTGCTCCTTTTCTGAACCAAAATAAAATTAGATTTTTGTTGTTGTGGTTGTTGTTGGAAAAGGTAGTAGATTTCAGGCAAAATCAGAAAATAAATTATTTCAGAAACACAACAAAACTAAGTACAACGATATTTTGGTTAAGAAAATTATGGTTAGAAATTATGATTCTATCACTTTATGAAACAGAATCTTTAATAATTTTTCAGCTTATACCAAGGATATTCTTTTATTTCTTAATGACTAGTTTTAAATATATGACTATTCTCTCTGTACAGATTTTTAATTAATGCTCATAAAGGCTATTGATAGAACTCATTCTTTCTCCAAAATGGAGTTAACCCGAAATGGGTAGAGATTCAGAAGCTTCATTGTAGTTAAAATTAGGGTCATGAAGGGCAAAAGCCCAGGTATTTCAGCCTTTGTAGAAGAATCCATTAATGCAGCATTACAAGTAAGTGTAATTTAGTGGCTCCTTAGTTATTTTAAGCAAGAGGCCTCCTTAAAGGGCACACAGATAAAGTCAACATAGATCTCCACTGACCCCAGGCGTGCGGCCAGAGGTCAACTCCCAACGGCTGTCTGGGCTCCTTTTTCCCTGCAGTGCTGTATGTCTGGGGGGGTGACAATCCTTTGATAACAGTTTTTTTTATTGGGAGAAAATTTGTGGGAATGCATAAGGTCTTGCTAACATAATTCCACATTATGCTTGCTCAACAGGAGAAGTTTTAGTTTAAATGTAGACTTATTGGAGATGGCTGTATATCTGCAGGTCAGGGAGTCTCGCGTCTGCAGATTCTTTGTGGTTTCTCGTCTGTCGTCGCTTATCCCAAATAAGTAGCTGCACTTCTTGGAAGAGATGATTGCGTCACTTGAAGGGGTCATGGGAGTCTACTGATTGAACTCATTTTTCTCCCATCTGAAAGAAAGAAAAGTTGAAACAAGAGGAAAGACATTTCACACTTTCTGGCATTTAATATTTCGGCTAGTTTTTGTTTGTTTGTTTCTTTTTTGAGACAGATTCTCTCTCTGTTGCCCAGGCTGGAGTGCATTGGTGCACTCTCGGCTCACTGCAACCTCTGCCTCCCGAGTTCAAACGATTCTCCTTCCTCGGCCTCCCAAGTAGCTAAAACGACGGGTGCTCATTACCACACCCAGCTAATTTTTTTTTTTTTTTTTTTGTATTTGTAGAAGAGACAGAGTTTCGCCATGTTGGCCAGGCTGACTTCAAGTGATCCGCCCGCCTCGGCCTCCCAAAATGCTGGGATTACAGGCATGAGCCACTGCGCCCGGCCTGGCCAGGTTTAGATCCTGGTTTTGTGAAAGAATCAGAATGACTAGAAGATTCATGTTCCGATCCACTGCAGCTAACAAATACAGCTCCAGGAACCGCACAAATCCTGCATCGCCTTTCATCAGCAGATAGTTAAAGGCGGAGAATTGGGTTTTCTTGTTTGTAAAGATAGTGCGTGTAAACAAGCATGCAGTAAATTATGTTATCTGCAGTAGAGTCTTCCATTGGTAGCTTTGGTCAGACGAGCTGAAATACACTGCCTTCAGGGTTCTTCTTGGTTTGTCACCGTGAGTAGAGATTTGAATTTACACTGCCTCATCTGTACTGAATTCTGCCCTTGCTGTGAATCATGTCACAGTCTCAGAAGCAGCAGCAGCCATAGAGTCCAGTGACATCCTTACCAGTAAGATACCTTTGACCTAGAGAGTTCATTTCAGGGGTGGGGCAGCATCAGTGTGGCTAAATGTGAATATTCATTTCTTTTTCTTAAACTATAAAATGCTTGTTCTTTTCCAAATCCATAGCTAGGCACAGATTATAGAGGCATCTTAAAAAGCCTTCTATAGCTGGGTGCAGTGGCTCACGCCTGTAATCCCAGCACTTTGGGAGGCTGAGGCGGGTGGATCACTTGAGGTCAGGAGTTTGAGACCAGCCTAGCCAACATGGTCAAACCCTGTCTCTACCAAAAATACAAAAAATTAGCCGGGCATGGTGGCAGGTGCCTATAATCCCAGCTACTCGGGAGGCCGAAGCAGGAGAATCGCTTGAACCCGGGAGGTGGAGATTGCAGTGAGCCGAGATCGTGCCACTGCACTCCAGCCTGGGTGAGAGTGAGACTCTGTCTCAAAAACAAAAACCTCCTATAAATGCCATAAGATGCCGGCAAATGCCATCTCAAAATGCAGTTAGGCAGGAAAATTACCTGGTATGAGTTGTAACCTAGGCAACTGGAAAAAAATATGTGTCCACCAGTTACCCTTGTGTTTGATGTTTCAAGTAGTAGAACAGTATAAGTGTGGTTTTCTTTCTGGGGTCTCCCCCATTGTATGCACTCACTGTAGTAACCAGAGGAAAATGTTACCTTCCTGCTGGGAACCTTAACTTCCGAGGCTGTGATACCCATCTTCATACCTAAAGTTTTAACATATAGCAAGTCCCCACCTACAAGCAGGTCTTATGTCAAAAGTGTAGTTGCAGTTTATTGCCTGGAACCCGGAATGGATTTTCCCATAGGCGTGTTATGAACGGCAGCTGTATTCCAGGCAGCTGTGGAAGCCTTTTTAGCCCATTTATATACCTGAAGTGCAGTCATGTGCAATTAGCAAGACAAGAACCAGCCATCATCCATCACAATGTTTTATGTGTTCCCCCAGCCTCCCCACTCCCACTCTCAGTTGGCCCAGCTAGGCAGGGAAGGGGGTGTTAATGAGGCCTGCAGGTGCACAGATTTACTCCCCACCTGCTGCATCTGCAGGGGTTAAACCGGCTTTTCCCTCCCCTTCGCTCTCACCATTCCTTCTCTCCCTCTCCCCACCCCCAGTCTCCCTTTCCCTGTGCTGAAGGGGCTGGGCAGTGAAGTGAGGAAGGGTGGCTGGAGCTGTTGGGGGCTGAGGCCACATTGTGCAGTTCACATCAGAACCCCCTGGGGACTTGCTCCAGTTGCAGATTCAAATGCAGCAGGTCTGGGGTGGGCTCTGAAATTCCGAATATCTAACAGGCTCCCAGGTAATGCCCATGCACAGGCCCACAGGCCCCATTTGAGTAACAGGAGTCTCTAAACACCATGCAGGGAGGAGAGGCTGGTGAAGAGGGAAACCTCGAGTCACGACTGAAAGGCAGTGGAGGGTGAGAGCTGAGTTCTATTCTCTAGGCCTTAGGGAGGTCCCTTTTACACTGAGAACTTTTTGCCACATGGGAAGAAGCAGGCAAACCCTGGATGCCATCAGGTGCTGGCACATCGCAGCCTCATCTCATGCAAGGTGTTCTTGGCCAGGGCCTGTGGAGGTTCTACATGATATGGCATTAACCCTCGGGAGAGCAGGCACAGTAGAACCTGAATGTCTCCTCCAAGCGACTGGGTGCAGCATCGCTCCATGTGACTGGGTGCAGCATCGCCCCATGCGACTGGGTGCAGCATTGCCCCATGCGACTGGGTGCAGCATCGTTCCATGCGACTGGGTGCAGCATCGTTCCATGCGACTGGGTGCAGCATCGCCCCATGCGACTGGGTGCAGCATCGTTCCATGCGACTGGGTGCAGCATCGTTCCATGCGACTGGGTGCAGCATCGCCCCATGCGACTGGGTGCAGCATCGTTCCATGCGACTGGGTGCAGCATCGTTCCATGCGACTGGGTACAGCATCGTTCTATGTGACTGGGTGCAGCATCGCCCCATGTGACTGGGTGCAGCATCGTTCCATGCGACTGGGTGCAGCATCGTTCCATGCGACTGGGTGCAGCATTGCCCCATGTGACTGGGTGCAGCATCGTTCCATGCGACTGGGTGCAGCATTGCTCCATGTGACTGGGTGCATATTGCTCCATGGGCATGGTTTGTATGAAACACTCACTATTAAAGCACAGTAGGAAATGCTGAAATGGAAAAGGAATGGGTCATCCGGGAGCCCCAGGATCTAGACCCTGGAGCAGTGTTTCAGGGCCTGAGGATCCGTCAAGGGGGCCAGCATCAGAAGCCCCAGCACACAGGGGGCTTCTGATGCAGGAGGAGAGTGTGCGGTTTGAAGATCTTTCATCCCAACACAGCAAGGCGGTGAAGAACCAGTTTTCATCCTGTCTCCACCACTAACTAGCCATGTGTCCTTGAGCTCATACCCTCATGCCTAAGTGTCCTCTGTCCTCATCCGTAAAGTAAGGCTAAAATGAGTACCTACCTCATTAGGGTGCTGGGAAGCTCAATGAGATTATTTCTGTAAAACCCTTAGACTGTCCATTAAGTGTCACAAAAGCAGTCGTAGGGGTGGCTGTGGCGGTATGGTAGTGGTGAAATGAGTAATTTGAGATTATAGGCCTAAAGTCAAATTTCTGGTTTTGCAACTTTTTACTAGTGTGACCTGGGCAAGTGACTTAGCCTCTCCAAACCTCAGTTTCTTCCCTTGTAAAATGGAAATAATAAAAGTTCCTACCTGCTATATTATTGAGAGGATAAAATGAGGAAAGCACGTAGCACAGTGCCCATCACAAAGCAAGCTCTCAGTAGATATCAGTTACTGTTATTGAGGGAGACCGGGGTGACGACTGGCATCTGAACAGGAGTTTTCCAGCTGTGCTCCAGGAGCTATAGGTTTTACAAAAATGTGTCTTGGGGGTGAGAAGGAGGCCATTATTCACCCTGCCCACACCTGCTGCCCCCTTCAACCTGATGGGCTTGTCTTTGTTGGCGTTCAGCATGAAGATTTTATTGAGAAGAAAAGGTTTGGAGTTTGGAAGATCACTGTTTTGTAGTTCGGGTGTGTTATGGGGCCACAGGGAAGGTAAATGGTCTCAATTTTCAGGAAGTTGACATTTGCCTTTTCTACTTCATTTCCTTAAACAAAAATTGAAATATCAGATGACAAATTTAAAGAGATATATCCCATATAAAACCTAAAGTTCTATGAGGCTGTATTGAACGATAGAGTTAATTTGCATCATCAGATGTTGTGGCCGCTTTGTAGCATTTGCTAATCTGTAACGCTTGGTTTTCTCCCCCAGATGAGCACCATGCCAGGACTGCCCACCCGGCCCTGCTTTTATGACATAGATCTTGATACCGAAACAGAACAAGTTAAAGGCTTGTTCTAAGTGGACAAGGCTCTCACAGGACCCGATGCAGGTAGGCTGATGTGCTTCAACTTTTTCTCTCTTTGTTTTTTTCCAGTTCATATCCTTTTTTTGTCATTTTTTTTTTCTGATACCACAGAAGTGATCTGATAAATCCTTTCCTTCCTTTGTTACTCAAATTCCTACCAAATGATTTTCCGTGACTGGAGTTCACTCCTGGGTGTGGCTGTGAGTTACATGCTCAGATGCTCAGTACACAACCCTTAGTGTCCTGCGCTCGAGTCCAGTGAAAGCCAAGTTATGTCATCCCTGAATATAGATGTGTTTAGAGCATCTCTGACCATAACAGAACTCTGTAAACTCATTGTTCTTTTCCAGGATTAAAACCAGCGTCTGTTATAATTTTAAAAGAGTAACTTCCTACCTTCCTGCCACGTATCTCTTGGTACAGAGCTAGAATCATGTGAAAGAGGAATCTTGGTGTATCCGTTTCCTGGGGCTGCCATGACAAAGTATCGCAAACTGGGTGGCTTAAAACAGTGGAAAGTTTGAAACAGTTCTGGAGGCTAGAAGTCCAAAGTCAAGGTGTCAGCCAGGCCATACGCCACCTCGAGACTCTGGGTGGAATCCTTGCTGGCCTCTTCCTAGCATCCAGTGGTGGCTGTCACTCCCTGGCGTTCCCACCTTGCAGCTGCGTCACTCCCGTCTCAGCCTCTGTGGTCCCACCACGTTCTCCCTGTGTCTGTGTCTTCACATGATGTTCACCTCTTATAAGGACCCCAGTCCTATTGGATTAGGGCCCACCCTAAGAACCTCCTTTTAACTTGATTACTCTGCAAAGACCCTCCTTCCAAATAAGATCACTCTCAGCCAAGCACTTTGGGAGGCCGAGGTGGGTGGATCACGAAGTCAGGAGTTCAAGACCAGCCTGGCCAAGATGGTGAAACCCCGTCTCTACTAAAAATACGAAAATTAGCTGGGCGTGTTGGTGGGCACCTGTAATCCCAGCTACTCGGGAGGCTGAGGCAGAGAATTGCTTGAACCCGGGAGGCGGAGGTTGCAGTGAGCTGAGATTGCGCCACTGCACTCCAGCCTGGGCGACAGAGCAAGACTCTCCTTCTAAAAAAAAAAAAATCACTCTCACAGGTGCTCAGGGTTAGGACTTAAGCATATCTTTTAGGGGACACAGTTCAACCCAGAACACTCAACTGTGTGGCACAACAGGTGTGTTCGGCTCTCTTGTCCCTGGACAGACACATAGCCATGGGACAGACCATTTAACTAGAGGGCCCCATGGGTTCCAGGAAGGGCAGGGCAGCAGAAAGTAGGCCACTTGATGACTTCGGGTTTGCACAGTCTCAGGTTGGGCTTTGACTCTGAGCTGTCTTAGGCAGCCCAGACCTGGGGACTCTCGGTCTTATTCATGTCCACGCCACAGCACTGCAGCCATACCTGCTGGCTTCTATCCTGACTCCCCATCGTGAAGAAAAATGACCACATTCCTAAACCTCTTCCCTGGGAGACAACTCCTAATCAGAAGCTTGAAAGGCTCAGGGCTGCTTCTCCTACCCCAGGGATCAAACATGTCCTCACCATATTCTAAAGACACATTCTTTCCCCGCAAGCACCCCGCCTCCTTCTCCCCACTGACTCCTGTTCCTGAGCCCAGAACCTCTCCCTCTTGCCAGCATATTCTCGGCCTTTGCAGATGAGCTTTTGTGGCCTAAAGACCTTCTTCTTCAACCATCTCTGAGTTACGGCTCCAAGCCAGGCACCCAGGATTCTCATTTCATTTGTTTCACTACCAGGAGTCCACTTGAGGACTTGTTGTTGTTGTTGTTGTTTGAGACAGAGTCTCGCGCTATCACCTAGGCTGGAGTTCAGTGGCGTGATCTCTGCTCACTGCAACCTCCGCCTCCCGGGTTCAAGCAATTCTCTTGCCTCACCCTCCCAAGTAGCTGGGATTACAGGTGTGTGCCACCACGCCCCGCTGATTTTTGTATTTTATTTATGTATTTATTTATTTGCGACAGAGTCTTACTCTGTTGCCAAGGCTGGAGTGCAGCGGCACTGTGTGGGCTCACTACAACCTCTGTCTCCTGGGTTCAAGCAATTCTCCTGCCTCAGCCTCCCAAGCAGTTGGGATTACAGGCGTCCACCACCATGCCCAGCTAGTTTTTTTATTTTTAGTAGAGACAGGGTTTCACCATGTTGGCCAGGCTGGTCTCGAACTCCTGACCTCAGGTGATCCACCCGCCTCAGCCTCCCAAAGTGCTGAGATTACAGGCGGGAGCCACCACGCCCAGCCTAATTTTTGTATTTTAATAGAGATGGGGTTTTACCGTGTTGGCCAGGCTGGTCTCAAACTCCTGACCTCAAGTGAGCCACCTCGTCTGGCCAAGTTTTTTTGTTGAGGCTTTGTTGCTAAAACACTAAAGACCTAGGCTATGGTGAGAAAGATAAGGGAACCATAAATGAAATTACATTAAAACAAAGTGTGAAATTGTTTGTTTTGAGTTGTGGATGTTGTTTGGGGGTGTTTGTATGTGTTTTTTGCTGAGGAGCGGGAGCTGTGTTAAGTTTGAGCCATAACTGCATCTTTGATCTTTGTTATTTCAGAAAAAATAAAACTCTAGAAAATGAAGTAAGGGAGACTAGTTTAACAAAGAAACCCATAAACTCAAGTGTTGATAAAATGTTGTTTCATCTTTTGGTGTGAGCTTGTGTGTTGCCAATGTCTTCCATTCCCCAGTAAGGCTGTGGGGAAATAATTGCTATTTCCCCAATTGCTAGTTGGCCTAGCAATTCTCTTTTTATGTCAGGAACCCATTATGTTACATTTCTGCCATTTGTCATTTTTCTCCAGAATAAGTGTGTTTGATTCTCCCATCTCTCTTGGACAGTATTTTTCCAGCTTTTGGTGAGTTTTCACATGCTCTCCAAGTAGGTCATATAAGTCCAATTATACCTTAATCACTGTAGTTAGGACTCAGGTCCTACTCAGGGATACATCCTTAGCATTATTAATGCATACCCTTAAATCCTTTATTACCTACTCCCTAACAAGAATTCCTCCAGATCTTATATACGGGGCCTGCAGGGCAGGACACAGGCCTATGGTAATTACTTCCAATGTATCGGGCATTGTGCTAAGCACTTTGCATGGGTGGTCACAGCACCTCTGGAGCCAAGTGTTGTCCCATAAGGGCCACAAGGCTTCAAGAGGACGGAGCCTACCCCTTGGTCACTGAGGGGTGGCCCTGGTCTGCAAGGCTACAGAACTGCCTTGCCACCCTGTGGCACTGCCTCTCATTTCATAGCTGGCACATGTCATTTTGCCACCCCCATCACATGTCATGCTGGCATCAACCCAGGGAGGTGGGTAGTATTTTTGTTGAAGAGCTGCAAGAACTCTGCCCAGAGAAGTCGACAACCTGCTCAAGTTGTGCAGCTAATAACTACAAAAGCCAAGACTCAACTCAGATCTGTTGACTCTCAGTATTACCCCAACCTTTATGCCCCAAACCAAAGGATGCCCTTTTCATTTCAGTCACGGGTAAAATGAACTTTGGCCCATTCCGAAAGATGATACCAGCTATTTGAACAGACAGGTACTTGAGGATAATGAGGTAATTTTTTCTAATAAGTAAAGATAATTGTTTGGGTATTAAAAGCTATGATTTTGTCATAATTCTTTTTAGTCCAAGTATAATAGAGCCAGCTCTTTCCTAATTCTCTAATGGAATGGCATTTCTACCCCTTACCCACCCCCCAATCCAAGGCCTCTTTCTTCTTTGTGAATTGCTAAATACAGTTCTGGGCTAGTGGGCAGTGGTTCAAAACCCATCGTTTGACCCTGCTTGAACAATCAAAAACAGATCCAGTGTCCTAAGATAAAACCACTATACAAAGCAAACATTCCCTCTCAGTGGCTCCTCGGTAATGACCCAGCAAGTATTGTCTGTTTCCCGTGCCTCTCACTATAGCCATCAGGGACCACTTCTACTAATAATCAGAGGTCTGCGGCTATTCAAAATGCATAAAATAAAAATGTTAAAGCTTAGGTGACAGCTTGGACAAACGTGGGCATCTGAAAGGAAATGTCTGGCTTGCTGACGTTGCTCCTTCAGGGATCACACCGTAGATGGTGTGCATACCCAGGTGCGGAGCAGCACACTCATTATTCCCCCAGGAAAGTGTTGAAGGCGCGTTCCACTCAGGAAGAAGATTGTGCTTGGTTGATGACAACTTTCTGTCCTTCCCTTCCTCACCTTTCTAGCCTGTCTCACCTCCTAGGAAACCGTGTGAAACCAAAGGTGAACATTATATGCCAAAAAACATCAGAATTGGAGCTCTCCTTGCTCCCTCTTCCCAAGACTTCTCTGTAGTGCCTTCACTGTGGTTAGAATAAGGGCATGACTCATTCTTTTGGATGTCACTAAATAGAACTAATTAAAATAGATTTTTTGTCCCAGTGAAATTGATCCGGCTGTTGAGTCTTTTGTTTAAAGATTATTGGAATGAAGGATTTGATACTTTTCCCCCCATTCTTTTTTCTCACTTGGAAACTTTATCATATTTCTGAGCTTTGGCAAGATTCATTCAAATGAACACACAATAAAGTCTGGCAAATTTCCTGAAGAATTCAAGGACTCCCTTACTTCTTTATTGTACTGTGCAAAGTTACGTTGAGTACGGAATCAGATTCACTCCAGTCCTGCTACAAATGTTTGTTATTTACAAAAGAATTGCTTTTTCTTGAATTACATACACAGAAATAAGTTCAGGAAAGAAATTAGTTTCTTTCCTAAACTGGCTTTAGGGCATCTACAGACAAATGGTTAAAGAAAATGTGGTATGTATAGAGAGTGGAATACTACTTAGCCATTAAAAAAGAATGAAATAATGTCATTTACAGCAGCATGGATGGAAGTGGAAGTTATTATGTGAAATAAGCTGGGCACGGAAAGACTAATGCTGCATGTTCTCACTCTCATGTGGAAGCTAAAAAGCTTACCCTCATAGACAGAATAAATGGTAGATACCAGAGGCTGGGAAGGATGGGTGGCTGGGAGGAGGTTATGAAGAAAGGTTGGTTATGGGTACAAACATACAGTTAGACGAAGAAATAAGCTCTAATGTTTGATAGCAAACTAGGATGACTATACTCAGCAACAATATTTTGTATACTTCAAAGTAACAGGAAGAGAGTGGGGTGTACTTGAAATGATACCAACATACAGTAGTAATGATAAATACTCAAGATAATGGACACCCCAGGTACCCTGACTTGATCACTACACATTCCAGGCACATAATAAACACTCATATATACCCCATAAGAATATAAAATATTAGGCCAGGTGTGGTGGCTCATGCTTCTAATCTCAGCAGTTTGGGAGTCCGAGTGGGTGGATCACTTGAGCCCAGGAATTCGAGACCAGCCTGGGAAACATGGCAAAACCCTGTCCCTACTAAAAATAGAAAAATTAGCCAGGCGTCATGGCACGCACCTGTAATCTCAGCTACTCAGGAGGCTGAGGCAGGCAAATCTCTTGAACCCAGGAGGTGGAGGCTGCAGTGAGCTGAGATCATGCCACTGCACTCTAGCCTGGGTGACAGAGCAAGACTCGGTCTCAAAAATATATATAATGTATCAATACAAGGGAAAAATGGGCAGAAATTTTCAATGATATTTAATAACCATAAATTAATCTTGAGTTGGGTTGCTGCCTGCCAGCCCTTCTGTGAACATGATTTGTTCAGTCCCAAGTCACAAACCACAGGGTTACAAAGTACCCTGGGAGGGTGCCTGAGCTCTGTGGTTTTAGTCTTGAAACTTTATCTTTTCACAAAGCAATTCAAAAATTGCTCATCACCATTGTGTTCCGAGAAAAGGGGCGCCAAGGCATCACCCTGAGCCATCCGAGGAGTGCTGTGTGCCTTCTTCCTTTCTGCTTCCAAGTAGGATGGAAGCTCCAGCTTTATACTTAAATAATCCTCATCAACATCTAAAAGATAGTGATAATTAAATCTCTCCTATCTAACTAAAATGGAATGTTTTAAAGCTTAGGTAACAATTCTGAAATTCTTAATTCCCCCCAAAACAAACTTTTTCTGAGCACATTTTGATTTCTTATTCCCATGCCAGAATAGACTGTTTTGTATATGGTATCTTCCAAGATATTTTCCCACTGAGTTAACTTCTGAAATTGCTTCTTCCAACGCATAAGCAATAAACAACAGATTCGTTTTTACATTCTCACCTTAGCTATTGCATCTCTGATTGTTTTCATCTATAATGAGACTTTCTATACTTTGGCCAGTCCTTCTGTTTTTCTTAAAATGTGGGACCACAGGCCAGGCACGGTAGCTCGCATCTGTAATCCCAGCAATTTGGGAGGCCGAGGCAGGCGGATCACCTGAGGTCAGGAGTTCAAGACCAGCCTGGCCAACATGGTGAAACCCCATCTCTACTAAAAATACAAAAATTAGTCGGGCATGGTGGCGGGTACCTGTAATCCCAGCTACTTGGGAAGCTGAACCCTGAGAATTGCTTGGACCCAGGAGGCGAAGGTTGCAGTGAGCTGATATCGCATCGCTGCACTCCAGTGTGGGCAACAGAGCAAGACTCCATCTCAAAAAAAAAAAAAAAAAGTGGGACCACATACTCTAAGCACCTTTAGACAAAACCACAGGATACAAATGTAATGTGGCTAATCAGCTGGTCTTCCACCACCCACCTCTGGAGCATGGAAGGCCTTGTCCAGCCTTGCCTTGCCAAGCCAAGGGTCATCTCTAGTCCACTGAGCCCACCCTCTACCCTAGCACCCCTCCTGTCCCAAGAGTCATTGACCCTCAGGTCAAGGGATACCAGAGCCACTACAGTGAGGCTGGCCGTGTCTCTGAAATATTTTCTTTTTTTTTTTTTGCCCTTCTCTCTTCCTCGGCGCTGCCTATGGAGGTGGCAGCCATCTCCTCCTCGGCATCTTGGCCGCCCTCAGACCCCTTGTGAAGCCCAAGATCGTCAAAAAGAGAACCAAGAAGTTCATCCGGCACCAGTCAGACCATTATGTCAAAATTAAGCGTAACTGGTGGAAACCCAGAGGCATTGACAACAGGGTTCGTAGAAGATTCAGGGTCCAGATCTTGATGCCCAACACTGGTTATGGGAGCAACAAAAAAACAAAGCACATGCTGCCCAGTGGCTTCCGGAAGTTCCTGGTCCACAACGTCAAGGAGCTGGAAGTGCTGCTGATGTGCAACAATCGTACTTGTGCCGAGATCGCTCACAATGTTTCCTCCAAGAACCGCAAAGCCATCGTGGAAAGAGCTGCCCAACTGGCCATCACAGTCACCAACCCCAGTGCCAGGCTGTGCAGCGAAGAAAATGAGTAGACAGCTCGTGTGCACATTTTCTGTTTAAATAAATGTAAAAACAGCCATCTGGCATCTTCCTTTAAAAAAAAAGAAAAGAAAGAAATATTTTCTTTCTTTTCTTTTTTTTTTTTTTTTTGAGACGCAGTCTCGCTCTGTCACCCAGGCTGAAGTGCAGTGGCACGATCTCGGCTCACTGCAAGCTCCGCCTCCCGGGTTCACGCCATTCTCCTGCCTCAACCTCCAGAGTAGCTGGGACTACAGGCACCTGCCACCACGCCCAGCTAATTTTTTTGTATTTTTTTAATAGACACGGGGTTTCACCGTGTTAGACAGGATGGTCTTGATCTCCTGACCTCGTGATCCACCCGTGAGCCACCGCGCCTGGCCTGAAATATTTTATTTTTGTTCATCTTTGTTGTGCTTATAATACTCCTGTTTTCTGTTTATTCCCCTGACTTGAACCAGATGTTAGGGGAGTATTTGAAGCTCCTCGTTCCCTCTCTTCATCAATATCTTCTGTCTAGAAACTAACCAAGCACCTTATCTGGCTCCAGACCTCTCAGTGATCTGTGGGAGGCCAACTCGCAGGATTTCAGCAGAGTTTGCACTTTCTAGGCCTAAAAGATAAGTCCTTCCATGTGTAAGTTCAGATTAAAGGCAACATATTGCATTTACATTTTAGAGAGGTGAACACATTATTTTCTGGGACTTAAGTGTTGTTTTGTTTCTTTTTTTTTTTTTTAATGTAGTTTATTTCTCTTTCTAAGAGATTACAGGATTCAAGAATGGCAATGAATCTTAATAGCCTTTGGGAGAAAGCAGCAAAGCTTTAATACTAAGTTCCAGGACCATGAACTTCCATGTTGTCCTAAATGCATTTTTCAAACATTGCTTTCTGTGCCTACTCTATAAAACCTAAAAATCCAAGGTGACAGTATTCCTTATCTAAAATCCTAAACAAGGCTGGGCGTGGTGGTTCATACCTGTAATCCCAGCACTTTGGGAGGACAAGGCAGGCGGATCACTTGAGCCCAGGAGTTCAAGACCAGCCTGGCCAACGTGGTGAAACCTCGTCTTTACTAAAAATACAAAAATTAGCCGGGCATGGTGGTGCACACTTGTAATCCCAGCTACTCCGGAGGCTGTGGCGGGAGGATTGCTTGAACCCGGGAGACGGAGGTTGCAGTGAGCCGAGATCTCGCCACTACACTCCAGCCTGGGCGACAAAGTGAGACTCTGTCTCAAAAAATTAAAAAAAAATTTTTTTAAATCCTAAATATTCTCATTCCACAGGATCCTGCAAACTGTAGATCCCAAACTTGGAAGTTCTGGGAATTCTGCCAGTATCCCCAAGTAAATCTCTTGGGAAGTTTAGAATGCTGCATGGCGTAGCTGTGCCTGCTCTTATAGAGTGGTGCAGACTCTGCTTCTCCACGTCTGCTAAGTAAAATATTCCAAACACAGATCAGCCTTATCTAGCGAACCATCACTCTGCTCTTGAATTTTCTTTTGGCCTCAAACTCTAGAGCTATAACATGTTAACGGTTTAACACCAGAGGAGAAAGCTATTCTTAAACTACTCAAACATGGTTTTTTTTTCTATTTTTCAGACTCCTGAAACAGACTACTCTTTGCCTTTTTGCTGCAGTTGGAGAAGAAACTGAATTTGAAAAATGTCTGTTATGCAATGCTGGAGACATGGTGAAATAGGCCAAAGATTTCTTCTTCGTTCAAGATGAATTCTGTTCACAGTGGAGTATGGTGTTCGGCAAAAGGACCTCCACCAAGACTGAAAGAAACTAATTTATTTCTGTTTCTGTGGAGTTTCCATTATTTCTACTGCTTACACTTTAGAATGTTTATTTTATGGGGACTAAGGGATTAGGAGTGTGAACTAAAAGGTAACATTTTCCACTCTCAAGTTTTCTACTTTGTCTTTGAACTGAAAATAAACATGGATCTAGAAAACCAACCAGCAAGTTTTCAGTGCCAGATAAAACTCTGCGCTCTAGAGGTAACTCCTCATGGGAGGCAGCTAGGAGTGTTACCTGACACCAGTTTCCTAGAAAACTGTGACAAGCAAAGCAATAACACACGTCGAGAAATATCTGATCAAGCGGGAAATCTTCTGACTGTCGGGGATCTCTAGTAAGATCTCTTGGAATGAAGTGCACTGTGTATCCAAAACTATTTTCCAGCGCCAGTGAAGTTGCTCTTACCTAAAACAAATGGGTTTATGCTAGTTTCCACCAAGGAATGAGTCTCGATGGCCATTAAACTTTCTAAGGCCCACAGGGCTAGGAAAAGTCGCTCTTAAAGGTCAGGTGTTTGGAAAATGTTTTTCCTTTTGCCCAACCCTTAATTAGTAGTAGAGAATGTTCTGTGGCCTATTCCCCTCTCTGGGAGTTCCTGACCCTTCTTTGTTTTCCAGTTTTTCCTACAATAATATAAAATTACGTAAAAGTTAAAACAAAACCAAGGATTCAGGAAGAAACAAGCAGTGATTGTCCTCTAGGCAGCGTAAGGAAAATAGTCACCATAAATATCTTAGATGCCCCCCAGGCACATCCTGCAGGATCTTTTCTGCATCCTCTTGTCCTACACCCTCCAGTGACCCTGCTCAGCCATTGCTCAGCCCATAATGCACCTTTATGCACAATTTGTCCCAAAACACTGTTTAGTAACTCAAAAGCCTCCCACTCAAAAGCTGTCTGTCCCAAGAATAATTTCACTTGGCAATTCTGAAGTGTCCTTCCCCATCCCTGCCCTTTATTTGGGAGTACACCTCTCCAAATATACAGTTAACTGATGTTTTACTGTTTATTTGGAGAGGTGTACTCCCAAATAAAGGGCATACCCTCTCCCTTTACAGTAAATTTGTAAACCCTTATAATCTTCCAATAGATTTATACATTGAAAACCCTATATATTCCACTCAGAAAGCTGTCTTTTTTTTTTTTTTTTTTTTTTTTTTTTTAAGATAGGGGCTCACTCTGTTGCCTAGGTGGAGTGCAGTGGTACAATCATGGCCCACTACAGCCTTGACCTCCCAGGCTCAGGTGAAGCCCCCACCTCAGCCTCCTGAGAAGCTGGGACTATAGGCACGCACCACCCCACCCAGCTAATTTTTGTATTTTGGTAGGGACAGGGTTTCACCATGTTACCCAGGCTGGTCTCAAAGTCCGGGACTCAAGCGATCCGCCCGCCTCAGCCTCCCATAGTGCTGCGATTAGAGGCGTGAGCCACCGTGCCTGGCCGTGAATTGATTTTTAAGCAGTTGTCTTCTGCTACTCATGTTTTTATTCTTTTCCTCTGCATTGAAAGGTTAAGTTTCTATTTTTGAAAACATTTTTTAAATAAATATTTTAGGAGTCTCCATTCAAAAAGCTTTAGCCTAGGGACTCCTTTCCTTACCTACTTTTACCAGACAACTCCTCAACTCAAAATGTAAGTAAACATCCTGCACACCAGTGTGGGAGAGTTTTCCACTGCTCACTTTGGAAGGACTATCATCCAGGTGCTGCTGGAAACCGCAAACTGTTTCCCATCATGTAGGCTCATTCGAAGTCCTCTGGGTGTCATAACTCGGGCTCTGATGGAGTTGTTTTTGCTCATTCACTACCCTACTGATGGTAGAGTGTATTTGACTCCAGCTGAGTGATATGCAGTCTCCACTAAGAAGAAACGTTAATTAATGGGCTCATCAACTCCTGATGACTTGAGGCATTCATAGAGAAAAAGAAGTATTATTATGGGGAGTACTGGGAGGAGCCAGTTATCAACCATCTTTTCTGAGGCCACAGCATGAGAAAAGAAAAATCACATAACCTTTGGCATGGTGGGTTTCAGTTAGAAATCTTCCCAAGAAGAGTGGATATTGATTTCTTTCTGCCTTTAATTGAAATGTAAAAAACGAATAGGCCAGAGATGGTGAGTGGCTCCAATTACCCACTGTGGCACAGAAATGTGTGATCATGCCCCCTCTCTGCTTGAGGACTGGCAGTAGTGACACCTGCCAAGGTGAAGTCCCAGACCAGAAGAATCCTCTGTGAAAGCTGCCTGAAGAACACACTATAGGAATTAACTGGAGAAGAGATGCATAGGAACTTCGGAAAACATCAGCAAGGCAATGAGCCAACCCATTCATTCGTATTTTTTTTTTTTGTCTTTTTTTTTTTTTTTTTCCGAGACCGAGTCTTGCTCTGTCGCCCAGGCTGGAATGCAGTGGTATGATCTCGGCTCACTGCAACCTCCACCTCCCAGGTTCAAATGATTCTCCTGCCTCAGCCTCCGAAGTAGCTGGGATTATAGGCATGCACCACCACACCCAGCTAATGTTTGCATTTTTAGTAGAGACTAGGTTTCGCCATGTTGGCCAGGCTGGTCTCAAACTCCTGGCCTCAAGCCATCCACCTGCCTTGGCCTCCCAAAGTGCTGGGATTACAGGCGTGAGCCACCACTCCCAGCCTCATTAATATTCTTTTTATTCCTCTATTGTCAAGGTTATTTTGTTTAACTAGAGTGTGTATGTTTAATACACTTAAAGCTATAAGGAGTATTTTTCACAATAGATATTTAAAGAGAATCCTAGTTCCCTCCCATCTGAGAGTAGCCACGGTTTCGTTTGTTTAACTACAATGTGCCCAGCCTGTTTTTAATCATAATTTACACATGCCCACAAATAAGATTGTGGCATGTGTAAATTATGATAATTTACCGTATATATTCCCAGAAAATCCACATACTACATATTTGTAGATTGCTTTTTCATAAATGTGTTCGCACAAGGGAATAAAAATTCAGTAACAAGTGCATTCTTTTTTTTTTTTTTTTTTTTTGAGGAGTCTCGCTCTGTCGCCAGGCTGGAGTGCAATGGTGGGATCTCGGCTCACTGTAACCTCCACCTCCCGAGTTCAAGCAATTCTCTGCCTCAGCCTCCTGAGTAGCTGGGATTACAGGTGCCTGCCACCATGCCCGGCTAATTTTTATATTTTTAGTAGAGACGGGTTTTCACCATCTTGGCCAGGCTGGTCTTGAACTCCTGATCTCGTGATCCACCCACCTCAGCCTCCCAAAGTGCTGGGATTACAGGCATGAGCCACCACACCTGGCCAACAAGTGCATTCTTACAGCATTTGTTACAAACCTATAATCCATATCCTCTGAAAAAGTCAAGCATTATGACAAAACCACTGGTCAATCAACAGATCTTCATGTAGCACCGTAAACTCTAATGCAGCCAGAGACAGACCCAAAACTCTAACAGCGACTTCAGAACAGCAGAATGGACTAGAATTCAGGGGTCTGAATTTGAGGGAAAAAATGTAACATCTTTATGGCTATAATGTAGCATTTCCTTCCCTATGAGTGTCAGCAACAAAACACAGCACTATCGACAGTGCTGTGTCTTTTTTGTTTGTTTTGAGATAGGGGTCTCATTCTGTTGCCCAGACTGGAGCGCAGTGGCACAATCACAGCTCACTGCAGCCTCCACCTCCCAGGCTCAAGCAATCCTCCCACCTCAGCTTCCCCAGTAGCTGGGACCACAGGCACACCACCACACACAGCTAATTTTTTATTTTTTGTAGATACAAAGTCTTGCCACGTTGTCCAGGCTGGTTTCGAACTCCTGGGCTCAAGTGATCATCCCACTTCAGCCTCCCAAAGTGTTGGGATTACAAGCATGAGCCACCGTGTGTGGCTTTTTTTTCTTCCCTAGCCACTAGACCTCCAGGGAAACAGTAGCTATGTCTTTGTCGTAGATATTTTAATATTACATGACAGTTTCTACAAATACAGTAGCATTTATGCTTCTCACTGCATCAAAATTATAGTAGTTATTAGATCTCCCACTGTCTTTGTATCCATGTAAATAAAGAGGCACCTACATTGCTATAACCAAATGTGGTACCTTTTCTATACTTTAATAATTGCATTTCAGGCTGGGCACGGTGGCTCATGCCTGTAATCAAGGCGGGTGGATCACTTGAGGTTAGGGGTTCGAGACCAGCCTGGCCAACATGGTGAAATCCAATCTTTACTAAAAATACAAAAATTAGCCGGGCGTGGTGGCACACACCTGTAGTTCCAACTACTCGGGAGGTTGAGGCAGGAGAATCGCTTGAGCCAGGGAGGCGGAGGTGGCAGTGAGCCAAGATCATGCCATTGCACTCCAGCTGTGCAACAAGAGCAAAACTCCATCTCAAAGAAAAAAACAAGCATTTTACTATCATTGGTTTGTTTTATAATCATAAGTGTTTTCATTTAAGCATTTAAAAAATATTATTCTAAGAAGGGGGTCCATGGGCTTCACCACTTTGTCCATGGGCATCCAAGGCACATAAAAGGTTAGAATCCCCTGGACTAGATGAGATGCTAACAGCCTAGGTCCTGGTTCTGTGGCAGCATTACCTGGTCTCCGATGTTGCTACCTCTACATCTGCGCCTCAGTCTATCCCTACAGGTCCCCTGATCCAGGGTGCCTAGTGTGCCTATAATAGAGTCTTGGTATGTATGTAATGGTAACACAGGCAGCGGCTGTCACCAAAGTTTCTCCAGCCTGATTCAGAGGATACACAAGAAGCTCTGGACGCTGGAGTGCCTAAGCCTTGGTTAGCAACTCCACCCCCGAGCCAGCCCCTGAGCTCCCACCCCACCCTGATCTAAGGCCAGGCTTCTGCACATGGTTTTAGATGCTGCCCAGCAATGGAGTTCTCACCTGACCTGGTTCCTCCCCGTAGCTCACACAGGGCCACAGCTTGCATATTGGTGGTCAGATGCCATTGCTCACGGTAGATGGGACAGAGCTGAATAGCCAGTGTCCATTCCTGAAAGGCTAGAGTCCAACTACTTGGCAACTGTGGGTGGAATGCTGCCTACGAGAGCACCATGTCCTAAACATGCATGTACATAACCATGGAGTCAGTGGATTGTCCAGGGAACTGCAATTGATAAGTGCTGGGCCTTCCTAAAGGTCTTGGTAAAACAGTTGGTTTCTAGGACAAAAGGCATATCATGAACCACAAAGGATGGGGAAAATACTTCACGAATTGGAGTAGGACCATATAGTTAAGCCTTCAATATGAGTAAGAAAGAATGAATTTCTTTTATTATTATTATCTTTTTTTTTTTGAGATGGAGTCTCTGTCACCCAGGCTGGAGTGCAGTGGCGCGATCTTGGGTCACTGCAACCTCTGCCTCCCAGGTTCAAGTGATTCTCCTGCCTCAGCCTCCCGAGTAGCTGGGATTACAGGCATGTGCCACCACACCCGGCTAATTTTCATATTTTTAGTAGAGACGGGGTTTTACCATGTTGGTCAGGCTGGTCTCGAACTCCTGACTTCCGGTGATCTGCCTTCCTCGGCCTCCCAGAGTGCTGGGATTACAGGCATGAGCCACTGCACCTGGCCAAAGAATGAAATTCTTAACTGCACCACCCTCCTGTGATCTCAGCCTTGTCAATGTAGGTCATCACCTTAGGTATTTTTTATTGTTCTTTTTTGGGGGGTGTTGGGGGACCAGGTCTCACTTTGTCACTCAGGCTGGAGTGCAGTGGCATAATCTTGACTCACTGCAACCTCCGCCATCCAGACTCAAGTGATCCTCCCACTTCAGCCCCCTGAGTAGCTGGGACTACAGGCAGGCACCATCACACCTGGCTAGTTTTTTATATTTTTTGTAGAGACAGGGTTTTGCCATGCTGCCGAGGCTGGTCTCGAAATCCTCAGCCCAAGCAATCCTCCACCTCTGCCTCCCAAAGTGCTGGGATTACAGGCATGAGCCACCACACCCAGCCACCCTAGGTATTTTAATCCTTATTCTTTTGTGCTACTTAAGCTCTGGGATAGCAACCTCCCCAGGTCCAAAGTGTGGCCACCTAACTTAGGTGCTTTCCTGTGTCCGAGGCTGTAGGTGCCCTGTTTCAACTACAATGGACAGTTTTCATGAGGCAGCACCCGTAACTGGCCACATCCAGCGTATTCAAGTTAAGCAAAACCACAGGAGGCAGGTGCCCATAGAAATCCTCTCTGGGCAATTAATAGCAGGTCCCCAGGCATTTAGGGTAGCTTTTACTCATAGGTTTTAGAATTGCAACTTTAAAAAAAAAAAAAAAGTCCCAGGAGCTGGACATGGTGGCACGTGCCTGTAGTCCCAGCTACTCTGGAGCTGAAGCAGGAGGATCGCTTGTGGCCAGGAGTTCAAGGCTGCAGTGAACTGTGATTGTGCCATTGCACTCCAGCCTGGGTAACAGAGCAAGACCCTGTGTCTTAAAACAAATCAAAAACAAACAAACCAACAAAAAACTGGCCCTGGGATCATCTTCATTAGAATCACCCGAGAGAGTTGTTTACAAAATGCAGCTTCCTGTCTCCATTTAGATCTAATCAATTGGACTCTCTGGCGATAATCCTGGGAATCTGTGTTTTAACAAATTCACAAGGTCATTCTGCATACTGAAGTTTAGGAGTTAACCTAAACTCCACTTTTGTATCACCATTTGCCTAGCACAATGCTAAACACATGGGAGGTGCTAGAGAAATCCTCCTGGAAAGGATGAAGAGATGTTGAGAGCTGTCAACTTTCCGGCCCAGTGTGCCCCACCCACTGCGTATTTATGCACCGCATCCCAACCCCCCCCCCCATTAACGCCCCTTCAATTCCTTGTATTCCTTTGGAGACAAGTCGTTTAAATTTTTTCTCATGGCATTTCGCCCCTACCTTTCTCAGCTAAGGCTTTGCTAGGCTCCCAAGCTCCCCAACTTTAATTCTTACGCCAGCTCAGCAACCACAGTCCTCTTAGGAAGGTGCAATTGGCAGCAGAGGAGGGAAGTGTCATCTGAGCTCAGAAGCTCCCATTCCAGGATCTTGTCTAACAATCCTTTAAGAGTTGAGTGCCTCCCAGGCCAGGCATCACACTAGGCTCAGTGGATGAAGAAAGATGAACAAGTTTGGGAAGGGGTGCTTCTAAAATGGTCTCAGAACCCACTGAGAGGATCAGTGGGTGGGGGTCGGAGGGGGTGGCGGTGAGACTGGGCTGGCAGGAGCTCCTGCAAGCAGCCTGAGGCCAGCCCTGGGGGATGGCTTTTCACCTGCCTGCCAGAGGCCTTGTATCCACGCTTTGATTCTTTTTTTTTTTTTTTTTTTTTTTTTTGAGATGGAGTCTCACTCTGTCACCAGACTGGAGTGCAGTGGTGCAATCTTGGCTCACTGCAACCTCCGCCTCCCGGGTTCAAGCGATTCCCCTGCCTCAGCCTCCAGAGTAGCTAGGATTACAGGTGCACCACCAGCATGCCCAGCTAATTTTTGTATTTTTAGTAGTGACGGGTTTTCACCATGTTGGCCAGGATGGTCTCGATCTCTTGACCTTGTGATCCGCCCGCCTCCTCCTCCCAAAGTGCTGGGATTACAGGCGTGAGTCACCGCATTCAGCCGATTCATTTTATAAAATCACAAGCAGTGGTTAGGCTTCTCTTCTCCTTAGCGCCCTAGGTTTGCATTTTAGTCTCCTGAAATGCTTTAAAAATACAAACTTTCCGATACATTATTAACTATATTTCATCCCAGGATTAAAAGGAGACTCCAGACAGGTTTGTGCCTGTGCCCCTCTGTTTTGGTGTGGCGGGCCTCCGAGGAGGGCAGTGTAATTGCAGAGACTGAGTTTGAGGTTAGAGTGTTTATGTAAGAAATCAGCTCAACTTAAATATTTCTTGTGGTGCGGTCAGGGCTGCAAACATTCGCCCAGCACAGCAGCATGAATGTCATCTGTTTATTCAACCCTGTGTGGGCATCGATGTTTATGTGAAAGGACCCTGATCGTTTAAAGCCAGTTAATATTTTCAATCATACATCGTGTTGCTTACGCATCTTACAATCGGGATTGTGAAGAGACAAGTTTTCCAAAAAATCAGACTGGTTGCATTTGTATATGTGCTTATGAGCAGACACATTTAATGAATGTTCATTTGGCAAAGTCTTACAATTAAGGATTTTTTTCTTCCAGAGATAATTACATGAGCCCTGATAATTTTCCTCTAAGTCAGCCTCTGATTACCTCCCCGCTTGATAGAGACAACATGTACCAGACAAACAGCGGAGACAGACTCCCTGAAAGAACTGCAAGCGCTCTCTGGGGTTCAGAACAAGCCAACTATATGAGAAGTGATACTTTCCAACTTCATGTCTTCATGGAGTTGGACACCAAAGGATTTTGGGGACCAGGGGAAAGTAAATGGTGAATAGCTTCCCTACTCCTCCCAAGACATTTTAGATTGTGGCTTCATTACTTAGTTTGAAATTTAAATTCCCGGAATATCGGACACCCCCAAACTCAAATGTGAGTACAGAAATGCATTCCAAAGCCAAATGTAAATTCTTTTTAAATTATTCATTCACCTAGCTCCCCATTAGAACAGATAATTGAAGTAGCTATAAATATGCATAAACAGAAGTGACAGAAACAGAAACATCCACATCAAATTACAGATGGACAGAAAAATCCACTTAAGCGCTAAATAATTAGGGAGGAGAGAAGCCAAGGAAGGCGGGAGGCGATAGCTCCGGAGTGATGGGCGAGTTGGGACTATTCTGCAAACAGCCAGAGAGATGGGAGCCAATTTGGAGGGGAGGGAGGGGACCTGGCTGAGAGGAAGGGGCTTGGCGAGGGCTGAGGGGCAAAGCTTGTATAGGGAAAGATAAATCCGTGGTGGGTTCTGGTTTCTGACAAGTCTGAACTCAGAGAGGCAAAAGTGACAGATGGAACCCTGGTCAACATGAAAAAAAGAAAGCACGCTACAGATGAGATGGTGGGAGTCTTCTGGGAACCAACAATCAGAGCACAGGGAAGTGACATCACATCTGCAGCTTCCCACCCCAGGGCTGGGCCCCTTCGCTTCTCTGCGGATGAGCAGGGGGTCAAAATGTTCTTAGAAGCAACTCTCCTGTAGTGGATGGCAATTTGGGAATAAGAATATGCTAACTGGAGGTGGGCAGATCACCCGAGGTCAGGAGTTTGAGACTAGCCTGGCCAACATGGTGAAACCCTGTCTCTACTAAAAATATAAAAATTAGCTGGGCATGGTGGCACACACCTGTAATCCCAGCTACTCAGGAGGCTGAGACATATTTATAGAATCTCTTGAACCTGGGAGGCAGAGGTTGCAGTGAGCTGAGATCACACCACCGCACTCCAGCCTGGGGGACAAAGGGAGACTCTGTCTCAAAAAAAAAAAAAAAAAAAAAAGAATATGCTAATTGGCAAATGGTTTGAGGTTCCCCTATTTAAAAAAAAATAGGGGTTCAAAGCAGCTATTTAGAACCCAGAAGGTTTTAAGGGTTAAGGAATATGATGTTCTCCCAGGCCCCCCCAGTCCTTATTTGCCACCGCAGTGTGTTCCCTTTCAATTGCTCAAAGGTAACCGACAAAAAGAAACTCTATGGAAACCCTAATGAAGTCAGCAAAGCAACCTGAGAATGAAAGTCCAATACTGGCTGCAATATTGATCATTCCTAAGTTAACGTACCTAAGTTACTCATGAAAAGTTCAGCTCTTAGCATAATTTTTTTTTCTTTTGAGACAGTCTCTATTGCCTAAGCTGGAATGCAGTGGTGCGATCATGGCTCACTGCAGCTTCGACCTTCCTGGGCTCAGGTGATCCTTCCCACTGAGCCTCCTGAGTAGCTGGGACTACAGGCATGCACTACCATGCCCAGTTACAATTTTTAAAATTGTTTGTAGAGATGGGATTTCACTATGTTGCCCAGGGTGGTCCCAAACTCCTGAACTAAAGCGATCCTCCCAACCTTGGCCTCCCAAAGTGCTGGGATTGCAGGCATGAGCCACCGTCCCAGCCTCTTAGCAGAGTTTGAAATGGGAGCAGAGATTTGAGCACGTGTCCCCCGTATGTACAGACATCTGGTGGCGGCTGGCAGCTTCTGTTCCAAGCCCAGGTCAGCTGCCTGGTGAGGACTGAGAGTGGAGACTAGATTCTTCAAAAAGCCATCTAAATGAAGGCTCACAGCAATCAGATAACAGTAGCAACAGGAAGTAAGCCAGTCAAGATGGGCATCCAGTTATTTAACATCTGATTCTAACAGTGAACATTGACTGAAAGATTAACATTTGCCAGGGACTATCCCAATCATCTTGCACAGATTCTTTTATTTAATCCTACAACAACCTTAGAAAGTAGGTACGTAGTTGCTTTTTAAAATTTTCCTTCCCCATTTTGTAATTAAGGAAACAGAGACTCAACAAGGTAAGGGAACATGCCCCAGATGCCACCATCCACAAGTGACGGCTGGGACTCAGCCTGGTCCGCCTGACTGCAGAGCCATGCGCAATGCACTGAGCACTTCTGCCTGAATCCAGTGGGGGCTGTCCAGGTTGGGATGAAGCTGTATGCAGAGGAATGAAAGCTTTGAGAGGCTCTGAGGGTTCTTGGACTAGAGCCAACCAAGCTGTATGGTGGGAATTCGAAAGCTCAAAGAGTGAAGAAGCCACTTCTGTAGCAGGTGATTTGGGAAGAGTAAGTAAAGAAACATAGAGTCTGCATACCCCTGAGTGGGGATGACAGTACTAACCCAGACAGACTGCCTGGAACCTCCAGATTGTGTCCAACATGTGTAAGAAGACAGGGACTTTAACATGGAGCTTGTGTCCTCTCATACATGAGCACCAGCCTTGTCACACGGGGGCTTACCTCCATGTCACCATGGGGCAAGTGTCCTGGGAGGCCAGCCTCCCCTCAGCCTCACAGTGACCAATGGACCCACACCAGGCACTGGCATGCAGTGAGCCTACCCCACACACCCCACCTAGAAACCACAGCCCCAATGCTGGTCCTAGAACTGAGGCGTGGGATCAAAGCAGAAAAATCAGTCAACTTTAAAATTGCTAATATTGCCATCCAGACATTTTTTTTAGGAGAATCTTGTTTAAAAATCTGGCAGAGGCCAGGCGCAGTGGCTCATGTCTGTAATCCCAGCACTTTGGGAGGCCAAGACAGGTGGATCACTTGAGGCCAGGAGTTCAAGACCAGCCTGGCCAACAGGGTAAAACCCTGTGTCTACTAAAAATACAAAAATTAGCCAAGTGTGGTGACGCATTCCTGTAATCCTAACTACTGGGGAGGCTAAGGCATGAGAATCACTTGAGCCCTGGAGGCGGAAGTTGGTTGCAGTGAGCCGAGATTACATCACTGCACTCCAGCCTGGGCAGCAGAGCAAGACCCTGTCTCAAAAAAATAAATGAATAAATAAAAATTAAAATGTGGTGGTATTATGAAATCATCTCTGAGTTATTACATCTGAGAGATGAATAGATGTCTTATGGGGTGTGTGATTCAAATTATGACACTTTTAAGCACTTGCCCTATGTATGATACTGAGCCTGGTTCTAGGAGTAAGGACTCCTCGCTGCAGGCAGATAAGCACACAACTTCCATGGAATGCAGAATGGTGATTCCTCCTGTCTTTGTTTCCACAGTTTATAGAGCACCACGATGTGGCAGACCCTGCACCCAGCCCTGAGAATGCAAAGATGATGGGCGAGGTGTCTGCTCTCAGGAGGTTCACTATTGAGTAGGCAAAAGAGCGTCATAGGACCCAAGACAGAGGTGGAGGCAGGGAGGTAGCAGAAGGGAGGAGCCTGGAGCAGAGTCAGAAAAAGCTTCTCAAAGGAAGTGATGCTGCAGAAATGTGCAAGAACCAGACTGGAGGGTGAGGGAGGTGGTGGATGGAGAGACCGTGACCATGTGGATTAGGGAAAGATTCACACAGCTGGGTTCAATCGACACTGGGACGCTAGGTAAATCACCACCTTCCTTCTTCGTGATGGAGTGTAGTATAGAATAATGGATCAGAGTTCAGGTTGAATCCTGGCTCTAACCTTCACTAGCTGTGTGACATTGGGCAAAATACTTAACCTCTCTGGGCCTTATTTGCCTTATCTGTACAATGGGGATAACAACAGCACCAGCCTCACAGCGTTGTTATGAAGGAAGAACTTTGTGAATAAAGTGCTCAGTACTGGGTTTCAGATATGGTACTCATTGAGTGTTAGTATCATCATTATCATGATTACTAATAGTAGTGTTATTTATATTCCTGCTTAGCAGCCTTTAGGAGCTGCTCAATAATTCTTTCATGGGATGAATGAGTTCACCAATTCATTATCAACATGGACATTACCGTTGCCCAAGATGGCAGCAGGAAACAGCACAAAGAGAACCCATGAGCCAGGTGCCATTAAGGAAAGTGAAACTTTGTCCTGAGGTTGGTAGAAAATGGCAATGAAGGATGGGTATGGTCACTTCACATTTGCTGAAACAGGCCCAGGGTTCAATAGTAATGCAGAATTAACAATCTATAAAGTGAAAGGAATAAGGTTTTTTCCTTAAAGACTTGTTCCACCTGCTTGAATGCAGTTGAGACTTGCAAGCCCAAGGGGCTGAATCCAACAAGCTCCAAAGTCTTCAAGGTGGGGAGAAGGGAGTTGGGTGGTGAAACCGAGCCCAGAAAGCTGTAAAAACTTCCTGCCTGGTCTGGGGGTCTCCACCAAAAGCTCCCAGGAGCTATGAGTACAGGCGTGAGCCAAGGCCTCGGTGGGCAGGACACCCCCATGCGCACAATGATTGTGAGGAAAAACCCATGGCGGCTCCCACAGAGGCCCCACCCTGCGGACTCGAAGCCCAACATGAGGGCCAGGCCTGGGCTCCGTGGAACACTGATGAGCATGGCGCCCTGCCTGAGGGCACCCTGACTCTAGAACAATCTCTTCCTCTTTCTCCACCCAAGGTGCCCTTAGAAAAGAGTTGGAGAGAAAACTCATTCCCTGGGGTACTTTATTAAGAAATTGAATCCAGTGTAACTCTATTATTCATTTGCTTAGGATGCTTCTGTTTTAACGGGACCCCGTAGCAGTCACTCTAGGGCAGAGGGGAGGTCATCAGGCCGGCCAGGAGAGCAATGTCAAAGTCACAGCCATTCCCCCACGGCCCACACCACCAGCCTCCCTCCTCAGAGAGACACTCCCACCCAGGCACTGACCCTGCCGTGGTGCAAGCAGAAAAAGGTGTATTGAACTTAGCAAAAAGAACAGCCAGGCGCGGTGGCTCACGCCTGTAATCCCAGCACTTTGGGAGGCCGAGGCAGGCGGATCACGAGGTCAGGAGATCGAGACCATCCTGGCTAACACAGTGAAACCTCGTCTCTACTAAAAGTACAAAAAATTAGCCGGGTGTGGTGGCGGGCGCCTGTAGTCCCAGCTACTCGGGAGGCTGAGGCAGGAGAATGGCGTGAACCCGGGAGGCGGAGCTTGCAGTGAGCCAAGATGACGCCACTGCACTCCAGCTTGGGCGACAGAGCGAGACTCCATCTCAAAAACAACAACAACAACAACAACAACAACAACAACAAAGCTCTGACGAGGTGTTCCAGAGGAAACGAGGAATGTGAGGCACCTTTCGCCTTCCTGGTTTGGCCAAGACTTCTCTTAGTCGCCTTCAGAGTGAAACTCAGGGTTTTCATAACAGCTTTGCTCTCTCAAACCCTAGACCACCTGCAACTCTGAACTATGTCTCCTCTGATCCACTGGTGGCCAAGGAGTAAATTCCGACAGAAGCTGGTGTTTCTGCTGCTCCAAACCCCCAACCCCAAATTGGCATCTGGAAGTGCCCCTTCCCGCGGCTCTCTCTGCCCAGCACCGTGCCCTCCCTCAGCCGGGCCCCTGGCCTCCCAAGCATAAAGGTCCCATGCCAGACCCAGCACCTCCGTATAGACACTGCTCATGGCAGAGGTGGCCAGCTCTTCCAGCCTGTGTTTCAAACATCACCCCAAGAATGCAGAGACTCTGATCCTTGGAATGCAAGCACAAATTCACTCTCATTAGGCTGAATTTGTATTATGGTTTTCACAATTCAAGTGTTTCTTGCGTTTGTGTTATAAAATTAAAAATATATTGTCAAGAATATCATTATCAGCTGAGCACAGTGGGCCACGCCTGTAGTTCTAGCTACTCAGGAGACTGAGCTGGGAGGATCACTTGAGCCCAGGAATTCGAGGCTGCAGTGAGCTATGATGACGACGTCTGTGAATAACCACTGCACTCCAGCCTGAGCAACATAGTGAGATCCTGTTGCTTAAAAAAAAGTAAGTAAAATAATACAATAAAATAAGAATATCATTGTCATTCTCAACCACAAATGGAATCATTTATTTGGATTTCAATTGTATCAATGAAGTTTACTTCATACAATTGCAGTCTAGCTCCTTTTTTAAAAGCTCTTTATTTCCATAGCAAAAAAAAATGTGTAAAAAGTTAAATATAGAATTACCATATGACCCAGCAATTCTACTCCTAGGTATATACCCCAAAGAATTGAAAACAGGGACTCAAACAGACACTTGAACACTCGCGTTCATAGCAACATTACTCACAGTAGCCAAAAGCTAGAAACAACTCAGGTGTCCCTCAACAGATGAATGGATAAACCAAACGGGGGACAGATAGACAATGGGTAAAATTCTGACATGTATTACAATGTAGATGGGCCTTGAAAACATGCTCAGTGAAATAAGCCAGATACAAATGGACAAATAGAATATGATTCCACTTACATAAAACGTCTATAATTTAGGCAAATGAATAGAGATAAAAAGGAGATTGAAAGTTATCAGAGGGGGCTAATGGGGAGTTATTGCTTAAAGGGTACAGAGTTTCTGTTTAGGGAGATGAAAAGGTTTTGGGATTACATGGTGGTGATGGCTATGCAATGTCATGAATGTATTTAAATACTTTGGGTTGGGCCGGGACGGAGGCTCACGCCTGTAATCCCAGTGCTTTGGGAGGCCAAGGTGGGTGGATCGCTTGAGGTCGGGAGTTCAAGACCAGCCGGGCCAACATGGTGAAACCACGTATCTATTAAAAATACAAAAATTAACCAGGTGTGGTGGCAGGTGCCTGTAATCCCAGCTACTAGGGAGGCTGAGGCAGAATTGCTTGAACCTGGGAGGCAGAGGTTGCAGTGCGCTGAATCGTGCCACTGCACTCCTACCTGGGCAACGGAACAAAACTCCATCTCAAAAAAAAGAAAAATACTTTGAGTCGTACATTTAAAAATGGTTAAAACAAGCTGAGCATGGTGGCATGTGCCTGTACTTCCAGCTACACAGGAGGCTGAGGCAGGAGGGTGTCTTGAGCCCAGGAGTTTGATGCTACAGTGTGCTATGATTATGCCACTGCACTCTAGCCTGGGTGACAGAGTGAGACCCTGTCTCTAAAAATAAATAAACAAATAAATAAATAATGTTTTAAACTGGTTAAAACAGTGCATTTTATGTTACATATATTTTTGCTCAAAAATTGAAAAAATAAGGATTTTTGTTAGTATTTCAATTTTTGGCTACTAGAATGATTAACATTTTTATTGGCTATGTTTAAAGGCATTATAATATCATTTATTTTCAACATACTGCCCCAAATTTGAACATCTTTCAAACGTAGCTGGGCAATGGCAGACTGGCTAGAATTGCCCTTTTTGGGGAGAGCAGATTCAGAAGGAGTGAGGGTAGAGCCTCAACAGCCTGGCCTTCTAGCCAACTCTCTGCTTCCTGCCCATACAACCTCAGTCACTTATCCTCACGATGCCTTGGTTTCCATGTCATATAATAATAATTGTGGCCGGGTGCAGTGGCTCATGCCTGTAATCCCAGCACTTTGGGCAGCAAAGATGGGAGGATCACTTGAGCCCAGGAGTTCAAAACCAGCCTGGGCAACAAAGCAAGACACTATTTCTGCAAAAAAATAAAAAAATTAGCTGGACGTGGTAGCACACACCTGCGGTCCCAGTTACTCAGGAGGCTGAAATGGGAGGATCATGTGAGCCCAGGAATTTGAGGCTACAGTGAGCTATGACCACGCCACTGCACTCCAACCTGAATGAAAGGGGGAGACCCTGTCTTCTTAATAATAATAGTAATAGTAATAATAATATAGTTTTATAGGGTTACCATGAACATATTAATAAAATGTGTTACAAATGTAATGTGTTTAATACAGTGCCTGGCAGGTATTAAGTGCTTATAGTTAAGCTATTCTTAATATTATTATTACAGAATTTAGTTTTTTTAGTGAGTGATTGGGATTTTTTTTTTTTTTTTAGATGGAGTCTCCCTCTGTCACCCAGGCTGGAGTGAAGTGGCATGATCTCGGCTCATTGCAACCTCCACTTCCCAGGTTCAAGGGATTCTCCTGCCTCAGCCTCCCAAGTAGCTGGGATTACAGGTACGTGCCACCACGCCCAGCTAATTTTTGTATTTTTAGTAGAGACAGGGTTTCACCATATTGGCCAGGCTGGTCTCGAACTCCTGACCTCAAGTGATCCACCTGTCTCGGCCTCCCAAAGTGCTGGGATTACAGGTATGAACCACCGCTCCTGGCCTGATTTAACAGAGAAAAAATGATTAAGAAGCACTGATAATTCCAAAGGAAAGAACTATAGGGAATGGCTTAAAGGCCTACAAGGAAACTCTGTACTGGGAAGTGAGAAAGAGCATGAGGCTCTCCTGAATATACCCCAGTGGCATGTTGAAGGTGTCAGGTCTGAGATGAAATCATTCTGCGAGAGAAGAGTGTGCTGAGCATAGAAACAGTCTCTCCACATGAACAGACCTCTCAGCCTGTGCAGCTTCTGCTTCCCAGGAGCTCAGCCCGTGGCAGAAGTTTTCCTGATGCAAAGATTTCACTTTCACTATTAGGCTGTCACTATGCCCTGACAGCTTCCCAGGTGTGAGTTACAGCTACTGGTTTGAGGTTATTTTTTTTTTTTCTCTACGTATCGTATAGGACTCGGCCCATTCCTGTGAAGAGAGCACATTTCTTGCTTCCCTTAGTCACTACATTGGTGTCAATGTCAGACACTCTGTATTAGGGACCAAGGTTCCTGAAGAATCCTGGAAAAATGGGGTGGGGGTGGAGAAGGCAGTGGCTGGGAGTGAGAATACATGCTCTAAGGCCAAGAGTCCAAGAGGACACGGACGTCCTCTCCAGCCAGGCCCTGGTCAGACCAAGGACACATCCAGGGGTGGAGAGTGGAAGACCAAGAGCTCCCCATGAGCCAAAAATGAATAAATTGTTTCTAAGTAAAAGTGATAAAAAATGATGTGATGATACACTGATCATTGAAGGCGAAGAGGAGAACTTAGGAGATTTTTAAGTCATAACTATATGCTAGGACACCCTGGAAATTAATTTTCCAATTCAAAATATTTTAATTCTGGTATAAACGTTCATGAATTATTATTTACTGGGTACAGAGTTTCAGTTGGAAAGGATGGAAAAAGTTCTGGAGATGGATGGTGGTGACGGTCACACAACAGTGTAAATGAGCTTAATGCCACTGAACTGTGCACTTAAAAATGGTTAAAATGGTAAGTTTTATGTTGCATATATTTTGCCATATTACAGTTTTGGGTCTCGTTCTCTTGGCCTGGGCTCAAATGACCCTTCCGCCTCAGCCTCCTGAGTAGCTGGGACCGCAGGTGTGCACCACCTTGCCCAGCTAATTTTTAAAATTTTTTGTAGAGATGGGGTCTTATTATGTTGCCCAAGCTGGTCTCGAACTCCTGGGTTTAAATGATCCTCGCACCTTGGCCTCCCAAAGTGCTGGGATTACAGATGGGAGCCACCGCACCTTGCCAAAAAAAAAAAATGTTTTTAAGTACATTCGTTAGCACACCTACAAAACTTTTGACTCATCTGACACAAATTTGTCACTTCATTCTTAACCATATTATCTCTGCTGCTTAAGTGAGCCCTGGTTCTGACGACCTGAATTCTACTCAAACTAGTTATGCGACCTTGAATAAGTCATCTCACCTTTCGCTAATCTTTGTATTTTTAGTAGAAACAGGGTTTCACCATGTAGGCCAGGCTGGTGTCGAACTCCTGACCTCAAGTGATCCACCCACCTCAGCCTCCCAAAGTGATGGGATTACAGGCATGAGCCACCACGCCTGGCCTACAAAATGAAACTTTTGAAAAAAAAAAAAAAAAAGTCTGTTACCATCTTTTGCAGTTCTGATATTCTAGGTTTAATAACAACTGCCATTTATGAGAGCTTACAGGCTCTCTGCTGCACATCTTATAAGCATTACCTCATTCACTACTCTTGAGGAGGCCATGAGGGTGGTGTGATTACCCTCATCTGAGAGAGAGACTGAGCCTTACAGAGATCCAGGGACTTGTCCTTGACCAGTGAGCAAGTGGGTGGAGTGGGCTATGGACTCTGGACTGGAGGAGCCCCGAGCCCGTGCTCTCAGCCGCTGCTCAGCCCTGCAGCAGGAAGAACATCTGAAGCAAACTACAAAGAACTTTTCTCCCTGAAAAAGCGATTAGCCCATAATAGAAGACCTAAGTCCAGCAAAAAGAGCCGCCGTTTCTGCTGCACTTTGTTTCCTACTGGGTGACGGATGGCGCTGTCATCTCTTCAGGGAGGGAGGCTTACAGACAGGCCAGCTCGTCAGCCTGCTGGCTCCTTCAAAGTCAGGTCTTCACAGTAGGTTCCTTTATTTCTGTCTCAACAAGTTGAAATCCCCTCAAATTAGACACACACTTTTCTTATGTAATTAAAGTACAGTGAGAAGACAGGCATCATTTTAGATTGTGCTGACTCCTATTTCTCATCATTAATACAATCAAGAGTTGACTCTCCTGCGCTTCCAGACCTTGAAGCAGACATCAGCTAACTCTCAGGATGCAATGAAGGTTCACTGACCTTCAAATATTCTCTAAGTCTGTTTTTAACCACTATTCGTTCTGTCTCTCTAAGCCACGGCAAAAATCAGGGCTCTGCCCAGTGACCGTCAGCCAGAGAAGCAGGAAGAAATGCAAGAAGAGGCAGCAAGAGTACAATTGAGCCTTGGCTGCCCATGGGGTATTTACCTTCCTTGACTAAAATTGTTGAAAATCAACCTAGATATTGATAACAACAACAATAAAACCACCTTAGAACATTCGTACAATGACATTATGTGGCCATTAAGAATGAAGGAGATCGCTAATGGAATAAATCATTGTCTAAATCAATGACAGAGCTTTGCAACTTGAAGCCAAATAGAGCAATCATCTTGCAGAGATAGAGATGGATTTGAAAATAATATTAGGTCTTTAAACAAGGAGCATCCAATGCCACAACTAACAACCTGGGAAAATAATGGCGTAGGACTCAATAGGGGAGTAGCTCAAGTGCAAATAACAGAAATCTAAACCCAAGCTCACCTTTCCGCTCAATGCCACATTGGCTAAAGCTCCTTACCAGAACTCACAGAGGTGGAACTGATAGTTGTAATCAGAACTCCACTGACTAGCATTCGTATCATTATGTATTTATGCATAAGATACACACACGCACATGCACACATGTATAGCCTTCATTTTCTCATCAGGATTCAAATATTCACTCTCTTTTTTCCCTATAAATTCCAATTTTTTTTTTTTGAGACGGAGTCTTGCTCTGTCGCCCAGGCTAGAGTGCAGTGGTGCCATCTTAGCTCACTGCAACCTCTGCCTTCCGGGTTCAAGAGATCCTCCTGCCTCAGCTTCCTGAGTAGGTGGGATTACAGGCACGTGCCACCATGCCTGGCTAATTTCTGTATTTCTGGTAGAGACAGGGTTGCACAATGTTGGCCGGGCTGGTCTTGAACACCTAACCTCAAGTGATTCACCCACATTGGCCTCCCAAAGTGCTGGGATTACAGGCGTGAGCCACCACGCCCGGCCAAAATCCAAAATTTGAAAGGCCTTTTGCTGGTAACGTTAAACGTAGATTTCTGCATTGGATACTATCTATTGATAACGAAGATCTGTTACCTGGAGTGGGTAAAACCAGGTAAGTAACACTGTATCGGTTAGCTATTACTGCAGGACAAATTACTCCAAACCTTGGTGACTTACAGCAGCAACAGTCACTTATTATTTTTCATAGTTTCTGTAGATCAGAAATTTGGAGAGGCCCAGAGGGAGAACAGTTTTATTTCTGCGCCACAATGTCTGGGGGCTCAGCTGGAAGTCTGACAGGTGGGAACTGGAATCCTCTGAAGGCTCATTCCCTCACTTGTCTGACCACTGATGCCATCTGTCAACTGAGAGACTAATAGGGTTGTTGGTTGGAACACTCACATATGGCTTCTCCATGTGGTCTGGTGGCTGGGATCCAAGGGCAAGCATCCAAAGATGGAGAGAGCCAGACAGAAGCTGTATCCTTGTTATGACCTAACCTGGAGGTCACCCAGCACTGTTTCCACCAAACTTCACTGACCAAGCTGATCACAAGCCTCTACTCAGTTTTAAAGGGAAGGAACATCAACCCACATCTTTGTGGGATGAACATCAATCACACCCTAAGAAGAGCACATAGATGGGGATACATCTATAGGTAAGACCTTCTTTGGAAAATACAACCTTCCCATACAGAAAGCTGCCTTCTGTAGGGATGTCCATGATGCAATAAGTTATAAACAAGAGTCTTAGGTGGATCCTAACAGATGAATGGAAGAATATTTGGTTTCTGGTAACGTGGTGGGAGACGAGATTAGAAAGGTATGTAAGGGGCCAGGAGCAGTGGCTTAGGCCTGTGATCCCAGCAATTTGGGAGGCCAAGGTGGGGGGATCGCACAAGCTCAGCTTGGGCAACATGGCAAGGCCCTGTCTTTACCAAAAATTAAAAAATTAGCTGGGCATGGTAGCATGCTCCTATAGTCCTAGCTACTTGGGAGGCTGAGGCAGAAGGATTGCTTGAGCCCAGGAGTTTGAGGCTACAGTGAGCTATAATCATACCACTGCCCTCCAGCCTGGGCGGCAGAGCCAGACCCGGTCTCTAAAAAAAGAAAAAGAAAAATATTACGATATGAATGTGGATCATGAAAAAAAAAATTTAAGAAAAGAAAAATACGGTAGCACCAGGTTTCAGAAAGTCCAGAATGACACATTAGAAGTGTGGGCTTTATTCCGGGGGCACTAGCGATCCATAAAAGTGTTTCTAGCAAAGATTGCCTCATGGCCCTAGAGAAAATGGATTAGAGAAAGGAGAACCAAGAGTCAGGGAAACCAATTGGGAGTTATTTAAAGTGGTCTAGGTGAGGGCCGGGTGCCGTGGCTCGTGCCTCTAATACCAACAGTTTGGGAGGCCGAGGTGGACGGATCATTTGAGGCCAGGAGTTTGAGACCAGCCTGGCCAACATGGCAAAACCTCATCTCTACTAAAAATACAAAAATCAGCCAGGCGCGGTGGCTCACACCTGTTATCCCAGCACTTTGGGAGGCTGAGGTGGGCGGATTACGAGGTCAGGAGATCGAGACCATCCTGGCTAACATGGTGAAACCCCGTCTCTACTAAAAATTAAAAAAAAATTAGCTGGGCATGCTGGTGGGCACCTGTAGTCCCAGCTACTAGGGAGGCTGAGGCAGGAGAATGGCGTGAACCCGAGAGGTGGAGCTTGAAGGGAGCCAAGATCGCACCACTGCACTCCAGCCTGGGCAACAGAGCAAGACTCTGTCTCAAAAAAAAAAAAAAAATTTAAAAATAGAAAACAGTTTATAAAATAAGGAGTTAAAGATAGAAAATGTTTTTGTACAGCTGTACAGTGTGTTCATATTTTAAACTAAGCGTTACTACAAAAGGGTCAAGAAGTTAAAAAAATTAAAAGTTTATAGAGGCCAACTCTGGGCATGCTGCCTATGGGTTAGCCCTGCTCTGCAAGGAGCAGTACCAGAAAAAAAAAAAAAGTTTATAGAGTTAAAAAGGTACAGTAAGGTAAGGTTAATTTATTGCAAAAGAAAGAAAATATTTTTAATAAACTTATTGCGGCCTAAGTGTACAGTGTTTATGAAGTCTCCGGTAGTGTACGGTCACGTCCTAGGCCCTCACATTCACTCCCCACTCATCACTGACTCACCCAGGCAACTTCCAGTCCTGCAAGCTCCATTCATGGTGAGTGCCATGTACAGGTGGACCATATTTTACCTTTTTTTTTTTTTTTTGAGATGGCGTTTCACTCCTCTTGCCCAGGCTGGAGTACCGTGGTGCAATCCCGGCTCACTGCAACCTCCACCTCCCGAGTTCAAGTGATTCTCCTGCCTCAGCCTCCTAGGTAGCTGGGATTACAGGTGTGCACCACCACACCCGGCTAATTTTTGTATTTTTAGTAGAGATGGGGTTTCACAATGTTAGCCAGGCTGGTCTTGAACTCCTGACCTCAGGTGATCTGTCCATCTCGGCCTCCCGAAATGCTGGGATTACTGGTGTGAGCCACCATGCCTGGCCTTATTTTACCTTTTATATTGTATTTTTACTGTACCTTTTCTATGTTTAGATACACAAGTACTTACCATTGTGTTCCGATTGCCTACAGTATTCAGTTCAGTCACACGCTGTGTAGGTGTGTAGCCTAGGAGCAATAGACTATACTGTATAGCCTAGGTGTTTAGTAGGTTATACTGTCTGGGATTGTGTAAGTACATCCTACGGTGTTTGCACAGAAATGCCTAGCGATGTGTTTCTCCGAACATATCCCTGTCATTAAGTGATATATGATTGTATAGTTTTGTATCTGTAACCGTACACATACAGTATAAAGCAGTTTGCCTTAAAATTACACTTACTTAACACATGGCTATACAATTTTATAAAGCATTGATTTTGCTTATAAACCCCACAAGCGGTCGGGCGTGGTGGCTCACGCCTGTAATCCCAGCACTTTGGGAGGCCAAGGCAGGCAGATCACAAGGTCAGGAAATCGAGACCATCCTGGCTAACATGGTGAAACCCTGCCTCTACTAAAAATACAAAAAATTAGCCGGGCATGGTGGCGGGCACCTGTAATCCCAGCTACTCGGGAGGCTGAGGCAGGAGAATGGAGTGAACCCGGGAGGTGGAGCTTACAGTGAGCTGAGATTGCACCACTGCACTCCAGCCTGGGCGAAGGGCAAGACTCCGTCTCAAATAAATAAATAAATAAATAAAAATAAACCCCACAAACTTCCTCCTTCAGCTTCTTCTTCGACTGGTTTTGAGTATATTGCTTGAATATATTACTTTGGTCCCTCTGTTTTTCTTTTCTGACTGACTTAACCCTTAGCATAAGCCAAAATCACTGAGCAAATTATATCCCTGGTTCTCTAGAAAACTTGATTGATAGTTGAACTATGATTCAAGAGTTCTAAATATTGATGGGAGGAGAAGGCAGAAAGTCGCAGGCATCTCTAAGAATCTGATGAAAATTCACAGCTAGTATGGCACTCTCAGGTGAGATTTTTGTCTCATTAAATGGGAAATAGCTTTGGGGTACTGGCTTGAGTCACCAGGGTCATATGAATCAGCTGTAAATTGTCACCTGGATTAGGTCAGAGGGGTCATAGGTATCCCTGGCCCTTGAAATAAGGGCTCTGTCTGACTTAGGGCAGTCACCCATCTCTTTGAACTTCAGTTTCTCAAAATGAGAATGACAATGATGAAAACTGCCCTCTGGAAGCAGTGTCCTGAGGTGCTAGCCATCCGTTTGGAAATCAGTATTCCCTTGTGTGCACAATCAAAACAAGTGTAACCTGTCTGTTCCACTGACTCTTCAGAGGTTGCTTTTACCACTAGGACTTGTAGTTTAGTTTACCGTTGAATTGCTTTATTTAAACTCTAATCTAGTTATATAAACACACTTCAGCACAATTTATAGGCTTGCGATTCTTTCTATCATGGCTGGCTCTTTTTTTTCTTCCTGAAACAAACTCTTGAGTCTAGACTTTGTCAGGTTGATACATGAGTTTGGGGACTGTTTATACGGAAACCATATACACATTCCAGAAACCTGCCTTGTTACTGATCTGCAATAAAGATGATAAGCCTTTGACTCATAAAAAGACACCCACGATATCCTTTGAAGTGCAAACCCTGATCTACTACTGAAAAGGGGCACAAAGAGATTCCTCAAAACTGGCCTTGTTGCTTTAAGAAGAGGTGACTATTAACGAGAGAGCAACTCTATGGGCGAGAACTTTCTCATGATACAAACTGTTAGCAATGCAAGGGGCTGGGGAATCTGTAAATAGTGATTTTCCTCCTGGGGGAAGTTCTTAAGCAAGACTGATTGACCATCCTCAAGAAACAGTATGAAAGGGATTCAATCAATCAGTGGCAAAGAAGATGGATTTGTAGGTACCTTTCAATTCAAATATCCTGTCTTCGATTTCTCTAATAAGCCTAGGAAGACAGGATTGTGCTAATGACTCAGTCCTAAACAATAGATCCTTGTAAACAGTGGATGTGGCCACCCTACCATTGGTGACGTAGGGCAAGTGGTGGGGGTATATGTGTGGTAATCCACTGGGTGTTTTAGGCCAAGTGTGTAGTCCAAAGAACACATTTCTAAACTTTTAAAACACAGACAAATTATACTCAATAAATCAATGTTCAGTGACTGTTTCTTGCCAGTGCAGAAAAAAACAAACATAGAAATGGCCAAAGTTTACTTTGCCAATCTGTCGTAGACTACAGACTATTAGGAGGGGGATCTCAGTAAAGGTCAGGCCTAAAGCAATGAGGAGAGAAGGGGAGCTCTTGGTCCTTCAGAGAGGACCGATGTCACAGAGTGATGACAGTCAGACTAGTACCAATGCGCATGAGAAGCAAATCAGTTCCTGAAGCTCGGTGCTATATATTCATCACAAATAAACCTGAAATGCATTACCTGGTCTCTTCTGAATCTCATATGGATCAGTATCTAAAGAGCAATAAAGTTCAGGAGCTGTATCTTCTAATACAAATGACTATATGACTATAGATATAGTTATAGATAGACATAGATATAGATCTAAGGATATATGTATGTATATTATTTTGGCCAACAATTTCTTCTCTTTCAACTACCAGAAAGTAAAAATACAGAGATGAAACAGTAGTGCTTTTGTTACTTCTTTCTGGGTTTTTTTGTTGTTATCATTTTTCTTTTCTTTTGTTTTTTTGAGACAGGGTCTCACTTTGTCACCCAGGCCAGAGTGCAGTGGCATGATCACGACTCACTGCAGCCTTGACCTCCCTGGGCTCAAGCAATCCTCCCACCTCAGCCTCCTGAGTAGCTGGGACTACAGGTGTACGCCACCATGCCCAGCTGATTTTTGTATTGTTTTTGTAGAGACAAGGCCTTGCCATGTTGCCCACGCTGGTCTTGAATTCCTGGACTCAAGCAATCCACCTGCCTTGGCCTCCCAAAATGCTGGGATTACAGGTGTCAGCCACTGCTCCTAGCCTTCTTACTACCTCCTGTGTACTGATGACTCACATCCTACTGTGGAATAGATATACTGCTTTTGCCTTCCTAGCATTGAATCCTCTTTGTCTAGAAATGACACCTTAGTTTTCCTTTGGGGAACCTCATCACTCTACGCTTGAGTGATTCTGGTGGGACAAACGCCATCGCTGGCTCCGGATATGAGCTAGTAACCTAGGTATGCTGATATGGTTTGGCTGTGTCCCCACCCAAATCTCATCCTGAATTGCAATCCCCTTAATCCCCATATGTTGAGGAAAGGACCTGGTGGGAGGTGAGTGGATCATGGGGGCAGTTTCCTCATGCTGTTCTCATCAGACTGGGTGAGTTCTCATGAAATCTAATAGTTTTATAACCATCTGGCATTTCCCCTGCTTGCTCCTCTCTCTCGCTTGCTGCCATGTAAGATGTGCCTGCTTCCCCTTCTGCCATGATTGTAAGTTTCCTGAGGTGTCCCCAGCCATGCCAAACTGAGTCAATTAAATCTCTCTTCTTTATAAATTACCCAGTCTCAGGCATTTCTTGATAGCAGTGTGAAAATGAACTAATACAGTAAATTGGTACCAGGCATAGGGTACTGTATAAAGATACTTGAAAATGTGGAAGCAACTTTGGAACTGGGTAACAGGCAGAGGGTGGAATAGTTTGGAGGGCTCAGAAGAAGAAGGAAGATGTGGGAAAGTTTATTGCTTCCTAGAGACTTGTTGAATGGTTTTGATCAAAATGCTGATAGTGATATGAACAATGAAGTCCAGGCTGAGGTGGTCTCAGAAGGAGATGAGGAACTTGTTGGGAAATGGAGCAAAGGTCACTCTTGCTATACTTTGCAAAGAGATGTGTTAGATAGGAGTTCTAAATTTCTTTTCAAAGAATCAATGTCAGTATGTTCAATTCTTTGCATTCTACTTTTAAACTTAACTACCTTGTAAGGCAACCTTTTTTGATTACCTGCTCCACCCTGACTCATTTCAATCACCTGCTCCACCCTGATTCATTCAGATTACCTGCTCTGTCATAACCATTTTTCCCACCAAACCACTCACCCGTCACTCTCTTTAAATTAGCCAATCAGAATCAGTTTAGCCTGTGCGGTCTAACCCTAGCCAATAGGGGAACGACACAGCAGCAGGGGCCACGTGGGTCAGGGATAAGAACCCCTTCCCCTCCCTTGTCCAAGTGTGCGCTCATCATTGCTTCATCTGTAAGGACACACCCCTCTATAGAAGTAACTTGCCTTGCTGAGAATTAAAAAGAAAATTTTATATTTGAGTGGTATTTCTTTTGTGGCACTTTTATTTATAACAGATGGGTGGCATTTTGCCCCTGCCCTAGAGATCTGTGAAACTTTGAACTTGAGAGAGATGATTTAAGATATCTGGCGGAAGAAATTTCTAGGTAGCAAAGCATTTAAGATGTGATCTGGGTGCTCTTACAATCATTCAGTTATATGCATTCGCAAAGAGATGGTTTGAATTTAGAACTTGCGTTTAAAAGGGAGGCAGAGCATCAAAGTTTAGAAAATGTTCAGCCTGATAATGCAATAGAAAAGAAAAACTCATTTTCTAGAAAGAAATTCAAGCCAGCTGCAGAAATTTGCATAAGTAACAAGGAGCCAAATGTTAATCACCAAGACAATGGGGAAAATGTCTCCAGGGCATGTCAGAGGTCTTCACAGCAGCCCCTCCCATTGCAGGCCCAGAGGCCTAGCAGGAGGAAAAAACAAACAAACAAACAAACAAACCAGGGCCTTGCTGCTTTGTGCAGTCTGGAGACTTGGTGCCCTGCATCCCAGCTGTGACTAAAAGGAGCTGATGTACAGTGCAGACCATTGCTTCAAAGGGTGCAAGCCCCAAGCCTTGGCAGCTTCCACATGGTGTTGGTCCTGTGGGTGCACAGAAGACAAGAATCGACGTTTGGAAACCTCCACCCAGATTTCAGAGGATACATGGAAGTGCCTGGATGACCCGGCAGAGGTGTGCTGCAGGAGCGGAACCTTCATGAATAACCTTTGCTAGGGCAGTGCAGAAGGGAAAAGGGGGGTTGGAGCCCCCAGACTGAGTCCCCACTGGGGCACTGCCTAGTGAAGGTGTGAGAAGAGGGCCACTGTCCTCCACACCCCAGAATAGTAGGTCCGCTGATAGTTTGCACCATGTGTCAGGCCTCTGAGCCCAAGCTAAGCCATCATATCCCCTGTGACCTGCACATATACATCCAGATGGCCTGAAGCAACTGAAGATCCACAAAGGAAGTGAAAATAGCCTTAACTGATGACATTCCACCATTGTGATTTGTTTCTGCCCCACCCTAACTGATCAATGTACTTTGTAATCTCCCCCACCCTTAAGAAGGTTCTTTGTAATTCTCCCCACCCTTGAGAATGTACTTTGTGAGATCCACCCCTGCCCGCAAAACATTGCTCCTAACTCCACCGCCTATCCCAAAACCTATATGAACTAATGATAATCCCACCACCCTTTGCTGACTCTCTTTTCGGACTTAGCCCGCCTGCACCCAGGTGAAATAAACAGCCTTGTTGCTCACACAAAGCCTGTTTGGTAGTCTCTTCACTCGGACGCCATGTGCCTGGAAAAGCCACAGACACTGAACACCAGCCATGAAAGCAGCCAGGGTGGGAGGCTGCCTTCTGCAAAGCCACAGGGGTGGAGATGCCCAAGGCCATGGGAGCCCACCTTTGCATCAGCATGACCTGGATGTGAGACATGGAATCAAAGGAGATTATTTTGGCGCTAAGATTTAATGATTTCCCTGCTGCATTTTGGACTTGCACGGGGCCTGTAGTCCCTTTGTTCTGGCCAATTTCTCTCATCGGGAATGGGAGCATTTATTCAATGCCTGTACCCCCATTGCATCTAGGAAGTAACTAACTTGCTTTTGATTTTACAGGCTCCTAGGTGGAAGGGACTTGCCTTGTCTCAAATGAGATTTTGGACTTGGACTTTTGGGTGAATGCTGGAGTGACTTAAGACTTTGGGGGACTGTTGGGAAGGCATGATTGTGTTTTGAAATGTGAGGACATGAGATTTGGGAGGGGCCAGGGAATGATATGGTTTGCCTGTGTTCCCACCCAAATCTCATCTTGAATTGCAATCTTCATAATCCCCACATGTCAAGGGAGGGGGACCCAGTGGGAGGTGATTGAATCATGGGGGCTGTTTCCCCCATGCTGTTCTCATCGTAGTGAGTGAGTTCTCGTGAGTCTGATGGTTTTATAAGTGTCTGGCATCATCCCTGCTTGCTCTTCTCTCTCACTTGCCGCTTGCCGCCATTGTAACATGAGCCGGCTTCCCCTTTCACTATGATTGTAAGTTTCCTGAGGCCTCTCAAGCCATGCCGAACTGTGAATCAAACCTCTTTCCTTTATAAATTACTCAGTCTTGGGCAGTTCTTTATAGCATTGTGAAAATGAACTAATACATATGCCAATGGTTTATGGATGGAAATGTAACCCAAATTAGGCTGGTGGAAGCCAATCCTAGGACTTTTCTGGGGATAGCAGGAGGTTTTGGAGAAACAAAGTACTAGTTCTTCAACTCAAGTTGCTGAGTTAGTAGGAAGTAAGCCTGGACCTACTACGGTACCACCTAGAGAGAGATGTCTTGAGAATGAAGCCGACAAAAAAGAAAGGATAGTGAATGATGAAGAAAGGAACCACGTCCTGATGACATTTGTTAAGCCCCTGGATTCAGTGATGACTCAAGCCAAACCATTCCCCAAACTCTTCAGTCTGAGCCAATAGAAACACTTTTTTATGTTACACCCATTTGCGTTAAATTTCTGTCATTTGCTCTCTCAAGTGACAAGAAATCAAAGCAAAAGCCAAGCTGTGATGGCACATTATAAAGAACCCAATCCTAATCCATATAGTGGCACATGCAAGGGGTCTGGCTGGGCTGCCTTGAATAGACCCAGTGAGAACAGCTCAACTTAGTGACACTTTTGAGACCTAATCATGTCTTAAACCTGTATTGTCTAGACTTCGGAGATAAATTTTTTTTTTTTAATATGATTTGTGTTCCAATGGGGAAGGCTCATAAGTCATTAGGAGTTTAGACTGTGTAGTGATTTTGGAAATCTAAGTGCTCCTGCGGGTGACTCCCAGTGCGTTCTTGGAGATTAGCATTTTATAAGGAGCACCAAGACATCTTTAAATAGTTTTGTCCATTTTAACTTGACTTTTTTGCATGTGTTGAAGTAAAGCAGATTTGCAAGGTCTCAAGGGAATTAGGTTGGGGCCTGCGCTCACCATTTCTTCATCCTTTGCTAGCTCATGTGTAATGGGAATTCTATGTTCTCAATTCATGATGAAGTGTGAGATGCTTAAGAAAATTATCTTATGCTAAGTCTAAGGGAACTGGTTGGCCATACTGAACATTTGTAAGTTTGTTTCCTCTGAAGGACTGTGGAGTTTCCAAATTCACTTTACTAAGTATGCATATTTAATTTGCATCCAATTAGATAAAGCAGCTGGGCAGAAACTACAGCCCCTATATTAATGCACTCATTTGGGCATCAGACTGGGAGCTTTATATGCAGGCATCATCCAGATGAATGCATTTAAATTGTTCTAATTTACAAATTGAAGCAAAGTCTCTGCAGTTTGAAATCTTGGCAATGCTTCCATTACAACATATTTTCTGAAGCATTCAGAATTATAGTGCTGATGCAGTCTCACTTTCTAGAAGCATGCTTTTTAAGCAGGAGAATGATGTGATCAGTTTCCCATTATAGGGAAGATCATTTTGATGCTAACCAGAGGAGGGCCTAGAAGAGAGCAGGTGGCCGGGCGTGGTGGCTCATGCGTATAATCCCAGCACTTTGGGAGGCCGAGGCGGGCAGATCACCTGAGGTCAGGAGTTCGAGACCAGCCTGGCCAACATGGTGAAACCCCATCTCTACAAAAATACGAAAATTAGCTGGGCATGATGGCAGGTGCCTGTAATCCCAGCTACTCAGGGTGCTGAGGCGGGAGAGTCTCTTGAACCCGGGAGGCAGAGGTTGCAGTGAGTTGAGATCATGCCACTGCACTCCAGCCTGGGCGACAGAGCAAGACTCCATCTAAAAAAAAAAAAAAAAAAAAAAAAAAAAAGACCGCTTGTGGGCAGGAAGGCAACTTTTATGATAAGCTGGCCAAGAAATGACCAGGAGGTGATCCAAGACAGTGTCAGACAGTTTCCAAGGCACATTAGTAGGGTGCCTGTGGTGGATAGAATCGTGCCTTTCCCCACAAAAGGTATGACCACCCAGAACCTGTGAATGTGAACTTATTTGGATAAAGGTCTTTGCAGATGCAATGAAGGATCTCAACATTAGATCATCCCTGGATTAACCAGGTCAGACTTGAGTCCAATGATAGATGTCCTTATAAGACACAGAAGGGGAGAAGACACAGAGACACACGCAAAGAAGAAGCCAGGAAAGGATGGAGGCAGAGATTGGAGTGATGCAGCCACAAGCCAAGGAATGCCTGGAGCCACCAGCAGCAGAAGAGGCAAGTGTGGATTCTCTGCTAGAACATTTGGAGGAAACTTAGCCATGTCCACAAGCTCCATTTCAGACTTCTGGCCTCCAGGTCTATGAGAAAATGCATTCTTGCTATTTGAAGCCTGATATGGTTTGTCTGTGTCCTCACCAAGATCTCATCTTGAATCGCAGCTCCCATAATTCTCACATGTTGTGAGAGGGATCTGGTGGGAGATAATTGAATCATGGGGGTGGTTTCCCCCAGACTGTTCTCATGGTAGTGAATAAGTCTCATGAGATCTGACGGTTTTATAAGGGGAAACCCCTTTTGCTTGGCTCTCATTCCCTCTTTGCGGGCTGCCGTGTAAGATGTGCCTTTCGCCTTCCGCCATAACTGTGAGGCCTCCCCAGTCACGTGGAAGTATGAGTCCATTAAACCTCTTTCCTTTATAAATTACCCAGTCGCAGGTAGGCCTTTATCAGCAGCATGAAAAATGGACGAATACAAAGCCACTAAATGTGTTGCTTAAATTCCTGTTGCAGCAGCCAGAGGAAACTCAGATGGCCCCTGCCAAGAGGCACTCCCAGCAATCACGTTTTGTTTTTTCTCATCTCACCACCTGTTTTAGGGACTAAAGATGACCACCTTAAAGCAAATATGCCTTCTTCTATAAAGAATTACTCTAAGCTAAAGCTCCTCCCACTGACCTAGAAGAAGAAAGCAATACAACTTTTAGGGGGTGCGGGGAGAATAGCTTTAATAAAAATGCCTCTCTTGGCCAGGCATGATGGCTCACACCTATAACCCCAGCACTCTGGGAGGCTGACGTGGGTGGATTGCTTGAGCCCAGGAGTTTGACACCAGCCTGGGCAACATGGCAAAAACCTCATCTCTATAAAAAAATACAAAAAAATTGCTGGATGTTGTGGCACATACCTATAGTCCCAGCTACTTGGGAGGCTGAGGCGGGAGGATCACCTGAGCTGGGGAGATCAAGACTGCAGTGAGCTGTGATCACACCACTGCACTCCAGCCTGAGCAATAAAGGAAGACCCTCGTCTCAATAATAATAATAATAATTAATAATAAATAAAAAGAAAAATGCCTCTCCCCTTTAGGAGCAGGAAGGATGGGAATGCAGAGATTAGGAAAGACAGGGAGATGGTGGTTCTGAGTTACATGTAGAACACAAAATTAACTAGACTAGGTCAGTGTATCAAGACGCTTGGCTACAAGACACAGAAAGCTCATTTTAAACAGGCCGAAACAACAAAGGAAACTGATTGGCTTACGTATTTGAAAAGACCCAAGGAAGGGCTGATGTGATCCAGCAGCTCAGGCCTGAAGACCCTGCTTCCCTCCACGTCTCTGCCCTGCCTTGCACCATATAGGGGGTAGTTCTAACTGTGGGTATGAGATTGCCCACAAGACTATAGACTGGAAAGAAAAAGGGTGAAACCACGAGAAACACCAGCATGGAATTATAGATAGAGGTAGACGAATCAGCAAAGGAAACTAGGATAAACCAGGCGTGTGTCTCCGAGGCGAAGAAAGGAAGGGTTCCAGAAGAAGGGAATGGTTAGCAAAGGCAAATGCCACTGGGAGTCCAGTAAGAGAACCACAGCAAATGTTCGTTGGGTTTGGTAGTTTGGTGTTTACTGATGACCTTGGCAGTAGCCGGTTGCTGAAGCAATGAAGACAGAAGACAGATCATATGGGATGCAGACTGCATGGAAGGGGCTAGAGGGACAGAGCATTTATGAACTGAGAAATAAGCCAGGGAGAGACAGAGAGAGAGACTGAAAGAGTAAGGCCTTGGGAGGAGCTGGAAAGGCCACTTGAGAATAACAGAAGGGAAGGATTAACCTTGAATAGGAAAAATGTCTCTTCCTCCCAGTCCCTGAGACCGGAGAGAAATTGTAAGGATGATGTGGATGTAAACAAGTTGGCCCAGGTGTGGTGGCTCACGCCTGTAATCCCAGCACTCTGGGAGGCCAAGACAGGTGGATCACTTGAGGTCAGGAGTTCAAGACCAGCCTAGCCAACATGGTGAAACCCCATCTCTACTAAAAATACAAAAATTAGCCAGGCGTGGTGGCCCATGCCTGTAGTCCCAGTTACTCTGGAGGCTGAGGTGGGAGGATCGCTTGAACTCAGGAGATGGAGGCTGCAGTGAGCCAAGATCGCACCACCATACTCCAGCCTGAGTGACAGAATAAGACTCCACCTCAGAAAAAAAAGTTAGGGAGTGTGCTTATGGGTAAGTGTAAGAGGACACTGTGGGAAATTGAGAGAATTCACAACCAATGGTCTCTATTTTCACCCACTGAATAAGAATGTATTCGTTTCCTGTGGCTGCAGTAAAAAAATAGCACAAACACACTGGGTGGCTTAAAACAAGACACTTATCCTCTCACAGTTCTAAAGGCTCAAAGACAGAAATCAGGGCTATGCACCCTTTGCAACCAGCAAGGGAGAGTCAGTCCTTCCTCGTCTCTTTCAGCCTCTGGCGGCCTCAGGCATTCCTTGGCTTGTGGCTGCATCACTCCAATACCTGCCTCCTTCTCATATGACCACCTATCCTCTGTGTCTCTCTGTCTTCTCTTCTTTTAAATTGACCAGTCTTTCTTTCTTTTCTTTTTTCTTTTTCTTTTTTTTTTTTGAGATGGAGTCTTACTCTGTTCCCCGGGCTGGAGTGCAATGGCGAGATCTCAGCTCACTACAATCTCTGCCTCCCTGGTTCAAGCGATTCTCCTGCCTCAGCCTCCTGAGTAGCTGGGATTACAGGCCCCTGCCATCATGCCCGGCTAATTTTTGTATTTTTAGTAGAGACAGGGTTTTGCCATATTGGCCAGGCAGGTCTCCAACTCCTGACCTCAGGCGATCTGCCTGCCTTGGCCTCCCCCAAAAGTTGACATGCTTAAATGCTAATCCCAGGACTTGTGAATGTGACTTTTTATGGAGACAAAGTTTTGGAGATATAATCAAGTTAACATAAGGTCATTAGGGTGACTGGTGTCCTTATAAAAAGGGAAAAATTGGCCGGCGTGGTGGCTTATGCCTGTAATCCCAGCACTTTGGGAGGCCGAGGTGGGTGGATCACCTGAGGTCGGGAGTTCGAGACCAGCCTGACCAACATGGAGAAACCACGTCTCTACTAAAAATACAAAATTAGCTGGGCATGGTGGTGCATGCCTGTAATCCCAGCTACTCGGGAGGCTGAGGGAGGAGAATCGCTTGAACCTGGTAGGTGGAGGTTGCAGTGAGCCGAGATTGTGCCACTGCACTCCAGCCTGGGCAACAAGAGCGAAACTCCATCTCAAAAAAAAAAAAAAAAAAAAAAAAAAAAAGGAAAATTTGGAAACAGACACGAAGGGAAAAAGGAAAATTTGGAAACAGACACGAAGGGAAGAAGTGAAGAGACACAAGGAGAAGACGGCCTCTACACACCTTGGAGAGAGGCTGGAGCAGAGCTTTCCCTTACAGCCCTGAGAAGACACCGACCTTGCCAGCAGCTGGATTTTTGGACTCCTAGCCTCTAGAACTGTGAGACAATACATTTCTGTTGTTTAAGTCATCTAGTTTGTTTAAGGCTGCCCTCGCAAACTAATACAGGGACCACAGAGCCGTCCTCTGTCTATCCCTGGGATTCTCTTACTAACAGGGCGCTGCTGCTCACAGAGTTAAAAGAATTCACTCCAGGCTAACCATTGATCTGGTTCTCACACTTCAACGTTTCCTTTCTTCCACCTGGCACATAAAGAATCGTTTGCCAGCAGCCAGCAGTCTAATCATTAAGCGGCTGGGAAGGGAGACATCAAAGCAGTAAACAACACACAGAACAGTGTTACTTGAGCAATTTGCCTAAGAAACCACTTTATCTTCTCGGAGAGCTAGATGCATAAATTGTCTGCAGTTGTCTTTGGGGAGAGTTGACGAGGTCCGCAGGGGAGGAGTTACTGGTATGGCCAGTGAGTGTACTGAATACTGATTCCAGGAAAATTAGGAAAACACTTCTGGTGTGTTTGCTCCTGTAACCCCGGCTGCTGCACCAAGCTTCTAGTGTGTTGTTTTTCTTCTATTCTCTGACCCCCTCCTCTCAAGTAAGCCATATTTTGTGCAGATCTTCGGTCTTTGGGGAATGTGTCTCTTCCATTTTCTCCCTCCCAGCCCTGCCCCTCCTCTCTTTCCGACCTTTGGGTCCTCCACTTCAGCTGAGGGACCCTAAAAACTTGGCTACCACTTTCCCAAATCTCAAAGGAAGATAACAGTGATGGCCATTAAAATACTGTTCAGCTGGGCATAGTGGCTCCTGCCTGTAATCCCAGCACTGTGGGAGGTCCAGGCGGGTGGATCCATTGAGGCCAGGAGTTCGAGACCAGCCTGGGCAACATGGCGAAACCCCGTCTCTATTAAAAATACAAACATTAGCCAGGCATGGTGGCCCATGCTTGTAATCCCAGCTTCTCACGAGGCTGAGGCAGGAGAATCACTTGAACTCAGGAGACAGAGGTTGCAGTGAGCTGAGATCCTGCCATTGCACTCTAGCCTGGGCGGCAGAGTAAGTGAAACTCTGTCTCGAAAAAAAAAATACTGTTCAATTACCTCTAGAGGAAAGCAGGAATAGTTAAAATTGGTATTGCTATGACACCAGAAAACAAATTTTAGACTGACAGATCACAGCCTAGTGTCTACTTAGACTATTATTTTTGCATTGATTTGTCTACAGTTAACATCATACAGACCATCTAGGAGTTACTGCAAAATTGATACCAGGGAATTAAAATACACTTTAAAATACAAAGTTCTATATAAATTGTAAATCATCTTTCCTAGCGGAGGTTGCTCTTCTATATCAGCTTTCTTCCTCTGAGCCTCTCATCATGTCTCATTACCTTTTGCTGAATGCAGCAGGCTGTTCAATGCTGTTCTCACTGTCAACTTTTAAGCCGTGGGTGCCATGATTATATAGCTGAAGGAGCTTATTTTCCGGAAGATTTATGAAACCTTTGGGAGTCATCTGCTTTGACAGAACCCTTTGTGGAATGAGGGAGGGGATAAATAAATATACAGTCATGCATCACTTAACCTAAAAAATGCGTTCAGAGAAATGCAACATTAGACAATTTTGTCATTGTGTGAACATCATAGAGCAAACCCACGCAAACCTAGATGGAATAACCGGCTACACACCTAGGCTACAAGCCTGAACAGCATGTTACTGCACTGAATACTGTAGGCAACTATAACATGGTGGTAAGATTTAATAAGATTTAATATCTGTGTATGAAAACATAGAAAAGGTAGAGTGAAAATGTGGTACTATAATCTTCTGAGGCCACTGTCATACATGCAGTCTGTTGTTGACCAAAACATTGTTGTGTGGCACATGACTGTAGAGATAAATGCTAGGATTTCAGGCCCAAAGGTTTTATATATATGTATACATACATATATGTATAGACATGCAAAGGTTTTATATATATGTGTACACATATATAACCTTTGGGTTATATATACATATGTATGTATGTACATATACCTTTGTATATACCCCAAAGGTTATATATGTATATATGTGTATATAAAACCTTTGTATGTCTATACATATATATAAAACCTTTGGGCCAGAAATATACGCATATATATGTACACATATATACAGATATCTATCTATCACAGATAGATAGAGATAGAGAGAGAGAGAGATCTGTATCATGTGTACACATTTGAATACAGACCAGGGCTCAACAAACTCTTTCAGTAAATATTTTAGGCTTTGCAAGCCACATATCGTCTCTGTGGTATATTCTTCATTTTTATTATAATCTTGTAAACGTAATAACCAGGCCAGGCATGGTGGCTCACCCCGTGCTGTAATCCCAACACTTTGGAAAGCCAAGGTTTCCAAGTGTTGGAAGGTTCCAAGCCAAGGTTCCAAGCCAAGGAGGATCTCTTGAGACCAGAAGTTTGAGACCACCCTGAGTAATATAGTGAGACCTTGCCTCTAAGAAAAAAATTTTTTTTTAAATTACGCACCTGTAATCCCAGCTAACAGGCTGAGGTGGGAGAATCACTTGAGTTAGGGAAGTTGAGGCTGCAGTGAGCAGTGAGCATGCCATTGTACTCCAACCTGGGTGACACAGTGAGACTGTCTCTAAAAAACATAAACATTAAAAATGAATACATGTAGGGCTGGGCGCGGTGGCTCACGCCTGTAATCCCAGCACTTTGGGAGGCCGAGGAGGGTGGATTGCCTGAGGTTAGGAGTTTGAGACCAATCTGGCCAACATGTTGAAACCCTGTCTCTACTAAAAATACAAAAAAATTAGCTGAGTGTGGTGGCGTGCGCCTGTAATCCCAGCAACTCAGGAGGCTGAGGCAGGGGAATTGCTTGAACCAGGGAGGTGGAGGTTGCAGTGAGCCGAGATCACCCCACTGCACTCATTATTTTATTTGAATTTCACCACAAGTTTGTTAATTCCTTGTATTATCCTCATTTAAAAGCTGAAAAAGCCCAGACACTTTGGTTTACACCTGTAATCCCAGCACTTTGGGAGGCCAACGCAGGAGGATCACTTGAGCCTGGGAGTTTGAGACCAGCCTGGGCAACAGAGCAAGATTCCATCTCTACAAAAAATTTAAAAATTGGCCGGGCATGGTGGCATGTACCTTTAGTCCCAGCTACTCAGGAGGCTGAAGCAGAAGGATCGCTTGAGCCCAGGAGGCTGAGGCTGCAATGAGCTGTGATTGCACCACTGCACTCCAGCCTGGGCACTCTTTCTTTAAATAGCCAGGTTGTTGAGTGATAGCGGAGTGATCATGGGTGAAATAAAATGGAGTCCCAGCTTTGATCCTTTGTCTTTAGTCACTGTCATCTCCTCTTCCTCCTTTCCTTTTCATGGAACTGATATTTACTGAGTGACTGTGACATGCTGAGGCCCTGTGCGAAGCTGGAGATCCGGTGGAGCGCCACAGGCACGGTCCAGCCTGCCTGATGGCGCCCCGTTAGCTGGCAGGCAGGCAGGAAGCTAGCAATCAGAGCACCGTGTGCTCAGGGGTGTGACGGGGTGAGCGCAGGGGGCCGAGGGGGCACCAGGCAGCGCAGCCAACCCAAACCTGGACAGGCAGAAAAGGCTTCCATGAGAAGTATTGTCTGCATTGAAGGGTCAACAATGAGGAGTGTCAGCTGGGGGGAGAGCTTTGCAGAGCCTCAGACACCCCTGTTTCAGGACCCCACAGCGCAGATCTGCAGGGGCAGGGTTTTATCCAGCCTCTGCCTCAGGCAGCTCGTCTCCCAGGCTCCGGACTCATGAACCACTTCTTAGGGGAGTATGCAAACCAGGAGAACCAGAGGCCCAGATCTGTAGTACCTGTGTGGTTGGTTATTTAGTGCATCTCTACCTGCCCAGAAGGGCAGAAACAAGAGGTTTGGAGAGCATGTGCCTTGTTCACGGCTGCATCCCCAGTGCCTAGAACAGTGCCTGGCTGAGACAAAATTCCAATTATTTAGAGGGTAGAGGAAACAGGTGGATGCACGGTCCTTTTCACACTGACCATTGCTACTTGCGGGCAGGGAGACCAGGGAGGAGCCCAGGGCAAGGGAGGCCCCCACACCTAGGAGATTTTTGAAGTCAGAAACACACCCTAAAGATGCTCATGGCCTCTCATCTGCCTTTCTCCACCAGCCCTCACGTTGTACTTGGTGAATACGCTGCTCCGACTTTAAAGTTTCTTCCTAATAAGAGAGATCTAGGTTTAATTAAACCCAAGTAATAGAAAACAAGGGCATTTGGGCACATTCGGCTCACACAACAGGATTCCCTACTTAGCCTGTCCACTAAAGGGAGTTTCTACTGTCAAAGTTATTATTGCCCTCTGTGTGAAAGAAGAAATGTGTACAAAGCACTATGAGTTAATTAATAATTGTTGATTGACAGTGATTGGCATGTAATATTGGTGCCCCAAAAGAAATTTTAAAAACAGGTTTCTTTAATCTTTGAAAAATGCCACGTGAAGAGGGTCTTCATTCTCGGTGTTACTCTCCCCACCATGCCAGCTCCCCCTATATTCCTGTTGATTTGAGGGATTGTTCTTAACAGAAATAAGTTGATTTATTCCTGTTGATTACAGGGATTCCTGTAATCCCTGATGTATTCCTATTGGTTTTGTCCCAAGTTCAGTGCCAAAATTGCTCTGGTTGGGAGAAAACTTGAAAATGGCCATTATCCAAACCTAAAGCTGTTCCCAGCTGGTCCTAAGGCTACAGATGTTTCTCTACAACAGCCCAAATCACAGAGACAGGGGATTGGCCTACACACGGTGCTTCAGAGGCTCCCCTGAAGCCGACCCAAGGGGAGTCTACTCTACATGCTTGGGACCCTGCAGGAACCAGATAAAGATGTAGTCTTTGGACCATCGCATCTAGTGGCAGTAATATTTATTGAGCACTTACTATGTGCCGGGCACAGTTACTCATTTAATACTCACATGATCCCCAAGGAAGAAGTTACCATCATCATCCCCATATTATAGATGCAAAAACTGAAGCCCAGAAAGATTAAGTCACTTGTGAAAAATATGGCAGGGCCCAGACTTGCTGCCAGGCAGGCAGGCAGCAGAGGCGGCATGCTTAGCTGCAAGGCTATGTTGCTTTTGTCCAACTCTTGCCTTTTTTGCTGTTGTAGCCATTTTTGTTTTGCCAACATACAAAAAGAGTTTAATACATGAAAGTTATCTAAAGCCATTCAGTCTCTTCTTTCCCTCTAGAAGCCAAAGCTGGAGAGATTCCAATCACGGCATCACTGCGCATAGACATTCTCCTTTTAAATGCAAACACCTTTGATAAGAGTAACTCAGGCCTGAAAAGAGAGCTCCCAGAGGACCAGGACCTTCTTTATCTGCATGCCCAGGACTAAGCAGGGTATCGGGTAGTGGGTGCTCAGTAAGTATTTCTTGAATGAACCTTGGTGAGTATTTAATGGTTTCATGTACCTTGTTTTATGAGAACAAACTTTTGTTGAGTGATTGCTTTAGCCTCCTAGTCTGTTAGGCTCTAAATATAGCAAAGAATGTAATCTAGTTCCTGTCCTAAAGGAGCTTCCGGCCTACTGGGAGAAGAAAGAGACTAGTAAGCAAATAATTACAGAAAAATAAAGCCACAGTGGGTGTGTATAGCATTGCCCTATGGGAACACGGGGCAGGACAGCCTAAGACAATCTGGGCGTGTGCGTGGGAGGATTAAAGGAATTTCCAGTAGTGCGGGGAGGCTGGAATCTACAGTAGTCCCAGGAATGGCCCCAGGAGGAGTGCCTTCAGTGGAGGCTGGGAAGGGAAGGAGGCCAGATCACAGAGGGTTTGTATACAGACAGGGTCCAGGTGGGCCAGGCCACGCCCTACATTTTGGCATAGCTATTAATAGTCTCCCATTACTCACTAGAGCATCCCAATCAATTATGCAGACATCCTATTTATATTTATGTAATATGTACCATATATATACATATATATATGTATATATATATAGACTAAGGACTTGAACTTCATCCAACCACTTGCATTGCAAATGTAGAGGAATGTTAAGATAATAAGATAGGCCAGGCGCGGTGGTTCATGCCTGTAATCCCAGCACTTTGGGAGGCCGAGGCCGGTGGATCACGAGGTCAGGAGATTGAGACCATTCTGGCTAACATGGTGAAACACCATCTCTACTAAAAATACAAAAAATTAGCCGGGTGTGGTGGCGGGCGCCTGTAGTCCCAGCTACTCGGGAGGCTGAGGCAGGAGAATGGTGTGAACCCGGGAGGCGGAGCTGCAGTGAGCCAAGATCCTGCCACTGCACTCCAGCCTGGGCGATAAAACGAGACTCCATCTCAGAAAAAAAAAAGATGATAAGATCAATAGAATGTAGATTTGACCTGGGAAGAGGAGGAATAATCAGAGTCCAGTTGTGCACATATGTAACTGCCCACACCCGGCTTCAGGGGTTCTGCGTCAGAATCACTTGGGGTTTCATAAAATGGACAGTCACCCTAACTCAGTCAGACTCTCTAGAGGAGAAGCTGCGGAAACTGTAGGGTTAACAAGCCACCCAGATCATTTTCATGCGCTCCAAAGTATGGAAACCACAGACTGAAACATCACCAAGCTAACAGGTGCCTGAATGAGGTAGGAGGAGGGGGGCATAGCAGCTCTGCTCCAATGCTGTGTCTGCTGAGGGACAGGCCCGCAGGCCCCACAGAGTCTGCTCTGAGTATCCAGGGGCAGAGGAGGACATCTGCTCCTGGGAGTGGGGAGAGAAAATAAAGTAAGAACTATAACTAATCACCAGGCCAGGCAAGGTGGCTCATGCCTGTAATGCCAGCACTTTGGGAGGGCGAGGTGGGTGGATTGCTTGAGGCCAGGAGTTCAAGACCAACCGGGCCAACATGGTGAAACCCTGTCTCTACGAAAAATACAAAAATTAGCTGGGCATGATGGTGTGTGCCTTTAGTCCCAGCTACATAGGAGGCTGAGGCAGGAGAATCCCTTGAACCGAGGAGATGGAGGTTGCAGTGAGCCATGATTGTGCCACTGCACTCCAGCCTGGGCAACAGAGTGAGACACTGTCCCCCCTCCAAAAAAACGAAACAAAAAACCACACACACACAAAAACTAATCACCACCTTCATAAAAGCATCCAGGGCTGCCCTCATATTCAAGGCTTGTGCAGAGATAGAGAAAGAACAGGCAGTAGAGGAAAGGACGGCAGGAAGAAGGAGCCAGCAAAGCCAGGACTCTGCTGGGAACAGAGGGCATTGGGCTGTGGGGCAGGAAGTTAAAATCCAGGAGTGTCCTACCCGTGCAGGATGTCCCATCACATTCTTTTCGTAAAGGGCCCCCTGCGTCCTGTGCAGGCTGTGAATTGACATCAGCCCCTGCCTGACCTCCACCCCCAGCAAGCTTGCAGCCAAGCTGCAAACAGAATTCATGTCTCCTGATTCCTAAAGGTTCATTCTGAAAAAAGAAGGAAATAAAGAGAGAGAAAAAGAAAGAGAAAGAAAGAGAGAGGGGCTGGATGTGGTGGCTCATGCCTGTAATCCCAGCACTTTGGGAAGCTGAGGTGGGCAGATTGCTTGAGCCAAGTAGGTCAAGGCTGCAGTGAGCCGTAATCGTGCCACCGTACTCCAGTCTGGGTGACAGATTGAGATCCTGTCTCAAAAAAAAGAAAAGGAAAGACAGAAGAAAGGAAGAAAACAGAGAAAGAGAGGGAAAAATAGAGAGAGAAGAGAGTAGAAAAGATAGAAAGAAAAGGAAGGAAGGAAAAGAAAAAGGAAGAAAGAAAGAGAGAAAGAAAAAAGGACCAAACTTAGAACTGTTGTGAGTTTGGGCAGGAAAGAGAAGGCCAGCTGAGTCACCGTCATCAAGCAACGACACTTGGAACATCTCCTGGCATCAGGGTTTTCAGGAAAGGGCCCATTTTCTAACCTACCAGCGAGCACAAGGAAGATACCTGTTGGCAGGTAGCTTTCATGTACACTGACACTTTCCACCGTGTTCAAACTATCAGCTAAACCTGTCAATATTTTCCTTCTCCTCAGCTCTCCCTCTCCTCTTTGGCCGCCTATCCTTTTTTTTTTTTTTTTTTTTTTTTTTTTTTTTTTTTGAGATGGAGTCTTGCTCTGTCACCCAGGCTGGAGTGCAGTGGTGCCATCTCAGCTCACTGCAAGCTCTGCCTCCCGGGTTCACACCATTCTCCTGCCTCAGCCTCCCGAGTAGCTGGGACTACAGGCACCTGCCACCACGCCCAGCTAATTTTTTGTTTTCTCTTTTTTTTTTTAGTAGAGACGGGGTTTCACCATGTTGGCCAGGATGGTCTCGATCTCCTGACCTCGTGATCTGCCCGCCTCGGCCTCCCAAAGTGTTGGGATTATAGGCGTGAGCCACCGCACCTAGCCTGCTCCTATCCTTATTGATTGCCACCCTTCTCAAGACCCTCTGTAAAATTTCTGCATTCCTTCTAAACACAGAGCCCAAACAGCAAAAAGGATCTAATCAACAACAAACTCCCTGTTCTTATTTGCCAGACTTTTAATATTGTTTTAAGACACAGTTAACTTGCATTCAGTTTACAGCTCACTGTTGCTTATGTTCACTTCAGAGAAGTCTGTCTTTCTCAGCAATATAAAAACTGAAAACATTCTTCCTTAATTTGTATCTGGGTAGTTTTACTCTTAACTCAGTTGAGCTGCTTTAGGTCAAATGGTATCCCAAAATTTCCTAAAGTATGTTTCTCAGAGCAGGAGTATTAGATTATGTTCCTGGCTTAGGGATCAAATTAGGTGGAAGGGAGGTGGTAATGCAGACATCTCTTGGAGATTTACAATGATGGTAGCATGTAGAAGGCTGCGAGAAGTCTGCATTTTTCTAATTAAGTATTGCCCTGCTTACTAGCCTACTCCTGACACTGCAACCTCTAGCATCTCTTTCTGACTTCCCGGGAGCAAGGGCTTTCCTGGTGCTGGACCAACATGTCTCCCTAAATCCTCCACGTGGCAAAATGATATTCCTCACTATGTTGCTGATGACAAGTTTCAGGGTTTTTTCTTTCCCCAAATGAAATAAATGTCTTTGATTGCTTTTTATTATTATTACAACTATTTTTCATATTACTATATATTATATAATTTATTATTATATTATATATTAATAACAAGCAATACAGAGCAGCAAAAGAATGTAAAACATCTACGCTCTCAACAAAAACCACCGTCAACATTTCTTTCTAGATTTTTCTTTTTTTTTTTTTTGAGACAGAGTCTGGCTCTATCGCCCAGGCTGGAGTGCAGTGGCGCTATCTCAGCTCACTGCCAGCTCCACCTCCCAGGTTCATGCCATTCTCCTGCCTCCGTCTCCCAAGTAGCTGGGACTACAGGCACCCGCCACCACGCCTGGCTATTTTTTGTATTTTTAGTAGACACGGGGTTTCACCGTGTTAGCCAGGATGGTCTCAATCTCCTGACCTCGTGATCCGCCCGCCTCAGCCTCCCAAAGTGCTGGGATTACAGGCGTGAGCCACCGCGCCCAGCCGTTCTTTCTAGATTTTTCTAGGTATAATGTGTAATACATGTGCTTACGTATTTTTTTATGAGTTCATACCGTAATGTATTTTTTTAACTTATCAGTGATTTGAAGCTCACCATAATGTATTTTTATACAAGTAAATTAGTAACATCTTTCCACATCGAGAGTTCCATTTCTGTAATGTTATTTTAACAGCTACATAGGATTGTTTTGTATGACTGCAGCATAATTAATTAATTGATCCCCTATGGTGAGACATGTGGATTGTTTTCAGCTTTCCTTTATTCCAAGCAGAACTGTGATGAACATTTTTAGAGTTACAGCCTTGCACGTTTTCTCAGTTATTTCCTCAGGGTAGATTCCCGGAAGTAGAATTACAATGTTCCTTTTGACATGGTGCTGAGATCACGGGTAAGCACCAAGTGTGTGCAGGTAGGTCCCAGTGGTGGGTTAGGAACAGGCAGGATCCCCTGTTCCCTTCTCACAGGGACGGCACATTCACGTGCCCCACAATGCTTCTGCTAGTCTCCTTGACAAAGTACCACCAACGTGGTGGCTTCAAACAACAGAAATTTCTCTTAGTTCTGGAGGCCAGAAGTTTGAAATCAGACTGGGCATGGTGGCTTATGCCTGTAATCCCAGCACTTTGGGCGGCCAAGGCCAGTGGATAGCCTGAAGTCAGGAGTTTGAGACCAGCCTGGCCAACATGGCAAAACCCCATCTCTACTAAAAATACAAAAAATTAGCTGGGCATGGTGGCCAGCGCCTGTAATTCCAGCTACTCAAGAGGCTGAGGCAGGAGAATCGCTTGAGCCCAGGAGGCGGAGGTTGCAGTGAGCTGAGATTGGGCCACTGCACTCCAGCCTGGGCAACAGAGCGAGACTCCATCCAAAAAAAAAAAAAGTTAGAAATCAAAGGATTGGCAGGGCCACACTCCCTCTGAAGGCTCCACGGGAGAATCCTACCTCATCTCTTCCAGCTTCTGGTGGTCCCAGGCATTCCTTGGCTTGTGGCTGCATCACTCCAATCTCTGCCTCTGTCTTCACAAGACTTCCTCCTCTTCTCTCTCGATCTGTGTTTTCTTCTCTTCTCTCTCTTATAAGGACTCTTGTCATTGGATTTACAGCCCACCACATAAGTCAGGATGATCTCAGCTCAAGATCTTTAACTTAATTACATCTGCAAAGATCCTTTTTCCAAAGAACATCACCTTATGGGCTCCAGGGATTAAGGCAAGGCATGTCTTTGCAGGGGCCACCATGAAACCCATTGAGATGTGCTTCCAGGCTAGAAAGAGTGGCCTTCAAACTGGTACACACATGCATACATATGTGAGCAGGGGACATTCTTACCAAGTACAATCTTATGTGACACCCCAATATATAAAGGGGGTAAGTGGAGCTGTTTGGCTGAGGTGGAATGCAGGGAGAGCAGCATCACTCCATCAAGGACACACTGGATTGTAGGGGACGCAAGGACTCCAAGCCCTCGATGTCTTTCAAAGGAGGTCAGAGGGAGGGCCACATTGTACTTGCTGTCCTTGGGAGAACGCCCCAAACCCTCCCTCTCTGGCTCTGCGCCTTGGCCCACACAGGCCCCGTCTCTTTGCCACCACAGAGAGAATCAGGCACCCAGAGAAGTTCTGCACATGATAAGAAGGACTTGGGTGAGAATCACACGGAGGTCCTGACTTACAGTTTTTTTGAAAAGCAAATCATTCGCATATCTCAGCAAAAGTCCTCAAAGGACATTCCTGAGTTTCAGTGGGAGGAAAAATGAGTTGCTTTCTGAGCCCTCTCAGCACCTTTCTGGACTGGTGAATGTTACAATATGCTGTGTTGCTACAACTTTATCTACAAACTGGGCCCGAGCGTCCGACACAGACTGTTCCTGCACTCACAAATGACGGTGTATTCCAGAAGTTCATTTGTAGGTGAGTTGTTTGCATCTCAGAAAGCCTTTTCCCTCTGTCGGGGGCTAGAGATCTCAATGTCTATTGATTGTTACAGACAGCAAGACAGAGCTCTTGTAGCTGGCTGGCCTCCACCGTGGGCCTCGCAGAGCCCCCAGACTCAGAGCCCTGGGCAACACTGGGCTTGAAAGCAGGGCTAGAAGGGAAGGGCAAAATGGGGCACAGGGTCTCCCAGGCACTCAGCAGTCATGGGCATTGCTGAGGGGGTGCCAAGGACAAGAGGGTTGAGGGGCAAGACGGTCACCATGGGGGTGGCTGCAGAAGGCCGGAGCAATCTGTATGTCAGATAACTTGGTGGGGCAGGCCTGCCTGTATTGTTGCCATCTGGCTAATAAGGATTTGAAGGCTGTGAAAGGGAAGGGGTTTTGCTGTAATCGTTTCCTAGGGCTGCTAGGAAAACCAAGTGCCACCAACTGAGTGGCTTAAAGCAACAGAAATGTATTCTCTCGCAGTTCTGGAGGCTGCAAGTCTGAGATCAAGGTGTCAGCAGAGCTGTGCTCTCTCTCCCGCCTTCTGGTTGTTGCCAGCAATGCTTGGCGTTCCTGGCCTGCGGCTGCATGACACATTTCTCTGCCTCCGGTGCTCCATGGCCACCTCCCCTCTGCACGCCTGTCTCCACATGGCCTTCTCCCTGTCCATGTGTCTCTTCTCATAAGGACACCAGTCTTACTGGATCCTAATGACCCTATCGTAATATGATCACATCTGCAAAGCACCTATTTCCAAATAAAGTTACATTTACAGGTACTAGAGGTTAGGACTTCAACCTATCTTTTTTTGGAGAAACAATTTAACCCGTAACAGAGGCATATAATCTGTCATCCCACCTAAAATAAAAATACAATCTATAATGGCCATGATGTGTAGCCACAGAGCCTCTGCTAAATACTGCCAGCAACAGGCAGGGAATCCATTCCATTTTTAGGTAGCCCCAGTCATGAGCTACCTCATTCCTTAAAATGGCCCAAAATACGCTTCTCCAGACTTTCACCTGTTGAACTGTTTTCCTTTATTGAACTACATAGAATAAATCCAATCACTCTTGACAAAATCTTTTCAAATATGTGAAGCCCTCCCAGCCAGCCTCCAAATATTTTCTTAAAGCTAAAAATTCTCCAGATCTTTATATGATTGACATGAGGGTTTTTTGTTTTGTTTTTTGTTTTGTTTTGTTTGAGACAGAGTCTCGCTCTGTTGCACAGGCTGGAGTGCAGTGGCACGATCTCAGCTCACTACAACCTCCGCCTCCCAGGCTCAAGCGATTCTTGTGCCTCAGCCACTGGAGTAGCTGGAATTACAGGTGTGAGCCAACAACACCCAGCTAATTTTTGTATTTCTAGTAGAGACAGGGTTTTGCTATGTTGGCCAGGCTGATCTCGAACTCCTAGCCTCAAGTGATCTGCCCGCCTTGGCCTCCCAAAGTGCTGTGATTACAGGTGTGAGCCACTGTGCCCAGCCATGGTTTTAAGATCTCTCAGGATTCTAGTCACTGAACTCTGGACATGGTCAATGGTCTAGGCCCATCCTAAGAAGAGGCTTCCATGACTGAAAGCCTACAATGTAGATATGATCTGATGGATGAAGAAATCAATGGGTGTATTTATTTCTAGGATTTGAGCATTACCCCACTACAGAAACCTAACCTTGTATTGAGATTTCTGTTTTGGTTTGGTTACAGTTTGGGTTTATCCGCTTGCTTGTTTTGCAGAGGGTCGCAGAGTTTAGTGGCAAAGCTGGGCTGTTGACTCAGATTACGTTTGCGTCAGTTAAAATCTCTGAGCTTTTTCATAATTCCTCTTAAATCACATCTTCCACTCATTACTTGTGCTGTTTCTTTTTGAACCTCCTGCATGTTGGTTCCTATTAAATTTCATCTTACTGCTCTTTGTACTTCAATGTAACAGCACATTCCACCTCTTGCAAATGTTGGCATGTCATTCCTGCATTAGCCATCCAACCCAGCTCTGGTAATCTGCTTCCAACAGGAAAAAACAAGGAGGAAAGAGAACCAATATCTAGAACATTTATTAAGACGCCAGCAAGCTAGACAATTGTTAATTGACATCTTTTTAATTGACATCAACACACAAACAGAAAAGTGCACAAAAAAACATACAATTCAATGAATTCTCACAAAGCAGATGCCTGTGTAGCCACCCATGTCAAGAAAGAGAACATTAGGCTGGGAATGTTTTAATAAGCATTTTTCTCTTTAAATCCTCAAGCCTACTTGGTAATTATTATTAAACCTGGTTTACAAGATGATAAAACAGATTCAGAAAGGTTAAGTGGCTTGCCTAGCTGACTGCCACAGCTGGGAGTTGTAAAGCACGGAATGGGCCCCATGTGGTGGCTCATTCCTGTAATCCCAGCACTTTGGGAGGCCAAGGCGGGTGGATCACTTGAGGTCAGGAGTTCGAGACCAGCCAGGCCAACATGGTAAAACCCCATCTTTTTTTTTTTTTTTTTTTTTTTAAGGCAGAGTCTCACTCTGTTGCCCAGGCTGGAGTGCAATGGCTTGATCTCGGCTCACTGCAAGCTCCGCCTCCTGGGTTCATGCCATTCTCCTGCCTCAGCCTCCTGAGTAGCTGGGACTACAGACGCCTACCACCACGCCTGGCTAGTTTTTTGTATTTTTAGTAGAGATGGGGTTTCACCGTGTTAGCCAGGATGGTCTCGATCTCCTGACCTTGTGATCCGCCCACCTGGGCCTCCCAAAGTGCTGGGATTACAGGTGTGAGCCACTGCGCTAGGACTGAAACCCCATCTCTACTAAAAATACAAAAATTAGCTGGGCATGGTGGCACACACCTGGTAGTCCCAGGTACTTGGGAGGCTGAGGCAGGGGAATCGCTTGAACCTGGGAGGCGGAGACTGCAGTGAGCTGAGATTGCACCACTGCACTCCAGCCTGGGCGATGGAGTAAGACCCTGTCTCAAAAAAAAATCTAATATACCCCATAAAAATATAGACCTATTATGTATCCACAAAAACAAAAAGAAAAAGAAAGAAGGAACCCAACATTTGCCTATAAGAACAGAAACTACGCTTACTACAAGTCAACAAAGAAAAAAAACCAGTGTAGTCCTATTACCCCCATGCTTAGCACTGTCTGAAATGTCCTCTCCCTCCCTCCCATCCTTACTTTTTTTCTGATCAACACCTCTTCATCCCCACTTCAGCATTCCTTCCGCTGTGAAGCTTTGGGAGACTTTCTCAGGTTGAGCTAATCAGCTCCTCTTTTGTGACCTTCTGGTACTTCCTATTCTTCTAGTTAGAGCAGCGGTCTCATGAATAGACTCCTATTTCCTGGGTTATCTCCCTCACGAAAGAGTTGTCTTGAGGGGAGGAGTATGGTTTGTTCATCTTTGTGCTTCCACTGGTTAACAAAGTACCTGGAAAAAAATAGGCATTCAATGTGTGTGCTGTGGTATTGTTGAATGCGGTAGAGGATGGCTGAGAGAATGCAGAGCCTGAGTGCAGAAGCGGGGCTGCAGGTGCTGGGGGCTGAACCAGGGCAGCAGTAGTGGGGATGGAGATGCTTAGGACAGCTGGTCCTAAATCCTGGTCATTATTAAATCGCCTTAGGAGGCTGGGGAGGACTTTAAAATGCAGATGCTCAGGCTACTTCCAGATGTACTGACTCAGTCTCTAGGGAGGGGACTCCACATCTGAATTCATTAGAAGTCCTTTAGCAGGGCCGGGTGCGGTGGCTCACACCTGTAATCCCAGCATTTTGGGAGGCTGAGCGTGTGGATCACCTGAGGTCAGGAGTTCAAGACCAGTCTGGCCAACATGGTGAAACCCCATCTCTACAAAAAATACAAAAATTAGCCAGGCATGGTGGCATGTGCCTGTAATCCCAGCTGCTCGGGAGGCTGAGGCAGGAGAATTGCTTGAACCCAGGAGGCGGAGGTTGCAGTGAGCCAACGTCACAGCTCTGCACTCCAGCTATCTCAAGAAAAAAAAAAAAGTCTTTCAGGGGATTCGGATCCTCAGACAAGTTTGGAAACCACTGACATAGGTAGTGTCCTGAGTCAAACTTGGAGGACACATGGAAGGCAGGGAAAGGGGGGAAAAGAAAGAGGAGTCTGGGTCCTAGGTTTGCCCAGCATGGATGATGATGATGGCATTGACGGAGCGAGTGCTGGAGGAGCCTTGGGGTGAAGTTGTTCTGCACGAGCTGAGTGTGCGGTGTCCGCACATATCCCGATGAAGATGGCCTTTTGGCAACTGGGAGCCAAGCCGGGGACTCAGGAGAGCAATCTGTCATTTAGGACCTTGAGAATTTGCCGTTTTGCTAGGAAAAAGGTCATCTTCCCATACTCACTCTGTCCTCTAGTTTAGCAGAAAGAGGTAAAAATTACTTTTACTTTCTAACTGATTAAGCCTGACAATCAGTAGTGATAATCCAGAAATAAGTACATTTAATTCATTTATGACAGTCCTAGAGTTTGCATAGTTACCTGTTTCTCATAAACAAATGCTTTAAAAGAAATTAAAAGAAGGATATTTTTGAGAAAATATGCACTTTAAAAATGGTCATGTTTAAACTCCAGTGGATGTTAGTAATTGACTTGAAAGTCTGTTTTTACAAATAAATCCTGGACCCATAAATGGATATTTGACCCCCTATAGCATAAAAGGGCAAAAACATGTCTGTAGAAACATCTGACCTAATCAATTTTCAAATTAATCTAAAATTACTATTTGAATTCAAATGTAGTAAATGTCATGGGTCCTTTCCCTGGGGCACAGACATAAACCTGATCTCCTAAATGACATAAAATAGAGAACGGAGCAATTTCTTTGGTGAATATGAATAAGCATTGGAGCCCATCTGGATAATTTACATAAAAATTGGATTTTCGCCCTTGAATTATCTTTTTATAGTGGACATCTCTCATATTGTCTCCTCAGCCTCCTGTTCCCCTTGTCTTCCCCTGTGAGACTCCTGCAGAAACTGCCCTTTTTTTAATTTGTTTATTTTTGAGACAGAGCCTCGCTCAGTCGCCCAGGCTGGAGTGCAGTGACGCCATCTCGGCTCACTGCAACCTCCACCTCCTGGGTTCAAGTGATTCTCCTGCCTCAGCCTCCCGAGTAGCTGGGATTACAGGTATGCACCACCATGCCTGGCTACTTTTTGTATTTTTGGTAGAGACAGGGTTTCACCATGTTGTCCAGGCTGGTCTCAAATTCCTGACCTCAAGTGATCCGCCCGCCTCATCCTCCCAAAGTACTGGGATTACAGGCGTGAGCCACTGTGCCTGGTCAGAAACTGGCCTGTTTTTATGGTGCTCCCTTCCTCTGGTGGAAGTTCACTGGTCCAAGATCAAGCTCGCCTATCCCCATGGGCCACCAGCTCTCTCCCCAAGGGCATCTGCCTTTGGGATCCAGCCTTGAAGGCAATCCTTTTCTAGAACTAAGAACTCCCAGGATAAAACTTGGGAACTGACTACGTTACCTACCATTAAAAGAAATCCTTTCAAAAGAGAATGAAGCCCAAATAAGAGAATAAGAAACATCCTGACCCACTGGCGCCCCTAGTTCTAGTAGCTTCGGAAGCCAGGCTGGAATGAGGACCTCTCACAGTCGGATGGTTCATTCTTCTTTAGGTTCTGTGATCCAAGAACTCCTTTCAGCCTACTCTAGAGCAAGATGGGTTTCCAGTCTCCTGAAACTAGGACTGCCAAGAATAATAATGTACCATTTCATACAGATTGACTCTCCAACTCAACCTCTGAGATCCTAACTTTCCTCAAAACCAAACGAAAAGGAATGAGCGGAAGAAGATGCTCTCTCTTACCGGTTGAATTGTGTCCCCTCCCTGCAAGAGATATATTAAAAGTTCTGGCCCTGGTGCAGTGGCTCACGCCTATAATCCCGGCACTTTGGGAGCCCGAGGTGGGCAGATCACTTGAGCTCAGGAGTTCAAGACCAGCCTGGCCAACATAGCGAAACCCTGTCTCTAAGAAAAACACAAAAATTAGCTGGGCGTGGTGGCGCACGCTTGTAATCCCAGCGACTCGGGAGTCTGAGGCAGGAGAATCGCTTGAACCCTGGAGGCGGAGGTTGCAGCAAGCTGTGATCACACCACTGCACTCCAGCCTGGGTGGCAGAGCAAGACTCTGCCTCAAAAAAAAAAAAAAAAAAAAAAAAAAAAAAAAAGAAGAAGAAGAAGAGAAGAGACACAGAGACAGAGACAGGGAAACAAGAGAGAAGATGACCATGTGGTGACAGGTGCAGAGAGTGGAGTGATACAGCTGCAAGCCGAAAAACATCAAGGATTGCTGGAAAACACCAGAAACTAGAAGAGGCAAGGAAAGGTTTTTCCCTACAGGTTTCAGAGAGAACATGGGTAAAACCTTGACTTCAGTCTTCTGGCCTCCAGAGCTCTGAGACAATGTGTTTGTGTTATTTTAAGCCACCCAGTTTGGCATACATTATTTGGTAGCCCTGGCAAACTAGTAGTTTCTAAGATACTTTCTATCCCTACATTGTCCTGCTTTGGTGCTTTTATATGGTTGAGAAGGGGCCAAAGGTACCAAGTTCTTTTCCTTGTGAAGTTCAGATGGATGCCCTGATAAATGGGGCAAGAGGGATGAGGGAGGGGATTACAGACTGTGGGATTATAGACTTTTAGCCTAAGGCTTTGTATCCAACAGTTGTCAAATTGAGGTTACACACTGAGACTTGGTTAGGGGGGCACTTCAGACATACAGCAGACCCTCAAAAAAGGTTGCTTTTCTTTATATCTTATATTAATACAAAGAAGAGCTGAAAAAATACCTTCAAAAGCTGTTTGCTGTGAGCTCAACTGCTGACTCCACCCCCCAGCCCAGTTCCATGCTGCTCCTGTCCACTCCTTCTTTTTTTTTTTTTTTTTTTTTTGGATTTTTGCCAAAGTTCCAGGCCAAAGTTTGTAAAAGTCCCCTCTTCAAGGAACATTTATTTAGAATGTCTTGCTACACGGGAAAACACAAATCTCTCTTGGTTTGTACCATGCGGTCTTAACCAGAGCAAAATCTAGTTGGTAAACAAACCAAAAAAAAAACCCACTTTGGCCTCCACAGCTGCCACCCCTTACCTCCATCTCTCACACATTTTCTAGTATGTAAAGAACTTGTGACTGTGAGGACGAGTAGATTTTCACACAGATAGAAACTGAGAGTACAGCCATTCATCACTCTGTGGACAAATCTTCAAATCCATGCCTTTTCACTCACTGGAATATAAGAAGTTAACTGTATTTTCACAGGATAAATCTGGATGTTTCAGTAAATCTTAAGTTGTTCATGCTAACCACGAGTGTGTCTGTCAGTAATACATGAAATCTCCAAAAGATTTAGGAGCGACATTGATGAAGGTGTTTATTTTTATTTATTTTTTTTATTTATATATTTTATTTATTATTATTTTGAGTTAAATTAAATTAAATTTTCATAGAGTCTTGCTGTGTTGCCCAGGCTGGTCCTGTTGTTTCTTTTTCCCTTCCTTCCTTCCTTTTTCTTTCTCTCTCTCTCTTTCTTTCTTTCTTTCTTTCTTCTCTCTCTCTTTCTTTCTTTCTCTCTTTCTCTCTTTCTTTCTTTGTGTTTCTCTCTTTCTTTCTCTTTCTTTCTTTCTTCTTAAGACAGAGTCTCACTCTGTTGCCCAGGCTGGAGTGCAGGCTGGAGGGCTCACTGCAGCCTCTACCTCTGCAGGATCAGGCAATCCTCCTGCCTCAGCCTCCCAAATAGCTGGGGATATGTAGATTTGGAGTGGGTATCCACTTCAGGTAGGAGGAAGAACAATATTAGCAAAGGCAGAGGCAAGAAAGCACCCTGCATTTTGGAGACAATAGAATCAAGCTTTTCTGAGTGGAAGGGATTTTAACACATTGGTTAGTCCAGTGATTTTTCACATCATGTTAAATTGCATAACTCTAAAAGATGATTTAGAGACAATATATAAAGCAGACAAAAGTGGAGCTGATCTGAGTAGATCAGGGTGGATCTAGTGGGACCCAGCCATGATGGTATGAGAGACCCATGTGTAACCTTCATAAGAGAAATGTAAACTGAAATCAAGATAAGGTTTGGTTAACAAATATAGATAGGAGGAGAATTGAATAAATAGAGACATTCATGTCCCTGGGTGGAGAAGTGTCCATTGTTATCTAATTAATGTATACCTTTACTGCTATTCCAACTCAAATCCCCATGGAAGTTTTGTAGAACTTAATATTTTTTTCAGAAAGAAGACTCTAGAATTAGGAGAATTACTCTAACATTTAACAGTATATTGTAAAACTGTAATAATTTGCATTCTGTATACTTTATCATATAATACTATAATACTTTCTAATACTATGCTATTAGATTTCATAATAAAGAACAGTGTGATAATGGTATACAAGGCTTATCCAAAGATAAGCCTTATTATACAATAAAATTAAATACATGAGAAAAAGCCATTATAAAAGTCAAAGGGAAAGAAAGAAAAATGCAGTTTTCTTTGGGAATAATATATAGGTCATCTGGAATAAAAATCCTATTGTTATTCACTACAAACCTATACCAAAATAAGTTCCAGATGATTTAAGGTTTTAATATATTTTAAAATATAAAAAAGAATAAAATAAATTAAATAGGTGGTAAACATCTAGATAGAAAAATGACATTCTATACTAAGAAACACTTGAAATCAAAAGATGAACAGATTTTAATAGATACAATGTTAAATTGCCCTAAGTAAAAAATAAAAATAAAATCAATAACCAAAAATAAGGCACCAATAGGCTGAAAAGTGCAAAAATAAATATTATACAAACTTAATAGCCTTTTTATATGATTTCATAAAGTAAGAAACATCACCAAGACCTTCCCCACAAAATGAGTAGACAACCCGCCAAATAAAATTTGTGAACACATATATGGAAAGATAATTAAACGTATTTGCAGGCAAAGAAATATAGACTTTGGCCGGATGCAGTGGCTCACGTCTGTAATCCCAACACTCTGGGAGGATGAGCTGGGTGGATTGCTTCAGCCCAGGAGTTTGAGAATAGCCTGGCAACACGGTGAAACCCTGTCTCTACCAAAAATACAAAAAAACTATCCAGGTGTGGTGGCGCACACCTGTAGTCCCAGCTACTTGGGAGGCTGAGGCAGGAGGATCACTTGAGCCTGGGGGGCTGAGGCTGCAGTGAGCCAAGATGGCACCTGCACTCCAGCCTGGGCAATAGAATGAGACCTTGTCTCAAAAAAATAAAATAAAAATAAAAATAAAGTAAAAGGAAATATATAGGCTTTGATTCTTTTTGTCATTCTGGCCAATTAACCTTTTCTAAAGAAATTATTATGAAATTCCAACTAGCCTAAAAATAATTTTTTTTTTTTTTTTAATTTTCTTGAGACAATCTCACTCTTGCCCAGGCTGGAGTGCAGTGGTGCGATCTTGGCTCAATGCAACCTCCACCTCCTGGGTTCATGATGCAATTCTCCTGCCTCAGCCTCCTGAGTAGCTGGGATTACAGGCATGCGCCACCACGCCAGGCTAATTTTTGTATTTTTAGTAGAGACGGGGTTTCACCATGTTGTCCAGGCTGGTCTCGAACTCCTGACCTCAGGCGATCCAGCTGCCTCCCCATCCCAAAGTGCCAGGATTACAGGTGTGAGCCACTGTGCCCCGCCTAAAATAGTATTTTTAAGTGTCTATCCTTAAAATAAAATAATTCAAAAACATGAGAAAACTCGATGTACAAATCCATTCAGGGCACTATTATTTACAACAGCAAAAAGCTAATATGCAAACAAATGAATAAATTAAGCCACAATGGAAGATTGGTTAAGTAAAATGGAATATAATAACTTGATAGCAGATTATGCATCCATTTAAAGTTTTTAATGCAAAAACTGTGCAAAATGATTTTATGTTGAGTAGAGGCAACAGCAAACCTGTGTTACTCCTACTGTATCCCCAGTGCTTAGCACAGCGCCTGGTCCCCAATAGGGAACCAATATGACTTGTTAAGTGAATGAAAACTGCACACACAAGGTATGACTCCAGACCATGTAAAACCTACTTACAGAGAAAAGAATGAGAAGAAATATAAATAATGGTAGAAGTGTAGAAGAAGTTATACTCCTACTTTACATTTCTTTTCATTTTTTGGAGAAAAAAAAAAGAGGCAATGCCCAAAATATTATATGGGGCCATACTTACAATTGTTTATCAAACTTTAACTAGGTGTCCTGTATTGTTATTTGCTAAGTCTAGAAAACCTACTAGACAACAGATTTCAAATCCTTATGGTTAATGTTTGCTTGTTTTATATAGATATATATTTTTGAGACAGGATCTGGCTATATGACCCAGGCTAGATGGCAGTGGCACAAACACAGCTCACTGCAGCCTCACCTCCTGGGCTCAAGTAATCCTTCTGCCTCAGCCTCCCAAGTAGCTGGGACTGCAGATGTGTGCCACCACGCCTGGCTAATTTTGAAATTTTTTGTAGAGGTAGGGGGTAGCACTTTGTTGCCCAGGCCGGTCTTGAACTCCTGGGCTCAAGTGATCTTCTCGCCTTAGCCTCCCAAAATGCTGGGATTACAGGCGTCAGCCACTGCGCCCAGCCCCTTACAGTTAATTTTTGAAGTCTATTGAACAAATCAGTTCCCTTGATGCATGATTATTTTTTTCTTCCTCATATATAATCATGTGTATTTTTTCTGTATAGAAAAAGTATAAACAAAGAGAAAAAACTGCACTAAATCCCACTACCAAAGATAACTACCATTTGTATTTGAAGACATTCCCTACGTATATGCATATAAGATTTATATATGTAGTTTTACATGCATATGAAATCATACCATAAATGCTTTCTTGTAATCGTGTTTTTTGCTGTTTATGTTTTCCATGACTGCCAATTTCACTGCCTGTTCAGAGGTCTGACTTCCATAAAAATCCCATTTACTTACCATTCCCGGGGGCCAGCAGTACATGGGCCACATATGCAGATGATTAACTGGTAGTTTGTTTGTTGTTTTTATGGCAAATCACATAGCACAGGCTTACAGAGGGTCCTCCCTTGAGAGCACAAGCCCAGAACCTGTTATCTAAGCCCTCCACAGTCTTGAAAAAGAGACACAATTTTGTGAGGGATATGTTCATGTGAATTGGTACTTACTAGGCTTTATTTCATCTCATACCAATTTTGTTCCAGAAACTTCCTAGAAAGCTATGAAAACATGAGACAATGACCATGGATATGGTATCTGGGAGAAGTACTGATTACGTAATGCAGTCTTTATTTTTTATTTTTTATTTTTTTTTGAGGCAGAGTGTCACTCTTGTCACCCAGGCTGGAGTGCAGTGGTGCAATCTTGGCTCACTGCAAGCTCCACCTCTCAGGTTCAAGCAATTCTCCTGCCTCAGTCTCCTGAGTAGCTGGGATTACAGGCGTGCGCCACCACGCCCAGGTAATTTTTGTATTTTTTGTAGAGACGGGGTTTCACCGCGTTGGTTAGGCTGGTCTCAAATTCCTGAGCTCAAGTGATCCACCCACCTCAGCCTCCCAAAGTGCTGGGAATTATAGGCATGAGCCACCACACCTGGCCCATGCAATGCAATCTTAGCAGCTGAGTTCAACATTTATTGAGCAGCTACTATCAGCCAGACACAGGGTTAAGCACACAAAGCATAGGAAGACCAAGAAAATGTACCCCAGCCAGGGGAAGCTTCAATTTACCAAACATAATATGAAGTAGACATTCATCTATGATTCTACCACTCAGAAATACTATTATTAACATCGATCCAGATATAAGAATTATAATACCCAGCACTTACAGAGTTTTTCTTCTTTCTTTCTTTTTTTTTTAATAGAGACAGCCTCTCACTAGGTTGTCCAGGTTGGTCTCAAAGTCCTGGGCTCAAATAATCCTCCCACCTCGGCCTCTCAAAGTGCTGGGATTACAAGAGTGAGCCACCACACCCAGCCTGCAGCTCTTATTTTATAGAGACTTTAAGAGTTTAAATAGTCACTTATGAAATCCTCAAAATATTATTGCAATGTACAATTTGTATTTCTATTGCACAGATGAAGAAACTGAGGCAAAGAAAGATTATTTAACCTGCCTTAAATTGCATAGTTGCAATGTGGTAGGGCCTCGATTCAAAACCAATGTCTCTCCATAGATGAGACAGAGAGAGAGAGAGAGAGAGAGAAGAGGAGAGAGATGACATTGCTTTGGAAACCAGACTTTGAAACAAATAGCATACAACACTATGTGTCAATCACTATCCTGAGTATTTTAAATATTATGATTTATTTTATCCATAAAGTTAGCAGGTACTGCTTATTTCATCCAGACAACTTAGTGACCACAAGTGACTTTAAGAACTTTAACAAGAGCTAGACTGCCACGACAACCGGGGTTGCCCTGCATTTCATCAGAGCTTCTCTACATTAGGGGGTTCTGCCTCACCTGAAAATCAAGATCCCTTAAATGAAACTTTTCAAGTCTGCTTTCCCAGCCTTGAATGTCATGGTCACACCTGAAGTCGTTTATCTCTGGACCCATCTCCTGGAAGGTTTAGGCATGATTGATAAATGCCTATGCACAGGTGAGCAACAGCCCCAGATTGTTAGCTGTATAATTGCATCCATACACCTGAAAAACGTGAGCAATTTCGCTCCGAGCTCTGAGGTGGTTTCGTATGAGCAGATTTTCAAGTGATGCCTGGGAAACTTTGAGAACACAATTGTCAGCCCCGGGAGAACTGAGCACCACCCAAAGGGAGGTAGTCCCGGGAAGGGGCGCTGTGCAGACCTCCAGGACCCAGCGGTATCAGCTGCCTTGAGCGGGTGAAGCTCCATGGTGAGTGTGCCAGAGCACAGCTTTAATTTCCTCTCATCCGTCCCTTTCTCTTGGGCAAAATGAACCATAAAGTTTATATTCACTTTAGTGTATACATTTTAAATATACCCTATAAACCACAGGAGTAATGAATTCAAGATGCCCACATCATAGTAATTCTGCATGCAAGCTGTGTTTTATGATTTGTATCCAGCCTTTTTAGGATTTTTCAATAGGACCAGACTCCAGACTGCAGGGAAATGAAAAGAAGGATAATGATGTGAAGTTTCACGTCACCGCTAAGTTTCCAGCACTGTTGTCCTGTAGTCACCAAGCGGGTGCATTTTTTGTGTGCGGTGAAGTGAGTGGATTGTCCCAGGCTGAGAGATGCCCAGGTAGGAGGGACACTTGGCCTTCCTGTGCTCCTTCCATTGGCTCTAGGTGTCCCCTGTGGGTTGCGATTGGTCATGTGAGCAAGCGAGCACGTGGGCTTGTGTACATTTCTGCATTTCTGGGATAGCCCTGCCTTGCAGGTGCCAGAGAAACACGTGCTTCAGAAGGGTCAGATTGGTCATGCATCTGTGCTCAGATTGAAGGAGTGGCCTCCCTGAAGAATTCCAGCTTGCAGAGGCACTTTCAAAATGCAGTGAGCTCAGGTTCCAGGAGCTGTTACGGCAGTTTTTGTCTCGACACTCCGTTCCCCTGAATTCCACTTTGGGAAGAAGGGAAGAAGCCACCATGGGCCAGGCAGGCGACAGAGCAAGCCCTAGCCAGATCGCAAGCCATCAGAGCCCTGTTCCTTCTCTCCAAAGTGGGCTTCATTTACCCCTCTTCAAGCAGCAGGACAGTCTGTTCAATGCAGGGGAGGCTTTAAGACATGGGGGCAGGGAGGGGTCATATTTTTGGCCTCGCTCCTGCTCTGCGGGCTTTCTCATGAATGCAGACCAGTGTGCACGAATGTGGCCAGGACACATGCTTTTCGCTCAGAATGCTCACTTGAAATGTAAGGATCTCTTGTTCCCTGTAACTTTAGATGAGGTTTCAAAACACAGAATCCATGCTGGAACCGCCAGGCCAGCAGCGGGAGGTGGGCTGTCTTCAGAGCAGATGGAACAAAGGATTGGGTTCCCAAGTTCTTATGGTAAGACAAAAGGGCAAGATGTCAACCCAGGACCACCCAAGGAAAATTAAATACAGATCGACTTTTGATGGTTTATGTTAACAGAGGGGAGATGGGGTTTTGATCTTGAGAAAAACAAACATCACAAACTCTACCGTAATCACTGTTTCTCACACCCTACAATAGAGTAGCAAGAACTGCTAGGTAGCCACAAACACACAAGTGGGGTGGGAGCTTCTGTTTCTTCTGCTGTTTAGTGTGCCTTCCATGGGCTAGCGAGCGCGGGGCAACATCAAGAAAAGGCACCCCAGGTTTCCCAGCCAGCCACTGATATAAGAGAAAAAAATGGGTCCTCCAGCAGTCAACTCCCCTTTCTCAACTCCAGATCTGGGATCAGAGGCCCTCCTGGCTCAGTCCTGGATCAGGGGCAGCCCACCCACCGACACCTCTCTCTCAGCCACAGCAGCGTCCATCACATCGGAGCTCCTACGCAGCCTGGGATTACAGGTGGAATGAACATCGCTAACTCTATTCTCAACCCAAATCTTTTTCTAGCTTTTTAAAAAAATGCATTATGAGGCTGGCACAGTGGCCCACGCCTGTGATCCCAGCACTTTGGGAGGCCGAGGCGGATGGATCACCTGAGGTCAGGACCAGCCTGGCTAATATGGTGAAACCCCATCTCTACTAAAAATACAACAAAATTAGCTGGGCTCAGGGGTGGGCGCCTGTAATCTCAGCTACTCAGGGGGCTGAGACAGGAGAATCACTTGAACCTGGGAGACGGAGGTTGCAGTGAGCCGAGATCAAGCCATTACACTCCAGCCTGGGTGACAGAGCAAGACTCTGTCTCAAAAAAAAAGAAATGCGCTAATGAAAAATTTCAAGCATCCTCAGAAGCAGAGGACATTCTACAATGAACCCGAGATTCAGCAGTTACCAAGATTTGCCACACTTCTTCATCTATCCCAATTTTCCCCTTTCTTTACAGCAAATTCCAGATATCATGTCATTTTAGCCCCTCATCCTTCGGGACGCATCTCTAAAAATATAGACATTTTCTTAATTTCAATGTCATTGTCACTCCTAAAAAATTAACAGTAATTCCTTGATATTATCTAGATCACAGTCCATATCAGATTTCCTGTATTTCATAAAATTGTCTCGATTAGTTGGTTAAGTTTCCTTAGTAGCCAAGAAAGATCTGCACATTTCATGTAGTTGTGATGCCTCCAGGTTCATCTTTCCTGCCCCACTCCTTGAATCAGCCATTTCTCTAAGAGTCCTTGGTTCCTTTTATTGGAAAATGGTGTTAGAAACTGAGCCACTGTGTCTGGCTCTTTCATTTTTATAATCCCAGCACTTTGGGAGGCTGAGGCAGACGGATCACCTGAGGTCAGGGGTTCGAGACCAGCCTGGCCAAAATGGCAAAACCTCGTCTCTAGTAAAAACACAAAAAATTAGACAGACATGGTGGTAGGCGCCTGTACTTGGAAGCCTGAGATGGGAGAATTGCTTGAACCTGGGAGGCAGAGGTTGCATTGAGCCGAGATCGTGCCATTGCTCTCCAACCTGGGCAACAGAGAGAGACTCTGTCTTAAGAAAAAAAGAAAAGAAAAGAAAAGAAAGAAACTAAGATCTAGTCCTGTTGCTATTGCTCAGTTATTGGGGTGCTTGTTGCTATTGGGGTGTTATTGCCTCTAAGCCTTTCAGCTGAGAGAGCAAGGAAATATATGTCCATGTACTATATTTGCCTATGTATATCCATATATCTAAAAATAGTTCTGTATGTACATCTATATCAGTATTAAGCTAAACATGAGTTATACTGATGTCTCCAATGCTAATCCAGTGCCATCTGGATCATTCTAACACCCTCCCTTGCTTACCTGTAATCTCCCACTCCAACAGTGAGAAAACTGGCTTCCAACAACCGTATTTACCCTTGACTTTTTTTTTTTTTTTTAAGATGGGGTATCGCTCTGTCTCCCAGGCTAGAGTGCAGTGGTGTGATATAGCTCACTATAGCCTCCAACTTCTGGGCTGAAGTGATCCTCCCAGCTCAGCCTCCCAAGTAGCTGAGACTACTACTACACACCATCAAGCCCAGCAAATTTTTATTTTTTGTAGAGATGAAGTGTTTCTTTGTTGCCCAGGCTGCTTGATGTCTTTCTAACCTACATCCGCCCTCCAAAAAAAATCACTACAAAATCCATTGTAAGTTATTTAAAACAAAAAAGGAATTTATTGAGTTTCTTTTTTTTTTTTTTTTTGCAGTGGAGTCTCACTTCGTTGCCTAGGCTGGAGTGCAGTGGCGTGATCTTGGCTCACTGCAATCTCCACCTCCTGAGTTCAAGGGATTCTCCTGCCTCAGACTCCTGAATAGCTGGGAATACAGGTGCCCACCACCACACCCAGCTAATTTTTTTTTTGGAATTTTTAGCAGACATGGGTTTCACCATGTTGGTCAGGCTGGTCTCGATCTTCTGACCTCAGGTGATTCACCCACCTCGGCCTCCCAAAGTGCTGGGATTACAGGCGTGAGCCACCACCTGTATATTTTAAAATATACTACCAAGATTTCCGTGGGAGTCCAAGAATCAGGTGTGGGGCTTTGCAGCTAGCACCACTCCGGACCAATTATGCACAAATGTGGCAGGCCATGTGTTTTTCATTCAGAATGCTTAGATGAAATGCCGTGCCAGGCCCGGGCACTGCCAGTGTGTGCCAGAATCTCCACCGCCACTGCCCCAAAGCCAGGCACCCACACCACCCTCTCACAAGAGCTGTTTCCTTGCATTACCCTCTTTCTAAATGAAGTCTCGGCTGGGCTCGTCTCATTGACAGAGCCTGTGTCAATGACAAAGCCCTAACCCCAAGGGAAAGTGAGTTTCCTGTTTCCTCCAAGGGAAGTCAAGATTCACAGTGCATGAAATTCCCCAAAGAGAGGAAAACTGTCCAAAAGATGTTGGGTGGCTATTTTAAAAATTGTACAGCCAGAGGGCTGGGTGCGGTGGCTTATGCCTATAATCCCAGCACTTTGGGAGGCCGAGGTGGGCAGATCACCTGAGGTCAGGAGTTCGAGACCAGCCTGGCCAACATGGTGAAACCCTGTCTCTACTAAAAATACAAAAATTAGCTGGGCATGGTGGTGCATGCCTGTAATCCCAGCTACTTGGGAGGCTGAGGCAGGGGAATTGCTTGAACCCGGGTGGTGGAGGTTGCAGTGAGCCGAGATTGTGCCACTGTACTCCAGCCTGGGTGACAGAGCGAGACTCTGTCTCAAAAATAAGTAAATAAATAAGTAATAAAAATAAAAATTACAGAGTAGGATTTTGTGTCAACCAAAATCATTCCTAAGAATCTGCACGGGAATCACCAAGCCCAGAGGGTACTCTTCAGGCTTTATCCTCTTGGCCTCATTGTGCTATCTATGGGTGGGCTCAGGGTTCCTACAGGAAACTTGTTGGAAGTCTCACCCCTGACTACAGCTACAATTCTCTCGCCTTTCCTCTTACTTTGCAGGTCATTGTTTCTCAGCCTCTCATGGACCCTTCTTCTTACACACCTTTTATATATATTTTTTCAATTATTTATTAATTGAATAGGTAATACACACATGGTACAAAACAAAAGGTAAAAAGGGGTGTATAGGCCGGGCATGGTGGCTCACACCTGTAATCCCAGCACTTTGGGAGGTTGAGGCGGGCGGCTCAAGAGGTCAGGAGATCGAGATCAACCTGACCGACATAGTGAAACCTTGTCTCTACTAAAAATACAAAAAATTAGCTGGGCGTGGTAGCGGGCGTCTGTAGTCCCAGCTACTCAGGAGGCTGAGGCAGGAGAATGGCGTGAACCCAGGAGGTGGAGCTTGCAGTGAGCCAAGATCGCGTCACTGCAATCCAGCCTGGGTGACAGAGCAAGACTCTGTCTCAAAAAAAAAACAAACAAAAGGGTTTATAGTAAAAGTTAAGACTCTCTTCCTTACCATCCATGTTATTTCTCTCCCCAAAGACTGTTACTTTCCTATATTTTCTTCCAGAGATATTTTATGCATATATAATCAAAAATATTCGGCTGGGTGCGGTGGCTCATGTCTGTAATCCCAGCACTTTGGGAGGCCAAGGCAGGCAGATCACGAGGTCAGGAGATTGAGACCATCCTGGCCAACATGGTGAAACCCCGTCTCTACTAAAAATACAAAAATTAGCTGGGCCTGGTGGCATGTGCCTGTAATCCCAGCTACTCGGGAGGCTGAGGCAGGAGAGTCACTTGAACCAGGGAGTCGGAGGTTGCAGTGAGCCGAGATTGTACCACTGCACTCCAGCCTGGCAACAGAGCAAGACTCCATGTCAAAAAAAAAAAAAAAAAATTCATAATTTTTCCATCCAGCTTCCAGAATGAAGGTATATCATGCTTTACACCTTCAGTCTGTATTTTGCTTCTTTTATTTAATTATATATCCTGGAGATGTTTTAATAGCAAAGCATGTAGAACAGCTTAGTTTTTGTAAAGACTGCCTTGTAGTCCATTGTATTATTAATTAGTTATGAATTAAACTAGTCCTATATTAATGGATGATTGTTTCAAATCTTTTACTTATTACAAACAAAGCTGCAATGAAGAAACTTGTATATCCACAATCTTGTACATGTGCCAGCACATCTGCAGGAAAATTCCTAGAAATAACATTTCTGGGGCAAGGGGTATGCACATTGCAAATTTTGATGAATACCATCAATTACTTTCCATAAATGTACTAATGTGTATTCCCACTAACAAAACATGTGATAGTGTCTCTTCCCCAACCTCTTGCCAACACAGTCGTTACCAGCTTTTTACCTTTGCCAATCTAATAGGTAACCCATGTGACCTCATTTTAGTTTTGTGCCTTTGTATATCTTGTGTTATAAATCAGGTAAAGCGTCATGTTAGGCCAGGCATGGTGGCTTAACGCCTGTAATCCCAGCACTTTTGGAGGCCGAGGTGGGTGGATCACTTGAGGTCAGGAGTTTGAGACCAGCCTGACCGACGTGGTGAAACCCCGTCTCTACTAAAAATACAAAAATTGGCGGGGTGTGGTGGCGGGCGCCTGTAATCCCAGCTACTTGGGAGGCTGAGGCAGGAGAATCACTTGAACCCAGGAGGCGGAGGTTGCATTGAGCCCAGATCACACCACTGCTCTCCAGCCTGGGCAACAGAGCAAGTCTTCGTCTCAAAAATAAATAAATAAATAAATAAATAAAAAGCATCATTTTACCTGACTTCAGCCACAGAAGAGGAGATACACTGGTTTTCCTCTTCTGTGGTTTGTCTCTTTGTATCCTTTGCCACCTTTTCACTGGGAAGTTAGTAATTTATATTGATTTATAAGAATTCTTTATAAATTAAGGAGATTGTGCTAGGTGAAGATCTGGAAAAAGGGCCTTCCGGGGAGGGGAGACAGCCAGCACAAACCCAGGACCAAGCAAAATGTGTCCTGGGAGCAGGAAAGACTCATGATGTAGCACACCGAGAGAAGCCAAATGACGTCCCAGGGTGGAGGCCACGTCACACTGTGCCTGATCACACCGTGCTGTTTTTCTAACTGCAATGGGAAGCTGTTAGAGAATTTTAAGCAGAATCCGCTCAGGAGGATTTGGATCTGGCCACCTGCCAGATGGTAACATTTATTAAGATGGGGAAGATGAAGAAGAGGATGATTATGACGGGAAAGCCTAGGGAGGGATAAAAAGTTCTACTTTCAATGTTTTAACCTGGAGATGCCTGTCAATCTGCCTTGGAGAAGTCCAGCAGACTGGTGGATTTCTGAGTTTCGCATTCAAGAGAATGGTCAGTGCTACAGATAAAATTTGGAGTCATCAGCATCTGAATGGCATTGACAGCCTTGAGGCAGGATGAAATCACCAAGGGTGAAAGTACTGAGACAAGGGACTTCAACCAGAGGAGGAACCAGCAAAAGAGGCAATGAGATAGGAGTAAAGCCGGGAGAGAGTGGTGCCCACGGAGCCAAGAAAAGGTCATGCGTCTAGAGGAAGGGGTCAGCCACTGAATGCCATAGTGAAACCAAGTCGATGAGGATTGACCACTGGTTTAGGCAAATGGGGATCAGTGGTAACCTTGACGATGGTAATTTCAGTTCTCTGGTGGAGATGGAAGCCAAAGGGCAGTGAGTTGAGGATGGAGTTGAGTAGAAACAGCACAGATAATTCTCAAGAACTCTTGCTGTGCAGAAGAGCAAGGGCAAAGGATTGGGGCAGTTGCTACAGGGGAATATGGGTTCAGGGCTTTTTGGTTTTTGTTTGGTTGGTTTCTTTTTGTCTTTTTTTTTTTTTTTTTTTTTTTTTGAGACAAAGTCTCACTCTGTTACCCAGGCCGGAATGCAATGGCGCAATCTCGGCTTACTGCAACCTTTGCTGCCCGGGTTCAAGCAATTCTCCTGTCTCAGCCGCCCGAGTAGCTGGGATTACAGGCACCTGCCTCCATGCCTGGCTAATTTTTGTACTTTTAGTAGAAACTGGGTTTCGCCATGTTGGCCAGGATGGTCTTGAACTCCTAACCTCAGGTGATCTACCTGCCTCAGCCTGTTGGTTGGCCCAAAGTGCTGGGATTACAGGCGTGAGCCACCACACCCGGCCGGTTGGTTGTTTTTAATTATGGGATACTCATGGGTCTATCGATCAGAATGACCCAGTGGAGAGGGAAAAATTGATGACACCAGATACAGGAAGGAAATTGCTGGAATGAAGTCCTGTAATAACTTGCAACCTCTTTCAGGGATGTTAAGCGCAGCCTCCTCTGAAGTAAGAAGTGAGTGAGTAGGGTGTGGAGTGGCCCGGAGTCCTAATGGCACACTGAAAGCTGAATGTGATGAATGTGGAGTGGTTAGGGAAGGTGGGAGGAGAAGCAGCAAGATAAAAGGAAGAGGAACTAGGATGTATTGGGCAGTAACCCTGTGCCAGGCAGACATAGGAACTTTGAAGTACCTTTTGAGGAACGTTTTGAATATTTATATCCTTTGTTTTGGTTTTTCATTGTGGTAAACTATACAAAATCTAAAATTTCAGAGTGGGAGACAATCTTCACAATCTATACATCTGACACAGGACTTATATCCAGAATCTGCAACGAACTCAAACAAATTAGCAAGAAAAAAATGAACAATCCCATCGAAAAGCGGGCTAAGGATATGAATAGACAATTCTCAAAAGAAGATACACAAATGACCAACAAGCATGTGGAAAAATGCTCAACATCATTAATGATCAGGGAAATGCAAATCAAAACCACAATGCGATATCACCTTACTCCTGCAAGAACGGCCATAATCAAAAAATCAAAAAATAATAGATGTTGGCATGGATGCAGTGAAAAGGGAACACTTCTACACTGCTGTTGGGAATGTAAACTAGCACAACCACTCTGGAAAACAGTGTAGAGATTCCTTGAAGAACTAGAAGTAGAACTACCATTTGATTCAGCAATCCCACTACTGGGTATCTACCCAGAGGAAAATAAGTCATTACACGAAAAAGATACTTTCACACACATGCTTATAGCAGCACAATTCACAATTGCACAAATGTGGAACCAACCCAAATCCCAGTTAATCAATGAGTGGATAAAGAAACTGTGGTATATACATATGATGGAATACTACTCAGCCATAAAAGGGAATGAATTAATGGCATTCACAGCAACCTGGATGGGATTGGAGACTATTACTCTAAGTGAAGTCACTCAGGAATGGGAAACCAAACATCGTATGTTCTCACTCATAAGAGGGAGCTAAGCTATGAGGATGCAAAGGCATAAGAATGACACAGTAGACTTTGGGGACTCAGGGGGAAAGGGTAGGACGGGGGTGAGGGATAAAAGACTACAAATTGGGTTCAGTGTATACTGCTCAGGTAATGGACGCACCATAATCTCACAAATCACCACTGAAGAACTTACTCATATAACCAAATAGACCTGTTCCCCAAAAACCTGTGGAAATAAAAAGTTAAAGAAAAAAACAAAATAAAGTGAAGAAGTATAAAATAAAATAAAAAAACACAAAAACTCTAAAATTTACCATTTTTAGGTACACAACTCAGTGGCGGTAAATACGGCCACAGTGTTGTACGACCATCACCACTATCCACCTCCAGAACTTTATCATCCCAAACTGAAACCGTATCCATTAAACAATATTCCCCTTTCCCCTCCTCCTAGCCCCTACTAAGCTCTATTCTACTTTCTGCCACTATGAATTTGCCTATTATAGGTACCTCATGTAAGTGAAATCATACAATATTTTGTGCCTGGCTTATTTCACTTAGCATAATATTTTCAAGGTTCATCCATGTTGCGGCTTGTATCAGAATTTCATTCCCTTTTATTATGGCTGAATAATATCCCACTATCTGTATAGACCACACTTCGTTTATGCATTCCTCTGCTGATGAACACTTGGGTGTTTCCACCTTTGGCTATTGTGAATGATACTGCTACGAACATGGCTGTTTGAGTACCTGTTTGAGTCCTTGTTTTCAATTATTTGGGGCATGTATCTAAAAGTGGCACCCTTTATTTTTTTGGTTAATGCTCACAGCAGCCCTCAGACAGATGTTCTTCAGGCTGGGGCCCCTTCTTTATTCCTTCAGTGGGAGGCCGTATGCTCCCAGGTCCCAACACAATTCCTCAGACTGAATTCCCCTTCTTTATTCCTTCAGTGGGAGCTTCCAACACAATTCCTCAAACTGGATATTGTCCATTGGTTTTGTTCTCAAACAGATTGAGGTTCCTCACCAGCCTCTGGTCCTCAGCCTCTTAGTCCTACAGCTCCTGTGTTTGCGGAAGAGAATCCCATCACAGGCTCTCGTGGGGAAGGTAGGCCACACCTCTTGGTCCCATGGCTGTCTGCGGTGAGAAAAGGGTGGGCGTGAGGAGGCTGCCTTATTGATATAAGGTGCTTGGTTATAGACGCCTCATGTATATGTCTGTAGGTAGACTTCTGCCTCATTTTTTGGATCCTTTTGAGTTGCAAAAGAGCTTTCTCTCCTGAAGTCACGCTGCTTCTGGGAAGAGCTAAAACCTGACTTTTCCAGGCAAAAAACAGTCACCTGAAAGCAAGTCATGATAACGTCATCACTTGAATATTTTGGCCGTGCTAAAACATAACACTTTAAACACTAGAAGATAAGTTATCATGATAGTAGATTGAGCTAGGAAAGTTATTTATAGAAAACAAGTAAAACAATAGAATTGCAACAATTTTTAACGCTAAGATTTCCTGTAAACCGCTATAGTCACAGGATAGTCTCTCCCTTAAGATATAAAATTATCTTGTGATCCAAAAAATAGCTGGTGTCAGCATTGTTTCAGCAAAGTTTCCCTTAAAATATAATTTTGCTTTCCTTTTATGATGTTATGATCTGCACGATTCTATAGAACTTCCTTGTCTTTACAAAGACATTCCTGGAATAAAAACCAATTTCGTGGCCCGTGGGGGGAAAAAAGGTAAGTTCTGAGTGAATATTTCTGGCTCCTTTCTGGATTGCAAGAAGCCAGTGAGTTGAGTACCCCAAAATAAATCCCGTTGGTGGGTGGGGCAAGGGTCAGAATTGGGGACTTGAATTACAGAATGACAGGATATCCAGGATCATAGCTTTTTTTTTTTTTTTAGACAGAGTCTCACTCTGCAACCTCTGCCTCCTGGGTTCGAGCAAACCGGGATCATAGCTCTTGCACTGCCATGCGTAGATAATTGCAGCACACTTGTCTGTGATGTATGTACAAGTCATTATTTTTTGGATGGTGGGGTGCATTTTTCTTATTTTCTCTATCTTTCCTCTTTCTTTCTTTTTCTTTCTTTCTTCTGTCTTTTCTTTCTCTCTTTTTCTTTCACTCTCTTTTCCTTCTCCCTTCCTTCTTTTCTTTTCTTTTCTTTCTCTCCCTATGCTGCCCAGGCTAGTCTTGAGCTCCTGGGCTCAAGTGATCCTCCCTCCTCAGCCTCCGCCTCCCAAGTATCTGGGATTACAGGCACAAACGACCGCTCCTGGTTGTCTTTCTTTCTTTCTTTCTCTCTCTCTTTCCTTCTTTCCCCCTTTCTCTCTCTTTCCTTCTTTCCCCCTTTCTCTCTCCCTCTCTCTTTCTTTCCTTCCCTCTTTCTCTCTTTCCTTCTTTCCCTCTTTCTCTTTCTTTCCTTCTTTCCCTTTCTCTCTCTCTCTTTCCCTTCCCCTCCCTTCCCCTCCCTTCCCCTCCCTTCCCCTCCCTTCCTCCCTTCCTCTCTCTTTTTCTCTCTTTCTCTCTTTCTTTCCTTCTTTCCTTCTTTCCTTCTTTCTTTCTTTCTTTCTTTCTGATGGGGTCTCCCTATGCTGCCCAGGCTAGTCTTCAGCTCCTGGGCTCAAGTGATCCTCCCTCCTCAGCCTCCGCCTCCCAAGTATCTGGGATTACAGACACAAACGACCATGCCTGGTTGTCTGTCTTTCTTTCTTTCTTTCTTTCTTTCTTTCTTTCTTTCTTTCTTTCTTTCTTTCTCTCTTTCTTTCTTTCTCTCTTTCTCTCCTTCCTTCCTTCCTCCCTTCCCTCCCTCCCTCCCTCCCCCTCCTTCGTTCCTTCCTTCCTTCCTTTCTTTCTTTCTCTTTCTTTTTTTTTTTTTTTCAAGATGGAGTCTTGCTCTGTCGCCCAGGCTGGAGTGCAGTGGCGCGATCTCGGCTCATTGTAACCTCTGCCTCCCAGGTTCAAGCGATTCTCCTGTCTCAGCCTCCCAAGTAGCTTTTCAATTTGGTCTTATCAACTTTAAACTGATCTCAGATGTGTCTTACTTCCCTAATACAGTTTTCATATCTGTTCCTTAGTCATTAATACCTAAGATATTTTTCCAGCTGGGTGCGGTGGCTCACGCCTGTAATCCCAGCACTTTGGGAGGTTGAGGTGGGTGGATCACCTGAGGTCAGGAGTTTGAGACCAGCCTGGCCAACAAGGTGAAACCCCGCCTCTACTAAAAATACAAAAATTAGCTGGGCATGGTGGTGGGCGCCTGTAGTCCCAGCTACTCAGGAGGCTGAGGCAGGAGAATCACTTGAACCCAGGAAGCAGAGGTTGCCAGTCTTGGAGCCAGGATTGTGCCACTGCATTCTAGCCTAGGCAACAGAGCGAGATTCTGTCTCAAAAAAAAAAAAAAAAAAAAAAAAAAAGATATTTTTCCTAGAGCTTTTTGTTTGTTTTGTGCTTTTTGGCTTGGTTTTTGGTGACTCTTGTTTGACTCTGTCTAGATCTTTTTCCACTTCAGAGTTTTGTTGTTGTTTTACGATTTCCCAGTTCTCTTTCTGGAGTACATTATTGCAGCTATTTGCTTTTTTTTTTTTTTCCCCATTCCTTTTAGACACGTGTCTTCATTTTAGCTTTCAGATTATATTTTCTTGAATTTACTTGAAAAAATACTTCTTCAATATATAGTTAAATAAAGAATAAATCAGTGTTTGGATGACTACTGACCTATTTCCATTTTTAATTTTCAATCCTCTAGAGAATCAGTGATAAAGATTGTATTTGTAGGGATAGCATTCGGAGATATACCTAATGCTAAATGACGAGTTAATGGGTGCAGCACACCAGCATGGCACATGTATACATACGTAACTAACCTGCGCATTGTGCACATGTACCCTAAAACTTAAAGTATAATAATAAAAAAAAAAAGATTGTATTTGTGAAATTCCTTATGGCACACACTTGTTTGGATCCTTTTATGTGAAAAGATCCTTTTTCTATTCCATTTATATTTCTTATATGGTATAAATCAAAATTATGAAAGCTTTTAAAAATGATGTTTATTTAATAGTTAATTCTGGCCCAGTGCAGTGGCTCACACCTGTAATCCCAGCACTTTGGGAGGCCAAGGTGGGAGGATCATTTGAGGCCAGGAGTTCCAGACTAGCTTGGGCAACACAGCAAGACACTGTTTCTATTTTTAAAAAATTGTTAACTCTAAAAATATGTTCTTTCCTATTTAAGTCAGGAATAAGAAAAGAATAGTCCCTGTCACATTACTCCTGAATATCCTTCTGGAATCTTGGCCAATAAAATCAGACTAGGAAAACAAAGACACACAAGTATTAGGAAGGAAGGAACAAAAAAGCAATTTAAAGATGGTATGTTTGACTACCTAGAAAATCCAAGAGAAGCATTCTATTTTAAAAAGACATGCTTAAGGGGAAAACATCAAAAACACAGAACATCAGTAAGAAAATAATGCGAATCATCCATAATCCCTCTAGCCAGAGGAAACCACTGTTAAAAATGAACAATTTGGAGCCAGTCACGGTAGCATGCACTTGTAATTCTAGCTACTCAGGAGGCTGAGACAGGAGGATCTCTTGAGGCCAGGAGTTCAAGACCAGCCTGGGCAACATAGTGAGACCCCCCCCCAGCCCCCATCTCTTAAAAATTTTTAAAGTAAAAAAAATGACAATTTGGTCTATATCTTTCCTTATGTTTTTGCACATATGTGTGTATGTTTATGTGTTTGTACACATAATATATTTATTCCAAACATCTTACATCTAATTATATGGCCATTGACTGTTATGTAAAGTGATCCTACAGAGGGAATTCCTGTATTACTGTGGCAGAAGTTTAGTCCCTGCTGTGAGAATGGTGATAGAGCATTTCACCTGGGTCAGAGGACAGAGACTCAAGCCTGACCATAAAAAGTTCCAAAACACAAAAATGTTTTAAAACTAATTTGGTAACAAACCTTAACCTAAAATGATATAAGGCTATTCAGCCTTTATTCACCCCAATTAGGATTAACATTCATATCATATGAAAATATGTTATTGCATTACATTACAGGGATCTTCCAGAGGACCCCTGGGTTTTGGTTTTTGTTTTTTTTTTGAGATGAAGTTTCATTCACTCTTGTCACCCAGGCTGGAGTGCAATGGCGCCATCTCAGCTCACTGCAACCTCCGCCTTCCAGGTTCAAGCAATTCTCCTGCCTCAGCCTCCCAAGTAGCTGGGATTACAGGCATGTGCCACCACACCTACCTAATTTTTGTATTTTTAGTAGAGACGGGGTTTCACCATGTTGGCCAGGATGGTCTCAAACTCCTGACCTCAGCTGATCCACCCACCTTGGTCTCCCAAAGTGCTGGGATTACAGGCGTGAGCCACCGCTCCCGGCCACTCCTGGTGGTTTTATGCTCTGTGTTACCTTTCAAAAATCCAAAATATTATGAATTCTGAAACAGTCCCCAAGGCTTTGGGCAAGAGATTATGTATCTGTAATATACTGAGCAGCAGCCAGGGATGCCAAAAATATAGAAATATGTGTGCTACAGCACAGGAACTCACAACCAAAGTTGAAATGGCAAGATATGTGCACAGGAAAAGCTTTAAACCTTTCAAATACACCATTAAGCCAATATGCATATAGTCCTAGTCTATATTGACGTGAATGGCTCTACAGCACTGCCTATGAATGTTTACTTAATATGCGAGTGCCCCAAATCATACAGAATCACGTTTGATGGATAGCGTCCTGACCTAAAATACAGAAGAGATGTGTCTGACCAGAGGGGAGGAAAAGATTCTTTTTTTTTTTTTTTTTTTTGAGACAGATGGAGTCTCGCCCTCTGGCCCAGGCTGGAGTGCAGTGGTGCAATCTCAGCTCAGCGCAACCTCTGCCTCCCGGGTTCAAGCGATTTTCCTCCCTCAGCCTCCCGAGTAGCTGGGATTACAGGTGGGTGCCACCACACCCGGCTAATTTTTGTAGTTTTAGTAGAGATGGGGTTTTGCCATGTTGGCCAGGATGATCAGGAGGAAAATATTCTTTATCATCCCTGTGTATTTGAGTCTTCTAGTGGCAAGCATCAGAAACCTGACTTCAAATGAATGAAGCAAAAAAGGAAACTCTTGGCTCCTGCTTGGATGAAGCCCCTGTGTTGATCACCACCACCCCCTCAGTCCCACTTTCTTCTCTGTTGTTTCTTTCTCTGTCAGGCACTTTCCACATCGTGGGAAAGATGGCCACTGCCGGTGCTCAGTCTCCAGTCCCTGCAGACTGCAATCCCAGGAGGGAAAAAAAAGAAAAGTCTCTTGCCCTGTATCCATCTCAGTCTCTCAGAATGACCCAGCCTGGCCTTGCCGGTGTCTTGGCCCCTAGCTGGTCTGATGACTGTACCTTGAGGGGATGGGGGACGCTGACCCACACGAGTCACATCTTGGTGGGAGGGAATGCAGGACTTTGTAATTGACAGCCATGCTCTAGTCACATGGAAAGGAGATGGGCGATTTCAAATCCAAAGGGTGCTGGGACAATTAAAAAAAAAAAAAAAAAGAGGGCCCTCTTTGCAGAAGTGGTCACAGGGTGAGAGCAGAGGATGACGACAGTCGAAAGGACCCCAGTTGCTCTTTGGTCACAGTGCTGACGTTCCTGCATATGCAATAGGCACGGCATTCACAGGAGAGCAGTGGCATAAGAAAGCTTTGGAAGTGCCTTGTGCTAAATTAGATGAGTCTTAAGAAGATGCTTAAAGGAAAGACGGGAAGTGCGTTGGTGGGAGGAATGGAAGAGAGTATCATAGGTAGGAGTGCAGCATTTATCTGCTTAAATGATTTTGCTCCTGGCTGAGTCTAAATAAGAATATTCTTGTGAGTAGTTTTTTTTTCCTTCTATACATGAGAAATTTCTGACTCCTTTCTGCATTGAGACAAACTTGTGAGGACAGGCTCATGTTTGATGGATGGAGCCCTGACCTAAAATACAGAAGAGATGTGCTTGACAAGGGAAAAAAAGAGATCAGTTATAATCCCTATGCATTAGATTTTTCCAGTTGCAAGCACTGGCAACCTGACTTAATATGAATTTAACAAAATTTATGCTGGGCGCAGTGGCTCATGCCTATAATCCCAGCACTTTGGGAGGCTGAGGCTGGTGGATCACCTGAGGTCAGGAGTTCGAGACCAACCTGACCAGCATGGTGAAACTCCATCTCTATGGAAAATACAAAAATTAGCCCGGTGTGGTAGTGCAGGCCTGTAATCCCTGCTACCCAGGAGACTGATGCAGAATTATCACTGGAACCCAGGAGGCAGAGGCTGAAGTGAACCAAGATCATGCCACTGCACTCCAGCCTGGGTGACAGAGCGAGACACTTTTGCAAATAATAATAATAATAATAATAATAAATCTGTTGGCTCTTTTGGAGAAATGTTAAGGAGCAGCAGACAACAATTTTATGACTGGGGCTGGTTCTATTATAATTCTGATATTATATATCAGAGTCTCCTACATTCAAGCTGCAATAACTTTCTAAACAGCTTGCTGAAAGTCACCCAGGGAATTATTTGTTGATGTTCCAGAAGAGGGAGATACAAAGGCAAAGGGATTGTTCCCGGAATTTTTCTGAGTAATTAAGTTACAGTTGCTATTTGCAAGTCACTGCAAAGGAAATCTTCCAGTAGATGCTACTTATTCAGCCATGTGTGCAAAACTAGATATTTCTTACATTAACATTGTAATTATATTTGGCATCATTTTTTGTTTTGCTTTAGATGGACAAAGATTAAGTCTTAAGTGTACAAGTCAGAGAAGGAGAAGACACATTTCTGATGCCTTTGAGTAATTCTGATCTGCTAAATTAGACACACAGCCTGGCATAGACCAACCCCAGTCCATTATCACAGACTGAAGACCAAAGAAAGGAATAAATGAAACCTGTAATGTGCTGAGCATTTTACATAAATCATCTTTGGAATTCTCACAATGCAAGGAAGATACCATTATCCCTATCTTAGCAGATAAAGAAAGCAAATCTCAGAGAGCTTTTACTCACTTTTCCAGGACCAGTCAGCTCTTAAGATGTAAAGCCAGGATTCTAGAACTGAATCATCTGATTTCAAAGCCTGAGCAAGGGGGAAGTGGTGCACGCCTGTAGTCCCAGCTACTAAAGAGGCTGAGGTGGGAGGATCCCTTAATCCTAGGAGTTTGAGTCCAGCCTGGGCAACATAGCAAGAACCAATCTCAAGAAAAAAATTAGCAATGCAAGACCATGAGCCCAGCTTCATACTGGTGGTATTTTTGGGGGATAATTAAGCTGTGTAACATGTAGCTTTTGATTTCCTTTTACAACTTCTCTCCTTAACACCTATAGATTTATTATCATCAAAATACAATGTAGTCTGGGCACAGCGGCTCACGCCTATAATCCCAGCACTCTGGGAGGCCGAGGCAGGTGGATCACCTGAGGTCAAGAGTTCGAGACCAGCCTGGCCAACATGGTGAAACCCTGTCTCTACCTGAAAATACAAAAATTAGTCAGGCATGGTGGCAGGCGCCTGTAATCCCAGCTACTCGGTAGGCTGAGGCATGAGAATCACTTGAACCAGGGAGGTGGAGATTGCAGTGAGCCAAGATCATGCCATTGCACTCCAGCCTGGGCGACAGAGCAAGACTCAGTCCCAAAGAAAAGGAAAAACATACAATGTAAAAAGCACAATCCAAGGAGCTGAAAACGCAAGAGAGAACTGCCTACCACCTTTGCTTGCCAGGAATTCACAGACTATTGGGAGAGAGAACACAAATATGAAACAATAAACAACCTATGGGTGGAATTGGGCTGAGCAACCAGGACCAGAAGCTTCTAGTGATGCCCCAATGCCCATTTCCCTTCTTCAGTAAGACAACCCTCCTGCCTCCTTCCACTAGATAAGACTGTAGCCATGTGGAACAGAGACTGTACTTATGGAATCCTTTATGGCAGTTTCATGTAAGTAAATTCTGTCTAGTGGGATGCAAGCAGAAAGGACAAGTGCAGTTTCTGACAGGGAGTCTTAAAGGAAAAGGACAATCCATTCCTCTTCCCTGCCTGTTAGAGCCTTGGCAGCCATCTTGAATCAGGAGGTGAGTTTGGAAGTGGAAGTCGCTCGTGGCAGAACTACCCATGGGAGAATCCCGGGGATCTGACTCTGAGGGGTGCAGCTCCTACCCTGGACTGCCCACCTCCATTCTTTTATGTGAAAGAGAAGTAAACTTCAATCTAACTTAAGCCATTGTTATTTTGGGTTTTTGTCATTGTAAGCAAGTTTAATCCTAACTATTAAAAAGGTACAGTTCTATAAGCACTCGCCACCTCCCCCAAATCCTACCAGGTGACCTTCATTCAGCAAGTGACTTAACCTTCCCCAGGGTGGCTGTGAGAACCCAGTGAGATCAACCCATGAGAGACCAGGAAAAAGCTCGCGGGGTTTTGAGTTGGCCTGTGTGATGCAGTGTGACTGGGGGAAACAAAGGAAGAAAACTAATACCCAGGACTCATCAATTCACAATTTCCTGAAGTGCTTCACGGTCAGCATGTGCAGAATAATTTCTAAAACTGTGTAGCCTTAGTCCCAGGGAGGCTGAGCTGGGAGGATCACCTGAGCCCAGGAGGTCGAGGCTGCAGTGAGCCGTGATCATGCCACTGCACTCCAGCCTGGATGACAGGGTGAGACCCTGTCTCAAAAATTTATTTATTTATTTGTTTGTTTATTTATTTATTTAATTAAATAAAACCATGTAGCACAGACATTAAGTTCTTTGTAGATTCAGAGCTGATAAAATTTGTGTGCTGCAGTAAATGATTAAAGGTTTGATGAGGGAGATGAAGTATGAGTGGGGTGTTAAGAAATGAATCCGATTTGGTATGCAAGTCATGACTCCTAACTACAAGTTATGGAAAATCAACCCTGTTTGGAAAAACAAAAAAAAAGTGGGTGGGGAGGAGGTTGGTGGTTGAATCATGTAATTAAAAAGGCAAGAAGTAAGCTCAGGGAAGGCTGGATGGAGACCAAATGATGTCATTAGGATGCGGTCTCAGCTCTGCTTTCCTGAGTTCATTGCATTTTCATAAGGCAAGGAGTGGTGTCTGGCAGCTGTGGATGTACATCCTATCAGCTCAGCAACCCAGGTGGAAAATACCTTCTTCCTTAGGGCTGCAGAGAAACCCTCAACCTACCTGACTCCCTGTGCCTCTGATTCTGCAGACCTGGGTCATGTTCCCACCCCTGGAGTGGATAGGGGCAGAAGAATGTAGCCTCAGCCCCATCCAAACTGCAAGAATTAAGAGTTCCAAAAGGGTGGTTTTCCAAAAGGAAAAGTGAGGTGCTATTGGCAGGAGAAGGGGAGTTGATGCTGGGAGGAATGTTATTCGAGTGTTATGGCAGAGGAGAGAAAAAGCAAAGAAAGAAAGTCTAGAATGAGTGGAATAACATGAGCTGAATGGAAGAGAAAACTCAAGTAGGCAAGACAAGTGCTGGCAAGGGACCACCTTCCTTTGTATTATTTCTCTCTCTCTCTCTCGTTTTTTTTTTTTTTTTTGAGCCGGAGTCTCACTCTGTCACCCAAGCTGGAGTGAAGTGGCGCAATATCGGCTCACTTTAACCTCTGCCTCCCGGGTTCAAGTGATTCTCCTGCCTCAACCTCCCGAGTAGCTAGGATTACCACATGGTGGGAGTAGCCACCATGCCCGGCTAATTTTTGTATTTTTTGTAGAGACGTGGTTTAATCATGTTGACCAGGCTGGTCTCGAACTCCTGACCTCAGGTGATCCACCCGCCTCGGCCTCCCAGAGTGCTGAGATGACAGGCATGAGCCCCGCCAGGGGATCCCCTTCTTCTTTGCTGCACTAGTTTGCTTGGACTCTCATAACAAAATAAGCGGCATCAACAACGGAAATTTATCGTGGAGACTGGAATTCTGGAGTTCCAAGTTTCCTCTGAGGCCGCTCTCCTTGGCTTGCAGATGGCCTCCCTCTTGCTGCCCTGCTCTGCTCATGTGTCCCCGGTATCACTTCCTCTTTTTTATAAGGACACCAGTCACATTGGATTAGGGCCCACCCATAGGACCGTATTTAATCTTGATTACCTCTACAAAGGCCCTATCTCTAACTATAGTAACAGTCTGAGGTACTGGGGATTAGGACTTCAACATGTGAATTAGGTGGGGGGACCCAGTTCAGCCCATGTCACTCACTGTTGTCCAAAGGGCAGTAATGAAATGCATGGATTGGGGATTTCTTATACATTTATAAAAAATGCAGTAGTTACAGCTGGATGGTGTGAGCAGCCAGTTCTCAGCAAATCTTCCTTATGATCCTTGTCAAAAGACAAAATTACAACAAATTTAGTTTAAAGATCTCTAGTGGCTTTATTTGCGATTCGAGAATCGTGCAACACTTCATTCCATAAAATAGAATGAGTGTTCTGATGAGCTGAGCAGAGAAGGGTGGATTTATAGGCAGAAAAAGTGCTGAAGAAAGCAGAAACAAAGAACAAAAAGCAGATTGGTCATTTCAAAGTTATTTCCCTTGTAAGGTGGGGACAGAACAATAGAAAAATTACTGACTGGGTATGATCAGTTTACTTCAGATTAAGGGTTAAAAGAGGGGCATTCATTATCATGCCGATCGAAGACAGAAACTGGCCTGGTTGGGAGGGAGATTGCCAGTTATCTCTCTCTCCTGATTTCTCAGAAGATCAGCTTGACAGTTTTAGTTTGGTGCCTGGGAACCTCAGCATTAGTGACATCATTTTGATCTTTAGTCTGGTCTGGTGGGGGCTTTTGCAGGAGCTCAGTCCAAAACAATGGACTCCGATAATTTTTTTTTTTTTTTTTTGAGACGGAGTCTTGCTCTCTCGCCCAGGCTGGAGTGCAATGGCAGGATCTGGACTCACTGTAACCTCCGCCTCCTGGGTTCAAGTGATTCTCCTGCCTCAGCTTCCCAAGTAGCTGGGATTACAGGCACCTGCCACCACACACAGCTAATTTCTATATTTTTAGTAGAGACGGGCTGGTCTCATGTTGGCCAGGCTCGTCTCAAACTCCCGACCTCAGGTGATCCACCTGCCTCGGCCTCCCAAAGTGCTGGGATTACAGGAGTGAGCCACCGCGCCCGGCCTGCTAATTTTTATATAACACTCTAAATCAGTGAAACCTGCCATCATGAAAATTAAATCCGTCTTCTAGAGAAACTAGGCTTCCAGAAAGCTCAGCCCACTGGAATGGCAGTGCATAGCCAAAACCAAGCAAATAAACAAAAGGAAGAATTGCAACCAAGGAACCCACAAATCAAAGGTGCAGTTACACAAAGGCTCTGCAACTTGTCAGTTATCTATGGGAAGGCCAGTGACACTCCAAGTAGCCAGCCTTATTGGGCAAAGCTAAGACATGTAGGGTCAGGATGGATGGAAGGCACATTGCCTAATGCAGTGTTCTGTTCTGTTCATAGCAGACACACAGGAAGCAGTGGCTAGATGAATTTATCAAAAATGAGCAGAAGGAAGAAGAAAGAATCTCTGTGGTATTGGTGAGTTGTTTGTTCTGACAATAGACATAGAGCAAAAAACTCCTGACTTCCAGGGCAGGGAGATGAGAGTGGAGAGGCAAAGGCCACTTGAGCTTTGATTCAGAAGCACTTGAAGCCTTAAGTATGAGATAAGTTACCTCCAGAATGTGTGTGTGGAAGGGAGGGGAGGTAAGAGGAGGGGCAAGCAACGTGTTACGTTCCTGGATCACCTAACCAAAAATAGAGACACTCCCCACCCCCAGCACTAGAGACACCCCCATCCCCAGCACTAGAGACATCCCCCACCCCCAGCACTAGAGACACCCCCCACCCCCAGCACTTTGGGAGGCCAAGACGGGAGGATTGTTTGAACCTAGGAGTTCAAGACCAGCCTGGGCAAGATGGTGAGATCCTGTCTCTACAAAAAAAAAAATTTTTTATTAGCCAGGGAGGGTGGCACGTGACTGTAGTCCCAACTACTTGGGATGCTAAAGAGGACTGCTTGAGCCTCGGAATTCAAGGCAACATCGAGCTATGATGATGCCACTGCCCTCCAGCTTCGGCAGCAAAGTGAGACCCTGTCTCTAAGAAAAAAGAGAGATTCCCTCTAGCCCCCACCAGCCTCATCCTATGTCATCTACCATCTGTCCACTCTATTTCCTAGCACTTATCAATATATGAAATCATCTTATATAATTGTTTAATTACTTTAATATTCCATCCCCACCACCTCCAGATTATAAGTGCTATGAAGGGGCCTTCAGGTGGTTCCTCACCATGTCTTAGTAGCCAGAACAGGACCTACCTAGCATATACTCGGTGCCCAGAAACATTGTTTAATGAATAAAAGAGAAAGAGCAAAGGATATCAGAGATTTCTGTAATAAAATAAAGGTAACCATGTGTTGGGAACAGGCCCCCCAAAATCTGGCCATAAACTGGCCCCAAAACTGGCCATAACCAAAATATCTGCGGCACTGTGACATGTTCATGATGGCCATGACGCCTATGCTGGAAGGTTGTGGGTTTACTGGAATGAGGGCAAGGAATACCTGGCCCACCCAGGGTGGAAAACTGCTTAAAGGCGTTCTTAAACCCCAAACAATAGCATGAGTGATCTGTGTCTTAAGGACGTGCTCCTGCTGCAGATAACTAGCCAGAGCCCATCCCTTTATTTCGGCCCATCCCTTTATTTCCCATAAGGAATTCTTTTAGTTAATCTATAATCTATAGAAACAATGCTTATCACTGGCTTGCTGTCAATAAATACATGGGTAAATCTCTGTTCGAGGCTCTCAGCTCTGAAGGCTGTGAGACCCCTGATTTTCCACTCCACACCTTTATACTTCTGTGTGTGTGTCTTTAATTCCTCTAGCACCACTGGGTTAGGGTCTCCCTGACCGAGCTTGTCTCGGCAACCATGTCCAAGTAATTAATCATTCTGTGGGGAGCTTGGGGATCCTGAATGCTTCATTCCCTGAAATTGATGCATAGTCAGTGTATACATTTTGGTTAGAAAATCTGTGATGACATCATGAAAAATCAGCATTGTTTTCCTGTTCCTTTTGCAATATTAATAGTAAAAACATGATCTCCTAGGAGCGTTATTGAACTTTTATGTACGTATGTATGTATCTAGAGATGGGGTTCTTGCTATGTTGCCCAGGCTGGCCTCGAGCTCCTAGGCTCAAGGGATTCTGCTGCCTCAGCCTCCCAAGTAGCTGGGACTACAGGCACACACCACTGCCCCTGGCCTAAACTTTTAGTGAATTTATCTATTAACCATGTCTTCTTTTCTGTAATCTGATGCTTTGACATCTGGGGCCTTGCTGACCCTGGAAGGGTCAATTCCTAGAGATACTAAACAACTCAGTGGTAAGCATATTTCTCAAATGTAAACCAAAAACTCCAGAGCCCAAACCTAACCACCTCCTTTATGGAGCCCTCATACTCTAGGCCACCACCCACCTGCCCTTACCACCCCAGGGCTGGGTACCAGACAGCTAGGGACAGCCCATGTGCTCCATAGCTCACAGAGTTTACTCAAACTGGGCTGGGTGCGGTGGCTCACGCCTGTAATCCCAGCACTTTGGGAGACCAAGGCGGGCGGATCACGAGGTCAGGAGATCGAGACCATCCTGGCTAACAACATGAAACCCTATCTCTACTAAAAGTACAAAAAATTAGCCGGGCGTGGTGGCGGGTGACTGTAGTCCCAGCTACTCGGGAGGCTGAGGCAGGAGAATGGCGTGAACCTGGGAGGCAGAGCTTGCAGTGAGCTGAGATCACGCCACTGTACTCCAGCCTGGCCAACAGAGCCAGACTCCGTCTCAAAAAAAAAAAAAAAAAAGAATTTACTTAAACTGGCCAATCCTAAATTGCCTGCTCTGCCTCATCTGTTTCTTCCTTTGGAAACCACAATAAAGGCTCTTGCTACCCACAGTTTCTATCATCACTCCCCCACTCCCCCAGCCCCCTACCTCTAGCCTTCTGACCAACCCTGGCATTTCCCTGTGTGGCCCCCAATGGCACGATGTGCCCCTTTCTCTTGGGAACTGTGAGTATCAAACTGTCTTTTCAATGGCAGTCATCTCCTGATCTGTTGGCCTTAGTATACCTAAGATTTTCTATTACTACATTATATTTTAATAACAATATACCAATTAAGGCCGGGCTCAGTGGCTCACACCTATAATCCCAGCACTTTGGGAGGCCAAGGTGGGCAGATCACCTGAGGTCAGGAGTTCAAGACCAGCCTGGTCAACATGGTGAAACCCATCTCTACTAAAAATACAAAACATGAGCCAGGTGTGGTGGCCCACGCTTGTAGTCCCAGCTACTGTGGAGGCTGAGGTGGGAGAATCGCTTAAACCGGGAGGTAGAAGTTGCAGTGAGCAATCACGCCACTGCACTCCAGCCTGGGTGATGGAGCAAGATTGCATCTCAAAAACAAACAAAAAACAAAACACAGACAATATACCAAAACACAGACAATATACAGTGACATGTTCAACTGTAAATAACAGAAAACCCAATTCAAACTGCCTTAAGCCATAAAGGAGACAGGATGTGGATTGAGAGTTGGGGCAGCCTCCAGGGTTCGTTTATTTCAGTCTCTGGTGATGTCTTCAAGGCCCTACTGTCCATCTGTCATCTGGGTTCTGGAACAGCAGATTGATCCTTTACTCCCAGGCCCACGTGCATCTCCTTCCAAGCCTAGGGAGAGAGACCAGGGCTCCTCTGGAAGCTGTCTGAGAAGAATGGGCAGCTTCATTCCCAAGAGCTCCTGCAAGTACCTTTGCAAAATTGGAGTATGTGCTCATCCCTGGCTAAGAAAAGAATTATGTTGATGAATTTGGGCCTGAGCCAAATGACTTCCCTGGAATCACAAGGGCAGTCAGTCAACTTTCCAAGAAGCTCGTGAGCTGAGAGGAGTCGTGGACACCAAGTCAAGAAAAGGGAAAACTCATGCTCAGTGACACCACAATGTCCAGTGCAATAATATAATAGCAGAGAGGGACAAAACATAAGAAACGGCACAGGACAATAATCTGTGTTGAGGAAGGTGGTGGTACCACATAGCTGCTCTAGGTACCATATTTGCAAGTAAAATTCTCTATCTTTATTGTTTATTTATTTATTTATCTTATTTTTTGAGATGGAGTCTCTCTCTGTTGCCCGGGCTGGAGTGCAGTGGCACCATCTCTGCTCACTGCAAGCTCTGCCTCCCGGGTTCATGCCATTCTCCTGCCTCAGCCTCCCGAGTACCTGGGACTACAGGCGCCCGCCACCATGCCCGGCTAATTTTTTGTATTTTTAGCAGAGACAGGGTTTCTCCGTGTTAGCCAGGATGGTCTCGATCTCCTGACCTCATGATCGGCCTGCCTCGGTCTCCCAAAGTGCTGGGTTTACAGGCGTGAGCCACTGCACCCAGCGAAATTCTCTATCTTTAGTGGCTTTTACTAGAATTACAAGGAGACAACTTCACTTCTTCTGAGATATGGTTCTAATTTTGAGATAGCCATGGGAAAAAAAAGTCATTAAATTTATATTTTATTTCTATCTTACATTTGCCTGCCTGATCTTTGAGGGTTGTAAACCTGATGGGAAAGAGGTCATATATTTTAATAGCATGTTGGCATTTAAAATGCCAAGAAGTGAAAAAAAAATCAGGATTCCTTTTAGCCTGAGAATTTTAATGCATGTTCGTTGCTTTTCTTCAATAATTCCTCTCATTTCACACGTACACAAAGACATGACCTCCCCCCTCCACCCCCGCCACCATCGGACACACATATTTAGTCCTGGGAGAGATGTGGCATCAAATCAGAAGCAGTTTTTCTCTAAAGAACCAGAGTAAAGAGGCTAATTTAATTAGCGTCCAGTCTGGAAGGAATGAAAACAGCATAGCATCTGTAATGCAGAAAGGTTATTTGCTATCTGCCTCTTGAAAAGATGTCTGCTTGATTTGTGTCATTCTGCTGCCCTCAACAATAGAGATTTGCTCTCCTCTCTGCAACAGACATATTTCCAATCACCAAGCTCTTGTGGATTTATGCTCTCTTCCTGATTTAAACAGCAACTCCCAGAAGGCAGTCTACATTTCAGCATCAGAGGATGGAGGGTTCCTTAGACATTCTGCAAGCATGTATTGCATTTATCACCAAATTAGAGGTAATTGTGAGCACAGAAGAAAAATGATCAAATTCACAAATTACACTGCTAATTTACCCAACTACAATTATGTTGAATATATGCATTTTGCCTTGATTTTTGCATTTGGTGAAAGTCATATCTGCTATGAAAACAAGACTAGCAAGCAATATTTCACGTGTTACTTCTAATAAAAACAGAATGAGAAAATGGAGAGGAAAGCACTTTGTAAATCCTAAAGCACTATATAGAAGTGAGTTACTCTCAGTGATTCCATTGTTTGCTAAGCTTTACTTAAAGAAAAAAAGGTTGCCTAGAGAACTGCATAAGTGAGCTCATTTTCTTCCTTTACTGACATTCTAAACGCATTAGAATGATCTGTTTTTTCTACATATTTTAACATGTTCAGATGGAAAGTCTCACCCAGATAAATATTTTCACAGTCTAAAAAGCTGTCTGCTCCCAACTCAGTTTTTTTTAATGGGCAAAAGACTTGAACAAGGACTTCACAAAAGAGGTCATATAAATGACAAACAACATTTAAAAGTGCTCATGGTTAATCACCAAGGAAATGCAAATTCAATCCACATTTATTGACCACTACATGCTCAACTGAATGGCTAACATTGATAAAAGCTGCCAATACTGGGGATCAGGCTGGGCGCGGTCGCTCACGTCTGTAATCCCAGCACTTTGAGAGGCTGAGGCAGGCCCACTTGAGGCAGAAGTTTGAGACCAGCCTGGGCAACATGGCAAAACCCCATCTCTACTGAAAATACAAAACTTAGCTGGGCGTGGTAGTGTGTGCCTATAATCCCAGCTACTCGGGTGGGTTAGGCACAAGAATCAGTTGAACCCGGGAGGCAGAGGCTGCAGTGAGCCAAGATGGTGCCACTGTACTCCAGCAACAGAGCAAGACTGGGCAACAGAGCAAGACTCTGTCTCCAAAAAGAAAAGAAAAACAAACAAACAATACTGGGAATTGGCAAGGGTGTGGATAAACTGGACTCTCCCGCAGTGCCAGTGAGAGTGTAAATTGGCCCACTGTAAAAACTGTTGGCAGTATTGATTATACTGCTTGAATTCATGCACGCCGTATGACCCAACCCTCCCAGGTATACACCTGTGGCAGGCACAATGCAGTGAGCCCTCTGTATTCATGGGTTCTGCATCCTCAGATTCAACCAAACTCCATCGAAAATACAGTCACAGCATCACTTAATGATGAGGATAATCGTTAGCCAATTTCATCATCCTGTGAGCACCGTAGAGTGTACTTACATAAACCTGGTTGGTACAGCCTACTATATACCTAGGCTATGCGGTATAGCCTATTGCCCATAGGCAACAAGTCTGCACAGCGTGTGACTGCACTGAATACAGTAGGCAATTGTAACACAATGGTGTTTGTGTATCTAAAACTATCTAAACATAGAAAGGTACATTAAAAATACAGTTTATAATCTTATGGGATCACCATATATATGTAGCACATTGTTAACCAAAAAGATATGTTCATCACATGACTATACTGGAAAAAAAGAAACTAACAATAACAATACAACAATAAAAGTAATGCAAAATTTAAAATACAGTATAACAACTTTTTCTTTTTGAGACAGAGTCTCACTGTCACTCAGGCTGGAATGCAGAGGCAGGATCTCAGCTCACTGCAACTTCCATCTCCTGGGTTCAAGAGATTCTTCTGCCTCAGCCTCCCCAGTAGCAGGGATTACAGGTGTGCACCACCACACCTGGCTAATTTTTTTGTATTATTAGTAGAGATGGGGTTTCACCATGTTGGCCAGGCTGGTCTCGAACGCCTTACCTCAAGTGATCCACCTGCCTTGGCCTCCCAAAATGCTGGGATCACAGGAGTGAGTCACCATGCCTGGCCAAAATACAAAATAACTATTTACATAGCATTTACATTGTATTAGGTATTATAAGTAATCTAGGAATGATCTAAAGTATATGGGAGGGCCAGACACAGTGGCTCATGCCTGTAATCCCAGCACTTTGAGAGGCTGAGGCAGGCAGATCATTTGAGGTCAGGAGTTCGTGACCAGCCTGGCCAACATGGCAAAGCCTTGTCTCTACTAAAAGTACAAAAATTAGCAACGGGTATTGTGGCAGGTACCTGTAATCCCAGCCACCTCCACCTCCCAGGCTCAAGTGATTCTCCTGCCTCAGACTCCCAAGTGTCTGGGATAACAGGCACATGCCACCATGCCCAGCTAATTTTTTTTGTATTTTTAGTAGAGACGGGGTTTCACCCTGTTGGCCAGACTGATCTCGAACACCCGACCTCAGGTGATCCACCCACCTCAGCCTCCTAAGGTGCTGGGATTACAGGCATGAGCCACCACACCCAGCCTCTATTTTTTTTAAGTATAAAAATAATTTAAATTTTTTAAAAAGAAGCTCTCTGTTTTTATTATTAAACTTTAAAAAATTTAAACTAAAGCCACTTTATATTAATAACAGTGAATTTTTTTTTTTTTTTTTTTTTTTTTTTTTTTTTTTGTTGGAGTCTTGCTCTGTCACCCAGGCTGGAGTGAAGTGGCCCAACTTGGCACACTGCAACCTCTGCCTCCCGGGTTCCACTGCAATCTCTGCCTCCCAGATTCAAGCAATTCTCCTGCCTCAGCCTCCCAAGTAGCTGGTATTACAGGCGCCTACCATCATGCCTGGCTAATTTTTGTATTTTTAGTAGAGACGGGGTTTCACCATGTTGGCCAGGCTGGTCTCAAACTCCTGACCTCAAGTGATCCGCCCGCCTTGGCCTCCCAAAGTGCTGGGATTATAGGCATGAACCACCTCACCCGGCCTAATAATAGTGATTTTTTTTTCCTTTTACTGTTTAGCTACCCTTTGAATTTTCTTTTTTCTTTTTTTTTTTTTGATAGGGTCTCACTTTGTCAACCAGACTGGAGTGCAGTGGTGCAATCTCAGCTCACTGCAGCCTTGACTTCCTGAGCTCAAGCGATTTTCCTGCCTTGGCCTCCCGAGTAGCTGGGGCTACAGGCACACACGCCACCATGCCCTGCTAATTTTTGTATTTTTTGTAGAGATGAGGTTTTGCCGTGTTGCCAAGACTGGTCTCGAGCTCCTGAGCTCAAGTGATCCACCTGCCTCTGCCTCCCAAAATGCTGGGATTACAGGTGTGAGCCACTGCACCCAACCCTGATTTTTCATCACAGACTGTTCCCCTTAGGCCAGAATAGAAACATCTAGTGAAAGACCACCAAACATCATGGTACATTTTAATAAATTTAAACATATACCCTTTCACAGACTCTACTTTTAAATTTTAGGTATTATTATTTATTTTGAGACAGGGTTTCACTCTGTCGCCCAGGCTAGAGTACAGTGGCATGATCTTGGCTCCCTCTAGCCGTGACCTCCTGGACTCAGGTGATCCTTCCACCTCAGCCTCCCAAGTAGCTGGGACTACAGGTGCACACCACCACATCTGGCTAATTTTTTGAATTTTTTAATAAGAGATGGAGTTTCACCATATTGCCCCAGCTGGTCTTGAACTCTTGGGCTCAAGAGTTAAATTTTATTTATTATTTACTTATTTATTTAATGACTATCAGATTCTTCTCCCCAAAAGCAATTAATTGCATTTTCTTCTGTTTCCTTTCAGAGATTTTCTATAATTATAAATTACAGAAAATAAAGAATATATATATATATATATTAAAAAAAGGGCTGGGCATGGTGGCCCACATCCGTAATCCCAGCACTTTGGGAGGCCAAGGCAGGCAGATCACTTGAGGTCAGGAGTTCGAGGTCAGCCTGGCCAACATGGTGAAATCTCTACTAAAAATACAGAAATTAGCCAGACGTGGTGGACCGTATCTGTACTCCCAGCTACTTGGGAGGCTGAGGCAGGAGAATCACTTGAACCCAGGAGGCAGAGGTTGCAGTGAGCCAAGATTGCGCCACTGCACTTCAGCCTGGGTGACAGACTGAGACTCCGTCTCAAAAGAGCAATTGAGCCCGGGTGCGGTGGCTCACGCCTATAATCCTAGCAGTTTGGGAGGCCAAGGCGGGCGGATCACTTAAGGTCAGGAGTTCAAAACCAGCCTGGCCAACATGGTGAAATGCCGTATCTACTAAAAATACAAAAATTAGTCGGGTGTGGTGGCATGCGCCTGTAATCCCAGCCACTTGGGAGGCTGAGGCAGGAGAATTGCTTGAACTGGGGAGGCAGAGGTTGCATGAGCTGAGATCATGTCACTGCACTCCAGCCTGGGTGATAGAATGAGACTCCATCTCAAAAAAAAAAAAAAAAAGCAATTGGATGTAAAACCATCCCTCATTTAATTAGTTCCTCTATTGACAGACATTTGGGTTGTTGCCAGTCCTTTGCTATTATAAACAATGCTGCAATAAATATCCTTAAATATCCATTATTTTGCACAATCACAAGTTACTTTTCAGTAAATTTACTTCAATAAATATTGATTTAAAGGTCAGTGGTAGATGCTAACATTTGTTTCCTAAAATAGACAGACCATCTACTGAGAAGAATACACTTGTTAATGAATGTATTCCTCCAATAGATACTTCAGTGCCTAACTCTGGTTAGACAAGGCTGAACATGGGGGAAAAAAATCTTACACCTGTAAATGATTTTTGAAATGATGTTTTAGTTTTTTAGGGCTGCCGTAACAAAGTAGCACAAATGAGGTGGCTTAAAACAACAGAAATTTATGGTCTCAAAATTCTTGAAACTAGAGAGGAGAGGACAGGTGGCTAGGACAAAGGGGTGTCGCAGATGCTGGGATGGGTGGTGGAGGGAGTTTCAAGGAGGAGAATAATCACATATAATACAAAAGGTAAGTGGGATGCAAGCTTAGTAGGAGCCACTGGATTTGGTAATGAGAAGGTTTCTGTTGACCTTAGCAGTCAGATTGCAGTGGATGGAGGAAAGAATGGGAAGTTAGTAAGTAGGGTGATATTATCTGAAAGGAAAACAACTCCATCTTCTGACTTAATAATACGTTTGAGGTTGATAAATCACGGTGCTGACCTCTTTTCCCTCCTCCTGTTGGGGGATGTCTGGGACCTCATTTAGTGCTTCCTTCTGGAGGGAACTGGCCTTCCAGGTCTGTCTGACATGCGCAGCACTGATGCTGACATCAGCCCTTGTCCTTCAGGGGTTCAAATGCTACCCATGGCTCAGATTCTAGCTCAAAGGGCATCTCTTCTCGAAAGTCTTCCCCAGTCTCCCCAGCTCTAAGTCATCTTTTTGTCCTCTGAATCTCTACAATATTCATCTCTACATCTCTTAAAGTATACTTTACTTTAAATGTTTATTCCTTTTATTATAATTTTTAGTGCTTTTCATCTTTTCTTCTTAACTAGAGTAAGAGTTCTAGACAAGATTCATGGATGATTCACCTTGATATTCCCAAAGATATCATATTTCTTCACATTTGCACCAGATATTAACATCAAATGCATGCTGGCTATTCCATAAATATTTATTAAGTAAATTAATAAAGGGAGATAACTGGACCCAACAAGACAACATAAAATAGAGTCCAACAGGCCGGGCACCGTGGCTAATGCCTGTAGTTCCAGCACTTTGGGAGGCTGAGACAGGTGGATCACTTTAGGTCAGGAGTTCAAGACCAGCCTGGCCAACATGGCGAAACCTGTCTCTACTAAAAATACACCAATTAGCTGGACATGGTGGCAGGCCCCTGCAATCCCAGCTACTCGGGAGGCTGAGGCAAGAGAATCGCTTGACTCCGGGAGGCGGAGGTTGCAGTCAGCCTAGATTGCACCACTGCACTCCAGCCTGAGCAACAGAATGAGGCTCTGTCTCAAAAAAAAAAAAAAAACTAGAGTCCAACAACCTCACACGGTGTGTATATCTTTAGGTTAAATGCTCTTTGCAGTTAAAAACAGCAATTTTGAAGTCAGCAGAAGCAAACAATTAGATGCCAAACGTCTAACCCAATCTGAAGTATCCAAAATCCAGGAAGTAACACAGATGTCAACCAAGGGTGAAATTGCTATAGTAAACCACGGTAATAGGGAGCCAGGTTGCATGGGAGAGATGGGTTTGGAAGGGCACAGCCAAAACGTAGCCTATAACTTTCTGTGATTTTGAGGAAGTACGCTTGCCTCTCAAAGCCAGTCGTCACATCACTACCCTGAAGACAGTAATTCCCCTATGATTGTTATGGGGTATATATATATATGCTATATACAGGGTACCCGAAACAGAAGAAGCCCTCAATAAAAAATAACTTTTAACTGTTATAGCAATAAGATGAAATATTATGCAAACATTAAAATGATTACTCTGAAGACCATGTAGCAACACGTCTTGTTATATATCAGTAAATGTATTTTGCTGATTCATTATTGTTAGTATATAATTTAAGATATTTGGCTGGGCGAGGTGGCTCACGCCTGTAATTCCAACACTTTGGGAGGCCAAGGTGTGCGGGTTGCTTTGAGCTCAGGAGTTCAAGACCAGCCTGGGCAACATGGTAAAACCCTGTCTCTACAAAAAATACAAAAACTTAGTCAAGCGTGGTGGTGCATGCCTGTAGTCCCAGCTACTCAGGAGGCTGAGGTAGGAGAACCACTTGAGCCCAGGAGGTCAAGGCTGCAGTGAGCTGAGATCACGCCACTGCACTACGGCCTGGGTGACAAAGTGAGACCCCGTCCCCCAAAAAAAGAAAAAAAATTTAACATACCAATTATAATAAAATTATAAATGTATTACATATTAATAATACACCATTAAATTAGAGAAAGCAGAATAAAAATTATATAAAACTGCTAGTTATACAACAATATAAGAAATTATGCATACTTGTTAACAAGATCAAAATGCAATCTGCCTGGGCGAGGTGGCTCAAGCCTGTAATCCCAGCACTTTAGGAGACCGACGCAGGTGGATCAGTTGAGCCCAGAAGTTTAAGACCAGTCTGACCAACACGGTGAAACCCTGTCTCTATTAAAAATACAAAAATTAGCCAGGCATGGTGGCATACGCCTGTAATCATAGCTACTCAGGAGGCTGAGGCATGAGAAACACTTGAACTCGGGAGGCAGAAGTTGCAGTAAGCTGTGATTATGCCACTGCACTTCAGTCTGGGCAGCAGAGCAAGACCCTACCTAAAAAAAAAAAAAAAATGATTGAAGGCATTATAAAGATAAGAATATCATTATTCATTACTACAGATGCCTCAGAAAGAAAAAGGATTGATCACAAGTTATAATGAACTAGTATGAACAATTATATGCCAACAAATTTGATAATCTAGAAGAAATTGATAAATTCCTAGAAGCATGTATACAACCTATCAAAACTGAATCAGGAAAAAGTAGCCAAAACCGACAATTCACAAATAAGACTAAATCAGTAATCAAAAACCTTCCAACAGGCTGGGTGCAGTGGCTCATGCCTGTATTCCCAGGCATGTATTCCTAGCACTCTGGGAGGTTGAGGCGGGCAGATTGCTTGAGTTCAGGAGTTCAAGACCAGCCTGAACAACGTAGCAAAACCCCATCCCTACTAAAAACACAAAAAAATTAGCTGGGCATGGTGTGCATCTGTAGTCCCAGCTACTCAGGAGGCTGAGGTAGGAGAATCACCTGAGCCTGGGAGGTTGATCCTACAATGAGCTGAGATCATGCCACTGCACTACTGGGCATGATTAGGCGACATAGTGAGACCCTGTCTGAAAAACAAAAAACCTTCCAACAAAGAAAAGCCTAGGACCAGATGGCTTCACAGGTGAATCCTAACAAACATTCAAAAAAAGAATTACTATCAATCCTTCTTAAACTCTTCTGAAAAATAAAAGAGAGACAACCTCCAAGACCATTTTATGAGGTTCACATCACCTTAATATCAAAGACAAAGAATAACACTAAGAAGAAAACCACAGGCCAATATACCTGGTGAACAGAGATGCAAAACTCCTCAAAAAAATACTAGCAAACTGAATTCAACAGCACATTAAAAGGATCATACACTACAATCAAGTGGGATTTATCCCTAGGATGCAAGGATGGTTCAACATATGCAAGTCAATGTGATATACCACATTAACAGATTGAAATATAAAAACTACATGATCTACTATAAAAACTACATGTTCTACTATAAAAACAGATTGAAATATAAAAACTACATGATCTACAAAAACTACTGCATCATTTCAATAGGTGCAGAAATAGCATTCGACAAAATTCAACATCCATTCATGATAAAAGCTCTTAACAAAATAAGTATAGAGGGGACATACTTCAACATAATAAAGATCACATATGTATTTCCATGAACAGTTCACAAAAATAAAAAAAAAATATATGAAAGGCCATAGCTAACATTGTAATCAATACGGAGAAACTGAAAGGTTTTTCTCTAATATCTTATCTTAGCTACAAATGCCCACTAACACCACTTCTATTCAGCATAGTACTAGAAATCCTAACCAGAACAATTAGACAAGAAAAAGAAATAAAAGCCACTGAAATCAGAAAAGAAGAGGTATAATTACCTCTGTCTGCAGACCAGCCTGGGCAACATATCTCCCCCAATCTCTACAGTAAAAAAAATTTTTAGTTAGCTAAGCGTGGTGGTATGTGCCTAAAGTCCTAGCTATTTGGGAGGCTGAAACGGGAGGATCACTTAAGCACAGGAGTTAGACGTTGCAGTGAGCTGTGGTCATGCCACTGCACTCTAGACTGGGCAACAGAGCAAGACCCTCAAGAAATCAAAAAGAAAATGAAGGGTGTGTGTGTATGTGCATATATATATATATGTAATATTCAATGGACTATTATTTAGCCTTAAAAGAAAATGAGGGCTGTGTGTGCGTATGTGCATATATATATATATATATATATATACATATATACATATATATATACACATATATGTACACGTAATATTCAGTGGACTATTATTTAGCCTTAAAAAAAGAAGGAAATTCTGCCACTTGCAACGTGGGTGAACCTGAAGGACATTATGCTAAGTAAAATAAGCCAGACATAGAAAGACAAATAGTGCATGATCTCACTTATGTAGATTTTAAAATAGTTGAACTCACAGAAGCACACAGTAGAGTGGTGGTTGTCAGGGGTTGGAGGATGGGGGAAGTGGGGAAATGTTGGTCAAAGGGTACAAAGTTTCCATTATGCAGGATGAATAAATTCTGTGAATCTAATGTACGGCATGGTGACTATAGTTAACACTGTATTGTATACTTGAAATTTGCTGAGAGTAGATCTTGTCTTCTCACCACACACACACACGCCTACACACACACAGAGGTAACTACGTGAAGTGATGGATATGTTAACTAGCTTGATGTGATGATCATTTCACAATGTACACGCATATCAAACCATCAAGTTACACCTGTTAATTATATACAGTTTCTATTTGTCAATTATACTCCACTAAGCTTTTTTTTTTTTCCTTTAAAGTAGAGACAGGGGTTTCATTGTTTTGCCCAGGGTGGTTTCTAACTCCTAGATTCAAGGAATTCTCCCACTTTGGCCTCCCAAAGCGCTGGGATTACAAGTGTGAGCCACCGTGCCTGGCTTTTTTACAAAGCTTTATTGGGCAGGACGAGGTGGCTCATGCCTGTGATCCCAACTGCTCAGAAGGCTGAGATGGGAGGATTGCTTGAGGCCAGGAGTTTGAGACAAGCCTGAGCAACATCCCAAAACCTTGTCTCCAAAAAAATTTGTAAAAACATTTAGCTGGTTACGGTGCATGCCTGTAGTCCCAACTACTGGGGAAACTAAGGAAGGAGGATCCCTTGCACCCGGAAGTTCCAGCTGCAGTAAACTGTGATACTGCCACCGTACTCCAGCCTGGGTAACAGAGCAAGACCCCATCTCTAAAACAAACAAACAAAAAAGCTTTTAAAAAAAGAATACAGTTTAATGTTGAATCAGTTAGGACTCTTTGTTACTGTTATGGGGGAAAAGAATCTGAACTTGAACTAACTTGGGCCAAAAATGAAATTTATTTTCTCCCAGATCCCAGGAAAGGATTGAGCAATACAGCTATAGAAGGGCAGGAATCCAGCTGGCCCACAGAACAGCTGGGACCAGGGGTTTCAACATCTTCAGGAGCTTCTTCCATCTCCAGATCTTGCCGTTGGCCTCATTCCTATTCACCACAATGAGATTTGTCTACAGGAAGAAAACAGGGCTCCCCAATGCACAGTTTCCAACTTCTGCCCCCAAAGAGGGAATCCCTATGTTCCTTCTTCTCAAACAAGGGTGCTCTTCAGCCTGCGTGCACTGCTGCACCCATATCAATTGTTTTTCAGCCAATGTCTGTCCTAATTGGTGGGTACCCGGATCTCCCTGATTGTTGCAGATATTGATAATCACCCCTGGAATCAGGTTCAAATATCCCAGAGAAGAGGATCATTGGTACTGTTTTTCTCTAATCAGCCCTAGGCAGGGCCAGGCCATGTCAGAGCACAGCTGCTCCCACAGGAATCATCAGGTTAAAGGAACAGAAAGAGCGATTCCCAAATGAGGGTTGGTACTGGGCAGATCAAAAAAAGACATGCTGGCTGGTCACAGTGGCTCACAGCTGCCCTCTCAGCATTTTGGGAGGCTGAGATGGGAGGATCACCTGAAGCCAGGAGCTCGAGACCAGCTGGCAACAAAGTGAGGCCTCCATCCCTACAAAAAAAAAAAAAAAAAAAAAAAATATATATATATATATATATATATATATGTATATATATATATATATATATGTATATATATATATATATATATATATATATATATATATGCACACACACACATATTGTCTGGGCACAGTGGTACATACCTATAGTGCCAGCTACTTGGGAGGCTGAGATGAGAGATTGTTTGAGCCCAGGAGGTCAAGGATGTAGCGGGCCCTGATACTGCCACTGCACTCCAGCTTAGGCCACAGAGTGGGACCCTGAAAAGAGAGAAAGAGAAAAAGAAAGAAAGAAAGGAAGAAAGGAAGGAAGGAAGGAAGGAAGGAAGAGAGAAAGAAAGAAAAGAAAGAAAGAAAGAGAAAAGAAAAGGAAAGAAAGAAGAAAGAAAAGAGAAAGAAAGAAAGAAAGGAAAGAAAAGAAAAAAGAAAAAAGAAAGAAAGGAAGAAAAAGAAAAGAGAGAAAGAAAGGAAGGGAGAGATGGGAGGAAGGGAGGGAGGGAAGGAAGGAAGGAAGGAAGTCTACTATAAGTGTACTTGTAGTTTTTATTTTCCAAAATTTTAAATTTCCAAAATTTAAAAATTACTATAACTTTTAAAAGGAAAAAAATAATTGTAGGTACCAGAAGCCCCATCTTTCTTCGTTTTACTTCTACTCTGTCTTAGAATGCCATCAGCAGCTCTGTCCCATCTACGAATAAACATGGTCACACCGTATTAGAAATTCCCTAAGAAACAGGGGGCTATTGATAGCCAGCTTAGTGTTACCTACCCTGGTTAAGCAAGAAAATAAGTCACTCATTTGATGTTAGAACAGGTTCCTGTTTGATGTATCCAGTTTCCTCTAAAAGTTTCAGCATTTGGGTTAAATTTTATTCAGTGATAGCCACACTTAATCTCCCCAAGGCACTAACCAGAAAAAAATCAGGCCCTGACTTTGCTATCCAGGCCCATCTAGACATCCTAATCTTTTCCCTCAGCATATGTAGAGAATTCAAAAATTAACTTGCATACAAATGCAGAGAATCTATTTCCAGGTTCTGTCTAAAGCCTTTTAGTAAGATCTTCCAAATTCTTACTTTTGAATATCCCCTAGCAGTGAAAGATAACTTGACTGCTGAGATATCATTCACAGAAGAGATGAGAAAAATGATTAATTTCTGAACATGTTCAATTTCATACATTCTTGAGCTCATAATTGAGTGGTTGAGTTCTAGTTCTTCCAGGTACAATCACACCACAGAGACATGATTTTAAAGATGAAGTTTTAGTGAGGGACTAATAAATTTTTCAGGCCAGCTCTCAAGGCTTTCTCAATTTTCTACATACTATTAAAGAGCAATACATGCCCAGTGATTAGAATGCATGCTAGTGCCCCTGGGCATAGAAACATCTGGATAACAAAATGGAATCCACCTTAAGTGTCTAAACAGCAAGCTAACAAAAATGAAAACAGCAAGCAGGTGAACAGAACAATCCCGGGGCAGCAGCCTAATCCAGAGTAATCCATTGCCATGACAGCAAACATCACAGAAACTTCCAGAGGGTGTTCAGGGCACATGTTCCATGAGAAATCCTTGATCCCTTTGTGGTTTGCTTCTTTCCTTAGTGTTTGCAGTGGGACCGTATTCCCAGGTTATGGGCCTTTTCAAAAATGCACCAGAAAAGCTCTCTGCCAGGCCACGTGCATAGCATGGTAGAGAAAACACCCTATTGCAGATTGCTAGTTTAAATGAAGGCTAACCAAATAAAGAATCAAACTAAGATGCAAAAGTTAGAAGTATGCCCAATCCAACCTGCTGGAGAAGTAGGATCATAAATGTTAATAAAGAATTGTAGACTGGGATCGTTTTATAAAAATAAATTTTAAAGGCCGGGTGCGGTGGTTCATGCCTGTAATCTCAGCACTTTGGGAGGCCGAGGTGGGTGGATCCCTTGAAGTCAGGAGTTCGAGACCACCTGGCCAACATGCTGAAACCCCTGCCTCTACTGAAAACACAAAAACTAGCCAGATGTGGTGGTGCATGCCTGTAATTCCAGCTACTCAGAAGCTGAGGCAGGAGAATTGCCTGAACCCGGGAGGTGGAGGTTGCAGTGAGCCGAGATCATGCCACTGCACTCCACCCTGGGTGACAGAGTGAGACTCTGTCTCAAAACACACACACACACACACACACACACACAATTAATTTAAAATTTCATGCATAGGCCCAGACATGATGGCTCATGCCTATAATCCCAGCACTTTTGAGGCCAAGGCAGGAGGATCACTTGAGGCCAGAAGTTTGAGACCAACCTAAACAACACAGCGAGATCCTATATCTCTACAAAAACATTTACAAAAATTAGCTGGTTATGATGGCACGCATCTTTAATCTTAGCCACTCGGGAGGCTGAGGCGGGATGATTGCTTGAGCCCAAGAGTTCGTGGTTGCAGTGAGCTATGATCATGCCACTGCACTCCAGCCTGTGTGACAGAGCAAGACCCTGTCTGAAAAAAAAGTTATGCATAATCAACTAATTCTAGAGTTCGTAACTTTCTTCAATACTGTTTTTTTTTTTTAATATTACAATGGCATCTGTCCAATTCTCCACAGGGAAAAGTGTCATGGTCTTTCATCAGATGAAAGGTGCAGTCTGGATTTCAGTCAACATGATAGAACATTGTACCCCTCCAGATTCACACCCTAAGTGTTTGGGAATTAAAGTCCCCCAATCTTTTTCTTCTTATTAAATCACAAGGGCCGTACTGGCATGGTGATTAGCAATTCTGGCCTGGAAAAAAAAAATTCTAGCACAGCTGCAAGAAAACAGACAAAAAGAACAGCTGGGAAGACCTGGCCTATTTTTGCTTTGCATTTAGTTGGCAAAACAAAACTCCCTTCTGGAGGAATTCCCACTTTATTCCACCACATTTATCATCTCCTTTTTTCTATTTCTTTTTATTCATTTTTTCTTTCCTTAATATTGCTGTCTTTTTCTTCACAGAGTATTTCCTTATTTTTTCATTCATTTAACAAATATCCATTGCATGCCTAGTATAGGTGAGAAACTCTGCCAGGCACTGTAGGATGTAGAAAGATAAGTTAAACATGAGCACTGACATCCAAAACCTTATTATCCTAATAGACGGTGTGACTGGTATGTAAATAAGTCAAATCAAAAGTAAAAGGTGGCCAGGTGCCGTGGCTCACACCTGTAATCCCAGCACTTTGGGAGGCTGAGGCAGGTGGATCACTTGAGGTCAGAAGTTCGAGACCAGCCTGGCCAACATGGTGAAACCCCATCTCTACTAAAAATACAAAAATCAGCCAGGCATGGTGGCAGGTGCCTGTAGTCTCAGCTACTTGGGAGGCTGAAGCACGAGAATCGCTGGAACCCAGAAGGCAGAGGTTGAAGTGAGCTGAGATCACGCCACTGCACTCCAGCCTGGGTAACAGAGCAAGGCTCTGTCTCAATAAAAATTAAAAAAAGTAAAAGGTAGGTGATAAGAGAAAAAATAAATATAAAGTGACATAGAAACTCAGGAGAGCAATTCATTCCAGTTGGAGGGCTTAGTGAAAGCCTGTAGAGGAGGTGTCTGAATAAAGGGCATTCTGGGCAGAAAACAAAACAAACAAACCAAAAAAAGCCCAGCATGAGCAAAGGCAATAATCTCTAAAAAACATGGAGCGATTGAATTTGACTAGAGCATCAGTGCTCAAGGTGTGGTCCTGGACCATCAGGACCAGCATCATTTGATATCTTGTTACACATGTAAATCCTTAAACCCCACCCCAGGTCTACTCAATCAAAGACTCTGTGGTAGGACCCAGCAATTTATGATGTAACAAGCCCTCCAAGAGATTCTGGTGCATATTCAAGTTTGGAAGTCACTGAATCAAGGTATAGGATACCTGGCGTCAGAAATCTGCTTGAAAAGTAAGATTGGAATAAATAAAAGAAAATCAACTTTAAAAGGATAGTTAGGTGCTAGCTTTGACAGCATACACACTAAAGTTAGAATGACACAGAGATTAGCATGCCCTCTGCAAAAGGATGAGATGCAATTTTGTGAAGCATTCTAATATTTTTTTAAAAGGAAGGTGGAAAAAATAGACAAATAGGACTACATAAAACTTAAAAACCTTTGTGTGTCAAAGAACATAATCAATGAAGTAAAAAGGGAACCTATAGAATGGGTTGAAATAGTAGCAAGTCATATCTGAAAAGGGGTTAATGTGCAGAATGTATAAAGAACTCCTAAAACTCAACAAAAAAAATCCCCAGTTTTTAAAAGGGCAAACGACTTGAACAGACATCATAGACATCTCTAAAGATGCTATACAAGGCTGGCTGTGGTGGCTCACACCTGTAATCCCAGTACTTTTGGAGGCCAAATCAGGTGGATCACTTGAGATCAGGAGTTTGAGACCAGCCTGGCCAACATGGTGAAACCCTGCCTCTACTAAAAATACAAAAATTAGCCCGGCATGGTGGCACATGCCTGTGGTCCCAGCTACCTGGGAGGCTGAGGTAGGAGAATCGCTTGAACTCAGGAGGTGGAGGTCGCAGTGGGCTGATATCACACCATTGCACTCCAGCCTAGGTGACAGAGTGAGACCGTGTCTCAAAAAAAACACACAAAAATGATACACAAATAGCCAACAAACATATGGAAAGATGCTCAATGTCACTAGTCACCAGGGAAATGCAAATCAAAACCTCAATGAGATATCACCTCACACTCATTAGGACAAGTACAATTAAAAACAAATTAAAAACCCAGAAAATAACAAGGCCAAGATGTGGAGAAATCAGCATCCTTGCACACTGTTGGTGGGATTATAAAATGTTGCAACCTCTATGGAAAACAGTAGGCAGCTTCTCAAAAAATTAAAAATAGCACTATTATGATTCAGCAATTCCACTTCTGGGTATACATCCAAAAGAATTGAAAGAGGAGTCTCAAAAAGATATTTGCATACCCATGTTCACAGCAGCATTTATTCATGGTACCCAAGAGGTGAAAGCAATCCAAGCGTCTACCAAAGGATGACTGGAGAAACAAAATGTGGTCTATGCATACAATGGAATATTATTCAGCCTTAGAAAGGAAGACAATCCAGCTGGGCACGGTAGGTAGCTCACACTGGTAATCCCAGCACTTTGAGAGGCCAAGGTGGGCGGATCACCTGAGGTCGGGAGTTCAAGACCAGCCTGACCAACATGGAAAAACCCCATCTCTACTAAAAATACAAAATTAGCTGGGCGTGGTGGCACACGCCTGTAATCCCAGCTAACTCGGGAGGCTGAGGCAGGAGAATCACTTGAACCCGGGAGGTGGAGGTTGCTGTGAGCCGAGATTGCGCCATCGCAGTCCAGCCTGGGAAAACAATAGCGAAACTTTGTCTCAAAACAAAAACAAAAACAAAAACAAAGCAAAACAAAAAAAAAGGAAGAAAATCCTGTTACATGCTGCAACATGATGAACTTTGAGAATATTACGGTAAGTGAAATAAGCAAATCGCAAAAAGATGAATACTGTATGATTCCACTAATATGAAGTAGTCATCAAATTTATAGAAACAAAAAGTAGAATGGTGGGTACCAAAGGATGAGGAGGAGGAAAGGGGAAGTTATTATTGAATGGGTATAAAGTTTTGAATTTGCAAGATGAAAAAGACTGGGAGATCTGTTTCACAACAATGTGAATACACTTAACAATATTAAACTGCACACTTAAAAATGGCTAAGATGGTATAATTTATGCTATGTGATTTTTTAGCATCAGTGTTTTTTTTTAACAGGAAGGTGGGATAATTGAGGGCTTGAAATTCTAACACCTTTTCCTTCCATTGGTCAATCCTTCCATTGGTCTATTAATCCTTTCTTTTCTTACATTTGATCTTGAGCTCTTATGTGTTGGAAGTATTTTTTTTTTATTTTTGCTTTTGTTTTTACTATTACTTCAATCTCTTTGTGATAGGTCTCTTCAGATTTCCATTTCTTCTTGGATCAGTTTACATAGTTTGTGTCTCTTTAGAAATTTGTCTATTTCATATCTGCTGTCTGATTTGTTTGCATACAATTGTTCAAAATATCCCCTCATAATTTTTTTTTATTTCTGTAGAGTCGGAAGTAATCAAGTCTTCTTTTTTTCTTGGTTAGTTTAGCTAATATTTTGTCAATTTTGTTGGTCTTTCCAAAGATTAACATTTTGTTTTGTTGATTTTCTCTCTTGTTTTTCTATTCTGTATTTCACTTATTTCCATTAGAGTCTTTATTCTATCCTTCCTTCTACTTGTTTTTGGGTTTAGTTTTCCCTTCCTTTTCCAGTGTCTTAAGGTGAAAGTTTAGATTATTGATTTTAGCTCTTTCTTCTTCATTAATATTGGCATTTACAGCTATAAATTTCCCTCTAAGCAGCAGGTTAGCTGCATCCCGTAAGTTTGGGTATACTGTGTTTTTATTTTCACTCATCTCAAACTATTTTCTAATTTCTCTAATTACTGAGATTCAGCCATTTTTCTTGAATGCATACTTCCTGAATTCCTGCCAGAATTTGATTAATTTCTAGAGCCCTAAAAAAGTTGATTCTTCCCTTTTTTGCCAGTTTTCTCATTATTTTCATAGAGGAGAAATTTTTCAGAGGTCCTTTCTCTGACATTTTTGCTGACATCTTCCTTCCTTCCTTTCTCTCTTTCTCTCTTTCTTTTTCTGAGACAGAATCTCACTCTGTCACCCAGGTTGGAGTGCAGTGGCATGATCTCAGCTCACTGCAACCTCTGCCTCCCAGGTTCAAGCGATTCTCCTGCCTCAGCCTCCGGAGTAGCTGGGATTACAGGCACCTGGCACCACGCCCGGCTAATTTTTATATTTTTAGTAGAGACAGGGTTTCATCATGTTGGCCAGGCTGGTCTCAAACTCCTGACCTCAAGTGAGGAGTTCATTTGGCCTCCCGCCTTGGCCTCCCAAAGTGCAGGGATTACAGGTGTGAGCCACTGCGCCCTGCCAGACATCATTTTTTCTTGCATTTCAAACCTTGGTGGGAGCTTTCCTCCCTCAGCTCAGTGGTATCCTCATGGCCTGGGACAAGGCCTCTGGCCTCTTTTCTCTGAACATCACTGTCCTAGTCTGCTGGGACTGCTGTAACAAAATATTATAGACTGGGTGGCTCATACAACAGACATTTAGTTCTCACAGTTCTGGCAGCTGGGAAGTTGCCCTCACTGAGGAACTAAATAGGCAGGCACCCTGATCTTGGACTTCTTACATCATTAATTCAAATGCAAAGGGATTTACTCTGAGGGAAACTGATGAAAGTTTTTCTTGGCTTTATGCTGGGGGCGGTACTAGGAGACGTCACCCTGTGAGGTCACTCTCAGTTCCTCCCTCCTCCTTTCTCTTACCTTTCACCCAGTCCCTGAGATAAGGCAGGTTTGGAGCCCACCAAGATGATTTGATCATTCCTTGGGCTTAGTCTGAAGCGATTCAAGACCATGGTTCCTGCTGATCGAGTGGCAAGAGCATTGGCTTTAGAGTCCAATGTAAATTGGCCTAAACTCAGCTGTGCCACCCACTGCATAGGTCCCTGGTAAGTCCCTTACCATCCTTGAGCCTCAGTTTACTTTTCCGTAAAATGGGGGTAATACTATTCACTTTAGGGAGTTCCTAAAAAGATTAAATTAAGTAATGTATGCATTTGAAGTGCCCAAGAGACTGCCAAACTTCTAGATAGGGCTTGATCATAATTATGCCTCAGTATTATGCAGTAAGGGTGACTTACATAGCCTTGTCAATAATCTTTTCCTTTATTAAATAAATAGTTCTCTCTGAAAGTTATTTCTTATATTTAATCTCAATTCCAGATTGTATTTATTTATTTTTTATTTTATTTATTTATTTTTTTTCTGAGATGGAGTCTTGCTCTGTCAACCAGGCTGGAGTGCAGTAGCATGATCTTGGCTCACTGCAATCTCCGCCTCTTGGGTTCAAGTGATTCTCCTGCCTCAGCCTCCCAAGAAGCTGGGATTACAGGCGCCCGCCACCATGCCTGGCTAATTTTTTTTGTATTTTTAGTTGAGACGAGGTTTCATTGGCCAGGCTGGTATCAAACGCCTGACCTCAGGTGATCCGCCCACCTCGGCCTCCCAAAGTGCTGGGATTACAGGTGTGAGCCACTGCACCCCAGATTGTATTTAACGCCTTTCCTTCAGTCTTAGCTAGAAAAATAGAAAAGAAAAAGGAAAAGAAATGGCTGCTAACACTGCCTCCAGAACCCTTCCCAGCCTGCATTAAAGCTGTCCCTTGGTCGCCTTATCATTAATCTAGATGTCTTTGCTCAGCCTCTCTGCTCTCCGTCTCTTTACTCCTCCTTTGATAATCCTTTACCCACTTTCATGTTGCTCTTTCTTGCATCTCTTCCTATGTGTATTAACTGATGTATTCTGCAGGTCAGTGGACTGCAAAGGTCAAAGTCTGTGTGTCTGAGACTTGGATTCAGCTGTCAGCCCCCAGCCTCTTAGACAATTCAAGACAGGGTTAAAGTTGCAATCAGAGACAATGAGGCTGCAAGAGAAACAAAGGCTGGATTTGATGGGCAACTGGGACAGCTGGAGATGACAAAATCTCTTTAGACTGATTTTTCCTGAGGTCAAAAGACTTGGGAGGGTGGGGTAGAGCAAGGAGTGTTCAAGAATAACTGTAAACATGAGCCTTGCACACATATAAAACACGGGTCAGAAAATGCTAGGCCTATTTCATTAATTTTCACAAAAGATTCCCTCAGACTTTTCAGTCTCTTTTTTAAGTAATCGATGCATGCCCTAAATCCCATTCATTCATTCTTCTTTTATTTGTTTATTTTTCATTATCTGCCCTACCCGATTTATTATGCACTTAATTGTCATATTCCCTTTTGTTACTGGTTTCTTTGCCACTTTTCTGACTGGTCACTCTTGTCCTCATTACAGATCTTTCAAGGCCATTTATTTGATATAATGAAAAGAATGAAGTTTGGAATCTGATGGTTCAGCCACTAGGAGTTGCACAACCTTCAACAAGTGACAATAGGCCTGTTTCACAATGACCTCCCAGAACTGTTAGAGCTCTAAAGCACAACCAACCTTTACTTAGCAAAGCCTGCTCTTGGAGTTGGTGTTATGGTTTGAGTTCTGCCCTCCCCAAATTTATATTCCTAAAATTTCTAACCCCCAATGTGGAATGTGATGGCATTTGGAGATGGGCGTTTGTGAGGTGTTAATAATTAGGTTTAGATGCAGACGTGAAGGTGGGGCGCTCATGATGGGATTAGTGCCCTTATAAGAAGAGACACAAGACAGCTTGGTCTCTCTCTCCCTCTCTTCCTCTCCACGTGAGGAAACAAAGGGACGGGGCCATCTGCAAGCCAAAAGAGAACCTTCACCAGGAACCATATAGGCCAGCACCTTGGTCTTAGACTTCCCAGCCCCTAGAATTATGAGAAATAAATGACTGTAGTTTAAGCCACCCAGCCTGTGGTATTTTTTCATGGCAGCGCCAGCTGACTAAGAAAATGGATTTTCAGGAATAAAGATGAGCTTGATTTTCCTCATGACCAATGGCTGGCATTTGTGAGTAAGAGAACTTACACTCTATGTCTGTGGTGAAAATAGAGGTAGGTAGCACTGGGTGTGGTGGCTTACACCTCTAATTCCAGCTATTCTGGAGGCTGAATTCGGAGGATCGCTTGAGCCCAGGAGTTTGAGTCCAGCCTGGGCAACATAGCGAGACCTTGTTTCAAAAGAAGAAAAATAGAAGTAGATAAGTTTCACTGTCCCAGGATCTACCATCAAACCTCTAGACAATGTAGGGTCTTACCCTGATTTCATTCACATCAGAATCATCGGGGGAGTTGTTTTTTGTTTTTTGGCTTTTTTTTTTTTTTTTTGGAGTTTCACTCTTGTGGCCCAGGCTGGAGGGCAGTGGTGCGATCTCAGCTCATTGCAACCTCTGCCTCCCAGGTTCAAGTGATTCTCCTGCCTCAGCCGCCCAAGTAGCTGGGATTACAGGTGCCTGCCACCACGCCTGGCTAATTTTTTGTATTTTTTTTAGTAGAGGTGGGGTTTTGCCATGTTGGGCAGGCTGGTCTTGAACTCCTGACCTCAGATGATCTGCTCGCCTTGGTCTCTCAAAGTGTTGGGATTACAGGCGTGAGCCACCATGCCCTGATTTTTGGCTTTCATCATAGTACCTCACATCCAGAGCGTCTATGATTTCGGCCTGTGGTCTCTCCATGAAGGGGTCAGGAGTGAGAAGGGGGCCCTGAAATTGATTGACTGCATGCACTCTGCCAGGCACTGTCTGTGTCAGGCATTCTTCACACACATCATTCTGTCTGTTCATTCTCACAGTAATCCCATCAAGAAGATGTTAACAGCCCCATTTTAGAAAGGAAGAACCAGGTTTCAGCAGTCCTGCCCAAGCTTCCACAGTCATAAGGTAGAGCTAGGATTAGAACAGTAACAAAATAAATTAGCATACTCTTGAAGGAAAAGAAAAAAAATGGCAACAGCTAATGTTTCTCTCCTGGGCTTAATGCCTTGCATCTTTTATCTCATGGAATCCTTTCAACAATCTTTTGTACATTGGCTTTTTTTTTTTTTTTTGAGATGGAGCCTCGCTCTGTCACCCAGGCTGGAGTGCAGTGGTGTGATCTCGGCTCCCTGCAACCTCCACCTCCCAGGTTCAAGCAATCCTCCTGCCTCAGCCTTTCAAGTAGCTGGAACCACAGACGCCTGCCACCATGCCTGGCTAATTTTTTTGTATTTTTAGTAGAGACGGGGTTTTGTCATATTGGCCAGGCTGGTCTCGAACTCCTGAACTCCTGACCCATCTGCCTCAGACTTCCAAAGTGCTGGGATTACAGGCATGAGCCACCGCGCCCGGCCTAGATTGTCTTTTATATCCCCACTTCACACATGATAAAACAGAAATGAAAGTGTAGAGACATTAAGCAATCCATCCAAGGTCACACAGCAGTAGAGTCGGATCTGTCTGGCAGTAAAGGCTGTGATCTTGGCCACAGTATGACACACTCTCATCCTTCCCTTCACAAAGTCCACACCCATTGTATATGTGCCACCCCTGTGACTCAGGTGCTCCTGTCACTTGCAATTTCTCTCTTTACGTTTCAATTAATCTTTTTTTGTTTGTTTTTTGTTTTGAGACAAAGTCTTGCTCTGTCACCCAGACTGGAGTGCAGTGGCGTGATCCCGGCTCACTGCAACCTCCGCCTCTGGGTTCAAGTCATTCTCCTGCCTCAGCCTTCCCAGTAGCTGGGACTATAGACGCATGTCACCATGCCCCGCTAATTTTTGTATTTTTTGTAGAGACAGGGTTTTGCCATGTTGTCTAGGCTGGTCTCAAACTCCTGACCTCAAGTGATCCACCCACCTGGGCCTCCCAAAGTGCTGGGATTACAGGCATGGGCCACCATGCCCAGCCCTTTCAACTAATTTTATGAGACATACCCAACCTGACAAGGAAGATCCAGGCAAGCCTCACTGATGCGCATTGCTCATCTCTAACACAACCCAGCCAAAGTCACTGATGGAGAGAGAATCTCTTCCATAAATTAGAGCACAAAGTTGTTGAATCATAGTTAATTTATCCAAGAATAAACATTTCTGTTGGTTTCTGAACATTTGATTTAGAAATTACACAGACTTAAAGGAAGCATTTATAGTCACTGCAATGACACAGTGAATGTCAGATGCAGGTCCTAGTTATTAAGCACATTTGAAAGAAAGAAAGCTTTATCCAGTTTGAATTCAAGAGGCTTTACAAAAAAATGCATAGCTAAGATAATCAGTAAAAAGAGGAGTTAGGATTTTTGAATACAAGGCAAGCCAGTTTCAACCTCATTTTATCCTCTGCCTGTCCTCCCATTCATCTTGATAATGCTTTGCCAAGTCACTGCAAGCTTTTGCTTGAATTAACTAGCCATATTTTATTATGTCCAGAACACACACTAACAGAGACTGCAGAACAAAGGGTAAAAATCAAGGATAAAGGGAGGAAGGACAGCTCTGTATTACAGGTAGAAGAGTCTCTTCACTTCTACTGCAGATTGAGTCGGGAGAAACTGTGACTAAGAATAGCTACACGGCCGGGATTGGTCATACGAGCCCACAGGCACTAGCAGCTGAGGTGGCTGCTGTCTGTTTAAATTGCTTTCCGGTGGCAAACACTTAATTGTAATCGAGACAGAGTTCAGGTTTATTTTCTGCTCGTTCCCTGCATCCTGCTCTTGTTCTCGATAAGCTTTTCCCCTGCCCTGGCGCCCACTGCACCCTCCATTTCCCAAGGAGCCCAGCTAGCCCCGACAATGTGATTAAGTGTTCTCTGTAGACGTGAGTCCTTGCTTCTGCTGGGTGCCTCTCTGTGTCAGCAGCAAATCAGCCTGCAGACCAGGGGTAGTGTTTCTGGAGGATCAGGTGAGAATGCCTGGACTCTGCACAGTTGGAAGCTGTTCATGAGATAATGGTACCTCTTGTTTTCATGTGCAGCTTTATATCAACAGTCCCTCGGTTTCTCCCATTGGAAATCAGCTACAGATATGAGCCGTGTAAGAATATAAGTACTGTAGGCTGGGTGAGGTGGCTCACACCTGTAATCCTAGCACTTTGGGAGGCCAAGGCAGGCAGATCACTTGAGGTCAGGAGTTCGAGACCAGCTTGGCCAACATGATGAAAACCCATCTCTACTAAAAATACAAAAATTAGCTGGGCATGGTGGTGTACACCTGTAGTCCCAGCTACCTGGGAGGCTGAGGTAGGAGAATCACGTGAGCCGGGGAGGCAGAGGTTGCAGTGATCCAAGATCACGCCACTGCACTGCAGCCTGGGAGACAGAGGGAGACTCTGTCTCAAAAAAAAAAAAAAAAAAAAAAAAAAAGAATGTAAGTATTGGATGTCCTGGCCAGAGCAATAAGGCAAGAGAAATAAATAAAAGGCGTCCAAATTAGAAAAGAGAAAGTCAAATTGTCCCTCTTTACTGCTAATATGATCTTATATCTAGAAAAACGCAGACTCCACCAAAAAACTCTTAAATCTAATAAATAAATTAAGTAACATTGTAGGATACAAAATTGATGTACAAAATCGGTAGCATTTCTATACACCAATAATGAACTAGCTGAGAAAAAAATCAAGAAAGCAATCCTATTTATAGTAGCTATAAAAAAAGAATAAAACACTCAGGAATATACATTCAACAAAGGAGGTGAAAGAGCTCTACAAAGAGAACTACAAAACACTGATGACAGAAACTGAAGTGGACACATACAAATGGACTGACATCCCATGCTCATAAGCTGGAAGAAATAATATCATTAAAATTATCATATTGGCCAGGCGTGGTGGCTCACGCACGCCTGTAATCCCAGCACTTTGGGAGGCCGAGGCAGGTGGATCACTTGAGGTCAGGAGTTTAAGACCAGCCTAGACAAACACAGTGAAACCCCATCTCTACTAAAAATACAAAAATTAGCTAAGCATAGTGGCAGGCGCCTGTAATCCCAGCTACTTGGGAGGCTGAGGCATGAGAATCACTTGAACCCAAGAGCTGGAGGCTGCAGTGAGCTGAGATAGCACCACTGTACCCCAGCCTGGGAAAAAGTGAGACCGTCAAAAAAAAAAAAAAAAAAAAAGACCACATTGCCCATAGCAATCTACAGATTCAATGCAATCCCTATCAAAATACCAATATCATTTTTCACAGAATTAGAAAAAAAAATCATAAAATTCTTATGGAACCAAAAAAGAGCCTGAATAGCCAATGCAATTCTGAGAAAAAAGAACAAAGCTGGAGGTATCACACTACCTGACTTCAAAATATGTTACAAAGCTATAGTAAACAAAACAGCATGGTATTAGTATAAAAGACACATACATTGATGGAACAGAATACAGAATACAGAAATAAATACATGTATTTATAGCCAACTGATTTTCAATAAAAGTGCCAAGAAGATACACTGAGGGAAGGACACTCTCTTCAATAAACGGTGCTGAGGAATGAAAGTGGACCCTATCTCTCACCATATACAAAAATCAACTCAAGATGGATTGGAGACTTAAATATAAGACCCAGAACTAATAGAAGAAAACACAGGGAAAATACTTCAGGACATTAGTCTAGGCAGATTTTATGGCTAAGATCTCAAAACAACAAAAAACTAAAACAAAAATAGACAAATAGAACTATATTAAATGAAAAAGCTTCTGCACAGCAAAGGGAACAATAGAGTGAAGAGACAACCTGTCGAATGGGAGAAATTATTTGCAAACATTCACCCTGCAAGGGATTAATATCCTGAATACACAAGGAACTCAAATGAGTCAACAATAAAATGTTTAAAATGAGCGCGGTGGCTCATGCCTGTAATCCCAGCACTTTGGGAGGCCAAGGCAGGCAGATCATGAGGTCATGAGTTCGAGACCAGCCTGGCCAATGTGGCGAAACCCTGTCTCTACTAAAAATACAAAAATTAGCCAGGTGTGGTGGCGGGCGCCTGTAATCCCAGCTACTTGGGAGGCTGAGGCAGGAGAATCACTAGAACCCAGGAGGCGGAGGTTGTAGTGAGCTGAGATTGTGCGATTGCACTCCAGCCTGGGCAACAAGAGCAAGACTCCATCTAAAAAAAAAAAAAAAAAGTCCCATTAAAAAGTGGGCAAATGGCCAGGCGTGAGGGCTCATGCCTGTAATCCTAGCACTTTGGGAGGCTGAGGTGAGTGGATTGCTTGAGTCTAGAAGTTCAAGACCAGCCTGGGCAACATGGTGAAACCCTGTGTCTACTAAAAATACAAAAAATTAGCTGGGCATGGTGGCACATGCCTGTAGTCCCAGCTACTCAGAGGGCTGAGGTGGGAGGATCACCTGAGCTCAGGAGATCAAGACTGTAGTGAGCCCTGATAGTACCACTGCACTCCAGCCTGGACAACAGAGTAAGACCTTGTTTAAAAAAAAAAAAAGTGGGCGAATGACAACATATTTCTCAAAAGAGGACATACAAATGGCCAATAGGTACATGAAGAAACTTCTAGACTCAAGCAATCCACTCACCTCAGCCTCCCAAAGTGCTAGGATTACAGGCATAAGCCCTCATGCCTGGCCATTTGCCCACTTTTTAACGGGACCTTTTTTTTTTTTTTTTTTTTTTGAGATGGAGTCTTGCTCTTGTTGCCCAGGCTGGAGTGCAATGGCACAATCTCAGCTCACTGCAACCTCCAACTCCTGGGTTCAAGCGATTCTCTGCCTCAGCCTCCCGAGTAGCTAGGATTACAGGCGCTCATTATCACTAATCATCAGAGAAATGTAAATCAAAGCCACAATGAGATAATCACATTACCCCAGTTAGAATGGCTATTAATGAGACCGCTTTTGCAAAGATTCTGACAGTGAGAGAATCTAGCATGGCTGACTCGACCTTCCTTCTAGCCTCGCAAGCTGGCTGTCTTTGCTGATTCCTGGTCACAGGCCAAGCTAACCATAGGAGGAATTTAGTTTACATTTAACTTGGAAGCAAAGATGATAATAGTCCCTCCTTAAAACTGACACCCTCTTTGCTCAGGGGCCAAAACTCACCTTTGTGAAAGGTGATTAGGATTGACCGGGCGCGGTGGCTCACGCCTGTAATCCCAGCACTTTGGGAGGCAGAGGTGGGCGGATCATGAGGTCAGGAGATCAAGACCATCCTGGCTAACACAGTGAAACCCCGCCTCTACTAAAAATACAAAAAAAAAATTAGCCGGATGAGGTGGCGGGCACCTGTAGTCCCAGCTACTCGGGAGGCTGAGGCAGGAGAATGGCGTGAACCCGGGAGGCGGAGCTTGCAGTGAGCCGAGATTGTGCCACTGCACTCCAGCCTGGGCGACAGAGCGAGACTCCGTTTCAAAAAAAAAAAAAGGTGATTAGGATTAAAGGAGGGGCCTGAATTCCGCTAAAATGTAGACATAGTTTCTACAATTGCTTACTGTGAGAAGCCATGTGGCCAGAGGTCACAAAATTTATGAACTTCCCCAATTGCTTCTATAGGTAACATAATTATCGTAGAACCTAAGATTGGTCTTTTAAGATGTTTTTCGGACTTTGGTGTTCTGGCAACCGACTGACCCAACCTGGACCTGTGACTCATGACTCAACCAGTCCTGTGGCCCCACCCAGAAGCAGACTCAGTACAGGACAATTTTCCACACCCCTCGGACTTCATCCTTAACCAATCAGCAGCACCCATTCCCTAGGTCTTTGCCCACCAAATTATTCATTAAAACTCTAGCCTCTGAGTTCTCAGGGAGATCAATGTGAGTGGTAACTAGTTCTTTCACGTGACTGGCCTTGTGTTAATTAAACTCTTACTTTACTGTAACACCACAGTCTCAGCAATTGGTTTTGTCTGTGCAGCAGACAGGAAGAATCTGTCAGGTAATCACATTATTAAAAAGACCAAAAATAACAGATGCTGGTGAGGATGCTGAGAAAAAGAAACTGTACACAGTTGGTGGGAATGTAAAGTTGTACAACCATTATGGAAAACAGTATACAGATTTCTCCAAAAACAAAAACAAAACCACTATTCAATCCAGCAATCCCATTACTGAATATTTTACCCAAAGGAAAATAAATCGGTATATCAAAGGGATACCTGTACTTGCATGTTTATTGCAGCACTATTCACAATAGCCAAGAGATGGAATCAACCTAAGTATCCATCAGTGGATGAACAAATAAAGGAAATGTGGTACATATACACAATGAAATACTATTGGTTTATGAAGAAGAATAAAATCATATCATTTGTGGCTGGGGTCAGTGGCTCACTCCTATAATCCCAGCACTTTGGGAGGCTGAGGAGGGCAGATCTTTTGAGGTCAGGAGTTCGAGACTAGCCTGCGCAACACGGCGAAACCCTGTCTCTACTAAAAATACAAAAAAATTAGCCAGGCATGGTGGTGCGCGCCTGTAATCCCAGCTACTCGCCCAGCTACTCAGGAGGCTGAGGCAGGGGAACTGCTTGAACCTGGGAGGTGGAGGTTGCAGTGAGTGGCGATCGTGCCACTACACTCCAGCCTGGGCAACAGAGCGAGGCTTTGTCTCAAAAAAAAAAAAAAAAAAAAAAAAAATATATATATATATATATATATATATATATACATACATAAATCATATCATTTGCAGTAACATGGATGGAACTGGATGTCATTATGCTAAGTAATATAAGCCAGGCATAGAAAGACACAAATTGCATGTTCTCACTCATATGTTGGAGCTAAAAAACTTGATCTCGTGGAAGAAGAGAGTAGAACGATAGATACCAGACGCTGGGAAGGGTATGCAGGTGGAAAAGGGTAGATGAAGAGAGGCTGGTTAATGGGTACAAACATACAGTTAGATAAAAGAAGTAAGTTATAATGGTCAATAGCAGATGATGGTAACTATAGTTAGCAACAATTTATTGTATATTTCAAAGTACCTAGAAGAGAGGACTTAAAGTATTACCAACACATAGAAATAATAAATACTCTACAGTATCTACTTCCCAAAAAAAGAAAAAATAAATAATCATCATGGGGTGATGGATACCACAAATACCCTGACTTGATCATTACACATTCTATGTGTGTAACAAATACTCACATGTACCCCATAAGTATGTAAAATACTATAAAAGAAAAAAAGAATATAATTATTGACTTCAAGATCCCATTTTGGGGCCGAGCAATGTGGCTCATGCCTGTAATCCCAGCACTTTGGAGGCCGAGGCAGGAGGATCATTTGAGCCCAGGAGTTTGAGGCCAGACTGGGCAACATAGTGAAATCTCATCTCTACAAATAATTTAAAAATTAGCCAGGTGTGGTGGCACACACCTGTGGTCCCAGCTACTCAGGAGGCTGAGGTGAGAGGATCACTTGAGCCCAGGAGGCCAAGGTTGCAGTGAGCTGGGATGGTGCCAGTGCACTCCAGCCTGGGCAACAGAGAGAGACCCTGTTTCAAAAAAAAAAAAGAAAATCCTATTTGGGTCTTTCTTGCTGTTATTAACTTAAAAACTTAAAAAGTGTGAGTATAGCTTACTCACACTTCCCATTTTACCTAAGCTCCTAAGGAGAGCCTCAGGTTGGAGCATATGCAGGTGAAGAATCTAGGACAAAACACTTTTCTGTAACTTACCCAAGGAAATGCCATATTAATATTAGCTTTGAGTTTCAGTGTAACCTGTCCCTGGCAAACATTTCTTATGGTTTCTGCTGTTACATTGGGTACCCTTCCTTCTTGTCTTTTGAGGTTAGATATGTTCCTCCTGACGAAATTGTTAGTAATTTCTTTTAACGCTCTTTTAACGTTCTTTCTTTTTTTTTTGAGACAGGATCTTGCTCTGTCGCCCAGGCTGGAGTGCAGTGGCACGATCTCAGCTCACTGCAACCTCTGCCTCCCGTGTTCAAGTGATTCTCCTGCCTCAGCCTCCCGAGTAGCTGGGATTACAGGTGTGCACCACCACATCTGGCTAATCTTTTTATTTTTAGCAGAGATGGAGTTTCACCATGTTTTCCCTCCTGGTCTTGAACTCCTGGCCTCAGGTGATCCACCTGCTTCGGCCTCTCACAGTGCTGGAATTACAGGCATGAGCCACTGCCTGGCCTTTTACATTATTTCTTGATGATCAATTGAGTGGACTTGAAAGTCAAATTACCTAATTTGACTTTAAGATACCAGATTGCTAAACCAGTTCTTCCAAAAGCAGAGAGCTCAGGCTGCCCCAGGTGGCCAGCCCTGGGAGAGTGGGGAGCAGCCACAGCTCCCCCTGTAGCCCACCCCCAGCAGGTCTTCCAGGGTGGCTTGTGGCTGGCCTCACCACCAGGAAAGGGATAAGTCTGCAGACCTGTATCCTGGTCAAGACTCAACTGGCTACAAAAGAGCTTCCCAACCAGCTCCCAGAACCCAAGGACGGGAGGCTCAGATGCCTCCCAGAAGGAAAGGAACCCAGGAACTGGACCGGTTTATGAACAAAGGCAGCTGCCCCCTGGGTTTCTCTCTTCCCTCTTCTGAGAAGTCATCTGTTTCTCTCTACTGTGTCTACTTCACTCTTCTTTCTATGCAGACTGGATTCTTTCATTGCTGCTGAAAGTGTGCTGAAAAAAAAAGGAAAATTCCAGGCACAGATGATATCCTTCTAGGCAAGGACTTGGCATCCCTGAATTCAGCTGTGTTCCCTGAAACCAAAGAGTGTAGGGAGAGGAAGAGCTTTGTAGGCAGAACAAATGGCATGCGCAGAGGTATGGAGGTGAGAGAGGTGTGGACAGATTCAAGGGCTTCCACACTGGAGTGAAGAAGGGAGAGGAAGGTAGGTGCAGATCCTGGAGGGCAGGAGTTGGGATTTTACTCTGAATGTAATGGGAGGGAGCGGAGGGGTCTACTGAAGAATTCGGAGTGAGAAATTGACATGACCTGATTTGCATTGTAGGGGGATGACAGGAGAAATTCAGCAGCCTCTCAGGATTAGAGGCAGCCAAGAGGTCCCCAGGGTTTTAAGCAGATACAAACGTCAGGAGCAAGCAGGCACAGAAACAGTCATACATGCTGTTGTGTGAGCAAGACCGGTGAAATCCTAGCTCTCTAGCCTGTTGGAGCAGAGATAGCTCACACAAAAGACCCAACCCATGACAAATATGACAACGCTCTGAGGACAGGTTGTCAGCAAGCCTTCTCTAACAAAAATCCTTCATTAAATGTGACTGAGTGGGGATGGGAATGGAGGGGACACGCTACCGGATTTCTAGAATTTCTATACTAAGGAATCACTCTGAAGGTGTTGGGCTACTGCGTTCATCTGTGCACACATTTGTACAAGAGGGTAAGTGCTTATGTAGCTTTCTAGCAGGCACTGTCTTTATCACTTCGTTTGCCAATTGAAAATGATCTTTGCACTCCAGCCTGGGTGACAGAACGAGACCCCATCTCTTAAAAAATGGGGTCAGCGGTGGCAGTTCATGCCTGTAATCCTAGCAATTTGAGAGGCTGAGGCAGGGGAGGATCACTTGAAGCCAGGAGTTGAAGGCTAGCCTGGCAACAAAGTGAGGCCCTATTTCTTCAGTCAATCAAATAAAAAGAAAATGATCTTTGGCAGCTGAACCCAACCTCTCTACCCCACTGCAAGGCCCCATTGCAGTGGTCCCTATACAAAAAATATTTACATATATATATATATGTAAAAGAAAATGTTCTTTAACACCCTTCTGCTGATCAGTGAATCCTCTAGTACAGATTTTTTTTTTGAGATAGAGTCTTGTTCTGTCCCCCAGGCTGGACTGTAGTGGCACGATCTTAACTCACTGCAACCTCCACCTCCTGGGTTCAAGCAATTCTCCTGTCTCAGCCTCCCAAGTAGCTGGGACTACAGGCGCACGCCACCACGCCCAGCTAATTTTTGTATTTTTAGTAGAGACAAGGTTTCACCATATTGGTCAGACTGGTCTCGAACTCCTGACCTCAGGTGATCCACCCGCCTCAGCCTCCCAAAGTGCTGGAATTACAGGTGCAAGCCACTGTGCCCAGCCCCTCTAGTACAGATTAAATGAGGTATCTGAAGTACCTTCTGTGGGTGGAGTTTTGATTAGGGCCTGGGCTTGTTGTTGTTGTTGTTGTTTTTGAGACAGTCTCTCTCTGTCACCCAGGCTGGAGTGCAATGGCGCGATCTCAGCTCACTGCAGCCTCTGCCTCACGGGTTCAAGTGATTCTCGAGCCTCATCTCCTGAGTAGCTGGGACTACAGGTGCACTCCACCACACCCGGCTAATTTTTGCATTTTTAGTAGAAACAAGGTTTTGCCATGTTGCCCAGGCTGATTTTAAACTCCTGAACTCAAGTGACCCGTCCACCTCAACCTCCCAAAGTGCTGGGATTACAGGTGTGAGCCGCCGCACCTAGCCTTCACTCTTTTTTTTATTGTGGTAAATATGCTAATAAAATTTATCATTTTAATCCTTTTAAGTGTGCAATTCAGCCGTATTAAGTACATGAATATTATTGTGTAATCATCATCACTACCATCCATCTTCAGAACTTTTTCATCTTTCCAAACTAAATCTCTGTACCTATAAAACACAAATGCCCCATTATCCCCTCCTCCCAAACCCTGGGAAACACCAGTCTACTTCCTGTCTCTATGAATTTGACTATTCTAAATACCTCATATAAGTAGAATCATACAATATTTGTCCTCTTGTGTCTGGCTTATTTCACTTAGCATGCTTTCAAGCTTCATCTAGGTTGTAACCTGTATCAGAATTGTATTCTTTGTAAAGGTTGAAAAATATCAGGATCAGGGTCTTGGAAATGTTAACTAACAGCTCCTAGAATGTAGATTAAAGTTAACCTGCACAAACATACATATGTCACACTGGACATCTGTGCTGTAATGTAAATTAGGACAATATAATAAGGGGGAGATTGTAAGGGCCTAATGATAACAGTCTGCCGCGGTGACAATGGTGGGAGAGAAACAAGTACCAAAAGCTCTCAGGAGACAGAATGAATCAGGTTTCATTACTGGATGAGGGAGATGTGGAGTTTGGCATGACTTGAAGTTTTCTGGCTTGATGAACTAGCATGATATGAAATACAAGAGAAAAAATAGGTTTATAGGAAAAGGAGGTGAATGCACTTTGATGTTCTTGTTGATGTGCGCTGAGGCAACTGGATAGTGTGTTCTGGATCACAGAAAAGAGACTGGGCTAAGGTACACTTTCGGGCATTCTCAGCAAGTAAGTGGCTACTGGAAGATTCCAGATTTTGCCACTTTGGCAAATAAAGGTTATTTCGAACTGAAGGCATTTGAGAATAGATTTTTTTCCAAACTCCTTTACCTGCCTAAAAGCAAAGCTTCCCAAAAGAGGTCATAAATTCCCTGTCCTGGAGCAGAGAAGGGATGTCAGCACCACACCCAGACAGACGTTGTTGCAAAATGATCACATCTTACATCTAGTCTTCTAAGGGCAGTTTATCTTTCCTAAGAGTCATAGATTTTTCTACAAGTATCCCTAAACCTCCTCCCTCCTTCTATTAAGGGAATACACAAGCCCGCAATTCTAATAGCCTCCTTGAGTCACATTTTTCTGGGCATTCCCATACATATGTGAATAAAAATCTGTCTTTTCTCTTGCAGATCTGTCTTTTGTCTGTTTAACTCACAGACCTCAATAAAGGTAAGATAAATAAATAAAGGGCAAAATAAATTTTTTTCCTCCCAAACACTGCTAAAGTTGTAAAAGGGGCTGAGTTCACTTAAGAAGGAGATAGATGGGCAGGCGCGGTGGCTCACGCCTGTAATCCCAACAATTTGGGAGGCCGAGGTGGGCAGATCATTTGAGGTCAGGAGTTCGAGACCAGCCTGGACAACATGGTGAAACCCTGTCTCTACAAAAATACAAAAAATTAACTGGGTGTGGTGGTACACACCTGTAATCCCAGTTACTCGGGAGGCTGTAGCAGGAGAATCGCTTGAGCCCAGGAGTCAGAGACTGCAGTGAGCCGAGATTGCACCACTGCACTCCAACCTGGGTGACAGAGCAAGACTCTGTCTCTAAATAAATAAATAAATAAATAAATAAATAAATAAATAAATGGAGATAGAGAATGAGAGAAAGGAGAAGGCCTAGGATGGGGCCTTGAGGAAGAGCCATATTAACAAAAAATCAAAAATAAGTCTGCAAAACAGTCCAAAGGGCAGTGGCCTAGAGATAGACAAAACTGGGAAGAAGAGATTTCCCAAGGGAAGTGGTCAACAGCGTCAAATGCTGCGGGGTATGAACAAAGATAGAGGCAGAGACGTGTTCTCCGTATGTGGCAGCCGGGACAGACAGCAGCCTTCTGGAGTGGCAGGCACAGACACCATATGGCAGAGCATTGGGGAATGAGGCAGAGGTGAAAACCTAGTGCTATATAGACTGTTCTTTCAAGAATCTGGATTGTAAAAGAAAAGCAATCTCTTTGGTCACTGAGCAAAGTCTTGCGGTTAATTTTTTTTTTTAATGTATGTGTGTGGTAACAAAATGTATAACACAAAATTTATCATCTTAAACCATTTCTAAGCGTATAGGTCAGTTGTGTCAAGTACATTCACATGGTTGTGCAACCAACTTCCAGAACTTCTTTTTTTTTAATTAAAAATAAATAAATAAGGCTGGGTGTGGTGGCTCACGCTGTAATCCCAGCACTTTGGGAGGCTGAGGCGGGCAGATCACAAAGTCAGGAGATCAAAACCATCCTGGCTAACGCAGTGAAACCCCGTCTCTACTGAAAATACACACACACACACACAAAATTGGCCAGGCGTGATGGCAGGCGCCTGTGGTCCCAGCTACTCTGGAGGCTGCGGCAGCAGAATTGCTTGAACCCCGGAGGCGGAGGTTGCAGTGAGCTGAGATTGGGCCACTGCACTCCAGCCTGGGCAACAGAGTAAGATTCCATCTTAAAAAAAAAAAAAGATGTTAGACAAAAAGCAAATTCGAGTTCAAAATAGGTCATAAAGCAGCACAGGCAACTTGCACCATCAACAATGCATTTGGCCCAGGAACTGCAAATGAACATACAGTGTAGTGATGGTTCAAGAAGTTTTGTAAAGGAGACGAGAATCTTGAAGATGAGGAGGGTAGCGGACAGCCATCAGAAGCTGACGACGACCAACTGAGAGCAATCATCAAAGGTGATCTTCTTACAACTACCCGAGAAGTTGCCAAGGAACTCACTGTCGACCATTCTATGGTCGTTTGGCATTTGAAGCAAATGGGAAAGGTGAAAAAAGCTCCATAAGTGGGTGCCTCATGAGCTGAGCAAAAATTTTAAAAAATCGTCATTTTGAAGTGTCATCTTCTCTTATTCTACACAACAACAACGAACCATTTCTCAATCGGATTGTGACATGAGACGAAAAGTGGATTTTATACAACAACCAGTGATTGGACTGAGAAGAAACTCCAAAGCAGTTCCCAAAGCCAAATTTTCACCAAAAAAAGGTCATGGTCACTGTTTGGTGGTCTGCTGCTGGTCTGATCCGCCACAGCTTTCTGAATCCTGACGAAACCATTACATCTGAGAAGTATGCTTAGCAAATCAGTGAGATGCACCAAAAACTGCAATACCTGCAGCTGGCATTGGTCAACAGAAAGGGCTCAGTTCTTCTTCACAATAACATAGGATTGCATGTCGCACAACCAATGCTTCAAAAGTTGAAAGAATTGGGCTACGAAGTTTTGCCTCATCCGTCATATTCACCTGACCTCTCACCAATTGACTACCAGGCGTCTTGACAACTTTTTGCAAGGAAAATGCTTCCACAACCAGCGGGGTTCAGAAAATGCTTTCCAAGAGTTCGTTGAATCCCAAAGTACAGATTTTTATGCTACAGGAATAAACAAACTTATTTCTTGTTGGCAAAAATGTGTTGATTGTAGTGGTTCCTATTTTGATTAATAAAGATGTGTCTGGGCCTAGTTATAATGATTTAAAATTCATGGGCCAAACCCACAATTACTTTTGCGCAATCCCACCAACAGTGCACTAGAGTTCAAATTTCTCCACATCCTCACCAACATTTTTTATTTTCTGTTGTTTTGAAAGTAGCCAGGCTGGGCGTGGTGGCTCACACCTGTAATCCCAGCACTTTGGGAGGCCAAGACGGGCGGATCACGAGGTCAGGAGATCGAGACCATCCTGGCTAACACGGTGAAACCCCATCTCTACTAAACAAAATACAAAAAATTAGCCGGGCGTGGTGGCGGGTGCCTGTAGTCCCAGCTACTCGGGAGGCTGAGGCAGGAGAATGGCATGAACCCAGGAGGTGGAGCTTGCAGTGAGCCAAGATCGCGCCACTGCACTCCAGCCTGGGTGACAGACAGAGTGAGGCTCCGTCTCAAAAAAAAAAAAAAAAAAAAAAAAAAGGAGCCATCCTAGTGGTTGTGAGGTGAGTCATTTGAATATCATTTCTATTTATTGAAGAAATGTCTATTCAAGTCCTTTGCCCTTTTACATCGGGTCATTTGACTTTTTTGTTGTTGAGTTGCAGGAGTTCTTTCTGTATTCTGGATAGTAACTCCTTTTCAGGTATATGATTTGTACATATTTTCTGCCACTCCGTCAGTTACCTTTTCAGTCTTTTGATTGTGTTCTTTAATGCAAAGAAATTTGTAGTTTTTTTTTGTTGTTTTTTTGAGACAAAGTCTCGTCCTGTTGCCCAGGATGGAGTGCAGTGGTGCAGTCTTGGCTCACTGCAACCTCTACCTCCTGGGTTCAAGCAATTCTCCTGCTTCAGCCTCCTGTGTAGCTGGGACTACAGGCACGTGCCACCACACCCGGCTAATTTTTGCACTTTTAGTAGACATGGGGTTTCACCATTTTGCCTAGGCTGGTCTCGAACTCCTGACCTCAGGTGATCCACTGGCCTCTGCCTCCCAAAGTGCTGAGGTTACAGGTGTGAGCCACCATGCCCAGCCAGTTTATAGTTTTGATGCTGTCTGATTTACGCATTTTTACCATTGTTACCTATGCTTTTTGTATCATATCTGGGAAACACTTGCCAAATCCAACGTCAGCTTTTCCCCTGTTTTCATCTAGGAGTTTAATAGTTCTAAGTTTTATATTTAGTTCTTTGATCCATTTTAAGTTGCTTTTCATGTATGGTATAAAGAAGGACTCAATTTCATTTGTTTGCATATGGAAATACAGTTTTTCCAACACCATTTTTTGAAAGGCTGTTCTTTCTTCCTTGAACGGTCTTGGCATCTTTGTCAAAAGCCATTTAGCTGGGTGAAGTGGCAGACATATGTAGTCCTCACTACTCAGGAGGTGGGGGTAGGAGAATTGCTTGAGGCCAGGAATTCAAGGCCAGCAAGACCCCATTTCAAAAAAATAATAAGAATTTAAACAAATCATTTGGCCGTACATGCATGGGTCTATTTCTGAGTTCTCTATTATATTCCACTGGTTTATATGCCTGTCTGTATGCATACCATATTCTTTTGATTACTGTAGTTTTATAATAAGTTTTGAAATCAAGAAGTGTAACACCTCCAACTTTGTTCTTTTTCAAGATTATTTTAGCTATTCAGGGTCCCTTGAGAGTTTATATAAATTTGGGAATAGACTTTTCTGCCATTGGGATTTTGATAGGGGTTGCATTGAATCTGTTGATCTATTTGTGTGTGTGGTTTTTTGTTTGTTTGTTTTTTTAAGATGGAGTCTTACTCTTGTTGCCCAGGCTGGAGTGCAATAGCACAATCTCGGCTCACTGCAACCTCCTCCTCCTGGGTTCAAGTGATCTCCTGCCTCAGCCTCCCGAGTAGCTGGGATTACAGGCACCTGCCACCACACCCAGCTAATTTTTGTATTTTTAGTAGAGACAGGGTTTCACCATGTTGGCCAGGCTGGTCTCAAACTCCTGACCTCAGGTGATCCATCTACCTCAGCCTCCCAAAGTGCTGAGATTATAGGTGTGAGCCACCACGCCCAGCCTATTTGTGTAGTATTGATATTTTAACAATATCATGTCTTTCAATCCATGAACATGAGAAGTCTTTTCATTTATTTGTGTCTTCTTTCATTTATTTCAGCCATGTTTTCAATGCACAAGTTTTTTGCCTCATTGGTTAAGTAAATTCTGAAATATTTCATTCTTTTTCATAATAATTTTGCTGTTAATTTCCTATTCAGATTGTTCATTGTTAGCATATAAAAATGCAACTAATTTTTGTATGACTTTATATCCTACAACTTTACTAAACACATTCATTCTAACTGTGTATGTGTGTTTGTATGTGTGTAATCATTAGGGCTTGCTGCATGTAAGCCCAGATGATCTATGAACACTTCCTTTCCAATTTGGATGCCTCTGTCTGTTTATTTTTAAACCTAAAATAGATTTCAACATTTCTATAAAAGATAAAGTCAATAGAGGAAGTGATTAAAGATGGGGGTGGGTGAAACTATCCATGGAACCCATGTACTGGCATTAGCCTAGTATTCAAATAGCAGCTTCTGTTACCTCCATCCACCAGGATGCTCCAATAAAGATACAAGAGTTACCTGTATGGTTGAGTTTGAGAATTAATGAGATCCCAGTGGAGCAGAAAGACAGGAAATGCTCTGTTTGGGGCTAAAAAGTTGGAAAACCCAAAGTGACTCTTTTCCAGTGTGTTAACAGTTCCTACCTGCAGAGATGCTACCTGGACACACAGACAGAGGCACAAACCTCCCGGAGTGGATGAGAAATCTGCGTGATGGGCATGCAGTGCACAGAGGACAACATGACCAATGACCTCTTCATCACAGCTATCTACTATAGAGGGCACAAAAATGAAATGGTGGACAAAAATACAAGGCCCAACATTACAAACTAAACAATGGTTTCATATGAGAGATCTACTATTTAATTACGATATGAGGGAAAAAAAGGAGACCACCTATTATTAAAGATCAAAGTGTCAGCAGAGGTCATATTCTACAGGCATTGTGTCTTCACTAAATTGGAGCTGAATATGATTAAACTCTTGCATTTAAAAGTGGAAGTGTTTTAAAGCATTTCCTTTCTTCCTTCCTTCCTTCTTTCCTTCCTTCCTCTCTCCCTCCCTCCCTCCTTTCTCTTTTCTTTCTTTCTTTCTTTCTTTCTTTCTTTCTTTCTTTCTTTCTTTCTTTCTTTCTTTCTTTCTTTTCTTTCTTTCTTCCTTTCTTCCTTCCTTCCTTCCTACCTTCCTTCCTTCCTTCCTTCCTTCCTTTCTTTCTTTCCTAGACAGAGTCTTCCTGTCACCCAGGCTAGAGTGCAGTGGCACGGTCTCTGCTCACTGCAGCCTCTGCCTCCTGGGTTCAAGCAATTATCCTGCCTCAGCCTCCAGAGTAGCTGAGACTACAGGTGTGCACCACCACGTCTGGCTAATTTTTGTATTTTTAGTAGAGAACAGGGTTTCACCATGTTGACCAGGCTGATCTTGAACTCCTGACCTCAGGTGGTCCACCCGCCTTGGCCTCCCAAAGTGCTGGGATTACAGGTGTGAGCCATTGTGCCTGGCCAAAGCATTTACTTCAGTGAAATGATGGGGCCTCAAAAGTTCTAAAAATGTGTGGCCCCTCAAATTCTTTTTGTGTATGTGTGTGTGAGCCAAAGATTTATTTCTTCATTTCTTGCATTTGAAGTACTCTTGGATGACATCCTTGGCCTGAGACTCCTTGCCATAGTCCTTAACTACTACACAACTGCAACCAACCACTTTACAGGGTTTCCCTTCTCTGTTAATTTTACAGAGGCCTATCCTTTCCCCTAGTTTCTTGTTGTCATCAACCTTAATTAGGTTGATTTGGTGTTCATGGCAAAGGGCCTCCACGACTTGACATACATGGGCTCATCACAGTTGGGTACAAGCACACAAAGATGGGCTTGGCACTTGTCTAAGGCTTCGGCAGCTTCGTGAATTCCACGTGCTAGGCCATCGTGGATGAGGGCGGTCTTCAGCACCTCTTGTAAAGCAGTATTAACGTCCATTACACCTCCAGCAGCAATGCCTTCCTTGGCCATGGCGGTGGATTACGGGTGAAGCTGAATCTTGAAGGCACCCAAGCCTCCGCCTCCGCACGACTCGGCAGAGGCAGGGAAAGAGCCTCAAATTCTTAGCGCGTTAAAAATTTCTGCCTAGATCTGAGAGACCTCCTCTTACCATTGCCAAGCCAACCTATTGTGTCTTTTACAAATATTGACTTTTACAATATTGACTTTAGTTACTGCATTGACTTTAGTTACTGCACTGACTTTAGTTACTGCTTCGACATTCCATCTAAGTGGAATTAACTGGAAACTTCTCTTCGGCCTCCCTTGCAAAGTCGTTCTTTCCACAATGGGCTATTTACCTCTCTCTGTTTCTGATGCAAAAGCCTCTTGGGCCTCTAGGGAAACATCTTTCAGATCCGAGGACTATTCTTTTTTTTTTTTTTTTTTTTTTAATTTTGAGACAGAGTTTTGCTCTTGTCGCCCAGATTGGAATGCAATGGTGTGGTCTCGATTCACTCCAACTCCGCCTCCCAGGTTCAAGTGATTCTCCTGCCTCAGCCTCCCAAGTAGCTGGGATTACAGGGGCCCGCCACCATGCTTGGCTAATTTTTGTATTTTTAGTAGAGATGGAGTTTCACCATGTTGGCCAGGCTGGTCTCGAACTCCTGACCTCACGTAATCCACCCATCTCAGCCTCCCACAGTGCTGAGATTACAGGCATGAACCACCGTGCCCAGCCAAAGACTGTCCTATATTGAAGTTGGACATTTAAATGTACATCTAATTTGCCACTCCAAAAAATAACTTGAAATTTTCATTCAGAACTATTAGGTCTGAATGTAGGTAGTGTTTTAGTGTCATTGTCTAAAATTCTGGATCCTCTCAGCCCCAAGCATGAAAAAAAGGCCATTGTACCTACAGTTCAATTTCAGTTGTTTTTGGTTGAGCACCTCTTGGTTTTTTTATTTGCAGATGAGATGATCATAGCTGATTCTGCCTCTGTGGTCACAGTACAGGTTCTCCTTGTAGCACCGTCTTCGTTGTGAAGTTGTTCTGTGACTCTGCCTGCCGTTAAATGAACTCATTTCCCACTCACACACCTGCCTCTGAGAGCTTGATGCTGATCCTATTCGGAAACCAAGCAGTGCAGCAGCCTCACAGAATAGGGCTTCAGCCAAACTCGGACATGAGAAACACTGAGGCCTCAGCTCAGATAGGAACAGTAACCACTGAGAATTTGTATTTGCTAAAGTCAAGAAGAATCTACCACAGTCCTCTTTATAAAACATCTGAAAATCCTTAGACTTGCAAATTTACATGTAATTTATTCATCCTTTAAACACAAACACATAGCATTTTTTTAAACACCAAAACCCCCAAATATTTATTATTTCACATTTTCTGAGGATCAGGAACCCAGAAATGGCTTAGCTGGTTGGTCCTGACTCAGGGACTCTCATGAGATTGCATTTAAGCTGTCGGCCAGGGGCTGTCATCTCAAGGATCATTTGACACTGGACTTTACTTCCAAATTCACTGTCGTAGTTGTTCATAGGTATTGGTTCTCAACTCGCTAGGGCAGGAGGCTTCAGCCCCTTACCACACAGGCCTCTCCACTGGGTGGCTTACAAGATGGCAGCCTGCTTTCCTCAGACTGAGAGATGAGAGGGAGGATCCAAGGTGGTAGCCCAAGTCTTTAACCTCAAAAGTGATACCAGGGTTGGGCACACAGTCCAACCCTGGTAAAATATGATACGTAGCATTTTACTTCATAGCACTAATGCTCAAAGTTGTGGATTAATAGGAAGAACATGCTCTAAATAAATGTATATGAATATACTGGGGCCAGGTACTGTGGCTCACGCCTGTAATCCCAGCCAAGGTGAGTGGATCACCTGACGTCAGGAGTTCAAGACCAGCCTGGCCAAAATGGTGATACCCTGTCTCTACTAAAAATACGAAAAGTGGCCAGGTGTGGTGGCAGTCGCCTGTAATCCCAGCTACTCCGGAGGCTGAGGCACGAGAATCACTTGAACCCAGGAAGCAGAAGTTGCAGTGAGCCAAGATCGCGCCATTGCAGAGTGAGACTCTGCCTCAAAAAAAAAGTATATATATATTTTTGGTAGAGACGGGGTTTTGCCATGTTGCCCAGGCTGGTCTCGAACTCCTGATCTCCTCAGCCTCCCACAGTGCTAGGATTATAGGTGTGAGCTACTGCGCCCGGCCTGTACTAGACTTTTATATGACCGGTGTGTTGACACCAGCATCACCACAGACACATGCGTAATGTGTGACAATGGCTCTTACATCTCCAGGCAATAGGAATTTCTCAGCTCCATTATCATCTTATGGGACCACCATCATATATGTGGCCCTTCATTGTGCACCATCTTACCTGGTGCAGACTGTACTCAAATTAGTAATTAAAATAGAATGAGATGAAACACATATAAATGGAAGTTACCTGTTTTCATTTCCACCTCAAGAGTCCTCTGAGAGCCTGCTGGTTGGGCATGGCCCTGTGTGCAGCACCTTTGTCATTACTTAGAATTGTTGCTCATGGAAAATTCTAGAGAATCTCAGTCTCAGGATTCTTGCATTCTTGGGAAATCATGATAGGCTTAGAGTGCAACCAGAAGAGAGAATCTGAATTAAGGGGGCTTTAATGATCATACCCAATGATTATTTTCAAGATAAATAGTTTTCCTCATTTTCTAGGTCCTAAGGACAGATTAATGGGTTGTAATTCCTGTTGTTTCCATCAATTTGTCCTCTAGAAAATAAGTTCCCCAAGTGGCTAAGTCTGTCATGTTAATTGATCTCATCTCTTGTTCATCAGCTATTGATTCACAGACAAAACTCGCACTTTGAATTGGTGGAAGCTTTTGATTCCACAATGACCAGTGAGATAGATTACATTGTTTAATGTTGGTTTTTCGTAGTTGTTGTTATTGTTTTTGTTTGTTTGTTTTTGCTGTGTTTTTTTTAGACAGAGTCTCCTTCTGTTTACCAGGCTGGAGTGCAGTGGTGCTATCATGGCTCACTGCAGCCTCAACCTCTCAGGCTCAAGGGATCCTCCCACATCAGCCTCCCCAGCAGCTGGAACTACAGGTGTGGACAACTACTTCCGGCTAATTTTTTTTTTTTTTTTTTTTTTTGTAGAGATGGGGTTTCACCATCCTGTCAGAGGTGTTTGAACCAGAGCAACTCCAATTTGAATAGGAGCTGGGTAAAATAAGGCTGAGCTCTACTGGGCTGCATTCCCAGGAGGTTAGGCATTCTAAGTCACAGGATCAGACAGGAGGTTGGCACAAGGTGCAAGTCACAAAGACCTTGCTAATAAAACAGGTTGTGGTAAAGAACCTGGTCAAAACCCACCAAAACCAAGATGGCGATGAAAGTGACCTCTGGTCATCCTCACTGCTCATTATATGTTAATCATAATGCATTAGCATGATAATAGACACTCCCACCAGCACCATGACAGCTTTCAAATGCCATGGCAATGTCAGGAAGTTACCCTATATGGTCTAAAAGGGGAAGAACCCTCAGTTCCTGGAACTGCCCACACCTTTCCCAGAAAAACGCATGAATAATCCACTCCTTGTTAAGCAGATAATCAAGAAATGACATAGCCAACGAGGAGCCCATGCTGCTGCTCTGTCTGTGGACTAGCTATTCTTTTATTCCTTTACTTTCCTAATAAACTTGCTTTCACTGTCTGATATGGACTCGCCCCAAATTCTTTCTTGTGCAAGGTCCAAGAATCCTCTCTTGGGGTCTGGATCAGGACCCCTCTGGGTAACAATGCTGCTCAGGCTGGTCTTGAACTCCAGGGCTCAAGCAATCTTCCTGCTTCAGCCCTCGAGTAGCTAGGACTACTAGAGGCGTGCGCCACCCTATCTGGTTTAAATCACATTGATTAGTTTTCCTATTTTGTGGCCAACCCCTTGCCCCACCGAAACAAACAAACAAAACAAAAAAGACAATGCACTGGTTTAAAATACGTCCAGTTTATCAAGAGAGTAACTTCATTGTTCTTGGGGCCTGTTCCCAGGCAGGCCCCCCTCACCCCCACCCCACAAAGGGATGAATAATTGTGCCAGTTTCTCCAAGGGTCTAGGGGTTCCAGGACACATAACTTAGGCTGCTAGAGGCTCCAGGAAGACCAAGGAAGCCCTGGGGCAAGTTTCCTCGCAGCGAACTGCCTCCATTATCCTGAGATTCCCGGGGCTACAGAGGAATTGAGGAGAATGCATGAGAAGGGAGCAGGAGTGGGTGTCTGGAAAGGGTGGGGCAGATAAGGGACTTCAAATCAGATCAGCAGCTCCTATGATGAATATATGACAAATAAGTAGTATATGGGCAGTGACTGAAACATTTGCAGCTTTAAGAAAGAACTCAAATGAGAGCCAAGCCCAAACATTTTTACCTGCTCCAAACAATTTCCGGAATCCCACTATGGCTTGGGTGGGAGGGAAGAGACTCCCACTTAATTATCTACATGGTTTTAAGGTTTTGGATGACAATATATTTAAAGAAAGTTGCTCTAGGCTGAGCTCAGTGGCTCAGGCCTATAATCCCAGCACTTTGAGAGGCCAAGGTGGGCAGATCCCTTGAGCCCACGAGTTCGAGACCAGCTTGGGCAACATGGCGAAACTCCGTGACTACAAAAAATTAGCTGGGCATGCAGATCACGAGGTCAGGAGATTGAGACCATCCTGGCTAACACGGTGAAACCCCGTCTCTACTAAAAATACAAAAAATTAGCCAGGCGTGGTGGTGGGCGCCTGTAGTCCCAGCTACTCGGGAGGCTGAGGCAGGAGAATGGCGTGAACCCGGGAGGCGGAGCTTGCAGTGAGCTGAGATTGTGCCACTGCACTCCAGCCTGGGCAACAGCAAGGCTCTGTCTCAAAAAAAAAAAAAAAAATTAGCTGGGCATGGTATAGTGTCACATGCTTTAGTCCCAGCTACTGGGGAGGCTGAGGCAGGAGGATCAATTGATTCCAGGATGTTGAGGCTGCAGGGAGCCATAACCATGCCACTGCACTCTGGCCTGGGTGACAGAGCAAGACTCTGTCTCTAAAATAAAGAAATAAAGGAAGTTGCTCTTGCAACTTATACTGAGAAAAACAGTGTTAGAATTGGGGGGAAATTATTCTTCAACTTAATTGCTAGTTTTTTCAAACCAAGCCCATCTCATAGATCTCAAAGGATCTCATAGAGGTCAGCAGTTTGAGACCAGCCAGGCCAACATGGTAAAACCCCGTCGCTACTAAAAATACAAAAATTAGCTGGGGCTTGGTGGCATGCGCCTGTAATCCCAGCTGCTCAGGTGGCTGAGGCAGGAGAATTGCCTGAACCTGGGAGGCAGAGGTTGCAGTGAGCCAAGATCATACCACTGCACTCCAGCCTGGGCGACAGAGCCAGGCACCATCTCAAAAAAAAAAAAAACAACAAAAAAAAAAACAAAAAAAATTCAGCTTCTGGCCTGGTATGGTGGCTTATGCCTCTGATCCCTGTGCTTTGAGAGGCTGAGGTGGGAGGATTGCTTGAGGCCAGGAGTTTGAGACGAGCCTGGGCAACATAGGGAGACCCTGTCTCTACAAAAATGAAAAAAATTAGCTGGGTGTGATGGTGCACACCTGCAGTCTCATCTACTCAGGAGGCTGAGGTGGGAGAATCACTTGAGCCTAGGAAGTCAAGGCTGCAATGAGATGTGATCCCACTACTGCACTCCAGCCTGGGTGAGACCCAGTGAGACCTTGCCTCTAAAAAAGAAAAAGAAAAAAAATAGCTTCTAATGTTGGTGAACACTATGTGCTGACAGCTTTAATCATTATTGAAGCTTTTAAAAAATATAATTAGAGAATAGTTATATTAGGAGGCTGAGGCAGGAGGATTGCTTGAGCCCAGGAGTTCTAGACCAGCCTGGGCAACATAGTGAGACCCCAACTCTAAAAAGAAAAAAAGTTTACTTATGTGTTAATCTTGGAGAGCATCTTGCTGCATTACCTTGAGTGTTGCAAATGTTTACAGGCAAGTGAATATATAATAGTTGTTATTAAATATAGGCCATAAGAATGATATGGATTTTCTAAATTCAGAAAGTATGAACCATGCTCAATTTTGTTCAAATTAAATTTAGTCTAGAAAATGAACATTTAAAACCCCAAAGTCATCCCTTTTTTAATTTTCTTTTCTTTCTTTTTTTTTTTGTGTGTGTGTGCGTGGGTTTTTTTTGAGATAGAGTCTCGCTCTTGTTGCCCAGGCTGGAGTGCAGTGGCACGGTGCGATCTCAGCTCACTGCAACCTCTACCTCCTGGCTTCAAGTGATTCTCCTGCCCCAGTCTCCCAAGTAGCTGGGACTACAGGTGTGCGCCACCACACTCGGCTAATTTTTGTATTTTTAGTAGAAATGGGGTTTCACTATGTTGGTCAGGCTGTTCTCGAACTCCTGACCTCTGGTGATCCACCCGCCTCAGCCTCCCAAAGTGCTGGGATTACAGGCGTGAGCCACCGCACCTGGCCCTTTTTTTCTTTATCTGACTCTGAACACATCTTCATGATCCATTAGATTCCAACATGCATTTTACAAACTAGAGCCATGCTACACATTGGTGAGGAGAGAAACAGAGAGGTGAGAGACTCTTGCAGGAGCATTTGGAAATGATATCAGCCAGGAAGATTATAGTTGTGTCCACTACTTCTTCACTGGCAAGATGAAGCCAAGGAGTGAAAGGAGCTTTGTACAAAGCACTGCAGAGTCAGGAAATCTATTGTTTCTGTATTTTATCAAGTCTGATTGTTTCAGAGTTAACAAGCTTACAAGCAAAACAAAATACCAACCTGTTAATAAGGTGTTGATCTCTATCTTGGCTTATTTTAATATTAAAAGGGTATTTCAAATATACTGGAAAGTGAAGGAGGTTGTAAGTTGAACATAAACAGGTACCTTGGACCTTTATTTTAGCCCGTCTGAAAATACATATTTTATCATTCTTTTTCAGAAATTAAAATTTTCATTTTGAGTTAATTGTGGATTACCATGCAGTTGTGAGAAATAATACAGAGAGATCCCGTATACCCTTCACCCAGTTTTCCCCAATAGTAACATCTTGCAAAAATAGAGTGCAATATCACAACCAAGATATTGACATTGATACAGTCAAGGAACAGAACATTCCCATCCCATAAAAATCCCTCTTGTTGCATTCTTACAGCAACACCCAGTTCTCTCCACCCTCTACCCTTCTTTAACCCTTAGCTACCACTGACTTCTTCATTTCTGTAATTTTGCCATTTCAAGTCTGTCATATAAATGGGATCATTTGTATGTAACCTTTGGGGATTGACAGGTTTCTTTCAGCAGAATTCTCTGGAGATTCATGCAGGTTGTTGCATATATTAATAGTTTGTTTCTTTTTATTGTTGACTAGTATTTCATGGTATGGGCAGATCAGTTTGTTTAACTAACATGTTGAAGGGCATCTAGGTTTTCCATTTTGGGGCTATTTCAAGTAAAGCTGGTATAAACTGCATGTTCAAGTTGTTACGTGAAGCTCCAGGAGTGTAACTGTAAGGTCATATGGTATGGTAGTTGCATGTTTCTTGTCTTTTTTGTTTTTTGGCTTCTTAGTTTTTTAAGAAGCTGCCGGCTAGGCACAGTGGCTCACACCTGTAATCCCAGCACTTTGGGAGGCCGAGGCAGGCAGAACACTTGAGGTTAGGTGTTCGAGACCAGCTTGGCCAACATGGTGAAACCCTGTCTCTACTAAAAATACAAAAATTAGCTGGGCGTGATTTGCGCCTGTAATCCCAGCTGCTTGGGAGGCTGAGGCACAAGAATCGCTTGAACCTCGGAGGTGGCGGTTGCAGTGAGCCAAGATCGCACACCACACTCCAGCCTGGACGACAGAGTGAGACTCAGTTTAAAAAAAAAAAAGAAGCCGCCAAACTGTCTTCCAGAGTGACTATGCTATATTACATTCCCACCAGCAGTGTATGAGTGATCCAGTTTCTCTGCAGCCTCATCAGCATTTGGCGTTGTCACTATTGTTTTCACTTTAGCCACCCTGATCATTGTGTAGTGATATCTCACTGTGGTTTTAATTTGCTTTTCCCAAATTGCACACAATTTATTTGCCACCTGTAGATCCTCTTTGATAAAATGTTGCTTCAAGTATTTTACCTGTGTTCTTGTTGATTTTTTGTTTGTTTGCTTGTTTTTTTACTGCTGAGTTTTAAGGATTCTTTCTATATTTAGATACTAGTCCCTTGTGGGATATGTGGTTTGCAAACATTTTCTCCCAATCTGTAGCTTTTCTTTTCATCTTTTCAACTGGGTCTTATGTAGGACAAAAGTTTTAAATTTTGGTGAAGTCCAATTTATAGTTTTTCCTCTTATGGATCATGCTTTTTGTATCAAGTCTAAGAACTATCCTGCTTAGCCTTAGCTTCCTAAGATTTTCTCCTGTCTTTTCATTTTTTTTGTTTTGAGACGGAGTCTCGCTCTGTCTCCCAGGCTGGAGTGCAGTGGGGAGATCTTGGCTCACTGCAAGCTCCGCCTCCCGGGTTCACGCCATTCTCCTGCCTCAGCCTCCTGAGTAGCTGGGACTACAGGCTTCCGCCACCATGCCCGGCTAATTTTTTGTATTTTTAGTAGAGACTGGGTTTCACCTTGTTAGCCAGGATGGTCTCGATCTCCTGACCTTGTGATCCGCCCACCTCAGCCTCCCAAAGTGCTGGGATTACAGGCGTGAGCCACCGCGCCTGGCCTTCTCCTGTCTTTTCTAAAAGTTTTACAGTTTTGTGTTTTACGTGTAAGTCTGTGATCCATTTGTAGTTAATTATTTTATCAGATGTGTGACATAAGTCAAGGTTAACTTTTTGCCCATGAATGTCCAATTGCTTCAGCACCATTTGTTGAAAGGCTGTCATCCACCATTGAATTACTTTTGCACCTTTGTCTTTTTAAAAAATACATTTATTTATTTATTTATTTATTTATTTACTAGTGACATCTCCATGTGAATACTTTTGAGCCTTTGTCAAAAATCATTTGGGCATGTTTATATAGGTTTATTGCTATTGTTATGATTTTAAAAGCATTTAGCAAGCTAACTTAAAGGAATACAAAATAAACATTAGATCAGGTTATCCACCTTTCCTTTGTGTATTGCTAGTTGAGATGTTTATCAATTCACAACCTAATCTTTTTTTCTTTTTTATTTTTTTTGAGACAGAGTCTTACTCTTTCGCCCAGGCTGGAGTGCAGTGGCGCGATCTTGGCTCACTGCAACCTCCATCTCCCAGGTTCAAGCAATTCTCCTGCCTCAGCCTCCCAAGTAGCTGGGATTACAGGCGCACACCACCACGCTTGGCTAATTTTTGTATCTTTTTAAAGTAGAGACGGGGTTTCACCATGTTGGCCAGGCTGGTCTCAAACTCCTGACCTCAGGTGATCCACCCGCCTCCGCCTCCCAAAGTGCTGGGATTATAGATGTGAGCCACCGCACCAGGCCACAAAGGGATTTAAGTTGGTAGAGGAACATAAAATCTACAGTTCACATCGTATAATATATTGTATAATAGCTTTGTTTTGAGTGCGCAATGTTGACTTATTGAAGCAAAGTTTCCAACTTTGAAAAGTCCTCTGCATTTTGCCTGGCACTCAACTCAGTGAAAGTTTATTTAATTAATATGTGAAAAATATATATTTTAATGTTGGATACTTATAGGGTCCTTTGTAGAAGGGATTTGAAATTGTGAGGATTACAGCCACTTGATCTACCCTGGAATGTAGACACCTTCCACATACCTTCTGGTATCTTCTAACAGTGCATCCTGAGAAATTCTTTCTCCATATTGGACACATCATTTACTCTATCTTGGTTCCAGTCCCTCCTTTGTTACTTGAGAGTAATCCTGAATTTGAGTCAGGCACCAATCTTAAACCTTGGTAAATGAAACTGAGATCCAAATAGCTGGCTTTATACTTAACTCCAAAGCAATAAATTCCTTAAGAGTTACAAGGATAGCATTTGCCTATATATATATACGTGATGTATGTCTACAAGCGGCTGAGCTTTAAACTTCATCTGTAAATTGAACATTTTCTGTAGCTTCCATATGAATTTTAGATTATTAAGTACTCATGAATTGAATACAACTGTTAATTCTTCTAGTTTATAATTAGCAAATTATAATTAATGCTCTAAAATAATCCGTCTCAAATCCTCACATAGAAAGTAAAATTCAAATAATTTACTCACAGTTTCTTCCATAGACTTCTCAACAGGGTAATAACATTATTCTTGGTTATTTATTTTCCAGGCCATGTAAATGTTAATATTCTTATTTGTAAAAAGTAAAATCATATCTTAAGAGATGCATGCGCACATTCTAGTACTCTCTATTCTGCCTGAAACAGCTCTGTGATAAGGGAGTATTAAGAATAACAAATTCACACGAGCACAAGATAGAGTGGGAATTAGGTTCTTAGATGACTGGATATCTCTGTGGGAACAACTGGTTTAGAAAGAAGTAGGTGTTTTATCCAGGGAAAACAAAGAAGTTATAATCAAGAGAGAAGCAGTTTCAAAGGTGAAGGTGAAGAGTTGCCAGTCTCAGCGAAGGCTTTGTAACTAGAGAATGAATCTTTAGGGTAGAGTTAACGGTAGATTTTAAACTGTTTTAATAATTAAAATTATTATTGCACTTTGAAGGGGGTGTCTGAACTCAGTTGTAAAATGTTTGACATTTGTGAATTCCTTTAATGTTATATTTGAAACTGTTTTGGTGCATGCACAAGGTGCCCAACTATGACTCTACATTTTATTGTTAAACCTCATGTGACCCGTCTTTCTGGAGAAGTATGTGTGCGAAGTACAGGTTCAGCCTGCTACACAGGCAACATGTATTTGTTTTTGAGAAATCTCAAACTGTGTTTATGAGAGAATTAACCCTCTCAGGGAAACAGCTCTACCAACGACTGCCCCATGGGAGAGGATGTGTGGGGACACCTGCATCCTGCTATTTGGAGAAAAATTGAGCTGCTGGTGAGACATTGAACCAACAGCCTTGGACTGAGAAGTGAAAAATAGAGAACACCTGCCTCCCCTCTACTCTGATGCCAATCCAAGCAATTCCGAAGGCATCTTGGAAGCCCTAGAAAAGAAAACCTCAGTGACTCGATTTAGAACCTTGGAAACTAGAGTGGTAACTTTGTGCTTGGCACATAATAGGTACTTGATAGAAATTTATTGAAAGAAAGAAAGAGAAGAAGGAAAGAAAGAAAAAGAAAGAAAGAACAGAGAAGAAGGAAAGAAAGAAAAAGAAAGAAAGAAAGAAAAGTAAAAAAAGTAACAAACTTTGTAGCATTCTGAAGCACTAAGTGGCATACCCAAAAGGTTGGGCTATTTCATCGCTAGAGGTCATTAATAACACAACCACTTTTCTTTTCTTCTCTTTTTTTTTTTTGAGACAGGGTCTCACTATGTCATCCAGGCTGCAGTCTGGAACTCCTGGGCTCAAGTGATCCTCCCGCCTCAGCCTCCCAAGTAGCTAGGACTACAGGCATGCACCACCACTCCTGGCTAAATTTTTTTTTATTTTTTGTAGAGATGGGAGTTTCACTGTGTTGCCCAGGCTGGTCTTGAACCCCTGGTGTCAAGCAATCCTTCCACTTCAACCTCCCAAAGTGCTGGGATTACAGGCGTGAGCCACCGCGCCCAGCGCAATGATTTTACTTTTTACAAATAAGAGTATGAACATTTACATGGCCTGGAAAATAAACAAAAAGCAAGTAACTGCTAATCTAAGCAGATGCTGATATCTTCCTCAGCACGTAGGTTGTACACTGTTGGCTTGACCCTGCAATCCTTTCTGAAAATTTAAAGGGTAGTAGATGTGAAAAGCTTTGCTAAGAATTTCCCAGGAACAAAGTAAATATAATCTCACAGAATGTGAAAATGTTGATAGTATTTGTGCTACTTACTGATACATTTTCAAATGTGCTGACGTTAATCATTCTCAAATAGTTTTTTTTTTCTTCTTCTTTTTTTTTTTTTGGGACGGAGTCTTAATCTGTCATCCAGGCTGGCGTGCAATGGCATGATCTCAGCTCACTGCAACCTCCACCTCCCAGGTTCAAGCAGTTCTCGTGTCTTGGCCTCCTGAGTAGCTGGGATTACAGACACGCGCCACCATGCCTGGCTAATTTTTGTACTTTTAGTAGAGACGGGGTTTCACCATGTTGCCCAGGCTGGTCTTGAACTACTGTCCTCAGGTGATCCACCCACCTCGGCCTCCCAAAGTGCTGGGATTACAGGTGTAAGCCACCACACCTGGCCTCAAGTAGGTTTTAACAGTGCTTTTTGCTCTTAAAATCCTAAGTGAGGTCCAAATGCCACGTTTCAGTAACACCTCTGAGAGGAGAGAACACAGTTGATTGAAAGGGAAGGGGAGTGCCATGCGGTGGTGAAGCGTGGACCCTGAAAGCAGATGCCAGTTGGACTTCCTGCTCTTCCAACTCCTGGCTGTGAAACCTGAAGCACACAATTTAATTTCTCCGGGCCTACTCCTCCCCCTCCTGCCAATGGTAAAATGAGAATAATACTATCTATCCCATGGGGTTATTGTAAAGATTATTATGTAAAGTGCATTGAACAGTGCCTGGTACAGAGTAAGAATTCTAATGTTTCCTAAATAGTCAAAATTTAAGTCAAAATGGGGGAAATGTGTATAAATTCCTAAAACTAAGCATTTTGCAAATATACTGTTTCTTAAGAGATAAACTCCAGAGAAATTGGCCTTCGTGTAGTCCTTTAAATAAAAATAATTAATTCAGAAAACAGGCCCAGTGTGGTGGTTCACACCTATAATCCCAGCACTTTGAGAGGCCAAGGCAGGAGGATCGCTTGAGCTCAGGAGTTCAACACTAGCCTGGGCAACACAGCGAGACCTTGTCTCAAAAAAAGAAAAAGAAAAAAAATTAATTCAGAAAACAAATTTGATGGTGAGTAACTAACCTATGGTTCCCAGGGTACCATTCGATTCATGCAATTCATTAGGCATGAAACATCCTAGTGCTGAACTACTGCTTACACCCTTTCTACAAAATTGTACTAAATCTGAGTATGAGATATTTATCTGGAATTTGGTGTGAATATTCCGAAAGTTTCTTCCTTCTTTCTTTCTTTTTTTTTTTTGACAGAATCTTGCTCTGTCGACTAGGATGGAGTGCAGAGGCACAGTCATAGCTCACTGCAGCCTCGAATTCCTGGGCTGAAGTCATCCTTCTACCCCAGCGTCCCCAGCCTCCTGAGTAGCTAGGACTACAGGTGCACCACTGCGCCTGGCTAATTTTTTTATTTTTTGTAGAGACAAGGTCTCGCTATGTTAACCAGGCTGGTTTCTTCATTCTTAATGGAGATTCAAAGTATTTGTGAAAACTGGGGCACTCGGTTGCTAGTTACAACTGGAATAAATTTTGTCTTTCAGCCCCAAAGCCTTAATGCTTTGCGCCAAGCAATCCAGCTACAAATTTAATTTAGTTCAAATACTTATTGATTGGCTGCCATGCTCATGTAATACATATTATATTCAAGGGTCGGAAATGAAAGGATGCAAGCCACTTGTGCTGGTATTATTTAAAGTCTTCATCTTTTGAGAAAGGCTGACGGCAAAGGAACAGATCTATGCTGTCATGTGTCGGCATCGCGCGGAGCAGAGGTGGCCTGGATGGGTAACTTCCAGCACAGGCCCTCAAAGAAGGACGGGCACATTTCCGGTAACAGCCTCATTTCCCCCCGTTCCCCGGGGGAAGGGGGGCGGCTAGCACTGCTGATGGCATCGCCTGACATCACTTGTTCCGGAGGATAGGAGAGCGTGGGCCTGCGTGGCCCACCTCATCCGTGGCCTGACTGCGTTAACCTCTCGGTTCCCTGCTCTTGCCACGTGAGGTGCCCAAATATGGTCGGACTCAGGAGGAGCCAGGGAGCGCTTGCCTTTCTCCTGCTAATGGGGAGGAGGCTGGAACAAATGTTTGGAGTTAAACACAATCTGCAGGAAAGCAAATGGGGACTCGGACTCGCTCCTGGGCGAGCTGAAAGTCGGCTGCAGCAGAAGCTCCTGCCTTGGGTGATCCATCATTTAATAAACCCCAGAGAATCCAGTGTCCCCGGCAGGCTTTTTGCTCCCCTGCTCTCTTGCCTTCTGAGGCCCTGGGTCGTCCCCGCAGCTCTAGTCGCCCTGTTAGAAACGGGAGGCGCCCGAGGGCCGGGTGGGCGGCTGCCTGGACCTGGGCTGGCGCGTCGCAGCGCCTCTGGTCCCGGCAGCCTGGGGGCAGATGCTGCTGCAGGGCGTGTCTGGGGCTGTGCTCATGTGATGAAGCGAGGGAAAAACCGGGGGGAGGGGGGCGGAGGCTAAGAGGTGGCCTTTTTTTTTTTTTCCTTTTCTTTTAAGGAGTTTGCCGCGAGCGCGTCTCCTTCATTCGCAGGCTGGGCGCGTTCGCAGTCGGCTGGCGGCGAAGGAAGGCGCTCTCGGGACCTCGCGGGCGCGCGTCTTTTGGCTCTTGCCCCTGTCCCTGCGGCTTGGGGAAGGCGTAACCCGGCGGCTAGGCGCGGGAGAAGTGCGGAGGAGCCATGGGCGCCGGGAGCTCCACCGAGCAGCGCAGCCCGGAGCAGCCGCCCGAGGGGAGCTCCACGCCGGCTGAGCCCGAGCCCAGCGGCGGCGGCCCCTCGGCCGAGGCGGCGCCAGACACCACCGCGGACCCCGCCATCGCTGCCTCGGACCCCGCCACCAAGGTACGGGCGTGCCGGGCCACCTGCGCCGGGAGGCGCGGGTCTTTGGGGGTGGGGGTGGGGGTGGGGGGGTCCCTCCGATTTCCGCCGAGAGAACTTCCCAGCCCATCCAGCCGCATCTGCAAACTCAGGAGTGCGAACCCCTCTTTGGAGGCTTTTCAGGGTCTTTCGCGCCGGGGCGGGGCCAGAGCAGCGGCGAGCGCGGCGGGGGGCTTGCATCTTTGTCGCGGGTCTCCAGGGGAGGCGACTGCGCCATGCGCAATAATAAAACCCGCGCCCTGCCCACGGCGGCTGAGCCTTTCTGCGCACTCTTCCGGTGGGAGCCATGCAGCCCGAGGCGGAGGAGCTGCGCGGAGGGGGATCCGTGGAGAATGGACCCCGGGCCGGGCCTCCGGAGCTCCGAGATGCGGAAAGTCAGCTGTGAGGCCAGGACTCGTGGTGGAGCCCGCCGGGGAGCCCAGCCACCCTCGGGTTCCCCGTCGCGTACCGCCCTGGATGCCAGCGGTGCCTGGAGCGAGCGGGTTTGGTACCCAGTCCTCCTGCGGCAGCGGCCCGAGCAGGCACCGCCTTCCCGAGGCAGAGAAAGCCTGGGGTGTAGCTCGCTCAGAGCCAGGAAAAACCTGGGCAGGCGCTGCGTTTCCAGAAGGAATGACAGGTTTCGCAAACCAGCCAGCGCCCTCGCGTTCGCTCAGCGCTTTGCCTGCAGACTCAGTTGGCCAAACACACGCTAGAGTGGCTAGAAGTTCTCAAAGGATGGGGTCAGTGTAACGAGCATTCCGGGTACTCTTCCCTGGACGCAGTGCTGAAACGACTGCATTTTATCGGCTTCAGTCTTCAAGGCTGGAATATTTCTTGTGGGCCAGGACAGCCGCCAAGACTGTGGCTTGTTCTGGTCGTGGTATTTTAGATCTATTTTCCAGCGCATGTGTTCATTAGCAAGGCTTCACTCTACTGATTTTGTGATACCCTTGTATCACAAAGGTACCCTTGTGATACCTTGTAGAAAGATGTGGATAACCATGTTTAATAGTTAAATTTGCGGTATGTCAAATTTGAGGATAGAGTACGTGAGTTATCGCAGGAGGTGTAGATGTTTACAATATGCAAAAAAAAAAAAAAAAAGGAACCTACAACCATGACCTAATTGCCTTGACCTCCTTAGCTGCCCTAGTCTCTTTTGGGCTGAGAGACTGCTGTTAATAATATAGTTTTTACCGCCAGTCTTTGATTCATAACTACTTGTAAAATCCATGGTCCCTAGATATTAAGTACTAACTGTGTCTCTGTGCTATGTAGGTTTTTCTAAGAGATGCTTAAGCTTCTGGCCTGAGGAATGTACTGTCCTTTTGAGATTCAAGTCGCATTTTAATACTTACTGTATGCACATAATGTTTTGATGCCAGCTACTGTCAAAGTGGCTCTGTAACCAGTGGTCAGAGTCTAGCGATGAAAATAATTTTAAGGTATAATTGCTAAAAACTTGCAGTTGGGTGACATTCCCCCCACCGCCCCGGCTTTTATACTCCTTCAGATCTTACTAACTGTTCACCCTGAAATATGGGATTTAATCCCTTCCCAGTAAACTTGAATTTGTTTATTTAAAAATATTCCTTCCATTCTCTTTTTCCGTCTTCCATAACCTTATCCTTTTCCTCTTTCCAAGTTGCCAACCGTCTTGAAGCAACCAAACAACCTCCTTTTAAAAAATCACTTAAATGACATCCAGAATATCATTGAACTTGTTGGCATAATGCCCAGTTATCAATTTGGAGACAAATCAGTGCACTTACATGTATCCTTGGAATGTATTTAGTTTTCATTTGAACTAGCCAAATTTATCACTCAGGCTTTGAACACAAATGTCTTTTCAAAAGGACTCCCCAATTAAGAATGACTCAGCACCATGGCCCTTGCCTCCCCTCTTCTTGTTAAGCTCCAATTCCTGACCTCCAAGTAATCCCATCTCCCACTCTAGGCTCCGTGGCACCATGGACCCGTCCCAGCAGTTTTCACATGTGTGGGTTTAGTGTTCTTGCTGTTGTGAATACTTCGCAGGGGCAGGGAACACGCCTGGTTGTGCCGACCAACGGTGTTCCTTCATGCGTGCCATGTTGCCTGGCACAGAGGCAGCTCTCAGGAATACTTGTGGAAAGAGGAAGGGGTGATATTGGCTCCTTGGTTTTGATTGGAAAATATCAAGTTGGAGAATACCTTGACCTATCTGATTTTACTACAATTTAACCCTTGATCATTTCATTATCACGTGAGACTGATTATGATAGTGACTAAGGCAAGTCAGTCTGTTCGGTTATTAATAGATCAAGTGAATAGTTTGACCAAAAACTTCAGATTTGGGGGCTTTGGATTCTGTTTCTCTAGATATAGAGTGACTTGTTAGCATTGCAATTTCAAATTGCGTTTTATCTTAAATAGACAAATATATGAAGTGCATATGGCTCAAATGAGTCCATTTCATACCCTGAGTTACTTAGGATTACATCTTGAACTTCCTTGATGTGTCTGTGGACGGTTGGGGAGGTTTAGGCTAATACATCATTTTTCCCTCCTTGGATAGAATGTGGTCATTAATTAAAGGTTGTAGGCAGATCTTTTTCTATCTAATAGCTGACATTTATATCACATGCATGCTATCTATTTAGCAATTGGATTTACTTTCCTTTTTTTCTGCTAGTTTTAGTTACCAGTTATTCACTAAGTGCCCTTATCTGAACAGACATTACACTGGTTGAATTATCACTTGTATTAGGTCAAATGGAGAGTTAAACAAGCTTTTGATTACTCAGGCTTAACGTTTAGATGCACTAAAGCAGAAGTCTTGGTTTTATCTATGGTTCATTTCTGTAAAATGGAAGGAGTCTTTATCTTCTATTCAATCTTTTGTAATCTTTATTTTTTCCGTTAGATCCAGAGATAGACTGGAAATCTTTTACAGTCTTTATATGTAAGATCCAGGCGGGGGCAGGGGGAATGGCTTGGTCTGTTATCTGCCAGGGTTTAATTTTGAGACATGGCCGTTTCACAACTGCAGGGTGCGGGAAGATTAGATGACCTGAATGCTGGTGGTAAGTAAAGCCTCACACTTCACATTATTCCTTAATTGTCTGTTTTTAAAAATTTGTCTTAAAAAAATATTAAGGTGGCAACATATTCAGGTGGCAACAGAGGGTGGGGTGACCAGTGACAAACTGACTTCCATGTCTCTGGCTAATCTTGATTTCTGGAGCCAGGCTCCAGACTAAGTCTGGACAATCAATTAATTAGCCTTTCTATATGTATTGCCTGATGAATGATTTCAATGCTGGACATTGAACAATGGTCTGTTGCAACAGGGTGAGGCCATTGTCTCTGGCAGGTGGGGAGATGGGGGCTCTTGTTAGCTCCATTTGATTACAAGAGCCTTGAATCACCAAAACATAAAGATGTACTCGAATAGAAGAGTCCGTTGTCTGACTGGTAAATTTAAGGATGTGTTTGACCCTCGTGCATTAAAACAGACAATTGGCCGGGTGCGGTGGCTCACGCCTGTAATCCCAGCACTTTGGGAGGCTGAGGCAGGCAGATCACAAAGTCAGGAGATCCAGACCATCCTGGCTAACACGGTGAAACCCCATCTCTACTAAAAATACAAAAAATTAGCCAGGCGTGGTGGCGGGCGCCTGTAGTCCCAGCCACTCGGGAGGCTGGGACAGGAGAATGGCGTGAACTCGGGAAGCGGAGTTTGCAATGAGCCGAGTTGGCGCCACTGCACTCCAATCTGGGCAACAGAGCGAGACTCTGTCTCAAAGAAACAAACAAACAAACAAACAAAACCAGACAATTGAGGCGGCCAGCTGCATTTCATAATTCCTCCCATAAGCTTCCTCCTATTTGCCACTTGTTTAGCAATGGAAATGGAGAACGAAGATGGCCTCAAAGTGACTACATCACCAGTGTTACAAAAATGGGCCAGAATTTAAGGCAAGAATTATATGTTTCTTAATAGAGGGATGTTTCTCTGTGTGTGGCTACTTGTATTCCTGTGGATTTTTACCAGATTATAAGAGCTGCTAATTTCTGATCAGAACAGAGACCAAAAATTGGAGATATGGATGTGGGGATGATTCTTTTGGGTACCGATAGACTGCAGGAATCGCAGGGCTTCCTTTAAATCCATTACAGCTTATAGGCTAGTGGATGAATAAGATAAGTGGAGATTTTCTCTTGAAATATTTCCTTCTATGAAGAAAAGGCCTTGAAATGTGCATCCTCTTTGGGTTGACTAATTTCTATGCCTTTACAGCTTTAAGCTGACATTATAAGATTATTCTAGTTTGGATCTTGTAAGATAATTAACAAAATGGAAATAAAATGTTTTGTTTTTAAAAATGCTAATAAATTATTTATTTTCCTTTGTCTTAGTTAGTTTTAATACATATTCAGTGCTTAAAGAACACCAGTGCAGGAAAACTCAAACTAAATGGCATCATCCCCCATCTCTATAATTCTATATGCAGTAGCCATTCATGCGAAGTTAGAAATTAGAATTTATAGCACTAAGCATTCTAAGAAAAATTAAGCCAGTACGTTTATCTCTTGAAAAAAAAAAAAGCAACTAAATTTCCTTGAACCGAATTCTTTTTTTTGGCTCACTGCAACCTTTGCCTCCCAGGTTCAAGCGATTCTCCTGCCTCAGCTTTCCGAGTCGCTGGGATTACAGGCACCCACCACCACGCCCAGCTAAGTTTCTGTATTTTTAGTAGAGATGGGGTTTCACCATGTTGGCCAGGCTGGTCTCAAACTCCTGACCTCGTGATCCACCCGGCTAAGGCAGGAGAATGGCGTGAACCCGGGAGGTGGAGCTTGCAGGGAGCCGAGATGGCACCACTGCAGTCACCACTGCAGTCCAGCCTGGGCGACAGAGAGAGACTCCGTCTCAAAAAAAAAAAAAAAAAAAATCAAAAGCATGTGTTTACCCTTATTAATGATTTTTATTTAAAGTCATTGCATAGCAATATTCATTTAATGTTTATTTTTTAAAAAAATTAATGATTGAGAACTTAAATTTATAAGTAGGGTAAATTACTCACAAATTTAAGTAAAATTTGAAGCCAATATGATGGCTTCTTACATATTCTTTCGAAAACTTCATGCACATGAAAGTAGATAAAAATGGCACAGTCTTTTCCATTTAAGAAAAAGATCATATCACATATAGATTTAGGTTTTGGATGTCTTTTCATATCAGGACATAAATAACTGCCCCCATTCTTATTAATTTGGGTGCATAAATTTCCCTTTTGTGGGTTGAAGCCCTGTAACGATTTAACCAATTCCTTGGGTTTATATTTAGATTGTCCTCGTCCATAAGTGTAATTGCTGAATTGCAAGCTTTATATGCATTTAAAAATTTAACCCGGCAAGGTGCGGTGGCTCACGCCTGTAATCCCAGCACTTTGGGAGGCCGAGGCAGGTGAATCACAAGGTCAGGAGTTCGAGACCAGCCTGGCCAACATGGCGAAACCTCGTCTCTACTAAAAACACAAAAAATTAGCTGGGTGTGGTGGCAGGTGCCTGTAATCCCAGCTACTTGGGAAGCTGAGGCAGGAGAATCTCTTGAACCTGGGAGGGGGAGGTTGCAGTGAGCTGAGATCTCACCACTGCATTCCAGCCTGGGTGACAGTGCAAGACTCCGTCTCAAAAACAAAAACAAAAACAAAAACAAAAAATTTAACCCTTCCTAAATTGACTTTCCAAAGAGGTTCTACCACTTTGCAGTTCCACCGTGGAGATCAGCACTCGTTTTCCCATGCTTTGCCTTCATGGGTATCAGATTTTCCAATACTTGCCAATGTGCTAGGTGAAGAATGGTACCTCAGTTTCCTTGGTGCATTTTTAACTGTGAAGTTGAATGCCTCATCATGTTTCTCTGCCATGTGCTTGCCATCTGATCATGCACTGGTCTGGCTGTCAGAGCATGAAAGGCTATGGTTTGTTTCACTGTTAATTAATTTTCATTTTCATTTTCATTTAACTTTAATTTTATTTATTTATTGTTTTTGAGATAGGCTCTCATTCTGTTGCCCAGTGTGGAATGCAGTGGTGCAATCTTGGTTTACTGCAGCCTCGACCTCCTGGGCTCAAATGACCCTCCTACTTCAGCCTCCTGAGTAGCTGGGACTACAGGCACACACCACCAGGTAGCTGGGACTACAAGTGCACACCACCATGCCTGGCTAATTTTGTTTATTTTTGGTAGAGACAAGGTCTCACTGTGTTGCCCAGGCTGGTCTGGACCTCCTGGACTGAAGTGATCCTCCCACCTCTGCCTCCCAAAGTGCTGAGATTACAGGTGTGAGCCCCCATGCCCTGCCCAATTAATTTTTAAAGATTTTTTTTTCTAGCCAGGTGTGGGGGCTCACACCTGTAATCTCAGCACTTTGAGAGGCCAAGAAGGGAGGATCACTTGAGAGAAAGTTCAAGAGTGGCCTGGGCAACATAGCAAGACCCCATCTCTACAAAAAATAAAAAATTTAGCTGGGTGCGGTGACGTGTACCTGTAGTCCTAGCTACTTGGAAGGCTGAGGTGAGAGGATTGCTTCCACCCAGGAGTATGAGGCTGCAGTGAGCTATGATCATGCTACTGCACTACAGCCTGGGTGGCAGAGCAAGACCCTATCTCTATTTAAAAAAACAAAACAAAACAAAAAAACAAAAAAACTTTTTCCCCAGAAATTAATCAAATTGGAAAAAAGCAAGTTCAAGAATAAAAACGCAGCTGAGGTAGAGCAGTCTTACTCTCCTTTGCTCCTTTTCCTTTCCAAATTAATGAACCATCTTTAAATTTATTTGCTTGGAGGATGACCTACTTCTTTAGCTATCACTTTTAAAATTTCTTCTCTTGGAACAATCTAAAATCATTTAGTTGCCAGAAATTACTTTGTGGTCATGATCCGTGAAATGTTGAGATCAGGGATTGGAAGCAGCAGAAATCCACCTCTTGGGAAAACAATAGAGTGAAGGCTTACCCGGGATCCTCTCCCGTTCTCACGGCAAACAGCCTGGCTCTGTTAACTGGATGGTATACATGGATTTTCTGAGAAAAATGTAGGTGTTCAAAGCACAGGAAACCATCTGGGACACCGGGACACCATTAGGCACCTCTTAATACAAGTATTCATTTCAGGTTCAAAGCTTTTTGTCTTCCCTGTGATTTCTCTGTGATGTTTTTTAAATGGGGGAAACCCTGTAGTTTCTCTCTGCCTAATCTTAATCCCAGTTGTAGTAGCATGTCAGTTTCATGTTTGATTTCAAAACGAAATAAACCAAAATTTAAGAAGGAGAGATTACTGCAGTTTATTGGCTGACCATCTATTTGTTATATGCAAATACTGCAAACTGGGAGTATTGAAGGATTAAATTTTTCCTAATTCCCAAACCTGGTGGTGCTATTGAATCACCTAGAGAGCTTTTCAAAGACACCCCTACACCTCATCCTGGATTTATTGAATTAGAATCCCAGGCAATCTCAGGGTCTGGGATTCTGTGATTTTTTTTTTTTTTTTTGAGAGACAGGGTCTCACTGTGTTTCCCAGGCTAGTCTTGAACTCCCGGACTCAGGCCATCCTTTGGCCTCAGCCTCCTGAGTAACTGAGACTACCAGCTCCTGCCACTGTGCTGGGATTCTGTAGTCTTAAAATGCTCATCAGATATTCTAATGTGTGGGGTGTGGGCTCCATTACCTTAAGGGAGGGGAAGGAGTAGGCGTAAGAGCTGAATAAGGGCCAGGGAGAGGTTCAGGTCTAGGTGACACTGGGTGATAGCATGTGCAGATTTCACTGAGATTGGAACTTGTGTGGGTGAGAGGGACGGTTTCACATGATGAAAGAGTAGCATTTTCCTTCACACATCTGGAGGATAAAATAAAGGAAAATATTTCTTCCACATAATTTCATTCCTTTGTTTGACTATATTAAAAAGTGGGTTGCTGGCCGGGCATGGTGGCTCACGCCTGTAATCCCAGCACTTTGGGAGGCCGAGGCGGGCGGATCACGAGGTCAGCAGTTCAAGACCAGCCTGGCCAACATGGTGAAACCCCATCTCTATTAAAAATACAAAAATTAGCCAGTATGGTGGTGTGTACCTGTAATCCCAGCTACTCGGGAGGCTGAGGCAGGAGAATCGCTTGAACCTAGGAGGTGGAGGTTGCAGTGAGCCGAGACCGCATCATTGCACTCCAGCCTGGGCGACAGAGCAAGACTCTGTCTCAAAAAAAAAAAAGTGGATTGCTAACGGAGGCTTTTTAAAATAGATTGTGCCATTCAAGGTAAGTAGGTGTTCAGTGAAATGCCCGTATCCCTACTGAGCCAGAAGCTGTGACTTTTCGGTGTTCCCCTTCCATCTCATTGCCTCCTAAGCCCTCTTCCCTTATTTATCATTTTAAAACTTCCCTTGTGCTGAATAAGTAGACAGTAGCTAAGGGCTTAGTTTATGGCATTTGACTGGTCCAAAAATCTGTAAAGAAATTTTAAAACCTACCAAGTTGTTGAAGAATAGAGTTCTGGCTTTCTCAGCCACTTACTATTCAATCTTGATTTCATAAATATTTCTGTTTTAATTTCTTCCATTTATTTTTTAATATAATAGAGACAAGGTCTCACTGTGTTGCCAAGGCTGGTCTCGAACTCCTGAGCTCAAGTGATCCTCTTGCCTTGGCCTCCCAAAGTGCTGGGTTACAGGGTGAGCCACCTACGCCTGGCCATTTCATAAATACTTCTTTACTAGCTTCTGTACTCCAGGAACTGTGCTAGGAACTGGGGAAACAGAAGTTCAGTTCTAAAAAAGTTAAAGTTCTCTCTTTCATATATTTAGATCTTTATTCCACTAGCTACTGATGATGTCTAGAAGGAGAAATCTTAAATTCATTTTTATATGGGTTACCTATTGCTCCAGTACCATTGATTAAAAAGTTACCTCTTGTTAAAACTCAAGTTTCCATATATGCATAAACCTGTTTATTGATTTCCTTTTACTTTTAAATTTTTTCTGCTGTGTCTATTTGTGCAATAAACTGAAAGCATTGTGGGAGTGGCTAAACATCTGATCAATTATAATAGCAAGCCCATGGTTTAAAATAGTTTTATATTCTACATCTCAAGTGTTACCCTTGTCTCTTTCATGGCTATGGTGAGTTCATACATACATAAATACCAACATGTGGCTCGTGGGCATGGTGGCTCACACCTGGTGGGCATGGTGGCTCATGCCTATAATCCCAGCACTTCGGGAGGTGAGGGTGGGAGGATCACTTGAGCCTAGGAGTTCAAGATCAGCCTAGGCAGCATAGTGAGACCCCACTGCTACAAAAAATTTAAAAATTAGCCGGGTGTGGTGGCACATGCCTGTAATTCCAGCTAGTTGGGAGGCTGAGGTGGGAAGATCACTAGAGCCCGGGAAGTTGAAGCTGCAGAGACCCTGTCTCAAAAAAATAAATAAATAGGCTGGGCGTTGTGGCTCACGCGTGTAATCCCAGCATTTGGGAGGCTGAGGCAGGTGGATCATTTGAGGTCAGGAGTTTGAGACCAGTCTGACCAACATGGTGAAACTCCGCTTTACTAAAAATACAAAAAAGTTAGCCGGGTGTGGTGGCGCCTGCCTGTAGTCCCAGCTACTCTAGAGGCTGAGGCAGGAGAATCGCTTGAACACGGGAGGCGGAGCTTGCAGTGAAGCCGAGATTGCACCACTGCACTCCAGCCTGGGTGACAGAGTGAGACTCCATCTTAAAATAAATAAATAAATAAATAAAATAAGAAAATGGGAATCGTGTGTTCTTTTAAGCTTAGCTTGTTTTCTTGGTATGTAATAGCATTCATTAAAAATGGTCAGATATTTTCCTTTTTTTTTTTGAGACGGAGTCTCGCTCTGTTGCCCAGGCTGGAGTGCAGTGGCGCGATCTCGGCTCACTGCAAACTCCGCCTCCCGGGTTCACGCCATTCTCCTGCCTCAGCCTCCCGAGTAGCTGGGACTACAGGCGCCCGCCACCACGCCCGGCTAATTTTTTGTATTTTTAGTAGAGATGGGGGTTTCACCGTGTTAGCCAGGATGGTCTCAATCTCCTGACCTCGTGATCCACCCGCCTCGGCCTCCCAAAGTGCTGGGATTACAGGCGTGAGCCACTGCGCCCGGCCAAAAATGGTCAGATATTTTCTAACCACATACTTATGTTCTAGATGCTTTGGGAGATAAAGAAATAAAAACATTACCCTTGAACACCTCATAATTGAGATGAGGTAAGGCCTTTCTAGATGAAATATTCAACAGCAAAGATTCCAATAAGTTGGCTAGGTAATAGAAGAATTGCCATTAGTACTACTGTAAAAAAAAGAATTTTTGGGAAAGTGTTCTAGGCAGATAAGAGGCCATTAGTCAGGAGGCCTTCTGGTACAAGACGTATTGAGTTGGTAGTTCTTAAGGAAACAATGAAAGAGGATAAGTTGCAGCCCGTCGATGTTAAGAGCTGCAGAGGCAATAGAGAGCCACTGCCGGCTTTTGACAATGAACAAAACAAAGTTTCAGAAATACCAGGTGAGTGCGTCGTGAACCCCTGGGAGACCCTCTTGTATAAGGCAGAGATAACATCCGCACAGTAAAGTGGTGGGAAGTGTGACTAGAAAGGGTGACTTCAGGGAGATTATGTTGGCAAGCATTTTCACAGTGTGGTAGTGACATCTCAGATATCAGTGGGGCAGTGAGATTTGGCACAGGGTAGAGGCTTGGCATGGGGGTAAGTCACAAACAATGAGATTTTAAGAGTTGGAAGATGGAGTACCTCTATTTCTCCAATAGTCTGACAAGAACATCTACTCCATGATGTTGGTTTCAGTTATCTACTGGTGTGTAACAAACCATGCCAAAAAATTTATACTAAGGGTACCTTTAGAACAGAGAACATCACTTGATAATAACAACTTGGGACTTTAAAGTAATGCAGAGGTTTGGCCGGGCACAGTGGCGCACGCCTGTAATCCCAATACTTTGGGAGGCCGAGGCGGGCAGATCCCCTGAAGTCAGGAGTTCAAGATTAGCCTGGCCAACATGGTGAAACCCTGTCTTTACTAAAAATACAAAAATTAGCCAGGCATGGTGGCACGCGCCTGTAGTCCCACCTACCTGGGAAGCTGAGGCACGAGAAACCCTTGAACCCGGGAGGCGGAGGCTGCATTGAGTTGAGATCGCTCTGCTGCACTTCAGCCCGGGCAACAGCGTGAGTGAGACTCTGCCTCAATAAACAAATAAATAAATAAATAGAAGTAAAGCAGAGGTTTGAGGCAGACTCTCTAGATAATGACAGAGGGCTTCCGTGAACTCAAAGCATTTCTCTAATAGTGGTCTGCGTCACAGCAGAGACCACTGGCATTGGAGGCCATCGAGGCTTTTGGAGTATTGGGCAAGGGAGGCACAGCTGAAGGTCAAGTTTCTTTCTTTTTTTTTTTTTTTCTGAGATGGAGTCTCGCTCTGTCACTCAGGCTGGAGTGCAGCAGCGCGATCTCAGCTTACTGCACCCCCGCCTCCCGGGTTCAAGATTCTCATGCCTCAGCCTCTCGAGTAGCTGGGACTACAGGTGCAGGCCACCATGCCTGGCTAATTTTTCTATTTTTAGTAAAGACAGAGTTTCAGTATGTTGGCCAGGCTGGTCTCAAAATCCTGACCTCAGGTGATCCACCTGTTTTGGCCTCCCAAAGTGCTGGGATTACAGGCATGAGCCACCGTGCCTGGCCAGAAAGTCAAGTTTTTTAGGAAAAGAGATGATCAACACTGAAGGCCCCGATAGTGGCTATGGAGAAGTGCAGGTGGAACCAAAGTGAGTCTTAGTAGAAGAGAGGACTAGAGGTGAGCATGGTGGCTCATGGTGGACCTGGTATTCCCAGTACTTTGGGAGGCCAAGGTGGGAAGATCATTTGACTACAGGCATTTGAGACCAGCCTGGACAAGATACCAAGACCCCTGTCTCTGGGAAAAAAAAAAAAAAAAAAAAAAGATGAGAAAACGAGATAAAAGAGATGCCGCCGGATGAGCAGTTGGCAGATCGTGATGGCATCATGCCACAGTGACTGTTCTATCCCAGCATGGCTGGGTGCACCTAAAAAATGAAAGAGCCTGGTCATTGACTGTATTCCTTCCATTTGTAGGCAAAGAAATGAGGTTGCTTGGGGAATGCGTGTCTTTCCCTCCAGAGAAGACATTTTCGCTTTGTAATTTTTCCATCCCCAGTGTCTGCCCTTTGGTTTGTTGTTCAGAAAACAATTTATGATTTATTTTTCTTTGTGTCTGAGCCTATGATTTTTTTATTGAATTGAGCCATTACAGGCCCTGGGTTTTACCTGCCACAATGATGAATTTCTATTGTCACTCCCTGATATTGACCACTTTTAGTGAAGACATGCTTCATTGGCTCCTAGTTTTCTTCACTCTGTAAAGTATATTTTGTTGTGATACGTAAGACAAGATTGTTGATGCATTTCACAGTTTTTAACCTCTTTATGTTTTCAGTTCTTGGTGATAATTTTTCACAAAGTTATAGGAAATTACTCAAAGAATATGTCTTTAGAAACTTTCGTTTGAAATTGTTTTTCATTTGGATACATATGTAAAAGTCTTTTGTTCGTTTTAATTTTTTTTTCTTTTAAAATAAAAAGAGACAGGTCTTGCTGTGTTGCCCAGGCTGGTCTCGAATTCTTGGGCTGAAAGGATAGTCCCACCTGGGCCTCCTGAAATTAAAATTACAGGCATGAGCCACTGCACCCGGCCAAAACAGTCTTATTCAACATCAATAATATATTGAATCCTATAGAAACTTCAACCTTAGGTGGCCTATCTACTTTGAACTTACACTTGATATGCACTGCAGTACAAACTGGGAGGGAGAGGGGGAATAGGATTGTAGTCTACAAGAGATTGCTAAGAATTAGCCAATTTTGCTATGATGATTTTTTTCACAAATGACTTTTTTTTTTGAGGCAGAGTCCTGCTCTGTTACCCAGGCTGGAGAGTGCAGTGGTGCTCACTGTGACCTCTGCCTCCTGGGTTCAAACAATTCTCTTGCCTCAGCCTCTTGAGTAGCTGGAATTACAGGTGTGAGCCACCACACCTGGCTAATTTTTTTGTATTTTTAGTAGAGACGGGGTTTTACCATGTTGGCCTGGCTGGTCTCCAACTCCTGACCTCAGGTAATCTGCCTCCCTGGGCCTCCCAAAGTGCTGGGACTACAGGTGTGAACCACTGTGCCCGGCCAGAAATGACGTATTTATCCAATACTTAGACATGAGTTCCTGATTCCTATATTGTTAACCTAAATATTTAAATGGAAATTTTTGTTCTTGTTCTGCTCTGTTTTACATGAAATAAGCTATTGAAAAGCAGTGGAACATGTCACTACAAAAGTTTACTAAATTAGTCTTGACCATTACAATCTTTGTATTCCACTGACAAAAGCAGTGGAATAAAATTTAAACAAAAAATAGTTGACCTTAATGTGGGCAAAAACCCAGTTGATTGGTTTTATAGCTGATTTATTTTCTTTGTAAAACCTTCAGGAACTAAAGTTTAGTCTGAACTCAGTTTGATGGCAGTTTTAGATTAGTCTTTTTTGTTTGAGACGGAGTTTCACTCTGTTGCCCAGGCTGGAGTGCAGTTGTGTGATCTCTGCTTACTGCAACCTCCGCCTCCCAGGTTCAAGAGATTCTCCTGCCTCAGTCTTGCAAGTAGCTGGGATTACAGGCATGCGCCACCACACTCGGCTAATTTTGTATTTTTAGTAGAGACCGGGTTTCGCCAAGTTGGTCAGACTGATGTCGAACTCTTGATCCACCCACCTCGGCCTTCCAAAGTGCTGGGATCAAAGGTGTGAACCACTGCGCCTGGCCTTAGATCAGTCTTCATTTTGTTGATAATACAGAAAGCTCATTTAGCCTTGATTAAGACAACGATCGGTTATTCGTTTGATATTCGTTAAAGACTTACTGAGGTTTTTGAATTTTTGTCCTAAACTGAGAATCTGGTGACTGAAGAGGGCTTACAATTTTATCTTGAATCGCAACAATGACAGAGATTTCAAGTCACTTCTGGAACTGTGCCTGATAAACAATCTCTGCATGACAGGGAGGAATGCAAAGAATGCTTAAGTATTCAGGGAAGTAGGTCATGTTAAAGTATTACATTTGTCAGAGAAAGTTTCTCAAGCAGTCCCTGTGATCTTCAGAACCCAGCTTGTTCTTCGCCCAGAATGCTTTAGTTGTAGGCAAATTTGGGGGCTGAATTAACTTCCCAGCCGCTAGGAGGGCTGGACTGAAAGTCACAGATTCAGCACATGTGCCTGCACCCTTGTCAACAAAAATGAAGTTACAGTTATAGGCAGGTGACTGGAAAAACAGTAGATGGGATTGATAAATGTTTTTGTTTTTTTTTTGAGACGGAGTTTCGCTCTTGTTGCCCAGGCTGGAGTGCAGTGGCACGATCTCGGCTCACGGCAACCTCTGCCTCCCGGGTTCAAGCAGTTCTCCTGCCTCAGCCTCCTGAGTAGCTGGGATTACAGGCATGCACCACCACGCCGGCTGATTTTGTATTTTTAGTAGAGACGAGGCTTCTCCATGTTGAGGGTGGTCTCGAACTCCTGACATCAGGTGATCCACCTGCCTCGGCTTCCCAAAGTGCTGGGATTACAGGCGTGAGCCACCGCGCCTGGCTGGGATTGATAAATGTTGTTTCTTTATTGTGGGATCCTGGAATAAAAATTGTTTAGAGTCAGGCGTAGTGGCTCATGCCTGTAATCCCAGTGCTTTGAGAAGCCGAGGCAGGAGGGTCACTCAAGCCCAGGAGTTAAACACCAGCCTGGCCAACATACTGGGACCCTGCCTCTACAAGAAATTAGCCAAGCATGGTGGCATGTGCCTATAGTCCCAGCTACTCAGGAGGCTGAGGTGGGAGGATTGCTTGAGCCAGGGAGGTCTGGGCTACAGTGAGTCGTGGTTGAACCACTGCACTCCAGCCTGGATGACAGGTTATCCAAAAACAAAACAAAAAAATTATTTAAAGAGCAAAAAGCAAGCGCTAATGGACAATTGATGTGTAAATAAATTTAGGAAGAAGGGAAAACCAGAGAGAGCCTTTTAACTGAACTTGAACTTGGGGTCTTTCTTTGCTGCCAGTGTTCAGCACTGCAGGGGACCCAGCTGAGCATGTACCCAGCCATTTGTGGACTTAAACATGCTCATGTACCAGGTTTTGCCCTGAATTGCATCCAAGTGCTGGACAAGAGGCACCAATCCGACAGTGCTCAGAGATACTGAGTACCAGGAAAGGTGGCATAGAGAAATTTGTGCTGAGTCTTTGCAGAATGGAGATGCACGAGAGAAAGAACCACTGAATAATGAGGCAGGAAGGAACCTCAGCCTGTTGGAAGAAATACTGATTGAAAAATAGTCTAGGAAAAGTTGAGTTAAAGCTTGGATTTTCCAGACTGCAGAACTTTCCAGAACCCTTAATATGTTAATATTATTAATTATTAATCTTCAAAAGGGGAAATGGAATGTGCATCTTTACCCAAATACAGTTTGGAAAGGCCAGGCTAGAGAAGAGAGCACAATTAGAATAGCAATTCAGAAGGCTTTAGTAGTATTTTGTGGCTCTGCTGTGGAGAATTTTGAACAGTAGGGTGTGACTTCTGCATTTATTATGATCTGCAATATAAAGCCAATAATTACCTAACTTTATATTCTAATCTGGGACTGAGAAAATAATCTTAAGATATTAAAGAAAATTTTCTCTTCTTTAGGAAGGGGAAAGGGTGGAATTTCATTTTCTTCCTATAAAGATGATTGTATTTTTTATATATGTGTGTGTGTGTATATACACATGTATAAATTTTATTTTATTTTATTTTTTATTTCTTTTTTAGATGAAGTCTCACTCTGTCACCCAGCCTGGAGTGCAGTGACGCGATCTCGGCTCACTGCAACCTCCACCTCCCAGGTTCAAGAGATTCTCCTGCCTCATCCTTTCAAGTATCTGGAACTACAGGCGTGTGCCACCATGCCTGCCTAATTTTTGTATTTTTAGTAGAGACGGGTTTTACCATATTGGCCAGGCTCGTCTCAAACTCCTGACTTCAGGTGATCTGCCTGCCTCGGCCTCCCAACGTGTTGGGATTACAGGCGTGAGCCACCGCGCCCGGCCTATATATATATATAAACTTTAAATTAACCAAATATAGAGAGATTCTTATTCTTTAATCTTTGGTTAAATGGAAAGATATGAAATATGCCACAACTTTTTAAAAAATAATTTCGCTTTTATTTTAGATTCAGGGGATGCATGTGCAGGTTTGTTAGCTAGGTATATAGTGTGGTGCTGAGGTTTGGGGTACAATTGATCCCATCCCCCAGGTGCTGAGCGTAGTACCTAATAGGTAGTTTTTCAACTCTTGCCCCCTCCCTCTCTCCCTTGTCTAGTAGTTCCCAGTGTCTACTGTTGCCATCTTTCTGTCCACGAGCACTTAATGTTTAGCTCCTATTTATTTATTCATTTATTTGTATTTTATTTTTGAGACAGTCTTGCTCTGTCGCCCAGGCTGGAGTGCAGCGGCGTGATCTCAACTCACTGAAACCTCTGCCTCCCAGGTTCAAGCGATTCTCCTGCCTCAGCCTCCTGAGTAGCTGGGATTACAGTTGTGCACCACCACGCCTGGCTAATTTTTGTATTTTTAGTAGAGACAGGGTTTCACTATGTTGGCCAGACTGGTCTTGAACTCCTGACCTCAAGCGATCCACCCACCCCAGCTTCCCAAAATGCTGAGATTATAGGCGTGAGCCACTGCACCCAGCCTAGCTCCCACTTACAAGTGATAACATGCAGTATTTGTTTTTCTGTTCCTGGCTTAATTCGCATAGGATAATGGCCTCCAGCTGCATCCATGTTGCTGCAAAGGACATGATTTTATTCTTTTTTATGGCTGCATGTCACAACTTTTAAATTTACAGTATGTGGGAAGTGCCTTAGATTATCCTGATGAAAGATTTCATATTTTTAATCTCCTTATTAAGTTACATCTGTCTAGACTTGCTGATACTTTGGGGATTGGGTGGAAGAGAAAGAGGAGTAGAAAATGAGGATAAGTAAAATTTTTTTGCATTGAGCACACTTTGGATGGATTTCATTGTTCAAATAATTCTGATAATTTGCATTAGATTTAGTTTTTATTTTTTGGTCTCCAGTAACAACTGTTTGTAGAACTAATTTCTATGGCACGTAATTGCATGTGGAGCTAACCCTCCTGGGGCAAGCCACTTATGCCTACAAACTCTCCCTTAACCATATTTTCTGGGGCCAGAGACAATTGGACTACTGTGGAGTGAAAAGCTGTAGATTATTGTGTCCTCAAACTCTCTGCCGCTCCTGCAATGAATACTGGAGGTATTGTAACTGTATGTGAACTTGAACGAAGATCAGGGGAAGGTCACACAGAGCCTTCTTGAATGGAGTTGCAAATTCTTCCTCTGGCAAATACAAGTAAAGGGAAATGTCACGAGTTTGTTGCTTTTTATGGTCATGAAGAGGGAAAAATCCCCAAAGCTTGTGATTCCTTTGCTGTGAGCTGACCAGCTGGCTTTTTTCAGCATTGGAGAAGAACTTGAGAAGGACACTGATTTATTTTTTCCTTGAGTCTGATCACTGACAGTCTCATAGAAAAGCAAATAACTATATTCTGAGACTGTAACTAAACTAAACTTTTAAGAAGGTTGTTTCTTTGTAAAACCTAAAAATCAACATAGGGCTATTCTTGTAAGATTACTTTTGGCCACATAAAGAGGAAGAGCTCATTCTACTGATTCCTGCTTCTTAATAAATATCTACTAAACTATATGTATTTTATTTTATTAATTTATTTATTTGAGACAGGGTCTTGCTCTGTTGCCCAGGCTGGAGTGCAGTGGCACTATCTTGGCTCCTGGGTTCAAGTGATCCTCCTGCCTCAACCTCCTGAGTAGCTGGGCTTACAGGTGTGTGCTGCTACACCAGCTAATTTTTGTATTTTTAGTAGAGACAGGGTTTCACCATGTTAGTCAGGCTGGTCTTGAACTCCTGACCTCAAGTGATCTGCCCACCTCAGCCTCCCCAAGTGCTGAATTATAGGTATGAGCCACTGTGCCCAGCCTGTGTGTGTGTGTGTGTGTGTGTTTATATACACACTATATATATATGTATATATACACATAATGTATCTATATATGTGTGTGTGTATATATATATATTTATACAAAATAAATATATGTGTGTATATATATATATTGGAGACGGAGTCTTGCTCTGTCACCCAGGCTGGAGTGCAGTGGCACAATCTTGGCTCACTGCAACCTCCACCTCCTGGGTTCAAGCAATTCTTGTGCCTCAGCTTCCCAAGTAGCTGGGATTACAGGCGCCTGCCACCACGCCCCGTTAATTTTTTGAATTTTTAGTAGAGATGGGGTTTCACCATGTTGGCTGGGCTGATCTCAAATTCCTGACCTCAGGTAATCCACCCACCTTGGCCTTCCAAAGTGCTGGGATTACAGGTGTGAGCCACGGCGCCCGGCCTATATTTTTTAAAATAACATATTTTCCTAGGTACTCCTTCTTTTAAAAAATAGCATATATATTTATATATGTATATATATATGTGTGTGTATATATGTGTATATATATACACACATATATACATGTATATATATATATACACACACATATACATGTATATATATATACACACACACACACACACACACACACACACACACGTTTAATATGCCCACTTATTGGCCCTTTTTTTCCTTTTTTTTTTTTTTTTGAGATTGGAGTCTCACTCTGTTGCCCAGGCTGGAGTGCAGTGGCACTGTCAAGACTCATTGCAACCTCCACCTGCCAGGTTCAAGCTATTCTTGTGCCTCATCCTCGAGTTCCTGGGACTACAGTTGCATGCCACCATGCCCAGCTAATTTTTGTTTTTTTAGTAGACATGGGGTTTCAGCATGTTGCCCAGGCTGGTCTTGAACTCCTGGCCTCAAGTGATCCACCTGCCTCAGCCTCCCAAAGCGCCGGGATTACAGGCATGAGCCACTGCACCCAGCCGACCCTTTTCTTCAATGTAACTTTCTCTTTTTTTTTTTCCTTGCACAAAGCATTAACAATGTGAATGAAGGACATGGGATTGGATGAGCCAATTTGGGGCATTCCACCTGTGTCTGAGGGTTCCTAACACAGTTGTTTTACTGTGTATTTTTGTGTTAATTACAAGGTTGAAACTTGTAGAGAATCAACTAATAAAGAATCAGGTGCATATAGAAATATAAACATACAGTCTCTTTTCTTACTGTCAGTTCGCTAACGTTTATTGGGTTTGAGTGCTTATTAGGTACCAAGCAGTTGTTTTTGGGCACTTACACATGCTATTCCCTATGTTACCAACAGTTTATGACTTTTGTGAGGTGACTGGTATCATTCCCGTTTTTAAAATGAGCCAGTAGAGTGGAAATTTAACTAGGAGTTGGAGCTTTTGATTCGATCGCTCTTGAGTTCAATGCTAGAGGTCTCACTCCTGTTTGGGCAGCTCTCAGACTTGGAGCTCATGGGTATGATGAGATCACTGCAGTGTGACAGGGGCCTTGGCTATGCTGCCGAATAGGAGATGTCTCTCATTATTAACTTCTGGGATGTCAGACAGCTCCTAAGATCCCTGTGCACTCTGCCTTCCTAGGTATTTCAGGATGTATTACTAAGATCTGCTGTCAAGTAAATGGTGAATGATGATCTAATAAGGCCAGCCCCTTGTTTCAGACCCTGTCCTCACTTCTCCCAGCCCGTCATGGTTTAGAGGTGGCTAATGCCAGGCTGTAAGAGCTCTTTGAGTTTGGATGCAGATCGTACGTCTGAAACGAGAATTGATACTGCACATTTTTCTCTTTATTTTGGGTGCAGTGACTCATGCCTGTAATCCCAGCACTTTGGGAGGCCCCCAGTGGGCGGATCACCTGAGGTCAGGAGTTCGAGACCAACCTAGCCAATATGTGAAACCTGTCTCTACTAAAAATACAAAAATTAGCTGAGTGTGGTGGTGCGCACCTGTAGTCCCAGCTGCTCGGGAGGCTGACACAGGAGAATCGCTTGAACCGGGGAGGTGGAGGTTGCAGTGAGCCGAGATCGTGCCACTGCACCCTGGAGCCCTGTGACTCAGGACCCTCTGTTTATATTCCTCCATACTTTTCCTAAACTCTTTTTCTTCCAGCATGCACCTGTGCATTCCCTTATCCTTCACTCCTCAGGTTGCATCTTGAGGGTTGGCATCTAAAAACCAATGGTTTGGCCGGCTTCAGTGGCTCATGCTTGTAATCCCAGCACTCTGGGAGACCAGCGTGGGTGGGTCACCTGAGGTCAGGAGTTCGAGGCCAGCCTGGTTAACATGGCGAAACCCCATCTCTACTAAAAATTAGCTGGGCGTGGTGGTGGGCGCCTGCAATCTCAGGAGGCTGAGGCAGGAGAATCGTTTGAACCGGGAGGCAGAGGTTGCAGTGATCCGAGATTGTGCCACTGCACTACAGCCTGGATGACAGAATGAGACTCCATCTAAAAAAAAACCCATAAAATAAAATAAAAACCAATGGTTTGGCTGGGCACAGTGGCTCACTCCTGTAATCCCAGCACTTTGGGAGGCAGAGGCGGGTGGATCAACTGAGGTCGGGAGTTCGAGACCACGCAAAAATACAACCCGTCTCTAAAAAATACAAACCCCGTCTTTAAAATACAAAAATTAGCCGAGCATTATGGCGGGTGCCTGTAAGCCCAGCTGCTTAGGAGGCTGAGTCAGGAGAATCACTTGAACCCGGGAGGTGGAGGTTGCAGTGAGCCGTGATCATGCCATTGCACTCCAGCCTGTCGACAGAGCCAGACTCCATCTCAAAAACAAACAAGAACAACAGTGGTTTTTATTATTTTATTTATTTATTTATTTATTTATTTATTTATTTATTTATGAGATGGAGTTTCACTCTTGTTCCCCAGGGTGGAGTGCAATGGCGTGAGCTCGGCTCACTGCAACCTCCTGTTAAGATAGCAATTTAGCCTGTTAAGATAATAATTTAAAAAACTCACATGGGAGCAAAGTAATAGCAAATGAATGACTAGTGAATAAATTAATGCAAGTGGGTGGCTGAGTTGTTATTTTTAAAAATTTTTTTTGATACAGAGACTCACTCTGTCAGCCAGGCTGGAGTGGAATGGCGAGATCTTGAACCGCCTCCCAGGTTCAAGAGATTCTCCTTCCTCAGCCTCCCGAGTAGCTGGGATTATAGGCATGTGCCACCATGCCCGGCTAATTTTTTGTATTTTTAGTAGAGATGGGGTTTCTCCATGTTGGTCACACTGGTCTCAGGTGATCCACCCGCCTCAGGTGATCCACCCGCCTCGGCCTCCCAAAGTGCTGGGATAACAGGCATGAGCCACTGCGCCCGGCCCAAAACAATGGTTTTTAGATGTTTTCTTGCTGGTCTGCTACACGTTCTTCTTCTGTTCAGTCAGTGCATGTAGTAATAAATAAAAGCTCTGCTCATTGCTTTTGTTTATTTTAAGTACTTTTTCACGTAGTGCGGTGTCATGGCCTCAGATAAATGTCTACATAATGCAGTCAACTTTCCCACACCTTGGGTGTCCTCTAAGAAATGCAGACTACAGAATCTTGATCATATTTATATATGATTGTCCTTTGGCTCTAAATTTATCCCATTATCAGGTTGGCTTTTATTTTGGGAATTCTGTCTGCATCAGAAACATGGCTAAATGACTTCAACTTCAAGTTCAAACACTTGAAGTTCAAAAACTTCAAGTTCAAACACTTCATTTGTTGGCATTTTCATTTTTAGCAAGTGAATATCTGGCATGAATTAACTAAAGTTTAGAAGATCTTTGTTTTTCTTCTTCCCTCCCCACCCCCAAAAAGAAGAAAATTCCTAAAGCTTTTTGTAATTTTTATCACAAAATAATAGACTTAGTACAGGGAGCATCATGCTGAAGCCTTCCTTAGGACTGTTTCACCAGTGAAGACCATCTCACAGGCCTGCTTGGTCCCTCCTGCTGTTCTTTTTTCAAAGCTAAGAGAGACATTCTACAACTTCAAATCTAAGGTTTTCTGGGTCTCAATTCCCTTATACTCCAGAGTTCAAGCACATTTTCTTTGCCTGCATGTAAAAGGTAGTTGATTAGCTGAAGTTAAGTTAACCTTTGGATTTCTTTCCTTTTCGGGGGTTATTTTGTTTTTTATAGATGGGTGTCACTCTTGCCCAGGCTGGAGTGCAGTAGTGCAATCCTAGCTTACTGCAGCCTCAATCTCCTGATCTCAAGCAATCCTCCCACCTCAGCCTCCTGAGTAGCTGGGACTATGGGCATGTACCACCATGCCTGGCTAATTTATACATTTTTTGAGAGATAGGGTCTTGCTATGTTGCCCAGGCTGGCCTCCAACTCTTGGGCTCAAGCAATCCCCCTGCCTTGGCCTCCCAAAATGCTGGGATTACAGGCATGAGTCACCACTTCTGGGCCTTAATTTTTCTCTTTGACTCTCACTATGATTTTGTGAGAGTCTAGGTAACTTAGTGGCAGGAGAATTACCACTTAACTTCCTGAAAGCTTTGCTTTTCCACTAACTCAGAACTCTTCCTCTAACTCTGTATCCATGCAAAACTGGTTGTTGAAACATCCATTCAACAGATAATAATAAATTCCTTCTTCAGTTCACATTCTTCATTTTTACTCACTATACTCTCTTGAGAGATTTTCTTTTCTTTTCTTTTTTATTTTTATTTTTTTGAGTTTCACTCTGTTGCCCAGGCTGGAGTGCAATGGCGTGATCTCTGCTCACTGCAACTTCCGCCTCCTGGGTTCAAGCAATTTTCCTGTCTCAGCCTCCTGAGTAACTGTGATTACAGGCATCCGCACCCACACCTGGCTAATTTTTGTATTTTTAGTAGAGACAGGGTTTCACCATGTTGGCCAGGCTAGTCTCGAACTCCTGACCTCAGGTGATCCTCCTGCCTCAGCCTCCCAAAGTGCTGGGATTACAGGCATGAGCCAACACGCCCAGCTCTTGAGAGATCTTACCGATGTTCTTGGCTTCCATTACATCTATGTGCTGATGAATCCCAAACCTCTGCATCTCTCCACCTAGGATGCCTCTACTTCATTGTCTTGCCCCTTTAAGCTGAGCCCACCCAGCTCAAATCTACACTGTCTGTTCTCATCCCTGTCAATGCACTCTCCAGCTTGGGGCAGGTGGAGGGGGCACTGTTTCATGAGGAAAGCTAATGGTATGCAGAAGGGATTGAATAAAAGAAAGGAAGAGAATGGAGAACATCCGCTTGGCTGGGGCTCAATATCCAAGCATGCCAAGATGAAAGTGGAGCAGGGTGCGGCCTTGGGAAGGAGACGTGAATGAACTGCTGACATTCCTTGAGGACAAGAGGCCAAAGCCTGCTGGCTCTAAAACTAGTATGTTTAAAGCAAATTATTAGTTTTGCTCAAAGTGCCACTGACATCATAAAAGAATAAGATATACCTGGCCAAGACCCCACCTCTTAAAAAAAAAAAAAAAAAAAAGCTTGGGCATAGTGGCTCACACCTGTAATCCCAGCACTTTGGGAGGCCGAGGTGGGTGGATCACCTGAGGTCAGGAGTTTGAGACCAGCTTGACCAACATGGAGAAACCCCGTCTCTACTAAAAATAGAAAAATTAGCCAGGTGTGGTGGCAGGCATCTGTAATCCCAGCTACTCAGGAGGCTGAGGCAGGAGAATCGCTTGAACCCGGGAGGCAGAGGTTGCAGTGAGCCAAGATCGTATCACTGAACTCCAGCCTGGGTGAGAGTGTGAGACTTCATCTCAAAAAAAAAAAAAAAGAATTAAAGATAAATAGTATGATGTAAAAATTCATATTAGAGGTACATTTTTAGGTAATATATCTGTAATGTTTTTGACAAAAATAAATTAATTTAGCTTCAAACATCTCATTCATTTGCAAAGGATGATTTTGTTGAAAGCTTAAATCTGTGGGAAAATAATTTTTGTCTAAAAGTTTATGTTGGCCGGGCGCAGTGGCTCTCGCTTGTAATCCCAGCACTTTCGGAGGCTGAGGTGGGCAGATCACCTGAGGTCAGGAGTTCAAGAGCAGCCTGACCAACTGGTGAAACCCTTTCTTGACAAAAAGACAAAAAATTAGCCGGGCATGATGGTGGGTGCCTATAATCCCAGCTACTCGAGAGGCTGAGACGGGAGAATTGCTTGAACCCAGGAGGTGGAGGTTGCAGTGAGCCAAGATCACGCCATTGCACTCCAGCCTGGGCAACAGAGCGAGACTCCGTCTCAAAAAAAAAAAAAAAGTTTATATCTTAGGGACAAAGTTAAATTTATACATGTAAATCAAGCCTCTTTTTTTTTTTTTTGCAATAGCTTTACTGAGATACTGTAACTCACATACCATATAGTTTACCCCTTTAAAGTGTACAGGTCAGTGGGTTTTAGTAATCAAAGCATTCTTAGTTGAAAAGTGTTATTGAACAACTGGAAGCAGATATTTGTTAACTGGTCTGACTTATGTTCATATGACTGCTTAAAACTTTTCCTTTGCAGGAATTCAGCTAGCCCATTCTAAAAATGGTCCAAAAATCAGAATGTAGGAAGGGAACTGCTATTGCTCTTTGAACTTTAAATAGTCACTGTAGGGATATAGTGACCCAGGAAATCAATTAGCTAAACTGACTTCAATCCAGTAGATTTAAAACATAACAGAAGAAAACCAACTTGAAAAAAGAAAATAAACATACAGTATTATACCTTTAGGGAAAAAGGACCACTTAGTTTAAATTCAATATTTTAAAAGTCAAGAATAATAATGCTTGTTAAAAATCTAACAGTACATGCAAAGGTATATAAAAGCTGCTCTTTGTCCTTTCCCATCCATCCCTCATCAGTCTGTCACCAGAGGAACCATAGTTAATGATGATTATAATAACCTTCCTGGGCTTCAGTGGATTACTCAACAACTGTGTGAGAAAAGAAATTGGTGATCGTTAGGAGTCAGTGTGGGTTCACTAAGGATGAGCCCAACAATGACATTTATGTAATATTCTTTTCGTTCTTCCTTTAGTTGGTCTTTTTGTTGTTGTTTTCAGGTTCCTGGACTCCAGGATTTGGGGGACTGGACTGATGATGGTGATTCTGCATTTCACCAAAGTGATTTGACAAAATTGAGTCATTCAGCAGCTCTGTCTAAATGTGGGCTGATCAAAATATCTGGAATAAATGTAATTGATCATCCTGGTCAGAGCTGTCTGCTGTAAAACTCTCCTTGGCCTTGCCAGGGTTAATTCTTTATCAACTTGCATGAGAAGTGAAGACGGACATCTCAAAGTGACAAATGATTTAAAAAGTTAAAAGTTAGGATAGATAGCTGATGCTGGATCACATATTTTTCTCTTCTTTCTTTTTTAAATTTTTTGATCTTTACTTCAATTATCTTCTGTCATTGCTTATTTCTTTCACTACTCCTATTTAAATATTTTTCAAACTTAGATATGGTGCCAGCATTTTGGTATAAAGAGGAAAGACAGTGTTAGCTCTCAGTGCAGCAGAGCAGTCAGACTTGAAGATGGCGTAAGGAGGAAGGCACTGGATCTGTGGAAGGACAGAGGAGGGAGGAGTCTAGGTAGAATAGAAGAAAAACACCCTGATGAAATGCATCAATTCCTGTGCATTTTAGAAGATCGAATTATAAAGCAATTTGGCAACATGTCTCACCATATAAGTGTTCATATCCTTTGCTCCAGTGCTGCTAATTCTGGAAATTCAACAAATAAATAACACAGGGGAAGGAAAACTGTATTCCATAAAATGTTTGTTACAAATGTTTGCCATAGCCTTGTCGAAGATGTTGAAAGATCAGTTCAGTGAATCATGTATGGTACATATACCTGATCATTGTCATTCAGGGGCACAGGAGAAATTTTAGCTACTAGGAGAAATGTTTATGGCTGTGAAATGGGAAAATATGCAAAACTGTATTCCACAATAGTAATTGTATTTAAAAAACGCATGTATGTGGCTGAAGGTTGAAAGGAGATACTCAGGAGGCTGAGGCAGGAGAATGGCGTGAACCCGGGAGGTGGAGCCTGCCGTGAGCCGAGATCGCGCCACTGCACCAGCCTGGCGGACAGAGCGAGACTCCATCTCAAAAAAAAAAAAAAAAAAAAAAAAAAGGAGAACATGAAAATCACAAAGTGTTGGAATGATAGGGTTTTAGATTGTTTCATCTTTTCAAAACTTTCATTTCTCTTTCTTGAGATTTTGTAAAAAAAAACCAGCAGACAGATCAACGGGAAGGAATTGAGGATGAGGGAGAATATAGCTTATAAGTAGGGGAGAAGGTTAAAAATTAGCTGGGAGTTTAATTGATTTTATATTCACTGTAATCTCAACTGTGAGAAGGTGGTTAATATAGAGCATTTTGAATAGACTCTTATGCCATATTAATAGAAATAACACCATACTGTTGTTTGCACCAGTCAGCATCTATTTGGACTATTGTACTTAATTGACATAGTCACATTTTAATGTCAGGCATTGCTGCATTAAAGTCAGACATGTAGATTTTGGACCTTAAAAGACTCATTCAGTTTTCAGCTGTTTGAGAGACAGTTGTCAAAGCATCAGTAGACACATCACAGTGTGGAAGAGTCCACAGAATGCCAAACCCTGGCCAACAGAGAGAGGGTGGGGTGTGGAGTAGGGCTATTGGGTGGTTTTCAGAGCACCAATCCATTTCCTCTGACGATTTTTGCAAAGACAGTCATAGATATGTAGAACAAACAACAAGATTTTGTGTCTATAGTTATTATTTACCATTTCTGATCCCTGTTTTCAGGACCTATTACATTTCTAGAATGTAGCCATAAAAAGACACCATCGCTATGTATCACTATGGTTAATGAAGGCTTTTCATAGGCAAAAAATAGCAGGGATAATGGCAGGAAGTTACAGTGTGAAAGGTTCCATGGAAGGTGGATGTGGTTTCTTCACCGGATTTTTCCATTGCCGGGAGACAGACATCGTTCCTCAGGCACCCAAACCTGTCTCTCTCGGCGTTTGCTGATAGAGTGGGCTGAATGGTCATCGTCCTTGTGCCCTCTTCAGTTGCCCTGACTCCTATGCATGCTCCTTGAGTGTCACCTTCCTACCTGACAGATGCCATACCCTTCCATCCCCAACTCCCATTTTATCTTTTCCTTCTAAGCTGGATCTAGGAACCCTCACGGGACCCACAAGTAACCGTTATTAAAACAGTGTGACTGCTGGGTGGGGTGGCTCATGCCTGTAATCCCAGCACTTCGGGAAGCGAAGGCAGGCGGATCACCTGAGGTCGGGAGTTCGAGACCAGCCTGACCAACATGGAGATGTATTTTTGTATTTCTACTAGAAATACAAAATTAGCCAGGCGTGGTGGCACGTGCCTGTAATCCCAGCTACTTGGGAGGCTGAGGCAGAAGAATTGCTTGAACCCGGGAGGCAGAGGTTGCGGTGAGCTGAGATCACGCCATTGCACTCCAGCCTGAGCAACAAGAGTGAAACTCCGTCTCAAAACAAACAAACAAAAAAATAGTGTGACTATATGTTCTCAAATATATGTATTTAAGGCAAAAATAACACTTGGCAGCTATATAAAACTAGATTTAGCATGAATCTGTTCTTTTTGCTTACAAGGGAAGATAAGACTTCTAACCAAATACCCATATTATATGGAAACTTCCAATTCTATGTAACGTTTCCATTTTGGAAAAGACTTGTGGTTTTTTGTTTGTTTGAGTTTTTTTAAATTCTTTAAGACAGATTCTCACTGTGTCACCCACACTGGAGTGCAGCAGCCTGATCTCAGTTCACTGCAACCTCTGCCTCCTGGGTTCAAGTGATTCTCCTGCCTCAGCCTCCTGAGTTAGTTGGGACTACAGGCATGTGCCACCATGCCCAGCTAATTTTTGTATTTTTTGTAGAGACGGGGTTTCACCATGATGGCCAGGCTGATCTGGGACTCCTGTCCTCAAGCGATCCACCCGCCTTGGCTTCCCAAATTTCTGGGATTACAGGCATGAGCCACCGTGCTCGGCCTGTTTTTTTTTTTTTTTTTTTTTTTTTTTTTTTTTTAATCAACATCTAAACCCTTACTTTAATATTACAGAGGGAAAGTTGAAAATTGGGCTTAAACCAGGTGTGAGAAACATTTAATATCTAATGATTAAATCTCATGGTCAAGATGAAAGATGTTCAGTCTTAGGTGAAATCTTTCTCACAAAAGTTTTCTGTGGACAGTTGAATGTAGACAGTACAAGTGGCTTTTTTAAAATTTTGAGGCAGGTCTTTTTGAAGACAGCTGTAGCCCATTAGTAACGGTCCCATTCAAGGATGGATGATAATCCCAAAATGTCAGTGGCATTTTCAGTTTTTTTGTGTGTATTTCAATTTTATATTTTTTTCTAAAATTTTTTATTATTCAGTGCAGAATTTTTCTCAATAGCATTTTAGACTTGTTTGTCATCCTGTTTGTCTTCTCCAAATTTAGTGGAAAAGGAACTTCTTTCTTTCATAGAACTTGCCAAGACATCTGGGGAGGATTTCATAATTAAAGAATGTATTTTATTTCCTTTAGGAATCAACAGCACTTGAATCTGATTTGCCATGACACTTCAGTGTTGCTCAACTCAAGAGGCATTGTAGTTCCATTGTAGTTCTTGTTTATGATTAATAGGAAATGAATACTCTGGAGCAGATACATTTACCCCAGGAAGATATCTCTGGATCACTTTGCCTCCGAGCACTCTTCCTCTGAGATATTTTCCTAGTCTCAATTGCTGGAAAAGTATTAATTCTTCCAGGTTTTTCAGATAACTTTGTTAAGATAATAATTCACGTACTGTACAATTCACCATTTAAAGAGTACAACTCAGTGGTTTTTAGCATGTTTACAGAGTTGCATAACTGTCATGATCTTCGAACATTTTCACTCCCCAAAGAAACCCCATACCCAGTAGCCGTCACTCTGCATTTCCCACTCCCCTCATTCCCAGTAACCACAGAGCCAAATCTGTCTCTCTATGGATTTGCCTATTTTGGACATTTTGTATCAATGGAATCATACAATATGTGGCCTTTTGTGTCTGGCTTTCATTTATTATGGTGTTTGCAAGATTCATCCATGTTATAGCGTACATCAGTACTTCCTGTTTTGTTGTTGTTGTTGTTTGAGACAGTCTCGCTCTTGTTGCCCAGGCTGGAGTGCAGTGGCGAGATCTTGGCTCACTGCAACCTCCGCCTCCTGGGTTCAAGTGATTCTCCTGCCTCAGCCTCCCGAGTAGCTGGGATTACAGGCATGCACCACCACGCTGGGCTAATTTTTTGTATTTTTAGTAGAGATGGAATTTCTCCATGTTGGTCAGGCTGGTCTTGAACTCGCAACCTCAGGTGATCTGCCCGCCTCGGCCTCCCAAAGTGCTGGGATTACAGGCGTGAGCCTCTGAGCCCAGCTGGTTTTTTAAACTGCTGTATAATATTCCGTTGTATGGATATATCCTACGTTTTATTTATCCATGCAGCAGTTGATAGACATTGGCATTGGGGTTGCTTCCACCTTTTGGCTGTCATGAATAATATTGCTATGAACACTAATGTACAATTCTTTGCCTGAACGTAAATGTTTTCATTTCTCTTGGGTATTTATCTAGAAATGAAATTGCTGTATGTTAACCCTTTGTTTAACCTCTTGAGGAACTGGCAGACTTTTCCAAAGCAGCTGCACCATTTTAAATTCTAACCAGCAGTGTTTGAGGGTTCCAATTTCTCTATATCCTTGGTAACACTTGTTATCTGCCCTTTTGGTTAGAGACATCCTAGTGAGTGTGAAGTGGCATCTCACTGTGGTTTTGATGTGCATTTCCCTGATAGCTAATTGTGTGGATCCCTTTTGCTTTTAGTGAATGAAATATCTGGTAGTCTCGTATGCCAAACTAAAGCTAAAAATTAAAAATGACTTCTGAAATGAATGTGTATATGACAGACATCATGATGAATCCAAGTGAGCATTATGCACTCGTAGCAATCGAAGCAGACTTCTCTGGCTTCTGAATAACAGTTCTTAGAGTTCTAATTTAGTATTTGGATAGAGTTACTGCTTCTAGTTTGGGGAGTTAGTTGCTAAAATAATAAAATGTCTCCATGGTAGGGAGGGGTGATGGTGAGGAGGTTTGCTGGTGGTTGGTTAAGTATGTTTCCCACCAAATATGCCGAAGCAGTTTCTTCTGTTAGTTACAGGTCAGAATCTTTTTGCCATCTTTGCTTTCTTTCTCCTGTTTGCATCCTTTTTGTTGTTGCTGAACTTTTTTAGAGTAAGTTTTAGATATCAGACACTTCACTCCCAGATAGTTCAGCATCGTCTCCTGGGAATATATCCCTACATTCTTCTGCTTACCCCCAGTGCCATTATCACAACGAAGAAACTTTTTTTTTTTTTTTTGAGAGGTTCTCATTCTGTCGCCCAGGCTACAGTAAAATGGAATGATCTCAGCTCACTGCAGCCTCTGCCTGCCAGTCTCATGTGATCCTCCCACCTCAGCCTCCGGAGTAGCTGGGACTACAGGCCTGTGCCACCAAGTCCAGCTAATTTTTGTATTTTTTGTAGAGATGGGGTCTCACTATATTGCCCAGACTGGTCTTGAACTCCTGAGGTCAAGCAATCCGCCCACCTCGGCCTCCCAAAGTGCTGGGATTACATGTGCGAGCCACTACACGCCCCCAGCCCACAACTGAAAAACTTTAACATTAATTGATTTTATTTATTTGTGTATTTTTGAGACAGAGTCTCAGCTCTGTCGCCCAGGCTGGAGTGCAGTGGTGCGATTTCGGCTCACTGCAACCTCTGCCTCCCGGGTTCAAGTGATTCTCATGTCTCAGCCTCCTGAGTAGCTGTGATTACAGGCGCTTGCCACCACGCCCAGCTAATTTTTGTATTTTTAGTAGAGACGGGGTTTTACCATGTTGGCCAGGTTGGTCTCGAACTCCTGACTGCAAATGATCCACCCACCTCGGCCTCCCAAAGTGCTGGGGTTACAGGCGTGAGCCACCACACCCAGCCCAACGTTAATTTAATGATATCATCTAAGATAGAGTTCGTATTCAAACTTCCTCTGTTAACCTTAAATATATTTTATACCTGCTTTAAAAATTGGGTCCTGGCCAGGCATGGTGGCTCATGCTGTAATCCCTGCGCTGTGGGAGGCTGAGGTGGGATGATCACTTGAGGTGAGGAGTCCAAGACTAGCCTGGGCAACGTAATGAGACTTCAGCTCTATAAAAATAAAATACAAGAAATTAGCCCAGTGTGGTGGTGCAGGCCTGTAGTCCTAGCTACTTAGGAGGACTAGGTGGAAGGATCCCTTGAGCCAAGGAGTTTGAAGCTGCAGTGAGCTATGATTGCATCACTGCACTCCAGCCTGAGTGACACAGTGAGACCCTGTTTCAAAAAAAAAAAAAAACAAAAAAAACAGTGGGGTCCAGCATATAACCAAATTGCATTTGGTCATGTTTCTTTTCTAGTTTCTTAAACTAGAATACTCCCTTTGCCTTTCTGTTTTTCGTACTCCCTTTGCCTTCCTGTTTTTCATGAGATGATAGATAGATAGATAGATAGATAGATAGATAGATAGATAGATAGAGATGGAGTCTCACTCTGTCTCCCAGGCTGGAGTGCAGTTGTATGATCTCGGCTCACTGCAACCTCGGCTCACTGCAACCTCTGCCTCCTGGGTTTGAGTGATTTTCCTGCCTCAGCCTCCCCAGTAGCTGGGATTACAGGCATGTGCTGCCACGCCCTGTTCATTTTTGTATTTTTAGTAGAGACAGGGTTTTACCATGCCAGGCTGGTCTCAAACTCCTGGCCTCAAGTGATCCACCCGCCTTGGCCTCCCAAAGTGCTGGGATTACAGGTGTAAGGCACCGCACCCAACCCATGAGATTTATTTTTATAAAGAGCCCAGGCCAGTTGTCTTATGTAGTGGATTTGTCAGATTTATCTATGATTAGATTCAGGCTGGACATTGTTTTATTTTTGAGACAGAGTCTTGCTCTGGCTGGAGTGCAGTGGTGCAATCTCAACTCACTGCAAGCTCCGCTTCCCGGGTTCACACCATTCTTCTGCCTCAGCCTCCTGAGTAGCTGGGACTATAGGCGCCTGCCACCACACCTGGCTAATTTTTTGTATTTTTAGTAGAGATGGGGTTTCACCGTGGTAGCCAGGATGGTCTGGATCTCCTGACCTTGTGATCCGCCTGCCTCGGCCTCCCAAAGTGCTGAGATTATAGGCGTGAGCCACCGCGCCCCGCCCAGGCTGGACATTCTTAGCAAGAATACCACTTAGGTGATGCTGTCGTGATGGTGCGGTGATAGTGAGTCTTTACTGTTGTATCACACCAGCAATCACAGACAATGCCTGTCCCTCCTGTTATTGCTGATACTGAGTTTGACTGTTAGATGCTAGTAAGGGCTGAGTTTCCCTGTGGGGTACTATGGTAGTTTCATACCGGTGATTCCATTGCCAGTATATTCACATCCAGTGATGACTCTCGCGTAAATCACTGTGAAATGGTGACTTTCTCATCTGTTATTCTTTTCTATATTTCTCCATCTGGCATTCTTCCATATAGGTGAGCTTTTTCCTTTTACCCTCATCTCTCCCTTTGTTTTCCCTTAAAAGTTAAACATCTTTTTTCCAACAATGAAGTTATTGAACGTATTTCCAACTTTTATGTCAAACTTAAGGAAAGAGACCTCCAGCAGGCCAGTTCAAAGACTCTTTTGGTAGACATATTTAATGGAAAAAGAATGGCTAGGTGGTTACTTTTAGACTAGTTAAAAGAATGAGGCCAGTTGGGCGCAGTGGCTCACGCCTGTAATCCCAGCACTTTGGGAGGCTGAGGCGGGTGGATCATGAGGTCAGGAGTTCAAGACCAGCCTGACCAACATGGTGAAAACTCCGTCTCTACTAAAAATATGAAAATTAGCCGGGTATGGTGGCGTGCGCCTGTAATCCCAGCTACTCGGGAAACTGAGGCAGGAGACTCGCATGAACCCAGGAGGTGGAGGTTGCAGTGAGCCGAGATTGCACCACTGCACTCCAGCCTGGGCGACAGAGCAAGACTCTGTCTCAAAAACAAAAACAAAAAAGAATGAGGTCAAAATGGTTTCCCTCAGTTCTTTTTTTTTTTTTGAGACAGGATCTTGCTCTTTTGCCCAGGGTGGAGGGCAGTGGCGCAATCTCGGCTCACTGCAACCTCTGCCTCTTGGGCTTAGGCAATCCTGTCACCTCAGCCTCCCAAGTAGCTGGGACTACAGGGGCAGGGGCATGCCACTACGCCCTGCTGATTTTTGTATTCTTTTTGTAGAGATGGGTTCTACCATTTTGCCCATGCTGGTCTGGAACTCCTGGGCTCAAGCAATCCACCTGCCTTGGTCTTCCAAAGTGCTGGGACTACAGGCGTGAGCCACTGCACCCGGCCTACCTTCAGTTCTTGAAGATCACCTGGGGGTGTGGTGATGGTGGAGGAGGTGGGGGGGTTGGGTAGTAGGGAAGTGGTTTAAAATTATAGATCATGATTTCGTTAAAGTGTATCAGAAACATTTTGTTGGGAATGTTTTCCTGAAGAAAGTCATGAATTAAATCATGCAAAAAAGTTCTGTCCTTGAGAAGGTAGGGATCTTTAAGCATTGTAAGTATGGAAATTAGAAATTATAGAAAGATTTAAAAATATAACAAAAAATAGAAGTTCCTATTTAACACAACCATTATCACTTTTGTGTGTTCTTAGAAAAAAGGAGTGTTTGTGAGTTGGGGGCATCTCACAATTTTATAGGCAGTTTCTAACTTCAAAGGCATTTTTGAGAAAACCTCAAGGTCATAGAAACAGTAGTATAAAAATGGAGGTAAGAATTTCTAATTGTCACTGGGCTAGGTAACTCATTCCTGTAATCCCAGCACTTTGGGAGGCCGAGGCAGATGGATCACTTGAGCTGAGGAGTTGGAGACCAGCCTCGGCAACATGGGTGAAACCCCACCTCTACAAAAAATATAAAAATTAACCAGGCCTGATGGCACATTCCTGAAGTCCCAGCTACTTGGGAGGCTGAGGCGGGAGGATCGATTGAGCCTGGGAGGTCGAGGCTGCAGTGAGCCGTGATCGCGCCACTGCACTTCAGCCTGGGTGACAGAGCAAGACCCTGTCTCAAAAAAAAAATTTTTTTTTAATTGTAATTTTTCTCACAAACATGTTTGACCCATATGTGATAACGTGGTGACACTGGTTGTACTCCCCAACCACTGTTTCTGTTCCCCAGCAAGGGGATCTAAACCGTTTTTCTTCCCAGCTCTTGCTTGCTGTGTCTGGAAAACACATTTGAAAGGCGAGAGGTTTGCATTCGAGAGAGGCTGGGGCTTGATGGTGTCCCTGGAGTTTAAAAGGCTGAGGTTTCCAATGCTATTTGCTTTCGGGATGTTGAGCCCTCAGAGTAACAGATGCCCTAAAATTGTACATTTTCCATCTAGAAAAGGGGAAAAAAAATCTGTAGAAGAATGGATTATGAAAAACAAATCTACCCTCCAAGAAGGTGGTCAACAAAACAGCGTGACTGAGACCTTCACTCAGAAATTCCACGATAGCAGACGTCACCTTTCTCATGTTCGTATTTTGTTGTAGAAGACATTTGGGTGAATCATTGACAGTCTTTTTTTATCAGAATACTTTAATACATTTTACATTGATTTAGGAATTTGGATGTTAAAAATGAGAAATCTTTTACGATGGCATGATCACTGGAAGGAGTAAGGTTTTTTGGGATTATTTTCCTACCATCTGTTGTCAGCAGGACCACCTGCGTATCATTTTCCTTCCATCAAATGTATGACTTAGCCGCCAAGTGGTGCCTTTGTATTTTCCACTCCAGTGTGGGATTGCAGAAAGGCTGTTTTTATGCTTATTTTTGTTGAATGGTTTTATGCTGATGAAATCAATTGAATACCTCGTTGATCTGGAAAGTTGTTCTTATCATCTGGACATCCAGACTGGTTCCATTTAATTGGTTAGCATTTATCTTTGCAGAAAGAAAATCGCTGGTAAATAAAAATTAGACTGAACATAATTATTAATAGATGTCACCACTAAGCATTTGTTTGCCTTGGTCTAACAGTTGTTGGTTAACACATTGATCAGATTGGAGTTTTGTGTGTAAACATACTTTTGGTGTAGTTTTGAGCCTAAGGAGACCTTGAAATGCAATTTTCAGTGTAGAACAAAAAATCTTGTACTTAAATAAAAAATCTTTCCATGTTCCTGAACACCCTTTAAAAAAAAATCTTGAATAAAATTTAAATGTAGCAAAGCTAAAATTGTGTAAAAGTTCATTTTAATAGCAAGGTGTCCTGGTGGTTATAGTCACTGATTGCAAGTGCTTGCTAATAGAGCCAGGAATGAGTGGCAAATTTAGATTCCTTCCTCCAGGAATTTGCTTCATGTTTGAAAGTGATTAAGACATTTTCATAGCTGCCAGTACATTCAGTTGCATCAGACATTTGCTCTACCCATCAAAACATGTCTGTAGTTTTTGCTTAGGGCTGTAATGGAATTGAGAAAGGATGGCTAATTAGAGTAACTTTGCTTAGTCAACGGTCTGGCTGTTGAAGGGATTTGGTTCCTCCAGTGCTGACCAGCCTTGCAGTCACTGCAGAGCAATCTCCCAGTGGACGGAGCCTCCCTGAGCCTCGCACAAAGAGAAGCCAGCGCAGCTGGGAGTGGCTCCAGGAGCACAAAACACTAGGGGATCCAAGACTTGAAGAAACTTATGTATTTATTATTTATTTATTTGCCTGTTCCCCCTAGCAAGTCACTGATTGTGCTTTATCACGATCGTATGCTTTTATGAATGCTTTAGATCACCCATTGATGCCTCTGTCCCTTTTTCTTGATTTATCTGTTTAGTAGTAAGAATACAAGGGGACTTGTCCTCTAAGTCTATCTTTTATGGAATGGTATGGAAGGATTGAGTTTTTCTTGGCAGTTTGAGGTGGAATTCTTTGTGTATGCATCTCCACGGGCACATAATCAATTGAAGCAATTTAAGTCAAATCTTGCTCTTGGTCATTTAGTTAACAAGAAAACAAACAAACCTAAAAACAAATACAACAACCTGTGCAATCTTGAAGATACCGAAGAAAATGAATAGGAATCCATCCTTTCCTAGGTGTCATTACTTCTGCAGCTGTTTAAAGGTGGGTTTCTACACACTGGGGCTCCAGATGTCCACCGTAGCAGATGGAGAGATTGAGCAAATGTCTGAAAATGGCTATTAATTAATGAGGTTGCAAGATACTTTTGTCAGTTATGAATGTCACGTAGACTGGGATGCTTTAGTAAGCAATATGTATGCTCTTGATTTAAAAGACAGCCTGGATTTTATCTTTTGGGGGAGAGGAGTACTCGTATGATAACCACACCTATAGACAAAAATCCTGGTTCCTGTCTCTACTCCTCTTTAAGAAGTGTTTTTTAAGTGCAAAATGGATGGTAAGGCGTATTGTTTCTAAACATCTAGATGTTTCCAATAGGAGAACTTTGTAGAACTGAAATAATTTGAAACAATACATGCTAAATTCCTTTACCTCAAAATTTGGTGCTTGGTAAATGATAGATGTTTAATAGATATTTATTGAATGAGTTAACTATTAGGGCTTACAAAATGATCAGGTTTAAACCTGCAAGCAGACTCTTGCCTCCTATTTTGTATTTTCTTTGGTAATCTTTTATTTTAACAGGAATATAAATCCCATTTTTTATTTAGTTTTTTCTTTTGTTCTTCAACAAATATAAAAGACACTTTCAATGTGAATAAGAATATAATCAGGAACAAATTTTAAGAGTAATATGTGGATTTTGTAAGGATTTACTCTTCAACTGTATTGGTTCTTCTGGTGCTGATGTTTTTCCTAATGTTAAATACAGCATTAATCATTGAAATACGTAAGACATGTTACGTCTTCCCTTTTCAGATCCTTAGGCAATAGCTAATAGGTTTATGTGTGTGTGTGTGTGTGTGTGTGTGTGTCTGTCTGTTTATTTTTTTCTACCTTTGTCTTACTATTGTGGAAGGGAAATAATAGAATTTGTCCTCTTTTATATTTTATTTAAAATCTACAATGATGAAAATGTATCACTTAAGGTAGTAGGTAAAAAGTTTATGGATTAATTTTGTATTAACTTTCTTTGAGGTCTATAATTTATTAATGTGGATGGATTTACAATGAAGGGGAATTCAGATGTTGTGTTTTTTTTGGTTTTTTGTTTGTTTGTTTTGTTTTGTTTTTTGAGACGGAGTCTCACTCTGTCACTCAGGTTGGAGTAAAGTGGTGCGATCTCGGCTCACTGCAGGCTTCGCCTCCTGGGTTCAAGCGATTATCCTGCCTTAGCCTCCCAAGTAGCTGGGATTGCAGGCGCCCACCACCATGCCCAGCTAATTTTTGTGTCTTTAGTAGAGACAGGGTTTTGCCATGTTGGCCAGACTGGTCTCGAACTCCTTACCTCAGGTGATCCTCCCTCCTTGGCCTACCAAAGGGCTGGGATTACAGGCTTGAGCCACCGCACCTGGCTGTGTCATGTGTTTTTATCAAAGAAGAATCATAGCATCGTAAATCCAGTTGGAGGTCAGTTTCTGGGAAGTTCTGTTCTTTGACTACTGTTGTATTGGAGATCACTTTCTCTCTGAGATGATGTTATTGGTACTGCAATTAATGAACGGTAGTGTCTAGTTTTTTTTTTTTGAGACAGAGTCTCGCTCTGTCACCCAGGCTGGAGTGCAGTGGCGCGATCTCCGCTCACTGCAAGCTCTGCCTCCCGGGTTCACGCCATTCTCCTGCCTCAGCCTCCCGAGTAGCTGGGAGTACAGGCACCTGCCACCATGCCCGGCTAATTTTTTGTATTTTTAGTAGAGACAGGGTTTCACCGTGTTAGCCAGGATGGTCTCGATCTCCTGACCTTGTGATCCGCCTGCCCCGGCCTCCCAAAGTGCTGGGATTACAGGCATGAGCCACCGCGCCCGGCGGTAGTATCTAGTTCTTAACTTAGCATAGAACAATGGTTTTTAAAGTGTTCTTCATTAAAACTTACTTCATTTCTGTTTTCTAAAATTCCTAAAATAAATTGTTCAATAAGCAGTTATAGTGGATTTGAAATAGAGAACACACCTGGAGTGTCATTACTGCCTACACTGCTTGAGTGGCCTGGAGGGCTCACACCCAGAACCTGAGTCGGACTTACTTAGGAAGACATTCTCTGTTGTTTTAGTGTTTTAAAAGATTGTATTCCCTGGTCTCATCAAAATGTTATCTTTTTTTAAGAAAGTAGGGATAGAGAAGGAATTTCTCTGGCATGGTTTCTAATCCTAACAAGGTCTGTGATGCTTGGCAAGTAACATTCTTTCAGGATTTGGTTCTCGTCAGTGTCATGGAAGGGACTGTTTTAGGTGATCTTGAAGAACAGCTCTTCAGGTTTTAAATTTTTGTGTGTGTGTGATTAACTTAAGAATGGTGAGTGTATTTATATACAACTCTCCTTGACTTAGGAAAAAATGTACAGCAGTTTTTAATATGTATGCAAGAAGAAACGAGAAATATACGATAAAGGATAAAGGTGGGAAAAATCTGACCATGGAGAAGGCATTCTATAACATTTTAAAAATTTACTTTCTCTCTGTTTCTTTTAAAATTGACCCTTAACACTGCTCGGTGAGGCATTTAAATAATAGAAACGGGCTGGAGACAATAAGCAAGCAAAAGCCGGCGAGGTGGCAGGCGCCTGTAGTCCTAGCTACTGGGGGGAGGCTGAAGTGGGAGGATTGCTTGAGCCCAGGAGGTTGAGTCTGCAGTGAGCTAACGATTGCACCACTGCACTCCATCCTGGGTGATGGAGTGAGACCTGGTCTCTTTAAAAAAGTAAATAAATAAGCAAGTGAAATCAAACTTGAAAAAATTTTAAATAAATATCTTTTTTTAAGCATAAAAGTGGTATATTGTCATTGTGCAAATGCCACCATATAAGAAAAAAGTTCCTTCATTCCCTCTTGTCTTCTGAGATTTTTCTTACATACACAAACAAACATATCCTTTCGGTTGTTGTTTTTTTTTTTTAAATATGCATATAGATAATACTGTTGCGTAACTTGCCTTTTTCACTCAATAGGAAATCATAAGCACCTTTTGGTTCAGTATACACAGATCTGGCTCACTGCTTAATGGCTATATGTTCAGTGACATGGATATACTCTATATTTTTAACCAGTCTCTTTACTGATTGACATTTAAGTTGATTCTGATGATCTCCTATTACAAGTAATGCTGAAATGAACATCCTTTCATATATAATATAATTTTGATATATAAAATGAAAATTATGTATAATATACATATTCATTTATGCTTGTGCAAATATTTCTATAGGACTAATTCCTGGATGAAAGGGAATGCCCCACCCTTCCACCCTTTTCTATATGATAAATTTCTGACACATTTACTTGTTAACCAAGGAATGACTTAAGTTTCAAAATATGCTTAATGCATTCAGCTTTCAATAGCTCACAGCACACACTGTATATAAAAATATGGAACGCTTTACAAATTTGGGTCTCATCTTTGAGTAGGGGCCATGTATCGTTTCCATTTTAGTGTCTGTGCTGCCAAACCAAACGAGCGCTCTTTTCTTTTCTTTCTTTTTCTTTTTCATTTTCTTTTTTTTTTTTTTTTTGAGAAAGGACCTTCCTCTTGTTGCCCAGGCTGGAGGGACACAATCACACCTCACTGTAACCCCAAAGTCTGGGCTCAAGCGACCCTCCCACTTCAGCCCCCCGAGTAGCTAGGACTACAGTTGTAGGCCATCACGCCCAGCTCTTTTCTTTTTGAAAATATTGTAATATTAGATACTTTACGGAATACTCACAATGCCCCATTTTGGCAATCATATTTCACAAACCTTTGACTTTTGACTGAGTTGCAGTTAGCTTGAAACACTCGCGTTTTGCTTTCACTTAGAGAATTACCATTTCTTATGTGTAATTCTAAAGATATATACAGTTAACAAGGTCATGTTTAAATTTACCAGTAAACACATTGGCAGCTTCTTTCCATTCTGCAGGAAGTGGCTGTGTTTCTGTGCTTTCATCCTGTTATTTCCTTAGGGTAAACATCTAGGCTTCATGCAAAGTAGAAGGGGCATGTGCGTGGTGTTCAGGATGTGGATTTGAATCCCCAACTCAGCCACTTACATTAGATAAGTGACTTAACTTGCGAGCCTCCCTCTACAAACTGGATGAAGGTTGCTAAAGAATATGTTTTTACAAGTTGTGCTAATTTTAATGCTACTGAGAACAAATGAGTGCTCAGATTTGGCCACGTCAGTGATATTGGTAGTGTTACTTTGACAGGTGAAGGATGGTGTTTTAAGTTTGCCTTGACTTTTGCATTTCTGTAACGTATGGGAAGAGATAACTGTAATTCTGTAGGTCTATGTATTGGTTCGCTATTTTAATTTCAGGTTATGAGCAGATTTAGTGCCCACTTTATCTTTTGAGGTCTTCTTATATGCTTCAGATCTCATGGTTGATACTTCACATTTGCAAGAATTTCTCCTACACATAGGGAATAGCCTCCCAAATCCTAACTCAACCCATTGTATTTTGATGATGCTATATAGAATTTTAAGTCTTGGAATTGGGGCATTCTATGTGAGGCTAGGACCCAATTTCCTGCGGCTTCATTCTTTTCTCCACACACGTTTGTTTTATTTATTTGTTTATTGAGACAAGGTCTTGCTCTGTCACCCAGGCTGGAGTGCAGTGGTGCTCACTGCAGCCTTGACTTCCTGGGCTCAGGAGATCTTCCTGCCTCAGCCTTCTGAGTAGCTAGGAATACAGGCCTACACCATACCCTCCCTTCCCCAACACCCAGCTAATTTTAAATTTTGATGTAGGGATGAGGTCTCCCTGTGTTGCCCAAGCTTGTCAAACACCTGGCTTCAAGAGATCCTCCCACCTTGGCCTCCCAAAGCACTGGGTTTATAGGCGTGACCCACCAAGTGCAGTCTGGCATGACCTCCCATGCCAGAATGTGTGATGCAGGAGCGGGCTGTCCTCTTCCCCCTCCTGTTCCCGCTCTCAGCTGCCCATACATCTATTTTTATTTTTTCTGAGATGGAGTCTTGCTCTGTCGCCCAGGCTGGAATGCAGTGGTGCTATCTCGGCTCACTGCACCCTCCGCCTCCCAGGTTCGAGCGGGAGGCAGAGGTTGCAGTGAGCCGAGTAGTAGCTGCCTCAGCCTCCTGAATAGCTGGGACTACAGGCGCGTGCCACCACGCCCAGCTAATTTTTGTATTTTTAGTAGAGACAGGGTTTTGCCATGTTGGCCAGGCTGGTCTTGATTTCCTGACCTCAGGTGATCCACCCACCTCGGCCTCCCAAAGTGCTGGGATTACAGGTGTGAGCCACCGTGCCCAGCCTGCCCATACATCTTAAGGGACCTCCAGCTCACGCATGGGGGTTTTCCAGCCCACATGCCCAACCTTCACCAAAACAAATGTGCTGTAGCCCTTTGGTCTAGAGGTGCCCAGGGAAGAGGCTTGCATAGGTTCTGAGAATTCCAAATCTTGGGCCCCCAGGACAGGTGGATGTTAATTTCAGGAAGGTTTGCCCTTTTGGTTGCTGCGGGGGAAGGATGTAGCCAGAGGAGGGCCAGAATGGGGCTCTCCGCAGTGAGGGGCTCTGCCTGGGTCTGATGGTGTTACTGCTCACAGGGATTCTTTGAAGCAGCTGCTGATTCCCCGACTTCTCTTGTCTATTGGTTGAATAATGTTTTCCCTGCTGTCTACCTATCAGGTTATTCATTCCTGATTACTGTCAATGTTCAGGCTGGTCAAACTTGAAATCATTAACTATATAAAGTGTATTATGTATAAAGTGCTAGATTTGTAAGAAAGTTGCTATCTTCATCTTCATGGAGTTTAGTTTTTATCTTGGCTAAGCTCTTGCTAATTTCCCACAGTATAGCCTGCACTCATGTTATGAAAAAATTTAGATGACTGTTGAAGAGTATTCAGGATTTCTTTCTTACTTCTCGGCCCAGGACTGAGCCTTTATGAAAGTGGGTAGCAGGAGATTTTAGAAAAGTGGAGGCCCTTGTATAAGGAGGCTGGGCTCCATTTAATGACGGTGAGGAGGCACACTTTAGGAACTAAAGGAGACCAGCATGACAGATTGAGCGTTAAGGTAGAACTAAACAAGAGGCACTCAAAGGCAGGGAGATCAGCTCTTAGGATATTGCATTAAATCAACCATGAAATGCTAAAGCTTGAACTAGGGCAGAAATCAAGCAATGGGTACAGACAGCATTGAACACAAAAGAAATGGTAGGATTTGAGGGAGCATGAGGATGACCAAGATGCAGAAAAGCCCAAGATGGTCTCCAGGTTTCTAGGCTTTTCCAACGAGGATGCTAATTCTTTGCCTGAAAAAGAGTATTATCAAGTAAAGACATGGTCTCACTGTTGACCCAGAAAATAGAGGGACAGGGTAACAAAAGCAGTGATTTGTTTTCTGTAATACTAATGGCTGACACTGACTAGTGCTTACTGTGTCAGGTGCTGTCTGTCCTACGCGCTTGGTACACTTGTGATAGACACTTATAAATCCCCATTGTACCAATGAGGAAGCAGGCACCTAGAGGTGAAGGAACCTTACAGGTAGGGCCTCTTCTCAAGGCGAGGCATTCTGATCAGAGAATGCCTAAGAGAGGGAGAGACAGAGACAGAATTCAGTATAAAGACAGAAAGCCCACTGTTAAAAGCAATGTCAGGTGTTTTTCTGAGAGCTCAGAAGCTGTCACTGACATAACCAAACCTCAAATCCGGGAGTCATTCTTTTTCCGTTGGCAAGTCCCGCAGGCCTCATCTCCAAAGACATTTCACATCGACCCATTCTGTCCACAGGGCCTTCCCTGGCTTCATTTCTCCCCTGAATGGACACAGCAGCAGCCTTCCTGCCTCCAGCTTGCTCTCCTTCAGCTCCTCTCTGCAGGCAGATTGCTGGTTTGGGGGTTTTTAGGGTTTGTCTGTGGTCAATTTATATCTGATAAAGCGAGCAAGTCTTAAGCGTATAGCTTGGTGAGTTCTTACAAGGTGAACGCACGAGTAACCCTCTCCCAGGTCAGGTTGGAGAACCTCGCCAGTGCCCCAGAAGCCTCCCTTGCATCTCCTCCTGGTTATTGCTCCATTACATTCTGACTTCTGTCTGCACAGATCAGTGTCACACATCGTTCACCAGGTATGCAGTGATCTTTGAAACCTGCACGTTGAGTCATGTCGTTACCAGAACTCCTGGCATCACTTCCACATTGCACTCTTTGCCATTGCCTGACATGAGATAAATAAGAATGCATGGCTGGGTGTGGTGGCTAACACCTGTAATCCCGGCACTTTGGGAAGCCGAGGTGGAAGGATCGCTTGAGCCCAGGAGTTTGAGACCAGCCTGGGCAACATGGCGAAACCCTGTCTCTACAAAAAATACAAAAAAATTAGCTGGGTGTGGCAGTGTGCGCCTGTAGTCCCAGCTACTTGGGGGGCTGAGGCTGGAGTATTGCTTGAGCCTGAGAGGTCAGAGCTGCAGTGAGCCATAACTGAGCTACTGCACTCCAGTCTGGGCAACAGAGCAAGACCCTGTCTCAAACAAAACCGAAACCAAAAACAAAGAATGAACACATGTCGATGTCTTATTTCTCTCTTCCCTGCCATTGGTACTTTTTGCCTATTCAGATCCAGCTCAAAACTCAACTTTTTCTGGTACACTTTCTCTTATCAACAGAACTGAAAGAGACCCCTCCCTGTTAGTACTATGTGTCTTAGTACTCTGTCTTTGATGTGTGGCACTTCCTTTTGACTTGACGCATCCAGATGACATAGGAACCCATCACAGGGATTAATCAAATGTTGACTAACGCATGGGGACCCAGGGTGGAACCAAAGCTTTTGCAAAATGATGAACATTCAGAGGCTTTGGAGAGTGAACTTGGAGGTCAACAAAGAGAATGAAATGCAAGATGCAGTATGAGCATGTGGTGGGTCTGGACTGCAAGATTCAGGCACTTTATTTTAGGAATAGTTAATGTGAAGAACATGATTTATGAACGACAGAGTGGGGAGTGTATTGAGACCAAGTAAGACTAATGCTCCATTGTGAAAACTTACATATCAAAGCAAATATATTGTCCCCTCTGTCCCCAGAAGCAATAACTGGAAACAGTTTTAGAGGACATAACCTAATTGGTATAAAAACTTTTCACTCTCAGAACTATTTTTCCCATTGTCATAGGAGTGGATACCAAATAATGTTTTCCTGTCTTGGCAGTGATTCACATTACTGAGTTTGCTATTGAACTATTTTTTCCTTGCCAGGAAGTACACATCAGAGAGCTGCATTTCACTGTGTGTGTGTGTGTGTGTGTGTGTGTGTGTGTGTATCTATTTCAATCTACTGATTACCAAAGAGCTTATAATTCTTAATGGAGAGTTTGTGGAAAAGATGAAAAAAGGATTTTTTTAAAGAACAATAACCAGAAAGTTTGAGACAATTGAGTATTATAGCAAAGTCCTTTCTTGCGGTGACTTCTCTGGTTGTAATGTCTTGGGTTAAAAAAAAAAATCAATTTCATGCAAAAAAGGGGGGAGGATTATGTAAACAAAAACAAAAAAATTTAAAGTATCACAGTCTATCATTTGGGTGAGTTGTGGAGGGGAAAAGAAGTCATTTGTACAGTTTGATGAAGAAATAAATGTATTTTCTAGTTTCTAAGATAATCTGTGTATGCTCTAAACTTAAAGCACATCATTTCCTGTAAGTCAGTATTTGGTTCAAAAGTGCAAAGGCTTTATGATTGATCATCTACATCTATCACATGATTATCTTCTGGAGGTGATAATTTTTTTTTTTTTTTGAGACGGAATTTTGCGCTTATCACCCAGGCTGGAGTGAAATGGCGCAATCTCCGTTCTCTGCAACCTTCGCCTCCTGAGTTCAAGCGATTCTTCTGCCTCAGCCTCCCAAGTAGCTGAGATTACAGGGGCACCACCATGCCTGGGTAATTTTTTTGTATTTTTAGTAGGGACGAGGTTTCACCATGTTGGCCAGGCTGGTCTTGAACTCCTGGCCTCAGGTGATCCACCTGCTTTGGCCTCCCAAAGTGCTGGGATTACAGCCATGGAGGTGATAATTTTTTTAAAAGATTAAGGCAACAGCAATTTGAGAGTGAGTCATTGATGGGACACTTGTTTAGGGAAAGCCCTTTTTCCTGCAGAAGCAAACTTGCTTCAGGAATGGCATCAGGCTGAAAGCATTTTCTTTGCATTTCAAATAAAGTTGGCAAGAAAGCTGGCACCTGTCTGCTCCATTTCTGTGCTGTTACTACACACATACGTTCTACTTTGCTTGCTGTCAAGGTTCAAGATCAGTAACAGCAGGGAGGGGGCATTTCCCAGAAGCCCACACGACTTCATGAGGAAGCGCCAACCCTCGCTGGATGGGGCGTCGGCTTGCATTCTTCGGAAACAGAAAACAAAACAAAGAAACTCTCCCTTTCTAGTCACTCACATGTGAATATTGGAGACTGTTTCACTAGCAGTTATAGTCTATACTTCTTGAAATCATTTAGTTTGCTTACAGATCTTGAACCAAGTGGTTAAGGAATGAATCCTTTCCATTGAGGTATCCGTTATCTATTATTATTTATTTAAGCGCATATGAACCAAACGAGCCACTTTGTACTCTGTCTTTCCAGGCGTCAAAGCAGGGTAAGTTGCCCCTCTTGACTGAGTCCCGAATGTGGTCTGAGTCAGAGAAGGTTAGAGCTCAGAGCTCGAGAGAGTTCAGGTCTTTTACAAAACAAAACAAGTCAGGTGAGAACCAAAGCTACTGCTGTTGACTTGACCAAGGTCCCACAGTTGTTGGGGTGGCAGCGATGGGGTAAGCATATTTTCTTTTTCTTTCTTTTTTTTTTTTTGAGACGGAGTCTCGCTCTGTTGCCCAGGCTGGAGTGCAGTGGCGTGATCTCGGCTCACTGCTCACCTCTGCCTCCCGGGTTCACACCATTCTCCTGCCTCAGCCTCCCGAGAAGCTGGGACTACAGGCGCCCGCCACCATGCCCGGCTAATTTTTTATATTTTTAGTAGAGATGGGGTTTCACCGTGTTATCCAGGATGGTCTCGATCTCCTGACCTTGTGATCCACCCGCCTCGGCCTCCCAGAGTGCTGGGATTACAGGTGTGAACCACCACGCCCGGTCTATTTTCTTTTTTTTATTTTGATTTCATTTTATTTTTCTGAGACGGGGTGTTGCTCTGTTGCCCAGGCTGGAGTACAGTGGCACAATCATGGCTCACTGTGGCCTCAACTTCCTTGGTCTCAGGTGATCCTCCCACCTTAGCCTCCTGAGTAGCTGGGACCACAGACACAAGTCAGCACGCCCAGCCAATTTTTGCATTTTTTGTAGAGTTGGGATTTCACCATGTTGCTCAGGCTAGTGTCTAACTCTTGGACTCCAGCGATCTGCCCACCTCGGCCTTGGAAAGTGCTAGGATTACAGGCGTGAGCCATCAGGCCCGGCCATGTTTACTTATTAATATTTTAAAGAATTATGAGGAATGCTTTTACACCGTTGGTCGGAGTATAAATTAGTCAACCATTGTGGAAGACAGTGTGGCGATTCCTCAAGGATCTAGAACCAGAAATACCATTTGATCCAGCAATCCTGTTACTGGGTATATACCCAAAGGATTATAAATCATTCTACTATAAAGACACATGCATACGTATGTTTATTGCAGCACTGTTCACAATAGCAAAGACTTGGAACCAACCCAAATGCCCATCAATGATAGACTGGATAAAGGAAATGTGGCACATATACACCACGGAATACTATGCAGCCATAAGAAAGGACGAGTTCATGTCCTTTGCAGGGACATGGATAAAGCTGGAAACCATCATTCTCAGCAAACTAACACAGGAACAGAAAACCAAACACCACATGTTCTCACTCATACGTAGGAGTTGAACAAGGAGAACACCTGGACACAGGGAGGGGAACATCACACACCGGGGCCTGTTGGGGAGTGGGGGGCTAGGGGAGGGATGGCATTAGGAGAAATACCTAATGTAGTTGACGGGTTGATGGGTGCAGCAAATCACCATGGCACGTGTATACCTCTCTAACAAACCTGCGTGTTCTGGACATGTATCCCAGAACTTAAAGTATTTAAAAAAAAAAAAAGAATTATGGCTGGGTGCAGTGGCCCATGCTGGTAATCCCAACACTTTGGAAAGCCGAGGTGGGTGGATCACTTGAGGTCAGGAGTTTGAAACCAGCCTGGACAACATGGAGAAACCCTGACTCTACGAAAAATACAAAAAAATTAGCTGGGCATGGTGGCAGGCACCTGTAATTTTAGCTACTCAGGAGGCTGAGAGGCAGGTTGAACCCCGGGAGGCGGAGGCTACAGTGAGCTGAGATCGCGCCGCTGTACTCCAGCCTGGGGGACAGAGCAAGACATCGTCTCAAAAGAAAGAAAGAAAGAAAAAGAGTCACGAGCACATTGGTTAAATGGACTTTCCAAACAATAGGTGCTAAAATAAAATTGATAGAGTTATAGTGAAGGATTACAGAGAGCCCCTGAAGTATTTAATTAATATTTTGTGGGATTTGGGGTACAGCTGAACTGCCTGTCACTCTTCCCACTCCCACCCTACCCCCGTTCAGAAGTCACAACTCATGCTTTTGGAGGACAGAGTGAATTTCTCCCAAATTACTGTCTTCTGCCTCCTAAATCAGGACCACATTTTTCAGGTGTGCTTATTTGGGGAACGAGGCCTGGTCTGTGTTCCGCTGTATTGCTGATGAAGCTAAAAATTAAGGGATTAATGGCATCGCTAGATGCGCCCTGTAGCGGCTGGCAGCTCTAAAAGCTCTTCTGACAGCTATAACTTATGATTTATAAATGAGGTTAATGGATTCCTGTTAGAATGGAAAATGCACTTGTGTAAGATCACTTATTCAAGCCGTAATCAGTACCTACTGCAAGTGCTTTCTCCTGAGGCTTGTATTTTTTGCTGGAGGATTTTTGTTTTTAGTAGATATTGCTGGACATAGGTTTTTCTTTTCTTTTTAAAATTTGCAACAAATCCCAAATCACCAGAATTGCTGAAAACATGCTGTGAGAGATGAATGTCAAGTTCACAGTCACTGCCCTTCTCCGACAGAACCAACACCAGCCAGCCCTCGAGCGCAGACGGGGAAATTCAAACTGATACTCTCCACCCCTAATGTTGAGAGAGATGGTTATGCAGCTTCAAGGTCCTCTGCAAATTCACCATACTTGGATAGACTGTGAATGTATTTTTAATTAGGCACTGATTTTTAGAGCATTGGGTTATGTAGTAGTGAATATTCTGACCAGCCTGCATGTTTCAGAAGCAGAAGTATGAAAAAATAGATTTGGTAGCAAACACCAACCAGCCAAACAAAAAAGCAAAAAGCCAAAAACCCATCTTGTGGTTGATGTGGTTTCCATAGGGCTTTGCCTCTCGTACATAGTCACTTCTTAAGAAACACTCTCCCTTTTTTTCTCAGTAGAGTAAGGTCTTGATAAGAAGGTTGCAAGATGTGCAATATAACTGTTTTATTGAGTAATTTTGTTAAACCAGGAAAATAAGAAAGAAAAGAAACTAGAGCTGTTATTTGTCTTTCTTAGAATGTCTTGATCAATACATTCTAGGCTGGCCTGTAAGAAAAAGAAGCACAGGGATTTTGAATAGAGACACTGTCACCAGGTTAACTTTGTAAAGGGAGGGTGGTGGGCTTTCCCAGATGTACTTTCCCTTGTGAGGTTTTAGCTTGGCTCTTAGCTCATTCAAAGCAAAGACTGAGAGATGTTTAATTTGCAAATCCTTCAGGTGTGGAACTTGGATTGTAATTCTTTCCTCCTTGGGTAACATGATGACTAGCATGGTTATGGCTGGCATTTTGCTTTTGTTGTGTTTTGATACACTTTCGTGTTTAGAAGGTAACGCATCCGATGGGACGAGGCATCTGAACAAGATGGTTTGGAAGCTTCCTTTTGAGACTGGAGAAATGTGTGGACTAACACAAATGTGTTCTTAGAATAGTCATCATTTCTTTGTGGGAAACATTATTCTGGCACCTATTAATGCTTATAGGGACTAGAATTGTTGAATTCCTTCTCCACTGAATTCAGGTAGCTTGATTGGGGCCATTTTGGAGGATAGGAAAACTGGGCAGTGTCTGGAAAGGCCAACATCTTCACTGCACACCCTACAGGGAGGGTGGGTGGAAGTTCCCACAGTGGCATCAGTTGGACACCATGACGAGCTCAGTCCCAGGTGACTGAGACAGACAGAATGGAGAAGCACTCACCGTTATCTCATTCTCCTAGCACATCCCTCACCCAACTACAGTCTTTCTCCACTTAGACATCCATGCCACTGGGTGTTACCCCAAAAATCTGAAGCCAAGCAGATTGACCCCTGACAATGAGGCCCTGAAGTTCAGTTACGACTCCTTGAAGACCTCTTACCTCTCACAGGCCAGCTTCCTCTCCCATCCCCCTCACTGATGGTTCCCAGCCTTCACCAGATTCTTTTTTTTTTTTTTGAGATGGAGTTTCACTCTTGTTGCCCAGGCTGGAGTGCAGTGGCATGATCTTGGCTCACTGCAACCTCTGCCTCCCAGGTTCAAGCGATTCTTCTGCCTCAGTCTCCCGAGTAGCTGGGATTACAGGCATGCGCCACCATGCCAGGCTAATTTTGTATTTTATTTTTAGTAGAGACGGGGTTTCTCCATGTTGGTCAGGCTGGTCTTGAACTCCTGACCTCAGATGATCCGCCCGCCTCGGCCTACCGAAGTGCTGGGATTACAGGCGTGAGCCACCTTGCCCAGCCTGGATTCTTGTTTTTCCTTCTCACCCTCTCCCCTACTAAATCCCCTTCTCTTCCTCAGAAGTTAGTCCTTCTAGGTTCTCCCTGTAACCTTACCTGCATAGAAACTCCCCCTCTCTGCACATAAACGGAGCTGCTTTCTGATTTACTTTCCTTTTGAGAGCTGGTCTCCAGTTGCTGCAGATCACCTCATCCAGTGTCCCCTTCACCACCTGTCAGGTTCCCTTGGTCAGTATCATGCCTCTGAGACAGCAGCTGCCCATTGGAATCACCTGGGGGAGCCTTGGAAACTACTAATATGTGGGTCCTTTCCCAGAGATTCTGACTTAATTGGGTTAGGATATAACCACAACAACAGCCCCACAAAAGTATTACCCCTCGTTCTATAGGCTCAGAGGGTGAGAAATTTGCCCACATGTCTCACAGCTGATGAGTGGCTTAGCTGAGATTTCCTTTCATGGGTGAGCTTGCAGATTGTGCTCTTTCTGTTGACTGTCCTGGGCTATGCCAGATCCAGAGAAGCACGGCAGGATCATTACCAGCTAAGAAGGGGTCTTACCATTGCCTGCCCCTTAGGAATCAGTTGCCCTAGGCGAAGTCCCTGTTTTCCTCCAAGCAGACTGATAAACACTGGCTGTGCTCAAGCAGCAGCAGGGCTGGATTCGCGTCACTTACTTTGGTATGCAGGAGGCTGCTTGTATTCCGTGGCGCAGGGAGCTAAGCACACACGTCAGAGAAAGCCATTTCAATTTATCATTTTAATTTTGCTATTAAGCATCCACGGACCCTAAATGGATTCTCCACAATGGCATCTGCAAGTCCATTATCAGCTAAATGTTTAATGAGTTTTTTAAGTAACCGATGGATGCCACAGTGTATAGGAAACTTTCTTGAGTTTTTTTCACATATAAGGAGGCATTTCTCGAAGTCACTTGGGATGGCTTAACATAGCTCATCCCTGCCAGCTGACTTGTGGCCTCTTTCCCTTCCTTCCATGTGCAGTGCCTTCTATCTTGAATGCTGCAGCCAGCAGAGGTTCTGGCAGTGGAACCCTCTGCCTAGTGGGCTTCAGAAAGGAGCCTGTGAGGCAGAGACATTTCAATTGAAAAGCAGTTTAGAATTCAGCCTCCATTTGCTAATTCCCATAGATGCTCGTCAGCAAACACAGGACAGTTGTTTGTGGATTTGAAATTTGCTACTTTTTCATTCTGTATCTTACATTTTGGTGATTGTGCTACAAATATTTGGAGTTGAACATAATAGGATAATCACTGTTGATTCTTGGCTAAATCACATTATCTTAGGCCATCTTTGCAAATCAAGTGCATTCTACTGAAAAGGAGACAAGCAATTTTGCTTGTTCTTTTTCTCTTTCAGTCGAATGGAGCATGGACTTAGAATTGAAGTTGCAATGGGGTGGGCAATACATTCTAACTGGGTTTTTAGTTAAAAATCAGCAATCAGTTTAAGCAATCTGGTTCAAAGGCAGTATAGCTACAAATTTGCAGACAGTGTGTAGTACAGTTGTCCTTCAGTATCTTAGACGAATTGGTTCCAGGACCCTCCCACCCCTGTTGGTACCAAAATACAAGGATGCTCAAGTCCCACAGTTTGCCCTCTGGATCCAGGGGTTCCCAACCTCAGATTCAACCAACCAAGGATTGAAAAGATAGTTTTTGCCGGATGAGGAACTGCAGATACGGAAGGCTGACTGTATTTCATTTCAACAGGGGTCTCGATTATCCTCCTCATTGAATGGTAATATGTTACCTGTTTTGGCAAAGTTTGGAGTAAACTTCTGTCTCCACCTCCCTGTATTGCAGCTGTCAGCATGGTGAAGAGCCTGCAAGGCGTGTTGATGTGTGCTGCCTAGGGCTGCCTAACACAAACCAAACAAACATCCCTTCTCAGGATGGGAGAAGAGCTTTTTATGAGACCTTCTTCTGTCTTCCTCTTGCCCGTCTCTGCCTTTGCCCCCATAAGCAAGTGACAGTTGTGTAGTGTTTAGCCACTACGTATTTCTCATATCTGTCTTCATGGTGGAGCTTCTGATACTCCTATCTTAGGGACACACCTTTGATTAGAAGAAGTAATATTAGCCTCTAAAATTTTTTGAACTTTAAAATCAAGACCTTACTTGGGATAACGCTGGTTTCCTCCTCTGTTGAAATTGTTTATCTCTTGGACTCAGAAACTATTTAGCCTTTCTGTGGCACACAGTGGATTTCAAAACATTTGGTATTATCAGATTTCTAAGCAAGGATGTGATGTAATTATTTTACTACCAAATGAGGATTCTTTTGAGAGAAGCAGCCACTTAACGTGAGAGTAATTGCTTGAATATGAAGTGGTGTGTAGGAATTGAGTGAGAACTGAGATCTTGACTTGCACGTATGCTGTAGATAAAACCTACTATGAATTTGCTGGTGCAGGGCCACAGAAAAAACTAGTCATGAGAATTGCCAGAATTGTCAGAAATGTGTTTTGAGATGATTTATATTCATTATTCTAACTCTTCACAATAACATTTTGCTTATTTTGCAATTGGAATTTGTGGAGGTCCAAGAAGTCAAGATGGTAATTAATTTGCCCAGGACAGCTGGTAGGTGCATCAGCTCAGAGCAGCGGGTGGTGGGGAACTTGTCTTAGACATTCACGATGCAGGTCATGACACTGGACTATAAAGCTGTAGCTCTAGGGGTCTGTATTCTGTGCTCTGTAACTTGACATGATCTGGGACCCAAAGTTAAATAACTAATCAAGAGAAGTCAGGTGCTTTTTTGTTAAACACGGAACTCCAGTATTCCTCTGAAGCTTAAGGAGAGAGTAAGTAACATGGTATTGGGCTTGTTCCCTGTCCTTAACACAAGAATTCTTGGAATTGCCGGATTACATATTCTTCTCCCCTGAGAGGACACCCAGTGCAAGCATGGCTCACATGCCTAAGGTCTGTGTTAGATAGATCATATCATGGATCCAGCATAATTAAGTAGAGATGCATTTTCTTGGTTTAAGTTACCTTAGGGGAAAAAAAGAATAAAATTCTTCAGGTTCAACCTTGGAGTTCTTCTTCTTTTTTTTTTTTTGAGGCGAGGTCTTGCTCTGTTGCCGGGCTGGAGCACAGGGGCGCAATCTCGACTCACCGCAACCTCCTCCTCCCAGGTTCAAGCAATTCTCCTGCCTCAGCCTCCCGAGTAGCTGGGACTACAGGCGAGTGCCACCATGCCCAGCTAATTTTTGTATTTTTAGTAGAGACGGGGTTTCACCATGTTGGCCAGGATGGTCTGGAGCTCTTGACCTCATGATCCACCCGCCTCGGCCTCCCAAAGTGCTGGGATTACAGGCGTGAGCCACCATGTTCAGCCTGGAGTTCTTTCCTGATTCTATGAGGCTGTGAGTAGTGGTTCTTAACCAGGAATGTTATCACCACCACCTCAGGGGAGGTGCACATTTCTTGATATGGGGGGTCGGGGTTGGGGGCACCAGGGATGCCCCATGTCCTGTAATTACTGTCCACAGTGTCCACACAGGAAGATACCGGTTGTATCAGAGACTTGGTCTAGGATTCACAGGTTTTTCTTCCAGTTGGATTTAATGAGCTTCTCTCTGTCCTAAGACCCAAATGCTGTGGGGTTTGCCAACATTACAAGGTAGGCATTTCACAGAACGGAATTCTGGCAGGCCATCTTCATGCAGTGAATTGCTGTCATTGGTAGGTGGTGCTTTTTATTGCCCCCATCTCCAGCAGAGATCTTATAAATTCCCTTTGCCTGAAATCAGCATGGTTGATCTCCCACCTAACCAGATTTAGAGTGCTTTGTTTTCTTTAACATACTTTCCCAGAGAACTCGGGAGTTTTAATACTTTTAAAAACAACTATAACTTTTTATAAAGTAGGGAATACTTGACTGAAGTGTTGTGTGTTAAAACATACTGCATGCATCCGTGGTGTCTTTAGTTATGGGGAATGTTAGTAGATGTGACTCAGAGAGGGTTCCTTGAGGAACTCATTTTAGAAAATGCAGTGATTTCCTCCTTAGTGGTTCAGAATGCACATTAAAGAGTCTTTAAATTCTAAGTAAATCTGCTTAACTCTGTCTGCGTCAGAGTTTCCCAAGCTAACCTGGAGCACAGAACACTTCTGAGATAATGCGTGGTATGTTGGTGTTGATACACGCAGTATACTCATGCTCTCAGAGACCGGTTTGATAAATGCCGATCTTTGAGAATTTAGAGGCCTAATTTGTAGACAACATTCCTGATAAAATGAGTTCACCTGTAGTGGCCAGTCCTTTGGGGTTTCCATAAGCAATGTGAGATACATTATTTTCTAATAAGACATCCAACAATTTGAATATTAATGTTCAATGGAATTAATTTTGCATGCTAAAAGCCAACTGATGATTTTAGTGGATCTCTCTTAACAATCATTCTTTCTCATGTCTAAAGATGAGTTTGGGTTATTTCTCCTGAAATTATGGTTAACTAACTTTCATGAATTTTACTGAAAATGATGAGAAACAGAAAAATCTGGGATTTGTAGACAGTGGCGAGAAACTCTCTGTCTAGTATTTATACCCCTCACCAAGCAGCACTCCTGGGCCCTCAAGCTCTGCTGCTGTGCAGAAACCGTTCCAGCCGCCTTCCTTAAATAGCAAGCACTGCCATTTCAAACACAAGATAAAATTAATATTGGCATTCTGGAAATTAGCATTTTTGCACTAGGATTAAATTAAATTAGTTAAACGAATGTGACAGCATGACAAAGCTGGTCTAACCAAGCCAATCAGGTATTGAAAGTGGATAAATGTTGCTGTTGGGTGAATAGCTCCTACTCGGCAGTTGGTGGGATGATGTAGCGTAGGCTGTAAACCCCATCTTGGAATAAAGACCTGCAGGATAAAGTGCAGTAGGACACGTGGGGTTCAGACAGCTGGGCCCTGTTTTCGTCCTGTGGAGCTGGAGGGAAGGGGCCACAGGGACTCTGGGTGATGGTGAGGAGATGTTCACCCCCTTTTCTGAGTCCTTCAGATGAACTCAGTCGAGCTTAAAGTGATGTCACCAAGCAGTAAGGGAACTTTTTTGGCTTGTTGGTTTTGTTTGCTGAATATATGGATGGAAAGAAATATCATGAAATTTATAACGAGCAGTGGCTTTATTTAAAGATCAGAGACTTCATAGCATCTGTAGGTTAAGACCTGGGACCTGCTGCCACCCTCAAGAGGATCTGCTGCCTCTTCCCTGAGGAAAACTGGCAGCAGGAAGAGAGCTCTGGAGGCCAATTTCTCAGAGATAAGGGCTTCTTATTTTTAGAGATCACTACAATCATGCCCACCCCGGGATGCATCCTCTTCTCAATTTCATGTGGTTGGAGAGAGCTTTTGACTCTATGCTTTGATAATAGCTCTGAAACCCGATAAGCAGTTCATTTTCTCTCTTTTAAAAACCTTGCTAGTTAAAAGGCCTCCTCATATTTTTCTTTTGCAGATTGCCTTAAATCTTTTTTTAAATTCATGGAATATAAATGTATACTCCTGATTGCCTTAGCAGTGCTTACTATATATCTTGAGATAATTAAAAATCACATCAGCCAGGTGCGGTGGCTCATGCCTGAAATCCCAACACCTTAGGAGGCTGAGGTGGGCGGATCACCTGAGGTCAGGAGCTTGAGACTAGCCTGGCCAATGTGGCGAAACCACATCTTTACTAAAAATACAAAAATTAGCCGAGTGTGGTGGCACATGCCTGTAATCCCAGCTACTCAGGAGGCTGAAACGGGAGAATCTCTGGACCCCGGGAGGTGGAGGTTGCAGTGAGCCGAGATCACGCCACTGCACTCTAGCCTGCACTCTAGCCTGCAGCTGAGATGCAGCATCCTCAGGCTGAACTTCTTGGAAAGCATGACTGTCGGGGAAGGAATGGAGAGACTAAAGAATTTGATCCAGTTCCCTCACAAAAATTAGGGCTATTGTTCATCTAAACTTCTCATAAATCTGGATCACCAGTGGAATAATCCATTTCTGCATTTAGCCTCCGTCTTATTTTCAGCCTACTTCTAGAAATTTAAATATACATTGGAAAATATATTGTATGCCTAGGTTGAAATAAAAGGGTTTTTTTTTTTTTTTTTGCCAGTCTGGATTGCTGTTTGAAGTATTCAATTTTAGAGTGAATACACCAAGAGCTACAGCTATTGACTTGTATGAAATAAATCATCAGTCTTAATGATAGCTCTTTGAGTTACATTGATGGGTGGGCTCACTGATACACACCACACAACTCTGGGTGTATGTGTATGTGTGTGTGTGTTGTGGGGGCAGGATCACTTGCCCTCGCAACCTGAGGATCTGAACCAACCAGGAACCTCAGGAAAAAAAGGGCTGCTATGGGCTGGGCGCAGTGGCTCACACCTGTAATCCCAGCACTTTGGGAGGCCGAGGCGGGTGGATCACGAGGTCAGGAGTTTGAGACCAGCCTGACCAACATGATGAAACCGTCTCTACTAAAAATACAAAAATTAGCCGGGTGTGGTGGTGCGCACCTGTAATCCCAGCTACTCAGGAGGCTGAGGCAGGAGAATCGCTTGAACCCAGGAGATGGAAGTTGCAGTGAGCCAAGATCGTGCCACTGTACTCCAGCCTGGAGGACAGAGCATGAGTTCGTCTCAAAAAAAAAAAAAAAAAAGGCTACTGTGTCTTCTTTTCTCTTCCTGTGTGCAAGTCTGTGATTTCAAGGCTATGGCCATGTTACGTGTAGCCGTACCCATGTCTTGAGGTGCAGCCCCGTGTGAATGTGTGTCCTGGGATGTAGTGAGATGTGTCGCCTCTACCGAGCTGTTTCTAATTTTGTTGGATTCCCTTTTCATTTCACATCTCAGACTCAAGCCAAATGCTGCCTCCTTTGAAACCCTCCTTAACAGAAACATGAGGACCATTTATAAAAGGTGACCGTAGTGTGAGATAAGGGGTGGAAAGTACTGGGATAGCACGTGGACCTTGATTTGATCAAATGGACCAAGTCTCATAAAATGGCTGCTGAGTGCTTTTCTATTTAGAAAGAGAATTTCCCCCAATACGGTTTCATTTGAATCTCACACAATCCAAAAACAGAGATAGTATTAGTCTCAGTTTGTAACTGGGAAGATGAGCTCAGAGTAAAGTTCCATAGCTGAGAGGAGCTTGGACTCTAACCAAGACGTTGTATGTGCTGTGCTGTCTTCTGTTTCCCCCATGCTTTCTATAGTTTAAAAAAGAAAAGAAAAGAAAAATCACAGGCGGCCCTCGTCCATTTAGATCTTTATATAAACCACCTTTACCCGCTTTGTCCTGCCCAGTCCTAGAAAATCAGAAGGATTAGATGCCTTTGCCATTTGCCAGGTGTTATTGTTGAGTGCAGAGCAGGAAGGACACAGGTAATAACTCCCAGAGCTTTCATTTTAGAGAAGAACGCAGGCATGGAACAAGTAATTCCCAAGACCACAATTATTGAGAACAAATAGTATAACAAAGACAGCTAAAATTTATGTTAATAGTTGACTTATTAAGAACTTAATATGTTCCTGGTGATGTTTCCAATATTCTTTGAGGTATATAAAAATGAATTCTTGGCCAGGCGAGGTGGCTCACACCTGTAATCCCAACACTTTGGGAAGCCAATGCGGGTGGATCACTTAAGGTCAGGAGTTCGAGACCAACCTGACCAACATGGTGAAACCCCGTCTCTACTAAAAATACAAAAAAATTAGCCAGGCGTGGTGGCACTTGACTGTGATCCCAACTACTTGGGAGGCTGAGGCAGGAGAATCACTTGAACCCAGGAGGCGGAGGTTGCAGTGAGCCGAGATGGCACCACTATGCTGCAGCCTGGGCAACAGAGTGAGACTCCATCTCAAAAAAAAAAAACAAGAGAGAAAAATGAAAAAATTTTTTTCTTTTTAAAAGCCAGTCAAGTTTAGCAGTGTAGGGTTGTATACCGACTTTAGTAACACTGATGTTAATTTCTGATAACCCACTACCATCGGACCAGCCTAAAAATGAATTCTTAACTCCATTTTACAGAGAATGGGGAAGATATGAGGGAGGTAAGAAATGTGCTCAAGGTCGTGAAAGTAACTTCCTTAAGGCGGAAGCAAATGTATATGAAACACACTTGTGAAATGGGTACATAATGCATAGGATACATGTGTTCTCTGTCAGGAGCCTGTAGTGGCCTGCTGTAGAACTGTGATATGCTTGGCTCCGTCCCGTTCAATGTTTTTGATGAATGGCTTAGCTGAGGACATTAATATGTTATTTACATTTGGAGATGATATAAACAGAGGAGTTAAAGCTCCAGCAGTGTGGCCTGTTGGCCTAGATGATCTTAAAAGATTTATGAACCCTGGCAAGCAAGGTTATTAACATGCTTGAAGCCTAAGAATCTATGAGTTTTAGGGTTCAATGTATTTTCACTTCTACAGTGATAAAGTGAGTAAAAAGGAAACCGTGTCTGTTCTCCCAATTTCCCTCTAAGAGGATAAAACCAAACAACAACAATGCCATAGAGGTAACCATTATTAAAGATTTGGTACATATTGTTCCAGACTTTAAAAAAAATGCTTACACAAACATTGACTCCTTTTCTCTCTCCCTTTTCCTCTTCCTCTCCCTCTTTGTCAGTGGGTTATTTTTGTTTAGTTTGGTTTTAAACACATAAAAGAATCATTCTCAGCAACTTGCTTCTTTTCCCCCTTAAGCCAGGGACATCTTCACACATGAGTGTGTCTAAATCTACCTCATAGCTTTTGATGTTGTCTATTGCATGAACATTTCATAATTTAACTACTCCCCTCTACTGATAGACATTTAAGGGTTTTTTTTTTTTTTGCTATTATGAAGTATTTATTACTTATTTATTTTTCCTTTGTAGAGACTGGGTTTCAGTTTGTTGCCCAGGCTGGTCTCAAACTCCTGGCTTAAAGCCATCCTCCTGCCTCAGCCTCCCAAAGTGCTGGAATTATAGGCATGAGGCACCACGCCCAACCCTATTATAAGTTATTATGTGTTGCACCTCATAAATATGTAATGCCATATCTATTAGAATGGCATGGTGTAGCTAATGGGTTTGCGTATTTAAAATTCTATCCCTATTTCCAAATTGCCTTCCAGGGATATTGTTTACTGATTTGTACTCTGGTTTTTATTTTTTTTGTTTGACATTTTTAAAGATTTACTTTCAAAACACTTTCTATTAGAATGAAGGAGAAAACACAATGAAGAGGTTTCTTTACAAGTTTTGTCGTGGGATTTAAAATTCCTTCCAGATAATCTTTAAGTCTGATGATTTGATCATTTGTGGGTGTGTCCTGGTTATATTGGCTTCTGGTTCCTTCCCACGAAGGCCACTTACAGGTTTGCTTCTTGGTCATACTGCCCGGGGTGGGACGAATTGCCCCTTTGGAGCCTCGTCTACTGTGTGAACTGCAGGAGTGCTGGGCCACTTGCACCCGGTCGTCCAATGAGGATGTAGATCTGGGAGTATCACTTCTGCAGTGAAAAGGGTTGCTTTGGTTGGCTTACCTCCTCTGCCCCTGGCATCCTGACAGCTGTCAAGGGCTCATCATTTCACAACTTCATTAAACAGCCTGGTACTCCTGTTTCTTACTCTGCAAAGGAGGTCCCTAGCACGTTGTGGACTCCTGTGGAGAAGGAAGTGGATGGAGAAGTCTCCTAGTTTTTCTGTGGTGCCTTGGCTACCACTTGGACATTCTTGGTTGTTGTTCTTACAGAAATGAGAGGAAAACACTGTTGCTGGAAACATTTGAGGTTTTTAGGGTCTTTTTTTTTTTTAACAGCTTGTTTAGTTGTAATGTGGTAATACTTCATGGGAATAAACTCTGGCTGACCCACTCAAAGGATATAAGCTTGAAAACATTTAGGGTTTTGATTTGTTCAAAGGAGGCATTTGTGCTTTTTGAAGCACAAATCCAGTGGGAAAATAGGTTTTCTGGTGCTTACCATGTTTAAGTGTAAGGAGCGTGTCTTTCAAGTCTAGTTCTCATCTCAAAAGAAATAACTATTTATAAAACTAAGTTCAGGGTGGAGGGATAAAGCTATGCGAGGAAGCTTCGGAGTGGAAAAAGTGAAATATACATTTCCTCCTTCTTTCTTGTTTGGTAACAGTTAAGTCCCAGTATTACTTTCCTCCCTGAAATGGGTGGTCCTCGAATCCCATCTGGCTCCAATGAATCCCATCTGGTTCCACCGCCTCCTGTCCCATGTGCCACTATGTTGTGTCTGCATCTTTCAGGGTCTCTCTGGGCAGAGCTGTGTGTAAATCCTGTCTTCTGTGGCCATTTGAGTTGCAGACAGGAGAGACTGATTGAAGTTAAGCAAGGTGCGTGTTTATTAATAAAGAAATGTACCCACAATGTATGAAACCATCAGGTCATAAAATAACACGTGTTCCCCATTATTTTTTAAGTGAATGCTTGTGCCTGTATATATACACACGTAGAAAACACAGAAAAGACTTAAATGAATGTAGGTTTGATTTCCTCTATTTGAGGTGACTTTAACTTATTGATAACTCTCAGAAGTCCGTGAATTTTTAACAACGGTATGACTTATTTAGACGGTTTGGGGATGGAAGAAAAAACAAAAACACTTTTGATTTGGAGTGAAATAAAGGGAATTATCCATCTTTAACAACACGTGGGATTTGCAAAAGTGTGGACATGTCTGAATGTGACAATCTGACTAGGAATGAAGTCCCATTTTGTGCGGATGTTGGTGCCTCATAGGCTCTGAAAGCTCACCTGAGACATCACCCTTGAGGTCAAAGCTTGGGTACCCTGGCGGGACGCAAGCTATTCACATAGTAAAATAGACTCAAAACTCAGGTTCAGTAACGTCACTGTCATAAATCGTTTTCTACCGAAGTTAATAATGTATCTACGGCCTTTCTCAAGTAGGGACAGTTACCCTGTGGTTACTGAAAATTAGTATCTCATAATGTATTCATTATCATACTTAGGATGTAAGGATGTGTAGCATTTGACCTCAGTTTTTAAGGGTCCTTCTTTTTATCATCTAATGTACTTTGCTATGTGTGTGTAACATCTCTTTTTTTTTTCTTTTTTTTTTTTTAAGAGACGGAGTCTCCCTCTGTTGCCCAGGCTGGAGTGCGTGATCTCAGCTCGCTGCAACCTCCGCCTCCCAGGTTCAAGTGATTCTCCTGCCTCAGCTTCCCTAGTAGCTGGGATTATAGGCGCACACCACCACACTTGGCTAATTTTTTGCATTTTTAGTAGAGACGGGGTTTCACCATGTTAGCCAGGATGGTCTCGATCTCCTGCCCTCATGATCTGCCTGCCTCGGCCTCCCAAAGTGCTGGGATTAAAGGCATGAGCCACTGCGCCTGGTGTAACATCTCTTTTTTAAATGATGTTTTTATTTGGAGACGAGGGTCTCTCTATGTTGTCCAGGCTGGCCTCAAACTTTTGGGCTCAAGCAATCCTCCTGCCTCAGTCTCCTAAGTGCTGGGACTACAGCGCACGTCACAGTGCCCGGCTCAGTAACATTTCTAAAAGAGTAGACGGAAATTTGTGCCTGTGTGCTATAGTCTTCATGTTTAAAGAGACTCAGTTTGGCTCCAACTAAAGATACCTTGGATTGGGCAATTCACAGAGGATTATAAGAATTTTTTCAATAATTTTAGGTACTTGGTAGAACCCTAAACTCTATAGAACTTCAGAGTTCTGGTTCCTAAATAAGAGGCACAATTGACCGAAGTTTATTGCATTGAAATTGAGGTATTAAGATGGCTTTTTTATGTTCCCTGTTTAGTTTGCCATATCATGAAACTGTGTATGTCAACAGTTTCTAGGTTTAAGATTCACTGGGTTACCATGTAGCCCACGATAATATGTGATTCCTGCTTTCCTCCCCCAACTTTTCTTCCTGTTACTAATCAAATCTAAGTCCTGTGTACATACTCAATGATATTTAGTTAGAATACTCTGACATTTGGCTGGGCGCAGTGGCTCATGCCTGTAATCCCAGCACTTTGGGAGGCTGAGGCGGGCGGATCAGCTGAGATCAGGAGTTGGAGACCAGCCTGGCCAACACGAAATCCCGTCTCTACTAAAAATACAAAAATTAGCTGGGCGCAGTGGCAGGCACCTGTAATCCCAGCTACTCGGGAGGCTGAGGCAGAAGAATCACTTGAACCCAAAAGGCGGATGTTGCAGTGAGCCAAGATCATGCCATTGGACTACCTGGGGGACAAGAGCGAAAATCCATCTCAAAAATAAAAATAAAAAAAAGAAATACTCTGACATTTTTGCAGATGGGCTTTGTGGAGACACACTGCCCCCTTCTCCATTCCCTACCCCCTGCTTTTGTCTTTAGGTTTCATTTAAAATGCCCATCTTTCATATTTTGGTAAGAGAAGACTTTAAGTGGAAATGTAATCTGAGTATTCTGTTTAATAAATGGACTCAGCATGGGCATTTTGAAGCCAACAATCCCATCTGTAGTGTAAGTATTAAACTACAGTGGTATTATTTCAGGAGGAAGCTCATGCAGTTGAAGGACAGCCTTGCTGGGAGCCGAGAACAGCCAGGTGAAATCAATTTAGCACAACTTAAGGCTTCTGGATTGCGTGTCTTGAACCCACTGTCCCTTCAGCGTTCAGGGTCTAAGTCAGTGGTGAGTCCAGAGTCATTCATTGGCCTGGAAGCAGGATGGAATGATGTCAGATGGAGTGCAGAGTTGAGATTGCTTTGTAGCATGCAGGTCTGTACCAGACCTTTTCCAGACCGGTTCCAGACCTGGAATACCCTTTAAGTCATTTTATAATTGTGTGTAGTAACAGGACCTTCAAAGCATGGCACGTATCTTTGTAATTGTGTGTAGTAACAGGACCTTCAAAACATGGCACCTATCTTTATAATTGTGTGTAGTAACAGGACCTTCAAAACATGGCACCTATCTTTATGTTGAGAGCCTCAAACAGAAAAACGCTGGAAATAGTTGGTGGCAAGAGTTGGCTTCGGGCCATGATGCCCCCATTCCTGAGCTGTGTGACCTGGGGCAAGACAACCCCACCCCACCAGAATTGCTTTGAGTCCCGGTGTCATTATTATAAAATGGAAATAATAGCAGCTGCCTATGTTGGTTTTAAGATAAATGAGATATCTGTATATATAACATTGCTGTATATTACATTGTTGAAACATTTAGGTTCCTAATGGTTATTGTTTCTATTGGCTTAAAATTTTTTTACCTATATTCTCAGGATTAAAAATACGACCAAGAGCAAGCCGGGCACAGTGGCTCACACCTGTAATCCTAGCACTTTGGGAGGCAGAGGTGGGTGGATCACTTGAGGTCAGGAGTCTGAGACCAGCCTGGCCAACATGGCAAACCACGTCTCTACTAAAAATACAAAAATTAGCCAGGCATGGTGGTGCACGCCTGTAATCCCTGCTATGTGGGAGGCTGAGGCAGGAAGATCACTTGAACCTGGGAACTGGAGGTTGCAGTGAACCGAGATCACGCCACTGCACTTCAGCCTGGGTGAAACAGTGACACTCCATCTCAAAAAAAAAAAAAAAAAAAAAAAAAAAAAAAGGATTATATGACCAAGGGCATGCCTACATGCCTGCTGATTTTGTGGGTTTTTTCATTTTTGTTTTTTGTTTTTCTCGCTCCGTCACCCAGGCTGGAGTGCTGTGGCTCAATCTCTGCTCGCTGTAACCTCCACCTCCCACATCCACCTCCAGGTTCAAGTGATTCTCCTTCTGCAGCCTCCCAGGTAGCTGGGACTACAGGCATGCACCACCATGCCTGGCTAATTTTTTTGTATTATTAGTAGAGACGGGGTTTCACTATGTTGGCCAGGCTGGTCTTGAACTCCTCGTGATCTGCCCGCCTCGGCCTCCCAAAGTGCTGGGATTACAAACATGAGCCACCACGCCCGGCCATGCCTGCTGATTTTGAAACTGATGCCATCAGTTGCACAGGGCATCCTATGGGGAGGATTGCAAATGACCATTGTAGTAATATTTTTAAGGAAAAAACAATGACCCAAATGGACATGTTATATGTGTCTTGTTTGCTTGCTGGGCTCTGGGAGCACTGGCCTTCGCGCCAAGCGGCCTCCCTTCTCTGCACCCCGTTTATCCTTTTCTTACACAGCCCTTGCCTGTGGAAATGAGATCTCAGCTTTACCATTGCTTCCTCAGAGAAGTCCTGGACACCCCCAGCCTCAGTCAGGGCTGTTTTTTTTTTTTTTTTTAAAACCTACTTGATTCATTCTCAAGGGCTCTGTTTATTGTTATTTGTTCTATGTATGCCTCCTTCATGACAGTTTCCACAGCTGCAGTTTAGTAATTATTTGTTTAAAAGTCTGCCTTCTGACTTGTTCAGTCAATTATGCTTAACCTGCATCTAATCACAAGGAAACATTATTTATTATTTTAAAGTAAAAAAGAGGTTTTTAAGTCTGCCTTCCATAGTAATTTGTAAGCTCAAAGCTCTGGGAAACACATCTGATTTTTTCATGGTTATATTTGAAATAGGTCTGGAAAGGTGAATGTATGTATCTGGTGTTCCAATGAATGAATTAATGAGTGGATGAATGGCTGATGGGCACACTTACCCAGATACAAGGCCCTATCTGCTTGTAAGGTAGCTGGATCTTTCAGACAAATATAAGACTTAACTCTTCATTGTTTTTGAACTTCCTTTTCTCTGTATTTCTTCTTTCACTGGTTTGTATTCTGGAAGTTAATGCCTTGTTTCTGACTTGGTCATGAGGACTGAAATTAAGTTTCTATGGCTTTGTCTTTTCCATAGCTCCTACAGAAGAATGGTCAGCTGTCCACCATCAATGGCGTAGCTGAGCAAGATGAGCTCAGCCTCCAGGAGGGTGACCTAAATGGCCAGAAAGGAGCCCTGAACGGTCAAGGAGCCCTAAACAGCCAGGAGGAAGAAGAAGTCATTGTCACAGAGGGTAAGCCGCCCCTCCAGGAACTGGAAGGCACACAGCACTTGCAACAAACTTTGGACTCAGCAGAAAATACTCTGTCATACTGCCTGGTGGTGGATTGGTGTTAACAGCAAAAACAATCAATTGGTTACAAAAGGAAGTATTTATCTGACCATTTGGATACCCCCTATACTTAGACCTTGAAGTTATGTTTCCTTTTTCTTATCTGGAACTTGATGCTTTTTAAATTATTGTTGCTTTGTCCCAACTGCTTGTCTGGAGTTGAATGTGAATTCTTGTTGGAAACAGAAGTCATGGTTGCTTTAAAAGAGTCATTATCTCTCCCTCTAGAGAGGAGCCTGCTATACTTGTACAACTCTTTCTGATAGGCGCATTGCAAGGCACGTACCCCTCTTTGCTTAAACTATGATGTGCTGCGTGTTTTATAGCTCTTGAGCCTAGAGATCTTCGAGGAATGGTTATTGAAGAGTGACCGTTTGGACACAGTATTGGGATTTGATTTTTACCCATATAGGGGGTGAGGAACCGTATCTTGAGGTCAGAATTGAGAGCATGTGGCCCAGTAAGTCTCTTGTGAAAAGCGAAAGGCTGCATGTTGAAGAAGGACCTTGAGCTCGTTGTTCCATTTAATTATAAATAAAGGGATAACCAATAACTGCTATCAAATATATGTAAAATGATGATTCGGCATACGGTAAATTGATTCGTGTAATATGAATAAGAGAGACAAATGAAGGGAAAAGTCCTTTCACAGGAGATTCAACATCGCCTCACTTAGATGAGATTCTTCAAACATGTGGAACCTGTTTTTCTTCTTGTTTGATGCCCCCACAGAGCTGCTTCAAGCAGGGAGCTGCTTTTGAAGTTGGTGGGAATACTTATCTGTATATAGCACCACAGGCACAATATAAAGTTAGAAATATACACAGTCTCACAGGCGGAGTATTTGCATGACCTAGTGTGAGAGTTTCAAATAATTTTCACCCAAATGATTGGAATGGACCCAACTCAAATTCCCAAGTCCAAAGCTTTGTCTTTCCCATGTTAACTTTTGAATCAAGTCAAGCACCAGCAACATGTGAGCTTACTATGACCAAGTCTGTAAGGTTAAGACAAGGCAACTTGGTGACTACCAAATGAATTGTGCAAGGGATGAGAGCTGCAGGGTTCAGGTGGAGCAGTCACTTGAGGTGAGAGGGGAGATTAGGGGGAGGCTGGATTTAGATGTGTGTAAACAAGGAATGTCAGCAAAAGTGAGGAGAATAATAACAGCCAACACTTTATGTGCTTTTATTATAGGGCCCAGAGAGGTGCCTTTTGTGCGTTATCACCTTTAATAGTTACAGCAACCCTATGAAGTAGGTGATATTGTTCCCAAGATGCAAATCCAGATCAGCAGATTCCAAAACCACTTAACCACTGTGCTCTCACTGTGCCGGGCAGGTTCGGAGGCTGGTGTGTTGGAACAGCCTAGCCCCTGCAAAGAGTTTTTATTGAAGGGTGTAGAATGAAAGCCCAGAAGGGAAAAGGGGCCAGATAACAGGGCCCTGAAAGCAGAGTGGAGTTTAGAAAGTATTTAGTGGACAACGTGTGATCACTGAACTATGCCACCAAAGGGGTGCCGGAGGCTTCTTGTCTGACTTAGGTGATCTGTAGGATGTATAAGAGGAGGGAGGGATGGGGCAGGGACACAGTTTTTTTCATAGAATCCCAAATAGCCTGGAAATTCTTTTTTAATCTGTGGCATGTTTACTGGAGGTCTTAAGGTTATCTTACCATAGTCCAGATGTGATTTCTTTTACATTTCAGCCACGTGGGTAAACACTGATTTTCACAGTGAGTGATTCAGTCCCTCCCCTGTGACTATTCCATCGTCTCCCTGAGGTGACCTAGGCTTCTGACCATGGCCTCGGAGGTCTGAGCAAATATCAAATCCCCCATGCAGGAAGGGTGGTGATTTTTATTTTTTATTTTTTGAGATGGTGTCTCAGTCTCACTCTGTCGCCCAGGCTGGAGTGCAGTGGCTTGAGCTCGGCTTACTGCAACATCTGCCTCCCCGCGCACATCCCCCGCCTCCGGCTCCAGTGATTCTCCTGCCTCAGCCTCCTGAGTAGCTGGGACGTGCCACCACACCTGGCTAATTTTTGTATTTTTAGTAGAAATGGGGTTTCACCATGTTGGCCAGGCTGGTTTCGAACTTCTGACCTCAAGTGATATGCCTGCCTCAGTCCCCCAAAGTGGTGGGATTACAGGTGTGAGCCGCCACGCCCAGCTGTGGAAGAGTGGTAATTACTATACATTTTTTGTTATTGTTGTTGTTTGTTTATTTTGAGACAGGGTCTTGCTGTATCACCCAGGCTAGAGTGCAGTGGCATGATTTCGGCTCACTGCAACCTCTGTCTTCCAGGTTCAAGTGATTCTCCTGCCTCAGACTCCTGAGTAGCTGGGACTACAGGTGCCTGCCATCATGCCCAGCTAACTTTTGTATTTTCAGTAGAGACAAGGTTTCACCATGTTGGCCAGTATGGTCTTGAACTCCTGACCTCAAGTGATCCGCCCGCCTCAGCCTCCCAGAGTGCTGGAATTACAGACGTGAGCCACCGTGACCAGCCAATTAATATACCTTGTCCTTCCCAAGATCTTGAAAAGGCCTTGACCTCTAGGAAAAAAGAACTAGATGTGCCTCCATACCATAGCCCAGGGCTACAGAGGCTACCCACCAGAGGTGTTTCTGGAGGCCTTACTTTTGGGGTGAGCTTTTGCTGTTTTAGGTCCAACTGCTATTCTCTTGGTTTATTAGGTTCTCTGTGGCAACTTGGCATACTCCTTCTGTTTTTTTCTTTCTCTATTTTTTTCTGCCTGGCAGATGATAATTAATAGCCTGACAATGTAAATACAGACAGAATCTTCGTGTTAACTTATTAAACAGCATTTTTCCGTGCTTTTGACATCAGTGACAGCTCATGGTTAGGTTTTTGTTTAGTTTTGTTTTGAGACGGAGTCTTGCTCTGTCACCCAAGCTGGAGTACAGTGGCGTGATCTTGGCTCACTGCAGTTTCCATCTCCCGGGTTCAAGCAATTGTCCTGCCTTAGCCTCTCAGGTATCTGGGATTACAGGCATGCACCACCACGCCTGGCTAATTTTTGTATTTTTAGTAGAGATGGGGTTTCACCATGCTGGCCAGGCTGGTCTCGAACTCCTGACCTCAGGTGATCCGCCTGCCTCGGCCTCCCAAAGTGCTGGGATTACAGGCTTGAGTCACCGTGCCCGGCTCGCTCATGATTAGGCTTTATGGTTGCTTCCAGAAATCAGAATTCTATATGACAGTTTGCTGTAGGATAGACAAAGGCATAATTTGGCATGTGACACTGACCTGTAGGATTTGGGACACCTTTGTTTCTACCACTGTCCACTTAAATAAGAAGAGAACTGACCCATTTTGGTCCCTGGGAGGACTGGCCCACAGTGGAATTTGGTCCTGCTGTAGATAAAATAGCAAGATCAACTGATGGGAGAAAATAATGAACAAGGGCCATTCCTACTGGAGGGTTTTTACTTTACAGTGGCAGACAAAGCTAGAGGTGAAATTTTTTTTCCCATTTTGATTCACTTGCTCTTTCTAAAACTGGAAATACTGGTAGTTCAGAACCAACCCTCCTCCTATAATGAAAACAGAATTCTGCTTCTTTGTAAACTTTCTTAAATGTTAGAAAGAAGGAACCGCATATAAATATTGTCTAAACTCTACAGCAGGGTCTGATATATGTAGATTTGGGGAGGGGGCTTGATTATGTCATTTGGTGGACTTCTATAAGAGCATACACAATGAGGCATGGACACAAACATTTATTTATAATGAAAATAAACACAACTAATTACCTTAGCCTTGGCGAGCAGTCCCTTTCTTCTGAGCTTTGGGATTTTCAGTTTATACAAACAGCTTATATAGAAATGCAACTGGGCTTCCTCTCCCTAACTAAAAAGTGCTGTCATGCTGTGCTGTTCCCAGCATTCACAGAGACTGCACAAGTGCCATTGGTTTGGGGCAAATCTGCTTCTACCGAAAAGATGAAAAAAAAAAAAAGAAAAAGAAAAGCTCCCTTTCCGCAACCCAAATTATCAATCGTTTTATAGTCTATGGCTTGTACGGTCTTCTCTTTGTTAAAAACCCAAACAAGAGCCTGGGTGCAGTGGCTCACACCTGTAATCCCAGCACTTTGGGGGGCCGAGGCGAGTGGATCACCTCAGGCCAGGAGGTCCAGACCAGCCTGGCCAACATGGTGAAACCCCGTCTCTACTAAAAATACAAAAAATTAGCTGGGCGTGGATGGCAGATGCCTGATATCCCAGCTACTCATGAGGCTGAGGCAGGAGAATCGCTTGAACCCGGAGGCGGAGGGTGCAGTGAGCTGAGATCACGCCACTGCACTCCAGCCTGGGCAACAAGAGCGAAACTCCATCTCAAAAAAAAAACAAAAACAAAACAGAAACCCAAACAGGAATGATTTTTAAAACATTGTATCTTGGGCTGAGACCAATTTTAGATTTAAAAGTTTTGCAGGCTGGGGGCGGTGGCTCACGCCTGTAATCACAGCCCTTGGGGAGGTCGAGGCTGGGGTCCAGGATTTTGAGATCAGCCAACGTGGCGAAACCCTGTCTCTATATTTTTTTTAACTTTTGGTAATTAGAACAACTTTGAAATTTAAACGTGAAATTCAATCTTAGTATCTGTTAGGCAGATGATTTTTTTTTCCCCGAACAGTTGAGGAAAATCAGTTACTCAAAAAGCAACACCTTATTTATTTTGATAATAGCATATTTGATTTTGAAATAAAGTGTCTGCAAAACTCATTGCCATATACAAGTAATCCAGTGATTATCTCAGGTCTTCATCCATTTGAATTAATCACTTACAATGCAGTTATTTGTTTTCTTTTTGAGATTTGCGTCTCTGCAGAGTACGTACAGCAAACATTTTAAAGCATGTGAAAACCAGCTTTTCTCCAACCTTCACAGGTCACATTTGTTTCTGTGAGCAAACAGACAATGGCAATCTTTTCCTTAGCTTTAGAAAGTTTTTTTTTTAAAGAGGCCCTTGCTCTGTCACCCAGGTCAGAGTGCAGTAGTGCAATCATGGTTCGACGTAGCCTCAAACTTCTGGGCACATGTGATCCTCCTGGCTCAGCCTTCCCAGTAGTTAAGACTAGAGGCATGTGCCACTGCGCCAGATAGTTCTTTAAAATGCTTTTGTAGAAACAGGTTCTTGCCATGTTGCCCAGGCTGGTCTCAAATTCTTGGCTTCAAGCTTCCTTCCACGTCAGCCTCCCAAAGTCTTGGGACTACAGAAGTGAGCCACCACAGCCAGCCTTAAGTAATTTCTGTTCACACCTCTTGTGTACCCAGAGTTGAGGATATTTACACCAGCAGCAATGGAGCAGGAAGCAGCTGGGTGCTCTGACCTTGGCATTTGCCACTCTGGGGCTAGCTGCTTTAAAACTGTCAGCCAGTGACCAGATGAACCAGGCCTTGTTACACTAATCAGATAACGGTATAGAGGCGGCTCCCGGTGTGTGCACGTGGACCGCCACTGTGACACCAGCTGTGATCACACCCCCCACCCCCGGGGAAAAATGAGAAACAAAAACCCTCAAAATGCTGTCACTTAAAGCAGAAGTCTTTGAGGGGATGTATTTCTTAACGTTTTACAGGATTCCACTTTTCTACATCTGAGTATTTTCCCCCAGATATAGTAACAAATACAACACTTTAGAGAATTTCATTTTTCTAATGGCGCTTAATGTCATCGTCTGCTTTTATTAAATTTGCCATTTGAACCCACCAGCTCCTGGTGTACAGTTCCTCTGGGAAACAGAAAGGCCGAAAGATTACCGCCAGATAATCCCAGCCCTCCCTAAAGATCTTGTTACCTTACAGAAAATCCATTCTGAGTTAAAAGTCGTTCTTCTTTGCTTTGAACATTTAATAACTTTATCTGTATAGTAGGCACCCTAAGACCTGCTCTGAGCCTCTTCAAAGATGACTCCCCCACCCCATACCTGTTTCCTCTGCAAGAGGCTGCTTTCTCTGCCCAGAAGGAATATTTTTATGATTTGATTCCTTTTCTATTTCAGTTTTCAAATTGTGACATCATTGGTATCTTGTTAGAAGTGCCTGTCACCCACATTACAGCCCTCCACTCCTCCTTTCCTTTTCTCTACACCAGTTGTTAACATCTGGCATTTGACATCTGTCTCTCACCCACACTTTGGCTAAAATATAAGAATCAAGCCCAGGTGCGGTGACTTACAACGGTAATCCCAGCACTTTGGGAGGCCGAGGAGGGCGGATCACTTGAGCCCAGGAGTTCGAGACCAATCTGGGAAGCATAGTGAGACCCTTGTCTCTACGAACGTTTAAAAAAATTAGCTGGACGTGGTGGTGCACGCCTGTATTCCTAGTTGCTTGGGAGGCTAAGGTGGGAGGATCGCTTGACTTGAGCCCAGGAGTTTGAGGCTGCAGTGAGCCATGATTGCACCACTGTACCAGCCTGGGCAACAGATTGAGACCCTGTCTCAAAAAATAAAATAAAATATAAGAATCATGAGGACGGCCGGGCACGGTGGCTCACGCCTGTAATCCCCACACTTTGGGAGGCCGAGGTGGGCGGATCACGAGGTCAGGAGATCCAGACCATCCAGGCTAACACGGTGAAACTCCGTCTCTACTAAAAATACAAAAAAATTAGCCGGGCGTGGTGGCGGGCGCCTGTAGTCCCAGCCACTTGGGAGGCTGAAGCAGGAGAATCGCTTGAATCCGGGAGCTGGAGGTTGTAGTAAGCCGAGATCGTGCCACTGCACTCCAGCCTAGGCTACAAGAGGGAGACTCTGTCTCCAAAAAAAAAAAAAAAAAAGAATCATGAGGGCAGAGTTTTCTTGGGATGGGGATTCGGAGGGTGGTCCATGGCAGGAGATGGGGTGAGGGGGGCTGTTTAGTTCAGTGCTGAATCCTCTGAGCCTGGACCAGTAGCTGGAACAGAGGTAGCGCTCAGCAAATATATGAATAAATGAAGACACAGTTTTCAGTTGGAGTTCACAGTATTACATTTATAATCATCTAGGTGAGGAGGAGCTGTTGGCTTTAACTCTGTATCAATTCATTTCCTGCTTAAAGACTGCGGCTTTGTACATTTTATCCAAGGCTCTCTTTCCTTTGTTGCATCAGCACTGACAAAGCCAGACCCTTTCCAGGATCGCACCATGCTGGGTTCTCACAGGTGCTTGCTGTTGGTTAGCCAGGTGTTGCCTGGAAACATGAAATAGGACCCTGACCTGCACGTGATTAAATGTGGATTCCTAGTAACGCTATCAAACACAAGTGCCCAATAGATAAAGAGAGGGGTCCCCTTGCACACACTTTGGTATTTCAAATACAATATTATTGCATGACATTTTCTCAAGCTGTATCCTGTTTTGTAATGTTTTGAAGACTGGAGGGAACACACACAAAATAGGCCTTGAACTTAGGTAAAAGTACTATGCTATGCGATTTCTGGGAACTGGTTTTAATTCATTCTCCTGCTCTGCAGCAATTGTTTTTAGTGTGGCTGCACTGAAATTACTTATGTCATTGACAAATTTCTGGTCCAAATATTTCACTGCCTTCATCCTTAAAGAAACAGAGATTTATTTTCCTGTAATCAGCAGTCAAGATGTTTTTCTCTGAACTATATTCAAGTCTGACAGTGCAGTGAACTTTTTTTCCTTCTGACTTAACAAAAGGAGTGAGGAAGAAGGACAGCAAGACTTCTGTTCACCCTTTCTCCCCTTCGTAAATCAACTAATTCTAGGGCGCTAGACACGGCTAAGACTGCTTTAATTACTACTTTTTGCGTGATCTTGATTTGAATACATTTCTTTATCTCATTGCAAGTCAGTTTTCATCTATGAAATGAGCATCCCCACCCATCTCCGAAATTCTGTGGCTAATATCAATATGACTAGTTATATGGGTACTAAAAATGAAATAGTGGATTAGCTAATGAAGACACCCAAGCGACCTGAAGCAGGCAGCAATCCACTTGGTAATTCCGTTATGCCTTTTTATAAAAATACTTTTATGGCTTTTCTAATTTTTTTTTTTTTTTCGGAGACAGAGTCTCCGAACTCTCCCAGGCTGAAGTACAGTGGTGCAGTCTCAGCTCACTGCAACCTCTGCCTCCTGGGTTCAAGCAATTCTCATGCCTCAGGCTCCTGAGTAGCTGGAATTACAGGCGTGCACCACCACGCCCAGCTAATTTTTGTATTTTAGTAGAGATGGGGTTTTGCCATGTTGACCATGGCTGGTCTCAAACTCGTAACCTCAAGTCATCCACCCACTTCAGCCTCCCAAGTGCTGGGATTACAGGCATGAGCCACCGCACCCGGCCTCTAATCTGATCTTAAAAGCCATTTTCTATATTTGAAGTTTTAATTTAATTAAACAAAAAGTTCAAGGGGGGAATTTTATTCAAAAATATCTTGAAACATAATCCTCTTGGTGTCAAAGAATAAGATAAATCCCTTCACAAATGTGGCCACTAAACGTCATCCTCTCATCCCCCCATATGTGTTCTGCTGAATGACTGGCGGTCAGGACTATGTAATAGGGATTGGTTATAGCCAGGGATGGGGGAAAGAAGTTGGTAAATGCCATAGCTGCTTGCCCTAAAGATTTTCAGTCAGCCTTGGAGATGTTACCTATAAATCTCTATAGTTCGGAGGCCACTCAAGTCCACTTTCAAATTGGGTCCATGTTCTGGCCCATTTGAGAAGGAGCCAGGCAAGTCAGCCTGTAGGCTTGCCCAAGTAACAGTCTAAGAATTAGGCCCTTTTCTGCTGGGCACAGTGGCTCACGCCTGTAATCCCAGCACTTTGGGAGGCTGAGGTGGGTGGATCACAAGGTCAGGAGTTCGAGACCAGCCTGGGCAACATAGTGAAACCCCGTCCTACTAAAAATACAAAAATTAGCCCGGCATGGTGGCATGCAGCTGTAGTCCCAGCTATTCGGGAGGCTGAGGCAGGAGAATCGCTTGAACCCGGTAGGCGAGGGTTGCAATGAGCCGAGATCACACCATTGCACTCCACCCTGGGCAACAGAGTGAGACTCTGTCTCAAGAAAAAAAAAAAAAAAGATTTAGGCCCTTTTCCTTGAAGGGACTGAGGTGGTCCACAAGGAGTGGCTCTCTGATTGTAACTAAGCCACTAATGGAGACATGCAATTATTTTAGCTGTGTCTTAGTCCGTTCAGGCTGTTGTAACAAAATACCTTAGACCAGGTAATTTATAAGCAACAGAAATTTATTACTTATAGTTCTGGAGGCTGGGAAGTCCCAGATCAAGGCACCAACAGAATCAGAGTCTTGTGAGGTCCCACTTTCTCTGGATGGTGCCACCTATGTGTTCTCATGTGGCAGAAGGGCAGAGGGGACAAACAAACACCCTTAAGCCTCTTATATGAGGGCACTAATCCCATTCATGAGTGCTCCATCCTGAGGCTGATCACCTCCCAAAGGCCCCACCCTCTAATATCATCACCTTGGTGATTAGGTTTCAACATATGAAATTTTTTGTGGGGAGGGACACAAACATTCAGACTGTAGTGGCTGTTTTATTTATGGAATGAAAATCTTTTAGGCATTTTCTCAAGGACTGACTCACCTTGAGTGTAAAACAATTTCAGTGTCACCTAATTTATAGTAACTTTTACATGATTAAGGCAATGATATAGTCTAGAGCATGATGTCCCTGTATTATAGTGTATTGGTCCATTCTCACACTGTTATAAAGAACTGCCCAAGACTGGGTAGTTTATAAAGGAAAGAGGTTTAATTGACTCACAGTTCTGCAGGGGCGGGGAGGCCTCAGGAAACTTAACAATAATGGCGGAAGGGGAAGCAAACACATCCTTCTTCACATGGCAGCAGGAAGGAGAAGTGGCGAGCAAAAGGGGGAAGAACCCCTTATAAAACCACCAGATCTCATGAGAACTCACTCACTATCATGAGAACAGCATGAGGGTAACTGCCCCCATGATTAAATTTCCTCCCACTGAGTTCCTCCCATTAAACATGGGGATTATGGGAACTACAAGTCAAGATGAGATTTGGGTGGGGACACAGACAAACCATATCATATAGAAAAGGATGCTTTGATAATGTCTGAAGATATATTCTCTGGGCTTAAAATTCAACAACTGTTTAGCCTGTTAATCAAGATTTATTCCTGCATATCATGCTTCGAATTGTTTTCAAATTGCTCTTTACTTCAAGTATCAGTATAGCCTGATATCAGGTAGTTTTCCTCCGACCTCTAGTGTTAACCAGTGCATGCATTAGTCATTCAGGTGAAAAGTGCTATGTGCTAGATTGAATTAATTGAGTGAACTGGTTGCTTTCATGTGTCTTAACATGGACGTGCAATATTTAGACCAACCGCAGGCATAAGGTCATTATCCCCCTGTATTAATTTGCTAAGGTTGTCATGACAAAATACTCGACTGGTGGTTCAAACAACAGAAATTTATTTTCTCACAGTTCTGGAGGCTGGAGGTCCGAGATCTTGGTGTTGCAGGTTTGGTTCCTCCTGAGGCCTCTCTCTTTTGCTCGCAGACGGCCGCCTTCTCACTGTATCGTCACATGGTCTTTCCTCTGTGCACATGCACATTCCTGGTCTCTTGGTGTGTCCAAATTTCCTGTTCTTATAATTTTTTTGAGACACGGTATCGCTCTGTCACCCAGGCTGGAGTGCAGTGGCGCGATCTCGGCTCGCTGCAACCTCCACCTCTGGGTTTCAAGCAATTCTCCTGCCTCAGCCTCCTGAGTAGCTGGGATTACAGGCTTGCACCACCACACCTGGCTAATTTTTGTATTTTTAGTAGAGACGGGGTTCTACTCTTCACCATGTTGGCCAGGATGGTCTCGAACTCCTGACCTCAAGTGATCAGCCCGCCTTGGCCTCTCAAAGTGCTGGGATTACAGGCGTGAGCCACCACACCCGGCCAGGACTCCTGTTCTTATTAGGGCCCAGGCTAATGGCCTCATTTTAACTTAGTCACTTCGTTAAAGGCCCTGTCTCCAAATGCAGTAACTTTCTCAAGTACTGGGAGTTAGGACTTCAAATGTGAATTTTGTGGGGGACACAGTTCAGCTCATAACACCGCCTCCATGAGTGATCCACTGGAAATTCACATTTGGGAACAGAGAAATGTTAGTAGAAGGGAGCTTTGAGGCTCTGAACCAGGAGCCTACCCCTGTGCAGGAGGCTCTTCTGCTTAACCACTTGAAGGTTTGCGGAGTTTTCTCCATAAAAGGAAGCCATTTATTCCTCTGGAGCTAAAATATGCCTCCCTCCAACTGCTCTTCTCTGTTCCCAGGGCTGCCTTGTGGAACTACAGAGAATAAACTCACCTCCTTTTTCCACATGGCAGCCCTCTAAGTATTTGAAAACATTTATCATGTCTTTCCTTTAATCTTTTCTTCTCTAGGCAAAACATCTCCCGAGAAAATAACCTGTCTCACATTAAAAGAAAAACTCCAGGGCTTATATATATTTCAGACAGGAATGTGCTTGATGGAAGCTTGCCAAACATCACTGGGTTTCAATTTCAGTATCCCCAGTTTTAAGAACCATTTCTTTCTCAGACTCTTTAAAACATGAGAACAACTTAGTTTGCTTTAAGCCAAATATTATATACTGAAAGAATTGACTGGAGGACATGAGTCATTGATACTGAAGTATGTGACTGCTGGTATAAGGGAATCCCTTACCTCAAGGATGTTGCAAAATGAGCTGAAGTCAAATAAAGTGAAGAAAACATCAATATATGTTGACATGGATTCCTAACCCTGGAATGATCAGTCACCCTTCTGGTACTTCACTCAACAAGATGATTAGCATACAGCCTTACACAAAGCAGTAGCTAGAGATTAGAGCAAGAGAATTCCTGCTTTCCAGATAACTGTTAGCTGTAAATAAAGTGGCAGATTGATAGTGTCCAACCAAATAGTCAGGGAGCAGAGCCAAGGTTTGCTCTCAAGCAGCCTCCTGCCAAGCCCTGTGACCTCACCGTGTAAGCTTAGCATTATGGACTGAAGGTTTGTGTCCCCCTAAACGTACATGTCGAAATCCTAACTCTAAGGTGATGTGGTATTTGGAGGGAAAGCCTTTGTGAGGTACTTAGGTCATGAGGGTGGAGCCCTCATGAATGGGATTAGTGTCCTTCCCTTTCACCATGTGAGGTTACAGGGAGCAGTCTGCAGTCCAGAAGAATCCAGGACTACCAGATCCCAACCACACTGGCCTCCTGATCTCTGACTTTCAGCCTGCAGGATTGTGGAAAATAAAAGTGTTCCTTGTTTATAAGCCACCTGGTTTATATGGTGCTTTTATAGCAGCCCAAATGGACTAGGACAATGAACAAAAAGTATGATGTCTTCTCATGCTTGTCAAAATCCTGGTCCTAAGTATTCCCCTAATCAAGTCCATTTCTGTTGAGTATGTTCAAATACCTTAGGATTCTTTGTCAGTGTTATCTTGATAGATGTCTGGCCATTGGAATCTGATGCTGTTTCGAGTCTTCATCCCTTATGTAGCTCATGGACTCCTTTTGGTCTTCAGTTTTCTGAATATCTTGTAATGAGGACTCTCCACGTGAATCCGTTTCCATTCAATGTGCGGGGTTCTTTGAGCTCTTTCGGTCTAGAAACTCATACACTTGGCTGGATGCAGTGGCTCATGCCTGTAATTCCAGTGCTCTGGGAGGCCAAGGTGGGAGGATCACTTGAGCCCAGGGGTTTGAGACTAGCCTGGGCAACACAGCAAGACCCCGTCTCTACAAAAAAATAAAAATAAAAAAATTATCTAGGTGTGGTGTTGCATGCCTGTAGTTCCAGCTACTCCAGAGGCTCAGGCAGGAGAATCGCTTGAGCCCAGGAGGTTGAGGTTACAATGAATCTCACCATTTACACTGTAGCCTGGGTGACAGAGTGAGACCCTGTCTCTAAGAAAAGAAAAGAAAAATTCATGTACCTCATTTCTGGGAAATTTTTTTACATATATCTATACCTTTTCATTTGGTCTATTTCATAGAGTTGCCTAGGTAAAGAAATAAATATATGTGGACTCAAGGAGAGAAATAATATTTATTCTACATCACTTTTATTATTTGAGTTTTTAATGTTTATTTTCCCGTTGCTTTTTAAAGTGATTTTAAAATTCTCTTTTAGTGTTTCTGTTGTATCATAACAATTCCTTTGAGGAACTATTCTTCAGAGTATTTATCTTGGATTTTGAATAGCAATAACCATGTCTATACAAACATGTCCAGTTCAACTGGACCATAAAACTCAATTAGTTGATATTTATCTATGTGCATAGCATGCAGCAGAGAGCCTGCCCATCCTGTAGATAACCTGACAGTGTCATTTAGATTCAGGGTGTGTATAGATAGATAGATACAGACAGATATCTATCTATACACACCCTGAATCTAAAAGACAGGTGTCTGTCTATCTATCTATCTATCTATCTATCTATCTATCTATCTATCTACTATCTATAACTATCTAGATATAGATATATCTCTATATAGATATATATATATAGATATAGATATATATATCTATATAGAGATATATCTCCTCTTTTACAGTTATCCAATTTGGAGCTGTATTTCACTCAACTTTAAATTATCTTGGAGCATTTCAAAGGAATAACAGGAGGTGAGGTCACCCCACTGATTGCCAGGGTTGACTTGGCTGATCGGGCTGGCTAGGCGGGTGTCCCCTTCCTCCCTCACCACTCCATGGGCGTCCCTCCCGAAGCTGCACACTTGGTTGAAGAGGATGACCATCCCTGATAGAGGAGGACTGGTCTTCGGTCAAGGGTGTACAAGTAGCTGCGCTCCCCTGCTAGAACCTCCAAACACGCGCTCAAGGTCCATTTAAAGGAATAACAGTGGCATCGATTCTCTGTTCTATTTCATCTGTCCTTTTCCAGCAAGAAGAAAAGAGACCCTACTGGTTTTTGGCTTCTTTTCCTCCAAGGGCGATGCCAGGTTAAAGAGAAAATGAGAGGAGAGGAGGCCAGGGAGGGTTGAATTTAGTGTGCAAGTCCATTCTTCCATTCCGTGACACTCATATTTGGGTTAAATACCTAAGCATCCTTGGAGGAAGTTGGAGAGCCTAATATTGGTTTTAATTCTGAGTGTAGTGGTCCCTGTCCCCTCCCTTTCAGGAAAAATAGAGGAAAGTAGCCTGCTTTATTGCAGCCATCTGTCCACTGGTCCCGCCTCCAGACTGCCCACTCCGAGGCCTCTCCCGTTCTCTTCCTGTGTCACTGCTTGGTTTTTTGTTTTTGTTTTTTATAGAGATGGGATCTTGCTGTGTTGCCCAGGCTGGTCTCGCACTCCTGGCCTCAAGCAATCCTCCCATCTCGGCCTCCCCAAGTGCTGGGATTACAGGCATGAGCCACCTCGCCCGGCCTGTGTCACTACTTTGTGCTGTCACACTGTGGACCACTGTTTCCATGTTTTAATCCTCTCCACATGTGGCTTTGCTGCCACTTTCTCCCTCATTGCCCCTAATCCCTGTCCATTCCCAGGGTCCTTTTTCAGATTCCTCTTCCTCAGGGTTCCAGGCCATTCTTATTTCATGGACATCATTCCGTTCGGGTGATCCCACAGATTCGCACTGCATCTTTCATCTTGTGGGCACCGTGACTTTGGACTCCTCCCTCACCTTCGTCACTACTGCATCCATCTGTTTTGTTGCTTCAGTCTCTTCCTCCCGTCATCACAGCCTGGTTGCCTTTTCTAAATCACAGTCAAATTCGGTGCCACCATCCCCTGCCTCAAGCCTCCAATGGCTCCCTATAGTCTTCAGAACCAGCAGCACAAAGTTCTTTTTTAAAGAAACAAACCAGCTTTTGTGAGCTGTAATTCACATACTATGCAGTTGACCCATTTAAAGTACACAGTTCAGTGGTTTTTGCTATATTCACAGAGTTGTATAACCACCCCCACAATCAACTGTGGGACATTTTCTTTTCTTTCTTTCTTTTTTTTTTTTGAGAGGGAGTCTTGCTCTGTTGCCCAGGCTGGAGTGCAATGACGCGATCTCAGCTCACTGCAACCTTCACCTCCTGGGTTCAAGTGATTCTCATGCCTCAGCCTCCCGAGTAGCTGGGATTACAGGCGTGCGCCACAATGTCTGGCTAAATTTTGTATTTTTAATAGAGATGGGATTTCACCATGTTGACCAGGCTGGTCTTGAACTCCTGACCTCAAGTGATCTGCCCGCCTCGGCCTCCCAAAGTGTTGGGATTATAGGTGTGAGCCACCACACCTGGCCAGGACATTTTCATTACCTCATAAAGAAACTCCATCCTGGTTAGCTGTCACTCCCTCTCCCGCCAAAACCCCCAGTCTTAGGTAACCACTAACTACTTTATGTCTATGGATTCGCCTCTTGTAGACATTTCAAATAAATGGAATTAAACCGTGTATGCTCTTTGGTGACTAGCTTCTTTCACTTAAAGTTTTTTCAATATTCATCTATGTTATGGCATGTTTCAGTACTTTATTTCTTATTACTTTTTATTACTAACCCATTTCCATTAAACAAGCTCAATTTTATTTATCCCTGCATGAGCTGATAGATATTTAGGTTGCTTCCACTTTTGGCTACTAGGAATATTATGCTGTAATGAACATTGATGGACAAGTTTTTCTGTGGGTGTGTATTTCCATTGCTCTTGGTTATATGTCTAGGAGAATTGCTGGGTCATATAATAAATTTATGTTTAACATTCTGAGGAACTACCAGCCTATTTTCCAAAGTGGCTGTACCATTTTACCTTCCCAATAGCGATGTGTGAGGGTTCCACCTTCTCCATTCCTTGTTATTGTGGTCTTCCTTGCCCCCCGCCACCTGCCCCTGTTTTTTAAACCAGGCACATCAGCTTTATGTTTTTTTTTTTTTTTTTTTTTTTTTGACACAGTCTCACTTTGTCGCCCAGGCTGGAGTGCAGTGGTGCGATACCATCTTACTGCAACCTCCACCCCTCTGGGTTCAAGCAATTCTTGTGCTTCAGCCTCCTGAGTAGCTGGGATTACAGGCGCCCGCCACCACGCCCGGCTAATTTTTGTATTTTTAGTAGAGACGGGGTTTCATCATGTTGGCCAGGCTGGTCTCGAACTCCTGATCTCGTGATCTGCCCACCTCAGCCTCCCAAAGTGCTGGGATCACAGGTGTGAGCCACCGCGCCCAACCTGTTGTCTTTTTTCTTTTTTATTATAGTCATCCTAGTGGGTGTGAGGTGGTTTTGATTTGCATTTTTCTAAGGGCTAATAACGTTGGACGTATTTTCATGTGCTCATTGGTCATTTGTATATTTTCTTTAGAGAAATGGCTACTCAGATTCTTTGCTCACTTTTAATGGATAATTTGTTACAAAGTCTTTAACATGTCATTCAAGACCCTTTATAAATATTTTTAGTTTCATCTCCAGTGTTGTCTTCCCCGCCAAGCCCCCAACTCCCGGACCTCCCTAAGTAAACTCCGAACCTCATAGCTGTGAGGAACCCACTCATGATTGCCCAAATGTCCTGCTCTTGGCATCTCTGCCTCTGCCCATGCTCGTCTGTCCCTATGGACCGCCTTCCTTTGTGCCCCAGGTAGGGAGTGTCCCCTCATCCCTTCAGAGACCAGCTCCAAGGCTACCTCAGAGGTGAGCCAAACTAGAGCTGCCCACTCCCGCCACTGGGCGTGTCCACCACCCACTCCCGCCACTGGGCGTGTCCACCACCCACTCCTGCCACTGGGTGTGTGCACCATCCATGACTGAGCTCCCGAGGCCAGGGATAGTATCTCATTTAGATCCCTGGGTGTTTTGCGTAATAAATATGGAGCAACAACTTGGTAAATATTTGTTGAGTGAACCATTCTGATTTGGGAAAACACGTTTTCTATCATCCATCTATGTATTATACAGCAAAATGTTTCCTATAATTCTTGCTTTGGGTGGTGATGTCTTCCTCTAAAAATCCTAATTTAACAAAAACAGAGAATGGAAATGATAAAAGAAAGTCTCCTGCATTGGACAGTGACCTTAGGTCTCATCTTTACTCCTGCTTTTATCCTAATTGATGACTTTTCTTTGTAAATGCAGACACACAGAGGCTCGCTGGGCAGCTGGGCCGTGCACCCTGTCCTTGATCATTCTTAGAGGTAGAGATCAAAGGAGACCCATTGGCTGAGAGAGTCTACAACTTGCCACATGATCTATTGCTCTGCCTTGTGATTTTAATTGCCTCTTTAAGAATATCAAATCAGGCCGGACGCAGTGGCTCATGCCTGTAGTCCCAGCGCTTTGGGAGGCCGAGGCGGGTGGATCACCTGAGGTCAGGAGTTCAAGACCAGCCTGGCCAACACGGTGAAACCCCGTCTCCACTAAAAATACAAAAATTAGCCGAGCATGGTGGCATGCGCCTGTAATCCCAGCTACTTTTGGGAGGCTGAGGCAGGAGAATCACTTGAACCCGGGGGTCAGAGGTTGCAATGAGCCGAGATCGCGTCATTGCACCCCAGCCTGGGTGACAAGAGCGAGACTCCATCTCAAAAAAAAAAAAAATCAAATCAGATGTGTTAGCGTCTTCATGAATGTCATAAAAAGAAATGTTTCAGTGCCAAAACTGAACAGCAGTACAGTGACCTTTGAAAATGTTGTTTAGGGTATTAAATGTGTAACTAGTGACATTTTGTGTGTTTTTCTTTTTCTTCCTATCCAGCTCAGTGGAATAGCTGTTGCTTGTCCCAGTGTTAGAATTTGGACTGATAGAAAGGAGAGGAGCTGGAGATTCATTCTGCTCTGCAAGGGCAGACTCGATTTCAGAAGTGGCACCAGATGATAGCCTTGTGTTGTCCCCAACCACTGGTGCTGAGAAATGATGCAGAACCAAGCCCTCAGATCCCAGATCACCCACGGCTCCTGGGACATCTCTGGGGAAGGGACTTATTAATGTAGACCCTGATGCAACATCCCAAGTCGTCTTTATCCATGATTTGCACAGCCAGGACACTCTGGGGCTGGGATTGGGAGGAGAGGAATGGCCAAGTTGCCCTGCCCCCTTGGCTCTGTGGACTCCAGAAGGATGGTCAGTACCAGCAGCATTTCACACACACCAGCCTCATTATTAAAATTGGAGCAATTTGTGAAATAGAGTTGAGACTTCTCTAGAGAAAAAAGGTTGGGAAGCAGCTCAGTGGCTGGGTCTGGGAGTCAGCTTCCAGGCAATATCTCACTGAGTCAGGACAAGGCCCATCATTCCCTGTTCCCGCCAGGCCGGGTATTTGCCAGGATGTGAAACGGAAGCCAGGCTTTTGGAGAGGCTGAAGCTGATTTTTGTAACAAGGTCTGGTTACCAGCAAGGAAGCGGTTTTCACGTTGCTCACTCTGGGCCCGAGTGTGGTGCATCGCGCCCCCTGGTGCCCAAAAAGTGCAACTACGTGCCATGCCAGCCAGCTCTCCTGGACTTCCATTTTTCCCTGATTCTCCTGTTCCTCGCCCACCCTTCTCTTTGCTGTGCCCACTGTGGTCTACGCCGAGGCTCCCCTCCCTCCTCCCTGCCCCAAGCAATAATGAACAAGATCTTCATTCTCTGAAGAGAAGTGCAATAGTAAAACTTTCCTTTTTGTTTGTGTAGGGGAAGAGCTGGTGTTAATGGGTCAGGCAGGCAAGGCATGAAGTGATAAATAGGGAAAGGATGAAAGAAGGGAACAAACCCAGGGGACCTAACGGACCCACCCTAACAAAAAATTGGAGTACAAAAAAAGTGTATTAAAATTGTGAGACCACACCAACTCATTCGTCACTCGTGTCTTTACAAAGAACAAACCTGAAGCTTCAATGAGAAAGAATTGAAGTATTCTAGGGCTGCCTGAAATCTTCTGAACTTTTAACATAGGCTTTGATTTCCGAGTTGTGTGCTTGCATGTTAGAGATATGATAGTGTCTAAAAATTGGAACATGGCATAGTTTGATCTAAAAAGTTAGCTAACTTCTGCCATTTAGAAAAAGACCCCATGCTCAAGTCTGCTTTTGAAAAGTTGCCTTGGTCAAGTGTTGAAGACAGCACTTGTTAGAAGGAACAAGTTCACTTCTGAGAGCCCTTCTCAAAGAGTTTAGGAAACAGCACTACTGAGAGTTGCCAGTCTTCAGAGCAGTGCAACGTGTGTGTATGCGTAAGACACAGATGGTGAAAATATCAAATGCTACAGATGCCAAGAAGGGAGGTGTTGGCACCACACCAACCTTTAAACAAACATAAGGATGCAGAATGCAGTCTTTAAAATGGAGGGAGAATTTACTGTCTGTGTGGCTATTTCCTTGAAATGACTTAAAAAGCTGAGATACAGAAGTATTAGTAAATCGGTGCCAGGAATGAAGTAACCGTTTAGATCCAATGCGCCGGCTCCAGCATCGAACTCATGCCCAGCACCCTTTAAACCCTCCCGGGACTCTGCAGAACCCGCTGACCACTCACAGAGCCCAGCTCGGGGGAGGGCTTTAAGGTGAAGCACGTGACCCCCTGCTTGTGCGGCCCGGGCGGGGAAGTTTGCGCTCCCGAAGTCCTGGAGCTCAGCAAGGGAGGGGCCAGCGCCAGCCCGCGTGTGGGTGGCTGGGTGGGGGCGTGGGTGGGGGTCCGCCTATAATTATCTGGGGAAATGCATCCGCGCTCTGCTTTTCGCTGCGGCAGCTCCGAGGGCACCTCCGGTTCTCCCCCATCCTCCGGGAGTGTCTGGGCGCTCAGTCCGCTCTGATCCCGCCGAAACCACCTGCGGTTGGCAGGCAGGAGACTAGGCGTCTGCCGGGGAGGGCAGGGACCCGCTAAGCTGATCTCCTGTACAGTAGTGCTACTTAAAATATGCTGGGGACCATCACCATCACAGGTAAGGCACAAGCCAGGTCGCTTTTGTCCTCCCTGGACGGCAGGCACGGGGCACGAAAAGGGGCTTTCTTCCGTTGAATGAGCGTTTGGTGGGGAGCCCGGGAGGTCAGTGGCGGGACCGTTATTGGCATTTATTTCTCTCCGTGTACTGAGTTTTTCTTCAGAAGAACATTCTCCCTTGGGCTCAGCAAGAATCAGACAACCTCAGTGTTTCATTTTTGGCTGAGCTGGAATCTTCTTGACTGTGCCTATGGGAGACCTTTAGTATATTTTGTTCGGGGTTGTACCCTTCCCCTTAGGGAGAGAGGGATGTGGAGAGGAACAACAGCAGCCGACTGAATAGAAATATGTCAGATTTGTGTGAATTTGAAAATAAGCTGTGAAAGCTTAATCTCTTGCCGTAGTCATAGACAGAATACATTCCTCTTCTGGGCAAATTACAAGTGTTTGCATTTTGACTTGTTTACTAGGAACTTTGAATAAAGGTACACTTGGTGGTTTAGGGGACTAACATTTAAGCTCTGCTTTAAGTGGTGGTTTTAATAAAGCCATAGTTATTATAAAATCGGTGGCTAGGAAGCAACACTATTTAGGCAACAAATAGTAAAAAAAAAAAAAAAAAGAAAAAAAGAAAAAAGTATGTTTCTTTAGCTTACTTTCTAGGAATCTGGCCGTGAGTATGAATTATAATATTTACTGCCTACTTCTAGCAAATAACTTACACGCATCAAACTTTTAGAATGCTCTTACAGCTCCTCTAACTTGACATTTGATAGTCTTATGCCATTGTACTGTGGCCTAACCTGCGTATTTTCTCTTCCTGTCATCAAGAAAATTAAATTCCGTTTGTGAATTTAACTTTATAGGAACAGGACTTCTTTATTCTTTAAATATTTGAGATCATTGCTGCCAAATCTTTTTTTTTGTTTGTTTGTTTTTTGTTTGTTTTTTGAGATGGAGTCTTGCTCTTTCGCCAGACTGAAGTGCAATGGTGTGATCTTGGCTTACTGCAACCTCCACCTCCTGGGTTCAAGCGATTCTCCTGCCTCAGCCTCCCGAGTAGCTGGGGTTACAGGCACGTGCCACCACGCCCAGATAATTTTTGTATTTTTAGTAGAGCCGGGGTTTCACCAAGTTGGCCAGGATGGTCTCGATCTCTTGACCTTGTGATCTGCCCGCCTTGGTCTCCCAAAGTGCTAGGATTATAGACGTGAGCCACCGCACCTGGCCTACATTTTTTTTTTTTTTTTAATCAACTGTAGAATTTCTAGGACTTAAAATTTTCTCAATGCAACTGCTCCTGCAAAGCCATGCGCTCCAGTGGAATTTACAAGAATGTGAAAGTTCAGCAATACTAAAATTATCTCTCACTTCCTATAGATTAGCTTGTTTACTTTGAGATTTCCTTAAAATTCGACCCCCAAGTTGACTTGGCTAACCTTTCTACCATTTACTCAGCTTGAAAGTTTATGCCATATCTCGAAACTATTAATAAATAGACTGTACAAAATGAAAAAAATTTAAAACACAAAAATCTCCATTTTTTCCCCCAGATCATTAACTTTTCTATGAATGAAATATGCAAATGTGTATTGTAGGGAGTCACAGCTGGGGTGGTGCTTCTGAGATCATGACTTTTTTCTGAGTACTTTTTGGGTACAATATGATTTTTATTATATTCACTATTCAATTAGTCGCATACTGAGATTCCTATGGTAAAAGGAGGTGGTCTAAAGTTTTAGCAGTAATTAAAGGTTAATAAACTGGGAGCACTTGAGGGGGCTTGTAATAGTTGGCTCAGATAATCCCAATGGAGTGATAAATGAATGGAAATAGTGGGAAGGACTAACTTTTAAGGCAAAATCAGGTAATTGGCTCTATTGCTTTCTAAATTTACTTTTCTTACAATGTGGGTGTGGAGGATATGGCAAAATTTTGCACTTTTTCCTGGTAAGAAGAAAGTGCACAGAAAATCTTAACTCCAAAAATTTACCAGCAAGAAATCTTACGTAGTGGAAAAAGTAAAAATGAAAGGGAGTTTCAGCTGTCATTTGGTTTTTGCTCCGCAAGTTATTCTGATGGGGAAGATTCATAATCATCATCTTTAAATAGTTGCTCAGAATCTTGAAAAGCCATGAGAGCTTTAAAAATTGACAGTAACAACCGGGCGCGGTGGCTCACGCCTGTAATCCCAGGACTTTGGGAGGCCGAGGTGGGCGGATCACGAGGTCAGGAGATCGAGACCATCCTGGCTAACACGGTGAAACCCCGTCTCTAGTAAAAATACAAAAAAATTAGCCGGGTGTGGTGGCGGGTGCCTGTAGTCCCAGCTACTTGGGAGGCTGAGGCAGGAGAATGGCGTGAACTCGGGAGGCAGAGCTTGCAGTGAGCCGAGATCGCGCCTCTGCACTCCAGCCTGGGCGACAGAGCGAGACTCCATCTCAAAAAAAAAAAAAAAATTGACAGTAAGGTGGCCGGGCGCGGCGGCTCACGCCTGTGATTCCAGCACTTTGGGAGGCGGAGGCGGGCGGATCACGAGGTCAGGAGTACAAGACTAGCCTGACCAACATGGTGAAACCCCGTCTCTACTAAAAATACAAAAATTAGCTGGACGTGGTAGTGTGCACCTGTGATCCCAGCTACTCGGGAGGCTGAGGCAGGAGAATTGCTTGAACCTGGGAGGCAGAGGTTGCAGTGAGTCAAGATTGTGCCACTGCACTCCAGCCTGGGTGACAGAGCAAGACTCCGTCTCAAAAAAAAAAAAAAAAATTAAATTGACAGTAAGGTTTAATGAAATCTTAAAGGTCTTTGCATCTTTGGGATTATTCACTTAAATACTATAGAAGGTTATTGTAGTTATCTTTAGTACTATGTTATTTTAGGAGGCCTGTGTTTAAATTTTACAATTCATTAACAGGACTGATGGCATTTTGTAGGAACTACTTAGGAACAAGTTTGCATTTCTGAAAGTAAGGAAAAGCTGTCACTTAATACTATTATCCCCCTCCCCCCTGCCACACACACAACCCAGTTTACACAAACCACTAAAATGAATGCAGTGGAAATTGAATTATGAAATGATTGCTTATTCACATTACATACTGTTGCCATTCTTGGGGTCTCTTTCTCTCACATCTCATTTGCAATAAGTTAGCTTTGAGACAAGAAATAAGTGATGTGACACGATGATCATCCCCTTCCCCACTCAACTGTAAATGGCGTGCCAGCATAAAAATGCCTTTTTTTTTGAGATGAAGTCTCACTCTGTCACCCAGGCTGGAGTGCAGTGGCGCGATCTCAGCTCACTGCAACCTCCACCTCCCGGGTTCAAGCAGTTCTCCCTGCCTCAGCCTCCCAAGCAGCTGGGATTACAGGCACCTGCCACCACGCCCCGCTAATGTTTGTATTTTTAGTAGAGACGAGGTTTCGCCATGTTGGCCAGGCTGGTCTTGAACTCCTGACCTCAGGTGATCCACCCGCCTCAGCCTCCCAAAGTGGTGTGAGCCACCACGCCCGGCCAAAAAAATGCTTTTTGAATTAAGCAAGTATCTTTTCGCTTTTCTCTAACACCCACATTACTGAAACTGATAATATTGATACATTGCAAACTGTGAAGTATCATGAGAAACAGGGACATTATTCTTTAAAGTAGAAACTGGGGAAGAATCAATCCTCCAACGTTCATGTTAGTTCTAGATTATTTATAATGCACTTTCCGATGCAAATAATTTTTACAAGAGAAAAAAATACCTTGCACATGGGTGTTTCACATCTGCTATGGAGACAGATTCCTTGTCAAGAGACTTTGGAGACACGAAATTGATACTTTCACAACTGCTGGATTAATAACTACCACTTCCTGAGTGCCTAGTCTGGCAGGTGTTGTTCAGCACTTTGTGGACATTATCATGTATTCCTCACAATAATCCTGCAAAAAGTGGTTCTGTAACCCCATTTCTATCATAAAAGTAAGTTTCTCATGATTTGATAATTACCCAAGGTTTCACAGCTAGAAAGAGCATAACTGTAGAGTACCTTGCAAAAGACCTCTTTCTCGTTGTGAAGATGCTAATACTTGTTTAGTGACCCACATTCTTACATGCCTGCCCAGATGTTTAAGGGATCGTGAAACATCAATATCAAGACCAGGGATTGGGACTGGGCACGGTGGCTTATGCCTGTAATCCCAGCACTTTGGGAGGCCAAGGCAGGTGGATCGCTTGAGTCCAGGAGTTTGAGACCAGCATGGTCAACGTAGGGGAGACCTCCTCTCTACAACAAATTAAAGATTTAGCTGTGCATGGTGGCACATGCCTGTAGTCCCAGTCACTTGGGAAGCTGAGGTAGGAGAATCACTTGCACCACTGAATTCCAGCCTGAGCAACAGAGCAAGACCCTGTCCCTACCCCACCCCCCAAAAAACACACCAGGTCCAATGATGATGTCACCTATATGCTCCAGTATGGGATCCTTGCTTTTATGAATTTGCATATATCTCCGCTTGGAGGTTTTCTGGTTAATGAGCTTTAGAACAAGGGAGATTGGGTGTGTAGCCTATAAGGGATGGACTTAGAATGCAGAGAATTCCTGGAAAAATTCCAGGACAATGCTACGAATCTTGGGGGAAAGATAACTAGTTCCAGATGTTACTGTAAGCCGTCCTGATGTGCCTGGGGATGGGGAGCACTGGTGATTCTCAGCCTGAAAAATGAACATGTCGTTTCTGCAGTATCGTACTTCTTTTTCTCAACCAAAAATGATGGTGCTGGTGTCACTGAAACCTGATAGCTAAGTTTTGGATAAAAACATTAATATTTTGTAGTATATAATCAACATATTCCTTTAAAGTTTTTTTTTCTTTTAAGCCTCTAAAAGAAAACAATTTATAATTTATCTCTTAATCGCTAAGTATTTGGAAAAGTGAGAAAAAAAAGATGATGCTCCAGGTTTTGAACACACGGGCTGTCTCTACATTATATGGAGCTTGCGGATGGGGAACACATAGCCAGCAGGGACCACTGTAGCTTAGCCCTTCTTGGGATCATGGAGCGTTTGCAGCTTTGGGGACGGGGAGATTATGGAGATTTTCGAAAGGAAAATGTGTATTTGCACATACACGTTATAGACCTGGAGACTGATTTTATAAATCGGGATTCACAGAACATTTATCTGGAGATAAACCCAGGTTAATAGCAGGTAACAACACCTCAGTGTGAAACACTTCAGTAATTCTTGGCCCAAGTGAGGTTTTTGTACATGAAATGATTTCAAGTTTTGATTTCTTACTACATCACTAAAGATGTAACTTTTCATATATTTTCACATTTATTTGACTCCGTTAATATTCCATAGGACTTTTTTTTTTAACCTTGAAGGGGCTTGTTATGACAAAGCTGTTTAAAATATTAAAAAGCACCTAGTTTGTTATTATTGAATAAGTGTTATAATTTTTTTTATAATGTTGTAATTGAGAATAGTTTATACTCTTAAAAATAGGGTGAGAGGTGTTCAGTCCAGGAAGTATCTCCTCTATTTCACTTTCCACACTTATTATTAAGGATAACTTTCATTTATCTTAGAAAAACATAAAGCAAAAGCCTACCCAAGGTCTCGCTTGGCAGTGATAACTTCAAGTTATTTTTCCTTCCGGAATGTTGTAGCATGAAGTAGCTTCATCCATATCCAGCCTTTATTTTTACTGCATCTTTTTAAAAGTTTTGGCCGGGTGCGGTGGCTCACGCCTGTAATCCCAGCACTTTGGGAGGCCGAGGTGGGTAGATCACGAGGTAAGGAGATCGAGACCATCCTGGCTAACATGGTGAAACCCCATCTCTACTAAAAATACAAAAAATTAGCCGGGCGTGGTGGCAGGCACCTGTAGTCCCAGCTACTCGGGAGGCTGAGGCAGGAGAATGGCATGAACCTGGGAGGTGGAGCTGGCAGTAAGCCAAGATTGCACCAACGCACTCCAGCCTGGACGACAGAGCGAGACTCCGTCTCAAAAAAAAAAAAAAAAAGTTTTGTTTTGGAGTACTAGTAGCACGATCATAGCTCACTGCAGCCTGGAACTCCTGGGCTCAACGATCCTCCTGTCTCAGCCTCCCAAGTAGCTGGGACCCTACTGAGTAGCACGTCCAGTTCTGGGTCTGTTTTTTTTTTTTTTTTTTTTTGAGACAGTCTCGCTCTGTTGCCAGGCTGCTGGAGTGCAGTGGCATGATCTCAGCTCACTGCAGCCTCCGCCTCCCAGGTTCAAATGATTCTCCTGCCTCAGCCTCCTGAGTAGCTGGGATTACAGGCGCCCGCCACCACATCTGGCTAAATTTTTGTATTTTTAGTAGAGATGGGGTTTCACCGTGTTAGCCAGGATGGTCTCGATCTCCTGACCTCGTGATCCGCCCGCCTCGGCCTCCCAAAGTGCTGGGATTACAGACGTGAGCCACCGCGCCCGGCCCAGCCCTGCATCTTATATGCACTATATCCATGCAGAGATCCCTCCTTCTTGGGTATATTCAGAAAATTAAGTGAATGAAAGCTTTCTCTACATCTTCTTTAAAATTATCATATCTTTTCCAAGTAATGTTTTCAGCATATTGACCCTGTCTCACACAAGCATGTGATTAGGTGTCTCCACCCAGAAGAAGGGTATAGAAATATTTGGTTTCTGTAGTAATATTCTCTTGAGAAACAAGGCATGGATGATGTTGTTTCACTAATGGTTGATGTCGAAAGCCCTGTCAATACAAGACTGTATCACACATGGGTATGTGGCCTGTTGGAAGGATTAGTCTTTTTCCTGCGCTTTGAAGTGTCTACAGGGTGGGAAAAGACCAGTGACTAGCAGGACAGTACGAAGACGGAGGTGCCTGTGAATTCGGGCTCCAGAGGCTTCTACGGGGGACACACCGACCACTCCCTTTAACATTTTGGCCATCTTTGTGACCTAGTGGGATGCTGGAATTGTTTCTGGCCGAACCTCAGCACCAGTGAGTACGTGAGCACCACGACTGGGCTTTCTGGGCATGGGAGAGACTTGGGCGGATAGCAGCGTGTTTAAAAATGGCGGGGTCATTCAATCACACATGAGTTAAAAAACTATACATTGTGTGGAAAAGACCACTCCAAAATCAGAGGAGGTTTTAGGGGCACCAAAAAGTACATCCACATATCAGTGATCCCAAATCAAAGATGGAGCTTTTTGGTTTTCCTCTTTGTAGCCAGTCGGACAAATCTAAGGCAGATGAAAATTCCATAGGAGTTTTGAATTAAAAGAAGCGCCCTAACGGAAAGCTGTGATGAAGGGTGGTTGTGAATGGATTCCACTGTGCCAGGCCTGCACGGGTTAGCACTGGCTGCCTGTCCTGGAAGCCCCCTCCATTATTTTTAGAGGCCTCTTATCAATCACTCCCTTCACTCCCAGCAGTGGGAGTGGGTTGAGCCTCTGGTCTGAGCCTCTCCTGCCTGCCGCCCCCACATCTTTTAGGCTATTTTATAATGCATTTAACAGCCTCCCGCTGTGTTCACTAAGCTACAGTCTTTAACTCATTCACAACCAGCATGCAGGGAGCATGTAAAAATACTTTCTCAGGCCGGGCGCAGTGGCTCACGCCTGTAATCCCAGCACTTTGGGAGGCCGACATGAGCGGATCACCTGAGGTCAGGAGTTTGAGACCAATCTGGCCAACATGGCGAAACTCTGTTTCTACTAAAAATTAGCTGGGCATGGTGGCGGGCGCCTGTGGTCCCAGCTACTCGGGAGGCTGAGGCAGGAAAATTGCTTGAACCCGGGAGGTGGAGGCTGCAGTCGAGATCGCACCACTGCACTCTAGCCTGGGCAACAGAGCAAGACTGTGACTTCAAAAAAAAAAAAAAAAATGAAAGGTTTCTGCTCACCACAAACTAGAAGGGAATGATGGTGGTCTTGTTTGGGACTCTTTACCTGCAGCAAGAACCTGGGAAATGTGGGGGTGATTTTGGTGTGTCATGTACAGTTGGGCTGGGGAAAGCGAAAAAAGTGAAGAAGAGGAGGTGAGGAGGGGGAGGTCAGCACAGGAAGAAGGGTCCTGGCCACCTTTGACCCATACTTGGGGTAAAGGACCTGCATCTGGCCAGGCTCTGTGGCTTATGTCTGTAATCCCAGCACTTTGGGAGGCTGAGGTGGGAGGATCACTTGAAGCCAGGAGTTCAAGACCAGCCTGGGCAACATAGCCAGTTCCTCCATCTCTACAAAAACAAACACAAAACAAAAACAGAAAAGGGATCTGCATCTTTACATGGTGCAAATAAAGAAAACTAGAAGATAGGGAGTTAACTTGAGACATACTATTATGTGCTCCTTTTCTCCCCTTGAAATGTTGATGCAGGAAGTCAGGGTGGTAAAAAATAGGCACAATGTCACATTCAGCTTCACAAGATTTGAAAGTGCATCTCAGCTGGGAGCGGTGGCTCACGCCTGTAATCCCAACACTTTCAGAGGCCGAGGCAGGTGGATCACCTGAGGTCAGGAGTTCGAGACCAGCCTGGCCAACATGGCTAAACCCCATCTCTACTAAAGATAGAAATATTTAGCGGGGCGTGGTGGTGAGTGCCTGTAGTCCCAGCTACTCAGGAGGCTGAGGCAGGAGAATCGCTGGAACCCTGGAGGCAGAGGCTGCAGAGAGCTGACATCATGCCACTGTACTCCAGCCTGGGCGACAGAGCAAGACTCCGTCTCAAAAAAATAAAAAAGAGTGCATCTCAACTTTTTTTTTTTTTCTTTGAGACGGAGTCTTGCTCTGTCGCCCAGGCTGGAGTGCAGTGGCGCGATCTCGGCTCACGGCAAGCTCCGCCTCCCGGGTTCACGCCATTCTCCTGCCTCAGCCTCCCGAGTAGCTGGGACTACAGGCGCCCGCCACCATGTTCGGCTGATTTTTTGTATTTTTTTAGTAGAGACGGGGTTTCTCCGTGGTAGCCAGGATGGTCTTGATCTCCTGACCTCGTGATCTGCCCGCCTCGGCCTCCTAGAGTGCTGGGATTACAGGCGTGAACCGCCGCGCCCGGCCTTCAACATTTTGTATTGGCGATTTTCAGTGACTTCTGGTCCTGAAAATCAAGAGCTTTCTGGTTCAGCAGAGCTGAAAGCTGTTCAATACTGCCCTCTTCTGTCCAAAACTCATTCAGGCATTTGGACAATGATTTTATACTCGGGAATGTTTTTGACAAAGCGTGATGGTGAAAATTGGACATTATCTAACCATGGGGACAGAAAAACAAATTGTGCAGCCATTAGGTCTTAGTTTTGAAGACTTTATTCAGAAAACAACACAAATAGTGATTATCTGGATGTTGTACTTATGAAAAATTTTCCCTATTCTCTGTATTTTAAAGTCTTCTACAATTTATACTGATTATGTTTGGAATTGGCAAAAAGTAAAATAAGTCGTTCTATTCTGAAGAAAACAAGCAAAAATATTAAAGTTTTTGTTATTTTTATAGAAAGCCAACTGATACTTCATCCTCATAACCAGCCTTAGTGTCCTCACCTATAATGTAAGTGACTTATGTTATAGGTGAGGACACTAAGAACAGAGATTTTCATTTTATTTTTATTTTTACTGTTGTTTGTTTGTTTGTTTTTGAGATGGAGACTCACTCTGTCACCTGTGCAGTGGCACGATCTCCACTCATTGCCACCTCCACCTCGAAAGTTCAAGCAATCCTCCTGCCTCAGCCTCTCAAGTAGCTGGGATTATAAGATGCACCACCACGCCCAGCTAACTTTTGTATTTTTAGTAGAGACGGGGTTTGACTGTGTTGCCCAAAGCTGGTCTCAGACTCCTGACCCCAAAGCGATCCTCCTGCCTCGGCCTCCCAAAGTGCTGGGATTACAGCCCCGTGAGCCACTGCACCTGGCCTTATTTTTCGTTTAGATTCAGGGGATACATATATAGGTTTGTTACCTGGATATATTGCATAATGGTGAGGTTTGGGCTCTAGTGTACCCGTCACCGGAGTGGTGAACATTGTACTCAATACTATTTTTCAACTCTCACTTCCCTTCCACCCTCCCTCCCTTTTAGAGTACCCAGTGTCTATTATTTCCATCTTTATGTCCCTGTGTACTCATTGGTTAGCTACCATTTATGAGAATATGCAGCATTTTACTTTCTGTTTCTGAGTTATTTTACTTAGGATAATGGCCTCCAGATCCTTCCATGTTGCTGCAAAGGACATGATTTCCTTCTTTTTCATGGCTGCATAGTATTCCATGGTGTATATGGACCACATTTTCTTTATCCAGTCAAACTTTGATGGACACTTGGGTTGGTTCCATGACTTTGCTAGTGTGAATAGTGCTGCAAGAAACATACAAGTGCAGGCATCTTTTTGATAAACTGATTTTATCTCTCTTGGGTAGATGCCAAATAATGGGATTGCTGTGTGGAATGGTAGTTCTGTTTTTTGTTCCTTGAGAAATCTCCATATTGTTTTCTATAGCTCTCTTACTAATTTACATTCCCACTGGCAATGTATAAATATTCCCTTTTCTCCACATCTGTGCGAACATCTGTTGTTTTTTGACTTTTTAATAATAGCTATTTTGGCTAGGCACAGTGGCTCACATCTATAATCCCAGCACTTTGGGAGGCTGAGGCAGGTGGATCACCTGAAGTCAGCAGTTCAAGACCAACATGGCCAACATGGTGAAACCCCGTCTCTACTAAAAATATAAAAATTAGCCAGGCGCGGTGGCATGTGGCTGTAATCCTAGCTACTCGGGAGGCTGAGACAGAATTGCTTGAACCCAGGAGGTGGAGGTTGCAGTGGAACTGAGATCACACCACTGCACTCCAGCCTGGGCGACAGAGCGAGACTCTGTCTCAAAATAAATAAATAATAAATAGCCATTCTGACTGGTGCAAGATTGTGGTTTTAATTTGCATTTCTCTGATAATTAGTGATGCTGAGAATGTTTTTGTATGTTTCTTTGCCGTTTGTATGTCTTCTTTTGAGAAATGTCTAAGAACAGAGATTTTGCCCAAGGACCCGGTGCTAGTAAGTGGTACAGCTAAAATTTAAACACCAGTCTGTCCCCAGAACTTCTGCTCTTTAATTTTCTTCCCCTCTGCCTGAATTTTTTTTCTCTCTTTGGTGGGGGAAAGTTAAGTCGTTTTCTTGTTGTTTAATACGTAGATAAAATTTATATTATGGTATGTAATGTGAAGCAAATATCGGATAGCCTCCTCTAAAATCAGGTTGGGTAAATCATCACTCTATATTTTGTTGTTTTCTATAATTTTTAGTAGTTACCTGCAATTCCGAGTGCATTCTTCCAAGTGATTTTTTAAAAAAAATAACTTCAGGCCAGGTCCGGTGGCTCACACCTGTAATCCCAGCACTTTGAGAGGCCAAGGTGGGTAGATCACCTGAGGTCAGGAGTTCGAGACCAGTCTCTACAGTTTAGTAGAGATGTGGAAACCCCGTCTCTACTAAAAATACAAAAAATTAGCCGGGCGTCGCGGCGGGCGCCTGTAATCCCAGCTACTTGGGAGGCTAGGACAGAAGAATCGCTTGAACCCAGGAGGCGGAGGTTGCAGTGAGCCGAGATCGCGCCATTGCACTCCAGGCTGGGCAATAAGAGTTTCCGTCTCGAAAAAAAAAAAAAAAGAAAGAAAGAAAGATAACTGTAAACATACAGAAAGTTGGAAAACTAAAATGAATACAGAGAACACCCATACCCTTTACTCAGATTCACCTATCCCAAATAGTGGGATATTGTCAACATTTTCCCTCGCTTGCTATATTTACTTTCTTTTTGTTGGGAAAACAAAACAAACATCAGTCCACGGGTTTCTGTTATAAGTCATGTAGGTATGAGATATATTAATAAATTCACTGGAGAAGGCTGGGCACAGTGGCTCACACCTGTAATCCCAGCACTTTGGGAGACTGAGGCGGATTGCTTTGAGCTCAGGAGTTCAAGGCCAGCCATGGCAAAATCCCTGTGTCTACTAAAAATACAAAAACTAGCCAGGAGTTGGTGGCTCACACCTGTAGTCCCAGCTACTCGGGAGGCTGAGGCTGGAGAATCGCTTGAGCCCTGGAAGCGGAGGCTGCAGTGAGCCAAGATGACGCCATGGTACTCCTGCTTGGGCGATAGAGGGACACCTTGTCTCAAAAAATTAGGGAAGCATTTGAAAGTAAGTTATATACATCATGGTCCTTTACTCCTAAATATTTCAGTGTGTATTCTCCAAGAATAGGGATATTCCCTTTCATAACCACAGTACAGTTATTGACAGTTATCAATATCATACATTTACGTTATTACAGAACTTTTCTATAATCTGCTTCTAATTTTGTCAGCTAATCTAATTATGTCCATTTTAAAGCATTCCTCTTTGCATTACAATATCCACCCTAGGGTCAGAGATTTTGTGTTGTCGTGTCTTTTTAGCTTCTTTTAATCTGGAAGACTTCTATAGCTTTTGTCTTTTAGACTTTGATATGTTCAAAGTATAAGTTCCCTCCCCGTTTCTACTCATTCCTTATTTGATGTTTCTTTTGCCTATATCAATTTAGGTTAGGTTACTCATTTTTTTTTTTTTTCCCCGAGATGGAGTCTTGCTCTGTTGCCCAGGATGGAGTGTAGTGGCGTGATCTGGGTTTACTGCAACCTCCGCCTCCCGGGTTTAAGCGATTCTCCCACCTCAGCTTCCTGAGTAGCTGGGACTACAGGCACCCACCACCACGCCCGGCTAATTTTTGTGTTTAGAGACTGGGTTTCACCATATTGGCCAGGCTGGTCTCGAACTCCTGACTCCAGGTGATCCGTCTACCTTGCACTCCCAAAGTGCTGGGATTACAGGCGTGAGCCGCTGCACCCGGCCATAGGTTACTCATTCTAAGCCAGAATCCTGCAGAGGTGATGTTGTGTCCTTCTCAGGGTATTGCACGCGGTGTCCATCTGTCCCTTGTAGGCTGATGTTAAGGTGTTTTCCAATTTCTCCACTGTAGAATTGGGCTTTTCTCCCTCCCTTTCAACAATAAGCATGTAAATATCCTCTCCTCTCCTCCATTTAGCACTTTAGCACCCATTGATTCTTGCTTTATCCAGCTTTCACTTTGATGGATGCTCGGGCCGATCTTTTGAATCACTATCTGTGAGTGGGTGGGTAGGATTTATGCACTCTTTTCAAAACGATGCATGACTGTAACTGTGAATAAACTCTGCCTTTCACACTGAAATAGAATTCAAATTGCTGTCCACATTAGACATAAAGCAGTTTTTCCATCTAAGTGTAGGAGTTGACATATCGAAATACTTGTTCTTGCCATAAGTGGCGCTTATGAACTATAAAAAGTTGTAATGATTTATGGAAAATAAGAATGTTTATGCTTTAAAAGTGTATGAAATTGACTTTTCTTTCAAAAAGACAAACTGTGTATTTTGCTCCTTTAGTGCCTTCACTCTAAGCACTACCCAGCCAGCCTTTGGCCCTCCTGAGATACCACACACCTATATGACGTTGGTCAAGTCATATGACCGTTTTTAAAAAGACTGTTTTTAAGAGCAGTTTCAGGTTCACAGCAAAATTGAGTGGAGAGTTCGGAGAATTCCCATGTGTCCCTTGCCCCAACGTCTGCATAGCCTCCCCCAACCCTTATCAACATTCCCCACCAGAATGGGTCATTTGTTACAATCAATGAACCTGCACTGACACATGGTTATCACCCAAAGTCCATAGTTTACATTAGGGCTCACTCTTGGTGGTGTACATTCTGTGGATTTGGGCCAATACATAATGATGTGTACCCACCATTACAGTGTCATGCAAAATGGCTTCACTGCCATAAAAATCATCTGTGCTTCATGTATTCATCCCTTCCTCCCCCAACCCCTGGCAGCCACTGCTCTTTTTACTGTCTCCAAAGTTTTGTCTTTTTCAGAATGTCATATAGTTGGAATCATACATTGTGTATCTTCCTCAGAGCGTCTTCTTTTGCTTAGCTATATACATTTAAGTTCCCTCCGTGTATTTTCATGGCCTGATAACTAATTTTTCTTTTTTTTTTTCTTTTTTGAGACAGAGTCTCGCTCTGTTGCCCAGGCTGGAGTGCAGTGGCGCGATCTCAGCTCACTGCGAGCCCCGTCTCCCGGGTTCAAGCAATTCTCTGCCTCAGCCTCCCGAGTAGCTGGGATTACAGGTGCCCACCACAATGCCCGGCTAATTTTTGTTTGTTTGTTTGTTTTAGTAGAGACGGGGTTTCACCATCTTGGCCAGGCTGGTCTTGAACTCATGATCTCATGATCCACCCACCTCGGCCTCCCAAAGTGCTGGGTTACAGTCATGAGCCACCGCGCCCAGCGGTGGTTTTTTTTTTTTTTTTTAGTGCTGAATAGTATTATGTTGTCTGGATATACCATACTTTATCCACTCACTTATTGAAGGACATCTGATTGCTTCCAAGTTTTGGCAATTATGCATAAAGTTGCTGTAAACATCTGTGTGCAGATGTTTTGTGTGGACATAAATTTTCAACTCATTTGGGTGAATACCAAGGAGCATGATTGCCAGATCATATGGTAAGAGTATGTTCAGTATGAAAACAAACCGCAGACTGTCCTCCCAAGTGGCTGTCCATTTGCGTTCTCACAGATGACTATTTTTGAAGTCCCAGTTGGAGGGAGCAGGTGAGCTCCACCTTCTAGCCCATAAGGCTCTGTAAGTGATGGCTTTGTGATGGGAACTTGACTGATAGCCTCATGGGCGAATGTGATGGGAACTTGACTGATAGCCTCATGGGCGAATACTCAAGAACTTAAAGCTCTTTACAACCAAGCCAAACCCACGAGCAGGTTCCACCATGCCTTGGCCATTGCCAGACAAAACCCCATTGTGTTTTTGCTTGATTTTCGTCCTGTGACACTGACATTTCAGGCCAGGCTAGTTGTTTTGCAGAACGTCCTTCATTGTGGATTCATCTGATTGTTTCCTCGTGATTAGATGCCGTTAAACATTTTGATCAGCAGAGCTGCAAAGATGAATTCTTGTCCTTCTGAGTGCCTCACATCAGGAAGCGCGATGACATCTGTTCCATTATCGAGGATAAGTCTGATCACTTGGTTAAAGTGGTGCCTGCCAGATTTCTCCATTGTCGAGGTCCTTTTTGTTTGTTTTTGTTTCTTTTTTTTCTTTTTTTTTTTTTTGACACAGTCTTGCCCTGTCTCCCAGGCTGGAATGCAGTGGCACGATCTCGGCTCACTGCAACCTCCGCCTCCCTGGTTCAACCGATTCTCCTGCCTCAGCCTCCCGAGTAGCTGGGATTACAGACATGTGCCACCACGCCCGGCTAATTTGTTTGTATTTTTAGTAGAGATGAGGTTTCACCATGTTGGCCAGGCTGGTCTCTAACTCCTGATCTCAGGTGATCCGCCCGCTTTGGCCTCCCAAAGTGCTGGGATTACAGGCGTGAGCCACCGCGCCAGGCCTCGAGGCCCTTTTTCTTTTAAATTAAGTGTCAGGGAAGTTCAGCGGCGGCTTGGCAGTTGGTTAGCAGGATGGTTTTCGGCCTCAGCAGGCTTGGGTTTGAAGAGACCCCACTGGGGCGGTCCGCAGGACCCCCGGGGGTTTCCTGGGAGGTCGAGGGCTGGCGCCGGGCGCGGGGAGGCTGCGTCTTTTGTGATGTTCGCGGCTGGCTTCCCGGGCCCAGGCTTTCGCGAGCTATGGCAGCCGGCAGGGGCGCGCTGGGCCTCACGGGCGGCTGTTGGGCTGCCCCTGCCGGCGGGCTGCGCGCGCCATGCCCTGGTGGAGTAAACTCTGCAGTGAGTAGCACGTGCACCCAAGCGGCAGTTCGCCCCGCAGCGATGGCGGACACGGAATCCCGAGGGCCACCAACTGTCCCTTAGGACCGGCCCGAGATGGGTGTGTGTGGGTTTTCCAGCCTCCTTCCTTCCCGTCCCAGGCTTGGGAAAGCCTCTCTACTGGCCAAGGCGCGCAGGGACAGGTCGGGAAGGGCCTGCGCCCGTGGCATCCCAGCCCAGGCTGTAGAGCCGCCCGCTGCCCTTGATCTTGCCCCAGCCCCCAGCCCTAGAAAGGAAAGGCCTCGTTCTGGGTCCCGTGACAGGTGCCAAAACGCTCTGCGCCAGCAGCCTACCTCCCCGAAGACTCTGGCTTGAAAGGGGAGTCGGGGGGTTGGAATGGACATGGCTGTGGCTGCGGTCAGCTGGGGAGGTGGGCGGCAGGGCAGGTCGAGGATGACCCAGGCCTCAAAAAGTCACCAGGATTTAGCGAAGTTGCCCTCACTGTAAGGCCTGGAGGCCGGCAAAGTGTGGGACGCAGAACAGAATGGAACAGGCCTCAACACTTGGGCTGCGCCATGGGGAGTGTGAAGCCCAGTGATGGGGCAGGCTGGAAAGTACGGTCTAGGCTTCAATGCGGGTTCCAAGCCCAGTGGGTGGCCACACGATCGCATGTGTTTTGGGGTCAGGATCTCAACAGCGCGGGTACAGATATAGGTACCTGCCAGACTAGGTAGGTTAGAAGACTATTCTCTAGGCCCTAAAGCCATTAGGAGTCCACAGCCTGTTGATGTGATAGAAGCGGTATTTTAGGAGGCTTTGCTTAGCAGGTACCTTGTATGGAGTGAGTAGATTGCCCCAGCACAGAGGGTACGTGGAGGCCGAAATCAGGCTGAAGCACAAAGCATGGAGGCGCCCGAAGATTGTTCTGACAATTGTAGCTCTTAGGATTACTTATGTTAAAAGAGACTGCAGACTAGTTGACCAGCTACAACTTAAAATTTTTCTATATACATTTTATTATGTGTTCAACTCATAACTCACTTACTCTATATAAAGAGAGCATTTGATTATTGTTAAGCTGTACTGAACTATCAATAGCTGTTCAGTAACAGCTACCTTAGATACTGATGGCAGTCGCCCAGGCTGGAGTGCAGTAGTGTGATCTCGGCTCACTGCAACCTCCACCTCCCGGGTTCAAGTGATTCTCCTGCCTCAGCCTCCCAAGTAGCTGAGACTACAGGCATGCGCCACCATGCACGACTGATTTTTGTATTTTTAGTAGAGATGGGGTTTCACCACTTTGGCCAGCGTGGTCTTGAACTCCTGACCTCAAGTAAACCGCCTGCCTCAGCCTCCCAAAGTGCTGGGATTACAGGTGTGAGCCATAGTGCCCGGCCCAATAGCTGTTTTGTTCTGCCTGCTGGCAGCTGGTTCACGAACCTTTATCTCCCTAGTTTTGACTATAAACATGTCGGCCCTTTCAGAATGAAGCAGAAGTGTTTCCAATGGAAACACAGATTTAAGAGTGGAGGGAAAATAGTGAGGGGGAAATGGTTGTGTGACACCAGCTTTCTACTCCTATATTAGCAACATGTCTCTGCATTTTCTGATTCCAGGGAGGTTGATGAGTGTTTGTTTTTAATCACATGCTTGCTGGCAGGATATGTAATTTATGTTTGTATTCTGTACTAGTGAAATCATACTAGAATAGAGTTTGTTACTGGAATTTTTCTTTTTTCTCTAGTATATTTCCAATTATTTTATCCAACTTTTTCAAAAGGAAAGTCACATCTCTTAAATGGCATTAGAAGTGTTTGCAAAAAGTTCTTTTGTGACCGCCAGGCACGGTGGCTCACGCCTGTAATCACAGCACTTTGGGAGGCTGAGGCAGGCGGATCACCTGAGGTCAGGAGTTTGAAACCAGCCTGGCCAACATGGTGAAACCTTATCTGTACAAAAAATACAAAAATTAGCCGAGCGTGGTGGCAGCCACCTGTAATCCCAGCTACTTGGGAAGCTGAGGCAGGAGAATCGCTTGAACCCAGGAGGCGGAGGTTGCAGTGAGCTGAGATCGAGCCACTGCACTCCAGCGTGGGTGACAGAGCGAAGACTGGTTCAAAAAAAGAAAAAAAGAAAAAAGAAATAGTTCATGGAAATACACTTAAGGAAGCCTTTGGATTTAACTATAAACAAATTCATCACAGTGTCAGTTTATAATAGGAACAAATAGAAACTTAAAGCATTTTCTTATTTCAGAATACTATACATGCTTTAAAAAATAATGGGAAGAGTGTATATATCTAAAATGTAGAAGTAGTTTAAATCGTCGATGTCTGGACTTTCTCTTTGAATATTTGCTTCAAAGTTTAATATGAGTGTTTAATTTTTCCTTATTGTTTGTTAAGTCTAATGTTGGTCACAAATGTGTATTTTATAAAGAGAAAAGGGAAATCCTTTAGGAATGCGCCTCAGATCAAAATAATGAGATTCTTGGGTTTTTCTTGAAATCTTCTTCGCTATCTGAAATGTTTAGTTCTCAGAGGTAAAACTAAAATGTTTTGTTTTAAATGCTATCTTAGATACTGATGGCAGAAAAAATGAGCCTTGCTGATTATCGAAGCTGTTACAGATGGTGAGTCTATGGCATCACCACTGAAGCAAAGGCCCTTATTGAGTCTCTGAAGAATAAGAGGCCCAGATAACCTATTCATCTATGAATATCCAAAAAATCTAGCAATATTTGAAAAGAAAAAAAGAACTTTAGCATAACTTAGAGAATAACAAGGTACAAGGACAAAAAAAAACTCTAGGTCACACTCTTGCCCTGACTTGGTTGGGTACCTCAGGCAGTTTTGTTGTTGTTGTTGTTGTCTGTTCATTTGTTTTTTGAGTCAGTCTCGCTCGGTCACCCAGGCTGGAGTGCAATGGCATGATCTTGGCTCACTGCAACCTCTGCCTCCCATGTTCAAGAGATTCTCCTGCCTCAGCCTCCCGAGTAGCTAGGGCTACAGGCACCCGCCACTACGCCTGGCTGGTTTTTGTATTTTTAGTAGAGACGGGGTTTCACCATGTTGGCCAGCCTGCTCTCAAACTCCTGACCTTAAATGATCCACCTGCCTGGACCTCCCAAAGTGCTGGCATTACAGGGATGAGCCACCTCGCCCAGCCTAGTTTTTTATTTAACTTTCTGGGGTTCAGTTTCAAAATAAAACCAAATAAGTAGTATGATGGCAATTTGTAGACATAGATTTGTAATATTTCATAAATAAGAAAATTAAATTGTTTTCAGAGTAATAAGATTATATAATTGGAAGGAATGTATGGATTTGGGGAAGCATTCTATATTTCTAAATATTTCTGCATTTCAAGTATTTATTGCTGTGTTCTAAGTCTTGTTGTATGTACTAGTTATAATTTTTTTTTTGGGGGGGACAGAGTCTTGCTGTGTCACCCAGGCTGGAGTGCAGTGGTGCGATCTCAGCTCACTGCAACCTCCACCTCCCGGCTTCACACCATTCTCCTTCCTCAGTCTCCTGAGTAGCTGGGATTACAGGCGCCTGCCACCACGCCTGGCTAATTTTTTGTATTTTTAGTAGAGACGGGGTTTCACCGTGTTAGCCAGGATGGTCTCGATCTCCTGACCTTGTGATCCGCCCGCCTCAGCCTCCCAGAGTGCTGGGATTACAGGCGTGAGCCACCGCGCCTGGCTAGTTATAATTATTAACCTTCAATTTGTGCTTAAAACATTAAGTATATTTTTTCAGGTTTTGTTAAGATCTTTTTGGTGTCCATTTTAATTGACCTGTTTAGTACAAAAATCGATATATGTCCTATATAGAAAATTAGAGGCTGGGGGCAGTGGCTCACACCTGTAATCCCAGCACTTTGGGAGGCTGAGGTGGGCGGATCACCTGAGGCCAGGAGTTCTCGAGACCAGCCTGGCCAACATGGTGAAACCCCATCTCTACTAAAAATACAAACATCAGCCAGGTGTGGTGACACATGCCACTAGTCCCAGCTACTCGGGAGGCTGAGGCAGGAGAATCGCTTGAACCCGGGAGGTGGAGGTTGCAGTGAGCCCAGATCACATCACTGCAGCCTGGGTGACAGAGTGAGACTCTGTCTTAAAAAAAAAAAAAAGAAAAGAAAAAAGAAAATTCAGACAAGCAAAACTAAAATAAATGACATTCGCATCCCCCAGAGATCATATGTGAAGGATGTGTGTGTATATGTGTGTGTGTGTGTGTGTGTGTGTGTGTGTGTGTGTGAGAGAGAGAGAGAGAGAGAGAGAGAGAGAGAAAGGAGAGACAGTTGTTTTTAAGCCAGAATGAGGTCATTGTATATACTGTTTGGTAACCTGCTTTTTGCAGTCAAATCTCTACCCTTTTATGTCAATTAAAATTCATCTCATCTAATCCCAAATCTCATACTCAGTATTTTCCAAGAAGACCCAAAAATGTCCTTTTGCTGTTTTTCCCTAACAAATATCCAATTCAGGATCATGCCAGGTACCTCTGGTTGTTGTGTTCCTTAAATCTCTTAATTTAACACAATACATCTCCCTCCTACTTCCCCCCATTAAATCACATTGACTTGACTTTTCCCCTCAGTGATTTTAAAATTACAAACCCGGAAAAATATAGTAAACACTTATATACACTTGACCTATTCGCCATTTATGGAAAGCCACATCATCCGCCCCACCACCCACTAAGCTATTTGGAAGTTACTTGCAGACAATCCTTTTGTGTTTCTGCTGGATTTTCATCCTTCTGTGACATTGACATTTCAGGCCAGGCTAGTTGTTTTGCAGAATGCCCTTCGCTGTGGATTTGTCTGGTTGTGTCGTTGTGATTAGATACCATTAAACCTTTTGGTCAGGAATGCCACGTAGATGAATTCTTGTCCTTCTCAGTGCTTCACACCAGGAAGCGCGATGGCATCTGTCCCATTATTGAGGATGTTAAATGTGATCACTTGGTTAAGGTGGTGCCTGTCAGATTTCTCCATTGCCAAGGTCATTTTTTTGAAATTAAGTAATGTGTATGTTGGTATTCTGAATGTACGTTTCCTGACAGCCTTTTACCCGATGGTTTTAGCAGTTTATGATACTTGACTGAATGAGTTATTACAATGGTGTCTGTAAATTGTGATTTTCTAAATCTAAAATTCTAACAATAATGACTTTGAGGATCAAAGTGGAAGTTATATCTATATTTATTGACATTTCTTTTTTCCTTAAAGAAGCGCTCCCTTCTCCTCATTTACCTTTTTTAGTATCACTCTCGATTCATGGATTCTTTTTTTATTCAATGTGTTGTAACCCATCAATGTCATCATTCTCTTTCTTTTTCTTTTTCACATCAGACGAGTAATGTGCCATCGTGGTGACAATGCACACATTGCACATGAACACCCAATCGTCACTCTCATAAAATACAAAGGATCCATTATTCTTTTCTATGCTTCAAAGTTTGGGCATTGGGAGCCCCTTCAAGCCAGTTCTTGTGTCCTTTTGACACCTCCATCAGCTTTTGAGCATCTCCTTTCTGTTACAACAAAATATTCTTCATACGTCCTCTGACCCAGCCTGGAATTTCTCCAAAGAGCTCTGGTCCCTTTTGGGGACCTGTTGAGGTCGGACTTAGTTACCACATAGAATGTCCCCTTCTTTAGATTTGTGTAGATACTTGTTTGTTCTTTAGCTTGTTCCTCAAACCCTATATTTCCTGTTAAGTGGGAAGTTACATCTAAAACTTGATGGATTCTTGTTTAAAATATGGGTGTGATGTGGGATTCCATCTTACATTGCAACAGAAGATGCACTACCTCGTTGACTCACTCTTAGAGGTGCCGTGACTACTTATGTGGAACTAATTTTTTGATAGTTAAGTTTGTCAACTTTCCCTTTAACAAGCAACAGAAAGAGCAGATAATTCTCTTTGAACCTGAATTTTTGAAGGTCATTGGAAAGAAGTAGACATTAATCTATTAAGATTTGCAAATCTCTGTAAGATCTCACTTTATCCTTGAATTGCCTCGCATTAAAGAAAGTATTAATTGGTCATATTTTTAAAATATTTAATTTTCACTGGGTGCAGTGGCTCACGCCTGTAATCCCAGCACTTTGGGAGGCCGAGGTGGGTGGATCACTAGAGGTCAGGAGCTCAAGACCAGCCTGGCCAGCATGGTGAAACCCCTCCCATACTAAAAATACAAAAATTGACTGGGCGTGTTGGCTCACGCCTGTAATCCCAGCACTTTGGGAGGCAGAGGTGGGTGGATCACGAGGTCAGAAGATCGAGACCATTCTGGCTAACACGGTGAAACCCCGTCTCTATACTAAAAATACAAAAAAAAAAAAATTAGCCTCCCTACTCGGGAGGCTGAGACAGGAGAATGGCGTGAACCCAGGAGGCGGAGCTTGCAGTGAGCCACGATCGTGCCTCTGCACTCCAGCCTGGGTGACAGAGTGAGACTCCATCTCAAAAAAAACAAACAAAAAAAACAAATTAGCTGGGCATGGTGACAGACGCCTGTAATCCCAGCTAATCAGGAGGCTGAGGTGGGAGAATCACTTGAACCTAGGACAGAGGTTGCAGTGAACCGAGATCGTGCCACTGTGCTCCAGCCTGGGCGACAGAGTGAGACTCTGTCTCAAAAAAAAAAAAAAAAAAAGTTAATTTTCTTGGGCTAGGCACTATAGCTCACACTTGTAATCCCACTGCTTTGAGAAGCTGAGACAGGAGGGTCACTTGAGCCCAGCAGTTGGAGAGCAGCCTGGACAACATAGTGAGATCTCATCTCTACAGAAAATAAAAAACTTAGCTGGACATGGTGGCATGTGCCTGTAGTCCCAGCTACTCGGGATGCTGAGGTGGGAGGATTCCTTGAGCCTGGGAGGTTGAGGCTGCAGTGAGCCGAGACCACACCACTGCCCTCCAGCCGGGGCAAGAGAGTGAGGCCCTGTCGGAGAAAAACAATTTTCTTGTATTGTAATCACCTTTTCTCTTCTCCCCACCCCCCCGCCCCTTTTTGTTAATAGTTGGACAGAGAGACTCTGAAGATGTGAGCAAAAGAGACTCCGATAAAGAGATGGCTACTAAGTCAGCGGTTGTTCACGACATCACAGATGATGGGCAGGAGGAGACACCCGAAATAATCGAACAGATTCCTTCTTCAGAAAGCAATTTAGAAGAGCTAACACAACCCACTGAGTCCCAGGCTAATGATATTGGATTTAAGAAGGTGTTTAAGTTTGTTGGCTTTAAATTCACTGTGAAAAAGGATAAGACAGAGAAGCCTGACACTGTCCAGCTACTCACTGTGAAGAAAGATGAAGGGGAGGGAGCAGCAGGGGCTGGCGACCACAAGGACCCCAGCCTTGGGGCTGGAGAAGCAGCATCCAAAGAAAGCGAACCCAAACAATCTACAGAGAAACCCGAAGAGACCCTGAAGCGTGAGCAAAGCCACGCAGAAATTTCTCCCCCAGCCGAATCTGGCCAAGCAGTGGAGGAATGCAAAGAGGAAGGAGAAGAGAAACAAGAAAAAGAACCTAGCAAGTCTGCAGAATCTCCGACTAGTCCCGTGACCAGTGAAACAGGATCAACCTTCAAAAAATTCTTCACTCAAGGTTGGGCCGGCTGGCGCAAAAAGACCAGTTTCAGGAAGCCGAAGGAGGATGAAGTGGAAGCTTCAGAGAAGAAAAAGGAACAAGAGCCAGAAAAAGTAGACACAGAAGAAGACGGAAAGGCAGAGGTTGCCTCCGAGAAACTGACCGCCTCCGAGCAAGCCCACCCACAGGAGCCGGCAGAAAGTGCCCACGAGCCCCGGTTATCAGCTGAATATGAGAAAGTTGAGCTGCCCTCAGAGGAGCAAGTCAGTGGCTCGCAGGGACCTTCTGAAGAGAAACCTGCTCCGTTGGCGACAGAAGTGTTTGATGAGAAAATAGAAGTCCACCAAGAAGAGGTTGTGGCCGAAGTCCACGTCAGCACCGTGGAGGAGAGAACCGAAGAGCAGAAAACGGAGGTGGAAGAAACAGCAGGGTCTGTGCCAGCTGAAGAATTGGTTGAAATGGATGCAGAACCTCAGGAAGCTGAACCTGCCAAGGAGCTGGTGAAGCTCAAAGAAACGTGTGTTTCCGGAGAGGACCCTACACAGGGAGCTGACCTCAGTCCTGATGAGAAGGTGCTGTCCAAACCCCCCGAAGGCGTTGTGAGTGAGGTGGAAATGCTGTCATCACAGGAGAGAATGAAGGTGCAGGGAAGTCCACTAAAGAAGCTTTTTACCAGCACTGGCTTAAAAAAGCTTTCTGGAAAGAAACAGAAAGGGAAAAGAGGAGGAGGAGACGAGGAATCAGGGGAGCACACTCAGGTTCCAGCCGATTCTCCGGACAGCCAGGAGGAGCAAAAGGGCGAGAGCTCTGCCTCATCCCCTGAGGAGCCCGAGGAGATCACGTGTCTGGAAAAGGGCTTAGCCGAGGTGCAGCAGGATGGGGAAGCTGAAGAAGGAGCTACTTCCGATGGAGAGAAAAAAAGAGAAGGTGTCACTCCCTGGGCATCATTCAAAAAGATGGTGACGCCCAAGAAGCGTGTTAGACGGCCTTCGGAAAGTGATAAAGAAGATGAGCTGGACAAGGTCAAGAGCGCTACCTTGTCTTCCACCGAGAGCACAGCCTCTGAAATGCAAGAAGAAATGAAAGGGAGCGTGGAAGAGCCAAAGCCGGAAGAACCAAAGCGCAAGGTGGATACCTCAGTATCTTGGGAAGCTTTAATTTGTGTGGGATCATCCAAGAAAAGAGCAAGGAGAGGGTCCTCTTCTGATGAGGAAGGGGGACCAAAAGCAATGGGAGGAGACCACCAGAAAGCTGATGAGGCCGGAAAAGACAAAGAGACGGGGACAGACGGGATCCTTGCTGGTTCCCAAGAACATGATCCAGGGCAGGGAAGTTCCTCCCCGGAGCAAGCTGGAAGCCCTACCGAAGGGGAGGGCGTTTCCACCTGGGAGTCATTTAAAAGGTTAGTCACGCCAAGAAAAAAATCAAAGTCCAAGCTGGAAGAGAAAAGCGAAGACTCCATAGCTGGGTCTGGTGTAGAACATTCCACTCCAGACACTGAACCCGGTAAAGAAGAATCCTGGGTCTCAATCAAGAAGTTTATTCCTGGACGAAGGAAGAAAAGGCCAGATGGGAAACAAGAACAAGCCCCTGTTGAAGACGCAGGGCCAACAGGGGCCAACGAAGATGACTCTGATGTCCCGGCCGTGGTCCCTCTGTCTGAGTATGATGCTGTAGAAAGGGAGAAAATGGAGGCACAGCAAGCCCAAAAAAGCGCAGAGCAGCCCGAGCAGAAGGCAGCCACTGAGGTGTCCAAGGAGCTCAGCGAGAGTCAGGTTCATATGATGGCAGCAGCTGTCGCTGACGGGACGAGGGCAGCTACCATTATTGAAGAAAGGTCTCCTTCTTGGATATCTGCTTCAGTGACAGAACCTCTTGAACAAGTAGAAGCTGAAGCCGCACTGTTAACTGAGGAGGTATTGGAAAGAGAAGTAATTGCAGAAGAAGAACCCCCCACGGTTACTGAACCTCTGCCAGAGAACAGAGAGGCCCGGGGCGACACGGTCGTTAGTGAGGCGGAATTGACCCCCGAAGCTGTGACAGCTGCAGAAACTGCAGGGCCATTGGGTGCCGAAGAAGGAACCGAAGCATCTGCTGCTGAAGAGACCACAGAAATGGTGTCAGCAGTCTCCCAGTTAACCGACTCCCCAGACACCACAGAGGAGGCCACTCCGGTGCAGGAGGTGGAAGGTGGCGTACCTGACATAGAAGAGCAAGAGAGGCGGACTCAAGAGGTCCTCCAGGCAGTGGCAGAAAAAGTGAAAGAGGAATCCCAGCTGCCTGGCACCGGTGGGCCAGAAGATGTGCTTCAGCCTGTGCAGAGAGCAGAGGCAGAAAGACCAGAAGAGCAGGCTGAAGCGTCGGGTCTGAAGAAAGAGACGGATGTAGTGTTGAAAGTAGATGCTCAGGAGGCAAAAACTGAGCCTTTTACACAAGGGAAGGTGGTGGGGCAGACCACCCCAGAAAGCTTTGAAAAAGCTCCTCAAGTCACAGAGAGCATAGAGTCCAGTGAGCTTGTAACCACTTGTCAAGCCGAAACCTTAGCTGGGGTAAAATCACAGGAGATGGTGATGGAACAGGCTATCCCCCCTGACTCGGTGGAAACCCCTACAGACAGTGAGACTGATGGAAGCACCCCCGTAGCCGACTTTGACGCACCAGGCACAACCCAGAAAGACGAGATTGTGGAAATCCATGAGGAGAATGAGGTCGCATCTGGTACCCAGTCAGGGGGCACAGAAGCAGAGGCAGTTCCTGCACAGAAAGAGAGGCCTCCAGCACCTTCCAGTTTTGTGTTCCAGGAAGAAACTAAAGAACAATCAAAGATGGAAGACACTCTAGAGCATACAGATAAAGAGGTGTCAGTGGAAACTGTATCCATTCTGTCAAAGACTGAGGGGACTCAAGAGGCTGACCAGTATGCTGATGAGAAAACCAAAGACGTACCATTTTTCGAAGGACTTGAGGGGTCTATAGACACAGGCATAACAGTCAGTCGGGAAAAGGTCACTGAAGTTGCCCTTAAAGGTGAAGGGACAGAAGAAGCTGAATGTAAAAAGGATGATGCTCTTGAACTGCAGAGTCACGCTAAGTCTCCTCCATCCCCCGTGGAGAGAGAGATGGTAGTTCAAGTCGAAAGGGAGAAAACAGAAGCAGAGCCAACCCATGTGAATGAAGAGAAGCTTGAGCACGAAACAGCTGTTACCGTATCTGAAGAGGTCAGTAAGCAGCTCCTCCAGACAGTGAATGTGCCCATCATAGATGGGGCAAAGGAAGTCAGCAGTTTGGAAGGAAGCCCTCCTCCCTGCCTAGGTCAAGAGGAGGCAGTATGCACCAAAATTCAAGTTCAGAGCTCTGAGGCATCATTCACTCTAACAGCGGCTGCAGAGGAGGAAAAGGTCTTAGGAGAAACTGCCAACATTTTAGAAACAGGTGAAACGTTGGAGCCTGCAGGTGCACATTTAGTTCTGGAAGAGAAATCCTCTGAAAAAAATGAAGACTTTGCCGCTCATCCAGGGGAAGATGCTGTGCCCACAGGGCCCGACTGTCAGGCAAAATCGACACCAGTGATAGTATCTGCTACTACCAAGAAAGGCTTAAGTTCCGACCTGGAAGGAGAGAAAACCACATCACTGAAGTGGAAGTCAGATGAAGTCGATGAGCAGGTTGCTTGCCAGGAGGTCAAAGTGAGTGTAGCAATTGAGGATTTAGAGCCTGAAAATGGGATTTTGGAACTTGAGACCAAAAGCAGTAAACTTGTCCAAAACATCATCCAGACAGCCGTTGACCAGTTTGTACGTACAGAAGAAACAGCCACCGAAATGTTGACGTCTGAGTTACAGACACAAGCTCACGTGATAAAAGCTGACAGCCAGGACGCTGGACAGGAAACGGAGAAAGAAGGAGAGGAACCTCAGGCCTCTGCACAGGATGAAACACCAATTACTTCAGCCAAAGAGGAGTCAGAGTCAACCGCAGTGGGACAAGCACATTCTGATATTTCCAAAGACATGAGTGAAGCCTCAGAAAAGACCATGACTGTTGAGGTAGAAGGTTCCACTGTAAATGATCAGCAGCTGGAAGAGGTCGTCCTCCCATCTGAGGAAGAGGGAGGTGGAGCTGGAACAAAGTCTGTGCCAGAAGATGATGGTCATGCCTTGTTAGCAGAAAGAATAGAGAAGTCACTAGTTGAACCGAAAGAAGATGAAAAAGGTGATGATGTTGATGACCCTGAAAACCAGAACTCAGCCCTGGCTGATACTGATGCCTCAGGAGGCTTAACCAAAGAGTCCCCAGATACAAATGGACCAAAACAAAAAGAGAAGGAGGATGCCCAGGAAGTAGAATTGCAGGAAGGAAAAGTGCACAGTGAATCAGATAAAGCGATCACACCCCAAGCACAGGAGGAGTTACAGAAACAAGAGAGAGAATCTGCAAAGTCAGAACTTACAGAATCTTAAAACATCATGCAGGTAAGCTTCCTTGTCTTCTAAGATAATTTTTCTCTTTTATGCCAATAGATGGCAAATTTGTTACATAAGGAATCGGGAGCAAATAATTAATGCCTTCGTGTAGAACCTTCAGTTGAGGAAAATAACTATCAACTAGATTCAAAGATCTAGGATAGTTTCATGGTTTTTGGTGATTGAAATGCCATTTAGTCTTATCGATGTTATGAAAAGAACGACTTCGTTTTACCTCCTAATGTGACTGCTTTAGAATAAAATAAAACGGCATGTGTGTGTGCACATGTGCGTGTTTGACCCAAAGGCATAAGAAATACATTGTGTTCACTCAACTATCTTGTTGAGTTTTTTTAAAAATAACTAGTGCTCCAATGGCTGGGCGTGGTGCCTCACGACTCCGTCTCAAAAAAAAAAAACAAACAAAAAAAACTAGTGCCCCCAAATGGGCTAATATTAAACTGCCTGAAATATAGCTGATGATAGCTCTTTCAGAAAAAATGGATTTTTTTTCCCCTAGCAGTAGTAACAAGTATTTTTAAAAATTTTCCAGCGCATATAATGACCGACCCTCACTGTGTTAGTTACTTGCAGTTGCTAGTAACTCCCCATCTTTGTGGTTTTTGTTTTGTTTTGTTTTGTTTTCTTGAGACGGAGTCTCGCTCTGTCATCCAGGCTGGAATGCAGTGGCGCGATCTCGGCTCACTGCAAGCTCCGCCTCCCAGGTTCACGCCATTCTCCTGCCTCAGCCTCCCGAGTAGCTGGGACTACAGGTGCCCGCCACCATACCCAGCTAATTTTTTGTATTTTTAGTAGAGATGGGTTTTCACCGTGTTAGCCAGGAGGTCTCGATCTCCTGACCTCGTGATCCGCCCGCCTTGGCCTCCCAAAGTGCTGGGATTACAGGTGTGAGCCACCACGCCCAGCCCTATCTTTGTTTTGTTTTTTGAGAGAGCCTTGCTGTGTCACCCAGGCTGGAATGCCGTGGTGCAATCATGGATTGCTGCAACCTTGACTTCCTGGGCTAAAGCAAATCGCCTGCCTCTGCCTCTGTCTCCTGAATAGCTGCTGGGACCACAGGCACATGTCATTACTCCGAGCTAATTGTTAAATTTTTTTGCAGACAGGGGTCTTGCTATGTTGCCCAGGCTGGTCTCAAACTCCTGGCCTCAAGAAATCCTCCTGCCTCACCCTCCCAAAGTGCTAGGATTACAGTCGTGAGCCACTGTGCTCAACCCATCTTCGTTTTCTTTTGTTTTGTTTTGTTTTTGAGACAGAGTCTCACTCTGTCACCCCGACTGGAGTGCAGTGGCGCAATCTCAGCTCACTGCAACCTCAGTCTCCCAGGTTCAAGCGATCCTCCTGCCTCAGCCTCCTGAGTAGCTGGGATTACAGATAACACACCACCATGCCCAGCTTAGTTTTGTATTTTTAGTAGAGACGGAGTTTCCCCCAGGATGGTCTTGAACTCCTGACCTCAAGTGATCTGCCCGCCTCGGCCTCCTAAAGTGCTGGGATTACAGGCATGAGCCACCGCACCCAGCCCTATCTTTGTTTTTTGTTTGTTTGTTTGTTTTTGAGACAGAATCTCGCTCTGTCGCCAGGCTGGAGTGCAGTGGCACAATCTCAGCTTACTGCAACCTCCACCTCCTGGGTTCAAGCGATTCTCCTGCCTCAGCCTCCCGAATAGCAGGGACTATAGGTGCATGCCACCATGCCCAGCTTATTTTTGTATTTTTAGTGGAGACAGGGTTTCAACATGTTGGCCAGGATGGTCTCGATCTCTTTACCTCATGATCTGCCCTCCTCAGCTTCACAAAGTGCTGGGATTACAGGCATGAGGCACCGCGCCCGGCCCCATCTTTGTTTTTTTAATGGAGTTAAACTATGGTATTATTAGGTCACTTTGACAACTATCCTGTTGTTAATAAATGAGAGAGAAAAAGGAGATTTTATTTACGCTGATTCTTCCTCCTCCTACAGTTAAACTCATTGTCTGTTTGGAAGACCAGAATGTGAAGACAAGTAGTAGAAGAAAATGAATGCTGCTGCTGAGACTGAAGACCAGTATTTCAGAACTTTGAGAATTGGAGAGCAGGCACATCAACTGATCTCATTTCTAGAGAGCCCCTGACAATCCTGAGGCTTCATCAGGAGCTAGAGCCATTTAACATTTCCTCTTTCCAAGACCAACCTACAATTTTCCCTTGATAACCATATAAATTCTGATTTAAGGTCCTAAATTCTTAACCTGGAACTGGAGTTGGCAATACCTAGTTCTGCTTCTGAAACTGGAGTATCATTCTTTACATATTTATATGTATGTTTTAAGTAGTCCTCCTGTATCTATTGTATATTTTTTTCTTAATGTTTAAGGAAATGTGCAGGATACTACATGCTTTTTGTATCACACAGTATATGATGGGGCATGTGCCATAGTGCAGGCTTGGGGAGCTTTAAGCCTCAGTTATATAACCCACGAAAAACAGAGCCTCCTAGATGTAACATTCCTGATCAAGGTACAATTCTTTAAAATTCACTAATGATTGAGGTCCATATTTAGTGGTACTCTGAAATTGGTCACTTTCCTATTACACGGAGTGTGCTAAAACTAAAAAGCATTTTGAAACATACAGAATGTTCTATTGTCATTGGGAAATTTTTCTTTCTAACCCAGTGGAGGTTAGAAAGAAGTTATATTCTGGTAGCAAATTAACTTTACATCCTTTTTCCTACTTGTTATGGTTGTTTGGACCGATAAGTGTGCTTAATCCTGAGGCAAAGTAGTGAATATGTTTTATATGTTATGAAGAAAAGAATTGTTGTAAGTTTTTGATTCTACTCTTATATGCTGGACTGCATTCACACATGGCATGAAATAAGTCAGGTTCTTTACAAATGGTATTTTGATAGATACTGGATTGTGTTTGTGCCATATTTGTGCCATTCTTTTAAGAACAATGTTGCAACACATTCATTTGGATAAGTTGTGATTTGACGACTGATTTAAATAAAATATTTGCTTCACTTAGATTTGCTGGTTTTATTAGATACCAGGAAGCCTGGGACATATGTGTACCACATTAGAATTCTAAAGATAATGATTGATAAGCTAGAACTTTCTGATGTAGTCATTACATGAAACCCCTTGTCACTGGTTTGTGTGTTCAGAGGAAGCCATGGCCGAGATAGCTTTCCTGAAATAAACCAGTAGCTTTTCAGATTGACGTTCTTGCTACAATTGTACCATCTGGTAATTCCTGAAAATGTCAATTTTTTTGTGTTAATATTTTTGGTTTCAAACAATAACAAATGTCTCTAGAAAGAAATTTTAAGAAAGCTTAATTAATAGTAAAAATGCCTTTCCTGAAATAATCTTGGAAAATTTTTTAAATGTCAAAATGATGAGTCATGCTAATACATTGAGGGTTTGTTTTTTTGTTTGTTTGTTTGTTTGTTTTTGAGACAGAGTTTCGCTCTTGTTGCCCAGGCTGGAGTGCAATGGCACGATCTCAGCTCACCGCAACCTCCACCTCCCGGATTCCAGCGATTCTCCTGCCTCAGCCTACATTAAGGGTTTTGTCAGACAATTGTCACACGAAGAATAGTGTCACTTATCTACTCTTGACACACAGAACTGGCCTGGCATATAGCTTTCCAGATTTTACTCAAACTTGGTACTCCAGTTTGAAAATTTAAATTTTGACTGCTGATTAGCTGGAAAGCCTAGTTTTAATGGAAAGAAAGTTTGCTTTTAAAACTGAAAGTAGTTTCTTTTTGCTAACAAATCTAACTTCATACATAATTGGCCATATTAGTAAAACACCTCATGATAGCAGTGTATATATAGTCTTGTTTGTAGTTGGAAGTCATCTTTTAGGAGTTATTCTCAAATATATATAATAGCTACCCATGCATCATTATTAAAATCCCCAAATTCAAAAAACCTCTGATATATATATATAATTTTTTTTTTTTTTTTTTTTTGGCCAACTGAGATTGAAATCCAAGTGCTGGTTTCTAGTTCTGAACATCAACTAAAGAGTTTTGGAAATGACAGCAATTTATAACAAGTTCATATTGACTTCCTCTCTATGGCAGGAAGACATTCTGTGCTGTTTTGAACAGATTAAAGATTTGTGTAGTTTGTGGGAAATTGACGTTTTTGTTTAAATTCCACCCGCGTTTGTCTTTTCCTACCACCTGTGGCCAGGTGCTCGCTGGCCATCACAGTTGCGATTCCATGAGTAGCTGCTTTATGACTGCTTTTTGTACTATCTGGATGTGCCCAGAGTTACTTCTGTACAAGCTCTGTATCTATGTCCGTTGAGAACATTATTTTAACAAGAAGAACACCAACAGTAGCATGAAATATAATACTGTTTTATAATTCTAAAGCTGCTGTTAATTTATGAAGTACATAATAATCTAATGTAAACTGCAGAAGTCAGAGCAAGTGCCTACATTTTGTTATTTTTGGCATTACTACAGAGCCATGTACAATAGAAAGCAATGCAAGACTTGTAAACTCTCACCACTTCTTGTAATATCAAATGTTCCCCCTCAGGTTATTTTGCTTATGGTACCCATGAGTTGCCTCTCTCTGTACATAGATAAATTGTTCCAATATTTTCCTTTGATGTTTGGAACTACAGATAGTCAAGGGCTGGAAATTTTAGTTTTCAATATAAGCTTCCAGCTTAGCAATTACCTCTAGTCGAAGACAATATTTGATTCCTAGTTCTGTTTGGGGCAAATTTTCATTTATCTAAATAAAATGCAATCTAATTAAATGCCATGGATTTTCTTTCTGTAATTTCACTGTGATTCAGTTTCCATTGCTTTTCTCTTGTCTGTTGTGATATTCGTCATACATTTAAGCTCTGCTTTTAACTACTTAGCACCCTTTGTTCATAGAGCATCATGAGAGTTTGGAATGAATGTATCTAGGATAGGCGTGAGTCCACAAAGATCTCTATTCATGATCATAACCTTTTTGGGTCCTGGGCTCCTTTAATTAGAATCTCATTAAGCTTCTAGCTGACCTCGGACTCCCCAATATAAAGTTTTATGTACAGTTTTTGGATAGTCACACAAACCTTCTCTGAAATGCCAACCAATAACCAGAACCAGAGTTAGAACCTCTTTCTCCAACCCTGTAAGAAAGGAAATGGACGCAGTCCAAGGATTCCCAGATAGTAGCAGAGCTCGGAACCGGAACACAAAATCAGTGTCACATAAATTCAAATCTACATGACTATTTCTTTTAAACATTTATTTGTATTTTGATTTCATATTTTGTAGAGATGGGGTCTGGCTCTGTCACACAGGCCGGAAGGCAGTGATGCCATCAGAGCTCAGTGTAACCTTGAACCCCTGGACTCAAGGGATCCTCCCATCTCCTGAGTAGCTGGGACTACAGGCATGTGCCACCATGAGATGGGGTCTTGCCATGTTGCCCAGGCTGGTCTCAAACTCCTGGGCTAAAACAATTCTGTCTCGGCCCCCCAAAGTGTATTCTATTTTTTTTTGTTTTGAAATCCTAGTCAAGAATAGAGAATTATATACATCCATGTTTAATAGAGATGGGGTTTTGGTATGTTGCTTGGGCTGGTCTCAAAATCCTGGACTCAAGCAATCCACCCACCTCAGCCTCCCAGAGTGCTCAGATAACAGGCATGCGCCACCACACCTGGCCCTATTCTTTTTTAAATGAAAGTCATACAAATTTTATTAATGTGTACCTGGGAGCCTTCAGAATGAAGACCCAAAAATGCAGGGGAAATTGTCCATTTTAATATAGGTTCAACAAAGTATGGACGTGGAGAAATATGACTGGACAAAAGGGATATGATCTAATGCTAACAGACTGAGTGGGGAAACACAGCAAGGCCTGTCTGTCTAGATTCTTCTTGGTCTCTCTGAGCACGCATTCCTTCCTTCCGGGCATGGGGCATGGGGCAGGACGCTCTCTGGAATCAGAGACTTGTGACTTCAGTTAAACAACATGACCATTTTTTTCTTTTTCTTTTTCTCTTTTTTTTTTGAGACAGAGTCTCACTCCATCACCCAGGCTAGAGTGCAGTAGTGCAATTGAGGCTCACTGCAACCTCCGCCTCCCAGGTTCAAGCAATTCTCATGCCTCAGCCTCCTGAGTAGCTGGGACTGTAGGTGCCCACCACTATGCCCAGCTAATTTTTGCATTTTTAGTAGAGACGGAGTTTTTCCATGTTAGCCAAGCTAGTCTTGAACTGGCATCAACTGATCACCCGCCACAGCCTCCCAAAGTGCTGGAATTAGAGGCATGAGCCACTGTGCCCGGCCATGACTATTCATTTCTTTTTTTTTTTTTTTCAAGACGGAGTCTTACTCTGTCACCCAGGCTGGAGTGCAGTGGTGCGATCTCGGCTCACTGCAACCTCCGCCTACCGGGTTCATGCCATTCTCCTGCCTCAGCCTCCCGAGTAGCTGGGACTACAGGCGCCTGCCACCATGCCTGGCTAATTTTTTTATTTTTAGTAGAGACGGGGTTTCACCGTGTTAGCCAGGATGATCTTGATCTCCTGACCTTGTGATCCACCCGCCTTGGCCTCCCAGAGTGCTGGGATTACAGGCGTGAGCCACCGTGCCTGGCCGACTATTCATTTCTAATGAGATTCTGGAAATGGATCTGCTGGTCACAGACAACCTGGTATAACTTTGATACAAATGCGAGCTTCTCCTAACAGATTGCTTATTGTCTCCAACCTATATAATTGGAATTAGGAAAACAAGCTGAGCCCTTCTTTTAATATGAGAAAGCTGAGACTTTGAAGTGATAACACAGGTTGGGCTAAGCTAACCAGGATCTGAAGATAGCATGGTGGTGAAAATCATCATGATTTATTTATTTGAGAAAGGGTCTCACTCTATCACCCAGGCTGGAGTGCAGTCATGCAATCGTGGCTCACTGCAGCCTCAACCTCCTTGGCTCAAGCAATCCTCCCACCTCAGCCTCTACAACACCCACAGGTGTGCCCCACCATGCCCAGATAATTTTTTATATTTTGTAAAGACGGGGTCTCCCTATGTTGCTTAGGCTAGTGGTCTCCAACTCCTGGACTCTAGCCATCCTCCTGCCTTAGGCTCCCAAAGTGTTGGGATTACAGGTGTGAGACATCTTTACTGTAGTATTCTACAGTTATGAGTGAGGTCTTCTTGCAACTGTGCATATTCTTCTTCTATCACCTGTCGACATTAAAAGTTTTAACAGGAGAAGGGTAGTTTAACATGTAACCTTCAAGAGAGGCTTCACTGAGTATAACACCTATGTTTAGAGACCAGAGGTAGAATAACAATACCTAAATGATGAAATGAGGACCTAAGTCTAATGTGCCCACAAAAGAATATTGAGTACTAAAGCCCAGTGCTTAGTCTTAACCCTGTGTTTTTTTATTTGTTTTAATAATCTCAAATAACTAGGTATAATTAATGAACAAAGAGGCAATACTCTAAATAAGGCTAATTTTAAAACCACATTGTGCTTGATTCTACTTATCCCTGTGACCCTCAGGGGCTTACCTAATTCTTGGAAAAGTAGATGGAATTGCCTCTAGAATCTGAAATCTAAACATAACTAGGGTCCTTCTTAAAGACTATAGAAATAATACTGCAGAGATGGCCAGGGGGCCATTTCAAGATATGAGATTTATCCTACAAAGTCATTGAAATAGTTTGGCAGGGAAAAGATGCAATCCTCTTACCGTAGTGATCCGCAGTGTTGGGCTAGTGAAAGGTCCCACTCTCCACCCTGGTTTGTGCTGCCACGTGTCTGGTTACCACAACGGCTAGGATGTTACGGTATGTAATGAGTTACGGCCACAGATGTTTGACATCCTGCATGGCACAGAAAAACCCTGCATAAGACAGATGTTTCTACCTAAAATGTCAGTGGCATCTATCTTGCAGAGAATTGAGGCCTGGAGGTTGAGAGGAGGTCAGTTTACATGCTGTTAGAATAATCCAGGCAAGCTGGGTGTGGTGGGATGCAGCTGTAGTCCCAGGTAGGAGGCTGAGGTGGGAGGATCGCTTGAGCCTAGGAGTTCAAGATCAGCCTAACCAACACAGGGAGACTCCTGTCTCTTAAAAAAAAATAAAAAATACAATTAATAAAAGTTTAAAAAAAGAGAATAATCCAGACAAGAACTGATAATGGCCTATATTAAAGTAGGTGCAGTTTGGCTGGAGATCCGTGGGTGAGATCAAGAGCTGTTAGGAGGCAGATCGACAGGGCACGGTACCTGATTATCTTCTGTGGGAACTGTGGGGTGAAGAATGAAGTTTCTAGATTGCCAACCTGGATGTGGAGGCACATACTGACATGAGCGTGGAGGCAATTTGAGAAACCTAAGAGATATCCAAGAGTCAGTGGAGTTGGCAGCTCAGTATATGGGTCTCACAAACAATTCGGGACAGAGAGACAACTCTTTTGCCTCCTCTGTGTCCTTAGAAACACATAGAAGACAATCTACAAGATGCTTGCATCGCTTCTTAATAGCTCATGTGCAAACTTCAGCTTGGTGACTGAGAAAGAGTTCACCTGCCCTGTCTCAGCCATTCCTCATTTCAGAATGTGTAACTAAAGACTGTTCTTCACAAGATTTTCCCATTGTGAAAGTGCTTTATAAACGAGGAAGCAAATGTACCGTAAAGCATTAATATCGGTAACTGCAAGAGAAAGACAGATTTTGATAAAACTTTCCTCCAGAAGCAACTTAGTGACTGCTGATGACTGCTACTGTCTCCCTGAATATTTTGGTAGATTCAGAATAATGGGACTGATCTTCCCTAAAATGGCGCAAGACGGCCGGGCGCGGTGGCTCACGTCTGTAATCCCAGCACTTTGGGAGGCCAAGGTGGGTGGATCACCTGAGGTCAGGAGTTTGAGACCAGCTTGACCAACATGGAGAAACCCCATCTCTACTAAAAATACAAAATTAGCCGGGCGTGATGACGCACGCCTGTAATCCCAGCTCCTCGGGAAGCTGAGGCAGGAGAATCGCTTGAACCCGGGAGGCGGAGGTCGCAGTGAGCCGAGATCGGACCTTTGCACTCCAGCCTGGGCAACAAGAGCGAAACTCTGTCTCAAAACAAACAAACAAACAAACAAACAAAAACTGCACAAGTCTACATTGTATTCAGACATGCTCTTATTTAGAAGCTAAAGTCTACTTTGTGTGTGATACACATTCCTTTCCTCTCCCTGTTGCCTTTTGGGCATTGTTGCCTGCTAGCACATCTCCAGAGGGAGGGACGGAGGGACAAGTGGGGAGGAGGGACTGGAGTTGCGAGAGGGTCAAACCTGCAGTCTCTTCCCGGTCACTCCTGTCTCCCCAGGTTGTGTATGTTTCAGTATCTTGGCTCTCTCTGGCTGGCTGCTTTCAGACCTTTCCTTGTGGGTATCTCTTATCTAACTGGAAAGAGAAAAAAATTCTTTAGTCCATTTTCATTTGTTAAAAAAAAAAAAGACAGAAAAAAAAATAGAAACGGCAAAACACTAGGAAGAGTTTCTTACACAGTGTGATGGTATTTTTGAGACAGAGTCTTGCTCTGTCACCCAGGCTGGAGTGCAGTGGCACAATCTCGGCTCATTGCAACATCTGCCTCCCAGATTCAAGCGATTCTTGTGCTTCAGCCTCCTGAGTAGCTGGGATTACCGGCGTGCACCACCATGCCCAGCTAATTTTTGTATTTTTAGTAGAGATAGGGTTTCACCATGTTAGCCAGGCTGGTCTCAAAAATAAAATAAAATAAAAAGTTGGGGCAAGATGATCACAGCATCTTCAGAGAGTTCACTCATTTGATTCTCACAATCTTATGACCCAAAGCGGTTTTCAACATCTTCATTTTATAAGCATGGAAAATGCCACTCAGGTTAGAGCAATTGCCCAAAGTTCTGCAGACGAGAAGACACAGCAAGAAAACGACTCCTTGCCAGGCGCGGTGGCTCACGCCTGTAATCCCAGCACTTTGGGAGGCTGAGGCAGGTGGATACCTGAGGTCAGAAGTTCGAGACCAGCCTGACCAACATGGTGAAACCCTGTCTCTACTAAAAAATACAAAAATTAGCCTGGCATGGTGGCAGGCGCCTGTAATCCCAGCTACTCAGGAGGCTGAGGCAGGAGAATCTCTTGAATACGGGAGGTGGAGGTTGCAGTGAGCGGAGATCACGCCATTGCACTCCAGCCTGGGCAACAGAGCAAGACTCCATCTCAAAAAAAAAAAAAAAAAAAAAAAAAAAGAGAAAACGACTTCTCAAGCACTGCTCCACTACACATCCCCTTCCTGTATCTCTTTGGGTAGACAAAGACGCAGAGATGACATGACATCATATACTCATTTAATTAAACGTTTATTCAATGAAAGGATGTATAAAAACTTACAAATTTGAGAACTCAACTATACATGAAATAGGATGATGGGATATTCAGTTTTTAACATATACATATACTATAGCTATTAGCTATTCTCCCCTTCTCCTTCAGTCCTTACTTCTGGCTCCTGTTTTGTCTTGTGAGGCCCTTCTTTTATTGGCCTAACGGAAGATTAATGAACAATTTTTACTGCTTTCGGGCCAATGGAGAAAATTTCAGGCATTAAGAAAGAAGAAAGAAAAAAAAACAACCAAAAACCTGGAGAATAAACATCAAAATCAAGTTTTTTCCCAAACAGCAATTAGATTTTTTGTCCTGATTTCTCTTTGCCATTTATTTTTGATGCTTCAATTAATGTTGCCAGTAAACTATCAGCATTGACTTTCAGTCATTGAAGTTACTACATCTTCTGGTCACAAATTCCCCTGTAAGATGAGTATTCCTATATCCTTTTCCCTGCAGTACACACACTGATTTAAAAGTTAGTGTAAAACAAATTATCACTGGCAGCTGCTAGAAAATGGCATGTCATGTTCTATTCAGAAAGGCAATTTATAGAATAGTACATTCAAATTTGATTTTTAAAACAAATTTGTCAGAAACTCAAATACAGCATTTTGTTGTTGCTCAACTTGGAAAGAAGCCAGCAATGAGATAAGGATGTGCATTAATTCACCTGTTTATTAGCAAGTACCCACACATTTTTCTCTTACAAACACACAAACTCACAGCTTGTCATGTTGTACCCAAAAATTAAGATTGCCATCACATTATTACTTTTTCTCCTTTTTGTTTTGTTAAAGTAGATTTCTTAACTGATGATTTCTCTTAAGTGGACATAATCTCAAAGGATGCATTCTGAAGTAAGACACCTGGAGGATGAATACTAAGAACGTTTTCTTGGGTTTAAAGTTTCCCCACACTTTCTAGATTTTGCATAGTACAGAGCCCAGCCGTATTTCTAAGCAGCACGCTGTTATTTTCTGACATTGTTTTTCTGAGAAGACTTTTTACCCAGGGAAAGTCATAATTTTAGCTTACCAAATTGGATTCCAGTTGTTTTATTATATACCCTTCATTAGTTCCAAGTATGCTTCTGAATAATCTAAAACCTCTCAAAATTTGAGTTTATAAGTATAATGACCATTATCTTTCCAATATCCCCTGAAAGAAAGTCGATACATTCCAGGTTTATAATGCACAAAGCCTTTACAGAGGTGGGGCTGGGATGTGGAAAAGGGGAAGAGGAGAAGAGAACAAGGACCTGTTTGTATCATGCCATGGAGAACTACAGTTCTGAATTCAGGGAAGGGAGGGAAGATAGTCTTTGTAAAAATGAGAGTTTTTTAAAAAGATAAGTGACATTCAGTCTAGTAAGACGGTTTCTTGTTCCTTTTTGATGGAAGCTAACACTGGGTGGTCAGGCTCCGTTACTTCCGAGTCCCCACTGCCCAGGAGAATGGATCGCCCTTCGTCTAGGGCAAAAACATCCGAGTTCTGGTTTTGGCATGAATGTTTAACAACCTCATTGGGAGTGGAGAATGTTTTGTCACACAAGTTGCATTTGTAGGGTTTGTTTGTTTGCACCAGCATGTTGTCCATCTGACTCCCTTCCTCAAATGTGCAGAGTTCCAGAGTCTGTTTGTCCACCATGGTGTAAGTGTCGATGCTCTGGTTGAGGCACACGTGGCGGGCAGCCTGGTTGGCCCTGCAAAAGCTTTTGTCACAAGTGCTGCACTTGAAAGGCTTCCCGGTGTGTATGTACATGTGTTCCCTCCAGTGGCTTTTCTGGATAAATTTGCGTCCACATATTGTGCACTCGTACTTCCGCCTCTTCACCTCCCTCTCCTGGTCGGCCTGCTCCAGGTTGTCAATGTCAGCAATGTCTGAGGGGGGTGGGGTTTCCGACTGCTGCTGCCCATCGATGATGGGAGAATCAGAGATGTGCTGCAGCTCACTGTCACTTATCATCCCGGCTTCAGGCACTTCCATGGCATCTTTCCCGAGGTCAGCTGCATTGCTACAGAGAGTCAGGGGGACGCGACTTTCTCCCTGTTGGCTAGATGTGAAAGGTACTCCTGTGTGGATCTGGAGGTGTTCACGTAAGCTGCTCCGGAGAGTGAAGCGCCGTCCACACAGGTGGCAGGCATAGTACTTTGGAAAGCTCCCATTCCTCTTCATGATGCTTGGCTTGACGTGGGCTATTGTGAGGGACGCAGGCTGCTCATCGGAGGAAGATGCTTCCAGATTGGTCTCCTCCCCGGGAGGAGGGGGAGGAACAGGAGTGGAAACAAGTTCTGGAGACAGCGAGGTCTGCAGGGGGTCTGAGGGAGTCATATTTGTCCGATTCACCTGGGCCAGATTTGAAGTCAGCTGGGAGAGCTGTGAGGCCTCAGGGACCTGCTCCTGGCTTATCCTGGAGGTCTGTGGCCGTGGATCTCGCCCGAGTTTTTCAGGTGCTGAAGCAATCTTGGTGGCTTGTCTCAACTGATGATCTGCAATCTGAATGCCATACAATGAAGAAGCCAGTGGGAAAACTTGGTCAGGGTGAGAAAAGGCTCCCTGGCTGGCGAGGCTGGCTTCCTGAATGAGCGGGTAGGCGTGCAGAAACTTGATGCCCTGTTCTAATCGAACCGGGTCGATGAGCTGAGGCGCCATCTTCCCAGTGTACATCAAGTGTAAGAGATAGCTGAAGATGTCGGGCTGTATGTCAGTTGGTTTCAAGCGGACACACTCACTGAAAGAAACAAGTAAAAAAATACGTGAGTAAATGCCAGTCTAGGTGTTAACATAAAGCCTGAAGAAAAAAATGAATGCTTAAAAACAAAGGAAACAACATTTCCTATCCTTGATTTTTAGTAAGTTTCATGAAAATGGGATGAAATAATCAAGAGACGAAGTTCACGTTAAAGAAATGTGATATCTTAATCCACAGATTCTTAGAGCAGTTTTTCTCCTAGTAAGTTAATTTTTTTTTTTTTTTGAGGCGGAGTCTCACTCTGTCACCCAGGCTGGAATGCAATGGCACAATCTCGGCTCACTGCAAGCTCCGCCTCCCAGGTTCAAGTGATTCTCCTGCCTCAGCCTCCCGAGTAGCTGGGATTACAGGCGCTCACTACCACGCCCAGTTAATTTTTGTATTTTTAATAGAGACGGGGATTCACCATGTTGGCCAGGGTGGTCTCCAATTCCTGACCTCAAGTGATCAGCCCTCCTTGGCCTCCCAAAGTGCTGGGATTATAGGCGTGAGCCACCACGCCTGGCCAAGTTAAATTAAATATTATGTATTCTATTTTTATACAGAACTCCAGGAGTTCCTTATCAAATGCCACCATCAACATCAGCACTGCTCCTGGGCTTTACAGGGATGCCTTCTCACTTGATTGTCATTCATTCTCATTTTACAGGAAAGGATTGAGGATTAGAGGGTTAATAACCTGCTCAATATCATGTAGTTGGTAAGAGGTGGAGCTGGTATTTGAAACAATGTTTGTCTAAGTCCAAAGCCACCACAGCAAGATCCTTTAGAGAATCAAAACAATCCTGTATGGTAGATAAAGTGGATTTATTTAGTCCGATTTGACAGATATGGAAACTGAGGTCCCAAAAAGTTAAGTGATTTATCTAAGGCACCTAAAGCCGTTGAAGATGCTATTAATTTTATAACTTTAGATTCTACTCCTTTTATCATTTCAGAAACATCATTCCTGATCAAGCAGTAATAATGAAGAGGTTCCCAAGAACTCTTCCCAGACCATCGGTAGTAACAAATTCTAAAGCATCATTAGAAATTAGTGAGATCTATATCCACATATCACAAGGTATATATTATATTCCACTGAGTGGATATTCTATAGACAATGCATTTCAAATTCAAAGACAGCTTCCTTGAATGCTTTTAGAATTTATAATTTTCTTTTATTATACTTTTTGTATTGTAATCTTCTTTGGCCCTTTTAGCAATCATGTTCATTTGATTAACAAATATTTTCTTTTCTTTTCTTTTTTTGAGACGGAGTCTTGCTCTGTCACCCAGGCTGGACTGCAGTGGTGCGATCTCGGCTCACTGCAAGCTCCGCCTCCCGGGTTCACACCATTCTCCTGCCTCAGCCTCCAGAGTAGCTGGGACTACAGGTGTCCGCCACCACACCCGGCTAATTTCTTTTTGTATTTTTAGTAGAGACGGGGTTTCACCATGTTAGCCAGGATGGTCTTGATCTGCTGAACTCGTGATCTGCCCGCCTCGGCCTCCCAAAGTGCTGGGATTACAGGTGTGAGCCACCGCGCCTGGCAACTTTGTTGTTTTTTGTTTTGTTTTGAGACAGAGTCTCACTCTGTCACCAGGCTGGAGTGCAGTGGCACAATCTCAGCTCACTGCACCCTCCATCCCCTCGTCCAAGTGATTCTCCTTCCTCAGCCTCCCGAGTAGCTGGGATTACAGGCGTGTGCCACCAGTCCCGGCTAGTTTTTGTGTATTTAGTAGGGATGGGGTTTTGCCATGTTGGCCAGGCTGGTCTCGAACTCCTGACCTCAGGTGATCTGCCCACCTCGGCCTCCCAAAGTGATGGGATTACAGGCGTGAGCTACTGCGCCTGGTCATTTTTCTTTCTTTTTTTTTTTAATTTTGAGACGAAGTCTTGCTCTGCTGCCCAGGCTGGAGTGCAGTGGCATGATTTTGGCTCACTGCAATCTCCGCCTCCCAGGTTCAAGTGATTCTTCTGCTTCGCCTCCCAAGTTGGGATTACAGGTGCCCGCCACCAGGCCCAGCTAATTTTTGTATTTTTTTTAGTAGAGACAGGATTTCACTGTGTTGGCCAGGCTGGTCTTGAACTCCTGACCTCAAGTGATCTGCCCATCTCGGCCTCCCAAAGTGCTAGGATTACAGGCATGAACCACCGCGCCTGGCTGACTTTGGTGTAAATTTTGTAATTCTTTTCTCATTCATTGTTGGATAGGCTGTCTTATCTATCACTTATGAATGGTGACTCAACGGTAAGCCTCTCAAATTTGAAAGAACTATGTACAGTCTCAGATGGCAAAAAAGGGACACAGCTGGGGACACCTTGGCCCACACTTTAGGCAGGCCTGGAGGGAGGACTCCAAGGGGCCAGGGAAAAGAAAGCGGCGAGTCCCTGGGGTTTACAGCCAGGGATGCGAGGGCCCAAGGAGGTCTCCAAACACCAATTTATTTTGATTAAAAACAATTTTTTTTGAGAGAGGGGGTCTTGCTCTGTAGGCCCAGGCTGGAGTGCAGTGGCATGATCATAGCTGACTGCAGCCTCAGCCTCCTGAGTAGCTCAGACTATAGGCACATGCCACTACACCCAGCTAATTTTTAAACTTTTATAGAGACAGGGCCTCACCATCTTGCCCAGGTTGGTCTTGAACTCCTGGGCTCAAGAAATCCTCCTGCCTCAGCCTTGGGATTACAGCATTGGGATTACAGGCGTGAACCACTGCACGCAGCCTTAAAAAAAAATTTTTTTTTTTAAAGCAGAAGCACATGTGCACACATACACTTAAAAAACAGGTGGAGGCTGGGCGCAGTGGCTAATGCCTATAATCCCAGCACTTTGGGAGGCCGAGGTGGGTGGATCACCTGGGGTCAGGTGTTCAAGACCAGCCTGGCCAACATGGCAAAACCCTGTCTCTATTAAAAATACAAAAATTAGCCGGGCGTGGTGGTGCGCAGCTGTAACCCCAGCTACTGGGATCGCACTCCAGCCTGGGCGACAAGAGCGAGACTCCATCTCAAAACAAACAAACAAACAAACAAAAAACAGGTAGAATTTTTCAAAGTTCCTTAATGTACATTTCAGCCATCTCCATCCCTGACTGCTTTTATTTCCAGGCAGCTTGACCTCTGTCAATCACTCAGCTCACTATGCGCCAGACTTTGGTCTTTTCCCAGTCCTGTGGAAAGGACATAGTTCTCTACAATATACTTACATCTAAGTAGTTTCCAGATATGTTTGACATAACATTTTTTTTTGTTTTGAAATGGAGTTTCACTCTTGTTGCCCAGGCTGGAGTGCAGTGACACGATCTCGGCTTACTGCAACCTCCGCCTCCCGGGTTCAAGCAATTCTCCTGCCTCAGTCTCCCGAGTAGCTGGGATTACAGGTGCACGCCACGATGCCCGGCTAATTTTTCTATTTTTAGTAGAGATGGGGTTTCACCATGTTGGCCAGGCTGGTTGACATACTTTCATGTAGGAAAAAGATGAATATAGTTTTACTACAGCTATAAGCCCTTTCGTATAAACTTCCATAGTAATTTCCGTTTTCAATTATTCCTTCACTAGAATTTTAAAAGAAATGATAGGCTTAAACAACTTTAAAAGTAAGGATTTTTGAATAACATTAGCATTGTCAGAAGGTTGTACTTAGAAAGGCCTCTCCCTCAGTGGTTTTATTTTTGATAGCTGAAAGTCTGTAGTTGTCTGTGATTTAAACATACCACTCGGAGTAGTAGACATAAGACAGGGACATCTAGTGGTAACTACAGCCAGAAATCTCCCTTGGAGCCAAACTTGAAAAAACTGACCGTATTCTCAGTCTATGTCTGAGTAGCCAGGCAGCAGTGTGTCATGCCCCACAGAGGAGGTGCTGGTTGAAAAGTACGCCCCTGGCCTTCACCCTGAGTTTGCCTTGCCTCGAGGAGCTTGAATTCTGCACTAGGAGGCAGGCAAAGCTGGCCACTAGGCATGTGTCACCTCTGGTGCAGTAATACACCTGTTGCTTTACACTGTTGTATTACACAAATATCACACCTCCTTGTTAGAAAGGCATTTATTTACTGCCCTATACTTAAAGGTGGGTTTCTTGCATCGAATTAAAACTCATTACGTAGTATTTTTGCACTCCTCAAGATTAAAATTGCCTCCTTTTCAATACCATTGAATTCACTGTGTTGAGACTGCCCAGTACAAAACCCCTACTAGGCCTTAAGTCTCTGACACACTGGAGTTAAAGGGAGCATCCTTAGTATTGCCAGAGGAGCCAACCCTCCTGGGTTATTCTGCAGTTGTCCCATCTGCTCCTCCAGACATTGATCAAGTGGCTATTCTATTGTGTGCAAATACTTCAGTCATACTGGGTGGTGGCGGCAAAGATTTGTAAAACCCAGTCCCTGCCCTCAAGAAACTTACAAGTGAAGAAGGGGGTAGGTACACACATAACAACATAGGGGAAAGGTGCACATTTGCACTCTTGTACACATATGCACTCTTATAAAGGAGCACAATTAAAGTGTTATGAGCCATAAGCGAGGACGTGGTCACTGTCGTTTGTTTTGTTTCACTTGACTGGGAGGGGTCCTGCATGAGCTGGGACTCAGGGAGTGGGCAGGATACCAGCAAAATGCGGTCCAGGTGAGCTGAAGCCATGAAAGCAGATCTGGTTAAGGTGAAGATGAGGGGTGGTGTGTCCCAGAGGGCCCAGTCGCAGATGAGACTAGAAGGAGGTTGGGCTCCAAGCCTGTGGGGCCTTGGATGACAGAATAAGGAGCCTGTGTGTTATTTTAATATGCACTGGGCATCCCCGGGGTTTCTGATCCAACGAATAACCCAGTATAGTAGGTTTCTCATCAAACACTACAGTCAAAGCAGTGTTTGGAAATACGAATCCAATAGTAATGTGGAGAATGGGTGATGAGGTAATGGAAGTGAGAAAGGAAAAGAAGTGACAAATGTGAAAGGTAATTTGAAGAAAACATGATTTGGGGACTGAGTTAAGCTTGGGATACTTGAAGATAAGAAAATAGGCAGGAGGAACTTCGGAGAAGGCCTAATTCAGTACATCCTCAAAGACACAAAAGGAGATACTCAACTCTAAATGCCCAGCACACAGCCTGAGGCCTTGGGAATAGAGTTCTGGAGACAGAACAGTCAAGGCCAGAGTTATAAACTGAAGTTTCCAGCAGAGGCGAGATCTAGGAAAAAGACACACACCCATAGGAAGGGTGCAAAAGACAAAATTTACCAAAGGCCCAGGTTTAGAGGGCAGAAAAACAAGAGATATTCAGCTATAAAAATGCAGATGACAACCACTTAAGAAGGAAGCAAACAACAGCAGATGCTGGAGGACAGGATGCTAGAAGGCTGAGAGAAGGGCAGTGGTTTTGATGAGGGGTGACCTTTGAGAAAAGACTGCAGCAGAATGAAGGAGGGGAGGAAACCACAGCGCGCACTGATAGGAAGAGTGTGGGATGAGGAGAGTGCAGGCGAGGACCTCGATTACCCTTTTAAGGGCTTTCATAGTAAAGTGAAGGAGAAGCAGCACCGTAACTCAGGCAGACAGCAGTGTCCAGGATGTGCTGATCCCACATGGGCTGGGGGCAGGGTGGGGGGTGTATGAAAACAGATAAAAAGAACAGAATAAAAATAGAGGAGTGGGAACTCCCAGCATGAGGGAAGAAGGGAGATCATTTTCCAGAGACACTGAGATGCCCTTTTCTCAAGACAGGAGAGATGAGAAGAAAGAAACTGAGCAAAGATAGAGCTGTTTTAAGATAGAAAAGAGGGAAACTGGAGAAATTCATGCCCTCGAGCTTCTTGTTAGAGGAGGAGACAAGAATAAATGCTGAAAGTCAGGGGGATACTCAGGGGACTGGGGCTGGAGGAATGAGAGATAGGGCTTAGATAATGAGTCCAGGAAAGATTACTGCTGGAAGGGTTCGCTGAGGTTGGGTGGCTGGCTTTATAATGGACCTGATCTTGCCGGGTGTGGTGGCTCACGCCTGTAATCCCAGCACTTTGGGAGGCCGAGGCGGGCAGATCACGAGGTCAGGAGATCGAGACCGTCCTGGCTAACACAGTGAAACCCCGTCTCTACTAAAAATACAAAAATATTAGCCGGGCGTGGCGGCGGGTGCCTGTAGTCCCAGCTACTCGGGAGGCTGAAGCAGGAGAATGGCGTGAACCCGGGAGGCGGAGCTTGCAGTGAGCCGAGATTGCACCACTGCACTCCAGCCTAGGCGACAGAGAGAGACTCCGTCTCAAAAAAAAAAAAAAAAAAAAAAAAAAAAAAAAAAAAATGGACCTGATTTTGCAGATCCTGACCATGCAGGTGACACCCAGCGAGGGCATCTGGAGGTGGAAGGGCTGCATAGAGCTGGCAGGTCCAGTGATTCTCAAGTGCTACTGAAAGCACCTGTAACAAGAAGGGTAGTGGGGGCGAGTGAGGCCACAAGGGAGCAGGTCACCTAGGAGCTAGGAGACGTAGAGAGACCCATGGTCTTGATGAGGGCCAGGGACATGGAGGTTAAGAAGTCTACAGTCATTAGGTTATTAGCAACCACTTTAGTTACCTGGTCTGATGGACAAACAACATCTTAAAGTAATTGGAGAATGAAGCAAGAACTGATTTGTGTGCCTTGAAGTATACATCGCCGATTGCAACCGTGCAGTCACACAGGAAACCAAACTCTCGCTGAGCGTTTAACTGTTGCAGTAGAATAAGTCCATGGTTGGCCAAATCCATTTTTTAAAAAATCTGCAAAGCAAACAATTTTATTTTTAAGAAGGTGATTCACAAATAAGAATGTGTCCTTTATAGTCACCAACAGTCATGATCATAGCTAACATGTCATCATAGCTAACGTGTCAGGCACTGCTAAAAACGTTACACAGATTAACTCATTTAGTCTTCCTAACAGTCCTCTGAAGTAGTTATGTCATTATGCCTTTAAAAAAAAAAAAAAAAAAAAAAAAAAAAAAAAAACCAGATGATGCCATTTAAAGTAAATTAGGGAGTTATGTGATTTGCCCAAGCTCACACAGATGGTAATGGAGAAGCCAGGAAATGAACTCAGGTGGTCTGCCTTTAAGCATCACGTCCTGGAGACAGACAGCAAATATCTTGGACCATCGAGTCTTTTAGTTTAAAATTCCAAATGCAAATGGAGTCTTTTAGTTTAAGATTCCAAATGGAAATTCTAATGATGCATCAGAGTTTGTCAATTCTTCCACAGAGATAGATAAATTAAGGTGTTGGGGCGGGGTCCCAGCAGGGCAGGGTGAGAATCAATAAGTCTGAGGGCCAATAGTCCAGCTCCTGCTGTGTGCTCCTGCTGGTGATGTAACAGCCCCATCACCCCTGACCCTTAACACTTACGGAGGAAGTGGGGTTGGAGCTCTGCTTCCTTCCTTGTGGAGGGAGGAAACCGGTCTTGAGAAGTATAAGTAATTTGCCCCAGGCCTTCTAGCCAAAAGGTGGGAGGGTCAAAATTTAAATGTGAATGTACTGATTCCAAATTCTATGATTTTCATTATTCACACTTGACCCTGGCAAACCCCGCTGGCCTGAGTCTATTTATAATAGAGAGGCTGCCTGACATTGCCTGGTTCATCAAATCACTAGTCTGCTCCTTTTCCACAAAGAGCATTTATAAAAGCCCATTACACACAGACCAACATTATATTTAACATTATACTTAATGGTAAGAAAGGGTGAATGCCTTCTCCATAAGATTGGGAACAAGGCAAAGATGTCCCCTCTCGATATTCAACACAGCACTGGAAGTTCTAGCTCACGCAACAAAGCAAGACAGGAAATAAAAAGCATATAGAAGAAAAAGAAAAAAATAAAATTGTCACTATTTGCAGATGACACGATTGTAACACAGAAAGTCCCAAGGCATCTATTAAAAAAAAAAAAAAAAAGGCCAGACATGTTGGCTCACGCCTGTAATCCCAGCACTTTCGGAGGTGGGCGGATCACGAGGTCAGGAGATCAAGACCATCCTGGCCAACATGGTGAAACCCCGTCTCTACTAAAAAAAAAAAAAAAAAAAAAAAACAACAAAAACAAAAAATTAGCTGGGCGTGGTGGCAGGCGCCTGTAGTCCCAGCTACTCCGGAGGCTGAGGCAGGAGAATGGCATGAACCCAGGAGGCGGAGCTTGCGGTGAGCCGAGCTCACACCACTGCACTCCAGCCTGGGTGACACAGCGAGACTCCATCTCAAAAAAACAAAACAAAACAAAACAAAAAAGACCTTGTAGAACTAATAAACGAGTTTGGCAAGTCATAAACATACAAAAAAAAATCAGCTGTAATTCTATATGCTAGCAATGAACATGTGGACTGAATTAAAAAGATAATACCATTTAAAATCACTCAAAAAATGAAATACATGGGTGTAAATCTAACAAAACATGTGCAGGACTTGCATGTTGAAAACTATAAAACACTGGTGAAAGAAATAAAGGATCTAAATAAACAAACAGATATACTATGATTATGGACAGGAAGACTCAACATGGTAAAGATACCAATTTTCCCAAACTGACATATAGGTTTGATGCCATTCCTATAAAAATCCCAGCAACATTTTTTTGTAGATATAGACAAAATTATTCTAAAATGTACATGTAAAGGCAAAGGAACTAGAATAGCTAAAATTATATATGTATATATTTAGACAAAGTTCTCACTCTTGTTGCAGGTAGCAGTGCAGTGGCACAATCTCAGCTCACTGCAACCTCCATCTCCTGGGTTCAAGCAATTCTCCTGCCTCAGCCTCCCTGGGGTAGCTGGGATTACAGGCACAGGCACGCACCACCAAACCTGGCTAAGTTTTTTTTGTATTTTTAGTAGAGATGGGGTTTCACCATGTTGGCTATGCTGGCCTCGAACTCCTGACCTCAGATGATCCACCCGCCTCGGCCTCCCAAAGTGCTGGGATTACAGGTGTGAGCCAACACGCCTGGCCTAAAATAATTTTTAAAAAAGAACCATAAAGTGGGAGAAACCAGTCTACCCAATTTCAAGATGTAGTACATTGCTATAGTATTCAAGACTGTGTGGTATTGGCAGAGGGACAGAGAAGTGAATTAATAGAACAAAACTGTGAACCCAGAAGTAGACACACATAAATATGCACAACTGATTACTGACAAAGGCACAAAAGCAATTCAGTGGAGGAAGAATAAGCTTTTCAACAAATGGTGCACGATCTACTGGACTTCCACAGGCAAAAAAGAAAAAAGACAAAGAACTTTGACACTTAAGTCTCATACTTTATATAAAAATCAACTCAAAATGGATAACAAACTTAAATGTAAAACACAAAACTATAAAACTTTTGGGAAAAAAAGTAAGAAAATCTAAAATCTAGGGCTAGTCAAAGAGTTTTTACACTTGACATCAAAAGCAGAATCCATAATGAGAACTTGATAAACTGGACTTCATCAAAATTAAAAACTTTTGCTCTCCGAAAGACCTCATTGAGAGGATGAAAACACAAGCTCAAAGACTAGGAGTCAATATTTGAAAACTTTTGCAAACTAGTCCTTTGACAAAGGATTAGTAACTGGAATATATAAAGAACTTTCAAAACTCAACAGTAAAAAAAAATCAAATCAGAAAATATGTAATAGACTTGAAGAGACATTTCACCAAAGAGGATATACAGATGACAAGGCAAATAAAACACATGAAAAGATGTTCGAAACCACTAGCCACTAGGGAAAAGCAAATTAAAACCACAGTATCACTGTGCACCTATTAGAATGGCTAAAATAAGAAACAGTCACAACACATGGTGGCAAGAGTGTGGAGAAGCTGGATCATTCATACACTGCTGGTAGGAATGTAAAATGGTACAGCCACTCTGGAAAAGAGTTAGCAGTTTCTTAAAAAACTAAAAATGCAACTACCACATGACCCAGCAACTGCACTCCTGGACGTTTATCCCAGAGGAATGAAAACTTATGTTCACACAAAAACCTGTACAGGAATGTCCATAGCAGCTTAATTCCTAATAATCAAAAACTGGAAACAACTCAGATGTCCTTCAATGACTAAATAAACACACTATGGTATGCCCACACAGAGGAAAACTACTCAGCCATAAGAAGAAACGACCTACTGATAACGTACAACAACTTGGGTGAATTACACTCAGTGAAAAAAGCCAATCCCAAAATATCATATACTGTATGATAACACTGATATAATATGTGTGAAAATTATGGAAAGGGAGAACAGATTAGTGGTGGGGGGGGTGTGGGGTAGTGGGTGGGCATGGCTATGGAAGGGCAACATGAGGGATCCTTGTGGTGATGGGAATGTTCTGCATGTCAAAATCCCAGCTGTGATACTGTACTATAGTTTGCAAGATGTTTCCATTAGGGGAAACTGGGTAAAGGGTATATGGGATCTCTATTTCTTGCAGCCGCATGACTCTGTAATGCTCTCAAAATAAAGTTCAATTTTTTTTTTTTTTTTGAGACAGAGTTTCGCTCTTGTTGCCCAGGCTGGAGTGCAATGGCACCATCTTAACTCACTGCAACCTCTGCCTCCCGGGTTCAAGCTATTCTCCTGCCTCAGCCTCCTGAGTAGCTGGGATTACAGGTGCCCGCGACCATGTCTGGCTAATTTTTTTTTTTTTTTTTTTTTTTGAGATCGAGTCTCGCTCTGTTGCCCAGGCTGGAGTGCAGTGGTGTGATCTCGGCACACTGACACCTCCGTTGCTGGGTTCAAGCGATTCTCCCGCCTCAGCCTCCCGAGTAGTTGGGACTACAAGCGCCCACCACCATGCCCAGCTTATTTTTTAGTAGAGATGGGGTTTCACCATGTTGTTAGCCAGGACAGTCTTGATCTCCTGACCTTGTGATCCGCCCACCTTGGCCTCCCAAAGTGCTGGGATTACGGACGTGAGCCACCGTGCCCGGGCAAGTTAAATTTTTAAAAGCCTACTACACATTAATTGACTAAATTTTTAAAAAGTGAGTATGCTAAACTTCAGAGTTAAGAATGCACTGTAGATAATGCACTATCAATAAGCTTTAAAAAAAATCAAAGTAGACTCAGCAATTTTTAAAATTATTTATTTATTTATTTTTAGACTAGTCAAGTGCAGTAGTAAGGGGGAATAAAGTAGAACAAGGCATTTGATCTGTAACCAAACAATCGCAATAACTCACTATCTTCGCACCAGCCATCCACAGCAATTCTTAATCAGCAGGTGCTGGACTCCCTACTCTCCCTTCCTGCTCTAGGGATGTTCAGGCAGATTCAGAAATTAACAAATATACCCTAAAATAGACAAATGTAATGGAATAATACTTTAAGAGACTGATCAGGTCACAAATCAAGAATCCAGAATGTCAAATTTCATATTTTCTGCCACGAGTCATATCTAAGCACGAGATAGGAGAGTCATCCAATTTTGCACATCATTTGGGTATAAAGACCTAGACTGTTGTCTCATGCAAACAGATGGTATGGATCAGTTTCCCCACTACTTTCTGTGTATGCCAGAGAAGGTGAAAGCACTCAGGTTAGGAAGGAGAGGCACAGAAAAGGCATGGGGTTCATGATGAAAGCCAGAGAACTGCTGGGTTGCAAAAGTAACCTGGATTACAGAGAAACATCACTCTAACCTGACCTCCACCAAGGCATAACTTAGAAGCTTGTCTTCAAGGTTATTCTCCGTAAAGTGCCAGAATACTTCCTTTTGCATCTTACTAACCTGCTTTTCTCATTAAAAAAGTATCCTCTGAGACCCAACTGTGATATGCTCCCTGCCATGTCCTCTGACTCTGATCATGCTGATCATATTTAGGCAGCTTGAGGTCCCACAGCTTCAGGTGTCACGCTCATCAACAGTAGCTTCAAGTACAGGAAAACATTACTATTTATCCCTTGATGATAATGATAAGAATTGTTTCTTATGGAGTGCTACTATTGGCCATCATTTACATATGCTATTAATTTAATTTCACATCAACTTGAGATATTTGAAGTATTGCTGCCCACATTTATAAACGAGGAAATAGGGTTAGAGAGGGTAGGTGGCTTGCCCAAGCTTATAGAACCAGTACATTCAATAAGTAGGCTTTAAACTGGGATTCACTTGGTTAGTTGGAATGTGCTACATGACAGTGTGTTTGTTTTAAATTAATATTATTATTTGCTGCTGCTTTTAAGTACATATACTTATTATAAAAGATTCAAATATTATGGACACACAAAATGTGAGATTTTTCTATCCACCTCTACCGTAACTCTTTTCTCCGTACTCTAGTTAATACTTGGTATTCTTTGCCAATATGGCTTTTTTACTTTGTATGCCTTTAATAATGAAGTAAAGCTTATTTTTACATTTATTGACCATTTGTATTTCCTTTAGTATCTTTTCATGAGCTCTGCCCATTTTCCTATTCGATTGTCTTTTTCTTACCAATTTAATAAAACCAGGCCAGGTGTGGTGGCTTATGCCTCTAATCCTAGCACTTGGGGAGGCCAAGGTGGGAGGACTGCTTAAGCTCAGGAGTTCAAGACCAGCCTGGGCAACATGGAGAGACCCCCATCTCTATAAAAAATTTAAAAAATAGCCAGGGATGGTGGCACACACCTGTGGTCCCAGCTACTCTGGAAGCTGAAGTGGGAGGATCACTTGAGCCCAGAGGGTTGAGGCTGCAGTGAGCCATGTTAGCGTGCACTCTAGCCTGGGAAACAGAGTGAGACCCTGTCTGAAAAAAAAAAAAAAAAAAAAAAAGAAAAAAAGAAATCTATAAAACTCTTTGTATATAAGGAAAATAGGCCCTGTGTCACATATGTTCTAATAATTTTCTCACTTTCTTTGCATTTGTTTATAGAGATTTTGACAAACACAATTTTATGTTTTAATGCCATCAAATTTGTCAATATTTTATAGGAGGATTTTGAGGTTTTGGTTTTTACATGAATGGGTGTATATTATTTCCTTCAATATAGCAAACTATATGGCTCCCTCTCTTTCCACAAACGGACTAACATAAGCATTCTATTCAGACCATAAGAATGAAGTCATGATAGAAACGCTCAATATTTTTTAAGGGAGTCTACCAGTTATTTTAGAATCTCAATTTAGGAATTTAAGAGAGTCTACTAGTTATTTTAGAATGTCAATTTAGGAACATCCCCTAGATCAGGAAACACACTGAACATAAGCATTCAAATACAGAGGAAAGAATACATGCGCATGACCAGAGAAATGAAAAAAAAAAATGAAAAAGCAGAAAAACAGAACAAGTCGCATGTTCAAAATTCACGAGGGGGAAAATTCACACAGATCAACTTGAAAAAAATCTTCTTTTGGAGACCAAAAAACCTTTCTCAAAAAGAAAACCAAAACCAAAACCCCTAGACTGTTCCATATGTGAACTGCCTGAGGAAATGGGGCAAAAGGGTGGAGAAGGTACTATGGGCTCCACCCTGGCCCCTGCCCAGTGACAGTACTGACTTCTCTTAAATCTTTCTTTCCTCTTTTCTCATCACGGCTTCCCTTCATACTCATTTCCATGAGGCTTAACTGGCCCAAAATACGCCAGCTAGGGCCCTGGCATCCTCGTGGATGGCTTGGCTGAGGCCGCCCCTCTTTTGTGGGAATGGCTGTCTGCTCTTCCCACCTCCAGGCCAGCTCCCGCCCGGCTCTGCTCACCAAGATCACCAAGGACCTTGTTCCCCAGCCTCAGGGACTCAGTGGCTTACTCAGCCTCTTGGCGGCATTTTGTACTCTTCCTCCCGCTCTGATAAATCTTTGGTCTCTGGTTTTCAGGCTGCAGCTCTCTGGTTTTCGACTCACCACAGGCTGTTCTATTTTAATCCCCATCCAGGGGTTCCACTTGCTGGTCTCCTCTGCGCCTGGTCCCCAGCCTACTCCTCATTCTGTAGCCTCTTTGGTGATCTCTTTCACTTCTCCTTGGCTGTCCCCCAGGAACCTTAAACTTGATTTAGGTAAAACTCAACTCAATACCTCCCTGTCCTCTCACTGCCATTTACCCCAAAGGACAATAAAAACCAGGTACACAAATCTGCTCCCTCTTTATTTCCTGGCTCAGTGCAGGGCCCTGCTTCCACCCTCTGGCCAAACCAGAAATCTCAATTCATCCTCAGGGCTCCATTCTCTTACTCCTCACATCAGCCCCCAATTGCCATTAATTGAAACTTTACCCTCCTGCCACACCTTTAGCCTCACCTCCCAACTCATCTCTCCATCTCCAGTTTTGGCCTCCTTCATGCATCCACCACACAACAGCCAGAATGACCTTGCGAAAGGGCAAACCTGATGTCACCTGCTTAAAATCCTCCTGTGGGCCGGGCACAGTGGCTCACGCCTGTAATCCCAGCACTTTGGGAGGCTGAGGCGGGCAGATCACCTGACGTCAGGAGTTTGAGGCCAGCCTGGCCAACATGGTGAAACCCCGTCTCTACTAAAAATACAAAAATTAGCCTGGCATGGTGGCGAGTGCCTGTAATCCCAGCTACTCAAGAGGCTGAGGCAGAAGAATCACTTAAACTTGGGAAGTGGAGGTTGCAGTGAGCCAAGATCATGCCACTGCACTCTAGCCTGGGTGACACAGAGAGACTCCATCTAAAAAAAATAAAAAATAAAAATAAAAATAAAAATAAAATAAATAAATAAAATCCTTCTGTGGTTCCTTACTGCCACTAGGATAAAATCCCAGTGCCGCTGCACCTCTTCCAGGGTCCTGCACCATCTAATAGTTGCTTACTCTGCATCCCATACTCTGGTGCTAACCTAAACTAATGCTTTCCAGGCTTTCTGATTTCACAGACGTACTAAAAACAACAAACCTCTAAACTAGGGTCCAACAGAGTGTTGCTCCCTCTTTATTTTGCCAGCAAAGACACAAAACATTCACAAACCTGGTAGGCTCTTACACATAAATACACAGAAATGACACAGTATCAGTATTATCCTCCCAGAGGAAGGGCAGGTGGCACTATATTCAATGCAGTCATACCTTGCTTAACAACAGAGATACGTTCTGAGAAATGCATCGTCAGGCAATTTTGTCATTGTGCGAACATCCTAAAGGTACTTCCACAAATCTAGTTGGTATAGCCTACTACACAGGCCTAGGCTATATGGTAATCTACTGCTCCTAGGCTACAAACCTGGACAGCATGTTACTGTACTGTAGGCAATTATAATCCAATGGTAAGTATTTGTGTATCTAAACAGCTAAACACAAAAAACTTACGTAAAAATATGGTATTATAATCTTATGGGACCATTGTTGTACATGTGGTCTTTCATTCACTGAAATCTTATTATGGGTACATGACTATGTATGAAAAAATACTTTTCTTTTTCCTTTTTTTTAGATGGAGTTTCGCTCTTGTTGCCCAGGCTGGAATGCAATGGTGCAATCTCAGCTCACCACAACCTCCGCCTCCCGGGTTCAAGCAATTCTCCTGCCTCAGCCTCTAGAGTAGCTGGGATTACAGGAATGTGCCACCACCCCTGGCTAATTTTGTATTTTTAGTAGAGAGGGGGTTTCTCCATGTTGGTCAGGCTGGTTTCGAACTCCCGACCTCAGATGATCCACCCGCCTCGGCCTCCCAAAGTGCTGGGATTACAGGCATGAGCCACTGCGCCTGGTCTTTTTTTTTTTTTGAGACAGAGTTTCGCTCTTGTTGCCCAGGCTGGAGTGAAATGGCGCGCAATCTTGGCTCACTGCATCCTCCACCTACCCGCTTCCCCCAGCGATTCTCCTGCCTCAGCTTTCCGGGTAGCTGGGATTACAGGCGCCTGCCACCATGCCCAGCTAATTTTTGTACTTTTAGTAGAGACGGGATTTTACCATGTTGGCCAGGTTGGTCTCGAATTCCTGACCTCAGGTGATCCACCCGCTCGGCCTCCCAAAGTGCTGGGACTATGGGCGTGAGCCACTGGACCTTGCCCTGAAAAAATATTTTTCTAATGCAAACAAATTACAACATAAAATGTTACTTTAATACATTAAGTTGTATCTAATTTTTTTTTTTTTTTTTAGATTGAGTCTCACTCTGTTGCTCTGGCTGGAGTGCAGTGGTGTGATCTCAGCTCACTTCAACCTCTGCCTCCTGGGTTCAAGCAATTCTCTGCCTCAGTCTCTCAAGTAGTTGGGATTATAGGCACCCACCACACCTGGCTAATTTTTGTATTTTTAGTAGAGACGGGGTTTCACCATGTTGGCCAGGCTGGTCTTGAACTCCTGACTTCGTGATCCACCCGCCTCGGCCTCCCAAAGTGCTGGGATTACATGCGTGAGCCACCGCACCAGGCCTGTATCTAATTTTTTATATGGGGTCTTGCTATGTTGCCCAGGCTGGTCTTGAACTCCTGGGTTCAAGTGATCCTCCTGCCTCAGCCTCCTGAGTAGCTGGGACTAGAAGTGCATGCCACCTTGCCCAGCTAATTATATGCAATTGTCAGTTTGGTGAGCTCTACGAATGGATCATCAAGGGTCCAGCTTGTTTTGAAATACAAGGATTATTAAAAATTCAGTTTTATTTGAATATATTGATAATGGAGACAAAATGATGTTATTTCACTCACTTTGGGACTTCTGGATAAGCTAAGCTAAGCCAAGGAATGGCAGTTTCGTCTCCCAGAAGGTCCTGAACACCCTGGTGATGATTTGGCTCCTGACAGCGTACAATACTTACTGCTCAAAGGCTTCACTCTCGAGGCTGGGCAGCTTGGCAGCCTGAACTCTAAAGGGTTAGGGGAGAGGGGTCCCATCTGCACACAGGCTTAGAACCTCTGCTCCAGGATTTTGAATATGCTGCTTTCAGAGGAACTGACCATGAGACAGACAGACAGACAGGCAGACACACACACACACATACCCCTGCCCCTGCCCCTGCCCCTCATAATCTCCTTGCCCTGGTGCATGTGTGAACGAGCCAGTTTATACACCTTGCCTGATGCTTCTGGAAAGCTGGCAACAAATCTTCCTCATCATTTACTATTTTATCCCAGTGCCTTGTATATGGCCTAGGGTTTAGTATTTGTTAAGTAAATTAATAAGCAGATGCTCCGGGAGAAGAAGAGTGCTGAGTTCCAGTCAAGGCTCAGCCTCTTACCAGCTGGGTGACTGAGGGTAGAAGTTGAGTTTCTAGTTATCCTAGATTGACCTAAAAAATTCTCATCAATTTAACACCTGCTGTTTTGGAATAATTTTTCCATTTAAAAATACTACCTTGTGTTTCTTCATGCTAATAATTAATTTCTGAATAGTGCTTTATAATTCACAATAACCCGGAAGGGTAGAGAGCCAGAGAATAACGAGGATGGAGACAGACGTCATGTTAAGGATTTTGGTCCATATCTTAAAAGCAATGGGAAGCCACCCAAGAGGATTTTAAGCAGGATGACTTGATAAGATCTCTACAATGTAGAGACTGCGGAACTAATCAAGCTGGGGAGGAGGGGGTAACAAGCGGGCAAGTGAAGACCTGCTGGAAAGTGGTCTAGAGGAGACAACTGCTAGTGGTCTACAAAAGAGATGATGGACCCAGGTGGTACTGAGAAAGATGGAGGAAATTGACAGGATTCAAAAGATATTTAGAAGGTAAAAAATCAACAGACCTGGTTGAGTCAGATGAAGGAGAATGGAGCAGATCAAAGTGTCCAAGATGACTTCCTAGACTTCTTATTTGTATAACCGCATAGATCTTGGTGCCCTCCAACAGGAGGGAACACAGGGCAAATAATAATTTGGCGGGAAGAGCAAGAGGTTAGGTTCACACATGTTGGGTTTGAGATACTTTTGAGATAACCAAGTGGAGATGCAGAGTATATGTTGGTTACACTGGTCTGGAGCTTGGAAGTCCTGACTGTGAATTGTCTGCGTCTTCAGAAAAACCATGTCCTTAAATCACTACACTGTAGTTGAGAGAGGTTAAAATTATCAACAAATAAGAGTCAGGATTGAACTCTGGTCTTCTGGGCATACAGTTCATGTTGTCTCCACTCTACTACCTTGCCCTACAGAGCATTCCTAAAAGTTCTTACTGATCGCAGTCACAAAGGGCCGACAATCAAGACATGAAACTGAAGACCTATGTAAAATCCCTAACCATTTAACACTGTATATGAACTTAAAAAAAACCCAACTAAATAAAAAACAAGTCATTTGTCTTTTCTAAATTAGAATAGTGAGCTGAGAGGAACTGAAGAAAAGTAGCACAGGAGAGAGGAGGCAGTGCCTATAAATGGGTTTTCATGGAATGCCTTCTTTCTGTATATGTATGTGTACAAAGCTTTTACTTTTCTTAAGTAAATTCAGAGACTATAAGACATACTCATGTTGAAAAAATAAAAAACACTTCCTAGAGCCAAATACAAATGACCTTTCAGATTATTTAATGCTTTGGTTTTCATTGCCACTGTTTCCTCCTTGATAACAGGACATTGACCACCTAGCTGTCACTTGCTTTCAGTTTTCATCACAGAGCACATGTGGGCTGATCCGTAAGCAACTCACTCATCCTTTTAGAAGTGCAGAAGAATGGGGCACATACAATTATGTTGTATTTTGACAACCTAAGTTCCTCCTTCATTTTCAGTGTAAGAATAGGAGATCAAAACAGCTTGTGGAAATTGTTGATTCAGTTTTTAAAGATAATAGCTGTTCTAAGACACTAAACACCACTTACACTACCCATTTCAAGGGCACTAAAAGGGTCCTCTGAAGTCCTTGATTTTATTTAAGTGAAGCATAAATGAATATTGTAATTCAAAGGACAATCAGTAACAGCAGAGGCATTACCCACAAGTAAGATTGATTCTTTCAAGTAGTTTAGACCACTTACTAGGATGAAAAGCTGATTTTTCAATTACTATTATTAATAATTAATATTGGAGGGCCCATGAAGTAAACCTGAAGGCTGGTCATTTGAATTTTAATACATTTTAAAACTGTATTTTGAAGGTAGAAAATGCATCTTATTTAGTTGTGATAATGGAGTGGCATTTTTTTCTTAACATTTCCTTAGTCAACCTTCTTCCATAGTAATTAGAAAAGAGAGAGGCATAAACAGCACTTATTTTCATATTAAAAAGCACTGCATTTGTAAAATACTCCTGTTTTCAATTATATTTTCCCTATGTTTACACTTAAATTAGTTTTTAGTTTCCAAATGTAAGTTGGGGTCATAAGGAGGCAATTCAGGGACATCTTAGGTGTCAAACAGAAGTAGATCAGAGATTTATGGCTAATAACGAGTTCATATTAAAGTAATAATTCTAAAGGCATTATGCTACAATCAACCTGAAGGAAACTTACAGATGATTACACACGGCAAAATTAAAAAATTAATCTGGGCTTGGGACAGTGGCTCACCCCTGTAATCTCAGCACTTTGGGAGGCCAAGGCGGGCAGATCACTTGAGCCCCGGAGACCAGCCTGCGCAACATGACGAGACCCTGTCTCTATAAAAAGAAAATTAGCTGAATGTGGTGGCATGTGCCCATGGTCCCAGCTACCAGAAGGCTGAGGTGGGAGGATTGCTTGAGCCAGGGAGGCTGAGGCTGCTGTGAGCCATGGTCATGCCACTGCACTCTAGCCTGCATGAAAGAGTGAGACCCTGTCTCAAAACAACAACAACAAAAAACTGATCTGCTTCTAATAATCCACCAGAGTGGAGATTGCCTTTGTTTTTTATATACCATAAAATGATTAGTAAAATTAATCTGAAGAAAATATAATCACCTAAATGTGTAGTTCAGGGTATATAACACAGGTGAGTTTCAAATGTGTTTAACTCAAAGTCTTAATAATATGTTTCAATATTTTAGAGCAGAGCTTCTGAAACTTTTTGGTGTTGGGATCCCTTAATGGTCTTAAAAATTATTAAGAACATCAATTATATGTTTATATGGATTTTAACTACTGATAATTACCAAAATGGAGAAATTTTAGAAATATTTAATTCAATTAAAAACAATAAGGCCATTACATGTTAAAGTACAGAACATTTTTATGAAAAAATAATTGTATTTTCTAAAATAACAAAGTGGTGTCTTTTTATATTTTTGCAATTCTCTTTAACAGAAGACAACTGGATTTTGCATTTACTCCTCAATTAACTCTGTTTTGGTTGAGTAGTGAAGAAAATCCAGCCTCACCCACCTATGTAGTTGGAAAAAGGAGATATATTTGAATAGCCTTTTCAGGTAATTGTGGACAGTCCTCTTTTATATTATACCAACACTTGACAAGTCTACTTTCTTAAAAGTTGGTTGTGTAATATAAAACTACATAACTGAATTAACTTTTCCTACTCTATTATAGTAATATTCATTGGTCTATCCACTTTCAACGGATCATTTACCCACTCATGATTTTTAACATCATCTGTTGGTCATTTGGAAAATATCGGCTCACTGAATTAAGCAGATCTTCTCAGTGTCAACACTGAGAAGACATTTTGTCAACACAGCGGAAAAGGCCATAACAACTTAGTATTACTGTGACAACAGTTTTGACTTCATTGAATCCTGAAAGGATCCTGGGGCTTCAAAAGGATCTGCAGACCACACTTAGACAAGCGCCGTTCAGAATCACTTTGGGGACTCAGAGAACCTAAATGACTCTCCCGGTGCAGGAGAACATGCGCACTTCATTCCAGAGGATTCTGACGCTTACCCTGCTTGGTGCAGAACTTAGCGAGTGCCCCCTGTTTAAGAGAACAGTACACTAAAATCTCTAACAAAAGTAAAAAAGTAGTTTCCCTAAGTACTTAGCCAGATACATAAAAGTATTTTTCAAATTCCTATCTTTGAATACTGAACTTTCTTAAAGTGACACTCAAAGGCATGTGATGCATACCTCAAGCATGTGAACTGGGGGTTATGAGTTTGAGCATAAATATGAGCCTCCAAGTTGGCTTCTAAAATGGATCTACATATGTTGGGCTGCCAACTCCTTGTAAGGGTTCTGTGGCTACTGATTCCATATCTTAATGGCTCTATCGGCATTGTAAAAATACTGAATCTTATTTACTATCAATTCGAAGTAATATTTTAATTATTTAATAGTTTAATTTGCTAGCACAAATTATAACCTACTTGAGCATAAAGAACGTTTTAGAAATATTCTTAGTCTAATGCTTAGAATGTTTACATTTTTTTTTTTTCTTCAGGGAAATAAAAATGTTCAGTTCCCTTTTAGGTTTTCAGTCATGTTTGGAGAGCCAAAGAGCATAAGAAAATAGGAAAAGTGATGATAAATGACCTTTCCCAGGTGCATTTGGTATTTTATGGTAAAAAAATTACCAGCAAACCAGTTCTTTCAATCTTCCTCTCCTGTGCAGGCTGGTGCCACGGGACTTGCCCAGCTTTTCCAAGTTCCTACAGGGAAAGGTGAGTGGGGCTAGGAATGAAGCACCAAGAAACAGTAAGAGCTGGAAGGGCAGTTCCCACCTCTAAAGCTGCTGATCCCAGGCCGATGCTACAGATGAGCTTTAGATATTTCCTTCTCTATTTTGTAAGTCTCAAATTGGGGAAAGCACATCCACTTACTCATGGGCATGCTGTGGGTACTTGAAATCACAGGATTGCAAAGTATATCTATGGGGTTGGGGTGAATACATTTTCTTTTCTTTTTTAATAGAGATGTGGGATCTATGTTACCCAGGTTGGTTTTGAACTCTTGGCTTCAAGCAATCCTCCAGCCTTGGCCTCCCAAAGTGCTGGGATTATAGGCGTGAGCCACTTTCCCTGGCCATGAACACATTTTTCTATTATTTTATATTATCTTATAAAAGTGCAGATTTTGGAGGTTACTGAAAAGTTGATATTAAAGTTTAAGATATAAAAGCAGGTGTCACCGTGGCAGCTTTTATTCTATAACTTAAAACATGATTAGCGTTTATTCTCTGCTGCTAGTGGTAGAGATTGCTCAGCATCAACGTATTTACATCCCCTTTGAAGAGAAGCTTTAAAACTGGCAAGTATGCACTGGGACTGTAGGACAAAGTTTTAGGGGCGTAGACTACACTCCACTGTAGTGTAGACTGCTCCTCCACTGTTGACCATCAGTGGCACCGGCGTATCACTTCTTGTACTTACGATGGCTTCAATAACTGGACAATTCTTTGTCTAGCAAACAAACCACAAGTTTATTAAATGAGAAATGCCCAGTTTAAAAGGATGTCCTATTAGTGGTAAATTACTATGCCTTTAAAAACTGCCTTCTTGTCCAGGAGCGGTGGCTCACCCCTGTAATCCCAGCACTTTGGGAGGCCAAGGCGGGAGGATCACTTGAGCCCAGAAGTTCAAGACCGTCTCGGGCAACATAGCGAGATCCCTGCCTCTTACTAAAAGGAAAAAAGAAAAAAGAAAAAAATGACCTTTTAACAGTTTGAAAACATCCTGGATACACAACAAGATCATTCAAAATGCAGTGGAATTTACCTTACCAATTTATAATTTTGGTTTGTGATAAATCAGTCAAATGAGAATTAAAATGGCACAGTCCCAATTCTCTATTAAACGTTCAGGGTACTCCCACACTAAAACGCTAGTGGTGTGTACAACTCGCCCTGGTGCTCCAACGGGGTTGGCATAGATGGATGATTTACATTAGCAAGGACAGGGCAGCGCGTTTAAGCAAACCCAGAGACCCCCTGGAGTTCTGATAATTCTGACCTTCTTTATGCTTTATTTTACTAAAACAATACCCTGATAAAATGAATAGAATCAAGGCTCACAAACTCAGTGGACCCATTGTATGATGAAAGAGCTAATGAACAATGCAGCTGGGGGAGGCGGGGAGCGAGAGCCGGGTTATATCCCCAAGGCATAATTAGGAGTTCACGTATTCGGGTGGAAGTTCCTGCAGTAAAAGGCGTAGCTGCAGCTTCTCCCGGCCCAGGCACTCGCCTGCTCTGCTACCCTCGCTTCTTTATTGCCTCTTTTACTACCAGCTAAAAGCGGCAAAACCCAGCTTCCTTTGCAGCTTCTGGCTAAAAAGTTCTCTCTTGCGGCTTTGTTTAAACAAGAAGGGTTTAGAGGTTTCGCTACACCGAGAAAACGACGCCGGCCCCGGGAAGCAGCCTCCCCGCCTTGGAGTCCGGTTGGGGCGTGAGGGCCGCGCGGGTCCCACGCCCCAAGGCTAAGCAGCCGAAAGCACAGCGCGCTCGGGGCCAAACCGGGCTGTATCGCAGGCGCAGATGGCGCGTCGGGCGGAAGCTGGAGGCCGCCGGCTCAACACGCTCCGTACCCGGGACTGGGGCCCGGCCTGCAGCCTCAGCGAGCAGGCGACAAGGGCGGCGCCACAGAGGCCGACGCGTCCCCCGCCCGCCTGAGCGCGCCGCAACAGCCACCTCGTCCCACCCGCCCCGGGGCGGGGCCGGGGGCGCGGCGCCGGGGCCCTCTGGCCCCCTCCGGTCTCGCCGGCCCCGCCCCCTCCCTGTCCCCGTCCCCGAGGGGCTGAGGGGGAGGGAGGGGCGACGCACTCCGGCCGCGTTGCACGCTCGCCGCTTCCCTCAGTCCCGCGTGCGCGCGCGCGCTCGCCCCAAGTCCCGCGGAGTTTAACACAATGCCGACGCCTACGCCGTGCGCAACGCCCCGGCCGGCGCAACAGCCCCGGCGCCGGGGGCGGGGGTGGCCCAGACAGGGAGAGAGGGAGAGGGATGAGCGCGCGCGAGAGCCGGAGACAGCGCGAGACCCGAGGAGGCCGGAAGCGCGCGTGCGCGCCCCCGCCCGCGAGCGGGAGGCGGAGCCGCAGCAGTAGCGGCAGCAGCTGTAGGAGCCGCTGCAGCTGGGAGAAGCGCCAGAGAGGCCGGGCCTGCTCCGGTCGGACCGGATCCCTCCCCTCCCCCTCCCTCCTCCCTCCCCTCCCCCAAACCCACTTCCGCAGCTCGCGGCCTTGCCGCCGAAGCAGCAGCGGCGGCAGCAGCAGGAGGCGGCGGCGAGGCGTCGGAAGGATTACGCACCTGACGGGCCCGCCTCTGAGGGCTCCAGCGCGGGACGCTCACCGGCCGCCGCCGCCCAGGGCGCACTTCGCGGTGGCGGCGGGAAGGGAGGGACCGGCCACGGGGAACCGAACGCGAATCGCCCCCCTCCCCTTCCTCCCTCCCACCCTCCCTCCGATCCGCCGCCCGCCCTCTCGGCTTCCGTCCCCTCCCCCTCCCACAAAACCCCGGATGGAGGCGCCGCCGACTCGCCGCCGCCTGGCTCCGGGGGATGGTTTTGTCAAGCGGCCAGAGCCCCGGCGCCAGGCGCAGCCGCCGCCGCCCCCGCGAGGCGCCCCTGCCCTCGCTTCCCAGAACCGGGTCCCCGAGTGGCCCGGGCCTTCCGCCTGCCTGCACCCGTAGCCCTGGTACGAGGGTCATTCGTCGTCTTTGTTGCCACCGCCTCTGCCGGAACCGTTTGCGAGCTCCGGTGGCCCCCGCCCCCCCACCGCCTTCCCGGACCCTGGGCTGGGGGTGGCACGTGGGCACCGGCCCCGGGAGGCGGAGGCGGTGCGCGCTTACCTGTCGCCGGTGCTGCTGCGGCGGGGGGTGTGGAGGAGGCGCCTCTGGGCAGCCTCGGCCGTGCTGTCCTCCCCGCCGCCGCCGCCTCTGCCTCTCGCTGCTGCTGCTGCTGCTGCCGCCGCGGTCGGTGTCTCCGGCGCGGCGGCGGCGGCGGCGGCGGGGCTTTTCCTGTCCGGTTACGTTAAGGTCACATGACCGAGAGAGCGGAGAGACTAGTGCAAAGAGGCTGCGAGCGGCTCCCGCCGGGGGGGAGAGGCGGCGAGAGAGCAGTGGCGGCAAGAGCCCCCTCCGCCCCCCCCCCAGCCGCTCCCCTCCCCCCGCCCGCCTCCGCCTCCTGCTGCTCTGCCGCCGCCGCCGCCGCCTGCAGCACTCCACTGCCGCTCCCACCCAGGCTCCGCGCTCTGCTCCAGCCAAACTTCTGCAGACCATGTGCAGCCGAGGCGAGGAAACTTCTCTCCACCTATTGGGGCTGGAGGCCTGAGTCACAAGCCCCTTGTTTACATAAAGTGTTTAGGTAGCACAAGTCCTTGAGATGCTCGGGGTAGAGATGGAGAGCCACTGCTCGTATCCTTCTGCCGGCTTCTGCTTGAGATCTCTTGGCCTTTACCCTTGTCCCTTGACTTTTCGTGTTTGTTTTAATCTTTAAGACTTGAAATGGAGTGGCCTTTAGAACCGGGGAGATACTGTAAACCAGCAGTATCTTTGTGTCACCAATGGTAACTGAAAGTCATGCTGAAGTACAGATTCCTGTAGCGTGCACAGAGGCAGAGGTGCTTCCTTTACCTTGCAGATGAGTTGAGCGGCGTAAGATGTTTCTGTTAGGGTTGAATTTCATGGTTATTTCAGCAACGATTTTCGTTTTTGAAGTTTTGGCCCCCCCAAAAATGAAAGTCTGCAACGCATGTTTGTTAAGAGAACAGTTTATTCTCCTGTTAGGTTTTGGTCTTTGAGGTATGGATTCCAGAGTTGGCTATTCTGTTAGATTTAGAGGTGTGGAAAATCTTTTAACGGGGAGATCCTGAAACACGGAAACATGGCAGGGAAGTTAGAATTTCCTGATGGTCATTTTTAACATTTTAAAGTTTACTTTTTGGTTGTTGCCATTTTTCTAGAATCCGTGTCTTTTTTGGGGAAATACAGTCCTTTGAGGACTAGAATTTAATGATTTCTTTACACATCTAGGATTTTTTGAGATTTAGAAAGGATATGGCTTTATTCCTAAGGAAGTGGAGGCAGCAGTTTCTAGGATACTCTGGTTTCAAGGCATGCTAACTTGGTTGTGATGTCTAACCCATTTTGGTTTACACAGTCTGACCACTAGCACAATGCCTGGCACATAGTTTACAAATCATTTAAGGCAAGCTTACCATCTTAAGACAATTTAATACATAGAAGTGTCCCTCCTAAAAATCTGAGTTTGATTTAGAAATCCAGTTATACCTGCAGGTACTGATGACTAATTCCTTCTTTGAAGACAAAATAAGCAGCTGTGTAGCTTCAGTGGCTCTCAAATGGATAATAGATTCAGTGTATACTCGCTTTGAACTTTCCTGTTTTTTGATCAGCTAGATAAATGACTTTAGTGGGTAAATGTCTGCCTCCAAAACCAAATTCTGACCCTGATCTAAGTATTCTACTGCACCGCTGTCACTGGAATATCAAAGTTGGCCTTCAGACTGGTGCCTGGTTCCTTGGATTGGCTTGAGTATTGAGGTCTGTCTCATCTTACTAGGGAACTAAAATGATGTTGATTGTTTTGTAGAGAATTGTAATTAGAGATCTGTAGGTTCTTAATTCTTTTGGAATTCCATTCTGAAAATTTTCAACCTTATGGTGTTGGTGGAGTGCTCATGTGAAGAGTGAAACTGACTTAAGAATAAAAGAAAAAGTGGGCAAAACTAATGCTAAACTTGAGACCATTGGGCAGAAATTTGCCTGTGTGTGTAGAGTAATTGGTCTTGAGTCAAAGTAACTATGCTTATTTTTAACATCACTGAATATTTTCTAGCGTTACACTCTATATAGGCTTGTAGAAATAAACCCAGGGGTAAGCCCAGAAATTGAATATCAGTCCTAAAGAAAGCCTATCAAGAGCATCCTATTCTCTTTAAGAGCTGCTATTCGAATTTAGGACTGGGCTGGTTTGCTGCTCATTCTCTCGAGGCATAGGCAGCCACACTTGAATTTTGCCAAGTATGCAGATAATTCCAACTTGTAGTCAGGATCATCAGGTAATAGCATTATAAGGGGAGCTGTACAGACTGTATACTTTCTACAGTTTGTTGAAATAGAAACATTTATATGGATACATACATCTGCAAAGGTTAGGGAGAAAACGGTAGCCCTGGCAGAGAAGAGCTAGTTAGTGTATTTCAGGATAGGGCCAAGGGAAGCTGTCATTTCTCTACTAAGTCTCATTGTGGAAAAGCCACAAATGTCCCTAGTACAGTAATAAGGAAAAAAAGGCTGAGCGTGGTGGCTCACACCTGTAGTCCCAGGACTTTCGGAAGGATTGCTTGAGCCCAGGAGTTGCAGATCGGCCAGGACAATGTAAGAAAACCCCATGTATTAGAAAAAAAGAATTAGCCAGGCGTGATGGTGTGGGTCTATAGTCTCAGCTTGGGAGGCTGAGGTGGCAGGATCGCATATAGCCCAGGAGTTCGAGGCTGCAGTGAGCCATGATCGCATCACTGCACCCTAGTCTGGGCAACAGAGTCTCTAAAAAGGAAAAAAAAAAAAAAAGTTAAATCGCTGTTTAATTATGTGCCAATTTATTTTGGTATTTTGAGAATCTGGTAAATTAGGAATTCAAAAATAGTTTTAACACTTTTTACTTCAAAGAAAATCACAGTGCAAGCAATCTGAGTGGATTCATCAAAAGTTATACATGAATATTCTGCAGAGTCTGGTGTTGCTGAAAGTTTTGATTTGTGTTCTGCTGAGACACAACCATGAAAATATGCACTTGCTTGTATTCCGAAGAGGATAGTTCCAGTGAGACTTGGACAATGAGCAGAAAAAATTTTTTTTTGAGACGAGGTGTCGCTGTGTCGCCCAGGCTGGAGTGCAGCGGCGCGATATCTGCTCACTGCAACCTCTGCCTCCTGGGTTCAAGCGATTCTCATGCCTCAGCCTCCCAAGTAGCTGGGACTACAGGTGCCCGCCACCACACCCGGCTAATTTTTTGTATTTTTTTTTTTTTAGTAGAGACGGGGTTTCGCAGTGTTAGCCAGGATGGTCTCGATCTCCTGACCTCGTGATCCACCCGCCTCGGCCTTCCAAAGTGCTGGGATTACAGGTGTGAGCCATTGTGCCCAGCTCAGAAAATTTAATAGTACTAGATCTCGTGTGTGTGTGTGTGTGTGTGTGCGCGCGCTTAGGTTGAAGGTGGAATTTAACATTGATTTAAAAAAAATAATAGTAGGAAAAAATAAATGCGGTTTGAGTCCAAAGCAGCATTTTTCACTAATTTTATGAAGGAAGTCCTTTTGAGTAATGTCTTAAATTAGGAAAATGGCGTACTTTTACATGTTAGACATTAAACTCTAGGGCAGATAACCATGCCCTGTGTGTTGTGTATCAAGCTTAGCATATACATAGGAAAAGATGTATTGTGAGAGTGTCTTACATTTCGTTGGTTTGGTCATAAAGTTTATAGAAAATGCTTGTTTTATAGTTGGTTGTTATTGAGATGAGAGTCCCTCAAGGAACTCCCTATGCTTTAGGGAGCTTTTTGTTTTAAACCTACTGGTTAGACTTGTGGGTTTTAATGTTTTCAGCTGTGGTTGTAAGAAACACATTTTAAATTGCACCTAGTATAGACATACATGTAAAACAAACAAAATTTTTACGAAGTAGTACTTGTATTAAGAGTGATGTACTCTGCTATCTTCTATTTCATTTTTTTAAAGTTGATATTGCTGCCTTAAATTGATTTTTTCAACCACTAATGAGTCAGGACCCACTATTTAAAAAATACTGGTGTGTTCTCTTGCTGTTACGAATTAACCCAAAACTTAGTGGTTTAAAGCAATAAACTTGTGTTTATCTCATGTAGGTTCTGTGGGTCAGGAATCTGGGAGTAGCTTACTTAGGTGGTTCTGGGTCAGGGTTTTTCATGAGGTTCCAAGGTGGCTCTCATTTGGCAAGTCAGCTATGGCTGATGGTGGAAGTTCTTCATTGGACTGCTTGAGTGTCCTCAAGCAGTGGCGAAGGCTAGCTACCCGCAGAGTAGGTGATTCAAGCAAGAGCAGAGAGGAGGCCACACACCATCACTTCTGCCATATTCTATTAAAAAGAAGTCACTTAAGTCCAGCCCAAACTCAGGGGATGAGTATCAAAGAATTATGGACATAGTTTAATAGCTGCCACATTTATATGTTTTTCCACTTTATATTTTATTTATTTATTTATTTAGAGATGGAGTCTTGCTCTGTCGCCCAGGCTGGAGTGCAGTGGCGTCATCTCAGCTCACTGCAGCCTCTGCCTCCCGGGTTCAAGTGATTGTCCTGCCTCAGCCTCCCTAGTAGCTGGAATTATAGGTGCCCCCTACCACGTCCGGCTAATTTTGTATTTTTAGTAGAGATGGGGTTTCACTATATTGGCCAGGCTGGTCTCGAACTCTTGAACTCAGGTGATCCACCTGCCTCAGCCTCCCAAAGTGCTGGGATTTCAGGCATGAGCCACCACCCTGGCCTGTTTTTCCATTTTAAAGATGAGTTAGGATTGCACCAAAAGCCATGCTGAAATCAACCTATAAGTAATTATCTTAGTTAATTAAGTCAGTTTTTTTCTCTGAGGGCATCTAGTCACACTTCCTTCTCAGTCTTCAATTTGAAAAAGCAGGCTCAAAGAATTTAAGTAATTAAGCAGCCCAAGGTCATTCAGTCTAGGAAAACCTCACAAATTTTCTCTGACCTTTGTCATGAATAACATGTGAGCTGATAAAGATGAGAAAATTAAGAAGTTACACTGTAGAACTGTTCGCCAGTCTTCTAGTTTGCAGACCTCCATATTATAATACACTTTAAAATTCAGATAATGCTTGGTGTCTAGATTCCTCATACTAGCACCCCTCCTGTTCATTTTTAGAGGAAACAGGAAATGTACTTATTAAATGAATTCAAACTACTTTGAATAGACCATTCCAGATGCTGCCTGTATACTCACTATGAGATGTACTGTGCAAACTAATTCCAATTAGCACATTTTGAGAACCCAAAAGGATGTTGTGACTTAAAGATGATGAGAATTTAAGTGTAAAGAAGACTACACTTCTTTATGCTGTGAAATTTTCATAGAAATTTTGGATCTGGAAGGATTTTGTTCTAAGACTAGTTTTAGCTTAGTGATAAAAGGAATAGGATGACATTGGTAGTGAGCGAAGGCAGGATAAATTTCTAAAGACTTCCTTAAAAATTTTTTTAATCCATTAGGCTTTTCTAAATTATAGGTTGGGATACAATAAGTTATCTTACACCTTTGCTTCACGGAATGGGCTAATGGCTACTTTTTTTTTTTTTTTTTTTTTTTTTTTTGAGATGGAGTCTTACTCCCATCTCACAGGCTGGAGTGTAGTGGCACAATCTTGGCTTACTGCAACCTCCACCTCCCGGGTTCAAGTGATTCTCCTTCCTCAGCCTCCTGAGTAGCTGGGATTATAGGCGTGCACCACCACACCCGGCTAATTTTTGTATTTTTAGTAGAGATGGGGTTTCACCATGTTGGCCAGGCTGGTCTCGAACTCCTGACCTCAGGTGTGCCACCTGCCTTGGCCTCCCAAAGTGCTAGGATTACAGGCATGAGCCACTGCGCCTGGCCGGATAATGGCTACTTAAATCATTTTTCAGTTTTCCCTTACCACTATGATTCCTGACTGTTTCTATTCTGACCTAAAGTACTGTTTGTACACAATTAATTTTGATTACCCTTTTTGCTTGTTACTTGTCTCCCTATATCTTGTATCTCTCACTCTCACTGTAAGCTCCCTGAGGGCAGGTACTTCTTTTTATGTACACTCCTGGTACTCAATTGCTTGCAGAATTGAGTTGAATTTGTAGTTAAAGGATCTAAGATGATCATTTTCCCACTCGAACTGAGTGAAAAAGGTGTTTATTGTTGCAGAAAACATCTGCGTATAGGTATTGGATGCTAGTGGTGCATATATGAATACCTATCTCTGCTCTTCAGGTGGTCACAGTCCACTGGGGGAGAAAAACACAGATACTTAGTACAATTTATTCTATACTGCAGATGTGCAGAGTGCTGTGGGTATGTAGATAACTTTAAGCTGAATCTTGGTCGGTGAGCAGGTGTTCAGAAGATAGACTTAGTGGCCAAGTGCGGTGGCTCACGCCTGTAACCCCAGCACTTTGGGAGGCCGAGGCGGGTGGATCACTTGAGGTAAGGAGATCGAGACCATCCTGGCCAACATGGTGAAACCCCGTCTCTACTAAAAATACAAAAATTAGCTGGGCGTGGTGGTGCATGCCTGTAATCCCAGCTACTCGGGAGGCTGAGGCAGGAGAAGCGTTTGAACCAGGGAGTTGGAGGGTTGCAGTGAGCCGAGATGTTGCCACTGCACTCTAGCCTGGTGACAGAGCGAGGCTCTGTATCAAAAAAAAAAAAAAAAAAAAAGATAGACTTAGTTTTGTGATGTGCTTTGGGGGTGGTGCATTTCTTAGCTTCATTCCTTTACTATACATCTCCCTTGAATTATTTTCCTTTTATCGTTGGTGAGTTACCATCATAATTTAATAAATTGTTTCCTTCTGTGACATGTACATTCTTGTCACATCATTTCTCTAGAACTGTGCTGTCCAGTTCAACTCAGTGTCACACTAGCCATGTGTGCTGAGTAGCCACCTGTGGCTAGAGGCTACCATATTTGGGCAGCACAGATAATATAAAACATTTCTATTATTGGAGAAAGTTCAGTTGGACATCACTGCTCTAGAATCATGTTTTGCTTCTCCCTATTTTCACGTTATCAATAGTGTATTGAGTTCAGAATAGAATTAGGAAACAATAGCCTCCTGATATTGTCATTGGGAGGGATAGAGTGGTTGATATTTATGAACAGAGGGGGGAGAGTGTAGTGTTTGGTAGTGGTTGAGAATATAGCCTTTGGAATCAGATCTGGGTTGGAATTATGGTCCGTCCCTTACACACTGTATGGCTTCGGGCATGTTACTGAACCTCTGAGCCTCAAGTTTTCCTTCTCAAATAGGGTTAATAGTAATTATCTCATAACATTGGGTGAACATAAAAACAGGAGGGGGGCCGTAGCACAGTACCTCAGTAAATGATAAAATCGGTATATTTTTGAAATCATCACTGATTTAAAAAAAAACCTTAGAATTATGTAGTAAAAGTGACTTTTTTTTTTCAGTATACCGTTCTGTGATTTTTAACATAGTATTTATTTGTTGTAATCACCAACACGAGAATATAGGCCAGGTCTATCACTTTATTTTGCTGTCTTTATAGACCTGTGCTGTTTCCACCCCTAACCCCTGGCTGTCACCGATCTGTTGTCCATCACTATAGTTTTACCTTTTCTAGGATGTTACATAAATGGAATTACACAGTATGTCGCCTTTGCACACTGGCTTCCTTTACCCAGCCAGATTGGGTTGAGAGCGATTTGTCCAAGTTGTTACATCTATCAGTCGTTGAAAACTGATCTTTAAAGACATTTTAATTTTGAATCATTATTTCCTAAACGTGAATCTGAATTCCTTAACAGTTCTTCAAGTAGTGTTTGGCTCAGGATTTTTGTGTTTAAAAGTAAAATAAATGGTAAAATATATAGGGAAAAATTACTGCTTCCACCTGATTGGTAAAAACCATGTGTGACATTAACATGCTTTTCTTTAGGGAAGGTTCTTGTTTTTAGTAGTTGATCCATATTAAAGCTCTGTAGAGTTGCCACAAAGTCCAGAGTTGAAAAAGGTGGCTGTTAAAATATCAGTTTCTAAAATGTGGCCGAAGATAGCGTGACCAGTCCTGGTTTGCCCAGGACTTTGCCAGTATTAGCAGTGAAAGTCTGGCCGCTCTCAGGAAACCCCTTGGTCCCAGTCAAACCCAGAATGGGACCAAGCGCCGTGGCTCATTCCTGTAATCCCAGCACTTTGGAAGGCTGAAGTGGGCAGATCACGAGGTCAGGAGTTTGAGAACAGCCTGGCCAAAATGGTGAAACCCCGTCTCTAATAATAGCCTGACATGGTGATGCACGCCTGTAATCCCAGCTGCTTGGGAGGCTGAGGCAGGAGAATCGCTTGAACCCAGGAGGTAGAGCTTGCAGTGAGCCAAGATTGTGCCAATGCACTGCAGCCTGGGTGACAGACTGAGACTGTGTCTGAAAAACAAACAAACAAACAAAACCCCAGAATGGTTGGTCACCCTATCTGAAAAGAGACACACAAAATCAGAGGATTCCAGTTCATCAGGTTTCAGTAGTGAACCATCGGCCAAGTATTTCATCTAATCTTAATTGCCTTTGGGTGCTTAGAGTCAAATCTCTAAGGTAACCAGAACCCAAACCACATGAGGTTTTTTAGATTAAGATCAGCACCTTGAATTTAAGGTTTTGTGGCTAGAGGTTTAGATTTGATTGGAATTACATCGTTAATTTTTGTTAAATTGTTGAATAAGCAACTTCCCAAGCCTTGTGTGTAGAAGCTAGATTAAAAGTCAAGTTTCTACTTAACCAGAATCTCTGTTTTGAGTTTTTAAATTCAACTGGTGATGTCTAAATCTTAAGGATATTGTAAGTTCCTTAACTAGTCTGTTCCATTTTCCTGAGTTTTCACATCACCTCTCTACCTCTTGTGTAGATTTTATTTTTTATTTTGAAACGGATTTTCGCTCTTGTTGCCCAGGCTGGAGTGCAGTGGCACCATCTCGGCTCCGCAACCTCTGCCTCCTGGGTTCAAGCGATTCTCCTCCCTCAGCCTCCTGAGTAGCTGGGTTTACAGGCACATGCCAGCGCACCTGGCTAATTTAGTATTTTTAGTAGAGACGGGGTTTCTCCATGTTGGTCAGGCTGGTCTCAATTTCCGGACCTCAGGTGATTTACCCGCCTCTGCCTCCCAAAGTGCTGGAATTACAGGCATAAGCCACCACGCCCAGCCCTAGATTTCTTTATAGAGCATCTGTCTATAAGCAGATTACTTAGTTTTCCTGATGTCTTCGTTGGAATGTAAGCTTTGTGAAAGCCAGGGGCCCTATGTGTCATCTTTACCACTATGTCTTAGATCTTAGAGCAGCCCATCATAAGTTCTAATAAGTAATTGTGGAATTGGATGAGAAAATGAATATGAGTCAGTTTTACAATGCTGCATGCTTCCCAGATTATTTTAACAGTCTAGGGGATGTGGAAAGATTTTGTTTTAAAAACGTTTAAAAGTCCACGTTTTGTTTGATATTGTTCAGAGGAAGTGAAAATGTGGTCTTTAAAAAATTTTGTTGCCCGGGTGTGGTGACTCACGCCTGTAATCCCAGCACTTTGGGAGGCTGAGGCGGGTGGATCACCTGAGGTCAGGAGTTCAAGACCAGCCTGGCCAACATAGTGAAACCCCGCCTCTACTAAAAATATCAAAAATTAGCTGGGCATGGGGGTGGGCACCTGTAATCCCAGCTGCTCGGGAGGCTGAGGCAGGAGAATCGCTTGAACCCGGGAGGCGGAGGTTGCAGTGAGCGGAGATCGCGCCATTGCACTCCAGCCTGGGCCACAGAGCAAAACTCTGTCTTAAAAAAAAAAAAAAAAGGCTGGGCGCGGTGGCTCACGCCTGTAATCCTAGCACTTTGGGAGGCCGAGGTGGGCAGATCACGAGGTCAGGAGATCGAGACCATCCTGGCTAACACGGTGAAACCCCGTCTCTACTAAAAATACAAAAAATTAGCTGGGTGTGGTGGCAGGCACCTGTAATCCCAGCTACTCGGGAGGCTGAGGCAGGAGAATGGCGTGAACCTGGGAGGCAGGCGGAGCTTGCAGTGAGCCGAGATCGTGCCACTGCACTCCAGCCTGGGTGAAAGTGTGAGACTCTCAAAAAAAAAAATTGTTTCATTAACCCTCTATGAGGGAAGGGAATTTAGAATGGTGACATTAAACCTTCCTTTAAAATGGCAATTCAGAACCAGTGGAGAGAGCTGAAAGTGAGAGTAGATTTGGATTTGGAAAAATTCCCTCTACTTCTCATACACATCACCTTCTCCCAACACAGGCACTTTGTAAAGGCATAGAGCAGGGTCTGAGGAGATTGGGTTGGTGAAAGAGAGAACTGAGTCACTTGAGATTAGTACTTGGTAAGCAAGAGAGTGCTAATGAATTATTTAAAATCTGTGTAACCTGAGTGTAAACCAATACATAGACTAAGTTAGTGCTTCTCAGAGCTTAGGGAGCATAGGAGTCTCCTGGAGAATTAGAAGAAACAGATTTTCCTAGCTCCGGCCCCAGACGTTCTGATTTAGTGTGGTGTAGAACTCAGGAGTTAGTAATATTAATGGACAGTCTTGAGTATTTGCTGATGCAACTGGTCTGAGGACCATACTTTGGAAGACCTGCTTTAGATAGTAGACAGGACAGTAATTTAAAATAGGCAAATATGGTTTATTTTTAAAATGGTAAAACTAGAAAGATACTGATTTTATGTGTTTAAAAAAAAAAGTCTGCATCTGACTGCTATGGTTATCCAAGAAGGCACCCCAGAATACCTGTTGGCCACCGCTGTTTGGTATATGCAAAAATGTGTAGTTTTTAAAAGAGTCTTTTTGGGCTTGCACTGAGGAGCCACCCTATTTTATACAGTCAAAATATTGCTATATTTAAGTTAACCATTCTGTTCCAGTGCAGGATTCAGTAACATCTATTCTGTAAGTTTCAGTTGTGATATTTCTTAAAGATTCAAAGATGGATCCTGGGAATTTGATTTAGCCTCCATTTCATCTGGGAGTTAATCCTCACAGCAACCCTGTGAGATAGGTTAATAATTAAACCCTCCTATTCACACATATTTCATTAATCCTTACAGCAACCTGAGAGATAGTTTAATAATTAAACCTACTCCACAGATGAGGAAACTGAGGCCCAAGAGGTTCAGTGATTCGCCCAAGGTTATAACAGCAAGAATTGGTGGTGAAACAAGAATTCAAATCCAGATTGGTCTTAATAGTGAGCTCTCATGTGTGATAGAAATTAGATACCACTTTGAGGACTTTGGGAGCCAGTGGTGAATGTACTTACTTTAGGCTCTAAATACTCTGTGTAATTTCTTGGTCATTTTGTTCTTAGAGAGGTGGTGATCTTAATAAAGTTTTGACTTTATTAAGTAATTAAAAGTTTTTACTTATGTTACAACTAAAACAATTCTTTAAAACTTTCATAACTTGAAGTTTTAAATCCTAAAATTAGTTGAAAAAGATGTAATTGCCAGTGTATCGTAAATACTGGTATTTTAAAATAAAGCTGCTTTATCACTTTTAAGGAAAGCCCTTGTAATTTAGTGCATTGTAATAGTGTATTGAGCTGATGTCCACCATGATCCATGTAAACATAGGTGAACTATGCAAATACAAGTTTTTCTTCTTGAAAATGTTACATTTCCTCTACAACACTTTATGCTAATAAATGTTTATGAACCTCTTTTGATGATCCTTTCATTTCTTGTAAATTTTTGTATATAACTTGAAATGTTTAATTTGCTGTAATCATAAGGCATCAAATGTTCATGGTTTTTTTCTGGACTATTTTCACATTGTTAGTACTGATTAGTTGACCAAAACAGCAAATTGCATACATTGATACTTGCAGTAAAATTTCACTGGAATTGTACCTCCTAAAAAAAATGGGAGAAAACATAATGGCTTCAATTAAAGGAGGCTGCATTTACCAATCTTCCAAATTGTCCTTTTTTGTTTTTGTGGCTTCCCAAAAGTGTTGACAAATAGGTTTAATGTATTTAAAGGTTATTGAATGTAGTGGACCAAACTATTGAGGATAGGTGAGAGACGCCGCTTCTGTAAGTGTGATAAGGGAAGATGGGAAGAGCAGGATACACTGCAGGTGTGCACACAGGTATGTTGATTTTATGAAAATTGGAACTTGATCTAGGAAGCAATTTTTAAAGTTATTTTGAGACAGGGTTGCTGGCCTCAAGCAGTGCTCCCACCCTGACCTCCCAAAGTGCTGGGATTACAGGCGTGAGCCACCATGCACATCCTAAAAAGCAATTCTTGGACTATCTGTGCCTATATGCTCCTTGGAGAGTTTTTGTGGGTACCCTTGGCATACAGGTAGGTACCTCAAATGGAAGACAGCTACTGAAGAACTCTCGCTGGAAGACATCAGATGTTTATCCTAGCACTGTTAACTGCAGATAAATATGTCCATCAGTTAGTACAGATGAATGTATTCTCTTGGTATAATACTGTGTAGCAGTTAAGTGAGTTGCAAAACGAAAGGATATGTGTGAAAAAAAAGTTGACAGGTGAGGACTATAGTGGGGCATCGGGTTATGCATAAAAGTAAGGCAATGAAGGTAAAGATTTGATTTTTAAATGTTGTCAACCCAAGGAGGTAAATATGTAGATGTTAAATTCTTTGTGCTTGGTATTTTTTAAATTTCCCCAAAATATCTCTGGAACAAACATCTGTGGGAAGAATATTGTGACTAACTTGGTGAAAGGACAAAGTATTAATAAAAGGTGCCGGTGAACAGCCATACTCAAATCATGCCATCGAAAATAGGTATTTAAGATTTCATTTCTGCCACCAGAAGCCTGTCTTGTTATTGTATATATTGATTTCTCTCTTTTTTTTTTTTTTTTTTTTTTTTGAGACGGGAGTCTTTCTCTGATGCCCAGGCTGGAGTGCAGTGGCATGATCTCAGCTCACTGCAAGCTCCGCCTCCCGGGTTCATGCCATTCTCCTGCCTCAGCCTCCTGAGTAGCTGGGACTGCAGGCGCCTGCCACCACACCCAGCTAATTTTTTGTATTTTTAGTAGAGACGGGATTTCACCGTGTAATGTTAGCCAGGATGGTCTCGATCTCCTGACCTTGTGATCCACTCGCCTCGGCCTCCCAAAGTGGGATTACAGGCGTGAGCCACCGCGCCCGGCCTGTATATATTGATTTAAACACTTCAGTTCCTGTATGATTCTCTTAGCCAGGGCCATGATGGGATTCCCTGGGGATAGGTTAAGTTGTGGTGTCTAAAACCTAAGTCCTGTGACTTTAAGAAGTATCTGCCAAGATTTGCCAAGATTTCCTAGATGCTAGTTTTCCAAAGTTCTTAACTGAAATATTTACCTTTTGAATTGTCAGTGATGTAGATACAAACACTAGATTCTTCATAATTTTATTCACACGATATACTGGGCTGAAAAAGATAATTTCTTGATTAAAAAAACACCTATTAAATGATCACCCAGTAGTGAACATTTATTTATTTATTTTATTGTTTATTTTTGAGACTGAGTCTCACTGTTGCCCTGGCTGGAGTGCAGTGGTGTGATCTTAGCTCACTGCAACCTCCGCCTCCCAAGTTCAAGAGATTCTCCTGCCTCAGCCTCCTGAGTAGCTGAGATGACGGGCGTGTGCCAACACACCTGGCTAATTTTGGTATTTTTAGTAGAGATGGGGTTTCACCATGTTGGCCAGGCTTGTCTTGAGCTCCTGATCTCATCTCAAGCCACCCTTCTTGGCCTCCGAAAGTGCTGGGATTACAGGCATGAGGCACCGCGCCGGGCCGAACATTTAATTTTTGATTGTAGAACTTGAATATCTCTTGCAGTGACACTTTGGTTATCACTTGATCAGAAAAATACTCGTCCCAGCTCAAACATTACCTTAGAATAGAAAGTGAGAATTATTTCATGACGGGCAAATTATGGGTACAAACTAAAATGACTTCCAAGATTGTGATTAATGAGAAATGCTCCTGAAGTAAGGTAAATGTTTGCCCTTTCTCACGTGGCAACCTATGAATTGGAGGTACGGGTGCTTGATTTGATGTTGAGCTGTACATTATAAATTTACAGCTAGAACTTTTTCCAAATGCTGTCTTTAAAAGCAGAACCTTGAGGTCTACTCTCAAATTTTAAAAAGTGGAACCTTTTCAAGAATTACTTTTAATGCATTTGCAAATAGTAATTTGAAACTTCCAAATAGAGTTAGTAATGATAACAAAGTCAGCCTCTTTTCTGCTAATAATTTTCTATCTCAAACTATCTTATTAGCATAGCCCCTGTATTTGTGAAAAGATGGTAACTGATCATAGTACAGAGCATTTCCATCTTACCTCTATGGTAATGAGGATGACAATCATCCACTCCAAGCGGAGTGCCCTCTTCTCATTCAGGTGATTCCGCATTAGATCTGTTAGTTCCATGCAGTGCTGAAGTTTTTCATTCATGACCTATGTAAGAAAAATTTCAGTAACATGTATTTAAACAATTTAATACGGTCATACACATAAAAATTCTATAGCTATACAGTGAAAAATCCTGCTCCTCAGTCCTCTCCCCAAAGGCAGCCACCAACATTATCAGTTTCTTGTGAATCCGTCCAGAGACATTTTGTAATGTACAAATTTAACTGCAAGAAATACTTTGCATACTGAAGCTCTTCTATTTGTAAGATTTTGATGGAAGAACTAAAAATAGGTTTTTGAGTCCTAGTTTTTAGTAGCTGCCCTTTTTAGCAGTTAAAAGAGGCAAACTTGAAACATAATGTTTTTTAGCAAGACCTAAAGATAATTTACTTTCTACTAGAAAATCTACGCTTAACATTTGACCTGCTGTACACACACCACTAGATGGCATTGCTTTCAACTGAACTGCAACAGTTCTGCATTCCGATGCCTCCAAACAAGCTGGCTGTGGGGGTTCAAAGAAAATAAAGTCCCTGAATTCAAAATTTGGATGTGACAACTTTTTTTTTTGTTGTTGTTGTTGTTTTTTGGGATGGAGTCTCCCTCTGTCGCCCAGGCCGGAGTGTAATGGCGGATCTCGGCTCACTGCAAGCTCTGCCTCCTGGGATCACGCCATTCTCCTGCCTCAGCCTCCCAAATAGCTGGGACTACAGGTGCCCGCCACCACGCCCGGCTAATTTTTGTATTTTTAGTAGAGATGATGTTAGCCAGGATGGTCTCGATCTCCTGACCTTGTGATCCGCCCGCCTCGGCCTCCCAAAGTGCTGGGATTACAGGCGTGAGCCACCGTGCCAGGCCTGGATGTGATAACTGTTAAATACCTACCTAATATCTTTATATATCACTTGCTACTGGAAATCCTGAAAGCAAAATTTTAAAACAGTTTGTCTCATGGGTATGCTGAAGTTACAGGTTTGGTCAGTGAACATTAAGAGATGAATCACAGGTACGTGTTCAGGGGTTGATTGGAATGCGTTAACTGCACCATGTTACGATTTTTGCACATAGCATTAAACTGCCTTACTAGGCTGGGCTCGGTGGCTTATGCCTGTAATCCTAGCATTTTGGGAGGCTGAGGCAGGAGGCGCACTTGAGCTCAGGAGTTGGAGACCAGCCTGGGCAACACAGTGAAACCCTGTCTCTACAAAAAAATTAGCCAGGCATGGTGGTGTGTGCCTGTAGTTCTAGCTACTTGGCAGGGATGAGGTGGGAGGATTGCTTGAGCTCAGGTGGTCAAGGCTGCAATGAGCCAAGATCATGCCACTGCACTCCAGCCTGGGTGCCAAAGTGAGATCCTGTCTCCAAAAAAAAACTGTCTTACTCACAGAACCACAGGACTAACTGACTGAACCACACTCCACCATTTGCCCCTATTTCCAGGCGTTATGGTCACCCTGTAGTTTCTAATCTGTATAGATGTGTAGAGCATGCCTCTTCCCTCTTCCTTTCCCCTCCCTGTTTTCCTTTCCTCTTGCCCTTTCTTAATGTCTGTTTCTATTGGCTGCTTGATCTTGGTCTTTAATGTTCATCCTTAAGCTTGCTTCTCTCTTCAGACTACTGATTCAGCCTCTTGCATTTTCTTTCAACTTGGGCCAAAAAACAGGCAACATTTTCTTCCTCCACTACCTCATCATCATCCAATTTATTCCTTTAGTTTATATTACCACAACTCTCCTAAACGTCCCAAAGTCTATTATTAAGTCTAACAACTTAGCTTCGAACCTCAATCCAAGCATCTGACAACACACTGAAATGTGCAAGCAAGAGTCCCTATGGCCGGGTGCAGTGGCTCTTGCCTATAATCACAACACTTCGGGAGGCTGGGGCAGGAGGATCACGAGGTCAGGAGATCAAGACCATCCTGGCTAACAGGGTAAAACCCCATCTCTACTAAAAATACAAAAAAATTATCCGGGTGTTGTGGCGGCCCCTGTTGTCCCAGCCAGTCAGGAGGCTGAGGCAGGAGAATAGTGTGAACCCAGCCGGGAGGTGGAGCTTGCAGTGAGCCAAGATCGCGCCACTGCACTCCAGCCTGGGCGACAGAGCGAGACTCCGTCACACACACAAAAAAAAGTCACTATTACCACAGCATGCTTTCTATTTATTTAGGTATAGAGGCATGTACGCGTCGAGCATGCAGATTAAGGGAGCAAAGAAAAAACCAGGAGAGGCTTCACAGAGGTAGGAAATGTGAATTAGGCTTTAAAAGGCAGTGGACATGAAGAAAAGGTGGGATGCTGGTGGGGTTATTGGGGGATGAAGGGAGCATGTCAAGCATAGGAAACAGCATACAGACAAGCATAGCTAGATTGTGGACAACCTAGAAGAAAGTGCTTGGAAGTGAGGTTAAGAAGGTAAGTCAGCTGGGGGCGGTGGCTCCCATCTGTAATCTCAGCATTTTGGGAGGCCAAGGCAGGCGGATCACTTGAGGTCAGTTTAAGACCAGCATGGCCAACATAGCGAAACCCCGTCTCTACTAAAAATAGAAAAATTAGCTGGGTGTGGTGGCAGGCACCTGTAATCCCAGCTATTTGGGAGGCTGAGGCAGGAGAATCACTTGAACCCAGGAGTCGGTGGTTGCAGTGAGCCAAGACCACGGCATTGAACTCCATCTCAGAAAAAAAGAAGTTAGTACCAGATTGTGAGAGGTACTGTGTACTACATATGGTATAGGCAGAACCATGTCCCCCACCCCAAAGAGATTTATGTCCTAATTCTTGGAACCTGTGAATATAATATGGCAAAGGAGAATTAAGATTGTATAAGAAATTAAAGTTATTAATTAGCTGACCTTAAGATGAGATAATCCTAGATTATCTGGGTAAGCCCAATGTAATCACAAGGGTCCTTAAAAGTGGAAATGCGGGGCAGAAGAGTTCAGAATGATACAATATGAGGATTCCACAGGCCTTTGCTAGATGGAGGAGGGGGCCATGAGCAAGGAATATGGGTGGCCTCCAGTCACTGGAAAAGGTGAGGAAATGGATTCCACTCGCAGTCTCCAAAGAGGAATCAACATCTTAACTTTAGGCCATGCCAGACTTCTGACCTACAGAACAGTAAGATGACAAATTTCTGTTAAGCAGCAGTAGGAAAGTAGCATGTCATGCTAGAATATCTGAACTTCATTCTGCAGGTAATGGGGAGGCCTTTGTTCAGTCTGGAAGTACTTGTTTTAACATTTACTGTACTACGCTGGGCAGAGGAGACAGAATGGTGAAATAGACATGTGTCTGTCTTGCAGCCAAAGGGTGCAGAGAGACTGGGAAAAGGTCCAGTCTGGAGACTGAGAGAGTCAAGAAGGAATCAGACAAGTCCAGGTGGGAAAGGAAGATGAGGGGCTGTGTGGATGAACATTAATAGTTGGGGGCTTGAAGACGGGTCAGTATGGTATTCCCCTGTTTCACCAGCCTAGGGCCTATCATACAGGCTTTCAATAAATGTTTGCTAATGAATCCATGATACTTAGAGGGAACTAAAAAGATTGTTTGACTGGATATGGAAGGTGAAGGAGAAAAAGGACACCCAGATGACTTTTAAGTTTCTGGTTGAATGACTAGATAGGTGAGGCTAGAAGGTCCTCCCATGAGCTGAAATAGAGAACTGAAAAGGTTTACCATTTTCTGGGGTGGGGGGGAATTTCAAAAGTTTCATTTTGAAATTTTAATCATTGACTAATTCTACAAATATTTCTTGCGGACATACTGTATGTGAGGCCTTTGCCAAGAACAGGCAAGAAAATAATCATGGTCTCCGATCTCATGGGGCTTACATTCTAGTGGAAAATGGTACACACAATTTTTAAAAGGATGCGACGAGATATGTAAATGAGGAAGATCTGTGAGATTGAGGGGCAACTGGAAAAGTCTGGAAGGCAGACAAGAGACTGGGATGAGAGAGACATTTGAAAATCCCCAGGAGAAGGTGGGATTAGAAGTCACGACAACAAACAAGTGTTCACGGAGAAGGTGGCATGGGGACAGAAGCCTCAGCGACAGGACTTCAGGGGATACTGACGTGAGAAAATGGAGCGAGGGATCCACTGCCAACTAGTTTCTGTCCCATGACACTGTGTAACTGCTCTCTGCATCTGGACCTCTGTACTCAACTTTTTAGCATGTCTTATGCCTACTCACCCCTATTTTCTCAAGACCCTTTCTTCTACTTTTTGAGGGGGAATAAAAAACCCCGCTACTCTTTGTTCCATTTTTTTTTTTTTTTGAGGCGGAGTCTTGCTCTGTCACCCAGGCTGGACTGCAGTGGCACAATCTCCGCTCACTGCAAGCTCTCCCTCCCGGGTTCACGCCATTCTCCTGCCTCAGCCTCCCGAGTAGCTGGGACTACAGACGCCCGCCACCACGCCCAGCTAATTTTTTTGTATTTTTAGTAGAGACGGGGTCTCACCATGTTAGCCAGGATGGTCTGGATCTCCTGACCTTGTGATCCGCCCTCCTTGGCCTCCCAAAATGCTGGGATTACAGGCATGAGCCACCGCACCCGGCCTGTTCCATCTGTTTTCTTAGAAGACTGTAAAGCTGGCTGAAGGGCAGGACCAATTCTTACTTTTCTTTTGTATTATGTATAATGCCAGCACTATGCTGAGCCTAAGGCAGGGTGAACTCTCAACCCCTTCTAAATAACCTTGACATAATCCAACGAGTCTGAACTGCCTTCGGGATGCTGAGAAAAAACTCTGAGAAAGGTAGTTTGAGACCTTTTAGGTATGCTTCATAACTCATGCAGAAGACTTAACACCAAAAAAGATGTCCCACAGTGAGACTGGGGAATGAAATAAAGAACAATTACTTGCTCAGATTACTCCAATTGATTAATTAATATTATTCTGGAATAGTTGAATCACTCAATTCAAACCTGAGTAATTCAAGTTTTGGGTGCTACTATAAACAGAAGTTTTAAAATTTCATTTTCCAATTGTGTATTTGCAGTATAACGAAAGATAACCGTTTTTATACATTGATCTTGAGACCTTGATAAACTCACTTATTCTGGTAGCTTCTTTGTAGATTCTTCCAGGTCTTCTACATACAAGATCATACTGCCTGTAAATAAATTCAGTTCTAGTTCTTCCTGTAGGAGACTTTATCTTATTTATTAATTATTTTTTTGGAGATAAGTCTCACTCTGTCACCCAGGCTGGAGTGCAGTGGTGCAATCTCAGCTCATCGGAACCTTTGCCTCCCAAGTTCAAGTGATTCTAGTGCCTCAGCCCCTCAAGTACCTGGGATCACAGGCATGCACCACCAGGCCCGGCTAATTTTTGTATTTTTAGTAGAGACAGGTTTCACCATGTTGGCCAGGCTGGTCTTGAACTCCTGGCCTCAAGCGATCCTCCCACCTTGGCCTCCCAAAGTGCTGGGATTACAGGTGTGAGCCACCATGCCCGGCCCTATAAGAGATTTTAAATCTTGGGGATATAAATAGAGCCACCCGTGAAGGACTGGTGATATGTCTGGGTGACATTGCTTATGGCTTTCTCCACAGGTGTAGGGTGCCAGGGACTGGGGTGGCTTTTGATTCTTCCAGCTGCTCATGTGCACAGAGGTATAGATGTGAACCCCTTCATGGAGGGACTCAATCTCAAATTGGCCTCGATACCAGAATGAAGAGCACATTCAGTAGAGGCAGAAGGGGCTTGGGCAGCCTGCTTGTTCTCAACGGGTGTCCTTTCTATAACTGCAGTTGATCTCAGCCATGAAACAGCTGACCACTTAGTTGTCAAGGTACTCTTCACTCAGGTGGGTATCCTCAGTTGCAGACTTGACTTCAGTAATTCCATCTTGAATACTGAGGATGGACAGATAAAAAATGCCACCCAGGTAAAAGATCAGATCATTAAATTTGGCATTAACGTTCTCGTCTAAGCTGAGACCAGCGGCATTTGGCTTGCTGACAATTCAGAACACAATGAGATCAGTAATGGTTCCACCAACTTTGATGGCCTGAAGCTGGCAACCATTAAAGTAACTGGTAGTATGAGGATCGTGTAGGTCAGGGGTCATAAAGTAGGTTTCCAGAATTTTCTCCATCTTTTTCAAAACCAATGTGGTAGGCAGATTTCTAAGATGCCACCCAAAGACTCCCCACCTCCTGGTGTTCACTTTTGTGTCATCCCCTACCCTCGAGCGTAGGCTCAGTCTAATAACTTGCCTTTTTTTTTCTTGAGACGAAGTTTTGCTGTTTCATCCAGGCTGATCTTGGCTCACTGCAACCTCTGCCCCCCTTAGGTTCAAGCGATTTTCCTGCCTCAGCCTCCCAAGTGACTGGGATTACAGGCGTCCACCACCATGCCCAGCTAATTTTTGTATTTTTAGTAGAGACAGGGTTTCACCATGTTAGCCACGCTGGCCTTGAACTCCTGACCTCAGGTGATCCACTCACCTCGGCCTCCCGAAGTGCTGGGATTACAGGTGTGAGCCACCACGACTGGCCATAACTTGCTTTTTAATTTTTTTTTTTTTTTAAAGAGATGGGCGGGGGTATCACTATGTTGACCAGGCTGGTCTTGAACTCCTGGCCTCAAGTGACCCTCCCATCTCAGCCTCCCAAAGGGCTAGGATTATAAGCATGAGCCACTGTGCCTGGCCCTAACTTGTTTTTAACAAAGAGAGCACAGCAAAAATCACTTCTGTGATTAGGTTGCAAAAGACTGTGACTTCTGTTTTACTAGCATTCTCTTCCTGACAGTCTCTCTTGCTCTCTGTATTAGTCCAGTCTCTCACTGCTATAAAGAAATACCTGAGACGGGGTAATTTATAAAGAAAAGAGGCCTAATTGGCTCATGGTTCTGCACTGTTCTACAGGAAGCATGATGCTGGCATGTGCTTGGCTTCTGGGGAAGCCTCCAGAAACTTACAATCATAGTGGAAGGTGAAGGGAGAGCAGGTACCTTACATGGCAGAAGCGAAGAAGAGCGAACAAGGGGAGATGCAGGTGCTACACACTTTTAAACAACCTCACGAGAACTCACTGTCACAAGAACAGCACCAAGGGGATGGTGCCAAACCACTCATGAGAAATCTACCCTGATGATCCAGTCACCCCCCCACCAGGACCCACCTCCAACACGGGCATTACCATTCGACACAAGATTTGGGCAGGGATACAGATCTAAACCATATCACTCCCCTACTTGTTCATCTGATGAAGCACACTGCCATGTTGTGAGATGCTCTATGGAGAAGCTTCTGGACATCAGCTTATGAGGAACTGAGGCCTCAATCTAATAGCCTGAGAGGAACCAAATCCAGCCAATAACCACGAGTGAACTAGGAAGTGAATCTCTGAGATGACTGCAGCCTTGTGAGAAACACAGAATCAGAGGACCCAGCTAAGCTGCACTGATTCCTGACCCACAAAAACTTAAATAGTAAGTGGTGTTTCTTTTTTCTTTTTATTTTTTGAGACAGTCTCACTCTGTCACCCAGGCTGGAGTGCAGTGGTGCAGTCTCAGCTCAGTCCAACCTCTGCCTCCTGGGTTCAAGTGATTCTCATGCCTCAGCCTCCAGAGTCAGCTACTTGGGACTACAGGTGCATGCCACCATGCCCGACTAATTTATGGGGTTTCACCATGTTGGCCAGGCTGGTCTTGAACTCCTGGCCTCATGTGACCTGCCTGCCTTGGCCTACCAAAGTGCTGGGGTAACAGGCGTGAGCCACCGTGCCCAGCCAGTAAGTGGTGTTTCAGTCCACCAAGTTTTGGGGTAATTTGTTACACAGCAATAGCTAACACAACCACAGGAAATACCTCAACTGTATAAAGCTTTTAGTATCCCTCCCTTTCCTCCTCTGGATCTTCAGCCTGTGTGCACAGTCGACAACCAGGAAAGTCCAGTGCTTTTCATGTTTGACCAGACAGTTGGACTGTCAAATCGGTGTCTAATTACACCTCTGTTATCTAAAACTGTGTTGATGGAGTCCACTGAATTTGATTCCTAAACCATCACTAATCAATCTTTCTGTGTCAGCTAAAAGCAACATAGCTTGGTTTTCTTGCCGAGTGGTGATGATCTCTACTGTCCTGTGCTGGAAGACACCTACAGAGGAATAGGTGGTGCCAAGATCAGTGACAACTGCAGATAGCTTTGATGTGGTTTTGCAAGGGGCGGTGTCTAGCTTAGAGGAAAAAAATGTAGACACTAAAGTGGAACATAGCATTCAATAAGCCATGGTAGGTTTTTGAAATTATAAATCATGTATTTTTTATTTTTATTTTTTTGAGACAGGGTCTCACTCTGTCACCTAGACTGGGATGTAGTGGCGTGATCATGGCTCACTGCAGCCTCAAACTCCTGGGCTAAAGCAATCCTCCTGCCTCAACCTCCCAGGGTAGCTGAGACTACAGGCACATGCCATTATACCTGGCTAATTTTTTTAAAAAAAAGGTTAGTAGAAATGAGGTCTCATTGTGTTTCCCAGGCTAATCACTTATTTTTGATGTGATACAAGGTGAATGTGGGGATTGGTAGGAAATATGATTGAAAAACAGAAACAATAGGAAGGACCTTGTATATCAAGCCAGAACACTTGAGGCAATGAGGGAAACTGGAGGTATTAAAATTAGTTGGAGGGAATCAGAAAAGACAATCAGTAGACACTAATATCAAGAGGTATCTGAGGTTAGGTATTATTAGATGATGTTAGAGCAACCATCATAAAAATGATTCAACAAGCAATTCTGAACACATTTGAAACAAACGAAAAAGCAGGAAGTCTCTGCAAAGAAACAGAAGATACAAATAAAAAAACATGGAAATTTTAGAACTGAAAAATATAATAAATGAAATAAACTCAATGTTGGGCAGCAGAACGAATGTAACAGAGGAAGGAATCAATCAACTAGAAGATGAAACAAAGGACATTACCCAATCTTAACAGAGACAAAATATACTGGAAAAGAAGTGAACAGAGCCTCAAAGACCTTGTGAAATGATAATAAAAGATAAAATGTAGATGTCATAGAATTATGGCAGATTTCCGTCAGAAACCATGGAGGTCAGAAGGAAGTGGCATGGCATTTTTCAGGTGCTGAAAGAAAGAAAACTGTCTACCTAGAATCCTATTTCTAGGAAAATATCCTGCAAGAATGAAGAGAAAATTAATACACTCTCAGATGAAGACAAACTAAGAGAATTTGTCTCACTAGACTTACCTTAAAAGAATGGCTAAATAAAGTTCTTGAAAAAAAAAAACAGTAAAAGAAATCTTAGAAGATCAGAAGGAGAAAAGAACAGAAAGAATAAAAACATGGGCACATACAACAGACTTTGCTTTTCTTAGTTTTCTAAATTATGTTTGATGGTTGAAGCAAAAATTATAACATTATCTGATGAAGTTTTCTATGTCTGCAGAAGAATAGTTAAGAAAATTATAAATACGGAAGGGTAAAGGAATATAAAAGAAATAAGAATTCTTTTTTTTTTTCTGCATCCAATCATCCATTAGGGAAATAAAGATTCTATACTTCATTTAATCTGCAAGATGTTGAAATCAGTAGATTGTAATAAGTTATATACGTAAGATGTAATAACCAGAGCAACTACTAAATATCTATGCAACGAGATATATTAAAAAGTAACATCAAAATGAAATACCAAAAAATTGTTTCAGTAACCACAGGAAGACAGGAACTTTGATACAAGCAACAATTTGGATGGATCCAAGTTGAGGGCATTATGCTCTGTGAAAAAAGCCAGTTAAAAAGTCACATACAGATCGAGACCATCCTGGCTAAACACAGTGAAACCCCATCTCTACTAAAAATACAAAAAAAAATTAGCTGGGCTTGGTGGCGGGTGCCTGTAGTCCCACCTACTCAGGAGGCTGAGGCAGGAGAATGGCGTGAACCCGGGAGGCAGAGCTTGCAATGAGCCAAGATTGAGCCACTGCACTCCAGCCTGGGCAACAGAGCAAGACTCCGTCTCAAAAAAAAAAAAAAAAAAAAAGTCACATACTGTATGACTATCTATATAACATCCTCAAAATGACAAAATTATGGAGATGGAGAAGAGATTACTCACTGCCAGGGGTTAGGGACAGTCCGGGTAGGGGGAGGGCAGTGTGACTATACAGGGTAGCATGAGGAAAAGTGATAAAACAGTTTTGTGTCTTTTTGTTTTGTTTTTTTTGAGATGGAGTCTCGCTGCAACGCCCAGGCTGGAGTGCAATGGCATGACCTCAGCTCACTGCAACCTCCACTTCCTGGGTTCAAGCGATTCTGCTGCCTCAGCCTCCCGAGTAGCTGGGACTACAGGCACGCGCCACCACACCCAGCTAATTTTTGTATTTTTAGTAGAGACAGCGTTTTACCATATTGGCCAGGCAGGTCTCGAACTCTTGACCTCAAGTGATCTGCCCACCTCTAGCCTCACAAAGTGCTGGGGTTACAGGCATGAGCCACCGCACCTGGCACAGTTTTGTGTCTTGATCATGTGGTTGCATGGATCTATAGATGTGGCAAAATGTCACAGAACTATGTGCACACATTGTACTAATGTCAATTTTCTGTTTTCTATGCTCTTTCCCCATGTGGTCTACCTCCATCACTACAGCTTTTTTTTTTTTTTTTTTTTTGAGACGGAGTCTCACTCTGTCATCCAGGCTGGAGTGCACTGGCTCGACCTTGGCTCACTGCAACCTCCACCTCCTGGGTTCAAGTGATTCTCCTGCCTCAGCCTCTCGAGTAGCTCGGACTATAGGAGAATGCCACCATGCCTGGCTAATTTTTGTATTTTTAGTAGAGACAGGGTTTCGCCATGTTGGCCAGGCTGGTCTCAAACTCCCAACCTCAGGTGATCCATCCGCCTCAGCCTCCCAAAGTGCTGGGATTTCTTAATACACGTCTCTTTTCCCGACTTTGCTTCTGCCCTTCTAAATGCCTGCATGACGGAGCTAATTGGATATCTTGTTGCTACTCTAATCTCAGCATATCTTAGATTTAGTCTGTCACCTCCCCTCTCTGACCTCTCATTATTGTTTTTCCACCTTTCTACTTGTCACCTCCAGGCAAACATCAGTCATCCTTTATTCTTTCTTCTCCATGGCCTCTTATTACCCATCACTTGATTTGTCTTACATGATTCTTTCTTAAATTTATTTCTATTCTCACTGTCACCATGACAGATCAGAAGCAGTCATGAACTCTTGCTTGAAACTTGACAAGAACTTACTGATGGACCATTAGGCTTCCAAACTCTCATCTTATTCACCAACCTTATCTAGTCTGTAGAGCTAATATCAGAAGATCCTTTGACACAAAAAATTGAAGTGACTGTACAGAGGACAAGAAGGGGAAATATAAAGAGATTTGAATGGAAGTCAAACAAGATATTTCTCTGCAAGCAGTTAAACATATTCAACTTATAGGCGACAACGTGTCTTTTTCTCTCATTAGAAGTGCAAAATACGTACCTTAACTCTTCGGCCAATGCTAAGGAATTGACACGTTTTATCGTAAAGTCCTTCCAGGTTTTCTCTGTCCCAGTAGAAATCAGGAGTAATCAGGAAGTCTGAACTCAAGTTTATACGGTGCCTTTAAAAAGGAAAATTATAACTTTTTATTTATCTTGAATTAAAAATCATTGTTTCTATTGTATTTAATATTTACATAGTGCTTTATGAAAACTTTTTTTTTTTTGGTAAGAGAGAGGGTCTTGCTATGTTACCCGGGATGGAGTGCAGTGGTGTGATCACAACTCACTGCAAACTGAACTCCTGGGCTCAAGCTGTTCTCCTGCCTCAGCCTCCCATGTAGCTGGAACTACAGGCATGTGGCATTGCATGTGGCTGAAAACATTTGTTAATGCTGACCTTTGCAAAATACTGCCAACAAACATGTAAATAAAATTTACAAATGAGTTTCAAACTTCTGAACCAAATTAATTCAATCTTTAATACCAACATTATTTATGAAGTACACAGAAAAAAACTCATTTTGTTTTCAATTTTTTTTTTTTTTTTGAGACAGAGTCACTCTTGTCACCCAGGCTGGAGTACAATGGCATGATCTCAGCTCACTGCAACCTCTGCCTCCCAGATTTAAGCAATTCTCCTGCCTCAGCCTCCCAAGTAGCTGGGATTACAGGTGCCTACCATCACACCTGGCTAATTTTTTGTATTTTTAGTAAAGGGTTTTACCAAGTTGGCCAGGCTGGTCTCGAACTCCTGACCTCACGTGATCTGCCTACCTCAGCCTCCCAAAGTGCTGGGATTACAGGTGTGAGCCACCATTCCCAGCCTAAACTTTTTTTATTAAAAATTTTAGGGCCAGGCATGGTGGTTCATGCCTGTAATCCCAGCACTTTGGAAGGCCAAGGCGGGCAGATTGCTCGAGTCTGTGAGTTCAAGACCAACCTGGACAGCACAGCGAAACCCTATCTCTACAAAAAATACAAGAACTAGCCAGGTGTGGTGGTGTATGCCTGTAGTCCCAGCTACTTGGGAGGCTGAGGTGGGAGGATCATGTGAACCTCGGAGGCAGAGGCTGCAGTGAGCCAAGACTGTGACACTGTACTCCAGCCTAGGCAACATAGTGAGACCCCATCTCAAATAAAAAAAAAATTTAATATGTCCACACTTTTTTGTTTTTTATTTAAAAAATTTTTTTAGAGATAATGTCTTCATATGTCACCCAGTTTGGGGTGCAGTGACACAATCATAGCTTACCGCAGCCTCAAACTCCTGGGCTCAAGTGATCTTCCTGCCTCAGCCTCCTGAGCAGATCAAGATATAAACAGGTAAAAATTGATAAATCTTAACTCTTATTCTTATCTGTATCTTTCCCTATCAGTAATCCCTTCTAGTTTCCGCTGTATCCTTCCAGTGTTTATGCAAACACTAGACAAGCAAGCATAAACATACACACTCTCTCTCTTAATTTCTACATTTTAATATAAGAAGTCTGTGCTTACTTTTTTTTCTGAGACAGAGTTTTGTTCTTGTTGCCCAGGCTGGAGTGTATTGGCGCGATCTTGGCTCACCACAACCTCCACCTCTTGGGTTCAAGCAATTCTCCTGCCTCAGCCTCCCGAGTAGCTAGGATTACAGGCATGTGCCACCACGCCCGGCTAATTTTGTATTTTTAGTAAAGATGGGGTTTCTCCATGTTGGTCAGGCTGGTCTTGAACTCCTGACCTCAGATGATCCACTGGCCTCGGCCTCCCAAAGTGTTGGGATTACAGATGTGAGCCACCGTGCCCAGCCTTTTTCTTTTTTGAGACAGAATCTTGCTCTGTCGCCCAGGCTGGAGTGCAGTGGCATGATCCTGGCTCCACTGCAACCTTCGCCTCCTGGGTTCAACCAATTCTCATGCCTCAGCCTCCCAAGAAGCTGGGATTACAGGCGCACACCACCATTCCTGGCTAATTTTTGTATTTTTGGTAGAGATGGGGTTTCATCATGTTAGCCAGGCTGGTCTCGAGCTCCCAGCCTCAAGCAATCCACCTGTCTCAGCCTCCCAAAGTGCTGGCATTACAGGTGTGAGCCACCGTGCCTGGCCTTACACTTAGATGTTTAACTAAATAAAAATCTAAGTTATGAAAGTACACATAAACTGATGTGGTGGCTCACACCTGTAATCCCAGCACTTTGGGAGGCCTAGGGAGGAGGATTGCTTGAGCAAGGGTTTGAGACCCTGTCTCTACAAATTATTTTTAAAATTAGCTGGGTGTGGTGGAGCACTCCTGTGGTCCCAGCTACCCAGGAGGGTGAGGCAGGAGGAATCCCTGAGCCCAGGAGATCAAGGCTTTGGTGAGCTATGATCATGCCACTGCACTCTAGTCTGGGTGACAAGCAAGACCCTGTTTAAAAAAAAAAAAAAAAAAAGTAACACATACATACCTGTTCACGATTAAAAAAAAAAGGAAAATATCCTAGAGAAGGATTCAGAAAAATGGTAGGCTCTCTTATGCTACCACACTACTTAAATCCTTTATTCTCCCCAAGGACAGGCCTGTAGAGACACTTTGCTGTGTACTTCCAGATCTTTCTGTATTCATACATGCATGTGTGTGCAAGCAAACACATGTACATGTGTATGCATATAAAGATAAACATGAATATTTTTATTTGCTTACACAAATGGGATCATACCCTATATAAATTTAGATTTAGTTTTTTAATCTAATATTATCTGCCATGTTTATTTTCACAGATGTATCACATTCCTTATATTAACAAATAAGCATTTTTATTGTACAGGTAAGGAAACAGGATAGTAAAAGTAAGCCTTTATAGAAACTATTCACAAACCTACGTATATTTAGTCCTAACTATTCAGTTTGGATATTATAATTCACTACATCAATTTCTGCTTGCATGACCAAGAGAACAGGAGAGAAGAATCTCTCTACCCTACTTCTCAGAGAATTTGAGGCTTCAGATATGCTGCAGGATGCTCCTGATGGATGGGTTTTTAAGTTTTGTTGGTACCCTGAACTATAGGTCCTGAGCTATGAGAGATACACAGACAATGAAACACTGTATCACTTCTCTCCAGGCAGAGCATCTAAGGAGAATATGGAAAAACAAGTCTTAGGTGAACATTTGCAGTGAGCTCTGGTAACTCATTCCACATGCTAGAAGGGATAAACTGGACAATGCTGCCTGTGAGAAAAACACCAACATCCGGGATGTTTCATTCCGTAAATCCTGGGACAACTACAAGAATAATAAAAGCTGAAAACCTTTCCAGATACTTATTTAAAATGATTCATCAGTTTTTAGACATAGTTATTCCCATTTTAACATCTCGAGGCATCTTAAAATTAATGGTGTCTGACAGGTGGCACTTGAGACTTACTTGTCTTTGCCTTAAATAATTTATTTTCTTATGCTTTCCTTTTCATATATGCCCAAGAGGGAATGTGATATAATTTATATCCAGCTAAGATTAAAAGATATTTCAGTAAGTGTAAAATTTTAATCCTCTGATAAAAAAAGTATTGTCATAGTTTAACTGGCAGCAGTTTTTCTCTCCAGTGGCATCTTGGTGTCTCAGATTCAAAGAAACTTTTCTGTAGCAATTAAGCCTATTTAGCATTATGATGCAGTGATATATTTTTACAGAGAATTCCCATTAACCAAATTCAGGAATATGTCTTTCTACCTTCAAAGAACACCTACTGTGCTCCTTAATGTGGGTTTAATGTAGATGAATCGTGATCTCTTTTGCACATGCGTGATTTCTTTCAGTACAGTCTTAACACAGCCCAACTACTTCTAATGGGTAAGAGTTCTCCCTGCTTATAATCAATGAAATGAAAACAGCTACAGTTCCCATAAACGTGTAAATGTTTGCTCTTCACCACAGAACTATGGGAATGTTTTCTTGAGATTGTTAAATATATGAAATATTTTATTTAGAGAGAAAACTTTTACCTTAGAGCAAAGAGTTCACCGATTTTCTGCATAACTTCTTCATGAGATAGTTTCACTTTCTTCCCAGCTTTTAAAGCCTAGTTGAGAGGGAATCGGAAAAACCAAAAAACCATGTATCTCTCTTTCTAATAAGCATTAGGTCAACAGGGCAAAATCTGAAGTGGCATAATTTGGATCCTATGTAAATATTTTTTAGGATGGCTGTCTCCCAGATTAATGTCTTAACTCACCTTGAAATTTCATAATTTTATTAGGTAGAAATTGTATATTCTCTTTTTTCATTTCCCTTCTCATCAGCATTTTCAATGATATATACATTCCTAATCTCTTAGTAGAAAAGCAGGGCCTCCTTTCCGAAGTATAATTAGATTACTCTTTCACAATAAAGACACAGTTAATTACAATATGATGATTTTTAATGTATACTGAAATTTCAATATAACTTTATATGTATTTTTCATACCACTATTTTTCTCATAATTTAGCAAAACACTTTCTTAAATCAGGAAAAGTGGTCATAATTTCCATTCTCAGAGAGAAACATTTCACTTTTTTCTTTAATTCAGTTACATTAAAAATACTGCAACTGACGGGCATGGTGGCTCGTGGCCTGTAATGCTAGAACTTTGGGAGGCCGAGGCAGGAGGATCGCTTGAGCCCAGGAGTTCAAGACCAGCCTGGGCAACATGGCCAGACCCCATTTCAATTATATTAATATTAAAAAAAAAATACTGCACCAACAGAGGAAACAATTTGAAGTTTTAAAAAGTAAAAAGTAATCAATATGAAGTTTCTTAATTTGTCATTTTATATGTAACTGGGAGTTCTTAAGTTTACTGTAGTTTTCTTATTGTTTGTAATAATGTTGTTGTACTCCTAAACAATCGGCCCTCTATAAGTTCTGCAACTGCAGATTCAACCAACTGCAAATTGACAGTATTTTGAGAAAAAAGAATGGTTGCATCTGTACCGAACATGTACAAACTGTTTTTTCTTGTTATTATTTCCTAAATAATACAGTATAACAACTATTTACATAGTATTTACATTATATTAGGTATTTTAGGTAATCTAGAGATGGTTGAAAGTATACATGAGGATATGCATAGGTTATATGCAAATATATACCATTTTATATCAGGGATTTGGACACTGGTAGATTCTGGTATCCAGTGGGGTCTTGGAACAAATCTCCCATGGATACTGATGGATAGCTATATATTGTTATATTGGGAAATTCATATTTTTTACATATAAAAATCAATCCTTGAATAAGCATAAAATTGATATAATTACCTCAGGAATTGACTGAATAGATTCAATAAATTTATCCAGTGATGCTTCCCAAATTGCCAGTTTTACTGGGAAAAAAATTAATAATGGAACATTTCTTTATCATCATATTCACATGTATATAAAATACATAATTGCACAGCATCTTCACTACTATTTCAGTAATAGTTTAAGAAAAAGTACTAAAACCTTGAAAATATAATTTAAGAATAGTTAATTATCATAAAGGACAGAATTAAAGTGGATAGAGGAAACTGAATCGCTTTCCATGCCCTATTGGAAGACCAAAGCTACATTTAGTAGAACTCTTGATTTTCTAGTATTACATCTTGGAAACTGAGGAGGGTAGGGTACACCTTGATACCATGGGTAGCTCTGCAGATAGGGCGCGACTAAGACTTTCCTGGCCTCCCCTTCACTCCTCAGGACTAAGAGTAAACCTCAGAAATCTCCGAAGCCCCTCAGAGTGGGATGGACAGGACGCTGCAGCAGCCACCTAAGGTAGACTGCTGGCAAAAGAAATTCTTAAAGAACTTGTATAGTTTTATTCGGGATGTGGATCTTTCAGAACAAACTTATAGCCACTGTGACTCTGGGTCCCATTCCTATGGAACACTAGAGTATGTTTTTCTACACTGGGACCTGTGCCCAGTCACACAAGGCTGGGCTTCTCTGTCTGGATTAGAGACTATCTAAGAATAACAATCGCATAGAGAGAAGAGAAAAAAACAAAGGCTAATATAATCATCATCTAAAAAATACTTTTGGAGAGGTTAAGCTTTATTAATACAATTAATAAGGAATGAGTAACTTCAGCACAGTACTATCTTTTATACTAGATATTTTTTCTGATGGAGGGAAAAAAAGGAAAAGGAATGCTAAGGCTTTGTTGAGTATTCTGAAAATATACCAAAATCGTGACTATTTAAACTTCCCTCAGTGAAATGACAACTGTAGTACCCTATCCCATAAGCAGTAGTAACTTACCAGAAAGGCATAGAGCATTGGAGAAAGCAAACTTCTCTAGAATGGCATCATCTAAATCCAGCTCTGAATTTAACTTGATTTCCCCCCTGTGAAGTTTTGACTGTCCCCTGTGAAAAGCAAAAAGATAATACCTTCTAAATCTTAAAAAGCACTTTAACTTTTCCTTTGAAAAAGACACCATATCATCTTTCTGGAGGTCATTTTGACAATTTGTATCAAGAGTGTTACAAATGTTCTCATATCCTTTGGTCCAGGTAATTCCCTTTCTAGGAGTTTATCCTAAGGAAATAATCTAAGATGCAAAGAAAAATTTGTATACAAGAAAACTTTTTTTTTTTTTTTTGAGACAGTCTCACTCTGCCGCCCAGGCTAGAGTGCAGTGGTGCGATCTCAGCTCACTGCAACCTCAGTCTCCTAGGTTCAAGCGATTCTCCTGCCTCAGCCTCCCTAGTAGCTGGGATTACAGGCATGCGTAACCACACCCAGCTAATTTTTTTTGTATTTTTAATAGAGATAGAGTTTCACCATGTTGGCCAGGCTGGTCTTGAATTCCTGACCTCAAATGATCCACCCACCTCGGCCTCCCAAAGTGGTGCGACTACAGGTGCGAGCCACCTTGCCCAGCTGAAAACTTTTAAAAAAATGGTCAGTGTTGGCTGGGCACGGTGGCTCACGCCTGTAACCCCAGCACTCCGGGAGGCCGAGGCAGGTGGATCACGAGGTCAGGAGATTGAGACCATCCTGGCTAACATGGTGAAACCCCGTCTCTACTCAAAACACAAAATAAAATTAGCCGGGTGTGGTGGCGGGCGCCTGTAGTCCCAGCTACTCGGGAGGCTGAGGCAGGAGAATGGAGTGAACCCGGGAGGCGGAGCTTGCAGTAAGCCGAAATCACGCCACTGCACTCCAGCCTGGGAGACTGAGCAAGACTCTGTCTCCAAAAAAAAAAAAAAGGTCAGTGTTTAAGAGTAAAAAATTAGGAAATAAACCAAATGTTCAGTAGGGGTTGGCTCAGTAATAGTCACTCCACACAAGAAAAACTTAAAAGTGTGTTTTGGAAGGATAGTTAATAAAAAGGAGAACGTTCACAGTAAATTTCTATGTGAAAAAATGCTGCATATAAAACTATATATGGAGTGTAATCTAAAATCACACTGACATGATGGGGTTGGGGAGGGAGGCAAGGAAGTTGTGAAAAATGAGTATGTGACTGTGGAGAATCCTAGACAGGGGACAGGGGAAGAGCGGAATGTGTGAATATAAACATCACAAGCAAATGGAAAAAAGACAGGGTAAACCTTCACAAAAGATGTCAGACAAGAAGTGACGGCCAAAGGGAGGGGGACAAGGGGCCTGATGGAGGGCGGCATCTGCTATGACAGCCTCAGATGGAGGAAGGAAAGCAAAGACAGCAGTCACAAGAGGTCTTTTTTTTTGAGACGGAGTCTTGCTCTGTCACCCAGACTGGAGTGTAGTGGCGTGATCTTCGCTCACTGCAACCTCCGCCTCCTGGGTTCCAGCGATTCTCCTGCCTCAGCCTCCTGAGTAGCTGGGATTACAGGAGTGCACCACCACATCCAGCTAATTTTTATATTTGTAGTACAGACAGGGCTTCACCATGTTGGCCAGGCTGGTCTTGAACTCCTGACCTCAAGTGATCTGCCCGCCTTGGCCTCTCAAAGTGTTGGGATTACAGGCATGAGCCACTGTGCTTGGTCACAAGATGCTTTATGAGTAAACTGGGCCCATGCCACAGAGCTGAGCAGATCCCTGGAATCATGGCAGAACTCACATAATAACCATGTAGGTGGCAGCCAGGACAGTCTTTCTGACGAAACAAAATAACTGACTCTGGGATCCTAAGCACTGAGGATTTTACTCCTCACAGACTGTACAGTAACGTGTGTGTGTGTGTGTGGATAAGCGTACACACACACACACACAAGGGTCTAGCAGTAGTTGGATATGGAAGTATTTGGTTGGTGCAAAAGTAATCGCGGTTTTTGCCATTTTAATGTAAACCTAATAGAACACAGAAAGGGGATTCACAGGAGCTGTATCTGCAGGCCAAGGGCTGAGTAACTACTAAAGATAATAAAACTACAGGCTGCTCATTTGCTGTCTCTCTCAGGTTTATATCCTTACCTCTGACTGCAGCCACCACTGGGCTCAGGCTGACTCACAGTCAGGTGCCCTTTGGCAAGACAGGATTCAATAAATCTCATCGGAAAGCCAGTTAGCTGCAATTATAGGGTTTTCCCCAGGATTAAATGAAATAATACATGGAAGGCACTTACTTAGAAAACCGTGACTGGCCCTATTGGTGGTGAGCGCTGATTACTCAGCTCTTATCCCCATCTGGTCTTTCTATAGCTAGTCTCTGTCTCTCTTCCAAGTCTTCCCAAAGCTCTGCTTTTAACGCTTTTTTTTTTTTTTTGAGACAGAGTCTCACTCTGTTGCACAGGCTGGAGTGCAGTGGTGCGATCTCAGGTCATGGCAACCTCTGCCTCCCAGGTTCAAGCAATTCTCTGCCTCCGCCTCCGCCTCCCAAGTAGCTGGGATCACAGACACTCGCCACTATGCCCGGGTAATTTTTGTATTTTTAGTAGAGATGGGGTTTCGCCATGTTGGCCAAGCTGTCTTGAACTCCTGACTCAGTTGATCCTCCCACCCTGGCCTCCCAAAGTGCTGAGATTACAGGTGTGAGCCACCAAATCTGGCTAACACTACCTTTCTTAAGAACCTGCAAAGACTCATATTTCACTAGACAGGTAACTCCATGAGGAAAAAGACACTACCATCTTGTTCATACTGCCTCTGTCTCGGCCCTAACATCTCTTCATTTTTTCCCTCTGGCTGAGTCAGGAAAATCAGCTAGTCTGTTGCCTACCCATTTATCTTAGTGAAACTGGTACACCAGGTCCCACTTCTTCCAGCACCCACACTTCTACAAGTGGGTCTCTTAGATTGACCCCTCACTATACTTCCTTTTCATACCCCCACCCCCCAAAATCAATAGGAAAAAACTGGATTAAGAGAAAAATTTACTGGAATAATTTGATAGGTTCATTTGATAAATGCATACTATTTTATTGGATTAGGCTGATTAGAAACTTAACATTTCCATTTTGGGGCTATACTACTGACTTGTTTTAACTTGTGGATAGCCTGAGAAGTTCAAAAAATTATGTTTATCTTCTAATATTTATTATATGGTTTAGACTTTGTATTTGTACCAGTAATCTTTTTCCTCTTTTTTTTTGAGACGGAGTTTCACTCTTGTCACCCTGGCTGGAGTGCAATGGCGTGATCTCGGCTCACTGCAACCTCCGCCTCCCAGGTTCAAGCAATTCTCCTGTCTCAGCCTCCCGAGTAGCTGGGATTACAAGCACCCGCCACCATAACCAGCTAATTTTTGTATTTTTTAGTAGAGATGGGGTTTCACCATGTTGGCCAGGCTGGTCCTGAACTCCTGACCTCAGGTAATCCACCTGCCTCAGCCTCCCAAAGTGCTGGGATTACAGGTGTGAGCTACCACGCCTGGCCACTTTTTTCTTAAAAGTAAGTTTCCAGGCCAGGTCCAGTGGCTCACGCCTGTAATCCCAGCACTTTGAGAGGCTGAGGTGGGCGGATCACCAGGTCGAGATCCAGACCATCCTGGCCAACATGGTGAAACCCTGTCTCTACTAAAAATACAAAAAATTAGCTGGGCGTGGTGGTGCACACCTGTAGTCCCACTTACTCAGGAGGCTGAGGCAGGAGAATTGCTTGAACCCGGGAGGCAGAGGTTGCAGTGAGCCGAGATTGTGCCACTGCACTCCATCCTGGGCGACAGAGTGAGACTCCGTCTCAAAAAAAAAAAAAAAGTTTCCATATGCATAATAATTTGTCTCCTCTATTGCTTTACCTAATTTATTCCAAGTGCCCCTTTCATAAATTTGATGAAAAGTTGCTTACTCTATTTTTATGTAGTTAAGTTCTTCATTTTCCCAGTGTACCAGTGCGATTTCATAGGGCTGAATTTCATGTTTTTCTAGAACTTTCATCACATGCTTCATCTAGAAGAAAAGGAAGATTAATCTGAAATCATAACTGACTCCCTCAGTTCAAGTATGTTATGATTTTAATGCTTATAACAGTCTTCATTACACTTACAGGCATTATTTCTGTTGCATGTTTTTAAGGAAAAGGCAAATCAAATCCATTGTGATATTAAAGTAATCAGGATGACATGTTCATTTGTTTTTACATTTGGAAAACACAGATGAGAATGGAGAAGAAAATCAAGGTTATCATTATCCCACAACCCAAGGAAAATCACTAGTAATATTATAATTTGTATTCTTTAAATCTCTTTAATAATCCCAGCATTTTGGGAGGCAGAGGCGGGTGGATCCTTGAGCTCAAAAGTTCAAGACCAGCCTGGGCAACGTGGCAAAATCCTGTCTCTACAAAAAAATACAAAAATTATCTGGGTGTGGTGATGTACACCTGTAGTCCCAGCTACCTGAGAGGCTGGCTTGAGCCTGGGAGGTGGCGGTTGCAGTGAGCCAATGTCAGCCGGTGTGACAGAGCAAGACCCTATCTCAAAAAAATAAATAAATAAAAAATAAAAAGTAAAGCCCAACATACTAATAAAAAATTAAGCCACACAGGTGTGGGAGGTGATCATCTCTTTCTCTCTTCTGTACTGAAATCCTAATCCCCAGAGGCAACCATGATTAAACTTGGTGCATATCCTTCCAGACTTTTTATGTGTATATATGTACATATTTATGCTGCTTTTTATGTAAAATAGGATCATATTATGCACATGACATTTTCAACACTATTTTCCTTTACAGACGAACTGCAATTTATTTAACCAACCTAGGTGTGTCCTCCATGGGGAATTTTTTCTACTCTCCATTACAATGTTGCGATGTGCCACACTTGTGCAAAGGTCTTCATGGCTTTGTGGGAATACTTCTTTAGGAATTGCTAGATCAAAAGATATGTGGACTTACACAATATGTATATATGTAACAGACAGGGTCTCACCTTGTCACCCAGGCTGGAGTGCAGTGATGCAATCATAGCTCATTGCAGCCTCAAACTCCTGGGTTCGAGCGATCCCCCTGCCTTAGCCTCCCAAGTAGCTGGGACTACAGGTACACACTACCACACCTGGCTAACTTCTAAAAACTTTTTGTAGAGATGGGATCTCACTGTGTTGTTCAGGCTGGTCTGGAACTCCTGAGCTTAAGTGATCCTCCCACCCCAGACTCCCAAAGTGATACGATTACAGGTATGAGTTACCACACCTGGCCCACACTTATAATATTGCTAGCCTGCTCTCCAAAGTAGTTTTTCCAAATGTAGAATCTCAACATTTATGAAACTACTCTTAAGAAATGGGGTTTATCAGCCTTTTACATCTTTGCAACTTCAAATAGCCAACTTGTATTTTCTTAAATTTATTGGTCATTTATATTTTCTTTTCTCTAAGTTCCCTTCCCGACCACCTACTGTGTGTGTTTCCTTTTCGTAAAATTGGGATTGTATAAAGCATGTTTTTTAACCAGTTCTGAGATTATATTGGTTATATTTTGTAACCCGCTTTTTTTTTTTTTTGAAGACAAGAGTATGCCTCTGTCTCCCAGGCTGGAGTGCAATGGTCTGACCTTGGCTCACTGCAACCTCTGCCTCCAAGGTTTAAGCGATTCTTGTGCCTCAGCTACCCGAGTAGCTGGGATTACAGGTGTGCACCACCACGCCCAGCTAATTTTTGTATTTTTAGTAGACATGGGGTTCACCATGTTGGCCAGGCTGGTCTCGAACTCCTGGCCTCAAGATACCTGCCGGCCTTGGTCTCCCAAAGTGCTGGGATTACAGGCGTGAGCCACCATGCCTGGCCGTATAATCTGCTCTTTTAATGTAACTGTATTATATATATAGGCAATCTCCCAGAAATAGATATTTTTTTACATGATTTCTAAGGGGATCTATAGTATATCTGTAGTATATGGATGATTTAACAAACTATTATTGTGTATTTTGGTAATTTCTAATTTTTGCCATTATAAATATTGCTCTGATGAACATTTTTGTACAAAAATCATCACGAATAGTTATGATTATTTCCTTTGGATAAATTTCTAGGTGTAAAATTACTGGGTTAAATATAAAGCTTTAATGTAGATTACCAATTTGCCTCTAAAATGGTTGTATTAAACAAATCTTGATTTGGATCTTGAAAAAATTATTTCCCATGAGTAGTAAGTTCTAGACAACTTGACTTAAAAGAACACTCAATGCAACCAGCTTCCAATTAACTGCATACATTTTGTATAGTACAACATGCAAAGTCTACAGTACTTCTGTCTGCAGTATAGTTAGGATGGTTCTGATTCTCCACAAATTAGTGTGTGTCTAGAGAAAGGAAAAAGCAGGAAATCTTAACCCAAAATACAATATATTTTGGAAGATGAAACTGATAAGTATCATGTAATGCAGAGCAAATAAGTTGTGCATAATCTATTAATTTCCCTTCTAATGTTTCAGTATGTGCTAATTAACAATTCATTCTCACAAAACTAAATTTTTATATTTTCACATTTTTATTTACACTTACAGTTTTGTCTTTCACATTCCAAAACACAGCAGCTCCTTCCCTGATTTAAAAAAATAAAAGAAACAACTAAGATACAGATGGAATACATTCTTTAGGGTCGTATATAAAACCATGTAACTTCTAGAATGTATACAGGATGCGATTTTTCAAAATATGATGGTACTTACTAATTTGATATTATGGTCCTTAGGTGAACTTCCTACAATAAGAGCTAAAATAAAATTCTTGATAAAACCTGACCTCCTCAAAATTTATGATTTCTCACATGGTTTGCCAAACAAATAGCCATTATTGTAATACTATATAACTTCACGTATGTAGACTCTTTCATACCTGGTTCAATTCTGATCCACAGAAATCAGAATAAGGAAATTTTTTGAGACCTTGTCTTAGCTCTCATTAGGCAGACTCTACTATGTGCAAGGAATAAAGGGCTATGCCTGGATTTTTGTGGAATAAAGAGATGGTGGTTAATTTAAGCATCAGATGGTTAAAGGCCTCTATGGAATAATGCTCCCCACGCTCACAGTGCTTGGAACAGAACTACAGTGACACCACAGGAGGCCCTCTGAATCCGATTATGGCTTTAACATTATTTAGGGTCTAAAACTACGAATGCATTTGTTTTGATTTCTCAAGTTTGACGTGTTGAAGCTGTTTCAGGTAGTAAATAAAAACAGGAGCTATAGCTCAGGGTCAGTGCACTGGAGGAAGGAAAGGAGGAAATAAAAGAAAGGTAAAAATATTAATGGCTCCACGTTATTCTTGAAACATTTCTAAAGTACTTAGTATATGTGTGGGTCCATGCTTAGTATTTGTGATAGAAACATAAGTATGATTTCATTCCTATCCTCAATCTAGAAAAGACTGGGACTGACACTTAGACCACCAATTACAATAGTGTGTGATCAGTGCTACAAGAGTATGCAGAGTATACCATGAGATGTACACCAGAGGGACCCCTTTGCTAAAGGACTAGCAGAGGCAGCCAAATGAGAAAACAAGAGGAGACAACATAGCAGAGGGGACACACAGGCTCAGAGAGGAGGTGGGACGGAGCAGAGCAGCATCTCAGAATAAACAGCCAGTAGCTGCGTGGCTGCAGATGTGGTCAAGCAGTGGGCAAGCAGGATAAAGAGGCAAGCAGGGGACAATCCAGAAGGGAACTTTATGCAGTGATAGAGAATTTGTTCATAGTCCGTGGAAATTTAGGCAGGAGAGTGTAGTGGTCAGAAATGGCCACTGAAGAATGACCCTGCTTACAATAGACAAACAGACTGGTGGTGGGTGAGCAGGCAGGCAGGGAGACAATAAGCTGTTACAATAGGCAGGGATAAGGTTTCAGGATACGGATTTGAGAGGTATTTCAAGCCACAGCCACAGTATCAGTTCAGAGAATCCCTTCCAGGCAGAAGAGAGGTCTGGTGAACTGCATATTCCTCCAACCAGAGGAATGCACTGTGCTGTGCAATGTGGTACTCAGAGGCCACATGTGGCTATTGAGTGCTTGAAACATGCCTGGTGCAAACTGAGATGCGCTGTAAGTGTACAATACACAGCAAAATTCAAAGACTTAGTATGACAAGTGAAAAAATATCATTATTAATTACATGTTGAAATGATAATATTTTAGATATGCTGGGTTGAATAAAATACATTGTTAAATTAATTTCATGTTAATATGTTAAGAAACATATTTGTGTTGTTCAAAATTAATTTTATCTTTTTAAAAATATTTAAAATGTGGTTACTGGAAAATGTATCATTACATATGAGGCTTGCATTATATTTCTTTCTTTCTTTTTTTTTTTTTCTTTGAGGCAGAGTCTCACTCTGTCACTAGGCTGGAGTGCAATGGCACGATCTCAGCTGACCACAACCATCGCCTCCCGCATTCAAGTGAATCTCCTGCCTCAGCCTCCTGAGTAGCTGGGATTACAGGCACCCTCCACCATGTGCCTGGCTAATTTTTTGTATTTTTAGTAGAGACAGGGTTTCACCATGTTGGCCAGGCTGGTCTCAAACTCCTGACCTTGTGATCTGCCTGCCTCAGCCTCCCAAAGTGCTGGGATTACAGGCATAAGCCACCGTGCCCAGCCGAGGCTTGCACTGTATTTCTGCTAGACAGTGCTGATGTAGAGTCCCTCACAAATCTAAATTCCTCACTCGGAACAACAGGGATGCTATTACTCTACTTGAATTAAATGTTGGAATCTTGATTCTCTCTAAAGATGGGGTCAAAAGGAAGGTAGGCATTGAAAGGAAAAAAGAACTTCCACTTATCATCAACTATAAGGATTATGACCACAAGAACTTTACTCAACTTTGGATTCCTACAGATGGTCCATGTGTTTCTGTTCTGTCACGTATTAGTCTCATGACTATGGGTAACTCAATCCCTATGACCCTCAGTTTCCTCAGGTGCAAAATAGACCTTCATCGGTGTGCTGAGGATAAATGAGATTATTTCACACGGTTCTATCATGTTATCATTCCCAGGCAGCTACTGTGGAGTATTTAGTATTGAGTCGGCCTTTAGATAAAAGGAATAAGTGTGTATGTGAGTCTCCTAGTCTAAAACCTCTGGAGAGGTAAGCTAAAACTTTAAAGAGCTACCAAAGGGGAAGGGAGAAAAAAAAGAAAATGGCAAGAAGAGACAGCAGGGAGGTAGCGGGAGTTTCCCTGGGGCAGGAGTCTGACAAGGGGCACTAAAGATGAATGGGAAATTGGCTGCTTTCCAGAAATTTAGTCCATGAAAATCCGAATTTACAAAGAAAGACACCCCGGGGAAGATCATTCACTTGTTTGAAATATTCTTTACTTTATAAGAGGGTTTACCAGAGAATTCCTAAAAGTGACAAACTCTCCTAGATTAAATAAGAATTAAATGATAAATTTAAATCACAAATACATTTTGAACACATTTACTGTTAAGAAAGGTATGCCTGCACCTTTAAAGACCACAATTACTTGACCCAAACCCATCATCACCTAATGGGGTTTCTTTCCTGTCTTACCTGAAGAAGAATATTGTTCCAGGATCACCTTCTTTTGCAGAATTTTCCACACCCATCACCAAAATATTTGCTGCATCTGTGATTTAAAATAAACGAACAAAAAAGCTATGTCAAGGTAACACAAGTTGTAAGAGTCACCTATAAACACTGTAATAAAGTACTTAAGATCATTTCTTTATATACCATGGAGTGCTCTGTAACACAATCACCATCTTTCTACTAAGGCCTCTGAAAGGATTTAATATATAAAAATGCAAATACGACCACCAAAAAAAGATCAGCAATTACTTTTATAAAACATTCAACAACCTGTGATATTAATATTAGAGCTCATTCATGCCCATTTTGATTCAATAATCACTAGTCCAGATAATTAATAAAGTCTTAGGTTCCATACAACTAAGTGTCAAGAATTAAACTTCTTTCTACAAAATTAAAAATAAAATTTGAAGAAGTATTAATATATTCTCTTCCTATAAATACCATTTCATTAATAATGCAATTTTAACATTCCCAAACTACTACTCCTGCTGAATTTTAAAGTATAAAAAGTAGGGCAATAGAAAATACACAGAAATAAAGATACTGACCACTTCAAAACATATGTGATTTCAAGGTTAATCACTACAGGGGCTACCACTGCAGCCACCTGCAACTATTTAAAAAAAAAGTTTTTTTTTTGTTTGTTTGTTTTTTTTGAGACAGGGTCTTGCTCTGTCTCCCAGGCTGAAGCGCAGTGCCATGATCTCAGCTCAATGCAGCCTCAACCTCCTGAACTCAAGGGACCCCCCCCCGCCCCACCCACCTCAGCCTCCCAAGTAGCTTAGACTACAGGCATGTGCCACCGCACCTGGCTAAGTTTTTGTTTATGTTTTGTAGAGATGAGGTCTCACTATGTTGCCCAGGCTGGTCGTGAACTCCTCAGCTCAAGCCATCTGCCTGCCTTGGCCTCCCAAAGTGCATTACAAGCATGAGCCACGGGGCCTGGCCTAAGTATTGTTAAAACATATACTAATATACCAATATTCATCATAAGAAGTTGCTTTATATATTAGTATAGTGATATTTATCATAAGCATATATTCCATAATATAAATTACAACCAATGTTAATATATCAATTAAAAAATATACTATTAATTTGCAAAAGGTTGTATGTCTTAACGGAATTAACATAAAATTAGGATCCTCAAAGCTTCAGAAATTTCTGGTAAAGGCTGGGTGATGGGCAATTCAGACACAGACCAAAACTGTGATTTTTTTTTTTTTTCTAAATTGTTAATTACTACATCCTACATAGGACAGAGTTTGCCTACACAGCCAAAAGCAAAATAAAATCGACTGAAACAACCCAGGGCAGTGAAGCCTGCAATTCTGTGAAGCACAGACCACACAGCTGGCAGCCTTCAGCATCAGCCAACAATACCTCCAGGCAAATTTTCATACCAAGGGGCTCTAGACATAGCTCTGTCTTTCTAAGTCAACTATGCTTGTTTTTGTCACCTAATCACACAAACGGTCTGTTTGGATTATCACAATGATATTTCAACTATCTTCTATGGGATTGAGTCTTAAGAATTTCCACTGTTATAGGAAGGCTTTCAACCTATTTTTGCTACTCTTAGGTAAATTAATAAATGTTCTGGGTATTGAGCTATCCTGAGTTTCACTGTAAAAGTTTATCAAAATGTTCTAAGTAACTTATTTATTTTTGAGACAGAGTCTCGCTCTGTCACCCAGGCTGGAGTGCAGTGGCACGATCTTGGCTCATTGCAACCTCCACCTCCCAGGTTCAAGTGATTGTCCTGCCTCAGCCTCCTGAGTAGCTGGGATTACAGGCACGTACCACCACGCCCAGCTAATTTTTGTATTTTTAGTAAAGGTGGGGTTTCACCATGTTGGACAGGCTGGTCTGAAACTCCTGACCTCAGGTGATCTGCCTGTCTCAGTCTCCCAGAGTGCAGGATTACAGGTATGAGGCATCACGCCCGGCCTATTTATTTATTTTTTAAGACAGAGTCTCACTCTGTCGCCCAGGTTGGAGTGCAGTGGCATGATCTCAGCTCACTGCAACCTCCACCCTCCAGGTTCAAGCAATTCTTGTGTCTCAGTCTCCCAAGTAGCTGGGACTACAGGCTCGTGCCACCATACCTGGCTAATTTTTGTATTTTTAGTAGAGATGGGGTTTCACCATGTTGGCCAGGCTGGTCTCGAACTCCTGACCTCAAATGATCCACCCACCTCAGCCTCCCAAAGTGCTGGGATTACAGGCCTGAGCCACCATGGCTGGCCTAAATTATTTTTAATTAATGTAAAGCAAGCCATTTCTCAAGAATCCTTCCTGATTTCACCATAAAAATCCTCAATTAAGTTCATTTTAATTTTCTTCTTTTTCATTTTTATCTTCTAACTAATCGTTTTATTATTATTATTATTTGTATTTTTAGTAGAGACAGGGGTTTCTCTATGTTGGTCAGGTTGGTCTCAAACTCCCAACCTCAGGTGATCTGCCCGCCTCGGCCTCCCAAAGTGCTGCAATTACAGGCGTGAGCTACTGCACCCGGCTAACTAATTGTTTTAAAGTATTAGATTGAGCTGGTAAATTTTTTTTTTAAAGGCTCTCCCCATGTCTATCAACTTCATGGTTCTTCTATAAGACTAAAATAACGGGCTGGGTGTGGTGGCTCAAACCTGTAATCCCAGCACTTTGGGAGGCCGAGGCGGGAGGATTAGATGAGGTTGGGAGTTCGAGGCCAGCCTGACCAACATGGAGAAACACCATCTCTACTAAAAATACAAAAATTAGCCAGGTGTGGTGGCGCATGCCTGTAATCCTAGCTACTCCGGAGGCTGAGGCAGGAAAATCGCTTGAACCTGGGAGGCGGAAGTTGTAGTGAGCTGAGATCGCGCCATTGCACTCCAGCCTGGGCAACAAGAGTGAAACTCCATCCCAAAAAACAAAAAAAAAAAAAACACAAAACACACACAGACACACACAAACTAAAATAACTTCTTAATGTGCTAGAAATGAAGTAGTATGACCTCTGACCACCTCAAGTAATAATGATCCTATAAATAATCTTAATAAATCATACTGATTTTAATGAGTTCTCTGTAAATACATTTTAATTCTTAACTTTGTCATCTTTATAAAGAGATTCAACATCCACTTTTATGATACAATCCTTTCAAAAGAAAATGAATTGCAAACAAATACATACTTAAGATAGTATCATAGGAAAATTATCCAATACATTTTAACATACTTGGCCCCAGGTTCAAGAAGAAGTACCTCTAGGCAAGCTTGTTACTTCAACATATCCGTGGGAGGCCAGATCTTGAGACAGATTTCCCAGATGATACTCATCTGCCGTTGCAAATGCTGTGCAGTGCATTAGGTCCTGTTCCAGGGAAATGAGCATAACATGGGTTACCAAGAGGCTGAAGCATCTGTGACGGCTGCTGAGCACCCTACTGGACTCCATTCTGCAAAGCTAGAACTCCAGAATTTTCTTCAAACATCTCCAAGGGTGATACAAGGGATGGGATGAAGATGAAGAGAATGAAGTTACTGGGAGGCAAATTTCAGCTCAATCTTGAAAAGAACTTGCTCCCTCCCGCCAGGCAAAAAGATGGAATGGATTATTCTGAAAGGGAAGCCACACTCAACTGGTAGTATCTCAAGCACAGATTGAATGCAAAATAGAGATGATTAAGGCATCACATGGGTGACTGGATGGAATGTTTAAGTCTCTCCAACCCTGAGTTTCCATGACTCTTTTTCAAAGCAACATTAGTATTTGAGGTCATTTCCTAATTTGTAACTACTCTTGTACAGGCAGATTCCTTTAAATCCCCAAAGGAATTACAGTATTTTTACACTGGTTAACATTTAACAAAAAGGTCTGTAAATCTGAGCATGTGTCTTGGTTTGGTTTGTACTTTGTCTCATGCCCCATCTTGCCTTTGCACACATGAGGAAAGTCATCTTGTGTCTATATAAAATACAGATGGTAAGCACTATGGCTCAATGCTGTGTTTTTTCAAACTGTAAGTCACAACACATTAGTGAGTTCTGATACCAATTTAGTTGGCCCAAAACAGCTTTTTTAATAAAACTAAATAGAAAATATTACAGTGCATTATTCACAGGAAATGCTATTTTATGAAGTTTTCTGTCACTTACATGTATCTATGTATCTACTCTAGGTCGCTATGTATGTAAAATGTTAAATATATTTCTCACTATAAGATGTGGTCAATAAAGTTTGAAAGCTATTGGCATAAGAGTTAAGATTTTAGGCACAGAAGTTGGTTACAATTTTAAAAGAGTATCAGAATAACAATAATGCCTACTTTATGGGGTTGTTGTAAAGTTTAAATAAGCTAATAAACAAAGTGCTCAGGACTGTGGCTAACACAACTGTTCAGTAGTTGTTAGATTCTAGTTGGCCAAAACAAGTTTATGAGTCACTAAATCAACATTTATTCTTAGGATTTACTCCTCTCAGCTCCCCAATTCTTTCCCATTCTGTATATTCCTGGTATGAAATTCTAGAGAAGTATATATTAATTCATTCCTTCCTCCCACCTCCATTCTGTATCTCCTGGCTCTTTCTCATGAAATGGCCTGACCCCATTTGCCCTTCCTCAATCTGTTCCACAGCTCTGATGCGTGGTTTAAAGGTAGAGGAATAACAGAGAACCTGAGGATCCATGCAAACTGAAAAATCCAAAATCAATAAAGTATCTACTCATAAACAAAATGAGACTAATCCAATTAGAAAAAAAGTCAGACAAGCTGAAATTACTGGGGAATGTGGGGATAAATGGATGTAGTACCCTAATTATGAGCAGATAACTGCTAATTCCTTCCAAATTAGCTAATTCCCATAGTCACATATGAAAGTAGGAACACGGGGATATACAAATAAAAATGTATCAGGAGTTACCAGAGTACAGGGAACAGGCACGTGCTTAAGGTTTAGACCTGTGAGCACTAGTTCTTTTTAAGGCTTCATGGAGTTAAAACTAGCTGATGTACGATGTGTGTAAAGATTCGGCCAGCTGAAAGAAAGGAATCCTAGCAAGGGGCATCAGGCGAGACATCGGGTAGGCTCCACTCTGCAAGACCTGGCAAATTCACTCAAGCTTGCTAGGTGAAATCACAGTACATTAGGTTGGATGTCAGAATTACTTCTGTGATGGCTACAGCTCATGTGCTTAGTTTGGGCTGAAGTGGGAAGAGCAAGAGGCACAAAAAGGAGATAAGCAGGTCACAAGCTAGTCCACTGAAGGATCTTCCTGTAGCTGTACTGAAAATGGCAGAGGCTGTCTCTTTTGCTAGAATCGGAGTTGTAAACTGGCAGCTCGGAGAACCATCCAACTCAAGAGTTGACCTACATCACGTTTCTAAAATTCAAATTGACTTGTCAACAATAAACTGAGAGATTTCACACAAAATCCAGATTTCCATCATCATCTGACCGAGTGGAAGATCTGGCTATAATAATGGACTAGGATAGAGTAGGGGGGCCCAGGGTCTCCAGCCCACACTGTCCCTGCCTCTCCCTGTTGTCTCACGTCTGCTTCACCATCATGTGGTACTGGCCAAGCCCATCTGCACTAAGAATGTGTACTACTTTTTTTTTTTTTTCCAAAAAAAACCCAAAAACCTTGGCAAGGCCCAATGACTCACGTCTGTAATCCCAGAACTTTGGGAGGCTGAGGCGGATGGATCACTTGAGGTCAGGAGTTCGAGACGAGCCTGGTCAACGTGGTGAAACCCTGGCTCTATTAAAAATACAAAAATTAGCCAGGCGTGGTGGCACACACCTGTAATCCCAGCTACTTGGGAGGCCAAGGCAGGAGAATCCCTTGAATCCAGGAGGCCGAGGTTGCAGTGAGCCAAAATTGCACCACTGCACTCTGGGCGACACAGCAAGACTCCGTTTCAAACAAAAACAAAACCAAAACACAACTTTATGTTCCTTTATTGGAGCAAGATTCTAGATTGATATACAGTGATGTATTAACTAAACAGAGACCTGTGCAGAAATTACATACTATCTATGTAGACAGGTTGTTATACTTCGCCTATTGATGGAATAGTTCCATTTATCAAGTTTTATACATCAAAAAGCTTTGAATTTCACCAGGCTCTCCATTAATTCACCTCTGAAAAAGTGGCATTTAATTTCAGCTACTATAGTTTACAGCATAAAAAGCTTATGCATGAGAGTGCTTCTCTGCACAGTGGCATGTTGCAGACAGAGCTGAGTCCATTATCCCACCCGGATTTACATTTGAGAGCTTTATACCAGAGAGCCAGGACAAAATTACTCCTAACCAACACAGACTTCTTACTCTCAGAGCCTATCTTCTTGGCTATATTTTATAGTGCCAGTGAAGACATGCTGGCAACTGTCCCATATACAGCTTGGCATTAGAGTACAAGGTCTGTTAATGGCGGTGGCAGGCATTATTATTTTATTCTGTTTTTTACTTTATTATTATTATATTTTTGAGACAGTTTCACTCTTGTTGCCCAGGCTGGAGTGCAATGGTGCAATCTTGGCTCATCACAACCTCTGCCTCCCCGGTTCAAGCGATTCTCCTGCCGCAGCCTCTCGAGTTGCTGGGATCACAGGCATGCGCCACCACGCCCAGCTAATTTTTGTATTTTTAGTAGAGACGGGGTTTCTCCATGTTGGTCAGGCTGGCCTCAAACTCCCGACCTCATCTGATCCTCCCGCCTCGGCCTCCCACAGTGCTGGGATTACAGGCATCAGTGACCGCACCCGGCCTATTTATTATTTTTTGAGACGGAGTCTTCCTCTGTCGCCCAGGCGTGAGGGCAGTGGTGCGATCTCAGCTCACTGCAACCTCTACCCCCTGGATTCAAGTGATTATCCCGCCTCAACCTCCCGAGTAGCTAGGATTACAGGCATGCACCACCACACCTGGCTAATTTTTGTATTTTTAGTAGAGACGGTGTTTCTTCATGTTGGCCAGGCTGGTCTCAAACTCCTGACCTCTGGTAATCTGCCCACCTCGGCCTCAAGTGCTGGGATTACAGGCGTGAGCCACCATGCCCAGCCAGGCACTATTATTTTAAATCAAGGTAAAAGGTCAGTTTTAAAAACCGCCACTTGGAGATAAAAATAAAAGGCTCAATATATTCAGAACTGAGTTTTGGGCAATCTGGTATCCCAAATTATGTGAATATTCCGACACTAACGGCAAATTGAGAATGTGTACTATTTTCAACTCTCAAGGACAGGACAAGTCAATCACTATTTTTATGAGAAAATATATTCTAAGCTCCAAATAAATTATGAATAAATCTTTAAACACAATCTGTTTTCACTTGGCCATCCTAAGGATCTTTGTTGTAGGTTTTCCAGACTGTCAACTGTCCCCTTTCCTTCTCTTGGGATCTCCCATTTAGTTTGGCTCAAAGTTCTATCCAATGTCACTCAGCTTATATGGTTTGCTACACTACTTTCTGTATTCTCCTTAAACTTCTTAGCTCTGAGTCTTAGTTGTGGGTTTCTTCTATTAATAGATGAACTTGACGTTTTAGACACTTTGTTTTGGTTTTGTTTTCTTTGCTTTTTTTATTTTAGCCTATTTGGTAAAAGGAAAGAGAATCATGGAATGTCTTGTCTGCTTTTTTTTCTTTATTAAAGATGCTGTTGTTTTCTGAGCAGCTTTCATTTTTATACATCCTTTTCTGGATTTTTACAGTGAATCCTTATTAAGCATTAGCTACATATATATGTAAAGCATATTTTGGGTTTCAGGATGGGGATCTACACCTTCCTGTTAAATAGATGTGTCAAACCAACCGATAATAGTTATGATATTCAGGGCTTTTCTACTTCAAAATGTTTTAAAAAACCCAAAAAGCAAAAACCCCAAACCACTGTATTTTAGTATGTTTTGTTTTTCTGGCCAAAGAAGACATGTTCCAGCAGATGGGGCTAGAAATCTACATATGATTCTTGTTTTAGGAGCATCGCATGCTCTGATCAGAACATTTTTTTAAAAATTATACTTTCATTTACACTGTATTACTGAAGAAAATTAGTGTGTTACAGCAATGTTGCTTCTATAGTGATATAATACATTTACATTTGGTCTTTGTCCTTGGTTCCCAGTACAGACTCCTAAAAACCCCTGTAATTTTCTAAGTGACAGGGGCATTTTTGGTTGTAGTATTTGCTCTTTGCCTTCAGTTACTAACACAGAGCTTCTAAAAATCCCTTGGAATTTCACGAGTGATGGGAACATCTTTTGTTTTAATGAGGTGACTCTCAGTGGGTCCTGGACAGCTTCAGGATGGGGGGTGGTTACCAGAAAGACCAAACTTTGATTAGAAGCTTAGAACTTTCAGCCTCACCCTTAACTTCTGGTGGACGGAGAGGGGCTGGAGATTGAGTTAATCATTAATCATGGCTTACACAATGAAACCTCCATTAAAAACACCCAGATGATGGGGTCTGGAGAACTCCTGGGTTGATCAATGCATCCATGTGCCAGGAGGGTGGCACAGCCCAGTTCTATGAGGAACAGAAGCTCCTAAGTTCCAGGCCCTTCTTGACTTCACTCTGTGCACCTCTACATCTGGTTGTTCATTTGCATACTTTATATAAAAAACCCAGTAAACATAAATAAAATGATTCCCTGAGTTCTGTGGGCCATTCTAGCAAATAATCAAACCTGAAGAGGGGATGGTTGTCATAGAGCTGGTTGGTCAGAAGCACAGGTGTCAACTGGGAGGGCAGTCTTGTGGGGCTGAGCTTAACTAACTGGCGTCTGCACTAACTCTGGCTAGTGCTGGAATTGAACTGAATTGCAGGACACCTTGTTAGTGTCTGGAGAATTGGAGAACTGGCTGGTAGGAGGAGGAAGAGGTCCCCATATATTTGATGTCAGAAGTACTGTGAGTAGATAGATCATACTAAGGAAAAATGCCTTTTCTCCTGTAACATACTGATTGGAGATTAAAGCTATAAAAACACAGATACATTTTACGTTACCAAGATCACGCTTTATCCTGTAAGTTTTTCTGACTACAACCTATAAATCATTAAACATAGTACATATACACATATATGCTTACACACCAATTGCCACAAAAGCTTCACAAACCAGTATTTACGTTTATCATGAGCAATGTATTCTGTTATTTTCTATTCTATTTCATTTTTCAAAAAAATGGTTAACAGTCCACCAGTGATTCTGTAACACAGTGCTATTAGCCTGAAAACATTCTCCCTGGTGTCGGGCTCCATGCCACTCAGACCTGCCGTTCCCATCCTCTGCTGTTCTCTTCAAAGACTGGACATTAACAAGAAGCACTGCTATTATTGTTTTCTTGTTTGTTTAGTGACAGGGCCTCACTCTGTCGCCCAGGCTGGACGGAGCGAGGTGCAGTCACGACTCACTGCAGCCTGGAACCCTGGAGCTCAAGCGATCCTCCCACCTCAGCCTCTTGAGTAGCTAGGACTACAGCTGCGCACCAGCAAGCCCGGCTTTTTTTTTTTTTTTTTTCCAAGTCTTTTAGAAATGGGAGTCTTGCTATGTTGCCAGGCTGGTCTTCAACTCCTGGCCTCAAGTGGTCTTTCTGTGTCAGCCTCCCAAAGCACTGAAATTATAGGCATAAGCCACTGGATCCACTATTGCTTTTAGGAATTGTAAGCCAAAGGGATGTGGGTTGAGTATCTCAGATTATGATCTCTGAAAATGAGACCAGGTAAAGATTTAATTCCAACAGACAGGGTGACTGAAACCTCATTCAGCCAACTCCAGATGCACGCTGTTCTGCAGAGCTGAAAAGATGAGCTGGGTGCAACTATGGGAACAAAATAAAGTCCACATGCTTTCTGACACAAAGCAGAGTCTTTTCCTTGTCTCAGTCAAGAATGGTATAAAGGGTTTACCATTTTGATGGTATAAAGTGGTATAAAGGGTTTACCACTATGATGGCCGTATAAAAATGGAGTGGCCCTCAATTTCGGGCAGAGGAAAGTCAGTCTTTGGTCCTGGGGACATATTACCTAGTCATGCCAAGACTGCTTTCTCTATGAAAAGTAAAATCTTCAAAAAATGATGTTCCAAAATTACATTATCTCAGACCACTTTAGAAACATGATTTTCTTCTCTTTTTTTGAGACAGAGTCTCACTCTGTCACCCAGGCTGGAGTGCAGTGGCATGATCTCAGCTCACTGCAACCTCCACCTCCCGAGTTCAAGAGATTCTCCTGCCTCAGCCTCCCGAGCCGCTGGGATTACAGGTGTGCACCACTACGCCTGGCTAATTTTTGTATATTTGTAGAGACAGGGTTTCACCATATTGGCTAGGCTGGTCTCGAACTCCTGACCTCAAGTAATCGCCTGCCTGGGCCTCCCAAAGTGTTGGGATTACAGCTGTGAGCCACCGCCCAGCCAGAAACATCTGATTTTCTATTATTTCCCTGTGCTTTCAGAAAGACAGCATGCGACTTGCTCTTGCCAAACTCCAACTGAAGTCATTGTCTATCATGTTACATAATGTCTCCTATAACAGAATCCATGAAATAACTAACTCCTTAATTTCAGTGCTGGAAAAAGTTATTTCTCTGAAGATATTTTTATGTTTTTACTCTGCCCTCTCCCACAACAATAAACAACAAACACTAAATCCCAGGAGGAGTTCCTCTTTTAATTACTGCGCTTCTCAAAACAAAATGTTCAACTAGATTATTCATTTCAGGTACTTCATAACATTTCTCTGTTCATGTCAACTATTTGCTCTAATATGTGAAAGTATTTATTATCTCATTTGAAACTATGTTGAATGTTGAAAATCTACTTCAAATTCTTTCCTGGAAGGAAGTAGAAAAAAAAATCTAAAGAAAAATAGATACGGTATTTAGGAAAATTGCTTCCAAGTCTAAGGATGGCCCAAAGAAATAGCCTAGGGACATCTCTGACCTATCAGCTTCTTCCTAAGAAACCTGATGCACTGTGCTGCTAGACGTTACAAATGAACAAAGTGAGTTGAGCTTTCTCTTTTTTGGAGCTGCCATGAATTCAGGTTTTTACACTTAATGCCATCTCGGACACTTAAATACTGAATTTCCCAGGTTACCCCAAAGCTCCAGCAAAAGGAAAGGGGAAACAGTAGCTGCACAACACTTCATCCTTCACGTCCTGAGTTCAGAGTAACCACACAAGAATTGAAAGCATTCCAGAATCCAACACAAAAACCATTCATTCATTGCTAGATTCAGAATCAGAGGATGAGTAAAGGTATGTATGTATACCTTTCCAAGGGGTGTCAGCTGCACAGTAATAAAAACACAGCCAAAATGAAACAGGCTCAGGGGCTACTTTTCAGAATCAAGACTTGAAGACAGACATTCTAACCTGTTTTCTGATAGATTCAGAAGTCTTCATCAAGTTTAAAATATCTTTAAAGTTGATGACTATCGGCATTAAAGATCCTCTTATAAACATTTAAGTACAAGGTACAGTTCTAGGTATTATGCAAGATACAAAGGTTATCAAGGGCTTGATCTTGACCCTTAAGTTGTTACTGAAGGAGAAATGCAAATTGTAGCAGAAAAATTCCCAGAAACCCCTTAAGGATGAATAAAAAATACCCCCTTAAACCTTAAGAGGATAAAAAAGCTGGGCCCTCCTCTCCTGCTGCTTTTGGAGTCCACCCTACCGTGTCATTTCACCGCCCCATGCAACTGCCACAGCCTAATAAAGGCTTATCTGTCTGCAGAGTTACAATTTTTTTTAACTTGATGAAGAATTTCTAGTTTGTTTTTTTTTATTTTATTTTTTTTTACAGTCCCATTCTTAGACTGGACTTAATATTGGTCCTCTTTTTCAGTTTCCTTAGACCAATAACCAAATCTTTTATAAACTCTATTTTCATGTGTTATCACCTGTATTTTGTTTTTATATGTATCATTAATTGTTAAAAATTAAGATTCTGAATCCCTTTGGATATTTATTAGGCTTCAAAGACCTTGATGAAGAAGTCTGAGTGACTGCTAGTTCTCTTACGTTGGCGGTAAGGCTGGGGTGCAACGCACACTGGTTTAGCATGAGCAATGATCACTAAGCACGAGAGCCACGGCCACCCCTACTTTACCTCGTTCACAGACAGAACTGGAAGGTTGGTCCTGGATGGCTGTCTGGTCCTGGATGCTTTTAGTGGTCTCTTCACCTGTGGGAAGTCTTGTTTTGGAACAAATGTTTCCGTTGATACAGATGAGAAATGCCTCTTTAATATTTTTATAAACCATTTAGAACCCAACAGATTTGGTTTGTGGGTCACTCTCCTGTGAGTACCAAAGGATTTCATGGTTGGAAGGTGTGCCTTTTCATCTTGGCAACGAGCAGCATTTAATGGAGACAGCATGCTGGTATCTGACTTTTTTTGGTTCATTTCCAGGATCTGAGACTTATTCAAACCACTAGCTGTTTTATCAGGAAGGAACAAATCCAAGCTTTGACGTATTGTCAGTGTGCTGCATGTTGTATTTTCAAATTCCTTAAGTGGTTTTAACATTAGATGACCGATTCTTCGGCACTGATGTGCTTTTGATAATATATGATGAGATCTGGCCACGGCTCTGAGGAGTGTGGCTGGCATTACCACATCCCAAGCTAAAAGAAAAGGAATTCAAAGTTCAAGTTTTTAAATTAATGTTTAAAACATATATAATATTTCCCTAGGTAGCAGGCATATTTCTGTTAGAAAAATTTGTAAAACAGATACATTCTAAGTTAATTCTAGTAAAAGAACAAGGTTAAAAATATAAGTACAGTGTTTCTGCCACTTTGCCTTTAGCAACATTTGGCCTTCTTCCTGGAAGATTACAAGATTATAAAGCTACTGACATAACAAGAACCTTAAAAAAAATAGTGATGGGACCACTTCATTTACTTCATTAGCATATCAAGTATATAAAAATCTGTGCTGGCCAGGCACTGTAGCTCACACTTGTAATCCCAGCACACTGGGAGGCTGAGGCAGGTGGATCGCTTGAGTCCAAGAGTTCCAGACCAGCTGAGGCAACATGGTGAAACCTCATCTCTACAAAAATGACAAAAATTTAAAAATTAGCTGGGTGTGATGGCAGCTCATGCCTGTAGTCCCAGCTACTCACAGGCTGAGGTGGGAGGATCACTTGAGCCCAGAAGACTGAGGCTGCAGTGAGTCATGATTGTACCACTGCATTCCAGCCCTTTTTCTGTCTCAGGAAAAAAAAAAAAAAAATCAGGAAAGGTTCCCAGAAAGATCTAAGCTGATTCTAGAAGGCGAAGGTGCTTTTCAGCTTGGGGCTGGGCATGGGAGTGCGAGGCATGTCAGATACACACATGAACATTCCAGACAAGGTAAACAGAATTTCCCCCTTATTTACAGTATGAAATGTGTTATTTTAAAGTTAGCCTATAGTAGGCCACACATGGTGGCTCACGCCTGTAATCCCAGCACTCTGGGAGGCTAAAGGCTGGGGGGATCACTTGAGGCCAGGAGTTCAAAACCAGCCTGGCCAACATGGCAAAACCCCATCTCTACTAAAAATACAAAAAAAAATTAGCCAAGCATAGTGGCTTTAATCCCAGCTACTCAGGTGGCTGAGATATAGAATCGTTCAAACCAGGGAGGGAGAGGTTGCAGTGAGCCAGGATTGCCCCACTGCACTCCAGCCTGGGCGACAGAATGAGACTCTGTCTCAAAAAAAAAAAAAAGTTAGACCGTAGTAATCAATAATTCTTTTTTTAAAAATAATATGTTAGGTGCTAGAGATAGATGAATCAATGATCTCAGAATTCAAAGTCTAGCAGAGGAAAATGAACGAGATGCACAAATTGCTCTAGTCCAGAGAAAGGAGCATGTGAAGAGTGTGGCATTGTCACAGAGGTGACATTTGAACTGAGTCTTGAAAGGGCAGAAGGATCAGCAAGTTAAACACCCCAGGCATGGAGTCCTATTCATCTCCCCATCTCGGGGAGGTAGGAGTGAGCTGCAGGAGGTAAGGACCAAAAGAGCCGATGGCCAGATCACCAAAGGATATATAAAGTCATCCTAAAAAGTTTCTACAGGTGGGGAGAAAGCTGAGCTTTTAACTCAGAGTCACACGGTCAAATGCATGTTCATGAAACAAATTTTTGGTGATGATATGTAGGAGGAAACAAGACAGACTCTGACATCACTCTGAGCGCTTTCTACATGCTAAGTGCTCGGCTTCACCTCATAATGATCCCATTTCACTGATTAGGAAACTGAGGTTTAAAGAGGCTAAGTGCTCACCGTTAAGAAGCTGCAGAGATGTAACTAAAATAAAACCCAGGCTTTCCCAATTCCAAAGTCAACACTCTTACCCACTACCTTGTATTTACTACCTCTCTTCAGGATAAGGACAAAGATGATTCACAGTGATATTTAGGAGGTAGAACCTGCTGCTTCCAAAATCCCTTCAAAAGCTCGCATTCTGTGCTTCATTCTAGTCCAATTGGCTACTGTAGTTCACCTTTAATTAGTACTATGCCATGCCAGTTGAACCACTTAATTTTGAAGAAACTATAAAATATTTTAGAAGTTTGTCTACAGTCCTGGATTCTTTTTATTCTCTTTGAGTAAATTCTTTTTTTTTTTTTTTTTTTTGAGATGGGAGTCTCGCTCTGTCACTCAGGCTGGAGTGCAGTGGTGCCACCTCAGCTCACTGCAACCTCCGCCTCCCCGGTTCAAGCGATTCTCCTGCCTCAGCCTCCCGAGTAGCTGGGATTACAGGTGTCTGCCACCATGCCTAGTTAATTTTTTTGTATTTTTAGTAGAGACGGGGTTTCATTATGTTGGCCAGGCTGGTCTTGAAATCCTGACCTCAGGTGATCCACCTGCCTTGGCCTCCTAAAGTGTTGGGATTACAGGCGTGAGCCACCGGACCCAGCCCATTTTTATCACTGCACCTTCTAGAAAGCCTAAGATTACATTTGTGCCTTACACTGTTTTTCTATCAGACAGGGCCCTATTGTCATTATCAATACATCGGACCTCCTCATCTCAGTTTCATCCATTTTACTCTCTAAGCACCACCTCCTATCTTTGCATCTCACTCCTTCTATTACCCAATTCCAATAATTCTTCAACCCCAACAGGACCCACAAGTCAATGATCCAACCACCTTTTCACTGTCTCTCACTCCCCATGACTTCACTTCCTCCATATCCAGTTTACACTCCATGGTCTACCATTCTAACCTCTCCCTTATACCCCTAGAATCCCTTGCATCCCTTTCTTCCCAGTCTTTCCCATTCATGAGCAGTAATAAGTATCTTTATAACTGCTAAGCCAAAAACGTGGGGTCCAGCTTGACTCTTTATTCTCCATATCCAACTTCTCAGTAAATCCCAAGGGCCTTCTAGGGACCACTGCTCATCATCAGTAATAATACTACCTGATCCAAACTGCTATCCTTCCCATGGATTATTATAATAGCTTCTTAACCAGTTTTCCTGATTCTGTTTTGGGCCCCCTACAGTTTCTTCTCAACACAGCAACCAAAGTGATCCTTTGAAGTTGAATCTCAACGCGAAATCTAGCTGTGGCTTCACGGTTCACTTAATAAAAGCCAAAGCCCTCCAACCAGGCATGGCGGCTCACGCCTGTAATCTCAGCACTTTGGGAGGGATCACTTGGGGTCAGGAGTTCCAGACCAGCCTGGCCAACACGGCGAAACCCCGTGTCTACTAAAAATACAAAAATCAGCCGGGCATGGTGGCATGGGCCTATAATCCCAGTTACTTGGGAGGCTGAGGCACGAGAATGGCTTGAATCTGGGAGGCGGAGATTGCGCCACTGCACTCCAGAATGAGCAACAAAGCGAGACTCTGTCTCAAAAAAAAAAAAAAAAAAAAAAAAAAAGCCTGGCGCGGTGGCTCACGCCTGTAACCCCAGCATTTTGGGAGGCCGAGGCGGGTGATTCACAAGGTCAGATGTTCGAGGCCAGCCTGGCCAACATGGTGAAACCTCGTCTCTACTAAAAATACAAAAAAATTAGCTGAGCGTGGCGGCGGGTGCCTGTAATCCCAGTTACTCGGGAGGCCAAGGCAGGAGAATCGCCTGAACCCGGGAGGTGGAGGTTGCAGTGAGCCGAGATCGCGCCACTGCACTAAAGTCTGGGCGACAGAGTGAGATTCTGTAACGAAAAAAAAAAAAAAAAGCTAAACCCCTCAGAATGGCCTGCATGGCACTACATTATCTGTCCTTTATCACCACTTTGACAGCACTCTCCTTTGCTTATTTTGCTCCTCATTCTGGTCTCTGGATCTGTGCACTTGCTGTTCCTTACGCTCTTCTCCCAGGGATCTGAAAGGCTCACACCCTCACCTCCTTCAGATGTTTGCTAAAATGTCTTCTACCCAGTGAAGCCTTCCCCAACCACTACATTAAAAACACACAACCAGCCCTCTCCCTCTCCCTCCTCTCCCTCTCCCCACGGTCCCCCTCTCCCCACGGTCTCCCTCTGATGCCGAGCCGAAGCTGGACTGTACTGCTGCCATCTCGGCTCACTGCAACCTCCCTGCCTGATTCTCCTGCCTCAGCCTGCCGAGTGCCTGCGATTACAGGCGCATGCCGCCACGCCTGACTGGTTTTCGTACTTTTTTGGTGGAGACGGGGTTTCGCTGTGTTGGCCGGGCTGGTCTGCAGCTCCTAACCGCGAGTGATCTGCCAGCCTCGGCCTCCCGAGGTGCCGGGTTTGCAGACGGAGTCTGGTTCACTCAGTGCTCAATGGTGCACAGGCTGGAGTGCAGTGGCGTGATCGAGGCTCGCTACAACCTCCACCTCCCAGCCGCCTGCCTTGGCCTCCCAAAGTGCCGAGATTGCAGCCTCTGCCTGGCCCCCCATCGTCTGGGACGTGAGGAGCCCCTCTGCCTGGCTGCCCAGTCTGGAAAGTGAGGAGCGTCTCTGCCCGGCCGCCATCCCATCTAGGAAGTGAGGAGCACCTCTTCCCGGCCGCCATCCCATCTAGGAAGTGAGGGGAGTCTCTGCCCGGCCGCCCATCGTCTGAGATGTGGGGAGCACCTCTGCCCCGCCGCCCCGTCTGGGATGTGAGGAGCGCCTCTGCCCGGCCGCCCCATCTGAGAAGTGAGGAGACCCTCCGCCCGGCAGCCACCCCATCCGGGAGGGAGGTGGGGGTCAGCCCCCGCCAGGCCAGCCACCCCATCCGGGAGGGAGGTGGGGGTCAGCCCCCCGCCCGGCCAGCCACCCCGTCTGGGAGGGAGGTGGGGGGGCCAGCCCCCGTCCGGGAGGAAGGTGGGGTGTCAGCCCCCCGCCCGGCCAGCCGCCCCGTCCGGGAGGGAGGTGGGGGGTCAGCCCCCCGCCCGGCCAGCCGCCCCGTCCGGGAGGGAGGTGGGGGGGTCAGCCCCCCGCCCGGCCAGCCGCCCCGTCCGGGAGGTGAGGGGCGCCTCTGCCCGGCCGCCCCTACTGGGATGTGAGGAGCCCCTCTGCCCGGCCACCACCCCGTCTGGGAGGTGTACTCAACAGCTCATTGAGAACGGGACGGGATGACAATGGCGGTTTTGTGTAATAGAAAGGGGGGAAAGGGGGGGAAAAGATTGAGAAATCGGATGGTTGCCGTGTCTGTGTAGAAAGAAGTAGACATGGGAGACTTTTCATTTTGTTCCATACTAAGAAAAATTCTTCTGCCTTGGGATCCTGCTAATCGGTGACCTTACCCCCAACCCTGTGCTCTCTGAAACATGTGCTGTGTCCACTCAGAGTTGAATGGATTAAGGGCGGTGCAAGATGTGCTTTGTTAAACAGATGCTTGAAGGCAGCGTGCTGGTTAAGAGTCATCACCACTCCCTAATCTCAAGTACCCAGGGACACAAACACTGCGGAAGGCCGCAGGGTCCTCTGCCTAGGAAAACCAGAGACCTTTGTGCACTTGTTTATCTGCTGACCTTCCCTCCACTATTGTCCTATGACCCTGCCAAATCCCCCTCTGCGAGAAACACCCAAGAATGATCAATAAAAAAAAAAAAAAAAAAAAACACAACCAGCATCCATTCTCTTATCTTCCTCCACTTTGCATTTCTCCATTGTTTAACATCACTTGCACACCTTTAATTTTTAGTTTATTAATTCATACTGCAAACGAACTCAGTTCTTATCATGTGCCAGGTATTGTCCTAGTTGCTGACAATACAGCTGAAAATAAAATAGACAAAAATCCTATCTTTTGAATCTTTTGAACCTTGCATTGGGAGTGACAGACAAAACGAGGTAAATCAGTAAAATACGTGAGACACAAAGCTAAAGGAAAAAAATAAGAGGAAAGGGCAGATTTTTGTGTCTTCCTTCCAGAATGGAAGCTCCCTGAGGATACGGATTTGTGTTTTTTCCTATTATATCTCCTGACAATAGCGCCCAGCACATAGTAGGCATTCGATCGAATTTTTAAAATGAAATACAAGGCAGTTACTCAGTTCCCGGGCACATTTCAACTTTTAGAGAACAATTACACCAATTAAGAAAATCGATTACAGCTAGGCTACGATTCGAGAGCTAAGTGGCGCTCATCTTTGGGAGTATGCCGTTCAATTCCTCAAACTCAAAATTATTTTATCGATTTCTACAGTTACCGCGGTGCACTGGCTCAAAAAAAGGGTTCATTAATTGAGTGCTTTTTACTCCCAGCTAAGCTGACCAAAGATCACGGTAAGAGGCAAAGGGTCACAGCCGCACTGGCGTAACCCGTAACTGTACACGTTCCGGGCGGCCAGGAGCCAGGGCGCAGACCTCCAAGCCGGACCACTCGAGCTGCTAAAGAAAAGGCAATACACTAACCTCTCCGCCGGAAGAGAAGAAGGAAGCGCCAGGGACGCACGCTTCCTCGGCAGGACTGCAGGGAAAGAGCCGCACCCCCAGCCTCTCACTACTGCAGCCAACCCATCTCCTGGAAGGGCGCTCCCGCCCACCCCCGCTACTGCGCAGCCGCACTGAACTCTGGTCCCACTTAGCGGGAGAAACTCGGGCCACGTGACTGTCTGACCACGTGAGCCGCGTCGCCGCGACCTCTTCCGCTCCCTAGGCCCTGGGACCTCCCGGTCCCTTGCCTGCTTCCGGCTTTCGCTCGCTTCCATATCCGCTCCTCTAGTCGCCCTCCGCTGGCCCCGCCTTCGTCCCCGGAAGATTGGGTCTTCTGGCGAGCCACTGTTTGCCGTTTGATCGGGCACCAAATAAAGTTTCTTTATTCAAAAGCACTTTTTTTTTAAAGCCACACCACCCCCATTCTCAGCTCCTCCTTCGCGGCGGTACCGCCTCTGTTTCTGCGGCGATTGAACAGCCGAGCTTTGCGGCCGGGATCGCGGAAAGTGATGGCTGTCGTCCCGGCGTCTCTCTCAGGACAGGACGTGGGGTTAGTCTAGCTTTTCTCCTCCCCACTTTTGCGGAAAGCCGGGCCTCGCCGGGAGCCTGTGGGGACTAAGCGGAGGGCGCCCGCTCCCCGGTGGGCTGCGTTCGAGTCCCGCCGCCGGGCGCGGCTTTCCGGGGCGCCTTTGCGGGTTTCGCGGACTGGCTCGGAGGCGAAGGGAGGCGGCCCCGGGGAGGGAGCCTGCCCGCGGCGGCTGCTCGTAAGGATCAGGACAGGGGTCAGCTTCGCGGTCTGTTCCTGGCGGTCACTTTTTATTTATTCACTTTAATAGACGCGCTTTGGGGGCGTTAAAATTCTGCGTAAGAGTTGGGGATCTCAGCGCTATTAAGAAACGGGTTTCTCCCTGTTGTTGATCAAATCGTAATCTCACAGTAAGAACTGTCTAGTTTTTTGCTTTATAGTCGTCACGCTACTGATTCTTGGGTAAAGTTGTGGGTGACCGTGCAAATAACATCCATTTGCATAAATCGAATGGCCAAATTTATATTTGAAATTTGTCCTTACTTCAAAATATTGCAAAAGACGAGAACACTTTGAAGAAAATAAACCTGGGCAGAAAGTAGGTTGAGGCCAACAAAGTGGCGCCAATGGCCCCAAATTGAGGCAGTCACTGTTTCAGGTCATGCAAGTATAGAGAGTATCTCCTTCAATTTTGCGCCCTAGGGCTTCTGGCCTCACTCCAGTCCTGGCCAGAGACTTTGTTCCAGAGGTGCAGGAAATGTAGTAGTTAGGAAAACAGTAATACTTTCCAATTAAAGTAAAATCTCAAAAAAGGACTTACTATACCTACTGCCTGGGAAAATTCAAGTGACAGTTGATTTAATGTTCCTGCTCACCCTCTGAGGTATTAGTGATTTCTTTTATTAATGATTTTTAAAAATTAAATTCTGATCAACGTAGTTATTATGCGCATTAAAACCTAATCACTGTTTTGGGTGGTACTGAAAGCACCACAGAGTCGGAAAGTGTGTGCAGTTTTTTTCTTAAAGTTCTATAGCTATCATTTGAGGAAACCTTTTGAAGAAATACCCAAGTTACAATCTAGTAATTTAACAATTGTCTCCTGTGATCTGGAGATAAAAACACTAGTCAGCTAAGCTCTGTGCTCTATATTTAAAACTGCACAGAATTTCTCCACCAAATAAAGCTTTTTTTCTACCTGTATCATGTATTTCCTTAGAATGATATAAAATGATAATCTGTAAATCTTGGGTTTTGTATGAATAAAATCAAGAATATCTTTAATTTTTTAATGCAGGTATAAGTTTTTCTTCATCTCCAGCTTGCTTCATTCTTGAACACTTCTATAAAATCTCTGATTTTTTGAGTGGGAAGAGACAGTAGCACGCCTTCATTTGCTTAGGGGCAGAATAGGATGGAAGGAGTCCATTGTGCAGATAGAGAAGGCAGAGAAGGGGAAAATTTTTGAAAATAATTAAAATTGACTTAGAAAATAGACAGAATGGAGAGAAACAGGCTTAAAAGTACCTTTAATTCTTTATGTTGTTCAAGCACATTAGACCCTTTAGGTGGTTTTAGATGCATTGCTTCATTCATCTTTCTAAGCAGGTGACTTAGCAGATAGTAGACCTGGGACAAGAGCCTGTTTGATTTCTAAGCTAATCCATTCCCTATCCTATCACTTTGCTAAGCGAGTTTCTGATTTAGGAAAATAAAAGCAATAGAATAGGAAAGATAAGAATGATTAAACAGACTCCATGGGAGAATCTGGGATTAGAGGCACCAAGACAGTTTGGCTTCCATGACATACCAGCGAATTTTCCAGGTTTTCTTATGTCTTAATATAGTAATCATACAATACTTGTCTATCTTTTAATAGTTGTATGAGGAGTTTAATATACATGAAGTGTTCCAGAAACTAAAAGATAGCCAGTCTTCTAGTATTGATGCTGCTAAGTTATATATTGCATGTGACTCTTTTCTAGATCATTTGCATATCTTACAATTAAAGACAGAATACCACAGATCTTAACTAAGGTTATTGATACATTGCATCGACATAAAAGTGAATTTTTTGAGAAACACGGAGAGGTAAGAATTGTTTTAACTTTTAATTTTTTGTTAATTTCTCAACAGAAACATAATAAATAGTTCTTGAAGGTATCAATTTTCCTTTAAATGTAAAAATCAATAGATGGGCCAAGTATTTATTTGTTTTTAAGGTAATACATTGAAATGAAGATAGAACAGCCAATCTTCAATTTAGAAAATGATTGTGTTCCAATAATTAATTCTGTCAGTTATTTAGACTTCAGAATGTATTTTCTAATATATGCAATGTTGTAATTGGTGACTGGGCAACAGACTTGCAATTGACTTAGTCAAGTGACTAAGCAATTGAGTTGCTTAGAAGAGCTTTTTAAATTTCAAGTTTAATTTGAGTTGCAGTATTTATATTACTAATTTGAGATCTTGAGTCCTGGAAGTTCAAGCTGCTATGCAAAGCTCAGTGATATGAATTATAATTGATTGACACATTGTACTGATTCAAGTTGGGACTCATTAGCATTCAGTGCAGAATAGGACTTTAGAAATCACTTTGTCCATTCAATTAATGGATGAGGAAAAATCCAAATAACTATGTTATTGAAGGGGTGGGTTGCCCCTCCACACCTGTGGGTGTTTCTCGTAAGGTGGAACGAGAGACTTGGAAAAGAAAAAGACACAGAGACAAAGTATAGAGAAAGAAATAAGGGGACCTGGGGAACCAGCGTTCAGCATATGGAGGATCCCGCCAGCCTCTGAGTTCCCTTAGTATTTATTGATCATTCGTGGGTGTTTCTCCGAGAGAGGGATGTGTCAGGGTCACAAGACAATTGTGGGGAGAGGGTCAGCAGACAAACACGTGAACAAAGGTCTTTGCATCATAGACAATGTAAAGGATTAAGTGCTGTGCTTTTAGATATGCATACACATAAACATCTCAATGCTTTACAAAGCAGTATTGCTGCCCGCATGTCCCACCTCCAGCCCTAAGGCGGTTTTTCCCTATCTCAGTAGATGGAACATACAATTGGGTTTTATACCGAGACATTCCATTGCCCAGGGACGGGCAGGAGACAGATGCCTTCCTCTTGTCTCAACTGCAAGAGGCATGCCTTCCTCTTACACTAATCCTCCTCAGCACAGACCCTTTACGGGTGTCGGGCTGGGGGACGGTCAGGTCTTTCCCTTCCCACGAGGCCATATTTCAGACTATCACATGGGGAGAAACCTTGGACAATACCTGGCTTTCCTAGGCAGAGGTCCCTGCGGCCTTCCGGCCTTCCGCAGTTTTTGTGCCCCTGGGTACTTGAGATTAGGGAGTGGTGATGACTCTCAAGGAGTATGCTGCCTTCAAGCATCTGTTTAACAAAGCACATCTTGCACCGCCCTTAATCCATTTAACTCCGAGTTGACACAGCACATGTTTCAGAGAGCACGGGGTTGGGGGTAAGGTTATAGATTAACAGAATCTCAAGGCAGAAGAATTTTTCTTAGTACAGAACAAAATGGAGTCTCCTATGTCTACTTCTTTCTACACAGACACAGTAACAATCTGATCTCTCTTGCTTTTCCCCACATGTTATGTTAGACATAGGTCTTTAAACTTGTAGGTTCAGTAATCTTTCTATTACACAATAGACTGTAAAAGAGCATACATATACCAGTACATTTTTTTTGAGAGTTGAAAACAAAAATTTAGAGAAATGGTTGGTGATCTTTTCTCCTTGGCCAAATTGAAATGGAGCAAGATAACACACATGCAGTTTGAGTGTAATGTTCTACTTCTTTCAACTTCTTTTATATTGTCTTGTTTAAAACTAATCCTGGCATAACACAGGGATTACCTGTTGTTCCTTGTTGCTAAAATCCGGCTTAATTTAGACACTGACAATTATATTGCTGAATGGTTTTAATGTTTATCACATAAACATAATTTTGGTAACTGACATATCTTTATCACACAAGTATAATTTAGCCAAATTTGGATAGTTCACTTTAGTATTTGGTCATATACGCAAGCAAATTACCATAATACTTTTGTTTTTCTTGTTGTTGTTTTTTGAGACAGGGTCTTGTTCTGTCTACTAGGCAGAGTGCAGTGGTGCAGTCATAGCTCACTGCAGCCTCAAACTCCTAGATTCCAGCAATTCTCCCAGTTCAGCATCCTAAAGTGCTGGCATTACAGGCGTGAGCCACTGTGCCTGGCCCCATAATGCTTTTGTAATTTCAGTTTTTTCGGCCAGAGTGATCTAAAATGTAGTAATTAATGAAGTCCTAGTATATTGCTACTTGGCCTGTATGCCCGTAATCACCAGGTGACTGAAGGCAGAGTTTATTGTCTCTCCAGCCCTCCCCCATTTCACACTCTACTGAGCACAGAACAAGATGTAAATTGACACAGATAAAGTCTGCTTTTGGTAGCCTTTCTGTCCCTTTTTCATGCCTCTGTTATACCTATGGCCACTCTCCTTGGGCCTCATGTGTTCTAGCTTCCTAAGCCCCCACCTATAGCAGGGCCAGGCTTATCTCCGAAGGAGCCATGCCACACAGTTTTCTATCTTCCCCCACCTCAGCGGTCAAACGTCCGTGCCCTTAGACTACCTGGTTTGGCAGATGTGTGTCTCTTGGAGACAGGACCAGGCTTTATTCATCTTTCTCTGGCCCTGAGGTTAGTGTCAGGCACATACAGGGTTCAGTAAATGTTTGAATTCAATTCAAGTAAGTGAACAAAGTGGCAGTGACATCACTATTAATCCATTAGCCTTTTTAGGTATATGCTTCTGTAAAAGGGTGCCTGACACCCTGTAAAACCTCAGTTGTTGGAATTTATAGTTAAAGAGTTGAAGTTTAAGACTTTAGGGAAGAGATTTGGAGGAGGGGGAGTTCCTCTCAAAACAGTCAGCTACAACTTCTTTTCTTCTATTTCTGAACCTGCAGAATCTCGAAAGCTTCAATCTTTTTTTCTAGCAGCAAAATAAATTGTACTTGGAACAAAAGAAAGATTGGAGAGATGTTTATATTGAGAAAATTACAGATCTGAAAGTAGGGACTAAATATCAACATGATAAAAATGATCTTATAAAAATACTCAGGCTTGATGTTTATTCTCTACATTTTATTATATACGTGTCTTATTAGGCTTACATTTTCTTTTTTTTTAATGGAGCAGGAATCTTGCTAATGTAAAACCAAGGTGTGAAGTCATTTTCACTTCATTCTGATCCCATTACATTTGTCCCCACTCCAATTGGCCTGTTATGTGAGATAATATTGTAGTGCCTTGTTTGTCAGCATATGTCATCTCTCACCTAGCTAGAACTTGGTGGAAAACAAGTTAAAAAAAATTTGAGCTACCAAAAGAAACCTCAGAAAGCCCACAGTTTCTTTTCTAGTGGTGTCAATGGTGAAAGAAGAATATGTATGGAAGCATGAAAGACATGGAAAATCTGGCAGGGGTTCCTTTCCCTCTGTGGTAATGGTCATCCCACCGAAGATACAGAAAGGCCAGAACTTAGGTAGATAAGGCATGATTATGTTCATATGAGATCTGTGTGTGTTTTTTGATTTTCAGTTTAAGAGTTCTAAATGTAATGTTTAAAGAAATAAAATGTAGTTTTGAACATTTTTCTTTTCTTCTTAAGTCTGTAAAAATATGTTACCCTAGAGGAATTGCACAGACACACACACACACACAATTTATTTTTCTTGTATTTTTGCAGGAAGGCGTGGAAGCTGAAAAGAAAGCTATCTCTCTCCTTTCTAAATTACGGAATGAATTGCAAACAGATAAACCATTTATCCCCTTGGTTGAGAAATTTGTTGATACTGATATATGGAATCAGTACCTAGAATATCAACAGAGTCTTTTAAATGAAAGTGATGGAAAATCAAGATGGTTCTACTCACCGTGGTTGTTGGTAGAATGTTACATGTATCGAAGAATTCATGAAGCAATTATCCAGAGGTACGTGTGTAATCATCAACTATCAAATGTTTAGATAATTTATACTTTTTCTGAAATTGTAAAAGGATAAGTTTAAAAATAAGCACCAGTGGAAGCTTGAATTTGGTTGAGTTTAGCAAATCTTAATAGCATTGTTGGACATTTCTACAAATGTTACTGATGGACATTTCTACAAATGTTACTGATGGACATTTCTATAGCTGTTACCAATTTAACAGATTCTTGGCAATTATAATCTACTTGCCTAGAATAGACATAAGAGTAAATATCTAAAGTACGAATTGGCCAGGCCCTGAGGTTCATGCTTGTAATCCCAGCACTTTGGGAGGCTGAGGTGGGCAGATTGCTTGAGGTCAGGAGTTCGAGACCAGCCTGGCCAGCATAACGAAACCCGTCTCTACTAAAAATAAAAAAATTAGCGAGGCATGGTGGCACGGGCCTGTAATCCCAGGTACCTGGGAGGCTGAGGAATGGGAATTGCTTGAACCTGGGAGGCAGAGGTTGCAGTGTGCCAAAATTGCACCACTGCACTGCAGCCTGAGCACCGGAGTGAAACTCTGTCTCAATAAAATAGATAAATAAAGCGTGAATTAATTAAAGATTCCAACAAAGACTTCTAGAATAAAAGAAGTTTTGCTTATTGAGTAAAAAATGTAAATTTGAAATAGTTACATTTATATAAATAAGGATGGGACAAAGTAAGCATATGTTTTGTTTATTGAAATAGATAATAAACGTTACAACTTACTTGGTTTAAGGAGTCATGAGAACAGTGAATCATACTATTGTATTATAGTCTTAATCTTTCATCTTTTTTTAAAAAGGCTAGTTTAGAAAAAGATTTTAAAAGTACACATGTTTCAAAGTAACTTTTTCTAGGCTTGTTTATATTATTTAATTTTTCCTAGGAAAACATCTGATAGAGAACTAGTTTTTAGACCAGGCGTGGTGGCTCATGCCTGGAATCCCAACACTTTGGGAGGCTAAGGCAGGTGGATCACTCGAGGTCAGGAATTTGAGACCAGCCTGGTGAGCGTGGCGAAACCCCGTCTCTACAAAAAATATATAATTACCCAGGTGTGGTGGCACATGCCTGTTGTCCCAGCTACCCCGGAGGCTGAGGCATGAGAATCACTTGAACCTGGGAGGCGGAGGTTCCAGTAGCCAAGATTACACCACCGCACTCCAGCCTGGGCGACAGAGCGAGACTGTTTAAAAAAACCAAAAAACAAAAAACTGTTATTTATAGTGCCAAAGAAAAGTTAATGGGGATGATTGGATTATCCTTAATAAGCACAGGTTCCAAAAATACAGGTTTGTTAAGAGGAATCCTTTGGTATCTGTTCCTAAACATAGCATAGGACAATTTAAAGTGACCTATCAAGTCAGCACTAATTGTAAAATAAAATTATTTTGGGAAACATATGGAACTTTAAAATCTGTTCATTAGCTTTTTTGTCTTAATCTTACACACACACGTATATATTTTGTTGTTGTTGTTGTTCTTGTTGTTGTTTGTTTGTTTAAGATGGAGTCTCGCTCTGTCGCCCAGGCTGGAGTACAGTGGCGCGATCTTGGCTTACTACAACCTCTGCCTTCCGGGTTCAAGCAGTTCTCTTGCCTCAGCCTCCCGAGTAGCTGGGATTACAGGCACCTCCCACCATGCCTGGCTAACTTTTTTTGTTTTTGTATTTTTTGTAGAGATGGGGTTTCGTTATGTTGGCCAGGCTGGCCTTGAACTCCTGACCTCGAACTCCTGACCTCAGGTGATCTGCCCTCCTCGTCCTCCCAAAGTGCTGGGATTACAGGCATGAGCCACCACGCCCAGCCTATATATTTTTTTTTCATATCACAATTTGTTGTTTTTTCTGATAGGTAGGTTTTAGAACTTCTGATCTAAAAGCAAAATACACTATTAAAACTCTGGTGCAGGCCGGGTGCGGTGGCTCACACCTGTAATCCCAGCACTTTGGGAGGCCGAGGCAGGCAGATCAAAAGGTCAAGAGGTCGAGACCATCCTGGCCAACATGCTGAAACCCCGTCTCTACTAAAAATACAAAAATTAGCTGGGCGCGGTGGTGCGCACCTGTAGTCCCAGCTACTCAGGAGGCTGAGGCAGGAGAATCACTTGAACCCAGGAGGCGGAGGTTGCAGTGAGCCGAAATCACACCACTGCACTCCAGCCTGGGTGAAAGAGCAAGACTCTGTCTCAAAAAAAAAACAAAAAAACAACAAAAAAAACTCCGGTGCACTGCTTGGCATGGAGAAGGCACCCCAGCAGAACAGCAGAAGATGTAAGGAGCTGTCAGTAACTAGCAATGTTCTAGTGACTGTGCAACCCAGTGAAATGTAGGCGTTGTTATGGTTTCCATTTTAACAGTTTAGGTGATTGGGCTCAGAGAGATTTCTAACATGCCCAAGGTGACATGGCTAGTAGGTGGTGGAACCAGGATTTGAGCCTGGTCTGTGTGAATCAGATTAGTGTCCTTATTCAGCCATTCTTCCCAAATAGTAGATTTAGATGCCTGTCAAGGACTGAGAGTAGTCTGAAATTCGGGGTGATGGTTTCCTAATTTTGGAAAATATCTGTGGTAGGAGCCAAAGCTGCCAAAGTGTTGAAAGACTGGGTGGCATCTTGAGTGGGGTTGGTGGAGTTTGTGTGTTTAAGGCAAGAGGAATGCTGTTTCTGAGTTTGATTTTAGAGGTTGATCAGGTTCAGAGACTAAAAATACCTAGAGCAGATTTTCACAAACCTGGCTGCACATTTATGACCCAGTTGGGGAAAAGGAAGGTGGCTTCAAAAATGCGTATTTTTAGGCCAGGCACAGTGGCTTACGCCTGTGATCTCAGCACTTTGGGAGCCTGAGGCAGGTGGATCTCCCGAGGTCAGGAGTGTGAGATCAGCCTGGCCAACATGGTGAAACCCTGTCTCTACTAAAAATACAAAAATTAGTCAGGCATGGTAATGGGCACCTGTAATCCCAGCTACTCAGGAGGCTGAGGCAGGAGAATCACTTGAACCCAGGAGGTGGAGGTTGCAGTGAGCCGAGATTGTGCCGTTGTACTCCAGCCTGGGCGACAAGAGCGAAACTCCGTCTCAAAAAAAACACCACATAGTTTTAGATTATTGTGTTGGAATAAATACAAATTGCTTAATTTATCTGGGGTGGGGCCTGGGTATCAGTTTTTCTTTCGGAAGCTCAGGGAGTGATGATATCCACTGGTTCAGCGAACAGATTGTTAAATGGGATAGAGGGAACATGCATCTTTAAGTTCAAGAAACTAGAATGTTGCACAATCACGGATGTAGAACTCTTCCCAAAGCGGTTTCTGTGGCAGATAAAGAGCCATCTTACAATGGAGCCAGCACTGAAGTAATTCTTAAATGTCTAATTTTTAGGTTCTTCTATGGGGGATCCCTATCCTAGGTCAATGGCAACTCCAGACTGACCAGCTTTTATAAAAGACATGTTTATATTGATTTACCATTTTACACTGAAACATGCAATAGTCTGCCAGTCTAAATTAAGATTCAAAGTTTTAGCCATATGTGAAATTTAAACATATTAGGTAAATACACTTCAGATATTGAAAGATGAAAGTACAGAGAAAATATTAGATTTTTAGAAAAACTTTTTAATAAAGTGTAATATACATATAGAAAAATGTGCATGTCTTATGTGTTCAAGAACATACTTGTGTACCCAGTGCCCAGATCAAGAGACGGAACCTTACAGACCCCAAAAGTCCACTTTGAGTCCCTTTCCAGTCACTGCCTTCATTACTCCTCAAGGATAACCATTGTTCTGACCTGTGTTAGTTTTGCCTGTTTTTTAACTTTACTGAAATGAAATGATACAGTGTATAGTTTTGTGTCTGGCTTCTTTCACTCATTTTTATGTTTGTGAGACTCATCCATATGTTACAATATAATTATAGATCATTCATTCTCATTGCTTTATAATATTGCATTTTATGAGCATATTACAATCTGTTTACTTCGTTGTGATGGATATTTGAGTACTTTTCAGTTTGGAGTTGTTAGGAAGAATGCTGCTATAAACATTCTGACACTTTTTTGCTGAACATATGTATGAATACATCTGTTGGATATATCCCTCCCTAGAAGTGAATCACTGGGTCATAGTGTGTGTACATACACAGCTTTAGTAGATTCTAAAATAGAAAACATTCTAAAATGAGAATTTATATATAGTTATGTGAGTTTACTCTCTTAAATACGAAAATAAGGCTCATTCTTAATATGAGATGTGACTTTAATGAATGGTTTGTTAATAAAACATTAGAACATGTTTTATTAGAACTTTCTGTAAAGGGCCAGGTAGTAAATCTTTTAGGCATAGGGGCCATGTGGTCTCTGTTGCAGCTGCCGAACCTGCCATTGTCGTGTGAATGCAACCTTAAATAATATGTAAGAATGAGCATGGCTGTGTTCTAAAGAAACTTTATTCAGCGGACACCGAAATTTGAATTTCATGTGTTACAAAATACTACTTTTCTTTCACTTTGTTTTCAGCCATTCAAAAATATAAAAACCACTCTTAGCATGTGAGTCAGACAGAACAGGTGGTGGGCCGGATTGGGTCTGTGCATCCGAATGATTTTTATCCTTTTAAGTCACCTTGAGAGACTGACTGATTTCAGCGGTGCTGCCATTGCTAAAACCATCTTTGAATTATTTGGAACTTCTTTCAGAGCCAGTTTACATGCCTCAAAATGAAAATTAGTCTTCCTGTATTTTTACTCATTTTTGATTAAAAAAAAAGTTTTTATCCAATTTGATCACACACCTCATTCTACTGAAATCACTCCGAGTGACTTTTGGCTGTTTCCAAAAATAAATTGACTCCAAAGGATGAAGATATGTGATCACTGACAGGAGGTTTAATGATGTGCCATAGGTTCTGAAGAAAATTCCTAAAGAGGAATTCCAAAAGTGCTCTGAGCAATGGCAGCGCCCTTGGAATAAGGGTGTAGCTTCCCGAGGTGACTGACTGGCTGGAAGGAGGCAGCCATCATTTGGATGTTTAAATACTGGTATGTTATTTAAAAAAACAAAACAAAACAAATCAAGCCGATTACATCAGTGTTAGATTGTTTTTACCCTAACATGAATGACCCATGGAAAAAGTAGCTAATTTGGAAGACCCAATAATCTGAATGTCTTTTATATTCAATTCAGTAAAGATTATTATATTAGTATTTATATCTCCTTAGTTATGATTTTCTTAGGCCAATATAATATGATTTAATCTCTCACTGGAAAACATGAAGGTGTAGCCATGCCACATATATCACCTTTGGTTAAAGTTGCCCAAAAATACCTAAAATTAGTGATAAAAAATTATCATTCTTCTAAAACTTACAATAGTATTGTCTGATTTATCTTAAGTACTCATTGTATTTCCATCATACTCTGTGTTTCATTCTGTTAATGATTGCTGCATTGTATTCAAATATTCTGTTTATATTCTATACATTTGTTACTGGAACTCTGCCACATCGGTGGTTAAAAAATGTTTGTTGAACTAAAGCAGTTGTCTTGAAATTTATCTTTCTCCTTCTTGTGCCCTGGAATCCCTGCTAGGTAGATAATTATGAGCATAGTCACTATCACTATTTAATATGTCCAGAAAAATACTTGATTTGGGAACTTTTTTGACAATTAAAATGAGTTTGAGAGATTTTTGTGTAATTTGATTATTTAGTATTAAGTTTTTCTAGTTAATTAGATAAATGTTATATCTAGTTTCTGTTAGCACTGATTATTGAGACTGTATGGTGCTATTTTCTTTCAAGAACTGCAGTTATCCAAATGTACAAACTAAAATGTTTCACTTTGTTTTTCTCCTACTTTAGTCCACCAATCGATTACTTTGATGTATTTAAAGAATCAAAAGAGCAAAATTTCTATGGGTCACAGGAATCCATCATTGCTTTATGTACTCACCTGCAACAATTGATAAGAACTATTGAAGACCTAGATGAAAATCAGCTGAAAGATGAGTTTTTTAAACTTCTGCAGGTAAATGTGATCATTAATCTTCTGAGTATGTTTTATTTAAACAGAAAATAAACTGCTATACAGTTAACAAAACATGTAAATATTTTTCTTTGCTATAATTGATGATTTTTTATCTAGTGGTGTTAAAAGATGAAAATCCATTTAATTGCTAGAAATGGGTTTGAAATATTTTTCTGCTCTCACTGGCTATGATTTTAGTGGCAAAGAAGTTATCTGACTTCCTAGCTTCTGTCATACTTGAGAGAATACTTCATAGTAATTTGCTTAGCTTTTGTCATGCTTGAAAGAATTCTTAATAGTAATTTGGTCTCCCAGCTGACTTGGGTGTGTGTTGGCTCTGTGGCTAATTTGTGTTTGGACCTGAGGCCTGTCACTTAATTTCTCTGGGCCTCAGTTTCCTCCTCTGTTCAGTGAGGATAATGTGTACTGTGTAATTTGATGTGAGAATTCAACTAGATGCTTGCATGTGAAGTGCTGAGCACAGAGCCTGGGATACAGCCTGCTGTTAGCATCGGTAGGTGATAATACTCGGGTATTCAGTTGGCCCATTAATACAGTTTCATTACATTTCTTTATCTTGTATTCAGTTTAGTTTTTAATTCATGCAAACATCCTGAAATTTACAACACATTATTAGAATCAGAACTATTAGGAGACGTGGTACACAGCAGTATCCCCAGCCCTCACATTTTCCAGAAAAAGTGAGGAAGACTTTCAAAAAGAAATGTTAGAAAGTGCTATGAAGAGAAATAAAGCAGGAAAAGGGCGTTGGGAATGTTGGAGAAGGGATCAGGGCTGCCAGGGAAGGGTCCATGGAGGCTGAGGCCACAGACCTGAAGGCAGGGAAGGAGTAAGTCAGGTGTATGTCTGCGGAGTACATGGAGAGGTGAGAAAAATTGCAAGGAAACCCTGTAGTTACTGAGAGGTAGCGGGGTGGAAGGGACACAGAACGGCTTGTATTAAATAAATTTTTACTAAAAGTGAAACAGAAGCCATCAGAGGGTTTTGAACAGAGAGGTAATGCTATTTGACTATTTCAAGGAATGTTTCTGAGAATAGACTGCAGGGGCTGAAGGTGGAAATGGGGAGAGCTGGTCTGAAAATGACTTGGGGAGGGAGGTTGGGGCCAAGTTGGTAGCATAAGAGTTAGTGACATCACCAGAGCCTGGGTGTTCTTTGAACATAGAAGCTACAGAACTTGCTAACAGATTATACCTGGAGACGAAGCCCTGGTGAGACCCCGAGGGCAAGCAAAGTCACAAATAAAGGCATATTTTGAGTTCAAAACAAAAATTGTCAGGACATTGTTTTGTTTTTTGAGACAGAGTCTCGCTCTGTTGCCCAGGTTGTAGTGCAGTGGCACGATCTCAGCTCACTGCAACCTCCGTCTCCCGGGTTTAAGCAATTCTCCTGCCTCAGCCTCCTGAGTAGCTGGAATTACAGGCGTATGCCACCACACCTGGCTAATTTTTGTATTTTTAGTAGAGACTGGGTTTCGCCATGTTGGCCAGGCTGGTCTTGAACTCCTGACCTCAGGTGATCTGCCCACCTTGGCCTCCCAAAGTGCTGGGATTATAGGCATGAGCCACCTTGCCTGGCCCAGGACATTGTTAACTAATAAACCTTGTTTTTTGTTTTTTCCTGTTAACTCTGCCTTATGCTTAGCCTTGGAATTAAAAAAAAAAAGACTGGCATGCTAGTTCTTGACTCCTAGCTAGCCCATTCTTTCAGGGAATCATCTTCTTTGAATGTGTTCTTTGTCCCATAGTATAATAAACTATGAAGAAGAATGAGCATGCATCTATTTTCTGTCATCTGATTTAGCTAACAACTTCTTCACACTGTCACTGTGCTCCCAAGTGAAGGGGGCCAGAGTTGCCTCCATTTGGTGTCCGCAGTGAGCAACAGGTTAACGTTTCAAGGGAAGCTTGAAAACATTCTCGTTTTCAGAGAATGTTGATCTCTTTCAAAAGTCATAGCACTCTCCCACTGTCGACACACACATTTCTGGGGCTACTGTGTCAAATGCCATTCTAGGTGCTGGGCACGTAGTGGTAAAACAAGAACAGGCTGATCCTCCCTATCAAAACTTGTAATCTTGAGGGAATATAGACAATGAAGTAATTGCACAAAGAGCTATGCCATTACAAACTGGAAGACGGTGTGAAGGGAAAGTGCAGGAGGCTAGCACAGAACCTGCTCTCAGTCGCTGAAGGCCATCGTGGACACCATTGTATGAATTTCTTCAGGAAACTCTAGAAAAAGGTGACCTTGGACACTTTAGTTATTATTTAAGCCTTTTTTTTAAAAAAAATTTATTCATTTATCTCTTTTTAAAATAATACTGTTCGGCCGGGCATGGTGGCTCACACCTGTAATCCCAGCACTCTGGGAGGCCGAGGTGGGCAGATCACCTGAGGCCAGGAGTTTGAGACCAGCCTGGCTAACATGGTAAAACCCCATCTCTACTAAAAATACAAAAAATTAGCCAGGCGTGGTGGTGGGCGGCTGTAATCCCAGCTACTTGGGAGGCTGAGGCAGGAGAAAAGCTTGAACCCGTGAGGCAGAGGTGCAGTGAGCCAAGATCGCACCACCGCACTCCAGCCTCGGTGACAGAGGAGACTCTATCTCAAAAAAAAAAAAAACAAAACCCTATTGGTTGGAACATGCATTCTCCTTATTTTAAATCACAAATGAGGGCCTGACAAGGTGGCTCATGCTTATAATCTCAGCATTTTGGGAGGCCACGGCAGGAGGATTGCTGGAGGCCAGGAGATGGAAATTAGCCTGGTCAACATAGTGAGACCCCATCTTTATTAAAAAAAAAATCACAAATGAGAGTAGAGTCTGTTTTGGCTAGTGTTTATTGAGTACTTCTATATGCCAGGTATTTGGTACATTATTTACATGCATTATATCAATTCTCACAATAATTCTGTGAGGTAAGTACTAGTATCTCGTTTTTCAGTTGCAGGACTTGAGCCTTAGAGAGCTTAAGTAATTTGTTGATGATCATAAACTGAAGATGCTGAGTTTGAACCCAGGTCGAGCTGGAAGTCCTAAACGTGTAATTTTATGGCTTAAAAAAAAATAGGCCTACATACTGTTTTTCTACAAAATGTAATTGAGTATTAATTCAATTTAAAGCTGAATAAGATAATTGATTACAATGGGTCTTTAGTTAACATGACCTTGTTTAAAAAGTAGCGTCTTTAGATATCACTTTGTTCAGTTTTTTAAATTTTACAAATGAGAGAACCAAATCCCAGAGAGGTGTCACGTCCTAAGGTTATGCAATTAGTGAAAGAAACTGGACAGTTCTGCAGGGCCAAGGAGGAAAAAATAAACTTTTATTTCTTCTCTTGACTCTGGATTATATGGGCAACTTTGAGCCTCTCTTCACACATCCGATGATGTTCTAATATCTGCAAGCTGCAAAAACTTTTATTCTGAATAAACAATGTGAGTGCTGAAATAATTGAAACCAGTTTTTTTAAGTCCATTACATACTGATGAATTAAAAATTTCAGTTTTATCTTGTTAATACAGCATCATGTGAAATAATTTTTGTGCATTGTTAGAGAAAGTATAGATTTGATGGTCATGTAAAGAGTTTTGTAGATATTTAGTAGTTTTTTAGCAATGTCCCCCCATCCCGCTACATAATGGAGTTTTGTTGGCTATTCAGAAGAAGGGTGAATATTTTGTACTTTTTCTTTTTCAGATTTCACTGTGGGGAAATAAGTGTGATCTGTCTCTCTCAGGTGGAGAAAGTAGTTCTCAGAATACCAATGTACTAAATTCATTGGAAGACCTAAAACCTTTCATTTTATTGAATGATATGGAACATCTTTGGTCATTGCTTAGCAATTGCAAGAAAACAAGAGAAAAAGCTTCTGCTACTAGAGTGTATATTGTTCTCGATAATTCTGGATTTGAGCTTGTTACAGATTTAATATTAGCCGACTTCTTGTTGTCCTCTGAACTGGCTACTGAGGTTCATTTTTATGGAAAAACAATTCCATGGTTTGTTTCTGATACTACTATACATGATTTTAATTGGTTAATTGAACAGGTAAAACACAGTAATCATAAGTGGATGTCCAAGTGTGGGGCTGACTGGGAAGAGTATATTAAAATGGGTAAATGGGTTTACCACAATCATATATTTTGGACTCTGCCTCATGAGTACTGTGCAATGCCTCAGGTTGCACCTGACTTATATGCTGAACTACAGAAGGCACATTTAATTTTATTCAAGGGTGATTTGAATTACAGGAAGTTGACAGGTGACAGAAAATGGGAGTTTTCTGTTCCATTTCATCAGGCTCTGAATGGCTTCCATCCTGCACCACTCTGTACCATAAGAACATTAAAAGCTGAAATTCAGGTTGGTCTGCAGCCTGGGCAAGGGGAACAGCTCCTGGCCTCTGAGCCCAGCTGGTGGACCACTGGAAAATATGGAATATTTCAGTACGATGGTCCCCTTTGACTTGATTTAGGAGCTCTCAGTTGCATAGAAAGATCTGGTGAGCACCTTTTCATCCCCAGAAAAGGAGCACGTGAATTGAGTCGCCTGGCGGCTCTGTACGCGCTCAGGGAAGCTTAGCTTCTTGGTGCCCATCTACGTGCACTGGATGATTTTTCTTTTGAACATTTTGCCCCACTACACTGTTTTGGGGATAGCTGGGTTAAGCAAGTTAAAGATATTTACATTTATATTGGAATTTTAGCAACTTTTTTTCAGGTTAAATATATAATTTCAAGTGCTTTTAATGAACTTATTTTTAATTGGCTAGGGAGCAAAAAATAAGTGAGTTCTGCTTTTAGTTAGTTAACCTTGTTCTTTTCTTAAATAGTACACTGCATGGTATTTAATATTCCAGGAAGCATGGGATTTTATTTTGCTTGATTTTGGGCACATGAAATAATAGCTCTAGGAAAATGCGCATCTTAATGACTCTTTGTAAAGAGAGGCATTTCTTACAACTGTGATGTTTGCTTACATAAAAGTTACCTCATAAGTTAATTCTAACTTTTATTCTTGAATTTTATTTCATTTCAATAGCTTGTTTCATTTGCACGCCTTTGTATTTTGATTGACCTGTAGAATGGATGTTAGGAAACTCAAAATTGAACACAGTGAAACAAATGGTATTTGAAGAAATGTAATATCTTTTATATTCTATTTATGATATCCATAATCAAATGAGATTATTTTACCACATAAATGTTTTAAATATCAGATTTTTAGTTTGCAGTTTTAGGAAAATGCTTTAGATAGAAAAGGTTCTTATGCATTGAATTTGGAGTACTACCAACAATGAATGAATTTATTTTTTATATTCTTACACATTTTATTGGTCATTGTCACAGATAGTAAATACTAAAAATTTCAGGTCAGTTTGTTTTGAAACTGAAATTGGAAATAAATCTGGAAATGTTTTGTTGCACTAAAATAATAAAATGAATTGTACTGAAAATCTCCTTGGTTTTATTTTCTAGTGGGGAAAAGTCAAGAAAGGAAGATTAAAAATGAGATTTATATAAAAAGAGACATAATATATATTCTAGATGTTGCCAAAAGCAGTTATTAAATATCATTTATAAAAGGTTATTAGTCTATGCTCTTGCTAAGTATTAAAAAAGATTTTTGCAAAATGTTTATATAAAGCTGTACATTTTGAATCTACTGTGTTTCTTTATCCACATGTGTGCCTATTTTAAAGAGTAAGTTTGTAAAATGCTTCCATATTAGAATTATTTGTAGGCATTTGACATAATTTAGAACACAGTTGTATATTTAGGTTGACTTCATAGCCACCGTGTGAGCTCCAGCACTGGAAGTAGTTCAGCACCCCCACTCCCCCATGAAAAAGAGCAAGGAAGCAAACTAGTGCGAGAAAGGTGGCACTGAGGAAGAGGAAGTCAGGTCAAGGTGGAATTTTTTTTAATGCTTAGCAGGAGGAAGGGCCTACCTATGTTTTCACCAGTTAATTTTTAAGTTTTAATGTTAGTTTAGTGTTGTTTTATTTTTAAGACAGGGTCTCGCCCTGTTTTCCTGGCTGGAGTGCAGGGCATGATCACAGCTCACTGTAGTCTTGACCTCCCGGACTTAGGCGATCCTCTCACCCCAGCCTCTTCAGTAGCTGAAAATATGGGTGTGTGCCACCATGCCCAGCTAATTTTTTTTATTTTGTAGCGATGAGGTCTCACTATGTTGCCCAGAACTGGTCTCAAACTATTGGCTTCAGCCTCCCGAAGTGCTAGGATTATAGGCAAGGCCACCGTGCCCAGCCTCACCAGTTGATTTTTTTTTTTTTTTTGAGACGGAGTCTCACTCTGTTGCCAGGCTGGAGTCCAGTGGCGCAATCTCAGCTCACTGCAATCTCCGCCTTCCAGGTTCAAGTGGTTCTCCTGCCTCAGTCTCCCAAGTAGCTGGGATTACAGGTGCGGGCCACCACCCCAGCTAATTTTTGTAGTTTTAGTAGAGACGGGGTTTCACCATGTTGGCCAGGATGGTCTCTATCTCCTGACCTCGTGATCTGCCCGCCTCGACCTCCCAAAGTGCTGGGATTACAGGTGTGAGCCACCGCACCTGGCCCAGTTGATTTTTTAAAACAGCTTTACTGAAATATAAATACAATTCATCCATTTAAAGGGTACGGTATTTCAGTATATTCACAGGGTTGTTTTTGTCACAGCTAAAACAAACTAGTACCCATTGATAGTCATTCCCCTTTGCCCTCTCCTTAGCACTTGGCGACCACAAATCTTTCTGTCTATATGAATTTAAATGTTCTGGACATTACATATAAATAGAATCAAAATAGGCGGTCTTTTGTGACTAGCTTATTTTGAAGGTTCATCAGTTGTATGTGTCAGTCAGTCCCAACACTTCTCTAATTAGGACTCTACAAGTACTTCATCTTTTTTGATGGCTGAATACTTTTTTTTTTTTTTTTAAGAGATGAGGTTTTGCCATGTTGCCCAGCCTGGTCCCCAACTCCTGGGCTCAAGCAATCCACCGGTCTAGGCCTCCCAAAGTGCTGGGATTACAGTTGTGAGCCACTGCGCCCGGCCCAAATACTATTCCATTGTATGGACATATACCACGTTTTATTCATTTGTCAGGTGATGGGCATTTGGGTTGTTTCCACTTTTTGACTATTATGAATAATGCTGCTATGACATTCATGTACAAGACTTGTGTATGTTTTCACTTCTTTTGGGTATATATGTAGGGGTGAAAGTGTTCCATCATATGGTAACTGTAATGTTTTGTGTGTCTGTCAAATACTTTCCCCGAAGTGTTTGCATCATTTCACATTCCTTCCAACAATGCACGACGGCTCCAACTTCACATTTTTGTCAGCACTTGTTACTCTTTTTTTTTTTTTTTTTTTGAGACAGAGTCTTGCTCTGTCACCCAGGCTGGAATGCAGTGGCATGATCTCGGCTCACTGCAACCTTGCCTCCTGGGTTCAAGTGATCCTCTTGCCTCAGTTTCCCAAGTAACGGGGATTACAGGCACGCACAACCATGCACCAGTTAATTTTTGTATTTTTTTTAGTAGAGACTGGGTTTCACCATGTTGGCCAGGCTGGTCTTGAACTCCTGACCTCAAGTAATCCACCCGCCTCAGTCTCCCAAAGTGCTGGGATTACAGGCGTGAGCCACTGTGCCTGGCCTGTTATTAATAGTATCCGTGTTTTTGACTATAGCTGAACTGTTGGGTGCAAAGTGGGAATCTCATGCTTTTGAATGGCATTTCCCTAATGAATAATGTTGAGCATATTTTCATGTGCTTATTGGCCATTTGTGTATCTTCTTTGGGAAGATGTCTTCAATTCCTTTGCCCATTTAAACATTATCTTCTTATTGAGTTATAAGGTTTAAAAGATATATTCTGGGCTGGGCGCAGTGGCTAACGCCTGTAATCCCAGCACTTTGGGAGGCCGAGGCGGGCAGATCACAAGGTCAAGAGATCAAGACCATCCTGGCCAACGTGCTGAAACCCTGTCTCTACTAAAAATACAAAAAATTAGCTGGGCATGGTGGCTCATGCCTGTAATCCCAGCTACTTGGGAGGCTGAGGCAGGAGAATCGCTTGAACCAGGGTGGTGGAGGTCGCAGTGAGCCGAGGTCATGCCACTGCATGCCAGCCTGGTGACAAAGTGAGACTCTGTCTCAAAAAAAAAAAAAAAAAAGATATATATATATATATTCTGGCCAGGCGTGGTGGCTCATGCCTGTAATCCCAGCACTTTAGGAGGCCGAGGTGGGCAGATCATGAGATCAGGAGTTCGAGGACAGGCTGGCCAATATGGAGAAACCCCTTCTCTACTAAAAAATACAAAAATTAGCTGGGCGCGGTGGCGCATGCCTATAGTCCCAGCTACTCAGGAGGCTGAGGCAAGAGAATCGCTGGAACCTGGGAGGCCGAGGCTGCAGTGAGCCAAGATCATGCCACTGCACTCCAGCCTGGGCGATAAGAGCGAGACTCCGTTTCAACAACAACAACTATATGTATAAATAATATATATATATATTTTCTGGATACAGGTCTCTTATTGGACATATGACTTATAAATATTTTCTCCAATTCTGTGTGTTGTCTTATCAATTTCTTGATGGTATCAGTTTGCAGCACAAACGTTTTAAATTTGGATAAATACTTTTATTGCAAAACATTGGTGTTGGAGCTGCTTAAACTCCTCTTAAGGGTCTCTAAAGTGAGGGACTGCCAACCTTCTCTCAACCCCCGTCAACACTCCCCCCATCCTGCTTCCAACACTCTTGTTTCCACCTGAGCAAATGTGGCCTACACATGTTTAGTATGGGTGTAGACGAGCACAGTGAGAAAGCTGAGGTTCTGCAATGGGGTGTGAATGGGTTTTCCACTGAAGAGCTGAGTAGCCTTCCCAAAATAGCATCTTTAATTGTTTCTTAACTGCTACCACACCTACATATGAAGTAAGTGTAGCTTATAAATTTCATGCAATACATTTTTATCAAGACGTAGATCCAGTATTGTAGGTATATTAGGATGAAAATGTAGATGAAGGGCAGGTAAATAATTATGCAGAGAATGGTGTTTTTATTTAACAGCAAGTGGACAAGATTTGTTGGCATGATCCAGCTTTTCTTTTCTTTTCCTTTTTTTTTTTTTTTTGAGAAGGAGTCTTGCTCTGTCACCTAGGCTGGAGTGCAGTGGCATAATCTCGGCTCACTGCAACCTCTGCCTCTGGGTTCAAGTGATTCTCCTGCTTCAGCCTCCCCAAATAGCTGGGACTACAGGTGCACGCCACCACGCTCCGCTAATTTTTTTTTTGTATTTTTAGTAGAAACAGGGTTTCACCACGTTGGCCAGGCTGGTCTAGAACTCCTGATCTCAGGTGATCTGCCCACCTTGGCCTCCCAAAGTGCTGGGATTACAGCCGTGAGCCACCGCGCCCAGCCATGGTCCAACTTTTCGTACTAATTTGAGGCAGTGTTTGTGTTTGATAAAATGCAGTAATGTTTTTGAACCTTTATAAAGCCAAAATCCGAGTTGCTTATTCTCAAGGTCATGTTTCTATAAAAGAAAACGCACCAGCCACAAAAAGCAACACAGTTTAAACCTTTATTTGCATTTTAAGAAAACCCCAGAGTGTATTGAAAATGTAGTTCAAAGTTGCTGTTAAAATTTCCTCTCCCAATCATTTTTCTAACACAGCCCTCTGCCCAAACTCCCACTAAGCCTTATTCCAGAACATCTGCCACAAAATGTCTTTTTTCCTCTTTTTGTCTCTACCCTCTTTTTTTTTTTGCTAGATTGAGAGTGGAGAAGACTTTGAACACTTCTATGCATTCATGTCATTACCTAGATAAAGTGCTCATGCCATGTCTGACACTCCTGGTAAGTATTAAGTGATATCTTGAAATTGCAGCAAATGAATACAGCAGAGGAAAAGAAAACTCAGAAAAACAACAACAGTGGTAACACCATCTCCAAATACCCCTGTTAAGATTTGATGTATATATTGCTAAGTTCTTCTTTATGTATAGACATACTTTTTTTTTTTACATTTCTAAGATAAAAAAGCAGAATCATATCATTAAAACTTTTTTTTTTTTTTTTTTTTGAGACGAGGTCTCGCTCTCTCGCTCAGGCACTCACAGCAGCCTCGACCTCCTAGGCTCAAGTGATCTTCCCACCTCAGCCTTCCAAGTAGCTGAGACTACAAGTGTGCACCACAATGCCTGGCTAATTTAAAATTTTTTTTGTAGAGATGAGGTCTCACTTCGTTGCCCAGGCTGGTCTCAAACTACTGGGCTCAAACGAGACTACTGCCTCAACCTCCCAAAGTGCTGGGATTACAGGCATGTGCCTATATCCAGCCTTTTTTTTTTTTTTTTTTTTTAATTCTTAAGTATTTTTCGAACTTCTAAGTTTTGTTTGGTTGGTTGGTTTTGTTCTTGTTGTCGTTTTACTTTTTGTGGGGTTTTTGTTTGTTTAGTTTACTAATTGGTTCCTGTTAGATGGATAGGAGGTTTTTTTGTTTTGTTTTGTTTTGTTTTGAGACGGAGTTTCCCTCTTGTCCCCCAGGCTGGAGTGCAATGGCACAATCTCGGTTCATTGCAACCTCTGCCTCCCAGGTTCAAGCGATTCTCCTGCCTCAGCCTCCCGAGTAGCTGGGATTACAGGTGCCTGCCACTATGCCCGGCTAATTTTTGTATTTTAGTAGAGACAGGGTTTCGCCATGTTGGCCAGGCTGGTCTCGAACTCCTGACCTCAGGTAATCTACCCTCCTCGGCCTCCCAAAGTGCTGGGATTACAGGCGTGAGCCACTGTGCCCCGCCAGGAGATTTTTTTTTTTTCTGCATAGCAATATGACCCTGGTACTAAATAATGGCGTGAGACTCATAAATACTTGATTTCTAATTCTTGATTGTCTTAGTCCATTGGTGCCACTATAACAAAATACCTGAGACTAGGTAGTTTAAAAACGACAGAAATTTATTTCTCATAGTTCTGGAGGCTGGGAGTCCAAGATCAAGGTGCCAGCAGGTTTGTGGACTGGTGAGGTCCTGGTCTCAGCTTCCAAGATGGTGCCTTCTTGCTGCATCTTCTGGAGGAGGGGAGGAACACAGTGTCCTCACGTGGAGAAGGCGGACGGGCAAGGGAGCTGAATGCCGCGTGACGAGTCTGAAACCCATCTGTGAAGGAGGATCCCTCCTGACCTAATCACCTCTTAAAGGCCCCGCCTATTAATATCACCCTATTGGCCACCAGTTTCAACACATGAATTTTGGAGGGGATAGATTCAAATCATAGCACCAGTCTACTGTGAACTATGTGACCTGAGTCACATTCTTACCATTTTGCTGGAAAAAGAAACGTTAATTCCGGTCAATTTAAACTACATTGAATCCCAAACTCAAATTACCCGAGGGAAACTGGAAACTTGCTGAAAGGTATTAACATTCTGGCACCCCCTAGTGGCCACCTGAATATTCTGTAAAACCCGATTTTTTTTCCCATTTTGCTTTTCTTTGGTGTGGCACGTTTTTCGTTTTCAGTTTATTTACTATTACTTCACCCCATTTTTAAACCTTTTAGAAAATAAAAGGGAACATCAGTTCATACAGAAGACACTTCTAACTTGTCGATTCCCACTAATCTTACATTTCTTGGGGCAGCCACCACCTGTATCTTCTGTGTATTTGTCCTACACACAATTGAACACAGTAGTTGCTCAATGAATGACTGATTGATAGGTAATGCAGTCCAGTGTTTGAAATATTTCTTGTTTTGTTTTGCTTTGTTTTTTGAGATGGAGTCTAGCTTTGTCACCCAGGCTGGAGTGCAATGGTGTGATTTAGGCTCATTGCAACCTCTGCCTCCCGGGTTCAAGCGATTCTCCTGCCTCAGCCCCCCGAGTAGCTGGGATTACAGGCATGCGCCACCACACTTGGCTAATTTTTTTTTTTTTTTTGTATTTTTAGTAGAGACGGGGTTTCACCATGTTGGTGAGGCTGGTCTCGAACCCCTGAACTCAAGTGATCCACCCACCTCGGCCTCCCAAAGTGCTGGGATTACAGGCATGAGCCATCATGCCTGGCCTTGAAATATTTCTTTAAAACTCTGTGCTGATGCTATTTAAATTGAACTCTGAAGGATAAAGTGGATCTGTTGGAAAGCCTGACATATATAAGGAGATCAATAGTACTTGTTGAATGAACAAAGGAATATATATTTTATATAATTGAGGGTTTTCTTTTTTCTTTTTTCCTTTTTTTTTTTTTTTTTTTTTTGAGATGGAGTTTCACTCTTGTTGCCCAGGCTGGAGTGCAGTGGCGCAGTCTTGGCACACTGCAACCTCCACCTCCTGGGTTCAAACGATTCTCCTGCCTCAGCCTCCTGAGTAGCTGGGATTACAGGCATGCGCCACTGTGCCCAGCTAATTGTGTATTTTTAGTAGAGATGGGGTTTCACCATGTTGGTCAGGCTGTTCTTGAACGCCTAACCTCAGGTGATCCACCCGCCTCAGCCTCCCAAAGTGCTGGAGTTACAGGCGTGAGCCACCGCGCCCGGCCCGAGAGTTTTTGATAAGTGTATGCTTCTTTAAAGACTGCTTTGTTCCTTCAATATTATAATCAATTTTCCATTTGTTAAAAATTCTTCAAAAATGTATTTATTTATTTATTTTTTTTTTGAGACAGGTCCTGGCTCTGTTGCCCAGGCTGGAGTGCAGTAGCACGATCATGGCTCTCTGCAACTACCACCTCCCAGGCTCAAGAGATCCTCCCACCTCAGCCTCCCGAGTAGCTGGGACTACAGACACCTGCCACTACACCTGGCTAATTTTTGTATTTTTGGCAAATACGGCGTCTTCCTATGTTGCCCAGACTTGTCTCTAACTCCTGGGCTCAAGCGATCCTCCTGCCTTAGCCTCCCAAAGTGCTAGGATTACAGGCATGAGCCACCGTGCCCAGGCCAAGAATGTGATTTTTAAATGGCTACATTCATCATATGACTAGATCATAGTTTATTTTGCTATATAGATTATTCAAAAATTTTGGTATTAGAAAAAAAACTGAAACGAACATCTTCGGACAACTAAAGTCTTCAGATACTGCTAATTATTAAGAGCCACCCGGTTACTCTAGTCCACCTAGAATAGTGTTTGCATTAGACTCATAGCCCCAAGTTGTCAATATCAAGTAACTGTTTATCATGGGGAGGGAAACTGCTTTTTCCTCTCGTTTTTATTTATTTATTTATTTATTTTGAGACAAAGTCTCGTTCTGTCGCTCCGGCTGGGGTGCAGCGGCGCGATCTCGGCTCACTGCAACTTCTGCCTCCTGGTTCAAGCAATTCTCCTGCCTGAGCCTCTCGAGTAGCTGGGATTACAGGTGCTGGCCACCATGCCCGGCTAATTTTGTATTTTTAGTTGAGACAGGGTTTTACCGTGCTGGCCAGGCTGGTCTCAAGCTCCTGGCTTCAGGTGGATCCACTTGCCTCGGCCTACCAAAGTGCTGGATTACAGGTGTGAGCCACCACACCTGGCCACAGATTTTTGTTTTTAATGTTTTGTTAACTATTTCTATGTAAAATTTCCCTTTGCGTTGTTTATTTAAGGCATTTACACACTTTATTTGGAGGAGTCCATGGCACAAAAACAGTTATGAACATGTGCTCTGTTTTTTTTTTTCCTTTTCCCCCAATTCTCTTTCCTTTTCACAAAGTTGATGAAAGGCATGACTGATTTTATTTATTTATTTATTTATTTATTTATGAGACGGAGTCTTGCTTTGTCACCCAGGCTGGAGTGCAGTGGCGCGATCTCGGCTCACTGCAACCTCCGCCTCCTGGGTTCAAGCGATTATTCTGCCTCAGCCCCCTGAGTAGCTGGGGCTACAGGCAAGCGCCACCACATCTGGCTAATTTTTGTATTTTTAGTAGAGACGGGGTTTCACCATGTTGGTCAGGCTTGTCTTGAACTTCTGACCTCGTGATCCACCTGCCTCGGCCTCCCAAAGTGTTGGGATTACAGGAGTGAGCCACTGCGCCCATCCCATTTATTTAATTTTTTGAATCAAAGAGGAGATGCATTATAGTGTACTTTTTTCTTTCCATCTCAAATTTCACTTAATGCGAAGCCTTTCTTGTCCAGCTCCATGCCGTCAAAAGATCTTTAAAAGAAACAGAAGATTTCACATGTGTACAAGGATTGAGTCATCCTTAACCTATTATTAAGAGGATTTTTACAATTGAAAAGGACGTTTCGGGCCACCAAGCAGCTGGAAGCCAGTGAGTAAGATTTTGGAGGGAAATGGTTTTTGTGAACAGGTGGAAATGATTTGACCAGGACGCACTGGCTCACTCTTCTAACCAAATGGATGATAGAAAATTTGTGTTTTGCTCTCAACTTGAAATCCAAAATTCTACTTGTATAAATCAATCTAATTCCTGCCTTATCTTTGATAACATTACTGATAAACTGTTTAAAACTAAATGAGGTCCAACTTCACATGAATCTGTAAAAGTATGCATTAATTTTCCATTTTTATTTTTTATTTTTTCTCATCATTTCTCAAATGGAATGTGATTTGAACCACTGAAATCCAAATAATTGTGGTCTTGGAGAAGACTCATCAGCCACTTCCATTATTGAGATGAATTCAAAGAGTCAATAACTTGGGCAAGCGTCCTTCCAGTCCCAGCTCTGTTACTAAATAAGTATGTAATTTGAAGATAGGTCACAAAATCTAGCTAGCTTTTCATTCATTTTGCTACTTAATGTTCTTATATATAAGCAGAAAACTCACTTTTAGCTCTGTGTGTGATTTTAGGATCTAATTGCTTGTGCTTTTTGCCATGCACCAAGCAATCCTATTTGACCTTGCACAAAAGTTGGCACTTTATCTTTGTAGAAAATTCTACTTCCTTCTTCCTACTTAGCTTATGTCATTTTTTTTCTTCATGGAAAACTCTACTTTTTCTCTCTGCTAATCTGTTGAACTCATTGAAGTATTGGCTAAGTCCCATCTTGACTTCCATCCATAAAGTGATGACTCCCACCTCCACATTGGGCAGGTTGGTGGTATCTCTCTCTCTCCTTTTTTTTTTCCCCAAGATGGAGTCTCGCTTTGTCGCCCAGGCTGGAGTGCAGTGGCACAATCTCCACTCACTGCAACGTCTGCCTCCCAGGTCCAAGAGATTCTCCTGCCTCAGCCTCCTGAGTAGCTGGGATTACAGGCGCGCGCCACCACGCCCAGCTAATTTTTGTATTTTTAGTAAAGACAGGGTTTCACCATGTTGGTCAGGCTGGTCTTGAACTCCTGATCTTGTGATCTGCCCGTCTTGGCCTCCCAAAGTGCTGGGATTACAGGCGTGAGCCACTGCGCCCGGCCAGTTGGTGGTATCTCTTATACAACAACACACTTTTGCAAGTTTACTGCTTTTATGGGAAGTTTAAAATGGTTTCTATAAGACAAATCGTGAAGATATAATTAAATGTATTAGTAAGGAAGAACCAAAGGCTAGAACTTATTTTCAGGTAAAAGAATCCATTGGCCGGGCATGGTGGCTCACGCCTGTAATCCCAGCACTTTGGAAGGCTAAGGCGAATGGATCACGAGGTCAGGAGTTTGAGACCAGACTGGCCAACATGATGAAAGCCCGTCTCTACTAAAAATACAAAAATTAGCCAGGTGTGGTGGTGTGCGCCTGGAATCCCAGCTACTGGGGAGGCTGAGGCAGGAGAATCACTTGAACCTGGGAGGCAGAGGTTGCAGTGAGCTGAGATTGCGCCATTGCACTCCAGCCTGGGCGACAGAGTGAGACTCTGTCTCAAAAAAAAAATAAAATAATAATCCATTGAAAAAATTTCACATTGTAGACTGTTGACACTATATATAGAAATTCTTCATGGAATGGAGGAGTATTTTGTAGCATTGAGGGGTCTGGCCTAGCAGCAGGACTCCAAGGGTAGAAATTGAAGCGAACATTGTTGAATGACTATACAAAAGTCTTTTTCTTTGTCTTTTGCTGGCGCAGACACCATCTTGTCTGGGGATCCTTCCCCGTGTTGATACCACCCCCGCTTCCCAATGATTGCTTTACGGGTGGGATGCAGTTCTAGCCAAGGTGAGGCAAGGTCACTGGATGCTTCTGGGAAACATCATCTTGCTCTTACAAAACAGCTTATGAAGAGACATCCCCCTTCTTCCTTTGGAGGTTTTCGTGTCTGGATGCAATGCTCTATTTACTGCATTTTACACATGAAATAACACGACTCAGAATAAGACACTTGCCAGTGGTAACAAATGGCAGAACCTGTATTTGAACAAGGTCAAGGGGTCCCAGCCTATTGTTTTTGCCACCACCTACGTCACCTCCCATAAAAATAGCACTCTATCATACGTTTTGCAAAGTATTTCATACTTTATTAAAAAATTCATATGTATACCATAAGAACACTATGACATAGGTATTATTACACTTACTTGATCTGTGAGGCAATAGAGCTTCAATCAGGTCCACACAGCTAGTAAGTGGCTGGGTTGGCACTTGAACCCAATGACTTCCAAGTCTTCTGCCCTTTCTGTGGTCCCAGAGATTACTATTTAAGGACGAATAATAAGATCTCCCAGAGATCAGAAATGCAACTCTGAAAACATAGACTTTGTCCTATCGGTTGTTGGTTTTCAACCTGTGCTTTTCTGAGCACTAAGCGTTCTGTGGAGGTACTTTGGGGACTTTGGGTGGCATGGACAATGGAGGTCATGGAGAAGGATGTTAGTGGGACTCTAGAGCCTCACCCTTTGTTTACAAGGTCAACAGAGGGATCTCCAAATTGATCTGTTCTAAATACTGGGCTCCTGAAAAAGACTCCAATTGAACAAAGTTTCATTGGCTTTAAAAGGAGTAAGGGCTAGGCTGGGCACAGTGGCTAATGCCAGCACTTTGGGAGGCCAAGGTGGGAAGATTGCTTGGAGCCAGAAGTTTGAGACAAGCCTGGGCAACATAGTGAGATCCTGTCTCTACAAAAAATTAAGAAGTCAGCTGGGCGAGGTGGCTCATGCCTGTAATCCCAGCACTTTGGGAGGCCAAGGTGAGAGGATTTTGTTTTTTCTCTTTTATGAATCTCATCATTCCTCGTTAATCTGAACATCCTTGAAGACAGAGTTGAGTACCTTTTACTCTCTCTTTAACTCACTGTACACTCTGATCAGTGGTCTGTATTCAGCAGGCTGATTTATCAGATGAAATAGAAGCAGTTGATGGTCTTAAATCAGTGTTTTGTATCTAGTGATAACACTTTTAGGAGCTATCTCAAGGGACATCTGTCTCTGGGAAGGCTGAGGTGTTCATTTTTTAAAAAAAATCATTAGCTGATTGCTCAGCTTCCTGTGTCTTGCTTCCTTCTCTCTTTTATAAGAGGAAGTTTTACAGACCAAATACATTTATGGCCAGTAATGCAAGTTTATAAATAGGGTATTTTAATTGAGGTTAAATCTGTGAAATCAGCAGAAGATAAAACATCTTTCCAAAAGTTAGACTAATTTATGATGATGATGTTTCTGAGAGGGGCAGATGAGAATCACTTTATATATACATACATACATATATATATATATATATATATATATATATATATATATATATATATATATATATACACACACATATATATATATATATAGGATTGGCTAAACTTCAACTGGTAATAAAAATCCAGCCTGGTCTGAATCAGAAAACTTACTGAAATGTTTTTGAATGCTTTTGTGAAACCTCAGCAGGAAGTTAGAATCAACACGGGGAATCCAGGGCAGTAAGTACATATGAGAAACAGTCGTTGCTCTCAGCTTTTAAAAACAAGAAGTATTTGTTGCTTTTTGAAAGAAAGTTGGCGCAATTTTAAAAGAAATCTGACACATGTCTAAAATGGGGTCAGGAAAATCCCACACTAACCCCTCCCACCACCCAAAGCCATAAGATTTTCCAAACTAATAAGGGCATTTTAAAGATCCGGAAGAAGCTGTCTTTTTTCTTTCGTTTAGAAACCATGTTTACTTTTGAGGTTGATTTTAACGGAATGTTAGTCAAGTTATCATCTTTTTGGAGGAATTTTACCGTTGGTCTTTCTAGAACTTCAACGTGTGGGAGCAATATCATTTTCTCATTGCTACCTTAGAATAATCCTGAGTAACCTCGCTTTGGTGGTTGTGTTAGTCAGGGTCCCCTAGAGGGACAGAACTAATAGGATATATACATATATGTATGGAGTTTATTAAGGAGTATTAACTCACACGATCACAAGGTCCCACAACAGGCCATCTGCAAGCTGAGGAGCAAGGAAGCCAGTCCAAGTCTCAAGGCTGAAGAACTTGGGAGTGCGATGTTTGAGTGCAGGAAGCATCCAGCACAGGAGAAAGATGTAGGCTGTGAGGCTAAGCCAGTCTAGCCTTTTCATGTTTTTCTGCCTGCTTTATATTTGCTGGCAGCTGATTAGATGGTGCCCACCCAGGTTAAGGGTAGGTCTGCCTTCCCTAGCCCACTGACTCAAATGTTAATCTCCTTTGGCAACACCCTCACAGACACATCGGGCTCAATACTTTGCGTCCTTCAATCCCATCAAGTTGACACTCAGTATTAACCATCACAATGGTCATAACGGCAACCTTAACGTCCTGTTCTATTGACGGCTCACGGGCACATCCTGTGAATGGACAGGGATCCTGAGGGAAGACGAGTCCTGGGGAGGGCTTTGTAGCCACAGGCTTGCAGGCTTTGAGGGTGAAATCTTGATTTTTATGAATTTAGATGAGAAACTGAGCTATTAAATGGACAAGACATTGGCATTTGAGGTCCACTATCTTCTCAGCCTTCCCCGCTCCCCAAACAGTTTCCATTGTGAAATAATCTGTCTTGTGATTATCATATGCTTTTCTTATACGTATTCATATATTTAGTTAAATTTCTGTCTTGGCTGGGGAGATAGCGTGTCTTTATAAGATGTTTGGGATACCTCTGCTTTGGTTTAACCATATGAGGCCAATTGATTGATTGATTTTATTTCATTTATTTATTTATTTGAGACAGGGTCTCGCTCTGTCACCAAGGCTGGAGTGCACTGGCCTGTCATAGTTCACTGCAGTCTCAAACTCCTGGACTCAGGTGATCCTCCCACTTCGGCCTCTCAAAGTGCTGGGATTTCAGGCGTAAGCCATCACGCCTGGCCCATAGTCCAATTGATAGTTCTAAGTTCCTGGAGGCAAGGCATCTCTTTGTTGCTCCAACCCCTTTCTAAAATTCCTATTTTCCAAAAGTAAAGAAAATGCTTCAAAAATGTATTCTTACATACTGAGTAGTTAAAAAAAATTAAGCCAAAGATCTTCCAAATTTCAGAATAATTTAGAGTAAGAGTAAACACTTTGCTTTGCTAGCCCTTCTTTGTGGTGTCTTATGGGAGAATTCTCTGCTCTGTGTTTTAGAAGAGCAATGCTAATAGCTCATACTTATTTTGTACTTTGTCCTAGGTTCTGCAGACTAAGCATTTTACATACATTACATAACTTAATCTTCAAAGCAACCACATGGATTATGCACTGCTATTACTTCTATGTTACAGATGAGGGATAGGCCCTAGGAGGTTGAGAAGCTTATCCAAGATCAGGGAATTCAGAAATGGCAAAGACAGGATTTGAACCCAGACACCCTTACTCCAGGGTGTGTCTACTTAACCACTGTTAGAGGGCCTTCAAGTCCAGGGGTAAATCCAAGGACTTTCAGTTTTTTAATTTTTATTTTTAGAGATAGTCTCCGTGTGTCACCTAGGCTGGAGTGCAGTGGCACGATCTTGGCTCACTGTAACCTCGAACTACTGGGCTCAAGCCACCCTCCCACCTGAGCCTCTTAAAGCACTGAGATTACTGGTGTGAGCAACCACACCTCGCCAGCTTTCAGTATTTTTTTAAAAGGACATTGTAGTTCTTGAGCAAAAAAAAGAAAAGAGATCTCTCGTATACTTTCTGTATTTTTGGTTTTCGTTTTCATATATATGAAACCAGATCTCATTTATAATACATTTTAAATTAAGGGTTAATCTACTGTTTGGCAACTTGGTTAAAGCAGGGAAAATGTTTTACACCACAACAATTTCACTGGGCAATCTGTTATTTCCAGCTACCAAAAAGGAAGGCTAGTTTTTGTGTAGGAAAAAGCTGCCAACTCCATGGATCAGCTCTAATTGTTTTTTTTTTTTTTCTGAGGCAGAGTTTCAGTCTTGTCACCCAGGCTGGAGTTCAGTGGCACAATCTTAGCTCGCTGCAACCTCTGCCTCTTGGGCTCAAGCAATTCTCCTGCCTCAGCCTCCCACGTAGCTGGGAATACAGGTGCCTGCCACCACACCTGGCTAATTTTTTTGTATTTTTAGTAGAGATGGGGTTTCACCATTTTGGCCAGACTGGTTTTGAACTCCTGACCTCAGGTGATCTGCCCGCCTTGGCCTCCCAAAGTGCTGGGATTACAGGCATAAGCCACCGTGCCCAGCCTCTAATTTTTAAGTACTACATCTATTGAAGACTTTTGCTCTTAGCTGTCTTCCTCTGTCAACATCCTTGGTGACATCAGCATCCAGCTATGCGACCCATCCAAAATCTTGGCCATTCAGTTCGTTGATGACATGCCTCAGAATCAATGATTTTTTTTTGCAATATTTCAACTGAGCCACCTATTCCCATGGTTACAGCCTAGGCCAGGAACTGCACTATCTCTGGTTTTAAGCATCCTACTCTGCCCACCACCGACTCTCCTTTCAATTCCCTTAACTGGAATAGCCCCATTGCAACAATGCTCTGACCTCATCAGGACCTCTCAGTCATTGATCCTGTTCTATTTTTTCAAACTCCTATATTCCTTTATTTTCTTCCTCTCTTCATTTTCTTGACTATCCAGCTTAAATTCTATGATCCATCATTATAATGACTCCCTTGTAAATACAATCAATTACCTTGTTCCTCTCTCTATCTTACTTTCCTGGCATAACCCTGACCTTGGCTGAAGGTAACTATGTTCCATTTTCTCAAACAATGGAAACATATAGGAGAAAAATCATACAATTGAGCTGACTGGTTTCATTTTAAAATCATTACCATAAACCTCAAGGGCTCACTCAGCACTGCTGGGTAATTCCATTGTTTCCCTGTATGGTGTTCTCCAAGTGTTAGTCATTCCTCTATCATCTGTATGACTTTTGCTGTATCTGAATACTACCTATGCAATCATTTACTAAATAATTTAGCTTAAGTTGATTCCAATTGAAAAATGTACCCATATCCTAAACTTTGACCTAGACCAGGGGTTGGCAAACTATGGCCCATAGTTACCTGTTTTTATATGGCCCATAAGCTAAGAGTCAGTTTTAAATTTTTGGTTGGTTTTTAAAAAAAAGAATAATAATATCTTGTGACACATGAAGATAAGTGACATAAAATTCAAATTTTGGGGTCTATAGGTAGTTTTATAGGAACATAGCCACATTTGTTTATGTTTTGTCTCTGGTTACTTTCACACTCAAACAGCAGGATTGAGGGGCTGCAAAAGAGACTACATGTGGTGCTCTTATCATTTTGCCCTGCTCATCCACAAATCACAAATAATAGGGGTACAGTTATAACTCTACCGTGTTTGGTAAAGTACCGTATGTATTGTACTATGGTGACATTTACTTTACTTTTAAAATTACCAGAGCTTACTCATCATGTTAATACAAGAAACGTGGATTTTGGATGTCATGCTTTTAAGACAGTGGATAGTAGATTATATTTGTAGAATTAAATGCCAAAGCATTATGTTTACTATAAACATGACACTATAGATGTGCTAAAAGAATACTTAGACATTGACATAACTAGACTAAGCACTTGTTATAATATCCTTAACTCACAGAAAAGTAACAGTTAGAAAAATTAGAAAATTTAAAATGGAATATCTGACCACAGCAGAACTGTCTCACAAAAATAAAAGATAAAATGAGGCCGCAACCAAAGTCAGTTTCTGAGTGGTTAATTTATTAGCCAGGCAAAGAGAGCCATTTACCAATGTTGAGTTCATTAAATCATGTTTAATTGCTGCAGCCAAAGAAACGTGCTCTTAGAGAAGATAAACTTGCCTTTCAGTGAGACTGGTTGTTCAGGGTTGAGGATGTTGGGAGCAACATGAACATATTTTTGCCTTAAAAACAAGGCAAATGATTTTCTTTGGCTCTTGACAAGTTCACAAATGTTAACAATACTGAGCAGTTGTTATTTGAAATATCAGTGCTAAGACTGAAGTAATCAAAAAAAGCCTGTGTGGAGAGAATACAGGTGAGAATATTTTAATAGAAACAGAAAACACGAACTCAGTACAATCTGAAGTAGAATCTGATAAGATGTGTTAAAACTGATGACGGTAAAAATATGTGTTCACCAGAAAAGGGTTTAATTGGGTACATTTACAAAGCTTTTGAAAATGAAAAGCCTGTGGTTTTTCATGATATTATTCATCAGCAAACACATCACAGAAAATATTTGTATTTATCAGGCATTATTAAGTCAGTAGTGTAAATGTTGAACTTCATCGCTCTTGTGGACTTAACCATTGTCACTTCTACAAGTTTTTGCTGGAAATAGAAACCATATATCCTGACTTGCTCTGATGCACAGAAATTTGATGGATCAGTGGTGACAATGTTTCATTTCAATTTTTTGAACTCAGGGCTGAGATGGAAAGTTTTTCCAAATAAGAAACACAGCCTTCAGTCAGTATTATTGAATACTGAATGGCTTTGGAAATTAGCTTTTGCTGTAGAGTTGGTAATATTTATTAATCAACTCAAGGTATAATTACAAGGTAAGACAGTACTATATGCAATAACTGCTAATGTTGTTCTAAGTACAGGCTGTCAAGCTGTCCTATATCCTTTCTATGCTGATGAAATTTAAAACAAGATGTGAAATCTTCATTCTCACACAAATATTCAGCCCTCAATGCACATGCAAAGGAAATTCCCATATTTCAAAAATATATTAATATTCAACTGTAGTTGAGGAGCTTCCATCTAACCTTCAACTGGAGGCTTTTAATCTGCAGCGTAATGACATGCTAAAAGATAAATATCAACATAAAAATCTAAGGTAATTTTATAGATGCCTTCTGAGTGATTAATATGCTCAATTTAAATCACATGCTTATGAAATGAAAGCAATAGTTAGCAGTACCCATCTGTGTGAATGACATTTTTAAAGATGAAACATGTAAATTTTCATTCCAGATAAGCATTAAGAAGTGGAAATTTGGCCAGGTGTGGTGGCTCATGCCTGTAATCCCAGCACTTTGGGAGGCCGAGGCAGGTGGATCACCTGAGGTTGGAAGTTCGAGACCAGCCTGACCAACGTGGAGAAACCCCGTCTCTACTAAAAATACAAAATTAGCCAGGCATGGTGGCGCATGCCTGTAATCCCAGCTACTCGGGAGGCTGAGTCAGGAGAATCACTTGAACCCAGGAGGTGGAGGTTGCGGTGAGCTGAGATTGTGCCACTGCACTCCAGCCTGGGCAACAACAACAACAAAAAGTGGAAATTAGGAATAAATTTTGATGATAGGAAACACTAACTTTGAGCCTTAGTGAAGAAAAATGTTATTCATCCCCCAAACTAATTATGTTCTTATTAGTAGTAGACTTCAGCTCTTCTAGGGAAACCCCCAAAGGGAAAAAAACTTTAGGAATAATTGGCTGCCAGGTGATTCAGAGGACAGAGGATTCAAAGAAGGCTCGTGGAGCTCTTGCTTCACCCCAGACTTTCCATAATCCTCCCGATTGGTTGACACTTTTCCTATAAAAAAAACATGTGATGTGGTCCTTCTGGCAGTCCTTTGCTAGAAAGTGCTTTCTCCTCCTAGAACAGAAAAATGTTAACATTGATTGCCCAGTTTATCCCTCTAAATTTTTCCAAGAATATTAAAGTATTTTAAACTTGCAATTTCACAACTGAAAGATCACTTCAGTAAGACCATGAATGGTGGTATTATATTATATACAACAAATCTTTTTGACTAGTTAAGAAAATACCAATTAAAACAGAATTCAAATGTATTGAATTTACAGTCAAATAAACATCATATAGGACCAGAAAAATATGTTTATTGTAGGTGTTTTTTAGAACCTTATATTTACCCAACTAAAATGTCTTGAAATGTACTTTACATTTTTGATAAGATGTTTTTTAAAAGAACAATTGTGATTTACCTTAATAGTGAAACTGAAGGTCTTTCAGTTTATTTTTCATAAAGTGAGCTCTCAGTGGTTCTCTAAGCTTAGCGTATAATAAAGTTATAAGATGGATCACATTTATTTTAGGTGTAAAAATATATTGGAAACAGTCATATGTATGGGGAAAGATAGAAAATGGACCTTAAAATAAATGAAATGAAATGTATGAAAATCTTTGGAAATGACACTGACAAATTGTTTGACAACCAACTTTATGTCACAATAGAACAAATAAGGGACGGGGATCTGTTTTAGGATGAATTAAAGTCATTGCTGAAGAGTGTTCATTTATTAGATAAATCAGGATCAGCAAACAAGTGAAACAAGTCTAGGAAAGGACTGAGAATGGCTTTAAAGACCTTTAAGAGCTGCCACTCGCTTGGAATAGCAGGTTTCAGTGGTCTGTACTTCACCAAGTAATCTTCTGGTAGATGACTGAAGGAGCTGCTTGCAGGTTTTGAGAACATTTCGTTCAGCTAGGACTTAGTCCATTCAGGCTGCTATAACAAAAATACCTTAGACTGGGGAATTTATAAACAATAGACATTTATTTCTCACAGTTCTGGAGGCCAGAAAGCCCAAGATCAAGGAGCCAACAGATTGGTGCCTGGTGAGCTCCTCCTGTTCCTTATGGATGGATGGCACCTTCTTGCGGTGTCCTCTTTTTTTTTTTTGAGACGGAGTCTAGCTTTGTCACTTAGCTAGAGTGCAGTGGCGCAATCTTGGCTCACTACAGCCTCTGCCTCCCGGGTTCAAGTGATTCTCGTGTATCATCCTTCCTGAGTAGCTGGGATTATAGGCAGCCGCCACCACGCCTGGCTAATTTTTTGTAGAGATGGGGTTTCAGGCTGGTCTTGAACTCCCGACCTCAGGTGATCTGGCCACCTTGGCCTCCCAAAGTGCTGAAATTACAAGCCTGAGCCACCATGCCCGGCCTGTCTTGCTATATCCTCACATGGAGGAAGAAGCAAGGGAGCTCACTCAAGCCACATTTTTTAAGTTTCAGAAATGTTGCTTTATATATAGATATAGATAGATATGTCTTTTTAAGAAAGAATTTTGCTTTTGAAAATTTTTTCTTCATTTAAAAATTTTAATTTTTTTTTTTTTTTTTTTGAGATGGCGTCTCACTCTGTCGCCCAGGCTGCAGTGCAGTGGTGCAATCTCGGCTCACTACAAGCTCTACCTCCCAGGATCACACCATTCTCCTGCCTCAGCCTCCCAAGCAGCTGGGACTACAGGCGCCTGCCACCACACCCGGCTAATTTTTTGTATTTTTAGTAGAGACGGGGTTTCACCGTGTTAGCCAGGATGGTCTTGATCTCCTGACCTCATGATCCGCCTGCCTTGTCCTCCCAAAGTGCTGGGATTACAGGCGTGAGCCACTGCGCCGGCTAAAAATTTTAATGTGTTTTTTAAATTGACATATGATTGTATATATTTATGGGATTCATAGTGAAGTTTTGATACAAATAATATATAGTGACCAGGATAATTAGCAGATCCATCATCTCAAACATTTATTATTTCTTTGTATTAGGAACATTCAATATCCTCCTTCTAGCTATGTGAAACTATATAATGTACTATAGTGAACAGTAGTCATCAAACAGTGGTATGGAACACTAGAACTGATTCCCCTTGTCTAGCTGTCACTTTGTATCCTTTAACAAATCCGAGCCACTTTTAGAAGGGCTAATGTCAATCATGAGGGTGGTGCCCCCATGACTTCATCATTTCCCAAAGGCCCCACTTCTTAGCACTATCACAATGGGTATTAGGTTCCAACAAATGAATTTGGGGTGGCGAGCACCAACATTTAGATCACAGCAAGTGTTTAGGAAAATACTAAAATTAAGCCTACTCTTTTAAACAACCTTTAGACAATTAAAATGTCATAGGAGTGATTTCAGTGACAAGTTTTCAATCGGAAGTCAAAAGCTCCAAAAGTTATCATATTACAAATGTTCCCGTGAGAAACATGTACATCTGTAAAACAAACAAGCAAACAAGCAAAAGGAGGAAACCAGAGTTCTAAACTTACGACACCACAAGAAAACTCCAAAACAGAGGTCTGTACGGAGGTATTGTGGGCCACACGGTGCTGCCCACACACGGGGTTTTGTGAGAGGTCTGGACTGGAACTTGTTTGTACATTTTTTCTTCCCTCCTTTGCTTAAACTGTTATCAGACCTAGAGACCGCCCCCCTCCAACTCCCAGCCTGAAATGTTCTACCACCATGGTCCCAGCTAGCCCAAATCGTCATCTCCTCCAAGGTCCAGACCTCGGGGTCCCCCCAGCTCAACTTCTTTGACGTCATCACATCATCAGATGCTGCTTGAAGAGTCACTTGGCTCATGTCTTGATATCCCAGAAATCTCAAAGGCATCTGGGGAGGGCTGAGCCAAGTACTTTTTCTGCCTCCAGTTACCACAAAATCACATTGTTTTATACAGAGAAAAATCTGTTTCATGCTGATTTTTAAAGACTGCAAATTTATATCTTCTATTCTCATGAATAAGAGCTACAAGGTTGACCAAACTGAGCAGAATTAGGCTTTATGACATGGGATTCTTAAACAATTGGATTAGAGTTAATGGAGAAGGATTTCCATCTGGTTCTCTTCCAGGTGTCTTGAGTTTTCATCAATTTTGTGTTTCCTCTGGCAGTGTTGGTTCATTGAAAATTTAACAAGTTTGGCCGGGCGCAGTGGCTCACGCCTGTAATCCCAGCACTTTGAGAGGTGGAGGCAGGTAGATCACCTGAGGTCAGGACTTCGAGACCAGCTTGGCCAACATGGTGAAACCCTGTCTCTACTAAAAATACAAAATTAGCAGGGTGTGGTGGCACATGCCTGTAATCCCAGCTAGTCGGGAGGCTGAGGCAGGAGAATCGCTTGAATCCAGGGGGCGGAGTTTGCAGTGAGCAGAGATCGCTCCATTGAACTCCAGCCTAGGTAACGAGCGAAACTCTGTTTGAAAAAAAAAAAGAAAAGAAAATTTGACAAGTTTGTAGTGGTTCTACTGCAAGGAAAAACTACAACTTAAAAATGTGTTTACTCCAAATTGTACTATTAATAGGAGATTTCTGAAAGCCTAAGTTTTCATTAAGAACTTTTTCTTTAACGGTGCATCAAGTGAAAGCCTTGAGATGATTCTGGATTAGATATATGGCAAAGTTACCGTGAGCTCAAAAGCCATTGTCCAGATGAAGAAATCCTCAGGGTCAATATGAATGCACATAGGATGACTGATGGAATCCAAGAAAAGCTGCCATAGCTCTGATTTTGCCTTTTTGTGTTGTCTTTAGAGACATGCTCTTGCTCTGTCGCCCAGGCTGGAGTGCAGTGGTGATCATAGCTCACTGCAGCCTTGACCTCCTGGGCTCAAAGCTATCCTCCTGCTTTAGCTTTCTTTTTTTTTTTTTTTTTTAAGATGGCGTCTTGCTCTGTCACCCAGGCTGGAGTACAGTGGTGCTATCTCAGCTTATTGCAACCTCCGCCTCCCAGGTTCAAGCGATTCTCCTGCCTCAGCCTCCCAAGTAGCTGGGATTACAGGCATGTGCCACCACACCTAGCTAATTTTTGTATTTTTAGTAGAGACAGGGTTTCACTATGTTGGCCAGGCTGGTCTCGAACTCCTGACCTCAGGTGATCCACCTGCCTCAGCCTCCCAAAGTACTGGGATTATAGGTATGAGCCACCTCACCTGGCCCCGCCTTAGCCTTCTGAGTAGCTAGGACTACAGGTGTGCACCACCATGCCTGGCTAATTTAAAAAAAAAAAAAAAAAACTTGTAGAGATAGAGTCTTGCTGTATTGCCCAGGCTGGTCTCAAACTCCTGGCCTCAAGCAATCCTCCCACCTGTTTGATTTCATGTGTCTCAAACAGCATAGGAGTCTACTAAAGGCTTTTTTCTTTTTTTTTTTTTTTTTTTTTGAGGCAGATTCTTGCTCTGTCACCCAGGCTGGAGTGCAGTGGCTCAATCTTGGCTCACTGCAACCTCTGCCTCCCAGGTTCAAATGATTTTCCCTGCCTCAGCCTCTCAAATAGCTGTATTACAGGTGTCCGCTACCACGCCCGGCTAATTTTTGTATTTTTAGTAGAGACAGGGTTTCACCTTCTTGGCCAGGCTGGTCTCAAACTCCTGACCTCAAGTGATCCACCCATCTCAGCCTCCCAAAAGTGTTGGGATTACAGGAGTGAGCCACCGCGCCTGGCCCACCAAAAGCTTTAAAGTGAGGTGAATGCAGATTCCATTTTCAGATTCTGCTACAAATTGTGGGACCTTAAACAAGTTACTCATCTTCTCTGTGCTTTAGTGTTATGATCTGGAGCCTGATCTTCATTCTACCACTTACCCTGTACATCTTGGAAATTTTATTTTATTTCCCTGTGACTGTTGCCTTGTCTTGCAGATGGATTATTCTAACATCCACTTCATAATCTTGTTTCATTTAAGGAGATTGATCATACGTGGGAAGCACTTAGAACAGTGCATGGACGAGCACGAGTATTTCATAATGAGCAGCTGTGGCTGTTACTAACACTGGTATTACTAGTACCCGTACTTCCAGGCAGGGTTGTTGAGAAGGTGAAATGAAAGAACGCACACCAGGGCAGGCTACATAATTTGTGGACCCCGGTACAGAATGAAAATGCAGGACACCTTGTTCAAAACTTCCTAAAAACGTCAAGACTGGGACAGCTGAGTATTAAACCAAGCGCAGGACCCGGACCTGCACAGGTTGCACGCTCGCAGACACATTTGCACACAGTGTGTGCTAAATAAATGCTCCGTTCACCCTTGTGAAGTTTCCTATGCCTCACTCGCGCCAGCACCGTTCACAGTGCCCACTGGCTGTATTTATCGCTGACATAAGGATGAGGCCTGGAATTGCATTCACTGCAGAGTCCCACCGGGAGGACCGACCGTTATCCCCGCCGACTCCCCCCAGGTCGCCCTGGCAGTTTCGGCCGCTCAGTTGCAGGCCCTCGCCACGGAGGCCACGCTCGGGGGTTCGGGGTCCACCCCGGCCTCCTGCGGCCGGGCCACCCTACTCGCGCGCAGCCGCGCGCCGCCGCGTCCCCGCGGTGTTTACCCGTTGCCCGAGGAGACACCCGCGCCACCCGCCGGCTCCCGGCGCCGCCGCTTCCTCAGGGCCGGTTCCGGGTCCGAGCGCGCCCCCGGGCTCGGGTCGTCATGAGCCTGGACTGCACCAGCCATATCGCGCTGGGTGCCGCTTCGCCAGCGCCCGAGGTACGGTCCCAGCCGCCGGCCGCGCGCGGGGGTGGCCCTGGGGATAGACGACCCAGGAGGGGCCGAGGCGCCCCTGATTTGCACCCTTTTCCTCCCGGAGGCGTGGGCAGAATCAGAGCAGCTCTGTGCCCGCGAGGGCTGTGGCCTGGGACTGCCAGGGCGCTGATTTCAGGAGGGGATGGGCAGGACCGGAGTTTGCGGAGCGCGTCTGAATTTTAGGTTGTGCCACTCTGCTTCTCTGACCATTTAAACCGGTGACATTCGAAAGACTGTGGCCGGGCAGTTCCTCCCCGCCACCCCTGGGAGCAAAGAATTCCTTCATTTAACTTTCCCTGCTTAGCTACTGAAGTGTGCTTCGGAGCAATTTCTGGAAAATCTGATGTGGCAGGAGGAGGGCCAGCCCGGAGTAGAGTCACCGGCCCTTTCGTTGCGAAGTAATCCAGAAACGTTGGTAATTCAGTTGTTCCTGAATGCATCTACTCATTTACTCCCAGGAGTTACTTAGGTACTGGGGACTTTCAGGTATTAGATGTACCAATGCGCGCGCGCACACACACACGAACATGCGCGCATACACAGACGCTCGTGCACACACGCGAACAGGCACATACGCGAACAAACACGGGCGCGCACACACACGAACACGGGCATATGCATACTTGGGCGCACAAGAAGATCTGGCTGGCTCAGTCTGGGTTAAGAATCCCCCTTTGGCCTTGGCATCGGGGCCCACCGGGTATCGTGTGTATTGGGAGTAGTTGCCAGAGATGGGGGAATTGTGTTCAGCTCAACTGCTAACCGCAAGTAACTCACCCAATTAGTAAATGATGGAGGATTTTTCTTTCTTTCCAAAGTTTTGGACTTTTCCTACCACGCTGTGTACTGACCATAGATATCCCTGGGGGATGTAGTGGATTCAAAACATGAGTTGGATTCTCCAACGTGCCATCGGAATTCTTCTAATATTCAGCAGCTTTGATTGTTGTTTTACATCTGACCTGTATTTAGATTTCTCTGATTCCTGGAATATTTGTGGAAAATAAGTACCACTGTGTGCAAATAAAACTATTTTTTCTTTCTTTCTAACTCAGAGGCCAGTTACTAGATGTTTTTTCTTTCATCTGACATTTTCATATTTGACTTTATTAATTTTTATCCCAATGTGGTGTCTTAACCATACATAAGTATGTGGTATTTTTATATTATTAATATATATTTTTTTTGGTGAGCCCATTGAGAGTAAATTACAGCCATCATGATTCTTTCTTTCTCTCTCCTTTTTTTCTCTTGTTCTCTCCCTCCCTCCTTTTCTTTCTTTCTTCTTTTTTTCAGACAGGGTCTCACCTTGTTACCCAGGCTCGAGTGCAGTGGCACGATCTCGGCTCGCCGCCGCCTTGACACCCCTGGGTTCAAACGATCCTCTCACCTCAGCCTCCAGAGTAGCTGGGACTCCAGGCATGCCATGATGCCTGGATAATTTTTGTGTTCTTTGCAGAGGCAGAGTTTTATCGTGTTGCTCAGGCTGGTCTCAAACTCCTGAGCTCAAGCGATCCACCTGCCTCAGACTCCCAAAGTGCTGGGATTACAGAGATGCACTACCATGCCTGGTCCCCTATGACCTTTCATCTGTAAATACTCTGGTGTGTTATCTCCTATGAATAAGGGCATTCTCTAACGAACATACAATGATCAAAATCGGGATGTTTAGCATTGTGACAATAATATTATCTAATATACACGACCTACTAAAACTTTGCCACTTGTCCCAATTATGCCATTTATTGCCAATTTTTTTTCCATCTCAGGATCACACACTGTATTTAGTTATGTCTCCAGTCTCTTCAAACCTGGAACAGTTCTTCACATTTTTTTTGTTTGTTTTTTTGTTTGTTTGTTTTTGTCTTTGATGATACTGACATTTTTGCAGAGTCCAGGTCATTCGTTTTATAGAGTAAGTTTCTCTGATTGTCCTTCGTGATTAGATTTTTGGGTAGGAATAACATAAGAGATGTTATGTCTCAGAGTATCACATCAGGAGGGGCATATATCAGCTTATCCCATTATTGGTGATGTCCCCAGCTGGTGGCCTCTGCCAGATTTTTCCCCTTTAGCAATAAATAAGAAATCATATTAGTTGAGTAATAATATTGATTCGGATAGAAATTTTTAGCATAAGTCACTGCCTACAAAAGGAAAATGTCCATTAAGCATGAGATTTTAATTGGCTTAAAATAACTAAATTTTATTGAGAACAAAAGTAGCTGCAGAAAAGGCAGCATTTATTACAATTAAATGTTCAGTTTGCAAAATACTTTATCTGAGATCATCTTATAATTTAGATAGGCGGGGCAGAAATTTCTCACTATATAAGATGAGGAAATAGCTTACTGGATTAGAAATGATGGAGCAGGGACTTGTATCTTTCTTTCAAAAGCTTTGTACTTTTCCTACCATGCCAGACTGAAAACATTAAATTACAAAGCAGTGATAGTCTGCAACTTTCTGGAAAAGTAAAATACTGTAGAGACTGAGATACTAGTTTTAGACTCAAAACTAGATTCAAACAATCCTGATTATACCACTCATCTGTGACATCTTGGTCAAAACAATTAATGTATCAGCATTTTAGTTTTTTCTTCTAAAACATGGAATCATAAAACTTATCGCATAACGTAGTTTGAGGATTTCACGGTTAATAAATGTAAGGCACTCAAGAGAGTGTCTGACAGAATAAGTGCATATCAATATTAGCTATCGTTATTCTTTGTAACTTTTGGAATTTGCTTTGGTGTCAACACCACTGCACCTACTCCTACCATCATCACCAATGCTTCCATCAGTACTTCAGCCACCATCTCAATAGTCAGTGTTTTGAGAATCTGTAGGAGGGACAGAGGATACAAAAATGAATTGGAGATTGACCCTGCTCATAATGAAGAATTGACAGTTTACAATCCACTTTGGGAGGCAGAGGTGTGTGGATCGCTTGAGCCCAAGAGTTTAAGACCAGACTGGGCAACATGGCAAAACCCCGTCTCTACAAAAAACACAAAAAGTACCCAGGCATGGCCTGTAGTCCTAGCTACTTGGGAGGCTGAGGTGGGAGGATCACTTGAGCCCAGGAAGTTGAGGCTGTTGTGAGCCTTGATCGCACTACTGCACCCCAGCCTGGGCAACAGAACAAGACCCTGGCTCAAAAATAAAATAAAAATTAAAAAAGAGTTTACAATCAAGAAAAACAGACACATAAAAAGATTACTCCTTCATCAACACTAAAATTTAATGCTGCACTCTTCTCAAGTTGGATTTACCTATAATGCGATCACCAGCACAGCCTTACTGGGATGGAAAATGTGACAAATACTAACAGCAATATTATGAGAATTGAAGTGGAGCAGCCCAAACATGAAGGAAAGAGATATGCTTTGGGGGAAGTTTACAAACATAGCTTTCAGTAAGACTGCATAACTTTGTCATGCATTTGAAATAACGCTACCCAGTGAAAATGTGCTGGGTGCGGTGGCTCATGCTTGTAATCCCAGCACTTTGGGAGGCTGAGGCGGGAGGCTCACTTGAGGTCAGGAGTTCGAGACCATCCTGGCTAACATGGTAAAACCCCGTCTGTACTAAAAATACAAAAAGTAGCCAGGCTTGGTGGCAGGTGCCTGTAATCCCAGTTACTGGGGAGGCTGAGGCAGGAGAATTGCCTGAACCTGGGAGGCAGAGGTTGCAGTGAGCCAAGATTGTGCCACTGAACACACCATCTCAAAAAAAAAAAAAAAAAAAAAAAGAAAAGTGACCTAATTATAAAATAGGATCACCAGTCAGCAAAAAGCTGTAGCAATAGTTCTGTGGAAAGTGCTTGGATTCCAAATCCTCTGACACCAGTGAGAAGCCACAGACATATGGTGGCTTGTAGGCTCTCTTGCTGTGGCAGTGTTTTCACATACCTGGAAAACCTAGATCAAAGTTACAGCTCCAGTAGATACCATTGTTGGGAATTTGAGCATCTCTTTCCTTTCTGTAAAACAAGGGTTAATTAGAATAACTATCAACAGAATTGTTATGAGAAGCAAATGTAAATAGCAACACACTCTATCAGCAGCTATAGTTCCTCAAAACAAAGGACTTAGAGCTGGTCATAGCTAACTATAAAGGAGTTAAAGTCTGTTTTCCTTTTTCTTCCCATCATTTCTACTTTTAAAAACCTCATATAAAATACATATAACATAAAATTTGCCATCTTAACTTACAAATGTACAGTTTAGTGGCATTAAGTACATTCACATTGTTGTGCAACTGTTGCCACAAGCCATCTTCAAACCTTTGTTCATCTTGCAAAACTGAAACTCTGTACTCATTAAGCAATAACTTCACATTTCCTCCTCCCCACAGCTCCTAACAACCACCATTCTACTTTCTTTCTTTATGAATTTGACTATTCTAGGCATGCTGTATAAGTGGAATCAGACTGTATTTAACTATTCTAGGCATGCTGTATAAGTGGAATCAGACTGTATTTGACTATTCTAGGCACGGTGTATAAGTGGAATCAGACTGTATTTCAGTATTCTAGGCACGCTGTATAAGTACAATCAGACTGTATTAAACTATTCTAGGCATGCTGTATAAGTGGAATCAGACTGTATTTGACTATTCTAGGCACGCTGTATAAGTGGAATCATACTGTATTTGACTATTCTAAGCACTCTGTATAAGTGGAATCAGACTGTATTTGACTCTTCTAGGCACACTGTATAAGTGGAATCAGACTGTATTTGACTCTTCTAGGCACACTGTATAAGTGGAATCAGACTGTATTTGACTATTCTAGGCACGCTGTATAAGTGGAATCAGACTGTATTTGACTATTCTAGGCACTCTGTATAAGTGGAATCAGACTGTATTTGACTATTCTAGGCATGCTGTATAAGTGGAATCATACTGTATTTGACTATTCTAGGCACGCTGTATAAGTGGAATCAGACTGTATTTGACTATTTTAGGCACGCTGCATAAGTGGAATCAGACTGTATTTGACTCTTCTAGGCATGCTGTATAAGTGGAATCAGACTGTATTTGACTCTTCTAGGCACACTGTATAAGTGGAATCAGACTGTATTTGACTCTTCTAGGCACACTGTATAAGTGGAATCAGACTGTATTTGACTCTTCTAGGCACGCTGTATAAGTGGAATCAGACTGTATTTGACTCTTCTAGGCACGCTGTATAAGTGGAATCAGACTGTATTTGACTATTCTAGGCACGCTGTATAAGTGGAATCAGACTGTATTTGACTATTCTAGGCACTCTGTATAAGTGGAATCAGACTGTATTTGACTATTCTAGGCATGCTGTATAAGTGGAATCATACTGTATTTGACTATTCTAGGCACGCTGTATAAGTGGAATCAGACCGTATTTGACTATTTTAGGCACGCTGCATAAGTGGAATCATGCTGTATTTGACTATTCTACGCACTCTCTCTGTATAAGTGGAATCAGACTGTATTTGTCCTTCAATGACTGGCTTATTTCACTTAGCATAATGTCCTCAACGTTTCTTCATGATGTAACATGTATCAGAATTTCCTTCCTTTTTAAGCTTGAAATATATTCCATTGTATGCATATGTCATGTTCTGTTTATCCATTCATCTGTCTCTGCACACTTGTGTTGTTTCTATCTTTTGGCTGTTGTAAATAATGCTGCTATGAAAATGAGTGAACCAATATCTCTGTGAGACCCTGCTTTCAATTTTGAGGGATATATACCCGAAGTGAAATTGCTGGATCCTATGGTAATCCTATTATTACTTTTTTGAAGAACTGCCACTGTTTCCGTAGTGGCTGCACACATTTTACATTCTCACCAGCAGTGCACAAAGGTTTTCATTTCTCCACATCCTCACCCCCACTTGTTATTTTCTGTGTGTTTTCTTCCTTTATTGTAGCCTTTCTAATGGGTATGAGGTAGTATCTATTTCCACTTTTTAAAGAACCATTTCCTCCCTCTTCTGGTTTGCTCTGTTTTTTTTTTTTTTGTTCTACTCCTTTTTCTCAAAATCAAGTTTAAGAAGAGATCTGACTCTAGTTGCATGTCTTCATATGAACTTAAGTCAGAAGCCTTCTCTAGATATAAAGAAAACCAATCTCCACCCCACCACCCCCAAAAAGAGAATATAGAGAAAAAGAAACAGAAGGAATAGGGAAAAAAGAAAACATAAATTATAGTTGAAAGAAATACAAACATATCAGTAATTATGATAAATATATATGGAGAAAATGCTTAGTTAACTAAGAAAAGCCATATTGCATTAAAAAAATCTAAATATATACTATTTATGAAAGACACATTTAAACAAAAAGATATGGGAAGGTTGAAAGTAAAAGTGTATAAAAATGTGTATCAGGCACATAACAACCAAAATAAAATTGATTGGCTATATTAATATTATGCAAAATACTTTAACACAAGAAAAGCATTAGTAGTGGTAAAGAGAGTCACTAAATAATGATAAAAATTTCATTCATCAGGTAGTTGTAATAATTCTAAATGTATATGTTCCTAAGAACACAGCATCAAAATAGAAAAACAAAAATTGGCAGAAGCAAAAATCTATAAGGACAAATAGACAAATCCACAACTAAAGAGAATATTTTAAACATATCTCTTAGTATTTTGTAGATCAACCAGACAAAAATTTGGTAAGAGAGCTGCTAAAAGTGCTAAAATGCAAATTTGGTGACGTCACTGTGAAGAATAGAAATATGTAAAATATTTGGGATGTGGCTGTAAAAATTAACAGGATTATTTTTCCCCAATTACCCAAGGGAATAAATGCCTTTTGTCTATGAAATAATAAGCCAGACAAAAGCTTAGAAATTGTACTCTATTGGTAGGAAGTGAATTAGATGAGTAATTAAATGTTTCCCCTTGTTTTAAATTAAAATGCTTTATACTATTAAAAATAATGACTATCTAATTATGAGCAAACGTTAGACAAACCCACCTTGAAGGATATTCTACAATATGTTGACCAGGACTCTTCAAAAGTGTCAAGGTCAGGATTTGGGGAGACTAAGGAAAAATGAAAACTAAATGGCTTCTGGACTAGAAAAAGGACATTAGTGAAAAAAAAACTGATTATATTGGAATAAGGCCTATTACTTAGTTAATAGTGTTGTAACAATGTCAATGTCTTGGTTTTAATAGATTACCTTAGTTGTATAAGTCGTTATTATTAGGGGAAGCTGGCTAGAGGGCATATAGAAACTCTGTTTTGTTTTGTAACTTTTTTGGAATTCTAAAATTATTTCAGAATAAAAAAGTCTCAATAAATGATAACCAGTTAATCCGTTTACACATCCAACTTCATTTTAGCTTTAACATTTAGTTTCTCTTGGTATCTATCTGCTCTTTGACCACCTGGCTTTAGAGATGAGATAAAATCTTCAAAGAAAAGGTAGGGGAGAGCTTTTTGAATGCCAAACTTTTTCTTTGCATATTTTAAAGAGACTGCTTGTGTATTTACTTACTGTTACCAAATATAATGTGTAGTGTATTTCAAACAATAGTGAATACTCCTTGGTTTGTACTTGAATTGAGTTGACTAATAATTATAAAGACTTACTTTTTTCCATGTTCAAGGACAACTTGATTTTTTTTAATTGAAAAAGGGAGTAACATTTGCTGAGCCAGGAATTATTTATGCTATGCTCTTTTACCCAAGGTTTCCTTATTTCTTTGTTTTGCTTCCAACTTTCTTTCCTTTGATATTGGTGCTTTGGTGGCTTTGATCTAAGGCAGAGAAGTTCAAAGGCATTGCTGAGGCAGACCAGTAGCACCTCATTCTTTCTCTTACTGATACCAGCACAGCTATTGCTGATAGTTTATATATCTACATGTTCAGATATTGCTCATAAAAATAACTGTCTAAACCAGGCATGGTGACCCATACCTGTAATCCCAGCAACTCAGGATACTGAGACTGGAGGATCGCTTGAGCCCAAGAGTTTAGAGACTGCAGTGAACCACGATCACGCCACTGCACTCCAGGCTGTGTGCAGAGCAAGACTTTGACTCTAAAAATAATAATGACAATAATAATTAGTAAATAATAAATCAATAAATATCTGAGTTCCCTCATTAGTGCCATAGGGAGTGGGTCAGTCTCATAAAAATAAATATCTGAATTATATTTCTGAGTAACTGAAATGACTTCCTTTTCATTGACTGAATTTCCCTTATGCTTTTCTTCTTGAATCTTCCTTATTAGCTTCATATAAAAATGCATTTTTCAGCATATTAAGGCCATCATAGTCTAACCTCAATATCTGTGCAAGAAGGAACAATTTTAAGACTTGACTATAATTGTCCCATTTCCCTAAGTCTTTTCTACTTCAGACTAAAAGAAATGGATAGTTGAACACTGAAAAGGAACTCTTATTGTTGAAATCTTATGAATGTTTGGAGTAAGCAAAAATGAAAACTCAGGAGGAAATGGGAACCATAAATATTCTGCTTAGTGAATCATACATTGTATTAGTCACCCACTTGACAAACATTTATTGAGTCTTAGGCACTCTGTTAGGCACTGAAGATAAAGAACTTTTTTCCTTGACCAACTCTAAAATGAGTGCCCATTTTCAAGCAGGTGCTCTTTTAGATACGGTCCCCCTTTCACAAAAGTTATATCCGCGGCCAGGTGCGGTGGCTCACGCCTGTAATCCCAGCACTTTGGGAGGCTGAGGTGGGAGGATCACGAGGTCAAGAGATGGAGACCATCCTGGCCAACATGGTGAAACCCCGTCTCTACTAAAAATACAAAAAATCAAAAAATTAGCTGGACATGGTGGTGCGCACCTGTAGTCCCAGCTGCTCGGGAAGCTGAGGCAGGAGAATTGCTTGAAACCGGGAGGCAGAGGTTGCAGTGAGCCGAGATCACGCCGCTGCCCTCTGGCCTGGCGACAGGGCGAGACTACATTTAAAAAAAAAAAGTTATATCCTGGTGTGAGAAATAGATTTTTAAAAAGTAAACAAATAGACAAACAAGGTAATTTTAGAGTGTTAAGTCCTTTGAAAAGAAAATAAAGCAGAATAACAGGATGGAGATGGAATGGGGTGAGGGCTAAAGTCTAGTCTGGGTAGGGTGGGTAGGGTTGGCTCCCCAAGGAGATAACATGCTGAATTGGAATAGTCTTAGAAACAGCAAGAGCGGTGCCAGGCCCTTGGGTGGGAATGAGCTTGATGTGTTTATTTTTATTTTTATTTTTATTTTTTTGAGGTGGAATCTTGCTCTTGTCACCCAGGCTGGAGTGCAATGGTGCGATCACAGCTCACTGCAACATCCGCCTCCCAGGCTCAAGCAATTCTCCTGCCTCAGCCTCCCGAGTAGCTGGGGTTACAGGCATGCACCACCACGCCCAGCAAATTTTTGTATTTTTAGTAGAGATGGGGTTTCACCATGTCGTCCAGGCTGGTCTTGAACTCCTGAGCTCAGGTGATCCACCTGCCCCAGCCTCCCAAAGTGCTGGGATTACAAGGGTGAGCCACCGCGCCCAGCAATGTGTTTAGAAAGAGTGCAGTTTGTGGAATGTTCCTCGATTTGGGTATATCTAATGTTTTCTCATGATTAGATTCAAGTTAATCATTTGGGGCACTTTTGGCAATTGGATAAGAGGTGTGTTTTTCTCAGTGCATTGCAGATGGAACCTTGTGCCAGAAGACAAAAAAAGGCTGCAAAACTGTTCCAGATTCAACAGACTAAATATACTTGGCAGCTACATGCAATGCATTTATTGTTTCTCTAAGGAACATTATTGAGATAATTGGTGAATAATATAGTGTCATTGTTAAATTTCTTGAATTTGACAGTTGTATGAAGAGGAATGTCCTTGTTCTTAGAAAATACAAGCTGAAGTGTTTAGAGGTAAGGGACCATAGTGTGTGCAAATTGCTCACAAATGATTCAGCAATCATATTGTAATATACGCATAGAGAAAGGAATACATCAAATGTAGCACAATGTTCTCACAATTGGTTAATCAAAGTGAAACATACTTGAGTTCCTTGGATTATTCTTGCAACTTTTCCGTAGGATTGAAATAAAAATGAAAAAAAAATTATGTGCCAGGCAACAAATGGAGTTAAAAAGTAGAAGGCATTGTTTCACTCCAACTATGGAGCTTACTTACAGTTGAGTTAGGTAAATAGTAATTGGTAATAAATAAAATTTTTACCAATTTTACCAATAAAAAATAATTGGTAATAAATAAAATTTTTACCAATTTTACCAATAAAAAATAATTGGTAATAAATAAAATTTTAAAAAGGAAGAAGGCAAGCATCACTAGAGTAAATATATGGTCTCAGAGAAGGACCTAGAGGGACAGACACAATGAACAAACAGAATTACACAGTGTGCTGTAGCAGACCAGGGAGGGACGAGGGATGGGAAGTTTTGCTGAGGTTACTGGGGCAATGGTGGTGATGGTCAGGGGGTAATGCTGACCTTGATGTGCCATCAGGACATGCAAATGATGGTCACTAGACGGTTGGAAATGTCAGTCTCTAGTTAGAGATGCAGATTTGGGAGCTACTAGATACTGGAAGTGGCTGAGATCGCAGGAGGGCATGAAGTAAACCGGTGAGAATGTCCCAGTGATGAGGAGAGAGCGTCGAGGACAGAACCCAGCAAATATCAAGTTGTGAGTGGGTGAAGGAAGTGAGCTGCAGTAGGGACTGAGTGGAGGGCTAGAGAAGTGGGAAAAAGGAGAGACGCTCAGTAGAGAATGGGGGCGTGAGAGTAAGGAGGATTCCCCAGCAGTAAGTGATTTGTGTGTCAAGGCCCAAAAAGGAGGTCAAGTCAGGTAGAGAGTAAAAAGTGTCACCTGGACTTGGTGGCCCGCGGAGCTGCCCGCTGGCCTCCTGGGCACTTCTCTTAGTCTTTGTCATTCATTCTACTCCTAGGAGCTGTGCTGCCCGCAGACCTTCTCTGAGAGGTTCCCTTCTCAGTGGCCTGCATACTAGGAAGCCAGGAACCAGCTGGAGTGTTTATGCCCACCAAGCATCCAGGTCCCAAGAGGGCAGGCGGCATCTCAGCACTGGTCCTGCCTCCCCTTTCCCCTGTGTTGGTGGCACACATTCCCTTTCAGGTGGGAAAATGGGTCCCATACGGATTGTTCTCCACTCTAGGATTAAAAGCAAGGATTCTTACTGGGCGTGGTGGCTCATGCCTGTAATCCCAGCACTTTGGGAGGCCGAGGTGGGCAGGTCACGAGGTCAGGAGATCGAGACCATCCTGGTTAACACGGTGAAACCCTGTCTGTACTAAAAATACAAAAAAATTAGCCGGGCGTGGTGGCTGGTGCCTGCAGCCCCAGCTACCCGGGAGGTTGAGGCAGGAGAATGGCGTGAACCCGGGAGGCGGAGCTTGCAGTGAGCCGAGATGGCACCACTGCACTAGAGCCCAGGCGACAAAGCGAGACTCCGTCTCAAAAAAAAAAAGCAAGGATTCTTGTGCTGTGACTCCTCAAGGCTTTGCTATTGATATGCAAAACCATGCTTTTGAAATTGTAATTCTACTTCTGTTCCAGAAAGCCTACTTCTTAAAAATCAAGAACTCTAGGCTGGTCATGGTGGCTCATGCTTATAATCCTAGCAGTTTGGGAGGCCAAGGCAGGAGGATCTCTTGAAGCCAGGAGTTTAAGACCAGCCTGAGCAACATAGTGAGACCCCATCTCTACAAAAAAATTAAACAAACAAACAGCGGGCATGGTGGTGTGTGCCTGTAGTTCCAGCTACTCAGGAGGTTGGGGCAGGAGGGTACCTTGAGCACAGGAGTTCAAGGCTGCAGTGAGCTATGATTTGTACCACTTCACTCCAGCCTGGGTGATGGAGTGAGACCCTGTCTCTAAAAAATAAATAGAGAAATAAAAGAATTCTATAGCTCTGGAAATCTTCCAGTGTTGGCCTGAGTTATATCCTCATGGACCCATCAGCAATATCTACCCACAAAATATACCTCCAAGTAATGGAATGAATTGACTTATTACGTGGATTTATTTAGAATTGACAATTAGAATTTTAGAGAATAATTGCCAAGAAATGATTATAGTTTTGACCATATTGGCTGTTAAGTGTTTCTTTCTGATAGTAATTAACCAACTATTTAAAGTCATGTCTGGTTCACGATTTTAAACCATGCCATTTGAGTAGAGATCAATGCCTGTGCTTCTATTCGTGAAGGCAAATGGGCAGACTGACATTTACCTAACAGTGAAATTAAAATATTCAGATTTATTCAAGCTTACAAAGATAGATTTATTCAAGATGCAGGCGATAGAGTTTCATTTCACATCATTTTGACCTGGAGACAGTTTATTCCTTCTCCAATCCTGGCAGGGATATTTGCATGAAGATTTTTGTAACCTTGTGTAATGGTCTGGTATTAACCTTAAGACCACACTCTTTTGGAAACACAGGATGTGATGGTTCATTTTATGTATTGCTGGGAAGTTTTTTTGGTTTTGTTTGTTTGTTTGTTCTTAGATGAGATTAGCATTTAAATCAATAGACTGAAAGTAAAGTAGATGGCCCTCTGTAATGTGGGTGGGCCTCATCCAAGCCATTGAAGGCCTAAAGAGAAAAGACTAAGATTTCCCAAGGAACAGAGAATTCTGCCTCCACAATCCCTTTAGACTTGAGCTGCAATATCAGTTCTTCCCTGGGTCTCGGGGCTGCTGGCCTGTCCTGCAGATTTCCGACTTGCCAGTCACCACAATCTTGTAAACCAGTTCCTTAAAATGAATCTCTCTCTATGTACATACACATCCTATTGGTTCTGTTTCTCTGGAGAATCCTGACTAATACACAGGGGAACTTCACTGTGAGTCCTTCCATGCTTGAGGGGTTTGTTGAAATGAGGGGATCTGGAGCCCACACAGAGGGCAGGGTATAGCTAGGCCCACAGGTACTTCACACACAGACCCAAAGCTGGGAAGAGCCTGTTGTAGCCCCTGCCCAATTTCGTAGAGAGACAGGGCTGACCAATCCATCGGTGCTCACGGTAGCCTAACATACTTTTAAGGATCCATGAGAATGTTCTATATTTTTTTTAATCAGTAGAGAAAAAAAAATGAGCTTTGAAGTTGAAAAAATTACAGATGATCCCCAACTTATGATGGTTCAACTTAGAATTTTTCAAATTTACCATGGGTTTATGAGGTTGCAACCCCATTGTAAGTTCAGGAGCATCTGTGTTTTGATACATAATATTTTGATATATTCATCTTTATACTAATGCAGTCACAAAAAATTATTTTTAATATCTTCTATGAAAGAAGGGACCCATGAAGGCAAAAGTGTATAGGGCCCACAAAAGTTATAAGGCAGCCCTGTAGGGAGATGAAACTGTGTGTAGAAACATTATGTAGAAAACATTGATAAATATTGGCCAGGCGCAGTGGCTCATGCCTGTAATCCCAGCACTTTGGGAGGCCGAGGTGGGCAGATCACGAGGTCAAGAGATCGAGACCATCCTGGCCAACATGGTGAAACCCTGTATCTACTAAAAATACAAACATTAGCTGGGTGTGGTGGCATGTGCCTGTAATCCCAGCTACTCGGGAGGCTGAGGCAGGAGAATCGCTTGAACCAGGGAGTCGGAGGTTGCAGTGAGCCGAGATCGTGCCACTGTACTCCAGCCTGATAACAGAGTGAGCTCCATCTCAAAAAAAAAAAAGAAAGAAAGAAAAGAAAACATTGATAAATATTAATAATAGAAGAGTTACTACTAGGTGATAGATAATAGAAAATTCAGTCTTAAAGTTGTTTGCTCCTCTTCCTATAGGTTGATATGAAACTGATGAGTATTGAAATGACATCCAACAGTCTTCAGTCTCCCTAGTTCCACAGTTTTGTGGCACTAGAGCATTGCTCTTTTGGAAGATGGCATTAACTATATTTCAAGTCTATGTAAGGGAAATATTCCTGAGGAGCTAATTTAAATCAATAGCTTATTAAGGTTTCAAGCATACCACTCAACATATGAGCTAAAATATTACATCTGCTGGGCCCAGTGTCTCACGCCTATAATCCCAGCACTTTGGGAGGCCAAGGCGGATGGATCACCTGAGGTCAGGAGTTTGAGTCTAGCCTGGCCAACATGGTGAAACCCTGCCTCTCCTAAAAATACAAAATTAGCCAGGCATAGTGGGGGGGCGCCTGTAGTCCCAGCTACTGGGGAGGCTGAGGCAGAAGGATTGCTTGAACCCAGGAGGCAGAGGTTGCAGTGAGCAAAGATCATGCCATTGCACTCCAGCCTGGATGACAAGAACGAAACTCCATCTGAAAAAAACCAAAAAAACCCCAAAAATTAGCCGGGAGTGGTAGCGTGTGCCTGTAATCCCAGCTACTCAGGAGGCTGAAGCACAAGAATTGCTTGAACCCAGGAAGTGGAGGTTGCAGTGAGCTGAGATCACACCACTGCACTCCAGCCTGGGTGACAGAGTGAGACTCTGTCTCAAATAAATAAATAAATAAATAGGCCGGGCGTGGTGGCTCACGCCTGTAATCCCAGCACTTTGGGAGCCTGAGGCAGGTGGATCACCTGAGGTCAGGAGTTTGAGACCAGCCTGACCAACATGGAGCAATCCCGTCTCTACTGAAAATACAAAATTAGCCGGGCGTGGTGGCGAACGCCTGTAATCCCAGCTACTTGGAGGGCTGAGGCAAGAGAATCACTTGAACCCAGGAGGCGGAGGTTGTGGTGGGGCGAGATCATGCCATTGCACTCCAGCCTGGGCAACAAGAGCGAAACTCCTTCTCAAAAAAAAAAAAAAAAAATACAAAAATAAATATTACATCTTAGAAAAATTTTCATTTTAAACTAAAATTTATCAAGTGTCTAATAATAAGTGAAGTGAAAAAAATCCCATTTGGGAAGAGTTCTAAAATCTTTAACATGTGGAAAGATCTCTTTCTCTCTCTCTCTCTCCCCCCTTTCGCTCTCTCTGTCTCATCTATCTATCTATGTATCTATCTATCTATCTATCTATCTATCTATCTATCTATGAATGATAATGATGAATAAAGTGTCTCATCTCGTTGTCAACAGGGACTTCTCATTCCACCATTCCTTTCTCAGTGGCTATTCCATATGTGACATTGTTCCCAAATTTGCATTCATTATTCTTGACAGCTATACCCAATACCTCCCATGGAGGTAGATCCTGTACAAATGCTAAAAAACTGCTAGTTGCTTAAAATAGGACCTGAAGTTAATTAATTTTTTGAGTCCAGCCTAAGAAATTATCTTACTAACTTGAACAGATATTTTTAAGCTTCATAGAACTTTATATTAAACTAAATTATAAGCTCCCAAATCAACAAGATCCAATCTGTACATTTATGAATGTGTACAGTTATGAACGTGGAAGAATCCATTTTCCAAAAAGTGGTTAGAAAGAGATTTATGAATTAATTAAAATTAAATCAATTATTTGAGCTTAACATTACTTATGGAAATGCAAGTGATTGTTACAATAGTCTTGGAGACAGCAATATCAAGCATCAGAAAATCATTCAATTTAGGGAAAGGTGATCATTTCAACTTTTAGCCAGGCATATATGGGACAATAACATTGTGAGTAAGAGGCCAGGCGTGGTGGCTCACGCCTGTAATCCCAGCACTTTGGGAGGCCAAGACAGCTGGATCACAAGGTCAGGAGTTCCAGACCAGCCTGGCCAACATAGTGAAACTCCGTCTCCACTAAAAATACAAAAATTAGCCAGGCATGGTGGTGCGCGCCTGTAATCCCAGCTACTCAGGAGGCTGAGGTATGAGAATCGCTTGAACCTGGGAGGTGGAGGTTGCGGTGAGAAAAGATTGCACCACAGCCTAGGCAACAGAAAGAGACTCCGTCTCAAAAACAAACAAGCCCATAAAACAAATAAACAAACAACAACAACAAAAAAACATTCTGAGTAAGAGCATGGGCTTTGGCGTCAGAAAGTCTTGGTTTGAATTCTTACTGTGTCATTTTGTTCATTCATTCCTCAAATATTTACTGATACTCAGTCACTGGGGCTACAGTGATGAACCAGAAGCCATTCTTCTATCTCTGTGGTAGAAAAAGAGCTTCCGAGAAAAATTTCACACTTATGCTAATTCTAGAAATGAGTTATTTATTACAGTAAAAACTGAAGAAAAAGGCAAAACAAAGCATTTTAATGTTTTCTGATTAACAAGTGAATTTAAATGTCATATATCAGTGAGGTTACAGAATAAAGATACTGAAGTCAGAGAGGGTGTGTTAATATAATTTCCCATAATGTACGTCTGCCATGCAAAAAAAACCCTTGAGATTAAGATTCGATATTGCAAAGGAGGTGATGAGGAGCTTTTAAAGATAGAATGAGTTAAGGAAATAATTGCAAACTTATTAGTCAGGACACTCATAACAAGATACAGAAAAATCGTAAATTAGATAGAAAGGGACTTTCACCCTAACAAATATTAAGGTTTATAATTTTATAAGTAAGTTTTTTTTCTTCTTCTTTTTTTTTTATAGAGTCTCGCTTTGTCACCCAGGCTGGAGTGCAGTGGCACAATCTCAGCTCACTGCAACCTCCACCTCCTGGGTTTAAGCAATTCTCCTGCCTCAGCCTCCTGAGTAGCTGGGATTACAGGTGCCTGCCACCATGCCTGGTTAATTTTTGTATTTTTAGTAGAGATGGGGTTTCACTATGTTGGCCAGGCTGGTCTCGAACTCCAGACCTCAGGTGATCCACCTGCTTCGGCCTCCCAAAGTGCTGGGATTTCAGGTGTGAGCCACTGCACCCAGCCTCAAGGTAAGTATTTTATAGATGTTTTATAGTTTTGTCCTTACCTAATAAGATGTGGATGAACAATTCATGGCTTTGCCTCTCCAGTGTATCTTGGTCGACTGTCTACTACGCTTTCCAGTTCTTCTAAAACTCACTAACTTTGCTTCTAAGTTTTTGTCTAGCGAGGGCTAATTTTTAAAATAGGGGGTTTATTATTTCCTGGTTTTACAAGACGTAGTGAAATTCCATCTATACTTGTTCTAGGGGGCTATTGTTTGCCCCCTAGAGTATAACACTAGTAAAGTGTTATAATTAAGTTCAGCCAGGTATTTTTATCTTTGACGTGCTAACCCTGTAAAGTGACCAGAGGGAAGAAGCCTTTCTGTTTGTCTATTTATCTTCCCATCCATGTGCTCATTCATTTATCCATCCATTAATTTATTCAACAAACATTAAATGTATATTCATTCACCAGATATTTATGGGGTGTTCATTATGTGCTAGGAAATGTGCTTGGTGCTAAGGATAAAAATATAATTGATTTCTAGCTTCTGCCTTCAAACACACAACCTTGTAGCTGACTCGTTCATTTATTAATGCCCAACATATATTTCATGAGTGCATACTATCTGCCAGGCACTGTTGCAGACACAGTACTGGAAAACAGAGGGCCTGCTCTCACGGAGCTTACATTCTAGTAGGTAGACATAAAACACAAGATGTTTTTGAGAGGTCCAAGAAGATAAGATTTGAATTTTTGTTTATCTTAATCTTAATTTACATTTTTGTATATGTTTGGTACCGTGCATAATATGTACAGTAGTATATGTATATCTTTTTTATTTTTGAGACAGGGTCTCAGTCTCTGCCACCCAGACTGGACTGCGGTGGCACGATCAGAGCTCTTTGCAGCCTCGATTTCCTGGGCTTGAGCCATCTCCCACCTCAGCCTCCTGAGTAGCTGGGACCATAGGGACACTACCATGCCTGGCTAATTTTTTAATTTTTGTAGAGACAGGGGTCTCACCATGTTGCCCAGGCTAGTCTCAGACTCCTGAGCATAAGCAATCCTCTTATCTCAACCTCCCAATGTGCTGGGATTACAGGGGTAAGCCACTGCACCCAGCAGTATACCGTTTTTTTTTGTTTTTTTTTTTTTTTGAGATGGAGTCTCGCTCTGTTGCCCAGGCTGGAGTGCAGTGGCATAATCTAGGCCCACTGCAGCCTCTGTCTCCTGGGTTCAAGCCATTCTCCTGCCTCAGCCTCCCGAGTATCTGGGACTATAGATGTGTACCACCACACCTGGCTAATTTTTGTATTTTTAGTAGAGAGGAGGTTTCACCATGTTGGCCAGCCTGGTCTCGAACTCCTGACCTCTAGTGATCCACGGGCCTTGGCCTTCCAAACTGCTGGGATTACAGGCATAAGCCACTGCACCCGGACCCAGTAGTATATCATTTTAAAATAAACACATATTTAAATTTGTTTCATAAACTCATACCAAGAGCTTGCAGACAAAAACATTTACAAACCCCAGGGTAAAAGCATGGGTGTTAGGATCAGAGACTTGTGGGTTTGAATCCAGGTTCTGCTTTACTCGTTGCCTGTGGGTCCTTGGGTAAGCCCGAGTTCCTCCTCCTTTCTAAGAACTGTTGTAAGGGTTGAGTGCAATAATGTTAGTAAAGTGTTTAACCGAGTTCCTCCTCCTTTCTAAGAACTGTTGTAAGGGTTGAGTGCAATAATGTTAGTAAAGTGTTTATGTTGCGTCTGTATATACCAAGTCCTTAAAAAAAGGATGACTAATGTTACTACTATGATTATTCTTCGTGTGATAAATATTATAATACAGACACCTCTTAAAGGGCATATAGAAATATTGAGAAGGAACTGATTAAGCAGTGACCCTTAAAGTCATGAACCTATGGTACATAATTGGTGGGAGTGTAAGTTGGTGCTATTTTCTATGCAATGTGTATCAAAACAATTTTTATTTCCTTTGACTCAGTTGTTTCTTTTCCAGAGAAACAACTTTCCTCATCCTAAGGAAACAGTCAGAATTCTAACAGATTTATAATAGTGATCAATTAGAAAGAGAACGAAATGTCGAATCGCGGGAGAGTAGTCAACTTAAAATACAGCTTTATGATGGAATATTGTGCAGCTGTTAACATTTTAAAAGAACACTTGGGGAAATATTAATATTAAATGTAGAAAACAGGTTGTAAAGTTGTAGTTACAGTATAACCCCAATTATATTTTTAAAAAGCACATGATATATTTGTATTAGAAAAACACTATAAAGAAATGCATCAGACAGGGATGGTGGCTCACGCCTGTAATCCCAGCACTTTGGGATGCCAAGGCGGGCAGATCACTTGAGGTCAGGAGTTCAAGAACAGCCTGGCCAACATGGTGAAACCCTGTCTTTACTGAAAATACAAAAATTAGCTGGGCATGGTGGTGCACACCTGTAGTTACAGCTACTGGGGAGGGTGAGGCAAGATAATTGCTTCAGCCTGGGAGGCAGAGGTTGCAGTAAGCCGAGATCCCACCACTGCACTCCAGCCTGGATGATAGAGTGAGAGAGGCTCCGTCTCAAAAAAAAAAAAAAAAAAAAAAAGCCAGGCACCATGGCTCATGCCTGTAATCCCAGCACTTTGGGAGGCTGAGGTGGGTGAATCATTTGAGGTCAGGGGTTCTAGACCAGCCTGGCCAAGATGATGAAAACCCCGTCTCTACTAAAAATACAAAAATTAGCTAGGCAGTAGTGGCATTCGCCTGTAATCCCACCTACTCCGGAGGCTGAGGCAGGAGAATCGCTTGAGCCTGGGAGGTGGAGGTTGTGATGAGCCAAGATCATGCCACTGCACTCCAGTCTGGATGACAGAATGAGACCCTGTCTCAAAAAAAAAAAAAAAAAAAAGAAAAAAGAAATGCATCAAAATACAATAGAGTTATCTCTGATAAGACTGTGGGTGGCATTCATTTTTTTCATCGATTAGACAATCACAGAAATATTAACCAAGATAAATAAAGCAAGATGAGCATGTGGGCAGGAGTGGTAACTGGGATAAAAAGAAATTTTGACCAGCCTGGACAACATGGTGAAACTCCATCTCTAAAAAATTACAAAAATTAGCTGGGCGTGGTGGCACGTGCTTGTAGTCCCAGCTACCTGGGAGGTTGAGATAAGACGATAACTTGAGACTGGGAGGTCAAGTCTGCAGTGAGCCGTGATCATGCCACTGCACTCCAGCCTGGATGACAGAGTGAAATCCTGGAAAGAAAGAAACGAAAGAAAATGAAAGAAAGGAAGGAAGGAGGGAGGGAGGGAGGGAGGGAGGGAGGGAGGGAGGGAGGAAGGAAGGAAGGAAGGAAGGAAGGGAGGGAAATTTTGCCTGGGGATCCTAGGAAGCCTTCACAAAAATGCCAGTTCCAACTCTTGAATGGGGCCCAGACTTTTGCCCAGTGGAGAAGCAGCTTGTGAAGAAAGAGGAAGAACCCAGAAGGTGAAACAGCGATGAAAGCTCTGTGGCATGCCGAGACACATTTAATTTTTTCCATGTGACTGGAGGTCAGGCTAGATATTGGGCATTGAGGCAGAAACCCTGGGAATGTGGGTTTTGGCTGATAGAGAAGAGACTCACATACCTTAAGGAGTTTATTCCTTACCTTGTCTATCGTGGGCAGCTTTGTAGGTGGGGAAAGATGGATCAGGTCTGCATTTCAGAGTGGCTACTTTGTGGCAGCACAAAGGTTAGGTCGGCACAAAGTGAGTCGGAAGGGAGAGCAGTGAGGAGCCTCTTGCTTCAGTCTCCATTCTTTTTGGATGAAGCCTTGGCAGAACCATTCATTTCCATCCTAATATTGAAATGCCTTCACATTATTACATCAGCTTAGGCTATGTGACTTTTGAAAGCTTGGTAGGTTGGTGTCAGATAAATGAGGCCTTCACACTCACTCACCTGGTCTCTGCAAGAAACTGGATCAAGGTGATGAGGAATGCACTCTTAATACCTGAACAAGAGGTCTTGGAAATTGTGTTTCTTATATTAACTAAACAAATGTAGTCAAATGCTATTATAAAGGATTGGCTGAAGAATATGCATTTCATTCATTCTATGCTCTACTTCAAAATTATCCTTGAAATGCAAGAGCCTGGGAGAGATGTCTACTTGGACTACATTGTTTGGACCCTGTTTTAGGCATTGGCATTACGCCATTAGATTTGTAAATCAAAAAGTATCTGAGACAAGTCTCCATCAATTTATTTACTTATTTATTGAGACGGAGTCTCACTCTGTCACCCAGACTGAAGTGCAATGGTGTGATCTTGGCTCACTGCAACCTCTGCCTCCCAGGTTCAAGCGATTCTCCTGCCTCAGCCTCCCAAGTAACTGGGACTACAGGTGCACATCACCACACCTGGCTAATTTTTGTATTTTTAGTAGAGACAGGGTCTCACCATATTGGCCAGTCTGGTCTGGAACTCCTGACCTCAGGTGATCTGCCTGCCTTGGCCTCCCAAAGTGCTAGGATTGTAGGCGTGAGCCACTGTGCAGGTGGGAAGCCCAGGTTCTTGTTATATAGATGATGCCTCCAGGTAGCAGGCTTCAGAGACAATAGATGGTAAATGTCTTCTTATCAGACCAATAAAAGGTGGTAGACTCTCCTGAAAAGACCTAATAAAGGAGAGAGATTCTTTACAGAATATACATTTCCTTCACAAGAGACAGCTTTGCAGGACCACTTAAAAATATGACAAAGAAAGTGTGGCGCAGTGGCTCATGCCTATAATCTCAACTCTTTGGAAGTCCGAAGCGGGTGGATCACGAGGTCAAGAGATCAAGACCATCCTGGCCAACATGGTGAAACCCTGTCTCTACTAAAAATACAAAAATTAGCTGGGTGTGGTGGCACATGCCTGTAGTCCCAGCTACTCGGGAGGCTGAGGCAGGAGAATCACTTGAACCCTGGAGGCAGAGGTTGCAGTGAGCTGAGATCGCGCCACTGCACTCCAGCCTGGTGACAGAGCAAGATTCTGTCTCAGAAAAAAAAAAAAAAGAAAAGACAAATATATTTTGAGGTAAAATACTTCGATTTCTTTCAGGGCTGTTATCTGTCATATAATGCTATACTAGAGTCAGGTTGGAATTTGGTATCTTATTGCTACAGGAGTCTGTTCTCTCAGTCTTAAGATCTCTGTTTTAATGTTAATGCTGGTCAGTTGTGTCTGAATTCCAAAGGGAGAAGGGTATAATGAAGTATGTTGGGCCTCCATTTTCCATCAAGGCTTGAACTAGTTTCAGGTTTACTTTGGAATGCCCTTGGCCAAGAGGAGGTCTCCATTCAGTCAGTTGGAAGGCTTAGAATGTTATTTTTAGTTGATAGATTGTTTTGTGGGTTTTGAAATTTGTCATGATTTCTTGTCATGAATGGGTGTGTTGTAACTGAGCAGGTTCTTTGCTTTACCATGAGGTCCTAGTAAATCATGTTGAAGCGGTGTTGTTGTCTAGGGTAAATACCCAGGGTTTGTCATCTCGCACCAAGAAGATTAAGGACACAGACACACATGAGGAGTGAGTTTAGGAGCAGAGGTTTGATAGGCAAAAGAAAGAGAAAGAAGAACAGCTCTCTCCCTTGAAAGAGAGAGGAGTTCCTGAAAGGGAAAAACTGGTCAGCTCTAGACTGTACCAGATTTTACAGGCAGGCTTGAGGAGACAGTGTCTGATTTACGTAGGGCCCAGAGATTGGTTCAACCAGGTGCGATGTTTACCTAGTGCGTGGGGAAGGCTGGTGGTCCCACCCTAATCTTATTATGCAAATGGAGTCTTTGCCTGGCTGGTGCCATATTGTCTTTTCCTTACTGTGCACATGCTTTGGCAAAAAGAGAGAAGATGAACATGCCTAGTCCCAGGAAGCCTTTTCCTTTTGGCACAACTGCCAACTTCCACCCATGCAAGCTTCCAGCTTACTTGTCTATGCCTGCAGCTTGATTTTACAAGCTGCTCTTTGTTAGGAAAGAAAATGATTTTGGGGCCGGGCACAGTGGCTCACGCCTATAATCCTAGCACTTTGGGAGGCCTAGGTGGATGGATACCTGAGGTCAGGAGTTGGAGACCAGCCTGACCAACATGGAGAAACTGTCTCTACTAAAAATACAAAATTAGCCAAGTGTGGTGGCACATGCCTATAATCCCATCTACTCGGGAGGCTGAGGCAGGAGAATTGCTTGAATCTGGGAGGTGGAGGTTGCAGTGAGCCAAGATCACCCCATTGCACTCCATCCTGGGCAACAAGAGTGAGACTGTGTCTCAGTAAACAAAAAACAAAAGAAAATTATTTTGGGGCTGCTTTTCATTTAAAAGAAAACCTTACTGAGGACTCCCATACCCTTACTAATGATTTCTTCTTCTTCTTTTTTTTTTTTTTTTTGAGATGGAGTCCTGCACTGTCACCCAGGCTGCGTGCAGTGGCACAATCTCGGCTCACTGCAGCCTCTGCCTCCTGGGTTCAAGCAATTCTCCTGCCTCAGTCTCCTGAGTAGCTGAGATTACTGGTGCCCAACACCATGCCTGGCTAATTTTTTTTTTCTTTTTGTATTTTTAGTAGAGACGGGGTTTCACCATGTTGGTCAGGCTGGTCTCGAACTCCTGACCTCGTGATCCACCCACCTCGGCCTCCCAAAGTGCTGGGATTACAGGCGTGAGCCACCGTGCCCGGCCACTAATAATTTCTTCTTAACTCCTGTATCAATGTGACTCATGTCTGTCGACTTGGAAGGGCCAAGTCAAGCTGTGGTCTACCTCTAGGAAGTGTACAATACTCACAGCACATATATAATACTCCTGTGCTTCCTCTTATTTTTTCCCTCCTTTAATTTTTCTTTACGGCCATTTGCTTCTTTTTTTTTTTTCATTCTTTCTTGTTTTCACACTGGATAAGAAATAGCCCTTAAGCTTTGGATGGAAATTAAAGGAATTCTCAAAAATCCAGGCCTTTTGCAAACAGTAAAGATTATACGAAACACTAGCAAGGTGGGGCCTTGCCTTCAGTTTATGGTCCTGCCATGGTACAGGAGAAGCATGTCCCAGAACAGCCACAGAGTCCAGAAGAAGGCAACCTTTCTCCTTTTGACTTGTAGTTATGGTATACATCCATGTTTTTTAGTTTGTTAATGCTTCTGGGTGGACCAGGCTGAGATGGAGTGTTGCAAGCTATCTTTCTTAGTGTGGGAAAATCTGTGCACTTTCTAAGCCAGCCCATCTCCAGGGGGTGGGATCTTGGAGAAATCAGGCAGCTCCAGGGGCTGAGGGGATTTGGTTTAGCAGATGAGAATGGGACGAGACTGTCAAGTCAATCAAATGTGAGGACTAAGATGTTAGTAAAAAAAGCATACATTTGTTACCAGGAAGGAGTCCCAATCCAGACCCCCAAGAGAGGGTTCTTGGATCTTGTTCAAGAAAGAATTTGGGTGAGTTCACAGAGTAAAGTGAAAGCAAGTTTATTAATAAAGTAAAGGAATAAAAGGGTGCCTACTCCATAGGCAGAGCAGCCTCGAGGGCTGCTGGCTGGCTATTTTTATAGTTATTTCTTGATTATGTGATAAACAAGGGGTATATGTATCAGGGGAACCAGCCCCCAATATTTCAACGTAGGTTCTTTCTATTTTCCCTAAGGGTCAGGCGGCTGAGAAATAAAGAGAAAGAGTACAGAGAGGAATTTTACAGCTGGGCCTCCATGGGTGACATCACATATCGGTAGGACCATGATGCCCACCTGAGCTGCAAAGCCAGCAGGTTTTTATTAAGGACTTTAAAAGGGGAAGGGGTGTACAAACAGGGAGCAGGTCACAAAGATCACATGCTTCAGAGGGCAAAAAGGAGAATGAAGATCACGTGCTTCTGAAGCCAATAAAGATCACAAGGCAAAGGGCAAAGCAAAGATCACAAGGCAAAGGGCGAAATCAAAAACTCCTGATAAGGGTCTATGTTCAGCTGTGCATGTATTGTCTTAATAAGCATCTTAAACAACAGAAAACAGGGCTCAAGAGCAGAGAATCGGTCTGACCTCAAATTCACCAGGGTGGGATTTTTTTCCCCACCCTAATAAGCCTGAGGGTACTGCAAGAGACCAGGGTGTATTTCAGTCCTTATCTCAACTGCATAAGACAGACACTCCCAGAGCGGCCATTTATGGACCTCCCCCGAGGAATGCATTCCTTCCCCAGGGTATTAATTATTAATATTCCTTGCTGGGAAAAGAATTTAGTGATATCTTCCCTACTTGCATGTCCATTTATAGGCTCTCTGCAAGAAGAAAAATATGGCTCTATTCTGCCCGACCCCGCAGGCAGTCAGACCCTATGGTTGTCTTCCCTTGGTCCCTGAAAATCGCTGTTATTCCGTTCTTTTTCAAGGTGCACTGATTTCATATTGTTCAAACACATATGTTTTACAATCAATTTGTACAGATAACACAATAGTGGTCCTGAGGTAATGTACACTCTCAGCTTACGAAGTTAAGAGGATTGAGAGATTAAAGTAAAGACAGGCATAAGAAATTATAAAAGTATTAATTTTGGGAACTGATACATGTCCATATTAAAATGAAATCTTCACAATTTATGTTCCTCTGCCATGGCTCCAGCCGGTCCCTCCGTTCGGGGTTCCTGACTTCCCGCAACATATATTATTCATGAGTTTTCTAGGAAAGGGATGAGGAATTCCCAGACCGGAGGGTTTGTCTTCTTTTTAGACCATACAGGGTAATAACCTGAAGTTGCCATGACATTTGAAAATCGTTATGCTAGTGGTAGGAGTGTCTTTTAGCATACCAATGTATTATAATTAGCATATAATGAGCAGTGAGGATGACCAGAGGTTACTTTCATTGCCATCTTGATTTTGGTGGGTTTTGGCCAGCTTCTTTATTGCATCCTGTTTTATCAGCAGGGTCTTTGTGACTATACTTTATGATCTCCTATCTCATCCTGTGATAAAGAATGCCTAACCTCTGGGAGATGCAGGTCTCAGCCTCATTTTACCCAGCCCCTATTCAAGATGGAGCCACTCTGGTTCCAATGCCTCTGACACATTCATTCACTTAATTCTACAAATAAGTATTGCATGTTTACATTGTGAGGTCCTGAGTAGGGGAGGGAGGAAGACATTGATTACTTATTAAAAATTAAACACACAGCTTATTCCTTCCCCTTGTGATAAGTGCCAGGAGGGAGAAACAGGGGTTGCTGTGAGAGGAGAACTGAAAGACAGAAATATGGTCAGTGGGAACTGTGATCGGCAAAGATGTACAGACACAGGACCCTGGGCAGACAAATAATGAAACCGCCTTTGCGAAATTATGACTGAGACAGTGAAAGAGATCTAATCTAACTGACTCCATCTTGTTTGTAACCTTTAAGCTGTCCTTGTTCCTTCCTAGGTGTAGGCTGAAATAACTTTGGGAGGAATTTGGTTTAGAGTTTAAAATAAAGATAACAACACTTTCCCAAAACAAACCTCCTTCTTGCCTGGGGACTAGACTGCCTTTGTAGTACTAAGACATTAGCCACAAGATTAGAAATTATGGTTAAGGAGTCATTGCAGCTGGAGGCTACAAGACTCTGACCCTCCCTAAACTGCTCCTAAGATCCATGCTTGAGACATTTTGCAGACCCTGCACTTGATGGATCAGCTGGCATGACCCAGATTGATAAACTGGCCCATCTGATCTTGTGGCCCCCAGCTAGGAACTGACTCAGCACAAGAGGACAATTTCAACTTCCCATCTCTTACTTAACCAGTCAACATTCCTGGTTCACTGGCTTCCCCCCACCCACCAAGTTATCCTTAAAAACTCTGATTCCTGAAGCTCAGAGAGACTGATTTGAGTAATAAGAAAACTCTGGTCTCCTGCACAACCAGCTCTGCATGAATTAACTCTTTCTCTATTGCAATTCCCCTGTCTTGATAAATTGGCTCTGTCTAGGCAGCAGGCAAGGTGAACCCATTGGGTGGTTACAAAAATGGCTTGGGAAGAGTTTAAATTGTAAATATTAGAAGAATGAGAGGATTACTATGAAGGTGTGCATGCTGTTCATTTGCTGATTTTGTTCATTGGCTTCTGATTCCTTCTTACCCTCCCCAGCTGCCTCCTGTTACTCTCTTTATTAAATTGAGGGTGAGCTCTGGTTATAAAGGAGACAGTGGGTTCCATCTTTTGAAAGGATGGGATCCTAAACTGGAGTCTACCTATGCCTGTCCCAAAAAGAGTGTTGAGGACACTCTTGTTATCCTTCTGATAAGTAATGAGAGTTGCTAAGCACTACAGTATAAGATTTGTAATCTGCTGTTAATACTATTTGTTCTGAAAACAAAATTGTGAAAGAAAATAATAAAAATCTAATTGTGGACTTTGTCTCATTGCAAGTATCAGAGGCGTTCAAATCAGAGTAACTCCATCTTGGATAGGGATTGGGTAAAATGAGGCTGAGATCTACTGGGTCACATTCCTAGGAGGTTAGGCATTCTTAGTTAACAGGATATTTACAGTTAAGGGAACAAGTTAATAATGTTTATTGAACAGACCCAGGACTTAAGTGACCCAGGAAATAGACCAAGGAAATGTCTTGATGTCCCACTGTCTTAAGAACAAAAGCATTCTTAGTTTAAGCGTAAGTTTCGGGCCAGGCGTGGTGGCTCACGCCAGTAATCCCAGCACTTTGGGAGGCCAAGGAGGGTGGATCACGAGGTCAGGAGATAGCGACCATCCTGGCCAACATTGTGAAATCCCGTCTCTACTAAAAAAATACAAAAAAATTAGCTGGGCGTGGTGGCAGGCCCCTGTAGTCCCAGCTACTCAGGAGGCTGAGGCAGGAGGACGGTGTGAACCCAGGAGGCGGAGCTTGTAGTGAGTGGAGATCGAGCCACTGCACTCCAGCCTGGGTGACTGAGCGAGACTCTGTCTCAAAAAAAAAAAAAAAAAAAAAAAAATTTGTTGGGCATGTTGGCATGTGCCTGTCATCCCAGCTACTCGGAAGGCTGAGGCAGGAGAATCGCCTGAACCTGGGAGGTGGAGGTTGCAGCGAGCTGAGATTGTGCCATTGCACTCCAGCCTGGGTGACAAGAGTGAAATTCCATGTCAAAAAAAAAAAATTTCACTTTAAAGATAATACTATAGATTCTTGCAGAAGACAGTAGTTACACAAAGATTAACAATCCTTTATTGCAAGGCCTTGTAGAGAACATCTTCCTCATGTTTTTTGCTTTGTTATCTTACATGTAAACAAGCATTGTATCTTGTTAGATATGAGTTCTCAATTTCTTTTCAAAGAATTAATATGTAGTATGTTCAATTCTTTGACTTCTACTTTTAAACTTAACTTCCTTGTAAAGGAACCTTTTTCAATGACCTACTCCACCCTGACTCATTCCGATCACCTGCTCAACCCCAACTCATTCCAATTACCTGCTACCTGCTCTGCCCTGACTGGCGCCAAAGTACTCACCCCGTCATTCTCTTTAAATTAGCCAATGGGAATTAGTTTAGCCTGTGCAGTCTAACCCTAGCCAATAGGAGAACAACACAGCAGCAGGGGCCACGTGCATCAGGGAAAAGAACCCCTTACCCTCCCTTGTCCAAGTGTGCGCTCACCATTGCTCCGTCTTTAAGGGTGCACCCTTCTACAGAAGTAACTTGCCTTGCTGAGAATTAAAAAGAAAATGTTATATTCGAGTGCTATTCCTTTTGTGGCACTGAAACTTTATAACAACCTTGCATATAAACAAGCATCGTATCTTACATAGAAACAAGCATCGCACCTAAGGTGTGCGCATTTCTCTTCTTGCTTTCGAGAATGCCCTGCTCTATCTGCTGTCTAGAGAGTAGCCATTCTTTTATTCCTTTACTTTCTTAATAAGCTTGCTTTTACCTTATTCTGTGGACTTGCCCTGAATTCTTTCTTGCACAAGATCCAAGAACCCTCTCTTGGGGTCTGGAATGGGACCGCTTTCCAGTTACAGTAGAATTGTTATAGGAAGGTTGATTTCTGCTAAAGTGAGACATGGGAAGATTACATACTGCTACAATTTCCCACTTTCTTCTCATGTGTTTACAAAATGGGCCACTGTGGAGGCTCTGTTGCTCTCAGGAGTTTGTGCAGCTGGATGCTATGGATTCTGTCTAACAGAAGAAATGGGTCCTAGAAATGATGAAGCAGCATTATTTTTATTGAGTCTTCTTCAGGCAGAGCTAAGGACACCTTGGAAAATAAAGCAAGGATTTAGTGCATCACAGAAGCTATTTAATTTTCTCTCTGGCATATCCTTTGCTAATTGGAGATGTTTTCCCAGTTAATAAAAGTATTAAAAAAAATTGAATTCTTGGCAGCCAGGCATGGTGGCTCACGCCTGTAATCCCAGCATTTGGGAGGCTGAGGTGGGTGGATCACTTGAGGCCAGGAGTTTGAGACCAGTCTGGCCAATATGGTGAAACCCCGTCTCTACTAAAAATACAAAAATTAGCCAGGCGTGATGGTGCACGCCTGTAATCCCAGCTACTCGGGACGCTGAGGCAGGAAAATCTCTTGAACCCAGGAGGTGGAGGTTGCAGTGAGCTGAGATTGTGCTGTTGTACTACAGCCTGGGTGACAGAGTAAGACTCTGTCTCAAAAAAAAAAAAAAAATCATTGAATTCTTGTTTTAATCCTTGAAGACACTTAATATTTTGGCCAGAACACTATTTATATTCCGTTTATTTTAACAATGAATTTCCTGTCCCAAATGTAGTCAAAATGTGTACTTGCACAACAAAAGCATTGCAAACACTGCTGTGTTACAGACTGGCCAATGCACCACAATGTATTGGTCTCTTTGTGTGAGTTATCACCTGGAGTACTTTGTCTCAGGACCAAGAGAATTAAAGGGTGAGGTTGGAGCGAAAGTTTAATAAGCGAAAGGAGAAAGCTCACTGCAGGGGAGAGGGGATCCAGAAGAGGGTTGCTGGTTTTTGCAGTTGAATGCAAAGGCTTTTGTAAGAAACCGATGAGGGCTGGGCATCTCATTTGCATAAGGTGCAAATTTCTGGTAGCTCCACCCTGACCTCCTAGTGCACATGTGGGCGCTTAGCTTAAGTTACTCCATATTGCTTTGTTCTCCTTACTATGCATGTGTTAGGGGATGGAATTTTCCATTGCAGGCATGTCTGGGCAAGCCCCCCTGTGCAAGTTCCCTTATCTGTGCCTGCAGGCTGTTCTTCAGTTCGAAAGAATTCATCTGAGGACCCACCCTAACTGTCTGCCTGACTAGTTTCTTCCTTTCTCCTCTCTCAGCTGGAACTCAGTGATTCTCCTTTTGACTTCTACTTTGACCATGCAGGGGTCCAAGTTCAGGATTTCCTGTGGCCTCTGAAGCCAATAAAGAATTCATGAACATGGAATTCACAAACAGTTTTCAGATTCTTGAAGGCTGCAATATATGAATATTAGGATGTAAAACTGAAAACCTAATAAATTGGACTTTTAAAACATGCTTCCAGTTGTCTTTTACTTAATTAAGAAATTGATTTTAATACTAAAATTATAGTCACTTTTTCTTTAAAAATTAGAACATTACAAATGAAGCTACAGTTTCCATTGACAACCACCTCTAATCTTGATCATCTTCTCCCATTGTTCAGAGGTTATTATGATGTAAGTTTGGTGAGTGTCCTTCAGACCATTAAAAATACTTTTTTCATTTCATTTCAATGTGCCTATACACATTGTGCCTATACACAAAAGTTTGGTATGTACTTTTAAGACATAAATGGTGTCATACTGTTAGTTTTGTTCTCTAATTTACTTTATTTAAAAAACAGTATGTTTTTGAGATCTATTTATCTCCAAATAGATCCAAATGGATTTAGTCTGATTCTTTTTTTTTTTTTTTTTTTTTGAGACGGAGTCTCACTCTATTGCCCAGGCTGGAGTGCAGTGGTGCAATCTCGGCTCACTGCAAACTCCGCCTCCCAGGTTCACGCCATTCTCCTGCTTCAGCCTCCCTAGTGGCTGGGACTATAGGTGCCCGCCACTGCACCCAGCTAATTTTTTGTATTTTTAGTAGAGACAGGGTTTCACTGTGTTAGCCAGGATAGTCTCAATCTCCTGACCTTGTGATCCGCCTGCCTCGGCCTCCCAAAGTGCTGGGATTACAGGCGTGAGCCACCACACCCAGCCTAGTCTGATTCTTTTAACTGCTTTGGAGATTTCCATTTATGAATGTACTATATGTCAGGCCTCTGAGCCCAAGCTAAGCCATCATATCCCCTGTGACCTGCACGTATACATCCAGATGGCCTGAAGCAACTGCAGAACCACAAAAGAAGTGAAAATAGCCAGGTCCTGCCTTAACTGATGACATTCCACCATTGTGATTTGTTCCTGCCCCACCCTAACTGATCAATTGACCTTATGACAATACACCCTCCCCACCCTTGGGATAATGTACTTTGTGATATTTCCCCACCCTTAAGAAGGTACTTTGTAATATTCTCCCCACCCTTGAGAATGTACTTTGTAAGATCCACCCCCTGACCACAAAAATTGCTCCTACCTCTACCACCTATCCCAAACCTTTAAGAACTAATGATAATCCCACCACCCTTTGCTGACTCTCTTTTTGGACTCAGCCCGCCTGCACCCAGGTGATTAAAAAGCTTTATTGCTCACACAAAGCCTGTTGGGTGGTCTCTTCATACAGATGTGCATGACACTATAGTTAACTAATTCATGTATTGATGGACACTTACAAAACATGAACATGCATATAAAATTAGAAGTAGGACTGTGGGTCACAGGGTATATGCCAAAGTGTCCCCTACAGTGGCTGGGACATTTTATATGTCCCTTCATTAAGAATACTTTAAATTTGTTTTTATTTATTATACAGGAAAGAAAAGTGTCTCCTGCAGTAGCTGGGACATTTTACATATCCCTCCATTAAGCATACTTTAAATTTGTTTTTATTTGTTATACAGCAAAGAAAAGCAATCATTGCTTCCAGATCTGGTACCAGTCCTTCCTTCCTTCCTTCCTTCCTTTCTTCCTTCCTTCCTTCCTTCCTTTCTTCCTTCCTTCCTTCCCTCCCTCCCTCTCTCCCTCCTTCCCTCCTTCCTTCTCTCTCTCTCTCCTCTCTCTCTTTCTTTCTTTCATCTGTCTTCTACTTGTTTTCTTTTTCTTTTTTTTTGAGATGGCGTCTCTCTCTGATGTCCAGGCTGGAGTGCAGTGGCATGATCTTGGCTCACTGCACCTCCACCTCCTAGGTTCAAGTCATTCTCCTGCCTCAGCCTTCCTAGTAGCTGGAACTACAGGCATGCGCTACCACGCCCAGCTAATTTTTGTATTTTTTGTAGAGATGGGGTTTCACCATGTTGGCCAGGATGGTCTCAATCTCTTGACCTAGTGATCCGCTTGCCTTGGCCTCCCATAGTACTGGGATTACAGGCATGAGCCACCCCGCCTGGCCTTTTTTTTTTTTTTTGAGATGGAGACTCGCTCTGTCGCCAGACTGGAGTGCAGTGGTGCGATCTTGTCTCACTGCAAACTCCGCCTCCTGGGTCCAAGCGATTCTCCTGCCTCAGCCTCCTGAGTAGCTGGGATTATGGCGTGAGTCACGGCCCCTGGCCTTCTACTTGTTTTCTGTCCAGCAATATAATTCCCATTTTAGGCCTTAATTGCCTGATTTTTAGGTGAGGGAATAACAGGACTGTTTTGTGAAGAGTGAAAGTTTTTCTAAGTGCAGCCCCTGCCCACTCAATGAAAAGAAGACTCAGGGGAGCAAGAGTGTTAAGAATATTTTAGAATGCTGCCTTCACTTCAACAAGGATGTTGAATTAGAAGAATTTTTTTTGAGACAGGGTCTCACTCTGTCACCCACGCTGGATTGCAGTGGCACCATCATTGTCACTACAACCTCTGCCTCCCAGGCTCAAGCAATTCTTGTGCCTCAGCCTCCTGAGTAGCTGGGACTAGAGGTGTGCACCACCATGCTTAGCTATTTTTTTTTTTTTTTTTTTTTTTTGCATTTTCAATAGGGTTTTGCCATGTTGGTCAGGCTGGCTACGAACTCCTGGCCTCAAGTGATCCACCTGCCTCAGCCTCCCAAAGTGCTGGGATTACAGGTGTGAGCCATCGAGCTTAGCCATATTAGAAGGATTTTTAACTGAATAAGAGTAACACCCAAGAGAAAAGAGATGGAAAATAATGTAAAAACAATATGATCAGTTTTTTCACCGTACTTGATTTTATGCAGAAATGTCTTCTTCCAAAACTTTTCCCACAAATGCTAAGGTATAGATGCTCAGATATATTTTCTGGATCTCACAGCTGCCACACTCTCCTCTGCAGGCTCTAGTGGGCCCCAGAAACCACGAGCAGATAGAAGAAGGAAGAAAACCAGGAGGGCCAGGAAAGTCCTCCCAAGTGGGGAGAATTGGCAAATAGTCAAAAATTGACAGGATGAATGATAACATTGGAGAAATGCAACTTTCAAGACTTAATGTATACACTGTAAATTAGGGAAGAAACTTTATGTAGTGAGAAAAACATGGACAGTAGGGGAGAGCTTCTTAGAAGGAGTTGCTTACTGGGCACCACTGGAAGCTTGGTGGGGGCGTGGGGAGAAAGAGAGGGAGAGAGAAATAGAAAGAGAGAGAGGGAGAGGTAGAGAAGAGACAGGCACAAGGAGGCATTCCATAATGGAAGAGCCTGCGGTAATACAATTGTGCACTGCAGCATGGGATAATGCTGGGACAAAGAGTAGATTGGTTATGGGATAGAATGATAAGAATGGAATGGATTTAGGAGCTTTTGTGTGTTAGGGGCAGGCAGTGATTTTCTTCTTATTTTTTCGTCCGTGGGATAATAAGACAACTAAATACCATAGTAGCAAGACTGGCCCAAGACATTGTCCCCAGGTCAGATAATTTGGCACATTGTATACTAAATTATGAATAAGCTTATCTTTGCTTTATGCCATTGAGCTTTGAAACCACCCTTTATTCTGAAAAGACTGTGAGCCACCCCGTGAGACAATTTCAATCATTATCATAATAATATCAGTAGCAGAATCAAATCATATGTAGTTGGCTCTCTAAAACTAATCTAAAATTGCTTCATGGGTTAGCTGAGAGGTACCTAATAACTTAGATTGTCCTCAGGTGAGGACAAATGGATGAGTTTTTATTTAATCTTGCCATTTTAAATAGGGGAAAAATTTTTTTAAGGGAAGATTGTTTGATACAGGAAAAGTTGAAGAATTTTCAGAAAATTTTATGAACTCCAGGAGGGCTGAATTAAGAGAGAAAACCCCCAAAATGTCAGCTTTCATATCTGTTCAAGTCTATGTTACCTATGGTTGTTTCTTTGTCATCACCTTCTTCATAAAGACACAGCATAGCAGGGTTGGTGATTTTTGTCTGTCCTTGTCTCTTTTTTTAAATTTAAGAGGGAATGTTCTAATTGTGAAGGTAATACAGTTATTGTAAAGGATTTGTAAATATAGAAGCATAGGTGGGGTGTGGTGGCTCATGCCTGTAATCCCAGCACTTTGGGAGGCTGAGGCGAGTGGATCAGTTGAGTTCAAGACCAGCCTGGACAACATGGTGAAACCCCATCTCTACTAAAAATACAAAAATTAGCCAAATGTGGTGGCGCATGCCTGTAGTCCCAGCTACTTGGGAGGCTGAGGCAGGAGAATCGCTTGAATACAGGAGGTAGAGGTTGCAGTGAGCCAAGATCGTGCCACTGCACTCCAGCCTGGACAACAGAGTAAGACTCTGTCTCAAAATATATATATATGTATATATAAGCATATAATAAAGAAAAAAAAAGTCTACCTTACAACCAAAAGATAACCATAGTTAACACTTATTCCCAGTGTTTTTCTTTTCTTTAAATTATATTTAGTTGTACAAATAATGAGTAAATACATCCTTATTGAAAAAGTCAAACCACTGCGCCTCTCACCACAACTCCAATTGTCGTGTCACCCTCAGGGGTAAGTACTGTTATCAGGTGATGGGGATTCTGTAAAATTCTTTTTTTTCTTGTCTCTAAATATATTTATAGACAAAAACACAATACTTTTCCTCCTGCATGTGTTTTATGAAAAACAGTAACAAACAATGAATTTATATTATCTTATTTTTGTTCAGTGATGTCTTAAGGATATTACCATGCCAAAGCATACAGATCTATCTCATATTACCTGTTGCATAGGATTCAATAGTATAGAAATATTTTTATTTGATAATTGCTTTGTCAACAGGAATTTATGGTTTCAACATCCTCATCCTTCTTGCTGCTATTACTAATAATTGTATTCCTGGGCATAGTGACTCACACCTGTAATCGCAGCACTTTGGGAGGCTGTGGTGGGAGGATCACGAGGTCAAGAGATCGAGACCAGCCGGGCCAACATGGTGAAACCCCGTCTCCACTAAAAATACAAAAATTAGCTGGGCATTGTGGTGCATGCCTGTAGTCTCAGCTACTCGGGAGGCTGAGGCAGGAGAATCGCTTGAACCCGGGAGGCGGAGGTTGCAGTGAGCTGACATAGAGCCACTGCACTCCACCCTGCTGACAGAGCTAGGCTCTGTCTCAAAAACAAAAACAAAAACAAAATAATGGTATAACGAATATCTTTATACATATCTCTATGCACATGTATGAGTATTTTCATAAAGGAGATAATTGGAGAGTGGAGCGGCAGTGTCTTAGTCCAGTTTCTGTTGCTATAACAGAATACCACAGACTGAGTAATTTATGAGGAAAATAAGTTTATTCCGTTCATAGTTCTAGAGACTGGGAAGTCCAAAAGCATGGTGTGGTGTCTGGTGAGGGTCATCCCACGGTGGAAGGGTAGAAGGGCCAGAAAGCATGAGTGAGAGAGAACTTTATTTTATAACAAAGTCACTCTGGTGATACCTAACCTACTCCCAGAATAACAGCATCAACCCATTTATGAGGATTAATGTATCAGGACCTAATGACATTTTTCTCCAAAAATATAATTTTTAATTACTGAATATAATTTCATTGTGTGACTGTATCAGTATTGTTTTTTCTTTATATTAACATTCTTTTATTTTTGAACTCTAGTTGTTTTAAATATTTGCTATGGCAGATTTTTTGAAAATGTTGCTAAAGAGTACCTTTCTGAATATTTTTGTGTTTAATTTTTGGGTTTATTTCCATTTCTTTTGATAAGATCATGAGAAAGAAATTCACCAGGACAAATAGTGTTAACTTTAAAAATTTTTTAATGATACATATTGCCAAATACTTTTCTGGAAATTTTGTACCAGTTTATCTTTATTTGAGCAGTGTATTAGCATGTCTTTCTTATAGAACTATCTTTTCATATGATTAATAATGATAATAATAATAATTATTATTATTATTTTGAGACAGAGTCTCGCTCTGTCAGCCAGGCTGGAGTGCAGTGGCGTGATCTTGGCTCACTGCAACCTCTGCCTCCTGAGTTCAAGTGATTCTCCTGCCTCAGCCTCCTGAGTAGCTGGGATTACAGGCATATGCCACCATGCCCAGCTAATTTTTGTATGTTTAGTAGAGACTGGGTTTCACCATGTTGGTCAGGCTGGTCTTGAACTCCTGACCTCATGATCGGCCTAGCCTCCCAAAGTGCTAGGATTACAGGTGTGAGCCACTGCACCTGGCCAATATGCTTAATTATTAAATATATTTAAAATGTTGCTAGTTTTAAAGATCAGAAATAATAATTAAATTTATATTTAATTGATGATGAGTGAGGTGGGACATTTCTCATTTTATTAGCCATTTATGGCCCTTCTGATAATTGTTAGTTCTTCTATAGATGTTTTCTCTTAGGTCATTGGTTTTCTTACTGGTGTGAATAGGCTCTTTGCATATTAAAGTTTTGATTCTTTGTATTATTTCTGGAAATATTTTTCCAGTTTGCTCTTTCACTTTAAATTCTGCTTACACATTTAAAAAATTTGTTGTCATCTGTGCACTTTTTCTTGAATGTTCTTGCATTGCTTTTGTGCTTAGAAAGTCGGCTATGGCTTTCATGTTTGTGTTGTTCCTCCAATTCATATGCTGAAATCCTTACCTCCAAGAAGATGGTATTAGGAGATGGGACCTTTGGGAGAAGATGATTAGGTTATGAGGGTGGAGGCTTCATGAATGAGATTGAAAAAAGAAAGCTTAGAGCTGTACTTACACATTATAAACCAAATAAATTTAAGATAGACTTAAAGCACTGAATATAAAAAATAAAATCAGGCCAGGCATGGTGGCTCACACCTGTAATTCCAGCACTTTGTGAGGCCAAGGCAAGCAAATCACTTGATGCAAGGAGTTCAAGACCAGCCTGGTCAACATGGTGAAACCCTGTCTCTACCAAAAATACAAAAAATTAGCCAGGTGTGGTGGCACATGCTTGTAGTCCTAGCTACTCGAGGGACTGAGGCAGGAGGATCAACTGAACCCAGGATGTCAAGGCTTAAGTCTACCATAATGTTTAGGGGGAAAACCCAAATACATTCCTATGAAAGTTAGGAACAAGACAAAATGTCCGTTATTGCTATTAATGTTTAACAATGTGTTATTAGTTTTTATGCTGCTAATAAAAACATACCCGAGACTGGGTAGTTTATAAAGGAAAGAGGTTTATTTGACTCACAGTTCAGCATGGCTGGGGAGGCCCCAGGAAACTTACAATCATGGCAGAAGGGGAAGAAAATACATCCTTCTTCACATGGCAGCACAAGGAGAAGTGCAGAGCAAAAGGATGAAAAGTTCCTTATAAAACCATCAGATCTCATGGGAACTCACTACTATGAGAACAGGGGTAACTGCCCCCCATGATTCAATTACCTCCTGCTGAATCCCTCCCACAACTTGTATGTTTATGGGAACTACAATTCAAGATGATATTTGAGTGGGAACATTAGATTTGAGTGGGGACACATCCAAACCATATCAAATGTTCTGGGGTTATTAACCAATGCAATTAGTCAAGAAAAGGAATAGAGGTATAAAAATTGGAAAGAAGAAGGTGAAATTTTCATTATTTACAAATGATTTGCATGTTTACAGTGCAAAACCCAGGAGAATCTATTGAAAACAATCCCAAACAATAAGAAACATAAAAAAGATATTTAGGTACATATTTAATATATAGGAATAAGTAGACCCCATTTACAATATGACAAAAAGATAATATTTTTAGAGATAAACTACAAAATATAGTAAATCTAAATTGCTAATAAGAATAAGACTTCTTGGCTGGGCACAGTGGCTCATGCCTGTAATCACAGCACTTTGGGAGGCCAATGTGGGTTGATCACTTGAGGTCAGGAGTTCGAGACCAGCCTGGCTAACATGGTGAAACCCTGTCTCTACTAAAAATACAAAAATTAGCCAGGTGTCATAGCACATGCCTGTAATCCCAGCTACTCGGGAGGCTGAGGCAGGAGAATTGCTGGAATCTGGGAGGTGAAAGTTGCAGTGAGCCGAAATTACGTCACTGCACTCCAGCCTGGGTGAGAGGGAGACTCTGTCTCAAAAGAAAAAAAAAAAGAAAAAAAAAGAATAAGGCTTCTTGAACAAATGAGAAAAATGATTTTAGTTGGAAGCCTCAACATTTAAAACATATAAATTCTCTATAGTTTATTTATAAAATTAACATGACCCCAGTAACAATATCGACAAAATTTTTTGGAATTTTCCAAGAAGATTTTGAATTTCATATGGGAAAATGAATATGTAAGAATAGCCAGGGTTATTCAGAAAAATAAGTCCTACCAGATACAAAATATATTAATGACCTCAGAGCTGCCTTTTAAGCCCTGCTGCCACTATTTTTTGTCTGTGTTTGTCTGTAGGCATCGCTGCTTTCTCTCAGATCCTTGCCTGCACGGGCCAGATCCCTGCCGCAGGGCCCTTGCATGGCCTTTTTGCTATTTGAATGATGTGGGCAGCTCCTGCTTCAATACCTCTTGACTATTTCTCTTTTTTTTTTTTTTTTTTTGAGATGGAGTCTCGCTCTGTCACCCAGGTTGGAGTGCAGTGGCACGGTCTCGGCTTACTGCAAGCTCCACCTCCCAGGTTCATGCCATTCTCCTGCCTCAGCCTCCCGAGTAGCTGGGACTACAGGCGCCCGCCACCACACCCGGCTAATTTTTTTTTATTTTTAGTAGAGACGGGGTTTCACCATGTTAGCCAGGATGGTCTCGATCTCCTGACCTTGTGATCTGCCCGCCTTGGCCTCCCAAAGTGCTGGGATTACAGGTGTGAGCCGCCGCACCTGGCCGACTATTTCATTCTTATTTAATCATCACTTCTGGCTGGGCGTAGTGGCTCATGTCAGTAATCCCAGCACTTTGGGAGGCTGAGGCAGGCAGATCACCTGAGGTTGGGAGTCCAAGACCAGCCTGACCAACATGGAGAAACCCCATCTCTACTAAAAATACAAAATTAGCAGGGCGTGGTGGCACATGCCTGTAATCCCAGCTATTCGGGAGGCTGAGGCAGGAGAATCGCTTGAACCTAGGAGGTGGAGGTTGCAGTGAGCCGAGATTGTGCCATTGCACTCTAGCCTGGGCAACAAGAGCGAAACTCCATCTCAAAAAAAAAAAAAAAAATCATCACTTCTTTAGGGAACTCTTTCCTTCCACCTCCTTCATCTGAAGTCATTTTCCTTTGTTAGCTGCCTTTTTGCCTTCCTTGCATTTATTTCATTTTGTAATTACACAATTCTAAGTGTGGTTGTTTGATAAATTCTCTTTCCCTTTTTAGACTGTCAGCTCATTGCCTGATCCAGAGTAGGCTATCAGTAAATACCACTTGGTGGACAATCTCCAGTCTGTTGGACTCTGAGGGTGATTTAGATTCAGCACCTACCTTCTAAACTCACTCATCAAAAGAGCTCTCCAAATGTAGTCCCTACTCCAGTGTTAAGGGAATAATATCTTAATACACAGCTTCTTTTCTTTCTTTCTTTTCTCGTTCATTCATTCATTCATTCCTTTTTTTTTTTTTTGAGACAGGGTTTTGCTCTGCTGCTGAGGTTGGAGTGCAGTGGTGCGATCACAGCTCACTGCAGCTTGACCTCCTGGGACTCAAGCCTTCCTCCCACCTCAGCCTCCCAAGTAGGTGGGACAACAGGAACATGCCACCACGCCCAGCTAATTTTTTGTAGAGATGGGGTCTCACTGTTGCACAGGCTGGTCTGGAACTCCTGGGCTCAAGTGATCCTCTTGCCTCATTTTCCCCAAACACTGGGATTACAGGCCTGAGCCACTGCACCTGGTCTAGCTTCTTTTCTTAAAAAAAAAAAAGATGTTAGTCATTGAAAGAAATAATCAAATAATCATAGCCATTGGGAAACTTATTTTCCTAATAAATTTTATAAAATGGTATGCCATACATACTATAGGTGAAATCTCTTATAAGTGACGTATGTCCTCATATGGCCTAGTTTAGAAAATATGGTGTGGTGGTCAGGGTGGAGAAGACCCTCCGACTATTGAATGAGTCTGAACAGGATGTGGTTCTCTAATAAGAGATTCAGTTAAACTTCTTATGCTTTTTCCCCAGAGTACATATCTACCATTTTCTTGGTTGTGCTATGATTGGCAAACAGTAGCTATTACTAAGAGCTCCGAAGGTTTTGTTTGGCATTTTGTGGACTGAATCACACTGGTCATGACGCTTGTTGGAAAGTTATGAGCTTTAAGAAGACTTTTGCATTCATGACTATATCAAACAGTAGTTGCTGGTAGTGGAGTAGTCTCTGGCAGTCTTAAATAGATTTTATCGCTGAGCCTCCTGAGGCCATTTAAATACTCCAGGAAATCCTCCTTTATGTGACCTCTTTTGTATTCCTTCAAAAATGAATGGCTTTCTTCTGTGTCTTTCACAAAGACCACAGGCCTTGGAAACTCCATAGAGGTGGTGTAGATATCCAACCTCAGTAATAATTCTTGAAGGAAGCAGGCATATGGCATGAGTCAGATGGAAACAGGACCAGAGGGTTCAGTCTGCAGCCCACAGGCCAAACCCACCAAATCTGCTCTGCAGGTGTGTTTATTTGATTCATATGTGTTTCTTTTTTAAACATTTAAATCAGTTGCCAACCTGCAAAAACTGGGAATTTACACTTCAAAAAGTCTGGATATATGACTTGTCTTGAAAAACTGGAATGATTTGGAATTGGAAATTCCAAAATTGGAGTGGTTTGGCCAGGCTGGAAATCCTTATTTCTGTATCTGCAACCACCAGTGGAGCTGAGACCTGTTCCCTTCCAGATGGGCAGGGGCTGTCCATGTGTGACACTGCCATCTCTCGTCTCACATGTTCATTTCAGTTGCCTTCATGATTCATGGATATGAGATTATGAGATTGAGAATATGATGGTTATGAGGTTATGAGACTGAGTATAAAAGGCATAGTGAATAGTTACAAAGGAGACAGCCTTTTACATTTATATCACATGATCTGTTTGATAAATAAATGAGACACTTTAATCAACAGACAAGAAATGAGCTGATCATCTTTGTGATCTGGACAAAGAAAAATAACGAAAACTGTCCCTCGTTACACAGGATGTAGCATTGTTCTTCTCTGATAATTCTTTGTTGAGTCTATTGATTCTGGGCAGAGGTCAAATACCATTTGAGTCGGGTGGAAGGAAAATCTTTTTTTGTTTTTTTGTTTTTAGAGGCAGTCTCTCTCTCTCTATTGGCTGGGCTGGGGTGCAGTGGTGCAATTATAGCTCACTGAAACCTCAAATTCCTGGGCTCAAGTGATCCTCCTGCCTCAGCCTCTCAAGTAGATAGGACTACAGGTCATGACACCCTGCCTGACAAATTAAAAAAAATTTTTTTTCTTTTTGTAGAGATAGGGTCTTGCTGTCTCTATCTGGTCAGGCTGGTCTGGAACTTCTGGCCTCAAGCAATCCTCCTGCCTTGGCCTCCAAAAGGGCTAGGAGTATAGATGTGAGCCAACACACTCTGCCATAGGCCAATTCTTAAATGACAAACCTCATCACCATCCTGGAGGAGCACATCATTTGTTCCCGAACTTTCTCCTGCTTCCCTTTGAACTTTGAGAATGAGAACCAAATGGTCTGAACATAACACTTCTCTGCGTAGCATGTTTGACATATTTGGAATACAAAGAATGCTTCTGCCTTTAATCTGGCTTTGTGCAGCTGCACGGAAAAGATCGTTTAACACTCTTCTTTATATTTTGTATTTTGGGGGAATTCTACCAGGAAACTTACGATCATCTTTCGGAAGTCCCGGTCACGCGGGAGCAGTTAAACCACTATCGGAATGTGGCTCAAAATGCTCGAAGTGAACTTGCAGCAACTTTGGTCAAATTTGAATGTGCTCAGTCTGAGGTAAGATAATGCATTTCCAGCACTCAGAAATGGGCCTTCTTAGCTTCTTATAAAATGAAACAGATCACGCCTGTAATCCCAGCACTTTGGGAGGCTGAGGCAGGCAGATCACGAGGTCAAGAGATCCAGACCATCCTGGCCAACGTAGTGAAACTCTGTCTCTACTAAAAATATAAAAATTAGCTGGGTGTGGTAGTGAGCGCCTGTAGTACCAGCTGCTCGAGAGGCTGAGGCAGGAGAATCACTTGAATCCGGGAGGTGGAGGTTGCAGTGAGGCGAGATCACAGTACTGCACTCCAGCCTGGTGACAGAGTGAGACTCCATCTCAAAAAAAAAAAAAAAAAAAAAAAAAGAAAAAGAAAAAGAGACAGAATGTAGGAGTGATTAGAAATAGGACAGTGGGATATAGATTTAAGGCTTTTGGCAAAGTTGAAACTTGTTCTCTTGTGCCTATCCCCTAGAATTCCTGAAAAGTTATGCATTTGCCAGATTGTAAAGCTAGGTGGCTTGGGCTGAATTCTGGATCTCAGAGGAGCTATACAGCCTTGAGAGATCTGGGGGCGCCTGAAGATGTTAAGTAAAGCTCCATGGGCCTCAGAGAAATTTAGCATCTCTCAGAATATCTTCCTTTAATGTGGGTTGCTTGCAATCTGGAGTTCTTAAGAGGGAATTCTGAATCCCTTTCCTGTGGTAGTTCCAACTGGCTGGGGAAATTCTAGGAAGAAGAGTGGGATCCATCTACCCTGTAGGCTAGCTCGGGTTTAGAGTGGAGTTTCTGAGAGTCTTCCTAAACTCATTCTGCTTATAGCCTGGTGGCCCCAAGGAGTTCTAGACTGGCCTGTGATTTCTCACTAAGGCTGCCAGGACCCCATAGAACGATGAGTTGATAATGTGTGTGTGAATAAATGTATGTATGCACACTCACAGTTCCAAAGAAGTAGATGCTTTCATAACTTTTTCTCATAGGGTAGATCTGACATTTTAACTCAATAGGGCACATATATTGTTCAGCATTTCGATATCACAGAACTCATAAAAGTTAAAATGTTCTCTTTATATAAATCCTATAAGGGTTTTTCTTTTCTCCTATGTTTTTTTTCCCAGAAATTTAAATGTTATTTTTATTTATCACTCACAGTTAGAATCCAGGAGATAAGTGTGAGAAATATAGTGATATACTGAGTAGTCTGTATTTAAGTGAGGAACAGTTATGGCTGTGAAATCACAGATCATATGGTTTGTAGGTTCCTTGTCTGACTGTTTATCAGCAGCAATAATAGCAATACAGATTTAGAAAATGTGGACCATTGCAAAATATTTTATTGCTTATGCAATCAACATCATAAATGTCTCCTGAATGAGACTAAACAACATAAGACATTGCTCAATTGGTTTTGGAAAAGATAGAATATAAAGTCCATTATTTAGGCATAATTTCTCATTTGGTAATACAGATACAAATATTAGAAAAAAAATAAAGTTAGATTAAGTCATGAATAAAAGAGTGAACATTTAAATGATGGCTTTGGGTTTCTTAAAGATAATTCAAACTTATGTTGTTAAGGTTTTTTTTTTTTTTAACTTCTTTTCCATGTTAGCTTCAAGACCTCCGATCCAAGATGCTTTCTAAAGAAGTCTCCTGTCAAGAACTGAAAGCTGAAATGGAGAGCTACAAGGAAAACAATGCCAGAAAATCATCTCTCCTTACCTCTTTGAGAGACAGAGTTCAGGAACTAGAAGAAGAATCAGCAGCACTTTCCACTTCTAAAATCAGAACAGAAATCACAGCTCACGCTGCAATCAAGGAGAACCAGGAATTAAAGAAGAAAGTTGTAGAGTTAAATGAAAAATTACAGTAAGGATACTGCAATATATTTTTCGCTTTAGCTAGCATTAAAATACTAGCTTCTGATAGCAAGATATGTCTTTGAAAGTACTGGCATTTTGCATTACTTGGCCCTTAAACTCAATTTGAAAAAAAGTTATTGACCTCAAATATCTTTGGAGTCTTGACAAATTTTTCCAAGGCTCATTTCTAAATGTCATCAAGAGTCTTAACAAATACAGCCTTGTCTTAAGCATGTTTATAGCCTATCAATTAGGGCTGCAAATGCTTATTTACACAATTTCGAAGATTTCTCTAAGTAGAGTTTAACCCTGAGCTTGTGGGGTAGTACACAGAGGTAGGTATTTATTTAGTAGCCAGTTATAAAAATATCCCAGAAGCTAGACCACTCCAGATCACACTGAACATTCCTCATTAGATTTTATTGCTAGTTTATGCAGAGAACTCATGAAACCTAGGTTTTCCACACTTCATTCTGACAAGAGGTGATTATTGAGACAAAATTGGGAATGAGTTGTTCCTAAAATATATTTTAAAATTCTACGAATGAGTTAAATATCTTTAGTAACAAAATACATGGTATTTATTTTACTTATTTCATCTTAAAAAAATAACCCAATACTTCCAGCCCCTGTCCTCTTTCTCTACTTCCACTTACAGCAAAAACTCCTTAAACATTGTATGTATGGCCGGGCATGGCGGCTCACACCTGTAATCCCAGCACTTTTGGAGGCTGAGGTGGGCAGATCACTTGAGGTCAGGAGTTTGAGACCAGCCTGGCCAACATGGTGAAACCCCGTCTCTACTAAATACAAAAATTAGCTGGGCGTGGTGCCAGGTGCCTTTAATCCCAGCTACTCGAGAGGCTGAGATAAGAGAATTGCTTGAACCTGGACAGGTGGAGGCTGCAGTGAGCTGAGATCACACCACTGTACTCCAGCCTGGGCAACAAAGAGAGACTCTGTCTCAAAAAAAAAAAATGTTGTATGTATTCATGGTCTCCAATTTCTCTTCTCTCTCTGGAATCTGCTCCACTGAAACCACTCATTAAGGTCATCAGTGAGTGCACAGTGCAAGTTAAATGGTCAGTCTTATCTTACCTGACCTATCAGTAGCATCAGTTACAGTTGATCTTTTTCTTTGAACCGTTTTCTTCTTCTCTTGGCTTCCAGGACTTTACACATGCCTAGGTTTTTTCTTTTTCTAATCTTACCTTGCTAGCTAGTGTCTTTCACTGTTTCTCCTCATCTCTTTGGCTTTCAAATACTGGAGTACCTCAGGGATCAGCCCCTGAATCTCTTCTCATTTGTGTCTAAATTTACTCTCTTGGTGATATCATTTAGTTTCATGGCTTTAAGAATCTAAATGCTGGTGACTCCCACATTTCTGTGTCTAGCCTGGATCTCTTCCCAGAGCTCAAGAACCACATATCTTACTAGCTACTGTATATCTCCATGTGGATCTCTGACAGGCATCTCAAACTTAATGTGTCCAAAACGGAGCTCCCAGTGTTCCCACAAAATCCTTCTGTACTTTTCCTCATCTCATGTGATCATAATTCCATTCTTCTAGTTGATCATTTCAAAATTCTTGCTATCAAACTTGGTTCTCTTTCTCTTTCACCCTCCATGTCTGATTCTTCAGCAAATCCCATCATATCTATCTTCAAAACAAATCTAAATTGTGTCAGTTTTCCATTATCACCTTTATTGTCACTAACTTGGTCCAAGCCACCATTAACTCTCACCTGGAGTATTGTAATATGTATCTGTAACAGCAGCATCCCACTCCTGGTACTAATTTCTGTCTTAGTTGGTTTGGGCTGCTATAAGAAAAATACCATATACTGGGTGGCTTAAATGACAGAAATTTATTCCTTGTAGTTGTGGAGGCTGGGAAGGCCAAGATCAAGATGTTGGCCTATTCAGTTCCTGGTGAGGGTCCTCTTTCTGGTTTGTAGATGAATGCCTTCTTGCTGTATCCTCACACGGCAGAGAAAGAGATCACCTCTCCATGTTTCTCCTCCTCCTCCTCCTCTTCCTTCCTCTTCCTCCTCCTCCTCCTCCTTCTTCTGCTGCTGCTTTTTTTTTTTTTTTTTTTTTTTTTTTTTGTGACAGAGTGTTGCTCTGTTGCCCAGGCTGGAATGCAGTGGGTGTGATCTTGGCTCACTGCAACCTCCGCCTCCTGGGTTCAAGCAATTCTTGTGACTCAGCCTCCCAAGTAGCTGGGATTATAGGTGTGCATCACCATGCCCAGTTAATATTTTGTATTTTTAGTAGAGATGGAGTTTCACCATGTTGGCCAGGGTGGTCTCAGACTCCTGGCTTCAAGTGATCTGTCTGCCTCAGCCTCCCAAAGGGCTGGGATTATAGGGATAAGCCACCACACCCAGCCAGTGTCCCTTCTTATAAGGGCACTAATCTCATTCACGAGGTCTCCTCTCTTATGACCTAATTACCTCCCAAAGGCCCAACCTCCAAATATTATACCATCATATTGGGAATTAGGACTTCAACATATGAATTCTCAGAGGACAGAAATATTTGGTTCATAGGAGTGGTTTTCCTGCCTCTGACTGTGCCCCCTGCAGCCAGAATGATCCTGTTAAAACACAAATTAGATCATGTCAATTCTTAGCACAGAGTCCTCCAGTGACTTCTGTTCTCATTCAGGGTAAAGACAGTGTTTTCTATGAGCCAAAAGGCTCATCCTGACCTGGTTTTGCTACCATTCTCCCCCTTATTCTTTCTATTCCAGATCTCTGGCTTCTTTGCTGTCCCTTGAACCTGACAGACCTGATTGTACCTCAGGACCTTTGCAATTGTTAATTTCTTTTCCTGGAAGGCTCTTCCCCCAGATATCACATGGCTGCCTCCATTTCCTTTAAGTCTTCATTCAGATGGCACTTTCCAAGTGAGATGTTCCATGAATAACATATCTAAAAATTTACTCCTCTAATATCTCTTGCCCCTCTTTCCTTCCTGCTTAATTTTTTCTCTCTAGTCCTATTATGATGTACTATACATTTTACACATATTAATATTTTGATTATTGTCCATCTTTCCAAATAGAACATAAGCTCCATGAGGTCAATAATTTGTTTTTCAGAGATGGGGATCTCACTATCTTGTCCAGGCTGGCCTAAAATTCCTGGGTTCAAGTGATCCTCTCACCTCAGCCTCCCTAGTAGCTGGGACTACAGGTGCACACCACTGCGCCTGGCTGGATTTGTATCTCTTTTGTTTACTGTTGTATCTTTAGCACCTTTAATGGGGCTTGGTGTATGATGGGTACTCAATAAGTATTTATTAAATAAATGAGTAATAAAAACACTATATGCATATTGTAAAAAATATTTTTTATACAGAAAAGTGCCAAGAAGAAATTAATAATTACTTAAAACCTCATGATTATAGAAAAGCTATAATTAATATTAATATTTTATTGAACAGATTTTTCAGAAAATCATATACAAATGACTTTAGGTAGTGTACTATTTTTACTGAATCATATGTTCTAAATATATATATGTATATATATAAATATAAGTATATATAAAAAATATAAATATAAATATATATATATATATATATATTTTTTTTTTTAAGACAGAGTCTTGCTTTGTCACCCAGGCTGGAGTGCAGTGACATGACCTTGGCTCACTGCAGCCTCCACCTCTTAGGTTCAAGCAGTTCTCATGCCTCAGCCTCTTGAGTAGCTGGGATTACAGGCATGTGCCACCACACCCAGCTAATTTTTGTAGTTTTAGTAGAGACGGGGTTTTGCCATGTTGGCCAGACTGGTCTCGAGCTCCTGACCTCAAGTGATCTGCCTGCCTTGGTGTCCCAAAGTGTTAGGATTATAGAAGTGAGCCACTGTACCTGGCCATATGTTATAAATATTTTAAAAACTCATTTAGTATATAATTTTATTTATTTACTTATTTAAGACAGGTTTTCACTCTGCCACCCAGGCTGGAGTGCAGTGGCACAATTATGGCTCACTGCAGCTTTGACCTCCTAGGCTCAAGCAATCCTCCCACCTTAGCCTCTTTTGTAGCTGAGACCACAGGTGCATGCCACTACACCCAGCTGATTTTTAAATTTTTTTGTAGAGATGGCGTCTTGCCATGTTGCCCAGGTTGGTCTTGAATCCCTGGCCTCAAGCAATCCTCCCACCTTGGCCTTCCAAAGAGCTGGGATTACAGGCGTGAGCCACTGTGCCAAGCCTAGTACATAATTTTAAATGGCCCATTGTATTCCATTGCTTGAAATACCATAATGTACTCAATCACTTTGGCTATTTCTACAGGCTCTTAGGTTAGTTCCACTAAAAAAATTACTATAAACCAAGTTGCAGTGAATATCTATGTGATTCATATTTTTAAATTTCTGTGATTATTTTCTTAGGGTAGATTCCTGAAACTTTGTTGGGTCAAGTGAATTGCAAATAGAAATGGAAGTAGTTTAGAGACCTTTGGAATGGAGAAGAAAGATTGAAATCTTGGGGTTAATGTATGGAATCCTATATGTATATCAATCAGCACCATACAATTAATTATGCCTTTCCTGGGTCCAAAAGACTGAAGAGTTTTACCTTTCATATGCTAAAATAAGAACTCAGAAATATAGTGAAGTTAGTCTTTTATCGTTACACATTTTTCTAAATAGAAATCTGATATGCTTTGAGTATCTGCAATTACATGCTTTGTTAATCTTTGAATAGCGTGAAGGAATTTGCAGTAAACACTCAACATGGTAAAAAGGAAAAGCAATAATCATGTTTATTATCTTGGATATTTAAAAAATGACACTAAATTACTGAAATGATTCTAATTTGCCTTTAAAGTATGCCTATTTTTGACAATCTCTTAGTTGCTAACATTTAAAGCATTAGAAATAGGCCATACTATTTCAACAAACCTATCTGAGATTTGAAACAATATATTCATAATGGACCATAAATTTCCTTTTTCCTTGACTGGCCAATTCTAGTACTTTCCTAATGCTCTTTTTTTCCTTTTATTTTTAGTTGACTTATAATAATTGTACATATTTATGGGATATGGAGTGATATTTTGATACATGTATACAATGTATAATGATCAAATCAGGGAAATTAGTAAATCCATCATCTTGAATATTTATCTTTTTTTGTGTGTGAACATTCAAAATCCTCTCTGCTAGCTATTTGGAAACTAAATTCTTGTTAACTGTATTCACCCTACTGTGCTACAGAACACTAGAACTTACCCCTGCCATCTAGCTTTATAACTTTATAACTATCTTTATAAGTTTATAGCCATTGACTCACCTCCCTGTATCCTCCTTCATCCGCTACCCTTTCCAGCCTCTAATAATCAAAATTCTACTCTGCTTCTACGAGTTCAATTTTTTGTAGCTTCCACATATGAGTGAAAACATGAGGTAATTATCTTTCTGTACTTGACTTATTTTGCTTAACATAATATCCTCCAGGTTCATCCATATTGCCACTCCTGACAGGATTTCACTCTTTTAAAAGGCTGAGTAGTATTCCGATGTGTATATATCATATTTTTTTTCCCATTCACTCACTGATGGGCACTTATGTTGATTCCCTATCTTTGCTATTATGAATAGAACTGCAGTAAACATGGGGGTTCAGACATCTCTTCGATATACTGATTTTCTTTCCTTTCTTCCAATACACTTTAAAGACTGAGGGAGTGTGAAAACTAATAATGAACTTTGCTGGTGATTGAACACATCTCCTTTCCAGAGGCAAGAACCTTCTGTGCTTTTGATGTATTTGATATTATAGTTATGCCTGGCCATGAACCAGGACCCTTATAAATCACTGTATTGTAAAGTTTGAAAATAAAATGAAGCTTGGTTCTCTAGAACCAATGTGGTAGCACTCTCCTTCCCCATGAGGCCCCAATGAAGACCCATGGCTATGTGGATTGTGTGTGCTCTAGACACGTGCCTCCATTTTTAGAGATCCTAAAGGGTTGAGGCTAGGGGAATTCATTTCCCCTCCTGTTACTAAGTCCACAATGCCTTGAAGATTTCCTTATATTTCTGCAAAGCACAGGTGTCCCAAAATTGCTGCCACTTTTCTCCTTCCTTTATAGGGCTTTATAGGGCTTCTGTGACAATAATTTGCTCTGTGTCTGGGAAACTGTGTTGTGTTGAAAATGACAATTATTTCCCCCATAGAGCTTATATTCTGACTTGGTTTGATGAATGTTATCTTCCATGGTGTTAAATTCTGACTTATTTGTTATTTGCCTAACAGAAAGTGTTCAAAAGAAAATGAGGAGAATAAGAAACAAGTTTCAAAGAATTGCAGGAAACATGAGGAATTTCTGACTCAACTGCGTGACTGCTTGGATCCAGATGAGAGGAATGACAAGGCATCAGATGAAGATTTAATTTTAAAGGTGTCTGTATGCAGATTAAAAAGTCTATAAATGTAGTGGTGATTCTGACATGTGGCATGAAAGGAAGTGCTGTGGTTGAGTTTGGGGGTGGCAGGAGAATGGCACAGTAGACCAAGTGTAGTATTAATTAACTGTATGACTTGGGACAAGTCACGTCACCTGCCTGAGCCTCAATTCCAAGATCTTTTCTAGCATTATTGGAATTAATTATTCTCCAAAAGAGATTAATGGCTTTGTCTAAAATATATTTAGGTTGTCATATAGAGTTAATTACTCATTGTAACCATTTGCTTTAGGGAGTTTTTTTCCTTTTAGTTACAGCCAGACATATACTCACACAAGCAGCTGCATGTCATTTTTAGGATACTGATTGAGTGTGAGATCTAAAGTACTTTAAAAATTTACATTAAAACCAAATAGTGGCTGGGCGCGGTGACTCACGCCTGTAATCCCAGCACTTTGGGAGGCTCAGGCGGGCAGATCACCTGAGGTCAGGGGTTTGAGACCAGCCTGGCCAACATGGAGAAACCCCGTCTCTACTAAAATACAAAAATTAGCCAGGCGTGGTGGCAGGTGCCTGTAATCCCAGCTAATTGGAAGGCTGAGACAGGAGAATCACTTGAACCAGGAGGCGGAGGTTGCAGTGAGATCAAGCCACTGCACTCCACCTGGGCCACAGAGTGAGACTCTGTCTCAAAAAATAAACAAAACAAAACAAAATAGCAAAAATTCTACTTTAATGGTAGATTACCATTAAGTCAGAAATAAATAATAATAACTGAATAATTCACTTGGCCCATAGTGCTTCATTAGGGTACCTGAAAGTATTTGGTTCTCTTTGGCTATTTACAAACCTTTCATATCCTTGCTTCCTGACAGATTTCCATACAGCCGTTTGTTGTTGTTTTTTTTTTTTGTTTGTTTGTTTTAAATTTAGAGACAAGATCTTGCTCTGTCATCCAGGCTGGAGTACAGTGATATGATCCTAGTTTACTGTGGCCTTGACTTCTTGGGCTCAAGTGATCCTCCCGCCTCAGCCTCCTAAGTAATTGAGACTACAGGCATGCACCACCATGTCTGGCTAATTATTTTATTTATGTAGAGATGAGGTCTTCCTATGTTGTCCAGGCTGGTCTTGAACTCCTTGCCTCAAGCAATTACCCCACCTCTGCCTCCTGAAGTGCTGTGAGTACAGTTGTGGGCCACCATGCCCAGCACCCATGCATCATTTTTTTTTTTTAAATGGAGATGAGGTCTCACTATATTGCCCGGGCTAGTCTCTAACTCCTGGGCTCAAGCGGTTCTCCCACCTTGGCCTTCCAAAGTGCTGGGATTACAGGCGTGAGCCATCACGTCTGGCCTATCATGCAGCCATTTTTGAAAACCACCTCTCAGGTGTCTACTAGTGAGCTTCCCAAATGTCCTCTCTGAAAGCCGCAAGATGACTTCATTCGACTTTGGGAAGTATTCCACTTCACGGATGGGTTTTGATAGCTGGGACCATGGGTCCACCTGATGCTCTCATGGGTGCTGGATGCCTCTCCTCCTCCCTATGGCTAACTTGTGACCAGGAACTCAGCTGTAAAAGTCCACTTGTAGTTTGAGAATTATCTTTCAAACCAAATGATGGGGACAAGAAAAGGGAATTCAGAAGCTGCTTCTTCCGTGACACACTTTTCTCTATCGGACACAATCTCCAGGTGCTAATCAGGGTGTTTCTACTACATTTATCATGTCCTTGTCTTTTCTGTATTTCTAATGCTTTGACTTCCGGGGTCTTGCTGAGCCGGGAGAGCCTGCCCTTCCCAGCAGAGCTTTCACGTGTGAACTGACCAATCCAGAGCCCACTCCCCAGCCACCTCCTACAACTGGCTGTTACCTGCAGATTACTGCCCCTTGCCCTAAGCCCCCCAGACAGCTCGGGTCAGCCCCTACACCCCAAGAGCCACTGAAATCATTCAATAGCCAACCCTAAGTCTGCTTACTCTGCTTTGCTTATTCCTTCCTGTGGAGGCGACAATAAAGCCTCTCGCCCGCTTTTCTCCCCACTTCTTCTGCCTCCTGACTGGCCCTGGTGCTTCCCCATTGCCCTGTGTAGTGTGGTGGGTTCCTGCCACTTGGGAACAATGAATAAGAAACCATCTTTTTGATGGCAATTTCCTCCTGGGATTTGTTGGCCTCAGCTTACCTGAACAGTAATGGAATCTATATTTCACGACACAGGGTAGGAATCTGGAGCTTTGGCATCTCGGCCACGTGAGCAGGTGCCTGTCTTAAGAAGAAAAAAAAAAAAAATTGGCCCAGATCAGGAAGTCTGCTGTCTTGACCAAGACTTCAGCCTCATTAGGTGTTCCTCCAAGAACAAAATGGCTCTGGTTTCAAAACTGTTCCTTCGCTTTCACACGCCCTCATAAACACGTGTGCACACGCATTCGCAAGGAACCATGCATTCCTAACAATTAGACATTCATTCCTTCATTTCACAAATATTTAGTGAGTGCTTACTATATGCTAGACACTGTTCTGAGTGCTGGAGAGATAGCAGTGAATGAGACAAGACTATGTCTATGCTCGCCTAGAGATTTCATTTTCAAAGGGTAAGGATAGTGAAGAAATAACCAAATAAATATCTACGATTGCTCCACATGGTGAAAGGTGCAATACAGAAAAACAAATCAGGATGCAGGGATAGAGAGGGAAGCAAGTCACAGGTGTTGGACACTGTCTGAAGAGCGCCCCCGTGAGGTCGGGAGTTTTGAGGGCCATTGAGGAGAGAGATCATGCAAATGTGAGGAAGAGTGTTGGAGAGAGAGGGAACAGCATGAGTTGGGAGTGGGGCACCATGTTTTCAGAGCATTGAGGCTCAAAGGTATATCACTTCCACGGAGAGTCTCAACACAAATGCTGGCCCTGTCCTGAGGGGTCTCAAGTCACCCTACAGGCCTCCCCCTGGCCCTACAGAGTGAAATTGTCTGTATGGCTCGTTCCCTGAGGTCAAGGAGCCTGCTGGCTTTTATTTTCCCCTTGTAAATCTTATAAATGCTCCCAGTTAACCATTCCAATGCACAACATAGTGAGCAAAAGCCCTGCTAATCTCAATTCCCTATGATAAACACTGAGCTGTTATTCAGAATTTTCCTATGCTTATATTACATAGAAGAATATTTTTTTAAAAAGCATGGCCGTGTGTTCTCTGTATTTCCTCCAGTGCCACATGGTGACTTGACTGCAGAAGGTCTGAGTGGACATGGGCTGAAGGCAAGTCCCTTGCTTCATCGCCTACTGTAGCCTCTGTAGAGCTTCACCTTACCTGATGTATTTAGCAGGTTTGCTGATGTGTGTTCCGTCGGGACACTTTTGGCTTCATTATCCTTGCCTTGTGGCCACCTTTTGGATAATTTGAATTTGACCCCCAGGTCTAAAACAGAGTTTACAGGCTGCCTTTGAAAATGTGACCTTTCCAGTCCATGTAGGGATAGTGCTCTTACATTTTTCATATGATAATGCAGTCTATAGATGTGACTTGCTTAGAGAAAATGATGAAATTGTTAATTTTTATAGGACAGCTGTAATTGCTTTCTCTTCAGCTTAGAGACCTGCGCAAAGAAAATGAATTCGTGAAAGGACAAATTGTTATTCTTGAAGAGACTATAAATGTCCATGAGATGGAAGCAAAAGCTAGCAGAGAAACGATCATGAGGCTGGCTTCAGAAGTCAACAGAGAGCAGAAAAAAGCTGCCTCCTGTACTGAAGAGAAAGAGAAGCTGAACCAGGTATGATATGTGAAGTATACGTGTGCATCTGGGACCATGTTGAAGAAGCAGAAATGGAAGAGATGGATGTCAGATAAGTGCCCTAGAACTACTGATTACGATTTTTTTTATTGATCACAATTTTAAGAGCCTGCACTCAGCAGGAGGGTTGGGGGTGACATGGGACAAAGTGACTTGAACAGGCCATTGGCTATATATGTACATTTAAAAATTTTTTAATTTAAATTTTAATTAATTAATTAATTTTTGAGAAGGAGTCTCACTCTGTCACCCAGACTGGAGTGCAGTGGCACGATCCTGACTCACTGCAACTTCCGCCTCCCTGGTTCAAGCAATTCTCCTGCCTCAGCCACCCAAGTAGCTGGGACTACAGGCACCCACCACCATGCCCAGCTAGTTTTTTTGTTTGTTTGTTTGTTTTTTTTGTTTTGGACGGAGTCTCACTCTGTCACCCATGCTGGAGTGCAGTGGTGCTATCTTGGCTTGCTGAAGCTCCGCCACCCTGGTTCACACCATTCTCTCACCTCAGCCTCCCGAGTAGCTGGGACTACAGGGGCCCACCACCACACCCGGCTAATTTTGTTTTTTTGTATTTTTAGTAGAGATGGGGTTTCACCGTGTTAGTCAGGATGGTCTCAATCTCCTGACCTCGTGATCTGCCCGCCTCAGCCTCCCAGAGTGGTAGAATTACAGGCGTGAGCCACCACGGCCGGTCTAATTTTTGTTTAATAGAGACAGGGTTTCACCATGTTAGCCAGGCTGGTCTCGACTCCTGGCCTCAAGTGATCTGCCCACCTTGACCTCCCAAAGTGCTGGAATTACAGGTGTGAGCCACTGTGCCTGGCCACATTTTTTTAAATAATGGAAAAAAGGAATACAAAACACTTAAAATTAAAGAATTTGTAGAGAAGATGTCTTACTTTAGTTAAATTATAGGATCTTAAAAAGTTTAAATTTAATATATTTGAACAAATAGGTAATATATTTACAAGAAACAAAATTCTAAATGTACAGGAGTATATGGTGAAACATGTTCCCCATACCCCTCTCCCCAGCCACCCAGTTCTCTTCAGAGGCAACCTTTCTGTTAACAATTTCTTTCTTTAAAAAATTTATTTGTAGAGACGGGGTCTCACTATGTTGCCCAGGCTGGTCCTAAACTCCTGGCCTCAAGTGATCCTCCCACTTGGGACTTCCAAAATGCTGGGATTACAGGCATGAGCCATTGAGCCCTGCCCCAGTGATTTCTTATATACTCTTCTGGAAATATTTTACACACATATATACATATTCTTTTAATTTCTTTTTAACACAAATGTTGACACACTCTGCACACTATATGTTTCTCTTTTTATTTATTTTTTAACACAAGTGGCAATATACTATACATTATTGTCAATACAGCTATTATGAGTAATCTTATATCATTCTTCATGTGGGAGGATATATCAGTAAGACAAAATCCAAGAAGTAGACTCGCTGGGCCAAAGGACATGGACCTTGTAATTCTGACAGATATTGCCAAAGGGAAGTGACTGAATTGTAAACTTTTATTTACACAATGAATTGGCTGATCTTTTCAAATGGTCTGCAACCTATTTGAGCTATTTAATACCATATGTATTTTTTAACATTGTATAATCCCTTAACTATAATTTTGTGATAAAGAAATTTATTATGGGATTAATAATAATGATCCATTTCCAAAAGCAAAAACGAGCTTATACAATCAGTTAATAAAAGTACATAGGAAAAAAGTGAATGGCAGTGGCCCAGCAGATGGAATTTAAGATCAGCTAAGGACTGATGCTGATAAAGGGAGCCTCCTTGTGGGTGAAGGGCTAGTGGTGGCCCACAGGCTGAGGAGGGGCCTGGGGAATTGGTGGGTGCAGGAGAAGGAGTTGCCTTTTCAGGAATTTCTTTTGGGCCTTTTCTGTCTAGTGACAGCCACACTGAGGTGAGAAGGGAAGTTGGAAAGCACAGTCATGATGATAATTTCTATTTTCAATTAATTCCCTGCATCAAAAGGCCCTTCGCACCACTAGCTTTATTCTCCTGACACATTAACTCTGTGGAAAGTGCAAAGTTTATTATTGTTGTCAATGCCCTCATTGTCAGCTTGGGCTGCCATAATACAGTACCATAGACTGGGTGGTTTAAACAACATAAATGTATTTCTCACAAATCTGGAGGCCGGGAAATCCAAGATCAGAACCAACATGGTCAGGTTCTGGTGAGGGCCCTCATCCTGCATGTAGATGGCTGCCTTCTCCCTGTGTCCTCACATGTCACAGAGAGAGCAAGCAAGCTAAGTGCTATGATGTCTTTCCTTCTAAGGGCACTAATCCCATCGTGAGGTCCCCACCCTCAAAACTTCATCTGAACCTAATCATCTCCCAAAGGCCCCACCCACAAATACCATCACATTGGGGGTTAGGACTTCAAAGTATGAATTTTGGGGAAGATACAAATCAGTCCATAGTATTAGGTTGGTGCAAAAGTAATTGCGGTTTTTGCAATTACTTTTAATGGCATCAACCTAATAACTTACCATTATTTTTCACCAACATTGTCTTTTAAAAAATTTCAAATATATAGAAAGAGTGAAGGAATATGACAATGATCACCCACCCACCATCCACCCAGATGCAACAATGGTTAGCATTTTGTTTTATTTGCTTTATTATTTTACATAATATGTATTTGTTATTGTTTATTTATTGTTACATAAACATAGATATATTTGCAGAATCACTTGAAAATAAGTTGCAGACTTCATAAGTATTGCCTCTAACTATGTCAGCATATTTATCCTGAGAATAAGGACATTGCCCTATGTAACCACAATACCACTGCTGCATCTGAAAGTTAACTATAATGCCGGATACCATCTGTGGTGGTTTTCAAGCACATACATTTTTTTATATGCTTCCTCTTGAGCACGGTCTGGACTTAGTGATTCCCTTCTAGTGAATAGAATATGTCAGAAATGATGGATATCACTTTTGATATTAGGTTATAAAAAGGCTGTGGCTTCTGTCTTAAATACACTCTATTGATCTCTCTGGAGTCACTTGCTCTTGAGGGAAGCCAGGGGCCATGGTGTGAGGTAGGTCTAGGGAGAGGGAAGTCAGCTACCATGTGGTGAAGACACTTAGCCTCCTCTCGGGAGGCCCACGTGGTAAGGACCTGAGGCCTGTCAGCTACCATGTGAGTGAGCCCAGCAGGGAATCGTCCCCTGGTCAATCCTGGGGAGGACTGCAGCCCTGCTCAACAGGTTGGCCCTAACCTTAGGAGAGCCCCTGAGCCAGAACCACCACCAGCAAAGTCGTGCTGAGATTCCTGACCCATAGAAACTGTGAGATAATCAGTGTTTGTTGTTTTAAGCCACCAAGTTTGGCTTAGCTAATAATAATCTAGTATCATTTCACATTCACATTTCACCCCTTGCTACAAGAATGTCTTTTACAGCAGTTTTCTTCCCCAAATTTGGAACCTACCTAGGTTAATTCACTGCATTTGTTGATTAGTGTCAGGTTTTTTTTTTTTTTTTTGGTTGTTGTTGTTTTAAATAGCATTGACATGTTGGAGAGTCCAGAGCAGTGGCCTGATTTTTTCTTCACTGTGTGGTTTAACTTGTTTCTCTATATCCTGTAAACTTAAAAGTTGGATCTAGAGGCTGGATTGGATTCAGGTTAAGGCTTTTGGCAAGAATATTATGTATTATATTTCACATTGCATTCTATTAGAAGGCAAATAATGTTAGAGTGTTCCACTGCTGGTGACGATAAGTTTGACTACGAATCTCTTTGGCGTAAGGGTACATTTTTTTCTCTTCTGCAGTTAAGTTTCTATGGGGTGATCATTATCAGGTTATTCCTGTTCCCTCTGACTTTACCTAGTGATGTTAGCATACGCCGATTCTTGTCTGGATTAACTATTACATCATGGGTGGCAAAGTGGTGATATTCTAATTTCGTCATTCCTCCCATCTATTAGGCAGTAGTCTTCTCTAAAGAAAAGCTTTCTTTATTTTCTTTCCTTTTGTTTTCAATTCTATGGACACATGGGTTTTTATTTATTTACTGTGTTATAATCAATTATTCTCTTTCAGTGCTCCAAATTCTCCAAATTTGTCCGGCAGAAGCTCCTTCAGGATGTACCCTGTGACCTTGTAGCATGAGTCCTTTAGTCTCTCAAGTCTTCCTCGATCTCTGGCTGAAGAAGTCATCACAGGCTTTCTTGCAATATTCAGGCCACTGAACTAAAACCAGCCAAATCAGCCAATTCTTTTTTTTTTTTTTTTTTTTTTTTTTTTGAGACAGAGTCTTTCTGTCTCCAGGCTGGAGTCCAGTGGCATGATCTCAGCTCACTGCAACCTCTGCCTTCCAGGTTCAAGTGATTCTCCTGCCTCAGCCTCCCTAGTAGCTGGGATTACAGGCACGTGCCACTATGCTTGGCTAATTTTTTGTATTTTTAGTAGAGAGAGGTTTCACCATGTTGGCCAGGCTGGTCTCGAACTCCTGACTTCAAGTGATCCACCCACATCGGCCTCCCAAAGTGCTGGGATTACAGGCATGAGCCACTGCGCCTGGCCTACCAGCCAATTCTTTAAAGAGCTTTGGTTCCTAAGACTGGTGAATGGTGCTTAGAAACCAAAATTGATGATTTATAAATGCTCATTTATTGAATACTTACCATTAGCCCAGTCATTGTGCTAATGATCAGAGAGGTTATTCACTTTGCTCAAGTTCACACAGCTATTAAATGGCAAAGCTAGGATTTGAACCCATATCATTACATTATTGTACCTTCAGCAATAATCCTCTTTCCATATATATTCACAGTTACATCCTACATACAAGTCTGATGCCAGAAACTATTTATTAGTCAGTGGAACAACAATAATAAATAGCCATACAAATGTCCTCAGTGAGTAATTTTAATTCAATTATAACTAGTAGTTATTAAATTATCAAGATTTGAATATTAGGGGGAGAGGAGGGGTTAAAAAAGACTTGACTATTAGGAAGAATTTAATATTTATTTATAAAAATGCATCTCTAGAGATCAGTAGTAGGAAACGAGTAAGGAAATGTGTTGTAATAGCACATTCAAAAACCAGAACTTATTCCTCTTCTTATATAAGTGTCTTCACTTGTAATGACTGATGCAATGTTGTTCAGACTTTGGAAACACATTCACTTTGGGATGAAGTTCCTGCCAAAATCATAAAAATTGTAAAAAAAAAAATTATATGGGCAATAAAAAAACTTGAGGTCTTTAATAAAGTACTTTATTCATAGGATTGTGCCTCCCGAAGATTTACTACTTAAAAATACCATCAGGTGGTTTTACTGACACATTAACAGACTCAGGAAGAGTCTTCATAATGCTTTCTAAAGCTCTATTTTTGAGGTAGGAAACTTACTTTATTAGTGAGGTCCAGAAGGACTGCAGAAGTAGAAGTAGCCACAGGACTAGGGTGTGGTTTCTACATAACTCAGCTTTTCTGATCTGCTTGAAGACTCTACTTCAGTTCCTTCAAGAAAATTTCGCAAATAAAAATCCAAGTGATTTGTCATATATATGATAAATATATTACTTAAAAATATTTTAGTAGTTCATATTGAAGTATGTCTTAAAAACTACCAAAAGTTGGTACTTGGTACTTTTTCCCTTGGTTTTCTTGAAATAACCTACTGAGGAATAACCTATTTGAGGAAAGTAGTCATTTTGCCTGGGCAAGCCACACACCCATTTCCTATGAATTACAGAAGTTAAAATCAATGAGATCAGAAACTAAACTTCCATGTTGCATTTAATTCTACTAGCAAGAATTAAAGCTAGGAAATAAAGTGGTGTTAGAGTCAGGCAGGCCTGGATTTGCAATGATGTCAGTTCTGCCTTTTTTGTTAGCTTACAGTGGAGTATGTAAGAGAGACACTGCACAGGCCAGGTGCAGTGGCTCAAGCTTGTAATCCTAGCACTTTGGGAGGCCAAGGCAAGCGGATAACTTGAGGTCAGGAGTTTGAGACCAGCCTGACCAACACGGCAAAACCCCATCTCTACTAAAAATACAAAAATTAGCCAAGCGTGTGGTGGGCACCTGTAATCCCAGCTACTCGGGAGGCTGAGGTAGAAGAATCGCTTGAACCTGGGAGGCAGAGGTTGCAGTGAGCTGAGATGGCACCACTGCACTCCAGTCTGGGCGACAAAGCTGGACTCTGTCTCAAAAAAAAGAGAGAGCAAGACAGAGAGACACTGCGCAGAGCGGTTAAGAAGCTAGGCTCTTTAATTAGGCTGCTTGGGTTTTTATCCTGGCTCCAGAATCATTCGGCTATGTGATTGCAGGCACGTAGCTTGATCTTTTTGGACCTCAGTTTTTTTTTTTTTTTTTTTTTTGTGAGACAGAGTCTCGCTCTATTGCCCAGGCTGGAGTGCAGTGGTGTGACCTCGGCTCACTGTAACCTCTGCCTCCTGGGTTCAAATGATTCTCCTGCCTCAGCCTCCCGAGTAGCTGGGACTACAGGCACCTACTACCACGCCCAGCTAATTTTTGTATTGTTAGTAGAGATGGGGTTTCAATTCACTATGTTGGCCAGGCTGGTCTCGAACTCCTGACCTCGTGGTCCACCTGCCTCGGCCTCCCAAAGTGCTGGGATTACAGATGTGAGCCACCGTGCCCAGCCTGGACCTCAGTTTTTAAAATCTGTAAAATGGGAAAATAAGGCTCTCTTACTATTACGTTAGAATTAAATGGTAAAATATACATAAAATACTTAGGACGTGTCTGGCACACAATTGGTGTTCAGTGTTTTCATTTCCTTTTCCTAGTTATTTACTTTTACCTGGGGATAAGATAAACATGAGATTAATTTATAGTCATATGGAAATAGTTCCTGGAAGTAAGAAATGACTAGATGAGATAGACTACTGAAGAAATGACAGACCTCTTTACAATTCTAGAATCATAAAGTTGGAAGTGACCTTCAGGCCATTTAGAATCTAGATCATCTAACTCTCTATGTGAAATAAGAATCATGTTTTAAAACAATTTCCCTGACTAGCTAATGTTCAACCTTTCCTTTAACTCTTCTAGAAATGGGGAACTCACTACTGTATAAGGAGGTCCGTCTCATCTTTGTGAACTGTTTGACAGTTCCGTATTGTAGCAAGTCAGGATTAGAGTCTCTATAATTCAACTCCTCATCCTGTTACTCACTTGTGAAATTTCACTGAATAAATGAAAATCCGTTTTCTTATGGCCACCCTTCAAATGGTTAAGGACATTTATTATGGATTTCTAAGTCTCTTCTTCTGGCTAAACAGCCTTAGATCTTTCAAACTTTTCTTACTTGAACCCTCCTTCTTATTGCCTGTGAGGCTGGGGGAGTTCTAGTCTGTGGGTGAGGAATTAAAATGAAAACAAACACCAAATAATATCTGCCCATATTATACAAAATTAAAGCTGGATTGGGGATGGTGGCGTATGCCTGTAATGTCAACACTTTGGGAGGCTGAGGCTGGCAGATCACTTGAGGCCAGGAGTTCAAGGCCAACCTGGGCAACATAGTGAGATCTCCATCTCTATAATAAAAAGAAAAGCTGTTTATAAGACTCCTACAAAATGACTTATTCTCTTTTTTAGTTCTTTTGAAAATTACCATTAAGACTTTAAAGTGGCCAGCTGTGGTGGCTCACGCCTGTAATCCCAGCATTTTGGGAGGCTGAGGCAGGCAGATCACTTGAGGGCAGAAGTTCAAGACCAGCCTGGTCAACATGGTGAAACCCCATCTCTACCAAAAGCACAAAAATTAGCTGGGCATGGTAGTGCATGCCTGTAATCCCAGCTATTGGGAGGCTGAGGCATGACAGTCACTTGAACCTGGGAGGTGGAGTTTGCAGTGAGCTGAGATTGAGCCACTGCACTCTAGCCTGGGCGACAAAGCGAGACCCTGTCTCAAAACAAAATCAAACAAACAAACAAAAAACTAAAACTTTAAAGTAATACAATTTTATTCCTGATTCATCAATTTGAGGCAGTATTTGGCAAAGACTTTCTGCTATGAAATATGAAGAATTTCATGCCTCCTACTTTTTTTATTTATTATTGCTACACGATACTTGTATGTATTTAACGGGTACGTGTGCTATTTTATTACACGCATAGAATGTGTAAGGATGAAGTCAAGGTATTTAAGGTCTTCATCACCTCAACTATTTATCATTTCTGTGTGTTGGGAACATTTCAAGCCCTCTCTTCTAGCTATTTCAAAATATACAATACATTGTTAACTATAGTCACCCTACTCGCTGACAAACATTAAAGCTTATTTCTTCTATCTACTGTATGCTTGTATCCATTAACCAATCTCTCTTCATCCCTCCTCCCACCCACTTACCCTTCCCAGCCTCTGGAATCTATTTTTCTACTCTCTAACTATATGAGTCAACTCTTTTAGTTCCTGCATATGAGTGAGAACATGTGATATTTGTCTTTCTAGGCCTGACTTATTTCACTCAACATAATGACCTCTCATTCCATCCATGTTCCTGCAAATTACATGATTTCATTTTTTAATGGTTTAATAGTATTCCATTGTGTATATATACCACATTAAAAAAATCTATTCAGGCCTGGCGCAGAGGCTCACACCTGTAATCCCAGCACTTTGGGAGGCCAAGGCGGGTGGATCATGACGTAAGGAGACCGAGACCATCCTGGCTAACACGGTGGAACCCCGTCTCTACTAAAAAATACAAAAAGTTAGCCGGGTGTGGTGGTGCACGCCTGTAGTCCCAGCTACTCAGGAGGCTGAGGCAGGAGAATGGCATGAACCCAGGAGGCGGAGGTTGCAGTGAGCCGAGATCACGCCACTGCACTGCAGCTTGGGTGACAGAGCGAGATTCTGTCTCAAAAAAAAAAAAAAAAATCCATTCATCCGTTGGTGGACACTTCGGTTGATTCCGTATATTTGCTATTGTGACTAGTGCTGCAGTAAACATGAGTGTGCAGGAATCTCTTTGTTATGCTCATGTCCTTTCCTTTGGATAAATACTCAGTAGTGGGATTGCTGGATGTGTGGTATTTACATTTTTAGTTTTTTTAAGAAATCTCCATACTGTGTTCCATAGTGGCCATACAAATTTACATTCCCACCAACAGTGTTAACAAAAGTTATCTCTTCTCTGTATCCTTGCGAGCATCTGTTATGTTTGTTTATTTGTTTTTGTCTTTTTAATAATAGCCATTCTAACTGGGGTTAGATGATACCTCATTGTGGTTTTGATCTGCATTTCCCTGATGATCAGTGATGTTGAGCATTTTAAAAACTTAACCTTTTGGGACAAATCCCAGCACTTTGGGAGGCCAAGGTGAGTGGATCACCTGAGGTCAGGAGTTTGAGACCAGCCTGGCCAACATGGCCAAACTCCATCTCTGCTGAAAACACAAAAAATCAGCTGGACGTGGTGATACACACTTGTAATCCCAGCTACTCGGGAGGCTGAGGCAGGAGAATCGCTTGAGCTTGGGAGGTGAGGTTGCACTGAGCCGAGATTGCGCCACTGCACTCCAACCTGGTGACAGATCGAGACTCTATCTTAAATAAATAAATAAATAAATAAACCTTTGGCCATTTGTATGTCTTTCGTGAACTTCTATTCATGTCCTATTCATGTCTATTCATGTTCTATTCATGTCTATTCATGTCCTCACCCACTTTTTATTGAGATTAGTGTTTTTTTTTTTTTTTTTTTTTTTAATGTTGACTTGCTTGAGTTCCTGTATGTATTCTGGATATTAGTCCCTTGTTGGATAAATAGTTTGCAAATATTTTCTCCCATTCAGCAGGTTGTTTCTTCACCCTGTTGATTGTTCCTTGTGCTGTGTAGAGGCTTTTTAGTTTAATATAGTCCCATTTGCCTACTTTTGTTTTTGTTGCCTGTGCTGTTGAGATCTTAGCCCTAAAATATTTTCCTAGCCAATGTCTTGAAGTGTTTCTTCTACATTTTATTCTAGTAGTTTTATAGTTTTAGGTTTAAGTCATTAATCCATCTTGAATTGATTTTTGTGTATGATGAGAAAGATAGTGACCTAGTTTCATTCTTCTGCATATGGATGTCTAGTTTTCCCAACACCATTTATTGAAGAGGCTCTCTTTTACCGCAATGTATATGCTTGGCACCATTGTTGAAAATCAGATGGCTATAATTATGTGGATTTATTTCTGGTTTCTTTATTCTGTTCCATTTAGTCTGTGTGTCTATTTCATACCAATACCCTGCTGTTTTGTTTATTATAGCCTTGAAGTATATTTTGAAGTCAGTTAGTATGATGCCTTCAGCTTTGTTCTTTTTGCTCAGGATTGCTTTGGCTACTTAAGGTCTTTTGTGGATCAATAGAAATTTTATGATTTTTTTCCATTTCTATGAAAAATAATATTAATGTTTCGACAGGGATTACAGTTAATCTGTAGACTGCTTTGGGTAATGTGGTCATTTAACAACATTAATTTATCTTTTTTTTTTTTTTTTTCGAGACAGAATCTTGCTCTGTCTCCCAGGCTGGAGTGCAGTGGTGTGATCTTGGCTCACTGCAACTTCCACCTCCCAGGTTCAAATGATTCTCGTGCCCAGCTTCCTGAGTAGCTGGGACAACAGGCACATGCCACCATGCCCGGCTAATTTTTGTATTTTTAGTAGAGATAGGATTTTGCCATGTTGGCCAGGCTGGTCTTGAACTCCTGGCCTCAAGTGATCCACCTGCCCTGACCTCCCAAAGTGCTGAGATTACAGGCATAAGCCACTGTGCCCAGCCAACAACATTAATTATTCTGATCCATGAGCATGAGATGTCTTTTCATTTGTTTGTGTCCTCTTTAATTTCTTTCATCAGTGTTTTGTAGTTTTCCTTGTAGAAGTCTTTCCCTTCCTTGGTTAAATTTATAAATTATTTTATGTTTTTGTTGGTATTGCAAATGGGATTACCTTCTTGATTTCTTTTTCAGGTAGTTCATTGTTAGTGTATAGAAACACTACTGATTTTTGTATGTTTATTTTGTATTCTGCTACTTTACTGAATTTATTTATAAGCTTTAAGAGTTTTTTTGGTGTCTTTTGGCTTTCCTAAATATAAGATCATGTTGTCTGCAAAGAGGGACAATTTAACTTTCTCTTTTCCAATTTGGATGTCATTTATTTCTTTCTCTTGTCTGATTTCTCTGGCTAGGATTTTCGGATACATAGAAATGTTCATAGTCATCTCTGAGGATCTTTTGTATTTCTGTGGTATCAGTTGTAATGTCACCTTTGTCATTTCTGATTGTGCTTCTTTGGTTCTTCTTTTTTTCTTAGTTAACTTGGCTAGTGGTCTGTCAATTTGGTTTATCCTTTCAAAAAAGAAACTTTTTATGTTGCTCATCCTTTTATATTTTTTTGGCTCTGAATTTTATTTAGTTCTGTTCTGATCTTAGTTATTTCTTCTATTGGCCTTGGGTTGAGTTTGTTCTTGTTTTTGTAGTTCCATTAGGTGTGATGTTAGGTTGTTAATTTGAGATCTTTCTATGTTTTTGATGTATGCATTTAGCAATATATTTTCACATTTAGCACTATATTTTCCTCTTAACACTACTTTTGCTGTATCCCAGAGGTTTTGATATGTTGTATCTTTATTTTAATTCCATTCAATGAATTTTTAAATCCTGCTTTAATCTCATTGTTTACTCAAAAGTCATTAAGAAGCAGGTTGTTTAGTTTCCATGTGCTTGTGTGGTTTTGGGAGTTTTTCTTGGTGTTGATTTCTAATTTTATTCCACTGTGGTCAGAGAAGATGCTTGATATGATTTAGTTTCTTTTTAAATTTATTGAGACTTGCTTTATGACTGAGGCATGTGTTCAATTTTAGAGAATGTTCTATTTGCAGATGAGAAAAATGTACATTCTGTGGTTGTGGGGTGCAGTATTCTATAGATGTCTGTGAGGTCCATCTTGTTGAAAGTCCGGTTTAAGTCCAGACCTTCTTTGTTAGTTTTCTGACTTAATGATCTGCCTATTGCTGTCAATGTGGTGTCAAAGTTTCCCATGATTATTGTATGGCTATCTCTTTTCTTATATCTATTAATAGTAGTATTTTATAAATCTGGGTGCTCTGAATCTGTGTGCATATATATTTAGGAGGATAGCTAAATCTTGTTGAATTGAGCCCTTTATCATCATGTAGTTCTTTTCTTTTTCTTCTTACTGTTGTAGGTTTAAATTCTGTTTTATCTGATACAAGAATAGCAACTTTTGCTCTTTTCTGTTTTCCATTTGTGTGATGGATATTTCTCCATCCCTTTACTTTAAGCCTGTGTGTGTTATTACATGCAAGATGGGTCTCTAGAGGAAAGAGAATGTAGGGTCTTGCTTTTTAATCCAATTTACCACTCTACTTCTTTTAAGTGGAGCATTTAGGCCATTTATGGTCAAAGTTACTGTTGATGTGTGAGGTTTTGTTTCTGTCATAGTGTTGTTAACTAGTTGCTTTGTAGTCTTTTTTTAAAGTAAAAATTATTTTAATTTTTATCTAGTAAATTTTTTTTTAAAATTGTGTGGGTACATAGTGGGTGTGTATATTTATGGGGTACATGAGATATTTTGATACAGCCATGCAATGTGTAATAATCATATCATGAAGAATGGGTATATCCATCCCCTCAAGCATTTTTCCTTTGTTACAAACAATCCAATTATACTCTTTTAGTTATTTAAAAATGTACAGTTAAATTATTATTGACTATAATGCTTTGTAGTCTTAATTGTGTAATTGCTTCATAGGGTCTGTGAACTTTGTACTTATGTGTGCTTTTATAGTCTCAAGTATTATTCTTTCATTTCCATGTTTAGAACTCCTTTGAGCATTTCTTGTAGGTCTGGTCTGGTGGTGATAAATTCTCTTACTGTTTGCTTGTCTGGGAAAGACTATATTTCTCCATTCATGAAGCTTAGTTTGGTATGAAATTTTTGGCTGGCAATTTTTTTCTTTTTAGGAGGCTAAAAATAGGACCTCAATCTCTTCTGGCTTGTAAAGTTTCTACTGAGAAGTCTACTATTAATTTAATAGGTTTTCTTCTCTAGGTAATTTGGCCCTTTTTTCTAGGGGCCTTTAAGGTTTTTTCTTTCTAATTGACCTTGGATAGTCTGATAACTATATGCCTTGGGAATGGTCTTCTTGTATACTATCTCATAGGAGTTCTCTAAATTTCTTGAATCTGGATGTCAACCTCTTTAGCAAGATTAGGGAAAAATTTCTGAATTTTTCCCTCAAATCTGTTTTCCAAATTGTATACTACTTTTTCATCTTCTCTTTCAGGAATGCCAATAAGTTGAAGATTTGTGAAGATTTGGTCAAAGCCATATTTCTCAAAAACTCTGTTCATTTTTAAAATTATTTTTAAAATTTTATTTTTGTCTGACTTGGTTAATTAGAAAGACTGGTTGTCAAGATCTAAAATTCTTTCTTCTGCTTAGTGTAATCTATTATTAAAGCTCTAACATTATTTTGAAATTACTTTAGTGATTTTTTTCAATTTGAGCAATTCTATTTGTCTTTTTTCTTAATATGGGCATCTAATCTTTCATATCCTGAATCATTTTTCTGGTTTTTTATGTAATGGATTTCAAATTTCTCTCAGATGTTATTGAGTTTCCTTGCAATCCGTATTTTGAATTCTTTATCTGTCATTTCAGATATTTTGTTCCGATTAAGATCCATCGTGAGAGAGCTAGTGCAATGCTTTGGAGGTGTCAAAACACTCTGGCTTTTTGTACTGCTGGAGTTCTTGCACTGAGTCCTTCTCAGGGAAATGTTGCTTCTTATTTTTGAATTTGCTATTGTTTGAATGGGACTTCTTTTTTAAATTCTTTTTTTCTCTTAGGGGTATGGCTGTGATATATATTATGTGTGATCGTTTGGCTTCATTTTGGGTGATTTCAGAGGGCCAAAGTGCTGTATATGTTCCTTGGTTGTGGATAGCTTCTGTGTGGTGGCTTTATCAGACCATGCTTGTTGAAGCTGTATTTTGGCTGTAAGAACTAATTAGAAAGACTGGTTGTCAGGATCTAAAATTCTTTCTCCTGTTTAGATATTCTATCTTCTGTAGGGCTGGGGGTGCAGAGTCCTGGGGCACTTATTTTGTGGAATAGCACTAAGCTCTTCTGGTAGCAGATTTTGTATTTGGTAGTGCAGTTGAAACTGCAGTCCAGTAAATGGTGCTTAAGAGTAAGAGCTGGCAGGTAGGCTGATGTCCAGTGAAAGCAGGTGCCTTGATGCGTTTTGGGGGAGGAGTGGGTGGGAAGAGATGGTGTTGAGGTGTAGGTGTGCTGAGGCCTTAGGGGAGGGGCTGGGGAGTGTCCTTGCTTTTCGCCCTGAGCCAGCAGAAAAGTGATTTGCTTCCCTATCAAACCCCTGTTGCAGGGCTCATGACTTTCATTTCATAAAGACTTGGTCCTTTGGTTTTTGGCCACAGTGTGGCTGCAGGCCACCAGTATGCCCCTCTGATGACTACCACCAAAATGGGCTGAGGGGAGAGTCTCTTCCCCCAGACCAGAGCAGGTACCTCCATGGTTTGTCTGTCTTCCTTTTCCGGGATGGTGCCATTCTGTGTAGGGAAGGGGAGGTGGTCCCTTCCCTTCGTAAAAGCCTGAGCAGCATGGGGCTCACTTTCAGCATGGTAGAGCTGCTGTGAAGAGCACAAAAAAATGCTATGTCCAAGTATGTGTTCACTGGCCCCTAGTGGGAAGAACCACTCTTGTGTCCATAACTGCATAAGTGGGGTGGAGATGACCGCTCTCTACATATCTTCCCTGGCTATGGGACTGCCTCCTTTAGTACTTGGCACCTTATCTGTGTTTCCTTTGTCCCAACAGGGACTTGGTGGGCTGTGCTCCCCTCTCCCTTAGAGGTGTCCCATGTTGAGAGTTAAATCTCCAGGGATGCAGCTGCTCCTTGGGGCCTACGAGTCCCCTGCACCTGCCAAAGTCAGAATGGGTTGTGGGGTATGTTTGCAAGAGATCTAGTGGTACAGTGACTCAAGGTTGGAGAGTCCCTGGGCAGGGCTGTTTCCCACTATGGGTGCATTACCAGTATGGTGCCCACAGTCTCAGCTCAGGTGTGAGGGGAGTGTGGGCACGTCTGTGTGAGCTGGCCACCAAGTTCTCTGTCCCTGAGAAGTTCTCAGATGCCCCCAATAGTGTTGACCTGGATCACAAGGGCAGAGGGGCTCACCAGCAGTTTAACAGTCAGGGGATAGTCAGAGAGGTGAGTGGGGCAGAGAAGCTCTCCCACCTACCCTTTCTGTGGGGCTCTGAGCTTCTCAGGGGTCAATCTCTGCCAGCCTCTTGTTGCTTTCTTTTTCTGCAGCTCAGCTTCTTTTTGTGGGCACTCTGACAGGTCCTGGCTCACTTCTTTCAGTTTTCCATTCACATTTTGTCCATTCACTAGTAACTTTGATCTTCTTTCTGAGGAGAACTGGCTTTCAATGTCCCTAGTCTGCCATCTTGGAGAGTCCTATTGTGCTCCTTTGGAGGCATCATATTTCCTTGCTTTTGCACGTTTCTTGTGTCTTTATGTTGGTATCTGTGCATCTGGTGTGACAGTCACTTCTTCCAATATTTTGGATTTGCTTTTATAGGGGAGGATGTTTTCCTGGAGATGCATCTGTGATGTTGGTTGGGTAGGGCACTTTGGCTCTGATTGTGGGTGTGTGCAGCGGTGTAGTTTCCTAATTTGTTCAGCTGTAAATAGTGTCATTGGTGTCCATTATTTCCTCAAGAGCTTAGGGTGTGGTTGTTGGTGGAGTTGTGGGAAGTTTTGCTGGGGACAGGGATACCAGGTGGGCCAGTCCTCAGGCCCCGATGGGAACAGCAGTGGGCCAAGAGTGCCTGTTCTTAGGCCGCAGGGTGGCATTTGCTGGCACTGGTCTTAGCAGGTCTAGGTGGGTCTATACTGGCAGTGGCAGCAGCAGGTGGGTCTTTCAGTCCCTGGGCAGCAGTGTGGCATGGGCTATCATAGTAGCAGTTGTGGGACAATGCTTTGGCTCTCAAGCTGTCTGTGCTGGTGTTGACAGTGGCTGTGATGGCTGGGCAGGCCAGGCCCTGCGCCTGCAGGTTGTGTGTGCAGGTGGGTGCCATCTGTGGTGGTAGCAACAGGGTGAGTGAGTCCATCTTCAGGTCCCTGGTGGAAGTGCTCAGGTGCTAATGATGGTGGATGTGGCAGAGTAATCCCCAAGTCCCCAGATGGTGTTTTCATGCACTGCGGTGGGGGTAGGGGCAGAGCAAAGCCAGGTGAGCCTGTCCTCAGACCCCCTGGTGGTGCCTATCAGCACTGGCTGTGATGTGCAAGGGTGGGGTGATCCCTGGACTCCTGGAGGAGTGCTTTGATAGGGGAGGCGGTAGCTGCAGTGGGGCCCTGCTGCTGGAGAAGGTGGGGTTGCTTTTAGTGGCTGCAGCTGTAGGCAGGCAGCTGGGGAGCACGTGCTTTGGCCCCAGTTGGCACCTATGCGTTGGGGAGCCTGTCCTTGGGACACTTGTATATGTGCGATGGTGGCCTGCTGTTAGTGGGGTGGGGTTGCTGCAGTGGCTTGGCTTTGGCCCTGGCAGCAGCAGCCAGCTGAAGCAGCAGCTGCAGGTGGGGTATGGCAGTGGGGCTCCTGGGATGTGGAGATGCAGGGGCTGTTGGGCCCCAAGGCAGGGTGATGTCTGGTGGAGGCTGGCTCTCAAAATGGCATCTTGCTGTAGCTGCCTAGGACTCAGGGTGGTGTTTGGGATTCAGCCTGAGCTCTGGAGCAATGCCATTGTGCGGTCTGCAGACAGCTCCCTATGTTGGTCTCTGGGCCTGTGAGGGGCTCTCTGGTGGCTGGGACTGGAGGAATCCATGATGGGAGTATGGACGCTGCAGGTCTGTCACTCCCCTTTCCCTGCATTGGGGAGCTTCTCTGTGCTCCCAGCCAGTCCTGGCCAACCAAGCAGGCTGCTTCTCTTTCCTCCCCTTCCTTGCCCTAGGTGTTTCCTGTTGGTTCTCTGTTGAATTCCAATGTTCTGTCTTTGCTGATCTATTCAAACTGTGATTATCTACTCGCTGTTTTATTCTTCTTTGTGGAGGGGCAGCTGATAGATGCCTCTAGTCCATCATCTTGAAGCCCTGCCCCTTGAGAACTTCTAATGTCCCCTAATTTTTAGCCTCTTCTTTCTATATACTTCCCGGTTTTTACCATATTATTTTATTTACCTTGTCCAAGTTTACATTCTATTCTGTACATGTAACTAAGTCTTTAGTAGCTTGTCTGTAGGTTCATTCTAAAAATTTAAAATCAGTTAAATCCATATGTTAAATAACATGATTATATAAATATTTTTATTATGGGTCTAATCTTAGCATGTGATGCTGAGCACATTCCATTTTGCCGTGTCCCTTTTACAATTTCCAGATGGGAACTGTCGGTGGTTGTCCAAGCACAGTCTGATCAGTTCAGGGCAGAGTGTCTGCAGGGCTGTAGTGAAGCCCAGGAACACACTGGCCTCTTGGGCAGCTAAATCTGTTGTCAACTAGTACTGATTTTGTCAATGTTGAGAATTTCAAACTTAAGCTGAATTCTAATTTTCCAGAGTTGATGATGTCATTGGGAAAGCTCAGATTTGGGGAAGGTCTTCCTCATTTTGAAGTAAAGTGTTTCTCTGAAGATTCCATTCTATTGGCTCATGGGCCTGAGCAGGAGAAACCTAATCCTCCTTCTACATGAGTCTTCCAATCATTTGAATACATCTACAGGATAAATGTTCCAGTTCTTTTAACATTTCCTCTTAGAACATGATTTCAAGACTTTTGCCATTCTCCTTCCTAAACTCTGAATGTGCATTTTTTTTTCAAACTATCTTTGGGGAAGAATACTTTTTTCCTTATTTCCAGTCCATTGCTGACAAATACTTCTATAAAATACAATAAAATGAATTAATAGAAAAAAATTATTTAAATTCTATAAAATGAATGAACAGAAAAAAATATTTAATAAGATACACCAAGCACAAGTCCAAATTTTTAAGTATTAGAAGCCACAGACATAAAATTAATTTTCGATAATGAAAATCAGAATAAACATGAGAGAAAGAATAGAATTACCCAAATTGTACACATTCTTCTTTGTGTGTAGGAGATTAGTATAATGAATCACTAGTATCACTATTATACTCATAGCCTTCCTTTTGTTGTTCTTTAGTCATAAGTTTTATTATGACTAAAATTCCCTGTATTTAAGTTCTACATACACACTTTGAATGAATACTGCTTATGTTAGTATTTAAAGTTTGTGACAATCAGCTGCTTCTTGCTAGTTCACTTAGTTAATCTTGGTTGGATTGATGACAATGTTGCTTTCAGTGCCTGTTGTATAGGAAATTTTTTCTTTTTTTTGAGACTGAGTTTCGCTCTTGTTGCCCAGGCTGGAGTGCAATGGTGCGATCTCAGCTCACTGCAACTTCTGCCTCCTGGGTTCAAGTGATTCTCCTGCCTCAGCTTCCCCAGTAGCTAGGATTACAGGCATGCACCACCACACCCAACTAATTTGTATTTTCAGTAGAGACGGGGTTTCTCCATGTTGGTCAGGCTGATCTTGAACTCCGGACCTCAGGTGATCAGCCTGCCTCGGCCTCTCAAAGTGCTGGGATTACAGGCGTGAGTCACCGTGCCTGACCCCTGTGAAACTGTTTTTATGTTTTGCTTTTCAGATACTTACAGTAGAAAACAAATCTAACAGAGGTTTGTTGAGAATAGATTTTAAAGCAATTTCAACAAGCTCAATATATTTGTAGGTACCTTGTATTCAAATTAAACAATTGTAATTTCAGCTTTCCTTTTTTTTCTGTTTATTTTTTCTTAAAAATATTTGATAGAGACAGGGTTTCACCATGTTGCCCAGGTTGGTCTCAAACTCCTGAGCTCAAGTAATCCACCTGCCTTGGCCTCCCAAAGTGCTGGAATTACAGGTGTGAGCCACCATACCCGTCTGAAACAAATGTGTTTTCAAAATCCATCTTCAATCCTTCATCTGTCAACAGTTCTATTAGTTTATTTTGTAAAGGTATAGTTATGTTTAAATATGATGAAATTCTTTTGAGGAAAGAAATGGGTTCTGGATTTTATATACTTATTTAGATTATAGTTGGCAAACCAGCCTTAAAATATCACATCTGTAGCCTGTTCCTTCAGTGTACAACAGATAGCAACTCTCACCACTAGCCACTTACCACACAAGTCTAACAAAGAGTGAATAGGTACATACTTCATTCAAAAATGGAGTATAGGCTGGGCGCGGTGGCTCACACCTGTAATCCCAGCACTTTGGGAGGCCGAGGCAGGCAGGCGGGTCACAAGGTCAGGAGTTCAAGACCAGCCTGACCAACACGGTGAAACCCTATCTCTACTAAAAATACAAAAATTAGCTGGGCATGGTGGCACGCACCTGTACCCCAGCTACTCGGTAGGCTGAGGCAGGAGAATCGCTTGAACCCGGGAGGCGGAGGTTGCAGTGAGCTGAAATCATGCCACTGCACTCCAGCCTGGGCGACAGAGTGAGACTCTGAAAAAAAAAAAAAAAAAAAAAAAAAAGGGAGTCTATGGTATTTGGATGTTGCATCAGTGTCAACTTGCTATAGAAATTGCTAATATCTTACCCTCAATTTCTGAAATGATCTTGTTGGGACTGTGAACAGCAGGTGCAGGAGTGGTACCAGAATGTAAGTTTGAATAGTGCTGTCCAAGGAGGGTTTTGTCTGTATTAAAGTTTGAATCACAGAACTGAATGCCAAACTTCAGGCTTGGTGTAATTCGAAGGAAATAGAGCAGGACATCACCTCTCTCATTCTAAATACTTTACTTTTGTGAATGCAGCCCAAGTTTGGGAAGGGGGGAATGGGTGTGTGCATGTGCATGTGTATATTTGTGCTCATATCACTGTTGACTCAACACTTTAAATGGACTAAAATTCCCCGGTGTTTTCATAGTTGCCACTATTCTATCACATCTTCCTTTCATTCCTAACCCCTGGCTACAATTCCCTTCTCTAGAGGTGATGAGAATTGGCAGTTGCTTGTGCATGTTTCTAGAGATATTCTTTTCATAAAGGTACAAATGGTACTATACTATGTACCATTGTTATTTGTATAGATGCACTATTAAACACCTTACTTTCTTCACTAACTGTATCTTGGAGAATCATTCATATTGGTATATAAAGAACTTCCCCATTTCATTTCAAGACTACATCATATTCTATAGTATGGATGTCTCATATTTGTTTAAGAAGTTACATATCAAAGAATATTCATGTAGTATGTTGTCTTTTGCTATATTATAATTGGATAACTACATATTCCTCATTTTCTATATTTAGTAACCTATCTTATAGATATATCCTCAGGACTGGAACTTCAGGGCCAAAAGATAAGTGCATATTAAGTTTTGTTATGTATTTATGCCAACAATTTATACCAAAATTATACCTGTTCACATTGCCACCAGCAATGTATGAGACTACCTGTTTGGGGGAATTTCTGAGTTTTTTTGTTAATCATAACTGCAGTAGGTAGAATTAACCAACTGATTTTTTTATTTTATAAAATTGATCTAGGATTGAAGGAATTAAGCTCAAGCCACAGGTTCTCTGTCCTGATGATAATCATTGTACTTTTGAGTGGCAATTTGATCTCATGTGTATCTAAATCCATAAAATAGCAACAGAACAGGAATCAATTGTGTTTTTAAAACGCAAACCTTTGGATGGTTTCATTACTTAATGCAGACTCGTGCATTTAAATGGGAAGCTAAATTGAATGCCATAATCATATTGTTTATTAAAGTTTTTGTTAAAAGTAATTTTGAAAGAATCATTTTACATTTGTCGCTTCAGTCAGACTGAACCTAAAGACTTATTAATTATAAAAAAATTTTTTAAGTGATCCCCATCACAGTCTATAGGGCCTGCCCTCTGTGATTTCCTCTGTGGAGGTCAGTCTTGGTTTTGCTCACAGGAAGCTTTATGTTTCTTGTCCTGTATGTCAGTGTGGTCTGACAGCAATCCCCAGGTCCTGGCCAGTGGTACTGATGTCACATTATTTTATGCCGCTTGCTTCGGCGTATCCTTGAGGTAGCCATGGAACCAGAATCCACTCTGATGGCTTTCTCCTGATAGGTGAACAAGTAATTGCATTTGCAGTCTGAGGACATTTATTTCCAGAAGATCAGCCCTGTGCCCCTGAATCCTGCAGCACTTAATCAGAGCACTAAGGGAGCGACCATCCCCAAGGCCTTGTCACTCTGGCTCTCGAGTCCTGCATTTTATACAAGAAACAGCTTAGGGTTCACTGAGCTGAATGTGCCTGAAAAAGAGAAACCCAACTTGCTCACAGACACCATTGTATTCTATGAACACAAACTGATTTTGTGATTTTCACTAGACATAAATGTTGATGCCTAGGTTTAAAAAGAAAACGTTCTTTGGATTTGTTAGAGAGGATTGTTTTGGCCCTTTTCTTGAAGTCAGTGAAACATTAGTATGATATTGGGGTAGAAAAATTCCTCATAGTTGAAATATTTTAATTGTGTTTATTGGTCTTGTGGTGTTGGCTGCCAGTTGAGTTGTCTACTCCAAATTGACAGTAACTCCATAAGTCACAAGCATCTGAGATATATTTTGTGTATTTTGAGGGTCTTTAGTGAATATATAATATTCCATATGGTTTTAGAATTCTAAAGTGATTAGGATTAATTTCCATCCCAGCATCATTGAATTTAGGACCTCAATTTTCTAACCACACATCAGACTGTGCAGTCGACCCTCTGCATCCACAAGTTCCACATCTGTGGATTCAACCAACTATAGATAAAAAAATATGGAAAAAAGCCAATACAAATAACAAAACAACAATAAAAATAATACAAATAAAAACAACACATGATAACAGTTATTTATCTAGCATTTACAGTGTATTTGGTATTATAAGTAATCTAGAGATGATTTAAAGTATACAGAAGAATATGTGTAGCTTATATGAGAATATTATTCCATTTTATATGGGAGACTTGAGCATCCTCAGGTTTTCATATCTTCCGGGGTCCTAGAACCAATTCCCCAAGGATACCAAGGAACGACCGTAGTTTCCAAGTAAAATATGCCCCAATTTATTATCACCTTTACTGATACTAGTTACTCTAATTGAGCAAGTGAGAAGATATTGTATTATGATCTGAAGAGAAATCTGTAAACTGTTAAAATATTGAATTTGTGATAAAGTGTCCTTGACTCTACTTTTAAGGACCGTCATTTAATTAGCAGCAACAGTGGGGCTTCTCTACAGACATGACTAGTTTAGCAAAGGAAAGGGGAAACCAAGACCTTGAAAAGCAAAAGGCATTTTACAAAATAGATTCCATAATTAGTTGAGTTATTACATCTCTGAAAAGGGCAGGCTTCTCTAACTACATATCTACTCTGTGACTTTTCTTTCAAATTGATGCCTGAGACTTCCTTGATTTTAAAAAAGTCACCATAATGGAAAAAATAAGATGTTATGTTTCCTATAAAAAATAGGAACTAGTGTTTCAGGCTATCCTTTTTCCTGTTTCCAAGCTGTTAATGGAGAGAAATTTCTTTTAAAGCCCAGTTCTAATGCAAAAGAGGTGACTGCATTTTAACTGGCAGCCTGAAATGTTATCAGCTCATTTAGATGTAGAGTCTGTTATTTAAAAATATTGTGTTTCTTTTTAGTGCTTTTTACCTCTAACATACTATTTTTAATAATTTTTTTTTTTTACCAGTTAACTAGGTAGCAATACTACAGCCATGCTAGTTAACACGCCGCTTAATATTTCTTAATGTGAATTCATGTATTTTGGAACTTGATGTTAAAAAATAATTTTAAAAATCAATTTTAAAGATGCTCATGCCTGTAATCCCAGCACTTTGGGAGGCCGAAGCGGGTAGATCACCTGAAGTTGGGAGTTCAAGACCAGCCTGACCAACATGGAGAAACCCTGTCTCTACTAAAAATACAAAATTAGCTGGGCGTGGTGGCACTTGCCTGTAATCCCATCTACTCGGGAGGCTGAGGCAGGAGAATCACTTGAACCCAGTAGGCGGAGGTCATGGTGAGCTGAGATTGTGCCATTGTACTCCAGCCTGGGCAATAAGAGTGAAACTCCGTCCCGGGAGAAAAAAAAATCCTCCTTTGGTGCCTCTGTGGGCCATTCTAGATTATGGTAAATAGAATTAAGTACACAGGTAACCTTCTTTATGTCCTTCATTATTTTTCTGAACCTAATTTCACATGTTATGTTCTTATGTTGTTATTTTGAGACAAGGTCATGCTGTGTCACCAAGTCTGGAGTGCACTGATGCAATTACTGCTCACTGTAGCTTTGAATTCCTAGGCTCAAGCAATCCTCCTATCTCAGCCTCCCAAGTAGCTGGGACCATAGCACATGCTACCATGCATGGCAAATTATTTTATTTTATATAAGATGGGGGTTTACCAAGTTGCCCAGGCTGGTCTCCAACTCCTGGGCTCAAGCAATCTTTTGTCTCGATCTCCCAAAGAGCTGGGATTACAGGAGTGAGCCACTGTGCCCAGCCCATATTATATTCTTTAAGATTATTCTTCTAAGTATGATACTTTCCCTCTACTTTTAATCCTCCCACCTACCAAATGGCTAGTTGTTTCTGTTTCCTTTCTTCAGGTTCTTTCTGCGTTGTCTTTATGAGACAAGGGGATATGCAATGAATATTGGATATTGGAAGTCAATGAATAGTTTTATGCAATGATGTTTTTATGAGAATATTCCTCTATTATTCAAAATAGCATTGAGGGGGCATCTTTATTCAAATAATTGTTAGTGCCTAGCTAGGACTCTGAGAGCTTACTGTTTATTAAAAATAAATTTCCGTATACACCAAGCTTGAGAAAGATAGTTCTATAAACATATTCTACATATGGACTGAATCTACTAATATGTTATCCAATGATTTGTTTTTATTAACTCTTTCCAGTATTCCACACAGAAAAGGCTTATGTGTCAAAGTTTCCTTCTTTTTTCTAACCCAGATTTTATATTTTATATCCCTTCTCTGTGTTTTTTTTTTTTTTTTTTTTGATGGAGTCTTGTTCTGTTGCCCAGGCTGGAGTACAGTGGAGTGATCTCAGTTCACTGCAACCTCCACCTCCCAGGTTCAAGCAATTCTCCTGCCTCAGGCTCCCGAGTAGCTGGGATTACAGGTGTGCGCCACTATGCCCCGCTAAGTTTTGTATTTTTGTTTAGTAGAGGTGGGGTTTCACCATGTTGGCCAGGCTGGTCTTGAACTCCTGACCTTAGTGATCCACCCACCTCAGCCTCCAAAATGCTGGGATTACAGGTGTGAGCCACCACGCCTGGCCCCATTTTCTGTTTTTAAGACACCTAAATTTTCCTGACATACCATTGGGATTTAATAACTTTATGAGGAGACTATAGGGAACTTGGAGTTAAAAATGGAAGGAGTAATTAACCCAACCCCTTGTAGTCATTAGCAGGCAAAGTCAATGAATTTGCCATAGCAAATGCAGGTGTACCCTGTTGACTTCTAATGGTATTGTCTTCACTTTCTGTAATCATTTTAGGACCTGCTCAGTGCTGTAGAAGCAAAAGAAGCTCTTGAAAGGGAAGTTAAGATCTTCCAAGAAAGGCTGCTTGCTGGCCAGCAGGTCTGGGATGCCTCAAAGCAGGAAGTGAGCCTCCTGAAGAAAAGCTCTTCTGAGTTGGAGAAGAGTTTGAAGGCCAGTCAGGATGCAGTCACAACCTCACAAAGCCAGTACTTCTCATTTAGGGAGAAAATCGCAGCCCTCCTTAGGGGCAGATTGAGCATGACTGGGTCCACTGAGGACACCATTTTGGAGAAGATTCGAGAAATGGACAGCCGGGAAGAAAGCAGGGACCGGGTGAGTGGGTCATGGCTGTTTACAGACATCTTAAGAACAGTGAGCTCATTCATTTAGCATGCTCAGTGACTGTATTAGTCTATTCTCACGCTGCTATAAGAAATACCCGAGACTGGGTAATTTATAAAGACAAAGAGGTTTAATGGATTCACAGTTCCACATGGCTGGGGAGGCCTCACAATCATGGCAGAAAGCAAAGGAGGAGCAAAGGCACATCTTACGTGGTGGCAGGCAAGAGAGAGAGTGTGCAGGGGAACTGCCCTTTATAAAACCATCAGATCTCCTGAGAGTTATTCTCTATCACAAGAACAGCATGGGAAAAAGCTACCCCCATAATTCAATTACCTCCCACCAGGTCCCTCCCACGACACGTGGGGATGATGGGAGCTACAATTCAAGATGAGATTTGGGTGGAGACACAGCCAAACCATATCAGTGACTTATCTCAATTAGCTAAAAGCATCACTTAAGGCCAGGCCTGGTGGCCTAGGCCTGTAACCCCAGTCCATTTGGAGGCCAATGTAGTCACTTGAGGCCAGGAATTCAAGACCAGTCTGAGCAATATAGTGAGACCCCTCTCTCTACTGAAAATAAAAATTAAGTCCCAGCTACCTGGCAGGCTGAAGTGGAAGAATTTCTTGAGCCCACGAGTTTGAAGCTGCAGTGAGCTATGATTGCGTCTCTGCTCTCCAGCCTGGGCTACAGAGCAAATCCTGTCTCTAAAAAAAGTATAATTTAAATGTGGTTGTATTAATTTCCATTTTAATGGAAAGGCATGGCAGTCCCACAAGCCACATCTAACTGTGATGCAGGTTCTGGAGTTGGACCTGCCTGGTGCTGAATCCCGTCTCTGCTGTACATTCACTCACTGTCCATGTGAGCTTGGGTAGGTTCTTGAGTTTACGGCCTCGGAGATTTTGTTTTCTTATCTACAGAAAGGGGTTAGCACAGGTTCCATGACCCCTTACCTGAAACTCTTGGGGCCCACGGTGTTTTTGAGTTCAGAATTTTTCAGAGCTTAGAAAGGTAATGCAGAGTGCAGCCTTACACAGCCCTCCACTGTGGTGTCTGGGACAGTTTCCTACCGTCAATCACATTCACAGGTCTGTAGCTAAGCCCGCGAGCAACAGTAAGTGGGATAAATGAAGACCGCAAATAGCCTCTTGTCATTTTGGGTCAGGATTTGCTGCCCAGCTGGGTCAGGTCAGGCCAAGCTTTGTCAGTAAATGAGTTATGAAAAAACCTGGATTTTGGAATTACAGATAAAAGTTCCCAGACCTGTAATGGTATCTGGCCGATCAGGTTATTGTTTCATGTATGTATTGAATGAAAAAAATTGTTATAAAGATCTTAACTCATTGCCTGGCAAGTCACAACAATAAATATTAACTATTGCTGCTGTTGCCTCTCCTTCTTCCTCCTTCTCTCCTTTTTTTCATAATGTGTTGGTGGCCTGAACAGTCTTTCAGGGGTCCTATCTAACAAATGGAGAAAAATGGTTTAATTCACGTATATGATTGAGGCTTGTTTAACTCTGTCATCTTGTTTCTACTATCAAGAACTCTCTTTCTCTATAAAGCTTTACCTAGCAGAGTCCACTTCAGTGCAGGCTTTGTTTAAATTATCATCAAACCTAAATTATAGAAGTCCTAGTTAATGAGACTTTAAAGTAAATGATCTCCAAAGTCCTTGTATAATTCCATTATGAAATATTTCTTCTATTGCTGTCGTGCTTGCTTGAAAGGAGAAAACGCATTTTACCATCTTTTAATGTTACTAAAAAACTCAGAAGAATCACTAACTCAAAGTTCAGGGTTGCATTTGTCAATTTCCTTTAGTGATAGTAAATTCCCTTTAAAAATTCTCCAAAATTCAAGCTTGCAGTGAGCCGAGATCGTGCCACTGCACTCCAGCCTGGGCAACAGAGCGAGACTCTGTCCAAAAAAAAAAAAAAAATTCTCTGAAATTCACGCATACTCTAGGAGCAACCTTAGTGGCCCCTTTAGCCAAGCACATTTTCTTTTCTTTTCTTTCTTTTTTTTTTTTTTTTTTTTTTGAGATGGAGTCTCGCTCTGTCACCCAGGCCAGAGTGCAGTGGTGCAAACTCGGCTCACTGCAATCTCCGCCTCCCAGGTTCAAGCAATACTCCTGCCTCAGCCTACCGAGTAGCTGGGACTACAGGCATGCACCACCACACCCAGCTAATTTTTGTATTTTTAGTAGAGACGGGGTTTCACCATGTTGGCCAGGATGGTCTCGATCTCTTGACCTTGTGATCCACCCGCCTCGGCCTCCCAAAGTGCTGGGATTATAGGCGTGAGCCACCGTGCCCGGCTGCCAAGTGCATTTTCTATCTCTTTGTGGAGATAAAATGTGGAGTGCTCATTGGCTGTCCTCCACTCTAATGTGTAGAGGTCTCTGCGAGTAACTTAGTTTTTCTTGTGACTCAGTTTACATGGAGGTACTTGAGAAAGAAAATGATTTATAGGTTTGGAAATAAGCTTCATTAAGTCATTTCCTTAAATGGTAACAGATATGCAGACGATTTCCAGCTCATGAAAATTTAATTTAAAAAATTTTCAACTTGACGATGGTGTGAAAGTGATACACATTCAGTGGAAACCACACTTTGAGTGTGCATGCAGCCATCCTGTTCTTCACTTTCAGTATTCAACAAATTACATGAGACTTTCAATACTTTATTATAAAATAGGCTTTGTGTTAGATGATTTTGCCCAAATATAGGCCAATGTAAGTGTTCTGAGCACTTTTAAGGTAGGGTAGGCGAAGCCATGATATTCGGTAGGTTAGGTATATTAAATGCATTTCTGACTTAAGGAACTTTCAACTAACACGTCTTTGTTGGGACACAACCTCACCATTCGTCGAGGAGCATCTGTACTTCAATAGCTAATTTTTTTTTTTTTTGCCATTTCATTTTATTGCTTTCCACTTCTATATTTTCAAGTAGTTTCTTAAAACTACTTTAATCCCAAACAAGGCGCATAATTATCAGCATGATGTATATGTTTATTTTCTAAAGCCAAATGATGTAAATTGGTTAAGCTGGGTATGCTTTCTCCCACTCCCCATAAAAATTAGAATGATTCAGAGTCTTTTTAGTGCCTTTGTCTGCCATTCCTACCCTGTAATTTTTTTCAATAGCTGCCCTCCCTATTTAAAAGCCTGAAATCAAGCATATAGCTGGTGTCTTGTGTGACTCATCTTCACGTAAAATCAGGAGAAAATGGATTTCATATATTGTCTTAGAAATGTTTCTAAAGAATGGGAGCTTTACAAATTGATGAATCTGTTTGTTGAGGAGGCTGCATGTCCCTGCCAGCTGCCATGGCTACGCACACAGTCAGTGGCTGAGTAATTCTGATGTGAAGGCTCCACGGCGGGTTCAGGCTCAGCTTGGCAGATTCTCCGCTTCAGGCCGGCTCCTGCTTCCCGAACGTTGCTTGTCTTGTTTACCCCTGTGCTATCCATTTTTCCCCTCCTGTGTTTGCAATTCTCAGTAGAATTCAGGACACCACCCACACTTTTACAGCACGTCATTTCTACTTGTTCCTTGCATATCTGCTTCTGGCAAGATCTAATCTTCTTTTTAGAAGCTTTACTATATCTTAGAGCAAGGTTTTCCATCCTCAGAACTATTGACATTTTGGACTGGATAATTTTTTGCTCTGGGGGCCAGTCCTGTGCATTGCAGGATTTTGAGCGGCGTCCTTGGCCTCTACCCGCTAGTAGCACTCCCCTTCCCAGTTTGTGACAACCACAGATGTCTTTAGAGACTGCCTAATGTCCGCCGGGGGTCAAAATTGCCCCCAGTTGAAAACCACTGTCTTAGAGGAATGTTCTACTGCCAGGTTCCCACGAATTCTAAATGAGTATTTAGATGTTACTTAGCCTTGGAATTTCAGGACACCATAGCAGTTGTTTATGAAATAATGACTTCTTGCACAATGACAGAAAGTTACGACATTTTCAGATTTTACTTTAGAATTTTGAGGCAATTTTGTTTTCTTCTTCACCTCTATCTGGACATTTTTCCTGTTCTGCTTTAGGTACACCTAAGGCTTTATTTCCTTCCTTGAGGTGTTTGCTGGTCCAGGGGCTCTGTGGGAGCTGTGGGGACCCCCCCCGATGCTATAAAGCAAGGGTCTCCAACCCTCTGGCTGCGCACCCGCACCAGTGCCTGGCCTAGTAGGAAATGGGCTGCACAGGAGGAGGTGAGCGGTGGGCGAGCGAGCATTGCTTCCTGAGTTCACCTCCTGTCAGATCAGCAGCGGCATTAGATTCTCATAGGAACGTGAACGCTATTGCGAACTGTGCATGCGAGGGATCTAGGTTGCGTGCATCTTATGAGAATCTAATCCCTGATGATCTGAGGTGAAACAGTTTCATTCTGACACAAAAATTGTCATCCACGAAACCAGTCTCTGGTGACAAAAAGGCTGGTGATCTCTGCTGTGAAGGACTGGAGATGTGCTTCACAGCCCCCTCCTCCCCATTCTGATCTCAGAGCCCGATTATCATTCTCCTGCTCTGTTCTTAACCCTGCCACCTACTAAAGTGAGCATCTTCCCAGAAGCACCAGCACACTTCCATTTGGGACGTTTCATTATCCAAAATTATGTTGTGCGGTTGCTCCGGGCTACAGAGGCATCTGAGAGAGCGAACAGATGGAAGTTTCAGCTTTTCCAGCCTCTCCAGTTATATGAGTTTCCTGGGGCTGCTACGACAAAGTACCGCAACTGGGCGGCTTAAATAACAGAAAGTTCTTGCCTCACAGTTCTGGAGATGAGAAGTCTGGCATCAAGGTGTCAGTAGGGTTGGTTCCTTCTGAGGGCTGTGAGGGAGAGTCTGTCCCATGCCTCACTCCTAGCTTCTGCTGGCCTCAGGCATTGCATTCTTTGTTGTAGGGATAGTGTTCTTCCTGTGTGTTCACATTGCCTTCCTCTATGCATGTCGGTCTTCGTGTCCAAATTTCCCCTCTTATAAGGACCTCAGTCATCTGGGATTAGGGTCCACCTTAGGGACCTCGTTTTCACTTCATCACCACTCTAAAGACCCGATCTCCAAAGAAAGGCACATTCTGAGGTACTGGGGGGCTTCAACATATCTTTTTTGAGGGGGACCTAATTTAACTCAAAACAAAAGTTGAGATGAACAGAGGAGGTGGGATAGAGTTAGCCAGTCAACAGTGCTGGTCACACAAGCCGACAGAAGGGAAGGAGGATTTGGTCGACACTTTCTAGTACCTGATAACTTACATATTCCCCAAGTGCAAATTATAGCTTGAGTAATTGGAAAAGAGTTTATGTCTAAAAGGAACTGGACTTTAAGTGACCCAAATGGCTCTTTCTTCAGTGTAGAACTTTTTGGCTTCTATTTGGTTTAATTTTAGGACAAAATTGTCTCTCTGGTGAAATCAATGCATAGTTGTCCCTGGGGAGTGAATTAAATCTTTTAGGGCATTATGACTTTACTTCTAAAAACCATGCAGCTTATTCTTTAACTATATTGTGCTTTTTGTTTCAAAAAAAAAGCACAAACAAAAAAATATCTTTTTTGTTTAAAGGTATGTATTCTTCACCCCTCACCCTCCACTGCCCACCTCTAGTGTTGAAATATCTGGTGCATTTTGTCCCATAGAATATCAGGTATATGTTAAGAAATGATCCTAAGAAAAAGAAAAGAAAAGAAAGAAAGGCTTATTTATTGTTTAGACTTTTTGGTGTGAAAAACAGCACAAGTTTACGGTTTTGGTGGAGCACATATGTTCACTCAGGCACTGGCATTTGATGTTCCCAAGAATAAGTCAGAATGGAAAGTTAATTTATTTGAATTAATTTATCTAAATTTAGTTAGAAAAAAACTTAGTGGTGTCATGTGCACTGACACCTAAATAAGCTTCTGAAGCTACGTTCTGTGATCTGATAGAGTGCAGGAGGGCTCTCAGCTGTTTTCTTCTCTCTGGACACAAGAATCTTGGCATGGCAGGTATCCCCTGCAAATTTCAGCGATCTACGTATTAGTGGTTTTAAAGTCTCACTTCGCTGAGTCTCAAGGCTCTGTAGAGCACCCTCAGGTCCAGATGGGGTGAAGATGCAAGAGAGACCTTCTTGCCTTTGATTCAAACACATTTGTCCCTTATTTGTTCTTCCTAGAAAGACTTCTAGTTGAGAGAAAGACTATGCTGAAAATAGTTTGAGAAACATGACATAGGACAATTCCTGGAGGGTTCTTTAGCTCCTCATGGCGACAGCATAGGATTGACAGAACCAGTACACTGGAGCAGTAACCCTGATGACGGAAATGGACACGATGTGTTGAACTTCAATATGGTGTGAAATACTGTAAATTATCTAAATCAGCTCATTGAGTCTTCATAGCAAAGTCTACGAATTTCAGAGAGATTAGTTACTTGCTTCAGTTAACCTGCTAGTAAGTGGTACAGGGGAAATTGAAACCAGGGCTATCTGACTCCAAAGCCTCCGTCCTGCACTCTGGTCTACGTCAGATGCTTACATCTTCCTTTAGGGTCAGTATCACTCCCTTAGTCTAACTTACTGCAGTTACTCTGGGCATCAGCTTCAGAATGGAGACCATACTGATTGATGTCTACAGAAGGCTTGCTTTTTTCCAGTAAATTCGGTGGTGTGCTGACTATGGCTAACTGATCACACAGTTCTCCCTCTCTCCGCTTGAGGTTTATTGAATCAATTTTCTCTTTGGTTTCATTCTCTCCGCTATGTCATTTGTGGTATAGGAGACGTTGAAGGGTCTTCAGGTAGAAATACTCACTTCCTGTTTGCAGTCCAACGTGAAACCACATCTCCTGATGTGCTATACTCCTAATAATGCAAATCAGTCCCTTGGGAGGCAGCATCTTGTGGACATTTTTCTGTAGATTACATTATTTGTTATACCAAGATAAACACTGTTTCTCTTGCGTTAAGATCAGATTTATCTGCTATATTAGTAAGTTATACTTACTAATATAGCTATGAATGTATCAGTAGATTTTTTATTATTGGTAAGCAGGAAAGGTAGGAAATAAGAAATGAGGTTTCTCAGAGCTTCATGTTCTGGGATGACACTAAAAATTTCCTTGGTAAATGTAATTCCTTGGATGTGGCTCTGAATAGCTTACCATCAAATATCTAATTTCAAGCACACACACAGAAGTGTTAAATTAATTGAATGTCTGGAAGCTTGAGAGCCATGGAAGCACAGGATTGAAGAGTTTAGAGCTCAGGTGGTCTAACCTTCCTCATGTAGCACTTCAATCTGCATTGCAACATTCTTAATTGGTATAAGCATACCTCAGAGACCACTGCGACAAAGCAAGTGTCACAATAAAGTGAGTCACACAATTTTTTTTGGTTTCTCAGTGCATATAAAAGTTATGTTTATACTAGACTATGTAGTCTATTAAGTGTGCAATAACCCTATATCTAAAAAACAATATAGATACTTTAATTAAAAATACTTTATTGCTAAGAAGTGCTAACAATCATCTTAGCCTTCAGCAAGTCATAATCTTTTTGCTGGTGGAGGGTTTTGCTGTAATGTTGATGGTTACTGCTGATCGGAGTGATGGTTCCTGAAGGTTGGGTGGCTGTGGCAATTTCTTAAAATAAGACAACAACGTAGTTGAAAACAACAATTGACTCTTTTTTTTCTCAAAAGATTTCTCTGTAGCATGTGAGCTATTTGATAGCGCTTTACCAACAGCAGAACTTCTTTCTAAATTGAGGTCAATCCTCTCAAACCTTGCTGCTTTTTTGTCAGCTAAATTTATGTTATATTCTAAATGTTTATTGTCATTTCAACAATGTTCAAGCATCTTCACTAGGAGTAAATTTCATCTCAATAATTTTCTTTGCTCATCCATGAGAAGCAACTCTTCATCCATTCAAGTTTGATCATGAGGTTACAGCAATTCAGTCACATCTTTAGGCTCCATTTCTAATTCTAGTTCTCTTGCTATTTCCACCACATCTGCAGTTACTTCCTCCACTGAAGTCCTGAACCCCTCAGAATCATCTCATAGATGACACCTATGATGTTATTTTGACCTCCTCTTATGATTTATGAATGTCCTTAATGGTATCAAGAGTAGTGAATCCTTTCCAGAAGGTTTTCAATTTACTTTGCCCAGATCCATCAGAGGAATCACTCTCTATGGCAGCTGTAGCCTTATGAAGTATATTTCTTACATAATAAGACTTTAAAGTCAGAATTATTCCTTGATCCATGGGCTGCAGAATGAATGCTGTGTTAATAGCTGTGAAGACAACATTCATCTCTTTGTACATCTCCATCAGAGTTCGTGGGTGACCAGGTATGTTGTCAATGAGCAGTAATATTTTGAAAGGAATCTTTTACTGAGCCATAGGTCTCAACTGTAGGCTTGAAATATTCAGTAAAACTTGATGTGAACAGATGTGCTGTCATCCAGCTTTGCTGTTCCATTTCTAGAGCACAGTCAGAATAGATTTAGCATATTTCTTAAGGGGCCTAGGGTCTTCAGAATGGTAAATGAGCACTGGCCTCAACTTCAAGTCACCAGCTGCATTAACCTCTAACAAGAGAGTCAGCCTGTTCTCTGAAGCTTTGAAGGCAGGCATTGACTTCTCCTCTTTAGCTATGAAAGTCCTAAATGGCAACCTCTTCCCATAGAAGGCTGATTTGCCTACATTGAAAGTCTGTTGTTTGGTGTCGCCACCTTCATCAATGATCTTAGCTAGATCTTGTGGATAACTTACCCCAGCTTCTACATCAGCACTTACTGCTTTATCTTGTACTTTTATGTTATGGAGATGGCTTCTTTCCTTAAATCTCATGAATCAATCTCTACTAGTTTCAAACTTTTCTTCTGCAGCTTCTTCACCTCTCTTAGGCTTCATAGATTTAAGGAGAGTTAGGGCCTTGCTTTGGATTAGGCTTTGGCTTAAGGGAATGTTATGGCTGGTTTGATGTCTATTCAGACCACTCAAACTTTCTCCATATCAGCAATAAGGCTGTTTTTTTTCTTATCATTTGTGTGTGTCTTAGTCCTTTTGTGTTGCCATAAAAGAATACCTGAGGCTGAGTAATTGATAAAGAAAAGAGGTTTATTTGGCTCATGGTTCTGCAGGCTATACAAGAAGCACAGTGCCATCTACTTCTGGCAATGAACCTCAAGAAACTTTCACTCATGGCAGAAGATGAAGGGGAGCAGGCATCACATGGCCAGAGAGAAAGAAAGGGAGAGAGAGGAGGAGGTGCCAGGCTCTTTTCAACAACCAGAGCTCATGGGAACTAAGAGTGAGCAGTCACTCAATTCTGCAAGAATGACACCAAGTCATTCATGAAGGATCTGCTTCCATGAACCAAACATCTCCCACTAGGCCCACCTCCAACTGTGAGGATCAAATTTTAACATGCGATTTAGAGAGGACAAATATCCACACTGTATCAGTGTGTTTACTGGAGTAGCACTTTTTTTTTTTTTTTTTTTTTTTTGAGACGGAGTCTTGCTCTGTCACCCAGGCTGGAGTGCAATGGCGCAATCTCAGCTCACTGCAACCTCTGCCTCCCGGGTTAAAGTGATTCTCCTGTCTCAGCCTCCTGAGTAGCTGGGACTACAGGCGCCTGCCACCACGCCTGGCTAATTTTTGTATTTTTAGTAGAGATGGGGTTTCACCATACTGGTCAGCCTAGTCTTGAACTCCTGACCTCAGGTGATCCACCCACCTTGGCCTCCCAAAGTGCTGGGATTACAGGCGTGAGCCACCGTGCCTGGCCTGGAGTAGCACTTTTAATTTCCTTCAAGAACGCTTCCTTTCTATTCCCAGCTTGGCTAATTGGAGTAAGAGGCCCAATTTTTGGCCGATCTCAGATTTCAACATGCCTTTCTTACTAAGCTTAGTCATTTCCATCTTTTGAGTTAAAATGAGAGAAGTGCGACTCTTCGCTTTTTTTTATTTGAGATGGAAGTCTCATTCTGTCACCTAGGCTGGAGTGCAGTGGCGTGATGTTGGCTCACTACAACCTCTGCCTCCCAGGTTCAGGTGATTCTCCTGCCTCAGCCTTCCAAGTAGCTGGGACTACAGGCATGAGCCATCACGTCCAGCTAATTTTTGTATTTTCAGTAGAGATGGGGTTTCGCCATGTTGGCCAGGCTGGTCTTGAACTCCTGACTTCAGGTGATCCACCCAGTTTGGCCTCCCAAAGTGCTGGGATTACAGGCGTGAGCCACTATGCCCAGCCTGACTCTTCCTTTCATTTGAAAACTTAGAGGCCATTGTAAGGTTATTAACTGGCTTAATGTGAATATTGTTGTGTCTCAGGAAATAGGGAGGCCCAAGGAGAGGAAGTGGGGTCAGCCAGTTAGTGGAAAAGTCAGAACGTACACATGTATCATTTAAGTTCACTGACTTATTATGGGAGTGGTTTGTGGCACCCCAAACACTGCAATAGTAACATCAAAGATCTCCGATCACAGATCACCATAACAGATATCATAGTAATGAAAATGTTTGAAATATTGCTAGTATTGCCGAAATGTGACACAGGGACACAAAGTGAGCGTGTGCTGTCAGAAAAATGACGCTGATAGACTTGCTCAATGCAGGGTTACCACAAACCTTCAATTTGTAAAAAACTAAAATATCTGCGAAGAGCAATAAAGTAAGTGCAATAAAGTGAGATGTGCCTGTAGTTAGCCAATTTCCGGCCATCTTCGGTGACTGGGAATCCACTCCCTACTGGACAGTGTCTTTACACAGCTGTAATCATTGTAAAGTTTTCCCTTTCTTCTTTATTTTGATTATTTATTATTTTTAATTTTTTTTCTCAGACCTCACAGGGAAGAGTTTTTCCTTTCTTAGAAAGGAATGCTTAAGTGAATGATGACACATTCTCATGATGAATTCTTAATGCAGCCATTAAAATGTTAATTAAGAATTTCAAACGGCATGAGAATAATTAGGTAAAAACAAAGACATGAAATTGCATGTATAATATTTCAACTATATTTTAACAATACACAAAAACAAATTATTTAAAAATATTAATGGCTTTTGCCTCTGGGTGGTGGGATCACAGGGGATTGTTTTTTGCCTGTTTATACTTTTTGTGGTTAAAAGAAATTTCATGGGGATATCTTACTTTATAATTATAGGAACTGGGGAAAACATTTTCCTTTCATAAATATGGAATTTCTTCTCTGATTTATACCTGTTGGTTCTCAATATAGGCTCCGAGGGTAACTCAGAACAAATCCTTTTGTTCTCCCATATAATAGCCTTTCAAAAAGTTTAAAGGCAGATTACGTGTTTAAGCACGGCTGTTTATAGATGGGCAAACAGAAATTGTTTTCTTTTTAAAAATTTAGACAGTAAAAATCTGAAACAGTCAGGATGTTTCCATTTCTGTGAGAATGGTACTGTACTGTTATGTAAATACTATGTTTTCCCTCTTCTCTTCCAAAATAAACCATCGAAAGAAAACAAATTTATCACCCTAGGCTTGGTGGTTTTATTGAATTCAACATTTTATGAAACTGGATTTAGTAAAATCAGTTTGAGTTTTCTGAGAGTGTCCCTGAGGTCCTTGGTAAACTTGCACTCTTGGTTTAAGGGAATGATCAGGACAAAAAGAGGAACTCCTGGGAAGGATGGGAGCATTGGGCAAATCAGGTGGGTTGTGGAGAGCCTGGAGGGACTTTAACATGGGACAGTACTCAGATTCCCCTGCTCTCTTGTACATTGACACTGACCTTATTTAGAGTCACCATATTAAAGAGATGTTGACCTCTCCAATGCAAAAATGGTATTACTCTATAACTATGTAGTGTAGAGTCAGCATCCCTGGAGTTTAGGGCATAGGTAACCAATCTTCAACAGAAAGCTGAAAAAAGTTTGAAAAAGCATATATCTGTACATGAATTCCCTGTAATACCTCAATGTTACCTACCAAGATTATCTCACTGTCTAATCTTAAGTCAACTCAAAATGGTGAAAGAATTTTTCTGGGGAATGACTCTTTGTAGATTTTTACAGTACTTTTTGTCTTAATTCTTTTTCCTACTAAACTTTGAAACTCTTAGCAATAGTTTTGGGGTAAGTAAATGTTATCCATAAATTTTTATTGATTAACCTGATAAAAGAATTATATAAAAATTAAAAATACCAATCGAAAAATTTAATTCAATAATGAAAGTAGATTATTTCAAACAGAGGCAAATACAGCTATCAATTACATATTTTAAATGGGATTTTTACAAATAATCTGGAAGTTGGTATCATAAACAGTTATGCTGCTTAGGCAGAGCAGTAGATGTGAACACTTCCTTGCATCTGAAACAAGGCTTATTCTTGATCTGTTTCTTTGTTTCCAGATGGTCTCCCAGCTTGAAGCCCAAATATCTGAGCTTGTTGAACAGTTGGGAAAGGAGTCTGGGTTTCACCAGAAAGCTCTCCAGAGGGCCCAGAAAGCAGAGAATATGTTGGAGACTCTTCAGGGTCAGCTGACACACCTGGAGGCAGAGCTGGTTTCTGGAGGTGTTTTGCGAGACAACTTGAATTTTGAGAAACAAAAAGTAATGACCCGAGGGCATGTCCATGAGTGGAAGCATCTGTTGTAGTATAAAATTTTACCTGAAAATATCCTGAATTTTACAGTATTTAGTTTGGTTAAGTCCTGGACTTAATTGGTTAAGTCAATTTCAAGGAACAATGGGTTTGGAGCTTCCTTGATTCAAATTAATTTAATTAAACTCAACGAGTATTTATTGAATGCCTACCATATATGAGGTCCTAAAGGTTTGGCAAGCTAAAATATGAATAATACACAGTTCCTGATCTTAAAGGCTCATAATTCAATAGGGGAGACAGATACTCAGATAATTTGCTGTACTATAAGTTTACACATGTTATATGTATTGAATTAATAAAGTGCTGTAGGAACTTCCAGATAAAGGGAAGATTTTATAGGAGAGGAGATAATTAAGTTCATTTTTGAAAGATAAGTCAGATTATAGTGGAGACAGGAGACAGATACTGTAGGGGAAACAGTTTGAAGAAAGGCATGAAATCTGGCAAGTGCATAGTATATTCAGAGGACGCAAAATGGTGAATCCTCCATGGCTGGAACATGTTATTCTCGGTGGATCTGTGGCAAGAGAAAAGACTGGAATGGCTTAGACTATGAAGATGGAGTGTTCTTTACTCTGTAGAATATGAAGTGTGGTAAGTGTGAGCATTGCAGTATTTTATTTTATTTTATGTTTATGTTTATTATTTCTATTTTTTTGAGACAGAGTCTCGCTCTGTTGCCCAGGCTGGAGTGCAGTGGCGTGATCTCGACTCACTGCAACCTCTGCCTCCTGGGTTCACACCATTCTCCTGCCTCAGCCTCCCAAGTAGCTGAGATTACAGGCGCCCGCCACCACGCCCGGCTAATTTTTTGTATTTTTAGTAGAGACGGGGTATCACTGTGTTAGCTGGGGTGGTCTCGATCTCCTGACCTCATGATCTGCCCGCCTCGGCCTCCCAAAGTGCTGGGATTACAGGTGTGAGCCACCGTGCCAGGCCACATTGCAGTATTTTAGAAAGATAGCGTGATGTCCCCGTGGAGCTGAGATTGTGGCATGGAGGGTCTCGGAAACAATGGCACTGATAACCCAGTGGGAGAGGAGAGTTAGACGGGAAGAGAAGGAGCCCGCACTGAGGATTCGAATGTGGGGAGACTGTCAGTGATCTTTGAGAGGCAGTTTTGGTGGAGCGGTGGAGAGCAAAAGCCAGTTTGTTTGTGCTGAGGGGATCCTTGAGAGGAAGGGGAGCGACCTTCTAGTAGACCAGTGTGAAGTCTGGTGACCAAAGAGAAGAGAGGCATGAGGCAGTGGCTGTGAAAAACAAGATCAAAGAAAGGTTTTGCTGGACAGGATGGCGGGGAAAGTATGGACTGAAAGAGTCTGCAGGAGGGAGTGTGGGAAGGGAAAGGGAGGCACACAGGCCCAAGAGCCTCGATGCCAAATTTGGCATGAAAAATGCCCTAAAGTTGAAACATGTACACTCAAGTAACATATTCCTTTTCATTCTTCTGTACTTAAAACATTGAGGAATCATCATGCCTGCATTGAGGTTGGATATGCAAAGATGTGCCAAAGGTGTCTGTGGAAAATCAAGTCTAGCAGATGAGACAGGGAGATCGGGGCGTAATAGTACAATAGTGCAATTAGTGCGCTTAGTGCAATAGTACAATGGTGCAATAGTGCAATTAGTGCAAATAGTACAATTAGTGCCATGATGGAGACAGGTATAAAATTTAACAGAAACCTGGAAAAAGGAGCAATGACTTTTTTTCTGTGTGGTAAGTGAGCCATCTTCACAGAAGAGGGGAGCATTAAAGAATGAGTAGGAATTTGTCAGGCAGAAGAGGTGGGAAGGAATTTGAGGCAGAAAGAATAGCAGGAACAAAGAAGAAATGGAGGTGTGAAAAGAAGGCTCAGGAAATGAATGAGGTGCAGGGAGCCTGGGACATGATACTTGGCGAAACCAAAGGTGTGAGATGGCACTGGAGGCAGCTATAGGAATGATCGAGATGGGTCAGTCTAATGACTCAGGCTTCACTGCGTAGGTAATGGGAAGCCAGAGAAGGTTTTTGAGTAAAAGAAAGATTTCCCTCAAGTCAGACTCGCTTAGAGGGTAGCAGGGGTGTCCAACCTTTTGGCTTCCCTGGGCCACATTGGAAGAAGAAGAATTGTCTTGGGCCACACGTAAAATACACTAACAGTAGTGATAGCTGATAAGCTAAAACAAACAAACAACAACAAAAACACACACACACACAAAACAAACAAAAAACAACCATGCATAATTTTTGAGGTATCTGCCACCACAGATAAGCAAAAAGTCCTCGCCTTCCAAGGGTTGGACACAGCTGAGGGAAGGTAGGGAGCCCAGTTGGTGGCTCCCTGACTGGTCCAGTTAGATAGTCCAGTTCAGACTAGCCCAGTTCAGAAGATAATAAAGATCTGAACCAAGTAGTGGTTTTGTGAATGGAAATAGGGGATAGATTTGAGAAGTCTGGGAGAGTGAAGGGAGCTTTTTCTGTTAGATGTCTGTAAAGGTGTGATGGTGGAAAATTTGATTTTGTAAAGAAATATTGGCTGGGTTTGGTGGCTCACACCTATAATCCCAGCACTTTGGGATGTTGAGGCAGGTGGATCGCTTGAGCTCTGGAGTTCAAGACCAGCCTGGGCAACATGGTGAAACCCCATCTCTACAAAAAACACAAAATTTAGCTGGGCATGGTGGCACACACTTGTGATCCCAGCTACCTGGGAGGCTGAGATGGGAGGATAGCTTGAGCCTGGGAGGTGGAGGTTGCAGTGAGCTGAGATCATACCACTTCAGCCTAGGTGACAGAGTGAGACCCCGTCTCAAAACAAACAAACAAACAAACAAAAAACCAAAAACAGGCCAGATGTGGTGGCTCATGCCTATAATCTCAGCACTTTAGGAGGCTGAGGTGGGTGGATCACTTGAGGTCAGAAGTTCAAGAACAGCCTGGCCAACATGGTGAAACTCCATCTCTACTAAAAATACAAAAAATTAGCCAGGTGTGGTGGTGTGTGCCTGTAATCCCAGCTACCCAGGAAGCTGAGGCAGGAGAATCGCTTGAATTTGAGAGGCAGAGGTTGCAGTGAGCCAAGATTGCGCCATTGTACTCCAGCCTGGGTGACAGAGACTCCCTCTCAAAACAAACAAACAAACAAACAAACAAACACAATAAAACAACCACGACCAAACAAAATGAAATATTGCACCTGAGTATGGTAATGTAAATTGGAAGCCATCTAACTGCCTGCTGGACAGCTTCACCTGCATGGTCCGTGAACACCAAAATACACTCAAAACTGAAATGACATCTGCTCAAATTTGTCCCTCTCCTGCTTCAGTCATGGTGGTAATCTGCCTCCATTTGCCCAAGCCATCTTCAACACTTCCCTCTTTTTAATCAATTCCTAAGCACTGTAAATCCTGTCTCCTTACTAGATCTCCAATGCCTCCCCCATCTCTATATCCAGCAGCTGTGCTTTGGCTCTGAGAATTGTGCTCATTAACACGGACTAGGGAAACAACCTACTAACTGAGCTCCCAGCATTGTTCTTTGTGCCTCAGATTTACTCTCTTCATTGCTGCCAGGGAGGTCTTAATGAAAGGTATGCCTAATCTTATCTTTCTTTATCTTAAAACTGGTCAGTGGTTCTCTGGTGCCCCCAGGATCAGGTACAGATTCCTTCTTTTTCCATGGCCCCACGTTCTGTGAGCTGGCCAGGTGGCCTCTCCATCTTCCCTCTCCCCTGCAATTTCTCCTGCCAGCAGGGGCAAACTCAGAAGCCTTCTGGGAGTGGCAGGACCCTGGTGGGGTCTGCGGTGATTACGGAGCCTAAAGACATCCATGCAGATTTGTAGCAGCACTCGTCTGGCGTCCTCCAGCTGCCTCCTACATTGCCCACTGCTATTTTCACCGAGAGAATGTTCTCCTTACCTCCTTCACCTGGCAGCAGCAATCTCTTCGAGATTCAGCTCAAATACCACTTCCTCTGGCAGTCTTCCCTAAGAGACTTACCTATCTTTCCTTTTGCTCTCCAAGCAACATGCATCTGCCTCTCTCATGGTACTTTTTACCATTATTGGATTGTTTTTAAATTTTTTCTTCTCCAAATATACCAAGCTTCTTAAGGCCAGAAAAAATCATTTTTTCCTGTATTTCTCCAGGGCCTAGAGAAAGAGTCAATAAATATTATTTGAATTATAGAAGAAATATATTAAAGGCAAGAATTTCAGGTGGATTGGTATTTCTTCCCTTCCCTTACTATAAATGAATCATTAATTTTAATTGGGATTATGTTCAAATAACTCTCAGTTATGAAAGCAAATTATGTAAGCTAACTCTGTCCGTCGTGAATTTTCCGTCGCTAACTGCATATGAAATGCACGTTCTGGTAAGGATGGATAGTATCATGTAAATTGAAAAGCAAAGTTGCACAGAGTTTAAATGCTAAATGCAGGTAATCTGGCAGACTCAAAGACAGTAGAATGCAGTTTCTTATTTATGCTGAACTGTGATTCAAATGAACAATATATACAGTAATCCTTCATTTCTATGAAGTTAAAAGTTTCTAGTAACCTTAATCTTTTGAAATAGAGACAAAATCCTTGAAATAGAAACTTTCTCTTTGGGGTCTCGGCTTGCTCTTGTCTTAATCCCTTTTTGCCTGTTGTAGTCCTGGCCTAGTAAATGGATGGGTCATATGTAGAAATAGAAAGAAAGAGGGTTTCATACCGTCATGTAATAGGTACTTATCTATTTTATGTAAAATACAAGCAATAGCAGTTAGGTCACTTTCATGGACACAGGTTAAAAATTAAAAATTCCAGATAGCTGATACAGCATTAAACAGTGATAACCTGAGGATGTAGAGACAAAAGCAGTTTATGGTATTGTAGCACAATGCAATAAGTGATATTTGCAATGACTGTGACTTATAAAGAAGAGATAAAATTGTATTCATATGTATGCTATTTGCCAAAATTGGAAAATATACACTTATAAATAATTTCATCCTGATAATTAAAACATAGCTAGTTCTGGGCTTTAATCTGGTGTGCTTCAGTTGGCAGGAAGTTGTACCTATTTAAACATTTAATTGCCTGAATAAGCCAGATGGATAAGTTATTGCAATCAGAAGAAAATATCAAAGATAAAACCCAAATCATAAAATGATGATATAGAAAGCTCATTGATTGATTTATTCATCCAGCAAGCACTTAGTAAGCATTGTCCTATGTGTGGACTTGCCAGATAAACCACGGAAATCAAGCAGAGGAAAACCTTTAAATAGCTTTCTAACTGTAGACTGCTAAAATATGAATCTTGACTTCCTTTATACAGCGCTGTTTTAGGGGGGAGGTGTTCATTTAACTTGGATGCATTAAACAATTTTTTTTTTTTGAGGCGGAGTCTTGCTCTGTCGCCCAGGCTGGAGTGCGGTGGTGCAATCTCGGCTTACTATAAGCTCCGCCTCCCAGGTTCACACCATTCTCCTGCCTCAGCCTCCCAAGTAGCTGGGACTACAGGTGCCCGCCACCACGCCCAGCTAATTTTTTTGTATTTTTAGTAGAGACGGGGTTTCACTGTGTTAGCCAGCATGGTCTCCATCTCCTGACCTTGTGATCTGCCCTCCTCGGCCTCCCAAAGTGCTGGGATTACAGGCATGAGCCACCGCACCTGGCCCTGCATTAAAAAATTTTAAAGAAATTTTCTAAAATATCTTAATTAATAAAAAAGACCCCAAAATGTTGTTCGAAATTTTGTTTGTATGGTGAGCTTTGAGTTTGGAGTGCTCTGTAGAGCCCAAGAAGAGTAAAGTGGCAACTGGCTAAGTTGCCAGTGACAACCGGCTAAGTTGCCAGTGACAACCTTTGAGGCCAGGGCCCAGTTAGGTGGGAAAAATTCCCAAGGAAGGTGCATGGGTGGGTGTGTTAGTCCATTTTCACACTGCTGACAAAGACATAGGCTGGGCACGGTGGCTCATGCCTGTAATCCTAGCACTTTGGGAGGCCAAGATGGGTGGATCACCTGAGGTCAGGAGTTTGAGACCAGCCTGGCCAATATGGTGAAACCCCGTCTCTGCTAAAAATACAAAAAAATTAGCCAGGCATGGTGGCACGTGCCTGTAATCCCAGCTACCTGGGAGGCTGAGGCAGGAGAATTGCCGGAACCTGGGAGGCGGAGGCTGCAGTGAGCCAAGATCAAGCCACTGTACTCCAGCCTGGGTGACAGAGGAAGACTCTGTCTCAAAATAAATAAATAAATAAACAAATAAATAAATAAGACATACCTGAGGCTGGGTAATTTATAAAGAAAAAGAGGTTTAATGGACTCACAGTTCCACGTGGCTTGGGAGGCCTCACAATCATGGTGGAAGAGTAAGGGATGTCTTACATGGTGGCAGGCAAAGAGAGAGAACGAGAGCCAAGCAAAAGGGGTTTTCCCCTTATAAAACCATCAGACGTCGTGAGACTTACTCACTACCATGAGAACAGTATGCGGGAAACTGCCCCCATGATTCAATTATCTTCCACTAGGTCCCTCCCACAACATGTGGGAATTATGGGAGCTACAATTCAGGATGAGATATGAGTGGTGACACAGCCAAACCATATCAATGGGTGGATCCCAGGGGCTAGATTAGCCTGAGAGGGGCATGGTTGCAGCAACAAGTTGTCGAAGCAGAGAGATGAAGATGTCATCAAACATAGCCAAATGTGTTGTTTGGCAGAGTTAAGAAAAGTATATAATATTCGATTGAACATGAACATCAAGGGCTAGGAGAGTCAAGAGCATTCAGACAAGGGGTAGGCAGGGAACTGGCAGGGTGGTTCAGGAATTTATTACCACATATGGGTCAGAGTCCGTGCTCCGTTCCATGCTCTCTGCAAAGGAGAATTACCTGTAAGCTTGGGAGAAAGAGGAAGAGATTCTGTGAGATCACTCATTAACTTTGACTTTCATGTCCCATTTTTGTTTCTGTTCTTGGGTTTAGTATCTTAAATTTCTGGATCAGCTTTCTCAGAAAATGAAGTTGGACCAGATGGCTGCCGAACTTGGCTTTGACATGCGGCTGGACGTGGTTTTAGCTCGAACAGAGCAGCTGGTTCGTCTTGAGAGCAATGCAGTCATTGAGAACAAGACCATTGCCCACAATTTGCAGAGAAAGGTAGGAGATATTGAAACTTGCTAGTATTGAGAGAAGAAATTTCTGAAAAACCCAAACATTGAAAAATAATGTACTGCCACCATGTTTACCAGTGTAGCTAGGAAGGCTCTTATAAAAATATGTATTTAGAATTGGAGGCTCAATTTCAAGTCTGAAGAGTTGGTAAGTGTATCTGTCACCTAAGGTTGTGTTTCACTGTGTGTAATGGGTACCCACAATGGCAGTGACTTAAGCAAGTAAAAGTTTTTTGTTGTTGTTGTTTGTTTGTTTTTTCTCACACAAATTCCTGGAGACAGGAAGTTTGGGGCTGGTGTGGCAACTCTCCTCTGTAAAGTCTTCAAGGAACCAGGCTCATTTCAGCTGATTCACTTCCCATCCCTAGGGTGATCCTTATTCTCATGGTTCCAAATGGTGCCCAGAACCATTATATATCTGTGTTTGAGATAGAAGAGAAGAAAGGAGTGAGGAATAGGGCTGCAAAAGAACAAGCAGAGGCATCTTTAAAAAAGGCACTCAGAATTTGCTACATGAACTTTTGTTTATATCCCATGGCCAGAATATGTTTTGGTGGTCAAACCTAGCTGCAAGGGAGGCTTGCAAATGTAGGCTTTACTCTGGGTAGCCATTTACCTAGCTAGAAAAAAATTCACAGTTTCTATTACTTTGGGAGAAGAGGAGAACTGGGGGGACATTTAGCAGCCTCTGCATTTGTAAACTCAGCTGCACTAGAAATTCTAGCAGAGAGAGAAGGGCTTACTTTTCTTCACTCAAAGGAAGAGTTAGAAACAGTTTATACTAAATCAATGAATGAATAGATGAAAGGTATAAAATATAATTATTAGTTACATAATTATTGGTATTGGGGAAAGAAATAGGAAAACACAGATGTATTCTTATAATAGTTCTTAGGAGAGAAATGCTATGATACAATTCCAGTGTAGATGCTGTATAATGAGTCACATCTGGGCTCCCAATTCGGTTCCATCAAGCTGTGTGACCTTGAACAGATTATATACCTCTCTGTCTCTGTTTCCTCATATTTAAGATGGGGATGCTATATACCCCAAGGAGTTGTTAGTTTTTAATAAATAACATTTTCAAACCCTTGGCTCACAGAATATGCTGTATTCATGTTTGGCTTCTTCTCCACTACCATATCTTGAGGAATATTTTATAAAAGATAGCATACAAACCCTATTACCATTAGAGACATTAAATTCAGCTACCATTCTTTCCAAAGTTCTGCTCAGATAATTGATTCTTTTTCTCAGTGTCCAACACCATTACTTCTTAATAATTATATAATTATTAAACTTACCAGTTTATAGAATTTACCAGTGTAAAATTGCAATGGAGTGGAATTTTCTTTTCTTTTCTTTTTTTTTTTTGAGACAGAGTTTCACTCTTGTCGCCCAGGCTGGAGTGCAATGGTGCGATCTCGGCTCACTGCAACCTCTGCCTCCCGGGTTCAGGTGATTCTCCTGCCTCAGCCTCCCAAGTATCTGGGATTACAGGCACCTGCAACCATGCCTGGCTAATTTTGTATTTTTAGTAGAGACAGGGTTTCTCCATATTGGTCAGGCTGGTCTTGAACTCCTGACCTCAGGTGATCCACCCGCCTTGGCCTCCCAAAGTGCTGGAATTACAGGCATGAGCCACCATGCCCAGCCTGGAGTGGAATTTGACATGAAGAAGCTTAAGAAAGGGAATTTGATTAGATAAATATTAAAAAGGTCTTGTTCAAAAATGATCTGGGTATGGACACAGCTGTCACTGTTAGGCAGGATACTCAAAGCAGCATTTCAGTAAGTCTTTCCACCTGTTACCACTTTACAAGTGCAGAGTAGATAATTAGGGGAACTTTGATGGTCTTCAGCTTGAACACTTGATAATATATGATTCTGATTCTGATGTTTATAGCAGATGACAGAGGTTTCTGTACTTAATATTCCATCTACTAATTGTGACATGTGGAGCCTAGGAAGCTTCTTCCCCCTCTAGAGTCCATAGTCATTTTCTTAAATATCACTCTAATTTCCTTTTTTAGGTTTGGTTACCAATGATAAATGATGTTTGAGGAGCTATCCTCTGCTTAGTTTGTGGACCTTACAGGCCAGACATATAATAAAGACCAAGAAACCTTCTTACAGTCCCTTTTATTTCTAAGATTTTATATGTATAAGCAAAGCTTTAAAGCAAAGCTTACTTAAAAATCTCCTTGGTATATCTTACTTTAAAAATATATCAACTCTCAGCCAGGTGTGGTGGCTTACACCTGTAATCCCAGCACTTTTGGAGGCTGAGGCAGGTGGACCTCTTGAACCCAGGAGTTCAAGGCCAGCCAAGGCAACATGATGAAACCCTGTCTTTACAAAAAAATACAAAAATCAGCTGGGTGTGGTGGCATGCATCACAAGTCCCAGCTACTTGGGCGGCTGAGAGGTGGAAGGATTGCTTGAGCCTGAAAGGGAGAGGCTGCAGTGAGCTGTGATCATGCCACTACACCCCAGCCTGCACAATAGAATGAGACCCTGTCTCAAAAAAAAAAGTTGATATATATCCACTCTCATGTTGGGGGCCACGTGTTCCAGTTCTAAGGGATTGAAATGAGCCAGTCTAGGTTTACAGTACTCACTTGCATTGTATCTTATTTCAGAAAATGCCAGTGCAGATATTGTGGCCGTTAGATGTTGGACAGGATTTTGTCTCTCTGTCTTATTACATTCTGCTCTGATAAACTCATCTGAGGAGTTTTTTAAAAGTAATTTTACATTTTTATGATGATGCACATAATGTTAGAGAGCATCAGATGTGGAAAGCTGACTCCTGCACATTTTCTGGGGCTCTTTTGTCTCAGATTTTAGGTATGCAATTAATTCTTGGAAAGGGTATGAGTAAAAAATGCAATCAGGAAAAGGAATCCAATGACTTTTTTGATGGTTTACAAATTACTCTTATTGAGGTGTAGATAGAGATCAACATTATCTGGGTAACTCATTTATATTTACTATTGTTCAATTATTAAAAAAAAAATCCCTGTTTGCATCAAACCAGCTAAAGACACAGAAAGAGAGACTGGAGAGCAAAGAATTACACATGAGCCTCCTCCGGCAGAAAATAGCCCAGCTGGAGGAGGAGAAGCAGGCACGCACGGCCTTGGTGGTTGAGAGGGACAACGCGCATCTTACCATCAGGAACTTGCAGAAGAAGGTGGAGAGGCTGCAGAAAGAGCTGAACACGTGTCGAGACTTGCACACCGAGCTCAAAGCCAAACTGGCCGACACCAATGAACTGAAGGCAAGTGCTTGGCTTCATTTTGTTGTTGCTTTTTGCTGGTTACTGTCAATGTTTTATGCAAAAGAATGACAGCTTTATCGGGACACGCCAGAAGAAGAAAGATGAAAGCCTCCTCTGATTTTCTAGAATTATGGGAAAAATGCAAAAATGACACAAATCAGGGTACATATCCATTCAGTGTCTCTTCAATATCTGAAGTGAAGCCATCATTGCTAGGTGAAAAGTCAGTCAAAAAGTGGTGATGTTTCCTTTTTTAAAATTTTTTTGAGGAGGAGTTTCGCTCTTGTTGCCCAGGCTAGAGTGCAATGACGTGATCTTGGCTCACCACAACCTCCTCTTCCTGGGTTCAAGCGATTCTCTTGCCTCAGCCTCCTGAGTAGCCAGGATTACAGGCATGCGCCACCACGCCTGGCTAATTTTGTATTTTTAGTGGAGATTGGGTTTCTCCATGTTGGTCAGGTTGGTCTCGAACTCCTGATCTCAGGTGATCCGCCCGCCTTGGCCTCCCAAAGTGCTGGGATTACAGGCGTGAGCCACTGCGCCTGGCCTTATAAAAAATTTTTTCGAGACTGAGTCTCGCTCTGTTGTCCAGGCTAGAGTGCAGTGGCATGATCTTGACTCACTCACTGCAAACTCTGCCTGGGTTCAAGTGATTCTCCTGCTTCAGCCTCCCAAGTAGTTGGGATTACAGGTGTGCACCACCATGCCATGCTAATTTTTTTGTATTTTTAGTAGAGACAGGGTTTCACCATGTTGGCCAGACTGGTCCCCAACTTCTGACCTCAAGTGATCCACCTGCCTCAGCCTCCTGAAGTGCTGGGATTACAAGTGTGAGCCACTGCGCCTGGCCAAAAAGTGGTGATGTTTTAAGTCCAGAAAAGAAATACATTTCTCCAAAGTGTTGGTGACTGCTATTAGTGATGATGCAGGGATTAATCACATTGGAATTTGCTTAGGAAGAAATGAGAAAATGGGCACAACTGTTTGCTGAAAAGAGTCAGGCAGGCAAGGGTATTTACGTTGTGCTCTGTAGGATACATCATTACCAAGTCCAGTGGAGAAGGTCACCAGAACTGGGGAGACAGTTCCTATATTCAAGGTGTTCAACTTCTAACGAAGGCAGAGCAAAAAGAAATGGAAACTTACAAGAATTTAATCAAAAGATTTACGTGTCATGCATGTGTGCCACTGGCAATAATATGTAACTTAATATGCACACATCATCCTCAGCAGGTGTGCAAATCGCAAGTACAGTGGACAATAACATCCTGGCTCTTTGCAGACAATGCTCTGAAACTGCTTTTTGGAAGGTTTCCGAATCTGGAAACAGACAAGCAGGGAAAAAGAATCTGGAATTAAGCCAGCCCTTGAACATGTGTAGTGGGGACCATGTTTTAGAACATATTTTCCACTGTAGTTTCCCTTCTGGGTAGTTTTCTTTTCCCTGCTGAAGCCCTTCTGCCATTGGGGCTAGACTGCCAAGTTGAAGTGTACTTCCTTGGAGAAGGGGAGAACGGGCACCCCCCAGAGAAGGACACATCTGAATACAAGGAAGGGGGGAAGCAAGGGAAAGCATCTGAGGTGGTGCCATGGGTGGGGAGGAAATATCAGAGGTAAATCCCCTCAACAGTCCCTTTGCAACTTGAGACTGACCTTTAGTGGGGATTTGGAATAGGGTGGAATAGCATCAGCTGCTCTAATCCTGGCTGGAAGAGGCTGCAAATGGTGATGAATCTTGGGGGCCTAGATTGCACCTCAATTCCCTGGAGCCTGGAGTTCCATTTTCACTAGTGAGGGATATGGATGACAGCTGAAACGCAAGCTGGAGAGCTCATTACAGGAGCAGATGGGGGTGTTCGGTTCAACTGAGGGACAAAGTGACCCTCCATCAGAGGCCCTGGGGTCATCACCTAGGCTGTGGCCCAATAGCAGCTACAGCCGAGCCTTGAATTAGCTGAGACCAATGATGTGGCCTTGACTCTGGTGAGAGACCGTCACAAATTTCACAAGTCAAATAATAGATATAGGAGAGATTCAGGGGCAGCATGAGGGCCAGAATCACTTTTTCTAAAATCACAAGGACTTTCCTCCACCCAGTTATCATCTCAGAAAGAAGGAGGGGAGAGAAGAATCCCCTAAAGATGGCATTGTATGAATAAAAACAAATTTTAAACCCAAAGAAATGCAGTTAGCTGCAAATACCATCTGCTCTAACCATTTGGGGTGACGGTAGTGGGGAGTTTGTTTCCTGTATCCAAAGGACTATGCAGATTATCCTAAAGTTAATGTGGCTGGGACATTGCACCAGCTGCTCCTGATTGTAGGATGTGCGGGTGTTCATCCCTAGGCCAGAGGCACTCATCCCCTCTGACATCTTTGCTTATAAGGATACAGGAGTACTACTTTGTTAGAGAGAATAAAGGGCCTTTGGACACTTCCAAAGAAGCTAGAAAAGAAAAGTTAAAGAAATGGAAACCAGTGGTAAGACAGCTAATAGTTGGAGAATGTCATTGAACAAAATAGGAAAAGGAACCTCACCATTATAGCCAATGTGTGATGCACACCTTTGAAAAGGAAACAAAATTTGGGGCTTTAGAGAACAATAAGGAGAATTTGCAGACCTGATCTAACACTTTTGAAGAATTTCTCTTACCCATAGGGAGGTGCTTTCATGTAGACAAGGATATGGCAAAATCAGAGCTGTACAGTGTTTCTTGAACTCAGACTGAAAAATCAAACAGTCTTCTGTCTTTGCCAAGACTTTATAAACATAGATTACCTCCTAGTGCTGTCATGGTATTTGGTACAACATTGCTTCTGATCAAACAACAGTTGTTTGGAGTAGAGGATGAGGATGAGTGACAGTCAATGCAATAATAGGTGAATAGGAGGTCTGGTTGGCTGCTGCTGATGCCTTGACAATGTCTGGGAGTTGGGGAGGGGAAGAAGCTGAGCAGTGGACAGGGGCTGGATCACATGGAGCCTTATGTGTCACACTAAGATGTTTGGACTTATCCTCTGGGTCCTGAGGAGCCATTGGAGGATAAAATTGTCAGGAACGAGACTGAGAAGAAACAGAGAGAGAGATAGAGAGAGAGCAGAATGAGGCTGTGGTCAACTATACCAAGTACAGCAGTGCGATAATGACTGAAGGAGTGTCCACTATACTTGGCTTTGGAAAATCTGTGAGTCAAGCATGTGCGGATCATGGTGGTAGTGGGTGAGGGTTCTGAGAATAAGTCAGATTTCAGGGATGAAAGAGAAATGAAAACAAAGACAGTGCAATACCCTTCCGGGATACTTGGATGAAAAGAAGAGAGTTAGGAAAGTAAATAAAGTTGGCTTGCGTATTTACTTGGTTGCCTTATTTTGAATAGACAGATCCACATACTTTTACAGATAAGATAATAGGAAAGGTATAGGAGAGACTTGGTTTGACTGACTCAAGAATTACTCGGGCCCCTACACATTTCAAAGGAATGTTAAGTCTTCCTTCCAGTGTAGAACAGAGATCTCTCTAACTTGTTAACACAGTAAGTGTCAACTTCATGCATTTATGAGATATCAAATACAGAATAGATTTTTGTTTTGTATTTGATACAAATCCAAAATATCAGACTTCTGAAATCAATTTCCAAGACAGATTACCGGTATCAGCTATCCACCATTGTACATTGCCTTAAGCTTGTCCCTGTATTAATTTCACTATTCATAAAGCAATATTTCTGAACATTAGCAAAAATAGCTTTACTGTATTAGTTTCTTAGGGCTACCCAACTACCACAAACTGGGTGGCTTAATACTCAATCCCGCTAACAGTCCTTGGTTTATAGCTGCATAATTCCAATCTGTGCCTCCCCTTCACGTGACCTCCCCCTGTGTGTCTCTTCTTTTCTGTCTCTTATAAGGACACCCATTGTTGGTGTTAGGGCCCATCCTAATTCAAAATGATCTCATCATGAGACTCTTACCTTAATCATTACCTGCAAAGGCCCTTATCTAAATAAGGTCACATTCCGAGGTTCTGGGTGGACACAGCTTTTGGGAAGGCACTACTCAAACCACTACACTTATTAAATTAACAATTTTACCACTCTTAGAGGGACAATATAAAATAATAATTTGAATTACATTTCTATGGTTTTTTTTTAAATGAGAAATATTTACATGCCATAAAGTTTATTTTTTAAAGTGTATAATTGAATGGTTTTTAGTATATTGACAAGGTTGTACAAACATCACCGCTATCTAATACCAGGACTTTGCATCACTCCTCCCACATCCTCCCCCAAAATCCCACACCCATCCACAGTCATTCTTCATTTACCCTTTCTTCAACTTCTGGTAACCAGTCATCTTTCTGTCTTTATAAATTTGTCCATTCTGTAAATTGTATATAAATGGAACCATATAATACGTGGCCTTTGTCTCTGGCTTTTTGTATTAGTCTGTTTTCCTGCTGCTGATAAAGACATACCCGAGACTGGGCAATTTCCAAAAGAAAGAGGTTTAATGGATTTACAGTTCCACATGGCTGGGAAGGCCTCATAATCATGGCAGAAGGTTAAAGGCACTTCTTACATGGCGGTGGCAAGAGAGAATGAGAGCCAAGTGACAGGGGTTTTCCCTTATAAAACCATCAGATCTTGTAAAACTTATTCACTATCATGAGAAAAGTTGGGGGATACCACCCCCATGATTCAGTTATCTCCAACTGGGTCCCTCTCACAACATATGGGAATTATGGGAGCTACAATTCAAGATGGCATTTGGGTGGTGACACAGCCAAACCATATCACTTCTTTTACTTAGTATGAGTATACTTAATATTTTCAAGGTTCATCCCATGTTGTACCATGGATCAGTACTTCATTCCTGTATTGGTCAGTGTTCTCCAGAAAAACAGAAGCAATTGGTCAGTGTTCTCCAGAAAAACAGTGCGTGTGTGTGTGTGTGTATGTGTGTTTGTGTGTGTATACAGACAGATATATGTAGATATAAATATCTACATCGGTCTATCAATCATCTCTCTATCTATATAGAGAGATTTATTTTAAAGAATTGGCTCATGCAATTATGGAGACTAGCAGGATGGGCTGACAGACTGGAGACCCAGGTAGAGCTGATATTGTAGTAAAAATATGAAGACTGGCAGATTATCCTTGTGTTGAGGGAAGCTCATTGTCTTGTGCTGCTTATGCCTTCAACTGATTGGATGAAGCTTACCCACATTATGGAGGGCACTCTGCTTTATGCAAAGTCTACCCATTTAAATATTTGACCAAGTATCTGGGCATGATTGCCCAGCCAAGTTGATACATAAAATTAACCATCATAATTCCTTTTTATGGATGAGGAATATTTCATTGTATGGATATACCACATTTTGGTTGTCCATTCAGCATTTGATGAGCATTTAGATTGTTTCCACTTTTGGCTATTCTGAACAAGGCTGCTATGAACATTTGGGTCAAAGCTTTTGTACTCGTTTCTATGTCTGTTTCAAAACCATGATTGAAGACCTTGATGCCTAGGTTATATAAATCTTCTGTTTTAAGACCCAGGCTGTAAATTTACTCCTGAATTCTAGACCAAGAAAAAGTAGACCTTTCCAGATACTATTACATTTTAATTTGGCAGGCAAACATAAGTATAATAGAAATCCTTTTTGCAAGTAAAATGTTTTTTCACGAATTCCCCTACCTGTATTGAGTTAAAATAATTTTATTATATTTACAATATACAAACTTAAAACTACATAGAAATTTCTTAATCTTATTATGTTTCTTAATATTATGAAATCCATATCAGTTCAAAAATCAAAACAAAGGATAAAATAGAATTTTAAAAATTAGGGATATTAATTCAATGTGATAGATTATTTTACTAAAATCACCATTGATATGGTTTGGCTCTGTGTCCCTACCCAAATGTCATCTTGAATTGTAATCCCCATGTATTGAGGGAGGGAGGTGATTGGATCATAGGAGCGGTTTTCCCCTTGCTGTTCTCATGATAGTGAGTTCTCATGAGATCTGATTGTTTTATAAGTGTTTGACAGTTCCTTCTTCACATGCTCTCACTCTTGCCTGCCACCATGTAAGACATGCCTGCTTCCCCTTCTGCCATGATTGTAAGTTTCCTGAGGTCTCCCCGGCGATGCAGAACTGTGAGTCAATTAAATTTATTTCTGTTATAAATTACCCAGTCTCAGATATTTCTTTCTTTTTTTTTTTTTTTGAGATGGAGTTCCGCTCTTGTTGCCCAGGTTGGAGTGCAATGGCACAATCTCGGCTCACTGCAACCTCCACCTCCCAGGTTCAAGCGATTCTCCTGCTTCAGCCTCTTGAGTTGCTGGGATTACAGGCGTGTGCCACCATGCCCGGCTAGTTTTTTTATTTTTAGTAGAGATGGGGTTTCACCATGTTGGCCAGGCTGGTCGTGAACTCCTGACCTCAGGTGATCCACCCTCCTCGGCCTCCTAAAGTGCTGGGATTACAGGCGTGAGACAACATGCCCAGCTGGGTATTTCTTTATAGCATGGACTATATACTATCCATTAATGGACTAATACATCCATTAATAAGAATGTGTGGTACCAACTGCTCATGATGCAAGTTCTTTTGAGTTTGGCATGTTTAAAGTTTATTATCTTTTGAGTTTGGCATGTTTAAAGTTTATTATCTTTTGAGTTTGGCATGTTTAAAGTTTGTTTTCCCTAAGGGTATAGGAGTTATTGTACCATGTGTTTTATTTTAATACTGCAGATACTTTATTTGTACCTATGCCATGACATAGTTTGGCTTTCACTTTGCATGAACACATTATTTATGTATTAACTCTGCCTTTACCATTTTCTTATTAGCCCAGGATAACTACTAATTGGCACAAACATAGCCTTATACACAAATGCAAATGCCAAGTACTGAAATCATGGGGCAGAATGGCAGAAGATGAAGAAAGTGCTTTGTGTAATTTATATCATGCTAGGTGCTTTATGGCCTGCATCAGTTATCATTAGTTTCAGCTCAATATATTGAAACACCCCATGATATCAGTGGCTTAGAGAGGAGAGGCATTTATTCCCTTCTCACTGGAAAGAAGCACCTGGTGACCTCAGTTTTCAACCTTCTGCTTCAGTATCCTAGCAATAGCTTTAGTCCTCAATGCCATCTTTTAGGCCAAGCTAGCTGCTGGGGCTCCAGCTTCACTCTAGTCATCAGGAAGGAGGGACAGTGGAAGGACACCCTGTGTGCTGCTTTCCAGGAATGATACAACACTTCTTATGTCTCCATTGGCCAGAACTTAGTAACTTAGTCCCTGGACCTCATTTAAGTGAAGTCGGTCTGAGAAATGGGTCTTTATTCTGTACAGTAAGAAATAAAGTAAGAATAGCTATTTGGTGGAGAGCCATCAGCTATCAGCCTATATCATGTGGCCCAACCTTAGTAAGGAGCTATGGCCGAAGATCAGCAGTCAGACAACCAAAAACTAGTGGAAAGCTCATTATCTTCATTGCACTCTTTCAAGGAAACACCAAAAGGGATTAACATTCTTCAGCCACCTGTGAAGTTCTCTCCCACTTTCTAACTCTCTTTATATCTCCCACACAAGACAGCCTCTCCCCACATTCCTTCCCCACTCCAGAACTTTCTCCAACCCAACGAGTATAGCCTTTCTTAATTTTTTTCCCCTGAGCTCCCATCTCATACTCAGCTCCGATGATGTAGATCCATTGGATTTCTGGGACTGCTTTGAGCTTTTCCCACTTCTGAACGTATACAGCAAGCAGATCTCCAGCAAGAGGCATGCTCCTGGGGGTCAGATGGTGAAGGAGTGGAGGGGTGTGTCCTTATTAGGAGCTGAGAAAGGTGTGTTGGTTAATGGCTACAACATTACAGCTGGATAGGAGGAATAGGTTTTAGTGTTCTATAACACTGTAGGATGACTATAGTTAACAATACTTTATTGTATATCTTCGAATAGCTAGAAAAGAGGATTTTGAATGTTTCCAACACAAAGAAATGGTAAATGTTTGAGGCGATGGATAATGCTAATTGCCCTGATTTCGACACGTGCTCTTACGGTAGGGAAGGAGGGGAAGTGAGCCCAGACTGCAAATCTGAACATTCATCTTTGATTTCTGCTACATTCCTGCTTAGTTACACCTTTTTCTTTCATTTTTAGTTTCACATAACAACTGTACATATTTTTGGGATACAGAGTGATATTTTGATGCATGTATACAATGGATAATGAACAAATCAAGGTAATTAGTGTATCCATCACCTCAAATATTTTATCATTTATTTTAGTTGGAAACATTCAAAATCTTCTCTTCTAGCTATTTGAAAACGTACAATAAATTGTTGTTAACTAGAATCACCCTATAGTGCTTTAGAACGCTAAAACTTATTCCTTCTATCCAGCTGTAATTCTGTATCCATTAACCAACCTTTTCCTGTGCCCTGCCCCCACCCTTCCCAGCCTCTAATAACCACAATTCTACTCTCTGCATCTATGCACTCAACTTTTTTAGCTTTTACATATGAGTGAGAATATGTGGTATTTATCTTTCTGTACCTGGCTTATTTCACTTTACATAATGTCCTCTAGACTCATCCATGTTGCTGTGAATGACAGGATTTCATGCTTTATTATGGTAGAATAGTATTGATACATGGATTGAGGATGCCTCAAGCCTGTGTTTGCCTCAGCTCTAGTCAATGATTGGAGCATTGCCTATCCCAAATGGGAAATGTCGCAAAGGGGATATTCTGGCAGTGTGGGAGGCTAGCAAGGGTTCATGCCCAGGAGATGTATGGAACATACCTCCTACAGTGTGGTCCTGCTGAACAGATGCCATTCTGATTTGGCATTTCCTTCAGTCAGGTTAAAGAGCTGTCTCCCCTGTTTGTCTCTGGCTGTCCTCTGATATATTTTTCCCTTCAGGCACTCAAAGTAGCTGCTTTCTGTGGGTTGAGGCAGAAACTGTCCTCTTACCAGGGAACTTAAGATGTTGGGGAAGTTGGTTGTTCACCTTGATCTTACTTTTTCCATTGTAGAAACCATGAGTCTGGGGAGGTTTTCTGCACTTGTGGTGCTGGGAAGGTTGAGGGGAGGGGCATTGTGGCTATGGAAGTCTGATTTTCTTACTCTCTGTTTAGAGTTTTTTCACTTCTCTCTGGCTCCAGGAACTGTCTCATCTTTATATTTGAGTTCTGGGCTATTGCTGGTGATAATCTTGGTGCTGTGTATTTGTTTTTGTTTTTGTATATCTTGGGGTTCCGGGGGACAGTGCCACCAGCTTGCTTCTATGCCGCCATTTTTTTTTTTTTTTTTGAGACAGAGTCTTACTCTGTTGTCCAGGCTGGAGTGCAATGGCGTGATCTCAGCTCACTGCAACCTCTGCCTCCCGGGTTCAAGCAATTCTTCTTACTCAGCCACCCAAGTAGCTGGGATTACAGGTACGTGCCATTACGCCTGGCTAACTTTTGTATTTTTAGTAGAGACGGGGTTTCAGCATTTTGGCCAGCATGGTCTCGAACTCCTGACTTCAGGTGATCCACCCACCTGTGCTGCCCAAGCTGTTGGGATTACAGGCGTGAGCCACTGCACCTGGCCTATGCCACCATTTTGAAAACAAAAACCTTTTTATCATTTTGATGTAGGCATTATTGCTATAAACTTTTCTCTTAGTACTGCTTTTGCTGTATTTCACGGGTTTTAATATGTTGTGCTTCTATTTTCATTTGTTTCAAGAATTTTTTGGATTTTCTTCTTAATTTCTTCCTTGACTCCATTTGTCATTCAGGTGCATGTTGTTTAATTTCCATGTATTTGTAGAATTTCCAAAGTTTCTCTTGTGATTGATTTCTAATTTTAGTCCACTGTGGTCTAAAAAGATACTTGGTATGATTTCTATTTTAAAAAATTCGTTGAGACTTGTTTTGTGTCTAACGTATGGTTTATCATGGAGAATATTCCATGTGCTGATGAGAAGAGCATGTATTCTGCAGTAGTTGAATGAAATATTCTGTAAATGTTAATTAGGTCAAATTGTTCCATAGTATAGTTTATGTCCAAGAATTCTTTGTTGATTTTTCTGTCTACAGGATCTGTGCAATACTGAGTGTGAGGTGTTGAAGTCCTCAACTATTATTATAATGGAATTTATCTCTCTTGTTATCTCTAACAATATTTGCTTTATGTATCTGGGTGTGTTGGATACATATATATTTACAATTGTTATATCCTCTTATTGAATTGTTCTTTTCATCATTATATAATCACCTTTTTCATCTTTTTCTTACTTAAAATTTAGCTTGTTTTCTAAGTATAGCTAGTTCTGCTTGATTTTGGCTTTTGTTTGCTGAAATTATCTTTTTCTATCTGTTCACATTCAGTCTATGTGTCTTTACAGGTGAAGTTGATTTCTTATAGGCAGCATATAGTTGAGTTTTTAAAAAAAATCCATTTAGCCACTAATTGGAGAGCTTAGACCATTTACATTCAATGTTATTACTGATAAGTAAGATCTTGTTATTGCCATTTTGTTGTTTGTTTGTGGTGGCATCAGTAGAGCAGGCATTTGAGACAGAAAAATATCCCCTACTAAGTGTGGGTCTACGGGGGTTGACCTTGGAGAGAAATGTATTTTCAGTCTATATTTTTTAATTGAGGAATTTAAACTATTTACATTCAAGGTTGTTATTCATAAGTGAGGACTTACTCCTTTCATTTTGGTAATTGTTTTCTGGTTTTTAATATATCATTTGTTCCTTTTTTCCTCTCTTATTGTTTATCTTCGCAGTTTGCAGTTTGGTGATTTTTGTAGTGATAACATTTGATTCCTTTCTCTTTCCCATTTGTGTATCTGCTTTAATAGTGAGTTTTAACTTTCATGTGTTTTCATTCTGGTAAATATCTTTTTGCTTCTAGATGTAGGACTCAAACATTTCTTCTTGCGCTTGTCTAAGGGTGTTGAGTTCCCTCAGTTTTTGCTTGTCTGGGAAAAAGAATAACTTTGTTGGCTGTGTATTGTTGATAGGCATTTTTTTTTTCCCTTTTAGCACTTTGAATCCCATTCTCTCCTAACCTGTAAGGTTTCTCTTGAGAAATCCACTGTTAATCTGATGGAAGTTCACTTATATGTGACTTTATGCTTTTCTTTTGCTGTTTTTAGAATTCTCTTTTTGTCTTTGACTTTTGACTTTTAGACTATAATGTGCCTGAGAGAGGTTTTTTGGGTTGAAACTGTTTGGGGATCTTTGAGCTTCCTGTCTCTGTCTGTCTATATCTCTCACAAGACTTGGGACATTTTCAACTAGTATTTCATTGAATAGGATTTTAATGTGTTTTCCATCCCTTTTCCTTCTGTAACTTCCAGTAATGCAAATATTTGTTCACTTAATGGTGTACCTATGCCACATAGACTTTCTTCATTATTTTTTCTTTTTTGGACTGGGTTATTTCAAGAGACCTGTTTTCAGGTTTAGAAATTATTTCTTCTGCATGATCTAGTCTATTGTTGAAGCTCTCAATAATGTTTTTAATTTTATTAATTGAATTCTTCAGTTCCAAGACTTAACCTTGGTTCTTTTTCTTATATTTATTTCTTTGCTGACTTTCTTATTCAGATCATGATTTTTTCTTATTTCATTGAATTATCTCTTTTATTTCATTGAGTTTCCTTAAGATCATGATTTGAATTCTTTGTCAAGCATTTCATAGAGGTCCTTTTCTTTGGGATTTGTTACTGAAGTTTTATTGTGTTCCTGTGGAGGTGTACTTGCTTTTTTCATGTGTCTTGTGTCCCTACATTTGTATCTGTACATCTGTTGAAACAAACACTTCTTCCAATTTTATGAAACCGCTTTTGTAGGGAAAGACTTTTTCCTGTAGATATGGCCTATATTGTTGATTGGGTAGGGTGTTTTGGCTTTGGTTCTGGGAGGGTACCGTTGTGTAGTCTCTGTATGATTTCTTTAGCTGTAATCAATGTTAGCAGTATCTGTGAGTACTTCAGTGGCCTAGGGTGTGGTGTTTTGTGGAGGCTGTGGTGTGGCTTTGCTGGGGATGGAGATGCATGGCAGGCTGTTCCTTGGGCCTCTGGTGACACATGCAGAGATGAGGTGGTCCCACCACTGGAAGTGGGGTCAGACTGCCAGTGGTCATGGCAGAAGGCCATGAGTAGGTGGCTGTCAGGCTCTGGGGAGCATGCACTTTCAGTCTCAGGAAGTGAGTTTGCCTCAGCATAAATTTCCTCTCTGGAATAATGAGGTCACATGGACTCCAGGCAGCTCATTATACTGCGCTTGTGTCCTGTAAGGGCTGTGGTCTCCTGTAGCTAACTTTATAGGTGTCCATGATATGACTGTGGACTGTTAGGGATCTCCCACTTACCTTTTTCCTTCAGTGGGAAGTCTCTCTTTGCTCCAAGCTGATCCTGGCTGACTGCTTTGCTTTCCTTTCTATGCTGCCTTCCTGAGTTTTTGCATCTCAGAAGGTCTTTGTCACTTCCTTGCTGAATTCCAGTGTTCCTCCCTAGACACTGTTTGATGTGTGGTTATTTGTTGTTTTGGTCCTTCTTTGGGGTAGAGATGAGTGTTGGTTGCCTTTAGTTAGCCATCTTGATGATGTTTGCTACTTAGTTAAGTTTTTGTGTCCTTTTCAAAGAGGGACACAGCATCTATTCGGGCCATCAAAAGAATCTCCCACTTTGCTGTCCTATCCCATTCAGAGAGCCTGAGTTCACTTCCTGGCTCCTACTGGGTGGTGTTTTCAATGCAGCTTCCTGAAACCTTCCAGCTGGAGAATTTAGATCCTCTCAGGGAGCCAACACACCAAAATTTAAATTTGATCATCTTCCCTTTCTGGGTCTTTGGCCCTTATAACATGAGAGAATTGTTCACCAGATTTTAAAATTCTTTTCTTTAAGGAAGCAGACAGTAGATACAGTGTTTATGACAGCAAAGCACACTTGGAACCTTCTCTGCCCTTGCTAGAGTCTGAGTGGCACATCAATCTTGTTTATGACCAGTTCTGTCCCACTGGAAGAAAATTAGGGGCACAGTCTCTCGCTGAACTCTGAGCTGGGTCTGAGGAGTTCCCTTAGGAAGATTAAGAAACCGACTTAGTCCCATTCCACTCTCAGGAATCTGTTGCTGGGTTTGAGGCTTTCTTCACCACTATTGGCTCCCTGTTCTGCCCTGGTGGCTTGGCTCGGAGCTCCATTACTTGTTCTTGCTTCCTGGGAACAAAGATTGAGGCAGCCCTGAGGATTCTGATAAAGTCTCATATTTTTTAGAGATTCTTGGCAACAAATTCTTCTCATTAGGACTTGATTCATGAGCTTCTAGACCTCCAAGCTGTGTTCCATCACCTTTGGTAGATAGCCCACTGTAAATGTTTTCCCAATCTGAACAGACAGGCTGAATGTATCTGTTCTTTTATAAATACAAGGTTTAAAATTCAACATACCAATCCCAGCAATTTACCATTTGCCACATATTTTCTTTGTAGCAGTGAGATAGTTTGTAAGTGAAAGGAATCTCTTTGTTTTAAAGGGAGATCACTTTGTTTTAAACATTGATATTTACTTAATCAATGTAATGTCCCCATTTTATAAAATGTTTAATGGTCTACAGAATATATTATTTTGAGCAATATGCTTATGTAACTTATAATTATGTATACATATATATCAAAAAAATTCTACTAGTATGATCCATGATCAATACTTCCCTTTCCCAACTTCTTGTTTTGAAAATATTTAATTGTTTTGAAAAATGTCTAAGCTGTAGAAAATGGCAGGAATAGTATAATGGATACTCTTTTACCCTTCACACAGATTGTTAATATTTTACTGATTACTATATTTTGCCTGGAGAGAGAGAGATGTTTTATTTTTGCCAAAGCATGTGAGAGTAAGTAGCAAACATCATGACACTTCACCCCTCAAATATTTTCCCACGTATCACTTAAGAACAAGGGCATTCATTCTGTTACATGACCACAATACAATCAGCACAGATAGATATTAACATTGAGACAATGCTCTGATGTATTGGTATCTACTATGCAGTTCATAATCAAATAAGGGTTTTGGTAACTTGGGATCCATAAATGGTCTGCAAGGTCAGCCCCTGTAGACCTGCACTTAGTGGGTGCCATTTCCCTGTCTCAGGTGCCTGCTCTACTGGTGATATTTTTCACTGGCTCTGTTGCTCACTTAGAATTTTTTCTCCCAGCTGTTGACATTTTATTTTCTGCATAGTTCTGAAGCTGCAGCAGTTGTTCTTATGCCTTCTTGATTGTAAATTTCATAGAAGCTGTCAATTTCTAAGGGATTTCATCTCCTTTGATGCAGCCAGGTCAATAGCTACAAACCTATCTGAGAATGTCTGCCATCGGCCTCCTCTCTGTCTAGAAAGGTGTCTTAGTCTCTCAGCACTTTGGGAGGTTGAGGTGGGCGGATCACAAGGTGAGAAGATCAAGAACATCTTGGCCAACATGGTGAAACCCCGTCTCTACTAAAAATACAAAAATTAGCCAGGAGTGGTGGCGTGCGCCTGCAGTCCAGCTACTCTGGAGGCTGAGGCAGGGGAATCGCTTGAACCCGGGAGGCGGAGGTTGCAGTGAGCCGAGATTGTGCCACTTCACTCCAGTCTGGGTGACAAGAGCAGAACCCCATCTGAAAAAAAAAAAGAAAGAAAGTTATCTTAGTCTATTAAGGCTGCCATAACAAAATACCATAAACGGGATGGCTTATAAGCAACAGAAATTTCTTACAGTTCTAGAGGCTGGGAAGTTAAAAATCAAGGTGCCAGCAGATTTGATGTCTGGTGAGAGCATGCTTCCTTGTTCATAGATGATGCCTTCTTGCTGTGTCTTCACATGGTAGAAGGGGTGAGGCAGCTCTCTGGGGCCTCTTCTATAAGAGCACTAATCCCATTCAAGATGGCTCTGCCTTCATAACCTAAGCAACTTCCAGAGGTCCCACTTCTTAATATCATCATTGTGGAGGTTAGAATTTCAACATATGAATTTAGGAGGACACAAACATTCAGACTGTAGCAAAAGAAGTTTTGTGCCTTAAGAAGTTCTATGGGTTATAGTAGGTAAAAACTGTTTTTGTTTTTGTTTTTTTGCGACGGAGTCTCACTCTTGTCACCCAGGCTGGAGTGAATGGTGTGGTCTCTGCTCACTGCAACTTCCACCTCCTGGGTTCAAGTGATTCTCCTGCCTCAGCCTCCTGAGTAGCCGGGAGTACAGGCCCCCGCCACCACAACCAGCTAATTTTTGCATTTTTAATAGAGATGGGGTTTCACTATCTTGGCCAGGCTGGTCTCGAACTCCTGACCTCGTGATCCACCCGCCTTGTTCTCCCAAAGTGCTGGGATTACAGGTATGAGCCACTGCGCCTGGCCAAAACTGGTTTCTAGTTTATGAGTTCAGCAGATATTTGACTCTGGATTCCTCAATTTAGTGATATCACACAAAATGGTATAAATAAATCTGATTTTTTCCATCTGGACATCTATATCCCAAGCAGTCACATCTCCTCTAGATCATGTCCTAATCTTAGAACAGTTGCTCCCATTCCTCAGACTTTCTAGTGGGATAGTGAGAGCCTTCAGAGTGTAGAACAGGCTCACTTGTGCCATTATTCAGATGCTCAGCCACAGTGAAGATGCACTCTATGCCCAACCGTAGGGAGAGATTTCAATCTCTGACAGTAGTCTCCACATGTCATCAACGTAAGTCATAGTCATCTCAAAGCCCTTCAGCAATACATAATCAGGAATCGAGCAACTAAATAACAGTTGTTTGTTTTATTATCATCAGTAAAAAAATACAAAGAAATTCATTCATTGGGGCAGCAACATTCTCATTCCCCTTTCTCTCTCATTACATTGCTGCACAACACCAATGCCTTCTCACAGTTCCCTCTTGCATGATTCTAGGTTTCGTCAGGAAGGCTTTCCTGCAGCCTAGTTAGCATAGACTTCATTTTTCTCCCCACTTCTCTCTCAGCTGTTTACCGTGTAGGTCAGTTTAGCCTCCCTGGCTTGCTTCCTTCCTGACAATCTCCCCCTTTACCCAAATTCTACCCTAGAAGCAATTAGATAAAAATAGATGCATCAAGAAAACATCTTTTCTTCTTAGGAAAGAAGGGATGGGAGGGAAGGAAGAAAACAGCAAATACTTATTATTTGGTGTCTTTTATTCTGTTACTTTCTTACTTGTTTTTTTTTAATGATCTAACCACAAAACGAAAACACAAAATAATGCTTTTTCTTTGAGAATATACCTGAACAGTTTACCTCAATTGTCAGGAAGCGCAAGACTAAATTCAGAGCTGTACTGGTCTTTGTTTGCTTTGTTTGCTCTTTGTCTATTCATTCCTTACTGATATGTTTATTTATTTATTTCAGGTTAATTTATTTTGATCCTTTTAAAGAGCTTCCTTGTAAATGCACTTTCAAATAAGAGTTTTATTAAGATACAGTTGATATACCATAAAATTCACTTTTTAAAAGTGTACAATTTAGGCTGGGTGCACTGTATTCCCAACAGTTTGGGAGGCTGAGGCGAGAGGATCACTTGAGGCCAGGGGTCCAAGACCAGCCTGGCCAGCATGGCAATACCATATCTCTACTAAAAATACAAAAATTAGCGGGCATGGTGGCGCACACCTGTAATCCCAGCTACTGGGGAAGCTGAGGCACAAGAATTGCTCGAAACCAGAAAGCAGAGGTTGCGGTGAGCTGAGATTGTGCCACTGCACTCCAGCCTGGGTGACAGAGCAAGACCCTGTCTCAAAAAAAGTGTACAATTTAGTGATTTTTAGTATATGCACATATATAGCAAATGGCACCACTATCATATTTCAAAACATTTTCATCCCCTCCAAGAGAAACCCTGTACCCATAAGTGGTTGCTCCCCATTCTGTCCTCCTACTAGCCCCTGGCCTTTTCTGGATCTTTCATATAAATGGGATAATAGAATATGTGTTTTTTTGCAATTGGCTTCTTTCCCTTAGCATGATGTTTTCAAGGTTTACCTATGTGGTAGCATGTCCCAGTACTCTATTCTTTTTTACTGCTGAATGATATTCCATTGTATGGCTATACCACATTTTGTTTTTCCATTTGCCAGCTGATGGCATTTGGGTTGTTTCTACTTTTTGGTGATTACGAATAATGCTTCTATGAACATTTGTGTACAGTTTCTGTGTGGGCATAAGTTTTCAGTTCTCTTGCCCATACGCCTAGGAATGGAATTGCTGGGTCATGTGGTAATTCTATGTTTAATATTTTAAAAACTGGCAAACTATTTTCCACAGTAGCCACATCATTTTACATACCTACCAGTAGTGTATGAGAGTTCTAGCTTCCTCACATCCTTGCTAACACTTGTGATTGTCTGTCTTTTTTATTTTAGCCATCCTTTGATATTTTTAATGATCAGTGAAAACAATTTGTGTCTGTGTGAAGTTGCTTCAAATTCTTTTTTTTATTGTGGTAAAATAAAAATAACATAATATATATCATTTTACCCATTATTAAGTGTACAATTCCATGGTGTTAAGTACATTCACAGTGTTGTGCAACCATTATCACTATCCACATCTAGAATTTTTCTATCATCTCAGACTGAAACTTTGTGCCCATCAGACAATAGCTCTCATTTCTCCTCTTCCCCAGCCCCTGGTGACTTCTATCTTACATACAATTCCTATGAATTAGCCTATTCTACGTACTTCATATAAGTGGAATTATAAAATATTAGTCCTTTTGTGTCTGGCTTATTTTACTTAGGATGTTTTCAAGGCTCATCCATGTTGTAGTTGTAGTATGTGTCAGAATTTCATTCATTTTTTTTTTCTTGAGACTGAGTCTCGCTCTGTTGCCCAGGCTGGAGTGCAATGGCGCAATCTTGACTCACTGCAACCTCTGCCTCCTGGGTTCAAGCAATTCTCCTGCCTCAGCCTCCCGAGTAGCTGGGATTACAGGTGCCTGCCACCATGGCTGGCTAACTTTTGTATTTTTTTTTTTTTTTTTGTTAGTAGAGATGGTGTTTCACCATGTTGGCCAGGCTGATCTCGAACTCCTGACCTCAGGTGATCTGGCCGGCTGGGATAATAGGCATGAGCCACCACATCTGGCCTTAAATTCTTTTTGTAAGTAACTCTGGCCTAATCTTAAGTAATAAGCTAATACGGAGAATGTGCCTCACCCTCCAGCATACTGTGTGTTTTGGCTTTAAGATCTTGGGACAGCTTCTCAGAGGAAGACACCACTCCTCCCCACAGTTGCAGCTGTTCACCTCCCAGACTCACTGGTAAAGTTAGAAGACGCTTCTGAAAAACTGCCCATCTATATTTTCCTCACAGCAGTTGTGAAGACTTGCTGAGGTGGATTTAAGGTGGGGCTCTCATGGGATACAGCATTAGAAGAGGGGACATTTTGCTCTTCCTAATGTTTATATACCAGCAATGTCCCATTGGTCAGGGCAGAAAGTTGAAGGTGCTTTTGCTTATGGACCTCATAGAGTGTGTGTGCACATACCAGCAGGCTTAATTTTAAAATCTGACCCCAGAATTATGCTGTCTACAGTTTTATCTCATTGATTTTTCAAATAAGGGTACTCTAATGTGTTGTTTTTAGCTGTAACTGTCTTAAGACATGTTTGTCCAGCACATATGCTTAGCAAAATCTCTAACTGTTTGGGATGAACTCCATTCTTTATTCATAAAAAGGGTATGAAGTGAATTCCATTGACTTCTGATTTGTCATGTTTATACAGTTTTCCTAACTAAATACAAAAGGAGTTATCAGCATTCTCTTGACTTTCTAGATTAAAACTTTGGAACAGACTAAAGCCATTGAAGATCTAAACAAATCCAGAGACCAACTGGAGAAGATGAAGGAGAAAGCTGAGAAAAAGCTCATGTCTGTCAAGTCAGAACTGGATACCACAGAACATGAGGCTAAGGAGAATAAAGAAAGGGCCAGAAACATGATAGAAGTGGTAACCAGTGAAATGAAGACACTAAAAAAATCTCTGGAAGAAGCAGAAAAGAGAGAAAAGCAGGTGGGTCTAAATCTGGTGATGAAACCTTGTTTAGGAAATGACAGGACAATTCAAGAGCTTGATATTAATACTTATTCATGCATTTCTTTTTAAAAAAGTTTGGACTGTTTCATGAATTTGTATGTCATCGTTTTACGAGGGCCGTGCTAATTTTCTCTGTATCGTTCCAATGTTAACACATGTGCTCCCGAAGCGAGAACTAGTCACATATTTATTCAAAAGCAATTTACAAAGCTTTCTATATCTTTTCAACATATCCACCTGCCCCTCCAGCATCTTTTTGGCATTCAAGTAACCACTATGATTTACCCCGCTAAGAAAAATTATTCACATTTCCATGGCACAAATTGTAGGAAAGGAAAAGACATTCTTATTCAAGCAGCGGAAGGGTTTTGGTGAAAAAACAGGTTCTGGTTCTGGGGAGGTTTTTGTTATGTTAGGTGATCGCCTCTGAAGTTTGCATCATCATAGAGCTCTTAACGTTAACCAGGGCTTTGGCCTCAGGAGGGAAGCCTTATCTGTAGCAGAGATCAGTTGCAGGAAACAGCCCCAAATCTCAAACAGTGGCACCCAGACTTGATGGCCGACCAGGCACAGATGTAAGCCATAAAAAAGTACTCATTTGCTTGCTGGCTACAAGAAGGAGCATTTTATCTAGTGAGTCCATCAGGAGGTCAGGCGTAAAGAAACATGTACCGGGCAGCTTGACCTCCATTGCTTTTGGCTTTTGTCTCTTTCTCCTTTTGAAGCTCAAAAGGGCATAGAGTGGACTCTGATCCTAGGATTTTTTTTTCCCTGCTTTGGCTGCCTCTGTTTTGGTTCATGTGTCAAGCAGAGACGGGGAAAGCCAAACGACACAATGAGCGTTCTCAGAAAGGAAACTTCTTCGGAATGAAAAGCTTTGGCCACATTGGAAAGGGTAGAAGTCTGAGAGAAACTTTTTCATCAGGGAGACTAGGTCGGTGTCTTAGTCCTTTCAGGCTGCTGTAACAAAGTACCATCTACTGGGTGGCTTATAAATAATAGAAATCTCTTTCTCACAGTTCTGGAGGCTGAGAAGTCCAAGATCAAAGTGTCTGGTGAGCACAGCACAGCTTCCTGGTTCAGAGTCAGCCCCTTCTTGCTGTGTCCTCACATGGTGGAAGGAGCAAGGCAGCTCTCCGGGGCCTCTTTTATAAGGGCACTAATCTTATTCATGAGGGCTCCACCCTCATGATCTAATCACCCACCAAAGGCCCCACCTCCTAATAGCTTCACATTGGTCATTAGATTTCAACATAAGAATTTTGAGGGGTCATAAAATTCAAACTGTAATAGCTAAAAACCATTCCCAAATTGGACTCTGCAAGGGAAGCGGGTTGCAGAGCAAATGAGCCTGGGGTGGGACTGTTTGGGTGGCATTCTCTTGGATGTAACTGTATTCAGTTTGGATCATCCCTTTTCTAAAATGGAGGGTGCCTTTAATGAGGTGTTGGCCAGATGCCCTGATTTATCTGCTTTTGCATTAACCTAGAACCACAGAAACCAGCCTATGAGAATTTGAAGGGATATGAGGCATATTTCAACCATTGTCCCCAGCCCCTACTTTTCTTTCTTCAATGGACAAATAGAAGTCCCAGAGCAGTCCCATGGAATATGGCTTGTGAAATGGCAATCTGTGTGACATGACTTGATAGTAATTTAGAAGTCCTCCTGTTTTCATTAGCTTATACTTTCTTGCTGTTTGTTCTTTTTTTTTTTTTTTTTTTTTTTTTTTTTTTTTTTTTTTTTTTTTAGTGTAAGAGGTTATCAGCCAGCTAAAATCCCAAAGCATGTTTACCATCCATGGGCACAACCCCACCAACATTTGTTTAGTTCTTCCTAGTATGCAGAGCACACACACAGTCACCATTTCATGTGATCTGAATTTCAGGGCAGCCCTTCGACGTAGGTGTATGGTTAATCCCAACCTGGAGATGAGAAAATGAAGGCTTAGTGAGGTCTGGGTCTCATTCATGGTTACTTAACTTGGATTCTTGACTTAGTAGCCAATACCACATCAGTTGGCTCATCAGAAAAGTGATTGTGAAATCTCTGAAGGTTGGCAGTTGATGTGACTTATCTGGAATCTGGTATTTTATAAGTGAGAGAACTAGGAAGAGAGTAGATAATTTCCCTACCTCATGCAAACCTGGGTTTTCTACAGGTTTTTTGTTTGTTGCATTTGGCTCAGCAGTAGTTGATACATTTTGTTCTCCCAGTTAATGAGTTTCTGTTTGATATTGCAGCTGGCAGACTTCAGGGAGGTGGTGTCGCAGATGCTAGGCTTGAACGTGACCAGCCTTGCTCTTCCTGATTATGAAATCATCAAGTGTCTTGAAAGATTGGTCCATTCACATCAGCATCACTTTGTTACCTGTGCCTGCCTCAAAGATGTGACTACTGGGCAAGAGAGGCACCCACAAGGCCATTTACAGCTTCTTCATTGAACACTGTATCTCTTGAGAGAGGTGGCCATAAGACATGGCACACAATTCCCAATTTCACAAATTCCTCATGTCTTTGAGATTTGATCAGTTTGTGAATATTTTATGCTTTGATGATATAGTGAGAATGCATCACTTGCAAAAACGATCTCAAAAGTGTCAGCCTTAGATAAACGTTCAGCATTAAAAACGCCTATTATTTCATTTACTAGCATTTTAGGATCCAGAAGAATTCCACCAGATTGCATGAGTTAGATTGGGAAATGGGAGTGGGAGATAATATTGGGAGGTATCTATTTTAAGTCAGGGGCTTTACTAGCCGATTTAGTTCTCACAATAACCATGTGGAGAAGCTGTGACATTTTTAATTTACAACCTTTCTGGGGCTCAGACATAAAGTTACCTATCCAAGGTTGCAGTTGGGTAGTGGTGGGACCAGGATGGACAACTCATTGGCCCTGCCTCAAAAGCCATACCTCTTCTCCTGCTATGCAGAATCTGTTTCTCCTGAATCTCTGTGATGCTGGTGGGAATTGTTTGCATAGAGGAAGGACAATAACCCTGCCATCGTGAGTTAATGTCCGGGCTGGTCACAGTGGTTCATGCCTGTAATCCCAGCACTTTGGGAGTCCAAGGCAGGCATATCATTTGAGGTCAGGAGTTTAAGACCAGCCTGGCTAACATAGTGAGACCCTGTTTCTACTAAAAATACAAAAATAAGCCAGGTGTGGTGGTGCATGACTGTAATCCCAACTACTCAGCAGGAGAAGCACTTGAACCCAGGAGACGGAGGCGGCAGTGAGCCAAGATTGTGCCACTGCACTCCAGCCTGGGCGACAGAGTGAAACTACATCTCAGAAAAAAAAAAAAAAAAAAAAAAAAAAAGTTAATGTCCAAAAATGACAGATTTACAAGTGTAAGCTATATGATTTCTTCAAAAAGCAAAAGCAATATACCTAATTCATTTGGATCAAACTTACATAGGTCTCAGGTCCTGTAAGAAACTTGCCTGTTCTAACTGTTGCTACCAGATTATATCTGGTGGTAATTGTTAATGTTTCAGCAGGGCTGGTCTCAGTCCTTTAAAATGGAAAGCTTTATTTGGAGCCCAACCCTATAAGATGAAGAAATCCTATATAGTCTTATTCACCAATATATCCAATACACCCACAGCAATGGTACCTTTTTAAGATCAGGATTTTATTATGAATTCCTGTCACTTTCTGTTTTCCATTTAAATTTCTATTTTACAAATTTTTCAGGGAATCATATTCTTAACTTCACTGAGAAAAATGTGTTACTCTTTTGGACAATTTATCTTATTTCTATCATATAAGATGTATTTTTTTATTGTCCTTAAAAGAAGCTCTAGCATGAAATTAAAGGAAAGGGAAAGAAATAGATCTGGTGCACCCGAACATTAGGAGAAAATGAAAAATATACAACCAACCGTTCGTGAGTCATCAAAAAGTCAAAGTCAGCCTGGCCAACATGGCAAAACTCCGTCTCTGCAAAAAATACAAAAATGAGCCCGGTATGTTGGCATATGCCTGTAATCCCAGCTACTCGAGAGGCTGAGACACGAAAATTGCTTGAACCTGGGAGGCGGAGGTTGCAATGAGCCGAGATCGCGCTACTGCACTCCAGCCTGGGCAACAGAGAGAGACCTTGTCTCAAAAAACAACAACAACAAAAAGTCAAAGTCATAATAAGCAAATTATTGGCTTCTTTCTTCTAGACTAAAAGAAATTAAAGAGATGAAACAATCAATTGCAAGGGTCAAAACTAGATTGGATCTTGGTTTGAATGAAAAAAAGCATAAAATATTCTTGCAATAATTGTAAAAATTTGAATGTGGACTAAGTCCTAGATTATATTAAAATATTTTTAATTTTTTAAGCTTGACAAATGCACTGATTGTTATACTTTAAATAACTAAAAATCTGAGAATCCACAGTGCTACAGACAATAAGTGATAAAATGGGAAAAAATAGTGAAGATCTTCTTTTAGGAAAACTACCAATAAATGTAGAATGGATGATTCCAAAAAAAAAAAAAAAAAGAAGAAAGAGAGAAAGAAAGAAACAGAAAAACCTAAAAGAAAGCGAATGAATTTGACACCTGTTGGTTGGATGACAGACCACACAGAGGGAGAGTGACCAGGCTTTGCTTGTGGAGCGGGCATCCCTGCCTAGCTATCTCCTTCATGTGCAAGGACAGTATAAGTAGTATTTTGCATGTGAGTAAACACACCTGCGCAGCCCTGGCTGAGGTCACTAGGCTGGCCAGAGGCAGGACAGGCAGTCTTGAATTTCCTCTAGGGGAGGCCTGCAGTTTTCCCCACCAACCCCTTTTCACATGCTCCAAAGATGTAGTAGTGTCTGCTGTTTTGGATCGAAAATCACCTTGAGTGGAGGAAGTGACTTCACTGGGTCTCTGGAGGCTCTCGGAGCTTGAGTGGCTCTGCCCCACCCTGAATCATGCACCCATAAATGCAGTTATGGGTGGATGTGGGTGTATGAGAGTGGAGATTGTTTTTGTACATTCTCTTTGTTTTCATTTTCCAAATATAATCTTTAATAAACTTGATTTAGTTTCTTGGGAAATTTATTTTCTACGCTATTCAAAGATATTTTAAATAATATTTTAAAAACATGAAATTTTTTTTTCATTTTTGATTTGATATCATTAATTTTATATCAGGATTCATGTAAGAGACTAAAAATGATCCATAGTGGTTAGTACTGTAATTTCTGTTTATTACATGAAATTACATTCCATTTATCCAAATATATGTTTATATAATATTTCCACTGTGTGACTCTAGTGATCTTTAACATACACAGAATGATCTACAGTGATCTTTAACATACTCAGAAATATGAAAAATGTTTGAATATGATCTTTAGGGACTTCTAATGAAAAGGGTATATGAAATGGGAACAATAAATTCTGTACATGTATACAGTCCATATACACATTAAGTGTTTGTCATTTGGACAAATTGAAAACTTTTAATAAAGCCATTTTCTTCTTTGTTAAAATGCCAGTTGGTTGTTGGATTTCCCTTTATGGCAATCATTCCAGAGTTGGCAGGCCAGCTTTGAATTTTTAGGTTAGATTTTGTTCTTCTATAATATCCATGTATATTTTATGCTGTCCAATAAAATGCACTAGGTTGATATGATTTTTACATAAGGCTTTAAAATATTTAATACTAACTCTTCTGTCAAATACACTTGAGTGATAGTGATTTTGCACTGAGGTTATTATTCTGGTCACTGTCTGAGACATCTAAATCGATGCATAAAAACATCTCATTTAGGGAAAACAATTTAAGCTTGACCTATCTAAAATTTCCAGTTTTACCTTACAGTCTGTTTTACAGGTTAACAGCAAGTGATTCAAGGTCCAGGGGTGGCAGGCTGAAGCTGTTAAAGAAATCTACATTATTGATATTGTCATAATACTTACGACTCAGAAATGGAGTCTCATTTTAACTGGGGAAGCATTTCATGGTTATGTAGCCTTTGGCTTGGAAAGTCTCACCCAGTTGATGCAGTAGTGATTTTATCCACATTATTGGACACTTCACTTAGCTTCTCATTAGCAAGTGGGGTCTGTATGCTTCTCTTTCCGCTATGTGCTTCCATACCGTATTCCTCTGCCTTTGTATAAACACATGGTTCATTTGAGGCTCCTGCTAGCTGATAGATGGATAACTTTCTTCTAGACCTCATTGGGGTTACCTACTAAAAGCCTATCTATTCTCCCTGCTTTAGACTTTTGCAAGTGGTTCATAGGTGTCTTCACTACCCCCACCGGGTGCTGCCTTCATCTTGGGTAGCTTTAATGCCCATAAAGCCAACTCATGTGACATCATACCTTTTTTTTTTTTTTTTTCTTTTTTGAGACAGAGTCTCACTGTGTCACCAGGCTGGAGTGCAGTGGTGCGATCTTGGCTCACTGCAACCTCCGCCTCCTGGGTTCAAGCGATTCTCCTGCCTCAGCCTCCCGAGCAACTGGGACTACAGGCACGTGCCACCATTCCCGGCTAATTTTTGTATTTTTAGTAGAGATGGAGTTTCACCATGTTGGCCAGGATGGTCTCGATCTCTTGACCTGGTGATCTGCCTGCCTCGGCCTCCCAAAGTGCCAGGATTACAGGCATGACCCACCACACCTGGCCTATATCTTTAGTTCCTTGGCCTTCTCAGTGCCCATACTTTTACCTCCTGTTGTTTCAGCCACTCACATCCTAGACTGCAGCTTATAGTAATCCAATTTAGACTACCTTAAGCTGAAAGGAGAATTTTGGGGGCTTGCTTGAAAGATTCAGGGGTAGACTAGCTTCAGCTTTGTTAGATCCAGGGGTTCAGAATTGGTGTCTGAATTCTTTCTGCTTCTATCCATCTCTCATGTTGACTTGATTTTGCTTGTCTTTGCATGTTGGCCTGACTTTTTCCTTCCGCACATGGGTTCCTCCATGCTACCAGAAGAGATGATCACAAGCAGTTGCATGATTGTTACAACTCATGTGGTCAGGCACGTGGCTCACACCTGTAATCTCAGCACTTTGGAAGGCTGAGAAGGGCGGATTGCTTGAGCTCAAGAGTTCAAGACCATTCTGGGCAAAAAAACAGAACAAAACAAACAAACAAAACCAAAAAAACCCACCATGAGTCGAGAAAAAGAGACACCCCCTGTCTCCAAGTGTCCATGCCAAAAATATTAGCCGAGAGGCTGATCATCTCTTCCAGGTCATATACGTATCCTTGAACCAATCACTGTAGCCAGGTGGATGAACTCACTCACCAGCCTGCATTCCATGCCAACCACTGTTAGTGAGGTTGGGGTCGGGTGACGCTCTAGGATTACCTGTTCAACCAGGACCACATGTAATGACAGAGGGAAAGTTCCCCAAAGGAAGGGCAGCTGGTGAGACACACACACACACACACACACACACACACACACACACACACACACACACTTCTGTGACACGTGGCCTGTCAGGACTAACACCTAGAACTTATGCATCTCTGAAATCTTAACTAAAAAGCTCTACAACCTCTTACCATCCCAAACCTTTATCTCTTACTCCCAAATAGCTGTGCTTTGAGCCTTTGAGCCTTTGCGTTTCCCTGGTCCTCCTATTTTCTCCCTCCCAGTCTTGCCCATCCTCGTTCCATCTGGAGCCAGCCTAGATATTAAGGTTCATTTCTTCAATCATTCTCTTCCTAACACCTTTAACTCGTTGTTCCCTTGCCCTTCTGTCCTCGACTTTGAATTACTCCCAACTATCAATGTTTCTGCTGCTTTTCCTGCCCCACTGAATGAAGCTGGAGAAAATCACATGAAATCACAGCTAAGTGGCATCCCAAATTCATGGTTTTTGATCTTATCTGAGCCTCCTGTCCTAACTGGTAAAGCTGCACTGTTTTCCCTGTTACATCTCACTGTTATTTTCCAAAATGATTTTTGCAAATATTCTTTTTTCCTTTGAGGCTCTCATCCTGTGTCTTCCCTCTTCACCCTCAGCAGACAATCTCATCTCCTATTTCACCCAGTAAATAGAAGTCATTATAGGAAACACCTTCAATATCACATCCTAATACAGCCTTATATGTGTCCACACCCCCCCTTCCCTCCTTGCCTCTCCCTGTCTCAGCTATTTTCTCTACCTGGGCACTTGCATCCACAGCAACTTAGCCCCATCAATTGTTTTCCTCTCTTTCCAGTGTTGTCAACCTCACCTTCATAAATGACTTATTTCCATCAGCATTTAAAAATGTTCAAATCTCTCTCATCTCAAAGACATCCCTCTCTCTACTCCACAGCAACTTCTCCTCAGAGCCCTACCTCTGTCTTCTTCTCCCCAGTTGAGCCCCTTGGAAGTGTCCTGTATATGCTGTCTTTCTGGTCTCACCTTTTATTCATGCCATCATCCGTTCAACCTGGCTTTTTTCTTCATTCTTCCAGTGTTCTCATTTTTGTGAGCAAATCTGTGTTACTTTTAAAGTGCTTATCTTCAAAGGCATGGTATCAACCCAAATGCCCATCAGTGAAAAACTGGGTAAAGAAAATGTGGTACATATACACCATGGAATACTATGCAGCCATAAAAAGGAGTGAGATCATGTCCTTTGCAGGGATGTGGGTGGAGCTGGAAACCATCGTCCTCAGCAAACTAACACAGAAACAGAAAACTAAACACTGCATGTTCTCACTTATAAATGAGAGCTGAATGATGAGAACACAAGGGACTCAGTTTGAAGGCACAAGAGGGTTTTCTCTGATATCCTAAGGCTGGGGTAGGTAACCCAACTGGGGGTTTCCATGGCATCTTGTGTGTAGCTAGACCAACGCTTATTTACAACAACTTCCCATAGTAGCATCTCCTTTTGTGGACAAAGAAACCCTGAGACTCGGAGAAATGAAGCTTACAGCCACCTAAGGTAAAATAGAAATCTACTCTGTGTTACTTCAAAGTCCACATGATTCACATCGAGCCACGCTGCCTCCTGTAGGCTTGTTCATCACATGTCTAGTGCTTGGCCCATAGTTGGTGAGCATTTGTTGAATGTCTGACTGAATCAGCTGATAGAATGGAGTTTGAATATTCAGGTGGATTGGATCCTCCTCTCTTTATGGACCAGGACTTTTAACCATTATCTGTATAGAGATTTGAATGGATTCTCAATGCATAATTTACGTAATTACAAAGTGGGCAGGTGACCAATAATGATAATAGCTTACAGATGTATTATAACTCTTACTACAATGTTCTCACATACATTACTTTTTTTGATCTCCACAATAATTCTGATAGGGCAGGCATGGTTATTCCTAGGAAATGAAGAAAGAAAGAGTGAGAGAAAGAGAGAGAGAGAGAAAGAGAAAGAGAAAGAGAAAGAGAGAGAGAGCGCGAGAGAGAATGAATGAATTAGCCGAACTGAGAACAGGCTCCAGGTTTCCTAACTCCTGGTCCCATGAACTTTCCATTTCACAAAGCTACTTTCCCTGCAATCCCTTGGGTAATCCTGTGGTTAATTCTTGACTTAGCAGAAAGTAGGGAAGAGGTAGTATAAAAAAAAGCCACTATTCAAGTGGTAACGAACAATAAATATAAAAGGAGAGATTGCACCCGCTGTTGATCTGGAAATTGAAAATAGGGTCAAAGCCTGGACTCATGCTCTCTGGCTCCAGACTCACTATGTTCTATCAGAAAATCACGCGTAGCTGGAGTATTGCTAAGTGGAAGAGGGGTTTTGTTGTTGCTACCATGCTGAAAGTCATTTACATACTCAGAACAACACCTTTCCAGTTTTCCTATAGGACTGTGAATGTCTTCCCAAGGCATTTAGGAAGCTATAAAGAAATGATAAAGAGGAATGCTTGTCTGTGCTCAGCAGCAGATGTCGTGGTGTACCCCAGTCCTGCTGTAGGACTGAAGCACTTGTTCTCTAGCTGCCCAGAGCAAATGACTTCTGACAAGCCACATCTGGGTCCCTTCCAAGTTCTTGCCCTTGGATGAAGGGAGCTATCTCATCCTGGGTCGCAGACCCTTTCCAAGGGCAACTCTCATCCAGTGGCTAGCCAGTGAAGGGGTACACAGCCATGGCCCTTTTCCCTCCATGCAGGACCACTCTGAAGGGTCATCTCAGTTTCCAAACCCCTCCTTTCTTGTAAGATTGGGGAGGCCTCTGTTGCAACTGCATGTCAGGGCAGCCAGTCCCTCCCCATCCTGCTCTTTTACTTTCTTGCAGGTTTAGCTCCTGAGTGTGCGATTCGACTAAACTTCTGCATCCAAATCTCCATCTCAGAGTCTTCCAGAAAACCTACAACAGATTAATTCCTTCTCTCTGCAATTGGTTATGAAGATACTCAGCCATTTTTGTGACTTCCATCATATGGTTTTATCAATCTGTCAGTCATAAGTACTTTTTGATCACTTGGTGCTAGAGGAGTCACAAAACCCAAAAACAACAAAATAAACCCCAAAATATCTGTGTTCAGTTTTCAGCTTCTTTTCAGAATTATCCAATAGAAATTTATAACTGAGTTCCAGTATAATGTTGAGTACCAGAAAAATATTTAGTTTTTTCTTTCCTGTTAATTGCAACAGGGTACAGTACCAGAATAGGTGCTACTCCTAGTGGCTTAAGCAATAAGGGATTTATTTATTTTTATTTTTTATGTTTTTTTGAGACAGAGTTTCGCTCTTGTTGCCCAGGCTGGAGTGCAATGGCATGATCTCGGTTCACTGCAGGCTCCACCTCGCAGGTTCACGTGATTCTCCTGCCTCAGCCTCCCAAGTAGCTGGGATTACAGTCATGCACCACTATGCCCAGGTAATTTTGTACTTTTAGTAGAGACAGGGTTTCACCGTATTGGTCAGGTCAGGCTGGTCTCAATCTGCTGACCTCAGATGACCCACCTGCCTCAGCCTCCCAAAGTGCTGGCATGAGCCACCTCACCCGGCCTAAGAAGGGATTTATTATAGGGTACTAGGTGGCTTACAGAATCATGTGAGGGCTGAAGAAATGAACTTGAGGTTGAGCTTTCCACAGAAATTCCCAAAGGCCCACCACAGAACTAAACCACCAAGAGAGCTGCTGCTGCTACGCCTAGGTGGATGCAGAATTGCATTGATACGACCCTAATCCTGAAGCCACCGCTTTCAGGGTGCCTTCCCTCCTACTGCTAATTCTAGAACCCTACTGCACCTGCTGCTATCTGGACCACAAAATGTGTGCCTTTTACCCTGCCTCTCAGGAACCACAGAATAGTGACCATATTCTGCATCCTCTGCTAATGATGCCACAGAAGTCCAAGAGCATCCATCAGAAATAGCTGTGGCAGTAGAGGTGTGACCACTGCCATCGTCCACATCTCACACTCGGGCATCTAATGGCTAAATCCAAATCACATCTGGAATCCTTTCTCAAGGGATTCCTGGAATCATAGCATTCAGCTTCCCAATGATGGAGGTACAGAAAGGCATGCTGGAAGAGTGTTTTCCAAAAGTTCTGACATATTCTACTGTAGAATCATTTTCCTCACACATACATACAGTCACATACGCATCTACCTGAAATAAAAGATTCACAAGACAGTTGAGGCACCCTGATGGTTTCAATTCTAGTCTATGCTGAGCAGTGCTATGCTATTCCATGCTATTTCATTCCATTAAGAAATGCTGGTCTTGACCCACTAAGTTGGTTTCGTGATGGACTAATGGACGATAACTGGCAGTTTGGAAAAACACTTCACAACAAGAAGGGAGAAATGGATGTTGAGTGCCAATCCACAATATCTACGATACTATTTTATACTATTCCTTCCCCTGTCCTGAATTGACAGAAAGAATTCAAGGCTGCTCACAGAAGGGACTCAGTGATATGATAAACTGCATAGTGAACTGAGGATCAAAAGTAGCTTCTAGTCCATGGACCAGCAGTTTATTTGTTTGTAAATGAGAGCGTTGTGATAGTTCTGTGTTGTAATGACCGGATTGACACCTACCTAGTAGGAAAACTGAGGGAAATGTTGACCAGTCTATACCTTGTACCTTTTACTAGAGGATGGATTAAGCCCACGAGGGAGTTTTGATGGCAAATGCACTATGGTGTGCCTTTAGAAGCAACTGTTGTACTCCTGAAAAATATTAGTTGGCTTTAGTCCAGTTCCTGGTTTTGCATGTAGGTGTAAAACTAATGATTCATTCTGAGAGCATGGGGGTATATATTGAATGTGAGAAGCATGACTCATTCACCTGCCCCATGTTTGAAAAGCAATTGTTAATTACACTGTTAACATTTGTTAAGACTTTAATTTCTTCATGTAGAGCTTTTAGGTAAAAGCTTATATTTACCAATAACTGGGGCTTTCAATGAGAACTTTTTTCCTGATGCAGTGCTGGTTGGAAGGTAATTGGTTTCAAAAAAGAAAAGCCCATTGAGAAGGCAGAACAAAGAAACGTTTAACACATGTTTCATCTGTGCCAAATAGTACACCAAGCATTTCCATGCACAATCACTCGTGTAGTCCTTACAATAGCTCTTAATGAAGAAATTATGATTTTCCTTTTTGTAGATGAGGGAGAAAGGCTTAAAGAGATTAAAAGGGATTCACCCAAGGTCATTAAACTAGAAAGTGAAAGCATGGAATTCACATTCAATTTTGGATGACTCACACCTCCTACTTTTCCTACTGTTCCAGGATGTCTCTGTTGCTTTCATTATTTGTTCAAGGTGAATATAAGTCAAAACAAAACCCCTCAACACAAACTTTATTAGCAAGACGGTAATTTTTATCTTTTGGAAAAAAGAGACCTTCTAATGGGTCCTTCAGCTGCCCATTTCATCTCTTCCTTAGCCATATTTTCCTCTTTTTAGGACCCTGATATCTAAAAGCAACAGAGAATTGAACAGATGATTTGTGGGCATTATTTTGGTTTCATATCTTTTATGGTTTTCTTTTGGTTGTGATTGCATTTAAGGAAACCGGAAGAATTTGTGTTAAGGAAAGAATATGTTTCCCCAAAGTTCATATGTTGAAGTCCTAACCTAGATGTGATGGTATTTGAAGGTGGGGCCTTTTGAAGGTAATTAGGTTTAGAGGAAGTCGTTAGGAAGAGCCCACATGATGAAATTAGTGCCCTTATAGGAAGAGGAAGAGACTGGAGAGCTTGCGCTCTCTCTACTGTAAGGAGACAGCAAGAAGGCATCTATGTCTCTGCACGCCAGGAAGAGAGAGCACCAGAACCCAACCACGCTGGCACCTTGATTTTGGACTTCTAGTCTCCAGCACTGTAAGAAGAAAATTTCTGTTGTTTAAACCACCCATTTTATAGTATTTTGTTATGGCAGCCTGAGCTAAGACAGTAAGTAACCTAAAACACTTCCCTAAACACCTCTATAAACTTAACGCAAGTGCCGGTCATGTTTATGACACTTTGATTGTGTATGGTTGTAGCAATGTGAAAAATGCCAAACTTGTAAAATATGTGAAAAAGATCTGCAAAACGTTCATGCCTCTTTAAACACTTGACTCTTAATATTTGTTTTCAAATTTTTTCTCTTTTAGCAAAAATACACAAAATTAAGTAAAATACTAGGACTAAAAGGAACCCAATTCAATGTGATTCTTCACCCATGCAATCTGGTTACCCTCAGTGCAGAGGTTGAGCTGACATTTGTACCTACTGACAGGATATAATTTGTGACTTTGGGGAACATGGTTGCACACTTTTGAGAATCACTTTTTTAATGCTAATTAGCTTATTTAAATTTTTTTTTTATGGTTTCTTATATGTAAGCCAATATATAGTCCGCATGGTTCTGCTAATAGTCCTTAGAAGCTGGCAATGATGTCCTTCGCAGAGATGGTAGAATCCTCTGTGTGATTCTTTCAGAGTGTGTGATGAGTTACAGGAAAACGGCAGTTTCCAAAACAGTTCTGCAAACCACTTCATCGTAATCTTCATAATAGTCACCATTTATTTATGCACCAGAGACTGTGTTGAAAACTTTGTAAGCTTTATGTAATTTAATCTTCCCCTAACCATAATCTTAATGATAATAGTCACCATTTATTTATGCACCAGGGTGTGTTTGAGCACACTGTAAGCTCTATGTAATTGAATCTTCCCCTAACCCACCACTGGCTGGTCTGACCCTGCTGTGCTCTCTCTCTCCCATGCTATTCTGCCTCTTCTTTGGAGGGGCCCATTGTCAGGCCTGAAGCTGGGTATCTGACCAGGTTGTGCCCTGTCCTACACGGGAGTGGGAACTGCTCTGTACCTAGGCGTCTGCCACTGACTCAGAAGTCCAGGTGAGTTGGCTGAGGAGGAAAGACGCCTGCCAAACAGAGAGCTTTGTGTTTGTGGGAGTTCACTCCGACTTCCTGGTTTGGGGATCAGGCTGATTGGCTTCAATTGAATGTTAAAGCTGAATTTTTAAAGCCATGCCTCTTTCACTACAGTGGGGACCTCTATGCCATTCTGCATAGGAGTCTGATAACATGGGTATTAAGGGCATGGAATTTCTAGGTGTACTCACTGGCCTCTAATCTGAACCCCACTTTGGCTGTTTGCTTCTACCTCTGGGCATTGGTTCTCTCATCTAGAAAATGAAGGTTAACAATGGTCCTAATCTCCTATAGTTGGTCGGAGGGGTAAGTAAAATCATAGATATGAAAAGTTTAGTCCTGTGCCCAGCATATTATCAAATCAATATGTATAAGTTATTATTAATATTAATATGAGGCCCTTAATAGGTCCAATCATCATGTATTCATATTTAATGGCTTTATCTCTAGACTAAATCACTGTAATCAAATACTTATCTTTTCCTCCCTCTGGGATAGACTGTTGGATGGTCTTCAGTGAGTCATACCTTCCAGTATTGATGTCCTTTTGCAATCCTTCCCCAACCCACACTGACTCTGGGCTTGGCCAACTGACTGGCTTTGGGCAATGGGACATTGGCAAGTGTGCTGCAGGCAGAGGCTTGGTAAGCCCTTGCACACTGGGGCTTGCCCTGTGGAATGCAGATGCCATGCAAGAAGAGAAGACTGGGCTAGTCTTGAAGAGAGATCCTAAGACCACATGCAGTAAGAGGCTGGTCATCCCAGCATCCCACTGGAGCCCACCCCTGAGCCAATTTTTCAGCTGAATGCAACCACATAAGGGACTCCAGTTATGAACAGAACTGCCCAGTCGACCCACAGGATCATGACAAACAATGCATTATTGTTGTTTTAAGCCACTGACTTTTTGGGGTGGTTTGCTGCGTAGCAGTAGATGGCTGAAACACCCTCCATAAAATAGTGTGAGACATAACCTTATACCAAAATAAAAATTTAGCACGGATGCTATCATACCAATGGCAAATGAACAGTTGTGGGAAAACAGTAGAGCTTTCAATGAGCTCAAAGTAGCATATCTGCATCAGGGGCCCATGCCTTGTTGCCAGGAAGTCCATCAGAAGAAACCTAGGGAGTTTTCAGGAGTCCTGGCTGCTGGGAAAGCCAGCACTGCAGCTGTTGGCCTGTGGAAATGTGAAAAAAAGAAAGAAAGGAAGAAAAAAAAAACCCACAGGCACTCCAACCGCTTCACCACAATAATTGCAACTCTTATTTCTATTTGCCAGCAAAACTAGTGTTTACAAGAGAAAAACAAGACGAATTATATTTTTAGCAATAAATGTTTTATTTGGAAAATGTCAGTGCCAGTTGCACCCTAATGGTGTTTTTTTCCAAAACATGTGGTTAGTAAGAAGAGTGGAGTAGGGATTCAGGTTATTTTAAGAGAGCTCTGAGAGCTTGACTAGACAGTATTGAACCGGACTGTATTAGAAGGGATATGGGCCTGTTTGCACTGTAGCTGCAGAATATATCTGACATGAAGCATCTCCTTGCTTTGTGGGATGGCTTTGGTACATGCACCAGCACTGCTGTGTCCCACCGACTCAGCTTCCCTTTCCTGAATTGCTTTTTGTTCATTGCATTAGATGAAATGAATTGAGTGGTTTGGACATTGGAGAAGATTATAGATCTTCAAGGAAAAATACATTCAGTACATGATTAGAGGCTAGAATAGATAAGAAATCAATTTGGAATGAGCAGTTTTTAAAAAATAAACTTTATATTTTGGAGCGGTTTTTGGTTCAGAGCAAAACCAAGTGAAATGTACAGAGATCTCCCTCATACTCCCTCCCTCCACATATGCGCAGCCTCTCCTGTCAAAATCCTGCACCAGAGTGGCACATTTGTGACAACTGATGGACCTACAGTGACACACCAAAGTGCATAGTTTACATTAGGGTTCACTTTTAATGTTGGAAATTCTGTGAGTTTTGGCAAATGTATCATAACATGTATCCACCATTATAGTATCATACAGAGTAGTGTCACTGCCCTAAAAATTCTTTGTGTGCTGCCTCATCATCCCTCTCCCCCTCCTACCCCTGACAACCAGTGATCCTTTTACTCTCCACAGTTTTGCCTTTTAAAGAATGTCATGTAGTTGGAATCACACAGTATGTGGCGTTTTCAGATTGGCTTCTTTCCCTTAGCAATATGCAATTAAGTTTCCTCCGTATCTTTTCACGGTTTGGCTGCTCATTTCTTTTTAAGGCTGAATCATATTCGATTGTCTGGATGCACCACCATTTATTTATCCTTTTGCCCATGGTAGGACATTTTAGGTGCTTCCAAAATGAGGCAATTATGAATAAAACTGCTTTAAACATTTTCGTGCTTTTTGTGTGGACATAGTTTTCAACTCGTGGGTAAATTCAGAAGCATGACTACTGGATCGTATGGTAAGAGTATATTTAGTTTTGTAAGAAACTGCCAAACTGTCTCCTAAAGGGACATTTCCACCAACAATGAATGAGAGTTCTTGTTGCTCCACATCCTTGGCAGCATTTGGTGTTGCTTTGGACTTTGATCATTCTAATAGGTATGTGTTTGTATCTCATTATTGCTTTAATTTTCAGTTTCCTAATGACATTTGATGTTCAGCATCTTTCTATATGCTTAACTGCCATCTGTATATCTTCTCTGGCAAAGTGTCTGTTCAGATCTTTTGCTCATTTTAAAATTAGATTGTTCATTTTCTTGTTGTTGACTTTTAAGGGTTCTTTGTATATTTTGGATAATGGTCCATTATCAGATATGTCTTCTGCAAATATTTCCTCCCAGAACAGTTTTTAAGGTAATAATGTTTGAGAGATTTAAATTAATCTGAGCATTGTGTAAATAAAAAATAAGTTTAAAAAATAAACAGAAATATATTAGCTATCATGATCAAATGTTTGAGGAAGAATTATTAAATTATTGATGCTTTAACAAATCTGTTTTTTTATGTGAGGGAGAGCATATAACAAAATTTCTTTGTGAGTTGCAAAATTGTAGTTAGGAAAATTACCAAAGAATACATGATCTAAATAAAGGCTGAGAAATAGGAAAAGTCTGTAAAGAAGGGAACCTGTTGATGTATTCTCATTGTTGTCCTTCTATCTTATTGTGTTATGGTTATTCGTGTTTCTGTTCCCTTACTAGCCTGTGAGTTCCTAAGATATAGTATCTTCCTAATATTTGAAACTTGGCTGCATCTGGGATGAGACATAGTAGACCCTCAACAAATGTTTCTTGAATGAATAAATATATGGATGGCTGCATACCAGTTTAAAAATATTCTCAAATTTCTATGAAACTGGATTTGTCAGAAACAATCTTAAGTGTTGTTAGATGACCAGCTCGTGGCACTAACACATTTGGGGCCATATTATGTAGTAGTCCATCCAGTAGCTTGGGCTTTGGAATCAGAGAGATTTAGCCCTAAGTCCTGGTTCACCATTGTCAAGCCGTGTGATCTTGGCCAAAGTAGCTTTCTAAATCTCCTGTTTATCAGCAGTAAAATGGGAGCAAAAGTAATGCCTGTCTCATGGGGTACAGTAGCTGTAAGGGTTAAATAAGAATGCAAGTGAAAACTGCTTGGCTATGGTAGGGTTCAACAAATGTTTGCCATTATTACATCAAACAAATGCACGAACGATAAAGTCGTGTTTGCATAAAGCAAGGGAGGAATGCCAGTTCTCCCTGGTAGAGGCAGACTAACCCTTGGAATCTAGAGGCACGATTAGAGTAAGACTATGGTGCTAAGAGACAGGAGTGAGCTATGCCTTTGTCCAGGTGCACTGGGCTAGTGTATCTTTCTGCTGATATTCTTTCTCTGTACTGTGGCTGACCTTTGACCAAGGACGCTTGCTCTTAAGGGTTCCTGGTGGGACAGGCATATTTTGAGCATACCCAGGGTAGGGTGGGTAAAGGGCCAAGACTGTGGGTTGGCTTCAATCCCAGATGGCCACCTGTTATAGACCCTACACCAGGCTTCAGTGGAACCTGAATCACCAACTCCTGGGATTTGAATTGATTCAAATCAGTGATCCATCTCTTAGTTTGCTAGCTACAGCCATAGAACCCACACACTAAGAAGACATTGTTGCTTACATGATTCAATCCTGCTCCAAGTTTGCTCTATGATCTAATATGGAAGAGAGTGCTAAGGCTGACAAGATGTTAACTATGAGTTATTAAAGTTTTTCAGGGAAGTCAAAACATGGACTCTTGCTGCCATTAGGAATTGATGTGCACCTCATAATATTAAAAGACTTCACTAAAGAGATATCAGGAGCAGATGGATTGTGAGGGCAGATAAATAAACTATCTCATCTTCAGTAAATGCGACCCATGAAAGTGAGGCTGCTTGAGTGGAAAAGAATTGTCATATGGCCTAGATGAGGTTTTGTTCTAGGCATGGTCTTCTCAGAATGTTTTATCTAATTATGAGTCTCAAGGACAGAGACATCTACCACATTCAAAGAATGACAGCTCGGTTCTCACAACTCCTCATGACCAGTCATTTCCTTTTGTAAAACTCGCTTGGAAAACACAGCAAGTTCTTCTATCTGATGCTTAGTCTGGGTGCCACTGACAGCAAATTACAAACCATAGTGTAATGTGTACTTTGATACATCTGGACAATTACTGAATATATATATATATATATATATATGGGTTTCTTGCCTATATATATATATATGTGGGTTTCTTGTCGATCTATCTATATCTATATTGTCTATCTATCTATCTATCTATCTATCTATCTATCTATCTATCTATCCATCTATCTATCCTCACTGAACCCTCTCTTATTATTGAAAGTTTATTGGAAGTAGGTGCTCTATGCATTCTTTTTTTTTAAAAAAAGTTTTTTGGGATGGAGTTTCGCTCTTGTTGCCCAGGCTGGAGTGCAATGGTGCGATCTCAGCTCACTGCAACCTCCGCCTCCTGGGTTCAAGCAATTCTTCTGCCTCAGCCTCCTGAGTAGCTGGGACTACAGGTGCCCACCACCACGCCCAGCTAATTTTTTTTTTTTTTTTTTTTTTTTTTTTTTTTTGAGACGGAGTCTCGCTCTGTCGCCCAGGCTGGAGTGCAGTGGCGGGATCCCGGCTCACTGCAAGCTCCGCCTCCCGGATTCACGCCATTCTCCTGCCTCAGCCTCCCAAGTAGCTGGGACTACAGGCGCCCGCCACTACGCCCAGCTAATTTTTTGTATTTTTAGTAGAGACGGAGTTTCACTATATTGTCCAGGCTGGTCTCGAACTCCTGACCTTGGGTGATCCACTCGCCTTGGCCTCTCAAAGTGCTGGGATTACAAGCGTGAGCCACTGCACCTGGCCTATGTATTCTTTTCTGATAACTGAGCAGTTATTTTCTGTTGAATTAGTAGAACAAGAACCCCCAGATAATGCAATTTCTTTGCAACCTTCATCTTTGAAGGAGTTTATAGATTGTGCATACATAAGATGCGCACTATTTGTGAACCCTCAAATATTTATTACCCAATAGACCATAGGGAGAAAGAAGAGAATTGCTACCACTTCAATTTAAAACACACATGCACATGCACACACATGCACACACACACACATACACACATACACTTCATGAAAATAATATATGAATAGGTTCTTCTTCTGAATATTAACAAAAAATGAGGTAAAGTGAAATCACTAGCCCTATTCAATTTCCCGTCCATGTGAGAAAATCAGTTTCTCTACTAACAATTGATATCAAACATCAACAACAGTTAAATGTTTCACTCAGGCTGCTGTGGAGCCCTGGAGCTGAAGTCTCCTCTCAGAGGAGTCCTATATCTCGCAGGAATGGATCCATATAAATAGCCTTGCTGTGTTTAGTCACTGGCTTGAAGCAGCCCCTGGGCAGCATGGCCTTGGGGTGAACACAGGAGTGCTTTCGATTGTCAGGGTGTCTGTCTATTATACTCCTACAGCAAAAGATCTCAGTGGTGCATTCTCCCCTCCCCTCCCCTCCTCCCCTCCCCTCCTGTCCCCTCCCCTCCCTCCCTCCCTTTTTCCTTCCTTCCTTCCTTCCTTCCTTCCTTCCTTCCTTCCTTCTTTCTTTCTTCCTTTTTTCTTTTTTTTTGAGATGGAGTCTTGCTCTGTCGCCTAGGCTGGAGTGCAGTGGCACAATCTTGGCTCACTGCAATCTCCACCTCCCAGGTTCAAGCAATTCTCCTGCCTCAGGGTCCTGAGTAGCTGGGATTATAGGCACCTGCCACCACGCCTGGCTAATTTTTGTATTTTTAGTAGAGACGCGGTTTCACCATGTTAGCCAGGCTGGTCTTGAACTCCTGACCTCGTGATCTGCCCTCCTCGGCCTCCCAAAGTGCTGGGATTACAGGTGTGAGCCACCGTGTCCTGCTTGAGTGGTGCATTTTTATGGCCACCACTTGTATTCATTGATCATTGTATTTCTTCTGTAGGACAGGAGTTGGCAAACTTCTGTAAAGTAACAGTAAGTATTTTAGGCTTTACAGGTCTGTCACAACTACTCAGCTCTGCTCTTGTAGCAGTAAAGCAGCCATCGGCTGTATGCAGATGACCGAGAGTGTGTTCCAATCTTCACAAAAGCAGGCAATAGCCAACTATGCTGTTGTTTCCTGACCCCAGGACTAGAAAATGTCTGTTTATAGCACCTGTCTCTTGAAAATTTTGTAGAATTTACCTATAAAACTATTTGGACCCTGTGCCTTTTTTTAAGGAGCTAGACTTTGACTAATTTTCTAACTTATTCTATGGTTAACTGGTATATTTAAGTTTATTTATTCTTGTGCTAATATTGAAATTCATATTGTTTTTAGAAATTCAACCATATTACATAGATTTTATGTTTCTTGCTACCAATTTTTACCTGGTCTACCCTTATTTTCAAAATCTCTGTATTTTTCATATTTTTAAATCATACATTTTAAAAGTTGATGTTTTATTTTGGATGATGTGTGTAATTTTTTAAAAAGCCTCTATTATGAATAAGTATAAATCAAAATAAATATATAGAACTCAAGGTTATATCAATTCATATGTCTAAATCTTGATGTTCTGTGAATGAGGAAAAGCAATACCAGCTATGATGACATGTGATCAATTCACAATAGTTAGTCGTATTTGTGAATATTTTTCTTTTTAAAAGCCACACATAAATAAATCATTTATTGAGTCAAAATATCCTTCTGCCATCTGGATTCATGTTTGTTGTTGTTTAGATTACTGGGGTTACTTATAGTGGCTAAGCATATAGATTCTGGAGCTAGAGGGCTTGTATGTCAATCTTGACTCCCACACATACTAGCATTGTAAACTAGAGTAAATTAACTAAGTGCTCTGCCCCATGTCCTTATTTGGAAAATGGAGCCAATAATAGTACCTACTGTGCAATATTATGAAAATTAAATGAGTTAATATAAGTGAAGAACTTACAATGGTGTCTGATGCACGTAAGTGCTACCAATTGTTAATGTAAGTATTCTTAGTGTCATGTGCTTATGTGCTTGATTTGTTCTGCAGCTCTGGTTGTAAAGGTTTTACTCTTTATGCTTTGGTTTTCTTGAGTCTGTCTTTGATGAATTTTTTATAATCACTTTACTTTTTGTAAGATTCTTTTGTGAAGTTCAGAAAATGATGGCTCATGACTGTGTCAACACCAGAGATTACTGTGATATCTGTTGCTTCACCTCAGAATCTTGGGAGAAGCAGGCTCAACAATGAGGGAATCATCCATGACACCCACTGTCCCAATGACCATCTTTGCCTCCACCTGTTTGTGCCCTTTCACAATCATCAAGATATTGTGATCTTGATTTCGATTCTTTTGGATACATATCCTGAAGTGGGAAGGCTGGGTTACATGGTAATAAGAGATATCAGCACTTCCATGTTTATAGCAGCACTATTCACAGTGGCCAAGATATGAAATACGGTATATGCATACAATGGAGTATTATGCAGCCATGAAAAAGAAGGATATTCTGCTTCTTCTATCATATGGCATGACATTGATGGACCTTTAGGACATTATCCTAAATGAAATAAGCCGGTCAAAGAAAGACAAATACTGCATGATTCCACTTATATAAGATATCTGAAATAGTCACATTCATAGAATCAAAGAGAGAAATGGTGGTTTTCAGGGGCTGGAGGCAAAGGGAAACAGGGGAGTTACTAAGAAATGGGCATAATGTTCCAGTTAAACAAGTTGAATAAGCTCAGAGATTTGATATACAACATTCTACCTAGAGGTGACAATGTACGGTGCACTTAAAAATTTGTTAAGGGGGTAGATCTCATGTTAAATGTTCTTACCACATTAAGAGAAAACAAACAAACAAAAGATACTGTAGTGTTGGAGAATTCTCACAATGGCTGAACTGGTCTCCACTGAGCCTGGTGGCAAAAGCAGACGGGGGAGGCTCCTCTCTCAGATCAGTTTTGTAGAGTTGAGGGAGGGGCACCTTGAATGAACATAATACTTGGAGAGAGTGTTGCAGTTAGAGGACAGAAAACAAAAGCACATCATCAAGAGTGCCTCCTGCTATGTTTATGCCTATTTTACTGTCCTTTTCAAAGAAAAGCTTTAAGTTTAATTGATCAACAATTTTTGAATTTTTCTTTTAGTTGTGTTTTCAAATTTATTGATTTCTGCATTTCTATTTATTTGTTCCTTTGTTATGCTTTTTTGGGGGGGGAGGCTTATTTTGTTGTTCTTTAATTTCTTGAGTTGAAAGTTTATCTCATTTATTTTTAGTCTTTTTGGTTTTTAATGAATATATTTAAGCCTCTGAATTTTTTCTCTGAATACTGCTTTAGTGGTATTGCACTAGTTTTTTTTTAACCCCTTGTTCTTGGTTTATTAACAGCCTTTTCAGCATAATTCAATGCTTATAACACTGTCTACATATTGTTTTTAAAATGGTTTTGAAGATTAGTTTTTTTAAAACTAATTTCTTTCTTTTATTTATTTATTTTTGAGACAGGGTCTTGCTGCATTGCCTAGGCTGGAGTCCAGTGGCGTGATCATGGCTCACTGCAGCTTTGACTCCCTGGCCTCAGGTGATTCTCCCATCTCAGCCTCCAGAGTAGCTGGGACTACAGAAATGTGCCACTACACCTGGCTAATTTTTATATTTTTGTATTTTTGTTGTTGTTGTTGTTGTAGAGATGAGGTTTCACCATGTTGCCCAGGCTGATCTCGAACTCCTGTGCTTAAGCCATCCACATACCTTGGCCTCCCAAAGTGCTGGTATTACAGGTGTCAGCTACCATACCTGGCTAAAAACTAATTTAAAACAACGTCATTATGGAAATACAATTTACACTGCTTACAGCTCACTAATTAAAAGTGTGCATTTTCATGTTCTTAAAAGTATATTCAAAAAGTTTGTGACCATCAACACAATTTCATTTTAGAATGCTTTTGTCTTTTCTAAAAGAAACCCATCCTTTTCCTCCCACAACTTTCCCTACCTTTAAGCCACCAGTAATCTACTTTTTGTCTTTATGTATTTGCCTATTCTAGAAATTTCATATAAATGGAATCATATAATATGTCGCCTTTTGTGACTGGCTGCTTTCACTTAGCATAACTTTTTTGAAGTTCATCCATATTGTAGTGCTTCAGTCCTTGTTATGGGGGAATAATATTCCATTGTATGGATATACTACATTTAAAAAATCTATTTGTTATTGGTAAACATTAGAGCTGTTTCTACTTTTTGGTTATTATGAGTAATGCTGCTAAAAACATTGTATACAAGTTCTTGTGTGAATGTGTGCTTTTATTTGTCTTGTTGATATACCTAGGAGTGGAATTGTTAGGTCACATAGTAATGCTATGTTTACCTTTTGAGACATTGCAAAACTTTTTTCCAAAGCAGCTGCACCATTATAAATTCCCACCAGCAATGCATGAGGATTCAATTTCTCCACATTGTTGTCAACACTTGTTACTGTCTGGAGCCAGCCTAGTGGGTGTGAAGTGGTATTTCATTGTGGTTCTGATTTGCATGTCTCTAATAACTAATAATGTTGAGCGTATTTTCATGTGCTCACTGGCCATTTGTACATCTTCTTTGGAAATATATCTATTCACCCCTTTTGCCCATTTTAAATGTTGTATTATTTTTCTTTTTATTATTGCATTGTAAGAGCTCTTTAGATCTTCTAGATGCAAATCTTTTATCAGATATATGATTTGCAAATATTTTCTACTGTTCTGTGTGTTGTCTTTCATTTTTAAATAATATTCTGTGAAGCCAAAAGTTTTAATTTTGATGAAGTCTAAATTATCATTATTCTTTGTTTTGTTGTTTGTACTTTTGGTGTCATAGCTAAGAAATAATTGCCTAATCCAATGTCATGAAGATTTATGTCTTTCTTTCTTTTTCTTTCCTTCTTTCTCTTTTTCTTTCTTTCTCTTTCTTTCTTTCTTTCTCTTTCCCCTTCCTTCCTTCCTTCCTTCCTTCCTTCCTTCCTTCCTTCCTTCCTTCCTTCCTATCTCGCGCTCTCTTTCTTTCTCTCTCTGTCTCTCTCTTTTTTTTAGGCAAGGTCTTATTATGTTGCCCAGGTGGGTCATAAACTCCTGGGTTCAAAAGTGATACTTTCATCTCAGCCTCCTGAGTAGCTGGGACTACAGGCATATGACACTGTGCCTGGATTAAGAGTTTTATAATTTTAGCTTTTGCCCTTAGGTCTTTGATCTGTTTTGAGTTAAAATTTGTATAGCGTGAGGTAGGTGTCCAACTTCTTTCTTTTGCATGTGGCTATCTAGTTGCTCCAGCACCATTTGTTGAAAAGGCTCTCTTTCTCCCTTGAATTTTCTTGTTGCCCTTGTCGATGTCAGTTGACTATAAATTCCTGAGTTTATTTCTGAATTCTCAATTCCACTCCACTGATCTAAGTTTATTCTTATTCTAGTAGTCACCATTATTTTGATCTTCTTTCTGTGTCTCAGATTTTTTCCCCCTGTAGAACATCTCCAGTAATGGTTTACATAAGTTTGTGATTAGTGATGTTATAGTGTGATAATGTGTTTATTTGCTCTTACACTTTGGCTGAGCTTAGAAATATTTGTATTTTGACCTTTGATACGGTTTGGATATTTGTCTCCTCCAAATCTCATGTTGAAATGTAATCACTAATGTTGGAGGTTGGGCCTAATGCAAGGTATTTGGGTCATGGGGGTGGATCCCTCATGGCTTGGTGCTGTCCTTGGGATAGTGAATGAGTTCTCATGAGATCTGGTTGTTTAAAAGTGAGCGGTACCTCCTTCCTCTCTCTCTTGCTCCTGCTCTGCCAAGTGATGTGCCTGCTTCCGCTTTACCTTCCACCATGAGTAAAAGCTTCCTGAGGCCTCACCAGAAGCTTAGCAGATGCAGGTGCCATGATTCCTGTATAGCCTGCAGAACTGTAAGCCAATTAAACCTCTCTTCTTGATAAATTACCCAGCCTCATATATGTTTTATAGCAATGGAAGAATGGCCGAATACAACCTTTGAGATGTCTGTTTCACTGTCATCTTTGCTTCAGAGTTACTGAAGAAAAGTCTGATGATCTCATTCTGTTTTCTTAGTTGATAATTGGTTTTTATTTTATCTCTTTCTCTGCAAGACTTTCAGATTTTCTCTTTATATTTAGCGTTCTGAAATTTTTACAGTACTGTTTTGCGTGATTCATTTTTTATTCATCTTTTGTCTTTTCAATCTGAGGATTTTTGTTTGTTCTGGAGTATTTCTTTATTATTGCTTTGAGTACTGCCTTTCTTCCATTCTATTCTTTCCTTCAGGCACTCATATTTTCAAATATTAGAATTTTTGGATCTGGTCTAAAAAGGAAATAAAAAAATCTATAATCAGACTAGAATAGAAGGGGTACCCTTGACAGTCCAAGAAATAAGAGAAAGCCCTGACATGCCAAACAGATGTTACGAGATAAACTTGTAAGACAGAAATACTGCAGCTGGGGCGCAGTGGCTCATGCCTGTAATCCTAGCACTTTGGGAGGCCAAGGTGGGTGGATCACTTGAGGTCAGGTGTTCAAGACCAGCCTGGCCAACATGATGAAACCCTGTCTCTACTAAAAATACAAAAATTTGCCTGGCCTGGTGGCGGGCGCCTGTAATCCCAGCTACTCGGGAGGCTGAGGCAGGAGAATTGCTTGAACCTGGGAGGCAGAGGTTGCCATGAGCTGAGATAGTGCCACTGCACTCCAGCCTGGGTGACAGTGAGAGACTCCATTTCAAAAAGATAAAAAATGACACAAGAAAGATGATAGAAATGACAGGATGTGGAGACACAACTCAAATTCTAGGTTCCAGATCTTGACATCTTCCCACTGTCTTACTGCTCTGCATCATGTTAGCTTAGAAAGTTACTCAACCTCTTTGATCTTTGGATTCATGATCTAAAAATGGAGTGTTGGGGGGCGTGGTTAAAGTGATAATTTTGAATAAGTCTTCAAACCCAACATGTCATGAGCCTTCCTTGAACTGCATCTTCATTTATAGATTAAACGTTTTGATAAATTCACTATGGGCTCTTAACTGTATTATTAAAATTGTGGTGACAACCAGCTGTTATTTTATGGTAGAACATAAGTATCTCTTTTCATTGCCATTCTTCACTAAAAGGATACTTTGTCCCCCTTTTTCTTTTTCCATAGGTTATTGGGGTACAGGTGGTGTTTGGTTATATGAGTAAGTTCTTTAGTGGTGATTTGTGAGATTTTGGTCCACCCATCACCTGAGCAGTATACACTGCACCCTATTTGCAGTATTTTATTCCTTGCCCCCTCCAACCCTTCCCTCCAAATCCCCAAACTCCTTTGTATCATTTTATGCCTTTGCATCCTCATAGCTTAGCTCCCATATAACAGTAGGAACATATGATGTTTGTTTTTCCATTCCTGAGTTACTTCACTTAGAATAATAGTCTCCAATCTCATCCAGGTCACTGCGAATGCCGTTAATTCTCTTCTTTTTATAGCTGAGTAGTAATCCCTAGTATATATATACTACAGATTCTTTATCCACTCATTGATTGATGGGCATTTGGGTTGGTTCCACGATTTTGCAATTGTGAATTGTGCCACTATAAACATGCGTGTGCAAGTATCTTTTTTGTATAATGACTTATTTTCCTCTGAGTAGATACCCAGTAGTGGGATTGCTGGATCAAATGGTAGTTCTACTTTTGGTTCTTTAAGGAATCTCCACGCTCTTTTCCATAGCGGTTGTACTAGTTTACATTCCCATCAGCAATGTAGAAGTGTTCCCTGATCACCACATCCACGTCAACATCTACTGTTTTTTGATTTTTTGATTATGGCCGTTTTTACAGGAGTAAGGTGGTATGGCATTGCGGTTTTGATTTGCATTGCCCTGATCATTAGTGATGTTGAGCATTTTTTTTTGAATGTTTCTTGGCCATTTGTATATCTTCTTTTGAGAATTGTCTATTCATGTCCTTAGCCCACTTTCTGAAGGGATTTTTTAAAATTGCTGATTTGTTTGAGTTAATTGTAGATTTTGGATATTAGTCTTTTGTCAGATGTATAGATTGTGAGGATTTTCTCCCATTCTGTGGGTTGTCTGTTTACTCTGCTGACTGTTCTTTTTGCGGTGCAAAAGCTCTTTAGTTTAATTAGGTCCCGGCTATTTATCTTTGTTTTTATTGAATTTGCTTTTGGGTTCTTGGTCATGAAATCCTTGCCTAAGCCAATGTCTAGAAGGGTTTTTCCAGTGTTATCCTCTAGAATTTTTAGAGTTTCAGGTCTGAAAGTCCTTAATCCATCTAGAGTTGATTTTTGTATAAGGTGAGAAATGAGAATCCAGTTTCATTCTCCTACATTCGGCTAGCCAATTATCCCAGCACCATTTGTTCAAAAGGGTGTTCTTTCCCCACTTTATGTTTTCATTTGCTTTGTTGAAGATCAGTTGACTGTAAGTATTTGGGTTTATTTCTGGGTTATCTATTCTGTTCCATTGGTCTATGTGCCTATTTTTATACCAGTACCATGCTGTTTTGGTGACTGTGGCCTTATAATACAGTTTGAAATCTGGTAGTGTGATGCCTCCAGATTTGTTCTTTTTGCTTAGTCTTGCTTTGGCTATGCAGGCTTTTTTTGGGTTCCGTATGAGTTTTAGAATTGTGTCTTCAAGTTCTGTGAAGAATGGTGGTATTTTAATGGGGATTGCATTGAATTTGTAGATTGCTTTTGGCAGTCATTTTCACAATATTGAATCTACCCATGCATGAGCATGGGATGTGTTTCCATTTGTGTCGTCTATGATTTCTTTCAGCAGTGTTTTGTAGTTTTCCTTGTACAGATTCTTTCACCTCCTTGGTTAGGTATATTCCTAAGCATTTTATTTCATCTTTTGCAGCTATCATAAAAGAGGTTGAGTTCTTGATTTGATTCTCAGCTTGGTCACTGTTGGTGTATAGAAGAGCTACTGATTTGTGTACATTAATCTTGTATCCGAAACTTTGCTGAATTCTTTTATCAGTTCTAGGAGCTTTCTGGAGGAGTCTTTAGGGTTTTTGAGGTAAACAATCATATTGTCAGCAAACAGCGACAATTTCACTTCCTCTTCGTCAATTTGGATGCCCTTTATTTCTTTCTCTTGTCTGTTTGCTCTAGCTAGGATTTCCACTACTATGTTGAAGAGGAGTGGTGAGAATGGCCATCCTTGTCTTGTTTCAGTTCTCAGAGGGAATCCTTTCAACTTTTCCCCATTCAGTATTATGTTGCCTGTGGGTTTGTCATATATGGCTTTTATTATATTGAGGTATGTCCCTTGAATGATGATTTTGCTGAGAGTTTTTATCATAAAGGGATACTGGATTTTGTCAAATGCTTTTTCTGCATCTGTTGAGATGATCATATGATTTTTGTTTTTAATTCTGTTTATGTGGTGTATCACATTTATTGACTCGTGTATGTTAAACCATCCCTGCATCCCTGGTATGAAACCCACTTGATCATGGTGAATTATCTTTTTGATATGTTGTTGGATTCAGTTAGCTAGTATTTTGTTAAGGATTTTAGCATCTATGTTCGTCAGGGATATTGGTCTGTAGTTTTCTGGTTATGTCCTTTCCTGGTTTTGGTATTAAAGTAATGCTGACTTCATAGAATGAATTAGGGATGGCTCTTTCTTTCTCTATTTTGTGGAATAGTGTCAATAGGATTGCTACCAATTCTTCTTTGAATGTCTGGTAGAATTCTGCTGTGAATCTGTCTGGTCCTGGACTTGTTTCTGTTGGTAATTTTTAAATTACCATTTCAATCTCACTGCTTGTTATTGGTCTGTTCGGGGTATCTAATTCTTCTTGATTTAAGCTAGGAGGTTTGTATCTTTCCAGGAATTTATCCATCTCTTCTAAGTTTTCTACTTTATGTGCATAAAGGTGTTCATAGTAGGCTTGAATGATCTTTTGTATTTCTGCAGTGTCAGTTGTAATATCTCCCATTTCATTTCTTATTGAGGTTATTTGGATTTTTTCTCTTCTTTTGTTGGTTAATCTTGCTAATCGTCTATCAGCTTTATTTATCTTTTCAAGGAGCCAGCTTTTTGTTTCACTTATCTTTTGTATTTTTTTGTTGTTGTTTCAATTTCATTTAGTTCTGCTCTGATCTTGGTTATTTCCTTTCTTCTGCTGGGGTTGGGTTGGGTTTGTTCTTGTTTCTCTAGTTCCTTGAGATGTGACCTTAGAATGTCAGTTTGTGTTCTTTCAGTCTTTTTGATGTGGATGTTTAGGGATATGAACTTTCCTCTTAGCACCGCCTTTGCTGTATCCCAGAGGTTTTGATAGGTTGTGTCACTATTGTCGTTCCGTTCAAATAATTTTTTGATTTCCATCCGATTTCGTTTTTGACCCAATGATCATTCAGGAGTAGGTTATTTAATATCCATGTCTTTGCATGGTTTCAAATGTTCCTTTTGGAGTCTATTTCCAGTTTTACTCCACTCTGGTCTGACAGAGTGCTTGATATAATTTCAGTTTTCTTATATTTATGGAGGCTTGTTTATGACATATCATATGGTCTATCTTGGAGAAAGTTCCATGCACTGTTGAATAGAATATGTATTTTGTGGTTGTTGGATGGAATGTTCTGTGTATATCTGTTAAGTTCATTTGTTCCAAGGTATAGTTTAAATCCATTGCTTCTTTGTTGACTTTCCATCTTGATGATCTGTCTAGTGCTCTCAGTGGAGTATCGAAGTCCCCCAGTATTATTGTGTTGCTATCTATCTCATTTCTTAGGTCTATTAGTAGTTGTTTTATAAATTTGGGAGCTCCAGTGTTAGATGCATATATATTTTCCTGATGGACAAGGTCTTTTACCATTATATACTATCCCTCTTTGTCTTTTTTAACTGCTGTTGCTTTAAAGTTTGTTTTGTCTGATATAAAAATAGCTACCCCTACTCACTTTTGGTGTCCATTTGCATGAAATGTCTTTTTCCACCCCTTACTTTAAGTTTATGTGAGTCCTTATGTGTTAGGTGAGTCTCTTGAAGGCAACAGATAGTTGGTTGGTGAATTCTTATCCATTCTGCAGTTCTGTATCTTTTAAGTGGAGCATTGAGGCCATTTACATTCAATGTTAGTATTGAAATGTGAGGTACCATTGCATTCATCATGCTCTTTGTTGACTGTGTACCTTGGTTTTTTGTTTTTAAATTGCATTTTTATTTTATAGGTCCTGTGTTATGCTTTAAAGAGGTTTCTGTTTTGATGTGTTTCCAGGAATTGTTTCAAGATTTAGGGCTCCTTTTAGCAGTTCTTGTAGTGGTGGCTTGGTAGTGGCAAATTCTCTCATCATTTGTTTGTCTGAGAAAGACTGTATCTTTCCTTCATATGTGATGCTTAGTTTCACTGGATACAAAATTCTTGGCTGATAATTGTTTTGTTTGAGGAAGCTAAAGATAGGGCCCCAATCCCTTCTAGTTTGTAGGGTTTCTGCTGAGAGATATATCTGCTGTTAATCTGATAGGTTTTCCTGTATAGATTACCTGGTGCTTTTGTCTCACAGCTCTTAAGATTATTTCCTTTGTCTTAACTTTAGATAACCTGATGACAATGTGCCTAGGTGATGGTCTTTTTGCAATGAATTTCCCAGTTGTTCTTTGTGCTTCTTGTATTTGCATGTCTAGGTCTGTAGCAAGGCTGGGGAAGTTTTCCTCTATTATTCCCCCAAATATGTTTTCCAAACTTTTAGAATTCTCTTCTTCCTCAGGAACATCAATTATTCTTAGGTTTGGTCATTCAACATAATCTCAGACTTCTTGGAGGCTTTGTTAATATTTTCTTATTCTGTTTCCTTTGTCTTTGTTGGATTGGGTTAATTTGAAGACCTTGTCTTTGAACTCTGAATTTCTTTCTTCTACTGTTCAATTCTATTGCTGAGACTTTCCAGAGCATTTTACATTTCTATAAGTGTGTCCAGTGTTTCCTGCAGTTTTGATTGTTTTTTCTTTATGCTATCTATTTCCTTGATTATTTCTCCCTTCGCTTCTTCTATTGTTTTTTGGATTTCCTTGCACTGGGGTTTGGCTTTCTCTGGTGCCTCTGATTAGCTGAATAACTAGCCTTCTGAACTCTTTTTTCAGGTAAATCAGGGATTTCTTCTCAGTTTAGATCCATTGCTGGTGAGCTAGTATGATTTTTTTGGGGGTGTTAAAGAGCCTTGTTTTGTCATATTATCAGATTTGGTTTTCTGGTTCCTTCTCATTTGGGTAGCCTCTGTCAGAGGGAAGTTCTATGGCTGAAGGCTGTTGTTCGTATTCTTTTATCCCACGAGGTGTTCCCTTGATGTAGTACTCTCTCCCTTTTCCTATGGATGTGGCTTCTTGAGAGCCGAACTGTAGTAATGGTTATCTCTCTTCCAGGTCTAGCCACTCAGCAAGTCTACCAGGCTGTGAGCTGGTATTGCGGGTTGTTGGCACTGAGTTCTGTGGTGTGAACTGTCTGTGTGTCTCTCCGCCATGGACACCTGCACCTGTTATGGGGGAGGTGGTAGAGGGGTGAAACGGATCCCTGGTTCTTAGCTTTGGTGGTTTAATGCTCTATTTTTGTGCTGGTTGGCCTTCTGCCGGGAGGTGGCGCTTTACAGACAGCATCAGCTATGGTAGTGTGGAGAGGGACTGGCAGTGGGCGGGGTCCTAGAGCTCCCAAGAATATATGCCCTTTGTCTTCAGCTACTAGGGAGGGTAGGGAAGGACCATCAGGTGGGGGCAGGGCTAGGCCTGATCTGAGCTCAGACCCTCCTTGGATAGGTCTTGCTGTGGCTGCTGTGAGGGGATGGGAGTGAGGTTCCCAGGTCAATGGAATTGTGTACCTAGGAGGATTACGGCTCCCTCTGCGGAGTCATGCAGGTTGTCAGGGAAGTGGGAGAAAGCCAACAGTCACCAGCCTCACCCAGCTCCTGCGCAATCCAAAGGGGTGGTCTCACGCCCACTGTGTCCCCGCTAACAACTCTGAGTCTGTTTCCAGGCAGGGGGTAAGCAGGGCTGAGAACTTGCCGCAGTCTGCCCACCTCCCAGTGGCAAAAGAAAAGGGCTTTAGTTCTTCCCCAGCCTGTGGAGTCTGCACGCAGGATTCGCACCCTCCCCCGTGTTATGGCCAGGAGGCTTCTTGACCGGTTCAAATTGTTACAAAGTTCAGCTGGAGACTTCCTTCTTCCTGTGGTGTTTCCGCCGTGCCTCTGGCCACCCTCCTGAAGGATCCTTGTGATGCCAGGCAGGAGTGGCCTGCTTGGGGACCCAGCGAGCTCCCCAGGCCTTTCCAGCTGCTTCCTCTATCCCTGTGTTTTGCTTGTCTATCTAAATTGACTCAGCTCCAGATAAGGTCAGAATCTTCTCCTGCAAACTAGAACTTCAGTTTCCCCATAGGAGGTGTGCGTTCCAGGGCGGAGGATCTCCCTTTCCCACTTCCGCAGTTGGGGCACTCACATAATTTGGGGTGTCTCCTGGGTCCAGCAGGAGCAGTCCGCTTCCTTCAGAGGGTCTGTGGGTCCTCCTGGGATTCCTGGTTTATTCCTGCAGTTGTTCTGGAGCTGAAATTCACAATGTGAGCCTCTGCACGCTGTTCTGTGCGTCCGAGTCGAAGCTGCCATCTAGTTTTGCCTCCCATCCGTGATGATGATCTATGATCTCTACAAGGATACATTTGCTAGAAATATTTGTTCTCTCTGGCCGGGCGCGGTGGCTCACGCTTGTAATCCCAGCATTTTGGGAGGCCGAGGCAGGTGGATCACGAGGTCAGGAGATCGAGACCATCTTGGCTAACACGGTGAAACCCCGTCTCTACTAAAAAATATAAAAAATTAGCTGGGCGTGGTGGCGGGCGCCTGTAGTCCCAGCTACTCAGGAGGCTGAGGCAGGAGAATGGCGTGAACCCGGGAGGCGGAGTTTGCAGTGAGCCGAGATCGCGCCACTGCACTCCAGCCTGCGCAACAGAGCGAGACTCTGTCTCAAAAAAAAAAAAAAAAAAAAAGAAATATTTGTTCTCCCTACCCTAAAAGGGATATAATTGAAATACAAAAAAACAATATGGAGAGGTAATTTCTTTCTTTCTTTTTCTTTTTCTTTTTTTTTTCTTTTTGGAGACAGGGTCTTGTTCTGTTGCCCAGGCTGAATGCAGTGGGACAATCACAGCTCACTGCAGCCTTGACCTCCTGGGCTCAAATGATCCTCCCACCTTAGCTTCCTGAGTAGCTGGGACTACAGATACGCACCACCACACCAGCTAAGGTTTAAAATTGTTTTTAATAGTGAGAGAATTTCACAATTTTGCCAGGCTGGTCTCGAACTCCTGGGCTCAAGCAATCTGCCCACCTCGGCCTCCCAAAGTGCTGGGATTATAGGCATGAACCACTGCACCGGAACCTTGGAGAGGTAATTTTTAACAAGGCCATCTTTTCTCTAACAGAGGAGCACTAAGAAGTCAGATTTCATCCTGGCATGTGACTGTCACACAAGCAAATGACTGTGCTGATTAGAAAGCTTGTGTAGCTCAGAAATATCACATAATATGCAGTCTCCGTTGAGCAACATTGCAGCTTATGTTCATTAGGTAAAACCATAGTAATCTGAAAATATTTTAGGTATATCTGCCATTATTTTATGACTAAACAAGGAGATGATTTTAGTATTGATTACTTTCATGCACATATTTTAAAAACTCCTGATTTTTTATGTTGGAAACATTCCAGTTCTTTTTTTTTTTTTTTTTTTTTTTGAGACCGGAGTCTCGCTCTGTCGCCCAGGCTGGAGTGCAGTGGCGGGATCTCGGCTCACTGCAAGCTCCGCCTCCCGGGTTCACGCCATTCTCCTGCCTCAGCCTCCCCAGTTCTTTTCTTATCTAGCTATTTTGAACTATACATTTGATTGTATTCCAAAAATACGTACAACTATTATGTATCAATAAAATGTCCTAACTTTTTTGCATAGTGAAAGGTTTGTTCAGGTTGTAGTATGAGTTGCAGTCATCCTGTTTTTGGCATGGGAGGGAGATGTTTCTAAACTAGCCAGTTATAGGTGTCACCTACCAATGTTCTACAAAATGTGGACCAGGCAGAGAGAATTACAGATGCTGGGTGGAAACTTTGGTTCTGGGCCTGATTCTGCCCCTAACTTGGCATGAAGCCTCAGTTTCTTCTTACTACAGCAGGAAAAATAATACTTGCTTTATCTGTTTCATGTGTCTGCTATGATGATAACAAATATAATGTATATGAGACAATTTAAAAACTTAAAGCATTTTAAGTTCCTTGGTCTTTATGGGAGAGGGAGGACCATCATTTCTTTCTCTTTTTTCTTTTTCTTCTTCTCCTCCCCTTTCCTCCTCTTTTTTTCATTCCTTCTTTTTCTCCTTATCTTTCTCCTCCTCCCTCTCCTCCTTCTTCTTCCTCCTCCAACCTCCTCCTTCTCCTCGCTTCTTCCCTTCTCCTTTTACTTCCTTCTTTTCTCCTTCTCCTCCATTCTCTTTCTCCTCCTCCTTCATCCACTCCTTCTTCTTCTTCCTTTTGAGATGGAATCTTGCTCTGTCACCCAGGCTGGAGTGCAGTGGCATGATCTTGGCTCACTGCAGCCTCCACCTCCCAGATTCAAGTGATTCTCGTGCCTCAGCCTCCCTAGTAGCTGGGATTACAGGTGTATGCCACCACACCCAGCTAATTTTTTTTTTTTTTTTTTTTTTTTTGAGACACTATTTCACTCTTGTCACCCAGACTGGAGTGCAGTGGTGTGATCTTGGCTCACTGCAAACTCCACCTCCCAGATTCAAGCAATTCCCCTGCCTCAGCCTCCTGAGTAGCTGGGATTACAGGTGTGCACCACCATGTCTGGCTAATTTTGTATTTTTAGTAGAGATGGGGTTTCACCATGTTGGCCAGGCTGGTCTTGAACTCCTGACCTCAAGTGATCCACCTGCCTCGGCCTCCCAAAGTACTGGGATTACAGGTGTGAGTCACCGCACCCGGTCCTTTCCTTCTTCTTCCTCTTCTTCTTCTTCTTCCTTCTTTTCTCTGTCTCCTTCTCCTTTTTTTCCTCCTTGTCCTTCTTCTGTCTGATGCATAGTCAAGGGTTTGATAAGTGTCTGCTCTGTGCTGACAGTTTCAGGAGCAGTACAGAAACTCCTATTTTGTACTCCAAATAATCCACAAGAATTAATTGGATCACCTCGAAGGAGGAAAGAGAAGCTCAAAGAGATCAGGTAAGTTGCACAAGCTCTGAATCCCAGCACACCGTGAAAACGGGCTTCAAATCTGGTCTTTCTGATTCCAAAGTCTATAGTCTTACCTGTGATTCACTTTCCTGATTTGTTAAAAAAAAAAAAAAAAAAAAGGATGCTTCATTTGCTTAAGTAAAATTCCAGGGAATTTTCAGCAGAAGTTTTAAATGTTGGTAGAGAATTTTCTTGAGGCAAAACTGATAATCATAAAGCTTGTCTGGCTACCAAAATTGATCTGGTAGTCAAAACTTCTTGGTAAAGTTATCAGTATAGAGACCCAAGAGAAACAAATAAGAAGAATCTGCTACTAAATTTTGGCGGAGTTGAGAAATTTTTTAATTTGAGCTTTCACTCTAAGAGATAAGAGTCTGTGACCAATTGTATTGTGTGTTTTGCATTGCTATGAAGGAATGCCTGAGGCTGGGTAGTTTATAAAGAAAAGAGGTGTATTTGGCTCAGAGTTCTGCAGCCTATACAAGCAGGGCAGCAGCTTCTGCTTGGCTTCTGGGGAGGCTTCAGGAAGCTTTTGCTCATGGCAGAAGGCAAAGAGGGAGCAGGCATGTCACATGAGAGGGAGCAAGAGTGGGGGAGGAGGTGCCAGGCTCCTTTAAGCAACCAGCTCTTGCATGAACTAATAGAGTGAGAACTGAATCATTACCATGAGGAGGACACCAACTCATTCATGAGAGATCCGCCCCCATGACCCAAACACCTCCCACCAGGCCCCACCTCCAACACTGGGGATGACATGTCAACACAAGATTTGGACGGGACAAATATTCCAACTATTCACCCATGTTCCCTAACTTGAAGGGAGTTCACATTAGGACAAGTTCACTGAAATCTTTGTTTTGGAATGGGGATGGATAAGACATCATTTATTAAGTTATGGTTTTTAGTTTCTGGCTTTGGCTAACTCAAACAAAAAGGGAATATTTCAGACTGGTGCTTGGTAAATCATAGAATGACAAACAATTGGAAGACCAGGTTAAAATGAACTTGGAGGACATTAAGTGAATTAAGCCAGGCACAGAAAGACAAATACTGCAAATTCTCACTTATATGTGGAATCTAAAAAAAGTTGAGCTTATACAAACAGAGAGTAGAATGGTGGTCACCAGAGGCTGGGGAAGGAGGAGTTGAGGAGATATCGGTCAAAGCATACAAAATTTCAGTTAGGCAGGAGGAATAAATTCAAGAGATCTATTGTACAACATGGTGACTGTAGTTAATAACATTGTGACTGTATTGAATTCTTGAAAGTTGCTAAGAGAGTAGATTTTAAGTGTTCTCACTTAAAAAAATAAGTATGTGAGATAATGCGTATGTTAGTTAGCTCTATTTAGCCATTTCACAATGTGTATGTAGTCCAAAATCATGTTGTACATGATTCATAAATACATTTTTATTTGTCAATTAAAAATACCCTGGAATTTGGGCAACAAAAGCTATCTGCCCAGGTGGGAACAAATCGCCTCTGAGCATCTTTCCTTCATTGCATCTCTAATCAAGATAGAAAGTCCCTGGAGAGAGGGTCTGATTGGACAAGCTTGAGTCCGATCCCTATACTTTGGCTATGAGAGGAATATTCTTGCTGAAGTCGTCTGTGATAGACCCTGTGGATGCATTTGGCTTGGAAATACGAAAGCGCCTTGATTTAGAATCCCCTCAAGTCTGTCTGTTCACAGTGGGATAATTTTTATTCTCTTCCTCTCCAGAAGGAATCAAGGGGTGTCATAAAGGAGGTATGTCTGCTAAGCAGAACTACCTCCCCTCCCCAAAGAAAGTCTGTTACCATGTATACTTTTAAACATTTTATTTTAAAATAAAATTAGACTCACAAGAAGTTACAAAAACAGTACAGAATTGCCATGTAACTTTTACCCAGCTCCCCACAATGATACCATCTTATATAACTCTAGTACATTATTAAAATATGGACATTGACACCGGTAAAATACTATTAACAGAACCACATACTTTATTCTGCTTTTGCTTTTTATTTTATTTTATTATTTTATTATTTTTTGAGACAGAATCTCGCTCTGTCACCCAAGCTGGAGTGCAGTGGTGCCATTGCAACCTCTACCTCCTGGGTTCAAGCAATTCTCCTATCTCAGCCTCCCATGTAGCTGGGATTATAGGTGCCCACCACCATGCCTGGCTGATTTCTGTATTTTTAGTAGAGATGGGGTGTCACCATGTTGGCCAGGCTGGTCTCGAACGCCTGACCTCAAGTGATCTGCCCGCCTCTGCCTCCCAAAGTGCTAGGATTACAGGTGTGAGACACCACGCCCAGCCTGTTTGGCATTTTTTTAATACGTGCTCTATAATATTGATTTTTGTGTAAACATGTGTTTGTATATATCTATAACGAGAACTCAAGTCATACTGTAATCCTATTTTGTAAACTGACTTTTTTCCTTTATCAGTATATCAAGATTATTTTCCCACATCATTTGACATTTTTTCTACAGTGTAATTTAATGGCTACATTGTTTTCTATCCTATGAATATATCAAACCTATTTCTTAAAAACCCTACTCAGGGATTTTAAAAAATAAAAACGATGTTTTAATATTATAAAGATTCAGTGAGGTATATTCTTATACGTACACATTTCTAAGGTTTGAGTTCTTACAAGATGCTGAACTAGCTAAGACTACTGGTTCTCATCTGTCACATAGGGAAAAATTATAGAAGGAAAACATCAAGATTTGGAAAAATCTGTGAGAATTGTTTTGCATTAGTGTGTAGGTGTGTGTGTTGGGGTGGTGGCTGCAGCTTGGGGCAGAGGCCTCAGGTGTGGCTGTGGAGTGATCAGATAGAGTTTTTGGAGTTCGGCTTTTGCCCCAGGACACTTGGTGCCTGCCCCCAGAGCTGCAGCCCAGAAGGCCGTTCTCAGAGGTGAAGTCCAGGCAGTGAGGAGCTGTCTGCCAGTAGGCAGTTGAAGAAAAAAAATGAGCTAGAGGAAAAAAACAAAAAAACAAAATCTCCTTCTAATGCTGCCAGGCTGCCGGGAGCTGGAAATGAAGCACTGACAGGAGTGGGTATTTCATGGTGAAGGGAATAATCAACTGGTTTTTTTGGTACCCAAGACTTTCCACCTTCACACACACACATGAGATGCTTTGAAATAAAGATAGTCACTTGACTTAGTAAAGTTTGTTGACATAAAAATATGAGAAATACCAAAGAATACAAAAAGGAAAACTTCGTTAATATTATTCAGACTTAAAATTCCAGATTGTATCAACATTAAGGGGGTTGATGAAAACATGGGAGAAAGCCAAGGGACGTGAGATCGGGCTCAATTCTTGACTTGCTGGGGGAAGGTATCAACACAGAACTTTTAAGAATTAGAAGGCATTAAAAAGAAATAGAAATCCTGAATCAAATTGAAACAGTAAAATAAAATAGTCCAAAGATGTGTAAATATATCACTATCACAATAACTATAAATAGGTTAAATTTGCCAGTTGAAAGAAAGGAACTATTAAATGAGATTTTAAAAATTTGGATATATGCTTTTCATGTGAACATACCTAAAGCATATACACAAAACCAGAAAATAAAAAGATGGAAATATCCACAGAGTGACAAAGGAAAGCTGGTGCATTTGTATTAGTATCAGATAAAGCTCACATTTAGATAAAAAACATTATAGTAATAGAGAAAGTCACAAGGTTAAAGTTTCAATTCACCAAGAAATATCCATTCTAAACATGTATACATACCCAATTAAGCTGCCTCAAAATATATATGACAAAAATTGGGAGAACTATAAAGTCAGATATAAGGATTGAAAAGAAAGAAATGAAACTAATTATTTTCAGATGATATACACGTTTACATGAAAAAACTCCAAAGAATCTTCAGGCAAATTATTAGAAATTGTAGGAGAGCTCCGCAAGAGGGCTGGATATAAAATTAATATACAAAAGTCAATGTCATTTCACTATACCAGAAAAAAGACAATAACATTAGAAAATAAATCTAACATAAGATGTAGAAAAACTTCTTAGAGGAAAAATTTTCTTGGGAAATATTAAAGAAGATCTAAATAAGTAGAATTACATAATATTCATGCATAAGAAGGCAACATTTTGAAGACGTCTTGTTATACATAGGCCTAGGAATAATATAGTTTTAAGCTATATTATTTTGAACTGTAGATGAAGAAAAGCTCTTTTTTTCCTTGAGTATTTTAAGATTTTGAATAAAGTCATATTGCTCTAGGAATATTTTATACTTCTGCCAGCAGTGTTTGAGAATGCCTACTTCCTACATTATCACCACCATAAATGTTTAAAACCTGATAGCACACAGTTTAAAAAATTTGTAATTCTCCAATTAACAGTGACCTTTAAAAATTATGTTTACTGATCTCTATTATTTTGTCCTTTGTAAATCTTTTATTAGTTTTTATGTTCACATGTTCCGTTTTAAAATAGACTTTTAAGAGCTCTTTGTATTAAGAATATTAAGGCTTTGTCCATATAATTAGTATTTTTCAGAATACCCTTTCTAGGTACAGTTTTTCAGTTCCAGTGCACAGAATGGAAACTTGCTACCTGCTACACCACATTTTCACTAGTATGTGATGTATTCATCACAAACAACAGTATTGGCCAACATTTTCCCTCACTGTGAAGTGCACATTTGACATCCTTTAGAAAAATTACTGACGGTTTTGAGACGATTGTTCTGTGCTTTCTTTCAGTCAGCATAATTTTCCCGAAAGCAGAGATGACTCTTCCAGACTTGCTACCAATGCTTGAACAAACTGTGTAAGCTTAGTCCAAAAAAAATATTTGATTAATAGATTTTATTTTGGTAGATTCTAAGGTTCCAAGCAGTCAGAGAAATAATCGCAGAGCCTCAAATATCTCCAAAATCTGATACCAATCCTTTTGATTGTGAATTATATTCTGTAGCTACCAAAGAAGGTAAGTTTTTATTTTTTCTACTCTATTAACTTTCCCTTGGACAACTGAATATTAAGATGACTATGTAAGGAGGTTATCAGACCAAGGCCTCACACATCAGGATAAAAGCACATGCCATAGAAAGAACATTTGTGTCTCAAAAGGTGATACCAAGACAAGGCTGTGGGATATATATGGGCACAATGGTTGATACCTTCAAAGACTTCATACATGGTGTGGAGGTTTTTGGAGATTTTAATTTATAATGACAATCTTTCCAGTTAGGAGAATTTTTGGACTGTAAAGTTAGCCAAACAACTTTTCAATGATAATAAATGTCTATATCTTACACAGGGGGAATACAGTTTTTGTTTGTTTTAGTTTTTTCTCTGTCTATTCATATAGGGGCATCATATGTCTTTATCATTAAAAACTGATTTAGATAGGCAGTTGTAGAGAAATTTAATGTGTGGGAATTTAAAGTTTTAAAAAGATGTAGCAAAATATAGATACATTTAAGACCCACTGCACCAATGAAAAAGGGAAATTAATTAAACTAGATAACTTTTATGGGTACTAACCATTAAAATTAAAATTTTAGTCATTGTAAATTACATTACATTATAATAGTTTTCAATCTATTGTTAAGTTAAATATTTTGGGTAACAATTGTATTTCACAGTTGTTCACACTTTGCATAATTTTCTAAGGAAAATGAGTCCCTTAGGGAGAAAATTGTTCTTAAATTTTATTGTTGGATAATGTTGCTGTACTAACATGGTTTACTGAAGTGGATCTACCATGGGTGTTTAGGTTTTTGTTCTTTACAAAATGTATTGGGTGAAATTTTCCATATCACTGGTGAACTTTTCATGCTAATTTTCCAGTCCCTTAGTTTAAATATTATGCATTTTTTCCTGCAAATCTATCTTGAATCTGAAAAGGCCCCAGAAGGAATTAGCGTGAGTCCAGAGTAGATGGACTGCAAATGTTACACATATTTCAATATGTATCCAGCTTTCAAAAATAGCTTATTGAAATCAAGGTTGAACCACATGAAATTTTGGGTTTTTTTGGATGTAAAAAATGGTTATATATTGGCATTTTCATATCATCCAATCTAATATCTTCCTCTAGTGAGGTTCTGGCAAAAAAAAAGTATGATGACCAGAGTTGTTCACTCTTTTAAGCTTTATGTTTCAAAATATTTTTAAAATTTAAAACCATCTAAGTGCATCCCAAAAAACATTGGAAAATTTTGTAGGCTAGTTTTGTTTAACGATTTTTCTTCTATAGATTTATTTTTATGCTATGCCTTACTCTCCAATTAGATTTTAGCCATCCAAGAAAGGTACCTTGTACTTCTAAGCAATTCTCCCATCACCTGGACGTTAACTGCAGCCCACACTGCAGTGTCTTGACTGCAGTAGGCACTCAGTAAATATTTATTGATGGTCCTGATTATGGGATGATGAAATATGCTAAAGGTAACTTAAACTTTTGTCAATAAAACCGAGTTTCAGGTTAGTTTGACCTTTTCCGTATCTCTAAATATTTTCTTTCATGTCATTTTTGTGAAATAGCTCACGAAAGTACTTATTGATTCTGAAATCCTTTTCCCCTCTGGTATTCCTGAGCTATCCTCACTCACACACAGCACACCAGTGCTATTGTTTGCTGTTTTGTTAAAATCATTCTCATTAATATTCCTCATTCAATAAAAATAGTTGATTCCCACTTATGCACCAAACTCTATTCTAAAGACTGCTGTTTATTTTATGGAGTCAATATCATCATTTTGTTTTCCATTCCACATAATAGTTGGATGCCAATATGAAGTGTATATTTATAAATAATATGTGCTTTTATTTATTTGTTTATTTTTATTTTACTTTAAGTTCTGGGATTAATATGTGCTTTTAACATTATTGTTTAAAAATAACAGGAGATATCATATCTTAGCACCTTCTATATTCTGGGCACTGTTCTAAATGTATCAAAGTTATCATCTCATTTAATCCCTCCACACACCTGAGGGAAGAGAGTATTATTCCTTATTTACAGATAAGGAAGCTGAGGCTTGGAAGATTCATATATCTAAGATCACAAAGCTAGTAAAGCAGCCAAGTTTGAGTCTAAATCCAGGTTTTAAATATCATATTGCATGTGGGCATAGATGAGCAAGAACAGGTTTTCCTGAAGATGGCCAGTCTAAGGCTTAGAAGAAGGAAGCTCGGGGAGCCTAAACCAAGATATGCTAAGGCAAGTTTTTTTGCTCGTTTGTTTTTGAGATGGAGTTTCGATCTTGTTGCCCAGGCTGGAGTGCAGTAGTGTGATCTCGGCTCACCGCAACCTCCGCCTCCTGGGTTCAAGTGATTCTCCTGCCTCAGCCTCCTGAGTAGCTGGGATTACAGTCATGTGCCACCATGCCCAGCTAATTTTGTATTTTTAGTAGAGATGGTGTTTCACTATGTTAGCCAGGCTGGTGTCAAACTCCTGACCTCAGGTGATCCGCCCACCTCAGCCTCCCAGAGTGCTGGGATTACAGGCGTGAGCCACTGTGCCCGGCCTGCTAAGGCAAGTATTGACCATTAGAGGAGATGACTAGTCCCAGTGGCAGGCCTTTCCTACTGGGAGTCAGCCAAGAGCTCCCCACTCTTCTGGTTCCATTGTTCCTCCTGCAAAGTTCCATTCATAAAGTGGTTTCCCATTTGATTGTCCAATGATGCAAATCTCCAGTCCTTTTTAGCACTGAGTTTCTCATAGCCTTTTACCATTGAGTTTCTCATGGCTAATGAATGCTAATGAATTGGCATTCCGATTTATCTATAGGATTCCATGAGTCAGCCTCATGAAAGAAGGTTCCACTCCCTCACTGTGGGTACCGTCTGGGAATTAGACCCTTAATAGGAGTAATTCAGCAGGCAATGTCTTCTCTAATAACACTCCAGTCTCACTGAGAGCTTCTATTCAAAACAACAATCTAAAGGTCTACAGTGTGACTTTCAACTAAACTGAAAAAAGAATAGAAAATGAATGTATGTGATGTACACATTCATTCAAATGTTTATCCCTAAAATTCATAGCAGATTATGACTGATCATTAAAGCCAAATTAAGGGGGCAAAATGTATAAAAACAAAAGGAACTCTTAGGCATAATAGTCTTTAAAGTAAAACATTACTACTGACAGTTGCTTGTGTGAAAGATATCTTTATTTAATATGGTAAAAAGAACACAGGAATTGCTAGCACTTACCGTATGTCCATTTTATGTCCACCTTAAAATAGATATGTCTGTATAGTCATCAGATTAGCACTTTAGAATTCAATAATTTCAAAGAAATCAGAATGGACATTCATTACATGTGCTTATCTGGCAGGAGAATTGAACAAATCCTTTCTATAGGAAAATGTAAAATTCCTAATAACTCCACAGGATTGTAAGACTTGGGCTGGTAACTTCAGTGAATACAGCAGAGTTTGGGCGATGGGAAAAGGTACAGTTGTGTTCCTAAACTCTTAACTTTGTGAGGCAGTGACTTTATTTCTTCTTCATGATTTTGCAGTAAGTTCAGTACAGTGGTTAGTTTCAGTATAGTTCAGTGGCTAAGCTTTTGAGAGGGACAGTTCTATGTTCTAACTCAACTTCTGCCACTTGTTAGAAAGTGACTCTTGTCAAACTATTGGCCCTTTCAAACCTCAGTTTCTTCATCTGCAAAACTTTATTCATGGGGTTGTTGTGAGGGTTAAATGAAAAATATGTAAAACTCATCAAAATTTTAAGCACAAAATACCAAGTCTCAGCAGAACACATACAGTAGGAGTCCAGCCATTAAAATTTGAAACAGGCAGAGGCAAAAATATTTTGTTTAGAAGTACTTGCATTTTCTAGCTCTTTGGCTGAGTGGACAACATTTTGGTGTTCTTTTTCTTATTGTTATTTTTTAAAGCATACGTATATGTTATGTAGACTCTTTTGTATGTATATTTAACTCACAATAAATATTTATAAATAGAAAGAAAGATATCACATATATGTGCACATACACTGGTAAGCCCCAATACACTGCCTCATTTCTAAATGACTCTAGCATTTGTAGGACAGTGCTTTTAAACCTTTCGCACTCACGAGATACTCTGGGGAGCTTTAAAATATATGCTGATGCTTGGGCTCCACTTCCACATATTCTGATTTAATTGATTAGGGGTTCGGCTCAGGCATCAGTATTTGTAAATAAAAGCTTCCCAGCTGATTCTAATGTGAAGTTAAAATTGACGGATACTGATACCGATAAAAGAGTGAGTGCAATAGACACAAAACAAAATAGGAGATGTGTCTCAACAATGGTAAGATTGTTTTAAAAATTATAGTACAATTAAAAAAATAATGTAATGCAATTATTTAGAAAATTCTTACAATTTTGTATTTTGAAAGCACCATGTGGATATCATGGGGAAAACCAGAACTTTGTTGGATTTCCTTAACAAAGATTTTGCAGCTTGGTATCATTTCCATTTTGTAGTATTTTGATATCCAGGAGATGAAAGTGGGAAGTGGACAATTGCCTATAAGGCCATGCTTTGCACCAGGGTGTCCAGATGAGAGGCAAGTGGAGGGTAAAGTTTAGCCTGCATTCTGTTCCCTAAGGTACATCTCCTGGTGAGGGGTGGCTTCTAATCAGGGGAAGAAGTCCTATGTCTTGTTTCCTAATGCACGCACAGGTTCCACAAGCCCTCACTTTGTTCTCAAGAGCATAGCATTTATTTTGGTGCTTAAGACTGCTGAATGTCACAAAATAATTTTTCCCAGCACAAACAAATATTCAAAATAGTTATGTGCACAGCCTGTTTGAGCACCAATAAGTTTTGGCTCTGTGGCCTGTTTGGGCACTGACATGGTTTGGCTCTGTGTCCCTACCCAAATCTTATCTTGAATTGTGATCCCCACATGTCCAGGGAGCGACCTGATGGGAAGTGATTGGATCATGGGTGCAGTTTCTCCCATGCTGTTCTCATGACAGAGAGTAAGTTCTCAGGAGAGCTGATGGTTTAAAAGTCTTTGGCAGTTTCCCTTTCTCTCCCTCTCTCTCCTGCTGCTATGTAAGACGTGCCTTGTTTCCCCTTTGCCTTCCGCCATGATTGTTTTAAGTTTCCTGAGGCCTTCCCAGCCATGTGGAAATATGAGTCAATTAAACCTCTTTTCTTTATAAATTACCAAGTCTCAGGCACCTAAACCAATTAGAAGGTGTGCCATTGGCACACAGCAGGGTCCTGGTGTCTCCCCCACCATCCAGCCACCACTCTGCCAGGTGTGAATGTATTAACTATTGCTGGAGTGAGGTGAAAGGAGGCAGTCCTGCAGAAGGGCCACTGCCACTGGGATGGCACAGGAGGGCGCTCGAGAGACTCACCTTAGTGACTCTATCAACTGGTGAAAATATTTAGATATTTTCACAATCGATATGGCCTTGCTTGTATATACAGGGTGATTATAAACTCTCTTGCCACTTATCACAGAAGTCGAAGTTTCATCATTTCTTTTCCTGTATTTGGTTTATGTGCAACAATATAGGTTTATTTTCCAGTTCTGGAAAATAATCATGGTTAATACTGACTGAGAACTGATCATTTCCTTTCCTCTTTATACCAACCAATGGGGCAGGTACCATTATTAAAGGGGGAGGAAATAGAGGTTAAATAACATGCCCCCAATCAGTAGTGGGGAAATGAAAGAATCAGGATTCAAAGCCAGGTTTGTCTGGGTCTTGGGACCAGCTCAGCGTCTGTGCTGTACTGCCCGGGACTCCTGCTGCCAATTCTTTCTACCTCATTATCCCTCAACCCTGCACCAGCAAATCCACAGGGCGTGAGATGAAGAGAAGAGAGGACCACAGGCGAGAAAGTGGCAGCAGCAAGAGAAGATGTACCATGAGGAAGTTCTGGGAGGTTCTGCCCGTCTTTCTGAGAACAGGGGAGAGACAGAGCTGAGTTACAACTGCACTGCTTCTTAGCTTCTTAGTTTCTCTTCAGAATTAGTGGCAAAGAAGAGTTTTCGAAGTCTTTAGCATGTATTAAACGAAGAATTTTGTTTATAAGAAAAAATTGTGGATCGTTCCCATGTTTGTCTGGAAAACTCTTGTTAAACTTTTGTGCAGCTAGTAAATTAAGTCACTGTTTATTCTGTGTAGTGGAAAGCATGCTTAAACTCTAACTCAGGAGACCTGATTCCAGGAATAGTTAAGCCTGAGTTCATTATAAACCACTTAAGTTATCTGTGTCATTATTCTAGTCTGTTAAATGGAGGGCTTGAGCTGGTTTCTTGTAAGGTGGGATTTGGCTAAGTGCTCTTGGATACAGTTGCTCACCTCTTTGAGCCTCAGCTTTCTTTTTGGTGATTATTTAATCGCATGTGATAACAAATACAGGGTGTTTTGTGTAATGCCTGGAATGGCACTGAGATTGTCTCCACTACAGTAAGGAGGTGGTTTAGAAATTAGCTAATTTATTAATTAATGGCCTATAGAGCTTCATGTAGGTTGGTACTTCAAAGTCCCATTCATATGGATCATGTTCATATTTATATATTCATCACTTTTATTTCAAAATCTCTTTTTCTGCTGAGATCAACTGAGATTTCTAGAAAGCAGTCCTATTGTCAGCACTTTGCCCAGTACATTTAGTAAGAACTTGACTAGCATTGACTCAAACAGTTCTCTTAGAAGGGCTGGCACCTTTTGTTTCAATTTTTTTAAACATTAACTGCCCATAATAATTGAAGCATGAATGCACTTTCTTTGGATTATGAAACAAATCAATCACAGACATGGGAATTAGGTGTGTTCTCTTGCTTTGTTCAATATCATGCATTTTTTTTGTCTGAGCTTTCACTGTGTCCCCAGAACTGTGCTTGGTGCTAACAGTGGCCCCACAGAGTACGGCTTTATATTCAAGGAGATGACAATCTTGTTGGAGGAAAAACCTTATACATAGAACAATTAAGGAACAATGCAAGGGAAACACACATTGCAAGTTTTGATTGTACCTATTTTATGGCTATGGTATAAAACAAAGCACCTGTTGTTCCTGAGAGTGAAGGGATAAGACAATAACTACAAAAAGGTGAAATGAGTTAATTCAAAAGGGAACATTGAGCATGTCATTTTCCTATTGAAGTGCTATTATTTGGTATCGGCTTCCTTTGGTGGTGTTGGTTTTTGATTCCCTCTGCCCCGGACTCTGTTGTTTAAAGATGTTCTTTCTATGAGGGATCTTGGATGCATTTTAGCAGTGTTTCCACTGCCCTTTGTTTTATATTCTTTGATGCCATCCCAGGTACATCACATTCTTGCTAGATGAGTAAAGGTAAGCATACTTAGAAGTCAAAAAGAAAAGGCTGAAGTGGTGACTTAGACTTGAGAAATTATAGATTCCATGGAGAAAACTGTGTTTAAATCACAGGACAGGCTGAAAACTCACATTACCACCTGATGGAAGTGAACTCTACTTTTATAGGTTACTAGGAGAAGGTCAGCCTTCTGTAAAAGCAGATAAACAAGGATACCATTACCAGAGTTTCAAGTAATTTAAATTAAGAACTGAACATTGATACTGATATGATTTCTAGTTTATTATCTGTGACAGAACCCAGTAGCTTATTGAAAAACTATCATGGAAGAAATAACTAAGAAATAACCATTTAAAATATATCAGGATATAATGAGGATGAAGCTTTAGATAACACAAAAAGGCAATTTCTCTTTAGGCTGAAAAATACCAGACACAGATATATCGACAGAGTGACCTGCCAGAATCCCTACTTTCCAGCCCATCTGATAAAGGTCAACGATTGAACACCCAAACACGTTGATACACACAGCACCTGCCTGATGAAAACCGTTAACAGTGTTTTTCTCAGCCCAGAGTGCACTGTTTTCTTAAAGTTTTGAAAACAGTAATCTAAATTTCCCTATTCCATGAGTAAAGTTCTACTTTTTTCTTTTTCACACTAAACAGCATTCGATGTTTTAGCTGAAAGTCAATTAAGAAAAATGTATTGTGTCTGTGTTTTTCTTGCTTTCTTTTAAGCACCTCTAAAAGAACTTGTTCTTCTTCCTGAATTGAGAACGAGGTAGGAATGAAAGACTGAAACGGTAACTCTCATCATAATTTTATTATTATGACAAGTTGGGTTTATGAAGTATTTTTCCAATTACTGCCTCCAATTGTTAAATAGGTAGATAACATGCCAGCTTTAACTGCCAAAAACTTGTAGTCCTTAAAATATTTTTTGTAGTATTACTATTAGTATCATGAACAGAAATAGCAGTGATAAAAATCAAATCAAGTTTTGTGAACACCAAAATTCCATTTGCCTGTGTGTGGAGGGTGGTTTAGGATTGGTAGAATTAATATTCTTTGCAAACGGCTGCACCTAGCATGGTCGCCTTGAAGCCCTGGGAGTTCTCTAATTTTCCTGGCTCGAGAGACTTCCATTAAACAAGAAAATGAGGTGGGAAAGGTCAGAGGATTCACAGGGTAACAGGAACTGGACCTGAACCTGAGCTTCATGCAGTCCGCAGATTTTTTAAGTGGTTTGTTTTTTAGAAGTGTTTGTCACGACCTCTAAATCATTGTTAATTTCATCGTTAAACTGGCCTCAGAGAGATTTTGTTTTAAAGAGACAATGCAGTTAGAGGATCGTGATCTCTGAACTCAGAAGCCCAGAACTCCAAAGCTGGAAGCCACCAGATCCTAGCAAGTGAAGCTCTGTCAATCTGGAGCCGCAGATTTTGACCACGTGTGCACAGCCTCCCATCTGGGCAAGCCCTTTTCTCTCCACCACTCCACTCCACAGCTTCTGTTTCTTTTCTTTTCTTTTTTTTTCGCTGAATTCATCATCCCTCCCTTTCCCATGCCGAGACTTAAAAGGTTTCAAATACTTCAAAAATCAATGATTTCTAAATCACCTCAGATGACTTACATACAATGTTTTATTACATTTTCCCAGAGCAGAATGGCATATTAAGAAATGGTTTTATTTTCAACTATATTTTCTCTTAGGAATATAGAGACATTATCTCAAATTATTACCTCGAAGAGACAGAGACAAGAATTTTGCACCATTCTAGTTCTCAAATCATTTTAGGTATTTTATTTCATTTTGCCTAAATCTCTTAGACGGTTATTTCCTCGTATCACTTAAAAATTACATTTTACTTGGGCAGGGCCTAAAGAATTACATTGAAAAACTAAGAAATTATTGGGAAAAAATTCCATTAGCACAACTATCATGATCAGAAGAAATTGGCTAATTTCAGTGTCTTTTCTTTGGGCTCTTCATAGAAAATTGTTGAAATGTGTCTTTCATAAGTAACTGGCATTCTGAAATTGATTTAAAGCTGTAGAGGGGAAGAAAAGCTACATTGGAAAAATTAAATCTTAGGTTTGGAGATATTTTAAAAAACTCAACAAGTTCCATGCCCAGAGGAGTGCAGACACTGACCCTCTTTTTCAGCTATTAGAGGTGAGGAAAAAAAGTTGTGTGGTTGGTGTGGAGAGAGAGAGACACACGCACTTCCTTTAGCCATCATCCTACTAACACCTTCACAGTACATTTTCTTGCTAATAATCCCAACCATTTCTACAGGGAAAAGTGCATGTTCCTGTTCTCTGGTAGAAGGGCCACCCAAGGAATTCAGGTTCCTGGTGAGTAAGAATGACAGAAGTACCCACAGCTCCTGGGCCATTGGTCTCCTCTATCCAGCCTCCACTGACCTTGCTGGGTCCACTGCAGTTTTCTTCTTGATTTAACTCTATGAGCTCTCTGTTCCTTCAAAGTACTGGAGCTTCTGGCCTTAGCACATCTGTTTCTGCAGCCAGAGCACCTTCACTGAGAAGCAGACCTCTACTTGGCTGGGTTCTTACTCACCCTATTGGTGCCTCTTCCCCATCCCCCTCCTCCTCCTCCTCCTCCTCCTCCTCCTCCTCCTCCTCCTCCTCCAGGGAACATATAGTTGGCAGCAAGGGTTGCAGAACGAATGAAGGCATGCATGAATGCACATGTTGGAGGACGAAGGTTCTGTTTTTACTCTCAGTGCACCAAAACCCAGCAGAGTTAAATAGTGGAAGGTTCTTAAGTGCTCAAGTGAGTAGATGGAGGTCATAAGGCAAGCAGAGTGGGAAGGGCTAGAAGGAGAAGAAAGGAGAAAGGGAAGGCAGGAGAGGAGAGAGGTGGGGAAAATGGAAGGGTAGTTGAATGTCATAGCAAATTAGAGTTAGAAGAGGAGAATTAGTAGAAAACAGAGCTAGAGTCAAAAACAGAGTGAGACAGACAGAAATTCATAGATTTGCTGTCTGGCCCAGATCTCATTGGATAACTAGAGCCTCCCTTCTTCCTTTGGGTTGAATGGTCTTTACTCATTCTTTATGTAGACCATCCTTTACTTCCACATGGAGTTTGTATGTTCCCATAGACACCAATACTTTACATATCAGAACACTTGTCATTTTATTAAAAATTGTTTTTTATTAGTTTCTTTTCCCACTAGACAGTCAATGTCATGGATGCAGGACTATAGGGTCTTATCTTTTTCATCACAGTAGCCCTCGAACCTAGCACAGTGAAAGTTGCCCATAATACATTACTAAATATTTGTTGAAAGCCTAAAGCACTGGGCAAATCATTTTGACTTTCCAGACTTCAGGATCCCCATTTGTGAGGGAGCTGGTCTATTTGATACCTAAGACTCCCCTCCAGCACAGGTCTTCTATAATTTTGTATCTACATGGCTTCCTGCCTGATGCCAGGAACTTAAGATTTAACTCAAGAAGACAGGGATGTTGCTTGCAAAGACCCTGAAGATCTTGTCATCCAAACTGTGACTGCCTGGAGACTGTTTATACAGGATCTTGAACTGGGCTAGGAGAGTGCAATGGATGGTAGTCCCAGTCCTTGTTTGCAGGGAGAGGAAGACAGCGACAAAGCATTTCTATGGAAAGAAGGAGTTGCTCATAAGTCTACTATGGACATCAAAATATGCTGATGAGCCACAGCAAGTTCATTACAAAGGGATTTCAGATAGAAGCCTCCTCCTTCAGAGTGAGGAGGAAGAATCATCCAGGAAAGAGAGAAATTATGTGTATTTCATATATTGCTGTATGTACATATTAATCAGCCAGCAAATATTAAGTGCATTCATGGGCAAAATGCCAAAGAGATGAAGAGAAAAATCAGACTCCAAGGATCATATAATCTGATTGTGGAAGAAAGGCATATTCATCATGAAAATGTAGCAAAGATGTTAAGTGAGTGTCTTAGTCTATTCTGTGCTGCTATAAAAAATACCTGAGACTGGGTAATTTACAAAACAATTTATTTCTCGTGGTTCTGGTGACTAGGAAGTCCAAGATCAAGGCACCAGCAGATTGGTTGTCGGATGAAAGTTCAGTTTCTGCTTCATGCATGGTGCCTCCAGAGGACAGGAACACTGTGTCCTCATATGGCAGAAGGTAGAAGGGCAAAAGAGGAAAAACCCTTTTTTTTTCTTTTTTTTTGAGATAGAGTCTCGCTCTGTCACCCAGGCTGGAGTGCAGTGGCTCGATCTTGGCTCACTGCAAGCTCCGCCTCCTGGGTTCATGCCATTCTCCTGCCTCAGCCTCCTGAGTAGCTGGGACTACAGGTGCCCGCCCGCCACCATGCCTGGCTAATTTTTTGTATTTTTTAGTAGAGACGGGGTTTCACCGTGTTAGCCAGGATGGTCTTGATCTCCTGACCTCGTGATCTGCCTGCCTTGGCCTCCTAAAGTGTTGGGATTACAGGCGTGAGCCACTGCACCCGGCCAGAAAAACTCTATCAGTTCCCTTTATAAGGGCACCTAATTTCATTCATGAGGGAAGGGCCCTCATGCCTAATCACCTCTTAAAGCCCTGCCTGTTAATACTATCGCACTGGCAACTCCTGAGTTTTGGAGGGTGCACATTCAAACCATAGAAGTGGGATAAGCCAGACACTTGGGTTTCCTATGGGTCCTCTCCATTTGGTTTTCCTGTTAAAGATTTAAAAGAGCAGAAACACTACTTTATTAGAGAAAGGGCATTTGAACTTGGCCTTTGAACATGGCAGGATTTGGCCACTTAGAGATTGGGGGTGCCATTCCAGGTAGAGAGAAGAGCAAGGAGAATGGAGAGCACTTGGCATTTATGAGAATAGTGAGGGTTCATGTCAGGTTACATGAAGCTGACTCATGACAAATTAATTTGGAAAGGCAGGTTGTGACCAGGCTAAAGGCATCTGGACTTTGCTCTAGAGGAAATGTGAAACCATTGCAGATTTCTGAGCAAGCTGTTGGCCAGAGCCGTGCTTCGGGGCGACTCACAACAGTGGTAGGAAGCTCTTTGGGAGCTGGGAGAGAGAGAGAGAGAGAGAGAGAGAGAGAGAGAGAGAGAGATGGGAATCCAGGGGAGAACAGAACAAGTGAGAAAGCAGCTGCATTGCGGCCCAGGCTGGGGTTGCTGGTTTCTGGAAAGGGGGTAGTGTTGGGGGAGTGGGGAGAGGGGTTAAATGTGAGCTTCTGAGGAAGTACAGGAGGGGTGAATTCCACCATGGAGAAAGTATTCAATAACAAGCCTACAGAGAATTTGAGGAAGGTGGAGGAGTAAAGGACAATGATGTCCTCGAGAAACCTGCTCATGAAACCTGCTCAAGAAACCTGAGGAGGCAAAAGCCTGATTCTAAAGTGTGAGAGAGCAACAGCACAACCTGGGGAGGTGGGGTATCAAGTCCGAACCAAGGGTGAAGGGCAGGGACTCAGGTGCTGGAGTGTTTCAATGTGGATCTTGGGGTTGGCACTTGCTTGCTGAGTTACCTTGGGCAAGTTACTATGTGGTCTTAGTTTCTGTAAAATGGAGATCATGATGTAACCACTTGGTAGGGCTGTTGGAAGGATGGAAGGAGTTCAGAAACAGAAAGCTCCCAGCACAGAGCCTGGCCCGTAATAAACAGTCTATGTGTTTGCTATCACGAGGGTACTTTTAAAGAAATTTAGTGCAGATGAGTATAAATGAGACGTGGAGTGAGTAGCAGAATCAACACAAGGTTTTTCTTATAATGGATGAGAGATTGTAAAACACATTTGCATTGGGGAGAAGGACACATGGGAGAGGGAAGAAATGGAAGACACGGAAGATTTGTTGGAGGCAAATTTAGATCCACGACAAAAGTACGGGAGTAAGTGCATGGGGAAAACTTAGTATTGGAGGGAGGAAAAATGGCCTCACTTTGCACTTCGAATAACATCTACTTTCTTTACCTGGTCCTCCAAAGGCCACCAGGGCCAGCCTCTGGCCTGTTTCTTTAGCCGTAACTCCTCCATTCTCCCCCGCTGCCATTTGCACATCTTGCATTTTCTCAGAGCTGCCAAGATGGTCGTGGCCGGGCCTTCCTCTAGCTAGCCTATCTTCCTGCAGAGCCCTTCCCTCAGCTTCTTACTTGGCTGAATCTGTTGTCTTACCCAGCTCTCACTTTAAATTCCGAAGTCCTTCCCTGACCGTCAGGTCCAAAGTAGCCATTCAACATTCCTTACATTACCCGTTTTTCCATCTTTACATGGCATTGATCTTCACTTGGTGATTCCTTGTTTATTTATTTATTGGTGTACTGCCTGCCTCTCTTCACCAACGTATAAGCTTCATTACAGCAGAGACCTCTTGCCTGGTCATCACAGTATCCTTGGCTCCTGGCACATGGTAGGAGCCCAGTTAAACGTTTGTTGAATAAATAAATGAATACATCCTTCTGTAATATGTGAGAAAAGTGGGAGGCAAGTCTAGGTGAAGAAGGCACTTAAAAAAAAATTTTTTTTTGAGACAGTCTTGCTCTGTCACCCAGACTGGAGTGCAGTGGCACGATCTTGGCTCACTGCAGCCTCCACCTCCCGGAATCAAGTGATTCTCATGGCTCAGTCTCCTGAGTAACTGGGATTACAGGCTTGCGCCGTTACACCCAGCTAATTTTTGTTTTCGTTTTTTTTTTTTTTTTTTTTTTTGAGACGGAGTTTCACTCTTGTCGCCCAGGCTGGAGTGCAGTGGCGCAATCTCGGCTCACTCCAATATCCGCCTCCCGGGTTCAAGCAATTCTCCTGCCTCAGCTTCCCGAGTAGCTGGGATTACAGGCCTGCAACACCATACCTGGATAATTTTGTATTCTTAGTAGAGATGGGGTTTCACCGTGTTGACCAGGCTGGTCTCGAACTCCTGGCCCCAAGTGATCTGCCTGCCTCGGCCTCCAAAAGTGCTGTGATTATAGGCATGAGCCACTGCACCTGGCCGGAAGACAGATTTTGAAGTGGAGAGGAGTTAGAGGAAATTGAGTCATACTTAATTTTATCTGAAAATCATGAAGTAAAATAATACATAGAAAGTGAAGGGGTGAACTTCTGGGTGTATATATTCAATGGAAATAAAATCAGTGTCAAAGGTTTCTCTGCACCCCCATGTTCACTGTAGCATTATGCACAATAGTCAAGATATGGAATCGACCTGAGTGTCCATCAACAGATGAATGGATAAAGCAAATGTGGTATGTATACACTGTGGAATACTATTCAGCCTTAAACAAGAAGAAAATTCTATCACTTGTGACAACGTAGATGAACCTGGAGGACATCGTGCTAAGTGAAAGGAGCCAGGCACAGAAAGACAAATTGTGCATGATCTCACTTACATGTGGAATCCAAAAAAGTTGAACTCGTAGACACAGAGAGGAGAATGGTGGGTTGCTGGGGAGGAAATGGAATGCGGCAGAAAGGGGAGATATTGGTCAAAGGGCACAAAGTTTTAGTTAGATAGGAGGAGTAAGTTCTGGAGACCTATTGTGCAGCATGGTGACTGTAGTTAATAATGATGCACTGTATACCTAAAAATTGCTGAGACAGTAGAACTTAAAAGTTCTTTTTAAAATTTTTATTTTAGGCCAGGTGTGGTGGCTTATGCCTGTAATCCCAGCACTTTGGGAGGCCGAGATGGGCAGATCACCTGAGGTCAGGAGTTCAAGATCAGCCTGGCCAACATAGTGAAACCTCGTCTCTACTAAAAATACAAAAATTGGCCAGGCATGGTGGTGGGTGCCTGTAATCCCAGCTACATGGGAGGCTGAGACAGGGGAATTGCTCGAACCCAGGAGATGGAGGTTGCAGTGAGCCTAGATCATGGCACTGCACTCCAGCCTGGGTGACAGAGTGAGACTCTCAAAAAATATTATTTTAATTTTTATAAATAAAGACAGGTTCTCCCTATGTTGCCCAGGCTGGTCTCAGACTCCTGGGCTCAAGCGGTCCTCCCACCTCGGCCTCCCAAAGCGCTGGGATTGCAGGCGTGAGCCACTGCACCTGGACAACTTCGAAGTTCTTACCACAAAAAAATGATAAGTATGTGAGGTGGTAGATATGTTAATTAGCTTGATTTAATCATTTCACATTGTATGTGTGTATCAAAATGCCACATTGTACCCAAAAATATATGCGGTTTTTATTTGTCAATTAAAAAAAAGAGAGGGGACTATAGGCACACACCACCATGCCAGGCTAATTTTTTTGTATTTGTATTTTTTTTTTTTTGAGACGGAGTCTTGCTCTGTTGCCCAGGCTGGAGTGCAGTGGCACCATCTTGGCTCACTGTAGCCTCTGCCTTCCAGGTTCCAGCGATTCTCCTGCCTCAGCCTCCTAGGTAGCTGGGATTACAGGCACATGCCACCGTGCCCAGCTAATTTTTGTATTGTTAGCAGAGTCGGGGTTTCGCCATGTTGGCCAGGCTGGTCTCAAACTTCTGACCTCAGGTGATCCACCTGCCTCGGCCTCCCAAAGTGCTGGGATAACAGGCGTGAGCCACTGCGCCAGGTCATTTTTTTGTATTTTTAATAGAGACGAGGTTTCACCATGTTGGCCATCCTGGTCTTGAACTCCTGACCTCAGGTGATCCACCCACCTCGGCCTCCCAGAGTGCTGGGATTACAGGCGTGAGCCACCATGCCCGCCCTAAACCTTTTTTAAAAATATGTTTTAACATTCTTTGTGCTCAAATTCATGATCAATTTTTTTTTTTTTTTTTTTGAGATGGAGTCTCACTCTGTCACCCAGGCTGGAGTCCAGTAGCACGATCTCGGCTCACTGCAAGCTCTGCCTCCCGGGTTCACGCCATTCTCCTGCCTCAGCCTCCCGAGTAGCTGGGACTACAGGCCCCCGCCACCACGCCCAGCTATTTTTTTTTGTATTTTTAGTACAGAGTTTCACCGTATTAGCCAGAATGGTCTCAATCTTCTGACCTCGTGATCCGCCCGCCTCAGCCTCCAAAAGTGCTGGGATTACAGGCATGAGCCACGGCGCCCGGCTTCATGATCAAATTTTGTAAATGGTTGATGGATAGATGAAAAAAATTCTCTAATTGAAAGACATAAGGATCACTGTATGATCAGCAAATGTAGATAAATGAATATAATATTGATTCACTTCTAAAAGAAATATATTGATGTCTCCCACTATAATTAAATTTTAATCAAGTTCTTGGACTTCTAAATAGTTTTTGCCTTATATATTTGGCTGTTTTCACGTTTGGACGCTTCACTTTATTAATTATTGTATCTCCTTTGTAAGAGTGTACCATTCATATTACATAATCTCTCTATCTTGTTTGGTCAGGTTTTCCACAACTAATCAAAATGCCTTGGTATTAACGTGACTCTTTTTCAAAGTAGCGTGGACAATTTTGCTGTCATCATGTAGTCCTGGGTCTTTGGGTTTTATCTTTCTAAGACTGTAGATCTCAATCTTGAGTTTATCAATATAATCTATAAAAAATTCCAAATTAAGCCAGGCATGGTGGCTCATGCCTGTAATCCCAGCACTTTGGGAGGCCGAGGTGGGAGAATCACTTAAGGCCAGAAATTTGAGATCAGCTTGGGCAACATAGTGAGACCCTATCTCAACAACAAATTAAAAAACTGCTGGATGTGGTAGCGTGCAAATGTATTGCCAGCTACTCAGGAGGATGAGGTGGGAGGATCACTTGAGCCCAGGAAATTGAGGTTGCAGTGAGCCATGATTATGGCATTGTACTCCAGGTTGGAGTACAAACTTTCAGCTTGTCACTGAAAAAAAGGACACTCCATATCACTTTTTGCCATTTTGTGTGTGTTTACACATCTATCTATCCACATTGTGCTTAATTTGGACTTTACAACCAAGTGATTTTTCTCCATTATAAAAGAAATTGCATCATTTTCTTTTTTTTAAAATTTTACTTTAAGTTCTGGGATACATGTGGGGAATGTGCAGGTTTGTTACATAGGTATACATGTGCCATGGTTGTTTGCCGCACCCAACAACCTGTCATCTAGGTTTTAAGCCTTGCATGCATTAGGTATTTGTCCTAATGCTCTCCCTCCCCTTGTCCCCCACCACCCAACAGGCCCTGGTGTGGGATGTTCCCCTCCCTGTGTCCATGTGTTCTCATTGTTCAACTCCCATTTATGAGTGAGAACATGCAGTGGTTGGTTTTCTGTTCCTGTGTTAGTTTGCTGAGAATGACGGTTTCCAGCTTCATTCATGTCCCTGCAAAGGACAGGAACTCATTCTTTTTTATGGTTGCATAGTATTCCATGGTGTATATGTGCCACATTTCCTTTATCCAGTCTATCATTGATGGGCATTTGGGTTGGTTCCAAGTCTTTGCTGTTGTAAATAGTGCTGCAATAAACATGCGTGTGCATGTATCTTTATAGAATAATTTATAATCCTTTTAGTATATACCCAGTAATGGGATTGCTGGGTCAAATGGTGTTTCTGGTTCTAGATCCTTGAGGAATTGCCACAGAGTCTTCCACAATTGTTGAACTAATTTACACTCCCACCAACAGTATAAAAGTGTTCCTATTTCTCCATATCATCTCCAGCATCTGTTGTTTCCTGACTTTTTAATGATCGCCATTCTAACTGGCGTGAGACGGTATTTCATTGTGGTTTTGATTTGCAAGGAAATTGCATCATTTTCCACTGAACCTAAGTTGCAGTTCCATTCTGCCTAAGACCACCAAACTCACCTGCCCCACTGTTATACCTTCTGGATGTCAGTGAAAGTTCATGGACAAGAGAATATTTGTAAAACTGCATTGGATTTCTGTTGAGAAATGCTATGTTTTCAAAAGGTGAAAAAATGTAGACATGTATTTTCAGACCTTTTATTTTTCAATCATAGCAGTGGAATTCCTTGATGGTTTATGAAAATAAATGTTTTTCTCACTCCTAGGCCATTTAAAAATATATAATATGGAGTTGAAGTTATTAATAGAAATAACTAAGGGTGAGAGAGAATGGCACTTGTACTATTGAGTACAATATTAGAAGCAAGTGCTGTTATATTGCCAGACTATATAAAATAACAAGTGTTTCTAGTGCACTGAGTGAATGTATGGTTTAGAAAACATTACTAATTACGTGCGTATTCATTGATTTATTCACTAAGTACTCACTGAGGGTCTACTGTGTACCTGAGTCTAGCCAGAGGCTTGTGGTGGAGAGCTGAGCAGGTCAGGTCCAAACTTATGTTCTTGCTATTTCTTTGGGTGTGGGTGGTTGGATGGTTAGCTCAGTGGTCTCGGATGCTGGAATTTGTTCTAATAAGTTTCTGAGCTGCTTCATAAACCAAGAGGGTTAGGGGAACTATAGCTGAGTCATCTCCTTTTCCTCCTCTTCCTCCTTCTTCCCCTCCTCCCCACCGTCTGTTACTACTATTATAGGAAATTTGAACTGGAATGAAAAAAAAATCAGTGTTACAAAAATGGTCACATTTTGGAATAACTCTACACTTACATAGTGTGTTCTAGTGATTAGAAACAAAAAAGCCATCATTTTAGGCTAGATTTTTCAGAATGATCACAATGCTACCACTGTTTTGCACTTACCTTAAAAAATAAAGTGCTTCCCCTAAGTTTGATCATTTGCTTGTTAGCATAATTTGGCCATTAAACATTAAGCATTGTTTGAGACCCGTAAGTCAAGCCAGGCTATGGTGAAACAAAATTAGCAAAATTCGAATTGATGCCGGAAACTGGTGAAGCCGCCATAGATTTAAGGACCAATTTGCCAGGTTACCGTCTGCAGGTTCTGCTATGGACCAGGTGGGGGCAGCAGAGAGCTGGCTGTGGTCTCCAGAAGGGAAGGCCAGCACCTGCCTGCAGATTCCAAGGCACAGGTGGAGGTGGTAATGAGTTACGAGGTAGAGTCAAGGTTTGGACTGCATCTGAGAAGGGAGGAAAGCAAGAGAGTTAGAAACACCATAAAGATGAGACTGCAGAGCAAGCCAGAATGGAAGTAGGACAAAGAACTGGTGTAAGTCAAAGAGCAAAGGTGCAGGGGTCACAGGGAGGAGAGGTTGGGTGGGCAGACAGGAGGTGCCCGAAGGAGGCCAGCCTGCTTCACTAGTGCCCCTTCCAGTACCTTCCCAACTCGGTGAGCCAGGTCCATACTTGGTTCTGTTTGGTCTTCCAAGGGCTATGAAGGGACAGGGATGTGAGAGACACCAGCCATCTCTCTCTCCTGAGCTATTAATAATGAAAGTTCCTGTTTTATGAACAAATACTGAAATGAATGGAGAACACTCAACAATTTGGTAGCAATCAGAGTGTGGTAGTGAAGCATTGCCTGGGCTTTTCCTTCTGGTTCCTGCAAAGGACTAAGGTCCTCAGCAGCCTCTGTCCATCTTTTCGGAGATTTTTCACAATCACCAAGGAAATATAGTTCAGTGCTCCTGTTTACTTAATGGTCGGCTACGCTTGAAATATCATGCTCTCCCTGTGTGGTCTTGTCATAATTATTTTCAAATGGTGCTAATTAGCAGACCCAACACATGGGCAGCCTTCCTTCCCCAGACTTGGCACCCTCACTCGCTGCATTTAGCACCCCTCATGGGAAGGCATCCTGGAGATCCCTTATCTGCACCCTGTCTCCATCTACCCCTTCCCACTCGCGGAAGCTGCCTCACCAGAGAAACTGCTATCTGATAAAGAACATCAACAAGTCCTAGCAGATGGCTGCTTATCTCAAGACACATATATTCACCAAAATCCTAGCAGAAGAAAAAGCTGTGTTTGGATGGTCCCTGAGAGCTAACTATAACATGTTCAAACTGTGTAACGCAGTTTGGAGATGGAGACAGAGTATGGAGAAAGAAAGACAAAGGGAGAATACCCAAAAGAGGTTTTGGAAAAGAAGAAAAATTTGTTCTTTATACATATATATCCATAAAGATGAGGGTCTCACTCTGTCATCCAGGCTGATCTCAAACTCCTGAACTGAAGGGATCCTCCTGCCTCAGCCTCTCCAGTAGCTGCAACTACAGGTACCAAGCTGAGCAAGAAGAAAAATTTGAGTTAGGCTTTAGAACATCAAACTAAGACTCTGATTTTCTTGAGAAAGTGGATAGAAAATTTGTGGTTAGAGATGACACCAGTAACGATAGGTTTCTACTCTTAGCTATGCCTGGGGCAGCTTGACCGCCACTTTGTTGATCACATTAATTTACCTCTTCCTGCCTTTATTTCCCTTTCTGTAAAATGGGAATTAATGTGCTTGATGACAATATCTCCAAATGATTTTTAAGGCAAGAAGAGAGAATGTTACTGACAGGCCCATGGTTCTCTGGGTGAGAGGGTCACTGTGAATGAATGTACACACAGAGCCTTTTATTAGTGAGGCTTAGGGTGTCCGGTTTTTCTTGGCGGAGTAAACATCCACCCAGTAGTATTCACTCAGTTTGCATTGTTCTGTCGCATTGTTTGTAAATCTTTTGAGTGATTACGCAGCATTTGTTCCCTATTGTTCATAATACTCTTTAAAAAGCTGACTATAGGACTCCAGTCCCCACTGGTTTGTTCTTTGCCACTTGGCAAAGGTTGATTGATTTTATTTTTCCTTTGGCCTGTGCTTCTTAGTGGCTTGAAATGAACACGGCTTTTTTTCCTGTTTACCCCTTTGCCCACATTGTCAATAATAGAGTCGCCCTGGGAAGCAGAGTTTGCAAAGGGAGGAGGGTTTGGTATAAATTTGGAAGATTGTATTGTTTCAGATTTATTTTCTCAAATGCTGAAACTGCTTCTCAGGGGTTATACTTCTTTACTCATGAAAACTCACACATTCTCTTAGGTGGTACTGTTAAACATGTTACATTTGTAAAAAAATTAATAAAACGTAATGAAAGAAGCAGGAAGCAAGTGTATACACATGGTGGCCTGAGCAATTGGCTGTCATGGTTTGGTTTGATTATAGGTGTGTGAGGCACATGTATGGTGTTGCGTGGAACAGATGGATAGAAGTGGTAAAAAAGATGAATCCAACCTAGTGCTTTTCAATTCTCCTTGCACATGAGAATCACCTGGAGAATTAAAAAAAATACATTGATGCCGACTGGGCACAGTGGCTCATGCCTATAATCCCAGCACTTTGGGAAGCTGAGGCAGGTGGATCACTTGAGGTCAGGAGTACGAGACCAGCCGGGCCAACATGGTGAAACCCTGTCTCTACTAAAAATACAAAAATTAGCCAGGTGTGGTGGTACACGCCTATAATCCCAGCTACTTGGGAGGCTGAGGCAGGCAAATCTCTTGAACCCGGGAGGCAGAGGTTGCACTCAACCGAGATTGTGCCACTGCACTCCAGCCTGGGCAACAAAGCGAGACTCCATATTAAAAAAAAAAAAAAAAGTTGATGCCTGAGTCTCTCCCCAAAAATCGGAACATCTGTGGGTGTGGGTTCGGCATGGATATTTGTAAAGTCTCCGTAGCTGCAAAGCCAAGTTGGGAACCACTGATAACCAACAGAAAAATGCTTCTGGAAGTGTTTCCGGGGAAGGAGTCCTAGCCTAGGATCAGACACCTGTCTGGGCTCAATACAAACCACTGGTTTTTTTTTTTTTTTCTGAGATGGAGTCTTACTCCGTTGCCTGGGCTGGAGTACAGTGGCGCAATCTCAGCTCACTGCAACCTCCACCTCCTGGGTTCAAGCGATTCCCCTGCCTCAGCCTCCAGAGCAGCTGGGACCACAGGTGCATGCCACCACTCCTGGCTAATTTTTGCATTTTTAGTAGAGACAGGGTTTCACACTGTTGACCAGGATGGTCTTGATCTCCTGACCTTGTGATCCACCCGCCTCGGCCTCCCAAAGTGCTGGAATTACAGGCATGAGCCACCACACCCAGCCACCACTGGGTTTTATAAACTCTCAGTAGGCCTCCTCTTCTGGCCTGGTCCCATGCTATCTGACCCTTCTTGACATTCAAAAAAAGTATTTTTCTTTAGTTGAACTCCAGGAACATGAAGTGGCATTAAACAGAAGTATGAATTGCCTTTATTAAAATTGCAGTGGTCTTTTTCTTACCAAAGGTCCTGACCCAGTTGTGGAAAAATTGTTTCTTGAATGTGGGTGACACATCTGTTTCATATCTCCAAGGCAATGCCTCAGAGCCAACTCCTCCCCCGTGTGACTCAAGGATGCCACGTGTCCCACATGTGGCCTGTTTTCTTCTCTTAACATGGCCTAAAAGGCCCTTATTGAACTCCCGTTAGCTTTATTTATTTATTTTTGAGATGAATTCTTGCTCCGTCACCCAGGCTGGTGTGTGGTGGCGCAATCTCGGCTCACCGCAACCTCCGTCTCCCAGGTTCGAGCAAATCTCCTGCCTCAGCCTCCCAAGTAGCTGGGACTACAGGCGCCTTCCACCACACCCAGCTAATTTTTGTATTTTTAGTAGAGACAGGGTTTCACCATGTCGGCCAGGCCAGGCTACTCTCAAATTCCCGACCTCAGGCGATCTGCCTGCCTCAGCCTCCCAAGAGCTCTCCTTAGCTTTGAAAGTAAAAGCCAACCCCTTTTGGCTGGCCCATGAGGCCCCACACACCTTAGCATTCCTGTTACCTCTACCACCTCCTCTCCTAACTCTGCCCTTTGCTGGTGCCAATTTGACTGCACTAGTGTCCTTTTTGTGACTGCAGCTGTGCCTGGGACACTCCGGTCTTTGCTCTTGCTACTGTTCTGAGCTGTTTATGTCCAGAATGCTCTTCCAGCAGTTAGCTACTTGTTTCCTCTGAGTCTTCAGGTAGCTGCTCAATATCAGCTTCTCAGTCACCCTGTCTGATCACCTGGCTTATAAGTCCAGTCCCTACCCTTGTACTCCCCATCTCTAATCCCTGCTTAATCATCGCCTTAGCACTGTCACCATCTGACTTTCTTTCTATATATATTTTATTTATTGGTTAGCTCGGCTGCTTCAACAGATACCATAAACTGGGTGGCTTAAAATCAGACATTTATTTCCCACAGTTCTGGAGGGTGGAAATCTGAGATCAGGGTGCCAGCATGGTCTGGTTCTGGTGAGGGCCTCTTCCAGGTGCAGACAGCCACCTTGCTTTTTTTCTTTTCTCTTTTTTTTTTTTTTTTTGAGTTGGAGTCTCGCTCTGTCACCCAGGCTGGAATGCAGTGGTGCCATCTCGACTCATTGCAATCTCCACCTTCCAGGTTCAAGTGAGTCTCCTGCCTCAGCCTCCCGAGTAGCTGGGACTACAGGTGCACACCACCACGCCCAGCTAATTTTTATATTTTTAGTAGAGACGGGGTTTTGCCATGTTGGCCAGGCTGGTCTTGAACTCCTGACCTCAAGTGATCCACCTACCTCGACCTCCCAAAATGCTGGGGGGTCGTGAGCCACCATGCCCGGCCAGATGGCCACCTTCTCCCTGTGTCCTCATGTAGCAGAAAGAGATCAAAGAGCTCTTTTGTTTCTTTTATGAGAGCACTAATCCCATCACAAGGCCCTGACCTCACAACCTAATCACCTTCCAAAGGCCCCACTTCCTGTCGCCATCATATTGGGGGTTTGGATTTCAGCATATGGATTTTGGGGGGACACAAATCTTTCAGTCCGTAATAGTTGGCCTCCTCCCTTGTTCCACTAGAATATAAGCTTCAGGAGGTCAGGGATCTTTGTCTCTTTTGTTTACAGCTATGTTCCTAACACCTACAACAATGCCTGGCACATGGTAGGTGCTCAGGAGATAATTATTGGATGAAAAAAAATGAACCGGTCTCCTCCTTAACCCCTGAAATCCTGTTCGAGTCGCTGGGTTTGCCTTGCTCCACTGGGATGAAGTCCTGGCTTGGTGTCCTTGTCTCCCAGGGGTAGACGCCCCGTCTCTGGGAGGACTTGAGGCTCTCCTGGCCTGCTGCTTGGCCTCCTTACCTGTTCTGCCCACTCAGAGCCCTGCCAGCTGCCTGGGATGGCTGCCGGGCACGTCCTTGTTCCTGCTCAGTCAACCAGTTGGGGCCTTGGTTTGGACCTTCACTTATTCTTCTGTGAACCTACCTCTCTGGTCCCCAGCTCGTCTTCTGAAATTTTGATGTGTTGGTCAAGCCCAGTCTTGTTTGCACATCCCTGTGAATGATTCTTAATTATATTTCTGGCTGGCTCTGTGCAGTAGACCATAGAAATAACGATTGTTTCTGGGGTTGCGCTGGAGTGTGAACAGGTGGGGAAAATGCCTCAGGACGATTGGACCGAGGAGACTCTGAGATGACTGATGAAAGCGACAGCAAGAGCTTTCCACGCTCCTGATGGCAGGAGGGGACGGCGGTGCTGAGGGGTGGGGGAGGCTCAGGGGGAGCTGTTGAGGGTCCCGTGCTCGTCAATTCTCTAGCTTCTCAGGCGCCTTGATCTTGTCATTTAGAAGCCTCTGGAAGCACAGGGACTGTGGAAACTGGAAGCTGTTCTTGGACTATTTCGCAACACTTTTCTCCAGGAAAAAGAAAAAATAAAAAAAAGCCTCATTCTCTTCGTCCCCAATGTTACATAATCGAACATTTCCCGTCCTGGTTGAAATGAATATCCTCTTTGCCTGAATAAATAATGCACAGATTCTTCGGGACAGGCTGCTTCCTCCAGGCCGCCGCTTCCAAGGGATCCGGTCGCTTTGTGGGTTTAGTGGTGGCCCACAGCTGGACGCGGGGTCCAGCTTGGGGTGGGGGAGGCGGTGCTTTCTGCCAAAATGTCTTTTAAACGTCTCAACAAGTAGCAAACAAGGCCCCACCTGCGACAGTTGTAGTGATTCCGGAAGACCTGCTCACCACGAGGTGCTGGGGTCGCTTGCAGCTGGCAGTCTCCGGTGGCTGCAGTTTAAATAAATCTCCTAAGTGCAGAATCACCACACAGGGCGCGGAGAAACTGAAAAGTTAAAACATCTGGAGTTACAAACACTCACAGGCCTATCAGCTGTCTGAGTCCCCGTAGGAAAACTGTTTATCGGATGCTTTAGTATTCAACCTTTTATTTCCTAGCACAGGTTTTTTGATTTTCACATGGAGTGTTTGATTATTTTCCCATGCCCAAGTCACTGTTTTCATAGCCTGTTGTTTAATCTGTGTGCACCTTTGTTTTCACTCTATTTCCTTTGCTTTCCTATATGAGAAAAATAAATGGCACCATTGAATTGCACGGTAGAGGCTGATGCTATTCCAGGTGCTCAGGTTGGCTTTCCCATCTTTCGTTTCCTCCTGTAGGAAGTTTTTTTTGGTATAAAGGGAAGGACAGAATTGGATCTCCCTGGAGGGAGTTTCATGTGTTTCTTATTCTGAGCTGCCGGGAGCTGGTTCACAGCACAACTTGATAATTGCTGAGTAGACCTAAAGTTTTGAAAATCAAGATCTCTTTGGAGTTTTACAAGTAAAATTTCAAAAATGAGAAATGACTATCCCAATTTATTTTAGAAGAAAGGTGCAGCTTGTAAACTTTCATGAATTTGGTAAAAGGGGGCTAATTTGAAAAGGAAAACTAATAGGCAATATTTACAAATTGTGAAAAATATCAGAATAGTATACGTGGAAGAGTTATTAGACATTCCATTTGCAGTGGTAAACCCATTCCTTTGATTCTGAATCTTGTTTAGGTTTCCTTAAGAATTTGATGAAGTTTTCAGACTCTTCCTTCAGAAAAATGCACATATTCTTATGTACCTAAATGTTTGGATATGATTTCAGGGGATTCCAAATCCCCTGGGGACCCCCCATGTGGATGTTTGTGATGCAGAATGGGGTAAGAAAACCAGGAGAGCCTACAAAAATTTTATGAAATAGAAATATGAACATACAGTACTGAGCCAAAATTTAGTTGTGAGGAAAATGATGTTAAATGCATTCATTTTCTAAATGATGACAGAAAATTAGACTCATATTACTATCCGGGTGAAGCATATTTTGTACTTATGGTGACCTAGTGATCCAAATGCCTGCTCTTTGGTCTTATCCTCTTATCTTCCTTATGTCAATACTGGGCTGCTTAAATATGTACTGTCTCCGATGTCATTATCTAGTTTTGTTCTTTGTTTTCTATGTTTTATCTTTTACTTCTTGTTCCTATTTCAAATACTTTGACGGTATTGGGACTTGGGGACATGTCCTTTCCAGTACAGATTTTGGTATTGTAGAGGGAGGTTTACAAGCCCAGGTGGGTGTACTTGGGGACTGAGGCTGCTCAGTAGCCCTGTAAATGGTCAGAGTCTGCTGTTTCTGTTGCTTGGAGAGCAAGGTGAATGCAGGTCTCTTTGGATATTGGGGATGATAGAGGGATGTGGATTGGAGAGGAACAGGACTTCCTGCCCCCTCAATTTAAATGGAGATTCATTTGATCAAAAAAAAAAAAAAAAGCACATATATTCACCAGGCCCTGTGTGAACTACCACCTTGGATGTAGGTGGAGTAAGCCATATTCCCAGGTAGCCTGCAATCAACTGCAATCCATTGGTGGTAGGAGGCATGGGAGATACAGAAGTAACTCAGGACTAGATTGAATTGGCCACTTATCTAAGAGTGTTATCAAGTGTTCTGTAAATGTGTGAATTCTGATTAGTTATCAGGTTGTCATACATTTTTTTTTCTTTTTTTTTTTGAGATAGAGTCTCACTCTGTCGCCCAGGCTAGAGTGCAGAGGTGCTATCTCAGGTCACTGAAACCTCCACCTCCCAGGTTCAAGCAATTCTCTCACCTCAGCCTCCTAAGTAGCTGGGATTACAAGCATGTGCCACCACGTCTGGCTATTTTTTTTTTTTTTTTTTTTGTAGTTTTAGTAGAGATGGGATTTCACCATGTGGCCAGGCTGGTTTCGAACTCCTGAGCTCAACTCATCAGCCCACCCCTGCCTCAAAAAGTGCTGGGATTACAGGCGTGAGCCACCACACCTGGCTACGTGTCATACAATTCATTTGTCTCCCTTCCTAGACACAAGCTCCTCAGGATCATATCTGTTCTTCCTTGCTGGCACAGAGGAGATGCTTCAGTAGTGCTTGTTGCTAGAGGAGAAGGGTACAAGTGGCATGTGGAGAGATTCAGAGAAGGGTAGAATAGGATGATGTTGGGCCATCAGGAAGGTCTCCATGGAGAAGGTGTGCTTTGAGATGAACACTGAGGAAGTGGTGGGATCACACCTGACCTAGATAGAGAAGGGGCTGAAATCCAAGCATAGGATGGTGGGAGCAGGGAAAGAGAGGTTGACTGAAGTTGAAGGCTGGAGAGGTTGGCTGGAGACGGGTGATCAGGGATATGGTAAGTGGTTTGTGCTTAATTTAATCTTGCAGTAACACGGTGAGGATGATTAATCGGGAACATAATCTGGTGAAGGTATGTTGGACGGATTCGAAATGGTAGAGGCTGTCGGCAACCAGACCAATTAGGACACCATTGCAAAAGTCCAGCTGAGAGCTGAAGAGGATCTGACTTGTGACAGGGAGTAGGACAAACAAGGGATGGAGGCTGGAGGTATTTTGGAGATACAGCCTGCAGTTCTTATAATCCAAACTTCCCCAGAATATCTCAGCCCAGGAATAAAAATAGGATGAAAACAACAATAACACAATAATATTTTATCTCTGCTTTCTATCAACTGTTTGCAACCTGCAATTCTTTCTGGTTCTTCCTTCCTGCGGGGCCAGGTGAACAGGCAGGTGCTGAATATCACTGCTGGGCTCACAGAAGCCCCCAGTGCTGGGGGGCCAAGGCTGCGGCTGCTGGTGCCAATCAAAGGCACCCATAGGCAGGACCCTCTTCCACTAGGTTTCATTGCAAACGGGAAGCCTCAAGGCAGGCGCTTTCCACTGCTAATCGGTACCTGGTACAGGAATTAAGGCTTCACTTTGTTTGTTCTGAGGGGTTTACAGAGATTTTTCTTCTGTAAAGCCACTGCTCCTTTCACTAAAATTCCGGAGTTTGTGCAAGCTGGGAAGTTAAACTTAGCAACAGAGTCTCTGCTGTATTTAAATATCATTTTTGTCTGACACTGGCCTCTTTTTTTTTTTTTTTTTTTTTTTTTTTTTTTTTTTTTGAGACGGAGTCTCGCTCTGTCGCCCAGGCCGGACTGCGGACTGCAGTGGCGCAATCTCGGCTCACTGCAAGCTCCGCTTCCCGGGTTCACGCCATTCTCCTGCCTCAGCCTCCCGAGTAGCTGGGACTACAGGCGCCCGCCACCGCGCCCGGCTAATTTTTTGTATTTTTAGTAGAGACGGGGTTTCACCTTGTTAGCCAGGATGGTCTCGATCTCCTGACCTCATGATCCACCCGCCTCGGCCTCCCAAAGTGCTGGGATTACAGGCGTGAGCCACCGCGCCCGGCCACTGGCCTCTTGTCCTTAGAGGAAATATGTGAATTTCTCCTTTCTGCTCAGAAGTACACCTTAGTAGTTGACAAACGTAAACTACCCGAAGGGCCAGCCTTCTCTGGATCCTACTTGAGACCTTGCTTCCTGCTGAGAAGTGTGTGCATTTGTGTATCTGGTGATCGAGATGTCTGGAAGAGTGGGGAGAAGACTGAGGGGCAGATGGGGAGTAAGAAGGGTCAGAAAGCTATTTTGGTTCAGCAGTATCAATAATGTTTTTGCTTTAAATCATTGTCTTCTTCAATGTTGCTTCCTTTGTCACTCCTGTAAATATGATAGCCCATTTATTCTTCTAATAGAAAATTTTTCATAATTATTTCCTCACATAAGATGTTTATGGCTTTATATATATGTGTGTATATAAAGAGGAGGCACATAATTTATGAAAGCAGATTTTAAAAGCCTTTCTACAGATGAAATGTAAAGTTCAATTGCATTTTTTCTTTTGGAGATGGGTCTTACTCTGTCACTCAGGCAAAAGTGCAGCGGCACGAACGTGGCTCACTGCAACCTCAAACAGTTCTCCCACCACAGCCTCCAGGTAGCTGGGACCACAGACATATGCCATCACATCCAGCTAATTAAAACAATTTTTTTTTTTTTTTTTTTTTTTTATTTAGAGACGGGGTCTTTCTACATTGCTCAGGCTAGTCTTGAACTTCTAGGCTCAAATTTCTTGATTTCTTCCAAAAGTATTTTCTGCTTGACATTGTCATTTGAAGAAAGATAGTTTTAAAAAAATTTGAAGAAAGAGACTATTTTTATCCCTATAAGCTTGAACTAGGGCTTTCATACTGAGTAAAAGACAGTATACAGTGTCATTGAGGATGGGTCATATTATGGCTCCGTTGTCGAACACTCTAGATCTGGACACTGAAAAGTGGACTACTGATGGATTTTATGCCTCTGCTATAAAAACCAGCACCTGGGGCTGGACGCAGTGGCTCACGCCTGTAATCCCAGCATTTTGGGAGGCCGAGGCGGCCGGATCACGAGGTCAGCAGATCGAGACCATCCCGGCTAACATGGTGAAACCCCGTCTCTACTAAAAATACAAAAAGAAATTAGCCGGGCGTGGCGGCGGGCACCTGTAGTCCCAGCTACTCAGAAGGCTGAGGCAGGAGAATGGCGTGAACCCGAGAGGCGGAGCTTGCAGTGAGCCGAGATGGCGCCACTGCACTCCAGCCTGGGTGACAGAGCAAGACTCCATCTCAAAACCAACCAACCAACCAACCAACCAACCAACCAACCAACCAACCAGCACCTAGGCCCTGGATGCATGTTTAAGGTAGCTAAACACTCTTAGGTTACACTATTCTGATGGGAAAGACCACCAGAGGTGCCCTTGGATACCTGGTAATAAGGGCTATAGAAGAAATTATGGAAATTCTACAACCCTGTCAGTGACTATAGCCAACCATGCGGCTATAGCCAGACCCTGCAATGTGCTCATGGGTCCAGAGCCCCCTATGTGTTATCTCAGCTCATGGGCTTTCTCTGTTCCTGCATAACTTCACTTGCTAGGAGGCTTTCCTTACTTTGGCCTCCATGCCACCCTGAGACATGCCCTTGTCCTTTGCGGCTCATGACCTCAGTGCAGGTTTCCAAATTCATACCCTCAGAGCTTGAATGATTGGTCCAGTTCATCTTTTTCACATTTGGTCATGTCCTAGGTCACTGGCCAGTCTATAGTTTGGCTGATCTTTGGTTGGGTGTCTCACCATGGTCCAGTTAGCTGTGATCTGAAGTGGGCGTAGGGTGGGGAGGTTGTATGAACTTGAGTTGGTTGTTCAAGTAACAGGAGCTGAGAGCATGGCAATTTTCCTTAGAACGATAGTGAGTGAGTGGTCAGGTACTGATTGATATCTCCAGGTAAGCAGAGTTTCAATTTTGGTTGCTCTTCACGAGGAAAGCCAGAAGCCCAGAGCTGTTTTGCTAGAGTGATAGAACTGAGATAGTGTTTTGAGCAGTGCCCAGTGGGAACATCTTTGCTGAGAAGAACGAATAAAGAATTTTGGCAATTAACTATGTAACTGAGTCCCAGACTCTGCTATCATCTGGGGTGGCAGATAAAAACACACAGTCCAAATAAAAAACCTGATTTTTTATTTTAGCCTGAATCACCCAGATCACAGCAGGATTTTGCTTGAACAACCCAGACAGATTGCATCCATTTTCTGCTTTACTGTGCTTGTGGAAGCCAGGCTGTTAGTGGTTTCTTCTGGAATGGGAGAATGTATCACAAAAAGGTTGGAACCTGAAAAATTTCTAGAATTTCATTGTTCTGTGCTTCTTAATAAACAATGTGACACTACCAAGGAATGTGTGTTGACCCTCTTTTTTTAAAAAAATAAAGATGTAGTGGATAGCACGATTTTGATGAAATGTCAGGCTTTATTTTTCATTTGAAAAATGTGTGTGAGGGAATCAGGTGTAATGGCATGATACATCTCTTTAAATTATACTTACGAGATTAAATTTGTCCTGTGTTTCAATTACACTGTATTATACTGCTTCATTTAAATTGTTGTTTTCTTCTTTTTTAATTGTTCAACCTAATTGTCTAATAGTGATGAATGCAATTTAATTAGACACTTTTCCTTGAAGGATATATATATATTTTCCCTATAATAAAGCACAGAATAGTTTAAAAAATGTATTGGTCCAAGCACACATTTTTATTTTTAGTGATTTCATTAGAACAATAAACTTCAAAATGATTCATAACAACCTTTCTGGATTGATTTGATGGAACTGTTTTTACCCATTCACTGATAAACCTGTCAACAGTTTCCTCTCATGACACATACAAAGCACGTGTGTTCCCATAGTGTGTCCTTGTGTGTAATTCCTTGTGCTGGTTCAGATTCTGAAATGGAGCTTTAAAAGCATGGAGGCTTGAGTTGGTCCATGTGAGTTTGAACCCTGGCCGCAGCTGGTATGGGTACTTAATCTCAGTATCCCACGGTTTCCTCAACTGCAAAATGGGTTTTTAGTAGTACTTACCTCACTGGGTTGCTACAAAGATACTTAAACTAGTATCTGACATCTAGTACAGCCAGCCCTCCATATCTGTGGGTTCCACATCTGAGGATTCAATCAACCTCTGGTTGGATAAAAAATATCTAGGAAAATAGCTGCATACTAGGGGAAAAAAAAAAGAAAAAAATATCCAGGAAAAAAATTGTGCCAGTACTGAACATGACTTTGCTCTTTTCATTCTCTAAACAATATAGTATAACACATATTTACTTCACATTTACATTGTTTTAGGTATTATAAGTAATCTATGGATTATTTAAAGTATACAGGAGGATGTGCATAGGATATATGTAAATACTATGTGATTTTATATCAGGGACTTGTCCTGGAACCAATATCCCAACCCTAATACTAAGGGATGACTATATATGCTCAGAAGACATTTGTTGTCATTTTTATTCTCTTGCACTCAAGAAAGCACATATTGGAATGCAAACGAATATCAATAATAGTTTTTTAAAGGATAATTAAGTTAATTTATAATTTACATACAATATACATTGTACATTTATATTTTCTAATGAAAAGGAAATAATCTATAACCTTCAGTTCAGAATTCATTAGCTGTCCTATTTTGAGAACTGTTGCTCTATGTAATTTTCATCTCTGTATTGATGTGTAAAACTGGTTTTAACAGGTAGCTAAATGCTGTTTGAAAAGCATACTTCACCCATTCTGGCAACTAAAATAATTGAAAGATTTAATTAATTTAGAAAAAATATTTCGCTTTCAAAACACTTGAACTGTTCAGAGCATGTTATTCAATAATCTACCTTTCACCAGAAATCATAATAAACACAATAAAAATGCTTACAGAACCCCCACAATGCGTTAGTATACATGATTATTCCTTGTGTAAGTGAATCTTGTTGAGATTTTATGTTCAGTCAATTGCAATTAAATACTTTACATATTAACTAAAATGTGTCCTGCTCTATGTATTCTGGAGAAGTTACTCTCAGACAAATTTACATATTTAAATTATTTTATGGGCTAACTGATAAGTATAGAGAAGACTGAAGACAGTTAAGATCATTGATTTCAAAATGTTTTAAAGTGTTGATTATTTATTTTGGTTTTCTTTCTTTCCCATGCCAGTTTTGAGATGCACCTCTTACTTGGCAGGTGTTCCTCTGTACTGGGTACTGGGACAGAGAGAAATACAGTAGCAAGAGGGAGATCCTGCCTCCGCCCCATTCTACCATTCTCACTGCCAGAAAGCCAGCCTTTTTTCAAGGCTTGTAGAGAAGAAAAAGAGAAAATATTTTTAAAAATTCATTTAAAGTACCTACTGCATAAACCACACCAGACATGATGAGATATTAAAATGTCAATATTATTAAAAATTTTTAATATGATTTTACAGCCCCTTTGCTACTTTAAAATGTTTATCTTAGTGTTAAACAAACAATCAATAACCTCATAAACTTAAAAATTGCTGCAGGAAATACCGGACAGTTTATGGAAGGATCATATGACAGAAGGAAGGGCTGAAGAGTGTGAGAAGCTAGACCTCTGCAGGTTACCGAAGTCAAGAACCTCATTAATCGGTAACAAGAAGTGCAGAGCGGGCTTTTGAGTCCATGCCTGAGTAAGAAAGTCCCAAAAAACACTCACAGAAGATATTTCCTTGCCCCTGCTTTTAGTTTAGCTGTAGCTAACTTTGGATTAACAAAATTTATGTGCTGAATGATGTTTTATTTTTTTTTCCAACTCCACATGCCTGTCTAGACTTCAAGCTTTATTACGAATAAAGAGAAAATCGGCTGGATGGCATAAAAAATATTTCAGGCAGATTAACACATGATTTACCTCTTCTTGAACATCCATCTTAATGGAAGTGCTAAGAAAGTTAGATTCGGGCCTGGCTTGGCAAAAGCAAGGCCACCCCCTCCTCTATTTTTTCAATGAGATTTTCCAATCCTAGTCAAATGGTGGTGCTAGTTCTTTATTTTTGAGTTACTGCATTTCCTAATTTCATGGTCATAACAGCCTCCTGTCTACCGACTCAGAACGGATTTTACCAAAACTGAAAATGCAGGCTCCATGCTCAGAAGCTCTTTAACAGGCTCGAAAGGTCCATGCTCCTTTCTCCTGCCCATTCTATAGCATAAGAAGACAGTCTCTGAGTGATAATCTTCTCTTCAAGTAGGTACTCCTATTTCTTCTCAATTTATTTTTTCCTTTTTGATATAATGTGCTACTGTTTACAAGCATATTGTAACTTCAGAGCTTACCTCTCATCTTTAAAAAATGTTCATTTTTTTGTCTTTCTGCTCCAAGGATATTTTGCAAAGTTACTGGCAAGTATTCCTGGGATGATAAAATGTGAAATCTAAACTTGGTACAGTGGAAATTCACTTCTAGAATAATATTTAGCTGAGGCAGAGGGCAATCCGACTACCCTTTTCTTAGTACAGCACACACAGGCTGCCTGTCTGTTCCAGATAACATAAATGTATTGGATCTAGCACTAGCTAGGAGACACTGTATTGTTGAACTGTGTTAGAATTTTATAAGCTCTTAATTGGACAAATCTCAGAGTAGCATGAACACACTACCTGTTTTCTGAATCTTTGGAGCCATAACTTACGTGAGTTTGAACTAAGCGATGTGAATAAGCCATTATTTGTTTCCTAAAGGCAGTCAAGTTTTCTGAAAAGCTACACATTTAGCAGCAAAAGAACGAGCCCCTCTGTCTTGAAATGGGCCTCTGATTTTAAGCAAGCTCTTTTGAGTCCTGGTGTCCCATTTTCTCAGTTCCTTTTTGCCTCACAATGGCACATACATAATGACTCCACCACATATAGCAGTGGGCTACTCGGGTAATGATGTGGCAGTCACAAGACAGGGCAGAATACTTTCATTTTGGTTAGAGGAATGCCACATGTCTTAGGAAATGCTCGCTGAACTGTAAGTTTCATACTTTGTCAAGAAGATAACCAGTATTCTCTCAAACAAGTCCGTAGGAGCCAACATGATTAAAAGATTTTAAAGCAATTTACTCGATAGAAGGGTTGGGCTTAATCAGGACTTGTGATCATGGCAATGGTTCCTGCTTAAAGGTGCCAGATTTTTAATGCCTTTATGTGCCAGATCTAATAGGCTTACAGAGCAACTCCATGTATATGAGGTTGCTGGGAAACTCATCTGGTTTTGAATGTGGTATATACATATTTTAATATTGAGAGTAAACAGGAAGACCAGGTAGAAGTATTTGAACTGAATTCTGAAACGTACAGAGAACTTAAATTGGATGAGAATGTTTGAGAACCATGGATGGTTCAGGGTCCATTTGTATACCATAAAATCCCTTCCTATTTCTCAAAAGCAAATATTTTCTTTGATTTTGTTAATATCCTGTGATGACTGCCCACTAGGCCTTGGAATGCATGCAGATAATGCTGTAGCAGTTGGATAAAATACTCTAGAATGTCAGATTTTCAAGGAAATTACAAATAAAAACAATGTAGGTAAAAGATACGACATGTAGGAAAAAAGCAAAATTTTCCTTAAGAATACAAGCGTCGTATTTACGAGTAGAAGATTTTTCTTGGACATTTGGAGATACGTGTTTCATTTTATTGCTTGTGACAGTCAAGGAAAGGAATAAAGCTCTTGTGTCTTAAACTTGCAGCAAGAACAAAGTCCAACTATCTTTCGTTTCTGATAACTCTGTGTCTTTTTGTTCAATATTGGGTTTAGAGCTAGCTACCATCTACCTTCCCTTCAAACACTCACTCTAAACCTCCACACAGTGTAAGTATTTACATCAGGCATCTGCTAAACATTTTCACATGGTTATCTGCAGGTCTTCTCTGAGTCTGTCTGCATTCATTTATCCTAGTTGCTCAGAACAATCGCTTGGGCTGACGGCCTGGTGGTTGAGTTTACTTTGCTTTGAATAGGGAACAGCTGTGCTCCAGGACTGCAGATTGGCTATTCGGAAAAAAGGGCAAGGAAGAGAGTGACCCAGCTCTGGGTAGACCATCCACACTGTAAAAAAAAAAGTCATAGCATAGTCTTCATCTATGGCAGTGGAGATATGGTCCTGTCCATCCACCTCTATCAGGAGAGGGTCTCCATTGTTAATCTCCGAGAAAGAGGCGCCATCTGTGAAACCTCCTGCATATTGTCTAATGAAGTGCTATTTTGAAAGGCGTGCACTGTACAGGTAAGAGTGATGATGGTGTGCCTGCCTTCTGGGCAACATCTCAGTAGACTTCCTCTGAATCATTCCCACTGGACCCAACAGCAAAAGCGTACACATCATTGAGTTTTATCGTTCTATCTAAGGCGTATAACATTTTTCTCTCTGAAAGTCTGTGATTCTTTCGGAGAATGAAGGGGCTTACCCTATCCATCTGCCCCTAAAAATATTCGCTGGAAAGCTGATACCTCTGCTCAGGTTTTCCACAGCAGATCACTCTTCAGTAAGAATTCTGATATTAAGTAGTTTAATTCAGATCCATGGAAAATGACTGAGTACCAGCCATAGCTCCCACCACTCTCTAGCTGTGCAATTTAGAGGCAGATTATTTAACCTCATGCCTTGAATTTCTCATCTGCAAAGTGGGAGTACTAACAGTAGCTACCAGATATATTATATGGAATAAATGACATTAAGCCACTCATTAAACTCCTTGCAGTTTCCAAGCATTAGAAACTCAGTATGAGGAAGTTATTTCTATTCTAAGCCTAGCACAGTGCCTGGTACTCAATACATGTTGGTTGAATCAGTGAAATAATTCAAGGTCAGCACCAAAGCTGCTAGGAATTTATGAACATCTGATCATAACTGGAAACTTGATCTAAAAAGCAAAGGGCAGTCAATCCAATCAACTGAGCGTACCATCTGTTGAAATGCTGCTGCTTCTGTAATGAGTATAAAGTGTTGGAAGAGAAAGTCCAGGAACCTCCATCATTCTTCCATCATTCCTCTCCTTTGTGACTATCTTTGTGATGAGAAGGGTAACAAAAAAATCTTGCTGAGATGAGCGTGTCAAAAACGTGTTACAAATGCTTCACATTCCCTTTCACATCAACAGAAGCATGTTGCTTCATTGTTGGGCAATGTCTTAGTCCATACACACATAGAGCTCTATGCTGATTTTTTTTTGAGATGGAGTCTCGCTCTTTCACCGAGGCTGGAGTGCAGTGGTGCTTTCTCAGCTCACTGCAACCTCCGCCTCCCAGGTTCAAGCAATTCTCCTGCCTCAGCCTCCAGAGTAGCTGGGATTACAGGCATGTGCCACCATGGCCAGCTAATTTTCATATTTTTAGTAGAGACGGGGTTTTACCATGTTGGCCAGGCTGGTCTCAAACTCCTGACCTTAAGTGATCCACTCGCCTTGGCCTCCCAAACTGCTGGGATTACAGACGTCAGCCAGCATACCCGGTTGTATGCTGATGTTCTAATTCAATGTGATACCAAAGACCTGAGATAGTCTCTCCCACTCTGGCCCCATAACATATGTCCACGAGGTGGTAATAATAACAACTATAGTAGCACCTAAGGTTGGGGCAGCTCTTACTTTGTGCGATGCTTTTTATAGTGTTATTACGTGTGATTCTCACAGCAACCCCAGGTGGTGAACAACGTTATGATTCCTGTTGTACAAATGAGGAAACTAAGGCTTTGCAAAGCTAGGTAACATGCCCAATATTACACAGCTTCAAAAGTGACAGCCCTAGGACTTGAAGATAAACTCATCTAATTCCAAAGCTCATGCTTTTAGCCATTACTTGAGACAGTATTAACTTTTAAAGTTTGTAATCAATATGAATTTGGCCTTGGGAAAGCAGGTTAAGCATCTGGGGTTGATGGGAGATAACATTACACCCTCTCTTAGCCTCAGCAACTTCATCTGTAAAATGGGAATAATTACATCCGAGTCACAGAAGTTTTGTGGCTCTTCATGAGGATTAAATAAAGTAATGCATGTAAAAGAGTTTTGTACAAAGTTCACTTTTATAAAATGCAAGTTGTGGCCGGGATTGGTGGTTCACGCCTATAATCCCAGCACTTTGGGGGGCTGAGGTGGGTGGATCACCTGAGGTCAAGAGTTCGTGACCAGCCTGGCCAACACGGTGAAACCCGTCTCCACTAAAAATACAAAAATTAGCCAGGAGTGGTGGCATGGGCCTGTAATCTCAGCTACTTGGGAGGCTGAGACTGGAGAATCGCTTGAACCCGCGAAGTGGAGGTTGCAGTGAGCCGAGATTGTGCCATTGAACTCCCACCTGGGCAACAGAGTGAAACTGCATCTAAAAAAAGACAAAAAAAAAAAAAGTAAGTTGTTATATGCAATGCATAAATTATTACTTAGTTCCATGTAAAATCTTCCCACTAAGTGAATGAGGGTTCACCTGGCTGTAGTGCTATGAGATAGATATGAGGGGCAGATTGGTTTATGCTTCTCAAAAACAGAAAGTGTGCCAGGGTGGAAGTGTGGGTGGGGAGTCTCCGCCTCCCAGCCATGTGGCAAAGCTGGAATGTGAGTACAGCAGCAGTATGGATGCGGTTTTGAGGGGATGGTGGTAATCCTCTTCTGGCGGCACCCCTCCAGTATTGTGGGATGCTCTCTGATTTCTTTTGAGAAGACAAGTAGCTAGGAGCTTCCCTAGCCTTTCTGTTGTAAAAACCATCAAGATCCCTGTTGAATGCATACCTGGAGCTTGGTTTCCCTAAGCACAGACTTTAATAACTTCATTTGGATTTAGTCTCCTATTTAAAGCTGCCACCCACTCTCAATTTTTTGGGTTTTCCTACTAAGAATGGATATAACATGGGCAGTCTTCCAGTTCTCCTTTCTTGCTGCCTTGAAGACAACACACAGGCCAATCACAAGGAGGCAGAGACAGGCCCCAACAAGTTGACAATCCTAGAGAGCTTAGTGTGAGTAGACTTGCTGAGGTTCCTGACTTTTGCTGGAATAGGAGAGTGCCACTGGCTTTTTGACATTTCTTTTTCCAACTGTTTCCTTGTCAAAATGACCAGCAGCTCAGCTCCCCTAAACATACCTCCTCCCCTAGATTGGTTCAGAGGAAGCCATCAAGGTCCTTTTGCAAACGGATGATCTGCATTTTTGAGATCCTTCTTTCCTCTGCTGTTCATAGAAATGGTCTCATTGGAATAATTCCTTTTGGAACGTTACTAAGGACACCAAGAAATCAACAAGAAAATTTGAGTGTATCTGACAGAAGAAATTTGGCTTTTGTACTCTAATAATTATTTATTAGAAGCAATAACTGGTCAGAATTTATTTGCTTAAAACCATGTAAAGAAAGGTGCTTAATAAAGATAATTGCATCACATATAGTAATCCGTTTTAGTATCTTTCACCTTAAAACTATGTGACAAATAAAGACACAAATTGCTCTTTCTTTCTAATAAGCAATTTTGGAAATTCCTTATTGGGAAATTCCAAATTTTACAAAATTTACAAAATTTAAAATTTTGGAAATCGTACCTGCATCAAGTTTTCTGAAAGAATATTTAAGGATTAAGGTTACTTAGAATCCAATATATGCATAGTTTAATTTAACTCATATTGTTAAATTCTTTTTCTAATTTTATTTAAGAAATGAGTAATATTGACAAGGGCCTTGCTGTGGTTTATTATGGCTTGTCCTAGAGTCTCTATTCCCAGCTAGATTAAAAGTGCCTCAGGGCTGGGCATGGTGGCTCATGTCTGTAATCCCAATATTTTGGGAGGCTGAGGCCAGTGAATCAGTTGAGGCCAGGAGTTTGAGACCAGCCTGGCCAACATAGTGAAATGCTATCTCTACTAAAAATACAAAAAATTAGCCGGACATGGTGGTGCATGCCTGTAATACCAGCTACTTGGGAGGCTGAGGCAGGAGATTCGCTTGAACCTGGGAGGCGGAGGTTGCAGTGAGCTGAGATAACACCACTGCACTCCAGCCTGGGAGACATAGAGAGACTCCATCTCAAATAAATAAATAAATAAATAAATAAATAAATAAATAAATAAATAAATAAGTAGTGCCTCGGGTGCATAGATGGGGTTGTTCAGTTTTCTACCCTGTGCCTTGGGAAGTGCCTGGTACACACTGGTGTTTGGCACATAATTGTAGAGTGAGATTGAGCCTGGCATGTTCCTTGATCCCTAGACAATCTCTATCAGGTGTGATCAGTAAGGCACATAATATGATATGTGACTATTACAGAGTAGCACACTACAATATGTGCCTAAAGCCATAACATCAACTAATACAATTCAGCAGAGTAGAATGTGAAGAGTGCTTGCAGAGTGCTGAGCACCACGGTGAGGAAGTGTAAACAGAAGAAGGTATTTCTGGGTTGGTGCAGGATGGTTAGGGATAGCTTTGGGTAGGAAGCGACTCTTGACCATGACCTTAAAGGACAGGTAATGTTTACATGGGAAAATACAAGGAAAAGGAGGTGCATAATGAAAGGCATGGGGGAGGTGGTTTTGGGAAACCATCAGTCTGACAGAAACATAGTTAAGAAAAGTGCAAGGTGGTGGTAGGAGGTAATTTAGAAGTGGAGAGTCAGATGTCCTATTAAGGAGCTTGAACTTTATCTTGTAGGCATTAAAGATGTTGGTGTAGGATTGGAATGAAATAAAGACTTAACCTTAGAAAAATACTGTGTGGATTGAAGTTTTCAGATGAAGAGTGGGTACATCAATTCGGAGGTGAGGGAAATAGTTCAAGGGAGGTGTCACACCATTAAAAAAAATCTTTTAGGACTTGTTTTTTGCAATCATGATTGTTTATGGTTGTAAAGATTTTGTTTCAGAAATGATTGGTGGAGAAAGAAGTGTATTGAGAATCAAAAGATGGGACTGTGCCACTGATGTGCGCAGTGAGAAGCTGCAAGCTTGGTGCCCCATCTTCCTAACTGTAAAATGGGCATAACAACTACCAGACAGCCGTCAAAACATTATACTAGTGATACAATGAAGACTAAGTGATATAATTTTGAAAGGCAGTATGCCTTATATGTGTAAAATGCTGTTTACTTGGAATATTTTTATAGTAAAATTATTTTCTTTGGACAAGATATAGATGCAGAAGAAAATGATCATATTTCTGTGAGATTAGGATTCAGACCATTTGAATTTTTTATATTTATTAAATAGGTACTTTATGTTGGGTACTGAATAAGTCTTTTATTTTTAACACCTCATTTCCCTCACAAAATGGATGGCATCTTTGGACTAGGGGAAATGTGTGGTCCCTGCAGCTGTAGTATTTTATGATTCTATAGCTTTTGCCTTTAGCAAACTTCTCTTAGAATAGTGATTTAAGGGCTGGGTGTGGTGGCTTACACCTGTAATCCCAGCACTTTGGGAGGCTGAGGCAGGCAGATCACCTGAGGTCAGGCATTCGAGACCAGCCTGGCCAACATGGTGAAACCCCTTCTTTACTAAAAATAAAAAATTAGCCCCGTGTGGCAGCATGCGCCTGTAGTCCCAGCTACTAGGGAGGCTGAGGCAAGAGAATCGCTTGAACCGGGAGGTGGAGGTTGCAGTGAGCCAATATTGTACCACTGCACTCCAGCCTGGGCGACAGAACATTTAATGCTGGTGGCTCACACCTGTAATCCTAGCACTTTGGGAGGCCGAGGTGGGTGAATTGCTTTTGCTCAGGAGTTTGAGAGCAGTCTGGGCAACATGGCGAAACCCCATCTCTATAAAAAATACAAAAATTAGCCAGGTGTGGTGGTGCACGCCTGTAGTCCCAGCTACTTGAGAGGCTGAGGTGAGAGGATGACTTAAGCCCAGGAGATCCAGGCTGCAGTGAGCTGACATAGCGCCACTGCACACTGCATTCCAGCCTGGGCAACAGAGCAAGATCTTGTCTTAAAAAAAAAAAAAAGTGACTTAAGATACTGACAGTATAAACACAACCAAACCCATGGGCATCTGTGCTGGGAATAAAAGACAGACATGTTTTCATTGCACTGATTTAGGATTCTGCTTGGAAAGGAAAACTGTGATCTCTCCTGCAGTTGCCTAAAATGCTTTACAGTTATGGGAATGGAAAAGCTAAATTCTGTGATTTGTGGGTAGAGGGAAGGAGGACGAGTGTCCTTTCTGATTTCCTCTTTTTCCTTCTCTTCCAAGGGGAAATAAAAGGCTAGAGCAACAATTTAAAAAGAAAAGGCAAGGAGCTACTGGGGGTAGAGTCGGGAGGGAAAAAGGCCAAACCCACTAAATAATTTCACTTCAGTTACAGTAAATCTCAAATGATGATGCTACACTCCTGAGAATGTTCCATGGTGGAAATGCCTGGGCTTTGAATTTTGAGCAGCGAAGTACCAGGAGAGGGTGACATGATAACATTCAACAGGAAGAACACTGCTCTTGTCCGTTTGACGGTCCTATTCCTCCGGATCACTCAATCTTCACAAATCAAGCATATAGCTCCTTCACATGTCATTTGTGAAGGGAAAGACTCCTAGGAAAATGTTTTCTAGGAAAGGGAAAAAAGCAGAAAGCAAAGGTCTCCTGCTTACTACAGCATTCGTGTTGCATAAGCAGTATTAATGTAGTGGAGTATTAATCACTTAGAACAGTTCACGTATTATTCCTATCTGGGCTCTGCAGGGTCCTTTCTTCACTTCTTTCTCGACATTTGGATTCTGTCCATTTTACTCCTCCCTCTGCACTTGGAATAGAAGTGAAATTTGTTGTGCCAATTCTCTGCTTGTTAGAAGCCATGGTAATGTTTAGTAGGGGAAAAGATTTGTACTGCTACATAGAAGGAGGTTTTGGGATTATTTAAGACTTTACTTTGTTGATGGGATTCCTAGAATCTACTATTACTGGGTATACTAGACAAGTTTGTAGATTTACAAAAGTGTGGATAACATGGGTTGCACTTGATTTCTTTATCCAGCTCTTTGGTTCTAAATTTATTGCCAATTTTATTTATCAAAACTATTCTCAGCGGAGTAGTATTTTCTGTGGACACAAGGAAACATCTGTGAGCTTAAACCTTAGAGGCAGATAGCCAGTTAGAACATTTGGCATATGAAGCTTAGATAGCAGAAGAGAAAAATTAACCAAGGCAACCCTCAAAAATATTGAGAAGGCAACTAAGAAAAATTTCTTATCACTGACAGACTGCAGTATTGAGTTCGTGTTAATGAAGAAATGTCAGAATACATAATGAATCAATAAGGAGTGTCATATTATGGCAAGTTTCAATGTTGGTGTCAATCTCGACTGCCAGGATTTATGGTAGATTATATAATGGAATCCTGAGTTCTGAGAGATCAAAGGAAAATGCTGGCTCTTTCTTCATCCATTCTCTTAGGTCAAGCCTATGCAGCAAGAAGCCAAGTTGAGAATTGAGCAATTATCTGAAGTGGGCAGTGGAGACGGCCAAACCAGATAATATATAACCAGAAAGTCACCGTGGAGGGAAAATGTGGACTGAAAATAGGATAAGGGGTGGAGGTAGAATGTCAAGCCATTTGGTCAGTGTCCACAGTCCAAATTTACTGAATAACAGCCAATTCCTTACTTCATGTGGTTATTTAGAGCGAGACTAGAGGACAAGTGAAAAAAAAAAAAAAGAGTTCATTCCTAAGGTTGTTGCATGTTTGTGCAAAATTTCTTCAAATCTCTGTTATTATCTGTTACATGTCTAATTCTGAGTACTTCCAGAGATTGCATTTCATTACTTTAGATTAGTGGGTTGAAGTGGTGGAGGAAGCCCATATAATCTGACTTACATGGAGAAAACAAGTCTTTTTTTATAGTTTAGTTGAGTGTTATATTTAATTAGCCTTTTTTTCCCTCCATAATGCATGCTTATGAATTTTCCACTTAAAATTCTGAGGCTCTGACCTTTATCATTTCCTCATGGAGCAATTTCTGTACCTCCTTAACTTTAGTAGAACATAGCAATGAAATATACAAGTCCCCTAGAATAGAATTTGTGTGAATTTGGTTTTCTAAAAACACAACTACCAAAGTCTGAGGACCAGTGTGGTATTTTTTTCTTCTATTTGATATGGAAACCATAAACTACTTACTTTGAGCAGATGTTTCCCAGTCCTAAAATACAGCTATCAGTCCACTGGCCCCTATAAATCTGTTGGAGTGCACCTGCTAATTCTGAAGCCTCCCTAATACAATGTTAAACTTTCCTTTTTTTTTTTTTTTTTTTTTTGAGAAAAAAATTGTAAATTAGGTTCACTGTTGCTTGGAATTAGGAAAAAATAAAAACACAGGCATACTAATATTTCAGATGGAAAAACAAAGTTAAGAATTCAACAAGTTTTTTTCCCCCACTCTATCATGTCTTGCACATTTAAAGCTGTTATACAACATTTTAAAAACAAACCAAAAAAACCCAGGGCCTTTTTCCAACAGCTTAGGCTGATGACCCACAGTAAAAAAGTGCCCCATGGGATATTCTTAAAGCACCCCAAGGGAGTCTATTGAAATAACTTAAAGTAAAAATTCAGAAGAATTTTACATGTAATTAAAAATTAAGAACGTTGTTTTATAAGCAATAGGGAAAAGCTGTATTAAGTTGCATTGCTCAATTTCTCACTTGCTCTGTGCAGTGACTGCTTTTTCAACCATGTAACAACGTCTGAATCTTCGTGGTAAAATCATACCTATCACAGCCACAGCAGGTTTTGTTCTGCTGCTGCACATGTGATTTGAGATACTGTGGGCTGGGAGTTTTTTTTTTTTTAATTTCTAATGGCAAAATGGATCTATAGAAATGGAAGTCATCTGTAATCTCAGCACTTTGAGAGGCTGAGGTGGGTGGATCACCGGAGGTCAGGAATTGGAGACCAGCCCAGCCAACATGGTGAAACCCATCTCTACTAAAAAGATAAAAAATTAGCTGGCGGGCGTGGTGGTGTGCGCCTGTAGTCCCAGCTACTTGGGAGGCTGAGGCAGAAGAAATGCTTGAACCCAGGAGGTGGAGGTTGCAGTGAGCCGAGACCGCACCGTTGCACTCCAATCTGGGTGGCAAGAGCGACACTACATCTCAAAAAAAAAAAAAAAAAAAAAAAGAAGAAGAAGAAATGGAAGTCATCCCGTGGGCCTGAGTTGGTGTAGTGGATTATGGCCTGTGCGTGAATGAAGAAATACTTGCCAATGGCATCAGTGGTAACTAGCTTAAGCCCTACTCAGCTTTGTAAAATAATGTAATCAAGGAATTTGATCTGAACAGGTAAGCCAAACATTGATTCTTCAGTGCCTATTGATAAGTGAGACTACTTTTCTTTTTAACAGCCTTATTTCACTTAAGTGGGGAGTCAAACTAGCTTTAATTAAGGAAATCTGTAGAAATCACCCACATCTCCCTTTCCTTCTCTGTTAAAAAAACAAAAGGAAGAAGAAAACTAGGAAGGAGTAAGCACAAAGATCTCTTCACATTCTCCGGGACTGCGGTACCAAATATCAGCACAGCACTTCTTGAAAAAGGATGTAGATTTTAATCTGAACTTTGAACCATCACTGAGGTATGTGTGAACATACTAGTTTCCTCTTTCTCTCTCCTGACTTTGTCCGTGAATTGATAAGATCTAATTTGGTCATCAGTTTGGAGAACGATTTTTCATTTAATTTCTTTCATTATCAAGTGTGTATTGTCAGGGGCTTAGCAGTACACCTACTATCTGATGGGCACTCTACATGCGTTGCTTAGGTTGAAATTAAGGATACAATCTGTGCACTACCACCATTTAAAAAAATCCCCAAGTCTACTGTGTGGGTGAGGTTTCTTTGCATAGTATCAGAGAGGTTAACCAATTTATTTACATACTCAATAGTCCACTCTAAGTAGGGAAAATCCAAGCTTTTTTTTTCTTAAGAAAGAGCTTTTCATTCTTTTTTCCCTCAGAGCTTTACCATAGTTTCCAGCAAGTGAAAACATTTCTTGATTTGAATTTCACAACCTCCTTCTCCTCTTGCCAGTTGTATGGTGCTAATAGGAAGCAAAATGTGAGTGTGCTTTTAATTTAACCCTAAAATAGGGGAATATCTTCAGAATTTAGACTTTACATATTCAGTGACCTACCTAAAAATAGAGACATAGTTCTAACCTTCTCAATCATTAAGAAACATTTCTATTGAATTTAATTATTCAAAACAACAGGTAGCAGTTTCACAAGGGAAAAGACAAGCCATGCCACTTGTATTTGTGGTCACCAAGTAATTACATTATTTTTTATTTAAAATTAAGATAAAATAACTTACTGACTGTCAAGTCCATTTCTCATTTCCTCCATAGAACATTTTAAAACTAGTTCACAAACCTCTTGAAAAGTCATGCCTCTAGAAAGTGCAAATTGTCACCATTGCCTAGAAGCCAACTTGAGAGGCTGTGTATCTATGCAGCATTTTGCAAATCCAGTAGCAGGCATGTGATATAAAAGATTAAATGCACCCCTGATTTGTGAATACTATCCTAGCCTTCAAAATGTTCAAAAGCACAGGAAGTCTGCACTTTTAAAAATATAACCTGCCCAAATTGCAAGGGAGGGGTTGGGTGTAGGACCTAGGTCTGTCTGCCAATCAGCTTGAGATGCCAGTGGACGAAACCTGACTTCACTAAAAACCAGACTGGCAAATATTACTCAGCGTGGTAATTTCCTAATTGTAGAACTGGCCTGTTTGGTGAAGTATTTCAGGAAAATTTTTAGCTGGACCTTTTCTACCCTACTGCATAAGAAATGAAGGTTTCTAGGCAAAGACTTTACTTAGTGACTAACCAAAAATGGTAAATAAAGTCACCACTTCCAGGCTTAGCTACTGTCCTCAAAACAGCTGCAGGACTGGTCAGGCCAGTCTTCTGAGGCTGGAGGTGCATGTGGAACCCCCAGAGCCTTGTCTGCAAGGGCATGGCTGACTGCAGGCTGTTTAGAAGCACCCCGCCCCGTGAAACTCCTCTGGCTTAGGAATTTTAAACAGTTCTAGTTCTAATCTCTCTGCTCAGAGTCTGAGCAGCTGTGAATGAGCTCTCCTGTGAATCACAGAAATGTTAATGGGTGAGCTGCTCTAGCTTCTTACTTCCAAGTGGAAGGCGCCTGTAGCTCTTTGCCAGCTTGATGCAGTGAGTTTGATTCCTCTTTTGGGCAGCAGGGAGAGATAATGAAGGAGGGGGAAAAAAGATTTTAATATAGAAACGAGTCTTCCATCTGGCTGAGGCTGAACAAAGTAGAAGAACCAGTGCAAGTCACTGGGGGTATGGATCTCATACCATTTTCAGCATATACCTCCCTTTCTCTCTTTTTGATTCTACACATGTCAGTCCCTGAGTAGTCTTGCATTGCTTTCCCCACTTTGAAGTCTTAGATCCAAAACTTTGATTCCAGAAAGGTCTAAGGTGCTGTTGCTGAGATTTTGAAAGAGACCTGAGACAAACTGTTGGGATTCTAGACGCTATTGCGCATCTGCCTGGGTAACTGTGTCACTTAGGTTGGGTCACCAGAATAATTCTCCTCCATTTTTGCTGCCTTTCCAATTTATAAACAACACAGAACATCAGTGGTTCTCCCATAATCAAATATATTTGGCTCTATTAATATTAAAATTTGATCTTGAGTAGAAAGATTCTAAGGGCTAAAAAATAAAAGATGTAAAATGTATGTTGATAGGTTAGTGTAGAAGCCACCCATGGGGTTGCCCCCACTCCCACTCTTTCATATTTTTTTTAAGAAACAACACTCAAGTTACAAAGTCGATTCTTTTTTTGTTTTGTTTTATTTGAGACTGAGTCTCACTCTGTCACCACCCAGGCTGGAGTGCAGTGGTGCGATCTTGGCTCACTGCAACCTCTGCCTCCCCGGTTCAAGCGATTTTTCCTGCCTCAGCCTCCCAAGTAGCTGGGATTACAGGTGCCCGCCACCACACCCAGCTAATTTTTGTATTTTTAGTAGAGATAGAGACAGGGTTTCACTATGTTTCACCATGTTGACCAGGCTGGTCTTGAACTCCTGACCTCAGGTGATCCACCCGCCTCAGCCTCCCAAAGTGTTGGGATTACAGGCGTGAGCCAACGCCCCTGGCCACAAAAGTCAATTCTTAACTTAAAACATAAAAGTTCCATTTCTTTTATGGTCTACTTAGTCATGTCTGGAGTCAGTGAGCTCAGTCAAGTAGTTTGCAGAATGACAGTTGTGATACCTATTCATTTACCCACCAGATTATTTTCTGCTCTCCATGGCACTTTATAGAAAACAGTTTATTCGGTCATTACAACAGCTCTAGGAGGGGGTTTCATTAAACCCACTTTCTAGGAAAGCGAACTAAGGCTTAGAAAAATCAAGTAATTTGCTAAAGACTACCCAGCTGGCAATGATATGACAGGACATGAACTTAGGACAATAACTCAAGGTCTTGGTCCCTGTAAATATGGGTTTCCAGGTTATGTATGCAGGCAGAGGGCTTAGATCCTGAAGTTTCCTTCAGAAACTTCAGGATCTAAGCCCTCTATATAGGAGCAGTATAAAAAGGAAGGATCTCTTCCCATAGGGAGCTTGTCATCCATTGAATGAGGAACTCAGACTTCCACTGTGAAATGATATTTGTATCCCCATTGTGTGCGAGATATGGGGACTCTGATCATCATAAGAGCACATTTTTCCTGCCTATAAATGATACTTAATAGAGCTGACAGATTATATATATCTGGAACACTTTTACCTAGCAGAAAGACAACAGGCTAGGATTAGCTGACTAATAATTTTATTTATCAAGCTCAATTCCCATGCTGACTTCTCTTCCTCTAGTGAAAATGTGTCATCAGATTTGGTCCCAAACTGGAGAGGTGAAAGGATCCTTTGACCAGTATAATAGCCATGCCATCAGTTTTGCTTTCCTAATTAAGTTTTATATGGGTTAATGATCTATATCATTATTTTGGGGGTTTCTAAACACATATGAACTAAAGATGGAAAAGATGATGGAAAAGATGGAAAGAAGATGACTCAGATGTACAAAGGCTTGCAGAGAGAAGGATAAGCCAAAAAATTGGTAAATCACACATGAATAATCAAGAACTGACTACAATATAATAATATGTGTCCATTTCCACTAATGAATAAGCTGCCATTATGTCTCTTCATTCTCTATTTAGGACAAATTACTTCTCTGCTGTATTTCCATTCTTACAGGTACCTATCTGCTGTGATTTTTCCCAGTTTTGACTTTATCTTGTTGCTTTAATCTTGTCTCTAAGTAAGCTGCAACCCAGTAAATATATTCCAGTATTGTTTATTGTAATTCCTGCCTTTATGTCAGGTGGCAAGAGGAAGGGACTGGTTTTATTAATTTATCAGTCTGGGTGTGTGCTAAGAGGATCCTTAGTACATGCTTTGATTATGGTAGATTGAGTCTAAAAGATTCAGCTGGTTTATTCCATTTATTTTGGTCTGTCTACCTAACAAGGTCACACAGTGGATTATACTAGTTTTCTATGTGTCATATTGTTGGCCTGACACATAATAGCAAATAAGAGGTACCAGAATTTTCTGTACAGTCTGAAGCTGTGTGTGTACAACAACCAGTGAAAAATCTTAGTTATTTGGACTTTTGGGTTCCATGATGCCAGAGAAAGCCAGACACCAGCAGCTGGAATCAGCTAAGACCTAAGACCCTGCATGCACATATAGATGTTTACATTTTCTTCCTATTGCGACATTCAGCCATTGCTTTGGCGCCTATTTCAATAATATATTGCTGCTCATCAAAGTGGAAATAATGTTTTGTTACTAGCTGAGTATTGAAAAGCTCTTCATAGTTTTGTGATTTTGACTCAGCTCCAACATGCAGGACCCATTTCTTCAACTGACTTTGGCAACAGGAGAGATTGACTAGTGGGCTTGAAAGTGATCCACTGCTGTTTCTGTTTAACTTTCTTCAATCCTACTGGGTCTTGGGAAGAAGAGGTAGCGGGCATCCTTGTTTGCCTCAACCAGGAAGCACAAGGCCATCCCAGGGCGGGGCAGGAGAGAGGTGGGAGGGAAGAAGCAGGCTCCACAGGGCCATTGTTTACCTTGTTGGCGGGTCAGGTCTTCTCAGGGTAGGGTTCCTGGGATAAGAGCAAAGCTTATTGGTTTTCCTTGCTGTGCCACGAGAGCACACCAGATCACCCCTGCAGCCTTGCTTGCCTTCCCACAGCCTGCCCTTGCCTAGGGTTTCAGCTGATATCCTTTCTACTCAGGAGGAGAAACCACAGAACACATGGAGGAAGTGTTTCCAGTGTTAAGACTTTAGACCAAACTATAGAAATCTGTTCTACCTGGAAACCTGAAGAAATAAATCATGACTGCTATTCAGTAGAAGTAAAATAAAAAAACAGCTTTACTGGTTTGGAATCATAGGAAGGCTTTCTGTATAGCCTCTCTGAGAGCTGCCTACTGGAAGGATTTGTCCTCAAAACGTGAGGATTTGTGGTGTTCCAGGGTTTATATGACACTGGCAGGATAGTTTGCTAGAGGGCTGTGCTTCGACCTTTATCCAAGGGATGTAAGCCGTGTGTTTAGGTTAGTGAGCGTCTAGCACAAAGCTCTAATGTTGAAGGAGCATTGGAGGCAGGCTGTGCCTCTGAACATGTAGAATTGACTAGAAATGCCAATGTTCATTTCAAAATGAAATCATTATCTTTCTTATGCTTCCATTTAAAAATGATTATTACATTTTTGCATATGGTTGAATGCATATTAATTTTAGCAAGTTTAGAAAAGAGATAAGCATAAAGACATACATAAAAATCACTTATTCTCATCAGCTATAGATAATCACTAACAATATTTTAGGACATTTTCTTTTCATCTTTTTCTTAGCAATATGTATGTGTGTGGGTATACATATTTAAGTGTGTATATATGTAAATTAAAAAACATAAAATATTCCCACAATATAATTAATAAAAATCTAAGATACAACACAATTTCCGTTTGTAATATGTAGTGTATATATGTATATATACACATTATATGTATATATAAAATACATGCATAAAATAGATACACAGGTATATATTTTGCAAATTGAAATGATGTTGTATCTTGTAGATTTTATTTAACATTAGAATTTATTTACACTACTTAGGTGTTTTAACAAGGATTGTGGTCCACCATTTATTTCCTTAAGAGTAATTCCAAAAAGTGGAAATAGAATGTCAAGGGGCAAAGTTCTTTATAAAGTCCTTAAGGAGTATTGCCAGATATATTTTTTTTTACTTCCTTTTAAAACATGATTGTATTGTAGAAGTTCTCTTTAAAAATTCCAAGCAAAAATTTTTCAAAATCCCATCTAGAAATCAAATCATGATTTTATTTGGCTATGCCTCTTGTAGTCCTTGTCTATGAACTTATTCTATTATTAAATATAATAGGTAATTTCCACTAATTTGACAGATAGAATTTTATTTTTTACATTTTCTCTTGTTACAGTGCCATGCATATTTCTATTATGTTACAGAGATCTTGGGGGTCTTTTTTCCTCCCTTTTTCCTTTCTCTTTTCTTGTTCTGTACCCCTTCACAGAAACCAACAAATACAGGTTGATGTGTATCCTCTACTCTTTTCTCCATGCTCACACAACCCAATATTTACACATGCACTGATTTTTCAGGGCAATGGTCCTTCTTTATCATAAATTGTGGGATAAGGTTATATACATAATATATGTGTGTGTGTATTACTCTGAATCTTGGTTTTGTCACTTTGCAATATGTCTTAAAGATTCTGATAAATCTTATAGATCTATCTCATTCTTTTCAGTAGTTGCATGCAGTATAAATTTACTATAACTTATTCAAGTAATCTGCTTTCAGCTGATACTCTGTTGTGAACAGTTTTCAACATATAAAAAAGTGCTGTCATTACAAATATTCTTAGATATATATTCTTAGTAATTGGGGGTTTTATTGTTATGGTGTAAGTCCCAGGAGTAGAATTGCTGGTTTAAAAGGTATGTGTATTTTTACATTTCTATTGGTTTTTTCATATTATTTTCTAAAAATATTATAGCAAATCACAGTCCCACTAGTGATGTTGGAGAGTATCATTTTCCTCACTAGTACTCCTATTTCCCTGCTTTCTAATCTTTCCTGATCTAATGAGTAAGCATTGTTAATTTTCTTTTCATTTTCTTGACTTCTAATGAGCTTAAGCATCTTTTCACATTATTGTTGTTCCTTTGGATTTTCTTATCTGTCAATTACCAATGGATATCCTTGACCTATTTCTCCCTTATATGGTTGCTTTTCTCTTATTAAAAATTTGTAAAAGTTCTTTGACTATTACAGATTTTAAAAACTGGCAGATAAAGTTGTATGATTTATTGTGTATAATATGATATTTTGAGATATACATATATCTTGATATATCAATATCGAGATATATATATCACACGTTGTGGAATGGCTAAATATAGCTAATTAACATGTGCGTTACCTCATGAAGTTATCATTTTTGTGGTGAGAACACTTAAAACCTCTCAGCATTTTTCAAGAATATAATATATTGTTATTAACTATAGTCACCATGTTGTACAGTGGATCTCTTGCACTTACTTTTCCGATTTAACTGAAGTTTTGCATCCTTTGACCAATGTCTTTCCAACCCTCACCTCCCACCCCTCTGCCCGACACTGCCCCAGCCCCGGTAACCACCATTCTACTCTCTATGTCTATGAGATCAACCTTTTTAGACTCTACATATAAGTGAGATCTTTTGGTATTTGTCTTTCTGTGCCTGGCTTATTTCACTTAATATAATGTGCTCCAGGTTCATCCGTGTTGTTGCAAATGACAATATTTTTCTCTTTTTTTAAGGCTGAATGGTATTCCACTGTGAACATATACCATATTTTCTTTATCCATTCATCTGTTGATGGATACTTAGATTGATTCTACATCTTGGCTATTATGAATAATGCTGTAATAAACATGGGAGTGCAGATATGGCTTTGACATACTGAATACATTCGCTTTGGGCATATACCCAGTAGTGGGACTGCTGAGTCATTCGGTAATTGTATGATTACTGTTTTCCATAGTGGCTGTACTAACATACCTTCCCACTAACAGTGTGCAAGGGTTCTCTTTACTCCGCATCCTTGCCAACACTTTTAATCTTTTGTCCTTTTCATAATACCCATTCTAACAGGTGTGAGATGATATCTCTTTGTGGTTTTAATTTCCATTTTCTGATGATTATAGTGATGCTGAGCATTTTTTCTATAGATTTTTTTTTTTTGGTCAGTGGATTGCTAAATCTTACCCCGTCAATAATTTCTCCTTTGATTTTACTTTTATAATTTTCTGCTACAAAATTAAAAAATAATTGTATGAAATAAAATTTTTCTTCCTATACGTATTCTGAATTTCCTATCTTACTTCAAAGAGTCTTCCCACCTCCTATTTTCTAAAATTTTCTTCTAAAAATTTCTATGTTTTATTTTATTATTTTTAATATTTAGTATTTTTTACATCTGGAATTTTTTTATATAAAAGTGGAAGGCTCAACTGCATCTCTTTTTATATAAAGAACGAATTGTTTAAACATCACATGTTAAATAATCTTTTCTCCAATAAATTAAATTATATTAGCATCAATTTAAAGATTTTTTTTCTCTAAACCACTAATCTATTTATTTGTTGCCAGGCCTGAGACGTATTGCTTTGATTATAATAGCTGTATAGTCTCTTTTAACATTTGGCAAGTTTGATGCTCCCTACTCATTAATATTATTTATAATGTTAGCCTGGTTTTCCTTTTTTTTTTTCAGTCCAAATAGGATTTAGTCAGAAGAAAGATACGTGGATTACATTTTTAAAATACTGATCAAAATGAAGATGCTCCAACCGTATAAATGGCAGATGAAATAGACTTTAAAGTAAAAAATATTTATCACACAATATATCAGAAAAATATAACAAACCCGAACCAACAAACATCAGCAACGTAGCTCCAAAATATTAGCTTGAAACATGAAATTGCCAATAGTTGACCACTTTTTGACCTACAAAAGCAACAATTTATATAAAGAAAAGGTCAATAAAATTATGGTAAATTGAATTTTTTTTTATTATTACACTTTAAGTTCTGTGATACATGTGCAGAACGTGCAGGTTTGTTACACAGGTATACACATGCCATGGTGGTTTGCTGCACCCATCAACCCGTCATCTACATTAAGTATTTCTCCTATTGCTATCCCTCCCCTAGCCCCCCACCCTCTGACAGGCCCCAGTGTGTGATGTTCCCCTCCCTGTGTCCTTAGGTTCCCACTTATGAGTGTGGCGTTTGGTTTGATGTTCCTGTGTTAGTTTGCTGAGAATGATGATTGCCAGCTTCATCCATGTCCCTACAAAGGACATGAACTCATCCTTTTTAATGGCTGCATAGTATTCCATGGTGTATATGTGCCACATTTTCTTAATCCAGTCTATCATTGATGGGCATTTGGGTTGGTTCCAAGTCTTTGCTATTGTGAATAATGCTGCAATAAACATACATGTGCATGTGTCTTTATAGTAGAATGACTTATAATCCTTTGGGTATATACCCAGTAATGGGATTGCTGGGTCAAACGGTATTTCTAGTTCTAGATCCTTGAGAAATTGCCACACTGTCTTCCACAATGGTTGAACTAATTTACACTCCCACCAACAGTGTAAAAGCATTCTTATTTCTCCACATCCTCCCCAGCATCTGTTGTTTCCTGACTTTTTTTTTTTTTTTGAGATGGAGTCTCACTCTGTTGCCCAGGCTGGAGTGCAGTGGTGCAATCTTGGCTCACTGCAAGCTCCACCTCCCGGGTTCATGCCATTCTCCTGCTTCAGCCTCCCAAGTAGCTGGGACTACAGGCGCCCGCCATCATGCCCAGCTAATTTTTTGTATTTTTAGTAGAGACGGGGTTTCACTGTGTTAGCCAGGATGGTCTCGATCTTCTGACCTCGTGATCCACCTGCCTTGGCCTCCCAAAGTGCTAGGATTACAGGCGTGAGCCACCGCACCTGGCCTGTTTCCAGACTTTTTAATGATCACCATTCTAACTGGTGTGAGATGGTATCTCATTGTGGTTTTGATTTGCATTTCTCTAATGACCAGTGATGATGAGCTTTTTTTCATATGTTTGTTGGCCGCATAAATGACTTCCTTTGAGAAGTGTCTGTTCATATCCTTCACCCACTTTTTGATGGGGTTGTTTGTTTTCTTGTATATTTGTTTAAGTTCTTGTAGATATTAGCCCTTTGTCAGATGGAGAGATTACGAAATTTTTCCCCCATTCTGTAGGTTGCCTGTTCATGCTGATGATAGTTTCTTTTGCTATGCAGAAGCTGTTTAGTTTAATTAGATCCCATTCGTCAATTTTGCCTTTTGTTGCCATTGCTTTTGGTGTTTTAGTCATGAAGTCTTTGTCCATGCCTGTGTCCTAAATGGTATTGCGTTGGTTTTCTTCTAGGGTTTTTATGGTTTCGGGTCTTACATTTAAGTTTTTAATCTTGAGTTAATTTTTGTATAAGGTGTAAGGAAGGGATCCAGTTTCAGTTTTCTGCATATGGCTCGCCAGTTTTCCCATCACCATTTATTAAATAGGGAATCCTTTCCCCATTGCTTGTTTTTGTCAGGTTTGCCAAAGATCAGATGGTTGTAGATGTGTGGCGTTATTTCTGAGGCCTCTGTTCTGTTCCACTGGTTTATATATCTGTTTTGGTACCAGTACCATGCTGTTTTGGTTACCGTAGCCTTGTAGTATAGTTTGAAGTTAGGTAGCATGATCCCTCCAGCTTTCTTTTAGCATAGGATTTTCTTGGCTATACGGGCTTTTTTTTGGTTCCATATGAAATTTAAAGTAGTTTTTTCTAATTCTATGAAGAAAGTCAATGGTAGCCTGATGGGGATAGCATTGAATCTATTAATTACTTTTGGCAGTGTGGCCATTTTCATGATATTGATTCTTCCTATCCAAGAGCATCGAATGTTTTTCCATTTCTTTGTGTCCTCTCGTTTTTCCTTGAGCAGTGGTTTGTAGTTCTCCTTGAAGAGGTCCTTCACTTCCCTTGTAAGTTGTCTTCCTACATGTTTTATTCTCTTTGTAGCAATTGTGAATGGAAGTGCACTCATGATTTGGCTCTCTGTTTGTTATTACTGTATAGGAATTCTTGTGATTTTTGCACATTGATTTTGTATCCTGAGACTTTGCTGAAGTTGCTTTTCAGATTAAGGAGATTTTGGGTTGAGATGATGGGGTTTTCTAAATATACAATCATGTCATCTGCAAACAGAGACAATTTAACTTCCTCTCTTCCTATTTGAATACCCTCAATTTCTTTCTTTTGCCTGATTGCCCTGGCCAGAACTTCCAATACTATGTTGAATAGGAGTGGTGAAAGAGGATATCCTTGTCTGGTGCTGGTTTTCAAAGGGAATTCTTCCAGCTTTTGCCCATTCAGTATAGTATTAGCTGTGGGCTTGTCATGAATATCTCTTATTATTTTGAGGTATGTTCCATCAATGCCTACTTTGTTGAGAGTTTTTAGCACGAAGGGGTGTTGAATTTTATTGAAGGCCTTTTTTTCATCTATTGAGATAATCATGTGGTTTTTGTCATTGGTTCTGTTTATGTGATGGATTACATTTACTGATTTGTGTATGTTGAACCAGCCTTGCATCCCAGGGATGAAGCTGACTTGATTGTGGTGGACAAGCTTTTTGATGTGCTGCTGGGTTCAGTTTGCCAGTATTTTATCGAGGATTTTTGCATCAATGTTCATCAGAGATATTGGCCTGAAATTTTCTTTTTTTGTTGTGTCTCTGCCAAGTTTTGGTATCAGGATGATGCTGGCCTCATAAAATGAGTTAGGGAGGAGTCCCTCTTTTTCTATTGTTTGGAATAATTTCAGAAGGAATGGTACCAGCTCCTCTTTGTACCTCTGGTAGAATTCGGATGTGAATCCATCTTGTCCTGGGCTTTTTTTGGTTGGTAGGCTATTAATTCCTGCCTCAATTTCAGAACTTGTTATTGGTCTGTTCAGGGATTTGACTTCTTCCTGGTTTAGTCTTGGGAGGGCGTATGTGTCCAGGAATTTATCCATTTCTTCTGGATTTTCTAGTTTATTTGCGCAGAGGTGTTTATAGTATTCTCTGATGGTAGTTTGTATTTCTGTGGGATTGCTGGTGATATTCCCTTTATCATATTTTAGTGTGTCTATTTGATTTTTCTCTTTTCTTCTTTATTAGTCTGGCTAGCAGTCTATCTATTTTGTTAATCTTTTCAAAAAACCAGCTCCTGTGTTCATTGATTTTTTTTTGAAGTTTATTTTGTGTCTCTGTCTCCTTCAGTTCTGCTCTGATCTTAGTTATTTCTTGTCTTCTGCTAGCTTTTGAATGTGTTTGCTCTTGCTTCTCTAGTTCTTTTAATTGTGATGTTAGGGTGTCAGTTTGAGATCTTTCCTGCTTTCTCTTGTGGGCATTTAGTGCTATAAATTTCCCTCTAAACACTGCTTTAGCTGTGTCCCAGAGATTCTGGTATGTTCTGTCTTTGTTCTCATTGGTTTCAAAGAACTTATTTATTTCTGCCTTAATTCTGTCATTTACACAGTAGTCATTCAGGAGCAGGTTATTCACTTTCCATGTAGTTGTGCAGTTTTGAGTGAGTTTCTTAATCCTGAGTTCTAATTTGATTGCAGTGTGGTCTGAGAGACTGTTAGGATTTCCATTCTTTTGCATTTGCTGAGGAGTGTTTTACTTCTAATTATGTGGTCAATTTTAGAATAAGTGTGATGTGGTGCTAAGAAGAATGTATGTTCTCTTGGTTTGGGGTGGAGACTTCTATAGATGTCTATTAGGTCTGCTTGGTCCAGAGGTGAGTTCAAGTCCTGAATATCCTTGTTAATTTTCTGTCTCATTGATCTGTTTAATATTGACAGTGGGGTGTTAAAGTCTCCCGCTATTATTGTGTGAGAATCTAAGTCTCTTTGTAGGTCTCTAAGAACTTGCTTTATGAATCTGGGTGCTGCTGTATTGGGTGCATATATATTTAGGATAGTTAGCTCTTCTCGTTGCATTGATACCTTTACCATTATGTAATGCCCTTCTTTGTCTTTTTTGATCTTTGTTGGTTTAAAGTCTGTTTTATCAGAGACTAGGACTGCAACCCCTGCTTTTTTTTTGCTCTCCATTTGCTTGGTAAATCTTCCGCCATTCCTTTATTTTGAGCCTATGTGTATCTTTGCATGTGATATGGGTCTCCTGAATACAGCACACCAATGGGTCTTGACTCTTTATCCAGTTTGCCAGTCTGTGTCTTTTAACTGGGGCATTTAACCTGTTTACATTTAAGATTAATATTTTTATGTGTGAATTTGATCCTGTCATTATGATGCTAGCTGGTTATTTTGCCCATTAGTTGATGCAGTTTCTCGTAGTGTTGATGGTCTTTACAATTTGGTATGTTTTTGCAGTGGTTGGTACCAGTTTTACCTTTCCATATTTAGTGTTTCTTTTAGGAGCTCTTGTAAGGCAGGCCTGGTGGTGAGAAAATCTCTCAGCATTTGCTTGTCTGTAAAGGATCTTATTTCTCTTTCACTTATGAAGCTTAGTTTGGCTGGATATGAAATTCTAGGTTAAAAATTCTTTTCTTTAAGAATGTTGAATATTGGCCCCCACTCTCTTCTGGCTTGCAAGGTTTCTGCAGAGTGATCCACTGTTAGTCTGATGGGCTTCCCTTTGTGGGTAACACGACCTTTCTCTCTGGCTGCACTTAACATTTTTTCCTTCATTTCAACCTTGGTGAATCTGACAATTATGTGTCTTGGGGTTGCTCTTCTCGAGAGTATCTTTGTGATGTTCTCTGTATTTCCTGAATTTGAATGTTGGCCTGTCTTGCTAGGTTGGGGAAGTTCTCCTGGATAATATCCTGAAAAGTGTTTTCCAACTTGGTTCCATTCTTTCTGTCACTTTCAGGTACATCATCAAATATAGGTTTGGTCTTTTCACATAGTCCCATATTTCTTGGAGGCTTTGTTCATTCCTTTTCACTCTTTCTTCTCTAATCTTGTCTTCATGCTTTATTTCAAGTTGATCTTCAATCTCTGATATCCTTTCTTTTGCTTGATTGATTCAGCTATTGATACTTGTGTATGCTTCATAAAGTTCTTGTGCTGTGTTTCTCAGCTCCATCAGGTCATTTATGTTCTGCTCTAAACTGGTTATTGTAGTTAGCAATTCCTCTATCCTTTTTTCAAGGTTCTTAGCTTCCTTGCCTTGGGTTAGAACATGCTTCTTCAGCTCAGAGGAGTTTGTTATTACTCACCTTCTGAAGCCGGCTTCTGTCAATTCATCAAACTCATTCTCCATCCAATTTTGTTCCCTTGCTGGCAAGGAGTTGTGATCCTTTGGAGGAGAAGAGGTGTTTTGGTTTTTGGAATTGTCAGCCTTTTTGTACTGGTTTATTCTCATCTTCATGGATTTATCTACCTTTGGTCTTTGATGTTGGTGACCTTTGGATGGGGTTTCTGTGTGGATGTCCTTTTTGTTGATATTAATGCTATTCCTTTCTGTTTGTTAGTTTTCCTTCTAACAGTCAGGCCCCTCTGCTGCAGGTCTGCTGGAGTTTGCTGGAGGTCTACTCCAAACCCTGTTTGTCTGGGTATGGAGGCTGCAAAACAGCAAAGATTGCTGCCTGTTCCTTCCTCTGGAAGCTTTGTCCCAGAGGGGCACCCACCAGATGCCAGCCAGAGCTCTCCTGTATGAGGTGTCTGTCAACCCCTGCTGGGAGGTGTCTCCCAGTCAGGAGGCACAGGAGTCTGGGACCCACTTGAGCAGGTAGTCTGTCCCTTAGCAGAGCTCAAATATTGTGCTGGGGGATCCGTTTCTCTCTTCAGAGCCAGCAGGCAGGAATGTTTAAATCTGCTGAAGCTGTGCTCACAGCCGCCGCTTCCCCCAGGTGCTCTGTCCCAGGGAGATGGGAGTTTTATCTATAAGCCCCTGACTGGGACTGCTGCCTTTCTTTCAGTGATGCCCTTCCCAGAGAGCAGGAATCTAGAGAGACAGTCTGGCTACAGCAGCTTTGCTGAGCTGCGATGTGCTTCACCCAGTTTGAACTTCCTGGTGGCTTTGTTTACACTGTGACAGGAAAACTGCCTACTCAAGCCTCAGTAATGGCGGATGCCCCTCCCCCCACCAAGCTTGAGCATCCCAGGTCAAGTTCTGACTGCTGTGCTGGCAGCGAGAATTTCAAGCTCATGGATCTTAGCTTGCTGGGCTCTGTGGGGGTGGGATCCACTGAGCTAGAACATTGGCTCCCTGGCTTCAGCCCCCTTTTCTGGGGAGTGAATGGTTCTGTCTCGCTGGCATTCCAGGAGCCACTAGGGTATGAAAAACAAAAACTCCTGTAGCTAGTTCGGTGTCTGACCAAATGGCTGCCCAGTTTTTGCTTGAAACCCAGGGCCCTGGAGGCATAGGCACCCAAGGGAGTCTCCTGGTCTGCACCCAAGGGAATCTCCTGGTCTGTGTGTTTCAAAGACCATGGGAAAAGTGTAGTATCTGGGCAGGAGTGCACCGTTCCTTAGGGCACAGTCCCTCAGGGCTTCCCTTGGCTAGGGGAGGGAGTTCCCTGACCCCTTGGGATTCCCAGGTGAGGCGATGCCCCACCCTGCTTTGGCTCACCCTCTGTGGGCTGCACCCACTGTCTAACCAGTCCCAATGAGATGAGCTGGGTACCTCAGTTGGAAATGCAGAAATCACCTGTCTTCTGCGTTAATCTCACTGGGAGCTGCAGACTGGAGCTGTTCCTATTTGGCCATCTTGCCCCTTGGTCTGGTTTTCAACCTTCAGTCTTCCATATTTATTTTGAATGAATTTTCTGCAGCTTTATTAAAAAAGAATAGAAACAAGTAAGAGCAAAGCATAGTTGGTTTATGGTTGTAATAAACTTATATGTATGTCCTAATGATTTGACAGCTTTGTGATAGTATCTTGTAATCCAAGTACATGATATATTTCTACATTATTTAGATCTTGTGTTAGGTTTTTCCATAAGATTAATTTTCTTCATATTGGCTTTCTTGCTATGTTTCTTTTTAGCATAAAGCTAATCCAGGAAAAGGAATAAAACTGGAAGGAAAAAATGTCTTAAACCATTAATATTGGCTGACCCCGGTGGTAGGGTTATGAATGAAACATTTTTGCTTCTTCCACTTTTTTATATTTTCCAAATTGTCCATATTAATCATGTATGATTTTTATAATAATAAATTAATGAAATTTAAGAATTAGATAATTGATTGAATTGGATAATTGAATTAATAAAATTTAAGAATGAGAATAGGAATAATTGTGCTTTGAAAAGTCATATACACAAGAGTTTTAGATGGAATTCAATACTAAATTTATATGCTATACTAAATCAGTAATTCTCAAGGAGCAAAGGTGCTGGGGAGTGTGGAGGAGCTCTTTGTTGGTGTTGCACATACAATTTAAGACAACATTTTCCTTATTCCTCACCATTTTAACCATATCACCTAACCAGCCTCTGGTAGCACTCAATAGACATCTGATGAATGAATGAATAAGTGAATGAAAACATTGTGACAAAATGGTATAACATTTTGTATTTGAAAAATATATGAAAATCTATTCTTTTCAAATATAAAATGGGAAAATAAAATTCAATAAAAATATCTTGGTTGGTGAGAATACACAAAAGATATACCTTCTTGTCTATGAATTAGTAATAAGAAATTGTCTTGAGGAAGTCAACTACATCTGGAAGGTTCTCTCTGGACAAGGAGCATAAGTGAAAAACAGTGCACTAAATTATAACCAAGAGTTGCAACTTACCATTTTAATGCTTCAGCACAGGCACAGAGACTAACATTTACTAAGCAAACAAGAAGTCTTGGCAAGTTAATTAAATAATGAATTATTTTTGGTGACCAAGGAGTTGGGCTTCTCATTTTAAAACCATGCATGAGATTTTTCCCTTTCTACCCATTACTAAAATATCGTATTAGTGTGAAAAATTATACCAGGACTGGGAGAAAAAGAAATCACATCTGTCCTTGACAATGGGCTGAATGAAGAGGTGAAGGAGTGGTTTTACTATCTAAGTGACTGAAAAATAGGTTATGGTGCCCCAGCAAATCCTTGTTGTTTGCTGACAATTAGTGATGTCTGTTTAAATCATGCAGTTTTATTAGGCCTTAAAAATATCTTTTAGTTAGTTTCAATTTCATCAAGGGAAAAGGAGAGCAGAGTAGAGTGGAACTCTGCTCAGAGTCCGGTTGGAAGCCTTCAACTTTGTTCTCCCTGTTTTCAGATGAGTGTCTATTTGTGGCTCTACCTTTTCTCTTTCTTCTCTTACCATGACACTCCCCTCTTCTCTCTTATCTTAGCTGTTCTTTTCTTCTTCCGCATATTAGGCAGTGGGAGAAACACCCTAAATCAGTTGGAGGTGAGGAAAGAAGAAAAGCACCCCTATCTTGGTAGTTCCTCATTCTTCCCTTCGTCACGTCCATGTCATCAGGCTCTGCCTTCATCTGCGATCTGGATACAATCCAATTTATAGCATCCATTCAACCAAAAAATATTGAGCTCTTACTATGTCAAAGTAGTGTTCTGGATGCTCGGCTCCATCAGTAAACAACCTAGACTAACATCTTGCCGTTGTTTACATCTCGTGGTGTAGAGTTTACACCTTGTGGTCTAGAATTTACATCTTGTGGTGGAGGCAGGCAGATGATTAACAATAAACTTAAGTAGGTCTAGATGTCAAAAGGTGGTAAATGCTACAGGAAAGAGCAAAGGTCGAGCCAGGTAAGGCAGATTGGCTGTGTGGGTGTGGAGGAAGGGTGCAAGAGTACTGTCAAGATAAGCCTTCCTGAGAACATCTGAACCAGGACATGAAGGACATGAGGAAGTGAGACAGTCGCTATCCAGGGAAGGAATTTCCAGGCAGAAGAAAGAGCCAGTGTTACGCCTTAAGGTGGGAGCATTTCTGCGAGACTGGAGAATCACTGGAGTCCATTGTACTTGGAGCCCAGCAAGGGAGAAAAGATTGGAGGACTCAGGAGGTGCTGGGGCAGGTGAACTGCTTTTTGATTGGGGAGTTCAGAGGGTAATGCTTTGGATAAATGTAACTGAAAACTTTCTCAGAAGTGTTTTCATACTATCTCTACAATTCATTTTCATGTGAAAACTTAATTGGCGAGCAGATTAATATGGTGATCTTCCCTTAGATCACTAGGAAAATCTTGTTTTATGAATTTTTCTTCCCTTTTCATTCACTAGCAGAGAAAAGAGTTGTAAAGGAGCCGCAGAAAATTATAGTAGGTTTCTCCCTACTACTGAGCTACTGAGACTGGAAGATGCTCACGTTAGCAACTGAGTATATTTATGTATTTCCCTTTAATGTTTGAAGGGTCAGGAATATTTGACTTAGGATACTAGTCTGTTTAGAAACATGATTCAACTAGCTACATGACTAAACTAGCAGCTGTCAGAGAGAATGCAAGGTCAAAACTTAGTAGTTGATAATAATAAAGAAAGGGCAGAGTGTTATGAAATGTTATGATCTGGGTAATCCATTGGCTCACTTTTTTTTGTCAGCCTAAGGTTACAAGATGATAAATTAAGTTGCTAATATTCTATATCTACCATTTACTTTTCCTTTATCATGTGTCTGGCAATATGCTGAGTGTTCTACCTCTAGCATTTTATTCAAACTGTGCAATCTGCCTGCTGAAACAAGTATCATTAACTTCATTTCCTAAGGTGAGAAAATTGAGGCCCAGAGAGGTTAAATAAGTTTAGGATCATATGCATAGCTGGTAAGTACTATACTTTAATATCCCTTTGCCTTCATGCTTTGCTCTCACTCCATGTTTAAATGAGCAGAGAGACTTATCTTTAAACAGATATATAGCAAGTAGTATTTTCCAAATGAATTCCACAAGATGCTCCATTGCAAAAGTTCAAATAAGTTTAGAAAAATGCTGCAAACTTTGTGCTTCTTAAGAGATTTACAGTGCAGATTAGCACATTAAAGCCTTTGGGAAATTTGTATTAGAAAAACCTTTATTAACTTATTTACCCCAATTTTTCCAAGCTTTTTGATCACGAAACTCTTTAAAAAACAACAAGTATAATTGCTTTTATAGTATTCTTTGGGATACACTTGGAGAAGTGTTACATGAAAAGATATGATTGGATAAATTTAAATATAGGAAGAATTATTTAATCATTTTTTGGAATAAAACACCAATTTTAGGTTGTCTAACATACATTTGAGCCAAGACATGAAGGACATGAGGACATAATTTACTTTTGTCCTTGTAAGGACATAATGCACTTTTAGTGGTTTGCATTGTTTATTTTCTTTTGAATTTCATGTTACTTTATAAAGGTAATTATTTAATCAAACCATTTGTTAAGTGTCAGACACTATGGTAGGTGCTGGTAATATAAAGAGAATATGTAAACATCAACACAACATATCTCCTAGTATGGGCTTACAGTACAGTGAGAGACACAAACAAATAATTTGTAGGATTGAAATAAGTCTTACATTTGCCACATCAATAAAGCACTATGGAAACAAAGGCACAAGAACTTAACTTTGTCCAATGAAGTCTTTCAGGAGGAGGTGATATTGGAGCTGAATTTTAAAGGATTCATAGATGTTTATCTGAAGGACTAATGCAACATGTTGGAGGTGAGTCTTCAGGAAAGAGGCAACAAGAACCATTTGGGTAACAAGATAGGACTTGGCAAGTTAGGGGAGTCGTAAGTGGTTCATTACGGCTAGAATCCAGGGCTCTCTGGAGAGATTGGGAGTACACAGATCACTCAAGGGTTTGGTATGAACTGTCAGGCTACTAAGACAGAAATAACAAAAATCAGATGTGGGTTTAGAAAGAGCATTTTGGCTGTAATACAGAACATGATGGATAATTGATGGAGCGAGATTCCTGGGGAGATAGAAGAGGATAGGGCCATGTAAGTACATCTGCTGGTATTTTAAAATTAGAAAAAGAAATTTTTGGTAGCAAAATCAGAACAGACCCACCAACTCTTTGCAAATCATGGGACTAGAATGTTTGGAAAGGAAGATGCTAACGATTTTCATTCATTTGTTTATCATCTATGTTGAGTGTCTTCTTGGGCCTAGGCAGCATGCCCAAAGCTGGGAGAATAAGATACTGTATGAGATGCTAGAAAGATCCCCACCTCTCCTTTCCAGAAATTCAGTATATCAGACTAATTGGTTTACAGTTGTGACCATGGGCTTTTGGCATAGCTGTTCAACAAGATTTCATTCTTTTTCAAAAGCAATTCATTCATCCACCAAATATTTGTTAAACAAATGTACGTTGCATTGTAGTGGGTCCTCAGGGAGCTGGATGTACATGCCAAATATGTTTCATTTTATTTGAAGCAAGTCCACAGACAAGTAAACTAGTCAAGTGATACCAGGCAAAGTGATTTGCTTTCCAACAGATGGTGACAGATTAATTTCCTAAGAGACTGATCTGCCCCAGAGGCACTGGGAAAGTCTTGTTAGGGAGGTAGATTATAGTCAGGACCTTGGAAAATTGTTGGGAATAATTGAGGTCAGGAAGGGTATACTTAGGTGGATGGGGACAGCCCCTGAACGAGGGATCAGTCCTTTTGGAGTGAGCACGGAATATTCAGGTGCCTGGGAGGAGTGAAGGCTTGTGCTTCAGCACTGATTGTGTGCACCGATGGTGGAACATACCTGCCTGCTCAGAAGCTTTGGCTTCTCTCTGTAGGTGAGAGACAGCCATTAGAAGTCCTTGAACAGGGAAGAAACACGGTGAAAGCAAGGATTTCATTGAGAAGTCCCTCATGGAAGAAGAAGATTACATTGGAAAGAGCCTGGCTTAGGGAGGGAGCAGTGACAATCAGAGAAAAAGGCAGATAGGGGCAAAGATACTGGAAGAAGAGGAAAAACTGTCCAAAGCTTTGTCCTTGTGTGGGAAAGCTGGTGCTGTTGGCGTGAAAGAGGAAGCAAGAACATGTGCACTGACACGGCTGAGAGTCTCCAAAACCATTGTCTTTCCTTAAAACAGTAATGATCACAAGCAGCTTACAACTTTGCATATAGCCACTGGGGCAAAATCCTATTAAAAGCTAATTCATTATCTGAGCCAGTGCATGATAATGCGATGTAAAGGCGTGTTGGGAGGCAGATGATCAGAACTTTTAAGCAAACTAAATTTCATAACATTTATTAGAAGCCTGTCTCTATTTCCAGAAAACGCCTATAAATGTGGCTGTAATGTAGGCTACAGGTCATCACACTGAAGTAGAAGCAATGTACAATACCTGAAAGGTTAGAGAAGTTCAGGGTCTGGGCTTATAAAAAACTTCATTATTCATTTGAAAGATATTGTTTTGTATCCCCCAATTGTGGTTTTCAATGTATATAAAAGCAGGATATCATACTTTTTGATCTATGGATTTGGAAGGGGATAATGGTGTGGTGGGCACTGAGCATATGGAATTATTTAATTAGAGAGATGCCCTTTAGATTACTATAAAATATAACCAGAATCTCCTGTTTAGACTTCTAAAATCTACTTCTTTGAAAACACTACTAAAATGACCACAAAGACCTGTCCTCACAAGTGGGAGCTATTAATCAATAGTGTGTACACATGGACATAGAGAGCAGAATAATAAACACTGGAGACTCTGAGGGGTGGGAGGGGAAGAGGGAGGTGAGGGATGAGAAATTACTTGATGGGTACAATCTACACTATTCTGGTGATTGATTTCTCTCTGTTTCCTCTTCAGAAACTGAGAGGAAATTTAGTTTCCTCAGTCACCACTCCTCCAAACTCCTGCGTGGGTGATACAAGACTTGCTGTCATCTTGAGGCAGAAGGGGTTAGGGGATTTCCCCATTGAACCTGATAGCCTTCATTTCATTTCTGTCTTCTCAGGGAAACATTTACCCCTCTTTACTAAATGGAAGAAGGTTTGTAAACTAGGAGGGTATCTATGGATCTGATTGCTCCTTCACCACTCTGCTATATATCCATGTAACAAAACAGCGCTTGTGGCCGGATACAGTGGCTCACACCTGTAATCCCAGCACTTTGGGAGGCCGAGGTGGTCGGATCACCTGAGGTCAGGAGTTCGAGACCAGTCTGGCCAATACGGTGAAACCCTGTCTCTACTAAAAATACAAAAATTAGCTGGGCGTGGTGGAGCATTCCTGTAATCCTTAGCTACTCGGGAGGCTGAGGCAGGAGAATCGCTTGAACCCGGGAGGCCGAGGTTGCAGTGAGCCGAGATCATGCCACTGCACTCCAGCCTGGGTGACAGAGCAAGACTCCATCGTGGGAAAACAAACAAACAAAAGAACAGTGCTGGTACCCCCTAAATCTATAAAATTTTCTAAAAAATAAAATGACAATAAAGGAATGAAAAAGGCATAGGTACAAGCAGATGGGATAGGACACTAAAGCAAGCTGGAGTAATACTGGAATTCTAGAAGGTAGAAGGCTTAGCAGAGCAGTTCAGGTGGAACCCACGCCTGTGGGGGCAGGGGCATGAGCAGTGAGCCCATCTAACTACGGGACCCCAGATAGGCTTGGGATCTAGAAGCGACAGATGCCTCTAAAGGCTGGGGGTAGGCTGGGACTGAAAGCAGAATTGGTGTAAAGTCTTTAAAAGGAGCAATTAGATCCACAAATACCTTCCTAGTTTCTAATTATTCTACCGCTTAGGAGAGAGGGGTAAATGACTCCCTGAAAACAGAGAAATGAAGTGAAGGCTATCATGTTAAATGGGGACAACACCTAGCCCCTCCTTCCTCAAGACTGACAGGAAAGCTCCTACAACCCACGAAGGAGTTTGGAGGGGTGTTGTCTGAGGAAACTAATAAGTCCAAGAGAAAGAACCTTCAGAAACGGACATTTAAAGGATTAGGTCCCCACCCGATTACCCTAGAGATACACATACAGAAATGTGATTGGACAGTCAAGGATCACCGTATGATGCTTCTAACCTGAACAATAGACACCTAGTCACACACCCAAACAATCACACACACACATACACACACACACACACACACTTACTTCACTTCTGCTGGAGGAATTTACAAGATGAAGAACATCTTGTATCTCTTTTGGGCTACTGTTTGTGAAAGGAATGGTTGCATGTGCTCTTGGCTAAGCCAACTCCATCCTGAAGACAGATTTTTGTGAGGTGGGGGAAATTCGCCCAGCGTTAATAGTGTTAGTGGTTGTCCTGGGTCCATCCTGGTCTGTATTCCTGCTTTTTCATTTTCAGATTTAAATCCAGAGTTATTACAGATGGTAACATCTGATGCCAATTTATGGATCTTTTTCATAATTCACCTGCTAGGAATCTCAGGTAACCTATAAAATATGCTTTTATTTGGTCATTTTAAGAGTTACGTTTCTGAATTTCAGGTATTTTATCCTGTATTGTCAGCACATTAAATTAGGGAACACATTCATTGACATTCTATGTATTTTCCTTTGTATTTCAAAGTCAGAGTCAAGTATTTAAAAAGATAAGATCTTTCATTTTGTGTGTGATCCCACGGAATACTTTCTACTGTAGATTTATTAAAATTCTCCCACCTCTGGCCTCTGATTAAGGAATTGCAGAGTATTCTCTATGACAACTCATTAAACCTATTATTCCCCCCAGGGCGGTTTAGTATATCACTAAATATACTTTTAGTGATATTTGTTGATTGGAGCATAGCTTTTGTGTTTGCCAAACATCATTGATGTGTTTTGAGGTCATGTGGTTGTGGGGGGCAGGGGGTGGTTGTAAATGTAATAGTGTCCCTCTAGTATTGTAATACTTCAAGGACATAGAATTTATTTTTTAAAGTCTTAAATCTTTTTGTTTGTTTTTCTAGGAAATCTTGAGTCTATGTTCTTTGATTTGAGACTATAGAGTTTCTTGGTAAAGTCTCCAATTATTGGTTTTCTGAGTAAATTCTTGAGAATTGGTGAGGCTCCCAGGATTATTGTTTGTCATCCTGTTCTAATTAATAGAGAAAAAGCATATAAATCTTAGATGTCTTAGATCTGGGACTATTGCATCTACTTGGCTTGAGCCAAAGTGTCATCTAATTTTTATCCAGTAATTGTGGCAACATATTGCTTCCAAAACAAATCACATTTGTAAATGCATATTGAGCATTTTCTACATGAAGGGCATTACCAGGGAGTGAAAGAAATATAAGGTCTGAATTTTGTCCTCTGGGAGAGAACATTCTAGTGGGAGAGATGAGTTGTGAAAAGTTAAATAACAAATATTTATAGATGGTCAATATAGGAACTTGCAAATATTATTAAGATTAATTACATGTGAAAAATTGTTATTGAATTCAAGGCAAAAGAAGTGAACTTAAACTGAGTTGCACAGGAAGAACTCATAAAAAGGTGAGCTTGTGTTGGATGAGTGGATTTGGGCAGATAAAGAAAGACAGGAGCAAAAATAAAGAGGTGGAAAACCACAGGGGTGTTTGATGTATGCAGGGCACGGAAATCAGTTGTATGGTGGGGGGTACCTTCAACTTAAAACCTCTGTACCAGTTAGGGTGCTTGAGTTGTAAGAAGCCGAAACCAATTCTGGCTCATTTAGGCGGAGAAAGAATTTACAATCCATGACTAGGATATATCCCTCCATCTATTTAATCCCTGTTTAACTTTTCTTTATTTTTTATAGTTTGTATAGTTTTCTATGCAGAAGACTTGCACATCTTTCGTTACATTTGTTCATAAGTATTTGACACTTTTATGTTATTATTAAAGATTTTCTTTTTTTTTTTTTGAGACGGAGTCTCACTCTGTCGCCCAGGCTGGAGTGCAGTGGCGCAATCTCGGCTCACTGCAAGCTCCGCCTGCCGGGTTCACACCATTCTCCTGCCTCAGCCTCCCGAGTAGCTGGGACTACAGGCGCCTGCCACCACTTCCGGCTAATTTTTGTGTGTGTGTTTTTAGTAGAGACGGGGTTTCACCGTATTAGCCAGGATGGTCTTGATCTCCTGATTTCGTGATCCAACCGCCTCGGCCTCCCAAAGTGCTGGGATTACAGGCGCAAGCCACAGCGCCCGGTCAAGAGTTTTAAAAAAATTTCAGTTTCTAACTGTTGACACTACATAGAAATACAATAGATTTTTGCATATTGTCCATGTATCTGCCAAACTTGCTAATTTAACTTATTAATTATAATAATTTTATCTATGGATTCTTTTGGATTTTCCAAATATACAACATGCCATATATGAGTAGTGACATTTTTATTTCTTCTTCCTAGCTCCGTAACTTTATTCTATTTTCTTGACCTACTGCATTGACTAGGATCCTTCACTACAATGGGAAGAAAAAGTGATGGTGGGCATTCTTTTCTCACTCCTGATCGCAGGGCAGCATTTAACTTTTCACCATTATGAATGATGTTTGCTCTACAGATTTCTGTAGAACCATTTATCAGATTCAGGTAGTTAATCCTAACTTGGCTAACAGCAATTAAAAAAATGAAGTAATATAAAAATTAAGAAATTAATATGCTGCTAATGATATGTTGTTGAGTAACATAAATATACCAATTTTTCTATATCTACTGAGATGATCATATGAATATTGTTCTTTATTTACTATGGTGAATTGCATTCATTAATTTTCTTTTCTTTTTTTTTTTGAGACAGAGTCTTGCTCTGTCACCCAGGCTGGAGTGCAGTGGTGCAGTCTGAGTTCACTGTAACCTTCACCTCCTGGGTCCAAGTGATTCTCCTGCCTCAGTCTCCCGAGTAGCTGGGATTATAGGTGTGCACCATCACGCCCGGCTAATTTTTATATTTTTAGTAGAGATGGGGTTTCCCCATGTTGGCCAGGCTGATCTTGAACTCCTGACGTCAAGTGATCTGCCTGTCTCGGCCTCCCAAAGTGCTGGGATTACAGGTGTGAGCCACTATGCCTGGCTGGATTCATTAATTTTCAAATGCATTTTAAAATTTCTGAACTAAATCCAACTTGATTATAATATACTATCTTTTTTTAAGGGAAAAGTAGATGAATCAGACTCAGCAAAAATAGGAGCCAGAATAGCAACTGATACGGTTTGTCTATATTCCCACCCAAATCTCATCTTGAATTGTAATCTCCATAACCCCCACTTGTCTAGGGAGAGATCTGGTGGGAGGTGATGGGATCATGGTGGCAGTTTCCCTCTTGCTGTTCTCGTGATAGTGAATTCTCATGAGATCTGATAGTTTTATAAGGGCCTCTTCCCCCTTCGCTACTCACTCTGTCTCTCACCTGCCACCATGTAAGACGTGCCTTGGCTACTCCTTTGCCATCTGCCATAATTATCTGAGATCTCCCCAGCCATTTGGAACTGTGAGTCAGTTAAACCTCTTTTCTTTATAAATTACCCAGTCTCAGGCAGTTCTTCATAGCAGCGTGAAAATTAACTAATACAGCAACCATGGCAGGGGAAGGCCAAGCACCTTGACTGAGTATATCCAATGGGAGAGGAGATTTTTTTCTCACAGCCAAATCAGGACACTCACAGCTTTGTGTTTAAAAGCTTGGGCTCTGGACTCAGGCTGCCTGGTTTGAAGTGCCAGTCCTCCCTCTTATGTGGCAGGGGACCTTAGCTCTGAGTATCCTTCTCTATAAAGGAGGATGATGTTCTATTTACCCAATAAGATTCTAAGGATTAAATGATACATTAAAGTGCACAGGTCAGATCACTCTCAGCCCATAGAAGTAATTATAATTCCAGCTATTATTATTGTTATTTGTGAATATGAGAAAGAAGAAAGTTCACTCTGACATCCTGTAAATGGAAAATTCAACTGAACATTGAAAAATGTTTAAATCTGTCTATCAGAAAGTTTTTCATCAAAAGAAAACACTGAGTAGTCTAGTGTTGTAGCTTGATCCAAAACCTTGAATAATTTTCAAACTCATTTATGATATCTGAAATATTCAATGACTTATACCTTTGAATTTTTTGGCAGCTTTGTGGAGGTATAGCTGACATATAAGAAACTGCAGATATTCAAAATGTACAGTTTTATAAGTTTTGATGTATGTATACAACCATTAAACCACTACCACAATAACATAAGGAACATACCTGCCCCCCATCCACACATTTGATGCGCCTCCTTTTAAAATTCTCTTTCCTACCCTCCACCCCTCACTGTTTACCAAAAAGAATGTCTGATGGTGCCCTGGGCAGTCCCACTCTGCCTAGAAAACACCATAGAAAAAGACAGCAAAAGTGCTTTCTCACTCTGGAGTTCTACTTGATTTTAATGGACATAGATTAGTGTGAACCACATAAACCAGTACTAAAATACAGGATTTGATCTAGAAAAGGTGATGCTAAAAATGCATGTAGATAAAACCTAATTTTTTTCAGACACCAAAATGAAAAATTATTAGTATGCCATGACACATGAACACTTTTATATTCCACAACCACTGTGCTCTCCTTTTGGTGTTCATTTGCAATGGATGGAATGTTTATGTCCCTTCCAAATTTGTATGTTGAAATGCTAACTCTCAAGATGATGGTATTAGGAGGAGAGGCTGTTGAGAGGTGATTAGGCCATGAGGGTGGAACCCTCAAGAAAAGGATTAGTGCCCTCAGCAAAGAGGCCTAGGAGAGCTAGCTTGCTCTTCCCAGCATTTAGGGACACAGCAAGAGGGTGCCGTCTGTGAACTAGAAAGCAGGCCCTCACCAGATACCAAATTTGCCAATGCCTTGGCCTTGGACTTCCCAGCCTCCAGAACCATGAGAAGTAAATTTCTGTTGTTTATAAGCCACCTAGTCTATAGTGTGTTTTGTTTTAGCAGGCTGAATGGACTAAGGCATTATTTATTGTGAGTTCTATTCACCATGGAGCATATGTGGCCTATGTGTCCCTGGCACTGAGGCAGGAACTGAGCAGAGTACGCAGGGGAATTAATAATGCTTGGACCTATCTTTAAAACACCTAGAGTTTAGTAGGAATCAACTGGAAGTAGTAGGGTAAAGGAAAGTAGGTGACTTTTGTTGAGCCCTGCCATGTGCTAGAGACTGTGCTAAAGTGATTTACCCACATTATCTTATTTGAACCTCATGGCAAGCCTGTGTGGTAGGTCCTATTCCTCTATTTACAGATGGGGAAACTGAAGCTCAGAGACATTAAGTAATTTGCCCAAGGTTATAGAATTATCAGCAACAAAGCTGAAAGTGGCAAAGGGCTCTTTCTAGTCAGGAGGAATTAAGAGAGCTTGGGTGCAGTGGCTCACATCTGTAATCCTAGCATTTTGGGAGGCCAAGGTGGGAGGATCAGTTGAGCCCAGGAGTTTGAGATCAGCCTGGGCAACATAGTGAGACTTCGTCTGTACAGAAAAAAAGAAAAAAGAAAAAAAGAGCTTGGGATCGTGCCTCCTGTGACTCAGCATCACCTTAGTCTTGGTCTGCCTCCATTCTGAATTGTGCCCTAAAGCTAGTCATTGCTTCCTTCTTGGTTTCTGCTACAAGTTTCTGCCTCTCCCACTGGCCCATTTCCGGGGTTCCTGTTCCTGTTATGCACATCAATCCCTAGATTTCTGAGGTCCCAGAGGGTGGGCTTCTGCTTAGTCCCTGTTTGTCTTCCCAGGGCTAGGCATCCTGGTCCTTAGCCCTGGCACTGGGGCTTCTCTCCCTGCTGCCTTCGACCCCCCGGGGCTGACCATCTGCTGCTCTATCCCTGCATCCTGCCAGCTTTCACATCCCCTGTCTCGAGCTCTGCTTGCCCTTTACTCTTGAGGGGAACTCCCTGCCTCCACCTGTTGGACTGGTCTGGTCCCTTCACTGGTCCTGCCCTTTCTGACCATCTTCTACTCTGGTCTGGCCTCCCATTTTCCAGAGCTCATCTGTCTCCATGTGTGTCCTGCTTCTCAGAGGGTCTTGAGTTCCAGCTTTTCCAGGTCTGGCTGGTGCCATGGCCAAAACCTGTCCCACCTCTCCCATTCGAGTTCCTCACTAGCTCCTTTTTGACAGTTCTTTCTTTTTTGGGGTCTAGCTTTGGCCTTGCTGCATGAATCATTAACACATAAATATGTGTCTTCACAATTAATTGTTTCCATTTGGTGTTTGCTCTAGTCAAGGAGGATGGAGAGGGAGCAACATCTTGTACTGAATGTCTTGACATCACTAGGAACTAGACTGCTTGTGCTTCCCGGGCATGCTGAGGTCTCAAGAATAAAGAGTATCCCTGAAGACATTCTTATCAGTCTTCCCTGGTGAAACATTCATCCTAATTTTTCCTTTTAGCTTTGAGACCACTTTTGCATGATTTTTAATATGTCATTAAATTAAATAGATATAATTTTCTCTGTCTAGCCAAGCTGCTGTTAGAAGAATCTTTGCATACAACTAATCATAAAAAAGACATTCTTCTTGCCTCTTTGGAAAGGAGCCTGTGTCACCTAAGAGTGAGGAGTACACTCATTCTTTTGTGCCTTGTTCATCTGCTCAGGGGATTATTGATTAGCAGATAGAATGTGGGTGCAGGCTGGACGCAGTGGCCATGTCTGTAATCCAGCACTTTGGGAGGCCGAGATGGGTGGATTACTTGAGGTCAGGAGTTTGAGACCAGCTTGTCCAACATATAGTGAAACCCCCGTGTCTACTAAAAATATAAAATTAGCTGGGCGTGGTGGTGCATGCCTGTAGTCCCAGCTACTTGGGAAGCTGAGGCAGGAGAATCGCTTGAACTCCGGAGGTGGAGGTTGCAGTGAGCTGAGATCGCGCCACTGTACACCAGCCTAGGTGACACAGTGAGACTCCATCTCTCAAGAAAAAAAAAAAAGAAATGTGGGGGCAGATAAGTTTTTTGGGGGGTTTGCTTTTAATTCTTTGGAAGAACTGGGCTTGGCTGGCTGGGCACCTAGAGCAATGTGGACATGGGCAGCTGCTTGTCCCATGGATGCCAGGGACAGAGTCACAAGAGAGACGGTTAGAAATGGTGCCAGGTTCTCGCTGCCTCGTGCCAGGTCAGCTCCCAACAAAGCCTTTGTACAAGACACATATAAACCCTCAGAGAGTTTATGCTAACCCAGTGTCTTGGCCATGGCTTACTCATGATGGAAAACTGATCATATTTTATTCTGGCCACATGGAATAATAGACATGTAATCACTATGAGATTTGAGTTGCAGGGTCTTTGGTTTCTAATAACCTTTATAATTTTCTCCCTCATCAGGGAGACAGAATAAGGTGTTTACATTACTACTTTCATTTTGCAAGAATAAGATCGAGGTTAAATCTACAGTTATGTCTTGATAGACTGCAGCAGATTTCTGCATCAGTAGAAAGTGCTGTTTTCCCACTAATCAGAAGAAGAAAGTGCTAGCCATAATGATATGGGTCCACTGTGAAGTAGAAGACAAGAAACAGAGCAGGACGTGGAATTGGGAGCAATGAGAAAAGGTGCCTAGAGTTGCTCTTGGCACCCTGCACCTTAGATCACCCTTATTAACTGCCTGCTGTTTACTCTGAAAATCTTTCTGTCATTTTTGAGAGATAAAATCTGAAAATGCAGTTTCTTCAAGTTAGAAATGATAATTTTTATAATAGAGTTTAAGAAAGCCATGCTTCTTTTCTCTTCTATGAGAACATTTTTATTTCAATTATAAAATTGCCACTATAAATAGCCAGTCAAGTTCATAGGGCATGAGTCTCATCAGGCGGATAATTTACATTATATAAAAAAAGTATGAGTTATTTAACTAAACTAAAAAAGCAACCAGTATCTTGTGGTCACATACTGTATGTGATCCCTTTTACTTGCAAGGTAAAAAGTGGTTTCATAACCTTGCCAATATAATTCCAAAGAACTAAGGACTTAGTGATCGTTGCTAATTGAAGTTATTCTGTTTATGAGCAAGCAACACTATTTCTTTGATGAAAACCAGAAAGGATTTACGTGTCGGTAAATAGGGTTCCTTTATGTTTGTGTATGTGTGTGTGTTTGTGTGTGTGTGTGTGTGTGTGTGATTTTATGAGGTTTGTCTCATTCTTCTATGCTAGTGAGTGTTGATTAGTTGGATTGCCTTTTCAGTTGACCTATTGCTTTTTAAGAGCATTTTTGGATATAGTCCCTTAACCCAGAATTAACTTCTATGATAAAAACGCTTTTTGGGTTGTCAGAGAGGCTAATAGGGGATATATGGGCAGGGAGTTTTTTACCAGCCGTCAGATCTCATCTTGCAGACTGTAACTACTGTAACCATGCCCCATGAAGGGTAGTACAAATCATGCTATTGAAATTGAGAGAGATGGCTGCCTTTTGGACAGGAAGAGAACTAGAAGTTTTTGACTTTGTGAATCTAACCTCTGCAGCTGCATCCCCCAGGGCTGCTGTCCACATACCCTGTGCTCCACTCCCTCTCATGATTTCTCTCACCACCGTCATTCTTTGTTTCTCTTGTTCCTTTATCCTGAAGCTCTCAACCTATGAACCTGTGAAAAGCCCAGATAACAGTAACAGATTACATTTATTTATGGAACATTTATTATAGATGGTGTCATTTTCTAAGTACTTTAACCATATTGATTCCTTTAATCTTTGCAATCATGCAGTGAAACAGGTGATTCTCATACTCCCATTTTACAGTTGAGGAAACTGAGGCACTGAGGGGTGAAATGACTTGTCTGGGACCACACAGTACGTAGTCGAGCTAGTATTTGGACCCAGACTGTCTAACTCAAGAGCCCAAGTTATTGGCCACCATACTCTATAGCACCTCTAACCCAGATCAAATATACACAGCACCATCACATAGTGAAATTAATCAGTGTCATGTCCATTCCCTCTGCTTAATTGTATGTTTCTTGTGATGAGGAACATAAGCCATCTCCAATGCCTGGGGCCACACATAGCAGATGCCCTATAACTATCATCATTGTCATCGTCATTCTTATCTTCCTCTTCCTCCTCATCATAATCTACTACATATAAGGCAAATTTGTGGGTCAGGCACACTTCACATAAATTAGATTTAATTCTCACAACAATCTTACGAAATTTGTGTTGTCCCCAGTTTATAGTTGAAAAGACCTTGCATTTAGGAAGTGGTAAAATGGGAATTTGCGACCCTGCCATTTGGTTCCAGAATCCTTCCTCCTAACCACTCTATACCATATGCTTAATTAAGAAAAAAAGAAACAAATAGGTGAGAAAAAACAATGATGTGAAGAATTTTGCTGCCCCCAGTATTAGGATTTTTTTTCTTCTTCTTGCTAGACTCTAGAGGGCCCAGATCCTGTGGAGCTGTCTCTCTGAAGGGAAGGGTCAGGCTGTTCACCCTGATTTTCCTGGAGTCACAGATAAACTTCTGCCCTCCACCGGATGCCTCTATCTTACACAATTATTTTCCTTTACAAATTTGGTTGATGACATATTCACTTGGGATAATTGGGTTGTCCCTCCTACTTTGAAACTGTGAGAGAGTTCACTCAATTTCCAACTGCGTATGAAGCTCTTGAGTCAGATTTTTTTGCCTGTAACACCTCAGCTCACACCAGTGCAGAAATGGAAGTTTTAATTGGCTGTAGGATTGAAGGGTTGGTTTGGTGCATGGTGGTATTTTAAGAAAGGCAAAGTTTTATTTAAATGAGGAATATTCTCCCTGGGTTTTTTGAGTTAGCTACTGGGCCATGCAACAGGCCTGGCTGCTTGTGAGAAAATGAGAAGGGTGATCAAGTACAAGAAGATGCAGCCAAAGAAGTGGACACAATCCACGTCAAGTTCCATCTTCTTTGTGGCAGCCATGATTCTGAAGGTCACTGAAGGGTATTTTTCCCTGAGCTGTTTTTGGAGCCTGTGCCACTGGCTTCAAATGCTGGGTCTTGGCCACCTCAGTTGCTATAAAATATGGTTATGAGTGCTTCCGCTTCCCAGCATCTAGCTGACAAAGCCCCACTTGTGCCTTGCTCAGCCCCACTTCATTGCTCCTGCCCTCTCTGGGGAGAGGGACTCACCACCTGGGTGACAAGGTTAGGGCTTCTTGCTGCACTTTTTGGCATCTTGCTGCTCCCTGTATAAGGGCAAAGCTAACCTTTTTTTTTTCTTTTCATTGAGACAGTCTCTCTCTGTCACCCAGGCTGGAGTGCAGTGGTGCGATCTAGGCTCACTGCAGCCTCTGCCTCCTGGGTTCAAGTGATTCTCCTGCCTCAGCCTCCCGAGTAGCTGGGATTACAGGCTTGAACCACCATGCCAGGCTAATTTTTGTATTTTAGTAGAGATGGGGTTTCATCATGTTGGCCAGGCTAGTCTGGAACTCCTGACCTCAAGGAATCTGCCTGCCTCGGCCTTCCAAAGTGCTGGCATTACTGGCATGAAACACCACCCCACCTCCAACCTTCAAAAGATTTAAAAAAATGTGAAAACTGAAATGAAGACTAGATACTAATGAAACATTGGACTCATTATGACTTTGTTAAGTCATTTTGATTTTATTAAAATCAAACATTAATAAAGCAGACTGTGAATAAATAAATTATATTCTTTGGCCATTTCTTCATTAGACAAGGATGCTATCTTTCATGGCTGTGTTATTGTGGGGATGGCTGATAGCTCATAGAACCAATCTAACATCCACAGATTTTTTTCATAGTTCTGGACTAGGTTTCTTAGCATAATGCGTTGTTGTGGTCCTCATGGTCTGTTGTTCTCTCTTGCCAACCTTGTTTCATCAGTCCCCTGTTGTCCTGCAGATTTTTGAAGCATTGGAATCCTAGCAACAGATTTCTCATTTAAGTAGGATGGTCCTGATCACTAGTCTCCCACAGAGAGTTGGTAAAAAGTTTTGTTCTTCTTATCACCCACAGAACTTCCCTGAAACATTTTTTGTTGTGCTTGCTCAGAAACCATAAGCTTAGTAGAAAAATGCACCTTGCTTGTGAATACACAATCAGGTGTCCAAATGAGATGGTCCCCTCCTAGAAGATAATATTTCGGAAGTCTTGCCTCAGTGGGAGGTACTTGGTTGTTTGTTTTTGTTTTTTTTTTCATTTCAATAGCTTTAGGGGTACAAGTGGCTTTTGGTTACATGCATGAATTGTATAGTGCTGAAGTCTGGGATTTTAGTTTACCCATCACTCGAGTAGTGTACTCTGTACCCAGGGTCCTTGGATTTTATGGGCTTGTTTTTGTTTGCTTTTATGTTAAGATATGAATAATATGATATGCTTTGGCTCTGTGTCCCCACTCAAGTCTTATCTCGAATTGTAATCCCCATAATCTCCACACGTCAAGGGAGGTACCTGGTGGGAGGTGATTGGATCATGGGGGGCAATTCCCCCATGCTGTTGTCATAATAGTGAGTGAGTTATCATGACGTCTGATGTTTTTATAAGTGTTTGACCATTCCACCTTCACACGCTGTCACTCTCACCTGCCGCCATGTAAGACATGCCTCTTCCCCTTCTGCCATAATTGTAAGTTTCCTGAGGCCACCCCAGCCATGTGGAACTGTTGAGTCAATTAAACCTCTTTCCTTTATAAATTACCCAGTCTCGGGTATTTCTTTATAGCAGTGTGAAAACAGACTAGCATATAATAGAAGGCTCTTTACCTTTTTAAACTTGGAAGGCCAAATTAATACTGTCCTTTCCATTATAAGAATCTTCAGATTAAATATTTTCTCATTCATTGTCCCTCAGATCATATACATTTGCTTTTTAACTCTAAGTTACATGTAATAAACAATGAAATTGTATTGTGGATCATAAACTTGAGTTTTAAAAAGATTTTTCTCCTAATTTTAAAAGTAATAAAAACAATAAATACTTACTGTATTCCAGGTAGTGTTTTTTTTTTTTTTTGAGATGGAGTTTCACTCTGTAGCCCAAGCTGTAGTGTGGTGGCGTGATCTTGGCTCACTGCAACCTCCACTTCCCGGCCTCAAGCAATTCTCCTGCCTCAGCCTCCTTGGTAGCTGGGACTACAGGCACAAGCCACCAAGCCTGGCTAATTGTTTTGTACTTTAGTCTCTACTAAACAGGGTTTCCCCATGTTGCCCAGGGTGGTCTCGAACTCCTGAGCTCAGGTGATCCACCCACCTTGGCCTCCTAAAGTGCTGGTATTACAGGCGTGAGCCACCGCGCCTGGCCCAGGTAGTGTTCTAAGGGGCATGCTTCCATTAATTCATGGAATTCACAATAACCCTTTGTTGCAGTAACTATTATTATCCCCACTTTACAGATAGGAAAGCGGTACAGTGACTGGGGCAGAGAGAGGCTCTGTGACTTTGTGCAAGCAGCAATGTAGGCATTTGAATTTCGGCACGCTGGCTCCTGAGTCCATTCTACTAAAAATTGTGCTGTATTTAATGCAGAGAATTTCAAAAACATGAGATAAAAAATAAGAGAAGAATAGCATCAATTTTCCCATCATTCAAAGGTATCTGTTAAAAGGAAACATTTAAAACTTAGCTATATATACTTTCTGAATTTGTATGTACATATAAACTTATAAAAAATGAAAATGCTAATTGTTTTCACACGTACTGTTTGGTAGCCTCCCTTTGGTATGTTCCCAGACCAAAAATTATTATTCTTCCCCATGCTTTTTTTCAGCTACATAATGTTCTATTTTATGGAAGTACATCATTTCCATAATTGAATTTCTTATTAAGACATATTATTTGCAAATCTGCAACAAATGTGCATGTTATTTTTAGACGTATGTTTGGTTATTTCTTTACGATAGAGTCCTAGAATCACCGGCTGAGGCAAGGGAGATGCACATTTGAAGCCTCTTTATTCATCTTGCCAATTGTCCTCAAGAAACATTGTTTCAAGTCCCATTAATGCAAGCAATGAACAAAAGTTTTTATTTTTCTGGATACTGGATGCCTCTGGCTTATTTTTCTTTCTATTCTGTTTCTTTAATAGACAAAACAAAAGAAAAAGTTTCTCATATCAATGTGCATTTTTTTGCGATTTGCAAAAAGTTCAAAAATTAACAAAATTTATCTATTCCTTGAGTAAATGTATGTGGTTCAAGATGTCAAAGAAACAAAGTATTGTGCAGTGGAAAATGAGTGCACCTTCAGCACCTGCCTCCCAGACATCCATCAGTAACCCTCTCAGGAGGCGACCACTGTTACCATTTCCTTGACTAGCCTTCCTAGAATAATTATGCATATACAAGCAAAGAAGGGTATAAGGGTACACACACAAATAAGCATACTACATATATTGTTTTTGCCCTTGTGTTTTTCACCTAACAATATATTTTGGAAATTATTCCATATTAATAATCAAATAATGATATTATTATTTTTGATGCCTACCTACTATTGCATTATAAGGGAATTATAAGGGAAGGGTTGCAAATATTAACATCTGTTAATTAGCTTTGGATATTTCTTCTTTTGCAAATACTTGCCAGTGTTCTTTGAGCAGTCTTAGAATTGTGGTTTTAATGTTTTGTTATTGATGATGATTTGTAAGTCTTTGCTGTGAAATAAGATGACCGACCATTGGTATTAAATGATGTAAATTTTATTTCACATTTCATTGTTGTCTTTTCAATTTTGTTTTCTGGTGGTAGGCTTATTTTGTTGTTGTTTGTTTTGTTTTGGTGTGGCTATGGAAGTCTTTTTGGGCAATCAAATCTATCAATCATTTTGATTTGATTTGTGAATGATTTTCCTGGATTTTCCTGGATGATCAGAGGCTAGTGTTGTCTCTTTGTTTACTTAGATTCTTTTGACAAGGGCTTTGGCTATTGTGAATAGTGCTAGTATGAACATGGATGTGCAAATATCTCTTCGAGACCCTGCTTTCAATTATTTTGGGTATATGTCCAGAAGTGGAATTGTTGGATCATATGGTAGTTCTATTTTTAAATTTCTCGGAAACTGCCATACTCTTTCTCATAACAGCTGCACCATTTCACAATCCCACCAACAGTGCACAAGGATTCCAATTTCTCCACACCCTCACCAATGCTCGCTATTTTTTGGGTGTTATTTTTGACAGTAGCCCATCCTAATAGGCATGAGGATCAATTGTTCTGAACATAACATTTCTGTCAGGGTTTTTAAAAAGTTTCCAAAATGACATCCCTCCAGCTCCACATATTCTATAAGAGCAATATCATAAATTAGAAGCTGTCTATGAAAACTTGTAGTTGGAAGATGTTTGTTTTCTGTGGGTTAGTTACATTTCACATATGCCTCATTTGTGAAATAATTTCTAATGTGCATGAGCTGGAATTCAATGCCTGTAGTCAAAGTAGGCTTAATTTTGAATTGGAGTTGATTAAAATGAAATGACTAATTAGCTTTATATTGACTTGGGAGTTGTCCCCTAAGGAAGGCATTGGGACAATGTTGATACTCTGATTACCTCTATTCCTACCTCTGTTAGCTTAAAATATTAGTACTGCATTCAGCACCCAGCAAGAATTTCTAGTATCTGAAGGCAGCAGGATACTTGCAGCCATTTTCAAACCATGGAATATGGATGATTGGTAGAGACTTCTCTATCTTGAGTCCCTTCTAATATTTCATGCTTTATCTTATTCATAAGAAGGGGCTTCACTAAGTAGGACTGTCTTGTCTTGACCACTAGGGGATCAAGGTTAAGTTTCTTAGTCTTGGTAATTGTCAGATTTCTAGTCTTTAAAATAGGGATAATGTCATGGAGTACCTATGTCAGAGTTGCAAGGACCAAACGAGCTAAGGCATGAAAAGCATTTAGCAAGGTCCCTGGCAAGTAAGGGCTAAATAAACATGGTGTTTCTTGATGTTATGTCTTGTAACCATTGTAATAATCTCAGTCAATCAGATTTATATCAGGGTACAGGTTCTTTTCTGGGGAATTTTTCTAGCACCAGGTATTTTCTGTTTATCTTCTATGTGGATGGCTTTTCCTTATTTCTTCTCATTGACACCAAGGGATTCCAAGTCCCATTCTGATTGTGTATTGTCAAAGTGAAAAACAGCTGTGGCCAGCAGAGCCATGACTATAACCATTTTCAAAGTCCTGTGTGTAACAAACCTCAAGGATTGATTTTTCACTAAGCCTTTCTCCTTGACTGTCAAATGACAAGCAAGGGTATGCAGATGATAACCCCGAACCCCTTTGATCCCATTTCCAAAATATGGCCATGCCATAGATGAAGGCAAATTGTTTTATTTCATCTTGTTGGCCCCATTGTGTATGCTCTAAGTTCATTTTGGACTTCTGTCTTTACTGATAGCAATTTCTATTTCTTTCAGACAGAAGCCCCTTCTTTCATACCTTTTAGTTGCATTTCTTAGCATTCTGGCCGCAGTCTTCTACTACATGGTCCTTATTTGTCATCTCTTCCCTTTCTTCCTCTCTCCATCCCTTTTTTCCATTATTCATCCAGCAATATTTATTGAGAACCAACCATGTGAGGGGCAGCACACTGGACATTGTCTTGGCTTCCTCTGTCACTGCAGATTTAATGGATCACTTTAGACTTATGCCTGTATTATTGCCAGGGTTCCCCTATGTATATTGAAACAAATAGTCTCTGGGGATCTTTCCATTTTCTGCCACTGATTTTTTCTTTCTTTTCTTTTTTTTTGAGATAGAGTCTTACTAGCTCTGTCACCCAGCCTGGAGTGCAGTGGTGCGACCTCTGCTCACTGCAACCTATGCTTCCTGGGTTCAAGTGATTCTTTTGCCTCAGCCTCCTGAGTAGCTGGGATTACAGGAGCGCACCACCATGCCTGGCTAATTTTTTTTTTTTTTTTTTTTTTGTATTTTTAGTATATACAGGTTTTTCTCATGGTGGCCAGGCTGGTCTCAAACTCCTGACCTCAAGTGATCTACCTGCCTCGGCCTCCCAAAGTGCTGGGATTACAGGCGTGAGCCACCACACCTGGCCATTTTCTGTCTCTTCTGATTGGGCTGTGTATCTGAGCTGTGTCCTGGGCCACTGTGCCATCCCACAGCTGACAAAATGGCTCTCACCTCCAGGAAACTCTTACCTCAGCATTTTTTCCTCTGTCTTGAGCTTTTCTTTTGTTCTCTGGGAATAGTCCTCTTACTTTCTTGGAGCTTCTTTAGTTATTTTTTGATCAATTTTTTTTACACAGTTTTTTGTAACGGAGCAAAATATTTTCAGAACTTGTTTCTGGCATGTGTGTGTCTGTCTCATCTATCTGCCTGTGTCTATGTTAACCGTTCTTTGAATCTGATGCCCAATATTCTATTTGATTCTGTTGATTCTGAAAATTTCTTTTTAGTCATTGGTTTAGCATTTCTACCTCTTCTCCTTAAACCCTAGGATTTTCTTTAAAAAGTGTTGGGACTGATGTTCTGTTCTTCAGATTGGCGAACATGGCTCAAAGACCACTAGTGTTTAAGCAGCAGCAGCTTTTCTATATTCTGCTTGCTGTGGGCACTTGTGATGTCCCACTGTGGCTGCCATCAGCAGAGATGTGGATCCTGGTGGTGGCTGTGTCTGCCTCCTGGCCAGCCAGCTTCCTTTATAGGGAAGAAATGCTTCCGCTTCTTACTGGGGTGTGAGAGGCGGGCCCGTCAGTCACTGCTGCTCCCTAGCACTCATAGCAATGTCCATTTTCTATCCTTTGTGCCCTGATGATAATCTTTCTGGTATCATAACTGTCTTCTCCTCCCCTTCCCTGTCTCCTCTTCCTGCTTTTTTTCTTCTTCCTCCTTCTCCTCCTCACTCCAGTATCAAGGCTTAGCTTAAATGTGTTGCACTATAAAGGCCTCATATTTTAAAAATATAATTCATTCAGTCCTCCTCTATGCCTAAGCTTATTTCTTTGTTATGGCACTTTTCATTTCATAGTATAGCTCTCTACCGAGGAGCGCATACGGGATAAGGGCAGAGTATGAGTATTTTTTGAGCCCAAAAAATAATAGTCATTTTTATTGGTATAGCTTCAAGCATAGTTCATTTACATGATTTATGTTTTAGGAAATTTCAAGTGCAGAAAAATTGCCCAGCAGTTAGAGATGATTGGGTTATCAATATGCTCCCTGTTTTTTGGTGTATTTTTTCCAGCTTTATTGAGGTATAACTTACAAATAACATTGTATATGTTTAAGATGTACAACTTGATTTTTTCAAAATTAATTATTTTTTTGAAGTAAATTTTATTGTGTATACTTAAGGTGTACAACATGACGTGATGAGATATATATAGATAATAAAATGATTACTACAGTGAGGCAAACTAACGTATCCATCATCTCACGTTGTTATCCAACACTAAAATCTACGCATGGAGCAAAAATGCGGAATACAGTACAATATGATTAACTATAGTTCTCATGTTGTAGATTAAATCTCTAGACTTGTTCATCCTATATCTGCTACTTTATAGCCTTTGATCTACATCTTCTCATTTTCTTCCCTTCCCCCAACCCTCCCCATAACCACTGTGTTATGTTCTATTTCCGTATATTTGACTTAATAAAAGATTCCATATATAAATGAGATGATGCAATTTTTTTCTGAGTCTTTGTTTATTTCACTTAGCACAATAACCTCCACCAGGCTCATCCATGTTGTGGCAAATGGCAAGATCTCATTCGTTTTTAAGGCTGAATAATATTCCATTTGTCCATTTGTCCATGAATTGTCACTTAGGTTGTTTCCATATCTTGGCTGCTGTGAATAGTGCTGCAATGAACACGGGGGTGCAGATATCTTTACGAGGTGGTGATTTCATTCCTTTGGATATATATTCAGAAGAGGGTTTTCTGGATCACAGAGTAATTCTATTCTTAATTTTTTGAGAAAATTTCATACTGTTTTCCGTAATGGCTGCAGCAATCTACACTGCCACCAACAGGGTACAGGGTTCCCTTTTCTCCACACGCTCACCAACACTTGCTATTTCTTGTCTTTTTGGTAATAGAAGGGCAGGGCATCATTAATATTGTTTCCCTTACATGTGCTGAACAAACACAGCAGAGCAGTTACCAGCGCTAACTCTGGAACTGGCTTGCTCATGCTCATCTCTTGTCCCTGCCAGTTCCTAACTGCGGAAACTTGGGCAAGTTGCTTAACCTCTCTGTGCCTTCCTTTGTTACTTGGAGCTGATAAAAATAATGCTTAGAACAGTTACTGCCATATAAAAAGTGCTATTAAGTGTTTGCTATTATGTGTTGAATTCAGCTTAATAGAATCATCATCAGGATCACCAGCAATTTATTGAGTGACAGTGTGTGTTTTATTCATTGATCGTCATTACACTTAGAATAGGGTCGGGGATATAGCAGGCATTCAATCAATATTTTTGAGGGAATGAATTAATGAATGGGCTAGATGTTATATATACAAAGAAATATGTCTAATTTCTTTCCTTCAGGTCTCACAGATGGTTGAGAATACAAGATGGAGATAAGACGAAAATTGAATGGTGCTTAATATGAAGCCCTTCAAGGCTGCCTCTTTCAGAATCATTTAGGAGGCTTATTAAAATTGCAGATTTGCTAGCCAAACTCTCCTCGATCTCAGTTCCATAGATCTGGACGTCGGTCCAAAACTCTACAGTGCCAAGAAAGCTCCCCAGGGGCTTCCGGTGAATTCCCAAGAACAGCCAGGACTGGGATCGCAGGCCAGGCAGTAAATGATACAGGAGATGAGAGGAGGGAGAGCTCTGGGGGCTGACACTGTTGGGAAGGCCTGGTGGGAGGGGAGGTACCTGCAAGGGCATGTAGGGCTTGGGCATGGGGTGGACTTGATCGTGGGGGCTTAGACTGCAGTAGAGACATTCTGGTCACATTTGCCTGCCCATGAGCTCCTTCCGTCTCCTGATGTGCCTCAGCAATTTCATGTGCAAAGTACACAAGAGCCATTTGTTGGAAAGTACCTAAATCACTCTATTTACTGAGTGCTTTACTTGCACTTATAAATCTAAAACAAATTTTCAAGCAAATAAACAAGTGTGTGGATATGGAGCAGAAATACCACTCATGGCATCCTGAACTTGGCCCTCTGACTCAGTAATTAGTATCCTAAAACTGAGTTCAAGCATCACATTTTATTTTCAGGTTTTACATACTTCATAGAACTTGGTCTCTGATGTTACAGAGATCACAGTAACAGTTTACCTTATCTCCAGAATTTCTAACTTCTCAATGGTGGCATCTCTCATTAGAACAGGTAGTCACCAAATAGTTCCACACAAAGACTCTCCCAATGTGTCATTTATTAAAACAAACAAACAGATTTGATATACAATTAATATACCACAAAATCACCCATCTAAAATGTACAGTCTGGTAGTTTTTAACATATTCAGAATTCTGCAGCTTTCACCACGAATTAATCGTAGAGTATTTTCATCACCCCAGAGCCACCCCTCCCTACCTTTAGTCACTTCCCATTTCCCCGGCCCCTGATAATCACTCATCTGCTTTCTGTCTCTGTGGAGTACTATTCTGGAAATTTCATATAAATGGAATGATACAACATGTGGCCTTTTGTGACTGACTTCTTTTACTTAGCATACTGTTTTCGAGGTTCATCTATATTGCAGCATGTGTCAGCACCTCATTTCTTTTTGTGCTGAACACTATTCTACTATATAAATATACTTCATTTTCTTTATCCACTCATTAGCTTGTACACAACTGGATTTCCACTTTTTGGCTATGTGCAAAGTTTCTGTATGCATGCATGTTCTCATTTCTCTTGGGTACCCACTTAGGACTGGAATTCCTGGGACATGTGCTAACTGTATTTATCTAACTTTTTGAGAAATCTTCAAAATGGTTCCCAAAGCAGCTGCACTATTTTATATGCCTACCAGCAATGCATGAGGGTTCAATTTCTCCACATCCTCACCGACATTTGTTATTGTCTTTGATTATAGCCATCCCAGTGTGTGTGAAGTAGTATCTTGTTATAGTTTTGATTTGCATTTCCCTAATGATAAATGACATAAAGCATCTTTTCAGGCATATTGGCCATTTGCATATCTTCCTTGAGAAAATGTATGTTCAATTTTTTTCCATTTAAAAATTTGATGATTTTAAATTTTATTGTTGAGTTGTAAGGATTCGTTATATATTCTGGATAGTAGACCCTTATCAAATATATGATTTGTAAATATTTTCTCCCATTTTGTGAATCTTTTCACTTTCTTGATAGTGTCCTTGGATGCACAAAAGTTTTTAGTTGTGTTGAAAAACAGTTTGTATATCTTTTCCTTTGGTTACTTGTGCTTTATGTGCATATCTAAGAAACTGTTTCTAATCCTGGGTCAGGAGACTTACAACTCTGTTTTCCTCTAAGAGTTTTATAGTTTCAGCTCTTATATTTAGGTCTGATTCATTTAGAATTAATGACTTGTATATGGTGTGAGGTAGAGGTTCAAATCTATTCTTCTGCATGTGGCTATCCAGTTGTCCGAGCACTAAATGTTTAGTCCATTTTCATCCTTCCATTTTGTCTTGTCCAGGCTGTTGAAGTAGCCTCCTCACAGCTCTCCCTGCTCTTAGCTCTTCTCCACCAGAGTCCATCTCCCACCATACTACCAGTTATTCATCTTATACACAGATATGATTATGTCCTTTCCTTAATAAAAAAACTTTATTCTTTCCTTAGTTTCTATAAAATAGTTCAAATATTCAACATAAAATTCCAGGTCCTATCTAGCATGACCTCAACCCACCTCCTAATTTTACTGTGTTCCTTCTCCCCACTTGCTACCCCATCCCAGCCATCCTTGACTTCTTAGCTGGTCTCTTTCTGGCCTGAGTGAGACATTTGGCCTGGATATATATGCATGGTATGGCTTTGGTTGCTTACTGTGGCATTGGTGCTTATGGGATAGCCATTGACTTTAATTAATGGGGTGTTATCAGCACATTTATCCTATTGAAATGACTAGAGGAACCCATAAGAAACCACATTTTCAGGACTAGTAATCTATTTTAGCATCATTTGGAAGACAACAAACTTTCATTTTATGGGTAGACTAACATTCACAAATTATGACATATATCATATAATCATAATCATTAAGTTATATTTTAAATAATCAACCATCCACCATCCCAAACTCTAAGACTTTGTTGGTAAGTTTTGTATGTCACAGGTTCATATTTTTCACATTCTGACACCTACATTCAAGGCCTCAAACTTTACCAGAGACTTTTTATCATTGAGGTAAAACTAGAAGTCATTAATTTAAAAAATTATATTATTTTTAATTATGGTAAAAACATAAAATATACATTTTACCATCTTGATTTTTTAAAGCAGTTTACTAGTGTTAAGTATATTCAACAGATCTCCAGAGCTTTTCATCTTGTAAAACTGAAACTGTAACCCATTTACCAACAACTCCTTCCCCATTTCCTTCTCCTCCCAAGGCCTGGCAACCACCATTATTCTTTCTGTTTCTGTGAATTTTACTACTTTAGATACCTCATATAAATGGAGTCATATGGTATTTAGCACAAGGTCCTCAAGGTTCATCCATGTTGCAGCACATGACAGGGTTTTCTTCCTTTTCAGGGCTGAATAATACTCCATTTTGTCTCTATATCACATTTTTTTGTTTATCCATTGATCTGTTGGTAGACATTTGTGTTGCTTCCACTTCTTGGCTGTTGTAAATAATGCTGCTGTGAACACAGGTGTGCAAATCTCTTTGAGGACTCTGCTTTCAGTTCTTTGGGATATATACACAGAAGTGTATATAGGATTAGGATTGCAGGATCAGATGATAATTATTGTTTTAATTTTTCAACTTATCTTCTCGAATGAGAACACTAAATTAAATTTGTGGGGTTTGTGTCATTTTAGACATAGCTCACGAAGAAGATGGTAACTTTAAATTGTCCCTGCAACAATGATGATGGGCTTCAGTGATTGTCTTAAATGAGTCATCATTATTTTTGTGTTTTATAACCAACCCTATGCATCTGAACACAAAAGTCAAACCTTTTTAATACCTCAGGTGTATTTTACACCAAAATACAGGGAAAAGGCATCAATCAAAGCTGCTTAACAGCTGATATGATAGTGATTACATGTGATATGGTAGTTGAGACTGAAATGCTATTTGTAATACAAAGATTATCTTAACTGAGTCTGATTTGAGGTGAAAAAAGGTACTAATTAGGGTGACAATATGAATTTGATTTAACTTTAAAGTATTATGAGAGAAAACATACTATGTCACAACTCTTTTATATAACGAACTGGGATTTAGGTATGGAGTGGGTAGAATAGTGGTCAAGAGCAGGGATTCTGGAGTCAAGTGTTTGGCACCAATCCTGGCTCTGGCCATTGCCAGCTGCATGAGTGCCACTGGGCAAGCTTCTCACAGCACCAGATTTTTCATCTGTAAAATACGGTTAATAATGGATTGTGGTGGCATTACATGAATTAATATACGCAACATGCCGGAATGACATCTGGCAGGGAGGAAAAGCCATATAAGATTTTGTAATTGATTTTCTAGCACAAGCTATCCATTCTTAGGTTGTTGTATCTTCCTTGTGTCATCCCACATATCAATATTGTCATCTGCAAAAAATATACACGTATGTCTCTTTTAACTAATGATTTTAAAATGTGGACTAATCAATGATCTAAAATCCCCCTTCCTTTTAGTCAATTAGTAGTTCATAAATTGAAGATGTGATGGATAGAACATTTCGTACCCAGAAAGCTCTTAGATTGTGAATGCTGAGGGAACACTGGGAGATTCAGTGAGTGCAGCACAAATACAATCTAGGTGACTGGAATAGTTTCTAATGAATGAATCACTGAATAAGCAGATGGGTTGTGGAAGGCAAACCATGAGTAAATTTTTTCTTTTACTACAGAAATATTTCTGAAAGGTAAATACCCAGGTTTATGATGATAGACCTTCTTTAAACTCATGCTATTTTTCTTTCTGGGTTTTGTTGTCAACACAATCTCATCTGCTCTTTGCAACCATTACCTCTCAGAATGGGTATGAAGATCAGGTGCAACCATGTATGTGATAATGCTTCTAAAAACTATTTTTTTTCCAGTTTTATTGAAATATATTTTGCATAAAAATATAAAATCCACCCATTTAAAGTACAAAGCTCAGTGGTTTTCAGTACATTCACAGAGTTGTGCGATCATTGCCACAATTAATTCCTTTCTGTCTCCATGGAATCTAATTTTGAACATTTTATATAAATAGAACAATACAATATGCGGTCTTTTGCGTCTGGCTTATTTCATTTAGTATAGTGTTTTCAAGGGTCATTTATATTGCAGCATGTATCAGTACTTCATTCTTTTTATTGCCAAATAAGACTTCATTGTATGGATATGTACTACATTTTATTTTCTCATTCATGAGTTGATGAACATTTGGGTTTCCACTTTTGGCTATTACAAATAAAATTGCTATGAACGTTTGTGTGTGAGTTTTTGTGTGGACACACATCTTTAATTCTCTTGAGTATATGCCTAATAGAGAAATTTCTGAGTCATATGGTAACCCTATATTTAGCACTTCCAGGAACTGCCAAATGGCTGTACGATTTTACATTCCAACCAGCAATGTGTGAGGGCTCCAATTTCCCTACACTGTCATGTACACTTGCTATTATCTGTTTTGTCATAATGGGTATGAAGTGGTAAAACTACTGAAAAAAGTGACATATTCATGGAGTAAAAGTAAAATTGAAACATGCAGAAAGTATTCTTCAGGCCCAGACAGCCCCCCAGAATTACAGTTTTTTTTCTAGAGTCCTTGAAAGTTGTCTATGCACATATGACGTATCCCTAGATATGTATTTGCAAGAACACATGTAGGAGTATACTATTTTGTATCATTCTTTATCACTTAATAATATACCTAAGAGCAATTGCTATAGAACAGGTTGACCTGCCTCATTCTTTTTACTCTTAGCAGAGTATTTTTTGTGACGATGTACCTTCGTTCGTTTTAACAGCTTTTCTAATGAAGGGCATTTTGGTTGGTTTTGCTCTTATAAGTAATGCCATGCGCATCCACAAGACATACAATTGTTCTTGAGTACATTTGTGAAGATATTCACAGGAAAAAACAAGTTATACTGCTATATACCACCATCAACAGGGGATGAGAGTGCCTATTAGCCCACAATCTTTCCAGCTTAACACTGTGTGTTATCAGCCTTTCCCATCTTGGCCAATGTGGTAGGTAAAAAATAGTTCAGTAAAAGTTGATTTGACCTATAAGGGGCAAATCAAGTTTATGTTATAAAGCTTGAAGTTCAACATTGAAGTTGAACTCCAGATAATATGGTTAAAGCTTTCAAATTTCTGAGAAATATGCAGGCATAGAGATTGTATCTAAATTTGCCTTAATACATAGTATATCCATTTGCTAATTGAAGAAGGTGATTGGTTCATTTATTTATTCAACTGGCATTTATTCAGCATTTATCGTATGCTAGGTGAACTTTAAGTGCTAGAGAGAAGGATGAATAAGAAACATACATTGCTTACAAGTAATATATAGTCTAATAAGGGGGACATATATATATAAATCAATAAGCATAATGGACATGAAATAGAGGCAAGTATTATACAATAAGCTGTGTATATTAGGCCATAGGCTAAGCTACTGTGAAAAAAAAGGACCCTCAAATACTTGGGAAATTGCTTTTGGGAAAAGACAAAAAAAAAAAAAAAAGCTTGTGGAAAAGGGTGAAAAGTGGACATGAGAGTAAGGAGAGTAAGCCATTTTTAAAATAAAATTTTATTTTAACTTCGATTGTCATATGGTAAGTGTACATATTCATGGGATAAAAATGAAAGGTTTTGACACATGTGTGCATTGTGTAATGATGAAATCAGAGTAATTAGCAAATCCATCATCTCAAACATTTATCATTTCTTTGTGGTAAAGCATTCAAAATCCTCTCTTCTAGTTAGTTTGAAATATACGATGCATTATTGTTAGCCACAGTCACCCTGCTGTGCAATGGAACACCAGAACTGATTCCTCTCACCTAACTGCAACTTTGTACCAGTTGATCAACCTCTCCCCATAGCCATTTCCTCTTAAGCAAGAAACATGGAAATTGTACACATTACTTCTGAAAATACACTGGCAAGCCACTTCTAGTTGCAGGGTAGACTTGGAAAATGAAGTCTAACTGGGTGACCCTGTGCCTCCACATTATTCTGGAGGAAGGGGATCACGGAGCTAGGGTCCCCAGTCTGGGAGGCTGGTAGAGAGGCAGCTCGCTGTGCTACTCTGATATTTTTAGCTCCGTGGGGGAAAAAGAACTGCTAGACAGAGCTCTGTCAACACAGATCTGACAATCTCATTCAGAAACAAGTTACAGAGACCTCAAGTGATTAATAAACAAGATTATTCTATAGAACATCTTATGGTGACATAATCAATATGATTTCAACACTCAGCTAATAAATGCTATGAAATACAATTTATGTAAGGTGTTAATTGACATGTCAGGTTTTAAATACAAAAGGAATGAGGGAGGGAGACATGAATATAGATGGGTGTTATCAGAGAATGACACTTAGATACATTTCATATTGTGTCATGTAAACTAATACCTACTTTTTGGGATATTTCTTCATGGTTTAGTTTTTAATGTAGATTCAAGAGTTTTATATATTCAAACTCTTCATGAAAAAAATTCAGCTCTGGTTATGTACATCCACATTTACAGGAATTGAATTTTTCTTTTTGTACACTTGTGAGTATATTTTTTCCTATGGCAAACGTTTTCCAGAAAGCAAAAGTTATTTGTGTTACTGTCCCTGATAATCGATGCTGTGTAATAAATCGTTCTCAGCAATGGCAGTTTGGACACTGATGGACAGTTGGTGACTGGTAATTTGTACAGTATGTTTAGTGGGACGGCGGGCAAGGGGGAAAAGTGGCATTTGGTTCCTCAGTCCCAGATTTGGGTCAATGTTCTCATAATACTGGTGAGCAAGGAGCCTAATTCTTTAGGAATTTTAAAAGGTTTCTTTTAGTGAAGAACATTTCCCAGGTGTCTAATGAAAAATTATAAATGACCAGGTATAATTTTGCCAAGCTTTCCAACATAGTTTTCCTTTAGGGTGAGAAACAATCCTTTGATTTTCTTGAAGTAGAAGTCTCTTCTCGAATGCTAACAGTAAAACAAGACCTTTTCAGACAGATTTTGTATTTTGCCATCAAATGTGCAATTTTTGAAGATACGGGACTTGAGAATCAGGTAAACTTCGTTCTGAAAACCAGGCTTAATTTTATGACTGTGATTAGAAAGTTGAAAAAAAAATCACGTTCTCACAAATGAAAACAAAAGTCAGAGTTCAAACTGTTTATCCTGTTTCTGTAAGCTTTTGTTTCAGAAGGCCAAGGATTATTTGAGGAGAACCTGGAAAATTAACTCAAATGGAGGAAAAAAATGGCGTTTATGCAAAATGCAGCAAAAGCAGACAGCCTTGGAGAACTGAAGCTTAAATAGCGTAAGAGTCTGAGTACTAGTCTTCAGATACTTAAAACAGCATTTGATAGACAAGTTAGATATTTAAGGAAACATTTAATCAGCTTGGCATCAGCATTAGTGGCTTCAATTTTTGGCTGAGCCTGACTTTGCCATATGATCCTAGACAAATTTGCCTAAAATGGGTGATATTAACTTCTTTAGGGAAAGGCTCTGTACTGGGATTTTTTTGAGGCCTATGATTTATGGGGTCAAGCTATAAAACAGGAGGAAACACATGCTCATTTGTATAATTTTTACATATATTTGGTCCATAATTGTACAGCTAGGCAATTCATTTATTATCTGTTTGAGAGTAAAAGTTTGATTATTTTAATGTTACTACTTCTGGTTTTTTCTCTTCTCACATGTTCCCAGTGACTCCTTTCTGATAACCCAACTTATCATCATAGAACGCATGTAATGCTGAGAATAAGACACAGGGTCTTGGAAAATGAATGACAGCAATGGTGCTCCGATGGCAGTTTTGTCAGACTTTGAATGGTTTATGAAATCACTGTTGATAAAAGTGAACACCTTCTACTGAAGGGAGAAATTTAGGGGGGAAAAATCCCAAATAGAAGGAGTTAATATCCAAACCTGGAGACTTACCTGGTAAGGTTCACTTAACTGGTAAAATGTGATCCAATTTAAACAAAGTATTTTTAGTTTTCTCAGAACAAACATCCTACATAAACACAAAAAATGATATGAGACATAGATATAACTTGGTTCACAATATTTTCCAAAACTATAATGTACCAGCCAGTTGGTACAGCACACCAGGAGAGAAGATCATTATTAATGTGCTAATAGCAGCATTTTATTTTGAAACCCACTCTGCATGGTTACAGGGCTCAAAACAACATATTCTAACAGGAAGATACATTACCGAAATATTTTAATGAGAATATTTAATATGCATTGAGAGGTCCGCATTTTCTTGCAGAGACCTTGTAGGTAGCTCTTTGAGATTTCTGTCTCTATGCATTTAAGTGAAGGAGTTGGTTGGGTATTTTAGTTGGCAAATTTTGCAGACATGTAGCTTTGGTAGTGGAGAGGTAATAGTACCATGCCCTGCGTGCTGGCGAGGAAGCCCCACAGCAACAGTGGCTTTTAGCAGCTACCAGATTTGCTAAAAGCAGCCATGTCCAATTAGCAGTAAGTGCCATGCACCTGCAGTTACTAGGAATTGAACCTCTTTTGAGGCTGAATCTTAATGTAGCCTTTTAAAAAAATAGCAAAAATCTTACTCATACTCTGAGATAATAAAGAAAAATTAGCAATGGCAAAATGGACGCACTCTGAAATGTATTCTTAATAATGATTTAGAATATGGGGTAAATGTAGAGGCAATGACACATTTAAACTGCATTATTTTTAAATACTGTTTTATCAGTTTACTTCCTAATTTTGAATTCAATTTTCATATCTATACTGCAACTGCTTTTTTTTTTTTTTTTTAGAAATCTATAATATTGCTGCAGGCTCCCTATGTATGTTTCCATAATTTTCTGCAAAGTGTTTTCACCAGAATAAAAAAAAATTACAGTTCAAAATTGCAAAACTGTAGAAAAAATATGCTCTTTGACTTCTTTTCTATGTGTCAAATTCACCACAATGGAAAGGACTACACTATAGAATTAAAACGTTATTTTCAACAGATAGTACTTATTTTAACATGTGTTCAGCATTTAAAAATATTTAATATTCTTTTCTAAAAATGCTTACATTCAGAAACTATTTATGAGGGTTCTGAGCAGTATGATGTTTCTTTCTCTGATTTACTGCTTTTTCTCTTTTAGAGGATATTGTAGGAGAAAAACATTTGTTAAGCAATTTCCAGAACTACTAGGTTCTAATAAGACCAATAGGCTAATAATTCATTTCATTGCAACTGGAGTGTGTACTTTTCCTTTATTCTCAGTCATAATTTTTTAAAAGAGCCAAGAACACCAAATCATCAAATCTAATGTTGAACATGTAGTAACTTTTATTTGCTGATCATACTCTGAGATTCACCATAACGAATAAATCATAAGTATTAAAATTTCAGCTTTTTAACATACCCACTACACTGCTAGCCTGGTAACACAGTCACCAACTACACAGCTTCTTCAACTGTTGACGTGCTTTAAAGCTAGGATTATGGTATCCTGCCAAAAAGATCCTACAAACTGTCACTATTTTGGTTTGTCCTGCCAGCCATTGAGAAGTAGACAATTTCTATATACACAAACCAGTTTGGAAAATTTATGCAAATAGGAAGTTATTCTCAAAATGGGTTATTTGATTGCATTTTTTTTTTTTTTTTTTGAGACAAGGTCTGACTCTCGCCCAGGCTGGAGTGCAGTGGCGTGATCTTGGCTCACTGCAACCTCCACCTCCGTGGTTCAAGCGATTCTCCTGCCTCAATCTCCTGAGTAGCTGGGAATACAGGTGCATGCCACCACTCCTGGCTAATTTTTGTATTTTTAGTAGAGGCAAGGTTTCACCGTGTTGACTAGGGTGGTCTCAAACTCCTGGCCTCAAGTGATCCACCCACGTTGGCCTCCCAAAGTGCTGGGATTACAGGCATAAGCCACCGTGCCCAGCCTGATTGTGTTTTAATGTATTGGCTCCCAACCAGTAGCAACAGTTTGGGTGCACAGATATTGCCGTAGTGTTTCTATTCAATGTGTCAAATTATTTAGGTAAAAGTTTGGCTTAACTTTGTTGACATGGAATTTCTATATCCTCCAGTTTCTGGTTTAACTGGTTTATGTGGAAATGAATGGAAACACATGGTTAAGTTCCCCAGCCTCCAGCTTCTCTCTTCCTCTTACCTATATTTGTACTTGCCCACTTTTCCTCTTGTGGGCCTGTTCCTAGAATCCATTATGTTCTGTGGGTGACATCAGCCTGCTACTGCGGGAAGAAATAGAATTTTATGGTGCCCAAGATAAAATCGACTATGATGATGCAGAATGAAGACCTGGAGAGGAGTCAGAGATTGCAGGGGATAAAAAGAGAGAAATCAGAGATGCTCCCACAAACAGAGAAAACCTTCAGAAGCAGCAGGAAGGACAGAGTAAATGGAGAACAAAAACTCAAGTCAAAATAGTCAATGGAAATAAACAGTTTTGAATTCCAGTTATAATTTGGAAAAGAAGCAAACGTTTATTTTAAATTAAGAAAAAAGTCGCTTATAATTTCCTGAAGTTTAGAAAAGTGAAAAATAGTTAAACCTCCTGTTGTTAGCTAAGAAGTGTCTATTATTATAAGTTTGTTGCTGGAGAGAACATAAAAATCTCTATCTATTGCTATTTTTTTTTTTTTTGCATAAGGGATGGATAAAAGAGTGTTTATTTTATTTAGCCTTTGGCCTGTAAAGTAAGATTTATGAAACAAAGGACAATCGGAAATGATAAGAATTTTTTCCTAATTTCTAATTATTTAGCTAAACCTTGATTGATTTCTCTCAGGCTAGTGCCCATATTACAGCAGCAGTCAGCCTTCATTTATCTTACCTGGGACCACTGCTAAATCCGATGTCACTTTTCAGTTTTTATATTATGTGACCATTTAGCCACATTTCACCTACTTGATCATTCCCTCCATCTTGAGACCTCCCTCGACCCGGCTTCCAACATACTTTGCCCTCCTGGTTTTTCTTTCTCTGTTGGCTCACTTTCTCAGTCTCCTCTGCTGGTTGCTCCATTTTTCCACAATCTCTCAAAACTGGTGCTCCTCAGATTAAGTCCTTGGACTTCTCTCCTTAGATTGACATCTGGAGTCATGGCTTCAAACACCACCTATCACTCCCTTTCTCCTTGAACTCTAGACGTGTCCATCCAACTGCTACGTGACATCTCCACTGGGATTTCTAAGAACTTTGCCAAACTTAACATGTCTAAAACCAAATTCTGGGCTGGGGGTGGTGGCTCACGCCTGTAATCCCAGCACTTTAGGAGGCTGAGGTGGGCAGACTACTTGAGCCCAGGAGTTCGAGACCAGTCTGGCCAATAGAGAAAAGCTGTCTCTACAAAAAATACAACACTTAGCTGGACGTGATGGTGCATGCCTGTAGTCCCAGTTACTGGGGAGGCTGAGGCGGGAGGATTGCTTGAGCCTGAGAAGTTGATTCTGCAGTAAGCTATGATTACACCACTACATTCCAGCCTGGGTGACAGAGTGAGACCCTGCCTCAAAAAAAAAAAACAAAAACCAAAACCAAAACCAAAAAAAAAAAGCAAAGAGCAAAACACAAAAAACATATTCCAAATCTCCCCTTTAAACCTCCTCTTCTTACAATGAGTCCTATCTTGATTTATGGCAGATCCTTCCTTCCAGTTCTCAAGCCAAACACCATGGGGTCATTCTTGACTCCTCTCTTCCATGGGCTCATCTAAACATCAGAGTATCCTGTTGGCTATCTGGAATTTAACCACTTCCTATCACTGCCATTGCTACCCACCTGCTCTTAGTTATCACCAGAGTTCCCTGGAGTGTTGGAGCCGCCGCAGAGCTGGTTTCCCTGCTCCTGCCTTTCCTGCCCATGCTCTGTCCTGCCAGTCAGCTCTGTCCTTTAAAAATGGAAATCAGGTTACCTCATGACTCTTTTCTTTCTTTTTCTTTTCTTTTTTTTTTTACAGAATCTTGCTCTGTCATCCAGCCTGGAGAGCAGTGGCATGATCTCTACTCACTGCAACTTCCGCCTCCCAGATTCAAGTGATTCTCCTGTCTCAGCCTCTTAAGTAGCTGGGATTATAGGTGCCAGCCACCATGCCCAGCTACTTTTTGTATTTTTAGTAGCGAAGGGGTTTCGCCATGTTGGCCAGGCTGGTCTTGAACTCCTGACCTCAGGTGATCTGCCCGCTTCAGCCTCCCGAAGTGCTGGGATTACAGGTGTGAGCCACCGCGCCCAGCCATGACTCTTTTCAAAAACTCCCCATCTTCTCCACTTCCATTCAGTAACAGTCAGATCTGCATGGCCCCCTCCTGACCTTCTGATGTCATGTTCTTTGCTACCCCTTGAGTGCATTGAACATGCCTCTGACCCAGAACTTTTCTGTTTGCTATTTCCTCAAGTGCATATCTTGTTCCTTCATTTTCTTCAGGTGATTATTAAAATTTCACTTCCATGAGTCCTTCCCTGGCCCCCATATTTAACACTGCATCTTCCTCCATCTTCTTTCCCTCCTCCCCATGTACATTTTACTCCCTTACTAAATTTTTTTTCCTATCTCACTTTCTTTTCTTTTTGAGACAGAGTATTACTCTGTCACTTAGGCTGGAGCGCAGTGGCGCAATCTTGGCTCACTGCAACCTCCACCTCCTGGGTTCAAGCAATTCTCCTGCCTCGGCCTCCCGAGTAGCTGGGATTAGAGGCGCGTGCCACCATGCCTGGCTAATTTTTGTATTTTTAGTAGAGACAGGGTTTCATCACGTTGGTCGGGCTGGTCTCCAACTCCTGACCTTGGCTTCCCAAAGTGCTGGTATTACTTTCTAACCTCCTGTGTATGCTACCTATTTATTTGTCTGTCTCTCTACACTAGAATATAAGCTCTATGAGGGTAGACTTCTTTGTTTTGTCCAATGCTCTATTTCCAATATTTATAACCGTACTGGCCGGTAGGTACTGTCAATTATAGTTTTTGAATAAATTGAGAGTAACAAATTCTAACTGGTGAAAATAAATTAAATGGGCCGGGCGTGATGGCTCACGCCTGTAATCCCAGCACTTTGGGAGGCCGAGGCGGGCAGATCACTTGAGGTCAGGAGTTCAAGACCAGCCTGGGCAACATGGTGAAACCCCGTCTCTATTAAAAATACAAAAATTAGCTGGGTGTGGTGGTGCATGCCTGTAATCCCAGCTACTCGGGAGGCTGAGGCACAAGAATCGCTTGAACCCTGGAGGCGAAGGTTGCAGTGAGCCGGCATTGAGCCACTGCACTCCAGCCTGGGCGACAGAGCGAGACTCTGTCTCAAAATAAATAAATAAAATAAAAATTAAAAAGAAAATAAATGATCTCACAGGATATCATTTCTTGATTGGAGGAGGAGAGAAAAATGTGTATGTGTGAGGGTACAGAGAGAGTTCCTTTGCATTAGTGAGGGTTCACATCAGAACTGTCTAACCTCCCTACTCAGTGGGTCCTGTTACCTCTCTCCTGAATCCAATAATACTCTGGTGCACACCTTTTACTGGTACTGAGGCTATTTTAACGTTCCATTAAAAAAAAAAAGAAAACATTTAAAATACAAAAACAAGGCTGTACTACTTTAACTCTGACCTTAGAAGACTCTCAGTTTTATAACTGTTTAGAGAAAATGTGGAAATGTTTGCTGGCCCCAATCTTTTTATTACTCATCTCTATAAAGAGGCTTTTAAGGACATATTAAAAAGTTTCCATCTCTCTTGTCTCTTGCCTTTCTTCTCATCTTCCTTTCTTGTACCCCAAATGGCTGAAAGCAAGACCCTGAGAGTCTGGAAGAAATATATTCTGGTCAGAGCAGACTGAGCTGGAGCTGGCCTAGAACCTTGGATCCTGACCTCAGAATTGCTGCTCAAATTACTGCTCTCTGAAAGAGTGAGCTCATGCATGTTTATTATTACTGTGAACAAATTTAGCTGTTGTTTCACCCAAACATTGAAGTTCTCGCTTGGACCCCTTTGCTTGTTTGTGCTTTTGCAAATGTGTTTTCTCATGTGCTACTAGAACCAAGATGAAAGCTTCAGTTCTCAGAACAGGTGCCACGACCGAGGAGACAAAACAAGAGCTATAGAGGGGTGTGGTGTGTGAAACTGAGAAAGCAGGTAGTTTTTCAGAAAAACTGAGAGCCAGGAATGACTTCATCCATTTCCTGTAATAAGGCAATGGTCTGACCTTGAGGAACCTATTAGAGTGTGCTTCTAAACAGAGGCCATTTCGAGGCTGAATGTACGGGAGTATTTACCTTTGACTGTTTTCTGAAGCAAGGTATTTTATAAACTGTAAAGTGGCTTATACAATTTTAGGAATGGAAAGTTTTGCAAAGTCTCCAAAATCCCTGGGAGTTTTGAATGTGCAGGCCATATGAATTCTTTGTAGTTTCATGGTCTTGCTGTTCAGCATTCTTTAGAGTCACCTGCATGGTAGAAGTTTAGTAGGAATTTGGGTAGTTATGGGCTGGTTTCTTTGTTTTCCCAAATAGAGGTAGCAAAATGGATGCTAAGAAGCAAATTACTTTTACTATTTTAGATGCCTCTGGGGACATCCTGTCATAATGCAACTTAAAATATACTCGTCTCCTCAGTTCCTTTTTATGTATTTATTTAATAGTCTTCAACCAATTTGTTCTTCATTAGCTGTTCTACAATACTTCAAGAGAAGTCATGATAATGATGCATTTAGGATCAGAAAAATATAGCATGTGTGAGTTCCTGGGGACTTTAGAGAATATCTAGCCCAGTCTTTCATTTTATAGAAGAGGAAGGCCAGGGATGGTGGCTCATGCCTGTAATCCCAGCACTTTGGGAGGCCAAAGTGGGCGGATCACCTGAGGTCAGGAGTTCGAGACCAGCCTGGCCAACATGGTGAAACCGCATCTCTACTAAAACTACAAAAATTAGGCAGGCCTGGTGGTGGGTGCCTGTAATCCCAGCTACTCAGGAGGCTGAGGCAGGAGAATTGCTTGAACCAGGCAGAGGTTGCAGTGAGCCAATATCATGCCACTGCACTCCAGCCTGGGCAACAGAGTGAGACTCTGTCTCAAATTAAAAAAAAAAAAAAAAGAAGAAGGAGAGGAAGCTGGGGGTGAGGACAGGCAGTGACTCACCCAGGGTCTCACACTGATTTGCTGGCAGAGTTAAGCATGAAAAGGTGCCTCTCCTAGTCTCTTTCCAGTGTTCTTGTCATCACAATGAGTTAAAATAAAAATTACTAGCAACTTGGGAGTAATAACAATAAACTTCTCAAAATCTACTACATGGTCTAGAAAACCAAACATAAGGCCGGACGCAGTGGCTCACGCCTGTAATCCCAGCACTTTGGGAGGCCAAGGCAGGCGGATCAGGAGGTCAAGAGATCAAGACAATCCTGGCCAACATGGTGACACTCTGTCTCTACTAAAACCACAGAAATTAGCTGGGTGTGGTGGTGCGTGCCTGTAGTCCCAGCTACTCAAGAGGCTGAGGCAGGAGAATTGCTTGAACACGGGAGGCAGAGGTTGCAGTGAGCCGAGATCATGCCACTGCACTCCAGCATGGCGACTGGACTCTGTCTCAAAAAAAAAAAAAAAAAAAAAGAAAACCAAACATAAAACCAGAATATTCCTGTGAGTTCCATTACATAGGACAATATGGTCCTGCTGATCTATTAAAATTATGTTTATAAATTAGAGGCTCTTCATTGGGAGATATACTTAATGCTAGATGACGAGTTAGTGGGTGCAGCGCACCAGCATGGCACATGTATACATATGTAACTAACCTGCACATTGTGCACATGTACCCTAAAACTTAAAGTATAATAATAATAATAATAAAAAAAGAATAACAGGAAAAATAATTAGAGGCTCTTTACTGTATTTAAGGTGTTCAAATAATTGAAGCTAGTTTAGTATCTCCTTAGCCTTCCCCAGCATGCCCTGCAGCTTTGACGCTGCAGAACACCAGTTGGTGGCTGATATTTAGATGATGGAAATCTTGGACACATTTTCATTTTTGATAAAATGACATGGCACTATGGTTACATTTTACAAATATTTTTGCGGATGTATATCAGGTGGCATACCCAAGAAGGAACAGACCTTCCTCAGGGGTCCTTCTTAGGAAAGTACAGCTTTGCTTCTCTGATCATCAGAATTGGATCCTTCAGGTATTAGGTTGGTGCAAAAGTAACTGCGGTTTTTGCCATTCAAAGTAATGGCACCTGAAAGGGTTGGTAAAATTCAGAATATTATAAAATCAGTAAAAGCTTAATCAAATTTGCCTAAATCTATCCTACAGATTAGTCTATGCATGGTTTATTAAACAACCTAACTGAAACACACATGCATATGTGTGAGTAAGCTGACATCAGGGATCACCTTATCATGGAAAATCTAGGGAAGGTTGGCTCAATCTTCAATTTGTGAAGACCAATTCCCCTACCACGTCCATATATACATATTCCCAGGAGACTTGTTTCTTCAGGGCTCTCTTTGGTTCTCAGCTCTTCCTTTCTGAATTAGTGGGTCACTTTAACCTCCCTTGGGTCACAGTCGTGTTCCACACTGGGTGGGTCCAGAGGTAGAACTCATTGCCTTTCTTTGAATCCCACACAAGACCACCCAACAAGGCATTGTAGTTGGTGGAAAACTCCATTGAAGAAAGGGTCTATATTGCAACAAACAAGCATCTAGAAATAGAATATTAAATATCCCTCCTCTTAAAAATCCATTGTCCAATTCAGACTTCAGCATAATGTAATCTTCTGTCTTCTTTTCTCTGTGTTTCCATCTTGAGAGCCATCCTATTATCTGTGTCCTTTCTTTGTTGTCTTAGGAAGAATATTTTGGCTTATCCTTTGTTTTGTTCTCTCCTTCCCGGACCTATTATGGTAAATGTGGAATTTGCAGATAGGCTTATTTGCGCTCCCCAGCCTGCTCCCTTAATGCTCTCTGGTAAGACACTTCTTTGAGTCCTCCGAGGCGAGTTGCTGCCCCCCAGCACCTGCTCTTCCCCATCGCAACCCATGACAGTAAACGCACTGCACATACTTATCCCACAGACTGCTGTGAGAACTAGATGGAGGCTATGTGTGAAGCTGCAAGCTCTTGGTAAAGTGCTACAGAAATTGGTAGACACTGTTACTATGATAAGATGTTCAGAAAATAATGGATCGATTAAAGTTTCACTTATCTATTAAAAGATAAAAAACTCTATGATTGAGACCTTTTTGGAATATTGGAAAATATTTTTGTGTGCTTATTAGCATACTGATATGTTTCAGTACACATTTCATGGATTTATGGCTAAGGATGTTACTTTCAAGAAGGTAACTATACATCGCTCTCTACTAGCATGCTGTTCTGTTCCTGAGAAATAGTGGCTGGGCGAAGGGTATGCAAACATTTCTTAATATCTCATCCAATACCATTTTCCCACTACTAATTATTCAACACATGGAAATGTAGGTCAAAGCATTAAAAAAAAAAACTAGAACAGCAATACCTTGGTGGTTGGCAGGTGTTTATTTAAAATATTTACGTTTTAGCCTTATTTTTTAATACTTCTTTTTCATATATATTAGATATTTAACTAAAGAAAATAATAATCATTCTCATGGAATACTTTAAAATAGTAGAAACAATCATGAATAGAAATGAAGATTTAGGCCTATACTACCCTAGGCTCTGTCATTCTTATTCCTAACCATTTGCATAGGAAATTTAGATTCACCCACTTCTCTTTCTTAGAATAAGATTCACAGGTTTTTGGGCATATTCCCATTGCATGCCTGACTGGGGAGGTGTTCAAATCCCTGCTTTTCTACTCCTCAGCCCTGTGACCCTGAGCAATTTCTGTGGCTTGGTTTCCTCATCTGTAAAATAGGATATTAATAGAACATATCCCTTTAACGTTGCAGTGATCACATTAATTAGTTGATGCAAAACAGTCCATCTAGAACAGTAAGCCCTCAATAAATGCTAGCTATCATTATCATTTCATAGCCAGCCCCACCATGGATGGGTCATGTGACCTGAAGCAAATTTAAATTCTCTGGATTTCAGTTATCTCTCATTGAAGGAATTAGGCTCCATCAGTGGTTCTCAAACTCAAGTGAGTATCAGAATCACAGGGAGGGTGTGTTATGACACTGAAGGCCGGGCCCCACCCTCAGAATTTCTTATTCAGTAGATCCAGGAGGGAGTGCAATAATTTGTATTTCTAAAAAGCTCCCAAGTGAAGTTGATGGCTGATCTGGAGACACACCTTGAAATTCTTCTGCTTACTCTAAACAAAACGTGCTTTTTTATCTTGAGTGCACATCAGAACCCTCTGGGGAGGTTAAAAGTCCCAGTGAAATCACAACCTCTGCAGATGGTAACCAGATCTTAGTGGCTTTTAAAGTTCTCCAGGTGCTTCCATTGAGCAGCTAAGGTTGACAACACTTCTAACACCGCTTTCAGGTGAAAAAGAACTATCATTCTAACTTAAATGAAGGAGAAAATGAATTCATCATTCTGACACCGTTATCTATTCTTTCATGCATGGGCTTATCCTATGAGAAATAAACATTTACTAAGGTGTATGCATGTTTTTAGAACATCCATTGGGAAGCATGTTGTACAGCTTGTAGTAAAACAGCATGGTGCATGCTGAAACTGTTATAGGCTTTGCAAGTTATTTTTTATAAATTAGTTTTGCTGGTGTGCTGTTTGATTATTGGAGAGTGGTGTGAACATGTTTCTATGCATCCCAGGGGGTTGCTGTCACCTTTAAGGGGCCTCTTTAAATCCCAGCTCTTTCATTTACAAATTCTATGACCTTGGATGAGTTTCTTCACTTTTCTGTGCCACAAGTTCTCAGTAAAATGGAGATAATTATAGAACTTACTTCATAGAGCTTTGAGAATCATACAGGTAAAGTTATTTTACGTAATTAGCACTCAAAAGTGACCATTAATAATCTAACGTTTTAAAATATATTAATAGGCCAGATGCAGTGGCTCACACCTGTAATTTCAGCACTTTGGGAGGCTGAAGTGGGTGGATCACTTGAGGTCAGGGGTTCAAAGCCAGCCTGGCCAACATGGCGAAACTCCGTCCCTACTAAAACTGTAAAAATTAGCTGGGCATAGTGGCGTGTGTCTGTAGTCCCAGCTATTCAGGAGGCTGAGGCAGGAAAATCGCAGTGAGCCGAGATCACGCCACTGCACTCTAGCCTGGGTGACAGAGTGGGACTCCATCTCAAAAACAAACAAACAAACAAAAATTAATAGTTTAAATATTTTTAATATATTTCAATATATAAAGATGTAATTTTTATTTTAAATATATTAAAATAGATAAGTTTAAAATACATAAAGTAAATATATAAAATTAATATGTTAAAATGTTTACTGAAAGTTTACATTTTTCTCTGTATTGCTAAGAGCAATTTATTGCCTTATATGTTGTGTAATATCTAGAAAACACACCTATGTAATTTCCAAATTATAACCACCTTGGCTCCTGGACAAGTAGGACTGTGTCTGATTTTTTTTTTTGCATCCTTGTCACTACCTGCCACTCTGAGATCACTTGTTGTCTTTCCATATATAATCACCTCTAGGTACACTTCTTTCATTATTTCTACGCATCCTCTCCACTTTGCTGCATTCTTGTGTGCATTCTTTTCTCCCACGTTGGAAAGAAATATGCATATTGAGCGATTCCAACCCCCAAAGGCAAAAATTACTAGCCAGTGTTGAAAATGAAAGCAAGGAATTTTTTGGTTATTGTTGCTGTAACTTTTTGATGTGCGTACATATGTGCGTCTTTTTTTTCCCCCTAGGGGTGGAATGGGGTGGTGTTAGTCAGGGATTACTGACAGGACGGTGTTGCCTACTGTGTTGGAGAGACTAAGACTGGGGAAAGATTCTCCAAGGCTGGGAAATGCAGACGTCCAGTCTTGGAAAACAGTTTGTCGTTGGTCGTTATGTCAGAAGAGGAGTGTATTCCTGGAAGAAGGCCCACAAAATATACCCAGAGCCCAGGTGCCTTTCTAAGACGAATCAACATTCACTCACAAGTTCAGCTAATATATGACAGAAATACAAGAATGAACAAGACTCCTGACTTAAGCTTACAGCTGATGGGAAACTTGGGAACTGGACAGAGAATTAAAATACAACGTGGTTAGGTACAACTTACCTGCGCCAGAGGAGTGACGGAAGGCCTTGGACGGGGAGTGATGCCTGGAGGATGACAGGGCGACAGGTAAGTTAGGGGGCTGGGAAGGGGAAGGGCGGCCCTGTGGGTAAAGGGAAGGAGGTTAAAGTCAGCAGGGAAACAGGCAGTTCCCTGTTGCTGGAGCAAAGCGCGGGGGTGTGGCTCTCCTGTCTCTGGCTTTGCTGTCAACAGGCGAGATTGGCAAGTAGGGCGACCAACCGGCCTGGTTTGCTCGGGACCGGGGTTTCCTGGAAGGTGGGACTTTCAATGCTAAAACTGGGACAGTCCTGGGCAAACAAATCAGTACGGTTGGCCACCCTATCTTTGTGTGGGCATCTGCTAACTGAGTCATGGGCCTGTCTGGTTTATTTATTTATTTTTTTTCTGCCTGAGTAACAGAAGAATGTGTTAAACATATGGAGTATGGAAGAAGAAGGAGAGGGGAGATAGGATTTTTATGTTATAGATTGGAAGAAGACATCCTTGATGAAGGAGATGTTTTTACTTTGGAGAAGGACTGCCTCAGCCGCGAAAGACCAAGGGGTGGCACCACAGGGAGAAGTCTGCACTGCGCTTGTCAGGACGGCCAGTGGGGGGCTGCTGAGCGCAGGGAGTCAGTCCTCGCAATGAAGATATAGTCTCGGGGAGATAATGCTGGAAATCGATGGAAGAAGTGGAACAGGACACAAATTTAGTGGAATTTCTTTACAATGTGTGCTTCTTGTCACCAGTTCGTTAACCATGATAAAAACGGTTATGTTGTTACATTCATCAAGATCCAAATTTTCTACCATTTTAAGATGTCTATCAGTCACAATGATGATCACTGAAGACCGAACGAGATCATTTCCTCTAAAAATTATGTTACATTTATCCATAATGGCATCAGTGTCTGTTACACGTTTGCTTTAATTTTGAGGTCAAATACGACATTTGTAAATCTAGCACTTCATGTGATTCTGTAAGCACTAAACAGCTAAACATATTTACTTCTTTTTTTTGAATCAATTAGAACAGTGCTGTACAATAGAAAAATAGAACAGTGCTGTACAATGGAAACAGTGCTGTACAACAGAAATCTGTCAGCCACACGTGTCGTTTAAACTTTTCTAGTAATCACATTAAAATTGTAAAAAGAAGCCAATAAAAGTAATTTTAATAATATATTTTGTTTGACATAATATAGCTAAATATCAATTTTGACATGTTCTAAATATAACAATTATTAATGAAAAATATTACATTCTTTTGGCTTTGTACTAAACATTTGAAATGTGGTGTACGTTTTTCACTTATAGCACACGCAATTCAGATGCTACATTTTTATTAGGAATATTTAATCTGTAGATAGATATCGTAAAATTTACATTTGAAAAAAATAGATTCAGACACCTAAGTTGTTACAAGCATACTTAAAAGTTTTCAATGACTGAATTGAGTATCAGTTTTAAAATTTAAATCAATGAAATTAATTAAAATGAAATGAAAATTTAGAAACTATTCCTCAGTCACGCTGGCTACATTTCAAGTGCTTCATAGCCACATGAAAGCTGTATTGGACAGCAAAGAAGTAGAATATATTTGGAATAAAAATTTTAAAGTGGACACATTGTGTTACTCTCGTTAGCCATGCTATTGCTATTTTTTTTCCTATAGCTAATTAAAACCTTAAGATCCAGTAGGTTCTCCACCTTTTTTTAAAGCATTAGTTCCATGTCGACCCTGTAGATGGCAGCACTTTCTTCCTAAAACTACATGGAGGAGTTGCCTGGGCTTGTCACTCAGATTCTGGCACTTTTCATAGAAAGAGTCTGAATTATCTGGAAAATTCTTTGGTAACATAGGTCAGAATCTTTTCAGCTCTATTGTTATTCTGCACAGATGGCTGTTGCTTATGAAAACAATCTCTCAGCCTCTAGTCCAGGATATTACTCATTCCTCAGTTCAAGAAACTCTAGGGTGAGAGGAGAAAGGGGTTCAATTACAGAACTGTTATCAAAATGCGTTGGTTTATGCACATCCGTGTTTTGGACATGGTGATTCCAAGAGACTCTTAATAAAACTTTTCAAAGTAGATGAGAGACAGTTTTTCCCTCACATGCTGTGGCAATATTAATCTATGTTTTCATGTTCCACTGGACTTTGTAATTGAATTTTAAGGAATGCATACAGGGCTTCATATTTATATATAAAATATCCATATCCAGTGTTGAAAGAAATTAACAATAAAATATGTACCTGTATAAAATTTGTGATTTTTGAAGCACCCCTCTCTTCCTCTTCGCATTGCATTTGTGGTAGGAGAACATGAGACAAGGAACGAGGTACTAAGGACAAAGAAGGAGCGATTCAGAGGTGGATTTCCTGAAGACCAACAACATTTTTGCATAGCTCGTGAGGACTCTCTGATACTAAACTCCAATAAATGATGGTTTGGTGTTTTGATTGCTTTTGATTGACATTTAAAAATTACAGGAGACTGAGATAGGAGGATTGCTTGAGCCTGGGAAGCGGAGGTTGCAGTGAGCCAAGATTGCACCACTGCACTCCAACCTGGGTGATCGAGTGAGACCCCATTTCAAAACAAACAAAAAAATAAAAAATAAAAAAAAACAAATAAAAATCACACGCCTCTTTTTTTCACTCAATCTGTTTTCCAAATAAAATATCAAGATTCTATTTGAATTTTAATAATGATTTTGCTGAGTTTTATAGCTTGAATACTATGGCAAGTATAATGTCTAAAATGCTGTGATTTTGACTTAAGAAAAAATTTACAGTTTTCTTAATATACTCTTTAGTTCTTTTAAACTCTAATACATGAAATGGATTGCTAATGAGGGTAGGAAGGGGGAAAGACTGGGGAGAAAAATAGCTAACTTTTCTAGCGATAGATACATGTCAGAAGCTGTAGTAGGTTCTTTTGCATGTGTTTACTTACATTACCTTCTGTAATCTGCATTGCAATTTTTTCATAGACAAGGAAACCTAGACTTAGAGAAGTACAATACCTGTCATCTCGTAAATGACAGATATAGTTGAGCAAATCTACTGAAATGGTTTAGCTTCTTATCTTTCCAGACAACAGATAAGGACTTATTCTATATGAAGACATCTGAGAAATGAAAATATGGTTTCAGGTTCATAGAATCTTTTACACCACGTATTTCTGGTTCTCTTTCTTCTATTCAGATCATTCTTTCATCTGTTTCTTTTGTCTTCTTTTCCAAAATGTAGCAATTGCCCCAAATTCAGTACTTGTCTCTCTTCTTAACAATCACATCCAATCCCATGGCCTCAACCATCTTCCCTTGCATATAATTTCCACATTTACAACTTTATTCTCTTGATTACTCAGGATAAGATAATTGCTGAACAAATAACAGCATATATCTCAGCTTAAGAGAGTAAAAGTTTATTTTTCTCTCATGCAAATTCTATTGCAGATATTCCCCACCTCCTTCCCTAGGTTGTCCTCAAAATGCAGTGACTCAGGGAACTCCTCTTTCTGTCTTAACCTATTTTAGGTCTTAGACCCCTTTGGCAGTCTGGTGAAGCCAATAAATCTCCTCTCAGGACAGTTTCTAAATGTGATAAAAGAAAAAAAAGATATAGTGACAGATCTAATAATTAAAATTCAAAGTTAATTTCAAATTAGTGATAGGTAAATATATTTCAAGATGTCTGCACTGAATACAGCGTGATAGGTAATATATATGATTTATCTTGGTGACAAAGACATTGGTATTGCTAACACTATTATAGCTGCCATCTGTATTCACAAAGGGAGATGTCAAATTCCAGTTAAAAGAAAGATTTTCTTAACCCAAGTTCATAGGACTTCCTGAATGGTACAGATGCTAAGGTCTAGTGGCTCCACAACTACCAAAGCCTTCTTAGTGTTCTCTGCTGGATCTTATGCATCCAATTGACTGACAAGCAAAGAACCTGCAGAATAATAGGAGACATTTGTTGGGTGGGGAGAGCAAACCTAGAAGGGGCATATACCCCTTACAATTATAGCTCTATGCGCTAGAATTAGTTATATCATTCCTCCTAGATATGAGGGGACTAGGCACTGTACTTCAGCTGTGTGTCCAGGAAAAAGGTAAGGTATGGGGAATGTGGAGCAATAATTATTTGAAGCAAGAATCACCAGTGGATGCTAAAATTCGTGAGGGAAAACAGGACCAGAAACAGGATATTTTTAAAGTCTCCAAGTACCTCCACATAGGATACTTATTAATTGCAAAGGGAAAATAGTAACTTTACAGAGAAGAAGAAATCTGGCAGACACTACCATATCCAAGTGATCAAAGGTGACATCAGTAGTGGGACACATTAACATCATGTGCTTCTGATATGATACACAAAGGAGAAACAACCTCATTCTTGTGATGTTCCTGCCAAAAATCCATAACCTGAAAGAAGCATCACAAAATCCCCAATTGAGGGGCATTCCACAAAATAGCTGGCTAGAACTCTTCAAAATTGTCAAGGTCATGAACAGTTCCAGACCAAAGGAGGCTAAAAGAGACAGGATGCCTCAATGCAAGTATAATCCTGAATTGGGTCTTGGGTCAGAAAATGGGCATTAGTAAGACAATTGGCAAAATTTGAATAAGGTCAATAGATTTGAAAATAATACTGTACCTATGTGAATTTCCTGACTTTGATCAAAGCACTGGGGTTAAGTTAAAACATAAGATGTTGTTTTTGGAAATACATGCTGCTATATGCAACTTACTCTCAAACATCTCAGAAAAAAAAATAGATAAGTTCATAGATAGATAGATGACAGGATAATAAAGCAAGTGTGATAAAATGTTAGCATTTGGGGAATGTAGGTAAAAGTATATGGGAATATTTTGTACCATTTTCTCAACCTTTCCTTTAACTCGTAAATTACTTAAAAGAAAAGCAATAACCCTGGCTCTTATAAAACTAAGGAAAATGGTCCATCCTTTCCTGTGCCTTGTGTTTTCCTGCTGGTCAAAGAACCTTTGGTAATGACAATCTGAGTTGGTCACTGATATTCTAGTAAATTCAGAATATAACTTCCTGGGCTATGTAGAAAAATATAGCTCTTCATATTTTAATTCATTTTCCTGACAGCACGTTTCTGTGCTTTTATGTATGGATACTGCCTAGTAATGTGCACACCAGTCCTGCAGATCCTGGAACATTTTATTATCTTGATATTGACTTACGTATTTAGGTAGATCTGAATAGCAGAATTGTCAGTCGTTTCACCAAGACATTATCGGGAAATCTGGACTTGGAAGTCTACTTCTGCCAGGCATCTCTCCACGCTGGCTTCTGGGCCACAGAAGAAAAGATCTAATCAAACTCATTTATTAACAAAGGCTTATAATATTGAATAGCAGCTTCCAGGAATCTAAGAAAATGTTCACTTTTATTTCTGACTAAGGAGGAACTATTATAGTCTTTTTATACCAGTTAGAAGTGATGACTTGGTATTAAACTTATTCTAATTCTCAATAGCCCTGATCTCGACTCTGACCACATGCGCGCACACCCTCCCCCAACCCTGTAAGTGTGATTATGGCAAGGGGAAAGTTAAAGTGGAGTGAATGGTGAGTCGTGGAATGACAGAGAGCATTTAGCATTTGTAATTGACAGAGTTGGTGATTGACTGAATGGACACTGAATATCTAGGCTAAAAGTAATTGAATGTGGATGGTGTAGTGAGATGGAGAACACTAGCAGGAAGATAGACTGGGCTACGCAGGGGCTAGATCATGTGTTCAGTCTGGGATATACTAAGTTTGAGGTTTCTGTAAAATGTCCATGTGAAGATGTCCAATTGGGAGTTGGATATTTATTTATGTTTCCATTCCCATCAATCGATAAGCTTCAGAGGAAATAAGAGTGTAAGATTTTTTTGAACAACAGGAAAGGAAGATTGTAGTAAGATATGATGGCATAATGGTATATGGAAGAGTTTTAAATAAAAGTTAGCCAGGCATGGTGGCACGCGTCTGCAGTCCCGGCTACTCGGGAAACTGAGGCAGGAGAATCGCTTGAATCCGGGAGGTGAAGGTTGCAGTGAGCCAAGATCGCACCACTGCATTCCGGCCTGGGCGACAGAGTGAGACTCCATCTCAAAAAAAAAAAAAAAGGGATGAAGAGGGATGAGGAGAACTCAAGTTATATTAGCCTGAATGGAATAGATGAGTGGAGAGATGGGCATGATAGGTGAGTTAAGAAGGAAATTCTTTGCCTCAGCAACCAACTCAGATGCTTTGTGAATCTAAATTATGTGTTGACATTCTAGTAGACCTAGACCTGGGATAATTCACTTCAGCATTATGTAATCTTAATTTTTCATTTATAAATAAGAAAATATTATGCAATACTTGCCATAGTTTTCTAAAAGCTGAACTCAGAATGTTAATGAAATTAAAATGGGAAAGCTATTTTGCTTAGAAGATATTTTGTTATAAACATTTCTTAAATGAAGAGGCTCTAGAAATATTTATTTTATAGAATTTAAAATATAGCCATCACTAATAAAGGCAGGCATAATTCCAACGATTTCATAACACATCAGTTATTAAATCTAATTAATATATAAATGTAACTAATATGTAATTTAATATAACCCTAATTCAATGTTTAACCAACTGAAGCTGGTTAAACTATGAAGAAGAATCTTCAAATTGACCATTTCTTTCCAAGCGGTAAAGGTGATACGGGATTTTGTCTATACATATAGAGCAAAGGAGAATTAAGCCAAGATTTAGAATTTTAGGCAAAAAGTGTTTATAGTATCATTAAGTGGTTACATATGTAATTTTACTGTTATAAATATGACTGAGTCAATTTTTTTTTCAAAGATTTTGTCACAATGGGAGGCACAAGGAGTTTAGACAGATGAAGACTCTTTCTAGAAATCTACCTAATCTATCACATTAGACCTGGAGATAATTGGTTTGACAATTTCAGTTGTTTCTCAGCAAAAAAAATAAGAAACTAAAAGTGTTCAGATGGCAGAGAAAAAAGTTTGAAGAGGAGAGAAAGAAGAACAAAAAGAAAAAGGAAACAGTAGACATATAAAGAAAGCACCTAAACCAGTGAGATGCCCCAGCTATGCACCAGCAGCATGGTGGATTACAGTAGAGTTTTTCTACAGAACTATTGTAAATCACTGGAAAATAGTGTCCAACTTATTTGCTTAAAATTTTCAGTTAATGTGCTCCAGCAGCATTCTGTAGACAACGACTCTCACTCTCCCCTTATTATGGAGGCAGAGCTGTTTCTCTTTGTCCCGTTCTCTAGCCTGTGATATACTTTTTATTGCTCAAGAGCTATAGAATTGTATCCATGCCTATTGTTGTCCTCCTGATGGGAATTCATGTAATTGAAAGCGTTTATCCTCTCTTAGTAGAAAAATTGGGCACTTGGAGGCAATGAAAATCCCCCACCTTTGTCCACGGCACTGGAAATACTCTTCAGTCTGCTTTGTTCTAAAGTTTCTACTTTTCCCAGTATAACCTGTTGAAAATTTAGTCCTTCATGAGAAATACGGCTGGAATTTCTTGTGGCAGGCTGGCCGCCGGTGTTCATGTAGTTACACCTTTTGTTGCTATTTCACCACTGATCAAAAAATAAAATTGTATTTTTTCAAAAGAAACATGGAATGACATGAAGAAAGTCCTTAATATATCATGGAGTGAAAAACAGCAAGTTGCCATGCAAATGTCAAATAGATCCTATATTTTTAAATAAGCAACTGCATATGTATCATTTAAATATATATGTTTAGATATTTGCTAAATTATGAACCGCAGTTACCCCTGGGGAGTGAGGTTAGGAAAAGTAAAGTGAGATTTTCACTTTTTACATTATACTTTTTACTTTACCCACTTCTGTATTGTTTGAATCTTTAAAATGAACAAGTGTTATTTTGTAATTAAAAAAAACAACAACTGACAAATAACTATGGGGAGTAAGAAATTACTTGGAATGGAATATGTTTAAATAATTAATTTGTTGATACACTGCTTGACTATTATTTTCTTTTGCTAAATCAAAACTCCCCTGCTTTTCTCAGGAGGTTGTTTTGAAAAGAAGGGTAAATGTTTCTAATGAAATGAACAGCTCAACCTTCCCACCTCCTGCCTAAATGCCTCATTTTGGTTTTGTTACTAACAAATGCAACACGCAAGGCTTTATGGTAAAGCAAGCAATGTGGGTTTCTAACAGGGCAGTACACACCCGTAGTTGCTGGGAAACCACTTTAGTAATGGTGGATTTATTGAATTGGAACAGGAATGGAGATTTGGAACAACAGGAAGTGAGGTACCTGTAGGGGTCTCAGTTGTCCTGGGCACTGTGACATGGCACCCAAATGTCATGCAAGAGTGGCCCTTCCAACATATGCACCAATCTGAATCTCTCCAAAGTTTCTTGATTACACCATAAAACAATGAAGAGAACAGCATTGCCAATAACTTCAGTAATAACTTTTGCATCATATTACAAAGGGTGGTGGGTGGCACTTTGTGTGGTCATGGGTATGTCCAAAAGAAGGGAGTGGTGGCTAGACTCAGTTCTCCTTTAGATTTTAAGGCAAAATTTAGCAAACTCTATGGCAGATTCTTCAACTATTTGTCAGACAGACATTGTCTACTTTTCTGGGGATTTATGATTGAGGCCCCTTTTGAGGGGAGCTTTGAGTGCAGTGAGGCCAGATAGAAGGGCCAAGAAGGATGGGAGCAGCTGCATGCTAGTGAGCAATTCAAAGTTGGATTGTGCTGACTGGAAAATCCCGGTTAGCAAATCAACTATCACAGACTTCATATTCTTTTCAGATGTGCAGCCTTTATAACATATTTGTAAATGCTAAAGGACTGCTCCACAGGGAGGTTACAAAGAGAAAAGCTCTGGGTGGTTGTAAAATGGACAAATTGTAAAGCCTTACTAGTAGTCTTACCATTCCTCTCAGCTCATAAAAAAGTCCTCCTCTTCATTTGACTATGCCTCAAATCTACTGCTTCTTGGATTATTAAACACTCTTTTCCTCCAGGATCTTAAAATCTCTCTGTTATAAGTTGAATTGTGTCCCCCTCAAAAATGATATGTTGAGGTCTTAAACCCCAGTATCCTAGAATGTGGCCTTATTTGGAGGTGGGGTCTTTACAGGGTTAATGGAATTAAAACAAGGCCACTAGGGTTGGCCAGTCCTTTTTATAAGGAATCCAGTATGACTGGTGTCCTTATTAAAAGGGAAAATTTGGACAGAGACACACACATAGGGAGAAAGACGTGATGATGAAGGCAGAGTGGGGGGTGATGCTTCTATAAGCCAACGAACCCCAAAGATTGCCAGCAAACCCCCAGAAGCTACAGAGAAGCATGCAACAGATTTTCTATCACAGCCCTCAAACAGAACCAACCCTGCCAATGCTTTGATTTTGGACTTTTAGCCCCTGGAACTGTGAGACAATACATTTTTGATGTTTAAGCCACCCACTTTGCGGTGCTTTGTTCCAGCAACCTTGGGAAATGATTACACTTTCTCATCTGTGATCACAGTGAGGCCTTGTCACAATCTTCACTCATTCCTTCTATAGAAAGCTGAAAGCCTATGGACAAGGATAATTGCCTTGGCTGACGCATATGTTTGAAGGCAGCTGCTGGCAGGCAACCGGAGACTTTACCCTGGTCCTAGTGGAGAGGAAGTCTATAGGAGGAGGCAGGGAGCCTTCCTGGCTGGCAACCCAGTGACTCAGGTTGTTTTCTTACTCCAAGGATCTCTGTGCAAGTAGGAATCCTGACATCTTCTCTTTTTCACTTGTTTATGAGACCCTGCTTGTTGTAGAGTAAAGAGCAGAACTTAAGAATGGAATCTAATCACCTTGAAAGAATAATCTCTCATCTCCTCTGGTGGCAAAGGATTGGGATGTGGAGGTTATAGTTGGAAAATTGATTCCTAGGTCAATGTCTGTGGGTGAATTTCTCTTTGAATTGTTATCAGCAATGTTATGGTGTTCGGTGGCTTTCAACGAAATAAACACACCTGACATCCTTAGTAAAGAGAAAGCTTTCTGAAATAAGAGTGAGGGACAGACTGGGACATGATGCTTTGCATGAAATAGGTGTTCAGTAAGTATTTGTAGAGTTGGAAGAAGTTAGATTAAACAGGGCTATTGTATGGCACATTGTCATTAGGGAGTTAGAGAGGGCTTCTGGAAAGGTTTGGTCAGTTTTGACTTACCTTGCAATAAATTTGGACTATAATAACCATTTCACTAGTTTGTAAAAGGTACTGGCAACCAAAGATGGGGAATGCCACTCAATCTCACTTGTTCTACTTTCAAAAGCTTGCTTTGGTCACATTGAAAGGTTCCATTTGGTGAAGTATAGCATATCACAGAAAACAATGGAGTTTGGGAGTTCGGGAACAAATGGTTGTTTTGTGATAATGAATAACTTTGACATTTCGTTTGAAGTTAAGTTATGTTGTTTGAACTTTTCTGTCCCTGAACAAGGCATCGTATGCCAAGAACAGGTAACAGTTTCTGGATCACTGGGGACTCATTAGTCATGGATGGTTAGTGGTACTACATTGTGGTCTTCCTTCAATATTGAAAGCTGTAAGAAGCTTGTGACAAATTCTTACCTTGGCCCTCACACAGTACTGGTAGGGCTGGGATGTTATTGCTTTTGTCCACCAACTTCCAACTGTAGAAGTCTAGGATGATCACAGCAGTTAGAGATGATCCATTTAGATAGTCTATATTAAGGGAAAGTATCCTTCATCCATGGTGTTGAACATTCGTAGGATTAAAATGAAAGAAGCCAAAACCTTTCTAGATCTTTATTGGTATATCAACAGAATTAGCTGATTAGGTATGCAGAAAAAACTTGGGACTTGAAGACACCATTAAATAAATAACTGTACATAACCATACATTAAATAACTGTAACACCATTATATAAATAACTAACTATAAATAAAGAGCTCTACATTCAAACTGCTTTTCACTGCATTTGTCAGATTTCACTTTTAATATAATTTTAGTTGACTTATCCCTCATCTTACCTTAAGAAGATAATGAGTTGAGGTGGATCTTGAGCCAGTGTTTAGTCCAATATAGCCCTTTGACTTGGGGAAAGATCAAACTTCGAAATTTATATGCATGACTCCTCTCTGGGCAAGGACTGAAGTGGCAGGAGAGGTGAAAGAAGGAATCAGGACAAAAAGTAGATGCTAAAAGGAAAACAGTCTGTCCCGTGGAGAGGAAGTACCCAAAGAAACAGAAGAACTCCATGATGGAGAGTAATACAAGTTGAATATCCCTTATCCAAAATGCTTGCGACCAGATTGTTTTGGCTTTGGGATTATTTCAGATTTTGGAATATTTTCATACCCGCTCAGTATCCCTAATCTGAAAATCCAAAATCTGAAATGCTTCAGTGAGCATTTCCTTTCAGTGTCATCTTGGCCCTCAAAAAGTTTTGGATTTTGGAGCATTTTGAATTTTGGATTTTTGGATTAGGGATACTCAACCTGTACTAGCGTGTTAAAACAGTCCTGGCCAGGCGCGGTGGCTGACACCTGTAATCCCAGCACTTTGGGAAGCCGAAGCGGGCGGATCACAAGATCAGAAGATCGAGACCATCCTGGCTAACACGGTGAAACCCTGTCTCTACTAAAAATACAAAAAAATTAGCTGTGCCGTGGCGGGCGCCTGTAGTCCCAGCTACTCGGGAGGCTGAGGCAGGAGAATGGCGTGAACCCGGGAGGCGGAGCTTGCAGTGAGCCGAGATCGCGCCACTGCACTCCAGCCTGGGTGACAAATCGAGACTCCGTCTCAAAAAAAAAAAAAAAAATCCAAAAAACCCAAAACAGTCCTAGAGGCTACAGCCTAGAGCAGTGGGCAAAGAGAAGCAGAATCTACAGAAGATATTGTTCAAGGCCTGCTATGCTAGGTCTCAGATAGCACCAGAACTGGGCAGGGCAAGAAACGTCAGGCCCAGGGGTCTGGTTTAACCAGAAGAGGTGCTGAATTTTAGGATCTGAATAGCAAGGGTTGTGGTCAGGAAGTCAGTTTCATGTAAGAATGAAGGTGAGCGGATCTTAAATCCCTGAAAGGAGGCAGAGAGAAGAATATAGGAAATGGGTGGATAATTTTTGTTGCGAGTAAAAATGTTCAGGACTTTGGAGGCAGGAAGAGCAGGTAAAGCAAGTTCGAGGAAAGAGGCTGGGTCAGAGGGGATCTGAAAGCAGGAGTCAGAAACATCCATTGGAGGCCTGGAGAACATAAATGGGAGGTGAATAGACTGGGGACATAGTGCCTGGGTGGAAAGAAGCTGGCTCGAGTCCGAAACCACAGGCTGAAATATTAGGAAAAAGAGACCCAGGAATTCAGTTCAGAATAGGAGGGATTTGTGGGGCAAGACCAGTGGTTCTTCCAGACATTTTATCAGAGATAACAAAGCAGAGGCTGTCTGTTCTCTGCCCTTGGTGTGAGAAGAAAAGGACTGACAGGAGTGCTTGGCAGCTCAAGCCAGTTATGGAGCTGTGGGTGCTAGTGGCTATTAACTACCAGGGAATTAGCTCTGCTGAATGAGTCCTCACGCAGAGGCAGGGATAGAACGTTGCATTCAGAAGACTGGCCACGGAGGCCGGCTGGGGTGGCTCACGCCTGTAATCCCAGCACTTTGGGAGACCAAGGCAGGAGGATCATCTGAGGTCAGGAGTTCGAGATCAGCCTGGTCAACATGGTGAAACCATGCCTCTACTAAAAATACAAAAATTAGCCAGGCTTGGTGGCGGGTGCCTGTAATCCCAACTACTTTAGAGGATGAGAGAGGAGAATCGCTTGAACCCGGGAGGCAGAGGTTGCAGAGAGCCGAGATCACGCCACTGCACTCCAGCCTGGGCAACAAAGAGTGAAACTCCGTCTTAAAAAAAAAAAAAAGGAAAAGAAAAGAAAAGAAGAGTGGCCACAGATTGGCTTGGCTGGAGAAGGCATTTTTTTATAGGGAGATATACGTGAGTTTGACGGGATGGGCTAGCAGGCGGACATTCAGGTTTTATGGGATAGGCAAAAAGGTACAAATGGTATTTGGGGGGATGTGAATGGCATCTGAGAAAGGTTGATCCAGGCTTGTGTGGAAGCTGGCTCTGAGCATAAAATGCCAGAGAAAGGCTTGTACAACTCTGAGGTCTTTTCTTTTCTTTTCTTTTCTTTTTTTTTTTGAGACAGAGTCTTGCTCTTGTCGCCCAGCCTAGAGTGTAGTAGTGTGATCTCGGCTCACTGCAACCTCTGCCTCCCTGGTTCAAGCGATTCTCCTGCCTCACCCTCCTGATTACCTGGGATTACAGGCACCTGCCACCAAGCCTGGCTAATTTTTTGTATTTTTAGTAGAGACACGGTTTTACCATGTTGCCCAGGGTGGTCTTGAATTCCTGACCTCAAGTGATCTGCCCACCTCAGCCTCCCAAAGTGCTGAGATTACAGGTGTGAGCCACCGCACCTGGCCTATTTTCTATTTTTTAACCAGTCCCAAGTAAGGGTATTGGTTAGGGTTGAGGCAATGGAAATCTGAAAGAAAGGGTGAGTTAGGTATTTCACTGGACACATGTGGAGAATGTTGGTGATTTAATGCAGAGGGAATTGTGGTTAAAAAGGTTAATGTAAGAAGGGTCATGTGGGGACTGGAAATCACAATAGAGAAACAGAGGCCAGAATGCTGAACTCATAGGAAGTGGGTGACCATGGGTGATTAAAATGTACAATAGGGCTGGGTATAGTGGCTCATGCCTGTAATCCTAGCACTTTGGGGGACTGAGGCAGTTGGATCACCTGAGGTCAGGAGTTCGAGACCAGCGTGGCCAACATGGGGAAATCCCAACCCTACTAAAAATACAAAAATTAGCCGGGCACGGTGGTGCATGCCTGTAACCCCAGCTACGTGGGAGGCTGAGGCAGGAGAATCGCTTGAACCCAGGAGGCAGAGGGTGCAGTGAGCCGAGACTGCGCCACTGCACTTCAGCCTGGGGAACAAGAGCGAAACTCTGTCTCAAAAATAAATAAATAAATAAATAAAAATAAAAAATTAAAATGTACAATAGAGTGTGTAAAACCAGGAAATCTACATCTTGACACTTAACTACCCAAGACGCAATTGGTTCCTCGTCTGATTTTTAAAAGAAGTTTCCACTTTCTTCGGAAAATCACGACAGTCCTTGTTCTCAATTTCTTTGTTTTTAAGAAGAGAAATGTTGTATGATTTCACTTATATAAACTACCTAGAATAGGCAAATTCACAGGGATAGAAAGGTGGAATGGAGGTGACCAAAGGTGGAAAGGAAGGAGGATTGTTCAATGGGTACAACATTTCTGTTTGGGATGATGAAGAATTTCTGGAGATGGACAATGGTGATGGCTGCACAACACTGGGAATGTGCTTAATGCCATTACTTAAAAATGGCTAAAAATCATGCATTTTATGTTATGTATATTTACAACTTTTTTTTTTTTTTTTGAGACAGTGTCTTGCTCTGTCATCCAGGCTGGATGGCGGTGGCATGATCTCGGCTCATTGCAACCTCCACCTCCCAGGTTCTAGCAATGCTCCTGCCTCAGCCTCCCCAGTAGCTGGGATTACAGGTGTGTGCCACCATGCCTGGCTAATTTTTGTATTTTGAGTAGAGATGGGGTTTTGCCATGTTGGCCAGGCTGGTCTCGAACTCCTAACCTCAAGTGATCTGCCCACCTCAGCCTCCCAAAGTGCTGGGATTACAGGTGTGAGCCACCATACCTGCCATATTTACAACTTTTAAATCATAGGAAAGAAACCACTAATGCTTTGACAACTGTGAGATTTTGAATCTCAACTGTGAGATTATGGTTTGTGGAAATTTCTTTATGTGATTAAAAAAGATACTTTTTTTGCCAAAAAATTTGTTTTCGCTGTCATGCAAGTTCTCCTGGGTAAGCACCTTTGGTCTTGTTTTGTGCATAGCATACAGAGCAGCAATTGTATATTGCTAAAGAAAGCCTGTTTTTTTTTTCTTGTTAATTTATTTAAGTTCCTTGTAGATTCTGGATATTACCCTTTGTCAGATGGATGGATTACAAAATTTTTCTCCCATTCTGTAGGTTGCCTGTTCACTCTGATGATAGTTTCTTTTGCTGTGCAGAAGCTCTTTAGTTTAATTAGATCCCATTTGTCAATTTTGGCTTTTGTTGCCATTGCTTTTGTGTTTTAGTCATGAAGTCTTTGCCTATGCTTATGTCCTGAATGGTATTGCCTAGGTTTTCTTCTAGGGTTTTTATGGTTTTAGGTCTTATGTTTAAATCTTTAATCTGTCTTGAGTTAATTTTTGTATAAGGTATAAGGAAGGGGTCCAGTTTCAGTTTTCTGCATATGGCTAGCCAGTTTTCCCAATACCATTTATTAAACGGGGAATCCTTTCCCCATAAGGATATGAACAGACACTTTTCAAAAGAAGACATTTATGCAGCCAACAAACATATGAAAAAAACCTCATTATCACTGGTCATTAGAGAAATGAAAATCAAAACCACAATGAGATACTATCTCACACTAGTCAGAATGGTTGTTATTAAAAAGTAAAAATATAACAGGTACTGGTGAAGTTGCAGAGAAATAGGAACACATATACTGTTGGTGGGAGTGTAAATTATTTCAACCATTGTGGAAGACAGTGTGGCGATTCCTCAAGGATCTAGAACTAGAAATGCTATTTGACCCAGCAATCCCATTACTGGGTATATACCCAAAGGATTATAAATCATTCTACTATAAAGACACATGCACACGTATGTTTATTGCAGCACTATTCACAATAGCAAAGACTTGGAACCAACCCAAATGTCCATCAATGTTTGACCGAATAAAGAAAATGTGGCGCGTGAACCCGGGAGGCGGAGCTTGCAGTGAGCCGAGATCCCGCCACTGCACTCCACCCTGGGCGACAGAGCGAGACTCCGTCTCAAAAAAAAAAAAAAAAAAAAAGGAAATGTGGCACATATACACCATGGAATACTATGCAGCCATAAAAAAGAATGAGTTTATGTCCTTTGCAGGGACATGGATGAAGCTGGAAACCATCATTCTCAGCAAACTAACACAGAAACAGAAAACCAAACACTGCATGTTCTCACTCACAAGTGGGTGAGTTCCATAATGAGTGGGTGAGTTCCACAAGTTCCACAAGTTTCACAAGTGGGTGAGTTCCACAAGTTCTATAATGAGAACATATTTGCACAGGGAGGGGAACATCACACACCAGGGCCTGTCGGGGGGTTGGGGGTCAAGGGGAAGAATAGCATTAGGAGAAATATCTAATGTAGATGACGAGTTGATGGGTGCAGCAAACCACCATGACACATGTATACCTATGTAACGAACCTGCACATTCTGCACATGTATCCCAGAACTTAAGGTATAATAAAAAAGAAAAAGAAAAAGAAAAAAAACCCTGCCTTTTGCTTTGGCAGTCATCATTCCTTCCATCTTCTCATGTTTTCTTATTTAACTCAGTAGTTCTCAATTGACAGCACAAAAGAATTACTCAGGAGAGTTCAAAAAACACCTATGGCTGACTCCCCCAAGATTCTGATTTCCTTGGTGTGGGGTAGCCTGGGCATGAATATTATTTAAAAACTCCTCTCATGATTCTAAGGTGGTAGCCAGGATTGAAAAATGCTGGACTTTCAAGTTTTTGTTTTCTTTCTTTTCTTCCAAAAAGGTGAAGCCCTGACTTGGGAAGAATTCAAATGCGAGTTAGGCTTATGTTTGATGTCACTGATTCCTAAAGATCAGTCCATTGATTCTCCTCATTCTCAGGAGAGCATTTGGTGTCAAAATCACAGCCCAAAACTCTTACCCTAGTTCAGCATCTAACTCTCTTCAGTCCTGAAACTGTTTTTGTCACTCTGTCCATATAATCACAGTGTTGTAGAAATTTCCAGCTAAACATTGTCTCAAACTTTTTGTACCTAGTTTTAAATCAAAATGTAGTACAAAATTATTAAATACAACGGGCTTTAAAATATTGAGATTTTGGTGATCTTTTTTGTAGAATGCAAATACTAATGAAACTAATTTTTTCTTTTGCTTTCAAACTATACATTTCTTCTAAAACTTCTTTCAAAGTAGAATTTCATAAGTGGAAGAACCCTTGAAGATTATTTTAATAGAATTCCTTAATTTTAGAGATGAGGAAACTGAGACTCAAATATATTAATTAATTTATCTAAGTGTCTTAGTCCATTTTGTGCTGCTATAAGAGAGCATACTTGAGACTGGGTAATTTATATTGAACAGAAATTTATTGGCTCACGATTCTGGAGGTTGGAAAGTCTGATATCAAGGTGCTGGCATCTGGCAAGGGCCTTCTGGATGTGTCTACATGGTGGAAGGCGGAAGGGCCAAGAGGTAAAATGTGGCTGAATTTGTGCTTCTATTATGGCATGAATCCCATCCATGAAGGTGGAGGCCTCATGGCCTAATCATTTCTCACAGGCACCACCTTTTAATACTGTTACAATGGCAATTACATTTCAACATGAGCTTTGGAGGAGACAAAAATTCAAACCATAGCACTGAAGTTATACAACTAGTTAAGAAGAGAGAACCTGAGACTGAAACCCTGATGTTTTGACTCCCAATCCAGAATGTTTGATCCCCTACATCCCACCGCTTCGCTGTTTCCATTCCTTTCTCCTGTTTTCATCTATTTTCACTAAGAGGGCAAGATATTTGCTAACTGCTACACACCCAAATTGTATACCAGGCAGGTCAGAATGACTCTAACATTTTATTTAATGAGGCAGAATAAAATATCTTCCTACTAAACAGTGACAAGTGTTTGTTTTAAAAAAAAGTATTGTGCACAAAAAAAAAAACTACTTTCAGCATAGGCTATATTTTACAAAATAAATTTACAGTGGGAACCACAGAGCTATTTAGAGTGTCTGGTATAAATGATTTTATTGTTACTCTGCTTTTTTGAAAAAGAAGTGTGTGAAGCAGAGGTAAGTAGTACTGAGGAAATAATAACTAAAATACTAAGGACGAGATGCACATGGGAAAAGTTCTTCATTAACTGTAACGTGGTGGAGAAATGTATGTTCTAGACAGGTCAATCATGGAATTAGAAAAAGTTGGGATCTTGGATTGTTGAGTTCAAATCCTTAGTTTTAAAACTGAAGACTTCAAATTTTGATTGACTACAGATCAATCAACAACCTGTTGGAGTTGGAAACTTGAATCTGATTCTCCATCCTTGTTTGGGATATGAAAAAAAGGAAGACATTTAAGAGTATTTTTTTATTTATGAAACTAATGTATCATCATGTAAAAATATGAAATAGAAAGTGTTAAAAATTATAAAGAAACAAGAATGTGTTTTTATAATCTCATTTTCTTACTTTACGTAAGATGGTAAGTCTATTTTGGAATTAATTGTTTTTAAGAATAGTATTATAATTCAATGTTAGATAAAGATTTATTTAACCCTTTCCCCTTTAACAAGTGTTTGGGTTTTTTAAGTTTGCTTCCAAGTTTTCGGTAAATGATGCTTCAATGGATATCTCTGTTTGTTATCTTAGTATGTATCTTAGATTAATTCCTCAAGATAAATATTTAAAGGTATGGTATATGTAATATTCTTGATACATACTTCCATATTTCCCTCCAGAAATGTGTGCACCTATTTAAATGTGTGTGGAGGTGCACATTTTAACATTCCTCATTATTCTGGCTGCCTTCTATAAATCAAGCTACCCTGGTATTATGGCTCTCCTCCAGAAATCTAATCATTTAAACACATGAAGTGAATGTGTGAATGGACAATTAAGTGCTGGCCAAATGTGGAAAAATGTTAAGTGTAAATCAAAGGCAACTGAAACGTTAAATACACCTTCCATTCCTCCGCCACATCCATGCTCTTTCCCATACTCCACATCTGCTCACTAAAATTGGAAATAAACTGTAATGAACCAGAAATGTCTGACTTACTGGTGTGTTTAGGTGAGTTTTATTGAAACACTGACTGACCCCACCACTCTAATACCATCACCTTAATGTTTGTATCTTAGATTAATTCCTCAAGATAAATATTTAAACGTATGGTATATGTAATATTATTGATACATACTTCCATAGTTCCAGCAACCACTTGTCATCCTGTGTCCCCCAAGGACACTGCAATGACTGTCACAGTGACTTGTGCTCGGTTGAGGAGCAAGTGGTGGCTGAAATCCAGCCCCAGTCAGCTCCCCAAACCAAACCACTTTTACACAGTGTCTATGTGTAAAGTTGGTTTGCTTTGGGGAGATTGATCCCCATAAGGGATCAGCACCAGCCCTGTGTCTATCTCTTCTTCTCCTGGGGAGATGTTGGCTATTTTGCTAGCTGGAGAAGGGCACGCAATTTGTTGTCAGGAGACAGGTTCTTAAGTTCCATTGGTACATGCAGGGCAAGACAGGCAGAGGGAATCTGTCACTGCTACAGGCACTTCATAAGCCCAGGTATAGACGATAATTGAAATGGATTGATTTCATAGTAGTCTAATACAGAGTGGTGCTACAATCTCTGTATGTGCCTATTTAGAAAATAACTTCATATTTAATTCTTCACTTTACATAAAAGATATGTGTATTAAATACACCTTTTATTTTAGAACAGTTTTAGATTTTAGATTTAAATTGGGAAGACAGTAGAGATTTCCTATCTAACCCACACCCAGCTCCCGTATTAGTAACTAACATCTTGCATTAGTATGGTATATTACAATTAATGAACCAATACTGTTATTTTATTATTAACTTAATTCATGCTTTATTCCAGTTCCCTTAGTTTCTACCCAATGTCCGTTTTCTATTCCAGTATCCCATCCAGAATACCACATTACATTCTGTTGCCATGAGTTTCTCAGATTTTCCATGTTTTTGATGACCTTGACAGTTTTGAGGAATACTGGTCAAGCGTTTTGTAGAATGTACCTCAACTGAGATTTGTCTCATGTTTTTCTCATGATTAACTTGGTATTACAGGTGTTTTGAGAGGAAGACCACAGAAATGAAATGCCATTCTTATTACATCATATCAAGCATATATTCTAACAATATGATTTATGACAACTAATGTTGACCTTGGCCAACTGGCTGGGGTAGTATTTGTCTAGTTTCTCCTCTGTAAAGTCCTTCCTTACCCCCTTTCCACACTGTACTCTTTGAAGGAAGTCACTCTGCACAGCTCACAATGAAGGAGTGGGGAGCTATGCTTCCCCTCTTTGAGAGTTGTGTATGTACACAAATTATTTGGAATTCTTCTGCATGGGAGATTTGTCTATTCTCCCCTATTTATTTATTTATTGAATTATTTATATCAGTATAGCTTCATGGATATTTATTTTAGACTTTGGGCTAAAAAACAATACTACTTTATTTTATTGTTCAAATTGTTCCAGCTTCTAGAAGTTATATTTTTATAGAGAAGATATGTTTTTAAATATAAAAACACTTTAAAAAAATGAAGTCAACAGGATAAAATATTTTTAAATTTTCCTTAATGGGTGTTCTTTGTACCATGTTTCCATCAAATAACATTCTGATTGAAATCTAAAAATTAGTGTTTGTATTTTAAGTGCTAAGATCAGAGAAAAAGTCACAAGTTTCCCAGACTGAGTTAGGCAACATGTGACTCAGAGTTATAAGGAATACCTTTCCCATTCCTGCATTGCAACCAGTGTTACAGTTACAGAAGTGACTAGTGTAACTTCCCCTCCTGGGTTCCAGCTGCCAGGACTTACTTTAGTTCTTTTAACATATCCTTCCCACCAAAGATAAGTTTTTTGAACAGTTTCCCCATGAGTGCTCCCCCCACCCCAACTTGTGCCTTTTATTCATGTCTTTATAATATTTATTGGTTGGCTGGTGCAATTGCAGAGGTTGGCAAGTCTGAAATTTGTAGAGCAGGCCAGCAGGCTGGAAACTCAGGCAGGAGTTAATGCTACATTCTAGGGACATTTTTTTCTTCTCTGGAAACTTCAGTTTTTGCTGACAAGCTTTTCAACTGATTGGGCAAGGCCCACCCATGTTATGAGGGGGAACTGTACAATCAGTTGTCATTTAAGCCAATCAGTCAACTGATGGTTGGTGTCAACCATATCTTCAGAATACCTTCACTACAACATCTAGACTCATGTTTGATTAAATAACTGGGTGCCATAACCTTGGCAAGTTGACACCTGAAATTGGCCATCACAGTGACCAAGACAGAAAGTGTAATGAGCAGGAAAGCACCCCAGTGACAGGACAGTGAAAGATGAGCCTGGAGACGGGGAGTGGGAGGAGTGCTTTGACAGAATGGTCAAGAGAGATGGCATCTGGGTGGAGATATGAAAAGATGTAAAAGAAGGGAAGGAACCAGTTCTGCCAAGAATTTATACTTCTACAATTTCCCAGATGATATTGATGCTGTTGCCCTGGAGCCCATACTTTGAGAACCACAGAGTAAGGGTATACCTCTGTTATTATCCAATGAATCCTGAGAAAGCCCATTAATATCTCAGTGTGACCATTTTTTCTCAAAATTCCTACCTCACATGCTCTGAGGGGCTGGCAGCTTTTCTGGGAAGGTAAAATCTCAAGAGGGAGGCTTTGAATGATTCCAGGACAAAGTGAAGATAACATACTACCGCAGGTAAAGTCTAGGTTTACTTGGAGGTGGCTCAAAACACAAATCCTGTCAATTTTAATGACACATGAGGCCATGACTCTGGGTCGTCACTCTGGGCAAGCCATTGAACCCATTAGAACCTCAGTTTTCCCATCTGTACAAAAAGAGGTGATAATGGGTAAGCAATCCTGGACTGCATTGTGGTAGTGCCATCAAGCAATGAGATTTGTCAGGAAGGAAGTGTGATTCAAGTACAGGCACTTTGTTATCTGATGCCTGTGTGTTGAGTGTGAAGGAGGGGTTAATTATTCCTCTATTCATGTCCTTTCTATTCTCAAAATTTCTTATGTGGGAGGAAAATCTTGGTGCGGTAAAGATCACAGCCACCCTGGGGTCAGACAGAGGACTGTGTCAAGCTTGGTAAGCGTCACCATTCAGGTGAGTGGGAAAGAGACTGAACCCCATTAAACCAGATGACCTCCAAGGCCCTGCCCGCCCCAACATCTGAGGGCTGCCTGGCTTGTCTGCACAGGGTGCTCACAGTACTCCTGACTTTGACATAATTTTAACATTAAAGTCACAAGGATGCCCTGGATCACAACTGCTGGAGAAGAGATGGTAGTGGGATTTGTTTCCCAGGAGACTTTCTGATTCTAGTGGGGCCAGGACCAACCTCCAAAATAAGAGGTCTTTGCAACTGCTGCGAGCCTCCTGGCACCTCTACCCTCTAGCGAGAGGCTGCCTCTCCTGCCCCACCCCGGTTTCAAGCACGCTGCAGGGCAGGAACTCACTGTGCTGGCAAAGGTGAGCTGGAGACCTGGCACGGCATAAAGCTTTTTTAACTGACCCTTTTTAATTTCATCTTCCCTGGACTTAATCTAGAGAGTCATTGATGAAACAAACATGCCATTTTCTCCCGATTTCACGCTTTTAAATGTCAACAACAAACAAACGTTTATATACACAAATGTTGCTGAAGGAGACTTTTGGCTTTAGACAAGGGTAAAAACTGAACCTCTTAGTGTGACTTTGGTTGATTTTTTAAAAAATCTGTAATTTGACATATAAAGAATTATTAAGACTTTTTTTTTTTTTCTGGTAGGCATTGAATGTGTCCTTGAAAAGAAAAAAAATATGCTCAGTTTCAATCTTCTGTCTATGGGTAGCTAGTTATCCCAGCCTTAGTTATTGAATAAGGAGTCTTTTCACCATTGCTTATTTTATTTTACTTTTTGAGATGGGGTCTTGCTCTGTCACCCAGGCTGGAGTGCAGTGGCACGATTTTGGCTCACTGCAACCTCCGCCTCCCAGGTTCAAGCGATTCCCCTGCCTCAGTCTCCCAAGTAGTTTGGATTACACATGTGCACCACCACACCTGGCTAATTTTTGTATTTTGATAGAGACAGGGTTTCACCAAGTTGGCCAGGCTGGTCGTGAACTCCTGACCTCAGTTGATCCACCCCACTTGGCCTCCCAAAGTACTGGGATTACAGGCATGAGCCACCGTGCCTGGCTGCATTGCTTATTTTTGTCAGCTTTGTCAAAGATCAGATAGTTGTAGGTGTGTGGTCTTATTTCTGGGCTCTCTATTCTGTTCCATCAGTCTATGTGTCTGTTTGTGTATCAGTGCCATGTTGTTTTGGTTATTGTAGCCCTGTAGTATGGTTTGAAGTTGGATAACATGATGCTTCCAGCTTTGTTCTTTTTGCTTAGATTGTCTTGGCTATTTGGGATCTTTTTTTGGTTCCATATGAATTTTAAAATAGTTTTTTTCTAGTTCTGTGAAGTATGTCACTGGTAGTTTGATAGGAATAGCATTGAATCTATAAGTTGCTTTGAGCAGTATGGCCCTTTTATTGATATTGATTCTTCCTATTCATGAGCATGGAATGTTTTTTCCATTTGTTTGTGTCATCTCTGATTTATTTGAGCAGGGTTTTGTAGTTCTTCTTGTAGAGAATTTCACCTCCCGGGTTAGCTGTATTCCTAGGTGTTTTATTTCTTTTGTGGCAATTGTGAATGGGATTGTGTTCCTGATTTGGCTCTTTGCTTGACTATTTTTGGTGTATAGGAAGGCTAAGTGATTTCTGTATGTTGATTTTGTGTCCTGAGAGTTTGCTGAAGTTGTTTATCAGCTGAAGGAGCTTTTGGGCCAACACTATGGGGTTTTCTAAATATAGGGACATGTCATCTGCAAATAGGGATAGTTTGACTACCTCTCTTTCTATTTGGATGTGCTATATTTCTTTCTCTTGCCTGATTGCTCTGGCCAGGACTTCTAATACTATGTTGAATAGGAGTGGTGAGAGAGGGCATCATTTTCTTGTAACTGGACCCCTTCCTTACACCATATATAAAAACTAACTCAAGATGGATTAAAGACTTAAATGAAAAGCCCAAAACTCTAAGAACCCTGGAAGACTACTGAGGCAATACCATCTTAGACATAGGAATGGGCAAAAATTTCATGATGAAGATGACAAAAGCAATTGCAACAAAAGCAGAAATTGAGAAATGAGATCTAATTATACTAAAGAGCTTCTATATAACAAATAAAACTATCAACAGAGTAAACAGACAACCTACAGAATGGGAGAAAATTTTTGCAAACTATGCGTCTAACCAAGGTCTACTATCCAGCATCTATAAGGAACTTAAATTTACAAGAAAAAAACAACCTCATTAAAAAGCAGGCAAAGGGCATGAACAGACACTTTTCAACAGAAGACATACATGTGGCCAACAAGCATATGAAAAAAGCTCAGCATCACTGATCATTAGAGAAATGCAAATCAAAACCACAATGAGATACCATCTCACACCAATCAGAGTGGTTGTTATTAAAAAGTCAAAATATAATAGATGCTGGTGAAGTTGCAGAGAAATGGGAACACTTATATAATGTTGGTGGGAGTGTAAATTAGTTCAATCATTGTGAAAAACAGTATGATGATTCCTCAAAGACCTAAAAATACAACTACCATTCAACCTAGCAATTCCATGACTGGGTATATACCCAAATGGATATAAATTGTTCTATCATAACGACACATACATGCATATGTTCATTGCAGCACTATTCACAATAGCAAAGACATGGAATCAATCTAAATGCCCATTGATGGTAGACTGGATAAAGAAAATGTGGTACATATACATGATAGAATACTATGCAGCCACCAAAAAGAATGAGATCATGTCCTTTTCAGGAACATGGAAGGAGCTGGAGGCCATTATCCTTAGCAAACTAATGCAGGAACAGAAAACCTAATACTGCATGTTCTCACTTGTAAGTGGGAGCTACATGATTAGAATTCATGGACACATAGAGAGGAATAACAGACACTGGGGCCTATCAGAGGGTGGAGGGTGGAAGGAGGGAGAGGATCAGGAAAAATAACTAATGGGTACTAGGCTTAATACCTGGGTGATGAAATAATCTGTACAACAAACCCCCATGACACAAGTTTACCTATGAAACAAACCTGCACGTGTACCCCTGAACTTAAAATAAAAGTTAAAAAAAAACCCCAAAAGGTGAAGTGTTGGTGAGGATGTGGAGAAAAGGGAACCCTTATTACACAATTAGTGGGAATGTAAATTAGTGCAGCCATTTTGGAAAATAGCCAAGGAAAATTTTTTTATTGAGTCAGATGATGTTACCTTACAGCAATAGCTTCCAAAGGGGATGTCCTGAATAGTAGAACTTCTCTTTACATTTTCAAACCTCTTTTTACTTTCTGATTTTGAGTTTCATAATGAACATGTATCAATACAATAGCACACTATGTATTTTATAAATGAACAAATATGGGAAAAATAAGATATGTTCACTTTCCTGGCTGACCCTAGTTAGTCTAAACTATCAGTTATAGGATCCATTTGTTCTAAATATTGAAGGCATTGTTGGGGGCAGTGGGGAGGGTGAATGATAGACGCAAATTCCTTGAAGGAATAGAAATGTGACTACTATGCTGAAAAGCAGGACCCATGGAGTATAAATAGAGTATTCACTGTGCTTTTACATTTGTTTCCCTGGAGGAAACGTAAAACAAATCTCAAGACTTTCTGGTCATTTCTAAGTCATAAACGGCCACTAGTCACTAATTTATATAACCAGCCCAATGTAAATATCAAACGTGTGAGTTTCATTTCATCTCACAACTCCTCCCCTTTCCCAGTTCTGGCCCCATACAAGCCCGCTGCCTGCAGTGTAATGGAGGAAGATGGTTTCTTTTTCCTTCCCTCCCATTTATTTGTCTTTGTGCATCTTAAAGCCAGCCTGAATTTCTACTCCCTACAAGGTTGAAGTGGGTGGGTCAGGAGGTGGGGAGAGAGCTAAGGAACGTTGGCGTGAGTTGTTGTTGTGTTTGAGTCTGGAAGGTGTTGGGAGCTGCCCCCCCTCACTCAGGGCCTCATTTATGGGCTCTTCGGATAACCCCCATGCTCTAGCACTGGGATCTTGCCCTGTGGATCCCTCCATGCAGGTGGCACCACACCCTCTGGCTGGTTGTGATGGGCCTTCTCAGCTTTGAGAATTAGCAACACACTTCCTATTGAAGTCATCTGTCCCTGTGGGTAGCCCACTTGGGCTGGATGCAAACTGAACCTGCACTGATTCTCTCTTGCATGTGGCCCACATGAGCTCCATTTTCCTCCGCAAACTTTGGGTGCACAGCCCCACGACGACACAGACAGCTTTTCTTGCGTGCCACCAAAGTGGTGGGCCAGAGTTCTCTTATCCTTAAGATTTTCAGGTGTCACCACGTCCACCAATTCTTGGCAGACATGAATCAATACTTCCAAGGGTTTTGGTGAAGCCCTTTTCCCTGGGCTGCAGATGAGGGCAGCCATGTCCTGTCTCTTCCACCTGTTGTGGAAGGGGTTCATGGCAAACATCTTCGAACATCCTCTAATTTCCCAATTCTTGATCCTTTCGTATGCTTGATGTGTGAGAGAGAAGAGAGAAGAGAGAAACGCTTCTTGCTGCTTTTTTTTTTTTTAATCCCACATGGTGACCTTAGACTTTACTTTGGAATGTGCCATTTAATATCTGGGGACCTCAGCCCAACACAGGGACTAAATAGCTCTGTTTTAACATTTTGTTTATATACACACATTCATTTGACCAAATGAACATGTTCCAGCTTTTTTAACCCTTGCCCAGCAAATCACTTAATTCAGTTAATAAAAAGACTAAAATAATGAGGCCAACCTTATTGGCCACGAACATCTGTTGGGTATTCCTAAATTGATCCCTGAGTTAATCTCCACCTTTAAGGAGTTTATAATTTTATTTGGCAAATTGATGTTATAATGAAATTCCTGGGCATGAAAAAAACCTAACTATGTAATGTTGGATAGTGTGAGTTTTCCCAAAAGTACCAGTATAAGCAATAAATGCTATAACTGATCATGAATTGTTTACAGTGATTGAGTAGAATCATTGCATCTGGTCATGAATAGAAAGAGCACCTCCCAGACGGCTGGTCTGCTGCCAGGTGTGCAGTTTTAGGGGTCTCCACACTCATTCTATTCACATCTTTTGACTTTATCAGCTGTGTGGTGGATCTGTGGTTACAGGCTGATGTGGTTTGGCTGTGACCTCGCTCAAATCTCATCTTGAATTGTAGCTCCCATAATTCCCACGTGTCATGGGAGGGATCCAGTCGGAGGTAATTGAATCACGGGGGCGGGTCTCTCCCGTGCTGTTCTCGTGGTAATGAATAAGTCTCACGAGATCTGATGGTTTTATAAATGGGAGTTCTCTTTCACGAGCTCTCTTGCCTGCCGCCATGTAAGAAGCGCCTTTGCTCTTCCTTTGTCTTCTGCCATGATTGTGAGGCCTTCCCAGCCATGTGGAACTGTGAGTCCATTAAACCTCTTTCCTTTATAAATTACCCAGTCTTGGATATGTCTTTATTAGCAGTGTGAAAATGGACTAATACATGAGCCACATTGTTACAGAGTTTCTGAAGGTCATTAAGAGAAGTCCATGCTGTGGGCTGAGCTGGGACTCAAGAATCTCAAAGGAGAGCCAGTGCAATCAACACGAAGGGCCCATCTTGAACTCCTAAGGCAGGGCAGAGCTGGGTCTTATGGAGACATGTGGCTTTCAGGTAATCCAGTGAGCACCTGTGTTTTCCTCCTATAATTCTTGAGGAATGGATATTGTTCTATATTTCAGATAGTATAATAATAAATACCTGGAAAATACTGTATGACCCCAAACAACAGGTAAAATGTCAAAAAAAACCTTTTATCTACACAAAGTTAGACAACAAATTCAAATAATCTTATCCGTTTATTCATTCTCTTCCAATACAATCATGTATCATTTAATGATGGGGATGAGTTTGGAGGAAGGTGTTGTTAGGAGATTTTGTCATGGTGCAAACATCATCAAGTATACTTATGCCAACCTCAGTGGTATAGCCTACTACACATCTAGGCTTGGATAGTACAGCCTGTTGCTCCTAGGCTATAAACCTGTACAGCATGTTACTGTCCTGAATACTGCGGCAACTATAAAATAATGGTAAGTATTTGTATATCTAAACACACTTCAACATAGAAAAGGCACAGTGAAAATATGGTATAAGAGATAAAAAATGGTCCACCTGTACAAGGCACTTGCCAGAATGGAGCTTGCAGGACTGGAAGTTGCTCTGGGAGAGTCAGCGAATGGCTGATGAGTGAATGTGAAGGCCTAGGGCATTATTGTATGCTACTGTAAACTTTATAAACACTGTGCACTTAGGATACACTAAATTTATTAAAAATTTTTCTTTCTTCAATCAATAATAAGTGAACATTAGCTTACTGTATTTTTTTTTTTACTTTATAAACTTTAATTTTTTTTTAGAGATAGGGTCTTGCTCTGTTGGCCAGGCTGGAGTGCAGTGGCACAATCATAGTTCACTACAACATTGAACTCCTAGGCTTAAGCAATCCTCACACCTCAGCCTCCTGGGTAGCTGGTACTGCAGACGTACACTACTGCACCCAGCTAATTTTTAAATTTTTTGTAGCGACTGGGTTCTGCTATGTTGACCAGGCTGGTCTTGAACTCCTGACTCAAGCAATCCTCCTGCCTCAGCCTCCCAGCATGCTGGGATTATAGGTGTGAGCTACTGCACTTGGCCTAAACTCTAATTTTTAAAATCTTCTTGACTGTTTTATAATAACACTTAGTTTGAAACACAAACACATTGTACAGCTGTACAAAAATGTTTTCTTTCTTTACATCCTTATTCTATAAGCTTTTTTCTGTTTAAGTTTTTAAAAATGTTTTAGTCTGAGTGCGGGGGCTCACGCCTGTAATCCTAGCACTTTGGGAGGCCGAGGCGGGCAGATCATGAGGTCAGGAGATCGAGACCATCCTGGCTAACACGGTGAAACCCTGTCTCTACTAAAAATACAAAAAAATTAGCCGGGCATGGTGGTGTGCACCTGCAGTCCCAGCTACTCGGGCGGCTGAGGCAGGAGAATGGCATGAACCCAGGAGGCGGAGCTTGCAGTGAGCTGAGTTTGCACCACTGCACTCCAGCCTGGGCGACAGAACGAGACTCTATCTCAAAAAAAAAAAAAAAAGTTTTAAACCTTTTTAAAAAATCAAAGTCACAGACACATGCATTAGCCTAGGCCTACCCAGGGTCAGGATCATCAATGTCACTGTCTTCCCCTTCCACATCTTGTCCCACTGGAAAGTCCTCAGGGACAGTAACACCCCTGGAGCTGTCATCTCCTCTGATAATAATATGGGCTTCTGGAAGACCTCCAGAAGGACCTGCCTCCTGCCTAATGCTGTTTTACAGGTAATATTTTTTTCTAGTAGAAGGAGTACACTAAAATAATGATAAAAACTGTAGTAAAGTAAATATATAAATTAGTCATATAGTCATTTATTATCATAATCATTATGTACTGTACATAATTGTATTGCCAGACTTTTATACAACTGGTGGCACAATAGGTTTGCTTACACCAGCATCACCACACACGTGAGTAATGTGTTGTGCTGTGACATTAGGACAGCTACAATGTCAGGAGGCAATAGGAATTTTTCAGCTCCATTATAACCTTACAAGACCACTGTCATATCTGCAGTACAAAACATCATTATGTGGTGCATGACTATATTTACTGAGCACCAAATATGTGCCCAGGCAGTGTGCTAGGGGCTGGAAGTGACCTCGAAGTCTAGTAAAAAAACCACAACAGTAAAACAATATGTGTAATTCAAAGTGACATATCCTGTAATAGCTGGTTGCCTACCTGCTCCCCAGAGAGAAATTAAACCTGCTTGCTTAACTTATTAATTTTAAATTCATGTACTTGCAATATAAAAACATATTTTAAAACATATTAGGAGAATAGGATGTCTTCTGTAGTGATAGGCTATTTAATGTTCTCTTCACTGTGTTCTAAAAAAATCGTGATCGAGTGTAACAAAATGGGGAAGGGAGGGTTAGCATAAACTCTCCTTTGATGTCTATGCTGTGGATCAGAAAACTCATGAATATGTTAACAACTGGATTTTCTCCTAATATGAAAACAACTCTTTGGCTTCTTTTGCAAATGTGAAAAGTTAACCATAAATATAAGACCTTTTCTTTCCACTAAAACTAGGGCACAATCATTGTTTTCCTCTTATTGGAGTCCAAATGGGTTTCCATAATCTTCAGATCTAGTAGTTGTATTTATCGATGACATAAATGGAAAGACTAAAAGATAAAGTTAAGAAAAATTCAGTGGTTTATGGCTTCAACTCTACTGATAATTTTGTATATAAAGGGATCCTAAATTAGACTGTACACACATTTGCCATTTGAGTTCCAAGCATTTTAGCAATAGATCAAAAGATCTTAATGCCTGATAGTTGAAAGATTACTTCCAAATTTTTTTTATTTTTGTGAAAGCCAAAGTCCTTTTCTCAACATGACAGTCACAATTTTGTCAACAATCTACCCGTTATTTACAAAGGTTTAAAATCTGATAATAGATATTTACTTGGACTATACAATGTCTCAGTGGGAGCAATAGATGGTTTACAATGGGTCTGAAAATGTTGCAAATAGTCAAAACTGGCATTGCAACAATTCATTTCCAAAAACACACTAGACTCGTGAGTTTTTGGTTTTTAAGTTTATATAGCTTGCTTCTGGTGTTAACGTTCTCCACACCTAAGGTGCCAACATGCATGGCTACTCTTTGTCCCCAGAGAAACATTGCTAATTTGTACCAAATTTCAATGATGTGTCAAGCAAACTGTCATTTTGGAATGATAGTAAGCACGCCTTCAACAACAGCTCTTTATTTCGTCCAAAACCTTTGGGCCACACAATTCTGACCTTTATCACACTCTCAGTACCTTTCATTCATTATTAGCTTGTGCTTCTGGGGCCCCGGGAATTGTCAACTATGGTCAAAATAATGGAGCAAAATAGCAAGAAGAACTTGCGTTTCCTATATCATTGCATTTAATCTTTGCAACAACTCTTTGAGGTGGAAATTGCCCCAATTTTATAGATTCAGCTTAAAGACCTTGATTTGTCCAAGATCACACAACCACTAGGAGGTATAATGTTCAAATAAAAATGTCTGAAAAGAGCTGGGTGTGGTGGGTCATGCCTGTAATCCCAGCACGTTGGGAGGCTGAGGTGGGGGGATCACCTGAGGTCAGGAGTTTGAAACCAGCCTGGGCAACATGGCGAAACCCCGCCTCTACTAAAAATACAAAAATTAGCTGGGTGTGGTGGTGCATACATGTAATCCCAGCTACTTGGGAGACTGAGGCACGAGAATTGAATGAACCCTGTGAGGCAGAGGTTGCAGTGAGCTGAAATCGCACCACTGCACTCCAGCCCAGGCGGCAGAGTGAGACTCCATCTCAAAAAAAAAAAAAAAAAAAAATCTGGAAAGATAGATTACTTGGCCTCAATCATAGTAAAAAAGTGTCAGTTAAAACTGCATGGAGAGATACTATTTTGAAAAGCATCAAAAAGTTCGAAGATCCATCATATTTGTAAGGCTATGGGAGTTTAAATTGTACAGGCGTTATGAAGGCATTTGGTTACATCTACCAAAATTAACACCGCACATATTTACTCATGTGCAAATTGACTTATGTACAAATTTACTAATTGTAGCATTGTTGATAATTGTAAAATATTAGGAACACACCTAATTGCCATTAATGGGGAACTGGTAAAATAAACTAGAATTCCTCTGTGCATGGAATACTATGCAGTCATCAAAAATGACGAAGATGTGGCCGGGTGCGGTGGCTCACGCCTGTAATCCAGCACTTTGGGAGGCCGAGGTGGGCGGATCATGAGGTCAGGAGATCAAAATCATCCTGGCTAACACAGTGAAACCCCATCTCTTCTAAAAATACCAAAAAAAAAAAACCAAAACACAATTAGCCGGGCATGGTGGCGGGTGCCTGTAGTCCCAGCTACTCGGGAGGCTGAGGCAGGAGAATGGCGTGAACCCAGGAGGCGGAGCTTGCAGTGAGCCGAGATTGGGCCACTGCACGCCAGCCTGGGTGACAGAGTGAGACTCCGTCTCAAAAAAAAAAAAAAGAAAACAGAACAAAACAAAAAATGAGGAAGATGTTTATTTAGTGAAATAGAAAGATATCCAAGATATGTTGCTAATAAAAACAAAAAAAAACACATGGCACAAATAAGGTGCATGTTACTATCTGGGTCTTTTAAAAAGGGGTGTGGAAGAATGTGTGTGTGTGTTTTCTTCAATATGTGTAGAATATCTCTGGAAGGAAATTTAAAAACTGGCGACCTCAGCTGTCTCCAGAGAGGGAAAATTGGTGGGTTGCAGGCAGAGGTGAAAGATTTTCCCACTATGACTTTGAAAATATCTTTTCAAGTTTAAAGCACCAACTGCATTATATATCAAGAGTAAATAAAATACAATTTTAAAATGAAATGGCATTTGTAAAACACTTGATAGATGTTCAGTTAACAGCCATCAGGATTTATTAGTAATTGTGGTTTTTGCCATTAAAAGTAATTTTAAAAGTAATGGTTTTGCCATTAGTTTTAATGACAAAAACCACAATTAGTTTTGCACCAACCAAATACCTTACGCTTCTGGTGAGGGCTCAGAAGAGAGATCATAAGTAAAGAACACTAGAAAGGATGTTTAATATTATTTCCCTTTTTAAAACTGGTGGTTGTCAAAGCAGTCTGAAGGAAAAGTCTCCAGAACTGGTGATCATGTTCACATAGCAGTAGTTTGGAGTCAACAGAAATCATCTTCACCATCAACCTAGCTCCGAAAGAGGCCGAGCCAATCTAGTTCCCTTGGCCAACCACCTTCCTCCCAACCTATACGTTGGGGTGATCCACTACAAAGCTCTCAAGAGTATACACAATGCTACTACAGTCATTGTGAGTGAGATCTGAAGGGAGCATAGGCTAGGACTCATGAGATTATAGTTCAGAGTTTCTACTGTAATTCCTTTCAGCAAAGTGAAGAGCATGTCACTGGGGTTACAAGTGTTACTGGCTACTTAGCTAGTGCTAGATTACCCAAAAAAGTAACCGGGTCTCATGGGCAGAGGTGGGAAAGTCTGTTAAGCACATAGTGAAGGATGAATCTGGGCTGATTGGAAAACATTTGTTTGAATGAATGTAGCATTTATTTCCAAGAATAAGCATGTCCAGACTGATTGAGCAAGAGTTATATTTAGTTCAGTCGTTCTGATGTCCATTTTGAGAAAGCTAAACCAGCATGCCAGAAGGGGTCAAAGATCACATTTTGCATGAAAGAAAAGCCAATGGAAATGGGACTGTTAGACTTAAACTTTTGGGTATTTTACACTAGGACTTAGAAAGGACTTTATTCCTTTTTATATTTTCTGTCTCTAGCATTGCAAGTAGCAACAGAGTGAATTTTTGGTATTTGGAATACTCTCTCCTCATTTTTCCTTTGGGAAAATCATTAGCCTATTTGATTTGACTGCTGTTGAATATGTTCCATGACATCCATAAGTCTACCTTCAGGCATTGCTTGTGCTTGTTTATTACATATGATTAATTGCTTACATAAGAACAATGATGATCCCTGCAGGGGGAGGAGGGATGTGAAGAACAACTTACTTAGGCATTCCAGGGGCTAACAAGGGATGGTTTGATACAGCTCATTCTTGTTTTGAATCTTCATGCCTCTTGAGAAAGAAAGGAGCAGAATATGCTTTGCATGGCGCTATGTCCTCCCAGGTCCTATGTTTTCTTTTTTGTATTTTATCAGTTCTCTACGTAAGGATTTTCTCAGTTTAATATAATTTCCATTTTTAAAATTCAAATACCTACATATGAGGTGGGAAAGGAAATTAATCAGATGCATTCCTATAAACTGCAGACTTAAATTAAGACCTTGAGCAAACTGGCATTTTGATGACTTGAGGATTCAGTGGGTGGGACAGTTGTACATCTTGAACTCTGGGTACACTGCCGAAAGCGAGGCCTGAGAAGGCTGTGTTGAGGAAGGAGTGTCAGTGACTGAGCCTGTTGGAAAGGGAGGCTGAGAGAGATGAGGACACATACGTAAGGGAGAACACATTGGCTGGCCAGGTGTTTTTTTTTCTGCTGTGGGTTTTGATTAGAATTCTGGGTCTCATTAAGTGACCCATGTTGAATAGAGATTGGATAGGGCTGGCTTGGAAAGCCCTCAGTGAAGAGATGAACTCGACAGCATGATAAGGAAGTAGATGCAAATTCAGGACAGGAAATGGAGAAGGGCAGGGTGAGAAAAGGGAACAAATTTACAATTTGTGCCATTAGCCATTTATTAGAATTTGGTATAAGAATTTGTGGAATTATTGTTTCCTTCTGGATTTATGGTACAAAAACCTACTGACAAGTGTCACTAAAAGTGATGTCTTTATTCAATTATCAACCAAAAGTTTTACACTAAATTCTTTTGAGTCTTTGAATGTTTATGTTATTTCCAATAATCTTTCCAGTTCTTTTAAAAGGCTGATTTTTAGGAAGGCTAGCACTTTTTGATCACAGAATAGTTTCCCCAATGAGTATGATAGCTTCAATATCTTTCAAATTAGATTCTTTTGGAAATTGAACTGTGTCAAATCAAATAAAACAAGTAGGGTTTTTTGCTGTTATTGTTGAAGGTATTATATTTGCAAGTTTGTACAATTTAGCAGATATAGGAAAGGTCTAATTTTTTTCTTTAGCTAGAATGTTCAGTTCAAATTATACAGATATAAGCATGAGACCTAAATGAACTCTCTTCTGATGAGTAATGAATGGAAGGTAGATTACTCATTTCTTCATGTTCAAAAAACAAATTATGTCTCTGAACACAGTTGTTTCAATGTTTTTAACTTATGTTCTCAAGCTCTTCCCATTTCTTTATCAGTGATTTGGGAATGTGAAGGCAGTCTTGTTGTAGTTTCCAAAGATTTAGGCATTTTTGAGACTCTAAGAATAGTTCATTAAGCCACCAATTAGTCCCTTAATTTTATTTAAGCTGAGCAAGCAAGGCCCACACTAAAAGTCAGAAGAATGCGGCATCTACCCAGAGAGGCTGAGGGTGGGATAGAAAGAAGGAGGCACTCCAAGTTTGGAGACACAGATTCTATTCCAGTTCCTCAAGCTGCATGACCTTCAGCAAGTCTCCTGTGTTGTTCAGGACCCCAGTTTCTTTATAAGTGCAATGAAGAGTTTGGACTCAACAACTTATAAAGAAACATTCATTCTAATTGTCTATTGTGTGAAAAGAATGTGAGTTGTTCTAGAAAATATGAATCTGCTCCCCAATTGTCCTCCAAGCTCTGGTTCTAAATTTCAGTTATTATAGTTACTTCTTTCGAGGTAAATCATTGAGGAAGTCAGTTAATGCAGAGATGATGTCTGGAAGGAGTTTACAAGTTCATTGTTCAAATAGTATTTGTTGGGGGCCAACTACAACTACACATCAGGGATTGTGCTCACATTGGACTAGTGTCTTTGGAAAACAGAGTCCTTGTGTGCCCTTTTTGAATTTACAGGCCAACTTGGGGAAGCAGAGAGACAAATAGGAAATCCAACAGCATGATAAGTAGTATAATGAGAATGTTTAGGGAGATACGAGCATTTATAGGAGTAGCACTCAACAGGAAATCAAGGAAGGCTTCCTGGTGGCTATGATGTCTCAAGGGAGACTTGAAGCATGAGTAGGAGTATGTCAGATGAAAAGGGATGGGAGGAAGATTTCAGGTAGGGTAATTTGCATACGTGAATATTTAGACCCAGAGAAAGTCCAGAGGGACTGAGGAACTTAAAAGAAATCCAGTATGGGAGGAGCATAGTACCTGTTGGGGAGGGTGGGGACTCTTGATAAATGAGGATAGTAATTCAAGTTCTTTGGCTCTTGAGTTACTTTTGGACAAGTTGAGCTTCAAGTAGCTAGTACATAGGAGGAGCTTAATAAATATTTATTGAATGAATGAACATGTAAGTAAAAATGTCTAATAGGTACCTGGCAAAGTGGACTTCCTAGTCAGGAAAGAGAGGTTGGTTGGAGATTTCTATTTTGAAATTTTCAATGTATATATGAAAGTAAAAACACAAGGAGTGGTTGTGATCATCCAGGAGAAGGTATGCAGAGGAGGGAAGAGGGTCTAGGGGCTGAATCCTGGGGTACCCACACCTGAGAGGAGGGAGAGGAAGAGGGGCTCTCAGAAGAGCCTGAGCAGGAAGGGCCATTGTAATAGGACTAAACACTAAGCCCCTGAAGTCAGCTCTCTGGGGGCAGAGGTTTTTGTTCTGTTTATTTTGGGATGCCTGCTGTTGACCAGATTATGCTCCCCTACCCACCCAAATTCACATATTGAAGCCCTAACACTCAATGTGACTGTATCTGGAGATAGGGTCTTTGGGAGGTAATTATGGTTAAATGATGTTTTAAGGCTGGGACCCTACTCTGATAGGACTGTGGCCTTATAAAAAGAGCTCTCTCTTTTTCTGTCCTCCTCCTTCTACCTCCTCCAGGACCCACCCCAACCCCACACTGAGAAAATAAATCGCTGTTGTTTAAATCACCCAGTCTATGGTATTTTGTTACAGTAGCCTGAGCTGACCAAAACAGTTCTCCGCACTTAGAAATGGTCCTGGTAAATACAGCTAATCAATATTTTTTTGAGTGAATTGAATGAATGAGTCATTCACTGGCATGCTTATAAATGCATTACTCCCTCCACAGTGTGATTGTCATTGAGCAGGTTGGGAGAAGGGAGGAGCTCTCGCAAACATGGAAGTCCTGGGTGCTTAGGGAGAATGGGAAGGTGCCGTGGTCACAAAATCGGAAGAAAGAGCTGAAAGGCTGAAAGGCTGAAAATGCTAAACTGCTCAAATCTCCTCTGTCTTTTTTTAAAAAAAATCATTTGGCTAGGCTGGCTCTGAAATTGGGGATGGTTCTTGGTTGATTATGTGGTGTGTGTGTGTGTGTGTGTGTGTGTGTGTAAAGGCCCTTCTTAACATTAGATAGGACTATCTGAATCTAAGTGAATTTAGGCACAATCTAGATATTGCTCTTCATAGAGAAATAATACTCTAAGCTGGCAATGAAATTCCTCAAGTAAACAACAGATAAAGGGAAGGAGAGGGACACAGTGTAACAATAATTGGAATAATTGGAATTCTTGTATCACTCATGGCACTTACAGTGAAAGTACTTTCTACATTGTCTTCTATTACATGCAACATAGGTACATTATATAAAAAGATCCTAAAATATTGTTAAAAGAAATTTTCCCAGAAAATGTAAGATAAAAGTTACTAAATTCTATTAAGCTTGCAAGTTAAATCCAAATCATTCATTGACTCATAATCAAGAACAGTCATGCTGCCTGACAACCAAAAAATTCAAACTGTCTTCATCAAGTCCTGGGTGGGAAGCCAGGAAATGGGATCTGAGATCACAGGCTTTGTGAGAGTCAGGGTCTTTGGCGTGATTCTTGGTCACAAATCATGCATTTTTTTCCTTGGAGAGATAGTGGGAAAGAAAAGGCTGTTTAAAAACATGTTAAAGAATACTGATTCCATTTGACTTCTTGTTAATGTGTACCCTTGCAGACTTGGGTAAAACTTGATCATGTTAAAAGCCATTGTACTTAAAGATTCATGACTAGAGTGTTAGGACAATTCTGTGGCCTTGGGGGTCCCATTGCAGCAAGAAGAGTCTGACTGAGAAGAGGATAGCTCCGTCCTTTGATGCCTAGTAACCTGCATGCCCAGCACTTTGCTGGCTGGGCCATTGGTAGGAAATGCGGTACATGCACTTCAATCTGTAAGAGATCATGGTCCATAGAGATCATAGATTTATTTTGCCACCTGGCCCAGATGGTGATAGAAGTCAGGACAATGGTTGCCTAGAGGGGTTGGGAGTTTATTAGAATGGGACACAAAGGGAAATTTCTGGGGTGATGGAAATACTCTATACTTTCATTGGGATGATTGTTACATGGACATATCCATCTGTCAAATTCATCAAATGGTATGCTTTAGATACATGTATTTCATTGTATATAAATTTTGCCTCAAGAAACAAAAACTCAAGGTCAGGTGAAAAAAGTCCAGGAGCTAATCAAAAACCCTTAAAATAAGTGACCAAACTATTTGTGAAAATGAGCAGAAACTTAAAGGGAAATTCTTTGTTATTTTTCCACATTAGAGGAAAATTGATGGTATCAGATAAATGCTCAAAAATAAGCTTCCAAACAGAGCATTTATAATCAGTACAATAATAAGTTTGAACACAGACAAACCTTCATGTCTCAGAGTGAAGGAACCATTTCTAGTAGTATAAGCTATTACGGAGATAGTTCCACATTTATTTTCTTTCATGTTTCTTTTGGAGGAATAATGTTTTTGTAAATGTAAAATGCTTTTAATGGAGCTAGAGAAGAAGCTATGTTTGGTCATAGTATTATCTGCTTGCGAACTAAAAATTCAGAGCTCTCTTGTGAATCATGCTGCCAAGAATTGCAGACTTAAGCCTCAAGATTGTACGAATTTAAATTTTGACTTTATGGCCTCAGTTGGCATGAAGATACAAAGATAATCTTCTAGCAAAAACAGTTTTGAAAGACCGGGCGTGATGGCTCATGCCTATAATCCCAGCACTTTGGGAGGTTGAGGCGGGTGGATCACCTGTGGTCAGGAGTTCAGGACCAGCCTGGCCAACATGGTGAAATCCTGTCTCAACTAAACATACAAAAAAATTAGCTGGGTGTGGTGGCGGACACCTGTAATCCCAGCTACTTAGGGAGGCTGAGGCAGGAGAATCGCTTGAACCCAGGAGGCAGAGGTTGCAGTGAGCCGAGATCACACCAGTGTACTCCAGCCTGGGTGACAAAAGTGAAACTCTGTCTCAAAAAAAAAAAAAAATGGTAGAATGTCACATGGAAAGTTAACTTTTAGAGATAGTAATCCAGACACCTATAATATTACATTGTCCTTTTAAGTATCTATATCAATAAATTAACCAACATTTGTTGACTTAACATGGCCAGGGACAGTGCTGGGTTCTCATAATTCCCAAGTAATTCTAGCCAGACCTTGTCCTCAAGGAGCTTATGAGCAGCATGAGGAGATAAAAAACAGATAAATAACTCTAATTCAGGAAGAATTTGATAAATGCATGATAACTACTACTAGAATTCAGAGGAGAGGAAATTTTCTTTGAATAGAGACTAAAGGAAGGAATAATGAATGTGGTAGCATTTGGGCTGGACCTATTACAAGAGGCATGCTTTCCCCTGACAAGCCAAGAAAGTGGGGATTTAAGGTAGAAGAAAAGAAAAGCCTTGAGTTCTTGGAGTATTAAAATTTTGCTTGGCTGAAGCATAGGTTACAGTCGGAGGAGATGGACTAGGAAGGATCGTTATGGGCAGAGAGGAAGCCCTGAACTCATGGGGGAAGCTATGATTTGGGTTAAAGACAGAGCTGGGTCATGTCAAGATGGATCCTGAAGCAGTAAAAAAAAATCCAAGAAAGTAAACAGGTTGCAGGGTTTAGGATGAAGTCCGGGAGGAAAGGGCAGAGTGGTCCTTAGGAGGCCGTTAGGACAGGTAAGGTAATGGGTCTCAAAGGGAGTGGCCGAAATGCAATGGAAAAAGAGAGATTGTAAAGCTAGAAGGCTTAGGAATTGCCTCTTGATTAGGTGTGGAAGGCAAGGGAAAATCAGCCCTCGAAGAAGACAGTGAGATTTTAATCTGGGTGGCTGGAGAGACAGTGATGCTGGGCACAGACACGGGGAAGTTGAGAGGAACACCATGTTTGAGAATGGTGACTCATATTTGAACAAGCCTGCAATGCCCAGCAGACCGCTGGAAAAGTGGGGCTGGAGACACATTCAACGGAGGAGCCAGATCAATCTTTACCCTTCTTCACCTGAGAGAGCCAGTAAGTCACGGCTGGAACGTGTGTGTCCAGCAGGAGAGGGTAGGGAGGGAAGCCAAGAGAGCTGGGAGCCCGAGTGAAGTTTTTGCCAAAGGCAGAAGAGGAAAGTCGGCGTAGCACAGTATACTTTCCCACCCATGCTCACCAAGCCCAGGGACAAGGCTCACCAAGATGAGTTTGGAAGAGAATGCTGGAGAGAAAGTGGTTAAGAAAACTGCCTTTACTGAACTTCTTGGGCTAACTTTGATTGTAAGTCTCTGAACAATCAAAGCCTGTGAGGAGACAGCTAACCTTCTTATTCTTCCTATGTCAATAGTGAACAATTGCAGATCCCCTTTCCTTTCCTTCTCCTTTCCCCTGTTCCTCTCTCCTCCCTCCCTGAATACTCTTGCTTTTTTCTGGGACTGGTCTAGAGCATGGGTGGCCATTGTTGACCTACAGGAGGCACCACTGTCACCAACAAAGGGTAACAGTCTTTCTTTTCAATATTTATTTATATCCAGTATTTATTTTCAATACTGACTATGGAGAGAGCTCTCCTGTGCTCAAACACTGCAATACTGGGGGTCTTTCAAAGCACAAAAACATATATTTGCATGATGGCATCATTAACATTTTTATGGCTTTCTATTTCTTTTTTGTACTGGTCTCAAGAGCCACTCATAAATCTCTCAGTAACTGCATAGTGTCCCAGGGCCAGAGACCGGCCACTCCTGGCATTGTGATTAGAGTCATTTAATATCCAAGGTGGTGACTAATGTCTGGCAACAAAGCCTCCATTGGGTGTCATGTGTCCTGGGACCCTGAGCGTGGGCACTCTAGGAGCACCTCAGTATTGCGTGTTAGTACTATGGCCGAGAGAATAGTTGAGAAAGTGGTCAAGAGGTGGATCCATGTGAACGCCACTGGGAAATGAGAGACCTCGTTCCCAATCACGGTCAGTGCAACTCGAAAGCCTAAAATCAGTTTAAAACAAAGGTATCTACCTTTATCTTATGTTCATATCCTAGGCTTTTAATAATACGTATTTTTCACATGTTTACAGAAAGCAGTCAACTGAGCTATTCATGGAAAGGTTTGTGGGTTTGGTTAACGAAGTGGAGGAGTATTACATTTCAGCTGGAAACACATCCCTAGAATGCCAAAACATTTATTCCAAAGTCTGGTTTCCTGGTGCAATCGGAGGCATGGCAATGCCTCTGTTCAGAGACTGGGGGCTAGGGCCAGTAAGGCATTTGATCCACATGTATCCCAGAAGGCTTTTATTGTTAAATTATATTCTTTCGGAAAAACCACCCATGTCCTATTTTGTAAACTTGATATCCATACACTTTTGACTGGCATTCTATTTTAGCCGTAAGACTATGATTCACAGCAAGCCTGTTTTTCCTCTTGCTTGGGGTGGCAGCAGAAAGCATAGGGTACTTTCCAGCCTCCAAGGGTAGGGGCAAAGGGGCTGGGGTTTCTCCTCCCCAGTACAGCTTTCTCTGGCTGTGCCACACTGCTCCCTGTGAGCAGACAGCAAGTCTCCCCTCACTCCCCACTGCCATTCATCCAGCGCTGTGCAGTAGCCCAGCTGCGTGTCTGCCGGGAGGGGCTGCCAAGTGCCCTGCCTACTGGCTGCTTCCCGAATCCCTGCCATTCCACGCACAAACACATCCACACACTCTCTCTGCCTAGTTCACACACTGAGCCACTCGCACATGCGAGCACATTCCTTCCTTCCTTCTCACTCTCTCGGCCCTTGACTTCTACAAGCCCATGGAACATTTCTGGAAAGACGTTCTTGATCCAGCAGGGTAGGCTTGTTTTGATTTCTCTCTCTGTAGCTTTAGCATTTTGAGAAAGCAACTTACCTTTCTGGCTAGTGTCTGTATCCTAGCAGGGAGATGAGGATTGCTGTTCTCCATGGGGGTATGTGTGTGTCTCCTTTTTCTTTCAGGACTTGTAGGATTCTTTGTGCCATTTGCATATAATTTGGCAGGTTCACATTTTTTAAGAGCCCTATGAAGTGCTTTTTGCATGTGTTTTAAAAAGGCATTTGAAAATTGAAAGTGTGATTTATGGAAATTAAATCATCTGTAAAAAATTGCTTTGGAAAGTAATGATTGCTGGCCATAAAGGGAAATATCTGCGATGCACCTAATGTGTTTTTAACCCTTTATTTGCTGACAATCTATAGTCATTAATGCTAAACTCGATTTTGGCTTCAGCTACATTTGCATATTGTCCAACAATGGTCTATTTTTGTAAGAATTAGATAAAATGTATACTTGATATAAAATAGTCAAAAATGTAACTCTTAGTAACAGTAAGCTTGGCATTTAGATAGACCATGAACACTTCGTCAGATACTCTGTTGGGTGTTTGGGATAGCAATTAAAACAAAGTATTGATAGTTGTATCAGAGTCTATTAGGCTGCAGCAAAGGAAGTTTATTCAAAAGTATAAACTATCCAAGATTATAGACGCATGATATACTTCACCTATTTTTTGTCTCCTTAATATGTATATATATATATATATATATATATATACACATATATGTGTGTGTGTATGTGCGTGTGCATGTTTAACTTTTAATTCAGTTAAAAACTTTTTTCTATTTGTTTTTCATCTGGATATTTGATTCTGCATATCCTAGCCCAAGTGAACCGAGAAGATCGAGTTGTAGGACTAAAGGATAGACATGCAGAAATGCATTTTAAAAATCTGTTAGCTGGACCAGACCGACAATGTAACATAATTGCCAAAGCTTTGGTTCGTGACCTGAGGTTATGTTTGGTATGAAAAGGTCACATTTTATATTCAGTTTTCTGAAGTTTTGGTTGCATAACCAACCTGTGGAAGGCATGAACACCCATGTGCGCCCTAACCAAAGGTTTTTCTGAATCATCCTTCACATGAGAATTCCTAATGGGACCAAGTACAGTACTGTGGTCCAACATAAACACACAAGTCAGGCTGAGAGAATCTCAGAAGGTTGTGGAAGGGTCTATCTACTTTGGGAGCATTTTGCAGAGGAAGAAACTGAGGTCCTGGCAGGTTGCATTCTCCTGATGGCAAAATGCAGCTCTTCCTATATGTATACCCTGAATCTCCGCCCCCTTCCCCTCAGATGCCCCCTGTCAGTTCCCCCAGCTGCTAAATATAGCTGTCTGTGGCTGGCTGCGTATGCAACCGCACACCCCATTCTATCTGCCCTATCTCGGTTACAGTGTAGTCCTCCCCAGGGTCATCCTATGTACACACTACGTATTTCTAGCCAACGAGGAGGGGGAATCAAACAGAAAGAGAGACAAACAGAGATATATCGGAGTCTGGCACGGGGCACATAAGGCAGCACATTAGAGAAAGCCGGCCCCTGGATCCGTCTTTCGCGTTTATTTTAAGCCCAGTCTTCCCTGGGCCACCTTTAGCAGATCCTCGTGCGCCCCCGCCCCCTGGCCGTGAAACTCAGCCTCTATCCAGCAGCGACGACAAGTAAAGTAAAGTTCAGGGAAGCTGCTCTTTGGGATCGCTCCAAATCGAGTTGTGCCTGGAGTGATGTTTAAGCCAATGTCAGGGCAAGGCAACAGTCCCTGGCCGTCCTCCAGCACCTTTGTAATGCATATGAGCTCGGGAGACCAGTACTTAAAGTTGGAGGCCCGGGAGCCCAGGAGCTGGCGGAGGGCGTTCGTCCTGGGACTGCACTTGCTCCCGTCGGGTCGCCCGGCTTCACCGGACCCGCAGGCTCCCGGGGCAGGGCCGGGGCCAGAGCTCGCGTGTCGGCGGGACATGCGCTGCGTCGCCTCTAACCTCGGGCTGTGCTCTTTTTCCAGGTGGCCCGCCGGTTTCTGAGCCTTCTGCCCTGCGGGGACACGGTCTGCACCCTGCCCGCGGCCACGGACCATGACCATGACCCTCCACACCAAAGCATCTGGGATGGCCCTACTGCATCAGATCCAAGGGAACGAGCTGGAGCCCCTGAACCGTCCGCAGCTCAAGATCCCCCTGGAGCGGCCCCTGGGCGAGGTGTACCTGGACAGCAGCAAGCCCGCCGTGTACAACTACCCCGAGGGCGCCGCCTACGAGTTCAACGCCGCGGCCGCCGCCAACGCGCAGGTCTACGGTCAGACCGGCCTCCCCTACGGCCCCGGGTCTGAGGCTGCGGCGTTCGGCTCCAACGGCCTGGGGGGTTTCCCCCCACTCAACAGCGTGTCTCCGAGCCCGCTGATGCTACTGCACCCGCCGCCGCAGCTGTCGCCTTTCCTGCAGCCCCACGGCCAGCAGGTGCCCTACTACCTGGAGAACGAGCCCAGCGGCTACACGGTGCGCGAGGCCGGCCCGCCGGCATTCTACAGGTACCCGCGCCCGCGCCGCCCGTCGGGGTGGCCGCCGCGCCCGGCAGGAGGGAGGGAGGGAGGGAGGGAGAAGGGAGAGCCTAGGGAGCTGCGGGAGCCGCGGGACGCGCGACCCGAGGGTGCGCGCAGGGAGCCCGGGGCGCGCGGCCCAGCCCGGGGGTTCTGCGTGCAGCCCGCGCTGCGTTCAGAGTCAAGTTCTCTCGCCGGGCAGCTGAAAAAAACGTACTCTCCACCCACTTACCGTCCGTGCGAGAGGCAGACCCGAAAGCCCGGGCTTCCTAACAAAACACACGTTGGAAAACCAGACAAAGCAGCAGTTATTTGTGGGGGAAAACACCTCCAGGCAAATAAACACGGGGCGCTTTGAGTCACTTGGGAAGGTCTCGCTCTTGGCATTTAAAGTTGGGGGTGTTTGGAGTTAGCAGAGCTCAGCAGAGTTTTATTTATCCTTTTAATGTTTTTGTTTAATGTGCTCCCCAAATTTCCTTTCATCTAGACTATTTGATTGGAAATATGTCAGCTATGATGATGACTTTCTGGGAAGCGATTCCTGTCACCCGCTTTCCCCTCCTCCCCACCCCACGTCCTGGGGCTTTAGAGAGCGATTGGGAGTTGAATGGGTCTGATTTCGGAGTTAGCTGGCTGAGTCCGCGCTGGAGCGGATTGCTGGCATGTGACTTCTGACAGCCGGAAATTTGTAGGTGTCCCGCGAGTTTAAAACAAGCCATATGGAAGCACAAGTGCTTAAAAATAATCTCCTGCCAGCCCAGTGACAAGCCTGTCCCACCCGGGGAGAATGCCCCGGAGTGGCGTGCGGGTCAGCCAGGGTCTGCGCCTCGCAGCCACTGTGGAAGGAGCGCGGCCGGTCCAGGACACAGGAGACCACTTTGTGACTTCAATGGCGAAGGTTGTGTGTCCTCATTTTAATTTTTTTCCCTACAAGAATTGTTCTTTCTCCCTCTCCTCTCCCTCCCATTTTCTCTTGCCCAGTTTCTCCTTTTGTTTTTTGTTTTTTGTTTTCCTGATGGGCCTGCAGAGGGATTAGGTGGGCGCTTCTGGTGAACACCTTCCTAGGTGGCCACAGGACAGGTGTACCCCGGACTGGGTTTGGAAGCTTCAGGGCGCCACATGGCTGGGTCCTGAATTAGGCATTTCCCAACTGTACACTGGTATCCGGACTGGTGTCCCTATATCTTTCTGCCTTGTAAGCCGTGGACCAGTTTTTGTTCAGTATTCTGTTTCCAGGGATATTTATAGCAGAAGGAAGGGGACTAAAGTGCAGTTTGGCCCCAGAGGATACTGAAGGGCAGATTCTGGGGGTATTCAGTGTGCATCTTCAGCCGCCTTGGAGAAATTTAGAGCATCCCACAGCCACGCAGATCCAAGCTGTCTTTACTCAAAAGACAAACAATGAACAAAACTTTTAAAGGTTGGCATATTTCAAATTAATTTTACTTGTTTTAATTTAGGGTTAAAACAGAGAAAAAGGATTTCTTCTGCCCACCTTTTTTTTTTTAAATGGAAGAACAAAGTACAGCGATTAAGTCTAATTCCACACAACATTTAAAACTGCTTGATGTGAAGGAAGGCACTGGTATGATGTGAATTCCATAACCTTATGATGGACTCCAGAAACCATTTTCTTCCCTATTTAATTTTCAGTTCTTTTATTGCAAATTAATGCTGCTGAATTTCAATGGGCACTAATGAGACTGCTCCTTGGTAGATTATTTACTGCCTTGCTAATAATTACAAAGTGAACCTGGTCAAATACAGAGGGGATCGCATCTTATTCAAAATTGTTCATCATCCCAGTGATAAGTGGTATCAGTGTAATATGCCCTATCTTACACTTTCTGCATTACATGATATTCAAACACTCTTAGAATAATAAAAAAAGAGACAAGGAACTTAAAAATTAAAAAAAAAACTTGCACAAATGGGACTCTGTGTGGAAATTCAGTTTTAGAATGATTTTTCCTGTGTTTTATTTCCCGGATTATCTTTCCTCTTTTGTTAGAATTCTGCCTGTTATTATCCAGCAAGGAAAAGAAGCATCTATGCAAGTTCTTCATATGGACAGATATTATTTAGTATTTTTCCCCTCTCAGTTTTTCTGCTTAAATGACTCTGGGTATAAAGGAAAGGATTGATTGGGCTCTTTTAGGAAACTTTAAGTTTCTTAAGTAGTTCTCAAAAGTTTTGGGGCTGAAAGCAGTGTTTTCAAACTGCTTGTCATGACCCAGAGGGTCATGAACTCAGTTTAGTGAGTCTAGAATATTTTTTAAAAGGACTAAAATGGAAAGGAATATAATAGAAAATATCAGAGTGCATGGTATTTCGTAAGGATAAGTTTTGTTTCCTGAAAATCTGTTTTAATTATATGTGCTTCTGTGTGCTGATTGTGATGTAAAATGTATTTCTTACTGTGGATTGAATTCAAAGAAAAAATTAGAAAGCTAATGGCCTAAAATATTATATGTTCAGTAGAAAACAAAAAATTCAGGCAAGTGGCTGGTTGTTTTTACCTATACAAATCAAAAGGCTATTTTGATTGTCTTCATTTTCCCCTTATAAATTAGGTTGGTGTCTTTAGTCATTTAGGCTAAGTTTTACTATCTGATTCTTAACTTTTCTATTGTAGAATGGTGCTGTCATGTGGACTGTCCTCCCGAGTGTCCCACTGGATGTTCAGAGAATTTATGTGAAGGTCACGTCATTTAGCATTGAGATGCTGTGGTTACCTTCTTCCATTTCTTCCATAATATGCAGCCACATCTATGTGTGAAGAAATGTAATAGATAAAATTTCTCTGGACGCATAATAATGTGAGAAAGATTGTCACATGTCCCAGCAAATTGTTATTAATATAAATTTGTTACTTGGCAAGCTGAGATTTTGCAAGATGTTACTCAAAATTTCACAATGAAGGAAACAGGGAGTCATCTTATCCTGGGTTCCTTTTTTAGATTTCAAACAACTTAGGAACTTTGAATAAAACTAAAGATGAAGCTTAACTATATCAACTATCCTTTTTAAAGTTCTAATTAGGAATTTAATGCTGCATGCTTATTTCAGTTTTATTACTCAGTATTCTTAAAAGTTAGACGTCTCTCACTTCTCCAAAAAACTTGGCAAATGTATAAATCTTTTGCATCAAAATCAATGCCCTGCTAATTTGTATCCTGGCCATCTGCATATTTTGGACAACTAATTTTTCCACTGGTGATCATTTGAAACTCTTTCTCAACTTTGAATAGAGACTGATTTCCAAAGTGAGATTTAAGTGACTAAGTTTCAAGTTTCCGATACATTTTTCCTTTTACTTAGATAACATTTCAGCCCCCTTCCTTTCTGATCTTACTTTTTTATTAATTTAAATTGTTACTGATTACGTGACACTTTGTGCTGGTCTAAGAATAGTCCAGAGTCACATATTCCCTGGTGAATGAGCATATTTTCGGATGAAAACGGAATCACATCTTCAATCCCCATTTCATTTTCACCTCCTCCATGTGGCTTGTACCTGTTTGGAAGAAAGCTCCTGAAGGATAATTGCCACTTATTCTAATCTTTCTCACACTCATTTAATTTGGATCCCTGGCTAAAGTTGTTATTTACTTTTGTGATTATACTTAGTCTATGACATTCATAATTTGGGAAAATTCTCAGGTTTGAGAATTTTGGCGGCTTGGGATTTCTTTTAGTTTCTTATAGTTTTAAGGATATGTAAGACAGGTGTAAGAAACTGCCAAGGGGAGGAACCATAGATATCAGGAAAAACTAGAAAAGATGCCAGACTTACCATTAATGAATGATGAGACAATAGTAACTTTGTTAAGTGAGATTGTATATGTGAAAGTGGTATAGAAACTAAACAAACATTAGGTGTTTTTATTATTTTACTCACATGTTAATATTTGTTTTGGTGCTTTCATAGGCTAAAAAGCTGGGAAATAACAGATTTAAGTGGTCAGGAATTTTGTTATAAATATAGAATGATGATTATATGAAATCTTTTCCTGTGAAAGTCAAATTTAAGTAAAATCTTTATCACCATCTGCAACATTTGTCTGCAGCCTGGCTTACCAGGTTATCATAAAGAACATTTATTTTACAGATACATTAAAGAAAGTCAAAACCCTGATTATGTGTAAACAATTTTACATAAGGAAATATATGAATTTTAATTATATTTTTCTAAAATCCGTACTCAGCATGAAATTAATACATCTTAACCCCTCCCTGTGACTTCATTATTATTTTTAATGTAACTTTAGAAGAACCCAGTAGAGAGAGCAGCGTGCTAAGTGTGTTTCTTTCTTTTCCAGACAACTTTGAATGGAGAGGAGCAAATTAGTCTTTTGGTTTAATTCTGTCTCAGTTTGCTTATCTAAAGAAAGGAAAACAGAGTGGCTACACTTGTTTAGAACCATATGCATACTCCAGAGAAAGATGCTCTATTAATCCAAAAAATACAGCCACTTGAAACCAGCCAAAGCGAAAGTGTAAGGGACTTCATGGAAAGGAGGCAGTTCACCAAAGTTATTGAGGGGTTTTATATTTTAAACTCCGCCAGTGAATTGACGTGTAATGTCACTTACAAAAAAAAAAAAAGTATGTCTGAGCTGTTCGCTACTTCGTCTCTAAAATATACTCATACTGATCTCTGAAATCCCAGAATTTAAGTGGGCTGGAGGTTACGGGAAGCACCTTTATAATATCCTTAATCTCATGAGGGAAGAAACCATAATTGCTGAATTCTCTGCCTTGGATAATATCAGGAGGGACTCTGAAGAAAGTTTTGCAGTAATCAACAATGTTTTAAATTATGTGTATATTTTTAGATCACCTCAAAAAATATAGGAAGCACAGAATGACAACTATTCTGGTCTCAACTGACACAATTTTATGTAGTTTAATAAAGTAATAATTTCAAGAAACGTGGGCAAATAAGAAAGAGTATGACTTTCTTACAACCCGCTTGTAAGTGATGTGGTGGTGGTAATGATCCATGATTTTGATGATGACGATGATGATGAAAATGAAGTTTTTGTCTCAGTTTGGGTAGGTGGTATTTCTGGATGCCTCCTATGGACCCTGGAGATGTTCATCCTATACAGAAATCCAATCCTTTAAATCTACTTGGCTCATTGTTTTAGAATTCTAATTCCATAGTCTGAAAATTTTAATAATGATATTACCAATAATATTAGAAACTTATTAAGTACCTATAATTGCTATACAAAAAATTTAAAAGAACCCAAAATTCCAAGCAAGACTGAAAATTTTTTGTCTCTCCTCTGAACTATTTAGAGGGACAAATTAGTTTGTTCTTATAATATCTACTTTAAATAAATGTGCCATCTTTAATAAGATAGTAGACTTCTTTGTTTGGTAATGTTCTATTTTTTGGAGATCCTATGAGTTACACTTGGGAAAATTATAAAAGTTCACTTAAAGTTAATAAAATCCATTAAGTAATGTTCAGAACTAGACATTTCCAAATGAGCCCTTGAAAAGCTCAGGTGGGTTCTTTTTGAGAGTTCCCCAAATGTTGTCAACCCCAGGAGGAATGGAAGACCTCTGCAGTTTTGTTATTCAGATTCTCATCTCCTTCTCAGAAGCCGTAGAACTGGCCGGGCCCTAAGGTCCACGCTCCTTGGTTCCAGTTCTGTCTTCCATCCTTCGGTCCCGGGCTCATTCTGCCTGTTCCTAAACGGTGGCAAGTTAGGGGCCCCAGCAGCCAACTTGTGCTTACCTGGCACTACTTCCTGGGCAGTTTTCTTGGCTCCTTGACTTGTTGGGCGGCTTGGGATTTCTTTTATGGCCCTGAAAGCAAAAGACAATGTTCTCTTTTAGTTTCCTGCAATTAAATGATGTTAGAAATAGTCATCTTCACATTGGCGTACTTCCTCTTTCTTCTGTAGGTCTTTTAGAATTTTGAGTCCATTCTCATATTTTCTTGTTTCATTTGCTTTATTTTCTAATACATAGAAGTTTAAACTCCCTTTAAAGAGTTTTTGGCCTCTTTTACCCTATTAAGCTTTCTTTTTTCTTTTCTGTTTTAGTTGTTCCATCTGTGTATTCTCAGATATTTTTCTTTCACCTTTTCTGGTTTATTTCTTTATTGACCTGTCTCATCTGTTATTTTAATGAAATTTGGAACAGGGCTAAACAGAGTTCCTACCTCAGCCAGTATAAGAATATACCGTAATAACTCAGAGTGGTATTAACTAGATTAAAAGTTTCAAAAAGTGATGTTTTTCTTGTCTCTGAGGATAGAAACTTCAACAAAATAAAGAAGAAATTTTCAATTAGTAGAATTTCTTTGAAAGTTTGTTCATTCATTCATTTGGCTACCTTATTCCAAATTGAGTCATTCATTGAGGGCTTAGACTATATAAAGTGTGGTTTTGTTTTCCCAGCAGTTCATGCAACAGCATTGCACCTAGCAGCTGGGAAGTCTTATAGCATGAATAGGTGAGATTCTAATACCAGAATCTCCTGCATGTGTAAACTAACAGTGTAGTCTTGACTGTTGTCTCCCAGTAAACTTGGTTTCAGGAGTTTTAGATCCATGTGAACGTGTACAAGGCATTTTTGCTAACTGTAACTTCCCACTTAATCAACAAAAACAAAAACACTCATTTCTGAACATTCAGTGCATTCATGATTAATCTTAATTACACCACAAAGGTATTTTTCAATGGTGATTTTGCGGGAGTGGGGTAACAGTTTCGAAAGCAACATTGTCAGAAACATAGTTGATTTTAAAGGTTCTTTCTGGTGACTTTGACTTCTGCTTTTTTAGAAGACCTTACACAGAGTTGTATTTATTTCTCCTGGAATATTTCAAGCAATTCAGAGTGAAAGGGTATACATTCCAATTTGCGTATGAGATAAAATTTAGTTACATTGAGAAGCTATTTTCTTTAGTTACAGGGAAAAAATTGTAGGGCTTTTGGAAGCCTCTTTGATTTCTAATAGGAGGAATCCCTGAGCACTGGTCCAAACAGAAATCATCTCTTCTTCATTGCTGTATTTCCCTCAAGCTCTTAGCAAAGTGCATGGCACGTGAAAGCCCGGAGAAGCTGTTGGTTGAAAGAATGGATGGTGGTGGGCAGGAAGCATCAGGGACATGGTTTGCTTCAGTCTATTGGCTGGGAGAAAGGCCATTTAGGAAGGGATCCTTAGATGCCACTGGAAGAATGTGGGAAGTTTGTGAATCTCTCTTTCTCAGGAACAAAAGTAGAAAAAGGACTCCACACAGCATTCCAAGTACAGTCGGCCCTCATTATTCATGGATTCTGTATTTGCAAATTCGCTGACTTACTGACGTTTATTTGTAACCTTCGAGTCAACACTCACGGTGCTTTCTCAGTCCTTTGCAGACGTGTGGAATGGCAAAAAAATTTGAGTTATATGACGTATATGTTCCCAGCTGAGGCTGAGCAAGGCTCACTTCTCCTTGCAGCCCTCAGACTATAAACAAGTGTCCCTCTTGCTATCTACTTCGTGTTATGATTTTTGCATTTTCATAATCCCTGTTGATGATTTTGCTGTTTAAAATGGCCCCTAAGCATGGTCCTGAAGTACTGTCTAGGGATTCTAAGACAAGGCTCTGACGTGTCTTAAGAGAAAATACGTGTTTGATAAGCTTTATTCAGGCATGAGTTACAATGCTGTTGGCCATGAGTTCAATGATGGTGAATCAACAGGATATATTAAATACAGTGTTTTTGAACAGAAAAACATATAAAACAAGGTTATGTATTAATGAGTTGGCAAAAATGCTGTGACCAAAGGCTCCCAGGAACCTACCCTATTTTCCCCTCAATGCAATGGTTCAGTATTTGCTAATTCAGTGTTTGAGGTGACTTTATAGAACATGAGTACCATGAATAATGAGAATCGATTCTGTATAATAGAGTGATGAAAGCACAGGTCTGGGAGCCAGCAGCTATATTTCTATTCTGGCGTGACTCCTGTGTAGTTGTCATCACTGGCAAATTGCTTAACTGTGTGCCTCAGTTTCCTAATCTGTAAAAGCTACATCGTTTGGATGATGTGAGGATTAAACAAATTCATAGATGTCTAGGGCTTATAACATTCCTGGCACATAACAAGTCATTATTTTTTATTACTACTTCGGAAGGGAATTGAGTACTATACCCTGAAGAAGGTGAGTATGGGAATTCTCTACGGGTCTGGAATGTCCCTATATTTGTTTATTTTGCCTTCAAGTGACTAACTTTAATACCCTATTGTGATTAGAAGTTAAACTTCTGCAACCAAAAGGAAGCAGGAAGCTAGTATTTCTTGAAGTGCTTATTACATGCCAGGTACTGTGCTACAAAAACAAAACAAAACAACTGTAAAAAAAACTTCAAATTTGGCTGCGTGCAGCTGCTCATGCCTGTCATCCCAGCACTTTGAGGAACTGAAGGGAGGATTGCTTGAGTCCAGGAGTTCCAGACCAGCCTGGGCAACACAGTGAGACCCTGTCTCTACAAAAAAACAAAAACAAAAACAAAGGCACTCCAAATCAGTAAAAATTAATCAATCAATAAAAAGAGTGAGGGGCATTAAGTATTGTGGACTGAAGCAATCCCAGAGAGGGAATTAATTGAAGCTGAGGTAAGCAGCTTATGGAGAAGCTATGATGTACAGAGGGCAAGGAAGGAATTTTTCTGTAATTTGGAAAAATGGGAACTGTGAGAAAGAAGGAGTTGGAAGCTCATACTTAGGGAGCATCTACAAGGACGTCTTTTTCACGTTGGTTGGAATATCCAAATCAAGGATTATTTCAGAATCACCCAGATGATTAAAAAACTACTGAGATCCAGGTTGTATTTCAGCAGTTCTGACAATTGCTCTGGGTCGAAGCTTGAATCAGTAGTTAAGAAAAACAACAAACAAAACAAATTTTGGGGCTTTTCTCACTGATTTACAGTTAAAGCTCATTTACTCTTCCTATGACTTTAGATGGAGGATATTTCCAAGTCTTCAGGATGGAGACATGGAGGGAAGTGAGACTAGTGATGTGCCTCAAGGTTTTGCTGTTGTTCTAACCATGAGGAGCACTATTCAAACCCAGGTCTGCTAGATTTCCAAGTCTTCATTTCCTTGGGCCTCTTGGATTTCAGAAGCAGAGGGTAAAAGGAGTGCTGGGGAGAAAGATCACAGTAGCTTTCAATTCTACTCCTCAGCTTTCCAAAATAAGTTTCAAGACTGGCCGTTGCATTTGATATGGAATAAATACAAAGAAGGTAGATTGAAGGGTATGAAGATGCAGATTTTTGATACCAGATATGAAGATAACATTAGGAAGCAATCTAAAACATGGACACAAACACACACCTGTGCCAGTTAGCCTGTATAATTCGATTTTTGTTAAGTGTTTAGATAACTGAAGGTAATTTAAGCCCTCATATCTTCCCTTCATAGGGTTCTTTTTCCCTCTGGTTCATCAGAGAGTTGCCACCAATTCAGGCTGTTAGTGGTACACATAACCTCTAGCATTGTTGATACAGCTATAAAATCCCAAATATCAGTACAATTGTTGATTGCATAAAATTTCCAGTTGCATGGTTGGAAAGTCCTGTAAGTTTGAATCCTTAAACCAGTCTTAAATGTGGAGGAGGACTCAATTAAAGCTCTCCTCGTGTCCTCCCTCTGACGTATTTGCAAAATCCTTTCCACAAATAGAATACTGTTTTTAATGCTTCCCCAGTCCAATTTTGCGTTGTAGAAGACGAATTTATGGATGAGGGAAGTGGCATTCAGGCACTCCAGCTTGGTATAGAAGCCCATGGTGTCTGGTCCTCAGTCCTCAAGCCCGCTCATTTCCTCATGTGAACTCAGAATAAGCAGCTGAAAGCAAGTCTTCAAAATCTCAGAGATATGTATAAATGCAAGTGTTTGGGTGAGAAGTGAACATGGGTCTCCTCTAGTGCCCACACTACTTGACTAACAGGTTTTGGGCTCCACACAATGAGGGATTATCAACCCCTGTCCCAGGGCTCTCTGGGTCTTGGTTCTTTGTTTTTGATGCTCAGCAATTGTGATCAGTGAAACCAATGTTGCTTTTCTATCAAGAGTCCAACCCTTTTCTAAGAAGGGTTGTGTTTGATATTAGGGAATAGCTAGCAAAGTTATCAAGTAACTTGTAGAAACATTCTTTTGCAAGAGTTCTTATACTGAATGACTGTAGTTGACAGCAGTGCAGTACTGGTCATTTTCTAGGACATCTTAAAAACACTGATGAGAAGTTTCCTCTCAGATGTCTGTCATGTCATTCTTGCCTTTCTCTACACAGGGTCAGTTTTCTCTTATTGCTGTTAGGAGTTCCTCATTGGTTTTTCAGCTTTTGGGCTTTCAAACTCTAATTAATCATAAGCTACTAGAGTGTACTACCTAAAGTGTGTATATACACATATATACACACACACACACACATATATATACCTGGTATACATATATATATATAATATACATATATCATATATACTCCCCAACCTGATCTGGTTCTTCCTCTGCATAAAAGACCTCAGGCCAGTCAGAGAAAACATGTATGTTCCATGGTGTGGCAATCAAGCCCTTGTATTTGGTTCCAATCAGTCTCCTAACTATTACTCCAAGAAGCTCTTGTTGAAAGAGCCATGTTTAAATGGCATGTTCCTACTTTCTTCTTCATAGTGATCTTCATCTGTACCATGTACCCTTCTTTCTTCTTGTTCCATCTCTGTTAGGCTGATTCTACCCAGAAGTCAAGGTTCAGCTCAAATGCTATCCCTATCAGGTGAATTTTCCACCTGGCATTTGTTCGGTGTGCATTGTGTGCATACAGCACCTTTTCCCGGTACCTTTACTGTAATCACCAGATAATTCCTTTCATTTTAGTTGTAAATAGAGTTGTCTTCCCCCTCTATGGAATAGATTTTATTAATGTATAGAGCAGCAGTCCCCAGCCTCTGGACCATGGACTCGTACTGGTTTGGGGCCTGTTAGGAACTGGGCCGCACAGCAGGAGGTGAGCAGTGGGCATGCAAGTGATGCTTCATCTGTATTTACAGCTGCTCCCCATCGCTTGCATTATGCCTGAGCTCCGCCTCCTGTCAGATCAGCGGTAGCATTAGATTTTCATAGGAATGCAAACCCTACTGTGAACTGTGTATGTGAGGGATCTGGGTTCTTCTTATGAGAATCTAATTCCTGATGATCTGTCATTGTGTCCCATCACCCCCAGATGGGACTGTCTAGTTGCAGGAAAACAAGTTCAGGGCTCTCACTGAATCTACATTATGGTGAGTTGCATAATTATTTCATTATATGTTACAGTATAATACTAATAGAAATAAAGTGCGCAATAAATGTGATGCACTGGAATCATCCCAAAACCATCCCCAGTTCCATCTGTGGAAAAATTGTCTTCCATGAAACCGGTCATGGAACTGGTGCCAAAAATGTTGGGGACCACTCTTATAAGGCATATTAGAGTAATTTCATAGATTTCCTAATTCATTTATCATATTCATTCACTCAGCAAGCATTACTGGATGTTGATCATGTACTGGCTTTGGTGGTAGGTGCAGAGATTGGGAACATTGTCATCAAGGAGTTTATGGTTGAGTGAGGGAGATGACAAGTGGATAGACAATGAAAAAACAGTAGAATAAGAACTGTGATAGAAAAGAGACAGCCAGGAGCATTGAGGAGAGGCACTTAACCAGATGGAGGATCTTGGTCCATTGATATGGAGGTCAAAATGGTTTAATAGAGCAAGTGACCCTTTCAACTGAATTTTTTAAGAATGAGGATTTAGCCAGACAAAGAAGGGCAGGTGAGGTTGTGAAGAGGAACTGAGTGGTACTCTTCAGAGCTCCAGCCCAGTTCCTTGGACAGAATAAATGCTTACTAACTTATAGAGCTGAATATTGAATTAATAAAATAAGGGTAAACTGTTAAGAATCAGAGAAATAACTTAAAGAACACTGATAGCTAGTGTTTTTTGAACACCATGTACCCAGGTGCCTTGCCGAAAACCTTAATGATCATCTTGTTTAAACCTTACATTTCTCATAAGAGGCTGGTACTATTGTTATTCTCATTTTATGGGACGTAGAAACTAAGACTTGGAGAGGGGAAGTGACTTGCCCAAGGTCATACAACCAGTACTGGAGAATTAGGGATTCTAGATCTAGAATTTGGACTCTGGAGCTTAAGGTTTTAACCCACGACATTATGCAGAGAAATTGACAGGATTTTTCTGTTGCTGATCAATTTACTTGGCAGTTAGTTTGTTACTTCCTTGTCTTTATTTTAGTTGTGACAATGCTTTCATCTTAGACTGTGTCCCGAGGCTGCTGCTTTTATTTTTATGGGAAATGGCTATTTTTATGATCCTTGCTAAAAGCATGTTTAAACAATTTTCCATTAAGTAGGGGGATGTTTTTCCTTCTAATATCAGAAGCCAATAAATGAAATTCTACAAAGACTTGCTGGTAGCAACCTTAGGAATTTCTTTGCATGTGAAACCCATCTGAGAACTTAAAATCTGGGTAAAATTGTAGTGTAATTTGGTGCAATCGTCTCTTTGCACAAATAACATCATAAAATCATAGTATTGTCATCTAGGAGGGGCCTTAGACATGATGGAATCCTACCTTTTATATTTTCCAGGTGAAGAAATCAAAGTCTAGAAAGGTGAAGGAACTTCCCCCAAAGTTTCCCAGCTGGTAGAGACAGAACCAGGGCTAGGTCCTCTATTCTGACTCCTGACCACTACCTCACACCTAATAGATGGAGGCATGCCCAGTTCCTGTTCACCGAGGGCATCAGACCATGCCATACTCATTGCTACTGTTCCAGCATTTATAGTAGAAGCTCAAGCAAGCAGGATGACAGAATACCTAATTCTGGTCACTACAACATTATAATGATGGCTAAAGTGAATGCCCCAGCCATGCTTGTCTAGACAGGCCATCTGTTTAATTGGTATATGGTTCACGTGAGAATTTTTAACCTCTGTTTGTCGAGTCGGTGTTAGTTCTCTAGTGATGAATTATTTCCTATACTTCCATTTAGATTATTTACTCTTAATTTAATAACCATACATTGTTTACTTTGGTATTGAAGATTCCCTTGTTTTTCTTCTTTTTTTCTGTTTCCAGGGCTTAAAGGTTAGGAGTGACCTTGCCAGACTTCCCTGGAGACTTACACTGTCTCCTTTCAGATTTCTGAAGCAGTTGGGTGCTATTTTTAGTCCACTATCACCAATGTGAAAATGGAACTTGCATTATTTCATTATAGATATTTCACTTTAGTATTGACAGAATTAAAAAAATAATTTGATCTGTGCTTGATCTAGCAGCCAGGTTACAATAGACATTTTTAGTTACCTGGTCCACATGTTGAAAAACATGTGTCTTCTCTGAGACTAATGACTAAGCCCGATGTTGGTTATATACTGTTTACTATTAAATTTTCCCCTTGTAGTTTAATATTGTTCCAGGAAATGAAATGAAAGTTTAATAAGAATGGCAATTGATGGACCCATATGTCGGAAGTATAACTAATGTCCCCGTTACATGTGTTAAAGAAAGGCATGGCTGGTGGGTTGTAACTGTACTACACCAAGATGATTTGACACAACTTATTCTACAGAGATATATATTTATCAGGATAGAATTTATAACTAAACAAAACTATAGCATTTTTTCACTTTGATTTTTTTTAAATGAGTCAAAGAACTGCTAGAATTGTCAGTTAAAAAATTTTAAAAGGAGATATGAAAAAATCTTACAATTCACAATGCTGTAAAGAGATAATGTAGGGATTAATATGTTCTTGATATCAATATTTTATGACTTTTATACATGTAGAAGCAAAACAATTTGAGGTAGGTGAAGTTAGTATGGACTTCTTGAGATTGTCCTTCACATTTCTTTTCCTTTCGGTGAAAAATTGAAGGCCAAAATGTATTTTCTTCTGGTTTTGAAAATACTGTCAAGATCCTTGCAACAAAATGAGTTCCTCTAAGGAGCTGAAAACAAAGCTCACTCCCCTCGTGATACTCTGAGAGGCTTTGCTCAGCATCCTGCATTCTGGTGATTCCTTGGAGACAGATGATGCTAAACACAGGAAGATTAGGTCAATGGTAACTTTTTCTAAGTCAATATTTCTTCTCCTTGGGAGATGATCATTTTAAATCTTCCCGAAGTCCAGGCTAAACCTTTCTAATTGAATCTCCATGAAGGAGAGCTCCAGCAGGTGGAGAGGAAGTGAGAAAGAGAAATGAAAGCTGCACGCCTCATGACGCTGTGCCAGGGAGTTCTTAAAGGTGAGGGAGTTTCTTTTTGGTAACCTAAGCTATGTGAATCAGAAGGTTCATTAGCTTGTTTCTTTTTCTTTTTTGTAAACTCCTACATAATTTTAGTAAACAGGAACAGTAACCTAATGTGATATCCCACTGGCCCAAGACTTAGTGCATCTTCAAAGTTGCTTAATTATGTCCGAAACAGACTTTTGTCTCTTGATGAGAAAAGCATGGTTAAACGTGTGATGATTTCCTATTGTCCTGAGCTCAGATCTGTAATTGTGGCCAGATTCATGCATCTCTGCTGCCTTCTCTTAGAAGAATCATATGTAGGCTTGTCAGATAAAACAGGATGCCCAGGTAAACTGGAATTTCAGTTAAATAACAAATAACATTTTAGCATGTCCCATGCAATATTATACTAAAATATTATTTGTTGTTTATCTGAAATTCAAATTTAATTGAATGTCCTGTATTTTTGTTGGTTACATCTGGCAGCCCTAGCCATGCTGCCTTTCTGCTTAATGGGCTTAATTTTTTGAAGGCTGGAGGTTTTCTGTTATGGTGCCCGTTTCCACCTGCTTTTCTACCAGGAAAGGAGGCATGCTGATGTAGAATTTGCATCCTTATTTTTGTCATTATTATTGATTATAACAGATGACATAGGTTTAGATTAAACCTACAATGACATTGCTGTCATTCAGATAATTGTAATTATTGCTAATTGTAAAGAAGGATAATTTTTTTTGAAATGACTATTATTTGTTTTTTGTTTTTGTTTTTGTTTTTCTTTTTTTCTAATTATACTTTAAATTCTAGGGTACATGTGCACAATGTGCAGGTTTGTTACATATGTATACATGTGCCATGTTGGTGTGCTGCACCTATTAACTCATCCTTTACATTAGGTATATCTCCTAATGCTATCCCTCCCCCCTACCCCCACCCCACGACAGGTCCCGGAGTGTGATGTTCCCCACCCTGTGTCCAACTGTTCTCATTGTTCAATTCCCACCTATGAGTGAGAACATGCGGTGTTTGGTTTTTTGTCCTTGGGATAGTTTGCTGAGAATGATGGTTTCCAGCTTCATCCATGTCCCTACAAAGAACATGAACTCATCCTTTTTTATGGCTGCATAGTATTCCATGGTGTATATGTGCCACATTTTCTTAATCCAGTCTATCATTGATGGATGTTTGGGTTGGTTCCAAGTCTTTGTTATTGTGTATAGTGCCACAATAAACATACATGTGCATGTGTCTTTATAGCAGCATGATTTATAATCCTTTGGGTATATACCCAGTAATGGGATGGCTGGGTCAAATGGTATTTCTAGTTCTAGATCCCTGAGGAATCGCCACACTGACTTCCACAATGGTTGAACTAGTTTACAGTCCCACCAACAGTGTAAAAGTGTTCCTGTTTCTCCACATCCTCTCCAGCACCTGTTGTTTCCTGACTTTTTAATGATTGCCATTCTAACTGGTGTGAGATGATATCTCATTGTGGTTTTGATTTGCATTTCTCTGATGGCCAGTGATGATGAGCATTTTTTCATGTGTCTGTTGGCTGCATAAATGTCTTCTTTTCAGAAGTGTCTGTTCATATCCTTCGCCCACTTGTTGATGGGGTTGTTGTTTTTTTTCTTGTAAATTTGTTTGAGTTCTTTGTAGATTCTGGATATTAGCCCTTTATCAGATGAGTAGATTGCAAAAATTTTCTCCCATTTTGTAGGTTGCCTGTTCACTCTGACGGTAGTTTCTTTTGCTGTGCAGAAGCTCTTTCGTTTAATTAGATCCCATTTGTCAATTTTGGCTTTTGTTGCCATTGCTTTTGGTGCTTTGGACATGAAGTCCTTGCCCATACCTATGTCCTGAATGGTATTGCCTGGGTTTTCTTCTAGGGTTTTTATGGTTTTAGGTCTAACATTTAAGAAGAAGGATACTTAAAGTATAAGGGAAAATGTTACAATGTATGAAGGGAACATGAAGAAATAGAATCTGGTAAAAAAGAGTTCTTGCTTTTGGGAGGCCAAGGCCTCCTGGCTAACATGATGAAACCTCATCTCTACTAAAAATACAAAAAATTAGCCGGGCGTGGTGGCACACGCCTGCAGTCCCAGCTGCTTGGGAGGCTGAGGCAGGAGAACCACTTGAACCCAGGAGGTGTAGGTTGCAGTGAGCCAAGCTTGCACCACTGCACTCCAGGCTGGGCAACAGAGCGAGACTCCATCTCAAAAAAAAAAAGAAAAAAAAGAGTTCTTGCTTTCAAAACTATGGATTAGGTAACTTTTGTGAATGAGTAAGATCATGAGTATTATAAAAATAGCACCTTTCTTTTTTGTCTTGGGGAAATTATCTTATTTTTTAATTGGATTTCAGAAAAGAGTATTTCAGAGAAATAAATCTCTGAAATGCTTTTTGAAGTGTGAAAGATTTAGAAGACAAAAGCAAACCTCCTGTCTAGATAAACATTAAAGAGATCTGCCCTCCCCTCCTCTACCTATTCAGGTTGCAACACTTTGGGGGTGGCTGCCTTGGTAGAGCTTGATCGTGACTCTGGTGGCTTGGGAGATGGCATGCTGCACAAGGGATTCATGGTTACAGCGGGCTTGTGGGACTGGGGCTCTCCAATACGTGGTTGGGTTTGTAAAGAAATCAGAGCTATGGTGTGAACAAAAGGATATGCATGGGAGACAGTGAGACAAGGAAATGCTCCAGAAATTATTGGAATATAGGTCAGATAACTAACTGTACTTGTGCCATTTTCTGGGGGAAAATTCTCTGAAGGCTTTTTGGGAAAAGAATGGAAGTGAGAATTCTCAGGTCCTCAAAATATTTCCTTTTACTCAGTCCTAACCTGAGGCCGTTAAAGAATTCCCAGAGTCACGATGGAAGGCATGTTTGGGAGTAAGAGCCAGAGTGAGGGTTAGAAATGTGTTGTTGGCCAGGTATGGTGGATCATGCCTGTAATCCCAGCACTTTGGGAGGCCAAGGCAGGTGGACCACCTGAGGTCAGGAGTTTGAGACCAGCCTGGCCAAAATGGAGAAACCTCGTCTCTACCAAAAATACAAAAATTAGCCAAGTGTGGTGACACGTGCCTGTAATCGAGCTCTTCGGGAGGCTGAGACAGGAGAATCACTTGGACCCAGGAGGTGGAGGTTGCAGTGAGCCAAGATCATGCCACTGCACTCCAGCCTGGGTGGCAGAGCAAGACTCCATCTCAAAAAAAAAAAAAAAAAAAAAGAAAGAAATGTGTTTTCCAGGGTTCTGGGTACTTAGGAATTTGGTTGCTTTTGCAGGTGGAAGTGGAGGTGACTAGGTAACAGCTGAGTGATTTTGCCCCAGTTGGACATGAGCCAGGTTGAGCAGAAAGCCCTGGGATGCGGGGAGGGGGGTGGCGGGGAAGGAATTGAAAGTTGGTTGTGTGGTTTGGCTTTGGCTTCATGGCATGCTCACACCTTGCTTCGCATAGCATGCTTAGACTACAGCAGGAGCATCAGGAAGTGGATTTCTGAGCTCAATACAAAAAGTTATAAATACCACCTATAAGGGCAATAAAGATATATAGTTGATTTTCTTCTTTGCAAGGCCAAATCTTATAGGAACATAAGAGCGAATGAGTTACAGCCTGGGAATTTGAGCCTTATATTCAGAGATTTTAGGTTGCTTCTGATTCCGCTGTCTAGACAAAACCATGAGAGGATAGTGTCTAGAAATGAGAGGAAGCTCTTCCAATGCAGAGGCTAGAATGTGTCAGCCTGTGCTGCGAGGCCTGGGATAGATGTTTCTGAAAAGTAAAAGGGCAGCTTTCCTACTGGATACTTGATCCTCAGGCTCTAGAAAACTCTGCTTTATTAACTTTGTTGACTTCCTAGGCACCACATGGGATCCTTGTTCTTCCTCCTTGTAAGCAGTAATTGAAATCAGTTTGGCAGCCTGGTTTACAGTGACCATGGTGGCTTGTCTCCCGTGCTCTTACCTCACTCTGTTGATGTTGTAAAACCTCCAGCTAACTTCATGGGGTGGCTGACCCACGTTGCTCATTTATTCATTCAACACATATTCATTGACCATCTACTCTATGCCAGGTATTGTTATCAGCACTGGGAATAGATCAGTGAACTATTGATCTATTTGTCTAATGGGACAAATTGACAAATTGGGAAAGATTCCATTACACAGGTGACATTTAAGCAAAGTCTTGAATAAGGGAGGGAATAGTACCATGAGATATCCTGGTGAAAAGCAATTTAGGCTGAGGGCACAGCAGGGAAGAGGCCCTGATGTGGGAACATCCCTGGTGTCTTGAGGTACAGAGGCCAGCATGGCTGGCACGGAGTAAGAAGTTGGAGGTGCCGGGCATGGTGACTCACACCTGTAATCCCAGCACTTTGGGTGGCTGAGGCAGATGGGTCACCTGAGCCCAGGAGCTTGAGACCAGCCTGGGCAACATGGTGAGACCCCATCTCTACAAAAAAATACAAAGAAAATTAGCCAGATGTGGTAGCATGCATCTGTAGTCCCAATTGCTTGGGAGGCTGAGATGGGAGGATCAAATTACTTGGGAGGCTGAGATGGGAGGATCACTTGAGTCCAGGAGGTGGAGGTTGCAGTGAGCTGAGATCATGTCAGGGTGACAGAGCGAGACCCTGTCTCAAAAAAAAAAAAAAAGAAAAAGAAAAAAGAAAAAAAAAGAAGTTGGAGGTGAGTAAGGAGAGGAACGTGGGGGACAGAGTCCTCAGGACTCTGGCTTTTACTCTGAGTGAGTCGAAAATCCAATTAAAGGTTTGAAAGAGAGGAATGACCTGATCTGACATTTTATTGTGAACGTTTTCAAATCTTTACAGAAGTGGAAGAGCATAACGATCCTTCATGTACACATCGCCCAGCTTCAACTATGATGTTTCATTTGTAAATATTTCCGTCTACACTTCCAAAGGATGATGACTATTTTTAAAAGTCCAACTATAATACCATTATATTTTAAAAGTTAAAACACTATGTCTTTAAATATCAAGAGTTTGTATTGATTCGCACTTTGAAGGTCGAGCTGATGAAATTTCCTGAGGGGTTGGATGTGACATGAGAGAGGAGTCAAGTATTGCATGGTAATTAAAAACCTTTGCAGCATAGTCCATTTACCGAAAGACTATATGTATGCACTTCAAAGCAGGTTTTAAAGATTAACATCAAGCATCTGGCTTCATGAGTTTTAACTTCTTTTCATAAATGTTATACAATGTCATCATCTCTCCAGCTAGAGAAAATGCTATTATTCTTATTTTCAAATGAGGAAAATGACGCAGAATTATTTACATATTATGTAACTTGGTCCCAAGTCCCTTAGATACTGGTTTAGAAAATCCTAGTAAACTGGAAGTGACTTATCCAAAATTAAAATTTATTTTGCTCTATTGTCTTTTGTTGCCTATGGGAACTTTGTGCAGGTAACTAGGCACATGTCAGGACTGATTTACTGACCTCTCAAGGTATCTTTAATTATTTTGGGGGATATCACGGAATGAGTTCTACACAATTCATTTGAATCGAATTGAACTTAAGAAAATTCAAATGATGCATTGGCTGCCTCCTATTTATTACATGCTGCTCATAGGCATAACAGCATAGTCTAACAAGTATAAAACCTGTGTAACTGTAGCTTTCAGTGCAGTGTGATGAGGGCTGAGAAGATAGTGGTACAAAGAAGAGAGGTAGCAGAGTGAAGCTGAGTCAATATGATGAAGATTTCTCTAGACTTGAAAGGGCTAGAAAAGGTTATTCTTGGCAGGAAAAAAACATGAGCCAAGGCATAAGGATAAGCACAGGCATGGCAGATTTGGGAATGTCATGTAATTTGTTGCTGGGCTGCAAAGTACATGGAAGGGGAGTGAAGGAACAGAAGGAGATGAATCTGGAGGGAGAGGTTAAAGTGTTCCAGAGAGCAATATGTAGGTGTTACTCTAAGTCAAAGAGGTCGTAATAGCATGTCCAGACTCCAAAACTCTAAACAAGTCATAGAATTGCTGCCTTGGTAGGGCATATCACACACATCAACCCAATCCTCTGTCACCATGACATCCATATAACTGCAACTCTATACATTTCCCAGCCTATGTTCCCAGAGTCTCCAGATGACATTGTCTGCAAACTGCACTGCAGAAGGCTCTGCTATGTCTTCTTAAAAGTAAGCAAGACTGTTTTCCTTTGTTACATGAGCAGCAAAAGGATAGGGTGCTCTTTGACCTCACTTACTGTAGGGTGGATAGGAAAGTCAAGGAAGAGTAACCCAGAAGATTTAGTTTTAACTTTCGCATCAAAGAGGTCCCTTAGCATCTGCTCAGAGATGTCACAATTTCTGGTGTGTGATTATGTTTAAGAATTCGGCCTTGCCACTGTTGAAGTTGTTCTGTGGAAAAAGAACCTCTCTTAATTTTACATGATGCCCAACTTCTCTTTTATTCCAGAATCACTCATATGCTGTTGGACTCTTTCCAGCCATGTGTGCTAACCTAGGCAATGTCATAATAGATGAATTATGTTTACTTTGTCTTTGATATCTCAGCTCTTTTATCTTCTATTCAAGTTCCCACCTCCATCATTACTGATAGTGTTCGTTGAACAAAGAATATGTCAGATATACAGAAGTGTTTCTCCCCTTTTCTCTGTCTCTCTTTTCCTTCCTTTCCTTTAGTTTCCTTTCTCTGTCTGTTTTCTGATGCCTCATTTTAGAAAAGTGATTTTTTTTGTGGGAAAATCATTTTAGCATTAGAAACGCAATGGCTATCACTGACAGCTTCCTCTGATGAAACGGCCATTTGTCATCATTACACGGTCATGGGAGTGCTAAGAAGACTTAAATGCAGGGCTACCACCCCTTCCCAATTCATCTTTTATCCATTTTATTTCTCTAAGGAAAGGGTTTGAAAAATGGGCTTTGCCCTCTTGGATGCAGTGAAGAAATTCTAGCTGGCTACAGATGTTATTGTTGGTCGGAGGCAAGGGATAAAATCATGGTCACACCATTGTAGCGCCAGATGGGGAATGTAGCAAACATAGTTGTAATTTCTCATTTTACAGATGAAGAAACTGAGGTGCAGAGGGGTTCGGTGACTTGTTTAAGGCATGTAATTGTTATTGGCAGCTTTCTGTTCAGAACTTAAGAGTATGAGTCAGTCTAGATCTTTTCATCACAATACTCTGCTCCTCTTACTTTTTCCTGAAATTTGTCACATTGACAGCAATGTGATCCCTAATGACACACAGATTCCCAAATAATTTTTGTAGTAAAAATTTCCATTTGCAATTCTGGACATGTGTGTGTGTGGAATTTTATGTGATGACATATTGGTCCTATCTTTTGAATAGGATCATAAATGAAATGACTTATGGATCACATTCAAAAGCAGGCCAGGGGCCAATGTGTAAGCAGGTGGGTTTTCATATTTGGAGTTCTGTACTTTTGTGTTAGTCAGTGGGTCTAGGACTCTTGTAGTGTATTTCCCAAGGGCCAAAGTCTTCTGCCTTGAGGTGTCAGCTTTCCAAGGCAGAGGCTGGATGCTTTCTCTTCCTTCTGGGCTCCTTTCTCTTAGGCTTCCCCCTTCTCTTCTCCTCCATTTGTATCTGTCCTTTTTCTCGGTACTTTCCCTGGCTGGTCTCAGCTAGATGCTCACTCAATGCTGTTGAATAAATGAATGAATTTCGTAGTAATTCTGCAGGTAAATCAAGTTATTGTCTCCCAATACGGTGCTATGCTTTCTGAGGAAATTAGACTGGAAGTCAGGCTTTTTAAAAAAGAAGATGTGGTGTCAAATTGCAGCTCTCTCTCTCTCTCGACTTACCTTTTTTCTATCATCCATATGCCTTCTTTCTTGTATCTTTGGGTTCCCAGACCTCACCATTCATTAGCACTTGGAATGGATTGGTAAGAATAAAGAAAGGAGAGGTGGTGAAACTCAGCTTGGGTCATCTGGTTACACATTAGTAACTGACAAAAGATAAAAAGATACAGACTAAATGGGTTTTTAGGGAACTTTTTCCAGTCTATTCTTGTTTCCCATTAGTGTGAAAAATCAACACTTGCTTGTATTTTGGGGTGAAGACATTTTTCTTAAGTGAGTGGGAAAGCCTCTTGACATTTTACCGAGAGCCTTAAATTTTGAATGGTGAATGCTAATGTTCTTTGTGCATAAAGAATTTCAGAACTTGTATATATGAGCATTAATGATGCATCATTTTCTATTTGTGAGTTAAACTAGGTATTATCTGTAATCATATTTTTAGGAAACATTCAAACTTTCATCAAGTCATTCTCTTATATGACTCTCAGCTCCATTAACTCTGTTTTCATGGAACTCAACAGAGTTCTTAACGTTTGCATTATAAATTAAATTAGCATTTCCCCTCAAAGAAGTATTGCTGTCCTTACAATAAATAATTGTAGACAATTTCTTTTCTTTTCTTTTTTTTTTTTTTGAGACAGGTTCTCTCTCTGTCACCCATGCTGGAGTGCAGTGGCACAGTCACAGCTCACTGCAGCCTTGACCTCCTGGGCTCAAGCAATCTTCCCACCTCAACCTCCTGAGTAGCTAGAATTATAGGTGCACACCAGACCTGGCTAATGTTTAAATTTTTTGTAGAGTTGGGGTCTTGCTATGTTGCCCAGGCTGGTCTCTAACTCTTGGGCTGAAGCATTCCTCCCACCGCAGCCTTCCAGAGCAGTGAGATTACAGGTGTGAGCTACCATGCCCAGCTAATTGCAGGTGATTTCTAATGGGATTTAGTATTTCTGGGTTTAAGGATGAGATCTGAGGTAATGACTTTGTTTCCAGATGTGAAATAATTTGCTCTTGGGTTGTGAGCCCTTTGGGTGGGCTCCCAAGGATCCTGCTCTCTTCCAGGAGCCCAGGCTCTGGGGTCAGACTGCCTGGGTCCTTGACTCCCTGTTTTCTGATTGTACAACTTTGGTGAGTGGCCTAATTCCTCTGTGCCTTGGCTACCTTGGTTACTATTTCTAAAACAACTGGTGTTGTAGTAGTACTGCTTAGAGTACTTTCAAGGGTTAAATGAATTAATCCATGTAAAACGCTTAAAATAGTGCCTGCCACAACCATCAATTTAGTGTGAAAATCTGCTCACCTGCTTGGCCAGCCCCTTTCACTTTATTAAACCAAGGGTCGTGCTGGGTTTTCCAGAAGTCTAAGTTGCGGTCTAATCTTTGTGCAGAAGCTGAAATAGCAGCCATAACGTTCTCCCTAGATGATTTCGTGGAGCTTCTTTGAACTGTATCTATCTCCAGTCATTTTTGTGGAAGAAATTTTCTTCTGTACTTTTTAGGGATGAGAATTACCTGCCTTGGTTTATTAACTAAAAGACACCATGATTACAAATAAAATTAAATAAATATTGTATCACTAAATAGATAATATGAGATAGATGTATTAAGTTTTCAGATAAACAGTATAAAAGAGCTAGAGTAATTTGTAAAAAGTTGGGAGGACCTATTTTGTCATGCAGGAAACAATTTTTAACTTGCCTACCCCAGAACATAGCTACCACATGGTTAGGGTTTGCCCAAACCTGGCCCAGGAGTCATTTACCTTGAGCTTTCCTAAAAAGGAGGATCAGGATTTTCCTCTCCAGACTCTATCATTTTAGGTAGAGTCCTTCTTGTCAATTCTTTTTAAGAACATACATTTACTTTTGTGGAAAATAAATAGATACAAAATAAATACATACAAAATTGCATAGCAATTAGAAATACCCAGGAGGTATGTTATGGTCACAGACACAAACTGCCTCCAACTTCTGTCCATCCATAGTGATATTTAAAGCAGAGAGAGGTACACAGGTAACCACATTTAGATGGACTGGGATGTTGCCACACATACAAGCATTGATAACTGGCTTCTCATTACCTGAATACATTCTTCTGTCAGAGCAACAGACTCAGCTATGCTTCTGGCAAAATTGTTCTTAATTCTCTATTGATTAATTTATTCGGTAAGTATTTATTGGGTATTTTCTGTCTGAAAAGTGCGATTCCAGGTGCTTTATGTGTCTCTGTGTGTGGGTGTTATATAAATACTTATAATACTGTATCCATACTCTTGAAAAGCTTAGTTGGGAAGGCAAGGCATGCAATAAGGAACACAGAATTTTAGTCATTCCACAACCATCTGTTGAATGGCTGCTATTGTTAGTATCGTGGTGGAAACTGAGAAGCAAAGATGACTATAATAGGATCTCTTTTCTGGAGATGCACAGTGGACACGTAGTTATATGATGATGATAAGGACTCCAGAATAGTTCTATACATGATGCTCTGGGGCCACATGCAGATTCTGATGAGAAACAATTAACTCTTTTTGGCTGCTACCTGAGAAGGGGTAATTGTCACTCAGGAGGTTTTTGCCTTTTGACCAACATAGAAAGGAGTGTGAGTGAAGGCTAGAGGTGTACTAACTTGGTCAGGGCAGGGTGACACATAAAATTAACCATCACAGGGAAGGGTAGGGCTGGAGAGGCAGACTGTGGCCAGGTTACAATGCGCTGAGGCTAAGGAGACTGTGTTTATCCTGTAGGCCAGTGGGTCTTACTCTGAAGTCTTTTGGGTGGGACATTCATGGACTTCAAGAGACCTGTGAATGCCCTAAGATTATAAGTAAAATCTGTGAGTCTGTAACTAAAGCTAAAGCTATTTTTCTGGGGCCCACCATCTAAAGAAGATTCTGAAGCCTTAGGGTAGCCGTGGAGGAGACATGAAGGTCCATTTTGCATGGTAGAACCCTGCCTGGCTCTTGCTGCAGTGTGGGAGGACAGGTTTGCAATGTGGAGGTGTGGCAGGCATGGATTTGGGAGGATTGGCAGAGGACTCACCATGTCCATACACTCACTGAGATGGCAAATATTTATTAATCATCCAACTGTGTATCAGACACTAAGAATAAGCTGGGAGGCCATGGCAAGTGAGGTCACCACAGTCCCTGCCACAGTGGAGGTTATGGTATACAGGTAAGGCAGGGAAGAGCACTGCAAAGGGTTTGCCCATTGCATCAGTCATTTATTTATGCACATGTTGATTCAACAATTATTTCTATGCCAAGCTGTCTTCAAGGTGCTGGAGGAAATGAAGCGTACATTTCACTGGGGAAGACAGACAATAAGTAAACACATTAAAATCTGGCTTGGCTTGATGTTGGGGAGGGGTGAGTGCCATAGAGAAAACAAACCATTTATGCAGCCAACAAACATATGAAAAAAATCTCATCATCACTGGCCATTAGAGAAATGCAAATCAAAACCACAATGATATACCATCTCACGCCAGTTAGAATGGTGATCATTAAAAAGTCAGGAAACAACAGATGCTGGAGAGGATGTGGAGAAATAGGAACACTTTTACACTGTTGGTGGGAGTGTAAATTAGTTCAGCCATTGTGGAAGACAGTGTGATGATCCCTCAAGGATCTAGAACCAGAAATACCATTTGGCCCAGCAATCCCATTACTGGCTATATACCTAAAGGATTATAAATCATTCTACTAGAAAGACACATGCACACGTATGTTTATTGCAGCATTGTTCACAATAGCAAAGACTTGGAACCAACCCAAATGCCCATCAATGATAGACTGGATAAAGAAAATGTGGCACATATACACCATGGAATACTATGCAGACATAAAAAAGGATGAAGTAATGTCCTTTGCAGGGACATGGGTGAAGCTGGAAACCATCATTCTCAGCAAACTAACACAGGAACAGAAAACCACACACTGCATGTTCTCACTGGTAAGTGGAAATTGAACAATGAGAACACATGGACACAGGGACGGGAACATTACACACCTGGGGTCTATCAGGGGGTTGGGGGCTAAGGGAGTGATAGCATTAGGAGAAATACCAAATGTAGATGACGGGCTGATGGGTGCAGCAAACCACCATGGCACGTGTATACCTATGTAACAAACTTGCACATTCTGCACATGTATCCCAGAACTTAAAGTATAATTAAAAAAAAAAGAAAAGAAAACAAACCAGTGTAAGAGGATGGAAAGTAATAGGCTCGTTTAGAATGGTGTGAGAAAGCCAGGCAGGGAGAAGGCGCTGAGACAGGGAGGTCCTGGATGTGTTTGTGGAAGAGCTGTGGCAGCACCTGGAACTTGGGGAGCAAGGGAAGGAGTGTGGGCAGGCAAGGGTGAGGGTGCAGGGGGTCATGCTGGGCCTTCCAGGTCACGGAAGGACTTGAGCTTTACTCTTGTTGTGGTGAGAAGCTGCTGAGGGCTTGGAGTTAGGGGAGTGAAAAGATCTCTACTATAATAGGGAGAGTTCGGGATCTGTAACTTAACCCCAGGAGCCAGCAAAGCTCCCTGGAGGAAATGCAGTTTAAGCTGAGAATGGGAGGATAAACAGGTGTTTTTCAGAGAAGAGGAAGGGTGCTCTAGGCACAGAGAACAACATGCTGGAATGCTTCTACTAGATCATAGGGGCAAAATGGGAGTGCAGGAGTAGGAGAGGGCTTTCTGGGAAAGATACTTATTTTAATTTTGCATGCATTGAGTTTTTGAGGTTTCTTTGGTTTGTTCATGTGGAGGTGCAGAGTGGGTATTTAGCACATAGGTCTGAAGTCCAGGGGAGGGGTGTGGGACAGCAGTTGGATGTGGCAGAGATTCCACAAAGAGCAAATATCATCTGAGAATGGCAGAGGGCTGAGGGCAGAGCCCTGAGGAACACTGGTGTTTAGGAGCCTGCTGGAGAAAGAAAATACTGCAAAGGGAACGGAAGTGGAGTGGTTGCCAGACATAGAAGCTAGTGTCTAACTAGATGTCATGAGATGTGGGGAAGGTGTTACGTATCTAAGAATGCAAAGTTGAACCCCTGTGAACTGTAATACTTAAGATAAGTCGTATAAATTGTCTGGAACTAGAGCTTGATTTTCCAGGAGAGATGAAATGTGTGTAGGTGACAGGAAACAATGAATATGTGGGCGAGTGTAGTGTGAGCAATTTCTCAGAGGTGAATTTGACAGCATTTTGCTTAGGAAGCTACAAAGAGACCAATGCTAGTTGGTGCAAGGAATTCAAGAATTTGGACTTAAGTCTATATAATGATGATTTTTTTTTTTTAACTTGAGTTTCCCGGTTTATCACTCCCAGAATATAGGCAGAAGTTTGAGATTTTTATGTGTATTTTCTGGAAAAGATAGTTTCAGTGTTTTTTACATTCTCAAACAGGTTTATGATCCAAAGAAAAGGCAGTGGTCACAGATACATGAAACGACAAGGTATTCAAAGGAGAACGTTGTACTTTATGACAGTTCTTTGGGCAGTGGCTTGCAGGATGAGTTTGAGGAATGATTGGAGGCAGGAGAGTAATTCTAGTAATTCAAATGTGGAGTATTGTTGATCTCTCAGACACAAATGGAAAAACAAGGAATTCAAAGAAAGATAGGCAGAGTGTTTTGAAGAAATAATTGATGAAATTTGGTAATGAGTTAGATGTAGGAGATATATTTAGCAAATATTTATTAAGGACTGTATTAATCTGTTATCATGCTGCTAATAAAGACATACCAAGACTGGGTAAATTATAAAGAAAAAGAGATTTAATGGACTCACAGTGCCACGTGGTTGGGGAGGCCTCACAATCATGGCATAAAGCAAAGGAGGAACAAAGTCACGTCTTACATGGCAATAGAGTGTGTGCAAGGGAACTGCCATTTATAAAACCATCAGATTTCATGAGAAATATTCACTATCATGAGAACAGCACAGACAAAAGCCTGCCACCATGATTTAATTACCTCCCACTGAGTTCCCCCAGGACACATGGAATTATGGAAGCTACAATTCAAGATAAGATTTAGGTGGGGATACAGCCAAACCATATCAAGGACCTACTGTATATGGTTAAAATTGGGAGCAAATGAGACATGATTCTTGCCTTCTTGGAGTTTACTGTTTACTAGGGGAACATACACTTGTCAATAATCACCCAAATATAGGATTGGAAATTGTGGTAAGTGCCATGAAAAACAAGTATAGGGAATTTTGAGTGTACATAGCTTTGGGGACTTGATTTGATGAGGGAGCCTTATGAAGTTATTGCACTAGAACTGAATTAAACCACATTTCTAGGAAGTGGACATCTATTTGTTGGTTCTTTAAATTTAGCTTTACAGAAATATTTCCTTTAAAAACCAAGGCTTCTTAAATTTTTAAAACTGCTTGGCTAATCAGGGGAATAATGCTTTTGGATAGCTGGTATCGTTATTTATGGTTGGAAAAACAACAGTATTTGATTACATTGAGCTTTAAACTTTTCCTTTGATTAATGAAAATTTTATTGGCCCATAGTTTTTATTATGCTCTGTTTTTACTTGGTCCAAGAGATTCTATTCTCTGGACCCAATATGAATACCTTCAGACATCCCTCTTTTTTTTTTTTTTTTTCACCCAGGCTGGAGTGCACTGGCACGATCTAGGCTCACTGCAACCTCTGCCTCCTGTGTTCAAGCAATTCTCTGCCTCAGCCTCCCGAGTAGCTGGGATTACAGGCACCTGCCACCACACCTGGCTTATTTTTGTATTTTTACCAGAGATGGGGTTTCACCATCTCGGCCAGGCTGGTCTTGAACTCCTGACCTCATGATTCACCCACCTTGGTCTCCTAAAGTGCTGGGATTACAGGCATGAGCCACCACACCCAGCCCAGACATCCCTCTTAATTATGTTGAATATGTAATATCGGTGATTTCATTTGAAAATATTTAGTAGTCGAACTAGATCAAGGCAGTTAAGCTTCCTATTTCCATAGATGCAGTGGTATTGTGTCTTTTTTATATGATCTCTCATGCTTCTGGACATCCTTTTTTCTGCTATTCTTCATTCCTTAGCTACACTTGGTGCTTCGTGGTTGTAATGCATTGTCATAGATGCGTTCATTTCTCATTCGATCTTCAGCTCTATTTCTTTCCAGAGAATCTCTACAGGCATCTGTTAGGTTGAAGGACATCTAATGTCTTAATGTGTAGCTTGGTAAACCAGTCAACTTTCTATCTGAGTCTTAAGAGAAAGTGTCCAAGATGAGAAACGGTACAGGTTTGGTGACAACTCAGTGAGAAAAAGAAGAATTTTACAAGGAAGGAGGTATCTTAGTAATTTTGCTAAAGAAGTAGGTAAACCTTCACTTATAATAAAGGGATAGGGCTCGGTTAGGGTTTGTGAAGTCTCCCCTTAGGAAAGCAAACCCTGAAATATTTTGAATCTTTTAAAGAAGGAAAATAAGAGTCTTTTAAATAAATTTTTAAAATTTATTTTATATATTTTTTATAGACAGGCTCTCACTCTGTCTCCCAGGCTGGAATGCAGTGGTGCAATCATAGCTCACTGCAGCCTTGAATGCCTGGGCTCAAGCGGTCCTTCTGTCCCAGCCTCCTGAGTAGCTGGGACTGCAGGCATGAGCCAATGTGCCCAGCAAGAGACATTCATTTTGGTACTGTGATGGTACAGAAAAACAAAGGGCCTTTGAGGCCGAAGGAGCAGAAGAAGGATGGACTTAGACATGGTATAGGCACTTTCTACTAAAGAGCTGTGAAGCTAAAAATGCCAGGTCTATGACAGGTGCAGTGGGCCAAGGCCAGGTAGAGAGCAGCAGGAAGAGAGGAGGTGGGGACCTGTACCTAGGCCCATCTGCTGGGACTGATCTAGCCATAGGTACTCAGAGAAGCCCAGATTGGTGCCTGACCCACCCTTATGGCCCAGACATGGACACCTCCCAGTCTGTTCCTTCCTGCTGCCCATGGATGGGCTGTGTTAGTCTGTATTCTGAGGACACAGCTCTCTGTCTAGAGGAAGTTATGTTATCTTGATCTGATGGATACTCAACGTGAACATTATTTCAACGTGCCACAGGGTCTTGGAGCCCAGAGGAAGACCGCTCTTGCCTTTTAGTTTATATTCTTTGTTTTTTTTTAAATAACATTTTGACAGTCTTTATGGAGTAAGTCTGGGCCAAAATGATAATTGACAATGTTATTTACATGGATTTCTAAGTTGGCTAAAAAAGTTCCTTTATGGTTAGTGAATATAGCCCATGTAGTTTCCCCGTCTTCTTTAGATGCCTTCTATTTCTATGCCCAAAGTCTGCAGTTGATTTTCAGTAAGCTGGGGGTCATCTTAGAGATAAAATGTAGATGAATGGCATTTTGCTGACAGCATACATCTTTGCTATTTCTGAGGAAAATGGGCTCTCGCTATTAAATCTTTTGTCAATATTTATAAAAATAGTATTTACATATTCTATCTATATTGTGGAAACTATACATTTATTGATTCAGTCATTTGATATCAATGTTGTTGAGTCCCTATTCCAAGTGAGGCACTATGCTCTAAGCACATGGCATTTTAAAGATGAATAAGACACCAAGAACTTTGCAGATAGTAATGGAAATGAGAATTAATCAATTGAAGATTAATATAGTAAGTAGCAGAAGAGAAATAAAAAAATCTTCTAGAGAGTTCAGAACAGGGATGTTGATTCAAGTTTATGGGGATTAGGAGTGGCTGGTAAGGGAGGCATTCAGGCAAAAGACATAAAAATGCAGTATTCCCCTCGCACTCATTAGGATGGCTACTATATTAGAAAAAGAAGAGAGTAAGTGTTGGAGAGGATATAGAGCAAATAGAAACCTTGTGCCTTGTTCATGAGAATGTAAAATGGTGCAGCCACTGTGGAAAACACTGGTGATTCCTCAAAAAATCAAAATAGAATTATCATATGATCCAGTAATTCTACTTCTGGGTATATATCTAAAAGAATTAAAAATCTGGGTCTTGAAGAAATATTTGTATACTCATAGTTATAGCAACATTATTCATAATAGCCAAAAAGTAGAAGCAATCCAGATGTCTATAGATGGATGAATGGGTAAACAAAGTCTGTGTAGTATATACAGACAATGGCATATTAGTCACATCATGGACCTTCAGGACATTATCCTAAGTGAAATATGCTAGACACAAAAAGCAAAAGTAGGGTTTCACTTAATGAGGTATCTAGAATTGCCACATTCACAGAGAACAAAAGTAGATTGGTGGCTGCTAGGGGATAGGGGAAGGAGAAAATGGGGAATTATTGTTGAATGGGTATGGAGTTTCAGTTTTGTGAAATGAAAATGTTCTGAAGACTGGTTGCACGATGATGTGAGTATATCTAACATGATTGAATTGATGAACACTTAAGCGTGGTTACGATGGTAAATTTTGTGTTATATATATCTTACCACAATTTAAAAAATATAGCATTTTATTATGTAGGCGTGGGTGGGAAGATACTTGACACATTGGAACTTCTGGCCATGCGTATACTGTTCACTCACTTATTCCTTCATTCATTCAACAAACATGTATTGAATGCTTGCTATGTGCTGGGCACTGAGCTAGATATAACAATTAATAAGGCTTATAAGACATTGAATCTATCAATTTCATGCTTGCTAAATATCTACTCCCACCTCCAAAGGCACTAAGCTTCTACAGTTAGATATTCATAGCTGCTTCCTACTGACTTGAATCATGCATAGGATATTAGTAAACAAGCAATAAAAAGATTTGAGGTTGATGGGGGTGGGTTCAACAGCATGGTGGTGAAATGGAAAGAGATGGGTAACAGAATATGAACTAGAATTGAAAACTGTGAGCCAGTGCTCTCTAATGAACATTAAAAAATAAAGAATTCCTATTTGAGGCTGCCAACCTCAGAACTAAGTTATTTAGAATGGACGAAATTGGCAAAGTCAGACGTACTCAACCCAAGGAGCCAATATTTTGTGAATATTATGGCAAATGTAGTTTGAGAACCACTACCACAAAATTGTGAACCATAATAATGACTGAGAAGGCAGGGAGAGGTTATACAATTTGGGCTAAAAGGAAAGACAGGGCTTGTGAAGGGGAGCGCCAGTGAAAGTCAGTGTGGTTCGGGTATTTGGGTGGGGACTGGAAGCAGGAAGCTTGAGCTTCCTTTGCCAAGAGACCCTGCTGGAAGGGCTATCATCAATTGACTTTAGCTCATCTTAGGATTTTCATTTTTTAAAAAATGTTCACAGGAACCTTCACTCCATCTATACTTTCAATGTCTGCCTACCTTTCTTTCTTATACAACTTTGAACACTCTCTCCATTCATTTAAATATATTATGGAGTGCCAACTACATGCCAGGTACTGTGCTGGGCTCTTATTCCACCTTTATTTGATTGCACATGCCTGCCAAGTCCTGGGCCAATATAACATCTACTCCTATGTCTGGTCTGGCGAGAGATGCAAACTCATCTTCCTCTACTTTCCTTACCTCCTTCCTTCCAGTCTTCTTCAAGTTGTCTTCATTGAGGCAATTTCTTTTACCTGTGTTTTTAATCCCAACTCCTCTAGTTTCCTTCTTGGCTTTATTCTTTTATCTTCCTCTTTGTGCTTTCAAACATTCCCTTTCTCCTGGCCCATGCCCTTCAGTCTACACGAGGCCTTCTCAAGTCTCTTCATTCTAAAAAATTCATTTTCTTGGGTCTTATATTCTTCAGCTGCCACCCTATCTGTATCTTTTCCTATTCTCCTCCAAGTTCTCAAAGGAATGCCTTCCCTCATTTTCATCTCCTTACATTCCATCTGCTGAATTTTGGCTTGTGCCTGTACCTGTCTAAGGAAACTCCTTGCTAAGAGTCTGCTTTGTCAGGTCTGAATTCACTTAACCAGTCTTTGCTTTGTTGGACTTCTCTGCCCCATTTGCCATTCTTGATCATCCTCTCCATAAACCTTTCTACTTAAAGCATTTTACTTCCTTATTTTCTTGGTTTTCCTAGAATCTCCTTACTGTTCATTTTCAGCTTCCTTTCTGTGTTCCTCTTCTCTTCCTACATTTTTTTTTAGCTTTCTACTTTCTTAAAGCATTTTACTTCCTTATTTTCTTGGTTTTCCTAGAATTTTCTTACTGTTCATTTTCAGTTTCCTTTCTGTGTTCCTCTGATTGTCTCTCTTTCTACATTTTTTTTTTCTGTGTTCCTCTGATTTTCACGCAGTCTGGAGTTGTCATGATCAATCATAGCCTACTGCAGCCTCGACATCCTAGGCTCAAGTGATTCTCCCACCTCAGCCTTACAAGTAGCTAGGACTACAGTCACACATCACCATTCTCAGCTAATTTTTTTAAGAAGCATTTTTATAGAGATGGAGTCTTGCTATATTGTGCAGGCTGGGCTCAAACTACAGGGCTTAAACAATTCTCCTGCTTTGGCCTCCCAAAGTGCTGGGATTCCAGGCATGAACCACCATGCTCAGTCTCTACATGTTCCTAAAGAGGAGTTTTGAATATTGAAGAACAGTATTTTCAAATTACATTATTCAAGTTATAAAAACTGATATCCAGGGTTATGTGGCAATGACGTAAAAATTTGAATTGTTATTTTTTTGACACATGTTCTGTGTTGTCCATCAGTTCATCTGAGTTCCAAATGTCCCAGCTGTTTTATGCTTTGTCTCTGTTTCCCAGAGACCCTGAGTGTGGTCTAGAGTTGGGATGAGCATTGGTCTCTAATGGTTCTGAAATAATTGTATATTCCTGCAAAAACATTAAGTCTATTAGAAACCAGCTAATTTCATTTTGTCATTTTTATAGGTAACATATTCTGGTGCAGGTAGTATGTTTTTAAAACAAGTTTGCAATAAACAATTTCCCCTCAAGGTTAATATAATAGGCAACACCTTTTGCTGCAACAGACGGCAAGAGGTAATGAAAGATTAGCTTACATTATGATTCATTATTTCAAAATGTCAGGATAAAGTGGATCTGCTGCATCTCCCAGAGAGTGCATGTTTTGCTTTTCTAATGTTAATGGATTTACTGTTTTTTTCCCCCCAGGCCAAATTCAGATAATCGACGCCAGGGTGGCAGAGAAAGATTGGCCAGTACCAATGACAAGGGAAGTATGGCTATGGAATCTGCCAAGGAGACTCGCTACTGTGCAGTGTGCAATGACTATGCTTCAGGCTACCATTATGGAGTCTGGTCCTGTGAGGGCTGCAAGGCCTTCTTCAAGAGAAGTATTCAAGGTAATAGTGTGTTGAAAACGACTTCTATTTTTGATCCTATGAGCAGATCCTAAGAGCCAAAGCGACTGAGGAAGGAAGACATAGAATCAGCCATTTGTACAAAACATGAATCCCTAGTAGGTCCACTAGTATCTTTGGTAGAAACATGGAGAAGAGACAGGATCTCAGGAGAAGGAGTTGACACATGGCAGGGCAGCTGAGGCTGAGTAATTCCGCTTCCTTCCTTTGGCAAGACTCAATCAGTCTTGAGCAACTCTACAGAAGAATTCCACTAGCTGGATCTCTGAGGAAAAAAGAAATGTTGTCTGTGCCCTGACTGGGGAATGCCAGATGGACATTCATGTTTGGTAGGCAACTTTGCCTATATGATCTGGTATATGCTGTTAATTGTCCATGCATAATTATCTCTCTACTCAGGCCTTGTCCAGGCAAATATTCTGTTTTGTTCTAGTTTAGCTTGTTCTCCCCTTTCTCTCTTCCATCTCTTTCTTGTCTCAATGGATGACAGGATATTTTGCTATGAGCTGACTCAGTGGTTGGTGTCTTGTAATGGGGAGATATCATCTTTATCAAACAGTTATTAAGTATCTACCTGTAGCATTTCATTTTCCCGCCTGCCTCCATTGTTTTCTTGTCTATAGTTTGCCAATTATAGCTAATATACGGAGAGCTATACTTTATTTCTACTCCAGAAATGTCTCTATTATTGCATTATAATAGGATACCCTGGGGAAACACTAATCATTTTTACTACCTAAAATACCTATGCTGAATATCCTTTATCTGATAGGAACAGAGATCTGACAGCAGCTTAGGCTAACCAAATTCATTTTTTATCTTAAGTGTGGGGCATTTTTCTCTCTTCTTATTCTTTACCTTTTCAGCTTAAGTGAAGGTTAGTATAAACACTAAGAATATTTCTGATGGAGTTTTCATGTGATTCCTTCTACAAAAACCCAGATTTAAGTAACTTGTTGAAAACCAGAGTCCGCTAAGTTAATAAACACTGATTGAAGAAGTGATTCTCATGGACTTTCTGTGATAGCTCTTTCCTGCCCTGATATGAGATGAAAGCTGGGGGATGGTATATAGTATTTATTTTTCCTTCCGTTGCCAGTGGGACTTTTTTTTTTTTTTTAAAAGCTGTTCATATCTTAATCGAGTAGCATGTGAGGTCAACATGGTCTATTTTAAAAGCATTTTCTTCGACACATTGCTTTTAACATCTTTTAGAACTCTGCTGTGAGACACATGGACTTTTTTGTTGGTATTTTTATACAATTAATGATATTCTCAATAGTAATCTTTGTGTGTGTATATATATAGAAATAAATTCTAAATGTAAGTTAATATATTTATTATTTTTCTAAACATATATAAATATATATATGCACACAGGCTATTTAATTTTATTAGATGATGCTATTTTAATTCAGAAAAAAATGACATTTATATTTTGATTTAGGTTAGTATAAGCCCTTAGAGGTGTTTTGACAACTCTCTTAATTTGTGGTTTTACTGTTTATTTGATTTTATATAATCTAAAATACCATTGTTTTTACCAAGCATTTAATTTGGCAGTGAAAGAGCGTCTGACAGAGGTATGGTTAGTAGATAGGTCTAACTGCACAACTGGATGGATTGAGCTGAGACTGTTTCCTCATCAGTAAAAATGATTTGAAGCAGTGGTTGGCAAAGTTTTTCTGTAAAGGGCCAGATAATAATATTTTAGGCTTTACAAGGGCCATGCAGTCTCTGTTGCAGCTACCGAACTGGATTATAGCCTGTAAGGTGACCTGTAAACACATGGAAGTGATTATGTGCTAATAAAACTTTATTTATCAGAATAGGTAACAGATCAGCCCTGGCCCGTGGCCGATCCCTGATTTAATGTTTATTTATCTGATCTAAATACCTTTATTTATGGAAGGGAATAGGGGATTTTTAAATCTAAAGTTTTGATTATTCACATTTTACTGAGAACTTACTCTATACCTGATTAGATGTTCCGAGAGAAATAAAAAAAAAGTGTAAGACATAATCCATAATACCACAAAATTTAAAATGTATTTAGGAAATTTATTTGAGGAAGTAAATGTACTTGTTCTCATGATACAATCAGAAAGTAAGTCAGTATTGATAAAGTGTTACCTGTATGAGAAAGATAAGGAAAACAATAGAGAGATGTAAGAAATGAAAATACCAGTTATAAATTAAAATTATTAAGATTGAAAGTGGAAATGATCTTCCTCCGAGAAACAATGGCAATATTCTCACAAATTTTTTACATCATTTTTGTTCAGCATTTAAGATAAAATTATATAAATTCCCATAACATTTAGTATTGTCTCTAAGCATTAAGAACAGAAAAAACAGAAGGAAAATATATTTCTAAAAATCAACGAATACAGTGTGAGATGTTTCATTGGTATGGCATTATCTCAAGTTCAAACATTTTGAAAAATGTCTGCTTACTCTTTGATAGTTAAAAACAAGTATCTCAGCTGGCGTGGTGGCTCAGGCCTGTAACCCCAGCAGTTTGGGAGGCTGAGGCGAGTGGATCACAAGGTCAGGAGATCGAGACCATCCTGGCCAACATGGTGAAACCCCATCTCTACTAAAAATATGAAAATTAGCTGAGCGTGGTGGTGCACACCTGTAGTCCCAGCTACTTGGGAGGCTGAGGCAGGATAATTGCTTGAACCTGGGAGGCAGAGGTTGCAGTGAGCTGAGATCATGCCACTGCCGTCCAGCCTGGTGACAGAGTGAGACTCCATCTCAAAAAACAAACAAAACAACACCACCACCACTAACAAAAACCTCTTATCGCCGTCTTGTATACGCAGACCAGCTAGTAGAATTTTACTGAAACAGTAGCCTATAAAAATGCAATTCCACTTGGTTTCAGAAACTTCTTGTGTATCATAGTGTGAAGTCACTTATCTTAGGCTTTTAAAATGGGATAAATATTGAGTCCAAAGTTCTGGAAGAAGCCTAGAAAGAAGGCAGAGTTATTAACTTTTAGATATAGGGAGGAACCTTAAAATTATTCAGTTCTTCATTCATTCACTTATTCATTGACTAGCTTTACTAACAAAGCCCTATGCAAGACCCTGGAAATGCAATGATAGAAAAACCTGGTCCCTACCCTCACAGAACTTGTGAGGTAAAGGGGGATACAGACTGATAAACCAGCAATTAGATGATGGTGTCAAGATAGAGGTGAAGGCAGTGTCTTATAGGATCCAAACTCCACTCAGTCCTGGTGGTGGTTGAGTCTGGCTATCAGAGGTTTCCTGATTAAATCTGGAGGGTGAGTCAAGGGAGCATGGTGAAGAAGGAGGGAATGCATGTTTAGCCATGTGAATGAGTCCATGAGTGAAGACCAGGAGGAAAGGCAGAGCGCGGGGAATTCTATGCGTAATATTTAACAAAATTAATGTACTGTTAAACAAAGACATTTCTGGGCCATGGATTTAATCCTAGACTGTGTAAAAACCAAGTAATTGATTTCCTTTATACTTTAAAAGCATTTCCATGTATTTGATTTGTTTGTGTGTATAAAAGGGAAATACCACAACAAGTTTAAGGGTTTCTAGTTCTGCTTTCTCATCATAGTCTTGATAACTTGGAACTAAAAAGTTTTTGCTGAAATTGTCTGTGACTCTTTATAAATCACACTGCCCCTCAAACACATTTAAGGATGGTGAAGGGTCTGACACGTAGGTGGGAAGTTCTGAAGATGCCGCAGCTCTCCCTGTTTTCCTTGTTACTTAAGAAGAGAGCTAGAAATGAGTGTACATCAGATTATTCTCATGTTCTAAGTGTTTTGGTTGAAGAGGTAAAGTGTTTGGCTTGAAAGCATACAAATTTTCATCCACTACTTAGTGTACAAACTTGATTACTTAAGAGATTGAGTAATGGCCTCCAGTGAAACGCATTCTTTTTAAAAAGCAAAGTGAAGGATGCTATTTAAGTCAGAAGGGGCAAAATTGGATATTTTATGAGTTTATTAATCATTGCAGGCATAGAAGTAGTGTTCCTTAAGATGTGTTTTAGACAGAGTCCCTGGGATGAGTTATATAAGCAGATCTGGTTGTAGCTTCAGCAGCCAGATACTACCTTTGAGTATTACTTCAAGGAAAAAGGACTCCACTGAGCTCACTGCTTCTCTTTCATTATTATTTCAGAAGGTTGTGTGGCGTAGAGGGGGCTCAGGCCTACCTATACACCACTAGCTATGTTGCCATTTTATATTATTTCTATAAGGTGCCAACAGAAGCTGCTCATCAGATCAGACAGACATAGCCCAGGCAAGTATTGATTTACAGATGATCTTTGGCCAGGAAGACATGGTATCAGGGTAGAGTCTGGTTATGGGTCAATGCAGTGGGGACCTTAGGTCCTACAGGTATAACTGAGAGCCTGATCCACCAGGCCTTAGAAAGCTTCAGGGTGAGACAGTCCAGCACCCTGGATAGCTCCTTTAACAGCTGTGGCCGGTAAGCAGGCACTTATTTGCTAAAGAACTCAAGCCCATTTAGCTGGCTTCATCTGCTTTGTAGAGCTCTGTTAAAAAGAGTTCCTATTTCTCCACATCCTCTCCAGCACCTGTTGTTTCCTGACTTTTTAATGATTGCCATTCTAACTGGTGTGAGATGATATCTCATAGTGGTTTTGATTTGCATTTCTCTGATGGCCAGTGATGATGAGCATTTCTTCATGTGTTTTTTGGCTGCATAAATGTCTTCTTTTGAGAAGTGTCTGTTCATGTCCTTCGCCCACTTTTTGATGGGGTTGTTTGTTTTTTTCTTGTAAATTTGTTTGAGTTCATTGTAGATTCTGGATATTAGCCCTTTGTCAGATGAGTAGGTTGCGAAAATTTTCTCCCATGTTGTAGGTTGCCTGTTCACTCTGATGGTAGTTTCTTTTGCTGTGCAGAAGCTCTTTAGTTTAATTAGATCCCATTTGTCAATTTTGGCTTTTGTTGCCATTGCTTTTGGTGTTTTGGACATGAAGTCCTTGCCCACGCCTATGTCCTGAATGGTAATTCCTAGGTTTTCTTCTAGGGTTTTTATGGTTTTAGTTGGTGGGACTGTAAACTAGTTCAACCATTGTGGAAGTCAGTGTGGCGATTCCTCAGGGATCTAGAACTAGAAATACCATTTGACCCAGCTATCCCATTACTGGGTATATACCCAAAGGACTATAAATCATGCTGCTATAAAGACACATGCACATGTATGTTTATTGCGGCACTATTCACAATAGCAAAGACTTGGAACCAACCCAAATGTCCAACAATGATAGACTGGATTAAGAAAATGTGGCACATATACACCATGGAATACTATGCAGCCATAAAAAATGATGAGTTCATGTCCTTTGTAGGGACATGGATGAAATTGGAAACCATCATTCTCAGTAAACTATCGCAAGAACAAAAAACCAAACACCGCATATTCTCACTCATAGGTGGGAATTGAACAATGAGATCACTTGGACACAGGAAGGGGAATATCACACTCTGGGGACTGTGGTGGGGTCGGGGGAGGGGGGAGGGATAGCATTGGGAGATATACCTAATGCTAGATGACGAGTTAGTGGGTGCAGCGCACCAGCATGGCACATGTATACATATGTAACTAACCTGCACAATGTGCACATGTACACTAAAACTTAGAGTATAATAAAAAAAAAAAATTTAAAAAAAAAAAGAGATCTTAGTTCTTTTGGGCTTGGGGACTCACTCTTGTTCACTTAAAGTGGATTGGTTCTTACATTTATTTTCATAGTTGTGTCTGGTCACCTTCTGGCTTGATGTATGCCCCTATGTCTGGAAAAGGTTAGAGAATGGGGTAGAAGTGGAGGCTGCCCGCCCATCATGTAACTGTTTTATCTTTTCAGAGATACAATTGGGATCCTAACTCTTTGGTCTCCGTATTTCCACACTTGCTCTTATACGATTCAGTTTCCATGCAACAGCAGGAGAGATATTTTAGATATATTAATCAGGTCCTATGGTCTTGAGTTTACAGCTCTCAGTGTAAATCTTACTCTCAAGAGAAAAATTTTCCTTCTGCAGCTGAAAACATTCGACATATTCTCTCTCCTATTCCTTCTCCCCCATTCACTGTACTCCAGGCACACCAGCTTTTATTTTTATTTATTTTTTGCTATTCCCCCCAACACGCCAACATGTTCCTTCCTCAGGATCTCAGCACATGTGGTTCCCTTTTTCCCTTTGCTTGAAATACCCAGATCTTTACTTGGCTGGTTTCTTGTCATTCAGATTCTGCCCAAAGTCACTTTCTCAGAAGTAGTGTTACCCTTCCACGAGTAATACTACTCTTACTTCTCTTTACAGCTCTCAAATTCTTATGAAGTTTTCCTATTTATTCATTTGTTTGATTATTGTCTGTCTGCATCAGGTACCGTGCAAACTTGGATGTAAACTCAGTGATAGCTGATTTCTGTTCAGCATTGTTTGTTGCTATAGCTCCAGTGCTTTTAGTCATGTTGGGCACGTCCCTACTAAATAGTAGAATATGGCGAAGGGTCAGAGTCATGATAGATAGCCGGATGTGGTGGCTCATGCCTATAATCCCAGCACTTTGGTAGGCTGAGATGGGCAGATCACGAGGTCAGGAGTTCAAGACCAGCCTGACCAACATGGTGAAACCCTGTCTCTACTAAAAATACAAAAATTAGCCAGTTGTGATGGCATGTGCCTGTAATCCCAGCTACTCAGGAGACTGAGGCAGGATAATTGCTTGAACTCGGGAGGTGGAGGTTGCAGTGAGCTGAGATCGCGACACTGCACTCCAGCCTGGGCGACAGAGTGAGACTTCATCTCAAAAAAAAAAAAATAATAATGATAGATAAAAACTGCTAGAGGCTCTCTGAGAAGGAAGAAATGTCACTGGGTTAGGTTGGTAAGAGAAGTGTTAATGCAAGTGGTACATTTGATATAAGCATGCAAATAAATGGTAGTTTGGAGGAAAATTCCAGAAATGTGAAACAGTATTGAGAAATTGAGTAAGCCAGCTTTGAGAGAACACACGGCTTATTGTCCTCTCCTTCTGTTTTGCTCCTCAGCTCTCTAAAGTGGGCATTCTCTAGGGTCCTGTCTTCAATCTCAGCTTCTTTTTCTTCTTCATCCTTCTCTTTCCACCTAGTTTCCTAGGGAATTATATATATATATATATATATATATATAATTTTGTATATATATACAAAATTATATATATATATAATTTTATATATATATAATTTTATATATATATAAAAAATTATATATATATAATTTTATATATATATACAAAATTATATATATATGTCTGGTACAGGCTGAATTGTGTCTCCCAGAAAGATATGTTGAAGTCCTAATGCTCAGTGCCTCAGAATGTGACCTTATTTGGAAATAATGTCATTCCAGGTGTAATTAGTTAAGGTGAAGTTATACTGTGGTGTAACCCACAGTATACTTCCAGTATATACTTCAGTATATGGGCCCTTAATCTAATGTGACTGATATCTTTAGAATAAGAAGAAAATTTGGACACAAACACAGAGAAGAGAATGTCATATGATAACAGAGAGAGAGAGAGAGAAGAGAGAGAGGGAGGAGAGAGAGGGAGGAGAGAGAGGGAGGAGAGAGAGAGAGAGAAGGAGAAAGAAAGAGAGGAGACAGAAGAGAAACATCTACAAAGCAAGGAACACCAAAGATTGCTGGTGCCTAGGAAACTAATATAATAACATAATATTTGGGGCCTAAAGTGTTACAGCTGCACCAATATCTCCCAAATCTTGCTCCTAGCTCCTGCCCCAGCCTGATTTTCTCAGTGACTCCCCTGTGTTTCCCTCTGCCACCAGCCCCTCCTTCTGCCTGCTGTGTGTGACAGTTCCCTTGCCACTCCCTCCGGCATCCGTACTTCAAACTGGGGAGTTAGTTATTTCCATTGTTTCTTATTGCAGCCTCTGGCTCTGACGTTTCCAGAGCTGTTGCATAGCTCTATTGAGTCTATCTCCTTAAATGCATTTTCATCCACTTACCATTGCTGAGTTAGCTGCATTACCTTTCACCAGGATGCTTGCAATAATTTATTGTTTCCATTTGCCTTCTCCTTCATCTAAGCCGTTTGCTTATGTCTTTTTTCTTGTTGCGAGACATTCTGCACATTGCCACTCTATTAGTGGTCATAAAGCAAATCACTGATCATGTCAATACGCAGTACAAGATCCTTTAATGACCTCCATAGCCCATGGAATGGTCCTTAAACAAGAGTTCAAGGACTGCCACAATCTTGTTCTAGCCTATCTTTCTAGTCATTTTAAAGTCACCATTTTTACTTGTGAAATAGGCACTCCAGACACAGTGAATTCCTTGTTCTTCTACAAATATGATGATTCCATTTCTTTGCTGGGAATTTCTTTCCAGATTTACCTGTAAAAATTCTTCGAACCCTAATCAAAAGTGACTGTTGTTAAGCCCCTGAAGATAATGCAGAAATTCTCTCTCTCCTGGGACCTCGATATTAGTTTATTCCATTGTATTGCATATATTTGATTGCCCATGTTCTGTCCCATACTGACTGTAAAGTCCTTAAAGGTGAGGGCCCAATATTCTCAGAGTCACTCAATAAATAAATAAAAGAATAAATGGAAATTAGGATCAGTTTGTGGGCTTTAGCAACACAAAAACATTATACTTTTTCAACATGGGAGAGGTATGATGAAGGAGTTTTTTTTTTTTTTTGAGACAGAGTCTCACTCTGTCACTGAGGCTGCAGTGCAGTGGCATTGTGTCAGCTCACAACAACCTCCGTCTCCTGGGTTCAAGCAATTCTCCTGCCTCAGCCTCCCGAGTAGCTAGGATTACAGGCGTCCACCACCATGCCTGGCTAGTTTTTATATTTTTAGTAGAGACGGGGTTTCACCATGTTGGCCAGGCTGGTCTTGAACTCCTGACCTCAGGTGATCTACCCGCCTTGGCCTCCCAAAGTGCTGGGATTACAGGCGTGAGCCGCCGCACCCGGCTGATGAAAGAGTCTTTAATGCAGATTAATCTGGCAGAGGTATATAGGAGGGACCAGAGAAGGGAAAGAATCAAAGCGTGAAGACCAATTTGGCTGATATTCAACTAGCTTAGATGTACTAAAAATCTGTACTTTTTGGTATTTGTGAAATGGAAAGAAGGGGAATAGAATAAAGGATATTATAATGAAAGGATATACATTGCTTGAAGGTAATTAAATATGGGTTATCCAGGAGATAAAAGAGTTAAAGAGGTTCAGACATAGACTGAATGAACTGAGAAATGAATGACTTGGTCACCAAGAGGAAGGCCAGTCATCAGGGGGTAGGATAAGTTCAATTCTAGACATGCTGCATTTGAGATGATAGCTGGATGTCCAGATGGAATTATCCAGCAGCCACAGAAACAGAATCAGCTCTCTGCGGATATTCCAGGGGTGGGGATTTGAATTAATTTCCTCAATTAATTTTAAAGAAACTTGATGAAAAGAATGGTCTGAATACTTCTTGAAGGTTGCACATTATTAATAATGGAGAAATAACTCTAAAACCTTCCTCTTGATTTTCATAATAATATAAGCATTCCCTGAATCTTACCAAACCTTGTAAGAAACACTCTTATTATAAAAAGTGTATGTGCAAAGCCCTTCTAAACAGGAAAATGATAAATTAGTCCTACAGGGCCAAATGCAGCTCTCTGGGAGCTTACAATTCAGAAAGAACATCCTGCTACCAGCACATTAAGCTGTACAAATAGTAAACTGCAGAAACAAATATAAGCATTTTTATGATGTCCAAACAAGAACCAAGCAGGTGTTTTTTTTTTTTTTTTTGCAGATTATTTATACTGTGGCAGTTCATAGCCTCCTTTTCGGACCCAGAGCTTGCATAATCCTTCCCTTATTTCTACTTACGTGTTTTACTCTCCATCATGTGTTAACATACATACTGTGCAACAGAAATGACTATGGAGGCTGAGGGCAGCAGAGTTTTAGTGTGTACACATATGAGCTGTCATGTAATTTTCAAGTGAAAGCCTTTGCAATGAAACTTTTTAAAAGAAAGTCATGGCCGGGTGCGGTGGCTCATGCCTATAATCCAGCACTTTGGGAGGCTGAGGCAGGCAGATCATGAGGTCAAGAGATTGAGACCATCCTGGCCAACATGATGAAACCCCGTCTCTACTAAAAATACAAAAATTAGCTAGGCATGGTGGTGTGCACCTGTAGTCCCAGCTACTCAGGAGGTGGAGGCAGGAGAATGGCTTGAACTCGAGAGGTGGAGGTTGTAGTGAGCCGAGATTGCACCACTGCACTCCAGCCTGGCGACAGAGTGAGACTCGTCTCAAAAAAAAAAAAAAAAAAAAAAAAAAAAAGAGAAAGAAAGAAAGAAGGAAAAAGAAAGAAAGAGAAAGAAAGGCGGGCATTAACTTCAGGTATTGGTAAATTTGCTAGGTGTTTGGCTACTGTTTCTCATCAGAGAAATAGAAAGACACACCATGAAAGTCAAGGCCTGAAAACCTCATTCCATGTAAGAATGACATCCCCAGTGTTAAGTGCTTGTTAGTGGTTAATGCGATCCTGTGAAACTTAGATGTGTTTGTGCACACATGCACGCATATATTTGAAGAACTCAGAAGAGTTAAATCACAGCCTTTCAACCTGTGAAATGACAGTAGTTCTTCTTTTTTCCTCTCCCTTTGGCTAAGTCATCTTTATCTTGGAGATAATTAAGACAAAAATGCCTCTGACAAATAAAATCAGTATAGAACCCCTATTTCTTGGCAGCTTTTGTGGACACAGCTGAAGCTTTCAGAGGTCTTGAAAAACCATGGCAACAAATGCCTTTGAAGGGTAAGCAAAGGTTCCAAATGTTTTTAATCGCTGGTGTTTTTTCTGCTACCACTTCAAGCATTTTTCTTCATTTTTTGTTCATCTGATCAAAATTAAATTTCCAATTTCCCTACTAAGTGGTTCTGTCCTGGTCATGCCATTGACTATTTCCATTAAAGTAGTAGAGTTTGTGCCCACATATGGTTGTTAAGCTCATCAACAATTCCATTAGAAAGCTTTGTTTATCAGTGGCAATAATTTCCCATAAAAATTATAGATAGGTTTTAATGGGCACATTTTCAAAAGGCATCAACTCGTCCTCAAAATTATGTGCTGACACTGTTCTTACAACCATGGTTCGTGGCCTAATTCCACCAAATTTCTCTCTTTTTCATAGAGAACTGTTGTCAGTAGCTTTATATCCTTTTAAAGAGAATGGTCTGTATCTCTGATACTCATTCAGAGAAATGAGTATTTTAGACGTAGGTTGCTAATTTTAAGCTATATACTACACTATGTCAGCACTATATAGGTTATCTTGTAACCTGCTTGCCTGGCTATTTGGCTGAAAAATAACAACATGTAAGGAAAATCTATTTCATAAGTCTAACATTTACTTTGTAAAACTTGTTCTGGCTACTCTGTTAATTTTCCACTTACGTGTGGGTTAGAGAGCAGATTTGATTTTTTTTTAAGCGAAAGATATGGCTTACCTGAGAAAAGAACATAGTGGGGAAAGCACTCCTATTATTTTCCTCATATTTCCATTTTCCTTTAGCGGAAATAAAAAGACATTTCAGTTTTTCAGTTGCTAAGAAATGAAGGAACCAAAGACAAAACAACTTAATTATTAAATTACAATTTATTTCTGTAATAAGCACTCGTTCTCTCTGTTTTCCTGGGGAAAGAGTATGTGGACTTTCAATTTTATCCAAATAAGCATCATCTTTCTCTGATTAGTGTGGCAGTTTCAAAATCATGTATTAGGAAGTACAGAGTGAATGAGTAGAGAATTTCTAAATTAGCACCCAAGGTTGGGTGGCTAGATTATGTTTATAAATATGAACTTTTGTATTAAGTGCAATGATTTAAAAGAATGCCTGCATCACTTTAGGGCATTTCATTAAGTGCTGTGCACAATATTTTTCCTTATACATCATAAAAGATAAATTATAGTTCATAAAATAGTATAAATTCCTAATTATTTTGTGCTTTTGACACCTCAGAGTTACTAATAAGGGATTTCGTTTTAAAATGATATTTATTTATTTATTTAGAGACGCAGTCTTTCTCTGTTGCCCAGGTTGGAGTGCAGTGGTGCGATCTTGGCTCATTGCAACCTCTGCCTCCCAGGTTCAAGCGATTCTCCTGCCTCAGCCTCCAGAGTAGCTGGGACCACAGGCATGGGCCACCACACCCAACTAATTTTTGTATTTTTGGTGGAGACGGGGTTTCACTGTGTTGGGCACACTAGTCTCTAACTCCTGACCTCAAGTGGTCCTCCTGCCTTGGCCTCCCAAAGTGCTGGGATTACAGGCGTGAGCCACTGTGCCTGGCTCGTTTTAAAATAATTTAAAAGTATATTTTGCCACCACTATTAACCAGTTAAGCCATGATGGTATATTATAATCACCATGGAGATGGTTTTTCTCTTTATTTTATTTTGTTTGTTTTCTGATTGCTAGCATGCTGATTACTCTTCCTATTCTACAAGTGCCTGCAGGCCAGCCCCATTTTTGCTCTCTTCACTTCATTTTTCATTTCTCCCTGTTTCACTCTTCATAGCACATTTGTACTCTGTCCACACCTAGAGACCTCCCTGTTGAAGTTCTTCACATTCTCTTCCCTAGAGAGGGTTAACTTGTTGAGCTCAGAGACTTAAACTTAAAATAAAATGTAACAGATATGTATTGAATGACTATTTTATTTTAGCTCTAGGAGAAATGCAAAGATATATCATCCATAGACCCTGAAATCCAGCTAAGGGTTCTGCTTATACACAAGGTGAAAGGTTGTGATAATGCACATTAAACAATAGAAGAGTTAAATTCAGCACTATAAGTGATGCCTCAAAGCAGCATAATGGGAAAAAGGGGTATTTCAGAAAAAAATGGTATGAGTTCAGAGGCAAGAGAAAACAGAATGCTCTAGATTAAACTCAAAGACTTTATGGAGGAGGTGGTGTTTCAATAGATACCTTTCCACAGAACCATGAAGAGAGTTCTACTTAATTGTAAGTGGCCTGTGATTTGTCGTTAGTCATTGCATGCTCAATTCTGCATGTGTGATAACTGTGTATTTTTATGGCAAAATCGCAATTACTTTTGCACCAACCTAATAGAATAGTGTGGGTTTAAAAAAACTATTTGTAATATATTCGAACATATTTCTTATATATATGTTTCACCATCATTAGCAGTAAATCTATTTTGCATCCAGAGATTGAATAATATTTTGTTTCTAGGATGTGAGTGATGTACTATTTTAACTTACTTTTGAAGTTTGACATGGGAGTGATATTAATAAAATCTAAAGATGCTCCTAAAGAGGAGCAATAGATAATGTAGGTATAGATAATGTAGCTATTATGGAGGTAAGTGTATTTGATACTTTTTATTATGATATGAAGGGAAACAACTAGTCCCAAGCTACAATTTATTAAGGTAGGCTTAGCTTATACGCCATAATTTTTATGTTTGCAACTTTCTTGATTTTCTTCCTCTGGCTTTACTTCTATGGGATATTTATGAAAGGATGTTTTTAAAAATGGCTAGAGACTTTTGCTTCTAAGAGTTGACATAAACTTTTCCACAACATGAACAATTAGTAGATGATACACTTAGATACACTCTTGAATTTTTAAAATTGTGGCAGTAAAACTGATCTCAGAGAAGGAAGAAAATGCTTTGGCCAGCTTTTATCAATTATATACAACGTGTTTGGAAGATTCAGTTCCTCTCGCCTTCTTTCTCCCTATATAATACTTTTTCTTAAGGTTGGTACTATTGATGCACTTGGTGTAAACACATGAGATAATAGCAAAATATGAATCTAGGTCCCAGAAATGGGCTTCTTTCACTCTGCCACCTGTTCTGACTGCATTTCTCCTGACTTTCTGTAAATCCCGGGGAGGAGCTGGAAGAGCAAGGTGTGTGCTAGCATAACTTTGGGGATGAAGTACCCTTCTTTTTTTCTGATTTTGTTCCCACATCTCCTTACTGGACCAAGTAAGGGCATCAGTGTCAAACTTCCTGATTGAAGATACATTTTTGCCCTACCATGAAGGGCTCTGGGTAACATTTATTGCTTATAAAATGCTTTTTTGGTGGCTACTTTGTTTCTGAATATAAGGCAAGATAAAAAGTTTGATTCAAGAGTTTCTTGTAAACACTTTGTGTGTGCGTGTGTATTCATATATGGCTGCACACGTACATAAGTCCATACATAAGTACAGTCCACCCTCCATGTTTGTGGGTTCAACATCCATGGATTCAACCGACTGCAAATCAAAACTATTTGGAAAAAAATGGATGGTAGTGTCTGTGCTGAACACATACAGAGATTTTCCTTGTCATTATTCCCTAAGCAATATAACAACTGTTTACAGAGAATGTACATTGTATTAGGTATTATAAATAATCTAGAGATGTTTTAAGCTATATGGGATGATGTGCGTAGGTTATATGCAAATATTATGTCATTTTATATAAGGGACTTAAACATCTATAGATTTTGGTGTCTGAGGAGTCTTCGAACAAATCCCCCACAGATCCTGAGGGGCCACTGTATATATATATCTTCATAAACACACCCACACACACAAACACACCCACCCACCCACACACACACACACACCAATGTGTATATACTTTTTTTTCTTTTTTTTAATTCGAGACCAAGTCTCGCTCTGTCGCCCAAGCTGGAGTGCAGTGGCGCAAACTTGCCTCATTGCAACCTCTGCCTCCCGGGTTCAAGTGATTCTCCTGCTTCAGCCTCCCTAGTAGCTGGGATTACAGGCGCCTGCCACCATGCCTGGCTAATTTTTGTAGTTTTAGTAGAGGCAGGGTTTCACCATGTTGGCCATGCTAGTCTCGAACTCCTGACCTCAAGTGATTTGCCTGCCTCGGTCTCCCAAAGTGCTGGGATTACAGATGTGAGCTACCACACCCAGTTGCAATGGGTATAGACTTTTGAAATGTGTACTACAAAATATTAACAGTGACTATCTCTGAATGATAGGATTATGGATAAATTTTGTTCTTTTTGCATATCTGTATTTTTATTTTTCCACAGTAAACATCTTTTACTTCTGTAATAAAAACTTCATTAAAAAATCCATGCTGCAATTGATTAATTATATACTAACTTTTTTTTACTCTTCCCTCAGTACAGAAAGATTATTCTGTATTTACCAAATCTTTACACTTTATTTGCAAATCATTTTGACTGTCTGTTTGCAAGAGGTCAAATTTGCACTCAAGTTCAGCTTTCGTTCATTATCCATGAGCCCAAGAGAAATTGTGTCAGGTGGACATCAGGTAGCTGAGGCCAATACAATATTATTCCTTTGGGTTGTTGAGAAATCATAGCAGAGGAAAGCCTGTGTTGATAATAGAGTACCACCAGGAATCTAGGTCTTTACAGCTGCTGGCCTGACCAGCAAGGGTAAAATATTTCAGTCACGCAGCCAGTGATTATTAACCCTAGCTCTATATTCCAGAGAGGAAGAGCTAGCCTTTTTGGGTTGTGATCTGTCACTGATTGCAGTTGCACATATACTAGCCATGAGGTCTACACACATGTGAAGAGCATGCTACACACATAGACTAGATACACTGACTCATCAGCCTGGAAACAGTGCCTGACCCTCACTTTGATTGTTTGAATGTGTCCTGACCCATTACCCTGCCTTTGGATCCGTTCCTGTTTTTTTTTTTTTTTTTAAAGCATTTTATCTGTGAATTAAAATAGTACTTTCCATTGCTTCATTTTTTTTTCCCTGAGGAGTTTAGCTTTGTTTAATTAGAAACAAGACAACAATCATTACTGGTCTGGTGCAATCTTGTTTAGGACTCCTCTTTTGCTTAGAACTATACCTGGATTAGGGATCACTGTGATTTAGAGTGTGCAGTATGAGGTTATTTAAATACTTAATAGTATATTTGAAATGAAAAGAGTAGAAATTAAAGACTGAATCATTTACCAAGAAATAACAGAGGAGACCAATTTACTTCTGTAAGATTTAGTAGAGGCTGTTCCCTTCTTTATAATTGGCTTTGTTTCAGTTACCAGTTAAGTGGGGTGAACTGTTATTAAAAGGCTATGGGTAAGGTTACAGTAGCATTCTTCTAAGAAAAACTACAGGAGTAGTCACTGTGCAGCTATCTGCTTTGTACCTGCCAATATGGCAGTAGATATGGAAGGGTCAGAAAAACAGGACTTCATGTTCAATAACTTTTCCTTTTTCCTTTCTTTCCCTTATTTTTTTCATGTCTTGTATGCAAGATAGCATGCCTATTCTTTACCTTCAATGTATTTTTGAATTTTTAATCCAGATCATATTTTATCACAATTTGTAACATGTAGCTAATAAAAATGGTTATTACATGAGAACTTGCTTTACAAATTATAGATCAAATTTTTATACAAATTATTATGTCACCATAGAAAAATAGTTACGATTTATCTGTTTAGTCTTAGAAAAATTATTTCACATATTAGTTAAGGCTTTTAGTTTTGAGTGAGCAAAATCCAATTCAAACTAGCTTTGGGTAGAGGTGGGGGTAAAAGAGAGGAATGGATTTCAATGGAAGGTTTACTTGCGTGTCTTGGCTAACTGCAAACATGGCAGGGTGCAACCAGACCTTAGTGATCACAGACCCAGGGACTCAGACCCTGTGAGGACCTTAGCCTTACCGCCACTCTTCTCCATGTGTCAGCTTCGCGTTCTCTGTCTGCAAGTATGCATTTTCCCTAAGGTGGGAAGCAGAGTTGGCAACAGCTGCCAGGGTTGACTTCCTGTGGCATTCTTGCAGTTAGCAAATATTAGAGAAGGACTCTGCTTGGCCCAGCTTTGGGACACACCTCTGGACCAACTAGCTGTTCTCAGGAGGCAGTAACATGTACAGAGGTGATCCCTGGGGCTCGCCCTGTGAAATCATTGTGAGCCAATCACTACCTCCCTCCCTGATGCTGATGTCTACTATGTTTGATGTCTCTGAACTTCCATTTCCTCAATTGTGAATGGCACCCTGGTTCCTACCTTGCTGGATAGATGTAGTGATTAGAGTTCATGCTTAACCTACAGGTGCTCTGTAAAGAATCATTGGCATCATTACCTCTTGTTGGCTCTATCCCATTCCCTATAGATATCTTTCTGCTCTGAGACTAAGCAGAGAAAATAATTTAACATTTAATTATTGTGCTTCTAAATCCACTTTTACCTCTTCTTTCTTTACTTTTCTCTTTATTATTTTTAATTATTTCAAAAATAAAATTGTATATATTTAAGGTGTACAAGATGTTTTGATATACATATACATAATGAAATGATTACTGCAGTCAAGCTAATTAACATCAATCTCCTCACCTAGTTATCATTTTTGGGGGGCATGGAGTGAGAGCACCTGAAATCTCTCTTAGCAAATTTCCAGTGTATAATACAGTATTGTTAAACATAGTCATCATGTTGTACATTAGATTTCTAGACTTGTTCATGCTACATAACTGCAACTTTGTACCCTTTGACCAATACCTCTCTATTTTCTCCACTATTCCATGCCTGAAATTGTGGGATATAGGTATATAGTGTGTGTGATATATATAGAGGGAGTGATATATGTATATATAATTGTGTGATATATATGTGTGTATATACAAACACACAGACATACACACATGTACATATGTATATACATGCACACATACACAATGGGATATTATTCAGCTTTCAAAAAGGACATCCTGCCATTTGCAACAACATGGATGAACCTGGATGACATTATGTTAAGTGAAACAAGCTGGACACAAAAAGAAACATGCACCTTACTTCTTAGACACAAATTTCTTTCTCATAGCCAGCACCTGAAAATAGGGCCAAGTATTTTGCATGATTTACAATTGACTGTATAAATGTAGCATAGCCAGTTATATGATGTGTTACCATTTCTGCTATAAAATCAAAAGAAGAGATCAGAACATTTAAAAACTTCCCTGTGGATTTCTACCTCTTACCTAAGCTTTGTTCTTGTTTTTTTAAACCTCATGAACACGAAGCTTTAGATAGCGGAGGTCATGTATCCTTGGGCTCAAATATACAGTTTCTTAGCAATCTTTGATTGCTACATTGCCCTTTTTTGTGTTTTTAACTGGCCTTCCCTGACTTAAAATATACTTTAAAAAATAACAAAGGTGGTATTTAGTTTGCACAGTATGGAATTAAAGGTAAACAACTTTAAATTAAATTTGGTTGGATGTATAAATTATTAAAATATCCTTTCTCTCATGGCTGGGTAAGTCTGCATTTTCCATTCAGCCTGCTATGTCTCTTTCCATGAGAACACTCCCGAAGAATGGGGCCCTGCTTCCAAACAAGCCAAGCATTTTGTAGTAAATTTTAAAAAGCTAAATTTCATAATAACCTTTATAATTGCTACCTGAAAATGGAGTTTGGAATGGCACCAAATTATTAATCAGTAGAAGGAGAATAGATTGCAAAAAGGTAATTATATCAAATTGAATGCTTCTTGAAATATATTCTGTTAAATAAAATACAGTTCCTCTTCCCTGTTCTCATTTGTAAGCAATGAGGACAATTCAGGTAGCATGAATCAGGAATCAGAGTACTTTTCTGTTCCGCAGATTGGCTTAATCATTTTGGGCTCACTTCAAACTGTAGATGAGCATTGTCCTTTAACCTGCCGGGCAGCAGAGGTGACCACGTTCACTGCAAAGCCCAGAAGTGAGTTGTTCATCTGGGTTAGGGTCTCAGGAAGAGGCATGTTATGACTTCCCCACATTCCTGGACAGTTTAGACTGTAATTCTTGGTTGTTTAAAAAGGTGTTTGAATGTATTTTGTTCAGAGGCTTGAGTAAATGGCTCTTATTCTTACACTTTTTTTTTTGCCTGCTTTTTCCAGCATTAGAATAGTTTCAGCCCTGACAATTAGCCTTATGCTGACTGGAGTGGATTTTTTGCGTAGGACCAAGTGTTTTGCATGATTTACAATGGACTGCATAAATGTAGCCTAACAAGTTATATGATGTGAAGAAAATTACTTAAGGGTAAAAATGGATTGTTTACTGAGAAAATGATGTTATTATAAACTGGTTTGAGGGTATTGTGGTTTAGATGCTGTCCTTACAAATTTGAGCTCTGTTGGTTTGGAGATTTAATATCTAATAATAATAGTTAATGTGTAATGAATACTTGCCCTGCTCCAGGCTCTATGTTACGTGTCCTGAATGCATCATCTCATTTAATCCTCCATAAAATTTGAAGCAGTCAGCATTGTAATTAATCTCACTTTTCAGATGAGGAAACCAAGGTATGTAAGAAACAAAACCAGTGTTGAATCTGACTAGTACGACTGCAAAGCCTGACTCTTAACCATTGTGTTCTGTTGCCTTCTCCAAGGGAAAGGAGTGCTTCCAGAAAGGCCATTGGAAGTGAGGAGTGTCACCTGATAATAGCTGGCTCCTCATCCCACTAGGTTAACAGGCAACAGATGGGGGCCACAGAGTTGGCTGGAGTTAGTCCTGGTTGCCAAGGGTAAATGGGGCTGTTACCATGCAATGGATAGAAACTAGGATGCTCCTGTGTGTCTCCTTATATCCTACCAGGTGTAGCATGAAGGTTAAGGACAATTCCGTCCTCTTATTTGGAGAGGAGACCAAGGCCCTGTAGGACTAAAGGTTTGGGTGAGCTGAAAGCCAAGGGCAATTGGCCCAGCTTGGGGAGGAGAGTTACAAATACATTTGTGACTATCAGACCAGAAACAGACTGCGGTGTTCACCTGCGGTTTGGGTACCTGCTGCTTGTTCTTTGCTGGGGTATCTGAAGACTGAAAACACAGCTCACACTTAGCCTTTTTCCTATTCTGTGTGAAAGAACTGTAGTAGTTTTCTCTTGCTTAACAAGGTTCTAGTGGTGAAGTTTATTGCTTAGTCTGTGAGTTGTAGGGAAATAACCACAGGATGGGATGGTAGCAGAACGAGAAAAGAAAAGAAGATTGTAGATGCCAGGCTGGTGTCGGCTTGAAATTTTTAAAGTATACAGTTCTTCTTTATGGATTATTAAAAAAAAACAGCAAATGAATACACAAGATTAAATGTTAAGCAGTACAACATTGTACATGATGAAAGGTTAAAGTCTTTCTCTGGTCTCATTCAAAAATCTACAGTCTCTTGTAGTATAGTTTGAAGTCAGGTAGCGTGGTGCCTCCAGCTTTGTTCTTTTGGCTTAGGATTGACTTGGCAATGCGGGCTCTTTTTTGGTTCCATATGAACTTTAAAATTCTGTGATGAAAGTCATTGGTAGCTTGATGGGGATGGCATTGAATCTATAAATTACCTTGGGCAGTATGGCCATTTTCACGATATTGATTCTTCCTATCCATGAGCGTGGAATGTTCTTCCATTTGTCTGTGTCCTCTTTTATTTCATTGAGCAGTGGTTTTGTGGTTCTCCTTGAAGAGGTCCTTCACATCCCTTGTAAGGTGGATTCCTAGGTATTTTATTCTCATTGAAGCAATTGTGAATGGGACTTCACTCATGATTTGGCTCTCTGTTTGTCTGTTATTGGTGTATAGAATGCTTATGATTTTTGCACATTGATTTTGTATCCTGAGACTTTGCTGAAGTTGCTTATCAGCTTAAGGAGATTTTGGGCTGAGACGATGGAGTTTTCTAGATATACAATCATGTCATCTGCAAACAGGGACAATTTGACTTCCTCTTTTGCTAATTGAATACTCTTTATTTCTTTCTCCTGCCTAATTGCCCTGTCCAGAACTTCCAACACTATGTTGAATAGGATGGTACTGGTACCAAAACAGAGATATAGACCAATGGAACAGAACAGAGCCCTCAGAAATAATACCACACATCTACAACCATCTGATCTTTGACAAACGTGACAAAAACAAGAAATGGGGAAAGGATTCCCTATTTAATAAATAGTGCTGGGAAAACTGGCTAGCCATATGTAGAAAGCTGAAACTGGATCACTTCCTTACACCTTATACAAAAATTAATTCAAGATGGATTAAAGACTTAAATGTTAGAACTAAAACCATAAAAACCCTAGAAGAAAACCTAGGCAATACCATTCAGGACATAGGCATGGGCAAGGACTTCATGTCTAAAACACCAAAAGCAATGGCAACAAAAGCCAAAATTGACAAATGGGATCTAATTAAACTAAAGAGCTTCTGTTCTTTGCTGGGGTATCTGAAGACTGAAAACACAGCAAAAGAAACTACCATCAGACTGAACAGGCAACCTACAGAATGGGAGAAAATTTTTGCAATCTACTCATCTGACAAAGGGCTAATATCCAGAATCTACAAAGAACTCAAACAAATTTACAAGAAAAAAGGAACCCCATCAACAAGTGGGTGAAGGATATGAACAGACACTTCTCAAAAGAAGACATTTATGCAGCCAACAGACACATGAAAAAATGCTCATCATCATTGGCCATCAGAGAAATGCAAATCAAAACCACAATGAGATACCATCTCACACCAGTTAGAATGGTGATCATTAGAAAGTCAGGAAACGACAGGTGCTGGAGAGGATGTGGAGAAATAGGAACACTTTTACACTGTTGGTGGGACTGTAAACTGGTTCAACCATTGTGGAAGACAGTGTGGCGATTCCTCAGGGATCTACAACTAGAAATACCATTTGACCCAGCCATCCCATTACTGGGTATATACCCAAAGGATTATAAATCATGCTGCTATAAAGACACATGCACACGTATGTTTATTGCGGCACTATTCACAATAGCAAAGACTTGGAACCAACCTAAATATCCAACAACAATAGGCTAGATTAAGAAAATGTGGCACATATACACCATGGAATACTATGCAGCCATAAAAAAGGATGAGTTCATATACTTTGTAGGGACATGGATGAAGCTGGAAACCATCATTCTCAGCAAACTATTGCAAGGACAAAAAACCAAACACTGCATGTTCTCACTCATAGGTGGGAATTGAACAATAAGAACACTTGGACACAGGGTGGGGAACATTACACACTGGGGCCTGTTGTGGGGTGGGGGGAGGGGGGAGGGATAGCATTAGGAGATATAACTAATGTAAATGATGAGTTAATGGGTGCAGCACACCAACATGGCACATGTATACATATGTAACAAACCTGCACATTGTGCACATGTACCCTAGAACTTAAAGTATAATAAAAAATATTTAAAAAATCTACAGTCCCTTTCTCAATAGGTAAACACTATTAACAATTTCTTCTGAAAATTACATATGTACACACACACACACCCCACACATAGATATTTTGTTAACATACATTACCTTATGCTCTACACATTATTCTGTGCCTAGCTTTTCTCATCGAATAATGTGTATTGGAGATCTTTCCATATAAGTACATATTGGTCTCACTCATTCATTTTTAATGGCTGTATATTAGTCCATAGTATGGAGTAATAATACCTTTTATTGGCACAAAGTTTTGCAGTTGACAAAGGGTTTGCATATATTGTTTCATTGGGTTGTATAGCAGTCATCAACGGACATATCAAGAATCCCAGAAGGGTAACCTGGGCTTCACCCAGGATCGCATGGAGCTTGGGACTCAAACAGCTAACATTCCCTAAACAGGCCCATATTCCTGCAATTTAGTGCAGCTGCTACAACATTTAGGTAAACTCTTTGAAAGCAGTAAAAAGATCACCAATCTGGGACATCAAGAAGCCAGACGACAAGGAGACATAGACCTCAGGTGAGTGAGAAAAGAGAATAATTGAAGTTTAGAACTGAATGGGCACTAACGAACAACAGATACATCTCTTTCCTTTCACCGATGAGGACCTGGGTGTGGCCTGTGGATGTTAAGTAGCATGTTTAGGCCACACAGCTGGATTGTTTTCTTTCCTGAGGCTAGCTCTGGAGAGGGGAGGAAACGGAGATGCTAGATTTTTCCGGGCTCTCTTTTCTCATCAGCTAGAATGGGATGTGGATGGAATGCAGCTTGAGAAGCCAAACACCCTTGAGAAATGAGAACTCTGCTTTCTGATGTGGGGCGCATCCTATCTGAGATAACTCTCCTGCCAGCGCAGTATGACCATTGCGACTTGAGCTGTGTGGGTGCCCAGGTGGTGTAGACCTTAAAACCACTCCTGCTTTTGTTTACTGAATGTCTAATATTCACACAGTTCTTTGTCTGAGTGCAGGGCCAAAGCAGCAAATAACGAAGAAGCTGTGCCCAACCATAAGAACTATGAAATGCTCCAGATCATCTACGCTAGTTTGAGTTAAATTTACCATGCAAATAAATATAGAACATTTCTTCTTATGCATAGATTGTATTTGTTCTATTAAACAACCATCCTGTAAAGGTTTTATTCATTCATTTATTTTTATTTGTTAGGAGAAATTGTTATTTAAGCTAAGAAAGTAGACTAGTAGTTATTTCTTTTTTTTTGCTTATTATACTTTACGTTTGGGGATACATGTGCAGGTTAGTTACGTAGGTATACACGTGCCATGGTGGTTTGCTGCACCCATCAACCTGTCATCTAAATTAGGTATTTCTTCTAATGCTATCCCTTCCCTAGCCCCCCACCCCCTGACAGGCCCCAGTGTGTGATGTTCCCCTCCCTGTGTCCATGTATTCTCATTGTTCAGCTCCCACTTATGAGCGAGAACATGCAGTGTTTGGTTTTCTGTTCCTGTGTTAGTTTGCTGAGAATGATGGTTTCCAGCTTCATCCATGTCCCTATAAAGGACATGATTGCATCCTTTTTTATGGCTGCATAGTATTCCATGGTGTATATGTGCCACATTTTCTTTATCCAGTCTATCATTGATGGGCATTTGGGTTGGTTTCAAGTCTTTGCTATTGTGAATAGTGCTGCAGTAAACATACGTGTGCGTGTGTTTTTAGAATAGAATGATTTATAATCCTTTGGGTATATACCCAGTAATGGGATGGCTGGGTCAAATACTAGAAGGCTACAGTAACCAAAACAGCATGGTACTGGTACCAAAACAGATATCTAGACCACTGGAACAGATCAGAGGCCTCAGAAATAATGCTACACATGTACAACCCTCTGATCTTTGATAAACCTGACAAAACAAGCAATGGGGAAAGGATTCCCTATTTAATAAATGGTGTTGGGAAAACTGACTAGCCATATGCAGAAAACTGAAACTGGACCCCTTCCTTACACCTTATAAGAAAATTAACTCAAGATGGATTAAAGACTTAAATGTAAGACCTAAAACCATAAAAACCCTAGAAGAAAACCTAGGCAATACAATTCAGGACATAGGCATGGGCAAAGAGTTCATGACTAAAATACCAAAAGCAATGGCAACAAAAGCTATAATTGACAAATGGGATCTAATTAAACTAAAGAACAACTGCACAGCAAAAGAAACTATCATCAGAGTGAACAGGCAACCTACAGAATGGGAGAAAATTTTTGCAATCTATCCATCTAACAAAGGGCTAATATCCAGAATGTAGAAGGAACTTCAACAAATTTACACACACACACACACACACACACACACAAACAACCCCATCAAAAAGTGGGTGAAGGATATGAACAGACAGTTCTCAAAAGAAGACATTTACACTGCCAACAACATAAATATGCTGCCAACAAGCATATGAAAAAAAGCTCATCATCACTGGTCAAGAGAAATGCAAATCAAAACCACAATGACATACTATCTCACACCAGTTAGAATGGCAATCATTAAGAAGTCAGGAAACAACAGATGCTAGAGAGGATGTGGGGAAATAGGAACGTTTTTACACTGTTGGTGGGAGTGTAAATTAGTTCAACCATTGTGGAAGACAGTGTGGCGATTCCTCAAGGACCTACAATTAGTAGTTATTTCTAGGTCTGACGGGCTGTCTTTTAGTTTGTTTTCTTATTCTGAGGTGGACTTAAACCAATTTTAAAAACAGGGATGACTGAATTCGTGTGTTAATCTTGTACTACAGGAACCCTTTGACATTGATTCAGAAGCACCCAAGTGTTTGTTCATTAATCCTTTTTTATTTTTGCATATTATTTATTTTTCAACTTTTATTTTAAAAATCAGGGGTACATATGCAGGTTTGTTACAAAGGTATATTGAGTGATGCTGAGGTCTGGCATATGGATGAATCTGTCACTCAGGTAATGAGCATAGTACCCAATGATAGTTTTTTGTACCCAATGATAGTTTTTTGTTTTCTTTGTTTTTTTTTGTTTGTTTGTTTTTTGAGATGGAGTCTCGCTCTGTCACCCAGGCTAGAGTGCAATGGCTTGATCTCGGCTCAATGCAACCTCCGCCTCCCAGATTCCAGCAATTCTCCTGCCTCAGCCTCCCAAGTAGCTGGGACTACAGGCGTACACCACCATGCCCGGCTAATTTTTGTATTTTTAGTAGAGATGGGGTTTTACCATATTGGCCAGGCTGGTTTTGAACTCCTGACCTCAGGTGATCTGCCCACCTCGGCCTCCCAAAGTGGTGGGATTACAGGCGTCAGCCACTGTGCCTGGCCCCAATAGATAGTTTTTCAGTCCTTGCCCCTGTTCCTCCTTCCCACTTCTAGTTATCACCAGTGTCTATTGTTTCTGTCTTTATGTTCATGTGTACCAAATATTTAGCTCCCACTTATAAGTGAGAACACATGGTATTTGGTTTTCTGTTTCTATGTTAGTTTGCTTAGATAGACCTCCAGCTGCATCCACGTTGCTGCAAATGACACGATTTCATTCTTTTTTATGGCTGTGTAGTATTCCGTGGTGTAGATATACCATATATTCTTTATCTAGGATAACTGATGGGCAATTGGGTTGATTCCATGTCTTTGCTATTTTGAGTAGTGTTCTGATGACCATATGGGTGCATGTGTCTTTTCAATAGAACAATTTATTTTCATTACTCTTATCAGGATACCTGGGAGGAACTTCTCCTACGAAGTTAATTTGGGGGGACTCCTGAAGATGAGTGAAACCCCTTATTAAGCACTTAGAGGGTCGAAAGTGTACAAGGGAACGTTCAGGTGTGACAGCTTGAGAGACATGCATATTCCACCCCCACACCAGAGCTTAGTGAACCGTCTTTTCTATTTTCTCCCAAAGCACCAAAATGGCCCAGAAATTGGAAGATGGAAAATGGACTTATTTATGAGTCTGGGAAGGCAGGGCAGTAAGCACAGTCCTGTTCAGGGTTCTGAGTTTTACCCTCTTGCTCTGATTGCGAGATCATTTTCCTCTTCCTTGCTTCTTCAGCTTAGGACAAGAACAGTTTGGAAATTGTTTCTACTACTTTGGACACCATAGTTTAGATTTCAAATGAGTACAAGTGGGAGGAAAGCTTGGATAATTCTCTGGAAATAATCGAACAGAGTGAAGGAGAGGGGTCTACAGGTGAGCTGAATGCTGCATGGCATTGAAGTAATCACACCAGTCGTCACAATTCTCTCCTCTTTGATGGTTATCTGTTGTCCCAGAAGGAACAATTTCAGAAAGTCCTTTTCTGGACTGTAGAATAGCACTTGCTTATTTGATGAGCCCTGAGAAGCATTACTGAAAGCGGTTCATTGTCCCTGAGGTATTACAATGAGATGGTGGTCACTGATTTCATTATGTTTTCCTTTATTGCAGCTGTTGGTTTGATCCTTTGCCAGGTGCTTAAAACAATTGTGGTTTTGCAGATGGTAAGTTAGAGGTTGGACAAAAAAAGGGATCATGTCACTGCCCTGGCCAAAATTTCAACAGACTGGGGTCTAGTGAGGGCAAATAGATAGAGGCTTTCCTCTTCACTTTGTGTTATTTAGAAAAAGAAACTTTCCAGGACAAATTTCTTTCCTAGAATTCCTTTTTTAAAAATTTTTTTTCTTTGAAAATTTACTTAGATGCAAATAATATATTTTTCTTCCTTTTAAATAATAAAAGTAAGATGTCTCTTGGAGGTGGTGGTTGTCACTGACAAGATTAACTAGAACTGACTAGCTGTAAAAATATAATTTGGGATGCATTATTAAGGCATGCCATTTTTATTTGCATGCCATTGTGTACAGATGTGGTTGTGAAATAGTTCAAATCATGGCACATTGAATGTCCTCACTGGATTTTTAGGAATGTGTTCACTGAGACAGCCAAATCCTATTTCATTTTCTTTGGCTCATTGCATTGGCTGTAAATTGGAGATATTCACTTTAATATGTGAGTCAAAATTTATTTCCAAACATAATACTGCAGTTGTTCTGTCACAGAATATAAATTTCTTATTTATTTCCTTAATACGTTGCTTTCTACTTTTTCTTTTTTTCTTTATTTTATTCTGGAGTATGTGGAAAGGTTTTCCAGAAAGATTTGCATATGCCATAATCTACTGATGAATACTTTTTTTGGGTTACTCTTTCATATTTTGGGAGATATAACTATGGAAGTGTTAGGAATCATGGGTTCTGGAAATAGTTTTATTACTGCTTCTGAAATGCCCTCCCAATGATACCATATAGTAATTCCATCAGGGAATAATATTTTTATTATAGTTTAAAATATAACTTAATATTTAGGTGCTCTTGTTCAGTCATCGTCAAGTTCTTTTTATTTCACCAACCCTACCATGGCACTCCTGAAAGACTTGTGAATGCGACAGACCTGGATTTAATCATGGCTTTGCCATCTGCTAGCCAAGAGAACTTGAACAAGTGAGTCAACTTCTTGGAGTCTCATTTTCTGCTTCTGTAACATGGGAACTAGGGTAATCTAACTCATTGCTTGTGATGATTAGATGAGGCAAAATGCTGAGTTCACCTAGCCCAGCACCTGGTCCATGGGAAGCATGTGGGTTCTGCTGCTACCCAGTCCTTGGCCCAGTGCATGGTGCACAGAAGGGAATCTGAACAGGCCAACTTTATTCCTATTCTTGACCCACCCCATGTAGATGCTTCCTACATCTTCAGCTTCTTCTTCTTCTTCTTTTTTTTTTTAAGGCAGGGTCTCACTCTGTCCCCCAGGCTGAAGTGCAGTGGCACAACCACAGCTCAGGGCAACCTCGACCTCCTAGGATCAAGTGATCCTCCCACCTCAGCCTCCTGAGTAACTGGGATGACAGGACCACACTACCACACTTGGCTAATTTAAAAACTTTTGTAGAGCTGGGGTCTTGCTATGTTGCCCAGGCTGGTCTCAAACTCCTGGATTCAAGTGATGCCCTCACCTCAGCCTCCCAAAGTGCCTGGAAAACAGGCCTCCACACCCAGCCTTCAACTTCATTTTAAAAAATTGTGGTAAACTATACAATTCATCCATGAAAGCAGAAACCACTTGTACCCCAAAAGCTATTGAAATTTAAAAATATATATATTAAAAATAAAAATAAAATTGTGATAAGATATACATAATATGAAATTTACTACTTTAATCATTTTTAAGTGTACGGTTCAGTGGCATTGAGTACATTCACATTTTTGTGCAACCGGAACTTTTCATCCTCCCAAAGTGAAGCTCTGTACTTATTTTTTATTTTATTTTATTTTTTGAGATGGAGTTTCACTCTAGTCGCCCAGGCTGGAGTGCAGTGGTGCAATCTCGGCTCACTGCAACCTCTGCTTCCTGGGTTCAAGAGATTCTCCTGCCTCAGCCTCCCAAGTAGCTGGGATTACAGGTGCCCACCACCACACCCAGCTAAGTTTTTGTATTTTTAGTAGAGACGGGGTTTTGCTATGTTGGGCAGGCTGGTCTCTAACTCCTGATCTCAGGTGATCTGCCCGCCTCAGCCTCCCAAAATGCTGGGATTACAGGCATGAGCCACTGTGCCCGGCCAGCTCTGTGCTCATTAAACAATGACTCCAAGTTCCCCTTCCCCACATCTCCTGCTGACCTCTCTTCTACTTTCTGTCTCTGTGAGTTTAACTATTCTAGGTACGTCATGTAAGTGCATCTATGTGATATTTGTCCTTTTGTGTCTGGCTTATTTCACTTAGCATAATGTCTTCATGATTCATTCATGTTGTAGCATGTGTCAGAGTTTCCTTCCTTTTTAAGGCTGAATAATACTCCACTGTATGGATAGACCACACTTTATTTATCCATTTGTCTGTTGATGGACATTTGGATGATTTCCATCTTGTGGGTATACTGAGTAATTTTGCTATGAACATGGGTATAAAAATATCTATTTGAGTTTCTGCTTTCAATTATTTTGGGTCTACACCTCAAAGCGGAATTGTTGGAAGTGGAATTGCTTTCCACTTGTTGGAAGTGGAACATGGTCTCCCACTTCATTTTGACACAACTTCCAAGCTTCAGAACTGTATTTACAACAGCGTGCTGGGAGGTCGCTTTGAGTTTATGACGGAAATCTCATATCAACAGGTTTTAAATTGTTCCATACGACTTCTTGCCACCCCTGTCCCAATTCAGATCTTTTTTTTGATTAATGGTATGAACAATTTTCAAAATATCCTGGCACAATCTATTAGAATATTTGACTTTCTCCTCCTCCTCCCTTTAGCCCTAACTATTTGGCAAAGCTGTTGAAAACTTCTTCACATCTTCTCTCTGCCTCATCTACTTTGCTACTCAAAGATGATTAGTAGATGTTTTGGTATGATTTTTTTTCCTTGGCATAACTGTGAATACTTTTAATCCTTCATGTTTTATGACAATCATACATTCCCACTTTTGTGTAAAAACATTTTGAATTCTTCTTTCTATAACAAATTCTTTGCCAGTCTTCCTTTTCTTTTTGCTTTTAGTGAGTTCCAATGATATCATTGTTTGAACCTGTTTTCTAATTCTATGCTGCTATTCCCATACTCCCTCTTTGCTTTGGTTACAGTAGATAATGTGGGTGGTCCTACCAAGACAAAGCATCACTCAGGAGTCAAGGGCTGGGGTAGATACAGACACTAGGTACTGCAGAAAGTCAATATCTTTCTCAGAGTGTAAGGCAGGACAAGACTTCTGTTCCCTTGTACCGTTGTGGCTGGGGAGTTGGACTGTGCATTTCATCCTTGTCATATAAGTCAAAGTATTGCCCAAATAACTTAATTTTGGTGTGGTCTTAGTAAGTATTTGTCTCGTAGATATGTTAAATAGAAGACAGTAACATTGGGTTGGCTGTGTTAATTCCTCACTTTTTCTTTCCTATACATGAGCTTCCTAAGAAGCGGAACACTTGGTGGTCAGACAGTTGCAGAGATTCCTTGCATGATTGCAATCTGGAAAGTAGATACCATTCTTGAATGAAGAGCTTGCCCTTTGGAGAAGCTGGGCTTTCCATATATGGAGGTTGTTAGAATGCATAAGAGTTCAGCTTCTGGAATGAAAGGAGACCTTGGTTCAAAACCCATCTGCCACTTGCTTGCTGTGTGGCTTAAATCAGGCTTTTAAACTTCAATTATAATTTTGCATCTGTATAATAGGATTAATATAATTCCTTCCTCATAAAGTTCCTAGGGGGTTAAATGAAACAATCAATGTATAACACACTTCCTGGCATGTGATGTTCAGTACCTAGAAGACTCGGTTTCCTTGGTAGAGAGAATATTTGGCTAGACAAGCTTATGGAATTACCCCCAGATAGGAAGTGAGCACAAGTGTGAAATGAACAAGCCAGAGCAGGAACGGCTCTTGGAAGCGTCTACTCAGGCCTGGGCAGTTGCTGGTTTATATAACAGTGCTTTGAAAATTCACGTGCAGATTCTTACTATTTTCCCAAATGTTACAGCTCAAAACTATGTTGTCTGTACCTTAACACCTAAAGGATAATATAGTCTTTCACTGATAAAACTAAAATGTCATAGGTTTTCCTTTGGCCAAATATGTATAGAAACTTGTGATTTCACATCAGATTTAAAGCTGTATTTAACACTCTATGAAAACATACTGATGCTTAGAAGTAGAAAGGAAGTCAGATTTTGACATCTTACTTGTCAACTTAAATTATTTATAGTTCCTGGATGCTTCAAAATGTGATAAACCATAGTTAATTTTATGTAAATATTCGATGAGTGCCTTTAATAAGGAGACTGTAAAGGTAGCCAAGCTTTATATATGTTAGCTACATTTATGGGTCAATCGGGTATAAAAAATAGGACTTCGAAAATAAAATATTATTTTGTCGGACTCCTCCAATGAGGCTTTTTCGCAGGATTAGCTAAAATTGGCTCTTATTTGATGTGTGAGTGCTTAAACATTGGAGAATTCATTTTTCTTTTAGAATTCATTTTTATTTCTGAGCCTTAAAATATGAACAGTTAGCTAAATGTTTGTATATGTTGATAAGGAATGCTAAGTGTTTATTCCTTAATGGGACGACACCTTTTCCCGGTTTACATAACTTGCCTTTTAATCTAACCTTATGAAAGTCTCCTTGACTTTAATTTTTTTTCAGAGTACTGTATATCTCTTTAGGGAATGCATTTATTTAAAAAATTATAAAGCAAGAATAGATGTGATATATTTTGAAGTTTTCTAGTCACAAATTAAATCCCTAGATGTGTTGTAGTTTGTGGAGCACTTTGAAATGTGCCAATTCAAGATGGAAATAGCAGGAAAGAACCATTCAAGTACGATTTCTGACTCCATAAAGTTAGGAAGTTATGATAAAGGAAAAATAACTACACCACATACTTATGGCACAGAATTGCATTATTGGGACAAATTGATCTTCAAATTTGTAGGCTATGATGGAAGCAAATATTTGTAGTATCTTAATATTCAACTGTTAAGCCAGGAGACGAGTACTCTGAACTTCAGCTTCTCATAAAATCAGTCAGTTACATGACAGTTTATGTAGTTTATATGTAAGAAACCCTTTGATCAAGATATGCCTTTTCTTCAGCCTTGTTAATACTTCATTTATAAGGATTTTTATTTCTAGGAAAATAATACCATAGACCTATTTTATTTAAAGCTAAAGTGTTTCCTGGTGATGGTGGTGAATGGGGAGATGATTCAAGGAAACTGCTAATCTTGTAGAGTTTAGTAAAATCTTGGAATAGAAATTTTAAAAAGTTAAAACACACTATGAAAACAAATCATTATTAGTAAAATGAACCATATTAAAATGTCTCCATAACCAACGTATTATAGCAGGGGAAAATGGCATTTTAATTCAGAAAAACATTTCTATATAAAACAAGCTTTGGAATAATTTGAATATGTTGATTTTTCTTTGGGGCAATCATGAAATACAGTCATATTAGGAAAGAGGCAAGGCCTCAAAACGGAAAGAGTAGTGAGGATAATTCATGAGCAATGCGTGGCTTCATGGATCCCTTCCTGGCCCTCTTCATCTATGAACATCTGCTTTATGTTCATGTCTGGCCTCACCCAGTGCTGAAGAGCAGACTGCCCCTGCTTAGAACCAAGCCTTGTTCTTGTGGATTTGAGTTTTGGGGTCCTGAGGTAGAATGGCCATCATATTGTTCAGGGTCCTCACCTTCCCACTCATTACTTCCTTTATAGAACCCCAGTCATCCCCCTCAGGAGGCCTGCGCTCCACAAATGAAGTTGGGGGTGAGGGGAGCTTTAGCATCTCAGTATTGTTCAGATATTGGATACTTGTTGAGCTCCACTATGTGTGTGAGAATGCGCTGGGCTCAGGATCAATAGCCATAAATGAGACAGATATGGCCCATCCCTTGCCATGCCTAAACTGATCTGGGCATTGAGACAAGCAGTTAAAACCCAACATAGTAAGTCCTATGATGAGACACAAACTAAGCATGGCTGGAAGGGCAGATAAGATTTCACAGAGGAACTGACATCTTGACTGGCACACTTAGAAGATGAGTAGGAGTCAGTTGGGCCAAGAGGAGAAAAAGTGTGTTTCCATGAAGAAGAAGAGCATGTGCCAAGTCCTGGGGGTGAGAAGCATGGCATGTGTCAACAGAAAGACATGATCAGAGCTTGGATGGGAGTTAGAGCGGGGAGAGAAGGCAAGGAAAAACATAAGAGCTTTGCAAACTGTGAAGGCATTGCATTTAGATGTCATTTTTAGAGCTTGGAGGAGCCTCAGGACATTGAGGCAGGATAGTGGCCTGATGGCGTATGATTTTAGGAAAAATCACTGTGGCCACCCTGTGGGGAAGGATTGGCGGGGGAAGGCTGGAGGCAAAGGGTCCTGCGGTGGGCTGTGGTAATGATCTGGGCTGGAGAAGGTATGGTGGTGCCCAGCGCAAAATTGGTTTCGCTTTGAAAAATAATTAGAAAATATTTGTTTTGATCTGTGTGCCTGTGGTGGGAGGTGGGGAGGGAGGGTCAAGTGAGGAAGGAGATTGAATCTAGAATAATGCCCATGTTTCAGGCTTCACGTGCAGACATTTCTTGGTTCAGCTGGGAAGTGAATAGGAACAGACTGGCGAGGAAAGAAGACAGTCGTCAGTTCTGTCTGGGGCACATCCATCTTGACGAGTGTGAGAGAGTCAAGTCTTGATGGACAGGGGCAGGTGGACATTCAGGAAACTCAGGAAAGAGATTTGATCTGAAGTGACCACCAGAAAATACTGACGGAAAAGAGGTGACAAAAGGAGAGACCTGCAATATTATATTGGCTTTCTCTCAGGCAACTGCTTGGCCTGTCTTTATATTCCTTTTGAATCTCTGCATATGTACGGGCCATTATTTATTTTCACAACTAACAAATGCAGACTTTCTGTGTAATGACAACAAAGCCAAACCAGCTGCTACCAAAGGAGGGAAAATCAGAAGAGAAGGAAAAAGAACAAGGGAAGCTTGGGGAAAAGCTGAATGTGGGTCCTTCTGTTGCTGCAGGGGCTGGGGTGGGCCCGGTGATTCCTACTGAGAGGCGTTTTCTCTCCCCGCTTCCTGTCTTTCTGGTTCCATCTCATTCACCTCCTGTCCCCTCCACTTCCTGCCAGTCAAACCTTAGATTCCTCCAGAGGCTTTTTATTTTTATCTTTTGATGGGCAAGAAAATAGTGCGGATTATTTTTCCAAACCTTCACCTGAACATCACATCGTGGCTTTGGCCCTATGGGCTTGGTTCATCCGGGCCTGCACAGAAGGACTTTTCGGGCCAGTCTGGTCACATACATCGAGTCCTGTCTTTTCAGTTAAAAAAAAACACACACACACACACTGCTATGTTTCACTAAGACAACTGGTGTGAGTTGTTTTTTAGAAAATCAACTCTACTTCAGTAAGATTTTCTCAAGCATTATCTTGAGAAGACCAGATAATAAAATTTAAAAAGAATTTCTTCTTTTTTTTTTATTATACTTTAAGTTTTAGGGTACATGTGCACATTGTGCAGGTTAGTTACATATGTATACATGTGCCATGCTGGTGAGCTGCACCCACTAACTCGTCATCTAGCATTAGGTATATCTCCCGATGCTATCTTAATGCAACTTAAATCAATTGCTTTAATAACACATATTGACCAAGTTACACTCATTAAGGAAAAAAAACTACTTTGTTGTTTTTCTTCTTCTGACGTGAGCTGAAGACTTAGAAATAGTTGTTAATAGTGTTTGGTTAATAAGAATTTGTTTTAATTGCATATATCAAATATGTATTTATTAAACTTTTCTTTTTGTCAGTTTATCAATTCTAGCTTTGTCACAAAAGGTTTGCCGTATGAACATGATTCTGTTGTACATCTATTTCCATTTTTGTTAAGAGACGAATTCAATTGTAAAAATCTAGTACCTTTTATTCATTAAACATGTTAGTTCAGGAATTTCACTTGGTTCTACAAAGATACATATCTACAGTGGATGGCCAGTGCAAACATGAGACTCAGCCAACTGGTCTCTGACCCAATTCAGTTCTCCTGTCTTCTTCTGGCTTACAAAGTAACTGGCTCTGGGGAGAAAGTGAGTCAAAGTAATATTTGGTTTGAATGGTTATTGACTATTTTCTTCTGAAACTTAATGTATACTAATTAATTTTTTATTTTATTCTTTTTTTTTTAGAGATAGGGTCTCGCTCTGTTGTCCATGCTGGAGTGCAGTGGTGCTATCACAGCTCACTGCAGCCTTGACCTCCTGGGCTCAAGCGATTCTCCTGTCTCAGCCTCCCGAGTAGCTAGGATTACAGGCATGTGCCATCATGCCAGGCTAATATTTAATTTTTTTTTTTTGTAGAGACAAGATATTGTTATGTTGCCCAGGCTGGTCTAAAACTCCTGGTCTCAAACTATCCTCCCACCTCAGCTTCCTGAAGTACTGGAATTATAGGCATGAGCTGCCACACCTGGCCATATACTCATTTTTTGTTAAAAGCTGAAATATATCAGCATATACTGCATAAATACCACAGGAGACTAAACACTGAAAGTTTCTTTAGGGTATCAGAAGAATACACTTTTTGCTTGCAGTTAGCATCTGCACAGATAAGTTTTGTTTCTGGTTCTATTACTTCTTCAGTTTGACCCTATTAATAAGGACAATTCTAAAAATAATAACTGTGTCTGGATATCTGAATCCGTGTGTGGTCTTTTACTGAAGTTACAGGTTTATAACTCTGCTGACTAGTTTGCTGGTTTCTGTTATGCAATAGAAGAGTGCAAATGTTAATTTGATCTGAAGCCCGTGTATACAGTGACTTTTATAATGTATATTTAAAGATGGAAAGCCAAGTTTTATGAGGCCAGCATTTCTTGTCAAGTCCTCACTCCACCCTCTTCTAATTGGGCCTGACCCTTAAGTTGAATAAAGAACAAAGAGCTCTGTAGTTAAAACATTTCACTGCATGTTGCATCTTGCCCTTAGTAAATGGAAAAAAATAGAGACTTAAGCAGAGAATCTGAACTAGGGTGTGAAATATATATTCAGTTTTGGGGTGGGAGAATGAGAACCATGTTTTACAATAGTATACATAACTTCCTTAGTCTAAATTCAGGACATTTCCCCAAGATATGTAAGAATTTAGACTTATGCAGACAGACTTTATAAAAACATGCCAATATTTATTAGTTTGTGAATTTTAATATTCTGCTCCCTATAAACCAGATTTATTTTGAGGGATAAAGGGATGGAGGTGACTTCTAAATCTTAGAGCAGAAACTTCCTGTGGGCAGCTGGACATATGTACCAGGAGCTCAGAGAAGAGGGTTGTGTTGGGAGCGTACATTCTGAGTGATCTGCATTTGGTGATGATGGAAGCCATGGACATGCACTAGATTGTCTTGTGGGAGAATATGGAGTAGTAAGAGAAGAAGAAGACCTAGGATTGAGCCCTGAGCACCTCTGGCTTAATGTTGGATGGAGGAAATTGAATCTGTAAACAATACCGGGAGGCTGCAGCCTGAGAGGCAGAAGGAACTGGGGTGTTTGGGATTATGGAAGCCAAGGGAAAAAGCCTGTCTCACAGCGGGAAGGGAGGTATCAACATTGTAAGCTGCTTCAGATAGGTTATGTAGGATGTGGACTGAAAAATACCTGTAAAATTTGGCAACGCGATTCATTGGTAATCCTAGGGAAGTTGCTTTTTTGGGGTAACTAAGGTGGAAAACAGATTGGTGTGGGTTGAGCAATGCAAGAGAGGTGAAGAAAAGGAGATTTCATGTGCAGACGTTTCTGAGTTCAGCTGGGAACAAGGGATAAGATAGAAGATGGAAGTTAGAGAGCATGTGGGGCAAGGGAGACTCTTTTATGGGACAGTCTCGCATGTGATCAAAGCCAATGAGTAAGGAGCATTTGAGGGAGAGAGAGTCAATCAACAAGAGAGAAAAGAAAGAGGGTTCATCATAAAATAACGGTAACAACAACGAACATCTTTTGAGTGTTTTCTATATCCGGGGAACTATGGTAAACTCCTAACCTGCATTCTCACATTCAATTCTTAGAATCGTTGGATGTGGTGGGTTCCATGATTTCCTCTAGATTAGCGAGGAGGAAAGAGAGATCTAGAAATGTCAGGTAGCTTGCTCAGAGTTCTCCAGGTAGTCAGTCATGGACTAATTTGTGAACTGAAGGACTGAACTTCGTCACCACCCAGCCCACCAAGCCGGCTTGACTTTAGGTATTCTGTGCTGCATGTGAGTACCGACTTAAATTATATTTTAAGAAGGGCTACTTTGAAACTCTCTCTCTGAAAACTCTATTTCTAAAAGCTCTACCCTCACAACAATTTTGGCAAGCAGTCTTGGTAAAACCAAACCAAACCAAACCAAAACCAAAAAACCTTATCTGCTGAGAAAATATAACCACATAAAATATGGTGCTACAAAATATAGACTGTGTGAACTGAAGGTGACTTGCCCAAAGGACTCCTGAAGCAATTGGCTGCTGTAGAAATTAAGTCCACGGGAGGTTTTTTGTTCTGTTTTTTTTTTTTTTTTTTTGAGATGGATTCTCACTCTGTTGCCTAGGCTGGAGTGCAGTGGCGCAATCTCGGCTCACTGCAACCTCCGCCTCCCGGGTTCAAGCGATTCTCCTGCCTCAGCTTCCTGAGTAGCTGGGATTACAGGTGTACACCACCATACCCAGGTTTTTTTTGTATTTTTAGTAGAGACGGGGTTTCACCATGTTGGTCAGGCTGGTCTTGAACTCCTGACGTCGTGATCCACCTGCCTCGGCCTCCCAAAGTTCTGGGATTACAGGCATGAGCCACCGTGCCCGGCCCATGAGAGGTTTTGTTTGCACTTCAAGAAGGACAGAAAAAGGCAGGCAGGCTGGGGAGCAACATAGTAAGGCTGAGGAAGTGATAGGAAAACAGCCTCCAAAAGGTTTCCCTGTAGATTCTGACTGGCTAAGTTTCCTGAAATAATATTAATTCTGTCCTCTTGCTTTTAATAGGACATAACGACTATATGTGTCCAGCCACCAACCAGTGCACCATTGATAAAAACAGGAGGAAGAGCTGCCAGGCCTGCCGGCTCCGTAAATGCTACGAAGTGGGAATGATGAAAGGTGGTAGGTACATCTCTCCCAGGGGCCCTTGGGGATGGCCCTGGCCACCGCCCAGTGCTGGCTCTACCCATTGGAATAACACCATGGGAATTTTGTGTTTTTTTCTTTTAATTGTTTTTTTTCTATTCTTATTTTTCTTTGCAACAAAAGTATTTTCATAATCCATTTTATTTTAAAAAGGTGGAAGTGTCTGGAACTGGAAATTCTAACATGGCATTTTGTGTTTTGGATTTTCAATGTAAATAATTATATTTTAAATCAAAGGTGTGTGGGAGGCGGTGATGGAAGGAAACGAAGAGTGCTTAGTAAATTATTCTAGAAATATTTTTCAGTTACTGTTTATGTTGCAAATGCTAGAAAATGATATCTGAGGATAAACTTTCCCTAAATTGAGACTTGTAAATGTGAAAGCTGAGTAGCTAATTTATAGCCTTCCAGTCTGTTATCATCCCTTAAGGAATGTGAATTTCAATCAAAAGGCAGTTTTCTCCTTTAGAACCTGAGTGAACCAGCCACTTTCTTAACCTCAGTGTCTAGCATGGTGCTGGCATAGTTGATTACTGAGCACTACACTAACAAGTGTCAGAGCATGCATGGTTTGTGACTGTGGGTTTGTGTTTTTGTGGTCTTTGTGGCTGTGTGTGTGTGTGGTTTTCTGTCTTCTCATGTATCCGATCTTCCAGTTTTGTCATACAGGAATCTGGAAACTGAATCCCAGTTCTGGGAATATTAGGAGCCCCATAAATGTGGTTGCCTGATTGACCTCATTGTATTCTTGGGAGTCTCATCTTGAGGAACATTGCTTCTAGTCTTGGATAGCCTTCAGTGTAGTGGAAGAGAACAAGTAGAAAATGTGTAATTAAAATAAAGTCATGAGGCTGAGGTGGGCAGATCATCTGAGGTCAGGAGTTCGAGACCAGCTTGGCCAACAAGGTGAAACCCTGTCTCTATTGAAAATACAAAAATTAGCTGGGTATGGTGGCGAGTGCCAGTAGGCCCAGCTACTTGGGAGGTGGAGGCAGGAGAATCACTTGAACCTGGCAGGTGGAGGGGGCAGTGAACTGAGATGGCGCCACTGCACTCCAGCCTGGGTGATAGAGTGAGACTCTGTCTCAATAAATAAATAAATAAATAAATAAATAAATAAATAAATAAATAAATAAAGTAACGGATTCATTTAGTGTTTCAGAAGGATACTGAAGGGAGGGAAGGGCTGATGATGGTGCTACCTGCTGATTGTAATAGGGAAAAGCCCGTTTCTTTTCTGAAGGAGGTGAAGCTTGGGGTGATTTAAGGAGAACAAAATTTCAATGAAAAGGAATAGTGATTTTGCAAATAGTGGGCAGCTAACCTTTAAATCATTCTTACTGGGACGCAGGAGGAAGGAGAGGAAAGACCAAGAATGGAGATTATGATGAAGACAAGCTTGATTGTTAACAAGCTTACAGTGACAGGTTTCATAGTCCCGGGGTCATAAATACGCCAGACAGGTTGAGGTTTGGAATGCAGCATTTGGAATAAATTCTCCTGGTGAAGAGATGCAATGTTGAATTTACGCATTCTGTGAGCTGTGACTATGACTATACATCTTGAACATCTGAAAAAGCAGCTTTAATTCAAAGGGTAATTAATTCCAAGAATTTAACAGCTACATTCAGAAAATGACACTTGAGTCATATGGATTAAATATTTAAGGAATTCATCTTTCTTTGTACTGTTGGAGAATTAGTCAGGCTTAATTAAACTTACAAAATGCGTCTTAAGGTAACTTGGTAAGTGACAGGAATATAACAGCTGCATAAGAAAAGCTTTATTTGAAACAGTGGAGTCGAGGTTTAATATTCTTCTTTGGCGATTATATGTAGGTTAAGCACAGGCTCTTCCATACATTCTCCTTGAAAGCTGAAATAATCAAGTCATGAATATGTCCAAAACAATTTTTAAAATGTGAGGGGTACCCATGCATTGACCCCATTTCATAAAACCGATTCTGTTTTTTTTTTTGTAATTAATATCCAGATACGGTCTGGCTGCATGAATATAAATTACGCATTCTCATTTTTAATCTAACAAAAATTCATATATGCAAAGACATAATAAAAGTCTCCCCACTGTTTTCTCCTAGGAATCTAGATAATTTGACTGTACACAACAGACTGTGGATGGCTCCATACACACTTGCACATGTATATTGATGACTGTAAAATATATATCTGTATTAGTTTTCTAGGGCTGCCATAATGAAATACCACAGGCTGGGTGGCTTAAACAACGGAAATTAATTTTCTCCCAATTCTGGAAGCTGGACATGCATAATCAAAGTGCTGGAATATTTGGTTTCTAGTGAGCCCTCCCTTTTTTTTTTTTGAGAGATGGAGTCTTGCTCTGTTGGCCAGGATGGAGTGCAGTGGCACTATCTCAGCTCACTGAAACCTTCACCTCCCAGGTTCAGGCGATTCTCCTGCTTCAACTTCCCAAGTAGCTGGGACTACAGGTGTGTGCCACCATACCCAGCTAATTTTTGTGTTTTTTTTTTTTGTAGAGACGGAGTTTCACTCTATGTTGGCCAGGCTGGTCTTGAACTCTTGACCTCAGGTGATCCGCCCACCTCGGCTTCCTAAAGTGCTGGGATTATAGGCGTGAGCCACCATGCCCGGCCTGTGAGGCCTCTCTTCTAGGCTTGTGGCTAGCCGTCTTCTGCCTGTGTCCTCACATGGCCTTTCCTCTGCGTCCGAGCACTCTTGGTATCTCTTTCTCTTCTCACAAGCCCTGTTGGATTAGGAGTCCACCCTTATGACCTCATTTAACCTTAGTTACCGCCAAAAAGGCCCTATTTCCAAATATAGTCATACCAGGGGCTAGGGCTTCAACATACAAGTTTTGTGGGGACACAGTTCATAACAGGCTGCCCTCCCAAAATACCATAGACTGGGTGGCTTAAGTAACGGAAGTCAATTGCCTCATAGCTCTGGAGGCTGAAGTCTGAGACTAAGGTGTTGGCAGGTTTGATTTTTCCCGAGGCCTCTCTCCTTGGCTTGAAGATGGCTGCCTTCTCTCTGTGTCCCCACATGGCCTTTTCTCGGGGCATCCACAGCTTCTTCTTCTTCTTACGAAGACACCAGTCATATCGGATTAGGGCCCCACACACAGGACCTCATTGAATCTTAATCACCTCACTTAAGGTACAATTTCCAAATACAGTCACATTCTGAGGCCCAGGGGGTAAGATTTCAACATATGAGTTTTAAGGGTACACAATTCAGTATGTGGCAATATCCCATAGGGGTTACTCAGTGATTGTTCAGTATTTCTTTACATGTAAGGAAAACATGTATCTTTCTGGCAGTTTTTATATGTACATAAGTTTTAAATGAAGCTTTAAATTCATAAAATTATAGCCCGTGAGAACATCTTATTTTAATGATATGTATAAAGTACTTGCCATAAATCAATATAATTTATTGTATTTTCTACAACATGGAATACCACACATGGCCACAGGATACCCTCTATAACAACTCCTTGAAAAATCCCATTGAATAAAGCCTTAATTTACAACTGGAAGTACAATGATAACTAACTATAAAATGTGCAGTCACATGGCAAAGGCCAGCTGTGACTGAATAAATCTTTACAACATGTTTTCAACCATTAGGGTTCACAACAATCCACTTTCTTAACCAGGCTGGTTACCAACTAGGATATTGAAACTCTACCTATGAAATAAAAAGTTTAGTTTCAGTTAAAAGAGAACCACAGACCTACTCCCTATTTTCATAGCAAGGCTGAAAAAATTCACTGAAGATCTATTGTAAAGATCCAAAAGAGTGCATGATTTGTCTCCATGAACTAACAATTTTAATCTGTTATAATACTTACTGCCTCTGAAAATCCCAGCATCATTATTAGATTTGGTTCTGAATCATGGTAGTTCTATAAGATGCAGGATTTGAATTGCACTTTCGGGAATGTGCTTTTCTATCCTAGTACATGTGCTGGTTTCTCTGCATTGCTTTTTCCTCTTCATTTGTCTCCTTCCTCTTGAACTTTAGGTTGTAGATTACATGTCTCTTCTTCAGGAAGGCCTACACAGTTACCTGACAGTTCCTGAGGCTCGAAGTTCAAAATCAAGGTGCTGGAAAATTCATGTTCTAGCTTTAATGGCAAACAGCTCTTCTCTTAGCTCTTATCACCATTATTATTAGTCATTCAATGTCTGTCTTTACATATGGTCCATAAACTCCATGATGGCGCGGGGGTGGGGGGTCTCTGTGTCTTGTTTACCGATCTTGCATGAAACAAGTCACAAGGTAGGTGTTCAAGAAGTATTTTTTTGCACTAATTAATGAATTGATTCAATTCATTTAAATAGTTATTTGTGTAGGGCTTCTTATATGCAAACCCTTGGGAATAAAGCAAATATGAATAAGATTGTAGTCCCTTCCCTCAATGTCCTCACAGTATAAAGAGAACATTTGCATGGGAAGCGGCAAATAAAAATCTCAACGGCAAGTGGAGACTGGGTTGCAAGATGGCTCAAATATTGAATGATCAGAATGGGAGTCTAGAGCTTTAAACAACCACTCCCAGGTTTAGTCCAACTCAGAGTATTACTCAGACACCTGACATCCAAGACATATATTATTACTCAAGAATGTGGCCTTTTTGCTGAGTTTGGTAGAAAGAGGAACTCTTCCAAAGATAAATGTGTTCAAATGCTGGCTCCTCCTCAAACTTGCTGAACAACCTTGTTAAAGTCACTTTTATGAGCTTCACTAATTTCAAATATGAAATGGAGATAAATAAATTTTATTGTCCAAGCACGGTGGCTTACGCCTGTAATCCCAGCACTTTGGGAGGCTGAGGTGGGCGGATCACCTGAGGTCAGGAGTTCAAGACCAGCCTGGCCAACAAGGTGAAACCTCGTCTCTACAAAATTAGCCAGGTGTGATGGCAGAAGCCTGTAATCCCAGCTACTCAGGAGGAGGAGGCAGGAGAATCACTTGAACCCAGTAGGCACAGGTTGCAGTGAGCCGAGATTGCACCACTGCATTCCAGCCTGGGCAACAGAGTGAGACTCTGTCTCAAAAATAAATATATAAATAAACAAATAAATAAATTTTACTTAATGAGTTTGTCATGAAGATGACAAATCGTAACATGGGAAAATATAAATCTAAAGTGCCACACAAGTGTTAGCTATTACATATCTTTTTTGTCTTAAAAATAATTACTATCTTAGTTAAAAATTTCATCATATACGAGCACTGCTGGGTTTTTTTTTTCAGCTGAAAGAAAGAGAATGGCAATTTCATCACTTCTACAAGATATAAATTTCTAATTTCTTTGTGGAGAATAAAAACTTGGCTTAAACACCTAAGCTTTTTTTTCTTTTCTGATCTCATATGCTGAATATAGCTGAATGACAAGTGAGATGTGTTATTTATCATTTTATGATGCCAGAGATTTACACGAATTTGTGAAAGGTTTTTTCTTACCATAGATTCAGAGGCGTGTTTGAGGCAAGGTTTTCATTGTGCAGTGAGGAAATTGGCACATAGAAATCAATTGATGTGCAGGACTCTTGGACTGACTATTCTGGTTATGTTTCCTTATAACACATTAAGAAGAAATTTGAGATAAAGTAGTAATTGTCAACTAGTCTTTATTTATTTTAATAACAAATGTTGCAGTATAATTTTTAGAAATATTCCAAAATAACAAATAAATCCAAAAATTAACGGGATAATTTTAAAGTGAGAAAATAACATACTACTAATATAGACAGGGAAATATACATGTGTCCAGAATGATTCAGAAGCCCAATGAAACACTGGAAAATAAAATATTTTCCTGTTGCTTGGGTTTAATATTTATCACTATGAGTTATCGTAATTTGCTTTATTGATGGATAAACTCCCAACCTGGGGACTGCGATTGGAATCCTCTTTAATCCTACATTGGCTATCCTTTATCAAAAGTAAACAACCGGCTGGCCATGGTGGCTCACACCTGTAATCCCAGCATTTTGGGAGGCCGAGGCGGGTGGATCACCTGAGATCAGGAGTTTGAGACCAGCCTGACCAACATGGTATAACCTCGTCTCTACTAAGGATACAAAAATTAGCTGGGTGTAGTTGTGCCCACCTGTAATCCCAGCTATTTGGGAGCCTGAGGCAGGAGAATTGCTTGAACTCAGGAGACGGAGGTTGCAGTAGGCCAAAATCACACCACTGCACTCCAGCCTGGGTGACGGAATGAGACTCCATCTCAAAAAAAAAAAAAAAAGTATACAACCAATTATTAATGTTCATGATGGTAGAATCAAATTAATAAATTAAAAATGTAGATGTGAATTACTTTTTTTGGATTGCCGAATAATTGTGGAAGATTTGTAGCTGCATGTGAATCCAAGTTTCCTCAAAAGGTAGGTTGGGGTGCTCCTATTTAGGATTGAATTTAAGAAAAATGTTAAAGAAAAGCTAGCTGCTCTTTACCAAAGAGAGACTGGTTGTTTTAAGCAGTAATCTAATCTATATATTTATGATATTGAAACTATTATTTTATTAATTCATATAATAGATATTTATTAAAAACTCCCCATATTATAATTTTTTATTTGCAAACAAATATACTGAATCAAGTAAGTGAATCACATATGGACCTTAAAGACTAATGAATCCAATGTTTGACAGTATTTTATATCAATCAAGCTCTGGTTTCCACAAGCAGAAGCAGATCGTCATCTATGAAACAGATAAAAGTTGATTTGGCATACCCTCTCTTTATTCATTATGATGTTCATGAGAAACCTTCTTAGAACCCTAGGGCTCCAAGGAACACAGTTTGCAAGCCACTGATCTAATCTAACTCCTTCATCCTCTAGGTATGAAAATCAAGGCCCTCCATTACCTATTAGGGATGAAGGCAGGTCAGCCTCTGTGACTGTCAGTTCAGCTGGAGGAAGCATGAGTGTAGGCAGCACAACAATCCCTATAAGGACCATGTTCTTAAGCTGGTTTTTTTTTTCCTAGTAGTTTTTACAGTTTCAGGTCTAACATTTAAGTCTTTAATCCAGGTTGAGTTGATTTTTGTATACGGCATGAGATAAGTGTCCAATTTCATTGTTCGGTGTGTAGATATCCAGTTTCTCTAGAAACATTTATCAAAGAAACTGTCCTTTCTCCATTGTGTGCTTTTAGCAGCTTTGTCAAAAATTAATTGGCTCTAAATGAATGAATTTATTTCTGGGTTCTCTATTCTGTTCCATTGGTCAATACATGCTGTTTTAATTACTATAGCTTTATAGTATATTTTGAGTCAGGTAGTGTTATGCCTCTAGCTTTGTTCTTCTAGCTCCAGATTGTTTTGGCTATTCAGGGTTTTTTTGTGGTTCCATACAAATTTTTGGATTGTTTTTCCACTTTTGTAAAAAATGTCATTGCAATTTTGATAGGCATTGCATTGAATCTGTAGATTGATTTGTGTCATATGGATATTTTTAACAATATTAATTCTTCCAGTCTATGTATGGTATATCTTTCCATTTATTTGTGTCTTCTTCAGTTTCTTTTATTGATGTCTATAGCTTTTAGCATACAATTCTTTCACTTCCTTGGTTAAATTTATTCCCAAATATTTTGTTTTATTTTTATAGCTATTATAAATGAAATTTCTTCTTGATTTCTTTTTTTGGATAGTTTGCTGTTAGTGTATAGAAACACTACTGATTTCTGTATGTTGATTTTCTCTTCTGAAACTTTACTGAATTTGTTTATTAGTTCTAATAGTTTTTTGTGTGGAGTCTATACTTACATGATCTATGTGTAAGATCATGTCATCAGCAAACACGGGCAATTTAACTTCTTCTTTTTCAATTTGCATGCCTTTATTTTTTTTCTTGCATAATTGCTCTGGCAGGAACTCTCAGTACTATGTTGAATAGAAGTGGTGAGAGTGGGCATCCTTGTCTTGTTATTGATCTTAGGGGAAGACTTTTCAAATTTTCACCATTGAGTATGATGTTAGCTGTAGGCTTGTCATATATGGCCTTTATTGTGTTGAGGTACACTCTTTCTATATTTAATTTGTTGAGAGTTTTTGATATGAAAGGATTTTGAATTTTGTCAAATGCATTTTTTCCTCTATTGAGATGATTGTATGGTTTTTGTCCTTCATTCTGTTAATGTGTGTACCATAGTTATAGATTTGCATATGTTGAACCATCGTTGCATCCCTGGGCAAATCCCACTCGATCATGGTGAATGATTCTTTTTCATGTCATGACAATCAATTTTGCTAGTATTTTGTTGTGGATTTTTGCATCTATATTCATCAGGGATATTGGCATGACATTTAATTTTCTTGTAATACCCTTGTCTGGCTTTAGTATCACAGTAATGCTGGCCTTGTAAAATGAGTTTGGAAGTATTCCCTCCTCTTCAATTTTTGGGAAGAGTTTGAGGATTGGTATTAGTTCTTTAAATATTTGGTAGAGTTCAGCAATAAAGCCCATTAGGTCCTGGGCTTTTCTTCCATAGAGGACTTTTTATTGCTGATTCAGTCTTCTTTCTAGCTATTGGTCTGGTCAGACTTTCTATTTCTTCATGATTCAGACTTGCTAGGTTTATGTGTCTAAGACTTTATCCATTTATTCCAAGTTATCCAAGTTGTTGGTGTGTAATTCATCATAGTACTCTTATAATTTTTTGCATTTCTGTGCTATCAGTTGTAATGTCTCCTCTTTTATTTCTGATTCAGTTTATTTGTGTCTTCTCACTTTTTTTCTTAGTCTAGTTAAAGGTTAATCAATTTTGTTTATCTTTTTAAAAACAAATTCGTAGTTTCACTGATCTTTTGTTTTGTGTTTTTAGTCTCAATTTTATTTATTTTTCCTCCGATCTTTATTATTTTCTTCCTTCTACTAACTTGGGGCTTAGTTTATTTTTATTTTTCTAGTTATTTGTGGTATAACATTAGATTGTTTGAGATCTTCTTCTTTGATGAAGACATTTATTGCTATAAACTTCCCTCTTGAAAATACTCTTGCTGCATCCCACAAATTTTGGTATGTTGTGTGTCCATTTTCATTTGTTTCAAGATATTTTTCAACTTTTCTTTTTATTTCTTCTTTGACCCACTGGTTGGTTCTGAGTATGTTGTTTTATTTTCAAGTATTTGTGAATTTTCCAAAATTATTCTTGTTGATTTATAGTTTCATATTATTTATGGTTGGAAAAAATACTTGATATGGTGTCAATGTTCTTAAATTTATTAAGACTTATTTTGTGTCCTAACATATGAACTATACTGTTTTTTTTCTTTTTTTTTTTTTGAGACAGAGTCTCACTGTGTTGCCCAGGCTGGAGTGCACTGGCTCAATCTTGGTTGACTGCAACCTCCGCCTCCTGGGTTCAAGCTATTCTCATACCTCAGCCTCCCGAGCAGCTGGGAATACAGGAGCACACCGCCATGCCTGGCTAACTTTTTGTATTTTTTAGTAGAGATGGGGTTTCACCATTTGGGTCAGGCTGCTCTCAAACTCCTGACTTCAAATGATCTGCCCACCTTAGCCTCCCAAAGTGCTGGGATTACAGGAGTGAGCCACCGTGCCAGGCCATGATCTATACTGTTTTATCTAACATTCAGTGGATAATGTTCCATGTGTATTTGAGAAGAATGTGTGTTCTGTTGCTGTTGGATGAAATATTCTGTATGTATCTGTTAAGTCCATCTGTGCTAAAGTATAGTTTAAGTTTGAACTTTCATTATTGATTTTCTGTCCGAATAATCTGTCCATTGCTAAAAGTGGGGTACTGAGTTCCCCAATATTATTGTATTACAGTCTATCTTCCCTTTCATATCAATTAATATTTGTTTCATTCATTTAGGTACTCCAATGTTGGGTGCATATGTATGTTCACCTGTTATATCCTCTTAATGAATTGACCCTCTTGTCATTATTTAATGGCCTTCTTTGTCTTATTTTATAGTTTGTGACTTAAAGCCTATTTTATTTGATATAAATATAGCTGTCTCTGCTTTCTTTTGGCTTCTATTTTCATAGAATGCCTTTTTTGGTCCCTTCGCCTTCATTCTCTGTGTTTTCTTAACCATGCATTGAATCTCTTCTAGACATCATATAACAGGGTCTTGTTTTTTTAAATCCATTTACTCACTGTATCTCTTTCTTCCTATCTTGCTGTCTTCCTTTGTGATTAGGCGATTTTCTATAGTGGTATCCTTTGAATTCTTACTTTTTGCCTTTTGTATATTTGCTACAGGATTTTGCTTTGTGATTACCATAAGGCTTACATAAAAGATCTTATAGTTATACCAGGCTATGTTCAACTGTTTATAACATAACTTTGATTAATTTTTTAATACTCAATTTATTTGATTGCTTATTTAGAGATAATTTTGATTCCTATCAGAAGAAAACTGAGGTATCTTTATGTACCTTTTCAGGAATGACCACGTCTCACCTTACCTTGAATGTTACAAGAAATGCTGGCAGTGACTCAAGGCCAGGCAAAAATTTCAGAAAGGGTTTATCTTGTTTGTACAATTTTCTTTTGCAAAAATAAATGATTCTTGATATGATGTAAGGACTTTTTCCGTAGATAGAACCTATAAAATGCAGAACTTTGGGGCAGTAATTATATGAATGAATTGCTACTTTAAAATTCTGTAAGTCCCCAGGAATTTCCATATGCTTTTTTTTGTTTGTTTCAGTGGTTGTGATCAGGCTAATGGGTAGTTTTTAGAGCTGAAAAGAACTTAAAGATCATCTAGTGCACCTTTTTGTTTTTCAGTTGGATTGTTCTTGTCCAAATCACTAAGCTAAGTTAACTGCTCAGACAGGAAACCAAGTCTCCTGACCCATGGTTTAATGCTCCTTTCATTGTTATGCGTCTGCCTGGCTGACCTGTTAGTAACATAAAGTGTCATGAGAGATAGACATATGCATGAGTAAGATATTAATATCCCATAAACCAAAACTGTGACTTAGGAAATGTTACGGTGGGCACAGGATATTACTCCTCTTCAACAAAAACATCAATCATATGTTGGCTTAGTTGCACAGCAGAAGTACCAAAATAAATTTATATAGACGGTGTCACAGATACTTTAAAAAGACCTACTTAAGATTTAATTACCTAATATTATTTAATATTTAATATAATTTAAAAGGGGCATTTTTATCTTTCAGCCAAGGTTTTAATTGTTTTTAGATAATTCTATTTTTGAAAGTCTGATTTTGTTTTAAAATGCCCATTCTGGTATATAAAAACATCATTTTGTCAAATAGGAGTCCCAGCTAAGGGCCAAGCGTGCAATTAAACTTGACTCTTTACCTACTACCTAGGAACCTTGGGCAGATCACATACTTTTTCTTCACTCAGTTTTTACTTCTGAAAAATGCCAGCTGAAGTATGTTTCAAATCTTAAATTTTATGTTTTATGATCTAAGTTCAGATTAACAATGGAATGGTTAGAATCCAAAGCTAAAGGTAGTATATACAAGTGTATATTGGGGGTTGGGAGCAACTGCCGCAGCTATCATATTTACATTTCAAGCTCAATTTAGAACAACTGCGGGCAACTGTAAAAACCGGTAGGAATGGGCAGAGTTATTGTCTTCACTAGTCATTGTGGAAAGTGAATCTCTTCTGAATGGAGAGTCACAAAAATGAGTTTGATGCTTTCATGATAGTGAAATGAGAAGATGGCCATATATTGCTATAAATCACCAGCAACATAAAAGAAAAAATTCAAAAATCAAGTTTGTTGAGGCAGGACTCTGAAAAGATAACTAAGCTTTTTTTTTTTTTTTTTTCTGTTAGAGATGTAATAATCATGACTAAGACTGGAATCCCAAGAGCTGGTGAGACTTTCTAGTTTCTGCCTTGTGGAAAGAGAAAGGAAGAGGCCAAAAAAGATAATGAATTTTGGAAAGTTCCTGATTAAATATCGCATAGGCTAGTCTGGTTATGTCTGCTTGAAAACTTATCCAGTAGGTATAAACCAACACACTTGAGGCCAGTCTTTTTGGAAATTACAGAAATATATGTCAGCCTTAAGAGACATCCTATGATGAAGAGCAGAGGGAGTTGTTTATAAAGAAATGTTCTCATTGGCTGGGCATGATGGCTCACGCCTGTAATCCCAGCACTTTGGGAGGCCGAGCTGGGTGGATCACTTGAGATCAGAAGTTCCAGAGCAGCCTGGCTAACATGGTGAAACCCCGTCTCTACTAAAAATATAAAAAAATTAGCCGGGCATGGTGGCGGGCGCCTGTAGTCGCAGCTACTCGGGATACTGAGGCAGGAGAATGGCGTGAACCTGGGAGGCGGAGCTTGCAGTGAGCCAAGATCGTGCCACTGCACTCCAGACTGGGCGACAGAGCAAGACTCTGTCTCAAAAAAAAATTAGCCAGGCATGGCGGGGAGCGCCTGTAATCCCAGCTACTCAGGAGGCTGAGGCAGGGAAATTGCTTGAACCCAGGAGGTGGAGGTTACAGTGAGTTAAGATGGCACCATTGCACTCCAGCCTGGGTAACAGAGCTAGACTCCATCTCAAAAAAAGAAAAGAAATGTTCTGGTCATGCCTGGAGATAATACATGGTTTAGTTTATGCTTGATTCAGCAAATAAAAATTGGTGAGGAACATACAGAATTATATTTAGGTGATTATATTTTTTATATTTTATATATAAAATTTATATTTTTTATATTTTAGGTGATTATATTTTTAAACGCTTGCTTTACAAGACTAATCATTATTACTTTTTTAAGTTTTGTGATATATTTTATTTAACTAATATACCCCAAATAGTATTTCAATACAGAATCAACATTTAAAAATTATTGATACATTATGTATGTTTTTTTCCTTCACTAAGACTTCCAAATCCTCCAAGTGTTTCACACTTACATCTTATTTTGGACCAGCCAGATTTTAGTGCTCATTTGACCATGTGATCTGTGCTTAAGGAGGCTGCTGGAGCTGAGGCTGGGCTGCAGTACCAACATAGAAGTCTTTATCTGTCAAACCAGGAGTTTGAGATCCCTGAGGGATATGGGAACCATAAAGGATCTTAAGCAGAGAAGTGACTTTCTTAATTTTGAACCTATCCTGGTGTTCTCATAGATTAGAGGAGAGAGATTTAGGAGTGAGGGATCAAGCAAGAAGGTGGCTCCACATTGTTTTCCATAGTAGTTGTACTAGTTTACATTCCCACCAGCAGTATAGAAATGTTCGCTTTTCACTACATCCACACCAACGTCTATTATTTTTTGATTTTTTGAAAATGGCCATTCTTGTGGGAGTAAGGTGGTATTGCATTGTGGTTTTGAGTTGCATTTCCCTGATCTTTGGTGATGTTGAGTATTTTTTCATATGTTTGTTGGCCACTTTGTATCTTCTTTTGAGAACTGTCTATTCATGTCCTTAGCCCACTTTTTGATGGGATTGTTTGTTTTTTTTCTTGCTAATTTGTTTGAGTTCCTTGTAGATTCTGGATCTTAATCCTTTGTTAGATGTATAGATTATGTCTCCTTCTCTGTGGGTTGTTTGTTTACTCTGCTGCTGCTCCTTTTGTGCAAAAGCTCTTTAGTTTAACTAAGTCCCACTTATTTATCTTTGTTTTTGTTGCATTTGCTTTTGGGTTTTTGGTCATAAAATCCTTGCCTAAGCCCATGTCTAGAAGGGTTTTTCTGACGTTAACTTCTAGAATTTTATGGTTCCAGGTCTTAGATTTAAGTCCTTGATCCATCTTGAGTTGATTTTTGTGTAAAGTGAGAGATGAAGATCCAGTTGCATTCTCCTACATGTGGTTTGGCAATTATCCCAGTACCATTTGTTGAATAGGGTGTCCTTTCCCCACTTTATGTTTTTGTTGGCTTTGGCAAAGAGCAGTTGGCTGTAAGTATTTGGGTTTATTTCTCGGTTCTCTACTCTGTTCCTTTGGTCTACATGCCTATTTTTATACCAGTACCATGCTGTTTCGGTGACTATGGCCTTATAGTATAGTTTGAAATCAGGTAATGTGATGCCTCCAGATTTGTTCTTTTTGCTTAGTCTTACTTTGGCTATGTGGGCTCTTTTTTGGTTCCATATTAATTTTAGGATTTTTTTTCTAGTTCTGTGAAGAATGATGGTGGTATTTTGATGGGAATTGCATTGAAGTTGTAGATTGCTTTTGGCAGTATGATCATTTTCACAATATTGATTCTACTCATCCATGAGCATGAGATGTGTTTCCATTTGTTTGTGTCATCTATGATTTATTTCTTTGAGAGGTGTTTTGTAGTTTTCTTTGTAGAGGTCCTTCACCTTCTTGGTTAGTTTTTGTTTTTTTTGGTTTTTTTTTTTTTTTGCAACTATTGTGAAAAGGAGTGAGTTCTTGATTTGATTCTCACCTTGGTTGCTGCTGTTGGTGTATAGCAGAGCTACTGATTTGTGTACATTAATTTTGTATCCTGAAACTCTGCTGAATTCATTAATCAGTTCTAGGAGCTTTTTGGGGGAGTCTTTAGGGTTTTCTAGTTATAAAATCATATCATCAGCAAACAGCGACAGTTTGAATTCCTCTTTACTAATTTGGATGTCCTTTATTTCTTTCTCTTGTCTGCTCCGGCTAGGACTTCTGGTACTGTGTTGAATAGTGAGAGTGGGCATCTTTGTTTTGTTCCAGTTCTCAGAGGAAATGCTTTCAACTTTTCCCCATTCAGTATTATGTTGGCTGTGGGTTTATCATAGATGCCTTTTATTACAGTGAGGTACCTTGTATACCGATTTTGCTGAAGGTTTTAATCATAAAGGGATGCTGGATTTTGTCAAATGCTTTTTCTGTATCTATTGCGATTATTGCGATGGTCATGCGATTTTTGTTTTTAATTTTGTTCAGGTGGTGTGTCACATTTATTGACTTGCATATGTTAAACCATCCCTGCATCCCTGGTATGAAACCCACTTGATCATTGTGGATTATCTTTTTGATATGCTGTTTGATTTGGTTAGCTAGTATTTCGTTAAGGATATTTTTTTGAGATGGAGTTTTGCTCTTGTTGCCCAGGCTGGAGTGTAGTGGCACTGCAACTTCCACTTTCTGGTTTCCAGCGATTCTCCTGCCTCAGCTCCCTGAGTCGCTAGGATTACAGGCACCTGCCACCACACCCAGCTAATTTTTGTATTTTTAGTAGAGATAGGGTTTCGCTATGTTGGCCAGGCGGGTCTTGAACTCCTGACCTCGTGATCCACCTGCCTTGGCCTCTCAAAGGACTCTCAAAGTGTTGGGATTACAGGCGTGAGCCACAGCGCCCGGCCAGATTTTTGCATCTATGTTCATTAGGAATATTGGCCTGTAGGTTTCTTTTTTTGTTTTGTTCTTTCTTGGTTTTGGTACAAGGGTGATACTGGCTTCATCGAATGATTTAGGGAGGATTCCCTCTTTCTTCATCTTGTGGAATAGTGTCAATAGGATTGGTACCAATTCTTCTTTGAGTGTCTGGTAGAATTCAGCTGTGAATTCATCTGGTCCTGGACTTTTTGTGTTGTTGGTAATTTTTAAATTACCATTTCAATCTTGCTGCTTGTTATTGGCCTGTTCAGGATTTCTAATTCTTCCTGACTTAAGCTAGGAGGTTTGTATCTTTCCAGGAATTTACCTATCTCTTCTAGGTTTTCTAGTTTATGTGTGTAAAGGTGTTCATAGTAGCCTTGAATGATCTTTTGTATTTCTGTGGGGTTGGTTGTAATATCTCCTGTTTGTTTCTAATTGAGCTTATTTGGACCTTCTCTCTTCTTTTCTTGGTTAATCTTGCTAATGGTCTATCAATTTCATTTATCTTTTCAAATAACCAGCTTCTTTTTGTTTCATTTATCTTTTGTATTTTTTTTTCAATTTCCTTTAGCTCTGCTCTGATCTTGGTATTTTCTTTCTTCTGCTGGCTTTGGGTTTCGTTTGTTTTTATTTCTGTAGTTCCTTGATTTGTGACCTTAGATTGTCTATTTGTGCTCTTTCAGAGTTTTTGAGTAGGCATTTAAGGCTGTGAACTTTCCTCTTCGCATTGCTTTTGCTGTATCCCAGAGGTTTGGATGGTTGTGTCACTATTATTGTTCAATTCGAAGAATTTTAAAATTTTCATCTTGATTTCATTGTTGACCCAATGATCATTCAGGAGCAGGTTATTTCACTTCCATGTATTTGCATGTTTTGGAAGGTTCCTTTTGGAGTCGATTTCCAGTTTTATTCCACTGTGGACTGAGAGAGTAGTTGACATAGTTTTAATTTTCTTAGTTTTTTTGACACTTGTTTGTGGCATATCATATGGTCTATCCTAGAGAAAGTTGCATACGCTGATGAATAGAATGTATATTCTGTGGTTGTTGGGTAGAATGTTATGTAAAGATCTGTTAAGTCCATTTGTTCCAGGGTACAATTTAAATCCATTGTTTCTTTGTTGACTTTCTGTCTTGATGACCTGTCTAGTATTGTCAGTGGAGTATTGAAGTCCCCCACTATTATTGTATTGCTGTCTGTCTCATTACTTAGGTGTAGTAGTAATTGTTCTATACATTTGGGAGTTCCAGTGTTAGGTGCATATATATTTAGGATTATGGTATTTTCCTTTTGGACAAGGCCTTTTATCATTATATAATGCTCTTCTTTGTCTTTTTTAACTGCTGTTGTTTTAAAGTTTGTTTTGTCTGATATAAGAATAGCTACTCCTACTTGCTTTTGGTGTCCATTTGCATGGAATGTCTTTTTCCACACCCTTACCTTAAGTTTATGTGAGTCCTTATGTGTTAGGTGAGTTTCTTGAAGGCAGCAGATACTTGGTTGGTGATTGCTTATCCATTCTGCAATTCTGTATCTTTTAAGTGGAGCATTTAGGCTATTTAAATTCAATGTTAGTATTGAGATGTGAGGTACTATTCTGTTCATCATGCCATTTGTTGCCTGTATACCTTGGATTTTTTTTAGTAGTATTTTTGTTTTATACCTCCAATGAGATTTACACATTAAGGAGGTTCTGTTTTGATGTGTTTCCAGCATTTGTTTCAAGATTTGGAGCTCCTTTTAGCAGTTCGTGTAGTCATGTAGTGCTGGCTTGGTAGTGGCGAATTCTCTTAGCGTTGTTTTTATCTGAAAAAGACTGTATCTGTCCTTCATTTAAGAAGCTTAGTTTTGCTGGATACAAAATTCTTGGCTGCTAATTGTTTTCTTTAAAGAAGCTGAAGATAGGGCCCCAATCCCTTCTAGTTTATAGGGTTTCTGCTGAGAAATCTGTTAACTTGATGGGTTTTCCTTTATAGGTTACCTGGTGCTTTTGCCTCACAGCTCTTAAGATTATTTTTCTTATCTTAACTTTAGATAACCTTATGACAATGTGCCTAGGCAATGATCTTTTTGTGATGAATTTTTCAGGTGTTATTTGAGCTTCTTGTATTTGGATGTCTAGGTCTCTAATAAGGCTAAGGAAGTTTTCCTCAATTATCCCCCCAGATATGTTTTCCAAACTTTTAGATTTCTCTTCTTTCTCAGGAACACCAATTATTCTTAGGTTTGGTTGTTTAATTCTGTCCCAAACTTCTTGGAGGTTTTGTTCATTTTTTTTTTTTTTTCTTTTCTTTTTTTTTTTTAATTGATCATTCTTGGGTGTTTCTCGCAGAGGGGGATTTGGCAGGATCACAGGACAATAGTGGAGGGAAGGTCAGCAGATAAACAAGTGCACAAAGGTCTCTGGTTTTCCTAGGCAGAGGACCCTGCGGCCTTCTGCAGTTTTTGTGTCCCTGGGTACTTGAGATTAGGGAGTGGTGATGACTCTTAACGAGCATGCTGCCTTCAAGCATCTGTTTAACAAAGCACATCTTGCACCGCCCTTAATCCATTCAACCCTGAGTGGATACACCACATGTTTCAGAGAGCACAGGGTTGGGGGTAAGGTCACAGATCAACAGGATCCCAAGGCAGAAGAATTTTTCTTAGTACAGAACAAAATGAAAAGTCTCCCACGTCTACCTCTTTCTACACAGACACGGCAACCATCCGATTTCTCAATCTTTTCCCCACCTTTCCCCCCTTTCTATTCCACAAAACTGCCATTGTCATCATGGCCCGTTCTCAATGAGCTGTTGGGCACACCTCCCAGACGGGGTGGTGGCCGGGCAGAGCGGCTCCTCACTTCCCAGTAGGGGCGGCCGGGCAGAGGCGCCCCTCACCTCCCGGACGGGGCGGCTGGCCGGGCGGGGGGCTGAACCCCCACCTCCCTCCCGGACGGGGCGGCTGGCCGGGTGGGGGGCTGACCCCCCCACCTCCCTCCCGGACGGGGCGGCTGGCCGGGCGGGGGGCTGACCCCCCCGCCTCCCTCCCGGACGGGGCGGCTGGCCGGGCAGAGGGGCTCCTCACTTCCCAGTAGGGGCAGCTGGGCAGAGGCGCCCCTCACCTCCCGGACTGGGCAGCTGGCCAGGCGGGGGGCTGAACCCCCACCTCCCTCCCGGACGGGGCGGCTGGCCGGGCGGGGGGCTGACCCCCCCACCTCCCTCCCGGACGGGGCGGCTGGCCAGGCGGGGGGCTGACCCCCCCACCTCCTTCCCGGACGGGGCGGCTGGCCGGGCAGAGGGGCTCCTCACTTCCCAGTAGGGGCGGCTGGGCAGAGGCGCCCCTCACCTCCCGGACTGGGCAGCTGGCCAGGCGGGGGGCTGACCCCCCCACCTCCCTCCCGGACGGGGCGGCTGGCCGGGCGGGGGGCTGACCCCCCCACCTCCCTCCCGGACGGGGCGGCTGGCCGGGCGGGGAGCTGACCCCCCCACCTCCCTCCCGGACGGGGTGGCTGCCGGGCGGAGACGCTCCTCACTTCCCAGACGGGGTGGCTGCCGGGCTGAGGGGCTCCTCACTTCTCAGACAGGGCGGTTGCCAGGCAGAGGGTCTCCTCACTTCTCAGACGGGGCGGCCCGGCAGAGACGCTCCTCACATCCCAGACGGGGCGGCAGGGCAGAGGCGCTCCCCACATCTCAGACGATGGGCGGCAGGGCAGAGACGCTCCTCACTTCCTAGATGGGATGGCGGCCGGGAAGAGGCGCTCCTCACTTCCTAGATGGGATGGCGGCTGGGCAGAGACACTCCTCACTTTCCAGACTGGGCAGCCAGGCAGAGGGGCTCCTCACATCCCAGACGATGGCGGCCAGGCAGAGACGCTCCTCACTTCCCAGACGGGGTGGCCCCGGGCAGAGGCTGCAATCTCGGCACTTTGGGAGGCCAAGGCAGGCTGCTGGGAGGTGGAGGTTGTAGCGAGCTGAGATCACGCCACTGCACTCCAGCCTGGGCACCATTGAGCACTGAGTGCGGTTTTGTTCATTTTTTAAATTCTTTTTTCTTTGTCTTTGTTGGATTGAGTTAATTTGAAAACCTTGTCTTTGAGCTCTGAAGTTCTTTCTTATGCTTGTTTTATTCTATTGCTGAGACTTTCAAGAACATTTTGCATTTCTCTAAGTGTGTCCTTCATTTCCTGAAGTTGTGATTGTTTTTTATTTATACTAACTATTTCACTGAAGATTTCTCCCCTCATTTCTTGTATCATTTTTTTGACTTCCTTAAATTGGACTTCACCTTTCTCTGGTGCCTCCTTAATTAGCTTAACAATCGACCTTCTGAATTCTTTTTCAGGTGACTCAGGGATTTCTTCTTGGCTTGGATCCATTGCTGGTGAGCTAGTGTGATTTTTTGAGGGGTATTAAAGAACCTTGTTTTGTCGTATTACTGGGATTGTTTTTCTGGTTCCTTCTCATTTGGTAGGCTATGTCTGAGGGAAGTACTAGGGCTCAAGGCTGCTGTTCAGATTCTTTTGTCCCACAGGTTGTTTTCTTGATGTAGTACTCTCCCCCTTTTCTTAGAGATGTGGCTTCCTGGGAACCGACCTGTAGTGACTGTTATTTCTCTTCTGGATCTAGCCATTCAGCAGGGCTACCAGGCTCCAGGCTAGTACTGGGGGCTGTCTGCTCAGAGTCCTGTGCTATGGGCTGTTTTCAGGTCTCACAGCGTTGGATTCCAGCACCTGCTCTGATAGAGGTGGCAGGGGAGTGAAATGGACTCTGCAGGGGTCCTTAGCTTTTGTTGTTTAATGCACTATTTTTGTGCTGGTTGGCCTCCTGCCAGGAGGTGGCACTTTCAAGACAGCGTCAGCTGTGGTAGTATAGGGAGGATCAGGCAGTGGCCAGGGCCTTAGAACTCCCAAGAGTATATGACCTTTGCCTTCAGCTACCAGGATGGATAGGGAATGACCATCAGGTGGGGCAAGGCTAGGACTGTCTGAGCTCAGACTCTCCTCGGGTGAGTCTTGCTGAGGCTGTGCTGTGGGGCAGGGGGGTGAGGTTCCCAGGTCAATGGAGTTATGTTCCCAGAGGATTATGGCTGCCTCTGCTGCGTCATGCAGGCTGTCAGGAATGTGGGGGAAAGCCGGCAGTTACAGGCCTCACCCAGCTCCCTTGCAACCCCCAAAACCGGTCTCACTCCTGTGCCCTACCAACAGCATCAAGTTTGTTTGCAGGCAGCGGATGAGCAAGGCTAAGAACTTGCCGCAGGCTACCAGCCTCCCAGCAAAGAATGTAAGTAGGGCTTTCATGCCTCCCTTCCTGTTGAATCTGTACACCAAATTCACTCCCTCCCCCAAGTTCTGGCCAGGTGACTTCATGTTTGGTTGGAATTGTTACAAAGTTCAGCTGGAGGTTTCCTTCTCGCTGTGGTCTTTTCCCAGTTCCTCTGGCCACCCTCCCCAAGGACCCCTGTGAGACAAGGTAGAAATGGCTTATTAGGGGACCCAGAGAGCCCACAGGGCTTTTCCCCTTGCTTTCTCTACCCTTTATTTCACTCAGCTGTCTAATTAAATCAGCTCCAGGTAAGTTCATATCCTTCTCCCATGATCTGGAGCTGCAGATTCCCCAGTGAGGGTGTGTGTTCGGGGGTGGGCTATCCCCCTTTCCTACTTTCACAGCTTGGGCACTCACAGTATTTGGGGTGTCTCCTGGGTCCTGTAGGAGCAAACTGCTTCCTTCACAGGGTCTGTGGATTCTCTTGGCTTTCCTGGTATATTCCTGTAGTAGTTCTGGAGCAGAAGTTTATGGTGTGAGTTTCCACACACTGCTCTGTTCATCCAAGTGAGAGCTGCAATCTAGTCCTGCCTCCTTTCCACCATTTTTTGGCCTTGACGTATTACATTTATTTTATGTTTGAAGTTTTGGCAGTTTTATTTTGAAAATTTTACATAACAAATGCCAAGCCAAATCCAAACTTCTTGGCCTAAATCATTTACAGATAACCTTTACTGAGCATTTACTACATGAAGGTGTTGTTGACACAGGGGATTTAAGATGTGATCACTGACCACAACATCCAGGCAACCTAAAAGTGAAAAGAGGTCATTCACAAAAAATAGGACCAAACTTCCTCCATTCCTCAAGGGACCTAGGACTGGAGTTGGCCTAAAAATTCCTGCTGTATCACCTCACCCACCAGTTTTGATCTTGCTCTCAGGGATCAAGGAAGCTCAAGGTTTCTGGCCCTTTTGGCTCATGTTCTTGGAGGTATATTCTATTGTCAAGTTAAAGTCGTACCCATCCTAGATCTGTTTCTCTCTCTTTGTGGTTCCAGTCTCATAGAAAACATAACTATGTGAAAACACCAACTACCCCATAAAGCTATTCTGAGACTCAAAGACATGAACTCTATTTTGATAATCACAAATTGATGTATAGATGTCAGATATCATTCATGTATTATGTAGCATTGTGGTTTAAGTCTTAGCTGTTGGAATCAGACTACTTGCATTCAAATTTTAGCTCTGTTGATAGGTGTGTAACCTTGAACAAGATACGTAACCTCTTCAGACCTTTGTCTCTTTGTTTGTCAAATAACGACAATAATAATACTAACTTAGTAAGTATGTATAAGGAGGCATGTAAAGCTTCTATTGTATTTGGCTTATGGTGAGCCCTTCATATAAATTGGTTACAATGGGTAATGAAAAGTACGTTCAATTTTTCCCACAAGGATTTAATCTAATCTCTAAATAAAATGCCAGTTTTAGTATACTGTCATCATTATAAGGAAACTATAATTCTTAAGTAATTAATTACTTTGGTTCCCTTTGGATAATTAGTGATACATAAAATGCAGTACCTTGCCCTGAGGAACCTACAAGTTAGCCTCCCTCTAATCCTGGCATTCAAAGTCCTCCACCTTCCGAATTACACCTGTTTTTTCAGGCATTGTCTCCCACTTTCCTAGCAAGCCTTTGGCTCCAGGAAACTGTTCTGTTCATTGACGACAGAATGTATTTTGTCCCGTATGCCTCCCTTCAATCTGAAGTTCATTTTTAGTAATTTTTTTTATTAGTAGTGACTTTCCCCATTTACTAATGCCTTTCTCTTTAGCTCATTTAGAATTCCCTGGAAGTCATCATGTTTTCCTTCTGAATTGCTATCATATTCTGTCTCTGTGTCTAATCAGAAAGTTAGGTGAGCTGCTGTCTCAGCTCCTGTGTTAATCCAGGTACTGAGCTCTTTGTACCCTGCCAGCTTGAGGGCAACTTGGATGCGCTGGTGTGTAGTGATTTGCAACTGTGAGAGAGCCGTTTCCATCAACAAGTGACAGCTTTTGGTTCTAAACACTGCTTGACCTCATTCTGGTTTGAACATATACTTTGGCCTCTGCCCTCTACCTCACCTCCAGTTCTGATCTTGGGCATGCCACAGAACCCCATCTACACTAGGCTTTCATTTTGGACTTCTAAGTCCTTTACTTGACCACTTATTTTCTTTAATTGCTAGACTTAATCATCCATGCATATGACAGCCACTCAGCTCTGACCCCAATACTTCATTGAGGCTCATGCCAGTCTGACCTCTCACAGGGAAGAGCACCCCTGCCGGTGAGCCCCTGGCCCTTGGATTATGCTGTCCCACCAGTGCCCAGCTGGCTGCTTGGCACTGCATGTGATGTATCTTTGTTTATTGATCGCTTAATTGAATGGGATATAGGATTATATTCCATGTTCCAGATCAAGTTGAGCCAAGCTGACAACTTAGTATTAAAAAAATATATTTATCTCCTATCTGTCCAATTAAAATTTTAATTTCTAGAGGTAGAGACAGTCACATTGCTATTTAATTCCTAGCACAGCAGTATTTTTGTCAATATTTGTTATTAGTGGTGAGTTTAAATTATAAAGGAAAAAAGAGAAGTGGTGATTTATGTCAGCGCTTGGCTAAACTATTCCCTTGATATAAGTCTATTATTCAGGTCACATAAGCATGACTGAAGTAATATCACAACCATAATATCATAATTATCTCTCTTGCTGTCTCTGTCACTTTCTCACTTTTGTTTGTGCATAGTGCATAGACCTGTAGAAAATTTATTAGTAATCTGAAGCATAAAACCAAATATTACAACTATCATAACAAATAAATAAAACTGTGCACTCCTTTAGGGAGTAGTAAAGCCATTTCTAAAATTAAGTCAAAGTAAGATTCCCTTATTATTGAGATATTTTAGTGGTATACACTATCATAAGTAAGATGAATAATTTTGTTAGCAGCTGACACTGCTATATAGATATTTATCTTGGGAAGTTCTCAGTGTAACATCTTTACTGTGTTTTTCTCTTTAGATTATACTTTTATGTTTATTATTTTGTTTCGTGGGGGATTCAAAAATATGCATTTTATGCCATACTTGGGGATTCCCTATAAATTATTAGTTGTAATATGACAGTTCCATCATGAATTTTCCAGGTATTCTTTTATGCAAGCAGATAATAGCTCATTTTGGTTTTTAACACATTCATGCATATTCTTTCTCTCTCAATAAATATGGTTTTAATTTATTAAATGAAAGATTTAAAAATGTGCTAAGCATTTTAATAATAATCGATTTTGGATTAACTTGTTATGTTTACTCTAGGGCTGTAGTTCACCATTTATTCAGTTAAGTCCTTCCCCAAATTCAATATTGAACATGTGGAATTGATTCGTTTCACGTGGATGTATCATTTACTCCCAAGATGTTGGTTTTTGGCATTTAGTACTGGTAATGGGCCAGGAAAGTGCTCATCTATATTTGTTGTTATTCACTGATTGCATCTTGCCCTTGCACCCACTGAGACGATGGGAAAGTAGCAACAATACTAGGTGATTTCTTTGATTTAAACCCAATTAAAAGAATTAGAGAGTTGTCTGATACAAGGCCAAAGAACTAAGAACAGAAACAAAAGCAAAACAACAAACAGCAGCACAAACTCCAGTGAGATAAATTTTTAAAACATTGGGAATATTTAAAAAATAAAAACACTCCAATGAACCACCCAGGTTTTATTAAAGAGTAGAGAACTCAAACAGCAGAAGGCAGAGCTGGTGGAGGAAACTCAGCAACTGCTCAGAAATGAAACAACCTAGGAAGGAGGTGCGAGTGACCTGAAACTCCTTTTAAAAACAGAAAGGACAAAAAGAGGTATGGGCTGACAAAAGGAAAGTGGTAGATTACTGATGTATTGCATTATGCTTAGAATGTCTCAGAATGCGAGAGGCAGTAAACACACCAGAAGAGGATACAATATCCGGACCATGTGCAACTGCAAATAAATGTTTGGGTTAAAACTTGGTTGATTCTAAATTACATGAAGAGCTGATGATAATTGAGGCAGAACTGATAGACCTAACAATAGAAAAAAATCGATTTAAATTCAGAGAAGAGGTCATTTAAGAAAGTATAATGAAGCCACTTAATAAAAGGAAATATTCCTCTAACTAAAGTTTGAGATTTAGGGCATAATCCTCAAAGACAGGCTAATATAATCTATTTTTTGATTAAAAAAAGGAACTTTTGGTTTAAAGTAAGATGTTCAGCTGCTCTTAGAGTTTATTTCTCCATATTTGGGCATATAAGAATTTAAGGAAAAATATAGAAATATAAGAAAGATTTCATGAGAATCACAAGCATAGTTTATAGGCAAGATAGCCTTTTCTGTTTGAAAGCGAAAAATACTATTTCAACATGTAAAAACCTAAGTCAGTTTTCACTGGCATGTCCCACAATCATGCCTGAAATAATGGTTGAAGACAGATGTGAGACATTTCAAGGGCAATAGATTAATACATGAAACCCACTTATGCCTAGCGTTCCATTATTGGAACGCTAAGCATGTGGGAGTTATTTATATCCTATTGCTCAAGGTCATCTCCAAGGTCTGAGTTTTCACTCATGCAAAAATTCAAAAAATTGCAACCTCGGCGTAAATGGGTTAACAAAAAGTTAATGCTGGACAGTAAAATAAACTACTAAATTAGACACACCATATTTTTTAAATTATAAGAGATTAAGAACTATGAGATATTTAAAAAGCCACCCACAGAAGTAGTAGGACAGGTAGAGAAGGATAAATTCTAACAATCAACTGTATCTCCACCCCACCTTGTAAATGACAAATTAGTTTACTTAGTCAATTCAGGAAATTAAACGTATACATTTTGTGTTAAAACAGAAGACTTTTTTTAAAAAAGTGTGTTAGTTAAGGTTAATTTTGACCTAGTTAAGAAAAAGCAGTTTAGAGTCTTGAAATGGAAATGAGAAATACATAATTACCCTTAAAAATAAGTTGATAGTGAATTTTATCTAGGATTCTTAAGACATTTTTAATATTTAATGAAAATGAACTACACAATTATTAAAAAATAGTTGCCTGGGTTTAGAAAAATGATCCCTTAATAAGACATATACAACAGCCTGAATTTTTATTTCCAAATACTATAGCAACAAAATACCGGCAAGAAAAATGCACAGAAACATTGGATAGTCTCTTCTTACTAATCTTTTACAGATATTTATATATTCTGAATTCTAACTTTTAATTTATTTTATGTATTATAAATGTCATCTAGTATGCAGCTTGACTTTGCTTTATGGTATCATCTGTTTCACAGAAAATTTTAAGTTGTGGAATTTATCGTATTTTTTCTTTATAGTTTGTGCTTTAAGACCTGTCTAATAAATCTTTCCTTCCCTGGACGCTATAAAGTTATTTGTCTATATTCTGTTAAAAGGAATAAAACTTTGCTTTTTTTCACATTTTGTTACTTATTTCACCTGAAAGAGAATTTTGTTTATTATGTGAGGTAGGAATATAACTTAATTTTTTTCCATTGAATAACCAAATTGTCCCAGAGCAATTAAGCAATACATTCTTTCCCTGTTGATCTGTGAAGCTACCTCCATTAGGCATGAAGTTGTCCTGTTGAAGAGAATCTGATTCTGAGCTCTCTTCACTATTTCTTTATTTGTCTATGTCTACACTAAAAGCAATTTAATTTCTGTGTCTTTATAATTACTTTGACTTTATAATCCTTGAAAGGGACTTTGTTCTTCTTCAAAATTGTTTTGGCTATTTATGGCTACTTTTGCTTTCAAATGAGTTTTTAAATCAAACTTTAATGAGATTGCATTAAACTTATAAATTAATCTGAGGAGGATTGACATCTTCATGATATTTAGTCTTCCTACCCATTAACATTATATAACTCTCCATTTATTTTAGGTCTTTTTGAATGACTTCTAATAAAGTTTTTCAATTTTCTCCAAAATATCTTACATATTAAAATTTACTCATAGCTGTCTCATCTTACTGATATTTTAAAGACATATCTTTTTAAAAATTATATTATTAAATTGTTTCAGGTATGTCTTTTTTTTTGAAGTTTTACAAATTTGGGATTATACTGCCTCTTCATTCAACATTTTCCCATGCTGTTGGGGATCCTTCAAGTCAAAATTATTAGAGGAGCTGCATTAATATTCCAGCATGGACATACTATAATTTATTTAATTATTTCCCGAATTGTATGTTTTTGTTTCTAACTTCACAGTTTTCAACATGACTGGGAACAGCTTTTCTTGCTAAATCCTTGCACGCCACAGTAATTATCTCACTGGGCCAAAAGATAGGTACTTTTTCATGACTTTCGCCATATATTGTCAAAATGGAACCAATGGTGATTTGTTCAGAAATCATGGTACATCATATAAAAAGATTACTCTGCAAGCATCACAAACTGTGATATATAGAAATGTGTTTATTGACATGAAATAGATCATGAAGAAAGTGATTACAAATGGTATTTAAGCATTTTAAGTTATATAGGCTTATACTGAGCAATAACAAAGAGGGTGAATAAATGAATGAATATGTGATTCTGGAAGGGTATGTAACAAAAGGTTAACAATGGTTAGCCCTGGGTAAGGGGATTATGTATGACTTTTATTTCCTTCTTTTTTTCTTCCTTTCCCCTTATGTTTTTAACAATGTACATGAATCGTTTATGAATAAAATAAAAAACTTTGATATTCTTATATAGGTTTAGTAGGATAACATTTCTCCTTCATTTCTTTCATTTTTAGAAATCTTTCTTCACGGAAATTCTTTTTTTTAAATGTTTATTTCTGTCTTTGAGGAGTGAGATTGACTGGCTATCTTTTAATACCTGTGTGTATTATCATTATTGTATCTTGCTGATAAATTTCACAACAGTTAATTATTTTATTCCCCATTTCATACTTAGCTCTATTTTAGGCAAGTTCACAAATATCATTGAATGAGTTCATTCAATGTCATCATGATGATATTGAAATGTCAATAGCAGATGACTTGTTTCTGGGGTGTTAATATGCCTGTTGGTTACATTTGTGTTTTTTGGTGATGGAAGGCAGCCACTGAGGCAAACAGCAAGAATACAGCTAAGCCTCTAACTGCATACTCTTCTCACTCGTTGCTTAAAACTGAAGCGTGGATAATTGGTGTGCATTCCCTAAAAAGTTATGTCATGATGCAGTAGAGAAATAAGTTAACTTTCCTATCCCTGTATCAAAGTTTCTTTTGAAGGTAACTGAGACAGCGCCAAATAAGGAGCAGAGTTTCTGTGAATCATGAAATCTTTCTAAACAATTGAGAAAAAAAAAACTGTTCTGAAACAAAAACTTGTGCCCTATCCTTTTATTTGAATGTGTTTTCTTAAGGCCACAACTGGCAGAGATTTGATGATTTTATGTTTAAAGCAATTTTTTTTTTTTTTCATAGCAAGGAGTCCCACTGCCATCAGGTTTTGTTTTTGGAGAGATTCTGTAACTGACATAGGGTAACTTACTCTGATGGCTTGCTCCACATTCACTACAAGTACATACTGTTCTGAAAAATCTCAAAGTTGAAATATTTTTATTTGGGCAACTTCTGCAATCAAGGTAATTCACTCTATCTTTGGAGAATAAAATGGAAAAGGGCAACCCAATCTCTGTGACCTTAAACTTCCACTGAAACTTAGAGACGGTTAGCTTAGCTGGTGAGAGCGTGCTGCTAATAACACCAAGGTCGTGGTTTCTATCCCATTACAGGGCAGTCAAGCTCAAGGGAAAAACCCTGTTCTTTGGCACAGCTTCCATGGCCTGCTAGCCGTTTACAGCGAGGCAAAAGAGTAGAGATGTTTTAGTGAACTAGGCCATGACTTGGGGAGTCTCCACCTTGAATCTGGTTGTGGGACCAAGGAAGAGAATCTGCTGAGGCTGGGTAGAGAGACTCTAGAGCACCTTAGGCCACAGGACAGCAGAGGATGAGAATAACAGAACTGGCTTCAGAAAGTAGGTGTCAGTCCAAGGCACTGTATTCAATACATGTAGCAAAGAATGAGCTTCTGACACCAGGAAAGTCTTCAGATGGCAGTGACTGCATAAACCGGTGTCAGGATGTCTGACTATAAAGGATGGGACACCTTCCATCAGGTGAGAGCTCTGGAGGTGGAGTCTGTTCCTGGAAGAAGCATGGGTAAATGTCATCAAAGGTTCCCTCAGCCACCACTGGGTTCAGGGCTGAGGTGCACCTAGGAAGGCTTGGGCAGAAGCATGACCCCTGGAACTTGGCCAACTGAGCCATCAGAGAGTGGTGCAGGTGAGGAGTGGTAGATGTGTAGTGAACCACTCAGCTGTCTGCCCAGGCCTTGGGTGTGGAAGTAGAGTCTTCTGTGTCTTTGGGCAGACTGAATTATAAGCTTCACCAGATCGCCAAGCTAGGAATGTTGACATACCTGGCTTGGGGTCAGGGAGGGACTGAACTGTAGGTGGGGGGCCCCAACAAATCTAATCATAAGAATCTATGAGCGTGGAGACAGAAGGACCAAAGAAGGGATGCTGTAACCAATTATCATTATTGAAAAACTAGGCAGAGATTACATTCAATTGGCAGTACCACCCTTTTTATCTCTGACATAGTTCCAGAAGGATATACTATGTATCTAGTGTGACACTGTCTGATAGAATTGTCTGAAATGATGGAAGTGTTCTGTGGCTACCCATTTTGATAGCCACTAGCCACAGGTGGCTATTGAGCACTTGATATGTTGTTGGTGTGACTGAGGAACTAAATTTTTAATTCAATTTAAATTAAATTTAATTTAAATTTAAGTAGCAACATGTGGCTGGTGGTTACTGGATTGAACCGAACAGATCTAGATACTAGAGTAAGTGGTAGCAGCAAATCCTATATTGGAACAATGTAAATTAACAATTATAAATATATGAGCAGGACAAAGCCCAAATGGGCCTGTACTCTTAGTTTTGCTATATATTCAACCATAACTAGCACTCATTTTTTAAACTTATAAAATGCAAACTCATTTGGTTGTGATGATGAATGCTCAGGTAATTGTTGAGTTTCAACACAGTGACAGCCAGGAACTCATTTTGGAGACTTGGATTGTGCCACAGTTTGTCCCTCTATAAAATGATGATGAAAATTTTATCAGTATCTGTCTCAAGCTGTAGTTAATGGGCCAATTTCTAAATATTCCTGTCAAATTGTATAGCCATTGTTTTCAAAGTAGTTTTGAAAGTAGGCCATTGGTAAAGCAATCTATTAAAGTGCAGGAAGAAAGTAATAGAATCTCTTACTTTTTAAAGTCTCATTATGAAAATTATATTTCAGTTTGTATGCCTTCGATGTACATAATATATTAATACACAAATATATTAATGCAGCGGTCCCCAAACTTTTTCTCACCAGGGACTGGTTTCCTGGACGACAGTATTTCCATGGATTGCAGCGGGGATGGTTTCAGGATGAAACTGACCCACCTCAGATCATCAGGCATTATTAGGTTCTCATAAGGAGCACACAGCCTTGAGCAGGTGCAGTTCACATATAGGGTTTGCGCACCTATGAGAATCTAATGCTGCCGCTGATCTGACAGGAAATGGGGCTCAGGCAGTAATGCTCGCTCACTGCTCACCTCCTGCTGTGTGGCCCAGTTCCTAACAGGCCATGAACTGGTACCAGTCTGTGGCCTGGGGGCTGGGGAGTCCTGCATTAATGTAATTAAATATGTACATTTCTTGAGAGTGTTTGTTCAAATATTTTTTCCTAATAGAGACGTATAACTTAGAAAGTATGGAACCCTCTGGTCAGTAGCATATTTTATCAAAAAGGCTATCCGTCGTGCTAACCAATGTGATTAAATGTTCATTTTAGTCTCAGATATTTTGATAACATAATAATAGGGAAGTTATGGTTATTGCATGGCTTTTCTTTACTGTATTTTCAATAACTATATTAATGGGTTCAGTTGTTACTAGTTTTATAATTCTGTTTTATTCTCAATGAGTCTTCCTGTTTCTCCCCACGTCTTTCCTATGGTTCATTTCCCTGCATCTTTACAGCTCCCTGGAACATTCTCTCAAATCAATCAGAGGCTTCAAAACTGGGCAGTCTCATTTTGTAACCTGCTCTGACTCGCCTCTGGGAGGCCTCCCTCCCCACTCACAGCTGCCTTCCTGCATGATGTAAAATGAATACAGTGCCAGAAAGACTGATCCTTGGAACCTCTTCCTTACTTAGTTTCTTTATAGTTCTGATTTTAGAAATGACCATTTTACTTCCAGTGCCCTTCCCCACACCAGTTAGCTGAGACTCTATGCAGGAAGTTCCCAGTGATCAGAACTGTTCCCATAGCTCCCAGGTGATTCTGACATGCACCCGGCATTGAGCACCATGGACATGGCTGCTGTTTGTTATCCTCGAGCTCTGCAAAGCAGTGTCGGATATTGCTTGATTGTTGCACATTAATCTACTGCACGGTCCGGTAGGTAGCCACTAGCCACATGTGGCCATTTAGATGTAAATGAATTTAAATTAAATAGTATTATAAGTTCAACACCTCAGTTGCACTCTCTGTATTCAAGTGCTCAGTAGCTACAAGTGGTTGGTGGCTACCATTTTGGGCAGTGCTACTATACAACATTTCTATCACCACAGAGAGTGCTGATGAATAATAGTACTAACAACTGGAAACATTGAAATGGAGAGGTGAAGGAGAGAAGGCAGAATATAAGAGAAACTTCAAAGCATTCAGCGTGTCTGATAGGCGCTGTATCTTACATTATGTTTGGAGCATAGTTTTTGAATTTCTTAATTTTCAAATTCGGTTGAAACAGATTTTGGTCAATTGAAGTGAAGGACTATGCCTGCTTTAATTTGCGTAGCTTACCTTTGTTTCACGTGTCTCCCTTATTACAGTGTTTGTAGCAGCATCTAACTCAATCCCTAACTTCTTTTTGGTGCAGGGACCATTTAAAAACAATTTGATCATAGAGGTTATCTCCTTTGCAATCCATATTGTTTTATGGAACAGGTGAACAGCTGGTGACAATAGCCTCAAGGTTTCTAATCCCACCAAAGGAAAATATGGTGTCAGTAATTACCTTGTACTATGATATTTGTGAAATCCAAGAGAGGGCTAGATCTCAGGCTCTAATAATACATCCGTATAAACATCTCAGTAGGGCACCACGGAAGAGTCTTAGGATATCAGGAACAATAAGAGCGGGAGAATATCGACCTTAATATTCTTTACACTTATTAAAAAGTGAAAAGACAGCCATAAAGCAGAATGAGTTCCTGTCCTTTGCAGGGACATGGATGAAGCCAGAAGCCATCATTCTCAGCAAACTAACACAGGAACAGAAAACCAAACACCTCATGTTCGCACTCATAAGTGGGAGTTGAACAATGAGAACACATGGACACAGGGAGTGGAGCATCACACAACGGGGCCTGTCGGGAGTTGGGGGACTAGGGGAGGGAGAGCATTAGGACAAATACCTAATGCATGTGGGGCTTAAAACCTAGATGACGGGTTGATAGGTGTAGCAAACCACCATGGCACATGTATACCTATGTAACAAACCTGCACGTTCTGCACATATATCCCAGAACTAAAAGTAAAATAAATGAAAAAGAAATAAAAAATAATAAAATAAAATAAAATAAATGAAAAGTAGCCATTTTACCAGTTGAGTATTTACTGACTTTTGGTGAAAATCACTTTCTAAGATTACTAGAAACCTTATGACCCTCGGCCTCTACTCCCACCACGTGCGGATTTTCACCTCCACCTACTTTGTCACGTCACATGCCCTTCTGCTCTTTAGGACACTTGTATTGGGTTCCTCCCCCACACGTAAACAGAACACACAGGTCTGTGAATGGACCTCATTATGCTCATTTGTCTTTGCCAAGAACTATTGAAAATGATCACAAATGACTATGTAATTATAATTAAGATTTTGTACATGCATACACTTTATTTTTAACAAGTTTGTCCTGTTAAATGTCACCCCATTTTGAATAGTAACATTCACTGGTGCAAGGAAGAATTATTAAAATGACAATTTAACTGATATCCTTGACAGGTAAGCCAGTTATTGTATTTCATAATTGTGATTATTACAATACCTATGAAGATTAATTAGGACAATTTATTCTATAGGACTTGGTTATCAAAATGATCTTTTTTCCCATTTTAGTCCATACATCTTCAGTTTTAATTTCCTTCTTCCAAAGAACTCTGAGTCTTGCCCAGTGTGATACTTCAGATTTTGTAAAAATATAATGAAGAAGAATAACATGTATCAGATCTTTTTTTTAATGTACTGGGCTAAAAATTATAAGCACCATCAAATTACTAGAAAATTCTTTTAACACTCTGCTTCTTAGTTAAAAAATGATTCCTTTTTGTGATAATCTTATAATTTTCAAAGTATCATTTTAGAAATTTTAAAAAATTATTCTTGTTTTCATTCAGTCCATTTCATCAGAACTTAGATTTTTTCTTCCCTCTACAGTATGTGGTCTTGATGTGCTTTCTCCTTGCAAAATAAAATCTTTAGTTTCAGGATCTCTGTGTTCTATTCCTTCAATTTAAAATCATAGGAAAAATAACTATCATTTCCTTATGTCTGTCTCCAATTCCCCCATCATTTTCTGTGAGCCAATTTTCTTCTTTTTCTTCTGTCTACTGTAAGGAACTTTTTACTCTGCTCTATTCTCTGCAATTCAGGGCTCACAATTTCTTTGACTTCTCAGATTATCCTTTGTACTTGTGTCTACTTTTTCATTAAAAAAAAAAAGGCTTCGGTCTTATTTTGACTTTATCATCTTTATATTGCCATATTTAAAACCCATCTGCTTATTGATTGAACCAAACTTTTCATCTTACTTCATCATACTGAATGTATAACTTCTGAATGACTTAAAAATCATCACATAATGTGAGAGAATTTTCTATCATATTCAGGTGACTGCATTGTAAGCAATGAAGTTGAAGAAAAATAGCTTATAATGGATATAATACCAAGAAATAATAAGAATGAGAATCTGCGTATATCATATACTGGGTTAACAAGCTCACAAGGCAAATCACCATTTTATTAGATATTTAACAAATCATACTAGTACTGGAGGAAGTATAGCAGAAAAAAGGAGTATGGACATTGGGATTAGCTGCCTTGCTAATCTTTTGTCAGTCCCTAGTGACATGCTTTTGGGTTGAGTCATTGTTACCTCCCTGAGCTGTTTGTTTATAAAATGGGGGTAAATATCTCAGATGTTTCAGTGTTGTGACATATAAAGCGTCCTCCATAGTACATAATACCGTAAGCACTCCATAAGGTAATTCTTGTCCTTTTAAAAAGTATACACTTTTGAGTTCAGGACACGTACACTGTAACCTAGTTGTAACCATTTTAATAAAAGAAGGTTTTGATCATTTTTGATAAATGTACTACATGAATAGTTAACTTGCCTTTCACTTCCTATACCAACGGAAATTTTGGTAACAAATTTAAAGAAAGCATTAGGTTGAATATCCCATCTGATTAAATGTCAACTAAATATTGTTTCTGGCTTTTAAAATATTTCTAATTCAGTTATAAAACAGGTCTATTACTCAGGAGGCTGAGGCAGGAAAATTGCTTGAACCAGGGAGTCGGAGGTTGCAGTGAGCCGAGATCATGCCATTGCACTCCAGCCTGGCGACAGAGTGAGATTCCGTCTCAAAAAAAAAAAAGGTGAAATGAAAAACAAAAAAGAGGGGTGAAATTTCTCTGCATTCTCCCTTTCTGCTGTTGGGAAAGCCCTTTCATTACCAAGAATGCATGGAATTCTGCTTATTAATTTCTCCATCTATGTGTCTCTGTGAAAAATACTAATTATTTACAATTTTGTAAGCTATGAATAAGGTCTATGTTTTCTCTGAAATTATAGCAACAGGAGCATTTCCCCCTTATTTGGGCCGCAATCTTTTCATTCTGATTCTTACCATAACTTCTGACTTCTGACTTTATCATGTCTTCTGATTTCTACTAAACATGAACAGAATGAATGACTTCTAGAAATGGATACAGGTGTAATACATATAAGGCCAGGGAACCACTTAATTATCTTTACAAAGTACTAGGACTTCAGAAAAATCAAATGATGAAATGGAGCTAGCTTTAGTATGTTCTACTTATCATTGGACTATTAATCATGTCTGTCTGATGAGTTACCTAGGACTTCAACTGTTTTTATAGATTTAAAGAAAATATTATAAATGTATCTTACCTGGATTTAAGACTGGACAGCTGATTTTGGATTTTTTTCTGCTACCCTGTTGTTGATATCACTGACATCAGCCTTTGCATTTTGACTGGAGGCTCCTTTCTCTCTTTCTCTCTCTCTCTCTCTCTCTCTATAGGAAACCAGTAGTTATGTCAGGTTGCTAAGTATTTTCCCACTGAAGGACAAATATTCTGGAGCAGTATATATTTAGCATTTGACATTTGATAAACAAGCTTGTTTGAGATATTTTCAATACAATTTCAGCTTTGGCAATTGTAAGCAAAGGATCCAGTTGGTAATTGGTGAAATGAACAGATGTGGACACGCTGCCTGCATCGAGATGCATTAATTTTTCTGAAAAGTGGATAAGATCTTGTGAGAATGAATAATGGAATTCAAATCAGATGGGGTGAGATATTTGATATTCAGGAACAAATCACAGTATAATAGATCTGCTACTTTGTTTGGTTTTAATGGGGAGTTGCTAATGCTGAAATATAGTCAGAGAAAAGGAACGTGGAATTTCTATAGAGGAGAGCCTGGCTCTGGGGTAATACTACTGTCCTTGGTGGAATGTTGTCTTTTCTGAAGACATTGGTTCAATTCAATACATGAAACATTCATCGATTATTATTTAGAAAAGCTAATCTACTGACAAGACACAGAGTTAAGTAGTGAAAATACAGAGACCTAGACACAGTTCTTATTAAGAAATTTTTTAATTTAGGTGGCATATTTCAGAGAGAAATTCTCTGCTTGGGGCAATAGGTACCTCCTTTGGAATAAGCATGGTGAGAAAGAATTGCTTCTGGCAGATTAGTGAGAAGAGTGAGATATTTTCTTTCGATGACCTCTCTATTAAAATTTGAGTGGTAAAACTTTGTGATGATTCAGGCTCTTCATAATTCTTAATTTTATCATCCTCTAATACCAGGACTTGCCCAGATCAATATTTTAGGAAACAGTCATGCTTGCTAAACCCAGGGATTTCTATTAACCACTAGATAAGACATAAGTTTGTCATGCAACAAGTATTTATTGAGTCCATAATTTGCCCAGCACTGGGCTTTGGTACTCTGGGCCTTGATACTCTAGGTTGTGTCAGAGATGTCTAATATATTTAAGGTGACAGAGTTCACAAATGAGACTTTATGAAAATGAATATCCCTTTTTAAGTCTCGAGAAATATGATGTGCACCCGCTTGAGGCTTTATTAAATCTCCAGCGAGCATGAACTTGTTTGTGACCCAATTGTAGAATTGTTGTATGATGACTATCCCACTGGCAGGCACTTCTTGTCCAAGAGAATGTAATTGGATGTTGGTGACTCAAGCAATCCTGGGAAGACTCCTCCATGACCAAATTAAAGACAACAGGGGCTTGGTTTGTACTCAGCTCTACACCAATCAGCATGAGACAAAGAAGAGATCCATGGCAAAGTGGGGAGACTACTGTTTATTTTACAAGCTAGAGAAGGAAAACTGCAGTTCCTGAGTTGCAAAACTGCTAAGAAATGGGAGAACACAGAACTTTACAGGCTGAACCTTGGTGTCTTAGTTATTCCTCTTGGCTACAGAATGCCAACCAGTAGGAGATTCATCACTGAGATATTACAGGGAAATGAAGCCAGGCAAGAAAAATATGTATTCCCTTTCTTCTCAGCCCATAAATTTTGTTATTAATAAATCAGACTCTTATAGAACAGCTTGCCACGGCTGTCTCTAGAAATGTTTTTATTAGCAGAATTTTTATTAAAATAAAATACACAGTAGTTTTAAGAGTGAACATTATAGTTTTAGGTCATAAGGGGTGTCATGGAGAACACATGTGGATGCTACTTGCCAGTTACTTGATCTAGGCCTTGACTCTTGGTTTTCTGTTGCTCGGATAAGTTAGCATGATTTGACATGCAGTTAAAGGTGTGGTAACCTGTGATTGATTTCCCATTCTTGATGCTCCCTGCCTGGACTTCTCGGAAAATTTCAAAACAATTCATTCTTCTATGAGGGCTGCCTCCTTGGTTGCTTCGGCTAAACAGTGTTGAGCAACAAGTTGGGAAAGGAACGTTGCAGTAACTTTTAAAAATTAAGTTAGAAACAAATGTCATCAAAGTAAATGATAATTTGCCAATATGATTGAGCAAAAAGATGAAGATGCACGCTCCCTACGTATTTGCTTTGCAGAAGAATTAATTTGAAAAATAATAACATATTTTAAAATGAATTGTAAATATAAACACATGCTAATTGCAGAGGGGAATCCCTGTGATTATTCAGCAGTTTGTGTTTGTCAAGTGCTTTTCAGTCAGTCCATTCCAGCTCAGCAGGGCAGAGGCTTGGGCTGTTGTAAACTTGTGGGCAGATACCCAGTGATGGGGCAGACATGAGCAGGTAGGGCTGACAGCATGTGAATTGAGTTTTCTTCAGTCATGCTGTTGCAGCTGCTCCCTTCCCTCATTGCTGAGTTTGCCACAGCAGGTAGGAACCTAACTCTGGAGCCTGGGATGAAGGAGAACCCACATTGGGCTTGAGGAACAAGATCTGCCACCCTGGTAGGCCCTGGTTAAATCTCATGCAAGTGTAGCAATGAGAGAGGGTATGATTGAGTTCTAATTTAGGAGGAAAGGGGATAATGTGCCCTTTGCACCCCCAGGAGAAATCATTGCTCATCTGTGCCTAAGTAGACTTATCAAGGGCAGTTGGTTCACAATGGTGTATCACCCCAAAGGACTATAGTGTTATGAGAACTTGCCAGTGTATTTGAATTTGGGTGCTGGCAGATGACATCATGAGGTATTATGGTTACCCATAAATATGCTAGTTTATTGAGAAGGTGGTAGACATGCTAGTGGATGAGAGGGAAGGACAGAAGCAGTTAGTAAACAGCATCTGCAACAATTCAGTTAACTGGTGGTTGTCACAGTAGCATGGTGGAAAAGTTGGCAATTAATAACTTCTAAGAAAACTGAACTAATGAACCAATCCTGCGTGTGCTATGTGTATAACCTCCTTCTCACTATTAACAGATTTGTTCCAAACTTATATAAGACAATGAAAATAAAGCTTGGCAATATAGGGAAGGGATGGAGGGATAAAGCTGTAAATCACGTCACAGGCAAATTAAGATATACCACTGGATCAAGGGATTTAATGCAGAAAGACTGATCCTAACTTATTTCTTTTATTTAGCAATAAGATTTGTTACTTACATTGATTATTTAAAATGAGTTGCATTATTAGAAAGGACTATTTTGAAGACAACTATAATAAAATGTCAGTAACTGATAGTAGCCAAGATATTTTAAATATATCAAAGTTGTGTCATTAATATTAATGTGTCCCTTAATATGAAGTCCTGCCCAGGCTTATTTATGTATTCAACAGACACATACCTGTTGAAGTGTAACAGATATTCTGGACACAAGCAATGGTAAACAAGACAGATGCAGTCCCTGCTTTCATGCAATTTGCAATTGAATGGTCTTTGACATTTTATTGTGATTGTTTTAGTTATTTAATTGGAGAAGTTTTTAATTTAAATTTGTGTTATATTCAGTGTTAAGGAACAAAAATGTAATGTGCATTTCTGAGACTCAGTAACACTTCTGGTTTTTCCTTTTTCATTTAAAGAAAAATTTAGTGCCCAAGATAAGCTAGAATTTTTGGAATCAAGTAATTGATGACCTGGGAGCCAATTTTATTACAATAGTGTTTTTAGTGGTCTTAGAACTTTTCAGAGGTGGTAGCTCTGAAAATAACACTGTAATAAATTCACACATACATCTATCATCCAATAAATGTTAATTGAGGCCCACTACAGCATTGTGTTAGATTCTGAGGTTACAAATTGTTGACCCCATGTCGAACATGTTGACCCCATCAATGTAATCAGTTTGACATTACACAGTCATTTAAACATTAAAGTGTCAGCGGATATTTTAGTTGTAATTTTGATAAGTGCTCTGAAGGAGAAAACAGTGGGTGTTGTGAAAAGCAGTATTTGGTTGATTGATTATTATAGAGGATCTGAGAAAACTTACTTGAGGAAGGAACATTTGGCTGAACTCAAAGAGATGAGTAGGAGTTAAGTAAGCAAGGAAGAAAAGAAGACACATGAAGGAGGAAGAATGTTCTAGAAACACACACACACAGGTATATGTATATGTACATGTATATGTATATGCATATGTCTTCCTTAGAAACATATAAACAGCTGCAACATGATTGAACTTATTTACCCAATTACCAAAGCTTATTTTGCACCATGAAGGTGGAGATAAAGGCTTTTTAAGCAGCAAGGATAGAATCTTTGTAGTTTTTATTTATAGGCTGGTTCTTCTGACAACTTTAATTTTTCATCTTTACCAACTTCATGGTCTTCAGTACATACAATGCAATCATTATTATAAAATTATATTTTGACTCAAACTCTAAGGTAGGATGATTCAGCTGTGCGCCATCAACATAGCAGCATGAATGGTAGAGACTAGTCATTCCAAACAGTGAAGGGGCAACGTAAAACTAATTTTAATATTATATGAAAGTACTTCTTGCCCTTGACTGCTTTTTTTTTTTTTTGAAGAAAGCAAACTTTAAAAATTTATTTTAGATTTACAGAATTATTGCAAGGATAGTAAGAGAGTTCTCATATATGCCTCACCCAGTTTCCTCTATTATCGACATCTTACATTATATGGTACATCTATCATAACTAATGAACCAATATTGTTTCATTATTAGTAACTAAATCTATACTTTATTCAGATTTTCTAAGTTTTCCTCTAATGTTCTTTTTCTGTCCCAGGACCCCATCAGGATATGGTATGTATAGTTGTCATGTCTTCCCAGGCTCGCCATGGTTGTGACAGTTTCTGAGACTTTCATTGTTTTTGATACCCCAGGTAGTTTAGGCATTTTGTAGAATGCCTCCCAGTCTGAATTTGTCTGATGTTTTCCTCATGGTTTGACTGGCTTTAATGTGTTTTGGGGAGGAAGACCACAGAGGTTAAGTGTGATTGTCATCACATCGTATCAAGGGTACATGCCATCAATATGACTTATCACTGTTGATATTAACCTTGATCATCTGGCTTGAGATAGTATTTGTCAGGTTTCTGTATTATACAGTTACTCTTCTCCCTGTCCATACAGTACTTTTTGGAAGAAGCCATTTTGTGCAGCTCATTTTTTTTTTAATTTTAATTTTAAGTTCTGGGGTACATGTGCAGCATGTGCATGTTTGTTACATAGTTAAACGTGTGCCATGGTGGTTTGCTGCACCCGTCAGCTCATCACCTAGGCATTAAAGCCAACATGCATTAGTTGTTTTTCCTAATGCTCTCCCTCCCCCAACCCCAATCTGACAGGTCCCAGTGTGTGTTGTTCCCCTCCCTGTGTCCATGTGTTCTCATTGTTCAGCTCCCACTTCTAAGTGAGAACATGTGGTGTTTGGGTCTCTGTTCCTGCATTAGTTTGCTGAGGATAATGGCTTCCAGCTCCATCCATGTCTCTGCAAAGGATTTGATATCCTTCCTTTTTATGGCTGCATAGTATTCCATGGGGTTTATGTACCACATTTTCTTTATCCAGTCTATCACTGATAGGCATTTGGTTTGATTCCATGCCTTTACTATTGTGAATAGTGCTGCAGTGAACATATGCATACATGTATCTTTGTAATAGAGTGATTTATATTTCACTGGGTATATACCCAGTAATGGGATTGCCAGGTTGAATGGTATTTCTAGTTCTAGATCTTTGAGGAATTGCTACACCATCTTCCTCAATGGTTGAACTAATTAATTTACATTCCGACCAACAGTGTAAAAGTGTTCCTATTTCTTTGCAACCTCGCCAGCATCTGTTGTTTCTTGGCTTTTTAATGATCACCATTCTGACTGGTGTGAGATGGTATCTCATTGTGGTTTTGATTTGCATTTCTCTAATGATCAGTGATGTTGAGCTTTTTTCATATGTTCTTTGGCCTCATGAATGTCTTCTTTTGAAAAGTGTCTGTTCATGTCCTCTTCCAACTTTTTAATAGGGTTGTTTGTCTTTTCTTGCAAATTTGTCTAAGTTCCTTGTAGATTCTGGATATTAAACCTTTGTCAGATGTATAGATTGCAAAAAATTTCCCCCAGTCTGTAGGTTGCCTGTTTTCTCTGATGATTGTTTCTTTTGCTGTACAGAAGATCTTTAGTTTAATTAGATCCCATTTGTCAATTTTGGCTTTTTTTTGCAATTGCTTTTGGCAGTTTTGTCATGAAATCTTTGCCTGTGCCTATATATTTATTGCATAGATTTTCTTCTAGGGGACTTCAAACTATGCTACAAAACTTCAATAACCAAAACAGCATGGTACTGGTACAAATACAGACACATAGACCAATGGAACAGAATAGAGAACTCAGAAATAAGACCACACATCTACAACGATTTGACCTTCGAGAAACATGACCAAAACAAGCAATGGGGAAAGGATTGCCTATTTAATAAATGGTGCTGGGAGAACTGGCTAGCCACATACAGAAAATTGAAACTGGACCCCTTCCTTACACCTTATACAAAAATTAATTCAAGATGGATTAAAGACTTAAGTGGAGCTCATATTTAAGGAGTGAGAAGATATGCTCTACCTCTTTAAGGGTGGAGTAGCTCTATAAATTATTTGGAAGTGTCTATTCTCCTCCATTAATTTATTTAGTCAACAATTAGTATCAGCCATCTAGAACCCATGAATATTTATGCTTTGGGTACAGTCCAATACTATTTTATTTTGTAGCTCATCTTGTTCCAGCTTTGGCCATTTGGAGATTTTTCAGTTGGCTCCTGTATCTCTTTGGCTTCTTACATATCATTGTAGGGTTTTTTAAAAGCCTTTTCTTACTTTCTGTCACTACAAGATAGTTCAGACTTATCTTCTGTATTTTTTGCCCCAGTTCTATGATCAGCCACTTCTCCAAGGAGCAATAATTTCCTTCAATGAAAACCAAGATATGGGCTGTTGGTGTACTTGTTGTTATTGTGTGTTGTTACTTCTAGATCCTCTAAGCTGATAGTGCAAAGAGATATATGTGTGTGTACCAACCTATATATCTACACACATATAAAAATATTTCTATTTGTAACCATCTGTATCTATCTTAGGCTAAACCTGAGTACCTACTGATGTCTCCAATTCTAACCTGCAACAGCATGGAACATTCTAGCCTTCTCCTCTTACTTATCTGTCACTTCCTATACCAATAGTGAGAAACCTGGCTCCTACCATCTGCTATTTATTTACTTAATTATTTAATTCCACTATACTTCTATGGAAGTTTCAGAATTGTTAATCTGTACTCATGTACGAAACAACTTTATCAACTAGAGTATAGTGTTTATATACAGTTCCTTTGCCTTTATTCTAACAGATTCCACTTACTCATTTTCCGAGTCACTTAGGTTAGCGCCTTATTTTCCTAAGTCCATTAGTGAGTTTGCTTCATGTATTTGTCATACATTTAAATTCTTTTGTAATATTGTGCATTCCATCCCAGTTTCCCCTGACATCCTAAATTAACTTTTTAAGTTTGGATACATTGTGGTCTATTCTTTGTTCTGTAAAGCTTTATGGATTTTGACAAGTATTTAATGTATTGTATCACCATTATAGTAATATAGTTCCTATGGAATAGAATAGTTTCTATCGCTGTAGCATAGAATAGTTTCTCTACTCTATAAAATATCCTGTGTTTCTCTAATTCAACCCCTCCTTCCCACCTTGAACTCCTGACAACCCCTGGTCTGTTTAATATCTTTCTTTTGTCTCTTCTAGAATATCATATAATTGAAATCATACAATATGTAGCTTTTTCAGACTGGCTACTTTCACTTAGCAATATTCATGTAAGTTTCATCTATATATTTTCATGGTCTGATAGCTCATTTCTTTTTAATCACTGAATAATACTTTTATTTATCCACTCACTGGTGAAGAATCTCTTGATTGCTTCTAAATTCATGGCAATTATGAATGAAACTGCTCTAAACATTTTTGTGCAGGTTTTTGTGTGCATGTGTATTTTCAAATTAGTTGGGTAAATATCTAGGAATTCAATTTCTGCATCATTGTGGTAATAATGTGTTTAGCTTCATAAGAAATTGCCAACCTATCTTCCAAAATAGCTGTACCATTTTGCATTCCCACCAGCAATGAATGAGAGTTCTTGATGCTCGACATCCTTGTCAGCATTTGATTTTTGTCAGTGTTTTGGATTTTAACTATTGTAATAGATGTGTAGTAGTGTTTGATTGTTTTAATTTGCAATTTCTTTTTCTTTTTTGAGATGGAGTCTCGCTCTGTCGCCCAGGCTGGAGTGCAGTGGCACGATCTTCGCTCATTGCAACCTCTGCCTCCTGGGTTCAAGCAATTCTCTGCCTCAAGCTCCCAAGTACCTGGGATTACAGGCGCCTGCCACCATACCCGGCTAATTGTTGTATTTTTAGTAGAGATGGGGTTTCACCATATTGGCCAGGCTGGTCTTGAACTCCTGACCTTGTGATCCACCCGCCCTGGCCTCCCAAAGTGCTGGGATTACAGACATAAGCCACGGCGTCCGGCCTGCAATTTCTTAATGACAAAAAATATTGAGGATATTTTCACATACTTTTTTTGCCAACTGTATTTTTTTTAATTAATTTTTATTTTTATTTTATTTTGTAACTTTTATTTTAGATTTGGGGTACATATGTACATTTGTTAATACAGGCAAATTTGTGTCACAGGGGTTTGGTGTACAGATCATCTCGTCACCCAGGTACTAAGCATAGTTCTTGATAGTTCTTTTTCCTGATCCTCTCCCCACTCCCACTCTGTTCCCTCACGTAGGCCCCAGTGTCTCTTGTTCCCCTCTTTATGCCCATTGGTTCTCATTATTTATCTCTCACTTAAAAGTGAGAACATGCAGTATTTGGTTTTCCACTCCTGCATTAGTTTGCTAAGGATAATGTCCTCCAGCTCCATCCTTGTTCCTGTACAGGACATGCTCTCGTGTTTTTTTTCTTTCTTTTTATTTTAATGGCTGAATAGTATTCCACGGTGTCTATGTACTACATTGTTTTTTTTTAAACCCTGCATACCATTGATGGGCATTTAGGTTGATTCCATGTTTTTGCTATTGTGAATGGTGTTGCAATGAACCTACATGTGCATGTGTCTTTATGGTAGAACAATTTATATTCCACTGGGCATATACCCAGGAATGGGATTGCTGGGTTGAATGGTAATTCTCCTTTTAGGTCTTTGAGGGATTTCCACACTGCTTTCCACAATGGGTGAACTAATTTACACTCCCACCAGCAGTGTATAAGTCTTCCCTTTTCTCCATAACCTCCCCAGCATCTGGTTTTTTTTGTTTGTTTGTTTGTTTTTTTAGTATTTAATAATAGCCATTCTGACTGGTGTGAGATGATATCTCATCATGGCTTTAATTTACATTTCTCTAATGATTAGTGATATGTAGCATTTTTTCATTTGTTGCCAACTGTATGTATTTTTCAATGAGGTGTACATCAGATCTTTTGCCCATTTTAAAAGTGGGGTTTTGGGCTGGGCGCAGTGGCTCACGCCTGTAATCCCAGCACTTTGGGAAGCTGAGGCAGGCAGATCACCTGAGGTCAGGAGTTCGAGACCATTCTGGCCAACATGGTGAAACCCTGTCTCTACTAAAAATACAAAAATTAGTCGGACATGGTGTCGGGCACTTGTAATCCCAGCTACTTGGGAGGCTGAGGCAGGAGAATCACTGGAACCCAGGAGGTGGAGGTTGCAGTCAGCTGAGACTGAACCATTGCACTCCAGTCTGGGCAACAAGAATGAAACTCCATCTCAAAATACATACATACATACATACGTACATACATAAAATTGGGTTTTTGTTTTCTTTTTGTTGAGTTTGAGGAGTTTTTTTGTATATTTTGATTACAAGTCTTTTATCAGCCATGTGTTTCACAAATAATTTCTCCCAGTTTGTGGCTTATCTTTTCACTCTCTTAATTGTTTTTTTCAAAGTAGAAATTTAAATTTTAATGAAGCCCAATTTATTAATTTTTTTCTTCCATATTGTGCTATTGGTGTTGTATATAAAAACTTACTACCAAATTCAATATCATATAGAATTTTTTCTGTTTTCTTCAAGAAGTAGTTTTATAATTTTGCATTATATGTTTAGATCAATGATTCACCTTAAGTTTTGTTTAAGGTGTAAGGTTTGTGTATAAGTTTTTCTTTTTCCACATCAATGTCCAGTTGCTTCAGCAACATTTTCTTTTTATATATATCTTAAGGGTAATCAGCGCAATATTTTCTGAAAAGATGACCTTTTTCTCATTTAATTGGCTCTTCTTTGTCAAAGATCAGTTGACCTTATTTGTGTGGATCTATTTCTGGACTTCTTACTCTGTTTCACTAGTCCATCTGTTTATACTTTAACCAGTACCATACTGCCTTTATTACTGTAGCCTTTATGGTAAGTCTTGAAATGAAATAGTGCAAGTGCTCCACCTTCTTCAGAATTTTGTTCTTCTTCAGTATTAAAGGCTATTCTAGGTCTTTTGCCCTTCTTTAAACATGTTGGAATCAATTGTCAATATCTACAAAATAGATTATTGGGATTTGGATTTAGATTACTCTGAATCTGTTAATTAAGTTGGGAAGAATTGACATTTTATCAATATTGAATAATATGAACATGTAATAATATTGAACTTTCAATCTCTATTATCTCTTCATCATTTTAAGATCTTCTTTCATTTTTCATTGTTTTATAGATTTTTACATATAGGCCTTGTACATACTTTGTTAATTTATATCTTAGTATTGAATGTACTATTATAAATGGTATTTTCTAAACTTTGAATTCCTGTTATTCATGATGATATGTAGGAAAGAAATTGACTTTTGTATATTGACATTAGATCCTTTAACCGTGGCATCATTACTTATTAGTTCCAGGGGAGATTTTGTTGTTGTTGTTGATTCATTGGAATTTTCTGCATAGATAATCATGCCATCTGTGAATAAAGATGTTTTATTTCTTCCTTCCCAATCTATATATCTTTTATTTCTTTTTTTGCCTTATTGCACTTGCTGGTATTTCTAGCATAATGTATAATAGGAGGAATGAGATAAGATATCTTAGAATTATCCTCATCTTCAGGGGAAAGTGGTTAGTTTTTTGTCATTAAGAATAATGTTAGCTATTGTTTTTTTAAATTTCCTATATGAAATTGAGGAAATTTCTGTCTATTCTGAATTTGCTGAGTTTTTAATCATAAATAGCTGTTGAATTTTGTCAAATAGTTTTCCTGTGTCAATTAATATGATCATATGACTTTTCCCGTTTTCACTGTTAATGTGGCAGATTATATTGATTTATTTTCAAATGTTGAATTTGCCATCAGACATGGAATAAATCCCATTTGTTCATGATGTATAATTTATTTTATGCATCGTTTGTTCTGTCTTGCTAACATTTTGTTGAGATTTTGTGCCAGTGCTCAGGAGAGATATTGGTCTCTAGTTTTACTTTCTTATAATATCTTTATCTGATTTGGGTATTAGGATAATTCTAGACTCAGAATGAGTTAGGATGTGTTTTCTCTGCCTGTTTACTAACACAGATTGTAGAGAATTGGCACAATTTCTTTCTTGAAGATTTGTTAGAAGTAATCTTGCCACCACCTGAGCCAGATGATTTCTTTAGAAGGTAATTAGTTATTGAATCAATATATTTAATATATATAGAGATATTTAGGCTATTTATTTCTCCATGTGTGAGTTTTGGTAGTTTGTGTATTTCAAGGAATTGGTCCATTTCATCCAAATTATCAAATTCGTGAGCATAGAGTTGTTCATAATATTCCTTTATTATCCTTTTAATCTCCAAGAGACCAGTCGTGGTGACTTCTCTTTCATTTATGATATTGGTAATTTATGTTTTCTGTCTCTCTTTTTTTTTTGCCAGAGTCTAACTCTGCCACCCAGGCTGGAGTGCAATGGTGTGATCTCTGCTCACTGCAACCTCTGCCTCTTGGGTTCAAGTGATTCTCATGTGTCAGCCTCCCGAGTAGCTGGTATTACAGGCATGCTCCAATACACTTGGCTAATTTTTTTTTTTGTATTTTTAGTAGAGATGAAGTTTTACCATGCTGGCCAGGTTGGTCTTGAACTCCTGGCCTCAAGTGCTCTGCCTGCCTCGGCCTCCCAAAGTGCTAGGATTACAGGCGTGAGCCACCGTGCCCGGCTTCTTTTTCTTAATTAGCCTGAATAGAAGTTTATCAATTTTATTGCTCTTTTAAAATAACCAGTTTTTGTTTCACTGAGTTTCTTTATCATGTTTCTGTTTTCAATTTTATTGGCATCTGCTCTAATTTCAGATGCTCCTTGACTTATGATGGGGTTGTGTCCCAGTACATCCACTGTAATTTGAAAATATCATAAGTCTTTTGACTTATGTAATGCATCTAACCTACCAAACATTATCGCTTAGCCTAACCTCCCTTAAATGTGCTCAGAACACATACATTAGCCTACAGTTGAGCAAAATGATCTGGCAACAAAACACACTATAGAGTATTGATGGTTTACCCCGATGATCACATAGCTGACTGAGAGCTGCGGCTTGCTGCTGCTGCCCAGCATTAAGTGAGAGTATTGTTCCATATATTGCTAGCACAGAAGATCTAAATTGAAAATTCAAAATACAGTTTCTACTGAATGCATGCATATTACTTTTGCACCATTGTGAAGTCAAAAAAAATAATAAATCAAACCATCTTAAGTTGGGAACTGTCTATATTATTCTTTCTCTTCTGCTTGCTTTAAGCTTATCTAGTTTTTTTCTTCTCTAGTTTCCTTAGGTGGTGGCTTAGGTTGGTTATTGATATTATATATTTTTCTTATCTAATATATTTACTTAATGCTATGAATTTTTCTCTAAGCACTGCTTTTCCTGCATCCCACAAATTTTGATGTTCTATTTTTATCTTCATTTAGCTCAAAATAGTTTACCATTTATTTTGAGGCTTTTTCTTTGACTCATACGTTCTTTAAAAGTGTGTTGTTCAATCTCTAAATATTTCGATATTTTCCAGCTATCTTTCTGTTGATTTCTAATTTATTTCCAATTTGGTGTGAGAGCCTACTTTGTACACTTTCTGTTCTTTTAAATTTGTTAAGGGTGTTTTGTGACCCAGAATGTGGTCTATCTTGGTGCGTATTCCATCAGAACTTGAGAAGAATGTGTATTAAGTTGTGGTTTGATGGAGTATTCTATAAATATTAATTAGACCATGTTGATTCATCATACCGTTTAGGTCAACTATATCTGTATTAATTTTCTGCCTGCTTGCACTAGCAATTACTGACAGCGGAATGGTGAGGTTTCTAAGTATAATAATGGTTTGGGCTTGTCTATTTCCCCTTTTAGTTTCAATCATTTTGCTTCATGTGTTTTGATTCACTTTTGTTAGGTATACACATATATACACATATTTATGATTGTTGTATCATCTTGAACAACTGACCCCTTTATCATCATCTTTATCCTTGGTACTTTTCCTTCTTTGGTAGTCTGCTTTGCATGAAATTAATATAGCCACTCCAGCTTTATTTTTGTGAATGTTAGCATGGTGTATCTTTCTCCATTCCTTTACTTTTAACATATCAGAGTTATTACATTTAAAGTGGGCATTATTACTAGGATAAATACCAAATAAAGTATTTTGCATGCTGGGCTTAAAACCTAGATGACAGGTTAATAGGTGCAGCAAACCACCATGGCACATGTATACTTATGGAACAAAACTGCACATTCTGCACATGTATCCCAGAATTTAAAGTAAAATAAAAAATAAATAAATAAAAATTAAAAAGTAAAAATAAATTAGCTGGGTGTGGAGGCAGCCAGCTACTCAGGGGGCTGAGGCAGGAGAATCAAAATAAATAAATCAATAAGTGGGGCTTTTTGTAGACAACATATAGTTTGGTCTTTCTTAAAATTCAATCTGACAATTTCCATCTTTTAACTGGTATATTTAAACAATTTATATTTAAAGCAAGTGTTGATATATTTGAATAAAAATAAACCTGTGTTTATTAACTATTTCATATTTGTTGCCAAACGCTTCTTTTTGGTCTTTCGTAGTTTTATTTGAGCAATGTATGTCATACCATTTTATCTTTTCTCTTAGAGTATTAACTATACTTCTTTTTTTTTTTTTTGAGACAGAGTTTTCCTCTTGTTGCCCAGGCGGGAGTGCAATGGTGCGATCTTGGCTTACCGCAACCTCTGCCTCCTGGGTTCAAGCGATTCTCCTGCCTCAGTCTCCCGAATAGCTGGAATTACAGGCATGTGCCACCATGCCCGGCTAATTTTGTATTTTTAGTAGAGACGGAGTTTCTCCATGTTGGTCAGGCTGGGGTCTTAAACTCCTGACCTCAGGTGATCCACCGGCCTCTGCCTCCCAAAGTGCTGGGTTTACAGGAGTGAGCCACCGCACCCGGCTTAACTATACTTCTTTAAAGAATTTTTGTAGTGGTGCCGCTAAAGTTCACAGTATACATTTTTAAGTATTCTAAATACACCTTCAAATAACACTATTCCTTTTTACATGAAATATAGGGATATTATAACATAGTATTCTCAATTCCTCCTTACTGTCCCTTGTGACATAGCTGTCATTTATTTCATTTCACTTACCTATATACTATAATCACCTATACATTGCTGCTATTATGATTTTAAACAGGCAGTTATTGTTTACGTCAATTAAGAATTTAGAAAGAATTTAGAATCCTGTGTAAAATAAATTTCCTTTTATTTTACCTTAATTCATGCATTCTCTGATTATCTTCCATGCTTTATGTAGATCCAAGTTTCTGACTTATATCACCTTCCTCTTGCTTGAAGAACATCTTTTAACATATTCTGCAGGGCAAGTCAGCTGGTGATGAATTCTCTGAATTTTTGTCTGATTTTTTTTTAATATTTCCTTCACTTTTGAAGGATAATTTCCCTGCATCTAGAATTCTAAATTGGTCACTTTTTTCAACATTTTATATATTTTACTTCACTTTCTTTATTAATGTACGGTTTCTGAAGAGAAATCTGCTGTATTTCATCCTGTTCTCTATGGTTAGGTGCTTCCCTGCCCTGGCTCTGGCTTTTTCAAGATTTTCTCCCTGTCTTTGGTTTTTCTACAGTTTGAATACAATATGCCTAGGTGTTGTTTGTTTTGTTTTTTTGTAAGGAGTGGCATGTATTTATCTTCTTGATACTCCCTGAGCTTCCTGGATCTGTGGTTTGGTGTCTGTCATTAATTTTGAAAAGTTCTCAGCCATTACTACCTCAAATATTTCTTCTTCGCCTTTCTTTTTTTTTCTTTCTGGTATTCCAATTATGCATATGCTTGTTATACCTTTTGCTTTTTCATTCTTTTGATTCTTTACATTTCAGTTGGGGACGTTTCTGTTGACTTATCTTTCAGCTCACTGATTATTTCCTTGGCCGTGTTGAATCAATTGATTAGTCCTCAAAGACATTTTTCATTTCTGTTACACCATTTTTACATTTCTAGCATTTGCTTTTGATTCTTTCTTAAAATTTCTATCTTTCTGCTTATATTACCCATCTTTTATTGTATGTTGTCTTCTTTTTCCATTAGAGCCCTCAAACTCTTTTTTTTTATTATACTTTAAGTTTTAGGGTACATGTGCACATTGTGCAGGTTAGTTACATATGTATACATGTGCCATGCTTGTGCGCTGCACCCACTAACTCGTCATCTAGCATTAGGTATATCTCCCAATGCTATCCCTCCCCCCTCCCCCCACCCCACAACACTCCCCAGAGTGTGATATTCCCCTTCCTGTGTCCATGTGATCTCATTGTTCAGTTCCCACCTATGAGTGAGAATATGCGGTGTTTGGTTTTTTGTTCTTGCGATAGTTTACTGAGAATGATGATTTCCAATTTCATCCATGTCCCTACAAAGGACATGAACTCATCATTTTTTATGGCTGCATAGTATTCCGTGGTGTATATGTGCCACATTTTCTTAATCCAGTCTATCATTGTTGGACATTTGGGTTGGTTCCAAGTCTTTGCTATTGTGAATAATGCCGCAATAAACATACGTGTGCATGTGTCTTTATAGCAGCATGATTTATAGTCATTTGGGCATATACCCAGTAATGGGATAGCTGGGTCAAATGGTATTTCTAGTTCTAGATCCCTGAGGAATCGCCACACTGACTTCCACAATGGTTGAACTAGTTTACAGTCCCACCAACAGTGTAAAAGTCTTCCTATTTCTCCACATCCTCTCCAGCACCTGTTGTTTCCTGACTTTTTAATGATTGCCATTCTAACTGGTGTGAGATGGTATCTCATTGTGGTTTTGATTTGCATTTCTCTGATGGCTAGTGATGATGAGCATTTTTTCATGTGTCTGTTGGCTGCATAAATGTCTTCTTTTGAGAAGTGTCTGTTCATGTCCTTTGCCCACTTTTTGATGGGGTTGTTTGTTTTTTTCTTGTAAATTTGTTTGAGTTCATTGTAGATTCTGGATATTAGCCCTTTGTCAGATGAGTAGGTTGCGAAAATTTTCTCCCATTTTGTAGGTTGCCTGTTCACTCTGATGGTAGTTTCTTTTGCTGTGCAGAAGCTCTTTAGTTTAATTAGATCCCATTTGTCAATTTTGGCTTTTGTTGCCATTGCTTTTGGTGTTTTGGACATGAAGTCCTTGCCCATGCCTATGTCCTGAATGGTAATGCCTAGGTTTTCTTCTAGGGTTTTTATGGTTTTAGGTCTAACGTTTAAATCTTTAATCCATCTTGAATTGATTTTTGTATAAGGTGTAAGGAAGGGATCCAGTTTCAGCTTTCTACATATGGCTAGCCAGTTTTCCCAGCACCATTTATTAAATAGGGAATCCTTTCCCTGTTGCTTGTTTTTCTCAGGTTTGTCAAAGATCAGATAGTTGTAGGTATGCGGCGTTATTTCTGAGGGCTCTGTTCTGTTCCATTGATCTATATCTCTGTTTTGGTACCAGTACCATGCTGTTTTGGTTACTGTAGCCTTGTAGTATAGTTTGAAGTCAGGTAGTGTGATGCCTCCAGCTTTGTTCTTTTGGCTTAGGATTGACTTGGCGATGTGGGCTCTTTTTTGGTTCCATATGAACTTTAAAGTAGTTTTTTCCAATTCTGTGAAGAAAGATATTGGTAGCTTGATGGGGATGGCATTGAATCTGTAAATTACCTTGGGCAGTATGGCCATTTTCACGATATTGATTCTTCCTACCCATGAGCATGGAATGTTCTTCCGTTTGTTTGTATCCTCTTTTATTTCATTGAGCAGTGGTTTGTAGTTCTCCTTGAAGAGGTCCTTCACATCCCTTGTAAGTTGTATTCCTAGGTATTTTATTCTCTTTGAAGCAATTGTGAATGGGAGTTCACTCATGATTTGGCTCTCTGTTTGTCTGTTGTTGGTGTATAAGAATGCTTGTGATTTTTGTACATTGATTTTGTATCCTGAGACTTTGCTGAAGTTGCTTATCAGCTGAAGGAGATTTTGGGCTGAGACAATGGGGTTTTCTAGATATACAATCATGTCGTCTGCAAACAGGGACAATTTGACTTCCTCTTTTCCTAATTGAATACCCTTTATTTCCTTCTCCTGCCTAATTGCCCTGGCCAGAACTTCCAACACTATGTTGAATAGGAGCGGTGAGAGAGGGCATCCCTGTCTTGTGCCAGTTTTCAAAGGGAATGCTTCCAGTTTTTGCCCATTCAGTATGATATTGGCTGTGGGTTTGTCATAGATAGCTCTTATTATTTTGACATACGTCCCATCAATACCTAATTTATTGGGAGTTTTTAGCATGAAGAGTTGTTGAATTTTGTCAAAGGCTTTTTCTGCATCTATTGAGATAATCATGTGGTTTTTGTCTTTGTAGAGCCCTCAAATTCCTAATCACAATTGTTTATCTCTTTCCTGACATTCCACATCCAATCCATCAGCATGTCTTATTGGCTTTACTTTCAAAATAAATTAAACTCAGCCACTTCTCAGCATTTTTAAAATCACCCTAATACAAACCCCCTGCTACCTCATCAACTGCAATGGCTTCCTAACTTATTTTGTAACTTTTGATCTTTGAGTTCTTCCAAGAGCCAAGAGTTCTTCCAAAGCTATAAACCCTATCATTGGCACTCCTCTGCTCTATGGAAAGCAGTGGCTTCTCATCTCTTTCAGAGTATAATGCAAAGCTCTCACCTTAGCTGGCATGGCCCTGTGGGATTGGCCTCCCTTGTCTTACTTTTTCCTTGTTCAGGCTGCTGTGACCTCTCTGGTCTTTGGCTCTTACTAGAAACCTTTGAACCCGTTTCCTTCCCAGTGTCAGTATTTGTGTGTTGTTCGTTCACCCTTCTCACTTCATTCTGGTTTCTACAGCACAGAGAAGTAGTAGTCCCTGATCTAAACACCCTCTCCACCTGCTTTCCACTTTGTTTTTTCCCCTAGCACTTACCATTATCAGATATCATATATTTATTTGTTTATTGTCTAACTTCCTCACAAAAATATGACGTTGTGAGGATAGGGATTTGGCTTTTTGCCCCAGAGCAGTGCCTGACTCTCAATAACTTTGTTGTATTAAGTGAATGAATAAAATAAAATTAAAATTGATTCAAAGTGTATGAGCATGTGTACATTTTACATAAGTGATACATGACATTCTTCCATTCCTTGGGGGCTCTTTTAACCATTCTCAACCAGTTGTAGTACCTTTAAAAAATCATGATGAAGATGATTTTGAGAGCTAATTTTGGTAGGAGACAGCAGTTTTAGCCTGTCCGCTCCATGTGCAGAATAATAGCCTATTTTATTACATCTGATATTCAAGCACTAGAATCTATCAATAGGTAAATAATTTCCAAAAATAAAAGCATCAGTGGGAAAACAGGGAAATTATTTTTAAAAAAGAATTTCTAGACCAGGATGTGTGCAATTTGTAATCTCTAATAAGAAACGTTATAGCTGATAATTCCAGCAATTACAGAATCATGATCATATCCATAATGGATCAGTAGAGGCTCTGGCTTATATAATAGCTTGCCCTCTCAGGATTCTAGAGCCCCATATGTAAACACAGAACACATTTATATTGATTGACAGTGCATGTAGGTTTCTACAGATTGTGCCAGTCAGTGTTTTCTAAGGCAGTTATGCCATGGTAATTAAAATTATGGGCTCTGAAATCAGCCTGCCTGGGTTCAAACCCCAGCTTCATGTGTCAGCTTCCTTGGCTGTAATAAGGAATACTAATAGCACCTGCCTTGTGGCTTTGAAAATTACATGATGTAACTTTGTCAAGAGCTTAGATGAGCACTTGGGATATGGCGAGTGCTCAATAAATGTTAGTTTACCATCATCATCATCATTATTATTATTACTGATTGCAAGCAAGACAAACTGGTTCTCACTTCAGCAGAAAAAGAAATTACTGAAGTAATTTTGGTTAGATCACAGATTTAACGTGAAGGATGAATAACCAGACTTGGAAAACAGGTGGAAACCAAGAGGCAGTCAGCATGGCATAGCAGCCAGCACTTCACCAGTGTGGTGCCTTGGGGGCAGCCTGGCAGGAGCCACTGCCTTCACTCCTGGACTGCAGATCTACCACAGGACAGCAGACTGAATTGTCCTATGTCCAGACTTCACAGTCACAGGGAGCAGGCTGCATGCAGGTGGGGCCCAGGTCACCTACCTTCACCCTAGAGTCTGGAGCCACAGAAAACAGTAATTGTCCTTGTAGCTTTTGTGATGGAAAGCAAGTCCTGACACCCACCAACTCACATACTAGGGAATTCACCAAATGTAGGACGGCAGCTAAGATGCTGGGAAACCAAGAATTAACAAATGAGTATTACACCAATTAGTTAATTCATTACAGATTTCAATATTTTCCAAAAAACATCCTACAAAGAACAGCTCACTTTAATATACTCCAACAAATGATGAAATCTCTCCTTGGTCATCAGCTTTTCTAAATTTCTGTAACTTTAGGTGATTCTGAATTTCTTAGTGATTCTGAACTTCTAGAAGATTCTGAAACAGAACAGTCTTACTTTGGGATGTATTCAAATCCTAGAGATCAGTCACATCAATCTGTGCCCTTTTTCATTATGTAACATGAAACAGGAGGACCTTTCCAACTTGCCTTGGGAACCTGCTCCTACAACAGGGTATATTATCACATTTAATAAAGAAAGAGTAATATTTGCATTGTGACCCTTCATCTGAGGTCATCGGGACTGTGCTGTCCTCCCAAGCTCCACTGTAAAGGGATAGACAACAACCTTGTCTCCCAGTCATTGTAATCTGTATCAGAGAGCATCATTAGATGAATGAAGATGGAAATGTTCTCACGGTCAGCAGGTGGGGAAGGCAAGACTTGCTGATTGGAAGCAATGAACCATAGTTCATTCTAAGGCTTGGGGAGAGCAACTTTGAGGAAATGAGGCCCCTAAACTTGCCATGTAGGAGAAGTTGGGGGGTGGTAAATTGGGCACCCTTTATCTACTAAACGTAATCTTTACTTCCCCACCCTCTAATTTTTCTCAGTTGGGCTTGAAATTGTTTTTGCTTGTTACACTTTATGGGAAAAGAAAGGGAAATCCTAATAAGGTCCATGCCAGCAAAACTCTAGAAGAAGAAACTAAGAATTTCAAATTGACAGTTTGTTAATGAGAAAAGACAAGGTTAAAGGATTTTGTTAAACAGATGACCAAAATAATTATTGGAAACTTCTGCTTCTGGCCAAGGTGGAATAATAAGGGCTACATTTACCTTCCCACCAGAAAATATAATAACAAACAAAAACTGGACAAAACACTGGACATGACACTGTTGTCTTTAAACCTTGGACATCAATCAGTGCAGGATGTTATTTTGTAAGAAAGGGAAAAAAATTGGGGTGAGCCTTCTGATTGTTTCCAGACTGGAGAGAAGTTTCAGGCCACAGCAAGTGGGGAGGAACCTAGGTGTAAGTATATGTATAAGGTAGCACATCATAGTGGCCAAATGAATGGCACAGGAAAGAAAAACTACAAGAACAGAGGAGGTAGGGCCACAAAACTAGAGTGGGGTCCAAGATTCACTATGGATAAAATGGGGTGTTAATTTGGTTTTCAAGGCCAATACAAGAGGAGGCATAGAAAAAGAACAAGGTGGTGTTGGGAAGTAGTATAAAAAGGGGCACAGGCTTATCCTTGTTTTATAAAAAACAAAGGTTTTTGGAAGGGATTTGTAGAGATAAGTTTGAAAAGTAGTTTGAGACTATGTGTGGAAATTCATGAATCTTAGAGTTTGATTTTATTCAGGAGATCAGTAGCTTTTAAAATGTAAAATAAAACCAGTAAACTCTATCTAAAATAAATTCTTCCCCTAATCCCAATATAAAAAATACATATAAAAGCGTAGCTGCTCTAGACAAAATGGCGGGTATGAGATGACCAGAAACCTCAACAGCACTACCTCTGGTAGCCCCATAGAACTGCCAAGAGTTTTCAGAGTATAGTTAATTCCTGCTGACGGCTAAGGCAGTCATTGAGTGATTGGAAAGAAGACGGAAGATAGACAAGATCAGTTAATTGGGTTGGAGGGAAGACTGAAGATAGGCAAGGTGACAAATTAGGAACTGTTGCAATGATCTAGGCAAGAAGGAACCTATGAACTAGGAGGGAGGCTTAAAGACAGCAAGGAGGGAACTATAGGCAGGGACATGTGAGGAAATGCTTAGTAGTTAAGGTGAGTTTGTAGGTATGAAAGGAGAGAAGGAAAGAACATTAAGTAGCATTAAGTGAACCAGATAATTTATAGCTCCTTGACCTGAAACATTTAGAGGCTGTGATAACACTAATAATAATAATCTATAATTACATAAATTACGTAGTGTAATGATATATCATGATATAATCATCTTACCAATGCTTTACAGTCAATGACATTGTGGTACAGAGACTTTGGAGGCAGATAGACCTCGATTGTAACCTCTGTGCTGCCCGTGGTATGACCTTGAGCATGGTAGTTAATCTGAACTTCTTTCTTTTCTGTTAAATTGGGGACAATGACAGTACTTAACCTTATAGTACTTGAAGGGAGAGTGTTAGAATTGATACTGGGGAGTCTCTCCACAGAAAGTTGTATTAGTTATTGTCTTTATTTCATTCTTAATGAATTAGCACTCCCGTTTTCTTTAACATGTTGAATTTAAAACCTCTTAGTGTATTTCTTTGTCTTGCCTTTTAATACCCCATGAATTATTGAGAAACAAAAGAAAGTGATTATGCAAATGTTTGAAATATCTAATAATACATGAACGTAGTCATGGGAAACTGGAGAAATAACTTTACTGATATTATACTAGTTTTTTTTCTGGAAGCATAGCATATTAAGAAAACTCATTTCAATGAAAGAAAATTTAAAAATTAGAGTGCATTAGAAGCATAATCCAATGAATTCTATTCCTAATGAATACTCAGGCAGTATGTTAACTTTTTCTGAGATACAATAGCCAAGCCAAAGAATTTAAAGAATGAAAAAAACAGATGATTAAACAAACTGTGAAGTAATTAGAGGTAGTCTTTGAAAATGCCTCATTAGGCATTTGACTCATTAGGACAGATCCTTTTATTTTAGGGCCAGGACATAATTATTTAAGCAGTTGATGTGTCTTTAGCTCCTTTCACCTTGCCACAAGTTGTCGCCTGTACTGCCTTTCCACCTAGCTTCCAAGTCCAGGCCGACTTTGAAGAGATTCCTTAGGGCTCACCTCCCCTGGAGAGTGCCCTCTGTACCATCTCTCTCCCTTTCCTCCTCATTCCTATTGCCTGAGTTTATTGTTTTAATAAATTCCCATAAGTTAACACCTCCTAGGGTGGATTAGAATCATTCAAATCCACATTGATTGTTACTAAGTAGAAATTTTATACTGAGCCTTTCTAAATCCTTACAACAACGTGACGAGGATATTATAGTTGCTTTAACCCAAGGAGATGAAATTCAAACTGGTGGCATTGCACACTTACAGTGGGCTTGCAGGATGAAAGAGAGCTTGGTATCTCGATCCCTTATACAAAACAGGTGGGTCTTGTTAGAAAAATTCTTCAATAATTGTTAAGGTTAAAATTTTGAAAAGTGGTTCAAAGAAATTTGCTTTGATGCAAATATTGTCTAGTCAGTTACATAACTTGAGCTATAATGACAGTGTACACTAGCTATCCAGGGCACGACATCTCTATTGTGCTGTTGAATATACTGCTCAACCATTCTGGAAAATGGCATGTTCATGTATGAATGACAATGTATCTTGTGTGTATGGCATTCCAAGCCAACATGTTGGTCCCTGCAAGTAAACTTCTTGACTGTCAAGAGGCTGCCTGTTTAATATTTGCATGATCTAAACTAATTGTTTCCTTTGTTTTTTTCCTCTGCTTTATGAGCTGGTAGTTTGACCTTTTGGCTTTTCCCCTGAGAGTTAACAAAAGTTAGACAGTTGGGGGGTGAACTTAAGTAAAATCCATATCACTCTATGTTGCTGCTCTACTAACAATTCAAGAAAATGTCTTGGTAGAAAGCAAGGAATGAGTTTTAAATTTTCTCTTTGAATTTCAATTATCCATGCCACTCCTGTGGTCCACCATTCTATATAATTAAGAATAAGCTGTATGTTCCATAGTGACACAGGCTGTTATTTCTGATTTGCAGTTTTCACTTAACCTAGGGTAAAATTGAAATAGAAGTCGCATCCTTTTTTTTTTACCTTCTTCCACTCAATTCTAGTTAGATATTTTTGAACTTCTATAAAATGTCTATGCAATATTATCACCAATAATGTGCAAAATTACTACTCCCATGTAGAAGAGGATCCATTCTTCATTGAACCATACCCTTGGGATCCTATCACATGCAGTTGGCCATATAATATTTTATATTATTGTTTTTTTGTTTTGTTTGTTAAGTTTGTACCTACATAATGGATTAAATTCAAAATCTCTGTTTAACTGAAACAAAATCTGTTTAACTGAAGCAAAAAAACAAAATCTCTGTTTTTTGTTTGTACAAAACAAAAAACAATAATATTTTTGTTTTGTTTGTATACTTCATAGGGACTTTGGAATTTGGAAAATATCGTTCATTTAGGGTATATATATTAGTCCATTTTCATACTGCTATAAAGAAATACTTGAGACTGGGTAATTTATAAAGAAAAATAGGCTTAATGAACTCACAGTTCCACATGGCTGGGGAGGCCTCACAGTCATGGCAGAAGGTGAAGGGGAAGCAAAGGCATGTCTTATATGGCAGCAGGCAAGAGAGTATATGCAAGGGAACTGCCCTGTATGAAACCATCAGATCTCATGAGACTTATTTACTATCATGAGAACAGCACAGGAAAAACCTGCCCCCATGATTCAGTTACCTCCCACTGAGTCCCTCCCACATGTGGGGATTATGGGAACTACAATTCAAGATGAGATTTGGATGGGGACACAGCCAAACCATATCAGTACATTAAAGAAAATATTTGTTAGCGCTAAGTGAATCTACTTTCACCTACTTGATTATTTGATGATTTTATAAATAGTCATCTCTTTCCTCATCTTTCCAGTCGTATTTTGTTGTTCCAAAGCCAAAACCTGTGTGTCTTGTATTCAACAACCTGAATCATACAGTTGTGAGACGTAAATGGGTGTGGTGGTTCCACTTACTTCTTTACATAGTACTACAACTAAGCCATCTAAGTAGTCTGCTCCTAAATTCCTCCAAGAAGGGAAATATCATGATTTGATTTAAATGTGACATCCTTTCTTAGAGAAGTTTTCTTTGTCTCCTTCTTCCCCAGTCACTTCCTCCCATCCACTGTGCTTTCGGCAGTTCATTCGTTCATTAATTCATTCAACGAATATTGAATAACTTTTGATCAATGTCTTCCTCCCTCCAAGCTGAAAACTTGATGGAGGGTAACATGATCTGTCTTTGTTTACCACTGCATCTTCCGTGAATATACATTGTAAGTATTGAACGGATTTTTACTAAATGAACAAATACTTTGATAAAATATTTTTGATTACTGCCAATATCAGTTTCTGAATTGATTCTAAAATTCTTCTGCTGGAAAGTAGATTAGCGTTAGTATGACTGCTGAAGCCTTTTAAAGTGGGTGGTAATACTACGTTTCGTTTTGTTTCATTAACCTAAGTGCTGTTCTTTGGAATCTTTTTAAAGTAAGATAAATTACATTCATGAAAGAAGCATATTATTTTTAAAGTACTTTATTTTGGAAAGGTAAAATGCTTGTGTAGTTATAATTTGGTTACTCTTGATTTCACCTTAGGAAAAACAATATCACCTTCTAACCATTTCTTTTTTAGTCAAATCTCTTGCTTCTATTTCTCTCTGTAGATCCGCTATTAAAGACTGTAATCACTGCTGCATCTTTCCTGTAAGGCTTGATCGCATTGTTAATTTCTTTCTAAACTTGTAGAGTAGGTGTATAAATCGTATTTGGGTAATACACTGACTAATACTGAAGAACCAGGCATTTTCTTACCCCAGTCCTCACACGAAGTAGGGAAATACAAGTCAGAACTTATCTTCTCAAAACTCTGACCTCAGAATTTCCTGAGAAATCTGAACCTAAAAAGATTCTTTGCTTTTGACATTTTTTCTCTGGTGTCCACCGCAAGGCTCTTGCTCTTACATTTTTTTTTTTTTTCTAATGTTTCAAATAGAAGATGGTAGAGTCATATAGTACAAGCTCAGCATCGGAGGGGCTACTGGAGGTCAACTAGTGCAAATGCTTTCTGAATAATGGAATCCTTTGGGAATACCCCCTTGAAAGTCTTCATCTAGCCTCTTCTTGGAAACCCTCAGTGATACCCCTCATCGTCTCCTATGATGGCAGCTTCTATCTTTGTCGTCAGCTCTGACTATTACAAACTGCTTCCTTACATTGAGCTGTAACTAACTAAAAAGTTTCCACACCCTGCTTCTATTTTAGCCTTTGGGCTCATAAAGAACAAGTTGAACCCGTCTTATGCAGAACAACCCATCTACGGGAGATGCTCAGGTTTCCTCCATGTTTTCCTTTCTCTAGGCTAACCCTTCGTTGTTCCTCACTTACTCACTATATAACCTGATTTCATGTCTCCTTACCCTTCTTGTTACTCTAACTTGAGTAGGCTAGTTTCAGGATCCAGCAATAAGTGTGATACATCAGGTATGCTCTGATGAGTTGAGAGTAGAGTGGACATAGCATCTCCCTTAATTCAGATATTGTGATCTAATTGGCAAATCTGGCAATAAAAGTTGAAATGCCTGATCCAGGACAATGGCTGGTCAGGTGCCATTGTTCTCATCTTTTACTTTTAGGTGTCCCTCAATTTGTTAAGTTAGTACCTACGTAATGTCCTGAAACTTGTTAAGTTTGTACCTACATAATGGATTAAATTCAAAATCTCTGTTTAACTGAAAACAAAAGCAAACTTCTTTTCAGAGCCAGAATCTGGAATCATACGTAACAGAGAATGATATTGTACAAGTTGCTTCATCTCTTTAAGTAACGGTTTCTCAAACTTACAAGATTATTGTGAGAACTAAATTAGTTCTAAAGTGCTTCCATGTAAAGTGTATGTAAATGCTTAAAATATATAGTAAGTGCTGAATGCATATTAGAAATAATAATAATCTTTATTATAATTTTTACTATTTCATGAGAAGTACTTATTTTAATACTGAGCAAATAGGAAGAGTTCATGGCTTCTCTATGTTTTTGAAGTGTCATTTAATATATTATATATATAAAACATATATATATTTCAGTCACACATTTGTCCAAATACCTTGACAAATTAAAACAAAATAAGACAAAATTCTCACGCTAGTTATTTGTTATAAAGTAATAGAACAAGTGATATGTTATAAAGAGCATTTATTTCTCATGTCTTTGATATTAAAAATAGTTGTATTAACTTTTTATCAAAACGATTGCTTCCTTCATATAAATCTAAGAATTATGCTGTCTGATAAATATTGGAGAGATTAACTTCTTTGAAAATATAGAAGCTTTTTGTCTTTTTAAAATAGTTGTTTTTTTGCAGATGTTAATACATTTCAGCAGTACAGTATGGCCTTTTTCAGGTTAAGGTGCTGAGCCCAAACCTCAAAGAATCACTGCAAAAAGATTGGATCCCCCCTCTTCACCCCATTTCGTAATTTAGTTAGTGAGAACCACAACTGGCTAAACCTTTGTGGGGGGCCGGGCACTGTGGCTCATGCCTATAATCCCAGCACTTTGGGAGGCCGAGGCAGGCAGATCACAAGGTCAGGAAATCGAGACCATCCTGGCTAACACGGCGAAACCCCGTCTCTACTAAAAATACAAAAAATTAGCCGGGCATGGTGGCAGGTGCCTGTAGTCCCAGCTACTCAGGAGGCTGAGGCAGGAGAATGGCGTGAACCTGGGAGGCGGGGCTTGCAGTGGGCCGAGATCCCGCCACTGCACTCCAGCCTGGGTGACACAGCGAGACTCCATCTTAAAAAAAAAACAAAAAAAAACAAAAACAAAAAAAAAACCACCTTTGGGGGGAAATTATCAAATAAAACAAACTCTTTTTAGAATTTTACAACTTTTATGTTAGGAAAAAACAAATACATTTGTGAAAAGCTTAAAATCCAGTAAATGACTTGAGGGACTTGGGGCAATCCTAGGGTGATGAGGAGCAGGTTAGTAACAGTGAAGGACTTAGCACCCCAGGGGGCCAGAGGCTGTAATATACCTTATGAGCAAGTCATTCTTATTTAGTCTTGCCCATTAAGAAGTCTACTTGGACTAAATGCTTTTAAAAATGCCCTTTTAATTTACTATTAAAAGAATATTCCTAGCAGAAGTAGTCTTGGATGCTAAATTCTATTTTAAGAATAACTAAAATTAGAATTCTGTTCTTTTTATAACACCTGTTACACACACACCCCTACCTAGTGTGTCGGAATCAGTTTGTATGGGCTCACCAAAGCCTACTGTTCAATTTTCAGGAGTTTTGTAAGCCATTTGATGTCAGACAAGTGGCCTGAAGTTTGTTATGGTGGTGGTATTTACACCATGAAAATTGGCATGTTATGGTGGTAGTATTTACACCATGAAAACTGCTACAAATAGAAATCTTTTTCTTCTTCTCTTGGAGAGCCACTTGTTGAACACTTACCAGCTCACCTGTGCTTGAAAGTATTTCTTCAAATAAAATGAAAGCTGGTTAGCTTTGAAAATTTTTTGTATAAAAGTTTACACGGGAAAAAAATAAACTAATTTTTTTTTCCACCTGTGTTTTCAGGGATACGAAAAGACCGAAGAGGAGGGAGAATGTTGAAACACAAGCGCCAGAGAGATGATGGGGAGGGCAGGGGTGAAGTGGGGTCTGCTGGAGACATGAGAGCTGCCAACCTTTGGCCAAGCCCGCTCATGATCAAACGCTCTAAGAAGAACAGCCTGGCCTTGTCCCTGACGGCCGACCAGATGGTCAGTGCCTTGTTGGATGCTGAGCCCCCGATACTCTATTCCGAGTATGATCCTACCAGACCCTTCAGTGAAGCTTCGATGATGGGCTTACTGACCAACCTGGCAGACAGGGAGCTGGTTCACATGATCAACTGGGCGAAGAGGGTGCCAGGTAAGAATGCGAAGCGCAGCTTTTAAGAGTCAATAGCTTTTCAAGAACTTGTTGTGATGTCATGGGAGAAATAGTGGGGGAAAAAGAAGCAATAACATGTTATGTAATTGGTTTCAAGGTTACAGGAGATGTGTTCATTTTCAGTATCAATACACTGTAATTTTCCAGGAGATTAGGAAATAATATTTTTAAATCAGAATCTAGAAGACTGAAATTCTTAAATTGACATAATTTATTTTTAACCCATCTCATTTACCAAAAAGATTTAGGGTGGACACTACATGGTAAAACTATTTAATAGTGTATGTTCACAGTAGCAGAAACTTTTAACACTAAATGAACTACAAAAGTTTGTAATATTAATGACCTTTGTTGAAAACATCTCAATTATTAATCAAACGATTTTATCTTAAAAAGATTTTTAAGATTCGGTGTGGTGGCTCGTGCCTGTAATCCTAGCACTTTTTGGGGCTGAGGTGGGAGGATTGCTTGAGCCCAGGAGCTTGAGGCCATCCGGGGCAACGTGGCGAAACCCTGTCTCTACAACAAATTTTTAAAAATTAGCTGGATGCAGTGGCACACACCTGTGGTCCCAGTTATGGGGGAGGCCGAGGTGAGAGGATGGCTTGAGTCCAGGAGGTCAAAGCTACAGTGAACCATGTTTGTGTGGAGTGCCACTGCACTCCAGCCCAGGTGACAGAGCAAGACCGTGTCATAAAAAATAAACCACACAAAAAAAGAGAAAGATCTTTATGGATTAAAAAGATAATAATAAGTGTATTTACTGAATGCCAATTATTTATCCAACCTGGTGTATGCTTAGTGTTTTAGGAGAAAGAGAAAGGCAATGGAAAAATAAATTAAGGTATCATCCCTGAAAGAAACTTTTAGAAAGACACAGTGGCTGAAGTGATACCTTGTTCCTTCAGTTGATTCTCTCAGAACTGGTGTTCTGGTAAAATTGGACTGTTACTCCTGTTATTCAGGGAGAAGAACTCAAGTTTGTATGGCAACAAGACTAGAAAATGACTTTCTCCCTGCCCCAGTGTATTCGTTCAGGAGCTAATGTAGATAAACCGAGGCAAGAAGAAGCTAAATTTTTTTTCTGGGCTTATAGGTTAAATGAGTGATAGATTTAGTTGGAGGTTTTCTCATTTGGTTTCTTTTAATAGATGAAATTAATTGTTTCCTATGAAGCATGAAATGTTTTATATGAAACTAAAAAAATGTGGAGTTTGTACTTGCATTTCAAGGGTCACTGCTCTGTTATAGGCCAAGTGAACTTATGTCTGGCCTTAGAGAATCTTACATGTATTTGCATCTATCAGTATATAAACATGTGGGCCGTAGAATAAGGAGCCAGCAGTACCAGAACCCAGCCTTGTTAGAGGCCACCATTTTGGTGGTTGAGTGGTTATTAGTTTACATGGAAGCATGGAGAATAATAGGCAAATGTAGGTTTTCAGTGTCAGTCGAACTGGCAAACAAAAATTTCTGGTCATCTTCAGAATGAAAAGTTTTCTTGAGTACCTACATATTTTAGCATTTTCATATGAAGCAGATACATTATAAGTTAATTGTTGGAATCTAATTGTAATATGGCTGTAAGTTTTTTCTTTATATTTGTTATTGCCTTGTTCTTATATTATAGGGAAAGAGAAACAAACAAACAAGCAAAGAAACTAATGGTCATATATTTGAGAGCCAACTCTTGGTTGCTGTTCAGTTTTATTTTCCTGTAAACATATATTTTCCCTTATGAAATCTTGGGAATATTAGCTCTGGAGCACTGCTGAACTCAAGTACAGACATTTTCATGTGTATCAGTAGATTCCCATCATGACATTTTTATAATAATGTTGAAGAGCATTTTAAACAACTGGAATTAAGCTCAAATACATTACCAGTGGTTGAAGAATTCACATCAATAATCTTCTGAATTTAGGAATAAAATGGAGAAGTCAAGGAAAGGAAAATATTATACACAGGCTAGCAATAGTTAAAATACAATTATTAAAGCCAGAGCTAGACAAAATTATGGCAATGAGATGTGTAACAAAACCACTCTGTAACTTCATCATGTTCGTTTAAAAGACCTGAATGATTCCAAAATCCTTAGACCAATAAACTATGTCTTCTTACTTGATAATTAAAAAAAAGAATTATAAAGGCAAAAATGAAATTATATGTATGTGTGTTTGTGTGTGTTCCATGGGAATACAGCTGTTGTAAATCAAAGGCCTACTTGCCTGACCAAGCAGAATAAAAATAGTCATTGATTTTAAAGAGACTAAAAGTGAGGGAAGAAAAAAGTCTTCTGCAAAAGCTCTACAGATGGTTGTCAAACTTTTCAGAAAAATAGACAAAGCAACATTTTGAAAAGGATTTATATCTTTTATATATTCAAATACCATCTGTTATTTAAAAAACATAGCCCACACTGAATATCTGATATAGACAATATAACGTTTATGAGATAATAGTTTGAGAATGACAATAATAATAGTAAGTTTTAAAAGAGGAAATAAGCCGGGCACAGTGGCTCATGCCTGTAATCCCAGCACTTTGGGAGGCCGAGGCGGGTGGATCACCTGAGGTCAGGAGTTCAAGACCAGCCTGGCCAACATGACAAAACCCTGTCTCTACAAAACAGTACAAAAATTAGCCAGGCTTGGTGGCACACATCCATAGTCCCAGGTACTTGGGATGTTGAGGTGGGAGAATTGCTTGAACCTGGGAGGCAGAGACTGCAGTGAGCCGAGACCCCACAACTGCACTCCGGCCTGGGCAACAATGAGACTCTGTCTCTAAATAAATAAATAAAGAAGGAAATAGTAAATGTCATTAGTAAGAAGAATAGCAAAATTTCAGTTCTAGAAATACCCAGAATTAGCTATATGATACAAAAACCCTCATGAAACATTTGGATAATCCTCAGAATACCTATCAATATAACAAAAACTATGAATTGACTTCATTTTGAATGATGAATTTTTAACAAAAATAGTCAATACTTTGGGCTTAGTAGCTCTAGAAGTGCTTCTTTCTTCTTTCTTTTAATTAACAGAATATTGTCAGAATTTTCAAATGTTGATGATTATAAGTTGAATTTTCCTTTTCATTAACCCCTGGGGCTTATTTTTTGACTTGATATGTTTCTCTACTCAGAATTAAGATGTGAAGAGCTTTGGGATAGAATGCATCATACAAGTGTGAGAGTCAAGTTCCAATCCATAAAGTACTTCTGGTAGACCTGGATAAAGATGACCTTAAGAAATGATTTTTTTTCTCTTTGCAGTTTAAAAACAACAGTAGCAACAAGAATGATAAAACCTATGAAGCCAGCTCTGACAAAAGATGTTTTTTTTATAACACATACTATGTATCTACTTTTTGATATTTATCTATCGAGAAGACTTTTCTCCTTATTGTTTGCTCTGAAATTTGTTTATATTTAATAGGAATTTTATAGCCTTATCCCTGGGTAGAAATTCAGTTTTTTTAAAAGTAGATAATTAAATCTTAATTTACTATTATTTTACACATGGTGAAACTAGTCAATAAATGTAATATCATTGAGCTGAAGGTTAAAAAGGAAAAAATATGACTGCAAGAGTGGTTGTATTTTTGATTTCAGCATCACACTCAATTGCATCATTGAGTGGTTCATTCTTAGTTTCAGTGTTAATGAAATACATCTGAGTTTTTTTCCCCAGAAGCTTGAATTGTGTCACCAAAGTGTCATTTTGATTTATTGAAAGTTAAGCCCTTTCCAAAATTCACCATAATTTTACATGTCTCGAAAGCAATTTTATACTTCAAGTCTGTGCTATAGTTCTATATATTTTATGAAGATTTGGATAGATATCTAGCCCTGAGTTTTTTATTGCCTGTTAAATACTTATAACCCAAAGTGTAGCAGCCTCATGAACTGCTGCTGGGCACAGATCTGGGAGAGTGCACTCAGAGTGTTGGCCCAGGAAGAGGAAAAGAGGAAAAGGGGCAGTTCAGTGGCAGCTTGGCTTCCTGTGAAACATGTCACCTTAACCACTTCCTCATTCTTTTAGTGGCAAACTAGACGACCTTCTCCTTCCCCTTTCCTGCCGAGTCCCCCTCTAATCAACACTCTAGAAGGCCCCTCTTCCTCCTCAGTCCTGACTCCCTGTCATTTACTTCAGGTTGCCTCCTTGCTCAGTTTTGGCCCCAGGGGTAGGCAATCTCCTCTTTCTGGACATGTCTCCCACCAGCCCCAAGTTCAGATTTCTTGGAAGTTTCTGTGTTGTCTCGAGGATGCATGGTTGTGTGAGTTATTCCAGGGCTCAAGGCCTCTTCTGTGTCTGTATTCCCCAGGAATCCAGGAATTCACTTCTCTGCCTCTCATCCTCATCCTCATCATTAAAATGAGCAGATTTGAGCTCAGGAAGTGCTTGAATAAATGAATAAATGAACAAATGAAAGGTGATTTTTGAAAGTCTTAATTTTAAGAAGTCTCTGAGCCCTGTTACAGCTCAATTTTCCCATAAACTAGAACTGCTCTCTAAGGCTGTGACATTTCTCCTTTTTCCTCTCCTCAAAATCTACCTGCTGTTCTGATATCTCCCTGACAGCCACCATAGTGAGATTCTATTTCCATTTCCAATCTCTCTTTTGTAAGGGACAGAGAAACAGCTAGAGAAATATGGAGCCATGCGCTCTGAGGACTTTAGCAGGCTTCAACTCTATCTGCAAGTGAGTTTCACTTAGCGAATGAAATTGGAAACTTAAAGTGGGTAGGGATGAGGGTTCCCGGAGAAGGTGTAATACCTCAGTCTGGGAATTGGGAGCATCTACAAGGAACACACTCAATTCTGGGAGGTTCCTGTAGATTTCAGAGATTTAGCAGGGCTTCCCAGCACTCTGCTTCCCAACCTGTCATTGGACCAGTAAACCCTGCTCTCAAACTGTTGTGGTGTCCAGCATGCTTTGGCAAGGTAATGAAAGATAACATGACATGGACATATGGGTGACATCCTGGAGAGATGACAGAAGCCTCTGTTTAAGGACAAGATTTGCCATTTAGATTTTGCACCCACTGTATAATAAGAGCCTTAGGATTGGGCTGGAATCGCCCTAGCAGGCATGATGGCAGCCCCTCTGGACTGGCAATATGCAGCTTTTTTGCAAGTGTTCCATGTCCAAGTCACCCCACCCAGCTTTCTACTGCTCCCGTGGAAGCTCTGGTGAAACGCAAGGAAAGCAGCTGCTGTTGACTGGATTTTTCTTTCACATGAAACTTTGAAGCCTCATAGATGCTTATTGGCCTGGATGCTATTAAACCTTTAAAAATCCCTTTCTCATCTTGAGAGTATTTGAGAAACATGTCTGGGGCATTTTGCCCACCCTCCTCCAGGTTCTGTGTCAGTGAGTGATATGGTTTGCCTGTGTCCCCACCCAAATTTCATCTTGAATTCCCATCTGTTGTAGGAGAGACCCATGGCAGGTAGTTGAATCATGGGAGCAGGTCTTTCCCATGTTCCTGTGATAGTGAGTAAGTCTCAAGAGATCTGATGGTGTTAAAAAGGGGAGTTTTTCTGCACAAGCTCTTCTTCTCTTGTCTGCCACCATGTGAGATGTGCCTTCCACCTTCTGCCATGATTGTGAGGCCTCCCCAGCCACAATGGAACTGTAAGTCCATTAAGCCTCTTTCTTTTGTAAATTGCCTACTCTGGGATGTGTCTTTATGAGCAGTGTGAAAACAGACTAATACAGTGAGTCTGGGTCAGTGTGTGTTTATGTTGAACGTAGTGGACTTGTGGTGTCCCCAGGGCACCCTGTGGGGAATGTTGGCCTGTGGCTTTGCTACTTCCAGGGGGATTTGGCATGGAGAATGTGTGTTTTAAGTAATAGATAGATTATGATTGAAGTGTGTTATGGGCTGAGTTGTCTCTCCTCAAAAAGACATGTTAAAGTCCTAACCCCCAGTATCTCAGAATCTGACCTTCTTTGGAAATAGTGCCTTTATATAGGTAATCAACTTCAAGTGAAGTCATTAGCACAAGCCCTAATCCAATAAGGACTGGCATTCTAATGAAAGGGGAAATTTAGACATAGAAACAGACATGCACAGAAGAAGATGATATGAAGAGACACAGGAAGAGGACGGTCATGTGACTGGAGTGCTGGGTCTGCAAGCTGAGAAATGCCAAGGTTTACTGGCTAACATCGGAAACTAGAAGGGGCAAGAGTGGACTCTCCCCCTCAGAGAGAGTATGGCCTTGATTTCAGACTTCTAGCCTCCAGAACTGTGAGGCGTACATTTCTGTTGTTTTTGAAGCCACCTAGTTTTTGATACTTTGTATGGGAGCCCTAGGAAATTAATACAAAGTGTATTAAAAATAGAATTTTCTTCTATTGTATTTTTGAGGCAAAAGAAATAAGGAGCTATTGATTTAAGGAGGAAGGTTTGGCTCATCTAGTATAGACTTGGCTAATCATTTACTCTTGTATATTTCTCTTCTGCCTGCCCAAGTAGTTCACTGAACAGGCTTAGAAGTTGATTTATAATTGTAAGAGTTTACACATCAGAAGTTAATTTATAATTGTTAACAGTTTCATGCATCTACCTCATAAATACCTTGTAAAAGATTTTACCCTTCAGAATAATGTTTTCCTCTGGTACTTTAGTAGTTTATCCTTTTTTTGCATCTTTGATGCATTTGAATTCATCCTGGTATGCTGTGTGAGCTGGGGCTCCAATGTCGTTTTCCTACAGATGGCTCCACAGTTGTTTCGGTTTCATTCGAACAGCCTCCTACAGAAGTATTTTTCAGACTTCTTTTATACTTGACTTCCAAGTTTACTACTGGTTAAGAGCTTTTAAAGTAGGGGGAAAGATATGACCCATTGGCCTACTCGTTTGATTATTTTTTCCAATTCTGAAATCAAAAATTAAAAAATTTATTCAAAGTTATAGTTTCACTTAATTTATATTAACTGCATAGATAGTGTGATTCATCTGTCCTGCTTGGACATATTTAGTAACTTTTAATTAATCTTAGAGATAAAAGATAGAAATCTATGAGACTTGAGACATTCAAATAAGACCAGTACTGATAAGAGGTAATCAGGTGAAGTGCCATTTGGTTGTAATAGGACATCAAAATTGTTCCCCAAGAGTGAAGGATGTTCCATTCTCACTTTTCCCATCTGTCCTCCCAAATTCTTTCACTCTTCCTGATGCTTTGAACCAACTTGAAAAGTTAGTCCACTCAGAACCTCAGCTGTTAAACTTTTAGCCTCTGCAAACAAACTAGCCGTTTTCCTCTTTGTCCCTTTACCATCAAGCTCAGTTGCTTCTCCTACTCCTCTCCCTTCTGCCAGGGGCTCCACCCTTGTTCCTCATTCAACAGTGGAATCATCTGTGTGCCTGTCTCCTCTTTACTGTGTACCATTGGGTCCTCTTCTTCACCATCTCTAAATTTATGCTTCTTCCCTGTTCCACTGTCACCAGCTTGGTCTACATCCTACTTTGATCATTTGGATTTAGGTCCCACCCTAATCGAGTATGACTTCATCTTAACTTGATTGCATCTGCAAAGACCTGATTTCCAAATACGACCACAAGTAAAGGTTCAGGTGGACATGAATATTAGGAGAGACAGCACTTCAATTAACAGTTTGGCATTAGGACTTTATTATCTAGCTTAGTAATTGTTTTAACAGATAAATAATAGTATCCCCTAAAGTTTAAAATGCAGAACCAGATTATGCCTCAGGGTGCCTAACCTGAGAGGAAGAGTCTTTCTTCAACAGACTCTGGGAAAGACCTTTGTAAAAAGGCTGGTGACCATTCTATTTGATTTCTACTTTCCAATATTAACTGCTTAAGTCAGACAATCTCCTTGGCCCACGCTTTCCCCTGCCATTCTCCCCTTCACATAATGTCTTCATTTTATTTTTCCCTTGTTTTATTCCCTGAACTCCCTTCTCTCTATTCAGATTCCCTGCCCATTTTTTCTCCTAATGAGACGCCTGACTTCCTACCTCCTTTTTGAAACTTCAAACTGCTTAGCAAATACAATTTTGAATTGAGTTTGCTGTCACAGAACAAAAACTAGTCCTTGGTCCAGAGTATCTTGCAGGACTGAATCAACTGTGGTCTAAGACACAATAATAACTCTTAATTATTTTCTTGTTTCCTTCATGGTATATTTGTTGCTGGATGATGAGTTTATATTATGGTTGAATTTCCTTTTTGAAATGAAAAGATGAATAGTCTTTATTGGCTGGGTATCTATTTTTATCCAGAAGACTTTGCAAATGAGAAATATTTCTACAATCTGAGTTTAATTTGCTTAAGCAATGAACTTGTTCTTTAAAAGTCGTATATGTGCAAAATAAATTTAAATTAAATAAATCATATTTTAATGTAGTCAGGGTAGCTTTCATTTAAATAAAACCTATGACAAATATCCACGTGAAGTTATCACTCCTTTAACAAAACAAGTGTTCTCCTTTTTTATTGAAATACTAGTTTTCACAAATTGAGATTCCTTAATGTGATGACCGCTTGGACTGACTATAGTATAGCTGCGTTCTTAGAATGGCCCTGAAACCACAAGGCCTCTCCAAGATGCATGTGGCTGACTTTCTGAGGTGACTGCATTGAATCTTTCTGGCTTAGCTTATTCTGCATCCAGATCCCTGGAAGCTATTTATCCCCAAACAGTGGTATATTTAGACCCATTGTGTGCTAACCTCTCTGTGCCCTAAGTACCAACATAGCCAAGCCAAAGTTCGAACTTTGCTGCCTTACAATGGAGGTTACATCGTAGTGATGAAAGAGGTTAATTTTCTTTAGGAGTTGAAGACCAGAGAACTGCAAAAAGGGGAGAAAATCAGTGTGGCCTCTAATGAGAGCTAAGTGAGTGAGGCAATAGAAAACAGTGAGGACCGGCCAGTGCGGTGGCTCATGCCTGTAATCCCAATACTTTGGAAGGCTGAGGTGGGCGGATCACGAGGTCAAGAGATCAAGATCATCCTGGCCAACATGGTGAAACCCTGTCTCTACTAAAAATACAAAAATTAGCTGGGTGTGGTGGTGGGTACCTGTAGTCCCAGCTACTCGGGAGGCTGAGCGGGGAGAATCGCTTGAACCCGGGAGGCAGAGGTTGCAGTGAGTCGAGATTGCGCCACTGCACTCCAGCCGGAGTGAGACTCCGTCTAAAAAAAAAAAAGAATACAGTGAGGACCTTGGAGGGAATCTTACAGTGGAGCAGAATTAAAAGAGAAGAATTCACCTATTTCCTATATAACTCCCTCTGTAACCGATAACTTTCTAGAGAAAGCTCACTGAATATATTTGAAATTTGTTTCATACCACTTTTATGTTATTGCCTTCTTTCACAGGAACCAGAGAGCTCTAACCTGTAGATTTGCTTTGTTGTCTTTACTTTAGACTACAGCCTAAACTGACTGTTGATTTTTGGCACAATTATTACATCTCTCCTTTCACCCCGCCTCTAGCCCTTTCTTAATTACCCCCATTAGGCATTTTTCTTGCTAGCGTGAACTAAATCCCCTGTCTCAAGCACGCGCCTGTACATTGAAATAGAATGTTAATTCATTGACGAAATTAACTGTTCTTGATTGGGAACCCCTAGTTCCAGGGAATCTTAAGGTTTCAATTCTGTTGCCTTGGTTACTAAACTGTTCCATGCAGTTTGCTCAACTTTGAATGGATACTTCTCTTAGGAACATTCTCCCTTGTAAGTAAATTGCTTGACGTGTTAAAATCTAAGTTCTGTTTTACAATTCTTGAGACAAATTCACCATGATTTAGTTTTAAAAACAAGTGGCCTTGTCCTTTTAGTCTAGGATTTATCACTTAGCTGTATCTAGCAAAGCCCCTCACACAATAGTAGGAAAAAGCAGAAGTGTGATTGCTAAATGAAGGGGAAATGTAATAAAATGATGGAAGTGCCCTTTTTTAGGGGGAATTAAAGTTTCTCTTTGTAGTGTTACATGTATTCATTATGTGACTTTCATAAATACAAACCCCAATAAAACGGTGGGCAGTTCCGTCTCTGGAGATGTTAAGTGTCTCTTCATAGAATAACATGGCACATCATAACATTTGATTCCTTTTACCTGGTCAAGATGTTTGCTTATGGCATTTGAAATGCATATTTTCAAACTAGGTAGATGAATGGTTTAAATATAAAAATTCATTCAAGGCCCTGAGCTATAGAAGAATATCTTCCAAAACATGCATTCAAGTTCTATCTGTCAGTGTTTTTCTTTTTGCATCAATAAGGCAGCAATGGAATACAATCAGATTTATTTTTTCTTTATTGCTGTCTACAATTCAGAGATATAACCTGAAAAATATGTTGTCTCTTCCCAAGTAGATCTTGTAATTCTCTGAACTGTGATCCAGACCAATGCCGCCTTTACATTGGGTCTGTGGAAGTGGGAGGGTCCACTGAACCTGGTTATGAGAGGTTTCAAATTGAAAAGATTTACAAGTATGTAAATAAAATCAAATAGTCAATTAGTATCTAACATATACATGTCAAAACACATAGCCCCAATCTCATAAAATCAAAGAGATCTACCTAAATAGATTTGTTTGCCTAACAAATAGCAAGACCACTTTGACAGAATCTTTAGCATGACAGTGATTGTCAAAATGGGTAAATGGTTATTATTGCCCAGTTAAGTAATTTCTGATTTGCTTTGCCTTGATTACTCTTAATAAACTAAACTTAACATACCATAGAAGCAATATTTTTTAAAAAGAGGGTATATTCTAGAGCTAGATAGGGTGTTGTGCAACAATGTGAATGTACTTACTACCATTAAACTGCATACATAAAAAGGGTTGAAATGGTAAATTTTATGTTATATACATTTTACCAAAATAAAGAAAAGTTATAATACTTTCCGTAGCATATATAAAAAAGAAACAGACATTTCATAGCAAAAATAGGATAAAAATGATATTAAATTCATAGGGGATTTCTCTTATCTAAAACTTTAGATTTGATTCTTAGATAAGAATATAAACACATTGCAAGAAGATAAATCAATAAGCCAATGAAGTAAGGTGGAATAAATAAATAGAAATAGGTGATACTTGCGGCTCTGACAGCATCTGATAATAATAGTACAAACAGTTTCATTTCATTTAACAGTTATTTGATGAACTCCTGTGTGCTAGGAACTGTTATTTAAAAAAAGTAACTTTTATTTTAGGTTCAGGGGTACATGTGCAAGTTTGTTATATAGGTAAACTCATGGCTCGGGGCTTGGTACACAGATTATTTTGTCACCCAGGTACTAAGCATAGTACCCAACAGTATTTTTTTTTCCGAACCTCTCCTCCTCTCACCCTCCCTCACGTAGGCCCAGTGTCTGTTGCTCCCCTCTTTTTGTCCATGTGTTCTCATTATTTAGCTCCTACTTATAAGTGAGAATATGCATTATCAGGTTTTCTGCTTCTGTGTCAGTTTGCTAAGGATAATGGTCTCCAATTCCATCCATGTTCCTGAAAAGGACATGATCTCTTTCTTTGTTTTTATGGCTGCAGTGTATTCCATGGTGTATATGTACCACATTTTCTTCATCCAGTCTACCATTGGTGGACATTTAGGTTGATTCCATGTCTTTACTATTGTGAATAGTGCTGTAATGAACATACGCGTTCATGTGTCTTTATGGTAGAACGATATATAATCCTTTGAGTATATACCCAGTAGTGGGATTCCTTGGTTGAATGGTAGTTCTGTTTTTAGTTCTTTTAGTTCTGTGTGTGAAAACACACCAGAGAACAAAATTGACCAGATCTCTGCCTTCACAGAACGTTCATTCTACTGTACCAGTTATTTCATGAGGAATATGAATACTGTTATTACTCTCTGCCCATTTCACACATGAAGGAGCAGAAATGGAGCAGAGTTTACTAATTTATCTGTTGCAGATAGTAGCTAATTGTGTGCCAGGTGCTGTTCCAAGCATTTTACCCCTGTTAACTCAGCTGAGTGCTTTTATTTTCCCCATTGTATGCCCAACTTATGGATGACAGCACTGAGGTAGAGAAAGGTTAATAACATAGAATAGTTTAGTATTAGGGAAACAATTTGAATTCTAGGACACTTTTACTGAAACTTAGCATAGGCTAAAGAAGTGATCGTGCATGTTTAAAGAGTTGTATCATTTTATCATTATTTGACTTTCTTTTCCAAAAAAAACAACCCTTCTCCTTTCTCTCTCTTCCATGTGACAAATACATGTCTGTATACATACATATATATGTAAATATAAATATATATAAAAATATATATAAATATAAATAAATATATATATATATATATAAATATATATATATATATAAAATTTTTTTTTTTGAGATGGAGTCTCACTCTGTTGCCCAGGCTGGAGTGCAGTGGCATGATCTCGGCTCACTGTAAGCTCCGCCTCCTGGGTTCATGCCATTCTTCTGCCTCAGCCTCCCGAGTAGCTGGGACTACAGGTGCCCGCCACCACGCCCGGCTAATTTTTTGTATTTTTTAGTAGAGATGGGCTTTCACTGTGTTAGCCAGGATGGTCTCGATCTCCTGACCTCGTGATCCGCCCACCTCGGCCTCCCAAAGTGCTGGGATTACAGGTGTGAACCACCACGTGCGACCCACATGTCTGTATATTACAGCCGTTGAAGGACACAACTTTTGCCATTGGGCGACCCAGTCCCCTAGTAAGTGTTCAAAAATATTCGCTATTATCATTGTTGGTGATTTCGAGGATTTGGATATAATTAATTTGAGCCTAATTTTTTAAGACTATTACATAACTATACAAAAAAATCATGAGAGAGCCTGGAATTTTGCAAAACTAGGATAGAAACCAGTTTCTAAAAAGCATTTTAAACATTCAGCTTGTGTATTTCTTTTCACTTGTATTTTGTGATCTGCCTCCATGCTTTCATGCCTTTCTCTTCAAACAATCTTATTACCACTAACCAAAAACAATTAAAATTTGATTGTTTTGTTTTTACATGTTGTTACAGTTAAGAAAAAAAAATTCTAGGTATTGACCCCTGCCAGTTTTCGGAGTTAATACTAACTAGTGATTTGGGGCTACATTTAAGTGCTTTAAGCTATCCTACAAGCTTAAAGTAGTTATACATGCAAATACTTAAATGAATTAGGTACAAGAATACAGAGGTAAGAAATAGAATCTATTGTAGAATAAATCCTATTTCAGATGTGACTGTTTTAGGATTTGAATCAACCACATATTACAGAAAACCCCAAGATAAAGCCTTGGCATAACCAAGACAAAGTTTATTTTTTTCTCTCACATAAAATTAGTCCAGACTTATTTTACCAGTGGTATGGCAACTCCACAGTCAAAGGGACCCAAGCTCATCTGACCTTCGATTCCCTTATCCTGGGACAGGCTTACATTCTCAAGGTCGACTCCTGGCCTAATGGGGCTACTGGAGCTTCAGCCATCACACTCTGTGCTTCCTGTTATATCTACTGGTCAGAACTTCAGATACATCTGTCTAAAAGGAACGCTGAAAATACAGTCTTTAAGCTGTGCAATTGTACCTGGAATAAATGAGTTCTTTTAATAAAAAGAGTTGAATGGATATTTGGTGGGCAAATAGCAGTCCATGCTACAATAATAAACTTCACAATTTTAGAATTAGATATCTTGTAATGAATATTCTGACGTGGTGTCAACTTATACCATAGATAGATTATAACTTTGAAAAGGAATTAGAACACAATAATAATAAATTCACACTAAGGCTCTTTTGGGGAAAAAAAATCTCTACCATTTATTGAGTGTTTATTATCTTCACAACATCCCTATGAGTTAGGGATTATTTTTGTGGACATTTTACAGATAAAGAAACAGAGGCATTGAGATGATAACTAGCTTGACTAAGGAGTGGCGGAGCTCTGGGCAGTGTGGTTCCTGTGTGCCCATAAGGCCATTGCACAATGCTGCTTCATCATGTAATTCAGAAAGTATTGCAGGATGTGGCAGTTGGTCATCATGAATGTTCATTGTTATCTTGTGGCTTTGTGAAAAATTCTGGTCATTCAAACGATTTGACTGTTGAGATTCTGTGCACATGAGATTGTACTGTGTACATGTTTCTAAAAATGTGTGTTATAGATCAAAATGCACACACTCATTTACCTCTAAGAACAGTTCTTATATTGAAGGGAAATTATCTGTACGTGAGAGAACAACGTGGTTTTGAGTACAAGTGGTGAACAGACATTGAATAGTTGTTTTCAGAAAGCATCACTCCCCTGTACCTCAGAACCCAGCCTCAGTGCTGGTTGCGAGCCAACAGCTTTGATGTCCTGAAGTTTTTGCATCACTTCTCTTTTGCCCCTCTTTGGGATTCAAAGATGATAAGTTTGAAGTGGAGTTCTACCGCTTCCATTGGAAGAGAAAAAGTTTCCGTGTGTGTGTGTGTGTGTGTGCGTGTGTGTGTTTACGGAGAGGAGTTCTATGCATCTGCAGAGGGTGCTGCCATCAACAAGGAGAACAGAGTGGGATGAAGGGTTTGGGAAGCCAGGATGGGCATCTCTGACGAGCTCCAGAACTCTCCACCTAAGTGTGCAAGTGTAAACACTCCCTGATGTGTGAACTGGCCATCTCAAGACTAAGTATTTAGCAGGAAATGCCCCCTATTCAACCCTTGCCTTCTCAGGTGTAGAGGTTGGGTTGTCTCTTCCATCTTTGTTTGAATTATGTCATTAATCAACCTTAGTGAAAGATCACTTAGTCATTTGTGACAGCATAAGTTCTTAATTGTTAGGAATCACTGGTGCGGCACACATCTTTTTCTATCCATGAACAACGTCAAATGCTTATTTTCTCATGAGCTTTTATTTTTTCCTTTTAAAAAAAGTTTCTTAGGATAAACACAGCCTTTTTCCTTGTCTCTCCCTTGCCCTCTCATCTTTTTCTCAATCTTTATATTCCTATATGTCACTGAAGAGTCCCCGTGCCAACGCTGTGCAGTGGGAGGCTCCTACCTCCACCAGCTTTTGAGGAGGTTGTAGTCCTGCAACCTTAGAGGTTCCACAGCCAAGCTGGGGGTCTTTCTGGAGCATGGGTGGTGAATCTGAGATCTATGCACCCAGGAAGCCTGACACATTATTGTGGTGTCTCAATTCTTTTTTTTTTAATTAGAAAAATTGTATCAAATTGCATTTGGTGAGAGCAAAAATAAACTGAAGTTGGTTGAGCTTTGGAAGACTACAAGCCACTGTAATATTTAAGATTTCTTGACCTCCAGAACTAACATTTGTCCTGTCAGAGAAAATAATTACTCCTGTTGAGAATACATGCATTAAAGTAAGATGTTCACTACTCTATATGATCACCAAACATTAAATAATATGTTTTACACATGTATGTACTATGTGTTCAAGTGTTTATAAATCCATGGAGCCAATAGAATGTAAGTTCTATGAGGGCAGAAATTTTAATCCATTTTGTTCCTAGAACAGTTCCTGACACATACTGGTGTTAGGGGTAGGTCTTCAGATTTTATGGATCAAATGGAATCTCCACACTTAAAAAAACTTAGAGAAAAACTGCCTTAATGTGCCCATAGTCTGGTTGGAAATGGCAGCTCCAGGTTCATTGATTGCTTTGTTCATTCGGCACTTTTCACTGGACATGCTATGAGCCCAGCAGTGTTCTGGGTTTTTGGGATACACCAAGCCCTGCCTCCCCGGTGCTTAACATTCTAGTGGGGGAGACAGAAAGAAAGCAAACATGGTGGACAACTTAATTATCTATTTTTGAAAGTTGACAGGAACTGTGGACAAAAGAAAACAAGAGCTGGAGACAGCAGTGCCAGGGCAGGGTGAGGGTCAAGTTAGAGTAAGCCTCATTGAGAGATCTTTTGAGCAACACCTGAAGGAGGAGGTGAGAAAGTTAGCCATGTGGAGGGAGCAGCATTCCAGGCAAGTGGCCCACCAAGTGCAGAGTCCTGACAGCAAGAGCAGTTCTGGAATATTCTAGAAACAGGAAGAAGACCAATGTGACTAGAGCAGAGTGAGGCAGGAGTGAGAGAAAATGTGATCAGGAAAGTAAGGTCCTGTGGCCACTAAGATTTTGGCTTTTATTCTGAAGGAAATGAGGACTCATTGCAGGACTTTGAGAGCATGATCTGACTTGTCACAAGTGTTCTCTTTGTCTACTGGGTTGAGAAGACATCCAAAGGGGGCCAAAGATTGAGGCAGGGAGAGCAGCTAGGACAGGCTCTAGCAATCTAGGTGATAAATGAGGACCGATGGTGGCTCTGACAAGGGTGGTAATGGAGACATGGTGAGGAGTGACCACATTTCAAATATATCTTGAGGTAGAGCTGACAGGATTTTCCCGATGGGCTGGGCGTAGTATGTGAGAGAAAGAATTCAGTTATGGATGATTATTTTGTCCTGAACAATGATAAAAGTTGAGTCAACAACTGATATGGGGAAGTCTACAGGTGGAACAAGTTTTTGAGGAGGAAATCAGTTCAGTGTTGGCTATGTTGAATTTGAGATGTTTTTAGACCATCTGAGTGGAGAAATCTGGAGTTTAGGAGAGAGGCTGGACTTGATATGATGTTATGGGTCCTCAGCATAGAGATGATGAATGAGATTAGCAAAGTAGTGAGTGTAAAAAGGAAAGGGAAGGAGACCAAAGATTGAGCCTTGGGACAGTCAGAAAGAAGAGAGGGAACCCGCAAAGGAGATTGAAATGGAATCCATCTCACTGTGGCATCGTGAAAGACAAATGAAGATGGTATAAGATGAAAAAGTGATCAGCTGTATCAAATGCTGCTATTGGGTCAAGTAGGGTGAGAATTGATAATTTTCCATCTTGTCAAGAGCAGCCGTGATAGAGGGAGGGGGTGGAGATATACTTGGAATGAGTTCATGAAAAAATGGGAGGGAAGGGATTAGAAGCAGCAAGTATAAGCAGCTCTTTCAAAGGAGGGAGATGGGGAATGGCTACTGGGATGCCATCACATAGATAGGAAGGTGGAACCCTGTGCACTGGAGGAGGGAGTGTCCTCACAGAGGAGGACAGGCAGGAAGGTAGAGTGGGCTGCTTTGGGCACATGTGGTTCTGTGGATGTTCTCTTTTGACAGCTTCAGTTCTTCAGGGAATTGGGAGCAAGTTCATCAGCTGAGAGTGAACATGGGGCAGACAGTGTGAGAGGTCAAAGCGGCAAGAGTAGTTGTGCCACAGTCTTTTAGGAGAGAGGGAAAGTAAATGGAATGGGGAAGGAAAGTAAATAGCATGGCTGCTGAGCTGCGTTACAAGCCCACCCGGTGTTGGGTTGTGAGGTGTAGTTGTGGGCTCTTCTTCAGTCGGATTGTCAGCATGGGCGGCTGGCAGAGAGTTGAATCTGACAGGGCAGCAGTTCTGGAAAATGAGTATGATGAGTCAAGAAAGGGACCAGGAAGTGGAAACTGTGTGTGAGGCAGTGATGCTGATGAATGACTGTGGAAAACAATGGAGGTGAGGAGGGAGTGGATGTTGAGTGGCTAGGGGACAGTGAAAAGGGAGTAGGATCCACTAGCTTGCTGCTTGTCTCTTATAATTAGGATCAAGAGCTTCTGCCGTCTTCTAGGCATTCTGCTGCTTCAAGGGAGTCTCTGAGATTGGGTTCTGCATGGATGTATTGAAACATGCACCTAGGTGTGTTTGGAGTCCTGCCAGAGACCTGCTTTCTCTTTATTCTTATCCTGAGGCCCTTTAGGAGGCTCAGATGGAATAATTTTTATGGTTTCTTAAAACCCAAGTGGGTTACCTAAGCCATCATAGTTCTGCCCCCTGTTCCCTGAGAGGACCACGGGAGCACCCTGAAATGGGTTTTCCACTCTGCCATCCCCCACTTGCCTGCTTGGGTGTTGACCTCAGCCATCTACACATATCCCGGATGTAGTGTTGGGCCCCTGGTTGATGTCATTCCTTTTCAAATGGGATCTTTTACTACAGCAATCCAGCAACAAACTAAATAGCGATAGAGTTTTCTTTCCCTTACAAACCACAACCACAACCAAGGGAAAAACCAAACCAAACCAACCAAACAAACAAAACAAAAGTATGTGGCTTCTTACCACAGCCCCCTATCTCGCCCAAGCCTTGTGGCTCTTTGATCTCTGGTGTTCTGAAATTGCGTAATCATGTGCTTGCTCTTTTTCATTCATTGTGCTGGGCACACACTTAATGGACCCTTTCAAGTTGGTTTTCTTTTATGGGGTAAGGGTAGGCAGGACTATTTTTTAAGATTTCTTCCACTTTGTCTTCCAATTGTTCTAATGAGTTTTTTAAAATTGTGCCTGTCCTGTTTTTAAATTCCAAGAGATATTCTTTGTCCTCTAAATGTTTCTTATAAATATATATAAAATGAATAATATAAGCATATAGTTTTGCATAGATTTGAGTTCGCTGTTACAGTGTCCTTTTATTTCTCTGAGGATATTCATTATAGGTTTTTTAAAAAACACTTTTTCTGGTCCCCAAATTATCTCTTCTCTCTAGACTTCCTCCATTCATGCCTTCCTTCCCCCCTCCCTCCCTTCCTTTGCTCTTGCTCTTGATTTTGGAGGCTTGTCATAAATATTTGACCATCCATTCATTTTTTAACCATAACGAACTAAAAATGTTAATTGGAGCCCTGTGTGTTCCTTGAGCAGAATGTTTGGATTAATGAGCTTCCGTGCAATGTTTTCTCTGGAATGGATTAATTTCTCCAGATCTATAATTTTTCAATCTCTTTCCAGGGGGTAAAAGCCTGGTTGTCTGTTTCATGAAAGTAAAAATGTGGGTAAGAGTGATCCCAGCATTCAGAATGCAGACTTAGTAGCTGCTTGTTTTCAGTCCTGGGACTTCACCCACCCTCACCACAGTTGGTATCCCAAAGTGTGAAACTCCTTAGATTATCTTTCTCAAGAAAATGAAACTCAGATATTCGTGTCCTTTGGCCATTTTTGATTAGCTTATTTGTTTTCTTCCTTTTGAATTGTTTGAATTCCTTATGTATTTTGAATATTAACCCCTTATTAGATTTATGGTTTGCAAATATTTTCCCCCACTCTGTGGGTTATCTTTTCACTTTGTCAATTGTTTACTTTGCTGTGCGGAAAGCTTTTTAGTTTCATGCTATCAAACTAATTTTGCTTTTGTTGCCTGTGCATTCAAGGTTGTATCCAAAGAACTCATTGCCCAGATCAATGTCATGGAGCATTTCTCCTATGTTTTCTTCTGGTATTTATATAGTTTCAGTGCTTTTCTTTAAATTTTAATCCATTTTGAATGGATTTTTAATAGGGCATAAGTGTCACTTCCATTTTTTTATATGTGGATATCCAGTTTTCCCAACACCATTTATTAAAGAGGCTGTCCTTTCCCTATTGTGTATTCTTGGCACTTTTGTTGTAAATAAGTTGATCTTACTTGTGCGGGTTTATTTCTGGGCCTTCTAATCTGTTCCATTAATTCATGTGTCTGTTTTTATGCCAGTATCACACTGCTTTGATTACAATAGCTTTATAATATATCTTGAAATCAGAGAGTTTGATGCCTCTAGCTTTGTTCTTTTTGCTCAAGATTGTTTTGGTTAATTGGGGTCTTTTGTGGTTCCATACAGATTTAAAGATTATTTTTTCTATTTCTGTGAAAAATGGCATTGGAAATTTGATAGGAAGTGCATTGAATCTGCAGATCACTTTGGATAGCATAGATTTTTTTTAACAATAATAATTTTTCCACTCCATGAAGAGGTATACTTTTTTCATTTATTTTTGTTTTCTTCTATTTCTTTTATCTGTGTTCTGTAGTTTTTAGTATTCAGGTGTTTCACCTCCTTGGTTGAATTTACCCCAAGTATTTTGCTGTTGTTGCTATTGTAAATGGAATTGTTTTCTTAATTTCCTTTTTGGATAATTCTTTATTATTATATAGAAAAGCTATGGATTTTTGCATGTTTATTTTGTATGCTTCAACTTTACTGCATTTGTTTATCAGGTTTTAACAGTTTTTTGATAAAAGTTTTGGTGTTTTCTGTATATATGATGATGTCATCAGCAAACAGAGACAATTTCATTTCCCTATTTTCTTTCTTTTTTTTTTTTTGAGATGGAGTCTCACTCTGTCACCCAGGTTGGAGTGCAGTGGTGCGATCTCCACTCACTGCAAGCTCTGCCTCCTGGGTTCACACCATTCTCCTACCTCAGCCTCCCGTGTAGCTGGGGCTACAGGTGCCCGCCACCACGCCCAGCTAATTTTTTTGTATTTTTAGTACAGACGGAGTTTCACTGTGTTAGCCAGGATGGTCTCGATCTCCTGACCTCGTGATCCACCCGCCTCAGCCTTCCAAAGTGCTGGGATTACAGGCATGAGCCACCGCGCCCGGCCCCTATTTTCTTAATCACGCGATATATACAGGCTTGTTGAAAAACATGAAAATGATAAAGAAGTTTATGTATTAAGAGGCAAAAGCTATGATGTTCAACTCCTCTAAAACCACTTCTTAGTAGGTGAACATTGTTAAACAGTTTTGTGAATCTGCTTCCAGATTTTTTCTAGGCATGTTCATACACATATACACACATAATTTATTTTTACCCAGTTGCGATCATGTATCATCTGATCCAAAACTCGCTATTTTTCAGTTAATATGCAGTGACTGTCTTTCCAAACCATAGTATATATATATATCTCTAAGAATTTTTCAAATCTGCTATAGTTTTTAAACATATTTATTGTTACATACATATGTGTATAAGTTACTTATTTGCTTATTTCTTTGAATATCTTTGTCTAGCTTTGGAATCACATAAATAATGAGTACAAATGGTAAAGAAATTTCATGTGGAAGGATATATAGAAAAAGTACAAGTCTCTCTTCTCATCCACTCTATCTCATTACCTAAAAGGTTATCCTTAGAGCTTTATATAATACATCCCTGAAGTTTAGATCATTTTATTGCCTCCCAATTGTTGAGAGTAAGGAATTTAGTACATATACCTTTCCTTTCACTTTCCTACCCTCTACCTACTTAATGAGTTCGATTATAGTTTTTCAGTTCACCCACTGTTAAATAATATACCTATATTTATAATATACCTATATAATATACCTATAATAAACCTATATTTTTGACTTATCAACTTTGGACATATCTATTGGTGACTTGTGATGAGAGATGAAATAATTTGTACATTTACCCTTCTTTTCCATTCTTTTCCCCTACCCATTCTCCCCTTTTTGGCTAAATGATTGCTTTTAGGTTGATAAGGTTTATAATAGCTACTGTTCTGTGGTTATAAAATTTGTTTCATATTTTATGTGAAATTTGATTATACAACTAGCATTCAAAACATTATTATGTAAATATTAGTTACTGTAATCACACAGTGACGCTCAAGGAGGTATTTACTAAGCATACAGATCATTCCTTCTGGATCCAACTCAGCAGTTGCTTTGCTGTGCCTTACCTCATCTTTCGTGGATTCCTTTTCTTTTGATTGCAATATATCCTTGAGTAATTTTTCAGAATCGATATGTACTGTCTGAACTCTCTTATACCCAAAAAATTTGCTTTCACATTTGCTAATAGTTTGACAGAGTATCAAATTCTGCTTTCAAATTCTTTCCCCTTCATGGCTTTGAAGATACTGCCCCACTATATATTCTAAAATCCATTGCTGCTAATGAGAAATTCTGGTGTCACTCTGACTCTTATTTCTTTCATATCACTTGGCATTTTCTTCCGAGAAAATATTACTTATCTTCAGAATGATGAACCTTCTCTATCATGTCTCTAGGTGTTAGGGCTTCTTTCATTTAATCCTGTAGGTCCTCAATAGGCTTTTTAATTAAAGTCTCATTTTATTCGGGCTCTGTGAAATTTTTTGTTATGTTTTGGCTTCTTTTTCTCTTTTGTTGTCTCTCTTTTCTCCTTGAATGTCTTTCTGATAGATATAGCATTCCCATTATCTATCATGTCTTTCAGATTATCCTACATTTTTCTCTTTGTTTTCTTTTTCTACCATGTTTAGAATTCTCTTACACGTAAGACATCACTTACTAGATCTTCAGTCATATCCTTTTTATTATTCAGTCTGTGCATTTTTAATTTTCAATTTTGGCAACCACATTTTTAATTTCTAAGAATCTATTTTGCTAATAGTACTTTTGTCCTGAAACTTTTTATATCCTGCAATATTTAGAAAGAGCACACCCTTATCCACAGCTGATTAGGAGTACACTCTGAATGCAGGGCACGATGGGCGAACATTTTGTTACTGGCCTCCTCAAGCCTCAATGCCCAGAAGTTATTGCCTCCATCAGAAACCCTTCTTTTGTTCTATCCCTCACTTCCAAATGAAGTTCCAGCTTAATTTTTGCTGTCACTGTAGTGGGACAAGCAAATCCCTATTTCACGTGATCATTGCTCAAACCTCTATTGACAATCCTGCTTTGCATTCCCTTATTTAGAGTGGGATGGAAAATAAAGGCTATGAAGGGGGAAGAATCTGATCCCACCATTCTCCTTTTTCATTGCAGTTTTCTCCTTTTTTATGGATGCAATAAGCTGTTGCAATCTCTCAGGATGGAAAAGAACATTTTAAAACTACTCTACTGCCAGAATGATCTCTTTTTTTTAATTATACTGTAAGTTCTGGGATACATGTGCAGAACATGCAGGTTTGTTACATAGGTATATACGTGCCATGGTGGTTTGCTGCACCCACCAACCCATCATTTACATTAGGTATTTCTCCTAAATGCTATCCTTCGCCTAGCCCCTCACCCCTTGACAGGTCCCAGTGTGTGATGTTTCCCTCCCTGTGTCCATGTGTTCTCATTATTCAACTCCCCCTTATGAGTGAGAACATGTGGTGTTTGGTTTTCTCTTCCTGAGTTAGTTTGCTGAGAATGATGGTTTCCAACTTCATCCATGTCCCTGCAAAGGACATGAGCTCATCCTTTTTTATAGCTGCATAGTATTCCATTGTGTATATGTGCCACATTTTCTTTATCCAGTCTGTCATTGATGGGCATTTGGGTTGGTTCCAAGTCTTTGCTATTGTGAATAGTGCCACAATAAACATACGTGTTCATGTGTCTTTATAGTAGAATGATTTATAATCCTTTGGGTATATACCCAGTAATGGGATTGCTGGGTCAAATGGTATTTCTGGTTCTAGATCCTTGAAGAATCACCACGCTGTCTTCCACAATGGTTGACTAATTTACACTCCCACCAACAGTGTAAAGGCATTCCTATTTCTCCACATCCTCTCCAGCATCTGTTGTTTCCTGACTTTTTAATGATTGCCATTCTAACTGGCATAAGATGGTATGTCGTTCTGGTTTTGATTTGCATTTCTCTAATGATCAGGGATGATCAGCTTTTTTTCATATGTTTGTTGGCCTCACAAATGTCTTCTTTTGAGAAGTGTCTGTTCATATCCTTCGCCCACTTTTTGATGGGGTTGTTTTTTTTTCTTGTAAATTTGTTTAAGTACCAAAAACAGATACATAGACTGATGGAACAGAACAGAGGCCTCAGAAATAACACCACACACCTACAACCATCTGATCTTTGACAAACCGGACAAAAACAAGAAATGGGGAAAGGATTCCCTATTTAATAAATGGTGTTGGGAAAACTGACTAGCCATATGCAGAAAACTGAAACTGGACCCCTTCCTTACACCTTACACAAAAATTAACTCAAGATGGATTAAAGACTTAAATGTAAGACCTAAAACCATAAAAACCCTAGAAGAAAACCTAGGCAGTACAATTCAGGACACAGGCATGGGCAAATACTTCATGACTAAAATACCAAAAAGCAATGGCAACAAAAGTCAAAATTGACAAATGGGATCTAATTAAACTAAAGAGCTTTTGCACAGCAAAAGAAACCATCATCAGGGTGAACAGGCAACCTACAGAATGGGAGAAAATTTTTGCAATCTATCCGTCTGACAAATGGCTAATATCCAGAATGATCTCTATTTTATTTTTTATGACATATTAATCATGTTTGTTCTCTTGTGTCCTCTCTTTCTTTCTCTCGATTTTCCAGTGGTCCATGGTGGTCTATTTGTAGGGTTCATATTTACAAATGGGAGTCAAGGTGACTCCACTACAGTTATGTGAAAAAGTTTCCCTGCCATGCCTCTCCCTACACTGGGCGAGCTGATCTGGTTCCGGGTCAGTGGATGGAGCATTTCCTCTCGCAGGCACACCTTCAGGCTGGTGGGAGCAACTTGGGCCATGGACTGGAACCATGTCAATGGAGAAGACTTCCTCTGTGCCAGGTCCTGGTCAGAGCTGCCGTCTTGATTTATTTGTATCCCTCTTTCCGTCTGTGGTAAAGATCTGGAGGTTCTTAAGCTCTCTCTGGCCTCAAAACCCACAGCAGGAAATTTCCTCACTCAGATCACCCACATTTTTAGCAAGCAGAGCTTCAGTTTTGAGTGGAGGGCAGGAGTATTGGGCAGTAGGGAAGGACACAGTTCTCTACGCCGTTCTGAATGCAGTGCATTAATAAACTCTCTTCACAGTTGCTCCAGGGTGCTTTGCATTGGTGAACTTCTGGCTTCCAGGAAGAACCTGGTTACCTCTGATGTGTTGGGTTGTTGTTCCATCTACTCTAAATTCTGTGCCAATCCATCCCATCTGTTTCCTACCATTGGTTTATTTTTAAAAAATATTTTATATTTATGTAGATTTATGAACTTGATTATTATACCATCATTAGAGTTTGGGTCCAGAGTCAAACTTCTATAAACCTGTAATCAAAAATTGGCCTTTATTTTCATGTAGAAGGAAGTAGCAGACCAAAATGGAGTTCTATATTCCATTTTTCTAAATGAGCCATTGAGATGTAGAGCAAGCAAGTGCCCTTTTGAGGGAATGTGTGTGTGTGTGTGCACACATGCAAGGGCATTTTCCCATGTCTCCCATCCTTTAATTATTCCAGTAGACAGTGGGCCAGCAGCAGGTGGTGGCATAACTTCTCCATTTGCAGTGCTGTGGCTGTGGTGGGATCTGAACAGGAGGCAACCTTGGCAACAGTAGGAATAGAATGTGGAGTCAGCAGGAAGCGCTTTTCCCTCCCACTTACCTGTCTTCTTGTAGCAGACAGCAGTGCGGGCAGCTTCGGCTGACTTGCTTAGCCTGTTTCCATTGTGAGCATAAACACCTTAGACGTTTTTTCATTTCAGGACACTGGAGCTTGATGAAATTAAACTACACTCATTGTCTCAGGCAAATCTCCTAATCCTATTCTGTGCTTTTGTTGTTGTTGTTGTTGTTGTTAGTGGTGTGTTTCTCTCTCCACTTCGCTTTCCTTTTAAAACACAACAAATTTTTTTTTTTAATTTTAAATGAACTTATTCATTGCCTCCCTATGTGTCCCCTCCTTTCTAGTGATATTGCCGCTGTTCATTCCCAGCTGTTCTTGATTCTTGTACAAGACTCTTTGCTGGGCTTCTGCCTTCTAGACGCTTCACCTTCCCGTTATTTCTTCCCTCTGCCCCCGGAAAGGCCCTTACCATGGCTCTGATGATGATGACAGCTGACCCTTTTCCAAGGTGGAATCCACGTTTGATTCTCTGATCTTGTACTGGCTTAGCACAGTGCTCGGCATTCAGTAAATAAGGTTAAGGAAGGCCAGTGATATAGAGTAGTAGAAAACAGCAGTTAATGAAGGCTTGCTTTCTGTCACAGGTTCCTCTCCTCCAGGACTGCAGCATCTCTGTCTTTCTGTCGTAGCATACAAGACAGCATCTCTGTCTTTCTATTGCAACTTCCAGGTGAGAAGCCCTCCCACAAGCATATACAAATTTTATGGAAACAGACAAAAATTTGTAGGGAAGCAAATCCCTTCAAGGTTGAGTCTTTCTGGTCTTCTAGAAGGTAAGCTTGGTGATGGGGCAGTCACAGCCCTAGTGCTTATGGAACTTGGCCCTTTGGGGACAGATCTCAGTTAACTAAAGAAATGCTATGGCACAGAGTACCTTGAATCTCCTCTAATTTATGCTGTACAGGGAATTATTCACACTTTATTGTTAATAACACATTACATGGGGGAACACCAGACAGCTGACCAGGACTCCTGTGCTTGAAAGCTTCTGCTCTTCAGCAGGGCAGCCAGCCTCTTCTCGGTTTAGCACAGAGCTTTTATTCTCCTCGCTCTCTCTAAACTCCTGTTCAAGACAGTTTCCAATTCTGTTGAATTCACTCATTTACCTCATCTGTGCCTTTCCCCACCTCATTCTCTCCCCTTCAGAGTGCCCATTTCTGTGTTTCAAATCCCACAAGGCCAAGCTTAGATGCTATTATGTCTATGACATTCTCCACCTCTATCCCAATAAAAACCTTTGATTTCATCTTGCTGTTTGTATCTTTACTCTGTTATATTTCACCCATACCAGAGTTGTTTGTGGACATGCCTGATTTCCTTCAGGCTGTAGGCATATTTGATTCATTTTTGTACTCCATGAGTGCCTAACATAGCATCTTATACACCATAGATAATTAATAGATGCCTCTTGGCTGCATTTGTATTAAATTTTTACCATGTACTTGTCCTAGCTAGCAGAGACTTGGGGGGAAATAATGATGACTGATTTTTACTTATTTATTTATTTTTTATTCCCACAGGTTTTTGAGGAACAGGTGATGTTTGGTTACATGAATAAGTTCTTTAGTGGTGATTTCTGAGATTTTGGTGCATCCATCACACGAGCGGTGTACACTGTATCTAGTTTGTAATTTTTTTATCCCTCACTCCTTTCCCTCCCTTTCTCCCGAGTCCCCAAAGTCCATTGTATCATTCTTATGCCTTTACATACCCATAGCTTAGCTCCCACTTATGAGTGAGAATATATGATGTATGGTTTTTCATTCCCGAGTTACTTCACTTTGAATAGTGGTCTCCAATTCCATCCAGAACCCTCAAAACCATGCAAAACCGTGGAAACAAAATAGCCTGCTCCTGAATGATCATTAAGTCAACAATGAAATCAAGAGAGAAATTTAAAAATTCTTTGAGCTGAATGATAATAGCGATACAACTTACCAAAACCTCTGGGATACAGCAAAAGCAGTGTCAAGAGGAAAGTTCATAGCATTAAATACCTACATCAAAAAGTCTGAAAGAGCACAAATAGGCAATCTAAGGTCACACCTCAGAGAACTAGGGAAACAAGAACAAATCAAACCCAAACCCAGCAGAAGGAAAGAAATAACGAAGATCAGAGCAGAACTAAATGAAATTGAAACAAACAACAACAATAAAAAAGATAAATGAAACAAAAGGCTGTTTTTTTGAAAAGATAAATAAAATGGATATAACACTAGTGAGATTAACCAGGAAGAGAGAGGATCCAAATAAGCTCAATTAGAAACGAAACAGGAGCTATTATAATCAATACCACAGAAATACAAAAGATATTGGAAGCTACTATGAACATCTTTACACACATAAACTAGAAAACTTAAAGGAGATGGATAAATTCCTGGAAATATACAACCCTCCTAGGTTAAGCCAGAAAGAATTAGAAACTCTAAACAGACCAATAGCAAGCAGCGAGATTGAAATGATAATAAAAAAAATTGCCAACAAAAAAAGTCCAGGACCACACAGATTCACAGCTAAATTGTATCAGACATTCAAAGAAAAATTGATACCAATCCTACTGAAACTATTCCACAAGACAGAGAAAGAGGGAATCCTCCCTAAATCATTTTATGAAGCCAGTATCACCCTAATACCAAAACCAGGAAAGGACATAACAAAAAAGAAAACTACAGCCCAATATCCCTGATAAATATAGATGCAAAAATCCTTAACAAAATACTAGCTAAGTGAATCCAACAGCATATCAGAAAGATAATCAACTATGATCAGGTGGGTTTCATACCAGGGATGCAGGGATGGTTTAACATTCACAAGTCAATAAATGTGATACACCACATGAATAGAATTAAAAACAAAAATCACATGAGCATCTCAATAGATGCAGAAAAAGCATTTGACAAAACCTAGCATCCAATTATGACAATTTTTAAATATGGGGAATGGTCTTCATGGAAAAGTAGATGTTAATGGCACCTGTATTAGGGTTCTCTAGAGGGACAGAACTAATAGGATAGATGTATATATAAAGGGGAGTTTATTAAGAAGTATTGACTCACACGATCACAAGGTTGGGTTCCGCAATAGGCCGTCTGCAAGCTGAAGAGCAAGGAAGCCAGTCCAAGTCCCAAAACCTCAAAAGCAGGGAAGCCAAAAGTGCAGCCTTCAGTCTGTGGTTGAAGGTATAAGAGTCCCAAAGCTGAAGAACTTCACGTCAGAAATTCGAGGGCAGGAAGCATCCAGCATGGGAGAAAGATGTAGGCCAGAAGACTAAACCAGTCTAGTCTTTCCATGTTCTTCTGCCTGCTTTTATTCTGGCCATGCTGGCAGCTGATTAGATGGTGCCCACCCAGATTGAGGGCGGGTCTGCCTTTCCCAGCTCACTGACTCAAATGTTAATCTCCTTTGGCAACATCCTCACAGATACACCCAGGAGCAATACTTTGCATCCTTCAATCCAATCAAGTTGACATTACATATTAATCATCACAGCAACCAAAAGATTATCTCATTTAATCCTTACAATAGCTCTGTGTAGTGGGTATATATTTTCCTTTTGCTGAAGAGGAAGTAGGCTTAGAGGGGTTGAGTAATTTGCCCAGAATACCTAGGTAGTAGAAGATAGTAGAGCCATTATATTCTGTCTGCATTCAAGAGTGTGCTGCTTTATTTGTTCCTGAATTGCACACAAGCTAAAGAATACAACTGGATGTTCAGTCTACTCCTATTTTGATAACTTGGCTAACTTTACTGCAGAGTCTGCAGAGGTGACCAATTTTACTCTGGGAGATACCAGGGAATCCGCCATGTAATTCCTCAGGCTGAGTGTTTTGGAAACACAAAGCTGTCACTGCTATTAAGTGATGTTTTTTCCTGAGAGTCTACTATGCTCCCAGTACCAGCCTCCGCAGGCCCTCTGTCTACCCCTTTTCTGTCCTGATGTGTTCTAGCAGGCACTGAGAAAGTCATTGTAGAAGTTACCATGACTTTCCAAATGCTTCCAGAAGCAGAACACAATTTCACAGGAGGGCCAATAAGTATGAATGCCACCTTGATAGAAAGTGAAGTTTTGCGTCCTGTTGAACACTCAGTAAATGCTTCCTGAATAGATGCAGGATTGGCAAAACATAGCTCCCCAGCTTTCATAATTCAGACTCAGAGGCCCTTCGTGCTCCTGTTATTCTTGTTACTTCATGTCAGGTACCTAAAAGGGTTGTTTTTCAGTTTTCGTCATTGATTTAAAGCAGAGGTTAGTAAACTTTTTCTGTAAAGGCCAGGTAGTTAGTATTTTAGCCTTTGTGAGTATTTGGTCTCACAAAAGCAGCCATAGATGATATGTAAATGAATGTGCATGGCTGTGTTCTGATAAAACTTTATTTAAAAATGAGGGGTCATCTGGGCTGTGGTTTTTCAACCCCTGATTTAAAACAAAAACAAAATGTGCTATGCCTGTTAGATGCTACTACATTTGATTCTGTGTTTTCCATATTTTTCTAAAATGTACTGAACAGGAAATGAACAAACTGATGACACAATGATCTAATTTAATCATTGAGATAAGAGTGGCGCCAACTCTTATTGAGTATTTGTTATGTGTCAGGCACTTGGCTAAGCACTTTACATGTTTTCTATGATTTATAAAGCAAATATTGTTATTATCTTCATTTTTTGCTGAGGGAAGGAATAAAGTCACAGCCAGCTTACAGAGGCTGCCGGAGGTCACACATCACCAGTACACTGAAACACGTGGTCTGATTACAGGATCCATGATCTCCTGTACAGATCATAGTGATATTGACCTGAGAGGAAAGAGCCTAGGACTTACAATCAGAAATCTGGGTTCACATTTCAACTCCGTTCCATGCCAAATTACATTAAAACTGGGCCTCAGCTTTCCCACCTGTGAAAGAGGAATAATACTAGGACTTGCCCTCCCAACCTTAGAGATTGCTGTGAGGATAAAAGCCTATATGAATGTGCTTTATAAACTATAAACACCATACAAATGTTTGTTATAAGTCTGCCATTTGAATACATCTTAGTCTTTTTTTCCTATGTGAAATAAAACATTTTAAGACAAGCAATGAAATTCTTGAAACTATAACAGGTTTTTAAGGGTGTTGATCCCCAAAGCCGTCTTCACTATTTTGCTCCCTCTCTGACTCGCTCTGTCTCTGCCTAGCAGCGCTAGTCTTTTCTACGTGTTTGATCTGTTGTTCCTGTGTTTAGGCCCATCCCTACTACACAGCGGAAGTCAGCTATTTTTTCTCTTTCCTTTGCTCTGCTGAGCAAGATTAAACTCTTTTCACCTGGACTTTTCCTAGATTACTCAGGCTGGGTGGAAATGGGGTAGCTGTGAGGCTGGGATGTTACTGTACAATTCAAATTTATGATCTGAACTTAACTAGATCTTGCTGAAGATTGACCTGGCTAGCACAGTTTTGAGGCACCTATCTTTCAGTCCCTTCTGTCCTCTTGGCCTGGCCACTGGCCACATGTTAGTAGCTTACTTCTAAGGATGGAATGCCATGCATCTCCTACAAGGTTGTCTCTATGCTTCACACAAAGTAAAAGAATGGAGGCAACTTTGAATGCTGCTCATTTTCACTCAGGCAATCCCTTTACAATATTGTGCTTAGTAAACTCCCCCCACTCTTTTTTTCCCTTAGCTTGTTTTTTTTTTCTAATAAAAGTCTATATCAATTTGATGTATTAGTTAGGGTTCTCTGGAGAAACAGAACCAGTAGGATCAATTGATTGGTCAATCAATCAATCAAGACAAAAAGAGATTCATCTGGAAGGAGTTGATTCATGCCATTGCGGTCATTGGCTAGTCTGAAATCTGTAAGGCAGGCTGGCTGACTGGAAGCTCAGGCGGGATTTCTCTGCTGCAGTCTCAAGGCAGAATTCCGTCCTCTTGGGGAAACCTCAGTCTTTGCTCTTAAAGCTTTCAATTGATTGGATGAGGCCTACACACATTATGGAGAATAATCTGTTTTACTTAAAGTCTACTGATTGTAAACATTAATTATATTTAAAAAGTACTTTCACAGCAACATTTAGACTAGTGTTTGACCAACAACTGGGCACCACGGTCAAGCCAAGTTGGCATATAGAATTAGCCAGCAAACTTGGTATTCACAATCTGTCATTATAGTCTTATCTATAAACCTAAGGTTTAGAGAAACGCTGGTCATTCTGAACAATTCCCTGTGAATGCAGAGATCAAGGAGCCTCCCCTTAACTGGGTAGGCAGTGTGAAATACCTGCAGTGTACTTGACCTTACTGTTCACCCACTGGCAGCTGTTCCTACAGCTTGGCTTCAGATATATAATATTACATTGGCTAACTTCAAAGAGCATTGTTTTCCAAGGATAGAGATGGTGATGGTGTATATTACTTTTACCAGCCCCAGACCTGTAAGAGGTTCTCATCTCTTTTGTTTAAGATTTTGTTGTTTTTTTTTAATGCTCAATAAAAGAAGCTTTATTCTTTCATTAAAAAACAAATCTCAGAAGAACAGGGAAGAAGAGGGTAGCCTATGAAAGTGTGATTGTTATTTGATACCATCGTGACTTAGCTTGTTTTCACCTAAGACTCTGAGATTCTATTCTGTTTATGTGAGATTTGGGCTGAGTTCAACTACTATCCATATTAACTGAATCATAAAACAATTAATCCATCATCTGGTTACATTTTGGTGGGGAGGGAGCATTTAACACAACACTAAGCCACATATTTCACTATTTTTTTTTTTTGCAGCAAATTGACTTAACTGCTTGCTTTCACACCATGCCTATAAAACCTTTTTGGTTTTAGAGGTTCTATGTGTCTGGAAAGTACAGTGAAGTATCTCATCAGAATAGTATTAATATTTCTTATGACATTTCATATGTCCTGATATGGGTTAATGGAGAAATATCATAAGAGTAGTAATTCTCTTGCTGTTATTATTTGTCCTATTTAGACAAACAGAACATAGAATTAATAAGAATTCAAAAACTTTAATCACTGATAGAGATTAAATGATGTTTATATTAGTCATCATCACCTAATATCTTAAATATTTAACCTTTTATGCAGTGTTTGCCTCTCTACTTGGGTATGCCCTTAACAGTAAAAAGTGTTGATAATGCTCTCCCTTTTGGCACTCACAGAATTGCTATACATATATATGTATAAAATATATGTAAATATAAAAATACATAGTTAAAAAAATAAATCTACCACTAAATATAGTAAGGGAGTTTTAAACTGAGGTTTTTGAAGTCTTTAAGAATTTATTTAGAGACTTCTTTTGTTGGAAGTATGGTGGCTAGATGCCATGAAAAACCCACTGAAAACAAGTGTAAGTGCTAGGTAATATGTTGAAACATATCTTTTGAAATGTATTACTGAGCTGGCAAGAAAGTATGCCATTGTAGAGAGTGAAAATAAGTGAAGGCAGAATCCTGGGAGGTAAGCCAGCCTGAAGATATTGATGACACTGGATGGCCTTAAGTTTCCATTTTGACTGGCATGTAATCCAGCCAAAGATTCCCACAGAAATCCGAGGTTCCAAATGGTAAATCCGTGGTGACATTGGGGTGACCGAGAAATGAACTCTGTGCAGAAAGGAATGGTAACAACACTTGTCTCGTACAACTTTGGCTCTGGGTAGGGGAAAGGAAAACAGCTTCCTAGAGAAATGTTAACCACAAGCTAGCCCTCATGAGAGATTTCAGCTAGGATGGATGCTATCTGTGTAGTGCAAAAAAAAAAAAAAAAAATCCATAGCCAGATTTTGTGCTTTAATGTGGACCTAGGTCAATAGTGACTGCAAAGCCAGAAGCAGTGGCTCACCCCTGTAATCCCAGCACTTTGGGAGGCCGAAGGAGGTGGATCGCTTGAGGTCAGGAGTTCGAGACCAGCCTGGCCAACATGGTGAAACCCTATATCTACTAAAAATACAAAAATGAGCCTAGAGTGGTGGTGGGTGCCTGTATTCCCAGCTACTTGGGAGGCTGAGGCACAAGAATTGCTTGAACCCAGGAGGCGGAGGTTGCAGTGAGCCAAAATCGCACCACTGCATTCTAGCCTGGGCAACAGAGTGAGACACCATCTCAAAAATAATAATAATAAAAAAAAGTGACTGCAGGGGACTGGGAAGAGGAAACACAAATCTTTACTGGGGAATGGAATTTCAAGTGTATGCACCAACCCTTAGAAATCACAAAACATCTGACCCTTCTGAAAATAACCACCATGAGTGAGACAGCAGGAAAAAAAAAAAGAAAAAAAAAAAAAAAACAAGGAAAGAGAGGGACAATAGAATCAGACTCATACCTACAAAACTTAAAAATTAAATAAAATGAATCAGACTCAGAGGCTTCAGAGTTTGATTTAAATACATTATACAAAAGTTCTGTGTGAAATATGTTTAAGATGTAGAAGGGTGCTTGAAATGCACAAAGTCAACAGCTGAAAAATTGACCAAGCAGATATGAAAATAAAATCCAATAGAGGGCATCTGGAAATAAAAAAGTATAATAATTATAGTGAAAAAAGTTATTAGATGGGTTAATTAGTAGAATGGATATAGCAGAAGAAAGATTTAGTCAACTGAAAAATATATCCAAAGAATAGGTCCAGAATTAAGCTTAGGGAGATAAAGAGATGGTCAATACGAACATTAGGAGACATGGAGAACAGTGTACGAAGGTGTAATAAATTCTAACTGGAGTTAAAGAGGAGATAGTAAAGAGGAAGAAAAAACACAAAACTCAAAAAATGTAGTGGCTGAGAATCTTCCAGAAGTATTGAAAGACACCAATCCACAGATTCAGAAACCTACAATTTGCAAGAAAAAGTAAAAAGAATTTCACACCAAGATCCATCTTCATGGACTGGCAGAGCATAAGAGATGAAGAGCTTATCTTGAAAATGCAGCCAGAGAGAAAAGGTCTATCGCAGTTAAAGGAAGAGGCAAGCAGATGACTGAGTTCTCAATGCCAACTGAAAATGAGAAGCCAGTGGCACACCTTCAATATGTTGGGAGAATATAATTTTCAACTTAAAATAGTGTACATTGTAAAATTACATTTCAAAAAAAGAGGGTAGTATAATGACATTATCAAATAAAAACCATCCCTTATAACAAATATCACTAAAGAAACTGTTGGAGGATGTAGTTTAGGTTTCTAGAAAGGATGTCTGATATGCAAGAAAGAATGGTAAGTCAAATATTGAGAAATATGTGAGGAAATAGAAACAAGAATAACTAATGAATCAATGATACTGTCTAATTTGAAGGTTAAATGATTAGGTAGAACTAAAATATGAAACAATAATAGTATGTAAGTCGGGAGGAGGAGGATGAAGCTTGAAGTGCTCTATGCATCTTGCATCTCTGGTGTCTTTCTTGTGTCCAAACTTTTTCTTCTTTCAAGGACACCAGTTAGACTAGATTAGGGTCCACCTAATGACCTCATTTTAACTTATTTGCCTCTTTAAAGGTTCTATCTCCAAATACGGTCCCATTTTGAGGCACTAGGGGTTAGGGTTTCAACGTATAAATTTTGGGGGGACACATTCCAGCCGATAGCAATTATAAATACAACTTTTATAGTAAAAGCCCATCTTCTAGAACAGGTAGAGAACAAGGTTACTTATTTTTTTTAAGAACAAAATTGGTTTAAATTATCCTAAAATGATTTTAGGAGAAAATGGACATTAAATATACAACATTTCCTCCTTTATTATTTTATTGATGACTTGATATGTTTTTTAAAACTCAGTAAAATAAATGATTAGTCTCATAATCATAAGAGAGTTATGCCCTTATTTTAATGCCATAAAACTGTGACTTCTGAAGAAATACAATCATATAAAATCATATTTTAATTTACTTTTGAGAATGTACAGTAACTCAGGAAGGCAGAGTGTGGAACCTGCTTTAATGAATAGATAAGAATGACTAGCAATTAAAAATTAATTATCTATAATTCTTCTGAAGTTCTTGAAAATAATCTCTTCTAACCTGGGTAAATATTCCTCCTTTTCAGAAATGTTTGCAATGTTGCTTTTTTTTAAATTAATCTCTTTTTCTTAGATAATGGAACATAAATCTTAGGCACATTTGCTTTGTAAATACCAAATTGCACACAGATTAAAATTTAATGAGCTTTTACTGCTGTAATCTCAACAAGCAGAGTCTTTGCTGTTGGTTTTTCAATAAGAAATACTTTATTTTGTTATACAGTGGTCATTAAGAACCTTAAAGATAATCAGGACAGATTTTCCAAATTGCATAATGCTATTGCCTAGCTATTTGCATGTATTTTTTTTAAATGACAAGACATTTCGTTAAATATTTACTTGCCTGACGTTGAAAGATTTAGACAAACAATGTACTTCTAGTTGTCACTTTTTCAAAAAGATTCTTAGGGAAAAGTTAGCCGTTTTGTTGGTTGGTAAGTGATGGGTTTTCTTGGAACGTGTTGCTTGCTAATTTTACCAGAGAAGAAAATAAATTCAAATGGTAAGCTACATTCCAATTTGTATTCTTCTTCTAAAGTCCTCCCTGTTTGCATTCTCGGATTTTGACACTCCTACACACCAGTTAAAGCACTTGTTAGAGTGTCCAAAAAATTGTTGCAATTAATTTCCCAGTCTCTTCTCTCTTTGATGTGTCACTATAATGCTTTGAGTAATTTTCAGTGTCTGGCATCTGTTCAAGGACAATTTCTGGATTTTAGGAGGGGGAGAAGCAATAAAGGAAACAACATATGTTTTTTCCTAAATAGGAGGCATTTTTTGTTTGTTTGTTTGAACAAAAATCAAAAACTTTCTTTTCTATATAGGTGACAAAAAGATACACGACTCATTGGTTGTTAACTACCATTGCATTCTTTTCTCTTTGGAGTAGCCCTTAAGGACCAGATTAGACCAGCCATCTGCATCATGTAGCATGTCTGGGTTACCTTTCCCAAAAGAAGTTCAGATAGATGAACTTTGCAAACCAGAGCCATCTGAAGTTTGTTTTTTCTTTTTGAGACAGAGTCTCATTCTGTTGCCCAGGCTGGAGTGCTGTGGTGCAATCTCAGCTCAATGCAACCTCCGCCTCCCGGGTTCAAGCGATTCTCCTGCCTCAACCTCCCAAGCAGCTGGGACTACAGGCACGTGCCACCACGTCCAGCTAATTTTTGTATTTTTAGTAGAGACAGGGTTTCAGCATATTGGCCAGGCTGGTCTCAAACTCCTGACCTTGTGGTCCACCCGTTTTGGCCTCTCAAAGTGCTGGGATTATAGGCATAAGCCACCACGCCCAGTCCATCTGAAGTTTTAAAATGGCTGCAGGTATCTTAGTAGGAGACTAATTTTATTTTCCAATGATTAGAAAAAAATGACCAGACCAAGAACTCTAGGGTTATGTTTCATCTCATATCCTGTGCAGGATGTTCTGAGAAGTTTCTATTTGTATCTGTGGAGTGGTTCTAGTCTTGTTCATCTTGCATTTTAAGGTTTGGAGGTATTTTATCTTGCCTTGCTTCTTTACCACCTTGCTTTAATTTCCCCCTATATTGCCATTTCTAAAGTAATGACTCATTTTCAAGGGTGGGTCTGAAAGGAAAGAAATAATAAAACCAGAGATCTGGAGAAGTTTCTCGTTCATGGTCTTATTCACTTTTTAATAAGAGCATCTAGAACAGTGAGTGGTGCCCCAGCAGATATCTGGAAATTTTTGTGGAATTGAATTGAATTTGTTCTTAGAGTAAATGACAATAAAGAAAATAGTATTATGGAAACTTTCGACCCAAGGGAAATATCAAGGCTAAAGTTGCTATATTATTTTTCTTCTGATGGATGCTGAGTTTTTCTCCTTAAAAAACAAATCCACATTTAAACATAAGGCATTGTTTGATGGCCTATCACATTCAGTAGAATGGATTTGAGAAATACGTGTAGGATGCCTATTAAAAACTCTGTTTTGAAATTAAACCTAAGACTATAAGATTGTCTGTTTAAAAAAATTATTGCTGCTGTAATTTGAGCAAATCTGAACTATATTGAACTTTAGAAATTCAAATGTATGCAATCTTGTAATATAACTTACTCCATCGGTAGACATAGTTCTTTGTCCCACCTGGCTTCCAGCAGTTTGTCTGTCTGTCATTAGGCTAAACTCTTCATGTTCCTAAACATGTTTTCCTCAAAAGGGGACATATTTCTTGGGTCAGATGTAAACATCAAGCTAAGGAGTTCTGCTGTGCGTCTAGACAAATAAGGTTCATTTTCATCCTCTACATAGTGTTAAACTTGAATTTAAGATCACACAGATTCCTTTACACGTTACCAATGTAATGATATAGACAATCTCACTTTATTCATTCACTCTGTTTAATTCATTCAATAAAAACGTATACATTGGCTGCCTACTGTGTGCCAGTTGGTGAAGATATAAAGATGATTAAGGCAAGGGTCTGTGCTGACATGCCTAATGGGCAGGCTGACACACCTAAACGCCAGGGAAAAAGAGGGATGAGACCTGGGCCTCTGAAGCCCTGGCCACCTGGCTCGAAGCTCACTTTAATGTGCTTCTGGGTGTATTCCATGACTTTTTAAAGGCGCTTATGTTTCCTTTCTGGTAAAGCATGTTTAACATGCAAAATGCTTATTTCATTGAGTAGCTTTTAAAAAGTGTTCATAGAATGTCTAGAACAGTGCTTGTCTAATAGAAGTATAATTCAGGTCACGTAGGTAATATTAAATTTTCTAGTAGCCACATTAAAAAGTAAAAAGCAACAGGCAAAGTTAATATTTTTTTTTTTCCTGAGATGGAGTCTTGCTTTGTCACCCAGGCTGGAATGCAGTGGTGTGATCTCGGCTCACTGCAAGCTCCGCCTCCCGGGTTCAAGCCAGTCTCCTGCCTCAGCCTCCTGAGTAGCTGGGACTATAGGCGCCCGCCACCACACCTGGCTAATTTTTTGTATTTTTAGTAGAGACGGGGTTTCACCGTGTTATCCAGGATGGTCGTTAATTTTAATAATATATTCATTAATTTTAATAATATATTCATTTAGTCCTATATAAAAAAATTAGCATTTCAACATGTAATCAATAGAATATATTATTAGTCAACTATTTTGCATTCTTTGTTTTGTACCATCTTTGAATTTCAATTTGTATTTTATACTTACAGTGCATCTCAATTTTAATGCTAAATGTCATCGGAGATATTCGATCTCTGTTTAGCTTTAATATATTTTTGGGTTGAAAAAGTAAATTCACATAACCAAGTTCTTCCAAATATACTTGAAAGTGTTTCTGATAACTGAGTTATCAACTTAAAAATGTAAGTTAATGACAATAAATGAAAGAAAAATTCTGTTCCTTAGCTGCACTGACCACATTTTAGTGTTCAATAGTCGCAGGTGGCCAGTGGCTATCATATTGGATAGTACAGCTTTAGAATGACAGTTCAGTGCAACAAGTGCTATAATAGACTCATGAACTGGAAGCTCCGGGAAGTTAAGAATGGGATCAATGAAGTGGGTCTTGAAAAACCAATAAAAATTCACCACGTAGAGAGGAGGAGGGCGACTACTCCAATTCAATCTTTTGAAAGCATGTGAAGGAGCAACAGTAGACTTCTTTAATTATTTAATAGTAATTTATTGAACATGAATTATGGGAGGTGCATGGTGTGGGTGCTGGTGAGACATAGTTCCTGAGCTCAAGTAGCTTGGTGTCTAAATATTCATGGGCCCATTTTTCAGAAAGGATGGATATATGTGTGATCCTGGGTGTGCCAAATGCTGTGGCTTCCTGAAGCTTAGATTTCCAGCTTGTCACCTTCAAGGTTACCTTGTGAATAGGACTTTTTTGAGCTGTAAGTAAATTTACTTTGCCTATTTATTTCCAATGGAAAAAAAGCTTTTTTAAAAAATAAATCTCATCTTATTGCCTATGATTGGCCAAGACAACATGGCCCATACAGAAGGTTTTTGATGGCTTCTGAGGTCTGTTATCATTTGCTTATTGGCATTTCAGCTGTCAACCAGGGTTCTGTCAAATTCCATTCCTGCCTTTAGCTCTTTTACTTGAATACCTGGGGCAATGGCAGAAGTGGTTGCTATTTGTCACCTTTCCAGGATGTTAGTCGTGTCCTTGAGACAAATAGAAAATTTAAAGTCAGATGACTTGATTCCTCTGCCAGTTAAGACCCTTAGAGAGTCCTCAGAATGTTGCTTATTTTTAAATTTCAAGTCCCTGGTAAGGATCAAGTAAACTCCCCAATTTGCAGATTTCTATCCAGTTGACTATGGATTTTGCCTGTTGCTTTGTTTCCACCAACTCTCCCTGAAGATGAGGCGCACAGACAGACAACTCACAGGCAAGAACAGCCTGGTCCATCTTGAAAGATTCTCAAGACTATTCTCCACAAGATAATTGTCTACTTTTAAAAATATTCAGTAAAGGGAATTTTTGCTGTTATCCTTGGTTGTGTTTTTAGTATCTCATCATCCTTCTAGTTGTAGGAGGCTTTTCCTAACATCTAACCCATATGTCTGTTGTCTCATCAGGTGTTTCTATTAAGGCTACTTCCCCATCAATCTTAATTTTTTTTTTAATCTTCTGAGATGTATAGGTTAAGTTGAAATCAGAGACTTTCATAAAATGGTAAGATGGCCATTTAAACGCAACTATGAGGAAATAATGTAAGCAGGATTCCATTGGAGAACCAAACACTAGCAACAACTAACTTGGTAATCAATGTTGGGACTTGAAGTTAGGCTAAAATCAATAGTAATGGCACTCGTATGTACAAATGCAGAACTTTTTACACACAATGATTTTTCCCTCTGTTATTATACACTAGCTGTGTCTGAGTAGACAGTCCAGCTCCACTACCTGCAGTCCACCCTGGGCTGTGTAATCTGAGCACTGATGGGCTGTTATTTGTACGTATTACTTCTATGACACTGTTTTTTCATCTGTGTTAGAAATGTCTTTCTTTCTTGAATAAGCTGCTTCAATTTCTTATAGACAGATTCTGCTTTTATGACCCTTGTTTCTACAAAGTAATCTCTACTCATGCTGAAATCTCAGACAATTTTAACAAATATTTAGAGTACTTAATTTTTCTTTGAATTCTAAATATTATCCTTCTTTAGTTCACCATAGTTGGATATTTTGAGATAACTGTGGAGGAAACAGCACTGATCCTGGGGCCATGAAACCTGATTTCAAGATCTAGTCCCTTCTTTAATTTTGCACAACTAATTTAATCACATTCATCCTTAATTTCATCATCATTAAAATAGCAGAGAATAATTCCCGTTTCATGGAGTTGATATGCAATGAAATAGCATATCAATGTATGTATGAATGTCCCCCAACATAGAGTACTACACAAATGAAACGTGTCACTCAGCATAACGTTATGTGCTCCTTCCTGCAACTGGATTGCACTCCAGTGGGATTTCATGCTGGTGAGATGGCTGTGCTGCTGGACTTCATGGGACACCAATCTTTGAAAATAAGCCTGATCTGGCTGGGCGTGGTGGCTTATGCCTGTAATCCCAGCACTGTGGGAGGCTGAGACGGGCGGATCACCTGAAGTCAGGAGTTTGAGACCAGCCTGGCCAACATGGTGAAATCCTATCTCTACTAAAAATACAAAAAAATTAGCTGGGCATGGTGGCATGTGCCTGTAATCCCAGCTACTTGGGAGGCTGAGGCAGGAGAATCACTTGAACCCAGGAGATGAAGACTGTAGTGAGCCGAGATTGCGCCACTGCACTCTAGCTGGGGCAACAGAGTGAGACTCTGTCTCAAAAAAAAAAAAAAAAAAAAAAAAAACACAAACAAAAAAAAAAAAGAAAAAGAAAATAAACCTGATCTATAGATGAGGCCAGTGGATCTTGTGAAGAGTTGAAAGGTCAGGTATCAGTCTTATACCATGTCGGATGGGGCAATCGTCATAACTTTTTAAAAAATTATTTATTTATTTTGAGACAGTGTCTCACGCTGTCCCCCAGGCTGGAGTGCAGTGGCATGTTTTCGGCTCACTGCAACCTCCGCCTCCTGCGTTCAAGCGATTCTCATGCCTCGGCCTCCCTAGTAACTGGATTACAGGTGTGTGCCACCATCCCTGGCTAATTTTTTGTATTTTTAGTATAGACAGGGTTTCACCACGTTGGCCCAGGCTGGTCTCGAACTCCTGACCTCAGGTGATCCACCTGCCTCAGCCTCCCAAAGTGCTGGGATTACAGGTGTGAGCCACCGTGCCTGCCCCAATTGTTACAGCTTTTTAAGTGGATTATATGCCTGCTTCAGGCATTAGACATAATAAGTTAATCTGTTGATAAGTTTCTTCATTTCTTAATTTTCAGTTGTGTTTTGATGTGTGTGGTCTGGGTGAGCGGCTCAGTGCTGCTGCTGTGGAGAAGGCGTGATATGGAAGGGATGTGACTGTCCTTCTTCATCTTCATAACGGGGCCAGGACTGGGGTGAGGTGTGTGAGATGAATGAAGCACTGGTTTTGATACAAAATTTAAGAAAAATCAAATTCAAGAGGTAATATTTTAATACGATATTTGTAAAAAATCAAAATTAGTGCAAAAATTTGTGATGAGCAAAATGTTAGATAAAGGCATTGTTGCTTTTCTTTTTCTGTGTATTGTAACACACCATCACTTAGTGGAGAAACAGCTCTCACTTTCCTCCTCCCCAGATACAACCATTTATGTTGAATTAAACTTCTAGTTCTCCTATACCTGTGAGCATCCCCCAGGCCCCTTGGTATGGAGAAAGCAGTTTATTTGTCTTAGTAAGATTATAAAAGTGGCAATAAAATGTGAATGTAATGAACAAAATGCACATTTTGTGGACCAACTTGTTGTTTTAGATCTATTTTTGAAAACTCATTAGGTATGTGCATGAGGCAAAATAATTCAAGTGCAGTTGGATATTAAATGAAAAAGTGTCAGGTCCCCTTTTCTGCCATATTCTCTTCTGTGTCTTCATTAGTGGAAACCATTTTGACCAGTTCTTATAATTCTAATGATTTGCTGATGGCTCTAATTCTTGGTTTATCAACTTCAAGCAGAATGTCTTGACATCTTGGTATGAAAGTTAAAGAATATGAATCATTTGTTCTCTCCCTTCTCCTTTCCTCTTTCTCTGCCTCTCAGTTTTTGTTGTATGCTCACGGAGTATGTGTGTGAGCATGTGTGTGTGTGTGTGTGCACGCGAGCACGTGTGTGTGTGTGCGCGCCCATGGGTCCATTTTTGCATGGCAGGCTTTGTTTTAGAAAGATTGGTTACAACAGCTGCCCCACCAATCTCCTCTACAGGGAAGGATTCCTACTCTGAGACCTTGGTCTTTTCCAGGCAGATCACTTACATTTCCTCACAGATTATTTCTCATCCTGCAGCCTGGGTCCAAATGGGCTTTGCTGTGAACAGTGACTCTCAGGCTTCTGGTCTCTGCTGTGCTTGAGTGTCGTTGAGATGCTCCATCTCCTCCTACTGCACCCACCCAGCAATCATCTCTCTTTCAGGAATTCACCAAAGTCTTTTTTAAAATTATTCTTTTGTTTTGAGACAGAGTCTTGCTCTGTTGCCCAGGCTGGAGTACAGTGGCGCAATCTCCGCTCGCTGCAACCTCTGCCTCCTGGGTTCAAGTGATTCTCCTGCCTCAGCCTCCTGACTGGCAGGGACTACAGGCATGTGTCACCACACCCAGCTAATTTTTGTATTTTTAGTAGAGATGGTGTTTCACCATATTGGCCAGGCTGGTCTCAAACTCCTGACCTCAGGTGATCTGCCGGGGTCCATTTTACGTGGCAGACTTTATTTTAGAAAGATAGGTTACGACAGTTGCTCCACCCATCCCCCCTGCAGGGAAGGAGTCCTACTCTGAGACCTTGGTCTTTTCCAGGCAGATCACTTACCTTTCCTCACAGATTATTTCTCATCCTGCAGCCTGGGTCCAAAGTGCTGGGATTACAAGCGTAAGCCACCACATCCGGCTCACCAAAGTCTTTGGGTGGTTGATGTCATATGCCTCCAGTTGATAGCACTTTTAAGAATTTTTCCTTTTTGTATGCTGTTATTATTTTTAGAAGGCTTTTGGATTATTATTGTTAAAGAGTATGCCATGTCTATCTTTTAACTTTTAAGCATCTATTGCTTTGTTACTTGTACTTTATATATATGTATATCCTTCCCCCAATAAGACAAAGAGTGCAAATAATCACCTCCCTTGCCTGTTGTTTGGGTTTAATTCAGGAGTCAGTGGAATTAAAAGCCTAAACTCAGTATAGTTTTAAAGCAGCAGTCCCCAACCCTTTTGGCACCAGGGACTGGCTTTGTGGAAGACAGTTTTTCCATGGACCAGTGTGGGGGCTGGAAGGTGATTCCAGGATGATTCAGGTACATTACATTAATTGTGCACTTTATTTCTATTATTATTACATTGCAATACATAAGGAAGTAATTATACAACTTACCATAACATAGAATCAATGGGAGCCTTGAGCTTCTTTTCCTGCAACTAGACGGTCCCATCTGGGGGTGATGGGAGACAGTGACAGATTATCAGGCATTAGATTATCATAAGGAGTGCACAACCTAGATCCCTTGTGTGCACAGTTCACAGTAGGATTCGTGCTCCTATGAGAATCTAATGCTGCCACTGATCTGACAGGAGGTGGAGCTCAGGCAGTAATGCGAGCAATGGGAGTGGCTGTAAATACAGATGAAGCTTCACTTGCACGTTCACTGCTCACCTCCTGTTGGGCGGCCCAGTTCCTAACCAGGGTTGGGGACCCCTGCTTTAAAGAATATGTTTGTGGATTCATAGAGGGAAACAACACACACTGGGGCCTTTCGGAGGGTGGAGGGTGGGAGGAGGCAGATGATCAGAAAAAATATTAATAACTAATGTGTACTAGGCTTAATATCTGGGTGTTGAAATAATCTATACAACAAACCCCCATGACACAAGTTTACCTATGTGAGAAACCTGCACGTGTACTCCAGAGCTTAAAATAAATGTTAAAAAATTCCCTCCAAAAAGGATATATTTGCATCGGAGTTATATTTGTATATGAGTATATATTTGTATATATAAATATACTTGTATATGAAAAAAATATCTTTTTTCTTTCATTTTATTTTCCAAACATTAAAGTCGGGCACATTGGTTAGGAATTTCACCAATACTTTTTACAAAACTGAGGACTTGGATGATAAAGGCACTTTTTAAAAGATTACACACTGGCATGGGGAATAATACCTTTATAAAGATGATCTATGTGTTCCTGAATATCCCGATGCATCTCCTAGCTGGATCTTCCGCTCCACAAAAATTCATAAGATGAGATTCTTGAATTAGAATGCATGCCTTAATGTATTAAGTCTATGTAGAGAGAGTTATTTAGTCCATGTAAATTAAGTGGGAATATTTTTATTTGATTACTGTTTTATCTGGATCTTGCCCACTTAAGGCCTTCAAAAATGAAATTTAAGGCCTGTTAAGCAGACCCAACATCAACAGCATATTCTCTCTCTCTTGTAAGTATTGTCTAGTTGATAAAAAATTTCAAAAACATGTCTTAATCAAAAACAAGATGATCCAGCACAGGTTTAATAAATGTTTTGTGAATATGGCACATTCGTGTCTCATTACTACAGTTTTCCTATGCTGTCTTTCTCAATAATTCCCCCCAAAATTGTAGTGTTTACATTATGGCATTTATAGTTACCTCTGAACCTAAAAAATTAACTTCAAAAGTATTTAAAAAAATCATTATATTTAAAACCATTTCATGTTTAAATGGTTTGTACAGGGCAATGAAAGGAAATGTAGTAATAAACACAGAATCAGATTTGGTCACTAATATTTTTCTGCAGTTGAAATATATGTAGACTGGCTTAGGGTCTAAATAGCATTGAATCCTGTTACCTTCCATCTATAATCAATTAATGTATTATGACATTGTTGTCCTCAGATCACTGGGATCTCATGGTAAGTAAGTAAAGGGATTATTCTGTGCATTTTCCCAATATCTATATTAGTTTTAATATACCTTTATGTTAATGTATGACACTGACACTTAGTAATTGGATTAACTTCCTATCAGAATTTGTTTTTCACTCATACTTTGTATACATGTCTTAAGGGTAGGGTAGATGTACATTTTTTTCTGTGTTAGCCTATCTGTTTCTGTGACACTACATGCTTTCTGTCCTCCAATTTGTGTTTCTTTCCGTGTACAAATATGCATCATCTACCATCTACATCTACAAAACATGTAGGCTTCCAATGTTTTCATGTAAATACATTTCATGAGTCCTCAGTAGAGTGTTAGATGAGTGGTTAATTAGTAATGTTAATAAATGTAAATTACAATAAAAACATTTATAATGTTAATAAATATAAGTTTATTGAACTTAAATAATTTAAACATCTTCTGAAATGTAGTAGAAATTATGATTAGCCATAACTAGTACAGTATTTTTTGCTTGTTTAATTTTTTTGGTGATATTCCATTTGTGGAATGAGTGTGTGTGTGTGTGTGCAGTACAGACAGAAAGGAGAGAAACATATCTGCATGTTATGTTAGAAAGAGTAGTGTTAGCTACCCTACCAAATTTACATACTGGCTGAACACAGTATGTAAAAAATTATTTTTTTAGTCCATTGCTGGTGTTCCTTGTTGTTGGGTGACTCTATTCCACATGGTGATGCAGGGAACCAATCTCCTTCCTTCTGTGGCTGTGTAATCCCTTGCAACCTTGAAGTCCTCTGCATCTAACTTTAGGATGAGGAAAGTGAAGGTGGAGGATATAGCCCTCTTGACTGCCTTGACCTGGACCTGGAACATCTCTTTTGCTCCCATTCCATGGGGAAGAACTAGTGACATGGTGGCCCATAGCTGCAGAGGGGAGGCTGAGAAATGCAGCCTCTGGATAAGAAGCCTACTCCCAGTGGTTACTGTACATTGTGGGAGGGAAGCTTGAATTCTGATGGACAGTGAGAACCATTCTCCACACAATAACGAAATGACGTCTTCTCAACCTTGGCAATGTAGCATCCTGTGACTTAAGTATGTAAATAATTATCAGTACAGGTCAGTGAAAAATTAGGTCACCTTTCCCTTCCACTTTTAATTCTATAGTTTAATTTGCCTATCTGCTACATATTATATATATGGGAATAGATAAGATTATCTATAAACATGTATAAATTTGTTTCCTACACTAAAAAGAAAAATGACAAAGAAGAATTAAGTTAGTTGCCCAAATCCACACAATACCACCAGGAGAAAGTCTAGGAACCATACCTTCTAAATCCAGGTCTACACTTCTTTAGTGCACTAAATTTTTTCCTAATATAGCTCTGAGGAGACTGGTGTTTAAGAGGAGAATGTTAAGCCAAAAGCCCATTTCACTTGGCTCTGTACAGACAGTAAGTTAATTTCCAGGATGTATAACTCCTGATTTTCTGTGATGACAGAGAAAATACTGACCTGATTTGGGTAACTCTGAGGTTTGGAGATCTTGAATAGCCTCATGTTCCTGAACTTCTTTACCATACATGAATTACTTCTTAGGAAGAAACATTTATTCTGTAGAATTTGGTTTCGCATTTTATTTTTATTTTCTTAGACACTGGTAGTTGGAAATTCAGGAAGAATTTGACTACAAAAAACATTTATTAAAAAGAGTTTCTAATCTCACCTGCTAAGTGCTACAAGGAAAAAAAAAAATACATTTTGAGCCCTCAAGGGGCTCCAAATACGGTTGAAGGAAAATTAGACCCAGAATAGTATATGATTAGGAACAAAACGATGGCAGAGAAATGAGAGTTTAGAGAAAGGAGAGATAATCCTGAGTTACCTTAGGAAGAGAAAATTTCACAGAGAAAACGGCCCCCACACTGATTTGGGGAAGATGATTCAGACTTGTCTCAATGGCATGAGGAGCAGGGGCCAGATGGGAAAGGACATCGTGGTGGAAATGACACGATGAGCAGAAGCTTAGAAGTACTTCTGCTTCACGTCTGTGATTCTGCCTCTCCCCTTGTTTCTGCAGTGCTAAGTTGAGTGTAGTTCCCCACACAAACCCTGAGCTTTCTTCCCCTCCAGGCTGCTCCATCAGTCAGACAGGAGTGCCTTCTCAGGGGATCCTCTTCCTCATCTTATCGGGCCACTCATCTCGTCGCAGACATTCCCATACTCCTGGTTGACTTGCTCTTCCCTCTTTTTAACTGACATGAGCAGGCATCACCTCTTCCAGGAAACTTCCCTGACACCAGGCTGAGTCTCTCTGGTGTCGGGGAAGGCTTCTGTATTACTGCATCTGCCATTTTGATTTAAGGTTTTCTGCTCATTCCAACTCAACAGTGAGCTCTTTGAGGGCAGAAATTGTGTCTTATTCATTTTTCTTGTTATGCCCTAAAAATGTATTGTGATAATATATAAGTAACGTACAATTTACCATTTTCACCTCTTGAAGTGTATAGCTCAGTGGCGTTAAGTGCATTCACACTGTTGTGCAACCATTATCACCATTCATCTCCAGAACTTTCTCATCATCCCAGGCAAACTCTGTATCCATTACACAATAGCTCTCCATTTCCTCCTGCCCTCAGCCTCAGGAAACCTCCCATCTACTTTCTCTTTCTACGCGTTTAACTACTCATATAGATGGAATCATCCAACATTTTTCCTTTTGTGCCTGGCTTATTTCACTTGACATAATGTTTTCAAGGTTCTTTTATGTTTTCTTATGCGTTTTTATATCTCTCTATCTTTGATAGCACCCAATACATAGAAGACAATGAATGTTTTTGTGAGTGAAAACATAAGACCAGAAAGAAATAGGATGTCATATTCTAGGGACACTCAAGACACTTTCTTGAGGACAGAGGCACTGTAGCTTGGAATTTGGAAGATGAGGTTGGCAAGGTGGGTGGGGAAAGGATGGAAAAGTGATACGTTTCTTGAAGCATGTGGATTTGCTTCCATAAGCAGTGGTGGACCAGTGGGCACCCTTATCTATTAAAAGAATGATTTTTTTTGTGACTCGTGTAGAGCACTGTCTTAGTTACCTACCCCAGTGGTAGATAAGAGAAGCGGATTAAAAAGAGATCTGAACCTGAGGAAATGGAGACTACCAAGTTTTTTGTAAATATGTCTGTTATAACATATATTATCTAGTACTTGCGATGCCTGTGCCAAAGCATGCTTTTTGGTTTAGTTAAGCCTACTTAGCTCGCTAATTTCAGTAATTTTGGCTTGAATTGCAAAAAGTTGATGGGGGAGATGGGGGAGTCTCTGACATCCTTCCCCCACTCACAGGTTTGAAAAATAAAATTATGAAGAGCAAAAGGATCTTTTTCTGTGGTAAATTGTACTTCATGACAATAAACGAGTTGTGGTTTTAGTGGTTAATTTATAAATTAGGCCATCTGGTTCTTCTGTAATCTAAAGATTTTTATATATATGTAAAATACAAAGTTGTCCTGGGCAACTGCCAATCTATAAAGGAGAAAACATCTTGAACTCTGTGGAGATAATAAAACCATATTCAGCTGCCAAAGTGCTGCTGACATACTGTCCAATGAGACACCCAACGCCTTTGCATTACAGCCAGCAAGGTGTGGAGCTAGATGTATTGATCTATTTAATAATATTAGCTTCTCTTCTCTGGGTCGGACTTGGCCCAGAGCAAGTGAACAGGACCTATCTATCTCCTTCTCAAAAGTCACAGCTTTCTTACCAAATTGTACAACTCAAGCCACAAAGAAAACAAGTCAAGGAAAGGACCAGAGGAGCACGAGGGCACATGCCTTGTTCCCAGACCCTGGGACCAGCTCCAGCTCTGGCTCCTTGCAGATCCCGCTCTTCTCAAGTTCTCTGGCTTTGATCCTAGTTTTCTGCCCTACTATTCCTGACATGTACAGCACTTAGCAATTCATAACTTGCTTTATTAACCAATATCTCAACAGAACTTTTAAACAACCTGGGAGGAAGCAGAGTGGGTGTTACTGTCCTCATTGCACAGATAATGAAACTGAGGTTCAGAAAGGTTGAGTGTCTTGCCCAAGGCCACACGGCTTCTTAGTGGAGAAGCCAGGATCTGCACCAATGTCTTCCATTGGACACACTGCCACTTAATATGGTACTTAGTTTTTCTTTCTAGATGAAGCAGTATGAGGAATTCTACCATGGATATCTCTCTCTATTTTTTTAAACTGCAAAATAATGATAATGATAATAATGAATACTTCTAGAATACAGTCTCTATGCCAGGCACTATATGCTTTATATGTACTAACTTGCTTAATTCTCCTAACAACCCTAGAAGGTAGTTACTAATATTATCACTATTTTTAAATGGGGAAACTGAGTTACAGAGATGGTAAATAAGTTGCCCAAGGTCACAGAGGCAGCCAGATTAGTGACAAAAGTTTGAGAGTACTCAGTTTGAATTTTACATGTTCCGTGGATATGGTTTATGCCAAATACCTTCTCCTTTCTAGACCTCAGTTTCCTCATGTATCAAACAAGTGGACTGCACTATACAACTCTGAGGTCCCTTCTAGCCTGAAGATTAGAGTCTTTTATGCCCACATGATATGGAAAACATTAATGCTGGCTCTTTAAGACTGGAACCTTGTCATTTAAAAAAATAAGCTCTACTAAATTTGCAGTAAACTGTCCAAATACGATCTCTGGTCTCTGATTTGTATCTCTCACAGAGCATGATACAATGCTAGACACATATATACTCATTAAAAACTTGCTGAATTAAATTGTAAAACATTCCTCCAGATAGACCGTAAGGGTGAGCTGATGCCCTAATATGCTCCTCAGCTGCTGACTTAGGACCCGTGGGTGACAAACCCTGTCCTTGTTGTTCCATCTGTGACAGTGGGCAGTGTCCAAAATGAGTCTCTTCATCAAAAGTGAGTCCAGGAAACTGGATCAGAGTAAGTAAGGAGTCTTCCTTGCTTCTTTTTCTCTAAAATACAATACAGTGCATTCTAGCAAACTACCAGCATGCCTATAAATCTCATTTTAAAAATATCAGGAAATAGATGCTCATTGATAAAGAGGGTAAGAATGAGCAAGGGAGAGAGTCAAGCCTGTACATTTGTGCTTAGGGTATTTTCATTTGAGAAATTATCATTGGAAAGATCAATTTCCAAGGCAGGCGTTTTGTCTTGACTTAATAAACTAATCTTTATCAATAATAATTAAATAATGTCATTTTCCCAGATACAAAGGGGAAACCATAATGCCTTTCATATGCCTTCTCATATCTTCAGTGTTTCTCAAACCCAGCTGTGGGGTCTTTTTAGGGAAGATACAAGGAGGGTGAGACCATGTGGAGCACACACTCAGCAGCCACTGTGAAGTCATGGGTCCCTTGCTACCTTTGGAAGCTGACAATCTGCATGAAAAGCAGCCCCTAGGAACATGGGTAGTGGCCCGGGATCCAAAACTCCTGAATCCATAAAAGGGCTTTTGACTTCTTGTTCCAGGACAAGTGACATCTGACATGCTTGCCTGCTTGTTTGCCTTTCTTCCTTCTCCTATCCGTCTTTCCATCCATCTGTCCATCAGTCTATCTGTCCATCCAGTCATCCATCCATCCTTCCATCCATTCGTCTATTCATCCATCCGTCCTTCCATCCATCCATCCAAGATTTATTGAGCACTTACATGACAGGAAGTATGAGACACAAAAGAAAATTCTACACAATTCTCCTAGGGACATGAACTAATGGTTAGCAAAAATATATGGGAAGTCCTGCTTCAAGTAAAATTATGACTTAAGATATACATCAGATATTTGAAAAAGATATTTTTAAGTTCAACATTGAAATTCTAACTACATTGTGTCCTTAATTTCTATTTTCTAGTTAGACTTTTTTGAAGATACAAATCATTTGAATTATCATTATTATTGTTACTTGATTTTATTTATTCCACATGAATGGTAAGAATTTTAAAGGAAGGTGGGTGCCCTAAAAATACATTTATGCCAACTGGATTGAATCACCTTGAATCACAATGAGTACAACAACTGCTAATGAGCTAACACTTAATGAGTAATGACCAGGCACCAGACACTGTTCTAGCACTTTATACTTACTGATTTCTTTACTCTTCATGATAACCCTATGAGGAAAGTGCTTTTTTGTTAAGCTCCATTTTCAGCTGAAGAAGCTGAGGCCTGGAGAAGTTACATAGCTTTCTCATGGTGTCTCCACTATGAAGTAGCTGAGCTGAGATCTCACCCAAGGCCCTGCTGGGTTCAGGCCACACTCTTAAGTACTCACAGCTGCATCACACTGAATATCATCTCCCTGCACTGCCATTTCATTTGAGCAGGGCTTTGCCTGTCAAGAACATTCATATCTTTTGATAAACAGTGCATTTTTTCCCTGATAGTCTGTATGGGACAGCCTCCTTGTTTGCATCTGAAGGACAGGGACTTCAGGACCTCCTGCTGTGGTCACCAAGGAATCACATTCAAACTTCTCAGCAAGGTGTTATGGTCCTTCTCAGTTTGCCTACGATCCATTGAGGCAAAGGTTTCCTTCTCTCAATACACCCTCTGCTTTAGCCAGGGGGACCTCCCACTGTCCTCTCTATGTGTTCTATTTGTTCCTGACTGTTAGTACCCGCTTGTGTGGTTTCCATGATCCTTCTTCTGCCTGGAATGAGGCTCCTCTTGAGTCCTGAGAGCTTCATTTCTGTCTGTCTTTTGGGCTGTGCCAAAGCCCCTCTGCCTTCGTGGACTCCCCACTGATTCATTACCAATTTTCCTCTCCTCTGGGCTCTTCTTAGATTGCAAATGGTGCCTCTGGATTGGGTACCAAGACTTGCAGTGCCTTATTTTGATACCACTAATATGAGACCATGTTATATGCCTCTTGAGATATCATTCCCTTTCTAGCAATAGACAGTGATAAGCATGCGTATAGAGGGTAAACGTAGGACTTTGAGGTTCATCCATCTCAATAGACAAAAGTAAAAGTATGCTAATTTCAATCCTTCACACAGTAAATTGAATGTAATAGGTCTTCAGTAACTATTTGAGGAATGAAATTGTTATTGATATATTGATTTAACTGAGCAAATCCATAAGTGCCACGCTTGGAGTAAAGTACAGGGAATCTCATTTTTTGGGTAATTTCAAACAAGTAGGAGACCATCCACTATCTATTAAGGACAAAGGAGATTTGAGTGACAAACATGTTCCAGACCATCCAATGGTGTTATTCTACTACTTCATCCCAGCTAGTAAAATGGGGCAATAAGAACCAAAAAGCAGGTACTGTCCCTATGTAAGTAGACTTCCTAGTCCTGGCCAAAACAAAAACAAAAAAAAAACAAAGCAACACAAAACAAAAACAATGTGTGAAGAGCATCTTACCGTTCATTGCTTTGGATGATTTGTGCAAATCTAGTTAATGGGGGTGGATCTGATCAGTCTTTGTAGGAAGTCAGTATTGGCATATGTCTGGCTTCTGAATTTTCTAAAAATATAATTATTTATTTTTAAATCCATTCAATCAACACTGAATTTACTAATCAACTACTAAATAAGTAAAAGATCCTATAGTAGATCCTTCAAGAAATGGAAATTGAGACATTAGGTCACTATAAACCCCAACCCTTGTAATCTTTTTGTGGCAACCTTAGGAAACTTGGAATGCTTTTTACACTCTGATAAAGGTTTAATTGTAATCATAGCCCCAGTGTTGCAAAATGAGTCAGAAGATACAAAGTATCTCATAGGATAATATTATAGCTGTAGGTACTTCAAATGGACAAGTATAACACATTATGACTGCTAATATGGATGCATTGGGAGGAAAATAAGCCCTAAGAAGCAATATGCAGAAAAGCTATGATTGCTGGAGACAGATAGATCCAAGAACCTAGGTAATTTTTCAGCAAACTGTGGTTCCACTTTCGCCTCTTTCTTGACATTGACTGTGTTTTTAACAGGGAAAAAGTTATCTGAAATTTTTGATAGAGTTCAAACTTTAAATCGTGTTCACTTTGCTAAAACTCCACTGGATGGAGTGGCAGAAGAGAAAAAACACAGAAATAAAAGAAAAGCAGTAATGGAGAATGGAAAATCTTTAAAGATGCTACCATCCTGAAAAGATTCGAAAGCAAGCCCAGGAAAGCCACGGGGAGGGAAAGAGCGCTTAGAGGTGTCCCCAAAGCTTTCAGAAGTGATGAGGGAAACCCCAGCTCTTCTTGTTACTTCTTGGCATTTTGTTCCTCTATACGTTAGCTTTTGGTTAATCTTTCATGTTACTTATTATCTCTGTTTTAAAATTTCACATTAACTCATTGGTTTCATATCCCACTTAACAAATTAGATATTTTCCTTGGGCTTATTAAGAAAATTATTTGCTCTCATATGTTATGGCTTTAGATTTTCTGTGTAGCTAGGACTGTTCTTAAATTTTTATCTTTACCTTTGTTATTTCTCTGAAGCATCCCCATTGGGGTGGCAGTGGGGGGTATTAAATGGTTATGTAAAATTTACATGTAATTGTGCAATTTACACATAGCCTCAAATATAATGAGGCCTAGTCTAGCTGCCCATACCAAGAGGATATTATAGTTGCCAATAAAATCAGTATTATTTCTTTTTTTTTTCTGTTCTTTTTTAGCTTCTTGCAAACATTCACTCAGAATCCTTTTTGAATATCAGTTTTGTGAAAAGCACCGTGCTGGGTTCTTTGGGAAAAGCCAAGATGAGGGCAAATGCATCCTCCTTCCTAGTGAGTCTAGCACACAGATGACTCAGGAAGTCATGCACTGGAGGAGGAGTATCTTCTAGAACTGGGGAAAGGTTAAGGAAGGGATCAGAAACCTTTTTCACTCAACCAATTACATTTTCCTGAAAGCATGTTATTAATCGTACATGATCTTGCAGACCCCAGATAGAGACTATATCACTATATCAATTGTTTTCTTGAACAACTGGAGTTAATTCTCATATGTTTGGTTACCCTTCAAGTATTTATGTTTAGGATCTGTTTTCTTCCTCTTAACTTACATTCCAAAGTTTAGGTATCCTTCCCCTCCATTTGCTGTCCAAAACAGCATCCTTTCATGTAGCTACATGCCATTGGAATGATTTGGTTTTTGCCATGGATTCCTAGTCCTAAATTTGGACTTTTATTGGTATCTAAGATGTCATGGACAGAACCCACAGATGTTGTACAAAAAGGGCTGAGTGGACAGTCCAACAGAGTTACATCATCTGTTCCAAACACCCTTGTAATGGTTGTATCAGCGTCAATGTCTGAGTTGCTGTCCTGGTTCTCCTGGCCAGTCCTCAGCTGGCCATGCCTGTTCAGGCACCAGAGAAAGCTTCATACCTCAGGCAAATCTTTACAAGGGATTTGAAAGGCAAGAAACATGTATTTTGGAGGTTTTACCTGTTTATTTCATGTATAGCTTCATATTAACAGATTTTGCTATCACTTAAAAGTAAATAAAATGATTTTGATTTCTCAAAATCATCTTATAATTTATTAATCTATTTTAAGGCTTGCATTTACATTTAATCTTCAAATCTTGATGCATTTTCACAGAGTTTCTTTAGTTAGTTAAGGATATTAATGACTTCCTTTAATAGTTGATGAAGTGAGTCATCATCGACAGTGAGTCACTAAGGCCAACTCTTGTACCTGCTCTTAAATAGCAGTTGTTTTACTAGATTTGTACTGAAACCTTTTTAAAAATCTGTTTGTCTTATATATAACAAGCATTTCCAGTAGTTAATAATACTTTCTTAGCTCTTCAATCATTTTATGAGAGCATTACAAGAAAAGCAGGAGATGGGGAAAGAGATATCTTGTTTGCCATGTAGGATGCATGAAATTCTTACTTAGTCTGTTGTGTTTTGGATTCGAGAGAAAATATGTAATGAATCAAAATGTTTCCTACAGTCCTCTGAAAAGATGTAATGAGACAGTCTTCCAGCAGCCTTTGATCATCTGGGAAGTCATTGACTTTGATCCTTATCCTATCAGGGGCTCTTACCCTGGGGTCCATAAATACCCAGGCATTTTTAAGAAGTGGATTTCAGTATAACTTGTTTCATTTTGTGATTTTTAAAAATATTTTGTTTTATGCACTTAAAACCTTAATCTGAGAAGTCATCTGTAGACTATACCAGATTTCCAAATGGAATAAAAATATTTAAGAACTCTCTTATGTGTGTGTTTCAACCTATAAATTTTATATGTGTAGCTCATGGTTAGGTGGTAAGTAGAGAATTTGCTATCTGTGTAATATTTGGTACTTTTTATAATGAAAAAGGAAGTAATACAATGATAGGTACCATTTATTTGTTGACCACCCATATTTTCCAGGGAATGTGATAGATACTTTTTATATATTCTTTCTAGTTTTCACCATAACATGCTGCAGGGATAGTGTTACCATTCTCATTTTGCAGATGAAGAAATTGAAACCCAGAACAATTCGTTCATTCATTCAAAAAATATCCATAGAGCATACACTAAGAGAAGGCACTCTGCTAGGCACCAGAAATTGAATAATTGACCCCAAATCACCTAACTCATAAGTGGCAAAGCTGGACCTAACAAAGCCCATTATCCCTTCTATCACACATTCCATCCTCATAATATCATATTCTACATAGAAAAACTTAACAGTCCTGTTGAGACACTTGGAACTCTAAGAAGGTAGTCAACAGATACTTTTCTCTTTATATAAATATGATATCTAATTAGCTTTTCCTGGAAAGGAGTGATTCTGCCTTTTTTTAATTCTAGCATTCCCTGAGCAAATTAGAGCCCAGGTAATGATTTCCTGAGATAAGTCAATTCTCTTCTAGGACAATCTCTAGTCTTGTCATCATGAGATGGAATAACAACGGTCTATGTCATTTCAGTGACGGCACCTGCATGTCCTTGTATCTAAGAAAAGACACCTCCTTCTCTGCCTTGCTAAATATTTGTAAACTTTGCTTTAATTGGTATATGTGCCACTGTTTTGTATGTGGGAGGGGTTTATGGTTTTGTTTTGTTTTTTGGTCTTTTTTAGTAACCCCAATCCAAACTATTCTCATTTGTAACCTAAAATACTTAGAACAAGAGGCTTTGCAATCTTGAAGACCGAATACATTTTTACTACTAAATGTAAGGCAGATTTGAGCCACCCATTTTGTAGTGCTTGATTATGGCAACCCGAGGAAACTAATACGGTTACTCTTTATCTTTATTAGGAAATACTGCTGTAGTTCCTGTTGTAATCCTTAGGGAGCCAACATTGTTGATGAGACCTAGTACCAAGCCAGAGGCCATGTTGAACTAGCAAGATATGGGATAGTTTTTACTTTCAAAGTAATTAGCATCTAGAGTCTAGAGAGTTTCTCTTACAGGGTGGCCTGGTGTCTTAGTCTATTTTCTGTTCCTATAATAGAATACCTGAGACTGGGTAATGTACAAATTATAAAGATTTGTTTGACTCACAATCCTAGAGGCTGGGAGGTTCAAGATCAGACAGCCACATCTGGCCATCCTTTAATGAGGGCCTCATGCTGTGTCATAACACAGCAGAGAATTGGAAGGAGAAATGGGCACATGCAAAGAGAAAGAAAGGGGACGAAAGGGGCTAACTCACTTTGTAACTATGAGACTAATCCATTCCCTGGAGAACTAATTTATTCTCATGAGAAAGACATGAATACATCTTAACATCCTAATCACTTCTTAAAGGCCTCAACTCTGTACACTGCTACATTGTAACAGGCAATTAAATTTCAGCATGAGTTTTGGTGGGGACAAACTACATCCCAACTGTAGTACCTAGCTACCCACTTTATTTTTAGAGTGGCTATTTAATGACCTGGCAAGATCTACTGTGCTTGTAAAAGAATCCACCATGGGTTAAAGAAAAATAGTTTCTGGCTTCCAGTCTCCTTTTGGCCTCTCTCTAGAATGGCATATACAAGTTCAGTGGTTACTGACTTCAAAGGTGGGGTGGAAGACACTGAAATGAATTTTTCTCCTTTCTTTGGTTGGTTGCTCTCTCTCTTTGTTGCTGAAATTTGTGTAGGATAATGGAATGAATATGGGAGATAGGGAACTATAGAAAGACTGGAGGGAAGGGAGAAGTCTTTTCTGAATTAACCCCCCATGTGCTTGTGAGACCCTTGGACCCCAAAGGGCTCCTGACTGGCTGGGCCCACTCCTTCTGTATATGGAGCCATAGGGCTTTTCTCTGGCTTCCCAGTTGAAGCATTGTCATATGCTTTGATGCTCAGCATTTCTGGCAATTTTACCTTGTAAAACTCCCGTTTCGACATTCTGAACTTAAGTAGAAAATGGGAATATAAGCCTCTTGTTTTTTGCTCTTAATCCATTCCAGAACTATAAGTCCCTGGGTTCTTGGCAACAACAGGTGTTCCTCTAGATTTTAAATCAAGTGTGTGTGTGTGTGTGTGTGTGTGTGTGTGTGTGTGGAATATCTCACTAAAACGACAGTGTTGTCATCAATTTTGGCTTCATGGAGGGTCTTGAGCTGGGTGGAGATGGGAGGAAGCTATCCTTGTCCATGCGGTTTGGAGACTTGCTCTAAAAAAGAGACCGTCTACTTCCCTCGTAGTTTTTGTTTTGAAGACATTTGTAGTGTTTACCAGGAGCATACAGTTATCTGGAAAATGCAGACTGATGACAATAGTATTTGAAATGCTCGTAGATCTGCTTCTAGGTTGATGGAAAGAATGTATGTTCCAAGGTACAAGTGCTTGTTGACTTTTCGGATGCAGCCAGTCTGTGCTCTTTGTCAGGTAACTCGGAATCACTCCACAGTAGCTGTCCTTCCTGTCCATTTGACAAGCACTTAAAAGGGCAGTCTTAAGTACTTTACTTCATAGTTTATTAATTTTTTCCCTTCTTTAGTTTGCAATCTACTCTCAGAAACTGAAAAATAATTTCTTTTACCTTTTTCCCCTTTCTCATTTAAGCTGAAATTGATTTCTTTCTGAGCGTGTAAGGAAAAAAATAAAAAGAAGCTGTGGTTAATACAATTGCCTTTGCTGAACAAAAATAAAAGACTAGTTTACCTTCAAGCTGTGCTGTATCAGAGTAAGGATCTGTTCTGTCACTCCCAGGAGATTTTGATAAGAGAGAGTACAAAATTTCATAATATCTACATAGCATAATTGTAGCAAATATAAGAAGTATTATAATTGTTTATTTGGGGATGAGGGTGGGGATGGGTTTTTTTGTGTGTGTTTGGAAAATTGGGAAGCTAGAAGATACTCTTAAATCCATCAGCTTCTTCAGAACTCTTCTCAAATGCTTATTGTCATGACAACCATCTCTTCATAAACCAAGGCTCTGAGTGTAATACAGATGGGGCTGGTAACAAGGTAGGATTGCCATCTGCTTTGTTTTCTCTAAGGGACATTATTTTTTTGTGATCCCCAAGTCTCATCCTCAAATCTGAAAGTCTTGACTTATTTTTCTTTCTGGAGTCAGATAGAGCTGTGAGATTAATTCTTTTCTCCTGACAAACTACTTCCTCACCTGTCATCAAACAACTTACTTGTTAAATGGAGGGAAAAAAGGGTAATTATGTGTGTGTGTGTGTGTGTGTGTGTGTGTGTGAAAACAAATATACATATTTTAATGATTTATTTATCTGTCTACTTTGCAAAGTCTCCTATGAGGTACCTAGTAATTCAATAATACAGTCAAGTGTGAGATCCAGAAACAAGTAGGAGTGAGGCAATCATTTTCCCATGAAACAAGTAAAATTATTACTGCTTTTGAACATTTTAACACCTGTGCTTCCTGATGGTGGGGCTGCATGAAGTTTGTAAGTAGTGTCATCATTCTCTTATTAGGTAACAAATAGGAGCATAATTATTTAGGAGAGGAAAACCTTTTCTTGTTACCAAATTTGGTGAGAAATTTGCCAAAGAAATGAATGCTTACAGGAGGGATACAGCTTAATATCTTCATACTCCCCTTTGTCAAAGATACAAGTGACATTTTCTCATATCAACTTCCTACAAAAAGTGAGGCCATACATTTTTAAAAAGAATATACCCAGTATTTTAAAAGTTTGTATATATCGTGATCAGAATTAAGATATATCCAGCTTTTGAAAAAATATACATATTTAGCCATTAAAAGGTATGTGGTAAACTAAACTGATGAATAAAGGTTATGGGAAATATTTCATAAAATTTATATTTAAAGTAAAGAACAATTTCTCTCTTTGTATTATAGTTATTTTACATAAGCTACAATCTATAATTCTAAACCTTAATTTCTTGAAGGGCTTTATAAGCCTCATTTTTCTTTCTAAATAGAGAAGTTCATACACTGCTTTTATGTCCTATATGTTGATGTGTAAAAATAATCAAATACTAGTGGGTGAGTAGAATGTAACTACAATATGGTACACACACAGACACACAGGATGACTAAACTGTGCACATGAGCTGATGTCCAGAGCAGGGAAAAGCTGCTAAAGAATGTTTGAAGTAGAGTCAGAATGCAGTTTTGTGGTTAAGACCAATAATTTTTCAAAGGAGCATTATAAGGAGTGTGGTTACTTGGGTTGGAGTTGAAAACCAAGCAACAGTTGGGCAGACTTGAAACCAGTTTTGTCTTTAGGTTTCTTTTCTTAATGATTGGTCTACAATGAGTTAGCCACTCATCGTATTTAAGGTCTTGGTAAAGGAGAGACTTTCTTTGCCATGTAGTTTATACCTCATGTATGCATTACAGTAGAGAGCTCCAGGAAATACTGCAGGCCTTCTACTGGTTTTTATCCTCTATTTAGATAAAAATGAGGAAGAAGTAGAATTATCATAAACAATCCTGTTGGCTTTTAGTTGAGATATACTACAGAAACATCACCTTTGAATCTGTATATGTAAAAAAAAAAAATCTCAGAGTAAGATATAAGTTCTGTTGCATTGTTCTGAAGGAATGGGTAATGTCAGAAATGTCTTCATTACATTACATAAAGTAATACACAGTGCTGTTATCAGATTGCATAGTCAAAGTTGGCAAGTTTGCATATTTACATAGATATCATGACCTTCATCATTCATACTTCTTTCAAGAAATGGTCATCTTAATATGGGGTATTTATTTGAGGCATACACCATTTATTTTAAGAAGCAGTACCTTTGTTTATTGTAAAACTTCTGGACTAAATTCTTCAATTTTTTCTCAAATGAATTCAGTTTTTTGTTTTTTTTCTTACCACTGGTTTTTACTGCATAGCGTTTGCCTGAAGAACACCACTTTGTTTCCCAAGGCAAGTAGTCACTACAAGGCGAGTTTTGTTCTGTCTATCCCAAGGCAAATAGACAGCAGCAAACATAGTGTGGAGGGCTGCTGGGTTCAGTAGAAAACCATCAACTATTTCTAATTGGGGGTGTATGAAGACAGCTGCATTCTGGACATGCTAAACATCTTGAAATGCTTGGAGTGTAATAAAACCCCAAACGTGCTTTCTTTTCTCATTTCTTTGCACATGTATTTTAGGCAAAATATAATCCACATGCTGTTGTTCCCTCTCCTTTTAAATCATGAAAAATGTTGTTTTTATAGGGCTATTTGAGGTCCAGGATGCCTTTTTATCCTTTTTATTAGGTTATTTTTATATATAAATGAAAAGAAAAACATAAACAGAAAATACAACATGACATCATGAATGAGGGCAAGCACAAACTGCCCAATTTAAGTTTGAAGTTATAAACCTAAAATATTTTAAAACAAAACATTTCTCTTGGTGTTTTGCAAAAGTAATGCTTTCTTCTATTGGGCAGAAATTGCAGCCTGTTGGGATGAAGGAGAGAATAGAACTAATATTTATTGAGTAGCTACCATGGCTTTCTGGGACATCTGCTAACCCCTTAATTTTTACAGTAACCCTAAGTGGTAGGCCAGTCCATCTGCATTTTACAGACAGGAAATGCTTTCAGAGATATTAATTAGATGGCTGTAGACCACAGAAGAATTGAAAGTCAGGTCTTCTTGACTTTTCAGCTCATGACTTCATTACTTCTGCCCTCCTCATTCTGTTGGGAGATGGGTGGGAGTGTGCCCTCCAGATAATCAGAAAGTCCCATGTTGGGATGTGATTTGGAAATAGCTAGTCCTCAGGCCTGTGGACGAAGGCTATTGTAGCCTCAAGAAAGAAAGAGTCAGCTTGATATTGGCAAGGTGGTTATTTAGTGTGGCAGCTGCATAAGAGCATTGGATAGGTGGTATGATATGGGATGGGGGTCAGGGTGAGAGCTGCTCACACCTCCTTATTATGGCAGGGCAAAACCAGAATAGTCACAGTGATGGTGATGTAGGGTAGGTTCAAGAGAAAGCTCATGTTCTTCTAGCATTGAGACTCACAATATTTCAAAACAAGTGATTATTTATTCCATTACTATTTATTTTGGTGATGGATGTTGCATTTATTTTATTTTCTAACAGTAGTACATATTTGGTAAGAGTTGTTTGTGACATTCTTTATTTAAATGGATTAAACCCATTTTCTTAATTTTTTTAAGTGTTTGTCCTGTTATCGAAGATATCTTAAAGTGTTACAGAATGGGAATCATAGCTTTAATGAGTCTGCATATAAGAGAGTCCAAACATTTTTTTTTTGGAGAGAAGGAAGGTCATTTCAACTGTACTATAGGAACGATAGGGCCCATGATCCATGGTATGGCAATAAGTTACTATTTTTTGGAGAATAAATCGCAAAATATGGGACGTGAAGACTGCTTGGTATTTACACAGGAGTCTAGTTCTTCTGATACTATATATTCTATAAGCTTTCTCCCAGAAATCCAAAGTTTTATTTAGCTTGTAGCCATCATTGTGCCACAATCTTCCTTCCATGATTTATTTTTTTCCCATACTGTACTCTTGCACTGAGTCTTTGGCATTGAAAGGGAAAGAGATGAATTATTCAACTCTTCTTCTATTGAGTGAAAAGCCAATACAGAAAAAAAAATGCAACAGGCAATTTCATGACTGACATTTTGGAGAACATTGGGGTCATCATATGACTGAGAAAATGATTATCTCTTTTGAAGGTCAGGAAACCAATATTTTTTTTTCCAGTGAATCTACTGAGGGAACCAACCACCTAGCTTTTTGTAAATAGCACTCCTCAGGGAAATGTTGCTTTTTTCTTTTGCAGTGTTTCTGCTTTGAATCTTCATAGACTGTATCCCATGGAAGCAGGAATATAATTACTGTAGTGCTTACTTTTTTTCATGTCTCTACTGAAGAGCCACCCTGATTTATCTTTTACTCCAAGGTAGTGTGGAACTTTACAAGGATTTAGATTATATTAGTCATTTTGCTTGGAGATCTCTGCACACTTTTCAACATCATTTCTAAGAGCCTTGCCACACTCAGTAAAAGAGGGTGAGGCTTCAAGAATCTCTGTGTACCAACGCAAATTAGGCAATTTGTAAGAAGTCCCTAGTAGAGCAGAGTGGAGAGAGGGCTCAGGATCTCGTGAGGCCTGGGGCAGGGAGGTGGACATGCTATGAGCTCCTTTCACAGTCAACACAAAGTTAACACATCTTGGAGGAAAAACCGTTACTGTATAATGGAAGGCAGAAGGCAGGGATGTCTGTGCTTGGTGATGAAGCTATAAGTAGTGAGCTGATTTATGATGGAGGGGTGAATTGTGCCATGAAAGAGACTCCCCTCAATTTTATTAGCCAGATTACTGCCCATATGCGGGGTGAGGAGTGAGCATTTTAAGGCATTTCTCTCTGTTTTCAATATATCATCTCTGGATTCACTATTACTGGGACTTGTGAATATAGACTAGGGATTAAAACCTGAGTTTGCTTTTAAAAAACTTTATTTTATTAAATGAGATTTCTGAGCAACTGATTTCACTTAGTCTTATCAAACTATTCTTACTACTTTTTCGATATGCATTCTGTCCCTCCTGTGTGAAGGCCACAGGCCCATGGCCCCCATGTCATTGAGATGGAGGTCCTCAAGTGATGGCGGGATGAATCACCTCTCACTTGCCACCTGCGAGAATGTCTATCACTGATACCTCTCCTTATGTCCCGTAGCAGCTGCTAAGCTCCCACGTTATTATTGGTGACACTTTCTAGTGTTCAGGAGAGAACAGGATTTACTTTTTGAATGCCTCTAAATTATTATAGCAGGTTCATTTGGAATTGCATATCAGAACATTCTTCCTGTTTATCAGGAAAATAAACCAAGGTCTTGAAACTTGATGTCTATCCATAGTTGGCCCAATATAATTTTGCATGTGGTTTATTACATTATTTTTCTCCATTGGCTATGAACTGAAGGCATCTCATGGATATTTATTCCACGCTGAAAAGGTAGTTAGATGCTGTGTGGTAAAGTCGAGACCAGTATATTGGAAGAAAAGAGACACTCCATCTAATAATCTTTCATAGTCTTCACATTCATTGAGAAGGTTACTTGATAACCTTTCCTGCACACTCTCTCCCAACCCTGACCCAGGAACTTGCAGAGCACACTGTGCAACAGATCTAATAACCCTTGTCTGCAGGCAATATGCACAGCTGGGAAAGATAATTAAATAGACTCTTTTTGAGAGGTCTACAACATTTCAACGGAAGGATCGAGCAATCCGGCTGGCCTCCGACTGAAAACTATTACCAACAGACATACTTCAGACAGATTCCATGATCACCATCCTTATGTGGCACAAGTGCTTATGGGGAGCTTCTTTGGCTTCCAAAAGGCCACTAAAACTGTCAGACCTAAATAATACTGGAACTGTAAAGTGGGAATTAAAAATTATAATTCCATTTAACATGTAACGTTCTCATCAGAAAGGGGCCTTTGGTTTTCCATATTGATCGGTTACATGGTCAGCTGCAATTGTAACTCATGAGACACACCCAGATATCATCCTGCGTGATTCTTTTTGAGGTTTATTTAGGGTGTTAGATAATCCGAGGTAGGTTTCATCATGGGTGGCAATATTACATATAGCAAATGTCATGAGAAGAGAGACAAAGCCTCCCTTTTGAATGTTAACATTTATGCAATAAGTTTAATGTACCGTGTAAGTTTACATTACTATTATGAGACTTAACCTAAAAAATTGGGGTGAAATCTTAAAGAATTATGAAATTAAGAAATGAAACCAGAGGGCTTTCGTTTTAAGTACTGATCACTTAAACCAAAACCAGTTTGGCTTATCCTATGAGATCGTGGGTATTGAGAAAGAGGAACATTTGCTGCTGCATCCGGAGATGTTTCCTTGAGAGCAAGACTAGTTCCTTTTGACCCAGTACATCCTACAGGTAAATCACTGCATGCTGTAGAGATACCTGTTCCCTCCCTTCCCCCACCCCCTGGGGATCTGAAACCAAATCATTGCTTTTTCATCTTTTACTTATCCTTATAAACAAAGCCACCCACTTTCTCATTTTTCCTGATGCCAAGTCCTTCTTTACATGAGTGGAATCCACTCTTTTCAATGGAAAGACACCTGCTCTGAGACAGGCTACACTGTCATGAGCCTTGGCATGGCTGAGTGATGTAGTGGAAGGTGCAATAAATTTAAACTTTAAAAATGCAAAATTTGATGGAATCATGCATCTTGTGCCTACAGTGAGTATATGGTCTAGCAGGATTTACAGATACATGCATGATTAATTTGAATACAGTATAGCAAAATGATCTGTTAAAAAACACATGAAAAGATGTGCAACCTTATTAGTCATTAGGAAAATGCACATAAAACCACCGTTCCTGTGTGATACCTCTGTACGTCTATTAGAATGTATAAAATTTAAAAAGACTGAACATAGCAAGCACTGGTGAGGTTGTAGACCAACTGGTGCTTTCATGTTTTGCTGGTGAGAATGTAAACATTACAACTACTTTGAAAACAGTTTGACAGTTTCTTAAAAAGCTAAAACATCCACCTGGCATGCTATATACAGATATCCTACTCTTACGTATTTAACCAAGAGAAATAAAAGCATATATCCATTCAAAAACTTGTAAATAAATTGCTCCTAGCAGCTTTATTTGTAATAGCCAAAAACTAGAAACAACCCAAATGTCCAATGAAAGGATACATCGTATTTATTTATAGGACATATCCATGCAATGGAATACCACTTAGGAATAGAAAGAATCAACTGTTCATCATACATACAACCACATGGCTAAGTCTTAAAAATAATTATGCTTAGTTAAGAAGTCAGACAAAAAGGTAAGAGACTGTTAGGAGCTGAATTAGCGGGTTAACAGTGGCAATGAAAAAGGAGAAAATTATAGCTACCTCAAGATAGAATTGATGAGCTTTGATTATGAAATGATGGTAAGAGAGAGGGCCATAGACTCTGAGGTCTGTCTCTAGCTTTGGTTTCCCTATGTGGATCATTATCTATTTGGATATAAGAATTATCTGAAAGATGATACTTAAGCATGTAAGAAATGATAAGCTACCTGTTTAATGATGAGCTTTTGTTACCTCCAAGAACCCCAAGAAGAAACATCCTGTAAGCAGACCATTCATACTTGATTGTTAAAGGAAAACAAAATTCCATTTTGTCTTTTTCATCAACACAAGTATAGCTGGCTAATAAAAGTGTAATATTCATGAGAGAAAAAGAAAAGAACACGCACACACATACACTCAACAGGATTCCTAGAGTCATTCCCATGGATAAGAGGGAAGGAAAGGTTGAGGGCAAAGAGAGAAGGGAAGGAAACAGACTATGATGGGATATCTTAGGGCAAAAGAATAGGGGGCTGATTTGGAAGGCAGCAAACTTCATGGATACTTGATTTATTTAATGTCCCTGTCACTCTGGCGTATCTTAATGTGTGTGGTGTGTGATTTATTTAGTCACTTGATCCAAATTCTCTAATTAAGTGGAGCTCAGAAGATATAGTGTCCATTGTGGTCAAGGGCACAGGTTTTGGCTTCAACAGACAAATAAGCTCTCTGAGCATCTGTCTTCTCATCTGTACAATGGGAATATCAGTTCCTACCTCTTCAGGTTGTTGTATTCATAAATAAATTGTGTACAAGAAACATTAGGATTGCTTCTTACCCGTAGTAAGGGCTCAACAAACCTTCTCCTCCTTCTCCTCCTCCTTCTCCTTCTTCTTCTTCCTCCTCCTCCTCTTCTTCTTCCTTTTGCTTTTCTCCTTCCTTCTTCCTTCCTTTCTTCCTACCTCCTTCTCATTATTGTTATTAGGTAACCACAATATTATCAGTAATGATTGGAGAAAGCTTTAATCTCCTAGTTCACCATTAGAAAACAAGAACACATTTTGGTGGTTATTACCCGAAGTAATCATAATGTCACCTTTTTTTCCATCTGACTCATTATCCCAAGTGATTTATTTATATATGGAGTTTTCTGAGTCTTTCTTTTACATATTACAAAAAAAGAGTGTGATTTAGGGACGAAGCAAAGAAATAAAAATTTAGTGACTTTCATTCTGCCTGTGCCCCAATTCCTATTGGGCATAAGGCAAGTAATTTAAATTTCTTAGCACCTTAGCATCTTCTACTCAAACAGAAATGAGGAACAGTCACAGGTTACTATTATAGCTGTCTAAGTAGAAGGCACACAAGTTTTCACACTGAGTATAACACTTTATAGAAAGCTAAGTGTGTTGCTCAAGTTGGTACATTTCTGTAGATGTGACACTATGGCACTAAGAAACTTAATGCCACATTGAAATTCATTGAGATAGCTAGACTTTAAAAATAATTACTTGACTTCACTATAAAGTATGTTCGTATTGCATTTACTCCATCTAGTAGAAAATAGACCTTGTCAGTTCAAATCCCTGTTGCATTAATTTCACCAGTAATGAGTCTTTTTCATTTGAGTCAGCAGGGTTTTTCTTGCTTGTTTTCAGGCTTTGTGGATTTGACCCTCCATGATCAGGTCCACCTTCTAGAATGTGCCTGGCTAGAGATCCTGATGATTGGTCTCGTCTGGCGCTCCATGGAGCACCCAGGGAAGCTACTGTTTGCTCCTAACTTGCTCTTGGACAGGTAAGTGACCTGGCTGTAGCTTAGGAGTAGCATGTTCTTTACGATCATAGTTCATTCATGAAACTATTTTATTCATCTCTCGGTGAAGCTTCAGAGAACTTTATTAGGTATGTTTACTTAACAAAAGAGTGCATTGGGGGTGATGAAGCCTAGTCAAATTCACAGAAAGCTAAGGATAACTTTCTGCTAGACATTACCTCAGAAGAATTCTATTATTTCTAATACACACACACACACACACACACACACACACTCACACTCTCTCTCTCTCTCTCTCTGTCATTATGAATGGTAATTTTCTAACTCCATCTTCAACTTGTATCATATAAAAATTATAATAACCTCTCTTTAATTAAAATCTGTTGTTGCTTCTTGTACATCCATACCACAATAGCCTATTCATTTTCTTCTCCAATTTTCCCATCCGTAAAATGAAGAAATTTGACCAGAGTTCTGAAGGTCACATTCAGGTCGACAAATTCATTTTCATGTTCAAATATGTTACCTTCTTTAACATACCATTCTGGGGTTGCCTTGGAATGTGGGTCCCATTGTTTTTTTTTTTTCAGTCATTGCTTAGAGTCATAGAATTTAGATATTACTCAATAGCAGCTGCCACTGATAGAGTCTCCACCCTGCACCAGCTGTGATGCTAAACACTTTACATATATTATCTCATTTAATCATCACCGGACTCCTAGGAGGCAGGAATGTCATCATCCATGTTTTACCAGAAAGGAAACTAAATCTCAGAGACATCCTGCTACTTGCAAAAAGAGGAAAGCTCACTAAATGGTGGAGCCAGAGTTCAAATTCAAGATCTTTCTGGCTCCGGTATGCTCTGTTACCTCCTGTGCTGGGCACATGGTCTTCCCACTCTCATGTTCAGTGATGCCTCCTTTGGTCTGCTGCCATAGCATTCTGTTTTCCAGGTAAATCTTGTCTTTGTGGGCTACATAACATTTTGGATGAGAAAGAACCATTTTGTTGTTTCTTGCAATCCTATTTTGCCTCCGTGCCAAGCAGTCTAAGGCTGCCAGGCTGCCCACAGTGCATCTCTGCATGGTACTTTACTTCAGAGCATTTCACTATCTTTCTACACCTGCCAAGTGCCTGGAGCAGAGTTGCAGCAAAATTTATTTAAGTACTGGAGAATTGTACAAGGTGTTGGTTATTGTTTTGTCATTTTGTGTTAACACAGCTTTTGAAAAACAGTGGTGATACAGTTTAAGAAGCATATTTTGCTGTCTGTGGAATATATTTTGATATCACAGTTTCACAAAATTATCAAGAATGGCCACTAGTCTTGTTCCTTAGAACTGTACTCACAATGTATTCTGTCAGCCTTATAGAGGATGTCTTTACCGTGTTCTTTCCTTTCCATTCCTTGTTTCCTTTCCATTTTTTCCTATCTCATTTCTCCTCTCTTTTCCTTTGCTTTCCTCTTTCTTTCTTTCTCCTGTCCTCTTAATTTTTTTGTCTTATAGCAGTGTGGTTTTGTAACCAAGTGATATCAAGTTTGCAAATGAAAATCTTAGACCACACGTAACATTTCCCTGCCTACTGCCTGGAGTGTCTACCATGTTTAGGTTTTTGGACATTCATAACTCATTTGCTCCTTGATTTCCATCCTCATCTGTATCTATCTTCTTTTTTAAAATTTAATTCAATTTTTATAATGTTGACACAATTATGCAGATTCATAGGGTACACAGTGATGTTTTGATACATATAATGTGTGGTGATCTTATCTATCTTCTTGAGTACACACTTGCTTGAGGACAGTCATCAAATAATTGCATTTTGAATATGTGAAGGTTTTTGACATTACTGCACCCAAAAAACTCATATTGCCAGTGAGGTGATATGGCCTAGGATTTTATCAGCTACAGCCTTCTCTTTCCTTTCTGTACACTCCAGTGGTGGCTAATTTTCTTTCCTCTCTCACAGAAGTATGAATGACTAAAAGTTCTCATCTCTATTCATTCCTACTTTCTAAAACTTCAGATCGGAAATTTGAATTACCTCTAGACCAGGATTTGTCAGTCTCTTTACTATTGACATTTTGGGTCAGATCATTCTTTCATTCTTTCTTGGTTGAGGGGTTGATATTGTTTGGTGTGTCCTCATCCAAATCTCAAATTATAGCTCCCATAGTTCCCATGTGTCATGGGAGGGACCCGGTGGGAGGTAACTGAAACATAAGCAAAGGTCTTTCCCTTGCTCCTCTCATGACAGTGAATTTCTCATGATATCTAATGGTTTTATAAAGGGGAGTTCCCCTGCACACGCTCTCTCTCTTCCCCGTTGCCATGAAAGATGTGACTTTGCTCCTTCTTCCCCATGATTGTGAGGCTTCCCCAGTCACAAGGAACTGTGAGTCCATTAAACCTTTTTCTTTGTAAATTACCCAGTCTCAGGTAGGTCTTTATTAGCAGCTTGAGAACAGACTAATACAAGGGGCTGTCTTGTGCATTTTAGGATGTTTAACAGCATCCCTGGACTCCACCAGCTAGCTGCCAGTAGCAACCTCCACTTCCTCCAGTTACGATAACTAACAATGTCTCCGGACATTTCTACCTATCTTCTGTTGTGTCAGGGGGTGGGGGAGGTAAAATTGCCTCTGGTTGAGAATCACCACTCTATGCTTTCCCAACTCAATGTTCTATAAGCTCCTCAGACACACTGTACTCTAAACTGCACACTCACTTTATCTTCTGCAACAAGTCTATTCCTTTTCTTTTCTGTCTTGGTGACATCAACACTCACCTAGACACTAAAGCTAGAAGCTTTAAGTTACCCATGGATTCTACCTTCTCCCTCACCAAATTATCCAGTTAACTATCAAGTCATCTATGAACTGCTTCTGAATCCAGACCTCCCCTCTATCCCCATTCCTCTGCATGGCACAGGTCCTGGTTGTCTCTGCTGCAGATTCCTTGCTTCTGCACCACTGACTCACTTTCTTGGTCCTGCTACTCTTTCTTTCAGTCCATCTCCCATACTGCTGCTGGAGAAGGCTTTCTAAGGCACAGCTGTGATCATGATGCTTCCTGACTCACCTTTCAGTGGCTCTCTCAATTCTTAACATGGAGAAACCCCATCTCTACTAAAAATACAAAGTTAGCCGGGCATGGTGGCTCATGCCTGTAATCCCAGCTACCCGAGAGGCTGAGGCAGGAGAATCGCTTGAACATGGGAGGCAGACGTTGCAGTGAGCCAAAATTGTGCCATTGCACTCCAGCCTGGATGAAATTCCGTCTCAAAAAAAGAAAAGAAAATACTGTGTAGACTTCTTATCTTAATAATCATGAATCACTATTACAAGTGTCTCAAACGCAAATTTCTGAAGAGTCACAGGTGACCCAGTGAGCCCTTGTCCAGGCTAAAAACACCTGGTGGCTGAATTCTGAACTTCACACATTCGAATTTCTCTTCCATTGCTTCTGAGAGACCCTCCACCATTACGGTTCCTTATCAGAGTCATATCTACCTATAAGGCTCATTTCAGGTGCCGTCTTTTTATAAAATCTTCCTTCAAACTTTCTCCTCTTCAGCCTTTATATATACAAAAGGCTTTTCTTTCTTTTCCTTTTCTAAGTTTCCATTGTAGTTGGTTTGCTTTTCTCTTTATTATTCTCATTCCACCATATTAGTTATGATTGGATGTCTTCTTACCTTCCCTACTAGCTCATAAACTTCTTGTGGTCAAAAACCAGATCTTGTTCGTCTTGTGTGATCTCCAGTTTACGAAGTCTTCCATGATACCCAACAAATATTTGTTAATTGCACTGGCCAAGGTCACCCAGGTGGCTTGTGGCCAAATCAGAAGAATCTACATCTTCTGATAGTCATGGCAGCTGTTATTCCCATCCAACTCACTTCCTGTGCATTGCTACTCATCAATTCCCCACTTATTCTTTTAAAAACATTGCATAAATACATATCTATGTGTTTTGGAAAGATTTTCTTAATCTATAAGCGCATTTGGCGTGTGCTTATATGTCTGCTTATATGCCAAATTTGAAATTCCAAATTTCGCCATTTGGAATTTCAAATGGGGAAAAGCAAAGACTCTTATCTTTCCCATAATCAAACCCCTTATGAAGTAAAATCCTTAAGGTCTCTCTACAGGTTAAAAATAATTAGGTGATATGATTTGGCTGTGTTCCCACCCAAATTTCACCTTTAATTGTAATAATCCCCAGGTGTCAAGGGTGGGGCCAGGTGGAGATAATTGAATCATGTGGGTTGTTTTCCCCATACTGTTAGTGTGGTAGTGAATAAGTTTCATGAGATCTGATGATTTTATAAATGGGAGTCCCCCTGCACAAGCTCTCTTGCCTGCTGCCATGTAAGATGTGACTTTGCTCCTCCTTGCCTTCCGCCATGATTATGAGGCCTCCTCAGCCATGTGGAACTCTGAGTCAATTAAACCTCTTTCTTTTATATATTACCCAGTCTCAAGTATGTCTTTATTAGCAGCATGAGAACAAACTAATACATTAGGTATATGTTAATGATGAGGAATGTGTATAAATACATATACATTTATATTTAAATATTAATATTTACAAATAACATGATATTAAAAATATGGTCTATAATTTTTTAAATTATCTACCTTTCTAATCATTAACATGCACTAAATATTATTAAATTTCAATATTATTTAATTACCATCTTGGTGTTTGAGGATAACTGCTTTTGATGGCATTGATAGATGCATTAACAGTGAAACATTGTGACCAACAGCCCATCTGAGATTTTATACTTGTAGAAGATGGCTTCTGAGTGACAGCTGAGAAGACTGTTTATGTCTTTGCCCTACAGGTTCCTAACCCCTTTAATAAAATAGAGCTCTCTGATGCAGATGACACATGGGCCTTCTTTTTGCTCTTGTCCCATCACATTGTACATAGTAAACATTTTTAGCAACAAATAGTAGATACTTATAACTTTAAAAGCTAAGTGGTTGACAGCTGAGAGGCAGATGATGGTAATTTCATCATTTTTCTCATATCTCAGGCATTGTGACACTACCTCTGCAAGGTCAACTGTCTCCATAGGCTGTTTTCATTTGCGTAGAAATAGGGGGGAAAGATAGCTTGAAGTCATCAGGAGCCCTGCAACCCATGGATTACCAATGTTGCTAACTGGAGCCTGGATTTCATCTTCAATTGATTGTAATGATGTCTTGTTCTCTCAAATCTTTGCAAATCTAGGCATTTATAAGACTATCCTGTAGGTCCCTTACAAGACCATGAGGATGCTAGAACTTACCCTAGTCTTTTCTTGTAATTGCTTAAATGTTAGTATTGGCAAATGGGGTTTGGTGATTATAAGAGTAAAAAAACCTGCTGCCATCCCACATTTGTGAGCAGAGGATACATTTCCTATCTTGTGTCCATTTAAAAAGAATGATTGCTTGATTGGCTTCCTGATGACAACCCATGATATACTGATTCTGTTAGTTTATAACTTTCCTAGTAGTCATATGCTTATAGGCCAATTTTATCCTTGCCATGCTTAGCCTAGTCACAATTTCCAGTTCTTCTCTGTATCCTGCAGCAGTGAGTTCCAAACACTTAATGCTGTCATCTCTTCCTGTGAAAACCAAGAAATAAAGGTTATTATAAGGTATAAATAAAGAACCCAGTGATTTCTCTTGGGGTGTGTGTGTCCATGTGTGTGTATATTTTACAAGAGGAAAGTTAAAGATACTAAGAATGCCTGTGAAAGTAATCAGGAAATGGAGAAAACTTGTTTTCCATTCTAGCACCTAATCCTTTGGTGTGTTTTGGCACTAGAAAACACAAAATATGTCCTCTGTGTCTACTAGGAATGCCTCTCTTCATTTAGTCCTGCTTGAGTGCTCATGATGGAAAAATATAGACTGAAAACAGGAGCAAAAGTGTTCATCCTACTCATTCCTTGTGGGGTCTCTTTGCTTTCAAAGAGATGTTAGAGATGTTAGTAAATGGTGTTAGAAGAAACAATGTAAATTGCCTGTTTAGTAAGATGATCCAGTTTCTAAGGAACTGTTTTACTGGCGCCTTCCATGCTAACAAATTCTGAGAAATATTTGCGGATTTCTCAGTGAAGCCAAAGCACTCTCTTTTGACTCCTATTTACTCTCAGAGAAAAAAACTATTCATCCATTTGAAAAGCAGGGACCAATTCAACAAGCAGAATATTCCCTCTACTAAGCCTTTGGCCAGAGAGTTGTTGCTCTAGTTCTTTCCATCACTCCTGCATCAGGAGGCTCTGCCTGCAGGAAATAGTATTGGACAACAGAAAGTTCTTTTACTTGTAGGCATAAAATAGGTATAAATTCTCCTCCTTAAGAGAAAAACAGGTTGCTGCACCAGAAAGAACATTTGCCTCTTCTACTAAATAGCAGACTGTTTTCCAATGATAAACTCATTTTAAATAGAAAAAAAAAAGTCATTCTCTACAAACAAGAACATTTTCATTTTAGGTTGTTTATTGTAAATATTTCAGAAAAAAAATATGCAAAAAAAAAAATGCCCAAAAATCAATGCTTCCAGTAACATATTTATTAGCTATCTTTTTCCCCATGTAAAACTTCAGGTAAATTCTTTGCAGATTTTTTACTTGGAAGAATGATAAAAAAAAAAAAAAAAGTTCTGAAATGAGTTGAATTCATCCACGTGTGTTTTTGATTCACATGAAGAGTAGGACCTCCCTTTATATTCCCTCTTCAAATTCTCCCCTCTGAAAAATGGGTGGTACACTCAAAGGAGGACCGCACACATTGTAGTAGCTGGGGTGTTGGGGGTGGAAGGAGCAGGTTTTGGGGGTGGGAGGAGCGGTGAGTGATCCTTTCAGCAAAGTCAGTCCTGGGCAGGAGACGGCTTCAGGAATACTGTCAGCTTTACTGGATTCCACCATCGCTTTCCAGGACTGTTTAGGCCCTGGGCCCTTGAAGGGTTTGCGTGCCTCTTGTCTCCATTCATACCTCAAGAACTTTGTTCATGTTAATTTTTTTTCACTCTATCATATGGAATTGAGTAAAAAAAGAAAAAAAAAAGGAAGCCAACACTTACTTAACTGCTTTAATGTATAGGACTCTGTTCTGGGTTGTCTTCTAAAGTACATTTCATTCAATGTGTGAGAATACAGATAGGAAAGAGTTTTGCTAGTTTCTATTTTGACTGTGGATCCATTGATTCTTTCTGGTTCTCAGCCCTTAATTGCTCAGCTGCAGATACCACTTGACTGACTCTTAAAAGTCTTTGGTTTATTGCCCAATTCTGGGAATATGAAACTGTAAGCTGTTTAGGAGAAAAACTGAGACCAAAAGAAAGGAGAAGTGAGCCAAACTGCCATTATGATTGCCACTTCTTATTGAAGATAAATCAAAATATCCATTTGACTAGAAATCAATTGAATTATGCACTTTAAATGGGCCAATTCAATGATACCTGAACTATATCTCAAAAAAGGTGTTAAACACAGGCACACACGTACACACACATATTGGAATTCCAGGAAAAGTCACTTTGATCAACAAGATTATCAGTCGTCAAAGTGCTTGGAAGGGTTCTATTGGAATAAAGCTAAAAAAAATCAAAGTAAAATTTCTCCTTAAAAACAAAAGCAATTAAGCAGCACTGTATTATAAAATATGCTAAGCTGCAAGTCAAAATTCTTAAGAGACTTAAGCCTGTAAGCAGTAAGGATCCACTCAATGTAAAGTTACTCCAGAGGGAAAGGCGTGAGCCCAACCAAAGTATTAATGCTGTGTAGGAGGTTAATTTGACTCTTCTTAACATTTTTACACACCACATTATGTTTTATTCACCATTTATTATTAACTGAATTTATTAAAGTATAATCAAAATAATATTTTTGAGAGTTTAAAAATATTCTCATAATATTTAAGTTACATATACTATGCAGGGACCGTCAAGTAATTCCACTCTGACATCTGTATTTATTACCGCCACCTGTCCATGATGGTATTAGAAAGATCCTCATTTGTTTTAATGGATGCCTCTAAAATCCAGTTTTAAGAGGGGGTTGGCCACTTTCAAGTTTGTGTTAGTTAGGATTCAGTTTAACCCAGCTCAACAGGTATTTACTAAGTACCAGCATATCCATAGGGCGCTGTATGATACTGGAGGACACACAGAAAAGAGATGTGTAAGAGGCACTCCTGCCCTCAAGGAGTTTACTATTGAGTGGTAGTGTAATATGAATAAACAAATGAATCTGCTCAAAAGCAGGGCATTCTAAGCAGGCCCTCACCAGCCTCTCATCATTCGCATCTAGTGTATCTTCCTCCATCACTTTCTAAACGCTATGGATTCTGAGTGAAAACCAATCGCTGGTTTATGCATGTATGCATATATGAATTCATTCTTGACATTGCCATGCAGAGTATTTAGTATAACTAGACTTATTATCCATTTATCCTGCCTAGAAGCATACTGTAATATATATAACTCTAAAAGCAAGATCATTCCTTATGTTGGTTCTTTTGAGCTGGCAGGGGGAAAGCAGAGTATGTTGGCAGGGGTCTATCAAGGTAGATGAGCCCAGTTTGTACATCTTTGAAATATTACCAATGCCAATGTGTTAGTACTGCTTGGATCTCTTCTATGACAACAGTTCTTATTTTTTCCTTTTTTTTGTTTGTTTGTTTTTTGAGACAGGATCTTGCTCTGTCACCTAGACAGGAGCGCAGTGGTGTGATCTCGGCTCACTTCAATTTCCGCCTCCTGGGTTCAAGCAATTCTTGTGCCTCAGCCTACAGAGTAGTTGGGATTACACGCATGCGCCATCATGCCTGGCTAATTTTTGCATTTTTAGTAGAGATGGGGTTTTGCCACGTTGGCCAGGCTGGTCTGGAACTCCTGGCCTCAAGTGATCTACCCGCCTTGGCCTCCCAAATTGCTGGGATTACAGGTGTGAGCCACCACACCTGGCCCATCAGTTCTTAATTTGATGAATGGATAGAGGTTTGGCTTCAAATAAATGGAGTTAGTCTGTCAATATCTGTTTCTTTTAAAATTTGCAATTGTTTTTATTTTTAGTGTCATGCTATGTGCCCTTAATGATCTAGAATTAAGTTCTAATCTCTACCCTGGTATAATTGATTTCTCCCTGTGGACTCCTAATATAAGAAGAAAGATGAAGTTTTTCTTTTAATGCTTTTAGAGATCTTCATTAAGTCATTTAATATTCTTATTTGCTATTTCCCAGTGTGATGGTTAAGACTGAGTGTCAACTTGATTGGATTGAAGGATACAAAGTATTAATCCTGGGTGTGTCTGTGAGGGTGTTACCAAAGGAGATTAATATTTGAGTCAGTGGGCTGTGGAAGGCACACCCACCCTTAATCTGGTGGGCACGATCTAGTCAGCTGCCAGCGAATATAAGGCAGGCAGAAAAACGTGAAAGGGGAAACTGGCCTAGCCTCCCAGCCTACATCTTTCTACCATGCTGAATGCTTCCTGCCCTTGAGCATTGGACTCCAAAATATTCAGTTTTGGGACTCGGACTGGCTCTCCTTGCTGCTCAGCTTGCAGACAGTCTATTGTGGGACCTTCCGATCATGTAAGTTAATGCTTAATAAACTCCCCTTTATATATATCCTATTAGTTCTGTCCCTCTAGAGAACCCTGACTAATACACCCAGTGTGTTCTTTTATCAAATAGAAAGGAGATATAGAAAACACACTGTCCATGTCTTTGATTGTTACACCACAGCAGAGAATCAATTTCTTAACCTGCTTACTTATTTACCATTCTCCAATGGTGCCAATTCTGAGATCCATCATGACTTTATCATTAGAAAAGGGGATGTAACAAACATGATGAGATGTTACGGGAATACTGCTTACTGCATGATATGGTTTGGCTGTGTCCTCACCCAAATCTCATCCTGAATTTTAGCCTCCCATACTTCCCACGTGTTGTGGGAGGGACCCGGTGGGAGGTAATTGACTCATGGGGGTGGTTTCTCCCATACTCTTCTCCTGGTAGTGAATAAGTCTCACAAGATCTGATGGTTTTATAAGGGGTTTTCCCTTTCACTTGGCTCTCATTCTCTCTTGCCTGCTGCCATGCAAGACATCCCTTTGCTCCTCCTTCATCTTCTGCCATGATTGTGAGGCCTCCCCAGCCATGTGGAACTGTAAGTCCTTTAAACCTCTTTTCTTTATAAATTGCCCAGTCTCATGTATGTCTTTATCAGCAGCATGAAAACGGACTAATACACTGCATGCTCAGTATACTCAGGCACTCTGGAAACTAGGTTTCTACTTCGGACCCCTGAGAGAAAAGGGTTATGTATCTCCAAGTGTGGTCATGACAAGCATCACTACTGTGTGCAGTTGGGCCTGTGGATTGAGCCACCTTAGCCTCTGAGGAAAGCAGAACCTGAGAGCATGCTTAATTCAGAGTGTGTGTGACTTGGAGTGTGGAAAGGAAGATTTCCAGATTTGCGGTATTGGCGACTGAAAGGATGGCAATGCTATTGATGGAGATTAGGAAGACAGGAGAGAGGTAGATGTTGAGCAACTCCGAGGAGTTTTTCCTCATACATGTTGGGTTTAAAGTGCAGGGAAGATATCCTGAAGGTTATTCCAGGCAGAAATTTGGAGCTCAGAAGAGACATCAGAGCTGAAGATAAAAAATTTGAGAGCCATCTCCGTAGCTAAAAGTGTGGAACGAATGTGATGACTAGACAAGATAATAGAGAAAAGGTATCCAAAGGCCTGAGGTCAAGACCTCTTAAAAGGCTGACTTTTCAGGGTTTTAGGTAGAAAAAGAGTCCCAGCCTGGGGTTAAGGCAGTTTTTTGAGAAGTAGAGGTACAAAGTTCCTTGTTCCAAAGGAAGGGTGTCTTTCAAAAGAAAAAGGATGGGCCGGGTGCAGTGGCTTACGCATGTAATCTCAGCACTTTGGGAGGCCGAGGCTGGCAGATCACCTGAGGTTGGGAGTTCGAGACCAACCTGACCAACATGGAGAAACCCTGTCTCTACTAAAAATAAAAATTAAAAATTAGCCGGGCTTGGTGGTGCATGCCTGTAATCCCAGCTACTCAGGAGGCTGAGGCAGGAGAATCACTTGAACCTGGGAGGCAGAGGTTGCAGTGAGCCAAGTTCTCACCATTGCACTCCAGCCTGGGCAACAAGAGTGAAACTCTGTCTCAAAAAAAAAAAAAAGAGAGAAAAAGAAAAAGGATGGTGAATTGGGCCAAATACCAGAGAGATGGACAGGAGTAAGAAGAAAAAGACTAAAGATTTGTTCATCAGGAGCTCATTGTTTCTAAAGGGAGCATTTTTAGTAAAGAGGAAGGAGGAATAAAATGCAGTATAATATGTTAAATCTAAGTATAATTTATAAAAGAGAAAATGGGGGTGGAATATTACAAAAAAGGAACTATAAACCAGCTCTTTGAGGTATTTGTCAGTGAGGAAAACAGTGGGGCTCTAGTTCTTGATAGCAACAGCATCAAAGGGAACTTTTTAAACTAAAATATTATGAATTTTTCAAACTGAAATAATGAGAGAATAATACAAAGAAATCTCATCTGCCCATAATCCAAATTCAGTAGTTATTAAAATTTTGCCCCATTGCTTAATCCATTAATCTCATTTCATTTTGTCCTTTTTCTTTGTTTATTTTTGGCTAAAACATTTTAAAGACAAATCCTAAATATCATACATCAGTAGGCATTTACAAAAAAATTTCTTGATAATCACAATGCCATTCTCATACCAAATAAACTTATAATAATTCTGTGATATCATCTAAAAAACAGTTCTTTTCTACATCAAAAATGTCTGTTTATAGTTGATTTATTCAATTTAGAGTCCAAACAAGTTCCATATATTAGACATTAGGTCATTAATGTCTGTCTATTTGAATTTATAACAATTTCCACTTAATTTATTTTCTCCAGCTTCTGTGGAGACTAGGTAAGTTGTTTTGTAGCTGTCTGGATATATCTGATTGCTTCCTTGCAGTGTCATTTAACTTGTTCCTCTATCCTCAGTGTTTCTGCACATGGAAGTTAGCCTCATAGCAGGGGTTGGCATACTTTAGCCTGCTTACCAAATACGACTCCCTTACATTTTTGTAAATAAAATGTTACTGGAACACTGTCACATATGTTGGGGTCATAGAAAGAGTTTCCGTGTCCCCAAGTTATAATTGCATTCACTTATATTTTCTTCTAGTAATTTTTACCCTTACATGTTAGGGGTCAATTTGGAATTTCTCTTCATATACAGTATGCAATAAAGAATGGCTTTTATATTTTTCCAAATGTATATTCAGTTGTCTCAACACCATTTATTAAAAAGTCAGTATTTCTCAAGTGATTTGAGATCTACCCTTAATTACACAGTAAATTTCTCTGTAGTCTTGTCTTTTTCTAATATGTTAATTCTGTACCAAGATTTGTTCATCTGTTAATGGATCAATATCACATAGCTTTGTTTATAGAAGGTGCACATTGTTTTAATTCTGGCCATGCTATCCCACCAAATATTGCCCTTTGATTTTTCAGAGTTTTACTGTGGATTCTTCCTTGTTTCTTTTTCTATGTGACCTTTAGAATTAACTTGTTTAATTCTATAAGTAAATTTATTGATAATTTTATTGAAATTATGTAAAATATAAATTGGCTTAGGAAGTACTGATATCTCCATGACATTAAGTCTTCATATCTAAGACCAAGGGGTGCCTTTTCATTTGTTAAATATTCTTTGTGTCTTTCAGAAGTGTTTTCAAGTATCCTTATGTGTATTTTGCACAAATTTTTATATTTGTGCCTATTGGATGCCACGTGCAGGGTTAAAAAATATTATACCTATTTTATATAGATATATATGTATATAAAAATATATATTATATATAGTTATAATACATAAATATATTTTAATATATTATATAATATATACATGTATTGTATTTATATATGTATTTATATGTGTATCTATAAATATACATATGTATGTATCTATAAATATACATATATGTGTACATATACACATATATACACATTATATGTATGTTTATACACATATAAATACATATATAAATATACTAGAAAGTCCATGGGGTTTCCTAGTATACAATCATATTGTCTGCAAATAGAGATTGTTATACCTTTTCCTTTCTATTCCAAAGTGTCTAAAAGATTTTTTCTTAGCTAGTGGCATTGGATGACACCTATAATGTCTTCTAAAAATAGTAGCAGTCATAGGCACCATTTCCTTATTCTTGAATATTCATTCATGTTACAAAGTTTATAGGAATTTCTGAATTATTAAGTACTTTTAATAGGAATGAAGGTTATTGTCATTATTGCATCAAAATTCATAAGAAAGTTTGGTGTCAAATTTGTGCTTTGTGTGTAGTCTTCATCACGCTTTTTTTTTTTTTTTTAACCAGTGTTAAACATCCATTACAAAAATAGTTTGGAAGTTTTTCTTTTTTTTTTTCCTATGTCCTGGAAGGTGTAAGTAGAATTGGAATTATTTGATCTTTAAGATGTAAAATATTGGTAGAATTCTACCTTTGAAAGCACCTGGACATGGTGACTTCTTAATAGGTGAGCTCTCTGGAAACTTTATTTCTTCTGTAGTAATTGGTCTCCTTAGACTTTCTATTCCTTCTGGAGTCAGATATTGTATATCAAATCTTCTGTTAAAGTTATCCATTTCTTCTTGGTATTCCAATTTTTCACATTGAGTTGGACAAATGATTTCTGATGATGTTTAAAAAATTTCTCTGGTTTGATGGTTACTTTGACCGTATAATTTATTTTGTGTATTTATGCTTCTTTTAGAAACTTAGGTCAGCTAGTGGTTCCTCTATTTTGTTGATTTTTTTCCTCAAAGAACTAGCTTAAGTTTATTTTATTAGTTCTACTAGTTTTCTGCTTTCTAACTCATTAAGTTATGCCTTTAGCTTTATTAAATCCTTCATTCTGCTATCAGTTAATGTTTTAGTTCATTTTCTAGCTTTTTGAGTTGATACTTAATTTATTTTCATTTCATGATATAGGTAACTGATGCTCAGAATTTTCTCAAAGCATCAGTTTTCGCTGGGCCCCATAGATTCTAATATATCTTACTTTCATTATTATTATTTCCTAAAAATTCAGCAATTTCATGTTTTATTTTGTCTCTCATTCAAGAGTTGTTTAATAGACAGTTTAATTTCCAGGTTGGATGGGCATTTTGTTTTGTTTTTTGTTTTACTGTTTATAAATACTTTTGGCCTTGGGATCAGAGAATACTGCTTGTATTACAATTATTACTGAATATTTTTGTGGTCTAATATAATTTCAGCTTTCAAAAATGTTCCATGTATACTTGAAATGAAGGTTTATTTACCCTTATAAAGATAGAAGGTAAAATATTAGCTATGCCCATGTCTATTTATCTTCTTATAATTTTTGCTTAATGAAAACTAATGATCCATTATCTGCTGCATAAGTATTTATGTTTGCTTTCTCTTTATTATGCCTTATGGCTTTTGTGTTAAAAAGCTATTGATTTATTTAATATTTTGGAAGGATTGAATTTTACCCTATCTAATATCAAGATCATGACTCTTGATTCCTTTTTGTTTTCACTTGTTTAATATATCTTTCTTCTATCTTTATTTTAAACACAAGAAGAGCTTTGCTTTCAGTTTCTATTTTACATAGTCTACAATCGGATTTTACTTATTAGTCAATCTGAGAATACTTTTAATAGATGAGTTACACAAATACATATTTATTGATACCAACACAGTTTAATTCAAGATCTGTTCTATTATTTTATATTTATTATATATTAAATTGTCTTCTTTATTTACTATTTATTGATTTATTGAATTTATTTTGCTTTCAGGTATTTTGTATTTTTGTTCTGGTTGTTAGATTTATGCATACTTAGTCAACTCTTCCTTTATAAAGCATTCATTTTCTACTATGAGCAGTAGTAAAATTAGCTAGTAACTTAATTCCTGAGCACTCTCCAGTCCTAGTCACTAGTAATAACGCAGTGTTAAACTTTGTAATATTAATTATACTTAAGCCTCTATTACTTGGTTTGTCAAAATCAAATGATATCAATTTACTTCCAGCACATACCTATGAGGTAATTGTAAGCTAATAATAACTTCCATGGCTATTCTTTTCTCTTTTTTTTTTTTTGAGGTGGAGTTTCGCTCTTGTTGCCCAGGTTGGAGTGCAATGGCACGATCTCGGCTCACTGCAACTTCTGCCTCCCGGGTTCCAGCGATTCTCCTGCCTCAGCCTCCCAAGTACCTGGGATTACAGGCATCAGCCACCCCACCTGGCTAATTTTGTATTTTTAGTAGAGACAGGGTTTCCCCATGTTGGCCAGGCTGGTCACGAATTCCTGACCTCAAGTGATCCACCCCATCAGTCTCCCACAGTGCTGGGATTACAGGTGTAAGCCACCGCACCCAGCCTCTCATCTTATTTTTATTACTTATATTTTTCTACATTATTAGAAGTTATAATACTTATATGCACATTTCTTTAGCCCCAACCCCATTTTTTGATATTAGCTCTATTATTAAGATATTTAATGTCCACCTTCAGATTATATGCTGATGATTCTCTAATCGTTTTTGGTTGTCTGGAGCTTTTTTACTGTTTATTTTCAGGAAGAGCTCATGATAACTCTTTTTTCTTTGGTTTAAAAATGTTTATAATTATTTTTCTCTGGACTTTATGCTGAGAAATTTGGCTGCATACAAAATCTCTGGCTTACATTTTTTCTCAAGTATTTTTAAGTGATTGCTTCATTATTTTGTAGTATAAAATGTTGCTCACAAGAAGCTGGATGCCAGTCTGATTTTCTTTCCCTCATTAGTGATTTGGACTTTTTGTCTGAATGTTGAATTTTTAAATATAAACATAAATTGCAATACTTTTATTAAGATATGTCTCTGCATTGAACATTTTAGGTCCGTTTTCCTAGGTACATAGAATGTCTTTTGAATATGTAGACTCAAATCAGACTTCTTGATTCTCTTGATTTATAGTTTTAAATATTTGTTTGGGGGCGGGTGCGGTGGCTCATGCCTGTAATCCCAGCACTTTGGGAGGCCGAGGCGGGTAGATCATAAGGTTAGCAGATTGAGACCATCCTGGATAACATGGTGAAACCCCGTCTCTACTAAAAATACAAAAAATATAGCCAGGTGTGGTGGCAGGCACCTGTAGTCCCAGCTACTCGGGAGGCTGAGGCAGGAGAATGGCCTGAATCCGGGAGGCAGAGCTTGCAGTGAGCCAAGATCACGCCATTGCACTCCAGCCTTGGCGACAGAGTGAGACTTTGTCTCAAAAAAAAATAAATAGGGGGCGGTTCCAAGATGGCAGAATAGGAACAGCTCCAGTCTGCAGCTCCCAGCATGAGTGATGCAGAAGACAAATGATTTTTGCATTTCCAAATGAGGTACCAGGTTCATCTCACTGGGGACTATTGGACAGTGGGTGCAGGACAGTGGGTGCAGCGCACCAAGCATGAGCCGAAGCAGAGCGAGGCATCGCCTCACCTGGGAAGTGCAAGGGGTCAGGGAATTCCCTTTCCTAGCCAAGGAAAGGGGTGACAGACGGCACCTGGAAAATCGGGTCACTCCCACCCTAATACTGGGCTTTTCCGATGGTCTTAGCAAACGGCACACCAGGAGATTATATCCTGTGCCTGGCTCAGAGGGTCCTACACCCACAGAGCCTCGCTCATTGCTAGCACAGCAGTCTGAGATCAAACTGCAAGGTGCAAGCGAGGCTAGGGGACGGGCGCCTGCCATTGCTGAGGCTTGAGTAGGTAAACAAAGTGGCTGGGAAGCTGGAACTGGGTGGAGCCCACCGCAGCTCAAGGAGGCCTGCCTGTCTCTGTAGACTCCACCTCTGGGGGCAGGGCATAGCCAAACAGAAGGCAGCAGAAACCTCTGCAGACTGAAATGTCCCTGTCTGACAGCTTTGAAGACAGTAGTGGTTCTCCCAGCATGCAGCTTGAGATCTGAGAACGGGCAGACTGCCTCCTCAAGTGGGTCCCTGACCCCCGAGTAGCCTAACTGGGCACACCCCAGTAGGGGCAGACTGACACCTCACATGGCCGGGTACTCCTCTGAGACAAAACCTCCAGAGGAACGATCAGGCAGCAACATTTGCTGTTCACCAATATCCGCTGTTCTGCAGCCTCCGCTGCTGATACCCAGGCAAACAGGGTCTGGAGTGGACCTCCAGCAAACTCTGACAGACCTGCAGCTGAGGGTCCTGACTGTTAGAAGGAAAACTAACAAACAGAAAGGACATCCACACCAAAATCCCATCTGTACGTCACCATCATCAAAGACCAAAGGTAGATAAATCCACAAAGATGGGGAAAAAACAGAGTAGAAAAACAGAAAGTTCTAAAAATCAGAGCACCTCTCCTCCTCCAAAGGAACGCAGCTCCTCACCAGCAACGGAACAAAGCTGGATGGAGAATGACTTTGACTAATTGAGAAAAGAAGGCTTCAGACGATGAAAATTTTCTGAACTAAAGGAGGAAGTTCGAACCCACGGCAAAGAAGTTAAAAACCTTGAAAAAAGATTAGACGAATGGCTACCTAGAATAACCAATGCACAGAAGTCCTTAAAGGACCTGATGGAGCTGACAACCAAGGCACAAGAACTATGTGACGAATGCACAAGCTTCAGTAGCTGATTCAATCAACTGGAAGAAAGGTTATCAGTGATGGAAGATCAAATGAATGAAATGAAGTGAGAAGAGAAGTTTAGAGAAAGAAGAATAAAAAGAAATGAACAAAGCCTCCAAGAAATATGGGACTATGTGAAAAGACCAAATCTACGTCTGATTGGTGTACCTGAAAGTGATGGGGAGAATGGAACCAAGTTGGAAAACACTCTGCAGGATATTATCCAGGAGAACTTCCCCAATCTAGCAAGGCAGGCCAACATTCACATTCAGGAAATACAGAGAACACCACAAAGATACTCCTTGAGAAGAGCAACTCCAAGACACATAATTGACAGATTCACCAAAGTTGAAATGAAGGAAAAAATGTTAAGGGCAGCCAGAGAGAAAGATTGGGTTACCCACAAAGGGAAGCCCATCAGACTAACAGCGGATCTCTTGGCAGAAACTCTACAAGCCAGAAGAGAGTGGGGGCCGATATTACACATTCTTAAAGAAAAGAATTTTCAACCCAGAATCTCATATCCAGCCAAACTAAGCTTCATAAGTGAAGGAGAAATAAAATACTTTACAGACAAGCAAATGCTGAGAGATTTTGTCACCACCAGGCCTGCCCTACAAGAGCTCCTGAAGGAAGCACTAAACACGGAAAGGAACAACTAGTACCAGCCACTGCAAAAACATGCAAATTGGAAAGACCATCGAGGCTAGGAAGAAACTGCAACTAACAAGCAAAATAAGCAGCTAACATCATAATGACAGGATCAAATTCACACATAACAATATTAACCTTAAATGTAAATGGGCTAAATGCTTCAATTAAAAGACACAGACTGGCAAATTGGATAAAGAGTCAAGACCCATCAGCGTGCTGTATTCAGGAAACCCATCTCACGTGCAGAGACACACATAGGCTCAAAATAAAGGGATGGAGGAAAATCTACCAAGCAAATGGAAAACAAAAAAAGGCAGGGGTTGCAATCCTAGTCTCTGTTAAAACAGACTTTAAACCAACAAAGATCAAAAGAGACAAAGAAGGCCATTACATAATAGTAAAGGGATCAATTCAACAAGAAGAGCTAACTATCCTAAATATATATGCACCCAATACAGGAGCACCCAGATTCATAAAGCAAGTCCTTAGTGACCTACAAAGAGACTTAGACTCCCACACAATAATAATGGGAGACTTTAACATCCCACTGTCAACATTAGACAGATCAACGAGACAGAAAATTAACAAGGATATCCAGGAACTGAACTCAGCTCTGCACCAAGCAGACCTAATAGACATCTACAGAACTCTCCACCCCAAATCAACAGATTATACATTCTTCTCAGCACCACGCCGGACTTAATCCAAAATTGACCACATAGTTGGAAGTAAAACACTCCTCAGCAAATGTAAAAGAACAGAAATTATAACAAACTATCTCTCAGACCACAGTGCAATCAAACTAGAACTCAGGATTAAGAAACTCACTCAAAACCGCTCAACTACATGGAAACTGAACAACCTGCTCCTGAATGACTACTGGGTACATAACGAAATGAAGGCAGAAATAAAGATGTTCTTTGAAACCAATGAGAACAAAGACACAACATACCAGAATCTCTGGGACACATTCAAAGCAGTGTGTAGAGGGAACTTTATAGCACTAAATGCCCGCAAGAGAAAGCAGGAAAGATCTAAAATTGACACCCTAACATCACAATTAAAAGAACTAGAGAAGCAAGAGCAAACACGTTCAAAAGCTAGCAGAAGACAAGAAATAACTAAGATCAGAGCAGAACTGAAGGAGATAGAGACACAAAAAACCCTTCAAAAAATCAATGAATCTAGGAGCTGGTTTTTTGAAAAGATCAATAAAACTGATAGACTGCTAGCATGACTAATAAAGAAGAAAAGAGAGAAGAATCAAATAGATGCAATAAAAAATGATAAAGGGGATATCACCACTGATCCCACAGAAATACAAACTACCATCAGAGAATACTATAAACACCTCTACACAAATAAACTAGAACATCTAGAAGAAATGGATAAATTCCTCGACACATACACCCTCCCAAGACTAAACCAGGAAGAAGCTGAATCTCTGAATAGACCAATAATAGGCTCTGAAGTTGAGGCAATAATTAATAGCTTACCAATCAAAAAAAAGTCCAGGACCAGACGGATTCACAGCTGAATTCTACCAGAGGTACAAGGAGGAGCTGGTACCATTCCTTCGGAAACTATTCCAATCAATAGAAAAAGAGGGAATCCTCCCTAACTCATTTTATGAGGCCAGCATCATCCTGATACCAAAGCCTGGCAGAGACACAACAAAAAAAGAGAATTTTAGACCAATATCCCTGATGAACATCGATGCAAAAATCCTGAGTAAAATACTGGCAAACCGAATCCAGCAGCACATCAAAAAGCTTATCCACCATGGTCAAGTGGGCTTCATCCCTGGGATGCAAGGCTGGTTCAACATATGCAAGTCAATAAACATAATCCAGCATATAAACAGAACCAATGACAAAAACCACATGATTATCTCAATAGATGCAGAAAAGGCCTTTGACAAAATTCAACAACCCTTCATGCTAAAAACTCTCAATAAATTAGGTATTGATGGGACCTATCTCAAAATAATAAGAGCTATCTATGACAAACCCACAGCCAATATCATACTGAATGGACAAAACCTGGGAGCATTCCCTTTGAAAACTGGCACAAGACAGGGATGCCCTCTCTCACCACTCCTATTCAACATAGTGTTGGAAGTTCTGGTTAGGGCAATCAGGCAGGAGAAGGAAATAAAGGGTATTCAATTAGGAAAAGAGGAAGTCAAATTGTCCCTGTTTGCAGATGACATGATTGCATATCTAGAAAACTCCATCGTCTCAGCGCAAAATCTCCTTAAGCTGATAAGCAGCTTCAGCAAAGTCTCAGGATACAAAATCAATGTGCAAAAATCACAGGCATTCTTATACACCAATAACAGACAAACAGAGAGCCAAATCATGAGTGAACTTCCATTCACAATTGCTTCAAAGGAATAAAATACCTAAGAATCCAACTTACAAGGGATGTGAAGGACCTCTTCAAGGAGAACTACAAACCACTGCTCAACAAAATAAAAGAAGATACAAACAAATGCAAGAACATTCCATGCTTATGGGTAGGAAGAATCAATATCATGAAAATGGCCATACTGCCCAAGGTAATTTATAGATTCAATGCTATCCCCATCAAGCTACCAATGACTTTCTTCACAGAATTGGAAAAAACTACTTTAAAGTTCATATGGAACCAAAAAAGAGCCCGCATTGCCAAGTCAATCATAAGCCAAAAGAACAAAGCTGGAGGCATCATGCTACCTGACTTCAAACTATACTACAAGGCCACAGTAACGAAAACAGCATGGTACTGGTACCAAAACAGAGATATAGACCAATGGAACAGAACAGAGCCCTCAGAAATAATGCCATGTATCTACAACTGTCTGATCTTTGACAAACCTGAGAAAAACAAGAAATGGGGAAAGGATTCCCTATTTAATAAATGGTGCTGGGAAAACTGGCTAGCCATATGTAGAAAGCTGAAACTGGATCCCTTCCTTACACCTTATACAAAAATTAATTCAAGATGGATTAAAGACTTAAATGTTAGATCAAAAACCATAAAAACCCTAGAAGAAAACCTAGGCAATACCATTCAGGACATAGGCATGGGCAAGGACTTCATGTCTAAAACACCAAAAGCAATGGCAACAAAAGCCAAAATTGACAAATGGGATCTAATTAAACTAAAGAGCTTCTGCACAGCAAAAGAGAAACTACCATCAGAGTGAACAGGCAACCTACAGAATGGGAGAAAATCTTTGCAATCTACTCATTTGACAAAGGGCTAATATCCAGAATCTACAAAGAACTCAAACAAATTTACAAGAAAAAAACAAACAACACCATCAACAAATGGGCGAAGGATATGAACAGACACTTCTCAAAAGAAGACATTTATGCAGCCAACAGACACATGAAAAAATGCTCATCATCACTGGCCATCAGAGAAATGCAAATCAAAACCACAATGAGATACCATCTCACACCAGTTAGAATGGTGATTATTAAGAAGTCAGGGAAAAACAGGTGCTGGAGAGGATGTGGAGAAATAGGAAGACTTTTACACTGTTGGTGGGACTGTAAACTAGTTCAACCATTGTGGAATTCAGTGTGGCGATTCCTCAGGGATCTAGAACTAGAAATACCATTTGACCCAGCCATCCCATTACTGGGTATATACCCAAAGGATTATAAATCATGCTGCTATAAAGACACATGCACACGTATGTTTATTGCAGCACTATTCACAATAGCAAAGACTTGGAACCAACCCAAATGTCCAACAATGATCTGGATTAAGAAAATGTGGCACATATATACCATGGAATACTATGCAGCCATAAAAAAGGATGAGTTCATGTCCTTTGTAAGGACATGGATGAAACTGGAAACCATCATTGTGAGCGAACTATCACAAGGACAAAAAACCAAACACCACATGTTCTCACTCATAGGTGGGAGTTGAACAATGAGAACACGTGGACACAGGAAGGGGAACATCACACACCGGGGCCTTTTGTGTGGTTGGGGAGGGGGGAGGGATGCATTAGGAGATACACCTAATGTAAATGACGAGTTAATGGGTGCAGCACACCAACATGGCACATGTATGCATATGTAACAAACCTGCCCATTGTGCACATGTACCCTAAAACTTAAAGTACAATAAAAATAAATAAATAAATAAATAAATAAATACTAGTTTGGCTGCATTGCTTTGATTTTCTTCTTTAGGGGCCTGTTCATACATACAAAGGATACCATTTACCTGTCTTCTATATGACTTTCTCTTAAATCCTTTCATTCTTTTGTTTTAATTTTTATCTTCACATCCTTTATTTCTGTCACTGTGCTGTCCATAGAGTTTGTCTGCTGTGTGTCCTTATAATTAAGTCTATGTTCTGAATGTTTTTCCTTTTTTAGAAATTCAGTTCTAAAGTGTTTAATTTCTCGTATTTTTTTTTCTGTTGCCTCACCATATCATTTCTGAGTTTTCTGTTTCTGAAATGTGCAACTAACTCTTTCCAAGCATTGACCAGATTCTTCAGTCTTTTTAATTCATTCTGAAATAACTGGGCTACAGTTTCATCTGCTTTGTGGACAGAAGTGCCACAAAGAGCCGAATTGTCAGTGCAGACCCACATGAATCATAGATCTTAACGAGGTTTTTACTAACGACTAGCAAAGGATACAAGCTAAAAATGGGTACAAGCAAACACAGCATCATTCATCACTGTAAAGACTCTGAACTATCACATGGAACTTCAAAAGGATTCTTCTTCTTTGCTGCAATGTGTTTTGATTTTTGGAGTGATAGATGTTTGCTAACTACGCACGTGACAAAAATTTGCTTAGAGGAAGCCATGTTAGTTTTGATGCTACTCAACTTTGTATTTTGTTAGTCATGAGATAGAAAGCCTGTGAGATTACATGCCCTTCTTTTAGCAGCTGCATCCCATAAAATTAAAAATTCCAGTTTTTTTTAAACCATGAACAATTTAGTCAGACTTAATATATCCTATTTAAAACATTCTTAGATAAGAACTTCCTTTGTTATTTTGCTAATATACAATCCCACCAAATGTCTACAAGAAGGGCTAGTTAATCAATATACCAAAGATCAAATCTATTTATATGAACCACAAATACAAAACATAATTATACATATATAATTTTATATAATTTAATTTATAATTATATACATTTTATAGCAGCAATCAAAACTATCATGTATTTTGGGATGAATTTAATAAAGAAATAGCAGGAGCTCTGTAGAAACAAGTATGAACTTCTATTGGAAGACAGTAATATCATAAAACATTAAAAAGAAAGCTATACCATGTTTATGGTTAGGAAGATTCACTATTGAAAATACATCAATTCTTGACAAATCGGTCTATAAATTCAGTGCGTGTCCAATCAATATATTTAGCTCATTTAAAATGTATATGGAAAAGGCTAAGTACCAAAGATAATCAAATGCTCTTGGAAGATGAAAATTAAAGTTGAGAGATGGGGTAAAAAACTATAATTCAGTTCTAAAGTCATAAAGCTATAATAATTAATACAGTATGGCATTGGCATAGAAATAAGCACATTGACTAAATAAATAGAAAATACAGTTCAGAAACCAAACTCTACATTTATGAAAAACTGACCTATATCAGAACGAGCATTGAGACTACAGGAGAACAGAGGAACTAGTAAGTTAATGGTCCTGACACAATTGATATCTACATAGAAAAAAAAACTTAATCCTTCTTTACTCTATGTAAAAACAATAATTCCAGATGAATGTAGGACTTAATGGAGAGCCAAAACTAAAACTTTTATAGGAAAACATAGAAAAATACCTATCTCAGGGTCGGGAATTAGGTCTTCAACATGGCACCAAAAGTACTAACCATAAAAGAAACATTAATAAAGTCAACCTTTTTAAAATCAACAACTTTAATTAAAAAACCAGGGCCAGGCACGGTGGCTCACGCCTGTAATCCCAGGAGGCCAAGGCAGGCAGATCACGAGGTCAGGAGATCGAGACCAGCCTGGCCAACATGGCAAAACCTCGTCTCTACTAAAAATATAAAAATTAGCTGGGCGTGGTGGCGGGTGCCTGTAGTCCCAGCTACTTGGGAGGCTGAGGCAGGAGAATGGTGTGAACCTGGGAGGCGGAGCTTGCAGTGAGCTGAAATCGTGCCACTGCACTCCAGCCTGGGCAACAGTGCGAGACTCCATCTCAAAAAACAAAAACAAAAACAAAATCAAAACAAAAAACAAAACACAGGTTGCTGGAAAAATGGTTACTTATTTTTATTATGCTTTATAAAATATACAGTTATATTATCAAACTTCTTTTGTAAGAATCAAATATTATGCTGAGAATATGGCAAGAAAAAAGAAAACAACCTCCACCACTCATAATGGCATTCCCTTTACCCACCATCAACTAAGTCAGGAACCTGCGTCACTTTCAAGTTTTCTGAAATGTGGACTGAAAATACTTGTGGAGGGCCCTCACAGATGCATTTAGAAATGGTATGTTCTGGAAAATGGAACTGAAATGTTTTAGCGAGAGTCATGGGCCCAAACCTTGAAATAGAGGTTGGTGGAGTTTTCTATAGTATGTAATTACAACACAATAAGACTCAAAAGCATTTCAATAAAGTGTGGATGGAAGACAAGATACTGCTTCAAGGGCTTCATTAGCTTTCTGCAGACTGGAGCTCTCCAAGGCATGGGGAGGAACCCTGTTTACCTTTGGTTCAGAATCAGTTTTAACCATCATTGAGGGCTAGGTCAGAGTGCAGCATTAAGTCCTTGGGAATACACTGGGTGGGGAAAGAAAAGAGAGCAATGTTTTTCTAAAAGCCCAGAAATGGGCTTACTGTGTTTACCAGTTGTTTCCAGGATAATGTATTGCAGTGCCAATTGCTGATGAGATGGTAGGATTATACTTCAGTCCCTGCTTTACATTTATTTCTTAAAGAAGCTTCTGGTAAATTAGAGCAATAGCATCGGCTTAGTTTAGTGTTGTTCTGTTGGACTAAGGATATCAGTTCTATCCGTATGGTCGGGCCTAAAGCCTGGGAAATATTTAATGAAGGGAGAGAGGGGGAGAGAGTGAGCATGCAAAAGAGAGAGAGAAAAACAAATAACAAAACAAAAACCAAGACATTTCCCTTTATAGTAAGAATGATGAGGAAAACATGTTTAGCCATACAAGATATCAAGATAATCTCTTATTTCTTTCTTGAAAATGCAAGTACAAATGCCTGCAAAGATAAAATATCCTCTGGATGGAGTGGAAAGGTTCACCAGGCCTCTGAAATCACGTGAATGATGTTGCGCTTTGCTGTTAATGAAGCTCGGTGCATTTTTCATTTCAGTTTCTACTAAGCATTTATGAGCTATTACCCTTCCCTTCCCTAAACTGCGTTGTTTTTTAAAAAGCCTTAGAGGCATTCCTTCTAGAAAATAAAGGTAAGTGTTAAGTGGTGATAATTTGGTAATAGGTGTCATGCTTGTGGTTCATAATGTGTTACCCTACACATTTTCTCAATTATCCCTAGAACAGCTTTTTGAGGATATGAAGTTAGACCTTACAAAGCACATCTTTCTGCTGGAAAAATGAGGTTTATAGTGGTTAAGTTTAGTTGCTTATGATCACAAGGCTAGAGAGTGGCCGGAATCAAGACTCTTCACCCTGATTTCAGTGCTTTTTCACTCCACCATTAATATTTATTGTTGATAAATAATATCAACACTTTCCTAGGTGTATTAGGGTCATCTAGAGGGACAAGACTAATAGGATAGATGTATATATGAAAAGGAGTTTATTAAGGAGTATTGACTCACACCATCACAAGGTGACGTCCCACAATAGGCCATCTGCAAGCTGAGGGGCAAGGAAGCCAGTCTGAGTCCCAAAACCTCAAAAATAGGGAAGCTGACAGTGCAGCCTTCAGTCTGTGGCCAAAGGCCCAAGAGCCCCTGGCAAACCACTAGTGTAGGTCCAAGAGTCCAAAAGCTAAAGGATTGGAGTCCAATGTTTGAGGGCAGGAAGCATCCGTCATGGGAGAAAGATGGAAGCCAGAAGACAGCCAGTCTAGTCCTTCCACGTTCCTCTGCCTGCTTTTATCCTAGCCACGCTGGCATGATGATGACATGGTGCCCGCCCAGATTGAGGATGGGTCTCCATCTTCCAGTTCACTGACACAAATGTTAATCTTCTTTGGTAATACCCTCACAGACACACCCAAGGACAGCACTTTGCATCCTTCAATACAATCAAGTTGGCACTCAATAATAACCATCACAAGTCCACACCTTGTCAACTTGATCCCACATACATCTCCTTAAATCATACATGATCTCCAAATACAGACAATAATGTCATAATTACACTGAACATAATACAACTATCGTTCATACAACCAGAAATGCACCAATTCCCAAACCAAATGTTATTACATAAAGTTAACAACACTTAAATGCTGATATGAAGTCAATAAATACTTTTTTTTTTTAAAAGATGGAGTCTTGCTTTGTTGCCCAGGCTGGAATGCAGTGGTGCGATATTGGCTCACTGCAACCTCCGCCTCCTGGGTTCAAGCAATTCTCTGCCTCAGCCTCCCGAGTAGCTGGGATTACAGGCACCCACCGCCACACCTGGCTAATTTTTGTATTTTTAGTAAAGACGGGGTTTTGCCATCCTGGCCAGGCTGGTCTTGAACTCCTGACCTCGTGATCCACCCACCTCGGCCTCCCAAAGTGGTGGATCCCAAAGTGATCCACCCACCTTGACCTCCCAGGTTGTAAGCCACTAAATCTTATGTCACATGATACAGGAAAAAGAAAGGAAGTAAAATGAAGATATTGTCTTAGTACAAGTGTATACAGGCAGAAAGATGTTCTTAACAAAATAAGGAGGAAATACTCATGACAATTACAGTAACCTGGTTGCTGCAACTCATCACATGGTCGTAGCTGTTATTGATGACTACCTTCTTCTACAACCCATTCTGTTTTCCCTTTGCCTCTAGCAAGTACCTCAGCAGGTCATGGTTCTTTACCTGGTGGAGTGTCCCAAACCTTCATTCCTGAAGGGTCTGGGCCATTTGTAGTCCTGCCTGGATCGAGTTGTTGTCATTTTTTATTGACCTTAATCACAGGGCTTGGTAATACTAAGAGACACCCTAAGGAATTTCCTGTATTCCACACATGTTCTTCCTTACCTTCATTATGGAGTAGTAGACTGAGTTCATCTTGATAGGCTAAGTCAGTCACCCCAGCCAACACTAACTCCTTTCTTAGCCTGTTGACTTAGAGGTAGGAGGAGCCCGAGATTGCAATCTTAATTTCCAGTTTAATGAAATCATTATTGTGTCTCCTGGTGGCAACATTCATCGCCCTGGAACTGAGACTTCTAGGCCAGCAGAACGTAATGCTGTGGAACAAGAAGCACAAATTTTACTAGCGGGTCTCTAGGGGTGATGGTGAGTGGTGCCACTTCCATTTCCACCCCTTGATTCCTGGACCCATGAATCCTGGCTATGGGAGAAACAGTACCAAATACTGGACACTGATCCGGAGCATACACAGCCTTCTGGAAAACTTTGCCCCAGCCCTGCAAAGTATTGTCGCCTAGTTGGCATTGTAATTGTGACTTCAAAAGGCCATTCCACCGTTCTATCAATCCGGCTGCTTCAGGATGATGGGGAACAGGGTAAGACCAGTGAATTCCATGAGCATGAGCCCACTGCTGCACTTCTTTAGCCATAAAGTGAGTGCCTTGTTCAGAGGCAATGCTGTGTGTAATGCCATGACAGTGGGTAAAGCATTCCATAAGTCCATGGATGGTAGTCTTGGCAGAAGCATTGCCTGCAGGATAGGCAAACCCATATCTAGAGTAAGTGCCCATTCCAGTGAAGACAAACCACTGTTCTTTCTGTGATGGAAGAGGTTCAGTATAATCAACCTGCCACCAAGTAGCTGGCTGATCACCCCGAGGAATGGTGCCATATCGCGGCCTCAGTGTTTGTCTCTGCTGCTGGCAAATTGGGCACTCAGTTGTGGCTGTAGCCAGGTCAGCCTTGGTACGTGGAAGTCCATGTTGCTGAGCCCGTGCGTAACCTCCATCCCTGCCACCACAGCCACTTTGTTCATGGGCCTATTGGGCGATGACAATGGTGGCTGGGGAAAGAGGCTGAGTGGTATCCACAGAACGAGTCATCCAATCCACTTGATTATTAAAATCCTCCTCTGCTGAGGTCATCTTTTGGTGAGCACTCACATGAGATACAAATATCTTCACAGTTTTTGACCACTCAGAGAGGTCCATCCATCCACATACCTCTTCCCCAAATTTCATTGTCATCAGTTTTCCAATCATGCTTCTTTCAAGTCCCTGACCATCCAGCCAAACCATTGGCTACCTCCCATGAATCAGTATATAATCACACATCTTGCCATTTCTCCTTCTAAGCAAAGTGCACAGCCAGGGGCACTGCTCAAAGTTCTGTGCATTGGGAAGATTTCCCTTCACTGCTGCCCTTCAGGGATGTCCTAGAAAGGGGCTGTAGTGCTGCAGCTGTCCACTTTTGGGTGGTGACTGCATCATGCAGAGCCATCTGTAAACCAGGCCCTTGTCTTCTCTTCCTCTGTCAGCTTATCATAGGGAACTCCCCATGAGGCCATCAGTGCAGGCTGGGGGAGAGAAGGCAGGGTGGCAGGAGTGGGGACCATGGGCATTTGAGCTACTTCCTCATGTAAAGTACTTGTTCCCTCAGGACTTGCTTGAGCCTGATCATGTATATACCACTTCCATTTGATGATGGAATGCTGCTGTGCACAACCCACTTTATGGCTAGATGGGTCAAAAAGCATCTAGTTCATGATAGGCAATTTAGGTAGCTTGGTGATTTGATGACCTGTAGTCAAACATACAGTTTCTACCAAAGCACAGTAACAGGCCAAGAGTTGTCTCTCACAAGGAGAGTAGTTATCTGCAGGAGATGCAGGGCCTTGCTCCAAATTCCTAGAGGCCTCCCCTGTGATTGACCTATAGGGGCCTGCCAAGGGCTCCAAACAACATCCCTATCTGCCATTGACACTTCAAGCACCATTGGATCTGCCAGGTCATATGGCCCAAGTGGCAGAGCAGCTTGCCAAGCATTCTGGACCTGTTGCAGAGCCTTCTCTTCTGGATCCCACTCAAAACTGGAAGCCTTTCAGGTCACTTGATAAATGGGCTGGAGTAACACACCCAAATGAGGAATGTGTTGCCTCCAAAATCCAAATAGGCCTGCTAGGCATTGTGCCTCTTTCTTAGTTGTAGGAGGGGCCAAAGGCAGCAACTTATCCTTCATCTTAGAAGGAATATCTTGACAGACCCCACACCACTGGACCCCTAGAAGTTTTACTGAGGTAGAAGTTCCCTAAATTTTAGTCAATTTTATTTCCCAACCTCTGGCACACAAGTGTCTCACCAATAAATCCAGTATGTTTGCTACTTCTTGCTCATTGGATCCAATCAGCATAATGTCATGAATATAATGGACCAGTGTGATATCTTGTGGAAGAGAAAAACTATCAAGATCTCTCCAACAAGATTATGACACAAAGCTGGAGAATCGATATACCCCTGAGGTAGGACAGTAAAGGTATATTGCTGGCCTTGCCAGCTGAAGGCAAATTGCTTCTGCTGGGCCTTATGGACAGGAATGGAGAAAAAGCCATTTGCCAAATCAATGGTTGCATACCAGGTACCAGGAGATGTGTTAATTTGCTCAAGTAATGAACCCATATCTGGTCCAGCAGCTGCAATTGGAGTCACCGCTTAGTTAAGCTTACAATAATCCACTGTCATTTTACAAGATCCATCTGTCTTCTGCACAGGCCAAACAGGAAAGTTGAACGGGGATGTGGTGGGAATCGCCACCCCTGCATCTTTGAAGTCCTTGATGGTGGCACTAACTTCCTCCAGGGATGCAATGTTGTGTTTGATTTACTATTTTTCTAGGTAGAGGCAGCTGTAATGGCTTCCATTTGGCCTTTCCCACCATAATAGCCCTCACCCTACCAGTCAGGGAGCCAATGTGGGGGTTCTGCCAGCTGCTAAATATGTCTATGCCAATTATGCATTCTGGCACTAGGGAAATGACCACAGGATGAGTCTGGGACCCACCAGCCCCACTGTAAGTTGGACCTGAGCTAAAATTCCATTAATTAACTGATCTCCAAAAGCCCCTACTTTAACTGGAGGACCACGTGATGTTTTGGGTCCCCTGGAATCAACGTCAGCTCAGAGCCAGTGTCCAGTTGTCCCTGAAATGTCTGATTATTTCCCTTTCCCCAGTGCACAGTTACCCTGGTAAAAGGCCAGAGGTCTCCTGGGGGAAGGATGGGAGAAAGAGTCACTGCATAAATTGTCAGCAATGTAGTGGGGTCCTTCCTCAAGGGGACCCAGCCTCCCCTTCATTCAAGGGGTTCTGGGTCTATAAACTGGTTCAAGTCTGCAAATTGATTGAGGGGCCGTGATTCTTTGTATAATTTTTAATTTAAATTAGTCTTTTGTCTACTTGACCTGGAAGTTTTCTGCTTATATAAATTAAGCAAGAATGCAGTAGGCCTCTTGTCAATTTCACTTTTTAGGAACACTGAGATTAAGTAGCCAATGCCAGAGCTCTACACAAGTCAGACTATTCTGATTGTTGCCTTGCCTCCGCTGACCTTTACGGTAATTGCACCCACCTTGCCTTGATGCTTGAGTGCCACCACTTGGCCCATGCCACCTCAGGATCCAATTATTACCATTGTATTTAAATTTTGTAGTTGAATGACTGTGGTTCCCACTATAATATCTAGCATGCAGAGAAGAGCAATCACAGAGCTCTTCAAGGATGCAGGTGCTGCCCTCACAAATCTATTTCACAATGTGCTGGTCAAAGGTATATCTTCTGTACTCTCCCAGCTGGGATGAGTAGGACTAAAGTGACGAATTCACTCCACCATCCCAGTCTCCATAAGCCTTTGGATCCCTTCCTCTACATTAAACCAAGGGAGATCAGGCATTTCCAGCTCACTCACAGTGGGCCACCTTTTGATCTATATTTCAGCTAACCAAGCAAATAAACTATTAGAACCTTTTTTAACTCTCCAAGCTGCAACATTAAATGCAGAATTCCTGCTTAGTGGGCCCAAATCAATCAATTCAGCCTGATCCAACTTTATGTTCCTTCTACCATTAGCCCACACCCTTAATATCCATTCCCATGCCTGTTCTCCAGATTTCTGCTTATATAAATTAGAAAACTCAAGCAGTTCTTTTGGAGTGTAGCGCACCTCCTTGTGGGTCACATTCTGAACCTCATCTCTAAGGGGCCTGCCGGGACTTTAGTCTAGTTCTATAACTATAAGCAAACAGGGGTATTGAGGGTGGGTCCTTAGGAGAATCAACATCGTCTTTCCTGGCAACTGCCTCAAGGGAGGTCATCGCTGATGCCTTAGGCAGTGCAGGGTTAAACTCCTCAGACAAAGGTGAAAAGCCTGATGGCAGCGCAGGTGGAGGAGGGGATGTTGCCTCCCCTCTGTTGCCTGTTTCCTCTGGTAAAAAAGATTCATCAGAATTTAGAAGCTCAGTGCCCCCAGCCTTATCAGGGTCCTCCCGCATGGCCCCATTCCAAGTTGCAGGGTACCATTCTTTTTCAATCAATGCTGTCACTTTAACAGTAAACACCTGGCAAGGCTGTGCACGTACCTTTCGTTGCAGGTCAGCCACTCACATGATAAGAGCTTGTGTCTGATTTTCCGCAATTTCAGCTCTTTCTCTACAGGAGATAAGACTCGAACCCAGGGCAATCTTAGAAGATTTGAGGCTCAGAATGTGGTTCTGGAGCTGGGAGATAGAATCCCTGAGTTCATCATTTTTTTGTTTTCATCACTTTGATTAGTGAACTTAGGAGCAACCAACTAGCTTCATTATATTCCTTGGTTCTCCACATATGGTTAAAGGTATTAGGTATAAAGTCACTAAACTCCTTGCCTCTCATGAGCAGTGAATCAGGAGTATCAGATGCATTTATTTTGCATAACTCTCTACACAGTTCACAGCAAGGACTATCAGTGTTCTCCACACTATTAGAAGTAGAGTCCCTAGCATTTTGGCGTCTAATCATATTTAGCAGCCAACTCCAGAAACCCCAAAACCATCTAAAGAAATCCATCCGTAAAATTCTGTTCCTCTAGAACCACTCCTGGTACCAAAATCTGTATTAGTCAGGATTCGCTAGAGGGACAGGACTCACAGGTGAGATGTATATATAAAAGGCAGTTTATTAAGGAGAATTGACTCACACAATCACAAGGTGAAGTCCCACAATAGTCTGCAAGCTGAGGAGCAAGGAAGCCAGTCCAAGTCCCAAAACCTCAAAACTAGGGAAGCCGACAGTGCGGCCTTCAGTCTCTGGCTGACAGCCTGAGGGCCCCTGGCAAACCACTGGTGTAGGTCTAAGAGTTCAAAAGCTGAAGAACTTGTAGTCCAATGTTCGAGGCCAGGAAGCATCCAGCACAGGAGAAAGATGGAAGCCGGAAGACTTAGCCAGTCTAGTCCTTCCATGTTCCTCTGCCTGTTTTTGTCCTAGCCATGCTGGCAGCTGATTAGATGGTGCCCACCCAGATTGAGGATGGGTCTCTATCTTCCAGTCCACTGACTCAAATGTTAATCTCCTTTGACAACACCCTCACAGACTCACTCAGGAACAATACTTTGCATCCTTCAATTCAATCACATTGACACTCAGTATTAACCATCACCCTAGGCTTTAGGGATATAGGGAAAAACATGACTCATTGCTGTTATCTGAGAGTACATAATCTATTGGAAGAAAGGAAAACAGTTACATGTAAGGCTTATATCAGTATAAATTAGATAACTGCCAAGTGAGAGAGGTAGAGGTAGCAAGTGCTGTCTGTGGGTGCATGTTAACTCAGTCTTAATCTTGGAAGAAGTGGCAGTGTGGAATGGTACATGGAGAAGCAGAAGGGACAATTACTGTGAGCAGATGAATGGCTCACTACAGGGGCATGGGAAGAAGATGCAAGAGCAGTGGAATCTTTAATTGACGAACCTGGTACCAAGCTGCCAAGTCTTAGTCTCAGGACTGGCACCGTGCACTTGGCCATTGAAAAGACTTTGGAACCTGTGGAGTGAAGAGTTGTAGGAATTTTCAAAGCCTCAGTGTAGGAACAATGTGAGAATCAACCAGGGCATGGTACTCCACACTGTGTTCAGATCCACTGGTGTTAGGGGAGTCCCAGAGAGGCCTCTTAGAGGGTTGAGGAGGATGGGATCAGGCATAGCAGAGACTAGGGACACGAGGCTCTGCGGCCAGACTGCAGGTCTGCTACCAACTACAGTGTGATTTTGCCTAGTCACATAATCTCTGTGGGCCTCAGTTTTTTGTTTTTTGTTTTTTTCTATTACAACAGTACCTTTCTCGTGGAGTTGTAGTGATTAGATATCTAGTACCAAGACTATGCTTGTTAGCACTGAGTAAGAACTCAATGAAGGTTAGCTTTCATTGGTACTATATTACTATTGTTAGTGTTGGTGGTGGAGCTGAATCGCCTAACCTATGAGGTTGGTGCTGAAATGAAGAAAAGAATAACAGTGTTTTAAGAAGTTTGGTCACTAGAAGTGGAGCTTAGTAATTAAAGAAAAAGAGTGAACACTTTTACCTTCTTGTGGAAGTTAGTAAGTCTACAAAATGTTAATTCTGCATTTGAATGATCATTTGGGAGACTCTTATTGTCCTATTTGCACTGAAAAAGTCACTGAATCATTATTTTAGAACTGGAATAACACCTGAGATCTAGGCCAGCACTTTGCAAGTTGTGCTCTATGGGACTTTTCATGGAAGTGGCTGAGGAGTTGCCTTGAAGGAAGGCAGAGGGAGTGGGTCTTGGGACACCCTTCCAGTTATAAAACAGGACGTTGATTCTGTTTTGTAGTTGCAGCATCACATATAATTTCATTTATTAAGAGGATCCCACTTCTAAAAATAAGTTGAAAACCAGTGATTTAATCCAGCCTCTCTGTTTGCATATGAGGAAATGGAATTCCGGAAAGGTTAGGTGATTTGTCCAAGGTTGCAGACTAGACTATTTATTAATAGAGTAGGGTCAGGAACAAAAGCCTGCTCCTTGCTGGTCCAGCGCCTGTTACTAGTTACATAATGAATGCTACCTATTGCTGCACAGTGCCAAATCATTGCACTTTTCAGATTTTACTCTAATCAAAAGAAAAAAATTAAAGTGCACTTCCAAATCAGTACTTATATGCAAGAGCTTCAAGAAACAAACTAGTATTTAACTTGGTGGTTACATATTGACTGTATTTTCATTGAGTGAGGTTAGAAGAGATTGAGAAGCGTGAAATGAAGTTACAAAGTAGAAACTATATGGTGAACTCAAGGCAAAGATTGTCCATAGTAAAAGAAGACAAAATAAGAATGAAAGAGACAAAAGAATTGCCAATGAGTTGTAATCTTAAAAGAAAGATATATTTAATAAAATAGGATTGATTGTTTTGAATGTGGGCTGAGAAGTCCTGCCATCTTCCATTGACTCTGCTCACAGGCCTTGTTTGTGAACTGGCTTCCATGGATAGCATTACTCTCCTGACAGCTGCAGCTCCAAATTCAGCATGAAAAGGCTGGCAATTCTAAGAGGAAGGGAGGGTTTAGGCCACTTTTAATTCTACTTTGTCATTGCAAGTTTCTTGCATTGTTTGGCATTTGTTGGTCTTCCTTACTGGATTTCAAAACTAGAACACTTTTTCCTAGCCTTGGAACCAACCACGAAAATAACCACCTCTTACCCTCATGAAGAACACTTTAAGTTTTTCTCTTTTAAAAATGAAGTCTGGAATATCTCCAAACATCTTGTCACTCACGCCTTCATTTAAATGTCACCCTCTCAACCACAAGGAAACTAAAATTGCCCCCTACTTGCTACTCCCTGTTTTATTTTCTAGTAGAACATACTACAGTTGGAGATCATCTCATCCATGTCTTTTATTCTTGTCTCTTATTTGCCTCTGCTTGACTGTAAGCTCATGGAAAGTAAGGGACCTTCACCAACTAGCAAAGTGCTTAGGACCTAGTAAGAACCTGGTCAATTCTAACTGAGTGAATGACTGAATTCCTGTGAGAAGTCAACATGAAAATTCCTAGGTCATTAGTTTAGTTATTGGAACTCCAACACTGTATTGGAAAAGTGTCATGGAAAGGATAGTTAGTGGATTAAGGTTTTTTATAAGAGGAAGAGGGAAAGAAAGGCATTGTCTTTACTTCAGGCATTTCAATGGCCATGATGGAGCCTAAATATTGTATGTTGCATTTTGTTTTGGTTTTGTGTGCACAAGAGCTTTGCCAGTGGAATGAACGGGTTAAGAAATGTGAGTTTTCTTTTCGTCCTGCTATAGAGACTTAAGGAATTGCCCTGTGTGAGTTCCTTGAGGGCAGAGAAAAATACAAATCCATGAATACCTGAAAGCCCTGATTTGGCCCCTAAGCAATCTATGCATGTAACAACATTGCATTTGTACCCTGTACATTTATAAACATTTTAAGAAAAGTATAAGAGAAACACAAATTTTGGTTACTCCTCTCTGAAAACTGCTCTGATGTCGCTTGGCCGGGGGAATTAAGACCTCTTCCTGTGGCCTGTGGCCACTATGTGCTCCCGGCTCTCCAGGCTCATCCAGGGCCACTGTGCCTGGGGTCACAGGGTTCCAGGATGTCAACCTTCTTTCAGCTTCTCTGACTCCTCAAGCATTTTTTTTTTTTTTTTTTTTTTTTTTTGGTTTCCAAGACCCAAACGCATGTCTCTCTTCTTGGCACACTCTTCCCAACTTTTTTCCTGGCTAATTGCTAGTTATTTAGTTTGAGATTAAATGTCACTCCCTCGGCCTGGCGCGGTGGCTCACGCCTGTAATCCCAGCACTTTCGGACGCCGAGGCAGGTGGACCACGAGGTCAAGAGATCGAGACCATCCTGGCCAACATGGTGAAACCCCGTCTCTATTAAAAATACAAAAAAATTTAGCCAGGCGTGGTGGCATGTGCCTGAAGTCCCAGTTACTCGGGAGGCTGAGGCAGGGGAATTGCTTGAGGAGGATATTGCAGTGAGCTGGATCGCACCTCTGCACTCCAGCCTGGAGACAAAGTGTGACACCATCTCAAAAAAAAAAAAAAAAAAAAAAGTCACTCACTCACAGAGGGCTTCTCAGATACTCCCCTGCCCCCTCATTTAAGTTGCACCGCTTGTTGTATTCTCTTATAAGCCCCATTCTTTTTCTTCTTGGCATTGATCAAATTAACAGCTTTATTTTATTTTAGCATTGTGAGTGTATATGTGTGTTTAATGTCTGCTTCCTGACTAAACTGTACCCTGCAGGAAGGCAAAACTGTGTCTGTGTTGCTCATTGTTAAACCTTCAGCACTGAACTCAGTGCCTCGAACATAGGAGATTCCAACTCAATATTTACTGCGTGAAGGAATGAATGAATCTTTATGTCCCTCGTGCCTAACATAAAGTCTGCCATATACAATGGACTAAAAAATAGTATTCAGCTAAAACTGAGTTACGGAGAAGATGAAGTATTAATTGTATTTTTTACAGAGAAACAATGGTCAGTGTATCAAAAATAGAGACCCTGCTCTCAGATATATAACATAGAACTCTCTTCATTCATTTGCCTTCATTTTAGTTAACAGAATCTGTTCATCTAAGTAGAGCAGAGAAAAACTTCATAATTGCTGTGTCTGTGTTATTCCAAAACATTTAAACAAAAGGTGAATAACTGAGGTATTCTTCCCTGTGGTACATACTTGATGTGGGCATTTTAAAAGATTGATCAAATCTCCTTTCAGCTGGATATTTGAGTAGGCACAACCATTACAGAATTTTCCTCTAGGGACTTACTTTAGCTCTTAAACTATGTAAACTGAACAAGCAAACTCAAGTGGATCATTATCTATAGAAGTATAGAATTCCATCTCCCTTTGGCAAACCATTCAAACCCAGAAGTGTGTTTTACACATTCTGACAGAAGCATCTGTAATAACCAACTCTAACCTCCTTTCTTACCACTTTAGCACCCAAAAGTATAAGAAAAGAGGACATGTTAAGGCTTGTTCTATTTATTAGAAAATATATAAAGAGTTCTTGGCTTAAGAACTCTTCTGGCTATCAGCTCCCTGATGTGAAAAAAGTAAATAGCAAGGGGTAGCATGGAGTCTTACTCCCGTGTGACAGACAGCTTAAGAAAGACAATTGGACATCATGTGACTACATGATTCAAGCTAAAGTCCAGACACATCTTTTCCATAGGCCAATTGAACATTTTCTCTGTAATTTCCACAATAACCATTTGCACCAGCATGAATGGAGAGGGTCTGAGTTCTTCTGGGTGAGTAAAGGGTGTGTCAGTTATCTGTCCTCTGTCACCAGGATTTAGAGGCAGGCTCATAGTGACTCTTGTAAAGTTGAGGTTCGCCTGTGGAGGCTGCAAAAAAGAGGGAGGAAGAGAGAGTGAGGTTCCTCTTGGCTCTGTGCCAGGGATGTGATTAGAGGACCCTGGGAGGGCCTTCATCCTACGAGGGGTTGGAAGTGGAAATGGATGTGTGTGGATGACCTGGTAACGTGTCACAGCCCCTTCCACCCCATAGTAGTCAGGGATTTAATGCCTCAACAAGGCAGGTCTCTGAAGGAGACTGACTTTTCTCTCTCTCTCTGAATGATACTGCCTGAGAGAAATACTCACTTCCTGCTTTGTTTTCAACAAGTATGGACTTCCTTACACAAAAAGAATCTTTTTTGCTTTTGTCCCCCCATTTCACTGGAAATCTATCCACTGGGCACCACTGTTGGTCGGCTTCCTTTCATAGATTCCTTTATGTTTCAAATTTTAAAAAGACAATAATAGCAACAAAGTGAAATATGGATTTAAGCTAGGAAAAGCAGAGAACTGAAACTTTTTTCCTGCAATCATACTTCCCAGCTTCTTCAGCAAGATCTGCTTGGCTGGGAACATGCCTTCTGAGAACTTTACATTTCTAAACTGCTGCTAAATTGCTCCATGCATTTATTCCTCAAACTCTCAGGGAAGATAGCACTGGCTTTCAGTCTCATACCAACCATTCTTAAGGTAATGGACCAAAAGTCATTTCCACTTGAAATATAATCCTTCTAAATGAATCATGCAACATGGTTTTTACCTCCATTTTTTCAGAATAACTCTAAGATGATGATCCTCTGGCCATATTTTAAAAATTTCTCTTATTTGTTTTAATTTTCTTCCATTTTTTCTTTAATTTTGTATCCAGACACTGCCTTCTCTAAGAGGAATGACATTTTTGCGGGTTATCATGATATATTTTTAGCCCATTTGCCTTGACCCATAGCTTACAACAGTTAAAGAACACTAACATATAAACATAGAGTTTTGCCCAAGGCCATTAGCTTTGCATGTTAACAAGTGGGCAGAAGGAAGGCTGGGCATGAGAGAGACATGCTGTCCTTCTGGTGAGATCATCAATCCCATTCTTGTAACCTTCAGATCATTGCATTTGTTCAGAATCGTCTGCAGAGGAAAACATCTCAAAGTTGGGAGGTTGTTGAAGAGTCAGAAACAAATGGGTCCTGGGTAATTTTTCAAAACAGGCTTTTTGTCAATTGTCAGTCAGCTGTTTAATATTGTCAATTGTCACTCAGCTGTTTAATATTGTGCTTTGTTATAAGGATAGGCACTGTGGTCTCAGCGTTCTTAAGCTTTTACATTTCCGTTATTTGGTTTTACTTCTGCATTAGTAGAGTAGATGTAGAGTAGATGCCACCTCTAGGAACTCTACCAGCAGCAGCATCTTAGACTAGAAGCTCCCTCTCTAGGACTATAATCTCTGTAGCCTCCACTTCTCCCACCCCTTATTTCTTCTGAGCCTACTTGGTCTTTGATACTTACTATAATACTTTCTATTCTCTTATCATAAACAGTTTTCTGATTTCATTTTCCTCTGGTTTCATACTAAGCCCCATAATCAGTCACTGCAAGATTACCTTCTAGAATTTCTGTGCCCTCAAGTTTTCTCCATATCTAGAGAGTCAGTCATCTGCCTTGAGCCACATCCACTGTCTACTTTCTTCACTTCCATCCCCAGGCTGCCCAGCACTGATGAAAACAAAACAAAAACAAACAAGCAAACAAAAACAAAAACAAAAAACTGACTAGGATCTCAATCTGGTTTGCAAATCCATGCTTCTCTTTCTTGACTTCTTTAGACATCAACAGAATTGACGCCTCCTCTTGACCTGGGACACCCCTCCTCCTTGGTGCTTTCTTCTACCTCCCCCTGCTTCTCTGTATGTCTTTTGCAGGCTCATCTTTCTCTTAGGCTGTCTTCCCCCATCTCTCCTCTCCCTCTGTGCACTCAGGCAGTCTCCCTTGTCAACCCCCAAAACTGCTTCTCCAGACCCCAGTGTTTCTCTGAGCTCCAGGTCCACAATTCTCTAAGGTCCATGTGGATGTCCCTCACCATTTCAAACTTCTCTTCCACAGGGAGTCCCTGGTTTTCACTACCATAGCATATTAAAATACCATGCATTTCCCTTCATACCACTAATTACAACTTTGTTTCTTTTTTTTAAATTTTATGTTTTAAAAATTATCTTCTGCCCACATATATTGTAAGCTCCTTTTGAGAAAGACACATTGCTGTCCTGGTCATTACTATATTCTTATCAACTAGCAGGGGCCGTGGTCGGGGCTTGTGTTAGTCCATTTTGTGCTGCTATAAAGGAATACCTGATGCCAGGTAATTTATAAAGAAAATAGGTTTTATTTGGCTGAGGGTTTTGCAAACTGTACAAGAAGCATGGCGCCAGCATCTACTTCTGGTGAGGCCTGAAGCAGCTTTTACTCATGGTGGAAGGCAAAGAGAGAGCAGGCGTTTCACACAGCAAAGGAGAGAGCAAGAGAGATGCCAGGCTCCTTAAACGACCTGCTCTCCCATAAACTGAAAGAGCAAGAACTCACTCATTACGGTAGGATGGCACCAAAACAGTTGTGAGGGATCCACCCCGAACACCTCCCACCATGCCCCACCTCCAACACTGGGATCAAATTTCAATGTGAGATTTGGAGGGAACACACATCTACCCTTTATCAGTGCTCAATAAGCTCGCTGAATGTAGAACAGTGATATAAGGCAGGGGTGGGCCAAGTATAGGCGACAGGACAAATTTGGCCTGCTACTGCTTTTGTAAATAAAGTTTTATTTATTTACAAAATAAATAAATAAATACAGTCATAATCATTGGTTACATTTTGTTCAAAGCTGCTTTTGCATTAAAACATCAGAGTTGAGTAGCTGCCACAGAGACTGTAATGGCCCCACAAAGCCTAAAATAGTTACCCCGTGGTCTTTTACAGAAAAAGTCTGATATAAAGGACAGTCTCACAGCACAGAGGAAAAGCATATAACCCAAAGGAGGAAAGAGTAGAGCATAGTGGACTGCAGAGAAGTTTCCCTGGACCCAATCTGTGCCTTGAAAGATGAGAAGGACACCTCCAAAGGCAGGATGGGGGTGAGGTGGGGTGGGCGGTGGTGATCCAAGCAGACAGCACGGGCAAGTGTTCTGGAAAACTTGCCTTTGTTCACAAGTATCCTGCAGTATAAATTGCAAGGTGGGCAGTAAGAAATGGACTTGAAGAGATTGAACAAGGGCCAGAAACCCAAGGACATTGCTAAGGAGTTTGTGCCTTAGCCCATCCAGGGCCCTAGCAGCCTTGACTGATGCTTCTGAGGTCCTGGAGGCTCCAGGCTCAGGCTACCTTCCCATATTCTCTGAAAATAATATCACATTTGTTTAGTAAAAAAATTGTTTACTAAAAAATTAACCTCTCAGAATTTCTGCATTCACATTTATTTCTTCTCATATCCTCGAGTTAGAAAAAGGTATTTCTCTCCTGTGATGATATTGATTCTGCACTCATCTATTTTCATTACTGTCTCCTTCCCTCCCTCCCTCAGTCCCTCCCTTAGTCTATCTCACTCTACCATCTTTTCCTTTGGACCTTCTGACATTCAACATCTTGGTCGCTCCTATCCAGCCACACCTCTGACCATTCAACCATTTGTCCTCTTGATTGGTTCCACCTTGTCCTATCACGCTGGATATGCTGTTGCTCCCAAATTGCCTCCCTCTGCCAGTTTCTTGCCCCTTCCTCCTTCTGTCTCTCCCTCTCTCTTTCAATCTTTCTCTCCCTCAGTCTCTCTTTCTCTTTCCCTCTCTCTCAATCTTTCTCTTCCTCAGTCTCTCTCCCATTCTCTTTCTCTTTCTCTCAATCTCTCTCTTCCTCTCTCTCTTATCCTCTCTTTCTCTCAATCCCTCTCTCCCTCTTTCTCTCTCTCAATCTGTTTCTCTGTTAATCTCTCTTTCTCTCTCCTTCTTTCTGTCTCTGTCTCTGTCTGCCTCTCTCTCTCTCTCTCTCTTCCCTAGTGAGCTCACTTGCTTTCCCAGTTTCAGTGATTTCTATTCAGATATCTCCAAAATTTGTATTTCCGGATATTTTATGCTTTCATGGAGGCCGTGTAAATTGGTATAACCTTTTTGGAAGGCGTTTTGGCAATACTTAGTAAAAGGTTAAATGTTTACACCCCTTGATTCTGCTATTGTATGTGTAAGGATTTTTTCCTGCATACTTTTGTAAGTGTAGAAAATATATGTATAGGAATAATTGCACATTGTTTGTTGTAGCTGAAAATTACAAATAATATAAATGCCTATAATCAGAGCAGTTAAATACATATGAACACAGTGAAATACCAGGCACTCATTTAAAAGATGAGGTATATTTTAACAAGCCTATTTGAAAAGATACCCAATCTTAGCAAGTGAAAAAAAAACTCATCAAATTGATATATTTAGCGCTGTCCCTCTCTCAAGTTTCAGACCCACATTTTCAATTTTCTGTTGTCATCTTGACTTAGTCTCGTGAAATTTTAAACTAATCATTTTTAAGGGAAGATATTTTCTTCCCTTAAAGATGAAATTCAGACAAACCTCTGAATTTCCCTCTTTCTGCTAATTTCTTGCTTTCTTTTATCATCTTTCCATCCATCCTAACATACAGTTCCAGAGGAGTCTTTAAATCCTTCCTTATTGCCTAACACCGAGGATCATTTGCTGAAATCTTGTTGATTTTTCCCTCAGATCAACAAAGGATTTTCAGAATAGCCCTGATTTCTCTTTATCACCACGGTGCTGTCTCACGTCTTCTCTCCCCCTCCTCCTACCTGCCGTCTCTTCCAGACTCGTCTCTCTCCCCCAATCTCCTTTGCGCACTGATGCCAAATTAGTCACAACAAAAGTGTTTACGTGATCGTGTCACCCACTGGTAAGCTCTTAATGGTCTTCCCTTACACATTATCTCCCATTTCATCTCAGGAGCCTTTTATTAACCACTCTTCACAGTCTGACTCAGCCCTCTTTGCCAGTTTCTCTCTTTACAAATAGCAAAGTCTATGAGCTAGATTACTCAATATTCCCTGAATAGGTCTTCTCTTCTCCCACCTCTTGGCCTTTCCAGTACCATTCAATCTTCCTGGAAATTCCTGAAATTTCTTTCCTCCTCACTCAGTCAATGTTTTGAGACCCACATCAAATGCTACATACTATTTGTTCCTTTACTGATCATGCCAGTTGGAAATGATTCGAATCTGTAAAGCAGGGTGCTATGGAATGACATTTCTTATAGCCCTTTGGTCATTTGGGAGCAATGTCTAACATAATATCCTCCAGGTCCATCCATGTTGTTGCAAGCGACAGGATTTCCTTCTTGTTAAAGGGTGAGTAGCATTCCATTGTACATATATTCCATATTTTATTTTTTTTTGCTCATCTGTTGATGGTCACCCAGGTTGATTCCATATCTTGGCTATTGTGAATAATGCTACAGTGAACTTGGGAGTGCAGATATCTCTTCAACATATTGATTTCATCTCCTTTGGATATATACCCAGTAGTGGGATTATTGGATCAAATGGTAATTATATTTCTAATTTTGGGCAGGGTCCTCTGTAGTAGCTCCATAATGGTTGTAGTAATTTACATATCCAACCAAGCACGCCAGGGTTCACTTTTCCTCATGTCCTCGCCGACAAGCCTGATATTCTTATTTGCCTCTTAGCGCTTCAGCCTTTCCCTCGTGACTTAACGGTGACTCCCTTGAGACTACTTGAAATAATAAGTTTGGATGGCAAGGAAATACCCTTCTGCTGTCACCCTTTGCCATAAGACTGAGTTACTTTGTAAACAAAGAAGATTTACTTGGTCTTCCATGCCCAAGACCCTTTTACTTTTCATCGCTTAATATTTCATGGCCAAAAACTGTTGGTTCTTCCAATCTTGTAAGGCCATTTATCTTTGATCTTGCTCCATTCCCTTCCATTTTTGCTTGAGAATCATTCAGTTCTTGCCTGATCTCACGTCTTTCTCGCAACACCTTACTAATGACTGCCAGAGTGTCCACTACACACTATCGGTCTCATTTGACCACTTCCCCAGGCATGTAGCCTACCTGCCAAGTTCTTTCACAGCAGATATTTTGCAGTGTTGTAAGAGGGCTCCCTAGCTTGCTATGTTTTCTTACTACCTGGCATTAGGAAGTAAACATTTTTCATGGCAGTATTCACTTCTAGTACCAATTTCTTTTTTAATCTACATGGGCTAACTGCTGTATCAAACAGCCATCAAATCCCAATGTTAATTGCAACTTACAGTACGTTGTGATGTTTCTGTCTGTATACTCATTCAGACACACAGAGTTTAAGTAATTTGTTCAAGATCACAAAGTTAGTAAATGGTGGCATCAAGATTTGAACCCAGGCAGCTGGACTCAAGAGTCTAAACAACTTTCATTTTAAAATTTTCATCTTTCAAGATATATCACTTACAATTTCCATCTTCATCACTTTCTTCCATACTTCAGAGCTGCATATGTAAACCTCTTGATCATATAAATATTTATGGAGTCTCAGCATTTTGAGCACATGCTGAGAGATTTTGTAGCATTGAAGATAAAGAAGCTCTTTCAATACATCTAATCTTGCCACTATTGATTTTGAACAGCATCTTAATTTGTTACCTTTTTAAAACCATATTGTACTTTTCTTCAGGACAGCTAAATTAAATGTCTTATGTTGATCCCCTGGGTTTTCTCAGTTTCCATTTATCAGTTTCCTTTTATATAAAGAGATGCTAATGGGTAACCTTACATTTTGTAAGGCATATTTTTGAAGATATACAAGTGAAGGTTTGATCTGTACACCCTCGTTAGAGCTCTTTATTTTACATGTGGAGGAAGAGATGCCTTAGGGCTTCTGAAAAACAGGCTTTTATTTTTATAGAGGAGAAACTTCCAGAACATGCCATGAGCAAATGCTCTGTCAAGTCTGGTTCTTTCCCCCATTACTTAAGTGCAAATGGACCACATTTGAAGAAGATAAGTAGCAGAACAAGGCTCCCCACAAGGGGATTTTGAGGTGCTCTGAAAACCAGACTGACATAATCCATGGAGGAGTTCATCACTGCAGGCTGTCACGTCTCACAGTGGGAGTCATAGGCTGGTCTGCTTGATAAACTACTCCTGATCTATGACTGGAGCTGTGTGCTTCCTTTAAAAATAAATCTTGTTTTTCCATGCCCCACGTGCTTCTCAGCCTCAGGAGCACCTCATGGATTTAGACTAATCTTGTCTTTTACAGTCATGTTACTTCCAGATTCCTAGGAATCACCCCATTTCTGATGCCGTTGATCCATCCATACCCACTGAAATTGAGCTAAATGCTCTAGTCTGATTTGCCCCTTGAAGTTAGTATAGAATATTTTGGCTAGACTTTGAAAATGAAGCCCTGACCACAATGCATAATGACCTCAGTAGACACTGAAGAGTTCCTTTGCATCAGGCAAGTGACAAGTATCTATCTCATCTTCAAAGTCCACATAGATATGTGCCAGATTGTAGGTTGACAAATCACTTTTTCACTAGCTCACGTGGCAAGCCTTTTCACCTTGTAATAATGCTAGTGAGAGACCCATAGGTACCACATAATTGGCCAGTCATTGAGATTCAAGCAACATTTGGATAATTTAGCAAAACTATCATCAGAATCATCAAAGTACATAATTTTTATTTATTATGCAAATAGTGGATTCACTAAAGTGCTTAGACCAATTAAGTTGCTCCCATTGAAAAACAGGGTGATTTTATTCTTAAGAATATATCAGGATAAACTTCTTGTAGCCTCTAAACAGTACTGCTTAGAAAAGTGCAGCTTCACTGCATTGCATATCCCCCCAGAAGCCCTCAAAGTTCAGATGTACACCACAAAAACATGAAGCACATGTGTTTGCATGGAAGGTAGGCTCTGGGGTCTTCCTATCATAATATGTCTATGATTAATAGTCAACATATGCCCCCTCCACATTCCCTAAAGGAACATACACATGCATACACACACACACACACACACACACACACACACACGTGAGAACTGAATTGAGAGTTTGGGGTATACACCATCCCTGAGGGCACAGTCTACAGCTCCTAATGTGTGCTGTAGAGCAAGCATTATATTGTTGACAGGTAATAATTCCTGGTTAGGAATAACAGGATACCAGTGAGAAGAGGCTGAGAAAAATACACTCTTGCTGGAAGAGTCAAGAACGAGCTCTTCGTGGGAAACTATGGGAGACGATTGAAAAAGGACAAGAAGAAAGGAGAATTGTTAAGTCTCCACTTTCTCAGTTTCTGAACTGAACTTTTGCTCACAGCAGGTGAACACAGGCTCCCTCCCACACTGAGACTTCCTCCCCTGCCGGTGTGCAGTCTGTTAAGTAAACAGAGACGTTATACTGAGAAAGGAACATTTCTCTATTTTGGCTATGAGTTGTTATTTTTAAAGATTCATCCTCCAAACATTTTCCCCTATCCTTGTTTATTTTTTCACTAGAAAGAAGATGAACTGCTTAAAAAAAAAATTCAACTCCATGACAAGAAAAACCCACTTCTAGTATGTTCTCCCCACTCAATGCCAATGGAGCCTTTGGTGTGAGCACTCTGCCAGCCACACATTGGGCAGCATACCTCTTGAAATTCCTGCTGTGCTTCTATAGAGCTTCCATGCATCCAGATTTTCAAAGTCAAAGCAAAATGCGCATGGCAGTTTTTTTCTGACTCCTTCAAGTTAAAAGGCCAACCTCTCCCTTGACATATCCATGTATTTATCAGTATATCTATAGGTAATACTTAAAGGTGATCCTTACTGTGTGCCACACTCCATTCTAAGCACTTTACATAAAAAACCTCATTTCACTTTATTTGGGAATAGGATGACAATTTCTTCAATATTGAGATGGGTTGAATCTGGGGAGACTGATGTTAGATGCAAAAAGCTTTCTTTCTAGAACTTTTCCTGTGTCTTGCACCTGGCTTTCTCCCTGTCTTGTTCCCATTCTAGATCTCTTTACTGACAGTGCCCATGGCTTTCTTCTTGGTACTCTAGTGTTGAGCATAAGAACTAGTATGTAATAGGCTCTCAGTAAATCTTGTTGAATGAATTAAAGTAGAGCAAGAATTAAAGACAGAGAAGAAGATCTTCTTGTTGGAGTTCTTTCTTTTGGTTGATAAGCAATGTGATTTGACGTAACAATCTTGAGTCCTAATCCCCTCATTTGGAAAATGGAAATAATAATGCTAATCTTAGAGGTCACTTCTAAGAAGTATATGAATATATCAGAAGTAATCAACATTTTTAAGTCAAAGAAAAGAACGTCTGTGAAAAAGAAAACTAATGAGCTAGTTGAAAAAATATTAATTGGATCTTTTTCTCATACCTTACGCCAAAATAAATCCCCAAAAATGGTTGCACAACATTGTGAATATACTGAAATCCATTGAATCACACTCTTTAAATGGGCAAATGTTATGTTATGTGATTATCTTTCAATAAAATTGTTATAAAAATGAATAAACCCCAGAAGATCAAAAATTTAAACATAAAAGCATGGAAGTATACTAGAAGGAAATATAAGATAATTTTATATGTTATGTTGTATATATTTATATGTAAAATTTTTTTATTTATTTTTCTTTGCTTTTAAAAGCAAGACATAATGTTCTAGAGGAATAAATGAAACGTTCGATAAATTTAATTCTCTATTAAATGTTTTGCAGAAGAAAATACCAGGAACAACATCAGAAGAAAAAACAAAAAACCATAAGAAAAACAATTAAAAATACATATGACAAATGGCTTATTACTATAATATTTAAAGAACTCTTAAAAATCTATGTGAAAATGACAAATAACAGAAAAATACGTGCAAAGGACAAGAGCAGGCAGTTTAGAGAAAGCCTATACCAATATATTCTCTTATCAACAGTCTATTGTACAAGCTATTTGAAAGCAATGTTTGAACTATCAAAATTTAAAATACATAAGCCCTTTTATCTAGCAATTCTACTTCCAAGAATTTATTCTATAGCTATCTGTACACATATCCAAAGACATAAACATAAGGATAGTCATTGAATGAAATGTTTTTAACAACAAAATACTTGAAAGCAAAGAAATGTCACCCAAGAAAGAAGTGATTGAAGAAAGTTTAGCATTCAGTTCAGTGAAGACATATTGAGCTGTCAAAAAAAGTTGATGGAGAACTCCAAGGTCTATTAACTAAAAACAAAACAAGGTGCTAAACAATATGTTTAGTGTTCATATTTTAATTGTTTATATATTTCACAAATATATATTTGTGCATGCAGAAAATATTTTAACTTCTTTCTAACCCCGTCAAACACATCATGCCAAAATTCAACTTGTGATAAAGAAAAAAATAAATGAATTCCTTTCGTGTGTAGTATCTCATTTAAATTCTTCAACAACCCAATAAAAAAGATACAGACACATGTTTTTAAGTACTACATGTTATGCACCTTTGGTTTGCTTATTTAATAGTTGCAACTACTAATGTTAAATTCTTGATGCCAAGGTTAAAAGCCTGAACTTCTAAAAATATCAAGATCTGACATTTTTCTGTTTTCACAGATTAATCTGCCATCTCCTGACCTCCAACACACTGCTCTATGTTCTTTCATGCTGCTCCTCCTCCCATGTTTAGGACCCTCTTCCAAGGAGGCATTCACATCTCTGCTTGATGAAACCCTACATTATCTTAAAGCGTCCACTCGAATGCCACCTACTTATATACCATCTCCTGCAATACCAATGGGCTCAGCCCAACCATAGCCCATAGTTATTGTAGTTGTTCTTGTACTTCAAAAGCACTACAAAACACAACCATCAGGACTTGTTACATTATTTGAAGGCTATGAGCATCTTCAGCCGAGGCCCTGTTTTTATTCCCAGAACTACCACATTGTTTAGAATATAGTAGCAGATCAATATACGTGTATTAGATAAATCGTTTACCCAGATCTTGATCATTTTCAATTACCCATAGGTTGAAGAACTCCATATTTAACATGGCAGACTTGAGGACTGAACTACCTACCTCTTCTAAGAAGTTGAAATGAGAATGTTTTATTGATGGGAAATTATTTTTTTGTTTTGCCTTCTAGAATTCAAATGAATGTTCATATTCCATGAAGACAATGGCTGATAGTTTTTTGTTAAAGATTTAGAACCAGTGGATTTTTATGAATGTGAACCCTTTCATGTCTTGTGGAAGATTTTCTGTTTTTTAATCTTTTTATTTATTTATTTATTTTTGCTATGTTTTCATAGGAACCAGGGAAAATGTGTAGAGGGCATGGTGGAGATCTTCGACATGCTGCTGGCTACATCATCTCGGTTCCGCATGATGAATCTGCAGGGAGAGGAGTTTGTGTGCCTCAAATCTATTATTTTGCTTAATTCTGGTGAGTTGATAACACAAGATAACTCAATGCTGGATGAAATGTTTATTTGTAGTTTTCAACCAGATACGATCTACCCACTCCAAAGGCATAATGTCATAAATAGAAAGAAACTACTGACACACGTTTTAAAATAACCTACCAACATTGCAGATTCCTTATAAAGGTAGAACCATGCTAGCCAAATAGACACATGAAAAATTGTAATTTGGCATTGAATCAAATGGCCTTTGAGCTAAAATTTTTGTATGCTTTCACAGATAGGATGTTTTTATTCAAATGGTACATGTATATAGACATATGTTAGTTGATAGTTATATTATGTCTGAAAATAAGTAGACCAAGTAATTCTGTTAAGAAATTGTGACCAATTCCAGGCTCCAGATAGTAAAGAAAGAGGGTTATTTGAGACAGACCATGTTTCTGGTCAAAACTGACTAGCTAAAAATATAGTTGGCTTAGAGATAGAAAAACCTGTTTCTAAAACAGAAGAATGTGGAATGCAATAAATTGTCCAGCTGAAAGAACATTTTCCATTTGCTCTATGAAGTCTGATTCTACTGCCCCTTCGTATTTATTTGTTTGAGAAAGCTTAGCTAAGAGCAACATCTGTTTTTTGTTTTTGTTTTTGTTTTTGTTTTGTTTTTGTTTTCAATGTAGTGAGGCTGGCTGTTGTATAAAGAGTTACTCTATGTCACCAAGATGGAAACTATGGTTCAGCCTGAATTAGTGCCCTGACTCCTCCTAGCCTCTTGGTATTTGGATCTAAGCTCTAGCTCTACAGCCTCTGGGACCTAAAGCTCACATTGGGTATCAGCGGTACAGCAGCTCCCCTTAAGCTCCACCTTTCCCCCTGGCTCTAACCCCACTTTGTGCCTCATCCCTCATTCTCACATAGAAATCATAGCTATTTCGAATCTCTGGGCCTGACTTAGTTTCTTATGCCATTAGACATAGTCTCAAATTCCTCAATAGCTGAATTGCAGCTTGTATTGATCACATACATAGAGAATCCGCACTTCCTTCTCTTTCCACGTGTTTTTGTCTCTTTCTGATGAGTGCTGATCCCTTCCCGCTTCCCCTAACAATTTTTTACTTTTCTTCCCCACCACTGCTAGGAACCTGTGTTGCTTAATGGAATCAGCCCTTCCTTCTCTTTTCTTGTGTTTTTGTCTCTTTCTGATGAATGCCAATCCCTTCCCACCTCCCATGACAATTTTCCACTTCTCTTCCCCACCACCACTAGTAACCTGTGTTGCCTAATGGTTATCACAGTAATCATTCTCACTTATCAACTAATAAATGGAAATCTGTACTATTACACTAGGCAAGGACTGAATTACAGAATGAAGTCCCATGATAAATGATGTGATCCACACTAAGGAAGTGATTACCACTCCATTCAGGTTTCTGTTTCCACTCACGTGCATTGTGCTTTTCATTTCAGTCGTTTGTCCTGTACATTGTAGGGTCCAGATCCCACAATGGCTCTTTATTGGATGAGAGTTCTGGGAGCAGTGCCACTCAGCTACATGGTGCCAGGTCCTGAACCTGTGCCTTCTTCGGTGGAGGGCTGGCACGTGCTGACAGCTTTCATGTGGGCAATCTGGGAACTTCAGAGAAGGCAGGCCTATTAAGTGTTAAGACTCCCCACCCCGAACTTTTACTGAGAAAAAGTACCCCAGACAGGAAGTAAAATTAGCCAGAGTTGTATGATCCACACAGTGGATGCTCTGATCTCAGTAATAAAAAATATTTCCTCCAGATCCATATAGACTTTTCCTGCATTATTGTTTTGTTTCTGTTCCTATGGCAGAGTGAGTTTTTAAAACTATTATGCAAGAAATATCAGGATTTTTGCCACCAAAAAGTTGGATTCATAGACCCAGGGTTTTTACAACCCAGGGGGAAAAAACTTTCAGCCCTCACAAGAAAGTATTTTATTAAAGACTGGCACCCAAACCTCAAGACTATATTTCTCACTGCAGGATTTGGCCCCTGTCTGCCTCCTTCTCAGACTAGTTAAACTTTCATACTCCATCCTTGTTCCTTCGCTTCTTTCTTAGGATCTTCTGTGCACTTCTTTCTTAGGATCTTCTTGGCACTTCTTTGCTCTTGAAGGGCAGAAACGCTATTGTAGAAATTCAAGGCACTGTATGCTGACATAGTTTATAGTTGTCTTTTTCATGAGATAACACAGCGGCTGGCAGCTCCTCTTTTCTATCAAGGACAGTACTGCTGGCTCAGGAGAGCAGTAAGCAAACAGAAGCTGTCTCTCAACCCTGTACAAAGCGAAACCACTCTTTTCCCTACAAAAGTGAGCTGTGCCCCAGAAAAGCGGATCTGCTGCTGAGCAGGGCTCCTCATGTCTCCTATTGTTCCTGAAAAACAGCATCAAAGAGGGCAAGACTGACACACAATGTTGTAGCATTAGGAGCCTTTTTCAGAATAAAAAAGCAATCAGTCATATGAAGCATGTGGTCATACCACAATCAACAATTTTTCTCCACAACTGGAGATATGGATTTTTCTAAAAGTCCAACTGATTCATGGCCCTGATACGGGGCAGCTCTACCTCTCATGAGACCAATGACCAAGTGACTCTGACTCCAGGAATCTCTGACAGAAGCCAAGCTGGAAACGGCTCAGGAAACCTGAGCTAGAAGATGCCTTTCTGACACCTGGGAAACAAAACCTCAGTGTATGGAGGAACCCAAGGTTTTGTGTTGAGCCCCAGTCGCCAAGGTCTGAGGAGGCTGGGTTTATATTGGCCCCGATTTTGTGGCCGAGGCACAAGGGGAATTGAAAGGTTGTTGTGAGGACCTGCTCGGAATGTCTTTCTGGAAGTTTGGAGAGGGTCTCTCAAATGCCAAAATTTCCATGGGAAGCCATTTTCACAGCTGCTTGGGAGTGGGAGATATTCGTCATCATTTCTGCCCCATTTAGAATAATTTATTACTTTGCTTGCAAAAACCCGGAATCATCCATAGGACACACGTTGTTTGTTTTTCCACTCCACACCAAAGGACAGAGGCATTCCTGGTTAATCCAAGATGCCAACTTCAAGACATTCTGAGAACTAGCTGGACAGAGCTGAAGTGTAGGGCAAATCAGAACAGAAGTGATGGGCCCAGGGCAAAAGCCCGTGAAGCAGCAGCTGCGGAGGAAGGATGGGAGCTGGAGCTGCAAAGGGGGCCATGGTGGAGACTCTGGGCCTGCCCACAGTATCCCCTCTGCCCAATGGGAATTCAGTTTTCCTGCATATCATTCAATTATTTCTCATTTTTCTAGGCCTAGCTCACCTTATTCGGGAAGTTTTGCGACTACCCCAGTCCATAATGAATTTCCTCTCTAGACTATTTCAATTCTTACAGTCACTACCACACAGTCTAGGATTTGGTTAGTTGGTTGATTTCATTCATTTATTCAATAATTCAATGTTTATTGAGTTCCTACTATGGACTTTGTGCCAGGTATACAAAACTGAATGTTACTGTTGTGTGGGGTTTTTTTCTTTGCATTTTTAAAGTTAACCTGGATTTTTCTCTCACTCTTTATGCATGTATTTCCTAATCTCCCTATAAACTATTTGTATTTTTTTGGATTCCTCACAGTCTATTTAGCCTGTGGACTGTCAACAGATGTTACATCATTCAGTCATTTAATAGATGCTTATTTGCTAGACATGGCCAGGAGGACCTGGAAAGTCCTCATTTTTCCCATCTGTTCTTACCATTCTGAAATGTATCATGCTCTTCAGTGCTCCACAGATCTAGATGATATCAAATTATTAAATGGAAAAAGCAAGACCCATCTCCTTGGGTTATTGTGGATAAGGGGGAAATTGTGTAGGAAGTGTCTATTGCAGTTCATGGACCATTGTAGGCCCTTAGTCAACAACAGCTATCATCATCACTGATGAGAATCTCTGGCTTAAACGGAGTAGGTTCATGCCTTTTTTCAGTGTAATGAAGTGTTTTAGTTTAAAGGCCTTTAGCAAGGCTTACAATAAAAAAAAGTGGGGACTCCAGGGTAACACCAACAATAGAGACGACCATGGCTGTTATCCTGAGACTATTAATTATGCCACGTAATTAGATTTAGAGAAAACTTAGAGCAACATTTATCTTGTGGATAATAATTGATTGTGATTGGGACTTACCGTTGAGAGACCCTGATGAAAACTCTATGGTGAATTGCTGTGGAGTCACATGGGTTCATGCATCATTCATCAGTGGGCCCTGGTTTTAGCCTCATAACCCCTGAGAATCCACCTCTATCAGAAAACCACCCTTTCAGTGAAAGTTCCTCAAGGCTCAGAAAAATTCATATGTCAAAGCTTTATATGTAAAAACCTATACTCTCTAATAAATGTTTGGTTTGGCCTTCACATTCAATTTAATAATTATTTCTACCTCTTTTCTAAACCGCTCTTAACCACAGTTCTATATATTTAATTCTGAAGAGCCTCATGCACCTCCCTCCCTGGTAACTTTATCTACTTCTCTCCCTGGAGAACCAGCCAGACCATGATTCCAGCCCTCTGTCCTCTCTTCAACCGTAGGTCCTCTTTTTCTCTCCTGACTCCTCAAACCTTCTCCAGTTACCCGGATGCCTTCTGTGTGCTGCTGGCTTCTGCATCACTGTTCACAGGGCCACTTGTTCCCCTGGAAATGTCTTATGCTCTTGAAATGCTATAGCCTTGTTCACCTGTTCATCCAAAACTGATCCTCAGACAACATTTCTCTTTCAATTGGTGGAATAATAAAGAGGAATATGGGTCAAAATTCATAGACATTTAAATACCCAAGGTGCAAAGTTAAGAGAAAACAAGATAGGAGAAAGAATTATGGCAACATCTCTAAAATGTGTACTTTAGTGTTTAGCAAAAAAGGGACTATGGAATGTCAAACAGGAACATATATGTTAAACATAAACATGAAGCAGTGCCAGCTGCTGTCTGCCATATAGTCATGCTTTGTTAATGTGGCACATCTTGCCATGATGGTGCCCTCATGAAACGAAGGATGCTGAAGCAGATGCCATTCTGTTTGCTTTGATCAGAAGCCACTCTCTGGTCAAGGAAGTATTTGTTTCATGCTTAATTATAACAAGTTCTCATCACAAAGATTATTTTCTTTCTCCAGATCTGGATTGTTTGCACTCACTTTATATTATTAGACAATTACTCAGATTGTTTATGTTTTTATGTTTAGAAATAAGACAGTGATTCAGAGAGTCCCTGTATTTAGATGAAAGAACATTTTTTAAACATATTGACTGTAAACACTGAAAATCATTAATTCTCAACAGTTGAAGGTTTCTGACAGGAACGGCCCTTGGAAATTGTAAATGGGCACATTGTCAGGTATGCCCATTGTTGTCACATTGGAGAAGATTGGATTCTGTTCTCTCTGGAGTCCTTTGTAATGCCAAGCTTCCTCTCCAGGGAGCTGGCTTATTGTCATTATTTTGAGATAAATGGCACTTCATAGTATTAAGTGGTTCATTGTCTCTTCTCTGGCTGACTGTATTCTGTAGGCAGCCACTCAACTTTGGAGCCTTTCTCTGCTACCAACTTTTGGTGTTGCCTTAAGCAAGCCTCATGGCTCCTGTTAGTTTCCTGACAACATGGTATAGCATGGACTTTGTCATCAGAGAGGACTGAATTCAGGAGAAGCAACTCTGCCACTTCCTTGGCGGAAGGGGGATGACTGATGTCCTTTGATAAGCTGCTTCCCTGAGCCTAATAAAAAAATAGAAATAATGATACTTAAACTCATGGAATTGTTGTGACAATTGAAAGAATGACCAGTTAGTAAAGCATCTTGCACCATGACTAGCACACAGTAGATGCACATGAGTGTTACTAAGCTTTAGTTATGCCCTCCAAATACAAAGCCTTAGTTTTGTCACTATGAAAGAAATTACTCTGTTCTTCTTAGCAGGTAATAAATAAATCCCTGCCTGGAAATTCTGCAGGAGAATTTCACCCCTGCGCTTTCAGGTTAAAAGATTGCATTCCCATGATGAAGATGTTCTGTGAATAGAATCATCTCAAGTCCCAAATGGTGTGGATTTGCTCCTGCATCTTGTTGCAGAGATTCTCTTGGAGCTTCTGAGAACTGGGGAAACCAACAAAATGCCTGTAGCCTGGGGAAAATGTAGGGAGTTTTAGCATGAATTTGTGGGAGGTGAGAAAAGGCAGCAGGTGTCGAAAGACGGGAAATCCTTGCACTGTTCTAGATGTTAGGAGCCATTTTCCATTCACATTCAGCACCTCAGGAGGAGAAGCTGCCTATCACTTTGTGTCCTCAAGAGAACCAACAAAGGAGAATGCCATCTCCCAGATACTCAATTTGATTACCATTTTATCCTACCTTCTCTAGGGTCCAGACATTATGTAAATTGGCATTAAGTTTGAATAATGTATGGACCCAGTTTAAAAGGAAAAAATGCTTTGGGAGGCTGAGGCAGGTGCATTGCCTGAGGTCAGGAGTTCCAGAACAGCCTGGCCAACACAGTGAAACCCCATCTCTACTAAAAATACAAAAAGTTAGCTGGGCACGGTGGCGGGCACCTGTAATCCCAGCTACTCAGGAGGCTAATGCAGGAGAATCACTTGAACCTGGGAGGCAGAGGTTGCAGTGAGCCAAGATCGTGCCATTGCACTCCAGCCTGGGTGATGAGAGCAAAACTCCATCTCAAAAAATTTTTAAAACAAAAGGAAAAAATGCTCCCCTGATTCCCGCAGTGCTGACTTAAAATGTTCTTAGTATGCCAATGTTGCTTAAATATGAATGACTGTAGCTTCTACTTAAATTGGCAACCGCACCAAATATAAACTGCAAATGTTTATAGCTCTTATGGAAGTATAAAAGCAAAACAAATTCTTAAATTAAATACAAACTAAGAGGGAAACTGATAATAACAATGTTTTGTGTAATTAAGTTGCTGTTTGCAACATGCCTGGGGCAGACTCCTGGCCTCTTTGCATCTGACATGAGAGGCTACCAAGGATGTGGCCACAACTGGGCTCTCCCAGCACTTGCTTGCGCTCAGAACTGTGCCAAAACCTTTGCTCGCCCAGTGTTCTGCAACGTCCATCATTTGGATTTGGCAGGAACACATCATTTATGCATTTTGTTTGCTTCTGTATTTAGTTGAGATACTTAAAATATAACTGCTAGATTCTAAGGCATTCATAAGCATCTGTGAAAAATGTGTTACTTAGGAAACAGTTCAGGGTTCCATGGATTATCTAGATTGGTGAGTCTTAAGACTGACCACACAATTCATCTGGGGGTGTGGAGGAGGGGAGCTTTGAGAAAAATCTCTGTATGAGCACCCACACCCAGAGATTCCTATGCAATTATCCCAGAGTGGTGCCTTAATATCAACATTTGTTTAAAACCATCCCCCAAGACTAAAATTTGTGACCGGGATTTAGAACCATTGACTTAATTGATGCAGAACACTCTGATATTAATGTCTTCATGTCTTTTGGAATGTCATTAAGACAAAAGCATAAAATTTTAAAATTCTTAAAGACAATTTAAAGACCTATGAGAATCCATCTTTAATTCTCAGGAGCGTGTGGAACCTAGTTTGAAAACTACTGGCATCGACAATTGAATTTCCACTAAAATAAAATAGCTCTCTAGTATATTACAAAACTACCCATTCTGCAAACTGCAGGGGAGCTACTGATAATGCTTGGAACTGTGCCAGGCACTGCCTGCATAAAAATGAGTAAGGTCCACTTCCTCCATGGACTGGGTTGGGTAGGAGGCAAAGATAATTAACCAATTATTTTAATATTATGAGTTCAGGGTTGTAATGAAAGTAAGTATTGAGTGCTGCAGAGACCCAGCAAAGGAGTCCTTAGCTGAGAACTGATCCTTTGCTGAGTGACGAGGACATTATTGAACCGCCAGGCTTGATGGCATGTTGCATGGTAACAGACCAGTACACCAAACAGCAGGAGCTGTAGCAGAGAAAGAGTTTAATAATTGTGTGGCAGCCAAATAAGGAGACAGAAGGAAACCTTAAATCCACCTCTTGAAAAAGTCTGGGACTAGGCTTTTTAAGAGAATTCTGGCAAGAAGGAGGCTGAGGAGCTGGGGGTAACTGATTGGTTAGGACATAGGAGAGGAGACAATAAGGATATAGAAACTCCATTCTTGCACTGGGTCAGTTCCTCGGAGGGGGTCCTCACTCTGGCTGGCAGCAGTGAACCCATTGGAATGCAGGATCTGAAAAATATCTCAAAATGGCAAACTTGAGGGGTTTTTTTTAGCATCAAAGATGTTATCTATAGAAGTTAGGACATTGTGACAGGGGCTACGTGACTTTGAAGTGTTAAGTGGCTGTCAGAAAGTGAGCTATTGCAGCGGTCCCCAACCTTTTTGGTACCAGGGACCAGCTTCATGAAAGAAAATTTTTCCACAGATGGGGTGGTGTAGGGTGGGGTGGGGGATAGCTTCGGGATGAAACTGATCCACCTCAGATCATCAGGCATTAGTTAGATTCTCATGAGGGGCACACAGCCCAGATCCCTCACATGGGCAGTTCACAGTAGGGTTCACAGCCCTATGAGGTTCTAATGCCACTGCTGATCTGACAGGTGGCAGAGCTCAGGCAGTAATGCTTCCTTGCCCACCACTCACCTCTTGCTGTGTGGCTCAGTTCCTGACAGATTACGGACTGGTACCAGTTTGCAACCCAGGCAGCTGGGGACCTCTGGGCTGTAGGGTAGGCTGGTTAATGCTTAGCTGTGTTTCTATTCAAAGCTTATGCTTTTGTTTAAAACCTAGTAATTTGGTTTTGTTAATTTTATGAAGATGATTTCAAGGATGAGTAGGATTAGCTGGAGTCAGAAGGACACAAGGGAATTTCTGGCAACAACATTAAACTACCAGTGAATGTCTCATCAAGTCACTGGACCTCTAATTCTAAGCAGTACTGTCAACCTTATAGGTTATGATGTATAAGATAGTGTTGTGATGTATAAGATAGTGCAAAAACCTAAGTTAATATCACCATTTCTGTAGTACTCTCTATTTCAAAGGAAAAAATCTTCAGCAGTCTAATATCCTACCAAAATTTTGAAGTCAAGACCTCCCTACACTAATCAAAGAACTAGAGGTGCAATCAGGCCATATATTTGGAAAGGCCATAGGTGCCCTCCCTCTGTCCTTGTTCCCAGCATACTAAACTATAGTCTAAAAGACTTTAAAACTTGAACTGAAGAAAACCTTAAGGAAACAACAACAAAATTCCATTTATTTCCTGAGCCCAAAAGTAGAATAATTGTTTTTTAATGAATTTTTCTTTCCCTGTAAGACATACTATGAATTGTTCAATGGGTATTCAAAGCATATGTAATAGAATATGTATGCTTTCCTGAAAAATTGAAATGGAACATCAAACTGTTCTGTAAAGTTTTGAGTCTAGACCAAACTCACAGCACTTAGCCAGAATATGTACATCTGCATCTGCCACTCATGGCCCCATCGCTCCCTCCAACTGCTTCTCTTGGGCTGAAGGATGGAAAAGCAAACTCCCTGCGTTGAGTTCCATCTTGCCCTGCATGGCCTCCCCCATGGGGTCATTGAGCTCCCCACCAGCTTCCACCTCTTCCAGCACTTTCCGCCAGAGGGCCCGTGGCTGCTTTTGCAGACTGAAATTGATTGTGGTTGATTCAGCTCCATTTCCTCTGAGTTTTTACTTTAGATGTGCTTTTTAGGTTGCATTTTTCTTCTGGCATATAAGAAAGACAGCAATATTCCATGGAACAGAGTGATGTCTGTGGCTTTGTCAACCGTTGTTTGTTAGCTTGATCACCATTTATTGAGTGTTTACTACTTTCCAGGCATTGTGCTAAGTGGTAGAAATACAAAGTTGCCTTTACTTGATTCATCTGTAAAATAGAGAGAGTAGTAGTTCCTACAGTGTGGTTTATGTGAGGCATAGGGACTGCTCCCTGAAACCTAGGGACAACTCCCTAGCAGCGACCCAGTGCTCATATCAATAGTGGTAACAATTAGGAAGGCAGCTCCTACCTCAAAGACCTCATGATCTGATGGTAAAGACAGATATAACAAGAAAATTATTCTTTTTAAATATAAAATTGTGATATAAAAATAGTTTTCACTAAATTGGATTTTTATGAAATTTACAGAAACAAAATAATAAATTAAGGAAATATAAAACCACCTGACATTAGCCAACCATGTTGATGTTCTGATTATGTTACTGCAAAGGAGTGTAGGGTTAAGAACGAGGGACTTTGATTCCAAGATCAAATCCCTTTCTGCTATTTCTTAGCTGTCTGACTTTGGGCAAGTTGCTTAAACCCTTTGTGCTTCTGTGTGCTTGCCCATGAGATGGAGATTATAATAGCGTCTACCTCATAGGGCTATTTTTAATACAAGTTAGCTCTTAGAACAATACCTACTTAAACTAACAATTTGTATTAGGTACTGTTTTATTCTCCATCCGTACTGTGTATGCATATATTCATATTTATATTTACATATTCTAATTAGGATTATATACATGTACTTTCTTTAAAAATAAGATTTTAAATAACTATATAATCAGTCATGATGATACAACATGATTTATTCAACAAATCTGATGCTGTTAAACACGTAAGTGATTTCTCTTTCAGGATTATAAATAACATTTGTTTTGCATTTTTTTCATACATCTTTTGCTCACTTTTCATTGTTACTTTGTATATGTTGCTAGAAATTGATTTGCTGGTGAAAAGGGTATAAACATTTTTAAGGCTCTTGCTACATATTGCCTGCTCTTCATACATATTGCCTACTGCCCCAGGAAACTATCAATTACACTTTTACCAAGAGTGTATGAAAGCATTCACATGAATGTAACCTTATCATGCAATGCGGGCCATGAGACAGAGGAGAGTTATGGAGGGTAGACGGCTTCCCCGCTGCTCAGCCACTGCCCTCTCCTCTAAAAGAGCCACAGTCAGGAATTTCTACATAGATCCTATTATAAACATCTCCTTTTGAAACAAATTATCTTCTCTCAGAGCATTTTCTTCATTTTAGTATCTATATAGGTCCTTGTTATGTTCATTTTAAGTTTTGTGACCTGCACTGACACAATGCTGATGAACTGCTTATTCCAGGCAGTCTGAGTTCTCAAAGCATTTGCATTTTATGTCTTATCCTCTGTTTTGGGCTCTTTGCCACTGATTTTTTTTTAAGTGATATTTTAAGAAAGAGGAGGGTTGATTTGTTGTGAGTGTATCTCTCTTTAAAAACTTTTCTAGGGAAGGACAACCTCTTCCAAAGACTTTGTTTGCTTTGTGTGATTGGCATGTCCTTCCCTGGTCAGTAATGAGCTTGAAGGAAGCTACTGGACACGGGACTGAACATGGGGTTTTGCTATCACTCTAGCTGTGCCTTTCTCTAGTGATCAAGGAGATGTTGGTTCAGAAAGTGCCCTGTCTAATCCCACTAAGGCCCGAAGGACCAAGTGCTGTCTACTCTCCAGATTCTCTGCAACAGAAAGCAGATGCTTAGGCTTCATGGTCCAGGTTGGAACAGGTAGTTAGCTCTGAGGACAGTTATGCATGAATGTCAGGAGGGGACTGGCAGGGGAACATTTATTTATTCTTTAAAATTGGAATCAACAGTTATGGATGAAACCCAGAATGCAAAATTCACTTTCATCTTGACACGCAACACATCTGTCCTTTCTCCTTGAATAGCAAGTATTAATCATTGAGTTAGACAATGTAACCTTCACATTCAGTGAAAGCCAAACACTCAGCACCTTCTAGAAAAATCTTAGTGCCATGCTTTCTTAGCATATTGCAAGTCCTCTGAGGATGATGTGTTGTTCAGCTTTGAAGCTGATCTTTTGTACTTGCTTATGTAGCTCAGGCTAGTGATAACATGCCAGAGGCATTTCCAACTAAGAAAATTATTCACAGAAGCTTTAATTACAAATTTGTTAGCCCCACTTCCTGCTAAAATGGCCAGCCTTGAAGAGTTTCGGAAATGTGAGCAGCCTTAAGGATGATAGAAATATTATGAAATAGTAATAAGTAATACCCATACAGCAAACTCCTTTTTCTTTGGAGTATCCGTTCATCAGCCAGATTTCCCTCTCAACAGTCCAGGTGTTGACGAAGATCATGAAATAATAGGAATGAAAGGGACTTCGATTTTGTATTTTTAATAGCATTTTCCTCCACCAAATTACGAAAGTAATGCATGACCAAGGCAGAGAACTTGGAAAATACAGAAAAGCCACCAAGCAAAATAATCTCCCAAGAAATCATAATTTCACCACACAAAAGTAACCATTGTCAACATTTTGGTGAAAATCCTTAATTAAAGAGACTCTTAAAAGATGCCAGTTCGCTGCCACTTCTTCCTTTCTCCACACCATCCTGCACCCTGTTTTGAAATGCAGAATTGTTTCTAAATCATTCCAGGAAAATTATTAGTTTTCTCAAATATCTCTGGAGGCGAGTCTGTTGGCAGTCATTTCTAGTTTCTCACAAACCTTGAAGTTAGGAAATTATTTGTGTAGCTTTTGAGCACTGGGCCAGAAGTGAGGGATGTTTGGGTTCTAGTTCCAGCTCTACCACTTATTTACCAACTGGCCGACCTCAGGCAAGTCCAGGCTAGCGGCCCCGCCTCAAGCCCCTCCAGATGCAGCATCTGCAACCCCACTTCCTTCACTTCCTTTCGCCTCAGTTTCCCAACAATTTCCTAGTAATTGTACTGAATCATTGTTTTTCATTTTTTACATTAAAATTTATTTATTTTATTTTATTTTTAAAGACTTTATTTTTTAGAACAGATTTAGATTTGCAGCAAAACTGAGTGGCAAGTACAGAAAGTTCCCATATATTCCCTGCCCCCGCACATACACAGTCTCCCTCACTATCAGCATCCCCAACCAGAGAGGTACATTGGTTACAGCTGATGAATCTACATCGACACGTCATTATCACCCAAAGTGCATAGTTTGCATTGGCGTTGGGCATTTTAGGGCTTTTGACACATGTATGCACTATTGTAATATACAGAATAATTTCACTGCCCTAAAAATCCTCTGTGCTCCTCCTATTCATTCCTCCCTCCACCCCATTCCTGGCAACTACTGATCTTTTTACTGTCTCCACAGTTTTGCCTTCTCCAGAATGTCATATACTTGGAATCATAAGGTTTGTAGCCTTTTCAGATTGGCTTCTTTCACTCAGTGATATGCATTTAAGGTTCTTCCATGTCTTTTTATGGCTTGATAGCTCATTTCTTTTTATCATTGAATACTACTACTCCATTGTCTGGATTATACACACTTTATTTATACATTCACCTACTGAAGGATGTGTTGGTTGCATCCAAGTTTTGGCAATTATGAATGAAGTTGCTGTAAACACCCATGTGCAGGTAATTGTGTTGATATGCATTTTTAATGCTTTTGGATAAACACTCAGGAGCACAATTGCTGGATTGTATAGTATGTTTAGTTTTGAAGGAAACTGCCAAACCATCTTCCCAAGTGGCTGTACCATTTTCCATTTCCACCAACAATGAGTGAGAGTTCCTGTTGCTCCACATCCTCATCAGCATTTGGTGTTGTCAATGTTCTGGATTTTGGCCATTCTAACAGGTGTATTGTGGTATCTCATTTTGTTTTAATTCGCATTTTTTGGATAATATCACATGGAGCATCTTTTAATAAGCTTATTTGCCATCTGTGTGTCTTCTGTGGTGAGGTGTCTGTTAAACTCTTTGGTCCATTTTTTTAATCAGGTTGTTTGCGTTCTTATCGTTGAGTTTTAAAAGCTCTTTGTATATTTTGGATAACAGTCATTTAGCAGGTATGTCTTTTGCAAATATTTTCTCCCAGTCTGTGGCTTGTCTTCTCATTCTCTGGAGATCAGTGGTTTTTACACTTTCTTCTGCTGAAGCCAAGTATTGTGGAAGAAGCCATGGGGTCACCAGAGGATAGGTGCACAGGGTAGTGAGGGAAAGTTGGAGTGAATGGGCTTGGTGCCCCCACCCCGCAACATTTCTCTTGCTTTAATCAGAGAAGTTTGACTTCATCCAGATTGCATATGAGGACTTTACATGAGGTTCACCTTTTTATTTGTTTTAAAAGGGGTTTTTACTCTCAAAATGTTTTAAAGACCACTGAACTAGATGATCATCTTAAGGCCCTTTTAAGATTTATGATTCTGGAATTCTGTGGCTCTATTTTTCCAATGTAATATAACCTTCCTCTCGTTAAGGAAAAATGAGATAAACCTGTTATAAACACTCATGTGACATTTTTTCAATACAGTTTTCATCCACGTAGTGCTCACTTAGAATGATAGAAACAATACACCTAAAGAATATGCACCATTCACTTGCCCACTCATCTCTCAAAGAGAGGAACTTTCAACACTAGTTATCTTTTTAAAAATAATCAGAGAGAATTCTCAGCCACTTCAATTCTAGCCCAGGAAAAAGAGGGAAAATACATTTGAAGGTTTCTGGCTCATGTGATACATTTGCAAACCAGAACCAAGATGATATGACTCTCATTTATTAGTGACTATTGCAAAGCTTTGCAGGCTATTAAGCAGGCTGTTCAATTTAGGGTGATATGGACATGTGCATATTGGCCAATTATATATGCTCAGATCGTATGTCATTTTTTTTCTGCATTTTAGTCTAAGTGTCAGATAGGTGTTTCATGATGTTTTATAAACACTTCTGTTCACATTAACATTGTTCATTGATTTGGCAAGGAATGAAGGGGTGTCATTTTCATGATTTTATTTGTATATTATGTATTCCACAGAGGATTTGAAATGCCTTACCAAATTTTATGTAATGTAAAGGGGTAAACCAATATTTGACACATCATTATAAATTGAGGATAATCTGAAGAAAATAATAAATCCAGGAGACAGATTATCACACTGATATGGTTTGGCTCTGTGTCCCCACCCAAATTTCATCTTGAATTTTACTCACATAATTTCCATGTGTTGTGGGAGGGACCCAGTGGGAGATCATTTGAATCATAGGAGTGGTTTCCTCCATGCTGTTCTCATTGTAGTGAATAAGTCTCATGAGATCTGATGGTTTTATCAGGGGTTTCCACTTTTATATCTTCCTCATTTTTTCTCTTGCCACCACCATGTAAGAAGTGCCTTTCGCCTCCCACCATGATTCTGAATTCTGAACCCTCCCCAGCCATGTGGAACTGTAAATCCAATTAAACCTCTTTTTCTTCCCAGTCTTGGGTATGTCTTTATCAGCAGCACGAAAATGGACTAATACAGTAAATTGGTACAAGGAGTGGGGTGTTGCTGAAAAGATAGCCGAAAATGTGGAAGCAATCTTGGAACTGGATATCAGGGAGAGGTTGGAGCAGTTTGGAGGGCTCAAAAAAGACAGGAAAATGTGGGAAAGTTTGAAACTTCCTAGAGACTTGTTGAATGGCCTTGACAAGAATACTGATAGTGATATGAACAATAAAGTCCAGGCTGAGGTGGTCTCAGATGGGGATGAAGAAACTGTTGGGAAGTGGAGCAAAGGTGACTCTTGTTATATCTTAGCAAAGAGACTGGTGGCATTTTACCCCTGCTGTAGAGATTTGTGGAATTTGAACTTGAGAGAAATGATTTGGGGTACCTGGTAAAAGAAATTTCTAAGCAGCAAAACATTCAAAAGGTGACTTGGGTGTTGTTAAAACCATTCTGTTTTAAAAGAGAAACAGCATAAAAGTTCAGAAAATTTGCAGCCTGATGATGCAGTAGGAAAGAAAAACCCATTTTTTTGAGGAGAAATTCAAGCTGGCTGCAGAAATTTGCATAAGTAACAAGGAGCCAAATGTTAATCCCCAAGACAATGGGGAAAATGTCTCCAGAGCATGTCATAGGTCTTCATGGCAGCCCCTCCCATCACAGACCCGGAAGCCTAGGAGGAAAAAAACAGTTTTGTGGGCCAGTCCCAGGGTCCCCATGCTGTGTGCAGCCTAGGAACTTGGTGCCCTGCATCTCAGCTGCTCCAGCTATTGCTAAAAGGGGCTGAGGTACCACGGTTTCAGAGGTTGCAAGCCCCAAACCTTGGCAGCTTTCATGTGGTGTTGAGCCTGTGTGTACACAGAAGTTAAGAATTGAGGTTTGGGAACCTCCACTTATATTTCAGAAGATACGTGGAAATGCCTGGATACCCAGGCAAACATTTGCTGCAGAGGTGGGGCCCTCATGGAGGGCCTCTGCTAGGGCAATGAGGAAGGGAAATGTGGGGTTGGAACCCCCACACAGAGTCCCCACTGGGGCACTGCCTAGTGGAGCTGTAAGAGGAGGACCACTGTCCTCCAGACCGCAGAATAGTAGATCCACTGACAGCTTGCACCATGTGCCTGGAAAAGCCACAGACACTCAACGCCAGCCTGTGAAAGCAGTCAGGGTTGGAGGTGGTGGTGGCTATACCCTATAAAGCCACAGGGGCAGAGCTGCCCAAGACTATGGGAACCTACCTCTTGCATCAGCATGACCTGGATGTGAGACATTCAGTCAAAGGAGATATTTTGAAGCTTTAGAATTTGACTGCCCTGGTGGATTTTAGACTTGTGTGGGCCCTGTAACCCCTTTGTTTTGGCCAATTTCTCCCATTTGGAGCTGCTGTATTTACCCAATGCCTAAACCCGCATTGTATCTAAGAAGTAACTAGCTTGATTTTGATTTTACAGGCTCATAGGCAAAAGGGACTTGCCTTGTCTCAGATGAGACTTTGGACTGTGGACTTTTGGTTAATTCTGAAATGAGTTAAGACTTTGGGGGACTGTTGGGAAGGCATGATTGCTTTTGAAATGTGAGGACATGAGATTTGGAGAGGCCAGGGGTGGAATGTTATGGTTTGGCTCTGTGTCCCCACCCAAATCTCATCTTGAATTATACTCCCATAATTCCAAAGTGTTGTGAGAGGGACCTGGTGGGAAACAATTTGAATCATGAGGCCAGTTTCCCCTATACTGTTCTTGTGGTAGTGAGTAAGTCTCACGAGATCTCATGGTTTTATCAGGGTTTCCGCTTTTGCATCTTCCTCATTTTCTCTTGCTGCTGCCATGTAAGAAGTGCCTTTCACAAGCATAAGGAAGAAGTATACTTGCTGGAGCAGCAGGCTGTCCTTCTTCTGACGATATGGACTGCAAGTGCCTATGTTTACTTTGACCAAGACGGCCTTTCTTTTCACAGAAAGCCAGGGTTCACCCCTTGAATTTCATAAGACCTCTCTTTGCAGTGGGTTAGATACTCTTTTATATTTTTATACTCTGTCAGGAAAACATTTTTTTTTCCATTTAAAAATCAGTCTTTTGGTTGCTTCCAAGATGGCTGAATAGGAACAGCTCTGGTCTGTAGCTCCCAGCGAGATCGAAGCAGAAGGCAGGTGATTTCTGCATTTCCAACTGAGGCACCTGGTTCATCTCACTGGGACTGGTTGGACAGTGGGTGCAGCCCACGGAGGGTGAGCCGAACTGGGGCAGGGTGTCACCTCACCCACAAAGTGCAAGGGGTCAAGGGATTTCCCTTTCCTAGCCAAGGGAAGCTGTGACAGACTGTAGCTGGAGAAACAGTACACTCCTGACAAAATACTGCACTTTTCCCCACAGTCTTGACAACTGGAAGACCAGGAGATACCCTCCCTTGCCTGGCTCAGTGGGTCACACGCCCATGGAGACTTGCTCACTGCTAGCGCAGCAGTCTGAGATCAACCTGCAATGCTGCTGCTTGATGCGGGGAGGGGCGTCTGCCATTGATGAAGCTTGAGTAGCTCACAGCGTAAACAAAGCAGCAGGGAAGCTTGAACTGGGCAGAGCCCACCTCAGCTCAGCAAGGCCTACTGCCTCTCTAGATTCCACCTCTGGGGGCAGCACATAGCAGAACAAAAGGCAGCAGACAGCTTCCGCAGACTTAAACATCCCTGTCTGACACCTCTGAAGAGGGCAGTGGTTCTCTCAGCACAGTGTTCAAGCTCCAAGAACCAAGAGACCGCCACCTCAAGCAGGTCCCTGACCCCCATGTAGCCTGACTGGGAGACACCTCCCAGTAGGGGCCGACAGACACTTCAAACAGGCAGGTGCCCTCTGGGACGAAGCTTCCAGAGGAAGGATCAGGCAGCAATATTTGTTGTTCTGCAGCCTCCGCTGGTGATACCCAGGCAAACAGGGTCTGGGGTGGACCTCCAGCAAACTCCAACAGGCCTGCAGCTGAGGGGCCTGACGGTTAGAAGGAAAACTAACAAACAGAAAGGAATAGCATCAACATCAACAAAAAGGACATCCACACCAAAACCCCATCTGTAGGTCATCAACATCAAAGACCAAAGGTAGATAAAACCACAAAGATGGGGAGAAACCAGAGCAGAAAAGTGGAAAATTCCAAAAACCAGAGCGCCTCTTCTGCTCCAAAGGATTGCAGCTCCTCACCAGCAAGGGAACAAAACAGGATGGAGAATGAGTTTGATGAGTTGACAGAAGTAGGCTTCAGAAGGTCGGTAATAACAAACTTCTCCAAGCTAAAGGAACATGTTCTAACCCATCGCAAGGAGGCTAAAAACCTTGAAAAAAGGTTAGATGAATGGCTAACTAGAATAAACAGTGTAGAGAAGAACTTAAATGACCTGATGGAGCTGAAAACCACAGCATGAGAACTTCGTGATGTATGCACAAGCTTCGATAGCTGATTTGATCAAGTGGAAGAAAGGATATCAGTGATTGAAGATCAAATTAATGAAATAAAGTGAGAAGACAAGATGAGAGAAAAGAAGAGTGAAAAGAAACGAACAAAGCCTCCAAGAAATATGGGACTATGTGAAACAAACAAATATATGTTTCATTGGTGTACTGGGAAGTGATGGGGAGAATGGAACCAAGTTAGAAAACACTCTTCAGGATATTATCCAGGACAACTTCCCCAACCTAGCAAGGCAGGCCAACATTCAAATTCAGGAAATACAGAGAACACTACAAAGATACTCCTCAAGAAGAGCAACCCCAAGACACATAATTTTCAGATTTAAAAAGTATGAAATGAAGGAAAAAATGTTAAGGGCAGCCAGAGAGAAAAGTCGGGTTACCCACAAAGGGAAGCCCATCAGACTAATGGGATCTCTCAGCAGAAACCCTACAAGCCAGAAGAGAGTGGGGGCCAATATTCAACATTCTTAAAAATTCTTAAAAAAAGAAGAATTTTCAACCCAGAATCTCATATCCAGCCAAACTAAGCTTCATAAGTGAAGGAGAAATAAAATCCTTTACAGACAAGCAAATGCTGAGAGATTTTGTCACCACCAGGCCTGCCTTAGAAGAGCTCCTGAAGGAAGCACTAAACATGGAAAGGAACAAACAGTACCAGCCACTGCAAAAACATTCCAAATTGTAAAGACCATCGACGCTATGAAGAAACTGCATCAATTAACGGGCAAAATAACCAGCTAACATCAGAATGACAGGATCAAATTCAAACATAACAATATTAACCTTAAATGTAAATGGGCTAAATGCTCCAATTAAAAGACACAGACTGGCAAATTGGATAAAGAGTCAAGACTGTGCTGTATTCAGGAGACCCATCTCACGTGCAAAAATGCACATAGGCTCAAAATAAAGGGTCGAAGGAAAATCTACTGAGCAAATGGAAAGAAAAAAAAAAGCAGGGGTTGCAATCCCAGTCTCTGATAAAACAGAATTTAAACCAACAAAGATCAAAAGAGACAAAGACAGCCACAACAAGAAGAGCTAACTACCCTAAATATATATGCACCCAGTACAGGAGCACCCAGATTCATAAAGCAAGTCCTTAGAGACCTACGAAGAGACATAGACTCCCACACAATAATAATGGGAGACTGGGAGACACCCCACAGTCAATATTAAACAGATCAACAAGACAGAAGGTTAACAAGGATATCCAGGACTTGAACTCAGCTCTAGACCAAGTGGACCCAATAGACATCTACAGAACTCTCCACCCCTAATCAACAGAATATACATTCTTCTCAGCACCACATTGCACTTATTTTAAAATTGACCACATAATTGGAAGTAAAACACTCCTCAGCAAATGTAAAAGAACAGAAGTCACAACAAACTGTCTCTCAGACCACAGTGCAATCAAATTAGAACTCAGGATTAAGAAACTGACTCAAATCCACACAGCTACGTGGAAACTGAACAACCTGCTCCTGAATGACTACTGGGTAAATAACAAAATGAAGGCAGAAATAAAGATGTTCTTTGAAACCAATGAGAACAAGGACACAATGTACCAGAATTTCTGGGACACATTTAAAGCAGTGTGTAGAGGGAAATTTATAGCACTAAATGCCCACGAGAGAAAGCAGGAAAGATCTAAAATCGACACCCTAACATCACAATTGAAAGAACTAGAGAAGCAAGAGCAAACAAATTCAAAAGCAAGCAGAAGGCAAGAAATAACTGAGATCAGAGCAGAACTGAAGGAGACAGAGACACAAAAAGCCGTTCAAAAAATCAATGAATCCAGGAGCTGGTTTTTTGAAAAGATCAACAAAATTGATAGACCACTAGCAAGACTAATAAAGAAGAAAAGAGAGAAGAATCGAATAGATGCAATAAAAAATGATAAAGGGATATCACCACCGATCCCACAGAAATACAAACTACCATCAGAGAATACTATAAACTCCTCTACGCAAATAAACTGGAAAATCTAGAAGAAATGGATAAATTCCTGGACACATACACCCTCCCAAGACTCAACCAGGAAGAAGTTGAATCTCTGAAGACACCAATAACAGGTACTGAACCAAGGTTTGGACCAACCAAAAATGTCCAGGACCAGATGGATTCACAGTTGAATTCTACCAGAGGTACAAAGAGGAGCTGGTACCATTCCTTCAGAAACTATTCCAATCAATAGAAAAAGAGGGACTCCTCCCTAACTCATTTTATGAGGCCAGCATCATCCTGGTACCAAAACCTGGCAGAGACACAACAAAAAAAGAGAATTTTAGGCTAATATCCCTGATGAACATCGATGTGAAAATCCTCAATAAAATACTGGCAAACCAAATCCAGCAGCACATCAAAAAGCCTATCCACCAAAACCAAGTCAGCTTCATTCCTGGGATGCAAGACTGGTTCAACATACGCAAATAAATAAATGTAATCCATCACATAAACAGAACCAATGACAAAAACCACATGATTATCTCAATAGATGCAGAAAAGGCCTTTGACAAAATTCAACAGCCTTTCTTGCTAAAAACTCTAAATAAATTAGGTATTGATGGAACGTACCTCAAAATAATAAGAGCTATTTATGACAAACCCACAGCCAATATCATACTGAATGGGCAAAACCTGGAAGCATTCCTTTTGAAAACCAGCACAAGATAAGAATGCCCTCTCTCACCACTCCTATTCAACATAGTGTTGGAAGTTCTGGCTAGGGCAATCAGGCAAGAGAAAGAAATAAAGGGTATTCAGTTAGGAAAAGAGGAAGTCAAATTGTCTCTGTTTGCAGATGACACGATTGTATATTTAGAAAACCCCATTGTCTCAGCCCAAAATCTCCTTAAGCTGATAAGCAACTTCAGCAAAGTCTCAGGATACAAAATCAATGTGCAAAAATCACAGGCATTCCTGTACACCAATAATAGACAAACAGAGAGCCAAATCATGAGTGAACTCCCATTCAGAATTACTACAAAGAGAATAAAATACCTAGGAATCCAACTTACAAGGGATGTGAAGGACCTCTTCAAGGAGAACTACAAACCACTGCTCAACGAAATAAAAGAGGACACAAACAAATGGAAGAACATTCCATGCTCGTGGATAGGAATAATCAATATCACGAAAATGGTCATACTGCCCAAGGTAATTTATAGATTCAGTGCTATCCCCATCAAGCTACCATTGACTTTCTTCACAGACTTGGAAAAAAACTACTTTAAAGCTCACATGGAACCAAAAAAGAGCCTGCATAGCCAAGACAATCCTAAGCAAAAAGAACAAAGCTGGAGGCATCACGCTACCTGACTTCAAACCATACTACAAGGCTACAGTAACTAAAACAGCATGGTACTGGTACCAAAATAGATATATAGACTAATGGAACAGAACAGAGGCCTCAGAAATGACACCACACATCTGCAACCATCTGATCTTTGACAAACCTGACAAAAACAAGAAATGGGGAAAGGATTCCCTATTTAATAAATGGTGCTAGGAAAACTGGCTAGCCATATGTAGAAAGCTGAAACTGGATCCCTTCCTTACACTGTATACAAAAATTCGCTCAAGAAGGATTAAAGACTTAAATGTAAGACCTAACACCTAGAAGAAAACCTACACAATACCATTCAGGACATAGGCATGGGCAAAGACTTTATGACTAAAACACCAAAAGCAATGGCATCAAAAGCCAAAATAGACAAATTGGATCTAATTAAACTAAAGAGCTTCTGCACAGCAAAGGAAACTATCATCAGAGTGAACAGGCAACCTACAGAGTGGGAGAAAATTTTTGCAATCCACCCATCTGACAAAGGGCTAATATCTTTGTAGAATCTGCAAAGAACTTAAACAAATTTACAAGAAAAAAACAAACCCATCAAAAAAGTTGGCAAAGGATATGAACACCTTTACACTGTTGGTGGGAGTGTAAATTAGTTCAACCATTGTGGAAGACAGTGTGGTGATTCCTCAAGGATCTAGAACTAGAAATACCATTTGACCCAGTGATCTCATTAGTGGGTATATACCCAAAGGATTATAAATCATGCTACTATAAAGACACATGCACACATATGTTTATTGCAGCACTATTCACAATACCAAAGACTTGGAACCAACCCAAATGTCCATCAACGATAGACTGGATAAAGAAAATGTGGCACATATACACCATGGAATACTATGCAGCCATAAAAAAGGATGAGTTCCTGTCCTTTGCAGGGACGTGGATGAAGCTGGAAACCATCATTCTAAGCAAACTATCATGAGGACATAAAACCAAACACTGCATATTCTCACTCATAGGTGGGAGTTGAACAATGAGAACACATGGACACAGCACAAGGAACATCACACACCGGGGCCTGTCAGGGGTTGGGGGGCTGGGGGAGGGATAGCATTAGGAGAAATACCTAATGTAAATGATGAGTTGATGGGTGCAGCAAACCAACATGGCACATGTATACCTATGTAACAAACCTGCACGTTGTGCACCTGTACCCTAGAACTTAAAGTATAATAAAAAAAAAAGAAAGAAAAGAAAAGAAAAAAAGAAGTGGCTTTTACCTCCCACCACGATTCTAAGGCCTCTCAGCCATGTGGAACTGTAAGTCCAGTTAAACCTCTTTTTCTTCCCAGTCTCGAGTATGTCTTTATCAGCAGCGTGAAAATGAACTCATACACACACACAGAAGTATATCTTTACAGTTCCCAGGATGGACTGCAAGTTTGGCTCTAAATTTCCTTTGCCTGGCCAAAACAAAAAGAACACATTTTATTATAAGGTTCACAGGCTTTTAATTGAAAAAAAAAAAAAAACAGTTATTCAACATGAAAACTCTTTTTCAGACAAAGTTCTACAAAGTCTATTTCTCACAAGTAGGACTTTGGCAAGGATTGTGCAACTGACAATTCAAAGTCATTTATTCCGTGGTGAGAAACCGGAGTACAGATCTTTACCAGTTAGGGGATGATCCATGTGTTTTGATAATCACCTTGGTGGTGATCAGACTAAAGGTCTCCTATGAAAACCATTAACTTCACACTATAGCTGATAGGATGCACTGAAGCCCTTACCGCTGACTGCATGGATGAGAGCTAGGCCAGAGCATTGGCAGGCAGAGTTTATAACATGGGGCAGGAAGCATTGAAATTCTATTCCACCTCTTGGTGTATCAGGTCAGGAGTCAAATCTCCTATCTTCCTCTTCTGGATCGCTTTCCTCCTGAAGTGTCTGGCATAGATGTCTAGGTATAGCTTGGCATGGTGGTGTGTGCCTATAGACCCAGCTACTTGAGAGGCTGAGGTGGGAGGATTGCTTGAGCGCAGGAGTTTGAGGCTGCAGTGAGCCATGACCACACCACTGTACTCCACCCTGGGTGACAGAGCAAGACCCTGTCTCTCTTTCTAAAAAAACAAAACAAAACAAAACAAAACAAAAAGAAAAAAAGATGTCCAAGTGTGTTCTGGTTACTGCTGCTGACTGCTAAATTTAACAGCTAGAAAAAAAAAGTTTGGACTCTATGGATCATAAATTTGGATAAGACACAGAGGGAATGGCTTGTCTCATGTTCACAATGTCTAAAGTCTTAAATGGGGAGAGTCGTCAACCAGGGGTAATTTGAGAGTTATGGGCTGGAACCACCTTGAGGCATCTTTATTCATAGGCTAGCAATTGATGTTGGCTGTTGGCTGGGACGTCAGCTGGAGCTGTCAACTGGGAGACCTGTCTGATATCCCAGCATAGGACACTAGACCTCTCACAAAGTGGCGAGGGCTCCAGAAGCAAGTGTCCCAGCTGACAAAAAAAAAAAGTTTCATAGCCTTCTACGACATGCACTTAGAAGTGGTAATGTGTCACTTCCAGCCCTTTCTGTTGATTACAAGTGAGTCATGAGTCCACTCAGTTTCAAGGGAGAGGGCCCAGATCCCATATCTCCATGGGAAGAGTGCCAAGAACACCTTGTAGAAAAGCTTGTGGATAGGAGATATTGGTGTGGTCATCCTTGGAAAACACAATCTTCCACAGTGTGCAAGAGAGGCTTCCTGCTCTGCATTGTGGCTTAATTATTGTTGAAATACCAGGCAAGAAAAGGTAGGATCCAGGGAAACAAATGTATCCAGGATGTTTTGGTCTGCCTTTTCTAGGAAAAAAGGAAACCCTCAAAGCCTCTGAGACTAGGTCACCCCAGTGGGACTAGAAGTTCCACGTGGAACCTTCTGCAAACTCCTCTGCAATAGATGGACTGTGCATTTTCCAAATGTGTCTTTACATCATCTCCTTTCTGACCTTGGGAAGATAGTAACTGACTGTGGAGTAGGAAATCCAGAACCCTGATTGTTTTAAAATATATTACAGATACAAGTAATGAAAAGAAGGCTCCTAAGGAAAATATAGATCCGTAATGGCTTTGTCCCAAAAGCTATTAGGCTATAATATTTTATTACAAAGGCTATATTTATTACAAAATGTATTTAAATAAATACTTAATATTTATTTAAATAAATAATATTTATTTTATTATTAATAATTAATATTTAAATAAATATAATATTTCTTACAAAAATTAAAAACTGGGACTTTATATTTAAAGGTGAGACATTAAATTCTTTTTAAAAAGTGCACATGTAAGATTTTTTTCTCAAGTCAACTGAACCAGTTCATCAGTTTCACTATGAATGTGTTGATGCACCAAGTATTTACTTTCTAGAACATCTAGTAGACGTCACTAAAAAATTATACCAAGTTGAAAAATGTCACTGAATCAGAGGCATGTGGTTGGTTATGTAGTCATCTGTGCCAGCTGGGAATATAGCAATACCAAATGAACAGCACTGCCATGTTCCCTTGCTGGGTTCCAGCAAAAACACTCATCTTCACTGTCGTCTCTCTTTGAGACCTCTTAGAGAGGACTTTGATGAGTGTATGGTCTTATACACACTAGTCTAACAATACACATTTGCTCAAGGATTGGGTTACGAGCAGGCTCTTCACCTTTCAGGTGAACAATTACACATCAGGAGAAGGATGGAAGTTTCCTATCTATGAACAAATATTTCCCAAAGCAATAATCTCTTTATTCAACTCACGTAATGAGAAGTCAGTTCCTCTGTGCCATAAAGCAATCTCTTTGAAGTCTTCAGTAATGTTGAGGGTTTTAATGTTGAGGGCTTTATCAAACTAAACATTCAAGTGTCTTAGGCTTTCCCCTTAGTTCTTTGAGCAAATTGGTTGCTATGAAGTATGTTAGTGTTCCGAATGAATGGATAGCATGATGGGGGATGTCTAGGTGGTTCCAGAATTTAGATTGTGGTTTCCATAACAAAGTGTGGCAGTATTGGCATTAGGGAAGAGAAATGACTTCTAAATAACTTCTCAAAGTTTACTAAAGCCTTAAGAATGTAGGAAATGGCCACAAAAGGAGGTATACAAAACATTCCTCTGTCTTTATTCCTCTTTATACAAACGTATTCACTTTCCCATCAGCAAGTCATAAAATACTTCTCATCTTGCATTACAGTAGGACACCTACTATAACAATAGGCTACAAAATGTATAATGGCTCAAACACCTAGCAGTTTATTTCTTATTTACTTAACAATGCTGGGTCCACGAACATGTTGATATCATAACCCTCTTTTATGTGGTCACTCAGGGACTCAGGCTGTTGAGGGCTCTGTCATCATGAATGGGTGGCTTCCAAGGTCATCCTAAGAGTTATCTCCATTCTAACCAGTCCAGCCAGAAAGGCAGAACAGGCTTGGAGGAGCAAAGATATCCATGGATAGATCATCCTCTTAAAGTCATTGTAGCATTGTGATAGGGCTCTTTTCACAAAACAAGGATACAATCCATGTTTTCAAGATTTTACATTTTAGTAGCCACAATACAAAGAAGCTAAGATAGTCTTGTGATTTGTCATCATGGCTGTTAATGGAGAGTGTTTTAAAAGCACTGATATCAGGGCTCCACCCTCAGCTTCCAATCATCAGGTTTGGATGGAACCTGACAGCTGCATCTTGTAAAACTCCACGGGAGATTCTGAGAGACAGCCAAGTTTGAGATTCACAAACCTTAAGAGAAAAAATCTCCTTGAATTGCCATAACAAACTACCAGTCTAATAAAACATACATATTCCTTTGACTACTCTTAAATGAAACAAATAGGTAATAATTTACCTGTACATATAATTAAAAATGTAATGTATTTTATAACCATCATATAAAGGAGAAATTATATTAAACTATATTAAAATAAAATGATATATATTTCAATGCAGATGCCCAAGCTTGACTAAAGTAGGAAACATAATAAAGTAATAAAATGCTTATATGTACTTATAATGAATGTTTGGCTATGAGAAGATGATCAGAGGCTTTTTGTCCAAGAAGTACAGGCATATGAAAAAGTAGAGCAAGAGATGGACACCAGACTGAGAAAACTAAAAACTAACCAACCTATTTGTGTATGATAAAAGGAGAGAAAAAAAATTGATTAGTAAAAATATGCTACCGTGTGGTCTGAATGTTTGTCCCTTCCAAAACTCATGTTGAAATTTAATCCCCCATGTGGCAGTATTGAGAAGTGGGACCTTTAAGAGGTGATTGGTTCAAGAAGATTCTGCGCTCATGAGTGGTTGAAACCATTCACGGAATAACGGGTTAATGGATCAATGAGTTATCCCAGGAGTGGGACTGGTAGCTTTATAAGAGAAGGAAGAGAGACCTGCGCTAGCACACTCAGCCTCCTTGCCATGTGAGCCATCTCGGGACCCCGCAGAGTCCCCAGCAGAAAGAAGGCCCTCACCCAATGTGTCCCCTTGACCTAGGATTTCTCAACCTCCATAACTGTAGGAAATGAATTCCTTTTCTTTGTAAATTATCCAGTTTCAGGTATTCTGTTATAAACAACAGAAAATGGGCTAAAACACACGCCAAGAAAATTGAAAGACTGTGGAAGTGAAAGAAGAATAAAAAATGAAGTAATTTTGCAAATGAGTCTGGCTTTATTATAAGTGTATTGTCAAAGTGATTCCCTTTGTTATAAGATGAAAAAGAGCCAAAATGGATAGAAACATTTATCCTATCTTAATATCCCACTACATTCAAGGCAAATATTCAGTCAGTCTCTAGAACTTAACAAGGCCTTGGAGATGATATCCTTTGGATGAGCAATGGAGAAGACAAGATGGATTGGAAAAAGAAACAAACAAACAAAAAAACATGTAAGAGGCTATCAGGAAAACTCTGGAGACGATGTCAATGTAAAACAGATACAAACCTCAAAATAATTTTAATATGTACATTGCACAAAAATGGACTTCTTATCATGTTACAAATTTATTTTAAAACATATAGGAGGCAACAACAATATTTCATTGATGTGTACTATTTTATAATTGTTGGCTCTAATTTTATTTAGTAGAGTCTTACATCTCCTCTCTACATATTTACATCCGGTTGTATTGTTTTTGTAGTACCTGTTCAACTGCACTGAAATCATTTCAATTAAATGCATGGTTGAAAAGCTGACATAATACATTCAATTGCCAAATTGCATAAAGTGAATAAGCTATTTAATAATTTGGAGAAAATATATTCCATTTAAACTTCCTTCTCTATAACCAGTTCATACACTGGACCTTTTGGGCACAGCCATGTGAAAGCTTTTCAAAACTTTTCACTACTTTTTTTTGAGACGGAGTCTCACTCTGTCACCCAGGCTAGAGTGCAGTGGTGCGATCTCGGCTCACTGCAACCTCCACCTCCCAGGTCCAAGTGATTCTCCTGCCTCAGCCTCCCGAGTAGCTGGGATTACAGGCACCTGACACCACACCTGACTAATTTTTGTAATTTTAGTAGAGACAGGATTTCACCATGTTGGCCAGGATGGTCTTGAACTCCTCATCTCAAGTGTTCCGCCTGCCTTGGCCTCCCAAAGTGGTGGGTTACAGGCATGAGTCATTGCACCCAGCCACTATAGATTTTTATTTGTAGTAGATTTAGTTCAGTAGGGCATTTGAGAGGCATAGGAACTGGAACAAATCCTTCATTGTTTGGGACTGCCTTGCACATTGTAGGACATCCAGTACAGTCCCTTCCACGAAGTGGCAGCAGCAGCCTCGGGCTGTCCAAACACCCTGTTAGGGACAGTGCCACTCCCGGAACCACAGAAGAACCACAATCATAGGAGAAGCATACAACAAACATGGTGTTCATCGGACGGTCAGCTTCAGTGGCACTTTTGAGCAAGCACACTATTTGGTTGTAGAATGAGTCCCTGGCAGGGCACCCGAAAGGCTGATGTGTGACTCATCCCTAGTACCTCTGAGAATGCTGAAATCTCCTCCTTCTCCAAGCTGAGTGGCAGCTTTCTGGTCCAGACTACTTAAATTGTGACTTGAGGAATTTTCTTCACTTTTTCCTTTGAGTCATTCTGTTTTTGATCAAGATGCGATAGAATGAAGGATTCTTTCAGGGTCTGCTGTCACATCCTTCCTTTGGGAACAGATAGAAAATCTGGCCTGGCTTGAAGAGTTTGTCCTCAAACATCTGGTAAGCCATAGGCATCAGCATCTCTTACTTCTCCAGAGACATTTAGATGTGTCCCCCATCTCCATGGAGGCCCATGGCAAGGGGACCCCTAGTTGTACTAGAGCTTCCTTCTGGGCACAGCCACACTGCACAGGCACTGCAGTGTACAGCACAGCTCCTCCAGCTTCCGGAAGACTCCATTATCTAGAAAAGTGCTGAGAAATGGAGAAGGGGGTTCCTCTGGGGTGGAGATGGAAAGAGGAAAAGGAAGGGAGAATGTCCAAGCAAAATGAGAGAAGGTGAGGGACAGCAGAATTGAGAGTGAGGGAGAGGGAGAGAGCAAGAGACTGGGTTGAGATGTCTTGTACATGGGGGTGTCCTCGTGGCTTCACTCCCCTTTCGTTTGTACCACTCCGTTTCCCCAGACTCTTCCTAAATATCCCCTTATTGGCTACAAGATCCAGATTGCCTAGAAGCTCAGATTTGCTGACAGCACCTCAAGACTGGTTAATGACATATAGATTTTTTCTTGTTTCCATCTTTGGGATTTGGAGCAATCTCCAGAGTTGCAAAAGCCTACCTTGTTGCAATAATATTTTTGAGGGTCCACACTGTCTGCTCACTTGCTCTATGCTGCTGGGCACAGTGGTGTGGCCATCCAGGGTGGGAGAGACCACCTGGGATATGGAAATTACCAGCAGCCCTGTTTTGCTCTTGCAGTGGTTGCCAAAGCACACGAAGCATTCTGGGAATCTGAATTTCTGTTGTTTCTCCCAAATGGCCCCTGAAGGGCAACAGGCAGCACACATGGACCACATTTTGCCAGAAAAGTCCAGAAAGAAGATGGCTGCTGTTGTCAACTATTGGCATTTCAACAGGACCTATTTTTATTTCTCAGTATATTTGCACAACTAGGAAGCATCTGCTGACAAGGATGAGATGATAAGCTGTATTGATGCCAAAACAGGACTAGAAAAACAGGCTTGTTCTGCAAATGGCCTGCATCCTGAGAGTCCGTGTTAAGAACATTCTCTCTCTGCAGGCAATATCTGCTCTTAAAACATTAACACTTGAAAGGAAGTAAGGCTTGGAATCCTTAGCATAGTTATGCACACACTAGGTTCTCAGTAAGTGCATGCTGGATGAAGGAACCCACACGCACCTTAAGGAGGATGGAACATTGGCAGCCCAAGAAAAAAGTCACTCCCCAGAGGCCGAGTGCCATGTCTTTGACCTCCATTGGCAAGGTCATGGTGAAATGCTGTCTCTTGGGGTCGCTGAGGTCCCAGCACGGTGTGCCTTCACACCGTGCAAACAATAAGAAGAGAAGAGAGGCACACATGTCACCTTTCCAGGCAGGGACATCCAAGCTGTTTGAGTCTCCATTCTGTGATTTCCTTGAACAAGAAAGGGATTATTGGTGAATGAGGCCAGCATCCTGGGTGGGAACAAAAAAGGAAATTGGTAGAAAGTACATCATCCAAGTTGGTCTAACTCAGCCCTGTGGCTTGGGCGGGTTCCTAGGATATCCAGCCGGAGGCAGAGGCTCTAGGGGATGTGAGGCTGCACTGGGTATGATGACACAGAGGACTGTGAGAGGCAGAGAAAAGGGGAGAAGAGCTGAGGCCCTCCTAGCCCTAACCTCCCAGCTCACACCCTCTGCTATCTGCCACCTCCAGGCCAACACCACGGCCATGGGAGGTTTGCCCATTTTTCTGATAGACACATTCTTTCTCTACCAACAGCCCACATGGAACATAAGTGAAGTAATTCAGCAGTTTCCTTCTTAATCTGCTGTCTCTCTGCTGCTTACTCATTCTGTGCTGTTTGCTTTAGATCAAGGTGCCCCAGGGTACCAAAAGCTACATTATCCTATTCAACTGCATGGAAACCAAGATCCCGACCATTCTGGTTTGTTGTTATTGTTACGTTAGTTTTAAACCTTAGCCATTTTCCATTCTGGGCAGTTACAACTCTGTTTACTATGAGTTCCTCTGTGTAGATGTTTCTCCCATACCCGACCTACAAACTGCTACGTGAGCAGTAACTTGTCACCATGTTATCCGCATAAAGTCAGGGATTGATAAACTTGGGAGCCTTTAGCTCTTGAAGGTGCTGATGAGGAAGGGGAGAGGGGAGGAGAAGGAATTTGTTTGTGAGATGGTCAGTGGGCTGAATAGTGGTATGACCAAAAAGTGTTACTATAAATACACATAATCTGGAAAACAAAAATACTGTCATCTCCTCCCTGCAAGGCGCTGTGATTAGGCAGGATGGAGCTTATTGCTGCAGTGTTAGAAAATGCATCCTTGTAGTCCCAAAAAAGCCTGTTCCATCCTGCCCATCTCTTGTTCTCAATACTTCTTACTTCACGGTCACTCATTTTCTTCCTGTCCTTGGGTTGAGGTCTCAACTTCTTGTAATAGAATTTTTTCAGTTATAAGCGACAGAAATCCAACTCACACTATCTTAAGCAAAAAGGGGATTCACTGATACGTGTGTTAGGAAGGATATATGAAAGCTCAAAGGTCAAGTGAAAAAAATGTAAGAACGAAGACCTTGGTGGGGTGTGGTGGCTCACGCCTATCATCCCAGCATTTTGGGAGGCCGAGGCAGGTGGGTCACAAGGTCAGGAGTTCAAGACCAGCCTGCCCAAGATGGCGAAACCCCATCTCTACTAAAAACACAAAAATTAGCCGGGTGTGGTGGCAGGCTCGTGTATTCCCAGCTACTTGGGAGGCTGAGGCAGAGAACTGTTTAAACCTGGGAGGCAGAGGTTGCAGTGAGTTGAGATGTGCCACTGCACTCCAGCCTGGGCGGCAGAGTGAGACTCTGTCTCAAAAAAAAAACAAAAAAAAAAAACTAAGACCTTGTGACTACTACCTACTACCTGGATCTCTCTCTCTCTCTCTCTCTCTTTCTCTCTCTCTCTCTCACCCCCCCACACTATCACCTCTCCTTGTTGTCAGTAGTTTCCTTTCTGCAGACAGGAGTTCCATGTGCTGGGAAGAGGGCCATTCAGAGCCTCGTATTCTCATCCTCTCAGTTTAGCAATGCGAGAAGAAAAAACTTTTGTCTCACAACCTCATATACAATCTCAGAAATAGGCTCTTATTTTCTGGCTTGAGGCTGTCCAGAGGCACCAGGCACTGTGATGGTCTCACTTTCTGTCCTGGATCTATCTGTGGGGCCCAGACAGCAGGATCTATTTCAGAAAATAGGCGAGAGAGGAAAAACTTATGTGGCCGTAAAAAACAGCGGTTTTCAAGTGGCCTATCCCCATCCACATCATAAACTTTTCTGCTGAGGCTTAAAAGTGCTTAGACTTCAAACTTGATCTAAAACAGAAATCCTACCTGGAAAAATCACCTTCCAGTCACTTAGCCAATCGCTCATCACTCTCTGTCTCTGAATCTCACCACGAGTTTCACACGTCTCCCGAGAGAGCGTCTCCTTTATCATTACCACATGTGGAGTCAGCAGATTGGGTTTCATCTAAGCTCTGCCTACCTACTATCCGAGTTCCCTAGCAGGTTAGTGACTTTCTCTGCCTTTTTGTTTCTTGATGTGAAAAGGAACAACAGTGGCTGCTCACAGGGTTGTCAGTTACATGGTCAATTACATTACATGGACAATTCATGATGGTGTCAGACCTGTCTGAGAAAAGGTGGCCCATGTTACCATGACAGGCCCCAAGGCTAACAGCCCCTTTCTGGGTCATGGCTCATACAAAGGAGCCCTCCTTGGTTTGCTGGTGCTCTGAGACTTGCAAATGCATTAGGAATTTTACACTGTAACCCGGTTTTAAATGGGTCCAGAGCATCCCCATTGCTAGACTACTGTGCTGAGGAAGGGCACTGGCTCATTGTTACATCCCATGAACACTCTGGGTCTCCTAGACCTCATCCTCTTTGAGCTTCTCTCTCTCACTCTCTCTCTGCGCATTCAGGAGTGTACACATTTCTGTCCAGCACCCTGAAGTCTCTGGAAGAGAAGGACCATATCCACCGAGTCCTGGACAAGATCACAGACACTTTGATCCACCTGATGGCCAAGGCAGGCCTGACCCTGCAGCAGCAGCACCAGCGGCTGGCCCAGCTCCTCCTCATCCTCTCCCACATCAGGCACATGAGGTGAGGCATCTGTGGGCTTCCTACAGGAGAGACATAAAGAAAACATGCCCCCAAACCTATGTGACAGCTGGCCGGGAAGGACTGGTGCCTGCATATGGAGAGTGCACTTGTGACAGTTCCTGGCATAGAATAAGCATAAATGCTATAGGAGGACAGAAGAGAGAGGTTTTAAATCTGCGAGGGTCACAGGGCAAGTGTCAGAGAAGGCATAGAGGAAGCGATACTTACGCTTGGTTTAAAGCATGTGCTTTGGGGCAGTGGTTTAGAGATTGGGTGCAGTGTGCAAATAGGAGGAGGGGGCCAATCAAGAGAAGTCAGTGAATGTACACATCCCCTGAAGACACTGGGTACATCTGTTATGGTCCCTGTGTACACTCGGATATTCTAAATGAGAGACCCTGGGGCCAGATGCCTCACGGAGAGTCAATGTTGACTCCTTCATACCTGTTGAACCCCTTCTTGTCACCCCCATTGCCATTACCCTAGTCTAAGCCACCATCATTTTCTGTTGGACTTCTGTGCCAGTCACTGGATGTGTATCCCTGCCTGTAATCTAGATCCTTTCTAGATCATTCTCCATGATGTGTCCAGAGTGATCATTCTAGAACCAAATCTGATGTCATCCTCCTGCTTAAAACCCTTAAGTTCTCATTGCTTTTAGATAAAATATAAACCCTTTCACTTTGTTTTTATTACTCCTTATGATTCAGCCCTTACTTAGCTTACAAGGACTTCCTCATGTCTGAGCTCTAGCCATAATAGCTGACTGTTGGATGAGTCATCGGGGGGAGGTTCTTCTTCAGGCTGCAGATTGGCGGTCAGCCCTCCTGACCTCAGCTGGGCTCACTCACACATCTGGGAGGCAGCTGCCTGAGGCCAGGGTGACTCTGCTCTATGCCTCATGTCTCCTATCCTCCTTGTACCCACATGTTAGCTGGGACATGTTCTCATCGCAATGGCAGAGGCATGAGAAAGTGATCCTGTTTGGGCAAGTGCATTTTACTCTTTTCTTTCACTCATGTCCACTGACATTTCATTGGCCAAGCAAGCATGTGGGGTGTCCAGAGTCAAAGAGGGACATGTTGCCGGGGTCATGACTATTTCTGAGCAATAATCTAACCTATCATAGCTCAGATCTCACTCCTTGCAGGAAGCATCTCCTAATCCTTAAGACCTAGTTGGAACTTACACTCTGTTCTTCCCTATGGTTACTGCCCATTTTACTATTTTTCTGCCCATTTAGACTGACAACTCTGTGAGCCATCATTGCAATATGGCTTGCTTACCCAATATCACCTAGCATGATGTAGAGCACATAGTAAATACTCAACAAATGTTTTCTGTAAGAGCTAAGGAAGGACATCAGCAGACAAAATAGAGTCTTTCTATGCCAAAAGGTGAAAGTGGTCTCATTTCCATTCCATTGTCCTGTAATTTGGCTAGCCAAAAGCTTAGTGGATACCATTCCCATAAGTAGACCTCATCTGCAGGGAAGAGATGGGGAGACTGCTGGGTTATTTATTGCAGACTCCAGCAGGACCACAACAATGATTCAAAGTGATGACACTAGAAGGACAGGTGCCAATGGGTGATGAAGCCACAATGACGATGTCAAGTGGTATCACTAAAAGGACAGGTACTCATGGGTGATGAAGCCTACATGACCTTGGGCTTACACCAGGACCCTAGGAATGAAAGAGATTCCTTCTCTTAGTGGCTATGAGGGAAGGCCTATGATGTCTTAAGGAGGTTGGATTCGATCATTTTTAAGGGACCTTCAAATCCTTAGACCGTGATTCAAATGGTAAGAAGTTTGCTCCATTAAACTCCCAGGCACCACCCTTTCCGGAGACAACCTTTAAAAATTATTAGCTCCTGGGAAAATAGATGTATCTCATTTTCTTTGTATCCCTCACAGTGCCATATGTGAAGACTTACATATGGTATATGCCCCCAACATTACTACTGAGTGAGTGAACAAAGAAATGAGGGAATGAATGGATGAACAAATGGCTCATGGCAGGCTTTTCCCTGCCCTGTGAATTCGGCTTCTACTTGGTAAGAAGGTGATTGCAATCTCTGTTCTCAGGGTTCCCCAAGGATTCCTGTGTAACAGATGAAGGAATCACGTCTGTCAGGTAGAGTAGGTGACTGCATTCAGAGTATACATTTCCAGTCTCCCCTGTCTTTTTCTTTTGATGAGTATTATAGAGAGGGAAGCCATGAGTGGATTAGATGCCAAAATCCCTGGCTGAGAGAATAACCTTACCCTGGAGGAAAACATATTAGCTTTGACTCTGAGCTGGGAATTTCGGTGATGTTGTAGATTCAATGCATTGCAGTTGGGTGTTTTTATTTGTTGAAAGGAATTGCTGAATTTTCAAATCCATTAACTGCTTGTCAGCATTAGCAAGCCTAATTAGTTAATACTAAGTAAATTTGCACTAAATATACAACCCTGGCTGATTTTACTGGCCACGTCTGGCAGAGGGCAGCAGCAGGGAGAAAGCTCTGTAGAGTTTCTGTTGGAATCGTGTGAAAAGCTGGAGAGGTTGCTTCTCTTTCTCTCTCTCTCTCTTTCTCTCTCTCTCTCTGACACACACACACACATACACACACACACAATTGTAATAATAATAATATTTTGGTTCCTCACTAAGCCAATCTAAATCGCAGAAGTCTATTTTGTTAAGTAAGCTTGGCCCCAGCCATATGTTGCTACTCAGAGAATTTAATATCAGATTTCATCTGACTGTAAACGTGAATCATCAGGTTGCACAAGGAACACAGTGGCAGATCCAGGGGGCATTTAACTTTTATAGCATTTTAAATGAAAAAAAAAAAAAGTAACACTTAAACAAGTAATTTAGATCATGCTGTAGGCCCTGAATAGCTTTGATGTTGTGTTTTCATGGCAAGTCTCCAACTTGAGCTGAATTTTCCCCTACTAAAAATGCAAATTTTTCTAAGACCTTCTCTTGGTCCTGCTACTCATGATACATATTTCTTTTAAAAGAAATTTCAAACTAGATAATAGTTGTTCTCCTCCCCACCCCCGCCACCAGTAGTGTGGTGGGGCAGCAGAGTTGTGGCTAGTGGAGGAGAGCAGAGGAGGAGAGTAGGGAAAGGAGAATGCCATTTGCCTACATTTCCCTCTGCCCATTTCCCGCTGCCCATTTCCCCCCTTGTTTTCCTGAACGTGAACTGAGCTCTGGGCACTGTTTTAGGCCTAGCAGGGGACAGGATAAAGCCTGCTTCTCTAGGAATTCGCACTGAGGGTGTGAGTGTGTGCACGTGTGTGTTTGGAGGCGGGAGAATAAACACAAATAAATAAAAAGGAGAATTTCAGGCAGTGATAAGAGTGCTGAGAAAAACAGAACGGTGTGAAAGAGGAAGGCTGAGCCTGCAGAGGCTTGAGGCTGCTGCCACTGGGTAGCGGTAGGCCTTTCCGAGGAGGCGGCATTTGAAGACCGGAGGAAGGTTCATCCCAGCAAGTAGGAACAGCAAGTGTAGGTCCCCTAAGTCTTGGGGGAGCTTAGTTCCTTTAAGGGCAGCACAAAAATCAGTGTGGCTCCGGAGAGCACATTAGGGGAGAGAGGCAGGAAGAGCTTGGAGACATGGATGGAAGCTGGACCAGTTGGGCCTTGTTGAACATGGAAAGGCATTTAGATCGTATTCTGAGTTAAATGGGAAGTGACGTGAGAGATTTAACAATGGAGCGTCTTGAACTGCTTTACTCATTTAAAATACCCACTCCTGCTTGGCTGAATATCTCATGTTGTCTTTTTAGAAGCTTTGGCGATCCTATTTGAATGCATTTAGGTCCTATTGGAGGGGAATAGGATCTCATTTGAGGCCACGGAGGTCCATGGAAGTCACCTGCATAGCAAATACCCTGAAAGTGGCTGCAGGGAGAGTGTGAGGGTGGGACCGCCCTGGTAGGAGGTGGAAAATGAAAAACACACGGCCATGAGTTCCAGATTAGGGCTTCTGAAAGCCCTCAGCTTTCCCAGCTCCCATCCTAAAGTGGGTCTTTAAACAGGAAGAAAGAAAGATTGCTAAGTGTCTTTGGAGTTCCTCTTCCTTCCCCTTCTAGGGATTTCAGCACTCCTGGGGCTCGGGTTGGCTCTAAAGTAGTCCTTTCTGTGTCTTCCCACCTACAGTAACAAAGGCATGGAGCATCTGTACAGCATGAAGTGCAAGAACGTGGTGCCCCTCTATGACCTGCTGCTGGAGATGCTGGACGCCCACCGCCTACATGCGCCCACTAGCCGTGGAGGGGCATCCGTGGAGGAGACGGACCAAAGCCACTTGGCCACTGCGGGCTCTACTTCATCGCATTCCTTGCAAAAGTATTACATCACGGGGGAGGCAGAGGGTTTCCCTGCCACGGTCTGAGAGCTCCCTGGCTCCCACACGGTTCAGATAATCCCTGCTGCATTTTACCCTCATCATGCACCACTTTAGCCAAATTCTGTCTCCTGCATACACTCCGGCATGCATCCAACACCAATGGCTTTCTAGATGAGTGGCCATTCATTTGCTTGCTCAGTTCTTAGTGGCACATCTTCTGTCTTCTGTTGGGAACAGCCAAAGGGATTCCAAGGCTAAATCTTTGTAACAGCTCTCTTTCCCCCTTGCTATGTTACTAAGCGTGAGGATTCCCGTAGCTCTTCACAGCTGAACTCAGTCTATGGGTTGGGGCTCAGATAACTCTGTGCATTTAAGCTACTTGTAGAGACCCAGGCCTGGAGAGTAGACATTTTGCCTCTGATAAGCACTTTTTAAATGGCTCTAAGAATAAGCCACAGCAAAGAATTTAAAGTGGCTCCTTTAATTGGTGACTTGGAGAAAGCTAGGTCAAGGGTTTATTATAGCACCCTCTTGTATTCCTATGGCAATGCATCCTTTTATGAAAGTGGTACACCTTAAAGCTTTTATATGACTGTAGCAGAGTATCTGGTGATTGTCAATTCATTCCCCCTATAGGAATACAAGGGGCACACAGGGAAGGCAGATCCCCTAGTTGGCAAGACTATTTTAACTTGATACACTGCAGATTCAGATGTGCTGAAAGCTCTGCCTCTGGCTTTCCGGTCATGGGTTCCAGTTAATTCATGCCTCCCATGGACCTATGGAGAGCAGCAAGTTGATCTTAGTTAAGTCTCCCTATATGAGGGATAAGTTCCTGATTTTTGTTTTTATTTTTGTGTTACAAAAGAAAGCCCTCCCTCCCTGAACTTGCAGTAAGGTCAGCTTCAGGACCTGTTCCAGTGGGCACTGTACTTGGATCTTCCCGGCGTGTGTGTGCCTTACACAGGGGTGAACTGTTCACTGTGGTGATGCATGATGAGGGTAAATGGTAGTTGAAAGGAGCAGGGGCCCTGGTGTTGCATTTAGCCCTGGGGCATGGAGCTGAACAGTACTTGTGCAGGATTGTTGTGGCTACTAGAGAACAAGAGGGAAAGTAGGGCAGAAACTGGATACAGTTCTGAGGCACAGCCAGACTTGCTCAGGGTGGCCCTGCCACAGGCTGCAGCTACCTAGGAACATTCCTTGCAGACCCCGCATTGCCCTTTGGGGGTGCCCTGGGATCCCTGGGGTAGTCCAGCTCTTCTTCATTTCCCAGCGTGGCCCTGGTTGGAAGAAGCAGCTGTCACAGCTGCTGTAGACAGCTGTGTTCCTACAATTGGCCCAGCACCCTGGGGCACGGGAGAAGGGTGGGGACCGTTGCTGTCACTACTCAGGCTGACTGGGGCCTGGTCAGATTACGTATGCCCTTGGTGGTTTAGAGATAATCCAAAATCAGGGTTTGGTTTGGGGAAGAAAATCCTCCCCCTTCCTCCCCCGCCCCGTTCCCTACCGCCTCCACTCCTGCCAGCTCATTTCCTTCAATTTCCTTTGACCTATAGGCTAAAAAAGAAAGGCTCATTCCAGCCACAGGGCAGCCTTCCCTGGGCCTTTGCTTCTCTAGCACAATTATGGGTTACTTCCTTTTTCTTAACAAAAAAGAATGTTTGATTTCCTCTGGGTGACCTTATTGTCTGTAATTGAAACCCTATTGAGAGGTGATGTCTGTGTTAGCCAATGACCCAGGTGAGCTGCTCGGGCTTCTCTTGGTATGTCTTGTTTGGAAAAGTGGATTTCATTCATTTCTGATTGTCCAGTTAAGTGATCACCAAAGGACTGAGAATCTGGGAGGGCAAAAAAAAAAAAAAAGTTTTTATGTGCACTTAAATTTGGGGACAATTTTATGTATCTGTGTTAAGGATATGTTTAAGAACATAATTCTTTTGTTGCTGTTTGTTTAAGAAGCACCTTAGTTTGTTTAAGAAGCACCTTATATAGTATAATATATATTTTTTTGAAATTACATTGCTTGTTTATCAGACAATTGAATGTAGTAATTCTGTTCTGGATTTAATTTGACTGGGTTAACATGCAAAAACCAAGGAAAAATATTTAGTTTTTTTTTTTTTTTTTGTATACTTTTCAAGCTACCTTGTCATGTATACAGTCATTTATGCCTAAAGCCTGGTGATTATTCATTTAAATGAAGATCACATTTCATATCAACTTTTGTATCCACAGTAGACAAAATAGCACTAATCCAGATGCCTATTGTTGGATACTGAATGACAGACAATCTTATGTAGCAAAGATTATGCCTGAAAAGGAAAATTATTCAGGGCAGCTAATTTTGCTTTTACCAAAATATCAGTAGTAATATTTTTGGACAGTAGCTAATGGGTCAGTGGGTTCTTTTTAATGTTTATACTTAGATTTTCTTTTAAAAAAATTAAAATAAAACAAAAAAAAATTTCTAGGACTAGACGATGTAATACCAGCTAAAGCCAAACAATTATACAGTGGAAGGTTTTACATTATTCATCCAATGTGTTTCTATTCATGTTAAGATACTACTACATTTGAAGTGGGCAGAGAACATCAGATGATTGAAATGTTCGCCCAGGGGTCTCCAGCAACTTTGGAAATCTCTTTGTATTTTTACTTGAAGTGCCACTAATGGACAGCAGATATTTTCTGGCTGATGTTGGTATTGGGTGTAGGAACATGATTTAAAAAAAAACTCTTGCCTCTGCTTTCCCCCACTCTGAGGCAAGTTAAAATGTAAAAGATGTGATTTATCTGGGGGGCTCAGGTATGGTGGGGAAGTGGATTCAGGAATCTGGGGAATGGCAAATATATTAAGAAGAGTATTGAAAGTATTTGGAGGAAAATGGTTAATTCTGGGTGTGCACCAGGGTTCAGTAGAGTCCACTTCTGCCCTGGAGACCACAAATCAACTAGCTCCATTTACAGCCATTTCTAAAATGGCAGCTTCAGTTCTAGAGAAGAAAGAACAACATCAGCAGTAAAGTCCATGGAATAGCTAGTGGTCTGTGTTTCTTTTCGCCATTGCCTAGCTTGCCGTAATGATTCTATAATGCCATCATGCAGCAATTATGAGAGGCTAGGTCATCCAAAGAGAAGACCCTATCAATGTAGGTTGCAAAATCTAACCCCTAAGGAAGTGCAGTCTTTGATTTGATTTCCCTAGTAACCTTGCAGATATGTTTAACCAAGCCATAGCCCATGCCTTTTGAGGGCTGAACAAATAAGGGACTTACTGATAATTTACTTTTGATCACATTAAGGTGTTCTCACCTTGAAATCTTATACACTGAAATGGCCATTGATTTAGGCCACTGGCTTAGAGTACTCCTTCCCCTGCATGACACTGATTACAAATACTTTCCTATTCATACTTTCCAATTATGAGATGGACTGTGGGTACTGGGAGTGATCACTAACACCATAGTAATGTCTAATATTCACAGGCAGATCTGCTTGGGGAAGCTAGTTATGTGAAAGGCAAATAGAGTCATACAGTAGCTCAAAAGGCAACCATAATTCTCTTTGGTGCAGGTCTTGGGAGCGTGATCTAGATTACACTGCACCATTCCCAAGTTAATCCCCTGAAAACTTACTCTCAACTGGAGCAAATGAACTTTGGTCCCAAATATCCATCTTTTCAGTAGCGTTAATTATGCTCTGTTTCCAACTGCATTTCCTTTCCAATTGAATTAAAGTGTGGCCTCGTTTTTAGTCATTTAAAATTGTTTTCTAAGTAATTGCTGCCTCTATTATGGCACTTCAATTTTGCACTGTCTTTTGAGATTCAAGAAAAATTTCTATTCTTTTTTTTGCATCCAATTGTGCCTGAACTTTTAAAATATGTAAATGCTGCCATGTTCCAAACCCATCGTCAGTGTGTGTGTTTAGAGCTGTGCACCCTAGAAACAACATATTGTCCCATGAGCAGGTGCCTGAGACACAGACCCCTTTGCATTCACAGAGAGGTCATTGGTTATAGAGACTTGAATTAATAAGTGACATTATGCCAGTTTCTGTTCTCTCACAGGTGATAAACAATGCTTTTTGTGCACTACATACTCTTCAGTGTAGAGCTCTTGTTTTATGGGAAAAGGCTCAAATGCCAAATTGTGTTTGATGGATTAATATGCCCTTTTGCCGATGCATACTATTACTGATGTGACTCGGTTTTGTCGCAGCTTTGCTTTGTTTAATGAAACACACTTGTAAACCTCTTTTGCACTTTGAAAAAGAATCCAGCGGGATGCTCGAGCACCTGTAAACAATTTTCTCAACCTATTTGATGTTCAAATAAAGAATTAAACTAAAGACAACGAGTTTGTTTTTTGTAAGCTCCACTTCTTGCTAGCAGTTCACCACTGATCCTCTAAAATCAAAGTGGTTAAACGATCTGTCACACACAGTGAGTCTGAATGCTAAAGCCTCTCCTCACCTCACTCCCTCTGCCCAACACCCCCAGGTGTATCAGGAAGTGTGTGGACACTGTGGTCAGGCAGAACTGGCCTCAATTCTTGGCTTCACCACTTACAAATTTTATGATCATTGGCAGTTGATTTTTCAGAGTTTCGGCTTCCTTATCAACAATATGATGATAAGTAATAACACCTAATTCACACGATGGTGGTGAGGACTAACTGAGGTGCTCATTAAACATAGTTGCTGTTTTTTAATGCCTGGCCCAAATCCTTCCCTGTGAGGGAGAAGAAGGATGCTTGAGAGTGGTTATTTATGAATGAATGAGTGAATGGAAGAATGAGTGATCTGAAATGATATAATTAGCTTAAAAACCTCTCCCTCATTCTGAAGGTAAAGCAGGAACAATTGGTCCACCCCCACCCCAGGTTTCCATTTCAGGACTCCCTTCCCTTTTTGGAGCTACCTGCGTGCTTCCTTTACCCATTTTCTCAGATTTAACTGATGAATTGGGAGGGGGTGGGTATAGGACTTACTGAGATGCAACATAATATTCACACAGGCTCTGCAGCTAGATTACTGTTTGAATCTTCATTCTACCTTTTTTTTTTTTTTTTTTTTTGCATCACCTTGGGCAAGTTGAGTTCCCTGGGCCTCAGTTTCTTGACTTGTAAAGAGAGATGACAGTGCATCTGCCTGGAAGGGTTCTTTTATGAAGACCACATGGTTCGCTCATGGAGAGTATGGAAGGACCGTGGCTGACACTGCTTCTCCCTCTCCAGAGTCTTCCGAAACTGCACGTTGGACTCATTTCTTTATTAGGATGGGTTGAGGGTCTTCTCATTGTTTGAGTCACATGGATTTCAGGAAACTAATTCATTTTCTTGTCCAAGCATTCCCTTGGCAAGTTCTTCAATCCCTGTTTTCAATGGTTTCCTCATTTCTAAAATAGAAACAAGAATAGCACTTACCCTATAGCAGTACTGTGAAGATTACAAGACTGGACATGTGAAGTGCCCAGGATAGTACCACACATAGTCAGCACTCAATCCACATTAGCTATTTTTATCACAATTATTGTTGCCCTGTCTGAGCATCTACATTTAATAGAATGATGGATATGTTTAGATTTACATTTTTCACGTTATTATCGTTTTGTACATGCCTCCTGTCTTTGTTCCTCTGTTCTTACTGCCTTTCGTTGTTTTAGTGATATTATGGTACAATAAGAAATATATATTTGGTCTCTGGCCCCAGTTTCTGAGACAATTTCTAAAACTCTTGTAGACAGGGGTGCTAGGAGGCTCTTTTGTTCTAATATTTGGTCTTTGACCCTGGTTTCTAACACAGAGCTCCCAAATCCCTTGGAATTTCCTGGGCAATAGAAACTTCTTTTGTTCTAATGAGGCAGCTCCTGGTGGGCTCCTGGATAACCTCAGGATGGGGAATCAGCCATGGCATTAAAGGGTTGGAACTTTCAGCTCTACCCTTTGACCTCTGGAGAGGCTCTTGAGAGGCTCTGGAGAGGGGCTGATGGTTGAATAGATCATCAGTGGCCACTGATGTAATTAATCATGTCTATGTAATGAAGCTGCCATAAAAAACCCAGGAGGACAGTGTTGAGAGAGCTTCTAGGTTGGTGAACACTTGGGGGTGTCTGGAAGACAGCCCACCTGGAGAGGACACGGAGGCTCTTCGCACCTTCCCCCATACCTGGCTCTCTCCATCTCTTCATTTGTCCATCTGTATCTTTTTCATTATATTATCCTTGATAATAAACTGGTAAATATAAGTGTTTCCCTAAGTTCTATGAGCCACCATAGCAAATGAATCAAGCCCAAGGAGGGGTTTGTGGAAACTCCAATTTATAACCAGTTGGTCAGAGGTATAGGTGACAACTTAGTACTTTGCAATTGGTGTCTGAGATGGGGGGCAGTCTTGTGGGACTGAGCCCTTAACCTGTGGGATCTAACAGAAAACCTTTAACCTTTTCCCCCCAAATTGTTAAATAAATATTTTTAGGGTGTCATTTTAATTCCTCTGTTAATTTTTTTTTTTTTTTTTGAGATGGAGTTTTGTTCTGTCACCCAGGCTGGAGTGCAGTGGCACAATCTTGGCTCACTGCAACCTCTGCCTCCTGGGTTCAAGCGATTCTCCTGCCTCAGCCTCCCGAGTAGCTGGGATTACAGGCGAGCGCCACCACACCTGGTTAATTTTTATATTTTTAGTAGAGACAGTGTTTCACCATGTTGGGAAGGCTGGTCTTGAACTCCTGACCTCAAGTGATCCGCCTGCCTCAGCCTCCCAAATTGCTCAGATTACAGGTGTGAGCCACTGGGCCCAGCCAATTTAATTATTTTTTGAATTATTTTCTTAGTGATTGCTCAGTATGCATCTTTTTTTTTTTTTTTTTTTTTTTGAGACGGAGTCTCGCTCTGTCGCCCAGGCCGGACTGCGGACTGCAGTGGCGCAATCTCGGCTCGCTGCAAGCTCCGCTTCCCGGGTTCACGCCATTCTCCTGCCTCAGCCTCCCGAGTAGCTGGGACTACAGGCGCCCGCCACCGCGCCCGGCTAATTTTTTGTATTTTTTTTTTTAGTAGAGACGGGGTTTCACCTTGTTAGCCAGGATGGTCTCGATCTCCTGACCTCATGATCCACCCGCCTCGGCCTCCCAAAGTGCTGGGATTACAGGCGTGAGCCACCGCGCCCGGCCTCAGTATGCATCTTAATCTATCACAGTATATTTCAAATTAATAGTAACTTAAATCTGATGACATAAAATGAAAATATTTGCTCCAATGCAGCTCCATTCTCTTATTACCACATATATTATATCTATATATGCTATAAGCTCAACCATGTTATTTTATTGCCTTAAACTACTTTCTATCTTTTTAAAAAAATTGACAAGAAATGAGAAAAAAATTTATGGACTTTAGAAATACTAATCTGCGTATTTGCCAATTCCAGTGTGCCTCATTTCTTCCTGTGGATTTGAGTTACTGTCTGGTGTCGTTTTCTTTTAGCCTGAAGCAATTCATTTAGTATTTTTTGTAAAGTGGGTCTACTAGTAACGAATTATCTTGGTCTTTGTTTATCTGGTAATATATTAATTCCACCTTCATTTTTGAAGCGCGGTTTGTAGTTTTTTTGAATGTGGAATTCCTGGTTGATGATCATTGATGTTTTTGTTTCAGCACTTTTTGTTTTGCTTTGTTTTGTTTTTTGAGACAGGGTGTTGCTCTCTCACCCAGGCTGGAGTGCAGTGGCACAATCTCAGCTCACTGTAGCCTCCATGTTCCAGGCTCAAGTGATCCTTCCACCTTAGCCTCCCGAGTAGCTGGAAGTACAGGCATGTACCACCAAACCCAGCTAATTTTGTTTGTTTGCTTATTTATTTATTTATTGTAGAGATGAGGTCTCATTATGTTGCCCAGGCTGGTCTTGAACTCCTGGGCTCCAGCAATGCTCCTGCCTTGGCCTCCCAAGGTGCTGAGATTACAAGTGTGAGCCACCATGCCCTGCCCAGCACTTTGTATATATCATCCCATTGTCTTCAGGCCTCCATTGCTTCCAATACAAAATCAGAGCCACCCATGTTTTGATGCTCACCTGTATCTGACAAGTTACTTTTTCTTTATTGCTTTTAAGATTTTATCTTTGAACAGTATGACTATAATGTGTTTTGGTGTAGATCTTTTTGTATATATTCTACTTGGGAATCACTGAACCTCTTGAATGTGTAAAGTGATGTTTGTCATCAAACTTGGGAAGTTTTCAGCCATTGTTTTTTCAAATAATGTTTTTCCCCCTTCATCTCTCCCCTCCCTTGCTGAGACTCTCTTTACATATATGTTGGTATGCTTGATGTCAATCCCACAAATTTCTGAGCATTTATTTATTTTCTTTTGCCTTTTTTCCTCTCTGTTCTTCAAATTACATAATTTCTATTCATTTATCTTCCAGGGGACTGTTTTGTTTTTCTTCTGCCTTCTTGAATCTGAGGTTGAGCTCTTCTAGTGAATTTTTATTTCCATTATTGTATATTTCAACTACAGAATAAAAATTGATTTTTTAAAACTTATTTCTGTCTCTTAAGAATTCCCATTTGTTGATTCATTGTTGTCATACTCTAATTCTTTAAACATGGTTTCCTTCAGATATTTAAGCATATTTATAATAGCTACATCAAGTCTTTGCTAAATCCAGCATCTGGGAAACACATAGTTTCTTTTGACCTCTGCTATTCCTGATTGTGGGCCACATTTTCCTGTTTCTTTACATATGTCCTAATTTTTATTGAAAACTGAACATTTTAGATACCCTATTGTAGCAACTCTGGATTCTTATTCTTCCCTGCTTGTTGCTACTGCTTGATTTTGTTGTTTTTATTCATTTTTTAAATAACTCACCTGAATTAAATATATGAGACTTGCCTCTACTAGTATTTGGCTTCTGATATTTCTGCTAGGTTCTTAAATTATTATTCCTGTTTTTATTTTTAAGCCTGACTTTCTCAGAGTTGCCCCTATCTCCACAGCTGAGCGTGTATCCAATGACTAGGCTCAAACACCCTAACCCAGCAAGGCTTCTGTCCTCCACCGATGGATCTGTATGTGGCTGGAGAATGCATTCAATTTTCAGGCTGTTTTCAACTCTGACTCAATTTTTTGCTGGGCCCCTTTGCATCTCCTCTGCACATGCACACAGCCGTCATGGTCAGACAGGAGTCAGGGGCTAGCTAGCCTGGGCACACTCTGATCTCCCCTAGGCATGTTTGCAGCCTAAGCCAGGAATGTGCTTGCCACGGCCACAACCTCAAGCTAGTGAAGACATTGGCCCTGCACACTCATCCACCAAATCAAGTGAGCTCCCCTGTGACTGCAGCAACAAAGCTGTCGGTCCTTCTACCTGCCTTGTTCTGTTGCTGACCAAACTGGGGGAGGTAAGGGTGGGAGCAGCCCCAGGCAAGAATGCCACAAATCTGCACTGTACTTATACAAATTTCAGCAATTTTTCAATATAAACATTTCTCAGATTGTTATACATCTTTGGTCAACTTGCAGAGTGTTGAAATAGTTGTTTTTGTCAATTTTGTTCAACCTTATAGTTTCTTTTTGGAGTGAGGATTTACCAATACTCTCTCTCAGCCATAGCTGGGGATCTCACCTCTCCACATACCCTGTCCATCCTTTATTTCTCTTATCAGAACACCAAGGAGCAGACTTGTCTACATATGCCATGTGTTATTTCTGGGGATCAGCAAGGTTTTGAGAGAATACTGAGCAATCTATGGAGCTTTTAAATGTACCCATTGGAGTGTGCCAATGTAGGAATGCCTGACTGGGGCTGGATTACATACTAGGTAAAGAGCACATTCTCCAGTGTTAGATATTCTTAAGCCTTTGGGAACATTTAAACTCAGAATTACCACGTTTAGATTTGCTTCTCCAAAAATACAGAATGTACGTTGTATTAGCCCATTCTCACGCTGCTACAAAGAAATACCTGAGCCTGGGTAATTTATAAAGAAAAGAGGTTTAATTGGCTTACGGTTCTGCAGGCTGTACAGGAGGCATGGCAGCATCTGCTCAGCTTCTGGGGAGGCCTCAGGAAACTCAATCATGGCAGAAGGTGAAGGGGAAGCAAGGACTTCTTACTTTGCCAGGAGGAGAAGGCAGAGGGAGGTGGGGAGGCGCTACACACTTTTCAACAACCAGATCTCACAATAACTCACTTACTCACTATCACAAGGATAGCACCAGAGGGGATGGTGCTGACCCATTCAGGAGAACTCCGTCCCATGATCCAATCACCTCCCACCAGGCCCCACCTCCAACACTAGGGATTACAATTTGACATGAGATTTGACGAGGACACAGATCCAAACTACATCATACGCCTTAAATAAGTAAATTTTCATAGTTTTCATTATTTGGACTATGTGCATTAAGAAGCTAGTTTTAAGTTCACATTCGTGGTGGCTTACAGTTAAAATATTTGGGGCTGGGCGCAGTGGCTTACACCTGTAATCCCAGCACTTTGAGAGGCCAAGGCGGGCGGATCACCTGAGGTAGGGAGTTTGAGACCAGTCTGGGCAACATGGAGAAACTCCGTCTCTACCAAAAAAAAAAAAAGAAAGAAAGAAAATACAAAATTACCTGGGTGTGGTGGTGCATGCCTGTAATCCCAGCTTCTCAGGAGGCTGAGTCAGGAGAATCACTTGAATCCAGGAGGTGGAGTTTGTGGTGAGCCGAGATTGTGCCATTGCACTCCAGCCTGGGCAACAAGAGCAAAACTCTGTCTCAAACGATAACAACAACAACAAAAACAGTTGCAATATTTGTGAATACCACCAAAAGAGCAGAGCTGAGACCAGAGAAAAGATGTTCGTTCAAGACAGAGATACACTTTCTAACAGAACTGCCTATAGATAACCTGGGGTGCCGGTTGAAGGGAAGGGTGGGGAGAATTTCCTGCAACGGGAGACACCTCTGCATGGATCCATAACCATGAAGCTACAATGTTGTTGAAAAGATTCCCTCAGCAGATGGAATGTTCTTTGATTTTTCTTTCTACTGTGAGACAGCATACACACCCACATTCATACACACAAAAGCTACGTACCAGTTTTACACCACTTTTTCAGGTAATCCTCACAGCTACCATATAAGGATAAATTATTATATTTTACAGATGAAGAAACTGAAGCCTAAGGCAGTTAAGCAACTCCCAAAGGTCAGAAATCTTGTGAATGGCAGACATGAAATTAGTCTTCCTGACTTTAAACATGAGTGGTACTTCTTAGACCAGGGTTGAGCTTCCTAGGAATTACTGAGAGTTGCTGAGTACATATGGAATTTTACTCAAGGACTAGAGTGAATGTTAGTTTTGCATGTAATGCCTGTCAATGGTAGACTGGATAAGGAAAATGTGGTATATATACATCATGGAATACTATGCAGCCATGAAAAGAATGAGAACATGTTCTCTGCAGGAACATGGATGGCGCTGGAGGCCATTATCCTTAGCAAACTAATGCAGGAACAGAAAACCAAATACTGCATGTTCTCACTTATAAGTGGGAGCTAAATGATGAGAACACAGGGATACATAAAGGGGAACAACACATACTGGGGCCTATCGGGGGGTGGAGGGTGGAAGGAGGGAGACAAACAGGAAAAATAATGAATGGGTACTAGACTTAATACCTGCGCGACAAAATAATCGGTATGCCAAACCCCCATGACACACATTTACCTACATAACCAACCTGCACATGTACTCCTGAACCCAAAATAAAAGTTTTTTTCAAAAATTGCATTTAAGCAAGCTTTCACATTTTCTGAGGAGAAAGAAAAACTCATAAGAACTTTTAACGCAAAAGGAGTATTTCATCAAAGAAATATGACACCTTGGACAGGATGCTGAAAGCTATGTCCATACTCAAATCCTGGAGAAATGTGTCCCGGTTGTCTTTCTGGTGGGCAGCCGTTGGGTAGGGAAGCTTGAGGAGCACTTCCACCATCTTCCTGGCACCTGGGGGTGCCAGTGCTCTTGGTTTCTGAGGCCCCTTTCCTGCCTCTGCTTCCTGCTGAGGAGTGGTTTTCCTCTGTACCTTGGCACCAGGAGGAGCTCTATTTCTAGCCGATGACCTGAGACCTTGAAGCCTGCAGCGGTGGCACCCTCACTAGCAGCAGGGCCTGTCTCAGCCTCTGACAGTTTCTGGGGCAGGCTCACCCTCCCCCCGTTGCCACAAGACCATCTCATGGCCCAGGAAGGGACCACAGCCCACAGTGAAAGCACTTGGCATCTATGTAGAACTGACAAACTAGGAACTGTCACCTCACTAAATGAACGTGAAAAAAGATAAAACTGGAGCAAGGAAGCCTTTGGGCAAACATTTAAAAAAGTGATTTCGAAAGTGGGTGGGCTGACCTCAGTGGCCAGGCCAGGCTGGGTGCCTGGGATGCACTCCAAAGTGGCAGACGCTAGGCCGTTTGCCAAGAGCCAGTCGCCCCAAGGGTTGCAGGACAGACAGCCCTCCGAGCGACTTCCCAGATTCAGTGCGCTGCTAGGCCTTTCTGCGGACCTGCAACCTGCCATCAGCTGCCTTTTCATTGAGAAATCAGTAATTGTGGGAAAGGCCAGTGAAAGGTTTGTGAGCCGGTTAACATTTTTACAAGCTGATTAAATTCTCAAGTTCACCCCGGACTCAATGGAGTTTAAGCTGAAAAGATTCCTGAGTATTTCCACATTTCCAACCAGAAAGAACATGTTTCAATACCCAGGGCCCCAGACCACAGGCTGGAAGGGAGGGGAGAAGGGCAGAGAGAGGGTGCAGGCAGCTGCAGGAACCGTGTCGCTGTCTCGGTAGCTGCTTTACACGTGGTCTCAGTGCCTTGAGGACGCCAGGCGCAGACCAGTTTTGGGGCTCAACCCCAGCAAGGGAAGCATTTCCTTCCAATTGGAGGGAAGGGCTGATGGTGCCAAAATTGGAGCTGCCAGATGGTTCCCTAAGAACGGATTACAAACTAGAGTAAACACTCCATCAATTCATCTTTGAATTTATTACTAAATATTTTTAAACACCCTTTAACAATCCCTACAATCTAATCCATTCTCAAATGCTAAAGAAACGTGTATAAAGAAAAACATTAAGTGGGTTTGTCAAAAGATTGGAGGTTTGGATGGAAAAGTTTATTTTAGTTACTTGGCAATGTTGGTACCCACTGGTTTTAGCCCAGCATCACAAGAACCTGGGTCCAGGCAGCAGAAAGACCTGAACCCAAAAAGGACAGAACTCAAGGCAGCTCCAGGCTTCTGTCTATGGAAAAAGCAGCTAAACTTTGATCTAGGTTTAAAAAACAATGGAAAGGCAATGTCAGAGAACTTGAAACAATATGGAGATTTTTTTCCTCTATTTTCTGTGATTGCTTAGAAGCAGAAAGTTAAAATAGATGCCCTTTCAAATTTCCTGTATCTCATTTCAAGTCAAGTGTCCCCGACTAGTGAGTTCCTCCTTTCCCCAGCAACTCTGTGACACTGGAGATTCAAGACCTCAGCAGCTACCAGGGATATTTAGGCCTCTGGAGTACACAAAGGCCACCAAAGGAAGAAAGGGCTTAACAATGCCCCCGGGATCCCATCAAGCCAATCAAAAGGATTGAAAACCCTGAATAAGCAAGGTTTATCACCAGCCAAACTATGTCACCATCCTGGTGCCACACTGCCCATTCCCACCGAGCTCTGGGAAACCACCTATGTGCTCTCCTTGCCGGAGGGACATACCCAGCCCCAGAACGAAACTCTGCAGAGGGGCCAGCTACTGGCACTCCTGATGTCAGCACCAGCAGCTGACCTGGCAGGCGCCCAACCAGGAAACGAACAAGGGAAACTGGAAGCGGCCAAGGGATTTGCAGAACCTTCTGAGCCCACTGCAAAAGACCATGCCATTTCCATTCTGAAGACAAAAACGTGAAGTCCCTGTTCCCAAGACCCCCTACAGAATCCAAGAAAAAACAAAAAGGGAACATCAAAATGAAAGAGAGAATTCTTCATGGATGGATGTCACGAACGTGTTTTCAGGGAAGAACCCCAAATGGCAGTCAGATGGAGGTGGGGCGAGTGCTGAGCTCACCCAAAGAGGATGCCCATTCTGAGAACTGTTTCAGGAGAAAGAAGCGCAAAAGGCCGGGGCGCTGCCTGTCCCACCCTGCCGCCAGTGCTGTGTGTCTTGGGTGGCTCTATCACAGGTCAGCAAATTTTTCTGTACAGGGCCAAAGAGTAAGTAGTTTAGGCATTTCTGTTTGTTTGTTTGTTTGTTTGTCTCTCTTTGCTTTACAATTCTTTGAAAATATAAAACCCATTCTTAGCTCAAGGGCCTATAAAAACAGGCAGGGACTGTAATTCCCTGACCTTTGTCAGGCACCATCAAGCCACAGGTACCCTCCTGATGAAAGGAGTAAGAGTCCCTGACAGGTGGTCCTCTGCATGGGGCGGGGGGCACCTGGAAAGGGAGGGCCTGGGAAATGCACTCATCTGGGAGGGAGTCTTTCCATTCCCACTGGCTGAGTCCTCAGTTACCGCAGGGCTGTCGAGAGTCTGAGACAGAGGTCTGCCCTACAACATTGTGCTGAGAAGTAACGAACTGAGCTGTACACTGACACATTTGTGAAGAGGGAAGATCTCATATTGTGTGTGTGTGTGTGTGTGTGTGTTTAACCACAATCTTAAAAAAGAAAGAAACAACAATTTTAACAATTTTAAGAGACTTTCTCCTCATAAAAAAGATTAAAAACAAGTGTGGGAAGATCTGGTAATTCCCAATAGCGATTTCCAAAACCAAACTAGAGGAACGACTAAAATAGCGTTAACTGTCCCTCAGTCCTCATCAACACATCCTATACATTAATGTATTAACGTCATAACAACCCACGCAGGAGGCACCATTATTATCCCATTTTACAGAGGAAGAAACTGAGGAATAGAAAGTTTAAGTAAGTTGCTCAGGTTATACAGCTAGGAAGTGGCTGAGCTGGGGACTGAGCCAAGGTATTTTTGGCTCCAGAGTTTATGTTATGGAAGGAGCCTCTGTAAGATTTGGACAAAAGGGATTTTATAAATGTCCAGATCATTAGCTACTCTATCAGTTTTCCCACTGTGATTAGCAAACACCATAGGGAAGGTGTGGGAGGGAGGAACTGAGCCCCGTGCCCAAGCCAGGCTTGGGTGGGCAGAATCCTGTGTGAAGCTGTTGAATGGGAACAGATTTCAACGCAGAAGGAAAGCAGGCTGACTCTCTGGCACCTGCATCAGGAAAGAAAGGTACAGGTAGAGAAGCTGCCTATGACTTTCGAGTCACTGTCCCTCCCCGCCCCATCATTTCTGGGGACCAGTCTGCGACTCAAGAACTGATTTCACCTGTGAGCAGGGTGACTTCTGGAGGCAGGTGGTAGTTTAGGAAGTTGCGGGTTTTTGTGAACATGTAGGTCTCATTTGGACATCTCTCCTAGGAAAGCTCATCTCCTAGGATTCATAAATCCCCCAGTCAGGGAGCCTCCTTACCTCAAATCAGGCCTTTGCTCTTATGCCATGAAACCAACCATGCATTTAAGATGAAAACCTAGAGCAAAGTCATCCATTAGAATTTGGCCACTTTTAATAAATGACTTGTTAACATTTATTTCGGGCATACCAAGAAAAGTTTTTTAATTAAAAAGCAAGTCAAGGCCGGGCGCGGTGGCTCACGCCTGTAATCCCAGCACTTTGGGAGGCCGAGGCGGGCGGATCACGAGGTCAGGAGATCGAGACCATCCGGGCTAAAACGGTGAAACCCCGTCTCTACTAAAAATACAAAAAATTAGCCGGGCGTAGTGGCGGGCGCCTGTAGTCCCAGCTACTTGGGAGGCTGAGGCAGGAGAATGGCGTGAACCCGGGAGGCGGAGCTTGCAGTGAGCCGAGATCGCGCCACTGCACTCCAGCCTGGGTGACAGAGCTAGACTCCGTCTCAAAAAAAAAAAAAAAAAAAAAAAAAAGCAAGTCAAATGTTTCCTCATATAAGAACTGAAGTACTTTTCTTTTGTCTTTTAAAATTATCATTATTCTTATAGCAACTTGGATCTAAAAAACAAGTCATGCTCCTTGATGTAATTTAAATACAAATGTTTAAAGTGCTTTCCCCACTCTGACTGCAGTCAAAATGTCAAGCCTTATATTTCACATGTCTCTCCAAACTTTCACCTTGCTTCATGCCATTACTATATACACGAGTTTTTCCCTACAAAATGGAATCATATTATTCTATATCTTGTTTTTATAAAATGTAAGAATATATAGTAGGCATTTTCCCTAATCAATACATATAGATTGATTTCATTTTATAAAAATAGTTACGCCATACTGAATACTAGGTATGCACTATAATTAATTCAACAATCCTCCTGCTGATGAACATCTAGGTTGCTAGAAAATTATAACAACAGGGGGCCTCTCTGTCTTGTCCCTGATTGGTTTTGGGACAATTATCTATTCATTTGGAGAATGACAAACTAGTTCCTTACTTCATACTAATGACAAAAATAATTCCAGATAGATTATAGACCTACTAGAAGAAAATGCAAAGAAACTTTTGCATAATCTTAAAATAAAAAAAGGCCTTCTTAATGTAGACTAACTAGAATCTACCAAGGAAAAAGAACCTGCCAGGTTTGATGACATAAAAATGAAACTTTCTGTGTGACTGAAAGAACTATATGAAGTCAGGACACTTCATATCCAGATTTAATTTTTCTAATATGCAAAGAGGTCATTGAAAATAATATTAAAAGATAAAAGAAAAATGGAGCACAAAACAGACTTCACAGAAGAGGCAATACAAATGGAACAATTATTATACAAACTAGCCATGGACATGCAAATTTTAAAAACAATGAGCTACTGTTGCTCTCAATTGGGCAATATTTTTAGAAAACTGATAGCATCTAGGCCAGCCCTTCCCAATCGTCTGCACCTGGGAATCGCCTGGGGACCTTCAAGTAACTACTGATCCCCAGCTACCAATTTAATTGGTTTGGGGTATGGCCTGGGGTTCTACATTTTTAAAAGTTTCCTGAGAGAGTCTAATGTACAGACTTTGAACATTAATAATTTGGGAATAAGTCCCGTAATTTGGAAACCACTAGTGTACATTAAAGGAGGGTATGAGGCAAAGGAGGTTTTCATCTCTGGTGTGGGTGGGAGTGTAAATCATCACGACTTTTTTAGAAAGCAAACGGGCAGAATTTATTAAAATTTACTAAAAGAAGAATGTACATACCTTTTGATTCAGTAATTCCACTTTGAACAATACATCTTGGAGAAATAAAAGCAGCACTATCAAAAGATACACATGCATATACACGCAAGAGTGTCTACTGCAGCCGTGATTCCTAACAAACCCTGGAAGAAACCAGTGGTTGAAAAAGAGATACTGAGATCTCTAACTCAGTGAGGATGATGGCACAGGTACCAATATGTCTGTGGGACATCGTTAAGTGAAAAATGCAAGTTACAGAATAATAAGAATAGATCCAATTCTTAAAAATGTATATGTTGTTTGCATAAGAAAATCAAAAGGCCTAGAAAGGTAACATAAAAGCGGGAGATGATGTAGAGAGAGTAGATAGGAAACTTAGTTTTCTGTGAAACACAAGAGGATCTTTTGTAATCAAAATAATTGACTTTTTTTTAACAATTAGCCTTTAAAATAGACACATACACAGCGAGAAAGAAATGAGGCTTTTCCTAAGATGTATTAAAACTTGAAGTAACAAATATACTATATTATTAGTTATAGTACATACTTATATATTTGTATTATTTATATCTATTTTATTTTGTTTTTATATTATACAAATATATACATCATTATAATAAATTATACTACATACTGCTATAATTAAAACAGTAATGGCCAGGTAGATCTAACCATTGACTAGAGTTCAGAATAAAAATCCAGATTTATATGGAAACCAATTGTTCGGTGAAGCCAATATATTTTGAGTTAGTGGAGGAGGATGGGGAAGCTTGCTGTTACTGCTTGCTATCATGGCCAACTGGAGAGAGTTAAAGGGCCCAAAGATGGAGAAATCCAGTGCAGGTGGTAGCTTGGAAGCCCAGCCCTAGGGCTGAATGTGGTGCATTCTTAACAGGTTTCCAGGTAATATTGATTCTTTGAGCCACAGGTGAGCCAAACCCACTCTGAAAGCCATGGCTACTTACATCCCTACAGTGTCCACTCAACCTGTAAATCCCACAAGGAGGTGTGGGGCAAGGGGTGGACATGGCCTCCACTGGGTTCCTGCCAATAAATGGGGTTTGGGGTTGGCTGCCTGGAATTGCTGTCGAAGTTGGCAGCTGCTTGGCAGCTTTGCTTTCTGAGCCCAACAACAGCTCCAAGAATGTGTCCGGCAGGATTTAAGCCTGAGCTGGGAACGCACATCTGTGAGGCTCTGATGTGAATATTCAGCAGGGAGATCTGGATTTCTTCTCGATTGCCTGTAGCATCAAATCTGTGACGAGGCTTACCCAGGACTTTCTTCTCCTGACATAATTGCGGTTTTCAAATTCAGTTATGTTCCCACTCTTGTATTAGGTAACAGGTTAAGCAAATTCATGAGCCTGATTTATTTTTCTGTGACCTTCATATTTTAGAAAGATTATATCCAAGTCCCAACCGGCTTCCTCAGCTCCCTAGATTAAATGTTCTCATTGTTCAGCTTGTGTTACAGCACATCACCCTGCTTCTCATTAATCATTCCCAACTGTCCAGCCCCCTTAGCTTCCTTCGGCTGCAGAAGGCTGCACCTTGTTCATGCACTTATTCATCTGAGTGAGGGTTCTCTCCCAAATTTAGGCCTGTCTGTGGTAGCCTCCAGTGGATTCTTGGTGCATATTTTAAAACTTCAAGGGACAGGTTAGTGAGAAGCTGGGAATTGAAGAATAAAAGTCCTTCGCTTTCAGTTTCATTATCTTTGGGTGACTTTAGGTATGACAATCAGCCACAGTTACCCCAGGGTACTACTAAATCTAAAATTGAGATGACCACACTCAGAAAAACACCTGTTTCCTGAATTAACTTCTCAGTGTTATACCTAAGTGAAAAATTGCCTCCATGCTTATAAACCACTCCACCTGCCTCCATTTCTGCAGATGGACATTCATACTCTTCAAAAACACATCCCACTGTAACATAAACTGGGTGACCAAGAAGCTAAAAGCAGAGGAATTTGCTCATAGAAAATAGAGATCTAACAGCTTTAATCTCCCTTTCCTCCCCTAAATTAGATATTGTTTCTATTAAATTCCCTTCTAGTTTCCTCATTTGCCTTCATCCCATTTCAGGACATAACTGGTGCTGGGAAATATGGATTCTTCTCTATGTCAAAGGCCCACTGGTGACTGCTTTTAATGAGTCATTAAACAAGAACCCACCCAAATGCCCATCAATGATAGACTGGATAAAGAAAATGTGGCATGAATACACCATGGAATACTATGCAGCCATAAAAAAGAATGAGTTCTTGTCCTTTGCAGGGACACGGATGAAGACCATCATCCTCAGCAAACTAACACAGGAACAGAAAACCAAACACCACACGTTTTCACTCATAAGTGGGAGACGAACAATGAGAACACATAGACACAGGGAAGGGAGCACCACACACTGGGGCCTGTCAGGGGGGTAGGAGGTAAGGGGTGGGGGGCAAGGGGAGGGAGAGCATTAGGGCAAATACCTAATGCATGCAGGGCTTAAAACCTAGATGATGGGTTGATAGGTGCAGCAAACCACCATGGCACATGTATACCTGTGTAACAAACCTGCACGTTCAGTACATGTATCCCAGAACCTAAAGTAAAATAAAAAATAAAAATAAAACAAACAAACACAAGAACTTCTGAGGTCCTCCCCGAGAGGACTCCCCGAGGGAGCTTGGAGCAGTTCCTGCCACATAGTGGGCATTCAGTGAACTACTTGAGAGATTAATGTCTGTTGCTCTCCCCAGGCACTTCTGGACCTATCTGGTACACACTCAGGATATTTCAATTTCTCCACAATCCCCTGTGAAGGTTTGGCGATGGTGCTGGTGAATTGGTTGCACCGAACAAGGAACCTGTCCACTGGGCTGCTTTCAGGCAGCCCAGACCAGCCCTGGGAGGCCCGGCTTTTCTGGACACGATTAGCTTTCATAAATCATCTCTCTCCACTATTCTTTGCTTTACGATCTTTTATGTGGTTTGTCAATTAAGTTTTGTAGCTATAATGTCTTAATATTTGGCCCTGGGGTGTAGGCTATCAATCAATCTACTCTAACCTGCATTTTTATAGTAAATCTCAGGCCTCGGCATGTTGAATTTCCCATCTGGGCCTTCAGAAGTCTTCTCTTCTCACTTCTTACAAAAACAAGAGAAGCTACTGTGGGTCCATTTTCCAGGAGGGACATTCCTGCTCCTCAGCCATCATTTCCCAAAAAATCCTTTCATTTCTCCCGGGATTTCTTATTAAGTTACTACTTTTAGATTCTAATGCCTTATTTTTCCATGTTAGCTATATTGGATTCTTTGTTCACTTTTCTAATATTTCCCATTTGCTTGTGCAAATCTCCTTACCACCATGTTATTAACCCTTCCCTTCCCATCCTTCCTGGTCAGTGGATGGTCTCTTTATGCCCTTCCTCACCCAGCACTCACTTGGGACACCATTCCCTCTCTCCAGGCCACAGCAGGGCTCCTGACTGTCCTCACTGCAGAAATGGAAGCTTCTTCAGCAGCCATCAGTGTCCTTTTATCTCCTTACTATTCTTTAAACCATCCCACATCCCTTCCATGAAGCTTTTTCTCTCTGTTGCCAGAGCAACCGCTGGGTGCGGGTGAGGATGCTCATGGCCCCATACCCATCTCCCCATCATCTGCGTCTGGCGTGGCCCTTGCTAAATTGGCCAATCAATCATCTGGGGAAGAGCCACGACCTCATGGGTTCAATGTTTGCACTCACCAGGGTTCCCTACTTCTTCGAAGGTTCTGTTGTTTAAATCTTCAAAAATGTAATGGAAATGGATGTTCTACACCCCTTTGGGGGTTTCACAGGGTTTTGAGAAAGGCACAGATGGAATGTATGCTAAGATTTTTCTTAATTGAAACCAAATGTTTTTCTCAGCAACATTTGCCATTTGATTCTTCAGTGACGGGAGATGCCTAGGAGGAAGTCAGTTGACAGTGATGTGGAGAAGAAATGCTTCTGAAGTCTCTTTGCGCTTGCCTTTTCCACGATGACACTCTTCATTGTGTGGGATTTCCATACCCCCTGAAGGGCAAAACTGCTCTGGAGGGAGGACTTCTCCTTCCAGATATCGGGAGGAGTGACAGGAAAGTGAGGGAAGAGCGAGGCCTGAAGAGTGCTCCATCTCAGATGAGGGTGCAGGGCACCCTTCAACGCCAATGGCCACCGCTGCTCACAGCCTCTCCAGAAGCGGGAAGATGGGACACTTTAACCACGAGGTGGTCTTCTCTATAAAATAACAGTGGGCGGGGGGCGATCCATCGTGTTCCCTGTGGAACACGATGGGTTCATGGGCCATAAGATACAGACAATCTGACGGCAAGAAGCCGAGTAGTAGAGAGAAGTCTTAAATACAGTGTGAAAGTGATCAGGAAATTTTTCAAGAAGGAGGTGGCTTGTGAGCTGAGTCCTGTGGGGCAGGCAAGGAGGAATGAAGTTAAGGAAGCAGAGGGCAGTGCTTTTCAGCAGTTAGGAGGAATAAAGTCTCCTCAGGCATCTCTTTAAAATGCCGGCTCCCAGGCCCCATCCCAGAGGTTGAACTAGGAGGTCTGAAGCAAGCCCGGGACTTGGAAAATCTAGCAAACCCCAGGAACCCTAGTTGAGATGGACTCAGACTACCTGCATTATGGAAAGCACAGACGGCAGTTTCAGGCAAGGTGAAGGGCCTCAGTTTGGTTTAAATACTCAATTTAGAGCAGGATTTGTAAACTTAAATACCTCTGGGGCTAGGGTGACACAGACCTTGAGAGAAGTTGAAGGTTTACAAGTACAAAGAGGAGATACTCTCTCTCTCTCCCCCAATTCTGGAAGGGACAGCAGCCAACAAGCTCCGGCAATTACTGCCATGCAGGAATATGTGCTCCGGACTAGGGCACCAGAGCTGTCTACCAGAAGAGAAGCCAGAGACCTGAGTTTTATGTGCCCCAGAATTATTAAATGATACATTAAAATGCCACGAGCATCACATAATTCCATGAAGTCCACTATAGTAGGCAAGTTCAGAGGAGCAAAATAAAATCTCATTGCATATGGACTTAAATGATAGAAGAAAACTGTATTTTATCCGGTAGACAATGAACAATAGAAGGCTTTGCAGCAAAGAAGGAATCTGAACAGAAGTGTGCTTTAAGAAGATTTCTGTGGCTGTTGTCTGCTCGCAATGGAATGGAGAAGGGACCTCAGATATCAGCTCCTAGGAAGCCTCTCCCATGTGCAAAAGGAATGGAGAATAGAGGATGAAAGGTTTCCGGAAACAAGAATTCAGGAGATTTGATTGACTATGGAAGGAAGAGAAAAAAAGGAATCACCTGGGGTCTTCTATGTCTAAATCCATGCTGCCTCTTGCCATCCTTTTCCTTTAATATACACTAATGTTCCAGCTTCATTCATTGCACAGAAAAATGATCATTTAGGTTGCATTCTGATCAGTGCCTGCTTAATAATGAAACTTAGAGTTATTTGTTTAGGGAAAAAAAAGCACAGACAAACTATTTTATAATATCTATAATAAATGCAAAGAAATCAATACAAACAAAACTTGGCTTTAGCAAACTGTACATACATAAATATCTTTTTTTTTTTACTATAACATTCAACTTTTTTCACATAAAGCCTTCCATGATCTTATTTATTACATCTAGTTTTTCTTTATACCTCTAAAAAAAAGTGCCTTTTAGATTTACAGCTTGTGCTTCTAAAGCAAAGGTTAAAACATCATGCCCCAAAGGAAAACAAGGTAAAAAGGAAGCTGCCATATAAGCTCTTAAAAATTGTATGTTACAAGGTTCTAAAATCTCTTCAGCACTGGTTGGTTGGTAGATTGTACGACACTGACATGGTGCTTGGGAGGGTCATTTATCTGATGGTTGGAGCAGCACCATGGGAAAGCTGCCCAGATGGTCTACTGAAGTCCTTGGCTGTGCACAGAATGGGCCAAGGGCCCAGAATTCATGAGTCCGGGGAACTTTGGAGGTCCTTACTCAATCTCCTTAGTGCTAAGGTTCAGAGTCTCAAACCAGATTTCTTCCAAACCTTCTTGTTGTCTGTTTGTTCCCCCGTCACTGTTTATCTTCCACCTCTGAAGCCATAATTTGCACACATGTGATCTGGAGGAGGGCTAAAGCTGCCACACCGAGGGCTTTCGCCAAGATCAAGGTCCTCTTGTTGGTAGTTTGGGATTGCTTATGACCCGATCCTCCTTATGCTACCAGCACTTCTGCAGATGGCATCTGCTTAGTTCAGAGTGGAGGAGGGCCATTCGTGTATCTGAGCATGGGGTGGAATGACCGGGCAAAGTTGTTGGAGAGGGCACAGCTGTAGTCTTCCTCTGACATTGGTACAAGGCAGGCAAGCCCGATGAGGAGGAGCAGGAGAAGCTGAAGGGGAAGAGCTGCTCGGAGGACTCTGAACAGGAAGCCGCGGCCGGACCGACCTGGCCCTGGCTCAGAAAGGGAGGAATCGGAGCCACCTTTTGTGGACCTGAGAGAAGAATGGACATAAATTACTCAGATAACTCCAGTGTCGGAGGGACGCTGCTTTTTGCCTCTGCACCTTCCTGGAAGCTAAAGGGCCATGCCAAGCACACCCCAGCCTGGCGATCAGCTGCCAGCCTTCCACAGTGTGCCCAGGTCACCCCCCACCATCAAATGAGGTTGTTGGAAACTGCACTGACAAGAAATAAACATTTAGTCAGTCAACTAAACGTAAGTAATTAGGTTCAAATTCTACTCCTTTTACCCCTTAATGTGGTGAAACATTTTCTATCAACGAAAATAACTGCTCTATACACATTCTACTAGCATGAATTAAGTAGATCCAGAATAATTAAAATGTAGATATTTGATGCAGCATATTTTTGTTTTAAGAATATCATGAACATTGTTAAGCAAAATTAGTTGCTGTCAGAATCATACCAAGTATCCCATCTAGCCATCCTGGATATGCCAAAATCCATGCAGCAAAAATAAAAACAGTCTTTGTCATTTTGCACAGACCCATAAAAGCTTCATTAATCATAGAGCATACCCTGGTTTCATCTTGCACTGAATCAGCATCAGGCCCTGACATTAGCGGGTTCCAAAGCTGTACGAACAAGGAATAGCAGTGGAGTCTGTCTACAGAACACTGGTGTTGTATGATGTAGATGCTAGGCTGATCCTATCACTGACGTCATTACTTTGGAAAATGGACACCATTTTCTGAGGAGGATGGACTGTCATCCTACAGCCCCTTCTACACTCAAAGTGACAAGTTTTTCTATTTCACTTTTATCTTCCTTTTAAACAGTGCATTAGAGATTGAGTACAGGTTTCAGAACTCTTAAGAAGGACTGCCTGGAAAATACAGAATCTGGAAGTAGATTCTGAGTTGGGTGCTACTGTTTTCTTTTTGTGAACAGCCATTACCTTTTTTTGGTTACTAGCAGAAAAGATGAAGAAAGAAATGTTGTTTACGACAGGCATTTGGTGTACACTCAGACCCATACAACATTGAATGAACAAAAATAAAAGATGTAGCCAAAAGAAACACTCCCTCACAACTAGTATAAATTCCTTAAGAGTTTTAATATCACCAAGGATAAGGACATTGTATGTGAGGCTACTGAAATAATATGAGCGTGTGAAAGCTGTATTGGTAACTGTAGGTTTGGTCCAGAAGAAAGCACTATGTTTGTAGCTCACCTATTACCTATTAATTTCTGAAGACAGACTACCCTAATATCGGTGGGGGATGCGGAGTGACACCTAAGAAAATAAATGTTAAAAACAGATAGAATCCCCTTAGAAGGGAACAGAGGGAGTATTCAAAACTCTTTTATTAAACCATCAAAGAAAAATGGGAGAGGGCTGGGCACAGTGGCTCCCGCCTGTAATCCCAGCGCTTTGGGAGGCTGAGGTTGGCGGATCACTTGAGGCCAGGAGTTCAAGCCAGCCTGGCCAACATGGTAAAAATACAAAAATTAGTCAGGCCTGGTGGCGTGTGCCTGTAGTCCCAGTCACTTGGGAGGCTGAGGCAGGAGAATCGCTTGAACCCGGGAGGCGGAGGCTGCAGTGAGCCATGATCGGAACACCACTGCACTCCATCCTGGGCAACAGAGCGAGACTCTATCTCAAAAACAGATATTGGTTCTGCAGAAACCCCAAGAAACAGGCAGCACGCAGTGTTTCTATACACTTCTTGTGGTGTAAGGAAAAATCAAATCACTGGTTTAAATTGGAAGCATGTTCTTTTCTGAAATCCACACAAGTAACGGCAGGGTAATGTAACCTTGAACAACTCACTTCATCTCTAGGTGTCAACCTCTTCACTAACCTCTTCAAATTAGCATAGATGGTCTTCTAACTTTAAAGTTTACTGTTCGATGTTTTTGTCTTCTACTGATTTGTCAGTATAAATAATCTCCCAAGAAGCCACAAGAGCTCAATCACCATCTAGTGGTCAAACTGATTAACTGCCCTTGTGCTAAGACCAATGAGTTATTCCTAATAAGCTGAGGGAAAAAAAAAGTATATTTTGTGAAAATATAGTAGAACATAAAAGAAGTATGTCATATACCTTATTAATGGAAAAGGAAAATAGAAACTTCTTGAGTTACCTGAGCATAAAATATTCATGTTGAGACAGGGCCTTAGAGAGCATCCAGTTCATCTCCTAATTTTGTAGGGGAGTAGCTAAGGACAGTTCATGTTTACTCTTCTAATTGCTAGGCAGCACTCTGAGCATTTATGTTGGGTTCTGTCATTTAATCCCCACAGCAGTCCTCTGCGGTGTGTACTTATTAACTTCATTTTACAGATGATGTGAAAGAAAGCTCAGGGAAGTGAAATAACTGGCTCAAGCTCACACAGCCAGTGGCAGAAGATTTCAACCCTGTGATTTTAACTACCAGAACCTGGAGACTCTAGACAGGCTGAATGACTTGCTTCAGATTCTACAGTTAAAGGAAGAGGCCTAGCAGGGACTCAGGCTTCCAAAATCCCTGCCCACCGCACTCTCTGCTGTGAAATGTTTTGCTGGTTGGTGATAGGAATAATGGTAATGGTAATTCAGGTCGTATTCATTTCACAGGTATCTCACATGTAGAAGCAAAGAAGAGAATCCTGAACTTGCATCCTAAAATATTTGGAAACAAGTGGTTTCCTCGTGTCTAAAGCCTCTGGTCATAAGGCCTCACAGTATCCTGCAGATCATCAAATCCGTGTGTGGACGTGGGGACATTTTGTTTTGAGGCAGTTACATGACCATGGGCAAGTAAATTAGTCTCTCTGGCCTTCAGTTTTCTCATTTGCAATGATTCAATGGTTTGCCTTAAAGTGTCTTAAGAAGGATAGGATAGCTACCCACAAACTTTGGATCAAATTTTCTTCAAAACATCCTTCCCCTGACTTTAAAATATGCCCTGGCAACCAACACTCAACACCTGTAGCTAGATGAGTTATAACAGAGTGACTGAAGAGAGCTCCCACAATTCCTAGTTATTAAATACCTGACTAATTTTCATTAGGAGACATTTAAGAACTTTAGTGATGGGAAGATTTACATATATAATTGATAGTACAATCTGACAGAGCTGAATAGCTCCTGTTTGTCAACTGTTAAATTCTTTGTGCAATTAGGTCAAAGATCAAGATCAAAACAAGGGCTGCCCATTGACCTGTTCACTCCTGAGAAAAATGGCAAACCATTGAATCATAAATCATGACAGCCAAAATAATTTTAGGATATTAATGCACCCCTCATCTTTGCAAATGAGAAAACTGAAGGCCAGAGAGACTAATTTACTTGCCCATTTTTGATAAAAATGTCACCATTTACAGAATGTGGACTCCTATGTTGGAGTCTGTTGAAGGACATGGCACATTTAACAGCATCAGAGCATTTTTTATTAAAATTTAATTTGTGCATGACTTCTAATGCTGAAGAACGCCAAGCTAGGAAGAAGTCATGGGCTGAGATGGGGACAGAGAGAACACACAATATTCAGTGACTGTCCGTGCAGCTGGCTGCCCTTGAAAATATCCGAACTATCCACTGGGAAAATGCCTGTCCCCTTGGGGTAATTACCAGAGTTTCAACATGCCCAAAGCTGCCTCATCTTCAGGGGGAACTTGTTCTAGCGATTTTAGTATCAAGAAGCTAATGGTCCCAGGGAAAGGGTTATTTTTAATATTTAGCTACTGTGCTAAAAATCACCTAAGTTTCTAGAGTCTTGGGAAATTTCATAAGGGAAAGAACAAAGGCAACTTGTTGACTACCCACTGGTCATTCTCCTCTGGTCTTATTACATACATGGATGCCAGTTTAGATTGTGTTTATATAGGAAAAATTAAATGTGTGAGCCTCCTTAAGGAACATCATCAATACAGATATATCAGATAGTTCTGTCCAGCAAAAAACGTGCTTATTTGCTACAAGTAAATTTTTATTTATTTTTCTCACTTCCCTCACTCCTTCAAATTTCCAGGTAAATAGCTGCCCAGGAGTTGCTTCATCTCTGTCCCAAAATACCTAGACAATTGCGGGATAAGGAGAATGGCAGGGAGGGAGTAGTGGCTAAAATCACACCCTTCAAAAGAAAGTGTGTAGGACACACAATTGTGAGAAGTCTGAATGCCATGCACATAGGGTATGACTCACTTTGAAAATTGTTTATAATCAAGGAAATGAAAATGAGTTAATTTCGTGCATGCATCATTTAAAGCCAAATGAGAAGAAACTTCTAATTTATTTTGTTACTTTTCGGCTAACACTGGCAGTATGTAACAGATTTATTTTGCAGAAACATCTAGATTGTCCGTGATCTTGATCCTGCCCTTATGTGTCTTGTCTTTGAAACCCAGTGTTTCCTGGATATATGGTTCAGGAGACAAGTTTCCAGAATCAAGTTAGGACCCAGGTCTTCTTTTTTTCCAAACCAAACATTCTTGCTAATCCTAAACTACCTGAGGCAGCCTGTGGTGGCCTCAGCTCTAAAACCATTGTTTAAAGGCTTCTACCCATCAATGGCCCTTCAGCAGAGTGGTACGGTTAACGGGGTAGGGTCTGGAGTCAGGGGAGACCTGGGTTCAAATCCTACATCTTTACACCTCTAATCCCCAGTGTCCTTGTCTATAAATTGGGAATATAGCCATGTCATGGGATTCTTGTGAGGGTTAAATGAGGTAAAACACATACAATGCTTAGCATGTATACAATTAAGCACTAAATAATTGAAACACATTAAGTACTAAATGAATGTCAGCAGCTTATCACTATTATCTGTATAATGATACCAAGGGTGTGCCGACTCATACCCTTAGGGGTTGGCTGGATTCGGCCTTTTCTCTCGGGAAAACATACCTGATTTATTAATAGTGCTTTCAAGCATGTGATAAATTTCTCAAACTGCCTGTCTTGTTCCCTAGAAACACCAGGAAGGCCTACCTCAAATAGCAACAGAGAAACCTATCGGAGCCTTACCCTACAGCTTTCCTTGGGGCACGGGTGAGCAATCTGCCTTAGAGGGGAGAGGCTCTGTGCTGAGGCTCTTTGAATGCTTTGAATAAATAGATCCCCAGATAATGAAAAGACTTCAAAACAAATTCTACAAGAAACTGAGTAGTGTTTATAGTGAGGCCCTAGTGTACATGCAAAAAACCCCCACTGCCCTTGCTTAAATGTATCTGATTAACTTGAATACATTTTTAAATGAGGGCTTTTTTCCCTCTTTCAGTGTTTCGGCCAGTCATTTGCCACTTCTCATTCCATCTTAGTTCTCTGTAAAGAAGGTGCCAGAGACCTAAGGTGCCCAAGGCAATTTTGCATTTTACAATTCTAAGCTTTAGAATGAAGTCATCAATTTGCTACATCCGGACTACAGTGCAATTATTCCTTTGCCTTGCTGGAAATTGGAGTGAAATCTTTCTAGCTGTCAATTTCAACTCAGTTGCAGTAGTGTTTTGAAGAATTAATGGCGATAAGGTTAGAAAATTTTAAGTCAAACGTAGGGAAAAAGTACCAGCTAGACCATCATAAGCATTTGCTTTGAAAGCATGCTTCTAAAGTGTGTTTAACCTCAAATAACAGTCACAAATATGGTTATTATGAATGTATGCACAGATTTTTATGTTTCTAATTTTAAGAAGTTCTAGGGAGCTCCCTGTAACGATTTAGGGAATCTCTAGATTCTGATATACTGCAAGTCTTTTAATGGTAGGAATCACATTGAATTAATTTTGTAGGCCCAGGGCCTAAATTTAGTAGGTGTTCAGTACCTATTGGCATCAATTCATATGTAGGTTTAAAATACTGTATGAAGATACAGAATCACCACCATCAAATCAAATTGAAATATGTAACAGGCTAGTATAATATTAACATCTGACTTTAAACAACAACAAAGAAACCAAATGAGTAACTCCTCCCTTCAAACTAATAGTCAGTTTCTTCCAACTCAGTCTCTTTCTCCTCTCAGGAAGAATGCGTATCTAAAAATTTCCCATTGCAGACTGCTGGAAACAACATTCTAAACTATTTATGCTTCTGCAATAACCTTTCCAATTTGCTGGACCAGTGCAAGATTAAACACGAGATATCTCAAGTCTCAATGTAAAGGAACACCACGACAGCCTGGACTGTGGGTGAAGTTCATTCTTCCCCAGCAGACTCTGCCTTTCATTCTCGGGGTTGGGTGTGCCCCAAACAGAGGTACCGACGGTAACGAAGCCCAAGAATGTTCAACCACAACCTGTCTGTGAAGGTGTTGGATGACGTTTGCCATTCAGGTGAAGATTATTTATGTTCCAGTCCCACCTGAGTAGCAAAGTGAACACTGTGCTGAATGCTCAGAAAGATGTTAATGAACCGTGCTGGACAGAGCAGAGCTGAAAGGCGCCTTGCGAGTGTCGTAGTGAGAATGTGGCTGTCCCAGCTGCAAAGCCCTGTTAGGAGGCATGAGGAAGCACTTGCTGCCCTAAGAAACGATGCCTTCGACATTTTCAAAAGATCTATGTGGCTGTCTGAAACAATGCGGAGAGCAGATAGACGCAATATTTGGGAACCAAAGAGTGACTGCTGTTGGCGTTGCATCATAACATAAGCGCTTTCCCCCTTCTCGTCACTATCATTTGTATCAACCAAAGAACTGATCTCTGGTATCCTCGAAGGAATGCTGTGGGGATATTCTTCATCTCTGTTCATGGTACATCAGCAATTTGTGGGGAAAAGATGGACTATATAACACAATGATCTGCCTAAAAGAAACTGTCTCTACTTATAGGGGGCTGAGCAAACCTTAGAGCATCTGCGGATGCTCGTCATTATCTTCAAAAGTCCCCAAGAGTTTTTCTCCATACTTTATTATTGCTATTTTGTTTAGGCTAGAAAAAAAAAAACTCATAAAATTGTCTTCAAACCAAACCAAAGGAAATGAAAAGAAAAAAAAAAACAGTACAGGGAGGTCTAAAACCAGAGAACATATGAAAATACGTTCTGCCTGACTTCAGCCGAGTGGGAAGGACCAAATGAAATAGCCAGTCCCTTATGTACAGCTGGAAAACTAAAATTATTACTCAAGGGTTGTTTACAGTTCTACATTTCCTCATCCCCACCCTCCTTCCAGGAATTCAGATTCCTGCTCAGTGGTGATAAGTTTCCAGAGGGACAAGCTACTTTAACAGTGAATTGCTAGGGACTGGAATGAAAACAGGCTCCGAGGACAGTGTTTTCATTTTTTAGAAAGCTGTCTGGGGAAACTTGAACTGATCAGTGGAGGAGCAGAGGAGCACAGACACCACACCGACAACAAAGAAGGCAAAGCACTGCTAACTGCGGGAGTGAGGGGCTGCTGGAGGCCAGGCAGGAAGCGCGGAGTGGCAGCTGTGAGTCGGCTCTCGGGAGGTGACTGGGCAGGGGCACTGGCTGCTGCGGGTTCCAGAGTGAGCTTGCCAAGTGCCCGGAAAGTGAGTGGCTGGGTGTGCTGGATGAAGGGAAGTTTTAGGATAAGCAGAAGAGAGAAGGTACTTATAAATTTCCAATGAACACCAAATTAGGACTTGCCATTTTGAGACTCCAAAACCCACAATCTGGATAAAACATGAAAATAAAATAAAAAGTTGGGGATGTTAGTATATTTTATTCAGATATGCGGGTTTTGTGAATGGTAAAAGAATTCACTGATCGATTACCTGTCTTATTGTAAACTCTAGAAATAAAGAGGATGATAAAAGTCTGCCATGAATCAAATGGCAGTGGTGCCACCAATTGTAATCAAATCCTTATTGACAATTTGATGAAAAGTACCAGATGGGCTATGTTGAGACAAACAGAATTTTCACGGAGTCCAAATATTTTATGCTCTGAAATTTACTTGAACATTTCATTCAGAAACTTCTCTTCCAATGTATGAGGAAAGGGTGTGGACTGAAATGAGTAATTTCCCAACTACCCTGAGGCAGACCAGATATAGGTCAACCTAAGTCATGGACAATTTTCATCATCCTCTTGGGGTTCTAGAACAGTGTGGAAACCAGGAGAAGGAGGTACCTGCTATGTGGACTGCTGACAGAGGGTCCAGGCTGTGAGAGACTACACTTGCCTCGTGGCTGTTTGCAATGAACAGGGGGTAAAGAAAGAAGAATGTTCAGTCCAGGCAAATAAAGACAAGCTACTAATGAAAATTAAACTAAAAGTGCAGCAAAGGAAAAATAAATCAAATGAAATGATCAGTACCCATGAATTAAGGAAACTGGCTTTTCTTTTGTTGAAGAAGTAAAATAAATTTATATCTATGTGATTAGCCACTGATAAAACATTAAGTTGGGATTCTGGAGTCCATACTATGGTGGGCATAATTCTCATGGCTTTTCATGGTAGAAACACATGTGTATATTTACATACAATAAATGTAAAATGCACTATGCCATATCACATATTTCAAAGACACTTAATATATTTTTTTTCATCTTTTAGAATAGTAAAACAGTGTTAAAATTCTTGGCCCATAAGAAATAACAATGGCAATATGAGATTGGTCTTTGTAGTGATGAAGCCCAACTTAAATATTCAACTTAAAGAAAGGTTAAAATTTGACTTGAAAAGCCAGTATTCCTTCACATTCTTAAACTAGGATCTATAGGAAACTAGTGAATGTAGTAAAAAAAAAAAAAAAATCCTAAAAAAGATAATACATTTATCAGCATAGAACATAAATGTTTATAACAAAAAAGTCAAATGAAATCAAAACTTCTAAAAACTAAGGAAAAATGGAATGAATATAATCATAAAGCTGGACAAAAAATATATAACAAAACAAAAAACAAGCTTCTAATTACACAGAGAAATCAAGGCATAGAGGGTAGCAGGGGCCGAATTTGTCCTTTCATCCTCTTTGTGTTCAGTGAGGCAGCCCCCGCCAAGGCCTGTGGGTGAGTTGTTGCCATTTTAGGGGTGGCACAACTGCCGCAAACCTTCAGGACCACCACCCAGAAGCGGCTTAGCTTGAGAGTCAACAGAACCTCCACTTGCCTTAACGAGTCAATGGCTCACAGGCGTTCACGGTTCTGTGCACCTCCAGCCGAGGCGCCCCGCAAGTGGAGGCCTACCTTTTAAGATAGTCGTGGCAGCCATGGCTTGAAGAAAGGAGCCACCAAAGGGACAAATGGGCACCATTCTGGAAATTTTCTTATTTGAGCAAGAAAAATAAATGTTCTCCCTGCATACCAGCCACACGTTGAGTCCTGATTCTTTTGAAAACCAGAATCGCTCTTTTCCATTCCTGAGCGCGTGCTGGGAGGGGATGTGGCAGGGCTGAGGAAGCGCGCTACCCTGTGTGACAGCCCTCCTCTGGAGGGGACGCCTGCCTGTGAACCCTGTGGTGGGTGCAAATACTGTCACTTCCCAGTGTTCACTCCCATGGGCCAACTGAAAACGACCAGTGGAAAGTTACCGTTTTCTGTCTGTTTGGGGTGCTCCTTCCTGATGTGGGACTCACAGACCCTGAGGTGTCCAGTTCATCAGCAGAAGACCAGGAAGACAAATCCTATGTGGGAGAAAGATTCTTTTAACAACTCCATGTCCCAGACCCATGGGGGCCCTCTGTTGCACCACGTTATCTCCCACTCCATCTCCATCCACCCCCATGTCTCCACCATAAAAATCAAACCATTCCTTGGGGAAAATGGAACCAGACAGGTACAAGAATAGGGCCAAATTCTTCTAGTGTGTTGGGATTTCCTAGCTGTCCGTTTGGCCGTTCTGGAAAATATAGCTATGATTTTGTTATTGCTATGTTTCACTTATAGCTTTATTATTTCTTGGAGACATGGATATGAATGAATTGATATTGGCTTGGGAGGGGAAGACACCTGCTGTAGAGCCTGCTGGTCACTCAGGCTGAACAGAAGTCAATACATTCCAGTTGGAAACAAAAGATAGTCATCTAGGAGTCTGCCTTTTTGCATTAGAGGACTTTACTATTTCAGACACTGCTGCTATTCAGAGTAGATTGTTCTTTTGCATGCTTACAGCAGGGCAAAGCATGTGTTCATGGCAGGATTTCACAGCAGAATGGTTGAAATCTTACCAGGCATCACCACATCTCACCTGCAAATGCATTTCTCAAAACCAATAATACCACAATGGAGTTGATTGTAGAAAAAAAAATATAAAAAATTAAATGAGCAGAGGACTGTTTTTTAATTTTTTTTTTTTTTTCTGTATACATAATGGAGAATTCATGCCTGAGAGTGGTTAAATACAAAACTCAGATACAACAATTGGTTTGCTCTACCATGGCTGTGTAATTAAAGTGTGTAAATTCTTAAACAGGGTGAAATAAAATGCCACAGCAGTTGTGGTAATAGCATTAGTAGCAACAACAAGAGAGCTTTTGGATTTAACAGAATCAAAAGCAGTGTCCTGTTGTAAAAGTTTATGTGGCTGCTTTTTTATTTTGAGACAGGACTTGTAAGAGCAGTGGCTGAAAGGAGACACTCCATTCTGACAAGTACTATATTTAAAGTCTTTCTAAAATGCATGAAGATGATGCTTCTTTGGTCTCCAGTAAGAAATGCTACACGATGATGTCTGTTTATTGCTTACCTGCTGACTACTTGACACGTCTAATAACTTCTCCAGTTCCTTGATATGACGACTGACCTCCTTCAAGAGAAGTTTGAGCCGATTTCCAATAACATGGACTTTTTCTTTGGCTTCTAAACAGTCTGTTCCTTCAGCATTCACCAGTAGTTGGCAAGACATGTCTTGCAAAGAGGCTACTCTGAGTTGGGATTCCAACAGCTCATGCTTTATTTGCTATGCATACAAAAACAAATTAATTTTTCTAAGCATTTTTGATAATTGGCAAAAGCTCCAAAAGTGCAGAATGCAATCAACTTAACTTGGTGGGAAATTATACCTGAGCATCAAACGTGGAGCTCACACACTAAAGGATGCAGCAGCTCACGGCCTGAGTTCTAATCCTGCCTCTGCCAAAAATATTCTATAAGACCCCTGACCGTCTCTGATCTCAGTTTGATTTGATGCCTGGTCCACAGTATTATTGGAAGGTTCAAATTAGTTAATGTATATATGACAGTAATTAAAATATAGATTAGTATGCAAGTGAGATGTAAGATAATCTTTTAAACAGAAAAGCACAACATTAAATATAGCGAAGCAGAAGTATGTCTAGGTATCCTCTGATATCTAGTCAAGATTTGAAAAAAAAAAGGGGTGATTCGTCATTCACAGCTTGATGCCAGAGGTCAAAGTGAAGTAAAAATGCAGTTCCACAGCTATTTCCTCTAGGTTTCTAAGACTATTATGGTACTGAATTAAAAGGTACCAATTCTGTAGTTTAGGTGAGTGTTAAATGTTAAGACATAACATTTTAAAAATACAGAGAGCTACAAAGTGCATAATATTTTCTTCTAATGGAACTCAAATATGCTTCCTTATCTTCTATAAAGTCACTTAAATATACTGTACATTATATTGTCCAAAGATCCTTGTATAAGAGTCTACCAGTTAATTTCCTCTTGAATTTAGTGCTAGAAAAAGTTTCTCCTTCCTTGAGAAGTGGTATGTTTTGTTTTTGCCAGATAATGAAAGTAAGTTTACTCCTTGTTTCCCATTTTGTCTTGGCTTTCAGAAAACTTGATGCTCAGGTTCATGTTTAATCTGATGTATTTAATTCCTCTTTGAAAGACTCGGCTGGGTGTGGTGGCTCATGCCTGTAATCCCAGCACTTTGGGAGGCTGAGGCAGGTGGATCACCTGCGGCCAGGAGTTCGAGACCAGCCTGGCCAACATGGTGAAACCCTGTCTCTACTAAAAATACAAACATTAGTGAGGCGTGGTGGCTTACACCTGTAGTCCCACCTACTCGGGAGGGTGAGGCAGGAGAATTGGCAGGAGAATTGCTCGAATCCCGGAGGCGGAGATTGCAGTGAGCCGAGATCGCACCACTGCACTCCACCCTGGGCAACAGAGTGAGACTCTGTCTCAAAAAACAACGACAACAAAAACAAACAAAAGACTTAATTGTCTCATTCTATTCTAATATTTTAATGACCTTTTACTACAAGCCACCAAATATACTTTTGGGCCATAGATGTAACATGAAGTTTAAATTAAGCTGCCTTAATAAACAACACAAGCTAATTAAGATTGCTTGAGAACACTAAGATTTTTACAACTGAGCAACAACTTTAGAATCAGATTCTAAAGCTAGCAGATATCATCTTCTATGCACATGTTTGCTTTACAAAGATTGGAAACCACAGGGAGTTAAAAAAGTGTAAAGTAGAGACTATAATGCAAAAAGTTAAAAAAAAAGAAACAACACTTACCACTTATATTCATTTTCTGTAAATGAAATGCAACCCTGCTAAAAATAACTGGAGGCTGCCAGAGTTCACACATCTTACCATAAGCTGTTTGTGATGGTCCTGAAGTATCTCTGCATCAAGGTTAGAATCAATAGGGACAATTTCATTTTTCCTTCTGTCAATGTTCTCCAGCATAAGAAGCAAACCATGGCTCATTTCATGGAAACCCTACAGAAAACAGTTTAAAGTAACTGTAAATAAAATATTTTTATTTCTCTCAAAACTTAAATGTCTTTCAACTGCCACCATTAGCAAACATACTTGGTTTTAAGAACATACATGCAACTCCTTTCTGAGGAAGGCACTGGTGCTGTTGTAATGACCTGATCGTGAGTTCACGTTCTTACCAAAAGCATCTAATTTATTACTTGGAGGACAATTTAGACGAAAGGAAAACTGGCATCAACATACGTTATTTCTGAAAAAAGGGTAGTGCTATTATACAGTTTGGAAGGAAGCAACTCTGCTGCCCTCTCTTCTCTGTGTAGTCAAATCTTTCCATATTTTAAGGCCCACCTAGGCTGAATCTCATATCCCCTTCATTCATTCATTTATTCACTCATTCATTCATCCATTTATTTATTCAACATACAGTTACTAAAGATCTCCTACAGATAAGGCACTGTACTAGGAGTGGGTGCAGAGGTGAAACAGCAGTTTAGGTACCCGCTTTCAAGGAACTATTATATTACTCTTGGGGCACATATAAACCTGGAGAGCAGGCTTCAACTCCTTCCAGGGCTTTCCATGGCGCTCAGAATATGATCCAATCTCCTGGCCTGGACCTACAAAGCCATCTGGTTCCTGACCACCTCCTCAGTCTTTCTTCTCACTCCCTGGCTCAGCTCACCGACTACACTCTGGTCACAATGGCCTGTTTTCTGTTCCTAAAGACACTAAGTCCTTTCCTGCTTCTGGGACTTTCCATTTATTATATTACCTTCATAGCAACATCCTTCCAATGTTAGCTCAAAGAGCCAAATAAATTCCCTGACTACCCTCTCAAAGTGGCTTTTCTCAGTTACTTTTATCATCCACGTCTGCAAGTATCTGGTTTAACTATTTGCTTGCATTTTATTGATCTTGTCTTCCCCAACAAAAGCAGAGGCCATGCTGTATTCAATGTTTTAGCACCACGTCTGCCATATGGTGGACGCCCAGCAAGTAATTACAGTATGAATGGAAAAACAAATATTTGCAATGCTCACTTTGATGTTCAAGAAGGGTCTGCCTACTTGCCCAGTAAATATCTGTTGAATAAATAAAGGAAATAAATGAATGAGTCATAGAAGGAGCGTTGCGACGGAGATAAACATGAGGAATAGTCTCTTCTTATCTGGACAGAAGATAGGACCTAGAGATTTTGAACATGATCATGAACATGTAGAAATGCTCCAGTAAAATGAAAAGTTTGGGCACAAGGTTATCTCACTGAAATACTGACTTTGGGGAGCAACTGCGTCCCTCTAGAAACCATGATACATCAAGTCACACACTCAGCTAAATTGCTAATGTCTCTCTCTGAGTCACCTCCTGCCCAAAGCTCTACAGACCTGGCACTGCATCAGGGCATCCTGCAGCAGGCCCCGCCACTCCTCCAGCAGAGAGCACACTCGGTCCCAGCGCCCATTCATCTGCGACAAGCGATCCTGCAGGTCCCGGCTCTCCTTGCTGTCAGCCTGGGTGAACTCAGGGCTGCAGAGATTGATGGAGAGGATGATGGCTTTGCGGTGGTCCACAGCTTTCTGGAGCTCCTGAAAAGAACAAAAAAGACAATCAAACAAGGACAATAATGACAAAGATATTTTCCCTTGAAAATGTTTCACATGAATGAAAAGATCCATTAATTTAAACTGGCCTTAACAGGATGGCTAGGTAAAAGACAGAGGGTGCGTACCACTGAGAACTGTATGGCAGTTGGAAGAAATGAATTAGATGAGTACTTAACAACATGGATGAATCTTAAGAAAACAGGGTGTAGAGTGAAAACGTCAGAAACAGAATGTTACATGGAACACAACAGCCTCAATACATTCACACACACAAATCCACATTTTTAAAGAATATATCTGAACAAAGAAGGTCTGCCACATATTTCAGAATAGCTACCATTTTGAAAATCAAATGGGAACTTAGAGTTCAGCCAGGGTAGGGGGTGCAGGGGGGAGGAATAAAGAGGAGTCTTGTAGGAGGCAACAATAACGCTAGGCAATGACCTCATTAAGGAGTATGATTGAGTCCACACTCTGTACAGAGGTTCAACCACAACAAAATTCAAATTTGTGGGCCTAAAAATGAAGCAAAGAAAACAGATGCCAGGGCCCTGGGATCCAGATGTACTGAGTCTGCAGGCTCAGTGGCCCACAGGCTGAGAATACTGCCTGTGCCACACTGATGTGAAGGTAGAGAGAATGAATTGGGTATTTCATGAGCTAACCAGTTAGGTTTGATTTCACAAAAACCAGGTGACTGATTTTTGGCTTTGTGCATTTCCAAAACACCCAGTGCTCAATTCCAAGAACTTGAGCACAGGAGTCTGTATTAGTAATTGAGTATCTAGGTACTGTTTAAAATCCCCCAATCCAGTTAGGGTGAGAGATCCTGGAAGTCACATTGACCTAGGCTGCATTTTGAAATCATTTCTCACTAGCCCTGCAATGTTCCCAATCTGTCTTGATTTTGCACTTTTCAATAGGTTCTTAACATACTGTAGAATAGATTCAACCACACAGACAACATGGGTTTAAGAGACACTGTGGAAAATACTTGATTATTCCACAGATTTATTCAGAGAAAATACAGACAGGAAGCATCAGGAGAAAGTACAAAGGAGGATGTCTTTTTTCTTGTCATGCCGGATGACTTTCAAGGTCTTATTTCCCTACCCTAATCTCTCTGAGGTCTCAGACCCTGGCCAGCATTTGCTTCATCAACTTTTTAAGGAATCTGGTTATAATGCAACATGGCCTTACTAGAGTAATTTAGGGACTCTAGATAAAAATGCATTTCATAATGCAGCCATTGTAAATCTCTCTCACGTGGTACTTTGTCCTGAAATTCATGGGGTAGTGTAGAGGCCTTTCTATAGGGATGCACCTTTTGGATCACCTGGAGGGGAGATTCATTTCTCTTGTTTGAAGTTTTCTGTTTGAAAATTTAAAACAGACCAGGCGCAATGGCTCATGCTTGTAATCCCAGCAATTTGGGAGGCCGAGGCGGGCGGATCACTTGAGGTCAGGAATTCGAGACCAGCCTGGCCAACATGGCAAAACCCTGTCTCTACTAAAAATACAATAAATAGCCGGGCATGGTGGTGCATGCCTGTAGTCCCAGCTACTCAGGAGGCCGAGGCAGGAGAAACGCTTGAACACAGGAGACGGAGGTTACAGTGAGCCAAGATCGCACCACTGCACTCTAGCCTGGGTGATAGAGTGAGACTCTGTCTCAAAAATAAATAAATAAATAAATAAATAAATAAATAAATAAATAAATAAAATAAAACAAAATCACACAATCACTAAAAGCAAGCCAAAAAACATCAACCCCAAATAAAAAGCATATACTAAAACCACAGAAACACAAAAGCAGCACACACTTCATTCCTTATCCTGACCCCGGAGAGCCTAGGTGGCCACATTTTGAGGAGGAGCACATCTTAATACTGTCCAAACAGGAAAAAACAAGCACTGATGGGTTTTAAAAAGAAACTGAGCTCTCAGTTCATGAGATGCTCACAATAGTCTCCATATATTAAAGCATTTTAGTGTCTGGGTTAAGGAGGATTTTAAGATCTAGAGCTGGAGTTAAGGTGTACTATATCCATGCGGGCCAAGCCAAAATCAAACGCAAATGCCAGGTGTTTCACCACAATTACTCTATAGTTTTATTTATTACAGCAAAAATTGCTTCTACCACTACTGTAATCAATTTCAGAAGTTTCACTTACTTGAGGTCAAATAACTTCATTATGTCCCCCACAAATTCATGCAGATACAATTTTGGAGAGGATTTCTCTCCAGCTCTAGATATAGGCCTGTAGGAGCCAGGTCATTCTGTATTTCCCTTACAAAGAGTTCTTGTAGGTCCCAGAAGTACCTGGATGCTTCATGAAATTTTAATTGGACATTTCTTAAAATATCAATTCATTAAATCGTGTGTGCTTATTTACATGGTGTATAGTTCTACAATATGGTCCCCTTTTCTGCCCTTGAAAACCATCTTTGTGGCCGGGCACGGTGGCTCATGCCTGTAATCCCAACACTTTGGGAGGCTGAGGTGGGTGGATCACCTGGGGTTAGGAGTTCGAGACCAGCCTGGGCAACACGGCAAAACCCCATCTCTACTAAAAATACAAAAACTAGCCAGGCATGGTGGTGCGTGCCTGTAATCCCAGCTACTAGTGGGGCTGAGGCAGGAGGATGGCTTAAACCTGGGAGGCAGAGGTTGCACTGAGCTGAGATCATGCCACTGCACTCCAGCCTGGGCAACGGAGTGAGACTCCATCAAAAAAAAAAAAAAGAAAGGAAGGAAGGAAGGGAGGGAGGGGGGAGAGAGGAAGGAAGGAAGGAAAGAAGGAGAAAGAAAGAAAAAAAAGAAGGAAGGAAGGAATGAGAGAGAAAGAAAGAAAAAGAAAGAGAAAAAGAAAAGAAAGAAAAAGAAAGAAAGAAAGAAAGAAAGAAAGAAAGAAAAGAAAAAAAAGAAAACCATCTTTGTGGAATACAGGAATTTGGGATGGCTGGAGGTGAGGAGAGCATTCTCACTCATTTTTGTTAGATCCCTTTTCTGCTGCTGTGTAAGAGCAGCTCGAACTAGAGGTGCCATCTGCACGGTCGTTCACGCGGTGGCTCTCTGTTTGTCCGCCGTGGGAAAGGCAAGGGGCAGCTACCTTGAGCTTTTTGATCTGGAGCTCGATGGTCTGGATGTCAGTGCTGAGTTCCAGACGCTGGAGCTGTTCCAACTCCTCCTCCGTGTCCCCCAGCCAGGCCCAGATGCTGTTCAAGTCTGAGTTAAACTGCTGCCACTTCTGGAGGTTCTGCTTCATCCTCAACTCCTTGCTCAATGCCTGGGCCTGGAGAAGCTCCCATCGGTCAATCACACCTGGCAAGACATGCATAGAACAGTGAGGTTATTTTCCTCTACATGTGATGTTTATGAAATGCTTTAAACATAGGTTGGCAGCCAATTTTAAATAGCAACAGAAAGAAAAGTAATTCCACTGGGCATTTTCGTTGTTGTCATCTGGAAATAACAGTTACATGGGTACAATGGCTGTGTTTTTTCTATTTGTATTTCTAATAATAATGAAGCAAAAAAGTTAGTTACATGGGCATTCACACTGTAAAGAGCTTTACGAAGTAATAAGCAGTCATGAGCACGAACGATCGTTCAATTCTTGGATCCTGTCTACAATAGGGCTCTGAGCACACACATATAAAATGCCTGATTAGATATGTGAGAAACAGTGCATTAAAATAATTGGAACATGAGAGCTGGGGTGGTAGTGCGCGCCTGTAATCCCAGCTACTCGAGGGGAGGCGGGAGGATTACTTGAGCCCAGGAGTTGGAGTCTAGTTTGGGCAACACAGCGAGACTTCATCTCAATATTAAAAATAATAATAATAAATGAAACATGGGCAAACACTACCATGATGGCATGCATCATCCCCTCACTGTCAAAGGAGACTGTTGGCCAGGTGTGGTGGCTCACGCCTGTAATCCCAGCACTTTGGGAGGCCGAGGCGGGTGGATCACGAGGTCAGGAGATGGAGACCATCCTGGCTAACACGGTGAAACCCCACCTCTACTAAAAATACAAAAAAATTTAGCTGGGCGTGGTGGCGGGCGCCTGTAGTCCCAGCTACTCGGGAGGCTGAGGCGGGAGAATGCCATGAACCTGGGAGGCGGAACTTGCAGTGAGCCGAGATAGCGCCACTGCACTCCAGCCTGGGCGACAGAGCGCCACTCCGCCTCAAAAAACAAACAAACAACAAAAAAGGAGACTGTTATAACTTGGAAGGAAGTTCTCAGGATAGAACGGTGTAGAAGAAGGCCAAGCCCCCTAAGTGGAATTTCGCTGTTAACAAAGTGCTTCAGGATCTTCTATTTCATTCACTCTTGAACTGGATGCTACGCACTCACCAGCCGTTTGGGTTTCGGTACTATGCAGGTTAACAAAGCCAGGAAGGCTCTCCTCTTCCTCCTTCAGTTTGTGCTCCAGTCTCTTCACGGAGTCTATACTGCTACTGCATTCGCCCAGCAGTTTCATCTGTTTAGACATAAACAACCGGCCCCTGTCACCCAAATCTTCATGAGTGCAAAAGCTTCCGGGGAAAATCTCTTTGTAATTTCTCAGCAAGAGAAGTGTCTGTGTTTGGCTCCTCTGTGCCACCCTGCTAAAAATAAGCCAAGATGGCCGAGTGTGGTGTCTCAGGCCTGTGATCCCAGCACTTTGGGAGGCCGAGGAAGATGGATTGTTTGAACTCAGGAGTTTGAGACCAGGCTGGGGAACATGGCAAAACTCTGTCTCTACAAAATATACAAGAAATTTAGCTGGGCATGGTGGCATGCATCTGTAGTCTCAGCTACCTGGGAGGCTGAGGTGGATCACCTGAGCTCAGAGGGTGGAGGCTACAGTGAACCATAATTGTGTTACTGCACTCCAGCCTATGCGACAGAGTGAGACCCAGTCTCAAAAAAAAGAAAAAAGAAAAAATAAGCAGAGGTAGGCTGGGCACGGTGGCTCCTGCCTCTAATCCCAGCACTTTGGGGGCCGAGGTGGGAGGATCAGTTGAGCCTAGGAGTTTGAGACCAGCCTGGGCAACATAGCAAGACCCTGTCTCTATAAAATATTTTAAAAATGAGCCAGGCGTGGTGGTGAGCACCTGTAGTCTCAGCTGTTCAGGGCACTAAGGTGAGAAGGTTGCTTGAGCCCAGGAATTCAGCTGCATGCAGCGAGCTAAGACCATGACACCGCACTCAAGCCTGGGTGACAGAGTGTGAGACCCTGTCTCTTAAAAAAAAAAAATTAAATAAGCAAAGTTCAAAAACATGCCTTTTAAACAGGTGATACATTCACATATACAAAAAACAATGCCTTAAAGATATACTTTGCATACATGATTTTGCACGAGAAGTCCTTCAAGTTTCTTTACGATTCATGACTCAAAACAGATTAAACCAATCTGCAATTTAAAACTCGGAGCCCTCAGCTGGCAATGCAGTATATAATTTTTGGCAAGCTGCTCCCTCTTTCTCTTTCTTAAATTGAAATGTGGGAACGTTAATGTTACGACAAATCTCATGGGAACTTTCTTGCATTAAATAATTAAAATACTTAAAATTATAGAGCAATATTAAAGCCAGCTGTTTTATAAAAAAAATGTAAGCAATGTTTAATAGGCATCAAGGGACTAAATTCTAAAGTCAAAGAAAAGCTTCCAAATTCATTTTTAATATCACATACAGTATTCAAAGATTAAAAGAACAAATCATTTCAAGATACTCCTGCTGTGCTTACCATAAATCCTTTAACAAATCACAATGCCAGTAGGACTGTTATTCTGATTACTTTTGATTGAGGTTAAGTGTAATCCCAGTGATGTCAGTATGATTACCATAAAACTATATCATAGGTATTTTTAAAAAGTGGTTTCACTATAATAGAAGTTGGTATAATAGGCCAAACTGAACAGGAAACAAACTCATAATTGACCGCTCTTCTGTAATTATAAGGATAATAAAATCAACATATATAGCTAGAACAGTTTTCTTTCCTAATTTCAAAGAGTAGAACATGTGAGTTGTGACCAGACTTGGGGAAATTCATTTTTCTTTCCTTGTACTAACCAGTCTTTTGGATATGAAAGAAGACGTGAGGCAGAGAAGAGACTGGCTTTAAAATTCTCTTCCTTAAGTACGCGTAGGAAAGCAGGTAGTTCTCTAGGGAAAATTAACTGGTCAGTAACTCGAGTAGGGCAAATAACCCTCTGCTAGACTTTATCATACATAGCCAATAGCCGCATAGATAGAACTGGTAGTATATCCAATGCCTTGCTATCTTTTCCCCAAATCCCTCTTGCTAGAACTGTTTTCTTCAGAATGAGCACACTAAAAAACAGAAGAGAAAAACATTCCCAAGGTCATTCGGTGAACCCAGGAAAAGAACTACCAAAAAAACTGCATGTTAGTAATCTATTAGCTAAAATCTGCTGCTCCAAGGATAACCTTGGTCCAAAAATTATTAGTTGAATTTGGAAAAATGCCTAATGACTTTTGGGAGCCAAAGTATTTTGTTGCTCTCAATGAAAAGGATCTCCCTAAGTGCTCAGTGTAAAGGAACAGGTTTGTCATTACAACAGTTTTGTGGGCCTAAAAACAGACAAGTTCTACTCAAATGGTAACTTAATAACAGGGCTTGGCTTTGCACATCCAGGTTCACGAGTTCAAGGGCAGCATGGTATTCAGAGACCACATAAAGCCCTGATGCTGCAGACGAACTGTTCTTTGACACAGAACTGTGGTTTCGCACAGGTCGGAATCAGGATGGCCAGGATACTTACGTAGCCTTTGTAGCTGGTGTCTAGCTCCGGCCCCGTGGGAGTTTTGCTGCGAATGATATTTTCGGTTTGCTGTATCTGAAAACGGCTATCATCCAGGGCTTTGCCCAGTTGTCGGATCTGTGACTCTAGGGCACTGTGGTCCCCTGCGGTGGCAACCATAAGAATCTTTACTGGACAAACTATTTGACTTATTTAAAGCTTGATATTCAAGGAGAAGTTTCAGAAATGATTTCAGTTACAGCAGCATAGAAATGGCAGGTGTGGGTAATTACAAAGCAAATTTAGTACCATCGTGCCGGTGGGTTAGACATTAAAATGGCCAAACCAATGAAGGTGCTTGACTGAGAGCCCTAGCAGATCGGACGTCGCAAAACGGCTCTCCAGTCCGTTTTGAACAGCTTCGTGCACCTGACCCTCTTCCAGCTGAACCCCTGATCATCTGAATGTTGTCAGTGTGGAAGGCCTTTCTAAAAATCTGCAATGGTGTCTACTGCATCTCAGTAAGGAGAAAGCTGTTCTTTTTCTCATGTTCTTTCTGCTATCGCTTAGTGAGCAGGGGAAGATCCTCCCTCTGATTTTTCTTCATGCACCTCAGGGGAAGATAGTGTCACGGAAGGCTCAGGTTGCTGCATCATTTACTGAAGGCATAAATTCATTAATCAAGAAAAGAGTGCCTCAGAATAGATATATACAGAGATATCAAACTAGCAACGACTTGCTTTTTATCTAAGATCTGAAACAAAACCAGGAGAAAGCTAAGATTTTAACATTTCCATCTAGGCAGGTTCTTACTCATAGCCTAGAATTCTGGCTCATTCTCCTCTCAAAGTTGTAACATTTCTTTGTAAAATTACTGAGAGTGTGTGTGTGTGTGTGTGTGTGTGTCAAAGTCTTCGAACTACACAGGAACATTTGATCATCAGTGAAGCTAGCATGGGGTGAAAGCAGAACAAATATTAGTAAGCTTTATTAAATGTTTTTATTTGTTTCTAAAAAAGGCCTTCTAGATACACCTAGGAGAGGTCCCTCCCTGGGAATCACCCTCTCAGTAATGTTACTTTGCTTTCTGTCCTTTTGATTTTCTTCAAAAACTGAAGCGTAAACTAGTAACTCCGTGATTCAATATCATATCACTGCGTTCAAACTCTATTCCCCGCCGACATCCCACATCACTGATCCTGAACTCCTGCACTACAGTTTGTCTAACACAACACTAAGCAAAACTAGTTCCATTTTTCTTTCTTTAATTCTTCTTGTTTCAGGAATAGTTCTGTTCTTATCTATGGCTCAGCATACCGTGAAATACATTTTTCATTTCAAATTATCTTTTACGACCTCTTAAATTAAAATTACATATATTTTTTAGAGCTGAAATCTGATCTCACCCCTTGTCTCATACGGGATTCTTGAGATGAGGAGGATAAAGTGGTGGATGGGCCAAAGGTCACTCATGCAGGCTGGCGGACTTGGGACCAGAGCCTGCACCCTGAGTCTCCAGCCACAGGTAGGTCTGCATGCAGTGAAGCTGAAATTACCACACCACGTAGAACACTAGGGCGCAGAGGCTGATGACTGGGTTTTCCTTCTCATATTTTCTGCAGTTAATGGACATGAGAGGTCTATACCTAATGAGACCAATCACCATTTAACAAGTTGAGAAGTTACTTTATTTCGCTCAATTAGTGAAATCTTATTCTTGGTGTGGATTTAACCAGCTGTTTTTTCTAGTACAGCAGTAAGAGAGGAAGGCTGTGCCTTAACATGCTAGAGCCACAAAGCTGGGAGAGAGACAGCAGATGTGCTAAGAGAGGAGGATTGCTATACAGGGGAGGGAGGGAGGCTGGCTCCGGCTTGTTGTGCCTACCGGAGGTATTTTTGATTGCATTTTCTGTGAGTTTTACATAGGCCTCAGGGCTTTCGGGGATCATTACATCTGCAAAAAAAGCACAGTCTAAGTTGACAGCTAAGTTCTGGAAACCCTGAATCCCTTGTGCAGGAAAATAACTTTCCTAGGGGAAAAAAAGGAAGTCAGTTATTCTAGACACATAGCTCCTGAGCGCACAGAGGAGCGTGCAGGCTCACCAAAGCTTTCCTGAAATGAATCATAAGAATTCACAGTGGGTGGGGCATGGTGGCTCACGCCTGTAATCCCAGCACTTTGGGAGGCCAAGGCGGGTGGATCACCTGAGGTCAGGAATTCGAGACCAGCCTGGCCGACATGGTGGAACCCCATCTCTACTAAAAATACAAAAATTAGCCAGGTGTGGTGACAGGTACCTGTAATCCCAGCTACATGGGAGTCTGAGGCAGGAGGATCGCTTGAACCCGGGAGGTGGAGGTTGCAGTGAGCCGAGATTGTGCCACTGCACTCCAGCCTGGGCAACAGAACTAGACTTCGTCTCAAAAAAAAAAAAAAAAAAAAAAAAAAGAACTCACAGTGACTGAGAGTGTTTTTATGAGCCAGGCTCTGGTCTGAGCACAAATTTATCACATAGAAACCCTATAGGGTACCTGGGAATGTTATTCCCATTTTATAGATGAGAAAACTGAGGCACAGAGGAATTAGGTTCCTTATCTAAGTTTAAACAGAAAGTACATGGCAGAACTGAGATTTCAGCCCAGACTCCAGAGCAGCGCTGTCCCATATATTTCTATGTGAACTATATATGTAATCTTAAAGGTTTCATAGCCACATTAGAAATGTAAAAAGAAACTTATAAAATTAATTTTAACACTACATTAGACAGGGATTATAACATGTAATCAATATAATTATTAATATTTTATTTTCTTTCTTGTACTAAGTCTTTGAAATTCATGTAAGCATGTTTTCCACGCACAACCCATCTCAATTTGCACAGTCCCATCTCAGAGCTCAACAGTCCCAACTGGCCAGTGGCTGGTTTTGGACAGCTCTGCTTCAGATGCCATATGCCTGACTAATAGGCCTTACTGTAAAGACAAAATAGAAATGAGAGAAATCATTTTCTTTTTAGAACAGTGTCATCCCTTGGGAATCTGATGTGAACCACCAGAACCAAACAGAAATTCCCCAGATGTCCTTTGACAGAATGTATGAGATACATTTCCAAGTGCCACAAATCAGCCTCCAACTCTTTATTCTATTTTTATTCACCTTCCTTACAGAGTTTCTGTTTCTCTGTCCATCCCTTCACTGCATGTGTGGCTTGGGTGGTGGTCCTTCTTGTTTTCCTTCACACACTCTTCCTGTGGGAGCTCCTCCGTTCACTCCAGGACCATTGCCATTTACATGTGAATACCTACCCAATCTGCATTTCTGGCTTCTGCACTTCACACCGTGCATCTACGACTGGACTTTTGCATTTGGATATTCTGCAGGTATCTCAAGATCAGGATGCACACAAGCAAACTCATCCCCTCCCTGCTCTCACAGCCCCACCTCCCTTGCCCACCTGCACCCACAGTGCTCCTTCCCTCTTGTGGTCCTCAGGGCCTAGGACCACCTGCATCTTTCACCAAGATGCCCAGCCCAGAAAATCGCCTCCATCCCAGTTCAATGGACTGAGAGTTCTGGAGGAGTCTTCTCTGTGTGATTTCTCACATCATTCCCATTCTCCCCATTCCCAATTCTGCTTCCCCTAGTTCAGGCCACCACCCTACTTCTGTCTGAGGTTGTAAAAGGTTTCATTTGGACTCTCTCCGCTGAATATGCCCTTCTCCCTGTGGTATCCAGAAAGATACAATATGAAAATCTGCACATCCCTGAGGAGGGAGGATCCCAGCACCTCCCTCCGCAGATCCTGCTGTGGCTCCACGACCTTCAGGATAGGAGCCACAGCTCTTTTCCATGGTGAACAGGCTGCTTCACAGCCAGGCTCTTCTCCACTTTGTCCATTCCATGCCTGTCATTCCAGACAAACTGCCAATGATCAAAAGCACCAGGCCAATCACAAAGCAGGGAGGCTTCCCCTCCTTTCTTCCTCTAAGCACTTCCGAGCCCACCTGACCAACTGCGATTCACCCTCTGGACTCTGCTCCATGGTTTCTTTCCCGAAGTCTCTCCCAGGACTCCGGCTTTGTCGCCCCTGCTTGTGTGTCCTGCCACCACACTGCCATCTGAGCCCCAAACACTTCATACAGTGGTTTCTCACTGTGTCCCACACTAGAGTGGAAGCTCTGGGAGAAGAAGAGGAACTGTGTATCCCTAGAACCTGGCAAAGCGCTTGTCACCTACTACCACAAATCTACGTGGAATAAATCAACGGCCACACCAAATTTTGCATTTTATAATCACATTCATATCTAAGTGTTCACTTAGGTACAATTTCCCCGCATGAAAGAAGGAAGCAAATGATTCTGGATAGCTGTCATGTTTCCAGGGCAATATTAATTCCCTCTGACTTTCCTTTAAGCTGGCAAACTGGAGAGGCTCTTTCCTACCTGATAAGCCAACAGCTCCCCGGAGGTAGAAATCTTTGTCATCCTGACCTTCTTCATCCTCAGAGGGCAGAGCTCTGGACATTGCAGACTCCAGGTCCCGACTGAGGTCATAGTCGTGATCCCACTCCAGGGGGATGGAGTCCACACTAGCCGGGGTGTCTCGTCCTGACCGCTCGCTCCGGAGGGGCTGAGCGAGCGAGAGGGAGAGATTGGAGGAAGGCTGTGGAGAAAGCAGGCTGTCTGCAGAGCGGTCGTGCCAGTGCAGGTCCGACAGAGCTGCAGAGTCTTCCAGCTCCAGCTCCCTGTCTGAGAGGTCGTGCTCATCGTCTGGGAGCTAGAAGGGAAGTCAAGGCAACCCTGTCACTGTAGTGGTCAGACTAGCTTCTTATCTGGGCCACCTGCCTACCATGTGGGGACAATTTTTAACTTCTTATGAGCAAATAAATAAGAATCTTCTGATCACAGAAATACAGGGGACAGTGCTGCTCTAGAGTTTGACTGTCTGGGTTGAAATCTCAGTTACGCTGTGTGCTTCCTGTTTAAGCTTGGATAAGGAACTTAATTCCTCTGGGCCTCAGTTTTCTCATCTATAAAATGGGAATAACAGTCCCAGGCATCCCACAGGGTTTTTTTTTTTTGAGTGGGAAAAAATTAAAAAGTCTTATAAATTATCCTACATAAGCCTCAGTTTCATTGTTGGTAAAATGGGAATAACATTAAAACATACTTCAAATAATTAATATAAGATTAAATAAATATTATAAAGAAAGGCAATCTACTACCATGCCCACCACACAACACCTACACACTGGCAAGGATCGGAAATAAGAGCAAATTACTAAGACCTTAGCTTGTCCTTATAGCCCAGATATAAAATAGGTTTGATCGTAGAAGATTCCAAATACTCTAATAACATCTCTATAAGTAAGATGTGATTATGGTAGCAATTAGGAAAATGGAAGAATGAAAATTCACCTAAACCTAACCTCATCAATTAAGAAGCTGTTCACTTTGCTTCCTTTTATTGTATTTCTTCTAGAGGCTTCTCTTATTTCTTCTAGAGGCTTCTCTAGAGCAGTGCTGCCCCATGTTTCTGCGATCAAAAGATTCTTATTTATCTTCCATAGAAGATATGAGCCAAATGTTCTTCTAAACTCTTTGTATACATTAACTCATCTAATGCTCAAAACAATCCTTTGTACAGGGTAGTTACTGCTACTAAACCACTTTCACTTTTGAGGAAGCTGAGGCAAGAAGGGTGAAGTGAGTAGCTTGCCGAAGGTGACAGCGACAATGTAGGACAAAGCTAGGACTTGAACTCAGGTGCTCCAGCTCCAGAGTCTGAGCTCTCACCCACTATCAATACAACCCAATCCCACACGACTTATTCTCTTTAGATTTAATGACAACTAAGAAAATCAATGTTACATACAGGCAGGCGGATCAGTTTCTTATGGTATCTTTCCACACGCCCGAAGACCTCCTGGCAGTACCGTCGGAGCTCATCTAGTTCCTCCTCGATGATCGCTGCATCCAAGGGCTCACTCTTTTCTATCAGCTGTTCTCCTTGGGCAATTATCTGCTCAATCTTATTGTGGTTCAGTGAAATTTCCTGCTGGAAGGCCTAGGGAGTACAAATCTCATGTGATTTTGCTATTGTTGTTGCTTACATTGATATAAAAGAATCATAATAGATGTATTTCTCATTACATTAAAAAAGACATGTAGGGGCTATTTAATTGACCATATACAATCACAAGACAAGAGTCTATTACCTTCTAAAGTAAAACATATGCATTTTCAGCCAGAACAGGAGTCATAAATAGAAACATTCGAATTCCATGATCAGAAAAGCGCTTTTGGCTAATAAAATTTACCATCACAGGTAGTGTGGGTAGAGAATAACAGGGGAAAATATTCAAACCCACCGTAAGTTGACAGCACTGGTTATCCCTAATGAAAGCAATGGCAGTCAATATACTGTCACTGAAATAAATGTAGCATTTTAAAGAAATATCCCGATCATTTTAATTTCAGATATCCTCATCCTATGTCAAACATGACTAAGAGAAGCCATCCAATGCCACGCCTTCTTCTCAGGTGATTCTTTTATTATTTCAGAACATAGGCAGGTAAAGTTATGATTTGAAAAACAAGGAATTCCAGGAGGATTATTTAGACTCATTCTATGTGTTGCAAAAGATTTAAATCACTGGGTATGTTTCAGTGTTCACTTTTAATTCAATACAATAATAAATTGTGGAAGAGCTGAATTGTCCAATGGTGAAAAAGACTCCCAGGAGAGAAGAGAGGGTAGTAATAATTTCCATCATCCTGCCAGGGTCCCAAGGGACAAGATTCAATTACACTTGGCAGAAACTTTCTGTGGAAGGATGTAAATGTTGATTCGCCTGTGAGATGACAGGAGAGAGGAATCAGGGGAGAGGGTGAGGCAGAATAGCAGGGTTTACTGTTTCTTCCATCCTGAGAATCCATGTCTACGGGCAAGTTCCTTGTTTTATCATAACAACCCAAAGGTTATGGGCGTCATGACCATTCTTTAAAAAAATCCATCTATCTTGGGAGGAAAATTTCATAAGCTTCCTTGGAAAACACTCAATTTGTTAAATACTCCCACTTTTAGGAAATCCTTACATCTAATGTATATCCCTCCTATTCGAATTTCTAGCTAGCCACTGTGTTTGAATTATATAGTGAAAAATACAAAATGTGTTTAAAATTAACTTGGCATCTAAGAATGCAGACTATGAGGAATGAAATCCCGACATAGGAAAGTTGTATTGCTTTGCAACATGGAGGTTAAAGGAACCATGTGAAGGTGCTACAAACACATTAGAAAAAATAAACGAAAACAACAACAACAAGGCCAGGAAGGGTGGCTCACACCTGTAATCCCAGCACTTTGGGAGGCCAAAGCAGCTGGATCACTTGAGGTTAGGAGTTCGAGACCAGCCTGGCCAGCATAGTGAAACCCCATCTTTACTAAAAAAATACAAAAATACAAAAATTTGCCGGACTTGGTGGTATGTGCCTGTAATCTCAGCTCCTTGGCAGGCTGAGGCAGGAGAATTGCTTGAACCAGGGAAGTGGAGGTTGCAGTGAGCCAAGATTGCGCCACTGCACTTCAGCCTGGGCGACAGAGTGAGACTCTCTCTAAAAAAAAAAAAAACAAAACAACAACAGCAGAACATCCCTAACACCCTGGCAATCAAGCTGATTGAAAATCAATCAAGCTGTTGAAAAATATCAACAACAATATCGATATCAAATAAGATAAGAGCACTACCCAGATATAAGCAATAGTGGTTATTTCTGGGTAGTGCTCTTTATCTGATTTTTTATATATTTTACATTTTCTGAATTTTTTTGCAGTCCAGAACTAATTTTTCAAAAGAAAAGTTATTTGCTATGTTCTTCACAAAAGAGCCACAAATCCTTTCATTTTCAGGCTTTCTTCACTTTGGTAACTTGAAAAATAATCTATTACCTTGAGTTGCTTTATTTTAGCTTGAACATCACACTCAGAAAAATGTTCAATATTAGTGAGCTGCAGATCCATCTCTGTGAGCCAGACCAGAATGCTGTCCCGCGCAGTCTCAAACTCCTCACGCTGGCCAATAAAATGCTGGAAGGCAAGAGGAAAGTAGTAACAATTATTTTTATTAAAAGTCCTTCTAAACATATGGAGATGGCACAGCGAATTCCAGTGTTCTGTAAAGTCATTTTCTCAGCAAGCAATGAGAAGCCTGCAATCCTTTGCTATATCACTCCCCGGTTTACTCCTCCTGCCATCCCATTCTTACAAAATCACTGAGACTGTGTCTCAAGACTGCATTCAAATGGCCCAGTCCCATCCTCTGGCCTCTAAATTACAGATGAGGCATAGCAAAAACCTTGAGTCTGCGCAAGATGGAGGTGACACGCTTTTGCAGGTTGTCCCATCTCTGGTTGCCTTCGTGAACCATCTGTTTGAGGCTACATGCTGAATCAGTGCGGTTCTCCCTGGCCAGGCGGCGGTACTGCTTGTTGATCAGTTCCAGCTGCGTCAGGCACTCGTGGACCTGTCGCTGGAAAGCCTAAGGCCACAGAGAAGCATATCAGTGTGAGAAATCAGCGAAGGACTCTCAGTAGTGGCTCCTGGTTTTCTTATTGTAGCGTCTGGGAGAATGGGAAGTTACACTATCACAGAGGGAAAGAATGATGTCTAATAACGGTACACTTCCCCTTGTTAATGCAAAGTCATCTAGTCAGCGTAACTTAAAGGAAAGGGAGAATCTATCAAAAAATATGAAAATGGGGAGTAGTAATGAATAAACACACACGCATCCAACACACATATATAGACACACACACATACATACACACACATATACACGTAGCTTTAAAAATAATTAATGTCCTGGAAACAAATATTCCCACAAAGCAAACCACTATAAAAAATATACACGTGTGTGTGGAAATGTGAGTTTGAAATGTTGACAACTTCTGCTGTCAATATGGAGAAAAAGATATCTATAATGGAACTGTTTATTTGTAAAATATGTACTTTTCTAAAAATCTAGAAATTACCTCAATTCTGCTGTCCATTAGGAAAAAACTTAAAACTACCTTTTGCAAAAGGTCTTCCAAAAAATCAAGCTATTATAAGCTTTTAAGAAAAGTAATTTAGTAAAATACAAGTAACTTTATATTTTAAAAAATTTGGAACATGCTCTGTTTCTTTTTTGTTGTTCCTGTGATTTAATTAGTTTTTATAAAACATGTTAGAGCTAGTGTACCACCCACACAGTAGCATCAATTTACTTTTGAGGCTATCCCAGGGTCAGTTTAGAGATTCTGAAGGTAAAATATTCTTTTCTGCCTTTTCCCTCCAATGTAGAAGAGCCCTATAGCATAAGAGTCATTTGGCCAAAATAAAATGAAGCTTTAAAAAAAATCATTTGTATGATTTATGACTGATTTTTATCTTGGCATTAGACCAAAATGAAAACTATAATTAATAAATTGAACCGCACTCATCAAATCCCCAAATTCTGTTTTCCTTGGCTCATCACACTGTTTACATGTGACCACATTTCTGTCTCTTAAATTGCTTTCCTTGTGAGAGCTGCTTTCAGAGCCTTCATCCTAGGAAATCCTAGCTTCCAGTCTAAAAACCTTAAGTTATTTCTCCAGCAAAGGGAGTGGTAAGGAAAGTTCAGCTCTGGCCATGACTGGAAGTCCCAGTACATGTTTGCCCACTGGGGTAAGGTTGGAGTACCCCCAGGCAGATACCCCAGCACACCCATGTCCATCCCAAACGTTCATGCGATTGGACCAGCTAAAGACTGCCCCCAAGCACAACTTCGTTTCTGCAATTCATTTCTGTCTCTTAAGAAAATTAACTACAAAATTCATGATAAATAATAAAATCAATCATTATAGAAGCTAACTATAAGGCTAACTTTTGCTTTAAAATCTGAGAGTCTAAAATAGCATCAAAAAGAATCTTATATAATCTGCTTTGCAGTATAAGCCAATTATAAAAGGTTTTAACCTTTATGAAGGGAGTGTGTAAGATGCAGTTGAGCAGCTCTCCACTAGCATTCATTCACATCGAGATGACCTGGAATCTACTGCAGAGTTTACTGTGCTTTTTACTAGTAGTTTTCTAAGGGAGTATCTTTTATATAGGAATAAAAGTGTTGTTTATTTTAATTTAGTGGTATAGTTACATATGAATTCATTCACCATTCAGACATCAGAGTAATTCATCCATTTCAAAGTATTTGAACATTTTTCTAGATTCATATAGCTGTCCATGTACAACCCTGAGATTTTAAACTCCATAAGAATAAAAAAGCGAACTTCTTATTTCCCATCATAGGCCTCAGAAAATGCCTGGTTACCTGATGTTGCAAGGTAAAAATGAATGCAGCTACATTTCATTACATTTTCAGTCTTATTTCTAAACATCTCGAGGAACTTGGGGGCATAATTAGCAATGGTCAGAATGCTTCTGAACTCTTTGCTGTTAACATACCTGAGTACACAACTGCCTATTAGTGGGAACTGAAGGGAAAAACACCTTCAAATTTAAAAATGGTCAATTTTGGGCTAGGTCAGGTCTTCCATGAAAATGAAAGGCAGCTGAGAAGTCAGAGCTTCATTGTACAACAGTGATAGAGTGGACTCGAGATTGTGCAAGCAGGCAAGGTATTGGAATCAATTCTTGGATAACTTCTTTCTTTATGAATATGATTACACTACAGCTATTTTCATCTCAGTGTAATTGAAAAGTTTTGGTGACTCAAGACCAGTACTACTCTTCACTGTGTAATTAGAAATGAATTATAATGAAAATGTTTTATTCCATTCTAGAGTCAACTCTTTTATCAAATACACACACACACACACACACACACACACACACACACACACTGCGATTAGGTAAAGAAAATACAAAAATGTATGTGGAAGGTAGATTTTTATGGTTTAAAAAAATCATATTTTAATCTTAGAAAAGATGGTTGACTGTGGAATAATTCTGAAATAAAAATCATGCCAAGATCTTTTGGGAGGAATCACGATTCTTCTTTTCTAATAGAATCTCTCTTCATTACTACAGTATTTATGCTTCTTGATAATCTTAAAATAAAAACCTCTTTTTCCCCCTTCATACGTATGACTACGTATGAGGTCATAATAAAGATGGCTGCAAAGTCCTCACGCAGCAATTTGAGCAGATAACATGTGGTGAACAGCTAGTTTAGGTCTTGGAACTCCAACTACCAGCTGGCTACTTTAATAGCAAAATAAGGATTAAAAATTTGGAATTATAGATTACCTCAAATTTCTTTAGTTCTTCCTTGGCAACTGTATAGATCACCCCAGAAGAGCTGGGAAAAGCAGCTGTCCTTTCTGAAGACTTCAGCCAATCTTCAAAACGTGAATAGTCATCCAGAAATTTCTGCCACAATCGCCACGTCTCTTCGATTCTGGGGCGGAAAATGAAAGAACAGATTCAGATTATTGGAGACTGTTTTCGCTCCAGAACCCGGTCTGCTGCCTGCGACTGGATTAAGGGTGCCCACAGAGGCAACTGTTGTGCCAAACGATAACCATTCCTCGAGCCAAATTTGACCAGAGAGCAAGAGAGACAACTGCTTGAGCTAAAATAAAACGGCTGTTTTATTTTTTTAAAAACACGTCCTGCAACTCTGGATTTTGAATTAGTCAAATTGAAAATTACAAGCACATCACACGAGCTGCCTTGAATGTGTGCACCAAGTTTAGAAAAGCAACACCAGGTTTACAGTGTGCACTCAGGCCAGTGTCTTACGGAAATAAAGACGAGGTCGGAAAATCCATTTAAGTCCAACATTCAACTCACACTGACAAAAGTTAATCTATGACAGCAGGACAAATATTAAGCTTTCAACAGTTTACCAGAGAGCACAGCCATGATGATCACTTTGTAACACAGCACGATTTTCTGCCACCTTGAATTTCAAAGGGCTTAAAGATAAATCTGCTTTTATTATTTAATTTTTAATAAAAGAATGTTACTGTTCTCACAGCCACACATTCTGTAATGTTATGCTTGTTTGACAAGGGTGTATTTTTATGTTTCCGTATTATATTTCAACTGTTAGGTCAGACATAACTTGGCTTGTTATATTTATATATTACCTTTATACCTACTTATTTTCCCAACTAAATGTAGACAATAGTAAGTTTGGGAAGCCACAGCTATTTTTGGACATTGTAACGAACAGGAAAGAGTGAACAGTGGATACTCTGGGTGATTTTTATTTTCTTTTTGGTCTTTCCTCTTCCCTATCTGTTTCAGCATCCCAGCTCACTTCAGCCTCCTTTCCATGGACATAGCACAAATGTTTCTCCACCGCCGGTCCAGGTTTCTCGTAGCCTGCTGTATAGAGTCACACTCGGCATCAGTGGCACAGGCGTCACAGTCGTGCAGCAGGACTTCACACAGGTTGAGGACAGATGCAACACCTGTACTGTGCTTCTCTATGTCTCTCTGAAGCTCCTGCAGGGGAACGTAACAGGCTTTATTCAACAATTACATGTATACAGATGAGAGAAACTGAAGCAACCTATGTTGGTAAATGGCTAGGCTACACCTTGACAAATATTTAATTTCCTTGAATGTATGACATTTATTGAGCCTCATTTATGAAATCCAGCAAGCTCAAAAGTACTAGAAAATGGATGTAGAAATATTTTGGCTATGCGAGCAATGCCAAAATATAAACTGAACAAATGAAATGGTCTACACTAAGAGTAAAACTAACTTCTTTAATCAATAAAAAATGAATCTTGCCCCAGACTCTACTTCACGAATACATCACTTTCATTCCAATCAATCAATCATCATCTCTTAGTATCTGTCAGGGGATTGGTTCCAGACCTTCCCTCGGACACCAAAACCCATGGATGCTTAAGTCCTTGATATTGAATGCTGTAGTATTTGCATACCTCCTACACACATCCTTCCATACACTTTAAATCATCTTGAGATTACTTATAATACCTAATACAATGTAAATGCTATAGAAATTGTTCTTATACTGTATTGTTTAGGGAATCATGACAAGAATAAAAAGTCTGTATGTATTCAATACAGATGCAAATTGTTTTCCAAATACTTTTGATCTACGGTTGGTGGAATCCACCAGTGTAGAACCGTAGATACCAAGGGCCTGTATATATGCATGTGCTAGACCTGGCACTCAAGAACTGGGCTTTAAGATCCAAAGATTTACTTTTTTTTTTTTGGGATGGAGTCTCACTCTGTCACCCAGGCTGGAGAGCAATGGCACAATATCAGCTCATGGAAACTTCTGCCTCCCGAGTTCAAGTGATTTTCCTGCCTCAGCCTCCCAAGTAGCTGGGATTACAGGTACCCGCCATCATGCCTGGCTGGTTTTTGTATTTTTGTAGAGACAGGGTTTTACCATGTTGGCCAGGCTGGTCTTGAACTCCTGACCTCAGGTGATCCACCCACCTAGGCCTTCCAAAGTGCTGGGATTACAAGTGTGAGCCACCACGCCCAGCTGATTTGCATTCTTTTTTAAACAGTTAATTCCACCATCATTAAAAGGTAACATGGTTATCAATGGACGAACAAATAAAGAAAAAGTGGCATATATATACACAATGGAATATTATTCGGTCATAAAAAAATGAAATTATGTTGTTTGCAGCAACATGGATGGAACCGGAGGTCACTATGTTAAGTGAAATAAGCCAGGTACAAAAACACAAATATCACACATTCTCACTTGTATGTGGGAGCTAAAAAAGTTGATCTCATGGAGGTAGAGAGTAGAACGCCAGATAGCAGAGGCTGGGAAGAGTGTTTGGGGGCAATGAAGTGAGGTGTCAATAGACACAAACATACAGTTAGAGGGAATAAGTCTTAATGTTCGATAGAGTAGAATGACTATAGTTAACAACAATGTACTGCATATTTCAAAATAGCTAGAAGAGAGAAATTGAAACATTCCCAACACATAGAAATAATAAATACCAGAGGTGACGGACACCCCAAATACCCTGACTTGATCATTACACAGTTTATGCATGTAACAAAATATCATATGTGCCCCACAAAGATGTAGAAAGACTATTTAAGGGACCTAGGTTCTATATCATGCATGACATCAGCAGTTTCCTCAGAGAACAAATTCTTTTTTTTTTTTTTTTTAGATGGAGTCTCACTCTGTCGCCCAGGCTGGAGTGCAGTGGCATGATCTCAGATCACTGCAACCTCCTGCCTGATTCTCCTCCTCATTCTCCTGCCTCAGCCTCCTGAGTAGCTGGGATTACAGGCGCCCACCACCATGCCTGGCTAATTTTTGTGTTTTTAGTAGAGACGGGGTTTCCCCATGTTGGACAGGCTGGTCTGGAACTCCTGACCAGGTGATCCGCCCACCTCGGCCTCCCAAAGTGCTGGAATTACAGGTGTGAGCCACTGCGCCTGGCATAGAGCAACTTTTAATGTAGGGCAGAAGTAAAATGTTTTATGATAAAAACAAAGCATTGGATTTCCCTGGAGTCCCACAATGTGAAATCTTCATTTTAACTGTATAAAATGTAAATTCAAATTGTATGTTGTTTTCTCTATTGAACTTTTAACTCCATTTACTCCAAGTAAGTATTCCATTATTAAAAGTAAGCTCTACCAGTATCATTTTTTGTTTACTATATTCATCAATGTCCTTAATGTGTTTTCCTTTTCTTTTATCAGGAAGTTCTTGAATTTGCTTATTTTTTCTCTTGCTCTAAAAATTCCTCAATTTACGCAGATACCCGGGATTTATATTCTTGTGTTGCTCTTCCTCTTATTTTTTTCCTTGATGCCATGTTCCAACATCTATGCAAACACTAGCTATTGTCAAATGTCATAGTGCCTTTAATTAATTTTGGAGATTTTATAAACTAGACACTAGACGATAAATTTTACTAAAATATTTATATTTGTATAAACAGTCCTTTCAAATCTCTGACATAACCTCCTTCACTTACATGAAACAATATGTCACAGGAATTGCTGTTCTAAAAAATATAAAATGAAGTAATATAAAAATTAAACTTAGTATTTGCTTAAAGATAAATATAAAGACAAATAATTCTGTAAATGAGATTACCAAGTACATTTGAGGTCTTAAACTACATTTTGTGCAAGCATATACATTTGGAAGAAGTGTTAGGCCCCTGGACATAAACCATGCATTTAAGAAAGTTAGCATTTTTATTTCATTTTCCCTAAATACTCAAAAGTTTTTGTTAAAATCAATATATGAAATAGCAACCCTAAGATTTGAGGGGATTTATAATCATACATAAGTGCCCTAAGACAAAGTTTTAGGCTCAGCTTCAACTTTTTTTCTTTTTTTTGAGACGGAGTCTCGCTCTGTCTGCAGACTGGAGTGCAGTGGCACAATCTCGGCTCACTGCAACCTCCGCCTCCCAGGTTCAAGCGATTCTCCTGCCTCAGCCTCCTGAGTAGCTGGGACTACAGGCGCGCACCACCATGCCCAGCTAATTTTCGTATTTTTAGTAGGGACAGAATCATTCTTAAAAATTTTCCACAAGGGAAACTGTGGTAACTGTGACATGATTAAAATAAAATGTATCAAGCCCTGACTTTGTGTTAGGTAGGCACTGTGCTCAGTGCTTCTTCTTAGTAATTTGTATAATCACACTGTGTGGTGTGGACTCTGATGATTGGCGTTCTATAAATCAGGGCTCTAAGGGTTCAAATAGTTATGGCTTTGTCCCAGATCACATGGGAATGTAGTGAGGCCAAGATCTGAACCCAGAAAGTTTACTTTTAACCACTGGTGTACAGGACTTTTTAAAGTCTTAATTTAAAATTTAATTAAAAAGCTATATGTGCATATTTAATGTAGTAAAAAGTAAAAAACGACTAGCAGGTTCTGAAGAAAGCAGCATGTTTTCCACCCCGGAGTTCACCTGTTCAGGAGCAACCATTTCCATCTCTTGCAGCTCTTTCTTCTGGTATTACTTCTACCCTTTTTAATTTTTTGAGACAGGGTCTTGCTCTGTCACCCAGGCTGGAGTGCAGGGGTGTGATTATGGCTCACTGCAGCCTCAAATTCCTGGCCTCAAGTGATCCTTCTGCCTTGGCCTCTCGAAGTATTAGGATTACAGGGGTGAGCCGCCACATTCAACCTATTTCTATATTTCTCAGTAATATATAACTTCTCTATTTCTAAGTAACATAGCTACTGCTTGATTTGTCCATACTTTATGAATTCTTGTATAGTAGAGAAGAAATAAACTTCTACATGGCTGACTGAACTCTAATGACTGTTACAGTACAACTTAGAGCTAGGGTAATAATCACTGTTCTCATGATTATGGTTATTTAATATTTTTCACATTTGAGGAACAAAATATACTATGGTTATGTTTCTTTTCTTTTTTTTTAGACAGAGTCTCAGTCTGTCGCCAAGCTAGAGTACAGTGGCGCGATCTCCGCTCACTGCAACCTCCGACTCCCTGGTTCAAGCGATTCTCCTGCCTCAGCCTCCCGAGTAGCTGGGATTACAGGCAAGCACCACCATGCCCAGCTAAATTTTTGTATTTTTAGTAGAGACGGGGTTTCACCATGTTGGCCAGGATGGTCTCGATCTCCTGATAACTCATTTTCCTGGATTTTACAATCCTCTCTCTCTCTCTAATTTATAATGCTTGCTTCTATTATCTCTCTTATTGAACTAATAAAACTCCTTCCGGAGTGGTTAAGCCCATCAGATAATCTAGCCCCTCCTGGCTCCTCCTGGAAACATCCCTCCTAGAGCACCCAGAGCCCCTGCTCCCATCTGGACAGGTGCTGGCTTGGCTGCAGTACAGCTGTCATCAGGGACTTTCCTGCACCTTCACTCTGGGAATTCCCTTTTTCTTTCTCCTGAGTTGAATAGCATTTCCCCTCTTGCTTTAGTGCGTGTAGCATATGCAGCATATATAGCATAGTAGTACGTAGCCTGTGTAGCAAGTATGAAGTGTATTTTCCTCTCACTTTCATGTATGCAGCATACCTTTCATTAGCTTCCTGAAAATGGGTACATAGGAGGTAAAATTTGTAGATATTAAGTGGCAGGGTATAAAATTCTAAATTATAAAGAATTTTTCTCCGCTTTCTGAAGTTAGAGCCATTGTCTTCCAGCTCCCAGTATTGTTTTGGAGAAGCCAGAGTTTATTTCATCCTGGAAACCTTTAGGATCTCCTTATCCCTTGTGTTTTGCAGTTTTACAGTGTGGCTTTGCTTTGTTTTACATTTTCCTGGGCACTCATACAGCCCTTATCATCTGCAAATGCATGTTTTTCATTTTAGATATATATATGAATATATATACACACACATATGTGTAATGTGTGTACACATATACGTGTAATCTTCCACAAAGTAAACAAAAAGATAAATATATGAAAAATAGGAGAGAAATATAGACATAAACATAATAAAATTAACAATAATGCGAGAGTTTCAAAATCCAATTCAGTTATTTTATAAAAGTCCCCCCAAAAAAGAATAAAGAAAATGGAGAGGAGAAAATTAACATCGTAGTAATGTAACAAAAATATAAATATATATTTAATAATAAATATATAAAATATATTTTTACATTACTACATTATTTATTTCATAATAAACATATATTATTTAATAATAAATATATATATTACATTACTACTATGGTAATTTTCTCCTCTCTATTTTCTTTATTTTTTTTTAGCAGGGGACTTTTACAAAATAACTGAATTGGATTTTGAAACTCTGGCATTATTGTTAATTTTATTATGTTTATGTCTATATTTCTCTCCTATTTTTCATATATTTATCTTTTTGTTTTACTCTGTGGAAGATAGTCTCCATTCTGAATGCTTTTTTTAAAGAAAAATGGCATCCTATCATTTTATGAATGCAAAACCTCTCATTTCTGTGAGTTTGTTTGTTTTGTTTTGTTTACATTTTCTTTCTCTACAATGTGTTTCCTCTGATTGTTCCTTTCTTTATTTCCCTCTATTTATTTTTTTTTCTTAATGGTAGAAGCTTTCTTAAGTGGTGAGGATTCTTGCCTACCCACACATATTCAAGAATGAGTCAGCTATAGAAGCTGTGTATGCACCTAAAGTATGTCAACTGGGAGGCTTCCCTGTGGAGAGTTAGGCAGGGGTCTGGCCTTTTCTGGGTTACCTTAAGTATCACTAATTGAAGGTACTTTTTGCTTGTCTGATCAGTTCTCCAGAAAGGATGCTCCAATCTCCTGGCTAGGGTGTAAGCCTGGGTACTGACATAGTGGGAGCCAAGCTGGGGAAGCGGGCTGGGAGCCCTAGCATTTGGTATTGAGCCAGTCACATCATCTCCCCATTTTTAACATAGTGACTCTAGCCTCCACGGTGTCCTGATCCCCAAACCCAGAGTCCCTCTGGTTTGCTTTCTCCAGAGAGTAATCATCTGATCTTCTACCTGAGTAAAGGAAGCAGAGTTCCCTGGCTGGCTGGGCTTAGGAGGAATCTGCCAGTCTCAGCACACCTTATTCAGATTTTCAAGTAATCTTCCATTTTACAGCTCAATAGGCAACTCAACTTTCAGCTTCACCTGATCTCCACTTTCTGAGCCTTCTTCGAACTCTGTGGCATGAATCAACTTTCTCCACCCTCCATTCTGTTAACAACATCACTGATCTATCCACTTTCTATCTTGCAAAATTATGTTGGATGTCTGTCATCTCTACCATTTTCTCTCCTGTTCTCTTTGCCATTGTGGTTTTAACCTTTTTCCCTCTCTACCATCATTTTATTGGGGTTTTAGTAGTAGGTGGGGCTATAAATACATATGATCAATTTGCCATATTTAACTAGATATTTTGTTGATTTTCATACACTTGTGAAATTACGATACCCGCCATTTGCATTTCAACTCATCACTATAGACATCATTACCATGTTCTCTGGAAGAATCTGGGAAGCCGGATGCCAACCAGGATCCCTACAATTCAATCATCAGAATCTCAAACATCACCACCCATCAGAAAACTTTAATTTCATAAAAATTGAAAAACGTCTTGCTAACAGTTTTTTTAAAGCAATGGAATATAGTGTATGTTTCAAGATAGCTAGAAGAGAAGATTTTGAGTATTGTAAGAAATGATAAATGTTTAAAGTGATAGATATGGTAATCAAATTACCTCAGTTTGTTTGATTATTACACTATGAAAATATGCATTGAAGCACCACGTTGTACCCCACACATATGTACAATTACTATATATTCATTAGAAAGAAAAAAATTTTAATGATAATTTTAATATTAAAAAAACCTCAACACCCAAAACTGTATTTTGACACCTATTTCATTGGCTTAAATAGTCTGTAAAATGAAGTAAGTACATAAACTATAAGATTTTAAAAATAGGAGGTATTTACATTTTATAGCATTTTAAAATTAAGCAACTTTGCTGCAATGGCCTAAATGTAATGGAGAGAACCAGAGTGTGGATAGAATATTCAAAGCAACCTAAATGCATGGAGTAACAATACCTCTAGCGGGGGATTTACAGTGTTTGCTATTGGCAACTGGAGTCCGATATACTTAGCAAGGATAAATGAGGGGGCCTGGCACAGTGGCTCACGCCTGTAATCCCAGCACTTTGTGAGGCCGAGGGTGGGCAGATCACTTGAGGTCAGGAGTTTGAGACCAGCTTGGCCATCATGGCGAAACTCCGTCTCTATTAACAATACAAAAATTAGCCAGGCATGGTGGTGCATGCCTGTAATCTCAGCTACTTGGGAGGCTGAGGCAGGAGAATCGCTTAAACCTGGGAAGTGGAGGTTGCAGTGAGCTGAGATCGCACTACTACACTCCAGCCTGGGCAACAGAGTGAGACTCTGTCTCAGGAAAAAAAAAAAAAAAAAGAAAGAATAAATGAGGGAGGGAATGGGAGGTGAAAATTTCTTCTGTATACATTTTCCAGGATCATCCCTTTTTGCTTTGTTGGGTTGTACGCCGCCAGTGAGATATTCTGTCTTTGCTACACACATGAAAGTGGAATTACTGTGTGCGATCTGCAGGTCATGCAATCCTTTTTGCAAAACAAAATTTTTTCAACTTGAAAAATTCTAAGTATGCCTTGTAATCTTTCCCCAAACACTATACACAGGAAAAAAAGTCGGGGGCAGGGGGGCTCCTTTCAGTCCTGTCTAAGTGTATGGTAGTGGGCTAGGGCTAGTGACTCTCAAATAAATAAACCAATCTGTTAGCACTGTTTTAGATACGTAATTGCAACTCCACCTTACCTACCATCTTAGAAGGCTTCTTGGTGGATGGATGACACTAACTGTACAATGGCACAACCATCTTTGTAAGGCTGAACTCTGCAGTGACATGGAACCTGTTGGCCTCAATCGCCTGCCTAGGCAAAGCCCCCTTCCTCACCAGTCCTGCCTAGCTCCCTGCTGACCTTCCATCTCCAGGCACCATCTCATGCCCACCCCATCATCCTGGCCAGGAGGACAGATATTCCATGGCTTATTAATTCCATTTCCATTTTAAGTCTTACCTGCTGCTCATTAAGCTTTCTCTGTATTTCTTCCGAGTTACAGGAATCGTAGACTATTGGCTTGGCCAGCTCTGACTCGATGTGAGCGAGCCAGGTCCTCAGGCTGCTCATGTTCTTATCAAGCTGCTGCACGGCTACCAGGGTCTCCTTCAGCTTCTTCACCCTGTGGGCAGAGAAGGGGGAATGTCCCACTTCAGCGAGAGGCCCACTCATGTTTCTCTAGCGTGCAGAGGAGAACACTGGGCTTTAACAATCTTTTTAGGCAGAGTTAGAAACTCATGTGGAAGAAGCCAAAGACAGAAGACAAAGGAGGATAGAAATTAGAGATGAATACAGACAAAGGAGCAAGGATGCAGAGGAGGCAGGGGTCCAGGGCACAGGAGCAGAGATAGATAAATTAGTTTTGAACACAGTTTTCCCAGTGTGAGCAAGGTGTGATCAGAAGTTTGGGAAGAACCACAGGTAGTATTTCTCAACTCCATTACTACCTACTTACAGCAAAAATCAATTATTGACTCCCTGTTAAGAGCCTGACATGGCTGAGTGTACACAGATTGCTCTAAAGAGAAAGGTCATGGTGATAATAAGCATATGATCAATGATCTATTAGTGCCCTTATTTAAAAATTGCTGCTACCTTTAGACTATGAGTCTCGCCTTTTGGTTCAGGAAATATGGCCACCTAATTGGCACTGCTCATAACAGAGGTAAACAGCAGATGAGCAAAATACTTCAAGCTGCTAGGGTGTCATCTTGGCTCAACTGAAGAGGTATCTATCTTCTTGAAAATATGTCAAGAGCAACATGACTTGTAAGACTCTAGGTTTGTGATACATTTAAAGGCAGGGATCTGCAATAGAATGTTCTCAAAGATTGACAACTTATACACTTAGAGTCATCAGATATTCGCGCCCCCTCCCCCACCCCCACATTACTTCCAGGCATTTAAAGAAGTGATTCTCAAGCTGGGATTGTCACACAGTCAGTGGAGGGTGCTTTCAAACCACAGGTGCCAACTACCAGCCACCACCGCCAGGTGGTTCTGATACGTTTCTCTGATCAAGACACACTGTTCCGAAGAAAATGTCTCATAATCAAAGTATTTTGAACATTTGATTTATTTTTAGTTGCTTAAAATTGTTATCATCACTTCTGTTCCAGTTTCAATAAATCAATGTGTCTCTCTCAAGTGAAAATGTAGTCATTTGACAACATGATCGCTTTTCCTTTTTGTCATTTTTCCTCAAAGCACTGTCATATAAATGCTCTTAAAGGATTTTCACTATGGTCAGCTGTTAATAATATCTATATTTTAATAATTGTAATTAATAATTCTTCTATTTGAATAACATTTTCAGTTTGTAAAAACCCTCAGGAACATTACCTTTTATTGTTTTAAAAAATGTGTATTTAAAAAATTATGTTCATATTTCACAATATATTCTTTTGGTAGAAAATGAAAATATGTTACAATGTTTATTGTGACTTACAATTCCACTCGAGATAAGATTTCCCCAATTAGCTTTATAAATACAAATTGTACCCTGTCCCCCAGACACTTCAAGGCATTGGCCTTGAACACTATTTCCAAGAACTTTTACATACAACTCACTCACATTTCTCTCATGGCTAAGACAAAATTCATCTGGGCATCAGTCAGTGAATGACAGTTTTATTATGGCTACTGGGTACAAAGCTCATGGAGTGCATTTGATCGACCACAGCATGGACATGGAATTTTACATGGCTCTGGCCATAGTGCCCCAGACTGAAAGAAGAGTTTACCATCAATAAACCCACTGGAAGAGGCCTGAAGAATGGCACACAGCACAGAGAGGTCCGTCCTGCTTTTACATCTGTAGGAATGTCTTCTCAGCAGCCTCTCCTGCATGACTTCAGATTTCGTAGGATCTGAACACTTACTAGGCTTGGGGATGGTAATGTCATCAGGGTTTTACTAGAGGTTGGAGTGCTTGTTTTCTCCCTTCCTTATTTTAGTTCCCTGGTATTATTCATGCATTAATTGGTCTCCTCCATGGTAACTTCCTTGGAAAGCTGGAAATGTGAATTTCTATATTTGGCTATTTCCCTACCCCGGCCATGCTAAACTCAGTGCTTTGCACTAAACTGGGTACTGTTTAAGTGGTTGCTAAACATTAATAATGAATATTCTAAGCGAATTGTGTTTATTTAATTAACATGTTTTCATTTTAAAATTTTTATTTGATATTAAGTGTGTATTAAGTTTTACTTCTAGATTCAACATTTGCCAGTGCTCTATTTGTCAAGTACTAAAATTCATTCGTTTTTTTGGTTCAAAACTCACAAATATGATCAAAAGATCCAAAGCACAAAAGGATGCAAGTAAACACTGTTCCATAGGACCGTCTACATTAGAAAAATAAATTACAGGATAGCTTTTGTAATATCGAATGAGTTCCAAGTCAGAGTGGTTAGTATGCAATATGTCAAGGGCATCATGACATGGAAATGTGTGTTCATATAGTCCATTAGGGACAAGTTCCTCTTTCAAGCAAATGTGTAAATTTAGTAAAGTCGACGGGGGTGAACATTTAAGCAGTTCTTTTTCATTTTTTTAAAAATTGTGTTTTTACTACAAATAGCAAAATACAGTGTGCATGTGTGCTGGGGGAGCAGAGGTGAGCCTGTAGGGCATGGGTAGTAGGATTAATAAGCCTTGGCTTATTAAACTTGACATTTATTTGCAGGACAGGGATCATTCTTTTTTTTAGGAGAAATGTCCCATGTTTCTTTCCATTATTTCTTTAAAGATAATTTTTGGGTGAAGCGTCACAGTATTTTTATTTATCTATCATCGTGAGAAGTCTGAGCAACATTACTTTTGGTAAGCATCCAGGATTATCATTCAAATTAGATACTTGCAGACGTCACATGTCTGGGTAAGTTTAGCAGCTTGATAAATCTGTAAGTCCCTGCAGCTTATGGTTCTTTCACAGTCCAGTGTGTATCACAGGCACTTGACCTTTCTTGAAAAGGATTCTACTATGAAATCCAAATGTCCAGCTTCTTAACACTGAAACACGTATATACAAACACACATAAATATGTATATACGTACTTACACATATATGCTTATATATCTATATATATTGTATCTATATTTCACCACTTTCCTTCAAAGTAATTTAGTATATCCATAACCCAAAACAAAACAAAAAGTCCAAATTCTAAATATAATAGAACAAAAATTACCATTGGGTAAATCCTATTCATTTGTAGAAATTTATCTGAGGGATGATACAGTAAAGAAAAACATATTAAAAAAATTCCTGTCATATTTTTATTCTAACTGAAAAAAATCATGAACTAAACATTTGCATAATGCACTAAATTACTATTTTAGACATTAATTTGTACACTTTGCACATATATTTTATAAGCTTCATATTAGGGACTAAAACTTACTGACAAGCACAAACAAAAGCAACTTTCTCAAACACACAGCATTTTCTAGAGCCCTGAAATAGTTTTATTTCATGAAAGGAAAGCTTTCAACTACAAAGCTGTGAACCAGCTAAGGCTAAATTTCAGTTTCATCAGAAGCCCATCCTTTAAATAGCAGATGATGGACTAACTGAGTCTTTTTCTGGATCGCTTTCCTGTGTCTCAGCCTCTCTACTCTAGCCATACTCCTTGTATGACGCATACGGTCCAGAGACAACTGGAATACAGAGTCATAATAAAGTCCATTAACCTTTTTGTCCAGCTCTGCATGCCCAGTAGAGGTACTAGAAAACAAACCAACGAATAACTCTTGGGAGTCCACATGGCCAGCTATCTCCCAACACCAATCCTCTTCATGTAACATTGGCAAAAACAGTTCTGGATTAAGGCTTCCAGCGTCTATCCTACAAACCCCACGTAACATGAAAGCTATGTACAATGGAAGAAACTCAAGAAGATGCCTGCCTTGTGACATCGCAGTTACAATCTGGGAGATCTGCATCCACACAGCTGTCCTCTGCCATCCTCAGGGCACTCAGGTCCTCCGCCACCACCATGAAGCTTCCACTTGCAAAAGTTAGACTCTGCAGAGCAAAAAGCTATATCCTGCGTGGGGATGAAAGTTTCCCCTTGTCTGTGTATAGAAGTATGAAAATGCTCACTGTAGACAAATGTTGGTAGTCTCTGCCCGATAACATGACACTGGGCAGTGACAAGTGGTCATGTTTCTAAATAAAACCTACATTCATTAACATGTGCCAGGCTTGATCTCCTGGAATGTAGGCCACGAGTGTAAGAAGGGGAAAAAGCTCAGTGTAATCTGTAAGGAGGAGGAAGCTACAGGTCTAAAGAAAGGACAGCAAAAACAACATCGGCTGCACACACTCTGCTGTTCTGTAAGGACAGTCAACTTTTCTTGCGGGCAGTTTGTTATGCTGGGAAAGCTATTTAAAGAAAACAAATCATCCCACTGCAAACAAACAAAATGTCCACAAACACAGCAAATGGTAGTAGCAAAAGGAGTAACTTCCTTCTTTTTTGGGTTCAGTATGCCAGCTCGGTAGTGTATGCAAGAGTTTTAGGGGTTGTTTGCGAAGGTGGGAAAGTACATGCTCTTTATCTTTGAGTAGACTATTTGGGGAGGAAAAATAAGGAAGAAATATTATTCTCCCTTACATATGCAAAACTTTTGTCCTTTAAAAATAATCATGTAGATGACAAAAATAACATTTTCATTTTAAGACAATTAAAAAAATAACTATATTCATTTGCTCAGGGGGTCTTCAGGTAACTCTTTTTCTTTTGTGAATTTCAAGAGTTTCCAAACTTTCTGCACTAAGCAGATGATAATTTAATAATTTATACTTTTAAAGAAAATAAGTCCCCAAATTATTAATTCCTATAATTCAATAAAATATGATTAATGCTGGATGCTTTACATCCTTTAGGGGATTAAAAACTACACACAAATAAATAATAAATATTAAATAAATAATGAAAATTTGCTAAGTTCTTTCCAAAAAGGACTACATGATGATTTGTAACTAAAATAAAACAAAGCATCTGGTTCTGGTCATGTGAGTTGACTGTTTTTAAAACAGAACACTACAGGAAACACATTTTCTTAATAAAAGAAATACATTGGTGGCTCACGCCTGTAATCCCAGCACTTTGGGAGGCTGAGGTTGGTGGATCACAAGGTCAGGAGATCAAGACCATCCTGGCTAACACTGTGAAACCCTGTCTCTACTAAAAATACAAAAAATTAGCTGGGCGTGGTGGCGGGCACCTGTAGTCCCAGCTACTCGGGAGGCTGAGGCAGGAGAATGGCGTGAACCTGGGAGGCAGAGCTTGCAGTGAGCTGAGATGGCGCCACTGCACTCCAGCCTGGGTGACAGAGCGAGACTCCATCTCAAAAAAAAAAAAAAAAAAAAAGGAAATACACCTGCCAGCCTGGGTTACAAAGTGACACCTCATCTCAAAAAAAAAAAAAAAAAAAAATCAAAAGATTATCCAGGCACAGTGGCATGCATCTGTAGTCCCAGGTAATGAAGTGGGAGGAAGACTGCTTGAGCCCAGGAGGCTGAGGCTGCAGTGAGCCATTACTGCACCAGTGCACTACAGCCTGGGTGACAGCGCAAACCCAATCTCAAAAAAAAAAATAAAAAATTAAAGAAAACTGCATTTTATATAAGAAATAAATTCTAGAAAACATAGTACTTAAAGATATTGTACTGTGAATTCTTTTATAAAACAATCATTCTTCTTATATTAATGTATTTTTAGTAATCAGAAATGAAAATATTTTAAACTTTGATTAAAGAAATATATTGGTTATGAATCTACCACTATAGGCAACTTTGTTTTTTTCTTGATTATGACTAACATTTTAAAAAACCTGAAGTCTTCAAAACATTTTATTGTCATAATTTCCTTAGTTTAATTTCTTTTACCTTATTTAGTTTACCTCATGGAGTTAAAAAATTTGAAATTTTTTTCATGCTTATTATTGTTAGCATAATATATGTATTCCAATGAACTAAATATGAGACAAGGCAAAGCTCTAAAGATACAATTATTCAAAGAGCAAAAATGGCAATGTTCATTGATACAGAAAATCCTAGATAAGTTGTGGTATATTTATACTATGGAATACTCTGCAGGTTTCTAAAAGAATGAGACTGGCATAGACATTGTTTTATAGTAAACACAGTCCTTTCCCTTGCATTTTCTCATTGGAGATGTGGCAGTTAGTTTCATTAACACTTTGAAAATGAGCAACTTGAGGCTCAGAGAAGTTACTCAGTAAGACCTGGGCCACACAGCAGGAACCAGGTGGACTAAACTCAGGCCTCTTGATTAGTTCTGTGCTGTTTCTGTGCTCATCGCATCAATGCATTCCTGATCCTTACCAGGCACCTTCCGACTCAAACACCCTTAGGTAATACCAGCCGTGAATTCCAAGAATTTCATTTCCTTTGACCTCCAACGTGGGTAGAACACCCTTTAAACTGAAAGTCCTCCTGAGGGCAGCTGCTAGGAACTTCACAAAGCCTTGCTTGCACTGCATATGTGTTTTACCTCCACAGCCTTTGAACTCCCTCTGGGATGAGAGCTGACCTCTATTGAACATATTCTATGCTTAGCGGTTGATATGGTTTAGCTGTGTCACTACCCAAATCTCATCTTGACTTGTAGCTCCCACAATTCCTATGCGTTGTGGAAGGGACCCGATGGGAGATAATTGAGTCATGGGGGTGGTTTCCCCCAGACTGTTCTTGTGGTAGCGAATAAATCTCATGAGATCTGATGATTTTATAAGGGGTTTCCCCTTTTGCCTGGCTTTCATTCTCTCCTGTCTGCCACCATGTAAGATGTGCCTTTCGCCTTCCACCATAATTGTGAGGCCTCCCCAGCCATGTGGAACTGTGAGTCCATTAAACATGTTTTTCTTTATAAATCACCCAGTCTCGAGTTGTCTTTATCAGCAGCATGAAAATGGACTAATACAGTGGTAAACCACTAATCATTCTTCTGAGCTAGCTACTATTATGATTCTCATTTTATACATGTGGTAACCGAGGTGCTGAGAAGATAAGCAAGTTGGTGAAGCAGAATCACGCTATGACTCAGGCAGCTGAAGCCCGAAGCCAATGCTTTGCTTTGTGTATGCTTTCATTTGTGTGCGTACGTTTTCCACCCTATGGTTTAGATTTGAGAAACTCAGCAAATACGGGAGTGACTGCTATGTGCAAAGAACAAGGTCAGGGGCTGGGACTACTATGGTGATCAAGGTTAGATACACTTACATTTTAGCAGAGAAAACAGGCTTAAAATGACTGATCACACAAGATTTCACATAGTTCAGGGAAATGCTATGAAGGAGAAGCCTACTGAGCCCGTAAGAAGAATCTGATCTAATCTGGAGAGAAGGAAAAACAGGAAGAACCAATCAGGAGCTGGCCAGGCCAGGGGCAGGCAGGAGAATGCCCAGGAAGAGAGAATAGAAAGGAAGAGGCCCTGCAGTGAGGAACGCTTGTGTACTTGCATTATGACACTTATTTGGTTAGGGACCATTTTCTTTCTCATCTTTATATCCCTAGAGCAGGCCACCTGTTTTGGTAAACAAAATTTTGTGGGAGCACTGCCATGGTTTTCTATTTACAGATTTTTCTATGGCTGCTTTCACTCTATAATAACACGCTAATAGCAACAGAGACTATTTGGCCCACAAAACTAAAAATATTTACTATCTGGTCCTCTACAGAAAACATTTGCCAACCTCTGCCCTATAGCAAGAAGCATAGTACTTCATATATAGTAGGCGTTCAATCATTTTAAAAAATTACTTGTTTTTACTCTACTTCTACAAAATGTTGAGGCAATTATAATAAATATAGAGATTAAAAACAACCAGTCACAAAAGGCCACATATTATATGACCTATGTATATGAACTATTCAGAACAGGTAAACATGTAGAAACAGAAAGTAGATTAGTAGTTTCCCAGGGCTGGGAGAAGTGGGGAAGGAAGAGGAGGGAAGAAAAGAGTGACGGCTAATGGGTAACTGTTTTTATTTGGGACTGACGAAAGTGTTTTAAAATTGATTGGAGTAATAGATGCATAGCTTTATAAATATACTAAAATCACTGAATTACATGCTTTAGATAGATGAGTTATACGGCATGTGGATTATATCCCCAAAAAAGCTGCTATTGAGAAAAACAAAAAGATAACAGCCAAATAACTAAAGGATGCTTTTGCCTTGGTGATGGGGATTTAGGTTTAGCCGAGAGAAAAAGAATTTTCTCTATTAGAAGGTCCAGTTACCCACTTCCCTGCCCCCAAATCATCACAACAGAGTGCGCAAGTTGAATTTGACCTTCCTAGATGCTAAGATGAGAAATGTTACTAATTCGTTGTCTGTGATAAGAAACATTGAAGAATTAATACTAAAAAGACAGATTTCCTTTTAGTCCTGAGCTCTAGAGAAATTGCTATGTGGATTTTCTGCACTGGATTCATTGACAAAACGAGAGCCAGTATTCTTAAAGGCAGTTTTACAGAAATTAGAGTGATGCGTCACCAATGACAGCTTCTTATGTTGACTTTTAAAAAAAGCCAAGGGCTCAGAGGTACTTTAATTATCTAGGCCACTGCTGAACAACAGAACTTTCTGAGATGATAAAAATGTTCTGCATTGTACAGGGTCCAATAAGGTAGCCACTAGCCTCATGGGGTTATTGACCACTTAAAATGTGGCCAGTGCAACTGACCATAATTAAAATTAAGGAGTAATTTAATTTTATTCCATTTCAGTTAATTTAAATATTCTGTAATTTAAATAGCCATCCGTAGCTAGTGACTGCTGTATTACATACAGCAGATCTAGAAAGTATGGAAAGGACACTAGAACATTATTCACTGAGTCCTAAAAGTAACTGAGCAACTTTTGTTGCCCTAAAAAATTGACAATGCTTGACAACACAATTTAAAAACTCAATGCAAAGCACATCTATTTTGTACTCAGAGTAATCTAAACTAATCTGATGGTGATGTCAAGTTGACTCTAAATTATGCGTTCTATTTTTATGTATGTAATAGATTTGTTATCAGTAAATCTTTTTCTTTTCTTTTTTGTTGCTTCTGTGATTGAATATTAAAGACACAGTTCATGTTTCTATTAGCTGAGATGTTCACCTAAAAATACTATCATCTTCAAAAATAACCTCTCCATTCCCACAAGAGCACCAATACAGGACAGAAATGTCGAAAGGCATACACTGGGTTATATTTTGCTTTAGTGCATCAGCGCTGGAAGAGGCAAGAGTGGTGAATGGACTGAATCATAGAAACCTAATACTTCAGCTGGCAGTTCACAGTTGAGGATGGGTGTGGGAAACATGCATCCAATCTGTGCACTAACGAAGCACCAATAAACAAGGAAATGCAATGCAGATGTGACAGCCGGGTGTCTTTCAGGAGAAGCTGCAAGGGTGACTGTGACTCTAACATGGTGTTAAACTCCAGGATGGCTCAATGATCAGTGCCTAATCTAGTCTAATTTGGAAGGAGGCAATTAGAAACAGGCAACATATATACAAAAATCTCCTGTGGAATTTTATCTGGGTATTCTGAGGCTTTATGTAAGAGGAAACAAAAATTAGTATTGTATAAGTGACTATAGTGAGAAGCATGTGTACCTTATAAACATGTAATTGATTCAAGTTTATTAATATGTCTTTTGGCAAAGTAAACAATTAATATCTAGAAAACTCTCCACTGAACAGCCAGACAAAATATGTTATAAATAAATGTGAATTCAAGGAGACAGCAGCAAACTCATTTGCTGTAATATTGGCTCATAGTTGGGCATACACTAAGTTAGCTGCTTATGACTAGATTACATTAAATCTGATTTAAAATATCTTTGACATAGTGCATCCTTACTCTCCACATCACTGAGTCACTAAAAGTAGGAAAATAATATTAACTAGTTTAACTGGATTACGTGGAAATGTCAATCAATCTATGAGTCAAATTTGACCAAAAAACTCCCCGGGGGATGTTTACCAAACAGGCAGTTTCCCTAAGAAGGATATTTATAGCTTGAAGGACTTCAATTCCTCCTTCTGAAACAGGATTTTGTTATCATTTTAGTGAGGGAGAAGTGGGACTGAACACAGCACTGGGATTTTAAAATATACATTTGTTGAAACTCCGAGACCAGTTTAAGCTAAAATATTATTTCCATCTCTTTATAGTGCCTTTTCCAGAGCTCCTATTTATCTCATTGTTTTACTCCATTCCCATCCTGAACTTCTCAAAGGAGAAGTTCTCCTTCAGTTCTGTCATTTTATCTTGACTCTCACAGTCACTGTCACATTGTAAGTACTTTACAAAGAACTGAGAAATTAGATTGTCGAGATCAAAAACAGAACTTATCTTCCATTTAACTGTCTTCTCTCTAACAGGGAAAAGGAAGTCACAAACTTGAGAGGCAGGAGGGCACAGCACTCCAGGACACGCGCTTTGGAGTCTGAGCACAGGCTGTGCCACACAATGTGTGCGTGATGATGGACAAGCCTCAACCTTAGCCCCTGTATCTGTAAAATGGGCATAATGATAAGGCCACCTCAAAGGACATTATGAACAATACACAAAAAGATGCCTATGAAACCCGTAGCATGGTCATTGGAATCAGCAAAGTGTTCAATAAATGTTAGCTATATCAGTGCTATGGTTAAACATTTAAAAAGCTGAGGCTGGGTGCGGTGGCTCACACCTGTAACCCCAGCACTTCGGGAGGCCGAGGCGGGTGGCTCACCTGAGGTCAGGAGTTTGAGACTAGCCTGGCAAACATGGTGAAACCCCATCTCTACTAAAAATACAAAAATTAGCCAGGTGTGGTAGTGTATGCCTGTAGTCCCAGGGATTGGGAGGCTGAGGCAGGAGAATTGCTTGAACCTGGGAGGCAGAGGTTGCAGAGCTGAGATTGTGCCACTGTACTCCAGCCTGGGCAACAGAGCAAGACTCCATCTCAAATATAAATAAATAAATATAAATAAATAAAAAGTTGATATACATTTATTCCATTTTGTTTCATTGTCACTAAAAGATAATCTCACTTTCTTGAGTTAGATACTTTTTGATAACTCTCTTATAGAAAAGAAATATATCCAATGTTTTCAAAATCAGCATACAGGGTTGTGGTGCCCACATGCGGTTTTGATGAGCACATGGTACGCAGAGGACATTGTTTCACGTCCACTTTTATGCAGCACGGCTAAGGAAAGAAACCCAGATTTTAAAAGCGTATTGTGGGATGGACCCCAAATGGCACCATTTGTAACATTCCAACTCTCCTAATTGCCATGAAGAACATTTACTCAAATATTCAAATATTCATTTATGCACTGAAGTATTCATTGAGTCCGTATTTAGGCACTGTTCTTAGTGCTTGTGATATGTAGTGAATACAATGGAGAAAGTTTCCTGACCTCAGGGTGCCTAAGTTCCAACATGAAGCCAAATTCACCTAAAATAAGACATCTCCTTTTTATATTAATAGCATAGAACATTTTTATAACATAGTGCATCATTCATATTAGACTTTTATATTGCTAGTAAATACCCTCATATATTTTTCTTTTTGACTTTCATCTCTCTTACCCAACCCTACCCTTCTGCAACAGAAAGTGAATGTAATATTCTTCTTAGGTATGAGGCAAACACTTATAGTTAGCACTAAAGCTCAACACAAAATTACTATAATGCAGCAGCTGATTTTTACAACTGAGCAGAGTGGCAATAATCAGATTTATTTCTATACCTTGCTAACTAAAAATATGGCAGAGATTTAGTAATTTTTTTTTTTTTTTTTTGCTACTGCAGACAAAAACACTCTCCACAAATACTGGTCAGCAGTTTCTTCCTGATAGGAGTTTGAATACCCATGAAGCCCTAAAATAAAGAATTTTCTCTTGGGAATTAGTTTTGTTTGGATATGACTCTCTCTCTCTTTCTCGCAGCTACATACAAACAACATGAGATTTATAAAGTAAGAGGAGAATTTTCAAGGTAACTAAAGTGCCACTTATGAGAGGAGCATGAACAGTTTTGAAAATGGTGAGATAACCCAGGAAGAGAGACTGATTTATTGGATTATCTTTGGCTGATGAAAGGCAGACTGAAAGGCTTTAAAATACTGCCCACACGTGCCCTATTGACTCAGGTCCTCTTTACCTGGCTGCAATGAGGTCCAGGAGATGCTGCCACCGGTCGTTGACCTTTCCCAGCTTGTATTCAATCTCAGATGCTTTGCTTTCATGGCTGGCTTTAGCAAGTCGTTCTCCCATTTGTTGGAGCTGTATTTTGTTCTCTTGAGCAATAGCAATTTCCTCTTGATAATCCTGTGTAATAAATAGCAATCACAGAGGTCAGAAAGCATATTCTTAATACATCCAGCCCAGCTCTACTAGAAACATGATGATTACTGCTTTCTACTGCTTGGAAGTAGTTTGAGCATAGGAATACCATGTGGATATCAGCCCATGTGCACAAGTATTAGTAGTGCCTATTATTTTTGGTATGTATGCAGAGTTGGGATTAAATTTTTATATAGAGGTTCTCGAAATAAATAGGATGCTGCTTCCTATTTACTTGAAATACATATTAAAAAACAATAAAAGATAGATATAAAAAATAAAACTTAAAAGATTTTAATATTGGAAAATTATAGTTTATTTCTCTCATCACTAACCTGATGTTATACTTAGAATAAATTCTCAGACAAATAGTTGCTGAGAGACTTATAAAATGCACACACACATATATATATGCAATTGATATATAGGTATATATATAAATGTGAATGTGTGTGTCAATTATGTTATTTGTGAGGAATATTTTAAAAGAGTTCCTTCATTTTAAAGAGATAATCCTCTATACAATGTCAATATTTTGCAGTAAATAAATCAATGATAAATTAACTTTCAATAATAATAACTATTAACTATAGAGAATCGACAGGCCTCAAACCTTCTTAATTTACTCACTTTCTGTGCTAGCTTCTCTTAGATTGTTTGAGTTAAAGAGGACAGACTCCATATGGACTATTTGCAAGAGATAAGCACGAAATGGTGTGATTTAACTGACGATGAAAGGACAATCCCCTCCCCCTGACTGCCACTGCTATCCCCAATGACCCTCTTACTCTCTTGCCACAGTGACAGGATCCAGTCTTTAGGATCAACTTTTTTATTTTTGGCTTAAGCTCCTGTTACGTAATAAATAGTTTCTCAGCAAAATAATATATGAAGACGGGTATTATATGAGTGTGAACATTTTAACCTTCTCTTGGTCTAAAGTTAGTGTGGTAACAGAGCTATCCTCCCAAGTCATTTACCTAAGCCAAAGGGCCCCAGGGGAATGGTAGGGACCAACAAAACTTTATTCCATTCCAGGGCTGACTGCTGTCCTCATACCTGCAGCCCCACCCACCCTCCTTTTTATGTTATTTCAACACAATGGGATTCAAAGACCAATACGTTGAATGTATTTATTAACATTATAATATTTCAGCAAACATTTGAGATGATTTTATTGAGAAGTGTTTCTTTCAAGGGAATTACTTTAAGACTTAAAAAGTATTTATAATAAAATAATCCTCTTGGATTGTCTTTAAAATCAAACTGTTTTTGAGTGTTAATACCAACAGACACTAATATCTTGGCTTCAATTTTTTTTATGAATGGCCTTTTTCTTTTTCCTTCATCTTATTAGCACTTCCCAGTTGACAACTGCCTTTTTCTATGTTGCCAAAATTACCAAACCTTGATGTTATTTTCCTTTACAAAAGAGACGCCACAAAGAGGAAAACTCAAAAGCCCTTTAAAAAAAAACCCATGAGTTATTAATATACGAGGTAGTATAGTTAACATTTTAAATAATATTCCTAACATTGTGCCAAACAATGTAATAAAATTATCTATATGAAAAGCTGAAATTTTTCTAAATTTTAAGTTCTGGTTATAGATTGTTCAAGAGATGGTTTTTTTCCCCACACTCTCACAATATACATCCTAAATTTAGTAAAAAAAAAGCAATGAGAATAGAGACAAACTTAATCAAAATTTATTCTATAGCAAATTTTACTCTACTACCTATAGTGCATGAATCACGCACTGACAGCATTCTCTGACACCCAGCAACTTAGCAAAGGGCAACCGTGAGCAGATGCTAAAATGAAATCTGTATCATCTCAGCCAAGAGTTTTAAGTTTTACAATATCAAGTAAACAAATGCTTATCCATTTGGATTTATCCAATGGATAAGCAAATTGGATACATAAAGGCTTATCTAATGGCAAATCCATTAGATTTGTAACATCATTAATAGTACATGTTGGCTTTGGATGTTTTAATTTTCTATGTGTGCATATGGATAGAAATAATTTTTCCTAATAACCATTTATATTTCTTTTCAGAATAAATGCAGTAAATACTGGCTGAGTGCTTATGAGAAGTTAGGCACTGTTTCAGGTGCAGGGGATATAGCAATAAACAAAATTAGACAAAGCCCATGCTCCTGGAAAGCTGACAGATCAGTGGGGTCTCCATTTGGACAATGAATAAGTAAATACAAAAAATACATTGTACATTAGATGGTGATATGTACTAATGAGAAGCACAAATTAAAATAACATTAAAATCACTGATTGTTCACAAGCACTGTGGAAACAACACTGAAATCACCCAATTCTTTTTTTTTTTTTTTTTTTTTGAGACAGAGTGTCACTCTGTCACCCAGGCTGGAGTGCAGTGGCACAATCTCGGCTCACTGCAACCTCCATCTCCTGGGTTCAAGTGATTCTCTTGCCTCGGCCTCCTGAGTAGCCAGGACTACAGGCATGTGCCACCATGCCTGGCTAATATTTTGTATTTTTAGTAGAGATGGGGTTTCACTGTGTTGGCCAGGCTGGTCTCAAAATCCTGGCCTCTGGTGATCTGCCTGTCTCACTTCCCAAAGTGCTGGGATTACAGGCGTGAGCCACCGCACCCGGCCGAAATCATCAAAAATTTTAAAATGCTAGCAAATTTGATCAGCTTTATATAGACATCAGAAATGTTTTGGATCCAAATGAATATGTAAAATAATTTGATAAGATATACATACCTTTAAAATAATATGAAGCCAAAATTATCAGGAAACTCTTAATTCCTATCTGTGGTCTATAAATCATATTTTAGAGAGAAAATGTCAATTCAATTTATCTTAAGAATGTTTTCTTTCAGTTTCTCTCTAGTGGCTTTACCTTTTTAAAACAAAAAAAAATACACAAAAAACAAAAAAAAAAGGAAAGAAAAATAATACATATAAAGGGTTCCTACTGAACAGGTAATTAAGACCCCCAAATACTGAACTGAATAGTAGATGCTCTATTTCATCACAAATTGCAAGTATTCTATATATTTTATGTGTAAAGCAGGCCTTTTTATGCAAGTTTATTTTATGCTGGATATCCTTTTTTTTTTTTTTTTTTTTTTTTTTTTTTGAGACAGAGTCTCGTTCTGTCACCAGGCTGGAGTGCAGTGGCACGATCTCGGCTCACTGCAATCTCCGCCTTCTGGGTTCAAGTGATTCCCCTGCCTCAGCCTCTAGAGTAGCTGGTACTACAGGCGCGCACCACCACGCCAGGCTAATGTTTTGTATTTTAGTAGAGACAGGGTTTCACCATGTTGGCCAGGATGGTCTTGATCTCCTGACCTCATGATCTGCCCACCTCAGCCTCCCAAAGTGCTGGGATTACAGGCGTGAGCCACTGCGCCCAGCTGCAAGTTTATTTTATATTAAAAAGATAAAATGTTTAAAATATACTGCTCCTTTGACAGGAAAGTAATTGTGAGTAAAGCCACCTTCTGTACCTGTGAAAAGTACACATAAGCCTTATGAAGAATGAAAACCTAAGTAGCCATGCATTCCATACCTTCTTGAGCTTCTCTATCATTTCTTCAATGAGAATGTCTCCATTCTGAGAAACTTTGCTTTCCATTTGAGTCAACCACTCACAGAGTTCCTTGTTCTTTTCACTGAAGACTGCCCATTCATTCAATCTTTCACCTATTTGCTGCCGCCTTAAGGAGAGCTGAAAAGTTTAAAATGGGAGAATAGGCAAAATGATTATCAGAGAGAAGACCACACTCCAAGGAAAATAGCAAATAAACTAGGACTAAAATGAATGATAGTCATACATCTTTTTAGCCCACTGTTTCCTGAAGTCTAGGATTTGCTATTATAAAGTGGGAGACATTGAATCCTCTAGTTCTTTCCTGAAGATTCACATACACATTAGCTTATTAAAGGTTCTGGATAATGCAACTTCACACAATTGGTTCAGGATAGATAGGATACATGACCAGTGAATGTAAAAAAGAAAGAAGAAATGGAAAAGAGTAGGGAAAGAAGAAAGGAAAGAAGGGAAGTAAAAGGAAAGAGAGATGGTAAAGAAGGGAGGAAAAAAAAGGAAAGAAAGAAAAAAGGAATAGAAAGATGAAAGAAAAGAGTAAAAATAGGGAAGGAAGAAGAAAAGGAAGAAAAGAAGGGATGGAAGAATGAGCCTCAGGTATCTAGAGAGTGAGGAAGCGGGCAGCATCCAAGCGAAGCGGCCTGAAATGGAGGCAGGTGCCCCAAGGCTCAGCTCCATACTGACACGTGGACTCCAGGCAAGTTCCTCTACTTCTCTGCAGTTTTCATTTTTATTTATTTAATTTTGTTTCTTTTCCTTCTTTTTTTTTCGCATGACAGATTTATTAAGATGTATTTCACATATGATACAATCACCTGTTTAAAAATGTACAGTTCAGTGCTTTTGGGTATATTCACAGCATTTGTGAATCACCACCATCATCAATTTTAGGATATTTTTATCATTCCAAAAAAAAAAAAAAAGCCAGGTGCAGTGGCTCACGTCTGTAATCCTAACACTTTGGGAGGCCAAGGCGGGCAGAATCCTAACACTTTGGGAGGCCAAGGCGGACAGATCACTAGAGGTCAGGAGTTCGAAACCTGCGTGGCCAACATGGTGAAACCCCATCTCTATTAAAAATACAAAAATTAGCCAGGTATGGTGGCGCACACCTGTAATCCCAGCTACTTGGGAAGTTGAGGCAGGAGAGTCGCTTGGGCCCAGGAGGCAGAGGTTGCAGTGAGCCGAGATTGTGTCACTGTGTTCCAGCCTGGGTGACAGAGCAAGACTCCACCTCAAACAACAATGACCACCACCACAACAATGAAAACCTTGTAGCCATCAGCAGTTACTCTACTGCTCCTCCTCACTTACCTCCCAGTTCTAATCTCCCTTCTGTCCCTGTGGATTTGCCTATTCTGGACATTTCATATACATGGAATCATACAATATGTAGTCTTCTATGACTGGCTTCTTTCACTTAGCATATTTTAAAGATTCACCTATATTGTAGCATGTATCAATACTTCATTCCCTTTATTGCTGACTATATTCCATTGTATGAATATACCACATTGCATTTATCAACTCATCTTATTTGGGTTGTTTCCATTTTTTTGCCTATTCTGAATAATGCTGTTATAAACATTTGTGCACAAGTGTTTGTATGAACACATGTTTTCATTTCTCCTAGGTGTTTATCTAGGAGTAGAATGTCTTGGTCATATGGTAACACTATAGATTGTTTTCCAAAGTGGCTGCCCATTTCACATTCCCACCAGTAGTAGGATTCCAATTTCTCTACATCTTCACCAACACTTGATTACAGCCATCCTAATGGATGTGAAGTGGTATCTGATGATGGTTTTGATTTGCATTTCCCTAAAGGCTAACAATACTGAGACTCTTCATGTTTCTTAGCCATTTGTATATCTCCTTTGGAGAATTATCTACTCAAATCCGTTGCCTGCTTTTTAATTAGATTGCCTTTTTATTACTGAGTTCTGAGAGTTTCTTATACATTATATATATACAATGGGCTTGTTTTCCTATCTCTAGGTCTAGAATTATCCTTTCCAGAATTCTAAAATTTTCTGATTTCAAAATATAATACTCTTGTGTTCATAGTGCTGGTTGAAATACTAAGGAATGTTTCTAGTTGAGTTAAACTACACGTTGGCAAAACATAATATGATTTGGTAAGAAGGTCTGAAGACGTTCTTCCACAGTCTTGTTCATAATGCTAGCTATTCCACTATTCATTCCACTGCATTAAACATATCCCTATTGATTTTATTTTACCCCCAACATTTTATTACAAAACATTTCCGACACAGAAAAGCTGAAGGAATTGGATGGTAAGCACTCATTACATACTCCCTGGGCTCAAACTGTTAACATTTTGCTATATTTTGTTTTAAGACATTTTCCTTCCTTAATACATTTACTTTTTATGTATTTCAAACAAATTTCCTTTTTAAAATGAAAATGAAAATATTTCTAAGGTATTATACACTTTCTAGTTATCAATTCTGTCTTGGATTTGCTCTGTTAATGATTAGACAGATAACACAAAACTAAATATCTGTGATTCTACATCCTTGTACACTAGTCCAGGAGCCCAGGATACGTATCCCAAGGCCAGCCTTAGGCATAGTGAGTTGCCTAGAGAGTGAGCCCCATAACCTACCATAAATTTTGAAAGGCCACCATGAGAAATTTATTCTTTTGATTCAATTATGATCTTTTAAAGTAAAAGTTTTTCTGGGTTGGGTGACACTGGTGAACCTACTAAGTATTTCCCCATTAGTATAATTTAGTTTCTCATTGAGGTTTTTGGAGGCAGAATAATACAGAACAGTCAAAGGGCAGTGAACTTGGGGTAGGGCCTACTAGAAATGGAAAAAGCTAAGGAAACAGAGATTTAAAAGTTTTGGGGACAAATTTTGTCACTTTACACCATACCCCAAATAGCACTGAAGAACATAATCCTTCCAGGACCCCTTACCCCTCTAGCTCTGAGAGCCGCGTGCACTCTGATCTTCTGCTGATCTCTCAGATTGAGAACTCTCTGGTGAATACGGCCTTTTCCCTTTCATTCACAGAGCAGCAAGAGTCAGGAGTCTGGCTGGTAGTTAAAATCCCGGTTCAATTGATGGCCAAACTGAAACTATACTCTTATTATTTGGACTGCCCAAAATAATCATTGTCTATGAATCGAAGCTGGGCCTGGTGGCACATGCCTGTAATCCCAGCACTTTGGGAGGCCGAGGTGGGCAGAGTTCAAGACCAGCCGGGCCAACATAGTGAAACCCCACCTCTACTAAAAAAACAAAAATTAGCCAGGCGTGGTGGCAGCCATCTGTAATCTCAGCTACTCGGGAGGCTGAGGCAGGAGAATCGCTTGAGCCCGGGAGGCGGAAGATGCAGTGAGCCAAGATCACACCACTGCACTACAGCCTGGGCAACAGAGTGAGAAGAAAAAAAAAGAAAAAGAATCGAAACTCCTGCCCTTCAGACTGAAGATGAACAAGTAACTCCTTACACTGCCCCCGAATCTTGGCCATAAGCCAAGAATGAACTCTAGGCCTTTACTCACCAATATCTGCAGGGAGGATGGTCCCAAAATAGAAAAATATTACCTATTACTTTCATAGGTAAGTATTATTATCCCCATTCCAGAGACAAGGAATATGAAAGTTGGACAAATTTGGGGCACTTGTTTAGAATCAGTACAAGATAAGACCAGCAAAGTTTGAGTCTTTGACATGGGGTGCAAATATGATTAAATATCCAGAGGCAGCTGATATTCAAAAATAGTTCATCCATCACTGACTAACTGCATGATCAGGACAAGGTCCCTCATTTTCTCTACGACTTACTCCTTTCATTTGGAAATTATTCTTATGTTTGCTCCAAAAATTCATTAAACAAATGTTTATTGTCTGTAGTAAACAAGTGTCTCTATGTGCCCAGCACTGTCCTATCAATATGGTAATATTAGAGAAATAAGAGAGTAATTTAAGAAATTGACTGATATGGCCAGGCGCACTGGCTCACGCCTATTATCCCAGCACTTTCGGAGACTGAAGCAGGTGGATCACTTGAGGTCAGGAGTTTGAGACCAGCCTGGCCAACATGGTGAAACCACATCACTATTAAAAGAATACAAAATTAGCAGGGCATGGTGGCAGGTGCCTGTAATCCCAGCTACTTGGGAGGCTGAGGCAGTAGAACTGCTTGAACCCAGGAGGCACAGGTTGCAGTGAGCCAAGATCGCACCACTGCACTCCAGCCTGGGCAACAAGGGTGAAACTCTGTTTCAAAAAAAAAAAAAAAAAAAGAAAGAAATTGACTGATATATATTAAAGACCTGACAACAGCTGGCCATTACTATGCTGTTGCTACTAGTACTATTATACATGACTACAGGGCATCACTTAAGTTTTAAATTTTTTTTCCTCCCTTGACACTCATGTATTCCATATCTCCACTAAGCAGCTGGATTATACACATATATAGATAGATAGATAGATAGATAGATAGATAGATAGATAGATAGATAAAATATATATTAAATCCCTTGTGTTTATCACACACCATGAAAATGTTGCTTTCATTTTCTTACCACGGAGCTACACCTTAAAAAAGACACAGTGAGGCTACAAGCACTGGGTGCAAACCCAGGCCAAACGCTTTTCAAAAGATAAGGGCAATGGCATCTTCCTTCTGGTTTGTACATCTAGTATTTAGTCTATATACTAAGTAAACATTACCATCTCTTTCTTTGGATTCAGATGAACCCTCAAATTATTTATCAGCTTAGCACCTATTTATGTTTTTGCAAGGGCACAAATACATTGCATTGCCAACAGCTGAGAAGCACCAGCTAAAACCTTCAGAGTGTGCAGCAGCTCAACAGGAAATACATCCTTTTCTGGTTGAAATATTTTTACCATGATGTTTTGACAAAACAACGAGCAATTACGATGATGACATATACTTATATTTCAGCTAGAATTACACACAAATCTACAAACCAAAACAGAATAAAAACAAGTATAAGCTCTGGCTGTACACAGGCACAACAAAACATTTGGGCTGTCTACTTGAAAACAGATACTTTAATATATTAACTCTGCCCTGCAATGTTTACTCACGGCCTCTATTCCGCATTCTCATCGCCAGTCCCAGGTACTCCAGACTCCTCATCAACTGCTTTGGTCAGAATAGGAACAGACTACTTGCTCCTTAGTAGGGATAATGTTATGTTGAACTCAAGTTTTGACTTTTACAATGAGACATGGGCACAAGCTCATTTCCTTTTGTGGTTTCATACTTGACAGAAATTCACCAGAAACAACTAACTCAAGAACGAGAAACTAATCTATATCCTCCTTAGAGTTACATCCTGGCACCTTGATCAAACCCATGACTAAACTCTCATTGGTTTAAATATTATTTTTCAGACTGAAGTATTAATAACGTAAGTACGCTTTAGCTTCAAGCATTAAGACACTTCAACATGGAAAGTTTCTAAAAACACTATGTATTCCGTTTGCTGTTTCTTTTTAACGTCTTAGTCTCCTCACAGGTGCAAGTTATTAATCTATTTACAGCATATCGCATGATCAACATCAGCTTTTGAAATATATTTTCAGATGGCTGTCTAGATATATCTAAGTCTGGAGAACAATTTTACAACATATGAATGACTACTTTAGCAATTAATAATAGCAATAATTCCATGGCATTTTTATACAACACTTTTCCTAAATCAAAAAGTATTGCATAACCATAATCTTCTTAATCTTCAAAATATTCAAAATCTTGTCATTATTTTACACTAAGAGAAACGTAAGTATGAGGAAATAGAATCGATGCCATAATGTCTTCATTATAAACAATACATCATGAACACTTAGCTACTCTAGACACTGAAGATGCAAAGAAATGGTCTTTGCATATCAAAGTCCTCATATTCTTGGAATGAGGTCACAAACATTGAAAAGAATAATAACACAATGCCACATAATGGCACAACCAAAAGAGAAATAAGAATTCAGAGGACCAAGAACATACTGAGGGCTGAGAATTTCATAAGTGACATCACAGGAGTTGTGGAATGTAAAAGAAAACAGGTTAGAAAATTAGAAGGGAAGACCGGGCACGGTGGCTTACGCCTGTCATCTCAGCACTTTGGGAGGCTGAGGTGGGCAGATCACCTGGGGTCGGGAGTTGGAGACCAGCCTGACCAACATGGAGAAACCCTGTCTCTACTAAAAATACAAAATTTACAGGGCGTGGTGGCACATGCCTGTAATCTCAGTTACTCGGGAGGCTGAGGCAAGAGAATCACTTGTACCCAGGAGGTGGAGTCTGCGGTGAGCCGAGATCACACCATTGCACTCCAGCCTGGGCAACAAGAGAGCAGCTCTGTGTCAAAAAAAAAAAAAAAAAAAAAAAAAAAAAAAAAAAAAAAAGAAGAAGAAGAAAATTAGAAGGGAAGAAACAGTGTCGGCAGGAAGAGTGGCATAATCCAGGTCTTTGGGGAGGGAAGTTCATGGCATGTTTGAAGCAAACAGGATCCAATCTCTAAAATATTATCTCTCTGAAGGCTTCACAGGCATCATTTAGCTAAAGCAATAGATCTGGTCTAATTCAATTCATCGAACATGCTAAAAAATATTAAGAGAGCAGGTAGTGCTAGACTTCTCCTAAAATTAAGAAAAACAGATGAATGGGCTCACAAACGTAACTGAAGGTTGCTGTGATAATTTCCCACAATTTGTACCCACCAAATATCTTTCATTTTGATACATCATGATAAAGTCTTTACATTGCAAAATTATAGGATGATTTACTGTATAATAAGGTATTGCTTTCAGTTTGAAGAATTCAGAAATGAATCAAGTGTTGTGATTAGCATTACTACCCTCTATGCGTAAATCCATGTAAATTCCTCATTGTGTTCACTGAGAAAATGAAGCTTTGTGAAAGTAGCCAAATTCATTTTGAACTCAAATCATTAACATGTTGGTAAAAGCCATCTCATACATGTATCCCCCGTTTTAAAAAGTATATATTCATAGGAAACTGCTCACACATCTACCATGTGTGCTCCAGAGTTTTCTGTTGGCCCACGGATTGAGAAAAACATGGGTTTTCACCTAAATATACAGAGAGAAATTTTCCTGAAAATACACTTCTTGTTGATATCACATCAATCAAGAGGCTCTGAGCCTCTTAAACTCTGTTTAATGGTTCCTGAAGTATGAGGATAAGCATCTCTAAAGTCAGAGAAAGGGTGGAGGATGGGAGACAAAAGAGATCCCAGGGCAGCACAATTGGCAGGGACATAAGAGTAGGGACATAAGAGCCCCCTCTCAACAGCCCCTTCCTCAGTCTTCCCACACCAGCTTTTTCCAGCCAGTTCCTCTGCTCCAACTGCCACCTTGTCAGAGTGTTCATTTGCTTCCTCCCATCAATCAGTCTCCTCCACTCCCCTTTTCGAAACTCAATTCAAAATGTATCCATCTCAAGAAACATTTCCTTTATTCCTTGCCATCCACACTAGCCTTAGCTTGCTTAAATCTTTATACAGTTTGTGTGTGTGAGAGAGAGAGAGAGAGATGGAGTTACGCTCTTGTTGCCCAGGCTGGAGTGCAATGGTGTGATCTCAGCTCACTGCAACCTCCGGCTCCTGGGTTCAAGTGATTTTCCTGCCTCAGCCTCCCAAGTAGCTGGGATTACAGGCACCCGCCACCATCCGCGGCTAATTTTTGTATTTTTAGTAGAGACAGGGTTTCACCATGTTGGCCAGGCTGGTCTTGAACTCCTGACCTCAGGTGATCCACCCGCCTCAGCCTCCCAAAGTGCTGGGACTACAGTCATAAGCCACCACACCTGGGTCCTTTAGACAGTTTTATACATTGTTTTTACCTGTTTATGCCTGGTTTTCTTCTTAACTGTACACATTCTCCTAGACTGATTTTAGTCTCAGATCAAGTTTAAACTTGACGATAGGGACATTTATTACAGTTTGTTAACATCACAATTATTAAGATGACTGATCCATTTAACAGAGATGTATCACAGCCTATTATGTGCCAGGCAGGGCACTCGGGGTATAGAAGTAACAAAGACAGGGCCCTGCTTCCTGGAGAACATAACCTCAAGGCATTTGGGTCTGTTCTTCATTATGAGCCTTTGAATCTGTTTTTCCTCTTTGCCTAGGATGTCTTCTCGCTGCCTTTCCACCAATCTTTCCCTTTCATTTCCAACTCAAAGTCAATCTGGGATATTTTTTTAAAACGTTGTGCACATAGAAGGTATTTAATAAATGAATAAAGTATGACTAAAAATAAATGAATATAAATTACCAGGAAACAACTACAGTAAATTAAAAGTGATAATAAATATTCCCTGAACAAAACCAGCTCCACAGTATTAGCTAATGTTGCAAATACAACAGTAGTTTTTCACGTTTCAAGTATATCTACCCAGCAAAATCACATCTGTGAACCATAACATTGTGCTTTCTCTTAAAAATATTATGCCAGCGGCCAGGCACGGTGGCTCACGCCTGCAATCCCAACACTTTGGGAGGGCGAGGCGGACAAATCACAAGGTCAGGAGATCGAGACCATCCTGGCTAACACGGTGAAACCCCATCCCTACTAAAAATACAAAAAATTAGCTGGGCATGGTGGCAGGTGCCTGTAGTCCCAGCTACTTGGGAGGCTGAGGCAGGAGAATGGCGTGAACCTGGGAGGTGGAGCTTGCAGTGAGCCGAGATTGTGCCACTGCACTCCAGCCTGGGCAAAAGAGTGAGACTCTGTCTCAAAAAAAAAAAAAAAAAAAAAAAAAAAATATATATATATATATATATATATATATATATATAAAATGCCAGCCAGCAAAAGTGAAAGAAAAAGAATCCAGTTTAGGTTTTTCTAAAATGTGGTAAAATATAAATGTATTGATCTGAAATGTTCTGGTAGTAACCACAGTGTTCTTCCTTTGTCCGTACTAAGAATTATGGGCCGGGTCCACATGTGGGTTAACCCATCTGACGTTCAAATTCATCTCCCAATTTTCCATCATCAAGATAATTCCATTTTTAGAACTTATCTTACCTGGTGGCATAGTTCTTCCCACTGCCTTTGCAGAAGCTCTACGCGTTCATTAAGAATGGAGATATCATCAGCACTGATATAGGCAGAGAGGGTGTCCTTCAGCAGGCTCAACTGGGTCAAGTCATCTGTCCAGCTCCCAACTGCATTTTCTAATTCCTAAATAAAAAAACAAACTTGAATACCCACGGACATCTCCTGCCAATGATTTCTGAAGTGTTTTTGAATCCCCTCTTGATAGAATTTCCTTTGTATAGCCCTCAATTTAAATATCTAACTTGGGATCTAGAGGCACATCATGGCAATATTACAGATTTGGTTCCAGACCACTGAAATAAAGTATATATCACAATAAAGTGAGTCACAAATTTTTTGGTTTCTCAGTGCATATAAAAGTTATGTTTACACTATACTATTGTGTATAAAATGTGCAATAGCATATGTCTAAAAAAACCAATGTACATACCTTAATTTAAAAATACTTTATTGTTTAAAAATGCTAATGATCATCTGAGGCCTCAGCAAGTCATAATCTTCTTGCTGGTGGAAGGTCTTGGCTCAACGTGAAAGGCCATTGACTGATCCAGTGGTGATTGATGAAGGCTAGGGTGGCTCTGGCAATTTCTTAAAATAAGACAATGAAGTTTAAGCAGCACTGATGACTCTTCCTTTTACAAAAGTTTCCTTGTAGCATGTGATGCTGTTTGAGAGCATTGTACTCACAGAACTTTTTTCAAAATTTGAGTCATCCTCTCAAACCCTACTGCTACTTTATCAACTAAGTTTATGTAATACTTGAAATCCTTTGTTGTTACTTCAACAATATCCACAGAATTTTTACCAGAAGTAGATTCCATTTCAAGAAGCCACTTTCTTGTTGACGGCCATACCACCCTAAACATGCCCAATCTTGTCTGGTCTCAGAAGAAACCACTTTTTTTATTGATCCATAAGAAGCAACTCCTTATCCATTCAAGTTTTAACATGAGATTGCAGAAACTCAATCACATCTTCAGGCTCCATCTCTAACTCTAGTCCTCTTGATGTTTCCACCTCATCTGGAGCTACTCCCTCCACCACTGAAGTCTTGAACCCCCTCAAAGTCATCCACGACAGCTGGAATCAACTTCTTCCAAACACATGTTAATGTTGACATTTTGACCTCCTCCCATGAATCATGAATGTTGCTTTTGTGAAAATAAAATTTATTTTTAATTTTTGTGGGTACATAGTAGGTGTACATATATATGGGGTATATGAGATATTTTAATAGATGATAGCAAAGTAAATATGGTATTCATCACCTGAAGCATTTATCCTTTGTGTTACAAACAATCCATTTATACCCTTTTATTTATTTAAAAATGTATGATTAAACTCTTACTGACTACATTTGCCTTGTTGTTCTATCAAATACTTTTCTATTTTTTGTAACCATTAACCATCCTCATCACCCCTGCAGCCTCCATGTACCCTCCCAAGCTCTGGTAACCATCTTTCTACTCTCTATCTCCATGAGTTCAGCTGTTTTAATTTTTAACTCCCACACATAAGTGAAAACATGTTGAATGACAGTGGTGAAAGTGGACATCCTTGTTGTGTTCCAGATCTTAGAGGAAAGGCTTTCAGTTTTTCCTTATTCAGTATGATGCTACCTGTGGATCTGCCATATATGGCTTTTATTATGTTGAGCTATGTTTCTTCTATGCTCAGTTTTTTGAGGGTTTTTATCAGGAAAGGTTGAATTTTATCAAATGCTTTTCAGCATCAATAGAAATGATCATATAACTTTTGTCTTTCATTCTGTTGATCTGATGTACACATTGATTAATTTGAGAATGTTCAACCATCATTGCATCCCTGGGATAAATTCCACTTGGTCATGATGAATGATCTTTTTAATGCACAGTTAAATTCAGTTTGCTATTATTTTAATGAATATTTTTACATAAATGTTCATCAGAGATATTGTTCTATAATTTTCCTTTTTTTTTTTTTTTTGATGTGTCTTTGTCTGGTTTTGTTAGCAGGGTAATAGTAGCCTTGTAGAATGAGTTTGGAAGTATTCCCTCCTCCTCTATTTTTCAGAATAGATTGAGTAGGATTGGTATTAGTTCTTCTTTAAATGTTTGGTAAAATTCAGTAGCGAAGCCATCAGGTCCTGGGCTTCTTTGCTGGGAGACTTTTTATTATGGCTTCAATCTTGTTACTTGCTATTGGTCTGCTTTTGGATTTCTTCATGGTTCAATCTTGGCAGGTTGTATGTCTCTAGGAAATCATCCATTTCTTCTAGGTTTCCCAATTTATTGGCATATAGTTGCTCATAAAAGCCGCTAAAGATCCTTTAAATTTCTGTGGTATTGGTTGTAATGTCTCCTTTTTCATTTAGATCTTCTCTTTTTTTCTTAGTCTGGCTAATGGTTTGTCAATTTATCTTTTCAAAAAATAAACTTTTCATTTTGTTGATCTTTTGTATTGTTTTCTTCATTTCCATTTCATTTATTTCTGCTTTAAGCTCCATTATTTCTTCTACTAACTTTGAGTTTGGTTTGCTCTTGCTTTTCTAATTCTTTAAGATGCATTGTTAGGTTATTTATTTGAAGTTTTTCTTCTTTTTTGATGTAGGTGCTTGTATCTATAAACTTCCATCTTAGTACTGCTTTCACTGTATTACGTAGGTTTTGGTATGTTGTGTTTCCATTATCATTTGTTTCAAGAAATTTTTCTATTTCCTTTTTAACCTCTTCATTGACTCACTGGTCATTCAGAAACACATAGTTTAATTTCTATGTGTTTGTATAGTTTCCAAAATTCTTTTTACTATTGATTTCTAGTTTTATTCCATTATGATCAGAGAAGATACTTGATAAAATTTCACTTTTGTTTGAATGTTTTAAGACTTGTTTTGTGGCCTAACATATAGTCTATCCTTGAGAATGATCCATATGCTGGGGAGAAGAATGTGTATTTTGTAGCTGTTGGATGAATGTTCTGTAAATATCTGTTAGGTCCATTTGGTCTGCAGTGCAGATTAACTCCAGTGTTTTTTTGTTTATTTTCTGTCTGGATGATCTCTCCAATGCTAAAAGTGGGGTGTTGAAGACTGCAGCTATTATTGTATTTGGGTCTAATGTCTCTCTTTAGCTCCAATAATATTTGCTTTATATACCTGGATACATGAGCATACATAAGTGACAGAAAACCAAGGAAAAAAATTAAATGTATATTATTATTATTATTTGAGACAGAGTCTCAGTCTGTCACCTAGGCTGGAGTGCAGTGGTGTGATCTTGGCTCACTGTAACGTCCACCACCTGGGTTCAAGTGATTCTCCCACCTCAGCCTCTCAAGTAGCTGGGACTACAGGAGCACATCACCATGTCCGACTAATTTTTTTGTATTTTTAGTAGGGACTGGGTTTTGCCATGTTGACCAGGCTGTTCTCAAACATATAAATATATATTATATATTTATCTGGGTGGTCCAGTGTTGGGTGTATATATATTTACAAATGTTATAACTTCTGTTATATCCTCTGGCTGAATTAACCCCTTTTTCATCATATAATGACATTCTTTGTGTCTTTTTATAGTTTTTGTCTTGAAACCTATTTTGTCTGATATAAGTATAGCTATTCCTGCCCTTTTTGCTTTCCATTTGCATAGAATATCGTTTTCCATCCCTTTATTTTCAGTGTATGTGTGTCTTTACAGATGAAGTGTGTTTCTTGTAGGCAACAGATCATTGGGTCTTATGTTTTTTAATCCATTTAGTCACTCAATGTCTTCTGAGTTTAGTTCATTTATATTAAATGTTGTTATTGATAAGTAAGGACTTAATACTGCCATTTTATTATTTGTTTTTTTCTGGTTGTTTATATGGTCTTCTCCCCCTTCCTTCCTTCCTGTCTTCTTTTCAGTGAAGGTGATTTCACTGTTGGTATGTTTTAATTTGTTGCTTTTTATTTTTTGTGTATCCACTGAATGTTTTCAGACTTGAGGTTACCATGATGTTTTCAAATAATATCTTAATACACATTATTTTAAACTGATGACAACTTAATACTGATTGCATAAATGAGCAAACTAACAAACAAGCAAAAAGAAAACTAGTAAAAACTCTACACTTTAACTTTGTCAGCTCACTGCAATCTTTGCCTCCCAGATTCAAGCAATTCTCATGCTTCAGCCTCCCGAGTAGCAGGGACTACAGGCACACGCCACCCCACCTGGTTAATTTTTATAATTTTGTTAGAGACAGGGTTTTGCCATGTTGACCAGGTTGGTCTCAAACTCCTGGCCTCAAGTGATCCACCCACCTTGGCCTCCTAAAGTGCTGGGAATACAGGTGTGAGCCACCATGCCCAGCCATGTTGTTTCTTATTTATATCTTATCATACTTGTCTATATATTGAAAAGTTGTAGTTATTATTTTTGATCAGCTCATCTTTTCATCTTTCTACTTAAGGTATAGTTTATACAGGCCAGGCGCGGTAGCTCACGCCTGTAATCCCAGCACTCTAGGGGGCCAAGGTGGGCAGATCATGAGGTTAGGAGATCGAAACCATCCTGACTAACACGGTGAAACCCTGTCTCTACTAAAAAAATACAAAAAATTAGCCGGGCGTGGTGGTGGGTGCCTGTAGTCCCAGCTACTCAGGAGGCTGAGGCAGGAGAATGGCATGAACCCAGGAGGCAGAGCTTGCAGTGGGCCAAGATCCCGCCACTGCACTCCAGCCTGGGCAGCAGAGCAAGACTGTCTCGAAAAAAAAAAAAAAAGGTATAGCTTATACAACACAATTGCAATGTTATAATATTCTATGTTTTTCTGTGTATTTACTATTACCAGTGAGTTCTGCACCTTCACATGCTTTCTTATTGCTCATTAACATTCTTTTCTTTCAGATTGAAGAACTCCTTTTAGTACTTCTTGTAGGTCAGGTCTGATGTTAATGAAATCCCTTAGCTTTTGTTTGTTTGAAAAAGTCTATTTTTCCTTCATGATTGAAAGACGTTTTCACTGGTTATACTATTCTAGGGTAACAGGTTTTTTTCTTCAGCACCTTAAAAATGTCACCTCACTTTCTCCTGTTCGGTAAGGTTTCCACTGAAGAGTCTGCTGCCAGATGTACTGAAGCTCCATTTTATGTTATTTCTTTCTTTTCTCTTGCTGCTTTTAGGATCCTTTCTTTATTTTTGACCTTCGGGAGTTTAATTATTAAATGCCTTGAGGTAATCTTCTTTGGGTTAAATCTACTTGGTGTTCTATAACCTTCTTGTACTTGGATATTGATATCTTTCTCTATGTTTGGCAAGTTCTCTGTTATCCCTTTGAATAAACTTTCTACTCCCATCTCTCTTTCTACCTCCTTTTGAAGGCCAATAAGTCTTAGATTTGCCCTCTTGAGGCTATTTTCTGGATCCTGTAGGCATGTTTCATTGATTTTTATTCCTCTTCATTTGTCTCCTCTGACTGCGTAGCTTACTTCAAGCTCACGAATTCTTTCCTCTGCTTGATCAATTCTGCTATTAAGAGACTCTGATGCATTCTTCAGTATGTCAATTACATTTTTCAACTTCAGAATGTCTGATTGATTCCTTTTAGTTATTTCAATTTCTTTAATTTATCTGATATGATTCTGAATTCATTCTGTGTTTTCTTACATTTATTTTTTTATTTTTTATTTTTTTGAGACAGAGTCTTGCTCTGTCACCCAGGCTGGAGTGCAGTGGTGCAATCTTAGCTCACTGCAACCTCCACCTCTTGGGTTCAAGCGATTCTCAGGCCTCAGCCTCCTGAGCAGCTTGGATTACACACATGTGCCACCATGCCTGGCTGATTTTTGTATTTTTAGTAGAGACAGGGTTTCTCCATGTTGGCCAGGCTGGTCTCAAACTCCTGACCTCAGGTGATCCACCCACCTCAGCCTCCCAGAATTCTGGGATTACAGGTGTGAGCCACTGCACCCAGCTCAAAAGAGCTATTTTGAATTATCTGTCTGAAAGGTTGCATATATCTGTCTCTCCAGAATTGGTCCCTGGTGTCTTATTTATTGGTATTTTTTGGGTTAGGTCATGTTTTCCTGAATGGTCTTGATGCTTGCAGATGTTTGCTGGTGTCTTCGTATTGAAGAATTAGGTATTTATTGTAGTTGTAGTCGGGACTTGTTTGTATTTACCCTTCTTAGGAAGGTTTTCCAGGTATTTGAAGGGACCTGGGAGTTGTGACCTAAGTTTTTAGTCACTGCAGTCAAATCTGCATCATGGGGCACCCCAAGCCCACTAAAACTGTGGTTCTTGCAGACTGATAGAGGAACCACCTTGGTGGTCTTGGATAAGATCTGGAAGAATTATCTGGATTACCAGGCAGAGATTCTTGTTCTCTTTCCTTATTTTCTCCCAAACAAACAGCGTCTCTTTCTCTGTGCTGAGTTCCCTGGTACTGGTGGAGAGGAGAGTTACAAGTACCCCTGTGGATCCCCCACCACTACTGGAACTGTACTGGGTTAGGCCTGAAGCCAGCACAGCACTGGCTCTCTCCCAAGGCCCACTGTAACCACTACTTGGCTACTCTCTATGTTTGGTCAAGGCCCTAGGCCATACAGGCTTGTGTTCTTCTCTTCAGGGCAATGAGCTCCCCCTGGCCCCAGGTGGTCGAGAGATGCCAGGGCTTGGAGTTGGAAACCTTAGAAATCTACCTGGTGCTCTGTTCTACTGCAGATAAGCTGGTACCGAAACCATAAGAAAAAGTCCTTTCCACTCTTCCCTTCCCTGTCCCAGGCTGAGGAGTCGCTCCCCAGGTCCACTGCCACAACAGAACCGTGGGGAATACTGCCAGGCCATTGCTGATGTTTACATTAGGCCCAAGGGCTCTTCAACTCAGCTTGTGGTAAATGCTGCCAGGCCTGGAACTTACCCTTCAGGGGAGTGGGCTCCCCTCTGGCCCAAGGTAGATCCAGAAATGCCACCCGAGAGCCAAGTCCTGGAATTGAGTACCCCTGGAGCCTCTTTGGTGCTCTTTCCTGTTGTTGCTATGCTGGTACCTAAGTTACAAGACAAAGTCCCCTTTGTTCTTGCCTCTCTTTTTTGTAAGCAGAAGAGGACTCTCTTCATAGCCACCGCAGCTGTGAATGTGCTAGGTCACACTTGAAGCCAGCATGTCTCCGAATCTGACCCAAGGCCCACAGTGTGTAATACCTGGTTACACTGCTGACTATCCAGGGCCTATGGGCTCTTTAGTCAGCCGGTGATAGGTCTTACCAGGACTAGGTCCTTCCCTTCAATGCAGCAGGTTCTCTTCTGGCCAAGGGTGTGTCTAGAAATGTCTGGAAACTAGGGCATGGAATGAAGGCTTCATGACTGTGCCCAGTACCCTATCTTACTGTAATTGAGTTGGTATCCAAGTTGCAAAACAAAGTCCTCTTTACTCTTTCCTCTTTTCTCAAGCAGAAGGAAGGGGTGTCTTTTGGAGCTGCAAGCTGTATTGCCTGGGGTTGGGGGAGGATTGGCACAACAACTCCTTTAGCTGTCTTCCTGGTGTGTCACCGGGTCATGTACCCCCAAGTCCACTGGCTCCAAGCCCAGTACTGCACTAGGACCCACCTAGGAGTGTAGTACTTGTGGCCTAGACAGCCTTTCAAATTTATGTAGGACCCCAGAGCATTTTAGCCCATGGTAGCAAGTGCTTGTCAAAACTCAGATTCTGTTGGCTGGGATGGGAGCTTCCCCTTTGGCTAGGTCTTGTGTAAATGCTCCCTCCGTGGGCATCAGCTGAGTTCTGCCTGGTATTGGCAGCACTGAGCTCCAATGCAATGCAGACCAACTGCTGGGCTCTCCTTCCTCGATATGCACAGATGCTCTCTCCGTGCCATGTGGCTGCTGCTGGGGCACCGAAAAGAAGAGGTGGTGTGGGCAATCCAAGGTTGTCTTTCCTACCCTCTTCATTGCCTCTTTCTGTACTATGAAGTTGAAATCAGGTAATGTGATTGCTCACCTGATTTTTTATTCTTATGAAGGCGCTTTCTTATGTAGATAGTTGTTACATTTGGTGTTCCTGCAGGGAGAACAGTCAGTGGAGAATTCTACTCAGCCATCTTGTTCTGCTTCCTCAGGTCAAATCGGGAATGTTCTTACTGCCATCTGCAATGACGAATCCTTTCCACAGGGTTTTCCATTTACTTTGCCCAGATCCATCATAGGAATCACTATCTATGGCAGCTATAGCCTCACAAAGTGTATTTCTTAAATAATAAGACTTGGAAGTTGAAATTATTCCTTGATCCATGGGCTACAGGATAGATATTGTGCTAGAAGGCATGAAGACAACATTAGTCTTGTACATCTCCATCTCCATCAGATATCTAGGGTGACTACGTGCATTATCAAGAAGTGGTAATACTTTGAAAGAAAGCCTTTTTTTTCTGAGCAGTGGGTCTCAAAAGTGGGCTTAAAATATCAGTAAAACTGTACTGTAAACAGATATGGTGCCATCTGGGTTTTGTTGTTCTATTTATAGAGCACAGGTAGAGTTAGCATAATTCTTAAAGGCCTTAGGATTTCCAGAATGTTAAATGAACACTGACTTTAAGTCACCAGCTCCATTTGCCCCTAACAAGAGAGTTAGCCTTTTCTCTGAAGCTTTCGAGCCAGGCATTGACTTCTTTTAAGCTATTAAATTTCTCAATGGCATCTTCTTCCAACATAGGGCTGTTTGATCTACCTCTAGCCTGGGCAACAAGAGCAAAACTCTGTCAGGAAGGGGAGAGGAGGGGAGGGGAGGGGAGAAGGAAGGAAGGTTAAAAGGAAAGACGGAAAGAAAGAGGGAAGGAAGGAAAGAGGAAGGAAGGGAGGGAGGGAGGGTAACCACTTCCATCAATGATCTTAGCTAGATCTTCTGCATAACTTACTGCAGCTTCTACTTCAACACTTGCTGCTTCACCTTGCACTTTTATGTTATGGAGATGGTTTGTTTCCTTAAAACTCATGAACCAACCTCTGCCTGCTTCCATCTTTTCTTCTGCAGTTACTTCTCCTCCCTCAGCCTTCACAGAATTAAAGGGAGTTACGACCTTGCTCCAGATTAGGCTTTGGCTTAAAGGAATGTTGTGGCTGGTTGGATCTTTTATTCAGACCACTCAAAGTTTCTCTGTATCAGCAATAAGGATGTTTTGCTTTCTTCTCATCCATGCATTCACTGGAGTATTACTTTTAATTTCCTTTCAGAACTTTTCCTTTGCATTCACAACCTGGCTGTTTGTGGCACAAGAGGCCTAGCTTTTGGCCTGTTCCAGCTTTTGACATGTCTTCCTCACTAAGCTTAATCATTTCTAGCTTTTGATTTAAAGTGAGAGACATGAGATTTTTTTCAATTGAACACTCAGAGGCCACTGTATGAATTGGCCTAATTTCAATATTGTTGTGTCTCAGCAAATAAGGAGGCCAGAGGAGAAGGAGAGAGATTGGGAACATTGTTGGTGGAGCAATCAGAACACATGCTACATTTATGAATTAAGATTGCTGACTTCTATGGGCACAGTGTGTGGTGCCACTAATTACAATAGCACCATCAAAGGTCACACTGACTGTAGATCACTGTAACAAATATAACAGTAAAGAAAAAGTTTGGAATATTGTGAGAATTACCAAAATTATGCAGACATATAAAGTGAGCACATGCTGTTGGAAAAATGGTGCTGGTAGACTTGTTCTATGCAGCAATGCCACAATCTTCAATTTGTAAAAAAAAAAAAAAAAACCAAAAAACAAAAAACAAAACATAGGATCTGTGAAACACACTAAAACAAGTGCAATAAAATGAGGTTTGCCCATATTTCATTTGCTTCCACATAATTTGATAAATTGCTAAGTCCTTCTGATAAAGTATGATTGCCTGCAGAATCTTTCTGCCATCTACTCATCATTTTATTGATTTAAAATTTTTTTTTCCTAAATTGAAGTTTAATCACTGTATTGATCTTCTTTACTTTAGACTGACTTCATAAACCTCTAACTTATCCTTTCTTTTTGTCCTGAATTGCTGATCACACTGATGAAATATTTTTAAAAACAGACACCTAAATTTAACTTTCATTTTCAAGCACTATAGAGTTGCTACATTCTGTGATCTATACTTATAATGTAATAGCTGAGAAGATCTGTTGCTGTTACTACTCAATTTAAAACAATGCACTGAATACATTTTCTGCAGGATCAGACATTTCTTTAAGTTACTAAAAAAGATTATGTACCCTGTCTTTTAGGGGAATGATTTAAGAAAAAAAAATTCATATAGCAATATTTGAATGAGTTGACATTAGTTTTTACAATATTTTGACCAATTACCAGTTTTGCAATTTGTATAACCAGCTGTTGTTTTTAGATTCCAGCTAGTTTTGTGTATAAATAGAGTATTTCATGTGCCGTTTCCCCTCCCTTTATGTGTCTTTACACGGTAGAAAGGTTTCCAAAGGCAATGGCAATTAGCGGTGCTGTCTGAGGCTAACTTCCCAAGCAATTTAGGCAAACAAGATTTTAGCCTGAATTTTCCAGGTAATTGCCTTGTTTTGCTGCTAAGGGCAGTTTGGGGAAGAGTAGCAGGACTAGACGAAAATACATTTTTTAAATCTACACACTCAATAGCAGCGTGTGTTTGTAACTGTCATGTTTTTTGGGAGATAAAAAATGACGCCCCATGGCAACAGTATTTGGCTGAAAGACCAAACCATCTAGGTTAATTAAATATGCAACATTTCTTCTAATACTTCTAAACATATTCAATTGTTATACCACTGGAAAGATTTTCCACTTTTCACACCGATTTCTACCCCCCCAACTCGAGCATCAGATTTGTATATGGATTTAACAAAAGTACATAATAACACCACCACCAAAAACCAACTGTTTCAGACGCACAGTATACCAACCCCTTAAACGAGTCAGTGTGGCAAAAATATAGCCTGTAGATACAGGCAACCCAGATATTTACTGACTTTGAAAAGTTATTAAATTTCCAGAGGCCTCAGTTTTCCCTTCTGAAAAGGGGCAATAATAAATGTTTTCACGAGCTTTTGTTAATGCCAACTGAGATAACACCAATATAGTCACAGCCCCTAATAAATGCCCATTCCTGCTTTGCAGAAGTTTTCTTTAATAATTTTTAATGTATTTATTTTTTTACAGACAGGGTCTCACTCTGTCAGCCAGGCTGGATGCAGTGGTGTGATCATAGCTCACTGCAGCCTCAGATTCCTAAGTGATCCTCCTGCCTCAGCCTCCCCAGTAGCTAGGACTACAGGCAAGCACCACCACTCTGGTTAATTTTTAAATTTCTTTAGATATGGAGTCTTGCCATATTGCCCAGGCTGATCTTGAACATCTGGTCTCAAATGATCTGTTTGCCTTGGCCTCCAAAGTGCTGGGATTACAGGCATGATCCACCACACCCGGCTTCTTTATTTTTAATAAATTTATCATCACAGGTTCAAAATGCGCTTTTTAATCTTTGTAACCATTGCATACTTCTGAATGTAACAGCTCAAGATAGTACTTCTTTCACTTTCCATCCATGATGTAAAATATACTACCTTTTAACTTTCCTAAATCTGCCTTTTTCAAGTTTCAAATAATATCCTTAGATTTTACAACTGAAGAAAAAATTCTTATAGCCACACTTTTCATGATTTCTAGACCTCTTTAACAATTATCATCTCTTAAATGCTTAGGATTTCTTTGCCAAAGTGAGGCAGAGAATTTCTAATTAAAACCCAAGTCATTTAAGTATATGCGAATTTTTAACAGAATTACCCTAGAGCAATAATTTGCAAATGACTGGGGAACACAAGGGCATGTTTAATTTGAAAGAAAAACATTTTTAAAGGTACGTTTGATATGATCAGCCTATTGCTCAGCAAAGAACTGCTGTTTGGACATTTCACTTGGCTACAAAGATGTGAAAGGCATGAATCTTATAGCCACTGAATTGTGTTGGTCTCGGTGAGCTCATAATCCAGGGAGTGATCTGTATTAGCTACTGACTTGCTTCCAAGTACCATTTGAAGTGTTGATCATAATCTTTAAGTACTTAGAGCCCTGAGCAATTTAGGGATTGTGTGTCTCTATGCAGTCACTGAGATAAGCTATTTTTCCCCCTTTCCTTGCATAATGGTCTAGAGGGCAGGGTGTGTTCTTTGGAGGGCCACTGTCTGCAGATTTTCCAGGCTGTTGATCCTTTTTTTTTTTTTTCCTTCTTGTAGACTCGATTCTTCTGGTAGAATGACTCCCCAGTGTGGATGCTTCAAAAAAAATGACTTTATTGCTCTTGACTCAGCTTTTAAATATCTTTTAATGTGTTTTAAATTTTCATTTGCTTCCTTGGAGTAATCCATAAACTAGTCTATAATTTCATCAACTGCAATAAATCAGCCATACAAGTTTCACCTGAGTTGCCTGTCCTTATGTCATATACTAGGATCTTGTATCTGCATGTAGATAACCTAAGAGTTTGACTGGATTATGGCCCCAAAGACATTCCAGCAGAGGCACACAGGTGACGGTGAAAATCTCAGTTCAGTAATTTACCTTGCAACGCATTTGTTCTGCATGGAGCTCTTCATGGTGATCCGGGAGAGACTGCGAAAGCTTCTTTTTGAAAGTTCGTAGTTTCTCCAGGGAATCTGCTATTCCTTTCTCACATTTTTCCCAGTCCTATCATGGGAATAAAAACAAATAGCATAGATGTTTTTGATGTAGGAAACTGGGGGGGGAAAAGAAAAGAAACACTCTTCTTCATTCCCAGAGAAAGAATGAAAGTTACACTGATGGCTGAGTGTGGTGGCTCACGCGTGTAATCCCAGCACTTTGGGAGGCCGAGGCGGGTGGATCACTCGAGGTCAGGAGTTTGTAACCAGTCTGGCCAACATGGTGAAACCTTGTCTCTACTAAAAACACAAAAATTAGCCAGGCATGGTGGCAGGCTCCTATAATCCCAGCTACTCAGAAGGCTGAGGCAGGAGAATTGCTTGAACCCAGGAGGCAGAAGTTGCAGTGAGCTGAGATCACACCACTGCACTCCAGTCTAGGCAAAAGAGCGAGACTCTGTCTCAAAAAAAAAAAAAAAAAAAAAAAGCAAAAAAAAAAAAGAACAAAGTTGCGCTGATGAACAATATGAAGGTATGCCCACACTCATTGCCAGGGGAGGCAACATGCTGTTGTCATCAGAAGAGCTGAGTTCAAAACTGACTCTGTTACTGACTATCTGTGTGGCTTTAAGCAGATAATGCTCTATGTTTCCATTTTCCCTACGAAAATGGAAAAAATACAAACTCTCCATATTTATTGGAGCCCAAAGGAAGCAATGAGTGTCAAGGCATCAAGCACAATGACCAGAATATTATGGGTATCCAAGAATGTTATCTGAATCCACATCTATCTGCAGAGGTAGGACTATAATCTCAGTACCTTGTCTCTTTCTTAACCCCATCCATAACTACACCCAATGTCTACCCTTTCCCAAATGTACTATAAGGGATTTAAAAAAAAAAGAGGATATGGCATGTCTTACAGAAAGAGAAATATGCACTACAAAAGCATGGCATTTTTGACTGGCTTTATCTTGTTCATGCTGAAACATATGTAGCAAAGGATTAAATGTGTAATATATAAAAACCCATGTAAATTAAGATGTAGAAGAAGAGAGATAATGCACAATTTAAGAAATCTATATCTAATATGCAAAGTAGCAGTAAGTGCTCTGGAGAGGAATAGGCCAGGGCAGGTGGTAGAGATAGGCAGTATAGAATGAGGTAGAGCTCTATGTACTGACAAAATAAAACATCTATTGTGTGGTTATGTTTTGAAAGGTTACACAGCAAACTGGTAACAATGGTTACCTCTTGAGAATATAGGAGAATTTGGATGGCACAATAAGGGAAATTTCATTTTTTACTCTGTATAGTTAAATTATTACCTAATTTTTAAAAATCAGACACACGTAATTTTTTTGTAATAAAAAAGTAGAATTTTAAAAAATGACAGGAACCACAGCAGAGCTTGATCTTTTTTATAGCACCTTATCTACACATTAACTCCTATCCGGTGTCTTAGTGCCAGTGAAAATTAATTTCAACTAAACAAGTCTCCTTCATGTTGTCCAACACTGCCCGTTTGTCAAACTCTCCAATCCAGGCCTTCCTGCTCCCCACTCATCTCCCCAGTGGCCACTCCATACACCGTGAATTACAGAATTCCAAAGCAAGACAACTAGAATCATGACTAGAATCACTTTTAGTTGTCAATATGGTGTCAAATCATGTTCCATCTTCCTTCACAATATCTCTTCCATTATCATCAGTCTTTTCTTATCTGGATTATTTCTACTTCTCTCCTGACACCTTAGTTTGAGCATAACAACCCAGAGGTGTTATTACCACAACTATTTTCTGGAAGCAGTGTTGACTAAAGTGCCCCCTTACTCAAAATGTCTTTATTCAAAAACTGAACTGAGAATTTGGCACAAGTCTCATTTCTCTTTAAAATTCCTTCATAGAACTTCTTAGAGTGCATAACCACATTCCCTCTTCCCAATTACCAGAAAAAAAAATTCTTAAAAAACAAAAAAAAATTGTCTATCAGGGACAGAGTTGTTCAAATTCTCCTTTGTTTTATGCTTTGTGTTCCCAGGGCTACAATTAGCTTATCAATGCTAACCATAGTGAGGGTAGACAAAAAGTTTCTCTTTCTGCTTAAATTAAACAACATTCTCAATAAAACTATCAAACATCCTGAATTGATCAACATACAGTTGATAAAAATTTATTGATCTAAAAGAGATAAGATCATCACGGGTGCTGTGACCCACACCTATAATCCTAGCACTTTGGGAGGCCAAGGAAGGGCAGATCACTTGAAGCCAGGAGTTCGAGACCAGCCTGGCCAACATGGTGAAAACCCATCTCTACTAAAAATACAAAAATTAGCCAGGCGTGGTGGCGTGCACCTGTAATCCCACCTACTTGAGAGGCTGATGCACGAGAATCACTTGAACCCAGAAGAGTGGAGGTTGCAATTAGCCAAGACTGCACCACAGCACTCCAGCCTGGGTGACACAGGGAGACTCTATGTCAAAAAAAAAAAAAAGAAAAAAAAACAAGAAAGAAAGATAAAAAAGATCAGCTTCTTACTTTTCAGAACAAAATTAAGAGATGATAGTGAAGAAGGTGAACATACAGAGCATGGAATTATAATGCCTATATTTGGCATACTTACTAACAGTATTAAAAGCTAAATATAGATAAGTATTATAGCTGGGGTAAAAAATAGACTAAAATGAGGCTATATAAACATCAAAATTCAGATTCATAAATTCCTTCTTAGGCAAACGGATGTAGTGTAAAAGTCAAAATAAAATAAACTTTAACAAGAACAGAAGAGGGATTCCTCTTTCCAAGGATGACTTAGATTCTAAATCTATAACCAAGTCCTTTTATGACGTGAATTATAAGGAAATAACTTAATGTCATGAGCCTGCAAATATCTATTAAAGTGGATGTTTTCTACACCAACAAACAGACAGACAAGAAAAGCAAATGTAGTGACTCAGACATCATGCCTTATTAAGTCTTGGAAACATCTCCAAAAATCACATCACAAATTTAAAAAAATATATGATTAACATGTTCTCTACAGGATGAGTTACAATGTTTTAAATCCTTTCCTAAAAGCAAAAGGAAGAAAATGAACCTGGCATATTACATTACTGATGAAACTGTGCTGTGTGCAAATAATAGTTTTTTATAGATGTCCAGTGGCATTTTTGATGGATTGCTTACTACACAGAAGGCAATATATTATTAAATAAAATTCAATAGAATAAATCCAATGGGTATGTATGCACACTTTAAGCATTAAAAAAAAAAAGCAAAATCTTTTCTATTAACCTTAGTCATTACCTTTGATCCAAACATGTGACAGGCCAAATTTAATAGATACCCTCACTGAAGTGTTGGTGATTATCAACATATACAGGACCATAACATTTAGGTGTCTTTACTTTTAAAGATTGTAATAACATCAACTATGATAATCACTATCATTCATTTAGCGCTCAGTATGAGCCAGGTAAGGTACCACATGATTCACTATCATTATTTCATTAAGTCCTCACAATGGCCACATGGAGGTGGTGAAATTATATACCCACTCTACCGATGAGGAAACTGAGGCTTAGATAGGCTAAGTTAACTGGGTCACTTGGTTTACCATGATTTTAACTTGAGATTATCTTATTTTAGAGGTCCTGTCCTTTTTAAACTGCTCATTTAATTATGCATTATACATGCAATTGAAGAGTGAGAGAGAAAAGCATATTGTGGGAGGTCCGGATAAATCTACATTTTCCAAAACTTACTGTGTGATCAGTATGTGATCTGTATCCAACTAAGGGCTTAATACACCTCCTGGAGATTTTATCTCATGGCAACTTGCTTGGATCAGCTAAGATAAATTAAGAGTATCTTTCTGGATTGGTTTTTCCCTTCCATAAAAGAAGAGATACCAATCTTGAAAACCACTTTAGAGTCTCAGATTAGGGAGTGGAACCTACCCTTTGAATTTCTGTGTGGATTTATAAAGTCATCACATGGCTAAGGTTTCATACTGGTCATTAATCAGAATTCATAGCTTAGACAGTCTTATTAGACTTTACTTTGTTGGGAGGTTGTCCTGAAAAATTAAATGCTGAAAATTGGGAAACTTTTCCAGTTTGTGCAAGATAAGACAAAGTCTTAAATAAAACACAGAGAATCAAAATACTGCAGGGTATTATTTCATGATCTTTGCATTATTTGATTTGTAGAATAACAATGGGAGGAAGTAGTACAACGACTAAAAGGGTTTTTTGGTTCGTTTTTTTCTAACTGAACTTACTTTCAACAAGAAGGCTAGTTTTTTCTTCTGTTCTTCCAGCCGCATGCTGGCTGATTTCCATTTCTCTTGGATTTCAGCGAGTTCGGCCTGCAAGGCGGCCTCAGCGCCACTGTCCGCCGAGAGAAGGAGTTGCTTGCCAGCCTCCACAGTCAGGATGTAGCTGCCTTGTTGCCGCAGAAACACTTTTTCTTTGAACTGAAAGGAACCATAGCTTTTTATTTTCTCATTCTTTCTTTCATCGTTTCCTTCCCATAAGGATTTTTAAATGGCCCTAACTTTTGCCCTCTTTCATCCAGCAAGCATTTACCGTAGTGGTGCTTTGCACATGCATGCACCAGTGAATAAATGAGTGAGAATACAATGGAGACAGGCTTAGTTTCTGTCTCCAAGGTAAGTACGATTGATGTAATAAGATAACCACTCTTTAAGATTGATGCGTGGAAATACAGAGGGACATCTGACCCAGCAGGGGGCGCACCAAGAGGCAGAGAGGCTTCCTCAAAGCAGTAAAGGCTGAATGTGTCTTGCGAGACATGAACTTCACCAGATTAAGAAGGACCTGGTGCGGTGAGATGAGTGTGATCAGGAGTGGAGGAGAGGCCACCTTCTCACAGAGAAATGAGGATGCGCACATTCACTATATGAGAAAAATATGATAAATTCAGGAAACTAAGTATGGTTTTCAGTGGCTGGAGTGTGGATGGCATGTGAGAGAGTGGTAGGAGATGAGGCCAGACGACATCTTGCAGAAATTTGGTTTTTATACTAAAAGTGACTGGGGTTCACAGAAGAATATTGATGTTGGGATTAAAGTTTTCATAAAAGCACTCAGGAATCGAGTAAAAGTAGAATGGAAGAAGGATGTGTGTTGGATATACTAAGATTAGGAAGCTATTGTCTATCTGGGCAAGAAATCGCGAGCACCTAACCAAGGCAGTGGCAGCAGGGATGTAGAGTTAGGGAGATTAGATAAGGGGATGATAGACAAGGAGAAGTATAGCTCTCAAATTATTCTAGGATTCCTAGACTAATGGCACTTCCTGGAAGTGTGATGGGAAAGGGAGAAAAGTTGGTCCAGAGACCACAGGTTCTGCTGGGACCCACAGGGTACAAGGCATCTGTGATGCACATAGACATAAACTCACAAGGTGGTTAGAAACACAAGTCAAAAGCACAGCAGGTAAATATGACCAGAAGATATGAATATGCCCCTTCTCTGCTGGCAGGGGGCAGTTGAAGTCATGTCTGCGAATGAGGGCTCTCAGAGAAATTTGGAGGAGAAACGAACGAAAGAACAGTGACTTTAAGGGAAGAGGAACTCATTGGATACACTGGGGAGAACTCACTAGAGTGATAGGAGATATCTCTCTAAGATGCTAGAAGCCTGAAGGTAAGGGGCAACCTGGAAATGAACAAAGAACTCAAACAGGACAGGGCTTCCTGTCTTCTTTGGAATACTCAAGTTACGTGTTTAAATTGCTCAAGAATAAAATGTATGCAAGCAACATGAAGTTTTTCTTCCCTTGCCATTACCTTTTCATCCCTGCTGGGATTTAGTGAGCTGCGGCAGGCCATAGTGTGTGAAGTGTAAGCAGCCTTTGTGAGAGGCTGGGGCTTACTATCATTTCACCATTAGATATGGGCTTTGTATTGCAATCATTTTGTATATTTCTGTTGACATTTGAGAACAATGTTTGTCCCAGCTGCAATGTCACTCTAGAGTCCTTTTGAAAAACCGAGGCGAAGGTAAAGTGTGCGGTGGAAATGCCTAAGAGGTGTGAGAACACTGTGTTTTGCATCTTACCTGCACTTCATCAAAGAGGGTCCTTGCTTGTTGCAGTGGTATAGGAACACTTCCGAGACCACTCATGGGGAGGTAGGACACTTCAACCAACCATTTACGAAGCTTTTCTGCCATCTCCCTATAGCGCTGCCACTGGCGAATCTGGCTGTCAATGATCCCCCGCCTCTGCTGGGCCCTGCGAATCACTCCCTGCCATTGATTACTGAGGAGTGTCAATTTCAGGTTGAATTCATCCCTAGTGAAGAAATAATTACATGGTAAAAAAGCACTGTTATCTTGGATGCAGTTACGCAATCAGCCAATGTATACACTGTCAACAACCCTAAGCCCTGAGAAGTGATCTAGGGCGGTGGTTTTTGAATATCATGCCATGATCTCTTACTGGGTTTTGGGTCTATTGCAATTAATTTTTAAAATTAAACCACCAGTGTTTGCAAATGGTGAGTGTTTTCATGTCTCAGCATAGGTTGAAGGCAAATATACAATAAGGTCATTGTCCTTCACTGTCTCCCTGAGAGCATGAGAGGGGAGGAGTGGACAGCTGCAGGTGCAACGGGAATAGCTGCAAATCCTAAGCAGCTCCATAGCAACATGTGCAGCTCGTGATGATGATATCATCTTGTGGGACACACTGCAGGAAAATGTGTGGAACAAGGCTTATGTAGAACCTCTGTCTTCAGTTCGAATCATAAGCCACTTGAATCAAATTATGTAATTTAAAAAGATTTTTTAAAAACTGTACTCCATAAACTCTCTCAGTATTCCCTCACAATAAACAGCCCCAACCTTTAGCAAATCATTCCAGATGTTCATCTGAATTATCTCTTCTACATTGTAGGCTGACTTCACTTTATTCTTAGAAAGATGAAAACTTGTTATCATAGTCTGTATAAATGTCATTAATATATTTAGAAATAATAAATTTTACTTAAGATTTCTCAAGTTCAGGCTAAAGTATATCAGGTCTTCTAATGTGTTCTTACCTCTCTGTTTTCTGGCTTTAAAAAAATATAGGTAGTTCTTTATTACGTTTTATTTAATATTTAATTTATGGCTCTAGAACTGGCTAGTAAGAGTCTGTCCCGCATGAAACAGAATGAGTTTCTATGTAGATTACAGTGTTATTCACACCTAAAGTGCAAGTAATGTTGCACTTTAATACTAAACACTTGCACTTCTCTATTACAATAGTTTTGCTTTTCTTCCTCAGATATACTATCCTCTTCTCTTGAGGGTAGCATCAACTTTGAATTGGACTTGCTATTGTGAACTTGTATCTTCTTGAAACTTCCTATTATCCAGAACCACTATAAACTTTGATTTTGTAACCAAATATGCTGTTAGTCCTAGAAACTTATTTAATGACTCAACTTAAACAAAAGGTGAATAACACCCAGACAACGTCAACAAAACAAGTATTAAAAATAAAATGTACTAAGTAAAGCCTCTGCAAAAAATTTCGTATGCCCTCTCATCTTAAAAATAGATCCATAATGGGCCGGGCCCGGTGACTCACGTCTTTAATCCCAGCACCTTGGGAGGCCGAGGTGGGTGGATCACCTGAGGTCAGGAGTTTGAGACCAGCCTGGCCAACATGGCGAAATCCCATCTCTATTACAAATACAAAAATTAGCCGGGCGTGGTGGTGCGTGCCTGTATTCCCAGCTACTTGGGAGGCTGAGACAGGAGAATCACTTGAACCCAGAAGGTGGAGGTTGCAGTGAGCCGAGATAGCGCCACTTCACTCTAGCCTGAGCGAAAGAGCAAGACGCTGTCTCAAAAAAGAAAAAAAAAAAAAATCCATGTGATAGCTACTTAGATTTTGATGATGACTTCTGTTTTTGAAAGGAAATTTTGCTGTATTAATCAATGTACTAGCATTCAAGTGTGATGAATTAGGTTCATGATACTTCCCTAAAAGTTACAAGCATCTGTCATCGCAGAAAATGTACAACTCCAGGACTTGAGAATATCGTATAATCTTGCTTTCCCTACCAGGTAACCATCCAAGGCCTCTTAGGATTCCCCACCCTCTCTTGATACAACCAAGCTGTCCCAAACTACCTGCCAGCATGAGGAATTACTTAAAACATGACACTGTTCCCTGTGCTGAACTTGAAGCTCTAAAAAACGTAACTCATAAATTAACTTTCAGAACAAAATACACTTGCAATCTGAGGCCTTCTTATTGTCAGTAGGCTCTAATCTGATTTTTTTTTCCCTTCAACTTTCAAAATTCTTTACCCTCAAGTCTAACCTCCCATTTTCATCTCTTTGGTGTATTTTCCCTAAATGTTAGTATTGAAAAGTTAATAGATGCTGGCTTGCATGTGAGTATTTAATTTTTATTTTACTTAATGACTCAAACATTTATAATATTGTTATAGAGTTGGCTAAGAAATGATAAAGCAAAAGATAAAAGTTAATTGTATTTGAATTTGTTTTATTTTCAAGGCCTTAAATTCTCAGGAAAGCTCCCATTTAAGTTTGGCTTACTTAGAGTAGAATAAATATAATATCACATTCTGTTGTTCCAAGCTTAACCATGAAGATCTTTTATGTACTTCCAAAGAAATAGCCACTTAAAACTGAAATTGCTTCTACAACATTAAAGACAAAACTCTCAATAAAAATAATTTATTTTTTATTTTTTGAAAAAATATCAAATTAATTTTAGTCACAACTACTGGTTCCTAAATATGAGAAAGGTATACATATGTAATAGAACACATGAGGCTAATACTCCAAATATCACCACGGAAAGTCGATTAGATAAAGTAAATATTGTTCCTAGGAAATGTAAATATAGTATGAAATTGTCATTTCTCATACCATAAATCTGGGGAGAAGCTAAATTTTTACCTCTCCATTTTTAATAAAGAGATAATTTGCTATTGTAAATGAAAAGGAAGAAAAGATTTCAGGCGGCATGTAATCTGACTTAAGGTAGCAAACCATTTTCAAACACAGAATTCTCATGGCATGAGAAAGCTGGCTGGTATGATCCAGTACTGACTGAAAACCAGACATGAGCTCCAGGCCTGATTCTGCTGCTACTTAGTTCTGTGACCCTGGTCAAATCAGTTCACATTTGTGGATTTTGGGTTTTTCATCTGTAAGTAAGAGAGATGGGCTAGTGATCTCTATGCTCCTTTTACAAAAAAATTTCTGTAATTATATAAGAATATTAGAAGCATCTGTTTACAAACCGTTGATAGGTCATTGATATGGTTCATGCTGATCTATTCATTAATTCCATTTCCTACAGATGACTAGTGAAGGTTGGCTAGGTGATTTCCAATTACTCTATGCCCTTCATATAATATAATAGCAGCTCTCCAAAAAAGATTCAATACTCATTCATTTCAGAGATTGAGACAAGTTTCTCCTCCAATTACTGAGGCCCCACTACAGTTCAATTGCCTCAGGAAGATTGGATATATGCCCTCCAATCTGCTCATTAAAAAGAAAATGACTAATTTACTGGAACCTTTCTTTGTAATAATTTATCAAAGATCCTACCTGTCATCAACTTGACCTTGTTCTAGAAGACGTTGCCCATCAATAATGATTGAGTGCAAAATCTGCTGACGACTGAACATCTCGGCTTGAAACAACTATAATTTAAAAAAAAGAAGAACATACTTTAGAGTTCCTAATTTTAGTGATCGGTTCTCTGATAACTTTCCAAATATTCTAGTTTTCGCAAGACTATGAAAGCTATCACCAGCTGAACCAGAAAATGTGTGAAATCCTGCAGTTTAGGAATCATTTATTTTTAAATCATCAATTAAGATACACTCAAAGATAAAGTTTAGTGTTTGGTTTACTAAAACTAGATGACCAAAAGTAGAATTATATTTCTCTTCTTTCTTTCAAAAACACCTAATAAAGTAAGTTAATGCACAATTTGTTTTCTGGTTTATTTTGTATATAAAATATGGTCCATATTCAAAACTTAGAGAATAGCTTAGGACCGTTAAAGAAGTCAAAGAAAAAAAATAGCCTAGTCTTTTTCTGTCTTTTAAAACTCACTGTTTTTAAGTTTTAAATTTTAAAATTAATAAATTTTAATAAATTTATTTCACTATTTTAAAAAACTCAAGAGAAGGTCCTTCGAATTATTTCTACTGTTTTTTAAACAACTTTATTGAGTAACAATTCACATACCATACAATTCACTCATTTAAAATGTTCAATTTAGTGGTGTTTATTATATTTACAGACTTTACAATCATTACCACAATCAATTTTAGAATTTTCATTGCCCCAAAAAGAAAGTCCATCCTCATTAGCAATCATTCCCCATTTCTTCCCAATCCTCCAGCCTTCAGCAACCACTCATCTATTTTATGTCTCTATGAATTACTTACTCTGGACATTTCTTGTAAATGGAATCTTGCGATATGTAGTCTTTTGTGACTGGTTTCTTTCCCTTGGCATAATGTTTCCAAGGTTCATACATGTTGCAACATATATCAGTACCTTATTCCTTTTTATTGCAAATAGTATTCTATTATATAGACATTTCACATTTTATTTATCCATTTATCAGTTGATGGACATTTGGGTTGTCTCCACCTTTTGGCTATTATGACTAATGCTCCTATAAATAATGTACTTACACAAGTTTTTGTGTGGACACATATTTTCATTTATCCTGAGTATATACCTAGGAGTGGAATTTCTGGGTTATATGATTACTCTACGTAACTCTATATGGTAACTCTATGTTAACTGTTTTCCAAAGCAGCTTCACCATTTTACATTCCCATCAGCAATGTATTAGGGTTCCAATTCCTTTACACCCTCACCAAAATTTGTTATTTTTTCATTATAGTCATCCTTGTGGGTGTGAGATGCAATCTCATTGTAGTCTTTTTTCTATTATTTCATCATCTGTCAATTCAACAAAACTGGATTTAAAAATACCTTAGATATCTTTAAATTTTCTATTTAAAAAATTCTGAATTAAGTTTTTCTTTTCTCTTAGGTAAGACCTATCTCTCCATGTGCATATCATTCATAAATACACAAACTGACTTAGTTATACCGGTAAATAGCAACATAAGGATTAACAGTGGGCAAATTTATTAATTTACTTTGTGTATATAGTTCTTCTCCCTCTTTGTTTCTTAAGAAATAATTATAATGCAATTTAATCAAGAGGTACACCTGGAGACATTTGATAGATTGATTTCCTGGTATAAAATTCATATACGCTCTTTGAAGATCACAAAATTTTTAAAGACTTTTGATCAAAGCATAGTCTCTTAAGCAATTGTCCTTGGCATATTAAAGTAGTCTCTAACCCAGTTTGAAAATTGTCTAACTATCTATACACGTTCCACCAACTTTGCCTGTCTCGAGTAAGTAGCCTTTAACCACAATTCTGGCATTATACTTTACAAGGAACTGAAGATTGACACGTGCTTATAAACAATCATGGAGCAGCGAATAGGACTACATTTTTATAATTAAGTTATCAAAACCTCAAGCTTAAGAAAGAAGGCAAAATGATGCATGCATTTAGACACTCGTGCAAAGGGCATGATTTTAATTCTCCCACACAGCATTTCGTAGCATCTTCTAAGGGCCTAAAAATTTCTTATTACCCCCAAATCTACTGATACAACTTACCTCGTGTGCTCTCTGCTGTTCCAAAAGGTGCTGATAATTTCCTGAAATCTCTACTGCTAACTTTTGTTCTGTCTGAACTAGGAATTCCATCCATGTTTCACATTTTTCCAAGAAAGTCTGATGTTGTAGCAAAAATGACTGCAACTTGCTGAAAGAACAAAGGGCAAGGAACAATGGTTATTTCACTGCTTATTCTTACTTCTCTAGCATATAAAACTAGATTAAATAATCTCTGTGCTCAATTCTAATTGAACCACCACAAAGCTTTCATGTCAGGTGGTAAAATTATTTTAAAAAAGAAGAAAGAGGCCAGTTGCAGTGGCTCACGCCTGTAATCCCAACACTTTGGGAGACTGAGGTGGACAGATCACCTGAGGTCAGGAGTTGTAGACCAGCCTGGTCAACATGGTGAAACCCCATCTCTACTAAAAATACAAAAATTAGCCGGGTGTGGTGGTGTGTGACTGTAATCCCAGCTACTTGGGATGCTGAGACAGGAGAATTGCTTGAACCCAACATTGCAGTGAGCCGAGATTGTGCCTTTGCACTCCAGCCTGGGTGACAAGAATGAAACTCCGTCTCAAAAAAAAAAAAAAAAAGAAGAAAGAAAGTTGAAAAAATGTAGAAGTTTAAAATGTACCTCTTTTAAAATGATAAAAATTATGTATATACTTTTAATATATTCTCACTTAAAAGAGTTTTCTGATTAAAGTGCTATTTAGTACACTAAACATGAGAAACGACTTTACAATTTGAATTTCCCACTTTTAGTTCAAATTTTGTCAGTGTTATGGGAAAGATCAGAATTTATAAACATACACAAGTCATGAGCTTATATTCTATTGATACATTGGTGCTATGGTGTGAATGTATCCCTTCCATAATTCAGGTGATGAAACTTCGTGGTGAATGTTGGTAGTATTCTGAGGCAGAGCCTTTACACGGTGATTAGGCCATGAGGACTCCTCCTTTGTCAATGGGATTAAGGGTCTTTTAAAAGAAGATTCACACAGCGTTCAGCACTGTTGTCCTTCTGCCTTCCACTGTGTGAGGACACAGCAACTCTCCCCTCCTGAGGATGCAGCAAAACCTGCCCTCTTGAAAGCAGAGAGCAGCCCTCACCAGACAACTGAATCTGCTAGCACCTTGACTGCGGACTTCCCAGTCTCCAGAACTGTGAGACTGTTCAACATTTCTGTTCTTTATAAATTATGCATTCTGTAGTATTTTGACATAGCGGCACAAACCAGACTAAGACAACTGGAGCAACCAAGACATCTCTTGTTTACTCTACCTGAATCTTTCTGTAGTCTGAGAGGAGATCAGAGACCAATGGCGGTTCAGATTCTGCATTCTTTTGATTTCCTTATCATTCAAGGGTAACCTATATCCAAGCTCATTTAGACGGTCTAAATCTGGAGCCATGCTGCTGAATTTTAACATCTGTCCCTAGAAGGAAGATTTAAAAGTAGGTTTAGCACCATGGTCAAAAAAGTCAAAACTTTTTCAAAGTGCGCAGTGAATTTCTGATTTCAGGAAGTAGCTGGTCTTCGGTCTAGTGGCCTCTGCATTTCTAGGCCACTTACTTACAATCTCTAGGTACGAATAGCGAAAAGCCAAATCTACTTTTCAGTCTAAACTGCTGCTGCTGCTGCTATTGCTACTCAAGCTACTCATTATCCTTTATGGACTACTTAACGTGTATTCTGTTATTTACTTGATATATTATTTACTTGTATGGTTTATACATACAAATATATTATTTACTTTATTTACACGTATTATATTATTTACTTGATTTTTATTACGTGTATTATATTACATATACTATTTACTTGATTTACTCATATGTAATTATATTACAAGTATTATATTATTTACTTGATTTATTTACTCATAGGCAATTCTTGACAGAACTGATTAAGGATGAAAATTATGCTGATAAGTAAAAGACCTTACTTCTTACCATTTACGTTTAATTTGTTCATGCTAATTTCCTCCTTTATTATTCACAACTAACAAAAGTTATAACAGTGATAGCTAACGTTTATTGAGCACTTACTATGAATCAAGCACTGACAAGAGCTTTACAAGTAAGAACTCATTTTATCCTCAAAACGATCACATAAGATAAGTCATGCTGCTATTCTCTCTTTACAAGGGAGGAAAGGGAGGCACAGAAACTAAGTAAATTGCTCCAGGCCAGCCAGCTAGTAAATGGAAGAGGGTAAACGAACCTCCTTGGGTTCTTGCTAGAGAAAATAAGATTTCACTTGAGCTATGAAGTGACCACACATTTTAAGAGCTCCAGTTTTAGGTCTCTGACCCGCCACCCCACAGCTGGTGAGACTCAATCAAAAGAGCAATCTATTCTTTTGGATCTCTTCCCTCCCTTCAAACACAGGACAATGTTGTCGGTTCTGATTTTCCCATGGGTATCCTTATCTCCATCTAGGAAATTGGTTACAGGAAAGAAAAAATGTCAGGCCACCTTTGGCTATGTGTGTGTCTTCTCTTTGCATGTTCTGCAAAAGACTCATGTTTTTTGAAGAAAGAATAAATCTCAAATATTGAAACCAAAATATAACTGTTAAATGGCATAATGTCCATGGGTAGACATCAGCAATGAACAAAATAGCCATGACACAGTCCTTCCCCTCGTGGCACTTACAGGGAATAAGATACTATTCTAGTAGTCAAAAGTGCAACAGTAGTCCCCTACTCACAGGAATGTAATTAAATGACATGATAGAGCATGGAAGAAAAACAATAGTGTGCTATGAAAATGTGTCACTGGGGGGCCTGGTCCTGGACAGACAGTGGAGACTTTCCTAAGAGAGTGACATTGAACAAAATGACCAGGACTTTACTCTTTTTAGTGAGGAGTGAGCTGACGAGGACAAGAAAACAAATCCAGAGAGAGGAAATATCACGGGCACAGTGGCACGGGAGTGGCTGGAGGGAGAGAGTGGCTATGGTGCAACAGAATAAGATCCTCAGGAAAGGTGGAACCAGGATGCCGCCTTGAGAAGCCACATGGTCTTTTCCCTAAGAGCAGTGGGAAACCTTGAGAGCTTTAACCAAGGGAATAATACAATAAAATTTTCATGCCTGTTGAATTATTTTGCTTACTTGATTGAATATTTAAAATCATTCACAATTGGCAGGGCACAGTGGCTCATGCCTGTAATCCCAGTGCTTTGGGAGGCCAAGGAGGGCGGATCACAAGGTCAGGAGTTCGAGACCAGCCTGGCCAACATAGTGAACCACCCCCCTCTCCATCTCTACTAAAAATACAAAAATTAGCAGGGCATGGTGGCACATGCCTGTAGTCCCAGCTATTTGGGAGGCTGAGGCAGGAGAATTGCTTGAAACTGGGAGGCAGGGGTTGCAGTGAGCCGAGATCGTGCCACTGCACTCCAGCCTGCGCAATAGAGCAAGACTCTATCTCAAAAAAAAAAAAAATTCACAACTAAGTAAAACCTTTTTTTTTTTTTTTTTTTAAAAAAGTATTACATTAGGCCTGTAATCCCAGCACTTTGGGAGGCTGAGGCGGGCAGATCACAAGGTCAGGAGATTGAGACCATCCTGGCTAACATGATGAAACCCCGTCTCTACTAAAAATACAAAAAAAATTAGCCAGGCGTGGTGGACAGTACCTGCAGTCCTAACTACTCGGGAGGCTGAGGCAAGAGAATGGCGTGAACCTGGGAGGGAGAGCTTGCAGTGAGCCGAGATTGCACCACTGCACTCCAGCCTGGGCGACAAAGCAAGACTCCGTCACAAAAAAAAAAAAAGAAAAAAAAATTATTAAATTATTTTTGATGGACAAATTATAATCGTATATATTTATGGAGTATGATATGATGTTTTCACACAATGTGGAATGATTAAATCAAGCTAATTAAGTAAAACCCTTAAAAAGAACAAAAAAGGTCATTCTGACAGCCAGGAGGAGGGGAGGTTGGGTGAATGGATGCAGATCTGTGGGAGGCGGCTGTAGGGTCTCAGAGAGATAGGAGTAGATTGAGCTAGGAGTAGATGATGTTAGAAACAGAGACGAGAGGTTCAAAAGTTAATAGAGAGGTGATGGACTGGGTACAGGAACATGGAGAGGGACCAGCCGTGGAAAGGAGGAGTGAGGTGGTTTCCAGCGGTGGAAAGAGGGAGGAGTGAGGTGGCTTCCAGGAGTGAGCTGGGAAATCAGCCTGTGCCCACTGCCAGCACACAGTCTACTGTTTGCCAGAGAAAGTCTCACTGGGGGCTCACTCGAAAGAAAGAGTGGGTCTACATCAGCTTTGAGTTTCACTTAAGATTTTGAAAACAGGGCTGGGTGTGGTTGCTCATTCCTGTAATTCCAGCATTTTGGGAGGCCTGACCTCGGGTGATCAGTTCAAGACCAGTGAAACCTCGTCTCTACTAAAAATACAAAAACTAGCCAGGAGTGGTGGCGTGCCCCTATAATCCTAGCTACTCGGGAGGATGAGGCAGAATCGCTTGAACCCGGAAAGCAGAGGTTGCAGTGAGCCGAGATCACACCACGGCACTCCAGCTTGGGCGACAGAGTGAGACTCCATCTCAAAAAAAAAAAGATTTTTGAAGACAGATGGTAAAAGATCTGGGACTCAGATTTGAACACACTTACCTTAAGTTCTTCCATCCTTTCCTGGATTGTGGAGAGGTCAGATGAGTGGCTAGGGTCCTGCCCTTGTAGTATTTCTTCAGCTTCCACTATCCAGGCCTCCAAAGCTTCTAAACTCTTGGCAAAGGTTTCATAATCAAGAACTCCAGCCTTTTTTTCCACAAAAGAAATTGGTATTTCAGTTAAAAAAAAAAAAATTGGTATTTTAATAAAGTCTGGTAAAAGGGCAAGTGGATATTAAAATTATTTTTCATATTCTTGTATCAAATTGCCATTCTCTAGACGTTCCTATAAAAAAAGCTATAACAATTTAAATCTTCTTTATGTAATTTTTCTAAAAACTATAATTATTTCTATGCACCATAAGTCAATAACAATTCAAATTATTCTTTAAATACATGATCAAACAACACGTCTGAAAAATCTTCTGATTCTTGTAAAAGTCTGAGTTAAATAAACACGAATATTTATATTAAAGCCGCTTAGTGTTTATTAATTGAACAGGCCATGGTGGCAGGCATTGGTTCAGGGGCTTGCATCTTAAACCGATTTTAAAATTCCTTGGCAGAGAACAGCGCAAAACGTCCACCTTCATCGTCCCCACCAGAACTTCCAAGTTTGTTTACTTGCTATTTTCTTGAGTCTTGAAGGAGGCATTGTTGCCATGACAAGGAATTCTTTTTCTGTGTTTGTGCCCAGATATTAGAGAACAGCCAATATACAGAAGATACTAAATAGGAGCTCTGTACCTGTAATGAAGTCTGCTGTTTGCAGAGAGCTTGCTCCAGGGCACACAAGTGTTGACTCAAAGAGAGTTGATCCGATTGAATAGCTGATGCTGCGGAAGCATCCACTTGTTGCTTCAGTTGCTCTCCCAGCTCATGGAGAAAAAAGAGGGAATCTTTAACTGTGCCCAGTCCTTTGAGGAGGTCCTAGAAGAGGTGAAAATATGCCCACTCTGAAGCATGTTGATACTCCTTATCATAAACAGCAATCGGCAAAGGGCTACACATGTAGAAACACACCATTCCTACGGATCATATTATTAGGCTAAATAAACTTCACCTGTGGAAAAATGAACACGCACTGAACCCCATTTTTTAAAATGCTATGTTAATATTTTAAACATACATTATACACATATAACCTATGGCTATATATAATTACTCTTTTGTTAGTAAAAGCTATGTAGGTTCATTACAGGACCTTGGGGAAATGCAGAAAAACATACATAAACAAGAAAAAAAAAAAAAACAAACATGACCCAAGAGTAGAGCCAATAACTGGAAATATTTTGGCAGTTTTTTTCCTGCCTCTTTATGTAATTTGTATCAAATTGAAAACAAAATGTTATATTTTTCCTTTTTCTATTATTATCATACACACCAGGAATTTGTCCGTGGTGTCTTCTATATGTGTGGTCACATTATTGCAAGTACAGCAACCTCCTATCTCAGTAGGGTACAGAACACAGTGATGATTTTGGTGAGCAGGGGGTGAGAGTAGCCTGTATTCCCATTCTTTTCCATGGGATCTCTTTGCCTCCACTTTCTGTGGGACCCTCCTACAGGTTAAAAAATATAAGCCAATGGAAACTCCCTGTTTCTGCTTTCTATCCTATCATTGAGAGATAATAAGTGACTGCTTCTTCTACCTGTTGCTGGTATCCCACTCAGTCATGTTATGCCTAGGCAGTGACTTCTGTGAGAGAAAGAAGAACAAAGGGCTCTTTACGCTTGACACAGATAACAGACAAGGTGTATTTCAATTCAGGAGTATTGAAAATGACAGTTCTTGTACACACAAATTATGTGGATGAAAAAAGCACTGTATTATCTTTATTTTAAAATACCCATCTTTAGCTTTAAAGTGATTATTCAGGTTGAAGATATTAGAATAGGTTAAACTTTTATTTACATAGTTTTTATAGCTTGCCTAATTCTAATAAACTGATTTGGAAAAGTTTATAAAAAGATCCTCGTAACAAGCTCTTAAAAATAAAGACAAATAAGGACAAATAGTAAGAGCCATGTAATGCTTGAAACAAGAGAAGAGCTGTTCCTTAAACCCTTAAGTAGGTTATTGGCAGCTACAGTGAAAAAGAGAATTATTAAAAAGCCATTAAAAGAAGTATACCAGTAAATTAGGAGAGAAAGACTTCTTTCTACCATTAATATCTTAGATGAAACTATTGTGTAGATGCTTACATAGGAGTTAATGAATGTAAATGGACAACATCTGGAACAGAAGATTTTTTAAAGATAGAACACTATTCCCCATATGGTCATGTCTTATATTGACCACCCTAGAAAACACAAAGAGCCTCAATCTTTCACATTGACTAAATTCCACTAGGAAAAATGGGAAAACAACTCATTTTAAAAAATAAAACAATGGGAGGAGACCTCTTAGTCTGATGCATGTGCACCTGTGTTCTGAAAATCAGGCAGGCTCTTTGATCCTAAGACAGTTATTTTTGGGTAACTGTCTCACATAGAAAGACATACCAAAGCTTACACAGACCAAAAGCTAAACTTGGGCAGTCTAAGAAGGGCATGTGGGGAAAACAAGGTAGCTCCTGAACATACGTTGCAATCTTGAATCCATGTGGCAACCTCATCATCGGCAATGTCCTTGTTTGTGGCTGCCTTCAACAGCTCATTGGTTCGATCCTCCTGCTGCTGAACTGTCGAAGCACACTGTTTGGAGTAGTCCTTGTATCTTTGCCAAAGCTGAAGTAGGGCCTTGCTGGACTGTAGCTGCTCAGCAATCTCTTCCAGCAAGTTATTCCATCTGGAAATAATAACCAACACTCATGAGCAGATTACCACCTCTCACCAAATGTGGATATGTGCTATTTTATTTTTCATGATCCTGGTTCATGTGAATATAGACATAATCATTTCTAGTTAACATAATAAAAATTAATGTTTCATATTCCTAGTTTCAGGGTAGGTAATGAGGATGATGGCAATCTTTGGGTGTACAGTACTTCTAATTCTTTCTAAATCTCTTCACTACATTTATTTATCCTTAAATTCATGTTGTGAAAGAGAAGTTTAAAGGAATAGAATCTATATAGCTCAAATTCAAACTGTCATTGTTTTAATTATATCATTATTTATAATAAGGCTGTGATATAAATAGTGTGTAAAGTTAACATACTCCATACCTCATGTTGACTTCTTTCAGTGTATTGGTAAGAGTTTCTGTCACGGGTGGGTGACACTCTTTTAATAATTGGTTGGTGATAGAGCCAAATTTCTGTAAGCTCCTTTCCTGTTTTTCCAGATCATCTTGGAGATTCTGCCCCAAAAAAAAGACCCATAGATGACATAACAGGATCTAAATTCTAATAAGCAAGTTTAAAAGGAATTTGTATATGTTTTCATAAATATGTACATATACTTGTATAAACCAGGCATGACTTAGCACCAATGCTTTATCAGCTTTCTTTAGATAATCATTTATTCTCTTTTGTAGGATTTTGTTATTTTGGCTATGAGAAGAGGTTCTGAGCAATGAAGCCTTCTTCTATTGGCATTTGCATTCTGCTGAAAAACTCACATAGGGTGCCCTTGTCCATTGTCTGGTAGGAAGCTGCCAGAGATGGTAAATTCCTCTTCAAAGGGTTTAATTGTGTAATGTCCTTGTCCTTGGTTCAGAGGCCTCACCTCCTTGTACTTTCTTGTTTCTGGCCTGTGAGCAGCCCTCCTGCTCTTGTTGTGTCCTGACTTGCCCAGACATGTCCAAACTTGCCTTGTGCTGTAACACAGGGACCACTCCTACCCCTCCCTCCCTTGAGAATCACATATTTACCCTAATTGGAAAAGTTTAAGTCTTAGCCAACTGAGGTCAGTTTAGATTGAGTGGTCCAACCCTAGCCAACAGGGGAAGGATGCAGGGATAGGGACTGCGTTAGGGATAAAAACTCCTTCTCTCCTTTGTTCAGTGTGCTCTTGCAGCAGCCAGAAGTGTGAGTGGCACCCTCCTGCAGAAGTAAATTTGCCTTGCTGAGAAATCCTTTAAGTGCTCATTTTCCTTGCTACCCCAAGCTCTTGTTTCTAACAAAGCCATGGCAATGGTGTTATGTAACGTGCTATCTGCCAAACTGTGGATCTCTTTGACACTCAAAGCCAAAGCCAGGTCTCTATTTTGTTACATACCCGCAGTGCTTCTACCACAAACTCCCGAAGATGAAGACTCTAAGAAGGCACAGCTTTGCCAAGCTTTATCTCTGGGTGTTCTTCCTTGCCAAGAATTATTTTTAACTTAAAAAAATGATTTTCAATTGACAAATAATAATTGTATGTATTTGTAGGGTACTATATGATGTTTTGATATATGTTTACATTGTGGAATGAATAAATTAAGATAATTAACATATCATTACCTCACATACTTATCCATTTTTGTCTAGCAAAGTTGAACTCATAGAAGTAGAGAGTAGAATGGTAGTTACCAGGGCATGGGATAAGGGATTAGATGGGGAAAAGAAAGATGTTGATCAAAAGGAACATAGTTTCAGCTACACAGGAGGGATAAGCTTTAGTGATCCACCGTACAGAATGGAGACTATAATTAATAATAATGCACTGTATATGTCAAGATTGCTTAAAGCAAAGAATATTTATCAGACAGGTTTGGCATCTTCTACCAAGCCTATCTAAATAGTCTGCTACCAAGGACCAGTAAGGGAACTGAAAGAAAGTTGTTTCTCTGGAAATAGTGCTGAGGTGACAGACTCAGTTCTTCATAAAACTCCACAGGTGAAGTAGGCTACAAAAATCGAGTACTGTTTAACACCAATATCTGATTACCCTCAAATGAAAACAGTCAAGGAAAAGACCCTTAATCCTTTCATGTCTTAAGACAGCTCTTGCAAGTATTAAACATAACATATATTAAATTAAAAAGCATTTCTAACCTCCTCAAAGTTATAAGATGTGCTTTTAAATTTACTATCCTCAGAAGAAGTTTTCGTGATCCTTAGTAACGACAATTTAAGGGTTAAGAAATTATATAGACAAATTTGTCCTTCCTCTCTTCCACCCTACCCTAAAAAAAATATTTCCTTAAGAAAGTCGGCCGGGCATGGTGGCTCATGCCTGTAATCCCAGCACTTTGGGAGGCTGAGGCATGTGGATCATGAGGTCAGGAGTTCAAGACCAGCCTGGCCAAGATGGTGAAACTCCATCTCTACTAAAAATACAAAAATTAGCCAGGCATGGAGGCACATGCCGTAATCCCAGCTACTCAGGAGGCTGAGGCAGAGAATTGCTTAAACCCGGGAGGCGGAGGTTGCAGTGAGCCGAGATAGCACCACTGCACTCCAGTCTGGGCGACAGAGCGAGACTCTGTCTCAAAAAGGAAGGAGGGGAGGGGAGGGAAGGAGAGGGGAAGGGAGGGGAGAAGAGGGGAGGAGAGGAAGGCAGGCTGCATCTGAGGTCAGCAACATAGAAGCTTTGATTGGCTGGCCAGGGAGGCGGACTAGATATTAGCAGGGCACATGCTGGTCTCTTGTTGGCCTCCCATCCCTTAGGGGCCTGCCCTGCCCATCCCATAGTCTGTGTTCTTTAGCCAAGAAGAAAGAGCAGTGACAGGTGAGAGTGGCCCGGTGCACAGGAGAGTGGGGGCAGCAGGAATTTGAGGGCGGTGACCTGAGACAGGAGAGAGTGCTATGTTGAAGACAAACATCAGGGATATCATTTTACATGGACACAATGACAAAGGACCCACAGGAAACCAAGCAGTAAGTGCTAGAAAGGAAGATTCTGTGGACACGCTGGATAGGCCACTGATATTTTACTGAATGGAAGCAACTGAATGGTTTAAACATTTACCACTTTTGCCGTTTTTCTCTGTGTTTTCTTTTGAACATTCCTTAGAATATGTTTGGAGATGCAGATAAGAAGAGAAAAGGAAGACAAAAGGCAGTGACAATGAATCAAGGAGGTTCAGTTGGGCATAAAATCATTGTATAAAAGACGATGTGAATATTTTTTTACAACAGGATCTTGGAAACCATTTAGTTATATACCAGCTAATCCAGAATTTGGCACACACAGGCAAGTTTGCTCAAGTAACAATAACACAGGTAAAATTAATTTTAAAGATCTTAAAAAATAATTAAACGTAAACAACATATGGCAATATTTCAGGATGATGTCTCCATTTGGTAATTTTTCAGTTTTCTAAAATTAAAATGAACGTTAAGGATGTGTTAAATTAATTCCTTACCTGAAGATTGTCCACCTGAACTTGCACAGCTTCTAAGGAGCCAGTCAGCAGACGGAATCGGGAAAGAGAGTATCTGGCCTCCATGAGGTAACTGTTTATCTTGTCAAAGGCCACTTTGTGACTACTCCATTGGTCAAGCACTGATTTCAGCAGTATCTTTAATTGTCCAACCTTTTGAAAAAGACAAATATGGCTTATAATTTCATAATATCTAGAATGATGGAATATATATTCAATTGATGGGAAAATATTAACATCTAAGAACTTCATCAGGGTTTCAGGTATCATAAACAAACAAAACTAAAAAGAAAAAGATTTAAAAGGTAAAATGTATCAACTTTGAAATTTATGCCTTCCACACTTTAAACACTCAGTTCTAAGTGGAAATGCTTAAAAGGGTAACTGATAAATATATATATATATGTATATATATACATATATACATATGTATACACATATATATGTGTATATATATATACATATATGTATATATATTTTTAAGTTATAAGAGGTTGATACTTTTAATAAAACAGTTTAAGAATTGTATTAAATGAGTGTTTCAAATGCATTAACTCATTTAATCCTCACAACACCTTATGAGATAGGTATGATCATTATCCCCATTTTATAGATGAGGAAACTGAGACACTAAGAGGTAATGAAAATTACCCAAGATTATACTGCTAGAATGTGAGAAATTTCAATTTGAATACAGGTAGTCAGGTCCCAGAAAGTGAAATCTATCTATAGCTATAACAATATCCATATCTATCTCACATATGCGCAAACACACACACACACACACACACGCACACACACACACACACTCAGATAAATATCTTAAGACAAAACATCTAAGATATTCCTTCCTCATAATTATTTATCTCTGTCAGAAAAGTGTTTAGCTTGGTTTGCATCACTTAGATACAGATATCCACTTTGTATATCTTTTGCCAGGCTGGAGACAGATGTTTGAGAATGATCTATTGCCATGGGAATGGATGAGATCATTAAGAGAGTAATGTTTAAAATAAAGGCTTATTCTAGAAAACACCAGAAACTAGACTTTAAAAAAAAAAAAGAGGATAACGAAGTGGACTTAAAAGTACAAGGAGATAATGTATAGATTTGATTATTTCCTCTGCTACTTTAGGAAAACCAAAACCCAGAGTTTGGACAGAGCTGGCAAACACGGTCCTGGAGCTGGCTTTCTGTGAGCAATATTACCATGTGATCTAAATTTGCCCAGGTTTGGCCGAGCTCTCGCAGTGTGCTCATGACAATGCTAGAGACGTCTTCTTTCTTGTTCTGAATCAAAGCAAGTCCATTCTGCTCAATTTTCTCTACTTCTTTTTCTTTTGCTTTAATCAAATCTTCCAGATCCTGAAAGATTTAAAAAATAGTCACTTTAAATTGTTCTATTATGGAACTCTGGGGTGCACTGAAATTGGGCCATTATAGTTTCATGTCCTAAAAACCTTTTACTAATCCAAAAAGCTTATCTCTTTCAGAAGAGGCACGCTGCAGAAGTACTTCTTCCTACACTCAAATGCAAAAAAAAAGTCATCTTTTTACACATGGCAAATTAGCATAACTTTAAAAAAGTAAAATTTGATATTCTACCAGATAAGGAAATGGTACTATGTAATTTTCTCAAGAGGCTGTGAGGAAAGAAATACATGTCAGAAACTGTAATATTATTTATATTATTAAGTTCATATATGTTGGTATTCAAAAAGTTACGCTGCCTACCTCATAGGAAGAAATGTGATCGAATGTGGTATTCTGGGCCCTAGTATCTGAGATTTAGTCACATTTCTACTACTCACCTACCCAAAGCTGAGTCACTTTGGGTAGGTGAGAAATTTCTACTGGGTCTCAGTTTCTTCAGATGGGAAATCAGAAGACTGACTTCAGATGGGAAAAGATCATCTGTATGATCCTCTCTCTCTAAAATACTCTGAATTCTATGTGATTCTGAAAGGCTTCAGGCTTCTTTGATGAATCAAATCCTCATTTTATTTGGGATATGCATTCATAATTGTCAGTATAAAATGTTCAAGAATGAAAAGCAAAATGAAGAAAAGATCTGGAGCTCATACTGAACCTGTATCATAACCCTAATTTCTATTTTAATGCCATCTGAAAATTTGAGAAGCTCAGTGAAGCAGACTGAGACTGCTATCAACATTTTATAAATAAATAAATTGAAGATCAAGTCATCCGACCTGTCTTGGGTAAAAGAGCTGGTGAGGGATGGAGTGGGGATTAGAACCCAGTCTTTGGAGCCTATGGACTCCCAGCCTGATGCCAGAAGGAGTCGGCTGAACCTCAGACTGTGGAGGGAATATAAATCCCATGTTGGGGTGATATGAAAAGCCAGGCATTAAGGCATGGTTACAGTCCCATATTCAGAAGTATACCCTCAGAACTAAAAGCAGATTTGTAGTTCTTGGAGATTCGAATGGAGAAAATTCCCAAATACTTTAACTTTGGATAACACCTCAATTGTATAAAAAATATTTTCACCCCCCTCATGATCCATACATGAGTAATAAGATTGAAATTGGATAGTGCTGCTGATAAGGTGTTAATGAGGAGTCCAGTCTCTGTTATATTAATTTCAAATGTCATGCCTCTTTAAAAATAATTTTTGCCTCTTTTATTTCTGTTTCTATTATGGTTCAACTTGTTAATCTCTCTCTACCTCATTTTTAAAATAGTAATAATAAGACATTTTCTCCTTACTCCAAGGAGATAAAATTAGGTAAATATATATAAAATATATTTTAAGCTGTCAAAAAGTAGCTAAATGCAAGATATTATTATGTTTAGCCATTTGGCAATGTGCCATGTTTCAGTGCAAATTTATTTATTTTTCTCTATTGAATTATCATGAAGCTATTTTTGTTTTGGTTAATTAGTTAGACACTCACGCATTTGGCAGCTTAAAGTGATCATTTTTGTTTTTCATATTGTTCTCTTATTTCCACTCTATAATTTTGTCACTATTTTGACAGCTTTGATAATTACCAGAGAATAAATATAGTGATTGCTGGGGTTACAGGTCCTTTGTGTAGTATAGGAAATATAATTAATTTACTATTTAGAACTTTTCTATTTCTGTAAAGAGATTAAAAGACCAGAAACAATCCTTCCAATATGTCTTTAATATGATTCTAAAATTCAACAATTAGAAATTGAGTTTATCCTCATTTTTCTATGATGTTAACTTTTTCTCAGTGAGGAATATTAAATGAATGTTCCATTGCTTAGAAACTATTTCTAAAATGCCCTGCACACGTATGTTGGTAGAAGAGCAAAACCCATGAGGGAAACAGGGCTGAAATATATATTTTATAAAAAATAAAGGTGTGTTTCCCTTGCTTTCAATAATAATTAAAAGATGATTCTGTTTCTGATCAAAAAGGGGAAAGGCCAAACCTACCATTTTTAAAAACAATAAAACATTCTTAACTTCGATTAATTCATAAATATCAGTTTTATGTTGGTTTAAATTAATAAATCACCTATAAAAGACTGGGAAAATACTCAAGATTTTTAAAACAAAATAAAGCTGGAATCCAGTCACCAATTTAAGTATACTGGCTTGAATTTCACACTTTGGTCCAAAAAACAATTTCTCAAAAATGACAGTTGTATCAAGACCTGTAGTATAGCCAAATAGAACCTTCCAGTTAGGCCATTGTGATTTATTTATATGCGTTGTCCCAAAATAATTATATGGGCTACTTTCATTCTGTCTTTTGTTTCAAAGATATGACTTTTCATTTGAAATCATGAACCGGCATCAGTACAAAGTTCTTTCAACCACACTTTAAGCTTTCCCTCCTGACACTGTCTGACCTGGCTCTCTGAAAGACTAAAACTTAGGTCCTACACTTGGTAAAACATGGTCAAGCTGCTGCTATATTTTCCAGATGGTAAGGTGTCTCCCTGTTAAATAGAAGAAATGAACAGGAGAAGAAACAAAATGGAAAATGGCAGAAAAAGCTATGTTAAAGAGAAGAAAAAAATACTAAGAGAGAGAAAAAGTAAAGTATGGAAGAAAAGAAGTGGAAAAAATAAAAGAAAATGCAAATGGTATTAATGTGGTATTTCAGTCTTTCAACAGTAAAGTTTATCACAACCATGCAACCAGAAGGTCCTCACTTTGCTAATTCTAATACGCAGAATTACCTTTCAAAATCAATGGATATGTTTTAATTTAGGAACTCAACAAAAGTTATGACATTTTGTCCTCAGAAGTAAAGAGCTGAAATTCTGGATTACTTGTAGATTTTTGAATTTATGGCCTAAATCAGAAATACCACTGGCCTCTAGAAAGTTGGAAATGCAATGAGACTAGCTGAGGCATGTTCTTCATCTTCAGTCTTTAAGCACCCATTTTCTGATGTGAGGCTTTTTTTTATTAAATAAAAAAACTATTATTACTTCAAGGTATTCTCTATACGATGTTTTTCTTTATCAATTTTATGCAGTCTCAAAATTGTAATCCATTAGCTGGGGAGCCAGCACTTCTCTTCCTTTTCAGAACCGAAAAGCTTTGATTAAGTGCTTAAATATACCTCTCTTTATATGTGTCCCAAACAGAAAACATAATGATTGGAAGAGAGATCATTACCAAAGTTCTTTCTTTCTGAAACCCGAAATAGAAAAACAAGATTTGCAGAGAGAAGCTTTTCTGTAGAATTACTTCACTGTTTAGTTTTCAATTGTTTTTAGGAAACACTATAAGGGAACAGTCATAATCTGTAACAATATATGAATTCATGAATTATTTTCAAAAATCTTATTACTGTATTAACTGCAATAGCTCACTTTTCTTTTGGGCACACAAGAAGACCTGTGGAAAGACTGTGTGTCCCTGAGTCACTGGAAAACATTTGGAACGTTACTGCTTCACCTGAACTTTCAATCCGCATCCCTCAGAGTAGAACAAGCACACTCTGTGTACTTCTCCATGTGACAAAAAAGGAAGTAACATGGATACTTCCTATTAATTAATAATGGGATATTATTAATAATTAATTAATAGGAATTCCACTGTGAAGTGCTTGTTCAGAGGAGGTGAACGGGAATCCAACTAAGCCTCTAGTGCTAACTTCCATTTATAGGACATACAGAGGAGAGAAGAACAAATTAAACATCTTAAGGACATTCATAGGCCAATCCTGAACATGGCACCCATCAACAGCTTCTGCGACAGGTTATGGTCTTAAAAAAATATTCAAAAGATTTAAGAGATCTAACAAGCAAATGTAGCATATGCATATTGTTTGCATCCTTATTTTGAATAAGTTAACATATAAAAGAAATTTTAAAGACAACCGAGGAAATAGGATTATGCGTTGAACATAAAATAATATTAGAAATTATTAAACTTTTGGTGGTGATAATAATATGGATGCATTAAGAAAATGTCTATTTTTCAAAGATATATATTGTATGTAAGAATAAAGTGACATGATGTCTGGTATTTACTATGATATCTATTTTAGAAAAAGAAATAATTTAGGCAATTTTTTTTTTCTTGGAAACAGGGTCTCACTCTGTCACCCAGGCTGAAGTGCCATGGTGTAAACATGGCTTACTGCAGCCTCGATCTCCTGAATTCAAGCAATCCTCCCACCTCAGCCTCCTGAGTAGCTGGGACTACAGGGACAAGCACCACCACGTCTGGCTGATTTTTGTAGCTTTTTGTAGAGAGAGGGTTTCACCATGTTGCCCAGGCTGCAAATCTTGACAATTATTAAATCTGATGCTCAGTATACAGGGTTCATAGCATTTCTCTCTACTTACGAGTATGTTTGAAAATTTTCATAATTTCAAATTTTTAAAAACGAGTGAAAAAAACCTAATGTATTTTAAAAAAAACCCTATAAACTCACAAAATCAGCAAAATTTGTTACTAAATGCAACTTTTAAATATTTAAAAAAATATTTAACTTGCAACTCTCAAGGCCTATAAACATATTAGCATACGCTATGAAATTGTGAGATGGTGCATGTTAGCCACCTGGACAAGTTACCTGACAGTCTTTCAGTGCATTTTGAACAGAAGCCTGATCTCCAATTCGATGCTGTTGTTTTAGTCTCTTTTCCTGGGTTTCAAACCATGTTTTCAGACATTGTACATTATTTTCATATTCTGACCAAGATTCCAATAAGCCTTCCAACAGCTGGATCTGAACAAACACAATAAAATGAAATTTGCAACTTTATTTTAATAAAATCAAATCATTAGCAGACTAATTATTCTAGCCAGTATTTTCTCCAAATTAAGAATTCTTAAAATACAGTTCATCGTATATATGATTTAAAACAGGGGTGTCTAATCTTTTGGCTTCCCTGGGCCACACTGGAAGAAGAAGAATTGTCTTGAGCCACACATAAAATAAACGAACACTAACAATAGCCGACGATCTAAAAAAAAAAAAAATTGCAAAAGAATCTCATAATGTTTTAAGAAAGTTTACGGATTTGTGTTGGGCTGCATTCAAGGCCGTCCTGGGCCGCATGCAGCCCGCGGGCTGGGCAAGCTTGATTTAATAAATGAATTTCATAAAGTATGAATCAATGACTATTACTGGGAAGCAAGAAAGGACTAAAGTCAACTTGAAGCAAAGGCAAAATAAATCAAGAGGCATCTTTAGAAAACTGAAACACCATAAAATATACAAAGAGCAGAGAATGTATAAGAGAAAATCATCAACAGGTTAAAGGAAGTTTAGGGTGATTAACCTTCAGCGGTATTATTGGAAGCGTTCTTTGCCCAGTATAGCCACGCTACTTGTGAACCCAGTCTTCCTTACAGAGTGTGCCTGTTCTTGGGGTTTTCATGTAAATCTGGACAGTGGGAAGCCACTGGCTTACCTTCTCAGTTACTAGACCTTGCAGAATTTGCCAACTTTTATTCATTGCTCCAAGTTGCTCAGCAAAATCAGTCTTATCACTACGCTTACTTTCCACATCCTGACTGCTGATTTGTAGCACGGACTGGTTCACAAAATCCACTGTCAGCTGTTTACAGTTAATGTCTATCTTAAAACCCTAAAAAAAAAGAGGAGAAAATAAGATTATACAATAAATGTCTCATTAGTTTTCCAGGAGTTGGAAAGCCTTAAGTAACCTTAATATTAATATTATCACTTCCATAACTCAGCTGAAATGGCACAATTTGTCTGTGTTCACACAACCCATTATTTTTAGAAGCCGAATATATATTTGTATACGTTTATATGAACATAAACACAGATATACGTGTGTATGTGTGTGTGTGTGTGTGTATATATATATTTAGGTAGAAGATTTAGAACTAGATAAATTATATAACCTCACTATAAAATATTTATAAATTTATTTTTATAATTTCTGTAATTCTTTAATAACACAAAATTATTCAAAATCATTCCTAGTACTGGATATTTCTTCTTATTTCTATAACTGATAATGCATTTTTCTTGCTATTGAATTCCTATCTGGTCACTGTGTAGGAAACATACATTCCAAGACTTGATTACCATAATTTGAGTTTTTTAGTTCTTTCAAATAAAATGGTCTGAAAATATGAAAAGTTAAAAACAAAAAATTTTAATTACCTTATATTTCTGAAGGTATTCATGAATTGCCTTGTAACCTATGGAATTTTTAATATTATCTTCATCCTTCTGAATAACATTTTCCATTAGAGAAATCCAACTCATGACTTCAGAAATGGCATGGCGGGAAGGCAGTTTATCCATCTGGAGCTGTCCAAGTCAGGGAGAGAACCAGTCCCAAGTGTTAAAATGGAAACCCCAACTTCTGCTAACTTAAAAACCCTACAATAATTCTTAAAAATGTACCAAGAGAGATAACACTCCTTAATGACATTTGGAGATCTTACCCTTTCTGAAAGCTTGAAGTTAAACATCAGGCAAATGTTGAGGAATAATAGTCATTTTATGTTCACTTGATATCCAATACTGTAAACACTGTATAAACATTAACTAATTAATCAAAGCACCAGAAAGAAGAGAATATTATTCTTATTTTATAACTAGTTTTATGAGTCTAAAAAAACTTAACCAGAAAACATTCAACAGATGTATTTTATTAATTATCTTGTAAAATCTCTGCATATTATGACTCAGGAATGTTAAAAGAAGAAAGAAAAATACCACACTACAAGCTATCATTTTCTAGAGTTTTTGGCACTCTAATCTTTATTCCTAAGAACATAGCCAATTTCCTCAGCCCTTAGCTGATATACACTACTTACAATTCGAAATCTTACTTAACATATCACACATTTATGCATATGTGTATTACGATGATTTGGAGGAACAAAAGCAATCATTTAAAATCTTTGTATATCAACTTCTGTGTGGTGCTGAAAGATATAGCAATGAACGTGGGTTGGTTCCTGCCCTCTGGGGGCGCACAGCTGTTGCTTAGGAGAGATTAGGCATGTACACAAAACACAGCTATCCTGCCTGAAACACAGTGATGAGTGTCAAAGAGAGATAAAGATAAAATGTTCTGGGATTTCAGGGGAGGTGGGTGTATTTTCAGATAAGAGGATTATTTACATCTACTGAATGCCAGTTGCTCTCCTATACATAAGATATTTTTAACATATATTACGTTCTAAATCTTCATAACCACTCACTTTATGAGAAAAGTGTATGTAACTGTCCACATTTTATCTGAGACAAAACAGAGTTTAAACAAAGCCAGACAAACATTCCAATACACATACCCACACCCACATACACACATTAAAGAAACCCTCAGAGGAAATGCCTTTGGGGCAGGGCTTTGTAGCGTAGTTCACTCTTTTTTTTTTTTCTGGAGACAGTCTCACTGTCACCCAGGCTGGAGTGCAGTGGCGCGATCTCGGCTCACTCCATCTGCCTCCCCAGTTCAAACAATTCTGCTGCCTCAGCCTCCCGAGTAGCTGGGACTACAGGCGCACACCGCCACGCCAGGCTAATTTTTTGTATTTTAGTAGAGACGGGGTTTCACCGTGTTGCCCAGGCTGGTCTTGAACTCCTGAGCTCAGGCAATCCACCCTCCTCAGCCTCCCTAAGTGCTAGGATTACAGGTGCGAGCCACCGCGCCCGGCCAGAGTTCACTCTTAATATTAATACAACGGGAGAGAGAAGAGGCCAGGTGTCTGGGACAAAGCTGATATAAATTTGTGAGCAAAAGCAAATTAATGTATTTCTCCATGTCAAATAGCTTAAGTCAGCTATTTCCCACGAAAGCAATCCTTTCTGTACCTGGTGGAGCTTCTCCTGGACGGCTGGGATATTGGTTAGCAGGTCAGTCCACTGGCTATCAATGCGCGACAGCTCAGAGCGCAGCGTGGCTGTGTCCACCTTTTTTAGTCGAAGGAGCTGATTTCCAGTACTCAGAACAGATGATTTCAGGGAAGATTGGGCATCCACTTCTTTAGAAAACTCCTGAAACAAGTAGCGATGTTCAAATTAGGGTTAAATAGCTAGACCATTCATTAAAAGGAAAGCGACCAATTTAGTGCATGAAACAATTTCCTTTACATCCTGGAGGGGGTTATGCTGAACACTCAAAAGAAAATGAAAGCAGTACACCCTTGCCCTCGAATGAAAGGAAACTACGAAGCCCCGACTTGAGAACTACTTGTAAGAGGCAGTGTTGAGTCACTGAGCCCTATTACTTTGCATAATTATGGAACACACATAGTCAACATTAATATATTCTCTATAGCTTAGTTTATTAAGTATATCCACTGATGGTTGACTTCCTTTCTTTTCTTTTCTTTTTTTCTTTTTAGATGGAGTCGCTCGCTCTGTTGCCCAGGCTGGAGTGCAGTGGCACAATCTCAGCTCGCTGCAATCTCTGCCTTCCGGGTTCAAGCGATTCTCCTGCCTCAGCCTCCTGAGTAGCTGGGATTATAGGCATGCACTACCACGCCCGGCTAATATTTGTATTTTTAGTAGAGACAGGGTTTCACCATGTTGGTCAGGCTGGTCCCGAACTCCTGACCTCGTGATCTGACTGCTTGGCCTCCCAAAGTGTGGGATTACAGGTGTGAGCCACCGCACCCGGCCTGACTTCTTTTCTACTGGTGTATGGGTCAGGCCTAACTTATAGGCCTGAATCAAATGCTTTAGATTCTTAGACTTACCAGGAAAGCATTTAGATGATCACGGACCATTTCCAGCTCTTGTGGGACTGTCACAGATTGCTGAGTCCAAAATTCTAGCCGGTCTTTTGCAGATTGTAACCAGTGAATTAGATCTGCAGATTCACTTTGATATCTGTTAAGTATATTATGGAGTCCATTAAGTAAACATTTCATCCCTATCTTCTACTCACCTACGTTACTCACCAATGCCAACAGTTTTAAAACGAGAGGTCTGAAGATTTAGAAGAAAAATGCATGAGGTTGGCACTCTGAAATTTTCTTCATATTGATACCTTTATCAAGCCTGTCTCTCTGGGTTTCCGCTGGCCTGTCTTTAAGCTGGGTATAAAAATACCTTTCCCCTACTCTTTCACATTGATGCTACTTAGAAAATATTAGATGATGGTTACAAAAAGTCCTTTGAAATAAAGGCGGCTTAGACACAGACTATGTCATTATGTAAAAATCAACCCTCCACCCCGCTGAATGCTTCCCATTGCCCTTGAGAAGCTTCTGCTTCTCAATCCATGTTTTCTCTTTCTCTCCCTCTCAGGCTTTACTGTGATATCTCAGACACAGTGATTAGGCAAGGGAGGGTGAAACTCAAAGGTAAGGTGCCTTATGCATCTGCCTCCCTGCTCACTTCTAATTATATGTTTATATGAGTATACAAGAATCCAAGTGGGGACTTTCTACTTTTCTTTTGTTTTTGAGATGGAGTTTCGCTCTTGTTGCCCAGGCTGGAGTGCAATGGCGCAATCTTGGCTCACTGCAACCTCCCCTTCCCGGGTTCAAGCGATTCTCCTGCCTCAGCCTCCTGAGCAGCTGGGATTACAGGCATGCACCACCACGCCTGGCTAATTTTGTATTTTTAGTAGAAATGGGGTTTCTCCATGTTGGTCAGGCTGGTCTCGAACTCCTGACCTCAGGGGATCTGCCCGCCTCAGCCTCCCAAAGTGTTGGGATTACAGGCGTGAGCCACTGCACCTGGCCTCTGCTTATCTTTATTTTCCAAACTATACAATACGTTTCTAGAGGAGCCATGTCACTTTCAAGTGAATATCTACTTGCCTTATTTATTTATTTATTTTTGAGACACAGTCTCACTCTATTGCCCAGGCTGGAGTACAGTAGCATGATCATGGCTCACTGCAGCCTCAACCTCCCAGGCTGAAGCAATCCTCCCACTTCAGCCTCTCCAATAGCAGGGACCACAGGCATGTGCCACCATACCTAGTCCTTTTGTAATTTTTTTGTAGAGATTGGGGTCTTACTATGTTGCCCAGGCTGGTCTTGAACTCCTGGCCTCAAGCAGTCCTCCCGTATTGGCCACCCAAGTAATGAGATTATAGGTTTGAGCCATCATCCCCCACCCGCACTAGCCTTATTAATACAATGCAGCACTTATCTAAAAATATACAAAACAGTCATTGTATTACCTGGTCCAGTGTTTCAATATTGTTTCCAGTCTGTGAAGTTCCTTAGACATTTTATTGGTGTTACTTAGCCAGCACTCTCCAAGTTGATTTAGTTGGCTTTCTAGATCTGAGCAGCTGATGGATATCAGAAGTCGTTTCCCATCATCTAATACTTGATATAATTTGGGCTGGTATTCATTAAGGCTAGATTTTAAATGCTAAAATATTGAAATTATTGAGTTAAAAGTTTGGATATGCAATTTTTGTCTTTAAGAATTATAATTTCTCTGGTACCTACAATGTTCCCATTACCTGTTATTCAAACTTAAACTATACTCACTCAAGTAACATTGAAAACTTTAAGATGTTTCATCTATATTTAAGTATAGACAGTCTCCTTTTGTTGTTTATTATTTTTTTTTTGGTAATGACTTTAGGTGGATTTAAAACTGTCAAATTATTATTTCAAGAATTGTGTGGCATCAGCATAAACTACAGAAAATGCTTGGTGGAGGCTGAATTTTCAAAAAGAGCTCTCAGTAAAAAAAAGAAAAAAGAAAGACTTTTAATAATGTCCAACTATAAATAACAGAAACATTATCTCCTTTCAATGTCAATAACTTGAAAGAAAAGTAAAAGTACTAATAAAATAATTGATCACAAGTTTGTTTACATTCTGTTAAAACTATTGGTAAGTTTCTAAAGGCAATGTGGCGGCTTGTAACACCAACCTGGTAGAGTGTTATGCGGTCAATAAGCCTGTCCTCGTTCTCCTCCACCAGACCCACGCTTGGGATGCTGCTTTCCACCACCTCCAGCTGTCTGCTGAGCTCCTGCTGGTCCTCATCCAGATGGGACCACGTCTAGAAACACAACATGAGTCTGTGAGCTAAAAAAACCCTCATTAGCGAAAGACATTCTTCCTTGGGTGCAAAATACGTGCCTGACAGTCTCTCCTTAAAGTTATATCAGAGATGTTTGCGTTGGGCCTTGCTTTGGGAAGCAAAAGATGGCTTTAAAGCAAGTAATCAAATGGTGACCCTTGAAAGCATTGTGAATGGGCTCTGGAATCTGCCACTAAGCCCCTTTACAACTGTGAGTAAGCTACTAAACTCTGTACCTCTTTTCCATACGTTACAATGGGGATAATAATAGCTATCTTCTCCATCATGAGGATTAAATGGAATAATGTATGCAGTGTACCTTCTATTGGGTATGCACTTTTTTTTTTTTTTTTTTTTTTAGATAGGCTCTCACTCTGTTGCCCAGGCTGGAGTACAGTGGCACAATCATGGATCACTGTAGACTCGAACTCCTGGGCTCAAGGGATCCTCCTGCTTCATCCTCCCAAGTAGCTGGGACCACAGGCGCATTCCACCACACCAGGCTAACTTAAAAAAAATTTTTTTGTAGAGATGGGGGTCTCACTATGTTGTCCAGCCTGGTCTCAAACTCCTGGTATCAAAAGATCCTCCTGCTTCAGCCTCCCAAAGTGCTGGGATTACAGGCATGAGCCACCACATCTAGCCCAGGTATGTATGGTTTTATTCTTTACCACAGTAAGGATTTAAGTCAAAAGGATGGGGATGTTTGCCTTTCATGTAACGAGTAAACAAATCAATTACATTTGCATATGAAACATATCTATAAATATGAATATATAGTTTATATATTCTGTTAAAGAAAAATACCACATCACTTATTCCTAAGTTCAGACTTTTATTTTATTTAAAACTGGAAAACACTTTTTAAAAGATCAGTTGAAGTCTTTTCCAGTAATTTACGCTGTGGGTCAGCAGTTTCTCAGTGTGAGTATGCTCACTTCACTGTGCAGTTGGAGTGGCAACAGGGCACAGTAGTAGAAACCCATGCTTTTTAAATACACTTACCAAATATCTATTGCCTGGTATTTTCAATGCCTAGGGATCTGGGAGTAAATAAAACAGACACAAACCCAGGCCTTCTAGTGAGGAGAGACAGGCAATCAATAATAAACAATAAACCAAAAACAAACAATAAGTTGTATGGTATAATAGAGTTCTTGTGCTGTGGAAGAATAAAACAGAACTGGGTAGGGGTGGGAGGGAGTGCCCAGGTGTGTGCCTGGTGGGGCTACAATTTAAATGGTGTCATCAGGTAAGTTTCATGGAGAAACACACATTTCAGGTCGTGAAGTCAGACAGATGAAGGTGTGATCTCTGACTTTGCCACCAATTAACCACGTGTCTTGGCAAACAGTTGCTCCCAGACTCATTGCTGAAACAGGGATTCAAAATTCTATCTCAAAGGGTTATGATAAAGATGAGATGGATTCATGTAAATGTAAGAAGTCTTGCCAGGGACCTGACATGTCAATAAAGTGTAACTATTATTACAGAGATTTCAAACGTTAAAGGTAGATGTCTCTCCAAAATATAGGGAATTCCACATCAGGGAATTCCACATCTGGGATTTGGGGGTTAGCTACCTATGAAAATGTTGGCCCAGGGAAAATCCCATTTAGAAAAAATGCAAATACGACCTGCAGGCAACCCAGTTAAGATCAGTAATATTGTGGGAGTGGGTGGGGAAGTCCACAAAGGGGAGAGAGATTATAATCTCTAAAACTTCCAAGGGAAAGAGGAAGAATGAGAAAGCAGGAACAGTTTAGGGCAACTGGTACAGTTACTGAAGAAAGAAAGGGGACTGTTCCATCAATAATGTCCTACATTTCCACGGGGTTCTATAGCTTGCCAGTAGCCACCACTGAGCACTACTCTGTTCCAAGAGCAACCGCATTTGGGACAGAAAAAAATATTTCTACATTTTACTTTCATTTTTTTTTTTTTTTGAGACAGAGTTTTACTCCCGTTGCCCAGGCTGGAGTGCAATGGTGTGACCTTGGCTCACTGCAACCACTGCCTCCCGGTTCAAGTGATTCTCCTGCCTCAGCCTCCCAAGTAGCTGAGATTACAGGCACCCACGACGACGTCCGGCTAATTTTTTGTATTTTTAGTAGAGACGGGGTTTCAACATGTTGGTTTGTTTCATCATGTTGGCCAGGCTGGTCTCGAACTCCTGACCTCAAGTGATCCACCCGCCTCAGCCTCCCAAAGTGCTGGGATGACAGGTGTGAGCCACTGCACCTGGCCTATTTCTACATTTTTCATACTCTTAAGTAAGCTATCAGTCTGAATATCAAAACCCCAAATATCTTCATGCATAGTCTGAAGTCAGTGTGTATCTATCTTACTTTCGACATGGCACAGCAGATAGCCCAATGTACACAGAAAACACAGGGGGAATAAGCAACACAGAACCATAGGAAAAGTGCAGTCCTGAGCCCGAGAGCGCAGCTAGTTCTGAGGTTATGTGAGGCAAACTGCATGGATAGATACATCTTGCATTAAAGGTCTATTTTGCAGCAGGAAGTTTGCAGCACAGAAGATATGACATCAATGGTCTCACCTCTAGAATGTACTCCAGCTCCACACCCCTCTTGTGAGCCCGTTTCAGTACAGCAGAAGCCTGAGCCATCAGCTCTGTATGGAACTGGGTTTCCTTTTGGACTGCAAAGCTGATTATCTTTCTGAAGAGTGTTTCAGTCAAGATCATATGAGATTCCAGGCCCTGAAAGTATTCCTGCAATTTTTCAGGAAGAAAGAAGTCAGCAACTCATTCATATATTATGTTAGAATCAAAATTGGTTTAGGGCCGGGTGCGGTGGCTCACGCCTGTAATCCCAACAGTTGGGGAGGCTGAAGTGGGTGGATTACCTGAGGTCAAGAGCTCAAGACCAGCCTGGCCAATGTGGTGGAATCCGTTTCTACTAAAAATACAAAAATCAGCCGGGCATGCTGGTGTGTGCCTGTAATCCTAGCTACTCAGGAGGCTGAGGCACAAGAATCGCTTGAACCTGGGAGGCCGAGGTTGCAGTGAGCCAAGATCGTGCCACTGCACTCCAGCCTGGGTGGAGAGGAGTTCACACCAACCCAGCGCTGGAGCTGAGTAGACAGCTCTGCATTTCTAGAGGAGAGTGAGGAGTGCGCGAGGAGTCCTTGACCAGGACAAGGGAGGGCAGAGGGAGCAACTAGGACCAGGTGTACAAAGGGGCAAAAAGGAAACACAGGGAAAGGTAGAGGTAAGAACGAAGGTGGGCTCCTTTGAAGACAGGCTCTGAGTTTTTCTTTGCCAGGACAGTTGGAGCTCTGGTTGGAGACTCCATCTCAAAACAAACAAACAAACAAACAAACAAAAAACATTGCTTTCCTTCCTCCATGGCTGGGCTTGGGCTCTACTTTCTGAACTTCTAGGATATTTGCGTGCTCATTCCATGTTGTCAAGCACAGCTTTATATGCACTGATTGATATTATAAATTTGCTTTCCTTGTATTATACCTACACATAACATAACTGTAGGCCTTGCGCCATCCTACTAATGTTTTTGAAATGTTACCGTTTGTGTATAATAGACCCTGGAGAATGGAGATTGAGCTTATCTCATTTCCTGTTCCCAGTACCATGATAAAATGGAAGAGCTGGCAACTGATAATGACAGTTAACATTAATTATGTGCTTACTGTTTGCTAGGCACTCCATAAATACTTTATCTGACTCATCTCATCCTCCTAACAACTCTATAACTCTATGAGATAGGCAGTTTTGTTTCCAGTTTTACAGATGAGAACACTGAGTCCCCCCAGTCTATGTAGCTTGCCCAAGGTCACATAGCTAGTCACGGCAGAGCTTGGGGTTCAAACCCAAGGGCAGTGTGGCTTTATCTGTGCTTCTCACCAGCACTGCAGAACTCTCCCTCAGAAAATGGGCTGGTGAGTAGAAGCTAGAATCATTATTTTTAACCAACAATTACCAAATCAGAGTCCTAAAGTTGGAGGAGACTTTGAAGTTCATCTAGCCCAACATGCAATGAAAGCTGAGATTCCTTTTACAAGCCCATCTCCCCTAAAAGCCTTGGCTGGACTTCTCATGGCCAGAAGGGCTGTCTGCTCAATGGCAGCTTACTCCTTTTATAGTTCTTTTTCTATTGAGGTTTATTTCCCTGTTATTTATACTCATTGATCCTAGTTTCCCCTCTGGAATAACTCAGAATGATCTTTTATTGCTATGGTCAACAACGTGAGAAACACCAGCTGTGGACTTTAAAGCAATGTTTTCAAAGCCAAATGATAAGGTTTTAATAAATCATGAAGCTTTGGACAAAAACGTCTGGGAAAAAATAGGAACGACAATTTGAAAAAGACAAAAAAAACCCACCTTTACAAGCCACCAGAGAGCTACACAATGGTAGAAGATTTTAAACTTCTATAACCCAATGGGATTTTTTTAGTTTCCCTACAGGAAATTCCCATAGTCTAGAAGGCTGGGTTTCTGGACTGGCAAAATTGCTTTCGTAATCATTGCCAATAATGCAAGAGCTGTGTGTGTGTGTGTGTGTGTGTGTGTGTGAAATACGCATTCTTCTACCATGGAGTAGTGTCCAACCTGAGCTTGGCTGTGGCACACAATGATGGAGTGATTTCGGGCCTCCCAAGTTTGATTACATAGTAAACGGCCTTGCTGTTCCCAGGGAGAAAGTCTGAAGTCTACAGCAACTAGAGGAGCATATGTGTAAGGGTCAGAGGATCTAAACAATGCATGTAAAAGACACCAACCCAACCCTGGATCTGAGTAGTCAGCTCTGCATTTCTAGAGGAGAGCAAGGAGTGAGCGAGGAGTCCTTGACGAGGACAAGGGAGGGCAAAGAGGGTAACTGGGACCAGGTGGACAAATGGGCAAAAAGGAAACACAGGGAAAAGTGGAGTTAAGAATGAAGATGGGCTCCTTTGAAGAGAGGCTCTGAGTTTTCCTTTGATTTTAGCTCATCTAGGGAGAAAGCCTGGCTAATACTAGTGAGGAACTGATAGGTAAAATTACAGGTAAGTTGGTTTTCTTTTTTAATTTACAACATTATAGAAACATATCCCCTATAATTTCTCTGTGCTACTGAAAGCCAGTGGGTTTGAATATAAATTTTTTGGCCATTTTTAAAGAATAACTTATACAAGTAAGAACTCATAAAAGACTGAGAATATTAGGTTTTACTAAATATATATCAGGGTTTGAGAGCATGCTTTCCAATTACATTTTCTCTCTATCACTCTTTTTTGTTATGTACCTTATGTTTGTCAAGTAGTTGCTGGATTTCCTCTTTGGAAGACACGATGATTTTCTGGTCTCCTGCCATCTTCTCCTGACCAGTTTCTAGCAGGTCAGCCAGATCTTGTAGGGCCCTCTCATACTGACTCTTGAGTGTAAGGTTCTGATTCAGACCACTCCTCCGGGAGCCAATGATCATCATCAGCTCATCATACATGTCCTAAGAAGCAGAGACCACAAGACTCACTCTCAATTCATATTCTGGCAACCCTCTAAAAGCATATGAACTATGAACGCACCAAGCCCGAGACCCAACCAAGAAAATGCCTTCAGGGATGTGCCTCCTGGAAACGCTCTACCTGTAGGCCATCTGCTTGTCTTTCTATGAGCCTTACTTTGAAAACATGTTTCACAAAGAAATGACCTTTGGACCTCTATTCTCATGCCTATGATATTCGTTGTGACTTTACTGTGTCTTGATACCTGGTGGTTCAAGTTCTTTCATTAATCTTATTTGGTATTCTTATCTTGCTGTTTTAAATTTTATTTTATTTCTAACGGACAATAAAGCACAACGGAGAAACTGAAAAAAAACTGAATTCATAAAAATGTAAGTATGAAGTCACTGAAAGGATAAAATAAATATTCAATAAATAATGTGGAAACAACTCAACTCTTTGAAGAAAAATAAAGTCTTATCTCATGCCACATATCAAAATGCAATTTAGATTGATTACAAAATAAAAATTTAATAAGTTAAAATATGAAAGGAAATAAAGATATGTCTATAAAAAATAAGGTTAATATTTTAAGATTTTAAAGGACATGTAAAAGTGTTTCCTAGAAATGATACATGAGGTAGATTTGACAACTGTTTTCTCAGGATATCAATAGTTTATGATAAGATGTGGGGTAAAACTGTTGAAAAACTGTCCATGTGGCTGAGGGACATGTCATAGAAAATGTAATTCCCATTTTTATAGTATTCTCAACATTCATATAATTTCAGAGCAATTGAATATAATATCCTTAACATTTTCCTGCTAAATAACAATCATATTTGGGACTACCCCTCAAACAAAGAGCTAGAGAAATAGGGGAGTTTAATGTGAGCAGAAAGAGTTTCAAACTTAAGAAGGCAATATTTTTGCCAAATGTGGTGGAGTATATAACTATTTAAACTGGAAAGACATTTTAGGAGATGATGACACACCAAACACAAAATTTATTTGAGGCATACGGACCTGATTAACATATCACATTAAGGTTTAGCAGGCCAAAATGGTTCAATCTGGAAGAGTTCAATTTTAATGCCTATTTACGGCAATGACATTTGACTCTTACACCTGATGCTTAAGTGCTGTCGGAAAACTGTCTAAAAAAGTACAAAGTGGGGGAGGTGGGCTTATGATATTATGAAATGTTAGATAAAGGACAGATACAGTTAAAATAAAAATGTTCTTTTGTTTATAAGGTCTATTTTATTTTCTCAAAGAAAGAACTCACAACCCTGTACTGGACTGAGGTTACCAGTTCTCAATAGTTCTGCACACAGAGAAAATCTAACATGTGTGTCTGTGTGACTGTACACAGTTGTACACAATTTTTTCTTGATCGAACATAACTGCTTGCCTAGTTGATGCTAAATTTTGTTGGTCTAATATCCAAGGATCTTCTTCCTACCCCAATATCAGATTCTTGCCTAAATGTCAGATCTAGCAAAGGAAATTAACCCAAAGCATTATTCTCTGTTCCTGAAGGATGATAGGAAGTCTGTTTAGATTTCAACTACCTTCTAGTTTAATTTTTGTTGTTGTTGTTCTAGAATTGAAACAATGTCTCTATTCCATTCAAACATATATGGAGGATAAACTATAGTGCTTGCCTTAGAAAAAAACACTTTCTACAAAGTATTACTTTGATTATTTGCTTTTTAAAATAGTATTTGAAGACATAGTGCAATACGAGGGTAGATATCCCTTTTTTAAATTTTTCTAGGTAGGATTAAAAGTTATTCTATTTTCTACAGTAGAAAATAATATGCTACAACTAAACTATACTGTAATGCTTAACCATGAGAATAATAATAAAGTAACTGTCAGAAAAACATATGAATCTTAGCAGCATGAAAACAACTCATTTCCTTGTACTAAACATGTTAAGCTTCAGAAAATTTTCTAAGAGTTGCTTGGTAGAAAGGTTAGGACCTAAGTGGCGTGAATTTTATAAAGAAAGCCAAGAAAAATAAAGTGATTTTTTCTAGACTTCAAGTTTGATGTACCCCTGCAGCTGAATACTACTGGCTGAAGGCTGCACCTGGAGCTTGGAGAGTTCTTGCATGGACGGCTGCTCGACCTGTAGCTTGTCACCACGCCTCTTTAATTCAATGATTCCTGCATCAAATTCTTTGAGTCCATCTTCAGCCTGTTGTATTGCCTAAGTAAGATCCATGACATTTTATTAAAACTCCCATGAACAATTTCCCCACGGAAGATGTGATTATTGTATCTCTTTCTGTGTTCCTCCTCTCCATGTAAAACATTCTCAATATATACAAAAGGAATCATTTCAATAAAACAAATCGAAAGCCATGTTCAGAGGGTATATAGAAAACAGAAGAAGTCCCCTCATTAGTACAGAGCAGTTATCTTACAGATAATGAGGCAGGAGAAAGTCAGGGTAGAGGGCTGGGAGAAGGATGTCTTGCTTAAACAAAAAAGGGAGTTTTGAAAAGCAATAGTTAAAAAAAAGAGCATCATTTAGGACATAGTTAAAAAAAGGTATTTGCCTGAGATTTTCTAAGGGACCATGTTCTGCTGTCCTTGAAACGTAGCTGTGAGCATCTTTGGAGAGAGATTCAGCGAGGCAACAAAACATATATTACAGCATGGTCAAAGAATCTGTGCTCCTTGTTGTGAAGTGGAAAATCAATCAGTCAACAAGTATTCAAGTGGCTGCTATTGCTAAGCCTTGTCTTCCCAGTGTGAGGTCTGTAGAAGCAGAACAAGATCTCATCCTGTCCTTCAAGGAGCTGATGGTCTGGTTAGGAAGCCAGAGTAAACAGAGAAAAATAAAGCAAGGCTGAATATAAGTAAGTACTATACTCGATAATGCAACTCATCCCCATTAGCAGAGATCAGAGAAGGGAGATACCAGACCACAAATCCTGGAGCAGCCTAAGCAGGCGTTTGGAAAGAGGGCAACAGAGGTTGCCCCTGAAGGAGGACAAAAACAAGACTCCAGATGGCAGCTGAAACACATGTGTCCAATGTTCTCTTTCCTGAAAACCCCCTACAGTCAGAGTGAGTATTTTGTTTGCTTGTTCTCTGGCATATTTTTTCCCCATAAATCTAAAAGGACAAGGGAACAGAAAAGAAAACAATGCCAACAATATGTTGGGAGCTAGAAGTCAAAAGAATACATGATAATTGACTTAGGAAATCTGGGGAAGCTGAATTCTAAACCAGTGGAGGATCTCCACCACCCACTTCAGAGCAACAGAAATCTCTGGAACTCTGGGTGAAGTAAGCTGGGGTGCTAAGTAAGGAGGGTTAGTGAAGAGCTGCTTAAAGGACAGTTAACCCACAGATGCCCCTCCTTATTCCATACTGTCCCTTTTTCTTCCCGGGTAAAAGACTGAAAGTGTGTTCTCTGGAGAAGGTAAAACAGACAGAGGGGCACTGGACACAGCTGTGAGCTTGAGTGCTTGACTGAAAGCAAGGGATGAAATAACTGGATGCTCCCTGCATGCTGAATGTGGGGCCCCTGAGTCTTCTCTCCCTGGGGCAAGAAGTGCTGCAGTCAGGGCTCTAGTCTCCAGAGATGAGAGGGAAAAATATCTGAACACACCAATAAGACAGGCCTGACAATTTGACAGAAGGATTCTCTAACAAATAAATGGTCCATAGAGACCATCCTGCAGGAACTCTTAAAATTATCATGTTCCATCCACACACAGAGTTCCCTTTCAGCTGTTTAGTCCTCCATCCTAAACCTGAATAGGCAACAAAAGATTTCAATATGCCTTTCGATGACATGAAAGATGGGGACTAACAGAAGCAAACAAATAAAAGCAAGCTGGAGGAAAACAGATTATACAGGAAAAGTAGAACTTTAAACAACAAAAAAAAAACCATTAATATACCCAGAAAGATATAAACGATAATGTATTCATTAAAAAAAATAAAAAATACTACAAAAAGGATCATTCGGAGAACCAAAGTGAGCTCCGGGAAAATTAAATACGTGAGAGCAGAAATGCCAATTCAGTACAAGAGTCTGGAGTTGAAATTGAGGACGTTTCTCAAAAAGCGGAGCAAAAAGACAAAGAAAGGTCTCTTGGTAAGACAGTTCAAGGGTTGAACCCGAGTATCTGACAAAAAGGAGTTCTCCAGAAAAGAAGACAGGTAAAATGCAGGAAAGAAATGTATTAAATAAATCATTAGAAAATTTTCCAGAACAGAAAGATGAGAGCTGCCAAATCAGAAGAGTCCCTTGAGCTCCCAGCCCAGTGGATAAAAATAGATCCTCCCCAAGGCATGTGATTGTGAAATTTCAGGACACTGGAAACCTTTGGGAATTAGAATGTTTTTAGATTCCTTAAGACAACACTGAGAGCTAGAAAACAATGAAGAAAAAGCCTTGAAACTCCAAAAGAATTCATATTCAACAAATGACCCTGAAGGATCACATAAAAACAGCAAAGCGATCAATAAAGTGTGAACATGGTATAAGAACATTTTCAGACATACATCTGGAAAAATACACTTATCATGTACCCTTTCTAAGAAAGGACATGCACTAACGAAACAAGGAAGCAATGCAGTAAAGAGAAAGACTTGGGATTCAGAAGAGAGAAGATCCAACATAGGAAGAAATGAAGGGATTCTCAGGATGGTGGTGAAGGGAAATCCAAGAAGACAACTGTGCACCAGGTTTATGAGGCAAGAGAACTGCTCTGGATTGGAACAGCACAACTCAAGAGATGACTATATTGAGTGAGGTGTGTCTTCCCCATGCCCTCTGCTGTTATTGCCTTTTTAATCCAAGTTGGGTAGGCATGGAATTAGCACGTTCATTAGTTGCATTCCATTTATTCAAAGAAAAAAATCTAACTGGTTATTTCTTCATCTGTGACATTCAGTTATATTGGTCAAAAATTAGTAAAAATTATTACTTGTGATCATACATATCTCATAATTCATATTAGAAATCCAAAGCAAGACATCACTACAGTTGCTCCAGTCTTTTTTGGAATCACACATACATTATAAGCCAAGAAAAAAAACAAAAAGATTTTTCATGGGGAGAAATGAGAAATCTCTTTAAAAAGCAGATGAAATTATGGTCAAGAAAAATGCACAGCCGGATGCGGTGGCTCACACCGGTAATCCCAACACTTTGGGAGGCTGAGATGGGAGAACTGCTTGAGCCCAGGAGTTCAAGACCAGACCAGCCTGGGCAACAAAGTGAGACCCTATCTCCATATTAAAATATATATTTTTTATTATATATATATATATATATATATACACACACACACACACACACACACACACACATATATTTTTAAAAATAAATAAAAAGAAAAATGCACACTCACAGTTTTGCAAACTATTTTGAGAGGTGTTCTTTAACACACACACACACACACACACACACACACACACATATTATATGTCAGATTATTCTCTATCGTCTATCCATAGATTCCCGGGAAGTTCGCTGAAATTAAATCAGAGAATTCTATTAAAACACATACTTCTCACAATTACTTAGCTTATGAAACAGGAGATATTCTAACATCCCTCCCATTTCTTCTATCTGCATTTTCATGCCATCATGCCAGTTTGGGTTCTCATTCTTTCTCTCCAGTACAGCTACATGAAGCCTCATGATGGATCTCCTGTTTCCTGACCCTGGTGCTGTCATGTAAACTAACCAGAAGCAAGATCTAGAACTGCCATTCATTTTTACCTGCAAACATCCCCTACAACTTTCCATGGCCAGGGATCTCCCAGCTGAGTCTAAACACCCAAGAGTGTGCAAGATGATTTACCAGGATGAAACACCACATCTTTCATTTATATTCAACCACATTAATTTTCAATTTTGGTTGTAGCATGTACACAAACAAAAATTGAAAATAAATTTGGCTGAATTTAATTGTGATTTATAACATAAATTGCTTATAATTTATAAATAAATAAAAATACATACACTTATGCTGCATATTTATTTCCTTTTTTTTTTAGCTAATGAGGCATGCAACAAATAAAGTGTACAGGTAACTAGTTTATAGAATAAAGTCCAAAGTCACACATTCAACAGGCCCTACAAACTGCCTTAAATTTACATATCCAATCTTGTTTGTCCTCAGTCACTTTCATTTATCTTAAATTCAGCTAAAATAGAATTACCTGTGTTTTTCCCTAAGTGCTCAGAATTCTCTAACAATTTGTGCCTTTTTTCTTGCTGTCCTCTTTACCGTGATATCTTTCTTTCCTGTTGTTGTGTGTCCAAACTCTTAGGTTCAGTTCAAATTTCCCTCTACAAAGCTTCCCTAATCCTACCCCTGCTGGAGGCCAGAAGGGTCTGAGTACCCATAATGCTTTGTCAGTACCACTCCCAGGACAGTTTGACTTTCTGCCCTATGTCATTGAGGTTCATATCTAATCTCATCATTGGGCAGAAAACTCCTTCAGGTCAGCATCTGCCATGGATACCTTTTCCCAGCTCACATTTCCTAGTTCTGTGCAGATGTAAGTAACAGAGTCAATGTCACCTGGTATGTTATTCAAACCCAGTACTCAAAAACAAAAATACTACAAACAAAAGTGCCACTGTGAGCCATTAATCTTTCATAGAATATTCAAAATTTCATAGTAAGTCATATCTCCTCTATGCATTTTCTCTTCTAGGAAAAGGCAGCTATAAATACCTCTATTTGTTCTGCTACGGGCTGTTCAAACACATTTGCCAGTTTTTGCAGAATGATGTATTTGTTGTCAGCCAGTGATGTAAACAGCACTTTCAGATCATTCTAAGGAGGAAAGCAACGGGAAAACTCAAAATGTGTAACAGGGAATTCAAAATACTTGTAAATATAACACAGATTCTAAGAAATAACATAGAGGCACAGAAATTTAATTTCCAGGAGAAACAATACTGTGCTATGGGAAGGTAAAAGGAACTGGTAACAATTTACTTATGTGCTAAAACTGACTCCTGAAGAATCTGTTACCCAAAGTATTTTCTACATAACACAAATGAAGTTGAACCATACATGTAAAAAGCAACGCTTGTCACCCTAATCTCATTACATCCGAAATAAATGAGCACAGTCAAACATTGCACAGAAATATTATATTAGTGGCTCTTATCTAGGGAAATAACCTATAGGTGTTATCCTGATTTGGGAAATAATATGATACTTAAGAATCATATGATTTCCATTTTGCTCTCTCCTCTTCTTCCCTCCCTCCATCAGTTTCTTCTTCTATTTTTGGAAAATTTGCACAAGCTTTAAAAAAGCCATCCAGAAGTTTAGAAAATAAATATTATCCATGATGGCCAAAAACATGTGAAGAGACAACACAAAAAGATCTTGTTAGGTATTTTGTTCAAAAATATTACTCATTTAAATGTCCAAATATATTTATATTGAGTTAGATTTGTATAAAAAGGAGACAACTATCAGAACTTTGGTACTTAATTCCACAGGGAATAATAAATTAGAAGAATATTTAAATTATAAAAAATTTTGGCCAGGTGCAGTGGTTCATCTCTGTAATACCAGAATTTTGGGTGCCTGAGGCAGATCACTTGAGGCCAGGAGTTCAAGACCAGCCGGGGCAACACAGTGCACCCGGTCTCTACAAAAAGTTTAAAAAAAAAATAAGTGGACACAGTGGCATGCCTGTAGTCCTATCTACTTGGGAGGCTGAAGTGGAAGGATCCCTTGAGTTCAGGAGTTTGAGGTTGAAGTGAGCTATGATCACGCCACTACATGCCAGCCTGGGTGACTTTATCTCAAAAAAAAAAAATTACCAAAAAAATGTATTTTTTTCTCTAAAATATCAACAAATAAGTTCTATTTCATAATAGTCAGCAAAAATATATTTGTCAGAGGTTAAAGCTCAACTCAGGACCTCTTTACCAGGGCCTGATCACGCACATCACCAACATGCAAACATTCTGACTGTCTAATGAGTGGAAGGATAATCGTACCAAGGAAGAAAAACATCTATAAGAACATGTGAAGGCTTTATAATGTAAATTCAGGTCTAAAAAGCAAAATAATGGGTGCATTATGCAGTAAAAATTATAAAATTGAAAATATAGCGCTGAACATGAGAACTAGAATAGTTGCCACTAACCAAAACTCAAAGCAATCTGCAAGTCTAGTGGCTAACTAAATAGGAAATTATAATAACAGCCCTGGAAAAATCCTAGAAACAATAGTTTTACATATGAGTTACTAGGTCTGTATCATTCAACTGTGTTCAGAGTAAGGTCACGTGGGCCATTAAAACCATCACACATTTATCTGTTTTTAAACCTAGTAAAAGATGTCCTGCATTCACTTGAACAGAAGCCTACATTATCTACATATGTGTGTATAGTGACATTCGTCCAGTTAATCTAAATGAGTAGCTAAGTATATATAACATAACATGGGTTAGAAATGAAGAGTGCATAGATAGATTTCCTGTATGCCAGTTTTATGCTTTGTTTTGTTTTGTTTTGAGACAGAGTCTTGCTCTGTCACCCAGGCTGGAGTGCGGTGGCGCGATCTCGGCTCACTGGAACCTCAGCCTCCCAGGTTGAAGCAATTCTCCTGCCTCAGCCTCCCAAGTAGCTGGGACTATAGGCATGCACCACCACGTCTGGCTAATTTTTTGTATTTTTAGTAGAGACGGGGTTTCACCATCTTGCCCAGGCTGGTCGCGAACTCCTGAGCTCAGGTGATCCACCTGCCTCAGCCTCCCAAAGTGCTGGGATTACAGGCGTGAGCCACCGCACCCGGCCCATTTTTATGCTTTTAATAGCATATTTTCTCTCTTAACTATGTTCTACTCAAGGTGGTAGGAAACACAGAGTTCATATTTCTGGAAGTCAGACTGATTATTGGGAGAGACTAGTCAAGAAGATAGTAAAGCAAAGAATATGATTGATTTTAAAATTACTAAATAAAAACTTTAAGAGGTGCTAGTAATCACATGGATATTGACATTTTCTTAAAAATAAAAATGCAGGCCGGGCGCGGTGGCTCACGCCTGTAATCCCAGCACTTTGGGAGGCCGAGGCGGGCGGATCACGAGGTCAGGAGATCGAGACCATCCCGGCTAAAACGGTGAAACCCCGTCTCTACTAAAAATACAAAAAAATTAGCCGGGCGTAGTGGCGGGCGCCTGTAGTCCCAGCTACTTGGGAGGCTGAGGCAGGAGAATGGCGTGAACCTGGGAGGCGGAGCTTGCAGTGAGCCGAGATCCCGCCACTGCACTCCAGCCTGGGTGACAGAGCGAGACTCCGTCTCAAAAAAAATAAAAATAAATAAAAATAAAAATGCAAAGAATTGAACTATTTTTGTATTATTACACTTGCGATACAACAGGATAATTAAGGTATCCATATATTACAAACATAAAATACATCACTTTTTTTTTCTTAATAGTCACTGGAATTATTGGCAGGGCAAAAAGGAGCAGGATTCTAGCCATTGAGAAACAGATTTGCAGAAAGTTTCAAGCTTTAAAACCAGTTGTGTCCGGGCACAGTGGTTCATGCCTGTATTCCCAGGACTTTGGGAGGTGGAGGCAGGCAGATGACCTGAGGTCGGGAGTTCGAGACCAGCTTGGCCAACATACAGTGAAAGCCCATCTCTACTTAAAAATACAAAAATTAGCTGGGCATGGCGTGCATGCCTGTAGTTCTAGCTACTTGGGAAGCTGAGGCAGAAGAATTGTTTGAACACGGGAGGCAGAGGTTGCAGTGAGCTGAGATCTCCCCATTGCACTCCAGCCTGGGCAACAAGAGCAAAACTCTGTCTCAATAAATAAATTAAATAAATAAATAAATAAATAATAAAATAAATAAAATCAGTTGTGCTGCCTCACTCATTCATTAAAGAATTCTTTCATTCATTTTCCAATTTTCAAAATAATTTACAATACACAATTATATGTTTGGGGAATTTGAGGTTACGTCCATGGGTAAAATTTTTGAAATACAAAATAGTTCATAATTGACTTTATTGTGATTCTATATATGTAATGTACATCTACATAACATCTATGCATCCTTCCAAATAGTCTTTTTGGTATAGAATAATGTTAGCAGTCTGGCAAAAGCTAATCCTGAAAGATTAAATGCAGAATGAAGGCATACCCTTCCAGTAACTGCTGAGGACTGACAGCATACCAAGGTGTTTGGTGCAAAGTTAAAACAAAAAGGAAAATAGTTTGTGACTTGACCTTTAATTATGTTAACATTGGAAAGTTTCTCTCAACTAAATTGGAACACAAATATTTTGAAATGTCTTTTTGTTCGTGAGCTGGCCACCAACAAATAGAAACTTGTTGGCAGAAGAAAAATAGAGAACGTGATTTAAAGAGAATTCCATGATTCTCTTAGATCCTTAAAACAAAGTAAGTTCCAGAGCATTCATGCCTAATTCATATTTTACTGTGACTGGTGATAATTACCAATAAAGTTTAAAAGTATGAAAGTACTAAAGATACTAAATGCAATTCACAAAAGATATGGGGAATGAGAGCAAAAGGGACTGCTGAGGCACTCGGGGATTCTGACTTGATCATCTTGGGGGCAGTAACTATCAGGGAAGACTGCTAGATAGCAGTGCCACTGACTCAGGGACAAGACTGAGTTGCTGGTGGTACCATCAACTGGCAAAGGATATTGGATAAAATTTAAGAGACTCTAATGAAGGCCCACATTCTCCATCTTCCCTGAGATCACCCTAATATGATAAAATACAAAAATATATATATTCTTTGAGTAAAATCCTGGCTCTAGTTCTTAATGGTTGAGTAACACTGAAGTAATTTAATCTTTCTCTTGGTTTTAGATCCTGTATCTCTTATAATACTACTACTAATAACAATAACAACACTTGCTGAGTGTTTACTATGTATCAGGCACTGTTCAGAGTATTTTAAACACATCTCAACTCATTTCATCCTCACCACAGTCTATGAGGCAGTTAATATGAGTATGAGTTTGATTTGACAGTTGAGGATACCAAGGTTCATGGAAGTCAAGCCGCAAAGTTATACAGCAGTAAGTGACAAAGCCGGAATTTGAACCCAGACTGTTAGCTTTGGAGACTACATGTTTAATTTTTACTGTTCTGACTTTGCAAAATTATTATCAGAACAACGTCTGCAGGATGTCGCAAAGATTAAAGACAATGAATATGAGAAAATATTTTGTGAATAAAAAAATGAAACTCAAATGTTTGTGATGGTTTTACTCTGTGGTTTTAAGAATGTAGACTACCAGAAGGCAGTGGTAATTTGTGCCTCGTGAAAATTCCATGTTTCTTGGCTAATGCTACATTTATGTGTAGTGGTTTGGTTTTTTTTTTTTTTTTTTTTTTTTTTTTTTTTTTTTTTTTTTGCAAATCAAAACTCCACATGAAACTCTTGGCCCTAATGACATGTCTCTATTTTATAAAATCTTTCATGTTGGTTAAAAATAACATTCAATTAAAACTTATGTATTCTCAAAGAGTGCTTTTTATTAGGAATGAAAAATCAGCACTAAAAGTTTATCAGCAGCTTTTGCATTTGTTCCGGTATATATTCATAGGAAAAGTTTCCTAAGCACACAATAAGAATTATAATATGGGGCTAAAAGGCAGTAAGTCTGAGGAGTTAGGACTGGAAAGTAACGTAACACATTTTAACACAGGTAGAAGTAATTAGACCACAGCCACTTTCAAAGACTCTTAGGTACTACAGTCTATGGCCCTTTCTATATTCCAACACTTTCTGCATACTCTTTTTTTTTTTTTTTTTTTTTTTTTGAGACGGAGTCTTGCTCTGTCACCTAGGCTGGAGTGCAGTGGTGCAATCTCAGTTCACTGCTACCTCTGCGTCCCGGGTTCAAGCGATCCTCCTGCCTCAGCCTCCAAGTAGCTGGGATTACAGGCCTGCACCACCACACCCTGCTAATTTTTGTATTTTTAGTAGAGATGGGTTGCATTATGTTGGCCAAGCTGGTCTCAAACTCCTGACCTCAAATGATTTGCCTGCCGTGGCCTCCCAAAGTGCTGGGATCACAGGCGTGAGCCACTGTGCCCGGCCATTTTCTGCATATTCTTTCGCAATGTGTTTAAACTCCGGTATTAGTAACTAAAAATTATAATTATAATGATCCATAAATTTGACTTTTATTGATTGAATTCTATTCAGTCCTTAGTTTGAAGTGGGTGGTTTTCTCAACCTTCCATTTCTAGGAGCAAAAAATCTTTAGCTTCTAATCCTTTAATTCAACCCCCTTCATTTTCTACAATGCTCTTGTTCTTCATTACGCATTTAGAAAAACAACAACCAGGTCTGTAACACAGACTCGTGACTGACTATTACTGAATACCTAGAGAATGGTCACGTATCCTTTGATAATATCTTACTTACCTGGAAATTTAGTATTTGCTGAAGTCTTTCTTTCATCTGATGACATCGTTGATTCACTACTGAGTCTAGCAAGGATAACCTGCCCAAAAGACAACCCAAAGTATCTTCAATAACATCTCGATTATCACCATTCTCTGGAAAAGCTTGGGAAAACAAGTTTTTGTTCTTATCCATTTCTTCAGACATTTCCTTAATGTCTTTGGCAAGAATCTAGAGGTGATAAAAGGGCATTTTTCAGTGTTTAGATACATGAATTGATATGCAAATCATGTTATTTTCTCATAGAAAGTCAACTAGATCTCTCTGGCTGCTTAGTAATAATCAGACCTAAGACAACTGGAACCTCTTTCAAATACTTCTATACATTTCAGGAAGTTGCTCTCAGAGACTTTACCTCATTCACTAGTAATAATGAGCAATGTAAAGTGCTATTTAGGAATTTGGTACTTTTTTTAAGCATGTGTTTCGTATTTGGAAGATTTGTGATACATAACAGTGTTTCTACAAAGAGTTTCCCATTTTTCCCTCATACTTACACAAGACAAAGAATGAAAATGCGAACTATAAATATTCTGCATTTAAGCAATTATGTTCTGCATTATTAGAATTGTTTTATGTTTGACTTTCTTTATGCATAAAATTAATTATCCCATCAAAATGTCAAGTGCTTTGTAATGTTATACACACACAGGCAGGAACTACTAAACCTACCTCTTGGTTGAAGAGACAAGTCTCTGTTTCTTCTGGTAAAAGTGCTGTGGCAACAAATAAACGTTCTTCAACGTCATCCAACCAAGTAGAGGTGGCTGAGACTCCATCATACAACTTCTGCTCCAAGTGTATACTCTGCCTCTTTGCCCCTCCACTCTGGGAAACACAAAACAGGGTCAAATAATCAATTTCAGTGTTTTGAAAATCCAGGAAAAATATCAGGATGGGGCCGGTGCAGTGCTCACACCTGTAATCTGAGCACTTTGGTAGCCCAAAGCAGACAGATCACTTGAGGTCAGGAGTTCAAGACTGGCCTGGCCAATAGGGCAAAACCCCATCTGTACTAAAAAATACAAAAATTTGCCAGTCGTGGTGGCATGTGCCTGTAGTCCCAGCTTCTTAGGAGGCTGAAGCATGAGAATTACTTGAACCCAGGAGGTGGAGGCTGCAGTGAGCTGAGATCGTGCCACTGCACTCTAGCCTGGGTGACAGTGCAAGACTCTGAAAAAAATAAAATAAAATAAAATAAAAAACAGGAAACAGGATGGGGCCAGGCGCGGTGGCTCGCGCCTGTAATCCCAGCACTTTGGGAGGCTGAGGCGGGCGGATCACGAGGTCAGGAGATCGAGACCATCCTGGCTAACATGGTGAAACCCCGTCTTCACTAAAAATAAAAAAAATAAAAAAAAATCAGCCAGGTGTGGTGGCACACGCCTGTAGTCCCAGCTATTCGGGAGGGTGAGACAGGAGAATCCCTTGAACCCAGGAGGCGGAGGTTGCAATGAGCCGAGATTGCACCACTGCACTCCAGCTTGGGTGACAGAGTGAGACTCGGTCTAAAAAATAAATAAATAAATAAATAAATAAATAAATAAATAGGATGGGACTCCAGGGTCCAGTGATCTTTGTTTCAGCGCTTATCACTAGTGTTGGGTCTCATGCTCAGGGGTGGATGCAACAGTCTCACAGAGGCCAGGCAAATCAATACAAGCAAAACAAGACTCTTATAAACCAAGCCAAACACACTGATAACACAGCCTTACCTGGGATGAAACCTCCTCGAAGGCTTGGTTCAGTCCATCCAGCAAAGATGTAACTGCAGATTTATCTTGGGTTGGCACGTCCCCTTTGTACAGTGGCACACCAGACAAGAGTCGATTTGGCCTGCTATAAAGCTGTAGGCAAACAAAGGCAGCTTGTTGAAGAGCATATGCATTATGTCCCAGTATTCTCATTTGGAAATGCATACTGAAATAGATGCTGAAAACACTGTCCATATGAAAATTTCTTCTAGAGAAATATAACTTCTACAACATACCATGTCCACTGAACACAGTGGCCAGATGCATCAATGGCAATGTTTCCATGGATGGATTTTTTTTTTTTAAGCAGTGGAAAAAAATGTCTGACAGATAGGAGGAATAAGTTCTGGTGTTCTATTACACAGGAGGTCAAACACAGTTAACTATAACATATTGTATATCTCAATAGCTAGAAGAGAGGATTCTGAATGTCTCTACCGCAAAGAAGTGATAAATGTTTGAGATGATGAGTCTGCTAATTACCCTGACTTGAACATTACACACTGTATACATGTATCCAAACATCACACTATACACCAGAAATATGTACAAATATTATATACAAATAAAATAAAGCAGGCCACCCACGATGGCTCATGCCTGTAATCACAGCACTCTGGGAGGCTGAGGTGGGCAGATCATTTGAGGCCAGGAGTTCAAGACCGGCCTGGCCAACATGGTGAAACCCCGTCTCTACTAAAAATACAAAAAATAGCCAGGTATGGTGGCATACGCCTATAATCCCAGCAATTCAGGTGACTGAGGCACGAGAATTGCTTGAACCAGAGGCAGAAATTGCAGTGAGCTGAGATCACACCACTGCACTCCAGCGTGGGCAAAAGAGCAAGACCCTGTTTCAAAACACACAAAAGATGACATTATAAAAAAAGAAAATTAAATTAAAAGGTGGCTTGCAAATTTTATGAAATAAATGACATTAAGACATAAATAAATTAGAAACAGAAAGGATGAGAACAGACATTGCTGAAAATGGAATCACTGGCATAGAGAAAACTCTTGCAATAATCAGATGAAAAGTAAATCCAAATTTTAAAAAAACAAAGATCAGTACAACTAAAAATAAGTCAATAGGTATAGAAAAAAGATGATCTAACACAAGGATAATTGATGTCCCTGAAGCAGAGATATAATAAATATAGCATAAAATACATCTAAATCATGCCAAAAAATTCCCTAAAATTAATAAAAAAGCAAACCTTGATTCTTAAATATAAAAAAAGTACATTGTGTTACAGGAAAAATATGATAGCAGAACACTCAACATCAAACATAGCCTAGATAAGCTGTTGAAACTTAAAGAAAACTAAATAATTCTTCTGGCATCCATACAGAGAACAATGACAAAAAATAAATAAGGGGAAAAATAGTAGACTGATGTTAGATTTTTCTAAAGCGTCATTCAATGCCAGAAGAGAAAAATAGATATAAATACAAATTCTGAAGGGATAAAAGTATGACAGAAAACTGTCCATCCAATATAGAGGCAACTAGCTGATATTCCCAAACATGATAGAACCTGAGTTTTCTTGAAAAAAGTTATTTGACAATGAAATTAATACCTGAGAGCTGGATCAAAATTAAAAATTTAGGAATTAAAAAGATATGCTGAAAGGATTGGTTATGAGCACTGAGGAATTTAAAGATTAAATTGATTTACAGAATATGGGAATTGTTACAATTGTTCCTTTTCATTTTCATCTTTGCACTTGGCTGCATTATGCGAATTATTATAATGCATATATGTAGTTTTTCAAAATAATAGAGTAATTTTTCTTAAAATTGACTAAATAAAGTTATTAGCAATCATAAAGAAATCTTATCACAGCTTTCCTCTCAACTTTTCTTCTTGGTTTTAGTAGTACCTATAGTGAAATAATCCATCCTAAATACAAGACTCCTAGACTGATCTCTTTGCTTTCATTATTAACCCCATTTCCCCTAAACTCTTTTAGGTATACATATGGCTCCCCAATAAGGGCAATGATATGGTGTAGCATTCAAACTTTTGACCATGTTTTCAATCAAACTCAGTCTCCTTTTTCTTTTTTTCTTCTTCTTTTTTTTTTTTTGAGATGGAGTCTTGCTCCATCGCCCAGGCTGGAGTGTAGTGGTGCGATCTTGGCACACTGCAACCTCTGCCTCCCGGGTTCAAGTGATTCTCCTGTCTCAGCCGCCTGAATAGCTTGGATTACAGGTGTGCACCACCACATGAAGCTAATTTTTGTATTTTTAGTAGAGACAGGATTTCCCCATGTTGGCCAGGCTGGTCTTGAACTCCTGACCTCATGTGATCCGCCCGCCTCAGCCTCCCAAAGTGTTGGGATTACAGGTGTGAGCCACTGCACCCAGCCATCAGTCTCTTTTGACTTTTCAAAATACCTCCTCACCTTTCAGGCTGACTACTCATGATCCTGTAAATATGCCAAGCCCATTCCCCATTGCAGCTGGGATATCCTCCACCCAGCATCCCCTTAAAATCTACTACTTTAATTTCCATACCGATCATAGCAACTTTTGACTATTTTTTCTTAACCTTTGTTTCCTTTGAATTCCTGCTTATGGATCCTGTCATAGTTGCCTAATTTTTTTTTTAGAAATGTATGCACTATTTCCTTATTCGGGTTATAGGTTCTCAGAAGCAGGAGCTGTATTTCACCCTGAAGCCAAGTAGGTTGTTGTGCATGGAAGCATTAAATACATTGGAAGTAAACAGATTAAGAAAAATTGCTCTAAGAGGTTAGTGCCCTTTGACCTAGTGAACTTTAGGCCAAAATGTGCCTGTTTTTACATATGAAACTAGTAAGTATTTCTAGGATACAAAATTGCCATTAAGGTAGTATGAAAGAGGAGGGACTTAGGTAACAGAGATATCGGCTTCCTGATTCCAGATTCACCTCTTCTTAGTCGCAAGACCCTCTCTAAGCCTCAGTTTCCAGGTCTACAAAGTAGAGATAATATTGACCTCACCACAACGTTGTTAGCGATGTTAACACCTAGAACTTAAAATGTGCTCATTATATGATCACTCCTTTCTGCCTGGAAACTGACAGCTAAATTGCTTCTTCCCTCTCTTTTCCTTCACCTTTTCACACCACAGAGAGGAAAACAACCTATGAGGCACTTTGTACAAATGACCAGCGATTGCTGAAACAAAGCACTCAAATGCAAAAATGTCATTAAAAAAAGAACATTCAATGCTTTTATTTCTAATCCAAAGGCAAGGGAGGCACAACATGAACCTAAATTTGAACAGTCCAGGTATTGTGGAATGTCAGTGGCAGCAGGGCAAGGTTTGTTCAGTAAGCACAGCATGGAGGACGCTGGAGTGTCGGCTCCAACTGAGAGCAAAAGCAGCTCTTGAAGATGAAAGCGGGTAATGGATGAGACCTCCAGGAGGTCTGCAGATGCCGGACGAATCACACAGGTGCTTTATGAATGGAGAATAATACGCAAGCACAGAATCTAGAAATATCGTAGATTTCTCTAACTTAAGATAGTCAGAAAAGACTGCAGTCCCTGATTCAGAACTGTACATACCTCTCCTATTCAAAGGATTGGAGGGATACTAGAATATGAAGGGAGAGCTAGCAGTCAAGTCCAGAAGATCCGTATCAGGAACAAGGAATTTGAGCTATGAGTCTGGAGGACATTTTATCAGGGATTTGAGGAAGGATGAATTAAAATACAGGGAGGAGGTCCACGCAAAAAGTATAGGGCACCATTTGCCAGGGTGGATACGATTCTGGGACACCTGCTTCCAGGAATACAGTGCTTTAAGTTTCCCAGGGCAGAGCTGGTGGCTATTTCTGCAGACAGAGGTAAAGAAGCCTCCTGGCCAGAGAGGGAAAGTGAGGGGGCAGAAAATTCACAAAAGCATGTGCTTTTATAAAAACAGAATAGAAAGCGTGGCTCTGGAGAGACGTATGTGTGGCTATCCACAGATGACAGGACACCTTATGACCTTCAGACCAGCGATCCCCAACCTTTTTGGCACCAGGGGTTGGTTTCTCGGGGGTGGGAGAGACGGTTTTAGAATGAAACTGTTCCACCTCAGATCATCAGGCATTAAATTCATAATAGAAGCATGCAACCTAGATCACTCACAAGCATAGTTCACAATAGGGTTCACATTCCTATGAGCATCTAGTGCTGCTACTGTTCTAACCAGGAAGCAGAGCTCAGGCAGTAATGCTCACCTGCCTGCCGCTCACCTCTTGCTGTGAGGTCCAGTTCCTAACAGGCCACGGACCCATACCTGTCTGCAGCCTGGGGGTTGGGAAGCCCTGCTTTAGACCATCTCCTTCCATTTAACTCTGGCAGGTTGCGCCTGCTTTCTAATGCCTACTTTCTCAGCTCCAGCGTTTCCCTCCTCCAATTCACTACAGTTATTGACACCCTTTGCTTCTGGTTTAGCCTCTCCCAGCCCCTAAGCTAGTTCTGGCCAGAGCAGAGAAACAGCAGCTTCCGCAGAGCAACAGGAAAGGTTTTAGAATTCACTCCGATAATACTGCTGACTTGGAATGAGCCTAGATGGACGCTGCTAGCCCAGGACAAAGGACTAGTCTTGTATCTGAAGAATTCCTCTGGGCCACAGCTGTGGTAGGCATCCCAGGCTGGCTTGTGTTCCTGACTCCCTCATTTGCCCTCTAACTTTCTAAGTCCTCTGACTTCCAGTTGTTCCCTGGCTTCTGCTTAGAGTGAAGTAATAGCCATTATCTGGAACCATCTGTTGCTGTCTTCAATTCCCTTGGATTTGGCATGCCTGGTGGAACCAAGCCCGACAGCACACAGTATCCCTCCCAGGAACCAGCCTTGCAGATGGGTCCATAACTATTCCAGCTGACCACTGGCTTCACTTCCCTGCCCTAGACCCACCAACGTCCCAATATGTTTCTCATTAAGATCTCCTGAAATTATTAAATACTGGAAGTGGCAATGGAAAATAAGATGGCCTCACAATTGAGTTCCAGATTTGTGGAAATCCTTCTGTCCTAGATGTGCATATCCTTGATTTCCATCCTTACTTTTTCAAGTTTGCAAAACACACACAAAAAGAGGGCACTTAAAATGTAATGGTTTAGGCTAATAAGGAATCAGATATTAATCATCTCTGAGGAAAAATATTGTCTATAAATCAAATAAATTTTCACATATAAATATATAATTATGAAGGGAAATGTGAAATAGACTTGTTAAGAAAAATGTAGAGTGAAAAATTGGTGTCATGTCTTAGTTTGAAATTGATCATGAAAATTAAGTTGATTGCACAGTTATAATCCCTCAGCATAAACTCTACATCTTTTATATTAGTTAATATATAATGTAAAATATTTGATACCACTTGCTCTTGTTCCTGTTCCAGAACATTCTGTAGTAGTTTCTGCTTGGTACTAAATTCTTGATGTAGGCTTTCCCATTTCATTCTCATCTGGTCTTCAGCGGATGATTTCTCCCCTTCCATCCCCAACTCCTGGGATAACACATCAGGTTTTTCGCTATTAGAAGAATAAATAATCTAAGTTTACAATGTGCACAAAAAAGTGATAAGACAGGTAACTTATTGTGTGTACCAGACCTGGCTTCTCAAATGAAATAAGATTACCTTAGTTATTAGCTTACACTTTAAAAATAACAAAAATGTTTAGGCCAATCATAAAGCAACTATATTCCTACTCATTGATAAACTGAACCATGTGCAGAAGGGATACTTAAAAATGCATTGAATAAAAATAATTGTAACATTTGGAATAAAAAATTATAGCACGATTACAGACTAGTATCCTTTGGCAAATAGCAGAAAAGTTAGTTCAAAACCTTAAAAATGTGTTAGTCTAGGGAGAGTTACGATTATGAGTCCAGAGAAAACACAGGACACAGGAGGGCGGTGCAGGACACAGGAGGGTACAACAGGACACAGAGAAATAGTACAGGGCCTGGAAAGGTAGTACAGGACAGAGGAAGGATCGTACAGGACCTGGGAAGGTAGTACAGGGCATGGAGGGATAGTACAGGACCTGGGAAGGTAGTACAGGACACGGGAATGATCATACAGGAACTGCGAAGGTAGTACAGGGCATGGAGGTATAGTAACAGGGCCTGGGAAGGAAGTATAGGACATGGAGAGATAGGACAGGACCTGAGAAGGTAGTAGAGGACCCTGAGGAGGAATAATACAGGACCTGGGAACGTAGTACAGGGCACGGAGGGATAGTACAGGGCCTGGGAAGGTAGCACAGGACACGGGGAGATAGTACAGGGCCTGGGAAGGTGATACAGGACATGGAGGGGTAATACAGGGTCTGGGAAGGTAGTACAGGACACGGAAAGATAGTACAGGGCCTGGGAAGGTAGTACAGGACATGGAGAGATAGTACGGGACCTGGGAAGGTAGTATAGGACACGGAAAGATAGTACAGGGCCTGGGAAGGTAGTACAGGACACAGGAATGATCGTACAGGATGTGGGAAGGTAGTATAGGGCATGGAGGAATAGTACAGGGCGTGGGAAGGTAGTGCAGGACATAGGAAGGATCGTATAGAGCCTGGGAAGGTAGTACAGGACACAGAGAGACAGTACAGCACCTAGGAAGGTAGTACAGGACACGGAGGGATAGTGCAGAGAGATATGGGAGGAAGGCCCTGCAGTGTCATCCTTAAAGGTAGGCAGCAATGTGACATCTGAGATTGGTATGGCTCTTATTTATTTATTTATTTTTGAGACAGGGTTTCACTCTGTCACCCAAGCTGGTGTGGACTCGTGTGATCACAGCTCACTGTACACTCAAACTGCTGGGCTCATGCAATCCTCCCACCTCAGCCTCCCAAGTAGCCTCCCAAGTCTGGTATGCACCACCAGACTTGGCTAATTTTTTTTTTTTTAATTCTTTGTAGAGACAGGGTCTCACTATGTTTCCCAGGCTGGTCTGGAACTCCTGAACTCAGATGATCCTCCTGCCTCAGCCTCCCAAATTTGTGGATTTCAGGAGTGAGCCACCATGGCTAGCCAAGTTTAACTTTTAGAGTGAGACAGACCTGGATTATGACCCTCCCTCTAGCACATTATCTGTGACACTGGGGTAATTTGTTTCACTTCTCTGTGCCTCAATCTTCTCATCTTTAAAATGAAGATAGTATCTACCTTGCATGATTATGAGAATGAAAGAGAATACATGCATAAGGCCTATAACCCTATCTGGGAAATAATGGCCACTCAATAAATGGGGGTTAATAATGACGAAAATGGGCTGGGTGTGGTGGCTCATGCCCAGCACTTTGGGAGGCCAAGGCAGGTGGATCACCTGAGATCAGGAGTTCAAGACCAGCCTGGGCAACATGATGAAACCTCATTTCTACTAAAAATACAAAAATTAGCCAGGCATGGTGGCGCACACCTGTTGTCCCAGCTACTCGGGAGGCTGAGGCAGGAGAATCACTTGAACCCAGGAAGCAGATGTTGTGGTGAGCTGAGATTGCACCACTGTACTCTTCTTGGTGACAGAGCAAGACTCCATCTCAAAAAAAAAAAAAAAAAAAAAAAAAAGATGAAAACAGGAACAACCTAGGGTGGCTGAATTTCCACGGATCTTCATTCTTCAGGACCTTTGAAGTCCTAACTAAAACCGTGTCATCTAAAAGGAATACTAGATATTAATTAATATTTTGATGCAGGGCGTTTTGCTCAAGTGAAAAAAAAAGAATAACAAGTGTGTTGGCAGGATAATACTCTGTGGTACCCCAAAGCCAATTATTCTTAGAATAAATGTAAACACAACAGTGTCTTTAGATAAGTCTCTAGAAATAAGACTTAAAATTTCTGTAAACTGGCCAGGCACAGTGGCTCACACCTGTAATCCCAACACTTTGGGAATCTGAGGCAAGAGGATCACTTGAGCCCAGGAGTTTGAGCCCAGCCTGGACAACATAGCCAGACCCTGTCTCTACAAAAAAAAATTCAAAAATTAGCCAGGCATGGTGGTACATGCCGGTAGTCCCAGCTACTTTGGAGGCTAAGGCAAGAAAATCATTTGAGCCTGGGAGTTCAAGGCTGCAGTAAGCTATAATCACACCACTGCACTCCAGCCTGGGTGACAGAGTGAGACCCTGTCTCAAGAAAAATAAAACTCTTAAAATGTGTGATGCAGGGATTCCACTCCTAGGATATAATGCAGAGAATCTTTCCCATCTGAGAGACATGTAGGAAGTTAATTTAAACAATGCTAAAAGCAGCAATCTTAGGGCTGGGCGTGGTGGCTCACACCTGTAAACACAGCATTTTGGGAGGCCAAGGTGGGTGGATCACTTAGGTCCGGAGTTCAAGACCAGCCTGGCCAACATGGTGAAACCCCATCTCTACTGAAAACACAATTAGCCAAGCATAGTGGTGGGCACCTGTAATCCCAGCTACTCGAGAGGCTAAGGCAGGAGAATCACTTGTACCCGGGAGGCAGAGGTTGCAGTGAGCTGAGATCGCATCACTGCACTCCAGCCTGGGCAACGCAGCAAGACTCTGTCTCAGAAAAAAAAAAAAAAAAAAAGCAATAGTAACAATAATAATAATGGCAATGGCAATAGTGCAAATATCCAGCAATAAGAAAATGGGTGAATAAATTATGTTCACAAAATAAAATACTATTAAACAGTTAAAATGAAGAACTAGATCTATATCTCAACATGCATATATCTCAAAAAATAATGGCGAGTGAAAAAAATGCCAAAACATAATTGATACCTTCAGTTGAGTGTCTATAATATTAGTATCTGAATTTTTCTATTTTCTAAAAATTATTTTTAAAAAGCTTTGAAGTTCCTATGAGGTTAAATTTCTTTATTGCTTTTTTCTTTTGTGGTAATAGCCTATAGTATAGCACTTTTAATTCATTTGTATTTACATAAAAATTTGTAATAAAACCAGAGGAATATTTAATATTTATAGTCTTACATTTAATCATTGACACACGTACAACACCAGTAGCAAACCTTTTAAAACATAGCCTTTTGTTCCCCATGAAAATTATTCTTCTTTCCTTTTATATTGACATCAACAAATTTCCAGTTGTTTTTCCTTAGTAATCTTGGAAGGCACCCTCCATCAACCCTCGACAAGTAACATAGTACTTATTCCTTACACGGCAAATGTGTGACTCTATAAAGTAGGTCATGCCCTTCCCACAGAGGTTTCCTCACACAAACCAAGTCACATTTATAGTCTTAGAAAAGCAGCTGGCAAGTTAAGGGCTGAATATCAGGCTTTTTCCTAGCAAGGTTTATATATATATACATATATATTTACTTTGGAATGTAGATATCATTAATTCATGGTTAATTGTTTGCCTGGTACCCAAAGGCTTGAAAACAGGCTGAGCTGTTATCAACTGCATATAAAGGTGAAGTTTCTTAAAAATTTGTGTAAAAGTTAAAGAATTTATAAGTAGTCTTTAAAGTGGATCTTATATAGAAAGCCAGTACTGCACTGCAAATTTATTTTTAAAATATTTTTTATATTTGAAAGAGTAACTTACAGTTGTTTGTATTTCATTTAGGTCCTTTCCAAAGCTAAAGGCCAAGGAAAGAAAAAAATATATATGGTAATAAAGTTGCAGAAGATCCCTTCTGCTCCTTTAGTGATGATACATACAGAGAGGAAGCAATGCTGGATGGGTTCTTTGTCAAAATATTTGTTTGGCAAAAATATTCAGAAAACTATGCAAGATAAGTAAACATTTTAGAGGACCTGGAATGTAACGTGAAGGCAAGTCTTGGCTCAATCAACATGAAAGAAACAGTCTCACTTCGGGTTTATTACAGACACATATTCATGGTCTAATCAGCATCTTTAAGCATGATACACAACAGACAGTTTTTAAACTCCTTTATATTTTTAAGGCAATTTTTACAGTTTTAGGGTTATTTAAAGTCAGTCCCTGCTTATAGATGCCATAATACTATTCATTCCTATTCTTTTACATTGATATTTATTAGCCATGTCAAAACTTTCACAGATTTTTGTTTTGTTTTCCTTTTCTTGAATGCCTTCCTATTTCCTACATTTTTTGTCACAATATATCTGCTGCAATTGCATTTTAGTTTGTTTATTCTCCTATCACTTGCCCTCAGAATTCGTATATATGTATATATGTGTGTGTATATGTAACAGACTGTACGTAGTCAGCATTGACGTCATATGTCAGCACTGATTAAACTGCAAAAAAAAAGTTTAATTCCTATGTCGTCCATCTCTAAAATGTTTTTTTTATTATTGACGGTCTATTCTAGTTCTTATCTACACACATACTCTACTTTCAACTTTATATCACATTTTTACTTAGCATCATACATTTATTTTTTGATACGGTTACATCACTTTTGGTTAAGATTATATATGTATAAAATTTTCTTCAACTTTTTTATAGTAGTGAGCATTTATGTCTTTTTAATTATTTGGTATTACAAATAATATTTCCAAAACCACCTTCATAATACATATTTCCTCCTTTATGTTACTTCCCCTAAAAAATGACTATTCAGAAATGGGAAATGGAGTCAAAGTTATTTGCCAAAGGATACTACCAAATTACAACTTTTAGTAATACATAAACACAGAGGTTGCATGAAAACTTTTTTTTTTATGTTTTAGATTTCAAAGAAAGTTTTCCTGTATATCCTCTCAGTTGACATTCATAATTATCACAAAACTTCTGTGATGACCTTAGTGGATTATTATTCTAAATTCTACAGAGGAGGCTCACAGTCGAGTGACTTTTCCAAAGTGACCTTCGTGGAACTAGAATAAAACTCAGACCTGCCTCAAAATATAGTGGTGCTTCCACACTGCTGCAATTCCTCTATGACCTTTTAAATAAAAGTCTTCAACTTGAAAATTCTCCAACTTCCTTAATTTTTCTTGACTCTTCTGTGTAGAAGACTTTGAAAGTCTTCACTCCAGACCAAGATTTCAAAATATTTAACGGGCCCCTGCATTTATTTTTTAGAATGTTGTTAGGGCAAGATAAGCTCTTACAGAGAGAATGCTCTCCAGTGAGATACAATCATTCAGTTAGAAACATCATGCATCTCATTTATAATGCATTTCTTATTCGATTAAAAAGATGAACTCATGAGCATCTTTGGACAGATAGGCTGCGCAGGCTGGAAGGAGGGCAAACAAGTAAGCTTACTACAGGCGCTATGCTCAGGCAATGCAACAGAATGTTCAAAATGCAGGTACATTTACTACCCTAAAGTAAAAATAAGATGACTAAATTTTGCAGAAGATGTTTAAAATAAAATTTTGAGTGAGATGTTTACTTTTCTTCAAATGTCAGGGAAACACAATGAAGAGAAAATGGAAGCATTTTGAAACATACCCAGCATCACCAGAGGTCTCTGCCGCCGAATGTTGAATTAGAATCTCCTCTCCACGACTGGCTACTGAGCGAAGGAGACTCTTCTGCTCGGCTAATTCCTGTTCTAACTCCTGCTCAAGGGAAAGGACAAACGCAAACACATTTGCTACTTTATGATTATTGCCTACAATCATAGTTCTAGCTATAAAATTCTCAGAGAACTTCGGTAGTGAGCTTTTAAGTTTGCATATTGCATAAAGCATGAGGTTTATGTAAATATTCAAATGTGTCTCCAAAGTACTCTGTAGTGTTCTTTTGCTTTGATACAGGATACCTCTGAAAAATCTGGGGGTTAAAAAAAAAAAAAAAACCACCAATGGGAAAAGAAAATTTTGCCGGGCAATAGTGCCCTCAAGTGGTACAAAATGTACTCTCATTTTTCAAAATCAATATTGTCATGCTAAAAGGATAGATCCTTGGGAAAAGTGGCTTTTTAAGTTCTCCACTTAATTGATAAATTAGGTTATCAATAGATTTGGCTTTAATTCTTCATTATTTATAATAAATCCTCTTGTTATTTGAGAAAATAAAATATTTGAATATGCTTTTTACATACAGTTAAGGTACCAATGAGAAATCATTCTTATTCATCAAAGTTCATTTGTTTCACTAGGCAACAATTAGCAATCCTATTTTGTAACGACATCTACTTGAAAGTAAAAATACAAACTGCATTCATTAAAAAAAATAACAAACATGCAACTTACACTTTCACCAAACCTCAAAAGGCTTTCCTGAGATTTATATTAAAATTAAATAGATTCAGAGGGCAAATCTGAAAACAGAATAGGTATCTCTGGTAAAGAAGATGAGAGCCATGTTACACTATTTGTAAACCTAAACACAAGCTTTTCTTAAAGACTGGATTTTCAAATGACCAATCATCCCAGTGGTCATGAGTCAATACACTGAAACACCAACATCTTGCTTCATTCAAAGAGAAGATAAAGAGACACTCTGTCTTTAGTACAGAAGCAACTTGTCTGTCCTTCTGAAATATGCCTCTCAGGTTCTTCTCTGGGCAGATCTGCAAGCTAGAGAGAGGTAGGAAACACTTTACTTTTTGTTGCTGGAGACTGCTCTGCCGCTGCTGGGTCCATGTGGTGCGAGCTTGGGCCAGCCATTCCTGGACGCCGGGGCTCTGCGTGGCTGTTAGGTCAACATCGCTCTCCTCCTTCTCCTGTGCTGTTCCCTGCTTTTAACGAGGCAGAAATCAAGTCATGCTACACACCGGAAAACCTTAACCAAAGGGGAGAGAAGGCTACTTTGGTGTGATCTATGTAATGATACCAAAGTGGCTCCACTGGGATGTGAAACCACATTTTTTAAAAAAAACAGTAACACAAAACCCATCTAAGTTATGGCATTTGCAGGAGCAAGAACAACATACAGATAATCACACATAGAACTGTTTGAGGGGAAAACCCATATATTTAGAGGTTAGTCTTTTAGCTGACCAATGTGGTCATCAGATATTCCAGATTTTTTTTCCACAAAAACATAACTCAAGATCCTTTGATGAGTTTGTTTTTTAAGTCACACAAAGGTAAACTGTTTCTCAAATGATCATTACCCACAATAATTGTGTCTCTCCCGTGAAAGCATTACCCTGCCTTATGTCACTTTCTCTAATCCAGGTCCAGACAATGAAAGATTTTTAGAATAATCTTCCTAAAAATTTTTCTAAAAGATTATTAATCAAAGACATTTTAATGTCTTTGAGAAGCAAAAAGTTCACTGTTCTGTAAGGCATCATACTCTCTGGAATTCAGTAAGAACTTAAATTTGATTCTCAGTTCATATGGGAGAAAATGTACTGCAGCATAGAGGCAAGGAGTCTAAACAAGGGTTTCCCAGGCCGGCTGGACATCCTCTGTTCCACCTTTCACAGACCAGGTCTTGACCTCTATGTCACAGAGCCTCACCTCCACCACAGTAACTCAAGTCCCAAGACACTGAACTAGGCAGGAAGCCTCATCCCTGATACTGGTCTGTGTAAACCTTCTGTGTCTACCCTACTAGGGCGATAGATTTAAATTATTCCTAGAATTCTCTATCTTTGAGAGTCTGCTGTTTATATAATAATATTTATAGACTGACCTACATAATTAATAGACTGTACTCAAAGATGAAAACTCTTTAAGAGTCTTTCTTTCAGAACCATCAATTAGCACATTAAAAAAAGTCATTTACTGTGGGCACGTGTGGTTACCATTTTACAAATTCAAAGCTTAATTGAGCCTTGAGAGGTCAGTGGTGTGATTATTAAAGGTGAGATCTCTGAAAAAGTACCCTTCACTCCCTCCATCACCATCACCAGAAACTGGCCCATTGCTAAGCTGGCTTGGAGAAAGTCTGACTAAAGGAGAAAGACCAAAGTAATGACTCAGCACCTAGGCAAGAGTTGATCCTTCCTGCCTGATTATTCTAATGGAATTTGAAAGGCCCTAAAATGTTGCACATCAAATGGGATTAGTTCTGAATGAGAGCTTTTCTACTCACATAGATTCATCTGTCAAAGGATAAATTATAATTTCAATATAACTCATTCACTACTTAATAAGCACTCACTAGACACTGTTCTAGAAGCTGGGAGTGTTTTGGAAGCCAGATGAGGGCCCTGGTGGGGAGTTAGACTATAAACAAACAGATAACTGAGCTGAAGATAAGGCCTACAGAGACTGATAATGGGATAGAAAGTTTTAGGGAGGCCTAAGGAAGCATCTTTAGAAGAGACAATTGCACTCTGCATGACGAGAGACCACCAGCCTTGCAAAGATCTAGAGTGAGGGCATTCAGACCCAGGGAACAGTTGGCACAAAGACCCTAAGGTGAAAGAAATTTGCCATTTCAGAGAGAACAGAGCAGTGAAGAGGACAGCAGGGCTGGCGTACCATGGGGCAGAGGAAGGATATTTTACAGGTTGCTTCCACGGAGGAGCCTCCTGCCATCTATTTCTGGAGCTGCTGCTCGCCTGCCCCTGGTTGTTCTTTGCAATGTCTGAGCACAACATGGGACCCAGCCATTCCAGCTCATCCAACCTAACTGCCCACAGAGACCCTTCTCTCGCTCTCCTATTTTCAGAGTTTTATACTCACCATTTTAGGGAAATAGATGGGATCTGTTTACCTTTCTGTTTCTTCTTTTTTTCATTAGAATCTCATGATTAAATTGTCTAATAGACTTTATCTTTATCTTTGCAAGGCGGTGTCGGTGCTTGAAGCTAAATGAACAGTAAAAACCTGTAGGTAATAGTATATAAAACTTTCTCCCAGATTCTGAGCCCACCCGAGCTCAGAGGTACTTCCTTTCCTTTCAGATGATCCAGCCAGAGATTGCAGTTTAGGTAGAACAACGGGGGTGCAATGGTCTAATATATGCTAGTTGCATTTTGCAAGACCTTCAGAATGGGTGACTAGTGACACTAAATTCTCCACCTTCTGCGGAATTTCTCAAAGATAAGCAGTGATTTTCCTAGAGATGGGAAGTTTGGGTGGATGGGCATTCTCCCAGAACTGGAACCCATGATTTTCTGCATGAAAACAGATTCTCTCTCATCTAAGACTCCACCACCTTCTAAGAATAAGCTCTAAAAGATCCTGGTTCTTCCAAGCAAAGTTGAAACAGCAGTTCAAAAGGAACCCATAGAAAATGGCCTCAAGAAATCAGTGGACGAGACTGAAAGTTGTCCCCATCAGAGCTGCTCCAGCTGCCAAAGTAGTGGCCCTGGCCATGACCTGCTGACTTGCTTTTGTGGGATCCAGGCCACTTCCTCTCTGCTTTTCTCTTCAGCAAAAATTTGTTTTTCAGAGCCCGGCCTGAAGACTCCCTTGGAAAATTCTCCGAGCCCTGAGCCCAACACGCTCTTCTACACCAGTTACTATGGTCTGATTGAGAGAGGTTGGCTCAAGTTCCTTACACCAAATTTGGATTTGGAACACTGACAATCGAAATGTTAGGTCTTAACAACTTCCTCACTTTTATATGCACAGATATATATTCAGATTCTATGCGGTTAGACTCAGTTTTTCAGTGAGTGAATTTTTCTCTGAATGATTTAGTCATTGTGAAACATAAGACTTGGACCACAGGAAGCAAACCATGATTAAGAATCCAGTTCAAATTTCATTCTCTTTCCCCTGGGGATAAGAAGGTGCAGCCAGAAGGAATGTAATTATGGTAATTACTTTCTCTGAGGTGTGATAACAGTTTTCTGCCATGCCTAGGGAATGCAGAGGTTAGGCGGTTTCTGTCACCAGTCCCCACTGGGTGGGGCTACATAAACTTTATTTTGGAAATACTAGAACAGTAACCACTTTTGCCAGGAACATTCCTTGGAAGATGAATGAGGACTGGGCAGTGCTAAACATTACATAAAACATTTCTTTATAAAGCTTTTTATTATTTTATGGGGCAATCTCTCTGTTCTTTTAATGAATGATAATGTGTGAAAAAGACCCAGCTTCATGAAGATACCACGTAATTCAGGAGATCTTACTACATGCCCTTAAGATCTTCACATAGAGAAGCAGTCTATTTGATAGGAAACAAAAAAGCATAGTCATTCACTGATACCCATGCAAGTCAAATTAGTTAAAAGGAATGGAGGTAAGAGGTATTACCATCTCCCAGCTTCAGTAGCACTAAGTAATGGTGTGCTTACAGACTTAGGAAGGTATTCCAACCCTCCTGAATCATCCAAGCCCCAATTAAAGAGCATTAACATTGCTGAGGGCTGCATTTAATGGATGATTTGTTTTCTGCAATTAACTTTAGTTAATTTCAGATTAACTCCAAATTATTTTTAGTTTTCTACATAAAGGGACATGATCCTTTTCATGGCAATAATAATGTAAACAGGGCTCCTTTTCTTCCCACAGATGGAAAAACAATCTTCCAGGAAGCTCTAATTATTTTAAAAGATCTAGTAATATTTTATATGCTGGGAACTTCATTAGATGAAAGATGATGGAATTTATAGATAGTTTAAAAATAAACAGTAACCAATTTCCATGTAGTAAAACACTACCACATTTTTCTGTATTTACACTTCACCCAATGTGGGCAGGGTCAGGACTTGACTCAGTTTAAAGAATTCCCGTGGACCTGGGCAGGATCTGCTGGGTGTGGACACCACAGTGGTGTGTACATGCTCAGTCCAGCCCGCTAAGTCTCAAGCCTGGCCTTTCAGCATAGCAGAAGCTTCTTCGTCTCAAAGAATGTGATTTGGAAACAGTTGGTTATTGTTATTAATTATTTTAACTGCTGCAATTTGAGCATTTATTGTATTACTTGCATTTAAATCCTCACTGTTTTTTTTCTTTTTGATTATTTTTTCCACATGTTCTAAAGAATTTTTTTAAGTTAAATATTATTATCCATATTTTACAGATGAGAAAACTGATCCGTAAGAAAGTTGTGGAAAATTTAAGGCTCTTGCCCCAGGTCACCTCGTTAATAATGAATGGGAAAAAGATAAACAGATTTCAATCCTGGCTTGTGGATATGCTTTCTTTGGCACACAAATTATTTTAAAATTTTAGATTTAAATGTCAACGTTTAAAAGTTGGGAGGCTTTAGAAATAAATCCACATTCCCTATCTCTTGAAAAACTAGAAGATCCAGCAATGCCACTTGTAAATTCTTGTGTGATAATAGCTAGAGCTTAGTAACAGCTGCTTCTTAGACAGGAGACCAGCTTGCCAAGGGCCAGGCTGGGCCTGCTCCCCTCATTGGTTTTGCCCTTCCCAGGCCACGAGACCTTGGAATTTGTGGTTCCTGCCTTGTTTAATCCCTCTTGTGCTTGTGAGTGAGGATCAGGCCGCCCCTTCCCTTACTACCTGCCTCTAGCGGTAGGGTGGGGCAAGGGAGTAATAAGAGCTTTATAAATGATTGCTATCCTACCTAGGAAACTTTCAAGGCTTTCCCTTTATTTTAGCTTCTTTAGAAATTAAGTTCATTCAGAGATCACCACTGAAAATAGAAGAAAGCATTATATATTAGACCTATAATAGCTGTTTACAAAACTAGGTGAATTGCTGTCTACTTTTACAGCTAGAAAATCATTCTACTTCTGTTCAGTTTTAGTATGTGTAACCTTTTCTTTTGACTTTAATTACAAAGTCACATTGCATGTGCATTTTCAAGTGTGTAAATCCAAGTGAAAAGTTATATTTTTTATTTGCATCTATTTACCCAACACAGAGTTCAAACGTCTTTTCATATGTTCATTGTCCATTTATATTTCTTTTCCTGTGAATTATCTCTTCATATCTTTTGTCCATATTCTATTATTTGATCTTTCCTTATTGTTTTACAAAAGATTTGTGAATTGCATAGTTTCTTCCCTGTTTGTCTATGTCTTTTGTTTTATTTTGTGTTACTCATTCCTCCCTGTCTATGTCTTTCAATTTGGTTACTTTTTTGGGGGTGGGGAAGGGGGGTCATACAGAACTTTTTTATTTTTGTGTAGTAGTTTCATTTTTATTTGTTTATTTATTTATTTACTTATTCATTTTTGAGATGGAGTTTCACTCCTGTTGCCCAGGCTGGAGTGCAATGGCGTGATCTCGGCTCACTGCAACCTCTGCCTCCTCGGTTCAAGTGATTCTCCTGCCTCAGCCTCCTGAGTAGCTGGGATTACAGGTTCCCACCACCACACCTGGCTAATTTTGTATTTTTAGTATAGACGGAGTTTCACTATGTTGGCTAGGCTGGTCTCGAACTCCTGACCTCAGGTGATCCACCTGCCTCAGCCTCCCAAAGTGCTGGGATTACAGGTGGGAGCCATGGCCCATTTGTTTATTTTTTTAGTTGGCGTCTCACACTGTCACCCAGGCTGCAGTGCAGTGGCACAATCATAGCTCGCTGCAGCCTCAACCACCTGGGCTTAAGGGATTCTCCCACCTCCTCCCAGCTTCTCCCATCCCAGCTTCCTTAGTAGCTGGGACCACAGGCGTGTGCCACCACGCCCGGCTAATGTTTTTATTATTTGTAGAGATGGGGTTTTGCTATGATACCCAGGCTGGTCTTGAACTTCTGGGCTCAAGCAATTCTCCCTTCTTAGCCTCCCAAACTGCTAAGATTACAGGCATAAGCCACCAAGCCCTGCCAATGTATTAGTTTAAAAGAAGCTATAAAATTATGGGTTTGGGGTATACTGGCAAAGGTTTTCCCTATCCTAAGATTAAAAAAAAAAAATCATACATTGAGTACCTTGCAGACTTAAGTTTTATATTGAAATCTTTGATCCACCTGTGATACATTTTTCTGTAAAATATGGGGTAGAAAATACAGTTTATCACGTTTCAAGTGATTATTTACAGAGTGAGTCATATTTTGTCCACTGATTTGTAATGCCACCTAAAATATTTATCAAATTCCTTTACATACCAAATCTCTTTCTGGAATAGTTATTGTTTAATTTTCTGTTCACATATTTATTGCGCCAACACCAAACTATTTTAATTATTGTAATATTGTATTTTAATATGTGATTAGACTGGCCGGGCATGGTAGCTCACGCCTATAATCTCAGCACTTTGGGAGGCTGAGGTGGGTGGATTGCCTGTGCTCAGGAGTTGAAGACCAGCCTGGGCAACATTGAGAGACCTCCATCTCTACAAAAAATTAAAAAAATTAGCTAGGCAGGTGGTGCGCGCCTATAGTCCCAGCTACTCAGGAGGCTGAGGTGGGAGCATTACTTGAGACTGGGAGGCAGAGGTTGCAATGAGCTGAGATTGCGTCCCTGCACTCCAGCCTGGGTGACAGAGCAAGACCCTGTCTCAAAAAAAAAAAAACAAAAAAAAATCCACACACATATATGATAAGACTAATAATCCCTCAAAACTCTTCATTTTCAAAATTTTATATGGGATATTACATTATTCCTCTAACTTGTTTTTTGTCTATGTAAAAACTATAAATTCTCGACTTCTTTTTTTTTTTTTTTTTTTTTTGAGACAGGATTTCACTCTGTTGCCCAAGCTAGAGCACAGTGGCACAATCTCGGCTCACTGCAACCTCTGCCTCCCAGGTTCAAGCAGTTCTCATGCCTCAGCCTCCCAAGCAGCTGGGATTACAGGCATGCCCCACCACACCCGGCTAATTTTTGTATTTTTAGTAGAGATGGGGTTTCACCATGTTGGCCAGGCTGGTCTCAAACTCCCGACCTCAGGTGATCCACCTGCCTTGGCCTCCCAAATTGCTGGGGATACAGGCGTGAGCCACTGTGCTCGGCTGACTTCATTTTTTAATTTTTATTTTTTGTTGGATTCTTTTATGCTTTTCAATGACCTAACTTCATATTTTTAATAAGCCAGTCATCTTCCTAAATTTCTCCATTGCTTCTAAATAGTTTTTAGTTGATTAAGTTTGGTTTTCCATATCATATAATCATATCATCAGCAAAAAGCCGAAAAAAAAAATACATAGGTTAGTCCTAACAATCATCCTCACACTGAGAAAACAGAAGCAATCACAGTGAACTTCCATGAAGTTTCCGTTAACAATATTTATGTCCTACTTCCTACCAGTATTTGTATTCCAACATAGATGCTTTCCCTCCCTCCTCATTTTACTTGGAGAACAGATTGGCCTGGTCTCAACCATTATTGCAGGAGAAAGGTGTAAATGGTAAAGGAAGGCACAGTTTGGATTAGGCCACAAGAAGGAGCAGATGATACCATCAGATGCTTATAGGGTTGGGGCAGCTAATGGGCTTCTAAACTATTTGGTCCCTGGCTTACTTAGCAAGAAGGGTAGGGAAGACCAAACTCTGCACTCTTTTTTTTTTTTTTTTTTTTTTTTGAGACGGCGTCTCCCTCTGTCTCCCAGGCTGGAGTGCAGTGGTGCGATCTCAGCTCACTGTAACCTCTGCTTCCCAGGTTCAGGTTCAGGAGATTCTCCTGCCTCAGCTTCCCAAGTAGCTGGGACTACAGGCGCCCACCACTATGCCCGGCTAATTTTTGGTATTTTTATTAGAAACGGGGTTTCACCGTGTTAGCCAGGATGGTCTCCATCTCCTGACTTCATGATCTGCCAGCCTTGGCTTCCCAAAGTGCTGGGATTACAGGTGTGAGCCACCGCACCTGGCCTGTGTACTTTTTATCCTATCCGTTTCCTCCCCAACAAGAAGATTGTTCTTGCAATCACACTCCTTTTTCTTTTTCTTTTTTTTTTTTTTTTTTTTTTTTTTGTTATGAGACAGAGTCTTGCTCTGTCGCCCAGACTGGAGTGCAGTGATATAATCTCGGCTCACTGAAATCTCCACCTCCCAGGTTCAAGCAATTCTCCTGCCTCAGCCTCCCGAGTAACTGAGATTACAGGTGTCCACCACAAGGCCCAGCTAATTTTTTTTTTTTTTTGTATTTTTAGCAGAGATGGGGTTTCACCATGTTAGCCAGTCTGGTCTCGAACTCCTGACCTCAAGTGATCTGCTTGTCTCGGCCTCCCAAAGTGCTGGGATTACAGGCGTGAGCCACGGCGCCCTGCCCACATTCCTTTTTCACCAACTTTTCCTCTATTGAGTTATTTCCATCAACGTGTAAACTTATTATTTTTCTGATCTTAAAATGAAATACTCAAATTGTGATGAATGTAAAAGAAAAAAAGAGATAAAATTTTCTTTGACCCACTTCTCCTTATAGCTTATCTCATTCCTCTATATACCACTTTACAGCAACACTCCTGGAGTAGCCTTTACTTTCCCTCTCCAGTTCCTCTCCTCTCATTGTTACTTTCATGTCAGAGTGCTTTTTGCCTCCACCACTCCGCTGAACAGCTGTTGTTAGTAGTCCTAACAAAATCTATTTGCAAATGTTTGCCAAAGTCCAAGAGTGTAAACTTAAAGCTGCATGCTAAAATGTCAGCGTAAAGCAGGTACACACACAAGTACGCGTCACCGCCAACCTGTTCCTTTACCTGGCAAACCTTAGAAGGAGCACGTGAACAGTGTGCCAACTTTCAGCTGTGGGCCAGCGGCTGGAACCCTCACCTGCATGTTGAGCTGCTTATCATGCAGGGCTCTCTGCAGCTCCAGCAGGCTCCCCTTGAGCCTTCTCAGCTTTCCAGCCAGCTGCTCGGCCTCGTCCTTGGTGTGAGCTTTGCCCTCCAGCAGCAGGTTCTCATTGTGGACTGACAGTTCTGATAAAGCCACCACCTTCTGCTCTATTTCCACCAGCATATTCTGCAGCAACAGAAATAAGAATGAAACTCACACATCTCCCCAGCCTCTGCAAAGACTGTTTCCCACAGTGAAATACAGCCCTTTGGAGTCTTTTACGAAACGGACAGGCTTTCATGATTTTTTGTAGTTTTCCCACGGCCTTGACGAGTAAGTAGTCTGTAGGCTTTTTTTTTATATTTTTTAATTTATTTTTATTTTTTTAGACAGAATCTCACTCTGTCGCCCAGGCTGGAGTTTAGTGGAGCGATCTTGACTCACTGCAAGCTCCGCCTCCCAGGTTCACGCCATTCTCCTGCCTCAGCCTCCCGAGCAGCTGGGACTACAGGCGCCCACCACTATGCCCGGCTACTGTTTTGTTTTTTAGTAGAGACGGGGTTTCACCGTGTTAGCTAGGATGGTCTAGATCTCCTGACCTCATGATCCGCCCACCTCGGCCTCCCAAAGTGCTGGGATTACAGGAGTGAGAGCCACTGCACCTGGCCCTTTTTTGTTTTTGTTTTTTTTTGAGGGAGGGTCTTGTTCTGTTGCCCAGGCTGGAGTGCTTTGGCATGAACATGGCTCACTGCGGCCTCCATCTACTGGGTTCAAGGGATCCCCTTGCCTGAGCCTCCCATGTAGCTGGGATCACAGACATGTGACACCACACCTGGCTAAATTTTTTATTTTTTCAACAGAAACAAGGTCTCACTTTGTTGCCTGGGCTGGTCTCAAACTCCTGGGCTCAAACAATGCTCCCACCTCAGCCTTCCAAAAGTGTTGGGATTACAGGTGTGAGCCACTGTGTCTGGTGACTTTTAATTGTCTGTTATGGTATTAGAGGGGTCCATAAAAAATTTGCCTGAGCCTCTCAATTTTTCTTTTCTTTTCTTTTTTTTTTTTTTTTTTTGAGACAAGGTCTCCTCTAAAATGGAGACTAAATTAGAGAAAAAGAAAAATAGCCTTTCTTCTTCCTAGATAAGACTTAAAACAAAAAACAAAAAAGACTAAAAAAAAAAACAAAAAAAAGTTTTACTTTCCTTATAAATCATTGTTTTTATGTTAATTCTGCACCCTTTGAAATGTACTTTCTTCTTTATATTAAATAAAGTAATTTGTTAATGAGAAAAGATACTTCATTTCCCTATACAAAATCAAAATTAAGAATATAAAGTCAGGCTGGGTGTGGTGGCTCTCACCTGTAATCCCAGCACTTTGGGAGGCCGAGGCAGGCAGATCGCTTGAGCTCAGGAGTTTGAGACCAGCCTGGGCAACATAGTGAAACCCCGTCTCTCCAAAAAATACAAAAAAATAAGCCAGGCGTGGTGGCACGTGCCTGTACTCCCCGCACTTGCGGGGCTGAGGTGGGAGAATTGCTTGAACCCAGGAAGTCAAGGCTGCAGTGGGCTGAGGTTGCACCACTGCTCTCCAGCCTGGGTGACAAAGTGAGACCTTGTCTCAAAAAAAAAAAAAAAAAAAAGAATATAACATCAAACCAAAAAACTAGAACTAAGTAGAAGAGTAATACTTTTATTAAAATAGGAATTAAAAGATGATTTCCTGAGGATTATTGTTAAGAAATTAACATAATTCTGTGCAGGGTTGATTTTACCATTAGGCACAGCAAGTACAGTGCTGAGGGTCTGTGATGCTTTTAGAGCCCCAAGAAAATGTTTGATTTTAATTTCTTTTAAAATCAAAAGAAAAAAACTGAATATAATAATATGGAATACATCACAACAAATCTATTCCGAATCATGTAAGTCTTTGTACCACAGCAATTGTAAAACTGAAAACATAATTTTTAGCACTTCCATGGGGGAAACAGCCTACAAAAATGAAGTGCCCAGACCCACAAAGGACATCACGTGGTTCCAATTCTGTGTAATAGTCACCGTTATAATTAGTGTGCAACTGAATTCATATTAGATTTTAACTGACAAGATTTTAGCTGGCTTATATGTAAGATTTTAATTGAATCTAATTAAAATTTGAATTAATTTAATGTAGTAATTTAATATTAGATTTTTAAAAACTATTTTCTGGTGTGATTTAATATGTTTCCAGTTTCTTAAAGTAAGCTTGTCCAACCCACGGACCATGGGCCGCATGTGGCCCAGGACAGCCTTGAATGTAGCCAACACAAATTCAGAAACTTTCTTAAAATGTTATTTTTTTTTTGTAATTTTTTTTTAAGCTCATCATCTAGTGCTAGTGTATTTTATGTGTGGACCAAGACAATTCTTCTTCTTCCAATGTGGCCCAGGGAAGCCAAAAGATTGAACACCCCTGTCTTAAAGTATGGTCAAAACACTATTTTAATACTTTGGAAAAGTATTGAAATACATTACCTGGTTTATGGACTTTATGTGTTACAATAAAAACAGATATCTTCACAAGAGAGAGGTGGCAGTATGATAAAACATAACTTTGAAATGTTAGTTTGGGTGGTAACTTCAAGTGCCAAAAGGCAATGGGCTAATAGATGTTTCTTCTCAAAAAATAAACATTAGAAAGAAGATATAAAGAGCAGAAAAACTTGCATATGGCTAATTAATCTCTATCATCATGGCAAAGAATAACAGTGCTTTGGATACACATAGATAAGTTTCCTAAAGCATTAAAAAATCCGAATGATAATGATCAATATTATGAATCTCAAATCACAAATAAGAATAGCCAAAATGGTGTACCGTAAATTAAGAAAAAAGTTAGTGTGCACTAAGTAATGATTTTCACATATTTCCTCTGAGTCCAAAAAAAAGGAATATAAAGTTGTATATATTGATACTTAACCCTGAAGACTAGACAGGGTTTTCTAGATATTTCCTAGTTAATAAAATGAAAAAGCTTTTAAGGTATACTTCACCCATGTGCGAAGTCAAATATGAAGATCATCATTGAAGTTTGATGACAAGCATATGGGACTTCATTATCTATTCTTTATACTTATATGCATTTTTGAAAAATTCCATAATAAAGAGGTAAGAAAATAGCATTAGAATAAAGACTTTAATGCAATTACTCCTCACAGTAATTCCTAGAGCCCTAACATAGGTGGAAAACACATTCTCTGCTCCAAAAGACAGCCTTCCCATCTTCAGTCTCCCTGTTTGCCTAAAACTGACACTTGGAAAAGTTTTCCGAATAATATATCAGGATTAGAACCAAAATTGTAACAGAGCACCTAGAGATACTTCCTGTTGTGTTTATTTCCAGTCTGACTCACTGCTACTGATTCTCCCCATTGGCTTTGTATTCCTTAATAAGTACTAAATACAGATATTATGGTATTTTGGTATCTACAGTTTTTAAACATGACCTTTAGGAAGCCGGAGACACTGTGGTCAATGTTTTTCAAAAAGTGAGTCCAAGTTTGGATTTCATTTAAGCTTTTATAATGTATTACTTTTCTATTCTTTAAATGTATAAAGTCTATGGGTTGGGAAAAATCATATATCCACACCAAGCCTTTTTATAGTATGTTTTCTGTAGTTTAAAAAAATGTGCTTCATGATGTTGACATATTCCTTTGAGACCATTTTGGTACCTGGCAGTCCATAAGCTGGGCCTCCATGTCCATGGGCTCCTTGGGTGGACTCAGCGCAGTGTCCAGAGTGGCCTTGGTACTCAAGAGCCAGCTGTCCAGCTCATCGGCTTCACAGCGATACCTCTGCAGGGCCTGTTCCTGCCTTTGTTCCTCCAGCTGATCATTCAACTTCTCCTGTTGAATTCAGTAGAAGGTAATATAGATCACGCTAAGGTAAAATCTTGAGAATTTAACACAGTAAAGCAATGGTTCCAGGCCCTGGCTGTACATAAGAATCACTGGTAAAACTTTTAAAAATTTCCTTTGCTTAGGCCACATCCCAGAACAACAATCAGAATTTCTAGGGGTGAGTCTCAAAATTGGTATTTTTAAAAAGACTCCCTAGTGATTTTAATGTGTACCTAGAGTTGAACAAGGTATTCTCAAATAACATACCTATAGGACCAGGCAGTAATAGAAATGATGGAAATCAGTCAAGGATTAGAACAAAACAATGGCATAAAGCGGTTGGTAAATGGCAGTAGACACCGGACCTCTATTTCTGGGAAGAGTAGGGAGTGATGGAGACTGTGGCAAACTGAAAAACATGCGGCCTGTCTAAAACAGCAGCCACATACAGTTTCAGGCAATTGATCCCTGTGGGAAGCGGTGGCCCAGTGTTAACTTTCATCTCCAGTAAAGGGAGAAATCCAAATTTCTAGGTTAGCTCTCTGAGTTTTTCAATGATTGCAAATAATTCATGTTGAAAAAAAAATCGACGTCAATCGCTTCATTTTGAAACCCCCACAAGTTTTTCATAGAGTTACTGGGGACAATATAAATGAATTAAAAGTTAACTTTTAAAATACTCTAAATACTTTATTTTAAAAATTATTTTATGAATAATTCATTATTTTAAAATTAATTTTATTAAACCATTTAAAATAGAAATTAAGAAGTAGGGCAGACACATCGGCTTTAAATTTCTCTAATACAAGAAGTATTAGGTTGGTGCAGAAGTAATTGTGATTTTTGCCGTTACTTTTGCACAAATCTAATATATGAATATATTATTTGACTAATCATATAATAGGTAAAACTAGAGAGAGACTACACACCCAGCAACAGGGTCATGGTTAATTGCATTATGGTGTAATTAGCAGCTAAATAAAATAATATTCAGTTCATATAATAAGAAATGTATTGAGAACCCATTATGTGCCAGAGAAGCTGCTAAGAGATACAAGATGATAGATACTGTAAAGGTCTTTAGGGAGCCTCCAGTCTAACCAAACTACAGGAGCAACAATATGAGTAGCCTAGAAGCTTAGGGCCAAGAATTTACGAGAGAACAAATAAAAAAGGAAGATAGCTGATTTTTAACACAGATATTACTGCTGCCCAAATTTGTCTCTATATTAAATAATATTTAAATTAAGTAACGTGGGAACCAGAATAGCAAGAGTATTTTCATGAATTACTATGTCTGAATTGGCTAACAGTGACTAAGTAGGATTTATTCTTTATAGTGTTAGTAATATCATCCATCAAATGCTGTCGTGTAAACATAGCAAACCATTATGCAAATCCTCTACAATTATTCTTCACAAGGCTCATGTCTACCAAGAATTTGCTTTCCACATTCTCAATATTTCACGCCTGAAATGAGTCAGAAAGGAGTCAAAGGACATATTCATGGCTACACACTGACTGTACTCTATTCGGGAGACTGTTTTGTTTTGTTTGTTTGTTTGTTTGTTTGCTTTTTTGAGACAGAGTCTCGCTCTGTTGCCCAGGCTGGAGTGCAGTGGTGCAATCTTGGCTCACCACAACCTCTGCCTCCCGGGCTCAAGTGATTCTCCTGTCTCAGCCTCCCAAGTAGCTGGGACTACAGGCACACACCACCATGTCTGGCTCATTTTTATATTTTTAGTAGAGACAGGGTTTCACTATGTTAGCCAGGCTGGTTTCAAACTCCTGACCTCGTGATTCACCTGCCTCAGCCTCCCAAAGTGCTGGGATTACAGGTGTGAACCACCCCTCCCGGCCGTGGAGACCATTCTTGAAACACAATCCCAGCTTAGGAGAGGGAAGCAATGAAAATGTAAATACGTAAGTAACCCACATACTTGGTAACACAACGTTAAAAGTTAACTCAGAAGTGAGGAGGCCACTTTACAGTTATTGGTTACCTCCAAAAGCTGCCGTTTCCCCGAGGCTTTCATCCTGATGGTGGACATTCGCTCGGCTAAGACAGTGAGCGTGGACTGCAAGGCCAGCTGCTCCGCAGGGTCGGCCTCACAAGACTCGGATACCAGCTCCTCTGCGAGAGAGGACTGGAGCTCATTGATTTCATCCTGGAGCATGAGAATCTCATCCATCAATGCCTGGAGGAAAGACTGTGGAATCACACTCATGTATTCATTTCTTCACTGAGGGATCATTAGCACTAGCTGAGTCTCACATCCATTGGGATTAGCGGAAGAGATTTCACCTGGGAATCATTAATCAATCAACAAATAGCAGCCTACTCACCTACATTTCTAAATGAAAGGCCAGGACTTTTCTGATTTTATGTATGTATCACTAACCAAAGTGAGTTTGAACAACTTAATTAATCTTTCTAGTTTTCAATAGGATCATCTGTAATACAAGGATCATCTGTAATACCAACTTATTTTTTATTTTTTAGAGACAGAGTCTCACTCTGTCACTCAGGCTGGAGTGCAGTGGTATGATCACAGCTCACTGTAATCTTGAACTCCTGGGCTCAAGCGGCCCTCCTGCTTGAAGCTGGGACTGGTGTGTGCTACCACACCTGGTAATTTTTTTTTTTTTTTTTTTTTTTTTTTACTTTTTGTAAAGACAGGATCATGCTATGTTGCCCAGGCTGGTCTCAAACTCCTGGCCTCAGGGAATCCTCCAGCCTGGATCACAGGCATGAGCCACCACATTTCTCAATCATTTCTAAGAGTCTCCAATACAACGTTGAAAATAAAATGTATTACTTTCTTCCTCAACATGATTTTCCCACATTAACCTGTTGCTTTCCCCAAATCTGAAACAGCATTGAACTCTAGTCCAAAACTCACATGGTTTCTCACAGGATGGGAGAAACCTGTAACCTATTTCTATGTCGTCACACTACTCATTTTTCTCATTTACCAAACTCTAAAAAATAAGGGTCTCTCCCGGGTGATGTCTTCCATTCCCAAGATTTCAAATGCTTTCTAATCCTGAGCACTTCCAAAGGTACATCCCTAACCCAGACACCTGCCCTAAGTTTCAGGCTGTGTATTCAACTTACCTAGTTCACGGGTGTCTGCATAGTGTTAAGTCTAATCCTGCTTCCCCGCCTGTCTTCCACCACCTCTCATTATGGCTCAAGCTGGAGACTTGGGAATCACTCTTCACACCTTCCTCTCCTTCACTCACCAGATCCAAACCATCACCCAGTCCAATGGCTTTTATCTCAAAAATATATCTTGTATATCTGAATATCCCCACTGCCCCCACCTGAAGCCAAAGTCAACTTCCTCTCTCGACTGAGTTGCTATATAATGGTCTACTAATGAGTCTATCTGCTTACACTCTTGTTGCTCCAGTCCAGTCTATATGAAGCAATTACAGCAACCTTTTGAAAATATCAATTAGGTCCTCTCACTCCCCTGCTTTGAAATATGTACTGGATTCTTGCTGTGAAATAAATCAAACTTGTTACTACACTCGTGTAGTCTCACTCTTCCTGCCTCGTGTGCCACACTCCCTTCTTGCTCACCATACTCCAGCCTTCTTCAGCCACTCCAGGGCCCCACTTCAGTCACTTCCTGGCTTCAGGGCCTTTGAACATGCTGTTCCCTCAACACGAAAAACTCTTCCCGCTCTGTGTGAGATGGCTCTATTCATCCTTTGCTCTTAGGTTAATTGTCATATCTTCAGAGAGGCCTTTCATGACCACCCAATCCTAAGAAAATCTCCATCATTCTCTCTCATAGCACCCTGTTTTCCTGTCTATCATAATTATACTTGATTTTATTTCTCTTTTTTGGAGTATTTTATGACTTGCTCTTTAGATGGAATCTTCACAGGAGAAATTGTTATTTAGGATTTCAATGAAGTTGGAAAAACAGGCTCTATCACCAGAGCGGCAACTATGATTTCAAGTAAAGTAACATAGGCTTTATATTTGCCAGCATTTCATAGTTTCCAATGTGCCCTTATTTGCATAATTCCTATCTTTTCCACAGGACTGGAGGCTTCACTGTAAGTGCAGTGCCTCCTCAGAGTGGGCTCTCACAATGTTAAACAGCAAAAACCCCTTATCTTTTCCTAATATCAAATATCATCATGACAATTAATTTTTAAATAAACTATTAATATTATATACATCTAGAAAAGTGAACAGATTATAAGCACACCAACTATATATATCCATGCTGCTGCTACCCAGATCAAGAAATGGAATATTTCCAGGATTCTATAAGCTCTTTTGACCTCCTCCTTCTTGCTACTGCTGTCCTCAAAAATCACCACTGTGTTAACTTGTAAATATCAGGGGACTTTGGCCCTTATTTGAGCTTTATAGAAATGGAGTCATACACGATGCACTGCTCTGTGTCTGGCTCCTTTCATGATTGTGAGAGTCGTTCATTTTGTTGCACGGAGAAAGAGTTAACCCATTTTTATCATTATACCATATTCCACTGTCGCCTGGTTGTGAATTGTTTTCACTTTAAGTTTTTCTAGTGGGTTTAATAGTGGAATCTCATTGTAATTTTAATTTCCATTTCCCCGATGACTAATGAGATTGAGTGTCTTTTGTGACTGCCTGCTAAAAATCTTTTGCCCATTTTCCACTAGAGTTGTTCCTTTTCTTATTGATGTATGGAGTTGTTTGTATATTCTGGATAGGAGTGCCTGTGTTTCTTTTGGTTCTGCATATAGCAAATAATCTGTTCCCACTTTGAGGCATGGTTTTCCCTTAACGGGAAGAGACTTCCTTAATAATATCTGTTGATGGAAAGAAGTTCTTAATTTTATCATGGTCTAATAGAATCAATATTTCCCTTTATTGTTAGGGCTTTTGGTATACTATATAGGAAATCTTTTGCCTAATCCAAGGTCATAAATAGAATACATTCGCATACGTTATCTTCTGTAAGAATGCTACTCAAAGCGTGGTCCACAGAATAATAACAGTCTGCACAATGTTTGTTACTGGCTTATGATGAGATAAACATATTGAGAGCAAGTGCTAAGAAACTTTTATAGTAATTTGACAGTTATGACATCCAAGCAGCATTTGATTTAATTTTACTAAAGTATCCGTCTGTGATGGATTAGAATGTTTTTTAAAAAGATCATTCACCATAGATATTTTAAAGTATTATTTTCAAACTTTTTTTTTTGGTAATAACTTCACATTTAGATCTACAAACCACATAAACTTAATTTTCATGTCCAGTGTAGAAAGAGGTGAAAATTCTTCTTTTTTTCACCCATTGTTTTGCAGTGTAATCTTTGCCACAAGTCAAGTGTCTGTATAAATGTGATTCTGCTCTGGGCTCGAATTCTGTTCCATCAACCCATTTGGCTGTTTGTGCAAATACCACACAATCTTAATTATTGTAGCTTTATAAATCTCCCTATCTGGTAGGATATATCTTTCAACTTTATTAATCTTTTTCAAGACTGTCCTGGTTATTCTTTACTTCTGGCATTTTTAATATATATTTTCCCACACATTTGCAGCATACTTTATTATTATTATTACTATTTTTGAGACAGAGTCTCACCCTGTTGCTCGTGCTGGAGTCAGTGGCAAGATCTTGGCTCACTGCAACCTCTGCCTCCCAGGTTCAAGTGATTCTCCTGCCTCAGCCTCCAGAGTAGCTGGGATTATAGGCATGCACCACCACACCCAGCTAATTTTTGTATTTTTAGTAGAGATGTGGTTTCACCATGTTGGCCAGGCTGGTCTTGAATTCCTAGGCTCAAGTGATCTGCCCGCTTCAGCCTCCCAAAGTGCTGGGATTACAGGCATGAGCCACCGCACCCAGCCTGCAGTATACTTTAGAATTAGCTTGTCAACCTCCACCAAAAAACTTGCTGCAATTTTTAAAACGTGATTGCAATGAATTTACAGACTGATATTGTTTATTATATATGCAAAGTATTTTTTATACATTCAAAGTATTATACATTCAAAAACTTCCATTCAGTAAATTATTTTCCATTATTTCATAATAATGTTTTGTGCCTGAATGCTAAAAGTATAAAATCTATATTTGGTTTGATTTTAAATGCTCCTCCATAATTAGATGGATCTTATTATGTCTTTGTTTTTTTTTTTTTACACTGATCCTTCTGTACAAGCAAGAAGAGCCTCCTAACAATTTCACACTGTGTTCATTCTCATCCTCTCTTCTGTGCCTTTCCACACACATTTACATTTATAGTGCCTCCTACCCACTCCTGTTGCCATTCCAAATTTTCAAACTCTGTCTCCTCAAAGTCCTTGTTAGATCTCATTTAACCTACTTTCCACTAACTGTAGCCCACAAGCAGATTTCTGTTTTCTGTTTGATGTGTTGGTAACTCTCACCAGCACTACCTCATTAAATCTCATTGGCTTTGACCAACCAGGTGTGCACTGAAGGTATCAGCTGCCATTTAAAACTCACAATGTTCTTAAATAGCTCTCTGAATGTTCTGCAGTCAGTAATAAAGGAATTAGGAAAATCTGGAACTGTTCACTTAAATCTTTTTTTAATTTTTTTGGGAGACAGTCTCGCTCTGTCACCCAGGCTGGAGTGCAGTGGCACGATCTCAGCTCACTGCAACCTCCGCCCCCTGAGTTCAAGCAATTCTTCTGCCTTAGCCTCTCAAGTAGCTGGGACTACAGGCTGCACCACCACGCCCAGCTAATTTTTGTATTTTCAGTAGAGACAAGGTTTCACCATGTTGGCCAGGCTGGTCTTGAACTCCTGACCTCAAGTGATCCACCTGCCTTGGCCTCCCAAAGTGCTGGGATTACAGGTGTGAGCCACTGTGCCCAGCCTCACTTAAATCTTGTTAGAAGCAGTCCTCTCCACTCATGCTTGAGTTTACTCTTAAAGATGAGTGGACATTTTTGGAAGGTAGCTAGAGTTTTTAACTTCAAGATCTAGCAGCCAGGCTCAGGGGGGGCGTGAGATTTTCTTTTGGGGTCATAAAAATGTTTTGGAACCAGAGAGAGACAGTGGTTGTACAGCATTGTGAATGTACTAATACCACTAAATTGTACAATTTAAAATGGTTAATTTTATGCTATGTGAATTTCACCTCAATTAAAAAAAATTTAGCCATCAAATATGTCTTCAGTCCCATAACTCTGAGTATAAGAGCTGGTGGCCAGCAGCTACCCGACAATATATGATTCAAGATAAGGAGAAAGAGATGAAATGCATGCTTTTGGGTTTCTGATTTGTAATTGCAAACTTGGCATGTGTATGACACTTACATAGCTTAGAGAAGTTCCATGAGCTTCTCTAACATAAAAACTCTTTAATAGTAAGGGTGAAAAGAAACACGGACCTTATGTGACCTTCAGAACTGTCTACATGAACACAAGTTTTTGTTTGTTTGTTTGTTTTAGGGGGATGGAAGCTTGCTCTGTCACCTAGCTGCCATCTCTGCTCACTGTAACCTCCACCTTCCAGGTTCAAGCAATTCTGCTGTCTCAGCCTCCTGAGTAGCTGGGACTACAGGTGTGCACCACCATGCCCAGCTAATTTTTGTAGTTTTAGTAGAGATGGGGTTTCAGCATGTTGGCCAGGCTGAAATGTTTCCTATTTTATTTATTTATTTATTTATTTTTTGAGACGGAGTCTCGCTCTGTCGCTCAGGCTGGAGTGCGGTGGCGCAATCTCGGTTCACTGCAAGCTCCGCCTCCCAGGTTCACGTCATTCTCCTGCCTCAGCCTCCCAAGTAGCTGGGACTACAAGCGCCCACCACCATGCCTGGCTAAGTTTTTGTATTTTTAGTAGAGACGGGGTTTCACCATGTTAGCCAGGATGGTCGCGATCTCCTGACCTCGTGATCCGCCCGCCTTGGCCTCCCAAAGTGCTGGGATTACAGGCATGAGCTACCGCGCCCAGCCTTTTTTTTTTTTTTTTTTTTAAGCCTACAGTACCTGGTATTCCTGGGCAGTCTCCCATCCAAGTACTAACCAGGCCCAACCCTGCTTAACTTCCAAGATCAGATGAGAGACCACAGTTCTTCTCACATTCTATTTTAGTTGTTACATATATGAAAAAACAAAACAAAACAAAATAACCACAGACCTCTGTGCGCTATATATCACTGAGCTTTGTGTGGCAACACATGTCCCTAAAGCATCAGATGCCCATGATAATAAGGTCGCAATGACAGAGGGCTTAACAGTCAGTACAACAGCCACAAGTCAGCTCATGAACTGCATTCAAACCTTAAAATGAAATCTGTAAGACAGCCAAGCATGGTGGCTCACACCTGTAATCCCAGCACTTTGGGAGGCCGAGGTAAGTGGATCACCTGAGGTCAGGAGTTCGAGACCAGCCTGGCCAACATGGTGAAACCTCATCTCTACTAAAAATACAAAAATTAGTCCAGCGTGGTGGCAAGCACCTGTAATTCCAGCTACTCGGGAGGCTGAGGCAGGAGAATCACTTGAACCTGGGAGGTGAGGTTGCAGTGAGCCAAGATCACGTCACTACATTCCAGCCTGGGCAACAGACTGAGACTCTGTCTCAAAAAAAAGAAATCTATAAGACAATTTAGAGAGGATAACCAGAAAGGCACAGCATTCCACACAAATTCAGTAGTTTAGACAAGTGTTTAAAGGAAAAATGTAGGAATTAGGTTACCTCCTTAAAAAAACATGAATACTTCCAAGAGAGTGTTGGGAAAGAAATAAAAACTAAAGTATTTCTATTACTTTTTAGGAAATATAAAAAACCATACTGGACTTCCTCACACCCATTCAGTTGAAATTTAGAAATAGTAATTCTATAACAGTGCTTGACATTTTTAAAGTACCATTCCTGAAGCTAAGAACAAATTTAGATACTGTGATACCACCAGCTTTTCATGTGGGCAGCTGTGTTCCAGAACTTGTAGAACTTCTGGCACAGACAGCAAAAGGTAGCAAAAATAGCTCAGATGAAATATGTGATGATACATGAAATTATATACTAAATTCTACATTATTGCTATTTTCTTTCCCTCTCATTAGAACATTAATATGTTCTAATTATATTAATATGATATATTAATATATACAATTATATTAATATGATATATTAATATATGCAATTATATTAATATGATATATTAATATATGCAATTATATTAATATGATATATTAATATATGCAATTATATTAATATGATATATTAATATATGCAATTATATTAATATGATATATTAATATATGCAATTATATTAATATGATATATTAATATATGCAATTATATTAATATGATATATTAATATATTTTCTCTCTTAATAAACCATTAAGCCCCAATGACTGGTAATCTTCACTAAATTAGCTGTACCTCCTTACTGCTGTGATGGCTAGTACGACTACTACCAACTTAGAAAGGGAAAAAAAGTCATGTGGTTGGCCTTAATGACAAGAAAAGTCACAGATTCACTTCTAATTTATAATTATCAGAATTAATGTGCAATTTTGAGTTGTCTCCATTAAATCCCTTGAACAGAATCATCATTTTGCTCCACATTCAGTTTATGTGTGTTTCCATCCTAATGCCTGAGCAACAGGGTGGTGGTGCTGATTGGAAGCTAACTTGCATTTTCATGTACGAACTCTGGAAGGGCAGAGCAGGCCACCAGTATCCTGTTTTCATGCAGCTCCTAACTATTGTGGGAGCCAGTGATGGGTCTTTGGCAATTGTGGGCAGCCTCCTGGGCCACAAGAATGGGGGCTTGAACAAAGGTGGAGATGTCCTGAAGCTGGAGAGAGGGTCAAACTACTTAAACTTTCTGCAACATCGTCATCTGATAATCTGAGTGAGTGACTCTCAAATGCACTCTAATCCAGCCCTTGCATAATTTACACTATATTCCTTCTGAATGCTTAAAGAACGGGGCCTCCTACAGAACAGCCATCGAGGTTGGCCTGAGGAGCACATACTCAACCTGAAGGAAGCTCTCTGGCTCCTTCCAGTACAGTGAAGCAGAGGTGCAGGGAACAGCTGGACAGACAGAACCGCAGGAGCAAGGAAGACCTAGGAGCCACAGGGAGCACACTGGAGCAACAGGGACACCCCTTCAGATCAGAAAGAGGTGGCCGCTGGCAACAGAAAACTGAAGTAGCAGCTAAAGAGAACTGGGAGACACTGAGGCCCCTTTAGAAAGGAGAGGGGTTTGGGAGACTAGCAGTCTAGTGATAAAATGGGGGAAGCTCAGAAGTAAATGGCATTGGAATAGTCCCCCAAGCCCCTGACCATCCTCCTGATTGGTCTGGTCTTGGATAACAAGGGTTAATTCTCATTTCGTGCTTTCATAGCATCCTCTGCAAATGTGGCTAAGGGTGGGTGACTGTGGGATAGCAGAAAGACCTACAGAAGGTAGTTTTTTACCAAAATAAGGCCTAAAAATGGACGCTATGCACTTCGATCTCTATCTTCAGAAGTCACAAGAGTGTAAAAAACCTGAAACCACTATTTCTCAATATGCTGTCTCTAGATGAAATGTTCTCATTTTTATGTTATACTGAAAGATATATACTGCAAAAGAATGCAACTTTATCTGACTACACATATGAACAGGCAGTCTATTCCAAGGTTATCCTGCTTCCAAAACTAGAAAGATGTAAAGTAGAAGAAAGACAAAGTACAACGTTTCACTCCTAAAGCTGTTAAGTTACCCTGTGTTGATAAACATGCTTACCATGCCATGCTTTCATAGCTCTTAATTAACATCTAAAAATATCTTTCTTTCCTCCTGCCTTCTGAAGGATTGTCACATGCTCCTGGGTTCTTGTCCCAGCCAGGCAGCATTTTCCTACCTCACGGTGATGAATATGTAGGAGAATGTGTGCCTCAGTATCCTTAGACCCCAGTTATACAAAATAAATATAATTTTAACAGCGTACCTCATTAGACTGCTAAAGTATTAACCAGACTTTAATTTCTGAACATTTCTTAGCATGCATTTTAACTTGACACATTTTTAACATTATCTTTCTGCATTAGATTAATGTAATGATCTCTGTTTTTCATGTAAAGCTAATATTTTGCCTAGTTTAACCTTTTAAAAAATGATTTAAGTCAGGGACAATCACAAGATGAGACTTAGAACTTATGAAGTCTGAGATGTATTTTCTGAAGTGATAATGGAGGGGCACCCCCTGGCTAAGTTTCTTAAAACAACAATATCGAGAAAAGGTAGATTTGGAGTATATTTTATTCTTACAACAATGGCTCACAACAAAATCAAAATAACTTGGCAACTCTAAGGAAACACATTTTGTGTAATCAAAGTTAAAAAGCAACATAAATGCATGTAGCTTTCTTTAATTAGATTCAAGGTCTGCATGTCTCTCTCTCTCTCCCTCTCTCTCTTTTTCTCAGATCCCTCCCTGAATCAGTAGTAGAAATGACCACCATTAGGACCCTTGTTTACTCTGGAAGAACTGATAAGGTTAAAAAATTTTTAAAAAGTCACCTGGCTGTCTCAAACACATGCCTGACAGGCCAACCAGTCACAACAGTGCCTTATTCAATCAAGTAGGAAACTGAAGTCATGGCTATTTGTACCTGATGTTCAGCCATCTGGCTTTCTGGACTCCTGCCAGGCTCTGGGCTCTCACTGAGTTTCAGCTCAATGGCCTCCATCTTCGTAGAGATGGACTGGAGGGAGTCCTGGTACTTCTGCTGGCGTTCCAAAGCTTCATAGAGTGTGCGCTGCTTCTCACTGATCTACACCAGAAAAGGGATATTACCAAATGCTTCCCAGCCCCTTATCTTTCAGATTACAACATTTCTTTCTTCAGTGCTTTACCTCTGTGGCCCAACATAGGGTACTCAACTGTGGACTGGATATGTAAACTCTCTGCATGTATTTCATAAGACAATCGCTAAGGTTACTGGTGTCTGGTGGGCATAAACTAGTCCACCTTGAAGACTTACCACATTCTTTAAGGTTTCCCAAGAACGCTGCAAATCACCCAGTTTGGCAGTAGCGGATGGCTCCAATCCCGGTTCATAGAACTCCTGGGATGCGGATGTGCTGGGGTGAATTTTTGCAGCATCTGTCTGCAACCTCTCAGCAGACAAGGCTTGGTAATATGCAATGTCCTGTGAGTGCAAAGCACAGTATTGAATTAAACAAAAAGACAAAGTCTAGATTAATATGCTCTGGGTACTGTTGGTCATGTCAAGGAAAGGTTTCAGATCTACACCTTTCATGGGGCACTACAAACTAGTAAATTAGTAAACTCTTGTGACAAGAAAAATGTAAAGACTGTATCAAAGCACACTGTAATTGTTTCAGAATTTTGGTTTATATATATCAAAAAACAACTTTACCAATATTTCAAGTTGCCAAAACTCAATCTTATTCTATGTTTGTTAAATGGAAATACAAAGGATTTAAGCAGTACACATGTATTTAAAGGTTGATTAGAATAGCAAAAAAAGAGAATCTTAATGATCTAGTTCCTAAAATGTTGTCGAATGTATTCATTAAAGTTTTAAATAATTTAAAAACTACTTGACTTAAATAAAATTAAATCTACAGATGCAGCCAGATCTTCACTATCTGTGGGTTCATCATTTGCTGAATTAATTTAAATATTTTGATATTAAATAAGAAAAATGTAATGGGGAAGTTACCACTACTCTAAGAAACAAATAATATAAAGGTTTTCTATGCATTTCCTAAAAGTATACACACAAAAAAAACAAAGTGAATGATGAAATATCATGCTTTCAAATTTTTTAAACCTATTATAACATTACATATTTTATTTGTACTGATAAAATTTACTATATCAAGAGATATAGTAAAGATATATCAAGAGATATAGTAAAGATGGTTTTTAACTGTTTCTATGGTTATTTATCTGTATTTCAGTAGAAATTTAATTGGGGGAGTAATTGCTATTATAAAGTTCATTGCTTTTGCAGTTGTACTGTTGAAGGGAATTATGTCAGCTTAAAATACCTGAGTCTTATTGAGAATCATGTATTGGTAAAAAGTATTGAAGAAGGCTCCAGCCGTCTGAGAAACAAATGTAGCAGTGTCATGCGGTAGAATGAATTCAGACTGGGACAGCTGAGATTCTAGCGAAATTCTCCTCTTGTGTAGCTATATAATTGGAGCAAATAACTTATATCTTGCACACTGGTTCACTCATTGGTCCAATCTTGGGTGGGATTGAGGATTATATGAAATAATATTTGAGTGACTATGACAGCTTCTACCCATTTTGTTGTTGTTCCTGAGGTCTCCAGATGAGTCCCCAACATTTATTGATGATATTGGAACATGGAGACTGCTTCCTCTTTATTCCTAACCCTGTCACTGTCTTGAGTGGATTACTCTTCATGTCCTTAATAGCTTTAGATCCATTGATCCTCACTCACTCCCACCCCACTTCAGTCCTCCACACCCTTGTATGCTGTCATCGCTCAGCTGGACTTGTAGTTATGTCTGAAGTTACTTAAACCCCTTTCTTGCCAAGACTCTTGTTTCTCTTGCTCTTTTAACCTTTACTTCATCCACTTGGAAACCCGCAAACATGACTCAATCCAGAGTCATTTATGCATGTGTGTGTGTTACTGACACACACACACACACATACACACACAAACACGCACACACACACATACACATGCAATCCAAGCTGTCAAGGAGATACTGCAACTTCTCAAATTTTCAAAAGTCTATGTATATTCACACTCACCCTTATCTTATGCTTTCCAGTTTCACTGCTTAAACCTGACTCTCCCACAGACTCTGAGAATCCCATAAACTGCTTTTTCAAGGATCTTGGTCTATTAACATCCTCTCTGGCTTTGTTGACTTTCTCTCTTCCATCCAAAAACACCTGCACGCACTGTTTCTTTTATTTGTTTTCTTGAAGGATATCACATTTTCTAAAAAGTCCACAGTTCACAATGTGACGGATCGTCACACGTGAATGCACTTGCACACACAGGCTCCATCCTAATTTCTTTGTTTTCTCCCTTTCATTTCATAATCCAACTTCTGAAAGGGTGATTTTCATGGGACTTTCTCACCCTCGATCCACTTCTAAATTCCAGTTTGGACTTTGATCCTGATGACTGCAGAGCTTGCTCTCACCAGCTTCTTCTCTTTGACAAAAAATGATGAATTTTCATCCCTTCCCTTGCCAGACCTCTAGCATTCAATAGCACTGACAAACCCTTTCCGGAAACACTTTCTAAAAAATCTCTCTGTTCTCCTCCCAGCTTTCTAGTCATTCACTCTTTCTCTTTTATAGTTTGTTTTCCACTCACTCGCCAATATTGGTGAATTGATAAGCTCCAGACTCACATATCCAGATGTTCATGCATATCCTGTAGGCTCTTCAAAGTCAACATTTCCAAAAGGAACCAATTTAGGAAAAAACAATGAAGTATTATCCATCTTGCAATAAATGGAATGTCTTCTCACCTAAGCTATAAACTTGGGATTTATTCCTGATTTCTCCTCCCCCTTAACATCCACTGCTTATGGGAGGATGGAGTGCTAACGATGCATATCCTGGCCACAGCCTTGGTTCAAGTTCTCATTACAGTAACAGCTTCCTAACTCAAAGGTTGCAAACTGGCAGCCTGTGGGCTGCCTCTGACCTGCACATATTTAGTGTGGCTTATACAATGTTTTAAATTGTTTAAAATCTCTCTTCATGAAGATAGAGAGATTTCATTAAAATTCACATTCGTAGCTTGTTTTGCAAACCACAAGGTATGGTAACACTGGGCCCTGTGTCTTTGTTAAAGTAATGCTAACAGAGGAGACATTGCCTCATTTATGTGGAGCAGGAGCTGTCCAGGCCTCTGTAGTCCCTCCTGGCCTCTGTAGTCCCTCCTGGCCTGTTTCTCTCATTTTTATCACCAGGGTGGACCAAGCATGAGACTGTGTAACTTCTGTTTCTAACAGCTCCCCTGGCTCTGAATTTGCACACTTCTATTCTCCTGTCCACATTGATCCAGAAGTATCAGTTCTGTACACAGCTTCTCATTAAATTCCCTCAGTGGTTAAATATTAGCTTCTGGAGGAAGCTGAAATTCCTTCCTGTGGCATTCAGGGCCTCCATGATGTGGTTCCCATATCCCTCTCAGTCTCATTTCCCCCTCTCCTCCTCCTCCAATGTTTCTCCAATTACACTGAAACTATTTGCAGTTGCCTGGATGGGCCATTTTGCTTCCCGCCTCCACAGCTTCCAACAGGTGGTTTCTTCTGCCTGAAAATCTTCATCTCACACGACCCAACTGCACTCCAACTGCCTAACTGTGCTCCTCCCTTAAAACTAAAGGGGGCCATCCTTGACCTCTGCCTGACTCCAGCCAGTTTAGGTGCCTTCTCTAGGCCCTCCCACAACACTGTACTGCCCTCGGCCACACTACCTGCCACCTTCTCTTGTAAGCATTTGCCTGTCCTCACACACACTGTAAGCTCCCTAAGGGCTGTCTGGGTCACTGCTTTTCGTCTTCATCCTGAGCACATTGTGGAGTGTTTGGCAAATAACAGGCAGGCCTATATGTTCATAATAAATCATGCTTGTAAATGCACTTATATAAATTCTATTATTTTATATACATGTAAAGTAATACTATTACTGTCCATAAGGAAAAGCAGGAATGCCTTTAAATGGTGTAAACATTTTACATTAGATACTCTATTATAAATACAGAAGGCTCCCAAAAGAGCTAGAATAAAATAAATTTATTACAAATAATTTTTTTCTGGCAGTCTCACTCTGTGTGTGTGTGTGTGTGTGTGTGTGTGTGTGTGTGTGTGTGCGCGCGCACGTGGCTCATGCCTACAGATATGAATGACAACTCCTGGTTTCTTAAAAGGATTTGAAAATATGTCACCTTTTATAGATGAATAATTTCTATTTATTTGAGGTACATACATAAATTGAATTAAAATAAATCACTCAGTACTATAAATAACTACTAAAGTCAATACTTGATGTAGTGAGGAGTCACTGTTACAAATACGTTTCTCATTGCTTATGTGCCTAAGTTATAAGACTTATGAGTAGATTCCTAAGGAAATAAATTTGGACAACTGTAGCTACTATTTGATCAGTATTTTCTAGTTTAAAAAGCACTTTCACGATTCATGTCACATTTCATTTTCACAATGCTGTGAATTAAGTAGTATTGCTTCTCACTTACAAATGAGGGTATCAAGGGACTTCCCAGGTGCACTCAGCTTAGAGGAGAAAGAGCTGCAACTCAGTGTGAGCTTTTAACTTGAAGGCCAATGATTTTCCCATTACACTCTTGCTCCCTCTTTTCAAATGTATTCCTCCCTCAACTCTTCTGCAGAGTCTAAGCCTTGGCTTGCTTCTAAGGGGAATCAAGAAGCCTACAGCAAAATCTAGGAATGCCTCGGTATTTCTACCTTCAAGTAAGCTAAACTGTTATTACATTTTAGCTAATAGCTACTGTCAGAGACAGAATACACTGTGAGTGGGACCAGGTAGTTATATAACGGAGATCTACTTGCAGGAACAGCAGGCACAAAACCTTTTTTTTTTTTAACAACTGTGATTTTATAAAGCAGTTCTATTTGGCTGCTCCCTGAAACAGCTGTACACATTCTGTGCACAAAACTCAGGGTTTTTAATCTGAAAACTGAAACTTAAGGGGATCCTACATGTCCTCCTCAGTTTCAAGAGACAATTTTATAAATCCAGTGCATCACCGGTCATGGTGTCATATTTTTTCATTGTCTTCTAACTGACATTACTATACAAAAATAACATGTGGCCGTAATGATGGGGTTGATTTGTTTGATGAACACCAAGCATAATACATTTCCTTTTTAACAGCTCCCTCAGAGTAAAGCTGTGTGTCTTAATCTAAGTAAAGGCATTTTCCCCTACTTTGCAGCATCACATGTAAGTATTTTAGATTAACAATGCAATTTAATTGATGTTTTCCTGTGACTAGGGGAGAGGGGAAGAATTAAAACAAAGCCTAATCTCACTGAGTTTTAGGACCTGATGAAGCTTTGTGGTTAATGTCAAGAAATAATAATAGAAATATTTGCATGTTTCATCATTTTTAGGGCACTTTCATGTATCCTTTGACACTTTACAAGAAGTAGCATGGAGATTTACAGTTTTAGAAAAGGTATATTTTTTCCACAAAGTCTCAAATAAGTATTTATTATTCAGTTTGAAAAATTTGAGAACCTAAACCATATTAAATAGAACAATTTTTTCTATATAATAATCAGCCGACTATAGCTTAATTTCTGTAATAACATCTGTAACCATAGGGAAGGACAAATCATCAAAGAATGAGTAATACATATTTTAAAATGAGAATTTGAAAAACACTTTCCCAAATTCCCCACGGCTCCCTGAACTTCTCCTTTTATGTTGCTGTTTTTAGTTTCCTCTGATCACATTGTTATTATCTGTCCCATGTCTGCCTTTCTCTCTAGACTGTCAGGGCCTTGCAGGTAGGGCCATGCTGACTCCTTCTCAGCTGCATCCTCAGGAACCAACACAAGGTTTCACGCTGAGCAGGTGTCAGAATGTACTTGACAAATGGATGAGTTGATAATTTCCCTAGAGCTATCCTGATTTTTACCAAGAGAACAGTGTAAGTGTATTAACTAAAGGTTTCATCACCTTGATGTTCCTTTTTTTTTTTAATGAGGGGGGATTCTCTTTATCACAGAAATCCTATGACAGTCTGAATGCTTCTGCTTTAAAATAAAAGTAATATAATTGAATTATAATACAGGTTATAAAACATTTGCTCTGTTTAATGCTTCTCCCTTAATAATACATATCAACTTCTTTGAAAAAATGTAATTTCATAGAATAGTTTACATTTTTTAGTTGTCTTCACTAAAAAATAAAGTATTACTTAACATGCATTAAAAGTCTTTGGTTACTATAAAGGCATATTTTTGATTTCTATCTAACATTTGACATAAAAGCTTTTTGACATTTAATTTAGTATTATCTACATTTAATACATGGTAAAAGGCTTCTTATAACTAAATGGTTATTTTATTTTCCCCATTTTATAGAAAATAAAATTTAAGATTATTGAAAGATAAGTTAAACACTCAAATCTAGTAGGCATTCTAGTATAAATATGGCAGACATTCCTTACATTGGTACACAAGTTGCAAATAAAGAAGAAGTCTGACATAATAAATGGAAGTTTCCTGTCTTCAAAATCTGAGCTGGTAAATGCCAGCACTATTTTCAATGCATGTTATAAAGCCATCGAATCACGTTATTTTACAATGGTGACACACATCTTTTATTTTCTGTTGGATGCAGAACCCCATTCCAGATGATTGCTGGAAACTAAGGCCATAATGTCTTAAAACAGAGCCTTCTGGGCTATCATTCCCATGACCTAATTTTTGTTCATCCCACTTTCTGTAGCCCAGGAGAGGAGATGACATACTGAGACACATGACAATCATAGTTTGTGCAACTATAACACCTAATAGTGTGTCCCTGGAACCAAATGCAACAAAGTCTGAGATTCATACCCACGATCTAATGGAAACAGAGAATGGAGTCCTGCATCTGCCCAGAGATTATTGCTAGAGGAATGCCAACTGGGAGGTACCTGGTTAACAGAAGCATCTGTATTAGCCACAGGTGAAGGGGAGCGACAGGCAGGTGGAGAGGAAATCTCACTGTTGGTTCCCTCCTCCCCAGACTCCTCAGTGACCGGTGACAGCAAAGTGTGACAGCGACCTGCAGTCATCTGCCACGTAAAATGTAGCCCAAAGGACATGAAAATCAATTAGCTATGTTAACATAAGTCCTGTTCAGGCACAGGCCAAAACAGAGTTAATTATAAAACGAAGGTTAAAATTACTGGGACCCGAATTCACATATTAATCCTGTGTTAGTATTTAAAAGTTCTGTCTTCAAGAGAATATGATGCTAGTAATCATTTGTAAAACAATCAGGGATGGGGGTGCATATGACATTGAAGTTTTGTTGTTGATTAAATACTTCATTATTTTCCTTTCTTTGGAGAGTTTGTGGCTTTATAAATAACTGGAAAAATCACGAATCATACAAATGAGAAAAGGTCTGTGAAATAAAGCTTGGTCTTTTGTGGACATCTCAAGTTTCAAATATGGTAGGAAGATAAATGCACCCAAAGTACTGTTATTGCCAAATGGGCTCAGGTATGGTTACTCATTACCTGAGGCACAGCACATATAAGGGAAAACACACAGCACTGGGAAACATTATAGTCACCAAAATACTCAATGCATTTTAGATGGCAAGTGTATAGGAAAATAGTGGTGCAGAATAGAAAATAACAAAGTTGATTTATTTTAATCCAAAGCCAAGCTTTAGACGGTCTGTTTTCATATTTTTCTAACAATAGCTGTTCTTCTAAATTGTATTACACATTTATACAGTAGAGTACATGCACATATGTAGTTAGCTAGTTAGCGTGGAGACCACAACTAAATATATATGCCATGAATTTCCCATCCCCCAGACAACTAAAACACTGTGCAAGTAAATTATTGTTTAAAGCTCAGAGCCTCTCAGTATTATTGCGAAATTATAAACAAATACAGGGTAGACCTCTGACATGTTAAGTAATTCAGCTGTCTCGAGCACATAGTTTCATTTTAACTGTCATTGTTTACAGTGTCAAAGATTGGCCCGGCCCAACGGTAGTCAAAGAGACTTAAGGAATCTGTTCCTCCCTCTGAATCTGCAAGATCGAAGGCTGGTCCCTGAAATCAGCCACGGAGAGGGAACATGGAGCCACTCGCCAGGCTCCAGTCAAAGAGCAAAGCCGCGGGGACCCACTGGATCCTTACCATGACCACAGAGGGGTGGGCCGAAGGCGTGGGGAGGAGCTCCCCATCCAGGTCCTCTGTCCCTTCCGCCAGCCCCTCGACCTCGGTCACCGTCAGCAGCATGGTGGCGTGCTTGGCTTTCATCGTCAGCATCTTGCACTTGGAATTCAAAGAAGCGATCTGCTCCTGGTAGCCCTTAATTTTCTGCGCCAGCTCCTGAGGAAACATTTCCCCCACCGGGGTGTCAGAGCAGCATCAAAAGGAAACAGAAGTAGTAGCGTTCATCTTCCTGCAGGGCGAGCCAATGAGCGCGCAGAGCCGCGCGGGCCCGGGAGGCAGGATGTGTAGGCGGCGAGTCCTCCTGCATCTCGCTACCGAGCCAGACCGCAGGCTGCGCGGCGCGGCGCAGGCACAGCCAAAGTGCCCGAGCCCGCGTCCCCGCGTCGGTACAAAAGGAGAAATGAGGGGATGAGGCCGAATGAGTGGTTTCTAATCGCGAGAGGCCCCATATGGAATCATGAACTTCCGCAACATTAGGAACTGACAACTCTCTTTAAAAGCAGAAAGCATCTGAAATTTACCAGATGGTTCCTGCCATGGAAATTAGGTCATGTGATGGCTAAAACCACACCAAAAAAAATGCAAGGCTCAGCTCTTACCCTACTGAGTACATTCAACAGAGATGACAGTCATTTATTTTACATAGGGTCACATACTCAATAGCCTGTCTGTTCCTATGTCTCTAAGAATTTTTTTTAGATAGGCTAGATATTGCATATGGAAATCCCAATTTTTAATGCAGATTGACCCCCCAAAAAAATTTTGTATATTCATCAAATTTTTTCTTGCTCACTTCATCATGTCTCAAATGTTGCTGAGGCTTTAACTAGAACTTTAAACTTGAAATGCAATTCGGATTTAGTGTCTTTTAATTTCACTTGCTTTTGAAAAAATAATTGTTTTTTTGTTTTTGTTTTTGAGCAGACAAGAATGAAAAAATATATTATGAGAGATAGAGGTTTTAAATATTTTATTAAGAGCTTATTGGAAATATAATCTGGATAGCACATAACCCTTAAAAAGGTAACTATAGATTCATTTTAGGAGTATGGTAATTCTAAAATATTAAAGTTTTACTTTCTTGCTTAAATATTTTAAGTATCAAATATTAAAATTATACTTTATTGCATCTTTAAAAAACGAAAATACATATTTCAAAACATGATTCCTAAAAGTACAAAACTATTATTCTTTTTTTTTTTTTTTTTTTGGCTTCTTTGTTTCAGAGGCTGTCATTTATTGTGCACATAGAACACATTTTGTGGGCCGGGTGCAGTGGCTCATGCCTGTAATCCTAGCACTTTGTGAGGCTGAGACGAGGGGATCACTTGAGATCAGGAGTTCAAGACCAGCCTGGCCAACATGGTGAAACCCTGTCTCTACTAAAAATACAAAAATTAGCCAGAAATTGCTTGAACCCGGGAGATGGAGGTTGCAGTGAGCCAAGATTGTGCCACTGTACTCCAGCCTGGGCAACAGAGTGAGACTCTGTCTCAAAAAAAAAAAAAAGAACACATTTTGTGACAAAAATATTAAATTGTAATGTCTTTAAAATAATTGTGTACATACATACACATACATTCATATATATACACACACATATACACATGCACACACACATATGTACACATAGTCATCCCTCAGTAACTGAGGGGCGTTGGTTCTAGGAACCCTCTTAGATACAAAATTCACAGATATTCCAGTTTCTGATGTAAAATGGCATAGTATTTGCATATAACCTATGCACATCTTCCCAAATACTTTAAATCATCTCTAGATTACTAATAATACCTAATACAATGTAGATGCTATGCATTATAAATAGGTGTTATACTGTACAATTTAGGGAATAATGACAAGAAAAGAAGATCAACATGCAGAGATGCAACCATCCTTTTTGCTCCTCAAATATTTTCCATCCATGATTGGTTGAATTCATGGATGCAGAACTTATGGATATGGAGGGCTGACTGTATGCAAAACACGTGTGCACATGCACACACACACACACACACACACATTTTGTTATTATTGTTGTTTTGTTTGTTTCTTCCTGCCCAACTGAAGCCGAGTGGAGCAAAAAACAGTCCAGCAGAACTCAGCCAGCAGGCAGTCAGTCTTCTTGACTCCTAATAGTATAGGAATTTTTAAAACAAGGATTTAAAAAGTAGACATCATTGCTTCTTTACCTCTGGGGATGCAGTTAATTAAACCTAATAGGATTTTTAAAAACAGTGATTGAATAGCTATTTACTATATCTTGTCTAGTGGCTAGCACGTGGGTACTCAATAAATGACATTTACTGCAACTAGTTAATACTAGAAAAGAGCTCTAGCAGATTACTGGACTCCTTGAATTTCAAGTCACCAAGCTTTCGCACAATGGTTTGCCATTATACAAAAATTGAAGGAATCTTTTTTATTATTTTATTTTATTTTATTTTTGAGATGGAGTCTCGCTCTGTCACCCAGGCTGGAGTGCAGTGGCGCAATCTCGGCTCACTGCAACCTCCATCTCCGGGGTTCAAGCCATTCTCTTGCCTCAGCCTCCCAAGTAGCTGGAATTATAGGCACGCGCCACCATGCCCAGCTAATTTTTGTATTTTTAGTAGGGACATGTTGGCCAAGCTGGTCTCGAACTCCTGATCTCAAGTGATTTGCCTGCCTTGGCCTCCCAAAGTGCTGAGATTACAGGCGTGAGCCACCATGCCCGGCAATTTGAGGAATCTTTATGAAGTAGACAGAGTTAGTATTAGGCCTTCCACCCTTTGTAATCACATGGCTGGGCACAGCTCCCTGCTACAGTATCCTGCAAAGATGTGCCCACACTGACAGCAAGTGACCATTTCTTAAGCTGCAATTCTCAACCTTATTGTGTACAAAACTCATTTGGATTGTTTCTTTAAAAAATGCAACTCTGGTCACCACTTCCAAAGGTTCTGATTTACCAGGTGTATGACAGTCTGCACTTCATAATTAGCCCATGTGACTCCAATGCACGTGACTTCCACTGAGAAATAGTACTCTACGACTTGCTTCTGTAAGTGTAAACCTCTTGTAATCTCATTACCTTTGAGGGTTGGTTATTCAAGCTGTGGTCAAATCCACTAAAATAAAATGGAACACTTGGTTTAATGTTACCCATTCTCTTTATAAAATTTCTGAAAATGTTTATAAAGGTAGGAATTTCAGGTAGAGTGGCCGCTAGAAGACAAGCAGCCCTCTGTGGCCAGTCTCTGGTATTCATGAGCAGGCTTTCCGCATCAGGCGGAAAGAAAAGAGGTGTGAGTATCCTCTCCTATGATTTAAAAGTGGCAGGATGATTTTTTTCAAATTAAATGCAACTTTTGAAAAAGTATTATTATTATTATTTTTTGAGACAGAGTCTCTCTCTGTTGCCCAGGCTGGAGTGCAGTGACACAATCTTGGCTCACTGCAACCTCCACCTCCCAGGTTCAAGCGATTCTCCTGTCTCAGCCTCCCGAGTAGCTGAGACTACAGACACCCGTCACCACCCAGGCTAATTTTTGTATTTTTAGTAGAGACGGGGTTTCACCATATTGGCCAGGCTGGTCTCAAACTCCTGACCTTGTGATCTGCCCGCCTTGGCCTCCGAAAAGTACTGGGATTACAAGTGTGAGCCACCACACCTGGCCGAAAAATTATTTTTAAAAGTTTGAATTCCTTAGGCATAAATAAATGATCAGTTATTTTTAAAGTTATTTGTAAGAAAACTAGATTCACCATAAGATTGAGATTCAATTAAAACAAGACAGAAAATACAGGCAGAAACCCTCTTCCCAATTTGTATGTTATCATCAGTTAAGCTTTCTCCACTCAGCACTTTCCTTCCTGTGTTTGTTTTATACATACAATGAAGCTCACACAGGACTGCATCATTTTTTACATGAAAATGTGTTCTAAGTCACAGTTGGTTTAAAACTAACAAACATAACATGGATGTTCAGAACTGTGGAAGAAAATGTGACAAAATAAACAGCTCACTGGACCAAGAGTCAGGAAGACATAGTCCACTGCTGACTGAGCTGAGTTCACTCTGTGACCTTGGGGGACTCATTTATTTTCCTGGGACTTCATTATTCTCTTTTGTTTAATTAAGTAGCCCAGATAGTTTCTGTTACAGTGGAAGAAAAATCACGGAATTTGGACACAAAGATACTGAGACTGAGTCCAATTTCAATCAGTTACTAGATTTAGGAGCTCAGGAAGTCATTTTTTCTAAGTTCAGTTTTTTTGTCAGTAAAATAAAGATGATTTTAAAAAAATCCTTACCCCGGCCAGTCGTGGTGGCTCACTCCTGCAATCCCAACACTTTGGGAGGCCAAGGTAGATGGATCACTTGAGGTCAGGAGTTCAATACCAGCCTGGCCAACGTGGTGAAACCCCGTCTCTACTAAAAATACAAAAATTATCAGGGCATGGTGATGTGCGCCTGTAATCCCAGCTACTCGGGAGCCTGAGGCAGGAGAATCGCCTGAACCCAGGAGGTGGAAGTTGCAGTGGGCCAAGATTGCACCACTGCACTCCAGCCTGGGCAACAGAGCGAGACTCCATCTAAAAAATAAATAAATAAATAAATAAATAAATAAATAAATAAATACCTCATAGAGTTGGTATAAAAAAGTGATGTAAAATTTTGTAAGTTACTTTAAAAAACATAAAGCTGGCTGGGCATGGTGACTCATATCTTTTATTCTAGCACTTTGGGAGGCTGAGGCAGGCATATCACTTGAGCCCAGGAGTTTGAGACCAACCTGGATAACATGGCGAAACTCTGTCTCTACTCTACAAAAAAAAAAAATGCAAAAACTAGCCTGAGGTAGTGGTACATGCTCGTAGTCCCAAATACTTGGAGGCTGAGGTGGGAGGACTGCCTGAACCCAGTAGGTACAGACTGCAATAAGCCATGATCCCACTGTGAGCCATGATCTTGCCACTGCACTCTAGCTTGGATGATACAGCAAGACTGTGTCTCAAAAAAAAAAAAAAAAAAAAAGCACAAGTTTCTTGGGGAAGAAAAACCGTACAACAAAAAAGTTTAGTAGTAATAACAATTATTACTCCAGAAAAGATTTTAAAAATATCTGTACCATGATAGAAGAGTTGTTACAACAAAATTTTGGATCTTCCTAGATGGGATTAAAAATCGTTTCAAAATAAATATGTAATATATAGTCTAACATATAGACCTACATAAACAGTGGTTTCAAAAATCTACATAACACTTTCATTTAACCATTGTGTAAGAAAAATCATTAACATAGATGATGTCTACAGTTGTTGGAGTAAATGTAGATGGGATATTTAAATGATTTTGTAAGTCATATATAAATGAAAATTATTAATGTTTGTAGATGTCAAGAAATTAAATAATTAATTGCATTTGGAGAAGAGGGTGAGATTTTTCATCCTTACAAAGCAATACCTTGAATCTTTTGAGAATCTCAATGTGAGTGGTTTGGAAAAATTGTTCATTTTTCTCATGACAAAGTTAAAATAGAGCATATGGAAGGATATATTCCATATACTCTATCCTTAGTACAGAAAAAATAAGACAACCTTCTCCCAGTTATTTACCAAAATTCACAGTGCTATGAACCAGCCCCCAAGGGAAAGAGTGAATTTGACCTATATGGAATTGACAGGTCAGGAAAGGAAATTCCCTGCTAAGCTCAATCACTCAAGGACTATGATGTCTGGGACAGGGACTGCACAAGGAGTGGTCAAGTCCTAAGGTCATAATGATGCCAAAGGAACAAGGAAAGAACATTTGAAAACGAGGCACATGTTAGCTGGCCCAATCTGAAAATTAGCAAAGTAAACAACCTGGACCATCCTCTGATTTTGGGGAGAGGAACTGAAATGACTAATATGTCAAAGAAGAAAATGTTTAAAATATTAAGTCTTGTTTGTTTGTTTGTTTGAGACTGAGTCTCACTCTGTCGCCAGGTTGGAGTGCAGTGGCGCGATCTTGGCTCACTGCAACCTCTGCATCCTGGGTTCAAGTGCTTCTCCTGCCTCAACCTCCGAAGTAGCTGGGATTACAGGCGCATGCCACCACACCCAGCTAATTTTTGTATTTTTAGTAGAGACGGGGTTTCACCATGTTGTCCAGGATGGTCTCCATCTCCTGACCTCATGATCCACCCATCTTGGCCTCCCAAAGTGCTGGGATTACAGGAGTGAGCCACCAAGACAGAGATCAATGCAGCAAAGCTTTAAGCGTTGCTGTTTCTCGTAGGCATTAAAAACAGGGTATGGACTGTGTTTTAGTGTATTAACTGTGAGAATTCTGGGTGCAGGAGATGATAATCAGTGGGTCCCAAAGGATATAATACGAACAACGTGTAGAGAGGTTATGGAATCAAGGGGAACGCACGTGTTACTGAATCAACAAAAACGGCACTCACAATGCTTAGATAGCCAAAGAGGCCTCTCAAGAGTTGAACACATTAAGTGCAGGACAGGGGAAACTGTTCTCTTCCATTCTCTAGAAACCAAACATATACTCTAATCAAGCCAGTTTCCTGCCCTCGGTATTTCGCCTACATTCCTCTCACCTCATGCCGAGAAATCTGAGCCTGCAGCTCCTGTATGTTACTGGTGGCAACAGGTTTATCCTCAATCTCTCTGTGAGCTCCTTCTATCAGTTGCTGGAGATGTTTCATTTCTTGCTCATATTGTTCATATTGTACCACAGCTTCCTTTGAAAAAAAAAAAAAACAGAAAGATAGACAGTTTTTTTTCTCTACCAATAACTAGGTAAGTGATTCTGTAGTTTAACTCCTATTTACCTGTACAGGTAGGGAATAAAGAAATGATGGGTAAAATTCCTAGATGGTTTGAATTCCTCACTTTATGTAGATATTTCAGAACTTTCTCTCTAAAATGTTGTAGCAAAATTATTGATGGAATCAAAATAGTTAAGTGGTTAGGATTCTTTCTCTCTCTTTTCCCTACTGATATCGTCCTGAAGATGGAACATGACGGTCAGAAAGGGTGAAGCAGTGTGGGAAACATTATTTCATTTTTCCATCTAACAAATACTGAATATATAGGTAAGACACTTATCTAAGTGCTACGGTAGGGAATAAAAATACGAATTATGGGCTGGGCGCAGTGGCTCAAGCCTGTAATCTCAGCACTTTTGGAGGCCAAGGTGGCTGGATCATGTGAGCCCAGGAGTTCAATACAGCCTGGGCAACATGGTGACACCCCCATCTCTACCAAACAAAAGTATATACACATATGAAGTATGAATGACTTTTAGCCTCAGGAATTTTCTGTCCAACAAATTACAAGATAACAGGGAGGAAAGGGTAGTTGACCAAATGAGCCACTAGTGATTTTAGTGAGATGCTATTGATACAATTTTTGGATAAAGCAAGAATTATTAGTTGAAGGGAGACATAAGGTAAACACTGTCATTTCTTCCTGGTAAATGATTTTCTCTTACTAGGCAAAGAGACTAAGAATTATACTTGAGTGCATTTTTTTAGGCACTCAAAAGAAAATGGATTTAATGCTTTAATAAGCTGAAATATGAAAAAAACTCTGTAACACAAGATAACAGTAAACCTGTATTATCAGTTTGTAGATGATTCTCAGGTGAATAATAAGAGATAAAAACATGTAATTGCATAGAAAATTAATCTTTACAAGTTATTTATTTAAAAATATCACTAAAAGATAATTTTCACCAAGGATATTTTTTATATAGCATTCCCCAGGCTTTTGTGGGTGATCCAAATGACAGCATTTTAATCTCCTTATTTTATAAAACCACAACAGCCTGTCAGATTCAACACCCTGGATGTGTTTTGATGGCTGAGCCCACACAATGCTAAGAAAAGAAGCCCATGATTCATCAGCAATTGCTCTACTGGTGTGGGTACCCTGCACCTGCCTGCATGATGTTACACTGCTGGATGGCGGTGTGCTGCAGCCGGCTGGCCTCTTCCTGCAGCCGCAGAGCAGCATGACAGAGAGGTAAGCTGGCAACCACATCCTCGGGGATCCGGAGGGCACTCTGGCAGAGCTGCACTGCTTGCACCTTCGGCTTCAGTGACTCCATCTCAGACAACAAATGCTGAAAATGCAATTTCATAGTTCAAAAATTTAATATTTAAATCATTTATTTCATAAGCAAAAGGCACTAAATTATAGTTACGTTGCAAGTTATAAACATTTTGCAAAAAAAAAAAAATGTTTAAAACAGTGTTGAGTTTAGGGGCTGGACACAGTGGTTCACGTCTGTAACCCCAGCACTTTGAGAGGCTGAGGTGGGTGGACCACATGAGTTCAGGAGTTCGAGACCAGCCTGGCCAACATAGGGATACCCTGTCTCTATTTAAAAATAAATTAAAAAAAATAAAACAGTGTTGAGTTTAGGAGGCATTTTTCCTTACTATCCTCTTTTAAAAATATAGGTCCCTGTCCCTATTTACTCCAAGTTAGTTTGGCTTACCTGCCGATGAGAGAGCTGCTCCTTGAGACTGAGACGTCCAACTTCTGGAGAAGTCAGTGTTGCCTGGGCTTGCTCCAAGGCAGCTTGTAACTTTTTCAACTCTGCTTCAAATTTTTTCATATCCTAGAGAGTCAATATCAATGTATTGTACTTGAAGTTCAAAGCCATAGGGGAAGAATAACATCACAGTCAAGAAACCACATCACAGGTGAGCACTATTTCCATAGTGGCATTGCCATTTTCTTTCAATGATAGACATTTTTTTCTGTTTCTTTTTTTTTTCTTTTTTTACCTTAGCTGCATCTTGGAGGTTCTGCAAACGAATTTTGATCATCTGTCGCAACTCCTCAGTCTCCCGTCCCAGTTCTGCCACTTGCTGAGACATTTTTTCTGTACAGTACACGCTAGTGAGGTACTGTAATTTCTCAGTCATTGCTTCCAGCTCACTGTCAATTTCTTTGGATTCTTCTAGCAGGGTCTAGAGTGAATTGTCAATATTCATGACATTGACGGGCAGGTAGAGGGATATAGATATTCAATATAGCTTGGCATAAAATGCCCTGTGTAAGTTCTGTGTGTCCGTTATTGTGTTTAACCTTCACCCCCCATGACCACTTTCTACTTGGTAGCCACTTACTATTATAACTATTTCACAGAAAAAGAAATCACAGTTTAGGAACTGTAAACAATGTGCAGAGGTCACATGTCATACTACGTGTGGGACCATGAAGCTCCTGCTCGGTCAAGCCCAAGCTGCCCCCTCGTGAGAACAGGACATAGGAATTCTAGCAGTGAAAAACCCAAACATACTAGGTGTCTTATTTGTATCTCTGGGTCTCCATTTTCTCATATTTAAACTAAAGAATCACTTTTCAGCTCTCATATTCTATACGACTGAAGTTCATATTTGTCTAAGAAATGAAAATAAGAACAAGAGCATTACAAGCAAAAACCTTGGCTCACTTGCTTTAAGTGAGACAAAGGGGTAGAAGATACGTGCAATAACTATCAAGAGAAGCAAAAACATCCCTGATCATTCAGAGTGGTATCATCTACTGGGTCTATCAGAAATACAATGGATAAGTAACCATTCAATGTACAGTCTATGAAAAGTAGAACGAAAGAGAAGCCAGTGTGAAGAGATGACTGCAACTTGGGGAAGATTGGGAGAAGGTCTCCGGGAAGAATCACATCTGAGCCCAGTCAGAAGGACTTTTGGGATCTGACAGATGAGGGGGAAGAGGAAAGACATTTCAGACAGAGAGAACAGCATATGCATAGGTACAAAGATGCGTGAATCTAGAACACACAGTTAGTGGGGTGTGTAATGTGTAAAGAGGAGAAATGAGGAATAGGATATTATTCTTAGGCAATAGACTATTTATTTATTTCTTTTTTGAGACGGAGTCTCGCTCTTTCGCCCAGGCTGGAGTGCAGTGGCGCAATCTCAGCTCTCTGCAAGCTCCGCCTCCCGGGTTCACACCATTCTCCTGCCTCAGCCCCCCGAGCAGCTGGGACTACACGCACCCAGGTGCCCGCCACCACGCCTGGCTAATTTTTTGTATTTTTTAGCAGAGACGGGGTTTCATCGTGTTAGCCAGGATGGTCTCGATCTCCTGACCTCGTGATCCGCAGGCCTTGGCCTCCCAAAATGCTGGGATTACAGGCGTGAGCCACTGCGCACAGCCGGCGATAGACTTTTTTTAATGAAGTACTTTCTTTTCTCACAATAAATGTTTATAAATATATATTTAACAGATAAATATTTATCTGTATATGATATATGATATGTATTTATACAAGATATATTTATCTTTTTTTTTTTTTTTCTGAGACGGAGTTTTGCTCCTGTTGCCCAGGCTGGAGTGCAATGGCGTGATCTCGGCTCACTGCAACCTGCATCTCCTGGGTTCAAGCGATTCTCCTGCCTCAGCTTCCCGAGTAGCTGGGATTACAGGCATGAGCCGCCACGCCCAGCTAATTTTGTATTTTTAGTAGAGACGGGGTTTCTCCATGTTGGTCAGGCTGGTCTCAAACTCCTGACCTTGTGATCCGCCAGCCTCGGTCCCCCAAAGTGCTGGGATTACAGATGTGACTCACTGCACCCAGCCCCTATACAAGATATATTTATTTTTAACACATAAATATATATAGTAAGGATATATATATATAATCTGTTAAATATATATTTAATGTAAATGTATAATTTAAGTATATTTATTAATAATTTAATTATTTTAAATGATTTAAATATATATTTACTATATAAATATATCAAATAGAAAATATATGACTTGGAAAATATTGAAAATATAAAGAAGAAAACAAAATATCTCATCACTTTATAACCCAGAAATAACTTTAAGAGTTAACTGCTGATACATTTGGGCACATTTTTAGGTATTAATAATTGAGGTCATAACATGACTATAGTTTTCCATCTTTCTTTTTCACCCGACCTTAGCGTTACCGGAAAAAGGTCCCAATCCAGACCTCAAAAGCGGGTTCTTGAATCTTGTGCAAGAAATAATGTGGGGCAAATCCAGAGTAAAATGAAAGCAAGTTTATTAAGAAAGTAAAGGGATGAAAGAACGGCTACTCCATTGACAAAGCAGGGTGTCCCCAAAAGCAGGAAAAGAAATGCATCCACCTTAGGTACAATGTCTGCTTATATATAAGACAACAAAGCAAAAAATCACGGCGGAGATATGCTCTGCAAGGGCCTGTGACAAAAGATTGTTGATCTTTGTGTAACTGCTGTCTTCTATAAGAATCTATGTTAAAATTATTTTTTAAATATAGATCCAAGAATGCTTTTGTTCTTAAGATACCAGGATATCAGGACATTGCCTGAGTCTGTTATTTCCCAGATCTATTAAGGCCTGGGTATCTTCAGTTAGCATTATCAACCTGTCTAACCATAATTATTCTGTGACTAAGAATGCCTGACGTGGGAATGCTACCCAATAGGTGTCATCCTCATTTACCCAGCCCCTATTCAGGCCCCTACGAAGTCACTCTGGTTCTCACATCTCTGACATTAGAAAAAACACAATGGATTTTCTTTTCTTTTTTTTTTTTTTTTTGAAATGGAGTCTTGCTCTGTGGCCAGGCTGGAGTGCAATGGCGCGATCTAAGCTCACTGCAACGGCTGCCTCCCAGGTTCAAGCGATTCTCCTGCCTCAGCCATCCGAGCAGCTGGAATTACAGGCACTCCCAACCACGTCCAGCTAACTTTTGTATTTTTAGTAGAGAATGGGGTTTCACTATGTTGGCCAGGCTGGTCTCGAACTCTTGACCTCAAGTGATCCACCCCTCTTGGCCTCTCAAAGAACACAATGGCTTTTCTCACAGTGCACTCTTTTTAAATAAACACAGGCTGCTTTACTTCCTAAAGGGGGCACGTGAGAACTCACCAAAAGAGTCTACAGTCTGCGTTCTCTCTTCAGCTTCTGAGCCAGATCATCTCAGGACCTGGTGTCTTTTTCACTGTGCCCCATGATGCAGTCAACCCACCCTACTGCTCGAGTCATAGAAACCTGGGAATCATCCTTGACTCCTCCCTGTCTTTCATCGTTGACTCCTCCCTCTCTTTCACCCAATTCAGTCTCCAAATTGGAGAATTCCAGCTGCTTAGTATCTCTTGACTTTGTCTTCTCCTCCTAATCTCCAAAGAGAGGCCTTGTCATCTTCTACTGAAATACTGAAACCATCTTTTATATTGTCTTACTGTCCTCAATGTGTTTTCCAAAGGCTGCTAAATTTGCTTTCTGAAAATACAAGTCTGAACTTGTCCTTTGCAGGCAGAATATCAGTTTCAGAGGCTTCAGAGTGACTTCAGGATAAAGTCCAAATTCCCAACAGACTTTTAGGATCTTTTTCTTATCTCTCTATTCTTATCTCTTATCCCTTGTACCAGCACCAGAAAACACTCCTCACATTTACTGCTAGGATTTCAGCATACATTTTTATCTAAACACATTCCACAAGTAGGCTGTCATGTTTTTCAGGACTCAGCCCATCATCACCTTTTCCTGAGAAGCCTTTCTGCACTTTCCTCTTAAACCCCTGGTGGGCGGTTGGGTTGAGCACACTCCTGTGGGCTCCTTCAGCACCTGGGCCCTCTGTCTTTGCACAAATCACACTATATTGTACTGTTTCCTTCTATCTGTCCCCTCCCCTAAATAATCAACTCCCTGGGGTGGGGACAGGGAATATCCTTTGTACCCTAAATGCCTAACCAAAGTCCTAGTTTGGGAAAGGACTGTATGTTTGTTGAATAAATAAACAAACGCTTGTATTCCCAGAATTTGGGGATGCCAAGGCGAGTAGATCGCTTGAGGCCAGGAGTTTGAGACCAGTCTGGCCAGCATGGCGAAACCCCATCTCTACTAAAAATGCAACAATTAGCCAGGTGTGATGGCACGTGCCTGTAGTTCCAGCTATTCAGGAGGCTGAGGGACAAGATTCACTTGAACCTGCCCAGGCTGTAGCTCAGTGGCGTGATCTCGGCTCACTGCAATGATGACGAGGTTGCAGTGAGCTGAGATCACGCCACTGAGCTACAGCCTGGGCGATAGAGCGAAATGCTGTCTCAAAAAAGAAAAAAAAAGTCATGATAACCTTAAGGACTTCATTATATTTTATTATATGCAAATATTTACTTGGAAAAAAATTATTTCACATTTAAGTTTTCTTTAAACTTTCACTACAGTTATTAATACTGTGGAAAATATTTTCTATATTTTGGATTGTAGCCATAAAAAGGAGTCCAAAAGGAGCCAACAGGCCAGAGTAGTAACTTTTTTTTTTTTTTTTTTTTTTTTGAGATGGAGTCTCACTGTCACCCAGGCTGGAGTGCAGTGGCATGATCTTGGCTCACTGCAACCTCCACCTCCCGAGTTCAAGCGATTCTCCTGCCTCAGATTCCTGAGTAGCTGGGACTACAGGTGCCCACCACCATGCCCAGCTAACTTTTGTATTTTTAGTAGAGATGGGGTTTCACCATATTGGCCAAGCTGGTCTTGAACTCCTGACCTTGTGATCCACCCACCTCGGCCTCCCAAAGTGCTGGGATTACAGGTGTGAGCCACCGCACGTGGCCCAGAGTAGCAACATTTTTGACAATCACCATACATTTTGCCAATTATTTTTCAAAGAGATTTTACCAGGATACCAGCAATGTTTGAGAGCTCTCACTTCCTTAAATATGAACTTGAAAGAAACAGTATGAATGTGACAGTTAAGTTTGTCTTTCTTCCTCTCTTTTTTTGCTGAAATTTGCATTTCTAGACTTCTAAGGATGTTGGCTTTTTTTCATTGTTTTCAAATCAGTGGTAACTTAAGTCCTGTCTGTTCATATCTAAGCATATCTTAAAGCAAAAGATTGGAGTTGCTTAAGAAAGACATTGTGGGAAGAATACGCAAGATTGATCAGAGAAGAAAGACTGTGAATATAGGGAAAAATTAGAAGCTGTTAAAGCATTCCAAAAATGGAAAAATGAGGCTTTGATCTAGAACCCTGTAAACAAGAATGGAAACAGGGATTCATTTAAAGGCCACAAGGATACATAAATAATATAAGAGACAAAAATCTAGAATACTCGATACCCATGTAACTCCTATAAAAGTCACCCTATATTTTATTATATGATAACTAGCCTATTAACTATCTGTGTCTAATTTAAGCTTAAGTTACAAAAGGATGAAATAATTTCCTGGATGACGTGACTGACAGAAAAGGAACATTTTTCTCATGTAACTTCAGAGGAAATGAACTAACATAGCCAGCATGTGATGTGGACTCATGGCTTGCTCTGGGCTGCCCGACCTCCTGTGGAAGGCCAGATGACAGGCCTGGGTGAGGGCTGAGGGAGGAGGCGGGAGATCTCCCACTGAGCACCTGCATGTGCCAGGCAGACGTTTGCACGTGTGTACCTTAAACCACTTGATCTCATAAGTCTGAAATACGAATATTATTTACGTCTTCATACAAATGATGAGAAGACAGAATTCAGAGAGGCAAAGCATTCTGCTCCAAATCACACAGCCCTGCATGGCGGAGCTTGGTTTTCCCACCAGTCTGAGTGTGGAGTCTAGAATCTTTCCACACTTCATTGCATCTCTTCACAGGAAAGAATTTCCCACCAGATCCCTGCAGATAATTATTTCAAAGAAGCTACAGAAAATGAGTTCTACAAGGCTGATTGGTTTGGGTCTTGGTGTAAGGTAGGTTTAGGGAAGATCAAGGATATTTATTTATTCAATTTCATGAAATTTCATGAGAAGCTCCTTTCTGTCCAACTACTGAACAACTTAGGGGTACCTTAGCATTCTTTTTATCTGGTAGCTCCAAAAATTTTACATCACAGCCCTCTAAGTGTTGTGTCAGTCTACCCAGTTAAATCAAATTGCCCTTGGTTACTTTTTAAAGATTATTTTTCCTAAGGTTACCTGATGCAAAATATATTGTTCCCGAAGCTGGCTTGCAGAATTCCATGCAATAGTTCCATGAGCCAAGACTTTAGCTTTTTCAATCCACTTCAAAATTAATTCAAGCATTTCATTGTATTCTTCTAAATGTGATGCTGCCTGAAAAACCAGTAACATTAATGTAACAAATGTAAACTCCTCAGTTTCTTGAGCTATAAATCAGTCTTCTCTCTCTTTGGACACAACAGTCTTAGGGGTTGATCATTATAATACCTATGATATTCAATGGTATCAAAAGATCGTTTCCCTGTTAAAATCTGTCAAAGCTTTCTCAGTGACCTTAGGATAAAGCTCAAGTTCTTAATATGATTGAATTATTCCTCTTTTTCTTTCTTTTTTCTTTTTTCTTTTTTTTTTTTTTCCAAGGTCTTACTGTCACCCCGGCTGGAATGCAGCAGCTGGATCATGGTTAATTACAGCCTCAATCTTACGGGCTCAGCCTCCCACCTCAGCCTCCCACGTAGCTGGGACCACAGGCACGTGCCAACCATGCCCTGTTAAATTTTTGAATCTTTTGTAGGTTTCACCATGTTGCCCAGGCTGGTCTCAAACTCCTAGGCTCAAGTGATCCTTCTGCCTCAGCCTCCCAAAGTACTAGGATTATAGGTATGAGCCACCATGCCAGGCCTTCCTCTATCCCTTCCTTCACCCTCCCCTGGGTAAGGAGGTGGCAAGTGGGGATTCTAGCAGGCAAAGTTTCAAACTATAATTAATGGGTTACCAACTCCTGGTTTTAACTTGTCCCTGATTATATTAATCGATTTCAAAAGTCTAGTCTATATGCAACAATTATTACAGACGTGCAATCTGAATCTATTAAGTCAACGTAAGCTGATATATATGTAGCTTACTTAAAGGTACTTGAATTCACCCCAAACTGATTTCATAAAACACGTTAATGGGTGAATATTCATTCTACAAAATACTTCTCCATTTTACAAAATATTCACTCCAAAGTCCATTTGTAGGACCACCTTTGTCAGTGACTTTATCATATGGCTGGATATAAAGTAAGTGCTGGTTTATACCTAAGTCTTAGGATCACAAGTGTAGCATGAAATAAGCTACACCTAAACTACTCTCTCATTGTCCATTTTATCTTTTTATTTATGTTAATTTATTTTCAAAAGAGAAAAGCAGAACATGGAAGTTTCTGCCTTACACGATTTGGATTTCTGGCCCGGAACACATACCTGATTGAGCTTGGAGAGCCGATTCTCAGCTTGTCTAATGGTCTGCTGGTGAAGTTCAGTCAGTTTTCCTATCTTCTTGGCCAGTGGCTTACCCAGTTGGCCATTCTGTTCCAAGAATTTCTGTACTGCTGCATCTAATTCCATTAACTTTGAATTACAGCCATCTAATTCCTCTCCCAGCACCTTGATGGTCACCAAAATGAAAGAACATTAGAGTACAGAAAATAAATTTCTCCAGGTTTCCCGAGATCAGACTGATTTTTGTCAAAGCCAAATATTATAATGAATAATTCTACTATAATTCTACTATGATCAGGTCATTTTTGTTTCTTCGGTTGGAAAGGCAGGGCAGGATATGTTGTAATGCTGGTGTTTATTTCCTATGAGGCTGAGTGAGAAGGCTAACATTTTCCTTCTGCCCCACCCAAAAAGGATTAGAGTCCCTGAACTCATCAACAGAGGAAGAACACAGATTTAGCTACCAAGGACACAATTCAGTTTGGAATTTATATACTTGTATTCCTAAATCATCACTTAGTCCTTTGACGCTCTTCTTTCGTACACACTCATGCATGTATATTTATTAATACTGTTCAATTATAATGATCAATTATGTAAGAGGATCTGTGTTGCTTCAGTTACAAAATTTCTTTACCACCTGCTGTTACTATTTGGTTTTAAAAAAGGTTCCTAAAAGGTTTTTATCCTATATCCCCAAGTAAAACTGACTCCAAAAACTATTTAATTCATTCAGTAGTACCCTTTAAAATTCTACTTCTTACCTTTTGGTCAGTTTTAGCTTGAACTACATTATCTGTCTTCGCTTTCAGCTTAGTTAGAATAGTTGTGAGGTCTTTAGCTAACTTCTGAATTTGCCGGCTGAGTTCCTGGCTCGTGGCCTTGCTCTGCTCAACTTCTTTTATTTTGTCTTGGATCTAAAAAAATCAGTAAGAACAGCAAAACAAGCCATGGTTAAAAGTGAATAATAGATACTAAAAATCTCAAATGATGTTGACAAGACACATTTTAACTGCTTTGGCATTGAAACACCTGGTCACACCAGCGATGTGCGATTAGTTACAAGCCCTCCTGGCTTTCCCTGACTTCACTATCTTTAAGTATTTACTGCACTCCTTGTGTTCCAGCAAAGATACAAGCAATGTGTGTAGAGAAATTCACTTATTAAATATTTACAGAATACTCATTATAGATGGTTGTGTAGACAGCTGAGTTTGAATCCTATCTTCTCCATTAACTAACGTAATGACCTTGAGCACACAAACTCCTCTAAGCCTTTTTCTTCATAAGATGGAAAATCCTCCCAAACAGTTGGAAGCACACTGATTTGTTTCCAAGCACCTTTTAATAAATGACTCTTAATGATCTGTTAACTCTTTTTGTAACTTTCCGACTACAGCTCTATAGTATGCCAACCAAGCATTAAGTACATCCAATGGAAAGGAAGGTGAAAAAAGACAGTTCGCATTTACAAATTTCCAGTGACTTTGGTTTGATTTGATAACAAACATTCACACTGTTGCTTAGAATAAAATGCCGAAGAAAAGACATTAAAGAGAAGAAACATTTCTTTATGTAGTTAAAGGTCTTTAAAAAAACCTCTTTAGTAGGGAGAAAACACACCATTAAAAGAGAGTTAATGGTGTGTTTTGGCCTTCATTATTTTGAGTGTCAAAGTAAATGAAATACATATGAATAAGGCTATGATAGGAAAATTAATCCAGAGAAAAGCTTAAATTTTAACTAAAAAAACAAACAAACAAACAAAGAAAAACCATGGCTGTGCACAGAGGTGCACACCTGTAATCCCAGCACTTTGGGAGGCTGAGGCAGGCAGCTCACTTGAGGCCAGGAGTTTGAGACCAGGCTGGCCAACATGGCAAAACCTTGTCTCTTTTTACTAAAAATACAAAAAATTAGCCGGGTATGGTGGTGCATGCCTGGAATCCCAGCTACTTGGGAGGCTGAGGCACGAGAACTGCTTAAACCCAGGAGGTTGCAGTAAGCTGAGATTGTTTCACTGCACTCCAGCCTGGGGGACAGAGCGAGACTCTGTCTCAAAAATATAAAAAGACCATGAACTTGCCAAGTCATCCTTCCCAGTAGATCTTCCAATGTCTAAGAAGAAAAGCCAAATATATCAATTAAATACTTAAAATAGTAAAGAGCATTTATCAGTAGTTTAGGTCAAAGTCATGATGCAGTAGGATCAGATTTTGATGAGATTTTTAAAACACTTTGCATCATACATTGAAGATTCCAAAAGTAGAGCACAACTGTATGAGTTTTACAGTTTGTACAATGGGATATTACTTTCTATTTCATGTAGCAATTTAGAATTGTAGTATGTCTTCTCTTTGTCTCATATAGAAGGGTTTTCATTAAACTTTAATAGCTTTAGCATTAAGCCACCAAGAGAGTCCGAAAAATCTATTATATTTCCATACAGATGATATTTGAGCCTATTTTCACTACATGAAATTGTGCTCTTCATGAGACCAGAGACAGAAATCTCACTCTGGTCTCAACACCAAAAAGGACTATGCATTTCTTCTCAAAGAAACAAAAATATTTGTTTTTTAGAGTTATAGACAGGATTATGTTTCTATTTACTCTTTTCCTTGGGTGTTTAGAAGCTAGGGTTAAAATGATGGCTCTTCTCTAGCAACATTAGGGGACCCACCCGCATGCATTTTAGGAAATAACTTCATCCCTGCCTTGATCTTATTTTTATTTCTTTGATTTTTCCCTTTCCTCCAACATCTTCACCTACTTAACTGACATTTTGTTGCACTGCTGAAATAAAATAACAGCTGGAAGAGTCCCTGGCACACTCTGGGCATTCACTAAATATTTGTTGAACACATGAAACATATCTTACTTTTTGTTTCTTTAAGTCTTTTTTTAAAGGTGAGGGGAAGCACAAAAATTATCTTTAATTGTATGGCATTATTGGTCATATCTATGATCATCTTGCCTATGAAAAAGACTTCTAATTTAATATTATTGTTTTATAGCCATCTATTTTTTTTAACTCTGTCTCCAAGAAGACATTATTGTGAAAATCAAGAACTCTCACACAAGAGGACTGACCCTATAAACAAAATGGAAAGACACTCTTTCTTGATCATAGGTTTACCTGATCTCGGATCTTTAGATCTAACGCCACTTCAGCCAACTGAAGGGAGAGTTCAGAAGGTAATATGGTATAAAGACCTAAGTACTTCTCCTTCTGTTCTTCTGCCATTTTTTCAATGTTCTGTCGGTGATTTGTGGCTTCTGTTAGGAGAATCTGAAGAAAAGATCAAAATAAGAAATTTCTGGGAACCTTCTAAGGGGACTGTTATAGACAAGGCTGTATATTTTTCATCAACATATAATTAAGTGTGGAATTAGAAAAATATCTTAATACAACATTGTTCTTTTGTCTCTGAATATAAAGTATGTTCACTTTAAAAAACAAAGGAAAATCCCATGAAGTAATACTAAATATCTTTTATATAACACACTTCTGAAATTTTTTAATTCAATATTCAATAAATACAAACAAGTATGTTCAACTAAAATCAGGGCAATTGTTTTTGAAATGATGGGTAAAGAGAATGAGGAGACTTTTTTGTACCTGAAGTTCTTCAAGTTGAGCATCTATTTCTATTGTTGGATTCCCTAAATATTCTTTCGTTTCCTGAACCCAACATTTCACAGAATTGATCTGAGTCTCCACCATTTCTCGGTCCTTCAGCTCTTGCTTCACCAACTTTCCATTAGTCTTCACTTTCTCCTGCATGCTTCAGAAACATTACAGGGATAAAACAGAAGTGAAGTGAAAGGAACCCCCTAATACTTGGCAACATTTTATCCAATACATATATAGAAATGGGAAACCTAGTATCTTTTTTGAAAGAAAAGACACTTCCTCAACACTGTTAAATAACACTGCAGTTCATGTATAAATGTCATATAAAGTAAATAATTTATCCTTGAAAAACTGAGAGTTGACTGTCTCACATGCCACTAAATTGCAATCAATTTCCTATTTAAAGTAGCCTGGAGATTATTTCATTATTTACTTCCTCTTTGGAAATCTCCTAAAATGGTACATTTAAAAGTAATGTGTAATTGGAATATATATAGCTATCTAATAGAAAGTAGTCTTTAAAGAAAAAAATCAAGCTTTGGAAATGTCATAATTAATCACGTTAATAATGTACAAATTTCAAGTCTTTATTTGAATTAATGTAAATTTGGTAAGAAGATTTTAAAAAGTGTTAGGTTACCTTGACATCACCTATAAGGGAAAGAGGTGAAATGCAAGGACATGAATGAGGTAATATTTGTAAATGTAGAAATTAAATTATCAATGAATATTTTTTTCTCTGGCCCAAGAAGTGAGTCAGGGCTGGTTATACATCAGGATTAACTTGCTCTTTCTACTAAATTCACTGCTAGTCGATGGCTATTATTTACCTGGACTGCGCTCCTATATCCCTGTCACCCCAGATGGCCAATGAGTTCTCAAGCTTCATCAAATCTAAGTTCTTAATAGCTCTCAATGGTTTCCATCTCATGCTTCATTTCTCTTGAATCACCCTTCCCCTCCCCGCATCACCCAAGGAGCTCCTTGAAAGTGACACGTTTATTCCTTTCTTACATGTCATTTCCCTGTTTGCAAAACTCAATGCCTAGCTCCAGCCCGCTCAGGCTTCTGCTTCAATTCCCCTTCTGAAGGGATGCCTTCTTTGACCCCTCTCCTCGGCTGCTTGTCTCTGCTTCGGATTCCCTCAGCTCCCTTTTCACACTTGACTACAAAGGCTGCCTTAGTTGCCTAGCTCTCTGCGGCTTGACTGTAAACGGCATGAAGGTAGACACTGAGTCTGTATGGTTCACCATCGTATCTCTAAGTACTATCAGATATGTATTTGTCAGACAAACGATTGAAGAGTTAAGGAAACGGAAAAGCAAGAGTGATGGGAACGGATCCCCACATTTTCAAGGTGGTGTGAAGGAGCACCTTCATACTTCATAACCTACTTATCCCAAGGCCAAGTTCAGTAACAGAATGAAAGTAGGGGCCGGGCGCGGTGGCTCACGCTTGTAATCCCAGCACTCTGGGAGGCCGAGGCGGGCGGATCACGAGGTCAGGAGATCAAGACCACGGTGAAACCCCGTCTCTACTAAAAATACAAAAAATTAGCCGGGCGTGGTGGCGGGCGCCTGTAGTCCCAGCTACTCAGAGAGGCTGAGGCAGGAGAATGGCGTGAACCCGGGAGGCGGAGCTTGCAGTGAGCCGAGATCACACATTTGCACTCCAGCCTGGGCGACAGAGCGAGACTCCAAACAAACAAACAAACAAAAGAATGAAAGTAGGTGCTTAATTACTTCAGGCACCGATCTTGCATGGCGGTGATTTCCTGCATGAGCGGAGGCTCTTCCCCAGGGGTTGGGGCGGCTCCATCCTGGAGCATGCTCAGGGTTTGCTGCCGCAGCATGCCCAAGGCCGACTGCTGCTGCTCCAGCTCCAGAACGAACGTGTCGTGGTATTCAAGAAGAGTTAAGAGCTCTGCTTTCGATGCTTTCTCTGCTGAACTTCCAGGTAACTTATCTTGCAGCTGATCAATCATTTCAGTGGCCTTTTTAACCTGATGACAAATGTACATACTATGAAGTTCAATAATAAATAAACTGAAAAAAATAGGGTAACTCCCATAAAAGCCACACACTAGTGTATGAAGCCAATTAAAGATGATGATATAAATTCCACATGTTAGGAAACTGGAACCTGAGCAACCTTCTTAACATGAAAGGAGATATCACCTCTATACCTCTGGGTTTAAAGCTTTAATCTCAAAATAATATTAGGACAATCAGAGACTATACTTAATACAGAAAAAGCTTTAAAAAAAAACTAAGCAAACAAAATACTCTTTCCAATATTTAAGTTAACATAAATGAGTGCCTTTAAATCATAAAGGAAAATAATGGCTTAAAACATTAAACCTTTAAAGATGGAAAAAGCTGCCAGGCATGTGGTGGCTCGTGCCTGTAATCCCAGCACTTTCGGAGGCCGAGACAGGCAGATCACCTGAGGTCAGGAGCTTGAGACAAGCCTGACAAACATGGAGAAACCCCGTCTCTACTAAAAATACAAAAATTAACCAGGTGTGGTGGCGGGTGCCTGTAATCCCAGCTACTCATGAGGGTGAGGCAGGAGAATTGCTTGAACCCAGGGGGTGGAGGTTGCAGTGAGCTGAGATCACACCACTGCACTCTAGCCTGGGCGACAGAGCAAGACTCCAAAAAGGAAAAAGTTGAATATACAATTTGGGTAATGAGTCAAATTTCTGCTCATTTTCAGGTTTCATGGTAAAGAAAAAGTATCTCATTCTTTTTCAAGGCCGTTAAGAAAGCAAATGGGCCGGGCGCGGTGGCTCACGCCTGTAATCCCAGCACTTGGCGGGGGCTGAGGCGGGCGGATCACGAGGTCAGGAGATTGAGAACATCCTGGCTAACGAGGTGAAACCTCGTCTCTAATAAAAATACAAAAAATTGGCCAGGCGTGGTGGCGGGCGCCTGTAGTCCCAGCTACTCGCTACTCGGGAGGCTGAGGCAGGAGAATGGCGTGAACCCGGGAGGCGGAGCTTGCAGTGAGCCGAGATGGCGCCACTGCACTCCAGCCTGGGCGACAGAGGGAGACTCCGTCAAAAAAAAGAAAGAAAGCAAATGGGGCAAAATGGGCTTGTTCTCCTTTCACAATTTAATTGCTTGGTTTTTCTCATTGAAATAATTTGACTGTGACTTGGGACTAAACTGCACATTGCATTTTGTACTTTGTTTCATAACTTAATTTTTATGTCACTGAAACAGATTTTAAAAAGCCTTTATTACTTTCATAAGGCTGACTTCAAAAAGGGGCAAAATACTGTGTTTCAAAATACATTATAATTAGTGAGGAAAGAAAGGTGAGCCCATGGACAGTGGAAACTACCTTGTTGTTAAAGCCCGTCCACTCATCCACTGCATCTTCCAGGATCTTCTCCTGGTCCTGGGCCACAGCTCGAAGGCGTGTCCAGCGCTGCCAGACGGTGGTCATTGACCTGCTCAGGGTGGCTTTGCTGGCATCATTTCCGGTTTTCTCCAGTTGTGAAGCTTTTTCCTCAAGGGCCACAATTTTCTCATGGAAAGAGTTAACCACTGACACTAAAGCCTAGGGTTGGGGGTGGAGGACGGAAGAGAGGAGACAAGGGAGAGATCAATTTAATTTTATAAAGTTCTATGGATCTTGGTAAAGCCCAAAATTCCTGCAAAAGGAAATGTTTCTACATACGTTTATTCTCCTCTAGGTACTCTTACTTTTATGTTTATTTTTTAACCAGAGTGAGTCTTAAAGCTTTTTAAAGAGGTAAGGTGAATATTATTTATTTATTAAAAACAAAAGTGTATTTTGCTACTTGAGATGACATTTTTTTCATTTTTAAAAAGCAGCACAAATGCAAGTGAACCAAATGCAATATTTTAGTATGTTACATTTTTTCCTTATATTGCTCTGATAAAGGGAGACTCAGTTATTAACGTTTTAGTTTTATTTAATCTGTTATCAACAAAAAGTATTCACTGACATTTATTAAGTGCCACATCTTATCGGAAGCAAATTGCTCTGAACATCTTAGCTATGCATTTCCAATGGGAATCCTAAAAGGTAATAGCATTTAATAAACTTAAAACTTCTATAAAATGTTGTTAAATGCATCCTTATCACATTGAAAAAAGTCCAGGTAGAAATGAAGATTTATTGATCATGTTGCAAAGACTCATTATAATTATAGAAAAAGGATTTTTTTTAAATGGCCCAAAACTCTGACCTTGTGTTCTGACAATTTTTCTTCCGCTTCATGACTAGACGAAGTCTTCAACAAAGAAAACTCAGACAATTTCTTTTCTGTATCATTCATCAATTCAATAACCTCTTCCCTTGCTTTCTGGTAATCGTGCCATTGAGCTGTGCATCTTGAAAGAGTCCAACAGAAACTGATAAGTAGCACGAAATCACGTATTTCTACACGAAGCTCTGGTGTCAGTATGTCTAATGATACTCAGGGAAAAATGAATTTACGTGCTAATGTATATCATTCGTGTATTACTACTTTCAGTGTGGAAATTCATTTCACTAAAACATAAAACACAAAACATCCTGAAATACCTCTGCAAGAGATCCACTTGGGCACCAGAGTCCCGGCTCATCCTCTGGCTCCTGAGTTCCAGAGAAGCCACTTTCTGTTCTAGGTCTTCTTTGCCGGTTGGCTTGATGAGTGGGTCCAGGGTGGCTACCAGGCTGTGGAGCTCCTCCAGGTTACTATGGAACTGATCCTCTGTACTGAAAAATTCCATGTGGCTTTTGAGATTTTCCTCTGCGCTCTCCACGTCTAGGCCATTGCCTGCCAGCTGTAACAATTCTTGGGCATCCTCAAGCCAGTCATTGGCTGCTTGAAATACCTGATAATACCTTTGACACTGGCTATATATTTCAGTCAAGGTAGCCTGAAAAACAGCAATTGCAAACATAATCAACTCTCCTTTGCAATGTGTTTGCAGGAAAGAGTTTTATTCACTCATTTGTTTTCCAGTCCTTAGTCTCATGGGCGTATGTGTGTAAGTGCATTGATAAGTTAGTGGAATATTTTTGTGGTGCCATCATCATTATCCTTGATTTTTCCTTCTGCTATTCTTGTTATAATTTTATTACTGCCATTAAATTAAATAATAAGGACAGAAATGGGATAGAAATTTATGTCAGTATCTTGACTAGTTCTGAAACTTCCCTCTCTAAGAAATAATATGATGCTTAGTAATATGTGGCAGACTGGATGTTTATCAAAGTGCAGTAATGTCTCCGTTGGTTAGAAGTATAACAACACGGCCAGGCGTGCTGGCTCATGACTGTAATCTCAGCACTTTGGGAGGCTGAGGGAGGCAGATCACTTGAGGCCAGGAGTTTGAGACCAGCCTGGCTAACATGGTGAAACCGTGTCTCTACTAAAAATACGAAAATTAGCTGAGTGTGGTGGCACATGCCTGTAACAGCTACTTGGGAGGTTGAGGCACAAGAATTGCTTGAACCTGAGAGGCAGAGGTTGCAGTGAGCTGAGATCGTTTCACTGCACCCCAGACTCTGTCTCTCAAAAAACAAACAAACAAACAAACATGGAAAGGAAAAGAAAAGAAAAAAAAAAGAAATATAGCAACATCAAACTTCCAAACTGGCATTTACCAGACCACAGAGCCACAGAGTAATTTCTGGAAGCGAAATAGTAACCTGTGAGTCTTGTATACAGACTAAAATAGAAAAGTTGAAAAGTTTAAGTCTGGATGGCTGGTCCATTCAATTCCAGAAGGAAAAGAAACACTCTAACCAGCCATCAATGACTAGACAAGATAAGCCGCAACTGTGCAAGCGAAGATGCATAGAAAAGGTAGAGAAAGTACCCATAAGATGAGCACCAATTAGGGAAAGAACAGGGACAGCAAAGCATAGAATCAGCGGAGGGAATAAGAAATGCCCCAGGAACCATGACCTTTAGTTATTTGGACCAAGATAATCAATAAGACAAGATGGCACAAGCAGAGACATCTTAGTAGATTTAAGAGTTTGGTTCAAAACTCACCAAAAGAAGCAAGCTTACCTGACAAATGTTTTTCAAGAATGAAAATTTCTGCTAACTTCTGTTCTTACTCTACATTCTAGATTCTATATCTCTATTTATACTAATAGCGCTAGAAAAATAGTTTAAAATTTGTATAAGCAATAGCCTTGAATCAACATGAAAAGGTTAAAGTGTACTAGTTTTTAGTTTAAAAAGTCAGAATTTTAAGAAGTTTATTATGATTTTATCCAATATTAAAATTTTTACTATTTAAAGTGTTAACCTTAACCTCTGCAGAAAATATAGTTAAATGAGAGCTAAGATTCATCTGAGGTTACTTCGTGTCAGACCCAATGCTAAGAAGATAAACCTAATAAAAGAATCATTAATATCTCTCTTCTACAAAGAGGGACAGAGCCTTATAGGATGTCATTTTCCTGAGATCAAATAGCTGCCATTAAAACTCAGATGTGCCCTCCTCCCAGGCTATAGCTGCTGTATTATCCTGACGAAAGCTATCCTTTACCTAAAGGGTTGGTTGACATCTCCTAGAATCACAGGGACTAAAGACAGACATGGAGAAAATGGGCCAAGAAGTTAAAGGAAGTAATCCTCTAGGCACTATTTTTCTCTTCTTATTTTATTTTATTTATTTATTTATTTATTTATTTATTTATTTATTTATTTAGACAGAGTTTCACTCTTGTTGCCTAGGCTGGAGTGCAATGTCATGATCTCGGCTCACTGCAACCTCTGCCTCCTGGGTTTAAGCGATTTTACTGCCTCAGCCTCCCAAATAGTTAGGATTACAGGTATGCACCACCAAACCCAGCTAATTTTTTTTTTTTTGTATTTAGTAGAGACAGGGTTTCACCATGTTGGTCAGGCTGGTGTCAAACTCCTGACCTCAGGTGATCCACCCACCTCACCCTCCCAAAGTGCTGGGATTAAAGGCGTGAGCCACCGCGCCCAGCCCTCTTCTTATTTTTGAATGCACAGAACTTGCAAGCCCCAGAGCAAGCTGCAATTAGGCCAATCTGGGAAGTTTTGTACATGCTCCCATTTCTTTTTGTTATCCCCAAGTCAAGTAATTACGAGTATTCTAGTCTTTCTTCTGCTGTGCTACAGGGAAGCAGGAGAAGGACAGCACTCATCCCCACAGAGGGGGTGAAGAGATGGGGCAACTAATGGGATACCCCACAAAAATGTGGCTTATTGGCAAGGTCAGGGCTGCATTGTCTGCCTCTCTCCATTTAGACTCTTCATCTAGCAGGTGATTTTAGAAATACCAGCCTTCACATTGTTTACAAAGGGCATCACTAATTATTCATGGTTAATCAGTTGTACTATCCATGTACTAATATATAATATTAATTATGTTACTAATACCATTTATCATCTCTTTTAAGGTGAGAAATCACTGAGGCATCACTGTTATAAGCAAAGTGAAGTCAAGATGGAAACCACACAAAATGAATATCATGCACATAAACAATTAAAATCACCTGGCCAGGCACGGTGGCTCCCGCCTATAATTCCAGCACTTTGGGAGGCCAAGGCAGGCAGATCGTTTGACGTCAGGAGTTTGAGACCGGCTTGGCCAACATAATGAAACCCTGTCTCTACTAAAAAATACAAAAATTAGCTGGATGTGATGGCGGGTGCCTGTAATCCCAGCTACTCGGGAGGCTGAGGCACAAGAATCACTTGAACCCAGGAGGCGGAGGTTGCAGTAAGCCGAGATTGCACCACTGCACTCCAGCCTGGGCAACAGAGCGAGACTTCGTCTCAAAAAAACCCAAAAAACAAAACAAAACAAAACAAAACGAAAAACAATTAAAATAACCATTTAAGTCACTGCTGAAGATGCTTCTGTGTAGTATTTCGAAAGAAATATTTAAAGAAGCAATTATAACCAAGCAAACGAATTTCTTGTACCTGTTTACAAATAAGCAGAGTGGAAAAAAGAGAAGTGAAGTCCTATTATACCCACCTGTCTGGTGCGTAAGGCTTCCTGGATGTCTCCATCCAGCTCTGAGAGCTCAGCGAGGCTGTGTTCTAAATCCGCAGAAATCAGCTCCTTGGCCTTTGTGAACTTCTCCTTTTCCTTGTGACTCAGCGCATTCATGATTCTCAAGCTGGACTGGACCTCTTCCTGATGAATTTGGATTTTTCTGATTTCCTCTTGGATGTCCTGCAGGTTGAGGTCTAGGTACACCGGCCCACTGAGCTCTGCCTTCACTCTCCTCAGCCAGTCCAGGGAGCGACTCATCTCAGTCTGGAAGTCTATACTCTGCACCATTCGGCTCTCACATTCTGTCACCGTCTCACCAATGGCAGAAGTCAACAGTTTTAACTCCCCTTGCCAGGACTGGATCTGATGCCTGGCTTTCTCATAAGCCAAGGGGTCAAGGTGTGGGGCAAGATCTTCAAGATGTATGGTTACTCGTTTCAGTACAATCCCTGAGTCCTGGAGACTTCCTGCCAGGGAGTGATACATTTTGAGCTTCTCCTCTGCAGGCAGCGTTTCCTCATTCACTTTGGACTGCTCCTCTTTTACAGACTTCAGTTGTCTCTCCAGCTGTTGGCACATCTTCTCGTGTTCTTGGTAAGCACTGGTGGTGTCTTCTAATAAGCTAACCCTCTGTTCTGTTTGTCGCTTCAGCCTGTGATATAAGGTGACAAGGTGCAGCATCTTGTCTGGCTGCCAAGGCTGACCTGTGCTGCGAAAACCTTCTTTTTTCTGGTTCAGTTCATCCACCGCCTCCCCAAGGCCCGCCACCTCGTCCAGAATGGCTCTGCAACCATCTTGCAGAGAAAGAGCCTCCTCAACGGCCAGGTCGGTGGGAACTTTGCTCATCCTCAAGAATTGGGCTTCAAGTTCACTCAGAGACTGGGTTGTCAACTCAATCAAGGAAGCATATTCCTTCCGAGCAAGAATTGCTTCCTGGACTTTATAGAACTTGTCTTTAGCCAAGGCAACAATTACATTAAATTGTCGAGGCAAAGCATTTAGCTTTTCACTGAGGTAGGAATGATCGACTTCATTCAGCGATGGTAATATGGTCTGCCCAGTTCTCTGCAGCGTAAGTAGAAGATTTTCATATTCTGGAGATTGTTCAAGAATGTTTTGGTATTTAGCCAGTTGTGTATGAAGCTCAGAACTCTCATTCATTAGGTTGATTTCAGGAAATGTAACAATATCTGCTTGTTTTAGCCAGTGGCAAGCTTTATCAAAATCTTCCTTAAAATGCTTCCTAGAAACCAAATTCTTCTCTAGTTCTTGTAACCGGTGACTGCACTTTTGTAAAACACTGTCATAGACACTCTGCAATTCCTGAAGCTTCCCCAGCACTTCACTCTTTTCCTGCTCTGTGACTTCCTTCATTAGTTCGCGACCCTGGGCCCAAAGTCCAGTGACTTCATTTTGGTAAGTCTTGAGGCTGGCTTGTGCACTCTTACATGTTTTGACTTGTTTGCTCACATCATCTGGTAACAGACAGATGTGTTCACGGAACATTATCTTTCGCTCATGTTGCTGAATTTGGCTGGTGGCCTGGAACACTGCCATGAGAAACTGGGTTTTCTCGGACAAGGCTTTGTTTAAGTACTTTCTTCGCTGGCCCACTAAGTCACTGAGACAATTCACGTGGCTTTGTGCATCAGAGAGAGCCTTCTGGATGACCTGTCGCTCATTGAGACCAAGATCTGCCATGACCCTGTCTGCGTCCTTTATAAGCGATTTCAGGAGCATCTGCTTGGCCTCCAGTTCACTGCAGATGGCCAGGTGATCCATGAGAAGGTTCTGAGCCATATCTGGAGGAGGGCTCTGCTTAAGGGCCTCGGCGATGTTGGGTTGTTGCTCTTCTGCCCACTCCATTAGCTCCTGAAATCTGGACTGCACCACATTTAACTCCTCCAAGTTGGTGACTGACACTTGGATTTTCCTTTTAATGAGGTCCTCAAGCTGAAACCAACGTTGCTCTAAATGACTCGTCTGTTCTTTGACTAACTCCTTGTCATCTAAATTCAGATGCTCTATCATTTTCTGCTTTTGATCTTTCAGATCTTCAATAGCATACTTTCTCTCCTGCAATGCCAATGCTAACTTTTTCAAAGCTTCCAGGTGGACAGCTGTACTCTCTGCATCAGATCTGAAAATACATGGAAAGGTATAAGAGCAAATTAGCTGTAGTCAATATCGATGTTTGTTCATACTATGCTAAATTACACTTCACCATTTTCTTTTTGGAGACTGAGTTTTGCTCTTGTTTCCCAGGCTGGAGTGCAATGAATGCTCTGATCTCAGCTCACGGCAACCTCCGCCTCCCAGGTTCAAGCGATTCTCCTGCCTCAGCCTCCCAAGTAGCTGAGATTACAGGCATGTGCCACCATGCTCGGCTAATTTTCTATTTTTAGTAGAGACAGGGTTTCACCATGTTGGTCAGGCTGGTCTCTAACTCCTGACCTCAGGTGATCCACCTGCCTCAGCCTCCCAAAGTGCTAGGATTACAGGCATGAGCCACTACTCCTGGCTGACACTTCACCATTTCTTTAAGTGGATCTTCTGAGCTTAGAACAATTGAGAGTAGTTCAATTCATGGTTTGTTGACAGAAGTGCTATAATTATGGAATACAAGTCTCATCAGAAGTCAATACTAGAAGTTGAATCAAACCAAGTTGCCTACTTCTTTCTGGCTGATAATGCCTTCCAATCAAATCAGAATATGCTTTTATCTTCCTCTGGCTCTTATCAACTGAGCAGAATCTATATGGTAACAGGATCCTTGGATGTTTTGTGTAATGTTAAACAGTGAGAAGCACTGATCTAGTGTACTCTAGAAAATGATACTGAAAGAAATTAATAAGTGATGCATGATTTATGTGCTTTCTTTTGTGAAGAGGGTCCAACAAACAATATAGTTCTAGGTAGTACAATCTGTAAGGTATAACCAACAGATCTAATGGCTACTTAATTGTGTACTTGGATATTTTTTGCTTATCATTAGTAATCTTTAGTAATAAGTGTGAAATGTAAAGAATTCTCATCCCTTTGACTATGAAGCACACATAAAAAATGGAATATTGTAGTCTTTTTTACTAAATGATCAGTTCTGAAGTATGAAAAGCAGGGTTGGGAGGCAGTATGAGGAGTTCTGTTTTGGACCTGTTAAGTCTCAGGTGTCTGTGGGGCCTACTGTGAGCCAGAAATATGAGTTGTTAATATTTACTGGACTAATCCCAAAGACGAGTAAATGTTAAGTATCAAAGAAAAGCAAACAAACCAGAAAATGGTATACCAAAAAAACCCCAAATCCCCACTATGATTTCATGATATCTAGAACAATATTTGCAGTTTTCTTTGCTGTAAACTAGTAAATCGGTGCAGAAGAAGTGTAGATTTTAACAATTATAGTGATCAAAAGTATGGAATGGTTTCATATAATGATCCAGTATGTGTGTGTGTGTTCTTATTTTTCAAAGAAGAAAGCTAAGAGGGGTTCAATAACTACAAAATCACAAAAGACACAAATTAACTGAATTTCTAGACTCTTGTAAGAAAAAAACCTGACTGAATTACACAGAATGCATTCATTACCTTATAGACTTGATAAGAAACTAGGGAGCATATAGGTTCAAGAAGGATTCATTTCATGAATTCATAGATGATATCCCATAACTTGTAATTAAACAAAATTAGAAATATTTTTAGAATATTCTTTGAGGTCACAGAGAAAATGGTACCATTTTCAAACATTTCTCTTTTACCCACTGGTTAAATCAATATCGAGCTAGGAAAACCATGACTCTATATCCATTTGAAAACGTTAGGTTCATAATGATGTTCTACTTACCAATATTAATAATAATAAACAATAGATGTTATACCTAAGACATTTTATTTTATTTTTTTGAGACAGGGTCTTGCTCTGTCACCCAGGCTGGAGTACAGTGGTGCAATCTTGGCTCACTGCAGCCTCCTCCTCCCAGGTTCAATTGATTCTCCTGCCTCAGCCTCCGAAGTAGCTGGGATTACAAGCATGCACCACCACGCCCGGCTAATTTTTGTATTTTTAGTAGAGATGAGGTTTCACCATGTTGTCCAGGCTGGTCTCGAACTCCTGACCTCAACTAATCCACCCGCCTCAGCCTCCTAAAGTGCTGGGATTACAGGCATCAGCCACTGCACCTGGGCACATTTTAAATTTTTATAGATATTAAGAAATGTCTGGCTTAGCATTTTGGTGACCCATGGGAGAATTTCTGTTACCTGGCCAAGTTATCCCATTCTGTAGTAAATTTTTCTAGGAACACTTCAACAACATTCATACAGTCATGGTAATCTCTTGTTCTCTGAAGATCCTCTTCCCTTTGCAAGCACAGGTTGTTAGACTGACGGCACAAATCGAGCCACTGATCATTTAAATGATTTATTTCCTTGTGTTCAGGCGATTCCTCCTTCTTTGTTAACTTATTCACCTTTTCTATTATGGTGTTCACGGATGCCTGTTTGCTCTGTAGTTTCTTAACAAAATCCTAAAGGATAACAGCAACAAAAAATATGTAATGTGTTAAGAAATGCCCAAATAAATATAGAGAGCAACACAGACATAAGACCTTTAAACACTCTAAGTTCCTTAATATGAAAAAAACTGAAGAATGTATAATAAGTTATGGGAAACAAAGAGAAAATCTAAAAATCACCATACCTCTTTATGAACGTTAATTCCCACGTGTGCAAGATTCAGGGTAGCTGTGGTATATTCTTTTATTGTACTATTCCAAGAGGCATAAAGAAAAACTAATACATGTGAAACATTACAGTCATTAATGAAAAAAGTCATTATCTTACCTTGAAGTGCGGCCTTTGTTTTCTAAGAATTTTTAAGGAGTTCATGTTTTTCAAAATTTATTCTTAAACTAAGGGTGCTTTTATTCTCAAGACATCAGGACATTAGGACATTTCCTAGGTCTGCTAAGTCCTGGATCTGTCAAGTTCTGGATCTGTTCAGTAAACATTATTAACCTGTTCCCTTAACTAAATATCCTGTGACTAAGAATGCCTAACTTTCTGGGAATGCAGCCCAGCAGGTCTCAGCCTCATTTTACCCAGCCCCTATTCAAGATGGAGTCGCTCTGGTTTGAACGCCTCTGACGGAAACCTTCCAAATGTCAGAGACAAGGCAAAGTAGCTTGGGTCACCAGGTGGGCAGTGGTGTTATGTACAGAGTTGGGGAAGGCTGGAGTACATTCGCAAAGTGGAAAGGCAATGGTTTAGATTCATCTACTCCCTGCATACACAGCAAAAAGAAACCTCTAAGATACCATCTCTGCCAGCCCAATATGTGGCCAGAGGATCATTTCTTTGGATAGTGTTTCCTCCAAGGGGTTGGTTCATGGACTTCCATACTTCCCCACTGCTCACTCCCATTGCCATTTACTCCCACTACCCAAAAAACACCTCTTAAATCCCCTGACTGATATATGAAATTTTGTCCTTAAAGCTAGGTTCAATCACAATTAAAATGTTAACAAGAGTATCATCTTGAATGTTTTTATTATGTGTATATCTAAAACAAATACAGCAAAATATTGGCATTGTTTATTATCTCTGAATGGTAGTATCATAAGTGATTGTGATTTAAATTTGCTTATTAAGACATTTCTGTATTTTCTAAGCCTTTTATAATAAACAAAACTTTTCTTATAAAATACATTTTAAAAAATTAAATTTCTAGGATGGTTCACAAATTTTTTTAAAAAAGAGTTCATGCTTCTGAGAAAAAATAAATCTTATTATCCCGATCCCTATTCTCTTTTTTCTCTGTACTTGCAAACAGCACTCCAGTAGACAATATATTATTATTGACTCATAATCACAGAGAAAAAACATCTTTAAGTTTATTTAAAATCTGACCCAACTTCCAATTAAGTTAATACACTTATAATTTTCTTTTTTCCCTTTTTTTTGAGACAGAGTCTCACTCTGTGGCCCAGGCTGGAGTGCAGTGGCATGATCATGGCTCACTGCAACCTCCGCCTCCCAAGTTCAAATGATTCTCGTGCCTCAGCCTCCCAAGTAGCTGAGATTATAGGCATGTGCCACGCAAGGCTAATTTTTGTATTTTTAATAGAGATGTGGTCTCACCATGTTGGCCAGCCTGGTCTCAAACTCCTGGCCTCAAGTGATCTGCCCACCTCAGCTTCCCAAAGTGCTGGGATTACAGGCATGAGCCACCACACCCGGCCACAATTTCCTATATATTTTAAATTATTTAAATTATATATAAATATGTAATACAAACTGCATTTATATTATACTTTAAATTAATTACATATAGCTCAAATATATAACTAATGAATTGATAAGCTTACAGTCCTACAGTTTTAGCATAATATGGTGATGAAAATCTAAAAAAAGAATAATGTTCCATGTTTGCTTAGTCACAGAGTTTTCTGACTAAGCAGTCTACTCTGTAGACTAAATCACACCTGCTTTTCTCAGGAATAATGTAGAGTATGAATGTCTTCTGATGAAAGTGGCCATCTGAAGCTTCAGTAATATATTTGAATGTCTACTTTATAATCTGTTTTCCCTGGCACCAAATGATGTTTGTTCAGATTTGCTATTCCTTAAAGCAGCGGTCCCCAAACTTTTTGGCACCTGGGATGGGTTTTGTGGAAAACAATTTTTCCGTGAATGGGGCTGGAGGGGGATGGTTTCAGGATGAAGCTGTTCCACCTCAAATCATCAGATATTAGTTAGATTATCATAAGGAGCATGCAACCTAGATCCCTTGCATGCGCAGTTCACAGTAGGGTTTGCACTCCTATGAGAATCTGATGTGGCCTCTGATCTGACAGGAGGTGGAGTTCAGGCATTAATGCTTGCTCGCCTCCCACTGTGCGGCCAGGTTCCTAACAGGACATGGACTTGTGCTTGTCCATAACCTGGGGCTTGGGGACCTCTGCCTTAAAGAGTTGTATTAATGTCTAAGGATTGACAGACACTCAGGCATATTGAAGTGAATACACTGAACACATTTCAGGTTTTCTACTCTGTTGGCCTCTTTTATCTCCCTTGGGGGCAAATTAATTCCCACCTTAACTTGTGAAACCATGTTCTGTGCAATGTTCAGCTCCAGCTCAGAGTGCCTCCTCTTCATGTTCTGCAGTTGCTGATCAGCATCTTGCAGGTAAATCCAGAGCTCAGACTTCAGGTGCTTGATCTCTTCCCAGCCCTGAGTTAAGTTCTGGGCCTGGACAAGCTTTTGTTCAATCTTGAGAAAACACAGAGATAAAAGTTAGCAACCATACATGGAAACATTTATGGTTAATGAATCAGAGATGGAACTTTCCAGCTGGCCTGTGCACTCATTTGACACACACATACACACGCAAACTCACACACACAAATACATAAATTTAAAAAGTACTTCTTTATTTGCTTCAGGAAAAGCAGATTTTTTTTAAAAAAATGTAGGGTTCCTAAAGACTTTAAATGTCTACAAGTTATGCTATATGGTTTTAATCAGTGTTGTGAAACTCTAATAATTTTTTTTTTTTTTTGAGACAGAGTTTCGCTCTTGTTGCCCAGGCTGGAGTGCAATGGCACGATCTCGGCTCACAGCAATCTCTGCCTCCCGGGTTCAAGTGATTCTCCTGCCTCAGCCTCCTGAGTAGCTGGGATTACAGGCTTGCGCCGTCACACCCAACTAATTTTGTATTTTTAGTAGAGACAGGGTTTCTCTACGTTGGTCAGGCTGGTCTCGAACTCCCAACCTCAGATAATACGCCCGCCTTGGCCTCCCAAAGTGCTGGGATTACAGGAGTGAGCCACTGCGCCCAGCGAAACTCTAATAAGTTTTATCAATGTATTAGGTCTAAAGCTGCTCTGATGGTTTTTCCCATTGGGCATTTCAGTAGATTCATCTGTATGACTCATGAATTTGGTGTTAAGGTTAACTAGAAAAGACTTCTGTTATTCTCTGTTGCACATTTGTTCATCTGTCTTACAACATGCTGAATTATTAATGTTTTGGATATGTCTTTGATCTGCTTCACTGGTTTTTGAAGCTGTGTAATTTGTTTCAATAAATCATTTCTGTAAAAATAAATGGGTTACATTGGCTGGGAATGGTGGCTCGTGTCTGTAATCCTAGCACTTTGGGAGGCCAAGTCAGGTGGATTGCCTGAGCTCAGGAATTCGAGACCCACCTGGGCAACACAGTGAAACCCTTTCTCTACTAAAATACCAAAAAGTAGCCAGGCATGGTGGTGTGTGCCTGTAGTCCCAGCTACTCGGGAGGTTGAGGCACAAGAATTGCTTGAATGTGGGAGGCGGAGGTTGCAGTGAGCCAAAATTGCGCCACTGTGCTCCGGCCTGGGAAACAGAGTGAGACTCTTTCTCCAAAATAAAATAAAATAAAATAAATGGGTTACATCGTCTTTTGTAAGGATTTAAAAACAGATTTGATAATATTAAAGAGAAAAACCTTATTATTTTGACATTTTTTTCCTGTGAATCATTTTACTGTTCTGTGAATATTTAATAAATTAAATACCAAAACTAAGTCTTATTTTTCTTTTAAACTCAAGTGTGGGCCAGGCGTGGTGGCTCATGCCTGTAATCCCAGCACTTTGGTAGGCCAAGGAGGGAGGATTGCTTGAGCCCAGGAGTTCGAGACCAGCCTGGGAAACACAGCGAAGCCCTGTCTCTACAAAAAGTATAAAAATTAGCTGGGTGTGATGGTGTGTGCCTATAGTCCCAGCTATTGGGAGGCGGAGGTGGGAGGATCACCTGAGCCCAGGAGGTTGAGGCTTCAGTCAGTGATGATAACGCCACTGCACTCCAGACTGGTTGGCAGAGTGTCTCAAAATAAAGAAACAAACAAACAAACAAACGAGCAAACAAACCCAAATGTGTTTCATGGAAGAGTTTAAGGCTGCAGTGGCAGCAGCCGGGAAAATACGCCTCCAGTGCTGCCATCTGTCTGTGTGGGCCGGTACTGCTAGCTCATCATAGCCCAGACAGTTTCAAAATCCTTCTGAACACCACACTTTACCAATGAACTAGAAGGATTGTGACAGATGGCATGCTCTTTGACATCCTTGATATAATAAAGAAAGGGTCAAGAGCCCCTTTCATATTAAGTATTGCCTAAAGAAAAAGGTGGAAAAGGAGAAAAGAACAAAAAAAGGTGTGGCAAGATAGGAAAATTGAGAGAATGGTCATTAAGGAGGAGAAAAAAGAAAGGTTCTAATGGGCAGCGAATGAATGGGACTAAGTGATTCAGTCCCAATCTGATGTCATCAATGTCAGGATGTGCTTAATTTTCTATGAGTTAGCTGAAATTCAAATATCTATTTATTATAATGGCTGTAGAACCATTACATACAGCAAGAACAAGCCAAGAGCTATTTTCTTTCAATCTCACATGAAACATTCAAGCAAGAGAATATAATAAAACAAACAAATTCAATGTGATTTTTCATTTTCTTACCGTTTGCTCTGTTTGTTGAATGTCTTTTGCTGTGGTTTTCACCGAAGCATTTGACAGGTCACACATGGAGCAAAGGAGATCTAGGTAGGTCCTTGCCTGCTCTTGCAAAGCTCTGAAGTGTTTGACCTGGAAAAGGCAGTTATCAGAGTGAAAGAGATGCATCAGCTATTTAGATAGCAAATACTTGTATCATTTGGAATATTCTGTTGACATTTCAAAAATAGTCTTGCTATGCTCAGTGTTTTCACCATTGTGTTCAAGTGACATATATTAGTGACTCACAGGAAAAAATTTAAATCACCAATGGGGATTTATTTGTCCACCATTTGCTTCTCCTTGTAAGTAAAGTATTCTGTATGGTCTGGGAAAGGGGAAAACGCAAGAAACTTCTATAATCTTTCCAGATTATTTGCTCACATGCCAGCTTATTTTCCATTCCAGAGAAAGAATTTGTAGCCTACGCTGTCCTGCCTCTTAACATGCTTTTGCATATCTTAGAGACAGAAGGCAAAGGTCCGTGAGTTGGTAGGTTTCATTGGAGTGAGGTTAAAACACAGATGTCTGGGCTTCTTTACTTTGCAGGAGATTCATCTTGTATTATTCTCTTTCCACAAGCCCAAGAAAGGCTTCTCCAGGTGGATCTTTAATCTATTTATAGAAACAAAGAAATGTGTTTCTTTGCAGATGCGCAGATTCTACTCAGGCTCCATTTTAGATACTGGGCATAGAGCAGCCCATAAAGCAAAACCCTTGCTCCCAGGGAGTTGACATTCTTAGGAAGGAGATAAATAATATATAAATAAACAAACTTGCACTGGGATGTTTAGTAGTTTTAAATATCATGTGGGAAAATCAAGGTGCTAAGCAGATAGCGTATGAGGAAGAAGGACTGCCACTTCAGGGACAGTGTATCTCCCAGGCCCCTCTGAGGAAACGACCTGAATGCATGGCATGGCATAAGGTAAGAACATTCCAGGCAGGTGGATGTGGTGGGTAGAGAGACAGCAAATGCAAAGCCCTGAGGCTGGAGCAGAGTGAATCAGGTGTGAGCAGAGGTCGGAGGGTGGGCGGGGGCAAGTCATGGAGCCCCTTACAAGGAGAGCTGACCATACATCCCAATTTGCTGGGTTTTGTCTCTAGTCTAGAGTTTCTCAACTCAGAACTATTGACAGTTGACTCCAAATAATTCTTTGTTGTGGGGCTGACTTATAGCTTGCTAGAACGTCAGCAGCATCCTTCGCGTCTACCCACTTAATGCCAGCAGTGTCCCCACCACTCCCAGTTGTAACAACCAACAACGTGTTCAGACAGTGCCAAATGTCCCTTGTAGGAGCAAAGTCACCATCTCCTCCACCCCAGTTGTGAACCACTGCGCTAGTCCCATTGGATTATGTAAAGCAGACTCTGTCTTATCAAGAAGGTTCCATTTGAGAAAACAAATTCTATAATCAGCCTGTTCATAAGCCGTGGTAAGAAAGTTGGAATTTAAGTGTGATGGGAAAATATCGGGAGCATCATGATCTGAAACAGGCTTTCAAAGACTCCCTCCGAACATCACGTGGAGAACGGCTTGCCACAGGGGTGGCAGGCAGCTATGGTGTCCAGGTGTTAGGCTACTGCAGGGATCAGATGAACCATGAAGATGGCCTGACAGGGGGTGGTGGCTGAGGTAGTAAGAAGTGGTTCTTGATTACTACATAAATAGGGATAAATAAGGAAGGCAGTATTGACTACAAGTTGCAGGGATAAAGTTGACTTCCAGGATTTTCCCAAATCATAGAGTCAATCATGGTGCCTGATTTTGTGACTCCAATCTGAGTATTTTTCCTCTGCACTGTGTGGATTACCTAGACATGCTGTGTTCCTGTGGATATAATAAACACAGATCAATTTCCCATTAAGTCAGGAGTAGCACCTTTTCAATTGAATGTACAAGCGAACTATGGTATTGTGAGTCATCAGCCACTGTGCACAAGTACCACATCATGCACCTATGACCCAGAGAAAGTTATTTGTCTCAAACAACTTTTGGATATGAGAAGAGAATAAGTTGTCAGAATTTGTATTTTATGAACATATTTAATTGAAAGGAATGATGGTATGATTTATATAGTTGATCTGATTCCGAAAGCACTGGAAGCAGCATATAGAGTGTTAGTGACCACACAGCTGCAAACGATGTTTGCTAAAATCAACTTTACAGAAAAATCTTATAGTACTTTTTCCCATTCCCTAAAGTTCACATTTTATGCCTTCTAAAAACATATAGCACTCTGAACGGAATCGAATCCATGTGCCATTTTCTTGTGGCAGCGGGGAGTGTATTATCTTCACATATGTATTGAGGGTTTATTGGGTTTACTAGACGGGTGGTGTTGGGGATACACACTGCATCTTGGTACCATGCCCATTGTAAGCGGATTCTCCAGTCACATATCCAAGCTCACCAGCCACTAAGGGCCTGGTCAATTTTACATGAACACAGTAAGTCCTCATTTAATGTCGTCAGCAGATTCTTGGAAACCGTGACTTCTTTAAGCAGGAAGTTGTATAATGAAACAACTTTTGTTCTCATCAATGCTATAACAAAGCTGCATATTGAAGGACATGACATTATTTGAGGACCTGCTGTACATGGTTTTGCTTACAGTTTCAGTTTCTAAGACCTACCGATGGAATTAAGTGAGGACTTATTGCACTTGCCAAGGGAAAAACTAAAACAAAAGAAATAACAACAAAAAATAAAAAATAAAAAAAGGGAACAAAATAAAAAACCTTTCCTCCTCAGAGTGACTGTAGTCCAAGTGTCTCCACCACCTCGAACTCCCTTCTCTGGCTACTTCCAAAGACCATTTTGAGAGACATGTGAAAGAGGCAGAAACAAGGAACCATACAGTCACGTAATCTGGAAGAAGGATCAGTATCCTCCTGTGACCACGGCTTACTCTGGTATGTGTAGGAAATCTCTTCCTGCTCTAGCAAAACATCACTGCCATTAATACTTTCTTCTCCCTTTATCTCTTTTATTTCTTTTTTGGTAACAGAGGAGAAAGATTAAGTGTTGGTCTGAATTGTTCTGAATAAAGTGCATTGGAAACAAACAGCCACAAGACAAGGTGGCTTGTGGGTCAAGGAAACTCACAGTCTAATAAAAAAGTAGAATATAGGCAGTCTTTAATTCATTTTTCTTGATTCAAGGAGAACTATGTTTCATTTGTCCTGATTCTATTCTTATAAAGTAAAATATGAACACTTTTGTGAACCATTGAATGACAATGTAAATCATTTTAGCCTTTAGAAAGTATACTTCGGGGGACAAATTAACTAGACACATTCTTTATGTGGACTCAGTGATCAAATACATTATGCTATTCTAATTTGTGCTAAAAAATTAAATTATTAAATACTGTTAATTCGTATCTGGCAGCAATAACCTTTATAACTAAATTCCTCTAAAATATTTTCCCACGGAGTCAACACTGCATACAAAAGCTGCTTAGTACAAAAGTTTAAAAAAAATATTTCCCACATATTCTGATTAAGTCTCAGCAATAACATTTTCAGCATGTGGATGTCAAATTAATATGGAATAGAATTCCCTTCACATGATAAAAACTAACATTTCATTCATCATCCATTCAATAATTATCTATGAAGCACCTTGTTTTTGCCCCAAAACTATGCAAGAAGCTAGTATTACTTTTCTGTTTATAAATCACGTTTATCTGTAGTGTGATATTTGCATTTCATTATAACTTTTAGAAGTAAGTATACTTATAAATGTCACTTTTGATAGTAGGAAACTATCTCGAAGGCTTGGAGAAATTAAGCGACTTACCCATGGTCCCCCAACAGAATAAATATTAGAATTAATCTTTGGTTACAGTGCCCATTCTCTTTCTTTCGTTTTCTTTTCTTTTTTTTTTTTTTGAGACAGAGTCTCACTCTGGTGCCCAGGCTGGAGTGCAGTGGCGCAATCTTGGCTCACTGCAACCTCCGCCTCCACCTCCCAGGTTCAAGCAATTTTCGTGCTTCAGCTTCCTGAATAGCTAGGATTACAGGCGCCTGCCACCATGCCCAGCTAATTTGTGTATTTTTAGTAGAGATGAGGTTTCACCATGTTGGCCAGGATGGTCTTGCACTCTTGAAACTGTGTGGTCGGCCCGCCTTGGCCTCTCAAAGTGTTGGGATTACAGGCATGAGCCACTATGCCCGGCCCCATTCTCTTTCTTTTTTTTTTTTCTTTTTAATAGTTTATTTTCATTATTCTTTTATTTTATTTTTTATTTTTATTTTTTAATTTTTCAAGACAGAGTCTTGTTCTGTCACCAAAGCTGGAGTGCAGTGGCATGATCTCGGCTCACTGCAACCTCTGCCTCCCAGGTTCAAGCGATTCTCCTGCCTCAGCCTCCTCAGCCTCAGGCGGGTAGGTACCCTGCTACCTCAATCCCAGGGTAGCTGGGATTACAGGTGCACGTCACCATGCCCAGCTAATGTTTATATTTTTAGTAGAGATGGGGTTTCACCATGTTGGCCAGGCTGGTCTCGAGCTCCTGGCCTCAAGTGATTCGCCCGTTTTGGCCTCCCAAAGTGCTGGGATTGCAGGCATGAGCCACTACGCCTGGCCCCATTCTCTTTCTAGTCTACCAAGTTGGCCCCTCAGTATCATGTCCATCTTCTGGCTGGCACATGAACTCCACTAGAGCCAACCTCAGACCTTCTTCCTACTTTTAGATTCCCAGGAGTCAATACAGTTTGGCACATCATAGGTACTTCACACATTTTCACTGACGCTCTGAATGATTCACAAGAATAACACAAACTTTCAGGAGTTTACTACCTGCTTAATGGCTTCTGCCCTACTAAGAGGTGGTTGAGGACTTGGCTCTAAATCCGGCTGGACTGCAGAAAGCCAGGCCTGGCACTGCTGCAGGGTGTCTTGTCGGCTGACGTGCTTCTGAAGTTCGTGTTCCAAACTCTGGTACATCTGAGACAATACAATCATGCTGAGATTATGAGAACTGCTTTCTACCTCTATAAAGATCATTCAAATTCAATGAAACATGACCAGTACATCTAAATGGATTTTCCCCCCAAGATTCTGCAATTTCATCTAATATCTAAGGCAGTTGTATGTCTCCCCAGATGTTGCAAAATGCAATGCCTATACCCCAGTTGATAACTTCTCGGACCACACATCACAGTGTAATATCCGGATTAGGGGAAGAGAACATGAGCAGGGTAAATATAACCGTAGAGGCATGCTAGAATACATAAAATCATTGAAGTTAATTGTCATAAACATAAGTCAGAGGTTTTTGCAGCTTCTCTTCCTATGGTATAAATATTGCACTTTTTGTTTAAGCTAGCAACTAAAAGTAAAAATAAAAAATGATCTCAAAAAAAGATAACCAATGTTTCTCTAACTGAGATGCTTCTGCAATAGAGATAGGGTAAAATTTGAACTAAATTATAACATGAGGAGTGGAGAGGTGGATGTCCTCACTTCATCTTAGAAGTTATGTTCCAGGGCAAAAATAATCCAGAATAATTCATACATTTTCTGATATGTCTATTTAATTAATTAATCCTTAACAAGCCAACCAATTTTCATTTTATCCATAAGACATATTAAGAAAAATTATGTGTCTATTTGAGATCAAGAGAAAATATATCTGGGATGTTTCCATTTAGGAAAAAGGAAAAAAGAAGGAAATTAGTTTAACCTGGCATTTCTTTCATTATTGAGACAATAGAAGCAATCATTGAATTCTGCTTTTCTCTGTCATCTTTTAAATTCATCACTTTCGTCTGACATTGGGTTTATCCCTTATTTATTCTTATTCCAAGCAGAATTTTTAAAAGAATGGTGTTTTGTTCTCTTTATCACTTTTGCAAACTTTAATTATGAAGTTCTGATTATGTTCTTAGAATTTCATCCACTTTTTAAATTTTAAAAATTATGTTGGCTTTTCCAACATCCACCAATTAAAACAAATTAAACTGTATCCCTAATACAAAGAAAATGTCCACTGTGAAGGAAGACAGTGTGCAAGAAATCTCTGTTGAATGAGTGAACGAATGAACTCACCAGAAAGTTCTATGTGTAGCCTCATTTTCTCTCTTCACTCCCCCTTTTCTCCCCTTGTCATCATTTTCAATTATTTATTAGATTCTTGTAGTCCTCTTTTGTTAACCTTTGAAGGTGATTTTTTTTTAAGTCTAGGAAGTTGACTAATGTCACCCAGAATTTTTTTTATTATTATGGTGAACACGGACCATTCTAACCACATCACTGATGTATCACCAGTTCTTTTTGTTAACCTTTGAAGGTGAATTTTTTTTTTTAAGTCTAGGAAGTTACTAATGTCACTCAGAATTTTTTTTATTATTATGGTGAACATGGACCACTCTAACCACGTCACTGGTATATCATCAGTTCTTACTGGCTAGTCCAGTAAACAAAAATACACAGAATACTAAGTTTAAAGGCTTATAAAAACTCTTTTTAGTGTCATTTAAAAATTCTAGAATAATAGAAAGCAATTTACCTATTTTAGTAAGTTTTTGTTAAAATAGCCATTCTTACCCCTCTTACACTTATTTCTAAAACATTAAGAATTCTGTTTTAGTGGAAGTACACCCACTTAAGTGTAAGTCATATTTGTCAGTTACTCGTTTCTCAAATTCTATATGAATGCAAACAAATATTGATTTAGATTAGAACCCAGGCTGCATACAGTTAAAAAGAAAATAATTATTGTGAAAAATATGAAATAAATTTACTTTTGTGCTACAAAATAAATGGAAAATTAGAAAGTATTGATCGTGTGCAAAGAAAAACACATCCTCTATTCAAACACATCAACTATTTTTTTCTTTTTTAAATTTCCTCAAATTCCTTTTACCAACAAACAAATTAACTTTATTTATTTATTTTTATTTAGACGGAGTCTCACTTTGTCCCCCAGGCTGGAGTGCAGTGGCGCGATCTCGGCTCACTGCAATCTCTGCCTCCCACGTTCAAGCGATTCTGCTGCCTCAGCCTCCGGAGTAGCGGGGATTACAGGTGCTTGCCACCACGCCCAGGTAATTTTTGTATTTTTAGTGAAGACGGGGTTTCACCATGTTGGCCAGGCTGGTCTCAAGCTCCTGACCTCAAGTGATTCACCTGCTTTGGCCTCCCAAAGTGCTGGGATTATAGGCTTGAGCCACCATGCCCGGCCCAAATCAACTTTTAACAAACCTTTTCACAATCAACTCATGGAATAAACAAATTGGATAAAACAATATCTGAAATTCGCTCACACCTGTAATCCCAGCACGTTGGGAGGCAGAGGTGGGCGGATCACGAGGTCAGGAGATCGAAACCATCCTGGCTAACACGGTGAAACCCCGTCTCTACTAAAAATACAAAAAATTAGCCAGGCGTGGTGGCGGGCGCCTGTAGTCCCAGCTACTCGGGAGGCTGAAGTAGGAGAATGGCGTGAACCTGGGAGGCGGAGCTTGCAGTGAGCCGAGATCGCGCCACTGCACTCCAGCCTGTGCGACAGAGTGAGACTCCGTCTCAAACAAAACAAAACAAAACAAAAAAACCAATATCTGAAATTCACTGCTTAGTCACATCAATCAAATACAAAATATGTTAGTTTTGTGTTCACATAGCAACTGTGAAATTTATCCTCGTATTTCCTGTCTGGCAACACACCAAAACGAATCCAAAGATTTGAGCATCGATTCTATTTGTAAAAAGTCTCTAGACTGCACAGCCTCTCCCCATAATTCCTTGTCACTGTGGAATGTTCTGGGGGCACTCACCCTCTGAGCTGTGCTGCAGATCGCTGAGTAGCTGTCCTTTGTGCCCTGCAGATGAGCATGCACGTTTTGTTTAAGTTTCGCTTGCAGGTGGTCTGCACATTGGCCAATCAAAGTATCACCTTTCATTTGAAGATTGTTCAAACGGTCTTCAAAACCAGCAATTTCTTCCATCATTGCCTGCAAAAGTGAAACCAATACAGAGTTTTCAGAATTCTACTTTTAAGTAACTTATCCATCAAAGTTTAAGATAGATTATTTCACTGTTTAATATTGTTTTTGAAAGAATCTTGCAATTTACCTTAGTTATATATTAAATGAAAACAAAAGCACATGTATGTTTTCAGGGATACTCCAAGAGGAAGAGTCAATGAGTTTAAGAGATTAGTTACATAAGGAATGATGAAGTAACCTTTAACACTAGAATGTGTTCATGGCTGGTCTCAGAGAGATAATACTCCATGGTATTATTACCAGACAAAAAGATGTCCCTATATTTTTCAGGTTAATAAGTTATAATTCTGGCATAATTTTTATCTAAAACAATCTAATTACTATTTCATCAACTTTATATAATATCTTATTTCTATAAGGTTGGTGCAAAAGTAGTTGTGTTTTTTGTCATTCTTTTTTTTTTTTTTTTAAGACAGAGTGTCACTCTGCTGCCCAGGCTGGAGTGCAGTGGCGCAATTTCAGCTTACTGCAACCTCCACCTCCCAGGTTCTAGCAATTCTCCTGCCTCAGCCTCCTGAGTAGGTGGGATCACAGGTGCCCACCACCACACCTGGCTAATTTTTTTTTTTTTTTGTATTTTTAGTAGAGATGGAGTTTTACCATGTTGGCCAGCTGGTCTTGAACTCCTGACCTCAAGTGATCTGCTGGCCTCGGCCTCCCAAAGTGCTTGGATTACAAGTGTGAGCCACCACGCCCGGCCTGTTATTACTTTTAATGGCAAAAACTGCAATTACTTTTGCACGAATATAATAATCTAATTCTAGTTTCTGTAATAATGTAATATCTAATTTTTAATTCTTGTAATATCTAACTTACATCTACTACTGTTTATAATAATGAAAATAGCATTTAAACTTATCATTTATTAAGTACCTGCTATAGTCCAGGAATTATATATAAGCCTGACGAATGTGTATTATCATTGTTTTATAGATGAGGAAACTGAATCACAGTGAGGTTGTACAACACAGTCAAGGTATGGCACAGCCCCCAGGCTTTAGACACAGCTCGGCCTGATTTCACCTCACACCACCATGTCCACTTGCATTCTTTAGTGAGCATTCTTATAGATGACTCAGGGAAGAATAACTTATTTTTTAAAAATCACGTTCTGGCCAGACGCGGTGGCTCACGCCTGTAATCCCAGCATTTTGGGAGGCTGAGACTGGTGGATCACCTGAGGTCAGGAGTTAGAGACCAGCCTGGCCAACATGGTGTAACCCTGTCTCTACTAAAAATACAAAAGTTAGTCGGGCATGGTGGAGGGCACCTATAATCTCAGCTACTTGGGAGGCTGAGGCAGAAGAATCGCTTGAACCCAGGAGGCAGAGGTTACAGTGAGCTGAGGTTGCACCATTGCACTCCAGCCTGGGCAACAAGAGCAAAACTCTGTCTCAAAAAAATAAAATAAAATAAAAATAAATAAATACATAAATAAATAAAATCAAGTTCTAGTGTTTTTTTTTTTTCCTGTTATATGATGCTAATGACAAGTGACACAATCCAACATAGGGTAGCCTGGGTAACCCATCATTATATCTATAGGAAACCTGGGTGGCCCTTCAGCAGTCCAGGGTCTACAAACAGCGCTGGGCTAGCAGTTATCATATATGCTCAGTTGAAAAGAACCACTCTGTCTCTGAGTTGGAACAGAACCACTCCATCATGAGGCCATTCATGGGGTAGACTACCTTCTGGATTGTCATCTCCTCAGTGCCTACCAGAAGGTATTGTGTAGCTACTTTTTTATTCATATTTGTTAAATAAAATCCTTTCTTATAGACAGAAATGTTGCAGCCCAGAGGGGCTAACTGGCTTTCCTAAGACGCACTGTCAGACACTGACCACATGATGAGTAAACTTGTTTTCCATTAAGATCACAAATCAGTTGCTCCATGAAATTGTGACCATAACGTCTATCACGTGGTAAACACGATTACTAAAAATACATATTATTAAGTTCTTATCTTGATAGATTTAAATAGTGCTTTTAGCCTATCACCTATATCAAAGATAAGAACTCCTCATATTAGTTTTGTACTTTGTGATTTACAAAATGTCTTCACAAATATTATCTCCTGTGATTAGCACAACAATTATGAGATGGGCTGGTATTGTTATCATCCTAAAGGAGAAAGGACAGACTCAGATAGGCTAAGTTGTCTCTCCAGGAAGGGGAAGAGTCCAGCCTAGAATCCAGACTTTCTGATGCCTTTGGCTGCATTTTCTAAAATAGATTCCATAAAGACTAAATTCTGAGATAAAAATTATTAGCTGGGGGAAATGCAGCAATGTGTTCAGAAGTTCAACGCGAGGATTCAACTCTTCTTGATTCACTTGAATATCAAGTTCAATTGTTGTCAATTGTCAGAAGTGCTTGAGACTCAGACCTTCATATGGTTTGGCTGTCTCCCCACCCAAATCTCATCTTGAATTCCTACGTGTTGTAGAAGGGACCTGGTAGGAGATAACTGAATCATGGGGACAGCTCTTTCCTGTGCTGTTCTCATGATAGCAAATAAGTCTCATGAGATCTGATGGTTTTAAAAAGGGGAGTTTCCCTGGAAATGCTCTCTTCTGTTGTCTGCTGCCATGTGAGATGTGCCTTAACCTTTCACTGTGATTTTGAGGCCTCCCCAGCCACAAGGAACTGTAAGTCCAACAAACCTCTTTCTTTTGTAAATTGCCCAGTCTCAGGTATGTCTTTTTCAGCCATGTGAAAACGGACTAATACAGACCTGATTCTCTCAGTACAATCATTATAAACCAGAGATGCACCTGTGTGTGCACCCCCACACATGCACACACATGCACAGACACATGCGTACACACACTGGTGAAGCCATCCCAAAGGCAGCCCTTTAAAGGTCAGGGGTACCTTGTGGTGGGCCAATTGCTGGGTGATTGTCTCCAGGCTGCTTGTCTCCAGGAGGTCAGGTGCCACCAGTCTGCCAGACATCTGCAGCAGCCACTTTTCGACCTCTTGGAGCTCACTGTTGTAGTCTTCATGGTCTTTGACTTTCGCCTCCAGACTGAAGACATGCTCCTGCAAAACCAGGTGTCCATCAGAGATGACTTTCAAGTGAAAAACCTACTCAAAACTGTTTTGTATTACAAAAACCCAGTGCAACTCACAGGGTAGTTAGAGCTACTTAGAAAACTACCAGGAATGGAAAACAACATAGTCATTATGCCAATTAAATATCCATCTGAATAAAAAAAAATACTAACCCGTACCAGGCCTTAAAATTACATGACAGAGAGAAAGGAGTCAGGGCCCACATTTTGGAAAATAAACCCTTTTACGGAGTCTTTCATCTCTCCTTACCTTTCCTATGCTGCACAGGTCCTGGTAATCACTTTGAAGTTGATCTATTTTGTCCTTTAAAGTGACGTCCTGCACCAGTTCCAAAAGAGCTTCACCCTTCTCTCTCACTGACTTTACTGATGGTTCATGGGACAGCACCGTTTGTTGAAGTGACTTGAATTACAAAGAAAAAAAAATGAGCCTGCTCATCTCCGTGGACAAGATGAATACATACATATTCCCATGGTATGCAAGAGATGATCTACCTCAAAGAAAGATTGTTCATATTTATGAAGCAATAGGTGCAAGACATTAAAGAGAGAGTGATTTATTAAGACGAATACAGTTTCTAAATACAACAGCAGAGTCACACATCAAATGGCCCTTCCTATGTGGAGATAAAAGGATGGGAAATAGTTATATTTGTCTAAATTAAATATAGTTTATATTTCTGGCTTCTACCTTATTCCTTTCATCAGAGAAAAAAAATCTCAACATAAAAAGGCCACTATCTTTTGATTTTGAGTTCATGAAGTTAGTTCCAGTTTGAGCTATTTATGGAGTTAGAAAGAACAATTCCAGTTGTGACCTTGCTGAGATAGGCTAAAGGCACTATTTAAATCTATCAAGAACTCAGTGGCCAGGAGGAAGAGGTTGTGATTCTTATATGGCCTCTTCAAAGACAAGTTGTCGGGCTTGGCAGAGAAGCCAAGGATAGAAATAGACATTGGCTGGAAGAGGCCGTCACAGAAGCTTCCAACAGGGAAAGCTTTGGGGTAAGCCAGCACACTGTAATCCTTAAAAGGTATCACTCAATCATCCAGATCAAATTTATAACACAAATTATTCCACATATAAGCTTGCATAATTGCTTCAAAAATTTGAGTGGGTGAAGTACCTGTGTCTATGTCATGTATAGCTATAGCCACATCACTATTTATTCTTTCAAAAATCAGTTTCTAAGGAACTTAGCTCGAGTTTGTTAACTAGAACTTATTTTCTTATAAATATGATATGTCATTTTCAATTTACCATAGGTCAGTTTCTAGCCTTAGGTACCAGAAGATGAAGGGAAGCCTCAATATGGGAAAGATATGGGATCCTGATGCCAGCAAGATTTTACCTGGAGGATCCAAATACCTGGCTCACGCATCAGAAAAGGTCTTCATTGATTGACAGATACGTACAATCAATAAATATATTGATACAATCTTTGAGTATCAGATCTCTGAATGCAAAAATAACTCTGAGGTAGTGGATTTAACCCAATAAATCTCCATAGGTCATGGCATCACTGGTCAGCTGCAGAACGGACACATGCGGGATGCATTCCAGCAGCTGTTACGGGTGACACCCAGCAAGAATCACCTCCCTCCCATTTGGTCTCTGTGTGACCTCTGCATGCATCTGTCAATGAGTAAACACACTACCTTGTATTTAGATAACTGAGCTTTTTTCTCATATAATTCCATTTTGGGTTCTTCAGGAACATGTAGAATTTCCTGGTATTCTGCTATCCACTGTGTCAGTGCTTTGCATTTATCTGAGAATTCCTTTGCTAAATGAAGACCTTTTTCCAGCGTCATGTGTTCTTTCCGGACAGTGCTGGTCAGTTCCTTCAACTGCTCCATGTGATCATGAATCTCCTTTCTTAACCTCTCTGCCTCGCCTTCCTCCAAGTATTTAACAGCCCTCTCTCCTTTCTCCCGGGCTGATTTCAGCAAACTGTGACCTTTCTCCATGTCTTTGAGCAAAACCTGAAAAAGAGAGTGAGTAGGAGCAAAGGTAGTCTTGTTTCTTTTCTTTTCTTTCTTTTTTTTTTTTGAGATGGAGTTTCACTTTGTCACCCAGGCTAGAGTGCAGTGGCACAATCTTGGCTCACTGCAACTTCCGCCTCCTGGGTTCCAGCGATTCTCCTGCCTCAGCCTCCAAAGTAGCTGGGACTACAGGTGCGTGCCACCATGCCCAGCTAATTTTTGTATTTTTTAGTAGAGACAGGGTTTCACCATGTGGGTCAGGCTGGTCTTGAACTTCTGACCTCAAGCAATCCACCCACCTCAGCCTCCCAAAGTGCTGGGATTACAGGTGTGAGCCACTGTGCCTGGCCATTTCTTTTCCTTTTAAAGAAAGGTTTCTCAAGGCCTGTTTTTAAGTCCACCTATTTCCCTTTAAAATAAGTTGTTGACATTCATAACCAGATTTGACGTGCCAGGAATCAGGAACCTTGGCTTCTTTATTTCAATATAGGTTCTAAAAGTCTTGATCAATATATCATTTCCAAATCAGAGACTTGAAAAAGAACTTGATGTTTCTCTCATCCTTAGCAATCTCCTTCTAAAGACCTGAGTTTAAACTCTTTACAAGCACTGGGCCATTAATTTGAGAGAGAAAGTTTTCTCTTAATATTGAAGTGTCACACTGGAATTCAGTGAAGACTTTCATGGGTGTCCATGTGTAAGTCATTCTGATAACAACACATCATCAATAAGTGAAAGCTAGCTTTTGGCCTTAAGGAGCCAACTTAGTATTTCAAGTAAAATGATGAGCTCAGGATCACCAATCATAATGGTTGGGATGATCACCTGTGTTTCCAGTATCTATGCAGGAGAATGGGGCAGCTTGGTGAACGGAAAGGTTGGATACAAATCTGAAGTATGCGTGCCTACCTCCAACGTCTTCAATTTCTTCCCCATCATTACTGTATCTACTTTGTCAATCTTGGTAGCCACATTCTTGAAGTTTTTATGAGTAGAGCCATACCAATCAGAATAGGAACTGAGGGATGATTCTGATTCCTCCAAACTCTGAATCTCCTCCTCCAGGAATTTTATTTGTTCCTATGAAAGAAAAGAGAAAATTGAATGGTGAAGTAAAGGCCTGTGCCAGGGCCTTTGTTGATGAATATGTATCTTCACTGGATGTTAGTGAAAGGAAGGCTATTTTGGCTGGCGAAGTTTGCTGGTCTATGCTGAGCACCTGGTGACCCACTCACCAGCACTTGGAGAAGCAGGGCCTGGTATCTGGAAGTCAGCTGGGTGGCCTGGCAACCCATTCTGCTGTTCACGTGGCTCTCGTCCAGTATCTCCTGAGCTCTAGCTCCCACTTCCTCAACTTCATCTCTGTATGCAGTCACTTCTTCGTGCCACTTCTGAAATGACAAAGTATCGAAGGGAAAGATTCAATCTTAGCCATTCGAATAAGCCAAATGTATATCTTCTTATAGGAAATGGTTTCAGTGTAGGTTTAGAAGATGTTTATTTTGAGATTTAATTTTGAAAATGCCATATGTTATCTTCATAAATATTATATTACAACAATGTGATACAAACTGTACACTTGAGTTGGATAGTTTTCTGTATCTATTACACTTCAATTCAAAAATTAAAAATGAAAACAGGCCAGGTGCGGTGGCTCACGCCTGTAGTCCCAGCTGCTTGGGAGGCTGAGGCAGGAGAATCGCTTGAACCCAGGCTACAGAGGTTACAGTGAGCTGAGACCGCACCACTGCACTCCAGCTTGGGCGACAGAGCAAGACTCTGTCTCCAAAAAAATTAAATAAAATAAATAAACATGAAAACAAAGTGGCATAATTTTTTAGACCTCCTATTGTACCTAGATCAATTTTAAAATGGGTGGATAATGAAAATAAATTCCTAAGGCTCAAGCATTATTTTAGATGTGTGCACTAAAATTGCATAAAACTTAGAATAAAACTAATTCTCAAGTACTATTTCAATGAACTATATTGGAGCAATTTCATATCAGAACCATAAACTTAAATTATTGTAATACAAGCATTCATGTATCTTCACAAAACAAGGTAATAGGGTATGGAAAGAAAATATAAAATGGTTACATTAAACTACCTTGTATCAAAGACTAATTTATGAAATAATTGCTGTAAGAGGAATGCTCCATTGTGATTTATTTTAACTTTCTAGGTAATCAAAAAGATTTTGCAAAGCCTAAGCTTTGGATAAAAGTTACTAAATATCTTAATGAAACAAACTATGCAAGGTAACTGTAGCTTTGACAAAGATCAGGAATCTACATGAGTTGTACCTTCATCTGATGTAATTGTATCTCCTTGGTTGCCCTGTTAGACTGACGTCTGGTCCTGGGACTAACTTTCTCCTCTGCTGTTTTGAGCCATTCATCTACTTGCTGAAACTTTTGCTCCATTAGCCTCAATTTGTTCACCACGTTATTGAACTGAGTTCGAGTCTCGGACAGCCTGTGCTGGTAAGCCTGCCAGTCTTGCCGGAGAGACTCTAAAGCCCGGTCCTCTGCCTGTGGGATACCTGATGGGATCACATCCTCTCTGGTGTGCAGCACTGAGTTCAACAGGGCCTGCCCCTCTGCACAGTGTACCTGTAGCTCCTGCAGAGAAAAAGGTATGGCTGTCACTCTCAATCATATTTCACACTTGCATGGGTTAGCATGTCTTGCCCAAGCCAACTGTGCCCACTTGAACTTCTCATTAGAAAAAAATGATTTTATTATTATGCCCTATACAAAAATATGTCCCTAACCATATTTTCTCCGAAGTCAGAAGGATTCCTAAAACTTTTTCAATTAAAATAATCAACATACACACACACACACCCCAATATTTTTCTCAATCAACAGTTTCCCAAATTTGACTTTTTAGCTAACAGGCAAAAACACTTGTGAATAAAGGGCTATTGTTTAAAAGAATGACCTAGGCTTATTATAGCTCATAATCTGCTTAAAGTGACTTAAGCTTCTTGCTTTGACATTGAATAGCTCAGTGCTACATTTGTGACTGAGAAAGAAACAATGAACCTTCTGCTTCCTAAGGAGGAATCTTTTGCCAAAGCTGTACTCTAGGCATTGTGGTGGCCAAGAAAATTTGAAACTGGAGAGTGCAGGGCACACAAACTTGGGAAATTGGTTCATCACACCTGCCCACCAGGTGCTCTGAGGTGCAAATAAATTTCCTCCACCAAAGCCTAAACCCCAAAGATTTACCCTACAAATTTAGTATAAATCAAGTTTTGAAGAGCATATGCTATTTTTTATAGGACAAAAAGAATCTTATATCCTTAAAGATATTGGTAAAACAACATGGCACACTTATATTTCTGGTGATAAACATAAATCTATACTGTCACTTGATCTGATCACCCAAAGTAAAATAAATCAAGTCAAATCCCATCAACAATGTTAAAAATATCAGTATATGTAGTTAAAACATAGTATTTCTCAATACTATATTTTAAAAACCACTTAAGATTGCTAAAATATTTTTCTTACAAAAATAACATTCTCACATGGTTTCAACTAATAGAAAATTTTTCTTCAAATATGATGTCACTTCAAGCACAGTATAATGTAAAGACATATGCACATGGAAGGAGAAGAACTATAGATATACATGGTAAAATATTAATCAAATTGGCAACAAATACATAAACTTTATTCTAAAATTCTTAGACTTTTTTTCAAGATAATTTTTTATAATTATTTTCCTAATTCAAGGTTGGCAAACTTTTTCTATGAAAGGCCTGATAGTAAATAATTTGGATCTTGTGGGCCATAGGTCTCTGTTGCAATGACTTAACTCTGCCATTGTAGTATGAAAAAAACCACAGACGATACATAAATAAATGGGTGTGGCTGCATTCCAATAATATTTTATTTAAAAATACAGACACTGTGGCCCTGGACAGTAGTTGACTAATCTATTAATCTTCTCAACATCTTTTCCATAGTTCATAAGTAACCACTTTATCTATTATCCAAGTTAATATTCTATTAAATAAATTCTCATATATCCCAAATTTCAAGTCTGTATTCTGAAGGAAAAAATAGTTCAATATTTAAATAAATATATATATAATATTGTTAAATATATAAAATCTATAAGTAACATAAATGTGTGTATATAATATATTAATATATATTAATATATTAAAGATATTATATTAAAAATATATAAACTATATATATGTTCTATGACCCAAACTAGGCCTTCAGGTTATACAAAATAATTTCTGAATATGTTCCACATTACTGGCCAATCCCTACACCATGTACATGCTACAGAACATCAGGATCCTGAAGAAATTCTGCTTTGTGGTTGCAGCATCACAATTCTCCACCACTGCTTCCTGCCACTAGCATCTTCCTTCTTTTTTAACCTTTGTGGTGGCTCACAATAGAAAATGTAAGAATTAATGCATGGTGAAATCAGGGGGAGGTTAGGTTTGCACCACACGAATACCGGCTTAAGTGAAATATTTTCTTTTGACCAGAGCAACAGCAACATCTGCTGGTGATGGGTAACTATTGACTTAGTTCTACACAAAAGCACAGGGAGCTCAGCATTTGCTTACCAGTGATGTTGGTAGTGTAGAACTAAGAAGGGTTATGTAAAGAAAATAGTCAATTCTAGTCAAATAAATTACAACAGCTAAACCTGTGGATCCTACTCTTTGGAGGCAGGATGGATGAGACCCTTAAGTAAGCTAAGGAAATTGTGACCCTTCTAACTTTTAGTATTTACTTACTTCATGAGTAGACCGTATATTTAAATAAGATTTTCTTCCATTTCGGTTAATCCTTACAACTCTGTGGATGAAATTGGGTCAGAGAAGTTGTCTCTTGCCTGAAGTCACCTAGTGTTGGGTCCCATCAAGGATTAGAGTCCCAACTTCCCAATCCCAACCCCATTCTCTTGCCATTATACAATTTCCAAGAACTAGTAGAAAAAGCCAGAAATTTTATATGTGACTGATAATCATGATGGTCCCTGATTTTCCCACCTTGTTCAAGCTGTAGGTAAAACTTACCCAATCCTGAACCAACTCTGATCAGGACTGATGGCACATTTGTAAGTTCCAACACATCACTGGTGGGACATAAAGTGGTCTCATTGGCCTTCCTCCATCTTCTGCTGTTTGTTTTGTACATGGTGGCCCCTTCTTGGTGAACTTCCTTGATTCCTACCTATTCCTTAAGGTAAGTTTATGGGCCCTTCTTTGATGCTACCATAAGACCCCTTACATTAGTCTACTAATGTCCTCGCCATATTATTTATAATCATCTTTCTATGGGTTTGTGTTCCTCATCAGATTTCAAGTTTCTTGAAGACAGAAATCATATCTTAATCATCTTTGCCTGAAGTAGCTAGCAAAGTATCTGTACTGTATTAAGTATCCAGTAAATACTGAATGAGTAAATAAGTATATAGATTGTGACCACTTTCTCCACCATGTCTGGCATCTCACCGTGAATTATGGCCCGCTGGCCTGGGCACTAACACTTATTTTTTTTTACTTCTGTAATTCCTTCTTCTAGAACTCTGAGCCCGAACCGGTACCATCAGCAATGTGGCAGGTTTTGCTTAAAACTACATGGTTCAAGATATTGCCACTAGTTTGACTTTGTGTCACCTTCTAATGACTTCTGCCGCTGTCCCCCAGATCTGATGTGATCCCTTAGGGAGAAACAGGCAGGTAAGCCAGAAAACCCCATCAATTAGATCTCCAGCCATTTGTCAGGGCCACCCTAGCAGCTCCATGAATCCCCCAAGTGCTAGTCCTGTCCTACCTAAATTGCCTACAAAATGATGTCAACTAGCGCATACTGCTGAGGTCTCAGAATGTTCTTGATCAAACCTTATGGGGATTGCACTTAATGTGTATCAACTAGCCACTGGACTCAAGGTTTCTATTAACTTCCTATTGCCTAAAATAATAATTCCATATTCAGAATGAAGATTCCTTTGTTTTAGGATAAAGGAGGCCTTACCTGAAGATCACGCAATGTTGTCTCATGAGTGTGGGCATCACCTTCAAGAACTGAATACTGGTCGAGCTTTTCTTGTTCTTGCCCCAACCAAACTTCAAATGCCTTTAGGTCTCTCTGATACTCTTGGTGCAGGCGGACAAGTTTTTCAGACTTGGTTACGGCTTCCTATAATTAGCATTTAAAATAATGAAGTTAGGAACACATTACTTTATAAAGCATCAGTGTGCTGTAATTCACTTTTGTAATTTTAGAAAAGTATAATTATTGAGACATTAGAATATGAGTTATTTCCTAGAATCATGAATCTTCAATATTTATGTAAAAATATAAAAACCTAATATTTCAGGAATAAAAGTGTCATTAATTATTTTGTTGAATTAACTACATGATCTCTGAACACCTTATAAAATGTAACAGGCTAAGAAATGAATTCACTTTACTAATTTCATAAAAATTCACTTTTGCTAATGAAGAAAATTGAAATTCTTATATTGTGCCTTAAATGAAGATTTGGACGTACTGTGGATTAAATTTTCCATAGTAGAATGCGCTCTGAAAAAGCATATTTATTTTCTTTGTGAGGACTAAATGAAGAATGATTAATACTATCAGTGATTATTTCCCACCTTAGAAAACTCTCATCATCAGACATAATAAGGCATTTATGAGTCTTCAATTGAAGGTGTCCAGAATTTTTTTTAAGTTGGTACCTTTCTAGGAATTTTTAGTTGAAAATTATCTTACTTTCATAGCTTTCATAATACTAACAATATTTGAAGGTTTTTGATTTTGCCAGTAATTCCTTTAAAATATTAAAAATTCATTTTGCTTTTGTTCTGTTTTCCCAAGCCTGTCATTCTTGAACATAAATGAGTCTTTAAAGGAGCACAGCTCCAAACACTCCCCTTTTGGTGAGTCTACAAGGAAAGTGCTTTGCCGTACCTTGGCCCTCTCTTGGATGGCTCTGTATCGTTCCTGTAGATCCTGGAGTTCTAGCTGGGTGACATAGTGTTCTGTCATGCCAGCCCCTTTGACTTCGATGGTCTCCAGCAAGCTGCTGTAACTCAGCACTTCTTCATTTAATAACTAGAGAGCATTTAAGAAAAATAAAGTGGCCATTCATGCACCATCACATCAACGACACTGCTAAAATCAAGATATTTTAATTGTACAGTTGACAAGTGACCTCAGGTTATTTATTCGTCCACTCCTCCATCATTTTATCTATTTGACACAGATATGTGTGTGAATGCATGGGTGTGTGTGTGTGTGTGTGTGTGTATTTTATGTCTGGTCCAGAACTTTCTCTAACATATGAATTACCAATTAACTACTTTATATTTCTACTCTTAACATTTCAAACTGATTATGTCCAGAAATGGACCCCTGATGTTCACCCTATCCCTATTCTACCCCAGCCCCCATGAAGCCCCCTTCTCTTTCCATCTCTTTTCAAACAGCAAATGCCATGACCTCCCACCCAGACGGTCAACCCAGAACATGGGAATTGTTCCAGCGTCCTCTCTAGCTCTCCGTCCTCTAAACCATTAGGAAATCCTGTTAGCTCTACCTCCTATTATACTGCGACATCTGTCCCCACATCTCCTGCAAACTCCCCAGCCCAGGCTGCCCTCCTCTTTCACTTGGACTTTGCAGTGGTATCCCAGGCAGATTCCTGGCCACCAATTCTTTCCCTGTCCCTTATTTCATGCTCCACACAGCAGTCTAAGTGATATAATGTCTTGCAATTAAAAGTTGAATCGTGTCGCTTCTCAGCTTAAAACCTGGATTATCGTCCCAATGCTGCCGGGATCAAGTGGAAAATCCTCAGAGCAGCTGGCATGGCAATGGAGGATCAGGCTCTGTCTCTCCATCAAACTCCCCTTGCAGCCCCTCCCTGCCTACTCTCTGCTGCAACAACACCTGCCTGTTTCCTCACAGCTCCCCACTGCACCAGGATATTTCCCTCCACAGGGCCCGAGGACCTGCTTTTTATTCTATCCGGAATGCTGGTTCCTCAACTCCTCCCCAGGCTCATTTCTCTGGCTTAAATTCTTTAGTGCATGGACTATATGTCTGCTGTTTCAGAGAGGCCTTTCCTGTCCCTCTCCCTTGGCCTCAAACAAGCTGTATGAGCCTTTTCAAAATGATTCTCTCTCACACCACACTACTTTTTTTTTCTTCATAGTATTCAGCAGTTAAAATTATTTATTTGTACATTTATTACTGAGTGCATGCATCCCCACTAACATACGCTTGACTGTTTTTACTGCTAGAATCGGGCACAGTCCCTACATGTAGCAATTTCTCAATAAATGTTGATTGAATAGATGAACAATCCAATTAATTAAGCAATTAATTATTATAACAGATAATACATGCAGGTATTTATGAAGCAGATAATTATAATTATATTATTTTATGGATGCATAAATGAGACCCAGAAACATTAAGTACCTTGGCATAGGTCACATAAGATCATTTAGTCATTTAAATAACTTTTATTCAGCGTGTGTTCTGTGTCAGACAGAGAGCCAAGTGTTGAGGATATAAAGAAAATTAAGCATCTCTATTCACTGAAGGAGAGGGACATGCAAATATATATGAAATTGATAAAGAGCTTTGAACCAAGGGCTATGAGAGAACAGAACAATGAATCAAGCCTGAGCGGTGGTGGTGTAGCATAGCTAAAATGACTTCAAAATTCATTCAGAAAGATAAGTAGGAGGTTGCCAGGGGCAGAGACAGAGCAAGGACCTTCTGTAAAAAGAGAAGAGATTATGCAAAGACACAGAATTGTGAAGATTGTGGCATGTTCAGGAGATAGTGTGAGATTCAGCAAGGCTGGAGAGCGCAAGGGAGGAGGCTGGGAGCATGAAGGAAAGGAGCATGGCAGAGGAGTTTATTTCCATTCTTACAAACCAGGTGACGGAGATTGAGCTTATCCTGTAGACAATGGGAAGCCAACACAGGACCTCAGGCAGGAAGTGAGACATTCATCTTTATAGGAGATAACAATAGATGGAGGCAAGAAACAAGGTGAAAAATTAGGAGTCTGTTCCAGTTCAGGTGAAGAGGATGGATCAGTAGGACCTAGTGCCAGATGCAAAGTGGCAATGAGAAAGAAGGCACTGAGAATAATGAGGTTTCCAATGTAATATATTCAGGGTGAGGTGATACAAATGAGCAGGAATAGAGAATGTGAGAGGTTAAAGGATTTCTGTGTAGAAGATCACAAGTGCTGTTTAGGATAATGGTAAGGGGGTGATGGAACAGGCTGACCGATGATCATGCCCTGGAGTGAGGCTGCAGCTATAAACCAAAGGACTGTAAAACTTCATGTTTGAATACTACTGCCAATAAGTTTTAAGAACATGCCATTATTTATTTATTTAAAAAAATCTTTCCATGTAGTACTGTACTAATGTAAGCATTATGACGAATGCACAAAAGATAACACAAAGGGATGTGATAAAAAAAAAAAAAAAAGGAAGACTTCCTAATGATGAGCAGGCTGAAGACATTAAAAGATATTTCATGGTGCTACATTTTAAATGGTTTGTATCATAAAACATGGATCTACATGGTTTTCCTGGAAGGAAAAATTTTCACTCACTAATAAAGTAATCACAAATGAAAGTCCAGTTTAAGAAGCCTTTAGAGATTATACTAAAAGCCCCAAACGTAATTTGCTTATGTGCACTGCCCTAGGGTACACGTAATCCCATTTTTGTCTGACTGTGGCATTCTAAAGAAGCCTGTGAGAAAACACATGGAATCTGAAATCCAGCTCTCACCTTGGCTTTTCCGAGCATCGTTGTTTTATCCCGCAGCTCCGCATGCTGCCTTTCTGATTCATTCAGGTTGGCTTCCATACTATCCATCCAACCGGAGAACTGTCGAACGCCATCCTGATAACTTGTCCACTTGGAGAGAGCTCCTTCGAGTTGGCTGAAAGGGATTTGAAAGGACAATAAATCCACATTGAGAATCCTTAGGAGTCTAAAATGTCATTGTGTCTGCTCCATCCACTCCAGTAAGCAAGGGGTCAAGAGATCAGGAAGAAGCTTGCTTGGGAGTGAGCAGGCTGCCCAGGGCTTAAGGACACTGAGTCCAGGTCTGAAGGGCAGCCTCAGGAAGCAAGGAACATTTAAACCCAGGCCAATATGCAGAAACATGGAACTAGCTATCAACTCAAGAGTCAGCGGCTGGGGGGACACGAGACACTGGGGGAGCCTCAAAGGCAAAACTGAGAGAGATCCCCTGAGTGGGTCTTTTCTGGAGCCAAAGCTCTGGGCAGGGAGAGAAGCAACACTTAACTCTATCAAACCGAGCAGGACATTGAGAGCAGGAGAGAAAAGTAAGAACAGTAACCACCTTACGTGAGATTAAATATCAGAAAATCGTAATGAAATAAAAGGACAATATTTCCTGACTTGGTCTAAATAGTAAAACTTAATTATTTATTTTATCGATAAGTTAAGCACTTCCCTTGTCTCAATACACATGCTAGTTTTTTTTTTTTAAGACAAAGTCTTGGCCGTCTCACCCAGGCTGGAGTGCAGTGGCGCGATCTCGGCTCACTGCAAGCTCTGCCTCCCGGGTTCACGCCATTCTCCTTCCTCAGCCGCCCGAGTAGCTGGGACTACATGCCCCCGCCACCATGCCCGGCTAATTTTTTTGTACTTTTGGTAGAGACAGGGTTTCACTGTGTTAGCCAGGATGGTCTTGATCTCCTGACCTTGTGATCTGCCTGCCTCGGCCTCCCAAAGTGCTGGGAATACAGGCGTGAGCCACCACACCCGGCCTACACATGCTATATTTTAAATTTCATTAATCAGGCCGGGCGCGGTGACTCACGCCTGTAATCCCAGCACTTTGGGAGGCCAAGGCGGGTGGATCACGAGGTCAGGAGATCAAGGCCATCCTGGCTAACACAGTGAAACCCCGTCTCTACTAAAAATACAAAAAATTAGCCGGGCATGGTGGCGGGCGCCTGTAGTACCAGCTACTCGAGAGGCTGAGGCAGGAGAATGGCGTGAACCCGGGAGGCGGAGCTCGCAGTGAGCCGAGATCGTGCCACTGCACTGGAGCCTGGGCGACAGAGCAAGACTCCGTCTCAAACTAAATAAATAAATAAATAAATAAATAAATAAATAAATAAATAAATATAAAAATAAATAAATTCCATTAATCATTTCTGCCTAATTGTACTACCAGGTTTTGGGTCCTTTTGTAGCAGACACTGTAAGTGCTCCATCCATCCACACCCCCGGATCACACCACTGCAGCACAGTCCAGTTGGACTTCTAATTGCTCCTAGATCTCTTAGCTTGAAGACATTCTCTAGCCCCTGATGTACTCTCAGTTTGAGGGCAATATAGGCACAGGGGAGCCTCACCCTGAGGGGCAGCCCTCAACTGCTCTTCTAATTCATATGAGTTTGTCTCTAAATACTCCAGATCCCCTGCCCTTGGATGGGATAACTGGGGCTCACACTGTATACCAGCTCCCAGCATTGCCTGACTGGATTAAGTTGCAGTTGCTCACAACGGTGGGCAACTCGCTTGATAACATACCTGATATGGTTAAGCTCTGTGTCCCCACCCAAATATCATCTTGAATTGTAGTTCCCATAATCCCCACATGTCATGGGAGGGACCCAATGGGAGGTAATTGAATCATGGGGGTGGTTTCCCCCATGCTGTTCTCGTGATAGTCAGTGAGTGTTCATGAGATCTGATGATTTTATAAGGGGCTTTTCCCCTTTTGCTCAGCACTTGTCTCTCTTGCTGCCATGCGAAGAAGGATGTGTTTGCTTCCCCTTCCGCCACGATTGTAAGTTTCCTGAGGCCTCCCCAGCCATGAGGAATTGGGAGTCAATTAAACCTCTTTCCTTTATAAATTACCCAATCTCAGGAATGTCTTCCTAGCAGAGTGAGAACGGGCTAATACAACACCCTTTACTTACTGCCCTCCCCCTGCCTGCCATTTCTTTCCCACTCCTCTATTTGTATTTCCTGGGTTTACCTCCCAAGTCCACTACTTGGTTTTAATCCTTATATTTTTACATTATGAATCTTTTTTTTTTTGTATTTTTATGTTAGCAACAACAACAAAAAGAAACATGCATTTTTAGTTATATTACCACATTGGCACAGTATTCAGGTCAATCTAAATGTGAGATTACATCTGCCAGTTTCTTTTGTTCTAATAAGAAAAAAGAAAGAAAAAGAAAGAGGAATCAAGAGAAAACAGGGGGAAGGAAGGAAGAAAGGAAAGGGAGTGAGGGAGGGAAGGAGGAAGGAGGAAGGAGGAAGGAAGGAAGGAAGGAAGGAAGGAAGGAAGGAAGGAAGGGAGGAAGGAAAGGAAAGGGAAGGGAAGGGAAGCCGGCCACAGGAATGGTCTGTTCAGTAGTATTATATTGATCTTTTAGTAATAGCTTCCCCAGTGCTTGGCTGTAGTTTCCCTCACCTTTTACAACGAATCCCTGCAGACAAAAGGGATGCCCACATATCCTTCACACTCTGCAGCTGCTGCTGAATAGTGGGAATGCCTTCTGGAGAAGTATTCTGAAGGACAGATTCTCCCCTGGTCACTATCATTTTCATCTGAATCTCTTTTTCCTGTTTGACTGATAATAGAGCCTGTGAAAACACATACAGAAGTCCTTTGTCATTTGTATGTTTAACATTGCTGGCTTTAAATATTGCAGAGCTCCTAAAGATCACAGAATAATATGCAATTGTGCCCAGCCCTGGAGCTCCCAGTCGGCTGAGACAGAGGGTGGGGAAGTGGCTTGCTGGTGAATGCCAGTCACCAGCTACCCGCTGGTTTTTACTAAGTGGCCTTGGTGTTGAAGGTCTGCAGTCTTCTCTGAATAATCCCTTCCTTCCAATGAAGTTTTACTTTACTGGTTTTAACAAGGGAAAAATATAGTACAGTAGAATTCATGATTTCTCAAAGGTTATAGGATGAAGAGCTTATAAATGTTATGGTCTCTATAACCAAAAAAACCCATAGAAATAGATTATATATTTCATGTTCTTCATAAGTACTATTCTTTTTCTATGTGAGAAGGAAGTTTCTTCTTTTGCTTTTTTTAGAGACAGAGTCTATCTTTCTCTCCCAGGCTTCAGTGCAGTGGTGTAATCATAGTTCACTGCAGCCTCAAACCCCTGGGATCAAGCGATCCTTCTAGCTCAGCCTCCTTGGTAGCTGGGACTACAGGCATATGCTGCCATGGCCAGCTAATTTAAATGTTTTTTTTTTTTTGTAAAGGTGAGGTCGATGCCCAGCCTGGTGTTGAACTCCTAGGCTCAAGCAATCCTCCCACTTCAGCCTCCCAAAGTGCTGGGATTGTAAGTGTAAGCCACTGCGCCCGGCCAGAAGGAAGTTTTAATTCCAAGTTATAAAACTGATAATGTTGCCTAAAAGACAAAGCTTCATCTCTTTTTATAATGTGGTTCTTGCCAACTTCCAAAGCCTCAGCTTCAGCCACCCATTGCCACCAGTTTCTGCTGTGGCAATAAGCAACTGGTAGAAATTTCTCACACACTACGCTGTTCTTTCCTCTGGCTGTTCCTCACACTTTTCCCCTCTCTGCCACCATTCCCAAGTCTCCACCCAGTTATCTTTGCCAAAATAATTCTCCCTATCATTCTTAAAAACTTGGTTTTGCCCGGACGCGGTGGCTCACCCTGTAATCCCAGCACTTTGGGAGGCCAAGGTGGGCAGGTCACCTGAGGTCGGGAGTTCGAGACCAGCCTGACCAACATGGAGAAACCCCGTCTCTACTAAAAATACAAAATTAGCCAGGCGTGGTGGTGCATGCCTGTAATCCCAGCTACTTGGGAGGCTGAGGCAGGAGAATCGCTTGAACCCAGGAGGCAGAGGTTGCGGTGAGCTGAGATCACACCATTGCACTCCAGCCTGGGCAACAAGAGCAAAACTCCGTCTAAAATAAAACAAAACAAAAACCAAAAACAGAACAAAAACTTGGTTTATAGCAGGGCGCAGTGGCTCACACCTGTAATCCCAGTACTTTGGGAGGCCAAGGCAAGAAGATTGCTTGAGTTCAGGAGTTCAAGACCAGCCTAAGCAAGAAGGCAAGACTCTGTCTTAATTTTATTAAAAAAAAAAATTTAAACCCCACACAACTCGGGTTACCTATCACACTTCCTAAGAAATCTCTCCCAACTTTCAACCCCATCCCTTCTGCACGGTTCCACTCCTGTGTATGTCTATAACACCATAAATACATCTGCATCTGTGGTTGTTGTCTTCTATATTTCGACCTCCAACTTCAGACAGTAAAACCCCTGAGGAAAAAGACTATGTTATTCACCTTTGATTCCTTGGTGTCAAGACAGAGTGCCGGTCTCCTAGAAGGCACCCAGTATACAAATGAATGCAGACTCATTATTTTCTTCACAAATGCGAAAATGAACTCATAACTTGGGATGGGAGGAGAATTGGCTAAATACAGGAAGACAAGTGAGTGGAAAAAGATGGAAAATGTTTTGCCCTATAAAATGTTTCCTCAAAATATTTTCCCATAATGAATATGTCTGTGATCTCATTTAAAACTAGCCTCTTAACAAGTGATCACACAAGTAATCACATTCGGGCTTTATTTTATTTTATTTTTTGGAAAACATCCGGGGTCAGATGATTCAGGAATTCTCTGGCATGTGCACCCAAGGCAGACAGCGTTGCACTCACAAAGCATCTGAGATTTATCATGGAGAGAATGTGACATCATCACCCCAGGTGGATGGAGACGGGAAATTTTGAGAAAAACAAATTCTGTAGGTTGGAGATATTTCTGTGTAAAGATGCACACCTCGAGCTTGAGCGTCCTGCTGTCCAGCACACTTTTGTCGGATGTCGGGTGGCAGTATGAATCCAGCATGTGAATCGCATCCGTCATCCAGTCTTGTAATTCTTTAATCCCAAGAGAGAACTGATTGTGTTCTGCAACGATTCTATCCAGTCTTGACACTTTCTCCTGGAAATGACAGAAATGGTTTTCGAGCTGTCCATCCCACAGAGACAAACTGCAAAGCTAACAGTTTGTTTGAAACAAAGGCAATCAGTCATGGCTTCATACGCTGCACAGATACGAGGCAAGTCTGGCCTAAATCTATGAGATATGTTAAAGATCTTTCTAAATCATAAAACTATTAGAATAACTGGGTCAAAAGCAAAAAAAAAAGTTACAATTTTATGCCTCTCCAATTCTTTATGACTATCATGATTATTTTAAATCAGTAAAATTTCTCCCTAATGCCTTGTCTGGGAGACTGGTCAAAGTAGTTTCTAGTTTTCACATATCACATTAGGCTCACCTGACACAACAACCCACATGACCTACATTGTAGCCAGAGTTCTAAAAAAAAAATAATCTGAGATTTTTGTAATATCTCTAAATTTTAAAACATGGGACCATACACATGGTTTTGTTTATCAATTATAGGTTATATCTAACACAGTGAAGACTTTGCAAGAATAATCTACAGCTCTCAAAATATTCATATATCGATTACTTTTGGTATCTAAGTAAATACAAAGGAATGGAAAGATGTTCTTCATTCATTCTAAGATGATTCATTCCTTATCTTAACTTAGGTATGTGCCAGATTTTATAAAAACATCCAAAATAACAATCATAGAATAAAAATGGGTGTAAACATAGACTATTTACTCCCAGACCTAAGCTAGTGTGACTGCTTCAGTGATGTGTATTGAAGACCCAAATGAGCAGACCCTCTGTAAATGCACACTTACAGAACAGATGAGGCCAAATTAAAGACTAAATTATACCAGTGTCCCTATATTCTAACACCTGAAAGTTAAAAACATAGGAAACAAAGGTTATAAGCCACATAAAGCTCAAGATAGGTCTGCAACACACAGTTCAAAATGGGTCTACGTTACCATCTACGTCAAAATGGCTGAATGTTCTAAATGAGATTGTAGTAGGATTCCATTTATTTTCTTCTAAGCTATTTGAAAAGAGGTTTAATCAGTTGTCTGAACCATTGCCAATTTTGAGCTCTGCTCTAGAATCTGAACTGAAACTCTCAATCAACACATCCTTGACTACTATATAATGAATGCAAAGATTCAGATGAATTTTTTAAAAATATCATTATATTTAATCTAATAAAATTTAAACTGTTTAGAATCCATGTTTTTTCTAAAGTAATTTAATCTGGGATTATTTAGAACAAAAACTCTGGGATTATTTAGAACAAAAAAAATCATGTTTATGATTTGAGTCTTCCAAATCAAAGCCCTGGGAAACATATCATTTCAGTATTAAAAGGAATATCTTGTGCAATAATGAAGACTGAAAGTCTCCTCAATCTTTGAAACCTCCTTCGGCCTTTTCAGAGAGCCACATCAAGCTTATGCAACAACAATGATGAACTCAGATTGCAAGGCTAAGGAAACAGCACACACGCCCCTTACTGCTGACCTGGAGACCCACACTGTGGGCGGGTCAGGATGCAATGCACACCCTGCAGAACCTGCTGCAACTCCAATTTTGCGACATCAGTATCACACTCACACACAGCACGTGCCAGGCGTTACCTTTGTTAAATTGCTTAGCGCTAGATACTGAGAAGACAGCTGCGACACTCTGTGCCTAAAGCTCTTGCTGGCAGCTTGTCCTTCCCACAGCTGCTGAGCTTTCTCTTTCAGCCTGTTGAGCTGAGGCTCGTAGCAGTGTATTTCCTCAAGGACAGACTGAAAAGCACAAGCAAGTTACTATTCAGAGGCTGGGGAAAAGCACATCGCGGACGAAGCTTTGGCCCAGAGAACATGGAAATCAACACTGGCAGGCAGTCCGTGTACCCTGGAGGCTTTATTATCTCCAATCTACACACCGTGGAGCACAAATCATGGAAGGAAACAAATCATACTTCCAAGGAAAGTCAGAAAACATAAAATCCACCAGAAATGGGGAAAAACACACTATGTCTCACGGCAGCACAGTCTAACTCAAGGGTGCTGAGCATGCATCTGTAAGGTCGACAGAGGACGGACAAAGACTAGGTCAGATGGGGCTACGGGGAGGCGGGCTCATCACCTGGAGCTTCTGCTGCTCCCTCCTCTTTGCTGGCAGATCATAGAGGCGATTGCTGCTTTCATGGACCATCTTCTCAGTTTTACTCAGCCAGTCCTGGATAGGCTCAGCACTTACTTCAAAGTCCTTCATTTGGATCTTTAGATTCTGCAAGGTTTTAGATAGTGTCCAGGACAAGAAAATATTTTAATAGCAAGTCCAAGGTCCTTCACTTGGCATTCAAAGTCCACCCAGGCTGGGCACAGTGGCTCACGCCTGTAATCCCAGCACTTTGGGTGGCCGAGGTGAGCAGATAGCTTGAGCTCAGGAGTTCAAGACCAGCCTAGGCAACATGATGAGACCCCGTCTCTACTAAAATACAAAAAATTAGCCAGCCATGGTGGGATGTGCCTGTAATCTCAGCTACTCAGGAGTCTGAGGTAGGAGAATTGCTTGAATCCAGGAGGCAGAGGTTGCAGTGAACTGAGATCATGCCACTGCACTCCAGCCTGGGTGACAGAGGGTGACTCTGTCTCAAAAAAAAAAAAAAAAAAAAAAAAAATTCCACAAAAAAAAAACCAAGCCCGCTCCAAAGTCTGAAACACTCCATCTTTTACCTTGGCACAAACACAATTTTTGAATATCCTTTAAGAACTTTTTAGGGTTCTCCTTTTGAAAATAGAATTTTTCCCCCCTAACTCTCTGGCCCACTTCTGAGATCACACCCATTTCTCAACTTCTAGAGCATTTGTTGTCTATACCATGCCTATATACTTCATCATAGACTAGGTTGGATTGTGAATTTTCATCTGACACAGGTGTGCCTTGTCTCCAGAACTAGACTGCAAGCTCCATGAGGGGAGGGCCTGGGTCTGACACTTCCGGAGACACACCATAGTACCTTACAGGAATGTAAAGAAATGTTAGTCAACATTTGGTTGATTTTCATTAATGAGGGTACAAGAAGTAGCATATCCATGTAGTTTATGTGATTATGTTGTTAATAAATAATTTATTCTGATTTATCAAGTGATAAGAAATACTAAATAATGTTATGTGCTTATCACATAAGAATGTCATAATACTTTCACAGTTACTATGTAGTACCCTAGGTGTAAAATGTGTTTGATAAAGTTTTATATGGTACTGTCTAACTTTAGCAAAGGTGTCTGCATCTACTGTCTCTTACTTATAAAGTGGTAGGTGGACGTGAATGTGAATTTGTTATTTATGTTACCCTGTGAGTCAACTAAAGGCTGTAAAAACAACCAGTACTTTAGGTAGTATTGTCCAAGAGGGAGTACATAAAGGTTAGCTGAAGAATCTAAGTGGCAAGAGCTAATGAAACTTATGAGAGAATAGTTCAAGGTTCCACCTGTATCTGGTCTGGGTCGTCTACAATATGGGGAAAATCACATCTGCCTTACTCACCTCTGAGGGATATGGGTTAGCTGTAAGAATCATTTGAAAAGTTAGTATCTCACAAATGTAAAATACCAAAATAACTTCTGGAGTATTCTACCAAAATTTAGGTTGCATGAAGGCAGGGACTTGGTTCTGTTTTATTCTCTGCTATAGCCCCAGAGCCTAGACTAGTCCTTCACAAATAGAAGATGCTCAACAAATATTTGTTGAATAATTAAATTCATAAATTCAAGGTGTTTCCATCTTCCTGTTACTAGAGCCTCATGGGGCCACTTGATATGGTTTGGCTGTGTCCCCCCCCAAATCTCATCTTGAATTGTAGTTCCCATAATCCCCATGTGTCTTGGGAGGGACCCAATGGGAGGTAATTGAATCATGGGGGTGGTTACCCCCATGTTGCTGTTCTCATGATAGTGAGTTCTCATGAGATCTGACAGTTTTATAATGGACTTTTCCCGCTTTGGCTCATACTTCTCCTTCCTGCCACCATATGAAGAAGGATGTATTTGCTTCCCCTTCTGCCATGATTGTAAATTTCCTGAGGCCTCCCCAGCCCTGCAGAATTGTGAGTCAATTCAACCTCTCTCCTTTATAAATTACCCAGTCTTGGGTCTGTCCTTATAACATCGTGAGAATGAACTAATACACCACAAAACAGGGCAAATGGGGGACCATGATCAGGAATTTAGGTTCTAAAAAGAAAGGAGATGAGAGGGGAGGGGAGGAGAGGAGAGGGGAAAGGGAGGGGAGGAGAGGGGAGAGGAGGGGAGGGCAAGGGGAAGAGGAAGGCAGAGAGAGAGGGGAGGGGAAGGGGGAGGGGGAGGAGAGGGGAAGGGGTTGGGGAAGGGACGGGTAGGGAGAGAGGGAGGGGAGAGGAGGGGAAGGGAAGGGGGAAGGGAGGAGAGGGGAGGGGAAGGCAGGGAAGGGAAAGGAAAGGATAAGAAAGGACAGGAAAGGACAGGACAGGACAGGACAGGAAAGGAAAGGAAAGGAAAGGAAAGGAAAGGAAAGGAAAGGAAAGGAAAGGAAAGGAAAGGAAAGGAAAGGAAAGGACAGGACAGGACAGGAAAGGAAAGGAAAGGAAAGGAAAGGAAAAGAAGAGAAAGGAAGGGAAAAAGGAAAGGAAAGAATCAAGTAAAACAGATAGATACCTATTCTGAGGGGAACAGCAGATTAAGAAAACAGGCAATTCATGACCTACTCACCTACTCTTGGGCATCTCTTGAACTAGATAACCTTGTAATCAATGCTAAATATGCTACACTCAGCAGCTGATGCTTCAGAGCTCAGACCACATAGCATTAACGATCCCTGAAGGATTAAAGAAACATTTCTAGGCACAATGGTTATCACTCTGTTAAATGGAGGATGCTGGCCACGAAAAAACAGTCACCATTACAAAACAGAGATCAATGGTCTTGGATCAGGAAATAATTGAGGAAATACACATTTTCTCTTACTGAATATTATTTCTCTATCATTATCTTTTTCCAACCTTCATTAATAATGGTCACAAACAAATGAAGGATCTATTCTGCCAAAAAGTGTTTTAAAAGGAAAAGATACCCTCTATGCCTCTAAATTTTCCTCTGAAAGAAGAGTCGATACATAAAATAGATAGTCTCAGACGGAAAAAAAATAATTATATTGTGGCAGTAATTATTTTATGGTTATAATAGATTCATCTTCTATTGTGTGTGGAGAAAATAAAATTATATAAACATTGTTTCTGCATACTTAATGCCTAAAAACCTACTACCTGGTATTTGCATTAGTTATAATATACACTCTCATCTGCAGCATTTTGCAGCTTATGTAGATATTCCTGATCATTCTCCTAGACCACCTTCCAGAAATGAGACAGTTCACATGAAAGGCTAAGTGTTCTGCTGAAATGTAAAACTGGCTGTTCCTGCTGGGAGAGTGCAAGGCCAAGTCAGTGACAATAGACCCTAACATGCAGGAAGCTACTTAATTCTTCAGGGAGGCTCCCACTTCTAGCATTGGGCTATTCCTTACTGTTAGCCCATTGTCTTCTTATGTTCTGAGAGGGGTAACCAAAATCATTGACAAGGGGGCTTTGATATACAGAAACTGTGATTTCACTAACAACAACAACAATAACAAATAACACAGAATGCTTCCATGTGGTTGGCTATATATACCTCTAGAGCAGATTCTTTTTGGTGGAGATTTGAATGAAAATTTTTCCAATCTTCTTTTGCAGCTGTAACTTTGGCCTGGATCCCTTTCGCTTTCTCTTTGGTCAGCAGGGTACTCAGAAGTTCCCCTTTAGACAGCATCATGTTTAGCTTGTGCTGTCCATTTTCACTTTCTGACAAAAACTCCTATAAAAGAAAATATAGAATTAGCCATAATGAAAATATTGTGTGTTGTTTCTATTTTTTCTTTTCTTTTTTTTTTTTGAGATGGAGTCTCACTCTGTCACTCAGGCTGGAGTGCAGTAGTGCGATCTCGGCTCACTGCAGCCTCCGTCTTCTGCGTTCAAGCAATTCTCCTGCCTCAGCCTCCCAAGTAGCTGGGACTACAGGTGCATGCTGCCACACCCAGATAATTTTTTTGTATTTTTAGTAAAGACGGGGTTTCACCATGTTGGCCAGGATGGTCTTGATCTCCTGACCTTGTGATCTGCCCACCTTGGCATCCCAAAGTGCTGGGATTACAGGCGTGAGCCACCACACCCACCTTCTATTATTTCTTAATAAAGTCAAAGAAAAGGAAGTAAGCTCTTTTTACTGTATACGTTAAATGACCCAGGTTATCCTTTAATAGTCAAGTTGCAAACTACTTTATTTACCAATCTAAATTCTGACTTGTCTCAAAAAGGTGGTGAGCAATCTCATAAAATATTAAAAATTTGATAAAAATAATCAGGAGAAGAAATGAAGACCAAGGGAAGATAAGAGCTGTAAAATAAAATAAACTCTGGCTAAGACTCGTTTACAAAACAAATGCCTTGTAGTTCCATATAGTTGGTGGAGCTGGATTATGATTTTGGCTCTGAGGATCCTAGCTGCCGAAGTGAAAGAGTAAACACAACCAGGGACAAGACTCGCAGAGCCTACTGGATAAAAACACATAATCTGCTCAGCAGAAGCACAATTCTCCCTAGGAAAAGACAGCAGATGAATTTCCGTGGGGAATCTTATTCAAATAAATGCTATTAAATGGAGCAGATTACATTATTAGTAGCAGCTTATATAAAAAAATAACAAGAGAGTGTTTCATAGGGTTGTCCTTATGAGGACAAGTCAATGACCTAGTGCCAAAGTGTAGTTTAATAAAGTGTAGCTACAGTATATACTTTTCCTTTCATGTGGCTAGAGCTCAAAGAATAGTCTTCCTCTAGAAAAATGGGTAGATTCTGTATTCTACAGTCGATTCTCAATATTTTCAAGTGCTAAAGAAGAAATTGAAAGCACAAGCTCAAAGTTATTTATTCTGACAAGAAACAGAAGCATAGATATTTTGTCATAGATTTTGATTAAAGAAACTTTGCCAGGACATTTGTCTTAATGGATGGCCATCCCTGTCCATGGAGGCATGCTGTGGTGGGAGGGTCAGAGAAAAGGCCAAAGGCTATCCTCTAAAACAGTACTAGCCATGTGTGGTGGCTCATGCCTGTAATCCCAGCACTTTGAGAGGCCGAGGCGGGCACATCAGTTGAGCCCAGGACTTCGAGACCAGCCTGAGCAACATGGTGAAACCCCTTCTCTACCAAAAATACAAAAGTTAGCTGGGCGTGTTGACGCATGTCTGTAATCCCAGATACTCAGGAGGCTGAGGCAGGAGGATTGCTTGAACGTGGGAGGCAGAGGTTGCAGTGAACCAAGATAGGGCCACTGGACTCCAGCCTGGGTGACAGAGTAAACACTTTTCTCAAAAATAAATAAATAAATAAATAAATAAAAAGAAAAGAAAAATAGCACTGTGTTTCTCCAATATAGAAAAATAGGTGATTGAGTTTCTGCAGTTCTACCCACCAGCCTGAAGCAAAACGGGAAGAATTTTACATTTTATTTTTAGTTTATTATTTTATTTTATTTTATTTTATTTTATTATTTTTGAGACAGAGTCTTGCTCTATAGCCCAGGCTGGAGTGCAGTGGCGCAATCTTGGCTCACTGCAATCTCTGCCTCCTGGGTTCAGGCAATTCTCCTGTCTCAGCCTCCCAAGTAGATAGGATTACGGGCGCCTGCCACCACGCTTGGCTAATTTTTGTATTTTATTAGTAGAGACAGGGTTTCTCCATGTTGGCCAGGCTGGTCTCAAACTCCTGATCTTAAGTGATCCACCCACTGTGGCCTCCTAAAGTGCTGGGATTATAGGTGTGAGCCGCCGCGCCTGGCTTGGAAGAATTTTAAATGGAGCAAATTTTCACAGGCAGAGTTGTCCTGTTATATTAAGTTATTAACCAAGAATTTAAAAAGGTGAACTACATATGAACAATACTGTTTCAGAGTCTGCTCCTACTAGAGACACTTCAAGCACGAGTGCTTACACACAGTGTTCTACATACCTGTGCCCTCTGAAAGAAACTCAAATTTCATAACCAATCACTCAGAACTGCTGCTATGTGAAATGAGCGGACATACAGGTACGAAAAGCAATTTCAATAACTGTGCTTAAAAAGTGCTGCTATTGAATGAAGGTGGTATGTGAATTAGCACCATGAAGTTACAGTTAGGTTAAAAAAAAAGACTAGAAAAATAAACCCAAATGAACAAACATAAAATATAACCGCAGCTCTGGCTATCTTAACACACCAGCTCTGTGACCTCACTGACGCTTTTACCCTATTGTACACTGACAGTAACAAATTTACATACCTGAAATGGTTGTTGTGAAAATTAAATGAGAAAATCCACTTAAAGTGCTCAGGAACAATGCTTGTCACATAGAAAAAACGTTTTATTATTTCCTGGATCACCATTAATATATAAAAATAGTGTGCATTTATATAAATGAACTGGTTCCTCTTCATATACAGAAGCAATTGTTTTAAGTGGGGATTTATTTGAAATTTGAATTTCTTACGCAAAACTTTTATATGTTCTGCCCTTCTGAAAAGATCTAGAGAAGCGGTCCCCAACCTTTTTGGCACCAGGGAGTGGTTTCAGGGAAGACAATTTTTCCACAGATGGGGTGGGGCAGGGGGGATGGTTTCGGGATGAAACTGTTCTACCTCAGATCATCAGGCATTAGTTAGATTCTTAGAAGGAGCACACAGCCTAGTTCCTCTGTGTGCACAGTTCACAATGGGGTTCAGGCTCCTATGAGAATCTGATGCTACCGCTGATCTGACAGGAGGTGGAGCTCAGGCAGTAACGCTCATTGGCCTGCTGCTCACCTCCTGCTGTGCGGCCTGGTTCCTAACAGGCCAGGGACCTGTACCAGTCCGCGGCCCAGGAGATGGGGACCCTTGATTTAGAGGTTAACTTTAGTTCACATCAGCACTGCTACTAGAATTAATTGATAACACCCTTACCTGTATTTTCTGAAGACTAGTTGAAACTTCACTTATATTTTGAGGTATATCAAAACACTTGGCGGTAGTGATTTTTGCATTAACCAACCACTGCTGGAAATCCCTGAAGGCCTTTCGAAATCTTTGCTGTAAAATCTGTTCTTTATTCTGGCAGCCCTTGGATGCTTGCAAACAAAGACTGAAAAGGTGACGCAAAAATTTAATGGCAGGAAAAAGCGATAAAGTTGATGAAAATCATGTTTGATAGAATCACCAGTTCTTAGAATGTGCACTTACCTCACTTAGTAATATATTTAATGCTGAACTAATATTATTTTGAAATTACACCTTAAAATAAACTTCTAGCTTCTAATTTGTATAAAAATATCTTGAACACCAATAAGGTTCATGCTCACCAATTATACTCTTTAATCAAGCCAGAAACTTTTCCACTGTAGGTACTCAGGTCTCTGGAAAATCGACAAAGTTCATTCAGCTGAGACTTGAGATCCTCTGTTCTAGGCTCTGCTTTTTGCAAAGCATCCAGTATCTCCTGTTCAGAAATAATGAGACAAAGAAGCGAGCACTTACATTGGGTGATCTCCATATCTTCACACTATACATGCATCAATCATATTATAAATTATTAGTGAGAGAAGAACCAACATGGTAGATTCAATGAAGAAATGAAGCCTGTTTTCAGGATTCCTCTGACAAATAATAGCACCTGGCTCATTTGTCCCTTTTTTCTTGCCATGGATAGACACTCTAGCATCAAATACTGCAAAGTAGTTAAGTGATTAAGTGGTGAAATGACTTAAAAATAAGACAAGAAAAAGAAAAAATAGCCTACATTGTCTATAAATAGTTGGACTAGGCCATCAGGAGATATGTATATTGTTTAAAGGTGAAAACAAATTATTTTAAAGAAAAGCAACACTTATTTTGGATTAAATATATATATTAAGGGCCGGGTGTGGTGGCTCACGCCTGTAATTCCAGCACTTTGGGAGGCCGAGGAGGGTGGATCACCTGAGGTCAGGAGTTCGAGACCAGCCTGACCAACATGGTGAACCCCATCTCTACTGAAAATACAAAAATTAGCCAGTTGTGGTGGTGGGCGCCTGTAATCCCAGCTACTTGGGAGGCTGAGGCAGGAGAATCCCTAGAACCTGGGAGGTGGAGGTTGCAGTGAGCCGAGATCGTGCCATTGCACTCCAGCCTGGGGGACAGAACGAAACTCCGTCTTAAAAAAAAAAAAAAAAAAAAAAAAAAAAAAAAATATATATATATATATATATATATATATATATCTCCAAAATTGAATCCTGTTTCAATTGATTTTATGTTGTATATACAGTTAACTTTTACATTAAAAATTTCTTATAATCCATGAGTCTGGTTTAAATAGTAATTCATTTATTTCATAGTTTCATTCATAAAGTCATCAAATATTTGCTAAATGTTTACCGTGTGCCAAGCATTTTGCTGGATTCTGGGACCCAAGTCCCCCCACGAATAAAGGTAAGATTCTTGTTCTTGAAGAGCTCACAATTTAATAGATGAGGGAGACACATGAATAGCTACATTACTGTGTACACCCAATCCAAAATAAAGCCTTAGGACTTGAAAAGTACACCTCTGAAATCGAGGCCATGGTCATCTGAGTTACACAAGGTGCTTTGCACTCAGAGTGTTCCTCTCATAGGATTGTCACAAGGAACAAATGAAATCATGAATGTCAAATACTTAGCACAGTTCCTAGCACACTAAGTGTCTAATTCATAAAATCAGAAGGAGAATGACTCCCAAATATGTAAACACTGTGGATAACAGTAGCACTGAAGCAAAAAAACAAAATAAATTAAGGAGGAGGGGCAAAAAGATGAGTAACTACTCAAATAGCTTTGCTGTGACCATTATTGTCTGATATTTGTCAAGAGATGGCCCAGATTTGTAAAGAAACCACATCCCTCAACAAACCAGCCCTGTGCTTCATTCCTCGTCCTGGTAAATGGCACCACTGTCCCCCGCTGATGTCAATCAGAAGATTAAGCATCATCCGGGCCTCTCCCTTTGTTTCCTTTCTCACTCTATGCAAGAGATATCCAGGCTAGCTTATTCTGTGTCTTAGCTCCTTTCATCATTCCCCTCTTTGCCTCTGCACGTTGACTTTCACAGACCCACTTACATATTCATTATTTCTTTTGGGGGTGGCACTACATCCTCCTAATCTGATTCCTCCTCTCTAGGTTCCTCTCTTGTGTTTTCTGATTCCTCAATGATCCTGCATCTTGATGCTGTTCCTCTACCTCACCTGTCAGGTCACATTTTAATTATACCTCAAGACTCAACTCAAATAACAACTCCTTTAAGTACCCCCTGCCCTCCTTCCCACCTCTTCGGGTTTCTCATCTGAGGATACACAGGACCTTGCAGACATTCATCACAAGGAGTATCCACATTGGCTTTATGCTTGCGTATCTCCCCACCTAGGCTGTGATTATGAGAGCAGGAATGACATTCTCTTGGTTTGTCAATTCTTTATTTAACTCGGTGTCTGGGCTGGAGGAGTCTAAGACATTTTTATTTACAAAAATTCATCAACAACTAAACAATTTCTCTCTGAAATTCCAAACACTAAACTAGGACCAACTATTTTACACCATATGGAACCTTTTACTTAAGACAGAACATTGTAAGAACTAAAGAAACTTAGCATTCAACAAAAACATAAAAATACTGGAGATTCAAGTCAGTTACTTATGAATGGGATGACATTAAAAGTGAAAAGTTTTTGACCAAAACGTTACATTTAAAACATTTCTATAACTTCATCCTAAAGTATGTCAGTAGAGTCAATATATAAATATCAGCTTATGTATTTCTGATTCTGTTAAGTTCTAGAATGCATCTTTCCACCTTATACAGCTTAAGAAAATTATTTCCAAAGCTAATATCCCAAAGGATATTAAGATAAATGAGTTTCGCAAACATAGTAAATAGAATTATTTTTACAATATTATATTATATACTTTATAGATCATCTGTTTTTATGTTTTAAAGAATTTCTTGAGTATTGTCATCTAATTGCATAAAATAAATACTTTAATTCTTATTGTGATCATCAACAATGACAAGTCCTCCCTAAAAGCAAAACAATGCCCTAAGAACCCTAGCATATTTACTATTTTGTTAACATTTTCTTACATATTCATTGTGATAGAAATATCTCCACTTTTAGATAAAATGCCATTATTAGAAATAAAAGAAAACATGAATATTGAGAAGCAATGTAGCATTGTCATCAAAAGCATTGACCCTGGAGTCAAATCTGGAAGCAGACATACACAGAGGGCTGTCACATTTGAACTATTTAACACAACTGAAAACCCATATTTACTACTGCATTCTCATGTATATTTTTATAGGCCTCAACCATTATTTTTACTAATAATATCAACGTAAAAATAATGAACAGAATAGTAATGTAATCTAGGCACAGCCAAATCTTTCCTTTTTAAAAATTTCACTCTGTGACTGGAATAGAAAGAAAGGGAAAGAAAAAGGAACCAAGAAAGTGTAACTGATTTTTTCATATTATACCATGTAGAGCAATTATCAACTTCTTTGTCCCTCTGTGACAGAACTGATTTCTATGCTTTATTCTGGTACATAAATCTAAAGGACAGGAAATGGAACAGAATAACAAAAACAAACCCCCAAACCTAGAATCATTATAAATAGAGTAGCATAAAGAGGTAGAAAGCTTTATTTTATGGCATGCTGCATTTGTTTCAAATACTTGATTTAAAACCAGACACTGCTGGAAATACTACATGACTTTCTTACTGGCAGGAGCTATTTTGAAATGATTGTAATATAAATAGGAGCAGAGAAGTTTACTAAATTTCCTTTTAAGGACATCCATGAATCAGGGCATTATAAAACTGGAAATATTGAAAAGGCTTTCAAAGATACTGTTTAACAGTGAAAGAAACGAAGAAGAGGTTACACTCTTGCTCATTCTTCGGTCTCCCTTGTAGGCTTCCCTTTCTCACATTCTAAAGAAGCTGCCATTAGCTTCAAAAAAAAAAAAAAAGTCTCGGGAAGGTGACCAGGGAGGGTGACGTAGAGTTCTGTTAACAGGCTAATTCAAGAACAGCTGTCAAAACCACACAGAGGAGAGCTAATCGGGGAGATAACTATTTGCTGTGCTGTAGGAGATTACCAAGTGAGTCTTTTAAGGCTATAAATTCAATCATTTAGTTGTATGAAATAGTTAACTGGCAAGAAAACAGCTATGACTCTCTGTCTATTTATGCCCCTGCCCACAGGCCATTTTTCAGACTGAATGGCTGAATACAGTATTACAGACTCTTACACCATAGGAATGAAAGTAAAATGTCTCCACTAACAACAAATGTTTCCTACCGCAAATAATAACCCAAATCTTTATTTTTACAAAAGTTTGATATATAAGAAAAGGAAACAAATCAGACTTTGCTTATTTAATGAGATAAATACTTCTTCCAAGTGTGCATGTTGCGTGTTTTTAGTTAGCAAGATTTTTTTTTTAAGGAATGATGAAAGTCAAAACATTTTTTAAAGCATAACCACCAATAGAAAACAGGAAGCCAACTTACTTGTCCTTTGTGCCAGCATTCCACTATCTCCTCATCCGTGTTCTTGCCTTCCAGGAGGGTTAACTGCTGAGCCCAGGTTTTCAGAAGGGCACTGAACTGTTCCAGGGCCTGCTCCAGTTGAGCCACTTGGCCTGAGAATTCCTGCTCCGAAAGGGCCATCTGGCTGACCAGGTTCTCCAAACAGCTCTGCGTTTGGAATACACTGTCTTCCCACTGCTTCCAGTCGGCACGCAGGGCCTGCATCTCCGTGTGCATGAGCTCACACCCACTGGCAGTTGTGTTCTGTTTCACTTCGGGAGCCAGCGACTCCACTCTGCTGAGACGGCTTGCACCAATCTCTCTGGAATCTATCAGCTCCTGTAATGGAATATCACCATGGTAACTGAAGAGCCTGTGAGTCACTTGGACTGCAAGTTTTCAACTGTGTACACAGGGGGACCCTGTCCTGCCAGGAAGTTTTAACAAGTGTGCCACAAGGACCCAGAATCAATTCATCTGTCCACTCTTAAATTATAATAGCGGGAGTTGTCATCACGAGTGCCTAAGGCTTATGGCAAAAAAATCCCGAGAATCCTCAATATCCTGAAACAGACTAAACAGAGACCCTGAAATCAGGCATTATTCGCACACGTGAAAATGTTTAGTGACTCAAGTGTTTGCCTGTGGTGGATTGCTCCTGTGAATGATTAAACCCATATTTCCCTCAAAGTGGATGCTCAAGTAAATAAAGATCGTGGCAGAACTGTGTTCTGCTCACGGTCTCTATACTCAATTCATCTTCTTCAACAGGGTGGTGGCTTAAATCACACTTCCATTCTACTAGGAATCAAGCAGACTCATCACAGCAAAAGAATGAGCCCTACTCGATTCCAAATACCTCAATACTAAGTAAACATTTTTGTAGCATATAAAATGAATAATTCATTCATAGACTGACTTACTCAAAAGTTTAAAGTAACCTCTAGACTGAGTACATTTATTAGTATTTTTTTACCTTAAAAAAGTCACTAGAAATTTAACAGTTTAGCTATAGCCAAGTTAACAATTTAGCTCGATCTTAAAGCACACAAATACTGTAAAGGAAAACAAGATAAAATTAAATCACATTGTTAAATTGATATAATTGCAGCATTTCTGAGAATAGATTCTCTTACTAAAATTTTTCTTGGTGAAATAATCATCCGATGTTTATATATTTACATATCTATTGCTAAAGGCAGGATTTTGTTAATATTATTACAAAATTATGACTTTACTACCGGATTAAATAGAAATAAAAGATAATCAGGCACAAAAATGTTCAAGAAGAAAATCAATGACCAATTAGCAAGTAAAGAAACATTGGAATGTTAAGTATGAAGCATGCTTAATAAATTATGTTAAGCATAAAGTATGTCTTAACTAGTCTATATAATATAGTTTGCATCTCATTAAATTAACTTGAAATAAATATATCTGTTCATAATTATATACAATAGAGCCATATTTTAATATAGATCATTTGAAAGTATTTAGTATTCAGTTGTGCAGTAGTCTAAATTACAATGACATGAAAACCCTTACACACAGCATGATATGTATATTCAACCTTCTCAGCAGCAGGATTCTAAAAACCATCACTGTTTATTAGTGTGTATAGTAGTTATTTGATGAAGAAAAAAATCTAACTTTTTAACCAGTGCTATGTCTAACTAATAGACCTTAATACTTGTAATTATTTTGCCTTTGTGAGCAATTTCAAATTTGAAGTTTCCCAAAATACTCTCTTATGCTTTATCCCAATTTTCCTTAGCATGAAAATGGAACACTTCAATATTTGCAATCAGAAATCTAGTCATTCAGAATTTGAATAAGGACATCATCATTGTCAAGAGTTTTGAAATGGCTTTTGCATATATTTTCTTATCTTGTATTTACATTTTTAAACATATGATATACACATACACACATATGTACATTCCCGCCCTCACACCCATATACATTTTGCTTTAGAGTTGCCTTTTCTCAGTGATTATTCCTGTGGATGTGATAGGTATGGTGTTGAAGGACAGAGGAGGTGCTTTATGTATTTCCTCCAAGGTTTTTAAAACCACCCACACACTAACCTACATTCAGGCTGGACCTGAACTTCTGAGAGGCAGTTTCTGATAGTCTTCACTTTCTCCATCCCAATTTCTTTCTGCCAATTCCTTCTCCCATATTCCTTGTCTTTATGGAAGCACTTTATAAAGGCTTTCTCAATAAAAAAGAGTATTTGTCAACCCAGGAAGCAGCCTTTGTGAAAGAATTATCTTACTTTCTCTTATTTATTAACTTTTTGAAACATTAGTCCATTTCTGCTATCTCCTCTTCCTCACTTGCCATTTACTCCTAAATCCATGTAACCTGGTTTCTCACCTTCCCTTGCTGTGCAAATGTTTCTCAGACTGGTTGCCCAACAGCCTCATTGTCAAACCTAGTTGGGATTCTTTAGTATTCCTCCTAATGGCAGCCTCCTGCTGTACCTGTGATGGCGACCACCTTCTCTACTTAGAGCCTCAGTGGCATCACACCCTCCTACTCTTCCCCTTCTTGTTTTTCCCCTCCTTTTTCTCTCTACCTTTCAAATCATTTTCTCCTATGGCTCATTAAATATTGGTAGTACCCAGCTTTTGGTCCTGTGCCCATTGTTCTATTTGCTCTATACATAGGTCTTGGTTTTATCTGTTTTAGTGGCTTTAACAACAAATTAGACACTAATCACTTTCAACTCCATGTCTTCTATCCGTCTTCTTAACCTGAAATTCAGTCTTGAATTTACAACTGCCCCCAAGACATTACTACTACCTGGCAGTTCAAACTGGATCTGATCATCAATGAACAGCTCATGTCTTCACCTCTATCACCAGGCTCCTCCGCATGCAATTATTTTCCTCAGGTGGTAATAGTCCTGTGGATTCTAGGCAAAGACTTGACCATCATCCTTGACTCTTCCCACCTTGTCATGCTATAGCCCATTAATCAATCATTTACCAAATCCACTGGATTTTCTTATTGGGTGTGTTCTATGTGCCAGGCATGATGCTACAGGTTTTATGTGTATGATCTAATTTGCTTGTCAAAACAACTTTATCAGACAGGTACTATTTTCATGTATGTATTTTTTAACCAATTGAGAGGTGGAGGCTTGAGGACATCAGGTAACTTGCTGACAGACACGGCTAGAAAGCCAATAGAAGGAGGATGTGGCATTGGGTTTCTTTGATTCCAGAGCCTGAACTCTAATAGTACAGTAAGCTCTCATTACATTTTTTGTATTATTTTATAAAGACCAGTTTGTGGATCGCTGTTCCTCACTAGACTGCAAGTTCCTTAGGGAATGCACAGTCCTGGCTGAATAAATGGATAGATGGGTAGATGGATAGATGGAAGGATGGATGAATAAATCAGAATATTACGAAGAAATGTATCAAAGAAGAATTTTAAAGAATAACACACAAAAAAAGGACTTAAAAAGTGGTTTTATGTGATTATCTCAGTTAAAACATACATAGTCATAAGATTTAAATAAGATAATACTTTTAAAGCACTTAGAAGCAGATCTTCAGGGACCGGGCACCATGGCTCATGCCTGTAATTCCAGCACTTTGGGAGGCCAAGGCAGGCTGATCACCTGAGGTCAGGAGTTTGAGATCAGCCTGGCCAACATGGTGAAGCCCCGTCTCTACTAAAATAAATACAAAAGTTAGCCAGACGTGGTGGTCAGCACCTGTAATCGCAGCTACTCGGGAGGCTGAGGCAGGGAGAATCACTTGAACCCAGGAGGCAGAGGTTGCAGTGAGCCAAGATCGTGCCACTGCACTCCAGCCTGGGTGACAGAGCAAGACTCCATTTCAAAAAAAAAAAAAAATAGATCTGCAAAATGTGGTTACAATTGTAACCATCAGCTATAATTTTTATGACTTTTATGTTCTGATCTTGGAATCAAAACACAATCTGAGTTTTAAATTCCTGGCCACAATTACACTATTTATTCCTAACATTTCCTCCTCTAAAACTAAACCACTGAGGATTTCATTGCTCCTTCATTTTAATGTTAAAATCCATTTTCCATGGGGGAAAATGATTACAATTTAATATTTAAGCAACTAGAAATTTACTAAAAGATACCAGAGTCTGAAACTCCCCCAGAAAGGTAAATTTCTGTTTTAGAAATTGTCCTTATGCAGAGTAAACGAGATGATAATTTTAAGGTCCTTTGAAGTACTCCCTTCTATTATGTTGTTGGATGTCGTCTAGAAAAGCAGAACAAAACATCCAGAATGACATTTTCAGGTTATTGTTAGAATACATTTAACTAAGTTACTATATAAACTTTTCTTCTATGGTGCTAAACAATAGTATCTGGTTTTGTCAGCCCACCAAATTAGCCATTTCCTAGCCTGTCATATTACGGCAACAAGCACATTTGCATACAGAAATGTAAAGACAATGTTACATTGTGCTCATAAGTGTAAAGTCTTTTGAATTCTTCTCATGACTCTTGTTTATGTGTAGAATCAGTGAGGCATCAAATAGAAAACAGGAAGGAAACATTTTAAATAACAGAATCTTATCTACAAAATCTTTATCAAAAGTACTCAAGAAGGAATGAAGCAATGTAGATATAGCATCTGTTCATTTCCTGACCTTAATTTTTGATAACTTTTTCTGGGTGGCTGATGAATCTCCAGACATATCTGACCACCGGTGAAGTTCTTCCTTTGCTGAATGGAGCCAATCTGTGAACTCGTGGACCGCATCTAAATACATTAGATGATCTTTCACAATCTCTTCCACTTTCCTCATTTTTTCCTAGTAAACAAAGAAAAGACTACCTTAACAGTGGTCCTTTTGAGAACATGAACTCAGGTAAGACAACAGGCCTGATAGAGGTCTCTTAACACATCTCAGAAAATTTCATTCTTGTTCTTGAATTTTCTCTGAGTTTAATATCTTAAGAAGAAACTATCAAATTTAACTAAATGTCAAGGCTTTGGAAAAGCAACTATTTTCCTGTAAGTTTACTATTTTCTACCTTAGTATGGAAATCATGCTTAATTCATGTTGGCTAACATCCCTCACTAAAAATCCTCTTAATAATTATTATCATAACCATTCTAATTAAAGCAATTATTTGTTAGCTTGGTGTACAGCAGTCTGTTCAGCACTTTAAATGCATTTGGTCATTTAATCTTCATAACAGTCCTGTGAGGAAGATACTATTATTATTATTATCTTATAGGAAAAGACACTCAAGCTTAGAGAGGTTAGGTAATGGGTAATTGTGGCCAGTCACACATTCAAAAGTGTCAAAGCCAGAATTCAAACTTAACGTCTTTTTGACTTGAGTCATAGCTCTTAATCATTAACAAGATGAAAACGAAGATAAACAAGCACATCTATTAATAATCATAATGTCAAGAAGAAAAGAGTCAGTTCCCAAGAAGGCAAACCAAAGAAAAGAAAAAGCAGCAAACAACAACAACTCTCTCCCTTAATTTCTATAATATTTACAAATATGCCAAAGAATAATCATGAAGGAAATGAAAGATTCATATAGAGAATTGGAAAGATATTTTTGATATTATATAAAGGAGTTTATACTTTGGAAAATAGAAACCGTTTTTACTAAGATGAGAGATGAACACAATATTTCGTACACGACTGAATCTTGACGGTAAATAGACTTGCATTTAATATAACAAATATAAGTGTAGCAAAAGAAAAACAACTTTAACGGCGACATTTGATGTGCAAAGTAGAGAGATTAACTAAAAAAGCGGAGAAAGAGAAAAATAAGCAATAAAGAATAATCCCAAGATTGTAGAAAGAGAAAAATGAATAGGCATTCATAGTAAGAAATGATCTTTATGTCATACCCATTTACTGAATGTACAAATAGTTTTAGAGCAGCCAATTCTCCAACAATTTAATCCACAGTTTCTTCTTTACCTGACCTTGGCAACAGTCATTATATTATTAATATAAATCAATATATTGTATTAATGTATTATAAAGCATCTACTTTCAATATAAAGCACTAACCTTGGCAACAGTCATTATATCATTAAACTGTGTTTTCAGCTCCTCTTGAGCTGTGTCCTTGAAAGACTCATCCTCTGTCTTTTCGTAGAGCTCCCTGGACTTCGCAATTAGACGGTGAAGGGCTCTCGTGTGATCTTCTGCCTCAGACAGGATGGACTGGAGGTGGTCAAGCAGGACGAACTTCTCTTTCAGACCTGGCTGTGGTTGTAAGGGATGTTCTATTTTTTGATCCACTGATTCCATCCACTGCTCCAACTGGTTTTTCCTCTCTACATAGTCATTCCATTGGCTAATCACAGACTCTAAAGTGCTAGAATTAATGTCACATATTAACAAAAATGAATTATTTTGACATCTCTACTGAAAACCAATCACAAAGTCGTGACATCCATGCCAATTGTTTTATTGAATGCTACTGGAAGTGATGAAAATGTTGCTTTTGAGTGCAGGGAGAAACACTACTTCTCTGATCCATAAGATCCTTACCACAGGTCCTTTGAACAAAGTCAATCTATATTAAAACATGAAATAAGAAGTTGTGGTCATACATGCATCTGGAATTTGTCTTCCAAATGCTAACTATTCTAAATGAGCAATATACATTTATATGTTATGTTGTTTAAAATCAGCATGGGAACATCAATGAAATTTTATTTCATATAGATCAGTTCTTAATTTTCTTGGAATTATCAATAGTTTATCTTATTAAAATCAGATGGTGATTATTTGTTGACTGGAATTCAAAATTCAAGGTATCCTTCCTGAGTAAATGATCTATCATTAGGTTGATTTTCATTTGGGGACACACACACACACACAATATACAGTGCTTTTGTGTCGAATGTGTGAATGAATGCTCAAGTATTTATAAGAAAAATAGTCACAAATATAATAGCTTTCTCCATAGTCAAACCAAACGCTCTCCAGACTGGCATTTAAGAAAAATCCCTCCATTATTAAGCATTACAAACTATTCTAAACTCATCTGCAGTGATTTCCCCAGCTCCCCCTGCATACAAGCCTATGAGTCTGAAATTAAAATCCTGTGGTAAATGAACTTCCAGTATTTGCTCAAACTGTTGCTTTTGCATCTTTGCATCCATTGATCCATTGGAACCTCATCATGCAGGCTTTACAGTCCTACCTGTTCCTCAAATAATTTTCTAAAAAGCACCCCCCGCCTTTTTTTTTTTTGACAGGGTCTTACTCTGTCACCAAGGCTGTAGTGCTGTGGTGCAATCATATAGCTCATTGCAATCTCTGTGTCCTCTGATCAGGTGATCCTCCCACCTCAGCCTCCCGAGTAGCTGGGACTGCAAGTGTGTGCCACCACGCCTGGCTAATTTTTATATTTTGTTTCTCTTTCTTTGAATTTTGACTGTGACTTCAGATAATTTTTGCATATTTTGTAGAGGCATAGTTTTGCCCCGTTGCCCAGAGTAGTTTCAAACTCCTAGGCTTAAGCAATCTGCCTAACTTGGCCTCCCAAAGTGCTGGGATTACAGGCATGAGCCAAGACTCTGCATTCTTCTACAACTCCACAATGTGTTTTGAAAATGGTTAGTAACATAGTCTGAGTCAGAGTATTCCAAAATACATCCTGTGCTGGTGTCTGAGCTTTTAGAGGGCAAAAACCTTTCTGTTTTATTTCATTATTTTAATGCAATAATTTGAACATTGCTATCACTCAATATGTCACTGTCAAATTTAATTTCTTGCTGAAATAGTGGAGTCAAGGACCAGAGTCTGCTTCCTGCATGTAACATCTTATTCTAACATCTGAAAAATATCTACCCATATTCCTATGAAGTTTTAGGAAACTGGCCTAAGCCAAGCCTCTGGAAGCTTAGTTCACGCTCCAGCAGTCTATGATATAGAGTAAGACAATGATAGCATCTGATTTTTTTTCTTTGCTGACCATTGTGAGTTATTACTAAGATGCAAAATCCTGCTGACTTTGAGAGTCACTGCCTATGCTCCATATTAAATGAAAAAACAACAATAATAACAACAACAAAAAAACCCTCCAAATTGTTAGTTGTAACCAGGGATTTTTGTTCACATTGCCGTGGATAACTGTAGTGTTATTTTTGTTTTGCTTTGTAATGAACTTGAATTTTCTTTAAATATTTTTAAAATTTTATTGTAGGTTCAAAGGTACGTGTGCAGAGTTGCTGTATAGGTAAACTCGTGTCATGGGGGTTTGCTGCCCAGATTTATTTCATTGCCCATGTACTAAGCCTAGCATATGACAGTTATTTTTGCTGCTCCTCTCCCTCCTCCCACCTTCCACCCTCAAGGAGGCACCAGTGTCTGTTATCCCCTTCTTTGTATGAACTTTAATCTTCTATTCATCTATTTTGTTATGATCACATTGGGCACCCAGTGTGTCAATGATCTAACAGGATATATAACCATCAGAATATGGCTCTTTTTTACTGTAATTCAGACTGATGGTCATTTGTCCAACAAATGAGCCAGATTATTTATGGATACTCTGAGAAGAGGGAGGTAGGGAGAAATCTCTCACTTATAATTACAACAAAAACACTACCTGGTATAACAATCAAGGACTTCCCTGCTTCCTCATCAACATCTGGTACAGATGATTTTCAACAGAGGCTCTACGGCTGGGCTCTATTCTGGATGGACTGACTCTTGGTTGTGGGAGAATGTTCCACACTTTGTAGGATATGAGCTCTCTGTGCCTCAGTCACTAAATGCCAGGGATATTCCCTCGTCACTGTGACAATCAAAACCATCCTACACATTTCCTATAATGCAAATGGGCGTAGTATGACTTCTAGTTGAGGAATAGATTTACGACTAAGCTCAACAGCTGCCAATAGCTTAATTTTCCATATGTTCCTTAAGCTAAAATGTATTCAAGTTATTAAAGAACCATATATTCTTGCTTGGATGGCTTGAAAGGAGATGTTTTGCTGAGCCCATGTCACATAAGATTCCAGAAGAGATAATAGGTAGATTTAAATATTTAAAAAATGCAAGTAAGAACACAGAAACAAAGCAATAACAAGCAAAAACCAGTCATCGCCCTATGGAAAACACAACTTAGACAAAGACAGGCATGCCTACAAGCTACAGTAAAATGCTTGGGAATTCCACCCCAGGAGACCTCAGTACTGCTCCATCATTTTACTAAGTCACTGCATTGGACTTAAACAAACTCTAAAAATAGGTTCTGTACCTTTGAGCGTGGACGGAGGAGCTCATGATGTCAGCCCACACTTCTTTAAGGGTCTCTAACTGAGTCTGAATCACCCTCTGACCTTCTTTGTTGCTACTTCTCAAGGCCTGTTCCCCCTTGCCAATGGCCATATTCAACTTAACTTCCCCTTCACCTTTCATCAGGAGAATATCCTGGGAAGGAAGAAAGAATACTCATCAGTAGGCATGTAAAAACCTTCTTCTATTTTAAAAAAATGGTAGTTTTCCATAAGAATTGAAGTAGGAATACTTTACTTACCTTAAAATGAAAACAACAAACTCTGGGCCCTATTGCAATATAATATTGACTCAAAATTAGGTATCTGGGAGTCTAGGAGTCAAAGATTAATTCCAATATAAATTCTTAGAAAACTAGGACCACTAGCCTAGAAAGTATAATTTTATTGACTTCAGTTTCAAAGAGTGAAAATACATTCTTTTGAAAATGAAGACACATCTGTCTAAAACCCAGCAGTCCCCTACATTAATTGGCTGGCTAATTTCTCTCTTTCAAGGTCAGCTTCATTGGCTATAGTCTGGGTTGGTGATCTCCTCTGAGCTTTCAATATACCCTTGATGGCTTTAATCATGGCCCCTACACACGGACTGTATTGAAAGTAACAATTTACAGATTGGTGTCTTCCCTAGACTGTGAACTCCTAGAAAATGGGTCCTAACTTTTATCTCTATATTCCCAGCAACTTGCAGAGTGCTTGGAGCAGAGTAGATATTCAGTAACGCTTGCTGAATATTTACTAAATCAAATTTAAAATTATTTAAAGCTATTAAAATAACATTTTCCTCTTACAAAGGGGAAAAATGATGCCTCTGTATCCTTTTTTGCCCAATTTCTCCATTTTGCCCACACAATCCTCATTTAGAGGCTTACAGAACAATTAGGACACAACACAAGCACTTGTGAATCTAATCAAATTAGCATTCAGCAGTTGTCAGTGTCTGGCTGGTGTCGCATGTACCTGTATTTGTGACAGCCGTTTCTCCAGGGTGTCTTTGCTCCCAAGAGTGCTCTCTGCACAGGCCAGTCTGTCCTGAATGGCCTTCACCCAGAACCACATGCTTTGCAGTGCTTCCTCCAGGGCTTCGTGCTCCTGAAGGGCCACCTGGCAGCTCCGGAGTTTCTCTTTGGTCATTCTAAGTAGGTTCTGGTGGCTTGTGAGGAGCTGGGAACACAGGCGGCCCTCCTGCCCAGCACCGTGGCCTTCTTCACTCAGAAGCTGCCCTCTCTGGGAAAGCTTATCAAGAGACTCTCTGAAAAAAAGGAAAAAAAAAAAAAAGAAAAAAAATTAATTCTGACATCCTGGAGTGCAGGGGAGTGACAAATGATTGTTGATATTGGAGCAGTAACCAGACACAGGCTCATAGCTGACATGCCTTTTAAATAAAGATGCTGGGAACTGACCTGGTTATTTCATTCTCTTATGATCTCTCCTAATGTTGTCAGTACCTATCAGGGGATAACATTCAGTCTGTGCTGTGCCTGCATCCAAATAGCAGTGGTGGAGCCTACTGTATTACTTACTGTATTTCCAGAAATTTAATTCAGAAAATGGTCCCAGCTGCCTCTTCAGGCTTCTCCGTAGCATCTCTGCATTCCTATTTAATGGTCAGATGAGGAAAAGCTCCCTGAAATTCTCAAAACCCCTGCTGTCTTGTATCTACATGGAGATTCCTCCTTTATGAAAACCCTTCTGCTCAGCACTGTTGCATTCCTAGTTGCCTGTTCAAAGCTCGGCGCAGGCATCACATCCCCAGGAGCATCCACACCAATTCAGGGTGGGTGGGGATTGTGGGACCTCTTTGTGCCCTCTGCTCCTTGTCTTGCTCTATCGCCATGTATGCCGACTATCTCAATCCAAAAGCCTTTCACTTTCTAAAAGCTAGGGCCATTATATTCATCTTATGTTCCCAAGACCCAACACAATATTGTGCAGAGACTAAGTGCAAAAAAAAAATGTTCTTTCGAAAAGCTGTTGTAGGAGCACTTATGAGCTTTCTTGTTATATCTTGTGTATTGAGCTCATCTTAGTTTGGAGCCATGTTAATTAGATCAAGGGGAAAACGTAAGCACTATGTGGCTTGGTTGGTTTTATTCCCATTTTATAGAGTTCTGAATTCTTATCTGCACATTTACCAGGAAAAAGCCCAGGATATCAGAGGGTAGCATGGGATGTCTTAACATAAACTATTGTGACTACTAGAAAAAGAACACAAAGCAAATCTCTCGTGGAAACTGAATGTTTCAAATTTTTTTGGAGTGGCTGTTATGCAAATATATCCTATGGGCCACCCTGAGATCTGCTAAGAGTTATACAACAAGACACCTACTCTGTAACAAACTTGCACATCCTGCACATGTGCCCTGGAACTTATAAAATAAAATAAAATAAAAACACCTACTCTAAAAGACATTTATTATACTTGTTATCTGTTTGGTGAGACAAGAAGGTGGCTTAAGCAATGATTTGAGTTAAATAATAATTCAAGAAAAGAGATTTCCCTTCTTACTATGAGATAAATTGCTTAATGCATGATAAAAATTCAATGAGTCTTAAGCTGAGGTACTTTTATATAGGGCATTTCCTTAAAATATTTCAAGTAGTGAAATATTATGGTGAAAAGAAATCTAGAAGACTGGGAGGAGCAAGCAGCAAGCCAGTGAGAGAAGTCAGGTGGCCCCGTGGAGAACCTGAATGAGCAGAACAGTGTGTTAGGATTGTCTGCAGAAGTGGCCAGGATGGAGAGAAAGCACCCAGAAACAAGCACACTAAGATCTCTTAGCATCTGGTCCTGGAATATCAGACTGAAACTGCAAGAAGGATTGCATGCTTATCAATGCGAAAAAGTCGCAATTATTAGAAAAACAATGAGGAACATAAAAGACCTTGAATTTGGTGTTGAAGTATATTTGGGCCACTTTCTCTAACGCAGTTTTGGTGTAATGATGGCAGGAGAAGCAGATACAGAGGAAGGTAATGAGCAGCCTGTAGAGACGAAATAAAAGCTGAGACTATGGAAAACCATTTAAAACATCTGGAAGAAGGGAAGTAGGTCTGGGTGTGTTATATTGTATCTAGACACGAGTCAACATTTAAAAAGCAAAATTTAAGTGCAATGTAGTTTTCAGAAAGTTATATGGTTGCAATGATGCTAGTATTCTGTTAATTCAGCAAACATTTTCTATTTTCTGGCACTATACTAGATAATGAACAGAAATGATATAGATCTTAAGTCACTGATCTTGAGAAACTCATAGCTGGAAATTGGGGTTCATAGAGTAAATGAAGAGCTTACACTATAGTAAGGGCTCATAGAGATGTTCCAATGTATTTCAGGGACAATTTATAGCAGTCATCAAACTAGCATACCAACAAGTAGTTATCAGCATGGGTTCTTTTGTGCATTTGTTTGTATGTTTGTTTTTCAAGACAAGGAATACTGGGCATGTTTGACTAAAAAGAGGACTCAGTGGAAACAGAAAATGACTATGATCTGAATTCTGGAATTTCTTTTTTTATTTTTATTTTACTTTAAGTTCTGGGATACATGTGCAGAATGTGCAGGTTTGTTACATAGGTATACAAGTGCCATGGTGGTTTGCTGCACCCATCAACCTGTCATCTACATTAGGTATTTCTCTTAATGCTATCCTTCCCCTAAGCCCCCATCCCCTGACAGGTCCCGTTGTGTGATGTTCCCCTCCCTGTGTCCATGTGTTCTCATTGTTTAACTCCCACTTATGAGTGAGAACATGCGGTGTTTGGTTTTCTGTTCCTGTATTAGTTTGCTGAGAATGATGGTTTCCAGCTTCATCTATGTCCCTGCAAAGGACATGAAACTCATCCTTTTTATGGCTGCATAGTATTCCATGGTGTATTTGTGCCACATTTTCTTTATCCAGTCTATCACTGATGGGCATTTGGGTTGGTTCCAAGTCTTTGCTATTGTGAACAGTGCTGCAGTAAACATACATGTGCATGTGTCTTTATAGTAGAATGATTTCTAATATGATTGTTTCTGACTTATTTGATAAAGTAGAGTGGGTGCTATCCTCTTCTGCTTCTTATGTAGATGCACTGGCTCTTTAAGAGGACAGGTAATGAGCCCAAGGAGCCAAAGCCAAGCTGCACTTCCCTGTGGAAAGTATCCTATCTTCCAAAGGAGAGCAAGCAAATGAAAATGCCAGGGGTGGAGCACAAATTTGGGAGCAAAGCCCTCAATGTAGGGTCAAAAGCACAGATCAGGGAACTTTGCCTGGGAAAGGAGCCAGAAACGTTTTCTCAGTGGGAAGCAATGAAGAAATAAATACTGTAGTTGGGAACAGGGACCACAAAGAAAGTCAGACTTGACCATACCTTTTACTTTATTAAGATTACAAGGATGGGTGGGTGGGAAATGGAACTGGAAGCTGAAATGTGTGAATAACATATGGAAATTGACATATACAGTACTCTTTTTTTTTTCTTTTTCCTTTTTTTTTTTTTTTGAGATGGAGTCTCACTCTGTCACCCAGGCTGGAGTGCAGTGGCATGATCTCGGCTCACTGCAACCTTTGCCTCCCGGATTCAAGCAATTCTGCCTCAGCCTCCCGGGTAGCTGGAATTACAGGTGCCCTCCACCACGCCCAGCTAATTTTTGTATTTTTAGTAGAGACAGGGTTTCACCATGTTGGCCAGGCTGGTCTCGAACTTCTGACCTCAGGTGATCTGCCTGCCTCGGCCTCCCAAAGTGCTGGGATTATAGGCGTGAGCCACCGCACCTGGCAAGCACTCTTTTTTTCTTTTTTTTATCTTTACAGTCACTGTGAATTTGTGGTTTTCTTTCCTTCATATCAGCTTCACATTATGTTAATTGATCCTCAAAATAACCTCAGAGAGGAAAGTACAGTATTATTAACACAATGTTTAAAGGCTAAAATCAAGAGCAACAGGAGATAAGTGACCTGCCCAATTTCTTGAACAAACAGGAGGTGGATCTGGAATGCAGATGAGCTTCTTACTTCCATCCTGCACTCTCACCAGAATACTGCACTGCTGCAAAGAGTGCAGCATAGTCCTCTGTATTCCAGACATTCAAGGACAGCACAAACCACTACCCACAAACCAACTAACTAACCAATCAAAACCAAACCAACCAACCAACCAACTAGTCTAAAACATGGTAAGAGGTAAAGGACCTGTTCCATTTCTGGACCATACCTTGCAGCCAGCAGTTCTCCCAAAAACATTTCAACTTTATGAACTTCATTTTTCTTCTCAGGAATGTGCTGTTTACTCTCTCCCAAGTTTTCCGTATTGAACCTTTCTTCCATTTCATGGATCCATAAGTTCAGTTTTCTGTGCTGATCTTCAAAGCTAAGGGAAAGAAAATGCCTTAGAGAAATTCTTACATGCTTGTTATGATAAATTACTTTTAATAGCTGAGGTCACAATGTCTTTTAAATGGCAATTAAGACCTCATGAATGTTCAAGTGACAAAAACAAAACAAAACTTAACAACTAACCCACCCAAATTATCACTTATTTTAATAACAAAGTGAAAATCATGACAATTTCTTTTGAGATCCAAGCAGGAAAAGAATCATCTCACCTAGCTGAACTGATTTCATAGCTGGTAATTGCCAACAAGATCACATTCCCACGTCAATGAGCACTTAATTTTGTGTCTTACTACGAAGACCCCTGAATTGGGGCCAATGGATATGAATTGATTTCATAGCTGGTAATTGCCAACAAGATTACATTCTCATGTCAATGTGCACTTTAATTTTGTGACTTACTACAAAGACCCTTGAGTTGGGGCCAGTGAATAAGTAGGGCAGTGGAGTCCCTGGGAAGAGAAGGGAAAGTGGCCTCTGTGTCTTTGTTTCTTAAGGGATTTTCAAATATATCTCAAGAGCTCTAAGTTTTGGAAACAATGTAAGCTCTCCAAGAAAGCTGGGCAAGAGTCAGGCAAATTATTCTGCCATCAGAAAGACAATTTGATTCTACTGACATCTTTTCTCACCCTAGTCATAGGTGGCTCTTTCTCCCCTTCTAATCGTATATTCACCATATATTACTTATTGGAATCTAGATCCACAGAATTCAATCATTGTTTTCTGCTATGACTCTATCCCAAATGAAGTGGATACAAGGAAAAACCTTGTATAATCTAAAAATTGAGGTGTCAGAACTTTATATATTGGTGAACCAAATAAAAATTATATGCATTTATATAATTTTCAGTTACTAGTAAATATAGTTTGTTTTCTCTATATTAAAAAAAGCCAAGTCATAACTTCAGAGTCCGAAAAATTGATTATTGCCCTAGTATCACCTGTATTTATGATCAAAGCTTATTATAATTTAAACTCACAGTGTCAAACGTTATTTATTTATTCACATGACTCTTTTCTCTAAGCCTTTAAAAACACACTTGGTGTATGATGAAATCTATGTTTGTTAAACTAACCTACCTTCCAAGTTCTGAAGCACAGTCTTGAAGAGCCTGCTTATCTTTAAGGCATTGTTTCAGAAATGCTTGAAACTCTTCATTGGCCTTTGTGATTTGTTCTTGAATGCTACTGACAATTTGTTTAGACAAATGTGCATACAAAGTTTGTCCTTCTTGAGTCACTGCATCAAGTTTGCTCTGCCCATCACTGACTGAGTCCAAAATGTTCTGTTTCAGGAAATAAAGGTAATAGGTCCATGGGACTATGCATTACAATTGTGAGCTGAAGTAGTAAAGCAGGAGAAGAAAAACAGAGTCCAAAGGAAAATGGCTTAACAAGGCTGGAGTAAAAATGATGCATACAATTGGGCACAACCAAGGCTCCTCATTGAGAATGGTGTCAGCCAGCCACTGGAACCACTGAGGACAAAGTGTAAACAAGGCTGAGCTGGAACCGAGGACGTTCTCACCAAGGTCTTGTTCTCAGTCTCTCCCCATTCTCACTGTCCCAACATGGTCCAGGTCCACCATCTCTCAGGGTTCATGTGAGATCCTCTACCTGGTTAGCTGCCTCCAGCCCCTCCCCTGATCCACCCTGCATGCGAAATCCTCAGGCCCTTTCTTTTCCTGGTCTGCATCTCTTTCTTGGAAAATCTATGCTTGGACAGGGCTTTGACAAAGCAAAAGAATTCCAGAGTCCAGGCCTAGCCCTGCCTCTCCCCAGAGCTCTAGAGTGGTATGTCACCTGTTACTCAGGCATTTCCTTGTGGCGTTTGCTACACCTCAAGCTTAAAAGGAGACAATTCTACATCTGAATTCTCCACACCTCCTGCAAAACCAGCTTCCTTTACTATAACGATCTTTCTATCGTTAACTTCTAATCTAATGAATTTTCAACATCATTTTTATCCCCCATTAGGCCACAAAATCCTCATGGTTCTCATTAGCTTTTAAAAATGATTTATTTTGGCCGGGCATGGTGGCTCATGTTTGTAACTAGCACTTTGAGAGGCCAAGGCGGGTGGATCACCTGAGGTCAGGAGTTTGAGACCAGCCTGGCCTACATGGTGAAACCTCGTCTCTACTAAAAATACAAAAATTAGCTGGGCATGGTGGCACACACCTGTAATCCCAGCTACTTGGGAGGCTGAGGCAGGAGAATCACTTGAACCCAGGAGGTGGAGGTTGCAGTAAGCTGAAATCATGCCACTGCACTCCAGCCTGGGTGACAGAGCAAGACTCCATCTCAAAAAAAAAAAAAAAGAAAAAGGTTACTTTTTAGAATACTTAACATAGTGCTTTACTCGGATTAGCTGCTTGACAAGCTTGGCCAAAACCTAACTTGAGCCTATTCTTCTGTAAATCATTTCTTAACTCTACTTCACCATGGCCTTCTCCTTCCTAAGCTCATACATTTTCAGTCAGTAAAACCTATAAAACCTGTAATATCTATTATTTTAGTTTGAATATCTCCTATCTCTAACTATAGACCATAAATTACTAAAAAACACAAACCATGTCTTCTTCTTTTTAAAACTCCTCCACAATAGTCATATAATACAGATACAATTATTATACTCTTATTGTTATAAAAATTAAAACTAGGTTTAGTTTAGAATGAATTTCAAAGAATTGTCAATAGGCTAAAAAAAGAGAGGAAAGGGATCTGGAAATTCTGTAGCCCCAACTTGTTTCTCAACATACTTATCATGTTGTCTATTTCCTTCTGACTCAATCAGCCTAATTCTGTTAGGGACGAGGAAAAGATTGGCTCAGATAAGATTTGGGAAATGAGATAACTTAGGTCTGCCTGCAGGCACCTGAGTACATTTTGGGGAAGAAGGAAAAGGATGTCAGCTTCTATACCTGAAGATCATGGAGCTTTGCTTCTAGAACTTTGCTGTCACCGGTGCGATCTGATGATTCTTTTGCTGCTGCCTTTGCTCCCAAAAACCATTCTTGGAATTCCTGCATAGACTCTTTTGAAAGAAAAAATAAATAAATAAAAATAAAAAATCAGAAGCAAATCCAAAACATTGAATGGGCTCCCAGGATTACCACATGAATTATTTCTGGCCTTTAGCTCATCTCCTCTTGCCTTACAAAATATTCCACAAAGAAAATAATAATATATAAAGTAATACAGTATGATCTACAGCCATGAATGTTCATGGTAGAATTGAGAAGTTATCTCAGAGGAAAGACTAAAAAGAAATGTATGTTCCTGGAATGTCTAATATCCTGTTGTGTTTTCTCTTTGGGTCAAGAAAAATAATTAATTGCCTGAATATGTAAAAAGTGCAAGGAGAGAAATGCTCCAGGGACATTAAAGCCATTTTGATGGCACAGGGAGGAACCACCTCCTCTTTTGGGGAGTCATGGTGGATCCATGTCAGGCACAGCTGTGTGGAAAGCAGAGGCAGGGCCACAGGATGGGCAATTTCCTGGACCCTATGGCTGCCCTGTTTCATGGCTTCTACCAACATCTAAGTTTATTGTGTCACTTCATCATAGCATAAAAAATTTCAGCAGTTGTTTGGACAGTGGCTGCTGGCCACTTGAGCAGTGGAAGTAATTTTCCACACACATGAGCTATATATAGAAAATGCAGATGAAATTCAGAATCATCAAGATGGTGAACTCTTGCTTTCTTGGGAAAAAGAGGAAAAAGAAAGAAAAAATTCTGCATAGGGTGAGAGCCTCCAGCACAGCACTTCTATTGCTCAAATCGCAAAGCACAAACAAATTTGAAATGACACCCTGGAAAGTTTCCTCAAACTTTTGCTGGCAGTTTCTAGGCAGCATTTGGTTTGGATTCTTTCTCGGAAACAAACTACTCATGCTAAGGCCCCTCAGAACTCACCACTGAAGTGTTTTTCCAGAGATTCCTGCAGGCTGGCCTGGGTTTTGGAGCACAACTGGCTCACGGCTTCATGTTTCTTTATCAGACCAGTCATTGCACGGCCCAGGCTCTCCAACTCAGCTGAGTGGTACTTGCGGCACAAGCTATTGAGATTTTCTTGGGTAGAGCTGATGTTGCTTTGTTGACTTTGAAGTTCTTTTTGTATATCCTACAGAATAAAAGTATATTATGAAGGATATTCATAACTTGAGAGAAATACTCCATTTACTTCACTATGGTACTGTTTTACAATCTGAAATTGACATTGTTGAATCCACTCCATGGTGTATACATTTTGGTGCGTTTTTGAGTACTTGTACTAGATCTGTACTGATTCTTTCAGAATTTTGCCCAGTTCTCCTTGGGAACAAACAGCTGTTGGGAAGTAGTTAGGAGGTGAGGTATAATTTAGCATTTCAAGCAAACTGAATAGGTCCTTATAGATTCCAGTCCATGATCTTGGGTTTAGTCAATTGATTAGAGACCATCGCAGTTCACATTCTTCAATGAGACACTTGAACTTTGTTTCAGAGTCACGTGCTCACCAAAAGCACCAGTAGTTAATTTAAAAAAAAAAAAGGAAAAAAGACCTCAGTTTCTAGTACAGTAAGGAAATATGCTAAAAGAGAACAAATTGCATTTGTTGAAAAGTCAACTCAGTGCTTGTCCTTTACAGATAGCTAATTAGGAATGTTATCTATTAATATGGATAGGAAACATGAAAATGGGCCAGGTGTGGTGGCTCACACCTGTAATCCCAACACTTTGGGAGGCTGAGGCCAGTGGATCATTTGAGGTCAGGAGTTCGAGACCAGCCTGGCCAACATGATGAAACCCATCTCTACTAAAAATACAAAACTTAGCTGGGCATGGTGGTGGGTGCCTGTAGTTCCAACTATTGGGGAGACTGTGGTAGAAGAATCACTTCAACCTGGGAGGGGAGGTTGCAGTGAGCCCAGATTGTGCCACTGCACTCCAGCCTGGGTGACAGAGTGAGATTCCATCTCAAAAAATAAAAATAAAAAAATAGAAAACATGGAAATAGAATGTTTTCTCAACTTCTTCTTTTTCAAAAAATATACATTATCTGGATGAAAGAAGTCACAGTGACCAATAAATATAATTAAGTGATGAAAAACTATTGGATACTCAAGTTTGAAAATTTGTGGAAGTCACATAGTTCTTCCAGAGGCTCCACCCTTTTATAAAAAAGAAAAAAAAACTTTGAACAAGCATAGACTCTGAGCAGGCACTACAGCAACACATGCTTTCTATTTTCAAGGTATTCATTTTTGATTTCTGAACACCTGCACCCAGTTCTTCACGTGTTGCTTACTTTGCTGTGTTCAATGTCATAAATAAGTTGGTCTGGTGTTCATATGGGTAACTGAGAGCAGAGGTTATATTTTTTATTATAGTCACCACAAAACAGAACTACAATCACCATTTGAATGGAAGCACTTAATGATAGTTTATTACCTACCTTGACTTTTTTCAATGCTTCACAAGTCTCATTTTGGGCACAGTTCATCAACGATTCTTCCACTTTTGTGAACCATGTTGTTATGTCATTAATAAACTTCTCCACTTGTGTACTTTGAGCCGTGAAATCCTTCAGGGTTCCTTTTGCTACTTCAGTTATTTCTTTGGCATGCTCCAGTTTCTGCATTAAGTCTGCTTCTATAAACTAAATATCAAGCAAGATTTCATCAATATCTCTGAAGACCAGAAGAATACTCATTCAGTAGAAATTCTGTTCACGTGCAGCTTAATTGTCAAAGCCACACAAGTCTCATCATGGAAGCCAGCTCCAATGTTAATATGCCTTTCCAAGAAGGAAAATCAGTGGACACAGTTGCCAAACACATGAAGTGATGGGCAAATAGAAAGAGGAAGGATTGTGTTAACACTGGGTGGGAGAGTGGAAGCTCTAACTGAGGTTCCAGGGAAGATGTGAGAGGGCATTCTGAAAGTAGAGCTAGACCTACCCAGAATTCCCAGGTGGTGACCAAAAATCTGCTCTTGATTCTCCCTGGAAATACCCATTGTCTGCTCAGATGTAACACTATCTGGGGCAAACATCACTGTAGGATTTTATCATAAAACAATTTTATTTTTGTCCCCACTGTTGCTTTAAAATATTGAGTGGGGCTAGTTATTCTCTTTTCCCTGGATGATATAGCTGAGGAGGGTCGACTTCTATGGCCCCCTAGTTAGTCAAAGGACATATAGTCACTATACATTGAAAAACAATCTCAATTCCACAATTCAAACATCCTGGCCTATTTGGTAATGAAAACTTTGAACTTAACTTAAATTGAAGGCTTCTATTCTTACCCCCACCTCAGATCTGCTGGGAGCAGGAGACCAACAGTGTGGAAGGGAGTAAATATCTTTCTTTCTCTTCCTTCATTTTATTTCTATTCTGCCACCCTGTGTAAGGCTTCTTTCTCCCATAGGCTCAGACTGGCAGGAGGCGGGTGAGGCATTCTGACTCACTGGATGGGCATCTGTGCCCTCTAGGCCAGGCAAGGTTTAGCATTCATTCCTCCTCCCATAGGCCTTGGTCTTGTGTTTTTCTGACTTTTTTCATGCTTGGACTTCCCAGTGAAGTTCCCTAGACACGACAGTGCGCTGTTCTTTGGCTCTTTACTTTCTCATTCCTCAGCCTGGAGGCCTTTCTTTAACTTCTCATTGCTAAGGTCTGTTTATCCTCCAGATAGCCTTCTTAGGCCACCTATAATATCCTCATATGGTGGTCTCTTCCTTTCTTTTCCTCTCCTGGTTCATATTTGGGCCAGAGTGACCTCTGGCATTTACCTCCAACTAACTTTGAGGTGCAGGACCCCACAAGCCATCATTTATCCTTTGGCAAATATAGCAGCAGTTAGCCAGCCTGTCTGTCACTTTTAGGATTCTTTGGGGGATAGAGATCAGACTCCCATGCCTGCCAAATGCAGGGGACAAATATCCTGTTCTTCAGGTGGCACTGCCGGAACCCTTCTGCCTTGAGGTAAGGTAAGCCACCCCCTCACCTCTTCCTTGAGTATACATAGGGGTGCATGTATGTGCACACGTGTGTGTGTGTGTGAGAGAGAGAAAGACAGAGAGAGAGAGAAACAGAGAGAGAGAGAGAGAGAAAGGAAGAAAGAGAAGACTAGAGTACACCAATAACTCTCTGAAGATCCTGCTCAACTCTGTAAAAGTCCAACTGTTAACCATTGATATCCCCAACACAGGCGGCATGCATAAGGACTCTTTATCTTTTTTGCATATGGATAGCACCTCCTTTGTGTCTTCTTACTTCACACGAAACTTCTAGCATTCCTGTGCATGTATATCATCCCTAATGGTACTGCTGAACAAGCAGTCTCAGGTCAGAGCAAAAGCATAACTGATCAACTAGATTGATTGCTTAGCCCAAAGTAGCAAATCAAAGAGAAAGCACAAGAAGAAGAAAGGAAATGTAGAGAAAATCAACAGAAGCAGCAACACATATGGAAGCTAAAGGGATGCAGCAGAAACCTGAGCCTGGAGCCAGTGGGGCTGCCAGCCAAAAGAGACCCACCATGCTGGATGCTTCCAGGGCTTGGGCACTGAAGTAGCCCAGGTGTTCTGACCAGTGCTGATCTACCCTGGCCTGCTTCATGGTTCCCGTGGATTTGTGCCATCTGAAGGGCCGTGAAGGGAGGTTTATAGTGGTGATCCCTCTAAACCCAGTTATTCAGTAACAGCATTAGGAAAATATCAATAAGAACATCAACATTCATAAGAAGGGTTTCTAGGCTGGGCGCAGTGGCTCACACCTGTAATCCCAGCACTTTGGGAGGCTGAGGCAGGCAGATTGCATGAGCTCAGGAGTACAAGACCAGCCTTGGCAACATGGCAAAACCTCCTGTCTACAAAAAATTTAAAAAATTAGCCTGCCATGGTGGCACGTGCCTGTAGTCTCAGCTACCAGGGAGGCTGAGGTGGGAGAATTGCTTGAGCTTGGGAGGCAGAGGTTGCAGTAAGCCGAGATTGCACCACTGCACTCCACCCTGGGTGACAGAGTGAGACCCTGTCTCAATAAACAAACAAACAACCAACATCAAAAACACCAAAAAAAGAGGGGGTTCTGTTCCTGTCTAGACATGAAATGGTCCATGAGGCAACTTGGCTGAAATGCTTCCGAAATTCAGTAGGCAAAAAAAGAACTACCCTTATTATAATATTCGAGTTGGAAATATGCTATTAATACTGGCTGAAGGAATGTGGAAATATATTAATATTTTGACTCCCATGTCTGATACAATCCACATGTTTCCTTGGAATTATGGTGATGATGATAACATCGAGGACATATAAAGGAGATATACATATATATGATATATATATATGAGATACATATATAGATGTATATGAGATATATGTATCAGATATAGATATATACGAGATATAGATATATGAGATATATATATATACACACACACACACACACACAGAGACAGAGAAAGTCTAGTATATGGTAGTAATTACAAAATGGATGGAAGTCTAGTAGTTATTACAAAATGCTTACCTGAAGGTCTGGCGGTGTTTCTAGATTTTTAGTTAATTCTTTCAGATCATTAACTTTGGAATGCAGTTCTTCCAATCTCAATGCTTTGTTTTTAACTTCAGACTGCCAAAAGGGAAGAAACATAACTAATCAAAAACACTGACATGCTATATTTGGCATTTAATAATTTCAAGAAGAGCTAACTTTGTCGAAATACCCCAACTTTAAGCCAGTGTAAAAAAAAATCTGTTTCATTTTTCTGAGGGCTGTTATGATGTACAAACGTGGAAAATGTTACAATTAATGTTCACTGGGAATGTGAAGGAGTGTGCAGAACTTTGTTTTTCTCCACTCCTTTGTATTAGGAAAAAAAAACCTCCTGGAAAAAAATTAAACACTGACCCAAAGTCTTGAGTCAGTGGGGATTTTCAATAGGCTAACTGTCATTTATTCATTAACTTTAATATTACTGGTTACTATGGCAGCATGAAACTCTTGAAGAAGCATTTCAAAGCAAGTACACATCAGGAGTGCCTAGTTATTATAGACTATGTGTAATATGAATGAATCGTTTCAAATAAAAATTTAAAGGATATTAAAGCAGAAACAGATTCATTACGATATTGATACATAATATTTTGCCTTTTTTTGCACCAACAGTAACATAAAGAAGAGGAAAGAAGATCAAAGAATTATGAAACAAATGAGATGCTTGTAAACTTCATTAGTTATATGAAACCACAAAGGGGCATTTAATAAACTATTCCTCTCAAAAATGGTATTTTGGTGCTTTGTGGACACTAGCAAACCTCCTGATGCCTTCAATTCAGAAAGGAATTTCCTTACTGGAAGACGTGATGAGCTGTCAGGGCCTCTGGCTTTCTCCAGAAGCTGGCCGAGCAACTGAGGAATCTTGCTACTTACCTACACTCACTATACTGCAGCGGGAATGGCCCTGTGGGCACTGGGCTGAATCTGATTCACTGATTTTATTAGCTAGTGTGTCACACAGACAGTGGGTAACATAAAGAACCCATCTCTGTGAGTAACTGAACCTGGTCATATCTAATGTGGCTCGGAAGCATATTGAATCATTGGATTTCTGAGGTCAATAGTAGTTGATTACTTTAACAACTCCCTCTCAACCTCCTACAAAGAGCCCTGATTTGTAGCATTTACCACCATGGTAAGCTACAACATGACGTCACAGAACATGGAGTTGAAGACATACACAGCAGTACATTGTTCTAAATTATTTCAACCATGATACAATAGATGTCAATAACTCAAAGGCCTACGTAACAGTAGTGATATGTAGAAGAATAATGAAAAGTGATATGTTTTTAGTTGTCATTACCTTTGAATTCAATGGAACTTATTTTGTAAATTTAGTTACAATTTAAGTTTTAATAATGGTTGTTTTTAACAGTGGCTCCCAAAATTCCTGAACATTTAACAATTGACTTTTGCAAGCTGGTATAAGCTGGATCCAGCACAGGTCACTTTGGAGCTGTAATGTTAGTTTAGCACCAGAGATAACAGCTGAGGACACTGCGGTATCCATCACCCCTGCCTGTACTTTTAGTCTGGATAATTTTTTCTCCTTCTGATTGCCCTCAGAGATTGGAATTAGATAATAAAACATTTAGAATGTTCTTTGGATCAGAGACAAATAAGTTAGGTAATGCAATTCATTCATGTATATTTTTCTGGACCAAAGTCACTATCTCCTTACTCTATTTCTCTTTACCCTACTCCACTTTTATCATAGCCCAATTACTACTTGATATTTTATATATAATATATATTGTAATATAAATAATGCAAATCCCACGAGGGTAGGACTTTCTGTTTTTCCATTATATTTTCAATGTCTAAAACAGTGCCTGACATATCTTAGGTGCTCATTAAAAATTTGAAGAATGATTAACAAATGATTGCAAGAAATAGGAATAAAAAGGTTTAAAGTGAATTGGTGACTAGAACTTTAAAAGGTCAGGGACTCTTTGTGGAAGCCTGTGACCCTCCAATCTCCAATTTTCTTCCATTTTTGAAAAGGAAGTGGAAGAACCCCACTACCTGGCATAATAAGAGCACATGGTAAGGACTCAGTGAGCAGTTTGGGATTTTTTTGAATAAGGAAAAATAGATACTAAACATTACTAAATTACAAACACTTCCAATTTGGTTTTGAAGTAGAAGGATGCCATATCCCCCGAAGAATGGGAACAATTAACTTTTACTTTTCTACTAATGATTTAAAGAGCCCTAAATAAGCATAGATAAAAATGCAAAAAAAAAAAAACCCTTTTATTCATAACCTGTTCAAATTAAATAGCAAAAGATAGTTAAGAGTTCTCTAATGCTCTTCTATGTCTCTAAAAAGAAGAATAAGGTCTGGAACAGTGGCTCACACCTGTAATCACAGCACTTCAGGAGGCTGAGGTGGGCAGATCACCTGAGGTCAAGAGTTCAAGACCAGCCTGACCAACATGGTGAAATCCCATCTCTACTAAAAATACAAAAATTAGCCAGGTCTGGTGGTGCATGCCTGTAATCCCAGCTACTCAGGAGGCTGAGGCAGGAGAATCGCTTGAACCCAGGAGGTGGAGGTTGCAGTGAGCCGAGATCTGGAGCACCACTGTACTCCAGTCTGGGTGACAGAGCAAAACTTTGCCTAAAATAATAATAATATAATAATAAAATAAAATAAAAAATAAAAGTTAAAAGAAGAATAAACTTTTAAGAAAGACTTTTTTTTTTTTTCATATTCTGGTCAACAATATGCCACCAGCTGCCATATGTCAACACAGTCAATTTACCTCAAATTCTTTAAGCAGTTCTTCAGCTCTGAGGTGGTTATCCAGGTTGCTGATGTTTTCTGCCATCTGTGGAACGCAGTTGTTTGACCATCCCTCAATCTCATCTCTAGTTGACAGTACATCATCCCAAATGGACAGGCTTACTCTCAGCCTATCCATGTTTTCTTCAAGTTTCTCTGATACCTAGGAGAGAAACAGAAGCCATGGCATTCATAGTCAGAGGCGTAAGATGATCATCCCCCAACCAAAGTACCAATGCTTCTTTTATCAGAAAAGTATATTCTGACGGACAAACAGTTCCACAAAAATTATTGTAATCTAATAAGTGCACCCAACTCACGTAAATGCTAACCAATACATAGATTGCTTCTGTCATTGGGAGAGTTGTTTGAATTTCTGAGACATTGCATTTTCATTTGTAAATTGGGATACTAACAACAACAGGTCCATTGGAATCTACTATAACTCAATATAAGGTTGAATTCTACAGGACAAAGGTCCATCAAGAACAGTGTTGTATTTATTTTTGAAAGCATTAACAATAAGCATTTTTATTTCTAATGCTGAGGTATAATTAGCATTAATTAGATTCAAACATATTTATAACATAACGCATATGAAAGCAACCAATTTTGCACATTAAAATAAAATAGTATTGCTTATCACTCTTCCTATAATGATATGCACTAAAATCCCAAAAGCTATAAATAAAACAAAAATAGCATGTTAAAAAAAATAAAAGAATGTTCTTTTTTTTTTTTTTTTTGAGACGGAATCTCACTCTGTTTCCCAGGCTAGAGCGCAGTGGTGCGATCTCAGCTCACTGCAACCTCCGCCTCCCGGGTTCCAGCAATTCTCCCACCTCAGCCTCCACAGTAGCTAGGATTACAGGCGCTCGCCACCACGCCCGGCTAATTTTTTGTATTTTTAGTAGAGATGGGGTTTCACCATGTTAGCCAGGCTGGTCTCGAACTCCTGACCTGAAGTGATCTGCCCACCTCGGTCTCCCAAAGTGCTGCGATTACAGGTGTGAGCCACCACGCCCAGCCAAAGAATGTTCTTTTAAAAGTGGAAGCATGTAGGGTTTTCTGCAGTCCCCAAATTATTTTATTATATTACACAAATATCAAAGTCTAACTGGTAAATTTAGCTTAAGTAGGGGAACCACTGTACATCTGAAACTAGATTTTGATAGAAGGAGGGCAACAGAATCACTGAATTTTTTAGCTGGAAGGTAATGTAAAATATTTATGGCTTGATATCTATATTTCCAGAAAAATCAAGTGACTTGTTCTGTGGTCACGTAGCTAGTAAGTGACAGAACAAGAACTAAAACCCAAAGATGTAAATTACAAGTGCAATGTTTTCCAATGCAAAATTATAGCCTTATTACTTAAAATTATTATATGTTATGGTGTAATATTCTATAGAATGTTCATAAATTCTTCTTTTTTATCTATAATTTCATAGTTTGGGAAAGAAAAACATTCAGAGTTATAACTTGTTATGACTGAGGCTATCAAGTGAAATTCCCAAAAGTCTGAGAATAAGTTTTTACAAAGCAGATACATATTTTATTATTTCTAAACTTTATGTGAGCACGGTTTTTCCTCAGACTCTCATTTTGCATTTAGTACTAAATGTTAAAAGTAAAATTCAGCTGGGTGCGGTGGCTCACAAATGTAATCCCAGCACTTTGGGAGGCCAAGGCAGGCAGATCTCCTGAGATCAGGAGTTCGAGACCAGCCTGACCAACATGGAGAAACCCCGTCTCTACTAAAAACACAAAATTAGCTGGGCATGGTGGCGCATGCCTGTAATCCCAGCTACTCTCAGGGGCTGAGGCAGGAGAATCGCTTGAAGCCAGAAGGCAGAGGTTGCGGTGAGCTGAGATTGCGCCATTGCACTCCAGCCTGGGCAACAAGAGTGAAACTCTGTCTCCAAAAAAAAAAAAAAAAGTGAAATTCACATCCTTGAATAACGCTTTGTCCAAAAATTTGATTGGGGAATGTGAATATTTAAATAGTTCACAGAATCCCAGGTGATTATCTTACATCCAGCCATTTGTCCACGGTGCTCTCCATGTCTGTTTTCACCAAGCTGAAATCACTACTGTGAATTTTCTTCAGCTCAGATAACAAGTGTTTTCCTTTGCTGGTAAAGTTATCCAAGTCTTTCTGTTTGTAATTCATTTTGTTCTTGGCAGTTTCATGCTGTGGATAAATGATTTCTTAATTAATAAAATAGTCAGTGATAAGTCATGAGTTTAAAACCATTTGTCTCTAAGAAATTTAATTCATAATTGACCTTATGCAGAAATTAGTGATAGTGAGATTAATTAACTATATGAATATATATAACACCATTTTCTTGAATTGCTAGAATCCTAGAATGTCAGCATTCCTAGGGGAAAAAAAGTTGAGCTCATTAGCATGAATTACCCACATCTAAGTATACTGATAAGAATAGTGCAGATAACTGCTTTATGAGTAAAAACCAGATCTACTAAAGCAGAATACCAACATAAACACATTTTGAATTTTACCTTGGAAAAAGCCCATTTAAGATCCTCCTGATCTTTTATGGTAGTTCTGGTTACAATCACACTGCTGGCATTTTCTAAGACTTTAGATACAGCTGATTTCAGGTTCTGATATTCTCTCATTAAGTCAATAAGTCCACAGCACTGACCCTGACTGTAATGATTAAAGAAAATATATTATTTGGTGTCATGTATCAGGAAAAGGGAGAGTTGCCTGCAATTGGACTTGATGTTTCACTACGTAAAGGTATTAATACTCATAGACGGATTCCTACATACTGTCCTCAAACTAGTGCTGCTGGTTAATCCTACTTACTCCAATGTCTAAAATATTCTCCGTGAATGAGGTATGCACGCAACCACTGAAACAAAATCTATGAACTCAATGACCATTGAAACAAAATCTATGAACTCAATGACAAAGAAGCAATATATGTTCTTGCCAACTCAAACTTACATAGATGAGTCATCCAAATATATATATTTTTAATTGTCTTTTTCCATGTTGTTTTAATTATTTCATAATGGCATATGTTGTGTGAAAGAAAACAACAATAAAACAAAACATAGCCCAAAACTAACAAATAAAAAGATTACTCAATAATTAAAGTATATATCAGATTTTCTCTTCCATCTCAATGTAATAAATTCTCATTGGATATGACTACCCTGAAGACTGTCAAAAGGAGAAGATAGCTGTTGTTTATAAAAATAAGGTAGTCTGCAATCCTATCAGCCTGAATGCACTTTCTCTCATTTGATCTTGTGAAGGTAAGCAGGGTCCAGCCTGGTTAGTACTTGGATGGGAGACCCTCTGGGAATATTGGAAGCTGTAGGCTTTTTTTTTTTTTTAAACAAACAAACAAACACACACACACACACACAAACAAAAAACAGCTGGGCGCCATGGATGATGCCTGTAATCCTAGCACTTTGCGAGTGCTCAAGGCAGGCTGATCACTTGAGGCCAGGAGTTCGAGACCAGCCTGGCCAACAGGGCAAAATATTGTCTCTACTAAAAATGCAAAAATCAGCCTGGCTTGGTGGCGCATGCCTGTAATCCTACTTAGGAGGCTAAGGCATGAGAAAGGCTTGAACTCGGGTGGTAGAGGTTGCAGTGAGCCAAGATCACACCACTGTGCTCCAGCCTGGGCGATAGAGGGAGACTATCTCATAAAAGAAACAACAACAAAAGAATAAAATGCCTTTGAGCAAGCAAGTTTACATCTAGAGATTTTCCAAAGAAATAAAATTATGTGCACTAAGATTTAGGTAAAGTGATATTCTTCATACCATTATTTGTAATAGGAGAAAATATAGAAATAACCAAAATGTTAAAAACAGGTCAATAATTAAATAAATCCAGATATATTCTTATGATAGGACACTGTGCAACCTCTAAGAAATCACAATGTAGGATAATGTTTAATAATATGGAATAAAGTTTGCACAACATGATTCAATTTAAAATGCCTACAGAAATAGTCTACATTATATAATGTGCTCCGAATTTTGTTTAATAGGTCTTTGTACATGATGTAAAATATATGTTGAGGGTCATTTTTTAAAATGCATATGAATGTCCAATTGTTCTAGTACCATTTATTGAAAATATTATTCTTTCTCCACCGAACTTTCTTTATATCTTTGTCAAAACAATTGACTGTATATGTCTGGGTCTATTTCTGGACTGTGTTCCACTCGTTTATATGTTTATCCTTCAGCCTGTACCACACTGAAACTAGCTAGTATAAGTCCTCCAATCCTTTTTCATTTGTTATTTATTTATTTACTTACTTATTTATTTTAGGTACCAGAGCTGCCAGCAAAGTCCTCCAATTCTTTTTGAAAACTGTACTGGCTATTCTAGTAGGTCTTGTGCTTTTATGTATACATTTTAAAATCATCTTGTCAATTTCTACAAAAAGTCTGTGGGCGTTTTGATTGGGATTGTATAAAAAGACCTCAATAACAAAAAAAATCACCCAAATCGGCCAACTTGAATATTTAAAAAGACATACAGATTGCAAATAACTTAACAAAATATGTTCAACGTCAGTCATCAGGGATATACAAATTAAAAACAAAATGTGCCAATTCTGAGCACAGTGCCTATGAGTTAGTTAGTCCTGCTCCACAAGGAGCACTTAAAGTCACACACACACACACACACCCCCACACACACACACACAGAGATGGCTCTACACATCTAGCAGAATGTCAACCAAGCAAATAAACAAAAATGTCACAATACCAAGTGTTAGAAATTATGTGGAGCAACTGGAAATCTTACACAAGACTGGTGTGAGTGCAAAATGGTGCAACTACTTCGAAAAATAGTTTGGCAGGTTCTTATAAAGTTAAACATATATTTTGCTATACAATCCAGAGTCTCACTTTTAGATTATTTACCCAAATGAAATAAAAACTTACGTACATGCAAAAACTTGAATGTGAATGTTTATAAATACTTTATTTATAATCATCCAAACTGGAAAGAACCCAATTGTCCATCAACTAGTAAATGAATAAACTGTAGTACACCCATTCAGTGGAATATCCAGCTATAAAAAATGAATGAACTGGATGGGTGCGGTGGCTCACACCTGTAATCCTAGCACTTTGGGAGGCTGAGGCAGGTGGATCATGAGGTCAGGAGATCGAGACCATCCTGGCTAACACGGTGAAACCCCATCTCTACTAAAAATACAAAAAAAAATTAGCTGGGTGTGGTGGCGGGCACCTGCTATCCCAGCTACTCGGGAGGCTGAGGCAGGAGAATGGCGTGAACCTGGGAGGTGGAGCTTGCAGCGAGCAGAGATAGCGCCACCGCACTCCAGCCTGGGCGACAGAGCGAGACTCCGTCTCAAAAAAAAAAAAAAAAAATGAATCAGCTATTGACGCACACAATGACATATGTTGTGCTAGATAAAAGAAGCCAGGTCACATTCTATGTGATTTTGTTTATAAATGATTCTAAGAAAAGACAAAACTATAGATGTGGAAAACTGCTTCCTGGTTGCAGGGGGCCTAAGGGCAAGGGGAAAAGATAAGGCCATTTTTTAGGTGGTAGAACTTTCACTGTGAAATTTAATAGTTACACAACTGCATAAGTTTGTCAAAACTGATAGCATTGCGTATGAAAAAAAGTAAATTTTAGTGTGTTTAAATTATACCTCAATTACAAACAAGTACAACAAAACAAAAAAAAGTAGAAAATTAAAAGTTAAGGCTGTCATGGTAGTACTTCATAACTGTTGACAACTCCTGCTTTAAGCATTCAATTTCACATGTAATTTTTTTTTTTTTTTGGTGAGAAGGAGTCTTGCTCTGTCTTCCAGCCTGGAATGCTGTGGCGCAATCTTGGCTCACTGCAACCTACACCTCCAGGGTTCAAGTGATTCTCCTGCCTCGGCCTCCCAAGTAGCTGGCATTACAGGCACCCTCTACCACACTCGGCAAATTTTTGTATTTTTAGTAGAGATGGGATTTCACTATTTGGCCAGGATGGTCTTGAACTCCTGACCTCAGGTGATTCGCCTGCCTTGGCCTCCCAAAGTGCTGGGATTACAGGCATGAGCCACCGTGCCTGGCCTATAATTGTTATCTCAAAGCAACCTTCTCAATAAAGTTCTGTCGAAATAAGTAAATTTTCAATGTTATGAAAGTGACACAGAATATCTAAAATGGTAAAAGATATTTAACTACTGATCACATCAACACAAAACAGGCAATGTCCCAATGTCACATAATAAGTGGGAAGCTAAAAACAAGAACTGGGTGGGTTTTGACTTACTTTTCATGAATTAGTCTTTTGGTATCATCCCAGGTGACCTCTAAGCGGTTTATCTCCCTGTCAACTTCAGGTGCAAAAGCTACATCTTTCTGGGCAATTTGCTTGGCTTTGTCTTTCAACCAACATAGTTCATGCTCGTGAGAATTCAATTCATCTTCTAGCTGATTAAACACTCTTAACCTGTGAATTAAAATGTTATTTTCCTATTAATTTACTAAAGGTAGTAAATGAATATTTCTTCTCCGTAAGTATATGATGAGTCCATAAAGCACTCATTTAGACAGCTAGAAAAACTTTTAACACAGAAATTAAATTAATGTTTATCAATGGAAAAAGTACTTTTAAAGTTAATTTTGCAAAATAACTCAGACTGTACCTCAGAAAACATTGAAAGTCATTCTTACTACTCACCATCAACCTTCTATTAAGTTTGTATTTTCTTTCTACTTTGCTTTGATGGTAGAAGATTTTCAAAACTAAGGCTGATCTCATAGGCTAACTAGGTAAATACTTATTGTAAAATCTTTGGTAAGAAATGTTTCTGGGCCATGAGGTTCAATCCATGTAAATAATAGTGTTTAAGGATTACAGTTGTTTCATTCAATATCAAATTAGCTTTACTGAGCTCTGCAGAATATATATATATATATATATATACTTTTTTTTTTTAAACTTAAATTACCTACTTTGTTGAAAAGATTACCATAAGGAAATGATCATTTTTGTCCCTAATCTATTAGTATCTCAGCATTTATAAAAAGTGGCCATATCACCAGCCACAGTGGCTCATGCCCATAATCTCAGCATTTTGGGAGGCCAAGGTGGGAGAACTGCTTGAGACCAAGAATTCAAGACCAACCTGGGCAACAGAGCAAGACCCTATTTCTACAAAAAATTAAAAAAAAAATTTAGCTGGCTGTGGTGGTACATGTGTATAGTCTCAGCTATTTGGGAGGCTGAGGCTGGAGGATCATGTGAGCCCAAAAGTTTGAGGCCGCAGTGAGCCATGATTGCAACACTGCACTCTAGCCTGGGTGACAGAGCACAACCCTGTCTCAAAGAAAAAAAAAAGTGGCCACAAAGAGGCAGCCATTTACTCTTCATTCTTACAGTTTGGTATAGGACTGTAGAGTTCACACAATGAGTCTACATGCTTTATCCCATTTAATTCCTAAAAGATGGTGGCTGGGGGCAGGTGTTCTTATTATCCCCACCTTACAAGAAGAGAAGAGGTTTTCCCAAGGTGGCACAGTGAAGCATTAGTATGGCTGGAATTTAAATAAGTCCATTAATTCAATACAACATTTTCTGCACCCGATGTGTGACTTTGGTGAGTGCAGTGTTGTGGGTACTGATGTGGCTCCTGAGCTCAACCTGGGTTTTCTACTCTGGCAATTTGAGGATCTCCTGTCTGCTTGGTCTAAGAAGGCCATGACACCCTGCAGCACCAATGATACTGCTGGCATCCAGGGTGAGTGACACTAGGCACCTTGTTCTCTCTTTATTCTGGAGGCTATTTTTTCTTCCCAAGTATCATTCCCTTTTGTAAATTTATTCTTAAACTAATCAGATAATTTATTGCCTATAAAGGGTATAACCTCAGGAGCCCAGTCCCAATATTGACTCCACTATCATCTGACTAAATCCTCGACATAATGGTTGATTCTGGTTAAAAGGAAACAACCAGCAATGGTCTTTCAGGAACAACATAATCTTTACCAATTATGAATACCTTGGCATGAATGCATTTCAGCTGTTTCTTTGCCCACTGAAAAAAATGGAAGAGCAAGTGGCCCTGAAAACAGGAGTCAGAAGGTTCTATTAAGAAGAAAAAAAATTGAAAAGAAGGCTACAGTTTTAAGAAAACAGTTACTTTTCAAATTTACTAAGGGAACTTATCTTTGACCCGTTTGCTTCTCAAATGAACTCACCTGACAAAAGCTCAGCTTTGCTTACTTAAACCCACTCCTCTGCCTCTCCATACCTCTAAGCAAACAGTTAAAAGCAGTTGTAGAAAATGACTCTGCCAAGCTGATTGGTTTCACTTTAAATGAACACAGAGCTCAAATGACAGTTCATCACCTTCCTAAGCTCCCCTCTACAAGAGAACTGTTTCACACCATTTTCTTTCCTCCAACATCTGCCCTCTCCTCTGAACTAATGAGCTTGCACCAGTCTCTACCAAGAGGCTCTCAGCCACCAAGGAGGAATTTCCTCATACTTTTTACCACCAAAACTACTAGGATCACTACCTTTCTCTTCTGCCTTCATTCTTGTTATAGAAGATGAATCCCTTCTCCCATCAGTAAAAAAATTGTTTAAAAACAGATAATAAGATCTACATATTCTTTGCTCATAAACTGACTTTAGGGAAATCCAAAGAAATTTTAGTACGTCTCAAGTGTCAAATTAGTCGTTAATCTTATCTTCAAAGTGGTAAAAAAAAAAAAAAAAAAAAAAAAAAGAAGAGGAAGAAGAAATTGCTAAATATGGTACTATCAACCAAAAAGTATCTGAGACAGGTCTCAATCAATTTAGAAGTTGATTTTGCCAAGGTTAAGGACATGCCCGGAAGAAATAAATATGAAATTACAGAAACAGTCTGTGGTTTATACCTTTCTCCAAAGATGATTTTGAGGGCTTCAACACTTAAAGGGGAAAAATGGGCTGGAGGGGAAAGAGACAGAATAAGGTTAATCCATGTGTTGCAAGAGAAAAGAAGCAGGCAGGGAATAGTCAATTACGAATTCATCTCGTGCTCAGTAAATCAGCACTTTACCTAAGACAAGGTGAACATAGAGTAGCTACCTATGGAATTATTTAATCTTTTCTCTGTATCTATCTGTTTAGGAACAAAAGGAAAGGCAGCTGCTTGCATGACTCAACTCAGCTTAATTTCTTTCTTTTGGCAGAGTGAATTGGGGTCCTGAGTTTTTATTTTCCTTGAACAGTACTAATAAAGTTTTGCATAAAAGTTAATTCCAGAACAAATACAAAAGAAAAGAGACAAGTGGCCGTGACAGTTTCCTATTTACCTCTGCTGAAGAGCTTGGCGGGTAGGTTCTTTCAATCGCTCTTTGTCAGTCCTTTCTTCAATGTCCTCAATGCTTTTCAGAAGCTCCTCTTTCTGGTCTTGGAATGCTTTTTTCAACACTGCCAGAGCATCTGCCTCACTCTGCTTGGTTCCCAGAAGGTTCTGGATCCTCTCTACCTCTCCACAGAGCTGATCAGCCGTGGCTCTGCAGGAAGTCCTTTGCTCAGAGCTCCCGATTTTCAGATGGTATTGGGCTTTGGAAAGAATGCCATCCAGACTGACGGCAGCAGATTCTAATGCTTTAGCATTTTGAAGAGCATCATTGAGGTCCTTTTCTATCAAATCAGACTCGTTCTTATTCATACTGTTGGTTGCTTCCACTGTTTGCCTCAGCTGGCGGAGAATGCCGGACAGAGAGGCATGGCTCTGGAGGAATTCTGCCAAATGGGACAGGGCAAGCTGCCGCCTCTCCACAACCTGGCTGGCCTCCTCAAACAGCTGGAAGCAGTCCTCAGCCTTTCCCTGCAGGAGGTGGAGGTCCTCAGCACGGCCCAGAGAACCCAACTTTGCTAAGTGACCCTGCAGACTCTGCAATTCGCCCTTTTTGCTCTCTACTTCTGCTGCGTGGTCCTGGAAGGGAAGAGAGAGTTATTGATTCCTGAGATACACTACAGTCTATGGCAGAGGTATTTTACAGGATTTGTGATGTGAAGATCTATTTTAGGTGCCATGGATAGTATAGTACTTAAAGGTCATCTACAGTGAATCTTAGAAAATTCACAAAATTTTCTGTTTTGCTGATCCACATTTGTTAAATAAAACACAACTCTGGGCCAGGCGCGGTGGCTCACGCCTGTAATCCCAGCACTTTGGGAGGCCAAGGCGGGCAGATCACGAGGTCAGGAGATCGAAACCATCCTGGCTAACACGGTGAAACCCCGTCTCTACTAAGAGTACAAAAAATTATCCAGGCGTGGTGGTGGGCGCCTGTAGTCCCAGCTACTCGGGAGGCTGAGGCAGGAGAATGGCATGAACCCGGGAGGCGGAGCTTGCAGTGAGCCAAGATTGCACCACTGCACTCCAGCCTGGGAAACAGTGTAAAACTCCGTCTCAAACAAACAAACAAACAAACAAACAAACACAACTCTGTTTTGGAACTATGTAATTAATTCTGTGAAAAAAATTTCTTTGTGGATAGAAATTGTTAGTTAAAAGAAATAAAAACATTGGAAGATTCTTAAAGATGCTTACATATATTTTACATTTTAATTTTAACATTTTAAAGATGCATATATGTATACATTTATATACAAATATTTGTATTTAGATATCTCATATTTTTAATATTTCAACTTTAAAAATTTTAAATTTTAGAAGATGCATGTATGTGAAAAAATTTTAAATTTAAAAATTTAAAAGATGTATATGTGTATACATATAAATCTTTAAAAATCTAAATGTTTAATTTTTTTAACTAACAATTTCTATCCACAAAATCCATGAAGAAATCTTTTTCCATTAAATTAGTTCCAAATCCGAGTTGTATTTTATGCAAGACTTCTGTATAGGAAATTTGACTAGCTCACAATAAATCATGTTTAAAATCTAGCAGAAAATTGGCAACATTCTCAGTGGTTTCCATTAAATAGAAATTATCACCTATCTTAATCTTGACAACAATGACTTTAAGATTCCTCTGTTTGACTACTAAACTTCAGATAGGTTCCTCTTGACTGCAGATCCTGACCTTTTCTTTTTTCTTAGAGCATTTACTTTAGAAAACTTGTAATTGTAAATTTATTCTCTGCCCCTTTGAGATGTAACTCTTCTTAAAGCTCTGGCCAGTTTTTTCTACCTCCGTAATATTTTTCTGAAGGACCTGGGAGCCATCTCTTTGAAATGTAATCATCAGGGAAGATAGCTGCTCTCTCTCAGTCTGTTTGGATGGTAGAGCCTAAATTCACTGAGCACCTTCCCCCAAGATGTAAAACTATCTCCTGTCCTGAAGGTAGGAGAAAGTTGCTTTTCCCTGCCACAGAACCAATTAGTCAACCCAGCAAGGAGTGAACACTCAATAAATATGAAATATTCTATTGTTAAATGTTGCTATATGCGTACTATGTAGCTTATCTCCATTATTTCAATGCTTTATGATCAATATCGGAATTTTTGAATGTTTTCTGGTGCCAGGATAGATATAATGTGTTGGGGAGTCAGAAAATGATACCCTAAAATATGTCACTTTGGACTTTAAACTGAGAGAACCTGAGGAGCAGCAAATTCAGAGAAGAGCTTTTCCTGATGCTCCCTTATCTGACTAAGGAAAGTTCCTCCAGAAGAAATATAATCATCAACCAGGGAGGAATAACTCACAGGAAAGTCCCTTAAGGTCTGACATCTCACTTGGAAAGACTGTTAGCACAGGCTGCCATCTGTAATTCTGAGGTGTGCTACCTGAGAAACTTTTTCTGCATAATAAGACAGCCTTTGTTCACAGTGCATTTCCTCCCCTCACCCTCCCATAGCTTGTCCCTACTACCCTCCTGAAGCCCCAGCCCCTATTTCTTTCTGTATAACATAAAAACTTTAGTCATCTGGTTATTCTTAGAGTCTCATATTTTGTGGGACTCCCATACAATATGCACATAATAAATGTGTTTGCCATTTCTCCTGTTAATTGGTCTATTGTCAGTTCATTTCATAGACTCAAATTATTTGAACGTTCAGAGAGCAGAGGAAAGATCTTTTCACCCCTCCATATGCATAATTTATAAATAAGGGAAATAAGCTTTAAATCATTTTAAAGCTGAATAGTAATTCAGAAAAACTATATCCTTAAAGTATTTGAATTCAGTATTAGTTTTCAGTTTTGAAATAAAACAAACTGGGAAGCTTAAAAATGGACATTCTTATCACTTTATCCTAGCAATCATTTGCTCCACTATGAAGAGAAAGTGTCTTAAGATGGTTGCCAATTTTATCTGAAGTGGCTTTATCTGCTTAATTGGTCTGCATAATTCATTGCCTTAACTCATATGCTCAATTATTAAAACATTTTCATATAAATAAAAAGTTAAATTCTCACCATTTAAACTTTTTTAAAATGTTGCATCTCTTTTTAATTCAAGAACTTTTTTATGAAGAAATTCTTCTTCAATCTTAAAAAAAAAAAAACCACTTTACCTTATGCCGAGTAAGGGCTACTTGATGGTCCATTATGCTAATCTCAGAGGTAGTTTGTAATTCACTGAGAAACAGTTTAATCCAGACAGAAAAGGAAAGCAGCAGCTCATCAAATTGCTGGTGTTCAGCAACCACAGACTGAAGAAAATTAATCCTATGTAGACAAAGTATTAAAGTTAAAATGTCCCATAAGTAAACAGAAAGGATTAATGATGTATTTTGGGAATTAAGCTTACCCAAGGGCAAAAGCAATGTTGTCACACATGAACACTCTATACCTCTTGATATTTTTTACTTCCCAAACCCTGCTTTACTCACAATCTTCCCTGTCTCAGTGAACATTGCCACCATTCACCCTGTTGGTCCTATGAGGCACTCTTCATCTTGTCCTTTCTTTACGAGTGCATCTAATCTATGGATACCCTCTCAGCATAACATATGTTCCAAAATTGAATGAAATTCCTGTAATTCTGATGCCTTAGTATATGTTATCAGTAATAATTATCATTATGTTCAATTGTTGTGTGCCACAGAAGTAACCAAAGTTTTTAATCGTGTCTTTAACCATGGCTAGCCTATGACTTTTGTCATCCATAGACAATTATTATTTTACTTTTATTCTTCTCAAAAAGTGGTTTACAGTCAGCTGCAATCCAAAATTTGCTTTTTCTTTAAGGAAATTCATGGAAAGGACTCTTGCAAGTATTCTAAAATACAGATTTCTGATAACTTTGGAGACTATACTATTGAACTAAGAAAAAACTTCCATGGCTAGGTGCAGTGGCTCATGCCTGTAATCCCAACAATTTGAGAGGACAAGGCAGCTGGATCACTTGAAGTCAGGAGTTTGAGACCAGCCTGGCCAACACAGCAAAACTCCATTTCTACTAAAAATACAAAAATTAGCCAGGTGTGCTGGTGCACACCTGTAATCCCAGCTACTTAGGAGGCTGAGGCATGAGAATTGCTTGAACCTAGGAGGTAGAGGTTCCTGTGAGCTGAGATCATGCCACTGCACTCCAGCCTGGGTGACAGAGTGAGACTCTGTCTCAAAAGAAAAAACTTCCAGGACTCTAATTAAAAATACATTCGTGAGATTTGCTAACCCAACATTAAGCAGAACAAGATTTAATTACATAGGACTGAACTAACAGAGGCCTGAAATACTTTTTTTAGTGGTGTTTTGTTTGAAACATTGCTGATTCTTTTTATGTTTTCCTTTCCAAGTCAAGATAACTTTTTTTTCTTTGAATTGTCTATAGCTTACAACAAATTGGGCAAACTACACTTCTGTGAGCAAAATTTGTAGTATATTTTTTCTCTCTACTTGATTTTTCCAGAAATTGGAGACTATTTGTGAGCATTCTTAATGTATGGTAATATAGTTATTTGTATAAGTTCAATATGTTTTGTCACAGGACACAATTGGAAACATTGGTTATTTTACCAAGGCTTTGACTGGAATGGCATATTTTCAGATATGATCAGACTGCTTTGAGGAATTCAGAAAAACTTTATAGAACCAATGAAAAGCCCTTGGGAAGATTGGCCTTATACTTTTCTATGTGATGCCTTTATAAAGTTCCTGACCTGTGGTAAGTAAAGAATGTCACTTTCTGACAGGCCCAGGAATCTCAAGTTATATTAGGACCTTTAGAAGAAAGGAATTCACCCAATTCATACAGATTATCTGCAGGCACAGATAAACCTTTTGTTTGGTTAATGTTGAGAGACTTTTGAAAGTCTAATCTGAGATTTCTTATGAAAAACGTAGCAGCAAAGCCAATTTTTAAAAAGCCTGTATGGCCAATCACTAATCTTGCTGCACTTTATATGGATAATTAGGCCAAGTATAATAAGACTAAAATTTATCTTGCAAATAAGTTGATCCTACTGTGATTTGTCTTTGGTAGAAATTGGGGGCTGAAGAGAGAAAAATTATGTTTTAAAAAAAACTACAGTATGTATGTTACTAGAATCTAACTTTGTTCATTGTTTTTGAGTTTTTATTATGTTCCCATAATTTGGACTGAATCCTGAATTGTTTCCTGGCCGCAAGTTTCCAAACTAAGGTTTTCCAAATCTTCCTTCCATTTTCCTTATTTTATTTATTTATTTATTTATTTATTTATTTATTTATTTATTTATTTTTTGGAGATGGAGTTTCACTCTTGTTGCCCAGGCTGGAGTGCAATGGCGTGATCTTGGCTCACTGCAATCTCTGCCTCCCAGATTCAAGAGATTCTCCTGCCTCAGCCTCCTGTGTAGCTGGGATTACAAGCACCTGCCACCACACCTGGCTAATTTTTGTATTATTAGTAGAGATGGAGTTTCACCACATTGGCCAGGCTGGTCTCAAACTCCTGACCTCAGGTGATCTGCCCACCTCGGCCTCCCAAAGTGCTGGGATTACAGGTGTGAGCCACCATGCTCAGCCAAAACTGCTTTCCTTAATGCCCCACAAACTGAAGCTAGGCAACTAAACTTTGGGAGAAATAACAGAAACTTGTAAGTAAACAACCTATGTGCCTGTTGATGTATTGACTTCTCAGAAAATTCACTCGACCATTCATCTGAACTGAACTACAATCCAGAAAAATCTGTTCAGATTGCTACTGCAATCTGAAGATGCTTCACAAACTCTAGAAAAACAAGTCTATAGACTACTCTAGATATTAAACTTTGTTTTTCTTCTGTTTCCTTAGAAATGTCTCTTATTAAAGATCTGTTTGCCTGCATCATATGTAGAGGCCCAGCCCATTTGCAATGCCACTTTCTGGAATGGGACACAGCTATTTAACTGAACTGATCTATTCTCAGGACTAAGAGACTGACTAAAGAAGACATGCAACAATATATTTCAGTTTGCTTTTTTTCTGTTTATCTTAATTTGCTTTTCCACTCCTTTGTCTATCTCTATGAAATAGCCTTTTTTTTTCTTTTTATTTTATTGAGACAAAGTATCACTCTGTTACCCAGGCTTCAGTGCAGTGCTGTGATCACAGCTCCTTGTAACTTCAAACTCCTGGGCTCAAGCAATCCTCCTGCCTCAGCTTTCTGAGCAGCTGAGACTACAGGTACATGCCACCATGCCTGGATACTTTTTTGAAAAAAATTTATTGTAAAGATGGGGTCTTGCTATGTTGCCCAGGCTGGTTTTGAACTCCCAGCCTTGAGCAATCCCCTCACCTTGGCCTCCCAAAACTCTGGGATTATGGGCATGAGCCATCACACCCAATCTCTATCAAACAAACTTTAACACAAATCTCTTCAAAACTTTCCATTTAGCATTTCACATTAATACGTGAAATGTTTTTTAAGTTTCAAAATGGGAACTGAAGGAAATCAAAATATTTTACTCCAAAATATATTTCTTTGACAAATTCTGAAATGGCCCTGCAAAGCTGTCTTTTGGGGAATAAACTTGCTTCTGTAGATCTGTAGAGAATCTGCACTAATGCAGCTAGCCCTGCCTTTGTCCAGATCTAGGAAAGATGAACTGAGAGTCAAACACCATAAAGACCTGAAAAAGACCTTTACCATGTATTCTCTTTGAGGGCTATACCTGTGAGGTTTCATCTACATAACAAGACCAGCTTTGCTAGCCAAGCCTCTTCCTTTCTCCCTCCAATAACCTGTCTTAACATGAAAACCTGTTTTGGGCCATTTTCTGAGCTCACAATCTTTCTGTAACCTCAATATGGCATATATTCTGTATGTCAAATGTATGGAGTTTGGATCTCCATCCTGAAGGCTCCTGTGTATATACATTAAATAAATTTATATGCCTTTTCTATTAATCTGCCTCATGTCAGTGATTTTCTAACCTCTAGGGGGCCAAGGGCCTCAGCCCTATAATCCCCCCACTCCTCCCTCCCCACCAACACACACTATACATTGACTCTGCACTCTTCTCTCCATTTGCACTGCTCTCATCCTGGTCTAAACCTCTTCAGTTCTTGCCTGACCTTCAACAGCCTCCTAACTGGCTTCCTCCCTCCCACCTTTGCCTACTTACAATATACTCTCTAGATAATAAGTAAACATGATTTCAAGTGAACAGGGCATTCCCTGTCCTTAAACACTAGGTGGTTTCCCATTGCACTTAAGAAGGCAGAACCCCAAACTCCTTACTGTGGTCTACAAGAAACCTCACATCATCTACTTCTCTGGTCTCATCTGACACAGCTCTGCCCCATATTCCCACTGACTTCCTCTCTGTCTCCCAATAAAACCAACTCATTACTGCCTTAGAGCTTTTGCCATTTTTGCTCCCTTTGCCTGTGTGGGTCTGTTTCCTGCACAGCCCACAGATCTTAATCTGATGTCATCTCCCCAGAGAGGTCTCGCTTGACCACCATTCTAAAGATACACCATCCTGCAGTCCCTGCCATGCTACCCTGTTTTGTTGTCTTCATAATACTGAACACTGCCTGAAATCGTCTTGTTTGTTCACTTGCTTAGTTATGTATTTATTTTCCGCCCAGTTCCTTCCTCCCCTCTCTCCACACCATGGACCTGCCTTGCTTACTGCTGTATCCTCGGCACCTAAAAAGGTGCCTGGGATATCATCAGGGACCAATCAATGAATTAGTTAATAAATAATAGGTGATTGGAGATCAGAATCCAAACATATTAAAAATAATCCCTTAATCAAAACTAGTATTTATTAAAATGGTTTGTATCCAAAGTTCAACTGTTAAATCAGCTTTCACATTTTAATACTTATAAAATCTTCTACACATTATCCTTATATGCATACATTATATTTTCAATGCCTTCACACATTGGTATCACTTTAAAAGTCCCTTACTTTCCCTCTAAGGGATAGGCAAAGGGCAGCTACTGCTTTGTTTTACAGAAAATTGCTCACCTTTCAAGAGGTGGCATCAAATCTTTCCGTAAATTTCTGAAACCATTCAAATGTCCCTTTTTTTGATCCTATAATACTTCGTGTTCACCCCTCATTATTCCCACACTAATCTGTCAATTATTTGGGGTTAGGTTTTGTTCATTTTTATGGCTTTTGGTGTCTGATATGGTACCTTGTACTCAGCAGGCACCTGATATATATTTGTTGATTGATTGAATACAGGAATAAATAAATAATAGAATAAATATAAGCTCCATGAAAGCAAAGGATGAAACTCTTTATTGCTGCTATTTCCAGCACATAGAAGAGTATGCTACTCATTGTGGAAAGTCAATAAATATTTGCTGAATGAATTAATTTTTTAAATGGTCAGAAAGGTTAAATGCCTAAGATCACATGGGTGATCAATACCAATTTAAAGAGAAAATTTGTTTTCTGGTATATTGGAAAGGTATAGATGCCAATTGTTAATCACCTAGTTAATTAAGATTTAATCCATTTTTGCCTCCATTTATCAATAATCTCCCTTGCTCTCTCCAGAAGATCTATATTAAAATGAAATGGACTAGCATATGTGTATAAAATGCCTCTGGTTGAGAAATGTCATGTGAGATAAAATTTTAGGTACCATTTTTTTCCTATACAAAAACAGCTTAAGCAATAAATAATACATACATTAGCAATCCTACCGTCTTTAATCTATTTCAACTGGTTTAATAACTTGCCCTTATTTTAAGACTAAATTTTGTATTGGGATTCATCAGAAATGCTCAGTTTTGTGGACCTTGATTTTCAAAATAAAAGTTTTCTTCCCTTCTGTAGTTATCAGGTGAGTAGTTGAGTTAAATAAAAGTAAACAAAACTATGCTTTCTTAATTTATATGCTCATCATTTAAAAACAAATGAACAATATTAGAAGATTTATCTTTTAGAACCAACCTTTTGTTAATGATCTGTGGTAAATCTCTCCATCTCTCATCCAACTGCTCCAAATGTAGTTTCATCATTTTCACATCATCTTTGGAGGCTACTGAGAACAATGATTCCTTCAATTGCAAAAGTTTGCTATAGAATGAGGCCTGGGATACAACTTCATTTTGCAGTGCCTGAAAAATACAAGACATTACGGATCTCATCCTAACAGGACTGAAAAGTAAGGACCATGCGGCACAGGCGGCTGTTGTCCAAAGGATTCGCATTCTTGCAAAATGCAAGTCATTCGGGACAGGCTGAAGAGAGTTTTTATTACTTGATTTAGAAATGGATCCACTTAACCTTTTAAAGGAATTTGGTTCATCCACTTAACCTTTAGGGGAATTTGGTTCCATTCCATTAAAGGTTAAGTGGATCCATTTCTAAATCAAGTAATAAAATGCGACTAAAACCTGAATAAGTTTTCTGGAGTCTGAGTTCTAAGTTAGGCAAATCTAGAAGCTGTAGAATTTCTTTCACGATGAAGAGACTGAGTAGGCAAAGAGAATCAAAGAAAAACTATTGCCGGAGAGACTCAGTGCACAGCTAACAATAAGAGAGATGCAATTCTAGCCTGGGACATGTTCTGCCTTTCTATTTAGAGTCTAGATTAGGCCAAACTGGAGAACTTAAGGGCTCTTCATTTTACTTTTAAGCAACAGAACTCCTTCATTTTAAAAATGTAATCAGTCAACGAATCTCTTAAGTGCTGTGAGGTGCATAAAAGTTGTGGCTCCTACCTAACAAAAGATAAAATATAAACACTCCAATAGATAGGTAATAATAATAAAAAAATATTAAGTGAAATGATAGGTATGGCACAGCAGATAGTAGATACTTGTCAAAATGCTCTCCTTCCCTTCCTAGTGAGGCCACATAGGTGATACAAGCAAGATTGCTAAAGGGATTAGAGGAAGGAATACACAGCCTGTGGATGACAGGTGAGATCATAAAGCAGAACTGCGACTTATGCTGGGTACAAGGGAAAGAAACAGCGCAGGGTGCAGAGCCAGGAGGTAGGAATGCACAAGTCAGGTCCAGCCCACGAGGCGAGGCTGCCTTACTGACGCAATGTCAGGATGCAGGAGTAACAGAGTCTGCAGTCCTCTCAGTCATATGGCACTTAGTTTCCACGTGGAGATGGGCAGCAACAGTTTTACATGCCCATGTAGCCTTGAGTCAGTGTCTTCATTTATAAGGAAAAGAGCTGTGAAGTCCCTCCCCTCTGGGAATACCCCACATGTATTTGCAAGAAGACAGGAACCAGATTGTAGATCAGGATTGCCCTTTATGGTCAGGGCGGGAAACAGTCAGTACAGGTTTCTGAGAAGGGACTTTGTGGAAGATGAGTGCAGACACCAGTGTTTAATAAACCAGAAAGGCAGGAGAACCAGAAGAATGGAGTACCCCCCAAGTCAAGGAAGGAGAACATTTAAAGGTGGGGCCACAGATTCCGATGCTATAGACACTGGTGACAGAGTTTTCAGAGAAGCGATTACAAAAGGCAAAAGAACGTAGCTTCCTCTTAAACGTCTTATAAAAGTTGATGGGAGAAAGTTGGAGTATAAATCTGTAATACAATAAATCTTTTTTGAGAAGCAATTTTGACTGTTGAATTTTCCAGCATAGACAGTATCATTTAAGGCAAGTTATTAATCTCTAGAAATCAGTAACATTGCCTTTAGCTTCAATTATACTCAACGATTTTCTTTCTTTAAGTTTAAAAAATTGGCTTCTTCAAGTATGAAATAAACTTTGTCTTTCTACCTATTACCTACATTTGTGCTCATTCATTTTTTTCTGTCTTCCATAAGAATAATCATTACTGTGACTTCTTTCTACATTCTATTACTTATTTCTTTAAAAGAACACCCTTTATTGCCCAAACGTCATATAATTACAAAAGTAGAGAGATTATACCTATTTCCAGCCTCAGAAATTATGAACTGATAGCCAACCTCTTTCATCTATATTCCTACCCATCCTTTCCTCAACTCCTTTGCCAAACCATGTTATTCAGATGCCGGGCATTACATTACAGGATTTTCTAACACATCATGGAAATTGATCATCACAAAGTTCTCATTGTTAGTTTCTCTCCCTTTCAGGTCATGGTTGCTTTCTTCTTTTTGGAACACCCTGATGTCAAATGATGCTTCAGGAATCACAAAACCAAAGCAAGAAGGGAGGTACAAGTTTATTTATTTTATTATTTTAAATAATGTAACTGTAACAAAAAGCATTTTATTTTTTCCTTCCTCACACTTCCTTGAACTTGCCTGTATTAACTGAAGTTCACCTTCCACTTTGACTCTGTCTGCAGAAATGTCCATTTCTGGGGAACTGGCTTTAGCTTCACCCCGCTCTAACCAGGTCAAAAAGGATGATAGTTCTTTCTCTAGCCTAAAGGAAGCAGAGAGCAGAAACAAATTTATTGAAAATTATCATGCTAGCAGATTAAACCTTTGTGAAGTTGGAGGGTCCAACACAAACCATAGTAAATACAGCCTCAGTTATCTCAGTCTTAGATATGCCAGCACAAAAATCCCTCCTTTTATTTTCATTTGTGTCCCTGCACTCACATTTATATTGGATAATATGTAAAGACCCATATATATCCTCTCCACTCTCAGGAATCTTTGCCTTATAACAAAGATCAAGAGTTTCCTACAGTAGACCCACAAGTTCACGTCTTTTGCATCTGGGATAACTACTCCCCATCACTTTAAGAACTGCTAATCCAGAATTTCCTATTTAGTAGTGCAGCAACTCAAGGAAAAGTGCTGCTCACCTCTGCCAGTGGGCCAGCAGATTCTCCAGCGCCGTCTGTCTCTCCTTCGCCCTCCTTAGGATGTCCTCGTATTGCTGCTGTAGAGCCGCAGCCTCCTGAACACAGGAATCTCTGTTCACAACCTTCCTGGCACTGGCTGAGAAGGCAGTGATCGCGCTGCTCAGTGACTCCAGGGCCTGGCAGAGATCCTAAGAAGAGTGCGAGAAGAATGCAGTGAAAGCACAGGAGCCAACGAGGCCTGCATTTTTCTTTGACACCGATCATCGCAAAATATTTTCCCTCAGTCATAATAAACAGGAATAGCACTAAGAATGGGTACAAATATACAGTTTGATAGAAGAAATGAGACTTAGTGTTCAATAGATTAGTAGGGGGACTATAGGTTACAATAATCTATCCTATATTTCAAAATAGCTAGAAAATAGTTTGAATGTTTCTTGAATAAATAAAACACAAATATTTTAGGTGATGAAGGTCCCAATTCCACTGATTTTACTTTTACAAATTATATGAATATATTAAATTATCACATGTGCACCCCCAAAAACAAATAAGAGTTATATCTATTTTAAAAGGTCTGTGCCCATGATTTGCAGCAAGACATAGTGAAAATGAGAAGAAAGTGACTTCATAAATACAGAAATCAAAAACGAAAATGGAGACACTTCTTCAAATAAGAATGCACTGCTATTTATCTAAAAACTTTCAACTTTCCCTTAACAATTTAGGTAACTTGTGAAGATTATTAGTCATTTTATGCTAAATACGTATTTAAAAACCCTATTCTTAACTTACAAAACCCACATGTAACATGCTATAATCACTCCAAAAAATACATATAAAAAGAATTATGGCTGAAGAAGCTACTGTCTATCTCAATAGTAATAATAATAATAATAATAATAATAATAATAATGACACAGTGCCTCAGAATGTGGCAGGCCCTGCATTACCTGCTTCCCATGTATTGACTCTTTTCATCTTCCTGAGAACCCTAAGAGGTATGTTATTTCATTACCTTCATTTTACAGATTAGGAAATCAAGACACAGAAAAACAACTTGCTTTAGGAAATCTAAATATCGGAAAAGTAGAATATTAGCCTCTTTGGTCCTCCATTATTAACTTAGTTGTCTATAAAAATAATTTCATCACACTGAATTCTCCTACTTTTCCTCATTTTTTGTATTAAGAAATTACAAATAAGTAACGCAAAAGTGTATTCTCATTATCAATATTTAAACAATAGAAATCTCACTCCCTCTTCCAGATGGCCTTTGTCAATGGCTTGTTTTCTATTACATACACCTTTATAAATGTTCGTGCACACATGAACATGCAATATGAATCATATTTGTATTTTTGTTTATTAATTAATGTACGGTAGTATTTCTTTGTACGTAATTATCCCCCTTTGTTCCTCCCCCTAAATTCTGCCAGAGCCATCTGTCTGTAGCCTTGCAGAAGATTCGCAATGATGAGAAAAACCAATCATTGGAAACAGATCAGTGAGGATATATTCCTTAAACATCTGAGTACAGTGGGTTAAAATATGAAGACAGCTATACACATATATTTTTCCTTGCACATGTACTTTTTTATAATGCTGGCAAGAGGTAACAGGGTTGTTAAAGCTAAGCTCTAAAAATGTTACTCATCCTAATTAAAAGAGAGAAATGTATTTGAAATGAATACTCCTTTAATATACATCTTTAATGAAAATTTATTCACATCCTTACATGTCTTGGATTATATAAAGTGAATACATTAGATCTATATAATTACTCAACTAATATAAACATTTTTCCAATTTCAATTCTCTTAAAAAGTTTACTGTATTTTCTTTTCAAGTGGGAATTATCAAATTTTAAGTTGGTAAATAGTAGAAATGTTGAAGCATACTCTTACCATATGTTCTTGAAGAACTTTGTATGTTTCTGTAGCTGAAGAACATATTTTAATTGGAACAGCAAGTTTATCTTCAAATTCAGACACAGATTGCTGGATCTAAAACATTGGTGCAATATAAAAATAACAGTGGGAAAGATACATAGCAAGACAAAAAAAAAAGTTACTGAGAAAATGGCATACCTACCTTTTATGGATAACTTTTAATGTAATTATAAAATGCATTCTTTAAACATCTAAAATCAACATGTCCCATTATTTCACAAATTATGTCTTTCTCTTATTCCACTATTTGTAAAGTATTTATTGCACTTACCCACAAATACAATGTGAAATATGTAAACTTAAGTATAGGTGGATCAATTCTTACCTTTCTAAGGTTCTCTTCAAACTTTTGCTGCTGAGATAAATGTCCCAGGATTGTTCCTTCCAGACACTGTGCATGCTCTCGAAGCTCTTCCCCGTATCTTCTTATTTGTGTCAACTTGGCTTTAATTCGAGCAGATTCTCCAGTGGTAACAAACTGAGCAAAAGACTGGGCTTCTTCTTCTAATCCTACAATGCTGCTGAGCTTACTTTCTATTTCCTGAATTGTGACCTAATAGTTAAAACAAGAAAAATGACAATGTAGGCTGAGCAAGCTTGCCTTCCTGAAATGATACAATTATCTGCAAAGAGGGAATATTTTCTTAACTGATATTTGAAGACTTGGATGGTTAGAGCGCAGCTGTGAGCAAACACCATGTGTTTGGGGAGATGAGATATGCCGAAAATGTCTGCAAAATACAGTGATGGGTTGGGGGGTGCTTGCTGGATAGAGCATACGGAGAAATAGCTACTCTTGCTTGCAGTGAAGTAAGCAAGGAGATGTCCCTGGGACACTTACAGTATCTCTGAAGGTACAGAGAATTATGTTTACGTTATGAATTAGGCGTTTTAATTAACTGAGCTGGGGAAGCATTGTGTTTCAGTAACTCATTAGAATGCTAAATACTGACATTCACTTATTTTTCTAAAATTCAGTTGAGTATTTTATATGTTACTAAAAGGTTTAATAACTGCACACCTACCTAAAAGTAGTTTTCCTTTTTCAAACTTATCATCTATTCTTGATGCCAGTGGTTTCCAAAGCTAGAATGCACTAGGACCATCTGGTCCCTATTCTCCGGGATTCAGACTTACTAAGTCTAAGGTGGGGCTCAAGAATTTTCATTTCTAACAAATCTCCAGCTGATGCTGAGGCTGCTGATCCAGGGACCTCATTGCTATGTACTTGACAGAGAAAAGCCCACATACTGTCATTTCAATTTATTTCAACTGGGGGAAGAAAGGACATTTTACATGTTAACCAACATCTGAAAAATACTGATAACTATTAAGGAAGTGTGTGCATGTGCACATGTGTTTATGTGTGTCTGTGGAGTGTCTCTCACAAACATAGAAGCTTGTTTGTATATAAGAAGATGAAAATTATTTCTCTGAGAAAAAGGGCCAAATTATTCAATCAAAATACATCAAAAATTCAGCCAAGTCTCTGTTTCAGATTATTTAAATGGAAAATACTATTGCCCTAGGAAAAAAATAAAGTTTTGACTTCTGTCTAGATGAGACACCATAGTCAGAAATAATTTCTGCCTAGTTGAGGCAATCAGAAATAATTTACATAAATGTCGGATATGCATCATTTTTATTTTTCATATGAATGAATGAAGTGGTATATCTCATCAATATTTGTTATTTGAGCATTTATACAGGCTTCCTTTGTTTTGCTGTTTTTTAAGATTATATTTTTTAGAAAAATTAATCATAAATTCAAAAAATATAGGTTGTCTACAAAGCACTAATAATTGTTCTAGTTGCTTGTAACACATCGGTGAAACAAACTTAGTTAAGAACCGAGCTCTTAGTTATTAGAGTAATACTTGCCATCAACAAATTCATATATACGAATCACTCAATCATATTGTTGGATTGTGGTAAAAATAAATCCATCCAGGAGAAGAAGATGGAAGACGAACCCAGCATATGTTCTTATCATTTATCAATTATAAGTTAGGAATAAGAACTCAGTCATTTGAAATGGCATGTAATAATGAACAAAAGTGGGCTTAGTGTATTTATCTTCCAACAAGGCAAATGCTTCATTACTTTTAATCCTAAGATCGTTTTAAAGGAAAAATATTACAAGTGTTACTATATTTTAAACCTTTCCTATAATGTAGTCTTATGTTTGGAAATAAAACATGAACCTAATAGACCAATTTCCATAGGACAGTGTATTCCACTGTAACTTTGCTTATTTCTAGCAAATATCTTTTTCCTGGTATTCATATTCACTTACATATTTTAGATAGTTTTAAAAATGCCTTATTGGACGTATTGAAATGTATTTCTAGTCTGATAAAATAAAAATAGACAATTGAATATATATTTTAAGAAAACATGTAATCTTTTTTTCTGGAGAATAACAATGAGATGACATTAGATAGTTGATATATTCCAGAAGCTCTGGAATAAGGGTGGAAATAATAGTAAATGAATTATAGAAAAAATAAATACGTTGAAAAATGTGTGTTAATTTTCAAAAGGGGACATTTTTGAGACAAAACTATTTAAATGTGCTATTCTTTTTTCTTAGAATTTAGTGAAAATGATTAAATGACAACTTTTAAAAACAATTTTAACAATTAAAAATATTTAATGAATATTCTTCCATGGCCTCACATCTATTTTTCCTGGTATACCAAAGAAGACATAGCAGACTGTGTATATGAAACTCCATGTATGCTTGATTGCAAAAGATGTGTGAGAAGCAAGGATGATCTGCACAGCGGGTAATCTTATCTGAGCAACATTGCACCCTCCCACCCTCCACATGGTAACGACTTGTTCTGAGCCACAGTGTGAAATGTTCCCTCACCTTGGTATTTATTTTACTATATTTAATTGAATGAAATAGCAGAGGGTTTTCCCATTCCAAAAAAAAAAAAAGCTGAGGTAGAAAAAGTGGCTGAATTTTGAAAATGTGTGGTATAAAATTGTATAAAAGAAAGAGAAATAAACACTCCAAGCCCCTGTAAGCCCATTTTTCTTCTTGAACTGTCTGAATGAAGTGGCCAATGATAGTCTATCCACCTGGTCATTTTAGAGCTGGGAGAGGTAAGGAATCAGAGGACCTCTGTCCATGCTCCAAGGTCATAAATGAAAACATCATAACCATGGAGTAGAACTGCTTCACTTAAGAAAGATGCTTTTCAAACTCCTCCTTGTGATTGGTGTGGGTAAGTACCACTAATACTTGAACTAGACATTGGGAATGGGATTTTAGAGTTGTACAGGATGAATACATTTCATGTTGTATAATGAACCGGCAGAGCATTCTATTGAGGTTAATTCAAAATCAAGGAAAAGAATTAATGTAACCATAAAAATATTTTAATGATATTTCACACAATATTAACTTTGAATGCACAAGTCAGACAATGTGAATACATAATTCCAACTATAAATGTTGCCCAGTATTAATCCAGACCTCTTAGCTTGATAAAATGTATGAATTTAATTTTAATAGTCACATTGCAATGAAAGTCTTGTCCTGGGACCGAACAGCATTTGATGAAATGTAAGAAAGTAGTTCTTAAAAGCTAGACATGGATTATAAATATAATGTGTGAGCAGGTCACCTTAATTTGGCTGATTTGCATGTCCATGGCAGATGACGAAGTTTCCAAGGCATTGAGTTCTTTTTCTTTCTCAGTTATCCAGACGGACAGAGTCTCAAAATTACTGCCAAAATGATCCCACTTGGTTTTCACCATTTCCATGGTTTTAATACTAAAATTAACCAAATTAAGTAAATAAAACTCAGTATTTTAATAGAGAACAACAACACATTTTCCTTGAAATCACCAGGTGAAGAGATAATGAAGACATTTGTGACCATTTCAAAGTTGAAACTATTCACGCTAAAAAAAAAATTGCACAGTTGTTCTGAGTAGTTTATCAGGTTTTCCTATCTTCTCTGAGAATGAACATTTAATGAGGCAGTATCTACACTTTGAGTGAAACTGCACTTTGAACAAAACATTGCTGGGTCCAAAGGGGTTTGAATCCAGGTAGAATCTAATTAAACTCTGCATGTGACCAGTTGTTGCCAGGACTTATTTTTATAAACTATGCCAGAAAAGATTTCAGTGTACACAGCTTTTCAATAGTCCTATTTCCAAAGAAATGTTCTTCTTACACTTAAAGGAGAGACACTGCAGTGATGCTTTCTATAGAAATACCTTTATAAACTGCATCTTATCAATCAAGACAGAGCTCGTGATCTCAATCCCATGCTGCCGGGCAAGAACTGTTTCTATTATTAGAGCTAATCCTGCGATGTATAATCTTTGTGACTTCAGCCATTTTCATAAATGTCTTATGGTCCTGATTCCAAAAGACATTTATAAATTATTGTACATGAGCACCCTAACTACTTTTAGACAACTTATAGGTTTTATTTGTAACAAATCTAGTGAACAGAATTTCAACTATAGATTTCTAATTTGTATTAGCTATGCATGTATAACCAGGTGACTATGGCTTTCAGTTTAGAAAAAGACTAAGAAACTAACAGTATATAATTGAACTAGTAAGTCCTTGGGTTAAAAAAAAAAAAAGTGAAAGAATGTCCCTGTTTACCAAAAGGCACTTGAAGACATCAAGAAAAATAGAGTGGCATCATTGACTGTCAAATTAAATAATATTGCAGTCTCAAATTTATACCCTGAATGTGCCTAATGCTGTCAGCAGTACAGGTAATGCAAGCTGTGTTATATTGCAACTTTTTAAATTAAATAAAGGTTAAAATGGCTATTCTTAATAGAAGTAAATTCCTTTCTAATAAACTCTGTTTTACTATTTCCATAACTTGATAGAGAATATTTAATGTAATATAAAGTCCTCAAAATTTCAAGTCATAATTTGTTTTAAATAAAATATGTATCAAATTTTAAAGTTTAGGCAAATGTAAAATGTTAATTTTAAGCTGTTAATAGTATTAAAAACACATTTTACATTTTAAAACCCACCTTAGAAATGATGGCCTGTCCCTTAATAATAATATGCTATTATGTATCATTGATTTGCCACTAAATTATGTTAAAAATAGAAATGTTTAGCCATATTGTTTTGAATAATATTGGCTGTATCCTCATATGTTTTTCCCCTCCAAACTTTTTTGTATATTTTGGGTATATAACAGGATATCAATAGGCCAAGCAGTTTTTTTTTTTCAGATAAACAAACATTAAAAGTTTAAAAATAAAATATTTTAAAGTTAATTTCTGGAAAGAGCATATTAGTCAGGATAACTTGAATACCGAGGCACTGTAAACAAGCTCCAGGAGCTTCTTCAGGTTGGAGATATATGGTCTATGTGATGTGTATTTAGGCCTGGAATCTACACTAACAAAATATCTCCTTTTCGCTCTAAATGGTGACAGCAGAATAATATAGTAAAAAAATTATTTTAAATATTAGTTCTTTTTCAAGATTCCCTCTACAATGTACAAAGGCCACAGAATAGAATAGATATGGCTTTCTCATGAACATGATCAGTTTAAGATGCAAAACCCACATCCTTTATATTTTTTGGGCTCTGTTATAGATATTGGTTTCTGTATTAGCGATACTTTCTTTTGAACTGTGAGTTGTTTCCTCAAAACATGCTGAAATACACAGACACTTTGAGATTTTAAAAGAGTGTTTTGAATACAAGGTACAGGAAAGATTGTATGAAACTTTATCTCAGAGAAGAAAGTTTAGGACTTGTCAATCACATACTCTTCTTCAAGCGTGTCTTCTAATTTTTTGACTTGTTCTTTGATTGACTTGGCCTGCTGTTGAAGCAGCTGCTTATTTTGGGGCCCAAGCGGTATCTCTGAAGCTTCCTTTACAAGGTTCTCAGCCTGGACTGCAATACTTTCTGTCCGTTTAGAAAACTCCTAGAAAAAATATTATGATCATTAGGTAGGCACTTTATATTATTTATCTCTGCCCTCAAATAAAGTGCACATATTGCATACAGAACAGATGGGTGGATGAAGACATAGAGTCATACATGTATGGATCTTACATTGTTCTTAACAATAAATCTGACTTATTTCCATATGGCCAAAATAGACACTTTGCTAACAGTTTTTTATTTTATTTCTTTTTTTTTGAGATAGGGTCTTGCTCTTTTGCCCATGCTGGAATGCAGTGGTGCAATCATGGCTCACTGCAGCTTCCAACTCCTGGGTTTATATGATTTTCCTACCTCAACCTCCTGAGTAGCTGGGACCACAGGCAGGCACTACCACATCTGGCTAATTTTCTGATTTTTGTACAGATGAGGTCTCACTATGTTGCCCAAGCTGATCTTGAACTCCTGGGCTCAAGTGATCCTCCAGTCTTGACCTCCCAAAATGCTGGGATCACAGGCAGGTGCCACCATGCCTGGCTAACTTTTTAATTTTCTATACACAACCAGCTATTTGCCTTCATAGTTTTCCAATAATACTCACAAAAATTGTTTCTCCTTTGTTTCCTGGTTTTGTCTCATTGTTTAGAATTCTTAGATCCATTATAATAATTAATTTATTCACAAATATGCTTACTTATTACAGGCCAGTTCACAAAATCAATAGTGATTGATCATAGACATAATAGATTTCTAGGCCAATGAATAGAAACATTTATTTATTTAATGTAATATCTTAGTCAAAAGAGACTATCAATGATCTTTGGCCAGGCATGACGGCTCATGCCTTTAACTCCAGCATTTTGGGAGGCTGAGGCAGGAGGATCACTTGAGGCCAGGAGTTTGAGACTAGCCTTGGCAAAATGGGAAGACCTCCATCTCTAGGGAAAAAAAAAAAAGTGACCAGGCATGATGGTGCATGCCTGTAGTCCTGGCTACTCAGGAGGCTGAGGTGAGAGGAGATAGAGGCTGCAGTGAGCAGGCATAATGGCGCCACTACATTCCAGCCCAGGCAACAGAGCAAGAATTTGTCTCAAAGAAAAAAGAGAGAGAGAAGTAATCAAGCCATTTTGTTAACTAGTTCTCTGAAAAGAGCTATAATCTAATCTTAGTGCTGTTAAATCTTATTTATTACATACACATGTATCACATGATGGAAAGAGAATATAAGTTTTGAACCAGTCAAGCCTGGGCTAGAATCCAGGATCACTAGTTGTTTGACTTTGGTGAATTATTTTCAGGCTCTTTCATGTAAAATGCAGATGATAATCCTTTTCTTAGAAGGTTACTGTTAGCATTCTATTAGCAATCTTACTTTTAAAGTGCCTAACACTCTTGGAGATACTGATTATTGTTTTTTATGTCTCTCATACAAACTTGAGGACAAAATGATTTATTAAGCCAATATACTTATTTTAAATATTTTAAAATAGTTGAAAATACTTATTTTCAACTATTTTAATTGAAAAGTTGATTTAGTATGTATGTGGCTGGTAAATATTAGATGTTACCTGAATTTTGTCAAGTAATTATATTGAATGCTGAATTAGAAAAGGTAAACCCAGTAATAACCTAAGTGAAGAAAATGTACTTGGTATCTCACTTCTTCTCATGTAAGAGAATCTCACAGGAGGTTTAAATTTTGATCAACTCCCTTCTCCTAAATGAATAATGTAGAAATATAAGTATTTTTCCAAAGTCAGCTTTTCAGTAAGAGCATCTCCTAGAACATAGTACCATATAAGATAGAGTTACTAAATAATACTATTATATCTTCATGTTTAAAAGACTTAATGTTCTCATAGAAATATCACGAGTTCGGCCAACAAATATCAGTGTTGGCCAAGATTGTGCCACTGCACTCCAGCCTAGGTGACAGAGTGAGACTCTGTCTCAAAAAAGAAGAAGAAAAAATCAATGTTACTTCAGAGAACTACGTTGCAATTTAAGAGAATAAAAATGAATAAGTACAGCTTCCTTATGGCATAGAGATTTATAGTACACTAAAATATGGTAGTTGCTAATGTCACAACATTAAATTCTTTGGATAAAAGCACCCACTGTTACTATATCTGACAGTCATGGTAGATTCAATTGTGGAGATTACAAATCACCACATGATCTCTTAGAATCCCATGAATATAATCAGAAGTGAAAAATAAAGTGTTTTATTTTTTTCTGCTAGTGTTTCTCAGAACCCAGGAAAAACATGGAAAAAGTAATGTTTGAAAATGCTTATATACATTCAATTTTAGAGCTTTTTATGTGAGCTATGTATGGAAAAAGCATAATGCAGAGAAATCGAAAGAGCAGAATGATGGTGATAAAAAAACAAAATTAAACAAAAACAGAATAACATTGTAAGGCCTTATCTCTAACTTCTTAGAAAACATATGAGTGGCAGGCAGCAGGATGCATCAGGTAAAAATTGACTCACATTAGATTGATCTGGGATGAAACCTAGGCTCCAACCTTCATTAGCTGAGTGACCTTTGGCCACATCTCTCTGAATTTTCCTTTCTTCATCACTAAAGCCATATCTTATTTTCAAGATTAAACATGACATTGCTATGAACCCTCTATCACACACACCAGTACACAGAGGACACTCAAGTCCCTTAGCATAACCATTCCTTAGCACAACTACTCAAGGGCTATCAACTTGAATAAAGGTTTGTAATAACAAAGCAAAATGAGCAAAGAACTACAGGAGAACAATGATTCTAGATTGGCAGTGAGCATAGGCAATTAGTAAAATGGCTCTGTTTTTTGAATGAAAAAATAACGTAGTGACTAAAGATGTGGGCTCTGGAAAAGGACCTTTTGGATTGAAATCCCAACCTCACTATTTAGTGATCCGCAGATCTTGAGTGAGTTCATCACCAACTTTGTGCCTTATGTGTCCTTCCTCATATAACACGATTGATAATGATACCTATTTCTTAGGACTGTTTTGAGGATTAAAGGCGATGATAAACATCAAATAATTAATTCGGCATATTATATGTGTTTGATAAATGTCACCTCATATTATTACATCAATCCCAAAGCATAGAAGACCATGGACAAAGGAGAATTTGAATAACAAGACTCAAAAGATTCCATTTGTTTCAATCTACAGGTACTTAAACTGATCCAAAGGAATTAGTGCAAATGGAATCATAGGGGGTCAGAAACTCTGGCTGGAACGTGGTCAGAAACATTTAGGAAATTAACCCAATAAACATCTTTGTATTTATAAAAGGCACCTGATACGTTTTTAATACACGAAATAATTTATTTATTTTTTAAAATAGAGATGGGGTATTGCTATATTGACCAGGCTGGTCTCAACTCGTGGCCTCAAGCAATCCTCCCATCTCAGCCTCCCAAAGTTTTAGGATTACAGGCATGAGCCATCGTACCCGGCCAAATAATTTAAATTAAAAATTAAAATAATGTTCTATTTAAATGACTGATGAATATCGTATAGACTTGAAAGAGTCTGTGGTCTTAGAAAACTTCAAAATCCTCAGTGAGTTTTTAGGAGAAACAAAAAATTAGCAGTATGGGAGAGAGTGAAGCCTTTTGCAGGTAAGAAAACAGAAACACAAAGGTTTTCTTGCTAAAGGCTAGGGAAGGGTGGGCACAAGGCTCTTCTTTCTAAGACACCGGTTAGTTCATTTCTCTACTAATTCAGTCTTTCTATAAACCCCAAAGAGGCACCACAGGAACTTCAATGCTTGGTACAAATTGGTTGGTCTGCTTAGAGTGTCCAAGGTGTTTGAGCTTGTAGGGTTGGGTTCACCAAGTACACCTACTAAATACGGTCTGTTTGATGCCCCATTGGAGTCTCAAAATCGCTACCTCCAAAATGAAGTTGGTCATCTTTTCCCATGAACAACTTCTCGTTCACATCCCCCATCTCACTTCCATTGTCTCCGTCAGACTCAAAACCTCAGGTATCAACATTTTCGTCACTCACTCTGTCTGGTTAGTTTCCCTATCTTCCTGTGAACTCCACATCTTTTGTATCTGTTTCTGTGTAACACCTGCCACCCCACCGCCCTTATTTATGCCCATATTAACTCCCATATGCCCATATGCAATAACTTAAATGGATCCCATGACCCCAGTCTTTCACACTTTCAGTCACTTTTCTACACCTGCCTAAAAATTCATCCAAAGCCCAGCTCTGATCGTGTGGCTTTTCCTTTTAAGCCTTCAACAAGTCTGGCTCCATGTTGCCTAGAAAGTAATGCTTTAGGTCTTCAAGACTCTGAAATATGGGCCAAATTTCCTTTACAAATTCATTTCCCATTGTTCTATTTTACAACACAGAATTCCTATTCAGAACACTTGTATGCTCTATGCCATTCCACCTTCCAAAGAATGTCTGTATTTTGCTCCAAACTCTACTAAGTTTTACTGACCTTTAAGGTTCAGTTAAAAAATATTATTGCCTCCAGATTTTTTTTTTTTTTTTTTTGAGATGGAGTCTCACTCTCTTGCCAGGCTGGAGTGCAGTGGTGCCATCTCGGCTCACTGCAACCTCTGCCTCCCGGGTTCAAGCGATTCTCCTGCCTCAGCCTCCCGAGTAGCTGGGACTACAGGTGTGTGTCACCATGGCCAGCTGATTTTTGTATTTTTAGTAGAGATGGGGTTTCACCATGTTGGTCAGGATGGTTTCAATCTCTTGACCTCATGATCTGCCCTCCTCAGTCTCCCAAAATGCTGGGATTACAGGAGTTGAGTCACAGCGCGCGGCCTGCCTCCAGATTTTAAAAACTCTATACACATCTATTAGGGAACTAACCATTTTCCAATTTGATAAAAATCTTTGTTTTACTTCTTGATGTTTAATCCTACTTATGTTTTCATTCTCCAATATGTTGAAAGAATGGGTCATCAATAAATAGTAAGTATTGATTAAATTAACAATAACAATTAATAGTAATAATGGAGGAGAAATCATTTTGTTTGTTTTGCTTTGTTTTTTCTGAATATTGGGTACCAAGGAGCCATAATATACCTTTGTTTGTTCCAGTTCTGAAGATAAACTTTCCAAACTGCTAAAACTCAAGAAGCGTTCATGACTGGAACCTGTTTGAAAAAGGTATCTTACTACTGTTTCTTTGTTTGTTTCAAATCGCTCCCATTTTCTTAATGTGACCTAAATTTGAAAAAATAAACAACAAATGGGTTACAAATGTCACACAATACTATCATATTTTCATTCGTTTGCAAAACTGTCAACTTTCAGCGAATTCTCATTTCAAATTTCACACAGTCACAATGAATAGAGATGATTCTAGTATCTTCTGTAAGAATTTCTTTTCTCTATGTTAATGTTTTCATCTACAAAAAGAGAGGACACATGGACTCAGATGATTTCTGAGTTTTTTATAATTTGTAAAGTCTTAGAAATGTAAAGATATTACTTAAAATGTAGATAAGTGACAAAAAAATAAAAAAGGCCTCTCAATCTGTCTCAAACAAGAAAGGAAGCACAGAAGAAGGTAGGGAGAGGGACAAGGAGATGAAGAGAGAGCATTAAGCAGTTGGCAAAAACTCAGAAACATTTTTAAAGGTAATGTGTCAACATCCCAATAAAGCATAAAGGTGGCATAAATGTGTGGCTGCATGGCTTCCTGGAAAAGTGAAATGGCATGATCAAATTTCTGGATTCAGAAAAGTGTGGATGAAATCCTGGCTTTATTATTGATCAGTGCTGTGTGATACAGCACCTAGTCCTCAAACTCTTTCTTCTTAAGCATCCACACTTGCAAAATGTGCAACTTCCAATATCCATCTCTAAGGCTGATGTGATGATTAAAAGATGGTTCATGTACAGAATTTAACACAGGGCTGAAACATCAGAGGCGGTAACAAAGGTTCGCCTTGGTGTTATGAGGCACAACCGGAAGTGAACACTGCCCAGCCTCTGTTTAAATGGCCCCTAACTTCCGGCTCCTACCTGGATGCGGCGTTCCTGCCTCTCCCGGCTGCGCTCCAGGCCATCCAGTGTGCTCTCCAGCTTCCGCAGCTCCTCGTGGCCTCGGTCAGGCAGCCCCCCTTCTCCCTGCTGCGCCTGCGCGATCTGCTGCTGCACATCTCTCTTCTTTGCTGAGATCCGCTTTGTCTTTTGCTAGAAGCATTTATTCAACAGATGGATATAAATTGTGCTCTCTAAACAGCTAAGTAGGGACATCAACACCCACGCTTAACAGAAGTACAGAAAGGTGGGCCCGAAATGTATTTTAAAGCTAAGATTAACAGTTGAAATGGTAGTCGGTTGCTATATTAGTCAAAGATGAACATTATTTATAAATATTGTATGTTTTTAATGGTAAACAACATAAATAATTTGGCTTTCGTGTTTTGTGTGCAAATTTGGAGAATATTTAGCATTTTGTGCAATACTCTAGGAAGAGTCTGGCAAAACAATTCATCTGACATGATTCTTCTTAAATAATTATTTTCTGCTTAAAAACACAAAGTCCCAACTCCAATTTTTAAAAATTATTTATTTTATTAAAATGCAAATATTAAGAGATTTATGGCCAGGGGCGGTGCAGTGGCTCACACCTGTAATCCTAGCATTTTGGGAGGCCAAAGCTAGAGGACTGTTTGGGGCCAAAAGCTTGGAACAGTCTGGGCAACATAGCAAGACCCTGTTTCTACAAAAATATTAAAAAATTAGCCAAGTGTGGTGGTACATGCCTGTGGTCCCAGCTACTCGGAAGGCTGAGGTGGGAGGGTCACTTGAACCCAGGAGTTCGAGGCTGCAGTGAACTATGATTGTGCCACTACACTCCAGCCTGTGTGGCAGAGTGAGACACTGTCTCCAAAAATAAATGAATAAATATTTATTTCCTAAGTATATTCGGAATGGTTAATTTGCTGAGATTTTGTGGGGGGAAATTGTCTTAAAGTAAACTTTTTATTGAAGTATAATCTTCAAATAGAATAGTACATAAATCTCAGATATGCAGCTTATAAATTTTCACAAAGTAAATGCACCCATATAAAAAGTACCTGGCCTAAGCATTTTAAAATATTAACATAAATATCTATAATCTTAAATTTATTGGACCTAAAGTAAATGGAAACCCAAAAAACCATTTCACAATGATTGAGAACAATGTAACACCAAATATTAATTTTTTATACTCAGCCATTTTTTAGACAGAGTCTTGCTCTGTCGCCCAGGCTGGAGTGCAGTGGGGCAATCTCGGCTCATTGCAAGCTCCGTCTCCCGGGTTCATGCCATTCTCCTGCCTCAGCCTCCTGAGTAGCTGGGACCACAGGCGCCCACCACCACGCTCGGCTAATTTTTTGTATATTTAGTAGAGACGGGGTTTCACCACGTTAGCCAGGATGGTCTCGATCTGCTGACCTCGTGATGCGCCCGCCTCGGCCTCCCAAAGTGCTGGGATTACAGGCGTGAGCCACCGTGCCCGGCCTATACTCAGCCTTTTTATAATTATTAAGTAAATCTAGAAATCCTGAAGGCTGGGATTTTAAACATACTTTTAATGCAACTTCCGTTTTTATATATTACAGAATATATATGTATATAATACACACACAAACATATTATATAAATTAGCTACCATTTTGCTACTGTGTATCAGGTTAGCTAGAATTTTTCATTAAAATATTTTATTTGAATCAAATTTCCATTTATATTGCGTTTAACAAGGTATATATTCCTTTTATGCAAACATTTGTAATGTGCACTACCAGACTATCAGAAATTAAGTTGATTAAAATAGCTTCTTATCAGTATATATACCAGAATTTCTTTATTTCTAGTTCTAATCTTTATAAGAGTGTACACTCCAGGAAGGTCTAGTACTTCAAGTAAGTCATCATTTCTCAAACTAAAGTGTGTTCAGCGTTGTAAGTTGAAGAGAAAGATTTTAATATAATGACAAAAGAACAGTGATCTCAAATAGGAAGCAATTGGTCCATCTATGCCTTTCCATCTGTTTTGAAAAGGAGAATCTAGCACGTTTTGTGCAGTTTTTCATAGCTAAATCAATTTTCTCTCCACAGTATTCCTTGAACTTTTTGATGTCATCAAGTCACTCGGTCTGGAAATTTATGTTGCAGAATATCCTGAAATGTTTAATATTTAACAGAGAAAGCAAAACCCAGAAGCGCCAAATTCTTTTAGCCATTCAACTCTTCCTTCCCATGCCCCCTCACCCACTCTCTCAAGCCAGTGGTTGTATTCTTTATCTCTCTGGTTCTTTCAGTAGCAAATCAACTTTACATAATCTTGTTGGAAGAAAGAGGCATTTTTACCTGGTGATGAAGAAGTAACTGCTGTGCTTCAAACAGATTTTCAGTATCCAAGATCTTCTCAGCTTGTTCCTGGACTTCTTTAGAGCCAGAAATTAATTCTTCGAGAGAATTTTTGACTATTTCTTTGTACTGGACACAGTCCCCAAAATTGCTTAGCATCTTTTCAACCTATATTTTCATGAAAAAAAAAAACACGTAAATCATATGCTACTTGTTGAAGTTTGTATAATTTTTTTGGTAAGGTATGATTGACAAATAAACATTGTACATATTTAAGGTGTACTACGTGACTGTGAAATGATTCTCCACATCAGGCTAATTAGCCTGTCATCTCACATATTTCTCCTTTTGTTTTTTTGTGAGAACACTTAAGGTCCACTCTCGTAGCAAGTTTCAAGTATACAATAGGTAATATTAACTGCAGTCACCACCAGAACTTTTTCATCTTAGAACTTAATGTTTGTACTCTTCGATCAAAACCCCCCTGTTGAAGATCATGTAATCTTACATATTTTAGGACTGTGCACAAAGTCTACCTCAACCACTTGACATATAAACACAGATCTTTAACTTTTATTCTTTCTCATATTACTCAGCCTTATTCCATTATCATTAAATTTCATAATCATTTATGGGGCTTGCAGGTTTTATTCGATATGGTGCTCTGGGGCATATTAAAAACCCATTCAACCTGGTAATCAAGGAAGGATAACAAAACTGCATATATTATATATATATATATTGCCTTTTAGGTCTCTTTCATTATAATTGCGTGACTAAAACCTAATTATAAAAGTGCCTTACAAGAAAGTGAGTCCGTATTATTTAAAACAAATAGGAAAACATTTGTAGAGTTGAAAAAGAGAATAAAAGAGTATTTGTTATAAATGTGCTTCCAATATTCCTACATAAAAATAAATATAATTTACAATTTTGTAGTCATCTAATGGATTCTCTTCCTTATCATTTCCCTAAATTTTGAATTTTCTTGTCTAATTTCTGCTTCCTCTATTTCAGTTTTACCAACATCCTTTGTTTTCGAAGCCTATCCTTTATCTTCACTAAGATCCTCCTTTTTACATGTTGTCATTTGTTTTCCACAGAAGCCTTCCAGTTTCTTCTTCTTTTATCCTATCTTTTTTCTTTGACTCTCTTCTGATCTAAGTTTTTCCAAGGAGAGCAATCTGTTCTCCAAACAAGCAGCAATGAGACCTTACGAAAACCACAAACTCCCAATTTCAATATAAATCAGAGCAAATCTATTGAAATAATGACTCTTCACTGTATCTTGTGCATCCACCCACAGTCTTTTTTTTTCTTACACTGGACAATTGCAAACACATTGTGTTCAACATTAATTTAAATACTAAATGAATTATTATCAAAGAAAGGGGCTGAATGTGCCACATCCATCTCTTCATACAAATCTATCTGTAAACAAAATGTGTTTTTCTCCTTTCCTCTCTTTCTGCTTTCACTAAGTAAGTGATCAAGTAGTGGAAAAGGGTATTAATATAAATTATGCAGAAGTTTAAGGCAGATGAGTGTGTAAAAAATTAATGTCTGTATGAACATTCATTAGAGAGAGATTCTTACTATAAGTCCTGGGGCAAAATCATGACAGTACTTGGAAGATAAAGCAAATGGCCTTGGTAAATGTTAGGGAAACTACTGACTTCTAACTTTAAAGACAGTCAATTTTTTTTTTTTTTTTTTTTGGTGAGACAAAATATATTACAAGCTTGTCTGTGAATAACGACAAGTATTTGTTTGATCTTGGCTCAAAGATCACCTTCATGTACACTAACTTTTTAGAATGTTGTTTTTGCTTTTCCTGTCACCAAAAGAGGGAAGGAAAGAGCAAAACAGGCAACTGGCTAAATGTGGCCGTTGCTTTGAAAGATGGATAATCAAAGGATTGAAATAGGTTATGTTCCAAAATTTGATTAATCATAGAACTATTTTCAATTTGTCAAAAACTCATAGGGAAACTCTAATTTATATATAAAAATTCTCACATAAAACTAAAATCGTAAGCAGTTCAGAGTATTTTTGGCTTATGTAAATTCAGCACTAGAGTCTCAAGCAGATTTAAATGGATTAAAAACATGAAGGTTAACAGATGAATTGTTAGATGAGAAATCTCTGTGGAGAATTTCAGATTTTCAGAAACAGAGCTTTGTGGTCATTTTCTTGTAATCCATTAGGCCATTTTTCCATGCAAGTTTCTACTTAAATGATTTCAAGAAATACTGGTAAATATCTATTCTACTTTACGTTCTTACATTATCTTCCAAAGCACAAACTTAGATTTATATAAAAACCTGGTCAGTAAAAATATTTTTGCTGATGGTGGAAGTGGCCCTACTGGAAATGAAGTAGATGCGTTTGTATATTTTAATCTATAAAGGAATATAGAAAAACATTAAAATGCATATCAAAGCACTAGGAAGAGAATTTCACTGGCCTGCTGATTAAACACTGAATATTTTATTATTACTAAGAACCAGCTATTGAGCATTTACTCTGTTTCAGGAACTACACTATGTGCTTAACATACATTACTGCATTTAATTCATGATACTTCTTTTTAGAGTGAGTATTTTTAACCCTGTGTTATAAATAAGGAAATCAAGACCTAGATGTTACGTAAGTTGAAGGTTACCTAGGAGGTAGGGTATCACATTTAAACTCTAATCCTGGATTTCTTTGACCCTAAGCCTTATTCTTAGCCTCCATGATTTATCTTAAGCTGACCATAAAATAACAATGCTTTTTATAAGAGTAAAAACAGTGGATTTGACAAGTTTTATATTTCAGATATAGGTCATGAACCTGAACTAACATTTCCAATAATGGCACAGACCATACATCAAACATCCTCTTCATCTTTCCCAACAAGCTTCATACAAAAAAAGCATAACAACAATTCTGTTTCAACTATGGTTTCTTTATAAAATTACTTGCTAAACTACAACCAGAAGAAAAAGAACCTTCCAGATGCCTCACTCAGAACTGTCTGTTTAGAGTGTGAGTAAATGCTGTACCTCTGACAGCAGCGTCACAAGAGCCTTGAAAGAGCTGGATAATTTTGCCAGCTCATCTCCCTGCTTTTGGGCTTCATTCTCAGAAGAAACTTCTGTCAAAACTTTCAGCCTGGATTTCAGCCAGCTGAGGGTCTCACCCCTTTTGGTAACACCATTTCTGATCTCCTGAAATGAGAGAACACTTTTGATGAACACAGTGCAATTGTGAAATCATAACTTTCCAGCAATAAAGGACTCAGCCTAAAAAGGTTTGCAGGTGGAGCAGAATAGAGCCAGACATCATTCAGCAATACAGTGCCTGCTTAGTTTACTTTTTGTATGTACTTTTAACAAAAGTCCACAAGTGCTTGAAAGAAAACTGTTGTCTATTCTTGAATCAGCTTCATAATTAGATTGGTTAGATACTTATAGATATGTCCTTGATGGGAAAAAAGATGATTCTAAAAATACTGTAGAAAAATATGAGACGCCACAATTGGCAACTATAACATACATACACTTTGTTATCTCACTTCCTTTGAGCTGGAAAGAAGATGATATTTTGTGAAAAAATAATGAAAGTTCTTTTTTTCAACCAGCTGATTTCTTTTATTGAAGAGTCTACTTGTTGAATATTGTTATGGATGCTCTAAAGATTTATTTTAACTTCATTAACTTACATTTTCTGCTGAATTTTTATTAGCTTTTAGAAGCCAGTATCCCATATAGCAAGAAGTATAAATGGGAGCACAGCTCTAATTTAGGAAGCGAGGCTTTATTGATAAGAAAATGCTAGAAAGACTCCAGGGCTTCAGACCTTGAAGGGCTGCTGACTGAGGGAGTGGTGACTGGAGCAGCCTGTCCTCCCTACAGCAGTTCTGGGGTGGCTCAAGAGCAGGGGTCCCCAACCAGGGCCACTCCAGGGCTTTGCCAGGGCAAATGCACACCAGCCAGGAAACTGTTGGTTCCAGACCCCAGTGATCTCTTCATTCTAGGATGTGAATTTTTTTTTGTGCGATGCAAGCAACCAGTAGCAAATGTAGATATCCTTCCATATGCATACCATGATATTGAGCACCACTAGCATTTAAGGGGATTGTATAATTTAATTGAAAAAGAAATGGGCCAAGGGCAATAGCTCACACCTGTAATCCCAGCACTTTGGGAGGCCGAGCAGGGCGGATCGCTTGAGCCCAGGAGTTTGAAACTAGCCTGAGCAACATGGCAAAACCCTACCTCTACAAAAAATACAAACATTAGCCAGGCATAGTGGCATGTGACTACAGTCCCAGCTACTCAAGAGGCTGAGGTGGGAGGATTGCTTAAGCCCAGGAGGTCGAGGCTGAAGTGAGCTATGAAGGTGCCACTGCACTCCAAACCTGGGTGACAGAGACCTTGTCTCAAAAAACAAACAAACAAACAAACAAACAAACACTCAAAGGACAGGAACAGAAAGGAAATATATTCTCCCCAACAGCAACTATGTGGCAACTTTGTGATGTGCAAGGGTTAAAAATGTTCAAAGATGAAGACTTTTTACAACATTATGTGTCTAAGAGTGAGAGAGTGCCATTTACAGAATGCAAACTGTGTTTGAGCCTGAGGCTCTGTGGCCCTGGTGGGGTTTTTCAGGCTGTACCCACACTGATAGAGGCTGAAATGAACCAATCCAGCTTAATGTCACATAGAAAGGATGCCTAGAGACCTTGCCCAGCTCCCTGATCTTTCTGTGACCTGCCTTTTGCATGGCTGAAAATGTATTGTATAAAAGCATACAGTGTTCTTGTTTTCCATGATGATTCTTAAGTTTCTACTGGGTTATACGCCCATGCATGCAATTTTCCACTCAGGACTCCCCATTAGTTAAAGATGCATTTGTGGCACCACGGAGCATGACTAACCCTCAAAGCTACCAAGGATTCAATAGGAAAAAACTCTACATGCTCCACAGTAATATAAGGGGACTTATTTTAAAGACAATTTTCAAGAACTTATTTTTTTTCCAGAAAGAAAAAAGCAGAGAACCGTTAGATTCTCTAACATTATTCTTCCACTATGAGAAATTTTCCTCTAGCAAATAATGACCCTGAACTTACTTCAACGGCACGTTTAACCTCTCCGTGGTTGGCAGTATCGATGGCCTCACCCTTGATCCCCTTTAATTGTGTCTCATTTGTAGATATCCAAGATGAGAACTCAGAGAATCTGAAATAACATAAGCACTTTCTTATTAAAGGGAGAACATACCAGAATGATCAGAATATGTTTTCTATTTTGAATTCACTCATGGAAATTTAACAATTAAGTGATTACCAAATTGATTAATAACTTTTCTGGAAACTATTCTTTTAACATGAAGCTCATGTTAAAGGGCAGGGGTGGCCGCCTCTATGCTCAGTTACTAGGGGCAGGGTGATGGGGGAGCTCAGCTAAGGAAAAAGATGTGTTCTAGGGAATGAGCACCTGAAAAGAAGGAAGGGACCACTTGAGGTCTGGCCTCGTGTGTCCCCACCAGGGTGAGACACGAACCTATAGAGGAAGAAGCCACCCTTTAGGGATATGAGATTATACAGTTTGGCTGTGTCGCCACCCAAATCTCATCTTGAATTGTAGTTTCCATAATCCCCACATGTCATGAGAGGGACCTGGGGGGAGGTAATTGAATCATGGGGGCAGTTACCCCGCTGCTGCTGTTCTCATGATAGTGAGTGAGTGCTCACAAGATCTGATGGTTTCATAAGGGGCTTTTCCCCCTTTTGCTCTGCACTTCCCCTTCCTGCCATCATGTGAAGAAGGACATGTTTGCTTCCCCTTCTGGCATGATTGTAAGTTTCCTGAGGCCTCCCCAGCCATGCTGATCTGTGAGTCAATTAAACCTCTTTTCTTTATAAATTACGCAGTCTCAGGTATGTCTTTATTAGCAAAGTGAGAAAGGACTAATACATAAGGATATTGGGGAGAAAGGGATTGGCCAACTTTGCCTCAAAGAGATAACATCTGGGTCACTTGGAAACAAAGTGCCTCACCCTGATTCTGACTAAAATCCATTCCTTTTATTAAATGAAGGATTTTTGTACGAGAACATGAGCAAGAAATATGAAATAAGTTATTTCTTGTTTTGTCATGATCTCCGAACTAACAGAATTAAGTTTGACTACACCCCTCTCTGGAGGCCATTCTGAGGCTACCTGCTAGTGTAGTCCTTCCACTTGTCTGGGTCTTCCATGAGCTTCCTGTAGGTGCTGTCAATGGCAGCTCTGAGCTCTTTGAGAGTCACGTGACAGGTTCCAGGTGTGTCCCTTACTGGGTCCCGCACTGGGAGTTTCACACAGAGTTCCTCGATGAGCTGTAACCTTTTCTCACAGAGATGATGAGGACCTTTGTCACTGAAGAAAACCTAATGTGTAATAAATGTTTTTATAATCCCTGTGAGAAGCCACACAGTACTTCTACATTTTCACAGAAAAACCAAAGGAAGATTCCCACGCAGACTACCAAGGTAGAGTAATTAAGCTATTATTTTTCAGACTCAAACCAAAATATTAGTAATATCCTTTATGGAACAATGTGACTTGACACGGCTATCCACATTGTGGTGTGGGAGACGTACCCTGTGCTCTTTAATTATCTTTTCACTGCCTTCCTGGGGCATCAGCTTGGTCTCTCGATCCAGCTCAGTTCTGCATTCTTCTACAGAGGCTAAGAACCTATTCTTCTCCACATCAATCTTCAGATGAAGCAAATGATAAGGGGCTTCTCCTTGAAGATCCTACATTCCATAGGAAGATTCAGAAAATTAGGATGAAGTTCCTGATTATGTACATTCCCAATTGAAGTGGCAAAAAAAAAAACAAAAACCATAACATATTCCTTTTAGGGCCAGTGTGAATGGGTCACTACTTTCCACACCTGGTCTCTCTACTTTGTATTTTTCCAAGTACCAGGACCACAGCAAATCCTTTCAGTCTGCTGTGGGTTAGGTGTTTCCTCAGTGATTACTTGATTTAATTTTCACAGTAGCCCTGCACCGTATTTTTTTTTTTTTTTTTTTTTTTTTTTTTGGTGAGATGGAGTCTCGCTCTGTCGCCCAGGGTGGAGTACAGTGGTGCGATCTTGGCTCACTGCAACCTCCACATCCTGGGTTCAAGCGATTCTCCTGTCTCAGCCTCCTGAGTAGCTGGGACTACAGGCAGCACCACCATGCCCAGCCACTTTTTGTACATTTAGTTGAGACAGGGTTTTACCAAGTTGGTCAGGATGGTCTTGAACTCCTGACCTAGGTGATCCACCCACCTCAGATTCCCAAAGTGCTGGGATTATAGGCGTGAGCCACTAAGTCTGGCCAGTGCTGCACAGTATTAATGTTCTTATTTTACAGATTACATCATTAAGTCTCAGGGGTAAGTACAAAAGCTAGGATTTTACCATAGATTTAAATCATACCCTTTCCCCTGTATGTGTCCCTTTTGATTTTGTCAATGACCTTGTGAGGTAGGAGGGGCAGCTATTATACCCACTTCAAAAAGAAAGAACATGAGGAAAGCTTATTACTGAAAAAAAGTTTTAAAAAGAAAAGAAAAAAAAAAAGAAAACATAGCCCAGGCTGCTGACCACCTGCCATATCCTCTTTTCCTTAGATCATACATTGAGAAACAAGCAAGCAAGCACTCAAACACTACATAACATTTCATGTTCTTTTAAATGATAAACATAAGCTTCATCATTACCTTTAGTCCCATAATTAATTTTAACTAACTTCTATCCTATGGCATTTTAAAGGATTACCTTTGAAACAGAATACTAAGATGACTGATGAGAAAAATGAGGTGGGCCTATGGAAAGTCCCACCTAGATTAAATCCTAGAGGTGTGTGTGTGTGTGTGTAATAAAATACAACCTTCAGTTATAGTCTTTATTCCATAATACATTTACAATATGATATGCTTCAAAGACATCTAACAAAGCTTGGATTTCTTTAAGAATCCTTTTTTTAATGAAAAACTTGAATTTTCAAATTTAGTAATATAGCAAGTAAAAAGGATATTTCTTTAACTGTGTTTTTCTTGTGCACAGGGATAATTATTTAGCTTATGTTACTGAGATCTTAAAAATACACAAAGTGAGACAACCTGATGGAGAGAGTTTCAGCTGCCAATCTTCTGAACTCCAAAACTCCTCCATGTAGCGCATGTGAAATATCACCTCAAGGTAGTACACACTCACCTAAAGCTAGAGCTGTCTTCCTCCTGTCTACCTCAAGGAAGACAGCCTTCCATGGGTCTCCACTGTGCTGCAGCTACTTCCAGAATCTGACATGCAGTCTGAAGTCAGCCTCCATGGGACAGACTCAGCTCATCTCCCATGGTTCTTCCACAGCCCATGACACAAAAGTCAGACGGAAGCCCGCGGGCCCCCGTGTCCCGCTTCACGCTCTCCTGCTTTCTCCCTTCTGTGCTGTTGTGTCACCCCCTGCTTACTCCCATTTCTGCTTCTTCTGTAAAGTTCTGGCTCAAAACTAGTTACCTGATTCGCTGTTTTCCAATTTCCAAGTGGTTCCACCTCCCTCTTTCAAAGCTTTCATAAATATATGCACATTTGGATTTATCATATTTATACTTGTATTATTTGCAACTAATTATCTCCTTTACTGAACTCTTAAGCTCTTGGGGGGAAGAGGGGTATGCTTTGTTCATCATTGAATTCTTGACTACAAAATGTTTTCATTTATATTTTTTGATCATAGCTATCTCAACTAGATGATAAAATCTTTGGGGGGCAGAAACTATACATACATGTTTTATGATTTCAGTAGGTATACCTAGCAAGATTTATTCAGCAGAGAGAAGCTTATGAAATGTTGCTAGAATAAGTTAAATGTTCTTGCACCCTGGATTAAAAAAAAATCAGGAAACCAAAAAGAATGCTCGAGTAATAGGATAAAATTGATGCTGATAATAAATAGGAATAACACAATTCTATCATATATTATCAGGTTTTATTTAAGTCCAGTTTTTTGAGTTTTTAAATGAGCGAAATAGTTACAGTGACTTTCCAGGAATTTCTAAATTTCTCTTACATTTGGACCTTAACACGCTCAAGCTTCTCCCTTCATTGAGGATGCACGGTGTCTCCGTCCTGTCCTGACTCACCTTCCATTGTTTGTGGAGCTTTCGAACAGCTTCCTGCAGCCCCTGCTGCTCCTGCTCTGGAAGGATGTCGGTGAGTTCATCACAAGCTTTCAGGAAAGCATTGAGCACCCTCTGATCCAGCTGACTGAAAAACTCCTGACATGGAAGGGGAAAGTGGGTAAGAGTGTTGGACAGACGAAAAGGCAGCACCAGGCACAATCAGCCTCTAAGCCTCCAAACAAGCCTCTCAGCCAGCTGCTGCCCTCTTGCAGACTTCCAGGCACCCACTATTGTTTTTTAAGGATGAACTATGTGCACCTATAGTTATGAATCAGAAGCCATCATATCTGAAATTCTACTAGTATTTTTTATTTTTTAGAAAAATTCTTTGTGATTTTCAAATTTGGTAGAATATTCCAAAAGGAATATCTCATCTTCCAAGGGGAGATGCCAAAACCTTGATTCTGTAGCGATAGAGCTTCGGTTCCCCTTTGGTGAAGTCAGAAGAACAGAACAGAAGCCAGGACTAAGCTTCATAATTCCACATTCCCCAACCACAGTGCTTCAGGGCCTGATGCTTCATCATGAGCCATTGTCACATTCACACATGTGCACACAGAAGCACACATGTGCACACAGAAGCACACATGTGCACACAGAAGCACACATGTGCACACATAGGCACACATGCTAGCACCAAATTGTGTTCTTCTTCAGACTCATATGGTATTTGGAGATGGGAACTTTGGAAGGTGGTTAGGTTCAGATGAGGTCATGGGGATGGGGTCCTCATGATAGGATTAGTGCGCTTATGAGGAGGGACACCAGAAAGCTTGCTAGCTCACTCTCTCTGCCATGTGAGGGCACAGGGAAAAGGTAGCCATCTGCAAGCCAGGAAGAGGGCCCTCCCCAGAACCCTACTATACTAGCACCTGATCACAGATTTCCCTTCTCCAGAACTGTGAGAACATAAGTTTCTGTTGCTTTAGCCACCCGTCTATGGCATTTTGCTCTGGCAGTCAAGTAGATAAAGACAATACACATGCACATATTACATATGACTAAGTCTCACACAGTCTCAGGAGTAGACATGCAGAATTATTTTGTAAAAACGGTGATTCAAAACAAGAAGTACCATACTGTAGAGGTGAATAAACTGAATGAGATATTTTGTGTTTTGTGGTCACAGACATTAACCCTAAATCTAGTCTGCAGAATCACAAATACATTGCATATATCATTTGAGAGTGTGGTTTATACAAATAGCCACTGAAATGTCAGGAAAGATAACTCAAATACATGTTCTCAGAGTGCTGGTTATTTCCATATACCATTCATGAACATTATGACTAATATTCCCAATATTGATATTGAGATGATAAACATGAAGATGGCTTTTCATGATAAACATGAAGATGATAAACATGAAGATACTGGGACAAGTTGTGTATCAGCCACCAGACTTCAAGTGACACAGTATCTATACTATGATATGGTGAATGTATAAAATGAGCACAAAGGACTTAGCTAGTCACCTCGAGTTATCTGTTTAAAAGAATCTTTAGTTATAGAAGAATTTGCAAGCTAAATAATGAATTAGTAATTTGGATAACTTGAATTATTCTATGACTGTCTACTATTCTGGGGACTTAGGAATGGCCAATGACAAGTCAGCTCACCAACTCTCTTGAAGTTCTTTTTGCTCACCATATCTTTGGGTCTCATACCTAAAAAGTCTCTGCTTCCCTGACTCATCTGCCCGCTCTCCTTCTGTATCAGATCAGCATGCCTTTTTTAAGCTTTCCTCCAAGGTTGTTTGTCCATGTATTCAGGTCAAGTGTCCCCTAAAGGGTGGACTCACAGTGTGTCTCCGCAGGAGCTCCTCTGGATCCCCCTTTTCCTCCAGGCCCTCCTGAGCAATCCGCAGTACCTTCTCCAACTCTGCTCGAGACTCCTCAAACTTCTTCATCAAGCGACTGTTGGTTTCCACATGCTTCTTCCAATCTCCAGTTTTCTTTACCATACTCTTGATGTGAAAAACAATCATAATGTGATGCTGCTTTCTCATTACTGAAAGGATCATTTTGTTAGAGGGTATTATTCATTTAAAAAGCACTTGGAAAAAAGACATTTCATCATCATGGGAATAATTAACTCTTTTCAATATTAATTAATATTAGGTAAAAAAGTAGGACAATGATTGGCTTCCAAACACCAGCAGGTAAGGCGTTTTAGCAAGACCAAAAGCACGAGTGATGGTTTCTTGTCCTCACTCTGCATTTTCCCTGGCTCACAGCTCTAAAGCAGGGAGAGCAAATTACCTGAAAAGCAACATGAATATCTGCAATCTGTCTTTGTAGCCTCGTCTGATCAAAATGCTTTAACACGTTGCTCAAGGTCACAAACTTTTGAACACTTTGACTGCCTTTCTCAATAAGTGTCAAGGTTTTCTTACAGTTTTCTTGACAAGCTAACAGTTCCTATAACGAAATGAAACCCCACAACAATGTTATTTACAAGACAGAGTGAGAGAGAAAGAAAGAGAGTGACCATTACAGATAATAAGAACAACATTATATAGCTTTTAGGCTTCTAACACCAATAAGTAAAACCAAAAGTATGGTGGAACATTTCAAAAGATCTCAATTTTAAACAATCACTGAAGTCAGTGCTTTCTTATATAAGGCATTTAAATGTTACAAAGAGTTTTTTTTTTTGAGATTTTTAAATACCTCATGTACATTTTATTGTCATTAAGAAAATGATAGAGCATCAAAAGTTGTCTAGGTCTGCATTCCTCTAGTAAGATGATAGGCCTGTTGTTTATTGAGAGAACAATCATGAAATCAATGAATACATATCAGGTTTTAATGTGACTAAACAAATTGAGCATCAATGCACATTCACTTTGCTGAAAGAGATGCACTATATATATATATATAGTATATCCTAAATTTATAATATTTGAAGGTGTACAACCTATCAGCCTTATTAATGAAATGGTAGGGTTCAGATCCTAATAAAAAAAGGCAGCAGACCGATGCACTTGGGGAAGACTTGCAACTGCTGCACATCTGCAGGACAAGATGCAATGGTGACTTACAGACACCTCCACCTCTGACTTGTAGCCTGCAATTGTGATTTTGGCAGTAGACAGCATGGAAATCATTGAGCCCAGCACAAGGCAGAGGGTCATTTTTTGGCTTGAATTACACCATTTGCATTTCAGTATCCTCAACTGCGTTAGAAAAATACTTCAAACTGCTCATTTGGATGCCATTTTTGGATATCCAGATGCAAATATCAAGAGCATGGTTTTTTTGTTTGTTTGTTTTGGGAAAAACAGAATAAAGACATACTTTTTCCTTTTGAAAACTTAGGAGATAAAAGGGTAATATAAGTCCAAAATGTATTATTAGATTTTATTATTAATAATGCTATGAACATTATTTTAATTATGGAAAGATTGTATAATGACAACTTGTACAAATTTAGAAATGTAGGAGATATCACCATGTCTAAAAATGAAAGATAATCTCTATCCAATACAATGAGAATGCAGTTTGGTGGTATAATCATTGTGGCTTCACTACAGATAATAATAATAATAATGCTATCAGTCATATAGTGCCACTTATTATATGCTAGTGACATTATGGTGTATCTAATGTAATATCTGCAATAAGCTTTACACTCAGGTATTGTAGCCTTCATCTTAAAGTGAGGAAGTTAAAGCTAATCAAAGCTTCCTAATTTGCAATATTAGATCTAAGATCTGAATATCTGTCAGACTCATTTCAGACACTCTCGGCTCTTTCTACTAATGATGCTACCTTCCTCCCATGAACCTATGTCAATTAATGCAGTGGCAAACCTTTTGTACATTAGTGTCTCTCTCCTCTGATGGACAGGTTCATTATAATAAACCAAATAACCCAATTAACTACAACACTCAGTAGGAGACTGTTATGCATACAATCTGTTTACTAAAAATGAGACAAAGAAAAATGATTATCACATCAAACACATTTCCAGAGTTTCAAGGTTGTTTAAACTGTCATATTTCAAGAAGCAAAGTAAAGATCTCATAAGTCAGAGGTTATGGATACTGGATGAAAATGGAAAGCAATTGTTTTTATTATATGTATATAAATATATATCAAATTATCTGTCTATCTATCTATCTATCTGTTTTCAAAGTATCAAGAAAAGAAGGCACGTATGCCTTTTTAAGTGAAATTAACCATTTCGTCAATCAGCAAGGCAGCAGGTAATGCCTAAAGCTATGTGTGGGAAGCAACAGTAAATGATTCTCCAAAAGAAAGTCAATATAAGAAGGAAAATATTATATCTGTATATATAATACAAATATTTATATATTTTATATAAATATCCTCTCTGTATAAGTTTTATACATATAAAATTTATATATATTTATCTTTTAGTTATGTAATGTAGAGACAGGATATTTATTTAATTTTCTTATAGTGTCTTTCTACTAGCAAACCTAGGGATCACGTTTCATGAACAAAGCCCATAAAAAGTTTAATGTAAATAAATTCTTATCTGTATTTTTAAAAGGATAGACTATATGTGGTCTATTGCTAGTAGGCAGGAACTCTAAGAAAAGTAAATAAATACAAAGCAGAGAAATAATAGAAAGTCCTTTGATTATGGGTACCCTTAATGTTTGAAGTTAGAGTGGCGGATTTGGCTCCATCTCTATAACACATCCCTTATTTCACAGAGACATTGTGAACTTTGCACTTTCTGTAGTTGGGGCTCAGGATGCATGGCTTACGCGTGCACACAGCAGATGTTTATAAATGCTTGCTGAGTATTGCCAGATCACAATGTTGCTCCATTGATAGAAAGGGGAGCTGGGTGCTCAAAACAAACCATTTTTTCTAACTTTGCTCAACTCAGTGAACTTACTGATTCAGATGAATGAGCCTGGTTTGCACCTGAGTCCAGCTAGACCATTCCCTGGAAACAAACAGCTCACATAGCCCCTGCACTGACAGTGAATGGATTTTCATCTTTGGACAAGACATGTATTTTTGTTTTGAGTTAGTAGTACTATTCTAGAAAAATGTTTCTTGTCCTCACTGAATTTCTATTCCTGTAAGCAACACCCTGGTCTTGTTACACATGCTTTAGAATAATTGTCTCCTGAAAAGGATTGTTCTCACCTGATGTTTTTGTTTAAAAAGGGCACTCGATTGTGCCTCACGCTCAAGAACTGTGATAATTTCATTGATTTTCCCAAGTGAGTCATAAAAGGACGTCATCTGCTTTTCTAATTCCTCCAACGGAATCAACAGCTGCTGAGACTCATAAAGGAGTGGGGAGTAACATTCTTTGACCTTTAAAAACATAAAGACAAAAATTCCATGAAAGACCATTAAGTGCCACTAGCTCAGGGAACGTTCATAGCTCTGAGGAACATTTTCTTTAGTGACATGATCATTTGGTGCTTACAAATATCCAAAGACATTTCTTTAATGATATTTCCTCTATATTGTCAAATTTTGCTGTGAAAAATAATAGTGCTGTACCACTGAGACAAATAAATGGCTACTGAGTTTTCTCATGAAAATTCATCTAAATCGTCCATCTGGATAGCACTTTCTCATCTAAATGATTGTTTTTAGTGAGCCAGATGGCATCAAATTATACTTCATAAACCATGCAACTCATTTTCACTTTGGCCTTGAAATCTGACCTAAGACAGTCATGAATTATTATTATATTACCTAGACCAACCTGTGTCTTCCAGCTTTGTTTTCAAGAGATCGCCTACTTGAACCCTTGACTGCTGATAAACTTAGAAACCTGTTGACTCACTCTTCCCAGACAGGCCTGTGCTTTCCTGCCTCCCACCAGCTCCATGCTTTGCTGCTCCCTGCTTATCAACATCCTACTCATCCGAAGCACTAAAGTCACACCAATTTATTCATGAAGCTTCCCATGCTAGGGGAGGGCTCTGTAGTCCAAACTGATGCAGCCCTTACCTGTCACTTGTCTTGTAAAACATGTTTTAGTTTATAGACCTGCATTGTCTTAAAGATGAGGCCACTAGCTCCTGGAAATCAAGAGCTCCAGGAGGTGTCTACTCTTCATCCTCCAAGAACTTCCCACCTCTTCTCATACTTTCAGATAACCAGGGAAAGGAAATTAATCAGTATTTGTTAGTAAGCCATTCTTTGTTTTTCATATAGTATAAAGACAATAATGTTCTAACCAGATGAGGCATATTCCAAAAAGTAATCCTTGAAGAAAGTGGGAGAGGGCAACATTTTGCTCTACTGTTAAACATAGAATTATGTATGAAGAAACGTTTTTATGTTCTAGGATATACTGCCTGAAGTATACACTCATCAAAAGAAAGTTACCATCCTGCTACTGCAACAAGACTCTGATATAATTACCTTGAACAAAACCAAGAGAGTCTACTAATGTGTATACAAATCAGTGTGTTTTATTGATCTCTCCTGGGTAGAAGAGAAAACCTATCAAGATGCTGCATCTGAAACAGTAAAAAGGCAAATGACAATTTGCTTTCTCAGGGGTTGTCCTGAACACCTAAGCATGGCTCAGGCTAAGATGTGCAAGCCCAGCTATGGCCCTGAAAGCTGCTGGGGAGTTATCAAATTGGAAATGTTGACTTCAAATTGTACTTATTGTTTAGCAGCTTTTACTAGTAGCCAATATTATCATTATTGCCCACAACCTTTAAATTATAAATAATTCTAACTTGAATGTTAAAATAAAATGAACTGAACATAAACATTCTCATACATACCATATTGATAGATAAAATTTTCTCTTTTTTATGGTCATGATTTTTCCTATTTTAGCTTTTTGAATGCATTCTTTTTCATTAATTCCCTACCACTGATGTCACAGAGGTTATTCTCTTCCTTTCTACCTTTCTTTCCTATTTAACAGGGTCTTCTACTTTGTTTCTACTTTGTTTTCCCATTCTTCATTTTAAAATATTTCCATTCATTTATTATAATCACTTCTCTCTTTTACTAGAAATTAATTACCCAATCTAGGTGGATTTTGCAAACAATACCATCTTCCTAAAATTCATATTTGGATAGATAACAAATCCCAATGGAACTTCCAAAGCTCTTAAGGAAAATCACTGAATAGACTAGAAAATGCTTATGACTAGTGCTTACATCCATCTAGTTCCCTGTACAGAAAAGGTATAAATGTATATAATCTTTTTTTTTTTTTTTTTTTTTTTTTTTTTGAGACAAAGAGTCTCGCCCTGTCACCTAGGCTGGAGTGAAATGGCGCGATCTGGGCTCACTGCAACCTCTGCCTCCCGGGTTCAAGTGATTCTCCTGCCTCAGGCTCCTGAGTAGCTGGGATTATAGGTGCACGACACCATGCCTGGCTAATTTTTGTATTTTTAAGTAGAGACGATGTTTCATCATGTTGGTCAGGCTGGTCTCGAACTCCTGACCTTGTGATCTGCTCGCCTCGGCCTCCCAAAGTGCTGGATTATAGGCGTGAGCCACTGCACCTGGCCTAAATGTATATATTCTAAGCCTAAGTGAGCTCCATGAGATGAGGAGGTCAGAATTTCCACAGCTTTGTGGCTATGCTTGCAGAAAATTGCACAAATAAGTTTGGAGTGGAGATATATCAAACAAATCTTAACCAATTCTCATTTAAATTTATGATCCCCTCTTCTTCCTCCTCCTCATCTCCTTTTTCTCTTTATCTCTCTTTCCCTCTCTTGGTTTTATCACATGTAACCGTTCCCCAAAAGTATCTAACTTTCTATTAAAATATAGCTATAATACTTCTAAATTAACAGAGGTAATACTTGGTATCAGCATCATAGTTTTATTTTTTTTAATTCATGACAAAGTTACTAAATTGAGAATCCCAATTAGAAACAAAAGCATCGTTAACAAGTAAACACTTTGCCCATGGGGAGAAGGAGGTAGCAAGCAAGCTGAAGGCACTGTTGGTGTCACACAGCCTATTGTGCATTAAATTATTTTCGCACCTTGGTTAGCTGCTCTTTGAGCTTTGACATGGTCGCAAACATTTCTTTTCCTTCTTCTTGGGGGCTTTCTTTGGTAATGAGGTGTGCTGTCTTTGTAATTATCTTGTATTGGGCATCCATCACAGGCACCCTCTGCTCAATATCCTGCATGAATCATTGAAACAGCCAGATTCATACATGACACATTTCCTCTTAACTTCCGGATTCCACAGAAGGCAGAACAAAAATCAATATGCACTGTATAAAATCCAATACTTACACTAAACTTTCGACGATTCCAGTTTTTGCTTCCCTTCATTACTAATAAATATTGGTAATATTATATAGTTAATAAAATTTTCCTTTAAAAGTGACCAAAACATCAAGATTAGCTGAAATGATCTTTGTACTTTCCAAAACAAATCCCATGTTAATGTAGTATGGAAATATAAAATAAAATGTAAATGTATATTTAAAATGTGGGGGAATTCTGACTTTAAAAATTAGACTGGTTTTCGTTAAAAAAAAAAAAAGTAACTCATTGCCATTATAAAAACTTATAAATTAGAAATATTAGGATAATGACAATTTAAATTACTTATAGTCTTCTCCCACAGTAAAACCCAAAGCCAACATCTTATCTATACATCATTAAGTTTTTTTTTCCTGTGTTTACACCCATTTTAAAATTTTTACAAAGACAAAAGAATGATACTGTTGTTTGCTTTTCTCATGTAACAATATATTGCAAAATCTTACCATGTCATTAAAAATTCTTCCACTACTTCATTTGTGAGAGCTGCAGGCTATTCAAAATATGCAAATACCACAGTTCATGCAATAAATCCTTTATTATTGAAAGTATTTAGGTGCGGGTGCTATCTATAGATGTCTCCTGTTTTTTCCTAATACTTTTTAACTTGGTTGTAGAAAAAAAAAATCTCCAAACTGAGAAACAATTTGAAGTTACTTTATATGATCAAGTCATGTCTTTTTTATGTTCAATACATTTTTTTCTGACAGGTGCAAATTGGGACATACAGACATGTCAAAATGATGCCCAGGAGACACAGAAACAGCTTTTGCAATGATCTGAATAAACTTGCTGATCTTTCCTCTCACAACAGAGTAGGCTTTTCATTTTGATTCAGAAACCCCTCACCTCCAAGTCTTGAATTAATAGCTTGACATTCATAAAAGAGACTTCTAAGGGTTCAGAAAGTTTCTTATGGGCTTCCGTTGCAAAAGCAGACAGGGTAACAACACAGTCTGTGTATTCCTTCTTCATTCTGTCCATCTCATCAGCTTGAGCATACTGTTAAGGAAAGGGAGGAGGGAACATCGTGAAAGCCATTTAGCTGCGACCACTGGAACCACAACTTTCACTTTCACATATTCGCTGGAATTGTTATCCGGTAAGAAAGACTCTAATCTTTGATTCTCATTTTAGATAAATTTGAAGTAAGTCCAATTAGTTTGAAAGAAAAAAAGAAACTAGCATGAAAATGAAGAAATATGATTTGAAACGAGAATCATTCCATATAAGTAGGCTCCATATGTCAACATAATCCTTAATCAAACTAATGCATTTGTGTAATATTCCTCCATTATACATGGAAAAGAATGAAGAACCAACCATAAAACACACCGGTTTTAAACATATCTATGCTTTGCCTTAATAAACCCGTGCTCTAAAAATAGCATTCTCTCTAAACAGACTACTTATCACATTTGTAACACATACACGTTGAGGTGTATATAGACTTGAAAGACATACTTGCTTGACTTCCATAAACAACTCCCTCCACCGCCCATTTAGCAACAGTAATTGCTGCTTCAGGTCACGGGAAACCATCTCATCACAGGTTTCAATTAGAAAATTGCCAGCATCGTTCATGGCAGTATGCTGCTGAATCCAATGAGGTAAATTTCGAAAAAAATCCTAAACAATAAATAATGCACAATATCATAAACCATAAACCAAATATCAGTGACTGATATGAAAGTGACTAAAGTAGGAAAAATATTTTTGTTTTAACATTCATGTGAATTTTAAGATAAATCACAAATCTCTTTAAAATGCACATTTTTGATAAAAAGTTTCAAAATGTGAGCTAGAGATACTGTCTTTTTTTATAAGAACAATTGTGCCATATCATTTGCCGAAGACAAAACAAAACATGATGACCATTTTCTGTTATTTCTGTTTTACAGATTAAAAAGCTGAATTTCTGTAAGTGTAAGAGACCTGTGCATAACCTTCAGGCTAGTAAATACCAGTGCCAGAGTCATATAAAAGGCATAATACATTAGGGAAATATATAGCTTCCTTTTTTATTTGTATAAATTGATGGGGTATGAGTACAATTTTGTTACATGCATAGATTGTGTGGTGGTAAAGTTGGGGCTTTTATTCCTTTTTAAAGAAAGAATAGCTTTCTTTAATAATTTCTTTTTGACCTGCTACTTTTGATTTTTAAATTTCAGTGTAGTACATTAAGATAATTAGCAATCATGGAGATAAACCATCGAAGCAAAAAATTTTAAATTAAATATCTGAGTCAAGAGCACTTAGTACAATAACACACTTTCTTATTTATTTAAGGGTTCCCTCTTGGCAATGAAACAGTTTCCAACTCATTTTAAATAAAGCGTATGTGTGCACACGCACACACACAACACACATCACAGTGAAAAACAAGGATACCAAAGATAATTCAAAATCCATTTCGTAAGCCTTGTGTGGGAGGACTTTCCTACATATATAAATAGATTAGAACACTTCTGTTTCTGGTGGTTATATTTCTTTTGATCAAATTAACATGTATGACATCCACTAGGGCACTGCCAGTCTAATCAGAAAAGCCAAAATCTGTATGGGTACATAGTTATTGCCTCCCTCAGCTACACAAGAATAGTTGATCTACATGAAATATGGAATGGTAAAACATTTAAAAGTGATACATCTACTTGTCCAAACAATAATAGATGAACCAATCTTGGATGGCATGTGGTAATTCTAATGCATGCATTTTTAGTATCACTTACATATAAATTGATTTTCCATGTAAAAATGCCAGGCTCCCATTAGGAAGTATATAAGCAGAAATCAGTCCATTTCATGTGACATTTACATATAAGTGACATTAACATAAAACAGTAACTCTCACAGGCACACACACATACACACTTATAACTGGCCAAAAAATAAATCACTCCTACCCAGAATGAGACCCTTGCTTGAAGGTTGATAAAATCCAAAACAGAATATCTAACGAGATACAAATGTCATGGTCCAGTTGTTCAACTGGCGTATGCTACCACATAGATCCAGTAGTATGTGTTTCAGCACTACGTGAAAACAAAGTTGTTTTCATCCTCTCTTAAATCAGGAAATCCATGAAGGCTGGGGCCCTAGACACTCCCCTTCATAGACAGACTTCAGGGTAATATAGTGCCCTCCCCTTTGCTGCCCATTGGATTTACTCAACCCTCCATCAGCTTCTATTAAGCAGTGTATTTATTGGTCTGTTGCTAACCTGAAAGTGCAACTTTTCAGGCAAAGTCAAGATTCTTGAGTGACACTTGTAAATATATGCGACCCCCTAGTGAGCTACGCTGTAAAAGTCTCTCATTTTTACATACATCAAACGTCTTTTCTTTTTGCATGAACCAATCTTACCTTTTTGGCATTTTCTGATTGATTGAGCATTTTTTCAGCATCCTCTAGCCAGGCTTGCAGACTAGCCACTGTATTGCCATAGCGATCCCAGTTAGAGATCACTTCTTCCAGCATGCTCCTCACACTCCTCACTTCTACTGAGAGATTCCTCCACTGAGCGGTGGTTTCATTCATGAATTTCATCACATTCTCAGCTTCTTCCACTGAAACAGATAAAACCAATTATAACCCTTATCTCATATTTTAAATCCTCTACACCTTTTTTTCTATGGTCTTATACATTGGTGTGCAATAGTATCCATCACAAATGCCAGAGTTCATTTCCAACAAATATGACAGACATAATTACAAATGGAAAACAAATGTATTTTACAAATTGTGTCTTTACACTAATTAATTTCTCATTTACTTGATTGGTAATCCTTAACGTATTCTATGCTTTTGCCTTTAATCCTTAGATGCAATTTAGAAAATGAATGCTTATTTTGTTCTCTCTTAGAAGAACACATACACACACACACACACACACACACACACACAATGATTATGCAGGTTAGGCATTGTACAAAGCCAAGGGAACTGAATCCAGTATGTGTTCTCCTGGCCAATGGCAAGGTCACTCAAAAATTCCACGGACAGAAAGAATGATCTGATCAGATAGAAACCTGCAGGCTCTAAATTCTACTGCAGTCTACGTTGCAACAAATTCTGTAGTATGTTTTACCTGAACCATCTGCTTTGACATACATCTCAGCTGTCTGTTTCAAGATCTGGTATGTCACCTCATATTGTTCAAAGAACTTGCTATTTTCTATAAAAGACTAGAAAAGGAGGAATGGTTAGAAGATAGCAAACATTAGGCTCATGTAGAATGCCAAAGTCAATTTTCTTCAGTATAGCTATAAGCACAGTTTACCCAAATTTGTTAATCTCAGTCTTCTTGAAAACATAAAATTAATTCCACTGCTACAAATTACCTAAGATCATTCTGAACACATAAATTGATTCCACGCTTTTGATTCTAACCCAGTACAGGACTGAGAAAATATTCTATTTCTTCACCAACCAAGGGTTTGCTTTTTGAAGAGACAGAAATTTCTCCAGAGAACTTGGGTCTAACATTTAGAAAGCACTAAATTTAGAAGAACATTTTAAAGTGTCCCACTGTGTCTCAGCTGCGGAATTCTGTTGCTCTTTGAACATTAATCCTGGTGAATGACTGCTCTGAGGAACTCCAGATTATAAATAAATGACGGTGCACAAATGCTTCCCTTAAAATAAAAAGTCAGTAGAAAAATTGGAAATAATTACATATTCTATCCATGTTATCAATGGTCTCACATTTCAATGACCTATTACAGAAAAATTGCAGTAAGACATGTTTATATATCTATTTGTAATTTATATATATAATAGAATCACTACTGGAAAGTGAATACTATAAAATTGAGAATAGACAAAAAAGTTCTTAGGTAAATGTTATTATTGTTCATTTTTAGGAATATAAAATAATGTGCGTTTCAAAGATTATTATTACTTCTTGAAAGTAGAAAATTAATGCAATTACAGTTAAGAACATATCACCAAAGGCTCTTTAATTTCTTGCGATAGTATAATGAGTTCCTATGATTTGAATCTATTAAAATACTTGATAAATGTCACGGTCATAAATACAAAATTAGCCTTCAAAAACCAGCTGAATTCTTGTATAGCACGCTGATGAATGCTTAATATAGAGATGCAAGACACTTGTGTGCAGAGGAAACATTATTCATGCAGCAATTTCATAGAAATCTCTGGATTTTTATTGATAACTGTTTTGAGATAACATTTTAAAAATTGTATCTATAACATATTTCATATCATTTTATGTTTATAAAGCATTTACTTATAAATTAACTATTCTTCAGGGATAAAGTGAATAGAGAAAGCTGGAATGAGAGGTTCCATGATGAATACTACATTCAATAACTTTAATTGGCTTTATTTTATTTGTTTGAGAATAAAGTCAGACAATAGTATTCTGATTAATTCACTATTTAGCCTTATATCTTCTTATTACAACCCAGTTGAGAAAAGAATAATTTACTAGAATTTAAATTTTGAATAATTTAACTAAACAAGCAATTCATTATTTGATCAAAAATGGAAAATTATACCTAATGTTCAAGATACTGCGTAAGAAATTGAAGAAATAATTATATTTGGCAAAGTTTAGAAAAGAATCTGCATTTAGTATTGGTACAAATTTCAAGAAGCTAATAGCAAAACAATTTTTCTAAGTGTCAAAGAAATGGGAAATAGTGCATGTGGTTCATAGGAAGACTTAAATATGCTTTTCCTAGAGAAGTTTACAAAATAATTAAAAATGAACAAGTGAGAAAATCTTATTTCCAATTTAATTTCTGGTCCACGAGGCAGGAAAGAGGGGAGAATGTTTTCAGAAAGAATGTTTTATAAATGCTGTAGACACTCATTAATGTATTTTTGAATTTGGCTATTAGGAAGACTGGATGATTAATTTTTAAAGAAAGATACCTATTTTGTATTTTAAATTTGTATTGGTCCATTTAATTTGGTCCTTTTTTTCTGAACATGGAGTAAATGCATTTAGCAATATGGATTATTTTATCTATTGAATCACTTTGGCAGAACTGCTAAATCTCCATTTTACTGTAAGCTATTTAGACACACCTGTCAGAAAAATACAAATGCATGTTTAAAATAATAATAACAAGATTCATTTATTTCTTTCAAAATGAGGTTGAAACTTGGATCCCAAGTTCAACAAATAAGCCATTTTAATCAGGGGACTTTTAAAGTTGATGGTGCTTCAAGAAAAGTAAATGGCATACTTATTTTTGGTATTTAACTTTAGTGTTAGTGACCGCATTTCTACTTTCACAAGATGAGTGTAAATATAATAAATATGAAGCTCATCAATTTCACTTGAATGCAACTATGCCAGATTATTCGAGATATTTAAAATTAACATTGAGGAGAGGTTTATCAAGACTATTTACATTAAAATATAATTATGAATAATAAAATGAATATTCACACTATGTTGCATTCACACAGTCCACAATTTCAAGAGCTGTTTTTTTTTCTTTCATGTGAAAGATTGAAATATTAGCCTCTTTTTTCCATGGTGAAATGGAAGCACATGTTTTGGTCATTGTCAACAATTCTGACAGCAAGGACTAAACCAATTACCTTTTGGTTTGCATTACAGCATGCAATCACTTACCAATGGCATGTGGCCTAAATTAATGATAGAAAGGATTTGTGAAGTATTTTCCAAGAATTCTTTAAGCACTCAGTGGCTGCATATCTGAGTTGGATGTACATTCTCTTTCTCTAACACTTAAAAAAAGTATTCTTTCTTTTTTGCAGGACGGATAAGTCTGAATTGAGAATTATGACTAAGGAAAATATAATTACGGAAAATTTATGGCCTGAATATTACTTTGGTTATTAGATGATGTAGAAGCATGTAGCTTATTATAATACTTTATTTTTATTTTTATTTTTTTGAAATAGGGTCTCACTCTGTAGCTCAGGCTGAAGTGCAGCAGCAAGATCATAGCTCACTGCAGCCGTGAACTCCAGGGCTCAAGCCATCCTCCTGCCTCAGCCTCCTGAGTGGTTGAAACTACAGGTGCACACCATGACACCAGGCTAAATTTTTAAAATTTTTTGTAGAGACAGAGTCTCACTATATTTCCTGGGCTGGTCTCAAACTCCTGGCCTCAAGTGACTCTTCAACCTAAGCCTCCCAAAGTGCTAGGATTACAGGTGTGTGTGAGCTGCTGCCCCCAGCCCTTTTTTGGGGGAGTGTGGGGGGTGTAAACCAAGGAAAGAATTGCACTTACAAAACTGACTTTGGTGATTTGTGATTTTATTTGAAAGTTTTCAGCCTCTTTGAAATAGCCTGTTCTATAATGAATGATTTTCCATAACACTCTAAAAGGATAAGAGAGGCTCTATGAGGTGTTAACATAGAATAAAAACAGTATATGTCAGTCTTTGTTCCCTAGAAAAATTCCTACCATTTCATTATTATTATTATTATCATCATCATTATCATTATTAAACACTGGGGAAAGACTAAGCCTTCTAGAAATTAAGTTATTCACAGACACATGGGTGCTCAGTAGCTAAACCATGACCAAACACAGTTCTAGTGGCTGGTATCTGCACTTCATCAGTTCCCCACCACTACAACCATGCTGCCTCATATATAACTAATAGCAACTATGAGGCTTTCACAGTACACTTACAGGTATGTAAGTGTAAAATATTGTCAGGTATGGACCAATATTAAATTGAACTGATATTTATGTGAATTACATTCTTTAGATCACTAAGACGTAAGATACCATATCAATGATTTGGTCTGTTAAGTTAAAAATTTTTTTTACAATTTTTTTTAGATTGTGATATTCAGCACTTAAGCTCAAGGGCTTTTGATTTGGAAAGATATGGATTCAATTTCTGATTCCACAATTTACCACCTGGAGCGTGTGCCGCCAGGAGCAAGTGACTTGAGTCTATGGAACCTCAGTGCTCCTGCACTGGCTCCTTGGTATCTAAAACAATGTGAAACCCCCAGTCTGTAGGGCCATCACTGAGATGAAAAATGATGCATGTAAAACACTTGGCATGTGGGAAATGCTCCATACTCCACGGTTATCAAAACTATTAAACAAAATTACCTTAAAACCCTTCACAGAAAAGAAACACGAGTGATAAGTAGGTATTCTTCAGTAGCAGATGAGAGTACTAGGAAATGTTAATTAAAGCATGCTACGTATGTAGGATAATCAGCAATTTTATGAATAGTTATGAAAGTTACAAGGCAGTTTGGAATTAGTAGCTGAGTGAACTTGATGAAGTAGGCAGGGAGTACTAACGTTTTTATCATTAATAATTGTTTATTCACATATCATTTGAGAAAAAGAGAATTATTAATATCATTGTGTTGGAACATTAACCTGGTGGAATAGTCTTATTAGCTGTTTAAATCTGATTGGCTGTTCTGAAATATCCAGAACAAAGACTGTGTCTGGTATAAATAACTACTGGGCTGAGAGGGTATCATTTGGCATGACTAAATCTGAAAATATACATGCATATTTGTATTTCATATTTGAAGAACTAACGTAATTGCTTGAAGCTTAAAATCAAGTTTTTCATAACTTTCCAAAACAACTAAAAATGAGTAAAGGAACATAACAGATTTTGCATTTTGGAACAAATGTTTCCTAGACAATTTTAGTAAATCTAGGGAAAGATTTTACTGTAAAGCAGTTAAATCATTTTTTTCTCAACTGTATGTTGTTCACCCGTCACAGAAAATGAAATTAAAATGTAGCAAAACAGATTATAGTTCTAAGATGCTTCAGTGAAAATATGGTTTCAATAAGTACTTCAAGCAGAACATGTTTTAGAGTCACTGTGACTAATCAAGTTACAAATGGGTTTATATTTTAAAAGATCATTGATTTATCATAGTATTTGTGTTTAAACATAAATGAAACAGTACAAGACTAAGATACTCTATTAACATTAATTTTATGAGCAAATTTGCATTGAAAATTAATTTGTAGGATGGCCATGTTTAATTAACTAAGAAATAACCTGTCTTTAGTATCTATAATACACTAATTACATGTAAGTGAAAACTGCTAGTTACAGAGCAAACAAATTCTTTCATCAATGCAGGTCTATGATTCTAGTAAACATAGAATTATCTATATTGATAGCCCAAAATGTGAGATAATCCTTAAAAATTAAGTTGGTACAGAGATTCATAGATAAAATGTTACTCTTCCAGGGTGCACACAAGAGGCAATGAAGCCCAGGGAATTACGGTAAAAAAAGACACAGTGGACACAATCTAAAAAAAATAGATAGTTCCCATTTGGACACTTGAGAATGGTTCTAAACTAGTCATAGTTGAATTTTAAAAGACATGAAGGTAATCTTTAAGTATTTTAATGTAGTTGAAATGGTGACCTCCAATAAAAAATGTGGGTATGCAATACAAAAACTTTTTTTAAAAATCAATAAAGCCAGTCAGGATGGTCCCATATGATTAATGCAGCAAAGCATTAAACTAAACTGAACTAGGGGATTTTAAATAATCAAATTCCAAAGAAATAGGTTTAGATTTCAGATAATTCTGAAAAGCTCATAAACTTGTATCTAACCCATTTAACACACGCTATCTTTATGTTTAAATTCAAGAATTAAAATAACAACATCAAAGAAACTGAACTGTGTTGCTAAATCCATGGCTCATAGGAATTCTCTGTCAAAGCACGGGGGACTCACCACGTAGTTTTGTAGAAGCTGCTCCACTGACTCTCTCCTCCCGTACTTAATGATCCAAGACTTCAGCTTTGACTCTGCAAGAACCAGCAGTGAGAGCAGACGGTACTTTAATTCTAAAAATTCCATTTTCATTAGGTGTAGCTCTGATGTGGAGGAAACAAAATGAAACCTAGAAATAAAACAGGGAGAATTTATAGAATGTAACTAATAGTAACAGAACTGATGCTTACTTAACCTGTTACATGTCAGCCTTAAATAGAATGCAGCCACAAGCTCTTCTAACTCTGGCTGATCATTTTCTGGAAATCCGATTCCTTTTCTAGCTCTGGATTTAAAAGCAAAGCATGAATGATTGAAGTCTTCGATTTAGTTCTTTCCCCTGCCAACACATCTCTCGTCTGTTTCTTTTATAAGCTGTTTTTGCAATATTACATAATGTTCCTTACAGTACTGAACAAAAATACAGCCTCTGAAGAAACCATTTCTGTGATTTCTAGGCTGTGGATAAATTCAGAGTCACTCTTTTCAGTTAATAATACATTAGAATGGTGGCATTCTTAGCATGTCTTATGGGAGCCCGCTTTCTATTTACCAAAGGTAGGCGCCTCTGTTAAAAAAAAATCATGAAAAAATAAAAGAAATATAAAAAGCGTCCACCTAGTGTTTTAAAAAGAGACTTCCTTTAAATGCAGATATTCTCTTACCTCTCGGCCATGTCCTCTAATTGATCAGGTGGCACTGGAATCCCGTTAACAGACCTGGTCCGGTAGATTTCATGGAATGCTCTTTTGTGGGCATCCGTGTTTTGAAGCAGATCCTAAGATACAGTTTAAAAAAAAATAAAAAATGAAAAACATGTTTCACAGAGGGCTAAGAAGCATAATTTCCAGCCCGCACCGATGAGTCAATGTATTCAACAATTTGATCCCGCTGCCACATTCAGAGGCAGCTTGGTGCCTGTCAAAGGCTCTTACCTTGAATAGGAGCTGGGTGCTTGTACTTAAAACACTATGCTGGAACTGCATCTAATAATTATGCATCTTTTAAACACACATGACACTTGCACAGCAATGCATTCAGACGTTTTAAAGGCACATGATCCAAAGGAAAATGTAATTACTGCTATGAAATGATTTTAGTATTTTTTGCCTTTCTGGATATGTTGGTTTTTAAAAGCTTAAAACTGAGCATGACAAATTGAAACCTTTAATGGCAAAAGAGATTAGGCTTTCTACTGTTATTTTACTTTGAATGCATGCAGACTATTATAAAGTGGTATTTGCTTGCCATCTAAAGTAAATCAATCATATTACAATATATTTTGAAATACCCTTTTGATTAGAAAATTTCAAACAAGTGCAGGGAATACCCCATAGGTAACACAGTGAGAAGATTAAATGTGATGTTAATAAATATTAATTATAGACTGTATAGAACTCCACAGGTTTGATTCATTTATTTAGGTTAATTTGAATCTTCTTTGATTTGTTTGCTGTGTTTTTCATCATTTACAAACTAATTTCTAAAAAGATGTACATGTATTTTACACTCCCTCACCAATTTCTCACATAGAAGCAAGGAAGAAGTCAGGTGAAAGGAGATTCATGCCTTAATTTCTAGAGCTTAGTTTGTGTCTTGATTGCAGAATAAATACAGTACTTAAAAATGTGTCACTCATTGAAAAAGTAAGACATATTAGACCACCAAAATAATACATTAAAATTAATATTTTTATCTCATACTAAAATTTAGCAAATTAGAGAAATTAGTAGCAAAACCAGCCTAAAATCAAGAGACACACTTGGTGGGACAAGTGAAAACTTTTCTATTATAAATTAAAATGTTCAGGTTTGTATATGCTTGCCCACATATGACATTTTAACATGGTAGAAAAACCTTAGGGCCAAACTATTTCTAACCTGATATATTTTGCTATGATCACATTTTGACCTGCTTTGACTCTGAAGGTAAGTGCAGAGATACTCACAAGTCATGTGTGCCTCAAGGGAGGGTATTATGTGAAGCCAAGAACTCATCACAGGAGGGTAGAGAACAAACAGGTGTTCTTAGAGCAGCTATTGATGATGAGTATTCTAGCCATTCTCTACCTCCTTTACCACACACAGACACATTACTGTAGCTTATGGTTGGGCTGAAACTTTCCCAAGTGACTGCAGAGCACACTTGGAGTTATCACCCCAGCTAGCTCTGATTTGTGACAGTTTTTAAGTATCTACTATATTGAAAAAGTCTTTACAAGCTACCCAAACAAAAACATTTTCACACATATGATAAAAGAAATTCTTAGGCCGGGTGTGGTGGCTCATGTCTGTAATCCCCGCACTTTGGGTGGCGGACACTGGTGGATCACGAGGTCAGGAGTTCGAGATCAGCCTGGCCAACATGGTGAAACCCCGTCTCTACTAAAGATACAAAAAATTAGCCAGGCATGGTGGCGTGCACCTGTAGTCCCAGCTACTTGGAAGGCTGAGGCAGGAGAATCACTTGAACCCAGGAGGTGGAGGTCGCAGTGAGGGAAGATCACACCATTGCACTCCAGCCTGGGCAACAGGGTAAGACTCTGTCTCAAAAAAAAAAAAGAACTTCAACAGTTGGCATGATGTCACTGATTCCTCTGAAAGGCCATCTCACTATAAAGCAGCTAGATGCTGGGCAAAATATATGATTTTAATTCACCTTGCTGGGTTCACAGGAAGTAAATGAAATATTTTAGGTCCCCCATTCTTAGTAAAACATGACCCAAAAACTAGATCACAGACCTGTAGGCAAAAAACAAATAGACAAATCCAGATTGTCCTGGGCAAATATCTACACCACTGCTGAGAGAGATTGAGTCTTACAATGTGAACAGGATGAGGACACTGAAATGAGATCTCCTCCATTTAGTCAGAACCCTCAATGAGGGCTAACATGGCCAGGTTATTAGCAAATGCAAATACAATAGGAGGAAAGCAGAGACCACGAACCACAGGAAACAAGCCACCATGAGTGAGAACCAGCAGAAACAACAAACTTATCATGCTAGAAAAATGTCAATAATTTAATACTTGACAACAATGTGTAAGATAAAAAGGACAGTGGTTTGGTTAAAGTATTCATAATTACTTATATTGATTAAGAGGGGGTTAAGATATGGCTAACTTTCAATTTTGTTAAATATCTAAGGTCAAATTTTGAGGGCAATCATACTGTACAACTAGAGTTTATAACTTTCTTGCTAGTAGAAATAAAACCATGGAATAAGAAAAATGAGGAAGGAGACAAAAAGCAAAACCTCCTTAATCAACTTATAAATAGCAAGAAAGTAGAAAAGAAGAAAAAGTAGAACAGTTAGAAAGCAAAGACTCAGATGCTAGAAACAAATTCAAGTATATCAATAATAATAAATAAATGTGAATAAAGTAGAAATTTACTAGTTAAAAGACAGAGATTACCAAATTGGACAAACAAACAAAACAGAACTATCTTCTTTTTACAAAAGATACACCTAATCATTAAGAACATGGATAGGTTAAAATTAATAAAATGGAACACATGTCAGGCAAATACTAAGAGAAATCTGATATAAATGCATTAATATCAGACAAAATGGATTTCAGAACAGAAGCATTATAAGTACAGTCACTCCTTGACTCATGATGGGGTTATGTCCCAATAAAACTCATTGTAAGTTGAAAATGTTGTAAGTCAAAAATGTATTTAATACGCCTAAACCAACCAAACATTATAGCTTAGCTTCACCGACATTAAATGTGCTCAGAACACTCACATTAGCCTACAATTTGGCAAAATTATCTAACATAAAGCCAAATTTTATAATAAAATGTTGAATATCTCATATAAGAATATCATATCTCATGTCATTGCTGAATGTATATTGCTTTTGCACCACTGTAAAGTCAAAAATTGTAAGTTGAATCACTATAAGTTGGAAACCATCTATAATTAATTGCATAAAGATTAAACTTTCAACTTACTAGAAGGTACATTATTCCTGAACTTGAGCATGCCCATTAAACTTCAAAATATATAAAGGAAAAACTGATAGAACTGTAAGGAGAACCTGAACTATCAACATCACTGTGGGGTTTATCAACATGCCTCTCTAAATGAGATAGAGCAAAGGAAGCAAGTGTTATAGCAGCTTGTTGGGTAAAGAAGGGAAAGGGCTGCAGGAATGGTCTTTATAAGAACTTGTGGTGTTTTGATAATGGAAGCCAACTAGGAATTTTGAGCAGATTGGTGAAATTATCTCAGCTGCATTTTAAGGATCACTGTGGCAATTCTTCTGAAAATACCCTATCCTCCATACGTTTGCTTCCCGTGGCTTCTAAGACAACACTGTAGCTGGATTTCCTCCAACTTCACTGGTTGCTCCTTCTCAGACTTTTATTGGTTCTTCTACTCTTCAATCTCTTAATACTGGATTCCCTCCAGGATCAGTCCTTGGTCCCTTTCTCTTCTCTGTATATACTTCTTTATTTAATTTATCCAGTCTCAGAGCTTTAAACATCCCTCTAGATGCCAATGACTCCGAATTTTTATCTCCAAGCTGTACTTCTTCCCTGAGCTCTCTTACCTATTGCTTACTCCACATATCCTCTTGGATGAGAAAAAGACTCAACATGCCCCAAGCTGAATTCCTGATCTTTCCTCCCAAAGCCGCTTCATTGTCTCCTATTCTTAATTGATAGAAACTGTTTTTTCAGTTGCACAGCCCCCAAATCATAGTGTCATTTATGACTCTTCTTCTTTCACGGTATGTATCTAATGCTGAAAATTGTTCTGCCCTCACAACATATTCAGAATCTGTCCATTTCTCACCATCTCTACAGCTACTTCCCTTGTTCAAAGCACTCTAACTGGATGATGGAAATGGTACCCTGGCTTCTGGTCTCCATTCCTAACCCAGTCTATTCTCACATAGCAGCCATATCATGAAAATACTGTCATTCCTTTGGGAAAAAAAAATGGGGCTGGGTGCTGCAGCTTATGCGTGTAATTCCAGCACTTTAGGAGGGTGGGCAGATCACTTGCACCCAGGAGTTTGAGACCAGGCTGGGCAACACGGTGAAACCCTATCTCTCCAAAAAATACAAAAATTAGTCAGGTGTGGTGGCCCATGCCTGTAGTCCCACCTTCTCGGGAGGCTAAGGTGGAAGGATCACTGGATCCTGGGAGGCAGAGGCTGCAGTGAGCCATGACCACACCACTACACTCCCGCCTCGGCAACAGAGCCAGACCCTATCTAAAAAAAAAAAAAAGAAAAGAAAAGAAAGAAATAAAATGGATGAAAAAAGAAGGTTAGAACATTGTGGAGCAAATCAACAATGCCAAAGTGTGATTAAGGAAAGTGAGGCAGTTCAAAGAAACAATATTGGGGAAATATACATAGGCACAGAAAACACCACAAAATATATAAAACAATATTCTGAACAATTTTATGCTAATAATTCTGAAGACTTAGTCAAATGCACACATTTTTAGAAAGTATGCATTATCAATATTGACCCAATTGCAATTTTGAGAGCCTGAATATGGGGAGACAACAGTGAAAAAAAATCAATAACTCCCACTTTTATGGAGTTGACATTATAGTGCAGAAAATCAAGCAAAAGATAAGATAAATGATTAAAACTGGTAACAGTTGAGATGATGATAAATGCTAAAGAGAAACATCAAATGGGAAAGGGGAAGGGGAGTTTGGGGGAAGTTGTAATTTCAAAAGAGGTGGCCAGAAAAGGGTGGATGAAGAGGGGACCTTTTAGTAAAGGCCTTAAAGAGATGAAGAAGAACACAACGGGAATATCAGTAAGAGGATGTTTCAGACTGAGGGATGAGAACATTCCAGAAGGATGGCAAGGGTAAAGACCTCAAGGTAGGGAATATGCTTGCCTGTTTGATGTCATCTTTTCAATGAGGCTTCACTGACAACCCTATTTAAAATTGCAACAACACCTAATATCCCATGTCCTTTTACTTTCTAACCTAAATTTACTTATTTTTTATATTTATTACCTTTATCTGCCTCCTCTCACTAGAAGGTAAATTAAGGGAAGGGATTTTTGTCTGTTTTGCTTACAGATGTATCACAAATGCCTAAAACACTGCTTTGCAACTGAGAAAGCTCAACAGATATTTGTTGAAAGAATAGGGAAGACCAGAAAGGTACAGCCAGGGGAGTAGGAAGGAAACTACAAGTGGCACAATCATAGCTTACCCACTGCAGCCTTTAATTCCTGGGCTCAAGCAATCCTCCTGCCTCAGCCTCCCGAGTAGCTGGGACTACAGGCATGCACCACTATGCCTAATTTTTTATTTTTATTTTTTGTAGAGACAGAGTCTCGCTTTGTTGGCCAGGTTGGTCTCAAACTTCTGGACTCATGTGCTCCTCCTGCCTTGGCTTCTCAACATGCTGGGATTATAAGTATGAGCCACCATGCCTTAAAGAAAGTCTTTCAAGGGTAAAGGGACAACTATGTGAAATGTTTGTGACAGGTGATGTAAGAAGACTGAGAACTGGCCATTGGATGAGGAATGAGGCAAAGCCTGGTAAACTTCACATGGTAGATGGCAAGATAAAAGCTTGATTGGAATGGATTTTAGAAAGAATGAGAGAAGAGAATTTAGAAAGAAGAAAGAGCCAATTCTCTCAAAGAGCTTTGCTGTAAAAGGAAGGAAGAAAATTGGACAGTAGCTGGGAGGGGAAGTGGGGCTAAGAAAAAGACTTTTAAAGATGAGTTAATGGCAGCATATTTGTATGTGGATGAGTAAACTCCAACAAAGAAAGAAAGAGAAAAAAATAGAGAAGGGAGGAAGGACAGGAATTACCTTTTGGAGAGAGGGTGGGATCTAATGTACACATAGAGAGGTTGGCCTCGGCCCAGAGCACAGATGGTTCACCCATAGTAACAGAAGTGAAGAGCGTGTATTCGGGCACAGATGCAATTGCGTAGGTGGGTTGATGTGGCCGTGGGAGCTGGTGGCAATTCTTTTCTGATTGCTTCTATTTTCTCAAAGAAAAAGGAAGTAATGTCATCAGCTAAGAGTGAGGATGGGGAGGAGGTGTGGAAGGTTTGAAGAGACAAGATATGAAATAGTTGTCCCAGAAATGAAGAGGGAATGGAGTCGGGAAATGCCTTCTGATTGCCAGGCACCATTAAGGGCCCACTTGGGTTAGTCATCGCGCCTGGGGGTGTGTTTTTTTCCAGCCACAGTCAGCTACATGTGTGTGGGCATGAACTAGGCAAAGAGCTGGCTTTCACCGGCATTGTGTTTTTACCAGGACACTAAAACAAAGTGAAATACGGACAAGGCAAGCGAGGATGTGGATGAGTGGGGCTTTTACATTGCATTTAAGCAGAGCACAAAAGGAGATGGTAAAGAGAACAGGATACAGTGAAAAGGTGGTAGGGTAACAGATTATAGGGCACAGAGGAGATGAAGCCTTGTCTGACTGGAGAGGAAGGTACTTGACAAAGAGCTTGTGGAGGGGTCTCATTTACTGGTGATGAGCATTCTAGGCTATGACTGTGGAGTGAGTGGCTAGGGTTGGGTGTAGGACAGGATCCTGGGGGAAGAGGTCAAGAACCTGAGAGGTCATGATATTGGGAGGATCATCTCTAGGTTACTGAAGTTATTAAGAATTATGACATGCATTGTCATCCAGGAAATAAAATCTTCAAGAAAGGAAGGCAAGTGACCTAGGTAGGGTTGGTAACTGCAATAAGGATGTGTAGCAGGTGGCAGAGCCTAATGGCTACTTTCATGATTCCTTATGACTGAAAGCCTTACTTTGCCAAATCAATACTAAGAATAATAAATTAGTCAGTATAATCACTCTACAAGTATGATAAGCAATAGCTTTGTGGTCACATTTTAAGCCTAGTGCTGAAGACAACCTGGCTCATCAGCTATGTGACCTTGGGCAAGTCACTTAACCTCTCTCTGCCTACACTTTCCTCATCAGCAAAAAAGGATAATAATACCTATCTCACATCCGTCATGTTAAGTGTTTGGTAAAAATCAAATACTTAGGACTGAAACATGGTTAAGTCCTCCATAATAGTTGGCTATGGTTATTGTTATTTTTCTAGATAACTGAACATTAGGGTAACTGGAAAATAGAAAAGATAATACAGGTACACTATGTTTTGCAGAATACATAAGTTCTTACACATATATACATATATACGTTAATTTTTCAGAAATAGTAAAACAAAACCACTGGCAGAACCATTCACAAAGTGAACTCTCGGAAACACACCTTTAAAAAATGATCTGAATCCAACTTGCAAACGTTGCCTATGCATTAAGTGTTGAAATTGTGTTATTTTTTTAAAAGGTGTGAAGAATGAAAAAAACCAAGCATTGTAACTTTGATAGCTTGTTCAAGTTTTCTTGACAAAAACCAGAATTACTTTTTAGACCAAGATGGGAAGACAATATTCCCAAACATTCTTGATCATACATCAATGATTCCTAAATTGTGATTTTCCCAATTTATTGCATCTCCAAGTGAGCCCAATATACCAGCACAGAGGTGTTACATCAAATCGAGAGACTGAGTTGGTGCCATTGAGGAAACTTATAATTTTTAGTTGTTTTAATAAGTCAAACTTGGCCAGGCGTGGTGGCTCATGCCTGTCATCCCAGCGCTTTGGGAGGCTGAGGCAGGCGGATCACTTGAGGTCAGGAGTTCAAGGCCAGCCTGGCCAACACGGCGAAACCACATATCTACTAAAAATACAAATATTAGCCAGGCATGGTGGTGGATGCCTGAAATCCCAGCTACATGGGAGGCTGAGGCAGGAGAATCGCTTGAACCTGGGAAGAAGAGGTTGCAATGAGCCAAGATCGCACCATTGCATTCCAGTCTGAGAGTGACAAAGCGAGCCTCCATTTCAATAATAATAATAATTCAAGCTTTTCACCCTCAAAGCTTAGCTTATTATAGGCTCCTAATATATATTTTTCAATAAATGAGAATTGATTTTAAAATTGACAATTTAATTGTTTTATGAGCTACTTTAAGTACCCATGCCCAGGCCTAGTAGAAGTTCCTACCTCAATGAAAAGATCATTCTAATATTCACCTTGAACCTGGCCTGAGCCCCTGTCGCTGCTTTTTACCTTTATCTCTTTATTACATTCCTTAGTTTTCTCTTCAGTCTAGTCCTTTCTGGGTTTTTGTTTGTTTGTTTGCCTCAGATAACCATTTTCTCCAACTCCTGCCCCTCTCTCTCTCCCTGATCCACTTCATTTCTGGTTTCTATGCTTTGTTCACTAGACTTTGGCAGAGAGATTGTTCTAGCTGTATTCTTGGGGGTTGGCACAGGGTGTCTCTCTCTCACTGTCTCTCAAGGGAGCTAGAAGGGCTCATGAAGGGCCTGAAATCATATAGCCATTGAAACACACAGATAGCATGTGCATTGGCCAACTTAGGACTCACTCCCCCGTAGGAGATACTACTGTCTATAGTGTGCCTTGAATTAATATTTCTACAAACTGTTATAATTAACTAGTAAATAGCAGTTACATTGTCTGGCATTTTCTCTGTGGTGGGACATTTAAGTCAAAGTTAAAGGTATTATACAAAGAACAATTGTGTAGATGCTTCTCAGACCTCTAGATTGGAGGCACCACAAACGCCTGGACCTCGTCTGTGCCCCTCACCTGTTGCCCTGGAGCTGAAAACCTGCACATAGTAGGAATATTTGCTACCATGCCTATTTGCTGAATTAACGTATTTAATTCTCAATAAATATACATTCTACATTTCATTTAAAATTCTAAGTTGACTTCTTTAGTATCAAATATTTACATCAATTAAAATAGTTTCATATGTAGGTAACAGGTACACTAGAATCCTAATCCCCACCATTATGTAATATACTCATGTAAGAAACATGCACATGTACCCCCTGAATCTGCAATTTAAAAATAAATAAATAAACAAATGCCAGTTAAGGTAAAAAAATAGTTTCAATTAAGTTTTCCATGAAAAAATTATTGTGTGTTATATATGCTTAGTTGCTAATTTGCTAAAGATGTTATTGTTTGTGTAATACTATTTTCACACTTTTCTCTATTTTTAATATACTGGGGTGATTCAAAATTGACATGGCCCAGGAAACTGATTCAATCCCAGGAAAATTCTTGTGACTTGATCTCGTATGAGGCCTGAACTCTGGGTCCCTTACGGCATAGCTGCCCCCACTTTAGGGCACTAAGGCACAGATAAGCAGGCCCCGCTTTTATTTGTGAGTATCTGCACAGATGAAGAAGACCCCAAAGTCATGCTTGCATCTGAGAAGCCAAATGACAGAGAGTTCAGTGTGTGTGTTTGTCTGCGTTGGTGATTGGGGGAGGAGAGGAGCTAAGAGATCATCAGCAACTTTAAAAGTGTCTAAAGGCACTGAGTATCAGAAAAGGCCAAGAGGAAATGGAGGCAGGACCCTGAGTGATGGCCTCTGCAGATCATCAAATCTTGCCGTGGCCATCTGGTTTGATGAGCTTGTCTGAGGTTGAGTCTGTCAAGTTGAAATGGCCAAGATCGGCAATGGCATCACATCTCTGTGTCTCTGTATATCTAGCTCCAAAAGTAAAGCCCCAGAGAGGCATAAAATAATAAAAGGCAATAAAATCTGTTGTAAATTTGCTTTATGATCTTGTCTAGAATACAGGACAGTGTATTTCCTTGGGGTAATTTTTCAAAAATATCAATAATTTGGCAGAAAATATACATGGGCTATACATTGCCCATGTGTAGTCAGGAGTAGAAATCTCTATTTTTCACATATGCAGGAATACCCCACCACATTACAGCAAATGAAGTATACAAATTCAATTGCATAAAATGCAAGATTGCATTAATGTGATGTTAATGAAAAACGGCATTTTTAGTTAGGCCTGTAATATCACAAAACACAAAGAGGAAATATATTGGAAATTATACCATATACAACTGATCATATACTAAGTTTAAAACATCCCAAATGACTAAGAGACCATCAAAGCCTAACCCCACCACTTCCTACAGCCTCCATTCCTTCTACCCCCACCCCACAGCACCAAGACATAAGAACTTCTGCCTGCCTTCCTTTGAGAATGGAGGCAGAAATGAGGTCTGGAGCCAATGGCCGGCCACATTATTATGTAAATGCATACCATCTATGCTTATCTTTTGAAAAATAATATATAACAACAGAAATAACAAAGATAGCTGCAGATGAAAAAAATACCACACAGGTATGGAAAATATCTCAGGAAGTCAACCCACTGGAACCGTCATTAACCAGTGTAAGAAAGAAACAATCAAATTAGAGAACTCTAAGAAGGTGTGACGTCTCCGATCATGTAGAATTAATATTTGGGGCGTCCCCGCCAGAGCAGGTTGTAACTAGGCTACCTCTCCAGACCACAGTAGGGCTGTTATGCTGCAAGGTTTTCCAACCAGAATTTTTACCTTATGTTGCTCAAGTTTCCGTTGTATCGTGTTTGCTGTTTCCTCGTGGACCTGTTGAACGGTTATTTCCTCTCTCAGGGCCACCTCCGCTCTGTACAGCCAGGCACCTATGGTGCCCAGAGGTGCAGGAAGAGATTTATCAAGCTGTATATGCCAGTCAAAGAGCTAAAATTTAAAAAGCAGAAAAGTAAAATATCTTTAATACAGATGGCAATTTATAAAATTGCACCCAAATAATAGTAAAGCATACATAAAGCTTTAAGTTAATGATTTCAGGCTAAGTTAATAAATATCAAATAAGCAAATGTCTGTGTTCTGAGTTTGACACTTTAGGGATGGGGAGAAAATTACAGTTAAAAGCAAATTTTGAAGAAACTGAAAATACATCTTAAACATGGAAGAATATTATCAGAAGTGTAAGCAATTTTCCTCTTACAGGAGTAGCATGAAGCACCCACTGATTTTCAGTGTGGCTTTTGCTGAAAGGGAAGGGATCAGGTTTGGTGACATGCTTGGAGGATGCAGCAGTTATACACCTGGCACATGTGTATCTTGGTCGTCGGAATGAGAATCCCATTAAAACCTCCCACGTGATCAGAACAAGTTCAGAAAAATGAGGATTATCTAAGCAGCTCTGGACAAAGATGGGTTTAAAGGATTCTTTCTATAATCCTATGATTGTCTACCCTTCTCTCCATCTCTTCCATTTTACCCAATTCTCAGACACATTTCCTAGCTTACTGGAAAGCCAGGTGGGATGAGTTGAGGTGCTTAGGAACTAGCCTATTCTTTAATGGAGTCACTAGAAAAAATGAGACTATCAAAAAAAAAATTAGGCTGGGTGCAGTGGCTCACTCCAGTAATCCCAGAAATTTGGGAAGCCAAGATGGATGAGATGCTTGAGCCCAGGAGTTTAAAACCACCCTGGGCAATATAGTGAGATCTCATCTCTACAAAAAAAAAAAAAAAAAAAAAAAATTAGCCAAGTATGGTGGTACATGCCTGTGGTCCCAGCTACTTGGGAGGCTGAGGTAGGATGATTGCTTGAGCCAAGGAGGTTGAAGCTGCAGTGAGCTGTGATTGTGCCACTGCACTTTAGCCTGGGTGACAGAGCAAGACACTATCTCAAAAACAAAATAAAATAAAGTAAAGAATATATGGTAAGTTCAAGACAAATATTCTTATTAGTGATAGAAGTGTTCCAGGGGTTTGAAATCTTGGCCTTTAAGCATGAAGAATATGAATATGAAAGATACTGAGCAATTTTCCTTCAGATTCATGATCAGATAAAAAAAGATGCTTGAATTAAAGAATGCAAAACTGTATGTCAACACAGGAAGGTCATTAACTGTTGATGAAACATGATTTTAGAATACAAGAAGTTGCTGTGGCTCTACTCTGGAGAATCTGCTACAAGACCAGAGAGTCACCTCTTCTAAACCACCCAGAAGGAAGTTGTGTAAAGTGTGAAGTGATCCAGATGGTCTCAGGACTTTAATCTATCATCTAGTTAATTGCTGATATCACATAGAGGGAAGCCAAGGCAAGAAAATAGCTGTTAAACCAAAGACTTCCATTAACTTACAGGAAAACTAGACAAGGAGGCAAAGATTCTCCCATAGTTAAGTCTTTCTAGCCTCAGACAGAGGCAGTAGAACCTGTTGCCATACCACTGTGTAGAAATAGATGATGAAAAATATTCTTTTCTAAATTTATTAAGCTCAGTATAACTAATTGTGGGAGAACTTACCCTGGAGGTCACTCTATCCCAAGATTGTTTTACCAATGCTTGGTCAAGTGACAATTTACCGTCTCTGTGTAATGGTTGTATTAAATGTTCAATCTGTTTCCTCTTCATTTCATATTGAACTCTGAAGTGCTTAAATGACTAAAAGAGGAAAAACAGCAACAGTATGGCAATGAGTCAAAAAAAGCAAAAGCAAAGGAAAGCACATTTCCTAAATAACAATCTTTTCTATTTGGATAACACTCAATATATGTTGTTGATAATAATAACGGTAGTTATGATACTAATAGCAGCTGTCATTCATCAAGCCCTGACATAGCTTGACCCTGTGCTAAGTGCTTTCTTCATATTATCCTCTCTGGTTCTCTCCATCACCCTACACATGCATTATTATTCTGAAGCCCAGAAATGACTTATCAAGGACAAGTAGTAGAGGTAGGACTAAAGCCTAGGATTTCTCATTTCTAGTAAAGTAATTTGTGTACCAGTATATGTTTGTCAGGAAATCATAGTAAACAGGAGTATAAATCTTAGCTAATAATCAAGATAGTTGCTTTACTTCAAGTACCAAACAATTTACAAATAGAAATTGCATATATCAAAATAATGCAGAATTAAAGCTGTCTAGATTTGTGTTTAAGTAAGCCTGCATAAAGAGGTTTACTTTAGGGGACCATGTTTACATGATAATCCTTTGCTTTAATTTCATGGTATTAAAATATTAAGTATATCACAGTACAGTTGACATCAATGTATTATATGTAGACTTAACTATAAGCTTAATGCTAACATTAAAACAATTTTTAAAGTTTTATATTTTACATTAACTAAATTAACCCATCCTAAAATATGACTCCAAATCTAAACATAAAATGAAAAGATAATTAAAATGTGCAATTATGTTACAGGAGAATGGCCCCACAAAAGTTAGCAGATAACACAACTAAAAGAATTTCAAAATTATAAACAAACATGTAAATTCACGTGAAGAACACTGGGGGGAGATAGTGAACTAGAATTTTATCTACAAGGTTTTCTTTCATTTTCTCTAACTGAATGGAATTTTAAAAATACCAAAACATAGGCTGGGCACGGTGGCTCACACCTGTAACCCCAGCACTTTTGGAGATCGAGGCGGGCGGATCATGAGGTCAAGAGATTGAGATCATCCTGGCCAACATGGTGAAAGCCCGTCGCCATTAAAAATACAAAAATTAGCTGAGCATAGTGGCGCATGCCTGTAGTCCCAGCTACTCAGGAGGCTGAGGCAGGAGAATCGCTTGAGCCTGGGAGGCGGAGGTTGCAGTGAGCTGAGATCACGATCATGCCACTACACTCCAGCTTGGCGACAGAGTGACACTCTGACTAAAAAAAATATTAAAAAAAACAACAAAAAAATAAATTTAAAAAAAAACAAAACATCAAATCAACTTTTAAATTTTATTCCACAGGATTCTGAGTGAAAAAACTGGAAAATGCAGCATTTGCTACAGATTGAAAGAGATTTAAAATGCTGATTACAGAATGTAAAGATGAAATGAAATTTTCCCTAAATTCAGATTTCAGAGAGACTCTAAACCCATTTTTATGAGACTAGTGATCACCTTCGGGCTGAAAGGAGGATTTCTGTTTTCTGTTTTCCTAAGCCTTTGTTTCCCTCATGAACTAGCATCTGTATAACAGATAGCTTTATAACTTGGAATTTATTTTTTGATAATTGGTGCCAAACCTAAACCTCATCAGTGGACTAAATAAGTATATTCACTCTGTTCTTGCAATTCTTTTCTCCATTTACTGGCTTAATCATTTTTTAATGGATCTCAGCCCAGAAAATTTTATTTTGGGGAAAAAAGCTTACACTGAATTTCAAAGCAAAAGAGTACATGCATATTAACCACATATTTATTGCTTTGCTAAGTTTGACAAATATAATATTGATGCTATCATCCACCTAAATTCAGGCATATTTTAAAGATACAATTATATAAAATCACTAATGCCATAGATAAATCTTTTGTCTACCATGTTGAAGTTCTCACTTCATTTGACCTTTTTCTGTAGCAGAAATGACTGAAATATGATGTCGAGTAGAATATATTACAGAATATAATTCAGAATATACTATATTTAATTTTGCCACTAAAAGGGACTGATGTTTTACATTGGGAAAAATGATAATGCTGCATCAAATAAATCACAATTTTTATTAATTTTTATTTTTTCTCCAACTTTTATTTTAAGTTCTAGGGTACATGTACAGGAAGATTTGTTACATAGGTAATCATGTGCCATGGTGGTTTGCTGCACAGATCAACCCATCATCTAGGTACTAAGCCCAGCATCCATTAGCTATTCTTCCTGATGCTCTCCTTCTCCCACTCCCCCACAGGCCCCAGTGTGTGTTGTTCCTCCATGTGTCCATGTGTTCTCATTGTTCAGCTCCCACTTATAAGTGAGAACACGCAGGGTTTGGTTTTCTGTTCCTGCATTAGTTTGCTGAGGATAATGACTTCCAGTTCCATCCATGTCCCTGCAAAGGGCATGATCTTGTTCCTTTATATGGCAGCCTAGTATTCCATGGTGTATATGTACCAGATTTTATTTCTCCAGTCTACATTGATGGGCATTTGGGTTGATTCTGTGTCTTTGCTATTGAAATCACACTTTGTAAATGGGAATAAACTGTGTTTTGTGTCTTGGAAGTGAAAATCAGAAGCAGAAGTCCAATTAATGACACTGTAGTCAGACTGGAGAAAAACATTAACTCTGAGCTCAACTTGAATGCAATGGTGTTGGACTAGGCAGGTCGCAGTCGAAACTGATCCCTTTAATGGACCCTCCAATACTCATGTTGCAATCCTTTGTTAAATTCAGTTTATTTTATACTAATTTTCAATTTGACTCAACTCTTTGTTCTTGGTAGATTTTTGGGTTAGGTGAGATCTATAAGATCATGAGTTCTGGCCGGGCATGGTGGCTCACGCCTGTAATCCCAGCACTTTGGGAGGCCGAGGCAGGTGGATCCCGAGGTCAGGAGATTGAGACCATCCTGGCTAACATGGTGAAACCCCATCTCTACTAAAAATACAAAAAATTAGCCAGGTGTGGTGGTGGGTGCCTGTAGTCCCAGCTACTCAGGAGGCTGAGGCAGGAGAATGGTGTGAACCCAGGAGGCAGAGCTTGCAGTGATCCAAGATCACGCCATTGCACTCTAGCCTGGGAGAGAGAGTGAGACTCCGTCTCAAAAAAAAAAAAAAATCATGAGTTCTATAAACACAATGACTCTGCATTTGTTTTCCAAGTCATCTATAAGACTGAGTTATGGAAAAGTGATGAAGCCTCAGTGCTCCATATATAGTGTGGACACAATGCAACTTAAGACTATCTACATAAGTTAGAAATACAATTATTAAATTATATGCAAACTTAGGGTAATGAATGTTATGTCTTTAAAGACTTTTCTCATTAATGTAATTTGAAGCATTAAATGGAGATCAAATGACATATATAAATATTAGTCAAAAATAGCTTTTGAAAAATTCAAAAATCTTCTCCATACAATACCTGATATTTATCCTGTAAATTTGATTCCACCATCTGTGCTCTTGTCAAATCTCTCTCAAATTGTTCTATCCAAACTTTCATTTCCTTAAAAATTACTCTGTCTTCTCTCTGGAAATGAGGAGACATTACAATTTTATTAGTATCTGTGCATTTATTTAATTGCTGATTAATACTTGACTGATTCTAGAAGAGACTTAATATTTAGTAAGTCCCAACTGTCTCTGAAAAATTTCCTTTCTCCTTACCCCCACCTTTAGGACAGTAAGAAGCAAAAGTTAACTCTAGAAAAGTATCTTAGTTATCTTATTGAATAACGAAATTAACCAACTCCATTTTTTTTTTGCCAAGTAACGCTAATTTAATAAAGAAAATGTGACCAGGAGGGAATTTCCTAAGTACACAAATAATAAGAGTAATAGCTGGAGTAGAAACACAGTCCTGTGGGTTGCTTCCTACCCAAAGCCATTGGTAACCCAGAAGACAGTTCTAGATGGGATTCATTTTGACTGAATTTGAGGAGTTACACCCAGAATACCATTGGGTGACTTGTCTATATTACTATTTAAACTGATATTAGGTATTACAATCTCCATGTGGACAGAAAACACATTTATCTTGTTCAACACAGTATTCCTAGACCCTGGGAACATAATACCTATTAGAGATTTATCAAGTTATTTGGTGAATAAATGTATCCAGGTCACCACTCATCTCAAAAATGAAAAATAAAATTGGGATTTTCATACTTATTTTCACAAATAATGACAAGGGCCATTCTATAATAGCACTGATTTAGTGAAAATATCCTAACTTTTCATCAAGATGTAGTGTCTCATAAGAATGCCAAGTATTCATAATCATACCGTACATGATTTTTCGGCATTTACAAAATGCAACTCCAGCATCTCACTTGCTGCTGACAGTGCTGTGACACAGGTAAAATGACTGTCCCCCTTGGCAGGTGATGTTTCCGAATGGAAAGAATGCCATTTATGGAGGCAGGCTAAACTGGGTTTCAAATTCTGGCTTTGCCATGCATTAGCTCTGTGAGCTTGGTGTGTCTTTTTTTTTTTTTTTTTTCGTTAACCTCTCTACTGTCATACTACAGGATGTACTAAAGGGTGTGTTAAATCATCACGGACCCTTTCAATTGTTTTGCTGAGAATTAGAGGTAATCTATGTAGCATGTCCAGTACAGAGGTTGTCACATTCTCATGATCCATGCCTTCTCTCACTTTCTTGTCTTGCAAAAGCAGTTGTCTTCTGCCTAAACACTTACCACATTTTCCCTTGGATAATGCCTTTTTCAGAACTCGGCTCAGGCACAACCTACTCTAGGAAGATTTTCTAACCCAGAAGTCTGAGTGAGGGCATCTGTTTCCTATGCCAGTGGTTCTCTCACTTAGTACACACTAGAAATCATCTGAGGGGCTTATAAAAACACAAATTGCTGGGCACCACCCCCAGAGTTTCTGGCTGAGTGGATGTGGGGTAGAGCCAAAAATCCGTATGTCTAAGTTCCCAGGTGAATCTGATGCTGCTGGTGAAGGAATCATATATTGAGAACACTTCTCTATGATCCTGTGACAACCTCAGCGCTAATATTCACCCAAATGCATTATATAAAGTCAGCCCTCTGTTTTCTTAGATTCAATCAATAGCAGATTGAAAATATTCAGAAAATAAACAATAAAAATAACAATACAGCAATAAAGATAATACAAACAAAATACAACACAGTATAACAGCTATTTAAATAGCATTTACTTTGTGTTAGGTATTATACATAATCTACAGATTAAAGTATATGGGAGGATATGTGTAGGTTATATGCAAATACTACACTATTTTATATCAGGAACCTGAGCATCATAAATTTTGCTATCTTGGGGGTCCTGGAACCAATCACTTGTGAATATCTAGGAACAACTACACAAAATCCTTGTCAGGCCTCTGAGCCCAAGTCTGCACGTATATATCCAGATGGCCTGAGGCAACTGAAGAACCACAAAATAAGTGAAAATGGCTGGTTCCTGCCTTAACCGATGACATTCCACCATTGTGATTTGTTCCTGCCCCATCCTAACTGATCAATTGATCTTGTGAAATTCTTTCTCTGGACAATGAATCTCGGAAGCTCCCCATTCAGCACCTTGTAACCCCTGCCTCTGTCTGCAAGAGAAAAACCCCCTTTGACTGTAATTTTCCACTACCCTCCCAAATCCTATAAAACTGCCCCACCCCTATCTACCTTTTTCGGACTCAGTCTGCCTGCACTTGGGTGATTAAAAAGCTTTATTGCTCACACAAAGCCTGTTTGTTGGGCTCTTCACACGGACACACGTGACATTTGGTGCTGAAGATCTGGGACAGGGGGATTCCTTCAGGAGACCAGTCCCCTGTCCTCACCCTCACTCCATGAGAAGATCCACCTATGACCTTGGGTCCTCAGGCCAGCCCAAGGAACATCTTACCAATTTCAAATCGGGCAAGCGGTCTTTTCACTCTCTTCTCCAGCTTCTCTCGCTACCTTTCAATCTCCCTGTCCTTCCAATTCCAGTTCTTTTTCCTCTCTAATAGAGACAAAGGAGACACATTTTATCTGTGGACACAAAACTCCAGCGTGGGTCACGGACTTGGGAAGACAGTCTTCCCTTGGTGTTTAATCACCGTGTGGATGCCTGCCCTGATCATTCACCCACATTCCACTGGTGTCTGATCACTGTGGGGATGCCTGCCTGATTATTCACCCACATTCCACTAGTGTCTGATCACTGTGGGGATGCCTGCCTGATTATTCACCCACATTCCACTAGTGTCTGATCACTGTGGGGATGCCTGCCTGATTATTCACCCACATTCCACTAGTGTCTGATCACTGTGGGGACGCCTGCCTTGGTCATTCACCCACATTCCCTTGGTGGCAAATCAATTGTGGAGACGCCTGCTTTGGCTGCTCACCCACATTACAGCCCAGGGCTGCTCACCACCCCCTTCTCTGTGTCTCTACCTTTCTCTTTAAACTTACCTCCTTCACTATGGGCAAGCTTCCACCCTCCATTCCCCCTTCTTCTCCCTTAGCCTGTGTTCTCAAGAACTTAAAACCTCTTCATCTCACGCCTGACCTAAAACCTTACTGCCTTATTTTCTTCTGCAACACTGCTTGGCCCCAATACAAACTCAACAATGGTTCTAAATGGCCAGAAAACAGCACTTTTGATTTCTCCATCTTACAAGACCTGGATGATTTTTCTTGAAAAATGTGCAAATGGTCTGAGATGCCTGACATCCAGGCATTCTTTTACACATCAGTCCCTCCCTAGTCTCTGCTCCCAGTGCGACTCATCACAAATCTTCTTTCTCTCCTGTCTGTTCCTTCAGTCTCCACCCCAAGCTCTGAGTCCTTTGAATCCTCCTTTTCTATGGACCCATCTGACCTCTCCCCTCCTCACCAGGCTGCTCCTCACCAGGCTGAGCCAGGTCCTAATTCTTCCTCAGCCTCCACTCCCCAGCCCTATAATCCTTCTATCACCTCCCCCTCCTCCCACCCTGTCTGGCTTATAGTTTTGTTCCACGACTAGCCCTCCCCAACCTGCCCAACGATTTCCTCTTACAGAGGTGGCTGCAGCTCAAGGCAGAGTCAAGGTTAACCCTCCTTTTTCTTTATCTGACCTCTCTCAAATCAGTTAGTGTTCAGGCTCTTTTTCGTCAAGTATAAAAGCCCAGCCCAGTTCATGGCCTGTTTGGCAACAACCCTTAGATGCTTTGCCGCCCTAGACCCAGAGGGGCCAGAAGGCCGTCCTATTCTCAATATGCATTTTACTACTCAACCCACTCCCAACATTAGAAAAAGCTCCAAAAATTAGATTCTGGCCCTCAAACCCCACAACAAGACTTAATCAATCTCGCCTTCAAGGTGTACAATAATAGAGAAGAGTCAGCCAAGCGGCAACTTATTTCTGAGTTGCAATTACTTGCCTCCACTGTGAGAGAAACCCCAGCCACATCTCCAGCACACAAGAACTTCAAAATACCTAAACCACAGTGGCCAGGCATTCCTCCAGGACCTTCTCCCCCAGGATCTTGCTTCAAGTGCTGGAAATCTGGCCACTGGGCCAAGGAATGACCACAGCCTGGGATTCCTCCTAAGCCATGTCCCACTTGTGCAGGAACCCACTGGAAATAGGACTGTCCAACTTGCCTGGAAGCCACTCCCAGAGCCCCTGGAACTCTGGCCCAAGGCTCTCTGACTGACTCCTTCCCAGATCTTCTCAGCTTAGCGGCTGAAGACTGACACAGCCCAATCACCTCGGAAGCCTCCTGGACCATCACAGATGCTTTAGGTAACTCTTAGAGTGGAGTGTAAGTCCATACCCTTCTTAATCAATACGGAGGCTACCCACTCCACATTACCTTCTTTTCAAGGGCCTGTTTACCTTGCCCCCATAACTGTTGTGGATATTGATGGCCAGGCTGCTGGGCCCTTTAAAACTCCCCCACTCTGGTGTCAACTTGGAAAACAGTCTTTTATGCCTCTTTTTTAGTTATCCCCATCTGCCCAGTTCCCTTATTAGATCAAGACATTTTAAGTGAATTATCTGCTTCTCTGACTATTCCTGGGCTACAGCCACATCTCATTGCTACCCTTTCCCCTGTTCAAAACCTCCTTCATGTCTTCCTCTTGTATCCCCTGCACCTGAACCCACAAGTATGAGACAACTCTACTCCCTCCCTAGCAATTGACCACATGCCCATTACTATCCCATTAAAATCTAATCATCCTTACCCTGCTCAACACCAGTATCCCATCCCACAACAGGCTTTGAGAGGACTAAAGCCTGTCCAGGATCTTCACCTTATCAAAAAAATTGTCTTGCCTATCCACCCCGTGGTGCCAAACCCATATACTCTCCTATCCTCAATACCTCCCTCCACAACCCCTTATTCTGTTCTGGATTTCAAAGATGCTTTCTTTGCTATTCCTTTACACCCTTCATCCCAGCCTCTCTTCGCTTTCATTTGGACTGACCCTGATACCCATCAGTCTCAGCAACTTACCTGGGCTGTACTGCTGCAAGGCTTCAGGGACAGCGCCCATTACTTCAGTCAAGCCCTTTCTCATACTTTACTTTCTTTCTGTCCATCTGCTTCTCACCGTATTCAATATTTTGACAACCTTCTACTTTATAGCCCCTCCTACAGATCTTCCCAACAGGACATCCTCCTGCTCCTCCAACATCTATTCTCAAAAGGATAATGCAACTCCCCCGTCAAAGGCCAAATTTCTTCCTCATCCATTACCTATCTCAGCATAACTCTTCATAAAAGCACATATGCTCTCCCTGTTGATCGTGTCCGGCTAATCTCCCAAACCCCAACCCCTTCTACAAAGCAACAACTCCTTTCCTTCCTAGGCATAGTTAGGTACTTTCGCCTTTGGATATCTGTTTTTGCCATCCTGACTAAACCATCATACAAAAGGAAACCTAGCTGACCCCATAGATCCTAAATCCTTTCCCCACTCGTCTTTCCGTTCCTTAAAAACTGTCCTAAAAGCTGCTCACACACTAGCTCTCCCTAACTCATCCCAACCCTTTTCATTACACGCAGCCAAAGTACAGGACTGTGCAGTCAGAATTCTTACACAAGAGCCGGGACTGCACTCTGTAGCCTTTCTATCCGAACAACCTGACCGCACAGTTCTGAGCTGGCCTTCATGTCTGTATGCAGTGACAGCCACCGCTTTAATACTTTTAGAGGCCATCAAAATCACAAGCTATGCTCCATTTACTCTACAGTTCCCATAACTTTCAAAATCCATTTTCCTCCTCACACTTGATGCGTATACTTTCTGCTCCCTAGCTCCTTCAACTGTACTCACTATTTGTTGAATCTCCCACAATTACCATTGTTCCTGGCCTGGACTTCAATCTGGCCTCCCACATTATTCCTGCTACCACACCTGACCCCCATGATTGTATCTCTCTGATCCACCTGGCATTCACTCCATTTCCCCATATTTCCTTCTTTCCTGTTCCTCACCCTGATCACACTTGGTTTATTGATGGCAGTTCCACCAGGCCTAATTGCCACTCACCAGCAAAGGCAGGCTATGCTATAGTATCTTCCACATCTATCATTCAGGCTACTGCTCCGCCCTCCTCCACTACCTCTCAGCAAGCCAAACTCATTGCCTTAACTCAGGCCCTCACTCTTGCAAAGGGACTACACGTCAATATTTATACTGACCCTAAATATGCCTTCCATATCCTGCACCACCATGCTGTTACATGGGCTGAAAGAGTTTTCCTCACCATGCAAGGGTCCTCCATCGTTAATGACTCTTTAATAAAAACTCTTCTCAAGGCTGCTTTACTTCCAAAGGAAGCTGGAGTCCTTCACTGCAAAGGCCATCAAAAAGCCTCAGACCCCATTGCTCAAGGCAACAATTATGCTGATAAGACAGCTAAAGAAGCAGCCAGTATTCCTACTTATGTCCCTCATGGCCAGTTTTTCTCCTTCTCATCAGTCACTCCTACTCACTCTCCCACTGAAGTTTCCACCTATCAATCCCTCCCTACTCAAGGCAAATAGTTCTTTGACCAAGGAAAATTCCTCCTTCCAGCCTTACAGCTCATTCCATTCTATCGTTTTTCATAACCTCTTCCATGTAGGTTACAAGCCACTAGCCCTCCTCTTAGAACCTCTCATTTCCTTTCCATCATGGAAATCTATCCTCAAGGAAATCACTTCTCAGTGTTCCATTTGCTATTCTCCCACTCCTCAGGGAGTTCGCCCCTGCCCAGGATTGGCAGATTGACTTTACCCACATGCCCCGAGTCAGGAAACTAAAATACCTCTTGGTCTGTGCAGACACTTTCACTGGATGGGTAGAGGCCTTTCCCTCAGGGTCTGAGAAGGCCACCGCGGTCATCTCCTCCCTTCTGTTGACATAATTCCTCAATTTAGCCTCCCGCTCTACCCAGTTGTCCCATCAATCCCCATTACAACTTCTAATGGCTGCTGCCCTAGCTGGATCCCTAGTGTTAGATATGAGTTCTAAATTTCTTTTCAAAGAATCAATATGTCAGTAGGTTCAATTCTTTGCCTTCTACTTTTAAACTTAACTTCCTCGTAAAGCAAACTTTTTCAATTACCTGCTCCACCCTGACTCATTTCAATCACCTGCTCCACCCTGACTCATTCCGATTACCTGCTCCACCCTGACTCATTCTGATTACCTGTTCCACCCTGACTCATTCCAATGACCTGCTGTCATAACCATTTTTCCTGCCAAACCACTCACCCTGTCACTCTCTTTAAATTAGCCAATTGAAATTAGTTTAGCCTGTGCGGTCTAACCCTAGCCAATAGGGGAAGGACGCAGCAGCAGGGGCCACGTGCATCAGGGATAAGAACCCCTTCCCGTCCCTTGTCCAAGTGTGTGCTCACCATTGCTCCATCTGTAAGGGTGCAACCTTCTATAGAAGTAACTTGCCTTGCTGAGAATTAAAAAGAAAATTTTATATTCGAGTGCTATTTCTTTTGTGGCACAGAAACTTCATATATAATACTAGGAGTCTGGGTACAAGACACCTCTTTTAGTGCTCTTTCTCATTTTTTCACTTTGCATTTCCAGTGTTGCACAAGGTCTCTTCTTCTGTGACTCCTCTACCTACATGTGTCTACCTGCTAATAGGACAGGCACGTGCACACTAGTTTTCCTTACTCCCAAAATTCAATTTGCAAATAGGACTGAACAGCTTCCTCTTCCCCTCATGACACCAACACTTCACCACTATTTTGTTTTATTTTTCTTATTAATATAGAAGACAGGAATAGGCCTCGACTTACTGCTGAAAAAGGAGAACTCTGTATATTTTTAAATGAAGAGTGTTGTTTTTACCCAAATCAATCTGGCCTGGTGTATGACAACATAAAAAAACTCAAGGATAGAGTCCAAAAACTTGCCAACCAAGCAAATAATTACGCTGAACCGCCTTGGGCACTCTCTAACTGGATGTCCTGGTTCCTCCCAATTCTTAGTCCTTTATTACCTCTTTTTCTCCTTCTCTTATTCAGACCTTGTGTCTTCTGTTTAGTTTCTCAATTCACACAAAACCACATCCAGGCCATCACCAATCATTCTATATGACAAATGCTCCTTCTAACAACCCCACGATATCACCCCTTACCCCAAAATCTTTCTTCAGTTTAATCTCTCCCACTCTAGGTTCCCACATCAGCCCAATCCTGCTCGAAGCAGCTCTGAGAAACATCCCCCACAAATTTTCAATGCCCCAACACTTCACCACTATTTTGTTTTGTTTTTCTTATTAATATAAGAAGACAGGAATGTCAGGTCTCTGAGTCCAAGTCTGCACGTATACATTCAGATGGCTGAGGCAACTGAAGAACCAGAAAAGAAGTGAAAATGGCTGGTTCCTGCCTTAACCGATGACATTCCACCATTGTGGTTTGTTCCTGCCCCACACTAACTGGTCAAGTGACCTTGTGAAATTCTTTCTCCTGGACAATGAATCTCGGAAGCTCCCCACCGAGCACCTTGTAACACCTGCCCCTGTCTGCAAGAGAAAAAACCCCTTTGACTGTAATTTTCCACTACCCACCCAAATCCTATAAAACTGCCCCACCTCTGTCTCCCTTTGCTGACTCCTTTTTCAAACTCAGTCTGCCTGCACTTGGGTGATTAAAAAGCTTTATTGCTCGTACAAAGCCTGTTTGGTGGGCTCTTCACATGGACACGTTTGACACTCCTTATGTATCTTTTTAATCTCCATCATCTAACACAGTGTCTGGCACTCAGAATCACTCAATATATGATTGCAGAATAAGCAATAAGTTAGAAACTCAGTTAAAAGTAGAAAGAAATGGAACTGGAGCCCAAGACTACAAAGCTTCAATTCTTCCCAGGATGTCTTTTCTGAATGAACAGGTGAATATAATTAAGGTACATGTTTTATTATCAGTTGATTCTCATGCCCAGAAAAGCATTGATACCACATTCTTATGAGCTCAGAGAGAAAACTTGTTCTTGATGTGTACCCAAGGTACCAGAGGTCAGTGTGGCCACCAGAAGTGACCCATCTAACAGTGAGCACAAGACTTCATTGTGAGCCTGAGGACAGGCTGCTCACCAACTTCTGGATTTAAAAAGCACTTGACTGCCCTGAAGAGGAGCTATTTGTTATACAAAGTCATCTGAGAGAAAAGGGTTATGTTCTTAAAATAACTTTATTAGAGCCTATTTAGTAAATGACTTTCTAATGGTTGGAAAGTGTCTAGCAGATTGCAATAAGGTGAGAAGGATGTCGCTATTTATATACTCAACATTCTCCTTTCTAAGAGAAAAATGAAGTACAAAACAATATTTATAGCCCATTAGTCTAGGGCTTTTCTTCAACTGATAACTTTCACACACATTCAGAAGACGTGGCAACCTATTGCTTATATCTAAATTCCAAGCAGCTATACTGCCAGCATTCTCTCTACTTTTTCTTTCACTTTATTGTTTTTCTTTCTCTCTCATTCACTCATACACACACACACACAAACACAGACACATAAGTCACATTTACATTTGTGTACCATGTTCACATATACATAACCTCATACTTTATGGAGCATGATATTTAAAAAATTTACTATCTGATATGAAATTAGTTGCTTCTGATTTTTCTATTCCAATGTTGATATAAATACAAATATCCTTAACCTGTGGCCTAGATGGAACATAAAGAAAAACGGAAAAGCTGAAATATGGGACATGCATTCAATAACTTGGATATGGACAGGAATTCATAACCATTCATTCTGCTAATATCTTTTGAGCACCCATGACATGTCATGAATTTTACTAAACCATGAGACCGAATACTGAGCAGAAGAGAGTGAGGAAACTCAGACTGACAAGCTGATCGAATACTTACCTTGTTCATTGATTCTCTGCTAACATTTTAAGATACAAAACTAAACCTTTATTTTGTTTTTATTTTCTGTGTCACATTTAAAGACACCATACGTAGTTACTGTAAGTCCTTTTTATTAGTGTTATTAAGTATTATAAAGAAGAAATTAATTGATAGATACCATTTTATAATGAAAGATTAATGGGCAAGTCCATGGGAGTAGCTTAGACTATCACTAACATTTGGTAACACATATGTATGTTATTTGTTCTGTTAGAAAGGAAACGCAAATGATGTGATTAAAGTATTAAGAGAAATGTATACATAAAGACAAAAACATGCAAGGGAATGACTAAAATGCTACAGAATGCAGGATGTTTGAAAGAGGTCATCAATGCAAGATTACTTAAATCTTACCTTAAAATTTTGTACAGAATTTGCAAAAGATGGGAAACCTGGAAGTATTTCCTAACAATATGAAAAGATAATATATAGAAATATAATATAAATCAGGGTCAAAAATTATTTAGAAAACAAGAATAAAATCAATGGAAAGGCATCCGCCTTTAGAGAAATAGGCAATCATTTCAAGGGTATATTTACTTTAAGACATTTTCATAGCTTTTGAAACTACAAAAATATTCAACTCCAATAAGGCAACATCATTTCCTAGAATATCACATTTTTAACTTGAAATAGTCATATGTAGCTATATATTTTGTAAACATATCTCGAAATAACATTAAATATTTTAGAAGGTAAACTATGTAAAGAAGAGGTATATGGACTCATATTACTTTCCCTATAAATATACACAGCACACATGTTTCTTTGTCCTCATAAGAATTAAGAATGTGTTGTGCTTCTTAGGGCAGTCAGGAATGTTTGTTGCAATGGAAGAACAGATGGGTGAAAAAATAAATGAAAGTTTAGAAGGTGAATGAGATAAGCCAATAGACCTATTTTATTTATTTATGACTGAGTGCTAATTATTCAAGAAATATCTTAAGGGGAAAAGTTCATCAGTTTTATTGGATGAGATTAAAAAAACCCATGGTGATGTCGATTTTCAGTAAGAAAATCATATTTAAAATGGTATCGATAAAATACTTAATTCAAATAAAATCACAAAGGGGATATATAAATCAAATACACACAAAAATGAAAGCCTGGTAGATATGTTCATGCCAAGAATTTTTAAAAAAATGAATTAAGAGAGTAAGAGCTGAGTGACAAATACTGAGTACTTTGAGGTGAGGGCTCAAAACTAATACGCATAGTTTACAAAATATTAAAGGTTCACTAGACAGAATTAGGTTACCATTAACTGTTAAATATAAGCCCTATGTCATAACAAAAAAATACATTATTCAAAATATTCAGTTTTAGATGTTTATGTACTACATGACAAATGCCACTAAAAAAGGGCGAAGCTTCCAATACATTTTCCTCAAAATTAATTTTTGAGATAATAAGCCTGAATAAATCATATGCATCCTCTTTTTAGGAAAGGGATAGAGGGAATTTTTTTAACGACCAGAATTTATTTTCTGGATGATTAAAGTAACCTCTGAAAATAATAAAGCTTCTTTAGTAAAGTATATTAAAAAGCCTATATCAATAGATTGTGTGTTTCGAATCTCTAAGGATTTTTGCATTAAACTCCTGCTCATGAGCATTAACTAAAGCATCTCCTTTTGTTTTTTTAGATGCTTCCAGCCACTCAGTTTACTAATCTGGAGAGATGATTAATGTCAGAGACTCTAAAACAGTAAAACCTCAGACACCAAATTAGATATAAATCCATCTGGGTAATATAAGGACTTCACGTATAAAAACCAGATGGAAGTTTGGATGGATTTTCTCTGTGCTATATGAGGTAAGTCTAATGTGTTTTCTTATAGAGTTTCTTATTCACACAGCAATATTATCAAAACCCAGCAAGCCCCAGATGACTCCAAAATATTTGCATCAATCCATGCCAGCATTTGCACATGGAGTCTTTGCTTTAGCCATTTGTGGTGCTTTTTAGAAACAATTACTTTACTAGTAATAACTATAGTTAAGTCACGCTGGTGGCCAATGTTTGTGCCCCAATCCTGGCAAGGAACAAAAGAGGTTCCCTGAACTTATTGTTTTTAAGAAGCTAACATATTTCTATCAAATGCCAAATTAATTTCATTTAGAGACCTAGGAAACAGTAGTTACCTCTATTTTGCTTATTCTTTTATGAAGTCACTGATTTCTAACTATTGGCGTGATGTCTACTTGTAAGCTTTTGGTTATGCTCCTTAGCCTTTTTCTTCTTTATATATGTTTCTAAGTCTATTTAGAAAACATATTGACCAGGTGTGGTGGCTCACGCCTGTAATCCCAGCACTTTGGGAGGCCGAGGTGAGAGGATCATGAGGTTAGGAGATCAAGACCATCCTGGCTAACACAGTGAAACCCCGTCTCCACTAAAAAATACAAAAAAATTAGCCGGGCGTGGTGGCGGGCGCCTGTAGTCCCAGCTACTTGGGAGGCTGAGGCAGGAGAATGGCATGAACCTGGGAGGCGGAGCTTGCAGTGAGCCGAGATCGCACCACTGCACTCCAGCCTGGGTGACAGAGTGAGACTCCATCTCAAAAAAAAAAAAAAAAAGAAAACATATTTTACATTTTTTGGTTTTCTTATTACTCTTCATTGTCATCTCAAATTGCTCTGAAAACTCCAGTTGAGACCTGAACAGTGAAGACAGACAGTTTTTCACACATCTTGAAAATTCCATTTCTTATTTTTCCTGATGTCATTTGCCTTATAATTATTTTTTTCAGGAAGAAAGGAGAAAGGAAGAGGAGGAGCAACTTCTAATTAATTTAAAATTCCGCAGTGAATCCACCTCTCTATGTAATTAAAAATAGAATACAATACTACTTCAAAAATATTAAAAGAATGGTCATGTCCGTTGTTTAAAAAAACAGGAAAACAGGCAGTCTGGTGTCTTGGAGTGTGAAATAGGACAAACTTTCTGGTTGGAGTGTGAAATAGGACAAACTTTCTACAAGGCAACACGAAAAACATTTTTAAAAGCATTAAAATTTTGTATGCCCTTTAGCCTAGGAATTCCACTTCTAAAGAAGAATCTTGGCCAGGCGTGGTGGCTCATGCCTGTGATCCCAGCACTTTGGGAGGCAGAGGCAGGCAGATCACTTGAGGTCAGGAGTCTGAGACTAGCCTGGCCAACATGTGAAACCCAATCTCTACTAGAAACAGAAAACAATAGCTGGGCATGGTGATGTGCAACTGAAATCACAGCTACTTAGGAGGCTGAGGCAGGAGAATTGTTTGAACCCGGCTGGCAGAGGTTGCAGTGAGCCAAGATTGTGCTACTGCACTCCAGCCTGGGCGAAAGAGCAAGACTCCATCTCACAAAAAAAAAAAAAAGGAAAGAATCTCGGAACAATGTTTTATTACAAGATTGTTCATAAAAGCATTGCTTATAACAACAAAAATTATAAATTAAAACAAGATTGAGTAATAAATTAATGTACATACATAAGTTGACCTGCAGAATTCTTTATAATGTTCATGGAAGAAGAAAATTATAAAATTGTATGGATACCATAATTCTATTTTTATTAAAATATTGTATGTATCTGCCATATATAATACAAATGTTGGGAATTAACATCAACATATTAATTTTTCTCTAGTATAGGTTCTCTCTAGAAGGTCAAATACAGAAAATTTTTTCCTTTTCCTTTTTTTCTTGATTTAAAAAATTTATGACAATTAACATATGTAATTTGAGCAGCATGAAAAATGTTAATGTTATTTAAATTATTTAAAGGCTGAAAAATCTAATGACAGTGAATAATTAGAACTTTTACAAATTGCGTCTTACTTCCATATGTTTGCTGTCAATAGATGTAATAAAATCCAAAAGTCAAAATTAGATTTGATCAGATCAACCAGAGCGAGGGGATTAAAGATCTAGATGTGCAAATGCTATGACAGAAATACAATTACTTCAATTCTCAGATCACTAAGATGGAGTTCCCAACACTGCTATCTTTTCTCAGTTTTAGTGTACCAGCATCACATACCTTACATTTGTTATTAGCAATGCTTTCTCTAATATATCCAACATACAAACCAGAAAAACCCTTTCCTCTAATCATCACCCCATTTGGTGATAGCTTTTTAAAATCAGTTGGTCTCATATTAAAATGCATTCAAATTTAATTTTTTGAGAACAGTATACTCAAAAAGCTGAGTCACTGTCATTGCATATACCAGTGATACTTGAAGAAAGCAAATACCTACATCATCCTCTTGCCCATCAGTGCTTGCATTGTGGATGTCAGGATAATGTTTCAGAAACTGGGCTACATAGGTCATAATAGATTTCTCATCTGGTTTATCCACATCAACGTCTGAAAAAACAAAAAAGAAATGTGAATAAACTAATTAGCATTCATTGGATTTTGATAATACAAGTTTGGTATCTAGCTATCACACCAAAAACGCTAAACGCAGAAGGAAAACAGAAGTACTATTTAGAATTTTGGACGGGGAGGAGGGTAAACCAAATTTAGTCTGGATATTACATGATGAAAATTATATTACTCAGAAAGATGACACATTTAAACAAACAGCGTTTAAGAAAGTAGCATATGTGTCATTTAAATAAGACATACAGTATCTCATGAGACAGTATCTCCCAAATGGGTGAGATACGGTATGATTCCTCATACAGTATCTCATACTAGTTCTATTCATACTAGTGAATAGAACACAAATAATATGTAAATTTTAGAACTGGCATAAATAGGAAGTACAAAAATGCTTACAAGTGTGACACTGAATGACATATATATATATATACACACACTATATATGGCCAAATATAGACAAGCCCCCTCTCTGCCCCCACAAATTTCACTTTAGAAGAAAGGCAGATGCCTTATATTCAATTTCCTGGGCAGCCTCCTCTTTGTGGAGCATTCTCTCCAAATTACAGTGCTTTGAGCAATCAAGCACTCTTCGAGGGAAACTCTTCGAGGGCCTGAGAAGCCCTCAATCACTGTGATTTTGAAGCTTATAGATATTTATCTAATACAAATGGTAAAAATCAGGCAAATAAATTCATACAGATTTAGTAATTATACATGGAGGTAAGAATGCATAAGTAAAACGTGTTGTAAACAAGTCTTTTAAATATCAATTTTAAAGGCAATAGAAATGATTATATCTTACAGAGCAATTTATAGAGCAGAAAGCAAACCAAATTGCCACAATGAAGTATAAAACTAATCTAATCTTTCGTAAAAGTTCTTTTTGATTAGAGGTATAATTTCTAGAGACTTGCAATATAGGGTTTAAAGAGTGCTGCAACTCACACTATTTAAAAGGAAGCGAAGATAATGTATTCTGAAATTTGTTAAATGACTCAAAGGTGATGAGTCAAACCGTTGAGTAAAACTTTTTTTTCAGGAAATATGAAAGTGGAAAGAAAAGCAATATTTAATACATGATTTAACATAGTATATGCTGTTAACTATATATGTAAATCATAAAATAATTATTATAATAGCTTTTGGTCTACCTAATCTGTATTCCTAAAAGCTTATACATCCAAGTTGGCTAAATAACTTTTTGAAGGGGAAGTTCTCATTAAGAAATTAGAGGAATGTCTTATATCTAGGATAGCCTTGTATTTAGGCAACCTCAGTTTCTAATCATCAAAGAAAATATTAAGATCTTCTGGTCTGGTGGATATGAAAGAATCATGCATATTCTCCTTTCATCCCACTCTAGGAATAATGTCAGCTCTGATACATCCTCTGAAGTCGATGGCTGGAATATGTGTTTTTCCCTTGATTTATTTTTGTGCAGAAAGAAGGCAGAAAGCCCTTTGATATCCTAGTGAAAGTGGGGTGGGGGCAGAGTGGGACTCAAAAACAGAATCCTAAAATGGCAAGGAATCTCCATGGGGCCCTTCATCTCAGAGGAAACCTAACTGGGTCTCTGTAACTTACTCTTGGAAACACAAGTCTATCCTCTTTGTTTTAGAGCTAGGGAAGTTCAGTCTGAAATTCCATCTTTAAAAATAATTTTTGGTGGATCCCATGAAAACAGAGAGTAGATTGGTGGTTACCAGAGGCCAGGAAGGGTAGGGAGGAGAGGGGAAAAATAATTTGCTTTCACTGTATATTTACATTTCTGCATTCACTGGTAGAAATGTCCATAATTGCCAGCCCAAATAAGAAATTATCTGTGACATTTGGAAACTTCACTTTGATACTTTTGTTTCAACATAACAACTTATTAGTTTATAAAAGTTTATCAAAGGCATCTAAATTGTCTTTTGAAGGCTTGAAAGAGTTCACTCCATTTCCAAAAAGTCTTAGCACTCACGCCCTTACCAAAAAACGTGCCAAACAATTGAAATGACAAATATTAGTCAAACATTTGTGAAGTTTGCTGATTGACACCAAAACACTGCATGGTTAACAACATTTCTAAGTATGAATAATCTACATCTTTCAGACCTCTGAGATTATATAGAGTAATTATATTATCCTGTCACCTACCCCTCATACACACACTTCTAAAACTTTCATTCCACCCTTAAGTATATTAAGTCCAGTTCACCCGACTGACATACCAATGCCAAAGTGCTGTTTGGAGCAATGGGATCATATTTTACCCCAACCATGGTGGTAGATATTTATCCAGAAGAAAATTGATGCAGGAAAATACCATTACTTGCCACTTTTCTCCAGCTTTCTGGCCTCCAATAGAATCTTGGAAGTCATGTGTATTTCTGGGTTTAAGACATAAAAACCCTCCGTGTTAAGGTATATAACAGTCAATGAATATTCAGCCTACCTTCAGGATCTAGCAGTCTTGGGATCCCCAGTTCTGTTTCGGCGATAGTGAAAGCATCCTCCAAATTTTCTCGGTTGGATCTGCCTTTCACTGTCTCCAAGTCCACCAATTCCGGTCGAATGGCATGAATAACTGAATGAAAGGCAACCCCGCTTCTCCAACTCTTCCCAAAATCTTTTACTTCTATTCCAGTCTGCCTTTGTGTTATAAAAACATAAAATGATGTCACATTCTGAATAGATACAAGCACTTTCTTCAAGGCCTCATGCAAAATCCAGTGCTTTTCACCAACGATATGCAGAGAGCTGTATCAGTTCATTGTATTTGAGAAAAATTAAGGGAAACAAAATTTTTAGGGGGCAACAAGATAAGATGTCGAAATTCTGGTTCTATATTTAGAGATTTCTATGTTGGATTTTTCAGCAATTAAGATAGTTAAGTTAAAGCGTATTTTTACATTTATTTTATACTCAATCCCCTACAGTCCTCCGCTCTACCAGCTGAGCTATTGAAGGATGTTTACATTTATTTTATAAAGAAAAATCAATTTAGAGAAAAATGTCTGAAAAAATTTTAAGAAACCAAATTATAAAGATGCCAAAAGTGACAGTAATTAACCACTGTAAATTTTTGTAGAAAGAGCTAACACGTTTCTAATGGGAAGCAGCACTGTGTTGTACACAGGTTATCACAGACTAAGATAATGTGGCTGAATACTTTCAAATGCAGTAGAATAGACAAATGCAAATATTGCAATTATATCTCAAAGTGTTCACAAAGGACCCTGTATTCCACCTAAATGCAAACAATAATTCCAATTACTCCACCAATAAAATTGTTTTTAAGCTCCTTTTTGGTAATTGTCTTGAGGGCAAAGCCGTGGTGGTAAATCTTTTTTCTTTGATGGCGGATTTGATTAACTCAAAGCCAGTTATTAAGAAACTGAATCAAGTTGGTAGCCATATTTTGCCCTTGGAAAAGAGAAGCGAGGCAAGCTCACAATGAATGATTTTTTTTCCTACATGTAACTTATCAATTATAAAGGCAGTTCCGAAAACAGAGTTGTAAAGATGATTTTGAGCATCGGCTGCACCCCTTGAATAAGTGGAGGGCCTGCAAATATGATCACTTAACTAGGGAACATTCAATGGATAAAGTCATCTAGTAGCTTCTTTTTAAAAAGTTAGTCTCATTAACCTTAGAGATGTCTCTAACTAAAGCAAAAATATTGCTCAATTAATTTTTACTAGAATCTCAAAATTTTCATGAAAAAATACAACCTGAATGGTATGCTGATTAATATAATAAGTTTGTAAGTGTCCATTATTATTATTATTATCATTATTATTATTATTAAGACAGAATCTCACTCATTCTGTTGCCCAGGCTGGAGTGCAGTGGCACAGTCTCGGCTCACTGCAACCTCCACCCCCCAGGCTCAAGGGATTCTTGCACCTCAGCCTCCCAAGTAGCTGGGATTTCAGGCATGTGCCACAATACCTGGCTAATTTTTGTATTATTGAATACAAAAAATACAAAAAATCAATAAGAATACAAACATTTTGTATTATTCATCATGTTGGCCAGGCTGGTCTCAAATTCCTGGCCTCAAGTGATCCACCTGCCTCGGCCCCCCAAAGTGCTGGGATTACAGGTGTGAGCCATTGTGCACAGCCTATCCTTAAATTTTATTGTAGACAACTTATCATTCACTTTAAAACATGTTTTACCAATGTACACTGTTTGCATAAAATATATTATGCATCATTGAGCTTGATCATTGGCTTCATCAATAAATATCCTAAAAACAATTTTATGAGACTCCAGAAATTGTAAAGTAATCTTGAATCTTCTCTAATTTTCAAGCTTGTCTCTGGTAGTACAGATATAATTTTTTTCAGCAGACAGCTGACAGTCATGCAGGTTGAACAGTATGTCCTTTCTATCTACTCATTTGTAATCCAACTCTGACTTCATTTTATTTTTCTTTGTCCACATTTCCTCATTTAAAAATGTTTTTTATCTTGTTAAGCCACCTCAAATTAGTTTTTAACAAAATTAAGTGGGGTGTAAATAAATAATTAGCTAATAAATATTCACCATGTAATTAGCTATTTCTAATTTTCTTGAACTTATGTATTGTTTTAGACATTTTCAAAGAGAAATACATAATATGCTTTTCTAAATATTTACTGTAATGAAATAATTAAAAAGTTTCAGCACATTTTATTTCTTCTATATTTGTTGAAAAAATATATGTAGGTATGCACACACACACATACACACACACTGTTTCCTATTGTAACAGTTAAAGTAGTAGGTAATATTCCTTAAAAGTTTTAGTTTTAGTTCAAACCTCTTATTTGAGAATTTTAGATATGAACCAAAAGAAAGACACAGCATTTAAAGAAGTGATGAACAGTGCCCAATTTATAAGCATTTCTGACCTCTAATATGTATTTACTTCAAGCTGCTTTTAAATAACTACATATATGCATATATTTATTTATTTTGTTACCTTACTAATTTTTGTCAGAAAATATAATTGTTCTTCTTATAAATGTGACAATAGTTATGCAAATGTAAGATATGCTATAACTTAAAGCTTTTATTTCTGATAATATGTATTGATAGTGGATGAAATTAGTTTTAGCAATTAGAGGGCTTAACTATCTTATGTTACTGAAATCATTTTTAAATTTATTTCTCAAATATTTTTAAACTTTATACGAAAACAGTGGATACATCCTGATAACTAGTCTAGTGTTTACTGGATGTTTTATCATTTCCCACCATCTTCAATCTTATGAGTGTGATGAACTTCCAAACTAGAGTCCCACGAAATATTATGATTTTAGGAATAACATCACTCATACCTCAAAATGGATACAGATTCTAAAGTCTTTTACACATGTTAGATAATAAGTTGCTTGAAAAGTACATACTGGGATAGTGTAAAAAGCAGTTTTTAGAAAAAATTATCAACAGTTTGGTAGCATCATGGAATCATGTGTTCATTACAGAATTTTTATGGCAGAGAAAAGTCATCGCCCCAAACCTCTACAATTTATGCAGCTACAAAAGAAATGGATTTTATTGCTTGCTCACGGGTGGAGAACCCTCAGGCCCAGGATTCTGGACATTGGCCCAGATAAGGAAAGTAAAACTTCCACTGATGTTACCAACATATAAGTTGTAGCAATGACTTTGAGCTGTCACCAGACTCTTGCACATCTTTGAAACCCAACATAGCATGCATGAAACTAAATTAAATGCTGGATAACTCCAACAGCATTAAATTTGAGTTTACTTCAAGCTACTGTTTTATTAAAAGAAAATCAATTTGTTTTTGGTTAATTTAATGTCGTGTGAAGCAATGGACCACAGAATATCACCTTGACATTATTACAAAGTTTAATTGCAATAGCATCGTGACACATCAGTGTGCAGTCACCAGTCTTCTCCCTGCCCAGTTAAGTTGTAAGAGAGATTAGTAATGCCACTGTGGATGCAATTAAACAGTGTTCCAGCAATGTGGGAAGGGTTTTTTATTTCATTTCTACTTCAGATTCTAAAGAGCCACAAAGCTTTGTTTTCAGAAATATATTTGACTACAACTTGAATCATGAAAACATAGCCCAAATTAGAAAACCAGCAACACACTTTAAAAGTTAAACAAAACAACATAAACTAGCAACACTAATTACATCCTTTGTTTCTCTTTTTATTTTTTTATTTTTGCTCTTCAAACACCTTAAAAATAGAACTCCCTATGTTTAGTACCTCAATATTTTATAAGTACTTGTTTACAACTATTTTCCAGAAGTAGAGAATCAAATTTAGATTACATTTAAGCATGCAAAACAAGATAAAAAATGAGTAATTTTACATGTTGTTTAGGAAAATCAAACAAAAGCATACTCTACATGAAAGGACTTACCCCTGATCACATCAGACTACAAAATACTTATATAATCAACTGAAAACTCCATTGAAATTGCTATGAGAAAGTACTTTTTGAGAGCACTCTTTTTCTTTTTTCTTTTTCTTTTTTTTTTTTTTTTTTTTGAGATGGAGTCTAGCTCTGTCGCTCAGACTGGAGTGCAATGGCACAATCTTGATCTCAGCTCACTGCAACCTCCACCTCCCAGGTTCAAGCGATTCTGGTGCCTCAGCCTCCCGAGTAGCTGGGATTACAGGCACGCGCCACCACGCCCAGCTAATTTTTGTACTTTTAGTAGAGATGGGGTTTCACCAGATTGGCCAGGCTGGTCTCGATCTCCTGACCTCAGGTGATATGCCCACCTCAGCCTACCGAAGAGCTGGGATTATAGGCATGAGTCACTGCGTCTGGCTGAGAGCAGTCATTTTCTATCCACTATTATCATATAAATGTATACACATGTAAATTTATTATGCCTAGAGGAAAACTGAAAACTAGATGCAAATTCTCAGCTCACAAAGCTAGAGTTGACAAAAAAATCTACACTCTAGATAAAAAATGAGACCAAAGGGAAAAAATTTAAAAACTAAAATTGCTAGAAAGTTTCAGAACATAAAAAAAAAATGTTTTTGGAATGTGTACCTTAGTTCACACAGTTCTTAAATAGAACATAATAGTCTCATGAAGAGATAACCGAGTTTAAACTTCAAGTTTATTTATATAAAGATTATTTAATAGGAGCAGAAACTCTAAACAATGACCTAAATAGAATTATCCCTCATGCTACTCAAAGTTTAGGATTAGTCAGTTTAATTAATTAGGCCCAATTGCATGAATAAAGAAAAAATTAATTTTTTAAGAGCATTTTCCTAGAGTATTAGTGGTGATTTGTGTTTATATCTCAATTCAAGGCAAGAGTGAAATAAGCGCTAAAGCAAAGCCATTCATTCAAATGTCTCTTCACATTTCGCAATCATTAGAAGTTGCAATTAGTAACATTCATAACTCAATTTAACGGTTTCAAATTTAGACAAACTCTTGATACTTACTTGCCAGCTGTGTACTGAACCCACTTTAATAAAGCCTTCTTAGCATTTCCTTGGATCTTGGTGGTCACCTTCCGTTTACTTGGTGGGCTGGGAGTCTCAGAGCTAACTATGCTGTCCACGGAGGATGCGCTGCTGGACAAAGACTGGAGCTGGGGCAGGTTGCTGGTCAACTCTTCAATCTGTTTGTGAGTTAACAGCCAGCAAAAATATAAGCATTATCTTTGTTATTATTTCCTCAGATGTTTTACTTTTCCAGCAACAAATGAGTTATGTTAACACTCTTGACATTCCTGACAAAATGCAAGCTCTTAAAGGGCATGATTGATATCTTACTCCTCTTTGTACTTCCCATTGCACCCCTAGTGTATCTTACATACAATAATCCATATTTGTAGAATACATGAATGAATTAATCAACTAAAACCTAATGGTTAGAACAATTATTCTGAATAGAATGGCAAGTTCATTCCTCCCCTTCATGTCTAAAAGGAGTTTAGAAGTGCTCCTTTCCAAAGAAAAAAGAAAATTTTCCTGAGCTCCTTCTGCAACAATATTTCATCTCCATCTTGAGGTGCTCGCTTTTCAGATTGGGCACCTCTGCTGGAGTTCTTCGGGGTGTGAGGTTCCACATGCAACAGCTTTGCAAGGGAGAAGAGGAAATTCTCCTACCAAAGAAACAACGTATGTGTGAAAGGTACATTTCTGCTAAGTTAAGGATCAACCCCAAAGATATGGCAAATGAGAGCATTATTAAAATGGCCACCATGATCTCCCTCTGAGACATTGCATCAACTGAAAGAGGAACTGTAGCACAATACCTGGAAATATAGAATAATGGTCCACATCAATCCAAGAACTATTGAGGGTCGGCCATCAGCTATATCGGTGGAGTTAATGTTGACTAATTTAATCTGTTTAAAAAAGAGAAACTGTACTAGTAATGTACTAGAATATTATAACTCATTTAATTATGTAACAATTAGGCCTTTAGTAGACATCAATAAGATTTGATCATGCCTATGTAATAGTACATGGGAGTAAGTAGAGTGAGGCACCGAAACAAACAAGCACAAGGTTTCAGTGAAAATTTCAGGGGGATTTGTTAGGTGTACAAAGTAAAAACTATAAAATGGATTTCAGAAACTTCTTTTGTTTAAAGTTGAAAAAATATAACATGCAGGCAATTACCAACAAAAATGTCAAACAGAAAAAAAATGTTATTATTTATATTTAGAGGTTGACTGGAGCTTAAAAGAAACTGCAATGAGAAGTTTAAGAAGATGCACTTACTTTGAAGTTTGTTACCAAATAGCAGGTAACTTATGTTCCCTTTTACCTATAAAAATCAGGAGTTAAGAATTCTAAAATTTGTACTAACCGGTGATCCTCTGTGCATGGACTGACATGAAAAACAAAGGGAGAAGATAATAGATATACATAAATCATCTTTCAAAATCAGCATTATTTGTTCAAAGGGAATAAAGAGGTAGGTAGTCAGTTTAGAACCTGACTGTGGTAATACGTTTTAAAGAAAAACAAAGGAAAGGCAAGAAATAGCAAAACAGAGCCTATTAGCATTCAGTTCCCTACTTTTGGGTGATGACATATAAAGCATTAAGGAGAGACGTCAATCTATGTACAATTGACCCAAATTATTCATGCTAATGTTTTTCATCCACTACAAAGTTGTTTGCTAAGTCCCAACAAAATGGACTTACATGGTTAAGTCTATCTCATTCAATTTCTATAGCCTACCATCAAAAACATCCTTTTAATAATTCCTAACAAATGAAAACAAATAATAATAAAGTACCCTTCAGACCTCTAGCTCAATAATTCTCAGCCAAGATTTCATGAAGTGTGTTATTAATAAAAAGCTCAGATGTTTGTACATTTTTTTTATTTAAATTTGTGTCAGATGCAAAATCATTTCACAAATACTTTACTCTTGAAAGTTTAAATTTACTAGTTTTACATCACAGAGGTGGAGTAAAAGCTAGCACAAAAATCATTGTAAATGATTTGAGATATACCTATGGGATTTTTGTCTCACTGGTGAAGTTCATTCATCAGGTTCAATGACAAAAAATAAAAATTGAGAACTGGTATAGATTACAAACTTGTATATCTACTTCCTTTGAATCAATCAGTATAAGACGTTTAAGATATCTTTATGGAAAATAAAGAACATCAATTTTTTTAACTTTTTATGAAAGAATCTACTATGATCTCTAGGATCATTTTGAGAGCTTCATTTTACAACTTCTCTAGAATTTTCTCCACATCCATTTTAGCATACATACACAAAAAATTTATAATATATGCTAATATCCATAAGATTAATGAATTTCACAGGGGAAAATTTCTTCCTTTTCCTTGTGCATCATTTTTTAAAAAGTGCTATTGAATATAATTTGATTATCCTACCTCGACCCAGTTCCAATTGTACTTGAAATTGTACATTGTTAACATATTCAATTTATTACAGAAGCTAAAGGATCTTTTGCCTAACTTGTGAAGAAAAATGTTTTTCATGATTATCTGCCCCAAAATGTGTTTCACAATGAGTTTAGGGAGCACAGGTTGGTTTGTCTGTTTATTTAACCTCCCATCTCTTGCAAAATCCTATTGAACTTACAATACATTCTTAGTAGCCTAGGAGGGTAGGATGGGCAATAGAGACACATCCAAAGAGAATGAAGAATTTCCAGAAGCCAGAAGGAAGATGGGACCATATTGACAGATAAAACCAGAGCAGAAGGATGTTGAGCCAGATGTTCTCAAAGGGTGATTCCCAGAGTCGCAGCAAGCACGTCACCTGGAAACTTGTTAGAGATATAGAATCTGAGACTTCACCTTGGACCCATTAAACCAGAAACTAAGGAAGTGAGCCTCTGGAAAGTGTCTTAAAACCTTCAGGTGATTCTGATGCACATTAGTGCTTGAGAATCCTGGACTAGACCATTGTACCTGGCCCATGTAATCTGGAGAAGTCTGAGTTATAAGACAGAGGCTTGAATGGAATGAATTATTATTTGTGTCCCTCCAAAATTCATATTTTGAAATGTAACTCCCAATGTGATTGTATTTGGAGAATGAGTCTTTAAAGAGATAATTGAAGTTAAATGAGTTCATAAGCATGGGGCCCTAATCTAATCAGATTTTTCTTTTTTAGATTAGTCTCACTCTGTTGCCTAGGAGGGAATGCAGTGGCACGATCTTGGCTCACTGCAACCTCCACCTCCCAGGTTCAAGCGATTCTCCTGCCTCAACTGGGATTACAGGCATGCGCCACCACACCCGGCTAATTTTTGCATTTTTAGTAGAGATGAAGTTTTGCCATGTTGGCCAGGCTGGTCTCGAACTCCTGACATCAAGCAATCTGGCCACCTTGGCCTCCCAAAGTGCTGGTATTACAGGAGTGAGCCACCACGCTGGGCCCAGTGAGATTAGTGTTCTTAAAAAAGATGAAGAAAAACTATCATCAGAGTGAACAGGCAACCTACAGAATGGGAGAAAATTTTTGCAATCTATCCATCTGACAGAGGGCTAATATCCAGAATCTACAAGGAACTTAAACAAATTTACAAGAAAAAAACAAACAACTCCATCAAAAAGTGGGCAAAGGATATGAGCAGACACTTCTCAAAAGAAGACATTTATGAGGCCAACAAACATGAAAAAAAGCTCATCATCACTGGTCATTAGAGAAATGCAAATAAAAACCACAACGAGATACCATGTCACACCAGTTAGAATGGCGATTATTAAAAAGTCAGGAAACAACTGATGCTGGAGAGGATGTGGAGAAGTAGGAACGCATTTACACTGTTGGTGGGAGTGTAAATTAGTTCAACCATTGTGGAAGACAGTGTGGTGATTCCTCAAAGATCTAGAACCAGAAATACCATTTGACCCAGCAACCCCATTACTGGGTATATACCCAAAGGATTATAAATCATTCTACTATAAGGGCACATGCACATGTATGTTTACTGCAGCACTATTCACAATAGCAAAGACTTGGAACCAATCCAAATGCCCAACAGTGATAGACTGGATAAGGAAAATGTGGCACAAATACACCATGGAATACTATGCAGCCATAAAAAAGGATGAGTTCATGTTCTTTGCAGGGACATGGATGAAGCTGGAAACCATCATTCTCAGCAAAATAACACAAGAACAGAAAACCAAGCTCTGCATGTTCTCACTCATAAGTGGGAGTTGAACAATGAGAACATATGGACACAGGGAGGGGAACATCACACACCAGTGCCTGTCACGGGGTAGGGGACTAGGGGAGGGATAGCATTAGGAAATACCTAATGTAGATGATGGGTTGGTGGGTGCAGCAAACCACCATGGCATGTGTATACCTATGTAGCAAACCTGCACGTTCTGCACATGTATCCCAGAACTTAAAGTATAATTTAAAAAAATAATAAAAAAAAACAATGAATACCAAAAAAAAAAAAAATGAAGAGACGCCAAAGATTGATCTTCCTCTCTACACTCACACAAAGAAAATGTCATGCAAGGACGCAAAGAGAAGGGAACTGTCTACAAGCCAGGAAGAGAAGCTTCCCCAGAAAACAACCCTGAGGCACCTTAATCCTGGACTTCTTGCCTCCAAAACGCTGACAAAATAAATTTCTGTAGTTTAAGCCACCCAGTCTGTGATACTCTGCTATGGCAGCCAAAGCGGACTAATGCACAGCTCACAGATGTTTAAAAAAATATTTGAGACCAGGCGTGGTGGCTCACACCTGTAATCCCAGCATTTTGGGAGGCCAAGGCGGGCAGATAGCTTGAGGTCGGGAGTTCGAGACCAGCCTGGCCAATGTGGTGAAACTCTGTCACTACTAAAAATACAAAAATTAGCTAGGCTTGGTGGCGCATGCCTGTAGTCCCAGCTACTCGGGAGGCTGAGGCAGGAGAATCTCTTGAACCTGAGAGGTGGAGGTTGCAGTGAGCCTAGTTTGTGCCTCTGCACTCCAGCCTGGGTGACAAAGCAAGAGTCTGTCTCAAAAAAAAAAAAGAAAAGAAAAGAAAAAAAGTAAAAAATTTGAATTATTTGGAAATAAATTTCAAAAAACTCTCAGTAAACATCCATGTTACTAGCTTTTCTTCATAAATTTGAAAACTTAATGAATAAATCCATTACTGCTTTCCACTAGTTGCTTTCTACAATGAGGTATCAGGTACCTCATTCTCAACAATAATGCAAGTAGTCAACTGCCTGCCTTATTTAATACACAATTTAAAGGAATTTTAAACATTAATTACATTTTAATAAAAGTCCAGACAACTGGCTCTTCTTTGTAAATTAGAAAACCAGGGATCACAGTTCTTGCAGTTCACTGAGGTTACTTTAGTTGGAACTATTTGCTCCCCTCTTCCAGACAGGACGCAGGACCACTCAGTTCTCCTGTTACCACAGTTAGCCTGGAACTCACCTCATTCCTTTACATCACCTTTCTGGACCTCACAGGAATCTGAATTTATGTCCCCTGTCTGCACTATGATGGTCAGTGGTTGGCTCTCTGTATTACTGTGCTGAATGATCTGCCTGACACCTCATTGGAGAAAGAAACTTGTGGCAAATGGTGATGAATCTGTTCACCACAGTCACATTTACACATTTCTCATCAGATTCTTACATAAGTTTTTTCAATAGCCCTGCAAATAAGAGAAAAGCTAAGGACACTGTTAGGGTTTCCCCAGTAAAATGAGGAATACCTTCATTATTCCCTAAGTCAAACTAAATAAGAATAAAAGGATTAAATAAATGTCCTGTTATCAAAAGAAAAAAAATCCAAATGGAAGACAAAGTCAGTACAAAGATCAAAGACAAATTTCTAAAAATATGATTGAGACATAAGTTTTAACTTGTAAAGATCAATGCTAAGATAATAAGTGGGAGGGCACTAAAGAACCCTCCAAAACTCATTACTTCCCACAGGCAAACATTTTGTGAGGCCATAGGATACAGAAGTGCAAGAGAGTGTGGCCGACAAGAATGTTTCAGGGAGATGTGGGGAGGAGGTGACTTTAAAAAGATTAAGAGACTTGTGGGGAAAAAAGAGAAATTCTTTCATTTTGTTCTGATTCTCAAGACACTACTTTTGGTGCTTAGCAAATATATTTAAACTTTATTTTTTTTACTTTGGGTTGTTCCGTGAAAATGGACATTGTGAAAACAAGTCTTCTTTATAAACAATGCCTTTCATAGGTGAAGTTGTTAAAGTTTTCGCCAAGGCTTCCAAGTTAATAAGAGGAATTTTGTTTTTGTATTCCAGCCAATCAATATAACTCAGAATGAAGTAGGACACTGTTGTCATACAGCTGAAATGGGAGAATGAATGACCTGAAAAACTCTATCTTTATTTTTTATTTTTATTTTTTTTAAGAGAAAGAGTCTTGCTCTGTCGCTCAGGCTGGAGTGTGATCACAGCTCACCGTAGCCTCAACCTCCCAGGCTCAAGAGATCCTCCCACCTCAGCCTCTCGAGTAGCTGGGACCATAGGCGCATGCCACCACATCTGGCTAATTTGTTTGTTTGTTTGTTTGTTTAGAGACAAGGTCTCACCATGTTGCCCAGGCTGATCTCAAACTCCAGGGCTCAAGCCATTCACCTACCCTTCCCTCCCAAAGTGCTGGGATTAGAGGTGTGAGCCACTGCATCTGGTCCTGAAAAACTCTAAATATCCTGTTTAACAAGGCTTCATTCAGCTTTCAATGAAAAATTAATGAAGGGTGAGCAGAAAGAAGAGAAACCCTTCAATAAGAAAGAGATTAGTGTGATCTGGAAACACTGCCTGATATTGCATAAGAAGCTAAAATTGTTTTGCACACTATCCTAATGCCTGGAATCTCTCTTGGGCATGAAATTTGCACAATTGACTGAAATGTATACTGATTCATTGCATTACCAACTTATCAACAATGTAGATTATTTAAGGGCTAGAATCTAAGTTTTCTGTAAATTTGTATTTTCTAGAGTTCCTGTCTTATAGAAAGTCATCAATTATGCATTTGTAATCTAATTAATTCAGTGCATATAAACTGAGAAGGAAATAACTGAATGGGTCTATTTTCTAGGAGTATCTGGATCTCCATTTATAAAACTAGTTTTGGTATTACTAAGCACAGGCTTCCTCAATTCCCACAAATTAGAAAAGGCTAAATGTAAGAGGATTGGTGCAACCCTTTTGGAGGGAAATATGGTAATATCTACCAGAATTACATGTGCATTTACCTTTTGACTTAGCAAGCACACTTCTAGAAATTTACCTAGGAGATACACCTCCAATTATATGGAAGCACTTATGCACATAGTTATTAACTGCATCATTGTTTGTGTTTTAAAAATACTAGAAACAACCCAATTCCCATTCATAAGAGAGTGGTTGAATAAACTATGGCATATCTAGGCAATGGGACACTGTGTAACTGTAAAAATGAGTAGAGAAATCACTATGAACTGATGTGGGATGATTTCCAGGACATATTGATAAGTGAAAAAAGCAAAATGCATTTATGGTATGCTATCCTTCATGTAAGAAAGACGGGGATATATGAAAACACATCTTATTTGTGGAAAAAATGCAAAATGTATGTCAGAAACTAGAGAGACTGGTTATCTAAAGGTAGGAAATGCAGTTAGAGGCAGGGAATGAGAATGGAGTAGTAGGGATGAGAAAGGAGTTTGACTTCTTTAAATAAAACGTTTATTATTTTAGAACCATAACAATGTCCCACTCTTTAAAACAAATAAAATCGACCAGGATGGGGGTGGGGCACAAAATAGAACACAAACAACAACAAATGAACCTATCTCTATAACAGATAATGACATAATCCCACTGACGGGGATGGGGAAGAATAGAACTAACCTAAGAACATTTCAAAAATAGTTTTTTGACTGGATACTGTAATGCTAAAGACAAAAAGAACTACACACAAATCCTGTTCTCTAGTTTGTAAATCTGTTTCTCACAGGGGCATGGGTTAGTGACATACTAGATGTGTATACTAGGTGATATAGTTTGTATACATGTCCCCATTCAAATTTCATATTGAAATGTGATCCCCAATGTTGAAAGTGAACCCTGGTGGGAAGCGATTGAACAGGAGGGCGAGTTCTTATCAATAGTTTAGCACCATCCCTCTTGGGTACCCTCCACACAATAGTGAGTGAGTTCTCGTAAGACGTGGTTGTTTAAAAGTGTGCAGCACCTCGCCCCTTGCTCTCTTGCTCCTGCTCTGGCCATGTGACGTCCCTGCTCCCCTTCTCCTTCCGCCATGATTGTAAGCTTCCTGAGGCCTCTCCGGAAACTGATGCCAGAGCTATGCTTCCTGAGCAGCCTGCAGAACCATGAGCCAATTAAACCTCATTTCTTTATAAATTACTCAGTCTTGGGTATTTCTTTATAGCATGTGAGAATGGACTAACACACTAGGGTTGAAAAAATAAGTAAATATATTGTAGATGAGAGTAAGCCTTCTCATTATCAGAGAAAGCAGAAACAAGGACATAAGGCCAGAGTAAAACTTGCAGTGTTTAACTTGAATCAGAGGTATTAGTCTGAACTAATGTTTTACCCACACGTGCGAGAAGCTACATATGTATATGTGTATATACATGTACACACATACAGAGATAGAGAGAGAGAGAGGAGAGAGAGAGAAGCACAGATATATGTATATATATGAGTTAATAAACATATACAATTGAACAATGAGAGCACATGGACATAGGAAGGGGAACATCACCCACCCGGGACTGTTGTAGGGTGGGGGGAGGGGGGAGGGATAGCATTAGGAGATATACCTAATGCTAAATGACAAGCTAATGGGTGCAGCACACCAACATGGCACATGTATACATATGTAACAAACCTGCACGTTGTGCACATGTACCCTAAAACTTAAAGTATAATAATAATTTAAAAAAAGAAAATAAATAAATAAACATATACATTTTCTAATCTATTTGCTGAGAGGGCCTAGGAGAAATGATGCCCCAGTAGCAATGAAATACTTAGCATTTAGATCTTGGTTTCTAAATGCCACTCATCACTAAAAGGAACGAAGCCTCTTTAGAGAAGTGGTTGATTCCAGGACTGGGGAGGGAAAATTTAAGAAAAACCTGGAATATCTGTAGTTCTAGCAAATAAAAATCTGCTTGAAAAATTATGAGCCAATATTAAAAAGGTACAGGTGCAAGCCTGAAGGAGCTCTTAGCGGTCAAAGCTAGAACAATTTGAGTGACAAAATAATAACAATGAGTATAATGATGAATTTTAACTACGTAACAAAATAAATATACATGTGTCCCTACTGGAATAAATAATTGAATAAATAAGTAAATTGTGGGGGAGGACATCTTTTTCTTACAGAACAATTCCAATTAATAAATATAGAAGGAATGAGGAAAACAGAAAATCATTAGGCAAGTAGCACAGAAATAATTATTGAAGGCAATGGATACTAAAATCAGTGAGCAAAAGTTTGAGGAAAAGCAGAAACTTAGCATAGTCTCAATTATCTCTCCTAAGTTATTTCCCAACTATAAAGGGAAAAACAGTGACTCTACCATAGGAAAGCATGGCAGACACCACATTACCAAGTATTCAAAGTTAATGTAACCAGTAATAAGACATATCAGCACCCTACATTTACTAATATGGTGCACTGGGAAGAATATGACATCACTTTCTTGGGACTTTTTCCAAAAATGTCTAAACTCAACCTAATCACGAGAAAATATCATACAAACTGAAATTGAGAGACATTATGCAAAATAACTGACCAGCAGTTATCAAAAGTGTCAAGGTCATGAAAGACAAGGAAAGAATGAAGACCTGTCATAGAATGGAAGACACAACTAAATGTAAGATGTGATACTAGAGTGGGTCCTGGAACAGACACAGACAATAGAGGGAACATTGATGAACTTGGACTAATGTCTATGTTTTAGTTAATAGTATCATCCCAATTTTAATGTCCTTACTTTGATAATTGTATTATGGTTATGTAAGCTCTTAACACTAGACACTGAAATGAACTGTAGAAATAAAATTTCTTTTTTGCAACTTCTCCATAAATCTAAGAGTATTTTATAATACAATGATATTGTATGTCTAGGCTGTATAGATTACATGCCATCCTCCTATCTGACTACAGATAGGAGCCAATACTGAAAACATAAGTATGCCCACACCTTCTTCCTTGGGCATTTTGTTTTTGTTTCTCTCTTACCTTTCTTCCTTCGAGGAACTTGAGTGCCGTGCCAATGTTAGCCACAGCATGGATTCGCTTCATCCGGCGTCCTTGTTCACAAGGCTGTAAAAAGTGGGGTAAAAAAGGGAATGAGACAAAATCTGCATATTAAAATGTTAGTTATAAGATCTATTTAAATGGATTAAAAATATACTTGAAGAATATTCAAAAGCAACCAACATTGTTCACTTTCTATAAAGGTTAGCAAATACATAAAGGGGTGTTCCCCATGGCACTCTGAAGATATACTAATTCACTCAATAAGTGCATTCATTCTCAGATTATCTGTTAATGCATTTGCCTTTTAGTCTTCTGTATGTCTAAGAGCAGAAATTATTTACTGAGACCTCTGTTAGACACGACACAGTCTCATCATTGGTCTGTGCACAGCCCATTTATTTAGCTTATTAGTTAATTATTTTTAAAAATGTAAAACACACCCAGAACCTGCAACCTAAAACAAAGTCAGGACCCACAACTAAGTATGAAAGCCATATCCCAAAATATGACCACCATTAATCCCATCCTCCTATCTGACTACATTGAGGGCACCCGTCATACTAACTCCAGTCTAGTGTTTGCCATTTTATAGAGATTCATTTCTTTCACACGCTTTCTTAAAAAGAATGCTTAGTTTTTAATTTTATATGAAGAGCATCACTGTATTAATCATTTGAGACCTACTTTTCCACATTATATTGCTAAGATTCATCATATCATTGCCTTTCACTGTATTTCATTCATTTCAAAAGCTACATAATGTGCTATTTCTATACTCTTCTTCTGATATGAATGTGCTATTTCCAGGTTATTGATATTTTGATATGTTGATGATTATTCTTGTACTTCTCACCTTTTGTACAAGCACAGTTTCTCTTGGACATGTACCTGAGAGTAGAATTGCTGAGTCGAAGGGAATGTGACTTCCATTTGTAAAGTAATATCAAACTCTCCTAAAATGGTTGTACTACTTTTTATTCTGATCAGCATTGCAAAAATAATCCTGCTAATCTGTATCCTCTCCAACATTTGATTTTGACAGATACCTTAAACATACTTTTTTCAATTGAATATATGTAAAATGTATATGTACTCTTTTTCATTGCAGTCTCCATTTACATTTCCCTGATCAGCAGCAATGGGGACTTCTCCTCCTCTGTTCATTGGTGATGTGAGTTTCTTCTGCAAAATGCCTTTTCACATCTGTTGCCCAGGTTTTCCTTTGGGTTGTTTGCACCCATATTGTTTTGAAGATGTATTTTATATATTCCTGATTTAATCCTTTTACAACATGAATTGTGAATATCTTCAACAAGTTTGTAACTTCTGCCAGTTGTTTTAAAGGTTTTTAATTTTTAAGATAGTCTTAATTTTAATATATTAAATATAGCAATCTTTTATTGTCAATATTTTTGTGTCTTATTGAATAATTGTTTTCCTATCCCTGTGTCTAAAACATATTCACCCATGTTTTCTAAGAGTTTAGAGTGTTACTGTCAGTAGGTCCTTAATTCATGTAGATTTAATTTTTGTATAGGCCATGAGATAAGAATTCAATTTTACCTTTTTCTGCTAGAATGAACTTAATTTCCTGTTCCATTTTTTTTAACTTCAATAACTTTTAGGGTACAATTGGTTTTTCGTTACATGAAGGAATAATATAGTGGTGAAGTCTCAGATTGTAGTGCACCTGTCACTCAACATTTAGTTTTTGATCCCTCACCCCTCTCTTACCCTCATCCTTCTGAGTCTCCAAAGTCCATTATACCATTCTATATGCCTTCGTGTACCCATAGCTTAGCTCTCACTTACAAGTGAGAATATATAGTATTTAGTTTTCAATCCTGAATTACTTCGCTTAGAATAATGGCCTCCAGCTCCATCCAAATTGCTGCAAAAGACATTATTTCATTCTTTTTTTATGACTGAGTAGTATTCCATGGTTGTATATATATCACGTTTTCTTTATCCACTCACTGGTCAGTGGCCACTTAGGTTGGGTCCATATCTTTGCAATTGTGAATTGTGCTGCTATAAATATCCGTGTGAGGTGTCTTTGAAATAATGACTTCTTTTCCTTTGGGTAGACACCCAGTAGTGGGATTGCTGTATCAAATGGTAGATCTACTTTTAGTTCTTTAAGAAATCATACCGTTTTTCCATAAAGGTTGTATTAATTTACATTCCCACCAGCAGTGTATAAGCGTTCCCTTTACAACACTTCCATGCCAACATCTATTGTTTTTTGACTTTTTAATAATGGCGATTCTTGCAGGGGTAAGGTGGTATCTCATTGTGGTTTTAATTTGCATTTCCCTGATGACTAGTTATGTTGTACATTTTTTCATGTGTATTACTTATTTGTATCTTGTTTTGAGAAATATCTATTCATGTCATTTGCCCACGTTTTGATGGTATTGTTTGTCTTTTTTCTTGCTGATTTGTTTGAGTTCCTTGTAGATTCTGAACATTAGTCCTTTGTCAGATGCATAGTTTGCAAATATTTTCTCCCATTCTATGGGTTGTCTGTTTACTCTGATGATAATTTCTTTTGCTTGCAGAAACTTTTTAGTTTAATTAGGTCCATTTATCTATTTCTATTTTAGTTGCATTTGCTCTTAGGGTCTTAGTAAAAAATTATTTGCCTAGGCCAATGTCTAGAGATTTTCTTCTAGTTTTTTTTTCTAGAATTTGTATGGGGTTTCAGGTCTTAGATTTAAGTATTTGAGCCATCCTGAGTTGATTTTTGTATAAGGCGAGGGATAGGGGTCCAGTTTCATTCTTTTACATGTGACTATCCAGTTTTCCCAGCACCATTTATTAAATAGGATGTCATTTCTTCAATCTACATTTTTGAATGCTTTGTCAAAGATCATTTGATTGTAAGTATTTGGCTTTATTTCTGAGTTCTCTATTCTGTTCCATTGGTCTATGTATCTACTTTTATACCAGTATCATGCTGTGTTGGTAACTATAGCCTTGTAGTATAATTCAAAGTCAGATAATGTGATGCCTCAAATTGTTCTTTCTGCTTAGGATTGCTTTACCTATTTGGGGTCTTTTTTGCTTCCACGTGAATTTTAGAATTGTTTTTTCTAATTCTGTGAAAAATTATGTTGGTATTTTGATAGGAATTGCATTGAATCTATAGATTTCTTTGGGCAGTATGGTCATTTTCACAACATTGATTCTTCCAATCTATGAGTATGAGATGTGTTTCCATTTGTTTGTGTCATCTATTATTTCTTTCAGCAGTGTTTTGTAGTTCTCCTTGCGAGATCTTTCAACTCCTTGATTAAATATGTTCCTAGATATTTTTTGCAGCTATTGTAAAAGGAATTGAATTACTGATACTGATATTATTCTCGGCTTGGTGGCTGTTGCTATATAAAAGTGCTACTGACTTGTGCACATTGATTTTGTAACCTGAGACTTTATTGAATTTGTTTATCAAATCTAAGAATTTTAGAGGAGTCTTTAGGGTTTTCTAGGTATCCAATCACATCATCAGCAAACAATGATAGTTTGACTTACTCTTTTCCAATTTGGATGCCCCTTATTTCATTTCCTTGCCTGATTGTTCTGGCTAGGACTTCCAGTAATATGTTTAAAAGAAGTGGCAAAAGTGAGCATCCTTGTCTTGTTCCAGTTCTCAAGGGGAATGTTTTCAACTTTTCCCCATTCAGTATGATGTTAGCTGTGGATTTGTCATATATGGCTTTTATTATTTTGAGGTATGTCCCTTCTATGACTAGTTTGTTGGGCTTTTTATCATTAAAAGATGCTAGATTTTATCAAATGCTTTTTCTACACTTATTGAGATGCCCATATAGATTTTGTTTTTAATTCTGTTTGTATGATGTATCACATTTATTGACTTGCATATGTCAATAAACACTTAGAATGACACATAAACTTCTTGAATACCTACATGAATATTCACATAAAGATTCCTTTAACCTTCAAGAAAATAGCTTAATTCAGGAGGATATATCTAAATGGCCAGTTATATCAGGTAATCAAGGGAGTATGTATTTCAATCTAATGACTCCCACAACCTAATGCTTATCTAGTATCTTTAGCTAATGCATATGCCTATATACATTCCAAATTGCCTGTTCATATATGTCTAGCTTGATTCCTTCCAAAGCAGAGCTTGAGACAAGCACTTGGGTGCATGTAGCTTACTAGGGAGGTGATCCCAGGTGGCAAGAATGAGGATGTGTGGAGAGCGAGATGGGGAAGGAGGAAAAGCTAACAAAGGATGTGCTATTGAGGGTTACTGCTATTGGCAACTGGAACTCAGTCCCACTGATGACTCTATGGGAACTCTATAAGACATGTGTAAAATATGCCTCAGAATCACCTGTCTCAGAATTACCCTGTAATTTTAGGGTGGAGCATTTATTCATAGACTCCCATATCCATTGGTTGAGGGTCCCTTGGTACTACTAACTCCCCAACACTTCAAAGCTGCTCTGTGCAACTTGTGCCTTTAAGAAAAGCCCTGAGGCAGAAAGCCAGACAGATACTACGAGTGCTTGAAGAAAGAAGCTGTCAGAGTATATGGGAATGTCTACCACTGATGTAGCTGAGATGAGACATGGGGTGCCAGAAGCATCTGCTACCTGGGAATCCAATTACTTAAACGACTGATGCAAAATTATTACCAGTTTATGTTTTTCAACAAACAACTCTTACAAAAGCTATTTGAGGGCTCCCTGTACAAAATGAATGGAAATTAATTTTGAAGAGGTAAAAATCCTCTTTTAAAAACTCAGTTATCCAAGTAATAATGATTGTGTCATTATTGCCAAGATACAAGTGATAAAGAAAAAATGGACTTTCAATTTTGGACTCTGTGTCTAGTGTGTTATCCAACATCTTGAAAATTATTTCCTGAATTCCTTTTTCCAAATTATGGTAAACATTATTTATAAATAATTTATGTTTACAAACTACTTAATGCTCTACTACTCTGAAATGAAAAAGAGATAAGCAAGAAGAGATAATTTATTATTTGACAATGTAGAAAATGTACTTTCTAGCTCACTGTTAATGTTGTTTTTCACTCTGCTGGCTCCACAGCACATAAAAACAACTCTGAACAGGCTGTTCTTGCTACAAATGATGGATGATGGATGATGTCAACAAGAATATGAAAAATGCCACACTGGTTTCCTGCTTAATTTTCAATAAACAACTATATAAATACACAGATATGGACCAACATTTCTTTCTAAATGGAAGACAAACACTTAAAGTGAGGAAGATGGTAATTTGCAACTAATCTTCTTGTATACCGTATAGATACAATGGTTAATCATGTTAAGTTACTGATGAAGTTCTTTACTCTTAATTGTAAGGTTGTTATTATAAACATAACATTTTAAATGCACTAGGGGTTTGCAGGAACAAGAAGGGAAATATATTCCTTGCACCTAGAAGTAGAAGTGCCAGCAGTGTTTCCAGTATACTACCAACCACGACAAATAACTTTCTTTTACCTGGGCAGCACATCTTAGCACTCTCAACTCCATAGTCCCCAAATTCCAAATGGAAACAATTTGACAAGTATGATCACACAAAAAAATTCTTACCAGTTTCTGCCCAGACAGGACCTCCAGAAGGGCAAGCAGTTTAACACCATCTTTCATGTCTTCAAAAAGATCGTCCACCACCATTGGAGGTTTCCGCTGTAAAAGCAAAGAGGAATAAGTGCAGAAAATATCTCTTCCCTCTCTGTTTCTCTCTTTCTCTCTCTCACCTTTGTTACTTATGGTGGTGAAATTTGTAGGAGAGGCTTCTATATACTTTAATTCTTTATTTTGGATTGAGTTGCCAATTGCCTTTCGATAACTGTGAGAAGAAAAACAATCCAGTGGAGATAAAACTCGATATTCAAAAACCTCAGAAGATTTAATGCTTGAGCCTTAATGTATGTACCAGCTTCTTTCTAGAAAGTGATTTTTGACAAGGGCAGGATGGTGTGGGATAAGGGAAGGAAAAGAGGATACTATCAACCTAAAAGATAAGAGAGAGATTATAGCAGGACGTAAAAGCAGAGCAAGAGCTGCATGGACCAACCTCAGCTTAACTTTGTGCAAGACACATTACTGGGGCTTAACAAGGTGCAGCCCTTCTATAGGACATTCTCACCACAGCAACCTCATTAGCTCAGTGACCTGCTAGAGGAGCACTGTCAGCAGAGCTAAGGTTGCAGGTTCAATCTTCCTGTGGGTTAGTTAGCTGTTATGTTGTGTTCTACAGCCTGGTGAATCTAGCGAACCTTCTTTCAGTGTGGCATTGAACCCAAAAGATCATAAGCACAAAAGTACAGACCGATCAGTGCAAATCTATCATCGCTGCTGGAAAAATAAGCCAAAGACCACCTTTAATTCATGGAGCATCTTTTATTTTTTTATGAAGGTTATTAAAATACTCAATATATGGGAATTCATCAAACATTGAATTAGGGTCTATCTTGGCTCAGGAGAAAGTAAAGAAGCCATTATGCCAATGTTGATGGTCAATAGAGGGGAGGTGTTCACTGATTTATCACAGAATCAGAATTTGTTTTCCATTTAGCATCTGAATTCAAACTTTATAGCTTTCTGATTCTTACTGAATCTTGTTAAAGGCCTAATGCTCAATTCCTGACTTTCAATGTTCTTTCTTTCTTTAAAAAATAATGTGTTCTATGTAAGAGATTTAACTCCAAATGTTTGGTTGGAATGTAACTTTTTTTCTCTACCAACTGATGTAGAGCATTTATATTTCTCTTACAACTGCATGAATTATAATGTCTGAATAGTACAATTCTAAGTTAAAATGTATTTTTCTCTCATTATAAAATGAATAGCTGAATACATTTTGTTCTCATGCTGTGAAATACATGTTCAAAAATAACAGAGTTTTCATTTTTGATCATTCTCTTTCAAATTCCACCATTCACGCTGCTTCTTACTTACATAGCAAAAATGTAATAGTGACTTTATATTCTAAGCATATAAATAAAATTCATCAGAATAAAAGAAGCCATTACAAAGAAAACTATTTGGTGCAATAAGAATCAAAATTATTGTTATTAGCCATATACGGTCATTAAAAATGCAGTCTATTTATCATTCAAAGTAACCACTTGTACCCAAATTATTTAAATCAAGCAAAACAATGAGGAACAAGTTCATAAATGTTTGATACATTCAGTGAGCAAATGCAAATAAAATTTTTCATGCATTGTTATAAATATGCAAAAAGTAAGGAAAGCAGGGAATTCTCATAAAATAATAAAGATTTCAAGAAATTTTGCACCCAAAAATGATAAAATGCACATCTTCATCTGTTTCGATTTTAAAAATACACAGGTGTCTGCCACTTTGAGGAACACGTCCTCTCACCTCACTTCTGCCTCTCTTCTTTCCCTCCTCTGTTGCTACTCATGCTGCAGGTGCTTTCCTTTTCCCTCCAGCTGTTCCCTCCACAAGGCTCCTGGAATTGGCCTTCCGATCAGCAGCGACAGCTGAACAGCTCAGCAGCCTACTGGCCCCTCTGCATGGGACATTGCCAATACCATTCTCTCCCTGATCTGTTCCTACCCAAAACTCTGTGACCAGACTGCCTAGTTCACAGCCCTTTCTCTTTCTTTCTCCTCTCTTCTTCCTAACCATGGCCATTCACCACTCAATCCTGAGTCCTTTGTTCTTTACAAATTTTTTTCTGCTTATACATGACTCTTAAATCCAGGTAAGCGACCTCTCCTAAACTTTGTCAAACATGTGGCAGGCACTTCATATCTATTGCTGGCTTGCTGGCTGACTGACTGACTGAATGAATGAATGAATGAATGTAAATATTGTGTGAAGCCAATAAAGAGACTTTATTACACCAGAATAAAAAAAATTAGTAATTACTGGACAAGTTTTGCCATCCAGTTTGTATAAGGTATTCTTTATATATACCAAACAATCAGTTAGGGGGACCTTTACTATGATGACTACCTCACATTTAATTTTTGGAACAATATTTTAATAGAAAATCTTTCAGCTAAAATATTTCTCCTGTCACATGTACAAATATTTATACCACCAATATGGTGACTTTGATAAGACTTGGGTCATAGTGCTGAAGGTCAAAAGGGAGAGTTAGAGATGCAGATAATTTATTGGATCTTGACTTAATGGAAAATAAAGATGTGACTTGAGCTGGCTTGTGTCCATGCCAGTATATGTTAGATATGTTAGTACATACGATGCTTCTATTATTACGTTTTTAGTCTTTCTTAAATTCACTTTTAGAAGTTAATAAAGTTAGTGTTTCTAGTACAGTAGCAGGCACTTCAGCTGATCAGTCAGTACTTTTTCTATTGATAATAAATATGAATTACATTTATGGGTTTGTGTATTATTCAGGAAAAATTAATGTTAATACCATCATTTTTATACTAAGCTTCCTGTCTAACAAGGTGACTCAAAGTATAAAATCCTGGGCTCTAATCCGAGTCACTTAGTGTCTCTGAGATTCAGATTCCTTGCTTTTAAAGAGAGGATGGTGTTCCCATAGGTAGTGGCTGTGAATATTAAACAAGATAGCAGGTAGGAGTCCACAGAATAGCACTCAGCACACTTAGATGTTTAACAATATTTTATTCATTTTTCTTCTCTTCCTATTTTATTATCTTTCTCCTTTTATCCTTATGAAACACTCACTAAATTTGAGTAATATCTAAGTCATAGAAATACCTACTAAATATTGGAATTTATATATTGTATGTAGTCTATAGAAGGACTATTTTGTCATAATTACTTTATGCATGAACATTTTTTATTTCATATATAATACTTAAATGTGAGAACTTCTTAAATTTTCATTTCATACTGTATGTGAGTGGCCTGAGCTGGGCCCATCATATTCTCTGCTTGGGTCCAGAAGATGTCTGGGATTACATTGTCCCATGGCAGTGACCTAGGGACTAGTGTCATCAGGTCATGCTGCTGAGGTCCCAAGAGCCATTCTGACTGTCCTTCTCACAACTGGGTTAGTCAGTGTGTTGGGGGCTCCCAAGAACACTTTCAGGCTTGATGATTCACTAGGACTCAGAACTCAGAAGTGCTGCTGAACTCATGGTTACAGCTTATGACAGCAAAAAGATACAGATTATAATCAGCAAAGCAAAAAGACACATGTAGTGAAGTCCAGGAGAAACTATGCACAGTCTTTCAGAGGTGAATGACCTCTCCCTTCCCAGTGGAGTCACATGAGGATGTACTTATATTTCCTAGCAATGACATGTGACAACCCATGTGAAGTGTTCCCAACCAGGGAAGTTCCCCCAGGTCTTAGTGTCCAGGGTTTTACTGGGGGGTCTATGACATAGACAAGCAATATCCATGTGACTGACCTCAGCTACTCAGCTCCAGCTCTCTCCCACACCCTCAACCCCAGCAAAAAAAAAGTTAACCCAAATCACATTATTAGCATAAAAAGATCTATCAAGGTGGTACAGTATTGCCAAGGCCCCAGGACAAACAAAAACTGATGTTCACTATAAATATAGTGTGGCTCAAGGTCTCAGGCATAGAAAACCACACTACTGGGGCAGAATATTCCAAGGGCTCAGATTATCTCCCAGAAGCCAGCCAAGGTCTATTCTTAAAGACAGGCCCGTCTTTGGAACACAGCATCTGAGCACCGCAGGCCTGCTGAGTTAAGTCTGTCTTGCCCAGTTGGCTTTTCCTTCTCATACTTTGAGACAACTAGTAGCCTTTCAATAGCTCTTTCTTCTTGGTTAAATCATCTAAAATTAATTTTATTTACTTGCAACAAAATGAGGCACAACTGACGTGTCTAATTTCTTAGTGTGTAAACACTATTCTGAGTGTAACAATTTAAATATCAGTGTCTCCCCACTCCCACTCACATAAGTGACCAAAAGTAAATTTGTTCTGTAAAACAGAAGTGCATATCTTCAGAAGAACCTAATTGTATGGTTTTTTTTTTTTTTTTTTTACTAAAACAGTCCCCCTTTATGTGCAGTTTCAATTACCTAGGGTCAACTGTAGTCTGAAAATGTTAAACAAAAAATTCCAGAAAGAAACAATTCATAAGTTTTAAATTGCACACTGTTCTGCATAGTGTGATGAAATTTTTTTTTTTTTTTTGAGACGGAGTCTTGCTCTGTGGCCCAGTCTGTAGTGCGGTGGCACAATCTCGGCTCACTGCAACCTCTGCCTCCCGGGTTCATGCCATTGTCCTGCCTCAGCCTCCCAAGTAGCTGGGACTACAGGCGCCCACCACCACACCCAGCTAATTTTTTTTGTATTTTTAGTAGACACGGGGTTTCACCGTGTTAGCCAGGATGGTCTCGATCTCCTGACCTCATGATCTGCCCGCCTCAGCCTCCCAAAGTGCTGGGATTACAGGCGTGAGCCACCACATCCCGCCGTGTGATGAAATCTTAAGCTGTCCCTGCCTGGGACATGAATCATCCCTTTGCCCAGGGTATTCATGCTGTCTACTCAACCTGACCCACCTGCTTGTCACTTCATAGTTGTCTAGGTTATCAGATCAACTGCCTCGGTATCACAGTGCCTGTGTTCAAGTCATCCTTATTTTACTTAATAATGACCACAAAGTGCAAGTGTACTGATGCTGTCAATTTGGATATGCCAACAAGATGCTGTAAAGTGTTTCCTTTACGTGAAAAGATGAAAGTTCTCAATAAGAAAATGAAAAAAAAAATTTGAGATTGCTAAGATCCATGGTAAGAATAAATCTTTTATTTGTGAAACTGTGAAAAAGGAAAATTGGCTGTCACACCTCAACAAAAGTTACGGCCAGAGTAAATGATAAGTGCTGAGTTAAGATGGAAAAGGTGTTACATTGGTGGGTAGAGGACATGAACAGAAATGTGTTCTAGTGGATAGTGATCAGGTTCAGTACTGTCTGTGGCTTCAGGCATCTACTGGGGACTGAGACATGTCCCTTTTGAATGTAGTTTAACTTTTTAATTTTTAAATGTGCTAAAATACACATAATATAAAATGTGCCATGTTAATCTTCTTAAGCATACAGTTCAGTAGTGTTAAATATTTCCACATTATTGTGCAACTGATCTCCACCATTTTCATTTTGTGAAATTGAAACTCTGTACCCATTAAACAACAACTAGCCATTCCCTCTGCCCTTCAGCCTCTACCATTCTACCATTCTATTTTCTTTTGAATGATTTTGACTACTCTGGATACCTCTTATAAGTAGAATCACACAGTATCTGTCATTTTGTGACTGGCTTATTTCACTTATTATAACGTCCTCAAGGTTCATCCATGTTGTAGCAGGTGCCAGAATTCCATCCTTTTTAAAGGCTGAATCGTATTCCATTGTATGGATATACCACATATTTTGCATCCATTCATCCATCAATGGGCATCTGCATTGTTTCCATTTTCTGGCTATTGTGATTAATGCTACTATGAGCGTGAGTGTATTAATATCTCCTGAAGACCCTGCTTTCAATTTTTGTAGATATATACCCAGAAGTGGAATTGCTGAACTACATGTTAATTCTATTTTTATCTTATTTTTTGAAAAACTGACATATTGTTTTACATAGTGGCTGCTTTGTGGAAGAATAGAAACCTACTTTGAAACATTACTAGCATATCATCACTGTATGAGGTACAAATTTCTACAAATCTTCTACAATCTTAGAATCCGTATTGACCAATATCATGCAGCTATAAAGTAGATTTTCAGTATTAATAATTTAGTATTTAACAAAGAAAATGATAAAATCACCTGTCTCACACCAGGACCATCTAGGACCTCATTTGCCATCATCCATAATCACTTTTAGTCTTCTAGTAAATGGTTTTTACTTTTGAGAAAAGAGCTCTCAAAACATTTTATCATCAAAAAAAGCTACAATATTTTACTTTAAACTACTAAACACATATCCTATGGCTTAATATTTGTGATTGCTAGGTACCTAGTGATACCAATAAAACTGAACCAGAAAATGCTTAGAAGAATAGCGCATGCCACAGTTAAGTATTTACTTCAGTTGAGGCACACACACTATTGAGCACAGTCAGGGTTGCTGAACAGGATGAAGAGTCATGACCTGAGATAGTCACAACATTTTCTTCTGCAGAGCATGTAGGGAGGTCTCAAGGCAAGGGTTGACTCTCCATGTGCATTCTGTGCACCCTTGAAACCTCTGTGCACAGAACGACCCATAACTTGTAGAACCAGATAAACCACTACTTCTGGTTTATATAAGTTTCAGGTAGGAATTATTTCACAAGCTAAGAGATTGTATATGTAGAAAAATTCCCATCCCAGGACCAGTCTGGAGTTTTGCATGCTCTGATGATTATCTTCTGGGTGGGAACAGCAAGTTAAACAACAGTAATATAGAGAAGTGGGAAGGAAGAGAGGTTAACCAGCAGATATGGAGCAAGTGACCTCCCCAAAGGTTGGCAAAGAACCCTCCACAGTATATGTATCAAAATGCCAAAGTATCCTTGGACCAGATCAAGTAAATCATGATTATAACCACTGACAGTAGTCAAATAAAATTAATGTCCAACAGGTTTTGTCATTTTATTCAGCAAATCTAATTGAATGTTTCCAATATCTTCAGAAACAAAGTGTAGTAATTTAAAAACTGTATGTGTAATCTGCTTCTCTTTCACTGCCTTTGTAACAGCACTGTTGTGATCATTTTCCACTTCTGCTTGGCAAAGGTGGGAAGGTCCTTCCCATTCTTTTTTGTTTCCTGTGACAGATAGCATAATCCTTTCCACTTCCTCGATTATTTAATTCAATTCCGAATAAATATTCCAAAGGCAATAATTGCCCTCCAGCTCAGCTTTAAATCTGCTTGGAAAACTCAGCTCTCAACAATTTTCAGATGTAATAAAGTTTGTTTTACTATATAGTATAAAAGCATTATTGTACCAAGTTATTTATTTGGTACAAGTTGGGGTTACCCTTGACTCCTCTCTTTTGCTCACACTCAATATCTGATTCATCAACAAATCTTGTTGGCTTCATTTTCAAAAGTCTTCCAGTATCCAACCACCTCTCATCACCTCTACTGCTACTATCTTGGTCCAAGTCACCAGTACCTTGGCCAGATGGCTTCAATAACCTCTAACTTATCTCCCTCCTTCTGCCCTTGCTTCTCTTCAGTCTACGTTCAGCAGAAGAGCTTCTTGATCTTCTTTACTGTCCATCTCCCCCATTAGGATATAAGCTTCATAATGAGATGGTTATTTTTTTTTCTGTTTTGGTCACTGCTACATTTTCAGCACCTAGAATATTCTCTAGCTTATTAAACAGCATTTTAAAATATTTGTTGAATAAATGTATGATAAATAAAATATATTTCTGGTTGGGCACGGTGGCTTACAGCTGTAATCCCAGCATTTTGGGAGGCTGAGGTTGGTGAATTATTTGAGGTCAGGAGTTCAGGACCAGCCTGGCCAACATGGTAAAACCTCGTCTCTACTTAAAATACAAAAACTAGCTGGGCATGGCGGTGGGCTCCTGTAATCCCAGCTACTCAGGAGGCTAAGGCAGGAAAATCACTTGAACTCGGGAGGAGGAGGTTGCAGTGATCCAAGCCATGCCACTGCACTCCAGCCTGGGCAACAGAGCAAGACTCTGTCTCAAAAAAATAAATAAATGAATGAATGAATGAATGAATGAATGAATGAATAAATAAATAAATAAAATAATATATTTCTAAAGAAGGAACTTTGACAAATATTAATATTAGCAAAATGTTTATTAGTCTGCATAAACTTTGTGAGATCTAGATCTTTGTTATCCATAAACTAATATATTCTATAAATAAATTAACAAATGCTATTCATTTTGAAATGGGAATTTTCCTTTATAACATTTTAATTACATATTTGGAAATAACTAATTTATTAGAATGTTTAGGGTTGACAAATTAAATTATTTTTTCCCTGGCTTTATTAAGATATAATTGACAAATAAAAATTGTATATATTTGTTATATAAGATGATATCTTGGTATGTGCATACATTGTGAAATGATTAAATCAAGCTAATTAACATATCCATCATCTCACCTACTTATTGTAGCTTGAGAAAAACAACTAAAAAATTATTTGGGGGGGTGAATTATTGCATTTACCTTTTCCTCTTTGCCTCTTTATCTTCCTGTCTGAGCTCATTAATAGTCTCACCAAAATGTGTACAAGGAAACAGATGGGAGTAAAATTCTATTCGGAACATGTTTCCATGTTATCTTTCAGCACTGCTGGTGGAAAGACAACTAAAGAAGATGAAAGCCACCACTAAAGTGATATTTTATGACTATAAAGATGTCATTTAAATTCATGATTAGCATGGATTTGTTTTTAGAAAAAACATGGAAAATCCAAAATGTTCCTTTTAAAAGACTGTATGCATCTAACTTGGTATTAAAACAAAATGTGCTCTTAATGGAATCTGTTATAGGTTGAATTGTGCCTACTCACCAGAGATATGCTGAAATCTTAACCCCCCAAAATGCTGCAGAATGCAGCCTTATTTGGAAATAGAGTCTTTAGAGAGGTAATCAAGTTAAAATGAGGTCATTAGCATGGGTCCTAATCCAATATGACTAGTGCCCTCACACAGTGGTGAAATTTGGACACAGACATGCACAGAGGCAGAGACTGAAATAATGCAGCTACCCAGAGACTTAGAAGGAGCCTGGCCTTCGAGTCTCCAGAACTCTGAGATAACAAATTTCTCATTTTAAGCCACCCAGTATGTGGTACTTTGTTACGGCAATCCCAGCAATTAATAGGGAACCTAAATAATGTTTTATAAATTTTTTTTCTGCAGTTTTTCTGAAAAGTGAGAAGATGCTCATATCATGCCTGAGTTCATCCCAAACACAGTATTTAAAATGTTCAGTGCCTTTTGTTGATGGCTCCATAAATTTTAGGCTGACAGAAGGATAAAGGACTGCTCATTCTATATTGAAAAGAAGCTCCATTTATAGAAACACTAAAACATGGCTATTTGAGACCTATTTTTCCTCAAAGGGCTTAGTGACAAGCAATCTATTTATCTCACAGTCAAATATCATAAGATTGAATCAAGGGTGTTTAAATAAAGATACAATATTCCATTCTATTTGATAAAATGAGAGAAAATATGAAACTGCAAGCATTTGATAATAGAAAATAATCAATATAAATATTAAGATTGCTTATACATGCCTAATTTTAAACATCTAACTTTTTACAAAGGGTTTTTAAAGATTGTTCCCTTTGGGTGGCTGAAGTACTAAATAACTACAACAGTCTATGAATTTTATATAAAATGTAGGAATTTTTTAAGATATATTTTAAAATGTGAAAGAACTATTTTTAACTGTCAAATTTTAAATATATTCATCGTAACATAACTTCTTTGCCTAAAATGCAAGGCCTATGCTGTTAGGCCTAAGACATCCATGGTCATTAGGTGAGAATTCCTTCAAATTTAAGTCCATGCCACCTCTGTCTTCATCTCTCTGCTTATCCCAAAGTTAGACACAGCCACACCCACTTTCCTATTCCCAATGCTAGTCTCAGAGAAGGGGAGATATCTCTGCTCTGGAACAAACCTACACCCTCCACCTCTGCTCTTGATTTCTTCTCTCATTCTGCCTCCTCGGGCGCCTTGTTCCTTCAGAATCCCATTCATTGCCTTCTTTTTCAGCCTCTCCCTCTCTACAAGCTCTTGATCATTCCCTTCTATACAGATGCAGGCTCATGACCACCCTTTATTAAAACAGCTTTTACCAAATCCAATGTTCTGCGCCAATATATATAGTAATATATATATATAACTATATATATAGTATACTAATATATATATAGTAATATATATATATTTATATATATACTATATATAGTAATATATATATTTATATATATAACTATATATAGTAATATATATTTATATATATATACAATATATATAGTAATATATATTAAGTGTACTAACATCCTTACCTCTCATTTACTCATCAGCTCGCTAGAGTCTAGTTTCTACTATAACATGGCCACTCCCAATGGCGGCCAATGACTTCCAAACTGCCAAATCGAATGGGTTCACCTTTACCAACTAATTTCTCCTTCTAAACTGAATTTCCTAGCTTTCCCCCCAAGCCTCTTGTATTCCCTATATCTGTGAATAATCTCAATCATTTGCTCAAGTCAGAAATCTAGAAGTCATTCTTGATTCCTTCCCCTCCAAGATTCCAATTAATTACTCAGTTCTATCAAGTCCACTCCTAAACATCTTTTCAGTCTATCCATTTTTCTCCATTTAAGCTTAGAACTCTAAGCTTCTGGTTCATAATCTACAAAATAATAAAAATAATGCATTTTCTTGTGTGAGGGTTAAATAAATAAGAGATAAAGTTGCTAAGGCACTGTAATTGGCACGTGGTAAGAATTTAGGAACATGTTTTCTCAATAAGTGCTGATAAGCTAGATGTGAGTCAGAAACTTGACTTTGAAAAACCATCACTAAAAATCAATATTGGGCTAATTTAATAAAATACTCCACCTTCTTTCATTAACAGAGCTAACAGAATAGAAAGATACTGGTTTCTTCTTGAAAAGTGAGAAAATTATAGGTTCAATGTCTAACAATAGAGCCCCATCCCTGAAAGAAATTATCAGGTATATGAAATAACAACAACCCGCCAATTGTTAATGTTATATCAACAATTTGTGATTTGCAATGTTTTACATAATTGGAGAAGCATTAAGACTTCAATTTGATAATAAACATCAAAAAAGAACAGATATTTATACCCACAAGTTTTAATGATCTAACATTTGTGTAGTAAAAATAGAATAAAAACACAAACACAGAAAATCCTTAGGTTTTTTTCTTACTTATAATAAGATTTTTGTTTTAAGAAAAGCATATTTTTACTTATAATAATTAACAAATGTAAAAAAGAAAAAATAATAAAAGCATGTTTTAAAAAACAGATTGCAATCTTATTTGCATACTATCTCTTCTTATTGCTATCATAATATTTATAAAGAAATGTTACACTAGAATAAAATGTCATCAGTAAAAGATTTTTTATTTAATTAAAAGTCAAAAGTATATTAATTTGCAACTGAGCAAAGCAGTCAAGCACAAAAATAAAAATTCCTATTAAAAAGTGCCCCTAGATATACAATCGTGTCATCTGCAAACAGGAACAATTTGACTTCCTCTTTTCCTAATTGAATACCCTTTATTTCTTTCTCCTGCCTGATTGCCTAAGCATCTTCTGAACAGCTCCCAGTGCTCCCAAGATAGAAGAACTTTAGGAGAAAAGGATCAACTTCCTTTCTTCTCAACTAAACATCCCAGCTCTTAAACCTGCCACTACCTATTATTAAAGCTATATTTGGAAATGGTAAATTTAACTCATAAACGGTTTGGTTGTCAGTTTATCTGAAAACATTCCAAAGCACAGAGCTATGTATACCTGGATTACCATGCAAGGAAACATCAAACATGAAAGGGGAGACAAGCTCATCACTGCCATTATTCCAGGGTTGAGTTCCAACCTCTAGCTATTAAAAACTTTGAAGGGTGTTTTAATAGTGCAAGGAAATGGGGATTCTTAGAAGATCTTAGAATATATTAAAATCATAATTGTGCATAGCTGTTGACTACCTACTTCTAGAAATTTATCCTAAGAAGAAAATATCATACAAGTGTTCAAACAACGTATACCAGGACTTTCACTGTAGTATTTTATATAATATGAAACAACTGAAAACCACCTAAATAACCCTCCACAGGCAACTGGCTAACTCATCACAGATAAACATGACAAAGTTTATTTAGCCATTACAATAATTACATAGTTCTATCTATTGTCATGGATTGACGTGTTGGGTGAAATAGAGGCTCCAGAACAATATCCTATAAAACCACTTATATGAAACTGTGTGTAGAAAAGTGTTGTCCAATATCTTAATGATGACTGTATCTGGATTATGTGATATAAGATTACTTTTACTTTCTTTACACTTTCTAAAAGTTTCATTATTAATATTATTTTCAATTACGTAACCTCTGTACACTATGAAAAAATAATAACTCTTTTCATTTTGAAAAAAAAAAACAAAACCTTTTCCCCAATCGATGACAATTCCATAGTACAAATAGCTGCCAGATGGGACCAACGGAAGCTTTAAAAAATAAGCCCCAAAGTCATCAATCCTATGTATCCACTGCCTTTTTACAGAGCAGATTGTGGGGCAACTACTGGGCCAAATTCCCTTCTCATCAAGTGCTGTGGGGAAGAGAGCATAGGAAAGATGACCCTGGTTTATCCTATATCTAGACAGGTCGCTCTAGGCTTCTTTCATGGCTGGATTGCAAGCTTCTCGGGGCCTGGGAAAGTGTTTTACTAATTTTTTCCTGTCTTCAAAGGCTAGCGCAGACACAAAGTAAGCAGTGAATCTGTAGAATGGGACTAAAATCAACTGTCATGCTTTGTTTGCTTCTGCGCTATCAAAATGGCTTTGGGGAAGCCCCTGATCAAAACCTGCTTGTAGGGTTGGGCTTTACATACTACAGGCACCACTCTCAGCAAAAGTGAGAATAAAAAATTTGAAGATAAAATTGTTTTATCATCTAATTCATTTAACCAATTATTGACTTGAAGGGAGAGTCAACATAACTTCCACTATATAATCATATAGACTACTCCTTTAAAAATTATCAGCAAATCCTCTAACTGAATTCAGACACAATTGTCCCATCATCTGAATTTATTTTTACAAATATGATGTCTCTTGGCTTGCTTATTTTTTCATCAGCAGTACAAGAGATTAATTTTATTATACTGTATCAAGATTAAGATTTATTTTATATTAGCATTTATGTTCAAAGACATTATAATATATAGACATATAGTCACCTAATATCAGTGAATGACAGAGTGGATAATACTAGAATGATTTTAGCCTTTTCATGTCCTATTACCATGGTTACTTTTTTAAATCAAAGCACCAGAGATGAGAGCACTGATACTATCATAATATCTTTAGCTAAAATCTTTTGCTTAGCATAGATCACTTATAGCTTCTTTGTGTTCCAAATAGGAACAAACACACACAAACAAAAATCCAGCACAAATTCTCCTTTTGATATGACACACACATTAGTATTAGAAAAAATAATTGGATGAAATAGTTTCTCAAGATTCACAGAATTGACATGAAGTAACTGCTCTTGACTCTAGCTATAAGTTCATTTCTTCCCAGAAGCAATGTTAGCAAATTCCACTCTTAGGCAACAGCTAGACCAACCAATAAGATTACAGTATCATTGATTCGCAACAGTGACAACAGGGACAGAAGCATTTTGTTATACTGGACATTTAATGATTTACTGGCTCAACCTAAGTAAACCTGTAATGCTGGGTAGTTTCCTTTACCTTGGCCAGATGAGAGTTGATCCATTTTGTGAAAGTTCGTTTTTGTACTATCTCTTGCTCATCTAGAAGGAAAAAGAAATCTGGTTAAATAATGTAATATTTCATGAAGCTGTATAATGAGAAAAAGTCCTATTTACACAAATCTGGAAGGAATCGTGAAATCGTTTTCTCATTCATTTTACCAATTATTGTCTTGAAGGGAAAAGTCAACAAGAGTCGATCTACATAATCATATAGACTATTCCTTTAAAAATTATCTGCAAATGCTTTAAAATTTGCCATTTGTTAGCCCTATGTTTACCTTCATCCACTTACTTAAAATTCACTGATGACTTATACTTCAACAAAGCTGTTAAAAATGAAAATTCACCAAGACCACTAAGTGCTGAATTTTATGCTAAGTGCAAAGGAATACAGAGGGTTGAATAGGGCAAGGTCCCTGCTATAAAATATCTAGAGGTGGAAATGGACAAGCAAGGGCTATGAATAGTAAAGGGTTACACAGTAATGCAATAAGATAGAGCCGTATACATGAAGCAAAAAAGGAACTTCACCCAGATGAGAATGTGGTGACTACACACTGGAGTGACCTCCAAAAATTCCCACCACATGGAGTCCCCATTTTTGTGTCGGCAGAATGTGGGTAGAACCTGTGATTTGTGTCTAGCCAATAGGATATGACAAAGGTGATGAGATGTCACACTTGTGATCATGTTACTTTATGATACTCCAGCTTAGCTGACTGGAGTGAGAGATTCTCCTGCTGGCCTAGAAGAAGCAACCAGCTAGGCTGTGAAGTTCCTTTGCAGAGGGTCAATGGCAAGGAACTAGAGGCTCCCTTCAGGAGTGAAGTGCAATCTCAGTGAACAGCCAGTAAGACACCAGGCCCTTGTCAAACAGTCACAAGGAATGAATTCTGTTAACATTGTGACAGAGCCCAAAAGTGGATTCTTCCACAGTTGAGCATCCAGATAAGAATGAAATCCAGCTGATGCCTTAGTTATAGCCTTGTAAGACCCTGAACAGATAATGCAGCTAAGCTTTGCATGGACTCCTGACATGCAACCATTTGGAGATAATAAATGATTGTTGCTTTAAACTTCAAGGTTTGCGGTACTTTGCTATGTAACAAGAGGAACTAATATAGAAAGGAAAAGAGGTAGGGTTTGGATAGGCTTTAATTAGAGGTATAAAGAGATAATAATGATGTTGGTAGTTTGACAGGAACAGCGTTGAATCTGTAGATTGCTTTGGGCAGTATGGATATTTTAACAATATTGATTCTTCTCATCCATAAGCATGGGATGCTTTTCCATTTGTTTGTATCATCTATGATTTCTTTCAGCAGTGTTTTATGGTTCTTCTGGTAGAGATAGATCTTTCACCTCTTTAGTTAGATGTATTCCAAGGTATTTTATTGTGTGTGTGTGACTATTGTAAATGGGGTTGCATCCTTGATTTGGCTCTCAGGTTACAAGTTGTTGGTGTATAGAAATGCCACTGAATTGGCCAGGCGTGGCGGCTCATGCCTGTAATCCCAGCACTTTGGGAGGCCGAGGCAGGCAGATTACGAGGTCAGGAGGTCAAGACCATCCTGGCTAACACGGTGAAACCCTGCCTCTACTAAAAATACAAAAAATTAGCCGGGTGTGCTGGCGGGCCTCTGTAGTCCCAGCTACTCAGGAGGCTGAGGCAGGAGAATGGTGTGAACCTGTGAGGCAGAGCTTGCAGTGAGCCGAGATCGTATCACTGCACTCCAGCCTGGGCGTCAGAGTGAGACTCCATCTCAAAAAAAAAAAAAAAAAAGAAAAGAAATGCCACAGAATTTTGTACATTGATTTTGTATCCTGGGAGGGGGTGTGGGTTGAAAAACTACCTATTGGGTAATATGCTCACTAACCGGGTGACGAGACCATTCATACACAAAACTCAGCGACACACAATTTACTCATGTAACAAACCTAGACATGTAACCCCTGCACCTAAAATAAAAGTTGAAAAAAAAAGAGAGAAAAGCCACACAGAAGTAGTTTAATACCTTCAAAAGAAGAATTGAATTTTATCCACCCCACCAGCATGTACTGAGTATCAGCTGTTCACAAACTAGTAAACGCTATGTTGTGGGGGACATACACAAGAAATAATTTCAATCCCTCGCCCTTTGAGGGATGATACCCAAATCTCTGTCTTTGTCTCTGACCTTGTCTGTGCTTCAGCCCAGACCATTTGCTTGTCTACTAGAATGTAAAGCCCAGGAGGACAGCAACTTGGTTCCCAATGCCTGCAAGTATGACCAATAAGAATGAATGAGTAAAGAAAATAAATACAAAACCTTTTAATTTGGAGAAATTTTGAATCTATCTATAAAATTGACAGAATCCATGACCTCTAATATATTTTAACATGCTCATTAATTTTCAAGTGTATATAAAAAACAAATTGGTATAAAAATAAGTAGCACTTCCTATATACCAGGCACTGACATTTAGATAAATCAATCACTTGATATTTTAATTATCATTTATTTATCATTATATATTACATGTAATATTATATAAGTATTAATCCATTAATTCTTGTCAAGATCTATGAGCAGCAACTATTATAATGCCCATTTTACATATAAAACTGTCAAGACACTGAACTACCAAGGTCATCCAGCAGCACAGCCATGTTGTAGACTTCAGATATCTAGTAGTATACTATGCCATTATACTGTCACTCAAGGGTAGCATAAAAATTACCACATTCATCTATCAAATATTAATCTCATGAAAATTATAAATTTATAGTTCAAATTTTTTGACCTGAGAATCTTTAGGTTGTATAAATAAAGTTAGGTAGCGGCAAAATGATCTTAACCAATCAAGGTAGGTTGGATGGAATTTGGAACTTTATAATGCATAAAATCCAATTCAAAATCTAAAATAGACACAGTTAGATTATATGTAAATTGTTTACACTCAACTTGAGATTATACATTCTTTTATAAACATCACAAAATACCACTGTTTAAAAATGTTAATATAAATTGGCATAATATGTTAATGTTATACTGTCATAAAATTAAATATATAATCTGATGATATATTACTTCTTAATATAAATTGTTATATTTTCACTATTATAACCTTTAATGAAATAAAAATAGTATTGTAACAATTTCATCTGATGGTAAATCTCTGAGTTTATAGTTAGACTTCAGCTAAATGGCCTTTTTTAGAATCCTCAAATTATCTTTTTTGTAGCACAGCATATATTTAAATGTTAAATTCTTTACGTGTTTCCTTTTTTACTATGGTTGCAAAAACAGATTTTACTAGGTCCTACAATTCACTTTTTGTATTATCAAACGTAGTCAGCTGAATTCTAGGTAAATATTTTTCTGATTTTACTTACTATTTTCCTGAAAGAAAAAAATTGTTTAATTTAATTATTCAGCAAACCCTCATTTTTTATGTAAAACTTGAAAACCTTACTCCCAAGATTTGGTAGTTAAATCTGATACCAACAACATAAAATGTTCAATTTGTGGAAGTAACAGAAACATGCAACGAATGTCTATCAACTTGTGTTAAAAGTTTAATGAACAATAACATTTCTTTTTAATGCTGTTGACAGGGAACAAAATGAACCTTCACGACTAGGTCTATAAAGTTCTTAAGTACAGTCATGCACTGCATAATGATTTTTTGGCCAATGACGAACCTCATAGATGACAGTAGTGCCATAAGATTATAAACACAACTGAAAAATTCCAGTTGTCTAGTGATGTCCTGCCATTGTAGGGCAACCCATTGCTTTTTCTATATTTAGACATGTTCAGATACACAAAATACTTACCATGTGCTACAATTGCTTACAATATTCAGTACAGTCACATGCTGTACAAGTTTGTAGCCTAGGAGTAATAGGCTATATCATGTAGCCTAGATGTGTAATAGTCTATACCCTCTAGGTTTGCACAAGTACACCCTACAGAGTTCCCACAATGATGAATTCACCTAGAAGACAAATTTCTCAGAATATAACTCCATCATTAAGCTACACATGACTTTATATGTCATTATATTTAAGAAAACAGTTTAAATATATTTAACAAGTAACAACTTTATTAACAATGTTTCTGTCCTCAGCTTTTCTGCTTAAGAAGAGTTATGAGAATTCAGACCAATTGCAAAGGCATCGTAAAATGGATGAGATGACAGCAGCGTCAGGGTAGAGGAGAGGTGTGGCTGGGGAAGCCACACTACAATTTGGGTGCTGCACAGCTGTGATAGGCTCTGATTTAAGACCAGTTTTTGGTGTGGGTGATTATTACTGGGTAGAATTGGTTCACATTCTCCTTCTCTCTTATAACCTAAATCGTAAATGGTTCCTAAAGGCCAGACCGTGTAACATTAAAAGCAACAACCACAGAGGAGTTCCAAATACTCTCTGGGTCCTTCATCCTTGAGGCTCACATTGCTTGTATTTCAAAAGCAGTTGGTCCTACAGGCCTCAGGAATTGGAGTCAGCTGAGGCTATATAAACACCTAGCTCTGGGTAATATTATACCGTAGTATCCCTCCGTAGAAATGAGTTAAAAAAAAAAAAGGGTTCTGGCTCAGGTATTCAATTTCTGCATTTCTTTGCCCATTTTTAGATATTTTCTCAGTGTTTTGCCATTTCAGGGCAAGATCATGACATACAACAAATGCACAAATGAGGCCCAATTTAGCAACTGTGATTCCATTTGACTATTAGGAAACTATCATAACTGATGACAGTTCACATGGTTTTCTTCCTGATGAGTTATACTAATAGTCACCTGCGGGTACTGCACAATTGTGGTTTACTCTAGGTGACTTAAACATGCACCCGGAAGCACAAAGATCATAATAAAAGGTGGCTTGGGTTATTGTGCAGCCATTGCAATCAATCACAAATAATATATTGTCTAGAAACATGTTAAATATACTTTTAATTTTACCTTACATAACAAATGTACCAACTAATATGTGATGTAAAACTGTGTCACAGGGTCCTATGACCACTGCCTTTTAAATAGATTTACTAAATTACAAAAATGTTAAAATACATGACAATATCCACTTAACAGATGGTATGTTTAAAATTTGGACAGTAAATGAAATTAGTATATTTTAATATATTGAATACATTCTTCCATAATAATTTATTACTGAGTGATATAGCATCTCATGTATCAGTATGTACATAATAATGCATAATGTATTTTCATCAGAATCATAAAATATCATAAAGAGCAAAATAGTAAATGTCTAGAAGTATCCATCTGTAATTAATATCACATTTAATATATATATTACCAGGAAGAGTCCGGGTGCTGTGGCTCATGCCTGTAATCCCAGCACTTTGCAAAGCCCAGGCAGGAGGATCACTTGAGGTCAAGAGTTTGAGACTAGCCTGGCCAACATGGTGAAACCCTGTCTCTATGAATAATATAAAAATTAGCCAGACATGGTGGTGGGCACCTGTAATCCCAGCTACTCGGGAGGCTAAGAAAGGAGAATCACTTGAACCTGGGAGGCAGAGGTTGCAGTGAGCAGAGATCACGCCACTGCACTTCAGCCTGGGTGACAGAGTAAAATTGTATCTCAAAAATACATAAATTAATTAATACTAAGAAGAAAGAAATGCTGTTTACATAATTATATATAGGTAAGCATGAAATTGCAATCTCTGGCAAAATAAATACATAAATAGTACCATGCATTGATACATTTATAGGAGCTTGCAATAGGTTATGATAAACTTTTTGGGGTTTTATTTGCAGATTGTTATTATGCCTAATAGGTTTCTTTAATGATAATGATAGCTTAAATACATGTCTTAAGGATTTAAATTATCTAAAAATATAAATGTAAATGTTCATTTAAAACAAATCACACATTTAAAATCACATTATTCCTGGTAGTATCTAATAAAGATTTTTCATCATTTTCATTGCAGGCAAATACACCTCAATAAAATATTGGAATGAAATTGAAAAAATAGACAAATGCAGATTGAATTTCTTCCCACAACCAAATGACGTGAATACAAAGGGGAAAACAACAGCAAAGGCATACAGTGACAAGGTAATGATTATTAATTACCAAACACAGTCAAATGACTTGATTTGGGAACAGAATTATATTATCCGGATTGCATATCTACAATTACTAAAATTACCACTAACTTTATTATATATGGGTAGGGAATAAAGTATATTGAATAGTCCAACACAAGAAAATGGACAATTTACAGGTGCTTATAACTACTCAATGTTAAGATTTTAAAATTGAATATATAAATGAAAGACATTTACAGGACCAGGCTGTGGCAGATTTCCAAATATGACCATAAATTCTTCCCATTGTGATCAGCGCATCCTTTGCAATGTGATTTTATTGCCTCTTCTCTTAGGAGGTGGTCTCATTTCCCCAGACCTTGAGTCTGGGCTGGCATTGAGATCTACATTGATCAATAATATGACAGAAGTGATTTTAAGTGACATCTGAGGCTGGGCCTTAAGAGGACTTGAGATTCCACTTTGGCTATATTGGAATTCAACTCTGCTCTGAGACCTCTACACAAGGAAACTGGTCTAAGATCCTCGTGAATAAGAAGTCACTTGGAGGATAGATTCTAAACCTCAAGAATAAGAAATAAAAGTACAAATTGGTGTGATGAAGGTATATTCCTATTTTTGGGGATTGGGAGGCTTTACTTATTTTTAAAAACTCTATTGAGGTAAAGAGTTAAGCTGTAACATACTTCATTGATTTCCTCACCCTTTTCGGCTCTGTTTTACTATATCCCCTAATTTGTTGGTTGTGCTAATATTTGTAGAAAGAGGTCTTGTATTTGCTGCATCATAATGACATTTGTACTTTTTTGACTGGTTTAAGTACAAATGAATGAAATAACCATTTTTCCTTTAGTTGACTTTACCCTGATTTCACCTAGTGTTTCAATGAGTAAAAATACAGCTAAAAGAAAAGAAAAGAAAAGAAAAAAAGTCACTTGGAGGAGAACTGAGGTACCTCAGATGGCAGCCAGCAACAGCTGCCTGATACATGAGTGAGCCGCCCTGGACCTGCCAGTCCAACTGATACCCCACCAGCATGTAGCCATGTGAATGGGCCCAGGCACAGCTGGCAGAAGGAACACCCAACTCACTCACAGAAACATGAGAAATCCTAAACTGTTGTTGCTCCACACCACTAAGATTTGGTGGTGGTTTGTTGCACAGGAAAAGCTAACCAAAACAGAAATTGCTACCAGGAGTGTGGTGTTGCTCTAACAAAAATCTAAGACATATGGCATTGGTCTTGCGACCAAATAGGGGAAGGAGATTGGAAGGACACAAAGAGCCTATTAGCGGAGGCTGATTGGGCAGTGAGGGAACCGCCATTGGAAATTGGAGAAAGAGCCGTACATATTTTGTACATTATATATTCTGTCACCTGCAGTAACTTGAACTCATGATTCTGGCTAGGGAGATTTCCTTGCAGAATGCTGAAAGTGTCAGTTGGCTTCTTTTAGCTGAACATTATAAGGTGCTGGAAGAGACAGAAATGAGCTGTTTCATTTGCAGACACAAGGCAGAGGAAACACAGAGGCCTAGGATATGATGGACTGAAAAATAAGATATTTTCTTATTCCTAGTCTTTCCAAAAAAAAGATTTGCAAAGTAAGAAAACGCTTCAGGGTAACAGCAAATCAAAGGTATGAGTATTGTTGAAAACTCAGAAAGAGTTTGACTTGTTTAAACTCCACATATAAATGATATCACACAGTACCTTTCATTCTGTATCTCACTTATTTAATTTAGCATAATGTCCTTCAGGTTCATCCATGTCATTGCAAATGGTAGGATTTCCTTATTTTTTTATGGAGGAATAATATTCAATTGTATGTGTGTGTCATGTTTTCTTTATCTGTCATAATGGATGTGTTAATTGACTGTGGTAATCATTTCACAATTTATATGTATATCAAATCATCACACTGTACAACTTAAATATATGTAAGTTGTATTCATCAATTATACCTCAATAAGGCTGGGGAAAAAAGAGAACATTTGGAAAGATTTAAGGTAGTGCCCAGTTGACCTTCTCAACTAGACAAACCAGCTTCTAAGAATCTTTAGGGCACTGCCCACAGCAGCCTCATATGTGTCCAATGTTTGTTTCAAAGCTGAGATTTTGGGGGCACAGAATGCACTACAGACAAGTTTTTAGGAAGCCAGCTTTCACTGAAGGGACAGCACCACTCCAAATGAACAGGAGACTGGAACCACAACTTTGTGTGTCTAGGAAGAAGGCTAAGAAAACTATCAGTTGCAATCTTGAGCCATCTCTTACCAAGATAGCAAGGAACATGCCTTGCCCCTGGACAAAACGAACTGGCCACGTGTGGCTCACTGGATTTCAGAATGGCTGGACCACAATTGCTCCCTCTGTTCAATTCTCTCACTCCTTGGACAGAAGCATCTATTGAAGTGACCCCACTCCTGCCTCATCACTGCATGTTGAAGAAGTGGGGAGCAGGTAACTTCTCTTTTTAGTTAACGGGTCTATGGATTGAGAGAAATTTCACCTGAGGAACCTCATCTCTATCTGGACAAGATGCAAACGATGCAACACAGGACTTAGAGCTTGATGCCAAACCAAAGGCTGGAGGAGACTTTTGATACCTTGAGAATGGATGAATGTACTTTCCATGCAGAAAGAAAACAAACAGTAGTGACCAGAGGACAGATTTTAAATTATGGCCACAAAATCCTGTGGTCCAACTATGCATCCTTCTTTTGTATGGTGACTTTGTCCTTCCCATCCAGGGGTAGAATCAATTTCCCTTCCCCTTGAATCTGAACTCGTATGGTACTTGCTTTAATTAATAATGCAGCAGAAATTACTTTATGTCATCTGATTCTAGGCCTTAAGAGGTCGTGAAGTTTCTGTTTTAGCTGTCTTGGATCTCCATCCTAAAACCACTGTGCAAAGAAAGCAGTTTATATTAGAAGATGTTTCCATCTGTGGAAGAATTCAGATGTCTCATTTGTTACCTAGAACTAACCACCAGGCACGTGAATGAGGTCACCTTGGATCTTCAAGCTCAGTCAGCCCTGCAGATGAACTCAGCCACAGGTGAACCCAAGTGAAGTCAACAAACTGAGGCCTAAGACTTCGAGACTGATGTGTCTGATACCTCCTCTCTCTCACATCCATACATACTTGATACAAATTCCTTGTAGGAAGAAAGCATTTTCCTCAATATCGTATTCCTAAAGATCAGCCCCCTGCCTGGTATATTGTCTTATATATGTGTCCTTATGAAACCATCCATATTTAACTGAACTAACCAGCAAATCCACATACTGTGAGAAAGCATGAATTCTGATTGGCTTAAGCCACAGAGTTTTGGAGTAGTTTGTTACACAGCAAAGGCTAACTGAAATAAAGGCATTTACATGTGTGGGGGGGCGGTGGGAGTGGAGGGGTCCTTCTCCTCCTCCCTCACTCTGTTTTCCATAATGAAAAGATTCTAGGCTTATTTCTTTGGGCCTGTCTCCTAGGCCTTTCCTGTTTTAATCAGACAAGTAATGGATTAAAAGTTGCAAAGAACAAGGGCAACCAAAGTTACTCTGCATGAGTTCTGACATGGATTGATGCGAAGGGACAGACGAGAAGAGAGAAAATTAATAGCTATCTACAGCTGTGGGCTTGAGGGAAAAGATGAGTTAAGAGAATTTTTAGGGAGTCTTGCCTGTGTTGAGTCCTCTAATGACTGCTTCAATTTTTTTTTCAAGTGAATGTCAGTAAAGACTTACATTGCTCTTAAGACTTTCAGAATTGGAGTTGCATTTCTTTTGTATTTAAAACCAGTGGCTAGATTGAAAGAGCCCAATTTCATTAAAGTTATATTTGCAAAATGTAGTATCATTTCACTTTAAATCTAAGGCAGATGGGATGAAAGGAATATAATTATCTCCGTTCCTAAGTTACAGTTGCTTAACCTCAGCAATATTGACATTTAGGCAAGATGATTCTTTGTCGTGGGAGGTGGTCTTGTGCATTATAGGATGTCTAGCAATGTCATTGGCCTTTACACATTAGATACTGGCAGTACCCTACACCCTAGTGATATATCTATTTGAAAAGTGACAAAATATAGTAAATCTAAGACTTTTGCTGAAAGGTTACATAGAAATTACACGATTTTTCCAATATGAATTAAAGTATCTTATGATGTCTGAAATTATGTCATTCAAATCTGGAAAGTTTGGTCTCATGTGGTGGGAAGGTATAAGTGGGAGAGGGTGGATAGATCTGATAGTGTGTTTGATTTATCTTATAATTCTTAACCTCTAAAAAATATTTTAGAACTATATAAAGCAAAATCTATTTTTTAAAAAACAAATATTTTAAAAATATTACAATTTACCAAATTTTAATGTATTTGTCACAATGGTGGCAGTTATATAAGGACACATATATTAGAAAATGTGCTAGGCACTGGGTTGGCTTCTAGGGTGACAACAATGTGGAAATGCTTTCATCTCACGAAGAATTTGTCATCTCGTATGTATGGGGGTGTGGGAGAGAGGAGGGGACAGATGCATCAGCCTTGAAGCCTTGGATGGGCCTCAGTTTTGTAACTTTGTAGTAAATAATTTGGTAGCAAAAAATTGACCTGAATTGAGAAAAGACTATTTATAGTCTTTCATTATTCCACTTAATGTGAAAATTCATACTTTTCTCTGCAGAAATATCAACGTCTTTGATTGCAAGGTGCTGCCACAGACTCTGATTGAGAGTGAACCATAATAAATAGTATGTGCACCGTATCACGTTTCTAAAATCCAAAAGATTCTGAGTTTGAAAACAAAGCTGGGGTCCTTAGACTTTCGGATAAAGGGTTGTGTGAATCACACAGAAGTGCAGGGATGGAGATGTGCACTCAGAGAGTAATAATCACAATAGAGAGCACAAAGCAATCAATACAGTGGGAGGAAAAACAGCACAGCTTATTGTGGCACTTCAAACCTTTTAGTTCTAAATCAAGACCACATTTGAACAGTTTCAAGCAGAACTTTTGTGGATTTTTTCCTGACACCTTTTCCTTCCTCTATTTGTGGATATAATGTTGCAGGAGACAATGATCGGATAGTAAAGTAATGAAAATACCTTTTACCTTGTATCTGTACAGCACTTGAACTTATTCATGTTTTGTATACATTTCTCATTTGGATTCTCACAAATAACCTGCCACGTACACAGAGAAGACCATTAACTCGGATGTGAACAAGGAAGCTAAAGAATAGTGGGGGTGAGGAAATACGCCAGAAATCTAGAAACTGGAATGAAGGCTGAAGAGTTACAGAATAATGAACAGTATTTAGTAGTCAGACTCTTACCCTAATCTAATTTTGACCAGATCAATTTGCTGATTATTTGATTCACTAATTTAATGAATTCCACTGTGCCCCTCACATGTACCAGCCGTTCTGCTGACCAGCTGTGGATGCAATCTGAGAGGATGGGTTTGGTCCCTGAGAGTCCATCAGGGAAACAGGAATCAAAAAGAATTACATCACAGTCCAAGTTTTGTAAATGCAAAGAAAAGTTCAGAACAGTGACATGAAATATATTAGTATATTTAAAAAATATCACTTCTACATGATTAAAGATTATTCTTGTGGAAAACATGAAAGCCTACCCTCCTACTGTTTGCTACAATGGAAGCTAAGGAGAAAATGCTGCCTTCACATCTAAGAGTTTTCCTACTGAATTACATATAAAGGTGCATGTTAATGAAAACATGAAGACAACTGATCTCTTGGATGAAAGGTTATTTCCAATCAGAGAGCACACACAGAAGCCTTGAGAAGGACTTCAAGCTGAGGCTGGACAAACTTGCCACATGTAGCCAGCTCCCTCCTGTAAAATGTGGCGTCTCCTGCTTTTGCAAGAAAGCCACCAAAACTATGAAATATTTTCCTGTTATGAGCTCTTAGCAATACCAGGGCACCAGAAAGAAAGGGAGTCTTGAAAAATGTCCTGAAATACTACCTTCATAGAACCACTTTATTTTAACCTGAAACTGTATTCCAATACCAAGAGTTTCAACAATTCAAAATACATTGTTTGGTGTGGAATGGGGAAAAGGGGGGAGAAAAGCTGGTCACAGTGTTCGTATATTTTATGTCCAATATTTAATCCAGACTTTTAAAAAACCCACAGTTCTCTCAAACAAACATGACTGTTCTCAGAGAGTGCTTTCAAAGTTTGGTCGTTGCTTTTCATCAAATTACTGCTCTTTATCTTAAGTAGGTTCAGGATTTTACAATTTTACATTTTCACATTTTGGGATTTTGCATTTCAAATTACTGCTAATATTATTTCTTAGTCTCACCCTGTGATCTAAATGTTCCTTCTCTCTCTCCCTCTCTCATATAAATACTTATATTTATATATTTACATATTTATATTATATATTTATATATTATTTTGTCAGTATCCAGCACGGATACAATAATTTGACACAATTTCACCTATATTTTATACTACCTGTCCCCTTGACAAGACGTAAAGAGAGCTACAATTTTAACAACAAAACTCATAAATCTCAGATGGAGATGAAATGAAAAACAGCAAGCACCTAAAAGAGTGAACCTGAGAAATAAGGTCAAATCACAGAGTTTAAAGAGCCAGTGTTAGAAATTGCAATCTCAAATTCAACCCCCACCATGTAATTCAATTAGCCACTTGGAAGACCTGCACTCAGTGGTTAATCCTGCACAGAGCACCAGGTGGTGCTGTTGCTTTCCGCTGCTTCAGATCTAGCGTGGCGTTAGTGACCCTCCTCATAATAGAAGATCTACTGGACTCCAGAACCTGTGGCCACCGCGGCAGCTGCAGGGGTTTCCACATGAGACAGCAGCTGGTGGATGTCACAAATAAATTTCCTGAGTGTCAATCCAACCTCACATGCTCAAGTTTATTCGTATAGTAATGAATAATTTTAAAGGTTACTTTTAATAATAATAGAAATCTATCTTCTATTTAGAATGTATGTGGCAGGCATATGTTGCATATATTTACTACACATATTATCTAATTAAAACTTTGCAATAACCGTATGAGAAAATATCCTCCACCCTCACCAATTTTACATGTAAAGAGACTGGAGCAAACGAGGTTCATCAACTCCCTTGAGGTGACACAAGACACTAAACGTGGAGCATGGATATCTGTCTGACTCAAAAGCCCATACCTTCAATCACTTCATTCTACTCTCACGTCCAAATTGCCCATTGGGGTTTCCAGAATAACTTTACATATCACAACCTATCTGGAGATAGGCAATGTAGACGCAATTCCCAACTCACAGATGAGGAAACCGTGTCAGAAATGGGTATCTCAGCAAGCAAGTGCCAAAGTCAAATGAAACCCTCCTTACTCCCTTTCCCCCGTACTATATTAAAAACGATATGGCCAGAATCCAGCTGGTCAATAGAGCACCTCCAAGCTAGGCCATGATGCTCAGTTATCTTCCCGAGCTACAAACTATAAAGAGTTCTCCTATCCACGGACATCTTGACCGCCTATCTCCAGTTCTTCAACCTTGTCTATCCTCATTCTCAGCCCATCTTACTACTACTTGAGCCTCCTCAACAGAGCAGGAAATGTTTATGGGAACTGGCTCACCTATGAATCCACAGAATAATTTTCCTTTCACATGTCTATATTTGCATCTGCCTTGGTATTATTATTATATCATGTGTCACAGGTCAGGATAACAGGGAAACAAATTCTAGAAGGAATTTTGTCAGCAGGAGGTTTTTTAGCATGTGCTCTCAAGAACTAAAAACTTTAAGTGTGGAGAAGCAGAATTAGGACACAGGGAGATGCTGGACTCATGCAATTATGCAGCTGAAGCTAGGAGAGTCTTTCAGAGATGTCCAAAATGAAGGCAAGGGGCTGGGACTTTGCATCCAGGTATTGGCCAGTTGCTGGATATGGGGTGGCCCTGGGAGGAGGTATAACTTGAGAAAGGCAGATCCCCGGGGCTGAGGACCAGTCCTGGGGAGAGGCTCAGCTGTGAGTCTTCAGCAGGCAACATTTGGAGAGCTGGGAATGAGGGCCTCAGAGCTGAGGGGCATGGTCTGCACTGTGCCCCAGTCATCTGCTGCACCAGCTACAATGTTAACTACTAAGCTCTAAAAATTTAAACAGTCCCAGTAACAATGAGAATAGCAGCACGGTCCCAATAATAATGAGATCAGTAGTTCTCATTAGTTGTATGCTATGTTCGATACACTGCATTCAAAGGGGGTCAAGATTTGCTCCTATTTCTATTTGGGACTACAGCCAAACACTTGACCACCAAGAGATGCTGCCTCCTCCATTTATTTCAAAATGAACAAAGTGTTCAAGGCCCACTTTTGCACTTTTCTGAGGACTGGATCAAAAGTCTGAGGACTTCTGGATCAAAAGATCGATAGTGCAAGGACAGGGAAGGGGCCATAGCTTTCTTGAGGCAGCCAATCATGGAGTTCTCCAAACCATCTTAGACATCTTAGTTTTTTTTATCAGTTTCTTACTAATTCATATGCTTCCTCAGTTTAACCAACCAAACTTGGTTGTATATTTCTACCCTCTGAGCCTGCCTATCTAAGGTACCATTTTACTTCTCTAACCAGACAACTTTGGCAGCCACTATCTAGTTCTCCCCTCTGACCTCCATATCATCATCCACCCTTTGCATAACTATTTCTCCTGAATATGATACCATTTTTCCAGTTCTTAAACATCATCACCCAAGAGCCTACACAAATAAAAAACATGGATTGCCAAGTAGTGGCATGTAGGCAGAATCTGGGCCCCAAATGTATTTTCCTTCATCCTGCAACCTTCCAAGAAAACATTTTAATTTAAATGTTTGTAGGTAGGACTTAAGTTCTAATTTTTACACAGACCCATCACTTTCTTTTGTCTTTAACCAGTTACTTCTCAAATCACCAGAAGGTAATGAGGTTTAAGACATCTTAAAAGAGGAAGACTTATATTTCAAATACTCATAAATGGGAAGTGAGATTTTGAAAAAGCAACATGATGAGAAATCTTAGGAAGAGCAAAGAAGTAAAATAGAGACTCTTGATTTTAAAATAAACTCATATTTTTTGTTACAATTATTATATCTTTGTCATAGATATGTTGTGTCTTTGGGGAAATTGGAAAAGATATTCTGTTTACATTCTCAATCCGTTCCCCCAGTATAAGCATATATCACATAACATTTCAGCCAATGATGGACCACATATACAACTGTGGTCCCATGAAATTATAATACTGTATTTTTACTGTACTTTTTATGTTTAGATATGTTTAGACACACAAATATTTAACATTGTAGTACAATTGCCTACAGTGTTCAGTACAGTAAAATGCTATTCAGGTTGATAGCCTAGGAGTAAAAGGCTATTAACACATAGCCAAGGTGTGTAGTAGGCTATGCCATCTAGGCTTGTGTAAGTACCCTCTATGATGTACGCACAATGACAAAACTGCCTAATAATACATTTCTCAGAATGTATCTTCATTGTTAAGCAATACCTGATTGCATTTTAAATTAGTATATGTTTAAGCAAGTATATTATTTCACTGAAACCCAGAACAATTGGAACCCAAGAAAAGTTACTTGCAATGATGTAAAGACATGAATGAATTCATGTAATTTGATAAATAACAATATAACATGTTGGTATTTTTACATATAAACAAACATCATAACTAAATTTCAATGAGTTATAAGAATGCATGATATATTTTATATAAAACTTTAGAAAATATGAGAATCTACATCCAGAGTAAGCTTGTTATCAGTAAATTCCATGTAGAAAAACCAGAATAAAACTTACTACTGTATCTACATTTGTTTCCTAATAAGGAAAATGGTTCAGCTACCTATGTCCTGAAGGTAGTCACTGAAGAGAAACTGCTGTGATGCCAGAGGCAAACTTGAGTGCATCTGATTATCATCTTATATGTAAACATAGTGAAAAAGAGGTAAAATTCTGAGGCACCCTCACATTTTAAAAGAGATCTGAAAACAAAGTGATATCAGCAAGATGGCATAATAGCAGTTTCCAGTGCTCATTTCCTCACAGAGACATCAATTTGAACAACCCATTCACATGCAACAAAAATATCTGCCTGAGAGCTAAGGAATATAGTGCCTGAGTAGAGCACAGAAATAAACACATACATTGAAGAGGGTATGAAGAACAGTTTTATATTACCCACCCATATCACCCCCTTCCCAAGCCTGTACTGCATACCATGGAGAGATAACTTCCATATGAGGGAGAATAGTGAAGTGAGCACTTGACTTCAAAGTAGACTCCAGCACTTGCCCCAGTGAACTCTAGTGTCAAGTTGGCCCCTTCAGACCGAGGATTTGGGCCTGCCCATGCAGATCTGTGTTTCAGGACTGCCCTCACAGACCCAAGTGCCAGACCAACTCCAGTACAGGATGACCCCCATGAACTCAGACCAAAAGCCCACCCCACTGCCTGACTGTTTTCTGTGGACTCAGGTTTTAGGCCATCCTCCACAGACCCAGTCTCCAGGCCCACCACAATGGACCATAGTCCCAGCTTTACTCCCATGGTCCAAAATATCAACTCAGCCCCTATAAGCTAAGATGATGAGAGGACCATCTGTCCCCTGACGAAAACATCAGGCCAGTCCTCCCAAGGATTTCAGCAGCATGCCTATCCATGAACCCTTCCAGCTGACCTTTTCAGAATCCTTGGTCAGGCTGACTGATGAAGGGCTTTCCCTGCTAAGGCCAGTCTGAAGACTGGCAAATGTGCCTATGTCTTCAAATGCATAGGCACCAGCTCAAGGCCACAACAAACCAAATATCAGAGAAATATGACACTACCAAAGGGGCAAGTAAAATACTAGTAACTGACTTTAAAGAAATGGATATCTATGAACTGCTTGAGAAATAATTTAACATAATCTTCTAACAAAGAAGCTAAGTGAGCTAAAGGAGAACACAGAAAGGCAGCTAACCCAAATCAGGAAACAACACCTGAAAAAAATCAGAAGTTCAACAGAGAGACAGAAACCATACAAAAGAACAAAACAAAAATTCTGGAGCTGACGAACACAATAACTGAACTGAAAAAAATTGCATAGACAGCTTCGACAGTAGGTTCAATCAAATAGAAGAAAGAATCAGAAAGCTTGAAGACAGGCTTGACATTATTCAGTCAGAGGATCAAGAATGGAAAAAAAGGATGAAAAGGGGAGAAGAAAGCCTATGGAACATATGAAACACCATGAAGCTAATCAATATACATATTATGTGAGTTTCAGAGGAAGCAGAGATGGAGAAAGAAGAAGAAAGCTTGTTTAAAAAAAATAATGTTAGAAAACTTCCCAAATCTAGACTGGGAAATAAACATTAATATCCATGAATACCAAGAGCCCTAAAAAGATTAAACATAAAGAGATCTTCACCAAGATACATTATAATCAAATTTTCAAAAGTCAAAGACAAAAAATTTTGAAAGCAACTAGAGAAAAGTGATTTGTTATGTATAAGGGAAACTCCGTAAGATTACAAGCAGTTTTCTCAGTAGAGACTTGCAGGCCAGGAGAAAGTGGGATAATATAATCAAAGTGCTGGTGGGGGAAAAATACTGTCAACCAATAATACTATATCCAGAAAAGCTGTCTTTAAGAAATGAAGGAGTGATAAAGACCTTCCTAGATAAACAAAAACTGTGGATGTTAGTCCCTACTAGAACTACCTTACAAAAAATTAATGTTAGAGTTCTTTGAGTTAAAATAAAAGAAAGCTAATTAACAAAATGAAAATATATGAAAGTAAAATCTCATTGTAAAGGTAACATATAGTCAAATTCACAATATCCTAATACTGTAATGGTGCCATACAAGTCACTTTGATATAAAAGTTAAAAGACAAAAGTATTAAAGACAACTAAAGCTACAACAATTTGTTAATGGGTACACAATATAAAAAGATGTAAATTGTGACATTAATAATATAAAACATGGGGAGAGGAGAAGTTAAAGTGTAGTTTTTGTTTGCAGTCAAAGTTAAATTGTTACCAGCTTAAAGCAGACTATTATAACTATAAGAGGTTTCATGTAAGCCTCATGTTACCACAAAGAAAAAATCTGTAAGTAGATACATAAAGATAAAGGAATTAAAACATACCACCACAAAAAAAATCATCAGATCACAAGAGGATGGCAAGAGAGGAAGAACGGAATAAAGTAACTCCAAAATAGAAAACAACAGTTTGTCAGTACTGGGTCCTTGCCTACCAATAATTATCTTAAAAGTAAATAGACTAAATTCTTTAATCAAAAGACAAAGAGTGGCCAAATGGATTAAAAAGTATAAGATCAAACTATATGCTGCCTACAAGAGATTCACTTTAGCTTTAAGGAAGCACATAGTCTGAAAGTAAAGTTATGGATTAAGAAATTCCATGTAAATGGTAACCAAAGGAGAACAAGGATGGCTATCCTTATATCGCACAATGTAGATTTTAAGTCAAACACTGTCAAAAGAGACAAAGAAGATCATTATATAATGACAAAAGGATCAATTCATCAAGAGCACATAATAATGTAAGTATATATTTACCCAACATCGGAGCACCTAAATATATAAAATGAATGCTAACAGAATCGAAGGAAATAAACAGCAATATGATTAATAGTAGCAGATTTCAGTACTTCACGTTTGACAATGGATAGATCATCCTGACAGAAACTCAACAAGGAAACAATACATTTGAAGAACACTATAAACCTAAACAATGTAACAGATGTATATAGAATATTCCATCCAGCAACAGCAGAATACACATTATTTTCAAGTGCACACAGACAATTCTCCAGGATAGATAATATATTAATATATTAGACCACAAAACAAGTCTTAACATATTTAATTTTTATTTATTTATTTATTTATTTATTTATTTATTTATTTATTTATTTTTAGAGAGAGGGTCGCATCTGTTGCCTGGGCTAGAGTGCAGTGGCACTCACTGTTGCCTGGGCTAGAGTGCAGTGGCACTCACTGTTGCCTGGGCTAGAGTGCAGTGGCACTCACTGTTGCTTGGGCTAGTGTGCAGTGGCACTCACTGTAGCCTAGAACTCCTGGGCTCAAGCAATCCTCCCACCTCAGCCTCCTGAGTAGCTGCTGGGATTACAGCTGAGTGCCACAATGCCCAGCTAATGTTTTAAAATTTTTTTGTAGAGACAGGGTCTCACTGTGTTGCCCAGGCTGGTCTAGAACTCCTTACCTCAAGCAATCCTCCCACCTCAGCCTCCTAAAATGCTGTGATTACAGGCATGAGCTATTGCTGTCTGGCCTCTTATCATATTTAAGAAAGTTGAAATCATGTCTTCTCTTTTCTGACCACAAAAAAACATAAAACAAGAGATCAGTAATATGAAGAAAATTTGAAAATTCTCAAATATGTGGAAATTAAACAATTCATTGAACAATCAATGGGCCAAAAAATAAAAGGGAAACCAAAAAATATCTTGAGATGAATGAAAATGGAAATACTACCTACAAAAACTTAGGAGATGCAACAAAATAAGTTCTAAGAGGATGGTTTATAGTAATAAATGCCTACATTTTTAAAAAAAGAAAGATTTTAAGCAACCTAATTTTATACCTCAAGGAGCTAGCAAAAAGAGAAAGACTAAGCCCAAACTTAGGAGAAGGAAGGAAATAACAAAGATCAGGGCAGAAATAAATGGAATCAAGACTAGAAAACAAGAGAAAACAATCAATGAAACTAAGAGTTGGTTTTTGAAAAGATAAACACAATTACAAACTTTTAGCTAGACTAAAGAAAAGAGAGGAGATTCAAATAAATAAAATAAGAGATATTACAACTGATACTACAGAAATATAAGGGATCATAAGAGAATATATGAACAATTGTATATCAACAAATTGGATAATCTAGAAGAAATGGATAAATTCCAGACACGTACAATCTACCAAAACTGAATCAAGAAGAAATAGAAGGCTGGGCATGGTGGCTCACACCCGAAATCCCAGCACTGTGGGAGGCCGAGGTGGGCAGATCACTTGAGGTCAGGAGTTCAAGACCAGCCTGAACAACATGGTGAAACCCCATCTCTATCAAAAATACAAAAAATAAATAAATAAATTAGCTGGGTGTGGTGGCATGCACCTATAGTCCCAGCTACTCGGGAGGCTGAGGTGGGAGAATCGCTTAAACCTGGGAGGCAGAAGTTGCAGTGAGCTGAGATGGTGCCATTGCACTCCCGCCTGTGTGACAGAGCGAGACTCCATCTCAAAAAGAAAAATAAAAGAAGAAGAAGAAATAGAAAATCTGAGCAGGCCAATAATGAGGAAGGAGATTGAAGTAGTAAGAAAAAATCTTTCAACAAAGAAAATCCCAGGACCTGATGGTTTTATGTGTGAATTCCATCAAACATTTAAAGAAAAACTAATACCAATCTTTCCCAAACTGTTTAAAAAATTAATGAGAATGAACCACTTCCACACTCATTTTATAAGGCCAGCATTACTCTCATACTAAAGCCAGATAAGAATACAAGAAAAGAAAATTACAAGCCAATATCCCTGATAAACATAGACATGAAAATTCTCAATGAAACACTAGCAAACCAAATTCAACATGACCATGGTCGATGGGATTTATACCTGAGATTCAAGAATGGTTCACTATATGCAAATTAATCAATGTGATATACCATAATAATAGAATGAAAGATAAAAGTCGTATGATCATCTCAATAGATGCATGAAAAGCATCTGACAAAACTCAACATAATTTTATGATTAAAAACTCAAAAAATTAGGTACAGGAGGAATGTATCTCAACACAATAAAGACCACATAAGAAAAGCCTACAACTAATAGTATAGTGAATGGTAAAATGTTGAACATTTTTCCTCCAAGATCAGTGAAAAGACAAGGCTGCCCACTCTCACAGAGTGCTATGTTCTATTCAACATAACACTGAAATTCCTACCCAAATCAATTAAGCAAGCAAAAGCAATAAAAGGCATCAAAATCAGAAAGGAATACATAGACTTTTGTTTGCAGATGACATTATCTCAAATAGAGTAAACCCTAGACTCCACCAAAAAAATGGTTATAACTGATAAATTTAGTTAAGTTATAAGGTACAAAATTAACAAACAAAATTCAGTTGCATGTCTATACATAAACAATGAACTATCCAAAAAGACATTTTTTTCAAAAAATAAATTTTAAAAATATTCTATTCACAATAGCATAAAAAAGAATAAAATACTTAGGAGTAAATTTAACCAAGGAGATAAAAGATCTGTATAATGAAACAATAAAGCATTGATGCAAAAAACTGACAAGGCAAATACATGGAAAGATATTTCCTTTTATGGATCACAAGAATCAATATTGTCAAAATGTTCATATTACCTTAAATGATCTACAGATTCAATGTAACTCCTATCAAAATTCCAACGGCATTTTTAATAGAAATAGAAAAAAAAGTCCTAAAAATTGTATGGAACCATCAAAGACCATGAAGCAATTTTAAGGAAAAAGAACAAAGCTGGAGGCATATTTCCTGATTTTAAATTATATTATATAGCTATAGTGATCAAAACTGCATGGTACTGGCATAAAAAAACAATACATGGATTGGAACAGAAAGCACAGAAATAAACCCATATATAATATTCAGTCAATTAATCTTTGAAAAAGGCATCAAGAATACACAATGGAGAAAGACTGTCCCTTCAGGAAATGGTGTTAGGAAAACTGGCTATCCACATGCAAATAAGTGAAACTGGATCCTTATTTTACAACATACACACAAATCAACTCAAGACAGATTAAAGATTTAAACGTAAGTCCTGAAATCATAAATGTACTAGAAGAAAACATGGGCAAAATAGCTTCTTGATATTGGACTAGACAATGATTTTCTGGATATGACCTTATAAGCACAGCCAACAAAGCAAAAAGAGGCAAATAGAATTGCACCAAACTAAAAAGCTTCTGCACAGCAAAGGGAACATCAACAGAGGGAAGAGACAACCTAGGGAGTGGAGAAAATATTTGCAAACCACACAATTGATAAGGGATTAATATGCAAAATATGTTAGAAACTCAAAAACTAAATAGCAGAAAAACAAACAAAGAAAACGGGCAAAGGACCTGACTAGACATTTCTCAAAAGAATACATACGAATGGCCAATTACAAGAAAAAATGCTCGACATCACAAAACATCAGGGAAAGCAAGTTCAAACAACCATGAGACATCACCTCATGCATTAGGATGTATATTATCAAAATAGCAAAAGATAACAAGTGTTGGTGAGGATGTGGAGAAAAGGGAACCCTTGGACATTGTTGGTGAGAATGTAAATTATTACAGACATTATGGAAAACAGTATGAAGATTTCTCAAAAAAATTAAAAATAGAAGTACCATATGATCCAATAGTCCCACTACTGAGTATATATCCAAAGGAAATGAAATCAGTATATCACTGAGACATCTGCACCACCATATGCCCTGCACACTATTCACAACAGCTAAGATGTGGAATCAACCTGTCTATTGACAGACAAATGGATAAGAGGGATAGCATTAGGAGAAATACCTAATGTAGATGATGGGTTGATGGGTGCAGCAAACCACCATGGCACATGTATACCTATGTAACAAACCTGCACGTTCTGCACTTGTATCCCAGGACTTAAAGTATATATTTTTTTAAAAAACTCTAAATATCAATCATCTAAATTTTCACTATTCAGGCTTTCACTATAAATGCTGGTTTTAGGTTTTCCAAAATGATGAATGTAAATCAGTATTATTCATTTCACTTCCACTAGTTTTAGGTTCAGATACAATAGGAAGAAAAGATTTTAAACTTTTAGAGTTCTTTTAAAGTCTACTCCACACATTCATCTTTTGGTACGAAGTATTTCAACTCAAATTATAATAGAGGAAAAAGAGTACACACACACACACACACACACAGAAAGAGAAAGAGACGGAGAAACACACATAGAGACAACAATAACAAAATAGTACCTTTTATCATACCCGGAGTCTTGTAGATTGTTTTTATCATATCTCACCTATTTTACTGATTTTGGTAAATTATCCTAATTCAGTCGTATCTAAACCAAACACAGCTTTCACCAAGGGAACTTCCAACTCTCCTAGCAGCATTCTCCTGATATTATCACTATAGCAACATCTCTATAAAAGCATACTATTCTTCCCTCATTCTTCATCCTTACCCCCTGCTTACTAGCCAAATGCACCGCTCCCCAGTGCCAGCGTGTCTACAAAGACAGTGCTCATATCGATTTATAAAAAGTGCTTCAGATGCACTTTTGGTGAAAAAAAAGAGACATTTTTCATTCGATATTTAGAAAATTAGGCATTTTATCTTATTAAAATCCTAGTGTTGATTGTGGTAATTGTTTCACAATGAGAAATATATCAACTCATCACATTGCACACCTTGAAAAGATATATTGACATGATTTTTATGTCATCTCAATAAAGCTGGAAAAAATTTTAAAAATCTTAATAACTTCTAAGGGATTTTTGTTGGAAAAAAATCGTCCAACTTACAAAAACTTCCAGAATTGTTACTTTTGAAATTTAATTCTAGAATTTGGGAGAAGAAATTAAATGGACATTTTTTAGATCACTATTACATAGGCATTTAATTTCTTGTATTTTTACACAAGATATAATCTTGTTTATTTCTGATTTGTTCTTTGAACTTTCTGGAATTTTTCCCAAATATCTAATATTGCAAAACACTCATTACAAATTATAATTGCCATACTAGAAATACACATAGCAAGTTGCCAAGAGAATCACACCATTTTTTTGAAACTTGCAAACAATATTGGAGAGGTTTGACATTACTTAAGCACATAAAATATCAGTTAAAGAAAGAGCCTTACAAAAGACAAACAAATATAGGTGTAAGAATGTACAAAGAATATTTTTTAAATTCCATTTTATACTGCGTAAGACAATCAAAGACTAGATTTTTAAGCAAGAAATGTTTACAGATGTGTGAGACTCTCCAGGTCTAGAATCAAATAATTTCTTGGCCTGGGATTTCAAGGAAAAACACGAATCAGTTGTAGCCTACTCATGCCTATTAAAACACCACCACAAACAAAATCACTGGTGAAAATGTTTTCATTTTTCTGACTCATTTAGAGTAAGAAATGTTTGTTTTTTGTTTGTTGTGGTTTGGTTTTGGTTTGAGACAGGGTCTCACTCTGTCACCCAGACAGGAGCGCAGTGGCATGCTCTCGGCTCACTATAGCCTCAACCTCCTGGGCTCCAGCAATCTTCCTGCCTCAGCCTCCCAAGTAGCTGGGACTACAGGGGCATGCCACCACACCTGGCTAATTTTTGTATTTTTTGTAGAGACGGGGTTTTGCCATGTTGCCTAGGCTGGTCTTGAGCTCCTGAACTCAAGTGATCTGCCCACCTTGGCCTCCAAAAATGCTAGGATTACAGGCGTGAGCCACCGTGCCTGGACAGGAACGTTTATTATAACATCAAATTTGTTAACCCCCAAAAGTTTGCTTATAAAAAATGTTAACTATTCTCATGATTTCTAGGGAAAAAAAAATCAAACTCACTCTTCAGTAGAGGCCAAAAGAAATATGAATTTCCTCAACAGACTTTGGGGTCTAGGAGTGCAACAGATCCGACTCGGGATCCCAGCATCATCATTTACTGCGAGAATTTCAAAAGGTGACTTAGCCACTTTATAGCTTCATTTAGCCATATGTAAACTAGAGACAAAAATAATAATGAAAACCTCCTAGAATCACTGTAAATATTAAGTTAGATATTTTATGTAAATGCTGTGTCCAACACTTATCACATAGTATTCATTCATCAATAAATGTTAGTTACTTGTTATACTTGTTTTTACTCTTATTGATTTAAACATGATAGCAGCAATTAACTTCTCTTAAGGGAATAGAACAGACCATTGCTTTCTTTTATTATTAGAATATGTATTTAATAAAGACAGGGAAGCGAAGAAGTTTCTAGAAGCCAGGAGAAACCTGATCATTAATTTATGTGGTTCCTTTTGCCTCCACTAGCTTCAACACTAAGAAAGAGGGCCTCTTGTGGAATTTAGACATTCAAAGGTATATTTACTGAGCAAATCCAAATCATTGGTTTCAATTTATCTTGACATGTTCAGGCCAATTAAGTTAGTTAATTACTGGGAATAAAGTAATCCTGAATCCTTAAAAGCTGGGCCCACAACCTAGTATTCATTCCTAAGGGCTAGCAGATTTGTCCTCCAGTATGGCATATGCAGCAATTTAAAGTCAGGGAAAAGTATGGACTTATTAATACTCTTTGGCATTTACTGGCACTGCTATTTACCCTCTATTACGTGCTAAGTGTCTGACGACCCAATACCCATATATTCAACATTAAATCTTCAACCTTATAATTCTTGAAATTCTCATTTGGTATTCACTCAAGACCCAGAAAAGGGTCAAAGGTTGCTAAACTTTACTTCGCTTTAAAATCTTCCCTTATTCAGACAAGTTCCCTGCTGAAGTTTAAAAAAAAAAAAAAGGAGGCTCTAAGGAAGGGCATATTTCTAAAAAACTGAAAAAATAAGAGGGAGATGGTTTTCAGTTGTTTTACAAATAGGATTTCTTGTCCTTTTCAATTTCTCACTTAAGCCTTATTTCCATTTGGAAATCCAGCTACTCAGTGCCAACTAAGGGGGAGGAACTGTGGGGTTTAAAAGTTAGAATAAACATCGTTTGTAGCCTTAAATGAGGACCAGTCTTCTTAAATGACTCAAGAAACATTTACTGCACACAAATTATGTGCAAAGCACTGACTACATACATGGGTGATGGGAGCAGAGGGCACAGGGGCAAGGAGAAAAATAAGATACAAAACCTAAACCTAATGTCCTTGTAAACTTAGTTCCTTTACATCCTTGAAAAATTATTTTTTTCTTCCACAGCACTACAGCTGTGTATAGGGAAAAACAGGGGAAGAAGAACCAAGCAAATGTAGCAGCTTCTAGCTCCTTACCCCTCCAGTGTTGAACCTGGGGTGTGTGTGAAAAACCAAGGTTAAGCATCACAGCCCACTGAGATAAGAGTGAAGGAACAAGGGATGACGCAAGGTAACACAGAGATGCTGGCAGGTTTGAGAAAAACATGTTCTCGCTTCTCAAGCTGAAGCGAGCAACTAGCATGACCTTTCTTTGTATTTTCGTTTTGCAGTGTCAAGGGCAATGTTGTTTCTTTTCAGGAAGAAACAATACCAGCTTTGAGAAAAAAAATCCACATTAAAAAAAAATAGCAGCTATTAAGAAGTGTGAGAGGAAGGAGGTGCAGAGGGGACACAGGAAGATCCAAGAGCAGCAAAATATAGGTTCAGAGGCAATTTGAGTCCAATCCACCACCTTTCAAATTAAATTAAAAGCATGGTTAAAAGAGCATTTTTGGCACAAAATCTTAAATTCACGGTGCTGTAGGATAAGGCTTAGTGGGATTATCAACAGAGTGTGGATGCCAAATGGACATCAGGCAGGAAGAGAAACCACAGATGCATTTTCAGCAAGGTGTCTTTATAGGATTACTCCACCTAGAGCTTGGCCTGACTCAAATATTAATTTCACAAACAACCGCAGTTGTAAGAGTGACTTCCATTATTTAAGGGCCTAATCTCGGGTAGAATAACAATCCACAAACACTTTTTTTGTGGCACTGCCAAGCATCTTTTGTTTTTCAACATATGATTTTAAACATTAACTTGTTATTGTATATATTTAAGTTGTATTACATGATGTTTTGATACACATAGTGAAATAATTACTACGGCCAAGAAAACTAACATATTCATCTCTTCACATACTGTGTGTGTGTGTGTGTGTGTGTGTGTGTGTGTGTGTGTATGCGTGTGTGGCAACTGTATACCCTTTGTCCCCCATCTCCCTAAACTGCTCCATCCCTCTGCACCTGTTAACTGCTGTTTCACTCTCTGTTTCTATGCATTTGCCTTTTTTTAGATTTACTGTTTAAGTGTCATGCAGTATTTTTCACTTAGCGCAAGTCTTCTAGGTTCATCTATGTTGTCAAAAGTCGCAGGACCTCCTTCTTTTTAAAAGCTGAATAATATTCCATTATATATATGCCACAATTTCTTCATCCATTCATTTGTAGATGGATGAATGCTAAGCATAACCATTTTAATCATTCTGTTAATAACTCAGCCAATGAAAAAGATTTTTTTCCCATTATAATATAAAACTGTACGTTATTTTGTTTTCCTAACCTACACAGTGCTTACATGTTTCTTTAATAGTAAAGATCGTAATTAGCCTATAGTGAAGTATATATAACAGATAATTTGGATGCTTCTATTGATTTTTTTGTCTCCATTATTACCACTGAGTCCTTCTACCATCTGCTGAAGCAAAGGCAACAGAGAAGAATAAAAGAAGAACAGAGTATTTTTTCAACTGCCATGATGTCTCCAGCCTGAAACTCTCCTTCTATTCCAATGCTAACTAGTTATTATAGCAGTAACTTTGCACTTACAGATTTTTGTGCAAAATCCAAGAAAAAAAAGTAATCTTTATTGTCAAAAAATAGCTTCCTGGGTGCTTTCTGGAGAAAAGGAGGGCGGTCTGACTTCCTCATGTAGAAAATCTCAGATATGAAAAGGAAAAGTAACAAGGGAAGGGAACACATTGCTTGTCCTATCAAATATTAAAAATAAAATGTAAAAGGTGCATTAATTAAAGCAATGTGGTAACAGAGAAAGAACACACCATAGAATGCAATGAAATACACAGTCCAGAAAGAGACTTGTGTCTATCTAGACAAAATGAGAAAGATCATTTGATGAATAGTTTAGGGAAAACTAGAGGGCAAATGAAAATAGAAAAAAAAATCATTGAGAACCTCTCTTTACACCAAAATAAATACCAAATGGTTTAGGGAATTAAAATAAACTATAACAACTACCTGAAAATATAGTAAATATGCTTAATAATGAAGACAGACATTTTAGGCCTAAAAATAACTAAAGAGGAATAGGTTTCATTGCATAAAAATCAAAAATACATATCCAACATATTATAAACATAAAGGCAAAGAGTATAGTGGGAAAATATGTGCTAAAAATATGAGTTAAATTTTTATTTTATTTTATTCTTTTTTTTTTTTTTTTTTTTTTTTTGAGATAGCATCTCTCGCTCTTTTGCTCAAGCTGGCTGAAGTACAGTGGCGAGATCTCGGCTCACTGCAACCTCTACCTCCTGGGTCCAAGTAATTCTTGTGCCTCAGCCTCCCAAGTAGCTGGGACTACAAATGCGTACCACCACACTCGGCTAATTTTTGTATTTTTAGTAGAGATGGGGTTTCACCATCTTGGCTAGAGTGGTCTTGCACTCCTGACCTCAGTTGATCCACCTGCTTTGTGCTCCCGAAGTGCTGGGATTACAGGCATGAGCCACTGCACCTGGCCTATTTATTTACATTTAGAGACAGGGTCTCTCTATGTACCCAAAATAGAGTGCAGTGGCTATTCATGGGTGCAATCAGCACACTGCAGCCTCCAACTCCTCGTCTCAGGGATCCTCCTGTCTCAGACTCCTGAGTAGCTAGAACTACAGGCTCTTGCCACTGCACCTGGCTTAGAATTTTAAATAAAATCAATGAGAAAAATTTTCAGTCCCATTACATTTGTAAGCAAAGATATGGACCAGCAATTCACAAAATGGTCTTTAAAACATATGAAATAAAGTTTTACATTATTCAATTTAAAAAACAATGAGATAAGCATAATATCCAGGGGTAACTTTTAAACAAAAAGAAAGAGATTTTGAGCTGTAATAAGTTGCCATTTTTGAAAGCCAGTATTTTTAACTCTTATAATGAAGATTAAGTAACATTAATGAATTAGTTCTTTATTGCTCCTAGTCTCAGTATTATCATACATCAGTGGTCCTTAAAGTGCCCAGAGCAGCAGCATCAGCACCACCTGGGAACTTGTTAGAAATGTAAATTCCTGGCTCCAATCCTGACCTACAGAAGCAGATCAGCAATCGGCTTTAACAAGATACCCAGGTGATTCTTATGCACAATCAAATTTTGGGATCACTGTATGGATCATAAGCTGTAGAAAATTTTGTGGTGCAGTGGTTCCCAGCATGCATCCAATTTCCTGGGTTTAGTTTAATCATCACCTTATGGGCAAGTTATCTAGATTCTCCTTTCAGTTTCCTCATCTGTGAAATGGAGGTAATGATGGCACTTGCCTCATAAGGTTGTTGGTAGGATAACAGAAGTTTATGTTTGAAAAGCATATGTATCAGTGCTTATATAGCTTAGCCCATTGTTAAATTTAGATTTTTTTAAGTAAGTTTAATAAAGAAGAGAAAAGACCATATTTTAAAGATTTAAAAGTAAAGATAATCAATAATTACACTGTGAGAAATGACAACTAGATTTGCATATCTGTAGTAGAATAGAAAAAATGGGTCATAAGCAGCTTTAGGGATGATGAGAAGAAATGGAGGAAGAAAAAAGAATATACACAAGCTGCATCCAAAATACTCTCAAATACTCTGCCAGTGGAGAGCCACACGTATAATTAATTCAGAGATCTTCTTGGAGATGGCCCTAGAAGTGTGAATTCTTGCACTCTGCCTAAAACAATTTGGGTATATAAACCACCTCTCTTTGATGGTAAAGATATGTTTGTTTGATTTTTGATGCTAGTAAAATAGCTGTAGAAACAAGTCTTGAGGCCATACTTTCATAAAATAAATACACCTTTATTAAATTACAGGTGATCTGAATACGATCTTAGCCTGTCATTAAGATGTGTTCTTAGTTATTTCAGTCTACTGAATAGACTGACCTGCAATTTAGTTTACAATTTAGTTTCTGAAATAATTTAAAAACAAAAAGCATAAGTCTAGCAATTATTTCGTGTTGTCTAGACCCTGTGTGACAACTCTGCTGAATTCTTCAATTATTTCCATGTTAATAATAACTAAATAGATCATTATGAAATCACAGCAAAATAAAAAACACAATCTTCCATTTTCTGTTGCTCCTATGTTCTTTCTCAGCACCAAGCTATATAAAAGTTAAAACAGTTTATTTCCTCTATATTATGTAGGTATTTGATTGTCCCGAACACATCAAAATATTACGCTTTCAGAAAAATCTTTTGAATCTCTGCCTATAAAACCATTACTATATCATATATAAAACTCATACTCTTCCTTCTCTGTGTATAATATTTAGATTCTCTCCTGTGAACAGGATAGCCAGGGAATTAGCATACCTTTTGGGTCAGGTAGATGGGGTAGTCAGTGAGATCTCCGAAAAACAAAAAGGTTGCTTGTTAAAGGCCAACGTGGTCAACTTGACCCTTTTGGGGAGGTGCAGCCTTGCCAGCACTAGAGGCTGGACTTGCTGAGGCCACGTTGGATCTCCAGTCTCAGCACTGGGTTATTTTAGTCCTTCATCCCAACAAACTTCGGGATGGGTGGTGTGCTGCACCTATTCCCACCAGGAAGCGGGTCTTGCAGATTACTAACAGCTGTTCCCTTAATCAGAGGCAATCAAAACAATGGTATCCCCTTCCTTCTACAAATTAATAAAGGGAGCTATCTAGGAAGGTTCAGTCCTTACTATCATGGTAAGAAGTCTTTCTTTTGTAGTGTACCTCACTAAAGAGAAAGACAAACAAGCAAACAAAAAAACTCCTACTCACAGCAATAAGTAAGGTAAGCATCTATCTAGGAGCTCTCTCCTAAAGGCAGCCAGATGCGGAGGAATTCACGAGACTGCCCTGCCCAGTCTCAGAAAGGGATGCACAAAGGGGGATTCATCCCATTGCTCAGAAAGCAAGAAGGGAAGGGACTTTGCTCAGAAATCAAGCTGCTTATTTAATTTGATGTTTACTCTGGTCTTTTTTGACCTACACAGTAATACAGAGATATTTTTCAATTGACAACTTTCTATCTCAGTTACTTAGTTTCAATAAATTTAACCTGTAAACATTACCTTACAATGTGTTCCATTCTGAGGTTTCTTTTAACCCAATGGAATAGAAATGACCCCTACTTGGTTTGTCTTCTGAGATTGCTTAAGAACAGGAAGCAAAGTACTGATTACTAGGCTTGCTTTTAAAATAACAGCCTTGGCAATGATCTCTAGCTGAGAACTGGCACTTGTGTTGACTCTAGGTCTTCAGAAAAGGAAAATCAAGGGAAGAAAGAAAAATTCAATGTGCAGAAACAAACAAACAAAAAATGCCAGCAATTTCTGAAGGAATGGAGAATACATGTATATGAATCCTGTAGCACCACGAAATTTAGAGCTACACACCTACAATCCTTCAGAGGCATTTCATGACAGCTGCATGATGAAGGGGGAGGATTTATATTTAATTTCTATATGTGTATACTTTTTACCCTAAAAAAAAGGAAGGAAGAAAGCATGCAAATTAACTTCTTGTCACTAATAAAATGGTGTGATTTAACCCAAAATCCGTGACTGTAAAGTACCCACAAAGAGAAAGAAAATGGGTCTCAGGAAACAAAATTGTTTTATTATGGCTGTATCTGTATTGGGTCAATTACTGTGACGAAAGAGGCATTTTCCCTGGCAGAGAAAAGATTAACATTTTAGTGTATTTTCTTAAATAATTTAAAAAGGAAAGAGTAACATGTAACTAAATTTAGTTTTTAATCATTTTCTACTTACTTGCTATATGCAACTAACTTGTTATTTTCAATGCATTTTTTAAATTTTTCAATGCTAGTTTGTGCATCATCACAGTTTTTAAAAATTTCCTTGCCAGGAAATTATCATATTTGTAATTACAATAACAAAACTCTAGTCACTTCCTGAATTAAAGAAGGGGTTGGGGTGGGGGCAGCTTTATCACCGCAATCTTGGACTGACCTTTTGCCTGAAGCATTTGAAAAGGCAAGTAGAAATCAAATATATTTTTGCATAATGCCTACATCTTTAATGACACTTCTGAGGTGTCTGAGTGATATTTCTATTGTCATTGCATAATATAATACTTAGCATTTTACTGTAATGAAGTGTAACAATTGAGGTAATGTTACTACCATCTTACGTAAATTCAAACTTTTACAAACCAAAGTATGTTCTATTTTTGTCCATTTTGCCAATTCAGTTCTTCTCACTATTCTTAAAGGAGGGTCCATTAATTACATGTATCCAAAATGCACAACAATCTAATTAGCTGTTAGAATGACTCACTTCAGTCCTCAATGTCTTGCTTTTTGTAAAAGTGCTCATTTCCTATGACTTATGGGAGAAATTGTTTGGATTGGAAGAGCTTCAAAGCCAATAAACAGAATAAGGGGACTCCCAGAATAATAGATTTCTAGAATAAGAGCACTTTTTATGGATTAGGAAACAGCTCCAGAGTCTATGACCCGCCCAACGTCACAAAACCAGAATGTCAGTAATACTACTCATCGTTGCCAGATACTCAAAAGCTCCTCTGCAGTTGGAAAGATTCGTTCCAGAAAAAGTCTTTCCTGAAGGGCAACTCACTTTCGCTAGGGATGAAGAGTAACTTAAAAAGGAGAGAGAGCGGAGGTAAGGGGAATGAATTGGTGTAATGCCAAAAGCTGTGGAATAAAAGTTATTCCATGGTATTTGTTCATGGGTGTTGTGTGTGAATGATGTGTGTTGATGTTTTCTGGGTCATTTAGTTTATGAGGGAAGGCAGGAAAAGCCAACAGAGCATACAAAAACAAATCAGCCACAAATTCTGAAAGAGGGAGTTGCCTTTGGTCTAATAAACATTTTAGGAATGTAAACACCTTCTGGGAAGGATTCCTTCTGGGAATGTCTATTTGACATTCACACCTCATTGTCAACTGCTCGAATTAGATAACACCTTGTTGAATATCCTCAGGCAATGAAAAATTAAAGGTAAAGAAAGAGAAAGGAATACTTTTCTAAGGGCGAGGCACTTAGAGGTGGAGACTCCCCTCTGGGCATTACCTACTTGAGGTCTCTATAGAGGAGGCTGATTTTTTTTTAAATTTTATTATTATTATACTTTAAGTTTTAGGGTACATGTGCACAACGTGCAGGTTTGTTACATATGTATACATGTGCCATGTTGGTGTGCTGCACCCATTAACTCGTCATTTAGCATTAGGTATATCTCCTAATGCTATCCCCCCCCCTCCCCCCACCCCACAACAGGCCCTGGTGTGTTATGGTCCCCTTCCTGTGTCCATGTGTTCTCATTGTTCAATTCCCACCTATGAGTGAGAACATGCGGTGTTTGGTTTTTTGTCCTTGCGGTAGTTTGCTGAGAATGATGGTTTCCAAGGCTGACATTTTTAACTGAAACTGAAGAGAAGTGATGAAAAAGCAGGTTGGATTCCATTGCTCACAACTCTTCTTTCCTCAGATGACCCCAACTTACCATTCTCTAATTTTGAAAACAGGAAAAAATGTTCAAGAAGATTTAGAACCTATCTTCAAGAAATGTCAAGAATGTAATATTGGGACTCTCATAAATCATAACTTTTCTGCCTACATTTTCTGAAGATTTCCCTATAAAAGTCTGTTACCTTGACACTCTAATTCATATGCTCAAGAATTAGGTTAATTATTTTTTAAAACTTTGAAGAAAATGATCAAACTAACAGTAACAATAGCATCTACCCATCCTAAAAGAGTATGCATCATATACAGCAAACTTCTATGACTAAGAAACAAAACAGGTTCATTGTTAGATACAGCATAATAGCATCAAAGCTCTGCTTCACCTGTTGGAAGCACAGAACATATTTTAACTTTACGGGCTGTGGGAGCTGGGGGAAGCAAAAACATTAGAGATGTTCAACCAAGCTCTGAGTCATCTCTTTATGAGTTACAGATTCTTAAAAACAAATTAAATGAAGTCCCCAGCTGTAACTATGATTTGAGCCTCATAACGGGGTGAGAATGGAGAAAATGGGCCAAATCTACAGTTATGGAATATATAATGGGATATACACATATATATGTATATATATACACACATATATATATACACATAAATATATACATATATATATATATATATGGCAGATATAACAAGATAGGCCTTAGAAGTTAATTTGGTGGCAAAAGGAGTAGGTTTAGAGAGGAAATATATATAATATATATTTGTTGTTTTCGTAGATGAGATCTGGAGAGTTGCCTCAGAAACGTGTCTGCACCTCTGCAAAGGCATCCCCAAGCTCAACCCTGTGTAATTACCTCCTCTTTGCTCTTGTTCTTGCCTTTCCTTTCTGCACCTGACAGTTAATTGCTGTAATTGAACAACAAGGACTGGGATGCCCTTCCTCCTCTTGCTCTCACTTCTTTCATGACTCTCTTCAGTCTTTGTTGGTTGATTAAGCTTAAGCAGTCTGGTAATCAATCCAAATCTTATCTCATTAATTGGACTAAATGAAGCTTTGAGGGAAGGAAAGGAGATGAGCATAATAGGTGCTAAGTAAATACCGTAGTTGTTTCTCAACCATGGAAAACCCCACTTGAAGGATATACACTTTATATGTTTGCATGAAAGTATTAAGGTATTTGAAGTAACTAAGGTAATCAAAGTAATTTTCCCCAATGTATAATCTAACTTCTGTTTTTTTCAGGCACACTAACACTTTCAGATCCTTGGGACAGGCACCATTCAGTCAAATCCTTATAGAGCAGGACTCTTGAAACGTCAGTTCACTCTTAGCTGTTTTTGGTTTGTTTTTTGTTTTGTTTGTTTGTTTTTAATTTTGTTTGCTTTTCATTTCTGTGGCTTTAGGTTCTTTAAGCCACCATGGAAGTACTTATTTTAAGAGAATAACCATTGGAATTATGCTTTCTTAAGAAAAATAAATGTGAATGAATGTACCAAACATGAAATGTAAGAACTCTTCCATCTAAGCTATAATCCCATCCCTGAATGACACATGATGGTGGTGGGTACAGTTGATGAGGTTTTCTCTAACTCCGGTGGTATAGGATGGTGGTCTTCAATCTGGGAATGTAATAAATGCCCTAAAGGACTATTTCAAGGAGCAACACCTGATAAAGTTTTTCCTAATGTCATACTGCATTGAGCAGAACAATTCTGAATGAAGCTTTTATTTAGTGGTCTGGGCTGAATTACATGCCTCTAGATTTGTATCTGTCAAAATGTGTTTCATGGACGAATGACATCAGAATGCAATGCTCACTAGAGATGGAGCTTCCTGGGTTCTGCATTAGATGCCCCAAGACTCTCTGAGACAAGGCTTAGAGGTCTGCATTGGAACACACTCCTCATGTCATTCTTATCCGAACTAGAATTCAAAAACCACAGCTTTAGAATCTTAAAATAGTTGTTCAACAATTTATTTATGCAAACTGCTGAAAACATGAAAAAGAGAAGTTATATTGCATTTCACTACAGTTCAGTAATCCAATAGGCTGTTGTTCCATTTTAAGATTGTGGAGTCAACATAAATAAACATGATCTTTGCAGTCAGAACAGCCTAGATTTGCCACAACTTACTAGCTATGCAACCTTGAACAAGTTTCTCAGCCTATCAGAACATCAGTTTCATCATCACTGTAATGAGGAAACTATTAACAGCTACCTCACAGGGTTGCTTGAAAGCTAAATGAACAATGTATATGCAAAACACATAGCACAGTGCCTGGAATGTAATAGGCATTTAATGCATGCTACATTATTACTTTCTATCTTAGCAACTTGAGGTGACTGTAATCTCTTTTAAAATATTCAGTGTAAACAAACTTTCTCTTATAATTCTTGCAGCATTATTAGTAATGTTCTGGGAAACGGCTATTGCATAATCTGCCAAATAAGAACAAAGTGGACCTCGGCTAATCAGCAAACGTGCCTGTGCATGTCTTTCTGGTAGCAATTCAGTCAGCTATTAAATTGTTCCTGCTGTGTTTTTTCAAAAAAATAAGTACCAACCCATCTTTCTTTGCTAATGTTAACTCTAATCTGCGTTAGCTGCTTGCTTTTGCAGTTATTGGTATGCATTCACATTCTGTATCTATAGGATATAAATAAAATCAATAGAACTTGCTTTGCGTGAGCCAGTGTTCAAGGTCCAACTACAGATTGGGAATAAGGAATTACTAGGCATTTACAGCAGAAATACTAGCACATAGCACAGTCTTGGTTTTTGAGTCCTACTATGCAGTTTACAACACTCCCATGTATTTAGACAGTGTTAGGTTTTTCTTCCAATCACTCAGTTTCCAAGAGTACATTATACTCAAATTTCTTGATGACAAATCCTATGCAATTTGGTGTGTTTTCCTTTCTAAACCTACTCCTTTTGCCACCAGATTAACTTCTAAGGCCTACCTTGTTAGATCTGTCAGAGGTAAGTAACTAAATAATTAACTACTAGGGGATGCAGGCTACCCCAAAAAGACACAGGTATTTTCCAAGTGACACAGGGGCACACAGAACAAAGGCTTTCAAAACCTTGTCATATTTTCAGTCACAGCAGGTATAAGGACAGATAGCCAGATTCTTGACCTTCCTATTCAAATTAGCTACAGGAAGTGGGGAAATTATTTTACACTCCTCTAAATCTGGCTGTCAAGAATTAGTGGAAAAATCCAACTTTGAATTTGTGCTTCCCTGAGTGTAATCACATTTAGTCCGATTAGATTAAAGAAGAGTAGATCACCCTCAAAGCAAACAGGAAATGGAGACACAATTTGACTTCATGATTGAGCACTAACAAAAGATATATGGAAAATAGATTGGGGTCTAAAGCAAATAGCATTTTTAGTAATTTAAAAATAACTTGAGAGACACATACACATATAAAATGCCAGCTTTTATTGTCAGACAATCAAAATTGTTCATATGTTAAGAAGGCATTTTTTTGTCATTTCTTTAAATTAATTTGAGCTTCAGATAGGAAGGCTACAATCACTGCAGCTAATAAAGTGTTTTTGTTCTTGACAAAGAATAAAACTTGCTGTTGCAAGTGGCTCAACGATAGAAAGAATCTTATTAGAAGTATAATTAATGCAGGGCTTTAAAGAAGTCACATTGCTAACCTAGGGTGCATGGTTTTAGGCAGAAATGTGAACACAATTGCCACTTTGCAAGAACTCACCAAGATCCATGAAAACAATTGAGTCTAAGAAATGACATCGTTACTGCATTTTAAATCATAAAAATATTCTTGCCTGGGCGCGGTGGCTCGCACCTGTAATCCCAGCACTTGGGGAGGCCGAGGCGGGTGGATCACAAGGTCAGGAGATTGAGACCATTCTGGCTAACACAGTGAAACCCCGTCTCTACTAAAAACACAAAATAATTAGCCGGGCATGGTGGCGGGCGCCTGTAGTCGCAGCTACTCGGGAGGCTGAGGCAGGAGAATGGCGTGACCCCGGGAGGCGGAGCTTGCAGTGAGCCGAGATGGTGCCACTGCACTCCAGCCTGGGGGACAGAGCGAGACTCCATCTCAACGACAACAAAAGAAAAAAAAATTCTCTAACTATGAAAATGCTTCTAAACTCTGGTGATTTTCCAGACGGGAGTTGGAGTGAAGGTCTACATTCACTTAGACTGTATCACAACTCCCCATTATTACAAGCTTGAGTTTTCTGTTTTGTTTTTTTTTTTAATTTAGATTTGTAAGCAATATGCCAATAAAATAATTTACTTATTTACTATACTATACCTTGCCTACTTGCAAAATGCTTATAGTATCCAACAGGCCTTACTTAGAAAGTAACAACCAGAAGCAAATGTTTCTTGGAATAACAAACTCCACATCTTCTCTACATCCTGCATTTTTCCCTGTATATTCTGTGATTTGATGCGGTGTTTTTGTGAGTGTGGGAGTATATGTGTAAAGTGTCATTATTTCTACTAAATATATAAATCTAGATAGCAAAAATGGTTTTTTTTGCTACAATAGGCAGTGAAACAATTGCAAACTATTTTTCTTTTGTTAAATTCATGAAATCTGAAACTTTATATTTTTTTCACTTTTCAAAAAGTTTTTAAATTATGAAATATTTACAGATTCACAGGAAGTTACATGGAAATACACAGGAAGATCCCATGTACACCTTCACCCGGTCTGCCCCAATGTTAACATCTTTCATTACCACAATATAATATGAAAACTTCATATCCTTGGCCTGGCGTGGTAGCTCATGCCTGTAATCCCAGCACTTCGGGAAGCTGAGGTGGGCAGGTCACTTGAGGTCAGAAATTCAAGACCAGCCTGGCCAACATGGTGAAATCCCGTTTCCACAAAAAATACAAAAATTAGCCAGGTGTGGTGGCATGTGCCTCTAATCCCAGCTACTTGGAGGCTGAGGCAGGAGAATCACTTGAACATGGGAGGCAGAGGTTGCAGTGAGCAGAGATTGTGCCACTGCACTATGGCCTGGGCAGCAGAGTGAGACTCCATCTCAAAAAACAAAATAAAAAAACAAAAATAAAAACAAAACCCTTCATATTCTTTAATTCCAGTATCTAACTTTGATTTCAAGATTCCCTTTGAAATTTTTAAGGCTTATTAACCCTATGAAGTCTATAACCCTGTTTTCCTGTTAACTTTCATAATTAAGAATTTGACCTCTAATTACTATGCATACATCTATTTTATGAATTTATCTAATAACATTTTATATGACTGTCACTTCTCTGTTTATTTCATTAACTTTTTATTTTTTTTAACAGTAAGAGCCATCTTTTGTTTCCAGGTTATTTATTTAAAAATCCATCAAGTCTTTGGAAACAGATGTTAAGTTAATATTCTAATTTATTTCAGAAGAGATTTGACTTCATATGGCTATAACCAAGAAATGCAAATCTATAGTAAAGATAATGATATTTTACTTGCTACTTCTCACAAAATAGGCTCCATTGGTTTAAATTTAGTAACTAAGAGTATTTCTTTTTTTAAGTCATATTGTAGAAGATTGCATTTTCCAAAGATGACAACAATAATATTTCTGGTCTTACATGCTCTTCCAGAACCTAGTTACTACCCCATTTAGAGGTAGAAATTTTTTTCCTTCCCCTTGAATTTGGGTGAGCTATTGGGACTGCTGTGACAAGTAGGATATGTAAGAAGTGAGGCTGTGTGACTTCTGAGACTAAGTCTTAAAGGCAAAAAGTTCTGTCTGGCTCTTTCTCTTGAGTCACCTGCCTTTGGATCTCAGCTACCATGTTGTGAGGATACCCAGGCCACAGGCAGAGGCCATGTGGCAGATGTTCCAGCTAAAGTCTCAGCCACAGGCCTGAATCAACTGCCAGATGTATTAAGAGAGCTTTCAGAAGATTCCAGCCACCAGCATTTTCTTTTCCTTTCTTATTGTGTCACTTTTTTTTCTTTCCAACTTTTATTTTAGGTTCAGGGGGTGCATGTACAGGTTTGTTACATGGGTAAATTGCATGTGTTGGGGGTTTACTATACAGATTATTTTGTCACCCAGGTAATGAGCGTAGTACTCAATAGGTAGTTTTTCAATCCTCACCCTCTTCCTATCCTCTACCCTCAAGTAGACCCTGGTATCTATGTTATTCTCTTCTTTGTGTCCATATGCACTCGATGTTTAGCTCCCACTTACAGGTAACAACATGTGGTACTTGGTTTTCTTTTCCTGTGTTAATTCGCTTAGGGTAATGGCCTCCAGCTCCATCCATGTTGCTGTAAATAACATGATTTCATTCTTGTTATGGCTGTGTATTATTCCATGGTGTGTATGTACCACATTTTCTTTGCCCAGTCCATCATCGATGGGCCGATTCCATGTCTTTGCGATTGTGAAGAGTGCTGCAATGAACATCTGCATGAATGTGTCTTTATGGTAGAACAATTTATATTCATTTGGGTATATACCCAGTAATGGGATTGCTGTGTCAAATGGTAATTCTGCTTTAAGTTGTTGGAGAAATCTCCAAACTGCTTTCCACAGTGGCTGAACTGATTTACATTCCCACCAGCAATGTATAGGTGTTCCCTTTTTCTCCACAACCTTACCAGCATCTGTCATTTCTTGACTTTTTAGTAATAGCTATTATAACTGGTGTGAGATGGCATCTCATCATGGTTTTGATTTGCATTTTTCTGATGATGAGTGATGTCGAACATTTTTTCATATACTTGTCCACATGCGTGTCTTCTTATAGAAACGTCTGTTCATGTCCTTTGCCCATTTTTCAATGGGGTTGTTTAGTTTTTGCTTGTTGATTTGTTTAAGTTCCTTATGAATTCTGGATATTAGATCTTTGTCAGATGCATGGTTTGCAAATATTTTCTCCCATTCTGTAGGTTGTCTGTTTACTCAGTTGACAGTGTCTTTTGCTATGCAGAAGCTTTTTAGTTTAATTAGGCCCTGCTTGTCAATGTTTGTTTTTGTTGCAATTGCGTTTGGAGTCTTCATCATGAAATTTTGCCAGGGCCTATGTCTAGAATAGTATTTCTTAGGTTTTCTTCTACAGTTTTATAGTTTTAGATTTTACCTTTACATCTTTGGTCCACCTTGAGTTGATTTTTGTATATGGTGAAAGGAAGGGGTCTAGTGTCACTCTTCTGCATATTAGCCATCAGTATTTAAGTCTTCTAGCTGAGGACCCAGGCATTGTGGAGCAGAGATAAGCCATTCCTACTGAGCCCTATCCAAAATTCCCGATCCTCAAAATGTGTGAGAATAAAAGTGATTGTTTTTTGCTACTGAGTTTTCTAATTTGTTACAGAGCCACAAATGACCAGAACACATGTACACTTAGATGTAAACATTTGCAGGAAGAGTATTTGGCATTCATTGGGCTACATCTGTTAATACCTGTAATGTTGCTCTTCTCTTGGCTTCTTATACAATGTGTTCCATTCTTCATTGATCAGTTAGTCTCTACTTTGTAAACTTCAGCAAAACCTACCTAGTTAAAATGAACAATACATCTTCCAGAGAGGCCTCAGGAACTACTGATGTGTGCAAAGACCTGCTTCCCTGAGAATGCCCTCAACATAGCACTGACAGCTCTCTGAATTCCCGGTGAAGTGCAGCAGGCTAAACCATGTATGGGCCTGAATCAACTAGGACTTTTATTTGCACAGGTAAGAGGGGATGCCCTAGTGGGCCAGGGACTGGAATGTTGTGAGAGGGCTTCTCCATCAGCCACAACCTTCAGCCTGTACCTCAAATCAAATGACCTCCCAGTTACCCAGAGAGAGACCAGAAGTCTCACCAGTAAGTACACAGGAGTCTCTGAGGGTGCAAAGAATAATGTCATTCCAGAAATATTTACTAAGTAGCCACTGCATCCTAAAAGGATGATGTAGGGACTTCAGAGTAGGAAAATAACCATGTAAACATGCAGTTACCATGTGGTGAGTACTATAGCAGACATAAGCACACCAACTTCCCACTGCTCATGGCCCCTCTCGCTACACCAACGTCTCATCCGTCACCTTTGCTTTCATTCCTTGTCCTGTCCTCAGACCTCCCTTTCCAGTTTTAGTGCAAACACCTCATCACTTTCCCTTGATGTTTCTTAAAGGGAACCTAGTTGTCCACCAGCCCAAGAATGCCTTGGGGGTTTTGTTAATATTGCAGACCCCTGGCTCGCTCCAGACTCACTGAGTCAAAATCACCAGTGGTGGGATCCAGGGTTTGAATTTTTGTAAATGTCCCCTGCTGATTCTTATGCATCTATTCTTGTCTTCCCCACTCTAGTCTCTGCTATCCGATTCACTCTTCTTGTGAACACTAGATTAATTTTTCAGAGCTTGACTCTGATAATATCACTCCCTTGCCACCTTAAAATGGGTTACCAGTGCCTAGCAGGCTTTTTGCTCTATATCCCAGTACTCAAAACTTTTTCCAATCTGGCCTCAACCTACTTCCTAGTCATGTCACCAATAACCCACATAGAGCTAGTTGTATGACATACAGCTTGCTTCTGCCAAATCGTATCCCCCTCCACCCCCTACTTCCCAAACATAGCCAGGACTTCCCACCAGCTGCCTGCCTGAAGGGAAGTTTTTCAAGTTAGCCTGACACTCTGAATACCTTCAGCTCTTCTGTGGCAGCTGGTAAAAATTCTCCTTAGTACCTAGTTCAAAGGTAAGATCTCCCATAATATCATCATATCTGGAAGTTCTCTTTCCCTTCTCTGTAGCACCTTGTCTTAAACATTCTCATAGTATCTCTCACATCTCTCCTTGTAATAACAATATCATTACTTACCTAGTCCCACTCACCCCCTAAAAGTATTCAAATATGTGTATATATACATGTGTGTGCATGAGTGTGTACACACACTGAGTTAAATTTTAAGTCAAATTTATATATATACACACACACATATATTACATATTACATATACATGTTGCCAGCTTAAAATGGGTTACCAGTGCTCAAAACTTTTTACATATATATAAATAAATATATATATAACTTTATTTTATTTTAGATCCATGGGGTACATGTGCATGTTTGTCACAAGAGAATATAAGGTACTGGTGGAGACTGGGCTTCTAGTGTACCCATTACCCAAACAGTGAAAACTATCTGATAAGTTATTTTTCAATCATCAGCCTCCTTCCATCCTTCCCTTTTTTGGAGTTTTCAGTGTCTATTACTTCCATCTTTTTTTAAAATTACTTCATCTTTGTTAAAGAGTATACTGGCCACTTACATATATTGTGGCCTTTTCAAAATTTGCTGAAATCTGTAATTCTACAATATAAATTTATTTCATAATTTCTAAATACTTTGTAGAAGGTTGCAATCATATTTAAAATTTTTCATCAGAGTATTCTATTTAGTAATTGTTTTGCTATGAATACAGACAAAATCATGAAGTGCTATTAAAATCAAGTGGTCACTTTGTTGGAGTGGAGAGATTCTGAAGTGTTATAAATCTTATACATTTTATAATTATTTTATTGACAAAGACCAATAAATAAGCTGCTACTGAGTAATATAAAAGTTACTTTGCACCAAAGGGAATACATTAAATATATATTTTGAGTTACCTTTGCTCAGATCCTAAATCAGTGACCCTCATTAAGGAACCACTGTGTGTTGGGACTTCTAGTGTGCCCCGGCTTCATGCGTCACATCCTAAAATGAAGGTCACTCAGGGTGGAGGGGCCTTTAGGATCATCACAACTTTCCCTTTCTCACACCCTCAACCCATATCTGCCTCCCTGGGAGGACAGGCTTTGCAGTGACATCTCTATCATTACTAGTTGGGCATCATTACCTCACTGTACTGAGCCCCATTCCCTTATTATGAGGATAAAAATAGTGTCACCAGCTTTCTAAGGTTACTGTGAGGATTGTGCAGAAAAATAGGAAATCTATAAATGTTGCCTGTTTTATTACAACAATTCCAATGTGTGGGACCTTTATCAGAAAACTTAGAGAAACAGAAGACGCCTTACTTCCAGAGACTGGTAAAATAGGCTGTGTCTGTTTTTACAGGTTCCAGAATTTCTCCTACCTCAAATCCCCCTATCAGCCTCCAATCCCCTGAAAGCTGGCAGTGACTCAGATGAGCCTGTCAGTCTGGAATCAATGGTTCATTTCTGCTGTAAAAGGGACATTGGAAGAGAGCACTATGCCTCACTGGTCATTTGACTGAATTTATCAGCTCTTTTCCTGAGAGCAAAAGTGGGAGAATTAGACTCGGGTGGGCCTGCGGCAGAGAGTAAAAAAGCAGGGATGGACTGGAGGTGAGGAGTCCTAACAAATATGTTTATCCTACTCAACATTACCTAAAAACTAGATATAGCCACACAAGGAAGGAGAAAAACATCTCTTCTGTGTGCATCTTTGCGATGGATTTAGAGGCAATGTATAGGAAGGCATTATTGCCTGGGGGTTATGAACAGAAGCTCTGGTACCAGACTGCCTGCTTTCAAATCCTGGCACTGGCACTCCCTAGCTCTGTGATCTTTGGCAGATTATGACACTTGTGCCTCGATACCCTTATCTGCTAAATCGGGGAGCACAATAATTAAAGTTTTCCTTAGGGTTCTGGTGAGATTTAAATAAGATGACACATGTCATATACACTTGCAGTAGTGCCTGGCCACAAAGTTTCAATAAATATGGAGAGAGAGAGAGAGAGACAGAGAGAAAGAAAGAGATCACAAAATCGGATCATACTATACTTTAACTTTTTATACTTAATTTAGTGTGATTTATAATTTATAATCTAAGTAGAGATAACCCAAAATACATATTTAATGTATTCCCCTTGGTGCAAAATAACATCTGCTTCTCTGTATCCCTACTTATTTTATTTATTTATTTTGTTTTTTGAGACAGGGCCTTGCTCTGTCACCCAGGCTGGACTGCAATGGCGCTGTCAGACCTCACTGGGACCACAGTAGCTGGGACCACAGGTGTGTACCACCATGCCCAACTAATTTTTTTGATTTTTAGTAGAGACGAGGTCTCGCTACATTGCCCAGGCTGCTCTACACTTCTGGGCTCAAGTGATCCTCCCTCCTCACCCTCTCAAAATGCTGGGGTTACAGGCATGAGCCACTGCACCCGGCCTTATACTTTTCATATCTTATTTAATATAGCAAGTTAACGTAATATTTATATGTAACCCTACACTCTTGTGAAGAAAATATGCAGAAAATATTTCTGGAATAAAAATGTATACATGCTTCTGCATCTTCACGTTACATTACATTTAAATCTTCATCATATTTTAATAGCTGCATAATGTTGCATGGTATGAATGCATTTTTCTATTCATAAAGAGTTCCTTATAGGGAAACATAAGATGTTTTTAGCTGATATGGCTTGGCTATGTCTCCATCCAAATCTTATCTTGAATTGTAGTTCCCGTAATCCCTACGTGTCATGAGAGGGACCCGGTGGGAGGTAATTTAATCATAGGGGTGGTTATCCTCATGCTATTCTGCTAATAGTGAGTGAGTTCTCATGAGAGTTGAGGGTTTTATGAGGGGCTTTTCCCCTATTGCTCGGCAGTTCTTTCCTTGCTGCCGCCATGTGAAGAAGAACGTGTTTGCTTCTCTTTCTGCCATGACTGTTAAGTTTCCTGAGGCCTCCCCAACCATGCTGAACTGTGAGTCAATTAAACTTCTTTCCTTTATAAATTACCCAGTCTCAGGTATGTCTTTATTAGCAGCATGAGAACAGACTAATATACTAGCATTATCAAAAATGTTGCAATTAACAACTTTGTGGTCTAGTTTTGCATGCAAATGCAAATAGATCCGTGGGATAAAATCATAGAAACAAAATTACTGACTCAATGTTTATGCACGTCTCTAATTGGAGGAATATTGCCTAAGTGCAGATGTTTTCGTCTTTTGCCTATTTTCTACTGACTGGTTTTCCTTTTTGTAATGATTTATAAAGACCTTTGTCTATTACAAAATTATATAACTTCTGTCATATTTGTGACACATTTTTCTCCAACTTTCTCATTTGCTTTTTATTTATACATTTTGTTGTGCAGATATTTTTAGGCACTGAAATGTACAAATCAGTTTCTTTTTGGTTCTGGGTTTCTGACAAGCTAAGAAAGGATTTCCCCATTACTAGATTATAAAAGAAAAAGAAAAACACCGCCATGATTTTTAAAATAGTTCTATGGTTTCATCTTTTAAAATTTAGGTTAAGCCATATGGAATCGTAAAAATAAGTGATTTTAGCCTACAAAATGTCAGTTGCAGACAAATGTATTTAAACCTTTGGTCTGCTTGAAATCGCATGTGTTTGTGTTTGTGTGTATGTGTGCATGTGTTTGGGGTGTCTGTGTGTGCTGTGTGAAATACAAAGACATGAGGTAATAAGTCAGCTCCTTTCCTCTGCTTCCCTATCCAAGAGTCTCCAAATGATGACATGAATATTCTCATCTCTTACATATGTGGGCCTATTTTGAACTACATATTCCACCCTGAGTATATATATGTCTAAATTACTATGGTTGGCAAGTATATTCCAATATCTAATAGAATTAGGTTTCCCTCATAACTCTTCTTTTGTAGACTTTTTTCTATATACCATATAATGTTTATTTTTCTGAATTAATATAATTATTTCTAACAATTCAAATTTTTTAAAAGTCTTGCTCAAGAGTGCAATTTTAGCTTAATTTGTTATCTGACATCTTTATTGTGAGTTTTCTTGTCCAGGAACAAGTTATGTCTTTCAATTTAGTCCAAGTCCTCTTCTATATATTCCTCAAAAGACTGTGTCAGATTTTTCCTCATATAATTTCTCCGCATTTGATATCTTCCACCTTCTTAAATTCTCTTGCTGTTTTTTAACAGCTTTTCAGTTAATTCCTTTATGTCTTCCAGTCATACATTGATAATATATGTAACTAATGATAGGTTTGCCATACCACTTCTAATTATTTTTGTTATTTATTTGTACCCAATTATATTGGCTGGTATGTGACTACTGACTTTGGTGGGAATGTTCTTAAAACTTAGCACTGATGCTGGCTATATACAAACATACTCTCATACACACACACACACACACACACACACACCACTATGAAGATTTTATACAAATCAGAATTAAGTGCAAATTTCATAGAACTTATTTTGCATTTGGATGGGTACAGAGTTTCTTCTTTGGGTTATTACTAAGATAAATTATATTAATATAATTCATAATATTGAATTATCCCTACATTCCTAGAAGACTCCCCCATTTGGTAACACATTACTGTATTAACAAACTGCTAAGTCTATTCTAGGTCACAGAAAATAATTGCAGCTCTATGTTGTCTTCTTCAGCCCTGATTCTCTGATGTTCTTCAGAAAGAAAATCGGTCTGTATTAGAACATTCTCCACATCTACAATGGCTTCCCATGGGCCAAGTCATATCTTTGTAAAGGGTTATTTTGGGACCATTTCGCTTATCTTTAGAGAAGTCCATATCCTAACTGAGCTTCAGAGTGGTATGTATCAGTCTTTGATGTCTTTCACTTGATCTGATCCAATTATCACTATTATTTGACAGATAGAGATACTCCTATCCTAAAGATTTGGGTAGGAGTATGATTATTTTCAAGTTTACCAATGTTGAATTTTTTCCACAATTTTTGCATTCCTTTTTGTTGCTTTTGATAAGTCTCAGGGAAAAATAAAAACATCCTTCCTTATCATCTTTTACCAGAACTCCTACACCATTATTCCAAGGGCTAGCTGCTGCTCCTTTGAATGGCTGTACTTAAATTATCTAACCAATATCCCATTTTTAGATATTTAGGTTATGCCAAATTTTCACTGTGATACATATCACTGAAAAGAAAGAACATTTTAAAAGACCAATATTGGAGAAAATCAAATTCACACAAAATAGTGACTAGTAGAAAAGCAAAGGATGCCTGTAGAATAATGAAAAAACTAATGAAAAAGAGCTGCTTTTGTGGGGTGAGTTGCTCAGGCAGAAAGGAACAGAAAGGGAACTAAATCTCTTTAGCAACTTCCTCTTATTTAATCTCTTCTCTTTCCCCTTCCCACATCCTCTCTTGTAGAGGGTCTGCTGTGGCAATATTGCTGTGTGAGATTAGGACACCTCTCTCTGATGTGTAAGGTGCAAGCTAGATTGTGGTGGCAGGCAGCATTATGTGTTTCCATTCTCTTGAGTTCTCACTTATTGGAAAATCCAGGATAGCCATTAGTAATCACAGAAATGGTTTTAAAACCATTGTCCGGAAGAAATTCCTTTTCTGCCACATGGAACTCAACTACTATAAATTATGATTTTGGGAATACTACATTGATTTAAGTAAGAGGGACAGTCACCTTGAATCAAAGAACCAACTCTTACATTGGGCTTGTAAATGTTTTTCTGTTTAAGAATAATAATAGCAGGATTTAACTGGACACTTATCTTAGACATAGATGCCGTAAAATTTCAAGACTGCTTCACCTTTATCACTTGTCTGTCTGAAGAACCTAGAGATTTACACAGTCTAGCTGACATTCAAGTTCTTTAACTTCTCACCCCCAGCTGCTTCATCAGATACAGATGTCTCAAATCAGACTTAGGACTAAGGTGGGCAGCAGTGAATAAAACATAAATGTCAACAACAAAACCCACAAGAAAATTTAAAATAACTTTCTTGTTGAGGGTCTGTACTGGGCATTAAGGATAAAGAAGTATCTTATATAATCTGTGCCTTGAAGAAGCTTACACCGTGCTGGGCTAAATAGAGATGACAATTTTCAAGATTGAAATGATCAGTGATACAATGTCACACAGAAAGGCAAGAACTATTCTATTAAAAGTTCTTTGGTCTGGATTTTTTCTGTGTGTGCTTTTACTCCCTGAGTAGATGGACAGCCAATGAGAGTCCTGATCAGTAGCTAACTAGGTTCTAGGACAAGCAATGTCAAGAATAGACTTGCAGAAGAAAAAAGAATCCTCTCAGCAGGTCAAGCTGCCCCTACATTATGGATAGGAAGGGTTGGGGAGGAGGGATGTGTGGGATGTCAGACTTGCCAGAGGAGCTCTTTTGAAACTCACTGTCCAGGCTTCCTCGCTTTGCAGTTCTGGTGAACATTAGAAGGGAGAAGGAAAGGCAGGCACATTTTGAAGTCTTCTAGGTAATTAACTTTCTTTCCTCTTCACCCTGCATCCAAAAGAGGCTGGTAGGGACACCCTGCAAAGGCCCATCCAGGTGGGTCCCTGGGAGGGCACCCAGCACTAAGGGCACCTTTTGAAAAATAAGCCAGGCTTAACCCTCTACAGCCACATAACAAGCAAGAAATCAGGAAAGCCAAGAGTTTTAAATGCTTGTATTCTTTTTCTCTTTTTTTTTTCAACAGAGACTTGTTCTGTTGTCTAGGCTGGAGTTCAGAGGCATGATCTTGGCTCACTGCAACCTCTACCTCCCTGGTTCAAGCAACCCCACCACGCCCGGATCATTTTTGTGTTTTTAGTAGAGACGGGATTTTACCACATTGGCCAGGCTGGTCTCAAACTCCTGACCTCAGGTAATCCACTCATTTTGGGCTCCCAAAGTGCTGGGATTACAGGAGTGAGCCACCATGCCTGGCCAAATGCTGTATTCTAATCCTTCCTTTTAGTGGCGATAATGGGTATTTGTTAGCCATTTCATGGGATTATGTAATCATGAAATATACTATTATTAGTTTTGATTATCTGAGAAAGGCTACTAGTAATCTCAGAAAACCATTTTCTACCATGAAATTTAATATAAATATTCTTTATTTTAAAGTCTTATTTTTTATGGTGGCTTTAAGTAAAAACCTGTTAGTGTGAAAACTCTTCATCTTCTCATCAGAAAATCAATCATAAAAATGAGTTTTGGTAATAAATGGATCTAAACCGGTAGAAGTGCAGGTCAGAAGTTACAATGTTAAAGGTACAAAAATAGAACCATATGGGAACTTTTTTCTAAAAAGTCTGCAGTCAACATTTCATCCATCAATTCATATCACCATTAATATTTGGAAGCTTTGAGTCAAGCAAGAATCACATGTGCATGTGACCAGCCCTAAGGGACTCCCCTTTAGAGAGGCAGCAAAGGCCCGGCATAACCATCTAGCATGGCTCTCTTAATTAATATGAATTGCAGTTACCCACTTGAAACATTAATGCAAAATGAAACTACTACTTTAGCAAACCTTAGCTGGATCCATTTTTTCAATACACATTCTTTCATATTCCACCAGTTTGCTGTTTGAACCTACTGTCTCAATATATAAAAGCATACTTCACTCAGCAGAGGAACCAGAACCAATTTGTCCCTAAACATTTCTTTTTTTTTTTTTTTTTTTAAAGACAGGGTCTCATTCTATCACCCAGGCTAGGGCACCTAGTGGTGCCACCATAGCTCACTGTAACCTCGAACCCTAGGCTCAAGCAACCCTCTTGCCTCAGTCTCAGGAGTAGCTGGGACTACAGGTGCATGCCACCACACCTGACTAATTATTATTATTATTATTATTATTATTTTGTAGAGATGGGATCTCACTCTGTTACCAGGCCTCAAGACATCCTCCCACCTTGGCCTTCCAAAAGTGCTGGGATTACAGGTGTGAGCTACTGTGCCCAGCTAAAAAAAATTATGTCTTATTACTATAACTTTGTAAACTGTGTTCATCTGAATGAAATAGTCACCTGAGGCATAACAAAATATAATCTTAGATTATAACAACACATTTAAATTAAGACATGTATGAGAGAAAATCCATTTTTTTTTCTGGAATATTCCACATAGGTCATAGCATACTACCTAATTTTTTATGTTAAATGTTTTATTTTACCATGTCAAAAAGACAAAAACTATTATTATTATATTATTCTTATAATTACAAATGTAATTTATATTTACCAAAAAACTACAAGCTTCCCATAGTTTCTACAATTATTACTTTAAAAAAAAGTCCTGTATGGTTTCTTGTTGCCAAGTGCAAAATAATAGTCTTATCTTTGTGGGTGTGGTTCTGGCTTTCCTAACTTGTCTGTCACTGATCACTAATAAACATCCTTTGTCCCATCTAAACTGAGTTATAGGATGTGTCCCAATTTACCTTAAGGTTTCCCACCTCCACTCCATTGCTTATGCTAGTTCTCTGCCTGCCAATGGACAATCTAATTCACTTTTCCTTTGAAACTCGTCTCACATACTAATTCATTAAAAATATCAAGTTCTGGCTTTGTTCTTTTTGCTTAAGATTGCTTTGACTATTTGGGCTCTTTTTTGGTTCCACAGAAATTTTAGAATAGTTTTTTTCTAATTCTGTGAAAAATGTCATTGGTAGTCTGACAAGAATAGCATTGAATCTCTCAATTGCTTTGGGCAGTATGGCCATTTTTACGATGTTGATTCTTTCAATCTATGAGTATGAAATGTTTTTCCATTTATTTATGTTGTCTCTGATTTCTTTCAGCAGTGTCTTGTAATTCTCCTTTTAGAGATCTTTAACCTCTTTGGGTAGGTGCATTCCTGGGTATTTCATTTTCTTTGTGGCTATTGTGAGTGGGATTGTGTTGTTTATTTCACTCTCAGCCCAGATGTTGTTGGTGTACAGAAATGCTACTGAAGAACAAAGCCGGAGTTATCACACTACCCATCTTTAAACTATACTATACAGCCACAGTAACCAAAACAGCATGTTATTGGTACAAAAACAGACACATAGACTGATGGAACAGAATAGAAAATTTAGAAATAAAGCCACACACCTACAACCATCTGATCTTCAACAAGGCTAACAAAAACAAGCAATGGGAAAAGGACTTCCTATTCAATAAATGGTGCTGGGATAACTGGCTAGCCCTAGGCTGAAGATTGAAACAGGACCCCTACCTTTCACCATATACAAAAATTAACTCAAAATATATTAAAGATTTAAATGTAAGACCTCAAAATGTAAAAATCCTGGAAGACAACCTAGGAAATATTCTTCTCAACATTGGTGCTGGAAAAGAATTTTTGGCTCAGTTCCCAAAAGCAATTGCAACAAAACCAAAAATTGACAGGTGGGAACTAATCAAACTAAAGAGTTTCTGCACAGCAAAAGAATCTATCAACAGAGCAAACAGGCATCCTACAGAATAAGAGCAGACATTCACAAACTGTGCATCTGAGAAATGCCTAATATCCAGAATCTATAGGGAACTTAAATCAACAGCAAAAAAATAAAATAAAATAAACAAAAAACCCCATTAAAAAATGGGCAAAAATCATGAACAGACACTTCTCTAAAGAAGATGCACATGTAGCCAACAAGTATATAAGAAATGCTCAACATCATTAATCATCAGAAAAATGCAAATCAAAAGCATAATGAGATACCATCTCACACTAGTCAGAATGGATCTTATTAAAAACTCAAAAACAACAGATGCTTGCCAGGCTCCAGAGAAAAGGGAATGCTTATACACTGCTGGTAGGAATGTAAATTAGTCCAGCCACTTTGGAAAGCAGTTTGGAGATTTCTCAAAGAACTTAAAACAAATCTACCATTCGACCCAGAAATCTTATTACTGGGTGTATGCTGGGTATATACTGGGTATTTTTTGCATATACTGGGTATATGCAAAAAATAAATAAATATATCACTCTACCAAAAAGACACATGCACTCATAGGTTCCTTGCTGTACCATTCACAATAACAGAGACATGGAATCAATTCTGGTGTCCATCAGTGGTAGACTGGATGGAGAAAATGTAGTACATATACACCATGGAATTCTATGCAGCCATAAAAACAATGAAATCATGTCCTTTGCAGCAACATGGATGGAGCTGGAGGCCATAATCCCTAAGCAAATTAACACAGGAATAGAAAACCAAATACTGCATGTTTTCACTTATAAGTGGGAACTAAGCATTGAAAACACATGGACATAAATTTGGGAACAATAGACACTATAGACTACTAGAAGGTGGAGGGAGGAAGTGAGTTAAAAAACTGTCCATGGGGTACTATGTTCACTGCCAGGGTGATGGGATCTGTACTCCAAACCTCAGCATCACACAATATTGCCATGTAACAAATCTGCACAGGTACCCTCTGTATCTAAAATAAAAGTATAAAAGAAAATCAAAGTCCTTCACTTGATAATATCCTCTCCACCTTCACTCACAGATGAGAGGGCAGAGAATTTATTAGTGCCTCTCTTCCGGATTATCCATCATATCACACCTTATATAATCATCTGTGTATTTATTAAGTGAACTGGCATGTCTTCATGGGCCCAGTGTGAGTGAGTGTGGGTGTGGGTGTGAGTGTGCCCTGCAATGCAACAGCAGCCTGGCTGGGGCAGTTCCCACCTGAGCTCCTGGGGTGGGCTCTGACCACCCGCAACCCTGAACTAGAATATGTAGGTATTTATCTTTCTTAAATGTATGTACAACTCATTTATTTCAATGTTTAATATGAGAAGTATTTTGGTCTTTATTTAGAAGTTTGGTGAAACTTTTGCAACCAGAAATATGCCACAGGAGCTTGACTCCTGTTTATATCAATTAACTTGTGGTCAAATGGGTTTCCTTATAAGTCATCTCACTTGAAGTTACAGTTTGCAGTTTCCAAGAATCTATTGATAGCATTCAATGAGGACTTGTACCATAAAGAAAATTATACTACAATGAAATGTGTTATGAAATGACATAGCTTGGGCTGGGCACGGTGGCTTATGCCTGTAATCCCAGCACTTTGGGAGGCTGAGGTGGGCGGATCACGAGGTCAGTAGATTGAGACCATCCTGGCTAACATGGTGAAACCCCATCTCAACTAAAACTACAAAAAAATTAGGGTGTGGTGACGGGTGCCTGTAGTCCCAGCTATTCGGAAGGCTGAGGCAGGAGAATGGCGTGAATCCGGGAGGCAGAGCTTATAGTGAGCTGAGATTGTGCCACTGCACTCCAGCCTGGGTGACAGAGTGAGACTCCTTTAAAAAAAAAAATGACATAGCTTGAAGACATAGAGGACGGAAAACATTCAAGGACTCTATAGTTGTGATCTCAGTGCATTGAGAAATGCCAGGTTGAGTCTAAGAGAGACTTGAGGTCAGACAGACTGTGATTTTTAATGTTGATGGTGCCATTTGTAAACCATGTGGCCTTGACCAATTTACTATATTTAGAGTTTGGGGCCTTTATTTTCTCATTTATTAAACAGAGATAGAAATGCCTACTTACAGGGTTGTGAAAATCGTATGAGATCATTAAGTAGAGCACCTAGATATGTTCGCAGCATGTTAGTAACATGGGCCTCCACAAACAAGAGCTCTTTAATCACTAAGGTCTGGAAAAAACCATAGTGAGCAGAACCCACCCACCTTCTCATTAACTTCTTTTTACCAATGTTTTAGATGAGGACAAGATTCTTCCCCCACCCCCTGCCTCCGCCCCATCCCATTCTGCTCAATTTTCATTTTCTTTGTTTCTGGAAAGGCTTCAGTAGCTGGAGGGAGGAGTCATTGTCAGGTGCACAAAGTCAAGGGAAGAGGTGAAGTCCCATAAAGTCTACTGGTCTTGCCATTCTGTGTGGGACAGGGATCACTGTAAGGAATAGTCATAAGACTGATTTTTTAGTTTGAAACCAAATCATACAAAGAATGGACAGGGGACATAAGAGTGTTGACCTGTAAGAGAGGAACGCTGAGGAGACCAGCATCACCTCATGTGCAGGAACAGCCAGACAAGGTCCCCTGAGGCCCAATGGGATAAAACTAGGACACATGAATGAAGTTACAAAGAGACATATTTCTGTTCAGTATACATAAAGAACTGGGTTTTGGATGTTTGCTCTATCCAAAGATGGACAGGGAAGTGGTTCTAAAAGGTCAGATTATATTACCTTTAGGAGGTATTCTAAACTTAATATCCAATGAATCTATGAAATCTTCAAGAAATTTTATTTTGATGCTACACAAGACCCAGCTTATAGGAAACAGGGTGAATTATTTTAAATTACAGAATTGTGTCCCATATTTATCGTAAACTATCTAAAAACAATTCATTAAAATAAATACGTCCCTTGATGTCACATCTCCCTCCAGCTACCATCAGTTTCCCAACTCTCTTGTACAAAAAACTCTTCCAAGGAATTTCTACTGAGTCAGTCTCCACCTCCTCAACTCTCAGTCTCTCCTGAGCCTAAGCCAATCAGACTTTCATCCTCATGATTTTAAAGAAAACATTCTTATCAATTCCCAGTCTCTCCTGAGCCTAGGCCAATCAGACTTTCATCTCCACTATTTTAATGAAAACATTCTTATCAATGCCACACCTTCACCGTACCACATTCCAAGCTTCATTTTCAGTTCTCATATGACATGACCTTTCAGCACATTACCATTGCTAGTTTACACCCTCATTCTTAAAACTCCAATAGCCTGGATGCCCAGCCATCCTCTTCTCCTGTTTTTGGCTTGTTATTTACCATACTGCTGCTCCTTTTCAGGTTCCTTTGCGGTCTCCTGTCTTTTGTTCTGAACTAAAAATACTGGGGAGGACCAAGTGAACAATGATCACTTCTACATTCTTCCTTCAGTAAATCTCATCTGGATAAATGTCATCTTTATGCTCCCAAATCATAAACACATATCCTCACCCTTGAACTCTCTTCTGAGCCCCAGCCTGTTCAATAAAACTGATTTCTCAACATCTCCACTGGATGTGAACTTTTCAAGGCACAACTGCTTGATTTCACACATCATCATCCAAGCTCCAGATACACTGGTTCAATTTATTGCAAGAACCTTTATGTTTGTTATTTACTCAGCCTGGAATGCCTTCCCCGCTTTCAAGGCTCTGTCCTTCTCATGCAGGTCTCAGATGCAACATCAACTCGTTAGCATGCTTTTGCTGACACCCCTATCTCAAGTAGGATTGTAGAAGTTTATTAAATAGTAGGTGAATGAATAAATGAGCAATCTGGTTTTTTTAATCGTAATACTTAAAAATGTTGCCACTAGCTATTCCAAACTGCCTTGCCAGAAACTATATATTCTTTCCCGAATTTGGAAACACTGAAACAGAAATCTGTTAACAGAGCTGTTGTGGGAAAATGCAATTGGCTCTACATCTGCCCCTAGTGGGAACTCTGGAAACTTTACAGCAGCAGCCAATCTAGAGTTTAGGCTCTGACAAAGCAGTAAACTTCAAGGTCACACAGCTGCCTCACCTGTACGATGCGGCTGTTGGGTCTATGTTCTCTAAGGTCTAGTCCCACTCTGAAATTCTATGCTATTATGTTTCAAATATTCTATATCCTGAATAGCTAAATGGGGACCTTGTCCTTACATCTGCTTGTACATAGAATGAGAAGAGAGATGGAGCTAGCTGCCCTGATCAGGCCATCACAGTGGAGAACTGAGGGCTCGAACCAAGGGGTTGATTCTACATATTTCTTTCTGATTCCTTGCACTTCTATCCCAAAAGAGTGTGCCTGGCAAAAAGGGCAATCTAAAAAAAAAAAAAAAAAAAAAAAAAAAAAGCCTCTTGTGATCTGTGTCCCTGGGTGGAACTTAGAGAAGAACAATTGTCAGTATTTACTTTAAGGCCAATTTTACATTATGAGGTATTTTTTGACCATTTTCTTGTTTTAAAAAGTTATGATTACAGTTTTTTGTTTGTTTGTTTTTTTTTTTTTTTGAGATGACGTCTCACTGTGTTGCCCAGGCGATCTCAGCTCACTGAAACCTTCACCTCCCAGAGGAGTTCAAGAGATGCTCATGCCTGAGCATCCTGAGTAGCTGGGATTACAGGGGTGTGCCACCATGCCCAGCTAATTTTTGTAGTTTTAGTAGAGACAGGGTTTCACCATGTTGGCCATGCTGGTCTTGAACTCTTGACCTCGAGTGATCCGCCCGCCTTGGCCTCCCAAAGTGCTGGGATTACAGGAGTGAGCCAGTGTGCCCGGCCAAGTTATCATTATAGTTTTAACTTTTTTATTATTATTCTTATTTCTTGAAGCTTTCCACTATGCATGGTGACTGGGAGTGTTCACTGCTAACTTTCAAGGTAAGTATTGTACGTAAGCAGAATGAAAGGAAAAGGTATGGGAAGCATGATATGTAAAGGATTTATATCTTGTTAACGATGGTATTCACAAAACAACATGTTTAAAAATTAATTGAAAAGAGATCTTTCTTCTTATCATCTTCCCTTCCTGTTGAATTTGACAGTCAAATACATTTGGCATTACAGACTTTCGAACTTACCAGAGCAGTTGGTTTATTTCACAAAGGACTGGTCCTCTCTAAAGGCACAGACAAAGGCACAAGCAAAAACTGCTCATCCTCTGTGCCAGGAACATGAGGGCCTCCATATGTCTGGGGAAAATGTGGGCACTAAATTGGTAGACAAAATAAAATTCAATAAGATCACTCTTACCCTCTTCTCCAATCATAGGTATTTCTCTAATAGCATAAAAAATTTTTGTTAAATTGATATGAAGTGGTAGATTTCATTTACACACACTTGCTCTGGGAGGCTCTAGATATTTTAGTAAACCAACAGACATTTGATTTTTGAGCAACATGTTTTCCCATTGAGCATATGGAGAGAAATTTATTTTTAAACATTAAATAGACGTGCATCTTACAGTAACTAAAACTACCTAAAGCACTTTCCTGTTTGCCTCAAACTTTCTTTTTTCTTAGATACAGTGTCTCACTCTAGTTTCCGAGGCTGGAGGGCAGTGACATGATCAGGGCTCACTGCAGCCTCGACCTTGTGGGTTCAAGTGATCCTTCTACCACCTCAGCCTCCTGAGTAGCTGGGACTACAGATGTGCACCACCATGTCTGATTAATTTTTTTATTTTTATTTTTTGTGGAAATGGCATCTCACTATGTTCCCCAGGCTGGTCTTGAACTCTTGGCCTCAAGTGATCCTCATGCCTTGGCCTCCTATAGTTTGGCAAGTACAAGATAAACGGCTGTTGAATTGGATTTAATTCAGCAGCCAGATATCTGCTGTGTTCAGAATGAGTGAGCACAAACTCCAGAGACCATGTGACTATTATACAATTATAGACTGCATGTCCACTGAAGAAACAGCTACTTGTAATGAATTCTTTCTTTTGTTGTAGCTATTATGAATATATTTATAAGGAAAAATCCCTAAAATACATGCTTAAATATGTAGTATATATTATAGTCAAGCGATGTTTTTCTTCTCTAGAAAATCTCCCTTTTTCTTTCGCTATAGCAACTATGGTAGTGAGTATTATTTACTTTTTATATCATGATGATTTTTATAAATACATACATATTTTCATTTTTCTAAGACTAGGAATTGATCCACGAGCTCCATCTAATTTAGTATCAGTATCACTGCATTGATGAAGTGGTAACGAAGGCACCATCCCTTATTACATTTAAACGAGGTAAGAAAAAGGAAATATTTCCTGGGCCTTAGGGAGAAAAAAGCTCAGGCTCAGATATACAGATTCAGAAACTGATATGGTTTGGCTGTGTCCCCACCCAAATCTAATCTTGAATTATAGCTCCCGTGATTCCCATGTGTTGTAGGAGGGACCCGGTGGGAGGTAATTGAATCATGGGGTCGGGCCTTTCCTGCGCTATTCTCATGATAGTGAACAAGTCTCACGAGATCTGATGGTTTTATAAAGGGGAGTTTCCCTGCACAAGCTCTCTTATCTTGCCTGCTGCCATGTGAGACGTGTCTTCCACCTTCCACCATTATTGTGAGGCCTCCCCAGCCACGTGGAACTGTGAGCCCGTTAAACCTCTTTCTTTTGTAAATTGCCCTGTCTAGGGTATGTCTTTATCAGCAGTGTGAAAACTGACTAATACAGAAACTGAATATACACATTAAAATATTAAAACAATTCTTCTTTAAGTAATTTAATTAAGTCACATTTGCCAGTTTTTCATAAACTCAATGGTCTCTTAGCAATACTTCCCATAATGAATCAGCTTCAAGAGTTTCAAAATAGCATCATGGGAATGTGGTGTCCTCTTCATTTGCAAAGTTAAAAGAAAGTCTGCCATTTGTAGAGTGCAAGAAGGGACAATGTGGCAATTAGTCATCACAGTTGATGAATCTGAAGAATTCAAAATTCTTGAATCTGGGTAAGTCTGGTCTTTGTATGCAGAAACAGAAGCAGGTAACATATAAATATACATTCAATATGTGATCTATCTGACAGATAATACAATAGCCAAGAAGAGTATTTTATGATATAATTAACAGTGTTATTTTTCATCTAGCTGTGCTTCCATGTTAATCCAGATGTTTTGCTGCTGTTCATCTTTGTCACAGAGAGAAGCCTAATAATAACAAATTCAAGTGATGTTATTATCTTTCTTAATAGATCAGAGGCCTCTTCTGAGTCTTATACTGTAATCAAATAGAGAACAAACATCTGGATTTAATTTTCACCCTTCTCGTGAGATAATAAACAGCACAGTCCAAGGAAATTTACTGTTTCTTTAATAATTTCAATACTACAAATTCACAGGAGAGAAAAATTATCGTTCTGAATGTATTAAAAACACTAAATCCAGCCCCTTGAGTCCTCAAATGATCACCAATTTTAAAATGGACAAGCCACTGGCTAATAATGACTACACAAGCCTGCCAAGGAAAACATCACTGCAGGCTGCTCTAGTAAGTGCTTGGAATACAGAGGAAGAATGCTCTTTGTGCAGTACTATTTGGATCTACTTATCTGATGGCATTAGGTTATCACACACCCACAGGGCTTTCCAGAATTCCTCCCACTTCCCGCCCTTGACATGCTGAGCAGTCCTACATTGGTGACACTATCAGATCAAAGAACTAAAAATGTCTTTGGTTCCCAAAGGAATAACGACAAAAGAACAATAAATGCTTGGAATTAGTGCTGTGGACACTCTGTCTACAAGAGCCAGATACATCAGGGTTTTTTGCCTAATTTTTAGATAAACATGGATAAATTGTGAAAAGTTGAAAGAGGCTTGGTCAATTCCTTTGGTAAGAATCCCAAACTACTGACTATAAAACTGCTCATTATGTAACTAAAATTCTGCTGCCTTTCTATAGTAAGAATTAAAATCCATTGGCCAGATTCATTTGAGTCAAGTGTATTCAAGGGTATTATTTTCTTTACATTGCTATGTCTTCTATTGTTTACTTATCCTACAAAAGCAATGGCATTATGAAATCATATACGTATCCTATAGCATAGAAAGTCAGACACAAACACTCTAACAAGGTGCTACAAGTCAATAGATGAAGATGAACTACATGAAATGATATCTGGTAGGTGAAATGTAGAAGATGAGGTAACTGGAGACACAAGAACTACCTGGAAGGTAAAAGGTACGACTTGGGTTGAACCAAAAAATAATGTGAGACCTGAAGAGATTCAGTAAATTCTATAAAATGTCTCCCCTTTAGTGCCAACAAGAGCCAGCAAAGTCCAGTAATACTCATCAGGACTGACGACTCCATTAAATGCAGTAGCAGTTGACAAGCCCTATGACTTCACATATAGTATGTAACAAAGGCGAACAGTTTAACAGGAGGATAGCTCTGATACGGCACAAACCTCAGAAGAGGTGACGAAACAAAACAACAGATGGCGAGAGGCTAAGGAACAGTTGCCATGACCCAGGTGAGAAGGAACTGAGAGTCCAAACAGATCTCACCTATGCATGGCTTTCTTTTAGACACTGGGGTATAAAATGTATAATCCAAACAATACTTTTTACTCAAATGGCTGGTAAAGGGTGATAATTTTTTTTAAAAAGCTCACAATTTTAAAATTGTTCCTATTTTTTTAAAAAGCAAACAGAAACCTTTCTTTTTGGCATCTTCTCCTTTGTCTTACATAGAAACTTAAGTGCAGAATTTTAAGGCTGATTACGGATGAGTAGAAGCTATGGTAACTTTTTTCCCTTGGGGTTGAAGTATCTGTTTGCTGGCAAATAATGCAAAAAAGAAACAAATGGATCTGCTGAAAATCTACTTCTGTATTTCTCTCTTAACTAATGACAATCATTTAGCTCCAATTTTCATGTTCATGTTTCCCTTTCTTCTTGGCTTTGCTTCAGGTCTAAATTTTCCTTGATGTTCAGAGAAACGAAGAGATGGGAAAGAATTGGGGTCACTGGAGGAAAGTTTTCCTCTAGATGGCTCTTTATTTTATAAAGAATAAAAGAGATACAGTCAGAAAATTTTTCAGTAATTCAGAATATGAATGTATGCACTGTGAAATTAAAAACTCTTACTTAAATGAAACTACGGTAAAAATGATATTTTAGTAAAGAACTAAATGTCCAGTGAAGGTCTGAACAAACAGTTTCATCTTTTCTAGATGGGAAACATGCTGTGATTCTTCCCACGTATTTACAATGTCTTAAAGTTGCAAGCTTAAAATCAGACAATCTGGGAAGATCACTTTCCAAATCTAACAAAACAGCAAAAGAAACTTCTCCCTCTGAGAAGTGAGGAAGCTTTGCTCATTCAAATGGATATGGGATATATGCTAAATGGTTTACACCAAGCTAGGGAGCAGCCATTCAAATCAAAAGCAGAAACATTGGTAGAGTTCAACAGTGAGTCAAGTCAAATGCCTAAAAATAGGAAGCAAAGCATTTGATAATTACTGGGAGACAAGATTTATATATGATGTGATCATTGTCAAGGCCATGATCAATAGTAGACCTGGCTAGGCATAGGGTTAATTTAATTGAAGAAATTGAGGTTCACCTAATCCATGGGTTAATAAATATATTTTAGGCAAACCAAAGAAGAAGGAACAATAGGCTGAGGTTGACATTTAATTGGCAATGCCATCGAGATATCTGGTAGGGCAAAAAAGGCAAATACAAGACAGCCCAGTGTCGCCTACACAAGGTGAGGAAACTTCGCAGCAGGATTAGAATGTGGATGCCTAACTTTTCCAATATACAAAGAACCCAGGCAGGCTGCTATCCTGCTGAACAGGTATGGGTAAAAATGAAGTTCAGGCCATAGGCAGGAGGAGCCCTTAAACACCCACAGAAAACACGACAAACCATCATTGAAACGCTTGCAGAATCACTAGACTTAGCAATAGTTCTGGGAATCTAACCGGAGTTGCAGTTTGAATGGAAGTTAAGTGTCATTGAGAGGACTGGTTCCTAAGATGAGATCCCAGCAGTAGATGAAATGAGAACATCTAAACAGGAGTGAGGAGAATGTCCACTCATTACTGATTCCATATACTCAGAAGTAGGCTGTGTGTAAAAAGTGACACCTGCCTTTGAAATTCATCCCCGGGGTTCACCTGGCCATTCTCATCTTGCCTACCCACATGCTGCTTGTCCTGGATGGTCTTGCCCCTGGGTCTCCACTCATTTTGATCCAGTGCCTGTGCTCCTTTGATGCCAAAGTCAGGAGCTTGGAGATAAGTTACCTAATGCATCTTCTGTACTCTCCTCTCTGCCTCCATCCCAATTTCCTCAACCCTCAGCTTGAGAAAGACTTGGATATTGATATGGGTTAAGTTGTGCCACCTCCACCCACTGCCACCACCAAATTCATCTGTTGAAGTTCTAACCTCCAGGACTTCAGAATGTGACCTTATTTAGAGATAAAAGTCTTTCAAGTTCAAGTAAGCTCATTAGGGTGGGCCCTAATCTACGATAACTAGTGTCCTCAGAAAGAGGGGAAATTTGGACACAGAAATACCCATAGGAAGAAAATATGAAGAAGAGATAGGAAGAAGACAGCCATCTACAAACCAGGGAGAGAGGCTTGGAACAGATCCTTCCCTCCCAACCCTCAGAAGGAGTCACCCTACTGAAATCTTGATTTTGGACTTCTAGCTTCTAGAACCAAGAGACAATGCATTTCCATTGTTCAAGCCACCCAGTTATGGTACTTTAATATGACCATCCTAGCAAGGTAACACAGGTACATCTGCACAAAGTGAAGAATGAAGGTGATGTTAATTAGTACTTTCCACAGGCCCATGTTACTCAATTCTTCATTTAAACAAAATGCCTCTGATTATATGTGTTTTTGTTATTTTCAATCCTTTCTGGAACAAGTAGGGTATAAATACAGATTTCTTGTGATCTGAAACTAGACCCACAGTTGCTTCCTCTTTTTATTCATACCTGTTGAGTTTTAAGTAGCTACTATTCATAGAAAGAAGGAAAAAAGAAAGAAAAAAGGGAGAGGGAGAGGAAAAGGAGGGAGAGACATAACAAAAATTGATGAAGGTGTGTGTGTGCCTTTCTGAGGCAGCAGGAAAGAGAAGTTCTCCTGTAAGAGCTGGCTTAAATGGAGAGGTGCCCCTTTTGTGGCATTTCAAGGAAAGACAAACAAGCCATACCCATAAAATGAAGAAAAGAACAGGAGGAGCATATATGAGCCAGACCAGGGTGGAGAAGCAGCACCAGGGGTCAACCAGGGCAGAGGATCTGTGAATTTCAGACTCAGATCACTAGCCTGCAGGTGAAATAATCATTGCCAGGAACATGAGACAGGACTTTAGCTTCTTGGGGCCCATTTCTTTGAAGATTTCTCCCAACTTCTCACTCTCACTCACAGCACAAGTTGATGAGGCTGAGCACTGAGGCAGTTGCTGGGTGATTCAAGCAACAGGAAAATTAACTCCAGTATGCCTATATATTACATCAGAGTTGAGGGAGACTTTTTTGGCCTCCCTCCCTGATTTCCACGCCATATTCTGCAACATAATGACTAAATTTGGCTTTAACATATCACAGGTGGTTATTTTGCAAAAATGAGTTTACACGATTTTAAACGAAAATGCTATGGACTGTTCTGTCCTTAGCCCCAGGATGATAAGTCTGATCAAAGGAAATGAAGCCACATCTCCTGACATAAGTTTCCTTTCAGAACTTCCCATGCAAGTTGGGGGATGTGGATGTGACAGGAGTTATTCTGTTTCTGGGTTAGGTAGTTCTGGGTTAGGTAGTTTGGCTGCATTTGAAGAAAATGGTTGGAGACTTTATTTGAAAATATTCCATAGTAATGGAAAAGTTATGCAAATTCATCTCCCTATTCTATATCTAGAATACATATGTATATATGTTCTAGAATATATAGATATGTATATCTATACATACATATATATGTGGATTATTTAAGCCCAGGAATTCAAGGGTTATATAAACTCATCTCTCTATTTATTTTATATACATATATAGAGAGTATATATATATATAGATATACTATCTATCTATACATATATGTATATATAGATAGATATACTATCTATCTATACATGCATGTATAGATAGATATACTATCTATATATACATATATGTATATGTATATAGATATACTTTCTATATAGATATAAATATGTATATCTCTATATCTGTATCTATATCTGTATATATACATATGTATATCTATATCTAGAACATATATATGTATGTATGTTCATATATGTATGTTCATATATGTATATATGTTCTAGATATAAAAGAGTGATGAGTTTGCATAAATTTTCCATTACTATGGAATATTTTCAGATAAAGTCTCCAACCCTTTATATGTGTGTGTGTGTGTGTGTATGTGTGTGTGTGTGTATGTAGTGGTATTGGGAAGGGATTATCACTTTATTCTTTATACTGTTCTATGTTGGTTGAATTTTAAGGAACTTGCATTACTATATAATCTGAGGAAATTAAGCTTTATTTATTTATTTCTTTTTGAGACAGGGTCTCACTCTGTCACCCAGGCTGGAGTGCAGTAGTGTGATCACAGCTCACCGCAGCCTTGACCTCCTGGGCTCAGGTGATCCTCCCATCTCAGCCTCCCAAGTAGCTGGGATTACAGGGTGTGCACCACCTCATCTGGCTAATTTTTCTATTTTTTGTAGCGATAAGGTTTTGCCATGTTGCCCAGGCTGGTCTTGAATTTCTAGACTCAAACAATCCACCCACTCTGGCCTCCCGAAGTGCTAGAATTACAGGCATGAGCCACTGTGCCCATCCCAGCTATTTTAATTTTGGAAAAAAGTTATAGAAATCTATCTAATAATTTTTGGGGGCAGGGCACGGTGGCTCATGCCTATAGTCCTAGTACTTTGGGAAGTCAAGGCAGGCGGATCACTTGAGCCTAGAAGTTTGAGACCAGCCTGGGAAACATAGTGAGGCCCCCTTCCCACTGTCCCTACAAAAAATAAAAAATAAAAAATAGCTGGGTGTGGTGGTGTGTGCCTGTAGTCCCAGCTACTCGGGAGGCTGAAGTAGGAGGACAGCTTGAGCCCAGGAGGTAAAGTCTGCAGTGACTAGAGATCATGCCACTGCACTCAAACAGTGAGACCCTATCTCACAAAGAAAGAAAGAAAGAAAGAAAGAAAGAAAGAAAGAAAGAAAGAAAGAAAGAAAGAAAGAAAGAGAGAGAGAGAGAGAGAGAGAGAGAGAGGGAGGGAGGGAGGGAGGGAGGGAGGGAGGGAGGGAGGAAAGAAGGAAGGAAGGAAGGAAGGAAGGAAGGAAGGAAGGAAGGAAGGAAGGAAGGAGAAAGGAAAAAATTCTATTAATGGTTAATGCCATTAATAGAATTCTAAAAAATAACAACTATATTTTATAAAGAATATCTCTGCTTAAAATACAGAAACCTTACTAGTTTTCCACTTGAACTTATTTCTCATCTAAAGAAGCAATGATGAAATCTTGTATCTTCCAGGCATCACATTTTCTACGTTAAATTATTAAATAGCTAACTAGGAATGAAGAAATAAAAAATGGAATCATGTTTCCCCTCTTAAATCAGAAACAAAAGCTACTTGGTACTTCAAAATACTGATTGTCCTTGAGATGTAAAGGGAGTGTCTAATGTTCCACATCAATAATCTGACCCACATCAGAAGCTATTTTGGATAACAGGAAATAGTTATCTTTATCAAACATATAAAAGTTCACATTAATATGTGGCTGATTGTAAAGCGACCCTGCCAAGAAGAAATGCATTAGAGCATTTCAGTCTGGTGACCTGTACTTGAGGCTGAGTCAACACTTCCATGATACAACTTCATCTTTGAGGCTTCAATAACTGAGCCAATTAAAACCAATTCCAGGTTAAAACTCCACACATAGCTTTCTGGGCAGAAAGGCTCTTTTTATAGAAACAATTTTACTTTTCTAAATGCACATCTTTAAAGGTATTTTTATAGCTGTGATTAAGGCTTGGTGTTTTTGCTAATTTAAAAAGGTATTTTTTTTCTTTTTCTTGGATGTGTATGTGTTCATTAGAGTATTGCTTGGTTTTAAATAAAATAGGCGGAGTATGTTATTCAAGTAGTTCATACCTTCCCAAAGCCAAAGTTAAAATATTAAGTTCAGGAAAGTAATAATTAACAACTATTCTTCCTAAATGTCTTGGACATGAAACCAGAGCCAATTTCCCCTAGGATAATGTAGAGTATGTTAACATTACAAATCTGTGGTTTAAATACCCTCCATGTTCACAGTCTGTGGCTTGGCAGTGCTTGGAGAGAAAAAGCCACAGTTTGTTGTCTGTAACCCAGTGGCCATCTGTAGTGTGGCAAGAAGGGGATCTCATTGGCATTTCTGTCATAATGTGGCCTAGTTCCTAAAACCTGGCATGAGGATTAAAGTGATGAAGGGCCAGGGTCCAAGCCGGAGATGAAGCATAGCAGTACACAGGGAGACTCTGGGGGCTACCCGGCATTAGCCCAGGAAGGACCTAAACCAGCTTCCAAAGAGTCCACTGCCCCCTGTCCAGAGCAACTCACTGCAAAATTCTTCAAGGGCAAAATTGTGGTTACAACTTGATCGTAACTTTACAGTTCCTGAAGGCCCAGGACATAGCTGTCAGTTGCAGAGTTAGAATCTTACCTTTAACAGTATCTGGACCACAGGAGATGCTCAATTTATATGTGTCATAGGAATAAAGTGTCTACTAAATTGCCACTCTGCATTTTACCAATAGAAGAGCACACAAATGCAAAGAAGTGAATCAATCATATGGCAAAGTTTTCAAAAGAGAGTGTCCTGGTTTTTCTGAGTTTTTTTGTTTGTTTGTTTGTTTTTTGAGACGGAGCCTGGCTCTGTCGCCCAGGCTGGAATGCAGTGGCACGATCTCGGCTCACTGCAAGCTCCGCCTCCCGGGTTCACGCCATTCTCCTGCCTCAGCCTCCCAAGTGGCTGGGACTACAGGCGCCCGCCACCACGCCCGGCTAAATTTTTTTTTTATATATTTTTAGTAGAGATGGGGTTTCACCATGTTAGCCAGGATGGTCTTGATCTCCTGACCTTGTGATCCACCTGCCTTGGCCTCCCAAAGTACTGGGATTACAGGCGTGAGCCACCGCGCCCGGCAAAAGGAAAGGCATGCCTCGGTTCTCTTTTTTTTTTTTTTTTTTTTTTTTGAGACGGCGTCTTGCTCTGTCACCGAGGCTGGAGTGCAGTGGTGCAATCTCGTCTCACTGCAAGCTCCACCTCCCGGGTTCACGCCATTCTCCTGCCTCAGCCCCCCCAGTAGGTGGGACTACAGGCACCAGCCACCACGCCTGGCTAATTTTTTGTATTTTTAGTAGAGACAGGGTTTCACCATGTTAGCCAGGATGGTTTCCATCTCCTGAGCTTTTGATCCACCTGCCTCAGCCTCCCAAAGTGCTGGGATTACAGGCGTGAGCCACCACACCTGGCCGAATGTCCTTATTTTTTTAACCAATAGCCTGATAGTTAAAATTTACTAGTTCATGTGACTACAGTGAGTAAGGAAGTCCTATAGAAAAGTGTTTGCAAGAGCCCTTCTGAAGCAACAGAAAAAAACTGATGTCAAGATTTTTTTTTTTCATGTTTGTTGGCCAACATCACGGATCATTAGAGAAATGCAAATCAAAAACACAATGAGATATCATCTCATGCCAGTCAGAATGCTGATTGTTAAAAAGTCAAGAAACAACAGATGCTGGCAAGGCTGTGGAGAAATAGGAACGCTTTTACACTGTTGGTGGGAGTGTAAATTAGTTCACCATGTGGAAGACAGTGTGGTGATTCCTCAAGGAATCAGAAATACCATTTGACCCAACAATCCCATTACTGGGTATATACCCAAAGGATCCTAAATCATTCTATTATCAAGATACATGCACACATATATTTATTGCAGCACTATTTACAATAGCAAAGACATAAAACCAACCCAGATGCCCATCAGTGATAGACTGGATAAAGAAAATGTGGTACATATACACCATGGAATGCTATACAGCCATAAAAAGAAATGAGATCATGTCCTTTGCAGGGATATGAATGAAGCTGGAAGCCATCATCCTCAGCAAACTAACACAGGAACAGAAAACCAAACACTGCCTGTTGTCACTCATAAGTGGGAGCTGAACAATGAAAACACACGGACACAGGGAGAGGAACAACACACACTGGGGCCTGTTGAGGGGTGAGGGGCAAGGGGAGGGAACCTAGATGATGGGTTAATAGGTACAGAAGACCACCATGGCACATGTATCCCTACGTAAAAACCTGCACATTCGGCACATGTATACTGGAACTTAAAATAAATAAATAAAAATAAATAAATAATAAAAAACATTAAAGTGATGAACTAAAGTGTGTGCGCTCTCTTGCTTGCTTGCTCTCTCTCTTCAAAGGCACATAATGGACAAGGTGAATTCACTAATATCCATTCAGTAAATATTTAGTGACTATTCACCTCATTTTGCAAAGTTGAAAAAGATACTGGCTATGGCCTCAATAGCTCTAACTATTTATAATAAGTGCTCTAATTACAGGTAAATGTAGTGTTCATAATTTTATATAAATTAAGCACACACAAAATATTAGTTATGCTTTTCAACTCAGAAGAGAGCTAAAAAGGCCATGTTTCTTAATGAAGTATATATTTTTTATCACAAGGGAAAATGCTTACAATTTCATAACTCTGGAGAGGGTCAGACACTCTAGAATCCAGTCCTATTTTGCCTTAACTAAATGCTTGACTTTGTACCCGTCAATCTTTAGGAACCTCAGTTACTTGTCTTTAAAAATTGGAGTTAGGGCAGGGCACAGTGGCTCACGCCTATAATGCCAGCACTTTGGGAAGCCAAGGCAGGCAGATCATGAGGTCAGGAGATGGAGACCATCCTGGCCACCACGGTCAAACCTCATCTCTACTAAAAATACAAAAATTAGCTGGGTGTGATGGCACACACCTGTAGTCCCAGTTTCTGAGAAGCTGAGGCAGGAGAATCACTTGAACCCAGAAGGCAGAGGTTGCAGTGAGCCAAGATCGCGCCACTGCACTCCAGCGTGGTGACAGAGCGAGACTCTGTGGCAAAAAATAAAAAAATAAAAAAAAATCAGAGTTAGACAAGCTGATTTTGAAAGATTTTTCCAGACCCATTCCAAGATGGCCAAATAGGAAGAGCTCCAGTCTGCAGCTCCCAGAGTGATCGACACAGAAGACGGGTGATTTCTGCATTTCCAACTGAGGTACCTGGTTCCTCTCATTGGGACTGGTTGGACAGCAGGTGCAGCCCACGGAGGGTGAGCTGACGAAGCAGGGTGGGGCACCGCCTCACCTCGGAAGTGCAAGGGGTTGGGGGATTTCCCTTTCTTAGCCAAGGGAAGCCGTGATAGACTGTACCTGGAAAAACAGGACACTCTCGCCCAAATACTGCACTTTTCCCAAGGTCTTAGCAACCAGAAGACAAGGAGATTCTCTCCTGAGGCTGGCTCAGCAGGTCCCACACTCACAGAGCCTTGCTCACTGCTAGTGCACCAGTCTGAGATTGAACTGTGAGGCAGCAGCCTGGCTGGAGGAGGAGTGTTCGCCATTGCTGAGGCTTGACTAGGTAAACAAAGTGACTGGGAAGTTCAAACTGGGTAGAGCCCACACAGGTCAGCAAGACCTACTGCCTCTGTAGACTCCACCTCTGTGGGCAGGGCATAGCTGAATAAAAGGCAGCAGACAGCTTCTGCAGACTTAAATGTCCCTGTCTAACAGCACTGAAGACAGCGGTGGTTCTCCCAGCACGGCGTTTGAGCTCTGAGAAAGGACAGACTGTCTCCTCAAGTGGGTCCCTGACCCCCATGTAGCCTAACTGGGATACACCTCCCAGTAGGGGCCAACAGACACCTCATATAGGCAGGTCTATATGGGGATGAAGTTTCCAGGGGAACGATCAGGCAGCAGTATTTGCTCTTCTGCAATATTTGCTGTTCTCCAGCCTCTGCTGGTAAAACCCAAGCAAACAGGGTCTGGAGTGGACCTCCAGCAAACTCCAACAGACCTGTAGCTGAGGGACCTGACTGTTGGAAGGAAAACTAACAAACAGAAAGGAACAGCACCAGCATTAACAAAAAGGACATCTACAGCAAAATCCCATCTGTAGGTCACCAACATCAAAGACAAAGGTAGATAAAACCACAAAGATGGGGAGAAACCAGAGCAGAAAACCTGAAAATTCTAAACACCAGAGTGCCTCTTCTCCTCCAAAGGATCACAGCTCCTCGCCAGCAATGGAACAAAGCTGGACAGAGAATGACTTTGGCAAGTTAACAGAGTAGGCTTCAGAAGGTTGGTAATAACAAACTTCTCCAAGCTAAAGGAGCATGTTCAAACCCATCGCAAGGAAGCTAAAAACCTTGAAAAAAGATTAGATGAATGGCTAACTAGAATAAACAGTGTAGAGATGACCTTAAATGACCTGAAGGAGCTGAAAACCATGGCATGAGAACTTCGAGATGCATACACAAGCTTCAATAGCCGATTCGATCAAGTGGAAGAAAGAGTATCAGTAATTGAAGATCAAATTAATGAAATTAAGTGAGAAGACAAGGCTAGAGAAAAAAAAGTAAAAAGAAATGAGCAAAGCCTACAAAAATAGGGGACTATGTGATAAGACCAAACCTACGTTTGATTGGTGTACCTGAAAGTGATGGGGAGAATGGAACCAAGTTGGAAAACACTCTTCAGGATATTATCCAGGAGAACTTACCCAACCTAGCAAGGCAGGCCAACATTCAAATACAGGAAGTTCATAGAACACCACAAAGATACTCCTCGAGAAGAGCAACCCCAAGATACATAATTGTCAGATTCAGCAAGGTTGAAATGAAGGAAAAATGGTAAGGGCAGCCAGAGAGATAGGTCGGGTTACCCATAAAGGGAAGCCCATCAGACTAACAGTGGATCTCTCAGCAGAAACCCTACCAGCCAGAAGAGAGTGGGGGCCAATATTCAACATTCTTAAAGAAAAGAATTTTCAACCCAGAATTTCATATCCAGCCAAACTAATCTTCATAAGTTAAGGAGAAATAAAATCCTTCACAGACAAGCAAATGCTGAGAGATTTTTGTCACCATCAGGCCTGCCTTACAAGAGCTCATGAAGGAAGCACTAAACATGGAAAGAAACAATCGCTACCAGCCACTGTAAAAACATGCCAAATTGTAAAGACCATTGATGCTATGAAGAAACTGCATCAGTTAGCAGGCAAAATAACCAGCTAACATCATAATGACATGATCAAATTCACACATAACAATATTAACCTTAAATGTAAATGGGCTAAATGCCTCAATTAAAAGATACAGACTCACAAATTGTATAAAGAGTCAAGACCCATCAGTGTGCTGTATTCAGGAGACCCATCTCACGTGCAGAGACACACATAGGCTCAAAATAAAGGGATGGAGGAAGATCTACCAAGCAAATGGAAAGCAAAAAAAAAGCAGGAGTTGCAATCCTAGTTCCTGATAAAACAGACTTTAAACCAACAAAGATCAAAGGAGACAAAGAAGGTCATTACATAATGGTAAAGGGATCAATTCAACAAGAAGAGCTAACTATCCTAAATATATATGCACCCAATACAGGAGCACCCAGATTCATAAAGCAAGTCCTTAGAGACCTACAAAGAGACTTAGACTCCCACAGAATAATAATGGGAGACTTTAACACCCCACTGTCAACATTAGACAGATCAATGAGACAGAAGGTTAACAAGGATATCCAGGAATTGAACTCAGCTCTGCACCAAGGAGACCTAATAGACATCTACAGAACTCTCCACCCCAAATCAACAGAATATACATTCTTCTCAGCACTACATAGCACTTATTCTAAAATTGACCACATAATTGGAAGTAAAGCACTCCTCAGCAAATGTAAAAGAAGAGAAATCACAACAAACTGTCTCTCAGACCACAGTGCAATCAAATTAGAACTCAGGATTAAGAAACTCACTCAAAACCTCACAACTACGTGGAAACTGAACAACCTGCTCCTGAATGACTGCTGGGTAAATAACAAAATGAAGGCAGAAATAAAGATGTTCTTTGAAATCAATGAGAACAAAGACACAGCATACCAGAATCTCTGGGACACATTTAAAGCAGTGTGTAGAGGGAAATTTTTAGCACTAAATGCCCACAGAGAAAGCAGGAAAGATCTAAAATGGACACCCTAACATCACAATTAAAAGAACTAGAGAAACAAGAGCAAATAAATTCAAAAGCAAGCAGAAGGCAAGAAATAACTAAGATCAGAGCAGAACTGGAAGAGATAGGGAAACAAAAAGCCCTTCAAAAAATCAATGAATCTAACAGCTGGTTTTTTGAAAGGATCAACAAAATTGATAGACTGCTAGCAAGACTAATAAATAAGAAAAGAGATAAGAATCAAACAGATGCAATAAAAAATGATAAAGGGGATATCACCACAGATCCCACAGAAATACAAACTATAATCAGAGAATACTATAAACACCTCTATGCAAATAAACTAGAAAATCTAGAAGAAATGGATAAATTCCTGGACACATACATCCTCCCAAGACTAAATCAGGAAGAAGCTGAATCCCTGAATAGACCAATAACAGGCTCTGAAATTGAGGCAATAATTAATGGCCTACCAACCAAAAAAAGTCCAGGACCAGAAATGGATTCGCAGCTGAATTCTACCAGAAGTACAAAGAGGAGCTGGTACCATTCCTTTTGAAACTATTCCAGTCAATAGAAAAAGAGTGAATCCCCCCTAACTCATTTTATGAGTCTGGGATCATCCTGATACCAAAGCCTGGCAGAGACACACAGAAAAAAGAATTTTAGACCAATATCCATGATGAAAATCGATGTGAAAATCCTCAGTAAAATACTGGCAAACCGAATCCAGCATCCCATCAAAAAGCTTATCCACCATGATCAAGCTGGCTTCACCCCTGGGATGCAAGGCTGATTGAACATATGCAAATCAGTAAACGTAATCCATTATGTAAACAGAACCAATGACAAAAACCACATGATTATCTCAATAGATGCAGAAAAGGCCTTTGACAAAATTCAACAGTGCTTCATGCTAAAAAATCTCAATAAACTAGGTATTGAGGGAACATATCTCAAAATAATAAGAGCTATTTATGACAAGCCCACAGCCAATATCATACTGAATGGGCAAAAACTGGAAGCATTCCCTTTGAAAACCGGCACAAGACAAGGATGCCCTCTCTCACCACTCCTATTCAACATAGTGTTGGAAGTTCTGGCCAGGGCACTCACTGAAGAGAAAGAAACAAAGGATATTCAATTAGGAAAAGAGGAAGTCAAATTGTCCCTGTTTGCAGATGACATGATTGTATATTTAGAAAACCCCATCATCTCAGCCCCAAATCTCCTTAAGCTGATAAGCAACTTCAGCAGAGTCTCAGGATTACAAAATCAATGTGCAAAAGTCACAAGCATTCCTATAAACCAACAACAGACAAACAGAGAGCCAAATCATAAGTGAACTCCCATTCCCAATTGCTACAAAGAGAATAAAATACCTAGGAATCCAACTTACAAGGGATGTGAAGGACGTCTTCAAGGAGAACTACAAACCACTGCTCAACAATATAAAAGAGGACACAAACAAATGGAAGAACATTCCATGCTCATGGATAGGTAGAATCAATATTGTGAAAATGGCCATACTGCCCAAGGTAATTAATAGATTCAATGCTACCAATGACTTTCTCCACAGAATTGAAAAAAACTACTTTAAAGTTTATATGGAACCAAAATAGAGCCCACATTGCCAAGAAAATCCTAAGCAAAAAGAACAAAGCTGGAGGCATCATGCTACCTGACTTCAAACTATACTACAAGGCCACAGTAACCAAAGCAGCATAGTACTGGTACCAAAACAGATATATAGAGCAATGGAACAGAACAGAGCCCTCAGAAATAACACCACACATCTACAACCATCTGATCTTTGACAAACCTGACAGAAACAAGAAATGGGGAAAGGATTTCCTATTTAACAAATGGTGCTGGGAAAACTGGCTAGCCATAGATAGAAAGCTGAAACTGGATCCCCTCCTTACACCTTATACAAAAATTAATTCAAGATGGATTATAGACTTAAATGTTAGACTTAAAACCACAGAAACCCTAGAAGAAAGCCTAGGCAATACCATTCAGGACATAGGCATGGGCAAGGACTTCATGACTAAAACACCAAAAGCAATGGCAACAAAAGCCAAAATAGACAAATGGGATCTAATTAAACTAAAGAGCTTCTGCACGGCAAAAGAAACTACCATCAGAGTGAACAGGCAACCTACAGAATGGGAGAAAATTTTTGCAATCTACCCATCTGACAAAGGGCTAATATCCAGAATCTACAAAGAACTCAAATTTACAAGAAAAAAACAAACAACCCCATCAAAAAGTGGGCAAAGGATATAAACAGACACTTTTCAAAAGAAGACATTTATGCAGCCAACAGACACATGAAAAAATGCTCATCATCACTTGTCATCAGAAAAATGCAAATAAAAACCACAAGGAGATACCATCTCACACCAGTAAGAATGGCGATTATTAAAAAGTCAGAAAACAACAGATGCTGGGGAGGATATGGAGAAATAGGAATGCTTTTACACTGTTGGTGGGAGTGTAAATTAATTCAACCATTGTGGAAGACAATGTGGCGATTCCTCAAGGATCTAGAACTAGAAATACCATTTGACCCAGCAATTCCATTACTGGGTATATACCCAAAGGATTATAAATCATGCTACTATAAGGACACATGCACACGTATGTTTATTGCAGCACTATTCACAATAGCAAAGACTTGGAACAAACCCAGATGTCCATCAATGATAGACCGAATTAAGAAAATGTGGCACATATACACCATGAAATACTATGTAGTCATAAAAAAGATGAGTTCATGTCCTTTGCAGGGGCATGGATGAAGCTGGAAACCATCATTCTCAGCAAACTATCACAAAGACAGAAAACCAAATACCAAATGTTCTCACTCATAGGTGGGAACTGAACAATGAGAACACTTGGAGACGGGGGCAGGGGAGAACATCACATACCGGGGCCTGTCTGTGGGGGCTGGAGGAGGGATAGCATTAGGAGAAATACCTAATGTAAATGACAAGTTGATGGGTGCAGCAAACTAACATGGCACATGTATACCTACGTATAAACCTGCACATGTACCCTTTATTAAAGTATAATAAAAAAAGAAAGATTTTTTTCCATCAAAATTATGAAATTGTATAACTCTTTCAGGATCACAACATTTCAACCATTAAGTGTCACCTAGGAAGCTATTTTAAAATGCATATCTATTCCTGCTAGTGAAGTTTGCTTTTTAAAAAATGCAGATCATTGTATAGGTAATGTTAACTTGTCAAAGTAGGATGTTTAATATTATTAGCCGTCTTCCAAATATTTATAAATATTTAATGGAGTTTTGTACAACTATTGTTATCATCATATTAAATGCATAAAGATGACTCCAAGACTCAATGTTGTCTTGAAACTATTTTTTTTTAAAGCACAAAGTAACAGGAGAACAAAATATACAAAACTTTCAAATATATCAGAAATAACATTCCTTCTTTGATTATTATTATGGTGCTAAGAATTATTGTTTTGAAAAGGAGCCATTTTATCACACAGTTGAGACATATTTCATAAGAAACAAAAACATAAAATCAAATAAAAGTTGTTAGAGTATTATTTGTACACATGCATTTCCAGTCTGATTAAAACATCTTTTACATTAATTTGTTATTAAATTTATTAATTATGCATAGGTGTTTACCTACAATAATTATATAGTCAAAGAAGTGTCATACCATTAGAACACAAAATGATCTCAGAATATCTGACTCTTACTCAAGAGTTTGGCAATTCTTTCTCAACAAAGTGTTTTCACACCTTTTGACTTTTACAGACACAAGAGCAAAGCACTCTTTAGGAATTTTTTACATCTTCACTGAATAAGACAAAGTCCAGAGACAGAAATTTTCACCGGTGTTTTTGTATGCCATGTATCACATTTCCTACTAATTGTTGGAACAGAGAAATTAAAGACATATAATTAGCATGAATGTATCCAGAAATAAGCAAAGTAATTACTAGTTTCTCATCATGATTATTCAGTATGACTTAAATGTTTTTGGTGGGAAACTTGATATTGAAATAATTAATATTCAAAATGATCTTTCCTTGTAAAGAAATGTAAAGGCAAGCTTCACTTCATTAAATAACCATGAAATCATCTTTATAATAAGTTATTTTGAACCCGGAAAGATAAAGTTGTAAGTGATGGGTGGGCTCCCAGGTCCTCTGTATAAGTAAGCCGTAGACAGGTTGCCTGACAGTGCTCAGGAGCTAGTGTTGGGCCGGGCACGGTCACTCACACCTGTAATCCCAACACTTTGGGAGGTTGGGCAGGAGCATCGCTTGATTCCAGGAGTTCAAGGCCACCCTACACAGCATAGTGAGACCTCGTCTCTACAAAAATTTTTTAAAAAATTAGCCAGGCATGGTGGCATATGCCTGTCATCCCAGCTACTTGGGAGGCTGAGGTGGGAGGATTGCTTGAGCCCAGGAGGTTGAGGCTGCAGTGAGCTGTGATTGCACCACTGCACTCCAGCCTGGATGACAGAGTGAGGCTCTGTCTCAAAACAAAACAACAACAACAACAAAGCTAGTGTTGATTCTGGTCAAGGGAGCATTGAGATGAGGATGAGAGAGTCTCCCTTTTATAAGATTGATTCCAGATACAATTTGAAACAGCTAATGGCTCTCTTTGATGTTTTACTTCCATTCTTCTTATACTTTTCTACCTCTTAATTCCTCTTCTGCAATGACCCTAAAGTCTTCAGGGTCCCAAGTCCTCCAAATTCTGACCTCCTCCCAGGACTAGCTTCATGGTGTGTGACCTGAGTGGTTGCACAGGGTCCTGCACTCTGATGGGCCCTGCACACAGTTTTATGCCCTGTTGTGTATTAATTACTCCTAATAACTGTTTATTTTGTGCTGGATCCTGAAAATAAGGTAGCCAGGCTTGCCGCCTATCCATAATGATCATGTGGTCATTAACAGCTATGCAAAAGAACAATCTTGAAAGAATATGCATGAATATATGAATACTAAGTTACCCCTCAATTCTCTCGGAGACTGAAGTCCCTCAAATATCTACTTAGGAACTCGGTTTGCCACTTAACCACTCTAGAACTCTGTTATTTCATCTGCAAAATAAGAACAGCAAATTATGAACTATAAGTTCCTTCCCATCTAAACAACCACACCAGCCTATAGGGACTTGTGCTTTTTAAAGGGAAGGTGTTTTTGCAGAGTAAAAGATGACATGAAAATAATTTAGACCATCCAGTAGAGTGCTACCCTGGTTAATTTCCTTAATTATATGTGTTTGTTTTTGTAGAAGTTTTAGTTTTTCAACTATTCATTAAATAAATACTTACCCATAGTATCTACCACTCAGTTTTTAAATTTCTCCAATTATTATGTCACTCTCATAGACCACAGCTCCATGAGGAAACAAAGTCTGTAAGTTACGTTTACATTTGCTTTCAGAAGACTTGAGCACAGTAGATTCCCAACAAATATTTGTTAAATGCATGAATGTATGATTGAATAAACTAAGTGCCTACTAAATGTCAGCTGAAAAAAATATGAGTACCTACTTGTGCTTAGTACTGGATATCCGAAGTTGAATAAGACAAGATGCCTACTTTCAAGGTTCTAATACACTAATGGGGACAGAGCTTCTTGCATAAACCCTTACAGACTAATGCAACCAACACCTTAATAGAAACATGTTCAAAGTAGAGTACAAACGAGGAATCCTCTCACTCTGGCTGGTGGTATTAGGAAAGGCTTCACAGAGGAGGCAGGATTTGAGCTGAGTCTTGAAACTTGAGAAAGGCAAAAGGTAAAAAGAACATGTAAGGCAGGGAAATGAGACTGAGATTGGCTTGAAGGAATCTAGAAATTGTTCGGGGGATTGCAACACCATAGTTTATAGAGGCTGAGTAGAAATGAAAAAAGGAAGGTTAATCGAAGTCAGGCAATGGACACCCTTCCAACCATAATGAGTTTATCTGGAAGGTTATAGTGAGTCCTTGCAAGCTTCTAAGCAGGGAAGAAGACAATGGATGTCACTGCTGTTGTGTTTTGAAAGATCTTTCTTATTACAATATTGGGATGTGGTCTAGTTGAATTCCTACGTTTCTGGATGTATTGTAAGAATTCCACTTTTTTCTGTTGAATAGTAGAGCAAGGAATGCTCATATCAGCCAAAATTGGATAAAATGAAAATAATCTGTGAGAAGCCCCAGAAAAGTAAAGGAGCTGAAAAAGCAGGCCATGAATACGGAATCAGTGTAATTCTTGGCAAGATGAACGCAGTGGCTCATAACTTATAACAACAACAACATATAACAAATACAACATCAACAAATAACAACGACAACAACAAAGAACACCAAGATAGGTCCTGAGAATCTCAAAATTCTTCCCAAGTCAGTAAACAAGTCAACAGTAGAATAAAGAAGAGCAGATGAAAGGAACTCAAAGTGCCAGTGACACATGTGAGGAGAAAGGAAGCAAATGAATGGAAGGCAATTGCATAATTCTAGGTAAATAACTTTTTTAATGTGGGTGGAGACCACTGTTTACTAAATATGAAAGATTAATATCAGCAGAGGAAGGAATTGTTTGTTTTTAATCCAAGAGGTCATTGTGAACAATAAAAAACAAAAAAGAACATAAGTTACCACAGAAACCATTTGTTGAATACTTAACAAATTTCACGATATCAAAATAATTCAAAATTGTACATGGATAATTTGAAACTGAATCTGTCTGGGGCAGTCACCAACTTCTTTGAGATGTTTCCATGTATTTATTTGAGAAGAAACAAATAGAAAATTATCATTGTCTATCCTCAGCATTATGGGAAGGCTGCATATATTCTTATACAGTAAATTCTCAACTATTTAAAATAAATTACTACTTATGATTAACTGAATACTTATGATTAACACTGAATACTTATGATTAACAATTGCTTAATTAAACTACAGACTGTCATACAAAGATCAGAAACTAGGTATTTAGGTGTGAGAATCACACACACACACACACACACACACAAAGTGTAATATCCTCATTAGCCCCAATCTGAAAGAATATAAAAGAGAATAATAATAACCTGGGATGTGAATTGTTTTTCTAAGTTTCTTAAGATATATGAGGGATTTGTCACATGAAACTGAAAGTCTGGTTCCCCCCTTTATAAGTACATATTACCTTAAATTATACATTCATGGAACTCTAAACTTCATGGGCTCTGGCGTGGTCTTCACTCCTCTTACAGAGACCACGCCAAGGCCTCAGCTCTGATCCAACATAAACAGGGTCACACAGCCACCAGCACAGTGGCTAACAGAGTTTTTCCAGATGCAGATGCAATTTCCCCAATTCAATTGCCTTACTTTTGGGGAGGGTTCCATCCAGGTTTTCATGGAGAGGAAATCCCAGAGTTTACAATGTTCCAGACAATCCAGCACCTGTAGTGCCATACTTTCTCTTTTCTTTTCATAAATTTGAGCCCTGGCAGAGCTAATTAAACAATGATGAAAGCAAGGAAAATAGACATTTCTGACTCCATAAAGAACTTCCCCAAAACACAAGCAGGAATAATACTAGTTTAGTTACATAGCAAAGATCTAGAGAAATAATGTCAAGGGGTGAAAGTGGAGACGTCTAAGGGGAGGGTTGCCCAAGGAAAGAAGGCACTGAGAGGCGGGGCAGTGACACACAAGTGTCCAAGATGGTACCGACAGGAGAATTTCTCAAGGGTCATTGTCAGCTCATAGCACGGTCCCCAACTCAACAAGAGAGGGAGGCTGATTGAGGGAGGGCCTGAAAGAAGAGACGTCTTACTCTGAGGACTTATGTCTAAATGGGCTCTACATAAGGTATAGAATTATATTTAACGTGTTCTTAAAGAATTGCTCCTAACCAGTGAATTTCTGAGCATCTTGAACCTCCTTGTGGGCAATGCACAAAGCCATTCTTTATTTTTCCAGAAATGATTTTAAATGATAGGCAGGCACACGCGCACCGGCTCAGACCTGATATTTATATATAAAATGCACATACTCTTTTTATATATTATGAACATGTAGAAACATGTACATGTAAAGAAAATTAACAACATTAACACAGTTGATCACTCCCTCCTTGAACTCATTCTTTGTTTGGCTTTCAGACCTTCCTTTTGTCTTTTTTCTTCCTACCACACAGGCTGCAGCTTCTTAGTCTCATATGTGGGACTCTCCTCATTCCCCACTTCCCTCAGTGTTGAGTGCCCATTTCACAAACCTCTTTTCTTCTTATCTGTCCGGGCTCCCTGGGTGGTGCCAACCAATCTCACAGCTTTAAACACTATCTCTGTGCTGACAACGTCCAAATGTTTTCTCCTGCTGTGTCTCCTCCATTGATCTCTACAGTTACATACATATACTCAACTCCTTTCCTGGAAATCTACCAGGTATCTAAAATGTAACATATCCAAAATAAGGTCTCAGTTTTCCTCCTCAATGCTGTTCCACACAACAGTTTTTCTTTATTTCAAAACTAAAAGTGAGAGGACCAAGTTTAATTTTTTTCTCTTATACACCAAACCGAATTCATCAACACATTGTTTTAGTCTTACCTTCAAAATATATCTAGAATATTACCACCTCTCTCCCCATCCACCGTTCAACCCATCATCTGTCTCTTGACTTGTCAAAAATAACCTCTATTCCGGCCTCCCAGCTTCCCCCATTGAAAATAAATATAATATTAACTATTTATATTATATGCACTTAACAAATACTTATGAAGTGTCCATATTATGAAATGCACTATGCTAGACAATATGTAGGGCACTGATGTGAGTTTGACCCAATTCCTGTCCTCAAAGTTTTTATATTCTGGGTGAATAGGTTAGATACATACACACAACCCAATACAAAGCAACAGAAGATAATTGTCATATTGTGCTATAAAGAGCTAGAGGGGTTTAGAGGAAGGAGAGGAAATTTCTGATTGTATTGGCAATAAAGCCTTTGCTGAGGAGGTTGCATTGAAGGTGGGCCTTGAAGATAAGTCAGGTTTTAGGAACAGTGACTTGAGCTCATTCCAGAAGGTGCCCCAGAAGGAGATGAAAGAGTCAGGACATCTTCCGAGCATGGAAAGTAGTAACATTTGGCTGACATAGGTGGATATATAGAGGAGCTAGAGGAAAAAGCTGTTACAGTTAAAATGGACTTAGAATATGGAATCCCAGCCAAAGAAGTTGGGACTTTAACAGGGAGGTCAAAGAAGTAATTTTGCTATATGTGTTTAATGTTACATCATAAGAGTAACAAAAGTAAGGTAATATGTTTAAAAAAATTCATGTGGAGGTAACAAGATATAGAGGGATACTTTATGTTTTATTTGTAGACCTTAGACACTCTTACTTTTAGAGGCCTGCCACACACTATATCAAAGGTGCAATAAAGTGAATTTACATTACATGCCATATAAAATATACTGACACATATATAATTTTTGAATTGATTTGATTTACATTTGACTGCTTGCCATAATTTAGTATTTGTAAACCTTTGCTTTTTTTTTTTTATTTAACTGTTTTCTTTTTCTATTTGAGAGCGAATATTTTATAGGTCACTGAAGACCCTGAAGGCCTGAAGCACTTTCTCCATGAAGCGCGATGGATGAAATAGGTTGGCAAACAGAGAGGCTTAGAGGACCAAGCACTACACAAATGTAAACACTTTCATAAATTTATTAATAAAAGTGATGTGAACAAGTAATATACCATTTAAAAGGAAAATGTGCTCAAAACATTGTATCTACAAAAACAACAAACACATCACTCATTCAGGCAAGATGTGTATCTTTAAACTGATTTTATAGTAAAAAACCACTCGATTAAAACAAAAATTCAGATACACATTCTTCAAAAAGAGGGCAGGTAAAGTAGGACCCAATGTAATTGATTTAATTGGTTAATTGCCTTGATCAATTTTATCTTCAATTCATTAAGTTAGGCATAATAATTTATTCATTTATTTATCAAAAATGTATTTAACTATAATGTTCCAAAATATAAAGAAATGATCACTGTTTTGTATCATACTTAAATTTGAGATAATTTTACACAATATTTATGTGGGAAAAGAGAGATTAAACCCAAAGGGATTTCAGCCTAAATACAATAAATGAGTTTTTGACACTGTTTTGTGTTTTAATAAGAAGAGTCATTAAGTTAGAGTAATAAAGTATAAAGTTTTTTAAACTTTTATTTTAAGTTTAGGGGTACATGTGCAGGTATGTTACATAGGTAAATTTGTGTCATGGAGGCTTGTTGTATGGATTATTTCATCATCCAGATATCAAGCATAGTACTTATTAGTTATTTTTCTGATCCTCTCCCTCCTCCCAGCCTCCACCCTCCAATGGGCCACAGTGTCTGTTGTTCCCCTCTATGTGTCCATGTATTCTCATCATGTAGCTCCCACTTATAATGAGAACATACAGTATTTGGTTTTCTGTTCCTGTATCAGTTTGCTAAGGATAATGACCTCTAGCTCCATCCATGTCCCTGCAAAAAACATGATCTTTTTCTTTTTATGGCTGCATAGTATTCCATGGCATATATGTACCACATTTTTTTGTGCAGTTTACCATTAATGGGCATTTAGATTGATGCAATGTCTTTACTATTGTGAGTAGTGCTGCGATGAACATATGAGTGCATGTTTCTTTATAATAGAATGATTTATATTCCTTTGGGTATATACCCAGTAATGGGATTGCTGGGTTGAATGGTATTTTTGTCTTTAGGTCTTTGGGGAATCACCGCACTATCTTCCACAAAGGTTGAACTAATTTACACTCCCACCAACAGCATGTAAGCATTCCTTTTTCTCCACAAGCTCGCCAATATCAGTTACTTTTTTTACTTTCTAGTAAGAGCCATTCTGACTGTTGTGAGATGGTTTTGGCTTTTATTGGCATGTCTCTAATCATCAGTGATGCTGAGCTTTTTTTCATATGAAAGCCAAGGCGTCCTAAGCAAAAGAACAAAGCTGGAGGCATCATGCTACCCAACTTCAAACCATACTGCAGGGCTACAGTAACCAAAACAGCATAATACTGGTACAAAAACAGACACATAAATCAATGGAACAGAACAGAGAACCCAGAAATAAGACCACATAGCAACAAACATCTGATCTTTGACAAACCTGACAAAAACAAGCAATGGGGAAAGGCTTTACTATTCAATAAATGGTGCTGGAATAACTGGCTAGCCACATGCAGAAGACTGAAACTGGACCTCTTCCTTACCCCATATACAAAAATTAACTCAAGATATATACAAAAATTAACTCAAGATATATTAAAGACTAAAATGTAAAACACAAAACTATAAAAACCACAGAAGACAACCTGGGCAATACCATTCATGACACAGGCACAGACAAAGATTACATGATGAAGATGCCAAAAGCAACTGCAACAAAAACAAAAATTGACAAATGGGATATAATTAAACTAAAGAGCTTCTACACAGCAAAAGAAACTCATCACAGTGAACACACAACCTACAGAATGGGAGAAAATTTTTGCAAACTATGCAACTGACAAAGGTCTAATATCCAGCATCTATAAGGAACTTAAATTTACAAGAAAAATCACAATGCCATTAAAAAGTGGGCAAAAAACATGAACAGACACTTTGCAAAAGAAGAAGATATACATGCGGCCAACAATAATTAGTATAAAAATTAATCAAGGCATTATAAAAACATTTCAATCTTCACAGGATGCCAAGCTTTTTCTTTTCCAAGCTATGATCATAGCCAATGATGCTAAATTAAAAGAAAGTTACATTTTCATCAATTATTTATTATTATTTCATTTGACTTTTCAGTATACTTCTGTTAGTCTGAAGTTTTCTTTTGTGTAATGAACTTATAAGAAATATTATACTTAAAACAAAAAAGGTTTAAGGTTTTTATTACTCATAAAAAATTTTCAAGAGGAGATTGTGATTACTTTATACTGAACACTTAGCAAATTTCATAGCTATATCTCCAAGGGTAAATGCTTATCCTTTTTTGTTTGTTTGTTTCTCTTTCAATCTATTCACAAGGTTTAATAATCAAAATTTGTCCTTGCAGTGAATAATCCTACTCTCCTATTAATTTTTTTGTATATACAACACCTAAGCATGCACATTTTAATGTTTTCTGGCATTTACCACTTTTTCTGTAAGATTGCGTTGATGTCACCCCATCCTACAATAACCAACACTGATATGTTCATTTTAGAAACATAAAGTTTAATACAGTATGTTCACATTTAAAATGTAGTTAATAAAAGTCAGTCAACAAGTTCTTTTTAAGTAACTATAAAAAATTACAAAAAAGCCTTAAAATGTTGTCACTATCTAAAAGAAGTTTATAATCCAAAGAGTTCAGCCATTTATTTTCTTAGTTGTGACTAAGTGACTCCGTAAGCCACCTGTTAAATGGATCCCCTTTAGTTGGTCTTGAATAGCAGAAAATGTATGTACTAATTATGTGCATTTAAAGTTTTAATACCCCTTTATTATACTATTGTCCTGTATTTGCTTTTACGGTTATATTTAAATTGAGTAAAGTTCCAGAAACATTCATTATTCTTAAAAGCAAATGAAACTCTGCATTGCAGTCTGACTGCTCATTCATAATTCAGTATCCCAGCCTAAAACATTATGCTCAAACAAGCACAAATATTGGCAAAGGTGAAATATTGAATGGCTACTGTTGCAGCTAAATTATGTAGCAATCTCTGTGTGTGCTTTAATTTCCTAGCCCTAGAAATAAAAATTAAAAGCAGGAAAAATAGTCAGCAATTATGGGTGTAAGCTAAATAAGCAAGGGAGTAGTGCCAAGTTGCAATTATTCAAAGCTGCATGCTCTTTATTAGTTATGCACAGGTCTGAAATGACAATGAAACCCAAAAATGGGGAAAAAAAACCTCAAACACATTAGTTACTCATTATACATATCTAGACAAAGAAAAAGGATTCTAGGAGAATGTTCTTATGAATTTGAACTTTGAAAATTAGCAACTCTGGTTCTGTTTACGTTAATGGAAATTTACTTTTCCTCAAATTTGTCTTAATTATCTGGGCAATAATACCAGCCCTCCATTTATTAGGATCTTGGGCACTTGTTTGGAGGTTCCAGCAGGTAAGCAGGGTTACTAAATACCCTTGACAGAGGACAGATCTCCTCTTTCTGTGGAGATTGGCCCCTCTTTGGACTTAAAGCATTAGTAAATATGCACAGTGACAACTGAGAGCAAGAGACCTGCACGTCACCAACTGAATCAGCAGAATTAATCCAGCTGATCAATTTGTGAAGTCACACTCGCCAGATCACTTTCACTTCCTGCCATTTCACCCAGTTTCCTTTGATGCAGGCTAGATGTGTTGCATTTTGTAGCAGTACAGACTTTACATTTTGTAGCCAACATAACCTATAGACATGAAGTAATTGATACCAAAGGCTAGTGATAAGTATCTAGTGCTCAGGAGTTTTGTCTTCTGAATTTTCAGGCTTACTCTTCTAACTTTGTCAGGTACCCTTATGCCACCTTATAACTCTCTCTTTTATAGAAATAAAAGCTAATTAATGCAATAAGTATAGTTACTTTATTGTGTAATAAAATTACTAGTTTTATACAGCACAGAGTGTACAAAACTATTAACATTCCTCCAAAAATCCGGATAGTTAGAAAAATTTGCAGGAAAAAATTGAACAAATTATCAGGCTGTGCCTTCTCATCCAGTTTTCTTCCATGACTATTTGAATGGCTCACCATATCACAGCATTTATAATTTTTAAATCTCCTTTAGTAAATTATCTCATTGAGCTTCACAACAGTTCTGAGAGGGGCTAAGCAGATGGGAGCAATCCACATTTTGCAAATGGGGCACCTAGACACGTAGATGTTAAATAGGGCATCCACTGTCACAGGCCTATTTGTGTGATAGGGTGAGAGGCTCTAGCTCTTTCCTCCATGCCACAGATTTCTCAAGCAAAACTAAATCTACTAAAAAACATAATAAAACACAACATTAAATCATCCATACTCTTCACTTTCCTCTCACCCCTAACCCAATTATCTTAATAAAAAGGACTTCCACTCAAACTAATATCAGAATGAAGAGTAGAGTGTTTGTAGGAACACAGTCTGATTCTGATTGAGTTTATTCAAATTTGCTGTTTGCAACTTTCACTTATGGTCAAGATGTATGTCATCCAGAGAATGTTCACATCTAATATATTCAAAGGAAAATCTGCTTTACTACCTTATTATCTTCCCCACACTTTTGTAAGGGACTCACCGACTTCCTTTCCATCATTTCATAGATGATGTCATTGAGGCACAAAATGGTTCAACAATTTACCCTCAGACAAACAGCCAAGACAAACATAGACAGTGGAATGGAACTCAAATTCAGCATTGCATCTACCCAGGTGAAGATGTACAACTTAAATCTGAGATCCTTGGTGCTGGTCAGACCCAAGCAGAGAAATTTTCAGCCCATGGAAAAGGTCTAGACCCATCTATATATTCAGCAAGGATATTTTATCTAACAAGGCTCTTTCTGGCATGACATGTGGGATTGGTCAACAAGAAATAGGAAACATGTACCACTCACACTGAAGCATCACAAACCAGTCCAGGCAGATAAACACGAGTGGGGGGTCACTTGAACACAGAAGCTCTCAATCAAGTTGGTGATCTCTGGACAGACGTGGAGAAACTCCTAGTTCCACCAATATCCTGATTTTCTATAGCTGTGAGCATGTTCTGGGTCATGAATACCCCGATTTAAGAGCTTGGTATGTATTTGAAGGTCAAGAATGCTTAACTGGAAATTACTGCTATGCACAGCAAATGCATTATAAGCAAAGAAAGTGGGTCTGTGACAAATTAATATCATTGATACTGTGCAAACCCACAATGATCATTTGTTGGAGATACTAGAAAACCTAAAAGTCAAGCTATAACATTATGTTTAAGCTTTCTTAGCAAAGACTAGCACAAAACTCTTCTAAATTGGGGTATTTTTATACCTTGAAACCATGCATTTGAAGGCTGGGCTTATGACATTGAATATATCGTTAGGATTCTAACAATGAAGCAGTGAATATATCATTGGGATTATGACAAAGAAGCAATATCTTTAGATAACTACAGGTGATAATTATATTTGTTTCAAGGAATATTGAAACATAAATGTAAAGAAAATTGACAATTAGAATCTGTTCACCTATGAGTTTCTATAGTATTTCCCTGTTAGTTTTCTTCTAGAAAGCAGAGAAGAGCAGCCGGGCACGGTGGCTCATGCCTGTAATCCCAGGACTTTGGGAGGCCAAGGCAGGCAGATCACCTGAGGTCAGGAGTTTGAGGCCAGCCGGGTCAACATGGTGAAACCATATCTCTACTAAAAAAAAAAAAAAAAAATTAGCCGGGCATGGTGGCACATGCCTGTAATCCCAGCTACTTGTGAGGCTGAGGGAGGAGAATCGCTTGAACAGGGAGATGGAGGTTGGAGTGAGCCGAGATAGTGCTACTGCCCTCCAGCCTGGAAGACAGAGCAAGATTCCATCTTAAAAAAAATCAAAAGCAGAGAAGAGAACCACTGTTGTTTGTTGTTGGAGAAGAGCATCACTGAGGGATGCAGGACTAGTCTGTACCCTGCCACGAACAATTCATCTTATCACATCGTTTCATCTCTTTGGGCCTCTTTTGCCTCATTTTTCTTAAAAAAATTCTAAATATCTAAGGGTCTTCTAGTTGGGAAATGCCACTGGTTCACCTATTTGACAATAGCATATAGCTATATGTCCACAACTTGTCCATAATCTATCAAAACAACTGAGGATGTATTGTCACTGGTATTATTGAACAACAGCAGCAGTACATTTGACAATAACTCTTAATTCCCAACTGGACAATGAATAACCATGTAAGACATGCTAATGCAGACACAAAATTACAAAAAAAAAAAAAAAAGCTGTATTTTTATCTTTTCCTTCTATGTAATGAATACAGCATCTGAAGACAGCATGGCCCTGTTTGAAAACACTGGAATAAAGACATCCATCCCATTCTGGGCTATAATTCCATGAAATTGAGTAAAACCCCAAACAAATTTAACTGATTGTGGGTTAAGATGGTATTTGAATTTTTTTAAAACCTGAAATTTCTTCCCCCTACCTTGCAGCCTCTGCATCACATTGGCGATATCCCGAGGACACCGGGAGGCCCCTCTGGAGGTTGCCATGGTCCCTCCGGAAGCACGAAGCCAACACCAAGAGACTCTTCACTGGAGGCAGCACAGGGCTACACCACTCTAGAAAACATGCTTGGACTTTTCTAGATCTATTCTGTCATAAATGAATTCCAGGCCTTTGCAGCACTCAACAAGGAGGCAGCTCTCCCAAAGACTGAACTGCTTCTTTTTCTTCTTCCGTTTTAAGACTGTCCTCTTACATGAACTCAAGAACCTGAAAAACAAAAAAGAAAAGGTACAACATAAAAAAAAAATCTACGAAGGTCACCACAGTGCTAAAAGGAGAAATATTTCTATTTAATTTGAATGCCTGGTCCATTATCAAGTGAAACAACTTAGTGAAAAGCACTTATAAACTACAAAGTACTATGCAAATGTTAGGAATTCCCATGATATTTAATAAAATAAATACATAAATGAGACATATAAAATAAAATTGGGTTGCTAAAAGAAGAAATGTTCACTTTCATTCCATGTTTTCTTTTTAAACTATCAACTTTTTCCATTGATCTATGAAAGTGGTTTCCCTTATACTAAAAACACTCAATTCTAGTTTTCAATATGCACGGGTTCTCTAGTCTGCTAATTTAGCCTGCTTTGCACATGTTTTGCTCTGTTGCGTTGTACTCTTTCCAGGAATGGGACCAAATCCTTGTTTCTCATACCAATTTGATGAATTAAAGCAGTATAAATGTAAAAACCATTTAATTCTAAAAATTTGAGTTTCAAGTACTCCAATTTTAGAAGCCAAATGGGTATGATTTAGTTTTTTTCCTCCCTATGTATAAAGACTCAAGAGTTTTAAGGCTAGGGTGGGGTGGGTGAAGCAGAGTGGACATTTTCCTTCTAAATTCTCTGCATTGGTTAAGTTTTTGTTTTTGTTTTTGTTTTGGGACAGTCTCACTCTGTCATCCAGGCTGGGGTACAGTGGCGTGATCTCAGCAAGCTCCACTTCCCGGGTTCAAGCAATTCTCATGCCTCAGCCTCCTAAGTAGCTGGGATTACAGGCGTATACCACCACGCCTGGCTAATTTTTGTGTTTTTTAGTAGAGACGGGGTTTCACCATGTTAGCCAGACTCGTCTCAAACTCCTGACCTCAAGTGATCTGCCCACCTCGGCCTCCCAAACTGTTGGGATTACAGGTGTGAGCCACCGTGCCTGGCTGGTTAAGTTTCATTGCCGGGGGGGGGGGGGGGAGGGGGAGGGGAGGAGGGGGTGCAGTGGGCTTTGGGAAGAGGTAGGAGAGTAGTCGTTGAAATCTTGATATTGCAAAATGTACTTTAAATAAGAATTTCCTAACCCTAGGTTTAGCTGAAGAGAAGGTATTGCCATAAACGAAATAATTAGACAGAAAGAAGAGGGGGTGAATAATGCACCAAGAGAAAGAAACGGCCTCCGAAGAGGCCCACAGGGAGGTGATACTTGATTACAGTTCCCATTGCATTTCTAGGTTATGATGATGAAGGTTAAAAAAGGAATGGGGGAAGAGAGGAAGAAGGGGAGAATGGCAAAAGCAAAACTCCTAAAGAAAGCTCATACATGTGAGATGGTGCACCTTCCTGAAGGAAAAAAGAAAATGAGAGGAGCCTGTGAGTGCTGTAAAAATTATATTATAACTTGGATTATAGTCCATAAAAGGACTTTGCTCATGAAGGATTGGTTAAATAATAGAGTGCAATTATGAATTACAATTTATTTTAAAATGGCATTACTAATACTATTATATATTGGTATCTGGTCAGAATGTATGAATGCAAAGCTAGTAACATGCTTTTTAGCCTATTATCTAAAAAAAAAAAAAAGATGCAAACCTTTGCACATTGCTGCTGCCCCATGTGCAATGCATCAGAAGGATGTACTGGAGCAAGAAAGCATTACTAACTTAGCAAGACATGGGACAGCGATGCAGTGAATGGAAGTCATTGGTAGGAAGATAGAGGCAAACTTCTCTTGGCTACTTGAAAGGAGTATATACTAGAAGTAGGACCCAATACTTGGTGTCTTATAGGCTAGAGAGGTACTTCTCAGTGGGTGACTCTCCAAGGGATTCTTCATGGAGAAATAATTACTTGTGGTTGGGCTGTCACATACATACCTATAGCCCTGCTGGAATTGTGTGCCCATTAGCAGCCTGTATATCCTGGGGAAAAATATTCCACCTGCCCACATACAAAAGCTATCTTAATTTGGGAGAATAATAGATAGTGAAAAGTGCCTGAAGGACCTTATAAATGGATCCCCTAAGCTATTAGGAAGTTAGGTTTTCAAATGCAAAAATATAACTTTCTGAAATCAATCAATCAACCAATCTACCTATTATCTATATCATTTATCTGCATGTATGTTAAAGACATTCACTTCATTTCAGATACCCCACTCCAAGCTGGGCTCAGCACTGGAGCTCACAGATGATTAACACACAGTCCCCACCTTCAATCAAGAATTATGGAATTAAAAGGGATTTCAGTTAAATCATTGCAACAGAAATCACTCTGCCTCTATCCTCTTCTAATTCACATTCACATAGCTTGGTAGATTAATCTGAAATACTGTGCATGCCCTCTCTCTCTCTCGTTACATTAAACTCAGAATTTCCCTGCATGTGCCCAGTATTCATCCAGTCTTACTTTCACAGCATAACTAACACATTCAGAGTGCCAGAGCTCAATGCTGGGATTACTAAGGTGGATATGACACAGAGACTATTTTTGAAGAGCTTAGGACACAGTGGGAGATAAAACATAGAAAAGATAATACAAAAATACCAGGGCTAAGTGCAAATACAAAGATGTGAAGATACAGAGGATGGTGGCTAAGCCAGTGTGGGTGTTCTGGAAAGGTGTCCTTCTTGGCAAGGAGCAGACACTTGAGCTGAGTCTTGGTAAATGGGTTAGTCACTCAGGTGAAACATACGAAAGACACATCCTGGGCAGGGTGAAGAGCTTGAGCAAAGGCCTCAGCATGAGAAACAGCATGACTGGGACATGGAACTATCACCAGTCAGACACTGAGAAACTCTACAAGGTGACATTGTGGAAAAGAGGGCGGAGAGTGAGGTGGTGTCCAGATGGCGCAGGGCCCTGAGTGCTATGCTCAGAAGTTTGGTTCTGGTTCTCTAGCAGGCAACAGGAAGCCACTGAGAGATCTTAAGCTGGAAGTGAGAAGGTATGATTGGGATTATTCTAGCTATGATTTTAAAGGATGTATTTGAGAAGGACAAAACTGGAAGATCCAGAAAGATCAGTTAGGAAAGTATCTCAGGAATCCAGGTAGAAGATGACCAAAGACGGAAATCAGACAGAGGTAGCAGAGTGAGTGGAGAATCAAATATAACACAGCTTTAGGGAACAAAATTTGTAAGACTTGGTGATTGGTCACCCAGGGGTGGAGGTGGGTATAGGTAGAAGGAGGTGGGGTTTCCAGAGTGTATATCTGAGGAGTCTCAGATGACTCTCAGGATTTGGGGTGCCATTAATTGAGCTCAGCAGAAGAGGGGCCTTATAGGTTTTACATCCAAACACTCTCCCCTTCATGCTTCATATCTTTGGAACAACTCAGGAGCAATTTCTTCATTACCCCTTCACATCACCCCTCTGAAGAACACTTTCAGCTGAACAAATGGAAATACCTAGCCCAGGATCCACATACCACTTGAAGCTTTTCCTAAACACACCAACCAACACTCACCATTATTTTCCACTGAGGCCTCTAACATCAACGATCCATACTATCCTAGGTACAATTTGGCTTCTATCTTTCACTACTGCTAGTCTTACCTCACTCTAAAGAAACAGTGAACATTTCACTGGTATAGAGGCTATAACATTGCAAAATCTCATTCATTGACACCAAGTATATCCCTGACCACATCCTAGGCCCCCGATATATATTTTTTGTTTCATTGAATCAAGTTCATAATACTTTACATTTATGAGAAAATCCCCAGAAAACCTCTTCCTCTTCAATGCAAAAAAAAGTGGATGCAATATCCTTCCTTTTTCAGACATTAAACATTTTGCTTTCATCATTCACATGTACACATATTTCCTATTTTGTGAAATCATGATTTTCTTGCTTTTTACTGATACTTTATCTAATTACATGATTTAATAAGAAATTTAAATGATGTTAATAAAAAGAAGGTAATAAAAGGAGACTGGGAATTAGGAAATATCAGTTCTAGGCTAAACTTTATCCCAGCTAGTTGGGTGATTTTGAGCTGGTTCTATGCATGAAGGTCCTCAACAACTACCTATTGGAGGAGAGTGTGGTACCAGGAAATGCACAGACTTTGATCTAAGAAAGACCTGGAGCTGAATCTTAATTCTATCTCTTACTGTGCACGCAGGCTTAAGAAAAATGAGCTTTTCTGAGCCCTTCTTTCATCATCTGTAAAATGAGGTATACTTATGCCAAATTAGGTTTAATTTTATCCTGCTTAAATTAATTTTTTTAAAAGATAAATATGTCATGTTTCCAGCAGATTGATTGGCATGTAGCAGAGTTTCAGCAAATACTAGTTTCCATTTTCCTTCCCCTGTTCCCAGTTTCTCCAGCTGCAATATGAGAGACGGCCCTAAAATGCAGAGGTACTCCCAAGTGTGCTCTTCTGTTCCAAAACCAATAGCAGCACAAGGCAGAGCTAAAACAACGACTGGTGCAAGGTCATGAGATCCTCCAACAGACTGTTTACCTAGCAGTGTTCTGGCTATGGACATGACAGAACCAGAACACCAGAGGCAGATCCAGAACATCAATAAACTCACTATTCCCAAGATTATTAAAACAGTTTTTAATAGGTGCAGGATACTGCGGGAGCACGAAGGAGAGGGAATGAAGAGTGAAGCTAGGCATTGGGATGGAATTGGAGAATTTGATGGACATTCATGGGCTGTATACCAATAAATAGTCCCTGCACCATCTCCAAATTTTTCCAGGGGAAGGAACTAAGATTATGATGCAGCTAAATACATTCAGAAAGGTAAGATTCCTGTATTTATTATTTCACAATAAATATGTATTGAGTAGCTATTTGTAAGGGACCATGGTACTGAGTAAACAGCAGTCAACAAGAGAGACAAGCCCCTCTTACAGCTTATGTGCCGGTAGAGGAAGATGATATAAACAATGTTACAACAAAGGAGGGCAAGTATTGTAATGGAAAAGTCCAGGCTACTATGGAAGCAAACAAAACACCCACCCAATCAATAACCATCTGCTGCATTTTTTTTTTGTTCAGGACACAGAGAGAATTTGGACTATCTGCTATTTGGGATGCTCCCAGTTGAAAGGCATACTCTTCTTAGGAATTTGGACTACCTGCTATTTGGGATGCTCCCAGTTGAAAGGCATACTCTTCTTAGGAATTTGGACTACCTGCTATTTGGGATGCTCCCAGTTGAAAGGCATACTCTTCTTAGGAATTTGGACTACCTGCTATTTGGGATGCTCCCAGTTGAAAGGCATACTCTTCTTAGGAATTTGGACTACCTGCTATTTGGGATGCTCCCAGTTGAAAGGCATACTCTTCTTAGGAATTTGGACTACCTGCTATTTGGGATGCTCCCAGTTGAAAGGCATACTCTTCTTAGGAATTTGGACTACCTGCTATTTGGGATGCTCCCAGTTGAAAGGCATACTCTTCTTAACATCACTCCCTGTGAAAAAACACAGTTGTGAAATAGCACAACTCAATTTTTTCTGTCTCTTGGCAGAATGGACATTGGCTCTTAAAGCAGTTTCTTGTTTGTGTGACTAAAAAGGAATACACTAAGAAAAGCACTGAAGAAATACTACTGAGCCACAAGAATATATATAAGCAATGCAACTGAATTTCTAGGTATTAGGAAACTACTGCAGAAAATTTCAAACCCTGCAATGACCAGAGACAACGTGGCTCATTTCTAACCAAAAAGAAAATGAACTGAGAACATAAACACATAAACAGATTCACAACAGCAGGAAGTACAGATATTAATTAAATGTCTAAACATGTATAAGAATAGCACTAATATTGAAACCCACTATTGAATAAAATTTTTAGTCATGAATAAATTTCAGTTTCCCTTCTATTCAAGTCTTTTGCTGAAGAGAGTTCACATACTGTTTAATTTTAAATTTAATTATTTTTTTCTCTATTCACCCATTAATAATGGTACTAATTAATGAATACTAAGATGGCTAAAAGAGAAGAACAGGGATATCTTTGAATTAATGTAAGTATATTACTAATAAATGTGTGCAGGTTATCAGGGAACAATGCTGTTTCTTATTCACTAGTATGAATTATACAGAGTAACAATAAGAAATGATCTTTTCCATAGAAGAACATGAACAAGTAAGCAAAAGACAAAGTGTATAGCAGAAATCAGCATGAAAGATGTTCAGTGTCATAATTAAATTTTGTTTATTGTAAGCCTAAAGTATAAATTACAACCAAAGACATCTGCAACCTTCTTTTTTTCCCTTGCTACAGTATATTGCACACCTTGCCAAACATTAGTTCTCGTTAGATTAGACCACAAAGAAGTACACATTTAAGAGGAGACACACAGAGGACCTCGCAGAGGCGTTTGGGCCCTGCATGCCTGTCACATTCAGACCACAGGGTGTGGCTGCAGTAGCTAGAGCTGGAGTTGTGAAAATGCCACCAACCTTGCCCAGTTATGGGCTTCCTACATCCTGTGACAGTCACACCTCCTTTCATTTCCAAGATGCTGTGTGTGCAGCATAGTTATCAGAAAGTAGGCCCAGTGCAGCACCAAACAATTCTTGAACATTTTTAAATGGCAAACTAGCTTTTTCCAATCTCCTCTCCCTGGCAGGAAGGACTCAAGTAAAAAAGAGTTCTTAAATGAGGTCAATGAGGACAGAAGAAAACCAGTTTGTGAAAATCATTAGTTCAGAAAGATGAAAGTGAGACTATAAAATAAGAGCTAGGCAAATATTTCCAAAGCCTAGCAAATATTGTTATCTGGGTCAGTCTGAAGCTGTTTCTTAATCTTCAGCATGAAACATATTAAGTTAGTATAGATCTCTCACATTTTGTTCTAAATCTGCCACAAAGTAATGAACAGAAAAGAAAAAATAGATATGTATTTTGTCACACTGTTCCGGTGATATCAGGAACTTTTTAGCCATACTACAAATCTTTTTTCACCATGGGGAATAAAAAGCCTCTCAAAGAACAATCGTCATGACTCGTGATTAAATTCGCATTTTATGAAGATGTAGGTCATATTAATGACCTTTGCCTCATTGAAAATTATTATACTTTCTCTTGCATAGGTCTGGCTTCTGTATACGAATGTTGTCTTTAGGAAAGTCATTCTCAGATGAAGACAAAAAATGGATGGGCATTAAAGAAGAGAAAAATAATTCATTTTTAACTTTCTTAACATTCACAGGAACATTTCAGATACAAGTTTTCCACCCCAAAACGAAAAGCTCAGAAATGAACATTGTGGGATGCTAAGGCTTCATTGCTGATATTTCCCTCTGGGCTGGACCTGACTCTATTTACGGAAGGGGGCAGAACTTCCAGCATCCAAAGTCTGGGATCCCAGTCAGCACACCCAGCCTGCCTTCCCAAGGGGCTTCTTCCTGTGCGGCTGATGGCTGCTTCGTTTTGCACGGATGCCTGCCCGTTGGGATGCACCTGGCCGCCTGTGCACCACCATTTCCCAGAACTCCTCCGCCAGCAATGCAAGATCTCTCTATGTGAAACGTATCTTTATAAAGAGGAGACGAAAGTTCTCTTGCCCTCTAGTGCAGGCTCTGCCGGGAAGCAACTGCACCATGACAGCGCCGCTGGAGTCTGACGCGCCAGGGCCTCCGCGCAGCCTTCAAGCCATTTCCCTCCCCCAGCCCTTCCTAAAATAGTCAGGGGGTGGAGGAAGGGAGGCTCCTAGAATCTGTTCAACGCCCTACCTCTCCCATCTGATAGTAGCAACAGTACCGACCATCACAATAAGAGGCTGGCTGCCTTTTGCTTCTGCACCATTGGAGCCCAGGAGATGTGCCACAAGCGGAAATGACAACTCAGAGAGGGGGATATTAATAGGGACATCTACGTACGAGATGCAAAGAGGCTCCCCAACCTCCTAGTCTCCTTATCTATGAGTATCGCACACGTACACACATCACTGCCACCACCCCCTCCCATCAAGCACGCAGAGCCCCAGCGTGCAGGCACAAACTTGCTGACAATTTGTCTGCAATGTGTTCGTCTTGCACCTCTCTCTCCTCTCCCTGTCTCTGTCTCTCCCTGTCTCCCAGTCTCTGTCTTTCCTTTTACCTTCTCTCTCGGCCTCGTTCAGTTTCCCAGCAGCAAGGCGAAGCGAGCGAACGCTTCCTCCCGGCTCTCTGCGCCCAGGCTCGGCGGGACCCCGGGGATGCGCGGCTGTCCGCCCGCCCTGTCGCCGGGATCGGGCGCGGTCTGCAGGACTGCGGGAGCCCAGCCGCCCTGGTGACAGAGGACAACAATCTCAGCCCGCTGCGGCCGGCGGCCGCGGCCCGGCGCCCGCGCTCACCCTGGCTGGCTCGCCCACACTCACTCCCGCGCCGGGCTGCTCAGCCGCGCTCCCCGCCCTCCGCGACCGGTTCCTCCTCCCGGCTGCTCGCTGGGGGGTGAGGCCTCCCCCTTCGCCCTCCCCCACGCATCTACTGCTCCTGTCGGGAAGGAAGGTCGCCCAGGCCGGTTCAGCCTCTGGGCAGGGTCCCTGCACCGCCCTGGCCCGCCACACCCCCTCCCCGGCTCCGTGCCCCGCGCCCCGCGCCCGGCTCCGGGATGCGCCGGTGCCTGGAAGAGCTGGGGGCGGGGACCCGGAGGCTCGCAGGCTTCCCTACCTCCTGGAGATGCACGGCCTTGGGCGTTTCTCCGCAGCTGCAAAGCTGTGCTGTGACCCACCCGCTCAGCGAGCCTTTATACCGGGACCACCTCCCGGGGGTCGAGGTGGGAAGGAAATGTCCCTGAGAGCCGGGACGCGCTGCCTCCGCTGCCTGGAGGAGCTGCGCTGTCCTGCCAGCTAACTTTTGCCCACGGTTTCCACTGCCCGGGTGACCTTTCTGAGCGGAACCTATCCTGAAAGGCTGGGAGGTTCCCTGATGGTCCCAGGAAGGGCGTGATGCAGAGCAAAGAGCAAAACCCGCTGGCTCCTTTTTCATCAACTTCCGAAAGATCCTAAATCGTTTTGGCTGCCAAGTCAGTAGCAAATAACTTAATTTGAGGGAGACTGGTCAGGCTTTATAGATCTTTTTTAATGTTATGTATAAAGTTTAGACTTCTTGAGAAAGCGCTTGACATCTTTAATTCTTGACTGTTTATTATGATGATTCTAAAAACCACTTTTAGGTTCTTCAGGTGCACTGTATGCACCCTGTACATTGCGGAGCCATTTGTATCTTTGGCCACAAGTCCTTCTCGTGGTGTAAGAGATCTTGGTGTTGCCTGGTAGCATTCAGGAGAATTTATTTTGTTGTGGTTTTATGGTATCCAGGCAAAGTCAAACACAGTCTCTCTTCACCAACAGTGAAGTCCAAGTCCAACAGGATGATTGCAGCTAAAATAATCGAAGCCATGTTGCAATAATCTTAAAAGTAATAATCCCCCCCTTGAATCTCCAATCTGAACAAAACAGTCATTTATCCTCTAAATTTGCTGAAAGGAAGGAGCAGTTTATAAAGTAGATGAAGTTTCTCTTTGCTGCCTGCCTTTCCCTTACCTGCTGCCAACATTCCCACTGCCTAGCTTTCCATTTTCTTCAAATTCTCCTTCTTCTGGATCGTGTCAAAATAATAACATCTGAAACAAATCTGGTAAACCAATCTGATGTGTTCCTCTTCTTTGTGCTGACTTTTGTTTTTTTTTAGAGAGAGAAACCAAACAATGGATCTCTATTTGCAGAACTTGCTACCTCCAAAAGTTGGGCCTGGAGGAGGAGTGTTTGGGATCACTCTCAATGTATGCCCTGCCTCTGCCTGAGGGCAACAATCCTGGGGCACCCCCAGAGCCCCTTGTGGAGACAACCACCAGAGCATAATTATTCCAGGTCAGCCCTCTGTGCCCAGTGGCCACAAAATGGGGTCCAGATTTCCAGGCTTGCCACTCAGAAGAAACAGATCAGAATGGCTCAGCTCACCCTCTCAATCCCTACCTTCATAGAATCAATCCACCCTGCCGGCTTTTGAAGATGGGTAGAAAGTTATTGTGCCAACTTTGCCATTCTTTTTGTTTGTTTGTTTGTTTGAGATGGAGTTTCGCTCTTGTTCCCCAGGCTGGGGTGCAATGGTGCAATCTCGGCTCACTGCAACCTCCGCCTCCCAGGTTCAAGCAATTATCCTGCCTCAGCCTCCTGAGTAGCTGAGATTACAGGGATGCGTCACCACACCTGGCTAATTTTGTATTTTTAGTAGAGACAGGGTTCCTTCATGTTGGTCAGGCTGGTCTCAAACTTCCGACCTCAGGTGACCCATCCAGCTCGGCCTCCCAAAGTGCTGGGATTACAGGTGTGAGCCACTGCACCTGGCCACCAACTTGCTATTCTACACGTTAAGCAACTACTTTCTTGGGTTTACTTACTTGAGAAGTGAGCCACTTAAAACACAAGCCTGAAACATTGCTTCCACCAACTAAAACTCCTCTACTAGGCCTAATCTCTGTTCTCACAGGCTGAGACAGACAGAAGCATAGAGCTGTCTTGCTGGCATTGATTCCCTATACAGCTGAAATCCCATTCTCAGCTAAACTTTATCCTCTGTAGAAGGACTAAGCACATTTTAGAGTTTTGCAAAGGGCTTGTCAGTTTCACACACCCCAGGGAAGGGTGTTGTAGCTCCATTTACTCAACAGCTATTGCTTGAACACTTACCACATAACAAATATTGTCCTAAGTGCTGGGGCTACCGTGGTAAGCAAACTCTGACCGGGCTCTTGCCTTCATGGAGCTTACAGTATGATGGGGGAAGAGCCAGACATTCATCAGAGAACCACACAAATACTTATAAAACCCCATTCTCCAAGCAAAGGCAAATGTTGCTATGAGAGCTTTCAAGAACGGGAGTTGGCCAGGCATGGTGGCTCACACCTGTAATCCCAGCATTTTGGGAGGCCAAGGCAGACAGATCACTTGAGGACAGGAGTTCGAGACCAGCCTGGCCAACATGGTGAAACCCCATCTCTACTAAAAATACAAAAATTGGCCAGGCACGGTGGCTCATGCATGTAATCCCAGCACTTTGGAAGGCCGAGGCAGGCAGATCACAAGGTCAAGAGATCAAGACCAGCTTCACCAACATGGTGAAACCCCATCTCTACTAAAAATATAAAAAATTAGTTGGGCATGGTGGCGCATGCCTGTAGGCCCAGCTACTCAGGAGGCTGAGGCAGGAGAAACACTTGAAGCTGGGAGGCGGAGGTTGCAGTGAGCCAAGATTGCACCACTGCACTCCAGCCTGGCGACAGAGTGAGACTCTGTCAAAAAAAAAAAAAAATAGCCAGCGTGGTTGTAGGCGCCTATAATCTGAGCTACTCGGGAGGCTGAGGCAGGATAATTGCTTGAACCTGGAAAGCGAAGGTTGCAGTGAGCTGAGATCGTGCCACTGCACTCCAGCCTGGGTGACAGAGCAAGACTCAGAAAAAAAAAAAAGGAGGGGAATTAATTTATTTCAGGGATTAGAAAGGCTTTGCTAAGGGAGTGACATCTGAACAGTGAGGTGCAGGAACTAGGTGAACGTGAGCAGGTGGGAAATTGGGAGAGCGCTCCAGACAGAAGGAACAGCATATGCAGAGGCTCTATGGAAGAAAAGCACATGGTGCATTGCAGGAACTGAGGAAGACTGATGAGGTTGCAGAAGAAAAAGCAAGGGAGGGGCCAGGAGGTTTAGGGAATGGTGGGCCCAGTACAGCTGGAAACAGAGCCAAGGGCAGACTATGCCAGTCTTAAAAACTGAACCAAAGGGATGGCCCTTTACAAGAAGCCATTAAAGTGTTCTCAGTGCAACATGATTAGATTTATGTTTTAAAATGTTCTCTTTGGCTAAAATGTGAAAAAACAGATTAGAAGTGGAGCCAGAATCAATAAACATGGACCAGTTAGGAAGGTGGTGCTGTAATCCTTTAGAAAAGACTGTGGTATTTATTATTAGAGTGATGGTGGTGGGAAAATGTAGACAGATTTGAGAGATATTTAATAGATAAAACTTACAGGGCATAAGGCCATGTTGTGCTATAGACTGAATAGGTATGTTCCCCCACCCCCAAACTCATATGTTGAAACCTATCCCCAGTGTCATGGTATTAGGAGGTGTGGCCTTTGGGGGTGATTAGGTCATAAGGGTAGAACCCTCATGCATAGAATTAGTGTGCTAATAAAAGGAACTTGGAGAAGTCCTTGCCCCTTCCACCATGTGAGAACACATCAAGAAGACAGCCATCTATCAACCAGGAAGTGGGTTCTCACCAGACACTGAATTTGAAGGTGCCTTGATCCTGGACTTCCAGCCTCCAGAACTGTGAGTAGTAAGTGTCTGTTGTTTGTGAGCCACCTGTACTATAGTATTATGTTACAGCAGCCCGAACAGACTAAGACATGTGTCAACAGGAAGTTAGAAAAGTATAATGGTTAAAGTATTGGGTTTTAAAGCAAGAAAGGCCTGGGTTTGAGTCCCAGCTTTACCATTAAGTGCCTATGTGATTTTTAGCTAGGAATTTAACCTCTTGTGAATTCAGGTTTACAACCCTGCAATTCAGGATTCTAATAGTATCTCATTCATAGAGCTGTTGTGGGGACTACATGAGCTAATGCCTGAATAGCACTCAGCACTTCAGTGCCTGGCATGTGGTCAATAAATGAAAGATATTATTAGCATCATTATTATGCTTCTAGTTATTATTACTATTAGTCTAGATGTTTCTGAAGTTGGCAAACCATCACTCTCCATTTCACATTGCAATAGCCTAATAGAGCTAGGACACCAGTTCCTGAGAGCAACAAAATACAATCCCAGGGCCATCACAGGCTGAGAGACAGCTGCCAGGACAGCAACCTGACTTCCTCCTCCACCAGGCCCAGGGCCTGTCCTCCTCATCCGTCTTTTCATTCTGTCTCACTTTACAAAGAATCTTCTTCTTATATATCACTGTAGTTGGGCCCCCAAGGTCCCCTGTCTGCATTAGCAAGAGGTACCAAAGATAGCAACAGTTGCAGATTGCCTTCAGCCCAGCTTCATCCCAATGCCTGCATCATGGTGTTCTATACATTTGTAAAATATGAGACATTGTGCCCATATGAAATCAGAGAAAAATCATTTCTTTCCTTTTTTTTTTTTTTTTTTTGGAAACGGAGTTTTGCTCTTGTTGCCCAAACTGGAGTGCAATGGCGCAATCTTGGCTCACCGCAACCTCTGCCTCCTGGGTTCAAGTGATTCTCCTGCCTCAGCCTCCTGAGTAGCTGGGATTACAGGCATGCGCCACCACACCTGGCTAACTTTTTGTATCTTTTAGTAGAAACAGGGTTTCACCATGTTAGCCAGGCTGGTCTCGAACTCCTGACCTCAGGTGATCTGCCCGCCTTGGCCTCCCAAAGTGCTGGGATTACAGGAGTGAGCCATTGCGCCCAACCCGAATAATCATTTCTACTTCTGTCATTCCTACTTTAAGTATCTGTGTTGATACCATGACAAAACTTGCCGTAATTAAAATATGTTGTGGATTTATCAAAAGCAGCGGCCCCAGGATCTACCAGAAGTGCATCTTTATTCAAATGAACACGTGTGCAACTCAACAAATGGCTCTCTTCTTCCACCTCCCTCCCTTAGTCTTAAATCTCTTCAAAACCAACTTGTACACACAGTGCAGTGAAACTTCAATCAAAGTAGCTCTCTTACTTTTTAAAGGTTAAGGGGCATTTTATCAGTCAGGGTCTTGATGTAGTCAGTAGAGGTCCGGCTTGGTCTTCTAGAAATCTAGGAGCCACTTGTTACGTAATGGCCTGTAGTGGAATCAATAGTCTGTTGACAAGGGAGAAAGGACAAACGAGGACAGAGGGACTTATTTTCCTGACAAGTAAGTGCCTCAGGAGGATTTGCATTCAAAGTCCTCGGATTCACCCAAATCCTACAAATGCCCCTGTTCCAGTTCTCATAGCCCACTCTTTACAATAAGAACTTTAGCTTTCATGTAAGAGACTTGGCAAGTCTTTGAATTTATTTTATGCTGTAATTTTGCAACATGCAGAAGCGGACCTTAGGTCTGATTTTTGGCTATATCAGCAATGTAGCTACAAGGGTCCTAGAAGTCCTCTAGTCCTTGACCAGGCCTTGATCCAAAAGTGTAAAGTTTCCCAGCTTGCCATTTTCTTTCTATGGTCTCTGGTGCAGTCAGAAGTAGATGACACACCCCATGGTCTTTCTCGTTCTCTTTCCTACTTTCAGACTCTAGAGCAGCGGTCAACTTAGTCTCCACAATTCTTGATTTCAATAGGTCCTTCACTTCCGACAACCACAGGTGTTAATTCAAGGAAGTGTTTGCCACCATGTGCCATGTCTCTTCATAATTCTATTTTGCACTAGAATTAGGCAATTAGGTCATCACTGTAAGCAAATGCAACCAGGTCAAACAACAAGATTCTCATCTTTGAAGCTCTGGAACCAATCTTGGCATGAAATATTGTGTCAGTCCAGATTCATTAAAGAAAAATCAAAGCAACTTAAGGAGTGTTGGAAAGGCTAGAGAAGTGATCATCATCAGGCTGCCTTCAGCTTTCAGGTAAGCACCATTGCAAGTGCAATCCAGAGCTCGGCAAGTTGCTGCTGCCACCCAGAGGTCAAGATACTGCAGCAAACCGCCAACAGCATCACAGCTGCCCTTGCTCAGAGGCTAGGCCTGGTGAGGGAGCTGGGTGTTCAGCCAGCCTCTGTAAAACTACTGCCGTTGCCGCTGGAGGGAGAATTTCTCAGTGTCTACATTGCCTTCCAAATCTCATGTGAGAGCACTGGCAGAATGCAAATTTCACCCAAACCCCTCAGGAAAGGGAGCCTGAGAAATGTAATGCCCAAACTTCTAGCTCCAGAGATACAGGAGAGAGCACAGAAAGAGGAGTGAATGCAGGTTGTTTGCCGAGAAACAGTATCCAGTACAAACACAGACTTGGGTGAACTGGTGAATGCAAATGTTTACTGAAATTAACATTTACAGAAATTCTAGGCTGGCCGCGGTGGCTCATGTCTGTCATCCCAGCACTTTGGGAGGCTGAGGTGGGTGGATTACTTGAGTTTAGGAGTTCGAGACCAGGTGGGCCAACGTGGTGAAACCCTGTCTCTACTGAAACTGCAAAAACAAAAATAGCTGAGTATGGTAGCACACGGCTGTAATCTCAGCTACTCAGGAGGCCAAGGCAGGAGAATCGCTTAAATTTATGAAACAGAGGTTGCAGTGAGTCAAGATTGTGCTCTGTACTACAGCCTGGGCCACAGAGCAAGACTGTCTCAAAAAAAAAAAAAGAAAAAAAAGAAAAATGTACAGAAATTCTACTTTAATAAGTTAAATCTTTTAAATCTCTTATAACTCTAACATTAATATTGTTTTAGAATTTTAAAAGTTAAGATTTTAATACTTTTTAAAAAATGAAACATTTTAGCATTGCTGAATAAATTTTAAAATATTAATTCCCCAGTGAAATGTTCTTGTCCCTTTCTCCCCATGCTTCCTTCGGGAGTTGATCTTCTTAGACCATTGGTCTCTCCTCTACTTAGCCACCCACTCCCGTGATCATAGTCTTGACCTTGTCATGATGAACAGTAACAATTATTTGTGATGATAATCTCAACTGGAAACACTCCACTCTCTGATCACTGACTCTTTTGTTCCCAGTACTCTCCCTGTTGCATTCCAATTCCAATAACCCCTCAACTGAATAGGACCTCACATCCATTGGGAGGGTCACCGATGGCCCTTGGGATGCCTTTGTTTGAATTCTTCAAGATTTTTTTTTTTTTCTGTGAGACAGAGTCTCACTCTGTTACCCAGGCTGGACTGCAGTGGTGCAATCTCAGCTCACTGCAGCCTCGACCTCCTGTGCTCAAGCAATCCTCCCACCTCAGCCTCTGAGTAGCTGGGACTTCAGGCGCTTGCCACCATGCCTGGCTGATTTTGTTTTTATTTTTTGTAGAGACAAGGTTTCATTATGTTGCCCAGGCTGGTCTTGAACTTCTGGGCTCAATCAGTCTTCCCACCTTGGCCTCCCAAAATGTTAGGATTACGGGCACGAACCACCATGCCTAGCAGATATTTCAACTCCATCTTTTGGAAACTATTGTAAAAGATCACTTTTGATAAAACAAGATGGTTGAGTGCCATCTTTCAGAAAATTACAATGCGTACCCAAATCTTAAATTCCATTTATGGATGATGCCCACCTGAAAGATGTTACCTTACGTGTATGTAGTGCATAACCCACATTAACCATATGTGGCTGCTCAGTGACAGTTGATTCTGCAATTTTTTTCATTGTCTATCTCCCCCTTTATGTTCATCCCTTTTAAAATGGTTTAAATTCCACATGTAACCATCCTACTCACCTCTTGAATTTATCCTCAAGCACTGTCCCTCTTGCCTTGTCATACTCACTTGGCTAACACACATCCCTTGTTAAATTCAGCTCTGCCTACTTCGTGCCTGCACCCACACTGCTGAATATGGCTGGGGGAACACTACCTTATGCTAACTGGTCTTTGCCTTTATGGCAAATCACTAAATCAAATGCCCCTGAATGCTCTATTTCTCTAACCAATATACTCTCCCACTTCCCTAAACAAATATCATACTTTTTCCTATCTTCCCAGATTTCCCCAAATGTTCCCCCATATCTAAATTTTCAGCTATTAACTTTGTTTCCTATTTACTATTTTAAGCAATCAAAGAGAATTTCCACAAGCTGCCACTAGCATATGCATGCATGTTGTCAGTGCCTGCATATAATGTTCCAATTTGTCTTCTGTTGCTAGGAATGAACTCTTTAAGCTCCTAGTTAAGGCCACCTCCTCCACTTATATATTCGATCTATCCCTTCCTGTCAACAATGTTTTTCTCTATTCCTAGCATCATGACTTTCTTTTCTCTTTGCTAGTTCATTCCCATCAGCATATAAACATGCTATTCCTCCCATATTAACAACAACAAACTTTCTTGTTCACCACCTAAACTCCAAATACTACCTCATTTCTCTCCTAAATTTTAAGAAAAATTTCTTGAAAGAGTGGTCTACACTCTGTTGGCAATTTCTCTCTTCCCACTTGCTCCCGAACTCACCACAGGCCAGCTTTCACCCCCAGCATGCCACCTTAGCTAGGTTACCAGCGACTTCTTTGCTAAACCTAATATTCCTATCTCTGTCCCTATCTTGATCTATTAGAAGCATTTAGTTATTTCCTCTTTCCTTCTCAAGATAGTTTTCTCACTTGGCTTCTGAACCTGCCTCTTCCCTCACTTTCTCTCTTCTGGCTGCTTCTTGGTCTCCTTTGCTGCATCCCTCTTATCTCCTCAACCTCTAGACTTTGGGGGACCAAGAGCTCCATCTTTGGTGCTTTTCTATTTCCCAGCTGCACTAATTCCTAGGGGATTTTATTCAATTTCATGGTGTTAAATATCATGTGTATGCTACGAACTCCCAAATTTAGGTATCTAACCCAGATATCTCTTCTGAACTCCAGACTTCTATATCCAATTGCCTTCCCAGGCAGTTTAAGAGGCATCCCAAATAAAGCTGGTCCAAAACTAAATCTGTGACCTTTTCTTCCAAACTTGCCCCTTTGTTTGACTTCCTCACATCATTTAATGGTAACTTCCATCCTTTTCAGTTGCTCAAGCCTAAAGTCTTGGCATCATACTTGACAATTCTTTTTTTCTCATTGCTCACCTTCAGTCCATTGGCAAACATGTTGATTCTATTTTTAAAACATATTCAGAGAACATCCTTGTTCTTAGAAAATAGACTCTAAAATATTTAGCAATTGTAGGGCATGATGTCTCTAACATCCTTTCAAGTAGTTCAGAAAACATAATATAATGAAACATAGAGAAGGATGGTTAAAGAAAGTAAATGGAGCAAAATGTCAGCAAACTGATGAATCTGGTTGGAAGGCATACAGGGAGTTTTGTGTAATACTCTTGAAACTTTTCTGTAGGTTACAAAAAGTCTAATGAATCTAAAAATCTATTACTTATCAACTCCACCATTACTACCCTAGACATCATCTCTAGCCTTCAAGCTACCCTTTTTTTCTTTTTTTTCTTTTTTTTTTCCTTTTAGACAGAGTCTCGCTCTGTCGCCCAGGTTGGAGTGCAGTGGTGCGATTTCAGCTCACTGCAACCTCCACTTCCTGGGTTCAAGCCATTCTCTACCTCAGCCTCCCAAGTAGCTGGGATTACAGGCACCTGCCACCATGCCTGGCTAATTTTTTGTATTTTTAGTAGAGACAGGGTTTCACCATCTTTGCCAGGTTGGTCTTGAACTCCTGACCTTGTGATCCACCCTCCTCGGCCTCCCAAACTGCTAGGATTACAGGCGTGAGCTTCCGTGCCTGGCTGCCTTCAGGCTACTCTTAACGTAACAGTCACATAAATCTTATTATATCATAAACCAGATGATGTCACTCCTTTGCTCAAAGCCCTCTAATAGCATTCCATATTACTTACAGTGAAGTCCTCTTATGATCTATAAAGCCCTATATGATTTGCCCCATCTCCTCATTAACTACCTAGCCCCATCTGCAACCCTCCCCTTCACTTACTGACCCGCAGCTTGCATGCATTCCTTGATGTTCCTGAAGGTTACTAGGCAAGCTCCCACTGCAGGACCTTTTTCCATGATATTCTCTCTGCGGGCAAATTCAATTCTGAAAGTTGCTCATATTCACATGTCTGGCCTTCTAACTTTTTTCAGGTCTTTCATCAAAGCATTACCCTCTCAGTGAACTCTTTCCTGAATGTCCTGTATAAAATTTTTAAACACCCTCCACTCTTCTTTGAACATTCTACCTTTATGCCATACTTTATTTTTTTCTGCAGCACTTAGCACTAACATTGTATATATATTTTCTTACTTATCTAATTTATTTTGTGTCTGTCCCTAAAATGTAAGCTCCATGAGGGCAGCTATTTCAGTATATTTGTTAACTCTTATGTTCTTAGCATTTAAAACAAGCACATAAAAGATACTCAATTTATGTTTGTTGAATAAATAAATGAATGAACATACCAATCTCACTATGCCTTATGGAATTCTACATACCATCAATTATAAAGTTACGTTATTGTCAAACCCATTAGAAACTGATTGCTCAAATCTCTGGGACATCCTGATCTTCAATGGGTCATCAATTAGGATATTCCCATGTTTCATGGTATAAAGTAATAGAAAAATATATTTTTTTCCCTTCAGCTCTTAATATTATCCTTTCTTCTTGGTTCATAATTTTTTAACTACTCTAAAGCACTTCTGTCATTGTACTTTTGGCTCTGTTTGGATATACAGTTCTATGTCTGAAATGGTTTCTGATAAGTAGACAGCTCTGAAATCCCCTGATACATCCACTTCTGAGATGTTGTAGAGCTTTTCATATTCCCCTTGAGTTTGTGTAATTATTTAGGAATATTGGCAACTTTTCTTTGCCTTTATCATATATTAATTAATATCATCTACCTTTTGTCTGCCCTTATTTTTATTTTTTTTCTCAAAGGTTCTTAACATTTTCTGGATCATTTAAAAAGCTTTTTTATAGGCCACTATCAGTCTATCTGACTTGTGCATAATGGCTTTGCTAAATACTATTTAGAACTGAGCTTTTGTTTACAAGATAACTGTGCCAGTAATGACATTAGGTTGTAGCTGAGTTTGCAGTGGGAGAGGATCATGTGGATTACATAATTTCTTAACTGGATTCCTACCAAGAGTGTTCCAGAGTGACTGAATGAACTCACTAGCACACACAGTTTTATCCACCACTTGGAAATACTTCAAGGAGCCTCCGAAAAGGAAAGACGATCTTTACTTGTGAGTTTCTCCTTCCTGGTTTATTTCATTACCCATATCTATTTCCAGCTGGAAAATTTGTGAGAAATCACCAGATGAACATGTATCAGTTCAGATGCATTGTGATGCCAGGAAAAGAAAAGCCAGTGGACACAGGCAAAAATAAAAATAAAGGAGATTTATTAGCTTGCAAAAATCCAAAAGGACAAGTTTCAGGATTCATTCCAGTTTACATCAACGATCTGGTTTCTTTCTATTCTTCTTTTCTGCTGTCCACATGTTGAGTTCATTCTAAGGCTGATCCTTATGTTTGTTGGATGTGTACCGGCAATAATTAGACTGGTACATACTTTTGTTTCACCCACTGAGAGAGAAAGTATTTGTGTCTAAAATTCCATGCGAATGTCTTGAATATTGCTCTAATTAGGCTAGCTTAGGTTGTGTGCCTAGTGGCCTCCTCCCAACCACTTTGGTGAAGAAAAATAAAATGTTCTGATTGCCTTTCACCCAGTCAGACCCATCATTGGCATAACATCTTCCTGAAGCAAATGGCCTACATAGCAAAGTGTAGATACCTGTATTTGGCCCCAAAAGGAAAGGGAAGTCAGAAGTCACAAACACTAGATGAGGGTAATTTGAGGTGAAGTCCATTTTATTTTGGTTTGTTTTATTCAAAGGGCCAAATTACAAAGTGTGAAGGGGGAATAGTGGAACCATAAGACATAGCCAGGGAACTTGGAGTGAGCAAGAGCAGAGCTGCTATTGATCCCAGGCCCAGAGGAAATCAGGGAGGGAGAGCTTACTGGAATGCAAAGGAAGAGTCCTGTAGAGAATAATATATTGATAGGAGCAATGACCCTGGGAGAACACAGGTAACCTCAGAGGAGCTTAGGGAGGGAACTAGGGAAATTAGCACTCTGATATTCTTGTTTTCTCCTGTTTCTACTGGGATTCCCCATTGTTTAAAACAAACCAGAAGCCTGAGGATGCAGGAGCAGTGTGATGCTGCCCACGCTGGTCATTCTTTCAGGACAGAGCAGAATGGAAAAGGACAGGAACAAATGGGAAGTATTCTGTGCAGTATCTGAATTAAAATGTGGGTACTGCAAAGAAGATAGGAGAGGACAATAAATGCTGGAGAGACAGCCAATCAATGCTGCCTACAGACCAGAAGTGTTTGACTCACTAATCTTACCTAGAGGCCTTCAGATAATTATGACACCACTTAGTATTCCAAAAAATAATACAAAACAAAAAGCCTTTTAAGTATAATGTCTATCTATCTATCTATCTATCTATCTATCTATCTATCTATCTATCTAAATATTCTCCTACCTCAGTGGTGAGAAGCATAGACAAACTATTTATCTTAATTAACCATATTGATTGTCATCAGCTATATCAGCAGTTACAGAAAGGATATTAACTAATGATGGGTCATATTGCTTAACTTCTAGGACAGCTTCATGGCTGAAAATGTTCTGTATGTGAAAGATGATCATGTGGATGATAGAGAATTTATATTCTCTCTTTCTTGAAGATCAAATAAGAGAAAAATGAGTTTACTAAGCAGGAAATATTTTGATAAAATAGAGGTAGACATTCTTGATAATAGGATACATTAAACCCTAAAAGGTTTTTTTTTTCTCCTGATTATCTTTGAGCACCATTTTGCAATTTCTCTGCCTATGTTCTAAAATCCATCTGGCAACCAACGGGGCCTAAAATGGATATAATTAATTTCGGCTCCCCAAGCACAGAATTGCTATGTGTCCCGGGGGGCTCCCACTGTGACAACTGCTGTGGTTGTAGGGGCAGTGGACTTCATTCCATCTCCATCCAGAGCTAGCCTTGGGCAATTCAGATGGCCAAGCCATTACACTGCAGAGCAGGGTCCTCAGCTGCCTCCTTCATTCACTTCATGTGTCATGATAGGGACAAAAGCATAAAATGATAGGCTAGACCAGCAAATGCAGGTCTCAAAATCCAGGCAGATATGCCGAGTTAGGGTATACAACATTCGTTCAGTCACTCAATATTTATTGAGTACCTACTACATATGGGCCAGGCAATGTTTTTTGGTGCTTTCTAGAGCAGTGCACGGGAGAAAAAAGAAAGAAAGAAAGAAAGAAAACTTTGCATTCATAAAGTTTATCTTCTAGTGGAAAATGTAGACAGCAAACAATGTCTATACAAATATATACCATATTGGATAATAATGGCTGCTAGGGAGAAAAAATATAGCAGAGAAGAGACAAAAGATGTGTCAAGTCAATGGCTGAAATTTTAGTGTAATTTCTGAAAATAGTCCTGAAAAAAGTAAATGAGGATGTCGTAAGGAGGATAGCTGGGGAAAACATTCTGGGGAGAGCAAAGAGCAAGGGTGAAGGCCCTGAGGTTGAAAATTCCTTGCTCTATTTAAGGAATGGGAAGGAAGCTAGAGTAGCCAGAATGGAGTGGGTGAGGGGGAGATGAAGTCATAGAAATGATGGTGGTGGTGAAGCATAAACTGTATAAGCCTGGTAGGTCATTATAGGGAATTTGCCATTATTCCAAGAGAGGTGGGAATCCCCTGGATAGCCCTGAACCCAAGAATGACATGAAGTGACTTGTGTTTGCAGGAGATAACTGACTACTGTGTTGAGAATAGATGGACAGATTCAAGTCAGAAGGAGAGAGACCAATTAAGAGTCCATTGCTGCAACACAGTGAGAGAGGATGGTGGCTTGGAAGAGGGTGGTGGTGATGAAGGTGGTGAGAAGTGATCAAATTCTAATATGTTTGGGAACTTGTAAGATTTATTCACAGTCTGGATGTGAATAAAGATAGAAAAATCATCAGGATGTTAAGATCAGTGGAATGTTTCCGAAGATTTCTCACGAAAAAATTGGAGTTCTAACAGGTCTGAAATTAAAAGGGCATCATTCTCATAGGGTAAGTTCCAAGTGAAATTCTGGGCCAATCAAAATGTGCAGAATAACAAAGATTCTAAGCCCAGGATAAGATCCAGAGTGAATCAAGGTGATGTAAGAATGGCTGAGAAAGTGATTGGCAATTCTATATCAGATGATCGGCACATCTCCAGGCAAGAAGGCATTAGGCATATCTAAGAACATGCATCATGGTAATTTTGACTGTGGCAAATGTGGAGTATTAGGCAGTAGTTTGGTCATTGTGGAAAAAGACAGCCACTCATTGGTTCAGAGAAGGGTCTAGTTACAGAGAATTAAGGCTAGATCTGGGCTGGCAGCATAACCAATATGCTGCTTAGCTACTGAGCTACAGCCCTACGGTCCTCTTTATATTGCTTTAGCTAATCAAGGTCTGATATTAGAGGCCGGGGCTGGGCTGAAACCTAATGGGAAGTATAGCGGGTTAAATGACAGGAAGCCAGGCAAGCTAAGAGCCAGAAGCAATGCACCTGGAAGTCTTATTCTCTTGAAGACTTCAAATACTAACAGAACAGGAAGGTCAGTAATAATGACAGAGGCATTTTTATCCTTCTGGGGCTCCTACAGCCTCTACTGCTTCGGCTGCTGCCCCAAGGACTTTCTGATGGTGCATCAGTCTGCGTATACTAGAGGTGGCTCCCGGGACTTCTTTAGACTGGGTTCCTGCTACTCCTGGCTGTTATTGGGTTAAAGAAAAGAAGTAACTTTCCAGATAGAGATATGTAAATTGCAAAAAGCATGGAAGTAAGAAATTATTTGGCATGTGTAGAAATGATGAGGAGTCATATTTTGTTGAAATAGGGGACTGGCAAAAGGTGAATCCAGGAAGAATGGCTTTTAAGACCAGGGTGATTCATCTCTATGTGGAGTCATTAATGATTCGTGAGGAAAGAAGTAACAGCATGGGTGCTGCATTTGAAAAAGCTTTATGCAACCTCAGGGAAAGGATGGATTTGTCTGCTACGGCTGCCAGAGCAAAATACCTGACACTGAGTGGCTGAAACTACAGAAATTTATTGTCTCACAGTTCTGGAGGCTGGAAGCCTGAAACCGAGGAACTACCAGCATTGGTTTCTACGAAGGCCTCTCTCCTTGGCTTGCAGGTGGGTGGTAGCCTTCTCACTGTGTCTTCACATGGCCTTTTCTCTGTGCCTGAGCATCCCCGGTGTCTCTATGTCTCCTCATAAGGACACCAGTCATTTTGGATTAATGTCCCCATCCTTATAACTTCACTTAACCTTCATTACCTTTGTGAAGACCCTATCTCCAAATATAGTCACATTGAAGGTTAGGACTTCAACATATGAATTTAGGGGGCACACAATCAATCCAAAACAGAAGGCCATGAAAGCAAAGCCAAGAATATTGTTATCAGTTTACTGCGGGGAGGAAATTGGGATCTGAACTAAGCTGATCATAGTGGAAAGGAAAAGAAGGTGGCTCTGAAAGACATTTCATAGGTAAAAGCTATAATGACTGAGCAGCTGATTGAATGTAGAAGCCAAGAAAGAGAAATCAACCATAAATCGTAAGTATTCAACCTGGGTAGCAAGGAGAAAGATATTGACCTTAAACAAACATGGGTTCTTTTTCTATGTGTATTTGCGTCTTTCACTTTGTCCTTCATTTATTTTCTCTAGATACCACACTTCCACCCTAATTTATTTCTCTATTTCTATCTCCTCCAAATTGCTACTGCAGCAGAAATTCTGACATTCTCCACTTGGTTAATCTTCCTTAAGACAATTCCAGGAAACAAATCTCCATATAAATAAATCCAACATATCACTTCTACTGTGCCCTGTTCTGTCCCTCTTCCTACGTTCTCAGGCAGTGCAGTTATTTCTTTTTGATTGCTTTATCTGTTTACTAGTTCCTCTGCTGCTCTTGGTTAATATTCCTCCCTCCTATTTCTGTTGTCATTTTTTATTCAGTCTCAGCTATTGCCAAAACCATCATGTCCAAGTTATTACTTGATGATTTACATATAAAGAAACCATTTTAAAGGTAGTTTATTATCAAGGAGGGAAACGCAGTACAAATAAAAAGAACCACTTTATAAATGATCTGTTGTACTTTTGGAACTCAGTCTCCCAAAATAGTACTGACTAAAATATGGTAGGTTACACAAACTCAGAAATGAGGGACCCCACATAGAAGATTATGAAAGAGGTGGATTAGACAAATTTATGGACAGTTGTTAAAAAAACAGGTTATAATTAGACCAATGGAACAGAACAGGGGCCTCAGAAATAACACCACATATCTACAACCATCTAATCATCGACAAACCTGACAAAAACAAGCAATTGGGAAAGGATTCCCTATTTAATAAATGGTGCTGGGGAAACTGGCTAGCCATATGCAGCAAATTGAAACTGGACCCTTTCCTTACACCTTATACAAAAATTAACTTAAGGTGGATTGAAGACTTAAATGTAAAACCCAAAACCATAAAAACCCTAGAAGAAAACCTAGGCAATACCATTCAGGACATAGGCATGGGCAAAGACTTCATGACTAAAACACCAAAAGCAATGGCAACAAAAGCCAAAATTGACAAATTGGATCTAATCAAACTAAAGAGCTTCTGCACAGCAAAAGAAACTACCAACAGAGTGAACAGGCAACCTACAGAATGGGAGAAGATTTTTGCAATCTACCCATCTGACAAAGGGCTAATATCCAGAATCTACAAAGAACTCAAACAAATTTACAAGGAAAAAAAAACCCATCAAAAAGCGGGCAAAGGATATGAACAGACACTTCTCAAAAGAAGACATTTATGAGGCCAACAAACATATGAAAAAAAGCTCATCATCACTGGTCATTAGAGAAATGCAAATCAAAACCACAGTGAGATACCATCTCACACCAGTTAGAATGGCGATCATTAAAAAGTCAGGGAACAACGGATGCTGGTGAGGCTGTGGAGAAATAGGAATGCTTTTACACTGTTGGTGGGAGTGTAAATTAGTTCAAACATTGCGGAAGACAATGTGGAGATTCCTCAAGGATCTAGAAACAGAAATACCATTTGACCCAGCAATCCCATTACTGGGTATATACCCAAAGGATTATAAATCATTCTACTATAAAGACACATGCACACGTATGTTTATTGCAGCACTATTTACAATAGAAAAGACTTAGAACCAACCCAAATGCCCATCAATGATAGACTGGATAAAGAAAATATAGCACATATACACCATGTAATATTTTGCAGCCATGAAAAAGAATGAGTTCATGTCCATTGCAGGGACATGGATGAAGCTGGAAACCATCATTCTCAGCAAACTAACACAGGAACAGAAAAGCAAACACCACATGTTCTCATTCATAAGTGGGAGTTGAACAATAAGAACACATGGACACAGGGAGGGGATCATCACACATAGGACCCTGTGGGGGGTGTTGGGGCAAAGGGAGGGAGAGCATTAGGACACATACCTAATGCATGCGGGCTTAAAACCTAGATAGGCTGGGCGTGGTGGCTCACACCTGTAATCCCAACACTTTGGGAGGCTGAGGCAGGCAGATCATGAGGTTAGGAGTTCGAGACCAGCCTGACCAACATGGCAAAACACCGTCTCTTCTGAAAATACAAAAATTACCCAGCGTGGTGGCACACGCCTGTAATCCCAGCTACTCAGGAGGCTGAGGCAGAAGAATTGCTTGAACCCGGGAGGCAGAGGTTGCAGTGAGCGGAGATAGCACCACTGCACTCCAGCTTGGGTGACAGAGCGAGACTCCATCTCAAAAAAAAAAAAAAGAAAAACCTAGATGATGGGTTGATAGGTGCAGCAAACCACCATGGCACACGTATACCTTTATAACAAGGCTGCATGTTCTGCACATGTATCCCAGAACTTAAAGTAAAATTAAAAAAAGAAAATAGATTATAATGGAAATTGTATTATTTGAAGATATTTTCCTCTACATTTTCTGACTTATGTGTTAGCACTGCTTTCCAAATGTTATATCTAAATTATCCAAGGAAAACAAAAGATAAAATTAAGAAATGGGCAAGGGACCTGAATAGACATTTTTCAAAAGAAGACATACAAATATATCTAGCCAACAGATATATGAAAAAATGCTCCACACCACTAATCATTACAGAGATGCAAATTACAACCACAATGAGATATTATCTCACACCTGTTGAATAGCTATATCAAAAGGACAAAAGATAACAAGTGTTGCCAAAGATGTGGAGAAGAGGGAACCTATGTACACTGTTGGTGGAGATGTAAATTAGTACAGCCATTATGGAAAAAAGTATGGAGGCTCTTCAAAAACCTAAAAGTAGAATTACCATATTATTCGATAATCCCACTTTCGGGTATTTACCCAAAAGACTTGAAATCTATATGTTTAAGAGATGTCTGCACTCCCATGTTTATTGTAATACCATTCACCATGTTCAAGTTATGGAATCAATCTAAGCATCTATCAACAGATAAACCAATAAACAAAATGTGGTGTATATACACAATAGAATACTAGTTATCCTTCAGAAATGAAGAAATCCTGTCATTTGTGACAACATGGATGGAAGTAGAGAATATTACACTGATTGAAATAAGCCAAACACAGAAAGACAAATACTGCGTGTTCTCACTTATTTGCGAGATCTAAAACAATTGAACTCATAGAAGTACAGAGTAGAATGGTGGTTATCAGAGGCTAGGAGATAATAGTCAAAGGGTAAAAATCTTCAGTTACATAGGAGGGATAGTCTGATATTTTGGAAGTACATTCCACAGTATGGTGAATATAGTTGATAATTGAGTATTGTACATTTTGACATTGCTAAGAGAGTAAATTTCAAACGTTCTCATCACAAAAATGTTAAATATTTGCAGAGACGGATGTGTTAATTAGCTTGATTTAATCATCTCATATTATATGAAAAATTATAACCTTACTTTTTACCCCATAAACATATATAACTAGAATTTGTCAATATAAAAAATAAGAGTATATTTGGGTTGAAGCACATGTAAGGCTAGTGGAGTGAATGTGCATGAACTGACTATCACATTTTCTTTGCTATAAATTGTATCCTATGATCAGAGGTGATATGTGGTATACTATCATGTCTTAGTCTGTTTGGGCTGTTATAACAAACTATTATAAACCAGGAGTCTTACAAACAACAAAAACTTATTTCTCATAGTTCTGGAGGGGAGGAGATCTAAACACCCGTAGATTCAGTGTCTAGTGAGGGCCCCTTTTCTGGCTCATAGATGGCACCTCCTCACTGTGTCCTCACATGATGGTAGGGACAAGGCAGCTCTTGGGGCTCCTTTTATAAGTCACTAATCTCACCCATTAGAGCACTGCTCTCATAATTTAATCACTTCTCAAAGGCCTCACCTCCTAATATGATCACATTGGTGATTAGGTTTCAATATATGAATTTGGAAGGGACAAGAACATTCAGACCACAGGAGATGGTACAGACAATCTTAACATTGATGAATGGAGGAGATACTAATGAAGTTAATGAGTGAGGAGGCAAATCTTGACATAAATTTTGCTTCCATTCCTATATGTATAGATAAATCACTGTCCTCTGTATGATGGAAGAATCCAGTAGGTGGCTGGCTGTATTGAGTCACAGTTAGTTGTTGCTGTTTGCAGACTGGGTACCTAGCAGTTGTAGCAGACAGGTCAGCCTTAGTGATGGGAAGTCCATGTTTTTGAGTTCATGCCTAGGCTGCATCTATGTCACATGGTCACTTTGCACATAGGCCCTATCAGCAGCACAGGGCATGGGAAAAAGACTGACTCACATCCATTGAGAAGTAATCTTGTCTACCTTATTACTGAGAATTTTCTCCACCTCGGTGTGCCCTTGGTAAGCATTAGGTGGAAAACAAATACTTTCATATTTCATACTTTCTTCTTTTTACAAAGCCTCCAACTAACTAAATATATATATATATATATAGTTAGTTATATATATACACACACACATACATATATATACACACATATATAGTTCCCCTCCAAACCACTATATAGTTCTCCTCCAAATTTTCTTATAATCAATTTTCTAATTTTCTTCTTTTCAAGTCCCTCTTCAGGTGACAAACCTGCTAGTTTGTCCAAGAGTCATGGTAGATCAATAGCTCAGGTCCTCTCTTCTTCTACACAAAGTGAACTATCATCTGTAACACTTGAAAGCCTGCCAGCCGGGAGGACTTTCCATCACTACTATTTTTCCAGAGGCATCTCTGTGTGAGCTTTAGTACATCAGCTGCTCACTTTCAACTGGGCTGGCACAGCAGGAATTCATCTTTGTATGAGACCCAAGATTTTCTTGTAACTTTTCATAGGAAATTCCCCAGGAAGTCCTCGGTTTGGGACAAGGGTGAGGCAGCAAAGTAGTAAACTGAGAGTCTGCGCTTCATGCAATGCATTTGCCTTCCAGACACCCTGGGGCCAGCCCTCATGGATACCACTTCCGCTTTACAATGTAATTTTGCTGTGTATACTCAAGTTTATGGTTTCATGGTCAGTTCAAAACATGAAACACAGGTCGCATGGTAACTCATTGTATTAGTTTCCTAGGGCTGCCAGAACAAAGTACAACAAACTGGGAGGCTTAAAACGACAGAACTTTTTTCTCCCATAATCTGGAACCTAGAGGTTCCAAATCAAGGTGTTGGCAGGGCCATACTCTCCCTGAAGGCTCTAGAGGTGAATTTGGTCCTTGGCTTTCTCTTGGCTTCCAGTGTCGCTGCCAATCCTTGGTGTTCCTTGACTTGTGGACCCATCACTCCAATCTGCCTCCGTTGTCACATGACATTCTACATTCTCCTCGTGTGTCTGGCTTTGTGTCTTCTTCTTTTCTTGTAAGGACACCCATCACAGTGGGTTAAGGGCCCACCATATTCCAGTATCATCTCAAGTAAGTACATCTGCAATGACCCTACTTTCAAATAAGGTTGTTCTGAGGTTGCAGGAGGGATATGAATTTTAAGGGGACACCATTCAACCCAGTATACCTATGGTCCCATGGTTGGGTGTTCAGACTCCACCAAAGCCAAAAATCCTTCTTTTCTAATGAAGAATGGTGGTTTGGCTGAACGCGGTGGCTCACGTCTGTAAATCCTAGCCCTCAGGGAGGCTGAGGCAGGTGGATCACTTAAGGCCAGGAGTTCAAGACCAGCCTGGCCAACATGGTGAAACCCCCTCTCTACTAAACATACAAAAAATTAGCCAGGCGTGGTGGCACCTACCTGTAAACCCAGCTACTCTGGAGGCTGAGGCACCAGAATCACTTTAACCCAAGAGGTGGAGGTTGAAGTGAGCTGAGATTGTACCACTGCACTCCAGCTGGGTGACAGAGCAAGACTCTATGGAAAAAAAAAAAAAGGATGGTGGTTTGCAGAAGAGGGCAAGACGACCTTGCTCCCCAAATCCCAAGGGTCTGCACTATTATTCTTTTAATGGGACTATTCAGAGGCTTTATACATCTGTCTGCCCCAGAGACTTCTGCTACCTGCTGCATCATAAGGCCCAAGGGTCAGGATGGCTGCCAGAGCCCAGACCTGCTGCAGAGCCTTTTCTTCCTCTGAGCCCTATTCAAAACTAGTAGCTTTATCAATTACAGTAAATGGACTAGAACAACTTGATCAAAGCTGGTATTGTTACCTCCAAAATCCCAGGAAGCTCAACACATATCACACTTCTTGTTCCACAGTGAGCTGTGCAAGGCACAGCAACAATCCTGTTACTCTAGAAGGGATATTACCATGTTTCATATCACTGGGCCCCTAGCAATGTAACAAGAGAGTTAGGCTGCTGAACTTACAGAACATTTATTTTTTATCTGAGTATGTAATGTTTTTATTTATGGATGTAATAACTTAAATCACTCTTAGAATATTAATCTGGCTTCCTCTATTGGTTTCCTCTAAGAACAATTTTGTTTGTTTATTAATGTATGTCTGTCTTTCCCCTTTAAACAGCCAATTATTCTCATACAGCTGCCAATTCTTGAGTATCTGTTTACACTTAAGAAAGAGGACAGGAGAAGGGTGTGGGTTTTCTTTCTGTGATACATAAATGTCTTTATTCTTTTTCTCTTTTTGCTAATTAAGAATTTCTAATTAAGTCCTGTGTGGGGAAGGGGTGGGCTATGTGTTATTCAATAGGCATCACTTTTGTTGAGTGATTATCTAGTTGCAGATTAGCAGATTGAAGAGAACTTTCCTCTTGGGCATCAACATTGACAATAGAAGCCTTAGTCTCCTCCAGAAAGCTCATTAAAATTATTTAGGAGGAGTTCTAGGATTTGCTTCTCCCCATCCCACCCTCCTTAAATCTTAGGCAAGCTGAGACAGTTAATCGTCTTAGTTAGGGCACCTATATTGGCACAATCAGGTGGGGAAAAGGTATAGGAGTACCACCTGGAGTATTTGTTGTGTATACACGTCTTCAATTAACTTCTTTTCAGCATTACTTCTCATTCCCACTCTGCTTATCTTCCTGACTTTGAGGTAGGGTTCCTAGTTTGCTCTATAGAAACCAAGTTGGGTATTCGTGACTGTGGCTTTCTTAGCTGGTTTCATCCTTACACGTGCGCACGCACACATACACACACACACACACAATTCCTAAACTCTCCCGGAAATCTGTTGTAGTCTCTCCCCTTCTCAAGGTATTAATTCCTAATATATGTCTCATTTTGTGGTTATTCCTTTTTTGTGTTTCTATTCTTTGATTTCACTGTGATGTCAGAAAGGATGGGGGCTCACGAATATGCTCTCTTGAAGCAGGTATTTCTTTTTCTTTTTATTAACAAGATTCTATTTGTGGCTTTCTACATTTTTATAATAAAACATTTTTAAACAAATATAGAAGTAGAGAGAACTCCCATATGCCCATTATCTAATTTTAACAATCTTCAAGACTTTGCTATATTTGTTTCATCCATACTTAAAAGTTTTTTCATTTGACAAATCATTTTTAGGCAAATTGTAGACATCAAGTTATTTCACCCTTACACAGATCAGTATGCATCTCTAAAAATGACATTTTCTTATATAACTGCAGTACTATTATCAGTAACAAAATTAGCAATAGCATTTTGATGCATCTAATATTCAATCTATAATTAAATATTCATCATTGTTCGAAAATGCTTTTTACAGTGATTTTAACGTGGGATCAAACATGGTTGAATTATGCATTTGGTTGTTAAATCTCTTTAGTATAAAGCAGTTGTCCTTTTCCCTCTTATTTTTCCTGCCATTGATTTCTTACTGAAACTGGATCAATTGTCTTGCATAATGTCTGAAGGCATCAGTCAGCGCTCTCCAGAGAAACTGAACCAATAATCAATCAGCAGGGTCTTACTTTCACCCACTCTGTGACTGTCAACCTTTTAACTGGAAGGTTTAGAGCTTTACTGTCCAATACAGTAGCTATTAGCTACTTGAAATGTGCTTAGTCCAAATTGCTATACACTTGTAAAAATACATACTGGATTTCAAAGATGTTCCAAAAGAAAGAATGCAATATTTTTCATTAATAATTTTTAGATTGATTGCATGTTTAAACAATATCTGGATATATCAGCATCTTTTTATTTGTTTAATATGGCTAAAATTTTTTAAATGGTAAAATGACTTACTATATTCCTATTAGCAGTACTATTTTATAACATTAACTCTTAATGCAATTACTTATATAGTTTCACTGAAGTCTACTATTTTGTTATTTGTTTTCTACTTGTTCCCCTCTGTTTTTAAATTCTCAGTTCAGTATTTTTCATAGTCCTCAGGTAGGCTTTTCTTTGGTGCTTTGGGGAGTGGATTTTCCAAGAGTTTTTAGTTGTAACTAGCAGAAAGGATGCGCTGCAGTGGACTTACGTGCCCTTAAGAGAACTGAAACTAGTCTAATTACATTTGAAAGTAAGAATGCTGCTAGTTCTACTTTTACTTATTTTAATTTACTGAGATTGTTATTGTGGTTTAATGTAAGGTCAATTGCCTTTAATGTTCCACAGGAGTTTAAAAAGTAAGGTAATTCTCTATTTTTAAGGTCTAGTTTTTGATGTGTATAGGAATTAGATTTATAATATTGATTTTTTTTTTTTTTTACATATGGCTGGTGGCAGAAACTGCCCTTCAAACCTATTTCCTCTTATTTTTGAGCACTCAACAAGAAGCCTCATTTGCAATGAAATAAGGACTATGTGATTGAGTTTGGACCAATGGAATATGGGCAAAAAATGATGTACCCCACTTCCTGGCCTGGACCCTAGAACCTCCTATACAACCATCCATGATCTCTTTCCCCTTTGCCAGTTGAGTGAAGGTGACAAGGTTCCAGATGATGGTGGGACAACGTGATGATAGAGCATGCATCCCTGAATGACTGCATAGAGCAGTCTTCCTCTCCCCACTAATGTGCATTGGACAGCAATTAGAGTGATCAATAAGCTGAGCTTTGGAGGTAGCTAGTAAAATAGCTGGAGTTTCTTACCCTAGCTAACATAGAACTCTACTATCCTATTGATATGGTTTGGTTATGTGTCCCGACTGAAATCTCATGTGGAATTTTAATCCCCATGTGTCAAGGGAGTGACCTAGTAAGAGGTAATTGGATTATAGGGGAAGATTTTCTCATGCTGTTCTTGTAAATTGTCAGTTTCCCCTGCATTCTCTCTCTCTCCTGCCACCATGTAAGACATGCCTTGCTTCCCCTTCGCATTCTGGCGTGATTGTAAGTTTCCTGAGGCCTCCCCAGATATGAAGAACAGTGAGTCAATTAAACCTCTTTTCTTTATAAACTACCCAGTCTCAGGGAGTATCTTTACAGCACTTTGAAAATGGATTAATACACCTATGTAATGGGTTGAATGGTGACCCTCCCTTCTCCATCCACTACAAAAACATGTCCACCTGGAATCTGTGAATGTAACCTGATTTGGGAGAGAAAAAAAAAGGTTTTATTCAGATGTAATTAAGTTTAGGATCTTGAAATGAGGGCATCCTGGATTATTGAGGTGGGCTCTAAATCCAACCACAAGTGTCCCTCTAAGAAGGGGAGAAAACATGGAACCACAGAGAAAAAGGTGATTAAGGAAGGAGGCAGAGGTCGAAGTAATGTAACTACAAGGAATGCCAAGGCTCTTTATTTACACTTCAAACCTACTATTCTGTACTCAGATTTGTGATCTGCAGCCTCTTAGGTGACATAGGAGCATTGTATCCCTGATAGTACTATATTTTTGTTGTTGCTTATATATGAGGTAACTATATGGGAGGAAAGTGCAGTAATTACTTTTTGAATTCAGCATATTAAAAGAACAAAGGGGAGAGATGAGATCTTCAAAATATTTTTGAGGCTGGATCATACTGATCTAGTTAACTTTCTAGTGGTGTTTTGAAGAAGGCGTTTTATTGTTTTTTAAAAGGTTCTTTAACATTATTTGAAATAGTTAATATAAATATTAACTCTTTAACCCACTTTTCTCTAAACTCTAAATAGTTTATTTAGTTAGTTGACTAAAATTTAGATTCATTTGTGGCTTACACTGAATGAGGTTGAGATGCCTGAATGCCCCTGACATAAGAGGTCCTATCACTAAGGCATTGAGAAATACCTGGTGAGGTGAGTAGCAGCATCCTTGAAAAGCTCTGTGTTGGCTGTCCTTTGATGCCTGGATATGATGGTGAGAGGTGGGCTCATTGATTTTTCTCAGGATAACGGTGTGACATAATGGTGCGGCAGAGGTTATGGCAGCTCCTAATCACCAAAGACAAGGTGAGTACACTTACCTTAGTGGATAAGAGGTTGAAAATATCAGCATATTTTGTCCTGAAGGAATCTTTGCTGGGGGCTATTTATTTGATCACAATATCCCTAGGGTTGAAATAGATTGATAGCCTACTTAAATGTTCTTGATCCAAATAACAGAAAAATATTTCTAAGTTTGGATTCCAAATAGAAGAATTACTTTACATACAGCCTCTTAAGAAGGGAAGATGAAATTCTTTCGAGGAAGGACACTGGAGAATTAACACAAGATTATACTGTAGATCTTCTTTCCAAGACATTTTCTAGAGTCATGTGTAGAGAGGAAAAAGGATATATTTGGACTTTATACGGACTGTTGGACACTAGCTCCAAGTTGATGTAAGTGCCGAAGGATTCAAAATGCTGTTTTGTTTCATCAATCAACAGGAGGTCTATAGTGGACAGATAATGAATGGAGTTTTGTCCCAAATTTGAAGTACATTCGTTCATTAGTCCATCTGTGGTTAGTTCTCCATTTCTGGAATGCATAACTGGAAAAGACATATGCAGCAACTTATAGAATCCCACTTTGGCTCTCTGACCTATGGAAGAAGGACCTTTATGGTAGGAAGGATCAAGCAGAAGCTACTGAAACTTTCTCTTCTTCAAAATAGTAAGCCCAAGAATTGCTTTGGATTCTGCCTTCAGACTTGAGAAATACAAGCTTGCTGAAACTTAGCACATTCCCATTTATTTTTTCAGAGATCTTGGTACTATGCCCATGTGGACCCTCCACCAAGCTTGGAGGTACCAGCACCAGCCAAGCAGGGCTCTTTACTCAGGGTTTGAGTTTTAGCTCTATGGAGCTGTTCTTTGAAACTTATAAGTTTTATAACTCCAATCTCTTTCCTTTGCTTCCTCAGCTTTAGGAGTGGTAGCTGCTTCCTGAAGTTGCACTCCCTGTGATTCCTTGGTGTTGGTGTTCCTTTTGGCCTTTCAGTTCTTTAATACTGAATAAAGGGCCTGACTCGATATATTTTGATGTTTGTCACCTTTCTTTCTTTCCTTTCTGCTCACCTGTGGGCAAGCTGATGAGAAACCCTGGGTGTTCCCTCCTTTAGTTCTAGAGGGAAGTTCAAACTATAGAAACTCTGCCCACACCAGAATTCTCACCTTGGCCCCGCCCCACCCTCTAAATATCACAAAAACATCTATTTGTCTTCTTTCTCTGTTTTCTAAAGACTTTTTGGACCTTTCTGGTAAGTTTGCCCTGCTGTTCCTAGAAAATCCCATGATGTGATGATAAACTTTTCTATACTGTCTTGGTGTGTGTGAGGCATCATCAGTCTTGACATCTAAACAGAATTTTGGTTGGGGGTCCCTCCTGTTTCTGAGAAATAACCACAACAAATACCTAGTTAAGAATTCTTTTTTTTTTTTTTTTTTTTTTGAGACGGAGTCTCGCTCTGTCACCCAGGCTGGAGTGCAGTGGCACAATCTCGGCTCACTGCAAGCTCAGCTCCGCCTCCTGGGTTGAGGCCATTCTCCTGCCTCAGCCTCCCCAGTAGCTGGGACTACAGGCACCCGCCACCACGCCCGGCTAATTTTTTGTATTTTTAGTAGAGACGGGGTTTCACTGTGTTAGCCAGGATGGTCTCAATCTCCTGATCTCGTGATCCACCCGCCTCTGCCTCCCAAAGTGCTGAGATTACAGGTGTGAGCCACTGCGCCCGGACAAGAATTCTTTATATTAAATTATCTCTGTTAAAATAACTGTGGGTTCCTCTCTCTTGACTGGATGCAAACTGATACAGTAGGTGAATTAAAGACTTCCATTCCTAATGTGTTTCTATTTTCTTTTTATTTCCTGTGGTTTACATTTTGCTTAATGAGTTCTGATGTGATATTAGTTGATAAACATCCCATAGCTGTCATAATTTCATTGTGTATTTCTCACTCTATAGTTATAAGATACTTTTCTGTTTTGTTTAATGCTTTTTTTTTTACTTTAATTTACCCTGTCTGATACCAAGAGTGTGAATTTGTTATTTTTGTTGTTAATATTTGCTTGGTACTTTTTTGCTTATTTAAAAATACTTCAAACTTTCAGAGTTATTCTATTTTAAATGTATCTCTTGTATACAACAGACTCAAATTTTGTTTTGAGAGTCAATCTGAAATTTCTTTTCATTAATAGATAAGTTTAGACTATTTGCATTTCTTCATATAAAAGATGTAGTTCATCTTTATTCTATCATGATAATTTGTTAATCTTGCTTGTTTGTGTGTATGTCTTTATTATTTCCTTCCTTCTGCTAAATTTGGGCTTAGTTCTTCTTTTTCTAATTCCTTGAGGTGTAAAGTTAGGTTGCTTAGTTCAAATTTTTCTTCTTTTTTATTATAGGTGTTTATGGCTATATATTTCCCTCTTAGTGTTACTTTTGCTGCATCCCTTAAGTTTTGATGTGTTGTGTTTCCATTTTCATTTGTCTCAAGGTATTTTTAAAATTCCCTTTTGATTTTGTCTTTGATTCAATTTCCACATATTCGTGTTGTTTATTTTGTATGTATTTGTGAATATGCTGATTTTCTTACTGTTATCGATTTCCAGTTTTATTCCATTGTGGTTGGAAAAGTTATGTAGCATGATGTCAATCTTCTTAAATTTGTTGAGACTTGTTTTGTAATTTAACATTATATATCCTGGAGAATGTTCCATGTGCACCTTTTCATCCTTTTACTTTCATTTTATGTGTTTCATTAAATCTGTAGTGAGTCTTTAGTAAACAGCACTTTACTGGACCCTGTATTTTAAATCTATTCAGCCATTCCATGCCTTTTGATTGTGGAGTTTAATATCTTTACATTTTAAGTAATTATTGATGAGTGAGGGCTTACTATTGCTAGTTCATTAATTGTTTTCTGTGTGTTTTGCATTTGTGTTGTTTCTCTCTTTCTCTCTTGCTTTTTTCCTTTATTATTTGATATTTTTGGGTGAGTGATTTGATTCTTTTCTCTTTATACTTTGTGTATCTATTATAGGTATTTTTTTCCTTTGTGATTACTTCAAGGCTTCCATAAAATATCTTATAGTTATAACCATCTATTTTAAATTGATGACAACTTAACTTGAATCACATACAAAACTCTACACTTTTATTGCCCACCTTCATACTTTGTATTTTTGTGGCCAGAGTTAATTTCTTTTTATATTGTGTCCATTAACAAATATTTATCTTTTAGCTTTTATATTAGGGTTAAAATAACTTATGTACCACCACGACAGTGTTACATTATTCTGTATTTGTCCATGTGTTTATCTTTACCAGTGAAATTTATGCTTTTGTATGTTATGTTCCTTGCAGAGTGTTTTTGTTCCAATTTAAAGAACTCCTTCAAGTATTTTTTGTAATATAAGTCTCCTCTGGCTTGCCATAGATATATATGTATTTTTTTTTTTTTTTTTTTTTGCTGAGAGATCCATTGATAGTCTTATAGTGATTTCCTTATATGTGATGAGTTGTTTTTCTCTTACTGCTTTTAAAGTTCTCTTTTTCCTTGATTTTTATTATAATGATTTGATTATAATGTCTTGAAAGAGTCTTCTTTAGGCTAATCCTCTTTGGAAATGTTGAGCTTCATAAATCTAGAGGTCTATTTTCTTCCCCAGATTTGGAACCTTTTTGGTCATTATGTCTTCAAATAACCATCTTTCCCTATTTTCTCTCTCTTCTCCTTCTGGGTATCCTGTAGGCATAAGTTAGTTCGCTTGCTTGTGTCCCATAAGTACTGTAGGGTTTCTTCACTCTTTTTCATTATTTTTTTTCTTCTCTGACTTGATAATTTCAAACGATCTGTCTTTGAGTTCACTTATTCTTTTTTCTGTTTGATTGGGTCAACCATTGAAGCTCTTTATTTTTTAAACTCCTTTCATTGAATTTTTAAACTCCACAACTTGTTTAGTTCTTTTTTATGATTTCTATCTATTTGTTGGACTTCTCTTTTTTTCATGTATTGTTTTCTTGATTTTGTTGAGTTGTCTATCTGTATTCTCTTGTAACTCACTAAGCCTCTTTAAAACAATTATTTTGAAGGCTAGGCATGGCGGCTCACTCCTGCAATCCCAACATTTTGGGAGGCCAAGGTGGGTGGATTGCTTGAGCTCAGGAGTTCAAGACCAGCCTGGGCAACATGGTGAAACCCCATCTCTACCAAAACACACCAAAATTAGCTGGGCATGGTGGTGCATGCCTGTAGTTCCAGCTACTCAGGAGGCTGAGGTGGGAGGACCACTTGAGCCTGAGAGGCAGAGGTTGCAGTGAGCTGAGATTGTGCCACTGCACTCCAACCTGAGTGACAGAGTGAGAGCCCACCTCAGAAAAAGAAAGAAAAACTATTCTGAATTCTTCATTTTGCAATTCATAGATCTCCATTTCTTTGGTGTTGGTTACTGGAAATTTACTATGCTCTTTTGGAGATGTTATATTTTCCTGATTTTTCTTGTTATTCAAAGGCTTGTCTGTGTATTTGATGGAACACTGACCTTTTCCAGACTTTATGAACTGACTTCTATGAGGAAAGATCTTCACATGCTGGTGAGTACAAGGATGCTAGGTGGGTGGGATGCACAAATTTTGGGGACATTTGCGGGCACCAGTTTCAGGGATCCACAGGGACACTGGTTCTGGGGGCACACAGTAGTGATGGATCTGATTTGGGGTGCATTGACATTTGGTTCAAAGGATATGGGCAGCATCAGATCCAGGGTGGATGGCATCAGATTTGAGGGATGGTTGTGCATGTGGTGGTGCCAGGGCAGGAGGGCAGGGCACAATGGCATGGACTCCGTGTAGCTCAATTAGCTGAGATCTGCATTGGCAAAGACTGTGGGGATTTTCTGTGGTGAAGGCTGTGGTTATCTGTGGCAGTGGTAAGGACCACGGTATCTTTCTATCCTCCTTTTTCACCAGGGGATGAAGTGGCAACCAAGAAGATTTCTCTTGATGCTGAGCTATGCAGGCCTGAGATATGAGGTTACACAGGTAAAATGCTTCCTACTGTTTTCTATGAGGCGATCCTCAGTTTTTGTGCTCCACGGGCTTGGTACAGCTTCTTTATTAGACTCTGGACCTCTCCCAGAGTTATTTTTGGCCTACGAATAGTGGTTAAGTTACTGTTTTTGTAGAAAGACAAGGGCTGAGATTGCCTACTCCACTATCTTGCTGATGTTACATCTACCTAACTCTATTTAGTATTTCCATAGTCTCTATATGTTTAGACAGTATCTATTGACTCTTAGATATGAGCAATGCAGATTTAGTGTATTTTTTCTTCTTTTCCTCCTATTATCTAGCCTACTTACAGCAATATCATATTATTTTTCTTACTGCTTATCCTTATATATTTAATAAATTTAAACTTAAATTACTTGGTTTATTAACTCTTATTTAAAGTTTGACAGAGGCTGCTCATCAAATTTGGTAATATTTATGGATTCATATTATAACTGATAACTTTTCAAAGGATTCCTGGAAATATCAATGGAGAGGAAAATTATGGCACAGTCAGGAATTTTTGCTCATTAGAGATGGTACACCTTCAAGATATAGAATATTACTCTTAATGAATCAAGGGTAGATATAGCATTAACAAAAATCAGGACATCTGGATTACAAATTGATTTGCCTGTAAAAATATATACTTTTGAGCTACTTAGTTAAATCTTTTTTCAAATCTGTAAAAATTTTTTTGTTATTATTATTACTCCCATTAATAATGCATGCCTGGTTTTCTGGATTCACCACAAAAATAGAACTTCCCTTTGCAGAGAAGGGGAAAACCATTCTTTCTGTTTTTTAGTATGTCAGAACAATGATAAGTCACTGATTTCATTTCTTATCCAGTTCCATCATTTTATAGTGACTAAAATTTCTCCTAAATTATGGATGTTGTTTGAGTTTCATTCCCACAATTTTGACTGGTTTTGGTGCTCTAATGTATTTTAGTGTTAAGTTTGGAAGAAATGCAACAAATACTGCTTGAGTATTTGGCCATTTTCTACATAGTACACAAGAACTTTAGTGCATTTATTTTTTACAAACTATTTTTACAAAATAGAGATAGGCCTATTCAACCTATCTCTATTGGGAGCTATAGTGTATTTTTTACTTCCATAAAGAGAAGAGCAAACTTTTACAGTTTTTATTATGTCTCCCTTTTTTTTAGAGTTTTAACTCTAATCAACCACAACATCAGCTGAAATTAAACACAAATCCTTATTATTCAACCACTTTTAGATGTCTAGGGTAATAATACTTTTCTGCTTGAATAGATAATAGGTTTCTTCCACATTTTAATGAATATGACTGATTCACTCATGATTTTAGATTATTATTGCTATATTCATATTAAGGATAACTCAGTTGACTTCAATAGTTGAATATTTAGCTGGTTCCATTAAACAAACTGACGAAATAACTGAAATATTTTTATTTTGAGTTTAAAATGGAAAACAAAACCTACTTTGCATAACTAATTAAAGCTAAAATTTTGAATTGCCTTTCAAGAAAAATAAAAAACACTTGAATATTTTTATGATACAATACATACATATTGAGGCTAAAGTTTCAAATGTAAAAACAACTAATTTTTATAGGACAATTGTATTAATACTTTATATTCATAAATTTTGCCATTGTTGAATCTTCTACATTGTTCAAAATAAGAAAAGGGTAAAGAGAGCAAGTAGACCAAAGAGATGTCTTGCTATGGGCCTTCAGATCTGAGATTTTTATAACATTGCACTTTTTAGCTACCTACTTATCAATAAAATCCTGTAAATCTGATAATACTTATACTGCCTCGTGATCATAATATACATAGCATGCCTGATGCAAACAACTAAAATAAAAAGTGTTATTTGCAATTGTAATAGAGGTGTCATAGGAGTTTTTAGGTTTACCTTTTGGCCTTAGCAATTATAACAGCAGAGATAGGAGGTTATGTATTGCCATCTTCTGGTGAGTTTCATTAACTCCTTGCAGTACTTAGATGGTGGATAAGGTTTTACAATAGGCTCTTTATATGACTGATTTTTCCAAACAAATGCCTTTATCAATAAGAATATATATGTTTATTAAACTAACAATATTAACAGTGATTGAAATAAAATTACCTGTTTTTAGACACAGATGGTTAAGTTTCAAAAGGCTGGGGTTGTGATAGTTTTGGTCATCATTGCATCCTCAGTACTTGATACTTTTATGCCAAATATGGGGATTCAATACACACATGTTGGGTTATATTAATAGGTCTCAATTTTATCTTTATTTGATCTTGACTTTACTTCCCCAGATCAAATGGAAATTTATTGCTGAGTCTGAGAACTCTGGGCTGTTTCAAAATTTTCTGCCCAAATTTTTCACTCTGCTTCTTGTTTCATCCAAATTCTGGATGTTAAAAAGCCCCAGTCTTATATAAAAGGGCTGATTTGCTTTCCTTTCCAAACACCTTATCTCTTCCAGTGTCCAGGTTAAATTCAAGCAGCTGGTTTTCCCCATGGAATATACAGGCAATGCCTGAGATCCCTCCCTAGCTCTGCAGCTTTATCACATTGACTCCTTAATTCTCCATTATGGAAGCTTTGGCCACAGTGACATGTGACTCTTCTGTTCTCCATTACTGTGTTATCCTTCATATATGCCCCTCCTGGCAATTGAGGCACATGACTTTACAGGAGTGCCTTTTTGTGATGAAACTTCTCAGAGAGTGCACATTTTGGTCGTCAAAGCCAAACTTCTTACCATGAACAATATATACTAAATCTGGAGGGATTAAATATCTAATTCATCTTACTCATATTATGTGTTAAAAACAGTGGCACTTCAGTTTAGAAGAACATGCATAAGGTTAAAAACACACCAGAAGTAGATGTTCTGCAGCAGTTTTGCCTTCTTTTTTTCTCTTTAATCTTTTAGATTTATATGCTTCTCTAGCACAGGAAAAATAATTTTATAGAAAAGCTGTTTCCTCACAGTCTTGTAGTAAGAAATCATTTTCCCTTCCCTATTTGATTGTGTCATTATGTTTTCACATATCTTTCTGGTATATTTCCAGGAGGAACTGTATCTGAGATTATTTCTTCCTTTCTATTCTTGCATATTTGTGTCCTTCTTTATTATCTCTGTCTTTTCCGCTTCATACCATTTAAAATTCTCGTTATCCTCTTCCTGACTCACTGATTCCTTTGTGGTTATATATTTTCCTATCCTTGCTTGGTCATTTCCTCACTATTCTGTGATTACTATGATCACAAACATTTTTGGTGTGATACTATGAAAATGAACTGAGCTTATAAGATACGTTTTCTAGAAAATAAAGATTCACCTTTTATGCAAAAGTATGACTTGTGTCTGTGACCACCGACAGCTTTACTGTCTTCTCCTTTGTTAATTAATAAAAACAATAACAACCATAAGTTAATACCAACTATGTGTCAGGCACCATAGGAAGCACCTTTACGTATGTTATTTCTGATATTTATAAACTTCTTATGAGGCAAGCATTTTGCTACCTCATTTTGCAAATGAAGGAACAAAAGCTTAGAAACAAAAAGTAGTATGTCCAAGGTCAGTCAGCAGAGTTAAGATTAGAATCTAGACTTATGTGAGTCTGAATTTTGTGTTCTTCTCATGAGGTTACAGAGCCTTTCAATACTATAGAAGAATATTTCTACTATGTCATTGCTATTTTACAGAATACGGATAACCTCAAATACGTAATACATAATTTCATGGGTAACTTAAAAAAATCTGGTGATTATAAAACAGCACTGTCCAGTAGAGTTTTCTGTGCTGATGGAAATCTGTATCTATGATGTCCATATGGCAGCTGCTAGTTACAAGTGAATGAAAGCTTGCTAGCTACAAGCATATGAAGCATGACTAGCATTACTGAAAAACTGAATTTTAATTTAATTTAGTCTTAATTAACTTACATTTAAATGGACAAATATGGCCACCGTATAGGATAATGTGGTTATAGAATAAACAAGCTTTCTTGTGATTGTTTTATAATTATTCCAGTATTATAGCATCACCGGCCCACTTTCAGGTCTTCCGTTCCGCTCAGCCACTTTGAAACCATTGTTAGAAGGACAGAAAAAATGAATTCTTGACTGTATCCATAGTAATGAGTGTTAATGGCAATCACTTTGAAATGTCAATTTCTAAGAGCAATATTATGGCATCACAATGTATCTTTGTTCATGTCTAGCTTCTTTTCACTTAATGTGAAAAAGGTAACATTTTTGTCTTTAATTGAGACAATTAGCATCAAAGTGTAATGTAAAGGGTTTCCTTTAACACCACTACTTCACAGCTTATTTTCCTTGTTGCAGAGCATCATTTCTTTCTGTCTGTATGTTCCGTGGTTATATGGTGCAAAGAGGCTGAGGTTATACCTTCTACACCCTGGGTTATTATCTCCATGTCAAAAATTACATGTTAACATGTACAGATGCTCTTGGACTTACTCCAATAAACCTATCATAAGTTGAAAATATTGGCCGGGTGCGGTGGCTCACACCTGTAATCCCAGCACTTTGGGAGGCCGAGGCGGGCGGATCACGAGGTCAGGAGATCGAGACCATCCTGGCTAACATGGTGAAACCCCGTCTCTACTAAAAATACAAAAAAAAAATAGCCGGGCGTGGTCGTGGGCGCCTGTAGTCCCAGCTACTCGGGAGGCTGAGGCGGGAGAATGGCGTGAACCCGGGAGGCAGAGCTTGCAGTGAGCCGCGATGGCGCCACTGCACTCCAGGCTGGGTGACAGAGAGAGACTCCGTCTCAAAAAAAAAAAAAAGAAATAAAATTTAAAGTTATGTAAAAATATAGACCCACACAATACATCTCTATCTTATTGTAAAGTGTCCCTTATTTGATTCTTTTCTATTATAAAATTAGTCATTATGTTACAAAAACAATCCTCTAAAAGCTCCCTTAAATCATGAACTCCCAAGTGTTATTAAAAGATTACCATTATTTTTAAGGAAGCATATCTATTGCCTGTATGATACACCTAAAATTAGTTTGATGAGGGTTAATTCAGGTTATAATAATAAACCAGAGTTGTTTCAAGCAATAGTTTGCACTTCAGAGTGTTTAACACAATCTCAGTTAGGAGATGAAAAGTATTTGGAAATTGAGAACTTTGGATTTTTGGGGATTCATTACCCACTAATGTAAACTGTGTGTGATAAAAAAAAAAAAATCACTCCCAGTGGAATACATATCCACTGATTACACACACACTTTCAAGGATATTTCTCTACTGTGTCCTTCCCTGGAATTCCTCTCATAAGGGTGTGAACCAAGTAAGAGGAAATGAGTCTTTAATATGCTTAAAAACAACTACTTCAGCACTGGCTTGCATTTTGCTTTCAAAATTTCAATGACCAGTAAGAGACAGAGAAGAGACTGATGGAAGCAAAAGTCAGAGGAAAAAAAATTCATTATTATATTTACTATGGTACCTTTCCAAAGCTCAGACAGCATTTTTATTGATGACAAAAAAGTACATTCTGTAGACAACGCTATTGGGAACATTTTGTATCTGGACGATTTATCTGAGCCAGTTAGACATATGCTTCTACATGTCATCAATTCCCCTGGAACAAATTGGTATAATAAAGACGTATTTTTTCTTCCTATGGGAAAACGCAAACTATCTTCTTTATTGTTTACCTACATTTTTTCAAGGTAAAATTATTTTAAATTATTCAAAAGCATTAAATCATGCTACTATTCCCATGTAAAAATTAATAATATATGTTCAAATGTAACATTTACTGAAAACATTTTCTACCGTTGTTTTACTGTTTCCTTTTTCTCAGTTTCTACTAGTCATTTAATTTTCAGTGCTATTGCATAAATATAATTTCTACAAAGATACTGATTGAGACATTGAATAAACCCGTTTTGTCTCTGTTAAAGTCCACTACCATTGTTTCATTTTAAATAACTATCTTCTCATATTAATAGCCTGACATTTAAAAAATACACAAGAACTCACTATAATTAGATAATAATTACCATAAAATTAGGTCAAAATAATAGCTAGAATAGCTTAGAGATTTTCTAATACAAATTCTTTCATAAGACATTAATAATAGGACTTTGTGTATATCAGGCACTAATTACAGCTGCTGTATACTGACCTAATGATCGAAATGCTTTAAATGGGTCATTTCATTAGATCACTTCTCAGTTCTGTGTGATGAGTGTTATTGTCACCCCTATTAACAAATGAAGAAATTTAAATTCAGAGAAGCAAACATGGAGGAAAGAGTGGAAGGAATGAAAGAAGGAAATCAGTTGGCAAAGAACCAAGGATGTAAAATGCCAGTGATGTAGTCAAGACACGTGCCAGCTCCTAAAACAAGAATATAAACAGAATATAAACAGAAAAATCATAAATAGTGGTAGGCTGCTGGAAAACTTACTAATAACAGAATGCAAGTTTTAGCTAAAAACTAATTTTTGTTTATTAAACTTTAAGTTCTGGGATACATGTGCAGAATGTGCAGGTTTGTTACAGAGGTATACATGTGCCATGGTGGTTTGCTGCACCCATCAACCCGTCATCTATATTAGGTATTTCTCCTAATGGTATCCCTACACTAGCCCCCCAGTCCCCGACAGGCCCCAGTGTGTGATATTCCCCTCCCTGTGTCCATGTATTCTCATTGTTCAACTCCCACTCATGAGTGAGAACATGTGGTGTTTGGTTTTCTGTTCCTGTGTTAGTTTTCTGAGAATAGTGGTTTCCAGCTTCATCCATGTCCCTGCAAAGGACACGAACTCATCCTTTTTTATAGTTGCATAGTATTCCATGGTGTATGTGTGCCACATTCTCTTTATCCAGTCTATAATTGATGGGCATTTGGGTTGGTTCTAGTCTTTGCTATTGTGAACAGTGCTGCAATAAACATACGTGTGCATGTGTTTTTAGAGTAGAATGATTTATAATCCTTTGAGTATATACCCAGTAATGGGATTGCTGGGTCAAATTGTATTTCTGGTTCTAGAAACTTGAGGAATTGCTACACTGTCTTCCACAATGTATTCGAAGTTCTGGCCAGGGCAATCATGCAAGAGAAAGAAATAATGGGTATTCAAATAGGAAGAGAGGAAGTCAAATTGTCTCTTTTTGCAGATGACATGATTGTATATTTAGAAAACCCCATCATCTCAGCCCAAAATCTCCTTAAGCTGATAAGCAACTTCAGCAAAGTCTCAGGATACAAAATCAATGTGCAAAAATCACAAGCATTCCTATACACCAATAATAGACAGCCAAATCATGAGTGAACTCCCATTCACAATTACTACAAAGAGAATAAAATACCTAGGAATACAACTTGCAAGGGATGGGAAGGACCTCTTCCAGGAGAACTACAAACCACTGCTCAAGGAAATAAGAGAGGACACAAACAAATGGAAAAATATTCCATGCTCATGGATAGGAATAATCAATATCATGAAAATGGCCATACTGCCAAACGTAATTTATAGATTCAATCCTATCCCCATCAAGATACCATTGACTTTCTTCACAGAATTAGAAAAAACTGCTTTAAATTTCATATGGAACTGAAAAAGAGCCAGTATAGCCACGACAACCCTAAGCACAAAGAACAAAGCTGGAGGCATCATGCTAATTGACTTCAAACTATACTACAAGGCTACAGTAACAAAACAGCACGGTACTGGTACCAAAACAGATTTATAGACTAATGGAACAGAACAGAGGCCTGAGAAATAACGCTACATATCTACAACCATCTGACCTTTGACAAACCTGACAAAAACAAGCAATGGGGAAAGGATTCCCTATTTAATAAATGGTGTTGGGAAAACTGGCTAGCCATATGCAGAAAACTGAAATGACCCCTTCCTTACACCTTATACAAAAATTAATTCAAGATGGATTAAAGACTTAAAAGTAAGACCTAAAACCATAAAAACCCTAGAAGAAAACCTAGACAATATCATTCAGGACATAGGCATGGGCAAAGACTTCATGACTAAAACACCAAAAGCAATGGCAACAAAAGCCAAAATTGACAAATGGTATCTAATTAAACTAAAGAGCTTCTGCACAGCAAAAGAAACTATCATCAGAGTGAACAGGCAACCTAAAGAATGGGAGAAAAATTTTGCTATTTATCCATCTGAAAAACGGCTAATATCCAGAATCTACAAAAAAAAAAAAAAAATCAAAAAGTGGGCAAAGGATATGAACAGACACTTCTAAAAAGAAGATATTTATGTGGCCAACAAACATATGAAAAAAAGCTCATCATCACTGGTCATTAGAGAAATGCAAATCAAAACCACAATCAGATACCATCTCACTCCAGTTAGAATGGTAATCATTAAAAAGTCAGGAAACAACAGATTCTGGAGAGGATGTGAAGAAATAGGGACACTTTTACATTGTTGGTGGGAGTCTAAATTGTTATATTTAAGAAGAAATACAAATTAGAACTGACTTTAAAGATAAAAATGAAGCTCTTATGGTTTCCCATAGAAGTGTTCTATTGTAAGGCCTTTGGCACTTGGTAACTAATTATTATGTAAAATGAGCTTTTAAGGCAAATAGAATTTAGTGATACTGGCTTTAGATTAAATTGTTGGAGCCCTTTTTACTGGTTAGGAAAAAGGCTCACTGGAGTTCAATGACCACCAGTGACTCCTTTAGTACCTGAATGTCGACGAGAAAGTCTAGCCCAGGGTCTGGTGTCTCAGAAGAGATTATGGAAGGGGGAAAAAAAAGAGATGCTTACCTCCTTCACTCCTTAGAGTCATTTCCAACATTCCAATTATTTGAGAGGAGGAAAGAGTTCCTGATTCCAACTCTACCAGCTGCCTTGATGTCACGGCAGACAGGCACAGAAAGAATCTGGGCAGGTGATCTGAATGTGAATCCTCATGAAAACAAAACCATGGAGCACCCTCTGGCCAAGTGAAAACCTGAGTGAGGGTGGAAGGGGCGTAGCAGGAGTGGCTGCATTGAGAAGAGAGGACTATGGGCTGCGGTAGCCACTGCACTTAGCACTTTAGCCATCTCTAGTCACTCCCCACTCCCACCTGGTGTCTTCAGCCCTGCTCTCCATTTTGCTCTCTCCTCCTTAGATTTAACACTGTTGTCGTTGTTGCCGTATTTTTACTAACCAAACCTTGCATAGCCTGCTACGTGTTGCGAATCTGGATTCATATCTACTCCCTTATTTAATTCTTGCCATACTCATATACACCAAATATTACTAGAATCCTCATTTTACAGAGAAGACCTATGCTTTATTATGAGTGGATGGGGAGATGGCTGTTGCTCTATGAAATCCCACAAATGCTAGGGTTCATAGGCTTTACTCTGGAGCATGGACCCCCTAGACTAGGTGTCTTGCTTTTCCCTAAAAAGTTCACAGAACCTTTTTGGAAAGGACATCACTTTTTACCTGGGGTGAGGAAGGGGTGGGTGAGGAGGGGTGAGGAGGGAGAGGAGTGGAGAGTGGCAGTAGAGGAGTGGGCTTTGGGGACATGGTATGGGAGAATGCCTGGATACCAGGCTGTCAGATGCTCTTCTCAGGCTGGGGACTTGTAGGGGAAATGGGGAGCAGTCTGCACAAGGAACATACTTATAGTTAATCTCTTTATTTACATTCCCATATCTCACACATACTTTTACTCAAATCAGGCATATTCATGTCCCAAGGTTCTTTGAGGTTTGGCAAGGTAGATGGATTTGATTCCTAATGAGCTTCTCTCTGTCTTCTTTTACTCACCATGCCATCATTCATGTCAGTCTTCAGAAAGCATTGAAATTCCTTACTAAATCCAATTGTGTATTTTTTCTAGTGAATTTCTATACTCTCATTCTTTTTTTTAAATTAAGCTTTTTATTTTGAGATAATTATAAATGTGCATGCAGTTCTACGAAGTAATATGGAGGGATCCCTTGAATCATTTACCCAGTTTCGCCCAATAGAAACATCTTGCAAAACTATAGTTTTGTAATGTGCAACATTACGACTGGGATATTGACATGGATACAATCCATTGATCTTATTTAGATTTTTCCAGCTTTACATACATCTATGTGCATGTGTGTGTGCATGCATTTGCTTATTTCTCTGCAATTTTATCACATGTGTAAGTTCATGTATCCACCAGTCAAGATACAAAACAGTTCCATCACCACAAAGATTTTCTCCTATTGCTCTTGTATAACCACACTTACTTCCCTCCCACCCCCACCCTCCATTCCTAACACCTGACCACCACTAGTCAGTTTTCTATTTCTAAAATTTTGTCATTTTAAGAATGTCTTATAAACAGAATCACGCATTATATAACCTTTTGGAATTGGCTTTTTTCACGCAATATAATTCCCCCAAGATCCAACCAAGCTGTTGCATGGAACTACAATTTGTCCCTTTTTATTGCTGAGTAATATTCCATGGTATGGACATATCACAATTTGTTTGACCATTTACCCATTGATTGAAGGACATGCAAATTATTTCCCATTTGGGGCTATTATGAGTAAAGCTGCTATCAACACTCTTGTACTGGTCCTTTGTCAGATATATGGTTTGCAAATATTTCCCCCAAATCTGTAGCTTTCCTTTTTTATCCTCAGGTTTTTTCCAGAGAGCAAAAATTTTAAAGTTTGATGAGATCTAATTTTTACATTTTTCCTTTTATGGATTATACTTTTGGTGTCTAATCTAAGAATTCCTCACTTAGTCCTAGATTTCAAATTTTTACTCCTATGTTTTAAAAAAAATCCACATTTTTTGGTTATATATTTTACATTCTCATAGTTTTACATTAAAGCCTGCAATTTATTTTTAGTCATTTTTGCACAAGGCATGAGACTTGGGCTGAAATTTTGCTGTTGTTTGTCTGCGGATGTCCAGTTGCTCCAGCACTACTTGTTGGAAGATGACCCTGCACTGAATTGCTTTTGTACATTTATAAAAAAAAATCACTTATGCATATTTGTGTGCTTCTACTTCTGGGTCTGTATCCTGTTCTTTGATCTGTGTGTCTATTGCTCACCAATGCCACATCGTCTTGATTACTGAAGCTATGTAGTTAACCTTAATATTGAGTAGAGTGACTCCTTCAACTTTATTATTATTTTTTGGATTGTTTCAGCTAATCTGTAGCCTCTGCCTTTCCATGTAAATTTTAGATTAAACTTGTCTATGTTTACTACAAATTTTGCTGAGATTTTGACAATAATTTTATGAAATCTATAGATTAATGGGAAAAATTGATATCCTTACTATATTGAGTTTCACTTTCTTTTTAAAATATATTTTCTCCTTAACGTCCATACCAGTACACCCATCTGGGTTTCTCTCTTTTGCTGCTACCTTTATCTTATCCTTCTGCCTCATCTTCCTCTACCTAGATTTTAAGTATCAGTTTCTTGAAGTTCAATCCTAGAATCACTTTTTCCTCTCTATGTGCTCTCAGACTGAACACATCAACACCCATCTCTTCAATGACCATCAAAGCAAAAATAATGACACACACAAAGACTCACTCAAGTTTATATCCACAAGCTACTTCTCTTCAGAACCCTGGACATTATATGAAATTGCCTAACTGAAATCTCTGCTTGAATATCCCAGAGACACCTTAAAGTCAACTTGCCCCAAACTAAACCATTGACCTTTCCAAGAATCTACCCTCATCCAGGTCTCCTTAACCATCATTTACATATGCCAGCAATCCTGTTCTATTGATCCCATCCAATTCTCAACAACATCTGTTCATTTTTGTCTTCTAAATATGTGTTGAATATGAGAGTTTTCTACAGCTCTATTGCCACTAGGTTAGAACATATTACAAAAAATACTTTTCCCAAATGAGTGCAATAGCAGTCATCTATATTTATTTACTTGTTTTCCTCAGCTACACATCCCTCAGTCTAGTTTCCATTCTGCAGACAAAAAACAAAAACAAAAACAAAAAAACCTTTCTGAAATGAAATTATTCCATCTCCCCTCCCCTCACACACATTCTCTTCACTCCTGTATTCCTCCAAATCAATGAACATTTCTCTTAGGATAAAAATAAAATCAATACTTTTAAATGAATTTCTGAGCTCTCTGGAAAGTAAGAGACATGTCCAAAGGCAAAAACAAAAACAACTAATGACAACAGACATAACAAACAATAGGGAACTGAAACTGTAGAAGGAAGCAAGCTCTAAAGTTAGGGTTGGTTAGGAACAAACATTGAAAGAAGGAATTTACAGTCTGGAAAATTTTGATTTGACAGGATATAAGAAAGATAGGCCTTGGGCCAGGTGTGGTGCCTCATGTCTGTAATCTCAGCACTTTGGGAGGCCAAGGCGGGCAGATCACTAGAGGTCAGGTGTTTGAGACCCACCTGGCCAAAATAGTGAAACCCTGTCTCTACTAAAACTACAAAAATTAGCCAGGTATGGCGGCACATGCCTGTAGTCTCAGCTACTCTGGAGGCTGAGGCACAAGAATCGCTTGAATCCAGGAGGCAAAGGTGGCAGTGAGCCGAGATCATGCCACTGCACTGCAGACTGGGTGAGAGAGCAAGACTCAAAGAAAGACAGAAGGACGGAAGAAAGAGAAAGAGAGAGACGAAAGAAAGACAGAGAGAAAGAAAGATGAAAGAAAGAAAGAAAGAAGAAAAAGAAAGAAAGAAGAGAAAGAAAGAAAGAAAGAAAGAAAGAAAGAAAGAAAGAAAGAAAAAGAAAAGAAAAGAAAAGAAATGGAAGGAAGGAGGAAGGGAGGGAGGGAGGAAGGAAAGAAGGGAAAGGAAGGGAGGGAGGGTAGAAGGGAAAGGAAAGAAGGGAGGGAGGGAGGAAGGAAGGAAAGAAAGGGAAAGAAAGAAGAGAGAGGGACAGAGGGAGGGAGGAAGGAAAAAGAAAGAAAGAAAAAGAAGAAAGAAAGAGAAGAAAGAAAGAGAAAAAGAAAGAAGGAAAGAAAGAAAGAAAAGAAAAGAAAGAGAAAGAAAGAAAAGAAAGAAAGAAAGAAAAAGAAAAGGAAAGGAAACAAAGAGAAAGAGAGAGAAGGGAGGGGAGGGGAGAGGAGGAACCTGAAACCCTTGCATCAAGCTGCAATTCTTAACAAAATTCCACCTTAGTGAAAGAGTAGTCAAAAAAAATCTGCCTGTAGGCAAAGAGAGATAATGAGAAAAACGTCTGCTCTGCTCAGCTATAGCTCCAAGGCTTCCAGAGAGCTGTTTTCCCTGAGAATTTGTAATCATTGATCTGCCCTCATGCTGTATGGGCTTAAAATTTACAGCACCTGTGGAAAAACGCTACACCATGATAACAATTAAAGTGGTCCCAGGTTGGAAGGACACTCACCGTCAGCAGAGAGAAAAATGCAAATCTATTCTAGAGGAAAGCAGCCTCAATCCTGCCACTCAAGATTCTCATAATCTTCAGCCAAACATGAACTTACAACTAAAAAAAGGACCAAATACATGAGGAAGTAAGTAAGTATGAATGAAACTCGATTAAAAGGACAAAAAACTACATTTACATCCTAAGAACTTGGAATCAGAATCAAAATTAACTCCAACGATTATGCATGAAATGTTTAAAGAAACAAAAGACAATAAAAATGAGCAGGGAACAAATGACTCCAAATATGACCCAAGGTGTGTCTATGAAAGAGACCTTTAAAATGTGTTCCTCATTAATAAGTAAAAAACGGTTGCACTCACCACAGAAAGCTATTGAATTGAATAACTGCCATACAACAGACCAGATGTTCACACAGAAAAATGGATGGGACTGAAAAACACAGTGCCATGTGGAAAAAGGTAAGAGACAAAATGAAGCTTAAAGTACAATGATGCCTATTAAAAATGTATGCATTCAAACCCTCTATATGTTTTAGAGGATCATTCCAAGTAAATGATACATAGGTCACACATTAGAATAATGGTTGGAGTGTAATGCCCAACCTGGTTTTTACTAACCCTGTTTTCAGACTTTCCCTCTCCTTTAATCACCTAGCCTTGTTTCCACCTGAATTGACTCTCCCTTCGCTAAAAGAACCAGACAGACTCCATCTTGGCTCTTTCGTTGGCAAGCCCTTCCTCAAGGACTTAACTTGTGCAAGCTGAATCCCAGCACATCCAAGAATGCAATTAACTGATAAGATACTGTGGCAAGCTATACCCGCAGTCCCCAAGAATTCGTCTGATTGGTAACGCCCAAAGCCTCGCGTCTATCACCTTGTAATAGTCTTAAAGCCTCTGCACCTGGAACTGTTTACTTTCCTGTAACCATTTATCCTTTTAACTTTTTGCCTACTTTACTTCTCTAAAATTGTTTTAACTAGACCCCCCTCCCCGTCCTAAACCAAGATATAAAAGTTAATCAAGCCTCTTCCTCCGGGCCGAGAGAATTTTGAGCGTTAGCCGTCTCTCAGTCGCCGGCTAATAAAGGACTCTTAATTCGTCTCAAAGTGTGGCGTTTTTCTAACTCGCTCGAGTACAACAAGAGCAAAGGAAATAGAAGTGCTGAATGAGGATGAAAGGAGTAAATCAATAATAATAAATGATGGGTGAAAATAAACACAAAAGAATGTTAGAAAGCATGAACTGATGATGAAGCATCTTATGAAGGGATGAGTATGGCCAACCCAATCCTCTAAGTCTAAGGACCTCTGCCTGAAAAAAGCAGCAAAATTAAAGGACATCCCCAGATCAGCACAACCCACTACTTTACTGGCTCTCACTCTATGAAAAATGTGCAACTACCTAGAGAAACAGGTCACAGAAACAATCTGTCAGGCCTCTGAGCCCAAGCTAAGCCACCGTAACCCCTGTGACCTGCACGTATACATCCAGATGGCCTGAAGTAACTGAAGAATCACAAAAGAAGTGAAATGTAAATGGCCTGTTCCTGCCTTAACTGATGACATTCCACCACAAAAGAAGTGAAAATGGCCGGTCCCTGCCTTAACTGATAACCTTGTGAAATTCCTTCTCCTGGCTCATCCTGGCTCAAAAGCTCCCCCACTGAGCACCTTGTGACCCCACCCCGCCCGCCAGAGAACAACCCCCCTTTGACTGTAACTTTCCTTTACCTACCCAAATCTTATAAAAACGGCCCCACCCCTATCTCCCTTTGCTGACTCTCTTTTCGGACTTAGCCCGCCTGCACCCAGGTGAAATAAACAGCCTTGTTGCTCACACAAAGCCTGTTTGATGGTCTCTTCACATGGACGCAAGTGAAACAATCCTTTGCTGATGAATTCCATTTAGAGAAGTATGGGGTAAGTATAGTAGATTGTGAAATAAAATGATTTTTAATGAACATTTTAATTCTCAGATGAAGATACTTTCTAAGTTTGCTCTAATATTTCATTCAGAAGCCTTCAAACTGTCAATAAGGCTATACTCCATTCTCTCAAGAATCAACAAACTTTATCATGCATCATTAAATATACATTGTTTTTATTATATTTGTATAAGTGTATAATAGAAAATTACTAGTATTATTTTAATTTCAATACTTAATTTTATTAAGTTAATATTCAATAATCAAAATAGTTAATAAGTCATACATCATATCAATTATTGAATAAACAAGGTAAATATGATAGTTATTAAGTAACTATTTTATGCCAGAGAGACAGTGTAAGATTTTTAAAATATGAAGGAGACACACAGCATGCATCATGATCTGAGGAGAAAAACTCAACTTATGGAAGGCATTTAGAAAATAATCAGTTAGACAATTTCATAATTAACTAAAATTTCAACAGGAATTCAGAAAAGGATAAGAAAAGGTTTTATGAAAAATGGAGCTGAAGCTAACTCAGGAAAAAGGCAATATATGGCTAGGCGTGGTGGCTCATCCCTGTAATCCCAGCACTTTGAGAAGTTGAGGCCGGTGGATCACTTGAGTCCAGGAGTTTGAGACCAGCCTGGGTAACAAAGTGAGAGCCCGTCTCTACCAAAATACAAACAAACCAAAAGCTGGATGTGATGGCCTGCACCTGTAGTCCCAGTTACTTGAGAAGCTGAGGTGGCAGGATTGCTTGAGCAGAGGAGGTCAAGGGTGCAGTGAGCTATGATCGTGCCACTGTACTCCAGCCTGTGTAACAGAGCGAGGCCTTGTCTCTATTTTGTTTTTTTTTTTTTTGAGACAGAGTCTCACTCTGTCCCCCAGGCTGGAGTGCAGTGGCACAATCTCGGCTCACCGCAAGCTCTGCCTCCCGGGTTCACACCATTCTCCTGCCTCAGCCTCCCTAGTAGCTGGGACTACAGGCACCCGCCACCATGCCTGGATAATTTTTTGTATTTTCAGTACAGACGGGGTTTCACCGTGTTAGCCAGGATGGTCTGGATCTCCTGACTTCGTGATCCGCCCGCCTCGGCCTCCCAAAGTGCTGGGATTACAGGCGTGAGCCACCATGCCCAGCCTTTTTTTTTTTAAAGCAATATGTGAAAAAGTAAGGAAAAATAGAAAAATATGCACAAGAATATGCTACACATTTACAGAAATGTAAAAAACACAAAATGAGACTTGAAAATCTAATAACATAATTTTTAAAAATTTGTGATCACAGCCAGGTCAAAGGAAGTAAAAGCCAATGATGCAGTGAAGAAACCAAAATCTTCAGCTCTTTTTTCTTTTTCTAGTTAAGGATACAGATCTTTAGACTGAAAGGGGAAACTAAAGATTGAAAAGAAAGAATTGAAGTCTGGTGTCTCAAAAGACTATATATTAATATTTAGCTGCTTCAAATCAGTAATATCTTCTGGGTCTGAGCAATTGGGATTCTAGCCTAATGAGAATTTGAATATCAATCTATCAAATGTAGGTTTAGAAAATCAGAGCAACTCGGAAACTTTTTATTTTAAAAATGAAATTGATTTCTAAAATTTAATATAAGTATTTGCCATCAATCCTAATGGGTTTTAGAATGAGTTTTTAAATAAATGACTTAAGGGGTATTCAAGAATGAACACTATTTTTCAGATGCATTTTGGGAACCTGTATTATTTCAATACAGCAAATCATGTCATGCTAAAGCAATTTTCTTATTAAAATACGCCTAGGCCGTAGGACCCCTACTATAAACTATGCTCATATGAGCTAAGTCAAATATTCATATGAGTGAGGGAAAATCAGTGAAGCATCACTACTCACCCAGCCGTAGTGAATTATTCAGGCCCTACCAGGTGGCTTCCTGCTGTGGCTTGCATGTTTGCCCCCTCCAAAACTCATGTTGAAAATTAATTGTCATTGTAACAGTATTAAGAAATGGAACCTTTGGGTCCGGGCGCGGTGGCTCACGCCTGTAATCCCAGCACTTTGGGAGGCTGAGGCGGGCGGATCACGAGGTCAGGAGATCGAGACCACGGTGAAACCCCGTCTCTACTAAAAAAACATACAAAAAATTAGCTGGGCGCGGTGGCGGGTGCCTGTAGTCCCAGCTACTCAGGAGGCTGAGGCAGGAGAATGGAGTGAACCCGGGAGACGGGGCTTGCAGTGAGCCAAGATTGCGCCACTGCACTCCAGCCTGGGCGACAGAGCGAGACTCCGTCTCAAAAAAGAAAGAAAGAAAGAAAGAAATGGAACCTTTAAGCATTAATGAGGTCACGAGGGTTCTGCCCTCATGAATGGGATTAATGCTATAAAAGGGCAAGTTCACTCCCCTCTTTCACTCTTGCCCTTCTACCTTCTGCCATGTTGAGATGGGATTATTCCCTTGACCCTGACCCCCTTCGTGGGCAGGAACTAGAGAGGCTCATTTCACTCAGCTGGCCGCTGACCACTCCCCTTTAGAGGGAGCTTGAAAGTAAGCAAGTACCGAACCTGAGGGAACGCTGGAACCTGCGGGTCGCTCCTCTCTGGCGGAAGCAGGCTCTGAGCAGGCCCCGCAGAAGCACCCAAGCCCCTGCCCTCTAGACACCCGGGTTCCTGTCTAGCATCCAGGAAGAATCAGATTACATGAATGGATTGAAGGGTGGTGTATGTGGAGGATTTTATTGGGTGATGGAAGTGGCTCTCGGTGGGACGGGAGTTGGAAAGGGGATGGTACGGGAAGAAGGTGATCTTTCCCTGAAGCTGCACCATCTGAAGTCAGCCACTTGTATCCCCACCGCTCAGCAGCTTGTGCTGCTTTGCCAGCTGAAGTCTTTTCATGGGCACAGGATAGGGGTGTGGCCGGCCAAAAGGGCAACATTTGGGCAGAAAAATGGGGTCAGCTGTTTTCACTTAGTTCCAGGCTTATGTGTTGGGGGGGGGGGTTAGCTGGGAGCACAGCAGTTCTTTATCAATGTGATGATATAGGAAGAAAGCTTTTGCCACATGGCGATGCTTTTTGATCTTGGATTTAGCCTCTAGAATTCTGAGCCAATAAAATTCTGTTCATTATTTATTACCCAGGCTCAGGTGTTCTGTTATAGCAGCACAAAACATACCACAACAGTCTCAATGCCTGTCCCATCACCATGAGTGCCAGATCATCTCCTCTCCCCGAATTTGGTTATAGTTTGAGGACATGCAAAGGAAATATTGAACAGTCTATTTGATGCAGTTATTGGGCAAACCCAAGCAATGAATGAACTCTTGAACTCAACCATGAAAGAGCTCTTAAACTCATGCAGACATATGGAGTAAACTTTGATGCAAACTTTAATATTTGCATCAAAATGTTAAGTAGTTGGATATTGATTAATTTACCTTTGCATTTCATTTAAGTTATAAATAAATTTTTTTTCACTTTTTCTATAAATATTTCATAAAAAACTGTAACTCACATTTGTGGCAGATCAGTGTATGGTGGATATGGACCTAAATATTTTTATATGTGATAACTCATTTAAACCCTTACAGCAATCTTATAATCAGTAAAGATACTTGCTTAAAGGTGAGGGAACAGAGGTACACAGAGACAAACTTAACTTGTTCAAGGTCATACAAAAGAAGTGGCAGGGCTGTGATTCAAATCTGCACAGGGATCACACTCTTAACCGCTATACTAGATTAAATCTGTAATATAGTATCCATAGGTTGAAAAAACATGTTACTTTAAAGAAAAAAAAAAAAGCTTTCTTCAGACATAGTAGATAAAAATTTTAATTTCCAAAATCTGTTTATCTTCAAATTTTATTTTTTATAATAAAGACATTTTAATTGATTTTTTAGATATTTCCCTCCCAAATTTTCAAATCTATTCTAAACAGTTTTGAATGTTTCTTCATTTCTTTCAAGTGACAGTAAATGAAGTAACACTTTTATTTTTAAGTCAAACAAGAGTATCTAGAGTTTCATTTCCAAGCACTTTATAATAAATTCTTTATTACTTACTTAGCAAGTGATCTATACACTTTAAATTTGAGGTAACTGTAAATAGCAAATCAATGACAGCAAACAACTCAGTGCACATGCATGTTTGAATAGCCTTTGAATATTTCCCCAATTTGATAATTTTTTGTTCAGTATGGCTTCGACTCTTGTTTTGAATATACAATCCATCAAAGTTTTACATATTATGGTGATATCATCATATCTATCACATAAAAGCTTGGTTTGCTAAGATAAGTTACTTCTATAAATTCTGTATTATCCAGTCCATTGTTAAGCACCAGTAAATATTATGGTAGGGCAGATATAGTTTTGCTTACTGTGACACAGAACCCAAATAATAGTGGTTTAAAGAAGATAATAGTATTTCTTTCTTTCTTTCTTTTTTGAGACAGAGTCTCACTCTGTGCCAGGCTGGAGTGCGGTGGTGCGATCTCGGCTTACTGCAACCTCCACCTCCCGCGTTCAAGTGATTCTCCTGCCTCAGCCTCTCAAGCAGCTGGGACTACAGGCGCCCACTACCACGCCCAGCTAATTTTTGTATTTTTAGTAGAAACGGGGTTTCACCATGTTGGCCAGGATGGTCTCGATCTCTTGACCTCGTGATCCACCTGCCGCGGCCTCCCAAAGTGCTGAGATTACAGGCGTGAGCCACTGCGCCTGGCCAAGAAGATAATAGTATTTCTTACTATTATTTATTACTATGTAATGGCATTGGTAGGAGATCCAGACTGGATGGCACCTCCAATTATCAGGAACCGGAGCCCCCTTCTTTTGGTTCTACCATTCTCAACTTGTTGCTATCATTTCATGGTCCTAGATGGCTGCCCAGCAACTTCCACATCATATGCATTCCAGCAAGAAGAAATGAAAAATGCAGGGAGAGGGGTTATTTATCCTAACGTTAAGTCAGGACCAGGAAGTGGCCCTTGGCACTTCCGTTTATGTCTGATTGGCCAGCACTTAATTGCCTGCTGCGCCTGGTTCTGTGGGATACTGGAACGTTAGGCTTTAGCTGGGAGGCTATGCAAGAGTTAAAATTCCATTTTCCGGGATACGAAGAGAATGCTTTTTGGAGGTACAATGAGCAATTGAACCTCATGAACTAATAATGCATCACATTTTCTTTTTAAAGATAATAACTCAAGGTACACATTAAAATTTATTTGTAAAAGGTGTTAAAGTAAAAATCCCCCTTAACATTCCACTCCATATCCATTTTCCTCCACAGACTTAATCACTGTTAACATTTTGATGCTTTCTTCTTTGTATTTTCATGTAATAACATATCATATTTACTACGCACCTATTCAACTGCCTTTTTTAACCAAATAAAAATGTTATTACATAGTCTGGTTTTTCATTTAACTATATGTCTTAGAGATTGTCCTATTTTGTTTTGTATGGTTTTATCTAAATCTACTAAGCTGATGCATAGAATTTGACAGTGTAGTCATACCATATATGATTTAACTGGTCCCCATTAATAGACATTTAGGCTGTTTCTAATTTGTTTGCAATTCAAAAATTTATTTCACAAAGATACTGAATTTTATGACCAGAGCCTGTGTTATAGTAAACTGTGGGTATATTTCTATGGAATAGATCTATTGAGAGCAGTTTATGCATCAAAGTATATATTCATTTAAACATTCTTGCATATTTACTTTTTCATGAGAACTTTGGAAACATCAAATCCAATAAAATACATTTTCTTAACAAAACCTTTGTAAATTAATCTTTGGTATTTTTGAAGGCTGATGTAATACCTCGGTTCTTGTCTTTTTAGTTTAAAAGGATTCAAACAAGAGACACACAGCAAAAGAAGTGTAGCATAATTTATTGCAAAAGAAAACAGTATTTTGAAAGCTGAGTGCGGAATAGGTAGCGCACCCTGAGAGAGAGAGAATTCAGGGCAGGAAGCTCATAAGGATGGGACAGCAAAGACTGGCACTAGGGATAGCCATGATTATTCATAAGGAGGTGGAAAGAGGTGTGACTAGAAAGCATGTTCTAGGTGGTCCTCGGGGTGCACATGTGCAGTAGCTGTACATGTTTCTTCATATGTAGCATGTCTCATCAGCATCTTAAATCTCCACCCAAGGGTGTCTTTTTTACTATTAAAATGAGCAAAAGGTCAGTTTGAGGACAGATAAAATCAAAATGAGCATCCTCTCTAGAGGGGAAAGTTCCTACTGAAGATAACTGTTCTTGAATGAGCTCAATTACAATGTGAATGCTGAGACTTATTGTGTTGACTGCACGGTCACCACAGTGACCTGAGAATATGGTCACTTCCTTGACGGACCTATCCTGCCTCAGTATTACTTTGAATATAATGGAAGAAACATATCTTTATGTGATTTTCCCATTCCAAGAGCATAGTGTCTTTTTTTTATAAATTTAAGTTTTCTTTCATGAACAATTTCAATTTTGTCATTTTCTTGATATAGGTATTATACAATAAAAATTAAGTATCTCCTTAAGCATTTGATTGTTTTTCTTATTACGATGACTATATTCTATTACACTTTCAGAAGCCACAGCGTGGCTTAGCTGATTTTTCTGCTCCAGGTCTCATAAGACTAAAATCAAGAGGTCAGCAGAGCTGTACCCACTACTCAAGGTGCTGGAGAAGAATCTGTTTCCAAGCTCATTCAGGTTGCTGTCTAAGTTCAGGTCCTTGTGACTGCAGGACTAATATACCCATTTCTTTGCTGGCTGTCAGTTGAGGGCTGCCCTTGGCTCCTATAAGCCTTTTTCTGGTCTTTGCACATTTTGGAACCAGCCAGGGCATGCTGGGAATCATCTCTCTGCCTTCCATGTGGCGCTCTCTCATGCTCATTCTCTCTCTCTTCTCTTCCACCACATCTCTCTGACTCCAAGCAGAGGAAGTTCTTTGCTTCTAAGAGTTTATGTGATTAACTTGAGCCCCTCCTGCCCCAGATAATCCAGGATAATCTCCCTTAATTACATCTGCAAAGTCCCTTTTCCATGTAATGTGACATTCACAGGTTCCAGAAATTAGGGAATGAACATCTTTGGGAAGTCATTCTGCCTAGTACGTGTGCATACTGACTTTTTTTCCAATTTTAAGTTCATGTTTCTTAGAATTTATCTCTGGGAATTCTTTGATACCTTGATTTAAAGTGTGCTTCTTTTTTTTTTTTAGACACAGTCTCACTCTGTCGACCAGGCTGGAGTGCAGTGGCACCATCTCGGCTCACTGCAACCTCCACCTCCGAGTTCTAGCGATTCTCCTGCCTCAGCCTCCTGAGTAGCTGGGATTATAGGCACACGCCACCATCCCCAGCTAAGTTTTGTATTTTTAGTAGAGATGGGATTTCACCACATTGGTCAGGCTGATCTCAAACTCCTGACCTGATGATCTCTCCGCCTCGGCCTCCCAAAGTGCTTGGATTACAGGCATGAGCCACTGCAACCAGCCTAAAGTGTGTTTCTTTAGAAAGTTTATTTCTCAAGGCATGTTGGTCACTGCTAATGCCACTGACTAAACTATAGTTGCAGCCTGAAGTCTCACAGCCGTCCTCAGGGTAAATATCACCTCAAACAATTTTTGTCAACTTTATTAAGATATAATTGACAAATAAAAATTTTATGTATTTAAGGTGATATATTCATGCATTATAAAATGATCACTGCAATCAAGCTAATTAGCAGATCCATCATTTCACAGCTACCATGTTTTTCTTTCATGAGAACTCTTAAGATCTACCCTCTTAACAAATATCGAGTGTACAGTACGGTATCGTTTACTATAGCCAAAGCTGTACATTAGACCTCCAGAACTTACTCATCTTGTATAACCAAAACTTTGTGCTCTTTGACCAACATCTCCCATTTGCCCTTCCTTCAACCCCTGGCAACCACCATTCTGTCTGCTTCTATGAGTTTGACTGTTTTATTTTATTTTATTTACTTATTTTTTGTTTGTTTTTTTGAGACAGAGTCCCGCTCTGTCACCCAAACTGGAGCACAGTGGTGCAATCTCAGCTCATTGCAACCTCCACCTTCTGGGTTCAAGTGATTCTCCTGCCTCAGCCTCCCTAGTAGCTGAGATTACAGGCGTGTACCACCATACCAAGCTAATTTTTGTATATTTAGTAGAGACAGGCTTTCACCTTGTTGGCCAGGCTGGTCTTGAACTCCTGACCTCAGGTGATCCTCCCGCCTCAGCCTCCCAAAGTGGTGGGATTACAGGCGTGAGCCATTGTGCCCAGCCAAGTTTGACTATTTTAGATTCCACCTAAAAACGAGATTATACAGTATTTGTCTTTCTTTAGCTTATTTCACTTAGCATAACATCTTCCAGGTTCATCTCTGTTGTCACAAATGCTAATATTTCCTTCTTTTTAAAGGTTGAATAATATTCTTTTGTATATATGTGCCACATTTTCATTACTCATTCAGGTGTCAATGGACATTTAGGTTGTTTTCGTATCTTGGCTATTTTGCATAATGCTTGCAATGAACATGGCAGTGCAGGAATCTTTTTGAGATACTGATTACATTTCCTGTGGCTGTGTACTCACTAGCGGAGTCGCTGGATAATATGGTAGTTCTATTTTTTATTTTTTAAGGAACTTTCATACCATTTTCCATAATGGCTGTACCAATGTACATTTTCACCAACAGTGTACAAGGATCCCAATTTCTCCAAATCCTCACTGATACTTGTTTTCTTCTGTCTTTTCGATAATAGCCATTCCAACAGGTGTGAGGTGATATCTCCTTGTGGTTTTGATTTGCACTTCCCTGATGATTAATCATGTTGAGCACCTTTTCATACACTTGTTGGCTGTTTGTATGCCTTCTTTTGAGAGATGTCTATTCAGATCCTTTGCCCATTTTTAAATCATGTTATTTGGTTTTTATCGTTGCTGTTGTTTCAGTTCCTTACATGTTTTGGATATTAACTGCTTCTCAGATACATGGTTTGTAAATATTTTCTCCCAGTCTGTAGGTTGTCTTTTCAGTCTGTTGATGGTTTCCTTTGCTGTGCAGAAGCTTTTCAGTTTGATGCAATTCCATTTGTATAGTTTTGCTTTCGTTGCCTGCACTCTTGATGTCATAGCCAACAAATTTGTTGCCCAGACCAGTGTCAAGAAGCTTTTCCCCTGTGTTTTCTTTTTAGTCTTTTGATGATTTTAAGTTTTATATTTAAGTGTTTAATCCATTTTGAGTTGACTTTTGTATATGGTGTGAGATAAAGGTCCAATTTCTTTCCTCTGCGTGTAGGTATCTAGTTTTTCCAATACCATTTGTTGAAGAGACTATACTTTTTCATTATGTCTTCTTGGCATTCTTTTCATAGACCACTTAATTGTAGGTGCATAGATTTATTGCTGGGCTCTCTATTATCTTCTTTTGGTCTGTTTTTCTGTATTTATGTTAATTCCATACTGATTTGATTACTGTTTCTTTGTAGTATATTTTGAAATCAGGTACTGGAATGCCTTCAGCTTTGTTCTTCTTGCTTAAGATTGTTTTGGCTATACAGGGTCTTCTGTGATTCCATATAAATCTTAAGATTTTTTTTCTATTTCTGTAACAAATACCATTAAGATATTGATAGGGATTGCATTGAGTCTTTAGATCACTTTGGGCAAGTGAGCATTGTAACAATATTAATAATTCCAAATGATGACATTGGCATGTCTTTTCATTTACCTGGGTTTTCTTTAATTTCCTTCATCAGAATGTTATAATTTTCAGTGTAAAAATGTTTCACCTCTTTAGTTAAGTTTATTCCTAAGTATTTTATTCTTTTTAATGCTATTGTAAATGGAATTGTTTTCTTAATTTCCTTTTCAGATTTTTCATTGTGTATAGAATACCATTGATTTTTGTATGTTGATTTTGTAGCCTGCAAATGTACTGATTTCAAACATTCAAAGAATAACAATTGTCCTACATTCTCACAAAAAAACAGAAGAGAGGGAATGCTTCTAAACTCATTTTATGAGGCCACCACCCTAATACCAAAGCCAGACAAACCTACCACAAAAAAAAGAAAAATATAGGCCAATATCCCTGGTGAAAATACATGCAAAAATCCTCAGTAAATGCTAGCAAACCAAATTCAAGAGTGCATTAAAGGGATTATACACCATGATCAAGTGGGATTTATCTCTGGGATGAAAGAGAATTCAACATATGAAAATTAATCAATGTGACACATTGCATTAAGAAAATGAAGCTTAAAAACCATACACGATTTTCTCAATAGATGAAGAAAAAGCATTTGAGAAAATTCAACATGAATTCATGATAAAGCCCCTCAGAGAAACAGATATAGAAAGAATAATAAAAGCCATATATGAAAAGCCCACAGCTAACATAATAATCAATGGGAAAAAAACTTAAAACTTTTCCTTTAAGACCGGGAACAAGGCAAGAATGCCCACTTTTCCACCTCTATTTAACGTAGTACTGGACGTCTAGCCAGAGACTAGAGAAGAAAATGTAATCAAAGCATACACATCAGAAAAGAAGAAGTAAAAATATTTTTATTTGCAGATGATTTAGCCGTATATGTAGAAAACCCTGAAGACTCAGCCAAAAAACTATCAGAACTGATTTCAGCACTTTCTCCCTGTGCCTCTAGCTCTGACTCTCATTGTTCAGATTTAAGTCAATTTCCCTCTCAGATCTGATCATCACTTTCCATAGCCACAATCAGACATTCATGAAGACTTATTTACTGAGAAAAAAATTAATGACACTGACCTTGGGAAATTATCTTTACTTCCACTGTAGTTTGTAAAATCTTAAAACTTAACAGCTAGATTTTCACCTGACCTCTATTTTAATGTTGTCATCATCACCTCTATTTTTAATTTTGTCATTCTCCCTACCAAAGTGAATGAATTTAAAGAGAAAGAAAAAGAAGACCAACATTTATACCATGTAAACAAAGAAGAAAAAAGGCATAACTCTGTTAAAATGACATGTTCATATTTTTAGTCATCCTCCTAGTTACTTTCTAAAAACTTGAATTAAAAAACAGATTTAAAATTTTAATTTTTTGTGGGGAGTTCTTATAGGTTTTGACAGTACTCCCAGTTTACTGAAACTGTTTGGGTCAATTTAATATTGGGAAGATAAAACCTATTATAGTTTTAAAATATAAAGCTAAAAAAGGAAATTCAATGTCAAATATGTACCTTCTCTTAAATGTGATGATGTTCTTTTGTATCATTTGATATTGTTATAAGTTAAAATGTAAAACTATTAAAATGCATGTGAATAGAGATTTTTAACTTGTTTTTTAGGGTCCAGTGACACTTTTATTAACTTGGAGTGTCCAAAATACTTTCATCTTGAGATCCCTTCAAATTATTTCATTTCCCTATTTAATAAATATTTATGAAGAGCCTATTGCATGCCAGGCACTATTTCAGCCACTGGAGTTCAGTTTGTGAACAAAATCAATAAAGCTCCTATCCTCATGAAACTTATTGCTGGTGGAAGAGACAAAACACAACCAAAAAAGCAAAGCATTTTTATGTACCCTGAATGCTTACGTTCCCCCAAAATTAATATGTTGAAATCCTCCCCGCCAAGGTGATGGTAGGAAGAGGTGGGAACTTTGGGAGTGATTTGGGTTATCCAACCCTCATGAATGGGATTAGTGTCCTTATAAAAGAGGCTGAAAGTGACCCTTCACTCCTTGCACAGTGTGGGATCACAACGAGAAGATGACTGTCAACGAGACAGCGAGCCCTCAACAGACACTGACCTGCCAACCCCTTGATCTTAAACTTCCCAGCCTCTAGAATTGAGAAATAAATTTCTGTTGTTTTAAAGCCACCCAGTTTAGGATATTTTGTTATAGCAGCTGGAACAGACTAAGACACATATATAGCATAATGTCAGGGTATGATAAATAACATAGGGTCAGGAGACAGAGCATGGTTTAAGTGGGAACACTTTAGACAGGGTGGTTAGCGAGTGCCTGTTGAAGAGTGACTTCTGGCCAGAGACGTGAATGAGGAGAGTGAGGAAGTCATGTGAATATCTGAGGCAAGAACAAACTTCTCAATGTACTTTATGACCACTGGAGAACCCAGACCTAAAGACCCAGGTTATGAAATAATGAGCAGTAGAAAAGCAAACCTAACAGTTTTGTAAAGATAAAAATCAAGTTCCTGTTGTGGCATGACAAGTCATGGGACTCAAAAATCACGTAGACATAAACATTCACTTAGATAGATCCATGCCAGGGAAAGGTATGAACCCTTACCAAGCAAATTACATACACAGACAAGAGCCAGTGCTGTCCACAAGCAAGCTATTCCTAGGTCATAAACTGATTTAAGAAACACATTTTCTTTAGAGTTTTGACTGGGTTGTGGCCATCTGCAAAAATGAAAACCCATTGGGAGAAAATCTGCATAGTTCAACATAGAACAATGAAAGGAAGTGTCAGCCTGTATCCCAGCCCTGAAATGGAATGAGCTCTGTTTCTGCACAGAAGGCAGTTGAGACAATGTCAGTTACCCATTCCACTCATTTTGGTTTATTTTAAGGAAAATGCAATCTATGCAGTGTTTAGGAAATTATATACACCTTTGAAATTAGGATTTATTGCAATCAGGTAACCTTTAATAATGCAAAATGTGTATTTAAAAATACATTTAGTAATTAAGAATCGTACTCGATGCTTTTAGAACAGTAAAGTGATTAGTATTTCAATATACTTTCATCCAGATTACATTTTCTTCAGAAATAACATGTTCTTTTAATTTTCTATTTTTATGAACTTTGTTAACAATATTGAAAAGTAAAGACAACTGTTGAAATGTAAGCCCTTTTTGTCTGTTAAGTAATAGTAGGAGCTTTTATTTACTGGATTATTTGAAAATAAACTTTAGCAAGAATATTATAGAGGTGAGTCTTTATATTTGCTCAGTGAATTCTCTAAATTTTCTATGACGTTTTATAATTCTCTTAGATGATTTATATTTTAATTTCTAATAAATTTATACTTAAATTCACAAAAAAATGAGACTGATCAGAAACAACCTCATTTTGGAAGAAGCAGGACTGCAAAAATTAATATAACTGTCTTTTTTTGTTGTTTTCTTAGAACTACTCAGGAATATATTACAGACTTCACAAAGAGGAATACTACTTTGCACTAAGTCATATTCTAATGACTAATAAGTTAGAATATGATTAATACAAGATATATGCAAGAGTTCAGGCTAGAGTTACTCAAAGATTGATGAAGCCAGATCATGGAATGCAGTTTAGCGCAGTTACTAGGTGCAGTTTGACACGTTATTCACAATTTCCAGTGCCTCCAAAGTCCTCAGAGGATCCAGTCTAAACAAGCAAAGCTTGAGGAAAGACTCTTGAAATGTTAACTAACTTGTGTTTCTCAAAATGTTTCATGTAACTCTTTCCTATATCAGTTCTCAAACTTCTCTATAAAAAACAAATTCCTGAGATCGTTGTACCCTTTGTTATAGCACTTAACAAACTTTGTAATGAAAAATTTTGCATTTATGTTTTCCCTCCTTGATTTTAAATATATTTCTTCAATGTAGAAACTGTTTTTTCATACTAAATACTAAGTAAAGAGTAACACAAATTTTATATAAATTACACTTAGATATTTATGAAATGAATTAAATAACTTTCAAAATTTGTATACCAAATAGAGAAACAGACATGTTAAGAATATAGTGGCCGAGCGCAGTGGCGCATGGCTGTAATCCCAGCACTTTGGGAGGCCAAAGCAGGTGGATCACTTGAGGTCAGGCCTAGTTCATGACCAGCCTGGCCAACATGGTGGAACTCCATCTCTAGTAAAAATACAAAAATTAGCCGGGTGTGGTGGCACGCGCCTGTAATCCCAGCTACTCTGGAGGCTGAGGCAGGAGAATCGCTTGAACCTGGGAGGGGCAGGTTGCAGTGAGCCGAGATCGTACCACTGCACTCCAGCCTGGGCGACAGAGCGAGACTAAGTCTCAAAAACAACAACAACAACAACAACAAAGAATTTAGTAAGTATCTGAGTTTTGAATAGTCCTTTCCCCCAATTTACTATATAAATTTAATTTTCAAGCATTGGAACGTGGTCTATTTCTCAATTCTGTATACATTTAATTCAAGGTGCTGTAGCTGAGAGTTTGGAGTCTTCCTTTCCATGTCAGTAGGGGATGAGGAAACACACACACACACACACACAAACACACACACACACACACAACCCTGTTATCCTAAAAGCAGTTTTGGAGGTGGCTGAGAGGAGAGAACTTAGGAACTTAGCTGAGGAAATGATGAAAAGGACATTGTTTTGTGTCTCAGGAACCATGTGGAATTCCAAGATAAGAAAAACAGTTGCTAATTTGAGTATAAAAGCAGGAAACATGATACACTTATTTCCTTTTATGCGAACACAAGTATATGAGGGGTTGTGTAAAAATTATTTTTCTCTTGCTGTACTACAAAGAGATAGAATCAAACTGCTTTTTTTCGACATACTGGTTTTTCTTTCTGTTTTTCTTCTCTTTCTTCTATTTCTTGTGGATATTATGGCTAATAACACAACAAGTTTAGGGAGTCCATGGCCAGAAAACTTTTGGGGTAAGGTATTTTCTTTTACTGTTTAAAATTTAAAATTAGGATGTAAGAAATGCACTGCGTGATTATTAAAACAGTGAAAATCTCTGAGACATTTTGTTTACTATAATGTGATTACTTAAAGTTTTCATGTTTATTAACAGAAATCTATTTCATACGTTTATTAGCAGAAATATATTTATAGATATAAATATATACTTATATATTTATTTGTCTTTATAGTGTTCTATGAAGATATTCAAGAAGAATCTGGGTATTAAGTACAGATTTTGGCTGGTGTTACAAAATATAATTAGGAAATAGTGAGGATAAAAATAAAAAACATAAGGTGGAGGTAATTCCTGCTTAGAATATGGCATGTAGATTTTGTTGGAAAAATTAACTTTCATTTGTTTGAAGGTTATAGATTATATATTTTATTTTATGAAACTGAGATTTTCCATAGAGGCTATTTTCACTTATGTTGTGAATGTTATATGCTTTAATTTCCAAAGTGAATCCTAATAACATCTGTACTTAAATGAGTGAATTTAAAGTGCAATAACACAGGTAAAATAAATGAATGACTTTAGAGTATAACAAATAAAACATGGAATAATATGAAATTTGAGAAAACTATAGTAGAAAAGATTAAGTGGAAATAACATCACGTGTAACATTCAATGGAATCCTATCACAGGGGTTGGGGGGAAAGAACAATACAAAAGTATTTTTTGGAGAATTTTTTGTCTGAGTCCAGCCACAGCTAACAGTCCAGTGTTCCCTGATGTTGACAATGGGACTGTGCTGAGGTCAAAACTCAGTTGCTCCAGGTTAGAGGTACAAAGAAGATGGGCTCACATGGGGAGTTGACATGTACTCTTGGGTTCAGGGAAATTTTTATATTAAAGGAGGCAATTTAAATTAAATTCAGAAAAACACTTTAATGAAGAAAATAGTATATATGGACAGATCTGTTTATATGGCCAGAACAAGTTTTTAATCCTCTCAGTGTACAATTCAGACTTTCTGCTGTGATTCAAGGTGGGGTTTTGGGAACTTTCACATAAACAGTGAGCAGTAGTGGCCGACTTTTCCCAGCAATCTATATGTCTACCATCACAGAAATTTGCATGAAAAGAATTCACTCCAGTCCTTTAACCTATGTACTTTCTTAGATGAAAAATGTGGGGACAAATATTTATTGGTTTTAAAAGATATTAAAATTCAGCATAAGAAAAAAAAGAATTAACTCATTCTTTTTTTCTCACCTACATTTATGTTTGCTGGAAGACTGAAAAGGAAGGATATTGGTGAGCTCCTAATAAATTTATGTAACAGAATTAAGAAGAAGAAAAAAGATTATTCTAGTACATTGTAAAGAAAGGCTTTGGTAATAGGTTATTTTAGGTAGCTAGCACTAGACAGAAGCCTTTGAATTGTAGATGTCTGATTATATGCTTGTTAAAATATTATTTGCTGTCCTCACTTATAGAGAAAATAAGTGCTAAATGCACACTGAAAAAGAGCTAGAGTCTGTCTAAATCAAATTCATCATTATAAAAGTGTTCTGTATAAATTATTCAAAAGTAAAGTAGTTTTTGCAAAAATTAATATGTAGAAGTCAATCTATTTTTTTCAAACCATTCAAAATTAAATTTCAGGTTTACTTAAAAAAACAAATCATTATTCACTGACTAAAAGATTAAAATAAACTTGATATTAATAAGAGAATGTTTAGTTGGAGTTCACCTATTGATTCTAAAAATTTAGATATTTTTAATATGGAAATCTGTGCTTAAGAGGGAATTAAAACCTGTTATTTCAAAGCCAAATACTAGTTTTTCCTTTCTCTTGTTATGTGACTGTAATGAAAATTAGATGAAAATAATGAAAACCAGAAAGGGGAGTGTTACATTGATAAACATTAACAAAGCCAATGGAAACATGGAGAGCAGATATAATGTTTGATGATTTTAGGAAAATATATAAAAGATTGTATTATTGCCTCTGGGGTAAAAATATGAAGTATAAAATGTGAATAAAAATATAAACATATAAAATGTATACATTTCCTGAAATATAAATGTCAATCTTTTAAATTTCCATTGCTTTTGTGTATCTAAATTGATGTCTATTTTGACCACTGACTCCTCAAAAATATTATTTTGAGAATCTTGTACAATGCAGTGTAATGCATTGTTATTGCTTCCAAAATCAGTCATCTGCTTGGCACATTGAATTTGGAAAATAAAGAAAAACAGCTTAGAAAAGGAAAACTTGTACATTGAACCATATAAATTGCTCAGACGTAGCACACTTTAAGGTACAGAAAAAGTTGTTTTCCCAATATAACTTTTCTGGTTTACTTTAATGAGCGCTAAATGATGGCATAATAATATCGGGTTATTACCAAAAACAATAGCTTGCATTTTCATAGCTATCACCCACTAAAACTTCCTAAAGGTGTGCAAGCATTTAAGTGCAAGGGTTGGCAACAAAGTTAGCCTGAAAGTGACAACACAGATGCAGACTATCACCTTCCACTCCCTATTTTTGCTTTCTTTAACGCACTTCCTTTCTCTATAAACATTCCCATGAAAGCTGCAGGAAACATGGCCCGTGAAAATTTGCCATGTCCTCCTCTAAGGCAATAGGAGACAAATACTGAACTCAGTTATTCTCTCAGTACTTGAGAGTCCTGTAGAAGACGTAGTTTTGGTTGTTTCTGCTGTCTTGCTTTGCATTTTTTTCCTTATGGCTAGCTTTGTGAAAAGTTGGGGGAAGATGTGGTTGCAGGAGTTTGCATTTATTCACTTAATTCAATTCTCACCAAAAGTACAATGTCTGTCTCAAAAGGATTATGCTCTTGGAGGCAATTATGCGTCTATACATATGCTACATATGCACATACAAACCTATATAGTTGTGGAATAATACAAGATAACATATGATAAAATAGCAATGGTTGATAATATGAGTTAAAACAATATATGGCAGAAATAATCCCTAAATCTTTCTCAGAAAAAAAATGAGGTGCTATCTGTTCCTAGAAAGATAAATTTCAGACAGGGAGATAATTCTAAGAAGGACATTCTAGTCATTCATTTTTTTCCCTCACCAACTCATTCTCATCCAGTTCATTAGTTCACTCAGAAGCGTTCGCTGACCATATTAGGCAATGTGTTAGGAGTCAGTGACACAAATAAGGCATTTCAAGAGGTTTGGGGAGCTCAGGAAAAATGTCACCAGCAAATATGCAGAAGTAAAAACACCCAGGCATGTTTGTGGAGAAAAGAACGTCTTGGCTAGAGATTCTGTGTGTGGTCGTTTCAGGGACATAGTTTGTAAGGCAGGTTGGAGGCAGATTTCTGCAAGATTTGAATGTCAGCGTGAAAGTTTGATCTAATTAAGCCTGATCACTTGCAATCCAGTGATTTATAATCTCTCCATATTCCTCCCTCTGGGAATTTTCTTTAAGGTTGGAGAGGGTGTGTGGATGGGTGGAGGGGTGGAGGGGTTATATATTCTGTGTATTGGAGAGGGGGGACCTTTGTGCTTGATCAAGTTCTGGCCTCTGCTGACATCTACTGACATGTATTTCTCATCAGCTTTTGAGACATTGCCCTTTCTCTGATTTTCACTGCCGAAATCTCCTACTATAAAATCTGGCTCACATGATCTGTGTAATATTAGCTAACAGCATGGCTTTTCCTTTCTGTAAATCCCTCTGGTCTACTGGCCCTTATTCGGGTACTTCTCCATCTGTCTCAATGGCACAGAATAATTTTCAATATTGTCCCGTAACCCTAGAGCTGCAGGAGCCTTCCTTAGGAGGTTGGGCTACATCAGGTGCCCTTGGCCTGGATGCAGTAACACTATGTCCCCTGCTCCCTACCTCACTTCCTTATCTGCCCTTCAGATACCCAAGGGTTCTCAGAGCGGCTTGCCATCTTTCCCAGGAAGCTGGAAATAAGTACCAGTTCCTCTGGGATTCCCTAATCAATCTGTAGCTCATCACAGGGAGGGCTGGAGAGTGATGCTTCCCTTCTCCAAAACCCTTACAGGTCGTATTCTATATAGCTCTTCTCTTTGTCTCCCCAAAGCTCCTCCTCTTTAGATGCATGGAAATTGACTCATAGGCCATGGTTTATTCTTTCCTATACTGTTTATGATAAAAAGTTATGTTCTTAAGTCCTTTAGGCTGTTAGCTTTTAGAAACTGAACCAAACAAAGAAACTCAAAGCACTCTTTTCTATTTCGAAATATCCAACTATTGCAGTAAAAATGTTGGCTTTCAAACAATTATTTATTCTATATGTTTAAAAAATTATTTAGTAATTTAAATGTGAAGTATTGACTTTTCCTTTTTCTATGCATCCTTGCTAACAGACTTAATTCTCTCTAAGGTAATTGATGAGATGCAGGGTTGTGAACTGATTTGTTGGGGATCAAGTGCTGTCAAGAGGAGGGATCCCTGGCTACTAGCAGCAAATACTGTTCTTTAGCCTGTAGAAAAATATGGCCCTTAGGGACCACCCCAGCAGATGGGCATAGGATGTTCCCCAAGAAGTTAAGAGGGGAACAGGTTTATGGCCTGGGCATATGTCCCAAGAATTTCCACTATATCTTCCCCAAATTTGGAAACAAATACTATGTCTCAAATTCGTTTTTTCAATTTGTATTTTAAAAAGAAATGTCTGTGTTGCATATTAATAGTCTATTCATTAGTTCCCCTATCTCAGTTACCTAGAAAGTTTGAAAAACAAACATTTACAAATGCTTGTCTTCAAAATGCATCAGAATTACTAAGAATTATGAAAACTCATCTCACTGGACTCCATGCTCAGAGATTATGATTCAACAGATGTGAGATGGAACCCATAAGACTGGACTTTTTAATACATCCCTGACCTCAAACTTCTGCATCTAAATTCATGAGAGAAAGTGGCCTATAACTGTCCTTTCTCTGATAGCTTTGTCAGGTATCAATGTTATGCAAGCCTTGTAAAACAAATTGGGACGTTTTCCCTACTTTTCTATTACTGGGAAAGGTTTGTATAAGAGGGCATTGTTTATTGTTTAAGTGCTTGGGAAAATTCCCTATTGTAACTATATGTAGTATTTTCAATTGGAGGGTTTTAAATGGCACATTCCATTTCTTTAACAATGGTGAACTACTCAGATTTTCTATCAATTCTGTTAGTGAAGGGAGTTTGTGTTTTCCAGGAATTTGACCATTTGAATTAAATTTCAAAATATATTGCTTAAATGTTGTTTATGCCATTCTCATTAGTTTTTCAACATTTTATTATGAAAATGTTCAAACATACATAAATATTTGAAGAATTCTACAGTGAACATCCATATACCTTACCATCTGAATTCTATCTGTAACATTTTTATAATACTCATTTTCTTTGTCATTCTATTAGTCAATATATTTCAAAGTAAACTAAAGGCATCAATACAGTTCCCCCTAATTACTTTAGTATGCATATCATTAACAGGAATTCAATTGTTTTGCAACTCTTTTCCCTTTAAAGTCAAGTTTACATACAATGAAACATATAAGGTGCATAAAAATGAAGTGTACAAATCATAACAGAACCTTTGTAGAATTTTGACACACACACTTGAGTAACCCAAAGCCCAATCAAGATACATAATCACTGGCCCAAAAAGTTTCCAAATGCCCCCTCCCAGTCTAAAGGCTTTAAGACTTTAAGATTTTAGCTTTCATATTTAGGATCCATAACTGTCCACTTCCAATTAAATTTTTGCATATAGTGTAGAAATTGAGGGATTGTTTTCATATTGATATCCAGCTTTTTCTGCACAATTTCTTGAAAATATTTTCCCTGTTTTTTATTTTATTTTATTTTATTTTATTTTATTTTATTTTATTTTATTTTATTTTATTTTATTTTATTTTATTTTTGAGACAGGGTCTCACTCTGCCACATGGGTGGAGTGCAGTGGTGCAATCACAGCTCACTGCAGCTTCAACTTCCTGGGCTCAAGTGATCATCCCACCTCAGCCTCCCACATAGCTGGGACTACAGGTGTATGTCACCGCACCAGGCTAATTTTTTTCTTTTTGTATTTGTAGAGACAAGGCTTTGCCATGTTGCCCAGACTAGTCTCAAACTCCTGGGCTCAAGCGATTTGCCCACCTTGGCCTCCCAAAGTGCTGGGATTACAGGCCTGAGCCACTGTGTCCAGCCAAGACTTTCTCTATTCAAGTCCTTTGGCACCTTTGTTGAAAATCAAATGGTCATGTAAGTGTAAGGCTATTGCTGAGATCTCCATTCTGTGTCATTTGTTGATTTTTATAGTAAGTCTTGAAGTTACGTAAATCTTCCAACTTTATTCTCCTTTTTATTTTTTAAACAATTTTTATCACATAATTGTACATACTTATGGGGTACAGAGTGAAACACCAAAACAAGTATACAATGTGTAATGATCAAATCAGGGTAATCAGCACATCCATCACTGCAAACATTTATTATTTCTTTGTGCAAGAACATTCAAAATATCTTCTAGATATTTGAAACTATACAATATATTATTAACTGTTTTTCTCTTTCAGGATTACTTTGGCTTTTCGTGACTTTTTGTATTTTCTCACTCCCAGGCTTTATTGAGGTATAATTGGCAAATAAAAACAATATATTTAAGGTGTCCAACATGATATTTTGATATACATATATATTATAAAATGATTACCACAATCAAGCTAATTAATACAACCATCACCTGAGGTAGTTAGCTTTATTTTTGGTGGTAAGAACATCTAAGACCTACTTTTTTGGCCAATTTCAAGTATAAGAAATAATTTCATAACTACAGTCACTATATTGTATGTTAGGGCTCCAAGCTCCTGCGCAACTGAAACTGCATTTTTCTCTCAGCATCTCCCTTTTTCCCTCACCCCCAAATCACTGGCAATCATCATTCTCTGCTTTTATAACTTCTTCTTTTTTACATTCCACAAATAAGTGCAGTCATGCAGTACAGATGCTCGTCCATTTACGATGGGGTTATATCCAGACAAACTCCTTGTAAGTTGAAAATATCAGGTTGAAACTGTATTTACTAGAGCTAAGCTACTGAACATCATAGCTTAGCATAGCCTAACTTAAATGTGCTCAGAACACTTACATTAGCCTACAGTTGAGCAAAATCATCTAACACCAAGCCTATTTTATTAAAAAATGTTAAATAGCTCATGTAGTTTGTTGAACGCTATACTGAAAGTGAAAAGCGAAATGGTCATATGGGTACTGGAAGTACAGTTTCTACTGAATGCTTATGGCTTTTGCACCATCGTAGCCAAAAAATCCCAAATCTAACCATGGTAAGTTAGATTAGAGGCTGGCTGTATTTGTCCTTCTGTGCCTGGTTTATTTCACTTAGCATAATGTCCTCCAGGTTCATCTAGGTTGCTGAAAATGACAGGATTTTTTTTTTAATGCTGAGTAATAACATTCCCTTATTATATACAGATGGTCCCTGACTTATGATAGTTCAACTTACAATTTTTTTGACTTTAAGATGATATGAAAATGATACACATTCAGTAGAAACTATATTTTGAATTTTGATCTTTAATGTTTATTATTTTAATTTATTATTATTATTATAAAATTTTCCCCTTCTTTGGTGTATTCCAGCCTTGGACTCATAGACTCCAGCTGACTGAGATAAAAAAACTGGTATGGAAATTATTAAAAGAACACTCAAAATTCCAGCAATGACCATTGCTAAGAATGCAAGTGTTGAAAGATCTTTGATTGTTGAGAAAATTATGCAAAGTTCCTCAGAAGTTGGTTACGATGCTATGGTCAGAGATTTTGTGAATATGGTGGAAAAAGCAATTATTGACCCAACAAAGATTGTGAGAGCTGCTTTATCGGATGCTGCTGGTGTGGCCTCTCCATTAACTACAGCAGAAATTGTAGTCACAAAAATTCCTAAAAAAAGAGAAGGACCCTGGAATGGGTGCAATGGGTGGAATGGGAGGTGGTATGAGAGGTGGCATGTTCTAACTCCTAGAATAGTGCTTTACCTTTATTAATGAACTGTGACAGGAAGCCCAAGGCAGAGTTCCTCACCAATAACTTCAGAGAAGTCAGTTGGAGAAAATGAAGGAAAGGCTGGCTGATGTTTAAGAAATCACTGTAACCATCAGTTACTGGTTTCAGTTGACAAACTGTATAATGGTTTACTGCTGTCATTGTTCATGCCTACAGATAATTTATTTTGTATTTTTGAATAAAAAGACATTTGTATATTCCTGATACTGAGTACAAGAGCCACGTACAATGTACTGCTTTCAACTTAAATCGCTGAGGTATTTTTACTACTATTTTCTTAAAATCAGGATTTTGGTGCTTGCCACCACCAGATGAGAAGTTAAGCAGCCTTTCTGTGGAGAGTGAGAATAATCGTGTACAAAGTAGACAAATATCCAATTATGTGACAACTTTTGTGTAATAAAAGTTTGTTTAAAGTTAAAAATACTACCTTTTATTATTATAAAGCTGGATGTTGTTAGATGATTTTGCCTAATTTTAGGCTAATGTAAGTATTGTGTGCATATTTAAGGTAGGCTAAGCTAAGCTATGAAGTTTGGTTAAAAGTTAGGGGTATTAAATGCATTTTTGACTTATGGTATTTTCAATGTACGATGGATTTATCTAAATCCAACCTCATCATAAGTCTAAGAGCATCTGAAATATAACATTTCCATTATAGAAACCATATATGTGTGTGTGTGTGTGTGTGTGTGTGTATGCATATATATGTCACCATATTTATCCATTCATCTGATGATGGACACTTAGGTGGATTATGTATTTTGGCCATTGTGACAATGCTGCAATGAACATGGAAGTGCAGATATCTCTTAGAGATTCTGATCTCATTTCCTTTTAATGTACACCTGGAGGGATTGCTGAATTCTATGGTAGTTCTATTTTTAATTTTTGAGGAACCTTCATACTATTTTCCACAATGGCTGCATCAATTTACATTTTCATCAACACTGTACAGTTTCCTTTTCTCCACATCCTCACCAGCACTCATTATCTTTTGTCTTTTTGATAATAGGCATTTTGGCATGTGTGAGATGATATTCCATTGTGGCTTTGATTTGCGTTTCCCTGATGAGTAGTTATGTTGAGCATTTTTTCATCTACCTATTGGTCATTTGTGGGGCTTCTTTTGAGAGATGTCTATTCAGGTCCTTTGCTCATTTTGTAAACAGATTATTTGTTTTCTTGCTTTTGTGTTGTGTGAGCTTCTTATATACTTTAGATGTTAACTTCTCATCAGATATACGGTTTGCAAATATTTTCTCTCATTCTGTAGGCGTCTCTTCTCTCTGTTGATTATTTCCTTTACTGTGCAGAAGCTTTGTAGTTTGACACAATTCTACTTGTCTATTTTTGCTTTTTTCCTGTGCTGTCATATGCAAAAATATAATTGCCCAGATCAATATCAAGCTTTTTCCCTATGTTGTCCTCTAGTAGTTTTTTGGGTTTCTGGTCTTAGGTTTGTATCTTTAATCCAGTTTGACTTGATTTTTCTATATAGTATGAGATAAGGGTCCAGTTTTATTCTTCTGCATGTGGATATGCAGTTTTCCCATTACCTCTTATTGAAGAGGCAATAATTTCCCCATTGTGCATTTTTGATACTGTTGTCAAATACCAATTGTCACAAATGCATGGATTTATTACTGGGCTTCCTCCCTATTATGTTTCATTAATCTAAATGTCTATGTAAATGCCAGTACCTTGCTGTTTTGACTATTATAGCTTTGTAGTATATTTTAAAATCAAGTGGTGTGATGCTTCCAGCTTTGCTTTTATTGTTCCTTTGTATTGTCATCATATACAACTTAGGGTCATTTGTAAAATAATACAAACAGCCTGTTTATTGGACTTTTAGTTGATTTAGTTATATAAATTTATTTATATAAATAAATTTAAGGGCAGTTGGCATCTTAATAATATTGAGGCTTGTAATTCACAAATATAGTATATCTCTCCACTTTTTAGACCTTTAATTTATTTCAGTAGTATTTCAAAATTTGTGGTGCAGACATCTTGCATACATTTTGTAAAAAAAGATGCCTAGGTATGTTATGCTTAATGATGCTATTGTAATGGTGTAATTATACTTTCCAGTTGTTTGCTGCTAGTATATAAACGTATTTTTATATATAAGTCTTACATTCTGCAGTCTTGCTTAATATAATTTGTAGTTATATTTTAGAATACATAAGATTTTCAATATAAAAAACAAGCTAATAGCTGAGTGCATTGGTGTGTGCCTGTAGTCTCAGTTACTTGGAGACTGAGGTGGGAGGGTCATTTGAGCCCAAAACTTTGAGACCAGCCTGGATGATATAGTAAGTCCCTGTCTCTAAAATCTCTTAAAAACTAAATCAATCAATCAAGCTAATAGATTTATTTATATCCTGTCCCAATTCTTTGTATTATAATTATTACATATTAAATCTATATAAACTATACATTTCATATGAAAATATTTTAATTTTTGCTCTAGCTAGAAAAATATATTTTAAAGAAATTGATGGAAAAGAGTCTTCTATATTTACTCTGATACTATTTCTGATGGTCTCAATTTCTTCTTAAAGATCCCAGTTTTCATTATCCCCAGACTAAGGATTTTCTTCAGCACATGTTTTAGTGTAGGTGTGCTGGTGATTAATTTGAATTCTGTTTCACCTGAAAGAGTATTTATTTTTTTATTTTTTTTTTTATTATACTCTAAGTTTTAGGGTACATGTGCACATTGTGCAGGTTAGTTACATATGTATACATGTGCCATGCTGGTGCGCTGCACCCACTAATGTGTCATCTAGCATTAGGTATATCTCCCAATGCTATCCCTCCCCCCTCCCCCGACCCCACCACAGTCCCCAGAGTGTGATATTCCCCTTCCTGTGTCCATGTGATCTCATTGTTCAATTCCCACCTATGAGTGAGAATATGCGGTGTTTGGTTTTTTGTTCTTGCGATAGTTTACTGAGAATGATGGTTTCCAATTTCATCCATGTCCCTACAAAGGATATGAACTCATCATTTTTTATGGCTGCATAGTATTCCATGGTGTATATGTGCCACATTTTCTTAATCCAGTCTACCATTGTTGGACATTTGGGTTGGTTCCAAGTCTTTGCTATTGTGAATAGTGCCGCAATAAACATACGTGTGCATGTGTCTTTATAGCAGCATGATTTATACTCATTTGGGTATATACCCAGTAACGGGATGGCTGGGTCAAATGGTATTTCTAGTTCTAGATCCCTGAGGAATCGCCACACTGACTTCCACAATGGTTGAACTAGTTTACAGTCCCACCAACAGTGTAAAAGTGTTCCTATTTCTCCGCATCCTCTCCAGCACCTGTTGTTTCCTGACTTTTTAATGATTGCCATTCTAACTGGTGTGAGATGATATCTCATAGTGGTTTTGATTTGCATTTCTCTGATGGCCAGTGATGATGAGCATTTCTTCATGTGTTTTTTGGCTGCATAAATGTCTTCTTTTGAGAAGTGTCTGTTCATGTCCTTCGCCCACTTTTTGATGGGGTTGTTTGTTTTTTTCTTGTAAATTTGTTTGAGTTCATTGTAGATTCTGGATATTAGCACTTTGTCAGATGAGTAGGTTGCGAAAATTTTCTCCCATGTTGTAGGTTGCCTGTTCACTCTGATGGTAGTTTCTTTTGCTGTGCAGAAGCTCTTTAGTTTAATTAGATCCCATTTGTCAATTTTGTCTTTTGTTGCCATTGCTTTTGGTGTTTTGGACATGAAGTCCTTGCCCACGCCTATGTCCTGAATGGTAATGCCTAGGTTTTCTTCTAGGGTTTTTATGGTTTTAGGTTTAACGTTTAAATCTTTAATCCATCTTGAATTGATTTTTGTATAAGGTGTAAGGAAGGGATCCAGTTTCAGCTTTCTACATATGGCTAGCCAGTTTTCCCAGCACCATTTATTAAATAGGGAATCCTTTCCCCATTGCTTGTTTTTCTCAGGTTTGTCAAAGATCAGATAGTTGTAGATATGCGGCATTATTTCTGAGGGCTCTGTTCTGTTCCATTGATCTATATCTCTGTTTTGGTACCAGTACCATGCTGTTTTGGTTACTGTAACCTTGTAGTATAGTTTGAAGTCAGGTAGTGTGATGCCTCCAGCTTTGTTCTTTTGGCTTAGGATTGACTTGGCAATGCGGGCTCTTTTTTGGTTCCATATGAACTTTAAAGTAGTTTTTTCCAATTCTGTGAAGAAAGTCATTGGTAGCTTGATGGGGATGGCATTGAATCTGTAAATTACCTTGGGCAGTATGGCCATTTTCACGATATTGATTCTTCCTACCCATGAGCATGGAATGTTCTTCCATTTGTTTGTCTCCTCTTTTATTTCCTTGAGCAGTGGTTTGTAGTTCTCCTTGAAGAGGTCCTTCACATCCCTTGTAAGTTGGATTCCTAGGTATTTTATTCTCTTTGAAGCAATTGTGAATGGGAGTTCACCCGTGATTTGGCTCTCTGTTTGTCTGTTGTTGGTGTATAAGAATGCTTGTGATTTTTGTACATTGATTTTGTATCCTGAGACTTTGCTGAAGTTGCTTATCAGCTTAAGGAGATTTTGGGCTGAGACGATGGGGTTTTCTAGATAAACAATCATGTCGTCTGCAAACAGGGACAATTTGACTTCCTCTTTTCCTAATTGAATACCCTTTATTTCCTTCTCCTGCCTGATTGCCCTGGCCAGAACTTCCAACACTATGTTGAATAGGAGTGGTGAGAGAGGGCATCCCTGTCTTGTGCCAGTTTTCAAAGGGAATGCTTCCAGTTTTTGCCCATTCAGTATGATATTGGCTGTGGGTTTGTCATAGATAGCTCTTATTATTTTGAAATACGTCCCATCAATACCTAATTTATTGAGAGTTTTTAGCATGAAGGGTTGTTGAATTTTGTCAAAGGCTTTTTCTGCATCTATTGAGATAATCATGTGGTTTTTGTCTTTGGCTCTGTTTATATGCTGGATTACATTTATTGATTTGCGTATATTGAACCAGCCTTGCATCCCAGGGATGAAGCCCACTTGATCATGGTGGATAAGCTTTTTGATGTGCTGCTGGATTCGGTTTGCCAGTATTTTATTGAGGATTTTTGCATCAATGTTCATCAAGGATATTGGTCTAAAATTCTCTTTTTTGGTTGTGTCTCTGCCTGGCTTTGGTATCAGAATGATGCTGGCCTCATAAAATGAGTTAGGGAGGATTCCCTCTTTTTCTATTGATTGGAATAGTTTCAGAAGGAATGGTACCAGTTCCTCCTTGTACCTCTGGTAGAATTCGGCTGTGAATCCATCTGGTCCTGGACTCTTTTTGGTTGGTAAACTATTGATTATTGCCACAATTTCAGAGCCTGTTATTGGTCTATTCAGAGATTCAACTTCTTCCTGGTTTAGTCTTGGGAGAGTGTATGTGTCGAGGAATGTATCCATTTCTTCTAGATTTTCTAGTTTATTTGCGTAGAGGTGTTTGTAGTATTCTCTGATGGTAGTTTGTATTTCTGTGGGATCGGTGGTGATATCCCCTTTATCATTTTTTATTGTGTCTATTTGATTCTTCTCTCTTTTTTTCTTTATTAGTCTTGCTAGCGGTCTATCAATTTTGTTGATCCTTTCAAAAAACCAGCTCCTGGATTCATTGATTTTTTGAAGGGTTTTTTGTGTCTCTATTTCCTTCAGTTCTGCTCTGATTTTAGTTATTTCTTGCCTTCTGCTAGCTTTTGAATGTGTTTGCTCTTGCTTTTCTAGTTCTTTTAATTGTGATGTTAGGGTGTCAATTTTGGATCTTTCCTGCTTTCTCTTGTAGGCATTTAGTGCTATAAATTTCCCTCTACACACTGCTTTGAATGCGTCCCAGAGATTCTGGTATGTGGTGTCTTTGTTCTCGTTGGTTTCAAAGAACATCTTTATTTCTGCCTTCATTTCGTTATGTACCCAGTAGTCATTCAGGAGCAGGTTGTTCAGTTTCCATGTAGTTGAGCGGCTTTGAGTGAGATTCTTAATCCTGAGTTCTAGTTTGATTGCACTGTGGTCTGAGAGATAGTTTGTTATAATTTCTGTTCTTTTACATTTGCTGAGGAGAGCTTTACTTCCAACTATGTGGTCAATTTTGGAATAGGTGTGGTGTGGTGCTGAAAAAAATGTATATTCTGTTGATTTGGGGTGGAGAGTTCTGTAGATGTCTATTAGGTCTGCTTGGTGCAGAGCTGAGTTCAATTCCTGGGTATCCTTGTTCAATTCCTGGGAACTCCCTGACCCCTTGCGCTTCCCAGGTGAGGCAATGCCTCGCCCTGCTTCGGCTCGCGCACGGTGCGCACACACACTGGCCTGCGCCCACTGTCTGGCACTCCCTAGTGAGATGAACCCGGTACCTCAGATGGAAATGCAGAAATCACCCGTCTTCTGCGTCGCTCACCCTGGGAGCTGTAGACCGGAGCTGTTCCTATTCGGCCATCTTGGCTCCTCCCCCTGAAAGAGTATTTATTTCACTACTATACTTAAGGGATACTTTTGCTGGATATAAAATTCTGAGTTGACAGCTTTTTTAAAATCACTTTAAAATATCACCGTGTCTTATTAAAAGTGAGTATTTAAATAATTGTCTTTTATGAATGTAATGTTATTATTATTTGTAATTTGGCTGTGTTCAAGTTTTTTTTGTTAACCTTTGATCTTCAGCTGTTTGACTATGACGTGCATAGTTCTTTATATATATTCTGCTTGATGTTACTGAGACTCTTGATTTGTAGATTAATTTGTTTCACTAATTTTGAAAAATTTCAGCCTCATTTATTCAAAATGTTTTTAGCTCCATCCACCCTTTCCTCTGTTTGGGGGATTATAATTGCACATTTGTTAAATATTTTTATATAGTTCCACAAGGCCTAGAGGCTTGCTTTTTCCCCCCAATATTTTTCTCCATTTTTCAAATTGGATAAGTTCTATTAATACACCTTTAAGTTGGCCGATTCTTTTCTCTCTCATTTTAATTTCACTGTTAAGCTCATGGTATAAATTTTTTAGTTCTCATTTTTTTAGTTTTAGAATATCCATTTTGTTATTTCTTATAGTTTCTATTTCTTTGCTGAAATTTCCTATCATTTTATTCATTGTGAGTGTTTTACTTGAAATCATTGAATATGGACATATGAGTTGCTTTAAAATTTTTGTCTGCTAATTATGTCTGGATCATCTTAAAGTTTGTTTTTGTTGACTGTCTTTTCTCTTAAGAATGGATCACATTTTCCTGTTTCTTCATGTGCCCAGTAATTTCATATTGTATCTTGAACATTTTGAATGGATTCTGCTATATTACCCTGAAGAGTGTTATGATGTATGTTTTCCCCCTAGTTTATTTTCACAGGCAAATAACTCTGTGGAACTACAACTACAGAAACCTATAAAGCCTGTCCCTTGGGCAGCAGCTTAAATCTCACTTTAGTTTATTTTTTTTTCTCTAGTGCTGTTTGGAATACATCCCACGTATGTGTGATTCAGGAGTCAACCAAAGATATGTGAAATGTTTATAAATAAAATTTGGGGATTCTCCTCTCTGGCTTTCTCTTCTCCAGGATTTCCCTCTCACATTCTCAGCAGCTCTTGTTTCCACAATCTCTGTCCTTTGTTTCTCAAGATCAGAAACAGTGCAGGTTTTCGACTGTAGCTTTACCTGTCCCAGACTGGAAGCTTCCCTCAGGTTAAAAGGTTTGAAAACTGGAGCTTGACTAGTACTTGCTGTTCTTTTCTTCCAGGTCTCAACTCCTCTCCAGTAGCTACAAGCATTTGGTCATTCTTAAGGCCTTTAGGTAGAATTTTTTTTTATATTGTTTTCAGTGTTCATAGTCATTATTACTTGAAAGGGTCAGTTCATAAAAGCTGATTTGGAATCCTAGCTTGATGTTTTTATTGCCTGTATCTGTTCTAATGTCACATTTCTTACTCTTGATATTGGTGATTTTCTCTTTCTCTCTGTCTCTTTCTCTTGCTCCTGCCCACTCTTTTTCCCTCTTTCTCTTTCTCTCCTCTTTCCATCCTTGTCGTTCCAATTAGTATTTTATTCATTTTTATTAGATTTTTTTCATATCTGGCTTTGATAATTTCCTCTATTTTTTCTTTTTCTTTTTTTTTTTTTTTTGCCCCTGTTTCATTAAGTTCTGCTTTCTCTTATTTACTGTATGCTACTTTACTTATGTTTCAGCTAGTGATCTTTTCCTAGCTTCTTAATATGGAAACTGAAATAATTGTTTTTGTAGGCTTTCTTATTTTAAAATGTATACCTATAAAGCTATAAATGTTCTTATGAATGTGGCTTTAGGCACATCTCACATGTTTCGATATTTCACAATTTTATCAGAATTCAGTTAAAATATTTTATAATTTTCATTAGGTATTTTATTTAATTTTCTTTATAGATCCTCAATCTCTGCTGAAAATTTTTAACTTGTTAATTTTTTAAACACATTAATCAAGTTATTTTAATATTTTTGTCTGATAATTCAAATATTTTCATAACTTACAGATATTTTTCCATTTTCTATTTGTTCTTTTAGTTTTTGTTTACTTTGTCTTGCCTCTTAGGATGACTTGTAATTTATTATTTATAACACATATATATATAACATTATTAGGTATATATAAATTTATTTAAGTATATAACTTTCTATTTCATATATATGTATAAAACTTTCCTTCTGGCAGTTAGGGGAAGATCACCTCAGTCCAACTTGGGATTGATCTATATTTTTATCTTTGTGAGGTCTGGTCTTTCTCCTGTTTACCATTAAGCTTAGGGAGTAGATCCTAGGGGGCCTAATTCCAGATTCTGGGATGTTTCCTAGGGTCCAACTTCCTTGGCAGCCCCTGAACACCAACTTATGTTTTCTAAGCTTACTTATAGTGCACAGCATTCTACTCAGATATTTTTGTTTCTTTTTACAGATTATTGTGATGAAAGATTTTCTTTTCTCCTGGAATTTGCTCCTTTGATTTAATAGTTTTGATAAGTCTCTGATGGCTTCAAACAAATTTAAGAAAATATTTTATTCTCCATTGTACGCTTGCTCTCATTGGTTTGATACATGTTAGTCTATCATATACAGAAAGGGGTGTGCTACCTTGATACTTTTGAATTTGCCCTCACCTCTAGCAATACTGTTAACTAATTATATTCAGAATATGGCTTGTGCTTTATAATTTTGATCAAAACTACTTTCAAATCTCCAAGCCTTTTGTTTATTTGACCACTACCATTCACAAAAAGGCATCTACAATTTATTTTTTCCATGAAGCTTTTTTAAACCTTCCAGATATATGTTATCCTCCTATCTTTCAAACATAATGACATTTTCAGCTCATAATGGTTATGCGTCTCATTCACATTTTCTTAGAGTATAAATTAATGAATGTAGTTTCCATTAACCAGGAAGGAAAAAAGAAAAACAAGAATTCCATTTAGGCTTCAGAGGTGGGACAGGGTGTCATTTTAGGTGGAGCAGCCAGGGTAGACCTCAATGAGAAACTTACATATAAGCAAAAGACCTGAAATTAACCATACAGATAGCTGAGGAAATAATTTTAGGAATAGATTACAACCAGGGATGGGCCCTAAGTCAGGAGCCAGCCCATCTGATGTACTTAAGGAATGGTGAGGGGGGAAGTGCAGACAGAGCTCAGTGACCCAAAGGAAGAGTAGAGGAGATGGGCTCAGATAATTGGGAGCCTATCAAGTAGGGACTTTTAGGATATTCTTAGGCATTTGTTTTTACTCTGGGAGAAGTGGAGGATTTAGAACAGAAGATTGATATGATTTGACTTACATTTTATAATGTTCTCTCTGACTACTGCATTGAGCACATTGTTGGGGTGTGAGGGATATGGCAAGGACAGAAGCAGGAAGACCATATTCCAGGTCACAGATGTGGGAATGTGGCCACTTGGATCAGTGAAGTCGCAGAGTGGGTAGTGAGAAGTTGAATTCTGGATTTCTTTTTGTTTGTGAAAACAGACCCAATAAGATGTTCTGGCACATGAGATATAATGGAAAATACTCCTCGGCTGTTTAAATTATTATAATCAATCAAATTTCTATGCCCTAAATATTATTCTCCCTAAAAGCCCTTTTCGTCAAAAGTAGTTCTATTGCCTGAACCATTCTCCTATACACTCTATGATACCAAGGACTTCATGGCCTGCTTTGGTGAACATTGAACTTATGATTCTTAACAACTGCAAAGGGTTTTTGAATGTTTTAAACAATGTTACATTCTGCCATCACTGATAAATCACTTTCAGAGTTGGAATGCTTCAACTCAAGGCCACTAGATGGTGACCTCTACTAAATTTTAATACCAGTGGATGGAATTTGAGGTATTGATTATATTTACTAAAAATCATATTCAATATTACAATATTAAAATTGGAAGACACGAACGTGGCTGTTATTATCAGGCCAAGAAGGGTCAAATGACTTGAGGAAATTACACAACTATTAGCAGTAAGAGCCAGTGTTCGTTGAGGGCTTGTTATGTGCCATCTACTTGCTAGTTTTGTAGGTACGTATTACAAATTAGGATGACATATATTTAATTTATATGGCATAGCTGACCAATGTTAGAGTTTTTTCCTTCTGCTTTCAAAAGGAAAGTTAACATTTTTAAAAGTAATCATTTGGTCTCATAAGTTGCATTATATTGCAATTATTAAGAAGAAAGATTATGGCTCATTTTTCTTCTCCTTAGATTGTTGAGAAGTAAGAAGGCATATCATTTTTTAAAAAGTAATATCTTTGCCAATGTCTTTTTTTTCAGTTACATTTTCTTCTACACTAGGTTTTAAAAAAGGCTCCCAAAATACATTGTCAAAAGTCTGCCAGAATGGAATTACATATATGAAAATTTAAAGCTGTATGACCAGTAGATGCTGCTTTCATCACACAGTTTCTAAATTCTAGTTTGGGCAGGTCAGAAAAATCATCAACTATAATTAAATGAAAAAAAAATGTGTATGAAAACCACCCCTGTTATTTGACTCAGCATCTCTTTCTTATTGCCTTTCTGCATTTCTACATTTGCCTTTGCTGTTTGGACTTAAGGGAGCTTAAGAAGATAGATAAGTATTTTACCATATACCTCAGGAAGTCTTAGAAATTCTTCTGTCAGCAGTATTATTTGTAGGTGTTTTAATATTCTGCAAGGTATAAGAATTAGTGCAATGATTTCTGATATGGTTTGGCTGTGTCCCCACCCAAATCTCATTTTGAATTCCCACATGTTGTGGGAGGGACCCGGTGGAAGGTAATTGAATCATGGGGGCAGGAATTTCCTGTGCTGTTCTTGTGATACTGAGTAAGTCTCACGAGATCTGATGGTTATTATGAGGGGGAGTTTTCCTGCACAAGCTCTCTTCGTCTGCTGCCATCCATGCAAGATGTGGCTTGCTCCTGCTTGTCTTCCACCAGGATTGTGAGGCCTCCCCAGCCATGTGGAAATGTAAGTCCAATTAAACCTCTTTCTTTTGTAAATTGCCCAGTCTCAGGTATGTCTTTATCAGCAGCATGAAAACAGACTAATGCAATTTCTAAAGTGTGTATTTTACTGACTTTATGGATTAAGAAGTCGTTTTCATGATGCGTGTACTCTACTGAGCAAAAATTAAACAAATCCATATCAAAAGCAATTTTTTTGTAATTTGTATAATTTCCGTTGCACCCCCATCTTATCCTACTTTATATTCATTCAAAATTTAAATAGCCTATTATTGTGTGTATATATTATTATTATGATTCTCACGTACATTTTAAATTCATTATTTAATCCTTTTTGGATATCTATATAACCCAATATTTGATGACATTTTAAGTCATTTCCCCAAATTTTGGGCATAGACAATAGGTTTACCATATCAAATCAAAGTATTACCAAGCCACAGAGAATGATCATTTTAAATAGGTTTGTTGTCAAATTCCTCTCATGGAAATATTGTTATAGTTTTAGTGCCACAAAAATAATCTTTTTAGTTCCCAAACTGAAACTTGTCATTTAAGAAAATTGTGATGGTCCAATATATTCTATAATAACTTGCCCATTAGAGTTTGGATATTATCCTAGTTTTCTTACATCAGAACAATAATGTATTTTGGAAATAAAACAGTCATCTGAAATATAAATATATTTCTCACTCCATGTATTTTTGTTGTTTTTGCTAATATACTCAATTGCTGTATTTTATTTAATTAATTTATTTTTACTTTTTGTAGAGACAGGTCCCATTATGTTGCCCAGGCTGGTCTGGGCTCAAGCGACCCTCTCACCTCGGCCTCGCAAAGTGCTGGGATTATAGGCATGAGCCACTGCACCTGGCCTCAATCACAATAATAGACAAGAAATTATTTTTCATTGATTGTGTATTTAAATAGTTTCTATTTTTTTCTCGAATCTAAAGTTTGCTATTATTCCACTATAAATAACATTTATATTGGGAATATCTGATTTGTCAGAAGATGAGAGGCTCAAAGGGCGTACACAGAGACCATGTACAAGGACTCTTGTAATCTTTAAATACTTTCATTGAGTAACTGAATATATTTTCTCCTTTCAGATTCTGGTTTTAACTCCATTTTGCTGAAATCAAGGAAACATCTCTTTTTACATTTTATCTATTATGCCTGCTTATATACTGAGATATTTAGAGTCTTCAGTCAGACTCTAGTAGTGGTTAGGTACATTTACACATAGGAAGGACATATACTTTGTAAATTTGAGTATTTGTCTTCTCATTTGTATCATACACTAGTGTAACTAATAGTTCCCTAACCACCGATACTTGCCAATCAATTATTACAATAAATCAAGTGTTAATTCTACCACATGAACCTTAGCTTCTGTTTCAATATCTATAAAATGAGGAATTTATGTCCAACACATTTTCAAAAGCTTGTTTTAGCTGAAACTCCATTTCTATGAGTCCATAGCTGAGCTTGTTGATATTTAAAAGTCTCCACTAAAGGCTATTGATTCATGGAAATATATCTGTAGAACACACAATATTATTTAACCACCATTCTCTCAAGTATTTCTGTTCATAACAGGCTGCAAGATACTCTGGTATTGAATCGACCAATTTTTATGCAATTTATATTGCTCATTTTCATTTTAGATTAATATTTTCTTACCTTACACTTAGAAAATAAATAAGCAATTAACTATGAATTAAGATGCTTTGGTCTCAGATCCTTACTTGACCTTCACCAGGTGTGGGACTATGGGCTTGTTACTTACCTCTCAGTAGCCACAACTATTAAATGGGAATAACGCTAGCATTTCCTTTATTGGGATGTTTGAGGATTAAGTGATATAATACACTAAAAAATGTGCCTGGGAACTTTGCATAAAGCCATTGCTTTAGAGAATGTTGATATAATTATTTGTACAGATAATTGTGAAAGTAGGACACAATAAATGTAGCTTTTCCACAGGAGATAAATGTGACAATATATGGTGGAAGGACACTGAACTATATCCTAAAATTAGACAGCAGTGATTATTCCTTTGTAGTTATTAACATTAGTTTGTTTTGTTATTTCTGCATTCTAGGTAGTCTACATATTATAGATTACAATATGCTAAAAAGAACCTTGGCAATCATAAAATCTAACTCCTTTATATATATGTATAATGAAATCAGTGGGTCTAAACAAATTCCCTAAAAATCACAAAACATATTAGGAACAGAGCTGAGTTTGGAACCCTTTATCAGAGAGCTTTTGCCATGTAACAATCCACCCCCAAACATAGTAGCTTAAACTAATAATAATTTGCTTAGCTCACAATCCTGTGGATTGGTAATTTGAGATGAAATCAGCTTGGTGGATTTTCTGCTGGTCTTTGCTCATGTGTCACAGTCATTTGGTGAGTTGACTAGCATCTGAATTATCTAGGATGACACCATTCATATGTCCAGGTTAGCAGGCTCTTGGCTAGGGCAGTAGGGGTTCCTGGGCCATGTGTCTCTCATCATCTGGCAGGCTAGTCTGGCCTTATTTATATGCTGACAATGGCAGGGGTCCCAAGAGAAGGAAGGGTGGATGCTGAGCCTCTTGTAGCTTAGGCTTGAACTTGTATAGCTTCAATTCCATTGCATCCTACCGTCAAAGCAAGTCATGAAGCCTGCCCAGATTCAAGGGGTGGGGAAATAGACTCTATCTCTTGATGGGAGGAACAGCAAAACGTTTGTGGCTATTTTCTCCTCCTCTTCCCCAGTCTCACAACACCCATCAGCTAATTTTCAGGCTATGGCTCTCTCAATACAGACTACCTACATAAGCAATTAGATATGATAGCTTACCTTTCTACTTAGCAGTAACTTATTTTTGTCTAGGAAATGTAGGAGTCTTTACTGAAGATGTGATACTTGAAGGTAGAGCTTGAAGAATGAGTTTTCCAGACAGAAGCTTAAAAAATTGAATTCAGATAAAAGGACAAATATGTGGAAAAGCTCAGAGTTTTAGAGAGAATGACAGGCTTTGGTACAGTGAGAAACGAGCATGACTTGTGGGTTAGATCATGGAGGGGAAACGTTGGGGACAAGGGGTTTGATCATGGAGGGGAAATGTGGGGGACCAACAGGCTGGAGGAGTCTTCTAATACCCAGAATTTTTCTTTGCAAAGTGGTGTGGTGAGGGGAGACTCAGTTACCTAGTTTCATTCAAGAATATGTATTTAGTTTACAAGAGGCAGTAAGGTAGCATTTCCATTAGGAAAAGGCATTTTTCTCCCCAGAAAGGGAAATCTGAACAAATTACAAGTTCTACAAATTACAGAATACTGGTACGTAGCCGAGGCTCTATGGAGGTTCAGGTGACAGGAATTTCATCATCACAAGGGCGTAACAGAAGCATGAGCTGGAACCTGGGAAACAAGAAAGAGCCCAGTAGTCTGCACAGGTCAAGTCATCAAAGAGTCAGAGATATAGGTGACTGTCTGGGAGTTCAGGAAATATGACATAAATCAGTCAGCTGGCCAGATGGTTCTATCCCAGCACTTCCTGTCTCAGAAAGAGCAAAGGAAGTGAGGCATCATGAAGACTGCAGGTGGCAGAAATCAATGTGATTGATGAAAGCAGACAGAGGAAAAGGCAACATCAAAGTGATGACAAAATTCTTTATCAATCTGGCACATTAGTTACTACTATAACTCAAAAGGAAATCAACTTTGGGCTACATTTGCAGCTCTGTAAAAAATGGATGAACTAAATGCCATAAATTAATGACATCAAGTAAGACTACTTTTATCTTTTATTTCTTAAAGATGATAAAACAGGTTAAGTGACCTGGAATGCCGCAGCTGAAAGTGTTATTTTGTATCTTTCTGCTTGAATAAATGGAAGCATTATCAGCTTCCATTTGTTCATATCCACCTAACACTGTCTTCTATTTCCCTAATTCAAAGTATGTTTAAATTAATCATGTATTCTTTGAATTACAGTATATATGCTGACCCTTGTTTTTAGTTGAAAACCTATTTAAAAATTGATTTAGCAATTTGTTTTCTTTGTTTCAGAGGACCTTATCATGTCCTTCACTGTATCCATGGCAATCGGGCTGGTACTTGGAGGATTTATTTGGGCTGTGTTCATTTGTCTGTCTCGAAGAAGAAGAGCCAGTGCTCCCATCTCACAGTGGAGTTCAAGCAGGAGATCTAGGTCTTCTTACACCCACGGCCTCAACAGAACTGGATTTTACCGCCACAGTGGCTGTGAACGTCGAAGCAACCTCAGCCTGGCCAGTCTCACCTTCCAGCGACAAGCTTCCCTGGAACAAGCAAATTCCTTTCCAAGAAAATCAAGTTTCAGAGCTTCTACTTTCCATCCCTTTCTGCAATGTCCACCACTTCCTGTGGAAACTGAGAGTCAGCTGGTGACTCTCCCTTCTTCCAATATCTCTCCCACCATCAGCACTTCCCACAGTCTGAGCCGTCCTGACTACTGGTCCAGTAACAGTCTTCGAGTGGGCCTTTCAACACCGCCCCCACCTGCCTATGAGTCCATCATCAAGGCATTCCCAGATTCCTGAGTAGGGTGGCTTTTGGTTTTTGTTTCTTTCTTGTCTTGTCTTTTATTGAAAGGAAATCAAAAATAGGCTAAACAGAATTTTGAGGGCATGGCCCAAATAACTCATGAGTTCCAAGTTGAAACATGGTTGTGCAAGTTGGACATTACAATGTAAAACACATTTTCTTCAAACACGTTTTCCCTTTTGTTTCAAAAAATGTAATATTTTCCCCCAAGCGTTTTATATTTATGTATTTTGTATTCAATGTGAGGCTTATTAAAAATAGTGATTCTAATGTAAGAATCAGCTAAGATGCATTATATATATTTTAATTAAAATTAAAACTTCAGATATTTGTGGATTACAATCCTCATTTACTTCCAATGTGACTAAAAAGAGAAAAAAAATCACTGTGTCACTTTAAAGAAAAATCTTCTAAGGGATTTGGATTTTACTTTCTTTAGAATGACAAGTGAATCATATTGACATTTTACAATCTTAGATTTTTCTTTTTTTTTCTTTTGAGACAGGGTCTTGATCCGTCGCCCAGGCGGGAGTTGCAGTAGCATGATCAGGACTCACTGCAGCCTCTATCTCCCAGGCTCAAGTAATCCTCCCATCTTAGTGCCCCAAGTAGCTGGGACTACAGGGGTGCACTACCACACCGGGTTGAATTTTTTTTTAATTTTAGTAGAGATGAAGTGTCACTATGTTACCAAGGCTGGTCTCAAACTCCTAAACTCAGATGATCCTCCTGCCTCGGCCTCCCAAAGTGCTGGAATTAGCCTGGCCAATCTTGGATTTTTAATGGAATATGTGGGCACAAAATGACAGAACATAGGACATTCTAAAGTTCCTTGATTTGATCATTATAAGAAGTGTGGGACTCAAGCACAGGAAACTGAACTCTTTTGGTGTCATTGGATGTTTCATTTTTGACACTAATTTTTTCTGGACAAACTCTTTATGTGTTTTTCCCAAGAATAGTTATCTACTTCCTGGAGGCAAAATCCTTGGATTTACTAACATGATGATTTACCTTTTCTTCACCGTTGTCGTTACATTGTTAGAAAAGCAACAGGAAAAAATCCAATTCATTTGACCTAAAAACAAGCCTCAAGTTTAAAACCAAGCTCACGTTTTTCTTAAGGGAAAAATTTTCTTTCTTAAACTTACATCTAGCAACTTGGAAAGCACTTTCTCTGGGGATCTTCTTTTGTAACTTTGCAGACAAATAAGTATGAGTCACTGGGGAGAGAGTTTGTTATTGAAATAGATGTTGCCCATGAAGAATTCTCCTTCCTGGATTGACTCTTAATCATCAGGCATCATTCCTGGTTTGCTTCTCTACGAATCTCAATTCCAACTTCTCTGCAGAGTCTGTACAGTGATTAAGCCATGCCAGATGGTCTTTGGTGCACACAGTTATTTAAGAATCCACTTCCACAGGTGGCTGCCCTTGTAAGGAAGAATGCATCCCTAAATGTGGCCACCAGAGAGTTCCAGTGGGCAGATGTCTGTGGCTGCCCTTCTCATTTAAGGACATGAGTTCACTGGAGTATTACTCAAAAAGTCTGTGGTTCATTTCCAGTATTGTGAATATTTAGTTTATGTGGCCGTTTCTTTGTTTCTTTGAACAGTGGGATTTTCAGTGAAAAAGTACCCTCTTTTTCATTTCCTATTGCAGTGGTCACAGCTAATAGTGTCTGAACATGGTTCAAGAATAAGAGATTCCATGTAGCATTTTCTTTATTATTTTCATTTCCCTTATATTATCCATCATTCCTTAAGGACAATTATTCTTAATAATGCTTATAGAAAATGTTCTCTAATTAAACATGCCAAAAGGAAAAAGTAAGAGAAAGAGGGAGCAAGAAGAAAATGGAAGAAAAAGGGAAAAAAGCTAACCGGATAACCAATTTGTTATAAGTTGGTTTTCAACAAAGAAATTTAGCAGCCAAGTAAGGTTTCAAGGGAATATTAACTTGGTATCAGGGCTACTTTTTTTTTTTTTTTTTTACTTGCATGTCATCCTTAATGTCTAACATGAAAAATCAGCAAAGAGTATGGTTTTTATCAAGAATTTGTGTTGGGAGTAAAAACTGCTTTATAGCTCCCAAATTAGGAAGAGAAGAGCAGAAATCCTCTGGGGCATTTAACCATCTGGCAGAATTGTTGCTGCACCCTTATCCCAGTTATAAGACAGTCAAAATGACTATTTCCTAAATATTGTGAGTGTATGAAATGTGAAATTAAAGCAAAAACTGGAGACTTTTAATGTATTTCTTTAATTTGAAATGTTTTGTGGATTGTGAAATAAAAATAAATTTATGTCAAGTTTTATTCAAAATTCATTTATGAAATAATGCCAACACTGTTCTAAAAAGCAAGGAGTCAAGAAATTATAAAATTCAGATTAAATCAGGAAAACACATTAGATGGAAAATTATACTATAGAATTTGAGCTTATTAAAATTTATTGCATAAGAAAAGTCTCCTTTTTACTTTGGTATTTAAACCTAACCTAGACTATTTGTAAATGAATAGACTGAGACACAAATCCTTTTTCATATAAAAATGTATAATGGAGAAAGGGAACATCACAAATAAATTTTACAAGATTTTTAAAATTAATGCAGATGGAAGAATTAGTAAATTATTTATTTAAAACATGAACTTAGAGTCTTATCTCATTAGCTAAATACATAATTACAGAATTATTTAATTATTTTATTTAGGGAATAAGCATTTTAAATAATGGCTATCTAAAAAAATAGAGGAAATTTGAAATAAATGTTTAGCAAATCTATGAAATAGGAAAGGGGTACTTTTTAAGAGCCAAAGGGATGAAATAAATTACAAAGGAAAATATTAACAGTTTTGATTATTTAAAAAAATTTAAAATTCTGTTCATTAAAAGATAAATTTATCCAAAATCTAAAACAAGCAAAAACAAAAAAAGAAGAAAGAAGTTAAGTTAATATAAATATGGCAAAAATGGCCAATATCTTGAAGTCATGATTAGCACACATAAATACATATGGAAAATACTCAGTTGTAAATAGATAAATTAGTAATGGACCAAAACAAGCAATTCACCAAAGAGAAAAATTAATTGATTTACAAGTTTGTGGTAAAATACTGCATGTTACTACTAAGAAAGTGCCCATGTACATTTAAACAACACTCTAGTAGTTTTTTCTATCACATTAGCTAATTATTATTATTATTTGAATAAAGACGGTGTTTTGCCAAGTTGGCCAGGCTGGTCTCAAACTCCTGGCTTCAAGAGATCCGCCCACCTCAGCTTCCCAAAGCACTGAGATCACAGGTGTGAGCCACCATGCCCGGCCCACAATAGCTAACTATTTATGAAATAATGAATCTCCTCACTGCTGGCAAATGTACTAAGAAGGGAGTGCTCCTACATATTTCTGGTGGCAAGGTAAACTGGCATTGCCCTTTTGGAAGGCAGTTTGATGAAATGTATCAGGAGTCTTGCACTAGGCAGACCACGAAGTCTCCTAGCACCTGCCAGGTACACGGTTTTCTCTGAGAAAAGTGGCGATGAACTTGTATGGAGACCAAGCCTGCTATACTAGCCATGTGGGACTGGATCAGAGCATTCCGTATCAGATGTGAGTAACCGACCGAACTAGATCTTCCCTGCTTTGTGTGAGAGGGTGGGGATGAAGGGAGAGAATGGGAGAACTGCCACTGAGAGACCTCGAAGGGAAAGGAGAGACGAAAATAACAAAGACCTGGAGTAAAATGGCTGCAGTATCTTTTGAATAAACTTCCATTACTTAAGATTACTCATATCTTTTTACAATGTTACAACTTGAAATAAATTCACCCGAGTACCAGTTCAAAGAAAGTGATGGCCGGGCGCGGTGGCTCACGCCTGTAATCCCAGCACTTTGGGAGGCCGAGGCGGGCAGATCACCTGAGGTCAGGAGTTTGAGACCAGCCTGACCAACATGGAGAAACCCTGTCTCTACTAAAAATACAAAATTAGCCAGGCCGTGGTGGCACATGCCTGTAATCCCAGCTACTCAGGAGGCTGAGGTAGGAGAATCGCTTGAACCTGGGAGGCAAAGGTTACAGTGAGCCGAGATTGTGCAATTGAATTCCAGCTTGGGCAAGAAGAACAAAACTCTGTCTAAAAAAAAAAAAAAAAAGAGAATGGCTGATGATAAATAGACCCTCACAGTCTAGACACTGGGATAGTTCTACCCTCACCCAGGCAAGTGGGACCCATGCCTCATGGGGCCCCACACTTCAGATTACCTTCTTTGAAGTTTTCTAAATCACAGTTCGGTGTGTAGAACTGGCCAGGACTGGCAATGCCAACTGGACAGGGCACATGAGCCTATACACCAAGACCTGTGTGGATGCTAGTCCTTTTTTATTTTTTTCGTTCCCTTTCAGGTGATCTTTGACCCGTATCTAGCATGTCAGGTCAACCAGCTATCTCAGAAGCTCTCCAGGACTTTTATCTATGCGGTCTCTGTGATTGAACCCCAGTTTCAGGAGGACAGCCTGGCAATCAGGTCACTGCTGCTGATGGGAGTGTATTTCTTTCACAGAATCACATGATACTGGACAGCCAGAATGGTACTGCCATGCTGATCTGGGGTGACTTTAACTCAGAATGAAGAATCTCTGGGTAATAACTATCTAAGTACTTCTTCTCAACTCACTTAAAATATTTATGGAGGCCGGGCGCGGTGGCTCATGCCTGTAATCCCAGCACTTTGGGAGGGCTGGAGTTTGAAACCAGCCTGGCCAAGATGGTGAAACCTTGTCTCTACTAAAAATAAAGAAAATTAGCCAGGCATGGTGGCGGGCGCCTGTAGTCCCAGCTACTCGGGAGGCTGAGGCAGGAGAATCGCTTGAACCTGGGAGGCAGAGGTTGCCGTGAGCCGAGATCGCACCACTGCACTCCTGCCTGGGTGACAGAGTGAGACTCAGTCTCAAAAAAAAAAAAAAAATATGGAAAGATCACTAAACCTCATTTGTGCCCATGAATTTTGTAAAACATTTTTAACTAATTTTTAAAATACAAGATAAGGCCCTGCAAAAAATATTTGTCCAGGGCCTCACACACTGTAGCTCTGTCCCTGTGCTGAGATGATATGGGGAGACACAAAGTATGAGCCTAATGTGATTTGAAAAGCAAGTAGTCCATACTTTGTTGTGGTAAAATTCTGATCATCTCTCATCCTTGTGTTATAGACATTGTGTCTGTAACCACAGAAGAGCTTAGAATATTGTAGCTATAGCTTGAGAGTGGTTCTGAGAGTTGAAGCCATGCTGGAAGAACAGATTTAATGAGATCTTCATTGTGGTGTAAGTAAAATAGAGAACGGCCATGCAAGTGCACTAGCATATGTGGTGGCTTTTGTAAGGTATGTTGGGGAAAGGATAGATGCAAGTTCCAAAATGCCTGACCAGGAGCTAGAGCTGCAGGGCCAGCAGGTGTCACTGCTGCCAGTGACAAATCCCTGCTCCCAATGGCTGTCACTCTGACACTACTGAAAAGCTACAGCAGAAATGGACACCTTTATGAACTGTGGGATTCTCAGAGTGCCAGGGACTCAGGGACTTCAAGACTGGGGAGAGTCTTTATTGAAAAATCAGGCTTCAGGCCGGGTGTGGTGGCTCACGCCTGTAATCCCAGCACTTTGGTAGACGGAGACGGGCAGATCACTTGAGGTCAGGAATTCGAGACCCGCCTAGCCAACATGATGAAACGCCGTCTCTACTCAAAATACAAAAATTAGCCAGGCGTGGTGGTGTGGGCCTGTAATCCCAGCTACTTGGGAGGCTGAGGCAGGAGAATCCCTTGAATCTAGAAGGCAGAGGTTGCAATGAGCCGAGATCATGCCACTGCACTCCAGCCTGGGCAACAGAGTGAGCCTCTGTCTGGAAAAAAAAAAAAAAGGAAAAAGCAGGCTTCATAGGTAAGCCTCTGCTTAGCTAAAATAGAGAACAAGAGGGCTGAAACTTAAATTAGATTACTGACTACAGTTGGGCAGGAAGAATGGGCAATGGGTGCCATTAAGTAACAGAAGTCAAACAGCCAAATGGTCAATGAGAATCTGAGAGTATAGGACTGTAGGGTATGATGGGAGTAGCCTAAGGTATTTGTTCAAAGCTGAGGAGCAAATTGAGGGAAAAAAATTCACAAAATGCATGACAAGGAGTTAATCCTTTTACATAAAGAGCTCACAGGATCAATGGGAAAAATCGTTGTAAGAAAGAAATTAAGAAATTCACTGGTGAAAATGAACATAAAGAATTCTAAGTAGAAAAAAAAAACCTTTAACAACACTGAAAGTGGAAAAACTAAAAACTCCTATTAAGAATTCACAAAGAGGCAGGGCGTGGTGGCTCATGCCTGTAATCCCAGTACTTTGGGAGTGTGAGGCAGGAGGATCACTTGAGCTCAGGAGTTTGAGACCAGCCTGGGCAACATAGCAAGACCTCATCTCTACTAAAAATCAAAAAACTAGCCAGGCTTGTAATCCCAGCTACTCGGGAGGCTGTATTCCCAACTACTTGGGAGGTTGAGGTGAGGGCATAGCTTGAGCCCAGGGGGTTGAGGCTTCAGTGAGCTGTGATCGTGCCACTGTACTCTAGCCTGGGTGACAGAGTGAGACCCTGTCTCAAATAAATAGATAATAAATTAATTAAAAAGAATTCACAAAGAATAGCAACAGAATACAGTCAAATTTTGATGATTGACAAGGATATCAAGAATCAAGAACAACATGTGCTTTCCAGCTTAGGGACACGGTGTGATTTGTGGAGAATGAGTTAAGTGGACAAAACTGTCATCTCTCTGAATATCCAGTTTGGAGAAACACTCATGTTTTGAAGCAATTAGGAATAGAATTTTTCAAATTAAGGAAAAGAACTCTAACAATATCTGAAAACCGCTATAAAAATTCTATGCAAAGCTATAAGTATTGACTCACACTGATGCTAGGCGCGAATGTTCTTTGGAATTTTAACTACACTAATATTATTACTAGGATTGTTAGTTTTGGTTAGTGCTCCAGTGACAAATTTCCACAGGTTTTTTTTTTTAAGTGGTTTGTCTTTAACCTTATTTTTCTATAAGCCCTGCTATTTTTAGCTCTTGGTTTTGTACAACCTGAGGAATACATATACAGTGTCACAACAAAAACATAAACACCTAAGTCTGTATACATAAGTATGAAAAATTTCAAAAGTTAAATGATTGCTCTTACATATGAATGTCTTATCACCAAAGTAGCTTGCTGAATGTCTTATCACCAAATCATCGAAGTATAATGCAAAGAACCAAGCTGAAATCCAAGGTACAGCTGCCACACAATTCAGGAACATTTCGTGGTAGGATGAAATTGGCCGCAGTTAGAAAAACACAAATTAAGGAAGAAACTGCAGAGTCAAAACTCAGACTGCAGACTCCCCCTGCTTTATCCAGTTGGTGTGCTGAATATTCAAGCCTACATATTTAAACCTTGTGATCTGCTGAGCAGCTACACCACAGGTGCTCAACAGACCAAAAGGGTCTGAGGGAAACAAGGGATTCCACCACATTCTAACTGGGCAAATGGCAGACTTGGGTAGATCCAGTGGCCTTTGCAAAGTGTTTTGGGGTAGGGATCCAGACAGAGTCAGGCAAATATCTTCCAGATGGCTCAAACTATAAAAAGTAAAATTTAAAAGCCCCTTTCTTCAACATGGAAAGAAAGGAATTAAACTAACCCTCAGAGAGAGGCAGTAAAATGTAGATGTGCCAATCACATTGAAATTCTTAATGTAACCAGGCAGCTTAACTTCAAAATGCATTTTAAAACTTGTATTTTTCTTTTTCTTGGATTTCAAGATATAACCTTGCAGCAAACTGCAGAAGCATTTTCCTTAGCCTTAAAATAGATTCCATGTTCTACCCTTTCTCACCATATATACTCCCTTCACATTTATCTAACTGTATGCTAGCATCTAATTATGTGCCATCTTAGAAGTTCCAAGGGCCAATCTTCAGACGGAAAGTCCAAATCTGGACCCAGGTGCAAAATTCCAGAGATTACTTCAAAGTGGCTAGTCAACAACTTGGCCATTGTCGAAATGACACCAGCCCATGCTCCCCGGTGGATTGAAACCCAAGATAGCCACTGGAACAAGATACACAGACATTGTACTCCGCACAATTTTTGCGTGCCATCCATTATCAAGTTTTCCCTTTTTAAGCCCTTGGCTTGCCCCTCAAAATTGAAGTGGTTGCTTTGGATGGGAATCTGGCCATGTCTCCATTACTACTTTTGTTTAATAAAATGACTTTCTACCAGACCTTACTCTTGTTAATTGGATTTTGCGAGTGGGAAGCAACCAGACTTGCATTTGGTTACATTGGTCCCTGCAGTCCCTGAAGCCTAGCTATTGAATATCTCTCTTTCCTTCATAGGTAATGAAATCTTTATTGGAATCTACTAGATACCACAATCACCTTTTATAAAATTTTCATTTTTATATAAACAACATTAGATTAGGTCACAATAACTTGCTGAAAAGATTTCTAACCAATACAGGGATTCAATATATACTGCTTTATTTCTGAAGCTGATAAATTGAGAAATATGTGTCTAAGCATATTATCTGAAATTATATTAGCAACTGCTGGCAAAATTAAATATAGATGATCTCTTTTGGGAAAATAGGCATGTAGACAAATAAAGCACAGGTTATACAACAAATGGTAGAAACAGAAAATAATAATGAAAACAAAAATTTAAAGCATAAGATATCAGAATTAAAATAGATTACTGTCTTTATAAAAATAAAAATGAGACACACACACATACACAAGACAGAAGACATCTTTTCAATCAAAAAATCCTACCTTCAAGTCAATAAATCTTGCCTAAAGTGAAGTGGCTCAGAAAATGTGAAAGTAAAAGGGCAGGCAAAAGTATGTTAGTGTGTACCTAGCGTGAAAAAAAAGTCGGGCAAGATGAAATATGTGAAATAGGACAAAGAATATTACTTTAAATTTTTTGTGTGTGTTTAATTAAATTTTTATTTATTATATCATTGCTAATCTAATAGATTGTACATGGTAGCTCAAAGCGGTTTTAGTTTGCATTTCTCTATTTTTTTTATACTTTAAGTTCTAGGGTACATGTGCACAACATGCAGGTTTGTTACATATGTATACATGTGCCATGTTGGTGTGCTGCACCCGTTAACTCGTCATTTACATGAGGTATATCTCCTAATGCTATCCCTTCCCCCTCCCGCTATCCCACGACAGGCCCTGGTGTGTGGTGTTCCTCACCCTGTGTCCAAGTGTTCTCATTGTTCAATTCCCACCTATGAGTGAGAACATGCGGTGTTTGGTTTTCTGTCCTTGCGATAGTTTGCTCAGAATGATGGTTTCTAGCTTCATCCATACTTTAAATTATTGAAGAGCCCACTCCCAGTGAGGTATAAAGCATCACGAGTAAGCATCAGAGAACGCCATTTTTTTTTTTTTTTTTGAGACCGGGTATCTCCATGTTGTCCAGGCTGGAGTGCAGTGGCGCGATATCAGCTCGCTGCTACCTCTGCATCCCAGGCTCAAGCTATCCTCCCACCTCAGCCTCCCAAATAGCTGGGACTATAGGGCACATGCCACCACACCTGGCCAATTTTTATATTTTTTATAGAGATGAGGTTTCACCATGTGGCCTCGGCTGCAGAAATGACTTTATAAAACAAACTACAGAGTGAAGGATGCAAAAGAATATACAAGTAAGTTTGGAAGGCTTATTTGTGGATAAGAAGTCTAACATTTTAAGATAGTTTATACCCAAATTAATTTATAATTCAATGTGATGAAAGACAGAATTCTGACATACAGACTTTTGTTTTGTTTTTTATATTTGCTTTTGTTTGTCTTTTAACTTAGATGAAGATAAAATGTCATGTGGAAATAAAACTTAAGAAACAATGTCATCAAAATTCTGACAAAGAAAAGTAACAGAAGATCCTCGGCCTAACAGATATTAAACTGGTCTTAAAGCTAAAATAAAAATTAAAAGTCATGCAAATCAACAGAAGAAAATAAATAATACTAAAATAGAACTAGGCATATATGGGAAATTAGTTATGATGAGAGTTGAATTTTCAACAAATTAAGACAATTGATTAATTAATGTTTGGGAGAAAATTAGCTGTAGAGAAAAGTCTCTGATTCAAAATAAGTTCAAAATGGAAAAAGAATGTAAACAAAAAATGAAATAGCGGCATGCAATAAAAATACATAAATATGTAAAAATATTTACATGGGAAAAACTTTTCTAAACTAGTCTTTGAACAATGTAATTTCAGATTCTTTTAATTTTGAAATTAGTTTTTAAAAAACTAAAGTTTTCAAATATAGATTCAAAACAATTAGGATTTATTATAAGTGTGTAGTATTTATTTATTACAGCAAGTGGCCTTATAAGAAAGGCAGAGGAAGATTTGGCACAGACACAAAGAAGAGAAGGTGATGTGAAAATGGGACAGAAAGAGATTTCTAGAAATACTGATCTTGAATATTGGAGTGAAGCAGCCACAAGCCAAGGAATGCCAGACCCTGTCAGAACATGGAAGATGCAAGGAATGGATGCTCTTGTGCAGAACCTTAAGGTGAGCTAAAGTTAAAACATTAGCGCCTTCTCACAGCCTTCCTGGGCATACACATGGCCCTTCACATGTATGTGGGTTTCTAGATTCCCCAGGAATATGTCAGAGCTTTTCCCTATAGACACTTCATTTTTTATTTTTGTGTGTTTGGTTTTGTTTTTATTTGTTTTTTATTTTGTTTTGTTTGCTTGTTCTTTTGTTTGTTTTTTTGTTTCTTTGTTTTTGAGACAGTGTCTCACTCTGTCACCCAGGTTGGAGTACAGTGGCATGATCTCAGTGCACTGCAACCTTCACCTCCTGGGCTCAGGTGATCCTGCCACATCAGCCTCCAGAGAGGCTGGGATGACAGACGCATGCCACCATGCCTGGCTAATTTTTGTATTTTTTGTAGACATGGGGTTTTACCATGTTGCCAGGCTGTTCTCAAACTCCTGAGCTCAAGCAATCTGCCTGCCTTGGCCTCCCAAAATGCTGGGATTACAGGCATAAGCCACCATGCCTGGCCTTCCACGGTTTTCTTAAACATTTTTTGCTCAGCCTCTTTCTACTCCAACTGGTGTCTCTTTATCAGGCAGCTACAAAATCAAACAGTTGCTGCTGACTGTTTTTAACAAGTGCCTTGGAGGAAAAAGGGAGCTTTCCACCTAGTGAGCTCTGAATGAAGTTATATAAAGACAATCCCTGTGAATGGGGTTTTCAAGAAGTTGCTAGTCAGGTCAAATAGTGACTACTGCTGAGGCATGGAGCTTTTTAAAGAAGCTCTAACCCATTTTGACTTCTCTGATGACTGTTAGGCTGTTGGTTTCTGTAAGCCTGATGATTTTCATGGCTACCTTGGAGCTGGCAAGAAGGACTTGGGAATAGGCAAGTTAAAATGTCACTAAGGTCTCTGTTCTTAACAAGATTCAGTTGCTTTTCTTGAATAAATGCTCCTCAAGTTGTCACAAGTCTTCAGTTAATTTCCAGAGTACTGAACAAGTTGCTTTTTCTTTTGCCATTTATTTCCACTGTTTTTATGGCAGAAAAAATGTTCAGAAGACCTTATCCCATCACTCCATAAGTGCTTCTGCTTGTTAACATTTTGGCATACAGACAGTCTTGCCTCTTAAAGTCTACTGGCACAAAGAGCCAGGTCTTAAAAATTAAAAACAGTCCATCAATCCTTCACCAGAATACTGTGGTGATTTCTCCTGTCTCTGCTTTTCTTATGCTGTGAAATGAAATGTGGGATTCAAGACTATCCTTTAGAGGTAGATGATTGCTTTTAAGAGCATACTCTTCCTCAATCATAAGTATCTTGTGAGACCAGATTGTGGAATTCCTACTGATGGTTAAAAGGTTCCCACATCATATCTCAGTTTTAAAACAGGAACTATATTATTCTAAGGATTTCAGTCCTCCAACTCTTCAGAATAAATCTCCGACTTCATGAAACTTATTTCTGGTTAAGCGCAAAACTTATGGTTCAAATTCCTCCCCAAAAGTTTCGGAAGTGAGGAGATGCTCATGTGTGTTAAACACCAAAGGCAACTGTGTTGCTTGGAAAAACTGCAATGTTGGTGTTTAGACACTTCCATTCACCTGCCTGGAAGGGAACATAGTCATGAGCAGTATTCTTTCTGGGTGGAAATAAGAGGTGGGAGCTGCGTGCAGTGACTCATTTGTCCTTTCTCTTTCCCTATGTGCATGCATGCTTTTCCACAGATTATAACTCATGGAAATTCTCATTGGAAAAGACACTTCAGTAACATTTCCCACATGCTTTGACATTTTTTTTTTTAGGAAAATGTTTCATTCTATTAGGTTAATTCCACCCCAAGGTATTTGCATAAGTGGCGTGGGTCTGGCCTTTGACGTTATCTTCCTGAATGATCTCTGATTGCTCACTCAGGCATATTGTAGACTCTTGGTCTCATTGAATCTTGTGCTATCTTTACCAAATCAAATCTGTAAAGTTCACTGGCAATTTAATGTATTGTTTTTGAGTCATCTTGACATTTTGACTTCTTAAGTGTAAACTGAAAAATGCATTTACTGGAAATTTGGAAATTTGTTTTTTAAAATAAAACAACATATGCCAGATCCCTAATCTACAGATGATTTATAAAATCAGGCAATGCTTATGAGGTAATGCTGCTGAAAGAAGGTTTCTAAAAAGGAAATTTATCTCCAATGTTTCTAAAGCACATAAAAGAACAAGACTGTTTTTAACAGGAGAATAAAACATACAAAGAAGGGTGTAAATTATTAGGATATCATCCAGTTTTTTTGTAAGGCAGGTAGAGAGGAGGCTCAAATGCTAAAAGGGTAAAAATATTTAGTTTAGCATTGTTGAAAGAACTGGAGAAGATTGTCTTTATTTCAAAGTTGTAAATATTATAAATAGATAAACTTTTTGGTAAGTGAGCCTTTATTAAGAAATCAATGCATATTGGTTTGAATTGGTAGAACCTTTGGATATTTCATAATAAATAAGATCTTATTTTGTAGTAATATTGAAATTTGAAATTTTCCTAGTAGATACTTTTTATTATTAACTTAAGTAGTCTAGAGTTAATTCTTGCTACCGAATTGGATCACCATATGATGAATTCTGTCACTACATTTATATTAAACATTTAGCTATATCCATGGACATTGATGTTTAGAGGTAAACAAAATGCCTAAATAGAGGTGAAGAGGAACTCCAAATATGCTTACCTCATGCATTCTAAAGTTTAGAAGTTTTGGCAACTGAGATTTTGCAATCACCAATGGATCACAGAAATTGACAAGATAATTGTTATTACTCTTTTCTGTTTTAATATAAATTTTCTAAAGTATTATAACATTTTGAAATAGAAAGTTTAAAATATTTGTTTACTTAATTTCAGAATTAAGTATTTAATTAATTGCTGACTTTGATGAGATCAGGCACACTCAGGGTGGTATAGCCATAGATGAATTGCTTACTTTGAATGAAATTGAATGTAAAGGAATGTAACAGTTAAAAGAAAAAAGCCCTTTTTTTCTTCATTTTATTCTTTCATTCCATCTTTTATTTCTTTCCTCTTTGCATTGTTATATGATATTTATAAAAGGGGTTCTAAACAAGATAACAAAAATATAAAGTAGATGATAGAGTTGGGGCCAAGGGGAAGCAAAGTGGAGCCAGTAATAAGGTTAGTGCTAAAAACCAGAGTCTTACATCGTTAAAACCAACAAAGGGCCATGGATTTAGCTCTTAGCTTTTTAGCTGTGCACTTAATGAAAGGAATAGGAACAGATATATATTCACAGAGCTCATAAGATAAAGACAAATTATTCATTCCAGAGCACAGTGAGTTCTGATTTTAGGTCCTAACAATATTTGAATTTTATCATAAAAAGGATCCTGTGTGATGCAATGAACAAATTACTAAGTAATACCCTTAGGATAAATACAGCAAGGAATTTTATGTGGATGTGTCTTAATTTAGGGAGTTGTCATCATGACAGAAAAAAAATCAGTGAAAATAATCCTGTTGAGTCAAACCCCACCATATCAATGAGGCAGGATTCACTTCCGTGGTCCTGTGAGGGGACTATTAGAGTATCTGGAGAAAACTTCCTGACCAGGTTCAAGACCCCAAAGGGAATCGATAAATTTTGAAAGAGAGCTCTAGGAAATCCTGTAAATTGTGTACATCGGTGGGTGTATAAGGTCATGGATGCATTTTTCTGAAAACAGGGTTTGCATTTTTTAACAAAAGAAACTTTGCCTTAGAAAAGGTTGAGAGAAAAGAATAGGCTGCACATCCATTATTAATACACTTTTTTTTAAAAAAAGAAATTCGTGAACATGCATGATCATTAGTTTTGAGAGTGTGCTCCATGCTTACTTCTCGGAATAAAAAATTTCTGTATGACACATTAAAGAATAAAAACATATGCTGTAAGAATCAGTCAACAAGGGTGGTTTGTACTTCCTCTTAAGAAAGTTGACATGCTGATTTAGTGCTAATTGGTAGAGAACCCTGCTTCATATATGTTTGGAAGTAAGCACAGGGTATATTCCTAGGAAAGATATAGATCTTAACAGAAAATGATGTTGTGAGCCTTCCAAATGAAATTACAAAACTTTGAGTTTTTATCATGTAGTGTGTTAATAAGTTTAACACAAGTATTTTTAAAGCAGATATAACCAAAAGCTTATCTTGAACATTACAAAAGAAAGAGTTGAATAAGACACTCATAGACTGTCTGGCTTTGAGCAATGCAATTTCCTGGAACAATATACTAAGATAAATTGCTTGCAAAATGTACTTCTCTGTAACTGAATGAGATACCTTGCTGAATGGGGTTGTTAGCTATAAATAAATTAAAAGTTTTTTTTTTTCTGGCAATAAAGAGTTTGAAGTAGAAGCTTCTTAAGGTCTTGGCTAGATCATGAGAATAAAATTACTATGCATCTTATGTATGTGTGTGTTTATATATAAATTAAGATTTAGTATTATATATTGTATATTAAGAAAAATATTGGAGATATCTATATCTATTTCTAAAGTCTCCCAGAGAGATTGGATAACTTGCATAAGGTCTTATACTGTATTTATGTGGTGGAGCTGGGATTCAAGCAAGGGCAGTGCAGCTCCAGAACACCTGTCTTAGCCATTACACTATGCTCCCTCTATGTACAATAATATGATCATACTATTTGCTTGTGAAGGAATGTTCACTCTCCACTGTCTGTGAAAGGGATCTAGGTGGGGAACAAGGCATCATCTATTTCATTCAAAATGCTATTAAGTCATAAAAGAACAAGTTATTGTGAATGAAAGAATAAACCCTCTTATTTACTACTAGAAATCAGTAACTGCTCTTTCAAGACCTGGTATAATGCATATGTTGTTTAAGGTTTCACAATTAAGAGGCATCCAGAGCAGCTAATATAATAGCTGTATCTCTTCATTTAGTCAATGACTGTTGAAGTGTAGGAAGTATTGTTTCACTTGTACAAAATTAAAGAGTTTATTTAAGTGATTTATTTTCTTCTCTCAGTTTCTCCAGCCAGCTTTATGACTCTTTGCACCAGTTGACATAGCAATTCTATTTCTAGGAATTTATCCCAATCAAATAATTTAAGGAAAGCAAAAAGCCATATTCATGAAGATATCTAGAATATCTTTATTTGTAACAGAAAATAAGAAAACATTAGTGGGGAAAACCATGGGTCTTACATTAAGGGACATAAAAACAGCTATATAAACACAAATATAAATAATTATAAAAATTCTGTAAAAGCATGGAAAATGTCTGGCTAAATGTCAAGGAAAAACAGCATTAACAACTATCATAGACATATATTTAACATGTATATAGACATGCTTTGAACATATATTATAGACATATGATTAACATCTATTATAGACATATGTTTAACATCTATTATACTTTCAGCAAGTAAAATGTATACTTGTGAAAGGAAATATGGAGAAAATGGAAATAGTTATATTGTAATAAACTTACAATTATTTTGTTGTTCTTTCCTTAATATTGTCGTTTTTATCTTCCAGTGAATTTTGCCAATTCCTTGACAAGTTCCTAGGTTTTCACTAGAGGTTTTCAGGATTTCACTGTCCATTAATGGAATTCCTACCTTTCAAATATTGGCTTCTCCACTCGTTAACTAAATGACACTCTGCCAGTTAATTAACTTCTTTATACCATATTTTTTTTCCTGCTGAATATGGAGCGAATAATGCTTACTTCATAGAGTTGTTGAGATCAAATGAGATAATGCAAATTAATCCTTAAGTTTACAGCGTTTCCCAGCACATAGTATGTGCTTAAAAGAAACAAAACAACCCAAATGGATTAGCACATTTAGCTACCATTTGTTGAGTATTCAGAAGGTTGGACTAATGTGTGAGACATTACTGTTTTAATGGTGAAAGAAAAAAATGTAATTAACATGTCAGAACAAAATTTTAGTTTTGTTTTTAAAGCCATGCTGATAAAAAATATATAATGCATCACAGAATTTTAAATATAAGGCACCATTACAGTTTTTCTAGTCTTTTAGAAACAAAGGTATTTCAATTAAATGCAGCTCAAAATCAATAATAAAAATTTGAAAAATAGAGAAGAGAATGAAAAAAAGAAAGTATTATCAATGGCATCATCCAAAATACAGCTCCTGTTAACATTTTGGGGGTTTATTTTTAGGATACACAAAGGATACTTTTAAAAAAATAAAATTATATTGGGAGTTTTATATTTCTCTTTACACTTAACACTAGAATTGGTTTCTTCGTTGCCAAATAGTTTCCCTTAAAAAAAAGCCTACATTATTTTATATTGATTGGAGATTATAATTTATTAAAATATTCTACAAGTAGTTTTTAGAATATTTTAATAAATTATAATCTGCAATCAATAGTATACCTTTTCACAATTAAAAGTAAAACTATTCTAAATATTTTTGTATTTTTTTTTGCTGTAGGATTATTTTTATTACTTCCTTAGCATAGTTTTCTAGAGATAGAATCATTGGTTTAAATTGTGAATATTTTTAATGATTTTGATATAGATTGATGTATCACATTGCCAGCAAAGAATGAAGAGAATTTAAAAATTTTGCAAGATGAGAGTTTCTATAATTTTAACTTAAGCCTCTTTCATTTTTGATCAGAGGTAATGATTTATGATGGAACATTTAACTATGTTAATTGATCATTTTAAGTTTTTATTGCATGAATTTTCTATTCATATCGTTTCTCCTTTTTTTAGGCATTTAATATTTATTACCCATTTGCAATGAATGCTTTAGGTTTAGAAAATATTAACTTTCTGTCATATATTCAAGTAAGCCCATAACTTCCTTTGCAATTTTTAATTTCACTTGAAATTTGAAATATTTTTTTAAAGTCATAAACTTGATATTCAATTCTATGTTTTAAAAAATACTAAGTTGTCAGGCAGTTTCATTTATTTGTATGTAACTCTTTAGTTTGGTGAAAATTGAATCCAATTGGCTGTTCATTTCATCTATCTGAGGAAGGTGTTTATATTCACTTCCAAGATTCTTTCTCTTTAGAATTCTTAATTCAGAGTAAGAAGCAAAAATAAAAATAAAAATACAGACTCCTTCTTAAATATTTTATATATGTATATTGTTATTGTTATTATTATTATTGTTATTATTTGCGATGGAGTTTCGCTCTTGTTGCCCAGGCTGGAGTGCAATGGTGCAATCTCAGCTCACCACAACCTCTGCCTCCCAGGTTCAAGCGATTCTCCTGCCTCAGCCTCCTGAGTGAGTAGCTGGGATTACAAGCATGCGCCACCATGCCCGGCTAATTTTGTATTTTTAGTAGAGACGGGGTTTCTCCATGTTGGTCAGGCTGGTCTTGAACTCCCAACCTCAGGGCATTGGCCCACCTCAGCCTCCCAAAGTGCTGGGACTATAGGCGTGAGCCACCGTACCAGGCCGGAAATATTATAATTATTATCCCTATCAAAAAAAGCATGATAACTTCCATTTCACTTTCTAAAAGTGCTTAGAAATTTGCTTCTTTTCTTACTGTTTAACCATATAGAATTTTTGGCAAACTGACAAAAGAGCCTTAAATAACCAAAAGTAGACATTGTACAAAAATAGAAATATAAACTTGAAAAATAAGAAGTAATAAAATAGTTCTAACTTTTATGAAGTGTTGGAAATTAAAGTATACATCTGACGTAAATGCATAATTAGTTGACACCATTTCAGTAAGTTACTCTCTTCCAAAAGAGGCTCCAGTTTGTTTTAAACAAGTACACATCTCCCAGATGAAATCCTTTTTAGGTGGAGCTGTCTTACAAGAAAGTGAGAACAAAAGGACGAATATTTTTTACTTTTGAAAAACTAATTTTTTTATATAAAAATTTACAGCGTATTTAGTTATATTTGATTTATAGATATATTTTTCTTTAGCCATAAGCACATTCTTAATAAGAATAATTGTAGAAATATGAAATTAATTTTGAAAGGTCTTTATAGGTCAAGTTTGTAAAGACAGTTAACAAAGCTGAGAGAGGAGTTTCAGGAAAACCCCAGCCACTTTTTATTTCCTGTGATAAATGTATACGAGCTATAGAATTTAAGAAGTGTGGGATAAGTATATTAAGTTCTAAAAACAATGTGAATTTCTAAATAATTTCTCCCCAATGTGATGCATTGACTTGAAGTTATTTCACAGAACAAAGAAAAAAAATCCCAACTTTGTCAATGTTTCCAGTCTAGGTAAAGTGACTAACACGTTTTGACATCGAATATGCCCATTCATGCTAAGAAAAACTCTTAAACAGTCTAAATAGAACCCCCTTTGCTTTTGAGTGAAGTGAAGATTTTAGATCCTGGAATTACTATAGAGGCTTTAAAACATTAATTGGAACTCTTTTTCACATAAGAACATTTCCAGATTGTTTTCTTTTTGCTTCAGCAAAAAGGAGGAGATTCAACATTAAGATTAAGTAATACTGGCTGCAAAAATAAACATCAAAAAAAACCTTTCCACTTTTCCACCTTGAATGTTTATTCTTATCAGCGCTCATTTGGGAGCAACTTATAATGTACCAGGTATTGGGGATATAATGATACATAAGACAGTTTCAGTAAGAGGCATAATTAAATCAATTGATTATGTAAGTGTGCTGTAGAAAATATTATCACAAAAAATACAGATAAAATGCAATAAAAGCAAGGCTGGAAAGGCATTCTAAAGGGGTAATGAATCATAGAATTTAAAAATTGTATGATTTTTATAGAAAATATTCCCTTTTCTGTTGTGAAGTTACACTATTTTTGTTTTTAACAAGACCTGGAAAAACATTTATGCATTTAAAAATACGTCCCAATATATGAATCAAGCATTATTCAGATGACTTAAAGGACTAAGAAAACGACTATCATCGAATGAAACTTAGCCTAGAGAAAAAAAGAAACATGGCTGAGAAATCTTTCAAAACAAAGCTGGTAGGATTTCAGTAATAGCCATCCTGTACAAAGACTAAGTTTTATTTGAGAATAGGAAAGAAGTATTGAACATTGGACCCAAAGAACTGAAAACTAAAACAATAAAAGTTTTTTAAAAAGACTTGAGGTCCAAACCAAATAGAGTTGAAATAAGTACAATTTCAATCTCATTCACTCGCTCATCTGAAATAGTTACTGAGCACCTATTACGTGACAGCAACATGCTTTTGCATGCTAAAAGTGTCTGGCGATGGAGGAAATGTCATTGTATGTCACTGTAGTGATCCAACATGCTCAGTGTTAGGCTGGGGGAAATACGGGGTTAAACAAGGGCCCAAAATCACAGCACCTCACCCAAATTTGATGGGAGAATGGGTTACAGTCTTTCTGGAAAAAAATGTTCTACTGTAAGCTGAGACCCGAAGGATAAAAAGAGATTGGAGTAGGTGTTTCTGAGGGAGGAAATGGTATGTGTGAAAAGCCAGAGACATGAGAGAATACGGTACTTTTGAGAACCTGAAAGTTGTTCCACGTGGCTGAGAATAGATTGTGGGTGGATGGGGAGGGGACAATGAGGGACCATTGATGAGAATAGCGTGATCCAGGCTTGCAAGCCTGTTTCCTTCAAGAGCAATAGGGAACCACAGAAAGATTATAAACAAGGGAATGATATGATCAAAGACATTTTGGGGGAAGATCACTTTAGCAGCATTATGGAAAAGAGCTTGGAAGAAAAAAGGTTGTAACTAGTGGAACCCTATTTGAGTCTATAGAAGTTGCACAGGAGAGGGAGAATGGAGGCCGGGCCTTCTTTAGTGGATCCTCAGTTTTGTCATCCAAAGAACTTGGAATCCCACATTGATTTCCCCCATCACACATAATGTATGATTGTATATGTGTAAGTATGATTGTCAGAGGCAGAGGTCATTGATACCTGTTTATACACATAAGTATGATTGTCAGAGGCAGAGGTCATTGATATCTGTTTCTAGAAACTCTGATGACTGCAAAAGTGTTTCTCATTTCCTTAGTAAGAAAAATGCCAAGAATAGTCCTTGTGAATGTAGAGAAGAAAGAAGCACCCTGTGCCTTCTCTATCTAATACTTAGGCTCAGCACTGTTTTGACAGAAAAAGCGGCTTTCTCTCTTTCCCTCCATGGCATTTCGATTATTTTGTAGTTGTTGTTGTTGTTGTTGTTTTGACAGAATCTCTCTCTGTCACCCAGGCTGGAGTGCAGTCACATGATCTCAGCTCACTGCAACCTCTGCCTCCTAGGTTTAAGCAATTCTGCTTAATTCTCCTGCCTCAGCCTCCCATGTAGCTGGGAACACAGGCATGCACCACCACGCCCGGCTGATTTTTGTATTTATAGTAGAGATAGGGTTATGCCATGTTGGTCAGGCTGGTTTTGAACTCCTGGCCTCAAGCAATCCACCTGCCTCAGCCTCTCAAAGTGCTGGGATTATAGGCATGAGCCACTGCGCCCGGCCCTTGCGTGGTATTTCTTTGAGACACCCTAAAGGCACTGCAGCCACAGAAAGGAGTGTGGACCTAGGAAGCGACTCCCCGTTAGGATGCATCTCAACAACATTTCTTTTGGTTGTCATTTGGGGTAAGAACTATTTGCAAGCAAATGTAAATCACTGGATTGAACTGCCTGTTAACATCATCACTACACATTGCTCAACCGTCCCGGTAAATCCGGAGGGTCACAGCAGCAAGGCAACCATGCCCCACTCCCCACTCTCCATGCTCTATTCTGTGGGTTTTGAATTTGCTGGCCTCACAACCCACTTGAAGAGAAAGGTGAAAGGTCCAGATCTCAGCTCCGCTACTCATTGGAAGTCACTTGCCTTTTTTCAGTTATGAAGTTGCTAAAATTTCTCAAAACAAAGTGACAGGACTAAATTACCTTAAATTCTTTCTAGCTGAAAATGATGGTTTTATGAGTCAGAAATGAGAACATTAGTGTTCCAGACTTGGAAGTACAGGGAAGTAACTACAGATACAGGATATTAGAATATATGATTAAGAAGAATGGTGATTTTAAAAGCTTATCAAATAGCTGCAGCTCCTGCTTCCTTGACAGGGAGAGTTTCTTTCCTGAGGGCCAGGCGCCAGCAGCCCTGGAGACGCAGGGCCCAGTTTGCCTCAAGTCTCCTTCCCAAGGCTACTCTACACCTCCTCACAAAGACCCCATGAGGATTTGGTGTCTGGCTTCTGGCAGCACATTGACCTTTTCTCTGCAATTGTGTCAGCAATGGATCCAGCTTCTTTTCCTGGAGGGGACTCGAGGAGCATCAAGGGCCTGAATGAACTTCTAATGTATTTGTGTTTCAGCAGCAGTCTTCAGAAATCAATTGTTCACCAATTGGACAGACCGGCTCGGGGCTAGAGTGCCCTTCCTCCAAGTTCCCACATTGATTATTTTAAGAGTTCTTCCAACTCAAATGAAAAATACCAAAAATTTTAAAACATGCAGGCCTTCTGAAGCTATCCAATCCTAAAATTAAATATTGGGTGTGGGAATGGGAGTACACTAGGAAGGGTCCAGGAAGGACTCAAGGCTCTTTCCAAAGGTGAATTGAGGAGAGTTTAATAAAGAGGTAGAATTGAGGAGAGTTTAATAAAGAGGTAGAAGTAGTGAGGTAGCGAGTAATCCATGAATGAGCCTCAGCAGGGAGCCGTTGGCCCCTCTAGGGCTGCAGGAGAGAGGCCACCCTGCAGAAACTGAATCTTGCGGGAGGAATGTAGTCTCTTCCAAGCCATGGCCTAGGGGAATAAATACCCAGAACTCTCTTTCCCTCCTCTTTGGTCCTTTCATTTCCAACCAGCACGTCTCTTTTGCTGAGCCCAGCCAGCAGCCAGAGGACCAGGGTGTGGACGATGTAGTCCATAAAGGTCAGCCTTCAAGGAAATAGAAACAGTGAAGAAGAGCAGAGAGGGTTCCCAGCAGAGGCGGGAGCTGGGGGGAGAGCCTGTGGCGTCAGATCTCTCCCAAGAGTAAGCCGAAACTCAGGGCTCCTGGGAGGTCCTCTAGGGCTGAGGCAAACTGAAAGAAACAGGTTTAGCTTTAGGGCCAAGGAATGGGTTGAAGAAGCCTAAGGTGAGGAACCAGGTGGCAAAGTTGGAGACCAGCTGGAACAACTGAAGAACAAAGAGAGGGAGGGAGACATGTGGCCTCCAGGGTCAGGGCAGGCCTCCATCCTGCCCCCGTGCTCCATTCTAGGACAAATCTCAAAGTTACCAAGCTTCGGTCCCAGGGCCTCTTTGAAACTGGTTTTAACACTAAGTAGGATATAGGGTCCCTGGCAGGCTCTTCCCAGGCAAACCATGACTATACACAATTCAAGGCCATTGTAAAGTAATGGTGAGTATATATTTTCACAGGCCACAGAGTAAAATGAACACAAAAATTTGTTTTTAAAAATGTTTACCTCTGCCAGGTGCAGTGGCTCACACCTGTAATCTTGGCGGCATGGGAGGCTGAAGCAGGAGGATCACTTGAGCTCAGGAGTTGGAGGCTGCCTTGAGCTACAGTTGTGCCACTGCCATCCAGCCTGGGTTACAGAGACAGACTCCAAGTCTAGGGGAAAAAAAGTTTAACTTGATCATTTCTAGGTAAAGGCAATACTTTTCAGATTTAAAATTCTATCATTTCAGATTTTCTGTCATTTCAAATGTTGTCTTTCAGATTTGAAAAGAGGATTTGTCTCCTCTTTTCCCTCAGAGTAGCATCTAAGCTTCTGACAGAGCAATGTGAAATCTGGGAGGCTTCCTCTGGGCACTTTGGAGATGGTCTAGGGCTGGCTGTCATCGACTGAAATATGCAGTGACATCTGGTCCCTGGGTGTGGACACCCACGCTGGCTCTTGGTAGGTTGTTTAAAACCTGTCCGTTGCTAGGCCCTTTCCACTCTTTGTTCCTTGGATGGTATTTTGGGTTTTCCTAAGCAGGGTGTGCAACTATCATCCAGGTTTGTCTCCCGTACCATTATGCAGAGTGTTTCTCCATGATTTGCTTTGTCTTATGTCAACCAGATGTGAAATGAAGCCAAGTTAGCCTCTATTGTTCAGCCCCTACACTTGATAACACAGGGTTCTGTCATCCATCCCTTCCACTCTACCATAAACTCACACCAGCTTCCCCATCTCAGAGGCTCTTCCCTGGCCTGTGGAGAATAGATGTAGTGGTAGAGGGGCCATGAGAACTCACTCAGAAAATATTCTTGCCAAATCTTCATTCTAACATCTAGACTGCAGCTTTCTTAAGGTTAAAAGCCAGAAATTAGACATGGTTGTTTTTCATTTGATCCATATAGTAAACACAGAGGGTGATTGAGTTGAAGGCTGGTTGCATGGAATGTGTACAGTCATCTCCCAACACCCCGGCAGACGCCTGAAACCACTGACAGCACCTAACCCTACATAAACCATGTATTTTCCATCTGTCAACAAATTGGCTAAGTGACTACCTGGGAGGTAGCATAGACAGCACAGATATGCTGGACAAAGGGATGATTCACATCCCAGGCTGGACTGGGCAGGATGGCAGAAGATTTCATCATGCTATTTGGAATGGCACACAGTTTAAAGCAAATAAATGGTTTATTTCTGGAATTTTCCATTAATGTTTTCAGACTGCTGTTGACCACAGGTAACTGAAATCATGGAAAGAGAAACTGCAGATAAGGGAGGACTACTCTATGTGGTGGGGGAACATATACATAAGAGATGACATTGTGAAGTAGGTAAAATTGGTTTTAAAATCTTTAATACTCTATTTTTCAACTTCCACATCTTAGTATTGTGTGTTCCTGTGATTTCTCTATACCCTTCTTTTTGAAATCTATTTTCAGGAAATCGTCTGATACATACAACCCTAATAAAGTTCGAATGACTTGCAGCACTTGCATTGTTCTTTCTACATGTAATTTGATTTGAAGCAAAAAAATTCTGAGACAAAGGAATAATTTTCTCTAAACTCAGCATCAGTAAGTGGGACAGATAACGAGGTTTTGGAGTTAAGGGAGAAGTTGTCCTCGATCATATCATTTAGATCATTATTTGTTTTGCTTTATATTTGCTGATATATTTTTAGATTCCGAAATGAATTCTAATAGGTAACTTTAAAGGGAAAATTTACCTTTATTGTAATATTATTTTCATCAAATCACTAATATGACAAGAATACAAAATCCTGAAAATAAGTTCAAATTTTCTAATTTAAAAGAATTGAAAGTGTTTATATATACTCTAATATAGATGCTTTAAATATATAAACTTTTAATATGCTATACAAATATACGTATGTATATACATCTTATGCAAATGTACACTTTTAGTAAAAGTATACATGTATATTAAATGTATGTATATATTCTGTATGTTATACATATATACATGTATAATATATTGTATAGAATATATGTATTTATGTATATATAACATATACAGTACATAATACATTATACATTAGGTATATAAAATATATATACGCAAATATATATTTCCTAATACAAGTTATTGAAAGATATTGGATTTAAGACTATTAAAGCAAACATATCATCTTAAATATCTGCCAAACAGGAGGATCTAGGGGATTGAAAAACTTTTTTTGTGAAAGATCAAATAGTAATTATTTTAACCTTTGAGAGCTGTGCAGTTTGTTGCAACTATCCAACTTTGCCGTTGTAGCACAAAAGCAGCTATAGAGAATACATATATGATGAAATGCTTTTATGTTCCAACAAAACTTTATTTATGGACACTGACGTTTAAATTATATATAAGTTTTGGCCAGGGAGGTGGCTCACACCTGTAATCACAGCACTTTGGGAGTCCGAGGCAGGCGGATCACTTGAGCTCAGGAGTTCCAGACCAAAGCCCGACCAACATGGTGGGCACCAGTGGTCCCAGCTACTCTGGGGGCTGAGGCACGAGAATCGCTTGAATCTGGGAAGCAGAGGTTGCAGTGCACCAAGATTGCACCACTGTACTCCAGCCTGGATGATAGAGTGCATGAGACTCCGTCTCAAAATAAAATAAAATAATAACGTATAATTGTCATGTGTCACAAAAAGTTCATTTAATTTTTTTAACCATTTAAAAATATAAACATCATTCTTAGCTTGAGAGATGTAAACAAACAAAAACAAATGAATGAAGAAACAAACAAACAAAATCCAGAGGGGTCAGTCTATTTAGCTCACAGCCTGTAGTTTCCAGACCTCTGATCTAGACTTACCCACTCAGGATTACCAACGCAGACATTGGCTAAGTCTCAGGACTGGAGGTGAAATAGGGTGAATTAGGCAGGTAAAACCACCATAAAAAGAGGCAGAAGAGCACAAGCTTAGGCATTTAATCCATAATAAGAATATGGACCCTCTATTAGTATTTTGCACTAAAGAAAAAAAGGCAAATTTGGATTTCTGCTAATATCCTGAGCTTGAAAATCCCTTCCATCTAATTTCCTTGCATCCAGTATGTTTGAATTTAGAATGCCAGTTTTATTTCCCTGCTCTTGGTTCTGTTGGTGAAAAAAGGGGAGAGGAGATGCCAATATTTTTATGAGCTGTCAATTTCCATATCTGACCTGCTAGCATCAAAAAGGTGATAGCAACAATTACAGAATATTACCAATTCTAAATTGAAAGAATGCTGACTCAAAATCAGACGGTCTATCTTCCAATCTCGTATTTGTTATTAACCACCTGAGTGGCAAAAATTACTGAAACTTTCTGGAGATCAGTTTACTTATTTGTAAAAGAAGGATCTTGAAGATTTTTCTATCCATGTGAATGAATTATAGTTCCCCTTATTACAAACATCACTTTACTGAGAAGGCCTAAGGCAAAAATAAACTTTGCCAGAAATGTAGGCAAATTATGGAAGAATATGTCAAAGTACGGAAAAGACACATTTAAACAGTAAATTCAAGTTTGTATCTTTGTACTTATTTACTAAGTTTTATGGTAACCGAGAATTCAGGATAAATTTGACTGCAGTACTTTTTCTTATGTTTATTTTTTCTGGAAGCATCCAAAAGTTAAGCTGGCTACAGGACCTCTGGTTTACAATTCATTTCCTTGAAAGAAAAGAAGAAATAAACACAATTCTATAAAGTCTGTGAATTAAAACTTTGAACCTGCAGATGGTGCTATGATTCCATTTTCAAATTGTTTTGCTTTCTAGTTTAAATTCATAAGAGAAAATGCAGTTGTTTGGTTGAGTTTACTTTTATTCAGAGGTAATAAAATTGAATTATTTCTTTTTATTTTATCTTATTATTATTATAATAGAAGCAATTGTCTTTTGTATTGGGAAAAGCTACTATAGTTACTCTTTGTAAATGCTAAGTGCTTGCCTAGGCCAAATAATGATCAGCTTTACATCTTTTATGTTTAAAATTTTTCTTCTTATCATTCAGCAGTCATTTGTCTGTGACCCTCAATTAAGTTGCTTTGCTGTTTCTGCTCTTAAATAAAATTGGTTCACTAAGAATTGGGTGATGAAGAGCTAAGGATAAAAAAATTCCATATGAGAACTGTTTCAACCTCTAGTTTGTAATAATCAGGTAAAAAAGATTTCCTGGAATTAAGCCACAGGAACTCTGGCTTAAGTCAGAGCTGTCAACTGGGAAACAAATTTCCAGACATTTTGAAACTTAATTCATTTAATTTTTCTGGTAACTGGATTAGAAAATATGATTAAGCATAGCAGGATATTCTTTTACTGGATCAGTCTGACTTTGAACGAAGGAAATAGATACTACAATCTTAAAGTAGAAGAAAGAGGACTGTAAAGCCATTCTGTCTTATGAAACTTAGAAACAAAATGTAAAAATAATACACATGGCAGAAAGCCTTTAAAATAAAAGGAAAAATGGCATTTTCCTCTGTTGTTTAGGAAATTTTTCATGTGGCTGCATTTTTACCTTAAACTCTGATTGAATGTGTGCTAGACTACCTTTAGTTACAAATCCACAAATAGAAGTGAAGTATTTATCAAAGTACTATATAAATGCTTTTCAACTATTTGAAGCCACCTGTCAAGTGATTGAATCAGAAATGTTCAAAACTGGTTTGAGTATGTGTGTGTGTTGGGGATGAGGGTAGAAAACTAATTCTACATTATGCAAAGACTTATAAAAGTGATGAGGAAAATCTTTAAAAAGAAAAGACAATTAAATTCCTTGAGGTATATAGCCTGACAACAATTTATTTTTTGGATCATTTGACACAGTGTATGTAAAAGTGCATTGGGAATTGTGCCATTTTATACAAATATGAAATAGCACTACTTGTACTGCTTTGTACAACAGCGTGCATATCTTACTATCTTAGAGACTTTCTGAAACACTTATCTTGGAATTAGTTTCAACAAAGACGAAATGTAATAATAGGAAGGTGAAAATTATCTCTAGAGCTTTTAAAGTTAGGATAGATTTCAAGAAAGATTAAATCTGGAACTATATGAATAGCATAAAAATTAAAAATATTAAGAGAATTGATACTTTGTAATAAAGTATAATTATACTTTTATAAGCGTAATGAACATAAGTGTTTGTTGCTTTATGCATTTGTTTCTACACATGAAGTCTTTATTTTCTGAAGGAATCCCAATGGCCCTGGCTATAACACTACAATCATTTTCTTATTTTACAATTAATTAAAGGTTAAAACATTTCACATTGAGCTTGCTACTTTGTTTGTTTAAAGAAAAGTAAATTTCCTCTTATCTTACATTTTGAAGTTGCTCACTATAAACTTATATAAATTAGGCATAATGACAATTAAGTAAGAACTTCAAGCCCTATTCATCCCATGGCCGTCATACTGTGACGTCTTTCAGAGCACTTTGTGATTGCTCAGTCCTAAGTATAAGCCCTATAAAATGATGGGCTTTGAAATGCTGGTCAGGGTAGAGTGAGAAGCACCAGCAGGCAGTAACAGCCAACCCTTAGCCATTGCTAAGGGCAGAGAACTGGTGGAGCCTTTCTCTTACTCCCAGGACTTCAGCACCTAAGACAGCTCCAAAACAAACCAGAACAGTCAGCTCCGGGGGAGCACGACTGGGCGAGGTAAGTGAAAACTTTACCTTTCCTCTTCTTTTTCCCTCCTGCCTCTGGAACTTTTCTCACAAAATAATGAATTTTTCTCTCTTGAAAAGAATTTGATAGTGCTTTGCTTTTGCAACAGCAAAAAACAAGTTTCTCAAGTCACCTGGTAAGGATAGAAATACTTCAATTTCTCTCATATGGATAGATTTTCTGAATTCTTTTGTTTGTAAGATGCTTTACCCTGCTTGCTCTTTTACTGAATACTGATTTTTACAAATAATTCATTCAAGTAAAGTTTACTTGTATGTAGATTTTTGACTGAAAATTTCAGTGGGAACATTTGCTTTTGAAATTTTCAACTTATTTTTAAAGTGCTTTTTTTTTCCTATTTCGTATGTTGGTTAAGTGAATCTAAGATGCATTTATTTTTTCCTTAAGTTTAAATTCCATAATTTTTATAGGCAGCAAGAGAAACAGACCTTACTCCTAGGCTTTTAATCTAGAAACTAGAAATGAAATGTGTAAGTTGATTAAATGCAAGAAATGCAAGCTTTGCTTTTAATATATATTTTCCTCTTATGGAAAAATTTATTTCAATGACAACATATGATTCAGTAATATTTTGAGTATTAATATTCACTACTGAGTTAAGAAGTTCAAATCCAGGTGTAAGGAAATAAGTTTCCGTAATATCTACAATTGAAAGAGGAAAAAGTAATGTATATACAAAATCTTTTTTAAAATTATATGTATATATACACATTATATTTATACATTTGCACACACACGAGCAGAATAATTATTAAATAGATGATACTCTAGTCTTATATTAGTCAGATACTGAAATTTTAAAGCAGAAGAAAATCAATGTCTTGAAGCTGTTTCCTTCGTCAAAAAATACACTAAGCTTGAGTGGTACATCCCTGTTATGAAAAGATTGTCCCCAGGGTTATTTCCAGCACTATAGAAGTATGGCATTCAATAGATACTGGGGCCAACCATGTGCCCAGACAGCAGGTGAAAAGGATTCTAATTTTTATTCAAGCACCTGTCACTGAGAGAAATACTGATTTTTGAATGTATCATCTTGCAATTTAACTCTTTCTACAAGATGAAAATTACTCTTTACAAACTCTGCAAGAGCCATTGAAAATTACTGCTAGACAATCAGAATTACCTTGCTGGTGACATCTTTGGCTGGAAGAACTGAGGTGATTCTCTCTCTTTAGAGGCACAGAAATGGACACCAGAAATAAGGCCCAGCTCCTTGTGCTCCTGACTCTTCTCAGTGTGCTCTTCTCACAGACTTCGGCATGGCCTCTTTACAGGGCACCTTCTGCTCTCAGGTAAGTTCCCTTTCAATTCAAACATCTGAACATTCCTTCCTCATCTAAATGGGAATTTCCTATACATTTTGTTGGACAACTAAATAGTATAAATTATGTATTATGTATTTAAATTTTTCCTTGATGTGTTGAGTGAGAGGTGTTTGTCAACATCAGGTCATTCTGAGTCCTGGAATTCACTTTCAGGGCATGAGAGACACTGTCAGTTATTAGTTTTATGGGCTGAGTGGATCACATTCCCAAACATGGTGAAAGGAGGCTTTCACTTTCTTTTTATTCAAAACCATCTTTAGATAAATAATAAGCTTTTATCCATTGTTATCTCAAGTCAGTTCAATTTCTGGTGGAAAAAAGCTGTTTAGTTGCCAACCACATTTGAGTTTATTTTCAAGATTAATCAGTAAATAATCATAAGACTAGTAGTTGATTAGTGAAACATGTATAAAATCATGTTGCACAGAAATCTATCTAGGCAGAGTCAATTTGCCAATATTAAATATGGGGTAATTGATCTATTGAGATACACTCCCCCAATAGGAAAATTTTGATATACTTTGTTTGGACCATAAATCCTTAGTTTTATTGTTCTATATGTTATATTATATATTCCAAATCCATAAAGTATAACACAACTCTTATTTAAAACTTTATTAATGTATGCTAAAGAAGTAAACAATAAATGAAAACTATATTAGCTTGAATTTTCCTTTCAGTTTACGGGCACCACTGTATCTCCAAAGGAAAAATAATAATTGGGTTGGTTTCCTTCTTTGCTTATTAGGTCATTCTTGATTTTTTGCTTAAGGTAGACTTATGCTCAACAGAGAGAATAACCTCTTAGCTATTAGTGTTCTCTGTGAAATCTGTTTAAATACAGCTCCTGCGTTGCTTTGATAACTAAACAAAATGGTTCTATCTGAATAGTTCTACCACAGCAGATGAACAATCACAAGAATGTGGACATTTGTGTTGATTGCTAAGCTTCAGACCCACAGAGGACTAGTTGCTAGTGACTCCCAACTCCCAAATCACTGAAAGATACACAAGTGTCCAGGAGCTGACACGCTCCTTGGATGTTTGCCCTAACAGTGAAAATCTGCACACACAAAATTATAAGAGTTGCCGGTGATTGAAATATGCATGCATCCATAAATATAGTCATATTCCATATATGCATTTGACTATTCTTAGTCTTTCAGTGTAACATTGTACATCCCTTATTAAAGTTGTGTTAATACATAAGATTAGAAAAAAGAAGGCCCCATAAAACTTATTGAATTCAAATTCATCTTCATAGATGAGCTATCCATCTATGGAGACATTCTTTGAACTCTGTCAATACAGAGAAATATATAATGCCAAAGTAAATATTTGAAGCAAAGCTTGGGGGTCGAGAGAGAGAGAAGCAGTTAATACTCTGTTCTTCAGAGATGTTTGGAACAGGTAATACTGAACATCACCAAATCCATAAATTGTTATCAGTTCTCATTCAATATTAGTTTTTTGCAAGTTTCTATTTTGCATAAAATATTTCTACATACGAAATTTGACTTTGCAAAGTGAAGATATTCTTGGCATAGTAAATTACACCAAAGAAGTATAGTTTGCTTAATGCTCTGATAAGATTGAATTAAGTAGCTCTTGTGTTTTGTATATTCAGCTTATAAAAGTCATATGGCATCTACTTTATAGGATAATAGGAATTTCCTATTTATACTCTCATTAACTATATGAGCCATTAAGTCAAATTATGCTATTCTCATATTATGACTGGGTAATACTTCCCAAGAGTCTAAGTATCTTATTTTAAATGGTTGCGGAACCATACACACTGTCTTCTGAAAAAAGAATGTATTATTCTCGTGTAACTTTCCCCATCAGGTTGGGTGACAGAATACCCTTTGAGGGAGCAAATGAACCTGATCAAGTTTCATTAAAAGAAGACATTGACATGTTGCAAAATGCATTAGCTGAAAATGACACACCCTATTATGATGTATCCAGGTGAGTTTATTTTTATAAAACTATCCAATGAGTTTTATTTTAGAAAATGTGTTTAAGAACTATAAACGTGCTTATTTTATCTCACCATGAAGCTATTCCGATAGCAAAACACTAGAGGTTTCTATGTGTCATGGCTTCATTCATCCTGATTTACTGCAGATCTTACAGCTGTACATAATTTTCATACTGAAAGGTTGTAACAAGCCAGGATGAACACACCATTCACTTCCATTCTGTTGCACATAATTCCAACATCACAGATTGTACCAATTCTGATAAAAGTACAGCATTTAGCATTCCAATGATGGAAGAGTTGCCAAGGAGTTTTGTCTCTATATAAAGAAAAGATACCTGATAGAGCTGTTCATTCATAGAGCTGTTTGTCTAGAGCATCATTTCAAGTACAGACCAAGTAGCTCTATAGTACTTGGTACAGACAAAGTATAAAAGGTGCTTCATTTGAAAGAGAAAAGGTGGGATGATAGGCCTTAATGCCTTCTCTATCTTAAGAGATTTTGTTTCCAAATATTTTGGAAAAAGAAAAAAAAAGGTGTACTGGGGTTTATGAACTTTCCAAAATCAGAATATTTTCCCATTGTGAATGTCTTTATTCAGTGGGGCAGACACAAAGCACCATGTACAAATAGCAGCTAATTTAAATAGATCATATTTTTACACCAATATTTCTTAGAAAGAAATAGTTATAAAGATTCAACCATGGAGGAATATTGAAATGTGCTCCTAGAAATGCCTGTTTCTTTAATTTTTCAGTGTCTTGGGCTAGAAATATAGGGTATATCTTGATATAAGTGACTAGAAGATCTCTTTTGTTAGGGTGTTAAGAAATCTCCTTTTGAACTTTAGTTTTAATGAGAAGCTTTCATAATAAGCCCATAATTTTTTTGTTATTTAATAAGCCATAATAATATTCTAGAAAGCCATTTACAAAATAATAGCTATTTTTTTCTTCCTTGTTTTAGAAATGCCAGGCATGCTGATGGAGTTTTCACCAGTGACTTCAGTAAACTCTTGGGTCAACTTTCTGCCAAAAAGTACCTTGAGTCTCTTATGGGAAAACGTGTTAGGTAAAGAGAATTTATTATTTTTATAAAATATGTTATCATTATTCAATCTGAATATTGTATTTTCACTCTTAACAAGTTATTTACTTTGTTTGAAATTGAAAACTCGTTGATAATGTTTAATTTAGTTAAATGAAATAACTTGTATTCTTCAATAACATCTATCAAGCCCATGGACTAAGACTTTTTCATAATATCATATTCATTGACTCCAGACACACATTTTTCTCAAGTAGCAATCATTTAGCAATCTGCAATCAAATTGAACAAGACTCAGTAAAACAATCAAAAAGAGATAGTACAGACTGAGGTAAATTTTAAGGTCAAACAGAATATTCTTTTTACTTCCTGCTCAAATTAAATGGAGAATTCCAAATGGCCAACAGTCAAATATTTAGATGACGTTGCTCAGGGTAGCATAGCTTCTAAAGAAGTAATTATGTTTTTTTTAAAAAAAAAAAAAATTTCTCCCAATGGCAGAGCACAACTTCAGCTATTCCCAAATTTTTATTTTTGGATGAATTATTTGCTCAGCTGTACAGAATGTGTCATAAAACAGTCCCAGGCCATGCCAAAATATGGCAGATGATTCCTTGCTTTCCTTCATCCTTAGGTTTAGTTGTATTTTTCTTTTAGTCTTTTTATGATAGAAAATTAGTTGGGTGGGAATTGCTTTTTATGTGGCTCCAAGAAACCTGGAACATGTGTGTATTTATCATTTCTTGTGAAAACTCTTTGATTTCCTTTTCCTCATGTTCCTTAGCAGTAACATCTCAGAAGACCCTGTACCAGTCAAACGTCACTCAGATGCAGTCTTCACTGACAACTATACCCGCCTTAGAAAACAAATGGCTGTAAAGAAATATTTGAACTCAATTCTGAATGGAAAGAGGAGGTAAAGAAAAAGAGAACTTGCTAAAATGAGGAATCATGACTGACTTTCAAAATAGAAGCTGCACATGGAGACCTCTCTATCTCACTTATCTAGCTATACTACGTGAAGCAGTGATTTTCAACCTTGGCTGACATTAGACTACCCCGCAGAACTTTAAAAATACAGATGTCTGGGCCTTCTCCCAAACCAATTGCCAGGAAATCGGTGTCTTCGGTGGTGTGGCCCTAGACATACATTTCTTTTAAGAGTTCCCCAGTTGACTTTACTATGCTGCCAGTGTTAAAAATGATGACTATACAGACATCTAGTCTGAATCTAAGAGCAAGTTTCATCAAAAGTGATGATTTTTAAAACATGTAAAGCATAGTCAATTGCAATTTGGTAACACATGGAACTCACTTCGTGTGCATATTCACTACTGTTATTTAATCAAATTAAACCATTAGGTATTTTGTATATTTAGATTCTGTAAAATCTATATCTCTCTATGGTGTGTAAATATTGGACACAATACATAAACAGTGTAGTGTTCTGTCTTTTTATTCCAATTGTTTTTGTTTAAGTGATGAGTATTAAGGATAATTCTGTTTGGGTGTGATCAGACAAGATGACCTCTTTGCCCACTAGATGATAATTCTGTGAGAATAATTTTAGAAACTCTAAGATTGATGAATAATTCATAGGTACTAACAAACCTCAAAGATAATTGTTTAGCCTCCCCATACACTTTCAGAGCACAGAGAACAGCACATTCATTATGTCATAATAGTTTCTTTAGACCCTTTCTCATCTGAGAGCCTTAATATGTACAATGTTTTTCTGGTCTGCAGCAGTGAGGGAGAATCTCCCGACTTTCCAGAAGAGTTAGAAAAATGATGAAAAAGACCTTTGGAGCAAAGCTGATGACAACTTCCCAGTGGTGGGTATATTCGTGCATTCCTTCTGTATTCTTATGGCTGTCTCTGATTATATAAGTAGCTAAGAGTCACTTAGTAAGAAACATCTTAGGGTTAAATAGTTTCTCATCATGAGACCTCATCCAAGACAGACACTTCTACAACAGTGGACCCCAACCCAGTAAACAGCTTAGAATGATTCATGAAATTTTTTTGATCTTGTAAAAGAGAGCACTCACAATAAGCAAACGTTTTGAGATCTGAATAGTGTTCCTGGCTTACTTGGGGTTATTTCTACCTTTGTATCAAGATAAAAAAACAGAGGAGGCTGACTCACACTGACAAGAAAAATGGGCTTTCCTTTTGAGGATCGACCCATGCTGCTTTTATTAATTGAAGGTTTAGTCTCACAATTGACTGTTAGCTCCTCAATTAAGTATAGGGAAATAGCACCAAATTAGAGCATGGCCCATTACTATGAAAATATCAAGGCATTCTGGGTCTAACTATATTCCTTGAAACATGGCAAACTTCATAGAGCAAAAGTTAAATTTAGCTTGTTTTACCTGTAAGTTTGTTTTACCTATATGACTCTAATAGCATTCTCTGCCAACATTTTTTTTGAGCAGAAAAAACATGGATAGACTTTTTTTCTTTGTGAAGTAATAAGCTTGCTATCAAAATTGATTTTATATAAATGTGGGTTCAAGACATATTTCTTTCCTGAGTTACATTACATTAATATTCACATTCGCTCATAAAAAATCTATAATACTGGGCAAGTGCTTAAAGAAATTTCATGCTGTCACCATATCAAAGGTTAGCAGATTTTAAAGGGCTATGGAGTAAAATATGTTTGGCTTTGTGAGCCATCTATTTTCTGTTAGAGTGACTTAACTCTGCTATGGTAGCACAAAAGCAGCCACAGTTAGATGTAAAACGAATAGGAGTGACTGTGTTCCAATAAAACTTTATTCATAAAACCTGAAGGTGAGCCAGATTCCAATCCCTAACTAGGTTAAGGAGATTAAATTCACCCATGCTCAAACTAAAGGCAATTCATGGCCTTACCTCAGTTCCTGATGGGGTTATCTAAGGTTTTCAACAGTCATCAAGAGTGGACATGGTGTCTGGGAAGATACCTGCTTAATTGACTGCTTTTGTCCACTAATTACCCTTAGACCTCTAAGAGAAAGCAGAGGCAGGAGTGTGGCCCACATCAACTCTTTATCTTTTATAGACATCTCAGAGAAACAAGTCCCTTTGCTCAAAGAAGAAAGTTAATTACATATAGCTTTTCTAAGAGTGTTTATAAGAAGGCTTCTCCATCAAATTAAGAAACACGGTAGGCACTAAAATATAAAGGAGAATTGATTAATCACACTGTGCTTTGTAAATGGTAAGATCACTTATGAGATTCCATCCTCCATTCTTTTCTTTTTTAAATGGGTGGCTTTGGACAAATTCTTTGAAGAGGAAATCATGTGGGTCATCCATTAGTGAAAATTACAAGTGAATCATTAATAATGGTTAGTTAGACGTCTTTTCACATTCCAGTTCCTCTCTGATAATCAGTCCTCTAGAAGCTGCTCTCTTGGTATGTCCCAGGACATGATCCCCTGCCACAGGCTGTTAACAAGGGACAAAGAGAAATAAGTGTTTATCAGATAAGTAAATCAGTGAATGAAACTAAGATGCTAGAAATAAAATATATTTTATGCCTAAAGCAACAATTTTTTCTTTTTCAGAATTCTTGAAGGAAAATGATACGCAACATAATTAAATTTTGAGTTCTACATAAGTAATTCAAGAAAACAACTTCAATATCCAAACCAAATAAAAATATTGTGTTGTGAATGTTGTGATGTATTCTAGCTAATGTAATAACTGTGAAGTTTACATTGTAAATAGTATTTGAGAGTTCTAAATTTTGTCTTTAACTCATAAAAAGCCTGCAATTTCATATGCTGTATATCCTTTCTAACAAAAAAATATATTTAATGATAAGTAAATGCTAGGTTAATTCCAATTATATGAGACGTTTTTGGAAGAGTAGTAATAGAGCAAAATTGATGTGTTTATTTATAGAGTGTACTTAACTATTCAGGAGAGTAGAACAGATAATCAGTGTGTCTAAATTTGAATGTTAAGCAGATGGAATGCTGTGTTAAATAAACCTCAAAATGTCTAAGATAGTAACAATGAAGATAAAAAGACATTCTTCCAAAAAGATTTTCAGAAAATATTATGTGTTTCCATATTTTATAGGCAACCTTTATTTTTAATGGTGTTTTAAAAAATCTCAAATTTGGATTGCTAATCACCAAAGGCTCTCTCCTGATAGTCTTTCAGTTAAGGAGAACGACCCCTGCTTCTGACACTGAAACTTCCCTTTCTGCTTGTGTTAAGTATGTGTAAAATGTGAAGTGAATGAAACACTCAGTTGTTCAATAATAAATATTTTTGCCATAATGACTCAGAATATTGCTTTGGTCATATGAGCTTCCTTCTGTGAAAGTACATTTGGAGACACAACTATTTTTCCAAAATAATTTTAAGAAATCAAAGAGAGAAAATAAAGACCTTGCTTATGATTGCAGATAATTTTTTTGTTTGATTATTTTATATGATTCAGCAGTAACTCATTTTAGCTCTAAAGTTCTAGGCACTAGATAGCTTTTGTGGTATTTGATTGTGTGCAAGTTCTAAAATAATGATGGCTTAAAATAAAAGAGAAATTTCTTTCTCACGTAAGTCAAGAAGTAAGATGTCAGGGTTATTATAATGGTTCTGCTCAGCAAAACCCTCAATAACTTACACCCCTTCCAGCTCATCCCTCATCTCCAATGGTGTGGCACTTTTCCTCATGATCCAAAATTAGAGCTAGCATTCCAGCCATCACATATGCATTCCAGGCAGCAGGCTATAGGAAGAAAAAAGGGAGCAAATATTATATGCCAGTTCTCTTTGAACTGATATCTTATACTAACATCCCCTTTACTAGTACATAGTCTTATGGCCACAGTCATTTGCAAGAGAGGCTGGGAAATGTAGTATGTTTTCTTTTCTTTTTCTGGGTGATCATGTACCCAACTTAAAACTAAGACTCTATTAATATAAAACAAGGAAAGAATAAATGTATGCAGCGATTAAAAATAATTCCAGGCTTGGATCTTAAATTCTCACCCAAAAAGCTTAAAGAAATAATAAAGAGAGCGAGAGTCAGACCCTAACCATTAATGAAGAAGCATTATCCCCATAAGGCAAAGTTTTGCTTGGTTTCATTTTCTACAATTAGGACAAATGGCCACATCAGGAGGAACTAGTCTAGAAGTACCAGTAATTGCAAAGTAGTTTTCACAAGTTGAAGTAAATTGAGCTTCTTGTATCTCTTTTTCTTATCTGATTCTTCAAATTATTAAATATTTATTAAGTGACATTTTTATGAGAAGCACTGCAGTGAAAACAGACAATTTCTAAGTGTTAAGTGTACATAAAAAGCTTGTAAAGATGAAATGGAGCCATAATTTGAGTGTGTAACTAAAGAGTTTTAATTTTATTTTATTAATATGAATCTTTTCAATTTATTCCCTATTGCTTCAAGAAATTCATTGAAGAAATATTCACTGAATGACTATGATGTGCTATGTAGCTATCTGAGAGATTGTTCTGGGCTGAGGGAACAGCAAGTGCAAATGAGGGAACAGTCCTGACATATCTGGAGAGCAAGGAAGCCCATGTGGCTGGAGCAGAGTATGCTGGACAGGGACTCAGTAGGAGAGGAGGTCAAAGAAGTTACTAAGGACTGGACCTTGTAGGGCCTCACAGGCCACTGTAATTGTTTGTGAAGTGAGATGAGGTATGGCAGAGTTTTGGACAGAGGTGTGATATTATCTGAACTGCACTTTAACAGGATCTTTCTGGATACTCTAATGAGAGAAGAGTGAAGGAGTGCTAAGGGTGGAAGCAGGGGTACAAACTAGGGGGCAAGTGCTATAAATCAAGTGGCAGATGATGGTGCCACCAAGGCAGAAGCACTGGAGGTATTGAGAAGTATATCTGAATAGATCTTGAAAGAAGAGTCAGGTTTTCTGAGAATGGGTTGAAGACAAGAAATAGGAGAGGCTGGGCATGGTGGGTCATGCCTGTAATCCTAGTACTTTGGGAGGCTGAGGCAGGAGGATTGCTTGAGGCCAGGAGTTCAAGAAGGAGGAAAGTCAAGAATGACATCCAAGGTAAATCACCTGAGGCAACTTGAAGGATGGGATTGCTATAGACAGAGAAGACTGGGAGGAACGAGGGTTCAGGGAAAGGTGAGCTTAGTTTGGATGCACTAAGGCAGATGTTGAGTAGGGAGTTGGAGATGTCATGAAGAGGAGATGCTGAGCTGCAGATGGGCAAGTGGGAGATTTCGCATATAGACGGGATTTAGAAACACAAGACTGGACGAGATCAGCAAGAGACCAAGTGTTGCTAAACAACAAAACACAACAAAAACAGAAACCTCAACACATAATCCTTGAGTGTTTTTATTTCCTAGTGCCACCATAAGAAGGCACCGCAGACCAGGTGTCTCAAACAAAGAAATCAATTGTCTCACAGTTCTGGAGACAAAAAACGCTAGAGCAAGGTGTCAACAGGGCAGGCTCCTTCTGAGAGCTGTGAGGAAGAATCTGATCCATGCCTCTCCTCTCGTTTCAGGTGGTTTGCAGGCAACCTTTGGCTGATAGAAGCATCACTTCTATCTCTGCCATGACCTTCAGGTAGCATGTCTCCAAATATTCACTTTACATAAGGACATCAGTCATTTTGGATTAGGGCCAATGCTAATAATCTCATTTTAAGTTGATTTCCTCTGTAGAAACCCTATCTGAAAATAAGGCTACATTCTGAAGGACTAGGGTTAAGGACTTTCACATATGAATTTTTGGGGACACAATTCAGCCAATAATCCTGGGGCATGCCAACATTAAGAGTTTGGAGTTTTGAGAAACAAATGGGATAAAAATGGACTGGAAGAAGAAGCTATTGAAATAGGAGAAAAATTGGAGACCATGTCATCTGGAAAACAAGTGAAGAAGATCTTTCAAGGAAGAGGGTATCATTAACAGAGCCAAATCCTGCTGCAGGGTAGATTACAATTCATTTATTTAATTCTTCTGCAAGAATTTATAAGGAACTTACTATCTACCCAGCACCATTTTAAGTTCTGATGATATAGTAGTGAATAATACAGATCAAAATTCCTGCCCTCATGGAGCTTGCATTCTTTGATTTGAAACAGATAATAAAATAGTCAAGTAAAATATAGTCAAGTAAAATATATATTGTTTTAGAAAGTGATAAATGCAAAGGAGACAAATTATGTACTTACAGTTCCATATGGCTGGGGAGGCCTCACAATCATGACAGAAGGCAAGGAGGAGCAAGTCATATCTTACGAGGATGGCAGCAGGCAAAAACAGAGCTTGTGCAGGGAAACTCTCCCTTATAAAACCACCAGATCTCATGAGACTTATTCACTATTACAAGAACAGCATGGGAAAGACCCACCCCATGATTCAATTACCTCCCACCGGGTCCCTCCCACAACACGCGGGCATTGTGGGAGCTACAATTCAAGATGAGATTTGGTGGGGACACAGCCAAACCATATCAGAAGGTGTCAATTTGGCTTTATGTCAGAGAAACATCAAAAGCACGTTTGCATGCTGAGGGGAGAGATGCAAGATAGGGAAAATTGGTGATGCAGAAGGTAAAGTGGGGTTTTACTTGAGTGATGTCCTTGAGAAGAGAGAGGAAGTGGGTGATTCAAAAATAGAGGGATTGACCTTTGCTTGGCACAAGCTCTCTTCAACCACACTAACAGGCAGAGTGGTTGGGTCCGAGGTGGATGAATGGAAGAACTGGTGGAAGTTTACACCAGTTCTGATTACACCTGTTTTCTCAGGGAAATAGCTGAGAGTAAGGATAAGTGAGGAGATGTGAAGAAAGTAAAAGAAAAATATGAAAGAGTTTGCTGGATGAGTGGGAGAGTAAATAACTAGGAAAATATGTTTCTTATACTTAGAGTCCAGTGATGACTGAGGTAACTTAGAAAAATGGGTCAAATTAAGTAGTCCAAGATTATTTTTTATTATTTTGAAAACTTAATGAAAACTAGGGACCTTTTTCCAGAAATACATATGTGTATATACACACACATGCAAACACACACACACACACACACACACACACACACACACACATATAATACTTTCAGAGCATTCACCAAATCTTACATGCCCATGCATGAAATTTCACAGTGCTCAGCACCTGCTGTTTAAGATCCTTACTCCAGAATAATGTAGTGGTTGGAGTCATGTGGAGACCACCCTACAGCTTGGGAAAATGGTATGTAGAGTACATTTATCAGGGGTGAGATAATAAAGATCTGGATTTAGACTGGTGGAAGTGAGAAAGAATAGAATTTGAGTCTAGCGCCCACTGCTTTAGGGAAATCTGCATCAGCAAACCACTGAAATAAAATGCTTGTTGGGACATGAGTTTAATTCCGGGAAGAGAGGAAGTGTCAAAACCCAGATTTGCTAGGGTAATCCTGAATTGATTAAGATGATTATAAAATTGACTGAAATTATTTTTTCAGTATTTTTTTAACATAAGGGCTGTTTAGGATACAAATTAATTTCAGTTATAAAAATTCAGCCATATTGCTGCATACATGAGTTTGAAGTGAGACTAAGATTAATGCCCTCTAAAATTATGTTAGAAATCATTCTCTATAGATCTGAAAATAACATTCTATCTTCTCCTTTCCTTTCAGTAGATACACACAAAATCTGCCAAAAAAAAAAAAAAGGAGAGACATAATATTCCTGGAGTTTCTCAGGTTTAATATGGTATATTGAGCTCATGAACATGTCTCCCTTTCCTTGCCAAAGAAATATTGTCCCATGCCATCAAAACAAGAAAAAGGGAGCCATAAATGGTCAAGAGATTACAGTACATTTCTGGGGAAAGACGGGCGGTGGATTGAAGAGCGGATCCAGGAAATTGACAAGGCAACTTCAATGTTGAACTAATGTGGACAGTTTGTAGCAGATTAACTGTCCTATGGAAAAGCTCAGATTTGACAAATACAAGTAGACATTTCTTCCTGATATTTCTGGGAGAATGTACACACTTTCACAAGTTCTGAATCCCAAAAGAAATCAGTTGCAAAATCAGGAATGCAAGAATTAAAGCTTAACATTCAACGTAAAAGCGCTACTCATTTGGAGGCATCCTCTTGTGTTGATTCGCTAAGGTTGCCATAACAAAGAATCATTGAATGGGGAGCTTAAACAACAGAAATTTATTTTCTCACAAGGAGGCTAGAAGTCTGAGATCAAGGTGTCAGCAGGATTGGTTTCTTCTGAGGCCTCTCTTCTGGGCCTGTGTCTTCACATAGTCCCCCCTCCATGTACATCTGTTCTCAAATTTCCTCTTCTTATAAGGACATTAGTCATACTGAATTAGTGTGCTCACCCTAAAGACCTCATTTTAATTTAATTATTTCTTTAAAGACCCTATCTCCAAATACATCCACATTCTGTGGTCACATTTTGTAGGGTTAGGACTTTAACATATAAAATTTAGGGGGACCCAATTCAGCCCATGACACTATTGATGTCAAGTCAAAAGTAAGAGCAGGAAACGCTGATTGGTGGAGTTGCCTTTTTTTGATGTTTTTTATTATCAAACGTCTTTATCAGGAAGAAATTATTTTCACATGTTATTGAAAGATATTTCATCACAATATATGAGTATATAATAACAAGCCATGTATTTATCATGCTGTTTTTGTTACAGAAAATCTCTGAAACATTTAGTGTGATCCCATCACAGAAAAATTTTCATGGTTGCAGTTTGATTATTTTTATTATTTTAAAACATATAAATAATGTGTTATGAAAAATGCAAAACTACTTATAAGTTTGGAAATTCCTAAGAATTCCTGCCAATTCTGATTGACCTTTCCTGAATACCAAAGATTAATATTTGTCAGGAATTTGGAAACACTATAACTGAGGGCAAGCTTATGGAAGGGCCTGAATATAGGGGCATACACTGAAGGCTTACATACAAGATTATTGATCTCCCATTCCTGCTACAGAATGCTGAAATTCCTGGATGATCAGAAGAAAAATAATTACAGAGTTATTCTCTAAAGAAATGGGGTTGGGGCAGAGGGAGTAGCTGCCATGGGAGAACTAGGATGACAATTGTGAGAGTCGAACCCAGAGTTAAGCCTTTGTCTATGTGGGGTCACCCTGGTTGCATCGGGCTTCCTACACCTGCTCAGCCTAAAAAGAAACCTGCCTTTAAATAACTTCATCCACATGGAGAAATCCCACATGTCGTAGTCAGACTTTCTAGCTCCCCCTCCCCTTCCCTCCCCTCCCCTAACCTCCCCTCCCCTGACCTCCCTTCCCCTCCCCTCTCCTTCCCCTCTCCTTCCCCTTCCCCTTCCCTTTCCCTTTCCCTTCCCTTCCTTTCCCTTTCCATTTTACCCAAGAGATTTTAAATTAATGGTGGAAGGGGCTATCATAAATGGTGTCTATGACTGAACAACCAAAGATGTCCTGGCATTTGAAGAAAACTTAAAGAATATGTAGTGAAAAGAGATGCTAGATAATAAAAGATAAAGTCTAACCGAGAATGAATAATATTGCACGTATAAAGCAAGAACCTGATGCAGTGTATTAGTCAAGGTTCTCTAGAAGGAGAGGACTAACAGGATAGATGTATATATGAAAGGGAGTTTATTAAGGAGTATTGACTCACATGATCACCAGGTGAAATCGCACAGTAGGCCATCTGCAAGCTGAGGAACAAGGAAGCCAGTCCGCATCTCCAAACCTCAAAAGTAGGGAAGCCAACAATACAACATTTAGTCTGTGGCCAAAGGCCCAAGAGCCCCTCGCAAGCCACTGGTGTAAGTCCAAAAAACTCCAAATGCTGAAGAACTTGAAGTCTGATGTTCAAGGGCGGGAAGCACCCAGCAGTAGGAGAAAGATGAAGGCCAGAAGACTCAGCCAGTCTTGTCCTTCCACATTCCTCTGCCTGCTTTTATGCTAGCCACGCTGGCAGCTGATTAGATGGTGCCCACCCAGATTAAGGGTGGGTCTGCCTCTCCCAGTCCACTGACTCAAATGTTAATCTCCTTTGGCAACACCCTCACAGACATACGCAGGAACAATGCTTTGCATCCTTCAGTCCAATCAAGTTGACGTTCAATATTAACCATGACATTCAGGAACAGAGAAAAAAAGCTCATGGAGTTTAAAAACTGCCTAAATTAAAATAAAATTTAATTTAAAAGTATGTCAAAATGAAACAAATTCTTAAAGTATTAGAGATAAAGTAGAGATTAAGTCATAGAAAATCAATAGAGGTCTTGGATTTGATAAATAGAAGTTTCAGAAAAAGAGAATGGAGAAGAGAGGGGAGAAAATAAAGAAATATCAGAAATGTAATGTTACCTTCCCTAGATTGTACTTCATGTGAGATCTGGATGCACGCTTATTTTATTCATGAATGAATGCATGTTGCATACTATATTAACTGTTTCAGGTGTTGAATTTGTAAGTTGGAAACTACGTTCTTTGGTGAAGGACACCAAATTTTCTTTAATAATCACTTAAGATAACCAAAATGTTTCTAGACATCTTAAATGTGATTATATTTTCAATATCTGGGAAAGTAAATTCTAAATACTTAGTTTTCTAACACATCTGAAAGGATTAAGGTGAATCTATCCATTTTAGTAATCAAAGTTACACCTTTTCTTCTATACGTTTTTATGTAGCAGATATAATATATATGACTATGAATACTACTGTATTCTGTATTAATATTAATACTAACACATACACACATACACACACATGTACACATACACACTCTGGTTTTGGGCTTCAGAAGCAGAAACTATCTTACAGGATATCTCAAAGATAGATACTAAGAGTTCTATAATCGTGTCTATGAGTTCCTAAGACCCTTAGAGCTGCACATTTCAGTAGATCTAGATTTTAGAAAAATATACTCTAATTACTTATTTCCCTATTCTTGTTTGGTGTTCCACACTCAAATGGTCTCCTAGCTGGTTAACTGATAACAGCTGCAGTTTTTGGAAAGGAGAAAGAGGGAAAGGATACATGAAAAGCATCTGCCTTTTCACAAACCTCTGTTAACAGCTTTTTCTCCCTATTAGAGAGAAAACATTTCCTTGGTCCTTCTCTTTTGCCTTATGTAATTGCAAATCTCTGGCAAGATGCATCTCTTTTCAGACTTTAACTTGTCTCATTTTTCCCCCACACAATTGTGCTCTTTCTTTTCTTGTTCCTTGGAAACTCGCCCTCGTTTCATAATTTTGCTTCTTCCCCCTTTGCTGTTCTGTTCTCTACAGAGTTACGGGTTCATTCTCTCGGGTGTCTTATTCTGCCTCATGCCCTATCTACATGTTAACCTCATCTGTTCCAGAGACAGAAAATGGATCTAGATCTCTCCAGATTTCCTTTTGTCTCTTAACTTTTCTTTGCATGGGATCTTAGACAGATGCATGACACTTGTTAAAGTATCTTTCTCAATTTACATTTCATTTACCTTTCTGCTTTAAAAACATAGAATCTTTGAGCTAGCAGTTGCCATTATCTGTAAGTTTGTAGTTGATGTCTAAGGAAATTACTATGCCATTATTCCTAATTTTTCTTCAAAGACATTTCCCCTTACCTTGATTCTTATAAAGAAATGTTGGCTATACCCTTATAAATTTGGGTAGACATTAATGAAATAAGGATTTGGAGCAACAGGCATATGCCAAAAAAGAGAGCTTATCATAGAAGGGTAAATCTGAAATTGTGTGTAGGTAGTGAAGATAAGACTAATGGAAGAGAACTGTGAAAATTCCCATTTTAAGATCTTAGGTCTCATGAGGACTCAAACGCATGAGAATGATATAATGGACTTTGGGGACTCGGGAAAGGGTGGGAGGGCATGAGGGATAAAAGGCTACACACGGGGTACAGTGCACACGGCTCAGGTGAGAGGTGCATCACAATCTCAGAAGTCACCACTGAGGAACTTATCCATGTAACCAAAACCCACCAAAATTAAATTAAATTTCCCAAAAACTATTGAAATTTTAAAAATAAATAAATATAAAAACAAACAAAAAGAAATAAAAAAGAAAAAGAAGTGAATCTTGGTTTTAAAAAAAAGATCTGGCCGGGCACAGTGGCTCATGCCTGTAATCCCAGCACTTTGGGAAGCCGAGGCGGGCGGATCATGAGGTCAGGAGATTGAGACCATCCTGGCTATCACAGTGAAAACCCGTCTCTACTAAAAATAAAAAAATTAGCCGGGCGTGGTGGCGGGTGCCTGTAGTCCCAGCTACTCAGGAGGCTGAGGCAGGAGAATAGTGTGAACCCGGGGGGAGGAGCTTACAGTGAGCCGAGATTGTGCCACTGCACTCCAGCCTGGGCGACAAAGCAAGACTCCCTCTCAAAAAAAAGAAAAAAGAAAAAAAAAAGAAAAAAGATCTTAGCTCTTGTTGAGCAGCTGCTTATAGGAGAGCCTGGGCTGAGAATATACCTGAAAAGTAAAGGAAAACTGTAAATAAATAAAAGATGATATTAGAAGTTGGGTTATATGTAGTGGTTATAATGACAATATTTTAAAACATTATGATGAAAGTATATAATGATTTTTACAAATAAAATATAAATATTTTACTTCCCAAATTGAATACAATTTACTAAATTGTGGGACATAACTACTAATTTGTTTCTAATTGGAAAATGTTTGGAAACTAAATAATAATGGAAATAATTTGTAGTGAAGTGATGTTGTATGGATTATACTAATTTAGTGATGTTGCAGGTGGAAAGGTAATTCAAGCTACCAAGGTTCACACTTCCTTTTGGGAAGTACTAAATAAGTATTGATGATGCAAGATGTATTGGAACAAACGACAAAGTATAAATATCATTTTTCTTTGTCCCGTGACTCTCAATGGGGCATTAACAGCAGGGGCTAAAAAGGAGAGGCTATTTCTCAACAGTCACTCTCTATGTACGTAGCCAACAACTTCCGTCCACCATTAGCTTGAATAAACTAGAATATTAATGTCATTAGTCATCATGTATTTGTGATAAGAAAAATTGCTAATTAGTGACTCTCCTTAACAGTCCGTATTATCAGAAAGAAAACATGACTCTAAAAGGACGGGTGATGAATAAAGAATACATGCAAATATTCTCTGGTTTTCCTAGAACTGGGAGACGGCCACCCCATGTGACTCAATGGCTTTGGAGCATGAAGATGAAGGTTTAGATTCCTCCCTTTTTGATAACTTCTAATGTCACTATGCAGTCTCATGGGAACCCAGGAACTCATTCTCAGGTTTGCAAATGAAGCCTCTGTCTGTAACTATAAAAATGAAGCATCAGAATAGAACTGAGAGCCCAAGTCTGTTACAGAATCTGGTGAGGTTCACACCAGAGCAATCGAAGTGCCCACACATACGTTGACATGCAAGTCATAGGTTGATGCAATTTTCATACCTACATTATTGTTGCCTGATATGGGTGGTGAGTTGCTACAAGACAGAACAGAGGCTCACCTTCCCCCCAGAATTAAGGAGTCACAAGGATATCAGCCTCACTGCCTGGAAGATACAAAAATGATTCAGCTTCAGGACATTGAATTGAGTGTTTAAAAACTGCATGGTACATCTACAGTCCCAGACCGGCTGAGAAGCAGGATTCACTTTTCCAGGAATCAAACACTCAGGGTATTAAAGCAGTAGCTGGTTTGCATCAGGACTCTGTCCCGAGGGCCCTCTGCAGCCCAGGAGCTGCCCAAGTCAGGGTTTGCCTTTGGTCTCACTTGGTTCAGTGACCTTTCTTTCCTTTGGTCCATTTGCCAGTACAGGGCCAGCATCTCTGCTTTGAAGGGGGTTGAATGGCCTCAAGAGCCTGCCTCAACCTTGGTCAACAGTTCATTTCTGCTCAAGCGCCAAACTGCAAAGGTCAATTGCTTACCAATCTGACCCACAGACCAACTCAGAGACAGAAATAGCTCTTCCTAGTTCCAGGAAGGGTCAATATTCACTAAAGCACAGTGCATATGGACCCTTGGTGTTTATTTTTTCCTAAAACATAGCCACAGGAGTTCACACAATAGGTCTCTGTTCCATGCTTACAGTGCCCATATTTCTTTAGCTATTTTTCATGTGTAATCCCAAAGATGCTTGCAAGGAAATCACAGAATAAGATTTGAGGAAAAAAAAAATCAGTAAGTCCACGTGTTAAATTTATAATTCAGCTCAGTTAAAAAGGAATCCGATCACAAATTGTAACCATGATTCAGAGCACAGAAAATTGTTTTGGAATTTGGATTACTCAATGTGAATTCATCCTGCTCCCTCTCATTTTAATAAACCCATTTCAATTCTTAAATTATTAGTAGGACAAAAATTAAAAGAAAGAAATGTTGTGGAAAGTATGTGGAAAATAAGATGTTAAAACTATTTTTTAAATATGCTTTGCTGCAGGCAAAACCCAGTGTTCTCATCAGCTTAGTGTATTAAAACCTCATCAAATTCCAAATTCCCTATTCCAATAAAATAATGTAAGAATTACTTAACTTCGTTAACTGGTCCAGATAGCCACCAGAATTTAGAGTTGCACTTCTATGGATACTGCTACTGTTGAAACTGTTTCTTAGTTTATCTTTTCAGATGATTATGACAGCCTTCCTTCAAAAAGTAGTTCATTAAGAGAGGAGATTAGAAAATATAAAGGAGTTGGGAAAATCGTGTCAATAATTGGATCTCCACAGCTACTGTAAGCCCCTTGCCTGTCTCTATTACTCTCTGAGGCTACTCGAGAATGTAGAATTACATACAATATTTCCCATATTTCTTGTCTAGAGGGGGGATGTAGTCTACAAGCTACAACTGAATTGCTGGGTCTCTATAGCCTAGGAGAGGTGGGAGTGGTGAAGGGCTGGCTTTGGAATGCGGTGTTGTGGAGATCACAGCTCACCTAGCCAGCTCTCTCACTGTGCCCTGAGCTGGGTAAGTCAGTCTTACTGCCTCCTAAGTGCCCTCAGCAACTTGAATGGAATCGTTACCTTCCCATATACAAGAGGACTGACCAGCTCTCTCAGATTCTCATGCCCTGAGGAAAGCTTATGAACCTCCAGAGTCCTCCCTCAGCTGGAGGGCCCTTTTAACCTCAGCCTATGCAGAGACAGATTTATTCTTTCCGGTTTACCTCTTACTAGACCACTAGTGTCTGAAGGAAACCACTAGCCAGACCTCCAGCATTGAGGGTGTCAAACCCAAATGATTTCAAGAGTCAGGTCATTAAAACACATGCGAGAGAATCTGCACACTGTTCTATCATAAGACTGGTAGAAGTTTTGATCTGTTGGAGAGGAAATCTCCTATATAAAGCCATATAATTTTTTTAAAGTATATTTTGACCAAACAATCCAAGTATTTGGGCCAAATTTAGGTCTAGGTGTTAGTTTATAACTCCTGAATTCTATTATAAACTGACATTACTAAGAATAAGGATACAGCAAATTAGGATTATACTTTCAAGAGTAATGAGCAGCTTGAAAGAGGAAGATCTGGTTGAAAAATCAGATTAAATGAAAGAAACAGGAGATACTATGATGGGGGAATTCAGACATATAAATATAGAAATTTATAACATAGGATTTTATCTCAATGAAGTTTAAGGCAGCTCCCAATGGAAAGGCCACGGTATGAATTTAAGATATAAGTGTTAGAAGTTAGAAAATATTAATATTGTCTTTTGATGAAGAGATACTTCCATTTTGACAACTTCAGTTTATTAATTTTCTATTCTATGGTTAGTTTTTGTTGTGTTTTTTTTCCTAAGAAATCTTCACCTGTCCCAAGGTTGTGGAGTGTGTTTGCATGTAGAAGTTTTATGGTTCTACATTTATGGTTAAATTTATGATCTCAAATTAGTGTTTAGAAATGGAGTTAAGTAGTAGCAGTTGAGGCTTTTTCCCATTGAACATCCTGTTGCCTTAATATTTGTTAAAAATATTTTTCTTAGCCTGGCATGGTGGCTCACACCTGTAATCCCCTCACTTTGGGAGGCCGAGGCAGGAGGATCACTTGAGGTCAGGAGTTCGAGACCAGCCTGGCCAACATGGTGAAACCCCATCTCCACTAAAAATATAAAAATTAGCTGGGCATGGTGGCACACACCTGTAATCCCTGCTACTCGGGAGGCTGAGGCAGGATAATTGCTTGAACCTGGGAAGCGGAGGTTGCATTGAGCCGAGGTCGTACCATTGCACTCTGCACTCCGCACTCCAGCCTGGGCGACAGAGTGAGACTCCATCTCAAAAAAAAAAAAAAATTCTTTTGCTCATTTAACTGACTTGGCTTCTTGATTTAAAAAATATCAATGGACAGTATATGTGTGGGTCTCTTTATGGCTGTGTGTTCTCTTCTCTTTATTTAGTTATCTATACTAATCCCAGTGCCACAGTGCTTTGACTACTGTAGCTTTATCATAAGTCTTGAAATAATGTAGCAGGGGTCTTCCACCATTGCCTTCTTTTTCAATAATGTTTTGGTCAGTCTAGGTCTTTGGCATTCCATATTCATTTTAGAATGAGTTTGTCAGTTTCTTCAAAAAACAAAGCACCATTCACTTTATCCCATCATCAATATAGTCTTATAATTGCAGGAGTAGGTGCTGGAGCTGGGACTTAGCTTTTAGGTAGCAGCCCCAACAAAAGAGCATGTCAGGGGTTTTCGTGGAGAAAGAAAATGTCTAAATGGAAGGGTGAGACAAAATTAGAGGCACCACAAGACGTGATATGAGAGGAGACATGAACAGATTCCTGAAAATTGGCTTTACCACTCACCAAGCCCTCACTGGAGTTTCAGTGACTTTATAAAAGAGCCACTGGTACTCCAGACACCGAAGGAACAAAACACAAACAAAAGAACAAAGAAATACAATGATAATAGTACTTGTTCCCTTCTCCAGGATAAGATAACGTAAAATGTCAGTTCAAACACAACTTGCAGGAGAACTACACATTGTGAAAATCAGACACTAAAAGGGTGAGTGCAGAGATGCCTGTGGTCACTCTTTGACTGCTGTGGAGAAATAAACAGCTTCAAAGGAAAGAGCCGCTTGGCCGGTGATACTTGACTTACGTATCATTCTATTGCCAGAGGTGACCACCTAGCTGATTAATAACCTCTTTTGCTCTCGAGGAAATCCTTACGTATCCTGAAGCTATCTTTAACTTGTTGTAGATTTTACAGCATTTGGCACTGAACTCTATTATAGTCTCAGAAGTGGAGGCAATTGGTAAATAACTTTTGCACAGCTGTGGTATATAGTCCCACACACCTCCACCTAGGATGGTAGTTACTATTTTAATTGACAGAGTCCATAGGTTTCTAGGGCTGTTTGAAGGTGGTGAGAGGATCTTTTGATAATTTAAACTAGATCACCTTGAAAGAAGTATAGGTAACTGGTTTTGAAAATGTGTCAGGTGCAGTGTTGTACATTAGACCTACTGAGAAATTATTACAAAAATAAAAATATAAAGCCAGGCGTGGTGGCTCATGCCTGTAATCCCAGCACTTTGGGTGGCCGAGGCGGGCATATCATGAGGTCAGGAGATCAAGACCATCCTGGCTAACACAGTGAAATCCCGTCTCTACTAAAATACAAAAAAAACTAGCCAGGGGTGGTGGCAGACACCTGTAGTCCCAGTTACTCAGAAGGCTGAGGCAGGAGAATGGTGTGAACCCAGGAGGTGGAGCTTGCCGTGAGCTGAGATGGCGCCACTGCACTCCAGCCTGGGCAACAGAGCGAGACTCATTCTCAAAAATAAATAAATAAATAAAAATATAAGAAAAGATGAAAACTCGAATGAAGGCAGTGACAGTGGAAATAAATAAAAGACAGATATTTAGAGATATTAAAGTGGTGGCCGGGCATGGTGGCTCACGCCTGTAATCTCAGCACTTTTGAGGCCAAAGCAGGCAGATCACCTGAGGTCAGGAGTTCAAGACTAGCCTGGCCAACATGATGAAACGCCGTCTCTACTAAAAATACAAAAATTAGCTGGGTGTGGTGGCACGTGCCTGTAGACCCAGCTACTCGGGAGGCTGAGGCAGGAGAATTGCTTGAACCCAGGAGGTGGAGGTTGCAGTGAGCGGATATAGCGCCAATGCACTCCAGCCTGGGAGACAGAGCGAGACTCCATCTCAAAAAAAAAAAAAAAAAAGATATTAAAGTGGTAAAGTCGACACCACTTGATGATTAAAAGAATGTGGGGTGAGGGAAGGAGACAGGGACAAATTTCTTAATAAGAAATATCATGTACTGAATAATTACCATGCACCAGGAACATTGCTTTACATATACTTTGTATGTAATTGTAAAAATCCTAGAAGTAGGTAATATTACCAACCCAGTTTAATGAAAAAGAAAATAGAAGAGTACCGAAATTAAGTAACAATTCTAAAAACACATTGTATGCAAGAGAATTTGTAATCAGACGAGCTAACTCCCCAGCTCTTGCCTTTGTCTACTAGGCTACATAAACCATAGATTTCTGGCCATTGGTGGGTCAGGATGGTGGTACCAATAGCAAACATAGGATGAGAAGGGTTTGGGGAGAAAGATAATGGCTTCAAGTGATGAAGAAATTGAAATTTGAAATTGAGGTGTATAGGGTCTCCACGTGGAGATATCTAGTAGCTCAGAAGAGATAACTTAGCTGAAGTTATAAATGTTGGATTCATATGCTTATAGGAAAGAGTTAATGCTATGAAAACTGATGAGGTATTACAGGAAGATCCAGCTAGTGAAAGAAGAAGTTTAATGCTGTGAATTGGTAACACCAGCATTTAAAGGACAGAGGAAGAAGACTAGATACTTTGTTTCCTCATAAATCATAAATGTACCACTCCATGAACTTTCACAAAGTGAATATGCCCAAATAACAGCATCTAGATCAAGAAAGAGGCCATTATCAGCACCCTACTTGCCCCATTTCAAGTAATACACATCCCCAAGGGTAACCACTGCACTAATTTCTAACAATATAGATCAGTTTGCCTGATTTTGAACGTGACATAAATGGAATTCCACAGTAAATGCTCTTTTGTGTCCAGCTTCTTTGACTCAGCATTGTTTTAATTTATCCATGTTAATTCCCATTGCAATAAAGAATTCTAGTCTGTGGCAGACACACCCTGAAGGCCCACAATGAGCCATGGCCCCTTCCCTCAAGTGAGGAAAGACCTGTGACCTGTCTCTAACCAACAGGATATGTCAAAGAAGATAAAGTGTCATTCCCATCCTGCTGGCCTTGAAGAAGCCACCAGCTCTGCTGTAAATTCCCCAAGGAGAAGGCCATGTGGCAGGGAACTGCAGGCTGCCAGTAAGAAGCCAGAGCCCTCAGTCACACAGCCACAAGGAAGGGAATTTTGCCAACAGCCTGAATGCACTTAGATGCAGATTCTTCCCTAATAGAGCCCTCAGATGACAGCACAGCCTGGCCAGCACCTGAGCAGAGGAACCAGTTAAGTTGTGCTAAGACTCCAGACCCATGGAAACTATGGATAATAACTGTGTGTTGTTTTACTATTCACAATAGCAAAGACATGGAATCAACCCAAATGCCCATGAATGAGAGACTGGATAAAGAAAATGTGGTACATTTACACCACAGAATACTATGCAGCCATAAAAGAAATGAGATCATGTCCTTTGTAGGGCCATGGATGGAGCTTGAAGCCATTGTCCTTAGCAAACTAACGCAGGAACAGAAAACTAAACACTGCATGTTCTCACTTACAAGTGGGAGCTGAACAACGAGAACACATGGACATAGGAGTGCGGAACAACACACACTGGGGCCTATCAGGGGGTGCAGTGGGAGGAGGGAAACTATTAGGAAAAATAGCTAATGTATGCAGGGCTTAATACTTAGGTGATGGGTTGATAGGTGCAGCAAACCACCATGGCACACGTTCACCTATGTAACAAACCTGCACATCCTACACATGTGCCCCAGAACTTAAAATAAAAATAAAAAATAAATAAATGTGACTTAGTTTGAGGTAATTTGTTATACAGCAACAGAAATCAAATATATACTGTATAAATACACTATAATTAATTTAATTTACCAATTATTAATAAATATTTCAGTAGCTTTCCATTTTTGTCTATTAACTGGTGATGCTATAAATATTCTTGTGTGTGTATGTGTGTGTGTGTGTATATATATATATATATATATATATATTTGTGGGGGTGTTGTGTCAGTCAAGGTCCACTCAGAAAACAGAAACAACAAAATAATTTGAACAGGGAGGTTTCATGCAAAAAAAAAATTATTGACTATTTGTAGGGGATTAACTACTAAAAAGGGGATAAAAGAGAGCTGTACAAAGTCCCTAATGCAAAGGGAGACAAAAACTTGGAAGAGGGCCCCTCTCTAAGGATGGGATTCAGATCTCAATGGAGAAGATGAAGTTAAAACCCAGTGGAGGCTGAAGTTAGCCGAGTTGCCCCAGGCCTGAGCTGCTCCATTACAGCAGGTGGAGGCCAAGGACTGGGACTGGGAAGCTGGAAAGCTCCCACTGGGGTGCTGGTGGGCAGAAAACCCCCTGCTGCAGTGCCTATGACATTTATGAAGAATTTGGAGGGAGGTGAAATTCTCTAGGAAGTAGGCTTGGGTCACTGTAGGACTTACTGGGAAATCACCCACAGGAGATGCTGGGAAGTACCCATGGGGACGTCATTGAAACCAGCTGGTGGTGAGTTCCACTGGGTGTCCCACAGCCTAGCCTTGCACTGTAGGAACAAAAACAACAACAAAAAAAGCAGGCACTTTACGGGAAGAATCTTCTTCCTGCAGCATCCCTTCCAGACCCTCTAACGGCAAAGGAAGAATATTTAGTAACTCCAGCTCCAGTATCCTCAGCAGGGCAATGAACACTGGTTTTGTGGCTGAGAGACAATAAACTGACAACTGGTACAGGTGTACACCCATAAGAGACTCGTAATCTTTTTATCCTCTTTTAAATTAGTGTGAAAGTATGAAATAAAAATTATTTAAAAATTTTATGGCCAGGCGTGGTGGCTCACACCTGTAATCTCAGCACTTTGGAAGGCGGAGGCGGGAGGATCACGACGTCAAGAGATCCAGACCATCCTGGCTAACATGATGAAACCCCGTCTCTACTAAAAATACAAAAATTAGCCGGGCGTGGAGGCGCATGCCTGCAGTCCCAGCTACTCAGGAGGCTGAGGCAGGAGAATCGCTTGAACCTGGGAAGCAAAGGTTGCAGCAAGCTGAGATCGCACCACTGCACTCCAGCCTGGCAACAGAGTGACTCCGTCTCAAAAAAAATAAAAAATTACATCATAATGTCTTATCTTTACCTATGTTAGACAAAATAAAGACAACAGCAGAAATCAATAAAGTAGAAAATAAGGAAATTATAGAAAAGATCTACCAACCTCTTTTAGCTCTTTGAAAATATTAATGAAGTTGAAAAAAGAACTTTGGCAAAATTAATCCAGAAAAGTACAAAGAAGGTGCAAAGGTATACACCAAAATATTAAGCATGAGAATGAGGAACTAATTGCACATGGAGAAGAGATTAAAATGTAATAATAAACTAAGGAGATCATCTTTTATGCCAAAAAATTTGAAATTATAGGCACAATGAAAAATATATCTGAGTAAGAATAGAAAGAGTAAATTACTTTACAATTATTAAGGAAACTTTATAAGTTGTTTAGCATTGCTGTGGACTGAATGTGTCCTCTTAAATGTCATATGTTGGAGCCCATTGTGACAGTATTTGGAAATGGGGCTTCTGGGAAGTAATGAGGGTTAGATCAAGTCATGAGGGTGGGGTCCTCATGATGGGCTGGGCCCCCATAAGAAATGACACCAGAGAACTTGAGCTCTCTCTCTTCCTGCCACGTGAAGACACATTAAAAAGACTGCCTTCTAGAAGACAGGGAGGAGCCCCTACCAGAAACCAACCATGCTGGCTTCAGGATCTGGGACTTCTAGACTCCAGAATAGCAAGAAAATAAATTTCTATTGTTTAAGCCACACTGTCTATGGTGTTTCGTTCTGGCAGCCTGAGCTGACTAAGACAAACATAATTTCACAAATGAGACCCCAGATGCAGTGTCTTGTATATTTATTTATTTTTATTTATTTATCTATTTTTTTGAGACGCAGTTTCACCCTTGTTGCCCAGGCTGGAGTGCAATGGCGCGATCTTGGCTCACTGCAACCTCCGCCTCCCAGCTTCAAGCGATTCTCCTGCCTCAGCCTCCTGAGTAGCTGGGATTACAGGTGCTTGCCACCATGCCCGGCTAACTTTTTTGACATTTCTAGTAGAGACGGGGTTTCACCATGTTGGCCAGGCTGGTCTCAAACTCCTGACCTCAGGTCATCTACCCGCCTTGGCCTCCCAAAGTACTGAGATTACAGGTGTTAGCCACCGCGCCCGGCCTCTTGTATATTTATATCTGACCAAACATTTAAGGGACAGATTAGCTCAATCTCAGGTACGTTTCCAGGGAATTGAAGAAGGATTCCTATCTAACTCGTTCTATGAAGTCAGCATAACGTTTGATGCTAAAACTAGATTAAAAAACGCATGAGAAAGGAGTGCTACAGGCCAGTCTTACTCATAAACATAGATGCAAAATCCCAAATAAAATATTTTAAAAATTACTTTTAATTTTTTTTGACAAATTGTAATTGTATAGAATTATGGGATACACAGTGATATCATGACATATGTATGTTGTGCAATGATTGAATCAAATGAATTAACCTACCCATCTTCTTAAATATTTATTTCTTCCTCCTGTTTAACTGTGACTTTCTATCCTTTGACTGACATTGCCCCATTCCACCACCCTTATCCTCTGGTAATCACCCTTCTACTCTCTGCTTCTATGAATTCAATTGTTTTAGATTCCACATATAAGTGAGAACATGTGGTTTTTGTCTTTCTCAGACTCACTTACTTTACCCAGTTTAATGTTCTCCAGGTCCATCCATGCTCCTGCAGATGAAAAAATTTTCTTCCTTTTTGTGGCTGAATAATATTCCATTGCATATATAATATGGTTTGGCTGTGTTCCTACCCAAATCTCATCTTGAATTGTAGCTCCCACAATTCCCATGTCATGGGAGGGACCAAGTGGGAGGTAACTGAATCAGGGGGCGGGTCTTACCCCATACTGTTCTCTTGGTAGTGAATAAGTCTCACAAGATCTGATGGTTTTATAAGTGGTTTCCCTTTCTGCTTGGCTTTCACTCTCGCTTTGCCTGCTGCCATGTAAGGCGTAACTTTGCTTCTCCTTTGCCTTCCGTCATGACTATGGAATTCCCCAGCCATATGGAACTGTGAGTCAATTAAAACTCTTTCCTTTATAAATCACCCAGTCTCAGGCATGTCTTTATCAGCAGCGTGAACATGGACTAATACAGTATATATACCACATTTTCTTTATCCTTTCATCTGCTCATGGACACTTCAGTTGATTCCATAACTTGGCTATTGTGAATAGCGCTGCAATGAATGTGGGCGTGCAGATATCTCTTCAATGTAGTTTCTGGATTATATGGTAATTCTATTGTTAGTTTTTTGAAGAACCTCCATGCTGTTTTCTACAATGGCTATGTTTACATTCTCACCAACAGTGTGTGTAATCTTTGTCTTTTTAATAAGACATTTAATCACCATTTCGATGGGTATGAGATGATATTTCACTGTGGTTTTAATCTGCATTTCCCTAATGATTAGTGATATTGAACATTTTTTCTTGCTTGGTAGAAATGCGTGGTTGAGGTTTGCCTCTTCATCTGGGAAGAGCTTTAGGGTGAGCTTTGAGGGTGCACTGAGCCATTGTTTGAAAGCCTGGATGGTACAAGTCTAGTGCCTGAGCTTTGCTAAAAGGGGCCTTGAGGCTGAGGATGGAGCCTAGCCATCTAGGAACTCAAGCCAGGCCAGCCTCTGTGGCTCACATCTACAATCCCAGCACTTTAAGAGGCCCAGGTGGCAGAGTTGTTTGAGGCCAGGAGTTTGACACCAGCCTGGGCAATATGGTGAGACCTCATCTCTACAAAAAATAAATAACCGAGCATGATGGCATGTCCCTGTGGTCTCAGCTACTTGGGACGCTGAGGCAGGAGGATATCTTGAGCCCAGAAGTTCCAGGCTACAATGAGCTATGATCATGCCACTGCACTCCAGCTTGGGTAACAGAGGGAGACACTGTCTCTAATAAATAAACAAACAAACAAAGACTCAAGCCTAGTTAATGTGCTCTGGGAGCAATCAGCCTGGCTCTGCTTGTGGGCTGTGCTGTTGGCACCTCTAATCCGCACCTCTGCTGGCAGTAATATGGAGCTACCACCAAGATCTGGGTGCAGGTCACTGTGGGCAGTGCCTCCTTGCTTTGTTTCTATCTGACCCTGGGCAGTCTGGTCATGTCTTTCTCCCCTGTGTTCCCTGTGTTCCCCATGAGACAAGATCAAAGTGGGCCTTGGCTTGGCGGGAGGCTAGGGGACCTGGATGTGAGGTTTTGGTTCTCTTTTCCCGCTGTTGGTCCTCTGTGTGTGGTGCTGCATCGACTTGGAGGATGTGGAGAGGCAATACCTGTCTAATGCTGTTCTTATTCAGTTCCATGGTCCATTCAGGAGTCTCAAGCTTATTCTCAAGTTTTGAGATTTTCACCAAGGTGTTCTTATCAGTGGATAGTTGTAGTTGAGCTTTCTATGCGGGGGAGAGCAGCCTGGGACCTCCTATTCTACCATCTTCCCCTGAATATCCCAAACAAAGTACTTGCAAACCAAATTCACCTGTGTTTCTAAGATAACACGAATTGATTAAGTTGGGTTCCCAGGAATTCAAAAGTATTCTAATGTTAGCAAACCTAAAAATGCTATTCATATTAGCAGATTAAAGCACATAAAACTATATGACAATAGGTGCACATATTTCAGTACCCATTCATGGTAAAAAAAAAATTAACAAAGTAGAAATATATAACTTGGTAAAGGTTTATACCAAAAAATTACAGCAAACATAATTTTGAATGGGAAAACATTAGAAGTATCTCTTTAAAAATTAAGACTACGTCAGAGATACAGTTGTTTTTTCTATTCAACTTTGTACTATAGGCCCTAGTCAGAGAAGACAATAAAAGTAAACTCTTGTATATAATCACCAGCAGATATGTACATGAATATTCCTAGCAACACTATTTGTAATATCTTCAAACTGGAAACAGCAAATAATGAGAAATATGAGATTTAGATATTCTTTACTGCCCTAGGACCCTTGTATAATTTAATCTGTATGTAACTTTTCTGGTTATGTATAGATCATGGTATCTTTTTCTTGTTTGAGAGGGAGAGATTTTTTTCTTTTATGCATACACCACATTGCTTATAATTTAAATCAACATATTAAGTATTTAAAAATAATTAGCAAATCAATAGCAGTAATAATTACTTATAGAAGAGTTAATATTTTCATATTTTATGTAACATTATATATATATTTACAGTGTATGTTTGTGAAATTATCATGTAACATTTGAAGCCAATCTTATTTTTGAAGAATTGTATTTAATATTTTCTGTTCTAGTAACCAGTTTCACATTATTCTAATTTATCCTTCTGTGAATTTTTGAGTGTAATATAGATATTTTAAATGAAATTAAATATAAACATATGTGAATATCTTTGGACCTTTATAGATGTATGGGTTTAAAATTACTCACATAGAAAAACATAATGATGCCCAAAGGGAACATAAATATTGCAGATCATAAGTAATTACACTCTCAAATGCTCATGGAATTGTTAATCCTATTCATGACTAGCAATTCACTCACTAAAATTTCCAATTCATTGTTTACACTAGTGAACTATTACAGTGTTGCCAACCTGACAACTTAACATTGTCAAAAACTTAGCTGATTTTAGTTGACTTGTATGTAGGAAGGCTTAATGCAATTTATGTGCAATGAAGATATGGTACAAAGCCTAAGAAGATATGAAAAATAACCTGCTCTTGGAATGATTCACCTTATTTTCAGTGGACAGCTGAAACCCAACTGAGACCACAATTTAAATTGGGAAATAATTTGTTGTTAGTTTCTACTCCCGGAGCCAACAGCCTACCTAGAGCCACCCTACTGGGCATTCATCAGTTATATTTCTTGGTCGACAAGCAGAGTGTAGTAGAGTTCATTTTGAATTTAATTTCAAACCCCATGGTCTTAACCATTTTCCCATTCCTTTCTGTGGCCTCTTAGTTCATCCCTGAGAGTTAGAGACTTATGTTTTTATGAGTGGTGATGAATGCTTAGAAAAAAATCTGGGGACATTTAGTAGAATCCTTCAGGCCCAGCACTGACTGAGTTGACAGAAGCCTCTTGTTTTTTAATTGCTCTGGGACTAGGGTTTTGAATTGTTGGCCACAGCAAAAACTTTGGTTCTACCTCTGAAATCTGATTCCAGAAAGGAGGAGAGAGAAGAAAGAAGAAATGTTACACCAAAATGTAAACTCTATGACAGCAGAATTTTTTTTCTTTTCTTTTCTTTTTTTTTTTTTTTTGAGACAGAGTCTTGCTCTGTCGCCCAGGCTGAAGTACAGTGGCATAAACTCGGCTCACTGCAACCTCTACCTCCCAGGTTCAAGCAATTCTCCTGCCTCAGCCTCCCGAGTAGCTGGAATTACAGATGCCCACCACCACACCTGGCTAATTTTTGTATTTTTAGCAGAGATGGGATTTCACCATGTTGGCCAGGCTGATCTCGAACTCCTGACCTCCTGATCCACACACCTTGGCCCATGGTGTTTCAAGCCTGTAATCCTAGCACTTTGAGAGCAGAATTTTTAAAAATCTCCTTTGTTCACTAATATATCCTGAGGGCCTAAAATAGTGTTAACACAAAGTTGTTCTGTAAATATTTGCAGAAGGAATGACAGAAGAAAGAAAAGGAAGAAAGAGGAGAGAGATACCTGGGTGACCAGGCGTTCCTGTGACAGGCCACCATCTGCCTGGCTCTCCTGCGACTCTGTCTGGTTGCTCGCCTCCAGTGCTTCAATTCTCTGTCCAAACTTCCTGACTTCTAAAGCTGCAGCTTTCTAAGGCCACTTGTCTCGCCCTTGGAGGATGTGGCTTCCTGCTTTTAAAAGGCACTTTTTAAGCACCCAGTTACCTACTGAGGGTGAGACAAGCATCGGGTTTGCCCCACTTAACAAGCTATTTTGAATATATGGAATATATTCAGCCTTAAAAAAAGGAGATTGGAAATTGTGGCACATGCTACAACATGAATGAACCTTAAGGAGGTTATGTGAAATACACCATAGTCAAACTCATTGAAACAGAAAGTAGAATGATGTTTGCTAGGGGCTTGGAGGAGAAAAAAGTGGAAAGTTGTTGTTTAATGAGTAATAGAGGTTCAGTTTTGTGAGATGAATAGTTCTAGAGACTGGTTGCACGACAATGCGAAGGTATTTAATATATTACTGAACGGTACAACAAAAAACATATCAAACTTCTCATTGGGTCTGTCGGAGAAAGTCACATTAAAAACAGCAAGCTGAAGTCAAGCCAGAAAAGGTCATAGGTTTTCAGAAAGCTTATCACAAGCAAAACTTTGCTATAAAAGTGAAAATCAGATAATCTCATCTCAAATATTTCAATTACAAAGGATTAAATTATTGAGCTCCCTGTTTTTTCCTTTCTTGAAATAGGAAATGTTCTAAGAAATAAAACCCTTAAAACATAACAATGATCCTGGCTGAGTTGTGGCAATTTCACCAGGATTTCTGTGAAGGACTTGAATTAACTTATTACTTCCCATTGCATGTCAAAGTTCAGGTTTATGAGGTTAGTCTAGCTACCATTCTAGCAAACTTTAGAGGAGAACAGCAAACAAAATGGCTAGCTATCGATTGTACATAAATTTACAAGATGAAAGGATTTTGGTATATTTTGGGTAATTTCCAAAAGCTGTGACATTGAAGTCGACTCCTCACTCACACAAGTTATTTGAGGCTGACAATTGTGTTCTTTGAGTATGCAGAATTGAAAACAATTAGATCCCTCTGATTTCTGTAAGACACTTTTGAAATTTAAGCATGAGTCATGACTTGCCTTGTAGCTAACCTAATGACCCGACTTTAATTAATGGACTGCTGCTCTAACAGAAGCACGCTACCATGGTGTATTTTGTCTATTTTTATTGGCCAAATTAGCCTTATTTTGTTAGCTGTCCTCCCTTTTATCCATCCACCCATCCATTCATTTGCTAGTCTATTTATTTATTTATTCACCAAAAATTTAGCAAAACTTTATAGAACATCTATCTGCTGTATACTTAGGAGGGACTAAGCTATGAAAACGAATATGAGTAAAACACCCATGAAGACATTCTACCCTCAAGGATGGATGTCACATTGTATTTAGGAACTTGAAAGACTGGTCTCTAGTTCTATTCTTTTTCTCTCCATTTCCAATCTATTTTGAACAGCCTTCTTTTTCCTTTCATGCCATTGGTCTCAGTTCCCTTACTTTATTTAACGTAGGTCATTTTGGTCTTGCATAACTCAATATCTTTTCATTGAAACTATTTTCATTGGTGTTCCACACCAACTTATTTAAGTATACTAGCAATTAACTAAACTTCAGTGGTTCTGTACACCTTTTCCTCCTAAAATGTGCCTCATTTTGGAAAAAGATTCTGATTTCCCTTTGGGAGGATTGTCTTTGTTCCACAGAATACAGTCTATTTAGTGTCCTAGTAAGTACAGTCTGCAAATCAAGGCACTTAGCTCTTCAGTAGCCAAAGAATGAGCACACGACTGAAGCTAGACTAAGGAGTTGATCTTTCTGGAATTTAAGTCATGAACAGGGTGAAAACAGAACAAAAATTCACACAGGCGGCAGGTCTAAGGGGATATCTATTGGCATCCAGAGCTATGCTGATTCCTGCCTTATTCTGCTTTCTCCTTGAATCTGTGAGCTACACTCCATCACACTAATGGTTTTCTTTCCTATTGGATCACATGAGTGGCTGTCTGAAGTTTTCATCCAGAAAACCCTGATTGATTGATGTTTCCCTATCTGTGAAATCTCCAGATCTCCAGGGATTATTTGCAGAGTTGTGTCTCCAACATTTTCATGGAGACCATAAGAAATATCTCATGAGGACTCACCAGTCTGTGCTCTCAACTATAAGTGGTGCCTCTGGGCATGATGGTCCCACCAAAGTGTAGCCACCACCTGCTGAAGTTGACCTCCGCTGATCACCCAAACCCTTTGTGTACCAAAGGTGGCTCTGACTTCCTGATCTTCATATTCTGAAGCCAGGCCATGTTCTTTGCCAACATGACATAAATCTCTTTACCAGTTGTATTAGTCTGTTTTCACACTGCTGATAAAGACATACCTGACACTGGGTAATTTATAAAGGAAACAGGTTTAATGGACTCACAATTCCACATGACTGGGGAGGCCTCACAGTCATGGAGGAAGATGAAGGAAGGGTAAAGGGACGTCTTACGTGGCTGCTGGCAAAGACAGAATTTGCACAGGGAAACTCCCCTTATGAAACCAACAGATCTTGTGAGACTTATTCACTATCATGAGACCAGCATGGGAAAGACTCACCCCCATGATTCAATTACCTCCTACCAGGTACCTCCCATGACATGTGGGAATTGTGGGAGCTACAATTCAGGATGAGATTTGGGTGGGGACACAGCCAAACTGTATCACCAGTAGTACTGTTCTGCTACATGGGCTTATGACTTGTGCTCCCTTGATTCCCAGTGTCTTAGAGATACTTAAATAGAATCACACTTTGTATTTTTACTTAAATTTTTTGTCTAGAGGACTGAGAAAATATTCATGGGAGCTGGACCTTGAAAAAGCAAGAATTAGGCAAAAATTTATTTCCCTGACTGAACCCTGGTTATGGTGATTAAAACTGCTCTTTGTGAGCTAAACATGTTTCCTTTGATTCTACTGAGAGGTTTTGAAATGACTGCAGAAGCCAACACCTGCTCACCTAAATAATGCATTTGTGTCTCATTGAAGATTTGCCTCAATGTCTAAAATATTTAGCTGTTTAAAAGGTCAGGTGGGAAGCTTGTATGAATAGTATGACTATATTTGGAATTTTTCCACCTGTGATATTGAGTAATGCTCTTTCCTGCTATTGTATTTTTTTATTTTTAATTTTTTTATTTCAATAGGTTTTGGGGGTAACAGGTAGTGTTTGGTTACATGAATAAATTCTTTAGTGGTGATTTCTGAAATTTTGGTGGACCCACCACCCAAGCAGTGTTCACTCTACCCAATGTGTAGTCTTTTATCCCTTGCTACTCCCACCCTTTCCCCCATGTCCCCAAAGTTCAATGTATCATTCTTATGACTTTGTGTCTCATAGCTTAGCTCCCACATATGAATGAGAATGTATGATGTTTGGTTTTCCATTCCCGAGTTACTTCACTTAGAATAATAATCTCCAATTCCATTAAGATTGCTGCAAATGCCATTATTTCATTCCTTTTTATGGCTGAGTAGTATTCAGTTATATATATGTATATACGTGTGTGTGTGTATATATATACATATAAAACATTTCTTTATCGATTCATTGATTGGATAAAGAAATTTACTTTCTTCTATAAATATAAATGTTTATTTATTTATTTATTTATTTATTTTTTTAGACAGAGTTTCACTCTTGTCACCTGGGCTGGAGTGCAATGGCACGATCTTGGCTCACTGCAATTTCTGCCATCTGGATTCAAGCGATTCTCCCCCCTTAGCCTCCCAAAGTAGCTGGAATTACAGGTGGCTGCCACCATGCCCAGGTAATCGTTTTGTATTTTTAGTTGAAATGGGTTTTCTCCATGTTGGCCAAGCTGGTCTTGAACTCCTGACCTCAGGTGATCCACCTGCCTCGGCCTCCCAAAATGCTGGAATTACATGTTTAAGCCACTGCGCCTGGCCTATAAATGTTTATTTATGGCAGAAGATGATTGACTTTATTCCATAAATATAAATTCCTTAATATAAATGTTATATATGTATAACATTTTCTTTATCCACTCACTGATTGATGAACATTTGGGCTGATACCCATATTTTTGCAATTGCAAATTGTGCTGCCATAAACATGTGTATGCAAATATCATTTTCATATAATGACTTTTTTCCTCTGGGTAGATAGCCAGTATTGGGATTCCTGGATCAAATGGTAGATCTACTTTTAGTTCTTTAAGGAATCGTCACACTGTTTTCCACAGTGGTACTATGTTTACATTCCCACCAGCAGTGTAAAAGTATTCCTTTTTCACTGCATCCATGCCAATATCTATTATTTTTTGTTCTTTTGATTATGGCCATTCTTGCAGGAGTGAGGTAGTATCGCATTGTGGTTTTGATTTGTATTTCCCTGATAATTAGTGATGTTGAGCATTTTTCTACACGCTTAGTCTAGTCACATCCTTAGCTCACTTTTTGATGGGACTGTTTGTTTTTTTCTTGCTGATTTGTTTGAGTCCTTTGTAGATTCTGGATATCAGTCCTTTGTCGAATGTACAGATTGTGAAGATTTTTTCTCACTCTGTGGGTTGTCTGTTAACTCTGCGATTATTATTATTATTATTATTATATGCTGTGCAAAAGCTTTTTATTTTAATTAAGTCTCATCTATTTATCTGTGTTTTTATTGCATTTGCTTTTGGGTTCTTGATCATAAAGTCTTTGCCTAAGCCAATGTCTAGAAGGGTTTTTCCAATGTTATCTGTTAGAATCTTTATGGTTTCAGGTTTTACATTTAAGTCTTTGATCCATCTTGAGTTGATTTTTTAATAAAGTGAGAGGTGAGGATCTAGTTTCATTCTTCTACATGTGGCTTGCCAATTATCTCAGCACCATTTGTTGAATAGGGTGTCCTTTCTCCACTTGATGCTTTTATTTGCTATGTCAACAGTCAGTTGGCTGTAAGTATTTGGGTTTATTTCCAGGTTCTTTATTCTGTTCCATTGGTCTATGTGCCTATTTTTATACCACTACCATGCTGTTTTGGTGACAATGACCTTATAGTATAGTTTGAAGTCAGGTAATGTGATGCCTCCAGATTTGTTCTTTTTGTTTAGTCTTGCTTTGGGTATCCAGGCTCTTTTTTAGTTCCATATGAATTTTATAATTTTTTTTTCTAGTTCTGTGAAGAATGATGGCGGTATTTTGATGGGAATTGCATTGAATTTGTAGATTGCTTTTGGCAGTATGGTTATTTTCACAATATTGATTTTGCCATCCATGAGCATGGGATGTCCTTCTATTGTACAGGTGTGGCAATTTCTGAGTCCTCTGGAACGTCAGCACTCTCTACTCAAATGGCCTCACGTATCTGTATTATCATCCACTTCTACTTACTTTCTTTAAAAATATAGTTATCACTTCTGATTACTTTGGTATCCTTTATTCACCACAAGAAAAAAAATCAAATCTATGGCTGCTGTATTAAGCGTACACATGATACAATGTCTTTAGATTTTTTTAAATGTAACATCTCATATTTTTTCTGTCTCACAGTTTGCCTAATGGAGAGTATTTGATAGTTTACTGTGTCATCTTTTCAAATGTTTTGCCTGCGCATGTAATGTTTGATCCTTATTAATATAGAATTCTCATTATTCATAGATATTTTCCCATTGATTTTATTAACTTCTTTTAGTTTTACTCAATTTCTGCTGTTCTCTAATCAGTATTTATTATAAGCTTAGAAGAAGTATTGTATTACAGACACTTTGTCTATTCCACTAATCACTGAGTGTTTATGTCTCAACCAAAAGTTCAACGTTGTGACTTAAACAGTAGAAAAACCAAATGTGTTACCCAATTCTTATCTTTCGATGCCAAGAAATACAGCTGAACAGATAAAATGATAATCTATAAAATTATTGATATGCATAACAAAATGCAGCAGATTAAACACTGTGGGCATGGGCTGTTAGTGTAGAGGAGCTATGAGCTGGGGAAACAATGAAGATTAAAGTAGCTCAAAGTTGGCATTGGGGAATCTGTAGAGATGCTATTGGGGCCCACCCAGATCACCTTCACCAGTCCAGCTATATAGCCCCCAGGTGCTGTGAGTGTCTCTGCTTCCCTCACAGTGGCATGCTTTACCTGAGAATCGCCCTCAGCTCAATAGGTGCTGCTTTTTTTTTTTTTTTTTTTTTCTCCTTGAGATAGAGTCTCACTCTGTCTCACAGGCTGGAGTGCAGTGGTGTGATCTCAGCTCACTGCAACCTCTGCCTCCTGGGTTCTAGCAATTCTCCTGCCTCAGCCTCCCGAGGTAGCTGGGATTACAAGCATAAACCACCATACCTGACTAATTTTTGTATTTTTAGTAGAGATGGGGTTTTGCCATGTTGGCCAGGCTGTTCTCGAACTCCTGACCTCAGGTGTTTTTTTATTTGAACTGCCTCAGCCTCCCGAAGTGTTGAGATTACAGGAGTGAGCCACAGCACTCTTCTAACGGGACCTTACTTCTTACTTCGAGAGGACAGAGGTTAATAACTGACTGATCCAGGAGGAGAAAAGGCCAGCTCCTTTGTCTCAAAACGGAACAATTTCTAGGGTATATACTTTCCGCTTCTGAGCCCCTCAGGGCTCAGATAAACTAAGACACATTTCCAGCCAAGGCCACTTTCTTGCTTGCCTTCCTTCCTGTCCTGCATCCTTTCCTGTCCTGCATCCTTTCCTGTCCTGCATCCTTTCCTGTCCTGCATGCCCTTTCTTCTGCAAATCCTCCTCAAAATGGCAGGCCCAGGCAGACTAATCTACAATTTACAGCAAAGTGTGAGTGTCCAAGGGCCTCCTTAGCTGCACTGACAGATATTCATCTCCTGCAGCCAAGGGGCAAACAGAGCTGAAGATCAGGCACAAACTTCATTAGAAAAATGGCAGTTTTCTAAGAATTAATTCTGAACCTAGACAATTCCTCCAAGTCAAAGTCAAGGCCCTGATAGGGAAGAAGGGCTATTTGATAGGATGATTTTACTCTGGAGAACCTGGTCTCCCTTGACTTCCCTGAATCCTCCTGACTTTCAGAAGTGGCTCCAACTCCCTTGATGTAAGGGAGATGACCCCTTTCTTGAATGCTATGCAGAGACCTCAAATGAGGCATTTCACAAGGCAATCAATGATTGTCCTCTTCAGGATCTGCCTTACTTCTCCTCATGGCCACCATAACTAACAGTAAGGTTAAATATCAGCATGACCAACCCTATTGGGAAGTGCTGGGCCTGTGAGAGCTGCTATCAAGGTATATTACCATATATTTATTGTCTCATTAATTTTTCTGTGAGGAATATGCAAAAGGTACTTGTGATTGAAAAAAGTCTAGGTGAACTTCACGGAGATGGGGCATTTCCCAGTATGATTTCCTCAGAATAATGGTCCAGTGAAATAGCCCATCAAAGAAGGCTCAGAAAAATTTGTAGGGAATAAACCTTGGTTTATCCCAGTGTTTCTTAAACCTAGTTTAATTATGAAAAAACTCTTACTTTTCACCTTTTTTTGTTTTCAACCTGTTAGTGTTCTGAATAACCAATATTTAAAGGATTCCACATCAGGAAATTCTGATAAAGAAAAAAACACAAGTCTTTTAAGTAATGAGAATAAAATTTTAGGGCAATTTCTGCCTTTCACTATCATACAATATGGGTTTCACTTTTCTGGCTCCAAATTTCTTTCTGTATTTTTATCTATTTATCTTTGTCTGTTTATCTATCATAATCTATCTTGATATCTATCTAACTTTTTATTTTGAAATAATGTTAGATTTACAGAAGAGTTGGAAGGATAGGAGAGTGTTGCTGTATAGCCTACATTCAACTTCTACCAGTGTTCATATTGCACATAACTGTGGTACATTTATCAAAACTAAGAAGCTAGCATTGATGTAATACTATTAATTATAGACTTTATTAAGATTTCATCTGTTTTCCCACTATTGACCTTTTTCTATTCCAGGATCCAATCCAGAATAACACATTCATTTAGGAATTCCTTTTATTTTTGTGAGGGAGTTCAACATGACTTACTCTAAGTATTATTCCAATATCCCCAACTGCAAATAACTGAAACTTAAATTTGAGATTCCAGGAGTCTCAATAAATGGGAATGAGCAGGCTGCAGTAGGGATAAACAATGAAGTATTCAGTAACTTCCCTACCAGATGCTCGCTGGCCTCACTGGAGACACAGTTCCCAAGTCCATTATCTGTGCCCTCAGATGAAATCCTCAAGAGACAGGCAATGTGATTGGCTCTTAGTCAACCACATGAGTAACTGCCTTCCCTATAAGTCCTGACCCAATTAGCTGAGGCCAAAGTGGAGGGGGTGATTCCTTATATAGAGAAACTGTCTTCCATGACTGTGAATGAAGCAAATTAATCCATGAGGGAAGTGATATATGGCAGAGAAATTAATGTCTCTGCCATAGATTGAATACAAGTTCCATTCTGTTGTAATGTTCTGTTGATTCTACTGTTTTTCCACACTCCTAAAAAATTTCCCGTGAGAAGTTAACTAATTTGCACAATAATACTTTTCTATTTTATAGTCTCTGAGTCGACCATGTGAAATCACTGGATATCCGAGTGGTGAACTGAACTCCTCTTGATAAAAACAAAACAAAACTATACATCATAACTGTCCTAATTATATAATCTAGCTACATTTTTATTAGTACCAGAAAAATAGAAGCTATTGTCTAGCTCTTTCTGTGTTCCAAATTATTTTTCTTTCATAATTCTGGAACAATCCACTAAGATTCCCTAGCAATCCAAACAGAGAAACACAAGTGGGTACTTCTTAAATACTTGTCAGTGATGATAAAACTGCCACATTAAAATACCATTTGTTGTGTATTAGGTAAGAAAATTTCTTGTAGATTTGTCAGTATGAATGCTCTAGTTTGAACTGTCATGCAGCAATGTGTTGAAGTCAGGCTTAAAGAATAGTCACATACTGGAGAAATAATTTGAGTATAAGGAATTGTTTCTGTCCATGAGGCACAGTCACAGTTAAAAACAGGATTAGTATATATTGGCTATCTACATTGCATAAGGAATAAATTCTGTGTTTATACCATTTGTGAAGGACTTTTAATGAGACATTTAACTTTTCAGCCACATAATTAACATTCCCTACATATTGTTAAATTCAGATGAAAAGGAGAGCAGCCATGCATCTCATAAGGTAATGTTTGAAACTGGCTGCTACTAACAATCCATTCACTCATAAACTAAAAGATGTAGGAAAATTGTATCCTCAGTGTCTTATTTTGGAAAACTCTAATGTGATCTAAAGAGTTTATCTTTACATAAGTGTGGAGGGAAGAAAAAAGGAAAGGAGGGTTTGTTGCTGAAACTTTTATAACCTTAATATTGGGCACGAGAATTATTTTGAGGGATGTAACACTCTTTGTAGAGATAAATGTCTTGAATAGCTTTGGTAAAAGGTGAGAACTCCAAGGCATAGGTAATATTAGGAGTTAAGGCAACCTTAGAATTGGCCAAACTTGTAGGAAATGGCCAAACTGTTTTGTAAAAGAATGATTTGGGGTTTTGTTTCATTTTGTTTTTGTTTTTTTGGGTTTTGTTTTCTTTTTTGATATTTAGAGAAAAGAAGAGGGGGGGAAAGAGCAATACAAAAGAGAGAAAGAAGGTATGAACCTGGGTACCACTCAGAGAGCAACAGGCAGAAAGCAAATCTGAAAGCTGGGACAATTAAAGAACTTTTAAGAACTGGAGTGACTAACGTTGAAGTTGAAGCTGTGTTGTAATGTTGACCACTCCTCTATCCTCCTCTACCAAATTATGATCACATCTATAATATTTCTAAAGGCCCCGGGAATAGTTTGGAGGGAGGAGCCATAGATAGCATCATTATATAAGTTTCACGTGTGACTCTATGTGTTGCCCAAATACAGGGAGAGCTTCTGGGATGGTTAGGTGATTCATAACTTGAATGAATTTGACCAGTGCAGAAGTCTGAAGCCAAAGATGCATGTGCATTTTACTTGTTATCGACTAGCACCCTAGTGAGATTTAAAGAAATTTAGGGGATCTTTGGAATATTAAAGAAATACATTTCCTGGGGGAAAATTCAAGGCATCTTTACATATACTCTAAAAATCAGGGAGTCATCAACTGATACCTCATTCAGTGAATACTCAGGATGGATAAATGCGAGAAAATAGTGCCTACCTGAAAAAAGAACAATAAATGCAAATGATTTAGTCATTGTGCTGGACATGACTAGTTCATTCTCAGTCACTTAACTATAGTAAGCACATAATAAAGAAAGGTGATATTATTATTCTACCATTGTATCCTTTCTAATAGATTCCACAGCGTTTATATCTCCCACACTATTCTCAACACTAACATTCTTCTGCTGTAAAATGAAGAGCATTTTCTTTCCAATGATACTGACTTCTCAAAGGAGACATTAAATTTTAAATAAATGAAAAGCAGTGAAAATATAATTACATATTCTCCTTTGATTCTTAAAAATTTATTGCTTACGAAATATCTTTCCACTCGTTGCTTGAGCTCCTGCATTTGACTATAATGTATATTCCATGTTTTACTGTCTTCTTATTTGGAAAAACTTCTTGCTTATTGTGTAATGAATTACTTTCTCATCTGCATGCAATATTGTTTCTTAAGAGAAGACAGGAATTAATACTCATGAATACCTGATAAACATTAGGCATTGTATTGGGTTCTACAAATGGATTATTTTCATTTGAATAAAATTCTCCTGTGAACGTAGCACCGATGTATAAACTGTATAAACTGATTTCATGGGTACATTTGTGGTAGCATATCTTATTTGAAGATGTTTTTTAAAGCTAGCAAATAGGTCAAAATAGAATTTTAAATTACTCTAAAAAAGTCCTTAACTACTTTTTACTTACATTATATGTTGTTACTTACATTTATATATTTACATATATTATATATTTAAACCTATATTTAAATATGGACTTATCAATGTATAATATATACCATAACATATAGTGCATATGTTAATATATTCTATAATATTTTAATCACTAAAAAGAGAGAAGTATAATTGAATTTGTGTAAGTTACTCATTAACATTGCAAATGTTGAGATATTTTATTTTTAAACACTGAAGATTAATTTTTCTTGTAAAAGTATCCTAGAATAAACAAATCAGAAAGGAAGATACAAGTAGCGAGTCTCATAATCAATTACAAAAATGCAGAAAAAGTGCCTCAGGTTAAGTGTAAGAAACTTGAAAGACAATTACATTTGAAAGTTTGAAATGAATAATGAAAAATTATTCCATATCTTCTTACTTCAAATTTTATCTTCTCAAAAGTCAGCTTTTCTGACCTACAATAATGAGATTTCTGTCATTTAAGGCTCATTCCAAAAATCCTGCTTCTAATGTGTTAGGTTAACCATTTTAAATTCTCCATTGCTGTCCCAAATGTCAGTGAACTAATTTGGCAGTGAGTGACTTTTTTCACAGATGAATGCCATTTCCTGACTCCAGCTTAGTTAGAAATGCAGGGCCATTGCATGATTCTTTGTTGGCTCTTCCTCTCATGTTTATAGTGAAAAATAAGTGTAGGAAAATTAATAACCTCAAAATAGAGGAATTTCTGTTGTCTTAGGAAACAAGATTTTGACTCATATCATCTCTTGGTCTTTGACCTTAAAAATGCAAAAAGTTCTTGCCCTATTATAACTATTCTCTATTAATAAAATTTGGCACATGCCATTTTCTGCTGGGAGAAATATTTTTCAGGATTTGTATTAGGTTTAAAGATCTATTGTAAAGCTAGGTGGTGAGAGTAGTAAGCCATCCCTTCATATCCAGAGTTGCTAACAGGTTCACTGAACACCACGATGCCAAATCACACTTTCAAAATACTTGCATGTGAGTGGCAGACTCAGAACATAGGATGGTAGCTGGAAGTGGATGTGGAGTTTAAGGATTGTTTTTGAGCCTTTGTCTTAGTTTTCCATTTTTTTAAAAAAAGATGGCTGTTGAACAGGAGAGGAAAAAGCAAGTACTTGGTGCAGACTTTCAGCCTGTTCCATCAGCAGTTAGCCTTGAAAGCAACAAATGTTTCAGATTTCCATTCTGAATTAGACAACACGCTACTTCTTTAGAACTTTCTGAGAATACCCACTGCATTTTGATAGCACGGTGGTCTTGTTATTCCTTGTTATAACTTTCAGTTTTTATTGTGAGAAAGAGGCTGCCCTGTGGAGAGCCCTGAATTCTTAATCCATTGGCCATCCCCTGGCCCAGAGAATCTCACCTCTGAGATTTTCTCAGTTTCGAACCTGGGTCCTGTTTGAGGTTAGTGTCTGTTTGATAAAAAGGGAATCCACATGTGATTTCTAAACCCAAGCTTTAGCCTGCTCTTACAAAGCCTTGTTTCAAGTGGCGAGAATTTTTTTAAAAAGTTATTTTCCCAAATTAAGAATGTGTTTCCTTGTCTGAGAAGCGAGATGCATGAGTCAAAGAAGCTAACTTTTTAGATGCCAAATGGGTCTGTATTCAAAAGAATTCCCAAGATAAAAGGCATGATTTCATTTCAGGATTAAATGATTCAGAAATGATGACAAATCTTGTGTGTTATTCCTTCAATTTTCTGGAAGAGTCAAAAAGAATAAGCACCTCGATTTATCATTCACTGTGGGCTTATAGGGTCTTAGGAGCTTTCCTTCCTATGTGGCATTCTTCAAGCCTGACACAAAACTAACCTGTTGTCCTACCTATGCCACCACCTAAGACCAGAGGCTTCAATCTGTGTATCTAAGTGTCAAAAGCTGGAACAGGACACAAGCAAACTATAGTGTGTGTCACTTGTTTGCTGGTGGACTTGGCAAATGACATTAAGAAATGTGATTAAAAAAAAACTAAAAATAATACATGGTATTTTTTTCCCTCTTTCTCAAGAATCCAAGGATAGGAAATGTGAAATAAATTAGGAAAAATGTGACTGTTTTCTCGGGAAAAAATGTGACTATATTAGTCCATTTTCACACTGCTATAAAGAACTACCTAAGACTGAGTAATTTATAAAGAAAAGAGGTTTAATTGACTCACAGTTCCACATTGCTGGGGAGGCCTCAGGAAACTTCCAATTGTGATGGAAGGTGAAGGGGAAGCAAGGCACATCTTACATGGTGGCAGGAGGGAGAGAGAGTGTGAGGGTCAAAGTGCCAGACATTTATCAAACAACCAGCAAGGGAGAAGTCCAACCTCACAACTCAATCACCTCCCACCAGTCCACTACCACAACATGTAGGGATTACAGTTCACAATAAGATTTGGGTGGGGACACACAGCCAAATCGTACCAGTGACAATCTTTATGAAGAAGTTTACCTTTATCTCCTTGGCCAGGAACATGGTCCCCACTGCACAGGAAAGGCATACCTTATCTGTCCTGCCCCCTGCTCCCTGGGGGAAGAGAAATAGATTCTCTAGCCTCAGCCAAAAGGTGCATTTTCCCCAGAAGGTGCTGCCCATGAAGTTTAAATTTAATGAAAGAGATGTGGCAAGTTCACACCACATACCCTGTGCCAAAAGATGCCATTGTCATTTGCACATGAAAGATGCTCTTCTTGAATTGCTGTTTGTTGAATCCACATCTGTATAATTCTCAGAGAAAACCTATTTGTTGACCCTCCCTCCTTCTACTATATTTGTAGACTTTGTTCCTTCCCATTTGGAGAATTTATGCCAGTCAAGGAGCAAATTGTCATCCAATGATCTTAGAAAATTAACAACATATTGGGTATTATATTCTATATCAAAGCATATGCATTCCCATGCAAAATATGTCTCTTTTCACTTAAAGGCCCTAAATCATGTCAGACCTGGGCTTCAAGAAAAGTTCAATATTCTGTATTTCACCTTTCTCTTTGATTTCTCTGACATTATTTCTGCGATGAGATTCTCTTTCTAGGGGCTGCAATGTTTACCCTCTTAGTTGTGTGAGCCCTCAAACCTCATATTTTTTTCTGAAAACTTGTAGCTAATTAAATCTGTTTATAGTTTAATAACGTGTTCTATTTGGACACTGTGGTTTTACACATGTTAAATTCCTAATCCATGTAGACTTCTTTTTTTGGCATGTTCTCTGAGGTAGATAATAGCATCTTGAACTTCTATAATTCCACTGACTTGCTCACTTCTAATTTGAGTGCTGGCATAATCCTTAGCATACAAGAGATTCTCAATATAAAGCAGTTAACCCATTGATGTGTGATTTGGGAAACAATTTAAAATGCGATGATGCAAATAAAGAAATAAAGGGATGGATAATTGGGGGCAGGTCAGGCTTATGAATTGGTGTAGAGCTCCATTCCCCAAATATCCCCTTAATTAGAGTGTTTTCATTAGAGTCATTTTGGAAATTGTTACAATGCTCACTGTAATGATGTTACAATTCTGTGTCATGAATGCTCCATGTAAAAGCAAAAATGCCTTCATTTAATTATTTAGTAAAAATGTCAAAGAGGGATGTGATCACTGAAAACTGGAAGTATTAAGTAAAATAATAAAATCATTCAAGGAACACAAACTCTTGCTTAAGTAAGCTTACCTACCTTCCTTTCTCCCTTCCTGGCAAAATTTCTGTGAATAGTCATCTTTACCTTCTCTCCTCTTAAGTGCATTTATCCTTCAGCTCGGTTAAATACTCATCTTGCCCTTTTGTACCATCTAAAACATTCTTTGGTTACCAGAGGCTGGGAAGGGAAATGGGAGTGAGGTTGGAGGGAGATGAGGATGGTTAATCAATACAAAAAATAATTAGAAAGAATGAATAAGACCTACTTTTTGATAGACCAGCAGGGTGACTACAGTCAATAACAATTTAATTGTGCATTTAAAAATGACTAAAAAAGTATAATTGGATTGTTTCTAACACAAAAGATAAGTGCTTGAGGGAATGGATACCCTATTCTTCATGATGTGATTATTATACATTGCATGCCTGTATTGAAACATCTCATGTACCCCATAAATATATACACCTACTATGTACCCAAAAAAAAGAAAGCAAAAACTAAAAAAAAAAAAAATTTGCTCTAATTTACTAGTGACAGCTCAAAAGTGAAATCCAATCCAAATCCAATAGTGAAAATCCGTCTTCATCCTACTTGACTACTCTTCAGTGAATCTCATACTTTGTCAAGCTTGCCCCTCGCTCAGCATCTAGAACTTCATTCACTTGTATCTCTTCACACTTCCAAGATTATTGGTTTTTTGTCTTTTTGGGGAGCCCTTCTTGAGTTTAAGCTAACTAAAGTAGAAACAATATCTTCTCAATCACAATATAACCTACCACTTACAATACATTTTCGAACAAAATAGGTGTGTTTATTTAAATGAATGGATTTTTAAAAATGAATTAATATCAGAAATAAAAGGAAATGGTTTCTCATCTAGCTCATTGTTGAGGTATAGAAATGAGATTGATGGAAATTCAGTGACTAGTCCATGGTCACAGAGTCAATTACCAACAGAAATGGAACAGGAGCTGAGGTCTCCTTCATGCAAATTCTACATTCTCTTCTTATACCACCACAAAATAAATGCAAATATTTTTTCCCTAGTAAACCTCCACAGAGTTAAAGTCATGCCTATTTTATCTGAAATCCCATAGGAGACTAGAAATTGAAAAAATCCAAAGCTGCCATGTCATCTAAATCATTCTTTATTCATACAAATATGTGTATTAAAAATATACCTCTAAGACGCCTAGTTCATAATGCCACTATGTATTAAGCCTTTTTAATTATTCCTCCAAATATGTTTTTTCTTATTTCCTTGGCTTTTTTTCCAAAATGAAACTACACTTTACTAATCTTACTGCTTTTATTTTAGAAATAAGCCCAAATCACTTGGCTAGTTTGCCAAACAGTGGAAGGGCTACAATGAATCAGAGAGTAATGTTTGTCCCTTAAGCCATTGAGTCACTTCAGAGGATCATCTTAAGAAACATTAGAATCATAGAATCTTCTCATTAAAAGGGACTAGCAAGGTCATCTACCTTGAAATTTCTCTAAAGCTGTAATTCATCAATGACCATTTACTTTGTAATAGATCATAGTTCTGAAGCTCTGCTGCAATTCTTCTCATTTCTCTCAGTGCAAGCTGGTGTTTTCTTCTCCAAAAGGCTCTATATTTCATAGGAGTGATTGATTAGTTGGTTTTTCAGAGCAAAACAGTCTGAATTCAATCCTTTCTTTGCCACTTAATAGCTATGCAATCTTGGGCAAATGTACTAATACCTCTAAATCTTAGTATTTCTCATTTCTAAAACAGAGATGCTTAATCACATAACAAAAGTAGGAGAAGCTACGATCATGCTGTATAGTAGCAAAGCTTCAATAAGTAGTAATCATCATTGTATAGTAAACAATTACTTGAGAATTCTCTCTCCCCATCATGTTCCCTTGCTGGCAATTTCTTGATGCTGGTTTTAATTCTCTAACTTCTTTCAAGTTCATTTCTTCTCTCTAGAGATTTTTCCCTCTCTCCATTGAGCTTGAGCACAGAGGAGCTTTTGTAAGCTTTTATGTTCTCCACTCTAAGGTTTCCCAACTTCCATGTAGAGTTTACATTAAATAGTCATCATCTCAGACACAAAGACAAATTAAGCATTTGCTAGGGGGGTGCATAGGAAGGTATCCATACCAGTACTTCATATGTCCTAGACCTTGAATCAGACAAATTGCCTCATGTTCTCCCTTGAAAATTTCACATGGAAATTTCCACGGCTGCCAGATTTTTAGGTGTCTAATTTTGTGGAGGACCTCAAAGTTCTGATTTTAAATCTATTAGATGGCTTCCCTTTCCTTGGTTCTTCCTGCCAAAAGTCACTGTCAAGCCTGGTCCCCCTTGGAAAACATAGGAGCATATATACATATGTATATGTACATATACATACACATATATACATACACATACATATATACCTGTATATACACACACATACACACACATAACACCAGTCAACTTTTACAGGAGTGTGGCTCTTCTAAGATATTTGCCCAGGGCTTGGGATTTCAATTAAATGATCTTATTGCCATACTTATCAGTCAATGCTTAGGTGTCATGCATCTACTTTGCTATCTCGGTGCTCCAAAGCTTTGTGAATTTCTTGATCATTATCCACCATATCTTCCAATGAAAAGTTTATTTATATCAAAAGTTGTGTGATTCCAGTCTTATTTCTGGTATGAATTCCACTTATGAATGAATGAGAAAGAAAGCTAGTAGATGGCCCAAAGCAAATTTGCAAAGTCTTCTGTCTCTCTTTCCATTTCCTGTGTGTGCCTGTCCTCCCTTTGTTGTTCTCATTCCAGTTTACCTTAATTCCATGAGCATTTTTCCACCTCCTCCCTCCAGACAGAGACTTGTCCTTCTGTAGTTCCACTTGTTTTTATTTCCTGTGGTTACCTGCATCTTTCTTGAGTAAAATTTGGACGCAAAAGGGATTTGAAAAAGTCCATGCTTAGTAATACCACTTCTGGGAATTTACTCTAAAGAAACAAATCATGAGAAGTAAAAAGTCATTCTGACAAAGAAATTTATAATATTTACAATGATAAACTGAAACAATCTAAATATCATAGTATATATCAACCAGATGGAATGTTATGTGGCTTTTATAAAATTCAAGGCTTTGCAGTAACAAAAAACTGAGTGAAATAATATTATGGAAAATATATAATGTAAAATTATATTACATATAATTAGAACAATTTCATTTCACAGAAAAAATATTAATGCTAGTATAAGCACCTTAATAAGGTTGTACTCAAATAGTTTGCCCTTTTTTTCATGTTAATTTCTGTTGATAAAATATTGATGCCTAATACTTTCATCTATTATGAGTCAGGAATTTTTCTAAGGCCTTTCCATGCATTTAATTTTTACATCTCATTTAATCTTCATAATAATTCCCTAATGAAAGTGACAAAATATGTCCATTTTACAGATGAATTCAAAGAAGATCAGGCACAAAGAACTAACTTGTTCAACTAGCTAATTTAGAATTTAATCCAGGTAGTCTATCACCAGAATCCATTCTTTTAATCATAATACTGTGCTAACTCTGATGTTTACATTGGTTTATAAATGTATTCTTTTTGTCAAATTAGTTAGAAAAAAATAACACTAATTTATTTAAGCTATAATTTGACAATGTTTTTAAAAGTGTTAATATGTCATGGTAATGATATCAACACACACACAAGCAATGCACTGATTTCAACTGTGTAAAACCCCACCTGACTCTATTTATATTAATTACTGGTTGAAATAAAAAATCTAGGAAGGAGAACAGGGTCACCCTGATAGAATTAAATTAATATTTTCATTTAAATCCATTTAATATTATTATCATATTGTGTGAAATAGAAAAACAAAAAATAAAATAAACAAAACAAAAACTTGCCTATTGTGAGGTCTATTTCCATGAAGATTTATAGGGAAAAGATTTGAAGAAGCCAATTTTTTTCTGAGGACCAGAAAATCAAGATCCAGTTTCAATAATGATAGCAATATTCAGTGAATTATAGATTACCAAATTCAATATCATATAAGTTTGATTCTAATGAGGTAAAACAAGGAATATTTTCTCTACAATTTACGTATAAATAAAGCTATTATTGCCCACTCATCTGAGAATTTTTTTTTACTTTTCCTTTTAATAAATTTTTTTGGGGGATTCAGTGGGTATATGTGCAGGGTTGTTACATGGGTATATTATGTGATGCTGAGGTTTGGGATACAGATGGTCCCATCAACCAGGTGGTAAGCGTAGTACCCAATACGTAGTTTTTCAGCCCATACACCCCTGTCTAGCAGTCCCAGGTGCCTACTGTTCTCATCTTTATGTTTATGTGTATTCAATGTTTAGCTCCCACTAATAAATGAGAACATGTGGTATTTGGTTTTCTGTTCTTGTGTTAATTTGCTTAGGATAATGGCCTCCAGCTGCATCCATGTTGCTGCAAAGGACGTGATTTTCTTCTTTTTATGGCTGCATAGTATTGTATGGTGTACAATTTCTTTATCCAATTCACTATTGTTGGGCATCTAGGTTGATTCCATATCTTTGCTATTATGAGCAGTGTTGTAATGAATATGTGATTGCATGTGTCTTTTTGATAGAATGAATTATTTTCCTTTGGGTATATACCCAGTAGTGGCACTGCTGGGTTGAATGGTAGTTCTGCTTTAAGTTCTTTGAGAAATCTCCAAACTGCTTATACAGTGGCTGAACTAGTTTGCATTCCTATCAAAAGCATTTCTTTTCTATGCAGCTTTGTCAGCATCTGTTTGTTTGTTTTTTTTTTTGACTTTTTAGTAATAGCCATTCTGACTGGTGTGAGATAGCATCTCTTTGTGGTTCTCATTTACATTTCTCTGATAATTAGTTATGTTGAGCATTTTTTCATATGTTTATTGGTTGCTTGTAGGTCTTCTTTTGAGAAGTATCTGTTCATGTCCTTTGCCTATTTTTAAATTGGATTATTGTTTTGCTTGTTGATTTGTTTAAGTTTCTTGTAGATTCTAGATTCTGGATATTAGATCTTTGTCAAATGTATAGTTTGCAAATATTTCCTCCCATTCTGTAGGCTGTCTGTTCATTCTGTTGGTAATTTTTTTTTTTTTTTTTTTGCTATGCAGAACTCTTTAGTCTAATTAGGTGCCACTTGTCAATTTTTGTTTTTGTTGCACTTGCTTTTGGGGACTTAGTCATATATTTTTTGCCAAAGCCCATGACAAGAAGGATATTTCCTAGGTTGTCTTCCAGAATTTTTATAGGTTGAGGTCTTACATTTAAATCCTTAATCCATTTTAAGATTTGTATATGGTGAGGGTAGGGGTCAGGTTCTTTCTGCATATGGCTACCCAGTTATCCCAGCACTATTTATTGAAAGCGAGTCCTTTCTCTATTGCTTATTTTTGTCGATTTTGTTGAAGATCAGATGATTTTGCATGTGCGGGTTTATTTCTTGGTCTTATTCTGTTCCATTGGTCTATGTGTCTGTTTTTGAACCAGTGTCATGCTGTTTTGATTACTGTAGCCTTAGAGTATAGTTTGAAGTCAGGTAATGTGATGCCTCTAGTTTGTTCTTCTTTCTTAGGATTGCTTTGTCTATTCAGGCATTTTTTGGGGTTTCATATTAATTTTAGGATAGATTTTGTTTAATTCTGTAAACATTGGGGTTGGTAATTTAATCTGTAGATTGCTTTGGGCAATATAGCCATTTTAAGATACTGATTCTTTAAATCCATGAGTATGGAATTTTTTCCATTTGTTTGTGTCATCTCTGATTTATTTCAGCAGTGTTGTGTAGTTATCCTTATGGAGACCTTTAACCTCCTTGGTTAGATGTATTTCTATGTATGTGTGTGGAGTCGGAGAGATGGGGGTGTGTGGGGGTTGGGTGTGTGGCTATTGTAAATGGGATTGTGTTCTTGATTTGTCTTTAAGCTAGAACATTATTAGTGTACAGAAATGCTACTGATTTTTGTACGTTGGTTTTATATCCTGAAACTTTACTGAAGTCATTTGTCGGTTCCAAGGTCCCTTAGGCAGAGTCTTCAGGGTCTTCTAGGTAATAGAATTATATTGTCAGCAAAGAGAGATGGTTTAACTTCATCTTTTCCTATTTGGATGTCTTTTATTTCATTATCTTGCCTGATTGCTCTGGTTAGGATTTCTCAATAACACTTGAAATTATCTTTTAAGCCTTAGTAGAGTTTTATTTAAAAAAGAATTTTACTTTACTATTTTCTAACCTCTTTAGGTTAAATTGAACATATTTACAAATGAAAGTACTCTAAATTTTTAGTGTTTATAAAGTATTACATCTTCATTTGCTAGTAGAATCTCAAGATTCTCTTCTGAATGAGTGTACTCACCATTGTCTAAATACTTTTTAATGCTTATGTTGCATAATTTCCCTGATGAGAATTGATATGGTTTGGCTGTGTCCCCACCCAAATCTCCTCTTGAATTCCCACATGTTGTGGGAGACACCCAGTAGGAGGTGATTGAATCATGGGGGCAGGTTTTCCCATGCTGTTCTCATGATAGTGAATAAGTCTCATGAGATCTGATGTTTTTTAAAAATGGGAGTTTCCCTGCACAAGGTTCTCTCTCTTTGCCTGCAAACATCCACTTAAGATGTGACTTGCTCCTCCTTGCCTTCCACCATGATTGTGAGGCCTTCCCAGCCATGTGGAACTGTAAGTGCAATTGAACCTTTTTTTTTTTGTAAATTGCCCAGTCTCGGGTATGTCTTTATCAGCAGTGTGAAAATGGACTAATACAAAAATTATATAAGTTATTTAATATAGATAAACTTCTAGTGAGCAGCTTCTTTTGACTGTGTACATCCTGCTTGATTCACAGGGGGCAATAACAATTCTGGCTCCTTTCCAACATTTGAGCTCCTGGACCTACATGAAAGGTGTGGGAATTGGAGAAACAGTTACAGGCCACACTAAGATCTCTGAAATCCAGACACTTCACTATAGCAGAAATGTTTGCTGTGAGTCTGAACAGTAAGGACATAAAACTGAAAGTTCTACCTGATGAAGTACAGAATGTTTTGTTGTTTATTTCTTTGAGTAATTCAGCTCTTTCTAAACTGAAGAGTGAAGGAATACTTAGTAAAATCACATCAGAGGAGAAGACCACTGTTTTATGTGTTTCTAAAAAAAAAAAAAAGAAAAGCAATTAGTGTTGTCCTTGAATTAGTTTATCAATCATGCGTATTAAAAAAAAAAATAAGAGCCTCAATCAGAAGCTAACTTTGCCCTTGCACAGAGCACTACGAAAAACCAGATTTTAATTTATTAGAGGAAAACATTATTCTTCAATTTATCATGCAAATTCAAAATTTCATTATAACCAAGAGAAAACAGAGTTTCTGAATGATCTTAGAGCTGCTGTCAGTGAATTCAATCTATGAAATTGATAATAAAGATTTTTTGTTTCATTTTTAACTTTTTATGAATAAAAAGCTTAAGTCACAACCATGAATACTGAATCAACACATAATACATTTCCCTAGATTTTTTTCCAAGCATTTAGAAAGCTTCAAGGCTTTGATTATTTCATTTGAAACCTGGAAGTACCTATTGAATAATCAAATTTTTAAAATTTGGCATTCCTTTTGCTGTCATCTGGCTTTTATAGTTTCTGTTAAGAAATCACCCATCAGCCTGGTTGTTATTCCCTTGAAAGTAATCTATTCCTTCTCTTTGTCAGATAATTGTTTGTTTGTTTTTCTGCTTCATATTTCTTTTTCTATTTTAAAGATATATAAAGATTTTGTATATAAAAAATCTAGGGAAATGTATTATGTGTTGATTCAGTATTCATGGTTGTGACTTAAGCTTTTTATTCATAAAAAGTTAAAATTGAAAGAAAAATCTTTATATTAACTGTTTATAGTTCAGGAGACCAAGAATCTTAAATCATGTGTCTATTTCTAGCAGCTTAGTACACATTTCACTAACTCTTTCCCTGAAAGAAATAAAGAAAAAAACTAAAATTATTGGATAAAATATTTAAAATTTTTTGAATACATTAATGAGCTGATAAAAGAGTGAGAAATCTCTGATGTGAAGTACTTTAAAACATTCACTTGAAAATCACATTCAGTGGAAAGTTTTGATAAATTCATAGCAATCTATGCACCCAAACTGGGAGCTTCATCTCCTGAATGACTAGATGGAATGTAAACTCCATTTTCTGTTACCATATAGTTCTTCAGTTATTCGTTTGATGGCTTTAACAAAATAACAAGGGAGCCACACACATCGATTTTCTTTTTTGTATTGTAAATCCTCAGGGCAGGTCGGTGGGCAGTTCTCAGAACTGTTTGCAGGTAGCTCTTTTCATTTTGCAACTTGATTGTGCGATTCAACTGTTCTGTTAAACTCATACAGAGAGGGCTACAGGAGTAAGGATAGTATTTGATTAAAATCCTATCTAATATTTATTAATTATGTGATCTTTGCAATTATTTTGAATCCAATTTCCTCTACTGTAAAATTATGATAACTCCTTCGTCGTGGTATTGTTTTAAGGATCAAACAATATATGGTTTGGAAAGCACCATGCCTACTGCATGGTAAAAATATTTAACAGATGTTAATTTGTCACTGTCATATGGAATCTAAGATGATTTTCAAAATAGAGCTCAATGATGTAAAAATTATTCTTTTTCCTTTGTATTAATAGAAAAAATCCTATTTTATGTTTGCTAAAAAATATTAAAATATATTACATTAAAAAGGAACTCTTGAAAGTACAATTCAGACTTCAGGAAGGAGTATTTCTTATAATGTCAAAAAGTTGTATTTTATCTATTCCCCACTCACTCTGAGTAAAGTAATCAGACTCTATTATGAGAGAGAATAAAAAAATCGGGGTGTGCAGGAAAAAGAATAAAATGAGTAAAAGTTTTGAGACCATCTTGTTAATAAACTCCATTGGAATACAAGTAGTAATATGCAAACAGAAAATGAAATATGAGCTACAATTGCAAATAATAACCATTTACATATTTTGCAGAGTTTTCTATAATATTCTATTATCATAGACTAGCATTAAGATCAAGACCTTGAAAAATACCAGGAAAAAAAAACACTAAATAAACTATAGATTGGTTAAAAAAATCATAATTCAGAAAACAGAGGATTAATAGTTAAAGTATAAGTTTTAAGAGATGAAAAACTTAGACTAGAAAGAAGTAACCAAAAGTTGGAGAAATGCCAATTAAATTAGCAAGATATGCTTTCTACCAATCAGACTATTTAAAAATACTTTAAAAATTTGTATTGCTGACAGAGATCAGGTGAAGATTATTATAATACATTGCCGTTACAGGATATGTAGCAGCTTTGGGTGCAGAAATATATAACCTATTAAGTTAAAAATCATTTGTCTTTTAATCTGAAAACCCCACTTCTAGAAATATATTCCATAGGAGTCAAAGTACCAGGATACAACATTGCTCACAGTGATAAAGCACTTCAACAACGGAATGACTGAACAAATTATGGCATAAGCATGCAGTGAAACATCATGCATACATTATACCATGTATTCATTAATAAGAACAAATCATTTCACTTGGATAGCTTTCCACAAAGAGTTGTTGAATATGAAAAGATGCAGATGGGGATGTAAAATCTTATTCTGTTTTAGAAAAGAAAACATGGAGAAAGTATAGACTGCTATATACTAGGATGTCACATGAGTTACCAGTGGAGGGGAGTGTGAAGAGGGTGGCTCCGGAAAGAAGAGGCAGCAAGCCAAACAAAAATGGAGACAAGAAATAGACTGCTACGCTAATTTCTATAAATGTTTGTAAGCACTTTTATCTAAAGTTAGATGCATGTGTCTGTAATAAAAATTTTAAAATTAATCAGAAACAGCTCTCTAACCCCAAAGTATCTCCAGTCCCCGAATTTGGAAGTCTTATGTGGTTTAGCTGCTGAACAGCAACTCCTTCCTCCATTTTCATTTCCAGTTTAAAACATGGAGAAATCGTTGGTGAGATGTAGTGATAGGAGGTAAATAAGTGTGCTCCTCAGTTCTAAATTCAAAGGATATATTTGCCAACTTCTTCATCTATCAGAATGATTTTATTAATTTACACTTCACTTCAAACATACCACGAAGAATCTGACTGACCCTGACAAATCTAGGGGGTTGGAAGGGAGTGCATTTTGTTATTAATGGACTCAAAGAAGAATATTTGTAAGCAAGGGTCCACGTTCCCTTTTTCTCTTAAAATTAGTACTAGTTTTCCATGAAATATGAACAAAACAGAAACAATAATTGAGATTCATGAAAAAATTCTGGGGATAAAAAAACAAAAGAAAGAAGAAAAATCCTAGAGCTAATACTCACCCTAGAATGTCCAATATATGAGGGGCAATATTTTTTTTTTTTTTTTTTTTTTTTTTTTTTGAGATGGAGTCTTGCTCTGTCCCCCAGGCTGGAGTGCTGTGGCGCGATCACAGCTCACTGCAAGCTCCGCCTCCCGGGTTCACGCCATTCTCCTGCCTCAGCCTCTCGAGTAGCTCCCGCCACCATGCCGGGCTAATTTTTTGTATTTTTTTTTAGTAGAGACGGGGTTTCACCGTGTTAGCCAAGATGGTCTCGATCTCCTGACCTCGTGATCTGCCCGCCTCGGCCTCCCAAAGTGTTGGGATTACAGGCGTGAGCCACCGCGCCCGGCGAGAGGCAGTATTTTAAGGCAAAAATGTTATTTATTTTCAGGGAGATAAAACAAAGCATCACAGCTATGAGAATTAATTTTTAAAATGAACCGGTAAAGATTTCTATGGAAAGCAGATGTAAAAGAATCAATTCTTTCAAAGTGAAGGTAAATGATGGAAGGTGGAGCTAATAATAAATAGGGAAAAAAATAACAATGAAGAGAATGAGACAAAAATGTCAGGTGTGGAATAAAAACAAGAAAGAAAACATTCAATAATAGAAATTACTAAGGAACAAAACGGAGAAGGAAAAAGTTTTATAGTAAAAGTCATGAGGCAAACTAAAAAACCAATATCATTGGATATTCAAAGTGCTTTTGATATCCGAGCAAAATTCATAGGAAGTCAGCACTTCATAGTTTGGTGCAATTCTTTAAAGGTTAAAAAAAGTCTTCAAGCTTTTATATAAAGAAAACTTAGTTTCAGGGCATTAAAATCAGGACTCCTTTCAACCTCATCACAAATAGAGTATCAATCAATGGCCTGGTCTCTGAAAGGAAAAAGATCTCAACCAAGACACTCAGGAAATGTGTCATTTGTGTGTGAAAACAATAGGAAGACATTCTTCGAACTACGGACTCCCACTTTCCCACCTAGAAATTCTTTCTGCAAAATACACAACAGGATATAAACCAGAACTCCAAAAGACTGAATTACATGTAAGCTCTCCAATTGGATTATGCATTGGAAAAAAAACAAACAAAAACGTTTGATGGCCATTAAAACCATGTTCCCATTACAGAGCAGTCACTAAAGTGTATGATTATTGTTTGATAATAGTAAGTAAGGGTCTAACAAGGGAAGACGTGCTGTAAGTCTAAATAACTGGAGTAAATTTTAGAAAAAAAAGTAGAACAAACATTTTAAATAATAAAATAAAAGTTTATTTAAAGGTTAAAAAATGGGATTTCAGATTCCAAAATTTAGATAATGAGCTAGGAGAAGCCACATGGCTTTGAGGTTACACCCTGCTTTCCTTAGAAGATAATTGAGAGTAACAACAAAAATAAATAAATAATAACAACATTAGAAAAGCTAAAGGGAGTTTGAGATAATCATTATGAAAGCAAAACAATAAAAACAGCATAATTAATGATTCAAAATTACTGAGGTAGATTAAAAGAAGCACAAAATAAATTTAATTATTGACACTAATATGATATTTATTTTTAAAACTATGGAAATAAGGAAAAATGTTTACAATGCTATATTAATACAATTTGAAGCAAAAGGAACAAATTGATAAATTGTACATATATGTCTGTGGACAAACCAGCACAAAAATAGAAATAAACATACTATAATGTAACATTATGGGTAATTGCTTTATTTACTCATACGGCTTAAAAAACTTTTAAAAATAAATAAGAACAACTCTCTTAATTTCATTGTTAAATTACATTAAGGCAAGATTAAACATTTTAAAAATATGCCAAATTCAATTTTAAGACGCAGCATATATTGCCACTTTTAACAGGTAGTAATTTAACTGCAGAGAAAGACTTTCGTTTCTTTCTTATTATAAAAAAAAAGTAAAGAATTATTCACCATTGTCTTATCATTACTTTAGAAGACAAGCTATTTGGTGAATCTGTACAATCTATGTATTAAGTAAAGATATTTTTGCGCTTGGGTAAATAGGTCCCTCAAAGCTGGCAGGGCCTCTAACTAAATATACACCATGTGCAGGTTATTGAAGTAAAAACGGAAGGTCTGTGTGTGACATTTGCAGATACTAAAAATGATGCTTAAATACAAACATGATTTTCCCATTGGAGAACGACGGCTTGCCACTAAGATAAGAATACTGCTTTCAGAATTTCCTTCTGAACTTTCTAGGCAAGCCTCTCTAGTATGCATTCTCCAAAATCAGATATATTACTGAACTATCATATAGTCCAAGACTGTAAATCTTTGGTTCATACAATGTCAGGGATCATGGAGAAATTTAACATTTAGGAAAAAAAAGTTATCTGTGGATATTGAAGAAGACTTTATAATCATATTACTCTTTCATTTTATTCATGATTCTAATTTCAAAAATTAATCTTGCTTCCCCCTCTACCTTTCCTGTACATCCTCCATATCAACTAGATTGCCCTTGTTTTAATTTTTCACTTTTTTAAAGAGCAGTTTTAGGTTTACAGCAAAATTGGGAGGAAGGTACAGAGATTTCCCATATATCTTCTGCCCTGACATGTGTACAGCCTCCCCAGTTATCAGTATCCCCAACAGAGTGGTACATTGTTACAACTGATGAACCTACATTGACATACCACAGTCACCGAAACTTCATGGTTTACATTACGGCTCCCTCTTGGTTTTATACCATCTATGGGTTTGTACAAATACATAATGACATGTCTCCACCATTATAGTGTACACACAGAGTATATACACTGCCCTAAAAATCCTGTGTTCTGTCTACTCATCTCTCTCTCCCCTCCAACCCCTGACAACCATTGGTCTTTTTACTGTCTTCATAGTTTTGCCTTTTCCAGAATGTCATATAGCCTTTTGATGTTGACTTCTTTCACTGAGTAATATACATTTACATTTCTTCTATGTCTTTTCATAGCTCTTTTTTTTTTGTCACTGAACATTTCTTTGCCTGGATGTACCACAGTTTATTCATCCATTCACCTACTGAGGAACATCTCGGTTGCTTCCAGATTTGGGCAGTTGTAAATAAGGCTGCTATAAGGATCCATATGAAGATTTTTGTGTGGGTATAAGTTTTCAACATTTTGGGTAAATATCAAAGAATGTGTTGGCTAGATCCTATGGTAAGAGTATGTTTCGTTTTGTGAGAAAACACCAAACTGTCTTTTAAAGTTGCTGTGCCACTTTGCATTCCTACCAGCAACGAGTGGGAGTTCTTGCTGCTTCACATCTTCCCCAGCATTAGGTGTTGTCAGTGTACTGGATTTCGGCCACACAAACAGGTGTCTCATTATTGTTTCAGTTTTTGTTTTCCTAATGACATAATGTGGAGCATCTCTTCACATGCTTGTTTGTCATTTATACAACTTGTTTCACGAAGTGTCTGTTAAGTTATTTGGCTTATTTTTAAATCTGGTTTCCTTCCTTCCTCCTTCTCTCCTTTTCTTTGTCTCTCTCTTTCTTTCTTTCTCTTTCCTTCCTTCCTTCCTCCCTCCCTCGCTCCCTCCTTCCTCCCTTCCTTCCTTTCTTCCTTCCTTCCTCCTCCTCCTTTTCTTTCTTTCTTTCCTTCCTTCCTTTCTCCTCCTCTTCTTTCTCTTTCCTTCCTTCCTTCCTCCTCTTCTTTCTCTTTCCTTCCTTCCTTTCTCCTCCTCCTTCCTTCTCTTTCCTTCCTTCCTTCCTCCCTCCTTCCCTCCTTTTCTTTCTTTCTTCCTTCCTTCTTCTCCTCCTCCTTTTCTTTCTTTCTTTCCTCCTTCCTTCCTTCCTTTCCTTTCCTTTCTTTCCTTCCTTCCTTCCTTCTTGATAGGATCTCACTTGTTACCCAGGATGAAACGCAGTGGCAGTCACTGTGGCCTTAAACTCCTGCGCTTAGATGATTCTCCCACCTCAGCCTCCCGAATAGCTGGGGCTACAGGTGCACCACCATGCTCAGCTAATTTTTTGTAGAGACAGGGTTTCATCATGTTGCCCTAGTTGGTCTCAAACTCCCAGGCTCAAGTCATCTGCCCATCTCAGCCTCCCAAAGTGTTAGGATTACAGACATAAGCTACCACACCCAGACTTGTATTCTTACTGTTGAGTTTTAAGAGTTCTTTGTAAACTTGGATAACAGACCTTTACAAGATGTGTCTTTTGTAAATATCCTATCCCAGTCTGTGGGTTGTCTGCTCATTCTCTTGATATTGTCTCTCACAGTGTGGAAGTTTTTAATTTTAATGAAGTCCAGCTTATCATTTTTTATCATAAATCATGCCTTTGGAGTTGTATCTAATAAATTACTACCATATCCAAAGTCATCTAAATTTTCTCCTATAGTATCTTCTAAAAGTTTCTAGTTTTGCATTTTACATTTAGGTCTATGATTCATTTTAAGTTGGTTTTCAGGAAGGATGTAAGGTCTATGTGTAAATTCATGACTATTCTTCTTTAGCCTATTGATGTGATTGATTACATTAATTGATTTCTTTATTGTTGAACTAGCCTTGCATATCTGTGATAAATGCCAGTTGGTCATGGTGTATAATTATTTTTATACATTGTTGTATTTGAATTGCTAACATTTTGTTGAGATTTTTTGCATCAATGTTCATGAGAGATATTGGTCTGTAGTTTTCCTTTTTTGCAATGTTTTTGTCTAGTTTCAGTATTAGGGTAAGCTGGCCTCATAGAATGAGTTAGGAAGTATGCCCTCTGCTTTTATCTTCTAAGAGAGATCTTACAGGAGTCCTCTAATTCCTTCCTTAAATGTTTAGTAGAATTCATCCCAGTGAACCCATGAAGGCCCAAGACTTTATGTTTTGTAAGGTTATTAATTATTTATTCAATTTCTACAATAGACATAGATCTATTCAGATTGTCTATTTCTCCTTTTACAAATATTGGCAGATGGCATCTTTCATAAAATTGATTCACTACAATCAACCAATAATCAAATCTGTGGGCAAACAGTTGTGCATAAAATTCCTTTATGACCCTTTAATGTCCAGGACATTTTTATTTTGTACCCTCAGTCAAAACTGTAGAACATACATATGATCTTTGTACTTGTTGAAAAATATTTGTTGCCTTTCTTTTCAAAAAACTACCTAAAATAAGTAAGAGTTCTTATTCTTCACTTAAACAAATGGAACACTTTATTATTGTGTGTGCATTTAGTTGGCTGTTATTTCCACTTAAATTTCTCATTTTTTATTTCAGTGGTATTAATCAAAAGCATTGTGCCATGTGGCTGTATATTCTCTTGGATAAGCAAAAGGATGCTGGACTTGTACAATATGTGCCTGTGATCACATATATTCTTAAATAAATGTGAAGGGCATGGCTTTGTAAAGAGGCTTTGAATTTCTTGACTTCAAGTTTCACTTCTAATCATTAAATCAATTGGAATTTTCTTTATGGTCATTTTAAAGACTATTATAAGCTGTTACTATTTACCAGCTTTTCAGAATTAAAGAACTTGAAGTTTTTCCTTTTATCTTTGAAAGGAGGCAAGCATCTCTATTGTCACAATCAGCCTCCACACAGCATGATGGGGATGGCCATGTTTTTCTCCCTAGGAGTATTGCATTGTCACTTGAGCTGTTCAAGATTTGGGATGTGATATTTTTAATCTGAACTTCCAAGAACCCATAAATATAATTAAATGATTCTGATGAAGCCAGTCCCAAATATCTGGGCCATGACATTTACTTCATCATTTAATTGGGCAGAGAAACAAACATTAATAGAATAAATTGGAAATCTTAATCATACAAACATGCAGATATGGAGAAAATCTTCACATTCCCTTGCACAGCTCATCCTCGTTGTTGCCTCTGTCTTCTTTCCCTCTGTTATTATTCTACCGCTAACCTGAAAATATCTTCTTACATTCTTTCCATTATTCAAATGCATCCATCGTGCAAAATAATAATTTATTCATTCATTTTCTGAGCTCAGTAACCTACAAGGGAATGCTTAATTGTTGGCTATATCTTTTTTCTCTAGTAATTTCATACATGCCTCTGTTTCTAAATCATTGTTATGCTTCTGAAGAATAAGGATCATAAAATGGTGGTACACAACCCTTAAAGATGTAAGAAATTTGAGCAATATTTAGACATGATACAAGGATCATTTTCAATATGGAGAAACTGAGCCCCAGAAGATTTAAATTCATTCAATCATGTATTTGGTAAGTGAGCATTCACATTGTGGCTGGTACTGTGTTGAATGCCGTGTATACAATGCAGACCAAAAAATAACAGAGTTTCTGTTCTCATGGACTTCAGTCTGAAGGAGGGATTCAGCCACTAATCAAATAGACACTTAAGAGGTAAAATTTTAAATTGTGATCAGCATTTTCGGAAAGCATCTATAGTGATACAAGAGAATTTACTAGGGGAAATGGACCATTCCTTAGGTTCTACCATCAGCTAGAACAGAGTATAAATTGGAACCCAGATTTTCTTCTTCACAAATAATCCCTTAGATCGTTGACCACATAGTTTACATTAGATGAATTCTTCCCAATCAGTTGATTCACTATCGTTCAGGTGATCTGCAGTTGCAGATAAGCGTGGTATACAAATTTGAGTACTGAGGCCATTTATCTCTTTAGCCGTGGTTTCATATAGCTGATTTTCTGCTCTCTTAGGAACCAGTTCTGAGAAAAATATATAGGAGTTGTTATTTACACTGAATTTTGCCAGCATGAGGTAGGCCAACCAATCAGACCTATAGCTTCTGTGTTCTCTGACTAGGCTCCCACCAAAACATGTTTAACCATCACCTAGTACTTGAAATTCGAATTCAGCATAACAGCTACATGACTACCTGGTGTATTTTTGTACTTCTCTGGCATTGAGAAGAGCTCCCTTAAGGCCACACATTCCATATTCAGATAGATCTTTTAGAGTTGTAAAGATGTTTGTTTAATATAATGCGTTAAAGTGTAGCTACCTTCCAAGAGTTAGAACTCAGTATTAGCACCATATTCTCATCCAGCCACTGAGATATGTGACAAGTGAAAAGTGGTGTAAGATATATATGCACACATATATTCCTGGTGGAGACAGGCTATGACAACTTTCTGACTTTAATCTTGCAAATGATGGAGTACTTGACAATGCTGAATCACAGAAAAAAATCCAAAGCTTGCTCTGTGTATTAAAACATCCATTTAAAAATATTTAGAAAGAGCCACCAAGCACTTGTGAGCATATGTGCATATGCCCGCAGTTCCCTTTGCTCTGGAAAATATTCAAGTGGAAAGCTACTGCTCTGTTTCATAAGTAACAGCAATTTGTGACAAGCATGGAATATGCTGGGCATCATCAACTGCATTGTTATCAGCTGCAGTACAATTTAATTAGCGAGCCTGAGTTTGATTATCTGCCAGTGCATGCTACCTTAACTGCTCTGTTCCAGTTTGAGGACTAAATTTTGTCTGATCATGTTAACATATTTGAGAGCATACCTCAACATTCTCAAGTGTTTTGTTCGTCATATTATGCTCCCGCATCAACAAAATTGTATTAAAAGCCTTGACGTCAGCTCAAAATATTCTGAAGTGAATCAAAAGCTTATTATTTCTAGACGTAAGAATAACTTGACTTCATGTTAGATATGATTTCCTCATTTATAGTGCTGCTTAAATCAGATGAATGTAAAAGGATATACTGGTCACTATAATTTCAAGATTTTTTTAGATTTAGGTGTGTTTGTGTTCATGTTTCAGAATGAGTGTAGTTCCAGCTTCAGATAAGGAAAGGAAGTTTAGGGTGACAGGAAGAGAACACAGTAGCCAGAAAGCCAGATGACAAATAATAAGATTGTCCAGGCAAGGTATCAGAATCAAGGCAGTCCAGGAAAGGGCTAACAGGGCATCTCCCAGAGCAAACGCAGATGAAAACAGATGTCACATCAGCAAGCACTGGTCAGAGTCGTTTGTGTCTGGACTTCAGATGCTAGAAACAGCAAACTAGAGGGCTTTGGCCTTTTCAGTTTGGCTCTTGACAAAGACATTTTCCATTTGTAGACGCTGTCAAACACTCATTCTTTTCATCTGTGCACTCTCACATGTAAAATTAATGGCAACAATTAGAAGCGAATGACCGGACCTAACACATAAAATATCGACTTAAAGAAAACATATAGGAGGAGCTGGCTGAAGAAAATATGAGAAGGTTTAACATATGGTATTTAATTTTTTCTAACATTGCACAAATGCAATATTTTCTTTAAAATGTTTCATATAAATCTTGGCAGAATTTATATTGTTAATTGACTTCTGTCTTTTTAGATAACTTAAGTGCTTGTATATTACCCCCGGCCAATTGTAAATGCTTGGAAAGGAAGCCTTATCGTATATGCCTTTGTTTATTTGTGTTTTTTTGAGACGAAGTCTCGCTCTGTCGCCCAGGCTGGAGTGCAGTGGCATCATCTCGGCTCACTGCAAGCTCCGCCTCCCGGGTTCACGCCGTTCTCCTGCCTCAGCCTCCAGAGTAGCTGAGACTACAGATGCCCGCCACCACGCCCGGCTAATTTTTTGTATTTTTTTTTTTTTAGTAGAGACGGGGTTTCACCATGTTGGCCAGGATGGTCTCAATCTCCTGACCTCGTGATCTGCCTGCCTCGGCGTCCCAAAGTGCTGGGATTACAGGCGTGAGCCACTGCGCCCAGCGTATATGCCTTTGTTACAGTGTCTATGTTACCTGGCACTGTGTGAATTATAGGGCATCTGCCCAACCAAGTCTCGATAAATTTAATATTTAGTGTGTATACCATAAACTAAAATCCTAATAAAGTGCTAAGTGCAGTATGAAAGCCTTAAGGGAGGAAAAAAAGCAAAATTCACATTGTGTTAAATCTCGTCTCACGTAAGTGCACCTGGCTTACAGAGTAGATAACTCAATGGGGTCAAAACTGAACATTTTTATTTTTCTCCAATCACTGCCCTTAACAAGACTCTGTCTAGTATTTCTTTCCCATCACATAATGGCATCTTTGAAGCTGTGATCCCAAATTTTATCTAACGCTGTCTTCTTTTCCTATCAAGAAGGAACCTATGTGAGGAAGAGCCAATGTCTGATCTTCCTCTTCTCCTCTCACATCAGGGTCTTTGAGAAGACTGAGGGGGAAGGTAAAAGTATGTGGACTTCTCTTATTTACACACCTTCTTCCCTTTCTCTTCTGGGTCTAGCTTTTCTTGGGGTATGGCAGAGAGAAGAAAAGGGAAACTAAAGAATCTTCAGGTTTTACAGACCTGGCCGTGTATTGGTGGTGGGGAGGCAACTCTGGTGCCATGCAGGCTTCATCTAGAGACCCCAGTCCTACTCCGGCACAAACTCTTCTTTTCTGCTGCTAGTGGTGTCATCACCTTAGATGTTTCCCTGCTGCTGATGTGGATGGCTTCCTTAGGGTGATCTTTAGAACATTCTTAGTGAGACACAGACACATCTCCCTATAACCCACCTATGCCTTAGGCTCATTCATGGGCCTTTATCTTACTTTGTCTACTTATCTCCTGGGTGGGGACCTTGTCTCCTGCCCTCTCCCCTAAACTCATGTTTCTTCACATAAAAACACAGAAATAGGAACTCTTTTACACTGCTGGTGGGAGTGTAAATTAGTTCAACCATTGTGGAAGACAATGTGGCAATTCCTCAAGAATTGCCCGAAATAATATTTGAACCAGAAATAATATTTGACCCAGCAATACCATTACTGGGTATACATCCAAAGGATTATAAATCATTCTACTATAAAGACACATGCACATGTATGTTTATTGCAGCACTGTTCACAATAGGAAAGACTTGGAGTCAACCCAAATGCCCATCAATGATAGACTAAATTAAGAAAATTGTGGCACATATACACCATGGAATACTATGCAGCCATAAAAAAGAATGAGTTCATGACCTTTGTAGGGACATGGATGACGCTGGAAACCATCATTCTCAGCAAACTAACACAGGTACAGAAAACCAAATACCACATGTCCTCACTCATAAGTGGGAGTTGAACAATGAGAACACATGGACACGAGGGTGGGGGTGGCATCACACACCGAGGCCTGTCAGGGAGTGGGGGGCAAGGGGAGAGATAGCATTAGGAGAAACACCTAATGTAGATGACGGGTTGATGGGTGCAGCAAACCACCATGGCACATGTATACCTATGTAACAAACCTGTATGTTCTGCACATGTGTCCCAGAACTTAAAGTATAATAATAATAATAATAAAACAGAACTTTGAAGTTCTCTTCTACAGCTTTGAGAGCTTTGGATAACTGGAATGAAGGCATGGGGTTACCTCCATCTTCTTCCTGGCACAACAGAGCAACTGCCCCTTTTGCCATGCTCTTATGAATGCTTCAGGCAAATGTGATTCCCAGGAATCTTCAGGTGAAAAGCAGACACCAGCCTCTCCTTCATCTATACCTGCAAGCTCCAGAGAGCAGATGGTAAGCTTTCTCCTCCCTTCCCTGGGGCAAGCATTTCATTCTCTTCTGAGGGTGACACTCTTGTGCCTGCAGGTACTACTGCCAGCATGACTGTCCCTGGGACTCTCGCTCATGCAAACCCCATAAATAATCATGAAAAGTCCTAAAAAAACACTCATGCTGATTTTTTTTTACTTCGTAGACAGTTCTTAGAAATGAATAGATCCCCTACCTATCATCATATACTTTTACTCTTAATTTGTGTTTAAAAATAATTAAGTTATAATAAAAAAGGCAAAAATAATCTACTTGAGATTCAGCAAAAAAAAAAAATCATTATAGCAAAGAATTCTTAGTCTTAGATGTCAGAGTGAATTCCTGCATAAAGCTTTATAATCTTCTCACTAAAAGTCATTAACATTCATTATACATAGAAATAGTGAGGAGAATAGTTAAAACAGCTGTGTACATTAATAGATAATTTTAAAAAGTATTCTGGGTAAAGAACATTCTGCACTGTGGCATTGTAGTTAAAAATATGGAACCCTGAGTGAGAAGAATCTGGGTTCAGGTTATGAACTGTGGCCTTGAGCGCATTATGCAACCTCCTGAGCTTCAGTTTCCTCGTCAATAAAATGGGCATAGTGATTCCTAGCCCAGAATTATTGTAGGAATTGAAACAGATAAGGCATGTAGACATGCAAAAAGCCCTTAATAAGTAGTAAACATCACCTTGTACCCCATAAATATATATAAATTGTTCATTAAAAATTAAATAAAATAAGTAGTAATATCTTTATTATTTTGACAAAATATAATCCTCTATTATCCTATGTACTTGATTTGTGGAAAGACACAATTATCCTCTATACGTGATTTGTGGAAAGACAGTCTAAAACCAAGAGAGAGAAATTCTTCTAATAATTCTTTTAAACAAAGTAATTTCATTTTGAAAAAGAATGCCAGTTATTCTTCTGCTTCAAACTTAAGCATTCAGTTATCTTAAGACTTCAGGCTTCAAACTTAAGTATTCAGTTATTTTAAGACTATCCAAGGATATATCAGGATAAATGTACAGAATATCAATATTTCACTGAGATGGTGTGTTTCACTAAGTCATTTGCATTGTATAATGTAAGATATCATCTTCTAGGTGGGAAATGAGAAATACATTCCATAGATGATGAGTTTGGAAACATTTTGACCCGAAAGGAATTAATATGGAAGACAAGTTTTAGAAATGCTGAGGCTCAGACTTTGAAGCCCATGTTCTACCTATCTAGTGTGTGCATGTATGTGATCACATTGCCTCACATAATATAATGCAGAGGTCAAACTGTGTCATTTCTAACATCCCTTCAGCTCTAGCTTTCCACAATTAAGTGAGTGGAATCCTGCTGAATGCAGTTGTTCTATTTTTAAGTTTCATTTTTGTCTGTACTTTTCCTAAAGCAAAGATCACCTCGTCTAAACTTCAAGAATTATAAGATGCTTTTTTCTCAGTCAGAAAACCCCTACCCAAAACTTGAGAATTTTGTGTCCCTATCAGTATTACCTAATTAGTATTTCCTATCTATTCCAATCTAAAAAAAAAACATCATAACAAAAAGAATATTCTATACTCTATATCACTTATTTTTATTTCATAATAAGGCAAAGCTGTTATCATATGTGAAACCCTACTTGTCCCTGAAAATCCTGGTCTTTAATGAAAAGTAAAAATAAATAATAACTTCTTTTGTGGTTATGTTGTGATACTCCTTTTTATCAATTGGTATTACCAAGTTAAGGGATTAATACAATAATTGAGCTCTGTTTTGAATTCAGAATGATCCAACTTACTCAGTGTGAGAAAGAATTTAGAAAAAAAGAAGGTAAATTTAGTTTCACACTAAGGAACTCGTGTTAATATTAGCCCTATTAATAATGATAAACATAATGGTTAATACTTGTTGGGTTGGGCACTGCTGTGCAAAAGGCAGTGTTCTGGGCATTTTGCATACACTGATTCGGTCTATCCCTAGAGCATCCCCAGGAGGTAGGTATCAATCGTGTTTCCTCATTATTGTAGTGAGGAAACTGATAAACAGGAATTTTAGCCACTTACTGAGGTTTGCCTAGATTGTGAGTAACACAGACAGTACATTGGAAAAAACAACATTTGTGAAAAATATTTTACCTGTGATTCTGAGCTGCAAATATTTTTAAAATTGTACAATGTACTCTAAAAATTGATGATGATAATTTACTATAGTAATTATATTGTAAAATAGAATGCTCTTAAATGATGTAAAACTAAAAATGTAAAACAACATACAAATGCATTTAAAATGTTAAAAGGAAAGTAAATATATTTATAATAAATAACATTTAGAATGTATATAATTAGTATGTTTAATGAGTACTAAATCTTTCTCTTTACAGAGTTACAGGAAATTCTGGTTTTGAGATTCTGTAATTTGTACAAACTCATTTTATTAAGGAGAGAAAATGGTGTTTAGAAATAGTCACTGAGAAATTGTTCTCTATTTCTACTAAGGAACCACCCTCTTCCTCTAGGCTATAAACTGGATCTTTTCCCTAACCCCCTACTTTTTTAAATAAAGCAGGAAAGTAATGATCTGGGCCACTTTTAAAGCACATTATTATAATATTTGAATTTAAGGTGTATTAAACATTCTGACATTAAGTGTCATCATTCTCATAGTCCCTAGGCCTGGGAACGTAGCCTGGCATGGAGGCACCATGAGGGAAGCAGGTAGCTGCATGATGTTCCCTAGGAGAAAAGAGGTTCAGGAAGCTGAGACAGACACAAGAAAGCTGGGAAAGCATAGCAAGGGGGAGGGAGAGAGAAGAGGTCTGGGTTGAAATCACGGAATGAGCAGGTTAGAAGAAAATGAACCTGCTAAGGAGGTCCAGGAGGAGGAGCCAGAAGCAAGGGAAATGAGAGGAAAATGCAGACACCACTAGAGAGCAGTTTGGTTGACCTGCCAAATGATTCAGAAGACTCGGAAGTGGAAAAATCTTCTTTTCCCATCTGCAGCCTCTCCAGAGAGAGATGATGATGATCCAGGAGCTGAGCTCAACGAAGACAGAAGTACATGCTCCTCTCTCCTCAAAGGGAAACATCAATGAAATTCACCTTGCTGAATGCTCAGACATTAATTTTCAAGGAAGGGTTCCAGCTCAGGATGGGGCTTAGGGTGTGGCCTATGAGGCACTCTCCTGGGGCACAAAATTTTAAAGGGTGCTAGAAATTCCAGTAATCAAGATAAATAATATTTTAATGCAATATTTTTAAAAACTGAAATTAATACAAAAAATCTGGGATGCACAAAATATCAGAAAGTTTAATAAATCCAGGCTGTTTTACCATGTGGCATTGTTGTGCAACAGCAATTGTCTCAGCCCATGTCCAGGGCATCTGAATGTTGACAATGGTGTGAAAACGGATTGGGCAGCACGGATTCATATATAGTCATATTTTTAAAAAATATAGAGCTGTTATTGACTTCTCCACTTGGCCCAAACTATAAGAAGGTATTTTGATATATGTATATGGGGTTCTTTTTTTTCTTTATACTTTAGGCTCTAATGTGGGACTGCTTCTGAAAGCATATATTTGATGAGGCAAAATTAAAAAGGGAAGGCAAGCAGGCTAAATACTTGAAGATGTTAATTTTAAAAATAAGGAGCTGGGCACAGGGACCATTCCCTAAATTGCATTAGAGAATTGTATTGATGGGTTGAACATAGGGGTAAGGGGGAATTTAGAACTAGATGAAACCAATTTGACTTGATCTCTCCATTTTACAAGATAATTTTGTTTGCAGTAAATACTAACAAAGTAGCTAGAGATTTTAGAGAAACCAAGAAGTGGTCTTTAAAGAGGCCACGGAAGAAAAGTTATTGAGTAAAAGTCATTCCCTAGAAAATAACACATTAATTAACATATCCAGGCATAGACACTTGACAGTTTGACAAAGGTGGGCTCGAAAAGAGGAGAAGGCAAATGAATTAAATGACAAATTCTACACGGTTCCTGCAGTGATGCCTTTGCTTAGGCAGTAATACAGATTAGAATTTTAAAATGAAGAAAACGAACTGGACCAGCCTCCCTAAAATTATCAATAATAAATTTATGCTTCATTCAGACTCAATATGACTGAGGTTAGACAGTTCTCCGTTATAAAAGAAAATGTATCTATTAACTTGTTATCTTCAAGAACTGGGATTTTGCATTTTCAATGGTTTTGAGTTAAAAGTTTTTGTAGATTCCTTTTAAACATTTACTGCTTATTTATAAGTATGTTTATCATTTACTTAACCTCAGTTGAAGCATATTCTGCTTACATGTTATTAGATGTCTTGTTATAAATAAATGGATAGTATTTTAAGGTGAAAAATTTCATATATTAATGTTCACTGCTTAAAACTAAAAGGTGAAAGTTAAAATTATTTTATTAAAACATTTATTTTTATGTTTGTATAATTTCATTTTGTTTAAAATGGCCTTCATTAACAGAGAAGGGATCTTGCACTGGCATTTTAAATGTTGGGATCTTTGCTTGTGGCCTTGGTTTCTGAGTGAGAAAAGGAAAGCCAAGTGGTATATAAATAAAATTTAGATAAAATAATCAAAAATTTAAAACTAAAGTATTTGAGTCATTATTCTCAAATTTTTTGGGTTAAACCCAAACATAAATGGACATTCACTGTACAAAACAAAAATGTAATATTTTGTGGAATTTAAAATATATATGTAATTAAAATTCATGACTACTATAAACAAACCAAGATTGCAGGTATAGCCTTCAGAGTAAGCATTAATAAAATATGTGACTAACAAATTAATAAGAAATTAGTGGACAAATAGAACTTTTGATTAATTAAAGAAAAAAGAATGTAGAGAAAGAGGACCATAAACTCAGGGGGTCAAGTGGAAATAACTGGTAAGACAAAAACACAACTATATCAGATATTACAATAAATATAAGTTAAACTAAATAAACCAAATAAGAAATAAAATACATTGAATAAGAAAGAAAGCCCAGCAATACGCAGCATAGAAGAAACACATTTTAAATACAAGAACATATAAAATTAAAAGTAAGAGAACAGAAAATGTTTACTATGAAAAACATTAACAAAAAAAGATCATCTAGCTATGCTAAGATCAGAAAAGTATGCTTTAAGGAAACGAGCTTTATAAAAGTTAAAGAAGGGCATTTCAGAATAATAAAGGGGTCATTGAAACAATAGAGTGACATACTCCTGGGTCTGCATGTACTCAGTGACAAGGTTTCAAAATATATGACAGAAATGGAAGGAAATAAACGTGAAACAGACTTCCAAAAGCTGACAGAATAAAGGGACAAAAAAAATTTAGTAAGGTTTGAAAAGATTTGAATATCATCATTAATTTGACCTAGTTAACATATATAGAATAGTGCACTGAACAACAAGGAAATGAATGACTAAGTGCAATGGATACCAATATTAACTATATGCTGGCCACAAATTAAGTCTTACCAAAGAATTTACTAATTCAGAATATATTCTCTGATTACATCAGAATTAAGACAAAATAATGAGAAGAAAGCTACCAAAATCTCCGCCTGCTTAGAAATCAAGCAATAAATGTCTATTCAATACATAGACCAAAAAAGAAATCAAAACAGACATTAGAAAATATATTTAACTAAATGATAATAAAGGTATAGCATATAAAAATCTCATGAGATACAGCAAAAGAGGTGCTTAAATAAAATTCTATGATCTTATGTTGATCCAAGGGTACCAACTTTCTGTTATAAAAATAAGATCTGGGGATCTAATGTACAGCATGGTGACAATAGTTAATAATATTGTATTGTATACTTGGAATTAGCTAAGAGAGTTTATCTTGAGTTCTCATCAAAAAAACAAAAATTAAAAAGGGAAACTACGTGAGTTGAGGGAAGAATATGTTAATTAACTTCATTGTGGTAATCACTTTACAATATATACCTATATTGAATCTTCATGTTGTACACTTTAAATATACACTTTATTTATTTATTTATTTATTTATTTATTTATTTATTTATTTATTTATTTTCTGTGACAGAATCTTGCTGTTTCACCCAGGCCTGGTCAGGAGTTCGAGACCAACCTGGACAACATAGCTAAATATATACTTTAAATATGTGAATTTTATTTTTCAGTTATTCCTTAACAAGCTGAAATTTTTTATAATTTTAAATGTACATATTAAAAGGGATGAGAAAGATTCATCAGTATTTGCTGCTTCACATTGCACAATTATGTTATGGAGGTGGCTTCTTTCCTTAAACCTCATGTACCCACCTCTGCTGGCTTACAACTTTTTTCTGTGGCTTCCTCACCTCTCTCAGCCTCCATAGAAGTTCTTGCTCTGGATTAGGCTTCAGCTTAAGGGAATGTTGTGGTGGGTTTGACCTTCTAACCAGACCACTAAAACTTTTTCCATATCAGCAATAAGGCTGTTTTGCTTTCTTATCATGCATACGTTCACTGGAGAAGTACTCTGAATTTCCTTCAAGAAAGTTTCCTTTGCATTCAGAAGTTGGCCAACTGTTTTTTTGCAAGAGGTTTAGTTTTTGGCCTATCTTGGTTTTCAACATGCCTTCCTCACTAACCATGTCTAGCCTTTGATTTAAAGTGAAAGACGTGTGACTCTTCCTTTCACTTAGAGGGCATCGTACTCATTTGCCTAAATTCAATACTGTTGTGTCTCAGGGAACAGGGAAGCCTAAGGAGAGGGAGAGAGACAGGGGAATGGCTGGTTGGTGGAGCAGTCAGAACGCACATAACATTGATTAAGTTCACCATCTTACGTGGGCACAGTTCATGGTGCTCCAAAACAATTACCATAGTAACATCAAGGATCACTGACCACAGATCACCATAACAGACGTAATGATAATTTAAAAAGTTTGAAATATTGAAGAAATTGCAAAAAATGTGACACAAAGACACAAAGTGAGCATATGCTGTCGGAAAAATGGCACCAATAGACTTGCTCGAAGCAGGATTGTTGCAAACCTTTAATTTGTGAAAAATGCTGTATCTCTGAAGCACAATAAAGTGAAGCATGGTAAAATAAGGTTTTTCTATATTATATATATATATATGTATACATACAAAAAACTACCAAAAGAGGAGATGGCAAACTATGGCCCCAGAGCAAATCTTTCTCACAGCCTGTTTCTTGAAGCTAGATATGGTTTTTATATTTTTAAATCTTTATGAATAAGAAAAGAAGGAGAAATAGGAGAAGATTTGCTATACAACATAGTGCCTATAAATAATACTGGTATTGTGCACCTGAATATTTAAGACTGTAGACTTATGTTAAGTCTCCAAACAATGATGTAATCTTTCGTTGAATTTAAAATATATATAATTAAAATTCATAACTACAATAAACAAATCAAGAATGCAGGTATAGCCTTCAGAGTAAGCACTAATAGAATGTATGACATACACACATATGTATACACACAGACACACACATAAAGGGGCATAGGGAAACTTTTGGAGGTGATGCACGTGTTTATTACCTTGATTTTGATGATGGTATCACAGTTGTGTGCCTACGTCCAAATGCTTCAAGTTGTACACATTTAGCATGTGCATTTTTTATACAGTTATACCCCAATAAAGCTGATAAAGGTACATCAGGGAGTTTATTAATAAAATATTGAGTTATTTGCATTTTTAATATTTATGGTGTTCATCAACTTTTATAATTAGTAACTGAGGAAGATATTTTTACTCATTCTAAATAAATATTTACTTTTGTTCCTAATTTTGGGTTTCTTGTTTTGCATTTTTAAAAAAGTTCCTCCCAATTGTCAAAGTTTCTGGGCCCACAAAATCTGGACCTGCTCCTAATTTTTTGCCACATATCTGAGTCTGGGTATTTTCTTCGTGGCTTTTAGGGGGCTTTGGGGTTCTACTGCCATGCCTGTGATTCCTAGTATTTGGAAGGTAACTAGAGGTTGCAGACCAGAAGGAACAGAAAGCCACCTGACCTAAGCTCTAGCTGTGGTAGAAAAAGGTGTGTAGGCCTGCTATGGTGACATAGGGCTAGTTACTTTACCTGTCCCTTTGCTCTACACAACTGATACTATGCATAGTTCCTTCTACCTCAATCCAGGCCCTGTTACCTCTGTATTGTATCACCAAATTGTAATTTGAAAAAAAAAAAAAAAAAACATAATAAAAAGGGCTCAAATATGCCAAGATTTTGTTTTATTTTATTATTATCTTTTTGAGACAGGATCTCACTCTGTTACCCAGGCTGGGGTGCAGTGGTGCATTCACGGGTCACTGCTGCCTGGACCTCCAGGGCTCAAGCAAACTTTCTGCCTCAGCCTCCCAAGTGGCTAGAACTACAGGCCACAGTGCCTGGCTAATTTTTACAATTGTTCTTGTGGAGAGAGGGTCTCACATGTTGCTCAGGCTGATCTCAAACTCCTGGGCTCAAGCGATCCTCCTGCCTTGGCCTCTCAGGCATGAATCACTGCACTTGGCCTCCATGATGTTAAAATGAGATATTTGTGATATACAGCATGCTGAACAATCTCTAACATGATAATTAGAATAACCTTCAAATATGTAAATTCTAACCATACCTTAGAGCACATTTTAAAATTCCCTGTCTTCTATTATATTACTTGCTCCCAAATATTCAAAATTATTAATTCAATTGATTGATTCTGAGAAGACGGTAGGGTGATGGCTTAGTTTTTCAATCTCTCTAAATCTCCACACAAAAATAGAGGGAACAGTAAAGAAACAAAAATCTGGGCATCTGTTAGGATTTAGTATATATTTTTTACTATTTACCTATGATATGCTCTATTTCATGTGAATATAGTTTGTTTTACTACTATAATTCCTTATAACCAAGACTAATATAATAGATTTTCTGTATTCTCCAGTAGATCTAAGTGAGTTTCCACTTCATATTGAATCATCACTAAGTAAACCTATTTATATTCCTGAGGAAATTTATATTTGAAAACAACTGGGAAAGCATGCCCTGAAGTAGGTGGTAATGATAAAAGTTAATTTTGATGGAGTGGCGTTTTCAAATGAGTCAAATGTGGCCAGTAGCTCCTCATCTATAAAAAATACAAAAGTAAATTCAGCCCTAATTTGGTGAATCAATCACTTTTTCATTTCATTGACTCTTGAACCAAGGGATTATGTTCACTCTTGAATATAAAACCTCATTCATTAAAAGACAGCCTTTGACCAAACCAATTCCATTTATACAAATGCAATTAATTTAAAGGAGCTGAGTGCTCCTTTGCACAATGCTTTGCAGCAGTAGTATGCTCATCAAATCCAATGTGGTTGTTTACAGTTATTATAGAAACATTATCTCCAATGAGCCAAAACTACTTCTAGGAAATGTAGTAGTTATATTTATCTCCAAAATGTTTTCTTTCTCAAAATTATTTTATCTGTAAATGATAAAACAGCAAGATTTATCAGTTTTTACTTCTATAAGTTACAAATACTGAAATGTCCCACATAAACCTTGTTCAGTTATGAACACATTTATGAACCATAAGTTATGGTGTCTTCAAACCATTTGCATTTTTGGAGCAATAATTTTTAAATGTTATTTCCTCATACAATTCATGACAGATGATGTTCAAATATGGATGCACTCCTTCTCATGCATACAATTATATATTTATGAAACCTAATATTTACAGGGACATAAAGTACTGCAGTAATTCATGCATACTGCTTTTATTAATGACAGGTGGTTCCCAGATGGGACCATCAACTGCCGGTACAAGGCACAGTGTCCTGGCCATAATCCAACTCTATCTCCCCAACTCAGGAAAATCTACCAAAACACAATAATATTAGTATGACAATAACCATGTTCTACTCTGCAAAAATGTTATGAGTTAAAATTTTACTTTAATTATTTGTGGAAATAGTCACTTGCAGTACTTTGGATTAGTATGTCATGAACCAGAGATTAAGAATTACAGTTTGAGGTTATAATCAGATCTCTCTATTCAATTTCCTGCCGTAAACTTTTCATTTAAAAACAAGTCAGGATTCAATCTATGTTTGCTATATAAAGGTATTAAGTATATGAGGAAAATAAGTGTATATATATTAATATTGCAATTATATGTCTTTGGAGCTCAGAGAGATTAAATTATCAAGCCTGTGCTCAGCCAGGATTAGAAACAATTCTTTTTAATTCCAATTACTTTAAATTTTACTAAAACCAATTGACTAAATCCAAAAGTAAAAAAAAGTACTGAATTTTGCAAGAAATGAAATTTTATAAACATTTTTAGAAAACATTATTTCACACATACTAAAAAGTTGCAAAAATTATACAAAGAACTTTAGGAGGCCAAGGCGGGTGGTTCACTTGAGCCCAGGAGTTCAAGATCAGCCTGGGCAACATGGTGAAACCCCATCTCTACTAAAAATACAACAATTAGCCGGGCATGGTGGCTTGTGCCTGTAATCCCAGCTACTCAGGAGGCTGAAGCAGGAGAATTGCTTGAGCATGGGAGGCAGAGGTTGCAGTGAGCCGAGATCACGCCACCGCCCTCCAGCCTGGGTGACACAGCGAGACTCCATCTCAAAAAAAAAAAAAAAAAAAAAAAAAATTATACAAAGAATCTCTGTCAACACTTTGCTAAAGGCCTCAAATGTTAACATTTCACATTTTCTTTACTCTCTCTCTCCATAGATAGAGATATGTTATATATAAAAAATATCTATATTGTATTTATATACATATGTATATATAAATTTGTTATATTAACACATACATATGTTATATATATAACAAATTTATACATACACATACTTATGTGTGTGTATATACATATACATATATATATATATATATATATATTCTGAGTCATTTAGGAGTAAATTATGGAGATATATCCCTTTATTCCTAAATTATTCAGTTTGTATTTCCTGGAAAACAAATTCTCTTATATAAACACCTGACAGTGATTAAAACTAGGAAATTAACTTTGATATAATGCTATCATCTCATGTACAGACTTTATTCAAATTTCACCAACTTCCCATTAATATTCTTTAAAGAAAGGGCAAAAAATAGTTTCTTCTGCAAAATCTAATATAAGGTTCTTTTTTTATTTAGTTATTGTGCACCTTTGGTCTCTTTTGACCTGGAACTGTCTTTTATGACCTTCACATTTTGAAGAGCACAGATCACTTATTGCAAAGAATATTGTTCATTTTGTTTTTATCTGATGTTTCCTCAGAGTTAGATTTCAGTTATGGGTTTTGTGCAGAGTAGCACAAAAGTGATGTTGTGTACTTAGCGCCTGATATGAGAATGAACATTATAGTACACAATTGTTCCATCTTGATCCCTTGGTTAAGATGCTGTCTGCTAGGTTCCTCCATTGTAGAGTCACCATCTTCACTTTGTCACTAATAAGTATTTTATGAAGGAGATGCTTTGAGGTTATATAAATATTATCTTTCTCATCAATTTGCATCCATTAGTTTTTAGCTTTCATGGATGTTTCTTGCCAGAAATAATTATTATGGTGTTTGCCAAATGTTGATCTTGTATCTCATTTTTCTTTTAAAATGTATTAGCTGTCATTGTCCTATAAATAATGCCTTCATTTATCCATTTATCATTTTTTATTTCAGTGGGTTATAATTCTTTACTGACATTTTTATCCTCAGAGTTATCCTATATTTGGCCAGTGGGATGCCTTTCAAACAGACTCCTATGTCCTTTTCACATGGTCCCATCATTCTTTGAGCACGTTCTTACTTTCTGACACAGAAAGCTTCTCCAGGTTCATCTTGTATTTTTTCATTCCATGCCCGAGAATTAGCCAGTTCTCCAGGGAGCCCTGGATCTTTTTAGAGACGAAAGGTATTTATAAACAAAGAGCTAAGGGCTATACGAACCCTGTAGCAATCTACTTTGTAAAAACATTTATTTATACATACACACCAATATCTGTCTATACATTAATCTAATATCTATCATTTATCTTTATAACTATGAGCTCATCCCCATCCCTCCAATTCTAACAAAATACCATATGCCATTCTAGTGTCTTTCAGACTTGGAATTTGATTTTGGGTTATTTTAACGAGTTAGCCTGCCACGGTTTCATGGATGCTAATAGAAGATACAAGACTTCTGAGTCAGAGACAAAGGACATTTTACTCACAGCATAGCAAGCAACATGATTTGCGTGGGATCCTCTTGCTCTCAAGTCCCATGGGGATGATGTGCGGGCCGCAGATGGGAACTGGATACACAGTGGATTTGCAGCATGGCTGAAGAACTTATTGGTTTGTAGCAAAATAAGCAAACCTGTTTTTTTGTCTTGAAGTCATGACTTCATCTCTCAAAACTGCTTGCACATCCAACGCTGAGAAACGGCCTGGATAAAAAGTGGCGAGGGTGTTGCATTCCTGGCACACCCAGCAATGATGCACAGGGATGCCCAGAGCCCTTCGTGGATTGCTGCTCCAAACGCTTACCCTTCCCATTTTGTGATACTCTTTTCTGATGATAGCAAACCTGACTTCTGCTACGCTTCATTCATTTATGTATCTGCTCAATCCTACAGTATGCACTAAGAAGTTTCAGAATTTCTAAACTATACCTCTGAAACACTAACCTACCAACTACTAACTTGTTTGCCTTTTTTTTTTTTAGCCAGAAAGTATATAGTCAAAATACCAAATTCAACAAGTAATTGGGTTAGTTCCTTATTTCTCAGTTGAGTGTATTATGTTATTCATTTCCTTCTGTTTGTATTCTATGGTACCCCTCCCTTTTTATTTATTTTATTTGCTTTTAAAGATTAAAAAAAAACATGTTCTTTCCCTGAAAATTTCAAAAAAAAAAGAAAAAGAAAAAGAAAAACATAGCATGTTCTAACAGACACGGGCCGATTTGAGGGTGAATGGTGGCAGAAGGGAGATGATCAGGAAAAATACTTATCAAGTATGGTGTTGATTACCTGGGTGATGAAATAATCCATACACCAAACTTCTGTGCCACATAATTTGCTTATATGACAAACCTGCGCATGTACTCCTGAACCTAAAATAAAAGTTAGAATTAATTAATTAATTAATAAAATAGCATATTCTAAAAATCAAATCCATACCAAACATATACTAGGAAAAATGTCACTCCATTGTTACCCTATCCCTATCCCTTCTCCCCATAATTTCTATCTCATTTCAAACCACCCTGGTGAAAGACAAGTTTCTCATTTTATTTCTTCTTCTCAAGTTCACCAGCTTTTCATTGTCGATGTTCTGAATCACATAACTTTTGGATAAGAAATTACTTTCTAGACAACCAATCATATTTTTACAAAAGATTATACTCTCTTTAGCTATTCATAACCAATTGAAAATGAAAGAAATCAACCTCAAACAATCTTGTCCCTCTTGAAAATAGGAAATCAAATCAAATTAGAACTGTTTTCTAACGCCCGCTATGTTGGAAAGCTCTTGGTAAGGATACACAAATCTTCCTAGTTTATTAGGAATAAATTTGGGAATTAAGCATCTATTCTACCTTTCTTGTACAAAGTGCATTTGTGAGTAATCAGACAGTTGATAAAAGAACCTTCTTTCTGAAATAATTCTAAACAAATTCAGAAAGAATTTAAAATACATGTAATATTTTTCCTAATAAAATCATAGAACTAGGTAACATTCATCAGTTTTAAAATCCTTAGGTAAAGGCCAATAGGAAACCTTACAATGGATGGATCAGGTTGATCACACATGAATTCACAGATCAATCTTAATATCAAGTAAAAGGGATTGAAACAAGACGTCATGTACCATCTGATACAGAGCAATAGAAAGCACTCACAACCACCTATGAAATGTTCTTGTCAAAAGGAATTTAGTTAAGCATCTAGATCTGACTTTCAGTTCATAGGACATTCATAGAGTAAATGAGCATGTTTAAAAAATACCATGATGCTGCTATTCAGATTGTGGGAAATTCCAACAAACAAACAGCAAGAAAAAATGAAGGAGAAAAACTGTAATATATCAACAGAGGTTAAGAGGCATATTACACAAAGGCAATGTGTAGACTTTGTATCTTCATTTGAATAAGCCAACTGAAACAATGCATTTACAATAGAACCAGCAAAATTGGAACACTATTTAGATACAATTTTATGCTCTGGAATTATTGTTTTTAGGTGTGATAATGACATTCTCCTCATATTTTTTTAAAGTTCCTGCCCTTTAAAGATACACTGTTAGGTATTTACAGATGAAATGATATCATATCTAGGAATTCAATTAAACTATGCCAATGGGGGTGATTAGGCAGAAATATGAATTAAACTACATTTTTATGTTTGAAGTTTTTCACAATAAAAACATGTTTTTAAAAACCATTTTTTAGCTTTTTTCCTTAGGGACATTAAAAATTTTAAATAGAAATTTGGACATTTGTAAAACTAAGTTTTAAAGACTACAGCTATTAAATAAAATAGTTGCTTTGCTAAACTTTATCAAGCTAAAAAGGCTCTAATATTTATGAAGACCAGCTTCGTTTTACTTGAGTCACCTCCTTATTTTTATGACTTGATGTATCATTTGTTTTTGGATCCTGCAGTCTGAGTATAGCAAGAGAGTGCCGGAAACATGGAGAGCCAGAACTAACTGATATGGGCTGATTTTGAAAATACTATTACTTGTTTGAAGTTGAGATTACCTCAGACCAATTTTCTCAAGCAGCTAGTGTCTATGTTTTCTAGAGTTAAATTTATTTCATATTGCAAGTATTTTAACCTGGGCATGGTGGCTCACGCCTCTAATCCCAGCACTTTGGGAGGCCGAGGCAGGCAGATTGCTTGAGCTCAGGAGTTTGAGACCAGCCTGAGCAACATGGTGAAACCATATCTCCACAAAAAACACAAAAATTAGCTGGGCATGGTGGCCTGTGTACTTGTAGTTCAGCTACTTGGGAGGCTGTGGTGGGAGATCACTTGAGCCTGGGAGGCAGAGGTTGCAGTGGGCTGAGATCGTGCCACTGCACTCCAGCCTGAGTGACAGAGAGAGACCCTGGCTTAAAAAAGCCAAAACAAAAACCAAAGTATTCTAAAATTCAAGGTGTAAAATGTTGATTCATATTAAATTTTAAATAACATTTTATTAAAAGGTCAAATAGTAGTAATCTGGCAAATTATGTGTGTGTGTGTGTTTGTATGTGTGTGTGAATATATATATAGAGAGAGACATAGCTTACTCTATTACTGTTTTATTTTATCTTCAATTGACGAATGATTGTGAGAGGTGACAGAGTGCTGGCAGTCCTCAGAGCCCTCGCTTGCTCTCGGCACCTCCCCTGCTTGGGCTCCCACTTTGGCGGCATTTGAGGAGCCCTTCAGCCCTCCCACTGCACTGTGGGAGCCACTTTCTGGGCTGGCCAAGGCTGGAGCCCACTCCCTCAGCTTGCAGGGAGGTGTGGAGGGAGAGGCGCGAGCTGGAACTGGGGCTGCGTGCGGCGCTTGCGGGCCAGCTGGAGTTCCGGGTGGGCGTGGGCTTGGCGGGCCCCGCACTCGGAGCAGCCGGCCAGTCCTGCCGGCCCCGGGCAATGAGGGACTTAGCACCCGGGCCAGCGGCTGTGGAGGGTGTACTGGGTCCCCCAACAGTGCCAGCCCACCGGCGCTGCGCTCGATTTCTCACCGAGCCTTAGCTGCCTTCCCGCGGGGCATGGCTCGGGACCTGCAGCTCGCCATGCCTGAGCCTCCCACCCACTCCATGGGCTCCTGTGCGGCCCGAGCCTCCCAGACGAGCACCACCCCCTGCTCCAGGGCGCCCAGTCCCATCGACCACCTAAGGGCTGAGGAATGCAAGCGCACGGCGCAGGACTGGCAGGCAGCTCCACCTGCAGCCCCGGTGCGGGATCCACTAGGTGAAGCCACCTGGGCTCCTGAGTCTGGTGAGGACGTGGAGAGTCTTTATATCTAGCTCAGGGATTGTAAATACACCAATCAGTACCCTGTGTTTAGCTCAAGGTTTGTGAGTGCACCAATCGACACTCTGTGTCTAGCTGCTCTGGTGGGGCCTTGGAGAACCTGTGTGTGGAAACTCTGTATCTAACTATCTGTTGGGGACTTGGAGAACCTTTATGTCTAGCTCAAGGATTGTAAATACACCAATCGGCACTCTGTATCTAGCTTAAGGTTTGTAAACACACCAATCAGCACCCTGTGTTTAGCTCAAGGTTTGTGAATGCACCAATCGACACTCTGTATCTAGCTGCTCTGGTGGGGCCTTGGAGAACCTGTGTGTGGAAACTCTGTATGGAACTAATCTGATAGGGACATGGAGAACCTTTGTATCTAGCTCAGGGATTGTAAACGCACCAATCAGTGCCCTGACAAAACAGGCCACTCGGCTCTACCAATCAGCATGATGTGGGTGGGGCCAGATAAGAGAATAAAAGCAGGCTGCCCCAACCAGCATTGGCAACCCGCTCGGGTCCCCTTCCACACTGTGGAAGCTTTGTTCTTTTGCTCTTTGCAATAAATCTTGCTACTGCTCACTCTTTGGGTCCACGCTGCTTTTATGAGCGGTAACACTCACTGCGAAGGTCTGCAGCTTGACTCCTGAGCCAGCGAGACCACGAACCCACCAGAAGGAAGAAACTCCGAACACATCTGAACATCAGAAGGGACAGACTCCAGATGCGCCACCTTAAGAGCTGTAACACTCACCGCGAGGGTCCGCGGCTTCATTCTTGAAGTCAGTGAGACCAATAACCCACCAATTCCGGACATAATTGTATGTATTTATGGGGTACAGTGTGATGTTTTGATACATGTATACAGTTTGTAATGATTAAATCAGGGTGGTTAGCATATTTGTCTACTGTATTAGTCTGTTTTCACACTGCTATAAAGATACTACCTGAGACTGGGTAATTTATAAAGGAAAGAGATTTAATTGTCTCACAGTTCCACATGGCTAAGGAGGCCTCAGGAAACTTACAATCATGGCGGAAGGCGAAGGGAAAGCAAGCACCTTCCTCACAGGCAGCAGGAGAGAGAAAAAGCAAGCGAACGAGGAAGTGTCACTTTTTTTTTTTTTTTTTTTGAGATGGAGTTTCACTCTTGTTGCCCAGGCTGGAGTGCAACGGCGCCATCTCGGCTCACTGCAACCTCCGCCTCCTGGGTTCAAGAAATTCTCCTGCCTCAGCCTCCCAAGTAACTAGATTACAGGCACCCGCTACCACACCCGGCTAATTTTTTGAATTTTTAGTAGAGACAGGATTTCACCATGTTGCCCAGGCTGGTCTTGAACTCCTGATCTCAGGTGATCCAGCCGCCTCAGCCTCCCAAAATGCTGGGATTACAGGCATGAACCACCACGCCCAGCCAATGCCACACTTTTAAAACCATTAGATCTTGTGAGAACTCCCTCACTATCATGAGAACAGCATGGCAGAATCTGCCCCCGTGATCCAATTGCCTCCCTCCCTCGACAGGTGGGGATTACAGGTTCCTTCCTTGACTCGCGGGGATTACAATTCGAGATGAGATTTGGGTGAGGACAAGGAAATATATTAATATATATTAATATAAAGAATATAAAATTATTCAAAGAATAATTTGAAATAAAAGAACTTGGTTATAAAAATGAACAGATCTATAAAAGAGACACTGTAATAGATAAAAGTTCTTCATCTCATCTACATTTTACACTTACTCAGTACCATCTCCTCATACCCCTTCCATATGGTACCTCTCCTAATGTAACCATAGTACTAAAATATAGAGGACTCTAGAATTGTAAATCCTCACGGTAGCAATTCACACCCCTTGGCTTGACAAGGCTATTCTTTTTAGCCCTCCCCAGGGGGTATTCTCTAAACATAAAGACTCATTCCTGTAAGGAATGCCTCTTCCCACAGGTCTCTGCTTTGTACTCTAATACTGGGGGACTTCAATCTACTTAAGGGAGAATGTCAACTCCTAATTGAGTGGAAGATATTTCTAGAAGTCTCATAGAAAATGAGTTCTTAGTAAACAGATACCATTGCCAAACATGCATCTCCAGAGATCTCTGAAGTAGAGATTTTGATAGAGGCCTTAAAAATTCGTTCTTTGGGGAGGTAAGTGATATTTTTGATACCCAATAGATTCTTTTTATAGTTTGGTTTCAACTATGAAAAGTTATTTCAGGGTCACAGCAGACTTAATTGAAGATAATAAGGGATGTTTATAATTAGATGAAAGGCCCCTGACTTCATTGGGTGCAACCTTTGTTAAACAGCAGTTTCCTGTGTACAAATAGCTTGGAAATTGGAAATTATTCAGGAAATTGCTCAAAAATTACAGAATGGCTTAACATTTTAATGTCAAGTTTAAACAGTTGTACTGGAGACATACAAAACTCTGAGGTCAATTCTGAGTTGCACAATTGAGTTATATACCTCAGCATCTAGAATCTATTCTACTACAGGAGGTTGAAAGTTTAATCATAAAGATTAGGAAGAAAGATTAAAGAATAATTTGAAATAAAAGAACTTGGTTATAAAAATGAACAGATCTATAAAAGAGACACTGTAGTAGATAAAAGTTCTTCAAATCCTATATTTCAGAGGCAAAAATGGCCTGTAACTGTTGAGTGAAGACAGGATTATCAGAAATTCTGGAAAGATTTGAGTCAACATTACTGAATTAGGCATGGTAAATCTCAAGTGAGCTCTGGACCATGGACAACTTTAAATGGCAGACACAAACATGACTTTAATCGCTCAATTATAAAGCAAATATTTTTTCTAATTTTAGACAGGTAACATCTATTTGTTTTAATATAAGTATACTTATTTCAAGGGAAATAACTCATATGTGAATTCTGACATACATTTTCAAACATAAAGAATATAAAAGACAAGCAGAGAAAACCAGAAATCCTAGTTCAAGAACTAAGATGCTCCTGTGCTGTAAACTATAAAATTAATGTTTCAGAAAGCTCATTTATACCCTCTTTCCATAAAAAAATTAAGCTACTTTTCAGCTTCTATATAAAATAGTGGATGTTCAGTTTTAGAATTACACCTGGTATTAGGAGATAAATGGAAAGAAATATAAATCTGGCTTTGGCTCAGGGTTTATTCCCAACATCTTTTACATCTTCATCTTGTGTCTTTTTTATCTTCAGCTTATGGGAGGAGAGTAAAAAATTCTCAGAAAAAAATAAAAAGGTTTGTTAATTTCTCCAAAACATATTGGACTATAGTAGCTTTAACAGCATGGATAATCTTGCAAATATTCCTAACATCATTCTTTGCATGACCTAATCAAAGAACTGCTGACATTTTGAGACAAATAATACTGAGACTAGCTTCCAAATTTACTTGTTCTCATATTTTCAGAATTCCAATGGATATGTTTTTGTGTCTGGGGGTATTACTGAAATGCTTTCATTATCTGTAACCCAACTGTCTTTTAGGTGGGGTGGGTTCTGCCAAATGAAAATCATTGATGAATCTGATTATGCAAATTTTAGGTGTAGAAATGAGAGAGATGTAAATAGCTACCAAAGGAGAATTGACAAGTCTGAGCAGAAGAAGCACAGATATCAAAAGGCAAAGGAGGAGGAAGACTTGGTGAGATAGTAAAAGTCCACACACTCAAATGAGAATCTCTTTCTAAACCTTCAACAAGGATTATTAATCTCACAAAAGTATATATTGATTTTTTACAGGAAAAACAAAAGGTAGCGACTAAGTTGTCTGAGTCTGATCTGACATGAACAAAACAAACCAAGGTATGAGGGATCTTCAAAAAGTTCATGGAAAAATGAAATTAAACAAAAAATAAGAAATATCAACTTTATTTTTCAATCTAAGCTCCATCACGTTCAAGACACTTTTGTAAGCAATGACACCGACATTTCGTCCATCCCTAAAGAAGTGAGGATCCTGGGAATTTAACCACATCAATGCAGCCTTTTTTACACTATTAACTGAAGAAAAATGGATGCCCTTTACAGATTTTTTAAATTAGGGGGAAAAAAAAGTTGCAGCCAAATCAGGACTATAAGGTGGATGCCTATTTAACATCGAAACTCTCAAACTTGCCCTTGTTTGATGAGAGCACTGAGCAGGAGCATTGTTGTTGTAGAGGACTCTCTCATGAAGTTTCCCAGGCATTTTTCTGCTAAAGCTTTGACTTTCTCAAAACACTCTCATAATGAGCAAGACATTATTGTTCTTTGGCCCTCCAGAATATTCCGAAGCAAAATGCCTTGAGTATCCCAAAACACCGTTGCCACGACCTTTGCTCTTGACCAGTCCATTTTTGCTTCGATTGGGCCCTTTCCACCTCTCAGTAGCCATTGCTTTGATTGTGTTTTGTATTTAGGATCATACTGGTAAGGTCATGTTTCATCTCCTGTTAACAATTCGAAGAAATGCTTCAGAATCTTGATCTGCTTGTTTCAAAATTCCAGTGAAAGCTCTGCTCTTGTCTGCAGCTGATCTGGGCACAATGGTTTTGATACTCACTGACTGAAAAGTTTGCTCACTTTTAATTTTTCAGCCAGAATTGTGTAAGCTGAACCAATTGAGATGTCTAGGGTGTTGGCTATTGTTTCTATTGTTAACAATTGGTCCTCTTCAATTAGGGCACAAATTTTTTTTCCTTGCAAATTGTTGTGGGTGGTCTGCTGCTGCACGCTTCATCTTCAACATCACTATTCCCTTCTTAAAACAAGCAGTCTATTTGTAAATTGCTGGTTTCTTTGGGGCTTTGTCCCCAGAAACTTTTCAAAAAGCATCAGTGATTTCACTGTTCTTCCACCCAAGCTTTACCATCAATAGATGTTTGTTCTTAATTTTAGCAGAACTCATGTTGCTCTGATAGAGACTCTTTGTAAACTAATGTCTTATCCTTCTTAGTATCTCAAACTATATCCTGTTCAGATACATTATAACAGGTTAGTATGAGTTTATTTTGGTGCAAAAAAGTTTTGAAGTCCATGCACAGTTTTTTTCTTAATAAACATCTTCCGTGAATCTTTGAAGACTCACATATATGAGTTAAGGAGCCTGGCACAGAAGAGTGGGAGAACACCAAGATATTAGCAGATATGATAGAAGGGCATTGAACTTCCAAGGGAAATCTGAAGATATCTAAGTTTCAGAGAGTAAAGAGGGCTCCAAATGACTTTTGAGTTACAAAACATTTGGAGATATGTATGCAACTTTATGCTTCAAAAAAATTAAAATCACTTCTAGTTTATTTGTAGGACATATGGAAGAAAAGCAGAGCTGAAAATTTATAACTAATTTTTTCACCTTGTTCTGATAACTTCTAGAATCACTGTGAGGAAGTACAGTTCTCACTATTTTTCTTCCTTAGAACTATAGACTTAAAGGAATATTTTACCTGTAATGACAATATATGCCTAACAAGTGCGATCTTTTCTCCAAAAATAAAGTTGGTGTAGATCACATAGAACCTGAAAATATAAAGAAAGTAAACAGATATCTATGGAAATGTCAACTCTTATTTTATTTTAGTTTAGTTTAGTTTGGTTTTGATTTTGCTTCAAAGAATTGCCTAAAGGAACACGTTTACATGTAACACCGAAGTCAGTTTCGGTTACATGTAACACCGAAGGCAGAGTAAACTAAATGTTTAGCAAACAAAAGAACTTCTGAGGGTAGAAAAATAAAAAGAATAATATTATAAGAATGCCTTTCTTCTATATATAGGAAATATTTTTCTTGTCCAGTTTTTAAAAAGCAGAGGGAAGACTACATCAGGAGAGCAGATCAGCTCTAAGAGTACTTAGCCCTTCCTGCAGAAATCTTCACCCTCTCAGCTCTTATGGCTCTGAAGACCAACCCTTCCATTCTTGCCTCAGGAACCTAAGGGTTTTGGGGTTTAGCAGATTTTTTTATGTCAGTCTCGAAAGGGAGGAATCAGATTTTCAAAGTTATCACATATTATTTTAAATATCCAATTACAACAAACAATGTATGAGGCATGTGCTGGGTGAGGAGTCAGAGCCGCAGCAACGTGAAGTGATCAGCTTACAGGTAGTAAGAAGAATTTACTGACAATAGTATAGGTTGGAAATCCTTTTATTAGATAGGATTGAAGTCTATTATTAGATAGAAAGAATGCTGCAGAAGAGTGCAGTGGGAAGCCTCAGCAAGAGAGGACTGACTGAACATGCCATGGTGGATTTTCCCTTATGGGTATTTATGGACCTTAAAGCAGGAGCTTAAGGATAATTTGAACCATATAGGCCATGTAGGTCATGATAAATGATTACATTTATAGACATTTTCGTGCCTTAATATTAGCAAGCGTTGCAGAATGAGTTTCAATATGAATGCATTCCAGAGATGTATAGACATTCTAGTTATTTATAAATTTTAGGAAAGAAGCCTAGTAGCAGATGCTGGCTTTGGATAATAGGGAAGTCTAATTACTTATAAATTCCTCAGATAAGGAATTTTGCCTCTGGACGGTCTGCTTGATGGCCACCAAGTGATCTTGGCTCTCCTCTGTATGTAAAGAAACTAGAAACTATGGTTCATACGTAGGAAAAAAACGTGGCCATTAGAAACTGTCTCTAAGGAAGTCCAGACAATGATTTCCTAGGTGAAGTCTTTGAATCAGCTATTGCAAATATGTTCAAAGAAGTAAAGTAAACCATGTCTTAATAACTAAAGGAAAGCATGAGAGTGATATCTCACCAAATAGAGAACACCAGTACAGAGTCAGAAACTATAAAAAAGAACTAAATAAAAATTTTGAAGTTAAAAAGTAAAATAATTCAAATGAAAATTTCACCAGGTAGTCTCAACAGCCTATTTGAACTGGCGGAATAAACCATTGGTAAATTCAAATATAGGCAGTTCAAATTATCTAGCCTTAGAAACAGAAATAAAAACTAAAGGAAAGGAAATGAATATAGCCTCAGAGACCTGTGGGACATCATCAAGTGTATCAATATACAAATAATGGAAGTCCTAGAGGGAGAGGAAAGAAAGAACAAATAACATATTTGAAGAAATAATGGCCAAAAGCTTCCCAAGATTTATGAAAAGATTCATTTATATGTGTAAGAAGCTTCGTAAATTCCACATAGGATAAACTCACAGAGATCTATACATCATAATCTAAATGAGACCGTGAAAGCTGTGAGAGAGAAGCAATCTATCAGGTACAAGGGATCCATAAGATCAGCAGCTGATTTCCCAGCAGAAAACATGGAGGCCAGAAGGCAGTGAGATTACATATTCAAAGCGCAGGAAGGGAGAAAGGTAGGCTGTCATTATCTTATATTTCTCTGAGTCCCAGAACTGCCATCATCTTGGTGAGGATTCTTTGCCTCATCCTTGATTCTTCAGTTCAGAAATCATTTTTATCTTTTTCCCCCACCCCCATCCATTTGCCTTAACTCTGATAGGGTAAAACTGGAAAAAATAAGGCAATGACTTCAAACAATTGGAATTAATGAGAGGCTCAAGTAATATGCACACATGCAAGAATAGTAGAACTAACTAAAAACAGAGAAAGTAAAAAGATTAGTGATGATGTTGCTGAAATATGAAAAGAGACAAGGTTCTGAGTCAGATGAATTTTTACATTTTGATTCTTCATTTCTGTTTTTCTCCCAAGGAGAAGTCCTATTACTCTCTCCTGAATTTTAAGAGATTAATAAAGATTCTAATGGATCCTGAAGTTCAGGATCAGCAGAAAGTTTCAAAGGGGATTTTCCAGGTGGGAAGAAAGTATGCAGAACAGAAAGAGATGGAACAGTCAAAAGACAAGTGTTGGTGAAGATGTGGAGAAACTGGAACCCTTGCACACTGCTGGTGGGAATGCAAAATAATGCAGTTGCTATAAAAAACACAGTATGGATATTCCTCAAAAAATTAAAAATAGAATGATTATATAATCCAGCAATCCCATTTCTGCATATTTATCTAAAAGATTGAAATTTAGATCTTTAAGAGATGTTAGCACTCATGTTTTATTGCAGGTCTATTCACAATAGCCAAGATGTGGAAACAACCTATTATGCCCATCAACAGATGACTGGATAAAAAAATTGTGGGATAATATACACAATGGAATACTACTCAACCTTTAAAAAAAAGGAAATTCTTCAATACACACAACACGGATGAATCCTGAGAACATGATGCTAAGTTAAATAAGCCAGTCACAGAAAGACAAATGCTGCTTGATTCCACTTGTATGAGGTATCTAAAATAGTGAAATTCATAGTATCAGAGTGCAATGATGGTTACTGGGAGCTGGGGATGGGGGAGAGGAAACGGTGAGTTAAAATTTCAGTCAAGCCAAATAAATAAACTCTAGAGATCTGCTGAACAACATTGTACCTGTATTCAACAATTATGTATTATGCACTTAAAATTTTAAGAAGGTGTAGTTTCTTACCACACTAAAAAAAAAAGAGAGAGAGAGAGATGAGACAACGAAGAGGAACTTTGCCTGCTTTAGTATTAAGCTAAAAGTCAATTCTACTCCAAAGACTCTTTAATCTATGTCACTAGGATGCATATCTCTGTACTAAATCCTTTTAGGGGAATTAAAGCAAATAGTGGCTCTTTCAGATGGCTGTTATCAAATATCTTTTATTATAAAGATAGAAATTTGAGTACCTAATTTGGGAACTTAAAATTTTCATAAAACTTTTCAATAATTTTTTACTAAATACATAGTTATGATTCTGTCCTCACCAAAAATAAGAATGCTCCTCAGGGCACTCAACGCAAGTATAAAAGATATCTATAAGTAAATAACTACCAAAAGATTACATTATAATTTTTTTTGAGATGGATTCTCATTCTGTTGCCCAGGCTGGAATGCAATGGTGCGACCTTGGCTCACTAGAACCTTCACCTCCCGACTCAAGAGAGCCTCCTGCCTCAGCCTCCAAGTTGCTGGGACTATAGATGCATGCCACCACACCTGGGCTAATTTTTGTATTTTTTGATAGAAAAGGGGTCTCACTATGTTGTCCAGGCTGGTCTTAAGCTCTTGACTTCAAGCAGTCCTCCTGCCTCAGCCTCCCTAAATGCTGGGATTACACAAATGAGCCACTGCGCCCTACTACAGTATAATTTTAATAAAGGATTAAACCTCATATAAACTTTATCATTTAGAGGATATTTACCTAAAATCAGTGCTTAAATATACTAAGAAAATGTAGCCTGAATACCATGATGGGGCAAAGAGAGTGAGTGAGTGATTGATTTTTCTTGAATTAGGACAATTCAAGTTTTTAAAAAATGTTACTCAACATCTGAGGCATTCAAAAAGATGCATAAATAACAATAAAATATATACCCATGATTCCCTCAACTTATAAAGCCTTTTATTTATTTTTTTAAATTTTTTTTATTATTATTATACTTTAAGTTTTAGGGTACATGTGCACAATGTGCAGGTTAGTTATATATGTATACATGTGCCATGCTAGTGCGCTGCACCCACTAACTCGTCATCTAGCATTAGGTATATCTCCCAATGCTATCCCTCCACCCTCCCCCCACCCCACAACAGTCCCCAGAGTGTGATGTTCCCCTTCCTGTGTCCATGTGTTCTCATTGTTCAGTTCCCACCTATGAGTGAGAATATGTGGTGTTTGGTTTTTTGTTCTTGCGATAGTTTACTGAGAATGATGATTTCCAGTTTCATCCATGTCCCTACAAACTACATGAACTCATCATTTTTATGGCTGCATAGTATTCCATGGTGTATATGTGCCACATTTTCTTAATCCAGTCTATCACTGTTGGACATTTGGGTTGGTTCCAAGTCTTTGCTATTGTGAATAGTGCCGCAATAAACATACGTGTGCATGTGTCTTTATAGCAGCATGATTTATAGTCCTTTGGGTATATACCCAGTAATGGGATGGCTGGGTCAAATGGTATTTCTAGTTCTAGATCCCTGAGGAATCGCCACACTGACTTCCACAATGGTTGAACTAGTTTACAGTCCCACCAACAGTGTAAAAAAAAAAATAAAGCCTTTTATTAACACTCCTCTGTGAAGCCTGCTATGCACCTATTCCTGCTATGAATCATTCTGTCACCAAAGGCAACCACTGTCCTGAATTCATTGTTTTTCATTCCTATATCTTTAATATTTAAGTTGTTTTCATGTTTTTAAATGGTATATAAATATTTTATACCATACATATTTTGGCAACTATTATTTTACTCTATGTTGGAGATATCCATGCATATAGGATAATGTAGCTCTAGTTCACGTTCCCTGCTACATAGTTCGGTTGAATGTACGTGTTCATTTATTCAGTCACCAATTATTCATTGAGTATCTATAATGCATTGTTTAGGTGCTAGGGATATATCACCCAGCTTTTCTAAATTTTACATTCTCGTTACAGTCTATGTGCCGGTGTCCCCACAAAATCCTAATCCCCAAGATGATGGTGTTTGACAGTAAGACTTTTGAGAGTTTCCTACCTAGGGTATTTCATGTATCAGCAGGTTGGTGAGGAGGAGTCATTTTATAGGTGTAGAGGGTCTTATTTAATACTCTGAAATCAAAAGAATAGTGGGTAGTTTATTTATTTGTTCACTTCTTTATTCACAGCTGTAATCCCAAGCCATCTCTAAGTATGTTCATTCTGGAGTCCAGACATTCTGAAAACCAAATGGAAGAAAAGGAGCCAAGGTGACTAAGAAGGATCAGCCAGAAAGGAATGAGGAAAAGCAGGAGTGCCCAGAACCTCAAAAGCTGAGAGAAAGTGAACTTCAAAGAACAGAAGTGCATCTGGGTAGATATCCTAAAGACTTGAAATCAGTATGTGGAAGAGGCATCTGCATTGCTATGTTCATTGCAGCATTATTCACAATAACCCAGATGTTGAATCAACCTAAGTGTCTATCCATAGATGAATGAATGAAGGAAATATGATCTGTATACATAATGAAATACTATTCAGCCATAAAAAAGAGTGAAATCCTGTCAGTTGCATCATGGAACTGAAGGACATAATGGAATACTATTTAGCCTGAAAACAGAATTCATACTCCAAGCCCCACAATACGCAATATACCTTTGTAACAAGCCTGTACATGTACCCCTGATTCTAAAATAAAACCTGAATAAGAAGAAGAAAATCCTGTCATTTTTTGACAACATGACTAAATGGCTGAACCTGGAGGACATTTTGATAAGTGAAATAAGCGAATCACAGAAAGACAAAAGCCATGTTTTCACTTATACGTGGAATTTGAAACAAACTCATAATAGCAGCAAGTAGAATGGTGGTTGCAGAGGCTGGGAGTGGAAGGCATGGGGAGGTGATCCAAGGCTAGAAAGTTGTGGTTAGACAGGAGGAATAGATGATGGGTATTTAAGGGGATGGATATGTTAATTAGCTTGATTCAATCATCCCATGCTATATACATACATCTTAACATCACTGTGTGACATATAATTATGCATGGTTAAAATGTGTCAAAAAATAAAATATAATAAGTCTGAAGCAAATCAAAAAAATTAAAAAGATGATATGGTCTATTTTATAGCTGTGCCATACTATCTTTAGCTAGTTCTCTATTGCCCCAATTTTACTATTTTAAATCAATCTGTGTATGAACAACAACAAAAGACAAAAGTGGAGAGTGGGGTCAATGGTGCTCAGAATCAAATAAAATGATGACAGTGTTCACTGAATTGAGCAACGTGGAAGTCATTCTTGACCTTAGAAAAAGCTTATACAGACATTTTTGGGCAGAAGGCAATTGGCAATGGATTAAGGTGAGTATGGGATATATTACAGAGGGCACTTTTACTGTGGGCTACTGTTCCCAGTGATTTAACTAACAGAAGAGGTTTATAATGGTAGGCAGATGTCACACCAAGTGTCAGGTTCTAGCCCAAGCTGAGGTCTGAGGGAAGTGGGTGGGTGAGTGGTGGGTAGCTGGAAAAACACTTGAGAAATCCTAGGCAACCATGGCATGGCTTTATTCTCTTTCTGGGTGCAAGCCGTATGTACAGCATCAGCAGGGTAGTTATGCCTTCTACAGACAACAGTGGCTCCAAGCCAAGCATGAGCTCACGTGAGTGTTCACCTAATGCACCTCACATGGCATGGTTACATAATGTTCAGGGTTGTGCGCCTGCGCTCCAAACCCTCTGAGTCATGCTGCATGGGAAGGCCACCTCGGCCTGCTCTTGACTAAAGCACAGCCATTTCCCTTACAGCAGAGTGCTTCCTGCTACCCAAACACAGACCCAGACCAGGTTTGGTGACCTTCTCATGTTTGCATACAGGAAAAAAAAAGCCATTTGTTTCTTGGTTTTATATATTTAAAAGATTTTCAGCACAAAACTTGCTTTTACTTGAATTTCGAATTTCTTCATTGTAAATATTTTAGGCAGTGAAGAGTTATTTTCTATACCTTTTTGTTATAAAGGATTTTGTAATTGAACAAATTTTTCAACATGTAGCCTGATTAAAACATGGTAATTTTTCCCCTTTGTCTCATTCTCAAATATTAATTGATTTTAAAATGTTCCTAAAGAAAAAGCAGACTATTGTTTTAAGTGTATGCTATGTCATTGAGAATCAAGCAACAGGAGCACAACACAATGTGAGAATACAAAACATTTTATAAGATGAATTCCAAAGCAGCATAAAATAAAATTATCAGCGAGTAATGAAATAGAGAGAAATATGGATCTGTAGTTGACGTTCAGAGACTCAGAAATCTAATCATCACAATTGAAGTGAGAGAAATACATCTTAATGAGTCCTTCAACATCCCCTCAAGATTTCAGTATATAAATATTTAAAAGCAGGGGACTTAAGCAACTCTACAACAGTTTCGTTCCAGTCCAAAGTATTGAAAGAATCTAACTTGTTCTTTTTCTGCCTAAAGTATTGAGAGATACTAGCACAAGTCTATGATACAATCTAATTTCCTGTACATTTGTAATAGTTCATTAGACTGTGGAGGAACTAAAATTTCCTCTAGAATATAAACATGTAGGGCCTGTAATCTCAGCACTTTGGGAGGCCAAGGCAGGCAGATCACTTCAGGTCAGGAGTTCAAGACAAGCCTGGCCAACATGGTGAAACCTTGTCTCTACAAAAAATACAAAAATTAGCCGGGTGTGGTGGCACCTGACTATGATCCCAGCTACTTGGGAGGCTGAGGCAGGAGAATTACTTGAGCCTGGGAGTCAGAAGTTGCAGTGAGCCGAGATTGTGCCACTGCACCCCAACCTGGGTGACAGAGCAAAACTCTGTCTCAAAAAAAAAAAAAATATATATATATATATACACACACACACACACACACACTTAAAGAACATAAATGGTCTTAATATTTCTAGCATGTGCAAATTTTAGAAAGTCACATAGTAAACATATTATCATGAAACTTTATAGCTTTATTTTCTATGTAGAACGCCTCTCTTAAAGATTGTGATTTTTAAAAAAATTTCTATAGTCAGAACATCTTATTTTATTCATAATACATGACTAAGTTATTAGTCAAATATGTTTTGAAAATCATCCTAATTTCTTTTACTGTAGCTGTTAGATATCTTGGTGGAAACACATGGTTATGTTTTAACAGGCAGCTCCCACTGACATATTAACAATGAGGTTTAGTGAGCAGTGTGATGTAGGAAGAAGGTGCTGCTTTGATTCTGATTAGGAAAGTCAGGTGGGAGGATGAGAAACACTAGCTGATAAAACAAAGAACTTGAGCAGGATCAGGAACTTCGCCAAGGAATTAGCCTTTGCAAAGAGAGATGTCTACTTCTCTGAGAAGAAGAAAGGGAAGATGGGTTCACATCCACTCCTTTTGAGAAGGAAGGGAGACAGCTGAGGCAATTTACAGTAAATAATCTCAAACTTCATAAAATTTCAATAGGTCACTGGCAAAGAACAGAGGGATAGTGGTGGAGTAGAGGGGTGTGAACAACAGGAACGTTTAGAAAAGCTACTGTAGGTGGTGCAACAGATATGCTGCTGTAAAAAAAAAAATCTAGCAATAGTAAAGATACAGCTGAGCTTGCAAAGAATGGCTTCAATCATTCACTCTGCTGTTGTGACTTGAACCATCAGAACTTATGAATACATCTAAAGCATAAACAGAGACTCTAATGCTAGGTTAGGGACTAATTTGATGCTTACAATGGAATGGACAAAGACATGAGCTTTCAGTGGTGTTCAACACGTGTGAACAGCCACTGCAGGGACTTGGTGCACGTGTGTTTCATGGGTGAAGAACGAATGAATAAATGAATGTACATTTCCTTCCCTCTCAGTGTTCATTTTCCAGGTGTCTACTATAGCCTATCATTTGACTTTTTGTTGAGAATAGCTATGTAGAAAGATGTGCCAACATTTTGCAAAATTTGTGACTATCTGAGGAGAAATAGTCACTATTTCTTAATGAGAGAATTCTGGAAAGAGGTATGGTGACTGTAATTTTTGAAAATTACTAAAAGATTTATTGTGTTTAGAACTTCTCTCTTTCTGGACTCAATTTTCTTATCTAAGTACAAGAGGTAAGAATATTGATCATTGGTACTATTGCCCAGCACTAAACCATTTTACATACAAGATTTCATTTAATTTTTATAATAGTCCTAAAACATAGGCACTATATTCACCTCCATTGTTTAGATGAGAAAACTGAGGAATAAAGTAGCTCAATTTCACATCAAGAAAATGAAGGAGCTGGGTTTTAAACCTAGAATGCAAAGAGAGATGGGCCTGTAGGCCTACGAACTGTGCTAAATATATTTATAGTTATATACTTTAATAAATTTGGAATTTTGAATTTTAAGATTATTGGAGGACAAAACTATAGATGGTCATCAGGAAGAACTTATAAGAAAGTTTTCACTATCTGCCAAATTCAGAAAAGAGTAACTTTTCAAGGGGAAAAAAGAAAAAAAACTTAAAATTTTTTTTGTGTGTTTTGAGATAGTCTCATTCTGTTGCCCAGGCTAGAGTACAGTGGCATGATCTCAGCTCACTGCAACCTCTCCCTCCTGGGCTTAAGTGATTCTCCAGCCTCAGCCTCCCCTGTAACTGGGACTACCAGTGCGCACAACCATGCCTGGCTAATTTTTGTAATTTTTAGTAGATACAGGATTCGCCACATTGGCCAGGCTGGTCTCCAACTCCTGACCTCAAATGATCCACCCACCTCAGCTTTCCAAAGTGCTGGGATTACAGGCATGAGCCACTGCCCACTGTGCCCTGCCCTAAATAAATAAAATTTGAGGCAACTGAAGTCATAATTTTTTACAAGGAATCTTCCCTTGTACTTCAGATTTGGAATGCACAAATCCCAGGCATATGAAAGAGTGTGGCAAGGTATACTCAAATAAACGGTATAAACTTCGAAAAAGGTTTTACACATAATTTTCCCCTAGGCAGTAATTTGAGTATTATGATAATATAAAAAAATTACCTTTTTAATTGGAATATAAAACTAGTATACTTTTTAAACTAAAACCTGGGACTTAATGTTCACTTTTCCATGATCTTAGGCTATGTAGCTATCCTTCTTAGTATTTACTTTCTTCTACCTTTAAACTTGTACTAGGAAAGTTTTTGAAAACCATTGTTCAAGGGCAGTAAGAAGATGTGGCACAATTTATCTAGCAATTAAAGATAACATGATGTTATCTTTAGGAAGAAAACCCTAAGGCACTCAAATAATTCTAAAATATATGGAGGTTGTGTTTTCTTGATCTCTGCTCCTGAGTGGTTAGAATGATCCATGAATTGGAAGGACTTCAGTTTGCATTGCAGGGACAGGAGTGCCGAATCCAGATCTTTGTAATAATTAATTTGCATCACTGCTCAGTACTGAGAATACAAGTGCAGAAAGAGAAGCTGAGACATAATTGCTGACAAATACGCTGTGTGTATTGAAAACCAGAAAATTTGCAGCTGCCTCACAGACGCCCTCATTGTGCAGATTTACAATGAACCACAAAAGAGACATGAGGTAAATGTAGGGTGTGTGCTGCAAGCCATTTTGATGAAATATCTGGGGGACAATTTAATATGAAATATCAGTTGGTAAAAGAGACCAGCTGCCCATTAAGAAGGATGACTCAAGCTAAAAATTCTAGCTCCTATTTTATAATGAAAGATTGCCGATATATAAACCTTCATTTGGGATATAAAATAGTGCTGGGTTTGAATGTGTAATGGCTATGCATGCAATCTTCCAAAAATCTGAAGGAACAGTTTTTTTTCTGAATCTGGTCAAAAGTCAAAACTTCTTTGGAAATCCAGCATGCAGGAACTTAGAAACTATCTTAGATGACTTTCTTTTATTCCTAAATCTTTCTGTGTGCATGCATGGGATCTCAATGTACTCTCAGCTATAGAATTCTGAATTATTTTTATGTAGACAACCAACCAATCCTTCTGTTCCAGCCTCCCATGAATCTCACTATTCAAGATAATAGATGTATCTAGCTGCTGAGCTTTCTGAGGTTTTGCAGTGCAAATCAACTTACTTCTAACGCTCACTTCCAGCTTAGCTTTGAGCTTCCTTCAGCCTGCGAAGTTGATTACCACGTGTTCCTATTCTTTCCAGTTTCCAGAATTTTGTTGCTGTCATCTTCTGTTCTGTTCTCTTTGTTCTTGTGGGTTAAAGCCCTTATAAATATAAGTCCCTTCAATCCACCAATGTTAGCTGCACATTCTGCTAGCTTTTACCAGAAAACATTTGAACAAATAAATCTGTTTTAAATGTTGAAACTCTGAGCATCTTGACAACAACAAAGGGAGGAATTTGAGGACTAAGGATCTTCCTGGAGTTCTTTACTGTATCTATGTGGAAATAAAAGCATGTTTTTAAATGAACTTTAGATTCCTGTTGAATGCAAGGTTTATAAATGACCTCTACTTTCATGTTAAGACTTTTCAACTCCCGGCCAGGCACGGTGACTCACACCTGTAATCCCAGCACTTCGGGAGGCCGAGGCAGGCAGATCGCTTGAGATCAGGAGTTCAAGACCAGCCTGGCCAACATGGTGAAACCCCATCTCTACTAAACGCACAAAAATTAGCCAAGCATGGTGGCACACGCCTTTAATCCCAGCTACTGGGGAGGCTAGGCAGGAGGATCCCTTGAACCTGGGAGGCAGAGGTTGCAGTGAGTCGAGATCGCACCACTGCACTCCAGCCTGGGTGACAGAGTGAGACTCCATCTCAAAAAAAAAGAAAAAAAAATTCAACTCCTTTGAAAATGTGTTTATCTCTGAATCCTACCTCTGTGAAACTTTCCTACTGACTTCTTTCTAGTTCGTACACTTGCTGCTGGATATTAGAGTGCTTATCGTTTTAAGCAATAGGCCCTTAAAAGGAAACACATCTTTCCCCAGCTCCTTTCTATATCTTTGTTTAGTAGCATTTGTTTTATCAGTCTTAAGTCGAACTATTAATCCTTATTGGCCATCACCTTGCTCAGTCCTTAGTGCCCATCCCCTTGCCAGGATGCTAACTTTCCACTGGGACTCGGCTCGATTCTAAAGGGAATATTACCAACCTTCACCCATCCTAACAGAACTAGAACTCACAGTCCTTGAAAATATCAATGACAGAAGTGAAGAATCCCTACAGCTATTGCCATTTTAAACTGAGTGTGTTCCAAATGGCCCTGGTAGCTGAGAAGTAGAGATTATTTGATTCAGTTTCCTAAAATAGCTCACTTCTCTCTCATCTCTGTGTTGCTCTTGCTGTCCAGGCTGCCCGCAATGCTCTATCACACAGGTGTCATTTTCCATTCCAGCCTTCTGTTTGTGCAGAAGCGTAAGTTCTCTTCCCTCCCTTCTTCCCTTCTCCATTCCTCCCTTCTCCCTTCCTTTCTTCCTCCCTTCCTCTCTACTTTTTCTATCATATTAAGATCATATTGTACACACAATTTGTACCTTACTTTTCTGTCAAAGCATTTTCCAACACCATTGGCTCTTCTGTGAGGATGTTGTTTTAGTGGCTGATACTTCACCATTTAAACTTTCCTCAATTCATAAATTTCACTCATTCCTTTCCCTCCTGCTTTAAATCCATGTACATCTTCTCCATGGTGCTTCTTCCTGACTCTCTCTGAGAGTGATGCTGCTTCTCTCTTTCTTTTCAAGTAAAAACATGCACTCTTGATTCCACAGCCTCTATTGTTTCTCCTTAATGCTCTTTTTGTTTCTGCTTTTTGAACTTTCAATTTCTGAAATCTGACTCTGCCTAATCATCTCAGGTCTTCCCATCAACAAGTAACCAACCCCGAAACCTTGTTTGACTTTGCTATTCTCTCAAAGCATTGTTCTAAGTGTTTTTCTTAACACATACACTAATTTGTCTCATTGTCTGGTCACCCCAACCACTCTTTAACTTCTTTAGTTAAATTTCTGTTGTCTCCATTCAACTTAAACTGCACTCAAGGCTACGAGAAACCTCCTAGCAGGCCCAGGAGCCTAAACTTACCTAGTGGCCTTTAATCAGTTTTTCTTTTCCTCAACATTCTTCAAAATACCATGGCATTTGCCCTTTCATCTCCCAGTCTCTCTAACCCCTCCCTCACTGTCTTTATTTATGTTTTCTCTATCAGCTCCCATTTTAACTTCTATTCCATTCTGTTTATGCTTAGTTTGTTAATGGTGTGCTTGTTTGTTTGTGGCAACCAAGTAAAGTAGCATAAAAATTTTGGAACTTGAATTCTAGTCTTCCCAAATGGGTTTACTAATACCTTCTATCTGTCACCAGTAATGGTTAGTATGAGAAGCAAGTATCTGTATGTGTTCATTGTGCATATCTAGAATTATATATTTTTAAATTTCATTAAACTGAATTATGCAATGTTCTAATGTCTGTGTGTGTGTGTGTGTGTGTGTGTGTGTGTGTACACAGAGAGAAAGCGAGTGCCTTAAGGCTAGCGAACATAGCTAAAAAAATTGCTGAGAATCAGAAGGATTATTCAACACAAAATTTTAAATGTATGGGGAAAGAAAGGATTTAATAAGAATCACCAAAAGAAAAAACTTTTGGTAAATAGATTCCAGGCTAAATTTGTTTTTGCTAATATGCAGATAAAATAACTAGTGGGCCTCTTCTTAATTTATAGATGTGTGAAAATTAACCTAAAGAAAAAGTAAGAGAGAAAATTGATTTAAGGTATAATAAGTGGCTTGGAGTCAAGCAAAATTGATAAGATAAACCAGATCTCTTTTAAGCTTGCTTCTGCAGGCAAAATAAGCTTTAATTCAAAACCTCATTGAATCTGTATTAGTGAGTATGTAGAGTATATAGCAACTAGATCATAGGAAAGGTCAGTCTCACTATCCCCTGAGGCAGAGTTGGTTGTTCTTACATTACACAGTTGCCTTTGAAGCAAAGGTTAACATCACTGTTATATTAAAGTCTCTCTGCATCCTACAAAGGGACCCTTCAGCCCTGTCTGTCATGAGAACAATGTGGTTTTCCCTTTCTCTCTCCTCAGTTAGGTTATGCTTTATTATATCTCCTTAGTTTATCAAGTCCAGGGATATAGATCTTTAAAAATAGATCACGTCTCCATAATAAGATTCTCCCTGTGAAGGTCTCTGGAAATAAAAACATCATGATGTTTATGTCCTACAGTACCAGCCCATCCTACGATACTTACAAATGTAACATCTGCCTGCACATGAAATCTTGTGGTTATAAACTGAAGTCTGTAGCTGAGAGGCTTTTGTCCAGATGCCCCTGACTTGTAAGTGAAAGTATGAGTACTTACGTTGAAGATTGTCTTAGAAAAGAGGTTCTTAAAAAGGCTGTCACAAGTTTAGAATCTGGCCCTCAAGGAAGGTCAGTCCTCCTTGCTCTCAGGGTGTCTGGTCTCTGCTTCCTTTGGCCTTTTAACAAACTTGTTTGAAAAACAGATTTACAAACATCTGATAGTTCTTTGCCATTCTGATTTCTTAAAAAGTGGCCAGGTGCAGTGGCTCACGCCTGTAATCCCAGCACTTTGGGATACTGATGTGAGCAGATCAGCTGAGGTCAGGAGTTCGAGAAAAGCCTGGCCAACATGGTAAAAGCTGACTCTACTGAAAATATGAAAATTACCCTGGCATCTTGGCATATGCCTACAATCTCCACTAGTTGGGAGGCTGAGGCAGGAGAATCACCTTGAACCTGGGAGGCAGAGGTTGGAGTGAATCGAGATCGCACCACTGCATTCTAGCCTGGGCGACAGAGTGAGACTCTGTCTCAAAAAAAAAAAAAAAAAAAAGAGTGCCTGAAAAGATCCACCTATATCTTTAGATGTTCAAGACTATAATCTACCTCAGGAAGAATATATAGTACAACCTACACAGAAATTAACTTTATTGAAAGAACATTTAAAAAAACAATCATGCTTCAGGAGTTGAAATATCATTACATTTATCTTAAATATTTATTTACTTCAAAACAAGTTTAAAGGCAACCACCAGAATCTGCTCAGTTCTGGTCTTTTACATGTTTACTATCCAACACCTGAGGCACATGAAGGCTCAACCCTCCTCCTACTCCTGTTCCCAAGGCCAAGATGGATCCTAAAGAGGGTGAGGGTGAGGGAGAGGAGTGAGGATGGGGGTGGGCAGACTTCAGGAGCTGCATGTCAGAATGGGTGACATCCCAGCACAGTAACTGCTAGTTCCCACCTGACCTCGGGTTCCATAGACAATCCCACAGTTTGGTATCCCTATACTTAAGCGTGTGTCTCTGACTCCTGTCTAGTATACTAAAGGGGACCTCTCGCATTCATTAATTCATTTATTGACTCATTCAGTCAACACTGACAGTGCTTAGTATGTGTCAGATACTAGGCTGTTTGTTATAATAGAAAGATGAACAGGTGTCTACTCACAGCAATGGAAGGGGAAAAAAAATGACCCAAACATCTTGGATGAGCTTACCTTTTTTGACAATCTCCTGCCATCAGACCTACTGTGCCTTGGCTAGATGATTCCTTTCCCAAATCTTTCACTCTTTCTCTTACAAAACAGACCCTTCCTGCATCTTAAGTAGTCTTTTGTTTATTTTTCTTCAAGACAGAGTCTTGCTCTGTCACCCAGGCTGGAGTGCAGTGGCATGGATCTCAGGTCACTGCAATCTCCGCCTCCCAGGTTCAAGTGATTCTTCTGCCTCAGCCTTCCAAGTATCTGGGATGACAGGAGCACGCCACCACACCTGGCTAATTTTTTGTATTTTTAGTAGAGATAGGGTTTTGCCATGTTGGCCAGGCTGGTCTTGAACTTCTGGCCTCAAGCAATCCGCCCACCTCGGTCCCCCAAAGTGCTGGAATTACAGGCATAAGCCACCATACCTGGCCAATAATGTGATTATTTTATATGATGTTTTTAATAATGCTTTTTCACTTAATATAAGAAGAATGTTTTCTCTCATCATTAAATAGTCTTTTAAATCTAGTTTTAATAGAATCATAAAGTCCCCCTGTGACAGGTATCCCATTATTAACTAGTTCCATTTTCTAATTAATTTTTCTTAAACTTTTTATTACAAATTACTCTGTGGTGGACATCCTATAAATATATATCTGCATAAATGTAGCACTGTCAAACTATTGGTTACCTGTCCAATATCCACTATCCCCTTCTTCCTTAATTAAAGAACCCTGAGCAGCACCCTGAACATTGAAAATATCGCAGCCCCGATCCCACGCTCTGTAGCAACTTGGCGTGGTCATTTGCCCCAGTGCTGGCTAATGATATATAAGCAGAAGTGTACTAGCTATTAGGTTGGTGCAAAAGTAATTGTGGTTTTCACCATTACTTTTAAAAACCGCAATTACTTTTGCACCAACCTAATAGAACTTCCGGATTAAAATAATCTAAATCAGGGTGTCCCATGCCTTTTGTTCTGCAACGTCCTTCTTTCTGTCTAGAACATGGACCTGATTCCCAGAGGTGCATTGGCCAGCGTGCAAGCCTGAGGAAGGAAGCCACACCATGAGGACAGTGAGGCCTGATCCTTGATGATGTCTGTCCTTGAACTAGCCATCCACAGAGTGCTCCCATACATCCCCTTATATGAGCAATGTAAACCTGTTTTAATGTAATTCTTCTCAAATCCTCCACATGGCTATGTTTCACTATTTTCTTTGAGTGGTGGCTAAACAGAATATAATTTTTATAGAGTTTATTATTTTAAAATATGTTCAATTAAAACTCAATTATAAGACAAAGAATCCAAATAAAATATTTGAACCTAACGATTTGAGTACACATTTCACTAAGGAAAAGAAAAAAGACAAAGAGGAGAAGGAAAAGAAATGTAAATGGCTAATAAACACATAAGAAAATGTTCAACATTATTAATTGTTAGGAAAATGCAAAATAAAATCACAGTAACATGCCAAGAAATTACTAATAAATTTTCATTTATTACAATGGTTATAATTAAAAGAGACAGACAATATCATGCGCTGGCAAAGATTGGAGAACTGGAATTCTATTGCACAGCCATTAGGAATTAAAATGGCATAGCCACTTTGGAAAACAGTTTGGCAGTTTCTCACAAAATTAAACATAAATTACCATCCGACCCAGCAATTCTACTTCTAGGAATCTATCCAAGAGAAATAAAACCATACATTCACGGGAAAACATGAACACTAACTTTCATAGCAGCATTACTTATAATAGCCAAAATGTGAAATTATCCAAATGGTTCCTGAATAAATGACCAGTGCATGAATCATAGACAGATAGTGAAGTCTATATAGCAATAAAAATAAAAGATGCACTACTACTGCGACAACATGGATGAAACTCAAAAACAGTGTGCTAAGTTGAAGAAGCATCCAGATGCAACAGTCTGCATAGTGTATAATTCCCTTTATATGAAATATGTGGAAAAGCAAATTTACAGAGCCAGAAAACAGATTCACGGTTGCTGAAGACTGGTGGTAGAGGCTAGGAATAACTGCAGAACAGCACTAGTGGACATTTGGAGTGATGGAAATGTTTAAAAATGGGTGTGGTGATGGTTGTACAACTATAAATTTACTAAAATCATCGAACTATACACTTACAAAGGGTGAATTTTGTTTTATGTAAACTAGACCTCAATAAATCTGTTTTTAAAAATATATCCAAATATTTTCACTACAAGTGTACTATTGTGGTTAAAATTTTTGTTGTTGCCAAAACATTAAAGCCTAATGGTAGAGATAAATTATGCTTGAGACAGTTTGAAAGTTTTCCTTAAGCATGAGATACTCTTTGTGCAGAAGAAAAATCTCATGCTGCAAATGTGAATGACTAGGAATAGAATGAAGAAAAGAACTCCTGAGATATATATGGACCAAAATGTAAAAAAACAAACAAACAAAAAGACTGCAATTTAGGTCACTTCACTTTGGAAAGCCGAAATGATATTTTGAAACCTTCCCAAATGAACAGATGGCCTAAACCCTTGGTCCAAAAATGGAACCATTTATTTAATTCTTACTATGCATCAGGCACTGTGTTAAACAAACAGTTTTCAACATTTGTTCCTTACTAACTCACAACTCCATGAGGTATTAAACATCTCCACTTTACAAATGAGAAAACGGAGACTCAAGGAGGCTTAGCCTCCTCCCCAATAGCAGGAGATGGCAAAGCAGAGCCTCTGATCAAACCCCAGCATAATTCCAATGCTGAAGCCTACACTGTTAACCTCTACAATGGACCACTTTCAAATCACCATGCCTCATCTCAGAGCTCCAGTGCCTAGAAAAACAAAAGGCACTTAGTAGGTAATCAGCAAACATTTGTCAAATGCATTTTAGTTGAGATATATATGGAAGTAATATACTGTGCTCTTAATAATCTTGTAGAAATAAGCTGATTATTATCAATTTTTTTGTTTTCTTCTATTCTCAATTAGTAACACAAATGGGAGCATTTTATAATGTGGATCCTCCTCAGGGCATTCTTGTTTGCTTGCTGTTGTTTTTACCCAAACCAATGTTCCAGATTTTAGATCCTGACTAACTCCTCCTCCTTTAGGAGGTTAGCTTTTTTGGTTTAGGAATACATCATTGGGACATCTTTCCCAAACTTCAGCTCTATACTTCTAGAATTCTATTATACATGTTCCTCTGTGTGTCCTGACAAATCAGATCTTTTCCACCAGTCTCCTCTTCCTCGTTTTCTTATATCTATTAATGGCAACAAAAATCTACCCTGTCAAAAATCTATCCTGTGGCTCAGACATAGAAATTTGATAGCCATGTTTAGTAAATGTCCAATTCCTATCATTTCTACCACCACAAGTTCTCCACATCACCTGAATCCAATTCCTATATATAACTCTCTCGTCATATGACATCTTATCTCACTGGACTTCTGTTACCAAGGAATCGATCCCTGGATGTCAACTTTCATTTTCATCCCATAGACAATTACCCTAGAGGAAAGTTCTTAATATCTTGTCAACTCCAACTCTGTTACTTCTCCTGAACGTGGCTGGTTATAACTCAAATCGAAACCAGATGTAAACGGAGCCAAAACAAGTGCAACCGCAACTCAAAATGTCAAGTGTCAATGTCAAGGAACTCACATAGCATGTGCTGTGTGTCTGACTTATTTATTGTTGTTGTTTGATTTTTTTTCTTAGTTTGGGGAGAGAAGAGGGAGCTTTGGTGAAAGCTGTTTGATTGTAAGCTACTTCTCAATGACAATGACAGAAAAATATGATGAAGCAGGAATCAATGTTCAAAAATGAGCTGGAAATACCTGCTTAGGGTGGGCTGTAGCTGATATTGACTAGCATGTTAGAGAATTGAACTTATTTCAGTATAAATTATGTAATAAAAAGATAAATCAGTAGTTATACAAAATGTTTCATGGTAATTCTTATTTTCACACACAAAAGTATATTTTTCTTTGAAATGCCATCATTTTCCTCTGGAGAAACTGGAATCAAACAAATGCACTATTTAGAAAAATTAAATCTCAGAATACATTTTTAAGACATAACAATAACGCAAAAAATTCTGATTTCCAAAATATTTATCTATCACAAAACATAGTTTGCTAACTTATTTGTCTATGTACAGCTCACAGCAATGCTCTTCTCCTTTATCACAGAGTTCTCAAATAAACTGTGGGTAGCCTAGAATATTCAGAGCTTCAATTGCCAAAGCTGCTGAATACCCAGAATTTCATTTTATTGGACTTTTATGCAAAATTCATATGGAGTTACATAAAATTCTGCCTCTGAGCATTTTCAATGTAATATTTGTTTCTTCGTTGAAGACTGTTTTTCACTTTCTAGGTTTACATATGAATTCATTTTCAGAGTGCCTTTATCTTGGTTTCTACTACATAGTCTCATCTCAGTGGAGCTCTGCGTTGCATTACCAATGGTGGGCTATCATTCTCCAGGTGTATGTATTGTCAGTAATTTTACTATTGGGCTTTCTTTGTTTCTCTAGTAACTTCCATATAATACCAATTAATTGTTCTGCTGTAACTATTATTATTGTCAATTTAGCCTTTACTAGAACTTTGGTTTATTGTTAAGAATTTATTTCGCCTGATAAGAATTTGTTAATATACTAACAAACTTAAAGTGATTTATTGAGCACCTATCTGTGCCAGATATTTGGCTAGACCCAGGGGAATTCAAAAACAAGTCAGAACAAAGCCAGAGGCCTCACATAACCTGACTTCAAAAGATATTACAAGGCTATAGTAACTAAAACAGCATGGTATTAGCATAAAAATAGACACATACACCAATGAACAGAATAGAAAACCCAGAATTAAAGACACACATTTACAGCCAAGTGATTCTCAACAAAGCCAACAAGATCTTACATTGGGGGAAAACACCCTCTTCGATAAACGATGCTGGGAAAATTGGATAGCCACATGAAGAATGAAACTGGACCCATGTCCCTTATCATGCACAAAAATTAACCCAAAATACATTACAGACTTAAATGTAAGACCCAAAACTACAAAAAACAAACAAACAAAGAAAAACCTAGGTAAAACTCTCCTGGACCTTGGTCTAGGCAAAGAATTTGTGACTAAGACATCAAAAGCACAGGCAATAGAAACAAAAATAGCCAATGGAACTTAATTAAACTAAAAAGCTTCTGCACAACCAAAGAAATAATCAAGAGTGAAGAGACACCCTGTTGAATAGGAGAAAATGTCTGGAGACTATTCATCCAACAGGAAATAATATCCAGAATATACAAGGAACTCAAACAACTCAATAACAACAACTAAATAATCCCACTAAAAAGCGAACAAAGACATGAATAGACATTGCTTAAAAGAAGACATACAAATGGGTCACAGGTATGTGAAAAAATACTCAACATTACTAATCATAAGAGAAATGCAAATCAAAACCACAATGCGATAATCATTTTATCGAGTCAAAATGGCTATTTAAAAAAAGACAAAATAATAGATGCTGGTGAGGATGTGGAGAAAAGGAAACCCTTATACACTGTTGGTAGGAATGTAAACCAGTACATCCCCTGTGGAAAGCAGCATGGAGATTTCTCAAAATCTAAAAATAGAATTACCATTTGACCCAGCAATGCCACTACTTGGTTTCTACCCAAGCAAAAAGAAATAAACTCATGAAAGGGATACCTGCACTTGCATGTTTATTGCAGTATTATTCACAATAGCAGAGATATGAAATCAACCTAAGCATCCATCAGTGGATGAATGGATAAAGAAAATGTGGTATATATACACAATAGAATATTATATGACCATAAAAAAGAATGAAATCATGCTATTTGCAGCAACATGGATGGAACTGGAGGCCATTATCTTAAGTGAAATAATCTATGCACAAAAAGACAAATATCACATGTTCTCACTTATATGTGGGAGCTAATAAATTTGATTACATGGAGGTAGAGAGTGGAAAGATAACAGAGACTGGTAAAAATGGGGAGGAGGATGAAGAGAAGTGGCTTAAAAGTGCAAACATACAGTTAAATAGAAGGATTAAATACAGTGTTTGATTGCAGAGTAGGGTGACTATAGTTAACAAAAATTTACTGTACTTTGACTTGATCACTCTGTCTTATATACATGCAAGAGCATTTCACAAGTACCCCATAAATCTGTACAAATAAAAAAGACACAAACATTTGCTCCAGTGAGGATAAAATATGATAAGACGAAAGGTCTTTCCTTAAATAACAGTGTGAGCTAACCAGAGATTATCAACTTGATCATCTTTTTTCCCTCTGATATAGACCAACAAATGATTAGTTGTTTGTTGTTATATGGAAGCATATTATAATCAAACAGATACCATTGTCTGAATTTGCTGGTTTGGCTAGTCTAGTAATATACAATAAAAAAAAAAAAGAACTACAACTAGAAATTAGAATTCTAGCATTTCAAAAATGCCTTTTACATGCATTATTTTATTTATGCATCACAAACCCTAAACATTAAAGAAAACAGACCTTTCCTACCTACCTTACACTACAGTAAGACACCAGGTGCTCACAGACACCAAGATTATTGTTTGAAGAAGTGTGTAAATATAAGCCTCCAGGACAGCTTATTCCTAGTTGGTTTTTATTTCAAGACATTATATGGGAGTTGGCAGTTATACATTATAGACATTTAATAAATATAAGTTCGATAAATAATATTATTAAGAATTTTTATTAATAATTATTATCAAAATTATTATTCTTAATAATAAATTTCTGATACTTGGTGCTACAATTTCATTCAAATCCAATATGCTTACATGAGGTCTGCCTATTTGAAAGGTTTTTCATCCACAATAATAATAATTAAAGAAACCCTCAAATCAAGTGCAATGAAGGGTTTCTTTCCATGGAAAAAATTCTTTAAACTACACTCTAAATTCCACAATAAAGAAATGTCTCATTTCAAAAATCAATATTAGATTCTTCTCACAACAACAAAAGTACATTAATATTATGGAAAGTGCTCTTCAGAACTATCAGATAGCAGAATCCTGGCATGTCATTGTTATTCTTTCTCCTTTGTCATCTTTAATGAGAAGTCCTTTTATATCACGATGTTATGTTTTAGAATATTGAAAACATATCAGACAATAGATAAAATATCATCTGGCTCTACAGTGAATCTTTTAGAATTTTTATTTTTAATGTGCTTAGATTCTGCATCTGTTAATTCCCAGTTGATTACTCAGAATTGTTTCTCCTGCCAAATACCAACTACCAAGTCTTTATTTTTATTTCTAAGTCCTGACGGTTCCTCTCCTAATAAACTAAGAATATGAAAACCTACAGAAGGAATTACAATTGCCCTACCTTACAGGATTGTGTCAAAGTTAATGAAATAATCAACTATTAAGTTCATTAATAGTTCATGACTTTCATAAGACAGGTATGACAATAAATGCAAAGTTTTACTCATCACACCAAAGTGTCATCATTTATGCTTTGTCAAAAATTAAAAATATGGCATAAAAACTTTCCTGAAATCAGCTGATTGTTCCTAAAAGAATGACTGTTGCTTTCATTTCTTGTACTGAAGTATATCCATTTACTATGACCTTTAATAATGGAGACTTTTTATTGGGTCACATAATATACTAGTATGTGTCATAATAGGCCCATTCTTGGCGCAGTGACTAGATGGAGCACATTTAGCTTGGCTACTGGACAGCCTTCATCAGCGACTCATGATGCTCATCTCTACAGCCCAGAGGACATTTAAAGAACTAAATAAAGATATAGAAGGCGGCCCCTTCTCTCATCAGTAAGCCTTACCATCTAAGGGACACTCTGGACATCGGAAGATTCCAAGTCGTCTCTTATGGTATAGAAATATTTGTAGAGAATTTTCGAAAGACGGATGATTTATTTCTGTCTTTCTCTCAAAACACCCCGGGGCCAGTACTTCATCACTATGTCTAGGCCTTGTATTGCCTAAAATAAGCATCCACTTACAAAATGGTGGTTTCTTCCTTTATTTGGAAAGGAAAATTCTCTGAAACAACTTACCAAAGGCTTCATCTTCAATGGGGCCATCTATTAGTGACATAGTTGGGAAAAGCCAATTAATGCAAGGATGGTGCATAACTGCAAATAAGCGCAATACAATATTATACAATACCTTGAATTACTCATTTCAATTGGCCACTTGAGGGCGCCAAAGCAGAAGCAATAAGAGTCCTTAGTCTTAGCACTTCAGAGAACTGCTTGCTTTCTCTACATTTCTGTTTACACAGATGGTCTTGCTTCAAACACCACTGCATGGTAAACAGTATCTTTAAAACTGGCAGATATGATAAGATGAATATTTTCTCATTCCTGCTTTTGGTTACTTCTAAACTGTGCAACAAAGCTAAGAGTTTGTGTTATCGCATGGAAACACATTCCTTTATTCTCAGCATGAATTTCGCATGAAACCAAGACTTCCATCCAAACACACTGAACATAATTTAATTCATTTTCTTTCATACTTCTTACTTCACCTTCAATTTTTTATGACTATTTCTTTCCCACTAGCATTTTTCTACTACTCTGACTCCATTGTACAATCAAGGATTTAAATTCCATTTGTTACATTAGTCTCAAAGCCATTTAAGTAACGACATAGCAGTCTGCTTGCTAGAATGCTATGGTGGATGCTTTAGTCTTCCTTCTTTTCAAGAGCCATGGTGCTTTGAAGCTTTAAGCTCTTATGTCTTTATGCTCTTTATGTCTTTATGATCTTTAAGTTCTTATGTCTCCATATTTTGATTATTTATTTACATATCTTTTCCTATTAAACTATGAGTTCTTTGAGTGCAAGAAATGGGCCTTAAATGTACCTTTCTGTCTTCTGTGTAAGCTCTCAATAATAGCTGGCTAAGTGAGAAAAGAAGAACATGATTCCTGATCTCAAGTAGAATTTAGTCTGATAGGGAACGTGAGTCAGGCACCTTGAAAAGTTAAATAATATTAAAGAAGTTAATACAATGTCAAAATATGAGTTGTCTACAGTGGTGTTGTCCAACAGAAACATAACTGAAAGTTTTCTAGTAGCTACATTAAAAAGGTAAAAGGTAACAAGTAAAAATAATTTTAATAGTATATTTATTTAATCAAGTATACCCAAAATATTATCATTTCAACATTTGACTGATATAAAATATTTATTATGATATACTTCACATTTTTTGTCTTTGAAATTCAGTATGTATATCTAGATAGATAGAAAGTTGATGGATGGATGGATAGATAGATAGACAGATGGATAGATAGATAGATAGGTTTTTTTGTTTGTTTGTTTGTTTGTTTGTTTTTGAGATGGAGTCTCCCTCTGTCACCCAGGCTGGAGTGCAGAGGCATGATCTCGACTCACTGCAACCTCCGTCTTCTGGATTCAAACAATTCTCCTGCCTCAGCATCCCAAGTAACTGGGATTACAGATGCCCACCACCACGCCCAGCTAATTTTTGTATTTTCGGTAGAGATGGGGTTTCACCATGTTGGCCAGGCTGGACTCAAACTCCTGAGCTCAAGTGATCCACCCTCCATGGCCTCCCAAAGTGCTAGGATTACAGGCATGAGCCACTGCACCCACCCTGAAATACAGTGTATATTTTACACTTAAAGGACAACTCAATTCAGACACAATATTTTCATCAGAAATACTTGATCTGTGCTGAGATTACTTACAATTTACAATTGAAAAGTAGATTCACATGCTCAAGTTGTTCCAAATACATTTTAAAACTTTTCCAATAATTTGAGTACCAAAACATTATTTTTGTTTAATATTCATATGCACATTGACAAAACTGGTTTGTTTTTTAAAAAGAATTGTTTAGACTTTGAAGCAAAATCATATACCTTTAAAACTATAGCTCCCCAAGTTAAGTAAACTCACTAACTGTTAAGTCAACCGGTTATTAACATTGAATTCAGACTATTGTGTAAATTAAAAATCAACTCCTAATCAATCAATATCAACAAAGCATTCTTCATGTTTTTCATGTAGTTTGTGCAGCCAATTTATATAAAACTGTCAATTACAATTAAAATCTTCTGAATACTGATTTATAAATATTTGTAAAATCTTTAGTATTGTTTAGAAGTATAAAAAGGTTTAATTTCAACAGAAGTTCTCATGCATGTCTACCTAATCACAAATATGCTTTTTCTTTCTATTGGAGCTTCAAATTTATATTATTCACATGTAGTGTGGTATCAGTGACAGAATATAAACCACATTGTCATTTCTTTTGTCTTTAATTATTAAATATATGGTAAACATTTATTAGTTTCAAGAAAATCTTGAATTGGAGTTAGCAGCACAGGAAATTTTGTAAAAAGTCTTCCATGACTTAATGCATGAGCTTTGGTCAAAGAACTTAAGATCATTAGAGTCCTAATCTCGTGTTTCTTTCAGCAGTCCTCTAAACTTGCAGTGATTCCTAGCATACACCCATATGTACTGAACAAGCATACCCATTAAATATTTCGAGGAGTCTGTCTGAAAAAACTGCATACATACTGTATGTATCATAGCACAGAATGAAAGAAGAAAGAAAAATTCTCGTTTTAAAATTCCAGTACACTAGAGCAGTTTCATCACAATAGAAATTATTTTTTTCATAATTAGCTTAAATTCTTCTTTGGAGATATGAAAGAATCAAAAATATCTATGCCGTGCAGTTGTGAAACCACACTTCTTCATATCTTTGGAAGTAAATCCTTTGAGACAAAAGGCACCCACATTGCTAATTGAACACTATCTCTTCTATTGCAAGACTCAACTAAAGTGAAAAGAAAGTGCTTTCAATTTTTCCAATTTGGATTCATTAGATCATTGATACGGTTAGAAGGGTCTTGTATTATGAAGCAACTGTTCGGTTAATTAAGTGTAGATATTTCACTTTTTATAAAATACCTTTTTAAGGCTTTTCTGCAAGATTGGAGAACAGAAGTTCCATATCTGACACAGTGACTCCTTTTACATTCCTTCATCTAAAAATGGCTTTCTTTTTCATACAAATATACAAGCCATTTAATAGCTGGCCCTAGTTACAAGGTCAGATTTACTTAAACATTATAATATTTTCATTGTGATGATTGGACTGTTCATCCTTATTTTTGCCAACTAATTTTTTTAATTCTTTTTTAACTTGTAACTGTTGAGAGGAAAGTTATTATTAAATTCACTGTGTATTTCCTGAAAATACATCTAAATATTATCCACTTTATTAACATAAAATCTTTTTTCACAACAGCTTTGAAAGCTTTTTAGGTTTTGCTCTGCCACAACAAATTGCAATTGCCATTCATCATTGGGACATATCTTCTTCCAATTTCTGTCTCTCACTCTTTCTCTCTCTTCCAGTCTTCTGGGCATAGTGCTAGCTTCTGCAACTCTTGATTTTAAATCAGCAACATGCCTTCATTTTAAATCTAAAAATATATGTCCATACTTACTTTTTAACAAGAAAAATAATTTAATTATACTACAATTAAAATATAATAGATATCCCCAACATAGTACCATAATTATACCTACCTTACAATTAGTTACTGTGACTTTGGCTGTCTGTCTCAACAACTCGAATACATTATACTGTTTTATCAGTGCTTAGAAAACATATTTGGAACTGAGTCAGTTCAGTGATATTGACTAGATGGATGATGCGTTTATCTAGAAATGAAGTCCATACCCCCATCCACCCTCACCTCACATACATTGTGATATAATAATGTTTTATGTGGTACAACAAAAAAATAAAATATTGTCCTACCAAAAAACAGAGTTGTGTTTAATAAAAAATGTTATTTGCATTGCTTCAGATTCTAAATTCGGAGATAAATTAATTAAAACTAAATAAAATAACAAACTCGATGTCTCAGTCATAGGAACCACATTTCTAGTGCTCAGTAGCCTCAGGTGGTGAGCAGCCTCCCAACTGAACAGTGCAGCTGTAGGCTGTGCATTCCCCAAGATTACGGGTTAAACATAACATTTTTGTTGTCCACCATACCCAGCACATAAACAATTATGGATTGAATTTGGTATCCTATTGCCATACATGATTAAAGTGAGAACAAACATGTGTTTGCAAATGCTTCAAGTTCCTAAAGAAGACTTCGCAAAAGAATTGAGACTTTAACTGGTATTAAATATTTAAAGGCAAAAAGCAACAGAGAAAGTGCACTTTAAGCAGCTAAGTAACAAACCAAAACAGAGCACAGATGGGAGAAGAATGAGGAAGGTAAAAATCTAGAACGTTAGATTGAGGTCAGGAGCAGAAAGCCAGAAGTGGACATTAGCCAGTTGGTAGTGCGGGACTTCTAAGAATTGTAAACAGGAAAGTTATTATGAAAGACACATTTTAGGACTTATCACGTTAGAGTGATATTATTCTAAATTTTTTTTTAGGAGGATTCATCTGGCGACTCAGCAGGTTAGTGAAGAAAAAGTTAGAAGAATATTACCCTAAATCACGGTCAGGTGATAAGGGTCTGCATTATGACAGCTGGAACTGAAGTGAATGAAATAAATGTGAGCACCACAAAGGAAGTCTCATCGGGGCTTGGCTGAATATAAAGAGAGGGAGGAATTAAAATGTGTTCTGTTTTTCATGTGGTAAGAAGGGATTGGTTTACAATTGTCCCAATGGTCCTTGTATCCCTGCTAAGGAAACATCATAATTATTTATCTTTATTTCCCTTCCTACCAAATTAAGAAATCAAATTTGAAGAAAAACCATGGCTAATCACATATGTGAAGGAGTCTCTCTGTCGCTCAGGCTGGAGGGCAGTGGCACAATCTTGGCTCGCTGCAACCTCCGCCTTCTGGGTTCAAGCGATTCTCCTGCCTCAGCCTCCCGAGTAGCTGGAATTACAGGCGCGCACTAACGCGTCTGGCTAATTTTTGTATTTTTAGTAGAGACGGGGTTGCGTTATGTTGACCAGGCTGGTCTTGAACTCCTGACCTCAGGTGATCCACCCACCTCGGCCTGCCAAAGTGCTGGGATTTAAGGTGTGAACCACCGTGGCTGGTCTGTGGAGGAGACTTCTGTACAATAGTGCACAGGGAGCTGGAGCGTTGAAGTTTTATGAGCCCACAAGTTATCTGAGGAATAAGGAAGGGGTCAAGAAAAATGACTCAGGAAGTAGTCTTCAAAAATGCACACAGTTCAGGAACTAAAAGAGAAAGGGAAATAAGAAAAGGAAGAGACCCAGAAAAATGTTGTGCTATGGCGGTCCAACCAGGAAAAAAAAAAGTGTCGTAAAAAGGAAAAAATTGAGCTGGGCGCGATGGCTCATGCCTGTAATCCCAGCACTTTGTGAGGCCTAGGCGGGCGGATTACCTGAGGTCAGGAGTTTGAGACCAGCCTGACCAACATGGTGAAACCCTGTCTCTATTAAAAATACAAAAATTAGCCGAGCATGGTGGCAGGCAACCGTAATCCCAGCTACTCTGGGAGGCTGAGGCACGATAATCGCCTGAACCTGGGAGGCAGAGGTTGCAGTGAGCTGAGATCGTGCCATTGCACTCCATCCTGGGAGAAAAGAATGAACGAAAGAAAAGAAAAGAGAAAAAATTGGCTGGGCGCAGTGGCTCATGCCTGTAATTCCAGTACTTTGGGAGGCCAAGGTGGAAGGATTGTTTGAGGCTGAGAGTTCACGACCAGCCTGGGCAACGTAGTGAGACCTTGCCACTACAAAAACTTTCAAAAATTAGCCGGGTGTGATGGCTCCTGCGAGTGTGGTCCCAGCTACTTGGGAGGCTGAGTTGGGAGGATCACTTGAGCCCAGGAGATCAAGGCTGAAGTCAGCCATGATTACGCCACTGCACTCAAGCCTGGGTGACAGAGCGGGACCCTGTCTCAAAAAGGCAAAAACTGTCAATAGTTTAAAAAAGCATTGGTATACCAGTAAGGGGCTTACAACTTTGTTTTTTTAGACTACAGTTTTTCAGTTTGTGGTCTTTTAGCAATATTTGCTGATATTTTTCTGTCCTGGCTAATTTTTTTTCAAATGTAATTCTAAGTACTTATCAATTTGTAAATATACATTGTTCTCTTTCTTAATGAATAAAAGGTAATCTCTCCAACTCCAATCTTAAACTTTTAAGTTATATGAAAAATTTATACATTTTATGTGCTTCATGAAAAAATATGAATTTTTACCATCTACTAGAATTAAAATACCTTAGAAGTAGAAAGTACTTATTTTATTCTCCACACATCCTTAAATAGCCCATGCAATTACAAAGTAGTTAGTAAGTATATGAACTAAACAAAAATGATTCATATATGAGTACCAATATATAAATATATGCATCCTGAAACAGGTTACCATTGACTTCTGAAGAAGAATGTGTAATTCTATCAACCATTCAGGTCTACATCATTTTTTTATTCTTAGCTGTACCACAGGAGACTAAACCAATAAATACAGCAATTTTTAAAATCAATTCACCTGGTATTCAAGGTTTTAATTGTACTTTCTTCTCTTCTATAGCTATTGCTACAAATGTTTAAAGAGTCAAATGAAAAGATTACATTGAATTAAACAGTAAATTCATTTTAAAATACAGAAAAAATACAATACTATTGAAATGTCATATAAATTATTTTACATCTGGTGAAATAAAATATTACAGAATATTATAAATGGAGACACACAAAGCCAGATACATATGTTAAAAAAAAATTATGTATGGACTAATAGATAGGAAATCATGCTAAAATGACCACACCCTGTATGTTTAAGTATGTTGGAACTAGGTAGGGTTTTTTCATCTTTTCCTGTTTTACCAAAATGTCTATATTGAGGGTAACCTTCTGTAAACAAATTTGAATGTATACATTTAAAAACAAAGCTCTAAATAACCTTTCTAGGTTCGCCTTGCTTCTGAATCTTCTGCAGTCTGTTTAAAGCAACTGGCCTGCACATGCTGATGCTCTCACAGATTTAAGAGTTTAAGAAGAAATCCACAAATTCAAGCATATACATCTAATAAGTTAATTGAGTTTTTAATGGCATTTATTTGTATTTTGATAACTAGTTAGCAAATGAAAAGTGCACTGGAAAGAATGCATTAAATTACTTAGGTGAAGGAATGACATACATAAAAATTGTCAAAGGGATGACGGAGGAAAATAAACCAGTTTCATTAAACCAACACCTAACACATGCAGTGAAAAACCCCTTGTTCTGATGGCAATGAACGTTGTATTTCTATCTTAATACTTTGCATTACGACTGTCCAATGCATTGTATAGTTTTCAAGGACCCAATCATACTCTTAAAGTACTTCCTTAATAAGAGGTAAATTATATAATAGTAGAACACAGCTGTGTTTGCTACAAAAATTCAATAAAACAATTTAATAATCTTCATAAAGTATTTATCTACTTGAGTGAATTAACTAAGTACTCAATAGAAATTGCTTTAGTTCTCCACAGCCATTTACTCATGTGGTATATCCTCTGTGCACATTTCTCAAGTGCTCCTCTGAGGTGTGGACAGCATTCCACACACATTGGACAAAGACTGCTGAACCAGCCGAAATCTACAGATGAAGACTCCATAAAAGTAACAAGCAAGGAAAAATAAACTACATGACATGCCTTGATTCCATGTCTCTTTTCGTCATGTTATATATTTTTCTTGTGAAATAAGGTTTGGAAGAATCTGAGGGCCAAAACTGAAACCAAAAAGTACATGGCAAAAAATAACATATAAATAACTCTTAAAATATGAGGGAAAACATAAAAATATAAAAACCAGATGAAGAAAATAGGCAAAGGGCACAAATAACTCCCCTGCCTCCTCACTCCCCAGTTCTCTCTCTCTCTCTCGCACTCTCTCTCTCTCTCACAAAGACATATAAAGAAATGATACTCAAACTTATGAAAAGGTGTTCAACCTCACTTAAACACATGAAAAGATGTTCAACACAAGAGAAACAAAAATAAACAGACATCATGTATGGCATCTATCACATTCTCAAATATCATTACACACTGTCAACAAGACTATGGCAAACGGGTTCTATGGTACATTACTGGTTCTGTCATACATAATTGCATACACACATGCAAAATGGTGAAATCTACATGGAGCAGAATTTAGCAATAACTCACAAAACAACATATCCATTTACCTTTTGCTGCAGCAATCTCATTTTTCTAGAAATTAATGCTAAACGTATATCTCCAACAATACAAAAACATACGAATTAGGGTTTTCACTGTGGCACTATGTCTAAACTGCAAAATACTAGAAACAACCTCATTGCTCATAAATAGGAGAAGAGTTGAATAAACTACATTACATCCACACAATGAAATACTCTACCACTGGAAAGAATAGATAGGTCTGTAATTTTTGATATGGCATGATTTTTAACATACTTATTAAATGATAAAAGCAAAAAAAAGTATGCAACTTTTATTTTAAAAAGAGAAGAGGAGAGATATATATGTATTTACTTCTTTGTACAGAAAAAAACCTGGGAAGGTAGGAAGGAAGTGTAAATCTAAAATTAATGTCATGCACTACCACAAAAGGGTAGGGGAAATGAGAAAATAAATCAAGAGGAGAATAAGATTTATCTGAGCATATCTTTTTATATAAACTTTACTTTTGAACATGTTACTACTTTCACAGTCCCAAAAATAAAACAACGTTCACAAGAATTGGAGAAAAAAACTAAAATAGCACACCAGTCAGAAAAAAATGAGCCTATATAGCTATATCAAATTAATAAAGTAATCATATAGAAAAATATTAAATCAAGTAACTTGATTATACCCTAAGTGGGATATATCCTGATTATTCCCTAAGTGGGATATATTCTAAAAACAGAAAGGGCATATAGTCTAAAGACAGAAAGGACTGCCAAGAAATCATGAACTTTACTTGGTTAGTTTGCTGTTGATGTGATATCAGCGGAGCAATTCTGAAAATATTTTTTGTATTATAGATAAGAGTCAATGGTATGTACGTTGATATTGTCGAACAAGATATGGAAATGGAAAGGAAGAATTCTATATATTGAATGAAAATTCTAGATATCAGTCTGAACTACTCACTCTCAATAGATGGATAATTGACAGGTAGATTTATATGAAAGATTTATAAATAGATTTATATATAGTCTAGAAGCAGTGACACCTGCAGTAGCAATAAGCACATCGGTCAGAAGAAGAAGAGTACAATGAGAGAACAGAACATTTTGTTTTGCCACAAAGTAAGAAAGTGCCCCAAAACAAGATCCAAGGGTTACCATTAGCAAAATGTGGCTGAACTTCAGTAAAAAATAATGATCAAAACAATATATTATAAGGCATAAAATTTTAAAATAAATAGAGTTCTGGGCCGGGCGCAGTGGCCCACGCCTGTAATTCCAGCACTTTGGGAGGCCGAAGCTGGTGGATCACTTGAGGTCAGGAGTTCAACACCAACCTGACCAACATGACAAAACCCTGTCTCTACTAAAAATACAAAATTAGCTGGGTGTGTTGGTACATGCCTATAATCCCAGCTACTTGAGAGGCTGAGATAGGAGAATCGCTTGAACCCGGGAGGCAGAGGTTGCAGTGAGCAGAGATCGTGCCATCGCACTCCAGCCTGGGCAACAAGGGCAAAACTTCGTCTCAAATATATAAATAAACAAATAAATAAAGTTCTGAATGATTGATATTCAAAAAAGGCAGGGAAAGGAAGGAAAGCACACTCTTCTTGACAAAAGAATGACAGCTAATACGTCCAGAAGAAATTCTGGAATTAGAAAATTACTGTTTTGGAATTCCCAGTGGAATCATTGATTCAGGCAACAATCATCAATGTATGCTAAAACCATTGGGTCAAATTTTCTTGTAAAACAGGATATTCATATCATTTAAAGGTCTTACCCCAAAAACGATGAACTAATTACACAGTGTAGAAAGTTGTTTTTATGGAAGAATACCAAGTGATCAAATGTAACAGTAATAGGACAAGCTGATATTATTTGCTTCCTAATGTAACCCACTGGTAAGAACACCATTTCACCTATGACTATTCTTCCCAAAAAATGTTTCAAAGAGAATCTGGTAATGAGGAAACAATCAAAGAAATCCTAATCATAGACATATGTAATTGTGGGACAATGCACAAAACCACTGCACAAAATCAGTGTCACAAAGGGCGTATGTGGAAGAGCCATTCTAGAACAAAGAGTCTAAAGAGACATAACAACAAAACCCAGTATTTGATTGGCTTCTAAATCCAAAATTTAAAAAATAAACTAAAAAGGATATTTTGTGGGAAATTGGAATAGGAGCTTTCACAAAATTATTGAATTGATACACCTGTGATTGCAAAATAATCAATATACTGTCTTAATTATGAGGGAGAGAAAATAAAAGTAATTTAATATAAAATAACATATAAGTCAATATTTTGTTATGAACGTACAAATATATTTGAATTTGAATACATGATAAGACAGTCAGATGTTTGTCCCTGAATACAGACTTATCATGGGTGAAACAGCTGTACATGGAGTCTACTATCAGTGTGCTGTGTTAACACAAGCGCCATGAATGACACGCATGTTACTGCCTTTAGTTTTCGCAGTAGGGAACAATGACTGGGAAAATTCCAAACAAAACACAACACAAACTTCTTTCATTTTACATTGTAGTTGCATTGCTAATAAAAATCAGTAAAACATAAAATCTTGCAAAATATACTCTGCAATTATATATTTAAAATACCTCCGTTCTAGGCTCTGAAAATTATAAAGTTTTCTAAGTACATGAATGTCTGGTGGTGTATTTTTAAAAATTGTACAAAATCAAGACTATTATTTGCTGGGCAAGACAGTCCTCATTGCAGGATGTTGAGCATACCTGGGCCCTTCCCACTATATACTAAAGGTGCCCTAAGGTAGGTGGGAGCCAACTCTGAGGTGGAGATCAATATGCAGGACTTTATTAAAAAGTGTTCTTGGTTTCAACACAGTGGAAGGGAAGGAAGTAAGATTGGGCAGAGAGGGAAATTAGTCTCCATGAAGTCCTCAGATTATCCCATGGGACATTCTGAAGTGAGGAGCCTTCCAGCATGGACAGAGTATTGGGCCAGGATACGCCCAGATCAGTTATTGGATGTGGGCTGCTCTGGGAATAGGGTGGGTTCTTGGACAAGGTGCCTGTTGTGAGCAGAGAGAATCCTGAAGAGAGCTGACAGCTGAGAGCTATCAGACGGCAGCACAGCCAGCAGCTGGAGTGACAATCCTCCACGCCTGAAGGGGGAGCTGGGTACAGATAACAAAGTCCACTATACATTCCTAAGAAGTATGACAATAAAAGTAAAAGCCAATGTTTTAATCTATATAAAATGTAACTGTATTTTCCACCGAAAGTGTAGGACACTCTTAAGATTTTTTTAAATTTTTGTAAAGATGATTTTTTAGTTTCCTTCCCCATCACCCCTTGTACACACACAAACCCACATGCACAATACACACACACCTCTTAGATTTGGAATTGGAACGACATTAAATTCATAAATTAATTGACAAGAAAATTGTCTTCTCATTCGGGAAAATGGCAGAGGTTTTCACTTAATTATAACTAAATAAAATAGACATTAATAGTTTAAAAAACCCTGATAACTGCTAATAAAGGAGAAGTCCCTTAATTTACTGTAAGTTATCTGCAAAAGAATTCAGTTTTTGCAGATTCACCTACTGGCTGAAATTTGTCACCCAAAATCAGTTCTGCACTGTTGCAGACATTGACAGGCACCTGTAGAGCAGTGCAAAATTTGACTCACCAATCCTCACGTTCTCAGCTGAAGGTGAACAGACCTTGCTTTGCCTTTTTGTTTCAGTGCTCATACTGTAAAAAAGTGTCCTTTCCACCGGGCGCGGTGGCTCACGCCTGTAATCCCAGCACTTTGGGAGGCAGAGGCGGGCGGATCACGAGGTCAGGAGATCGAAACCATCCTGGCTAACACGGTGAAACCCCGTCTGTACTGTGAATACAAAAAATTAGCCGGGCGTGGTGGCGGGTGCCTATAGTCCCAGCTACTCGGGAGGCTGAGGCAGGAAAATGGCGCGAACCCGGGAGGCGGAGCTTGCAGTTAGCCGAGATCGCGCCACTGCACTCCAGCCTGGGCGACAGAGCGAGACTCCGTCTCAGAAAAAAAAAATAAAATAAAATAAGTGTCCTTTCCTTGGTTTGTTTAGTGCCACATTGTTGTATTTTTATTGGCGATTATACTGTTTAAAACAGCCCCCAAGCATACTGCTGAAGTGCTATCTACTGTTACAAAGCCAGAAAGCTGTGATATGCCTTATGTAGAAAAATATGTGCCACATAAACTTTATTTAGGCATCAGTTACGGTGTCGAATGCCATGAGTTCAATGCTAATGAATCAATAATATATATTAAACAAGATTACGTGGATATATTGATTTAAAAAGTTGTGATCAGAGGTGCACAGCAACTTAACCTTGTATTTCTCCTTGGAGCAATGATTCAGCATTCACTAATCCAATGTTTGTCACTACCTTATAGGATATAACTTACAACATCTTATGGAATAGAACTACTATGAATAATGATAATGAAATGTATAAGGGTTAGAAAGGAAAGAATGAAACAGTCCTTATTTGCAAATGATATTAGTATTAACATAGAAAATCCAAAATAATCCATAAGGATTATAATTAATAAGTACATTTAATAAGTAAATTAATAAGTAATATTTCTATTTACAAATTTATTATATAAAAATCAATTATGGGGGGAGGGATAAAAGACTATAATTTGGGTTCAGTGTATACTGCTCAGGTGATAGGTACACCAAAATCTCACAAATCACCACTAAAGAATTTACTCATGTAACCAAACACCACCTGTTCCCCCCAAAACCTATGGAAATAAAAAAATAAAAATAAATACAAATTAAAAAATAATTTTAAAAGTCAATTTCATTTCTATGTAACACAAAATAGAAACGTAAAATTTAAAAACACATCACTTATAATAGCGTCAAACAATTACCAATAGTTGGAATAAATCTAACAAAAGTCATGTAAGATCACTACAAAAATAACTATAAGACGTTGATAAAGAAATTTAAAACCTCAGAATCAAAGAGTGTACTATGTACGTGAATTGGAAAACTCAATCATGTTACCATATTGATTCTCTGCAAATTTATCTATAGCTTCAGTAAATTGTCAATCAAAATCCTAGCAAGATTTTTTATAGAATATGTCAAGATGATCTTAAAATATATATGAAAATGCAAAAGTCCAGGAAAAAACCAAAATTGTCTTATGGAAAAAGAATAAAGTTAGAAGAGTTGTGTTATGATAAATCAATAGTTGACTGGTAATATTAACTGGCAATACTAAAATAGTATAAGATTGGTGCAAAGCTACCAAAATAGACTATGAAACAAAACAGAGAGTCTAAAAACAGACCTGCACATATGTGAACACTTGATTTTTGTGAGAAGTGGCACTGCAAAGCAATAGGGAAATGGTATTTTTTTTCAATAGATGGTGCTATTTAAATGTACATTAAAATAGAAAAAAATAGAAACTTGACTCCTAACATTGTACTTTTTATAAAAATCAATTCCACATTTGCTATAGAGCTAAATATAAAAGGGTATATAATAAAGCTTCTGGAAGATATTATAGAAGAATATCTCTATGACCTTATGGTTAGCAAAAACTCCATAATGAAAACACAATAATGCAAAAGTCATAAAATAAAGTAGAGAAATTAAGCTTCATTAAAATTTAATAATTCTGTTTACCAAATGATAAAATTAAGGAAGTGAAAAATTGATCCATAGGTTGGGTATATATATCTGCAATTCATATATTAGCAAAAGGTTGATTTGTAGCTGTAATATATAAGAACTCTTGTAAATCAATAAGAAACAAAATTTAACAGTAAAAGAGAACAGTCAAATGGTCAAAAAACGAAAACAAAATAAAGCAAACAATGAAAATGTGCTTATTTCTCATTTGTCAGCAGGAAAATGCAAATAAAATCACAGTAAATGCCATTACATCTTCACTAGAGTGGCTAAAATTAAAACAACTGATGATAATTGCAGAATAGATGAAATTCTCACAGACTGCTGGTGGGAGTGCAAATTGGTACAATCACCTGTAAGAAGTGTTTATCAGCATCTACCAAATCTGAATATATGCAGGAATACTTACCCTATAACCCAGCAAATCCACAGCCCACTCCTAAATAACCAGTAGAAATGTATACACATATTCCAAAATGTATATAAAAGAACAAATGTCCATAAGCAGTAGAATGGTTAAATTGTGGTATACATGGTAATTGAAAACTATACAGCATGAAAATGGAAAAAAAAAAAAAAAAAGCCCTGGTATTTGAAAAAAAAAAGCATAATAATCTTACAAACATATTATTCAAAATAACAAGATACAAAAACAACACAAGCTGCATGATTCCATTTATTAAAGCCAAACACAAGCGGAAGTAATCTGTGATGTTAGAGGTCAATGTTACAGGTCAGGAGAGTGGTCACCTCTGAGGAGAAAGAAGGGCATGCAATTGGCATAAGGCAGAGGAGCTTCTGAAATGCTGCCTGTATTCATTCCTGATCTAAGTGTTGGTTACTTGAGTTTATTTTCTTTGTAATATGCCATCAATCTATTATAATTTGTACATGTTTCTGATTGTGTTTTGTTTCCATTTTAAAAATTTAAACTAATAATTATTGTTCCATACAAACCATCCTCATCAGTGCCCAGGTCCACACACTTTCTCTTTTTCTGCATACATCCAATTCCAAACATGATACATGTAGTCCCATACAAATATTCTATGCTCAATTGAAAATAAATAATACACTATTGTCTTTTCAAGGAGACACCAACAGTCATGTCCAGTTTCTGGGTTCTGTGCTGAGTTTAAGAGCTCTAGGGGCGTGAATTCTTCTTGGTTAGTTCCAATTGTGGTTCCTCATGGCCCAAGAAGTAGTCAATGGTCCCAATTAATGAGAAATCTTATCATCCCAACACACTCAAAGTACCACCTTCAAAGATAACAATATCCTCATCATAATAAGAGCTTCCCTTGAAAAATAGAGAAGAGGAAGAGCCGCAGAGTGCTGATTGGTCTGTGATACTCATCCCCGTGGGAAGGAAGGGTAATGATTCCTTGCTCTACAGTAAAATGAGGCCCCCAGAGGCAATCTGGTTGGTTACAGTTGTTCTTGCTCTGAAGACTTTCTTGACACACCTGAAGGGACCCTGGGGGTGGGGGAGTGGGGAGTCAGGGGCAGAGGGATGGGGGATGATTCTCTTCTGGGGCTGCATGGCTTTAGGACCTTTCTTCCTTTTGGCATACTTGGAAGAGCTGATGATTGCTTTTGATTATAAGCACTCAAGACTCTCTTTTTAGATTTTGGCATTTCCTAGCAATAAGTCCCTTAAAAATTCAATTTGATGATGAACTTTAATTCATTCCACAAATATTTACTGAGTGCATATGATTGTCTAGGCTTTATTCTAGATACTTGGGATATATCAGGGAACAAAACAAATGTAAATACTAAACCCAAGGAGATTGTGTTCTGGAGGGAGCAGGCTGAGATTCAACAAACAACACAATAATAAGTAAATTATATGCTGTAGAAGGTAATTAGTGCCGGTAATAAAGAAGAAGTAAAGCATGACCTACCATAGAAAGGAAGGTTGGAATTGGAGGACAGCAAGATGGTGGAAGGGGAAATGGTAAAAGTTTAGTATTAATATTGTCAGTAGAGGCCACTTTGCAAAGGTGAAATTTAAGCAAAGACTTGAGTTAGAGAGGGAGTCAGCCAAGCAGTTATCTGAGGCAAGAGAATCCAAAGGAGTGGAAAACATAACAAACATACCCTAAGGGGAAGCATGATTGACCTGTCTAAGGATTGTAAAGGGTCATGGTGGCTGGAGGAAATGAGGGCAGGTTGAACAAGAAGTATGAGGAAGTAGCAAATGCAAAAGAACTGAAACCATAACAAACAGTCTCTTGGGCCACAGCTCAAACAAATTAGAATTCAAGATTAAGAAATGCACTCAAAACCACACAACCACATGGACATTGAACAATCTACTTCTGAATGACTCCTGGGTAAATAATGAAATTAAGGCAGAAATCCAGTTCTTTGAAACCAATGAGAACAAAGAGACAATATACCAGAATCTCTGGGATACAGCTAAAGCAGTGTTAAGAGGGAAATTGATAGCACTAAATGCCCACATCAAAAAGCTAGAAAGATCTCAAAGTGATACCCTAACATCACAACTAAAAGAACTAGAGAGCCATGAGCAAACAAACCCCAAAGATAGCAGAGGCCAAGAAATAATCAAAAGCAGAGATGAACTGAAGGAGATAAGGACATGAAAACCCGTTCAAAAAATCAGTGAATCCAGGAGCTGGTTTTTTTGAAAAAATAAAATAAAATAGACCATTAGCTAGACTAATAAAGAAGAAAAGAGAGAAAAATCAAGTAGACACAACAAAAAATAATAAAGGGAATATCACCACTGACCCCAAGAAAATACAAACAACCATCAGAGAACACTATAAACATCTCTATGTAAATAAACTAAAAAATCAAGAAGAAATGGATAAATTCCTGGACACATACACCCTCCCAGGACTGAACCAGGAAGAAGTTGAATCTCTGAATAGGCCAATAATAAGGTCTGAAATTGAAGCAGTAATGTATAACCTTCCAACCAAAAAAAACAAAAAAAGCCCAGGATCAGATGGATTTACAGCTGAATTCTACCAGAGGTACAAAGAGGAGCTGGTACCATTTCTTTTGAAACTATTCCAAACAATTGAAAAGGAGGGACTCATTCCTAATTCACTTTATGAGGCCAGCATCATCCTGATATCAAAACCTGGCAGAGATACAGCAAAAAAAGAAAAATTCAGGCCAATATACCTGATGAACATTGATGCAAAAATCATCAATAAAATACTGGCAAACTGAATCCAACAACAGCATATCAAAAAGTTTATCCACCACAATTAAGTCAGCTTTATCCCCAGGATGCAAGGCTGGCTCAACATGTGCAAATCAATTAATGTAATTCATCACATAAAGAGAACTAAAGACAAAAACCACATGATTATTGCATTAGATACAGAAAAGGCCTTCAATAAAATTAAACATCCTTTCATGTTAAAAACTGTCAATAAACTAGGTATTGATGGAACATGCCTCAAAATAATAAGAGCCATTTATGGCAAACCCACAGCCAGTATACTGAATGGGCAAAAGCTGGACGCATTCTCCTTGAAAACTGGCACAAGACAAAGATGAACTCTCTCACCACTCCTATTTAACATAGTAATAGAAGTTCTGGTCAGGGCAATCAAACAGGAGAAAGAAATAAAGCATATTCACATAGGAAGAGAGGAAGTCAAACTGTCTCTGTTTGTCAATGACACAATCCTACATCTAGAAAACCTCATCATCTCAGCCCAAAAGCTTCTTAAGGTGATAAGCAACTTCAGCAGTCTCAGGATACAAAATTAATGTGCCAAAATCACAAGCATTCCTATACACCAACAATAGAGAAGCAAAGAGCCAAATCATAAATTAACTCCCATTCACAATTGCTACAAAGAGAATAAAATACCTAGGAATACAGCTAACGAGGGAAGTGAAGGACCTCTTCAAGGAGAGCTACAAACCTCTGCTCAAGGAAATCAGAGAGGACACAAATGAATGGGAAAATATTCCATGCCCATGGACAGGAAGAATCAATATTGTGAAAATGGCCATACTGCCCAAGGTAATTTATAGATTCAATGCTATTCCCATTAAACTACCATTGATATTCTCCACAGAATTAGAAAAAAAACTTTAAATTTCACATGGAACCAAAAAAGAGACCTTATAGACAAGATAATCCTAAGCAAAAAGAACAAAGCTGGAGGCATCACACTACATGACTTCAAATTATACGACAAGGCTACAGTAACCAGTAACCAAAGCAGCATGTTACTGGTACAAAAACAGATACATGGCCCAATGGCACAGAATAGAAATCTCAGAAATAAGATGGCACAGCCACACCATCTGATCTTCAACAAACCTGACAAAAACAAGCAATGACAAAAGGATTCCCTTTTCAGTGCTGGAAGAACTGGACAGCCACACGCAGAAAATTGAAACCAGATCCCTTCCTTACACCTTATACAAAAATTAACTCAAGATGGATTAAAGACTTAATTATCCATTTGGATAACTAAAGACTCTAGTTATCCATTTGTCTAATCTTTTTTCAAGGTAAAACCTAAAATTGTAAAAACCCTAGAAGACAATCTAGGCAATACCATTCAGGACATAGGCACAGGCAAAGATTTCATGATGAAAATGTCAAAAGCAATGGCAACCAAAGCAAAAATTGACAAATGGGATATAATTAAACTAAAGAGCTTCTGCACAGCAAAAGAAACTATCATCAGAGTGAACAGAAAACCTACAGAATGGGAGAAAATTTTTGCAATCTATCCATCTGACAAAGGTCTAATATCCAGAATCTACAAGGAACTTAAACACATTTACAAGAAAAAAAAAAGACATTACAAAGTGAGCAAAGGACATGAACAGACACTTCCCAAAAGAAGACATTTACGTGGACAACAAATGTGACAAAGAGCTCAACATCTCTGATTATCAGAGAAATGAAAATCAAAACCACAATGAGATACCATCTAACACCAGTCAGAATGGCAATTATAAAAAAGTCAAGAAACAACAGATGCTGGTGAGGCTGTGGAGAAATAGGAACTCTTTTATATGGTGATTTCTGCATTTCCAACTGAGGTACCTGGTTCATCTCATTGGGACTGGTTGGACAGTGAGTGCAGCCCATGGAGGGCAAGCCAAAGCAGGGTGGGGCATTGCCTCACCCAGGAAGTGCAAGGGGTCGGAGGATTTCTCTTTCCTAGCCAAGGGAAGCCGTGACAGAGTGTACCTGGAAAATCAGGACACTCCCACCCAAATACTGTGCTTTTCCAACAGTCATAGCAAATGGCACACCAGGAGATTATATCCCGTGCATGGCTCAGCAGGTCCGACGCCCATGCAGCCTTGCTCACTGCTAGCCCAGCAGTCTGAGGTCGACCTGCAAGGCAGCAGGCTCCACCATGGCTGAGGCTTGAGTAAGTAAACAAAGTGGCCGGGGAAGCTCAAACTGGGTGGAGCCCACTGCAGTTCTGCAAGGCCTACTGCCCACCTCTGGGGCAGGGCATAGCTGAACAAAAGGCAGCAGAAACTTCTGCAGACTTAAATGTCCCTGTCTGACAGCTCTGAAGAGAGCAGTGGTTCTCCCAGCATGGCGTTTGAACTCAGAGAATGGACAGACTGCCTCCTTAAGTGGGTCTGTGACCCCTGTGTAGCCTAACTGGGAGACACCTCCCAGTAGTGGCCAACTGCCACTTCACACAGGTGGGTGCCCCTCTGGGACAAAGCTTCCAGAGGAAGGATCAGGCAGCAATATTTGCTGTTCTGCAATATTTGCTGTTCTGCAGCCTCTGCTGATGATACCCAGGCAAACAGGGTCTACAGTGGACCTCCAGCAAATTCCAACGGACCTGCAGCTGAGGTACCTGACTCTTAGAAGGAAAACTAACAAACAGAAAGGAATAGCATCAACATCAACAAAAAGGACATCCACACCAAAAGCCCACAGGTCACCAGCATCAAAGACCAAAGGTAGATAAAACCACAAAGATGGGGAGAAACCAGAGGAGAAAGCTGAAAATTCTAAAAACCAGAGCACCTCTTCTCCTCCAAAGGATCACAGCTCCTCGCCAGCAACAGAACAAAGCTGGACAGAGAATGACTTTGATGAGCTGACAGAAGTAGGCTTCAGAAGGTCGGTAATAACAAACTTTTCCAAGCTAAAGAAGGATATTAGAATCCATCACAAGGAAGCTAAAAACCTTGAAAAAAGATTAGACAAATGGATAACTAGAGTAAACAGTGTAGAGAAGACCTTAAATGACCTAATGGAGCTGAAAACCATGGCATGAGAACTATGGGATGCATGCACAAGCTTCAATAACCAATTCAATAAAGTGGAAGAAAGGGTATCAGTAATTGAAGATCAAATTAATGAAATAAAGCAAGAGGAGAGGTTTAGAGAAAAAAGAGTAAAAGAAACGAACAGAGCCTCCAAGAAATATGGGACTATGTGAAAAGACCAAATATATGTTCTATTAGTGTACTGGCAAGTGACAGGGAGAATGGAACCAAGTTGGAAAATACTTGTCAGGATATTATCCAGGAGAACTTCCCCAACCTAGCAAGGCAGGCCAACATTCAAATTCAGGAAATACAGAGAACAACACAAAGATACTCCTCAAGAAGAACAACCCCAAGACACATAATTGTCAGATTCACCAAGGTTGAAATGAAGGAAAAAATGCTAAGGGCAGCCAGAGAGAAAGGTCGGGTTACCCACAAAGGGAAGCCCATCAGACTAACAGCAGATCTCTCAGCAGAAACTCTACAAGCCAGAAGAGAGTGGGGGCCAATATTCAACATTCTTAAAGAAAAGAATTTTCAACCCATAATTTCATATCCAGCCAAACTAAGCTTCAAAAGTGAAGGAGAAATAAAATCCTTTACAGACAAGCAAATGCTGAGAGATTTTGTCACCACCAGGCCTGCCTTAAAAGAGCTCCTGAAGGAAGCACTAAACATGGAAAGGAACAACCGGTACCAGCCATTGCAAAAACATGCCAAATTGTAAAGACCATCGATGCTAGGAAGAAATCACATCAACTAACGGGCAAAATAACTAGCTAGCATCATAATGACATGATCAAATTCACACATAACAATATTAACTTTAAGTGTAAATGGGCTAAATGTCCCAATTAAAAGACACAAACTGGCAAATTGGATAAACAGTCAAGACCCATCAGTGTGCTGTATCCAGGAGACCCATCTCATGTGCAGAGACACACATAGGCTCAAAATAAAGGGATGGAGGAAGATCTACCAAGCAAATGGAAAGCAAAAAAAAGCAGGGGTTGCAGTCCTAATCTCTGATAAAACAGAATTTAAACCAATAAAGATCAAAAGAGACAAGGCCATTACATAATGGTAAAGGGATCAATCCAACAAGAAGACTAACTATCCTAAATATATATATGCACCCAATACAGGAGCACCCAGATTCATAAAGCAAATCCTTAGAGACCCACAAAGAGACTTAGACTCCCACACAATAATAATGGGAGACTTTAACACCCACTGTCAATATTAGACAGATCAATGAGACAGAAGGTTAACAAGGATATCCAGGACTTGAACTCAAGTCTGCACCAACCGGACCTAATAGACATCTACAGAACTCTCCACCCCAAATCAACAGAATATACATTCTTCTCAGCACCACATTGCACTTATTCCAAAATTGACCACATAATTGGAAGTAAAGCACTCCTCAGCAAATGTAAAAGAACAGAAATCACAACAAACTGTCTCTCAGACCACAGTGCAATCAAATTAGAACTCAGGATTAAGAAACTCACTCAAAACCACACGACTACATGGGAACTGAACAACCTGCTCCTGAGTGACTACTGGGTAAATAACAAAATGAAGGCAGAAATAAAAATGTTCTTTGAAACCAATGAGAACAAAGACACAACGTACCAGAATCTCTCGGGCACATTTAAAGCAGTGTGTAGAGGGAAATTTATAGCACTAAATGCCTACAAGAGAAAGCAGGAAATATCTAAAATCGACACCCTAACATCACAATTAAAAGAACTAGAGAAGCAACAGCAAACACATTCAAAAGCTAGCAGAAGGCAAGAAATAACTAAGATCAGAGCAGAACTGAAGGAGATAGAGACACAAAAAAACCCTTCAAAAAATCAATGAATCCAGGAGCTGGTTTTTTGAAAAGATCAACAAAATTGATAGACCACTAGCAAGACTAATAAAGAAGAAAAGAGAGAAGAATCAAATAGATGCAATAAAAAATGATAAAGGGGATATCACCACCGATCCCACAGAAATACAAACTACCATCAGAGAATACTATAAACACTTCTACGCAAATAAACTAGAAAATCTACAACAAATGGATAAATTCCTGGACACAAACACCCTCCCAAGACTAAACCAGGAAGAAGTTGAATCTCTGAATAGACCAATAACAGACTCTAAAATTGAGGCAATAATTAATAGCCTTCCATCAGAAAAAAGTCCAGGACCAAATCGATTCACAGCCACATGCACACGTATGTTTATTGCGGCACTATTCACAATAGCAAAGACTTGGAACCAACCCAAATGTCCATCAGTGATAGACTGGATTAAGAAAATGTGGCATATATACACCATGGAATACTATGCAGCCATAAAAAAGGATGAGTTCATGTCCTTTGTAGGGACATGGATGAAGCTGGAAACCATCATTCTGAGCAAACTATCACAAGGACAGAAAACCAAACACCGCATGTTCTCACTCATAGGTGGGAATTGAACAAGAATACTTGGACACAGGAAGGGGAACATCACACACAGGGGCCTGTCATGGGGTGGGGGGCAGGGGGAGGGATAGCATTAGGAGAAATATCTAATGTAAATGACGAGTTAACGGGTGCAGCAAACCAACATGGCACATGTATACCTATGTAAAAAACCTGCACGTTGTGCACATGTAACCTAGAACTTAAAGTATAACAAAGAAAAAAAAAGTTCATACCACCTGGGAGGCTGAGGTTGTAGTGAGCTGAGGTCTAGCCACTGCACTCCAGCCTAGAGACAGAGCAAGACTCCATCTCAAAAAAAAAAAAAAAAAGTTCATGCCTTCTCTCCTAGCAATTCTGCCATAACTGCTCTTAATCACAGTATTATGTGTAATGGAGAAAAATGGCAACAGCATACATGTCTGATGGTGATGGCTGAAATGAACTGTTACATCATAAAAACTAAAAAATAATAATCATGTAAAGATTTTAACACATTATCTGTCACACAGGAAAGACTCAAAGGTTTGTTCTAAGTATTACTGTTATTAGTTTATTAATAAGAATTGCTCTTGGGCAGATGAGAATAATTGCAAAAAGACCCTAAATATTTTAAGTGTAGACTGTCATTATAATTCATAATTCCTAATAAGTCATGCCATTAAATGCCACAAGTAATTTTAATACCATTCATTTATAGTTTTAAATGTAAAAGTGAGAAAGCCAAAGAAATACTGAGCTATTCAGAAGACAAATTGTTGTGTAACATATCACATTAATATAAAGTGTGACTTAAAATATACCTACCCATGTCTTAATTATAAGAAATTTAATAAATCAGTTGAAAACTATTTTAAGTGCTATTGACAAAGACTCTTCCTTGACCTAACTCTAAGTCAGACTTTTGGGCTTTTGGGTTCATCTGGTTTAGTCCAGTTCTAGCAAGAATCCTGCTGGATCAGGTTAGCAAAAATCCACCACCCTTGATATCTGATCGAATTCCCCACTTCTCCCACCCTCAGTATCTTATCACTCTGGCCTGCCTTCAGCAATCATCCTGGCAAGTGGGCTTAGCGAGCATTATTCTCACCCCTGATGTTTCCTCTTAGTAATTTTCTATCCGCTTGACGACCTCACCCCCCAACCCAACTCCTTGGCTAGAAATCTCCACTTGTCTTTATTGTATTTGGAGTTGAGACTGATCTCTCTCTTACCACAAAACCCGTTTGTAGTAGGGAAGTCTTCTCTACCGTCTTTATCAAGTGTCATGAATAATATTTTTCTGTAACATAGACGTGCCAGAAAATGTGCTTCATTTTACAAAAGGTCTGTGTTAAGGAACCAACTTCTGTTAAATGATGAGGATGCTATTTGCACTTTCTGATAACAATGAAATATTGTGCAATTAGCATAGAGGACTATTTGAGTGGATTGAGGGATGAACTGCATAATGAGAAGCTAATTACAGGGAGAGATCCTCTCTGCAGATATTTGTAGAATATTTTCGTTTTGACAAAAATGCAGAATATTTATCTGGCATTTACATAAATCAGTTGATGTCTGGGATGAAATTGTACAGGAAAAGATTGTTATCCTAAACCAAGAGGAAGTATTCTCTGTGCCCGTTATTTCATAATTAAATTTCATGTTCTCTTGTAATCAACCAAAATATAAATATTGATTTTGCCACCTGTGTTTTTAAGTACAGCTGAGAAAGACTTATCTGAAATCGTTTTTCACCCGAAAGTATGTGTAATCTGTGGACTGTTAAGGAACTATTTTCTAACTCTTGAAGTTTGTGATAAACAATTTTTTGCCCATGAGACAATAAGTTAGAATCACTAAATGAGTAAAACACTTAGTTTACATTATCTTCCCTGTATTTAATGACTCAATCTCTGTTTCTGTGTGTTTAAAAATTTCTCAAAAAATACGACAACAGCAACACATTCCCGCCTCTCTTGGCTCCACCCTATCCAACCCCCTCAAGAAGCTCAATAGTCACTAGAACCTTCTGAAGTTGACCCAGGAAAGCTAGGCTATAATAAACAAACCATGAATATCGATGAGGCACATACTTTGAAATTTATGTTACTTTTAATAAGTTTAGGTTTTAATTAAATGAATTTAGAAACTGATTGTGGTGTATAGGTTTATAATTGATTATTGTATATTACAAAGCAAAAATCAGGTTCCATAGTCTAACACCAGTTTGACAATGGGCAGAAGATATGACATCCAGACTGCTCCCAGAATATCTCTTTTGAATGTTCATGATAAATACGTTTGAAATTTATTATAAATAACTGTAACATAAATTTATTTTTATACAATACCTTGCAATTTCCAAATTACCTCTGCATATGTTATTGCCTTCCTCACTACACTGTGAGCATCTTAAGAACAGAGATTTCTGTTCATCTATATTATAGCCTTAAGTTTCTCGGGTTCCATGGGTACCCTCTTGCAAGTTCCTGAGGTGCTACTTGGTAGCCCCAAACATTCCTCCTCATTAATCCAGATCCCAATTTTACACGCTCTTCTATTGACTTCTAAATTTAATAATCCCAGTCTTTTTTTCTTTTTCCCAAGCCCTAGGGGAAAACCTGCTTCCTGCAGTTACCACCTTTGCCCTATGATTTGAATGTGTCCTCTCCAAAATTCAGGTGTTGAAACTTAATGGCCAATGTGATGATAGTAAGAGGTGGAACCTTTAAGAGGTGATTAGATCTTGAGGGCTCCTCCATCATAAGTGGTATTAAGACCCTTATAGAAGGGGCTTCATGCATTGTTCCGGCTCATTTGCCTTTCTGCCTTCCTCCATGTGAGGACACCATGTTCCTCTTCTCCTGAGGATGCATAGCAAGGCTCCATCTTGGAAGCAGAGAGCAGCCCTCACCAGAAACCCCAACCTGACAATGCCTTGATCTTAGATTTCCTAGCCATCAGAAGTGTGAGGAATAAATTTCTGTTTTTCATAAACTATTCAGTCTCATGTATTTTGTTATAGCAGCACTAAAACACTCTTTGAATCACTACTTTTACCTGTTTAAATGTTCAGTTCCCTAAAAAGTGATTGGTAATTCTTCATATTAAAGTCTGTTAAACTAACTGGTATGATTTTTCTTTCTTGATTGGACCCTGACTAACAGAAGAGAGAGAATTGCAATACTGTCAGAAAGACTGGAATGATTGTATTGGCTGAGTTTATTATTTTGAAATCTTAACACTGCACTTTACATCCAGGTCTGTCAGAAAGACTGGAATGATTGTATTGGCTGAGTTTATTATTTTGAAAGCTTAACACTGCACTTTACATCCAGGTCTTTGTACATAAATCCTTTTTTTAATGGACTTTTCCACTGGAAACTTGCTATTGAGTTGCATCAACTCGAACATCCCACTTCTTCAATTGGTGAACACTTTAGGGCTTCTAATAATTATTATACATTTTCTGATACTGGCTAATTTTTTTGAAAACAGATGCCTGCGGCTTCAGTTTTACTACCTCGTTTTGTGAGTGACACTGTAAAACTTTTTTGTTCTTATGGCCAAGAGGAGAAAGAGAAATAAATGAAGAAACTAACACAAACTTATTTCCTTTAGTCCCTTTCCTTAATGAAAAGGAAAAGAAATACACAACACCAACAGTCCAAGCCTGGTTATCAGCTGCATTGTAGAAGAAATGGTCAGATGAATAGGTCTTTTGCTTGTTAGGGAGTTTTATTGAGCACTTCGGAAAAAAAACTCAGTTCTCTGTGTATTGAAATGGAAAAACAGTGTCCAACGTCAAGGTCTCTCTTGAAAGAAAATGTTTCAAATATTCTGAAAAAATGTTTCTGAGGGGTCAGTTTCTGAAGCTAGCTGATTTAGTTTCTTTTGACCTAAAAACAGGCAAATACTATGGGGAGTAAGGTATTGCACACACTGCTTTTAAAAACATAGTTTTGTTGTGGCCTAACTCATGTTGGCCAAATAATTCCTATTTATAAACAGTCCACCAAGTCCCATCTATAAACAATCTACCAAAGTTGTGACTAGATAGAAAGACTAAGCATTATCATTTTTATGGTCCTCCTTGCAATATTCCCTCTTTTCCCCATTACAACCAATTATTCTTCTTTTTAGAAAAATTTTCTGTAATTAACATTTTCAAGGAAAGTCTTAAAATGCTTTCAAATCACTACTTTCTAAGAAAAGAATAAACCTCTGAAAATCACATGACTTTCTTATACCTCCAGTTCCAAATGCAGCGTCCACACTATATCTCTCTTATTCAATAAGCATTTTTAGTCACCTACTATGTGCCAGGCCTGTGTCACTGCGCCAAGGGCTGAAAACAGAGAAAACCCAGACCTAGACCTGCCTCAAGAAGCTCACAGCCTTTTAAGTTGGATAAATGGCTATGCAAGGCAATGAGATATGATGACTACCTAAAGAGATGAACAAATAGCTATGAAAGTCCAGGAGAGGGAAAGATACATCTCAAGTGGGGAAGATCAGAATTGGAAGAGGTGACATTTGGATTAACTTAATGCCAGTGTATTTCATCACACAGACACATGGGTGGCATGTTAACTGTCACAGGATGGATGAGGCTTACCTGAGTTAAGGCTTAAAATAAGATCTACCCACAAGACAGGAACTGAACTTAGGGAAATTAACCTAGTTCTAGGTTCTCTTTCTTAGAGTGTGGCCCAGCAGTAATTGTATCAGAAAGACTTGCCTACTTCTTAAAAATGTAGATTCCTATGACCAATTCCCAGGGTTTCTGATTTATTGACTGGAGTGAGTGAATGCAAAAATCTATTTAACTCATGATGCAGTTGATCACTATCCTGTCTAAATTTGCAAGGATTTGTCAAGCAACAGGTGGGAGTGCAGAAAGCTCAAGTTAGGGACATCCGATATAATAAAATTAGATATTCTGACAGACAGGTGGAGACAGAGCAAGGACAGTGCCAGGGAACCCAGGAGCAGGCAAGATTGCATATCCAAAGAGACCTGCAGCAAGGCGTCCTGTCCCCTCCATATTGCCCTGGGTATTGGGATTTCAAGTTTAGGACTTTCTTCCAGGTGAGAATATAGGGAAAAAGCCAATTGGAGATAACAAAGTAAATCACACAGTTTTGCGGTGTGTGTGTGTGTGTGTGTTTTTGAGACAGAGTCTCACTCTGTCACCCAGGCTGGAGTGCAGTGGCACAGTCTCAGCTCACTGCAACCTCTGCCTCCTGGGTTCAAGTGACTCTCCCGATTCTCCTGCCTCAACCTCCCGAATAGCTGGGATTACAGGTGTGCGCTGCCATGCCTGGCTAATTTTTGTATTTTTAGTAGAGATAGGGTTTTGCCATGTTGGCCAGGCTGGTCTCAAATTCCTGGCCTCCAGAGATCTGCCCACCTTGGCCTTTCAAAGTGCTGGGATTACAGGCATGTGCCACTGTGCCTGGCCAATGGCACAGTTTTAAAGTTTTCTAGGCAGTGTGTCAAAAAAAGGATGTGGGCACTAATCGAACTTACCCATGATTTGGTTCCTAGGAATGGGGGCAAGATGAAAATGCCAGAATCTAGTTATGAGAAGCAAGACCAGAAGCATATCTTTTTCTGGTTTTAATTCTGGTTCTTTAATATTAGGTTGGTGCAAAAGTAATTGTGGGTTTTGCTATAGAAAGTAAAGGTAAAAACCGTAATGACTGTTGCACCAACCTAAATAGAATCACCTAAGAAGCTTTATAAAAACATGTACTCCTAAGATTCACACTGGACTTAGAAAATCAGAATGGTTAAGACAGAAATGTGAATTTTTATAAGCTCTTCTAGGTAATTCTGGAAATTATTCAAGTTTAAAAAGCAATAAACAAGGACTCCTTTTCTCTGCCCACAACAACCACAGCCCCCACCAATCACAGGTCACAAACAGAGCCTGCAGTAGGAATCTTGTGGCAGATACTGGGAAGAAAAGAAGCCTGTGGATCAAGCAGTTAACATAAAAATCTCACGGCAAGAAGAAATGCTAGCTTGCAAGTTCTGTGAGTCTTGCAGCAAACAAGATATTTCCAGCACAGAATGCCAGCAAAGTTTCTTGTTGCTGTTGTTTTGTTTTATTATAGTATTTAAAATAGTTCTTCAGCATATCAATACTTAAAATAGTAAAAATCCCATTGTCCCTGTCTTAGTGTGCTCCAGTTGCTGCAACAAGATATCATAAACTGAGTGGCTTATAAAGAACAGAAATGTATTTTTAACAGTTCTGGAAGCTGGGAAGTCCAAGATCAAAGTGCCAGTAGATTTGGTGTTTCTGGACACCCAATCCACATTGGGAGGACCTAATCAGCTTACAAAGGCCCATCTCCTAATACCTTCAGGTTGGAGGTTAGGATTTGAGCATTTGAGCATTAGAATTTCAAGGGGACACATTCAGACCAAAGCAGGTCCATTCTCTTACTCCAGCTCAACAGAAGAATCTCATTTACAGACATCACTGAGCCTTCTCCCTGTCTGAATTTTTTTTTCACCTAGTGACTATTGACAAAGAGCAATATTGAATATGATACTAACTTCAACCAAACAACATTGGCAGCATGTAGAGTATTTGCTCATTCCATGGTCTCATGTCACATCACGCTATTTTTAAATCAAATTCTGCTTTTAATCTTTAGTTTTAATTTACCTTTATCTGAAATATAAATGTAATTAATCACGTAGAAGGAAAGTAGGAGCTAGCAGGATAGTAATCTAGCTAAGCTGCAAGCAAGTGAAGCTTTTTTGTAAGGAAAGAGCTGTAGAATCACAAGACAATCTGTATCACAAACCAGCAAATATATGCTAAACAGTGTCTAATTTCACGGGGTGCCTCCCAGTTGAAATTGAGCCAGGCCACCTGATTCCTTATTCCACTGGTAAAGACCATCTCATGTGAACCAGCTGCCATGGATGTGGTTCAGAAAGCTGTCCCTGAAAAGAACTCTGGGCCATCTGTGCTTACAGTGCTATTAATAGAATGTTCTCCAAATCATAGACCTTCATCTGCAACCTCACATCAAGACTTTCTCAAACATGAGACCCGGAGAACATCACTCATCAGCATTCTTTGTGATCTATTGGGAAGCACCATGATTTGAAGGCAAGGGTCAAAGGTGGGGTGGGAGCCGGATGAGACTGTGAACTCTCTGAAGCCAGGGGCATTCCTTTTCCCCCTTACCTTGCCAGGGTCAGGCCCTGTGATGACACAATTGTGTGTTGAGTTGTACTGAAGCATTTTGTAAGTGCCAAGCCAGTGGAAGCAGCTTTACAAGGTTATTACATAATGGGAAAAGTCGTGTTCATTATTAAAGGAAGATGAGGAAAGGGAGGTTCATCAGTTAAGTAACTTCCCCACGTTGACACATCCTGAGTAGTAGGGCCAAGATTCAGACACGGGTTCTCTGACTCCACACCTGAATTTGATGGCCTGCACCGTCTCATACGTTTTTGTTTTCCGTTCATTTTGGTTGTACTTGGGAACTTCGACTTTGATTGTGATTTATTTTTCTTGAGCCAACGCTGATGGAGTTTTTTATGACTCTAGAGAAAGGTGAAATGACTAATACAAGGAAGCTGAAATAGCAATAACATTTCTTAAAATTAATTGTTAAGAAATATAGAGGCTTAAACCATATAGAAATAATAGCAGATGACATGAGACACCAGATGGAGTTCACCTAGGCACACAATGCCTGCTTGATAAACTTAAGAGAAATTGTAGAACACACTAAAAGAAAAAAATGGAAAAAATAGTCATAATGTTTAGATCTTTAAAAAAAAATATTTTGCTAAGGCCATCATTTTCTCTTTAAGACCATAGAAAATTAGTGGCTACCAGAAACATTGCAAAGATAACTAAAGATATTGATGTGAAACATGGAAGCAGCATCCTCTTACTTAATGTGCTGCTAACGAAATAAATATAAGTAAACCAAGGCTGACTACATATCCCTTATGTTATTTTTTCACCATGGTTCTAATCTTAAGAACATCAAATATATGAGACATGATGAGTGACAATGACAAAGATACTTTGCAATACAGTCTAAACCAAAGCATATGGCATGTGACATATATAGATATGTATAGATCCATTTATTGATATGTGTGTATATATATCTATGTATCTGTATCTCATATGACATGTAATAATATACTGCCAAGAACAAGAGTAGAAGTTATTAAAATATGTTAAAAAAAAACTAATACGAAAGTTAGGATACAAGTCAAGAGAACAAATAATCTAAGAAAAATGGGAATATAGTTTCTTCAGTTGTTTATTCATATGCCAGACAGTGCTAAGTGTTAGAGGTTAAGGATGTGTAACATCTAGTTCACTTCTATATATGCTTACAGTTTGGTAAAGAAGATAAAAATCTGTTAAGCAATGCCTTACACTAGTGGAAAAATTAGAAAAGATTTCCAGATTGGGTGCAGTGGTTCACACCTGTAATCCCAGAACTTTGGGAGGCCGAGGCAGGCAGATCACCTGAGGCAAAGAGTTCAAGACCAGCCTGGCTAACATGGTGAAACCCCATCTCTACTAAAAATACAAAAATTAACCGGGTGTAATGGCGCATGCCTATAGTCCCAGCTAGAGTTCAAGAATCACTTGAATCCAGGAGGCAGAGATTGCAGTGATCCAAGATTGCCCCACTGCACTCTAGCCTGGGCGACAGAGGGAGACTCTGTCTCAAACAAACAAACAAACAAACAACAACAGAAAGACTTCCAAGAGATTGTAAACAAACATGTAAAGTAGAAAATTAGACCAATGAGAATCCTTGAAGTATATTTTGAAGAGTTAAAAAAGCCCAAAAAACAAAAAGGAGAAAATAAATGATTTAAATGTCTATTTTTAAATGTAAGACAAAGGCAATAAAGCTGTTCCTGTAACCAAATTTCTGTTTAGTAGCTCTGTATTGTTACCACAACATACCAATGAGAACTCTGGTTCCACGGAGGAAAACCTTTTCTATGACCCTCTAGAATAGCAAACTCAATGCCAATGGGGGAATTACAGAGTTCTTTTATGGTTTCCTGTGTTTTGTCTGTCAATATTAATGCTAAGGACATTAATTGAGATACATGCTTCTAATTCCCCTTACTTGTATAGAAGTACTGTAGATTAGAGAAAGGATTTCCAAAACTGGGGGAAAAAAGAGTCCCTAAAAAGCAGCACCATAAAGAATTGTAAAAGAGGAGAATCATGTCCTCAAATGTTAAAAGAAGACTTATGGATTAGCCAAGGAAATTCTCACCTTTAAAGAAAAATGAGACATTATGTCAATGATTATGGGGAGGTGGGAGAAAGACAGAAATGCCTCAGAATTGTCTGGATGGTTTTATAAAACCACACCACACACCACACACGTGCATAAACACACACACACACCACACATATGTACCTGTATGATCTGATGTGCTTATGACAGTGGCATGACTCAGAACCAGGGCCATGATGAACCACTACCATTAGGGGAATATGTCTTATCCCTCTGGTGTGCTGGAGATCACAGAGTTATTTAAAAATCAGAGGGCAAGTAGCAGAAGAACTAAGGCAAAAGGAGATGCCTTGTAAAATACATTAACAATAACAGTTAAAGCAACAGAATCAACTCCCACCAATGGAAGAGTAGGGTAAGAGTAGGATACCCTGGTACTTGCCTCACTGAAAATCATCTAGAGCCAATTTAAAAGGAAAGCACAAACAACCCTCCAAAACAAATCCAACATAATCATTTTGTGAAGGGCAAAAATAGCCCCCAAATTACAGAAATGATGCATTTTTTAATTCAACAAAAGACAAGATCAGGAAAAAAATGAGAACAGAGGGCTATAAGTGAAATTTTTGATATTATGCACTTATGAGACACTGAAATATGCAATCCATTTTATTTATTGCTGTGGAAAGTAGTGTGTATATTACTTTATAGTAGAGTTCTACAGGTATAAATTTTATAATTGAAATAGATATTAATTATTACACATAAATGTTACTATTTTTTATTTGAGTTTGGTTATTTTTAGTTAGAAACTGCCTATAGTTTAACCCTGATAACACGGTTAAATTTTTACTTACAAATATAGTAAACTAAAAGAGCTTTTTCATTCTAGCATGCCCATATTGTGGGCTTATGTTTTCACCCTCTGCAATATTCCAAACTTGTCTTTAAAGGAAAATGAGACATTCTATCAATGATTATGGGGAGGTAGGGGAAAGACAGAAATGCCTTAGAATTATCTGGGTGATTTTACAAAACCGCACCACACAGACGCACACGCGTGAGCAAGTGTGCACACATGCATGCGCGTACACACACACAGACGTAGAAGTCCTATTTCTTCAAAGTAAAAACAAGTTGAGTGTTCATACTCTGTATCAGAAAAAAATACCAAAAGTTTAATGAAGAGCTTACTCCCCTTTTGTTTTAATTTACTGAAATCATCTATCTATATATATTTTTAATTGTCAATATTATTTTGGATTTTATCTTTCCAACTACTGTTTTCTTGTTGCTCCTTGAAGAAATTATTTTGGGGAATATGAAGCTTCATGTTTACAGATTTGCAGACCCTTTGATAACACAAGAGGATGACAGAACTGCCTCAGGTTATCTTCTGAGCTGGCAGACTTCTCAAATTTGCACAGACACAACCTTTAGTGACCTTTGGAGCTCTGAAACTACATGAATCATCATTAAAGGAAAATTGAACCAAAGCCACTGGGAAGTTCCTTTTTCAGAGGATTAACTTCGTTTCGTTTCATACATAAGCAATGAAGGTATGTATAGATCCATGTCATTTCTCAGGTCGAGTTAAACTGTCCTGTGATTTAAAAGTTATAGTATGTACATGATTTTATTTGAAACTCTATATAGCTAATAAAGACAAAGAGAACAGCTAATTCGAAATTGCCTGCACAAGAAAATTAAAATTTCCAAAATCTATTATAATTTTGTCACTCTAAATGAAGATTCATGTGACATGTTGGACTCCCATACAGAAGACTACTTCAGGACTGTCTTTCTATAATTACGACTTTCACTTCATTAATAATTATAATGCCTTTTCCTATATGCATCTGTCCAACAGCAAGTGAAGACAGGAATTGCCTGACCTTACACGACAAATAAACTCTCAATTCAAATCATAATGAAGTTGGTAAAACAGTTTGGCTTTAGGGAGATGAAGATGATGTATTGTGGGGAAAAAAGTCTCTTATTACTAAGGTATATTTTATCCCCATATAAAGTAGCAAAATAATATTATTTATTCATAAACAAAAAAGAGTGATCTAAAGGTTTTCCCAAGTTATTTTAGATTGGTGCAAAAGTAATTGCAGTTTTGCCGTTATTTTGATGGCAAATAATATTAACACATCAACATATATAGGATATCAGATCTGAATTTAAAAGGTCAGTTTATAAATTGTATATCGTTCTCTCCAGATATAAAGTGGATTCCAGCACTCTGCACGCCTGAGCCTCTGCTCCTGTGACTATCCTGCCGCCTCTATCCTCACTGCTGCCACCTTGAGGGAGATCGTGCACCTGCAGGCTGGTGAGTTTGGCAACTAGTTCTACGGGGTGATCAGTGATGAGCATGCCATCGAGCCTACTGGCACTTAGCATGCGGATAGCAACCTGCAGCTGGAGTGCATCAGTGTGTACTGCAATGAGACCACAGGTGGCAAGTATGTGCCCCACGCTGAGCTCATGGATCTGGAGCCCAGCACCGGGGACTCTGGTGTGCTCAGGCTCCTTCGTGCAGATCTTACGGCTGGACAACTTCATCTTCCATCAGAGTGGTGCCGGAAACAACTGGGCCAATGGGCACTACGCAGAAGGTGCGGAGCTGGTGGATTCGGTACTGGACATTGTGAGGAGGGAGGCTGAGAGCTGTGACTGCCTGCAGGATTTCCAGCTGACCCACTCCCTAGGAGCAGGGACTGGGCCTAAGAGGGGTACCCCTCTCATCAGCAAGATCCCAGAGAAGTATCCAGACAGGATCTTGAACAAGTTCAGTGTGCCCTTACGCAAGGTGTCAGACATGGGGGTGGAGCCCTAAAACATCACCTTCTCAGTCCACCAACTGGTAGAAAACACAGATATGACCTATTGCATTGATAATGAAACTCTCCATAACGTCTGCTTCAGAACCCTAAAGCTGACCACACCCACCTATGGTGACTTGAACCACTTGGTGTCTGCCGCCATAAGTGGGGTCACTACCTGCCTAGGCTTCCCCAACCAGCTCAATGCTGACCTGCAGAAGCTGGCTATGTACATGGTCCCATTCCCTACCTGCACTTCTTTATGCCTGTCTTCACCCTGCTGACCATCCACAGCAGCCAGCACTACCAGGCCCTCATAGTGCCTGAGCTCACCCAGCAGATGGTTGATGCCAAGAACATGATGGTTCCCTGAGACCCCTGCCATGGCCACTACCTAAAGGTGGCCACAGTGTTCACGGACTACATGTCCATGAAGGAGTTGGATGAGCAAATGCTTAATGTCCAAAACAAGAACAGCAGCTACTTTGTTGAGTGAATCCCCAACTATGTGAAAACAGCTGTCTGTGACATCCCACTCTTGGGGCTATAAATGTCTGCCACCTTCAACATCAACAGCGTGGCCATCCAGGAGCTGTTCAAGCACATCTCTGAGTGGTCATGTTTCGGTGCAAAGCCTTTCTGCACTGGCACATGGGCAAGAGCATGGACTAGATGGAGTTCACCAAGGCTGAGAGCAACATGAACAACCTGGTGTCCCGGTACCAGTAATACCAGGACACCTCAGCCAAGGAGGAGAGAAAGGTTGAGAAGGAGGCCAAGAAGAAGGTGGCCTAGAGCCTTCAGACATGGACACTGGGTAAAGTGGGGAAGCAGTGGGAATTCTATTTACTCACAATCTTTTCTCTGATAACCAGGTCTCACTGTGTGTACACTTGGAGCTCTTCCCGACTTCATAGCACACACTGTACCGACACCATCATTAACAGCATTTTCATAGTGAAAAGAAAGTGCATCCCCCAAGAACCATCTCAAATTCATCTCTGTTGGCCAGGCGCAGTGGCTCACACCTGTGATCCCAGCACTTTGGGAGTCCAAGGCAGGCGGATCACCTGAGGTCAGGAGTTTGAGACCAGCTTGGCCAACGTGGTGAAACCCCATCTCTACTAAAAATATAAAAAAAATAGCCAGGCATGGTGGTGCATGCCTGTAATCCCAGCTACTTGGGAGGCTGAGGCAGGAGAATCTCTTGAACCCAGGAGGCGGAGGTTGCAGTGAGCCAAAATCATGCCACTACACTCCAGCCTGGGCAACAAGAGCAAATCTCCATCTCAAAAAAAAAAAAAAAGTTAATCATTTGTCTCTGTGAGGCTTTGCAAATTTCAAAGCATCCTCGGCATTCTCAGGGGGCTTTCTCTCCTGAGCCTCTGGGATGCATCTTAATCAATTTTATTGCATTTAGTTTGTAGAATAGGTAAATTTGGACAACATGTCAATATCCTAAAACACTGAAAATCCTAAATCCTTGAGGGTGGAAGTTCTTATCGCTTCAAACATACTAGTGCAGGACCTGGATATAGTAGGTGCATGATATTAAAAAAAAAAAAATCAAAGTAGAGATCTTTCACCTCCCTAGTTAGCTGTATTCCTACATAAATTATTTTTTGTGTGTGTGGCTATTGTAAATAGGATTGCATTCTTGATTTGGCACTCATCTTGAATGTTGTTGGTGTATGGAAATGCTACTGTTTTCTGTACACAGGTTTTTTGTGCCCTGAAACTTTGCTGAAGTGGTTTATTAGATGTAAGAGCTTATGTGCAGAGACTCATTAGGGGTTTTCTAAGTATAAAATCATGCTGTCTGCAGAGATAGTTTGACTTCCTCTCTTTCTATTTGGATGCTTTTTATTTCTTTCTCTTGCCAAATTGCTCTGCCTAGGCCCTCCAATACTACATTGAATAGGAGTGGTGAGAGTAGGCATCCTTGTCTTATTCCAGTTTCAAAAGGAATGCTTCCAGCTTTTGCCTGTTCAGTATGATGTTGTCTGTGGGTTTGTTATAGATGGCTCTTATTATTTTGAAGTATGTTCCTTAAATGCCTAGTTTGTTGAAGGTTTTTAACATGAAGGGATGTTAAATTTTATCAAAAGCCTTTTCTGCATCTATTGAGATGATCATGTGGTTTTTGTTTTTAGTTCTGTTTACGTTATAAATCACATTTATTGATTTGCATATGTTGAACCAATCTTGCATCCCAGGGATAATGCCTACTTGATTGTGGTTAATTAGGTTTTTTGATATGCTGCTGGATTATTAACTTTTCTATCAGTGTTTGAATAAAGTAAAAGTCATATGCCTCATGGAAATGCCATTGAGAAGCTTCTTAGAAGTTTGGATTCCTGAATTACATCTTCCATAGACTTCCCAGAATCCACATGACAACAAAATGTACACTCCACTGGTACCATTTAAATTAATAGAACATTGTGCTGGAATTAAGTTGAAAAGCACATTCTTAACATCCCTATTTCAATGATGTAAAAAAAAAAGAAGAAAGAAAGAAATGAAAAGAAAATAAAAAAGAAAAGAAAGGCTTCCTAGAACATCATGGACTACGGAATAAAATTCAAAGAACTCTTTCATTCAACACAATGTAAATTATATTATGGTTCCTTTCCCAAAGCTGACCCTTGCTTATGACATGTTCTATATTCATAATGTTCGTATTCATGAGACTGTCACCTGATAACTTTTGCATAAGTTGTTTGCACCAAGTACCACGACAAAAGCATTTTCATTGTCTTTTTGTTAAAAAACTGATACACAGGAAATAAATCAAGCAAATCATTACATTATCATCATCAGTCCAAATTGTTCATATGTAGATGGAATAAAGTCTTTTATTATTCCAAATATTTTATAAATGTTTAATTGGAATAGTAAAAAATAGAATATTTCCAACTTATTAATTCATTCTCATTCTTTCCTTCTGACCAGGCTTAGGAAACAGAAAAGCAATTTTCTTACCCTACTTCAAAGAGTCCCATGAGACTCATTTCCCCAACAAAAAACTCCCAAATCATCATTAAACCTATAGGTAACAGAAACAAAGATGAAGTTAGTGAGACAAATAATAGCCAAGCCTATGATGTAACAAAAAGTTCTTTATTCTCAGAAAGCTCTTTAGTAAATGAATTGTTCTGTTTGTGAGATATCAGTCTAGACTATAATTCTATTTAGAAAGAGGCTTGGGATTTTACCTCAATGAATGGACTAGTTAGATATCACAATGGAAATTATTATAACCAGGGCCTCTGGAGACAACAAATATAACTTTGTAAGGATTTCCTACTTGGTAATGGAGATAAGAATGTCAGAGTTGTTCAAGGAAAGTTACAATCCACAATCTCTGTTCTCTTTCTAGCAAATATATATTATATAATATATCTTAGTATATATTGTAAGAAATATACTTACTATATGTATTTGTATATATAGTAAGAAGTAATGGTAAATAAAAGGAAGACAGAGCTAATGAAGAAAAGATTCTTTCACCTTATTCGTGCAGGGCCGAAACTGTTAAATATGTGCTGCTTATTAAGAAACTAATGTCTGAAATGGATGCACTTGTCTAATTTTAGCATTTTCCATGTATTATTTTAACATATCTCGGAAAAAGGGACTATAAATCCTAATTCAACTGTGTTACTATAGTAAACATCATATTTACAAGTCATTCTGTGGGAATTATGCAAAGCCGCGTCTCCATTAACACTCCCTTTGTTTCCTCCATTGCCAAATGGAAGAACAGAATAGATACCATCACAATCTTGGATTAAAAAGAATATCTCTCTAGGAAACAAAGCTGAAGGGGGGTTGGTGGGAGAATGAAGTTACTCAAGGGGCATCTGATTAAATGAAAGAAGCCAGGCAGACAGAAGCACAGAGGGTAATAGCTATTTTGATCCAGTGAGTATTGACCACAAAGAAAAAAAAAAAAAAGGATCTACATTGTCACAATTACTCCTATCTGACAAAGTCTAAACGTTTCTAGGTCACCACGTACCGAGTTTTACCAAAGTGACTTTCAGATGTCACATAACTATATAATTTCTCTTTTGGCTGAAGTTAATCACATAAACTAGGAGGTCTTTGAAGACCAGATTGACCCTGATCTGGATGTACTCATTCTTTACAGCTTGTTCAATGAGGAAACTATTGCAGTCTTAGGCAGTCTTAAAAATAACAGAAAGAACATTTTCACAAGAACCTATACATTAGGTGGGGAAGAAATAACCACTTTCAAATAGCTTTTCTTTCCTCCACTTGATTACACTCATTATGTTTTGACGTTAGGCTTTCAAGCTGGTCAACATTTATGGAGACAAGAAAAAAAGGGGTTACAACGACTGGCCACAAACACCACACTTTGATTGGAAAGGAAGAATAATGTCCAAGAATGTGGTGAAATTAGCACACCTAGAGTACTGGGAATATCCAGCTTCAACCTGGAGGATCACAAGAAAGATTTTCCTGGGCGACAAGATGTCAAGGGAAGCACCTCATCTGACTACAGAAAACAACGACATCTGGAGAAGTTATTTCCTGCATAATCGGGAAAAAGAAATGAATCAATCACTTTTAAAACAGGTTCTTCCTTTTCTACTGTCATCTATGCATCATTAATGATTCACTCAAACTACTGAGTTTAAGTTGAGTAACATTTAGATGAACTTATATGGACTATGGCATATTCAGTCACAATTATTCACTTATTTTTCTTAGCTTGTGTTAATCTTCCCAAATCTCACTTAGGTATGATCAGATATGTTTAATCATTTATGAATAAATTGTGTAGTTTTTAATTTTAAAATATTTTGTCAGTTATACATGCACGTATTCAGTCAAACAGTTCTACAAAATCATATATATTTAATGAGTCAAATCGTTGTACATGACTTACTTAGAAAAACATAGCTTCTTTCCACACCTCTTGCCTCCATTCCATCCTCCAGGCAACTATTTTAACTCTTTTAGTTCTTTATCTCTATATAACCTACTTAAACTGCCACACTCTGAATTTTCAGTTTTAGGCATAATCTATGGATTTGGCAGTATGGAAACAGAGACTTACTTCTTTTTCTCTACCCCTACCAAACCCATAAGCACACTCATTTCTCCATTTCCCCAGTATTGTTACATTATCTTTGTGGTTTTATATTCAGTACTAAGCCACACAGTACACAATGGTGATTTGCATAATTGTTTTCTCCCTGCAGTCTTGCATTACTTGTTTCCTTTGTTTATTACGTTTCTAATTCGTCTCCCTCATGCTCCTTATTTGTATAACTCCTTTTTCATTAAGTTGAAACCTGTTACATAGATTCTATTAATTTTATCCCCTGGAGACAACTTCCCAGAGTCTCCTGACCTGGTCCAATATGGACTGCCTGGCTGCTGGGTGCTGCATGGGTCATCAACCTGAGAGCTTTCTGACCACAATCGTGGGTCTCCCACATGTCTCCCTGCATGTCTCTTATGTATTTTATGTCTCTTTTGTCCTCTTTAGATGTCCTCCCATTTTAGTGGAGTGCATTTTCCAGTAGATTCCTGGTAAAGAACCATGGACTTTGTTTCATCATCTTGAAATGTTACTAACGAGAAATTCAATTACATTTTGTTTCTTGATCCTTTTAAGCTATGTTTTTCAATTTTGGAAGTGGTTAGAATCTTCTTATTCCAAATATTCTGAAATCTCTCAATAATATACTATGTGGATTTTGTTTCCATTTATTTCTCACAGCACCTCTTGTGAACATCTTTGGTATGGAGACATAGGTCATTCAGGAGCAGGAAATGATGTTTTGACAATTTTCTCCCTTTTGTTTTCTTCATTCTTTCTTTTCAGTTTCCTAGTATATGGATGTTGGTCCTACCATACAAATCCTCTAGTTTTCTTATCCTCTTGCTCCTAGTTTTTATATCTGCCTTTTAACCTATTTTGTAGGATATTTTACCCTTTGAATGTTTTACTCACTTTTTAGTTTCTGCATTATATATTTAATTCCCATGGGCTCTTTCTTATTCTCTGACTGCTTTTTGTATAGTACTGTGTTCTTGTTTCAGGGATACTATTACATTTCTTTCTGTTTCTTCACTCTCTTTCTCTATATTTTTTCAAATTGTTTTCATTTTTGTTGGTTTTTGGTTAGTGATTTTATTATAACTTGTTTGTTTCACATAGAAGGTTTCTTAAGATGACCATTGAGTCTGAACTGTCAAGTCATAGATAAAAGTAGAACAAAAAGAGCTGATGGAGTTTTGCATGAGAATGGAGCTTTCCACCTATGGGCTTCCCTTAGGAGCTCTGTACTGTGGGGAAGGCAGATCTTGAGAGGAATCATCAGTCTTTGCAAGACAACTACTTCACAGGAAACCATCACAATGTCTACAAGCTAAGGGACACTAACTTCCAGGAGAGAACAGTGCTCTTTTAGAGACCTAGGAGTCTTGGCAGAATTTATGATTCAATTTTCCCAGCTTCCTAAAAATCTGCTCAAATGTTATCATTCTAATTTTCAGTGATCCCACTCCTTCACAACCAATGCCCTAACTTTAACCTAAGATACTCTGTGAGAGTAAAGATAGAATTCATTTTATTATTCAGCCAAATGAAGTATTAGACTTTGGATTTGGTTTCCAGAAACCTTGATCCTGTAATTATAGGAAATAAGGTTTCTTTTAGGGCAGTTACAGAAGCTCTGACCTTTTGCTTATACCTTGATCCGGAACTTAAATTTTCTTTCTCCAAGTTGGTTCCTCTTAGAAATCACCTACAAAACATTATAGTTCTTATGTCCACTAAAAAGTCCTATGGAAGCACCTACATAGTCAACCAAAATCTTGTCTTCTGTCGACATTTGATTACAGGTGACTCTGGGTTAATTTAAGTAAGCCTTTTTCCACCACATACCGTGAAATACCATGTTTGCTTTGATATTGTCAACAAAGTCATTTTAACCAATCAGATCACACAACCAATTCCAGATTCCCATTGTTAAGTTTCTGCTCCTCTGCAACCTCTAGAAATATCATTTAGGGATTAATCAAAAAACAAAACTATTATGAGCATTATGAAATAAAGGATTTATTATAGGAATAAAATCTTATACAATTTTTTTAAAAGCTAGGAAATAAAGGTCTTAAGGGAGCATTGGAGAATTAGGCAGAGGTCACTAACCAGCCTTCCTGAAACATTGGTAGGCATAGATAAGTCAGAGTCTACAAGGAAATATGTCAAAATAAGCACATCCTGTTGCCACAGCGAGACTGCATAGATTAGAGCTGGTAAGAAAGTCCATGGAAGGTGACTGACTCTGTGTTGGGTGGTGATCTAGGATATTCTTTCTACCCAGAGCTAGTAGAAGAAAAACTGGACTTGGAGACAGAAAGAACCAGGACAAGATGGAATTTGTGGGTACCTCTGCATCTGTCTCTCACCACAACTAACATGTTGACCCTCAGAAAGCAATGGTTGTTGCATCACTTCTGCCTTAAAAATCCCGTAAAACATTTTCATTTGGCCAACTCTAGCCTGGAACTGTACAGAGAGGAGGATTCTGGGTGTTGTTGTTTCAGCTTATCCAAACTGACACCATGCAGAATCCATTACAAGTTATGTGTTAAATAACTGACTTGGCAGAAACTTATTATTAAATGAAGAACTATGTTTTCCACACAAAATCCTTAAATGTGTGATACTACTAATCCCATCTCTTGTTTATATGGTCCCTCTACACTTTGATCTTTCTCTTTTTACATCTGTATTCTCAAATTTCTCAATTTTTTAATGCTGGAATGAGAAAAAATAAAATCTTATAGTTTTAAAACTTCACCAATAAGTCATCTAAAGATCAGGTAATGTGAAACCTAAAATTAGTAGTTAAAATAAAATTAATATATTTTTTAGTTTTTCCACTTTGCAGATTTAAGCGAAAATTGATATTGGGGAACTCTTCTTTTAGTTCTTAATTCACTTGAAGTAGAAGAAATATCATTTCAGCTTTTTTGTTGTGTTTATTTGGTAATGAGTTTTCTGTACTTTACTACTTTGATAACTCTTCCAAGGTTTTTTTTTGGACTGAGTCGCTCTATCGCCCAGGCTGGAGTGCAGTGGCGATCTTGGCTCACTGCAACCTCCGCCTCCCAGGTTCAAGCGATTCTTGTGCCTCAGCCTCCCGAGTAAGTGGGATTACAGGTAACTGCCACTATGCCCAGCTAATTTTTTTTTGTATTTTTAGTAGAGAAGGGATTTCACCGTGTTGGCCAGGCTGGTCTTGAACTCCTGACCTCAAATGATCCACCCACCTCAGCCTCCCAAAGTGCTGGGACTATAGGAGTGAGCCACTGCGCCCGCCCGGCCTCTTCCAAGGTCTTAGTGTTTTGTTCATCTTTTTTCTTTAACCATTTATAATAATTTATGCACAGTAGTTAATAAAAAAAAGAATTACAGTGAAATAGTAAAATAAAAATCCTGATATACAGTAATGTCAAATGAAAACAATATTAGTTGAATATTAATATTCAACTAATAATGATTTATGTAATGAACATGCATATAAAAAGCACATAGAAGGTTATTATTATAGTAATTAATCATCAGAATGCATATAATTGAATGTAAGTTTGGAGAAGACAGAAACCGAAGAGACGCAAATTACCCTAGAAAACACCTACTCTGAACTAGGGCCATTCATATCTTCCCACAAAAAGCTATTTTATCTCCTATCTGAGAAAAGATAAATGTCTTTAGAGACATGCAATAAAATCAAGGTCATTTCTAAAATGTGGGGCTAGCTTAAAAGTAAATTTTGTGAAGTGATCCTGGAAGAAGAATATAAACACGTTAGAGGAAAGGTGAACTCAATTAATTTGATCTTCTTTCAAGTGGAATTCTTCAGATCATAGAGAAAGCAGATGGATAGATGACTATCAAGAAATAACAGCAAAGATTACAAGGGCTTTTGCTTCATGCTTATTTACGATATTTATTTTAAAGATTTATAAACATTCATATTTATATGAACTTACATGTGGATCTTATGGGTTTATAGATAAAGACAATGTTAGAGTTAATATTACAAATACATTTAGACTGTGAGTAATTTTCTCGAATTTTAATGAAATCCTATATAATAGCTTACTTCAAGTTGCCAAACAAAATGTAAATTTCTTCCTACTAATGTTGCAATAACATTATTCTGAAAATCTTTTTACTTGATTTAAATTGTTTCTTTTCCATTGGCTTCATTATTTTTTTATGTTTTACCCATGATAACACTAAAAGGGACAAATTGGCCTACTAGTTTTCTCACTACTCTCCCCTTCAACAATTTCTCTACAGAAAAGGTTTCTTTAGTTATTTAGTTAATTGCATTCTGTTATAAAGTCATCAAGATAATTTTATAAGTTTGAATCAAATGCTAATATTCTCTATTCTGGACAAACAAATGTTGCACATGTAGGGTGGGAAATGGGATCTGCATTTATGATCCCTAAATGGCTTAATATTAAACTTTCTGATTATTATTATTAGTTAATTTGTACTAATTAGCTTTTTTTTAAGGAAAATAAAATATAGAACTATCGGACATAAGAACCATAATGGAATTCATTCAGCATCAGTTACTGAACTCCCTAAGTTACCATTTGAAATATCAGTTAAAAGCCATGATAGATGACATTTTTTGATAACTGACTCTTTAATCCATTTTTGACAAAATTAAAATTAAATTAGTTTTTAAGTTGTAAGTGACCATTAAACTATTAATTTGGCTCAAGAGAGATTTAGCTTGGTTTATTATTATGTAGTGTTTTTGTTGCAGTTATTAGCCTTGAGAACAAGGACTTCATTGAACTTGTTTGCTGTTATATGCTAAGTGCCTATAGTTATACCTGTTCCAGATTCATCACTCAATGAGTAGTTGTGGAAGGATGAAAGAAAGGAAGAAAACAATTTCTCTTTTACTCAGATTTTTCTCAGAATATAGTGAGCTCTCACCAACATGAAAGACTTGCACATTTGTAGAGTGCTATTATGTTTATTAATGTATTTTCACATATACTGTTAAAATACAATTTCATAGTAACTTTGATTATAGAATGGGCAGTTTTATTTCCATTTATTTATTTTTAATAAATGTTATTTTAGATTTATTTTTAATAAACTGTTATTGTTGATTCACAGTGATATGGGCAAATTTGTTATACGGGTAAAATGCATGCCACAGAGGTTTAGTGTACAGATCATTTTGCCACCCAGGAAGTAAGCATATGACCCAATAGTCTTTTGACGCTTGCCCTCCTTCATCCCTCTACCGTCAAGTAGGACCTGGTGTCTGTTGTTCCCTTCTTTGTGTCCATATGTACTCAAGGTTTAGCTCCCACTTATAAGTGAAAACATGTGATATTTGATATACCATTCCTGTGTTGGTTCACTGAGGATAGTGGCCTCCAGCTCCATCCATGTTGCTACAAAGTACATGATCTCATTCTTTTTTATTGCTGCTTAGTATTCTACGGTGTATATGTGCCACATCTTCTTTATCCAGTCTACTGATGGGCATTTAGGTTGATTCCATGTCTTTGCTATTGTGAATAGTGCTACAATGAACATACAAGTGCATCTATCTTTATGGTAGAATGATTAACATTCCTCTGGGTGCATACCCAGTAATGGGGTTCGTGGTTTGCATGGCGATTCTGCTTTGAGTTATTTGAGAAATCTCCAAACCGCTTTACACAATGCTGAAACTTATTTACATTTTCACCAGCAGAATAGAAGCACTCTCTTTTCTCTGCAATATCACTGGCATCTGTTTTTTTGACTTAATAATAGCCATACGGATTGATGTGAGATAGTATCTCATTGTGTTTTTGCTTTGCATTTCCCTAATGATTAGTGATGCTGAGCATTTTTTCATGTGTTTGTTAGCCATGTGTATGTCTTTTTTTGAAGTGTCTGTTCATGTCCTTTGCCCACTTTTTAATGGGGTTGTTTGGTTTTTGCTTGTTAATTTGATAAATTTCCTTATATATGCTGGATATTAGACCTTTGTCAGATGCATAGTCTACAAATATTTTCTCCCATTCTGTAAGTTGTCTGTTTACTCTGTTGATAGTTTCTTTTGCTGTGCAGAAGCTCCTTAGTTTAATTAGGTCCCATTTGTCAATTTTCATTTTGTTACAACTGCTTTTAGCATCTGTGATGGTTAATATTGGGTGTCAACTTGATTGGACTGAAGGATGCAAAGTATTATTCCTGGGTGTGTTTGTGAGGGTGTTGCCAAAGGAGATTAACATTTGAGTGAGTGGACTGTGAGAGGCAGATGCACCCTCAATCTGGGTGGGCACCATCTAATCAGCTGCCAGCTGCAGCCAGAATAAAGGCAGGCAGAAGAACATGAAAAGACTGGACTGGCTTAGTCTTCTGGTCTCCATCTTTCTCCCATGCTGGATTCTTCCTGCCCTCAAACATCAGACTCCAGGTTCTTCAGCTTTGGGACTCTTGGACCTTCAACCAAAGACTGCAGGCTGCACTGTCAGCTTCCCTGCTTTTGAGGTTTTGGGACTCAGACTGGCTTCCTTGCTCCTCAGTTTGCAGACAGCCTATTGTGGGACCTCACCTTGTGATCGTGTGAGTCAACATTTCTTAATAAACTCCACTTTATCTGTACATCTATCCTATTAGTTCTGTCCCTTTAGAAAACCCTGACTCATATAGCATCTTTGTCATAAAATTGTTCCCAGGGGCTATGTCCAGAATGATATTTTTTAAGTTTTCTTCATGAGTTTTTACAGTTTTAGGGTTTACACTTAAGTCTTTAATCCATCTTGAGTTGATTTTTGAACATGGTAGAAGTAAGGGGTCCAGTTTCAGTGTTCTGCCAATGGCTACCCAGTTATTCCAGCACCATTTATTGAATAGAAAGTCCTTTCCCTACTGCTTGTTTTTTTGTCAATTTTGTTGAAGATCAGATGGTTGTAAGTGTGTGTCTTTATTTCTGGACTCTCCATTCTGTTCCGTTGGTCTATGTGCCTGTTTTTGTACCAGTACCAAGCTGTTCTGGTTACTGTAACCTGGCAGTACAATTTGAAGTTGAGTAATGTGATACATCCAGCTTTTCTCTTTTTCTTAGGATTGTATTGGTTATTTGGGCTCTTTTTTGGTTCCATGTAAATTTTAGAATAATTTTTTTCTAATTCTTTGAAAATATTATTGGTAGTTTGATAAGAATAGCATTGAATCTGTAAATTGCTTTGGGCAGTATGGCCATTTTAACAATATTGATTCTTCCTATTCATGAGCATGGAATGCTTTTCCATTCCTTTTATAGTCTCTGATTTTTATTTTTATTTTCAGCTGTTGTAGAGATCTTTCACTGCCCTGGTTAGCTGTATTCCAAGGTATTTTATTATTCTTGTGGCTGTTGTGAACGGGATTGTGTTCTTGATTTGGCACTCAGCTTGAATGTTGTTGGTGTATAGAAATGCTACTAATTTTTGCGCATTGATTTTGTATGAACTTTGCTGAAGCTGTTTATCAGATTTAGGTGTCTTTGGGCAGAGACTGGGATTTTCTAGGTATAAAATCATGTTGTCTGCAAACAGAGATAGTTTCACTTCCTGTCTTCCTATTTGGATACATTTCATCTCTTTCTCTTGCGCGACTGCTCTGGCTACAACTTCCAGTACTATGTTAAAGAGGAGTGGTGAGAGTGGCCATCCTGGTCTTGCTCCAGTTTCAGGGGGAATGCTTCCGGCTTTGGCCATTCGGTATAATGTTGGCCGTGGGTTTGTCATAGCTTTTCTTACTTTGAGGTATGTTCCCTTGATATCTAGTTTGTTGAGGGTTTTTAACATGAAGGGATGTTGAATTTATCTACAGCCTTTTCCTTATCTATTGAGATGATCATGTGTTTTTTGTTTATAGCTCTGTTTATATGATGAATCACATTTATTGATTTGTGAATGTAGGGAAGAGCCAAACTTACATCTCAGGAATAAAACCTACTTGATCATGATGGAGTCACTTTTTGACGTGCTGCTAGATACAGTTTGCTAGTGTTTTGTTGAGGGCTTTTGCATCTATATTCATCAAAGAGATCAGCCTGAAGTTTTCTTTTTTGGTTGTGTCTCTGCCAGATTTTGGTTTTGGAATAAAGCCGGCCTCAACTATGAATTAGAGGAGTCCCTCCTTCTCAATTTTTTTGAATAATGTCAGTAGGATTGGTACCAGCTCTTCCTCATACATCCAGTAGAATTCAGCTGTGAATCTGTCTGGTCCAGGGCTTTTTCTTGTTGATAGGCTTTTTATTACTAATTCAATTTTGGAGATCATTATTGGTCTGTTTAGGGTTTCAGTTTCTTTCTGGTTCAATCTTGGGCAGTTGTATGTTTCCAAGAATGTATCCATCTCTTCCAGGTTTTCTAGCTTGCATGCATAGAGGTGTTTACAATACTCTCTGAGGGCTTCTGGTATTTCTGTGGGGTAGACGGTAATGTGCCCTTTGTCATTTCTGATTGTGTTTATTTGGAGCTTCTCCTTTGTTATTAGTTCAGCTAGCAGTCTATCTATCTTAGTAATTCTTTCAAAGAACCAAACCTGGATTTGTTGATCTTTTGTATGATTTTCCACCTCTCAGTTTCCTTCAGTTCAGCTCTGATTTTGGTTATTTCTTATCTTCTGCTACCTGCAAAGATTTGCTTTTGTTTTTTAGTTCCTCTAGATGTGATATTAGGTTGTTGATTTGAAATCTTTCTAACTTTTTGATATGGTGTTTAGTGCTGTAAACTTTCCTCTTAACAATGCTTTAAGCTGGAAAAAGTGATTTATGCCTGTAATCCCAGCACTTTGGGAGGTTGAGGTGGGCAGATTGCTCGAGTCTGTAAGTTTGAGACCAGCCTGGGCAACAAAACAAGACCCTGTCTCAAATAAATAAATAAATAGGCCTTTGCTGTTTCCCAGAGATCCTAGTATGCTGTATCTTCTGTTTTCATTAGTTTCAATGAATTTCTTGAATAATACCTTTATTTCATTGTCTATCCAAAAGTCATCCAGGAGAACATTGTTTAGTTTCCATGTAATTGTTTGGTTTTGAGAGATCTTCTCAGTATTGATTTTTATTTTTAATGCACTGTGGTTTGAGAGTATGGTTGGTATGATTTCAGTTTTTTTAATTTTTTGAGAATTGTTTTATGGCCAATTGTGTGGTTGATTTTAGAGTATGTGCTGTGTGCAGATGAGAAGAATATTCTCATACTATATTCTGTTGTTGAAAGGAGTGTTCTTTAGATGTCTGTTAGGTTCATTTGGTCAAGTGTTGAGTTCAGGTCCTGAATATTGTTTTAGTTTTCTGCTTTGATGATCTGTCTAATACTATCAGTGGGGTGTTGAAGTCTCCCACTATTATTGTGTGGTTATCTAAGTCTGTTTGTAGATCTCTAGGAATGCGTTTTATGAATCTGGGTGATCCAGTGTTGGATGCATATATATTTAGGATAGTTAAGTCTTGCTGAATTGTACCCTTTTTCATTATGTAATGCCTTTTATTATTATTATTATTGTTGTTGTTGTTGGTTTAAAGTCTGTTTTGTCTGAAATCAGAATAGCAACTCCTTTTGTATTTTCAGTTTGCTTAGTATATTTTTATCTATCCCTTTTCTTTGATCCTATGGGTGTCATTGCATGTGACATGGGGTCTCCTGAAAACAGCACACAGTCAGGTCTTTCTTCTTTATTCAACATGCCTCTATGCCTTTTCAGTGGGGCATTTCACCCATTTATGTTCAAGGATAATATTGATATGGGCAGATTTGGTCCTGTCATCATGTTGTTAACTGGTTTTTATGCAAGCTTGATCTTGTAGTTGTTTTATACTGTCAGTGGTCTGTATGCTTAAGTGTGTTTTTGTGGTGGCTGGCAATGATCTTTCCTTTCCATGTTTAGCACTTCTTTAAGGATCTCTTGTAAGATAGGTCTGGCGGTAATGTATTCCCTTAGCATTTACTTGTCTGAAAAGGATCTTATTTTTCTTTTGCTTATGAAGCTTAGTTTGGCTGGATATAAAATTCTTGGTTGGAATTTGTTTTCTTTAAGGATCCTAAATATTGCTGCTCAATCTTTTCTGGCTGGTAGCGTTTCTGCTGAAGGGTCTGCTGTTAGCCCAATGGTGTTCTCTTTGTAGGTGACCTGCCCCTTTTCTCTAGCTGCCTTTAATATTTTTTTATTCACATTGACCTTGGAGAACCTGATGACTATGTGGGGATGATCGTCTTGTGTAGTATCTCACAGGAATTCTCTGAATTTTCTGAGTTTAAGTATTGACCTCTCTAGGGACTTTGGGGAAATTTTCATGGACAATATCCTCAAACTTGTTTTCCAAGTTGCTTGCTCTTTCCTTCTCTTTCAGGGACACCAGTGAGTCATAGGTTTGGTCTCTTTATATAATCCCATATTTCTCAGGTTTTGTTCATTCTTTATTTGAGAGAGAGTCTAGCTGTGTCACCCAGGCTGGACTGCAGTGGCACAATCTCGGCTCACTGCTGCAATCTTCGCTCCTGAGTTCAAGTGATTCTCCTGCGTCAGTCTCCTGAGTAGCTGGGATTACGGGCTCTCACCACCACACCTGGCTAATTTTTGTACTTTTAGTAGAAACAGGGTTCCACTATGTTGGCCAGGCCAGTATTGAACTCCTGGCCTCAAGTGATCCACCCTCCTCAGCCTCCCAAAGTGCTGGAATTACAGGTATGAGCCACCATGCCTGTCAGATTTTGTTCTTTTTCTTGTATGGTTGTATTGAATTCCTTAGATTCCTTGCATTAGGTTTTGATTTTCTACTGAGTCTCAACGATCTTCGTTCTTATCCAGAGTCTTTTTTCAGACTGGTTAAGAACAGCTGCTGGTGAACTAGTACGGTCATTTGGAGGTAAGAAGACTCTCTGGCTTTTTGAGTTGCCAGAGTTCTTGCACAGGTTGTTTCTCATTTGTGTGGGCTGATGTTACTTTAATCTTTGAAGCTGCTCTCCTTGGATAAATTTATTTGCTTTTACATTCCTTGATCTCATTGACAGTTTGACTGTGGTATAAGGTAGGTTCAATCACCTAGCTTTGTTTCTGTAAGATTTCAGGTGGCCAACACTCAACTTAGAGCTTCTGGACTCATGCTCTAGCCCTAGGGGGCTGGAACCAGGCACACAGCTTGGTTCTCTGACCCCTTGAGATTAGGAACCCACTGCATTGGAGAAGCCAAAGTGTTCCAGGTCCATTGGCAACAAGACTCCAGTGAAGCAGTGCCAACCAAAGCACTTCATTAGTGCCATGGCAGCAGGGTAGACACTTGCACACACAGGCCAGCAGCAACAGCAGCATGGCAGGATATATGTGCATTGGTGAGGGCAGGGCACAGGTGAAGGTGGGGCAGTGGTGTCCATGTGTGCTTGTGCTCTCAGCAGCAACATGGTGGGGTGAGCGCACATGCCTGCCTTTGGGGGCAGTGCAGTGTGGTCCATCCATACACACTCCAGCAAAGTGGTGGGGGAGCTATGAGCAAGTTCATGCCAGCAAAGCAATGGGAGAAGGCTGCAGGGCCAGGAGGATGTGGGTAGGGGTAAGCATAAATAACTTTAAAGAACCTCAAAGGCATCAAGATTTACATAGTTCTTTCTAAAAGAATGCATAAAAATGCACTTCATTTTTGCATCTCAGATAAAATATGTAATTAAAACTCTGTGGTCTAATACTACCACGTAGCTACATGGAAAATGACAAAATTCAGACACATGAGTCCAAATGCTATCTTATTTATTATAAGATAAAGTGCCAGCTTTAAATAAGACTGTCTTCAAGATCATGGTGGAAATCATAAAGAATAAGTAGAAACCTGTTGACTATTTTACTCTCTTCAGCAGTTTCTCTTCACAACTGAACATTTCATGTTGCTAACAGAGAGCAGGCACTGGAATGGAGATAAATTTATGTGTACATATTTTTCTCAGCACAAAATTAGGGGGAATGACCTAGAAAATCATGGAATTAGCAATTTTCTAGTGTTAATATAATTATGATTATAATTATTATACATTCTATTTTTAAAAACTTAGAAACAAAAAGTATTCCAGAGAAAATTGACCATAATCACATCAAGCACTGACCGTCACACTTTCTGCATTTCTTGCTATTCTTCTATGCATAATTTATATCATTTTGTAAATGTCTTTACTGTGTTTGCACAAGTAACCTGGTTCTAGGGGGATAAAAAGTATGTATCCAGACATTGACATTCTTTGTTACTGTGACTAAAGTAGCATGACTTTGGAGAGTGGAAGGTAGGAGAAATTCAATTGCTTCTGAGGCAGCTGCTGTTGCACATGTCCCTTATCAATGTGGTCATTTATATACATAATTTCTGATTTTGCTTCATCTTGTTTTTACAGGAAAGAAGGGGTTAATAATCCAGATGTTAAGGTAATTTTTAATGGTAAACACTATGTCTTCTTTTCCTCCTTTTATTCTGTCATTTTTCTAGTGGCTCTGCTATGGTGTAAATAGGCATAGATGGCAAGTAAATTCTTGCTATTAATAGTTAGATTATGAATGTTTGTACATGACTAACATTATTATAAGTTAGAATGGATGAACTGTACTTTCATCAGCTTGAATTCTAATGTGCTTTCTGAGCAGTAGTGACAGGAAGGATGGAGTTGAAATGGGCATGGTGGATTTGGACACAGCCCCAGGCACAGCTGTGGAATGTGCTGTGTGTGAATGTTCCGTGGGGAGTATCACCTCAGAGAGGAGCTGAAATACCTGCTGTACTACATCTTCTCCTTTTTGTCTTTCTAAGGGTAAATACAAATTAAAAATAAGAGGCTTAACTTTACCTTTTTAAAATAATGGAAGGGACTCCTTGCTACCCCCCCATCCTTTTATTTCAGCTTTTGTTTTAGAAAACTTTGTGAAAATTGTAATTTCTGTTTCTGACCCTTTGAGATTTATGAAATTCTTTCTAAAACGATTTCTTTAAAATATGCCTTTTGCCAGTTTTACCACAAAGGAGTATTTCTCTCAGGGAACATTTCTACATTGCTGGTGGGAATGTAACTAGCACAACCACTGTGGAAAACAATGTGGAGATTCCTTAAAGAACTAAAAGTAGAACTACCACTTGATCCAGCAGTCCCATTACTGGGTATCTACCCAGAGGAAAAGAAGTCATTATACTAGAAAGATACTTGCACACACGTTTGTAGCAGCACAATTCGCATTTGCAAAAATATGGAACCAACTCAAATGCCCATCAATCAACAAGTGGATAAAGAAACTGTGGTACATATATATATATATGATGGACTACTACTCAGCCATAAAAAGGAATGAATTAATGGCATTCATAATGACCTGGATGGGATGGAGACTATTATTATTATTATTATTATTATTATTATTTGAGACAGAGTCTTGCTCTATCGCCCACGCTGGAATGCAGTGGCATGATCTTCATTCACTGCAACCTCCACCTTCTGGGTTCAAGCAATTCTCCTGCCTCAGCCTCCCGAGTACCTGGGATTACAGGTGTCTGCCACCATGCCTGGCTAATTTTCGTATTTTTAGTAGAGACAGGGTTTCACCATGTTGGCCAGGCTGGTCTCAAACTCCCGACATCAGGTAATCTGCCCACCTCAGCCTCCCAAAGTGCTGGGATTACAGGCATGAGCCACTGCGCCCGGCCTGGAGACTATTATTCTGAGTGAAGTAACTCAGGAGTGGAAAACTCAACATTGTATGCTCTCACTTATAAGTGAGAGCTAAGCTATGAGGATGCAAAGGCATAAGAATGACACAATGGACTTTGGGGTGTCAGGGGGAAAGGGTGGGAAAGGGGTGATGGATAAAAGACTACAAATAGGGTTCAGTATATACTGTTTGAGTGATGGGTGGACCAAAATCTCACAAATCACCACTAAAGAACTTACTCATGTAACCAAATACCACCTGTTCCCCAAAAACTTATGGAAATAATTTTTTTTTTAAAAAAAAGAAATATTTTTCTCGAGATCTAGATCTTTTTGTAATGTAATCATCAAGGAAGATAGAGTATTTATCTCCCTGTTTCTGTGGGAGGCTAGAAGCCTTGATTCAGCTTGCAAAACTACCTTCTGTCATAAAAATATGACAATTGTGTTTTTTACATAAAAGTAATTATCAAACCTGGATGGTTACCCCAATTACTAAGTGAAATTATCAGGAACATGAACTGGAGCAGTCAACTCCTCTTACTTGATGGCTAGTTATCGTTTATCTTGAGACAATGTATGTAACAGATTGGATTTGTAAATATCTGTCTGCAATGTAAAAGGGTAAAATTTCTGTTTTTGCAATCTCTTTAGCAGATTGCTTGTGATGTGACTCACATTCTGATTTAATGCTCATTCAATAATGAAACTTTTTTCTTCTTTTTTTTTTTGGAGAGGATCTTTTGGGTTAGGAGGTGTTATGGACTGAATTTTGCCCCCCTAAAATTAATATGTAGAAGTTCTAACCCTCAACACCTCAAAATGTGACTGTATTTGGAGACAGATAGGGTCTTTAAAGTGGTAATTTAGTTAAAATTAGGTCCTAAGGGTGGGGCCCTAATTCAATATAACTGAGGACCTTATAAGAAAAGGAGATTAAGACACAGATACACACAGAGGGAGGACGACATGAAGACACGTGGAGAACATTGACATCTACAAGGCAACGTTAAGAGGCCTCAGAAGAAACAAGCCTGCTAACCCCTTGATCTCAAATTTCTAGCCTCCAGAAGTGTGGGAAAATTAATTTATGTTATTTAACCCACCCAGTCTATGATCCTCTGTTTTGGCAGCCCTAGCAAACTAATACAGCCCATTTTGTTTTTCATTTTTGGGGGGGAAATTTCATTTCCCCATAACCTCGCATTCTTAGTTTCCTCCTTCATTAATTCTTGCCCTCCACAAATATTTACTGAACATGTATTATATACGTCATGTTATTGGCTAGGTTCTAGCAAGGCAAAGTTGAATAAAACATTACCTTTTCCCGATAGAATTTAAGACTACAGTAAAAGACAAACAAAGAAATGAAAAAACATTAAATGTAACAGATAAGGCTGAGAGCTTCATTTATGTTGTTCCACAATACATTCAGTGCCTAACTCAGGGCACAATCCATAATAAGCACTAAATAAATACTTGTTAAGTGAATGAGGGCATGCAAAGAGAAGGAGCATACAAACTAGACTTGTGGATTAGGAAGGGCATCTGTATTAGTTTGTTCTCATGCTGCTAATAAAGACATACCAAAGACCAGGTAATTTATAAAGGAAAGAGGTTTAATTGACTCACAGTTCAGCAGGGCTGGGGAGATCTCAGTAAACTTACAATTATGGTGGAAAGAAAAGTAAACATGTCCTTCTTCACATGGCGGCAGGGAGAAGAACGAGTGCCCAGTGAAGGGAGTAGCCCCTTATAAAACCATCAGATCTCGTGAGATCAAACTCACTATCATGAGAACAGGATAGGGGAAACTGCACCCATGATTCAATTATCTCCACCGGCCCCTCCCATGACACATGGGGATTTATTAACTTCTAAGAGAAAAAATGTTTAAGTTGCATTTTAAAGAGGAAATAGGAGTAAACTATTTGTAGGTAGGAAAAAAATTCCAGGATAACGAAACAGCATGTTTTCCTACAATATGGTGTAAATCAGCAGAATACAATTAAGGGACTTTCCACTGTAATTGGAGCAAAGAATGTTAATGTAGAAGTGAAAAATATGAGATTTCAGAATTAGGCTGACCCTTTACCATCTGGGTCCAATCTTATTGCTTGTCTTTTGTCCCCAAAACTAAGAAAAACTACTAAAGAATTTATATACAGCAAGTGACATTATGGGGCCAATTTAAAAACAGAAAATCGGTGATTGCAGATGAATGAGATGAGAAGGAGTGAAGGCATGTAATACAACAAAGGCAGACAGAAAGAAAACAAGCACAAGAACAGGTGAGAAAACAATCACGAAAGGAAAGGTTGTTTGAGCAGGAATCCTACAGGATATTAATCGCATAAGTAAGTTAGTAAATCAGGAAACAGGAAGCTATATGCGATTGTTACTACTCTTACTTTCACACTTTCCATTGTAGACATTTCATCAGACAAGTAATGAAAGGATTTCTAAAAAGGATTTATGAACTCCTAAAACTAAAACTGTCTATTTGTTCTATTTTTTCCATGAAAATAGTGCCCTTTTCAGTTTGTTTTCATGAGATTTTATTTTGTTGGTGGTGGTTTTGTTGATGCTGTTGTTTTATTTTCATGAGATTGTAAACAGTCCCCGTTAGATACCATACTCTGACAATCTATAAAACAAATGAAATAATCAACATATGCTTGGCTTTATGAAAAAGAAAATACTATTCCACATTAACTGTAAAGACAGCAAAAAAGGAATCACAGTGGGAAAAACTGAGTGTAGTTGCTTTAGAACAGAAATTATTAACTGTTATAATACATAAACATGTAAAAATGAAAGGCAGCTCCCACCTCAGTCAACCAAATCTCTAATGGTAGAGCAACCATCATAGATTCCACTAGCACAAGTGAGTATTGAGTTGAAGGCTGCAAATTTGCAACACCCACTAAAACCATTTACATGTAAATGACCCTTTCTCTTGCACATAGTCGATTTTAGACTGCTCGGCATCAAACTTTTTAGCATGCAGTTTGTGCAGCGTAATGAGGTGAGTGGAGAAGGAGAAAGAATTAGTATAAACTGCTGCACTTTCCTGGGACTTGTATTGCTTTTGCCTTTTTCTGGAACAGTGGCTTCCTGGCCTTTTCTCTTACTCAATGTACCTTCTCCATGAAAAGCTAATAGCAAATAACAAAGTAACCTAAGAAGGAGAAAAGGAGAAATGAATATTAGAAACTCACTATTTGCAGCTCAGAAATTGTGTTAGGTATTTTCTTGGGCTCTCTAATTTAATTTAAATTGCAATAGCAAATTTAGGCAAACTCTACCTCAATCTCTCTTCATTTTTTTTCCAAGACACATTCACTTCAACCAGACACATTACATTCACTTTGAAAAATTAATGCAAATGTCTCAAAGGCATCCTGGATTGTTTTATTTATTTTGTTAACAATTCACGTGTTTTATTGCTTATTTTATTTATATATTTTTTAAGATGGGGTCTTGCTATGTTGCCCAGGCTGCACATGAACTCTTGGGCCTGAGCAAACATCGTGCCTTGGCCTCCCAAGTAGCTGGGAATACAGGCATGCACCAACCACTCCCTGTGCTGGTTTATTTTAATCCCATTTTTGTATTTGGCATTTCTTCCTCTAAAAAGTTTAAACTTTTTAAAACTCTATGTTCATTTCCTTACATATTCATAAGCCTTAAATTATTCTGGTTATGATTTTACCCATCTGAGGATAAAGTCTGTTCTCTCTCTAAGACATACTAAAAGGCTGAGAATATTTCATTATGCCTCTCTTATCACCTTGTCCCTCATAGCCGCTCCCCTTCAACCCCTCTATCCTATCACCTTACCCAAATTGTTCTTCTTCACTCCTTTTGATAAACTCCAAATTGTGCAAACAATAGCTTCAAATCTAAGAAAAATTGTTTCTACTTCAAAAGAATTATCTTTGACCAACTACTCCCAAAACTAGCAGAACTTCAGCTGACCCCTCCACCTACACCCTGTAAAACGTTTTGTCATCCTTCGCCAGATCGGAATGCTCCATTGGAGCTTTCTCATGCCCAGGATTCTTGAATAAATTATTATGCTAGTAGTAAACTAGTTTCAAAAACATTTTTCTGCTTTTTGCACAAGAGAATGAGTGCTACCTGTTAGTTTTTTAATGTTGTATCATTGAATGCCTGATGATAGAAATTAGAACCAGTAAGTTAACACTGAATTTTGCAAAATACCATCAGTCAAGGGCCTAGCAGGAAACAGCTGGCACATATAAAAGGTTGTAACTGAAGAAAATCTTAATGGGATGAGTATTTACAGAGCTGTAGGCAGAGTTGTGCTGAACCAGTAACAACAGGAAGCCACTACTAACCCAAGGCCCAGAGCCATGAAAAAGAGGCAGACAAAGTCTTGACCCAGCAACTTCCAGAACCATGAGGAAAAAAAGAAGATGGGAAATTTGTAAATACCACGGTCCCACTCTCCTCCCACCCTCTGATCTCCTGTTGGTTTTTAGGGAGGGCTGAAGACAACAGGAAACCAGAAAGCATGGGAGCCCAAAAGATGCTTCTTTTAGAGATGAGCCTGTGAGAGCAGAGCAGGGCAGAGAAGAGCAACGGGTTGACCTGTGATATGGTTTTGCTGTGTCTCCACCCAAATCTCATCTTGAATTTCCATGTGTTGCAGGAAGGACTTGAAGGGAGGTAATTGAATCACTGAGGCAGGACTTTCCTGTGCTGTTCTCATGATAGTGAATAAGTCTCACCAGACCTGATGGTTTTATAAGGGGGGAGTTTCCCTGTATAAGCTCTCTTCTCTTGCCTGCCATAATGTAAGACGTGCCTTTCACCTTCCACCATGATTGTGAGGCCTCCCCAGCCACGTGAGTGGCTGTAAGTCCATTAAAACTCTTTCTTTTGTAAATTGCTCAGGCTTGGGTATGTCCTTATCAGCAGCATGAAAACGGACTAATACAATCTGACATGGAAAATGCAGGCCGGGTGCGGTGGGTCATGCCTGTAATCCCAGCACTTTGGGAGGCCAAGGCGGGCGGATCATGAGGTCAGGAGATCGAGACCATCCTGGCTAACATGGTGAAACCCTGTCTCTACTAAAAATACAAAAAATTAGCCGGGTGTGGTGGTGGGTGCCTGTAGTCCCAGCTACTCGGGAGGCTGAGGCAGGAGAATGGCGTGAACCCGGGAGGCGGAGCTTGCAGTGAGCCTTGATTGCACCACTGCACTCCAGCCTGGGCGACAGAGCGAGACTTCGTCTCAAAAAAAAAAAAAAAAAAAAAAAATGCAACACAACTATTGTCTCAGGTTGCATTCTTGAAACACAGAATCTGGAAGAAAAAAGATTTTAATATAGGAAGTTAGCAGGAAGACGCTCTTGAGAACAACACTCAAGGGAGGGAAGCATGATGGAGTGAGGCAAAAATTGAGCTGCGATGCAGTCAGAGCAACAACTTCAGCTGATCCTTCAAGGGCTCTGAAGCTGGGGTAGGCCTTTCAGAAATGTTCTGAATGGGGAAGAGTGACCTTGGCGTTTGTTCCCAGCTTAGTCAACCACTGGAAGCTGTCTGCTGCAGGGGAGAGAGAATAGCCTCCACCAAGGCAGTTCCCTTCAGCCAAGGTCTATTCTTAGGTAGAAATTTGGCTGTGAACTCTCTGGCAGCCAAAGCTGCCAGACCTGGGGAAAGGACATCTGGTTGGAAGGCCAACCCATGTGGCGCATGACAGTTTCCACTCTAATATGTCCTTAAATCAAAACAATCCAGAAAAACAGTCACATGGGGCACTGGGGAATTTAATTTTCTATCTTAATAGAAATATATTTATTTCCTAATTTTTATTTTATGAAATATCTTGAGAAAAACCTATCTTTGTATCAGTTAAACCACTTCAAGATGGACGTGATTTTTGTGAAGTTGAGCTTTTGAGGACTAGCCAATAACTTTAAAATGAAACTCTAATCCGAAAACAGGGACCCAACCTCATGAGGACTCTCTCCTCAGGAGGGCGAAACCATGCCCTCTCATCGCCCACCTCCATTGTTATCTCCATTTCCTATATTTTTAATCCTTTGGGACACTACAGCTTCTATAACATGAGCCAAATAGAGTGTAATAGGCAGTAATATCTTGCTTCCTGAAATGTGCATGCAAAAAAGTTATATAGGTGAGAGCAGACGTAAGCACATAGGGAAAGATAAGGACCAGTGCATTACCCAAAAGAACACAAGGACTGTAGCTGATTCTCTGGAGCACCCAATTCTCTAGCAGCAGCAGCTCTTCCTGGATCCAATCCAATGACTCAATTCTTTCTTTTTTTTTTCTTTTTTTTTTAATTACATTTTAAGTTTTAGGGTACGTGTGCACAACGTGCAGGTTTGTTACATATGTATACATGTGCCATGTTGGTGTGCTGCACCCATTAACTCGTCATTTAACATTAGGTATATCTCCTAATGCTATCCCTCCCCCCTCCCCCTACTCCACAACAGGCCCCGGTGTGTGATGTTCCCCTTCCTGTGTCCATGTGTTCTCATTGTTCAGTTCCCACCTATGAGTGAGAACATGCGGTGTTCGGTTTTTTGTCCTTGCAATAGTTTGCTGAGAATAATGGTTTCTAGCTCCATCCATGTCCCTACAAAGGACATGAACTAATCATTTTTTATGGCTGCATAGTATTCCATGGTGTATATGTGCCACATTTTCTTAATCCAATCTATCGTTGTTGGACATTTGGCTTGGTTCCAAGTCTTTGCTATTGTGAATAGTGCCACAATAAACATATGTGTGCATGTGTCTTTATAGCAGCATAATTCATAATCCTTTGGGTATGTACTCAGTAATGTGATTACTGGGTCAAATGGTATTTCTAGTTCTAGATCCCTGAGGAATCACCAAACTGACTTCCACAATGGTTGAACTAGTTTACAGTCCTGCCTGGGATCTAATTAAACCAACGACTCAATTCTAACAGCATTTAAGATCTCATGTTAGTCACATTAGATGCAAATCTACTAAAAAGTAGAATTACTTCTTTGATTTATGAAATCAACCCATATTCTTCTCCAGATCTGAGTTAAAAGTTGGGTCATCACCTAAGGCAGTTATAAGAAAAACCAAGGACATTCCTCAAATATTATCTAAAAGCAGGGAAATGTCCCAGACAGATCTTACTGTTTGTAGACAGAAAGGCATCACTTCATTAAGTTTCCTAAAACACAAAGTTTAAAAATATCTCTAAGTACAGTTTTCAGTAGGAACCAGGGCAAGGTCTTAGAAACAACTTCCTTGACAAGTTCAAGAACGATGCCATGAGGGAGAAGCAGAAAATCATAAGGAAAAGAGAGAGTGTGAGATCAAGTCAAAAATGGAGAGTGAGTTGACCAAAGTAAGTAGAGAATTTTAGAAAATGAAAAGTGCAAGAGAAGAATTAAAGCTGTATTGTTTATAATCAACCCTGCAAAAGTGAAATCAGTGATCAGGAAAACAAACGCGTATGCCCTTCAACAAGAAAAAGGAAAAGGGGCAAAACTAATGTCAAAGACAATAAGATGCTGGGCATGGTGGCTCACACCTGTAATCCCAGCACTTTGGGAGGCCAAGGCAGGAGGATCACCAGAGGTCAAGAGTTTGAGACCAGCCAGGCCAACATGGTGAAACCCTATCTCTACTAAAAATAGAAAAAAAGGTAAGCCAGGCATGGTGGTGGGCACCTGTAATGCCAGCTACTTGGGAGGCTGAAGCAGGAGAATCGCTTGAACCCGGGAGGCAGAGGTTGCAGTGAGCCGAGATCACACCTCTGCACTCCAGCTTGGGTGACAGAGAGAGACTCTGTCTCAAAAAAAGAAAAAAAAATGATAAATAAATGATAGTAGAAATATTGAACTGCGGAAAAGAAAAAAATTCTAGAAGTAGCCACAATCACAGAAATAATAAAAGCACACTTAACTGAGTTAAAAGCAATATAACTTGAGTCTGCAAGTGAAACCTATGGCATGTAAAAAGCTCTTCTCAGAGGTAGCCTTATATTTTAATTATTTTGTTTATGAGCAACAGAAGCAGTAAGTTAGTTGGAGAAAATATAAGAAAATGTCAAACATCCAGATGACACAGTGAACTGGAGAATATTTATATACACATAATAGTTTAGTGTGCAGGCTCTGAGACAGACTTCCTGAATTGGAAATGAGTTGTCGATTTTTAGCACAGTAACATTTAGAAAGTTTATTGCTGGAGACTTCTGGTTTTCATTCTGACATGTAAAGAGCTTGGAAGGTGTCACTCTCATCCAACAAGAAAACTTGAAACAACAACTAAAATAGCTGAAAACACTGAGAAACAACAACTCTTCCTAGATCCATCAGAAAACTGAGGTCACAGGACAAGCTACTGCCCTGAGAACCAGAGAGAGAGGTGCACAGAGGGAATCACAGGTTTCCCAGAGCAGAAGCCTGCTGCTAGAGCCAGCCCGGTAGAAACACGTAGCTGTACTTGACGAACTGCTACAGTCTCAGTGTGAACTAGCCTGGGTTAAAAACTCTGGGGATCCCAGTCTTAAGAGGACCCTCATTGTATCATAAGATTTAAAAACATATAATGGCTTCTAACACAATAAAAATCATGAATTTAAAATAAAGAAAAGAGATCTAATATGTCTGCCCACCTTCTAGCATTATGCCTTTCAATAGGAATCAAGTTACAATAGATTTATAGTTTTTAGAGCAGTCAGGTGTTCTGTAGATAATAAATTCTAAGTATGTAAATGGATTTTCCAAAATAAGCTTTACAGGGAAAGCATAGTTCTATTATTTTTTATGGAAATGCCAACTACCATAGAAGCAACAATTCGAGAATTATTTTAAAAGCCGTTCAAAAGCAATAAATGTTTAGAATTTCAGAATAAGAGACTTCTAACTCAGACTAAGAACTCAAGAGCTAATAACTGAAAATTAAAAATTCAGACAGTGGAATACCTCCTCTTCTAACCACAACGTAGTAATAAAGGTTAGATTTATCCTTTAACATTAAACACAAGGAATGCTGGACAAAGTATATAGTACAACTGTTTTCAAACATTAATCAACAGGCAACACAGGACTTGGATCCCTGAGATATGAGATGCAATGGAGGTTGTCTTCTGACCACACAGAATTTTTGCTTAAAGGCAGATTATTGACTACAAAAGAGGGAGGGGGAACCTTCACAAATTACAGTGGTTTTGCTCAGTTGAAGAGACAGAAATCAGAGTTCAGGTAGTCTAATGCAGCAGAATGTGAAGAGCAGAATTCTGAAAAAGAGAGAACTATGCAAAAAAAGAGCTACAGAAATAAAAATTTGATATGCTTTTTCTGAACACTAAGATGTACATTCGTCGGTGGCTCACGCCTGTAGTCTCAGCACTTTGGGAGGCCGGGGCTGGCAGATCGCCTGAGGTCAGGAGTTCAAAACCAGCCTGGCCAACATGGTGAAACCCCGTCTTTACTAAAAATACAAAAATTAGCCTGGCAGGGTGGCACGCACCTGTAATCCCAGCTACTCAGGAGGCTGAAGCAGGAGAATCACTTGAACCTAGAAGGCAGAGATTGTAGTGAGCCGAGAACACGCCATTATGCTCCAGCCTGGGCAACAAGAGCAAGACTTCGTCTCAAAAAAAAAAAAAAAATTCTTGAGGTGGTTATTTATTTAGCTCATTACTCCTTGGTTTTACCTGTTAAATCACTATAATTTGAATATTTTGAATTTGAATGCTTTTATAAATCAAAAACGTGATTTGCATTTACTAACATGAAAAATTATTGATACAGTTTTGTTCTGTGTCCCTACCCAAATCTCATCTCCCATAATCCCCATTGCAATCCCCATAATCCCTGCCAGTAGAGGGAGGGAGCAGGTGGGAGGTAATTAGATCATGGGAGTGGTTTCCACCATGCAGTTCTCATGATAGTGAGTTCTCAGAGATATGATGGTTTTTTAAGGGGTTCTTCCCCTTTTGCTCTTAGCTCTGTCTTTCCTGATGCCATGTGATAAGGTTTGAACTTGCTTCCCCTTTGCCTTCCACCGTGATTGCAAGTTTTCTGAGGCCTCCCCAGTCAGGTAGCACTGTGAGTCAATCAAACCTCTTTTCTTTATAAATTACCCAGTCTTGGGTATTTCTTTATAGCAGTGTGAAAACAGACCAATACAATGATATCATGATTATTACCAGATTCACAATTTTCAAAATACTATGAAAAGATAAATTGTTCATCCTAGTATTAAAAAGTAAAGATAGAACACAGAAATTTAATTTTTAAAGTATAGTAGTCATTCAGTATTAGAAGCTGAAGATGACTAAAAGTAAGCTAATAGGAATATACAAATTAAAACCATTACAAAGAAAAGTAACAATCTAGACTTAATTATGTATAAAAATTAACTTGATAAATGTTCATTGTCATAATGAAACCATTAAGCCCTTACTAAATGTTATCTCCAAAATTTTTATGGAAAAATTCTTTCTTAAAGTTTTGTAAAATTTGTTTAAGCCATTTTGACTAATTAATTATTAAATAATGTGACACAACTGAATATTGTTTCAATATAAAATATAAAAACATACATTCAAGTTTCTCCTAAAACAGCAGAGGACAGATGAGTTACTACTACTGCTTGACGACACTAAACAGGATTAAGTTACAGATCACAATTTCTTATTCAAATGGCTCTATCATTGCAGAAGAAAGTAAAGACATGGAGGGGGATTAAAATCAGAACATAGTCAACCATCTTTGTTTTTATTTCCATGGTCACAAATAGATCCATGTGGGTCTCTGGCACTTCAAATACTTAATTTGGTTACTTAAACTTAAGTGATTCCTAAGATGCACCAGGAAGTATTTCAACCAACTTGTGCATCCTGACATCTAGATTAGTTATTAAAGAGCTCTTTAGAATGTATCTTCCTCTATGTCATTTCAAATTCAAAACTGTAGATTAATAATTAGATTAGCCTTCCTGCTTCTCAAATCATAAGAACAAATCTTAGAGCTTTATTAAAAACTAAGAAGTAGCATAAAACAAAGATCAATAAGATCTGAAATGAGGCTGTAAGTTTCTAAGCAAAAGCAACAAATATTCAATATTTAAAATATTTTTCCCTATATAAGTGGCTATAACTCAATTTAGACCATGCATAATTTAAATAATAATTTATTCCATTTTAATTAATATTTAATATCATTTAATACATTACGTTTTCCAAAATTTTCTGTCAGTGTATTCAAGGCTCCTTCTCCATAACCAGTATGGCGTCATGGAAAGTGAGTATGCTTTGAAATTAGACTTCATAGGTTTGAACTCCTCCTCTTTATAAGCTTGGTGATGTTAAGCAAGTCATTTAACCTTTTTCAGCTTAGGCCTGTATAGAAATGGCAATAACAATGGAACCTATTTCATTAACAGGTCAGCCAGGTGTGGTGGCTCACACCTGTAATCCCAGCACTTTGGGAGGCTGAAGCGGGCAGATCTTCTGAGGTCAGGAATTCAAGACCAGCCCGGTCAACTTGGTGAAACCCTGTCTCTACTAAAAATACAAAAAATAGCCAGGCATGGTGGTGCATGCCTGTAATCCCAGCTACCTGGGAGGCTGAGGCAGGAGAATCGCTTGAGCTCAGGGGGCAGAGGTTGCGGTGAGCTGAGATTGTGCCATTGCACTCCAGCCTGGGCAACAAGAACAAAACTCTGTCTCAAAAAAAAAGAAAAAAAAATGTAATGTCTGTTGAGTTCCTAGGACACATGACTATACATTTAGCTATTATTCTACTTCAAGTTTTTAGAAGAGGCCAAGTCAATAAAATGACTTGGCCCCCAATTGCCAAAGGAACCGAGAAACCAAGAAGAAGGGGGCAGATAAATCCATTTTGTCAGCACAGGTGGATTTATTAAGGGATTTATTAAGGGAACTTACTGTCAACAGAAGCATGGTCTTGGATGCCCGCAAGACAGGTAGATCTCTGCACTGTTATTCCCTAATCCATGGCTTACATGCCATAGAAAATGGATATATGTGATCTAACAAGACAATTAAAGGCACTCTCCATGACAGGCAAGAATGCTACGTGCATCACAGCCTATAAAGTATGTGGTAACATCAAGATTGCTTTGGCCTAAATGTAGGAGTACATGTTCTTACATTAGGGACAATAAATAAAACAGAAGCCTGGAGACACTCCCGGAACTGGGGTTAATCATAAGTCAACTGGTGGATTGGTATCCAAGATGGAGTCACTTTTTTCTCCACAACTGCACATATTGGTTTTCTGAATTATCGTTAAATTTGAAACTGTGCAATTATGCACAAAAGTCATACTTGTTTTTACTTTAGTACAATCCATTTTGAAACTTTAGGAATATTGTAGGAAAATACAAAAATACCCGATAAAATTTAATGATCATGCTTTATAAAAGTAGTTTGAAATTTCTTTAAATTTTGGGAATTCAATTAAACAATAATGATTACACCTAGAAATGAGCATGTGCACCTAGCAGTGCCTTACATGAGATTGGTTTTTCTCTTTTTTCTTTTTTTTTAACAATGTTTCACCCTGTTGCTCAGGCTGGAGTGCAGCGGCATGATCACAGCTCGCTGCAGCCTCGGCTTTCCGAGCTCAAGCAATCCTCCCACCTCAGCCTTCCGAGTAGCTGGGACTACAGACGTGCACCACCATGCCTGGCTAATTATTTTTCTATATTTTGTAGAGATGGGGTCTCACTATGTTGCCTAGCTGGACTTGAACTCCTGAGCTCAAGTGATCCTCCCACCTTGGTCTCCCAAAATGCTTGGATTACAGGCTTGGGCCATGTGTCTGGCCTGAGATTGTTCTTCTAATTCAAACTTTTAAAGTAAACTTAATGAATTATAAAATACTCGTTTGGTATCATCATTGCATGATGGGAAAAATGGTTGACCTGGCATTTGAGTACGTATGAATCGAAGAATAAATGGCTCTATCAGGATTGAGGAACCACATGGTAGTTTTACTCAGTCTTATCTTCGTTAGAAGATACATGAAAGAGAAAATAGGAATTTGCCTGCAAAAAACCTGGGATTATTTAAACTGAGTAGCAGTTTCGGTGTCAAAATTAAGTGTCAAGACTACACAATGGGGAAAGGATAGTCTTTACAACAATGGTGCTGGGAAAACTGGATATGTACATCTAAAAGAATGAAACTAGACCCATATCTTGCATCGTACACAAAAATCAACTCAAAATGGATTAAAGACTTAAATGTAAGACAAGAACTATAAAACTCCTAGAAGAAAACATAAGGGAAAGCTTCACAACATTGGTTTCGGTGATGATTTCTTAGATATGCCAACAAAAGCACAGGGAACAATAGCAAAAATAGACAAATGGACTATATCATACTAAAAAGTGTCTGTAGAGCAAAGGAGACCATCAACATAGTGAAAACACAAGCTACCAAATGAGACAACATATTTTCAAGCATATAAGGAATTAATATTCAAAATATGTGAAGAACTTCTATAACTCAATAGTAAAATAAATAACCCAATTAAAAATGAACAAAGAATTTTAATAGATATTTCTTCAGATAAGACATACAAATGTCCAGAAAATATGTTAAAAGATTCTCAACATCATTAATCACCTGAGAAATGCAAATCAAAACCACAGTAAGAAATCACTTTATACCTATTAGGGTGGTCATTATTAATAAAAGAAAGGCGGAAAGGAAAGAAAAGAAGTGTTGGCAAGGATGTAGAGAAATTGGAACCCTTGTGCACTGTTGGTGGGAATGTAAAATGGTATAGCCACTGTGGAAAACGGTATGGAGGTTCCTCAAAAAATTGAAAATAGAACTACCAGGCTGAATGTGGTGTCTCACACCTGTAATCCTAGAACTCTGGGAGGCCTAGGTAGGTGGATCATTTGAGGTCAGGAGTTTGAGACCAGCCTGGCCAACATGGTGAAATCTTGTCTCTACTAAAATTGCAAAAATTAGTTGGGTGTGATGGCACGTACCTGTTGTCCCAGCTACTCGGGAGTTTGAGGCAGGAGAATTGCTTGAACCCGGGAGGCGGAGGTTGCAGTGAGCCAAGATCACACCACTGCATTCCAGCCTGGGTGACAGAGCAAGACAAAAAAAAAAAAAAAAAAAAAAAGAGCATCATATGCACCAGGAATCCCACTTCTGGGTATTTATTCAGAAGACTTGAAATTAGGCTCCAGAAGAGACATTTGCATTCCCATGTTCAGTGCAGCATTTTTCACAATAACCAAGGTGTGCAAACAATCTAAATGTCTCAATGTGATGAATGAATACATAAATGTGATATATATACACAATAAAATATTTTTCAGCCTTTAAGAAAAAGGAAATCCTGTCATATGTTACGACATAAACGAATCTGGAGGTCTTTAAAAATATGTGAAATAAGCCATTCACAGAAAGACAAATACTGCATGATTTCATTTACATGAGGTATCCAAAACAGTCAAATTCACAGAAGCAGAAAGTAGAAGAGTGGTTGCCAGAGGCTGTGAAGGAAGAGATGGAGAGTTGCTGTTCAACAGGTATAGTTTCAGTCATGCAAGATGAAAAAGTTCTAGAGATTTGCTGTGTAACAATGTACCTATAGTTAAAAAATACTATACTGTACACTCAAAAATTTAAGAAGTTTCATGTTACGTATTTTTATCACACTAAAAAAAAAATAGGCCCAACAAGCAGATTTTTAGCCTGCTTACTTTGCATAATCTGTAAAACTTCACCCAACCTCTGCTGGATGTTGATGAGTTAGATTCAAAACTGCTTTGCCCTTTGGAACTCCCTGGTCCGGAAACTTCCCACTATGCTGCTGAGAAACATCACCTAGACACGTAGGAACATAAAATGTCTGTCTGATCTTCCTCTCTCCCGGGAGTCCTCTTGCCCTCCTCCCTTTCTGGATGGTGGCCTCCATGTAGCCTTTGGACAGACTGCTGCTGTGAGCAATTTCCTCTCTCAGATGACCTTGTCCAAGTACCACCCGATAAAGCTTACAGCATGTCACTGCCTCCTGTGGGCATATATTTTTCCTTGATTAACCCCAAACACCTAACACTCATGATCAGTCTAAAGCTATCCAAAGCTTACTTGCAAGGAGCCCAATTTCTGCTTTTAATGGTCTGCCTTTTAGGCTGATGGAGAATTTGAGGAGCCGATAGCTGAAGAAGGAACAGGTGATGCTGTCTGTAAATTGACTGCTGGATGTTACCAAGAAGACAATAAAAACAATACGTGCCATACCTGGAGGCGAAACTCCAGTGGACAGCAGTAGTCTGTTACGTAATACGGACTATGCTTTTTATTTGTGTAGAACTTCTAGTTTAAACTCTCATATCAAATCAGATAATGAAAAAACCCTTGGTCTGGCAACACCTCTATATTTCCTGCAGGAACATCTTCATGAAAGTGCAATATACAACTGTATTACCAGCCATTGTCACGTATTGATATAAGAAAGAGACATTATTTTCAAATGTTCCATATAATTGTACTCTACGTGAAGTTGCACTAGTTTTGCTAATTGCCCTCACACAAAGACAAACATGATACATTTAGTGTTATGAAAATAAGATGATTTTCTTGGGAAAATTTCATGATCCGGCTTATTAGATGAGAGCTCAATTATAGTAGGGCTTTTTTTTTTCTTAGTCCGGGTTTTCTTTTTATATCTGCCTCCACCCAATGCAGGACTCTTATTTCTTTATCAGAATTGCAATGATTTTGTGGTCTAATTGCATTTGTTTTTTTCTTATTGCATTAGAGCACTTTGCTCATATCAGCACTGTAGTACTGACTACATGTATTATAGTTAATTGCCAGCCTCCACTAGACAGTGAGCTTTTTGGGTGCAGAGAACACATCTTATTCATTTTGGTATCCCCATCACATAGCGCTGTGTGCTTCTGTTGGGATAGAAAAACACCAATTCATTTTCATTGATTTCCATCATTGAATTTTTATAAGCCACCTCAAATTCTTTGGGTAATAGGCAAAGTAAAACATAAGTAGCAATTTTAAGTCAGATATCAGAAAGTGTGTCAGTCTTTGTTGACATAAGAATAGAATGCATATTTACTGCCTTCTAGTAAAACATAATTTCCTATGCTATTTTTGTAAACAAGAATTTGGTAAAGAATACTAAATGATGTCAGTACAGATTCATTCTCTCAACAAAATATGGTGAGCATCTCTTCTACATAAATCTCTATTGTAAGCACTGGGAGGAAATGGGGAATTTGACAGAAGCTTAAAGAATAGTGAGAAAGATGTGATTTATCATATCAGGATTCTATCAATTGGCCCCAAGTTTCCTGCACTTCTTAGTAATATGATAACTTAAAGGTAGTAAATATGGTATGTCCTTAATCCGTCCTTTACAGAATCTCTTTAAACATCAAGAGGGGGCTTTGAAATAAGTGTCATTTAGGCAAACATGAGATGGTGTAGCAGCACAAATCTATTTCCTGTAATACTCCTGTAAAAGAAACTTATCTTGACAGTAAGAGGCCCATGGAACTAAAGCCAAAGTTATCATGAAGTGATTGTGTAGAAAGACTTTATTCAGTCACCAGGTTTGATGGGGTCCAGAATGTTGCAGGAAGGTAAGAGGGAATACAGAATTCCAGGATTCTAGTTCACAGGTTCTTGATAACCTCAGGAGAGTCACTTTTTCTTGGCACTGTGTATAAAACTTTAGGTAGAGTGTAAGAGATGTAATAAGTACTAATATTTTCTAACTTCCTTCTTCTTTCTCTATCTTACTAAATATTAAATGATTATTTCATATCTCTTCTTCCCAAAATGAGAAGAATGGATCCTATAACATTAAGCTAGCAAAGAAATTTACACTGAAAGTAAAATAAATATAGTGATTTAAATTTAATGGCTAGTATTAGTCAAAAGGGTGGATTTAATGGCAAAATAATGTTCTTTCTTATTTTAAAGAAATGGAGAACAGAAGGAATAGGGAATGCTGTCTTTGAGTTGTATTTAGAAGTGACAAAAGTTAACAGTCTCACAAAACTGAAAAGACCGGTTTTGGTGGTCTTTTCAGGCACAAACTTTCTGGAATAAACTAAAACTCACGATGTTTTTAGGCTATTAAATATGGCTGGAAATCTAAGAGTTTCTCTGTTCAAGTTTAGATTATGCCCTTTTCTATGAAAGAAAAGACCTTAAAAAATGTTGATTATGATTGTCAAATCCTAAGTGTGATGCAAACTGGAAAAATATACCTATCCTAGTTCCCTACCTCATTTACAACCAGCCAGTAGCTTCGCACTGGGCTTGGAATGAAATGCCAACTCCTAACTGTAGTCTACAAAGCTTGCAGAAGCTCAACCTCAGCCATCTCATCTCCTACCCTTCCTCCTCCTTGCTGATTCTCTGGGTCCTCTGGCCTTCTTGTCTTCCACAAGCATCCTGAGTCCAAGCCGAGCTTAGGACCTTTGCTCTTGCTACTTACCCTTCCTGTGATGCTCTTCCCCTAGATTTCAAAAGGCTATTTCCTTCCATCACTCAAGTTTCAGTACCCGTGTGGCCCTCTCAAAAGAGACTTCCCTAACTCCCTTGTTTGAAAATATAGACCCTAACTTGGCCACTTTCTTTCCTTTTGCCTTGTTTTGTTTTCCTCACAGTGATTCTTGATATCTGAAATTCTTACCTTATGAGTTTATTTATTATTGTCCTATCACCTACTATAAGGTAAGAACAAACAGACTGGAGATCTTGGCTATCTTGTACATTGTTGCTGCTCCATAAGAACTTGTTGAAGAGATGAATGAATGAATGCATGCATGGATGAACCTAATTCCATCTTTAAAATATCTCCAAAGGGGGATCACACTTTAACAGTCTAGTTTAACTTGTGAGGAAGTGTTTTTCCTGATATCTATTCAAAAATATTTATCTTTTGGCTAGTGCTGACTTTTTCTTGTTCTTCTCATGATAGATTTCATATACTTGAATTTTTTTCTCTAGACCAAGTAATTTCACTTCCTTTAGTCTTCTCGTCTTCTCTCTTGGATTTTATGCATCAATATTTTAACAGTGTAGATGACTGTTTCTTCCAAATCTATTCACATTTTCTTTTTCTTTTTTCTTTTTCTTTTTCTTTTTTTTTTTTTTTTTTTTTTTTTTGAGTTGGAGTCCCACTTTGTCACCAGGCTGGAGTCCAGTGGCAGGATCTCAGCTCACTGCAACCTCTGCCTCCCGGATTCAAGCGATTCCCTTGCCTTAACCTCCCTAGTAGCTGGGACTACAGCTGCGTGCCACCACGCCCAGCTAATTTTTGTATTTTTAGTAGAGATGGAGTTTCACCATGTTGGCCAGGATGGTCTTGATCTCCTGACCTCGTGATCCACCCTCCTCAGCCTCCCAGTGCTGGGATTACAGGCATGAGCCACCTCATCCAGGCATTTTCTGTCTTTCTTTCCTTCTTTCTTTCTTTCCTTCCTTCTTTCTTTCTTTCTTTCTTTCTTTCTTTCTTTCTTTCTTTCTTTTTCTTTCTTTCTTTCTTTCTTTTGTCTCTCTCTCTCTCTTTCTTTCTTTTTTTTTTTTTTTTTTTGACAGAGTCTCACTTTGTTGCCAGACTGGAGTGCAGTGGCAGGATCTCGGCCCACTGCAACTGCCGCCTCCCAGTTTCAAGTGATTCCCCTGCTTCAACTCCCAAGTGACTACAGGTGCGCGCCACCATGCCCAGCTAATTTTCATATTTTTAGTAGAGACGGGGTTTCACCATGTTGGCCAGGATGGTCTGGATCTCCTGACCTCATGATCCACCCGCTTCTGCCTCCCAAAGTGCTGGGATTACAGGCGTGAGCCACCATGCCCAGCCGAAATCTATTCACATTTTCTACCTTGCTCTAAATTTTAGAAACATGGAAAAGTAGCCATTATATGAATAATGTTCTGACCAGTGTTGAAGGCATATGCATCATCATTTAATTCAAGAAGGGGTAGACTGAGAACTAATTTGTTTACTTTATCTTTTCCTAATGAAAATTAAAATTTCATTACTGTGGTACTCATGCATGTAGACATATTTTAAAGTTATATTATTTATAGTCATAATTTCCTATTTTCATCATTTTTGAAAAGTAATAAAAATGTTTTACTGTCTCCAGACTTTTAAAATGTATCTGAATAACCTTTAAAAATGTGAGTAACCATAAACAAATGTTTTCTTCAAATCCTAATTGACAATTAGTCCCTTTTTGTCCTTCCTTTTTTGTCATGAGTTTCAATAATATTACGTTCAATTTGCTGAGTAGTCTCTGACATCTGGGCTGTACAAATCCAATCAATGACATTTGACATTATGGAGCTGCTCATGGCATGCCAGACACCATGTCACCTTTGAAGCAGTCTCTTAAAGTATCCAAAAGCGATCAGGTCCCGTTTCATGAATATAGTTAGAATGCTATTTGCTTTGCAAGTAAAAAGAACATCATCATGTAGGAATAAGCCCTCTGATATTAGCTATATTCTTTCAGATATTAAATAGATGTACAGAAAAGATTAAAGAATTTTCTAATTTTCTGAGGATGATAGCTCAGTCATCCCACTATTTTGCTAAAAGTGAAAACTCTGTCTTCTCTCTCCTTTTTTTTTTTTTTTTTTTTTGAGATGGAATCTTGCTGTGTCGTCCAGGCTGGAGTGCAGTGGCAAAATCTTGGCTCACTGCAACCTCTGCCTCCTGGGTTCAAGTGATTCTTCTGCCTCAGCCTCCCGAGTAGCTGGGACTACAGGCACACGCCACTATGCCTAGCTAATTTTTTATATTTGGCCAGACTTGTCTTGAACTCCTGACCTTGTGATCTGCCCACCTTGGCCTCCCAAAGTGCTGGGATTACAGGTGTGAGCCACCATGCCCAGCCCAAATCTGCCCTTCTTTTATCCTTACCAAAATTTTTATTGTGTAATAACTCTTTACCAACCCAAATCTGAAGTTTTATGGATATAAAATGTATAAGGCAGCTAGTCCCTTTGCTAAGAGGAAAAAAATCTTTCCAGTGTGCAAAAAATGAGAGTCACTAAGGTATTTTAATATCTGAATATTTTTTAATTACATTTTGCTGCTTTCTTTGCCTTTTTCTTCTTTCATTCTTATGAAAGCTGTGTGTACACAGGATTTATGAGTAGATTCCACTGAAAAGAGAGAATGACCTCCAAGTCCCTCCCTCCCTTGACTCCATGTATGTGGACTATCATCACCTGATTCACTTTCCTGCACTCTGATATCAATGTCAGTCTGTCTCACACATTCTCTGTGGCTACCTAAACCATTTTCTTGGTGGTGTCCAGATTCTCATAATTTGGCCTTGTACCACCCAACTTAATTTTCCAATAAACTGCCAAATATATTATCCACTAATGTGCTATGTCCTCCTGCCTAGAGAATCTTCTCTTTCCTCATCCATCGTAATGGCCATCCTTCAAAGTCCAAATCAAATTACATCCCTTCCCATGAAATCTTCCCAAATTTTCATCTTTCTCTCTCCTGATAACCCAGTACTCTCTATCCGAATCAAGTCTCCATTGACTTTCCTCTTCTGGGAATCTCTGTATTCCAAGCACCTCTCAAATCTATTAGCATTACACATAGAGTTGATGGATATGGTAAGTAAATGCATCTGTTGACTGATTGATTTGTTACAGGTAAATTTTTATGTCCTAAGTATTGAAAAGAAGTGACAAAAGTGGTATGGACATAAAGGAAGCAGTATTATGGACAAGACGTGACAAAATAGAGAAGCCCAAAGTAGCAACTTTTGGAGAGTAAAAATTTTAAGTATTTACAAGGCTAATACACTCTATTACCTATTCAGAAACATTTATTGATTGGTATCAATCAGTTCCACAAGTCATCTATAAACCTGCAAACAAATGGTGCCTAATTTGCACAGCTGGTTGCCATACATGATACGCCGGAGATCTGTTCTCACTAAACTAACAAGGACTTTGTTTTTTCCACTTTGTATGCCCTGAACACAGCACAGTGCTTGGCACATAGTAGTTGCCCAGTAAGTATTTGTTGACTGAAATAATCAACTAATAAATTTTTAAAACTTTGAATTGTGAGCATTGATACTGAATCAGGCTGGCTACTTAAGCTGAATTTAATTTTGTTACTAAAATTTAGTTAACATTGTCAAACCTGAGCAACCGTGAAATTACAGAAATAAGTGTTTTAAGTTCCACTAAATAAAACGTTTTAAATGTTTACATTTTTTAAAGTGCCTGAAGCTAAGCCAAAACAAAGAAGAATTCCAACCAGGAGGAAAAAGTTAAAGCTGTTTTTTAACATCCAGTCAATAACTTGAGTCTCTGGTGCTTTTACTCCAGAGTAGCCATGCCAACCCATAAGCCAAAAAGGTAGATCCAAAATTAACAGTTGTGTTCAAAGACAAAAGCCCAATGAAATTATAAGTGATGTGATCCAAGGACTGAGCAAAGATAATTGCATTTACTCAATGTTAGTTTGCATTATAATTGCTATTGTAGCCATCATCATCATCAACACCATCATCATTCATAGTACCTATCTATGTGGTGTGGGATAGACTACTGACAATGAGCCAAGGAATTAGGGAGGATGATGGTTAGGTCAGGTTCAGGGTCCAGACACTCAGGCATTAATAAAAGCCAGGTAACCTATCAACAATACTCATGGTACCAAAGACAGAGAAAGAGCCCCAGCAAGACATAACTGAGCCAGAGAGTTACTGACACTGAGATCCTTATACATAACGAGATTCTTATACACACTAAGATCACTCTCATAACAAACATTTGGCAAAATTGCCCTGAGGGGATGAGGAAAATTCAGATACGGAGTTAGGGGTTAAATGAGCTCAATGACTGAAGGTTTACGGACTGTGAGGGATGAAAAGTTGGACAGGCCATTGCAATTAACAGAGCTTACCCAGCGGAGTTCAGACTTCAAAAAGTTATCAACATCTTTTTTTTTTTTTTGAGACAGAGTCTCACTCTGTCGCCCGGGCTGGACTGCAGTGGCGCGATCTCGGCTCACTGCAACCTCCACCTCCCGGGTTTGTGCCATTCTCCTGCCTCAGCCTCCCGAGTAGCTGGGACTACAGGCGCCCGCCACCATGTCCGGCTAATTTTTTTGTATTTTTAGTAGAGACGGGGTTTCACCATGTTAGCTAGGATGGTCTCCATCTCCTGACCTCGTGATCCGCCCGCCTCAGCCTCTCAAAGTGCTGGGATTACAGGCGTGAGCCACCGTGCCCAACCAAAGTTATCAACATCTTGATTCAGAATGTATAGACTACCAATTCCATGAGTGAAGACATATGTATTTTGTTCACTGCTTCCAGTGTCTACCACAATGCTCGGTACAAAGATAAATATTTGTTAAAGGAATAAATAAATTAGCAACTGTTGCCAGGCACGGTGGCTCACGCCTGTAATGCTAGCACTATGGGAGGCTGAGGCAGGCGGATCACGAGGTCAGGGGTTTGAGACCAGCCTGGCCAACATGGTCAAACCCCATCTCTACTAAAAATACAAAAAATAGGCAGCATGGTGGCACGCACCTGTAATCCCAGCTACTCGGGAGGCTGAGGCAGGAGAATCGCTTGAACCTGGGAAGCGGAGGTTGCAATGAGCTGAGATCGTGCCCCTGCACTCCAGCCTGAGCAACAAGAGCAAGACTCCCTCTAAAAAAAAATAATAAAATAAAATAAAAATAAATAAATTAGCAACTGTTAATAATTGCTGATTAATTCAACTATAATTCTTTTTGTTCTCACCATACAATAGGTGCCAGAAAAGCTTTACATTTAACATACAGTTACTGATTGCTCACAACTTATCGTTTTTCTGAAGTCTATGCTAACTTTCCAAGCCAAAAGAAAAAAAAAGCTGTATCTAATTTTTCATAACCCTAGAGATATAAGCCATCAGCATCTTCTTTTCCGGAAAAAGAAAATTGTTTTCATCTATTCTTCCACCTTCTTTTAACTCTCATTTTCACAAGAAAAATATATATATATAATCCACTCTACATAAAGCAGCCAGTGCAATCTACCAAAACAGCAAATCTGACCATGTCCTTTCCCTGTGTACAGCCTTCTGTGAAAGGTTGCCATTGGCATTTGAGGGACTTCATACCTGGCTTACCAGAGCTGCCAGGAACTGGAGAGCAGGCATCCAGCCTGACGTCCCTCCACGCAGACTTCCTTTCACCAGCCATGCCCCCTCCTACCTCTGGGCCTTGAAACATATTCTGCCTGCCGGAAATGCTTTTTCTCACTCTCTCTCAAAGCTCTATAGAGGTATAATTTATACATAAAGAATCATATATATTTAACATGTACTACGTGATGAGTTTAGACATATCTGAACACCTGTAATATCATCATCACAATCACCACAATCAAGACAATATGATTTAAAGAGAAACCAGAGTACTCCATCAAGACAATAGACATATCCAACACCTCCTGAAGTTTCCTCATGTTCCCGTTTTTGTTTGCTAGTGGTAAGAACACCAGTATTCTCTAATGCTTATCAATAAAAGAATGTCTCTGAAGCCCTACATCTTTCAAAAACATTTTAAGAAGAAATTTTTGAACAGCAACATATAGTAGCATCTAACAATCAGAAATGCATACTTTAAAGATAAACATATACTCAAAATTCGGAAAGAGCAGAAGAACATATTTTGGCAGGTGAGTAGATGTTCCTGTCTGTCTTGCATAATGCCTCTGGATAACATTTGGTCAATCTACCCCTTTATTATTTTCCAACTATGTTTTTTATTATTATATAATGTTAATGAGCATATTAGAATAATAAATGAAATTACTTAATGTATTTTGGCATTACATTTTAACTGTAAGAGAAAAATAAGGCTATTAAGGGTGTTCTAGACCTTTAAAATCATTTTTTTCTCTTTCAATTCTGGTAACTAAGGACTGAATTACTCAAAGCTATATCTCAAAATAATATACACAGATCTCACTCATGCTCGTGCTATTCAATCTGCCTGAATAAATCTGTCACTTTTAATAATGTGCTCAGTATTTTAACGTTAACAATTATTTCCAGAGAGTAATGCTTTGCTGTATAAAAGCTATAAAACCAATAGTGTCACACAGCAAAAGATTATACTATACTATACGCACGGTTCAAATAAATTTAAAGAACAATTGGTAAAGCACTTAAGATAAACTTGGTATAAAATGAAAACTACAGAAAAAATGAGAAATAGGTGTTATTTCCCCTAAATTGACACACAGTGCTCATGTATAAATAAGCAAAAAGAATTACCAATATGAAAGTCAATCATATGATGGCAGCTCAAATTTAAAATATCATTTTATCCCTCTGATATGTCATTTCTCTTATAATCGTGTTTAAAAGGTATCATAAAAAATGAAGTTTTGAAATATGTTGAAGAATGTGATTTTTAAAAAGCAATAAAAATAATAATTCTGTCCACACCCTGTATTTGGTGAAAGGTAGATTATCCTAAAATATAACTGCCATCTGGGAATAGATACATTATCATTTTCTTCCTGTGACTCACTTATACATCATCTGTAGCCTCCATTTTTTTTCCTTCATCTGAGATGGTTGTTATAGCTCCAGGAGTGGAGAGCTAAAAAGCTAATAGTGTCCATAAAGGTCAGTCTTAGTCATAAAGGAGTAGAGATCTGTGGGTTGATTTCAGAGGCCTCAAGGAAGGTTCCTGTTCCCAAAATATCTTCTTAAGGATCCCAAAGTTTATTCCACAAGATGTATTATTTTACCTCAGTTAGGAATAAGACTGAAATTATGAGTCCTCCAAAGGCATGGCATTTTGACTTAAATTTATAGCAATGTTTAGTATCAAAGCTATTCTAAATAGAAAGAGTAGGTGGAAAGGCAGAGAGAGGAAGCAAAGTGTAAAGATGCTGGGTCCCCATGGTGGAAGGAGTTGACAGGAGGTTGCCGCACGTTCAAGCCCAAGGGCACACAGTCTTGCCAGTCAGATAAACCTGGGCTTAAGTTACTTCACCTTTGAGAGTCCCCAGGTAAACATTTGTAACATGAGAGGCAAAAAAAGCACCTGGCTGAAAGAGTTTAGGAGTTTTTTGTCAGGGGTGGAGGAGGGAGTTAGATGAGTAAAATGAGTTTATACCATGTAAAGTGCTTAGCTTAATGCCTAACACAGAGAAGGCACTCAATGATGTTAGTTGCCATAATTATCCCTGTTTCTGAAAGTAGAACAGAAAAATTCTCATGGCAGATAAATCAGGTGTACCTGGCTGCATGCCTGGAAAACTCATAAAGGAAACTTTATTAGACTAGAGGCTATTTAAAATTGCATCCTGCCATGAGATATTCTGGTCCTATGATGGTTTGTTCAACTAGTTATGCACTTAATGATACCAGTAGTTCAGAAAGCCATTCTTCAACTATGCTGGAGAGAAAGAGAACATCGTTTTGCTTTGACTCCTCATGCAAACCTGCACAAGGTTTTATTCTCAGGGGAAACTTAAGTCAATAAAAGTTATATGTTTGACACTTGGTATAGAATATTCCAAATTTGGATACAGTGATGCTTCCATCAGTAATTCCACAGGAATGAAGTTTTTTTATTAAATAAACCATAAATTGTGGTTAGGATATAGGGGAATAAACCCTCAAACAACATATGAACATAGAATATGCAATAATCATTTACTCTTAGAAATGCCCATGTGTAACTAATGTTACTCTACAAAAAATAAGAGCAAAATTAGAGAGGCATGGTGGCGTGTGCCTGTAGTCCCAGCTACTTGGGAGGTTGAGGTGGAAGGATTGCTTGAGCCTAGGACGTTGAGCTGCAGTGAGCCATGATCGTGCCACTGCACTCCAGGCTGGGCAACTATCTATCTAAGTTCCTATCTAAAAGAGTAAGATCCTATCGAAAAGAGAAAAGAAAAGTCAAAACGTTAAAAAAAGTTTATAAAGTAAAAAGCTTACAGTAAGTTAAGGTTAACTTATTATTAAAAAATAAAAAATCTTTTAAAATAAATGTAGTGTAGCCTTACTGTACAGACTTTATAAAGTCTACAGCAATTTAAAGTAATGTCCTAGGCCTTCACCTTTACTCACCACTCACTCACTGACTCACCCAGAGCAATTTCCAGTCCAGCAAGCCCTGTGCATTGTAAGTATCTTAAACAGGTATACCATTTTTTATCTTTTATATCATGTTTTTACTGTACCTTTTGTATGTTTAGACACACAAATAATTACCATTGTGTTACAATTGCCTACAGTATTCAGTGAAGTAACAAGATGTACAAGTTTGAAGCCTAGGAGCAATAGGCTGCACCATACAGCTAGGTGTGCAGTAGGCTATAGGTTTGTGTAAGTATACTCTATGATGTTTGCGCAATGATGAAATTGCCTAAGGACACATTACTCAGAAACTATCCCTGTTGTTATAGTAGCAATAATGCAAGAGGAAATAGATATATCCCTAACCATAGCAAGAAATTTTAGTATACCTCTATGAAAATTGATAGATAAAACAGTCAAAAAATAGTAAGAATTTGGAAAGCTTAAATAATACAATTAACAAGCACAAACAGCAGTCTATATTCAACAAGTAGAGAATACACATTTGTTGAAAGTAAACATGGAACACTTATAGAATTGGACTACACACTAGTCTCCAAAACAAATATCAAAAAATCAATATCATATATACCACCTTCTCACTGTATGTTCTATAGTAAAATAAAATTCAAAATCAAAATCCAAAAGACACACCTGAAATTCTATTTATTTAGAAATTTAAAAGCATTTATTTATAAGTAATGTTTGAGTCTAAAAAGTTAGTATTGGGACTAATAAAACATTTATAATGAAATGCCAGTGGAAAAAATACATATTAAAACTTTTGGCCTAGAGTTGATGTAATATTGGGAAAGAAATTCATAGCCCTAATTGCCTATGCTTAAAAAGAAAGATTGAAAATTGATCATTAAGTTATTTAACTCAAGAGAAAGAACTAGAACAGTGGCAGGAGTACAAAGACATAAAAAGAAGGAAATTGCAAGAACAAGAACAGAAACTCATAATGTAGAAATCAATAAAATAAGGAGATGCACAAAAAAGCCGAAAGCTGATATTTTTTAAAGACTAATAAAAATATTTTTAAGAGGCTGGATAAAGACAAAAGGAATTATCAAATAAAATATATTAGGACTGAAAAAGGTAAAGTAACTGTAGAGAAAAATTAAAAGAATTAAAAGAGCATACTATGACTCTATGACAATACATTGTAAAACAAATAAAAATAAAAATTCATAAACCTGGTTCAAACAAACTAAAGATATACATAACTTTTGTGTTTGTTTTTGCTTTTATTACTTTTTTCTTTTCTTTTTTTTCTTCTTTTTTTGGGATACATATATCTTTATATGTATATGTGTGTATAGATACATATGTGTGTGTGTATATATATCTGTGCGTAATTGAAATGATTTTTGAGCTCACATCTATTCACCAAAGAAGCTGACCCTTTGTACAGCATTACTCCCATGGCTATCACTGAATTGAAACCTCCTTAAGGATGGGACTATTTTGTCCTGAGATTTTCTTCCTCCAGAGTATCTAGCACATAATCTGATTTACTTTTAAAAAACACCACTCTTCTACTGGGTGATTTGATGAGACTAGAGCAACATTTTCAGTTAACGAGTTCTTGACATGGTCTTGCTGTTGGTAAAAATGTTCATATTACTCTATCAATTTGAGCATCATGCTTTGCTTATTAGTCTTCAGAGATCAAATTTCCATGGAATTTATTTAACTGACAAAAAAACAAGGTTATTTATTTCCTTATATCTGTTGTTCTCTTTTCTTACAGATATTAAATCATAAGACTTGGACCTTGACTATGAACTCCACAGTACACTAAAACTAGTTTCAAATGAAACAAAACAGGAGTATACTAAAATAAACAAGTGTATAAAAAATATTTTTCCCATTGATAATGATCTAAACTATTGATATCGAGGGAATTCTCCAATTTGACTACATTTCCAAAGATCACTACAGCACTGCCAATGCATAGAAGTGCAGTTTCTATGGACTCATCATTGAAAAACAAGAGGGAGAGAAAAAAGCAGTTAGCACAACTGTCTTCAAAAACAAATACAAAACTATTTTCAGCAGAATAGAGCACCTGCTTTATTGAAGTAAATACAAAATAGAAAGGTAAAGCACAGTATTTTCCAGGTGAACTCACTGCAGCCACTGATGATGTCAGTTTGTTTCCTTCCCTTTTCCTTTGGCAGAAGGGAAAGAATCCTCAAATGTTCAATGAGCCAACCAATGCTGCCAGTTTATTCAATAACATTTGAAGTAAGGACAAAACATTAAAAATATAAAATCTATGGCCTTGTGCAAATTCATAGCAATTTAATGGGAAAAACAACACTATCATTTTGGTTTTGAACCAAACCAAAAGTTATTTAAGAGATGATCTAACCAAAATATTCTATATATTACAGATGAGTCAGTTTCAAGTCACAGAGGCACAAGTGATGGCTAAAATGCAGTAACCAGGTCATATTTTAAAAAGAAAAAGTTCAGTTTTTCAGATGAAAAATCATGTGTAGATGAAGGAAAATTTGTAAATCATTGGAGGAAATCACTTTATTACTATTGTTATTGCTAGTTTATTAATAATTTTTAGTTGTACTGGACTATACAGATATGAGTGAACACCAAAAAAAACTCTACCAAGATATGCAGGTACTAATACTCTGGTATAATTTTTAAAAGTAGGCCAGGAGCTGTGGCTTATGCCTGTAATCCTAGCACTTTGGGAGGGTAAGGCAGGAGAATCACTTGAGTCCAGGAATTCAACACCAGCCTCGGCAACATAGGGAGACTTTGTCTCTACAAAAAAAAATAAAATTTGAAAAACAAATTTTAACTATTTACAAAGACAAATATCTATTTTTATTATAAAAAATTATATTTTGGTGACTATAAACTTGTGAAAAGACATGAAAAGGCATAACACATTTTATAAAAATGATTTGTATTTAATGATATTACATATAAACCACTAAAATGATAGCTATAGATGTCTACATATACAAAATATGCATATATGCATGCATGTATAATATATGTATACATGTATTATATATAGTATAGTATATTAAGCAGAAATGTTTTTCAATATATTTCCATGTAACTAAACCTTGTATATATCACTGCAGATTTCTTTGTCTTTTCATAGACAGAAATATTTTATAACTTGACATGAGACATCTGTCACAGAGAATGACAGTCTCATACATTTTAGCCTGGCTCCCCACCTCCGCCTTGGATTCAAGAAAAACATTTTGATGATTCACGCACAGTGTAAGGATAATATGACAATAAAATGACTTCAGGCTATGTAAGCCCATAAATAAAGGGAAATCAAACCTTTCATACAAGTAAATCCACGCAAGAAATCAATTTGTAAAATTGAAAAAACTTCTTCTAAATGGGCATGATGGGTATAAGTCTCTAAAAAGAATAAACACATCCATTTGCAGTTTCATTTTTTAACACATTCTCTCAGAGTTTCACTCAACCCCTCCCCAAAAAATATTTTGGAGTTTTATGGTGCCCAGCATAAATTTCCTTCTAATTTCTTGCTTTTGAAACATTCTCAATGTGATGTGATTTATTAGTTGATAGGAATCAATCATTTGTTTTCCACAGTTAACCATATCGGCTAGAGCAGAGTTTCCCCAACCTTAATATGCATATAAATTACCTGGGGACATTATTAAAATGCCAATTCTGATGCAATAGCCATGGGATGGGATTCCATTTCTGGTAAGTTTCCAGGTGACACCGAAGCTGCTGGTCAGCAGCCTGCTCATCATATACTGAAGGACTAGAAGATTTTGGCTATAGTTATTTGTTTTCTTTCCCTCTCATACACAGGCATTCAACAAACATGCTGAGCATGAACTGTGAATCAGCCATTGAGCTCTCAGAAAATGTGAATTTAAATGTAAGCAGCTTTATGAAGATTTTTTTTCCTTTATATTTTGCTTATTCCATTCGGTTATGGAAAATAGACTTCAAAATGCCTAAGGGAAAATATGATTTACGAATATTTGTTAGACTTGATTGAAAGTAACTAATGTTAAGTTATTTTTTTTTCAAACTACCATTGAAATCTTGGTGAAACAATCTTCTTAAAGCCTTACTAAAAAGAATACCTTACAGTCTCACTCCTAACAGAAAAACTCAGCCAGGCAGTTCACTTATGAGAGTCAACCAAAAGTTCATTTTCTTCAACCCTGTCAAAAGAAAGTTGGTCTGCAATTAGATAGATTTGGGTGAAAGTACAACATATTTCACTTACTTGTATGACCCTGGGCAACTTTTATCAACTTCCTGAGTCTCCATTTTTCTTACCTGTATACATGAGTTAATAAAGTTATCTTCCATTCATTTAAAACATATTTATTGAGCACCTACCATGTGTTAGGCACTGTTCTAGCACTTGGGATGAATCAGTGAGCAAATGAACATAGACTTCTTCCTCATATATCTCTTGGATAGAAATGATGTACATTAAGTAGCCCTTGCCACACGCCTAACACTCTCTCTATTTAGTAGCTTTCAACTCTTTGATGCTTTCCAAGTAACTCCCAGGTAAGTAAAACTGTCATTTTCTTAAAATTTGAGATCATTTATCCTTAGTGCTTTATTATATGCCAGACATATTCCAAGTACTTTGGATATGTGTCTAAACTCATGTAATCCTCGCAGCAGCCCAAAAGGAAGATTGGTATGCTCATTTTACAAGAAGAACACTTACTCAGAAAGGAAATTAAGGAATTCTCCAAGATCACAGAGCTAGCAAATAGCAGAGCTGGGATCCAAACTCAGTTTGGCCTCAGACACCCCACTCTTAACCACAACACCTTGGAGTAATGAAATTAGAACCACCGTAAACAAGTCCAGAAAGTTACACTTCGTGTACTGAATAGCTCTAAACTGTGGATTAGCTAGGCTTATTGTGCCCTCTGGTGGAAATCCAATGAAGTAAATGAAAAGGAATATTAAGTGCAATAGAAACAGAAAACGGCGAGTTTACTGACATCCTGAGCTTTTGAAAAGTTTTCAAGCTCATGAACATGGCAGGAAAATCTTCCAGGAACAAGACAAGAATACCAGCAAGAGTCTAAGGAATCAGCAGGCTGTAGATGCCTCGCACGCTGACTCCACACAGCAGAGCCTTCAGAGTGACAACTGTGCAAAGGAAACTGAAGATAAAATCTCAAGGGATAATATCAGTGTTAGCAATCTTAGTAGAAATAATTTTAAGTAAAAACATATTTATCAGCGTGCCAAAAAGCATTATCACGAATCTACTGTACACCACCTTCTCAGGAATGAATTGCTAACGGGAAATGTGACGTTCTCTTTGTACTGCTAGAATTGTCAAGATTCACGGGTTTCTGAGACGATGCCCTCCTAAGGCCTTAGGAACCACTTCCGCACTCCTTACCCACCCCTTAGTTCCAGGTAAAGCCTATGTGGAATAATATATTATTTCTTTGTTCATCAGAGTTTGCAGTCAAGCAATTAAAGTCAATGGGCATTAAATGCAAGTTGACTGGTCCAACTCAACGACTGCACAGCATTTTATATGAAGTTACTAGTGCTGTTCCTGTATACGGGCATCTGAGGAAGGGCGGGAACTGTTACTGTCCTCTTCCCTCTTCCCTTTGGTCTCGAAAGTGACAAGCTCCTTGTTGCCAAGAGATTCTCAGAATGACTCTGTCACTATCCCCTGTATTCCCTGTAGTAGTGAGAAACTGTTACCCTCAACTACCTTCTTTGGCTAGGGATTCTCCTTTCTTTATTGCGGTCTCTCAGGAAGATGGTGTTGACACTGGACATTGCTTGTGCATCCATCTTCTGAGACTGTGTGACTTTTATGTAAATGTTAGTTTATCTAGAAAGAAAGAATATGATCTTATATGCCTTGTCCTAGAAAATTAATTTTTCAGTAGAGAAATCCACTAGCATTATACCATACCCTTCTCCAATTCACCATCTACTTATTTATTTATTTTTTTAAATGTTCATTTATTTATTTATTTATTTTGAGACGGAGCCTTGCTCTGTCACCAGACTGGAGTGCAGTGGTGCGATCTCAGCTCACTGCAACCTCCGCCTCCCGGGTTGAAGCGATTCTCCTGCCTCAGCCTCCCAAGTAGCTGGGACTACAGGCACATTCCATCACGCCCAGCTAATTTTTTTGTAGAGACAGGGTTTCACCATGTTGTCCAGGATGATCGTGATCTCTGACCTCGTGATCCACGCGCCTCAGCCTCCCAAAGTGCTGGGATTACAGGCGTCAGCCACCGCGCCCGGCCCACCGCCTACTTATTTAAAATGCTTCTAATTTATGGGAGAATCATTTGAGCCCAGGAGTTTCAGGCTGCAGTGAGCTATGGTCATGCCACTACACTCCAGGCTAGGCAACAGAACAAGACCTTGTCTCAAAGAAAAAGAAAAAACAAAAAAGTTTAGTTAAAAAGATTAGCACTAGTCCTTAAAAATAAATAACTACTTAGGTGTGTTTAGAACTCGGGTCACTAATGCATGTCTTTCTCTGGGGTGTCACAATCTCTAATGTCGCCCCTGAGTTTTCCCTTCTGCTATCCTATTCTTAGGGCTTTAAAAAAGTTTTCTATGGAATTTTCCTAACTCTTAGAGCGAAATAGATATTGGTTTTCATAGTATGAGGAGAAAATAAATTATGACATTTACTTTTTTTCACAGTAGCAAAGGAATTTCTGAAGGCATCTGCCTTCCCACTCTGAATTCACACAGTAATTTGCTAGTGTACCCCTCAATTGCCCTTACCACTTCTCCAGAAACCACATAAGCTTCTTGACCATTTCACCCCTGAAACAATCCCAGGACATAATACAATAGGTTGCACATTTTAAAGAGGGGAAAGAAAAAAAAAAAAGGGCAATGATTTTCATGATTCAAGATTCCCTTCAGTAATTTATTTGTTCTGATCGTCTTGTTAGGAGTAATTTTCCTTCCGTTCCATTTTATATTTTGCTTATTTTGCATTTATTTCATTTTATCTTCTATTTTAATTAGTATATATTTTTGGTTTTTCTCCCTGCCTCCTAGACTTTCTCAGGTGGACTTCCTACCTGGCCATACAACCCAGAAACTTATTTACGTGATAATTTTCCTAATTTCCTCAAGGAAGGTACATAACTTGTACCATTCTAGATGCCTAGGAAAAATGTTAACTCATTACATATAATAGACGCACTAGGTTATGAAAGCTCAGTTCTCTCCTGGACACCTGGTTGAGAAAGACTCTGCATTAGACGTCACCCAGCATAGTTCATTATGCATAGAAGGCACTCAATAAGCGTTTTTGTAAACAAACAGATAAATGAATGGCTCTAAACTTTTAAGTGTGAGCTTTGAATTCATTTTAAGATCCATTCAGTCCACACTTTAACAGAATTATTTTCTAGTAGTAAGTTTACTTTCTCTGCTTATCTACTGAGGACAAAAAAGCTTTTCAATTCTCAGAAGTAAATAAAATATGAGATAGAAAATTTAGCATCAGATTATTCCAGTCTTATCAAAATTCTAGAATTATGTATTAAGGGACTTCATTATTTTGACTATCATACACGTACAGATACTTGTAAGCATTAACACTTTGGCCTTAATAAAAGATCTACAACAGCTACACTCATTTATTTTGTGTCAGAAATTGCATTAGTATTTTATCTGTATTTTCAAATTTAATCATTTTGTTAATAATATCAGATAGGCAATATTGCCTTCTCTTTATAAGTATGAAAACTGAAGCTCTTAGATGTTAAAAATTTGCCCAAGGTTAAATAGTATGTGGAAAGGTTAGAATTGCAAAGCAGAGATATCTAATGGTAAAATATCATTCTTTACATTTTGGGACACTATTATCCTACAGGTACTGTGTGTAAATAAAAGTTCGGATATATCTAATATATGACTATGTACCCTCTTCTACTCATGGATACAGTTATCTTTTGCATATTGTCAACATAAAAAGAATTGTATTGGCCAGGCGCGGTGGCTCACGCCTGTAATCCCAGCACTTTGGGAGGTGAGGTGGGCAGATCACGAGGTCGAGAGATCGAGACCATCCTGGCCAACATGGTGAAACTCCATCTCTACTAAAAATACAAAAAATTAGCTGGGCATGGTGGCGTGCGCCTGTAGTCTCAGCTACTCAGAAGGCTGAGGCAGAAGAAGTGCTTGAACCCAGGAGGTGGAGGTTGCAGTGAGCCAAGATCGCACCACTGCATGCCAGCTTGGGTGACAGAGCAAGACTGTTGCAAAAAAAAAAAAATTATATTAACAAAATGTAGTGGATATTTAACTATCAGTGCTTAAAAGAAAGGAGTGAATAGTTTCTTCCATTTGCACTTTCATTCTAATGACCAGGCACTTCTTTTTATTACTTTGTCTATTCTCTAATCCTCACATGAATATAAAGTCCAAGCCTTTGGAAACCAAATGATAAAGTGTAGCTGGACTTTTTGACCATTATCTTCATTCCTATCTGTCTCCAATAGGTAAATGGATTTGGGACCAAAATATAAGCCTTAGAAACCAAAACAAATGAGGCATTAGCAAAGTAAAACTTTGCAAACCTAGACTTACAGATTCTTGAGAGACTTCAAAGCTCAGGATGAAGGGAAAAGTTTACTTCTGAGGAAAGTGAGTAGAGAAGGCATTTGAAAAGGTCACAGCAGGTTCTAATGCAGAGGCAAAGCCAAGTTTAATGGCACTCCATTCACACTCAGAGAAGATGTCTACCTGAATCTATCTAGTCATCCTTTCATTCATTGATTCATTCCAGAAATATTTACTGACCACTTTCTAGGTGACCTTTGTTGATAACAGTAGTTTCCTGTCAGTTTAAGGGCAGAAGCCAAATGAGTCAGTCACTGCAAAACCACGAGGGGTAGGAGTTTGGAAGGATACTATTACAGTCAATTCAAATGAAATCTGTTCCTTCTTTTATTTAGGAAATGCCCTCCAATCTCCATATCTATAACTTGACTTGTCTTTTAAAATTATGAGAGATCTGGGTATTAGGTTACTATTAGGTTACTATACCATGACATATTTAGGTTTCGGTGCCAGGAAAGACTCCTCTGGTACTTATTTATTGTGTGGTCTTAGACCAACACAGTCCAATAGAAACATAAAGAAGTGGGTCATATATAATTCAAAATTTTCCTGTAGTCCCAGCACTTTGGGAGGCAGAGTTGGGCAGATCACCTGAGGTCAGGAGTTTGAAACCAGCCAGGTCAACATGGTGAAACCCCAGGAGAATTGCTTGAACCCAGGAGGTGGAGGCTGCAATGAGCCGAGATCACGCCATCGCACTCCAGCCTGGGCGGCAGAGTGAAACTCTGTCTCAAAAAGAAAATTCTAATTGCCACACACAAAAAAAGTAAAAATAAACAAGTACAATTAATGCTCATAGTATTTTTTTTACTCCACTATATCCAACATATCGTTATTTCAACATGTAGTCGATTTAAAATTACTGAGATTTTGCTTTTCTTCATTCCCTGTGTGCAGTATGTAGTGTTTATTTTACACTTACAGCACATCTCAGTTTGGCTTTGAAAGAGCCACATTTCAAGTGTGTGGTAGCCACATGTTGCTACCGCATTGCATAGTGCAGATCTAGACTTTAAATATAAGCAGTGGATAAAAATGTCGAAGAGAAACAAGATTTGTGTCTTTCGTACTCAAGACCAAAAAATAAATTGTTTATATCTTCCTATCCTAGCTTAACACTTCATGCAGACTTCATTTTATATTCTGACAACGTACATTGAATAGAATAGCAGTAATATTGTTTCATCCCTTTTTACAGTCAACTTCACATGAATAGACAAATTCAAAAGTATGATGTTATAACAGCACCATCTTGTGGCGTTGCATTTACATTGCTGAAGCAGAATTGGGGAAAAAGAGAATAATGCCAAACAGTCAAGATAGAATTAGGAGTTTAAGAAATTAGTAGAGGTACTATCATTTTTCTTTCTCTTATATGCAGTCTTTTTTTTTTTTGGTGGGGGGGCAGAGTTTCACTCTTGTTGCCCAGGCTGGAGTGCAGTGGCACGATCTCGGCTCACCACAACCTCCACCTCCCGGGTTCAAGCGGATCTCCTGCCTCAGCCTCCCGAGTAGCTGGGATTACAGGCATGTGCCACTATGCCCAGCTAATTTTCTGTTTTTAGTAGAGACGGGGTTTCTCCATGTTGGTCAGTCTGGTCTCGAACTCCTGACCTCAGGTGATCCACCCACCTCAGCCTCCCAAAGTGCTGGGATTACAGGCGTGAGCCACCGCACCAGACCTTATACGCAGTCTTTATGGCAGGTCTTCAAGTTGTATATACTGGGTATGACACACTTTCTGGACATAGGACATGAAAATGCTAATTTCTGAATTCCAGATAACACTCTAACATGAGCGTTGGAGAATGGCAAGCAGGCTTCAGTGCTAATATGTTAATATGGTATTTGTTTCACTGAATTGTGTGAGACGAAAGCTGAGAACACCCACAAAACACCAGTGCATATGAACACACTGAGATTTTAACACTAAAATATAATCCCCGCCATTTATAAATACCAACTGAGCTACTACAGGGCTGCCAACCCTAAACATTCCTCATTAGAATAAAGGCTTCAATGAAGCTGTATCTGCCATTAAATAATCACTCAACCAATCTGAAATTCCAGTTGGTCCCATACTATGTTAGGATGGCCAGATATAACCATGTGAGAACATAGCCTGGTAAGTGGTTTGACCAGAAGTCACTCCAGAGCTGGCCTTCAAGTTCAGCCCATATTTGGCCAGGGTAAGCTTAAGGACCTTTCTGAGTCTTGTCATGTATTCTTGCCACAACGTAAGCCATCTAATGAATCTTTCAAAATAGACTTTATTTAATTCAATCTAGAAAACACATAGGTCTTCTCTGGATGCTGGAATACAAAAAAAGAAGTTTGAGTAAGCTTGAAGCTAGTAGAAGGACTTTCTGTAAAGAATGAATAATTTTTAAAAGTAGCATATATATCACAGGAACCATGAAAATACATCTAGACGTTATCCATTCTCCCTTATGTAACAAGCTCAAAATAGTCCATTTTTGTGATTAGACCAGTCTTAAACCTATTTTGGCCTGGGGAGAGTGAGCTCTTTTTTGAAGAACACTCTATACAGCCACAAGGTGGCTGTCATCCTGTACCTAAGCCAGTATCAATTCCACGTCAAACAATTACATGTCTCAGAGTCCTGGGGAAGACCTAGTCTTTTCAATATTAGTTACTATAGCAAATCAATAGATGTGAGACAGCTGCTCATCTTTCTCTTGCCCAATTCTCCTAGAAGGGTGGGCCCGCTCCTATTAGTTATTTATTCCTGCATAACAAGTTATTCCAAAACTTAGAAGCTTAAAACAACAAATGTTGGTTGGACACAGTGGCTCACACCTATAATCCCAGCACTTTGGGAGGCTGAGGTGAGTGAATCACTTGAGGTTAAGAGTTTGAGACCATCTTGGCCAACACAGTGAAAACTCATCTTTACTAAAAATATAAAAATTACCTGGCGTGGTGGTGCATGCCTGTAATCCCAGCTACTTGGGAGGCTGAGGTTGCAGGGAGCCGAGATTGCCCCACTGCACTCCAGCCTGGGCAACAGAGCGAGATTCTATCTCAAAAGTCAGGAATTTGGGAGCAGTTCGGCTTTGTAGTTAAGGTTGCACTCAGGATGTCAGCAGGGACTAAAGTTGCCAAAAGGCTTGCCTGGAGCTAGAGAATCTGCTTCTAAGAAGACTCACAGACCTAGTAATTGGCAGGAAGCATCAGTTTTTCTCCACTCAGGACTTCCAAAGACCTCCGTTTCTCATAGTGTAGGCCTCTCCATAGGCTGCTCATAATTGACAGCTACCTTCCTGCAGAGTGAGTGATCCAAAAGAGAAAAAAAGAGGCAGAAAGCACAAGGTCTGTTATAATCTAGTCTCAAAAGTGACATGCCATCCCATAGACCAAAGATGATACAGCATGGGAGAGGAGTACACAAAGATGTGAATACCAAAAGGTTGGGATCTTTGGAGACAATTTCAGAAGCTGACTGCCACAGTCTCCTCTGGTCCTCAGTGACTCACATCCTTCTCACAGGAAAAATACACTTACCCTTTCCCCAGACTCTCAAAAGTTTGGAAAAAACTTATATTATCCCGTTATAGCTTCAACTCAAAAGACAGAATCATATTTAAATTAGGTCCTGGTATAGATGAGGCTCTTCAGGTATGTTCCTCACATACAATTCCTCAAGTATGGTTCCTCTCAATTTAAAAATCTATAGACTAAAGGGATAATTTATTTGTCCTTCAAATACCCAACATACAATGGTGGCACAGCCAGAGGAGTGCCCTATGATCAGGAACAAGTCAAAGATGTCCACTGTTATCACTTTTATTCAACATTGTATTTGAAGTTCCAGCTAAAGCAATTAGACAAGAAAAATAAATAAAACCCATCCAAACTGCAAAGGAAGAACTGGAATCCTTATACATTGCTGGTGGGAATGTAAAATAATGTGCTGCCGTGAAAAACAGTTCAGCAGTTCCTCAAAAACCTAGACATAGAGTTACCGTATGACCCAGAAATTCCACTCCTAGGTAAACCCAAGAAAAGTGAAAACATATGTTTACATAAAAAACTTGTATATGAATTTTCTTATAAGCAGTATTCATAATAGCCAAAAAGTGGAAACAAGTCAAACATCTATTAACTGCTGAATATATAAACAAACCATAGCATATCTTTACAGTGGACTATTGTTTAGTTAGAAAAATAAACGATGTACTTACATATGCTACAACACGGATGACCTTGAAGACATTATGTTAAGTGAAAGAAGCCAGGCCGGGTGTGGTGGCTCACACCTGTAATCCCAGCACTTTGGGAGGTCAAGGCAGATGGATCACCTGAGGTCAGGAGTTCTAGACCAGCCTGAATAATATAATGAAACCCCGTCTCTATTAAAAAAAGAAATACAAAAATTAGCTGGGCGTGGTGGCATGTGCCTGTAGTCCCAGCTACTCGGGAGACTGAGGCCGGAGAATCGCTTGAAACAGGGAGGTGGAGATTGCGGTGAGCCAAGATTGCGCCACTGCACTCCAGCCTGGTGACAGAGCGAGACTCCGTCTCAAAACAAAACAAAACAGGAATGTGAAGAATTCTCAGCCTGGCCATGTGGTAGAGAATGAAAGAATATTTTCAGGAAAGGGAACCAAGAGTGTGGCCAAGTAATTGATTGATAAGGAGATTAGTATGGATAGAACAAAGCCAGAGCTACTAATTAGGACAATGGGAGAATAACCTCAAAGGTACTTTGGAGATTACTGGCGTAGCCCCTCCCGTCATAGGCCCAGAGTGTCATGATCTGAGGGAAGGAAATCCTGCAAAAGAGAGCCTAGGGTGCGCTGAAGATCTTGGGGTTTACTTCCCAGGGCTGCCTCAAGTCTCTGCTTCCCACATTCTGATGCAGCACTCCTTGACCACCCCAGGTATGGTTTAAAGGGGTTCAGGTGTGGCTTTGGCTCCAGCTTCAGAAGGTGTAAGTGGCAGTATCCACATGATGTTATGTCTGCAGGTGTGCAGAATGCAAAAGCTGTGGGGGAATGGTTTCCTCCACCTGGATTTCAGTGAACATTAGGGACTACCTGGGAACACAGGCAGTAGACGGTTGCAGGGCTGGAGCCACCGTCGAGAGCCCCCACTAGGGCAATGGCTAGTAGAGCTATAAAGGTGGGTCCACCCCCAAGACACTAGAATTACAATGTGCAACACCAGCCTGGGATAGCTGCAGTCACCTGACTCCAACCCATATACCCAGCAAAGCCATAGGAGTGGGACTAGCTGAGGTCTTAGGGGCTCAACTCCCACCCCAGTGTACCCAGAAGGTGGGCATAAAGTCAAGGAGGATTATTCTTGGAGCTTTAAAATTTAATGTTGTTGGCCTGGCTCAGTGACACTCATTCCTATAATCCCAGCACTTTGGGAAGCAGAGGTGGGTGGATTGCTTGAGCCCAGGAGTTTGAGACTAGCCTGGGCCACATAGCACAAACTCCTAACCCTATTAAAAAAAAAAAATTGTTAGGCATAGTAGTGTGCATCTGCAGTTCTAGCTGCTCTGGAGGCCAAGGTGAGAGGATCACTTGTGCCTGGAAGGTTGAGGCTACAGTGAGCTGTGATCTAGCTACTGCACTCAGCCTGGGCAATAGAGTGAGAGCCTGTCTAAAAAAATTAAATCGATAACATTGTTTACCACATTGGCTTTAGGACTTTCTTGGGACCAGTTATCTCTTTCTCCTTGCTTATTTTTCCCTTTTGGAATGGGAATGTTGATGGTGATTGTGAATCCTAGGTTTTTGTCTTCTAGGTTAAAAGAATTTAAACAAGAGACACACAGCAATAAACAGCATGAAGCAATATATTGCAAAAGAATAAGTATATTCTGAAAGGTAGGTGCAAAAGCAATAATAGTACACTCTGAGAGCTGAGTCAGAGTAGGCTGCTCGAGAGTGAGACAGCATTGACTATTACAAGGGAAACTCTCTTTATGGAAGTCTTACATGATCATTCATAAGGGGGTGGGAAAAGACATTGCTATTGGGTTGGTGCAAAAGTAATTGCAGTTTTTGCTGTATTTTTAATGGCAGAACCACAATTACTTTTACATCAGCCTAATAGTAAGTATATTACAGGTGTTCTCTGGGTACACATGCTCAGTAGCTGTACATGCTTGCTTTGTTTTTGTTTTTGTTTTCGTTTTTGAGATGGAGTCTCACTCTGTCGCCCAGGCTGGAGTGCAGTGGGGCAATCTCAGCTCACTGCAACCTTCACCTCCCAGGTTCAAGCAGTTCTCTTGCCTCAGCTTCCCACATAGCCAGGATTACAAGTACGTGCCACCACACCTGGCTAATTTTTGTACTTTTGCTAGAGATGGGGTTTCACCATGTTGGCCAGGCTGGTCTCGAACTCCTGACCTCAAGTGATCCATCCACCTTGGCCTCCCAAAGTGCTGGGATTATAAGTGTAAGCCACTATGCCCAGCCATGTACATGTTTGTTTATATACTGTGGGTCCCATTCACATCTTAAATCTCCTCCCAGTGGTGTGTTTTTTACTATTATAATGAGCAATGAGTCAGTCTGCGGACAAGTAAAATTAAAATGTGCATACTGTCTACAGGATAAATTTCCTGGCCAGGCACAGTGGCTCATGCCTGTAATCTCAGCACTTTGGGAGGCTGAGGCGGGTGGATCACTGGGTCAGGAGTTCGAGACCAACATGGTGAAACTCCGTCTCTACTAAAGATACAAAAATTAGCTAGGCATGGTGGCGCATGCCTATAGTCCCAGCTACTCCGGAGGCTGAGGCAGGAGAATAGCTTGAACCTGGGAGCCAGAGGTTGCAGTGAGCCGGGATCATGCCATTGTACTCCAGCCTAAGCGACAGAGCGAGACTCCATCTCTAAAAAAAAGAAAAAAAGAAAAATTCCTACTGAGGATAGTTCTGTGCTTGATTATGAAGCCAGTAGTGAGTGCTCTTTGTTTGTTTGTTTTCCAGAGTGCCAGGGTTTTATCACAAATGGAGTTGACTGCTAGAGAGGCCCTTCTCCAATCTTTCTTCTGTACCCTCTTCTCTCCCAAAGACATCCCTCCAGGGGAAGTCAGTAGGCCATTAGAAAGGAGGAAATATGGAGAGTGAAAAGGGGCACTGCTTTTGTCAACATCCTCTGAAACAACCACTGAGTCCTTTGGGCTCCAGTTGAGAATCTTCTAGTGGAAGAGGTTTAGCTCTCATCTTCAAGGTCCTTCATTTCTATGTCCTGGGGGACTTTTGTCCTCTTTTGCATTTTGAGCTGTGGTTCGATAGTCCTGGCTGGCTTTGACGGGCTTCCACCTCCATGGCTGCCTTCTCCATCTGGGCAAGCCGGATCTGCCGGAGGAGTTTTCTAGGCTTCTTCCCCTACAGAGTAATGTTGGCACGTGCACTGGATGCCTGCTTCTTGAGGTGGTGCCGCGTGATCAGCGCTTGATCTATCACAGCTTCGACCACCCAGTGCCTCAGACGCTGCTTGCGGTTCAACACCGGCCTGCGCTGATCAGCTTTTTCTTCAGCTCGGTTCGGCGCCAGTTGATTTTTCCCCCCGGGATCCCCCACAGTTGCTCGGCGACGCCAATATGCGGTCCGTACTTCCGCCTGGGGTTTGTTGTATTGGTGTGGTTTTCACTTCCCGAGGACATGGTTGTGGGGCTTGCTGTTGTGGTGCAGTCGCTGAATCCCAAAGACATGGTTACTTCCCTGACTACCTATCTTGCCTCAGGAATGTCTATGCTATGCCTGTCCCACCACTGTATTTTGGAAGCACATAACGCTTGGAAGCACATAACTTGCTTGATTCCACAGGCTCATGCCTGAAGTAAATTGCCTCCTTGCCATCCTGCCTTGACTTTAGCCTATATCTTATTTAGATGAGACTCTGGGCTTTGGACTTTTGAGTTGATGCTGGAATGATTTAAGCCTTTTGGGGGCTATTAGATGAAATGCATGTATTTTGCAAGAAAGACATGAATTTTGGGGCCCAAGGGAACAAAAAGGCTATGGTTTGAATGTGTCCTCAAAAAAGCATGTGTGGGCTGAGCACCGTTGCTTACACCTGTAATCTCAACATTTTGGGAGGCCAAGGTGGGAGGATTGCTTTAGCCCAGGGGTTCAAGACCAGCCTGAGTAACATGGTGAGACTCTGTCTCTACCAAAAAAAAAAATCATAACAAAAACTTAGCTGGGCATGGTGGTGTACACCTGTAGTCCCAGCTACTGGGGAGGCTGAGGTGAGAGGATCAGTTGAGTCTGGGAGATTGAGGTTGCAGTGAACCATGATAGTACGACTGTACTGCAGCCTGGGTAACAGAGTGAGACCCTCTCTCAAAAATAAATTAATTAATTAAAAGCATTTGTTGGAAACTTAATTTCCAATCTAATAGTGTTGAAAGGTAGAACCTAATAGAAGATGTTTAGGCTATAAGGGCTCCACCACTTATAAGTGGATTAAGGTTGATTACAAAGGGGCTTCAGGCTGCAAGTTCAATCTCTTGCCCCCCCTTTTTTTTTTTTTTTTTTGGAGATGGAGTCTAGCTCTGTCACCCCCAGGCTGGAGTGCAATGGCACGATCTTGGCTCACTGAAACTTCCACCTCCCAGGCTCAAGCAATTCTCCTGCCTCAGCCTCTGGAGTAGCTGGGATTACAGGTGCATACCACCACACCCGGCTAATTTTTGTATTTTAGTAGAGACGGGGTTTCATCAGGTTGCCCAGGCTGGTCTTGAACTCCTGACCTCAGGTGATCCGCCTGCCTCGACCTCCCAAAGTGCTGGGATTACAGACGTGAGCCACCGCGCCCAGCCTTCTTGCATTTTCTTTGCCCTTTTGTCATAAAAGAGTGCAGCAAAAAAGGTCCCTGTCAAATGTCAGCCCCTTGATCTTGGACTTCTCAGCCTTCTGAACAGTGAGCCAATAAATTTCTGTTCATTATAAATTACCCCGTTTCAGATAATCTGTTATAGCAGCACAAAATCAAGTGAAAAACTTGGTGAATAACCCTATTAATGTCTTATTGAATTCAGTTTACTAGTATTTTGTTGAGGATTTTTGCATGTATGTTCACCAGAGATTTTGGCCTATAATTGTCTTTTTTTGTAATGTCCTTGACTGGCTTTGATTTCAGTAAAGTTGCAGGATACAAAATTAACATATTAAAATTAGTATCATTGCTATACACTAACAACAAACTATTCACAAAAGAAATCAAGAAAACAATCCTATTTGTGATAGCATTAATGAAAAACTTAGAAATACATTTAACCAAAAATAAAATTAACCAAATACATTCAGTGTATGAGAGATCCATACACTGAATATTATAAAACATTGATGAAATAAATTTAAGAGAAAAACAAATGAAAATATATACAGTATTCATGGATTGGAGGAATTAACATTGTTAAAATGTCCATATTACCCCAGTGATCTACAGATTCAGTGCAATCCCTGTCAAAAGTGAAATGACCTTTTCCCAGAAATAGAAAAGAACAACCCTAAAGTTTGTATAGGAAAACAAAAGACCTCAAATAGTCAAAGCAATTTTTAGGAAAACAAAGCTGGAGGCATCACAATACCTGACTTGAAAATGTACCAAAAACGTATAATAATCAAAACAGCCCATACTGTCATAAAAGCAGACATATAGACCAAAGAAATAGAAAACAGAGCCCACACATTTACAGTCAACTGATTTTCAGCAAAGCTGTCAAGGACATACAATAAGGAAAGGACATTCTCTTCAATATGTTGGGAAAATTAGATATCAACACCCAGAAGAATGAAATTAGACCCTTAATCTTGTCCCAAGTACACAAGTCAAATCATAATGGGTTAATGTCTTAAATATAAGATCTGAAACTATAAAACCATTAGGGGAAAACAGAGGGAAAGAGCTTCTTAACATTGGATTTGGCAAAAATTTTTTGGATACAACCCCAAAAACACATGCAACAAAAGCAATATTAGACTAATTGGATTGCACCAAACTAATGAGCTTCTGCACACCAAAGGCAACAATCAACAGAGTGAAGAGACTATCTATGGGATGGGGAGAAAATATTTGCAAACCACATATCTGATAAGGGGCCAATATCCAAAATATTTAAGAAACTCAAACAACTCAATAGCAAGAAAACAACCAGTTTAAAAAATGGGTAGGAACCTGAATAGATATTTCTCAAAAGAAGACATGTGAATGGCCAACAGGTATATGAAAAGATGTTCAACATCACTAATAATCAATCAGGGAAATGCAAATGAAAGCCACAATGAGATATCGTCTCACTAGAATAGTCTTTATCAAAAAAATAAAACATAACAAGTGTTAACAAAAATGTGGAGAAAAGGGAACCCTAGTACATTGTTGGTGGGAATGTAAATTAGCATAATTATTTTGGAAAACAGTATGGAGGTTCCCCCCAAAATTAAAAATAAAACTATTGTATGATTCAACAATTATCTTTCTCAGTATGTTACCAAAGGAAATGAAGAGATATTCCCTCCTCCATGTTCATTTCAGTATTATTCATAATAGTAAAGATATGGAGTCAACCTAAGTGTTTATCAACTGATAAATGGATAAAGAAAATGTGATATATATACATAGCATGATACTATTCAGCCTTATGAAAAGAAAGATATCTTGCCTTCCACATGGCAGTCTTGCAACAACATGGATGAATGTGGAAGACATCATCCTAAGTGAAATAAACCAGGCACAGAAAGACAAAAGACAAACTGAATGATCTCACTTTTATGTGAAATCAGAGTAGAATGGAGGTTACCAGGGACTAGGGTGGGTGATAGTGAGGTGGAAAATGGAGAAATATTGGTTAAAGGATAAAAAGCTTAGTTAGATAGGAGGAATAAGTTCTGGAGATCCACTGTGAAGCATGGAGGCAATAGTGAATAATAATGTATTGTATGTATATTTGAAGACTGCTAAGAACATAGATTTTTAAATGTTCTCACCACAAAAAAAAGATAAGTATGTGAGGTGATGGATATGTTAAATCATTCTACAGTGTGTGTGTGTGTGTACATATATCAAAGCATCATGTACCCCATAAATATATAGAATCATTTGTTAATTAAAAATAACTTCAAAATGACAAAAATAAAGATGTTTTCACATGTACATAGGCTGAAAAAAATCAAAGACCAGCATATCTGTATTATAAGAAAAATTAAAGGAAGTCCTTCAGGCACAAGGAAAGTTTTATCAGATAGAAATATATTTATTTCTACCCAAAGGAATGAAGATACCAGAAATGACAACTGTGTGGGCAAATACAAGTATAAGAAAACTTTCTCATTACATAAATATCTTAGATGATAAACAAAGAAACAAAAATAATGTAGTGTATGTATATATTTGTGTATATATATACACATATATATTGCACTAACATGTATGATAACAGCACAAAGCTTAGAGGGAAGAAATAGTATGGCAGTTTTATACTATATATAAAAGGGTACAATAATATTTGAAGCTAGACTCAAGTTAAAAAGAAATACTATAAATCCAGAGGTAATAGCTAAAATCACAAAATAGAATTATAGCTAATTAGCTAATAAACTAGATATAAAGGAACCATAAAAATAATCAAAAGATGGCAAAAAAGAGAAAAAAATGGAATAAAGAACAATTACCAAATAGAAAACAAATATCAAGAAAGTAGGTTTAAATCCAACCATATCAATAATCCCATCAAGTGAAAATTGTCTAATTATCTCAAAAGACAAACATTTTTGAAGTAGATTAAAAAAATAAATGAATACTTGACTATATGCTGTCTGTAAGAAACACACTACCATAGAAAACTACAAAAAAAGTTAAAAATGGATGAAAAAATATACTATGCCAATATTAATTTCAAAAAACAAAACAAAACTGGAGTGCTTATTTTAATATAAAACAATGTAGATTCCATAGAAAAGCCACATCCAGGGATAAAAAGGTCATTTAAAAATGATAAAGTGTTCATTTCACTAAGAGAACATAATAATCTTAAATATTTATGCAACTAATGACAGAGCTTCAAAATACAGACAGCCTCTGACTTACAAATTTTCAACTTTACAATGTGCAAAAGGGATACACATTCAGTATGCTTTTTGACTTATGAAGTTGTGCACAGATAAACACACTGTAAGTTCAAACAGTGGGTGTATCCAGACATAACCACATTGTTGAGGAGCATCTGTACTTAAAAGCAAAAACTGATAGAATTACAAGAAATAGACAAATCCACAATTACAGCTAGGGATCTGAATACTTCTCACTCAATAATAGCACAAATAGATAGACATCAGTAAGGATATAGAAGATATGGAGAGCACTATCAACCAAGTTGAACCAATTGATATTTATAGGTCATTTTACCAAAGAACAGCAAAACACACCATATTCCCTTCATAGAGCGTATTATAGGCCAAAAACAAATACTCAATAAATTTGTAAGAATTGAGTCACACAACTGTTTTCTCTGACCACCATGAAATTAGAAGTTAATAAAAAGATATATGGACAATTCCAGAATATTGGAAAAGTAAATAACAGACTTATACATAACCTACACATCAAAGAAGAAATCCAAAGGAAAATTATAGAACACTTACAAATGAATAAAAAGAAAAGGACAAAATATCAGATTTAGTGGTATGCCGCTAGAATAGAATTTGGAGGAAACTTTTAGGACTAAATATTTATATTAGGAAAGAATAAGGGTCTGAAATCAATGAACTCAACATTTACCTTAAGAATCCAGAAAAAGAATGTAGAAAAAGGGCAAATTAAAGTCCTTCAGGCACAAGGAAACAGAAGAAATAAAACAAAAAATCAATTATAAGGAAAAACAGGGAAAAATCTGAAACCAAAAATGAGTTATTTGAGATCCATCTAAGTGATAAACCTGTAGTCAGACTGATCAGTATAAGGGGAGAAAAGACAGAATTTATCAATATTGGAATGCAAGAGATGACATTAATACACATTCTATAAATATTAAAGATACTAGAATATTGTGATGACTTTATTCCAATAAATACAATAAATTAAATTAAAAATGCATTGAAATATACAAACTACTAAAGCTCACTCAAGAAGAAATAGATAACCTGAATAGCCCTTTATCTATTAAAAAACTGTATTTCAAACATCTTTTCACAAAGAAAATGACAGACTCAGATGGTTCCCTTGTACAATTCCAGCAATAGTAAGAGAAGAAATAATACCAATTCTACACAAACATCCAGAAAATTGAAAAGAAAAGAATATGTCCCAAAGACATTGTATGAAAGCTACAGACCAATATTCATCATAAATATAAATACAAATTCTTAACAAATATATATTTATACATATTTAAATATATAATAATGTTTAAAAAGGATAATACATTGTGATGAAGTGGCATTAACCCCAGGAATGCGAGATTGCTTTAACATTTGAAAATCAATCAGTGTAATTCATATTAACGAATCCAGAGAGAATAACCATATGGTCATATGAATTGATGGAGAAAAAAAGTTGACAAAATCCAACAGCCATTTCTGATAAAAATTCTCAACAAACTAGGAATAAAATGGAACATCATCTTGATAAGAGGATATGTGAAAAACCTACAGCTAACATCATTCTGAATGTTTTCCCCTAACATCTGGAACAAGGCAAGGGTATCTTCATCAACATTTTTTATTTCTATTTTACTGGAGGTTTTAGCCAGTACAAATTGGCAAGGAAGATAAATACAAACCATATAGATTGAAATGGAAGAAATAAAACTGTATTTATTTGTAGAAGACAAAAATCACCTACAGAGAACAAGTGATAGACTTTCAATTATAACTGAGGTTTGCAAGGTTGGAGAATACAAGATCAATATAAGAATAAATTGTATTTCAATACATTAGCAATAAATCATTGAAAATTGAAATTAAAATGCCATTTACAATAGCACAAAAAACAGGGATAAATCTGATGTAAAGTGCACAAGACATACAATGAAAAGATAAAACTTTGCTAAGAGAGATTTTGAAATATGGAAATCAGTGGAAGAACTCTATGTTAATGGATTGAAAAACTCAAGGTTGCTAAATGTCAGTTCTGTATAAATTGGTCTATAGATTCACTGTAATCCCACTGAGCCCACGCCCACCCGGAACTGGCCCTGGCCCACAAGCACCGCGCGCAGCCCCGGTCCCCACCCACGCCTCTCCCTCCACACCTCCCCGCAAGCTGAGGGAGCCGGCTCCGGCCTTGGCCAGCCCAGAAAGGGGCTCCCACAGTGCAGTGGCGGGCTGAAGGGCTCCTCAAGTGCCCCCACAGTGGGAGCCCAGGCAGAGGAGGCGCCAAGAGGGAGCGAGGGCTGTGAGGACTGCCAGCACACTGTCACCTCTCAATGCTATCCCTCCCCCAGTCCCCCAGCCCCAACAGGCCCTGGTGTGTGATGCCACCCCCTTCCCCTCATGTCCATGTGTTCTCATTGTTCAACTCCCACTTATGAGTGAGAACATGTGGTGTTTTGTTTTCTGTTCTTGTGTTAGTTTGCTGAGATTGATGGTTTCCAGCTTCATCCATGTCCCTGCAAAGAACATGAACTCATCCTTTTTTATGGCTGCGTAGTGTTCCATGGTGTATATGTGCCACATTTTCTTTATCCAGTCTATCATTGATGGGCATTTGGGTTGGTTCCAAGTCTTTGCTATTGTGAATAGTGCCACAGTAAACACACGTGTGCATGTGTCTTTATAGTAGAATGATTTATAACTCTCTGGGTATATACCCAGTAATGGGATTGTTGGGTCAGATGGTATTTCTGGTTCTAGTTCCTTGAGGTATCGCCACACTGTCTTCCACAATTGTTGAACTAGTTTACACTCCCACCAATAGTGTAAAAGCTTTTCTATTTCTCCACATCCTCTCCAGTACCTGTTGTTTCCTGACTTTTTAATGATCACCATTCTAACAGGCATGAGATGGTATTTCCTCGTGGCTTTGATTTGCATTTCTCTAATGACCGGTGATGATGAGCTTTTTTTCGTATGTTTGTTGGCTGCATAAATGTCTTCTTTTGAGAAATGTCTACTCATATCCTTCACCTACTTTTTGATGGGGTTTTTTTCTTGTAAATTTGTTTAAGTTCTTTGTAGATTCTGGATATTAGCGCTTTGTCGGATGGATAGATTGCAAAAATTTTCCCCCATTCTGTAGGTTGCATTTTCACTCTGATGATAGTTTCTTTTGCTGTGCAGAAGCTCTTTAGTTTAATTAGATCCCATTTGTCAATTTTGGCTTTTGTTGCCATTGCTTTTGGTGTTTTGTTCATGAAGTAATTGCCCATGCCTATGTCCTGAATGGTATTGCATAGGTTTTCTTCTAGAGTTTTTATGGTTTTAGGTCTTATGTTTAAGTCGTTAATCCATCTTGAGTTAATTTTTGTATAAGGTATAAGGAAGGGATCCAGTTTCAGCTTTCTACATGTGGCTACCCAGTTTTCCCAACATCATTTATTACATAGGAAATCCTTTCCTCATTGCTTGTTTTTGTCAGGTTTGTCAAAGATCAGATGGTTGTAGTTGTGTGGTGTTATTTCTGAGGCCTCTGTTCTGTTCCATTGGTCTATATATCTGTTTTGGTACCAGTACCATGCTTTTTGTTACTGTAGCCTTGTAGTATAGTTTGAAGTCAGGTAGCATGATGCTTTCAGTTTTGTTCTTTTTGCTTAGGATTGTCTTGGCTATGCGGGGTCTTTTTTGGTTCCATATGAAATTTAAAGCAGTTTTTTCCAATTCTGTAAGAAAGTCAATGGTAGCATGATGGGGACAGCATTGAATCTATAAATTACTTTGGGCAGTATGACCATTTTCACCATATTGATTCTTCCTATCCATGAGCATGGAATGTTTTTCCATTTGTTTGTGTCCTCTCTTATTTCCTTGAGCAGTGGTTTGTAGTTCTCCTTGAAAAGGTCCTTCACATCCCTTGTAAGCTGTATTCCTCGGTATTTTATTCTCTTTGTGGTAATTGTGAATGGGAGTTCACTTGTGATTTGGCTGTCTGTTATTGGTGTATAGGAATGCTTGTGATTTTTGCACATTGATTTTGTATCCTGAGACTTTGCTGAAGTTGCTTATCAGCTTAAGGAGATTTTGGGCTGAGACGACAGGGTTTCTAAATATACAATCATGTCATCTGCAAACAGAGACAATTTGACTTCCTCTTTTCCTAATTGAATATCCTTTATTTATTTTCTTGTCTGATTGCCCTGGCCAGAACTTCCAACACTATGTTGAATAGGAGTGGTGAGAGAGGGCATCCTTGTCTTGTGCCGGTTTTCAAAGGGAATGCTTCCAGTTTTTGCCCATTTGGTATGATATTGGCTATGGGATAGTCATAAATAGCTCTTATTATTTTGAGATATGTTCCATCAATACCTAATTTATTGAGAGTTTTTAGCATGAAGGGCTGTTGAATTTAGTTGAAGGCCTTTTCTGTATCTATTGAGATAATGATGTGGTTTTTGTCATTGGCTCTGTTTGTGATGGATTACGCTTATTCATTTGCATGTGTTGAACCAGCCTTGCATCCCAGGGATGAAGCCGACTTGATCATGGTGGATAGGCTTTTTGAGGTGCTGCTGGATTCAGTTTGCCAGTATCTTATTGAGGATTTTTGCATTGATGTTCATCAGGGATATTGGCCTGAAATTCTTTTTGTTGTCTCTCTGCCTGGTTTTGGTACCAGGATGATGCTGGCCTCGTAAAATGAGTTAGGGAGAATTCCCTCTTTTTCTATTGTTTGGAATAGTTTCAGAAGGAATGGTACCAGCTCTTCTTTGTACCTCTGGTAGAATTTCAGCTGTGAATCTGTCCCTTCCTGGACTTTTTTTGGTTGGTAGGCTATCAATTACTGCCTCAATTTCAAAACTTGTTATTGGTCTATTCAGGGATTCGACTTCTTCTTGGTTTAGTCTTGGGAGGGAGTGTATGTCCAGGAATTTATCCATTTCTTCTAGATTTTCTAGTTTATTTGTGTAGAGGTGTTTATTCTCTGATGGTAGTTTGCATTTCTGTGGGATCGGTGGTGATATCCCCTTTATCATTTTTTATTGCGTCTATTTGATTCTTCTCTTTTCTTCATTAGTCTGGCTAGCGGTCTATTTTGTTGATCTTCTGAAAACATTAGCTCTTGGATTCACTGATTTTTTGAAGGGTTTTTCGTGTCTCTATCTCCTTCAGTTTTGCTTAGTTCTTTCTTGTCTTCTGCTAGCTTTTGAATTTGTTTGTTCTTGCTCCTCTAGTTATTTTAGGTGTGATATTAGGTATCAATTTTAGATCTTTCTGCTTTCTCCTGTGTGCATTTAGTGCTATAAATTTCCCTCTATACATTGCTTTAAATGTGTCCAGAGAATGATACCAGAGAATCTGGTATGTTGTGTCTTTGTTCTCATTGGTTTCAAGGAGCATTTTTATTTCTGCCTCAATTTCGTTATTCACCCAGTAGTCATTCTGGAGCAGATTTTTCAGTTTCCATGTGGTTGTGCGGTTCTGAGTGAGTTTCTTAATCCTGAGTTCTAATTTGATTGCACTGACAGCACCTTACTTGTAACAGCAGGAAATGGAGTAAAGAGCCAAACATCCATCAACTGGTGAACTGGTATATCCAACAGCATACTGCCTTGTAAGAAAAGAGCATTAACTACTGATGCACACGCACAGATGAGTGTCAAAATAGCCTTCAGTGAAAGCAAACTGACTCCATTTATAGAAAATCCTTGAAAAGTCTGCAGTGACAAAGATCAGTGATTGCCTGGGAGTTGACAGGAGGGACCCTCTACCTTAGGTTTTTGTTGAGACGAAAGGCAAAGCCCTTAAACATCTTTGGGGCCCAACTGATAGCATCCGAGGCCCACCCTTGAATCTTTGGAGGGCCTAGTCTGAATTCAGCCTCTTAGGATTTCCCCATATTCGTAATTGAAACTGAAACATAACTAACTTTGGAATTAAGGAATAAAGACATCCTTGTTCTGGGCTCTTGTTATTAGCACAAATGTTTGACTGCAGCCAAGATGGCATCTTATTCTATACAATTTAAATCCTTCTAGCTTTTTGAGGGGGATGGGGTGCTATTTAATCCATAGTTCAGCTGGTTTAGTGATAGACAAATTAGCACATCAGTATTTATCAGTGTCTTTTATGGCCTTCCTGTATTGAATCATCTCGAGATGTTTATCTCAAGACCCAACCCCACAACTACTGAATTAAGCTATTAAGTGGGAAAAACCGGGATCAGGGTACTGCCCAAAAATCTCACAAGCTCCCCAGAAAAACCATCACAAAAATCCATTCAATGCCTTCACACAAACGCAGTCTACTGCAGCTTCCTAATTCAGTTGTTTCCAGGATTACAATGTTTATAAAAGGTATACATTAAGCTTACAATTTTATTGAGCAAAATTTATTTTTATATGTACATACAAGAGACATATTCTTTGACATATAAAAAATACAGAAATATTTACATGTATACAAAAATATTAAAACAGATTTCAGAAATAAGGAAAACAAGCAAGTTTTTACAAAGGATACTTTCTTGGGAAATACACACAATGAAAAAAAGCTTTAGAAAGGTGACAACACATTTAATAGACTCCAGAAGTTGATATTTCTGTTGGTATCAATTGAGTAAGAGGAACATAAAATGTCTGAAATGCTAACAGATGGAAAACCAGACATATTTAAGACTGTCTAGGTAAAATTGCATGGGTTTCCTTTACCATAAAATTGAATCAATTTTTTTTTACCCTCAGTATCACTATCTACTTTTCCTTTTTTCTTAAAATATTTAAATTGTTTGATTTGTATTGAGAATTTTAAACTTTTTCTCATTAAATTGTAAAAATATTTTAAGAGGTTGTCTATCCTCTTTATCTTCTGGGGGGAAAAAAACCTCAGGATACTACACCGATTTCAACATAAAATTGAAAATCACAATACAATTTTTTTTAAGTTAAAACCTAACATTTTCTAACTAACATTCATGATCAGTAACAATTGATTTAATAAGAGATCACAATCTTCGTAAATTCTTTTTGCTTTTCTTTGTACCAGGCAGGGGACCTATTTTACAACTGGCTTTGAGGAGCTTGCCATCTGAACAGTCTTTAGTAGTATGATAATTACAGAGACACTTCGTACAATAATCAAATCCACAGCCTTCTCGTTTGCAGGTTGCCCGTTGTAAATAGCAATCATATTTTGCAGGTGAATTACAGCGAATACAGGCTTTGAGGCTTTCGTTCTTTTTCAATGTCTTGGCAACCTAAAAAGAAAAAAAAAACCCATTAACAAATTTCAGCAAGAATTACATGTACTTTAGTTAATAAAACCAAGGACACCCTTGCACCTTCCCCAATTCATGTATGAAATATCACTGTCACACATACGATAACTACTGCCCTAACTATTGCCCTTTATCTATGCATTATCTGATAGATGCTCAATAAATGCTTTTTGAATAAATCTGTATGTTGCATTAGTCATTATGGCATAAAATTTAAGAATAGTTTTATTATGTAGGATTTATATTTACTGATCAACATGAATCAGAAAATATTCTATAATTTTGGTAAGTTATCTAAATTAAGCTTGCAAAGTTATCTACATTTGAGTAGAAATTTTAGCACACATCATTCACTGATCTGAAGGTATAATAGAAGGCCTTCAAGTTCAGAAAGCTTGCCTTTTTCCACTTAACTCTCTTCCTCGGTTCTTAAAAGCGGAAAATGCAAAATGTAGTACTGAGTAATTTTATAAGAAATCTAGGTTTTTCATTATTTCTTCAGTGTTTCTAAATTAGAACTCAAAATCACTGAACTTTCAAACAATGCCAAGCAGTACCTAATATTCATAGAAATACATTTCTACGTACTTTCCTAATTTCATGTTTCTTTTGTTTTCCACATTGAGAGCGAAATGAAGAGGACACTAATGAAATCCCTAATAGTTCTAATTATACTATAATTAAATTTAAATGATCATTAATATCAGGTTTCTTAATGTCAGAGAATAAATTAGTTATTATCTAGAGCAAAGTTACATTTTGACCTTGAAAGTTCTTTTACATTTCTTACTCTAAATCTCTTATGTTTTAAGATTTATGATTAGACAAAAAATTACCTCAGAGAATTCATTGTGTCGACTATAAGTAGAACCTTTCTGATCACCTTGATTGGATAACTTGGTTTGAGCATCTTTTTTGAGAGAAGTCTGGGCTGCTGATTTCTGAACAGAAGCCAGTGGGGTTCTGAACATAACATATTCTCTGGTTGAAGCATGAGGTGAAAATTTATTGTTGTTTTCCTAATTTAAAAAAAAGTTTTAATAGAATTTAGAAATTATTTCCTGTATCCTCAATGAGACATTTTTATGTTTGTACATATAAGAAATGACAAACAAGATTAGGTAAGAGACTTATCCCTACATGCAATTTACCTGCACGTACTTAAACAAAGCAAAACCTAAATACTCACACATATCAAGCCTAACTTATAGACAGAAACTGTGAACCAAATACTATGGGAAATCACTTTAGATGCAGTCTATATGGTACTTAATACCTAAAAAGTAAAACAGCTTTTCCAAATTTTCCAGATGTTATAAAATACACATACACACAACTGGCAACTAAGATTGACTAAATGGTCGACTCTATCTGAGAAATGAGTAATTTTCCCTTTGTTACTTTAGACATTCTATTTCTAGGAAGAATCCAAGAAATAAATGTTGAGTTGAGATTTCTTTATTTTTGAATGTGGTTTCTAAGTTCCAGTATAAGGCTGAAATACTTTATGACTGTAAAGAAGGGTTTCCAGATTACCTCTTTTCTTTTCTATTTCTAGAAGAGCACTAACAGTGCATTTTTAACTAAAAACATCATCTGCAAACACTTACGGTAACTCTTTGTATTGCTTTACTGTACAACTGGAATGCCCCCTTATCATCTTCTAGGATCTTCTTCCAAGTTGTGCTCACTTTAGACACACTGGAAAAGTAAATCACCATAAATGAAATAATTAAAGCATCACAAAGAGCTAAGATGAATACAGTAGAAAAACATCAGCAGTGCAAAAAGATATTTTATATTATTAGTGCTTCTCAAACCTGACCACATTACAATTGCCTGGCGGTTTTAACTGGTCTAAAATGAAGCTCAGGGCTCTGTATTTTTAAAAAGCTCCCTCCTCATTAAGTAATTCTGAGTGCATTGAGGCTTAAGAACCACTGCTTTGTACAGTATTTTTTCACAATATCTGCAAACATCAAATAGTAGCCCCCACTGTATATATGATACCATGTTAGCTATCTGGTAAAAGTAATAGACAAATTTCAAAGTACTCTAGGCACACTGCTATTAGAAATCAACTTTAGAAACTCACTATGTTAACAGAAAAAGTAGAATCTGTGGTACTGATTTGACTGTCCCTCAAGAAGCTGTTTAGGCTCATGCCTGTAATCCCAGCACTTTGGAAGGCTGAAGCAGGCAGATCACGAGGTCAAGATATCGAGATACCCTCCTGGCCAACATGGTGAAACCCTGTGTCTACTAAAAATACAAAAATTAGCTGGGCGTGGTGGCACACGCCTGTAGTCCCAGCTACTCAGGAGGCAGAAGAATCACTTGAGCCCGGGAGGCAGAGGTTGCAGTGAGCTGAGATCGTGCCACTGCACTCCAACCTGGTGACAGGGCGAGACTCCGTCCCCAAAAAAAATTAAAAAAAAAGAAGCTGTTTATATCTGTTTTGCTTTAGCTCTGTTTCATAAAGACCAGTGTAAACTCACACTTGCAAAGAGTACCTCTAGATAATTTTTCAAAAAGCCAAAAAAAAAAAAACAACTCCAGTTAAGTCCTATCTAATTCTAGCCTGCATAATCACCTTAATTCTCAAAGTTATCTGACTAAGTGATTTTCCTTGGTAGATTGAGAAAGAAATGGTGGTTAGCACCAGGTTTCTAAGAAATTGTCATAAACAGAGCCTGGGAGGTGGAGGTTGCAGTAAGCCAAGATTGCACCATTGCGCTCCAGCCTGGGTGACTGGAGTGAAACCCTGTCTCAAAAAAAAAAAAAAGTCACAAATCTCTATTTGTGGATCTTTATATTTTCATCACTGTCAAATCTAGGAGAGCCCTAGCACCAAAAATGGCTTAGAAAGAACAAAAATTACTTCATACTTTCTGGTGTGACAAGTCATAATGCCTATTAGACATGTAGACTGGAACTAGGCTGTTTTACAGTTAAGCCCCAAAGATGTAACTTACATATTAGAAATTTCAAAACTAAAAGGAACAAGGATCCTAATCCAACAGAAATAGTTTTGTAATAGCATGAATATAAAATTTGAAATGACTAGGTTAAATGCATAATTCAAGTTTTCTTTCATCTTAGTGGCACATAGGTAGCAAAACACCAGCAAGTCATTACCGCAATTAAACAACATTGTAAGGTTATCTACAACAGGTTGAGCATCTCTAATCCAAAAATCTGAAAACTTTTGAATGCTGACATGATGCTCAAAGGAAATGCACATTGGAGCACTTGCGGATTTTGGATTAGGGATGTTCAACTGTTTAACCTGTAGGGTATAATACAAATATTCCAAAATTTGAAAAACATCTGAAATCCTTCTGGTACTAAGCATTTCAGATGAGGGACACTCAACCTGTACAACAGCCTTTGCATGAGCTGGTGGTACTGAGCCACTAACAGCAATGTTCAGTGTATTATGCTAATATGTATATTCAAAACAGTACTTACTTGATTAAGTCCATGTCACTGAGTTGTGCTAAAATAGTTGCTAAGACATGTCTGAGTCCCCTTCGAAAGAGTTCGCTGAGAATATCTACACATTCTAGGCCCATTTTTCTGCCAATTATATTCTGCAGTCTAAAATTTCCTCTGGCTATAATTTCCTTCAGCATCTCCCGATCTACTTTAGGATTTCGTTTTGCATTCTTTTTTAATGTTGAACAAACCACTTTTTCAAAATGAAGAACTGGCAGCAAGTTTTTGTTGGGATATTGGTCTGGGCTTTGTATTTGTAGCAGGCAGGATTGTAGACTGTCACCGAAATTCTCCTCCAGGAGGCTACCTTCTTCATGTTCACTGAGGCCACTTTGTAGAGAAAATGAGGAATAGCCACTGTCTTCATAAAGTCTACTGGTCTCTAGTGCTTCTATTTCATTTGTACTATTAAGTGTCTGTTGCACATGTTGATTTTCCTTGTTATGCAAGCGCTTGCTTTCAGTTTCAAGTTGTACAATCCTAGGGCTCACAATCGGTGACCCAATACATGACAGCCTTTCATAGTCTTTAATGCAGTCTTTACAGGAACCTTCCAAATATGCAGGGGTGTAGGAAACTAGTCTTCCAATGTCATCAGGTTTTACCAGTTTAAGTCCGGAATGAACATGGTTACAATTAAAATCACACTTCATTTTGACAGAAAGGGTAGAACTTTCTTCTTTACAACCTATAAAAAGAACATAACATTTACATCTTAATGGCAAAATTTCCACACATCCCTACTTCTTAAATTGGGATATACAAAGATTACTTTGCAATCTCTCAGCATTAGGTATTGTCTACATGTACTTGCTTACATAGCTGTGATGTTATTCAAGTTTAATTATTGATATGACAATAATATGTGAAAATATTACTTAAATCTTATAAGTACATACATATTATATTATTCTTGAGAAGGCACTTCAGAACAGACTGCTTTTGGATCTGCCTGGCTGTAACACCTGACTGTTGTCTATAACTGATTGAGTAAAAAATAGTGGAAAAAGGGGCTATATAATAAACATCTGTGTTTATGGAACAAATGAAGAAATGTGATGTATCAAAAGAGTAGGCGCTATGGTCAAAGTTATCCTTAAAGTAACCACAAATACTTTTAGATTCAGTGTTTATTCCTTGGACTTGAAATGACATTATGGTTCTCTTTGACGTAAGCACAACCCAAGCCACTGACAGCAAAAGTGGTTAAGATTAGTACAGGAGGACAAGGTATAAGGGTGGGAATAATCTTGATAAAAATAATAAAAATTTTGTGTATTATTTCACTATTAACAATGATTGCAAGCCTTAAAATAACTATTCAAGAAATCTATAGGTAGCTTGGAGAAAAGAACTAATAACACATTTAAACATCTATAAATTAAAGTCTACCTGAATTCCCACAGCTCTTATCTCCAAGTTTTATTCTGATGGGTGCTCCTGGTGACCTTCTAATATATTCAAAGCGTTTGTCTACCTTACTGGATAGTAAACTCGAGTACCGGGACATCTCCCTGTACCTTGTCTAATATGTGCTGGAAACTGCTCTTTAATCACTGAACAAAGACATTCCACGACTAATTTACCAAAGAACCGTAAGTATGAATAGTTCTGCTATCAATCAAAAGTAAGTGTTGGTAAATAAGAATGACACTCTAATCAATTAACCAGATTTAAGAATATGAGTGATAGGGCAGCAGGTGTAAATTACTGTTCAATTGCTTTAAATAACTTAAGATAAACTTGCTATTAATGATAAATAGAAAAAAGGGAAAGACTTGTTCAGGGTTTTATTACCACCCTGCTCCAACCCCCGGGATCTAAGAAATCAGTTAAGACACAATGGAGCAGGCAGCATCTTAAGATAGCTTTAAAGCAAGATTTCACCATCCCTGTGCTACAGACATTTTGCAGTGAATACCTCTTTGTTCTCAGGGACTGTCCTGTGCATTGTAGGATGTTAAGCAGCCTTTACCCATTAGACACCAGTGGCAGCCCCCACTCCCAAGATGCAATGTCTCCAGTTACCAGTTATTGCCAAATACTGGGCAGGGAAAAAGGCCAGATGCAAAATTTCCTCTATTCTTCAGTTGAGAACCACAACTCTAAAAAATGATTAGGATTTTGTCAGACAACAGTGGCCTGGGAAGGGCATTCACAATTTGAGCAACGGCACAATGCTGGGAAGGAATATGGTAGATGGGTTCAGAAAACTGTTTAGCATTGTTGAAGGCAGAGAGTAAGAGTAGGCAAACAATGGGGACATGAGCTAAGAAAGCCTGAATCTTAAATGCCAGGTTAAAATGTGCCCCATCTACCATCCCCACACAAGCCAATCATATATAGCTAACAATTTATCCTGTAAGTAAATGTATACAGCATCAGTATGTTTAGTCTGCACTAAATATTGGTAATGCGTTCATATAAAACTTAACCATTTTTTACATAGAGCAAAACTTTTTAACTCAAAGTAGAAATGGATACCTTCATAGAAAGTAACTTGTAGAGAGAAACTGCTTGTAAATTCCCAATGTTAATACAGTGAAAGACACATAGTATGTGCTCCAGGATCCTACTAAACCTAAAATTAAGGGTTCAGCTGCATAAAAAGCAAAGAATATACAAATTCTAGCTCCCTAATTAACCCTAAACCTAGAACAAATGATTCTGAGTGGTTTAGTTTTATTCAGAGGAAAAGTAAAAAATGCCAAGAGATTGCCTCTATTTTTGCCTCAAATCAACTAAAGAATTAGGTTTGATTTATATATGACCACAATTTACATGACAGGATAAAAAAGCAGAAGCCACTTATGAAGGGCACACTCTGCTTTGTTTAGCTGCCTAAACCAAAAAGGCCTGAAAATACTTCAGGAATTCAAAGTCATTCTCTTTCTGCTGTCTTTAGAACAGTTACTGGGGGGTTGTCCTATAGAACCTCTTTCATTCAACACTGTTCTTTGAATATGGACAGTTCCTTAAAATTAGAGCTAATAATGATGCAAATCCTTTATATTTGTTTAGAAGTTTGCAATTTCCAATGCTTACAAACCTTTTGAGGTAGGATGGGGAATTGTTATTTTTACAATTGAGCACACTGAAGTGTAGCTTAGTTTGCCCAATACAGGCAGTTAATTAAATGAGCCAGATTTCTCTTCCTCATTATAATGAGGTGCTCTGGAAAAACAGATCTTACAAATAACATTCATACTGTTTATAAAAATGATAGAAAAGTCAGAATTTATGTTGCAAGCGCACTTAAGGTACTAAAGAAGAAAATGTGTACGTTTCTTTTCTCATGTGAGCTGGCCCTTTTCCAGTCCTTAGTAACAATGACCTTTCCATCCCAGGGGCTTTGTACATCATGCCTTTCCCTGCTTAGAATCTTTTCCACTTCCTTTGCTTATTTAGCTTCTAATCCATTAATCATGGAGAGCTTCATTTTTTGGGGGGGGGGGGGGGGCGGGGGACTTCTCAGACCTCATCAAACTCTACTCTAAAGCACTACCAAATTGAAATTTTAAAAAGTACTTTAATTTCCTTAAAGGCCAGACATAACTGTTACTGCTTATGACAAAATCCAAGCAAATGGCAGTGCCTGACACAATGAAGACATATGATATAAAAATGTGTTTCCCATTTTTTTTTGTTAGCTAATACCAACATTAGAATCTGTACTCTTCCTCACGAAATTAGCACTTAAGGAGTTAAAATGACTACCACGTTCCTCTTGCAACAACAGTATTTTCACATGGATAATTAGATTTAGTATTTAGGTAAGGTGCAGTGGCTCATGCCTATAATCCCAACACTTTGGGAGGCTGAGGTTGGGGGACTGCTTGAGCTCAGGAGTTCAGACCAGTCTGGGCAACATAAAGAGACTCCATCTCTACAACAATTAAAAAAAGAAACTAGCTGGGCATGGTGGCATGTGCCTTTGGTACCAACTACTAGGGAGGCTGAGGCGGGAGAATTGCTTGAGCCCGGGAGGTTGAGGCTGCAGGGAGTTGTGATCATACCACTGCATTCCAGCCTGGAAGACAGAGGGAAACCCTGTCTTAAAAAAAAAGAAAAAAGAAAAAAAAAGGTTTAGTATTTTAAAAGAATTTTAATAAACTTATTTGAATTCACAGAAAAGCTGCAAGGATAGTGCAGAATTCCTGTACACCCATTGCTTAACTTATATTACTAACAGTAATGCATGTCACAACAAATTAACCAATATTGTTGCATTATTAACTAAAATCCCTATTTTATGTGGACTGCTGTAGTTTCTACCTAAAATCTTTTTTCTGTTCCCGGGTCTTATCCAGGATACATTACATTTAGTCATCATATCTCCTTAGGCTCCTCTTGACTATGACAATTTCCTTGTTTATAATTACCTTGACAACTCTGAGAAATACTGGTTATTTTGTAGCCTGTTCCACAATTAGGATTTGTCAAGTTTTTCTCAGCCTTAGTCTGGGGCTGTGGGTTTTTAGACCAGAGGTAAGGTGCTATGATTTGAACTGTTGTTAGCCTTGATTACTTGGCTGAGGTAGTATTTCTGAGCTTGCTCCAAATGTAAAGTTACTCCTTTTTGTTCTTTTTCCATTTGAAACTTTTTGGAAGGAAGTCACTATGTACACCTCACACTTAAAGGAGTGGGGAGTAAATTTATAAATCATTTGGAATTCTTCTTTACAGCAGATTTGTCCATTAATCTCCTATTTATTCATACTACCAATCATTTATATCAGTATAAACTCATAGACTTTGGGTTATAATCCAATACTATTTACTGTATTGCTCAAATTGTTCCAGCTTTTGCTATTGTGAGCTCTTGCAGTTGACATTGGTGTCCATTTCACATACTTAAATCATTTTGTGTTTTGAACATCCCTTACTTTCTGGGACTACAAGATGCTCTAAGTGCATCTTATAATTTCCGTTTCAGCCCTAGAATCAGTCATTTCTCCAAGCACTGTGGTTTCCTTTTTTTTGGAAAAAGGTATTAAATGAGAGTGAAATCTGGATGTTGGTTGTAGATTTAATTTTAAAATATGAAATTAATGTATTTTTCATTTCCATAACAATACTGCAGAAGAAATAGAATAGCATCATATTTTATAAAAATGGAAGCTGAAGCAACTGTTTGCAAAAGGTTAAATCCATTCCTTTTAACTAGCTAAGTGTTTTCCAATGACCAGGCCAAATTTGGGAAATATGTGAAGTATTCATATAATTATTATCCAGAAAGACAGAAAACATTATATGGCTTCATAACCTCTTGAATGAAACAGATGAGGGCTAAGAGTTCAGTTGAACCATTTCACTTATTTATCCAACATCCATTCAGTGACAGGGTAGGGAGAGAGAAAGATATTAATTAGGGATGATCTTTCAGCAAAGCTGACATTCTGAGATCTGAACACCTTATGGAAATCTGGTGGAGGAGTTCCAGATGGTGGGAAACACAGGAAGCAAGGAAAAATGTGAGTGTTCAAGGAAGAGAAATATCTGTAGGGCTGAGTTGGGGGAGGTTATTGAAAATTATAGTTGAAGAAGTAGAATGATCTGCAGATTTGTGGGGTAGGCTGGGTCAAAAGTGGAGAAATTTGGTTTACATTTTTAAAAGATCATTGGCAATTGTGGAGAATGAATTGCAGGAAGGTAAGTAGAAGCAGAGAGAATAGTTAGAAGTGTTTATGACAGAAGTAGAGTGTGGGAAACCCAGACTAGAAGGATTGTAGTGGAAATGAAAATAACTGCATAAATTCAAGGTCTGTTATTTAGAAGGGTAAAGTCAACTTGCTGCTAATCTACTAGATCTGGATATGAAGAAAAGGAGAGTAAAAAAACACCCTGGGGTTTAAGTCTTGAGTATCGAAGGTATACAGTGCTATTTACTGAGTATGGAAAACTGAAGAAGTTAACTCTTAAAACCTCACTTTCCTCATCCATAAAATGGGAGTAAGACAATGAAACAGGACTAAATGCAAGGCAAAGTCCCTATCACAAGGGTCTAGTCAATACAATCTATTTTTAATCACATAAGCCAAATCCCTTCATATTCCTTACATTGACAATCATTAACATTTGAAAGTAGTAAAACACATTTCACAAAGAAGTATATATTTCAGAGTAACACATACTTTTCCATTAGAATGTATAGATTTAAGAATCAGATCCAAGTTTGAATGAAAATCCTTGCTTAGCCTTTTGACTAGCTTTGTGAACTTGGAATGTCCTATTCCTATTTTTCCCCCAAGTGCAGACACTAATAAGACTCATACATGGCATTGTTTAAACTTCTCATTTACCAACTCCCAGCCCAGTCATATAGAGAAAAGTAAATTTTACAATGTTTGATCTTACATTTAACTTTTCAATATAGACCTGATCCTCCATATCAAATATCATAAATAAGGCTGCAGTCCTTAAAAATCTTTGTAACTCTTCTGTTAAATAATTAAGTTCCAGTCTCTAATACCTACAGATAACGACCATGTGGTCAACGTTAGGCATGGCTATTCCTTAAGAATTTAAGAGGCCCAATGCTTGTGACCATAAAGTAATCTTTAAGAGAAAATTTTACAAAAGCCTCCTTTGAAAACTACTTGGAAGTAACATATATGTATTTTTAATTTCATCTCCTCAAACCTGTAAACTGGGGAAAAAATTCCAACAGGCAGTCATTTCTTTCTGAGGAGCAAGGTAGTAAAGACAATTAGAGTTATCAAAAAAGAAAAAAAAAAAACCCTCATAAGGCCATCAAGCTTCAGAATTTCGATGGTAGACTGACGATCCAGGATCTTCTAGAAATATATTTAATCTATTAAAATTAAAATTAAGTATTTTTTTCTAGAGTTCTTTTTTAATAATAGAGTCATTACAAAATAGTACAATGCCGAATTGCTAAATTTTTTCATTTTGGGTTATTTCTCAGGTAAAAATAAGTGCATATAGATTTTATTTAGAGGTAGCAACAAAGAGGATAAAAATAAGCATTTGAGTGCATTCCATTCTCTGCAAGCTTTGAAATAAAGGACTATCTAATTCTTCATGAGTTATCGGGAAAAAGTCACCAATTCTTCGATTCTTACAAAATCATCTTAATACTATGGACAAATTCAAGGTTCGTAGTAAAAATTGCTTTTTTTAAAGTCTTCCCTTTCCACTCCAGGCCCTGAGACTGGGTTAACGGGCAAAGGGAGAAAAAATTGGGAAAAAGTAACGTTTTTGTTTGGATGTCCCAGTTGAGTTTGGTCCAATGAGTTGGGGGGGTGTCTCTCCATTTGGCGGGAGTGGGGAGGGAGACCCTGGAACTCCTGAGGGATCGGTGGGGCTGCCCCTCAGGGCGCGGGACACGCGGAGGAGGCGGGAGATAACCGCGAGCGCGATCTCCCGCGCCCGCCAGCAAGGCTGGGACCGCGAAAAATCGGGGAAACTGCCTTTGGCTGTGAGGGTGCGGGGCAGATGTAGAAAAGGGGCGCAGGGGGAGAAGGTGAGGCACCTGGCCAGGCCCTGGGGGCTTCTCGCTCGCAGCCCTGTCACCGCCGGGGGCCCCGGGGTGGGGGAGGGGAGGGGCATTTGGCGCCTATTCAAGCAGGGTGGGGTAGGTGGGTCTTCCGAGGAGGAAAAAGGGCGCCCTGGGATGCCACGACCCGCACCTCCCGGGGCTGGAGTCCACGGTCGGCGTGGGTGGCGGGACCCCGCGGCCCGCCATCCCGCCCCTGCACATCTGGCTCTTCTGGCTTCCCCCCGACACCCAGCCGCCCTCCTCCCGGACCCAGGAACCGCTGCCGCCGCCCGAGGCCGGGCGTGTGGCATGGCCGCGCGTCCAGGCTCCGAGGGACGTCGGGTCAGGGTCTCAGGCTGCGACCCTCCCCGTGCACCCCTCCTGGCGTGCGCGCCCCCCTCGCGACCGCTCCCCTCACTCACTATCCGAGGGTCGAGGGCGCCCGGCGGCTGTCACTGCGCTGGGGCTGGCGCTGCAGGAGCAGCGGGGTGGCCGTAGGGCGCAGCTGCAGGGGCGCCGGCTCATGCCAGCCGACGTGGAGTCTGCCTCAGGTGGAGGAACCGCTCCGGGGGCAGCTGAGCAACCTGCCTGCTTCACAGACCTGTATCTCTTAAAAGGCGCCAGCTGGTACTTTTAAAATCTTTGAATTTGGTGCCTAAATCCGCGCGGTCCAATGAGACGCGTCGCTTGCATGCGCGCACCAATAGGAGGGCAGTGGGTGGGGGCGCCCTCGTCCGCGCCCAATTGGAGGCTGCCGAGGCGGGGCCGAGCCGCGAAGCCCAGCCCCCTTCCAGCTTACCGGCTCCCCACGTCCGGAAAGATGCTACGGCCGGGGGCGGGACCTCCGAGCACGGGGAGGCCGCGGCCCGGCCACACGTGTGGAGGGTCTATCACGCATGCGTGCGCCCGCCAAGATTCCTTCCGCCGTCTTCTGGACCGGCCTCCTGCAAGTCCTAATCTCAGCCCAAATTCAGCGCTGGCTTCCATCTGGAGATCTTTGATGGGTACAAATGGTAGCCGACTTTCTTCGATCATCTCTCGAACGGGAGTTCGGTGAGCAGCAACTCGGCTCGTCCGGGAATCCAGACTTTCCGGAAGACGGACCCTCCCCCCAGTCCAGCTTAGCCCGCCTCTCTAGGATTTACGCGCGCGCTCTGCTCTCCCTCCTAACTCGACCCTCCCCTTGACCCACGCCTCTGCGCAGGCGCCTTGGCGGGCTGTGGCTGCGGAGTTGGCGGGTCGGCGCCTGCGCACTGGAGTCCCCCGCGATTTTTTCCTCCGGGGTGGGCGAGGAGGCTGTGCGGCCTTCCCCAGCGGCTGTAGCAGGAGACCTGCGGCTGCATCTCCCAGGGCCTTCCGGCGGGGCCGAGGGTAGGACCGAGGCACTTCTTCCTTGCAAGCGCGTTTATTTGTATTTTCAACCACACTTCAGACGCTACTGGTTTATAGGAACGTTAAGTTTACTGAGTGTGCAGCTACGCTCCCCTGGGTTTTTGTTCCTTTCCTTAAAGGGCCAGGTGTAGGAGACAGTAGTCCTGCTCCCAAAAAAAGAATAAATAGAAGTGCCCGCCCTCTTGGGCTGGACCCCCGTGGCCAAGGGAGTTTTTAGTGATGGCTGGCATGGACGTCAGTATGAAAGTGTACCGGAGTATTAGTGATGCTTAACTTTTCACAATTTGAATATGCACTTAAGTAGGGCAGTGCATTCCCTGAACTCAGCTTTATGGCTACAGCCCAGTGAAGCAACGGGATGTGAACTCCAAAACGGCGAATCCTCCTTTGCTGTTTCCCTCTGGTGCCTTTCTGCAGCCTCGGAGTGAGTTCTTGGCTGTAGTCAGTTTTCAGTACCGTTAGTGACGAGTCCGGTGGGGCGCGGCCAGGATTAGGATGAATCATACAAGTGCTGGGTGGATCCTGTCTTTACCTAAAATTTTGATAATTAGTTGTGGGGCGCGGCCAGGATTAGGATGAATCATACAAGTGCTGGGTGGATCCTGTCTTTACCTAAAATTTTGATAATTAGTTCATCATGGGTTTTTTGCCTTTTTCATTTTTAAAAATGTTAAAATAGTGTCACTCTTGATGACTTAAATTTTTTTCATCCCCGTAAACGCACCTGAGGCCTGTGCTTCCTTGCCTCACCCTAACCTGGCCCTGGGGCTAGATCCTGGAGATTCAGGGTTGAAAAGACAAAGTCCTGTCCTTTAGGGAGTTTACAGAGACCAATGGGAAAGAAGTTGACAGTGAACAATTTCAGAACACGAAAGAGGATATGAAAGAATGTAATCGGGGGTAGAGAATGCAGATTAGTATAGGTTAAGGATTTTGGATGGTCAGGACGCTTTCTGAGGCTTTGAACCCAGATGCGTTGAACTGGCAATGCAGGGCTGCATAATAAGCAGAGGGAATAATAAGCAGAGGGAATGCCTGACTACGACTTAGTGAACAAGAGAGAGAGGAGATGAGGTTAGAGAGGTAGGCAGAAGCCAGATCCTGTGGGACCTTGTAGTTTTTCCATGCAGAGTTTAGACTTTCTTCTGATTGCAGTGGTTAGCTGTTGGAAGGATTTTGGCAAGGTAGTTATTTGTTGATAGAATATTGAAATTATAATAGCTTTTTTATGTAAAAAAAAGAATGTAAATGTTAGCCTTTCATTCTCACAATAGGTTAGCATTATTTTCAGTGTACAATGGTCGTGCTTCTCAGTGTGAGTTAATTCTCACTGTGGCTACCAAAACCACACAGCTAGTAAGCGGAGATTCGAGTGCCCGTCTGCAGGATTCAAAAAGTCCATGTCCTTTCCTCTTATGCTATGCTAGCCTATAACACTATCTGCTGGAGTCCTGGTTGGTTTTAGTACATTTCACATTACTTCACAGTTTGACCTTAGAGATAATTGTATTCACCTCTTCTATTTTCAGATGCTGGCATAAATACAAAATTCGAAGCAGGCAAGGTTTCTCATTACATTAGTTTTTATTTGTATTTTTTTGAGACTGAGTCTCGCTCTGTAGCCCAGGCTGGAGTGCAGTGGCGCGATCTTGGCCCGCTGCAGTCCCTGCCTCCTGGTTCAAGCGGTTCTCCTGCCTCAGCCTCCCAAGTAGCTGGGATTATAGGCATGCGCCACCACGCCTGGCTAATTTTTATATTTTTAGTAGAGACGGGGTTTCACCTTTTTGTCCAGGCTGGTCTTGAACTCCTGATCTCAACTGATCCATCCACCTCGGCCTCCCAAAGTGCTGGGTGGCATGAGCCACCGAGCCTGGCTCATTAAATTAGCTGAGCATCTGGAATATAACCTTTGGATCTTATCCTCAGCTTAGATTTGTTCTTCAGCAGTTTTTTTATTCTCTAGAAAAAGGCTGATATATTATTGGAGAAATCAAAATTTCTGTCATAATGTAATATAAAGAACCAAGCATGTTTTGTTGCATGCTAGAATAATTTGTTAGGTTTTTTTTTTCAGCTTATTGGGTTACTGCATCATTGACATTAAATAATGTTTGAGCTTTAATTATTATATTATTCATAACTGTCGATAGGTTCAGTTCACTGGCACCTGTTAAAATTCTCATCTAAGTGAGAAAGTTAGGGCCACTCTGGCGGGGTGTGGTGGCTCATGCCTGTAACCCCAGCACTTTGGGAGTCAGAGGCAGGAGGATTGCTTGAGCCCAGGAGTCAACATGGTGAAACCCCATCTCTACCAAAAACAAAAAAAGCAAAAATTAGCCAGGCATGGTGGTGCATACCTGTAGTCCCAGCTACTTGGGAGGCCGAGGTGGGAGGATGGCTTGAGCCCAGAGGCAGAGGTTGCAGTGAGCTGAGATCGCATCACTGCACTCCAGCCTGGCGACCAAAAAATAAAGGGCAAGGGGACATTCTGAATTTTACTAGAAGCCAATAGATGTATACACCTCATTTTTCAAATCAGCATCAATCAGTTGTTGGGTGTTTAGGTGGAACATGAAGTGCAGAGAGAACTGCCCTCATTCTTTCGTAAAATTCTTATCGCAGACCTATCACATGCAAAACAATGGGATATATGGAAATAAATGGGACATGACACCTGCCCTTGTGCTTATTATCTGTGGGCTTGCCACATAATAGCCATAATAGGTGTTCAGTAAATAATTTCTGAATACCAATCAGGCATATCTGTGGGGGTAAGGTGTATAAAATAAAGCTATGTGGAACACTGGATGAGTCAAATACATTTAAATTTGTGGAAATTTTGGCCGGGACTGGTGGCTCACACCTGTAATCCCAGCACTTGGAAGGCCTAGGTGGGCAGATCACCTGAGGTCAGAAGTTCAAGACCAGCCTGGCCAACATTGTGAAACCCCATCTCTACTAAAAATACAAAAAATTGGCCAGGCATGGGGGCGGGTGCCTGTAATCCCAGCTACTTGGGAGGCTGAGGCAGGAGAATCATTTGAACCTAGGAGGCGGAGGTTGCAGTGAGCCGAGATCACGCCATTGCACTCCAGCCTGGCCAGCAAGAGTGAAACTCCATGTCAAAAAGAAAAAAAAAAATTGTGGAAATTTTCATAGAAAAAAAGGAGTTACTTCTATGTACCAGGATAAGGGAATAATCTGTAGGACAGGGTTTCTTAACCTCAGCACATTTTTGGCCAGATAATTGTTGTAGGATGTTTAGCAGCATCTCTTTTATTCCATCTTCCAGTTGTGGTAACTGTCTCTAAACGTTGTCAGATGTCTCCTGCGGGGGCAAAAGACCCTCTGGATGAGAACCATGGCTGTAGGGGATGTCTTCTGAAGAAATGGGCACAAAGGAGGCCTACAACATAAAGAACAAAATAAGGGAAAGGGTAAATGCAGTTGCATTTATCAGGATAATTTAATTTGATGTGGCATGGGGGGTGGTGTATAAAGTGAGCTAATACAAAATGATGCTGGATACAGATCATGGATGTATTGTATACACAGTGGAAAGCTGGTTTTATTTGGGAGACAATGGGAGCTTTTACATTGTTGAGCAAAGGAGTGACGAGATCAGTCTTGCTTTTTAGAAAGATTAGTTTGGCAGTTACTTATTTGTAACCAGAATTAGACAGCAAATCGGATGCAGGGGAGAAGTCAGGTGACTATTAGTCTGCGAAGTAATTCTGGACAAGAGCAGTGGTAATGGAATTGAAAAGGATTAAAAGTGTTTACCAGGTTTTAGCAATAAATCCAATGCGAGGAAGAGGAACGTAAGATGACATTTTAAATTTGAGAGTGGTAGTACCATTAAAAACTAATGAATTTTGATTAACTAGTGCTTTAGGCCCTTTGAAATTATTTTGAATTTTGGTTCTTTCTGAACAATGCACCAGATTTCTAGACAAATACTTAAGGTGTTTTTAGACATCTATTTAGTGCCTATTATAGCATGGTGTTAGCTTCCGAAGAGACAAGAATGATGAAAATACAATCTTATCCATTAGTGGCATTGTGAGAGGTCTAGCAGTAACTTGTTCATCCTATGCCCTGATCCACCCTTTCTCATTTCCTTATTAAGCACACAATACTGAGACCAGAATAAAGCAGTGCATTTACTACCTTGTGAAGAATGTTCAGGTGTTCAGGTATGGTATCTTCATTTTGTGCTGCTATAACAGAATACAGGAGACTGGGTAATTTGTAAGGAACAGAAATGTATTTCTCACAGTTCTGGAGGATGGGAAGTCTAAGATCAAGGAGCTGGCACTTGTTGACTAGGGCTTTCTTGCTGTGTTCTCACATACAGAAGGCAAGCTAGCAGGATGCTCCCCGAAACCTCTTTTATTATGGGCCTTCATCCCAGTCCTAAGAGAATCCCTCATGGCCTAGTGATCTCTTAAAGACCCCACCTCTTGATGCTGTCACATTGGCAACACTTGAATTTGAGGGGACACATACAAGCCATAGCAAACTGAACATTTCTCCCATGCCAGATAGCACCATGTTCTTTGTCAGTAGGTGGTGGTAGAGGGGCACTGCAGGATAAAGGGGCTTCTTTCACTTCTAAGATGATACTGTGACAGTTAATTTTATGTGTCAACTTGGCGGGGCCACAGGTGCCTAGCTACTGGGTCATACTTTTTTTTTTTTTTTTTTTGAGATTTAACTTTTGCTCTGATTTTCCAATTATAAGGTCAAACATTATTCTAGGTGTTTCTGTGAGGGTGTTTTATATGAGATTGACATTTAAATCAATCAGTGAACTCTGAGTAATGCAGACTGTCCTCCTCGATGTTAGTGGGCTTGATCCAGTCAGGTGAAGGTCTGAAGAGAAAAAAAGACCGTCCTCTTCCCAGAACAAGAGAATCCTCCAACAGATACCTTTGGACTGGACCTTGCACCATCAGCTTTCCTGGGTTTCCAGCCTCCTGCCTCACACTCCAGCTTTTGGACTTGTTAGACTTAATAATAACAACACAAGCCAATCCTTTTAAGGAAGTTTGTCTGGAGAATCTTGACAAACACAAACATCTACTGAGAGTTCCTGTCCAAGTTTTGCTCACACCCTAGCAAGAGGCTTCTGGCTTACCAGTTGGGAGTGTGAGGTTCTTTGCTTGTAAGACCTGATCCACCAGCGGTACACCAGCTCTGGCCCAGGGCAAGACAGGGAATTTCCCAATCACTGAGTAGGCTGTAGCCACTCTCTCCATTAGGCCTGACTTCACCATGGGGAAGGGGAGACCCTTTCAAGGGTATTCTTTCCTGGGGTACTCTCAGTCCTAGGACATCATAGCTCTCTTTCATCCCTCTTAAAAGTTAATACCATTATCAGTTAACAGTTTTTATATTAAAATTATCCCTGTTCAAGTTAATGGTATGGTTTCTGTATCCTGACTGGATATTAGGATACAGTATTTACTGTCTTATTTCTACTACTTTATGTTTAAAGTTTTTCATAATATTTAAACTGAAGTTTTGATCATTCATTAAATATTTACACAGAACAGGACAAAGGATGATTTTCCTTTGTCTAGTTATTGTAAGGTAGCGTCCAAGATTTACCACCACATCATGATTACAGATGGTCACCAACTTATGTTTTAGGATTTTTTGACTTTATGATGGGTTTATAGGGATGCAGCCCCATTTCAAGCTGAGGAGCTCCTTAGGGCTTAGGAATCATACCTCTTTCACACCATGGTAAAGTTGGAAAATTGTTAAGTCAAGCTGTCATTAATTAGGAGACTGCTGTGTTGCTAACGTTATATGCATTTTTAACTTATGATGGGTTTATTGGGAATTAACCACAATGTAAATCGAGGACCATCTGTATATTGTATGATTTTTGCTAATGCATTGAGAGAGATCTGTGTAAATTATCTATGACTTCAGAATATGCATATTACCTCCAACTGTGTTAACTCAACGTTTTTCAAGAGAGTAAGGGTACTTTCACCCTATGTGGATGTACTGTAGAATTTTTCTAAGCTACGAAAGTCTATAAATAACAAATCAACTTAAACTTTTTGGGAAATAATTTCTACTAAAGATTCATAATCGGCGTATTCCTTCAATGACTGTACAAGTTCATCCAGTAGATAATCTCCTTGCATAAAAGTTTCAAGATCATGCAGCGTCTTGTTTATTCTGTGATCTGTGACCCGGTTCTGTGGAAAATTATATGTTCTTATTTTCTCTGATCTTCCTTTACTTCCAATCTGTATATAGAGAAAAAGATGAGATGCAGCTAGATTCAGGGCAATTTAAACCTACAAATTTAACTTATTTGGAGACTTAAGTTCTTGATTTATAACATGAATCAAATGCGAGAACCAGGTTTTAAACACTTAGAATCTCAAATGACATGGGAACATGATATAGAAAAAAGAACACGTGCTCTAAAATCAGATTAATATCTGAATCCTGCCTCAGCCACTTCAATGTTCTATGACCTCGGGCAACTTAGTTTCCCGATCTGCAAAATACAGTGTCTACTACACAGTGATGATGACAATAGAGCCTGGCACATAGATGCTATTCCTATAGTCGCTGAATACATATAATCTCTGTGAATTAATGCAGTCATCTTCCGTGGTAACAAGGTGGTGAGTTTCCCATATTGAGGAATTCTTAAAAGGCTCTGTAGTTATAAAATTAAATACCGGCCAGGCGCGGTGGCTCACACCTGTAATCCCAGCACTTTGGGAGGCTGAGGTGGGTGGAGCACCTGAGGTCAGGAGTTCGAGACCAGCCTGCCCAACATGGCAAAACCCCGTCTCTACTAAAAATACAAAAAATTAGCCGGGTGTGGTGGCAGGCGCCTATAATCCCAGCTACTCAGGAGGCTGCAGCAGGAGAATTGCTTGAACCCAGGGGGTGGAAGTCGCAGTGAGCTGAGATCGCACCACTGCACTCCAGCCTGGGTGACAAGAGCGGAACTCCATGTCAATAACAAACAACAACAACAAAAATTAAATACAGGAAGAAAAAAACAGGAAGAAAGCCAAGTTGAGTTTGCTTTCCAACTTTCTTGCGTAATTAAAATTTCAAAGGATTAAAAATGAATGAGGACTCAGTATATATCTTTATTTTTAGTAACGGATTAAAAGTCTGAGAAAAATACCTTTGAATATAGAAAACAGGGCAGAGATGTAAGATTACTATCAAAGAAGGATAGCCCTTAGACTACTTGAATTGTTTTCAACACAGGTTAAAACAAATATATAAAAACCAAGTTATTTAAAAAAAGCTGAGTTATATAAAAATATTTCTATCCTTTAAAAGCATTTTTAAAATTCTTTTTTTACCTGAATTTTTCTAGCATTCTGTCTTTTATTTATTTCTTCTTCTAGATGCATGCTGTACAGTTTTGCACGTAACTTTGTCATAGCCAGCTCTTTATTTTTCAGCTGAGATCTCTCTTGTTGACATTCAGAAACAACACCTGAATAGTGTTACGAGAATTAAAAAGTTTTAATAAAAAAATCTTCTTTACTTATTATCAAGGAATACTTTTCCTCCTCATCCTTTTTCTTCTTCCTTTATGAGGGGAAAAAACAGAGGACTCTAATAAAAAAGGGAGAGACTATAAGCTTAACTTTTGCAGAGTTTATCAGAAAACTGAAAATTTAAGTTTTGAGCAATAGCACAAATAGCACAAAGTCTTTCTTTCTTTCTTTTTTTGTCTGAGATGGAGTCTCGCTCTGTCGCCCAGGCTGGAGTGCAGTGGCGCGATCTCGGCTCACTGCAAGCTCCGCCTCCCGGGTTCACGCCATTCTCCTGCCTCAGCCTCCCGAGTAGCTGGGATTACAGGTGCCCGCCATCACGCCCGGCTAATTTTTTTTTGTATTTTTAGTAGAGACGGGGTTTCACCTTGTTAGCCAGGATGGTCTCGATCTCCTGACCTCGTGATCCGCCTGCCTTGGCCTCCCAAAGTGCTGGGATTACAGGCGTGAGCCACCGCGCCCGGCCTAGCACAAAGTATTTCTATACTGAAGGCATACATACTAAACAATAAGCATAAATCATTTAATACAGATTGTTTCCCCTCAGCTAGCCACCATGTTTTAAAAGTAACAACTACTTATAGAAACTACGATACATGAAAAATCCTATTACCAGAGAAAATCACTTAACTTTTTTAGGCTATCCATTTTTTCCCCCAATTTTTGTTTCATATTCTGTATTACCTAAGACATCATCCAGTTTAACATAAGGATATTCTCATAATTTAAAAGAACAAAATCGTTAACAATCCAGTACTGGCCTCAACCACTATTAGTTAATAGGGACTATGCCCATTTGAGATCAGTCACAGTAAGAGATTCTTGTTTCCTTTCTAGATAACTGAGATTTGCTATCCCTATGCTCTTTATCACATGTGAATCACTGTGGTGATACCTGTGAAAGACGTTTAGTTCGAGCTACAGTATACTGGAGATTTCGATATAGTCCCTTTGCCTAACTATCTAGAATCAGATCCCCTCGAAGTATGTGAATGAACTTAATGGAAAGAAGCCCCTGCAATTATATGCAAAACTGTATATGTGTTTCTGAGTAGGAGGTCCAATGCTTTCATATCATTTTTTTTTAAAGGAAGCCATGTTCCCCTCCCCTGCAAAAAGGCTCAGAACCAACAATTTAGAGCATTTTCTGATAAAGAACCCATGATAATTACTTCATTGTGAGAATTTTCTTTTTAAGTGTAAAACTCAGAACTCCACCTGAAAGGACCATCCACACCTTCTATAAATAGTAATTAATACAGACATTCCCTGAGTTTGGATCCCTCCCTCTTCCTCGCCTTGCAGTTATCCCACGGAGTATCAGGTAAGGATTCTAAGTAAATCAAATATTTAATAACAATCCTTAGAAGTATATACTTCTCTGGTAACCGAGGATCTATTTCAGTGGAAAATTAGTCATATTATTCCAAAATTGATTTCTTTGGTGTCATATATTGAAGGAATAAGTACACACCTGTTGGAAGATGAACTATCCGGACAGCACTGTCCGTGGTATTTACATGCTGCCCCCCAGCTCCACTGGCTCGCTTAGTGTCAATTCTCAAATCTTTCGGATTAATCACCAGATTAATCTATACAGAAGAAAAGTTGGGATTTTAAAAGATTACATGTATCAACTTTATAAAGGCAAGAGCGACCCATTTATGAATATACAACATGTACAGAATTCATATATTTGGGAGGTTTAATTTTAAGACTAGAGAGTAGCTAGAAGGATACCATTTTAAAACTTTTTTGCTTTTTGGAAGAGTAGGGAATCGAAATAGTACAGGACTGTACAGTTTTGAAAAACAAATCCTTTCTAGTCCTCAAAAACCTGGCTTCCCTTTATCCATTTCTTACCACAGAAACAGCAGAACTTGATACTATTCTGCCTACTTTTAGAACTGAATGTTTAAGGTTTTTTCAAATTTTTCTGAGTTTAAAGAGCCTAGCAGCAGGAAAAAAAAATGGTAGCGTGAGAACTGTGGGAAGGGTCTGTTTTGTTTTATTTCAAACATATTTGGAGGCAAAGATGAGCCAAATGGAAATGGGAGTGGCCAAGAAGTCATGAGTCTCAATTCCTCAACACACTGGGATCTGAGGTCAAGGTAATGCTTTGTCCTAGGAGCCACCATCAAAAGCACTGTTTCATGAACAACTAAGAACCATTCTGTGACATCTCTGCAATGCTGACAGTAAGAATCCTACCATTCTCTGGGCCTTCTACCTCTATGTCTCCCTGTGTTGACTCCCTCTTATGGTTGCTAGAGGAATTAGATGATACATGGACCTCAGTCTCTCATCTTTTCCTGAAAACTTCCACCCCAAGATGGTTAAACATAAGTGACTAGGTTTCTAGATGTGGCTCTTGCCATTTATTCTACTTTACTCTCTCCCTTAACTGCTTAGTTTCTCACCTATGCTTCACACAAAAATTAGATCTAAAGAAACTAAGACCTAAAGAAAGGAACTCCATTAAACCTATTACAGAGCCAAATAGCACTTTTTCCCAAAATTAGCATAGGAACCACTAAGAGTTCCTTCTCAAAGCATTCACACTTCATTCTGAAAAACAAGTCAGATATCTGCTATCACTTTTCAGTAGAAGGGAAATGAGGCAAAACAGAACTCCTACACTAAGTTATCTTAAAAATATAGACTGAGAATTTGCTTTGTGAGAATAAAGTATACTCATTATGAACAGTATAACAATATACTTTCATTTTAATGTAACTGGGTTATGAAGCAGCAATTCTGTTAAGTAATTACCTTTGTTAAATAGGATTGTTGCTGTTAATACCCCACAAACCAGTCACACAAGGCAGAAGTCATTATAAAGGCAACCAGTCCATATTTAAATAGGTTATTATTTCACCCACAGAGATGATCTCACAATAACTACTTATTAGGAAAATACTAATACACAGACAATGCAACATTGTATCATTTACAAATCCTTAATTTTTTAGCATTATAAAATTATATTTTTTAGACTGAGATAATATGCAACTCAAAATACACAAGGAAGACCAAATAGATACTCAATTCAGTAAACTCTGAATGTTAACTCTGGGGACAAGGCACTGTGCTAGGCCCGGGATTCCAAGGAGAGGGGCTTATGCCTTACCTCAGTAGGCTGGGGTAATATTGCTACAGTCATGGTGCTAGTATGGACGCGGCCTTGCTTTTCTGTCTTTGGCACTCTTTGTACTCTGTGAACACCTCCTTCAAATTTCATGTGCCTATAGGCTTCTGAACCCCCAATGCTGGCAGATGCATGTCTAAGGCCACCTTGAAAATACAGGGAAATAGAATTATTTTTATTATTCCTGCCATTTATAAATAATTGACCATCACATCTACTATCTTGAGGTATATTTTTAAAGTCATAAAAGGAGATGAACATGGAGACTGTAAAACATATTAAAATATTCAATGTTTTAATATTTATCTTTACTGCTTACAAGTACTAAACAAAGCATTTATGGGGCTAATCAGTTGACATCAGTAACACATCTAAGACTACTTTTAAAGACTGTTAGCAATTTGATGGTTAGTATTATTGAAAGACTCTCCATTAGATTTTATAGGTCATCTCAAAATTACTGTATGTGCATTCAAATTTATTAGGTAAATGATGAGCATAAAACTACATAAGCATCCTCACAGATAAGTTCTAAAGCCTAGTCATGGTCTTTCCAACTCTTTTCCTAAACACTTTACCTGAAACAAAATGAATAGTTTACTGACCTAGTTCACTTGGAAAATATTCCAGGGTTTCAAAATGCCATCTTTTAAATGCAGCATATTGCTGATACATATCAAATATCTCTGATGTAAACAACATTGCCTCCTGACCTCCAACTCCTGCAGTTACTTCCAGGATCAAATCATTTTCATCTGTTTCTTCTGAGGGAACCAAAAGTAAGATAATCTGTAAATATAAAAATATCACCCCTCCTATAATTAAGATTTAAAATTTATCAAAAAATAAAAAGCTAAATGATTCAGGAATTTTAAATATTTAAGTTTCGCCAAGCAAATAATGTAATATTGCTGAGTACTGTTCAACCACCTTGCCAATTAGAACTGTATAATGTGTAACTTCCATAAAGTATTAATGTTACAACCATATTATAAATGCTGTTAAGATTCAGCTAAAATTTCAGGCTTGTTTTATTGTCTGTTGGAGTTCTTGTATGCTTTGTATCAGTTCTCTCTTCAGTTAATAAGAACTAAGTACTTGCTCTGATTCGGAGATTATACTGTTGTGGAAAGCAAAAGAAGATTCTAGATCCATCCTCTTGAAAATTAAGGCCTAGTATGGCAGAAAACCAAAAGCACTCAAAACTACATTTGTATTATTTTAAGATTTCTTATTATGGAAGAGAAACTTGTAATTTTGAAACTAAAAAGGCCCTTAGAGATTATCTGGTCCAATTCTTTAATTATACATGTAAAGGAAACAGAGCTTAACAGAGATTAAATGACTTGTTTAAGGGCAAAGTGTTAGTTACTGGCCAAGCAGGCACAAGAACACAAACCTTTGTGCCTAGATCAGTCTTCCCTCCATTACAATAGTGTGTTTCTAATCAAGGGGATCTAGAACAAACACTTCTTAGATTAGGTCAATTAATAAGAAAAGCTACCAACATTTTATTGGTTCTTTAATATATGGCAGGCATTCTAAGCACTGTACATACTGTAATTCTTAAAACAATCTTGGGTAAGTATTATTAACAGTTCTACCTTAAGATGTGAAACTAATTTTACAGGGGTTGAATAATCTAGTGGCTCAACATTACCCAACTCAAAAGTTAAGTGGAAGAGCTAGAATTGAACCTGAATATACCTGAGTACACTGCTATCACACTTGACATTGGTCAGAAGCTATGCTAGTTACTACTTTTCCATCTCTCTAGCCTATGCCAATACAACATTATCATTCAAATTTTGAACAAATAATGGATTTTACTTCTGTTTGTTGATTACTAGACACTGAACAGAAACATTTAATACACATATCCTTCTTATTCACACAAAATTTAATTTAGAAAATGGGTAAAATGCGAGCTATACTACACTTTTCACCTTATAGTGGAATTCTCCCCCTCTAACATAGGTTATAGGAACATTAATTTTTAGTAATTTTCACATTTGCCTAAAGGGGAAGCAGATTCTCAAAAATAAGTACCCCCTTTCCTGGCTCCTTCCTTACCTAACATATTCTTTCACTTATCCCCAACGGTAATTGCTGTCAACCTTTAGTCTCTGCTTTACAGAATTAGCAAAGAGTGGCTCTAATTTCATATAATTATTCTTCATTAACTCTATATGTTCTGTAATTCACAAAGATGTACAACCAAAGCAATGTAATCCAATTCTTAAAATCGTGAGGGCTTACTCTAGGTCTGGTATTCCAAATAGTGTCAGAGATGCAAAATAAGTATTCCTGGCCCTGAGGAGCTCACAGTCTACTATCACTCTAACAGGGGACTTCAAGAAGTTGTATTTCAAAGTTATTTTGTAACAAAATAAACTCGTGCTAACTTGTTATAACAAGTCACAGGCTCTAGTTTGAGGTACTAAAAAGGGTATCAGTTTGCAAAGAGCCCCATCAGAGCAATATGAACTCTGTTAAATTGAAGCAAGAACAAACATTAAATTGCTGGTGAAGCTTGGGTGGAAGAATGGTGAAATCATTGATGCTTTATGAAAAGTTTATGGGGATGATGCCCTGAAGAAATCAGCAGTTTACAAATGGATAACTCATTTTAAGTAGAGACAAGATGATGTTGAAGAAGAAGTCCACAGTGGCAGACCATCTGCATCAATTTGTGAGGAAAAAAATTATCTTATTCATGCCCTAATTGAAGAAGACTGATGATTAACAGAAGAAACAATAGTCAAACCACAGACATCTCAACTGGTTCAGCTTATAAAATTCTGACAAAAAAATTAAAGGTGAGCAAACTTTCCACTGGATGGGTGCCAGAACCTTTGCATGCAGATCAGCTGGAGGCAAGAGCAGAGCTTTCAATAGAAATTTTAAACAAATTGGATCAAGATCCTAAAGCATTTCTTTGAATTATAACCAGAAGTGAAACATGGCTTTACCAGTATGATCCTGGAGACAAAGTACAATCAAAACAATGGCCACCAAGAGGTGGAAGGGGTCGAGTCAAAGCAAAAGCAGACTGGCTAGGGGCAAAAGTCATGGCAATAGTCTTTTTGGGGATTCTCAAGGCACCTTGCTTATTGACATTCTAGGGGCCAAAGAACAGTATCTGCTTACTATGAGGGTTTTGAGAAAGCCAGAGTTTTAGCAAAATACCAGGGACAGCTTCACCAGAGTCCTCTCCTACACCAGTGCTCCTGCTCATTCCTCTCATCAAACAGGCAATTTTGAGAGCTTCAATGGGAAATCCATAGGCACTCATGTTACAGTCCTTATTTGGCTCCTCCTTTTTTTTGTTTCCTGATCTTAAAAACTTTGTAAAGGGTACCCATTGTTCTTTAGTTAATAATATAAAAAAGACTACATTGACATGGTTAAATTCCCAGGACCCTCAGTTCTTTAGGGATGCATTAAATGCTGGTATATCACCTTTTTGCTTACCAAAGTGTCTTGAACTTGATAGCTGGTGGCACTTATGTCAATAAATTAAAGTTTATATATATATTTTTTTATCTTTTAATTCCAGTTTTCCACAAACTTTTGAAGTCCTTTCATATAACCTCTTCTGCCCCATGTCTACCTCCAGTCTTCTTAAAAAAAAAAAAAAAAAAAAAGGGAAGATATGCCACTATTTCGCTGCCTTTCCAGAAAATACTATCACTGTGACATTTATCTTTCTGTGAGAGCGCTACAGTACTTTTAGTATGATGAAAACAGGACCATGTGAAGTTTGTTCTTTAAAAACCAGTTTATTGATAGTCATAATCATTTCAAAATGTATGCATATATCAAAACATCACATCATATACCTTAAATATATGCAATTTTGGGGGTCAATTTATACCTCAATAAATCTAGAAAATAAATTTAAAAAACCCAGTTTATTCTAAACAGTAACAAGCTAGTCACTTGTTTTTATAAACCTTTAATAAACTTTAATGCCTAAGAATAGCACAAATGCTTTATTCTTTGCAGAAATACCATACCTGATGCTTCAGCTGAGTTATTTCTTTTTGACACAAAGTGATTTCATTCTCTGCAAGTTTCCTTAAATCTTCATTCTCATCTAGGAAAAAAAGGGCAGAAGTTAAGGTTTTCCTTAATTAGTGTTAAATTGCTAGCAGACTTCTAGGAAATAGTTTTATGGTTATTATAGCTGAAGGGAAAAATAAAATGTATATCTTGTCCTTTCAATAAATACCATTCAATAAATGCCTTTCAATAAATGTCCTTTCAATCAATTTCACCATTTTATACATTAGTTTTCATAAGCATGTAAGTATAAAATTTTTTTTCTGATAAAGTACAAGTACAAATTTCTATAAAAATATAAAGAAGCTAAACTCTTCCATAATTTCATCTCCATGAAATATTCACCTTAATAAATATGCTTTTAGACTTCCAACTTAGACTGTATAATAACGAATGCATTTAGCTAATAAGACAGAAGGGATACAGAAGGTTACACCAGTAAAACTAAAATTCAATTAAAAAGTAGAAATTTATTCTCTTATAAGCAAATGTTTCATTAGTATTTTAGTATCCACCCAAAAACATTTATTAGATTCTGCCTAATGTATACAGAATGTTTATACGAAGTACTCCTCTGTCTCTCTCTCTGGCTTTACCTTTATTGTTGTTTCATCTTTGAATTTTCATTTTTACCTTATAAAACATACTTTCTCATTCCTCTACCCTATAGATGATATGCAGCATATATAAAGGAGGAGGAAAGGGAAAATTTCTGGCTATTAACAAATTGTTCTCTCTATTGAAAGTTCAAACCCTTACAAAGCATCAGTTTGTATGCTTATCTATTAAGAAACAACCATGCTGGGAAGTGGGATAATACATATATAAGACCTGCCCTCAAGAGAGCATTATAGATAATTTTAGTTTCCTTATATTTTTCTAGAAGAGAAAAACAAAAAATAACCTAAACCCTTATGTGACATGGTTTGGCTGTGTCCCCACCCAAATCTCATTTTGATTTGTAGCTCCCACAATTCCCACCTGTTGTGGGAGGGACCCAGTGAGAGGTAACTGAATCATGGGGGCAGATATTTCCTGTGCTGTTCTCATGATAGTGAATAAGTCTTACAAGATCTGATGGTTTTATAAAGAAGAGTTCCCCTGCACAAGTTATCTCTCTTGTCTGCTGCCATGTAAGACGTGCCTTTTGCCTTCCACCATGATTGGGAGGCCTCCCCAGCCACGTGGAACTGTTAGTCTATTAAACCTCTTTTTCTTAAAAATTACCCTGTCTTGGGTATGTCTTTATCAGCAGTGTGAAAACAGACTAATACACTATGTGATTAAATATTAAAACAGTTGTGCCTTGAAGGAATCTGTTGGTTTTGGAATGGGCAGAAAAAGGAAAAAAAGATTAACTCAAGGAGAGAGAATAACAACAGCAAAACTGAGATAAGCAAGTACAGGAAGCACTGCTGAAAATTATTTTGGCAAGCATATGGTATGGAAGAAATTTGGTAGAATGGAAAATGTGTTAGGAAAAGCAAAAATGAATTCTAGCCCTAGCTTAATCGCTAAGGTACTGTTAGGGCAATAGGCTCAACTTCTTTCAGTTATGACAAGAATGAAATGAAAGTTCTGAGCTGGATAATCTCTAAGGTGCCTTTCAGTTCTGCAAAGCTAAGGAGATTGGAACTAGAGTCTAGAAGTAATTTAATTTTAATACTATATTTTATTTAACCCAATATGCTCCAAATATTATTTCAACATGTAATTAACATAAACATATTACTTTTTATACCAGGTGTTTGAAATCTATATGTATTTTACACTTACACACCTCAATTCAGACTAGCCACAAATTGCTCAACAGCTGTGTGGCTACTGGCTACTATATTGGACAGTGCAGCTCTAAAGGGTTTAGAATTAGGAGTTACTCACAGGCAATGGTAATATACTACTTCTTTAATTTCTCTTGAATATTATAAATCAACATATGTTTACTGGACACCTACCATGTGCCTGCCTTCCCCTTTGCCTATAAAGATGTTTATGGTTTCCCATTCTAAATGGGTCCTTTTCTTTTCAACCCTTTAAGTAGCTGCTTATTGTCACCCCTCTTTTCCCACCCAGATTTCTGGAGATAAAATGCCATTTTTATAACTTTTCTCCTGTTAACTCTAATTTACCTCTCAAGCTGTTACACTGGATTCTATAATCATATCAAGACCATTTTTATTCAAGTTACCAATGACAAAATTGCCAAATCTAAAGACTTATTTCAGTGTGAGCTGAAAAGGTTGTTTTACCTTTCTATGTCAGGTACTACGGATTTTTTTTTTTTTTTTTTTTTTTTGAGGCAGGGTCTTGCGCTGTCACCCAGGCTGGAATGCAGTGGCACCATCTTGGCTCACTGCAACCTCCACCTCCCGGGTTCAAGCGATTCTCCCACCTCAGCCTCTCAAGTAGCTGGGACCACAGGCACGCACCACCATGCCCAGCTAATTTTGCATTGTTTGTAGAGACAGGGTTTTGCCATGTTACCCAGGCTGGTCTCGAACTCCTGGGCTCAAGTGATCGGCCCACCTGAGCCTCTCAAAGTGCTGGAATTAGAGGCGTGAGCCACCACGCCTGGCCAAGGATCTCTTACTTCTTGAAATTTTCTATTGGCTTCTACAGCTTCATTTATTTATCTACTTCAGGGTCACAAAGCTCTGGCTGTTTTTTTCTTGACCTTTTATAGCCTTCTTCTCTGCCTGCTCCTCAAATACTGTGTATTTCTGGCCTTGTTAGACTTGTTTCTATCTTAACACATTTTCCCTGAGTGTTCTCATCTACTTCTAAGGTTTAATTTACCACGTACTGTATATCTCGAGAGCTCTCATATGATTATTTGGGCTCAATTTTTCTCCTATGTCAGTAATTTTTTCTCCTAGACTAGTACAGATATCTTTATTGGAATTCCTTTTCACAGGTATTTTTAACTTAATATGGCATTCAATGCAAAACTCATCTTTTTAAAAAATTCGGTCCAACTTTTATACTTTCATCTTAATTAACAGTACCACTCGTGCTGAAGCCAGAAACCTAAGACTTTTCTTAGAACTAACTCTCTCCCTCATCCTTCTCAGGGCATAAGCCACTAAATCCTAACTTGTTTCTCAAAATGTTTTGTGAGTCAGAACTATGCCTATCACCATTTCTTCTTTGGATTGTTTCAACTGCCTCCTCCCTGGCCTGTCAGCCACCAGCGTTTCTGGAGAATACTCCAATTTATCCTCAGCGCATGCCACCATTAACTTTTCTTTACAAAGACGTGAATTCTCTGCTTAAAAACATTTGCTAACTTTCCATGGTCTATAAAAAATAAATCCAAATTCTTTGTCTTGCAAGGTTCTTAACTATTTTTCTGGCTTCATGTTTCTATGACATCATCTCCCACCTATTCTATACTTAGGCCATACTGAATTTCCCAATTTAGTACCTTTACCCACGTATAGGTCTGAGATTCTGAGTCCTAAGTCTGCTATTAACAAGCACTGCCCTGATACTACTGCAAATGGGTCTCCACACCACACTTTGAGAAACACCGCTGTGGAGCCCATCACAGGGACAGTGCCTTATTTATCCTTGCTGAGCTAATGAGCTCTTGCCCGAGTCCACAACTAATAAGCATGTAAAAGGCGGCAGAGCGCCGTGGCAAAGGAGCACAAGAGAGCCCACAGGAGAGGATGGGATCACAGCACGTAATGATGTCCTGACCTCTGATCCAAAATAAAAACGGCTGCAAGTGAGTAAAGAGTTTCAAACTCGGGTAGTGTGGGCAGTGGAAAAGTCAAACGAAGAGTCAAGAATGTGCTCTGACGCCTCTCCCCCGGGCCCGACCCTTACCGTGCAGCAAGTGCTCAGTCTCCCGCAGCTCCCGCTCCTTCTCGTTCAGCAGTTTGATCACCGCCAGCAACTCGGGCCTCCTGACCTTCAAATGGGCTTCAGACCCCGCCTGGCGCTCGAGGAAGGTCCGCAAGGGCCCGCCCCGGGTGAACAGCTCCTCCAGCGGCGGGCTACCGGAGCTCAGGGGCCGGCGGGCTGGGCCAACGGCCCGGCGGGGCCAGAGCCACCGGGCAGCGCCCCACAGAACCCGGGACCGCATCCTTAGTCCGAGATCGCGGACCCTGACCGGAACCGGAAGTTCCGGACACAGCAGCCCTCGCGACAACACCCAGAATTTGGAGATAAGGGTGAGAGCGCACCAAGCCCCGCCCAGCGCAAGCGTTGCTTTTTAAAGGATTTTCCGGAAGCCTTGGCGGGAACTTCCTGCCAAGCGTGAGAACGCTGCGAACTTCCCGGAGGCCAAAAGTTGAGGGGGCTGAGCGGAGCGTGATTGGGGAGGGGCGGGCCTGGGAGACCTTGGGCGCCTCCTCTGAAAGCCTCTTGGTAGGTATCCGGTTGATGGGTGACGTGTTTGGCCGGAAAGGGAGAGCAGCAGATTGCCCCTCTGTTTTCTGATAGTGAGGATTTCTTTCCCATGCACTGAGTCGGGGCCTCCAGAGCCGCAGTGCAGGGCAGTCGAGGGTCCGCTGCAGGGCGGAGGTCACAGCCGCGCAAGTCGTCAGTCTCCGGTGCAGGGCTGCCGCTGAGTCTTCAAGAGCGAGTTTTATTATGGACAGGCGTGTGTTTATTCCTCCTCCTTTTTTCCTGCTTATGTTTCTCTTGTCCACGGTGGGTGAGGTTCGTGGTAATAAGGACTTGATAAGTGTATTATGAGATAACCACTGAATGAATTTGCACAATAGACGTGCGTGCCCTTCATCTGCCGCGTCATTTACTTGCTTTCAAAGGACTTTATTATTCACCTGCCCATTCATTTTCACTTAGTCCCACTTATCGTCAGCTTTTTAAAGAGGTGGAGTGATTCCGTGTTACAGCAACCTACAGCCCAACAAAGCCTTCAGATATCTGCCTCCAGGAGTCCAACCCTCATCCCTTTCCAAAGAACTGGTAGCGGATAGGTGCCAGCAATACCGACATTTATTGGCACAATGCTTTGCACTTTTCAAAAGACCTGTTCACAGCTCAACGGAGAAATAAATATGAGGGAATAAACACAACCAAGACAGTCCTGGGAATGCAAGGGCTAAACGCTCAATCTGAGAACTGCCACTACCTAACTGGTTTGGGCAGCGTCTACTAAGTGGTATTTCACTGTTGAGAGAGGTGATATATTAGAAGTACGAAACTTCTAATTTATTCATAAAAAATAAAATGGTAAAAAATGGGAACCCTTATCAAGGTTAAAATATCCTTAGGTCATCTAATCGAAACTGTTAAGTATAAACATTCTTAGAAAATAACGTTTGCATTGCCTCTCTCTTTTCATCTCTTAGCACGATAACAAATGCAGAGTGAGTGGAAGAATGAAATGACTCTTCAAACATCAGGAAGCAAAAATAGTTTTTTGCTACTTAAAGGCTCCACCTAATTATCTCAGTTCTTTTCACTTTGTGTATTCAAGCTACACAACTTTATACAATCGTTCTGCTGTTGAAACCCATTTTATTTTAATCCTGATCTGAGGATAGAACAGGACTGATCAGGATGTTTTTATCTCTATTAGAACAATTGTTTCCCAAGTCTGAACTTAACTTTGAATTTATCTTAACCATGGAAATGGTGAGAATCACTTGAACTCAACATGGTATATCTCTCAGTTGAGTTCTCAGAACATAAGTCATTTCAACAATATATTTTATTATTTATAAAAGGTGAAACATTTTAATAATTAAAACCTTATAGAACAATGTAAAGAATCTAGCCAGAATTTTATTTTCCCCCAAGTGCATAAGCAATTTAAGTAACACATAGAAGTGTACCTTTTATTCCTATAGTGTTATATACCAATGAGGAAACAGTAACTTTCTAAGGATACATTGTTGAATTCTTTATTAATTCAAAACATTTTAAGAAAGTCAGTGTAATGCATATGCATTTTACAATAACATCCATAGGTTTCCACAATCTAGTAAAATGAAAACAGCTGTATTTTGATTTACTTTGAAAACTCAAACCTATAGTTCGAGACTTCTGAATATTTTTACATTACTGTCATGCTCAAATTCTGTTACATGGTGAAAATTCTAGCATTTTCCAGAAGTATATTATTGTACATAGGTAAAATGATAAAATTGATTCTAGGAAGGGGGAAAAAAAAACCCAGAAAAACTTAAATTGGAGGAAACATAATCTGGATTATCTATTCAATTTGTGAATACCCACCGTTATTCTGGCATTGCAAAATAACCAAGTGTGGTGCCTCTTAAGTTGCATTCATGCATTCAAAACTTCTTTATTGTCCACTGATAAATATTGGTGGAGTACAATATATGGATATAGATTAAGTGTGATGAACATGGTAGTAAAAAATTATACACATTCGATATGTAATTTTACAAAACCAAACACATTGAATTCTTTTTAATATTTAGCAAACATTTAAAAATCATATACAAGAAAGGTGTTTATGACAAATCGGTTAAAGCTAGCGGGAAATAGGTCTTTTACATTATTTCAATATTCAGTGTTCATTGATTAGTGGAGGGCAATATAAAAATGCAATAAGCAAAATGGTTAGTTTAAATTTAAATTACCTCTTATGACAATTAGTAAGATAAGATCTTTAATATCCAAAGTATGTGGAGGATTATTGTAAATTGCGCAGACAGTTCAAGGGAAAAATTCACTTTCACCTCTATTAGGTGAATATTCAGGCTAAGACTTCTGGAGTTTTATTTTTCCACTTCACTGTATTTTCTTTATAGCATTTATTAGTAATCACTTAGTGGAACCTAATATTAGTGTTTAGAATTTGTTTAGCTCAGTGTAAATGTCCAGAAAATTTACCTTCAATATAATCTCTTTAAAAACGCATTACTTTACAGTGGAGAAATATAATAGATGCTACCTCAGCTAAGTGATCAAGGTTAACATCAACAGCTAAGAGTAGCCTAAAGTTTGAGAAACTGTCACAGCTAAGACGAGTCCCGGTGATGGCATATACCTTTGATACCATGTGATGAGCATGGCACTTTACCGTTGTGTTCTTTCAAAAACCAAAAACCTGTGTCTAGTCACGAGAAAAACATCAGACGAATCCCCATAGAAGGACATTCTACAAAATACCAGTTTATTTCTCAAAACTGTCATCAAAAACAAGGAAAGTTGCAGAAACTGTCACAGCCAAGGGAAGCCTAAGGAAACATGACAACTAAATGTAATGTGGTATCCTGAATGGGATCCTGGGACAGAAAAAGGACATTAGGTTATAAACTAAGGAAATCTGAATGAAGTATGAATGTAATGATCAATATTGGCTCATTAATGCCCATAGATGTATATGGGACCTCTCTATTTGGAGTTTTTCTGTAAATCTAAAACTACTCTAAAATAAAAGGTTTAATGGACACATTACTATTTTAAATTTTATACATTTTATTTTTTTCTTAGAGTCAGGGTCTCACTTTGTTGCATAGACATGTCTGGAACTCCTGGGCTCAAGTGATCCTCACGCCTTAGTCTCCCAAAGTGCTGGGATTGTATGCGTGAGCCACCGTGCCTGGCCCATTACCACCTTTTATTAAGTTTTTATTTTCATTGTAAAATTGTTAAAGAAAATCATACCACCTTAATATTAAAAAGAGTGTTTTCTAATTGTCAATCTCTTATAACTTAGTCTTAGCCCTATAACTCATTTATATATTTAGCAAGTAATTTGATATTATTTCTGTCCTTGGGAATGTTGTTTTATTTCCTTTGGAAATAAAACTTTCAAATGATTGATCTTATTTAAACTTTAATTTTAACCTATAATTGTATATCCATTTATCATCTATCTATCATCTATCTATCAATCATCTATCTATCTATGTCATTGAAAGAAACATTTCTATAGATTTGAGGTGATGGTGAACTGAAAGTACTGATTTGGGATCACATTATTGAGAAAAGCAGTAACACTGATATAGTGTTCCATCTTAAAACATGATTGTATGTTTTGATGAGTAGCTAAATCAGATGTTTAACGTATGTTTTGGAAAAAAATAGGGGAAAGTGCATTAAAGTGACATTTAATACAAGTATACAATAACAATTATTGACGTGATGCACTTTGATAAAATAATAATGTATGCCACACTTTATTCTTTCCACGTTTGTTTTATTTAATGCTCATAGTTATCCTGATAATTACGTATTTTATTTGTCATTTGCAGATGAGGAAATGAACTCAGAGAAGATAAATGATTTGCCCAAAGTCACATGAGACAGAAATATAACTTGAAATCAAATTTGTAATTTTAAGTTCCTGATGTTTTTACACTATGCTCCCTAAGTGAATCTGTGGACATACATTTCCATTAGTAACCTTACTCATCTTATAGCTTTTGTCATAGGAAGAAAATCAGTTCCCAAACTGGGACCTTCTATCACCTAGGGCAACATTTTGCCTTTTGTAGTGTTTTCAGTAGAGTCAAAGTCTTGAACAGCCTCTTGAATTCATCTGAAAAGATGTTACTTGGGGCTGGAGAGGACTACACCTGTAAGAGTAATAATTTCAAAAATACCTATAAATAAATCAAATCTGGGTATTCAGAAATAATACTTGTCATTGTGCACCATCTTGTGTTGCAAGGATATTTTAAGCACTGCAGGGAAAATCTGAAGCAAGTTTTGGGTTATCAGTTTTATTGATAAATATTTGCAGTTGTAGCAAGTGAAGAATTAAAAATTTTTGCAGATTGGATATTGTTTTTGCAGGAGAACAAACCCATTGGTCAGAAATTTGAAGATGGAAAACACAAAAATACATGTTTGAAAAATATACTTAGAAAATTATGGTTGTAAACTGTCAATGTAAACAGATAGGCGAAAATATTTTTTGGAAATATCTTTACCATCTTTCAAAATAATTAGGCAATGTGTCAAGATCAAAGTATTCAAAATACATGTTTGATAGGCTTCTATCTATAGGCATTTTCTGTCTAAGACTTAAAAATATTATTATTATAATTATTATTATTATTTTGAGATGGAGTCACTCTGTTGCCAAGGCTGGAGTGCAGTGGCATGATATCAGCTCACTGCGACCTCTGCCTCCTGGGTTCAAGCGATTCTCCTGCCTCAGCCTCTCAAGTAGCCGGGATTAAAGGCACCCACCACCATGCCCGGCTAATTTTGTATTTTTACTAGAGTCGGGGTTTCACCATGTTGGCCAGTCTGGTCTCAAACTCCTGAGCTCAAGTGATCCGCCCTCTTTGGCTTCCCAAAGTGCTGGGATTACAGGCTTGAGCCACTGTGCCTGGCCAAGAAATTTTAGGTGGTTTTCAAATACGTTTTATTTTTGACTTTTTTGATTGTATTTTAAATTCCTTCTCTTTTACATTTCAACACCAAAGCATCTAATAATTGGTATTTTTTGAGATATAATTTGTCACAATTACAATATGATTTTTTAAAGTATAAATAAGTTAAAGGTATAGAAAAATGGATAAACTCAAAAGTAAAAATCAGGCATTATTTTAAATTAGCTTAATGGGATGAAAATGTATTTTTGCTCCTAATAAATAAATATTATTCACTTATCCCTATAGTCCTTTGGCAAAACTGAACTATCAGGTAGATAAACAACACGTATTTCATTCTGTAAGTCAGAACCTAGGCAGCATTAAAGGATACTAATAAACATCCATGCACTAAGACGGCATATCAGAACTGGTCATTCTATGTACATATTTTAAGATTTCAAAAAAAAAAAACATCACATTATGGTCTTGACTTCTGCATTTCGTAACTTTAGTATCAAAGTTGTGTTTTGCTCTTGTTGTTCATGTGCACACTCCAACACTGTCAGAGCATCTCTACTACCTTTGGATAACATCATAACAGCCCGAGTAAAGAAGTGCCATCCATCCATTACTGGTGTGATTAATGTACAAGATCAATCTCTGAAGAAATCTGGCTCTCCAATTTATTTATATATACATAATCTGTATCCTCTACTTTCTTTTATAGATACATCTAAAGTTAGGCACTATAGAAAGTGCATTAATCTCTTTCTGTGTGCATCAGCAAATTCTAATAGTATACAAAGATACCTTGGCAATTGAAAACACAAAGTGTCCATTTTAAAGTGCTAATTTTTCCCCAGGGAGGAATTTACTCACTAGGAAAACTCAAATTCTAAGAAAACAAATATTGTGCTCTTGGAATGGTAGCATAGACACCAGTTGAAGGCTCTTTTGTTTATTTATAATAGCTCTGTAACTTAAACAGAAGGAATTATATCATACTTAGAAAATTAGTAGAGTTGCAAATATACAGACATACTCTTAAATGAGAAACCCTCCCCTCACCCAAAAATACGAGTTTAGCACAGAAATGCTCACATAGCATGGTTATCAACATCTGATGTGTAAATCTGCTCTCGAATCTTTTTTAACTCAACTTCCTCATCAGGTTTCAAAAGGATATACCAACTTTAAAATCTGTGTTCTACAAATGCCCAGGTTAGAGATTAGGACTCTTTATAACGGCCCTTATCTTTTACATTTGGTAAAATATTAAAGATATTGTCAAACAGACAATTCATCTAATAGTCCAAAGTATCTTATAAAGATAACTTATGACTAGCAGGTCACCATCATATATAGTAACAACGAGAATATAAAGTCTACATTTAAAAAGATGGATGCATGCAGTGTATCACAGTATATTACATATTTTCTAGTCATGTGCACCAATTTGTTGAGCCTCACACACAGAAACAAATATGATACTACACCATACATGTGTATATATCATAGTAGCATAATAAACTCAATTCTAAGCAAGAAAAAAATTAAATAATTTAGGAACAATAGAACTTCACAATAGAAGTGATGATTCTTTTAGGTTTTTCTTTACTCTTTAGGAAAAAATATGACTTTTTGTAAACATCTTCATAGCTATCTTTTTTTCAACATATTACTGAAAACTTATTCAAATAGTATTTAAATGACATGAATAAAATATGTCTTAACACACTAACACTTTCAGAAAACACAGGCATTTGTTAAAAGAAATGATTATTATAAATATTTTCTATCTTGCATTTTAACTGCATTTTCATAAATAACGTATTTAAAAGTGCTGAATATGGTAGGATAGTCAGCAACGCCAGTGTAAACAGAATATTTTGTTTTCTACTCTGCAATTTTTAAAAAATCCCATTTTGTCAAACACTGCAACAGTTAAAATATTTGCATAGGGAATAGATAATAGCCCTTTTATTCATGTCTCCTGAATTCTATATAAATTAGAAAATCATACTTGCTTAAAAAAACCATTTTTGAAATGTTTTAAGTTTATGGAAAAAGAAACTTGTGATGCCAACCTTTCAAGTAAAATAAATTTAAAAAGAAACCCCCAAACTTGTTTTTTTAAAAAATATGTTTAATAAATTAAAAAATGAGAGGTAGTTAAAAAAATGACAAAGAAAACCTGTAACTGTAATATCATCCTTAATATAAGGCCAGTGTTCTCAGTGGATATAAATCTTTTTAAAACTTTCATTTTAGGTTACTCAGTATTATATTCATTCAGTTTAATATTAAAAAAATAGTCTTCAGGGGATATTAATATTCAAATGTAACACTTTGATATAAATATGACACTGATTATTTTAATTATCACTTTTATGCATGACAGAATATTGTTTCCTTGAAGGTCAGAAGTACATGACAATGTCAGGCAAGTGTTTTGTCGTAAAGATTTAGTGTACTTATAAAAAATAATATGGCAGCTGGAAGATTTGAGCACTGTACTGCCTTTTAATGATGGATGAAAACTAATAGTTTGGTTTAAACATCTTTAAAATGTCATCCTTAAGATATTATGTGAAAACAGTTAAGGTCTGAAGTAGAGGATTATTTTCTTCATAACCCTTATAAAACTTTTCCTGGTAAAAACTTAGCTTTTCATTGGATTTCACTTTCAAGGAAAATATGCCACAGGACAGATGCTATTCATCAAAATGTTTTACAGTGCTACATGTAGGCATTCCTTTATTAAGTCCTTTTCTTTATATTCCAAAACTAAGTTATCAAGCTTATTATTATTTTTTTCTTGCTGAAGTACATAACTTTACACAACCATTTTAAAACTGGAGAGCCAGTCTTTAATAAATTAATTACAGTATTGGACATCTGATATATACATAAATTCATTTTCTTCTATTACAGTTAAAAGCAATATCACTCTTTTGATTTGTCATTGAGATAGGATATCTTCAAATTGTTTTGTGCTTTTTTCCTTCTTCCCTTTTTTTTTTTTTTTGTTTTTTGCTTTTAGCATAGTAAACTCTCCTGTAATGAAAATGCCACAGTTTTGGCAGTGAACAACCAGAGGAATCCCCATTAGGATTTTCCAACAAACAGAGATAAATAGCTCTTTTTCATGTACAGAAATATTGGCTTCAAAATTAGTGTACTAAACACAGTATATAGAATGTTGAATACCATTGTTACATAGTAAAAATTGCTTTTTTTCTGTCTTAGATTATGTTAAAAAATGCAAACCATGGCCGATTTTTTTGGCAATTATTTCTTAAGACCATATTGCACAAAAGTCCTTAAATACAGATATAAGTTATGCTACTGGATTAAATATTACAACAACTATGTGGCAAATGAAGCATTTTACTTTGCACATGCAGTCTCTGGAGATACACGAGGAGACTGTTCATAGGACTACAAATACACTTTGCTTGCAAGTAGAATGAGTCTTGAATAAAACAAACAATTTGGCAATTCATTGTTTTGTGTGGTATTTTCTCCAAACTTAACCATGGAAAACCTTGATAAAAATGGAGACAAAGACCATAACGGTTGTGTTTTCACAGTAGCCTGAGGAATGCTAAACTGTAGTTCTCCAGGAACTCAGTTTCTGATGTTATTTAACTACTTTTATTTCCCATCTCAGCCCTCCAAAATGATTGTTTTTAAATGAACATTAAGATTCAGAAGAAGAGCCAGCAGTACTTTCAACAAATGACTTATAAATTTGAGAGTTCAAAAACCTTGGAAAAGAATCTCTGTGCATTAAAGTATATATCTGAAGTTGGGCATCTTCATACATGTGAGGATTGGGATCCAACAGATTTCTATTGATCACCTCTCTAACTCGAGAATCAAGACTGACCTAAAAAGAAACAAGAGCAAATACATTAAATAATATTTTTTTCAAAAGACCTCAATTAAGTAACTGTAGGTTTGTGACATTTTAGAGAAACTTTAAAGAGCAAATCCAACTACCAAAAGTCTTGGGTTCATCTTTTGAGACTACACAACCTTATGTACTTTTCTCCTTCAAAATTTGCACTAAATAAAAAAATCCAATTAAGTCTTTTAAACCAGAAATTTAGTTTACAGATGTCTTTGCTTACTTGGTTTTATGGTTTCTATGCATTCATTCAGGAGTTTTTGACAATTTCTAATCATGGTTGAGATACCAGAAATTTCCTAGCCAGAATGTGAATTCACCTCCTGCTATTCTGTGACTGGGGGAGGTTGGCAATATTGATAAGAAGATAAAAATCTACTGGCAGAAAAGAGTTCCCTGGCAAAAATTAACATGCATATAAAATGCCAACTCCCCACAGTTTTGTATCCTAACAAGTCCTACTGTGTCAAAAGTAGGAAACCAAGAGTGTGGCAGGGCATGCAATGAGCAGGTATGCTTCAGGTCTCACATCTACCTGGCAAGGACTAGCAAACATCCTTATATATCCAAAGACCTCTTACTAACGATGAAGCAGATCAGTTGCTTGGAGTGAGATCTTTGAGAGGAGAAATAGGAATAGGAATGCAGAATGACCATTAAGATAATCAATACAGTGTTATTTGAAAAGTGTACAAAAATTAAATTCTGCAATGATTTAGGATCTTCCCCCTTCCTCACTAAATGCAAATCCTCTTGGAACTGGTAAAACATGTTGGAAAGGGAAATGGGGAAAAATACTTGGCAATAAGGGCATGGTTGGAGGAACAGAACTAAAGCCCTGCGCTGAAACACCATGTTAGAACAACCCTACAAGTGGTAAACAACCACTCAAAGTCCAGATTGTTTTCCTCGATCCTCACTGTTTAGCAAGGAATAGGACCTGTGAACCATAGTTATTTCATGACATATTCACATAAAACCTTCCATATTTATATTTAAACATGTTGTCATAAGCATTCTGCAAATGCCTTTTAGTTCTGGCTTCTTTTCCCACCACTGTTCAGACTAAGTCTGGGAACTAATACAGTCTCTTATTGAAGCCTCTCCTATTCCATCCAGTGTCCCCAGGTTCCTGACCTCAACAGACCACGTGGATTTGGGTTGATTGCTACACCCCAGGGATGGCTACTAGATTTGTTGGGAGATGGCAATCCAGACTACATTTCTGTGGCTTAGCCAGACCAACTCATACAGGGACACCTCATTTTACTGCACTTCCCTTTATTTAGTTTTTCGCAGATACTGCGTTTGTTACAAATTGAAGGCTTGTGGCGATCCTGTGTCAAGGAAGTCGACTGGCACCATTTTTCCAATAGCGTGTGCTCACTCTGTGTCTCTGTGTCACATTTTGGTAGTTCCCATAATATTTCACAATTTTCATCATTATTATATATTTTAAGGTGATCTGTGATCAGTGACCTTCGATGTTACTCTTGCAATTGTTTTAGGAGGCCATGAACCATGCCCATATAAGACTTAATTAATTCTTAATTGATGACTATAGTGTGTATACTGACTGTTCCACTGACCTGCTATTCCCATATCTTTGTCCCTCTCCTCAGGCCTCCCTATTTCCCACAGAGAAAACAATATTGAAATTAGGCCAGTTAATAACCCGCCAGTGGCCTCTAAGTGTTTAAGTGAAAGGAAGATTCACACATCTGTCACATTAAATAAAAAGCTAAGAAATGGTTAGTTAAACTTAATGAGGAAGGCATGTCGAAAGCTGAGACTGGTCAAAAGCTGGGCCTCTTTTGAAAGTTAGCCAAGTTGTGTAGGCAAAGGAAATGTTCTCAAAGGAAATTAAAAGTGTTACTCCAGTGAACATGTGAATAAGAAAGCAAAACAACCTGTTGCTGAAATGTAAAAAGTCTGAGTGGTCTGGATAGAAGATCAAACAAGCCACAACATTCCCTTAAGCCAAACCCTAATCCAGAGCAAGGTCCTAACTCTCTTCAATTCTGTGGAGACTGAGAGAGGTAAGGAAGCTGTGTAAGAAAAGTTTGAAGCTCACAGATGTTGGTTCATGAGGTGTAGGGAAAGAAGTTATCTCCATAACATAAAAGTTCAAGGTGAAGCAGCAAATGGCTGATGTAGAAACTGCAGTAATTTATTCAGAAGATCTAGCTAAGATAATTGATGGAGGTGGCTACACTAAACAGCAGGTTTTCAGTATAGACAAAACAGCCTTATATTGGAAGAAGATGCTATCTAGGACTTTCAGAGCCAGAGAGAAGTCAATGCCTGATTTCAAAGATTCAAGGACAGGCTGACTCTGCTGTTAAGGGCTAATACTAACTGGTAACTTTAAACAGATACGAATGCTTATTTACCATTCTGTAAATCCTAGAGCCCTTAAGAATTATGCTAAATCTACTCTGCCTGTGAACTATAAATGGAACAACAAAGCCTAGATGACAGCACATCTGTTTATAGCATGTCTTACTGGGTGTTTTAAGCCCACTGTCGAGCCCTACTGCTCAAAGAAAAAAAAGATTCCTTTTAAAGTTCTACTGCTCATTGACAATGCTCCTGGTCATCCGAGAGCTTTGATGAAGATGCACGAGGAAATTAGTATTGTTTTCATGCCTGCTAACACAGCATCCATTCTGCAGCCCATGGATCAAGAAGTAATTTCAACTCACAAGTATTATTTAAGAAATACATTTCAGAGGCCAGGCGCGGTGGCTCACGCCTGTAATCCCAGCACTTTGGGAGGCTGAAGTGGGTGGATCACGAGGTTAGGAGATCGAGACCATCCTGGCTAACACGGTGAAAACCCGTCTCTACTAAAAATACGAAAAATTAGCCAGGTGTGGTGGTGGGTGCCTGTAGTCCCAGCTACTTGGGAGGCTGAGGCAGGAGAATGGCGTGAACCTGGGAGGCAGAGCTTGCAGTGAGTCTTGATCGCGTTGCTGCACTCCAGACTGGGCTACAGAGTGAGACTCCGTCTCAAAAAAAAAAAAAAAAGAAACCCATTTCATAAAGCTATCGCCGCCATAGTGATTCCTCTGATAGATCTAGGCAAAGCAAATGAAAAACCTTCTGGAAAGAATTCACCATTCTAGTCATTAAGAACATTTGTGATTCATCGAAGGAGGTCAAAATATCAACATTAACAGGAATTTAGAAAAAGTTGATTCCAACCCTCCTGGATGATTTTGAGGAGTTCAAGACTTCAGTGGAGGAACTAACTGCAGATGTGGTGGAAATGGTAATAGAACTAGAATTAGAAGTGGAGCCTGAGGATAGGACTGATTGCTCCGATTTCATAATAAAACTCTAAAGAATAGGGGCTTGCTTCTTATAGATGAGCAAAGAAAGTGGTTTCTTGAGATGGAATCTATTCCTGGTGAAGATGCTGTGAACATTGTTGAAATGACAACAAAGGATTTAGATTACATAAACTTAGTTGATAAAGCAGCAGCAGGGTTTGAGAGGATTGACTCCTATTTTGAAAGAAGCTCTACTGTGGGTAAAATGCTACCAAACAGCATTACATGCTATAGAGAAATCTTTTATGAAAGGAAGTCAATCGATGTGGCAAACTTCATTGTTTTCTTATTTGAATAAATTGCCACAGCCACCCCAACCTTCAGCAATACCAGCCTGATGAGTCAGCAGCCATCAATGTCGAAGCAAGACCCTCTCTCCACCAGCAAAAAGATTATGACTTTCTAAAAGCTCAGATGACTGTTAGCGGTTTTTATCAATAAGGTATTTTAAAATTAAGGTATCCACATTTTTAAGACATAATGCTGTTGCTATGCTATTGCCAAGTATTGTTTATACTATGACTACAGTATAGTATATCTTTTTTTTGTTTTTTTTTTTTAGTCTCGCTCTGTCGCCCAGGCTGGAGTGCAGTGGCGCGATCTCGGCTCACTGCAAGCTCCGCCTCCCGGGTTCACGCCATTGTCCTGCCTCAGCCTCCTGAGTAGCGGGGACTACAGGCGCCCGCCACCACGCCCGGCTAATTTTTTGTATTTTTAGTAGAGACGGGGTTTCTCCGTGTTAGCCAGGATGTTCTCAATCTCCTGACCTCGTGATCTGCCTGCCTCGGCCTCCCAAAGTGCTGGGATTACAGGTGTGAGCCACCGCGCCCAGCCAAGCATATCTTTTATGTGCATTGGGAAGCCAAAATATTTGTGCGACTTGTTTTGTGGTATTTGCTTTATTGTGGTTGTCTGTAACTGAACCTGCAGTATTGCTGAAGCAAGCCTAAAAAACATTACTTGGCTGAACTACACATTTGTCTTTATTGGGAATTCTTTAAAAATAAAAATGTTCTGGAAATGAATTGTTCAGTTTTTATTTTCTGTTATTACCACATGAGGTCACTATCAAGTACAAAGTAATTTTAAAAAGCACAGAATATTTTTCCCCAACGTTTTTATTTTACCTGAAAATGTATTTTTGCATTTATATGCCAGAGGGAAATGCTGACACTGGAGTTTAAACTGAGATAAACTGATTTATCTTATTCTGGAACATCATGTTATGGTAAGGTAAATTCTTACCAAACACACTCCTCTGTTTTCTTTCAAACTTGAGAAAACTTTTTGTTTCAATAGAGCAGGAAACCTTACATTAGAGATTAAAAAAGGGGGGGTCATTTACTTCTTAAAAAGTAGTATCATTAAATATAGTGTAAAAGTTTCTTCTCAGTAGAAGGAATCATTATTATCTTAAGACAAATAAAATAAACTATTAAATGGCTTATGTCCTCATTGTTTAATTTTTAATTTTTTTGCAAGCTAAAAACAGTAGTGAAATATTGTAAAGTCATACAGTTCAATATTTAGTAATCTATAACAAAAATGCATTTGTTATTTCTATTTAAAGAATAAAATATTTACCTTAATATCAGGTTGTTTGTCTGAAAAGGCTGTCGATCAGTCAAAAGAAGTGTAGCGAGGTCAAATAATAAGGATAAACCCCATGGGGATAACAATCTATTGTTTCATCTTGTGCCATCTTTGTGCTTCAGAATGTGGATCATCTATAATACAAGGTATTGGTGGTGGATCCCAGTTGGGCCTGGGCCACAGTCACCCTAGGATTCAGGTGTGTCTGGATGGCTTCTAAAGCCATCTTATCTGGGCTCCATTGCATGAGGGACTGAGGAATTTCCTGTAAAGAACTCATCCTAAGGGAAGAGAAAGTTGAGTAGCACAAGATAAGAGCTATCCTCGGGCAATGCATGTCTCCTCTTATCTCAGGCCACAAAGACCCATACCAAGGTGGTGTGGAGAAAAGAGTGCATTCCAGCAATAACAGAATTTATAGCACAAAAGCACTACCCTTGTGAGACAGGGCACAAGACAGCATGATAGGTTTGACCGCATTTAACTGGCAGTTTTAGCAGTGCTGAAAAGTCCGGCAATGTTGAGACATAGCAACTGAAGTTTTAAAAAGACACAAGTGACTTTGCAATAGGTCTCGGTGAACTTGGAAGCATTCATTCCCACAGGGAGCAGGAGACAGGGAGGCAGAAAAGCAAGGGACTTGCAAGCAAAAAGTCATGAGAGCGAAGTGGTCAACAAAAGTATGGAGGTAAAGCGAGGAGAATGAAGACAGAGAAATCTTGTTAGTGTGGCTTGGGAAAATCTGGGCTAAACGGAGTCATATACCCTGGTTAATCTTACTAGATTTCCTATTCATTGAAGGAGGACATGAAGGTGGGTTAGCATTGCTGAAAGGGGGTACACCAACTTTTCACCCTGCCTTTTTATTCCAGTCATCAAGATGCAAGGGAAAATTTGATCCTATGGACATTTTTGGCATAATTATACGAGAATATTGAATTTTTACTGAAAGTCTTTTTCTCTGTAGAGAACCTTTCTTTATGTTATTTAATTCCCTGAACAATGTTTTTCACGTATCACATCCAAGTGTTTTCTCCATTTTTCTCTCTTATTTTTACTGTTACTGAAGTTGCTTTATTTAGAATTCCTTTCCAAGTAAAATTCTGATTAATTTTTTCCCTTTATAAGTCCATATCAAATTTTACCAATGGTAACATCTGCCACTGGAAATTTTCTTTTCTGCTTTTAATTTGAACTAAATTTGGTATTCCTATGTTAAATTTTATAAATCTAAAGAATACATGATCCTCCTATCAATTTTCATTTTTACTTTGTGTACATTTAGTCACATTTTATTTTGTGCTTGTTATTTCTCCTGAAAATAATGGCACATTGCAAATAAGACCAGTTGTTTGAATTTCTCTCTTAGAACAAAGATTATTGGTAGGGTAAACTGTAATGTAATACTCTTGGTGGTGTCTGGATGATAGGAAAGTATATCCTGCTGGTCTAGGGGAGGGTTCAGGCCTGTGGTTAAGGTTGCTATTTCTCATCATGTGTGAAGTTCTACGGTTGGGTTTATAGAAATCTAAGGTAACATCAGGAAGAAAATATTAGGCAATGGAAGAATTAATCAGCATGGTATATTTGGAAAAGCACCACATTTGGAATCAGAAGATCTTGGGCTTGAATTCTATCTCTACCAGATATATTTATAATTTCCTCAAACATTCATTTCACCTCTTTGAGTATCAGTTTCTTTTGCTGTAAAGTGGTACCATCGGTCCTCGTGGCTGAAAGATTGTTGTGAGACTCAGACTGTAATAATATAGGCAAGATCACTGTGCCAATAATGAAGCCAATGTAAAGTAATTAATAATAATTGATCATAATTATGACATCATCTTGATCAAACCCAATGTGTTTGGCTTTTGCATCAATTTGAATTTTACCTTCTCAGAATGACCTTACCTGACTACTTCTATTCCATCTAATTCAATCTCCAGCCCATCACAATTTTTAGTTACTTATTTCAACAAGATTTGTCTGTCTTCCTAAAATGTAAGCTCCATTAAGGGATCGGCCAGTGTCTCTTGTTTATCATCATATCCCCAACATCTAGTCCAGTGCTTGGCTCATAGGAAATAGTCAATATTTTTTGAATGATAATATGCGTGCATAAAAATACATTTAGGAAAATACAGTCAAGTGAGTTCTGTTTAGAAAAACTGACTTAAATCATTGAATGTGCTAAATTCACATAATTTCACTTAAAGACATATCTACATGGACACACAGAATCTGCATGTCTATCACATAAGCATTATTTTGTAGATAATTCTGGTGTTCAAATAGGTCTATTACTTTTTTCTCTCAGATGGTAACTGGGAAGTTAGAAAAATCAGAAAAAGCAAACTCCTACTACGATTACAATTACCATTCCCCAGAGCTTGAACATCACAGATATCACGGGTTTTTGGGCTTTCCCCATGCCTTCATTCATAACACTAGGACGTGGAGGTTCCAGCGCACTAAAGCGAGCTGCTAAGTGGCTCACAGATGGTAAGTGACAGATGCAGTTTATAGTCCTGGTAACGACAACGCCATCACTAGGCAGATTTCTACCTAACTGGACCATGGTTTTCTTCAATTCAGATACATATCTTATATTTATTGAAGGATTTATAGTTATTTCTTTGTTCAGTAGCTTAATGCTGTTTACAGTTGATAAGAGCCTCTAAGTAGATTTTTTATTCAAGTTATTTATTTTGCTAGGTTTGTCTTTTGATATCGTTTGGATGTTTGTTCCCACCCTAATCACAGGTTGAAATGTAATCCCCAGTGTTGGAGATGGGGTCTGGTGGGAGATGACTGGTTCATGGGGGCAGATTTCTCATGAATGCTTTAGCACCATCTTCTTGGTTCTGTCCTTGATATAGTGAGTGAATTCTTGCGAGATCTGGTTATTTAAAAGTGAGTGGCACCTCCCCACCCCTTGCTCCTGCTTTGCCCATGTGATGTACTTGATCTCCCTTCATCTTATGCCATGATTATAAGCTTCCTGAGGCCTCCCTAGAAGCTGAGCTGATGCCAGCACCTTGCTTCCTGTGAAGCCTGCAGAACTGTGAGCCAATTAAACCACTTTTCTTTATAAATTACCCAGTTTCAGGTATTTCTTTATAGCAATGCAAGATTGGCCTAACACATCTTTTCAATAATAAATATAAGCTGCCACCAAAATCTGCAATGTGGAGCAAGTCTACTATTAGGCTTAAAGGCCTCTTTATTATCTTCATTTGTTTTCCCTTGAAGACATCACTTTTAAAAAATTTACTTTTTAAAACAAATGTGTAAATTTCTAGTTTTTTTTTTAGTTTGGCCTTTTCCTTCATAAAATGTACACTATACCAAGAACAGAAGTTATGTCACCTCCTAATTGCAAATATCTTAAAAAAAAAAAATATATATATATATATATATATATATATTTTTTTTTTTTTTTTTTTTTTTTTTTTTTTTTGAGACAGAGTCTCGCACTTTTGCCCAGGCTGGAGTGCAGTGGCACGATCTTGGCTCACTGCAACCTCCGCCTCCCAGGTTCAAGTGATTCTCTTGCCTGGGCCTCCCAGGTAGCTGGGATTACAGGTGCCCGCCACCACGCCCGGCTAATTTTTTGTATTTTTAGTAGAGATGGGGTTTCACTATGTTGGCCAGGCTGGTCTCGAATGCCCGACCTTGTAATCCACCCATCTTGGCCTCCCAAAGTGCTGGGATTACAGGTGTGAGCCACCGCGCCCGGTGATATCTCTTATTTTATAACACAATGCTCAAATTATTACAAATGCATAAAACATATTCTTAAAATAAGGTAATGTAATTTTTAGCACATTGACTTCAATAGTTTCATTAGGGGAAAAAGTTATCTATATATAAATGATTTTTAAAATGTAGTTGTTTTTCTATATTTAACAAAGAGGAACACAAATACGCAATCAAATTAAGGTAAAATGAAAGTCTAGTGAAGAAAAATGGCCTTCTGTTTAACAGTAAAATCATGACAATTTTTAGGCATTACCATTTTATAATGAGTCAAATGTTCATGTTCTTTAAAAATATTCTGAATAAGTAGAAACATGCATAGAATTTCAGAGGTAGAAAGCCAAGATTGTCTAGCCCCAAAATGAGAAACAGATAGGAACTCAGATTGGTATTAACTGCCTTGAGTACTGTGTTTAAGTAGATTCTGAGGTTCAGTGTGGGGACAGCAGTAAGGAGGACCATGATGGATAAGCTATGCCATTAGGTAGAGAGGATGAAGTAGTAGCACAAATACTCTGAATAAATAGAAACATGTATAGAATTTCAGAGATAGAAAGCCCAGAACGGCCTAACAGACCTTTTCAATAGCTTCATAGCCTTACAGTTGCCATTATGCATTTGGTTTATTAGTTTCTGTGCTTATTTTTATTGTTATTTTTGTAAACAAATGAACTGAATGTTGAGACTCAGAGGGGTAAAGTGATTTATCCCAGGCCACACAACTGGGATGTAGCAAAGGCAGGATTAAAATCCTGTGCACCTGAATATTAGTCCAGTGCTCTAATTCCGGTATAATCAGGACTCTCTCAATCTGACATGTGCTCTCTCCAATGTTAGAAAACAAAATCTGAAGAGTGGTAACTTGATGTAAGTCAGTAATGTATTGTGGCTGATTAGAAATGGATGACTTTTTGCACAGGAAGTTCAGTGAGGTACATAATAGATTGAACTGGCTTCGGAATAGCCGGAAAGTGCATGCCATGCGCTGAGTATATCAATGAGTCGAGTCAATGAACAGGATACCTTGGTTTAAAACATAGCTTTTTAACAATTATCTTTTATAACTGAAAATATCTACTTTTGCTTGTTTGTTTTTGCCATTAAACAATGATTAAATTTAATTACTCTGTTGACAGGATAGAAATCAGCTGGCTAAACAATGGCACTTCAATGGTCTATTAATTTCTATACCAAGAGTTAATTACAAGTCGGCAAAATTAGAACAAGTTGAATTTCACCTCTGTCTCTGTTTCTTTGTGATATTTTGAGGATATTAAAGAACGGGTAATGGCCAAAATATGGGTATTAGGAAACATAAAGGAGAGAGTAAATATGGTTACGACACTAAACATTAGTGTATGTCATTCTGGAAAGGTCATGTTCTTGATCAGGAAATGAGATTTTAGTGACTTTCTGGTGAAACTTGTGTTCAAAAGAAAGAAATTAGGTGAAAACGGCCAGGCGCAGTGGCTCACACCCGTAATCCCAGCACTTTGGGAGGCTGAGGCAGGCAGGTCACTTGAGGTCAGGACTTCGAGGGCAGCCTGGCCAACATGGTGAAACCCTGTCACCACTAAAAATACAGTAATTAGCCCGGCGTGTTGGCGGGTGCCTGTAATCCCAGCTACTTGGGCGGCTGAGGCAGGAGATTCGCTTGAACCCAGGAGGTGGAGGTTGCAGTGAGCTAAGATCGTGCCACTGCACTACAGCCTGGGTGGCACAGTGAGACTCCGTCTCAAAAAAAATTAGATGAAAACAAACCTCTATTACTTTAGCAAAAAGAATGGAAACTCACTAGTTTATATTTAAATAATCACTATTGTAACTCTAAACATGCCTCAAAAAGAAAAAATTAAGTATTCTACAAAGCTCCATCAATCAGTGACATCAGAAAATCAGGGGCTGTGTGGATAATAAGAAAATGTTTTACATAAAAAACTAAACATTAAAGAACAGAAACTGTAAAAATAAGGGACATAGTATGGAGAATATTTTTTCTCCTAACACTGAAAAAGAATGGAACAGTCATCATTTTAAGATGCTACAAATATAGCACAAAGGAATGGACTAAGTAATCTAGACAACTATCACTTTAAGATGTCACATCTTACATACTTTGGGGGCAGAAATGGGCTTGATAATCTTCCCAAGGACTCTCATTTTGTATAATTACAGGCAAAAGAAGCACATATTTGGGCACATTTGGATCATCTGGTTTATTTGCTATGTGCAATAACTTTAAAATAATAAAAATTAGCATAAAATTATTATACTGATAAAATACAAGTAGAGTTGTTTAGATACTAAAATTCGAGGCAGGCTAAAAGCCTGAAGAATGCAGTTTTAAGATGCAGAATTATACCGGTGTTAGAAATACAGTGTGACATCAGTAACAAATGTGTTGAGGCTACATATTTATTACTGATGTCACACTGTATTACATTTATTAAATTCTCCCCACCTTGCTTTTATGAATACATTTTTCATGTTCATGTAGGAAATAAAAAAATAAATCAATCCTTTGTGCGTCTAATTCTAGAAGGTTTCTCATTTTGTAGAGACAATAGTCCTGGAGCACTCTGGAATACCAATGGCATTTTAACCTAACTAATTAAAAAAAACTATATAACTTAGGTACTGTATATCTTATTAGAAGTGAAATCGTTTATGTAGCATTCCAAACTTAGAGGTTAATAAAATAGACACTAATTCCTTTTATAGATCTCAAAGCAAGGAGTGTAAGGCAGCCTGGGACCATGCCAGGTATTGGAGGAGGAACAGATGACTGTAGCCCATAAATGTTCAGGTGCACAAGAGAGGGGCATGCCATTTAAATGCAAAGGTAAAAATCACAGTTGTTTAGGAGAAACAAAAAAGACAAAAAGAGGCTGGGATGGAAAAGAGAAGACATTCTAGGAACCTCTATGTTCTCTAAGTGCTTTGAAGCCCTCTGGAGCTCCATCACACAGGGCTCCAAGGGCCTGGCCACATTATTAACCACTCTTTCACCAAATGCTTTTAACTCTGTTAGCTGGAACATTTCTCAAGAACAAATTAAGTTTTAAACAGTCAATGGAAAAGTGCTATTTGGTTGCTAGAAGTATTGCTTATTGATTAGGTACATTTTGGCAATGGGAAAGACACTTGCACTTTCAATAACAGAAAACCTAGAATAAGTAATATAATTTCCATTTCCCACCTAAGAATATTAGTGGTCAAGGATCATTTTTCATTTCTGTAAAGAGTCAATCATAAACATCAACAAACATGTCAGATTTCTTTTTTTTGAGTACCTATACCAGAGGTTTTCCAACTAGTATGTATGTGGAAAACTTGTTAAAAGTGCAGATTTCTGGGTCCTATTTCCAAAAATTCAGATTCAGAAGTCCTGGTTAGGCCTTAAGAATTTGTTTTTTAAACAAATGCTCCAGGTGATTCTCATTCACATGATCTAGGGGTCATGCTTTGCGAAATACCACCCTAAAATACATTCTCTCTTTCCATTTTCGTTTGTCACAGCAAATTGTGTTTAAGCAGGCTCCTTAGTGTTAGTTCTGAAAAGCAAGTGAACTACCACACAAGTCAGCTAGAGATAAACAGTCAAAGCATAGTAGGGAAACCTAGCCTTCAAACATGTGTTCAAGGAAATTCTCCCAACAGAAGCTGAATTATCTACCCAGTGAAATCTTCTACCCTCTCCACACCCCATGCCCTACCCAATGTGGACAGCCATCCCTTGACGGTTATCCTTGGTCTTAGGAAGCCCACCTCAATGTTTTCCAGATTTTTACCTCTTTTGGTGATAGTATAGAAATGTAATCTTCATATATCATCCTAGCCTTTTCTTCAATTACTTTTTTGTTCTGCTCCTTCTTTAAGTCTTCACAAGCAAGCCAGAAAAGTAGGTTCTCTTCACTGTATTCTGTTCGGAGGAACTCTCTGAAAAGGTTTCTTCCTGCTGGGGCCTTCATCATCTTGTCAAAATTTTGAGACCAGGACAAGACTTCCTCTGCAGTGGGGTTTTGGCTGCAGAGACAGAACGGGGCCGTGATCAAAGGGAACTTTGTGACCAGTGAATGCTAGACCAGGTAAGGAGAGGAGCAGATAGAAATTCTATCAATTTGCTGCCATCTAGTGGTCAGTATTTTGCCACTCAGTCCAGCCTGATGTGCCAAATAAGTATCTGTCAGGACTACGTCAGTTATTTCAGGGTTTTGACAAAAATTCACACAGGCATAAGAGACATGTAGGGAGACAAGCATTCAAACAGCAAGGGGCCTAAACATAATATGCATGCAGTCATCGTACATTCCTAATGAAGCTTGGAAATGTTCAAACTTTAACAATGTGTTGCAAGTTGATAGAAACTGTCTGTAAGTGACTAAGGACAACATGAATTTTTTCTTTGCCTCTAATCAGGATTTCAATTTTCCAGCCATAAGATACAGTTTTTTTTTCTCATCTCTGGTGGCCATTTTTTTCATCTGTCACTTGATTTAAAATAAGAATACACTGTGTGCACTTGTCACATATTTTCCTAAACTTTAATAATTTTTCTGTTGGGCATGGTGGTTCATGCCTATAATCCCAGTGCTTTGGGAGGCTGAGGTGGGAGGATCTCTTGAGTCCAGGAGTTTGAGGTCAGCCTGGGAAACATAGCAAGATCCTGTCTCTGCAAAAAAAAAATTAAAAAATTAGCTGGGTGTGCTGGCATGTGCCTGTAGTCCCAGCTATTTGGGAGTTGAGGCAGGAGAATCACTTGAGACAGGAGCTTCAGGTTACAGTGAGCTATTACCATCCCATTGCACTCCTGGCTAGGCAACAAAATGAGATCCTGCCTCTAAAAAAAAAAAAGGTTTTTTTCCTACGAAAAGTTAATGTACGAATTGTTAGTCATGAATGGAGTTATCATAATTGGAAGCAGAGTGCTTCTATAATGACACTGACATTGGGGAATTTAAAACTATATACAGATCTTTTAGTGACTAGGTGACTGCAAAAACCACTAGTAATTAATCCACTTGCTTATACATTAAAGAAGTAGAAGACAGAAACTTGGAGAGTCTTATGGTTAAAATGATTCTGATCTTCCTTTCCTATTCAATGATTTACTTAATAATTTTCCAATCTAAAAGACATTTGGCCAAAGAAGTATGTTTATATATATATATAAACATATATATATAAAAACATATATATATAAACATATATATAAACATATATATAAAAACATATATATATAAACATATATATAAACATATATATGGTAAATACATATACACATAAAAAGGTAAATACATATATAAAGGTAAATATATATGTATTTACCTTTTTAACCAGGTATTTCAAATAGATTGTTACTATTCCATAATCTCTGCACTTCCTCATTCACTTAAAACAATTTTTAATTTTAAAAAGCTTAAAAATGACCATGAAGCATCATTAAAACCTTCTCATAAAAAGCAGAAAAAGAAAGCACTTACAATTATATGACTGGACTATTTGTATTTTGATTTTAGTCCATAGGTACCTCTCGTTTGGGAGGCAGCACGTGGGGAGAGTCTGCTCTGGTAGAAAAGGAACCAGGAGTCGCTGGGTGCCCTTCCTCACTCACTTGGACATTCCATATCATTTGTGTGTGTGTTTAGACACTTCTCTTATAAAGAGAAAAACTTGAATTCTCAGAAATGAGAAGTAATGAATTAGGGCAATTTTGGGTGCTAATTCATAAGACAATCTTTATTTTTTTTAAAGAGAAAAGTAAATTTAGATCATGTTTTAGCCAATAACTTAACATAGCTAATAGAAAAATTGCTGAAAAGCAACAGCAATGACAAAATAAGATCTTCCAGATTGAATTTGCATTCACTTCCCAAAATCATTTTGAAGAGTACCATGAAGCAAGGGGTAATACTGAGGCACGCAGTTGATGTAAATGGCATATAAATGCAAGAAACAATAGCTATGTGGTTCTCACACTCACCATTCCTCTAGGACCTGGATACTCTCCATTTTTGTAGTGTGTGTGGGTCTTCCCGCATTTTCCCCTCTTTCTTCATTCCTCACAGTGAGGCTGTAATGTAACAGAACATTTAATTTTGTCAAGGGAAATTCAATCAGTTGAAGAAAAGAATAAATTTTTCTGGGGAAACATTTCACAGGAGATCTTATATTCAACTATGTGAGAATATTTAAAGTATAAAAGAGCAATACCATTTTTAAATGATGGGCAAGCCCATGTCAAAGGGAAGAGAATAATTTTTAAATAAAATTATATAGTAAATCAGACTCCCAAAAGTGGATATTGTTAAATATTCTGACTTCATCCTTACATAATCTGAATTACTGAATATTTCTGAGATATATGATTAAATGCCTTAATATTATATATATATGTATATACACACACACACATATGATTACCTTACTCTTTAAACAAAATGTCATTTTGATTTTTGGTTAATTCTATTCATAGTCTGTTTTCCATTAATTTTCCCCGATTGAGAGCTAATAAGATACAATGTGTCAGAATCTAATACAGATTTTGCTAAATTTACATTGTTACCGATAATATCATTCCTTCAATTGCTAAAATCAAGCTACCGGATTTATATTTGACTTTGTTTTTGCCCTTTCACCCCAGTAAATCAATGTCCAAGGTCTTGAAAGGGACAGACCAGTAACTGAGCATTTGGAACAGGTGAGCATTGGGTGGGAGGGGTGTGTGTCTGTGTAGCATAGGTTTGGGAATTCTACAGCATCATAGAGGACAGAGGATAATGCCGAAGGTTTTAGTAGCCCAGAACAAGAATAAGAATAAGAATTGTCCAATGACAATTGCTCCCTAAAGCTGAGCAGTGCTTTAGGGCAAAACACCGAAAACTCTCGGTGTGGACTAGAAACAACAGGTGAGGTCATGGGAGATACTAAGAAGCAGGGTAGGGAGAATAACTCAGTGGCTCGGGAAAATTTGAGCTCCCAAATTAGCCAACTGATCCCTCTGTCTAGAAGCCGAGGAGCTTAAGAGCCTGGCAGAGAGCACAAGAAGTTCAGATAACATCTCTCATTTGTTCCTTCTTTCACTTACTTACTCAAAATAAGAAGCAATGGAAATGATGATTTTCTAGTGCCTGTTATGTGCTGGGCACCATTCTTTTACCATTAATATTATTATCCCCATTTTACAGATGAGCAAAGTGAGGTGCAGACCCGTCTGGGAGGCTGGCCCAAAACCGAACACTAAATAGGTGCTATAGTTGGAATTGGAAGCCTACCCTGTTCAACAACCCTGTATTTCTGAGTGCCTGCTATGAACCATGGCTGCTGATAGACACTGAGGTCATAGACCACTTACTATGTGAATGCAAAGAAGGGTCACTAAACATCGTTGGTATGGAAAGAAAGTGTTTAGGAAGAGGTGCCCAACAAGCAGTTATTCTCAATCTGGAAAGTCTGATAAGAGAAACCAAGACAATGTCTCCTTAATTCCTTCTTTCATTCTCAAGTGCAAGCGTGAGGACGGAGAGAATGGAGCAAAGGGAAATATTAATTTCTGACAAGCGGGCCCATCTACAATGGAAAGTGAGGCTAGATAGGAAAACTGACCTGAGAGAGCAGACTCACTGGAAAAAGGAGAACCCAATAGGAATTGAAAAGGATTCTGTAGTCAGGAAAAGGACATAGAAAACATAGGATTTCATAGTGAAATACATTGAGTTTGCCTCTACCCATTTCTAGGGACAGGGGCAGGTTTATTGGTGTCGAACCATGGAGGGAAAGGTAATGTAGCCCAGAAGGATTCTGGGGAGCAGAAACTAGAGTGGATGGTCCCTTGGACCTGCTGCACATTGACTAGACCCCTGCTGGAGGCAGCAGTCCCAGGGTTAGAGACAGCAAAGCCTTTAGCGTAGTGTAATTTTGGGGAGGAATTCAGAGACAGTGCATAATTTTGGAGGTATTTGCGTGTGAGTGCTGTGAATGTGTCTGAGGTTTGAGATAGCCTGGGAAACCTCAGTCCTCTATGTCACTATACAAATAGGCCAGATAAGTATTTTAGAGGAGATTCATGAATGAGTAAGAAAGTTCTTCTCTGGAATTTGATGTATTTCCAGTCATGATGGGAAAAGTGGATGGGGGGGGATACACTGCTGACAATATTCTGTAAAACTTCCTGTATATATAAAATGTACAATTTTTTGGTAAATTCTATTCAGCTCTTTTTAAAATAGGAAATTGATACTCATTCTGTCAACCTTTATTGAGCTTCTATGTGTGTGTGCAAACACATATTAAGGCACTATAACACAACTAGCAAAAGAGCTTTCATCCCCTGCTTAAATAATAAACTCCTTGAGTTTATTTTTATTACATTTCCACACAGTGTTCTACAGAAGGCAGTACACATGACGCAGGTATACTTCATTTCATTAAACATCTTTGAGAAATTTTTTTCTCCGTTGTGCCTTTGCCGTAGAGTGACAAATCTGGAGTCTACAGGCATGAATCACGAGTTTCTGAACATGAATTCTGGCTCTTCTATCTGTTTCTGTGATATTTACAAACATCCCAAATGCTACCATATTAGAGCGATCATTACGAAATATTAGGTTGAGTTTACATCTTTCTTTTCTACAGGTGGTAAAATATGGACACACATTTGGACTAAAACTACTTACAACAGACATTCAGTAAATGTTTAACTATTCACTGTGCAGCTCTTGATCTACTATTGGCCACAGTCTTGCCCTGTAGAAATTGAACTTTGGCAACAGACAAATTGTCCTTTTTATTAACTGTCCTTTACTACCGGTCTTAAAAAATGGGTTTCAAGGTTTCAGTTATCAAGAACTGCTGAAAATACCATTTTAAGTTAAAGAGAAATGGAGAAAATAGACAAGGGATTAATACTTAACAGTTTGTCTGTCTTGATATTGACTAATGTCTGTCCTACCTGGTCCTGCTCCAAGTAGTGCATTGTTGTTGTTGTTTTTATTAATTCACTGGAAATATTTGCTCTAGACCAACTTATATATGTTATATGTGTTTGAGGAAAGCCCTAAAAGGAAAATACCAGATCAACAGTTTTGAGGGTCCCATAGAGACACTTTTTTTTTTCTTTTTCTTTTTCTTTTTTTTTTTAAGACGGAGTGTTGCTCTGTTGCCCAGGCTGGAGTGCAATGGCATGATCTCAGCTCACTGCAAGCTCCGCCTCCCGGGTTCAAGTGATTCTCCTGCCTCAGCTTCCTGAGTAGCTGGGATTACAGGCACCCGCCACCATGCCCAGCTAATTTTTGTATTTTTAGTAGAGACAGGGTTTCACCATGTTGGTCAGGCTGGTCTTGAACTCCTGACCTTGTGATCCACCCACTTTGGCCTCCCAAAATGCTGGGATTACATGTCTTGTTTTTTCTTTTTAGCCCATATCTCTCCAAGAAGAGACACTCCCCCACTGACTTTTATGTATGTAACATTTAAAACTAACATTTCTACTTTTTAAGCAATAAAAGCCACAAAGAGAACTAAACACATACACAGTGCTCACTGTGAGGGTCTTGATCAAACCTTAAATACTTTATGGAAGAAAAGTGCCAATATCCTTGGCCAAATATACTAAAATAAGCATTTAAAATCCCATTAGAGATTTTCTAAATAGTGACTTTGAAAAGGGAGGAAAAATACTTGTGACATTTGAGAACTTAAGAAAATGTGCCCCCTCTCTATGGGGGTGGATTGTTTGTTTACAGGGGAGTGTGGACAGTGGAGTGAGAAAAAACATTACCTGCTGCCAATTATACAGTTTATCTACTGATCTGTCATCATGGATATGCGCAGGGTCTATTTTGGAAGACACTCTTCTATTGTAAGGAAAACAATTGGTTCTTAAGAAAAACTGTTAAAATGGTTGCAAAGAAGATAAAACTTACCAGTAGCCATGGTAACTCTGGGATAGAGGCTGGTCAGGAAAGCACATATATTTACAGAAAAATTAAACTGAAGAATCAATAAGATGCCTAAATTTAATACAGTGTGACATCAAGGCTCCAAGAGAGAACTACTGTCACTGGTAAAAGCAGTCTATTCAATATTGAAATAGTCTCACATTGTGATATCAATCTTTTCTTTTTATTTAACAGCTTCTACCTCAAAGTTCCTGGTGCAAAAATGAAATCAACATCCTTCAGGCTCTGAAAATGAATTGGTAGATTATTCTTTAAATACTTCATTTTCAGCATTCAAGATATCACAGTAAATACTAGAGGAGTTAGCAATACTTTAGTAATGTGTATGAAACACTGGTTCATGCAACATTCCCTGGTTGGACATAAAAGGTGAATAAGACAAAGGCTCTGCTACTGAGGAGCTCAGACGGGTAAATAAACATCACATGGCATTGTGATAAGAACTCGGACAGAACTGTGCATATGGGGTTTCTTAGACACCCTTGATGGTACCTGTGCTTTTGCATAAGAGAATTGAGAAAGGCTTCACAGAAGACGTAAAGATTAAATTGGGTTGAAAATGGGCAGTTGTTTGCCAGATGGAGACCTGGAAAAAGGGGATCTCATTCAGAGTGGGGATAAAATCATGCAGGGGCACAATACAAATGTAGAACAGAATGGACATATCAGATGTTGCAGGGCTGGAGCAGGAGAATAAAACAGGCAGCAAAGTATGTGTTATCCAAGAAAATGATGAGGTGGACTCCAAATGTAGAATATACCTCCTTTAGGATGGTTTAAGCTTTCCATGCTTTGTTTTCACCATTCATAATGGGGATAATGGCAATGAACTACTTCACAAGGATGTAAAACAAAAAATAAAAGCTTGTGACAAAAAGGCCCATTATTACAGATGCTTAGTTGAATGGAAGGGCAAGTTGGTTGCATATTAAAATTCCAATTCCAAGTTTACCAAAGAGCTTTTTATTTCCACCTGAGTAAATAGAGACTTCTCCTTTGTCATTATTACACAACACTTCCTCATCCATTACCTTGTCACTTCCTCCTCACAATAGTCCTTGAAGGTAAGCAGCAGAGTTGTTATTAGTCATTCTTGTTTTATTTACAAGGAAACAGTTATTGGGGTTGACTTACACAATACCCACAACTCAAAATTATTAGAACTAGGATTGGAATTCCCATCTTCTGACTTCCTGTCTCAGGCTCATTTTCACTCTGCAATGCCATTTCTCTTTACATAGAAGAGTTAATTGTGGTATTGCAAGTGTTTACACAAGTGATTTTTCTTAAGGTTTGGAAAAATAAACCTCCTAGTACAATCCAGTACATTGAGTATAAATGCCCTCTCTAAGTATCATCCCACAGCTATCACTCCATAGGAGCTGTTGCCCAGAGGTCTGAGTTTGCAGTAGAATTTGATGAAGAGTAACTTCTCAATTCCCTGGAATTTGAGATGAACAAAAAGGAGTTGTTATAGAAGGTTTTGACAGCAAAGTGTGAAAGAGGAAGGACAAAAGTAACACCGTTAATGACTGCAGACGGTGTTGCTATGGCTGAGGAGGGCCATCCTGGGAAGTATGACTTTCTTCCATTAGCAAAGATAACTTCAGGACAGGGCAACAAGGAAAGGAGAATAGAACTGATGTTTCACTTACAAAAGACTACCCACCCCCCAAAAAAACTAAAACCCCAAACCAAAAAGACACCAGAAGATGGGCTGGTAACCACATAATATACAACATTTCAGACACATAGAAACTCAATGTTAAACCTATGATTTGAACTTCACCTCTTTCATTTCTACATTTTTATAATAGAGTATGGTTTTGAGTGGGGTGTGTGGGGATGGGAACAGTGGTTAGAAATTTGTGTCTGGAAATGTTATAAAACACCTGCCTAAAAATACCCCATGTTGCCCCTCTAAAGGCTCACTCCACATTTTGTAATCATGTGCCGTGTGTCATGAAACAAGTATTTCATTTGGCTTAAGCTTTTGTTTCATGAACTTAAACTCAAGTAAAATAATCAGCTATCAAATATCTGTCCACTAGATGGCTGTGTTACCTTTATAAATACAATATTTTAACCAAGTCAGAATAAAGGAAAAACTGAAAAAAAGTTTCTGCGGGTAAATACCCTTATTTGAAAAAAAAAAAAAAAGTCTATTCATTCTCTTAAGGAGTTTTGATAATTATATCTTTCTAAGGAATCTAAAAGGAGTCATTCAGTTTTTCGGTGAGTGTAATAATCAAACTCGAAGAGGATAAACTTAATCTTGGGAGGTTTGCATAACTGCAACCATTTTTCCTTTTTGGTATTTACAAAATATTCTGAATAGATCCCGGCCCAAAGTCATTTGATTTGGGAATACTTTAGTCTTAAAAACAGGCAGGCATACTGTTATTAACATTGTCATTATCGTTTCCGATAAGAAGTCGTTTTGCATTCCACCGTCTCATGCTGGGATAATACAGAACTTAGGTCATACATTCTTAGAACAAATAAATTAGAAAAGGGTTTTAACTACCAATAGGTAGGAAATATTTTTAATTTACAATATTTTAAAAGAGCCATCCTGAGAATGGATTCTCCACACTATTTCAATTTCTGTTTGGGTGGTACGTGAACATTCATTTCTTCTTTTGACCCATGGAAACTGAAGACAAATTTCTTCATTCTCTGATTCTCTCTCTCAGTTGCCAATTTCTTTCTATATACGCATCTGTTTGAAAAGATGGGTATCAAAAATTCCATCTTTTTATCTATATTCAATTTTCATTTGAAACCCCAAGGCCTGGATTTCCTTCATGGACATATTGATTTGATTTGGAATGCCAACTTCATTTACCAAGTAATTACATGGTGAAAATAGAAATCTACACGGTACGTTTATGTTCAGTTAGATGACCAAAGCTTCTTATTTAGCATAAACAGAGTTTATTTTTCCTTAAAATTAAGAGAATTACAGGTCTGAATACAAAGATATACTTTACATAATACACGCCAGGCCAAGCATGGTGGCTCATGCTTGTAATCCCAGCACTTTGGGAGGCCAAGGTGGGCAGATCGCCTGAGCTCAGGAGTTCGAGACCACCCTGGGTAACATGGTGAAACCCTGTCTCTACTAAAATACAAAAAATTAGTCAGGCATAGTGGCGTGCGCCTGTAGCCCCAGCTACTCAGGAGGCTGAGGCACAGAAATCGCTTGAGCCCCAGAGGTGGAGGTTGCAGTGAGCTGAGATGGCACCACTGCACTCCAGCTTGGGCTACAGAGTGAGACTTCATCTCAAAATAAATAAATAAATAAATAAAAATAAAATAAAAATAAAAAATACATGCCAATCATCAGAATCTTCTATACCTCAGTTCTCACGTTGATTAAAATCCTATTTTAAGCTATTCCTTCAACCCACTGTAATTTTACCTATAATTTATAACTAAGTGAATGCCTTAATGGGAAAGCAAATATCTTAGATGTGAAAAGGCCAAATGGACTTCTATTTAGTTAGGAGCAATAATAGTGTGACTGTTATTAAAATGGCATGCGATCATTTGTGTCAAGTGCATTAATTCAATTGGAGCTCCAGTTTCTGACTTTAGAAGGCTGGGTCCCTATCATAAAAAGGAGAGTGAAAAAGTTAAAACCCTGTTAGTGAATATTCAGAAATATATCTGATAGCTGGCAGGACTGCTCATTCATCTACCCATTCATCCTTTCCCTCGCATTTTCCAGTTAGTGTGTGTGTGTGAATACGTATGGGATGAATGTGCGGGGCTTCCTTGAGAACAGACACCATGGAAGACAACAATCTTGATCTGTAGAGAAACAAAACCCTGCTATATAAAAGTTACAACACTCTGGGAATCCTGCAGCTGTGCAGTGCATGCTCCAGGGCTGCTCTGACGTATACCTGTGCCGATTAATGTGAGGGCTGGGAAGCGCGAAGTGATACAGACTGAAGAAACAGCATCCGCTACCTTAACTGACAACATGCAAACAGAACCTTGCCAAGCCTGCAATAGCCAGATCCTACACAGTCTGGTAAATTCCTCTGGGCCTGAGACTTGTAAAGGGACAGAAATAATACCTATCAATAAAGGATTACGCAGGGATTTGTGTACATGACTAATCGCATTTTACTGAGGAAGAAACCGAGGCTCAGAGGTAGTAAGTAACTTGCCAAAGGTTTCATAGTTACATGTGATAAAACTGGAATGTACTCAGGTCTGTAAAATTCCAGTGCCATGGGTCTTTCCTTATCCCATACAGCCTCTTGAAAGTCAGCTTTCCGAGGAAGACATGCCATTAGAATTTGCGTGTAATTGTCAAATATGGCAAGACTACCTCTAGAACGAAACACATGAAGTTACTGTTCCACTATTACGATGGAATTGGCAGTTAAATGGCTCTGTACTTTTAAATAATCTATATTGCTTTGGCTGCGAGCGGCGGCTGATGCCTATAATCCCAACAATTTGGGAGGCTGAGGCAGGCAGATCACTTGAGGTCAGGAGTTTGAGACTAGCCTGGCCAACATGGTGAAACCCTGTCTCCACTAAAAATACAAAAAAAAATTAGCCAGGTGTGGTGGTGCATGCCTGCAGTCCCAGCTACTCGGGAGGCTGAGGCAAGAGAATTGCTTGAACCTGGCAGGCAGAGGTTGCAGTGGGCCAAGATCGCACCACTGCACTGCAGCCTGGGTGACAGAGCAAGACTCTCTCACAAAAAAAAAAAAGTATATTGCTTTATACACAAAGTGTCAGTGACAGAAATTTGTGTTTCACTTAGGAACAGATATTCCCATGCAAAAAGATGTACATTAATATGTAACATATTAATGTCTGAAACAAAGATATGGACTTTATAGCATTTATACATGCTATATTTTATAGCACCCAGTCCAGCATGATTATTATAAAATCAATTTCATTTTCACAAAAAGTGAATTTGATTGTCTTATCTGACAAAAACAGAACAAGTAATTCTTGAATCATGTCCTAAAAGAGCAGGCAGATTGTAATAGGTCTACCACACCTAGACCATGAAAGACAGTAGGTTAGGCCCATAAGAAATAATGAAGACTTTTAATGAGAGAAGCAAAAGTAGGGTTAATACTTAATTTAATCAGGTGTAACACAACTATGAAATTTTATAAATAAGGGTAGCAAAGAAGTCAGCCTCATTTTTGCATTATTGATTGGAATTTTCTGGAGGAATTTGTTAAATATTGTCCAGGTAGCTAATAAAGTTGACCTGGATTTGGAATGGTTGAATTTCATATTGCCTTGGAAAATGAATAATTTGCTTTGAATGAGTCAGGAAGGAAAATCCAACTTCTCTCAAAGCAAACCTTCACCCTGAAGGAGGAGCATATGGGGTCTTAGAGTCTTCAAAGAGGGGCTCACTCATTTTCTCTGTCAGTAGCTTTTCTTTCTCCAAGTTCTTCCTCGTTGTACATCTTACAGAGAAGCTTGGTTCTCTTAAAGTTCACCAAGAAGCCCTCCTGGCTGGTCAAATCACAAAATGTTTTATGATTCTTATTGTATTGGACTTCTCTGGTGTATCTGCAACCTCAGACTTCCCTTTGTGAAACTCTCAATTCTCTTGGCTTCTGTAACAGTCCCTTGCTGTGTTTTATTTTATTTTTCTGAGACAGGGTCTCACTCAGGCTTGAGTGCAGTCATGTGATCATGGCTCACTGCAGCCTCAACTCTTGGGCTCAAGCCATCCTCCTACAACACTCTCCTGAGTAGCTGGGACTACAGGTGTGTATTACCACACTCGGCTAATTTTAAAATTTTTTGTAGAGATGGGGACTCACTATGTTGCCTAGGCTGGTCTCGAACTCCTGGATTCAAGCTTTCCTCCTGCCATGTCCTCCCAAAGTGCTAGGATTACAGTTGTGGGCCACTGTGCCCGGCCCCCTTGCTGCGTTTTGCATGTCATTTCTCACATCACTTCTTCTCCACTGTGTTTGCAACTCTCTCACTCCTCCATTGTTCTTTAAATGTGGTGTGTCCTGAGGTTTCTGTCTGTAGCTCCCTGCTTTTCACCCTGGAATACTCACCAGGGCGAATCATTCTCATCTCTTGCAACTGATGAGTCCCAGATTGTCATATTTCATCCACGCTTGTCTTGCAAGCTTCAAATTCATTTATACAACTAACTCTTGGATACCTCAATCAGAGCAAGTTGAACTCATCTTTGTATCCTTGGCCTAAATAACTTCCTATTGCAGTGTCCTCTCATTTGATGGGATCACCAGCAACCCAGCTACTCATGCAAGCAATATGGAGTCATCCTTCTCTTTCTTGTCTATCATTAATTCTTGGCAGTATATCCTAATTTTTTCTTGAATATGCACTTCTCTCCATCCCTTTTATTGTCTCTTTCTGTTGTGCCCCACCATCTCTCACCAAGGCTATTATAAAAGTCTCTTAACATCCCCCTTACTTTTTGTATTTTCTTCCATACATTTTCCATTCCCTCAGGAGAATACTTAAAATATAAAATGGACTTTGTCCTCTCCTTACTTAAAACCCTTCAATTGCTTCCCATCTCTAAAAAGGTGTAAACTCCTTAATAAGGTGGAAAAGATATTTGATTATTTGTCATTGCCTATCTCCCTAGTCTTCTATTTTGTTCTTCTTGACTTTATATCCCAGAAATGCTAAACAGATTTAGTGCTCCCTCCCCAAATTCATTCCCTCTGTACTACTAATTGGTAGTACTACCTTTAAAACACACACACACACACACACACACACACAGACACACACACACACACACACAGGAGCATGAAGAAAAATGGTGCATAAAAAAAAATCTGGTGGCCTGGGAGAATGTGCCTGTAATTTTTGAAAAGAATTTCTGTGACACAAGTTTTTATATTTCATAAAGTAGGCTCAATTGGCAAATCCAAATCCATCACCCATTCAACAAATGTTAAACACCTACTAATACTGGCCAAATAATGTAAGCCAAAATATGCATTTTTTACTTTTTTTTTTTTTTTGAGACAGAGTCTCTCTGTTGCCCAGGCTGGAGTGCAGTGGCGCAATCTTGGCTCACTGCAACCTCAGCCCCCCAGGTTCAAGCGATTCTCCTGCCTCCGCCTCCTGAGTAGCTGGGATTACAGGCGCATGCCACCACACCCGGCTAATTTTTGTATTTTTAGTACAGACGGGGTTTCACCATGTTGGTCAGGCTGGTCTCAAACTCCTGACCTCGTGATCCACCCACCTCGGCCTCCCAAAGGGCTGGGATTACAGGCATAAGCCACCACACCCGGCCTATTTTTTGCTATTTTAATGCATGAAACTTCAGTTATCTGTTTACAAAAATGCCTGGCAGCAATGACCAATATGGAGTTTTGTGAATTCAAATACAAGATCTATGTAATATAATTTTTACCAAAGGTATTAACCTAAAAAACAACAACATGGGGCAGACAGGAGTATCACTCGTATAAAAAATGGTTCAGTGGGTTGGTGAGTCAAACTCTGACCTTTCATGTGTTCAGCCTTCTCTAGGGCAGAGGGAGCCATGGCCATGGGTATGAACAGCACCAGTCTATTACCAAGGTCATCCCCAAAGCTCCGGTACATCCTGGCCCATCCAGACATAGATAGTCCTCACTGCATTGCCATGTAGAGTGAGTCAGCTTTGGCTGAAATTTGAGTTTTTTGTCCGGGTCTGAACCTTGAAGCTGACTGGGGTATCTGGGGTCAGCAGACCTCACCGTGCAGAGCCCTGTCACCAAATGCACCTGCCACCTCTTTATCTACAATTTCTTCCTCCTGGCTTCTTGGGACTCTGGACTTCTTCACCAGAGTGAGGCTCCTTCTACCATTAACTCTCATTCAGTCCATAGTCCTATTGTCCACTCTGGTTTTGTGTATATGGCCTGAGAAACTTGGGTTCATTTTGATAGATGTCTTTTGATTGTGTAAAGTTGATATAACTGATAAAAACATTGAGGAAATTTACCCATGCCATGGCAAGATGGAGTTTCCCAACTGGAGACTTCCGTATTGCTACTTTGTAAGTGATATGTATGATGGTCTGTTTACAAGTACTCTGGAAATCTTGTGCAGTGTGAGTTATTCTGCAGGAATAACGTATTCTGCCATGTGAGATGAATCAGCTCTCTGAGGGTGACAGGCACAGAGGAAACCATGTATGCTCTGGTGCCTCAGATGAAATGATTCACCTTGCCTGTGTGAGGAGTTTTATTTCCAGGGAGTGGTTTCTTTACCATGGTGCAGGCATGGATTTTTGTTTTTCCTTTCAAAAAATATCCTTTGACTTTTAAAGCATGCATCTTAGTATTTCCTTTGGCAGAGAGCGAAAGTGTGACAGCATCAGAGGATAAAACAGGACATTATTTTTGCACTGTTTTGAATTACAGAGGCCATGGTACTTGTTAGAAACGGAGGGAGGGGCAGCCCAAAGCATATTTATGAAGCACTTAACATTTACTCAGTGAGATCCATCCCATGGTCTGGAAACTCTGGGAACTAATGTATCCAAAAAAGAGACAATTTTAGCTTTCAAAAGGCTAGTTAATTTACTAAATTCAGTCTGTGACCAATTTCTCTTGAGAAGAGTCCAGTGCAGTGGGCCAAATCTCGTGGGCAATACCGGGAGAGCATGAGATTGTGAATTCAACTGAGAAAGTTGTGTTTGGAAATGGCTCATATCAAACCTGGAAATGAAAAGCTTGGAAGTGTCACATTAAAGTGGACCGAACAACGGGACTAGACATTCAGAGGCTTGCATCTCAGTTCCACCTCGATCCCTAATGGGTCTACTGACATCAGCAAGCCATCAGTTTCCTTACCTGTAAAAATAGACACAACATTTTCCAAACGTTGCTGTTGTTGTTGTTTTTTCAAATGAAAGCTTTTACCTAAGTCTAATTTATAAAGTAGCTAAAGACAGAACCATTCTCTTGGAAACTGCAAGCTGGAGCCAGGGCTGTGGCCAGTGATACTTCATTCTTCTCCTCTCCATAGCCGTCATCTCACCACCATGATGTGCCAAGCAGAGGGCAACGTAAACATTTTGGAGAGATGGTAGCTGAGGTCTCTGAAGTTCTAATTTTTACACACAGGGAACCCTGTTTTGCTTGATGGGACACCCACAGAAGCGTCAGTATTAAAAGAGGAATTAGTACCTGAAGATTTTATGTGAAAAAGTAGCATGGGTTATTTTAATGCAACCTCTGAATGATGTTGCAAGAGAGTTCGTAGGACAATTTGAAAATGAGCTTTAAGCTCATAATAAACTTTGAAAGCTCTGCCTTTCCTATGGCCATTTTGATGCCCCTCCTTTTTGTAAGCACACAGCAGTTTCTAGTCTGCTCTGCACTTTTATATGTGTTATCTCACATGTGAGCATCTGAACAACCTCACTGCTTCACGCTGTCCTGACTGAAGGCAGTTTGAGAGGAGCCTTCAGTATCTTTCAAAGTTTTCTTTCTTATAAAGAAAAGGGAAGAAGGTTACTATCTGAAGAAACGAGACATTCCACTTGCCAGTGTCAACCTTGAACCTGTAGACAAATGGTCTTGACAAAATGGTCTCTTCACCCTAGCTTGGTCCCATGAATAGAAGGTCTTGCATGTTTATAGAGTGTCCATTTTATGTGTATTTAAGGATGTTAATGGTTCTAAACCACATCCTCCTGTTTTCTCTTCTTTAATTGCAAGGGCTATGAGGAGAAAAGGGAGATAAGGAGAGAGACTGACGTGGGGGGAGAAAGTGCCTCTATGACAGAGATAGAGAATGGACCAGCTTAAATCACTATGAAGCCTGTCTAAACAGTTTAGAATTTTGAAAGAAACTGTGGAAACATTCAGCAGTTATGTACTCACTCTCTGTATCCTCCCCGCAAAAAATGTGGTGGTAATGTTATAAAGACAGGAATCTATTTAAAAATGAGAGAAGAGCTGACAATGAAATATGAATGAGAAGTGCAAATTTGAGGGAAATATTACACTGTTAAAAAACCCATAACATGAAGCTTAGGGTGAGGTATTTATATTTATTACTAGATACAGAAATTTATTTTCTTACCACTCTATTTCCTTAAAAGGAAGTAAATTCAGCCACATGACAACTGGTCCCATTCACGAATGACAGTTACTTCATATTTTGATTTCTAACTTTTTTTTTTTACTCCCTAAATTACATTTTTAGTGTTTCTTTTTGTTCTGCTCCTTTGACCTAGCCTGGAAAATCTGAAGAACATTTATTTCTTTTTCTTTTTACTTCAGAAAGCCTGTACAATTTTCTTTTATAAACTTGAAGTATAAAAATAATAATATTTTAAAAACATATGGGTAAAGGACATTTTCATTTGCAATAAGACAATATAGTCATAATTAAAATCCATAGTTCAAGGAACTTTAACTTTTATCCTTTTAAAAAAATTAAGTGGCCAGGCACAGTGGCTCATGGCTGTAAATCTCAGCACTTTTGAGAGGCTGAGGCATTTTAGGATTGCTTGAGCCCAGGAGTTCAAGAGCAGCCCAAGCAACATAGCAAGATGCTGACTCCACTAAAAAAAAAAAAAAAAAAAATTAGCCAGGTGTGGTGGCATGCACCTGTAGTCCCAGCTACTGGGGAGGCTGAGGAGGGAGGATCACTTGAGCCCAGGAGTTGGAGCTTACAGTGAGCTGTGACTGTGCCACTGCAATCAAGCCTGCATGACAGAGCAGATTTTGTCTCAAATACAAATAAATAAATAAATAATAATCAAGTGGTTTATAATAATTAGAAATTTTCTATCATTTATCATATATAGAAGGACTTGTAAATTTACAGACTGTATATTTTATGGCCTAGACTCAGGCATCCAATGTTCATTGACAAGAAATGCAGTTCCTGACAAGGGCATTGCTAGTCTAGAGCTAACAGAGCATGCAGCCAATGTACCCAATGTTTGGGGATCTACTCTAGAGGTGTAGAGAGTTGATGCAGCTTCCGAAAGCTGTTTTGTTCTCCATCTATTGCCTGTGTACTGCAATAATCTCTTGCTCATGTGCTAATGTTAAATGTTTTGTTATTTAATGTGTCCTTTAAAAATTGATAAAAGCAAATCTCACTAAATATTTATATGGCAGCTAATACATATAGCACAAAGAAACTTCAGTATTCTATCTGTTCTGGTGTTTTAATCCCAAAGCAATTCAGAGATAAGTTTTGGCAGCTAAGGAAAATCATATACCGATTACAGGAACCTGGTATAGTGCAAATGAGCACTAGAAGTCTATTCCTCAACCCTGTGTAACAATATATTGGTGATGTTTTATACAGAATTTAAAATAAAATAGCTTTTCCAAGATAATTTTTGTGTTATAGCCACAAACTGATCTTTTTTTAAAACAGTATTTCAAGCCAGTTCCTCTTTAAAGTGATCTTTATTTTCCAATATGAAGTGTTCCATAGCCCAGAGAGCTAACTCTTATTAAATGCTTACTGTGTGTCAGACACTGCTCTTGGCTTGTTATGTATTTTATCTCATTTAATTTTACAATGGCCTTACGAGGCAGGGATTTTTATTACTGGCATTTAACTAACTTGCTGAAGGTCACACAGATAGAGATGGGTGAGGATAAGATTTGAACCCCGGCAGTCTGACTTCAGAACCACTATAGTAAGTCATTACATGGTACTTCACAGATTAAGACCAGAGCTAGATAATCTCTTTAGGCATGACACAGAAAAAGATTACACAACTATGATTGAAATATTTACTTCATCTCAAACTCTGTTTCCTCCATCTTAAATTATTAAGGCTTAATAATGAAAGGAAACAAATTATGTATATGATATGGTTTGGCCGTGTCCCCACCCAAATCTCATTTGAATTGTAGCTCTCATAATCCCCATGTGTCATGGGAAGGACGCGGTGGCAGGTAATTGAATCATGGGGATGGTTTTTTTCCCACGCTGTCCTCATGACAGTGAATAAATCTGACGAGATCTGATGGTTTTATAAAGGGCAGTTCCCCTGCACATGCACTCTTGCCTGCCACAATGTAAGACATGCCTTTGCTCCTCCTTTACCTTCTGCCATGATTGTGAGGCCTCCCCAGCCCTGTGGAACTGTGAGTCCATTAAACCTCTTTTTCTTTATAAATTACCCAGTCTCAGGTACTTCTTTATAGCAGCATAAAAATGGACTAATACAGTATGACTTTCTGTAACAAAGAATCATCATCTGGGAAGCAATATTGATATCTATAAAAACTACTTAAGCTTTCCAGATTACTACAATGACTATGTTTTTCTGAAACTGGAGTTTTCTAGAGTGGATGGAACTTGTTCGTCACCAAGGTTACCACTCTAGTACAGCCCTCTTTACCTTCTTTTGGCCACAATGATACAACATTTTGTCATATCAAAAAAGAAACCTCAATATATGTTGGGAAACTGTAGAGATAATACACAGAGAGATGACTCCAACATATGGGCCTTTCTCTAGGTTCTGAATTAGTCTGGGGAGACCCAGAAGACCACTGCTGGGCTAGAAGATCCACTTGTAAACTGTATGTTAAAAGACCCCAAAATGTATGGTTCAAAGGAAAGTTCCATGAAGTCTAGCATCCCCTTGAGGAATCTCATCTGCATAAATGTTAGGCACTTTACGAATCCGGAACTCGAGCAGGTTCTCTGAGCTCCCTGGATCATGGATGTTCAGCACTAGATGGCACCTTGGGAATTAGCTTGTCTAACTCTTCATCATTTTGCCAATGAGGAAATCAAAGGACAAAGAGATTATGAGTTTGCATGATGTCCCAGAGCCTGCCAGTGATAACACCACAATGGGAAGCAGGTTCTCTGGCTCTAATTTCAGGATTTTTCAATGAACTGAGTTGGACTTCATTCCAAGCACAGCCACTGACCTTTTAGATAGGTAGTTGTGAGTCAATGACTCTTCTCTCTGTCCTTATTGGCAGGAATTCTGGGCAGAGGTTGTTACCCTGACTTACAGTTATCTGGTCATACAGCTGAATGCTCAACACCCTATCAAGTAGCAGCAGAGAACTAAAAAAAAAAAAAAACACATGCAATACTACATGCAATATTACTAGATGTTATTTTAATGTTCTTGCCTGTAACATTGGAGAATATTGCTTATTGATAAATACAAATGTAACTAAAATCTTATTTTTACCCATATCTTTAAGAAGCATGGATGGAGAAAAACATGATATAAAACACCTCTTCATTTTTTTTACCTTATTATCAATTTAAATGTAGATTTTGGGGAAATATTATATATTTTGTTTGTGAAAGTATTTGCATTAAACCAATGATAGTCTTCAATAAGTCCTACTTGCAAAGAAAGAACAAAAAAAGACATGTTGAGCAGTTTCTACAGTTCTGAGATTTGGCATGCATGTTCACACTAGTGCCTGCCAAGCCTGGGTGTGGCATCCTACAGGTAACATGACATACCAGGAGCAGCTGCAACAACAGCACCAACAAAAGCAACAGGTGTTGTTGGGCCTCTGGTTTCCAGGAGCTTGAGACACGGCAGGTGTTCCTTCATTTTGGGACTGCTGCCTTTTTCGCATTTCAGCTACTTCAGGACCCAGTTGGCTGAAAGAGATAAAACAAAAAATTGGGTATGAAAAAAGCAATAAGGATAAGTTGCGTATGCTGAAGGAAGGCTCATTTCACTAAGGAAGGAGGGAGGTAATTTAAGAAAAGGTAAAATAAGGAAACTTGAGAGGCCAAACTAAAAATTCTCAGGAAAACTTTTTAGAAGGATATACTAAAAACTTTGGGGAGGAACGTCTACCTTTATCTGCTGCATAAAATTATAGCAACAAAGTTGCCACGTAATCAAGATTGTTGGTAAAGTAAATATGATAAGGTTTGAAAATTTATTTTTAACTTCCTTCTTTACTCAAGAATGATTAAATCTGCCTTTTTTATGGACACCATTCGGTGATTATAGAGGGTGTATGTAACTCGTTTTTCCACTAATGTTTACAGTAAGGTAAATTGAGCTTTATAAATGATTGTTGCATGGTTTCTAACTATATAAGAGTATGAGGAAGATCAAGTTTATTCTTGGCGCCCTCTCACTTCCTTTGAAACACAATATCCTTTTTGGCACTTTTGACTCATCCTCCAGAGGCCTAACCTTAATAACATTACCAAAAGGCCTTATTTTCTGTTAGGTGTCAGTGTTGCAAAGGCATTAGCTTCTCTTCTTCCATCCCCCAAATTTATCTTTATTTAACGGAGAGTTGGGGGAAAATAAAAGTCATCAAATTCAGGGGAATTACTCTGGTGGAATTTATATATCATGGCAGATAAAATAAATATTGGGATACAGAATGTCCTATCTGTGATCTTACAAATAAGGCCAAATGAGTTGCTACCTATTTATAGGACCAATCCTGATCTAAGACTGTACTGAGGATTAAAATAAAAAGTTTTGTCTTTGAGTAATATCAAATTTAGCATGAACTCTTAGAAAAAGTAATGCAATCTACTGAATGATGTTTTTCATAAATAGGCAATGTATGTAAATCATACACATATATTGTCAAATGTGTGGCTGAGAGCAGTACTTATTAAAACTATAAAGTGCTTCAGGTTATTTTGGCATTATGAGCTATTATTTTAAAATGATATTTTCAGTTCTGAATACAATGATAAACACTTTAAAAAATACTGCATTCTTGAAAACCAGATAAACATATTTTTCGACCAGAAACAGAGCAGAAAACCACAGTTGTAGGTGAATGGGGTCTAAAGCCACAGTAATTCTGCAATTCAGATATTGAAACAGAAGCGGGCAAAGGTCCACACTCCAGTGAGGTGTTAGATGCTCCCCTAGGAGGAGTGGGAGTCTGATTCCAGGTTGCCTGCAAAAAATCAGGGGCTGTGATTGTGCCCTTCATAAAAAGGTACTGAAAAAATAATTTCTACTATTCAGTAATGCCTAGCTGCAGAAAGGGTAGGATGCAGAGAAAGCCATCCAGATCAGACTTCAGCCAATCAGCTTATTTGTTCAGTGACTGGGTCAGGGAATTTTCCAAAATCACTGGCAGATGGCAGGGAATCCTGAGATACTGATAAAAGAGCTGCTTCAAGACTAAGGGTCTTAAGGGATTAGTGGAAACAAATGAAAAGCATTACATTATGAAGAGTAAGTGACAGTAAGAAATACATCTCTCACTCAATGTGTTACCTGAAAGCAAAAATCCATATTAACACCAGAAAACAGACAACCAACTCAACAATTAGGAGATTAATATATTCCTGATCAAATGCTAATAACAGAATCACCTAAAATTAGTTTAACAAACATATATTTAAGATAAACAATGTGATAAATGAAAGAATACAATTTAAATGGGAGAACAATAAATTATAAAACTTATCTGACTTCCCCTTTTCCAATTTGGATGCCTTTTGGATACGTGCACCTCCATGTTGACTGCAGCACTATTCACAATAGCCAAGATATGGAATCAACCAAGGTGTCCAAAACCAGATTAATGAATAAAGAAAATGCGGTATATATACATCATGGAATACTAATTTAGCCATTAAAAATAATGAAACCCTGTCATTCACAGCAACATGGATGGAACTGGAAGATATTATATTAAGTGAAATAAGCAAGGAACAGAAGTTAAATACCACATATTCTCACTCATATGTAGAAGTTTAAAAAACATTGATTTCATAGAAGTAAAAAGAAGGACATAGCATACCAGAGGCTGGGAAGGGTAGGAGTAAGGGAGGGATATGGATACATTTTTTAAGGGATATAAAATGGCAGCTAGATAGGAGGAATAAGTTATAGTGTTCCACATCGCTGTAGGATGACTAAAGTTAACAATAATATATAGTTTTAAATAGCTGGAAGGAGGATATTGAAAATTCCCAACACAGAGTAATGATAAATGTTTAAGACGATGAATATGGTAATGATCCTTTATTACCATAGAGTGATAAGTGACCTTATCACTCTACATTTTATGTACTGGAACAACATTATGTACCCCATGAATATGTACAATTATTATTTGTCAATTAAAAATAAATAATAAAATAAAATAAATTATAAAACAAAAATTGGCAAATATGAAATAAGAAAAGACATAACGGGAATGTAAAAACAAACACAAATAGCTATTAAAAGATTTACACATAATCATTTCTTTCCCAAACAATCCCGAAGATGGTGCCAAGGAATATACTCAGAATTCAGCAAAGAGTGAAGAAAAGCTACAACATGAAAAGAGAATTGAGATAAGCAGACCAGTAACATTGAAAGGCCCCAATATATACCCAACAAGATTTTCTTCATAAGGGGAAAAATAATGGATTGTCAGGAAAGTCATAATATTTTAAGGAAAATTGGCCAAGAACTCCCTAGAACTGGAAGAAAACAAAACAGAACAAAGCCTCACATAAAGGAGTATACCACATGCTGAGTAGGATGAATAAAAATAAAAAGAAATCTACACTTATAAACAAAATAGTAAAAACACATCTAGATGATAAAGACAAAAGCTGAATTACCCACACACAAGTAATGCTTTGATTGACAGTGGACTTTCCATGAGCAATATTAGATGCTGAAGATGGTGGGCAATGGAGTTATGTGTTCCAAGTGCTGAGGGATAATAATCATCCTACAATTTTATATGCACCTAAGTAAAAATTCAAGAGTGAAGATTATTTCTGATAAACTCACTGAGTTGATTACTCAAATATTTGCTGGAACCTACTTCAGTCAGAAGAAAACAAAATTAGAGGGAAGGGGTAGAATATAAGAAACAGAACTGAAATTGGTAAAATAGGATGCTGAACTTAATGACCTGGCTAAAATAAAAGTCTATGTTTCTCTGTTTAGATACACTCAAGAATTAAATTTAAGACTACATCAATTACGAAAATGGGTGGGCTGCCCTAACCCTCTAATGAAACAGATTTTGTAGACATCTCAATGTCCGCATATTATTAAGTCCAAGAGTTATTTTGCCATCTCCTTCTGGGCCAACAGCATTTTACACTACAATGGACAGAATTTGCCCTTGCAAAATATATTTGTTGAAGTCCAAACCCCAATTGTGATGGTAATAAAAGCTGGGGCCTTTGGGAGGTAATTAGCTCATGATAGCTGAGCTCTCATGAATGGGATTAGTGCCCTTATAAGAAGAGGCCAGGGAACTGGATTGCTTTTCCCCACCATGTGAGGATACAGAATGACAATCTTCTACAACCAGGAAGCAGGCCCTCACCAGACACCAAATAGGCCACCATCTTGATCTTATACTTCCCAGCCAACAAAACTGTGAAAAACAAATTTACGTTGTTTTTAAGCTACCCAACTATGATACTTTGTCTACAGTAGTCCAAACTGACTATTTTAACTCCACCCTCTTTGAAATACTTTCTTCTCTTGCCTCCTGGGCACCATACTCACCTGTCTGCTTTCTCATCACTTCTTTGCAGTCTACTTTCTTGTTTCCTTTTCATCTTCCTCGCTTTCAAATTTTGAATGGCCACAGTGTTCTGTCTTTCTTCTCTATCACTTCTTTGATGAACTCATTGAGACTTTTTTGGGTCTACCAGCTTTCTGCACAAAATCCTCAAATTTACATGCCCAGTGAAGATAATTTTCCTGAATTCAGGATGCAAATATCCAACTACCTACTCAATATCTTCACTTGGCTTTCTCAAACTTAACATGCTCTAATCTGCCCTCATTATCTTTTCCCAAAAACATGTTCTTCCCACAGTTTCTCCAATTTTACTGAATGAAAAGCCTCATCCTTCTCATTTTTCACACCAAAAAATCCTGGACTCATCCTTGATTCCTCTATTTCATCTGGATGTCACATCAGCAGATCAGCAAATGTGAGACTTCTTAACTGGTATCTGCTACCCATCTTCTGTTTCTACCACCTCCTATCTCCTTCTATTACAATTCCATTTTATTCTATTCTCAAGACAGCAGCCAGGATGAGCCTTTCAAACCTAAGTCAGATAATTTCAGCAAAGACTCTTCCATTCAAATCCAATCCAAAACTTCCAGTGGCTTACCATCTTATTCAGAGTGAAGTTCTTACAGTCTGCTTTTTTGTTACTCCCCTGAATGTATCTCCTTTTCTCTGCCTCTTGTTGTCTGTTTCAATCACAATGGCCTCCTTGCTGCTCCTCAGCCATGCTCGGTACAATTACGTGTCAAGACCTTTGCACTTGTTTCACACTTAGGGTTTCACTCCTTCAAGTATTTACTGAAATGTTACATTCTCCTTGAAGCCTTCATGACCATCTTATTTAAAAATGAACTCCCTCACCTCATCCCCAGTATGAGCTGTTACCCTTTCCTGTTTAACTTGTCTCCATATAATGTATCATCACTAGTCATACTACAAGTTTTACCTGTTTGTTTGTCTAACCAAGGAGCCAATAAATTTCATGAAGGTAGGCACTTTTGTCTGTTTTGTTCATTGTTGTAACAATGCTTGGCACATACTAGGTACACAAATATTTGTAGAATGGTGAATTTTACAGCATTCCTATTAACGATAAGAAGAAAACAATAAAGTCTATATACCCAACATTCAAAATTATTAATTTTGCAGCCAATGCAACAAAATTAGAAAAAATAAATAAAAATTGGAAAAGAAAATACAAACTTTACTATTTACAAATGATATGGTTATCAACATAAAACTTCCAAGAGATTCGGCAGATAAGTTATTAGAGGCAGTTCAAGAGGGATGCCAGTTTAAGCTTTAAAATATCATATACTTCTAATACACTAGTAATAATGAATTTGAATATATAAGAAAAATAAAGGCATAGTTCAATAGCAAAACCAAAACAGTAACTGGTAATATTTATAACAAAAATTGTATAAGAACTCTATAGAAATATTACGAAACTTTATCAAAAAACATAAAATAAGACCTGAATACAGAGTTGGGTTATCTTCTCAAGTGGGAAGACCAAAATCTTAATTGTCCTAAATTATTTTATAAATTCAAGGCCGGGCATGGTGGCTCACACCTGTAATCCCAGCACTTTGGGAGGCCGAGGCGGGTGGATCACGAGGTCAGGAGATCGAGACCATCCTGGCTAACATGGTGAAACCCCGTCTCTACTAAAAATACAAAAAATTAGCCAGGTGTGGTGGCGGGCGACTGTAGTCCCAACTACTTGGGAGGCTGAGGCAGGAGAATGGCATGAACCTGGGAGGAGGAGCTTGCAGTGAGCCGAGATCGCACCACTGCACTCCAGCCTGGGCAACAGAGTGAGACTCCTTCTCAAAATAAATAAATAAATAAATAAATAAATTCAATGTGATCACAGTAAAAATTCTAATTCAATCATTCATGGAACTTAACAAATGAATTCTAAAACTTACATGGAAGACTGAAGACATGTCTGAAAATAAAAATAAGTGGGGGTGTTTGTTCTATCAATAATATAGAAGTCATAATAATTAGGCAATGGCATGGGAACAGATATGTAGATCAAAATAATAAAACTCTCAGAGAGCTGAGTAACCTTCAGGCATTTATGCAGTCCTGGCTTAAATTAGAGTATGCAACTTTATCATTCAAGAATGACAGACTACTCAAAAATGGTGTTGAGATATTTGCACTTACATATAAAAAATTACACCTCCAAGTGATAATACATGCAAAAATAAACTCAAAACATGAATACAAAAATAGATGTTACAAATTCTAAAACTGTCATAAAAACGTAGACTATAGCTTCAGAGCAGAAAAGGATTTCTTACTATAAGATCAAGCTCAAAAGGAAAAGCTTTTTTTTATATAGTTTAATTTATTAAAAAGTTTTGAGCAAATAAGGAAACAATAAAATAGAAACAAGAAAAATAGAGAATCATACTGGAAGATACAAAGGAATATTATCCGTAATAATAAGTAACACATTGCAATTTAACAACATAAAAACCTAATAGAAAAATTGGCAAACAAATTTGCAGGCGGGTCATAAAAGAGGAAAATATAAATACTCCAAATTAAATGAATAGATGCTCAGAACTATTAATCAGAGAAATGTGGATAAAAAAGTATTCCACATTCAAATTTTCCACTGTTAAAAAGTCATACAATATCAATTTTGGAAGAGTACTTGGGTAAATTAAAAACTCCTCACACTAATGGTAGGAATATACATTGAGAAATCACTTTGAAGAACAATATTGACTACATGTAGTTCACAATACACATAACCTATGACAAATTCCATTTTTATGTTTATACACTGGAGAAACTCAAACCTTTATTTGAAGACACTAATTACAGTATATTTAACACCTTAAATTGGAAACAACCTGTTATGGACTGAATGTTTATGTCCCCCTCAAATTCATATGTTGAAATGTAATCCCAAATGTAATGATATTTGGAGATGGGGCCAAATATAATGATATTTGGAGGTGGGGCCTTTCAGAGGTAATTAGGTCACAAGAGCAGAGCCTTCATGAATGGGATTAGTGCTCTTATAGGAAGAGGACAGAGAGTTGGTTCTTCTTCTCTCCATGTGAGGACACGGAAAGAAGATAGTCATCTACAACCAGGCAGCAGGCCCTCACCAGACACCAAATAGGCAATCACCTTGATCTTGAACTTTCCAGCCCCCAGAACTGTGAGAAATAAATGTCTGTTATTGATAAGCCACCCTACATATGGTATTTTATTATAGCAGCCCAAACTAAGAGAGAAATTGGTACTGAGAAGTGGAGTGCTGCTATAACAAATACCTAAATATGTGAAAGCAGCTTTGGAACTAACCAAGAGTTGTGAAGTACATCTAGAAGAAGCCAAGATTGTCATGAAGGGACTTTTAAAGGTGATTTGGTTAGGGCTCAGAAAGGGAAGAGAAGAGCTGTAGAGAAAGCTTCCATCTTCTTAAAGAATACATATGTAATCATGGACTGAATGTTAGTAGAAATATGGATAGTAAAGGCCATTTTGATGAATTCTCAGACTGAAGTAAAAACATGTTATTATCTTCATTAACACTAAATTTCACTGTCCTTTTCTCCATCTTGTGCAATGGAGAACAGGCAATCCTTGTTATTAAGCGGCCAACAACTTGGGTGAATTGTGTTCATATTATTAGTGTTTTGTGGAAGTTGGGACTTGTGAGCAATGAAGTTGGCTATTTAGCTGAGGATATTTCTCAGCTAAGTACTGAAGGCACGGCTTTGTTCCTCCTGACTGTTTAGTAAAATGTGAGAAGAGAGAAATGATGTGAAGAGGGACTTATCAAACAACAAGAAACTAGAACTTATGAGCTTGGAAAATTCTCAGCCAATCCATATTGCACAAAATGAGAAAGCATGTTTAAAAGAGAACACTAAGAGTATTACCAAGCCACCATTTGATAAGGAGATTAGTATGGTGTGAAGCATGGACTGAATTAGCTACCTCAGCAGGAAAACTGCCAGTTTGAACTGAATGGGAAGGAATGAAGAAATGTTGTCAGATTTTTTGGATTTTACAGGGAAGACCATAAAACTTTTCAGCTGCAAACATGATCTATTCTTAAAGACAAGGGAAGAATGACTACAAAAAAATGATTCAGAGATCATCAGGGCTTCATCCTATGTTGCAAAGGGTGGAGGAAGAATTGCCTGATTTTCAACAAGTTAGATTACCTCCAATCAAAGGCATGGGGGTAGGACTGGGAGGAGCTGTGGAGGTTTGGTGCCTGCCCAGCAGAACCCTGGGATTGAGATCCCAATTTGGCAGAGGTGCAGAGCAATATCTCAACTCTACTGGGTCTGGAAAATGGGACCTCTGCCCCCAGTGGGCCTGGAGTGCACAGCATCAAGCACCAGAGGATTATTCTCCAGCCCTGAGATATGGAGTTTGACTTGCTAGGTTCTGGACTTACTTAAAAGCTATCACTCTTTTCTTCTTTCCTATTCCTTTGCTTCTGAAATGGGGATATCTATTCTACATCTGTCCCACTACTGTAGTTTGGAAGCACATAACTTATTAGGTTGGTGCAAAAGTAATTGTGGTTTTTTGCCATTAAAAGTAGCAAAAATCGCAATTACTTTTGCACCAACCTAATATTTGGTTTTACATGTTCATAGCTGGAGAGGAGTTCTGTCTCTGAATGAATGATACCTTAAGAATCACTCATATCTGATTTAGATGATAGTTAGATAAGACTTTGGACTTCAGACTTGAGAACCAATGCTAGAACAAGTTAAGACTTTTGAGGCTACTGGGATGGAAATAATGTATTCTGCATGTGAAGACATGAATTGTGGAGGGCCAGGAGCAGAATGTTAAATACTGAATGTGTGTGTCCTCCTCAAACACATATGTTGAAATCTAATCTCAGGGTGATATTAAGAGGTGGGGCCTATGGACGGGGTCATTAGACAATGACGGTGGAGGCCTCATGAATGAGATTAGTGCCCTTAAAAAAGGGACCCCCAGATTACTCTCCTGCTCTCTTTCCATCCTGTGGGGATAAAACGAGATATCAGTAGTCTGCAGCCTAAAAGAGGGCCCTCACCAGAACCCAACCATACTGGCACCTTGATCTCAGACTTCAACTTTCAGAGAAATACTGTGAGAAATAAATTTCTGTTGTTAAGTTATCCAGCTTATGGCATTTTGTTATAGCAGCCTGAGCTAAGACACAACCAATATTCTCATTTTTCCAGGAATGAATTTTAAAATGGTGATATTGTTATATGTTAATATATAAAACAGCTCTTAAAATGAGTAACTTAGATCTATATGAATCAACTTGAGGCAATCACAAAACAATGTTGAATAAAAAAGCTGCAAAATATTAAATACAGTATCAACATAATTTTCATAAGCATACAAAACAAACAATAATACATATCTTTTCTGGAGAATATGTGTAACATACGCAGTTACAGAGCATGGACTGGATCCATTACTGGGTGTTCGGGAAGATAACGATCAGGCTGTGATTGCAAAAGAAAGAATTTCAACTTTAATCATTTCTTTAAAAAAGATCTGAAGAAAAAGCAAAATATTTACAGTTACATGAATTTGGTATTGAGGCAGAGCACGGTGGCTCATATCTGTAATTCCAGCCCTTTGGGAGGACCACTTGAGGCCAAGAGTTTGAGACCAGCCTGGTAACACAGTGAGCCTCCATCTTTACAGAAAATAAAAAATTTAACCAGGCATGGTGGCATACATATGTAGTCCTAGGTACTTGCTACTTGGGAAGCTGAGGTAGGAGGATTGCTTCAACCCAGGTGTTCGAGGCTGCAGTGACCTAGGATCGCACCATGTACTCTAGCCTGGGTGACAAAGCAAGAGCCTGTCTCAAAAAAGAAAAGAAAAAAGAAAAAGAAAGAAAGAAAAATAGAGTTTTGGGTATGGGAGTATTTATTTTATTATGTTTTATACTTATCTATATTTTCTTTTTCACATACATACATACACACATTATATATATATGTATATATATGTATATATAATATATATACATATATATTATATACATATATATGTATATATGTATATAATATATATACATATATACGTATATATGTATATAATATATATACATATATATGTATATATGTATATAATATATATACATATATATATACACACAATATTTTTTATATATATATATATATATATGTGTATATATATATATATACAGCTTTATACCAGGCAGGAATTTCTTATTTATATCCTGAAAATTTGCAGAAAGACTCAAAAACTTTCTTGAGAATTGAATACCTTAATTTTCTCACTGTTAAATACTCAATATTGAAACATTCAGAGGTAAATGTCATCTTGGATATCCATTTATTCACAAAATCTCTGAGATTGTTGTGGTTTGAAATCACTGTAGAGGGGTTCAAATATTAGTTGTTAGATTTGCAAGACCGAGGCAGGGCATGGTGGCTCATGCCTGAAATCCCGCACTTTGGGAGGTTGAGATGAGCAGATCACTTCAGGTCAGGAGTTCAAGACCAGCCTGACCATACATGGTGAAACCCCATCTCTACTAAAAATACAAAAATTAGCCAGGCATGGTGGCGGGAGCCTGTGACCCCAGCTACTTGGGAGGCTGAGGCAGGAGAACTGCTTGAACACAGAGGGTGGAGGTTGCAGTGAGCCGAGATCGCGCCACTGCACTCCAGCCTGGGCAACAGTGCATGACTTCATCTCAAATAAATAAATAAATAAATAAATAAATAAATAAATAAATAAAAAGATTTGCATGACTTTCACTCTCTTCTATGTCTTTCAACCGGCTTAAAAAAAACATCATAGGCAAACGCTTTATTTGCGCTCTTCTGAAGTAATTGTGTATGTTGTCCCATAATCATCTTCCTTCTGGAAAGAAATTCCTACTCATTGATTTCCTTTGTGTAGTTCCCATACCATTTGGAACAGATCACTCCTATTTTTCTGACTGATAGAGAATTCTCTAAGTCCCTGAATACCAGCAGTTCAGCATCTTATCTGTGTTTCCAGTCTAAACTTCTGGACCGCCCAGCAAGCAATGAGGTATAATATTTTGCTACATAGCTGGGGCGTCTGAATAATTAGACACACAGAGCAGGCGGAAGATGCACTATCTCAAAGAGCTGCTTAGTGACAGTGCCTAGGAAGGTCCTTCCCAAATCCCTGAACGTGGTAAGTAAGCACGGAAAATTGCTGCATGCCCTCAGGTGATCACATCCTGGAACCCCTATTTGCTTCTACTTCCTGTGCACCACTGCAAACTGGTGCTGAGGGGATTGGTGTGGGTTTATCAGTAAATACAGAAGGGAAAAATCTGTCTGCTGTTTTTTTTCCCTTGAGTTCACCAATTCTAATTTTTTAAGCCAAACACATTTTCTTAATGTTATAAGTTAAAAAATGAAAAGTTATGTAAAATGAAGCATAACTATGGACTGAAACTCTCAAATATTTTTGAATATGTGGAGGTCAATTCTTTTTTGTCATCCCTACCTCCCTATAGAGGAAGAGTGTCAAAAACCCATTTGACTTCACATGGTGGAGAAGAACAAGGCAGGAGAAACTGGTCTCTCCTTTGCAAAGAAGGACATACCTGTGCACAAAACTGGGACTTCAGATTTTTTTTTGAGCTGAGCAAGGATGGAAAGTGTTTTACAGCTGGCATCCTACCTGTAAAAACACTTCATCTAGTCCTTACGGTGAGGTGCAGGGAAAGTTGGTATGGAAGAAATACTAACGGACCCAAGCATAATGGTTTTCCCCTCAAAGCTTAGGCAAATTTATTAATAAGGAACACACATAAATCAGGTGTACTAATCAGAGAAGGTTTTTCATTGTCGTGCATTAGTTATATCTTCCAAGAAATGAGGGGAAATTCTGCTCTAACTTCTAGCTGTCCACAGTTTTACTCTGTTACTTCTTTCCCTTCCCCAGGGTCAGGTGCAATGATCAAAACCATCTCACAGGTTGAACAATGGGCCAAATAAAACAAAATACAATGTAAAAAGGATAAATGTAAGGATATGAACTTGGGTCTAAAAACACTGTTAAGGCTAGGATGGGAGAAACATGGTTTAACAGGAACATATGAAAAATTCGGGACAGTAAATTCAGCATTAACCAACAGTATGATGTTAAAATAGTCAATGGCAATTTAGAATGCATTAACAGAAATACGTTTTCTAAAACAAGATGTAATAGATATTCTCTGGGCTGGTTAAACAGTTATGTTCAATTCTGCTCACTACAATTTAAGAAATAAATTGAAATATGTTCAGAAGACTAAAAGGAGGAGAGTTAACAAAAACTCATGAGCGTCTCATAAGAACACTACTTTTAGAACAAAGGTGTTTCCTCTGAAGAAGAGAAAGATAATCAGAATCATAATTTTCTAATCACTGAGATCAGTGACGCCATGCACAGGATAAGAGGATATGCATTCACTTGTAAGATCCCAAAGGTTAGAACATGGATTAACGAATAGAAGCAATAGAAAGACTCTTTATTCCATATATGGAAAGTCTGACTGATACTCAGATAAGATCTTAATTCACCTGTAAGAAGAGCCTCAAGCCAAGCATTCTTGAGTATTTAAGTTACTGGTGAACAAGTCCTTGAAAGAGGTTGATTTAAAGGGGCCTCAAGTTTACATAGATGATTAGACAGAAAATCTCTCTTGGTTCTGAGGTTACTATTCCTGAAATGGGCTGCCTAACCTAACTGCTGTCTTCAAAATACAGCTGGGAGTGAGATGATGAATCCCTATTTCTATCAATTTGTACATTCCTATAGATTATATTGTCAATCTTTGTGCACTGACTAATATTATTCTTCATCCTTTTGTTTAGATATTGTTTTCCAATAGGATTGAAAAACTCTTAAGAGGAAGGGCTGTGTGTGTGTGTGTGTGTGTGTGTGTGTGTGTGTGTGTGTGTGTTTTCCTGGAATCCTAGTGTTCTCTATTGTAGATGCAAAATAAGTATTAATTATTGAGGATGATGAATATGACAGATTTCTCTGATTATTAAAAATATCTATTTTCCCAAGGCAGAGATTTGGAAGTTTCACATACAATTCTTACAGCCCTAAAGCACAGTGTCAAGTCTGAATGGTGCTCCTCATCCTTTCCCAAAGTATCCCTCACAGAGGAAGGGAAAAATTAAGTCTGAATGACCTGCTGCAATGTAAACTCTTATATTTTATTTTAAAATCCACATAACATCTGGGTATTTTGATATATATTATATATAAATATAAAAATAAAAGCTTCATATTCTTAACTTGGGAAGAAAAAGAATGCTCCTCCATCTTTCTTAATGGTCAAGATGCCGTTGCAGTAAGATCAATTTTGGAAAATTAGGCTGAATTGGAAAAGAAATGAGTCTACACATCAGAATTAGCTCTCATCTCACTCTTGAAGTCACCAAATTTTTAGGACTTAAACTTACAAATATAAACAGGGCAGTCTCTCGTATCACCACTCCCAAGCTGTATTACAATATGGTGAGTAAACAAGCTCTAGAGTCAGGCTGCCTCTGTACAAATCTTGCCTCTGTTATCAACTGGATGACCTTTGGTTAGTTACTCCAGCGGTCCCCAACTTTTCTGGCACCAGGGACCAGTTTCATGGAAGACAATTTTTCCACGGATGGGTGTGGGGGATGGTTTTGGGATGATTCAAGCACATTACATTTATTGTGCTCTTTATTTCTATTATTATTACATTGTAATATATAATGAAATAATTATGCAACTCACCATAATGTAGAGTCAGTGGGAGCTTTCAGCTTGTTTTCCTGCAACTAGACACTCCCATCTGGGGGTGTTGGGACACGACAACAGATCATCAGGCATTACATTCTCATAAAGAGTGTGCAACCTAGATCCCTCACATGTGCAGTTCACAACAGGATTCATGCTCCTATGGGAATTTAAAGCCACTGCTGATTTGACGGGAGGCAGAGCTCAGGTAGTAAAGCTCGCTGGCCTGCTGCTCACCTCCTACTATGTATCCCAGTTCCTAACAGGCCACAGACCAATACCTGTCCATGGACCAGGGGTTGGGGACCCCTGACTTTACCTATTCTTATCCTTGTTTCCTCATTGGCAGATAATAATTGATAATAATAGAACACATAAGTACATCCATTCTGCTATAAGGGCTGAATGAATTTGACACATAAATACTTGGAACAAATCTTTGCAATTACAGTAAGTGCGCAGTATGTGGTAGCTCTTTCAAGGTAACACTGAGGAGAGTTGTTCATAATGTTGCCAAAAAGTTAGTGTGGTTCAGTGTTTTAGTGCTACAGATGTTGAAGGTTTTCATCATTATCTTCCTGCTGAGAGATCATTTCACTTATATGGTGGGATGTAAAGTTTTTGTATCCATTGGCTGGGATCTTCCTATCTCAGGGTTCTACACAAAGGCTTAGTCAGTGAGGAAGAAAGACTAATGGTTTGGTTTATTATTTCACCATTGACACTGTACTTTTTATCACATGTAAATGAACTGAGTCTAAAGTGACTCATAGTACCCACAATCAACTCGTTATCCAACAATCAAACTTCATTATAACCGTCGCTGTCTTGTCATGGTTGTTGAAAGCATCCGGTTTTACCATGTAGTTGTTGATTCAGTGTGGGGCCCCACAAAGTTATCTGCTAAATAAGCCAAATTTGTGAAGCCCACTTCAGCACTGGGGTGGACAAGGAAGCAATTCACCAAGTACAGATAGTTATTCTTAGTTGTGACGAATTTTTCCTGTGAGGAAAAGCAACTCACTTCTCAATTTAAAATTTCTGATAACTACCCTGCTTCAGCTAAGCCAGCATATATCTATGCAACTGAGCAAGCTTTCAATGTCACTTCTTAGTTCATGACCCATTTACCTAAAAAGAGTTGTCCTGGAGTAATACTACTACTCCTGGAAGGGTATACTCGTTAGCGCATTTTTTTTTTTTCAAAATCGCCATTTTTATGATTATATTAAAATGATCAGAAATTCAAGAAATAAATTCTTTGTGCATTCAGAGTGAATAATTACTAAGAATATGGTTCTGGTCCTTACTCTGGGTGGTCACAGTCTGGCTCCATCAGTGAATATACCCATGTAATTTCTTTTCCTACTTGATATACAGTCTTCACTGAAATGTCACTTGATGGTGAGTCAGCAATTCTCTCTTCATGTTCATAACATTTATATATACTTAGTTACAGATAAATATATAAAAAGACTATAAAATAGTTGCTCCGGTGCTTTCCCCTATTAAAGTACTGAATCAGATTAGCACCAGCTGCCTCCTTGTTTTGGCTCATGTATATCTATTGGTCGCATTTAAAAGCATTATTCGACAGAGCTGTTTGACAGAGGCACCTTGTGTAGCTCAGCTGCTAGTTTTCATCCCCAGAAGGTTAAGCCATTTCTATGCTAAAGGTCATCACATTTTTCACTCTTATTATTCTGCACTTCTATCAACTTTCTATTTGCTTCTTTTGACTATGCCCTTTAGGGGGTACTGGCTCTGGAGTAAGAGAGATCTGGAATTGAATCACAAAGTTCTGCCTTGTACTGGCTGTGTGGCATTGAATTAGTCACTTAACCTCTGCCTTTGTTTGCAAAATAGGAAAATATTTACTTCACTCAGTAATTGTAAGGAATAAAAGAAACCCTATTTATTGCTAGTTTTTACTAACAACTGTAACAAGGAGCCAAGTGAAAAGCACTTGATAATTTGTAATCCCAACTGTAACAATTGTTCCTAATGTTATTATTACTCCTGGACCAACTTCTGTTTCCATATTTACAATAAAAAGCTGATGATATTTCTTCAGAATTTCATAATGGGTTTTTAAATATCAATGCAAGGGTGATAGATGTATTTGGTAATTACCAAATAACAATTTTAACATAAGTCAAAATTTGGGTCTTTGCTATTCAAAATGTAGTTCCTGGACCAGCAGGTGGCATTCCACCATCTGGGAGGTTGTTAGAAATGAGGATCTCAAGCCCCACTTGAGGCTTCCTGTGTCTCAATCTGCATGTTAACAGTATCAACCAATACAGAGTTACAGGTCAGGTCTCAGGTCACTGAGACCTAGGAAGCACTGGCTCAGGCCACACTGAGTTGTGACCCTGAAGGTCTCACCTACTAGGCATTGTGATTGGTGTGCAGGGGAAGTCTGTTTCCCAGAGTCAGAAGGACACGGAGTGTCCTAGTGAAGCCCCAAGTGAGAGAAAAGATTAAGGGCTTGTTGAACTTCTATTCTGTGTTTCACCCTCTCTTTCTGCTCTTTGGGCAGAAATAGGCCCTCTCAGTGTTCACACATAGTACTGTGCACCTGCCACTTTGAGTTGTATTTATGTACAAGCTGGCTTCTCTCACTGGACTCGGACATCCTAAACAGTCTCACCCTTTTTGGTCTCACCAGCACCTGGCAGAGGCACTTCCCCCAGAAAATCTTTGCAGACCCTCCTGGCCTTTGGGAAGGTGCCCAGCACTGCTCCATCTTCTTTGGCCTGTAATTCCCTGCTGACTTAGAGTTTTGCCATTTGTAGGTTTTTCCTACAAGGCTCTGAGCTCTTTGAGGGCAGAGGCTGGGTCATTCATCTTAGTACTCTTGGTACACAAGAAAAAATAATTATAAGTTTCAATTAAGTTCCAACGAAGCACTGATATTTTGTGAGCTGGAGCCATTGTTCTATTTTGCTCAGAGAGGAAAAAAATAATCTAATCAGGAGAAATGTCTCTACTAAGGTTTATCGCACTTTTTTTTTTTTCTTAAAATGTCGGTGCCTACTAATGTTTGTGTATTTTGGAATTCCAAATACACAATAAATCTATCACAATAAATCTATCTTGCAGTGATATTTAAAAACCCATTATGAAATTCTGAACCCAGTATTTCATCTAGAACAACCATTTAAAAATTATTTTGATGCTAGTATTTTGAGAATGCCATGTGATAAGAAGCATCATGAATAACCTTGAGAACCAGTGAGTTCAGTAAATGTATGTTAAATGAGTGAAAAAAGGAGAATGAGAAGGCATCTTTCTAGTGTAGGTGAGCACTTAGGTTCTCTAACAGAGGCCAGATATGTACAGTTAAAATGAAGTGGAAAGTCATTCAATTGCTTAGAAATTTTAGAAAGACTGGAAGACAAATATGGACAAAGTAATGCTTTTAAAAATCCAATTTTTACCTGACTTATTCAGGCTTTGTTTTATTTTAGAACAGCAGCATTAGCTTGGGGTGAACATCTTAATGGGGACAAAAATGCATTACAGTTAGAGCAGCTTTTGTCAGAAATACTGCATGGTGACAACAAGAACCTTTAGAATGGCCCTATTACATTCACTGTGCCATTCTAAAATAAAAACTCTCTGTTTAATATAGAGTCATAATGTGTTTACTTAGGAAAATACTGACAGCACTTTCATCTATGTGACATGTTCATTTTGAGATTCATAAAACTGTTTTTCAGAGAGCAGACATGCTCAATATTTCAATACACGTAAAGAAGATAAGGTTAAAATAAGGAAAGAAGAAAAACCACTTAAAATGTGAAAAAATATGCAAAACAAAAACAATAACATTTGAAAAAGGGTATTCCAGAGACTGTTTCCCCTAATAGTTATTATTCATATAATGATTTAAGATACTTATACAAACAGGGATAACAGCTGTGGAAATTCAATACAAGACAATGTTTAAATATCTTAAATGGGAATGAAGAGATTAATACTATGTGGAAATATCCCCAGAAGGAGTTAAAACACATGAAATGTATCCCATTTATGTTTGTGTTTAATGTAACATACCTATATGTTATTTTTTTTACAACTAAAACAATGTAGGTTACCTGTGATTCTCTCTTTTGTACTTCATAATACCTGTATATTGAAGAACAGCTTTACTTGGCCATCTCTCCAGATATTAAGCATATGAGAGCAAACATTATGCTTTCCAAAGCTACATTCTGTATATTCTGTCTTAAACCTAGCTGATATCTATACGAAAGATAGAATCAAATAATCAGTTAACCTTTTCAAAAAATCTGTGTTCTACTCAAGGTAAAAATTTGTTGGAGAGTGAATAAAGATGGCATTGAGAAGGTGGAGCAAGATGGCAGATCCCCGTGCCTCCCGCCCACCCCACCCTTCACAAGGACACCAATTAACAACTATCTACACAAGAAGAGCACGTCATAAGAACTAAAAATCAGGTGCATACTCACAATACCTGGTTTTAATATCATGTCACTGAAAGAGGTACTGAAGAGGTAGAGAGAAACAGACTTGAACCACCATGTAAACTGCCACCTCTCCTCCCTACCCCCAGCAGTGGCCAGGTGTGAAGAGCATCTCTAGGCTCTAAGGGAGGGACAACACAACAATTGTAAGGCTTTGAACTCAGTGGTGTACTGTTAGAGAAGAAGGGAAAACTGGACCAAATTCAGCTGATGCCCTCCCACAGAGGGTGTGTTTATATTAGCCCTAGCTGGAGGGGAATCACTACTCCCAGAGGCTGGAACTTGAGTTCCCTCAAACCTTGCCACTGTGGGCTAAAGTACCCTAGGGCCCTAATGAACTTGAAAGGCAGTCTAAGCTACAAGGACTACAACTTTTACAGGAGTCCTAGTGCTGAATTGGGTGCAGAGATAGTAGACTCAGGGGCACGTGACCTATCAAGACACCAGCCAGGGTGGCTACCAGCTACTGGAATGCTGTTATTCCCCTCTTCTAACCACAGGCTGCACAGCTTGTGGTTCCAAAATAGATACCTTCTTTCCACTTGAGGAGAGGAGAGGGAAGAGTGGGGAAGACTTTGTCTTGCATCTTGGATACCAGCTCAGCCAAACAGGATATGGCACTAATCGGAGTCATGAGGTGCTCTTTTAAGGCCCTAGCTTCTGTATGACATTGCTAGACACACCCTGGGCCAGAAGGGAACATGCTGCCTTGAAGGGAAGCACCCAGTCCTGGCAGGATTCATCACCTGCTAACTAAAGAGCCCAGGACCATCAAGGCAGTACCTGTACAAGTCTGCAAGAACCACAGCATTACTGGGCTCGGGGTGCCCCCTAAAGCAGACACAGCTAACATCACAACACCCAAGTCCTATCTGCAAAGTTATCCTGAGAAGGATGGGTACAAAGGAGCCCAGGCAGTGACGACTACAATAAATACTTAACTCTTTAATGCCCAGACACAGACAAACATCTACAACTATCAAGACACTGTTGATAGTTGTAGGAAAAAAAGGACCTCACCAAATGAACTAAATAAGCCACCAAGGATTAATCTTGAAGAAACAGAGATATATGACCTTTCGGACAGAGAATTCAAAATATCAGTTTTGAGGAAACCCAAAGAAATTCAAGAGAACACAGAGAAGGAATTCAGAATTCTATCAGATAAATTTAACAAAGATAATGAAATAATTAAAAAGAATCAAGCAGACATTCTGGAGCTGAAAAATGCAATTGGCATAATGAAGAATGCATCTGAGTCTCAAAAGCAGAATTGATCAAGCTGAAGAAAGAATTAATGAACTTGAAGACAGGCTGTTTGGAAATATGCAGTCAGAGGAGAAAAAAGAAAAAAGAATAAAAAACAATGAAGCATGCCTACAGGATCTAGAAAATAGACTCAACAGGGCAAATCTAAGAGTTGTTGGCCTTAGAGAGAAGGTAGAGAAAGAGAAGGGTAGAAAGTTTATTCAAAGGGATAACAGAGAACTTCCCAAACCTAGAGAAAGATATCAATATCCAATTACAAGAAGGTTATAGAAGGTTACAGAATACCAAGTAGATTTAACCCAAAGAAGATTATCGCAAGGGATTTAATAAATAAATTCCCAAAGGTCAAGGATGAAGAAAGGATCCTAAAAGCAGCAAGAGAAAAGAAACAACATACAATGGACTTCCAATATATCTGGTAGCAGACTTTTCAGTGGAAATGTTACAGGCCAGGAGAGAGTGGCATAACATATGTAAAGTGCTGAAGGAAAAAAAAACTTTTACCCTAGAATAATAAATATGACAAAAATATCCTTCAAACATGAAGGAGAAATAAAGACTTTCCCAAACAAACAAAAGCTGAAGGATTTCATCAACACTAGACCTATCTTACAAGAAATGCTAACAGAGTACTTCAATCAGAAAGAAAAGGAAGTTAATAAGTAATAAGTAATCACCTGAAGGTACAAAACTCACTGAAAGTACACAGAAAAACACAGAGTACTATAACATTGTAACTGTGGTATGTAAACTACTCTTATTCTAAGCAGAAAGACTAAACTATGAACCAGTCAAAAATAATAACTTCAACAACTTTTCAAGACATAGACAGTACAATAAGATATAAATAGAAACAAAAAGTTAAAAAGTGGGGGGATGGGCAAGGCACGGTGGCTCATGCCTGTAATCCCAGCACTTTGGGAGGCTGAGGCAGGTGGATCATGAGGTGAGGAGATTGAGACCATCCTGGCTAACATGGTGAAACCCCGTCTCTACTAAAAATACAAAAAATTAGCCGGGTGTGGTGGCGGACGCCTGTAGTCCCAGCTACTCGGCAGGCTGAGGCAGGAGAATAGTGTGAACTCAGGAGGCAGAGCTTGCAGTGAGCTGAGATCCTGCCACTACAGTCCAGCCTGGTCAACAGAGCAAGACTACATCTCAAAAAAAAAAAACTGGGAGGATGAAGTTAAGGCCTAGAGTGTTCATTAATTTTCATTTTGCTTCTTTATTTGTTTATGCAAACAGTGTTAAGTTGTTATCAGTTTAAAATTAAGGATAATAATATAGTATTTGCAAGCCTCATGGTAACCTCAAACCAAAATACATACAATGAATGCACAAAAAATACAAAAAACAAGAAACTAAATCATGTCACCAGAGAAAATCACCTTCACTAAAAGAAGACAAGAAGGAAAGAAAGAAGAAAGAGAAGACCACAGTACAACCAGAAAACAACAAAATGGCAAGAGTAAATCCTTACTTATCAATAATAACATCGAATGTAAAGGGACTAAACTCTCCAATCAAAACATACAGAGTGCCTGAATGGATAAAAACATAAGACCCCTTGATCTGTTGCCTATAAGAAACAGACTTCTATAAAGACACACATAGACTTAAAATAAAGGGATGGAATAAGGTATTCCATGCCAACAGAAATCAAAAAAGAGCAGGAGTAGCTACACTTATATCAGTCAAAATGAATCTCAATACAAAAACTGTAAGAAGAGACAAGGTCACTATATAATGATAAAGAGGGTAATTCAACAAGAGGATATAACAATTTTAAATATATGTGCATCCAACCAGAAATAAATAAAACAACCAGATATATACAGCAAATATGATTAGATCTAAAGAAACAGGCCCCAGTACAGTAATGGCTAGAGACTTCAACACTCCACTTTCAGCATTGGATAAGTCTTCCAGACAGAAAGTCAATAATCATCAGACTTAATCTGCACTATAGACCAAACAGACTTAACAGATATTTACAGAACATTTCACACATACTCTTTTCCTCAGCACATGGATCATTCTCAAGGATAGATCACATGTTAGGTCATAAAACAAGTCTTAAAACATTAAAAAACTGAAATAATATCAACCATCTTTTCTGATCTCAATGAAATAAAACTAGAAATCAATAACAAGAGGAATTTTGGAAACTATGAAAATATATGGAAATCAAACAACATGCTCCTGAATGACCAGTGGGTCAATGAAGAAATTAAGAAGGAAATTGAGAAATTTCTCAAAACAAGTGGTTATAATAACACAAAACACCAAAACCTATAGGATACAGTAAAAGCAGTACTAAGAGTGAACTTTATAGATGTAAGTGCCTACATCAACAAAGAAGAAAAACTTCAAATGAATAACCTAATGATGCATCTTCAAGAACTAGAAAAGCAAGATAATACCAAACCTCAAATTAGTAGAAGAAAAGAAATAATAAAGATCAGAGAGAAATAAATGAATTTGAAATGAGGAAAACAATAAAAAAAGATCACTGAAACAAAAATTTGGTTTCTTGAAAAGTTAAACAAAATAGGAAAACCTTTAGCTAGACTAAGAAAAAAAGAGAGAAGATCCAAATAAACAAAGTCAAAAATGAAAAAGGAGACATTACAGCTGATGCCGCAAACATTCAAAGGATCATTAGAGGCTACTATGAGTAACCGTGTACTGATAAATTGGAAAATCTAGAAGAAACGGACAAATTCTTAGACACATACAACCTACCACGATTGAACCAGAAAGAAATCCAAAATCAGAACAGATGAGGAGAAAAGGGGGAACCATTGTACACTGTTGGTGGGAACATAAGATTATAAGAATGTAAGTTGGTGGGAACAATAACAAGTAACAAGATCAAAGTCATAATAAAAAGTCTCCCTGTAAAAAAAAGCCTGGGACCTGATGGCTTCACTACTGAATTCCATCAAACATTTAAAGAAGAACCAATAACAATCCTACTCAAACTATTCTGAAAAATAGAGGAGGAGGGAATACTTCCATTCCATGAGGCCAGTATTATCTTGATACCAAAACCAGACAAAGACACATCAAAAAAAGAAAACTACAGGTCAATATATCTGATGACTATTGATGCAAAAGTCCTCAACAAAATACTAGCAAACCAAATTCAACAATACATTAAAAAGATCATTCATCATGACCCAGTAGGATTTATCCCTAGAATGCAAAAATTAATTCAATATATGCAAATCGATCAATGTGATATATCACATCAACAGAATGAAGGACAAAAAACATATGAACATGTCAGCTGGGCGCGGTGGCTCACACCTGTAATCCCAGCACTTTGGGAGGCCAAGGAGGGTGGATTAAGAGGTCAGGAGATCGAGACCATCCTGGCTAACATGGTGAAACCCTGTCTCTACTAAAAATACAAAAATTAGCGGGGCGTGGTGGTGGGCACCTGTAGTCCCAGCTACTCGGGAGGCTGAGGCAGGAGAATGGCGTGTACCTGGGAGGCGGAGCTTGCAATGAGCTGAGATCGCACCAATGCACTCCAGCCTGGGTGACAGAGTGAGACTCTGTCTCAAAAACAAAACAAACAAACAAAGAACATGTCAATTGATGCTGAAAAATCATCTGATATTATAAAATTCAACATTCCTTAATGATTAAAAACCCTCAAAAAACCGGGTATAGAAGAAACATACTTCAACATAATAAAAGCCATATATGACAGAAACACAGCTAGTATACTGAATGGGAAAAAAATGGAAAGCCTTTCCTCTAAAATCTGGAACATGACAAGGATGCACATTTTAACCACCATAATTAAACATAGTACTGGAAGTCCTGAGTAGAGCAATCAGATTAGAGAAAGAAATAAAGGGCATTCGAATTGGAAAGGAAGAAGTCAAATTTTCCTTGTTTGCAGACGATATGATCTTATATTTGGAAAAACCTAAAGATTCCACTTAAAAAAAAATTAGAACTGATAAATTCAGTAAAGTTGCAGTGTATAAAATCAACATAGAAAAATCAGTAGCATTTCTACATGCCAACAGCAAACAATCTGAAAAAGAAACCAAAAAAAGTAATCCCATTACAACAACCACAAATAAAATTAAATACCTAGGAATTAAGTTAACCAAAGCAGTGAAAGATCTTTATAAGGAAAATCATAAAACACTGATGAAATAAATTGAAGAGGACACCAAAAAATGGAAAGTTATTTCTTGTCCATGGATTGGAAGAATCAATATTGTTAAAATGTCCATACTACCCCAAACAATCTAAAGATTCTATGCAATCTCTATCAAAGTACCAAACACATTTCTCAGAGAAATAGTAAAAGCTATCTTAAAATTTATATGGAACCACAAAAGACCCAGAATTGCCACAGCTACCCTGAGCAAAAAGAAAAACTGGAGGAATCACATTACCTGATTTCAAATTATTCTACAGAGCTATAGTAACCAAAACAGCATGGTACTGGCATAAAAACAGACACACAGATCAATAGAACAGAATAGAGAATCCAGAAATAAATCAACACACCTACAATGAACTCATTTTTGACAAAGGTACCAAGAACATACACAGAGGAAAAGACAGTCTCTTCAATAAATGGTGCTGGAAAAACTGGATATCCAAACGCAGAAGAATGAAACTAGATCCCTATCTTTCACCATATACAAAAAATCAAATCAAAATGAATTAAAGGTGGCTCATGCCTGCAATCCCAGCACTTTGGGAGGCCAAGGCGGGTAGATCACCTGAGGTCAGGAATTTGAGACCAGCCTGACAAACATGGTGAACCCCCCATTGCTACTAAAAATACAAAAAACTAGCTGGGCATGGTGGTGCATGCCTGCAGTCCCAGCTACTTGGGAGGCTGGGGCAGGAGAATCACTTGAACCCAGGAGGCAGAGGTTGGAGTGAACCGAGATCGCGCCACTGCACTCCAGCCTGAGTGACAGAGTGAGACTCCATCTCAAACAAACAAAATGAATTAAAGACTTCATCTAAGACATCAGACTATGAAACTTTTACAAGAAAACACTAGGGAACATCTCTAGTACACTGGGCTGGACAAAAATTCCTGAGTAGTATCCCACAAGCATAGGCAACCAACGCAAAAATAGTCAAGAGGGATCACATCAAGTTAAAAAGCTTCTCCACAACAAAGGAAACAATCAACATAGTGAAACGACAAGTCACATAATGGGGGACAATATTTGCAAACTGCCTGTCTGACAAGGGATTGATAACCAGAATATATAAAAAGATCAAACAAATTCATAGGACAAAATATAATAATCTGATCAAAAAATGGGCAAAACATCTGAATAGATATTTCTCAAAAGAAGACAGAGAGACGGCAAACAGGCATGTGAAAATTTGCTCAACATCAAAGATCATCATAGAAATGCAAATCACAGCTACAATGAGATATCATCTCACCCCACTTAGAAGGGCTTATATCCAAAAGACAGGCCATAACAAATGCTGGTAAAGATGTGGAGAAAAGGGAACCATTGTACACTGTTGCTGAGAACGTAAATTACTACAACCACTATGGAGAAGAGTTTGGAGGTTCCTCCAAAAACTAAAAGTAGAGCTACCATATGATCCAGCAACCCCACTGCTGGGTACATACCCAAAAGAAAGGAAATCAGCATATTGAAGAGATATCTGCACTCCCGTGTTTGTTGTGGCACTGTTTACAATAGCCAAGATTTGGAAGCAACCTAAGTGTCCAGCTACAGAATGAATAAAGAAAATATGGTACATATACACAATGGAGTAATATTCAGCCATAAAAAGAATGAGATCCTGTAATTTGCAACAACATGAATGGAACTGGAGTTCATTATGTTAAGTAAAATAAGCCAGGTACAGAAAGAAAAACATTGCATGTTCTCACTTATTTGTGGGATCTGAAAATCAAAACAATTGAATTCATGGACACAGAGAGTAGAGGGATGGTTACCAGAGGCCAGGAAGGGTATTGGGGTGTGGGGTGGGAGATAGGTGGGGATGGATAATGGGTGGAAAAAAAATAGTTAGAAGGAATGAATAAGACCTACCATTTGATAGCACAACAGTGTGACTGTAGTTAATAATAACTTAATTGTACATTTTAAAATCACTAAAAGAGTATAATTGGATAGTTTGTAACACAAAGGATAAATGCTTGAGAGGATATGCTGTTCTCCATGATATAATTATTATGAATTGCATGCCTGTATCATAACATTTCATGTACCCCATACATATATACACCTCGTGTGTGTGTGTGTGTGTGTGTGTGTGTGTGTATCTACTGTGTAGCCACAAAAATTAAAAACTAAAAAAAAATTGTTGGAGAGGATTTATGGTCTTCTTTCACTTCAGTACGTTATTTATTATGTCTGTTGAATCAAAATCATGTCTTCCCATTATTCTACCTTTAATATAATGTATTCTCAGCAAACTGGTCCTGTTACAAAGCTCATGCTGGTTCCATCTTTGTCCTTTTTGTTTTTTTAAAAAACACATCAACTTCCAGGAAGTATACAAGTGATAGAATCAATTCACTCAGCACTCCTCACATAGCAAAACATTTTTGCTCATTCCAGGAAGAGTGGGCAGCAGCTACTAGAAAGACTTTGCATGATGATGAAGGAATAAAGGCTCTACTCAGCAGCCCTGACACAGCTATTCCCAACCTCCCACTAAAGTACTCTCTGATATACAGAAGAAATAATAAGTAAAATGACAAGTTGTTTTCTTTTTTGGTGGGGGTGTGGGGAAGTATGATGATTCTCTATTCTCACATATCCATGGAAGAGCACTGGTAATGAAAGCAGCCCAGTTGGTTCAGCTTTTAGCAAAGAATAACTCTTGGGAGAGAAGTGGATATTGGCAGCAAAATATAGAACATAATCAGATAAAGGAGGCACAACAAATATCTACTTTATAAATTTCTAGGATGTTAAATAGTTATGTCTATGTATACAAGTTGGCTCTCCATAACTTTGGGTTCCACATCTGTGATTAAATTAACAGTGGATTTGATCTGATCCCTCAAAACCTGAGCATACAGGACCTGTGGATATGGAGGACCAACTGTAAGGGACTTGAACATCAAGAGTTTTGATATTCTTGGGGGTTCTAGAATCAATCTTCCATGGATACTGGCTGTATATATACAGCCATCCCTCAGTACCACATGGAAGATTGTGTGTGTGTGTGTGTGTGTGTGTGTGTATATACATATATATATACACATATACATATACACATACATAGACGTATATGTGTGTATGTATATACATATACACATATACATATATACACATACATATACATATACACATATACATATACATATATACACATACATATACATATACACAATACATATATAACATGCATATGCCCATATACGCATATGTACATATGCGTATATGTACATATGTGTACATGTGTATCTGTACATGCACATGTGTATATCTACATGTGTATATACACGTGTATATGTACACACATGTGTGTATATATGTACATGTGTATATGCACGTATGTGTATATGTATATATACGTATATGTACATGTGTATACGCATATGTACATATACGTATATGTACACATGTATATATACACACTCATATATATCTTAATATATAAGTACATATTGTATATGTACATATGTGTATATGTACATATACACACACTCATATATATCTTATATATATCAATATATATACACACAGTCTATAGACATAGATATAAACACACATACACATAAACTATAAGGTACTGAGCATATATATATAATATAGTACTATAAACACACATACACATAAACTATAAGGTACTAAGCATAACAATGGGCACAGAGTAGGTACTTGGCTCTCATCAGCTATTCATATTGTCATCATAATTCCTACTTCATCCATGACACTTTCCAACCTCACTAATCCTCCTGGTTAGAAGAGTGACTCTATCAATGGTGTAGGACCAAGGTGGTTTTTATGTTGTTTTGTTTTTAAATTTCCAATCAGCCATGGAGCACTACTTTTGTCAAATACAATAAAAATGAATAATAAAGTGAAAAAAACTTGCAAAACACAAGCCCCAATTAGTTTTCACTATTAGATTTAATAGACATAAAACTGCTGTGTCAAATTGCTATAAAGGTTTCTAAATGCTTGTTCTCAATTTCTGTCTTTGTTATTGGTTTAGAGAAATAATAACCAATAACAACTGTTTTGCAAATGAGCACAGGCCCACAGATTACATATTGAGTAGCCATGTTCTAACACTTCTTGTCTGTATCAAATATCAGAACTAGCATTGTTAGGGATAATCTATTTTATAGTAGTAGCTGACAGTTAAAACTGTACCTCTACCTCTTACTCTTTGGGCAAGTTATCTAAACTATTTCGAGCACTAAGTCATGCAATTATAAAATTGAGATATTAATTAATTTACCAGGTTGTTGTTTGGATTGTGAGTATTAAATAATAAGATCTTTGTAGTTAGCACAGCACTGGGCACATAGTGAGCTGTCAATTGATGTTAAGTCTCCTTATTTTTATACTTTTGTACTTTCTCTACAAGTCTTTTGAGGCTAAGAATCCTATCACATTATTACTTGTATTCCCAGCATCTAAGGGAGTGTCCAACTGCCCAGGCTGCTCAGTTAATGATGATTATTTGTCATGAAGAAGCAGAAATATTAAGAAATATGAAAAAATATAAGCAATTCACCACACTGATGGAAAACATATAATAGCATTGCTCTATTCCAAATAATTCGTAAGTAATTAAAGCATTAACAAATAACACACATAGGTTATCATAGGTCTCAGCAAAAGTCAGTCTCATGAAGTAAAGGTCTTCAGCAATGTGTTACCCAGTTGGGTAGAAATAGGTAATATAATTAAATAGAAATGGGATGCACGTAGCTCTTCTTTTATTGAGGAGTTTTTACATAGATTGTCATACAACTCTCGTAACAAACCTATAGGGTAGACATTGCCATTTTATAAATAAGGAAACTGAAATCAGAGAGATCACTTCGTTACTGGATGTCCAGTTAATATCCCTGCACATTTAAATTTAAGACTGGTATCTCCAGAGTCTCTGATCCTTCTTTCTCTGTCAAGAATTCCTAGGCAACATGATCTAGCACAAACTTCCAGGGCTAAGCCCTCAGAGGGCTCAAGAAGTTATCACAGCTAGCAGAAGTAGAGGCCTCATGCCCTGAAAGGTTGGTTGGCTGAGTCCATCCATGATGCATGAATTGTCAATCTTCCTCCATGGTCTAGGCTTCCATACTTTTCTGTAATAACTTGGAATCACTAGAGTTAAATTATTTTATTCAGCAAGGGAGCCTATAAATTCAGCACTTAATACCTGTTCATGGTTTATCACACACATAAACTTACAGTATTTGATTTCCATTTCATATGAGTTGTGAAATATTTGATCCAAAGTTAAAAAATATATGTCTTATGGCTTATAACTAAAGCTTTACAAACTCAGAAAATCAGCAAACATGCATGTATTAAGTTCCTACTACACACACATCAGGCCAAAGGCAGTGTCTTGCTTTCCATCTCGATGACATAACAATTCCATTGAGTTAGTTTGTAATGAAAGTTTGTAGGATGTAGGTGTCCCCTTCACTGCAAATGCATCTACCAATGGGCTTCTAATATATTTCAGAAAACAGTGTAAATGTTATTTCACTAGAATTACCATAAGGAAATGCATCTCTCATCTTCTGTGCAATCATCCTGCTCTGCTCCATTGTCTCTTTCAATCCCTCCTCCACCCCAGCCCAGGAGATGCAGTAACTGTCTTTTCCTCCAAATGGGCTTGCTCCACTTTAGAGAGTCTTATTAGCATCTACGACTTTTTGATTCAGCTTGAGGTGCCACAGACATGCCTTTGAAAATCTGAGGATACTCTATCAAAGAAGGTTTAGCAGTCAGGGTCCCAGAAAGTAACCAAGGGTGCAGTCAAACTTAGAGTGTTTAGAAATGGGTTGTTTAAAAACGGTGTTGGCAAATGTTGAGAAACCCCAGGGACAGTGCAGCACCCTGGGATTAGGTGATAAGCAGTAGGTGATACTACCCTTCTGAGGCATGCAGGCACAAGGAGAGAAAGTAGTTAACAGAATCTAGTGACAGAGAGGGATGGGTGGAGAGTGGTCTTCCCACCAAAGCTGTGAATATAGGTAGGTCAAGAGAAGCCATCAGCTTAGGTGACTGTGCAGGAAACAAATATTCCCAGCCACTCCATCCTCCCTTTCATCTCCTGTCAGTGCTTGCTATGGGTCCAACCAATTGATGTAACCATTATAGATCAGTCTCCTGGGACAGAGGAGGAAAGGGAGAGAAGGTAATATTCTGCAGGGGCAAATGGTGGATATCCAGCCAGGAGGACTGTCCTGTTGGACCATTTTCCCTCAGGTTCTGTGTACTGATTGCTTGATGATAAAATATAATGAGAGAGATTTCAAGCTTACTGTATGTTGCTAAGTGTAATATCCAGACCTAAAATAAGAAGGAAATGAAACTCAGATCTACCTCAAGTTGTGTAACAATTCCGTTGCATTTTAGCACTATTAAGACAAGTATTTCATGTCACTCGATATATAAAAACAAGATTGTTTTCAGCGTTTAAAACATTCTTGATGAGGAAATGAACCCCAACATCCTCCAGAAAAGAGCTACCCCTACTTATGAGACAAACTTACACAATTTTTTTACATTTCCAAAACTGATCGTGTTTTCTGTGGCTTGTTTGTATAACACTGAATTTACTTCTGGCTGTTCATTTATACACAATCAGCACAGCCAGCAGTGCTTGCTCTGTTGATTGCAAGTTAGTGTTTCAGGGTTTTAACAGGTAGGCAAAATCAATTCAACATGAGTAATCTTTCTCTTAATGCATCCTCTTCATTTAGTTTGGGTCTGCATTCTTAACTTTAACCAGTCACATAAAAAGTTACTAAGAACACTCTTCATTTCCAGCAGCTTCCTCACTACAAAACTCCCTGTTAAAGCAGAATGGATGTTGGAAATCGCTGGAACTCTTTAATTACCATGTTGATACAACTGTGGAGCAGATGGAATTAAAAAATGTTTCTTTAATTCCGTAATTGATGGGGGAAAAGGCTGCCTTCATAGTTGCCAGGTATATAGATGTTATAAACAGGATACGGTTTATTAGAAATTCCTTCTTAGTTTTTGTAAATTGGATGTTGTCAGCAATCTTCGCTCTCATCATTAATTGGGCTAATATTTTAAAAAGGATTTTTTGGTATATACAACAGTCCATGGTTGGTATCAGAGACAGATTATTTACTGACTGACTGGTAGTCTGCTTTCTATATGGATATCTCAGTTTGGGAAGAAAACTAAAATCCACTCTTTAAGCTCTTCTTTGGAAGCACACTTTTACGAAAGACTTGGCAAGGCAGGGACCATCATCTGCTCCCGGTTTAGTGCAGTTCAGCATGAAACCCTGCACTGCCCTCCCCGGATGCTGATTAGTACTAAGAGCAAGATTGGGCTGATTATTTCACTTGGATGAATTTATGAAATGATGAGTAAGAAACAATATAGATAAATGAGTTCATACATTTTATTTTGTGTTATATTTAAAAAGTATTTGCAAAGATAAATTAGGTAATCTAGCTTTAAGTAAACTGAAACTTTTGTTTAAACTTTTGTTTAACTGTCCAACATTAATCCTAGCAACTTGATAAAGGTAGAACACCAACTACACCCCAGCAATTTTGCTTCTGATAAAAATGAGACCCTGACTTGTAAGTTGCATCTGAACTAGGGAGAATTGTAAATAAATTATAAGTACCTTCACTTTTGTAACTGGGCATACGTCTCATGGAGACCCTGAAAACTGTGTCTATTCAACTGTTCCAAGAGATACTGGCTTCTGTGGGAGGCTGGGTGCCTCCCCCATCCCTACCTCTACCCTGTCTGATGTGGATCTCACATTCTTGCACCTGAGATGTGTCACCTAGAGAAAAGAGCTCTTGAACTGCCTAGTGGGCTGTCACTGGCACGGACTGCTGCATGGAACAATAGAGAGAAACAACTGATGTTGCCCCCAGGGTTCTCATCCTTTATCCTTCTAAGCAGACTGAGAGTCTTCTGAGTCTGAATGGTTAGTAGAGCCTAAGAAAACTCCCTGGAGGGCACTGCACATCTATAAAATGGAGAACTGTGCATCTGTCAAAAAAATGAGAAAGATCTCTATAAACTGATATCGAGTAATTTTCAGCATATGTGTTAAATGAGAAATGAAAAAGAAAACAATGTATTCATTTGTGTATGTGTATAAAAAAGAAAAGTTTTTGTGTGTGTATACACATACATACACATTCATACATACCTGCATACACATTTGCTTACTTTTACAAAACAATGACACATAGGGGACAAACCGATGGTAATAGTGCTTATTTACAGTAGGCGGGTGGGAATACAGTAGTGGAAATAGGGACAGTTAGAAGTCAGATTTCTTAGAGTGTAACTTTTTACAGAACTTTGACTTTTGAGCTATGTATTTAATGCTCAAAATTTTTTAATTCTAAAACTGAATACAAACACAAATAAACCTTAATATATGCTAAATTGTTAATATAACTATACATGGAAGAATCCATTTAGGCAAATTTTAAACATTACACTCTGTATATCCTTGGTTGGATATAAACAAGGAAATCTTAATTTCACCTGGTAGGATTCTGTTGGTAGTGACACTGTTATTGTCATTATGAAACTATTATATACAATATAATAACAAAAATATATAAAAATTTAAGTAAATGGAATATTCTTATGAACCAATATTATCAACATAAGAGAAAAGAGAAATACAGAAGTTAAGAAAAACTGTAATATTGCAACTGAATTAGAATTATTCACAGGACCCTGTGATTTTTAAAATGTATTTCCTTGCTCTTTCCACTGGAAAGTCTCAGAAGCAATGATACGGCAGTAGCGATGAACATATATAGAGTATCTGGATCCCGGGTTCTAAATACCATTCCCCACAAAAAGGAACCAGAGCTGGATGGAGAAATAGTGATTCAAGGTCTGACACAGAAAAATCCTAAGGTGAGCCAAGGGCATCTTGTGCCAGACAGTAGAGAAATGCTTAAAGACCAATGGGTTCACATAAACAGAAACAGAAGTCAGTTTGAAGAGGCTCCTGGCCAAAGTCAGAGTAATTTAAGCATCTAACAAATAATATATGCAATAGATTTTACTAGACTGAATAAATACAAATTCATGTCCATAGTAACACTAAATAGGGGAATACAAGGCTTCGTCTTACAGAAAAGTGCGAGCTAATGATAGAATGAAAAAACATCATTTTTCACCAATAAAATAATTGATTTACTCAATGATTACCAATGGATTCTGAAACTGTAACATGAGAGACTGAGAACAAAACCTTTGTATGGGGCCCAAATATCACATATTCTGCACTAGTTATAAGGGAAAAAAATGTACTTTCATCATGAAGCAATGTTTTAGTGACCACTTTTAGAAAACATCACTAATGAGGGACCACCTGACATTGTGTGCCTCATAACTGATGCAACAGGAGATACTCACTCATCTACTAGTCTTCCCACAAAGTATTTAACTTGAATATCACCAAATTTCTAGACCTAATTTTCAAGTTACAGAAACAAAAAAGACAAAGGAAGAAGTTGAATGATATTAAGAAGAAACAATAAGACATATCAAACATGGGAATTTCTAAAATACAGTTCTCTTGGGCTCCTTGCAAAATCAGTGCTGTGTAGGGGAAAAATACAGGGAGATTGTTCTAGGTGAGTTTGGATTAGATCCTGCATGGGAAAAAAATAGCTGTATATAATAGTTGGGACAATTGGGGAAACTCTGGATATTAGATGAGACTATAGAATTATTGCTAATTTGACTAGCTGTGATAATGGTACTGTGATTAAGTAGGAGATGGCCTTTATTCTTTGATAATATATACTGAAGTAGTTCAGCAGTAGTTTTATGACATCTGTGGCCTTTTAAATGGTATATCTTTCTGTAGGTTTTAAAATGTCATTATTAGAAAGTCGGGGCAAAAAATAAAAGGAAGAAAATTATCATTGACAACAAAACTAAATTGTGGTATATCTTTCTGTATGTTTTAAAATTTCATAATGAGAAAGTTGGGGCAAAAAAGTAAAAGGAAGAAAATTATCATTGACAACAAAACTAAATTGTAGCTACTTAGAATTATGATGAAATTAAATTTATTAATTTTTTTCTCTCATGGCTTATGCTTTTTGTCTTCCAAGACATACTGACCATATATCTGTGAGTTTATATTTGGAGTCTCTAATGTGAGCAAATGACTTACAGTATCTTTTTTATTTTTTTTTTTTGAGACAGAGACTCGCTCCATCACCCAAGCTGGGGTGCAATGGCATGATCTCAGCTCAACGCAACCTCTGCCTCCCAGGTTCAAGCAATTCTCCTGCCTCAGCCTCCCAAGTAGTTGGGATTCCAGGCGCCCACCACCACGTCTGGCTTATTTTTGTATTTTTAGTGGAGAAGGCGATTCACAATGTGGGCCAGGCTGGTCTCGAACTCCTGACCTCAGGTGATTTGCCTGCCTTGGCCTCCCAAAGTGCTGGGATTACTGAGCCACTGCGCCCAGCTGACTTACACTATCTTTATAGGAAATTTATCATCAGCTTTTGTAAGCCTCTCTACTTTGTGCTTCTATTTCAAAATTGTTTTGGATAGTCTGGATGCTTTGCATTTCTGTATACATTTATAGAATCACTTTGTCAATTTCTACAAAAAACCTTTTGGGATCTTCATTGAGGTTGAATTAGATTAACTAGGGGAAATTAAAGGTCCTAAAAATATTAACTCTACTGGTCCATGAACATGGTATCTCTTCATATATTTATATCTTTTTAAATTTCTCAGTGCTGTTTTATTGTTTTTTCAGAGTTTAGGTCTTGCACATTTTTTCCTTTTAAAAATATTTTATTACTTATAAAATACAATAGGGTTTATAATGACACATAAGAAACAATATAAACTTACAAATTGCTTTTAAAAGTTGGTGTCATAATTTTATATAGTAAAATAATACTTTATTAATGTGATATATTGAGTAATCATAAAACTTTCTGGCTCACTTTTCTATAAATTAATGAGGTTAACAAAATTTATACTTTTAGCAACTTTATTTTCAATCATATAAATGAAAACAATGTCAGGCGCTTTTGGTAAATGGCATTACATACTGTAAAAAGATTTATCTATATATATTTCAGATTTTAAGTAATATTATAAATGGTATCATTTAGTTCCAATTTCTAGTCATTCATTGCCAGCATACAGAAATACAGTAGGCTTTGGCATCTTAATTTTGTATCCTGACTAAATTTACATCTTAACTCTAGTAGTTAAGAAAAAAAAAATCCTCAGGATATCCTACAAAAACCATGTCTTCTATAAATAAAGGCAGCTTTTCTTCTTCCTTTTCTATCTGTATTTCTTTTTCTCACCTTATTACACTGGTTAGAGTATCTAAAACAATGTTGAAAAGAAGTGATAAATTTTTTTTTTTTTTGAGATAGAGTCTTGCTCTGTCACCCAGGCTGGAGTGCAGTGGTCCAATGTGGCTCACTGCAATCTCTGCCTGCCGGGTTCAAGCAATTCTCCTGCCTCAGCCTCCTGAGTAGCTGGGACTACAGGCATGTGACACCACATCTGGCTAATCTTTGTATTTTTAGCAGAGATGAGGTTTCACCATGTTGTCCAGGCTGGTCTTGAACTCCTGACCTCAGGTGATCTGCCCGCTTCTGCCTCCCAAAATGCTAGGATTACAGGTATGAGCCGCAGCGCCTGGCCAACATTCTTGGTTTGTTCTTAATCATAATAAAAAGGAAGCAGATTTCACCACTGTTGTGGTGTTTGCTATTGATTTGTCATAAATGCTAACAGATTGTGGGAATTCTATTTCTACTTTGCTAATTTCTTTTTAATCACAAATTAATGTTGAATTTTGTAATTTCTTAAATATGTACTGATGTGATCATATGGCTTTCTTTTTTATTTCACTAATACAAGAAATTCTATTAACTGACTTTGAAGTATCAAATCAAACTCATAATCCTGGAATAAACCTCAGTTTGTTATGATCTCTTATCTTTTCTATATATTGCTGGATATGAATAGCTAATATATTTTAAAGGTTTTTTGTATCTATCAATATAAAGGATATTGATCTGTAGGTTTTTTTAATTTAATGTTCATACAAGGGCAGTGATGGTCTCATTAAATGAATTGAGAAGTGTTCCTCCTTTTATTTTTTGAAATACTTTGTGAAGATTCATATTAATTCTTTAAATATTTGAGATAATTAACCAGTTATTTGGACCTTATTTGGGGAGAAGTTTTAAAGTTTTGGATTCCAAACTTAATAGTTATAGAGACATTTAGATTTTTCTGTTTTTTATTTTTATTTATTTTTTTAGACGGAGTCTTGCTCTGTCGCCAGGCTGGAGGGCAGTGGTGCGATCTCAGCTCACTGCAACCTCCGCCTTCTGGGTTCAAGTGATTCTCCTGACTCAGCCTCCTGAGTAGCTGGGACTACAGGCACACACCACCATACCCAGCTAATTTTTGTATTTTTAGTAGAGACGGGGTTTCACCATGTTGGCCAGGAAGGTCTCCATCTCTTGACCTCCTGATCAGCCTGCCTCGGCCTCCCAAAGTGCTGGGATTACAGGCGTGCGCCACCATGCCCAGCCTCTGTTTCTCATTTTGATGTCTTTCAAGAAATTTATGTAAGCTGTTCATCATTGGCATAAAGTTGCTGATAGCATTTCTTTATTCTTTCAATAATTATAAGATTTATCGCGCTACCCTCCTCTTTTTTTCATTCTTGATATTGGTAATTTCTGTTCCCTCCCCTTCAGTCTCATTAGAGGTTTATCAGTTTTATTATTATTACAGTTAACCATCTTTTATCAATAATCTCTATTGTTTGCTGGATTTTTATGACTTCTAATCTAAAATCATTATGATTATCAATATTGTATTAATTTTATCAATTCTGTTTGCCTGATTTTCATGATTTCTGCCTTAAATCATTATTTCATTCTAATTTTGAACTAAAATTTCTCTTATTATTTTAGCTTATTTTTTTGAAATTGTAGGTAATTGAGTTCTTTCTTCCTTACTAACATAAGAAGCATTGAATGCTGTAAAAAGCATTGAATGCTGTAAAATGTCACCTAAGCACTACTTTAGCTGCATTATAAAAATTGTTATTTTCATTCAGTTCAAAACATTTTCTCATTTCTCCTGTTTTTTTTTTAATCCATGATTTATTTGGAAAGGTGTAGTTTGACTACTATTTGTTGTATTTTTCAGATATCTTTCTCTTGTTAATTTCTAATTTAATTCCATTTTGGAATAAATATACTGTGTATATTTAAAATTTTACCTTAAATTTAGATTTTTTTAAATTTAAGAATAATTGGTTAATGGCTCAGCATCTATTGTGATATATATTTATGTGTACTTGAAAAGGATGTATACTCTGCTGCATTTGGATGCAGTGTTTTATAAATTTCAATTAGATTGGCTGACAGTGCTATTCACTCTTCTTTATCCTTTCTCTAGCCTTTCTACTTGTTCTACCAATTATTCGGAAAGGAATGTTAAAATCTCCAATTATTATTGTCAATTTTTCTGTTTCTCCTGTCAGTTCTGTTAGTTTCCTTTTTGGATACCTTGAAGTCCTCTTATTGTTTACATGCACATTTATCATTGTTATGTCTTCTTGATTAAATGTCCTCTTTTTGGCTGTATTCTTTATTCTGAACTCCAGGTCTCTGATATTCATATGTTCTTCCAGATTTCTTATGGTTACTGACTTGGCAGTATATCTTTGTTTATCCTTTTAATCTTTGCCTACTTGTACCTTATATTTTAAGTGAGTATTTTTGTAGATCATGTATATGGTTGGGTCTTGATAATGTCTAGCTTCTAAGTGAAACGTTTAGACCGTTTGCATTTAAAGTGATTACTTATACGGTTGGTTTTAGTCTACCACCTTGCCATTTATTTTCTATTTGCCTCATCTCCTTCTTTTTTTCCCCCTCTTTTTTCTTTCTTGAGCATACTTTGATTTTACATGCCCCCAGTTCCCTGTGCTATTATTGTTTTACATGGTATTTTTACATGTTATTAATCCTACAATACATGTTACTCTTTTTGTTTTAACCAATCAAGAAATATTTAAGGAAAAAAAGAAAAGGAAAGAAAGTATTTCATGTTTACCCACATTTTCCATTTAAGACAGACTTCACTGCTTTGTGCAGATCTGTTTCTACATGGTATTACTTACTTTGTGGCTGAATAACTTTAATACTTCTTGCATTACAGTTCTGTTTGACACATATTTTCTCAGTTATTGATGACTGGATAAAGCTTTTATTTAGGCTTCAATCTTGAACGATAGATTGGGGAGAATATAAAGATTCCTGGTTGTTTCTTTCAGCACTTTAAAATGTCATTCCATTATCTTCTGGCTTGCATAGTGTTTGGGAGAAGTTTGTAGTCATACTTACTTTTGTTTCTCCATACACTGTGCATGTATCTGGTTTCTGGCTCTTTTTAAGACTGCTGTTTATTACTGGCTTTTACTAATAGTGTATATTGGCGTGGTTTATCTTGCTTGGAGTTTATTGAACTCTTTGGAACTGTGACTTTACAGAATTCATCAAATTTGGAAAACTGTTGGCTATTAGTTCTTCAAATAAATTTTGTGCACTGCTCCCTTCCAAATTCTGGAAGTTCAATTACATATATGTTACACAGCTTGACACGGAGGCTGTGTCAATTTTCATTTCAGTATTTTTTTTCCTCTCTGTGTCTTAAGCTGGATAAATTCTATCACTAAATCTTCAATTATCACTAAATCTTCCATTTTTTCCACAATCTAATCTTTTGTTAAGCCCATCCAATGGTTTTATTTGAATTTTTACCTATGAGTTTTACTTTGTAATTTTTTTATATCTGCCATTTTCCTTCTCATCATGTTCATGTTTTCATTTAAATTCCTAAACATTGTTATAACTGCTATGCTATTTATATACTAGTTCCATATCTACATTCTTTTAAAATTCTGTTTCTCTTGGATGATATTTCTCCTGGCTAAGAATCATATTTTACTGTGTTTTTGCATCTCTAGTAATCTTTCACTGGATACTATGTTAATTTTACATCATTAGATACAAAAATTTTGTTCTCATCTTTTAATGGAAGTTAGACTTAGTCCTGACAGGCCATTAATCATACCAATCAAGGCCTATATTTAAGCTTTACTGCATGAGTCTAGAGTAGCCATCATTCCAGGGCCAGTGCAGTCCTACCAGCAGGCCTGACCCCACCAGAGTCCATATTAAATGCTCCAGGTGATTACTTTGGACTCTGTGTCCATTCTGGCTGGAGTCTGAATGGCTTTCTGCCTACTGTAAGACCTGGGAATCTTTTGGTTTACAGCTCTTCTCCTTTTTAGCTTGGCTTTGTAGAATTTCACTTTTACATTCATGGCCTAGTACTCCGGAAAGACTCAAAAAGACCGTAGGCAGATTTCTGAAGTTCTTTATCTGAAAAGTTCCCTCCTCTGAAACTCTCCCCTACAAATTATTGTCACCATCTTCTCCAAGATAAGATTGTATCTCTAATTAAATGTTTATCTGAATTGCAATGGTGAGAAAACATTTGTGTCTTGTTTACAAAGAATACATCATGAGACTATGAAAATTAGTTTTCTTCATTAACTTTCAGGAAATAGAGTAAAGAAAATAGTTACAGTTGTCATAATAGATTTTTTAAAATTCTCTTTTGGAAAAAAGCCGAAACAAACCAAGGTCTATGCCGTTGCCAGATTTATGGAGACAAACATTTTCTAATTTCTTTTTAATTTTTAACTAATGGATCATTTCCTAACAGGCAAGCTTGCAGAAGAAAAAGCTGGCAGAGTGGTAAGTCTGTTTTTATGGAAATAAGGTAATTAGTACTAATCTTTGATGGACACAATTCATTAACTTTTGGACAATATTTATAGGGGAGGACAGAAAGGGAAACAAACAAGAAACTGAATCAGTAAATACCACTTTATGGCTTGGATCTTGGAATTGAAATGCAAGTAAAGTATTGCTACCACATCAATTACATTTAAACAGAGGAGCCTTATTTTAACAAAGAAAAATCTGAAATGGCAAACTGAACTTGCTTGAATTTGTTGATGCCACAAATTATATAATGGTATTCTCATTTTGCATAAACAATGTCAGTTTTGCCACATGAAAAACTGTAATACAGCTCTCCTGATAAAGGGCTTATTTTTGAAGACATACACACACCTATAAAATATGCATAAATATTAAAAATCATTGTAAATCTCATTTTATGAAATAGGAATATTTGCAGTATTGATGCATAACATTCAGGTGTGACAGGTGGCCTCAGGCTGTCAGCATGTAGTGATGAATAACTCACTGAAATTTTGATGAATGACTATTTCCTTTATTTAGCAGAAGGAGGAGACAGCCACAATGGGGAGAATTGGTCTTCTGGCATACAAGGTAGTAGAAGGATTTGGTTACTCAAGGATGAGAGTAGCAGAGCTACTACCATCCAGCCTGGAGCTTTATCAATGCAGAACAGAAGTAGCAGTGGTGTTTTCTCTACAGTTGCTCCATTTGGGTCTTACTCCTAGATGATCAGTTATAGAGCCTGTCTTCCTGGCCCTCTTAGAGACCTGGGTGCTACATAAAATCCCTTAACAAATTTGTTTTCTATTTTATTCTAGAGTGGATTCTAAAACCAACTGACATAGAAATAAAGAGTCAATGGATTTAATTACATGGGGGTCACTGCAACCAGAGAAGGTCTGGGCTGTTAACAGAGACATAGGATGGTGGACTGATTGAAGGCGGGTGAGGGACAGAGAAGTGAGCAAAGGGAGCCACTTGGCTTAAATGACTCATTCTAAAAGGTTGTGAAAGGGAAAGGAATGATAGAGAACAGCTGGAAAAGGCTGCAGGGTTAAGGGAGGAAATTTTATTTTTAAAAATGGAAGTGATTTAAGGTTCCTCAGAAGACTGGAATACAGTCTCAAGGAGAGGTGGACAGACAGCTTTAGCTAGGAGGAGCTGTGCCTCCATTAATGTAATAGGACGTTTTGTAAGCACTGTCCAGCGAATGGTGTCTTTGACCAGAGTGGCCAAAAGTATACACACATTTGCTCTGGAAAAGCCTTAAGTGGTGCAAGAACAAGGAACTGAGAGATGCCATAGGAAATTCCAAATAGTGAAAATACGGCAGTTCCATCCATTAAAGTACTTAGAAAAAGACTTAAAAATTGTACGGATATTATTTTTGAGTACGTTTGTATGCTATGTATTTATATTTGTAAATAAGATAACGTTACGAAAATTCAGATAAAGAAACAAAATGAATGTACAAGTCATAGTTTCAGAATGCTTTAAAACTGTGTTTTAATTTACGCTCAGTCTTCTCTCTTATATGTACTTTTCCATGGTTGTAGTAAGGTATATATACAAATGGCACAGGACATACTGTTTGTTTTACTTATTATAATCATGTTTCTATCTTGTATAGTATCCATAGTCAACACTTTGATACTGATATTTAATTTCCATGATTGACTTAGCCTTTTCTCTATTGCTAGCCATGGCTATAACTAACGTAAATGTAATCATTGCATAAATTTGAATTATAGCTCTTCGAGGGACTTCAGAGATTATCAGGTACCACATCCTCCTCACGCAGAGAAGACCAAGATACAAAGCACTTAAGTGAATTCCATCAGGATAACACTGGAAATGAGCAGCTGGGTCAAAACCAGACCCTTGTGCCATAACATGTACAGAGGGCAGGAAACAGAAGTGACGTCACCTGCAATACTCCAGCTCAGTACTGCTCAAAGTTCCAGTCTGTAAAATGTTTATTACCGGTTCACACTGAGATAAGGGGCTTGCAAAAGAATAAGGGAAGCAGTGCATTAATTTATATTCTGTTGCTGATCAGAAGCTATCAGTCACATACCAGGATTAGTCCCAAGGATAATAACTTTTGAGTAGCACAACTCTGAAAGAAAAATCACAAAATGTCTGATTCTCTCCGTAACGATGAATGGCATTAATAAATATTACTGAAGTTTCATAGCTACATTTCCTTCATTACTCTTACATTTTTTTCTTTAACAAATCCATTAAGTGTCCAAGAGATTACCCTTTAAAAAATAGAGCCCATGTACCCAGTCTGCAAGTATGAAAATCATGAGCTTACCATGCAGATTTAAATGACTTTATTTAAAGAGATTCATACAAGAAAAACAACTGTAGAGGGGGCAGGCTGTCCTTCTAACCTGGTCACTTTTATTGTCTGACAATTCAGGAAAGTTCTTGGGAGTTCATGGGATCATATTTATCTGTGTATGTCTGAGAGACAGACTTCTGAAAGATAATTACGTCCCTACTAACTCATGGGTTTCAGCTATCCTGATTACTGCTAAAATAATTGTTTTAGAATTATTTTATAAATTTAATCATCACATGAATCATGATCATCTGATTCTTGTATTTTTCTAAACAGAAAAAATGAAAAAATACTAAAAAAACACAGAATGACATGATGCCATGATTCATCATACTCAATATGAATTGATTTTTGGAACTAATGATAAATTTTGATGTAGTGGTTTTAGAAGTATGTTTTATAACTCATAGGCTATCTGAAAGTTCATTCTAAGTATGAAAAAAATTACTATTGTATCACCAGGGTAAAACAAAATACCAGTGATGACTGATTTCATTTTTCACTTTATAAATTGGCCTGCCCGTAAGTTATGCTGAAAAGAAACTGTGAACGATCTCTAGAGGAAGAAGTCATGCCACAAACACTTTGATAGATAATACATTTATAACCACCTTGAAGGAAACGCTAAGTCCTACAATGTTGCTTCCAGAACAGGTATCTTCTTTCGATTCCATGTGCTTACACACCATTATTACTATTGCTAATAGCAGCAGGCAAAATTCTAAGCACACAGAATATATTAAATCACTTAACTGTCACAAACACATCAAGAGGTAGGCATTATTATTTAACTAACTCCATCATATAGAGGAAGAAATTAAGATACAGCGAGGTTAATAACATAACTTGCCCTAGACTAAACATACACACACATGTCCCATATGAACCCAGGAGTTTATCATGCAACCTTCTCATTATGACTTAGCTTTCACATTATTATTCATGCAGGAAAAGAATGCTAGCAGTAATATTTCTTGACATGAATTAGTAAGTTGGTAGTATAATTTACACTTTTTTTGGTCTTGTGATCTGATAGTAAAAATCAGTTCATTACATCATCATTGGGTATTTGAATTAAGTAAGTTTTCTCCCATCCTTAAGAAAAATACAAAAGGCCGGGCACAATGGCTCACACCTATAATCCCAGCACTTTGGGAGGCTGAGGCGGGCAGATCACCTAAGGTCAGGAGTTTGAGATCAACCTGGCCAACATGGCGAAACCCCATCTCTACTAAAAATACAAAAATTAGCTGGGCGTGGTGGTGCACGCTTGTAATCCCAGCTACTCAGGAGGGTGAGACAGGAGAATCACTTGGAGGCAGAGGTTGCAGTGAGCCAAGATCGTGCCACTGCACTCCAGCCTGGGCAACAGAGTGAGACTCCGTCTAAAACAAACAAACAAACAAACAGCTAAAAATGTGTACTGGAGATGATGTAGAAAACACAGATATACATAATGATGAAAAATATTTCACAACCTAGGAATAATGCTTAATGTTTGACTATCTATCGAAAGCTATCTATCGAATCTATATCCTCTAATCTTCTATAAAAACAAATACACATACTAGTCAGCTGCAAACACATGCTGCTATCCCAAAGTAAAGAAAAGATAACTCAGGCAGATCTGAGAGCCATGGAAAATCATTTCTAGGCTTTGCAATCTAATGAAGAACTTTCAACATTTGCCCAGTTGGATGTCAGGATTTCTAAGAATCAGTGGCTTTTTTGAGCTTTCCATTTCCCCTTTCTGAAATGTTTATAAGCAGTTATCCTTTGTGTGTCTCACCACTGTATGTTGGGTGTGTAGGAGGCAGATAATGTCTCATCTCTTCAGTCTGCAGTGAAGAGAGAGGATACTTAATGAGCTCTAATTAAGAAACTACCCAAGAAGCCTTCTCCATCCCTGGATCTAATTTCCAGGTGATTATGTAAAGGGAGAAGACTTCTGAGGACCTTGAGATCACCCATAATGATCCCTGCCTTCAAGTATTCCACACCAATGTATAATCCTCTCCCCTTGAATGTGGGTTACATTTACTGACTCACCTCTAAGGAACAGAATAAGACCAAAGTGATGAGATGTTGCTTCCAAGGTTAGGTTATTAAAAGATCATGGCTTCTGTTTTGGGCTCCCTCTCCCTTCCATTCCTCACTTTGTCATTTCATGCCAGGGCACAGGTAGCAAGGAACTGATACAGTCCTTGCTAGAGGACCAACAATCAGGGTGGACTAGGGGTCTCCTGCTAACATCCACGTAAGTGAGTTTGGAAGTGAATTTTTCCCTAGTTGAGCCTTGAGATTACTGTTGCCCACAGCGAACACCTTAATTACAGCTTTGTGAGATGTTCTAAGCCAGAAGCACTCAGGTAAACTGTGCCTCAATTCCTGACCCATAGGAACTGTGAGATAGTATTTATTGGTTTTGCTCCTAAATTTTGGGGCAATTTGTTATATAACAGTAAATAACTAATACAGATGTTGAGTTTGATATAAGACTGAACCCTTATTTTGTTACTCTGATTAAAGATTTCATATGCATTGAACTTGGCCAATTATTCATAAGTTTACAAATAAATGCCTAAATTTAAATAAAGCACATTTTTCTTAAATTGCTTTTTTATTCCCAATATGTCTAATTGTTTCCTTTTTACATGTTTATTTTATAAGCGAGATATTTGGATCTTATAAACTGAGGAAATCATTATTCTTATGTTAGAGTCTTTTATTTTGTTTTCTCAGGTGTCAGTTCTTCAGCTTGTTGGCATCTCTTTCATGGTACTGGTGGTCTTCCTTGTACTCTTCCTGGCATGAGAGATTCCTTATTTGCCCAAGTGCAGATGCTTTTGGTGACTGTGGGGTGCAGAGTGTGGCATACTGGAAGTAACTGTGCAGGTAGCTTATTTTGGGGGTATATCCAAAATAGTTTATCCATTCATATTTCAGATTAGACCTCCCTGAGATAGTACCATGTATTTTTAGCTAGATTCAGTACTTTGGCCTAGGGTAAACACTGCAGCTGTCCGCAGATTATTGTAAGGGAAAAAGAAACGAGTAATATTTCAACTATTTGAAATTGCTCACCTAATGATTTTCCCTGGAACACATCCTACTTTGTGTATTTTGTGACTATGTGTTTGCAGAATCTCAAGAACTGCTCCCACCTATAAAAGGATTTTTTTCAAACACTGTTTGGACTGTGCTTTTTTTCTTATAGTGTGTCTTTTAGGGACGCTTCAAAGTCTCTGATCACAATGGTACACTTTTTTTTTTCTTTCTGCATTATTGGTATGCATGCATTATGAAACACATTTTACAAATGTGCATAGGTATATATGTATATATGTATATATGTATATATATTTATTTCTTATTAAGAGGTTTGAGTAGGGGGAAGTAGACATATGTGGTTTTTGCCAATAGAATCCAATTAATAAAAAACATTTATATTTTTGAAATTAGAACTCTAAGAGTTCATCTAGAAATAGAAATAAGTCCATTTTTGATAAAAATGAAAATAATGGATCTAACCCAACTGTAATGCTGGTGATTAAGCAGTCAAAATGAACAATTAGGAAGTGGTCCAGTCATTTAGTGAATGTTGCTTCTGCCATCAACACATTAAGGAGACATGGTACTTTAGTCTGCGTGTAAGAAAATGATATTTAGAAAATCTAAGTAGATGTGTTCAAAAAGTGTTATTCTGAAGTTGATAAAGACGACTTGGTGATTTTTTTTTTCCTAAGGGAAATTAACCACATTCATGATCTGTTTGGACTTAGTTTTTCTCTGCTATCACTGCATATTTTATAAGCTGTTAAATAAATAAATCTGGTAATAGTTTAACTGACTGTAGAGAAAAGATAAAGATGCATTAAGTTTTTTAAAAAACACCTATACCTGTATATGTAATATAAGTATATATAATTTTAAAAATTATTTTGTAACTTTTATAGCATGCTGGTTAATATGTCTAGATTAAGTCTACCAAATGTGTTATGAATATTTTTTTCCACATAAAAGATAAACTGTTAATAAATCTTTTCCAGGCATCAGTGTCTAGTCCACATAATCATTAGCAGACAACTCCCTTGGCAGCAGCATCTTACTCTTGATTAACTGCTTCTCTTAGATTAACTGAAGGATTGAACAGTGTATGAATAATCATTTTTTATTCCCAGTTTAAATTTTCCTTTTCATAACTGCTATCTGCTGTATGATGTTAAGGAAACCGATCAGTTTAGCTAAGATAAAAATTATTATCAATTTATGAAAAAGGAAAAGTTGGGAAACTGGTAACTTCTTGGTTACTGAAGGTGTTTGCTTCTAAAACAGGTAGAGGTAAAAATATAATACCCGACTCTCTTAACTGTGGTTTGGCTTTCTGTGGTTTTAGTTACTCAAGGTCAACTATGGTCCAAAAATATTAAATCGAAAATTCCAGGCCCGGCATGGTGGCTCACATCTGTAATTCAAGGACTTCAGGAGGCCGAGGCAGTAGGATCTGCTGGGCCCAGGAGTTTGACAACAGCCTGGGCAATAGTGAAACCTCATCTCTACTGAAAAAAAAAAAAAAAAAAAAGTAGCCAGCCGTGGTGGCACACCCCTGTAGTTCCAGCTACTCAGGAGACTGAGGCAGGAGGATCACTTGAACCCAGGAATTGGAGGCTGCAGGGCTGCAGTGAGCTATGATTGAGCCACTACACTCCAGCCTGGGCAACGAAATGAGGCCTTGTCACAAAAAAAAAGGAAAGAAAATTGCAGAAATAAACAATGCATAAGATTGAAATTGTGCACTGTTCTGAGCAGCATGATTAAGTCTCACGCTGTCTCCAGCCCAGGATGTGAATCATCCCTTTGTCCAGCGTGTCCATGCTGTATATGCTACCTTCCATCAGTCACAGCTGTTTCAGTAATCAGATTGAAAAAACACAGCACATACAGGGTTCAGTAAAAAAACATAGTATATATATATAGGGTTCTGTGGTTTCAGGTGTCCACAGGGGTCTTGGAACTAATCCCCTGAGGATAAAGGGACTACTGTACACATTTTCCTCTGGTGGCTTATGCCCTACAATAAGAACATTTAACAAAGTAAGACCATTTAACAAAACAATTTAAAAATAATAAATCAATGATTTAGGCAAGGATGAAAATATTCATAAATACCAAGTAATGTAAACATTTATATATATTTTAAAGAAAATTTTGGAATTTGCATTTCCTTAATTATATAGCCAGAAAGTTACAAGGGAAAAAGAATTTGGTTTAGAAATAGCATGAACCTGGGATAGATTCCCACTCATTAATCTTACTTCAGAATGATATTCACATGTTGTTGCTGCCTAGGAAAACAATCTAAAGGCACAAGTGATTCTAAAATACACTCCCCTGGTTTCCTGAGATGTTGCATTCCACTCTTGAACATGAAGATAATGGCTAGTTTGGAGAACCATCTCAAATGATTTTGCCAAGTGTAAACACATGAATATTTTTAAGAAAATGTCTTCATTAATGGCTGTTGAGCTAAAATCTCCATAACTACATATTATGCAAAGATATGACACTTAACATCCATACTTTACAGATTTTTTTTTTTTTTTGAGACGGAGTCTCACTCTGTCACACAGGCTGGAGTACACAGGCTCTGTCACACAGGCTCTGTCACACAGGATTGCACACAGGTGCAATCTTGGCTCACTGCAAACTCTGTCTCCTGGGTTCAAGCAATTCTCCTGCCTCAGCCTCCTGAGCAGCTGAGGTTACAGATGTGTGCCACTACACATGGCTAATTTTTGTATTTTTAGTAGAGACGGGGTTTCTCCATGTTACCCAGGCTGGTCTCGGACTCTTGACCTCAAGTGATCTGCCCGCCTTGGCCTCCCAAAGTGCTAGGATTACAGGCAGGAGCCACCATGCCCAGCCGGCATACTTCAAAGATTGTAATAAAAGTACTTGACCTTAAAACATTGTTTCCATTTAATCATATTCTGTAAATCTGGGGAAATGAAAAACAAGAATCTCAATTTTTAATCAATATTTGACCAGACACATCTTTAGATCAAGCCACGAGCTTTTTAGATAAAACAGAAAAAAATTCCCACCTTTGGGAAAACTAGTAGAAATGCGATGTCCAGATTCAGCTGGATATATCTCAAGATCGATATTTACCACTATATTTATTACTACCTGAAACTCTTAAGCCAATCATTAAAAAAATTCCAAAAGATTACTGGACTTACTCTTTGAATTTTTGTCTTTTAAAAATATAGACATAATTCAGCTTATTTAAACCCACCTACACAAGTCCTGTGTTCAAATTTTACGGGGCATAGAACCGTTCACTTTGGGTACTTCTTTGCCTGTATAAAATGCTGTCATGTTGATATATCTAAACACCAAGGTACAAATTTAACTATACGATTTTGAAGGAAGCAGTTGAAGACTCAGGTAACACTGCTTTAGGACAAGTCAAAAGAGAGTTTGCTGTTTGGCTTTTGACACTGAAGTTTCTTACCAATATGTTTCATGAAGCTCTCTCTAGGAAACTACAGTATTTTGGTATCAGTTCTCTAAAGCAACTGCCTGTGAGTTAATGTGGTTGTTTTGTCACAGCGTGCCTTTTGTCTCCACCCGCCTCCAGTCCCATCTTTACTCATTCTGCCTTTTGGATAAAACATGTACAATTATATATGGCTTGGTGCGGAATGGGCTTGGGATGCCACAAAACTAAAGTGGCACACTTAAAAAATACCTCTCAGCTACAGAGTCAAATAAGACTTGGAAATGCTAGAGGTCAGAACATTGCTCACAAATTATCCTGGTTCAATTTAGCCTGTGAATGTTTTGGAATTATACAAACAGTGTCTGATGACTCATATAACTTGTAACTTAAGTGCGTTTTGCTGTTGTGCATCCTTTTAGTCCAGCTACCCCCTAAGGAACAAAGTGTTACAGAAGCAGTTATGGTTTCAATTTCCCTCTATGATTCGCTTTCATTTGAAAACCAGTGAAAGGTGGGGGGAAATGGACTGACTAACTCCTGACACTACCAGGGCTTCAGATTACTCAATTTCCACGCTTCCTCTATCAGGGGAGAGAGTCCTAACAAAGACTAAAAATAACTTAAAGAAACCAAAAAACATAAAGATGCTACTTAGGAAATATTATTATCAAGAATTAATTAGTCTGCCAACCAAGTATTATGTACTTGAAACATTCTTTTATTTTTTAAGATATCATACATCTAGTGTCTCATTTGATTCTAATTTTGAATAGTCATTAATACAATAGAGGTTTGCATTAATAGCTATTTAATGGCTATGAAAACAGTGGCTATTGTGTGAATGGCTATAAAAACAATGGCTCTTTTTATGGTGCGTTCATGCTATCTACAGGCAGATGAACTGCATTTTAGATTATCAATCTGATCTGATTTTCTCTGTATCTCTGAAACTCATGGTTCTCCAAGGATGACTTCTCACTGGTACCCAGTGTGGTGAACCTTTTTGTAAGTCAATGCAATATTTGCGACTATAGTCTTGGTTTGGTTCATCTTTCTTTTTTCCACTAGGAAAATGTTCACTTTATCTTCCACAATCTTCCACAAGCTTCTTCAGTACCAGGCAAGGGACTCAACTCCTGATTATGATCATTTCTTGCCTTACTTTAAGGATGAGGACTAAACAAGGGAAAAAGTGGTGAGAATACTGGAATACATTTCGGGCAAGGTTCCTAAGGGGGAGGATAAATCGTACACACACTTTACAGAATCCACGTAGTCAAAGAGAACAGAAAGGCACCCAGAATGGCACCTACTCAACACAATCTTGACTTGGTAGATAAGGGGATTAATATACAATAAATTTCCTTTTGCAGCTTTCTGGAGACTCAAAGTGCTCTAGTGAAAAGATCATTGATCTTGCAGTCAGGGGACTTGAACTTCAGCCCTACCTATACTAAATCCCTGGGTAATCTTTGACAAGTCACTTAAATTTACTTAGCCTTAGTTTTCCCAACTGTGAAAACAGGAATGAAATTCTCTAGTACCCCACAGGATTGTTCTCGGGCCCAAATGTCACAATGTATATGAAAGTGCATTATATAAATACGATTATGTAATATCTGGTATCATCAATGGAGGAGGCTTTCCATATGTACTATGCCTAAATATATTACACACATCTATACTGAACTTTTTTTTTTTTTGACTGACTCTCATTCTGTCGCCCAGGCTGGAGTGCAGTGGCATGATCTTGGCTCACTGCAATCTCTGCCTCCCGGGTTCAAGCGATTCTCATGCCTCAGCCTCCTGGGTAGCCGGGACCACAGGCACATACCACCACGCCCGGCTAATTTTTGTATTTTTTTTAGCAGAGATGGGGTTTTGCTATGTTGGCCAGGCTGGTTTTGAACTCCTGGGCTCAAGCAATCCACTCGCTTCAGCCTCCCGAAGTGCAAGGATTACAGGCGTGAGCATTGTGCTCAGTGGCCTACTGAACTCTTTAAATGATATGCATTTAAAGTTGGTAATTAGATAATATCATAATAATGTTGATAATTAGATAATATTATAGATAACTTCTCATCCTTGTACCTTTGCTTTTCTCTACCTAATTTCCATGGTTTGATTTTGATACTTTTTGAAAATCAAATAAGAAAATTCAGAACACTGAACACTTTTAAGAAGGTTGACTCAGGATTACTAGGAAAGAGATCAGCTTCAACATAATAATTTTAATTTTTTGTCAGGCTTTTCTTGTAGTGTTTTGAGATACTCTCGATATGTCAGTAATTTGAAAATTACACAATCAATCAATGGGAGAAAGAATGGCAGGTGGTCTCAAAATAATTTTTTGGCTCTCTTTCTTTCTTTTCCCTTCCTCATTTACACATGGCACATATCTTCATGGAGGGCTTTTATACCTTCTTTCAAAGAGTATAACCAGTTTTATCAATGAAAGCTCTATAAATAATTTCTGAATTAGAATATTTAATTTTTAAACATTTTAAATCACTTTTTATAATTACATTCACAATATAATTGTGAATTGAATTTTGTGATTAACATAATCTTCATACATAAAAGAAGATAAATACTTGTCTCCAAAAACAAAAATATTAATAATGATGCATAATCTCAGATATATCCATTAAGAGTTTAATATGGTTGGCTTGGTATGTGTTTCCGGGAATTTCTGAAAGAGTCATGTTTTTAAGAAAATAATTTGGGAAAAATAGAAATTTAAGTGGCTCATTTTTTGTGGTTAGGTTAGTATTTATGAAATTTGGTTTTGTTTATTTCTCAGCGAATCATTGAGATCCTGAGTAACAGAAAGAGAAAACCATTATGTTTCATAATGAAATATTCTTGGATATTGAAGATAGTCTATTAAAACATTTAAGTGTTATATCTTGGTCACCATGTAATAGATATTTTTTTAAAACTGAAGTGGCAAAAAGAACACAACATGAATAAAATAGGAAAAACATTTCTGAAATAGTATTGTTATGTTCACAATTTAAAATGTTTCTACTTTGTGCTCTGGAAAAATGCACACTTAAAAAAATAAATTTTGAAATTAAATACCAGGTGTATTTACTCTAGGAAGATGTACCCACTTAATAATTGAATCTGTAATATAGCAGGCTTTGGGATATTAGATACATTATTTTATAGAGATATAAAATTGAATTTCGAAAACTACTTCATGGGATTCTCTAAAGTAAGTATTTAAAAAGGAAAGATATCAAACTGGTTACCAGAATGCTATATGTGCAATTTTATTGGCAGATTATGAGAAGTGATCTAATTATACATATTATTCATATTTGTTGAGGAATAAAAGGACGCATAAATCTCTGTATGGGAAGGCACTTAATTCTTTAGGGTCTATAATATATAGCTTGATTTGCAAAACATTACAAATGATACTTAGGATCCAAATTGTTTTCATCTCTTAAAATTCAAAGCAGCTTCAGCTTTCTAAAACACACAGTTTGTCTGTAGTGTTATAATACACAACCAATTAACATGGTAGGCATCTTCTGTGTTCTAGATATGTGTTAGGTCTAAGAAATGTAAGGAAAAATGATAAGCAGGAGTTTTCAAGGAGCAAATAGTCTTGTGGGAAGAAAGATCTGGGTAGAAATCTTATAATCTGGGTAGAAATAATTTCCAAGATAAACAGCTTTGACAGAGCTTTGAACAACGTGCTACTGGAACTCAGAGGAAGGCTGGAGTGGCTTCTCCAAGTCATGATGTTTCAGCTGGCTGCTAAGACGAGGGAAGGAGGGTCAGCAGGCCTGCCAGATGGAAGATACATCATCATCTGCAAGGGCATAATGTTAGCCAAGAGTAGCAAGTGCTGAGGAAAAGTGGAGTTCAATGTGGCTGAGGTCTAGCTCTGTCGTTAACTTGCTGTGTAATATAGAAATGTTATTTAGCCTCTCTGGGCTGTTTCCTCATTTAAGACAATAAAACCTATCCTCACTGAGGGTTTTGCAATGCATGTAAAGTGCTTGGCAAAGTGTTTACTCCCGACTTAAATGCTCAATAAGCATTAGTGGCTGCAGATTGGAGATTCTGAGTGTCAGTTTGTGTTCATTTCTTTATCACGTCAAGCTGGCCGTTTAATCTCTTTGGGCTTCCTTTTCACTTTTCTGTAACAGGCAAGCAATCAAACTAGATGTTGATCTCAAGTCCCTTCCAATTCAAAGACTGTCACAGCTATATGATCGTTGCCACATAAGTAAAAATTCACATTAAAATGTAAAATGTATGTAAACTTTAGGAAATTTTTTCTATGAGGAATATTTTATATTACTCCTTTTAACATATCAAGTTGGATGAATAATAGGGTCATAGAACTGGCTTTTAGGTCTTCAGGTTGGATGACTTATTCAAAACTGAACACTTCTAACTTTAATTTCTATTTCAGGTAAATTTACTTTTTTTGAAAGACTTCAGAAAGATGATAGACAGCATCTGAAAAACATGGCCCAAAGTGGACTCTCCCTTCTTCATACCAGGGCCTCTTCCTCTAAATATAACAACATTGACAATAGGGGAAGCATCAAGAACCTGTTTGTTTTCTGGCTGTTTCAACAAGTTGCAACTTGTTGGCTTGCAACTTCAGAACAAAACGTAATAGCTTAACAGGCACTTTGATTTATTTGTTCCTTAATCATGGAAAAAGTAAACTAGTCAGCTATTCTTTGTGGCTTTTAATAAAATGTTTGTAATTGCATGAAACAATTATCAAATATTTCTTATGAGCAAAAGCAAGGAAAAATGACCTATGGATGTAAATTTTGATCCCAAATGTTTTCTCTCCTTTAATTCAATGGTTATTGAACAACCATTATGTGCTTGGTAGGGCTTAGACAATAGCGTTTTTTTGATTTTTTTTTTTTTTTTTTTTTTTTTTTTGGGAGACAGAATCTGAGTCGCCCAGGCTGGAGTGCAGTGGCACCATCTCAGCTCACTGCAACCTCCACCTCCTAGGCTCAAGCAATTCTCCTGCCGCAGCCTCCCACAATAGTGATTTATAAATGATTTTTTTTAAAAGAAAACTTTGGCACCCAGGAATGATAGGACATTAAGGGACTAAAGAACAGTAAGTTCATGAATTTTAGGTCCTTTGTGCAGCCAAAGGATCCTTGGAAGCCTGGGAGCAGGGCGTGCAGTGGAGTCAAAGACTTGGGCAACACTGAGAAGAATCTCAGTGTTGTAGACTGAATTCATGCCTCAGTCTAAGGAGATATGACATGGGAGTGAATGTCTAGTATAGTGTGGAGGACAAGATCACTAGGAAAGAGAAGGTCAAGAAACTCTAGGAGGGATCTCTGAAGTGATTAGAAAGAGGAGGAAGGTTGTGAGAGCGACAGTATGCCTGGAGTGAAGATTGGTGAAAATTAGGGTGAGTGACACAGGAGTAAGAAAATGATGGCAATAATGAGTGGTACAGGGTGATCTAATCTGATGATGTGGGGCTCAAATTTGGAGATTTTAAGGGAGCTCTTGCAAATGACAGTTTTTCACCCCTTTCTACCACTGTTCAATAGGTGGAATAAGTAATTCTTCTCACTCCTCATTGCCTCTTTTCTGCCTCTTGGGTAGTGGTAGAAACGGGTGAAAAACTATCACTTCCAAGAGCTGCCAGGAAAGTAATGACTTAATGGAAAAGTCAGGTTTCTTAGATCGAGAAAGTAAAAGGAGTATCCAGAAAAGAGGGTGGATGTACAGTGATTACTGCTGCTGCTGAAGGCCTATCAGCAATTAAAGAGAAGTGGGTTACAGGAATAAAAGAGGGAAATATAGAGTCTTTCAGGTATTGGAGTATGGATGAGGGGGTGACCTTAGTCAGGAGGAGTTCCTGTAGTGGCTTATATAAGGGGAGAGAAAGTAAACATTTCCATGATGACCAACTAATATCTTCAATGATGACATATCAGGAACCACTGCTTTTAGATTTCTCACTTAAATTTGTTTTGGAAAAATTTATTCCAGATTTTAACACTTCCCACTCTTAAAACCGAATATGCATTCAACATATTTATTGATTCTAAAATGTTATAAAATACCTGCTTTTGTTTGGCACTTTGCTTGTCTCCTTCTTATATCATTATTGTATCTTTCATGCAGTGATTTCTGTGGTCTCAGCCCCCCACATGGTGATCAGCTACCTCAGGGAAGTCCTGTGCTACTTTGCTTCTCTCCATGAATTATAAACCTAAGGGACAGGCAATTGAGAGGAACCACAAAGAGTTCAAAGTAAACAGGGTTTAATCAATGTATCAGATGCCGGGTGGCAACTCTGTTTTAAAAGTCAAAGTCAAGTTAAAGTGTGGGGTTGTCTGCCACATAAGGGGACCTCAAAAATCAGATTTTTAATAAAGTTGCTTCCAATAAGAATACTATCATTCTATGATCTTAACAGACTAAACCTGAATCTGAAATTGACATTATAAACCAGAAAATTAGCCAGAACTACACCTGGTGCATTGATGGAGTAAAAGAGAAGGAACCGACAAAAATACTAGAGCAGCAGATTTTTGGGGTCAATGTTAAGTGATCATTTATTCTGATTTGCTTGGAGATGTTCATGGTTGTATCTCTTGTCCCCCCGTCCAAAAAAAATGTTTCCAGTGCCCCTTTTCACGTTCTAAAATGAAATTGACTTGGATGATGAATTATCTGATCACTTGAGATACAGTGGATTGAAAAATGAAAATGAACACACCAGTAAGATACACAGACACTAAATACACATGATTTAGTTGAAATAAAAGTGCCATCTACTCACTCTGCACATACTTTTAAAATGAAAGCATGACTTTCATGCTTCACCTTCTCTTTTTCTCCTAGCAAGAGAGAAAAGCAACTTTGTCTCTTTATTTTTAACATTTACTACTTATTGATTTATGTTTAGATAGCTTTAGGACTTTTAATTAATCTTTATTTGAAGACTTAGTGGAGAATATTTGGGCTAAATTTTAAATATCTCTGTACAGACAATTAAGTTCAAATAAGTATTACCCTGACTTAACTTGAATTATTTTTTTTACCCTGCTATAATTAGAGAAGCATAAGTGAGACAAACCCTTTTCTAAAATATATTCGGAAAAAAAATTGCTGTATCTGTCCTAGAGGAAGTGTGCATTTTGTCCATACCAAGTTTCTCCCTTGCTGGAATCTGAGTGATTTTGTATTTCACAAGTGGCTTTGTGAAGAACAATACAAAAGCGTTTGGGTAGAAAAAAAAGATGTCAGGATTTGTAATCAGAAGTCCTGTATTTGTTTCTGGTTGCACCATTCATTAGTTCAGTAACTAAGCGTAAGCAGATTACCTAAATTCTCTACACTTCAGTTTCCTTATCTGTACAATTATTATTCCACAAGCAGAAAAGCACTTTCAGAGTGGGTGAAGATTAAATAAGAAAATATGTATGAAAGGGCTTATCACAGCACCTGGCACCCAGTCCCTCAAATGTCACATAGCGACTCTACTTCCAGTTTCTGTTTCAATCTATAGCTTGTTATATGAGAACAGCTTTTAATAACGATATTTTCAAGATGCTACTAGTTCCCAAATCAAGGGCTATATTTAGTACATTCTCCTTGATAGGGCAGAAAGGGAAATTAATACACTTTCAATTTGGCAATAATTTTTCCTAAGAAATTAAAGAAGACTTAATAAATAAAGAAGCCTTAATTAACCTGGCAGACCATTTATCTAAAGACTACATACCCTGGGCATTCTGATTAATCCAAATTTTATATGAGGCTAATATCAGGCAATTTATGTAGTTAAAGACCAAATTAATTTTATTTATGTGCACATACTGCCACGTTTTTCTTGTCTACATCATATATTTTTTGTAAGAGGCAATAATAAACTCCTATTCATCACATAGTTTATCTGTTCTTTCTTCCAGAAACTTGTTATTTCTCCCAGATACTTGTTTATATCCTGACATAATTCTCCGTATCAACCTTTGACTAGAATCAAATGTTAGAACTGGAATTAGAATTCATACAGCAAAAGGCTAATTATCCCAATTTGATCATTATACATTGTATACACATATTATCAAACTATCACTCTATATCCTATATGTATGTAAAATTATTACCCATCACCTAAAAAGAAAAAGAAAAAAAAGGAAAGGAAAGAAAAAAAGGAAATAGTTTAAATGCCAATATATCTAAGAATTATTGCTAGAAGTCTTCCTTTTATCTAACTTACTTCTTATAGGAACGTTCCTAGAGGAATGTCTACCAGGTAAATGTTCTCTCCATTTTAGAAGTCGTTAAATCAAGTTTAGCCTAAAGCAGCCCCTTAAATATTTTAAATTTGGCTTAAAGCTTTCCCCAGACATCATGAACTATAACCTAAATGAAGGTGTAAACAGACCGTAACCTACTCTTGTGCCAATCTCCAAGTTTTGGCCAAAGGTGGTCAACTGTTCAAAACACGTTCAAAAAAGGCAAATGCCAAGCTGTACCCAATCTGGCTGTTTCTGCCCTCAGTTCTGTTTTCTGAGCATCACTTTCCTTTTTCTGTCCATAAATCTTCTAACATGTGGCTGTACTGGAGTCTCTCTGAGCCTATTCAGGCTCAGAGGCTACCAGATTCACAAATCAATCTTTGCTCAAACTCGGTTAAACTTAATTTGGCTATCGTATTGCTTTTAACAAAATGAAATCTGAGTTTTGAAAAATTTAAGTAATTTGTCCATGTTCCAAGCAACGGAATAAAAATTTGAACCTAGTGTGTTAGATTTCAAAGACTATGAATACTCTATACAGTTGACCCTTGAACAACACGGATTTGAACTGCGGAGTCCACTTATACACAGTTTTATTTTTTTCAACCAAAAGTGACCTGCAAGTACAGTATTCACAGGATGCAAAACTGCATAGTATAAGAAGCACTGACTTTTCCCATATGTGGGTTTTGCAGGGCCAACTGGGCACTTGAGTGTACATGGATGTGGTTATCCTCGGGTGGTCATGGAACCAATCCGCCATGGAGGCCAAGGGAAGACTGCATCTATTAGTGATCATATTGTATGCTACCGATTTAAAAGTGATGGCAGATGTCATTTCTATATACGGAAGAATTCCTTCATAAAATGGAACTGGAGACTGGTAGGGTTGGCCTTAGCAGTTAACAGTATATGCTACTGTTGGTGACTACATATGTTATGTGGTGATATGGTTTGGCTCTGCGTCCCCACCCAAGTCTCATCTTGAACAGTAATCCCCACATGTTGAGGGAGGGGTCTGGTGGGAGGTGACTGAATCATGGGGGCAGACTTCCTCCTTGCTGTTCTTGTGATAGTGAGTGAGTTCTCGTAAGATCTGGTTGTTTGAAAGTATGTGGTACTTCCCCCTTCACTCTCTCTCTCTCTCTCCTGCCACCAAAAGAAGACATGCCTTGTTTCCCCGTCACCTTCTGCCATGATTATAAGTTTTCCTGAGACCCCCAAGTCATGCTTCCTGTTAAGTCTGCAGAACTGTGAGTCAACTAAACATTTCCTTGATAAATTACCTAATCTCAGGTAGTTCTTTATAGCAGTGTGAAAATGGACTAATACAGGTGGTTATGAATTGGTACCTACCAACAAGGTATCAAATCCATTGTTTGGCATTTCTGCCATCAATGCAACGATCTGCCTTTGTACTTGAAGGCATTTTGCTTCTGCACAGTCTTCTATTAAGGAAAATGATAAGCCTTATCACTTAACTCAGTGCTAACAGTTGGACCCCAGCTGATGCTCTGAGAGAGTCTGATGGGACACCAGCAAGGAGGACAGGAAATGGAACATGACAGAGACACACTTTGTCTCTAGTTTTTCTCTAGGGGTAAAACAGGCAAAATTAACACATCTTACCTGTCAAGTAAAATTACAAGAATAACATGTATGTATGTAAGTGAACCTGTGTGAAAATTCAGACAGACTAGTTCTAGAGTTGTCACATTCTTACCAATGTGATTTGGACTATGCAGGAACAAACCAATCAATTATACTGGAACTCTATATATTGATACATATCTTTACTAGTAAAACAAACAGGGTCTGATATGGTTTGGCTCTGTGTCCCACTCAAATCTCATCTCGTGTTGAGGGAGGGACCTGGTGAGAGGTGATTGGATCATGGGGGCAGCTTCCCCCATGCCGTTCTCATGATAGTGAGTGAGTAACGCTGTCAATGTCACAGAGATGGTTCCTTAGAGTTTCTCCAGGCCCCTCTCTACATGTGGAGGAATCTAATCACAGTTGTCAACTGAGGCCTGGCCTATGTGGGCAGATCCTCGAATGTTTTTTCTTTTCTGAATATTACTTTCTTTCAAATGCTAATAAGGGTTAGGCCCAAAGCATTTTGTTGTGCCCTTCAAATAAAGAAAAACTACAATGCAAACATTAGGCATTCCATGTTCATTGTGTATGTGTCTTGTTTTATGCATTCTATCTTAAAATATTTATTTTTAGTCACTGCCCTGATACTCAGTGGCTGGCAGTTGGTAGACTCTCAGCCATAACTGCTGAATGAATAAAATGAATTCTACAACAAGCTTTTGCTATTGAAAAGCATTATGGTGGTATATTACATCCATCTCAGAATTTTTATAGCTCAGTGAATAAAGAATATGGCTAATGGGTGTAGAATTTCTTACAATAACCCAGACAGCACTCTTCAGTTATTCTTTTCCAATTTCGTTAGCTGAAAACCAGGGACAATACAATAAATCACAAGATATACAGGAGGATCTAACATTTGAGTAATGACCTGCTGCTGGACTGTAACACAGCATTAGGAGTTTCAGTTTAATCAAACAGTGGTTAAGGAATAATGGGCTGAGATGTTTCATATCTTTATGATGACATCTCTAGAAGTAACTTTTTATTCCCTTTGTGTTCATAATTTATTTAATATATGCCATAATTATTACCACTGATACGATAGTTATATTTCCGTGACCTTCAGCAGAAGGCGGGGTGGAGGATGCTGTTGTGAGCTGTTGGCTTCTGTCACCGGCTCCTCCAGGACAGCAGAGCCACACTTCCTCTCAAGTGCTGCTACCACCCTTTTCTCCTAGCAACCATATTATGTTAAAGTGCAGTTGCTGAGGTTGCCAGGATATTCGTCTATTCTTGTCCTCCATGATCAAACCAAAGGCAAGAGAAAGTGTAAACCAAACTGAGGCAAACACACAGGTAGAGAGACCCCGAAAAACCAAATGCCAGCCTATTCTTGAGAAGAAATAAATTGAGCAAATTATTCTGTTGTTAATGCTTTAAAAATGTATCTTATCTTTTCTTTTCTTTTGGGTAAAATCAGGAAACAAATTTTAAAGACAATCCACAAAAGAATGGCTATTAAACGTTTTAAGACAAAACCACATTATCATTAGTCAGTAGAAGCTACTTTTTCCCAATAGAGGAAGAGAGGTAAACATCTTAAAATTGTCAGAGTGACCTGGAAGATTCTAAACCATAATTACCATCCAGCTTCACATATAAAAGCTTTGAAGAGGATACCACATCTTATTGAACCAAAGATATCATTGATTGTAAAATGTGTACTGATTTCTGGAATGTGAAAAATATGTATCTTAGAATTATTGAAACATGACACATTACTCATTTGATATTTCAATCAGTTGTGAGATAAAATATCCTATGTATTTACAGAAAAAGAGCAGAACCCAGGTTTTCAGAGTCACATAGCTAATAAGGGGTAGAGACATAATTCAAATCCATATCTGTTTGACGATTATGTTCAAACTCATCTTAATTCAATGTTGTTTCTTCAATTCATTGCACAGATAGTAGATAAAAAGTGTTATTGAATAACATGCTTATAGAACTCGATAGCTGTTGACATGTTTGTTATACTCCTAGTAATTCACTAGGTATCACTAGGCCTGTTTTTATAAATGGGAATAACCGGGCCTAAAAAAATTGAATGACTCACTCAAGGTCATATAATTAGAAAGTAACAGAGCCAGGAGTGAAACCCAAGATAAATGACTCTGAATCCAGAACATGTTTGACTAAAGTCAGACATTAACCAGCTCCCAGATCTGAAATTAGAACATGGACGTAAAGATAATTCAAAGAGAAATGTATCTGTTGGATACATAGGAAAAGCTGTTGCACATGTCAGACGGATTCATTAATTTATTCAATAAACATTTACTGAATGGTTACTGTGAGTTAGGCTCTATTTTAGTACCTAGGATACAGTAGTGAATAAAATACCTAAAATCACATGGAACATTTAAGAGTTATAGAGAGAAACAGGTTGGAAGGAGGAGGATGGGGGAATTTATATTTTAAATAGTGGCTAAGGAAGGTGCTTGCAGTGAGCAGAGATCACGCCACTGCACTCCAGCCTGGGCTACAGAGCGAGACTCTTGTCTCAAAAAAAAAAAAAAGAAAAGAAAAGGAAGGCACCCCTGAAAAGGTTACATCTGAGAAAGAAAAAGGAGATAAGAAAGTGAGCTACATGGATATCTGGGGGAGGAACATTTCAGGCAGGAGGAAGGAAAATGGCCTGGTTGTGAATGTCCTGGCTCATTATTGCATGAACAGCTGAGAGGCTGGATGGCCAGAGCAGAATCAGAAAGGAAGAGCCTGGAAGGTGATCAGTACCAAAGGCATGGGGGTGGACAGACAGATCACACTGGGCCTTGAGGGCCAATGTAAGGACTTTGGGATTTACACAGAACTAAATGATGACCTTAGGGACAGCAGCCTCATGGAATTCAGAACCCAGTCAGGTTCAATAACTCTGTCCTAGGCATCCCAAATACGTCTACTTCATCGTCCAATTTAATCTCAGGCTACCTGCCATGTAGTTGTTGTTCTGTCTACCTTGTTGCTGTGCTATAAACTGTGGCTTATTCTAGAGAGGGTTGACAGCTCCATGGACAGCTAACAAATAAATATTTATTAAGGACCTATTATCTGTGCTGGGCATTTAGAAAAGCGCCTACCGCATCCTGCTGCCACCCCGGGCTCAGCCTCCTACCAAAAATAAAATAAAATAAAAAATAAAAAGATGATTTAGTTGCCACTCACAATGAGCTTATAACTTAGCTGTGAAATCATGAAGGTCTATACCAAGTGTTCGCTGCTGGAGAGGCAAGCTCAGAATTATGATCATGCCAGGAGTAGCCAGAGACAGTTTAATTTAAAAAAATGCTTGAGGTGAGGTCTGGCAGCAGTATGTAAGGTGAAGTCTTCCAAGTGGATGAAGGCAGGTAAAACATCTCATCCAGAGGTGACAGCATGGACAAAAACAAGGAGGCCTAAATAGCATGGCTTACTTTTTAAAGATTCATTCATTCATCAGTGTGGCTGAGGCATAAGGTGTCTGAGAGGTGGTGGCAGCCAAGGACAGACAGGCAGAAGGAATCAGGGGAGGAGCCATGCAAAAATCTCTAGATTTCATTCTGTAGGTAATGGGGAGGCACTGAATGCTTTCAGACTGTAGTGTGGCATCAGGAGTCTCATGTGAACACTTTGGCACCTGCATGGAAGAGAAGTGGAGCGAAATGGCAATGGAGGCAGGGAGGCTGCCACAACAGTCCAGGCAAGAGGATGATGGGAACTGGGAGAGCAGAAACGGAGAAACAGAACAGAGGTAAGGAGTCCTGAAGAGGTAGACTGAGCCCTGGTTATGGATAGTTTACATATGGGTGTAACTGAGAAGGGGGTCAAGGTCGACTCCTGGGGACTGTGTAGAAGCCACCCTTTGGTAAGAGTATGAGAAGGAAAGGGGTTACTCATAGAGAAGACAGGAATGCACATGTCACGTTCTGATGCAGGCAGTTTCAATGGAAGCGGACGTCACTATGAGGTGGCCAGGCAAGGAATCATAAAGGCCTCAGGACTTTACCTTAGACCTTAAAGGATGGTTGGGACTTAGAAAAGTGAAGGGAAGCATGCACAGCATTTCAGGCTGAAAACAGCTGAGGAAAGGCACACAGAAGTGGCAAAAGAGAAACAATTTTCTGGGGTAAGTATATGGGATTTTGCAAGCAGGAGAGGGTAGAAGAAAAGGGATGAAGAGGCTGGCCCTTGAATGGTTTGGGGTTTACATTCAGGACTTTTTTTTTTTCAGGAAGGGAGAATTCACTAAGTTCACTGTTTTGTAAGGCAACTGCTTTCACTGTTGATCAACAATCCTGGAGAGTAATGGTAGCCATCATAAACATGCCAATGACATTAATTCATAGTAATTATATATACATAGACATGGAGTTTCCCTCTTGTTGCCCAAGCTGGAGTGCAATGGTGCGATTTCAGCTCATTACAACCTCCACCTCCCGGTTTCAAGCAATTCTCCTGCCTCAGCCTCCTGAGTAGCTGAGAATACAGGCACACCCAGCTAATTTTTTGTATTTTTAGTAGAAATGCGGTTTCACCATGTTAGCCAGGCTGGTCTTGAACTCTTGACCTCAGGTGATCTGCCCACCTCGGCCTCCCAAAGTACTGGGATTATAGGCGTCAGCCACCGTGCCTGGCTGTATGTATAATTCTCTGTCATACTAGGATTCACAGAGTTCTACAGCCAGAGCTAGAACTCATTTCTCTTGATGGCATCTCTGGATTAAAATAATATTTTAGTAGTTTGGTATTCATAAGCCGGGCATGGTGGCTCACGCCTGTAATCCCAGCACTTTGGGAGGCCGAAGAGGGTTAATCACCTGAGGTCAGAAGTTCAAGACCAGCCTGGTCAACATGGTGAAACCCCATCTCTACTCAATAAACAAAAATTAGCCGGGCATGGTGGTGGGCGCCTGTAATCCTAGCTACTCGGGAGGCTGAGGCAGGAGAATCGCTTGAACCCGGGAGGTGGAGCTTGCAGTGAGCCGAGATCGCGCCATTGCACTCCAGCCTGGGCAATAACAGTGAAAATTTTGTCTCAAAAGAAAAGTAGTTTGGTATTCATAATCACTGGCACCATGTTCTCTCCAAACACCTAATATTGTAGTTATGTCTGAAATGTCAAAAACAAGTTTAATACAAATTTAACAATACTTTATTTAAATATTTTATTTCATCTTGAAGCCTTTAGCTGTTTTTATAAGTTAAACCAAATAAATTCTGTAATGAATGTTTTATGCTGTTTGTAAAAAAAAAATTCAAGTACAAAATCAACTTCTTAAAGCCTATATTATATTATCTATTATATTGGGGACTATGGTAATGAAATTTTAACTCCACCCAAACACACAACTTAAAAAAAATAATATTTAAAAGTCTTAGCTGTAAAAATATCACTTGCTCTGTTTCACCTGAAATCGTTGCAAGTGTTGGTTGGGTACCTGCTACGTCTTCTCCACATCTATCATTTCAAAACAAATAAAACACCAACAGGTGCATTAGCTATCATTACATATTTTCCTGGAATACATTCAGATTCTTTTCTTTCATTTTCCCTTAGCAGCAATCAAATCCCTAACAGCTCTTGATAATTTCTCATTTCTTGCTTCAGTGCCATTCTTGAAAACAAAGCCATCCGTTATTGTGTATATGTCATTTAAAAAAATCACAGGTAAAAGGGGAGCTCAGATTGCTCCAAATGAGTGCTTTCAGGAAATAGTGCTTCTCCTATGATATGATTGGAAACCCTGAGTTCATGTCAGTTATGGGGCAATCTCCAAAATATCCATCCTCTCCCGTCCCCCAAAAAGTGCCACCTCCTTTTTTGTTATTTGAGGCTGCTTCTGCTCTTCATTCATTTCATTCCCATTCTGGCTGAGCACATTATACAGCCTCCGTACATAATTTTCCCAAAAGTTTAGACAAAATAAAATTGCTGCATTCCATCTTATCACCTAATATGCATCTGAGGAACATATTCCTTTAGGTTTTCTATCTCCATTAAATGTGATCTAAATGTTCTGGTATATCTCAAAATTCTTCTGCTTCAGTTAATTATGCTCTAAATTCTCAGAAATGTACCTCAGAATACTAGGAAACAAGTTTGGCAGGCAAATGGCAGAAATGGCACAGGGATGAAGATGAAACAGGCATTCATTCCTGGGAAATTCCTGGAGGGAAGTCAGATTTCCAGCCTGAGAAAAAATAAGCTCACTTCTCCCCCTTGTGCCCAGAACTTCAGATGCTATGAGCCATATATTTCCTTGAATGAGAGAAGGCAAGAGGGTGGAATCTCCTTCTTTTGACCTCTCATTCCAACATTTCTATACTGCAATTAATACATTTGTAGTAGTACAATATATTGGTTTGAAACAGACTGATGTCAGTTTTTAAAACAATTAAGGTGTAGAAAATTCCCCTACATTCCAATCTGATACAGCCACTACGCCTCTGGTACCCCTTCACTTAGCCTTATGTATTTGTACCTAATTAATGTATGAATGCAAGAGTGTGCATGTGTGTGTTTGCGTGTAGACAGACAGATCAATCTTTATAGCCTTGCTCTACAAAGGAGTCCAAATGGAGCTCTATGAACCAATTAAAAAAACCTCAAAGACCAAGTATAGCCATCTCATGGGGGCAGGCATTTTTGTCTGTTTTGTTCCCTAGTCAATCTGCATCTCTCAGAACAGTGCTAGCACATAGTGGGTGCTCAGTAAGTAATTTGTTTAATCAAAATCACTTACTCCTCTTTCCCAGACTATTTCTATAAAAGCCAAATGCAATCAAACATTAGAAACAAGCAAATAAACGATAATACAGGAAGTAAATGTAGTTTCTTACTCCATGGTTTGAAAAATCTGCAGCTAAACGCCATTTTTTTTTCATTTTTATTATTTCAACTTCAATTTCCTGTTTATCCCCTTCTTTTGAATGACAGTTCACTGTTCTGCCTTCACATAAGAGACGAGTGTATATTAAAATCTACCTTATTTCACATTTGCATTCCAAAGGGTACTTTGCCAATGAGTTTATGAGGCAATTATTTTTCCTTTAAATGTTCATTTCCATTTTTTAAGAGTATCTTCTTACTTGGTCAATTGCACACAGGCAACATTCACTAGATTGGACATCCTCTTGTGGAACAATCTAACAAATTATAGTCAGGAAAGTCTTTGCTTACTTGTGTGTTTGTTTTAGCAGCCGCACATTTGGTTAATGGACTAAGTAATACAGACAATATCACGATCAAACCTCCTCTTTCAGCATGGAAGGAAAATTAGATTGTATTTTAATCTGTCCTTTGCAAAGCTGTAAATACTTTTTATCATTTCAGATGCTTCAAGTAAAGCCATTAGAAAAAAACAATTTGTAACATTTGTCTCACAACATCTTTCTTCTGGTTAGGAGTTAAAATATTAGAGATAAGGAGATGAGGAAAAAAAGGACCCATGGACTTGGAGAGTGTCAGGGTGCCATTTAAACTTATCATGCTATATGAGTCTAAAACCTTTTGCTTGTCCGGAACCTTGGGGAAATTCCACTATCTCTAAACTGCAAACTTGCCCCCTGGGGCCCTGAGGCAAAGCCCAACATGGTGCCTGAATAATCAAAATTTCTTCCAAACATGAGATCTAACCTAAAAAACATACAAATAGATAAACAAATGAATCCATAAAAATGATATACTGTTTCCTAATATTTGTTTTTACTTTGATATGGAAACATTTTAAATTTCTCAAGAATGAATACAATTGATATTCTAGGAAATACCATGGTATTTTTCCTGACCCTTCTCCATTGATAATTTTGCTTTTCACGGCCAAGAAGCTCCATAGACCCAAAATCAGTGTCAAGAGAGTTTTGTTTGGTTCTACTACCCACCTCAGGCTGCTGTTAAGTTTCCTCTAGTTACTCTTCTCCTCTCCGTAGTTCTTTTAAACAACGAGTCCACATTCAAAGAGATGTTTGGCTCACTTCCTAGTCTATCTCCAGTCTTTCCTTTCCTGGTTCTAGTTTCCTCTTCAATTCTGATGAGCTTCTCTCTACCAGCACCTCTGCTTTTACATTTGTATGTCAGCAACTTGCTTTATACTTTAGGCAATTTTGATGGACTCTTTACTGCCAACATACACACACACACACACACACACACACACACACTTCAATATAATAAGGGTTTTGTTTTTAGCTACCAGGAAGGGTCATAAAAGGATGCATTGACTAATGACTCTTAGAAAGAACCCTGCGACATTATTAATGCAATAATAGCACAGATAGTCTCCAAAATTTAAATGGGCACTATATTAGTCTGTTTTCACACTGCTATAAAGAAATACCTGGTGGCTGGCAAGATGGCCAAATAGGAACAGCTCCAGTCTGCAGGTCACAGTGAGATCAACGCAGAAGGCAGGTGATTTCTGCATTTCCAACTGAGGTACCCAGCTCATCTCATTGCGACTGCTTAGACAGTGGGTGCAGCCCACAGAGGGCGAGCCGAAGCAGGATAGGGCATCGTCTCACCAGGGAAGCGCAAGCGGTTGGGGAACTCCCTCCCCTAGCCAAGGGAAACCATGAGGAAATGTGCTGTGAGGAATGGTGCACTCCGGCCTAGGTACTACACTTTTCCCACGGTCTTCACAACCCGCAGACCAGGAGATTCCCTCAGGTGCCTACACCACCAGGGCCCTGGGTTTCGAGCACAAAACTGGGCAGCCATTTGGGCAGACACCAAGCTAGCTGCAGGAGTGTTTTTTTTTTTCATACCCCAGCAGTGCCTGGAATGCCAGTGAGACAGAACTGTTCACTCCCCTGGAAAGGGGGCTGAAGCCAGGGAGCCAAGTGGTCTAGCTCAGCGGATCCCACCCCCACGGAGCCCAGCAAGCTAAGCTCCACTGGCTTGAAATTCTTGCTGCCGGCACAGCAGTCTGAACTTGCTGGGATGCTCGAGCTTAGTCGGGGGAGGGGCGTCCGCCATTACTGAGGCTTGAGTAGGCAGTTTTCCCCTCACAGTCTAAACAAAGCCGCCAGGAAGTTCAAACTGGGCTGACCCCACCACAGCTCTGCCAGGCCGCTGTAGCCAGACTGCCTCTCTAGATTCCTCCACTCTGGGCAGGGCATCTCTGAAAGAAAGGCAGCAGCCCCAGTCAGGGGCTTATAGATAAAGCTCCCATGTCCCTGGGACAGAGCACCTGGGGGAAGGGGTGGCTGTGGGTGCAGCTTCAGCAGATTTAAATGTTCCTGCCTGCCAGCTCTGAAGAGAGCAGCAGATCTTCCAGCACAGCACTTGAGCTCTGCTAAGGGACCGACTGCCTCCTCAAGTGGGTCCCTGACCCCCATGCCTCCTGACTGGGAGACACCTCCCAGCAGGGGTTGACAGACACCTCATACAGGAGAGCTACAGCTGGCATCTGGTGGGTGCCCCTCTGGGACAAAGCTTCCAGAGGAAGGAACAGGCAGCAATCTTTGCTGTTCTGCAGCCTCTGCTGGTGATACCCAGGCAAACAGGGTCTGGAGTGGACCTCCTGTAAACTCCAGCAGCAGGGGGGCCTGACTGTTAGAAGCAAAACTAGCAAACAGAAAGGAATAGCATCAACATCAACAAAAAGGACGTCCACACAAACCCCATCCGAAGGTCACCAACATCAAAGACCAAAGGTAGATAAATCCACAAAGATGAGGAAAAGCCAGTGCAAAAAGGCTGAAAATTCCAAAAACCAGAAAGCCTCTTCTCCTCCAAAGGATCACAACTCCTCACCAGCAAGGGAACAAAACTGGACGGAGAATGAGTTTGACGAATTGACAGAAGTAGGCTTCAGAAGGTGTGTAATAACAAACTCCTCTCAGCTAAAGAAGCATGTTCTAACCCAATATAAGAACCTTGAAAAAAGGTTACAGGAATTGCTAACTAGAATAACCATTTTAGAGAAGAACGAAAGTGACCTGATGGCACTGAAAAACAACATGAGAACATTGTGAAGCATACACAAGAATCAATAGCCATATTGATCAAGCGAAGAAAGGATATCAGAGATTGAAGATCAACTTAATGAAATAAAACCTGAAGACAAGATTAGAGAAAAAAGAATGAAAATGAATGAATAACGCCTCCACGAAATATGGGACTATGGAAAAGACCAAATCTACGTTTGATTGGTGTACCTGAAAGTGACAGGGAGAATAGAACCAAGTTGGAAAACACTCTTCAGGATATTATCCAGGAGAACTTCCCCAACCTATCAAGACAAGCCAACATTCCAATTCAGGAAATACAGAGAACACCACAAAGATACTCCTCGAGAAGAGCAACCCCAAGACACCTAATCGTCAGATTCACCAAGGTTGAAATGAAGGAAAAAATGTTAAGGGCAGCCAGAGAAAAAGGTCGGGTTACCCACAAAGGGAAGCCCATCAGACTAATAGCAGATGTCTCTGCAGAAACCCTACAAGCCAGAAGAGAGTGGGTGCCAATATTCAACATTCTTAAAGAAAGCAATTTTCAAACCAGAATTTCATATCCAGCAAAACTAAGCTTCATAAGCAAAGGAGAATGACATCCTTTACAGACAAGCAAATGCTGAGAGATTTTGTCACCACCAGACCTGCCTTACAAGAGTCCCTGAAGGAAGCACTAAATATGGGAAGGAAAAACCAGTACCAGCCACTGCAAAACATACCAAATTGTAAAGCCCATCAACACTATGAAGAAACTGCATCAACTAACAGGCAAAATAACCATCTAGCATCATAATGACAGAATCAAATTCACATATATCAATATTAATCTTAAAGGTAAATGGGCTAAATGCTCCATCCAATTAGAAGACACAGACTGGTAAATTGGATGAAGAATCACGACCCAACAGTGTGCTGTATCCAGGAGACCCATCTCATGTGCAAAGACACACATAAGCTGAAAATAAAGGAATGGAAGAATATTTACCAAGCAAAGGGAAAGAAAAAGAAAAAAAAGCAGGGTTGGCCATCCTTGTCTCTGATAAAACAGACTTTAAACCAACAAAAATAAAAAAAGACAAAGAAGGGCATTACATAATGGTAAAGGGATCAATGCCGCAAGAAGAGCTAACTATCCTAAATACATATGCACCCAATACAGGAGCACCCAGATTGATAAAGTAAGTTCTTAGAGGCCTATTAGGGACTTACACTCCCAAACGATAATAGTGGGAGACTTTAACACCCCACTGTCAATATTAGACAGATCAACGAGACAGAAAATTAACAAGGATATTCAGGACTTCAACTCAGCTCTGGACCAAGTGGACCTAATAGACATCTACAGAACTCTCCACCCCAAATCAACAGAATATATATTCTTCTTAGCACCACATTGCACTTATTCTAAAATTGACCACATAATTGGAAGTAAAACACTCCTCAGCAAATGCAAAAGAATGGAAATCATAACAAACAGTCTCTAGACCACAGTCCAGTCAAATTAGAACTCGGGATTAAGAAACTCACTCCAAACCGCTCAACTACATGGAAACTGAACAACCTGCTCCTGAAAGACTACCGCGTAAATAATGAAATTAAGGCAGAAATAAATAAGTTCTTTGAAACCAATGAGAACAAAGACACAAAGTACCAGAATCTCTGAGACACAGGTAAAGCAGTGTTTAGAGGGAAATTTATAGCACTAAAATGCCCACAGGAGAAAGCAGGAAAGATCTAAAATCAAAACCCTAACATCATAATCAAAAGAACTAGAGAGGCAAGAGCAAACAAATTCAAAAGCTAGCAAAAGATAAGAAAGAATTAAGATCAGAGCAAAACTGAAGGAGACAGAGACACAAAAACCCCTTCAAAAAAATCAATGAATCCAGGAACTGGTTTTTTTAAAAGATTAGCAAAATAGATAGACTGCTAGCCAGATTAATCAAGAAGAAGAGAGGGAAGAATCAAATAGACACAATACAAAATGATTAAGGGGATATCACCACTGATCCCACAGAAATACAAACTACATCAGAGAATACTATAAACACCTCTACACAAATAAGCTAGAAAATGTAGAAGAAATGGATAAATTCCTGGACACATAAACCCTCCCAAGACTAAACCAGAAAGAAGTCTCATCCCAGAATAGACCAATAGTAAGTTCTGAAACTGAGGCAGTAATTAATAGCCTACCAACCAAAAAAAGCCCAGGACCAGATGGATTCACAGCTGAATTCTACCAGAGATACAAAGAGGAGCTGATATCATTTCTTCCGAAACTATTCCAAACCACAGAAAAAGAAGGAATCTTCCCTAACTCATCCTATGAGGCTGGCATCATCCTGATACCAAAACCTGGCAGAGACACAACAAAAAGAAAATTTCAGGCCAATATCCCTGATGAACATCGACGCGAAAATCCTCAATAAGATACTGGCAAACTGAATCCAGCAGCACATTAACAAGCTTATCCACCATGATCAAGACAGCTTCATCCCTGGGATGCAAGGCTAGTTCAACATATGGAAATCAATATATGCAATCCATCACATAAACAGAACCAATGACCAAAAACACATGATTATCTCAATTGATGCAGAAAAGGCCTTCAATAAAATTCAACACCCCTTCATGCTAAAAACTCTCAATTAACTAGGTATTGATGGAACGTATCTCAAAATAATAAGAGCTATTTATGACAAACCCACAGCCAATATCATACTGAATGGGCAAAAGCTGGAAGCATTCCCTTTGAAAACTGGCACAAGACAAGGATGCCCTCTCTCACCACTCCTATTCAACATAGTATTGGAAGTTCTGGCCAGGGCAACCAGGCAAGAGAAAAAAAATAAAGGATATTCATATAGGGAGAGAGGAAGTCAAATTGTCTCTGTTTGCAGATAACGTGATTGTATATTTAGAAAACCCCATCATTTCAGCCCAATATCTCCTTAAGCTGATAAGCAACTTCAGCAAAGTCTCAGGATACAAAATCAATGTGCAAAAATCACAAACATTCCTATACACCAATAATAGACAAACAGAAAGCCAAATCATGAGTGTACTCCCATTCACAATTGCTACAAGGAGAATAAAATACCTAGGAATACAACTTACAAGGGATGTGAAGGACCTCTTCAAGAACTACAAACCACTGCTCAAGGAAATAAGAGAGGACACAAATGGTAAAACATTCCATGATCATGGATAGGAAAAATCAATATCGTGAAAACAGCCATACTGCCCAAAGTAATTTATAGATTCAATGCTATCCCCATCTAGCTGCCATTGACTTTCTTCACAGAATTAGGAAAAACTACTTTAAATTTCATATGGAACCAAAAAAGAGCCCGTATAGCCAAGACAATCCTAAGCAAAAAGAACAAAGCTGGAGGCATCACACTACCTGACTTCAAACTATACTACAAGGCTACAGTAACAAAAACAGCATTGTACTGCTACCAAAGAAGATATATAGAGCAATGGAACAGAACAGAGGCCTCAGAAATAATGCCACATCTACAATCATCTGATCTTTGACAAACCTGAGAAAAACAAGCAATGGGGAAAGGATTCCCTGTTTAATAAATGGTGTTGGGAAAACTGGCTAGCCATATGCAGAAAACTGAAACTGGACACCTTCCTTACACCTTATACAAAAATTAACTAAAGATAGATTAAAGACTTAAACGTAAAACCTAAATCTGTAGAAACCTTAGAAGAAAACCTAGGCAATACCATTCAGGATATGGGCATGGGCAAAAACTTCATGAGTAAAACACCAAAAGCAATGGCAATGAAAGCCAAAATTGACAAATGGGATCTAATTAAACTAAAGAGCTTCTGCACAGCAAAAAAACTATCATCAGAGTGAACAGGCAACCTACAGAATGGGGGAAAATTTTTACAATCTGTCTGTCTGACAAAGGGCTAATATTCAGAATCTACAAGGAACTTAAACAAATTTACAAGAAAAAAGCAAACAACCCCATCAAAAAGTGGGTGAAGGATATGAACAGACACTTCTCAAAAGAAGACATTTACACAGCCAACAAACACATGAAAAAAAGCTCATCATCACTGGTCATTAGAGAAATGCAAATCAAAACCACAAGGAGATACCATTTCACGCCAGTTAGAATGGTGATCATTAAAAAGTCAGGAAACAACAGATGCTGGAGAGGATGTGGAGAAATAGGAACGCTTTTACACTGTTGGTGGGAGTGTAAATTAGTTCAACCATTGTGGAAGACAGTGTGGCCAATTCCTCAAGGAACTAGGACCAGAAATACCATTTGACCCAGCAATCCCATTACTGGGTATATACCAAAAGGAGTATAAATCATTTTACTATAAAGACACATGCACATGTATGTTTACTGCAGCACTTTCCACAATAGCAAAGACTTGGAACCAACCCAAAGGCCCATGAATGACAGACTGGATAAAGAAAATGTGGCATATATACACCATGGAATACTAAGCCACCATAAAAAAGGATGAGTTCATGTCCTTTGCAGGGACATGGATGAAGCTAGAAACCATCATTCTCAGCAAACTAACACAGGAACAGAAAACCAAACACCACATGTTCTCATTCATAAGTGGGAGTTGAACAATGAGAACACATGGACACAGGAAGTGGAACATCACACACCAAGGCCTGTCAGGAGGTGGGGGACTAGGGGAGGGGTAGCATTAGGAGAAATACCTAATGTAGATAAGGGGTTGATGGGTGCCACAAACCACCATGGCACGTGCATACCTATGTAACAAACCTGCATGTTCTGCACATGTATCCCAGGACTTGAAGTATAATAATTTAAAAAAAGAAAAAATATAAATACCCGAGACTGGGTAATTTATAAAGGAAAGGGATTTAATTGACTCACAGTTCTGCATGGCTGGGGAGGCCTCAAGAAACTTACAATCATGGCGGAAGGTGAAGGGGAAGCAAGCTTGGACTTTCTCACATGGCAGCAGGAGAGAGAAGAATGAGAGTGAAAGGGGAAGAGCCTCTTATAAAACCATTAGCTCTTGTGAGAACTCATTCACTATCATGAAAACAGCATGGGGAAAACCGCCCCCATGATCCAATCAGCACCCACCAGGTCTCTCCCTAAACACGTGGGGATTATGGGAATTACAAATCAAGATGAAATTTGGGTGGGGACACAAAGCCTAACCATATCAGGCACTATCAAACAATCTCATCCAATATGAGAGGAAAAGGGGTTTGCCATGATATAGGACTCTTTGTACTCTTCCCACTTAGGCTCCGCCCCTTATAATCATGATCAATTCATATTAGTACCATTAATATTAGTACTCCTGCACCTTGTGAGTGGACAGAAAAGTATACAGAGAATATGTGCTCTTCCTCCAAACCCCAGTGTTCTTGATATTCTCAGGACAAAATTATGTCCTTATCATAATTATCATCTTCTTCTCAGCTAACATTTTAGGAAGCATTTACTCCATGCCCAATACTACCATCCTATTTATTATCACATCAGTACTGAGCTGAGTTCTTTCCCATTCATAAAACATTCATTCCTTCAACATATCAATCACTGGCACTGCTTGGTGTACTAGCTTACATTCTAGTTTCTGGAATGAGGGAGACTAATAATAAATACAATAATTTAACAGAGCAGTAAATACTGTTAAATAAAATGGATTATTGTTAGAGAGTGAGAGATATGAGGAGGGATGAAGAAGGGACCACATTAGGAAGACAGTTCTTAGAGTCTCTTTGAAGTGGTGACATTTGAATGGAAACTTGAATGATGAGAAAGACTGGGGGACAGCTTGTTAGGCAGAGGGAGTGGCAAGTGCCAAGGAAAGGAGGTTGCAGGGCACTTGGTGCTGTCTCTCCTCACGTTCATGGAACTATCCTTGCATCTCCTCTCTTGGATGTCCTCTTCCCTAATGCTCTCTTATGCTGATTTTTCACACCCAGGAGTATTCAGATGCCCATCTGGTCTATGCCCACAAGAAATATTACTGCCTTATTGGCTTTTACCAACCTCATCTTAATATTGCACACTTGACCTTCAAGGCCTTAAAGAAACAGCAACTTAAAGCAAACCTGCATCTTCAGCAGAACCACTGTTCATCACATTGTCTAACATGTCACTGTCTCTTATCTAAGAATGTATGGGATATACTCCTCATAGAATTTAGTGCCAGGAAACAAAAATTCTTCTGAAGATCTGTTTTCCTTCGTTAACCAATGAATTATAGGTAATCTTTCCTGTTATCCTTTTATTTTGGCTGCCAGGAACCACATAGCTAAAACGTAGTGCTCCTATTACAAAAATGATCTTACCCAGGTTTTGTGGTACATTCACTATTTCCCCCATTTATTTCTCTTGATGGTTTCTCATCTTTATTTTGTTTTTACTGCCTTGTGTGAAAGTGCTTTTATTTAAGCTGCCCCAAACTTTTTGGAAATAGATGATGTATAAATCATTAATCACCAAGTGCTTTTAACAATCACAAGTAACTTCCTCATTGCAAAATCTGATGTGTCATCCTGGTCTTGATCTTACTCACCCTTTCTGCCACATGACATAACTCACTGATCTTCTTTCTAATCTTTGGTGTAGGATTATTATACATATGAATAAAACTGGTAAAAAAAATCTCCACATCCTCGGTTTTATGGCATATTACAGTGTCTTCATTCTCTTTATAACACATTTTTATCCTATCTTATGTATGAATGTGTACATATATGAATATATGCATGTATACATGTATGTATGCATGTGTATATATTTAGTTTCCTTCTTTTTCCACATGCCCATTCATGCAGATATGCTCCAGGATTCTATTCTAAGCTCACCTGCTCTCTGCTCTCTCTCCTTTGACACTTTTCTACTATTGTTACCTGTATGTAAAAGACTTTCAAGTTTTATTTCTAGCTCTAGTCATTCTCTTGGGTTTGCAGTCCAAATTCTCTGGTACCATCTGGACCTCAGAGTTAGAATGAGGCCTTGTAGTTCATTCACCCTCCCAGTCATTGAGTTTCCTCCATGACATCTCTGCCAAGTATTTGTCCACCCTACATTTTTTCAGTGACATTAAACTTGCTACCTTTCAAGGCAGCTTACCTAACCAGCTGGCTATGACTCTTAAAAGTTATTTCAAGCCGGGCGCAGTGGCTCATGCCTGTAATCCCAGCACTTTGGGAGGCTGAGGCGGGTGGATCGCCTGAGGTCGGAGTTTGAGACAAGCCTGACCAACCTGGTGAAACCCTGTCTCTACTAAAAATACAAAAAAAATTAGCTGGCTGTGGTGGTGGGCACCTGTAATCACAGCTACTTTGGAGGCTGGGGCAGGAGAATTGCTTGAACCCGGGAGGTGGAGGTTGCAGTGAGCCGAGATCACGCCATTGCACTCCAGCCTGGGCAACAAGAGCAAGACTCCATCTCAAAAAAGAAAAAACGGTTATTTCCAATAGGATGGCAACATCTTTGTGATACATGTCCGCTGATTCTAATGCTATTCCTAAGGTAACAATAAGAGCTAAGACACATTGAATATGAAATGTGTTCCAGGGGCACTGCACATATTATCTCTCCACAACTCTGCAAGGTGGTTTTATTATTTTCATCATATCATTGGGACAATTTAGAATGTATAATCTTTTTCCACGGCTTTTCTCCAAATGGTGAAACACACATATCTTCCAGGGAAACCACTGTCTTCCAGGTTAAGAAAGTACAAATTCCTCCAACCATGTCTCACACAAATTATTTTGTTTTGTAAGTGAATTTCACCACCTATATTCTTGACCTCTAACCATGGTGTCAAAAATAAGTTCAAAATAACATTGCAATTGTGACTTGGATATGCAGAATAGAACGTAACGATTGCCAACTTCATTCTGGACGCTATATGGCTCTACTGACATAGCCTAAGATCATACTTGTTACTTCCTACTTAATCAAATAATATCCCTGAGGCTTTTTAATCAATGGCGTGCTAAACATCTGCAAGAATTCTGATGGCTATGTCAAACTACTGAACTCAACTTATTTCCTCACTAACCTCTTCATGAGTTTGACTTGTCCATGTCTTATGACATCCTTATTTCCCAGACTCATAGGCTAAAATGCTCCCTGACAGCTTTATAGCTCCTCTTACATCTTCTAGATCTTTTTGTTCACCAAGTCTTGAAGGCTCTGACTCAAACATTTTCTCACATCATCATCTTCCCATGGACCCTGCCTTTTGCTGTTTCTCAGTTTAGGCCTCTTCTCTCACCTGGACAGCTGAAATTGTGGTGTTCCTACTTCCCTTGACCGCCCCCCTGCATGGACTGATGAAGCGCCTGTCCCATAGCACAGCTCCCGCCCGGTAATCCTCCGCTTAGAGAGCTTCAGCAGCACTCTGCCTAGCAAGGAAAATTCCACCTTTTTACTCTGATATTAGCAGCTGCCAGTATATGTCTTCTTTTTTAGCCTTATCATCTAGTGATTTCCTGCGAGTACTGTATGCTTTTGAAATATTGTGCACAAAATGGTTTTAATTTTCCTGATTCTGCATCTATCTTTATTTACATTGTTTTTGAGCCTGGAGACACCTTTCTTTGTCTGTCAAAATTCTATCTTTCAATAATCCGAGAAAATGTCACAACCTCTATGACACTTTTGCCAGATCCTGGTCTAGCCATTTAAAATTAATCTCATGCTGCTGAGTTCTCACAGCATTTTAGTTCTCTCCTAGAATATAATAATAACAGAAATTTACATATAGGTCTTATCTCTTTATTCTTTAGGCTCCCTCAGACTTGTTCATGTTTTTTTTTTTAATTTTGCTATTCTTTGGTACAGAGTAAGGATTGAATTACACAGCACATTAATTAAGAAAAAGGAGGCAGAAAACAGAAGAGGTAAAACTGATGAGTAGCAGAAACTAAAGAAAACTTGGAAATCTAATGCAAACACTTGGAAATTCAGACCCACACAGGCTGTATTTACCAATGCACCGAAAGACTTTTCTCTCTTTCCTTTGTTGCTGCCTCTCTCTAACATAACATTTTAGACTGTATCCTCTGAACTCTACTTTCAGGAACATAACCTATTTCTTTTTCCCTAAAATCTAACCAGACTAGAACTCTCTTGGGGGCAACAGTCAGAGGCCAGCACACCAAGTGCCAAAGTTGATTTTGGTTGCAATCAGCCACCTCACTGAGTAACTACATTCAGTGATCCTACTAAGCCATAAATCCACATTCTCTTAAAAATAATCTCAGTGGCAATGAGCAGACAAGCTTTTCCAAGCTCACTTGTTACTCCCCCAAAGTCTTAATAAATATTTTAGATATTAAGTCATTGCAATGTCCTGTTGCTCAATAAAAATAAAAAGCTTATCATACACATTTATTCACTGCTGTTATTTTGAAACAAGACATAAAGGTCTTTACATCACAAAGATACAGTTGATTTTATATAAGATGTACTCGAAATAGTTGCATTTAGAAAGAAAACTTGGGAATAGATTCTTTATCAATGTGATTGAATTTCAGTATCACCTACGAGAATTTTAAACTATTTAACATAACCTATGTTAGGTCAAGAAAAGGGCTTCACATTTTTTCCTTCCTGGAATTAACATTTATTTAATGGAATTCTACCTTACGAAACCCCACTTGCATTACCCAGATGTTCAGTCAATGAAATTACTGAATTAATGGGAAAAAATTACCTTCTTAAGATTAGGTCACATGAATTCACAAAACTGGAAGTGGTTACATAATATAGCAGAGTTACATAATAACGTATTGAATGATATTATACTTTAAGATATAATGAGTTTTTAACTAATAGTCTTGTTTTCTGAGCCCAGCCTTCCTGCTTTTTACTTGACTCTCCTTCTCATCTCATTTGTGCCTCCCCCTCTATTCTCAAGTATGTATCCTTTCTTCCTGAATATTTGGCTATGATTACGTAGGCACCATATCAGTTGTTTCCCATAAATAAAAGGGGAAACATACATATATGCATACATTGACACATAAAATCATCTTTTCAAAATATTACATTTTGGAGACAATTCCAGTGTGGGAAGGATTTCTCTATTGTTTGGTTTTGAGTACTCAAAATGATAAATAAATGTAACTTTCAACTAAATCCATCATTTATATAAACATAGGTGGGTCATTAGACATTGAATTTACTGAAAGTAATTTAGTTTAAAATGTTTCTTCATCAGTGAAAATTGAAGTTACTGGACTTGAGTAGATGAAGAAAACATGGACTCCAATAGCTTGAGTCAAAATTGCCAATATTATTTACTGATAAACTAGCATAGAAATTACAATCAGGGCAGTTTATTCCTACCAGAAGAAAATAAGACAGTAGGGTTTTTTGTTTGTTTGTTTTTTCCTGGCAGATAGAACATTTGAGCTCTTGATATGTTTTAAATTTCAGGCAACAAAATTATGTAAATATCCTAAAATTACATAAAATATGAGTAAACACCTATTTTTCTATGAACTATTAGATGTATGAAAAGCAAAGATGCTCCTTTCTCCTCAATTTATCTATTTAGAAATACTAATAACAATAATAATCATAAGAGAGTGTGGGGAAAATCAAATGTCAAGCCTCACCCAAACAGTAGGTAGGGAAAATGTTAGTATTCCAATTCACAATGAAGCCTTTTACTCCAATGTACATTGGAGTAAATTGGAGTATTTAATACTCCAATGTACATTGGAGTACATTGGAGTACATCAGAGTACATTGGAGTATTTAATACTCCAATGTACACTGGAGTAAATTGGAGTATTTAATACTCCAATTCACAACACGGCATTCAGTTAATCATAATAGTTTGTAAATTATATAGGTCATTGTATTGCTTTATAGCATGTCTATGCCTTAGTGCCCTAATAAAAGACACTAGTTTTCCTTTGCTTTTATCTAGTGAATTTTGATCATACTAAACTCATAGGTCACAGGTAAATTACTGTATGGTAGTGCTGAGTGGCAATAAATTGAGAAAGAAATAGGTTCAAATCTTACATTAGCATACATTTTTACTTATTAAGAGCCCGGTCAAAGATTTAATGACAAGAATGTTAAATGTAGTGGCTGACAGGAGTGCTGAGCTTACCTTCAAGTTAATTCATTCCTAATGTCAATGTCTTTCATTTCCATACTTAGATATATTAACTATCTATTCATCACATATTTCTAGAACGGGTTTGAAGTCTTCACTCTGATCTTATAAATCATACAAAATCTTTCCAGATCGGAGCAAATCTAACTGCTAGATTTAGAAATTGCCCTAGTGATTTTAACAAGTTGATATTGGAGATGGTTTTCTTTCTCAAACTTAAATGTATTTATTCTTCATCCAAACTGAGGATTCTGGGGTTTTGGTCAAGGTACTATATTATAAACAGATTGTAATCAAAGATGGAACTGCAGCAGTATCAGGAAAAAATTCTAAAATATTGCTAGTGCATGGGAAATGTGGACCCGGAAGAAGGGCAGGGATCTCACTCTCCTTCCCTTTTGTTCATCCCCTACACCAGCGTTTTAGAATATCTTACATTACAATGATTACGCAGGGTAGCCTACAAGTGAGAGGGGAAAAGGCATAGTACAGATGTATGTACACATTTTCTTTATTTCAATGAGAAGGAATTGGGTGTTGAGGTCGGTTCACAAAGAGGGTTAAGCCTCCAGTCTGTTGTTGTTCTGATACTATGGTGGAGGTTGTTAAATCATCCACCAACAGAGCCACTTCCTGCTTTTCTTCCCCTTATCTCTGAGTCTCTGCTTAGCAGCTTGCTTGAACATTAGTTGTAGAGGCTCCTAAATTTTGAGATCAATTGGTCTATTGCTAAACCCTAAGGAAATCATTGCCTATTACTCCCATGTTGTATTTAGCTATGACTTCAAAGCTTAGAATGACCAGTACTCACTAGATAAAAGAAAAATAACTTGAAGAAGCTTATATGTGAACTCCTTGTGGAAAGGGGCCACGTTTAATTAATCTTTGTATCCAAAAATATCACACAGCCTAGCACATAGTGGGTGCTCAAATATGTTTGTAAGCAGGTTGGTGAAACAAACTAGTCAGGAAAGGATAACACACGAAATACATGGAGAACAACCTAAACATTAATAAGGACCAATTAGTTAAGACAAATACTGGCACGAAATTAAAACCCCTTCAAGCCCTTATTGTTTACATGATGTTTCTTGTACCTATTTTGATTTATTAAGTCTAATACAATACCTAACACTTCCATACTGAGTACCAATATATGAAAGATTTTATAGACATAATTTCTTTTAATCCTTTAACATTTTTAAATTGTCTTCAGTTTTACAGATAATGATACTAAGGCTCAAAGAAGTGAAGGCTAAATCCCTGGTTATTTGAATCTAAAACCTGGGCTCTTTCCACCAAATTACATTCTCTGCTTTTAAAGTCTCCTTCTTTTAAGGGCAATTTTCCATAAGCTTTTTTACTTCATGTGAATTAAATAATATGGATTGCTGTGTTTCAAATAGCAAACTTTCAAATATTTGTTGAGTTTGATTAATCAAATCCTGAAAAAATAGGAGAGTTTAGGGTAATAGGACGTGGACATAGGGTCGTCTACCAAGAGCCAAAACTGACTCATAAAATCTGTAGATTACATGACTTATCATAAATACACCAAAATAACAGGCTCCCACCTTTCATAGAGACTGGAAAATAGAGAAAGTGACAACTTTCACAAGAGACTTCACTGGATTTAACTCACTATATTATTGGGAAGATTCAAGAAAATTTTTAAAATGAAATAAACACTCACCTGCTCATTCCATTTATGTCATAATTTCCCCCAGGTTGTGTCTGTTTTACTGTAATGCCATGGCTCTTGAATTATAACCTGTGTATTTCAACAGCCAATCAGCAGTACTGTACTGTGAAAAGCCTGTGACCCAAGATAAGGAAGTAAATATTTGCTTTGTGAACCACAATCATTGACTACAATAGAATTATATTTACTGACACAGGGAATTTTTAAAAATCTCACATACAAAGCTTAAGAAATTCAGTGATTTTAGATATTTATTAATCATGCTAGAATACTAAGTATAAAATACTTCTATAATTTCATGAAAAAGCCTGCATATCTAATAAATAGTAGAGTAAAAATTCAAATCCATTTCTATTTGAAATAGATTTTATTTTCCACCATAGGTCATTGCTTCTCCTATAGGGACCTCCCATCATTATAAATTCTGAATTACTCAGGTTTTACTGTATTTGATAAACTGGTACCACTGATGATTATAAAATTTTACACTTTCAGCTGGGCGCAGTGGCTCACGCCTGTAATCCAGCACTTTGGGAGGCTGAGGTGGGTGGATTGCTTGAGCCCAGGAGTTCAAGACAAGCAAAACCCCGACTCTACAAATAATACAAAAATTAGCTGGGCGTCGTGGTACACACCTGTAGTCCCAGCTCCTGAGGTGGCAAGATCACCTGAGCCCAGGGAGGTTGAGGCTACAGTGAGCCATGACTGAGCCACTGCACTCCAGCCTGGGTGACAGAGTGAGACCCTGCCTCAAAAAACAAAACAAAAACATTTATACTTTCTAGATAGTTTAATACCTAAGGACTTTATAGATTTTCCAAGCTAGATAATTAAACTTTTGAAACCAAATTTGTCAAAAGTTATAGAACTTAAAAAGTCAAAAACAGGAGCTTACAAGACCACTGAATCATGTGAAACATTGCAGATACAGAGCTCGTTAAGGTAACACATTAAATTCTTACTTTTAACATGTGTAAATTTCACCTAGAGCTTAGTAGTTGAAGTAAGGTATGATTCTAACCTGACATGGTTTTATAATTTAGCTTAACTGACTCATTCTGATGAGAAATCAAATGAATGTCCCTATGATCTCTATGTACTCCCATCTTTCCTTTCAACCCCTTTATCTCAGAAAAACTCAGAAGTTCTTCCATAACATTGGCAACTGGCAGAAACAATCCACGACTATCTGGGAACTCTTCAGACACAAGCTTCTCATAGTAAGGTGTTTGTGAGCAAATTGTTTACTGATTCCGGACTTCTAAAAAGAAGTGTAAAGGTTGGAAAACTCAGGGGTGTAGCAGTATATGATGAACCCCAATGCCCTGGCTGATCCAGCTTTTCTGGTTTAGCCACAGTGATCTTTGTCACTGAGCATTTCCTTTCCTTGTTTGCTTCTGCCTTTTAAAAAATTAATATTAGCACTCAAACAAATAAGAAAAATGTACCAGAACAGCAGTGGAAACACAGGCTAAAGACTTGAACGAGCCATCCTCAAAGACAAAAACTGCTTATCAGTATGTCAAAAAGTAATCAGTCTTATTGGTAGCCAAAGAAATAAAAGTTTGAAAAATATTATTTTCACCTATCAAGTTAGCAAAGATTTTTTAAAGAATGGCATTATGTTGGCAAGAACTAGCTGTTCTAAGCATCGTGCCCAAAGGAGAAACTGCAATAGAGATACGCATACAAAATTTAGGCATGAGGATCAAAATCCAAAGATAAAAGAATGGCTAAATAAAGACATTCATAAGGTGAACTATATCACTAAATCGCATTAAAAATATCAATTTTAATTTCTTGAGAAACAGCAACAAAGGAATGTTAATTTTTTTAGAAATATGAAGTTCTAAAACAGCCATCCCAACCTTTTTGGCACCAGGGACCGGTTTCATGGAAGACAATTTTTCCACGGATGGCAGTGGGGGTGGGGGAATAGTTCTGGAATGAAACTGTTCCACGTCAGCTCATCAGGCATTAGATTCTCATAAGGAGTGCACAACCTCAATTCCTTGCATGCGCAGCTCACAATAGGGGTCACGCTCCTATGAGAATCTAATGCCAGCCGCTGATCAGACAGGAGGAGGAGCTCAGGAGGTAATGCTCACTTACCAGCCACTCACCTCCTGCTGTGCTGCTGGCTTCCCAACAAGTCATGGGCTGGTACCCGTCTGCAGCTCAGGGGTTGGGGACCCCTGTTCTAGAATATGATTCAAATTCTTAAAACAATGGTACGTTTATATAAAGCAAATAAACTTGTGGTAAACCATGCTGTGTTTTCAATAGCAGTTCTTTAGGTATTGAGATAATTATAAGCACTCAGTACATGCCAAGCACTATGTTCAGTACTTTATATACATTGCATTGTATTTATGCTTGCATCCTGCCTTCATCCCTCTTGTATGTCTGAGGAAACTGAGGCTCAGGACAGATTAGTAACTTGCCTACAGCAATAAAGTTTTTAAAGGGAGGAGCCACAATACAAGCTAAAGCCAGCTTGACCCAAAATTCATGCTCTTCACATCCATATCTGCCTATAGGTAATTTTGTATCGTAGGGGATCTAAGATAAGCAAATATAGAGCTTTTATAATTGGGAAACAAATCAGTAATATAAATGTTGTATTAAACACATATATATTCCCAAAACGACAATTCTGAAAATTGCTTCCTCCAAAGATGTAGGACCATAAACACGAGTTTTAGGAGCCCAACTAGTGTACTTGGTAAACAGTGTAAGTGCTGATTTTAAAAATGCAATTCTTACCTTGGAAGACTTTTGCGAGCCATGTCGACCCTGCAAAATTTATTAATTTAGGAAAAATTATTTTACACCTGCCTTTGCCACATACTGTGCCAGGTGCTGGCACAATAGCAGGAATGATCGTCTAAATGAATTTCTTTGGAAGTTAGGAAAGTGTCTTTTTTTCAGAGATAAGTGTGGGTAGGGAGAGAAGGAAGGTGGGAGTATCCATCAATCTCACACTGAAAGTCTTGGCTACCTATTGGCTACCTATAGCAAAGGATTATTTTAAGGTTTTCCATAAAAATATATTTGTCTGAGGACCCTTGACACTCCCTTGGAAATGTCATATAATTTTACGCCTCCACAATGCATTCACACTTACACTCTAACTATACCAATCAGGTGAAATAAAATGCTTTTAACATCACATAGCATTATTCTCAACCTCTGGGTATATAGCGGTCCTTCGATTTGCCCTCTTTGGTAGTGCAGTATTCTCAGTGTTAAGTAAGCAGAGTTGGAGAGTATCAGAAACAGGATTCTCAGCAGAAATGTGGTTGAATGGACTCCCAGCCCTCTTGGCATCGTACCTCATCATCCATGCCTACCTTCCTTTTCCAGGAAAGCCCATGTATTTTAGCAAACGGACTTCTGACACAAAGGCCATTATCTCTACGGCTTTAGATTAAAAGGTAAAATCTTTCTTAGACTTTACTCTGCAAGTCAACCAGAATTTTGATCAATTCAGATTTAAAATTTTCACTTTTACTTGGCTGTTACAGTAAGATCAAACGGGTAAGAATATATATTTCTCCTTTTCTTCAAAGACCGTGGCCCTCGTGGTAGGAAATGTTAAGGAAGGTTTATTATTATTATTATTTATTATTATGCAAAAGTATAAAATGGTCACAGGAATAAGGAACTTAGACCTTAAACATGATGAATTCAAATAAATAAGTACCTCAGAGGAAGAGCCCTACAACCAAAGAGATACCTATTTGAGAAGGAAATGCTGTTTGCCTTAGAATGAACAGGATAGTAAATTAACTCTCCTTGTTAATTCCCTTCCGTGGGGACTAAACGCCAAGGAGTAGTTGCGGAACTATAGCAAAAAGGGTCGAAATCAATCAGCATAACAGACACCTTATGTTATTTGTTCTGTAAATTCGACGGTTTTCTTAATCGTTCAGACTAATTTCAGGAGGAAGGATGAGTGCCCCTGGCTCTGAGATCACGTGTCATTGCCATGGAGATTTATCTTATTTAATAAGTAATACCACTCAATCTTTTTGTAATAACGAACACTTCTTTTCTTGTTACCTCAAACTAAATAAACTACTCTCCTATGGTGGCTCTAAGTGCGGGTTTCAAAAGACTATAAAAACTAGTGAATAAATCCAGTCTCCCATGAGTGTGCTAATTACTGTTTTAGTTCATGTTAACAGAAGAAATGGCTTAACAACAGTAACAACTGGAGGAGGTCAAACTTCTCATTCATTTGTATTAAATCACCCTTCCATTAGATAGGAGTGCTATAATGCATATTTCTTGGATAATACTCTCACTACAGAAGACTTCGGAAACAAGTACAATGTACTTTAAATGTTTCACGGTTTGCAAATTATTTCGTACACGCAGCGTCTGGCAGTTGTGAATCGAGGAGGAAAGCATTATTTTCCACTACACTAATAAAAATCAATTCTCACGTCTTCAATTAAATGATTTTCAGAAGGGTTCATCACCCGGAAAACCAGTATGTATGAACGCCGGAAATGCAGATGGCACCCAGCCTCAGAACTGCTTATTCTAGATGGGAACCAAACTAAGATTTCTCTTTATTATTTGTGAAAGCCATCCCACGCTGGAGAGAATCTCGCCGTAAAACAATTTAAGAAAAGAAAGAAATAACTCTGAAGAGTGTGAAGTTCTCCAGACAAATCTTATAGTGAATCTTTTGAAAGAAGCATTTATGGAAAGGTCAGGGGAGGTCAGGAGAGTTATGCCAGGAGCCAGGGTCAATCGTCCCCGGGCGACAGGGGTTCTCCCACGTGAACCGACGTCCCGGGCTCCGGGCGAGGCGCAGGGCTCAGGGCGCAGGGCGGGTCCCGTACGCAGGGCGGGCGCGCGGGCATCTTTGTGGCCAGGCGACCCCGGCTCGCTCTCCCGGAGCCCAGGGACTCCCGAGGCTGGCGCGGGCTGCCCGCGACAAGGTGCCAGCAGCCTCGGGCTCGCGAGGAGCAGCTCCCACCCGCGGCTTCCGAGTCCAGCTCTGTCCCTCCGCCATCCCCTAGTCCTCCGGCATTTATTCAGGGAGACAGGGAGGCAGAGAGAAGAGGAGAAAGCGGCCGTGTCTGCACCCAGCCTCTGCCGCAGCACTCGATGAGGGACAGCAGGGAGGCTGGCGGGGAGGCAGAGATTAAACTATGATTCCATCGATCACGGAAAGACCACCATCACCTACAGCAAAGGAGGCTCCGATGCGCCCACCCGGGCAGCGACTCGCGGTTGGTGGGCGTTCCTCGTCCTCGCCCCCTCGGTGGCTGTGGAATCCACCCCGCGCCGCACACGCCAGGACTCCCTTTCCTTTGACTAAGGGGAGGGGAAGGAACAAAAGAGACCCCCCACCCCCTATACATACATACACATACACACACACACACACACACACACACCCCTCCGGTATTTTACTGCTGGTCAAAGGATTCATTTTCGCAACCTCTTCTTCGAACACCTTCCCCACCTGAGCAGTGCATTTTCCCAAAGGTAAAGAGAGATAAGGGAGGAAACACAGCACCCAAGGTGATCAGTCGATTGGACACTGTTGATGGCACATTCTCCTCGTTCCCAACCAACCGCACAAAACCCGCAACACCTCGCGTCCCCGCGGGGTCTCCCGCGCCCCTGGCCCGGCCCTCCCGGCCGCCCCCAGCAGGCGCCCCGCTCTCCGCGGGAACTCTGGGACCTGGCCGAGCGTTCCCCGGCGGGCAGGACACTCGCCCGGTTCCCTGCAGCAGCTGAGGGCGGCGAGCGGACCGCGTCCAGGCAGCGACGCGGGATTCAACTTCCCGGACCCGCGGCGCGGCCCCCGCTCCCGCTCAGGGCGCCGCGGCCACAGCTGAGACCCCAGCGCCGCGCAGCCGCCCCCGCCGGGGCATGGGCGGTCGCGCTCTCCGCCCCCTCCTTCCTTCACCTCCCCCCTACCTTGAAAAAAATCCATCCATTGGTGCAAAGCAGACATTTTGATGTCATTTACTTAGCACCGCTTGTTTTGGAGGCAGCGTCTTACCCGGTCGCCTGGAGGTGTGGGCAGCGCGCCGATGGGTCCGGGGGAGCGGGGCTGGGCGGCTCGGTCCTCTAGCGGAGCCGGTTTGCTGCCATCCGCCCAACTTCAGCACCCAGCGGGCGAGGAGAGAGGGAGAGCGGCGAGGATGCAGAGGAGGGGGAGGGGGAGGAGGGAGCGGTGGGCGGGGAGGGAGCGAGAGCCGCTCGGCAGCGCGCATGCGCCTCGCGGGCCGGCGCAGCCCCTCGCCCGGCGCGGCCGGAGGGGCAGCTTCCCAGCCCCTGCGCGCGGCCGCGAGAGTCCCGGCCCCGCCCCCTCCCCGGGCGGCCCCCGGCCCCGCCCGACCTCGCGCGCTCGCCTGGGCGCGGCGCCCACCGTGCGGAGGGGCTCGGCCGGGACTCTCGGCTTCGGTGACGCCCGTCCGGAGCTTCGCGGGAGGCCCGGAGTCCCGAGAGCTTCCCTGGGTGACAGCGGCTCTCCGCCCGGGCCCCTGCAACTCCACTCGCCCGTAGCCCGCGCGCTGCTGTCCTGGGCTGCGCGGGAGCCTTGCACCCAGGAGCCGGCCTGCCAGGCACAGCAGCCTGCCTGCTCCGGGTCCCGGAGGAAGCATTCCCTGCGTGGGGGTTCAAGGAAGTGTGAAGTTAAGCAAGTTTTGCTTCCCGAAGGACTTTATGAAGCGTCCTTTACTTTATTGACTTCCTCGCCCAGAAAGAGGACCTTTTCTCCTAAGAATCAGTGCAGGTGCTCTCTGGCCTAGCCCATGCCAGCTGCCTCAGGCGCCCGGACCACTCGCTGGAGCAGAGTTTTGAGTGAGAAAAGCCGATGACAAGGCAAGAGTGGAGAATTATTAACGGAGGTGCTGATGCTTGGGGCCTAGAGCATCCTTAGGGGACAGCTTGGTAGTTACCAGGTCTGATAATCGTTCTGTGCCCAAGTGGAGCCCAGCTTGGTAGGGAAGGAGCTTGGGATACTTAATGCAACCCGAGCGCTAGATTGCATCTCCAATGATTAGACTAAAGTGTTTGTGCGGAGGAAGTGGAGAAGCAGTGTCTTGCTCTTCAGATACCACATCTGTGGGAAGAGGAGGGAGTTCCTGCAGGAGTGAATGGGCTTTTTTTTCTTACACCTAATTAAAACAGATTACTTGTAAATCTGTGTGAGTTCCCCTTCCTTGTGTGTTCATGTAAGCAAGCGTTGTGTTATTTCAGCCTACTGAACTCTCCTGTGCCTCCATCCTCATAGACTCACGGGTACTTGGGTTAAATATGTCTCAGGGCCTCCTCCAGGGCCTCCCATGGCTTTGAGTACTAGTGCTCTTCAAAGTGTCTTCATTTTTGTTGGATTTCACAGAAGTATTTGTCTTTGTCTTCCAGGCTGCTATAACAAAATACCATAGACTGGATGGCTTATAAACAACAGAAACTGATTTCTTACAGTTCTGGAGACTGGGAAGTCCAAGATCAAGATGTAGGCAGATACCTTATTTGGTGAGGGCCCAATTCCGAGCTCATGAACTGCTGACTCCTTGCTGTGTCTTCACGTGGTGGAAGTGAGCAAGGGAGCTCTCTGGGGTCTCTTTTATAAGGACACTAGTCCCATTCATGAGGGCTCCACCCTCATGACCTAACCACCTTCCAAGGGTTCCACCTCTTTATATCATCATCTTGAGGGTTAGAATGCGAACATACGAATTTTGGAGAGACAAACACGGCTAGTCCACTGCAGTATTGATTCGCGGTGGATAAAGATAAAAGTTCTTCACCAAAAATGATTTGAGCAGCGTTGAATCCTATATAACTTTCAGATTTATGTCTTCAGTCCTGTCCTGGCCTCACACAGAACTCTTATGTCCTTCACTACCTTTACATCTCCACTTGAGGAATAATTGTCGTAGCTGGTATTTATTGAACAATTACTACATGCTAGGTACAGATCTAAATTCTCCTCATATTTCGTATTCGTTGTTCACAACAACCCTACAAGGTAGATACTATTATTATCATGGTTAACAGGCATCTCAGAAGCGGAACTCCGGATATCCACCCCCTCCAAACCTGTTCCTCCTCAAATTGTTCTACTCTGTTGTTCATTCCAAAAATTTAGAAGTCATCCTCGTTTTGTTGCTTTCTTTCATCCCCGCACTCAATTAATTAGTCATGTTTTCTTCACCTCCAAAATATATTTCCAAGGTATCTACTTTGCTCCCTCTCTACTGCCATAACCTTAGTCCAAGCTATTGTCATCTCTCACCTGGGCAACCACAAAAGCCCCTATTCTGTCTGCTCATTTCTATCCTCCACAACCCCGAACAACACCCTCCTAATGAGAGGTGACAGCGTGCCGGCAGTCCTCACAGCCCTCGCTCGCTCTGGGCGCCTCCTCTGCCTGGACTCCCGCTTTGGCGGCACTTGAGGAGCCCTTCAGCCCACCGCTGCACTGTGGGAGCCCCTTTCTGGGCTGGCCAAGGCCAGAGCCGGCTCCCTCAGCTTGCAAGGAGGTGTGGAGGGGGAGGCGCGAGCGGGAACCGGGGCTGCGCGCGGCGCTTGCGGGCCAGCTGGAGTTCCGGGTGGGCGTGGGCTTGGCGGGCCCCGCACTCGGAGCAGCCGGCAGGCCCTGCCGACCCCGGGCAATGAGGGGTTTAGCACCCGGGCCAGCGGCTGCGGAGGGTGTACTGGGTCACCCAGCAGTGCCAGCCCACCGGCGCTGCGCTCGATTTCTCACCGGGCCTTAGCTGCCTTCCCGCGGGGCAGGGCTCGGGATCTGCAGCCTGCCATGCCTGAGCCTCCCACCCCCTCCATGGGCTCCCCTGCGGCCGGAGCCTCCCCGACGAGCGCCACCCCCTGCTCCACGGCACCCAGTCCCATCGACCACCCAGGGGTTGAGGAGTGTAGGCGCAGGGCGCGGGACTGGCAGGCAGCTCCACCTGCAGCCCCAGTACGGGATCCACTGGGTGAAGCCAGCTGGGCTCCTGAGTCTGCTGGGGACGTGGAGAACCTTTATGTCTAGCTCAGGGATTGTAATACACCAATCGGCGCTCTGTATCTAGCTCAAGGTTTGTAAACACACCAATCAGCACCCTGTGTCTAGCTCAGGGTTTGTGAATGCACCAATTGACACTCTGTATCTAGCTACTCTGGTGGGGCCTTGGAGAACCTTTGTGTCTAGCTAAGGGATTGTAAACGCACCAATCAGCGCCCTGTCAAAACAGACCACTCGGCTCTACCAATCAGCAGGATGAGGGTGGGGCCAGATAAGAGGAGAAAAGCAGGCTGCTGGAGCCAGCAGTGGTAATCCACTCCGGTCTGCTTCCACACTGTGGAAGCTTTGTTCTTTTGCTCTTTGCAATAAATCTTGCTACTTGCTCACTCTTTGGGTCCACGCTGATTTTATGAGCTGTAACACTCACCGCGAAGGTCTGCAGCTTCACTCCTGAAACCAGCGAGACCACGAGCCCACCCGGAGGAACGAACAACTCCAGACGCGCTGACTTAAGAGCTGTAACACTCACCGCGAAGGTCTGCAGCTTCACTCCTGAGCCAGCAAGACCACGAACCCCCCAGAAGGAAGAAACTCCGAACACATCCGAACATCAGAAGGAACAAACTCCAGACGCGCTACCTTAAGAGCTGTAACACTCACCGTGAGGGTCCGTGGCTTCATTCTTGAAGTCAGTGAGACCAAGAACCCACCAATTCCGGACACACTAAGAGCTGAAGGATCTTTTAAAAACAATCAGAGGCCGGGCGCGGTGGCTCACGCCTGTAATCCCAGTACTTTGGGAGGCCAAGGCAGGTGGATCACGAGGTCAGGAGATCGAGACCATCCTGGCTAATACAGTGAAACCCTGTCTCTACTCATACAAAAAATTAGGCGGGCATGGTGGCGGGCGCCTATAGTCGCAGCTACTCGGGAGGTTGAGGCAGGAACATGGCGTGAACCCGGGAGGCGGAGTTTGCAGTGAGCCGAGATGGCGCCACGGCACTCCAGCCTGGGCGACTGAGTGAGACTCTGTCTCAAAAAATATAAAAATAAAAAATAAATAAAAACAATCAGGTTGTGTCATACCCTTTCTTAACACGCTCAAATGAGTTTTTTTTTTCATTGCACTTCAAACACAATTTGTAATTCTTAAGACAGCCTGGAAGGTTCTATATAGTATTGTCCCTAACTAGTTATCTTATACCACGCTTCTGTAGATCATAGCTAGTGTGTTTTAGCCATGTAGACCTGCTTATTTGGGTTTCTTGAAGAAATCTAACTTGTAATATTTGCTGTTCTTTCTGTTGGGAATCCTGTGCACCAGATCTTTGCATAGCAGACTCCTTAATATCACATAAGTGCCTCCGGAAATATCACTTTTCAGAAGGCTTCATCTGACCACCCAATCTAATCTGCCCCAGCGAGTTCTTTTCTGTTGGATCCCCTTATTTCATTGTCTTTAAAACACTTCACTATCTGAATCAGCTTGGATTCATTTGTTTGCTTATTCATTCTCCTCAGCCCCTGCTAAAGTAAAGAATCTCAAGAGCTTTGCTTTCACTTTTCAGTGTTTTATCTCTAGTGCCCAGAACAAGATTTGACACATAGTATATGCTTAGTGAATGAAGGATGGATTGAAAAAATAACAAACTTAGAAAAAGTGTTCTTTATTGTTTGCTGATGCTTCTTCTTGGATCCTAATTGCCGCCTTTCAGAATCTGTTGCTTTTCAGAAGTGAACAGATAGACCACGTTGTTTCCTCTGCCCAACCTATCACAGATGGTGCCATGATAGACTACACTGTTTCCTCTGCCTAGCTCACCACACATGGCTGCATGCAGGGGTGCTCCTTTAAACTAGATGATAGGGTAAGGTTCCCAGAACCCACTTTTAAAACAAGCATATTCAATAAAAAAGGGACCCTTCCATAAATTCTTATAATGGCTATTTGGGCAATTTTTATATGACAACTTGGCTATTCTGCTATTCATTTAATTGCTTAAGCCAAATGTAACCCCTTGGTGACTTTCTTTCATGGTTGTAGTTTTTTGTGTAATCCCTTATGCATGAGCCAGAATCTGTAATAATAGTATTCTAGGACTGAAAATGTTGCCTACCATCTGAGAGTTGACTAGATGGGTGGAAACAACCACAGCTTTAATGACATTCACCTTGTGGAGTCTGATCACTTGCAGTCCCTGTGTATATCTTGGTGGTATGGTTTGAGTTTGTTCCCTCCAAAACTCGTATTGAAATTTGATCCCCAACTTGGTGGTGTTGGGAAGTGGGGCCTAGCAGGAGGTGTTTGGGTGCTGACGGTGGATCCCTCATGAATGGCTTGGTGCAGTTCTCCAGGTAGTGAGTGAATTCTCACTTGGAGGAGACTGGAAAAGTTCTCATGGGAATAAACAAGTTCCCTAGAGGGGAGATTCTTACAAAACCAGGATGCTCCTCAGGCCTTGTCTCTTTGCATGTGTCCACTTCCCCTTTGACCTTCTTTGCCCTGTTGTGATGCAGCCTAGAAGCCCTCAGTGGAAGGCAGGGCCAGGCCCTTGAATTTCCCAGCCTGTGGAACTGTGACCTAAATAAACCCGATTACTCAGTCTCAGGTATTCTGTTGCAGCAACACGAAACAGACCAGGACACTTGGTCTAGGGAGTTATCTGCAACCCCACTGACATCAAGTGATGACCAGATCAATAATTCAATTCAGTAAACTTCATTAATATCTACTATATGCCTAGTATTATGTCTTCAAATTTTTTGCAAAAAATGTAAATGTTATATAAAATTATCCTACAGGACTCAGAAATGGATTTCAGTTCATTTTGGCAATGGGGATGCCTTCTCTTTATACAGAATTTCAGAGCTCACTGGGCCAGTCATCATTAAACAGCTATGTGGTAATTATGAAAAGGAGCATTTGATCATGAGCATTTCCCTACCATAATGAATGTGTTTTTTTTTCAAGTAGAGAAATTCTGGACACAGCAGCAGTTTAGGTATAATGGCTTTACAGTAAGGCACGAAGGAGATTTGCAGAGAAGATATTTGCAGACAGAAAATATTGCAAAAGTGCAGACTATCAACATCAAAGTATTTAGTGTACATTTATCCATAATTAGGAATATTTGTCATTATTAGGAGAGCTGGAAATTACCTCAGTGAGTTTGGTACCCTACAAAAGTATTTCCAGGAAGAAACTATGTAGCATTTTAAAATTTCATTCTCTTTTCCTACATGCTTATTTATTTAAAAGAAGCTGTTTTTCCTTTGAAAAGCAGAGGGAAAGGAAATTAATTGTTTGCTTGAATCTAGAAAACCCTGACTGCTCCAGCCAGGCAAACTTCTCCAGAGTGGAATGTGGAAGGATAATTAGAACATGACTGCTTCAGCAGACTTCTTCTATACTTTTAGTAAATAGAGCTAAACATGTTTCTCCAACTGATTTTAATCAAACCATTGAGACAGGTTCATCCCAGGGAACTTATTTAGATGGGAAATACTTGTGTTTCTTCATCAGTATTCAAAGAAGAGAAGAGAAAAGAGAAAAAGGAAAGATAGTCTGTTCCCCAAAAGCTAAAAAATGAAATATAGAATTTTATATTTTCTATGTAATGTACTTAATTATGTTTTTCTGTTTTTTCTTTTACTTTTTTTTTTTTTTTTTGAGAAGTAGTTTCACTCTTGTTGCCCAGGCTGGAGTGCAATGGCACGATCTTGGCTCACTGCAACGTCTGCCTCCCGGGTTCAAGCAATTCTGCCTCAGCCTCCCGAGTAGCTGGGATTACAGGAGTGCACCACCACGCCTGGCTAATTTTGTATTTTTGTGGAGACACGGTTTCTCCACGTTGGTCAGGCAGGTCTCGAATTCCTGACTTCAGGTGTTCTGCCCACCTCAGCCTCTGAAAGTGCTGGGATTATAGATGTGAGCCACTGTGCCCGGCCTGTACTTAATTTTGAATAAATCATTAGCTATTAATGTTCCTTTGTTTAACTTACCAACTTTGAAGTTAAAAGGCTCACTATTACTCTTTCAGAATAGTGCTAGTAAATTTATATCTCAAGGTAATTGAGTGAGTCCCTAGAAATAGATATAAACATCTTTATGGGATTTTAAAAATCATTTATGCCCAATTTTGTATATCATATATTCCCACAATATTCCCACAATGGCTTGACAATGTAGAGTTGGTTTGGGGTCACCCTAAATACTTCATAAAAGTATTCTTTAGATGGACCCTGCATATTCCCATTCAGCAAACCTATCATATCTATCATATTGTTGGATAACAGTCTTCCTTGGAAAATAAAGCAAAATTATCTTATCTAGAGAACATGACAATGTTTAATTGTTGTAGTCAGATTTGCCTAGTATTTCAAATATCTGTTTTAGTCAAGAGAGTCAAATAATTTGGAAAAAGGGGATTCACAAGTATCAGGGCCATAGTTCTTGAAGAACCCCCACACTGTTGTTTTCCCTCCAAAATTAGTACTTTGAGAACAATGTATTCACTTGGTGAATAAGCTTGGGTAATAAAAAGTTGACTTCTAAATTCATTTCTTAGGATTTGATACATACATTGGCATATTAACATCTCTGAAAAGCCCCTTGATCAAAAAAAGGCACAATGCCTTCTAAATACACACAAATTCTCTCTCTCTCTCTCTCTCACACACACACAGACACACACACACACACCACATACACACAACACACAATAGAACCAGAACTCAACCCCTTGCTTTCTACAGACCTTGATTCAAAATATCACCTTGTCAGCGAGGTCTTCTTTGTAACCCTACATATAATTCCTAACCCCTTCTAGCTTACATGCACACATACATAGATATATACACATATGCATATATATGTGGTATCAAGGATCTCAATTTTATTGACAGTGTAATCTAAAATTAAAATTAACTTCAGTCATAGTCAGAATCTGCTCTACACAGATGTGTACTACACCTCTAGTTTTCTTAATTCATTCAGCCAATATACGCTGAGCATTTATTATGTGGCTGTTTGGCAGGCTCTGTCCCAGGTACTGAGAATACAGCAAGGAACAAAAACAAACAAAAGTCTCTGCCCATACAGGGCTTATATTCTAAAGAGGTAGACAGACAAAGATCAATGTAAATAAGAAAAAAATATAGAATTTGACAATTATAAATGCTAAAGGAAAAAAGCAGGTCAGGAAAAGGGGATAGGAAGTATGTATGCATGTGAGTAGGAAGGGGTTATGAATTACATGTAGGGGTGCAAAAAAGACCTCACTGAGAAGGTGAAATTTTGAGTTAAGGTCTGAAGAAAGCAAGGGGTTGAGTTCTGGATCTCTGGAGAGAGAGCATTCCAGCAGAGGAAACAGCTGGGGCAAAGGCCCTCAGGTCAGGTTATGCCAGTCATAGACAAAGAACAGCAAGGAACAAATGAAGGGAGTGGCAAGAGATGATATTAGAGAAAAGGAAGGTAATTATGTACCACCTTTAGCTTAGGAGGTTGGCTTGTACTCTGGGTGACTTGGAGATGTATTAAAGGATTTTCACTGAAGGACTGCCGTACAAAAAACTGCTAAATGTAAGTAAGAAAGAGACAATAACCAAATAGAAAATGAGGCAGAATAAGAATAGAATGATGCTGGCTACTGCATTGGGGATAGGCTGTATGGGGATGGACAGAATGCGGAAGGCGCTGGGCTATTGGAGTTGACTATGCGGGGGATGATGATGGCAAGGACCGGAGTACTAGAAGTGAAAGTGTTCAAGAGTAGTCAGATGCTGGAGATATTTTCAAGGTTGAGTTTGTAGGATTTGCTGTTTGGATATGTGGCATAAAATAATTTGAGGAATCAAGGAAGACTTCACTGGCATCGGTCTAATCACAGAAACTTTCCTTTAATAATGATGTGCTTGAATTCCTGCTCCTAGAGCCCTCCAGTCCCCACAACTGAGACCAATAAATTCCTGTGAATAGGCTTAACTCACTGTCCCTGCCGGGCTGCCAGGTATAAAGAGAAAAAGGGATTCCAGACAAAGGAAATTCAGAGGGACCTAAAGCACAGCCTGGCGGCTCAGCATCTGTCAGCCTCTTATACTGGTGCAGCTCGGGCCTTGTACCCCAGCTTCAGACCTTGCTCTCTTGTGTCAATCCTCATGCCTCTGAATGCCCATTTTTGTTGTCTGGGATAGGAGTGACATTCTATCACCCAAGTCCTTCAACGGGATGAAGTCTTGATATAGTGCTGTACTGCTGGCTACCTACTTCCAAAATCCCTGATGCCAACCACCTGCCTGCCTGATTTTCCATCTATTTCCTGTTGCTAAATCTGTTGACACAGGGCCTGCCTGACTGCCAGGACATCTGCCTGCTGCCTATGGTTGGACCTCTATGATGCTGGCACCTTGCCATCCTGGCCTGGACCTTTGCCAGTTGCCCACTGTCACTGTCCCCTAAAGCTCTGTGGCTCTTTCCACGTGTTCAGTCTTACCAGTTCTTGAGTTAATTCATTCATTTAAGGATTGACTCATTCATGTTTGTATTTGTGCATTCAGACTAACTGTGGTTAGTTTACTAAAGGCTAACTGTGGTTCATCTGTCTCTTAGGTTCATCTGCCTCTTAGGTTCATCTGCAAAAGAAAGGTGAATAATTTAAAAAAGGATGGAGTCTTCCGTATGCTTTATTGTCTAAGTCCTAGAGAATCTCTTATAGTCGAGAAGGACATAGGCTAATGGTGAAGACAGATATTTGAAAGGGAACTGTGATAATTTCCCTCTATCTATAATCATCTTTTTTAAAAAAACTAAGACTTTTTTTTTCCTTGCAAATAGTGTGGTGCAGTGTTTTACAGCTTGGGATTGGAGTTAATCTGATTGAGGCTGGAGTTTTGGCTCTCCCACTTCCTAGCTGAGTTTCTTTGGCAAGTTAATTTACCTCTGATTCCTTCATCTTTAAAATGGGAATAACAACTAGATGTCTTACTGTTTTGGGGAAAATTAAATAACGTGTTCATGTAAAATGTTTTACCATAGCTTCTGACACGTACTAAGACCACAATAAATTTTAACATGTCTTCATTTTCTTCTTCTCTTCCTCCTCTTCCTTTTTCTAACAGTCTAAATGGGGGCAAAAGGAACAGAGAAAGGGAATTCTTGGTAGGAGGAAAACATTCTCTGATCACAGTGGCCTGGATAGGAATCCAGGCTTCTCATAGTGACCTGCTCTGATCTCAGTCATAACATGGTTTAGTAATTGCCTGTTTATTTGACCCTCTCCCTCATGAGACTTTTGTCTCTGTGGGCAGGGACTTTGCTTGCTAACATTAGCAGGTCCAGCCTCTTGCACAGTGGCATGTATGACGAAGTGCCCAATAAATATTTGTTAAATAATAATAACAATAAAAAATAATAGAAGAATTCCTGATGGTGATGTCAGTTGCATAAATTAAAAAAAAAAAGAATTCATCAGATGAAGGAAGAGCCAGATTGTTTCAAGCATTAAGGATAATGTGAGCAGAGAAGTAAGATATGAGACCTTTCCATGTGTTTAAGCAATCTGAAGTAGTGCTGGAGTCTAGGATATAGGATATTTATCTATCTATGTGGTGCATGAAATTATGAATTTTGAAAGGTTGGCAGTAATCAAATCAAAAAGGATTTGATTTGATTACTGGTGCTGGGCACGTTGGCTCATGCCTGTAATCCTAGCACTTTGGGAGGCCGAGGCAGGTGGATCACCTGAGATCAGGAGCTCGAGACCAGCCTGGCCAACATGGGGAAACTCTGTCTCTACTAAAAATATGAAAATAGCCGAGCGTGGTGTCAGGCGCTTGTCATCCCAGATACTTGGGAGGCTGAGGCAGGAGAATCGTTTGAACCCGGGAGGCAGAGGTTGCAGTGAGCCGAGATGGCGCCACTTCACTCCGGCCTGGGTGAAAGAGCGAGACTCCGTCTCAAAAAACAAAACAAAACAAAAACAAAAAAACAAAAAGGACCTTGGATGTATGCTAGCTAAAGAGTTTGTACCTTTTTCTGGTATGCAGAACACCTAAGAGTAGGAACTAGGCCGGGCACAGAGGCTCACACCTGTAATCCCAGCACTTTGGGAGGCCAAGGTCGGCGGATCACTTGAGGTCAGGACCAGCCTGATCAACATGGAGAAACCCCGTCTCTACTAAAAATACAAAATTAGCCAGGCATGGTGGCGCATGCCTGTAATCCCAGCTACTCGGGAGGCTGAGGCAGGAGAATCGCTTGAGCCTGGGAGCGGGAGCAAGATCGTGCCACTGCACTCCAGTCTGGGTGACAGAGTGAGAACCTGTCTCAAAAAAAAAAAAAAAAAAAAGAGTAGGAACTAGGTACTTGAAGCTTTTCACCATTTAGTCCTTACTTCTCTTTTTCAGACTTTTCTCCTTGACTAAAAATTTATGCTCTGGCAACACCAAAATGTTTGTATACCACCCGTCCCCCACCCCGCTGACATCACAATGCTTGTTTCTCTTGCTTTCTTTGCTTATGTTGTTCTCACTGCCTGAAATGTTCCCTTCCACTCCATCACCAATACCACAATTCCCCCATCACCAGCATCTCTTTCTCTCTGTTGTTACTCACACTTTAGCCCTTACTCCCAGCCAGTCATTAAACTTCACATTCAGTAAGAGCTCACATGTGTCAAGCCTCCTGTTGAGTACTTTGTATCCATAATTCGATGTAATCCTCACAATAATCCTACAAATAGGTACTATTATTATTATTTTTTTAAGTTGCAAACTTAAAAACATACTTTAAGAAATTATTCTACATTTTATGCATAAGTAAACTGAAGTTTAGATACGTTATCTACAGTGAAAGAGTGGCTAAACTATAGCCCTTGATACAGGAGCTACAATCCCCCTTGAGTTTTAGCATTACATTCTGCTGCTTAACAGAGATCATGTGACCCTGCCCTGTGACCCCATAAACATCTATGTAACATTGTTTTTAGCAGTCTTGGTTGGGTCGAATATGAAGTTGACAGTCTTCTTTTTTCCAAATACAGTTTCAAACTTTTCTGTGTGAAATTCCTTTTCCCATTCCTTTATGATATCTTGGGCAGATTCCATAATTATCTGGTCACTTTCCATTATTAAACTAACTCCAGTACAGTTTAAAATTTTAATTTATCTGTTCTACAACTTTTTTTCTTATTACAGGACAGGCTTTTGGCTGAAGGGACTTGGAATGCAGACCGGGTACAGTCTGCTCCGTCATTCCCTTCCCCACCTCCTTGTGCTACGGTCCAGTTCCACAGGGTGGGAGGGATCAGGGAGGAAAGATGTAGAGAAAAGGGCAAGCATGTCTTTGCTTAACTGGTCTTGGCCACAGTTCTCTCCCTGTGGCTGTTTGTGCTTTGGAGACAGACACTAATAGGCTGGCATGTTCATGGGTGTGGTGAGGACCAGACACTGGGAATATCAGGGACTACAGGTGCACCATTGGGTTCTTCGGAGGGGTAGTGCACAGACGTCTCCTGTACAGTTCCCTGATATTTCAGATGCAGCTGCTGCTCCAGTACTGCTACAAGCCCCTCTCACACCAGTTTATGCCACAGGGGGTCTCCCGGCAGACTTTTATTGCTGAGGCCTGCTCAGTGAGTAGATGGCCTTCGTGACTGGGACTCCAGTAAGTTGGCTCACAGGTAAGTTTCATGATCTCTACGCAATCATGAGAAATTCACACAGCCTTGCTATCCCAAAGGGTAGAGAACACAGGAAGCTCTCCTGCCATCTCCACTCTCTGCCCTGTTATCCATCTAGTCACAGGGCATTGAGAAAATTCCCATCTAGGAGATGTCCATTCAGTGTACTCAAGGTGATGCTCCTCTGCAGCAGACACTCTAGCCTAGAGCTTTTGTCTTTAAACAGTTTTTTTAAATATAAAATATATCATTTAGATTGGGCATGGTGGCTCATGCCTGTAATCCCAGTGCTTTGGGACACCAGGGTAGAAGAATCACTTGCGATCAGGGGTTTCAGGCCAACCTGGGCAGCATAGCAAGATCCCATCCCTAAAAAAAAATTAGCTTGGCATGGTAGTGTGCACCTGTAGTCCCAGCTACTTGGGAGGCTTATATACACTTTATTATGAAATACATTTCATAATAAATATATACATTTTATAATAATGTCTATATATATTTCATAAGTATATATTTCATGATTGAGGTACTCTTCTATTTATCGTGCTTGCTGCCTGAATACCTTGGGTTTTTTTTCATTGTGTTATTGTTATTTAGGTCCTGTGAGATTTATGCTTTAAAGAGATTCCATTTTGGTGTATTTCAAGGATTTGTTTCAAGATTTAGAGATCCTTTTAACAGTTCTTGTAGTTCTGGCTTGATAGTGACAAATTCTCTCAGCATTTGTTTGTCTGGGAAAGACTGTATCTTTTCTTCATTTATGAAGCTTAGTTTCACTGGATAAAACGTTCTTGGCTGATAATTGTTTGATTGAAGGAGACTAAAAATAGGACCCCAATCTCATCTAACTTTTAAGGTTTCTGCTGAGAAATCTGCTGTTAATCTGATAGGTTTTCTTTATAGGTTACCTGATGCTTTTGCCTCACAGCTCTTAAGATTCTTTCATTCGTCTTTACTTTAGATAACCTGATGACTATGTGCCTAGTTGATGATCTTTTTGCAATGAACTTCCCAGGTGTTCTTTCAGCTTCTTGTATTTGGACGTCTAGATCTCTAGCAGGCCAGGGAAGCTTTCCTCAATGATTCCCTCAAATATGTTTTCCAAACTTTTAGATTTCTCTTCTTCCTTAGGAACACTAATTATTCTTAGGTTTGGATGTTTAACATAGTCCCAAACTTCTTGGAGGCTTTGTTCATTTTTTAAAATTCCTTTTTCTTTGTCTCTGATGGATTGTGTTAATTTGAAAGCCTTGTCTTCAAGCTCTGAAGTTCTTTCTTCTGTTTGTTCGGTTCTATTGCTGAGACTTTCCAGTGCGTTTTGCATTTCTCTAAGTGTGTCCTTGATTTCCAGAAATTGTGATTTTTTTTTATTTATGCTCTCTATTTCACTGAGCAATTTTCCTTTCATATCCTGTGTCATCTCTTTTATTTCTTTAAGTTAGACTTTACCTTTCTCTGGTGCCTTCTTGATTAGCTTAATAATCGACCTTCTGAATTCCTTTTCTGACAATTCAGATATTTTATTTTGGTTTGGATCCACTGCTGGTGAGCTAGTAAGATCATTTAGGGGTGTGAAAGAACCCTATTTTGTCATATTACCATAATTGTTTTTCTGGTTCCTTGTCATTTGGGTAGACTGTGTCAAAGGGAAGATCTGAGATTCAAGGGCTGCTGTTCAGATTTTTTCATCCCACAGCGTGCTCCCTTGAAGTGGCATTCTCCCCTTCCCCTACGAATGGGGCTTCCTGAGAGCCAAACTGTAGTAATTGGTTTTGCTCTTCTGGGTCTAGCCACCCAGCAGAGCTACCAGGCACTGAGCTGGTACCGAGGAGTGTCTGCAAAGAGTCCTGTGATGTGATCCATCTTCAGGTCTTGCAGCCATGGATACCAGCACCTGCTCTGGCAGAGGTAGCAGGGGTGTCAAGTGGACTCTCTGACGGTCCTTGGTTGTGTTTTTGTTTAGTGCACTGGTTTCGTGTTTGTTGGCCTCTAGCCAGCAGGTGGTGCTTTCAAGAGCACATCAGCTGCAGTCCTGTAGAGAGCATGCAAATTTGCCTTAGGGACACCTGGCTAAGTATTCAGGTTTCTCAGGCAGTGGGCAGGGCCATAGAGCTTCCAAGAGATTATGACCTTTGTCTTTGGCCACCAGGGTGGGTAGCGAAAGACCACCATGTGGGTCAGGGATAGATGTGTCTGAGCTCAGCTTCTCCTTGGAGGGAGCTTGCTGCAGCTGCTGAAAGGGATGGGGATATGATTCCTAGTCCAATGGAGTTATATTCCCAGAGGGATTATGGCTGCCTCTGCTGAGGCATACAGGTTGCCAGGGAAGTGGGGGGAAAACCAGCAGTCACTGGCCTCACCCCGCTGCCATGCAGCCAACAGTCCTAAAGGCCAGTCTCACTCCCACTGTGCCCCCCTAATGGCACAAAGTCTATTTCCAGGCAGCTGGTGACCAGGGCTGAGAACTTTCCCCAGATAATGAACCTCCCCTTTGAGAAAGCAAGCCCATTAACAGTTTTTCAGCAACTCAGGGAGCCTGCAACAGTAATCCAGTTCCTTCAAAGTGTCTGCAGAGTCTCTTGGCTTTCCTAGTAATTTCCTGTAGTAGTTCTTAGAGCAAAAGTTCACAGTGTGAGTCTCCACATGCTGCTTTGTCCATCCAAACAGGAGCTGCAAGCTAGTCCTGCTTCCTGTCTGCCATCATAATCCACAACTCCTCCAAAATATTTTTTGAAAATATATACATGTGGTAGGCAGAACAATGCATCCCTCCCACCAGATATCTACACCTATTCCCTGGAACCTGTGAATATAGTTTTACCTTACATAGCAAAAAGTACCTTACATGGCAAAAAATATCTTGTAATTATGATGACATCAAAGACCTTGAGATGAGGAGATTGTACAGGTGAACCCAATCTAATGACATGGAACCTTAAAGGCATAAAATCTTTTCCATCTGTGGTTAAAGGGAGCCATGACTAAGAAAGAGGAGTCAGAGACAGGCAATGTTGCTGGTTTCAAAGGTGGAAAATGACCATGAGCCAAGGAATATGGGTGGCCTCTGGAAACAGGAAAAGGCAAGGAAATAGACTCTCCCTGAGAGCCTCCAGAAGGAAATGCAGCCCTATGGACACCTTGATTTCAGCCCAGCAAGACCCACATTAGACTCCAAACCTACAGAACTATAAGATCATATATTTGTACTGCTTTAGGCCACCAAGTTTGTGGTAATTTATTACAGAAGTAGTAGAAAACAAATACAATATACATGTAGCAAAGTTATTTTTTAATATACTAGAGTGAATCAACACAAAATCCAGAATTAAAGAGTGTGCTCAGGGACTTCTGAGGCATTGGCAAATGTTTTAATTCTCCAAAGTGTACATACACGTTATTTTGTATTAATATGTTTTAAATTGCTTATATACTCTTTATTATGAAATATATATGCACCTGTTGTCCCAATACTACATTGGTACTACATCCCAATACTACATTGGGACTACATCCCAATACTAACATTGACTATAAATGGCCTAAATGCTCCTCTTGAAAGATACATAATAGCAGAATGGATAAGAATTCACGAACTAAGTTTCTGTTGTTTTCAGGAGACTCATCTAAAACATAAGGACTCACATAAACTTAAACGGTAGAAAAATATATTCTATGCAAATGTACACCAAAAGCAAGCAAAAGTAGCTATTATTATATCATATGAAACAAACTTTAAAGCAACAGCTGTTAAAAGAGACAAAGAGGGACATTATATAATGATAAAAGGACTAGTCCAACACAACAGGAAAATATCGCAATTCTACATATATATGCACCTAACACTGGAGCTCCCAAATTTATAAAACAATTACTACTCGACTTAAGAAATGAGATAGACGGCAACACAATAATAGTGGGAGACTTTAATAGACCACTAACAGCACTAGACAGGTCATCAAGACAGAAAGTCAACAAAGAAACAATGGATTTAAACTATACCTTTGAACAAATGGATTTAACAGATATTTACAGAACGTTCTACCCAACAATTACAGAATATACATTTTATTGATCAACACATGGAACATTCTCCAAGATAAACCATCTGATAGGCTACCAAACAAGCCCCAGTACATTTAAGAAAATTGAAATTATATCAAGTACTCTCTCAGACCACAGTGGAATAAAATTGGAAATCAACTCCAAAAGGAACTCTCAAAACCATGGAAATACATGGAACTTAAATAACCTGCTCCTGAACGATCATTGGGTCAACAATGAAATCAAGATGGAAATTAAAAAATTCTTTGAACTGAATAATAATAGCTACACAACATATCAAAATCTCTGGGATAAAGCAAAACCAGTGCTAAGATGAAAGTTCATAGCATTAAATGCCTACATCATAAAGTCTGAAAGAGCACAAATAGACAATCTAAGGTCACACCTCATGGAACTAGAGAAACAAGAACAATCCAAACCCAAACCCAGCAGAATAAAAGAAATAACAAAGATCAGAGCAGAACCAAATGAAACTGAAACAACAACAATAAAAACAATACAAAAGATACATGAAGGAAAAATCTGGTTCTTTGAAAAGATAAATTGATAGACTATTAGTGAGATTAACAAAGAAAAGAAGAGAGACAACCCAAATAAGCTCAATTAGAAATGAAACAAGAGATATTACAACTGATGCCACAGAAACACAAAAGATTATTCAAGGCTACTATGAACACCTTTATGTGCATAAATTAGAAAACCTAAAGGAGATGGATAAATTCCTGGAAATATACAACCCTCCTAGATTAAACCAGGAAGATATAGAATCTCTGAACAGACCAATAACAAGCAGCGAGATTGAAATGGTAATAAAAAAATTGCCAACAAAAAAAAGTCAAGGACCAGATGGATTCACAGCAGAATTCTATCAGGCATCAAAGAAGAATTGGTTCTAATCCTGTTAATACTATTCCAAAAGATAGAGAAAGAGGGAATCCTCCCCAAAGTATTCTCTGAAGAGAATGTTCAGTTTTTCCTTCCTGAGTTACTTCACTTAGAATAATGGTCTCCAATTCCATCCGGGTTGCTGTGAATTGAACGCCATTATTTTGTTTCTTTTTATGGCTTCAGAGAATACTTTAGGGAGGATTCCCTCTTTCTCTATCTTTTGGAATAGTATTAATAGGATTAGAACTAATTCTTCTTTGATGTCGGATTAGAACTAATTCTTCTTTGATGTCTGATAGAATTCTGCTGTGAATCCATCTGGTCCTTGACTTTTTTTTGTTGGCAATTTTTTTATTACCATTTCAATCTCGCTGCTTGTTATTGGTCTGTTCAGAGATTCTATATCTTCCTAGTTTAATTTAGGAGGGTTGTATATTTCCAGAAGTTTCTCCATCTCCTCTAGGTTTTCTAATTTATGCACATAAAGGTGTGCAGAAATCATATGGCAAGAGAGGAAGCAGGAGGTAGGGAGGTGCCAGGCTCTTTTAAACAACCAGCTCTCATGGAAAGTAATAGCATGAAAATTCACTCACTCCCGACAAGGGAAAGTATAAATCTATTCATGAAGAGTTTGCCATCATGACCCAAACACCTCTCATTAAGCATGGGTATTATGCTATGTTATGTGCAAATGTTTATAGCAAGTCCTGGGTAGCTCCAACACTTTAAAAGGCATCATGACTTTTATAATGTGAAGGTCAGTGGTGAAGCAACAAGTGCCAATACTGAAGGTAATGAAGCTTTTAAGGAAAAGCTGCATAGGATAATGTGGCTGAGAAATATTTGCCAGAGTAAATATTTAATGTTGATGAAACAGATTATTCTGGAAGTGTATGCAGAGCATACTATACTCTTCTGTTTTGCATTGCTATAAAGGAATACCTGAGACTGGGTAATTTGTAAAGAAGAGAGGTCTATTTGGCTCATGGTTCTGCAGGAGGCACAAGCATGGCACCAGCATCTGCTTGTCTTCTGGTGAGGCCTCAGGAAGCTTTTACTCATGGCAGAAAGCAAAGGAGAGGCAGATGTGTTATATGGCAAGACAGAGAGAAGGAGGTGTCAAGCTCTTTTTAAACAGCCAGCTCTTGGGTGAACTAATAGAGTGAGAATTCACTCTTTATTGCAGGGAGGGCACCAAGTCATTTATGAAGGATGCACCCCCCATAACCCAAACACCTCCCACTAGGCCCCATCTCCAACAGTGGGGATCACAGAGGTGAGCCACAACAAGGCTCGCCCTGGTGCCCAGAGACAGAAAGAGTGAAGCTGCTGACCCTGAAAGCGAGGGACAGCTGGCCATGCAGCTGCAGGCGTGGGGGTGGCAGGTGCCACAGAGCCAGAACAAACAGCTGAGATAAAGGTGAACAGTGTAGAGAGCTAGTGTGAGGAAGCCGCTGATGAGAGCTGCTGCTGAATAAAATCAACTTTTACCTGCCTACGGCTCCCTGAGTGTTCTTTCTGCTCATTCACCCACTCCCCTCGGACTTCAGCATGGGCTGGACCTTGACCACAGGATCTGACAATTGGCCATGAGGATGGGATGAGGTGAGTGGGTCTTCAGCCCCTGAGGGCTCCTGGGTCGGCTATGTGGCCGCAGCAAGAGCTGTGGTACCTGGTGGCAGTGGTGCTGCTTGGATGGGTCCCAGTGGAAACGTGGGAGACGGTGCACTGGTCTCCCATGAGTGTGGAGAAGGAGCTGAAGCACCTGGAAGTGCACAGCACCGAGAAGTATGCCTTTGCCGCAGAGTCAGATGGGCGTTTGTGACTGTGCTGGTGGGAGGTGCATGCCCAGTCCCTGCGGGACACAGCACAGGGAGAAGGAAGAAACCCCGTTGCAGGCTCGCCCAGGGATGCACCGGAAAATAGAGCATGAGCAGCTGTTGGGCCCCAAGGGTGGGCCCAGAGCCCCTCTACTGTGGTGGAGCACACTTCCTCTGGTCCCTGTGCCCCCGCTGAGTTGTGGGAGTGAAGTAAGTAATGTCGGCAGTCATGTACAAACTTACTGCAAGTCATTCGGGAGAAGGACATTGCTGCGCAACCCGGTCCTGCCCAAGAGTTCCAGTTCAAAAAGTACCCGCTGCAGCTGGCGGAAGTGTAAAGCCTTTTCTGTTTGATAAGAGAACTGGCCGAGATGCCTGGCTTGTGCGGGGCACCAGACAACCAGAGCCACATGTGGACTTGGCAATCTGCTGGTCCCTGAATCTGCGTAAGTTTTCAGGCAGAGCTGCATTTATTAATGGCTATAAAGGCTGGTCAGTGAAAGTGAAACCTCTGTCTCTGCATCTTAGCATTGGCCGCTTGGCTCTCCTCTTATGCCCTGTGTATGTCTCTCCCATACCTGAGGACACTCCGGGGGCGGATGTTTTGCATGGCTCGGCAGCTGTGCTGTCTGTCACGGACTTAATGGACCATTTGACAACGGAACTGAGACAATCCACCGAGAGCCTGGAACAGTTTGCCTTCATGGGAGGGCGACAATGGACTTTTACAGTGTTGCTGCGGGGCTATGTGCATAGCCCCATCGTGTGTCATGATTTTGTTAATGACGTTATGTTAACTTCCAATTATCTTGCAGGTTTAGAAGCGGTAACACCCCCTTTTGCCTGAGATTGGGATGATAAGGCTGAGACAGCCTTTCTAACCAAGGATGCCCATTTACACTAGATGTACATGTAATCACAGATAGTTTTGGCTAGGGCCTATAGCAGTGCATGGAACGCTTGGAAGCTCCAGTGGGCTGTTAGTCCCAACTATGGAAGGGAGCTGAGCTCTGGTATTCCTTAATAAAGAAGCAGTTTAATAGCAGGATTGGTGTGTTCATGGATAACCACTACCTCGGACTGGGAAAGCAGTTGGTAACTGTATATACTGCCCTTCAGGCTCATAAGAGTGTGGCGGGATGGGCTACAGTCGTCGTGCAGATGACTTACCTGACAGCAGGGTGGGTGTGTTCATGGGTTGCAAGCCCTCAAAATGGGACGGTACAGACATCCACTTTAGCGAAGTGGAGCGCTATTTAGAGCAGTAAAGTACCCTGAGTACAAGTCCCTTACCAGCAGAGTTACAAGAGATTTTAGGGTCTGTAGCCCTAATGCAAGATAAAGCCATGGGGCCTGAGGCACCCCTAGACCCTGAGCCTTTACCATAAGGAAGGGCATACCCCCATTCCTGATGGGGCATGGTATACAGATAGATCCAGCCAGAGTACTGCTGCTGCTGCAGTATTGACAACAGCCTAGTACTGACACCATATGGTTTAAAACCAGGTGTGGGTGAAGTAGCTAATAAGCTAAACTCAGGGCAGTATGAGTGGCAATCACCAAGGAGGAGACATCTGTGGTAATCTGCATCAATCACCAGTTTATCAAAGCCTATGTGTATGTATCGGGCCTGTGTGCCCAAACCTGTGTATCAAGCTTGCATGCCCATAGCTTGTGTGTGAGGCTTATGTGTCAAGCCTATGTGTATGTATCGGGCCTGCATGCCCAAAGTTGATATGTCAGGCCTATGTGCCAAACCTGTGTATCAAACCTGTGTGTCCTAGGCCTATGTCTCCCTCGGCCTAGAGGGTGGAGTGTAAGGTACATGAATGTGCTTTGGTCAAGGAATAGGCCAAGGCAGATGTCCAGGCCTGCATGACTCAGTGAGTTTGGGGCACAGGTGCACACCTCCATTTGTTATATAACCTGTTTGTGTAAGTTCATACTTGGCTCTGAGCCACTATCGTCTGTAAAAGGTATAATTGCCTTGCTAACACCGTACAGGGGCTCTTGAGGCTCGGCTTGGCTCAACATGGCTTAACACAGCGGGTGCACTGGCACCCAGAGAAAGAGAGAAAGAGAACCAGAGCTGTCCTTCTTGTAGGTGGACAGAGGGGAGCCACAGCACGGCTCGCACTGGTGCCCAGAGACAGAAAGAGTGAAGCTGTTGACCCTGAAGGCAAGGGAGAGCTGGCCATGCAGCTGCAGGTGTGGGGGCGGCGGGAGCCACAGAGCCCCAGCAAACAGCCGAGATAAAGGTGAGCAGTGTAGAGAGCTAGTGTGAGGAAGCTGCTGATGAGAGCTGCTGCTGAATAAAATAATCTTTTACCTGCCTACAGCCCCCCGAGTGTTCTTTCTGCTCATCCACCCACTCCCCTCGGACTTCAGCATAGGCTGGACCCAGACCCCAAAATCTGACACACAGTATGCTATGCTTTTTAATATTTTATTTCAGAAAATATTTTTCAATTATAATTTTAAATATTTCTTCTTTTTCATTATTTTTATTTTCTTCTTTGAAGACATCAATTTTATGTATGTTAGCCCTTAGGTTTCCTATATTGTATGTCTATCACATTGCATTCATTTCCTATTGCTGATATTTGTAGCAAATTATCACAAGCTTAGTGGCTTAAAACAACACAAATTTATTTTCTTATAGTTCTGGAAGTCAGAAATCTAAAATGGGTGGGCAGAGCTGTGTTCCTTCTGCAGGCTCCAGAGGAGAATCAGTTTCATGCCTTTTCCAGTCTCTAGAAGCTGTCTGTATGACCTGACTCACGGGCCTAGATCCCTAGAACCTCTCCTTCCATTGTCACCTCTCCTCTGACTCTAAACCTGCTGCCTCTATGTACCCTGGTAATGATATTGCACCCACCTGGATAATCAAGAATAATCACTTCATCTGGACATCCTCAGTTTAACCACATCTCTAATGTCCTTTTGCCATGCAGGGCAACTCTCATAGGCCTCAGGGTTTAGGATGTAGACATCTTTGTGGGGCCATTATTCTGCCTATCAGGCAAATATTTCTCAAATCCTTTTTTTTGAATCATTAAAAAATTTGTTTCATTTCCCCTCAATTTTCTTCCTTCTTTGTTCTTATTTACTTTACTCTACCTTTTATGGTGTCATTTTGCTTTTGTGTTTTTCTAATTTAGTCCTCTTTTGTGAAATTATTTTTTTCTTAATTTTTTACTGATTATTCACTTGTTCTGAGCTTTTTCTATTGCTTGTTGGTGCTGTTTTTGTCAAAGCTTTCATTCTTCTCTAATACTTAAATATTACAGTTTTCATCTGTTCCATGACCTCATTTTTCTGACGAATTCTCTCTGTCTTAATTTTATTAAGACCTCATTCAACTTTTTATTGTAATAATTTGGTATGGTGCTAGAAAGTTGTTTTTTTTTTTTTTTTTTTTTGTCCATGATGTTTGAACGAGGAACAAAATAAGATGGAACTTTCTGGGTTAATAGGAGAAAGACAAGACAAGGTAGCTTTCTCTGTAGCACAGTTTAAGAATTTTTTCTCTGTTTTTACCAGGAAAGGTTAAAAATATGTCCTCTCTCTATGAGTCACTTTGTTTCTCTAAGCCATATCTGGTTAAGAAAGCTTTCCTTGGCTGGGTGTGGTGGTTCATGCCTGTAATCCCAGCACTTTGGGAGGCCGAGGTGGGCCAATCATGAGGTCAGGGGTTCGAGACCAGCCTGGCCAACATGGTGAAACCCTGTCTCTACTAAAAATACAAAAAATTAGCTGGGTGTAGTGACCGGCGACTGTAATCCCAGCTACTCGGGAGGCTGAGGCAGGAGAATTGCTTGAACCTGGGAGGTGGAGGTTGCAGTGAGCCGAGATCGCGCCATTGCTGCACTCCAGCCTGGGCAACAGCGTGAGGCTCTGTCTCAAAAGAAAAAAAAAAAAAAAGAAAGGCTTCCCTGCCATTCATCTGTGAGGTCCACTGTCTTGTCCTCCATGGCTGTGCTCTCAGTATCAGGTCTTGCATTTACTCTTTTTGCTCTATTTTTATTTATCCGTTAATAATGATAAATATTTTCCTGTATGTTCTGAATTCTTTTTTTAAAAAATTGGATTGTGTGTATTTGAAGATTACAGCATGATGTTATGTAGATAGTAAAATGGTTACTATAGTGAAGCAAATTAACATATCCATCATCTCACATAGCAACTTTTTTTTGGTGGCAAGAGTAGCTAAAAAGCATTTGCTCTTAAAGTACTTCCTGAGACTTCCTTTCTCTGAGCTTGTCAAACATTCTCTCATTCTCTCTCTCTCATTTCTCATGGTTCCTTCCTTTTTCAGTTTTGCTATTTCCAATGGGATGAGGCATTGTCCTACTAGAGGGAAGTATGTGAGATTTTATTGAAGGCCAGAACCACCATACCCATGTTAGTTTCCCCAATATCTGTGTAATTTTGGCACTGATCTGCAGCTCTGAGGCTGTGAGGACTTTTTCCATTATCACGAATTGTTCTTAGACATTTTTTTCTTCCCAGATTTCCTCTCAGGGCAAAATCTTTTTTTTTTTTTTTTTTTTTGAGGCAGGGGCAGCGGGGGTCATGTTCATTTATTACTGACTTTTTGGTTTTTATGACTTTTAAGCTATTTAGCTGTCTTTCACTTCATGCTCTCTCACCACAACTGTTGATCGTGCATGTCCTGCTGCTGTAGCTGCTTCGTCCCCAAGATGTACCCACACTCTTGGGGCTGTTGTTCCCATCGTCTTAGCTATACTAGCTTCTCTATTTGATTTTCAAGAGAAGTTTGGGACACTTAAAACAACTACACTGCTGATATAATCACTTTACAGAAATTCTGACATACATTTCAAGAGAATCACTATGATTCCTGGGTTGAGATTAGACTATAGGAGAATGAGTAAGGAAGCAGGGAGAATAATTTTTAGACTATTGCAATAATCCAAGTGACAGATGATGATCACTTGGAAGATGACTGTCAAAGTTAGATTCTGGATGTCTTCTGAAGGTGGAACCGTAAGATTCTCTGATGGATTGGATGTTGGATGTTAAAGAAAAAGAGGAGGTGGAAATAGCATTGAGTCTTTTATTTTAATATTTCAAGGGATGGAGTTGTCATTAGCTGGGATGTGGCAAATGTGGCTAAACCAGGTTGAGTGTCATATTAGGTTAGGGTTAGGCCATACTGCAGTAACAAACCCTAAACAATTAATTTATTGCATAACAAATAAGAAGGTGGTGGGGAAGGGGGGCCCTCCTTTATCATTTAGCCCTGCCATCATGAATACATTTTCTTTGCTTTTGTTTTAGCAGAGGGAAAGCTAGCTGGAGGATCAGAGATTGGGGTTGGCAGCTGCTTCTACTTCTGTACCTTCTTTTCCTTTTTGTTTTCCTCCTTCTCTTTGCCTACCCTCTCTTCTTCCTCTTACAATTTTTTTTTCTCCTCCTCCATTTTATTTCCTTCTTTTCCCAGAACCATAAGTGGCATTCATCATTTCTGCCCATATCCCATTTTCCAAAACTCAGTTATGTGCACCCAATCTAATGGCCAATGAGATGGAAAATTTATTTGCTGCCCATTTGAATTTCATTTTCAGTGAATTGCTGTTCAAATGCTTTACTAATTTTTCAATTTTTTATGTATAGGAGTTTTTAATAAACTCTGAAAAAATAACTTATTGCATGTTAACATGTTTCAAACATCTTCTCTAGTCTATTGCTTGTTTCTTAGCCTTGTTTATAACTACTTTGTCATGTGGAATACGTTAATTTTGTAGTGTATTCTTTGTGATTTGAGTTTCCTACATTTTCTTTAAGAAATTTCTCCCTGTCTTAATATCATAAAAATATTACTCTATATTTTTGTCTGAGTTTTGAATTACTTGGCTTGTTTTATGTACTTGTTTATTTAATGCATTTAGGATAGTGTTTTATTTTATTTTTCCATCGGACTTAATTCATGACACTGCCTTGGTCATATATGGAGTTTTTATTTATGTGCAGGCCCATTTTTGGTTCTTTGTTTCCATTGTTTCCAAAGTTGTCTCCGTTGATGTATTTGTTTCTCCCTGTGGAATAACAAAATGTTTTAGTTGCCATTATTATAAAATAAGTCCTGCTTCTTTATTTAGTATTTTGTCATTTAATTTCTTGGTCCTTCTTATACATGTACAAAATTTTTCACACGCATTTTAGAATCAGCTTGTCAATTTTCAGCAAAAATTTTATTGGTATGTTGATTTCGATTGCATTGAATTGTATATATAAACTTGGGGAGAAGTGAAATATATATAATATTAAATTCTTTCTTCTAGGACATTGGCATATCTTGCCATTTGTCCATTTACGTCTTTCAATGATATTTTCCAATTTTCTTCATATAGGTGTTATCCATCGTCTATTCGGTTATTCCTAGCTTTTTTATCTATTTATTTATTTTGGGAACTAGATTTTTTCTTTTAAAAAATATTGTATTATTTACAGGAACATTGTTTTATCGTGTACGTTATGCACACATCCAACTGCTTGCCAGACTTTAAAAAATTACAATATTTTACCTAAATAATCTATTTTTTTGTAAAAATGTAGTTTTTGTTAATAATTTATTTTCACTAAGTTATTTTATATACATATATAAACAGCTTAGTAAAGTGTCTGATACAATAAGGGCCTAATAAATGTTAAATTGTATTATAATTGTTTTCATTACTATTATTTTCTTGGTATGCAAATGTGTCACTTGAAAATGACACATTTTTGTTTATTTAAATATTTACATCTCATTTCTTTTTCTTGATTTATTGTGTTAGTTTGGAATAGCATAAATGATAATAGGAATGCATTTATATTTCAACATGAGGTGCGATTTTTTGCTACTGTGGTTGATTAATTCTTTTATTGGGTTAAGGAAGTTAACTTCTATTTCTTTTTGGCTAAGAGCTTTTGAACAATCATGAATACAAGTTGGTTTTCACAGGATGATACTGTTTGCATTTATTAAAAGAAGGTTTATGCTCCTTTGGTAGTTACTGTGCAAATTCCATTTCCAGTCACTGAAATATAGGAAGGAAAGCCCAAGAGAGGGCTAGAATTGGTGTTGGGTGAGCCAGTGTATCATCTGTGCCCCACTACATCCTTTGGACTTTTCAACATTTCATCCCTCTCCATCTTCTGATATTTAAAGTTCCAAATAAACTCATCATAACTTCAAAGTGCTACTGCCTAACATAATGCATCTATTCCTTGTACAAATAAAAACAAACCATCTCTTTGAAAGTGATGACACAGTCTCATCAGTTCTTGCATTAATTTCTGCTTTATGTTTATCCTCTTTTTAGTTTATAACTCAGCAGCATTTTGGTATCCTGTAATCTCTGCACTGAGATATTACCTACACATCCTGTATAAAATCACAGGTAGAAGGGAGGGTGGAAAATAAAAGGAATTATATAAAAATGAGAACATAACAGAGCAATGAAAAAAATAGGGGTGCTCATGATAGTTCTCATTTTTACAGCTCTTCATGAGGTCATGTTTGATATACAATAATTTCTTTTGTAACTACTCATTTCATATTTCCTTTGCTTTCAGCCAACACCTTTATTTGAAAGTTTCCTGAGCTGACAGGTCACTTGAAATTTATTCCTGAGAAGTTTGCACTCTTGATCCTGCATTTATAAGATGCTGAATTGTTTCCTTCACTCCTTCAACTGCATGTGGGCAGACTAGGAGGCAACTAGCAGGATTCCCTGAATAATAGACATACTCCTCCTTATCTCCAATCATACATTAACAATCCTACCTCTCTCCTTGATAGTAAGAATCATTTACCATAGATAACACAATAGATAAGGAATATGGTAATTGAAGTTCTTCCCACTTGAAGGTGTTTCCATTCCCATTGTCCTTTTGGACCACTCAAAATGGTAAAAGCAGAGGCCTAACGATCCAATTTTGTGTGGTGCCAGGATGCCATGAAGAACCATCTGTGAACCAGACTTGAGGGTTTTTTTTTTTTCTGAACTAGTCAGAGGGAATTCTGAATGATGCCCAGGTGTTTCCTAGGGGCTAACTACTAACATACAGCAGGAGTAGGCATTGATATGGTTTGGCTGTGTCCCCACCCAAATCTCATCTTGAATTGTAGCTTCCATAATTCCCACATGTTGTGGGAGCGTCCCAGTGGGAGACAACTGAATCACAGGGGGAGGGAGGGCAATTACCGCCATACTGTTCTTGTCGTAGTGAATAAGTCTCATGAGATCTGATGGTTTTATAAGGGGAAACCCCTTTCGCTTGGTTCTCTCATTCTCTCGCTTGCCTGCTGCCATGTAAGACATGCCTTTCACCTTCCACCATGATTGTGATTCCTCCCCAGCCATTTGGAACTGTGAGTCTATTAAACCTCTTTTTCTTTACAAATCACTGAGTCTAGGGTATGTCTTTATCAGCAGCATGAAAACGGACTAAGACAGACATCCTGGAAATGTGAAGATCCCACCCATGTTACTGTGAACACATTCAGGAGCTGCCAAAGCCCGATAAAGTACATATCTTTCCTACTTGGAAACAGAGGCTTATTTAGTCCTGCCTGTCTTCAGTAAGTCTATAGTATATCAGATGACACCCACTTGATGTCATGCTCAGGTCACTTGATCACTTGGTGTCTATATTCATGTGTTTAGTCTGTATCAGGATTTTAACAAGCCAGGAGCAGTTTCTCCCTTCCAAATACTAACCAGGCCCCACCCTGCTTAGCTTCCAAGATCACATGAGTTCAGGTGCGTTCAGGGTGCTATGGCAATAGACAGGAACCATTTCCCAAAAAGACAGCAGCTACTTGTTTAGGAGGGCCTGTAATCCCAGCACTTTGGGAGGCCAAGGCGAGCTGATCATCTGAGCCCAGGAGTTCAAGACCAGCCTGGGCAACATGGTGGGACGCCATCTCTACAAAAAATACAAAAATTAGCTGGCCATGGTGTCCCAGTACCTGTAGTCCCAGCTACACCAGAGGCTGAGGTGGGAGGATTGTGTGAGCCTGGGAGTTGGAGGCTACAGTGAGCCAAGATTGTGCCACTGCATTCCCGGCTAGACAACAGAGCAAGACCCTGTCTTAAAAAAAAAAAAAAAAAAAAAAGGAGGGCATACCTTTGTCCACAGCTATGATTTTGAATTTAAGACCTACCATAGGGTTGTTACAGAAACCTGTTCAGCCACAGATAATTTGAGTGCTTTGGATCCATTGACTATCATAGATTAACGATGGCTGCATTTTCATTACAACACTCACTGAAAAGTTTTCTAATCACTCTCTGCTTGAATCTGGTCTAGCTTATTAACTTGCTTAACCAATAAAGTATGGCAGAAGTGATGCATAGCCAATTCTGAGGATAGCCTCTTAAAGGACCGGCAGATTCTACTTTTCCCACTTAGAGCCCTGAGCATCCATAAGGGAAATTCAAATATCCTAAAGGTGTCATGCTGTAGGGAAATTCAAGCAACATGGAAAGATCATAGGTAGAGACCACATGGAATGATTCCAGTCCCCAGCCATTTGCATTAGCTCAACTGAGGCCCAGACATTGTAGAAGAGGGATGAGTCTTCTCCATAGAGCCCTGCCAAAATTTCAGATTTGTGAGTTAAAGACATGATTGTTGTGGTTTTAAATAATTATGATTTGGGGTTATTTGTTATGGCATAATAGATTACTGGACAGTAGTTCATAGAGACTAGTTAACATGGCTTCTTACATTGGGACCTGACCCAGCTGAATGCAGTTTTACTGTCTTTACTTGTACAGATTCCACTCAAAACTGTCAGCCTCATGGGCTACTTGGTAAATAGAGCAGAATATCCTAATGCAGTATGTAATGCCTCCAAAGTTCAAAGAGGCAACCGAGTGTTGTGACATTCTCTTAGCGATGGAATGTACAAAATAAAGCAACATGCATTTCATTGTGGACCTGAAAGGAACAGTTCAAACATTAGATACCTAAAATTTTGTTGTGGTTACAGCTCCCTGAATTTCCTGGTAGTTTATCATCTGCACTCTGGAATACACATTTCTTAACAAGGTATTGAGGATACACACATGCTACTTCCTGCTCACTAGGTCCCATTAGTGAGATGTCATAAATATGGTGAGCCATTGTGATTTTCATAGACACCATGCTGTTGTTCAGTGTTTATTCAACCTTCAACAAAGACAGAAGTGTAAGACAATTCCCTTTTCTGACCTAGATCCAGGAGGAAGACAATATTTATTTTGGTTTTGGATGGTCATTAGGCATTTGTTTTGTGTTCCCTGGGCTATTCTTTTGGGTTTTGAGATCACTGATTTTGCTAGAAAATAAGAGTAATAAAGTTTTTTGTTGAACGTCGCCACTTTATTTTAACCATGCACTGAAGAATTAATAGCATTGTTTATGCTCATTTGAGAAGCAAGAGTCTGGAAAACGTTATTGTTAGACATCGGATGAAGACTTGAGAAAGGTGGAGCAGTGATTAAGTAGTCATCATAGGTGAAAACTGGCCGCAAAGACAAATGTGAGATATCTCTTTTGAGTACCAGCAAGACTGTAGATTCCTAATGTGAAAAAAAATGGTCTTTGCATTTTTAATTTATATATTAAAAGGGAAGTTCTTCTCTCCTGAAAGCTGGAGAAGATGGATTTAAATAAATCCTTGAATATTAGGTCTAGGGATATTTATATGACAATAAGGTTTGGGTCTGTTCTCACCCAAATCTCACCTTGAATTGTAATAATCCTCAGATGTCAAGGTTGGGGCCAGGTGGAGATAATTGAATCATGGGGGAAGTTTCCCCCATACTGTTCTTGTGGTAGCGAATAAGTCTCACAAGATCTGATGGTTTTATAAGTGGGAGTTCCCCGGCACACGCTCTCTTGCCTGGCGCCATGTAAGACGTCCTTTTGCTCTTCCTTCACCTTCCTCCATGATTGTGAGGCCTCCCCAGCCATGTGGAACTGTGAGTCTATTAAACCTCTTTCCTTTATAATTGCCCAATCTCAGGTATGTCTTTATTTGCAGCATGAGAGCAGACTAATACATATGAAATATAAAATTACAAAACTAAGTGTGGTATAGTAAAAGATATACCATAGCATGCTCATTATTATACATGTTATAACTAAAACAACTGAAAATACATTCCTGTTTGAGATATCTGTGCCAATTTATCAAGAGAAGCTGGAAGTATTTGTGTATGATTGATGTTTAGTAGCACCATTATTTTCATTTGCTTAATTTACGGCAAATGAGAACTCCAGGTGATGTACTATGACTGATCAAAATATCCAAGCATTTCTTTTGGTAAAGATATATAGCAGAGAACTAATTCCTTATCTCACTCTCAGATATGCTTTTGAATAGAGACAGATAGGGAGAGAGAGAGAACTCATATATTCCTTAGGATTTCTCAGGTAATTAGCTAACAGCAGAACCCCTTTGATCACTTAAATGACTTCTTTACAATTCAGGCAGAGTAAATTAGTGAAAAGCTCTTGCCTGAGAGTCTCCTGACTTTGCTCCTTAGGGCTTGTCCTGGAGTTTGCAATCATGTCTGAAAGAAAAACGAAGATGGAGCTTCCTCAGTGGCACATCCTTTTTTAAGCATTAGGGTGAATTGGGTGTTACAGTTCTCTCGGGCAAGCTGAAGTGCACCTGGTCAGTACTTCGCTCACTATGACCTTACAGAAACCTTGGGATGTTGCTGCAATATAGTATTATGTTTCCTTATCCCACTTTGTAAGTTAAGTCCCTTAGAATCAGACACGATTTAGCAATTTCCTCTAGGAGCAAAGGCAAACATTCTAAGTATATACATATAATTGTTGTTAAGATGACACATCCTAGCCAAGTGGTCAAGATGTATTTTACCCTCATTAGTAGATGTAAGACTAGTTCAGACAAGTGTAAAACACTTGCCAGCTTTTTATTTTTAGGCCAGATATTTCTATTTTCTGTCTTCTTGGTGAATATTCAGTCCATTAGTACACGGTATTACTTAAAGAATTGTTGGTGAAGGGCATTCATTAGGGGCTTCTGGACCATAAGTATTTTCAACCTACCAATAATTGTTTATGTTTTAAAGTAGGATGATAGTAAGTAAAAGCCACACTCCCCTTTTTAAAGTTAGGGCTGATAAAGGATCCTCCCCTGCTCACTACTACAATGATTTGTGTGTGAGCATATGTTTTGGGAAAGAAGCTTTTCTCTGTGTATTTTTCAGGATTAGTATCTGTTTAATCCTCCAGAAGGAGCTGGAAGTGAAGCAACCCACTCCTGTGTTCACATCACAGACATACATCCTTCGCATTTGCAGCATGTCTATTTCAATGCTTTCGAGTGGGAGAGGTTTGTTGGTGAGTGTGGCTGTTGGAAACAGATAAAGAGGAAAAACTTAAAGATAAATTGGCAATCCTTTTCCTAAGTGACTTTCATTTTTAAAAAGAGAAAACAGAAAAGCTTCTATTACTCCTTGCTTTAGAACTTTTAATGGAATGCCATTAAGAAATGAGATGTGTGTATTTCATAGTTACTGGACTACTCAATATAATTTAATCATAGTATGTTCAACCATTACTCATTTCTTTCTCCATACTAGTACAAATTAGGAAATTAGGAACTATTAAATTAATATATACTTTAATGGAGAATAAATTATGAAAACAAAAAGTTCTTTGGAGGGAGCTATATGTTAATATCAGGAACAGGTAATCTGCATGTCTCTACACAGAGTACATAGCTTAATGCATTTAAATTACTGGATGTCTAAATTATAGGTTAATTATGAAGTTATCTACATATCATACATACTTGTAGAATCACTTTGCTTATGTTTAAAGTATGATAATTAGTTCTGGGTTGTCATGTACAAAGGTGCCTAAAAAATAAATTCCAAGTTTTACACTTTGAGAAAAATAAAATAAGAATATGAACACAGGCGTCAATTGGAAAGGGGATTAAGCTTAAAGACAGGCAATTTTTTTGTGTGTGTCTTACAAAGTTTTATGGACTAGATGACATTCTTAAGGTATTTTAAAATAAAGTTACATTTTTTAATAATCAGGCATGTACTTTTAGTCAAGGAAGGAACAATAGAAGGAAAAAGTCCTTTATATAACCTTTGAAAGAGTCTCTCATAAAACTGTAACAGTGTTATATACTATTTAAATCAGGTGGATGAGAAGTTGTTATTAAAGAGCGTGACAGTATCTGGATTTGAAGGTGTTCTCTGCTGCTGTGAGTTTTGTTTGAAATGCTTCATTCATATTTGTACTTTAAAAAAATTACTTTTGCACCAGCCTAATAAAACTATATTTTCATCATGATATTGCTGAATTTTGGCTCTAGAATATATTGCAAATTTAAAATGCCAGTGAGTTTATTCCCTCTTATAAAATACATTTTAAAATATTGAACTAAGAATATAAAGTTTTAAAGGCAACTTAAGAAAATAAAATATTGGAAATAAACATTTAGAACCATATAATATTAATTATTGTATTAAAGGTGGTTTTTACAAATAAATTGGCATTAGTAATTAGGGAAATGCAAATCAAAATCACAATGAGCTATCACTTCACAGCTACTAGGATGGGTATAATTTAGAAAAAGCAAAATAACAAGTGTTGTTAAGGATGTAGAGAGACTGAAACCTCCTTTACATTGTGAATAGGAATATAAAATGGTGCAGCCATTGCGAAAATGTTTGGTAGTTTCTGAAAAAGTTAAACACTGAATAGAATACGATTCAGCAACTCCCATCATAGGCATACACTCAAAATAATTGAAAAAAAGACTCAAAGAGATAGTTATATGACAATGTTCACTTGTTCACTGCATCATTTTTCACAATAAACATAAAACATGAAACATAAAAAACCAATCATAGTGAGAACTTGTATCAACTAAGTCTAGTTTTAGTAACTTTAAAAATAAACATTATAACATTTATTTGCTAATGAAATCCTAAATATTTGATACATTGTGAGTACATGAAAATTAATAAAATATGAAAATAGGAAAGAGTTGAGAGAAAGGTTAGTCTATTCCAAATTATCTGCACAATTGGAGTAGGTGATGAAACAATCCTAACTAGACAATAATACAGAAACCGATTATTTTGATATTCGTTAAATTTTTAAACTTTCTTGTGATTATGGTCTGGTGGTCTGGGATCATTCAACCTTTGGAACCAAAGAGAAGCATGGGAAAGGTGTCCAGCTTCCCCCGTTCCACACCTGCATGCAGAATCATTGTGGCACTGTGCTTTGTTCTCCAATTCATCAAGTACTCACATTTGTGGTTGCTTCCCCACCACATTTGCAATGGGTCTTTCAGCCCACACCAGTGCTTACCTGTACTATTGCTTTTCAAGTTGGCCTCATCTCTCACTGAGAGCTTCTTTTCTACCAGCAGCTGAAGGCAGGATCTCCCTACTGCCTCCATTAAAAAGTGCTCATTGCAAGAACACATGGACATAGGGAGGGGAACATCACACACCGGGGCCCGTTGGGGAGTAGAAGGGCAAGGGGAGAGATAGCATTAGGACAAATACCTAATGCATGTGGGGCTTAAAACCTAGATGACGGGTTGATGGGTGCAGCAAACCACCATGGCACATGTATACCTATGTAACAAACCTGCACGTTCTGCACATGTATCCCAGAACTTAAAGTATAAACACATAAAAATAAGTGCTCATTGCTAAGTTCTGGCACCTCAGTCCTCTAACTCCTGCCTTGCTTTCCAAAATGTGGTTTGGGGCTGGTCTTTTCTCTGCCCATCACCTTCCCTTGTTCATGAGTCTTGACTCTAATTAGACACTTTGGATGACTACTGTATTAGTCTGTTCTCATGATGCTAATAAAGACATACCCAAGTCTGGGTACTTTATAAAGGAAAGAAGTTTAATTGATTCACAGTTCTACATAGCTGGGGAGGCCTCACAATCATGGTTGAAGATGAATGAGCAGCAAAGTTACATCTTACATGGCAGCAGGCAAGAGAGCGTGTGCAGAGGAACTCCCCTTTATAAAACCATCAGATCTCATGAGACTTATTCATTATCATGAGAACAGCACGGGAAAGACCCACCCTTATGATTCAATTACCTCCCGCTAGGTCCCTCTCATGACATGTGGGAATTATGGGAGCTACAATTCAAGATGAGATTTGGGTGGGGACACAGCCAAAACATATCAGATACCTTAGCTGCAATGATTATTTACTTGGCTTTGACTTCAATTTTTACCAACAGTGGTGGAAGAATAAGGGGTGGTGGTGGACTGAGGCACAGATCAAACAGATAAGATGTCCAGTCTTAGGCTGTTCCTTTCCCGAGTCCATTGAAATAGACTTTTAATTGGTTTTATGCTCTTCAAACTCTCTGTATTGTCTTTCAAAAATATTTTTCCAAATGCAGATGTGAAAATGTCCTCTGCTTAAAAATATTGTATGAATTCCTGTAACGACATATTTTCTTTACAATTCTATTTCATAAAATAATGGCAGGATAGGAATTACCTATCTATGACGTGTCTACCATTCTAAATAAAGTCACTTTTCAAGTTAAGCTTCCTGGTTCTAAGTATTTATATGGAATAATCAAATAGATATACAGATTATTATAAACCCACTTCTGGTATTAACTATGCAGAACATCTCATGATTTCTATCTTGTACAACCTCTATTTATTGGACAATCAATGTAAATAGAGCAGGACAAGAAAGAGGAAGGTCCTACAGTTTAGGAGGACTCCCTATTTTAACTCACCAAGACTTGGTTTTAACAAAAATCAAGTAAATTTGCACATTCTATCATGTCTTCTCTTGAAGAGGGTTTTTAATAGGGCCACTAAAATTCATAGTAGTACTTCTGCAACATAGTACTTTCTGAAATATTCCAATTGTTTTTCTATGTCTATTGTTAATTTTCTCCTTTCAGAGTTTCAGCAGTTCTTGTCACTAAGTGTGAGATCTGTAGAGTGATTGACTGGGTCTAGCACTTCCCCAGTGTGACTTTTCAGAAAAGTGGCAGCCATTTTTGGTTGTGACAGTCCTTCAACGATTATGTGACATGGCCTTGCCTAATATTTCAGATTCTCATAAACAGACTGCACTGGCTATATTCTGTAATCTTAAGCATCAGTCCCAAAAAAGGACTCTGTTGCCTCAGTTTATATTCCTTTGCACACCACCCTAATAAAGCGAGGTTGGTTTTTGTTCTCAAGCAGTGTTTTAATTATATAGTTTGCATTTATAAGAGTAATTGTGACTTAAGTAGATATGAATGATAATCGTTGGTTTCTTTTCCACATTAATCTATCATCTCTCAACTTCATTGATTGGAACATACTAACTTATGAAAAACTCCTCATGATCATGACTTGATCCTCAAACAAACTGCCTTGAAAAGATGACCATGCAGCCTAATGTGAATAGAATGATTTATCAGAACAGTCTATAATCTTGCTAAGCAAGCAGCCAAGTTGGAAAATCTTTTCTGCTTCCTATCTTGTGAAACGAAGGGCCGAAAATCTGTGTGGCCCTGAATGATTTGGGAATCGCAGTAAAATGACCCCAGTGGATGAATGGGGTCATTTTACTGAATGAATAAAATGATGAGTAATACAAAATTGTCCTGTTAAGCTGCTCGTTACCTAGATTCCCTGCTAAGCTGCAGGAAGTCAGCAAGAGTCCTCAGCCACCAGTGCTGAAAAATATTGATGGCCTAAATCATTTTGTGGAGTAAATCTATACATAATTATAGGAGATTGTTTAGAAATTATAGTAATTTGATATTATGTTGATTTTCATGAACATTTAAAAATTAATATAAATATCTTGTGCTGTATGTTTGTTTTCCCGGAATGTACTTGTTAAAAATTAAGCGCTGACTCACAGAAACATCTGGGCAAGAGTGTGGATGACTCAGGACAAACTCATCACTGTTATTGAAACACAGAGAGTATGGCTTCCTGAAAATGAGTTGTGAACATTATATTCTCATAAAATGGGCAGTGGTCTCAACTATTTCTCCACCCTACTCATGCATCTCAGTCCTCCCCACATGATTTGGATAGATGTGCAGCCTTCACCGGTGGAATATTGGCAATAGAATGAAAGCATGCTGCTTTTATCTTAAGCTTTTTGCTTGCATTGTTTAATGACTTTTCACAGTAGTAACCACAGAAACATAATTTCTTTTTACAAATGATACTGATAAAGTCATGAAATAGGAGAATCGTGAATAACATGGAAGGAATACTAATTTTTTTGGTTATTGCTCACCATGGAAATTCAAGAAAAAACAGAGAGGCAGTTCGCCATTTTCATGTAAACTAATCCTAATGATTAACCTTGCTAGTCTCAAGAAAAATTACTGAAAAACTTTATCACTGCTATATCTAAGCCATAGTTTTCATGATAGTGGTTAATGTATAAATAAGATTGCACACACTCTTTTTAGATTGAGTAAAGTACAGAATTGCATAAACATGTCTTTTAAAAATTCTTGTCTTAAATATGTTTCTAATTGTGCGATACTCCTGTGCTTACAGTATTTAGACCACATGTTTAAATCAGAGTTTTTAGTAAGGGATTACAGCACTTCTATTCCAAAGAGTGCTGGCTTTCTTCTTTCCTTTCTTTATAAAGCTTGCCACTGTTTGACACAGGCTGAATCTTTGATGTACATATAAGGTTTGATTTTTACTTTAATGTTTTAGTTTATGATCTATTTTGTACATTGAGGATGACATTCTGGGGTTGAAAAAATGGTGAAGTTATTTCTAGAAAGAAAAAAAGATCCTTCACCCTGGAGCAGCCATTTGGAAATTATTTAATCACACTAAGAGTAACCTTAAAAACATTAGGTTATTTTCAAATGATATTCCCAGAGGTGAGCAGCCAAATTCTCACTAAGAATAAGTTCATCTAGCATTGACGTTGCTTCAGTATCAAAAGCACAAAGTACTACTGAGCCATGACAGTTTCGTTTAACCAATGATTTTAGAGAAATCTGGGTGGTTTTCCATGTGTTGCCTGGTGCTGGGCAGGTTGGCTGTTGCATGTTTGTAAGGTTCAGCTGTGTCCAGAGAGAAATATAAAATAAATTAATTTAATTTAATACTGTCTCTGAATTCTAATAACATAGTGTACTATTTGTTCCTTAAAAATGTGAAAAAAAGTTCCATAAAGTTAGATCCTTAGACAAGTTTGCTATAAAGAGTATAAAAAAACAAATTAACTTGGTCAGAATTTTATAAACAGTGATTTATTTAAAAATTAAACACAAAGAAAATTGCAGCTGAATTTTGCACATGGTCAGGATTTATTAGCAAATAAAACATTATGCCTATATAATAATTGTGAGAATCCTCCTGCATTTGCTGAGGACTTACTATGTACCCACTGTCGCAGTACTTTTGCTGGTATACTTTCCCTTCCATTTTGTATTGGGAGCTTGGTCTTGTTAGTGGGTCTGTATTCTTCTACTCTTTACTTTTTTTTCCCCTAGTTGGTTTACCTAAATGCTTTCTAGGACCTAAGGATGTTGAGGGAGCAGCATCTCTGTGGCCCGGGGCACACAGATTACAGGGTTAACACTTGGTATCTAGTTTATGTCTTGGATTTCAGAGTGAACTTTTCAAGTTTTTATGGACTGTGACCAGCGAAACCGAAATACTAAGATCATTGGCATATTTAATAACAATAATTTTAAGAGAAAAGCTATGGATGGATTCTAGGGTCATAAATTTAGTAGCAATTATTTTTATTTATCCTAATATATAAAGTTTGTGGTTCACTTATTCATTAAACATTGACTTATTATATCTATGTGCCAGATACTGTGTTGGAACCTGCGGACACAAAAATGAGTCCTAATAGACGTCATTTCTGTCATCACAGAGCTCAATGTTGGGGGTCGGGAGAAGACAAGAAACACAGAGAGAAAGACATAACCAAATAACGACACACACACTAATACAAAATTGCATCTCTGATAAATACGTGAAGGAGTGATTCACATGCTTTCAGAGTTCTAATTGTAGGATGTAGCAGACAGAGGAAAGGATGCTCTTAGGAAATGATTTCTGAGCTAAGATCCAAGGAATTATTCAGAGTTAAGTGTGAAAAACGTGGGATGAATCCAGGGAGAAGAACATGTGCAAAGGTCCTGTGGCATGAGAGACAGTGGCAAGAAGAAGGATTGAAAGAAGGCTGGAGTAAATAGCAAAGGAAGAGAGGTTGGAAAAACATGATGCTGGGTTGTTAGGTGGAATCCAAATTGAGATCTTCATAGTTTACATAAAAACATTTCGTTTTGTCTTAAAAATAATAGGTCTTAAAATGGGAGGGTTTTAATTAGAGGTGGGAGGGTGACACAATTAGGTGTAATTTTTTCATAATCACGTTTGAGAGAGACCAGAGTGGATGCTGGTAGACCTGGAGCAATTTAACATAGTTGTCTAGTTGAAAGATGATAGTAGGTTTTACATCTGGTTCTTTAAAAAGTCTACATTTCTTTAAGCACAAATATGAAATGAAATAGTTTTATTTTATCCCCTTACTTCTTTCAGATCTCATTTTCCCATCCCTTAGTGACATCTGAACAGATCCATACCGAGTGCACATGTTTAATCATTTAGTCCAGTTCACGTGGGGCCCATTTAAAACTTCAGTCTCATGTTCACATTCGAATGCTCCTCTCTTCCAACTTTGGCTAAAGAACTTCCAAAAATGACAAAGTGCTATCTGTGCTTCCCTACCTTCTCCCCATTCCACTAGCCATTTCTCCTTTCGTATGTTGAGAACTTGGAGAAGAGATGAAGGGAGAAGGGGTCAGATGCTTTTTCTCTTAGTGGTGATGACGATGCCATCCTCTCTTGACCATCATTGTTTTTCTGGTGAATTCTAATGTGCTTCAAGTGTCCCCTTTGGGACAGCTCCCCAAATGCCGCCATCTTCCATGGAGCATGTGTGGGTTCTTTCCGTAGCACATAGTGGGGCTCCTTGCTGCCTCGTTGCTCCACTGCCCTTGCTCCCATCTCTCATGTCCTGCTTGTGCCTTCTTACTGCTGGCTCTTCCTTGCCCAGCAGCCACCATCCTGCATAAGGTGCTGGCAAGATGAGTCACACCCCAGGAACTTCCACAGTGTCTACCAGACCCATGGGACACTTACTCATCCTTGCCCAAGCAAAGGTAGGAAATCAGGCTGTTTCTGGGCTGCCTCTCTAAATTGACATCTCTTTTTCAGTTCTTTGTTTTCTTCACTTAAATAGACACAAGTGTATTGTGACTACTTAAGTATATGTAAACTGTATAAACAAATCTACCAGAAAAAGAGAAGCCAATGAAAATCCATCTTCCAATCTCTATAAGAGATTTTCTTGGAGCCCACTTCACCTGAGTTTATGGGAGTAGGGATGGTGTCAGTGGGGGTGATGGTGCATCACAAAACTACAGACCGATGCTGTAACCATAACTTCTACTATTCTCCTTGAGTCCCTTCCTTCCTCATAGTCATCTTATTATGTAGACTGGAGGGAGTTGATGGGATGATAGCTGTAGGTTTTAGCTGGTTTGGATGTTTAATAAATCCCAAGGATGTATCTGGTCCCCAAATGCTTTCTGGGGTGTTTAGCATGTGAAGTAATTTTTACTTTATATTCCCAACTCTGGCTTTTGCTTTGATCTAGTGTGGCAAAAAGCAACTTATTCAGAATTCTGTATGGTTTGGACCTGTAATGATGTCAAAGGACATGGAAACACTGGGCTAGGCCAGAAGAATACCTGATAAAACACATGTTACGGCTGGGTGTGGTGGCTCACGCCTGTAATCCTAGCACTTTCGGAGGCCAAGGCTGGTGGATCACCTGAGGTCAGGAGTTCGAGACCAGCCTGACCAATATGGTAAAATCCCGTCTCTACTAAAAATACAACAATTAGCTGGGCGTGGTGGCACAACACCTGTAGTCTCAGCTACTTGGGAGGCTGAGACAGGAGAATTGCTTGATCCTGGAAGACAGAGGTGGAGGTTGCAGTGAGCCAAGATTGTGCCACTGCACTCCAGCCTGGGCAACAGAGTGAGACTCCGTCCCAGAAAAACAAAAAAACAAAACAAACAAAACACAAATTATATGGTGATCGATTGAATATCGAGGATGAGAAAGAAGAAGGAAACAGGATGACTGTTAAGTGTCTGTTTTATACTCTACGTACCTAGTGGATGCTGGTATAAGGGAAAACACTGAAAGAGGCCCAAGGTTCCCCATAATTGCTTCCTGCCCCATGGGAAGAGGGAGCCACAGGATGGCATGATGTGTGTTCAGCTTGGATATTTTGAGAAGACATTGAATAGACAAGGCTGGAGCTCAGAGGAATTATTTGGGCTGAAGGTGCACATCTGTGAGCTATTTTTTATTGGCGATAACTGAAGCTATGAGTATGGATGGCATTGCCAGAGAGAGAGTTTATAGTGAGATGTGTGCAGTGTATACACACACACGAATGTGAATGTGTGTGTGTGTGTACACTGTGAATATAGACACTGTGTGTGCAGTGTCTGTGTGTGTGTACAGTGTGAATATAGACACCTACAGAAACACACACAAAAATTAGATAAATTTTTAAAGGTTTGTAGACTTACTGTCATTATGAGTAGTTACATACTCTAACTCTCTATTTCTATATGTCTATGAAATGTGATATGGTTTATCCTATAATCCCAAGAAACTAATTGGTGAGCCCACATATTGCTTCTAGATCCAAAAGGTGTATAACTTCCTTTGATAACAAACACAACTCAATTATTTTTGAATACAGCATTCAGACAGGAATAGGGGAGCAGGGAATAGAGACTAGTCCCTTACAAAATATGGCTGGGTTATAAATCTAACTTTTCTGGGATTCTAAACTCCATATTTTGTGGGGAGGCATTTGCACCTACCTTAGGACAGAGGTCCCGGTGGGAACAGCATTGTGCCAGTCTCCGGGTGTGGTTGCATCCAGGCACAATGATGCCTCCAGGAGGGAGGAGCCCCATGGCAGAGAGGGGCAAGCAGAGACTGCAGCTGCAGCAGATAGGATTTTGAACAAGACTGGGGACTCTGCTGGAGAACTTGGAGGGGAAGATTCAGGGATTTTGATAGAAGTGGTTCAGAACTGAGAATGGTTTTGTTTTGTTTTGCCGTTATTAGTAAACATTTTCCTCCTAAAATAATGATTTTAAAAATTAGCATGGGATCTCTAAGATCACCTATTAAAGCTGCAAGAAGAGATGTAATAATAAATAATAATGGCAGCAATGCACACAATTAACATTGTTCACATCTTCCCTCATACTAAGTGAAAGCTTCCCTTTTGGTGCTTGGAGAATGGAAGCTGAACCTGCCTCCCAGATGCCTCCCAGATGGCTGTGATTGTCACATGGCTCTGCCCTGGTGAAATCTCCTGTGACAGCAGGTTAGAGACTGCTGTGCAGCTCCACCTGTGATCTATTCAGAGGCTGGAAGCTGTTCACACACTAAAATGTAAATCCAAAATGCTCCAAGCACAGTCAGGTAATGGGAACTTTACTTTGAAAACCTGGCCTGTCCAGAGAATGTGTCCTGATGCATTATTAATAATCCTCTCTTACTTTGGGAAAGAAAGATTTATGCTAATTTAATTGGTATTGTGCTATAATCATTTGAGGCTGTAAGAAAGGAGTACATTTTACTTAAGAGCACAATTGCATTTTAATTGGCATGTTTGGGGTGATTTTAGGACTTTTAGGACATGGCTAACTTTGCAATAAAAAATAGCTATTTACTCTAGTGATTTTCACACTGTTTTTCGTGAAGAGAAGCTTTTGAAAGAGGTCAATTAAATATTTTGCCTAAAATATCCCAACTAATGGAAGAGATTTATTGTTAAGCCTTTGGGCTTCTTTTTCTTCTTCTTCTTCTTTTTTTGTCTTTTACATTGTTAATAAAATAATTTGATTTTGGCATGCAATAGTCTCATTAAGAGCAGTTTAGGCCGGGCGCGGTGGCTCACGCCCGTAATCCCAGCACTTTGGAAGGCCCAGGCGGGCAGATCACGAGGTCAGGAGATCGAGATCGTCCTGGCTAACACGGTGAAACCCTGTCTCTACTAAAAATACAAAAAAATTAGCCAGGCGTGGTTGCAGGCGCCTGTAGTCCCAGCTAAGCGGGAGGCTGAGCCAGGAGAATGGCCTGAACCCGGGAGGCGGATATTGCAGTGAGCGGAGATCGCGCCACTGAACTCCAGCCTGGGCAACAGAGCGAGCCTCCATCTCAAAAAAAAAAAAAAAAAAAGAGCAGTTTATCCTCTTAAAATTAGTTTTATTATATGGCTTCATTTTCCTGGCTCCTAATTTATTCAGTCATGAGAAAATCTCTGCTGTTACAAAGATCCTTAAATGTCCAACGGGGAGATGTGGGGAAGACAGTGCCAGAGTCTCAATGGAGTAGCTTCTCCTATGTGACAGTTTTCCAGGTAGCTTTTGTTGTTTAGGTGGCCAAAAAAACTGTGAATTGCCCACGATCCTCCATTATGGTTCAGGTTATGTTTCCTAGAATAGAAATGGGATCCCTCTGGCTTTATGCGTATGCAGACGCCAGGGGTGAAGAAAATAGGCTACCTTTGCAGAAATATAAATAACTTAGTATAGAGGGGTGTACACATAGGGAGAGAAAGAGAAAAGATTATTTTATGTAAAGCAGCATTTTCCATGCTGCGTGCTGTGAACTATGGCATCCCTCCACAAGCGTGAAGATGTCTCCCAGGAAGCAGAGGTAGACAGACACTCAACAGAGAGCAACAGCCCGGCGCATCAACACTAACGAAGCAGTTCTTTTTTTTAACCTCCATGTTCATGTTTGAGAGCTATGACAGCATAATTTAAAAATGCTGCTTGCATGAATTTGAAAATCTGTGCATATGAGACGAGTAGAAGGTTTGAGGATTTGGGTGAATAATCTTCTGGTGATTTTTTAAAAAGAATAAAAGGAATATTTTATTAAAGCATAATCTAAAATATTAATTATCGATATTTGAGACATTCTCTAAGGCAAACAGGTGCTGCATGTCACTCATACTGATTGGTCATGAATGAGTTGTAGGTGTCCAGAGATACTGATTCCTTCTCTTCTCAGGAAAGGCCAGGCGGGGCCTGGGGCAGCTCCAGCTGCCAATACTCTGGTTGGTTTCATTCTTGTGCTGTATGAATATTGTCCTTTTCTCTGAATGTCATGATGGGAAATGGATGGGAAGCACTGTGCTAAGGTCCTTTTCTTGATTTTATCACCAGTGTATTTCTGTACTGTCTGTGGAATTTTGATCTGCAGATGTCAATGTGTCTTCTACTAAAGAGAGATTGTACCCTCTCACACTGTAAGAATTCAGCCAGCATTTTTTGAAACATAAACACCTTTCATAAAACCGTTATGAAATATTTGATAATCAGTTATTTCTGTTTCATGAAGCCTTAGGGGAAAATAACATTATTATGTAATTACCGAGCAGACACTACATGCCAGGCACCCTGATAATCTGTGAGACTGGTCTATTATTTGCCGTTAGAAGACATACAAGTGAGTGTAATGAGCAGGTTAAAATTCTAGCACCACCATTCACCAGCTTCAGCAAGTTACTTAACATCTCTGTCCCTCAGTTTCCTAATCTATGTAATGGGGCTAATCATAGGATGTGCCTCATTAGTCAGTTGATCAAAATGAACAACCCTATTAGTTACCTGATAAAAGTAAGTCATCTTTGTGTAATGTTGTGAGGATTATTATGTATGTGGGGTTTAGAAAAGTGCCAGTCACGTGGTAAGTGCTATAAAAATATTAGCTATTATATTTATTTTCAGAGATCCCCAAGGTAGGTGGCGGGCATGGTCATCAAGGTGTTCCTGCCTGGGTAAGAATTCAAAGATTCAGCGGGTATGTCTGAACTGCTTCCCTGCATCTGAGATGCCTGTGCTGCAGGCTCCAGAGATGTTGTCTTAAGCAGAATGTTCCTGTGTGTTATTTCACTTCCCCTGATTTCTGAGCCTTTTATGAGCCTATAGTGGGGCTACTCTTCAGGCTTTGAGCAATCCAGTAGCCTTCCAATACATTGCTTTCTGTTTGATTTAGTCTGAGTTGGTCTCTGTTGTTTGTAAACAAAAACTCAGATTAGTACATCCCTATTTGATATTTAAGAAAAAGAGGCTCAGAAGGATTACAAGTCTTACGCAAGTTCTTGAAACTAGTAAAGAATTAAGAGAGAATTCAGCATGCATTATCCCTACTGCAATACCGTGAGCTCCTTTTACTAGAATAAATCCTTGCAAATGCTTCCTTTAAAATAATGACTGAGTTTTGTTAAGTTTTCTGTGAAAAGATTAATCAATATTTTTATTTAGTGAATGATTAAATAGGGTTCTCTGATATTTGAAAGAGGGTTGTGTTTTGTTTTGTTTGTTTTGAGCAATGTGAGGCAACTACCACTGGAATACTAAGATATTTACTGAAACTTCATTATGTGGCACTTTTGTTGGTAAATGCTCTGCCCAATATTATTATGATCTTGATGTCTCTGTCTCTCGTTCTGGAGTACCCTCTGTTGTACAAAGGTCAGTGTAAAATAAGTAAATTTTCAGATATGATACAATGTGTGCAATAAAGATTAAGTGATGAAGTGTGAATTACAGAATTTTACCGTATTAATTTAGTTAGTTGGTAAAAGTGAACTCTAACTTAAATAGTTAACGTAGTTACTAGAGAAATTTTAGGATATAGTATGAATGGAAGGGAGCCCTAGAAAGACCCTTCAGAGAATGATGAATGCTATGAATTTAAATTAACTAGGTTTCTGGCTGGGTGACATTTCCTTAATCTGAACTATCCTGTATATAACTATTAAGTTATGACATCAATTCGTGAGCCTCGGGGGTGTCGCTGCAATGTCTTCAGAATTGTATGGTGTCTTGTAGAAATGATTTGGTCTATGGCAGTCTCACACTGTGGTGTTTAGGTTTTGATGATGATGATGGGGTCACCAAGGTAGTTTAGGGCAAAAAATGCCAAAACCAAACCATAAATCAGGGGATAAGCAGGAATTGGAATTGGGTTATTAAACCAGAGACAGATCTTGCGACAAGTCCAGGTTGAATGTCGTTAAAATAAAGAAGGCCACAATCTATGTCAAGAAAGGATGACAAACGTGGAGGATCAGAGACAGGAAGAATTGGGGAGATGAGTAGTGGACAGAGCCGAGAGAAGAGGCAGTGAGCCTTGTGTCTGGACTGTCTAATGAGTGTTGCCCAAGATGGCGATTCTCCACCTTGGGCCACACACAACGACTCTGTGATGAAACATGTGGGATTTTGGCTGGGAGTTTCTGGGTAAATGGATCTGACCTTTTCATATCCTTAAGGACTGTGTAGTCAACCCAATGCTTGTACCAATTGGGAAACTAATTCAATAAGTTATGGCTCATGACATCTAAACATTGGAAATCCAGCCACTAGTCAGAGAAAATCGTTCTCTCTTCCACTAATCTCCTTTAACATTTTAATATTAATATTTTCAATCAATTTGTGTACAAGATACAAATGAAATAAAACAGAAAGATTTTTCTCTTCTTTCTTTATTTTTTTGAGACAGAGTCTCACTCTGTTGTCCAGGCTGGAGTGCAGTGGTGCCATCTCGGCTGACTGCAATTTCCGTCTCCTGGGTTTGAGCAATTCTCCTGGCTTAGCCTCCTGAGTAGCTGGGATTACAGGCACATGCCACCACGCCTGGCTAATTTTTGTATTTTTAGTAGAAATGGGGTTTCACCATAGTGGCCAGGTTGGTCTTGAACTCCTGACCTCAAGTGATCCACCCACCTCGGCCTCCCAAAGTGCTAGGATTACAGGCGTGAGCCACTGTGCCCAGCCAGAAAGACTTATTAGAATAGAAAAACAATAGTCCCCTGTATAACTTCGACATTTCCAGTTCCATTTTCCAGAGAAAACTAATATGAAGAATTCATATATTTTTTGTTTTGGTAATTCACTCTCTTGTATCATTTGATTTGCTGATTTACCTATTTGCTTAGATTCAAAAGAATAGGATTTAGCTTACCGTATGCTCTCCCCTCCTCTTATTATACTTTTTGATAAGGCTCTTCTTTAGTTACACTAAGTAATAGGCTCTATTTCTTATTCCATCAAATTTAAGCAATATCACTTGAGACCCTTGACCCCCTTGAAGGATGATGCTACCAGTGACTCTACCATTGTCTTTGCTTCTGCTTCTCACAGCTCTCCCACCTTATATCAACTCTGCCTTTACTTTTACATTCTCAGGGTTACATTTGTACTAAACTTGCAACCACAAGAAATATTTCATCTGTGCTCATAGGCCGATTCCAAAAAAAAAAAACAAAACTATACTATTTCGTCTGTTCCATGTGTTCTCTTGGAGGTTTTTCTTTCTTTTATTTTTTAGGGCTATTGTTTTTCTCCATGTGCCTGGTAATCTTTAGTTGTTTGTTCATGTCTAAGATTCAGGACTTGGTTGAATTTGAAGGAAGCTAGTCTGGGTTGCTCTCCCAATGTTGTGTGTGTAGGGTGTTTTCCCACTAGGTCTTAGTGAATAGAAAACATGACTGTGATCTCTGTGTCTGGGAAAGGGCTTATCAATGGCAGGCTTCACTTGAGGATGAGCAGGAAAGGAGCTGGTTTTTAGACTGGGACCTCCAACCTGCCAGAATGGGTAAGGTTTTCCTGGAGCTCCAGAAATCTTCCCATCAGCCCTTCATTTCCATAGTTATTTGGTAGATTTATCTGGAGTTCTCAGGTGTTTGCCAGGGTAAAACCTGGACTGCCTTGGGAGTGTGAAATGAAGGTGATTTCAAGCTTAAGGCACTAGTTCTGAAGGTTCTATGTCATGCCCCCTTTGTTCTCGTGTCATCCTTTTTGCTTGTTAACCTGTGTCTGGAGCCTCTCTGGACTCTGTCCTTTAAGACAAAGATAAAATCTCTCCTTTGCTGTCATATTCCTGTGCATATTTTTCAATGCTGTTTTAAATCTGTCAACAAGTTTTCACTCTGTTTCTGTCTTTCATAAATGTGTTAAAAACCTCTTGTCTTAGGATGGACCATTCTCTCTGATGTAGTAAGCTTGTTTATGTGTGATTATTTTATCGGGGTCATTGGAAGTAATGGAGAAAAGCATCTATTCTAAGTCTGTACTCTTGATGAGACTTGCTCAGACTTGATCAGACTCGATCTGAAAACTAACAATGACTTTTTGACACCTCTTTGGAAAGATTTTACAAACTCTCCTGAAATTAAAAGTAAAAGAAATTAGTTGCTATATTTATAATGCTTTGAAATATGCATGAAGCTACTTACATTTTTAATATTATTCATCAAGGACATAGAGCTACATCCTAATCTGATATAATTGAGGCATCAGTTTTCTCTGTCAAGTGAACCCCTGAAAGTTTCCTGGAAGATGAGAGTAAGATAGACATCTAAATCTTATAGCAAATTATGATATCTTCCATGATGACTGAGGTTGTTTTTGTTTGCCTAATACCTGTTATCTAGAGTGACAAAGAATAATTGAAAAAAATCTCAGGGCAACTTTTACTGGAAGTCTTTAAAACCCAGCTTCTTTCGTTTCATGTTTCTTTGCTGGTTGACTTTGAAATTTCAGTATGCTCAGAGAAGAGTCAGATGACCATGAATTGAGAATAGAGCTGAGGCATTTCAGTTTACATGGTGAGGATGAGAGAACCAGGCTTCATCAACAAAAGGATTAAAATAAGCATGAGATCAAAGATTTCTAACAAATGGAAATTAGGGAAGGACTCTTAGCTGCAATACAAAATGGAAGCTTAGGAATGTAGCATTATTGAACAATCTAGCTGCAGATTTCATGTTTCCAGGCGTGGGGTACGTTTGGGTCAAGAACTAAAAATCATTTGTTAAGAGTTAGTTTGTTCATTTTTGTATTTAATCATCTTTTATTCATTCTACAAATATTTATTGAGCAACAATTAAGGTCTTATTATGAGAATTCTGGGGATCCAGTGGGGAAAATGTAGACTTGGTTTCTGTTCATTGAAAGATTAAGATCTGATGTGGGGTGCAACAATTAAAGAGACAATAGTCTTTGCTAAAATCTAGCTAGAGCCAAAGCACATCAGGATAAGTCAACAATTTCTGCCATGACAGATGTGTTCTTATATGCTGAGTATAGTTAAGTAATTTGTTAGTTTTTTTTTCAAAAATAGATATTGGCATTAATAAAGTAAATACATTCGACAGTGTGGGCAGCCTTAACCATCAGCTGAAAATTACTTCAGTAACGTACTGTTCTCAGCAATATTCACGTACAAATCATGTGGGTTCCCAAAAGTTTGTAAAGAGAAGCTATAGGTATTTTCCGAAGCCTAATGGCACTGAGGGGTTTTGATGGACACTTGAACTTCCAGCTGAGGAAATGGAAATGTAACCACTGGTTCACTCTGGCCAGATTCCAAAATCATTGTGTTGTTTTTTGTTTGTTTGTTTGCTTGTTTGTTTCTGAGGCAGAGTTTCGCTCTTGTTGCCCAGGCTGGAGTGCAATGACACAATCTTGGCTCACTGCAACCTCCGCCTCCCATGTTCAAGTGATTCTCCTGCCTCAGCCTCCTGAGTAGCTGGGATTACAGGCATGTGCCACCACATTCAGCTAATTTTGTATTTTTAGTAGAGATGGGGTTTCTCCATGTTGGTCAGGCTGGTCTCGAACTCTTGACCTCAGGTGATCCACCCACTTCGACCTCCCAAAGTGCTGGGATTACAGATTTGAGCCACCACACCCACCGTGTGTTGGGTTTTGATCGATGCTTGCATTCCCCTTGTCCTTGCAGGTCCTTACCTGAATGTTTGCAATTCTGAGATTTGATAGGGCAAGTGGAAGAGTTAGAGGTGGGTCTAAAAATGCTGTCTACCTTTAGGAATCAGGCTGAGAAAGAGTTCGATAGGAATAAACTGAGCATGCATTTAACAAGCTAAATCTACATCAAAGGGACAGAAAGGAACCACTTGATAATAAAAATGTTGCTTTGATTGAAACTGGGCAAAAAGCCAAAGGTACTGGAAGAAGACTCTGAAACATACTGAATTGTTTTTGATCAAACACTCCATAAATCTAGGGTAAAATGTGAATTTTTTCCAGTAAATTGTGAGGCTACATCAAAATGGTCCTCTTGCTGAGCTCCAGAGTTGAGCTCTTGTTCATAAAGTCCTTTTCTCTCTAATGAAATAACAGTTATAGATACATGCATTAATTCAAAATAGATTTACTGAATATCAATCATGTACAAGAATTTCTTATCAGGAATTATGATGAGAAGTTACAGATTTCTTCTTTCACTCATTTCTTTGATTATAAAGAAGTAATTTAACAGATTTCACCATAAATTCTTATTAAAACAAACAAGCATTCTTAGAGTGTAACAGTACTCATTTGTAAAGCAACTTTATTTGGACATAATAAAATTAACAACACACTCTATTATATTTCAGGCTATTTTATTCACTGCTTTGTCAGTGTTTGGGAGTAACTGTTTAAGATTTGTTTCCTTTATTATACTGTAAAATGCTGGAACAGGAACTATGATTATTTTTTTTCAAGACTAGCCCATAACAGGGAATCAATAAAATGCTACCAAATGAAGCTGTCATACATCGAGATATATTGAGAAAACTAATATGTATGACTTGATATCATCTTTCTATATAACCATGGTTTGTGTCTAAGTGGGAGAGAATTTATAAGATTTAGAGAATTTTCATATGAATCTATCTAGCTCACAATCAGAGACATTAGAGATAAAATGATGAAAATCTGATAAGACAAAATTAAGTGCAGGTCCAGATAGTTAATTGGTGTCTTAGAGGTAAAACAGCTTATGAAGCAAAAACAAAACAAAACAAAACAAAACATAACAAAACTTTCTCCTGGGGAGGCTGAGTGTCAGGTAGCCAGGCAATTCTCCACTGGAGACCTGTGATAACCCTGATATCCATAGTCATCAAGCATTTAGGAGCTCCAAAGGCAGGCTTGATGCAGGGCAGTGTTAGATAAAAATTAGTTTTACCTATGAATGTGTCTGCTTTCTGCAGCCCAAGTGACAATATCCAAGAAAACATACAAAATAAAGTTCTAGTGTAGCTGATGTCAATTTGAAGGGAACAGGGTGAAACAAATTGCCCTTGCAAGGGTTTCTAAGAATAAAATCATCCTTTGTATTGGATGGATACAAGAGCCAATTAGCAACAACAGGTAACATTTTTTGATACCTGGTAAAAAATGTTTGATACAGGTAACATTATTTGATAATGGCACTTACTATTTGCAAGCACACTATGAAATAGTTTGCATGCATCATCTATTTCAATCCTCACAAACTCTGTAAATTCTACACTCATTAGGTCCATTTTACGGATAAGGAAACTGAAGATAAGACAAGTCAAATTGACCAAGAAGGGGCAGAGGGAGGACCCAGATTCAGGCTACTTGTCTCCAAATCTCACAGCCTTGAGCTCTGTGTAACACTGCCTCATCTCGGAGAAGAATGAGCATAAGGGCGAAAGAACAGAAACATACCCTGGGGAATGAGCCTGGCAGGTGCTGTACAATGAGCATCAGAGTGGAACAGCTTTGAGGGAAGAGCCTGTAAACCAGTAAAGAAGGTTTGCTAAGAACAGTGGTTTAGATAGGGAGACTGCAGCTAGATGTTCATGTGGATACCTCATACTCTATTCTGTTGCAGGTATAAGGTAGCAGAGAAGGCACTTCTGCTTAGTAAGGAAGGTGGTTTCATTATAATGCCAAATCCACTACTGTCCTAGGAAACTGATAATCCATTGCTGCGCCCAGAAAAGTGGTGTCCCTATTGCTCTTCATTATACGATGCCAAGTCAAATCTTTTTTTTTTTTCTTTCTCTAAGTATGATACAAACAATACAGAGAGTTTGGGTTGAGGAAAGTTGTTATTGTTTGAAGATATTCAATTTATTAATAGAGTTAATAAATACCTATTTATTAAATAGATATGGAGGTATCTAAACAAATATCTCTCATGTGCCAGACATTGATCTGGAGGCATAAAATATACTATCAAACAAATAGACATATGTTTTTATGTACTTGGACCAGACAATAAATAATGAATATAATACAGTCATAAACTGTATGGAATATTAGAAGGTATGGTGGAAAAATTAATCAGGGTACAGGTGGGTTTGGTATTGGAAGTGCATTGTTATTCTAACTAGTTTGGGCAGACTAGAACTCTCAGAGAAGGTGACATTTGAGCATTTATTTGAAGGGGGGGAATACATTGGTCCTGGGGATATCACAAGGAAGAGTGCTTCAGCAATAGGAACAGCCAATGCAAAGGTTTCTGATGTCCTATATGTTCTATATTTGCTCCACATATGTGCCGTATGTGTTCCCGGGTAGAAGTGATGGTGGTGTCCATGAATGTTCTTCTCTGATTGCTTCTATTTTCTCAGTGAAATAATAAGCAGGATTGTTAGCTGAGAGTGAGGATGGAAAAGGGAAAGGTGGTTTGAAGGAAGATAAGAGTGGGTGATACAGTCCTCTATCAGTATGGGAGAGGGAATGGGCATGTCAGTCTGCTAGGGCTGCCATAATAGAGTACCATACTGGTGCTTAAACAACAGAAATTTATTTTCTCACAGTCCGGGAGGCTGAAAGTCTGAGAGAGCTTTAAGGCAAAGATCTGTTCCAGGCCTCTCTCCTTCATTTGTCAACGGCTGCCTTCTCCTTGAGTCTTCACGTAGTCTGCCCTCTGCACCCAACTGTGTTTACATTTCCTTTTATTCAAAGGACCTCAGTCATATTTGATTAGGGCTCATCCTAATGATCTCATTTTAACTCAATTACTTCTTTAAAGACCTTGTCTCCAAATACAGTGACATTTGAGGTACTGGGAGTTTGGACTCAATATATGAATTTTGGGAGGACACAATTCATTCCATAACAATGGACAATATACAGCTAGAAGAGTCAGGAGTTAAGAATTAATGAGAAAGAACTTCACTAGGGGTGAGAATTGAGAGTTTATATTCAATTTTTAAATAACCTCTACTCAGAAGCTCTGGATGTAGCACTTTAAAATTTCTCACCAATATCCGAGAAGACACAGACAAATGTGAAAGCTCAAATGGCAACATAAAAATAAAACGAAACAACAACTGACCTAACAATTAACAAGACATAGAGGACAAAAAAAAAAAAAAAAAAAAGACACACAAAAAAACGTGGAACAAGCATGGCAAAAGTGGGTTCTGTGTATGAGATTTATTTTTTTTTTAACTCAGAGAAATGAAATAATGAATAGAAGAAAAGAATCAACCCCAGTGAAGCAAAACTGCACCAGATAAACTATCATTGGAGACTAGATATTGACCTTGGGATTCTGCACAGTAACCTGCTCTCTAGCTATAAACCTGAGAACACAATTGATCTGTCACTCACATAAGATTAGCAGTGTCATGGGCAAATCACATAACAGATCTGTTGACGAACGCTTCATCTCTGTATGTTCTGCTTTATTGGAAAAAGAGAAAAGTAATAAAATCCCGTGAAGAAACAGTGCAGAACCAGGGTAAGAAACATCATCATGAAGATGCAGGTGAGAAGGTGAATTTAAAAATTATTACTAAAGCATTGACTAGAACACATTAGGTAGATAACAAAAAATCCTAATAGGATGCAATAATACATCATTCCAATGAAACAATCGAAAAAACCCTAAAAGGAGATATAGGATGTGATGACAAAATATATACCTGAGACAAAGAAGGACAGCAAGGAAAATAGAATAATAATCCACCCTGGATTGGGTAACCGTCAGAATTAAAAAGGGAGAAATGGGAATAATTGTTTGGAAGATAATATTTACAAGTTTTTTGAGAATGCAGAGGTAAATGACAGCAATAAGAAAATAAAAGAACTGATCTTATTGCTGAAAAAAATATTAAAAATCAATAGGAGAGAAACAATAGTTAAAACTATAACTGATTAAAACTACCTTGCATGTGCAAATTGAAAGGCTCGTTAATAATGAGAACAGATTCACACTGTGACATATCCTAAGTCTGTTCAAAGAAAGCAAAATTAAAAAATCAAATGACCAACCCCTTCCAGTACAACAAACTCCTTATAAAACATCCATGGAGAAAAAAACATCATCTACTAAAATGTTTGATGCAATCCAAAATGCCAAAAATATAGAGCATATTTTGCAAAAGTGTAATTCGATCTAATAATTGTATAATTAGCCAACTTGTCTTTTGTTTGTTAAGGGAGACAAAAGTATATTCAAATATAGAAATGGTACATAAAAGTGCCACCATTATGATATTCTTTTAAAAAAATCACTTAATAACACCAGTTCACAGAAGTGAAATGAAAATCAGATGTTGAATGACAGGTTGAGGAGATAAAAAAAGAGTAATATAAACTGTAGTATATTGTGATTCAGTGGAATGATGAAGAATATTGAAATATTTTATTTTCTAAAATGTATAATTGACATATAATAATTCTGCATATTTATGGGAAACAAGGTGATGTTTTCATACATGTATACATTTTGTAATGATCAAGTCAGTGTAATTAGCATATCCATCACTTTGAACATTTATCATTTCTTTGTGATGCGAATATTCAAAAATTTCTTTTCTAGCTGTTTTGAAATTTACAGTATACATTATTGTTAACCCTAGTCATCCTACTATAGATGCAATAGACCAACAGAACTTATCTCTTCTTTCTAACTGTAGCTTTGTACCCATTGACCAAACTCTCACAAAACCCCTTTTCCCCATTCTCTGGTTATCACTGTTCTACTCTCTACCTCTGTGAAAACAACTTGTATATTTCAGAGTGAGATCATGCAATATTTCTCTTTCTGGAGACTGAAGATAATCTCCAGATTCATCCATAAAGACTGCATTCTTTTTTGTGGCCAAATGATACTGCATTGTGTATATATACCACTTTTTTTTTTTTTTTTTTTTTTGAGGAGTATCTGTCTGTCGCCCAGGCTGGAGTGCAGTGGCGCGATCTCGGCTCACTGCAAGCTCCGCCTCCCAGGTTCATGCCATTCTCTTGCCTCAGCCTCCCGAGTAGCTGGGACTACAGGCGCCTGCCACCATGACCGGCTAATGTTTTTGTATTTTTAGTAGAGACAGGGTTTCACCGTGTTAGCCAGGATGGTCTCGATCTCCTGACCTTGTGATCCGCCCGCCTCAGCCTCCCAAAATACAACTTTTTTTTTCCATTCATCCATTGATGGACATTTAGGTTTATTCCGTATCTTGGCTATGGGAATAATGCTGCAATAAACATAGAGTGCAGATATATCTTTGACATACTGATTTCATTTCTTTCGGATATATACCCAGTAGTGCGGTTGCTGGATCACATAGTAGTTCTATTTTTAATATTTTGAGGAACCTTTATAATGTTTTCCATAATAGCTGTATTAATTTACATTCCCACAAGCAGTGTGTAAAGGGTATAAAGGTTCCCTTTCCCAACAACATCACCAACACTTGTTATCTTTTGATTTTTTGATAGTCATTATTCTGATTGGATAGTGCCTGATCTCCTGGTAGTTTTGATTTGCGTGTCCCTGATCATTAGAGTCATTGAGCATTTTTAAACGTATCTGTTGGCTATTTGTCTTCTTTTGATAAATATTTATTTAGGTCTTTTGCCCATTTTAAAATTGGGTTACTTGCTTTGTTGTTGTTGAGTTGTTTCAATTCTTTATAATTTTGGATATTTGTTGCAAATAAATTATTTCATTCTGTAGGTTGTTTCTTTGCTCTGTTGATTGTTACCTTTGCTGTGCAGACGCTTTTTAGTTTGACATAGTCCCATTTGTCTGTATTTGCTTTTGTTGCTCATGCTTTGAGGTTTTATCCAAAAAATCCTTGCTTAAAACGATTTCAGGGAGCTTTTCTCCTATGTTTTCTACTAGTAGTTTCACAGTTTCAGGTCTTATGATTAAATCTCTAGTTTATTTTGAGTAATTGATAAGAGTCTAGTTTCATTCTTCTGTATGTGGATTTCTACTTTTCCCAGCACATTTATTAAAGAGGCTGTTCTTTCTCCATGGTGTACTTAGCACCTTTGTTGAAAATCAATTGGCTGTAGTTGTGTGTGTTTATTTCTAGGCTTTCTCAATTCAGTATCATTTTTCTATGTACCTGTTTTTATGCCAGTACCATGTTGTTTTGGTTACTATAGCTTTGTGGTATATTTTGAAGCGAGGTGGAGTGATGCCAGCCAAAAACAGACAAACCCAAAATAAGGGTGGAAGGGAAAAAATAATAAATATTGGAGCAAAAGTAAATAAAATACAGAAAAAAAGCCCAGGAGAACAAAAAAAGTTGGCTTTTGAGAAGATAAACAAAATTGGCAAATTTTAGCTAGACTTAAAAAAAAGAGAAGACTCAAATAAATGAAGTCAGAGATGAAAAAGGAGTCTACTAACAACAATTAAATAAAATAAAAGTGAAATTGATATGTACCTATGCATAAAGCTATTTGCTATAACTTGGGTACATTGTGTATTTCTAAAGAAACTAAAAATCTATCAAACTCTAAAAAAAAGAAAAGAAAAGAAAAGAAAATGGAGTCTGGCATCACAAGATACAAAAGATCATTAGATACTATTATGAACAATTATATACCAACAAATGGGGAATCCTAGAAGAAATGGACAAATTCCTGGACATATACAATTTATTCAGATTGAATAATGAAGAAATAGAAAATCTCAATATACCAGTGAGTAACAAATTAAATCAGTGATAAAAAAATCTTTCATCAAAGAAAATCCCAGGATCAGATGGCTTCACAGCTGAATTCTACAAAACACTTAAAGTGGAACTTATACTAATTCTTCTCAAATTATTGCAAAAAAATCAAAGTGGAGTAAATTCTTCCAAATTAATTCTATGAGGCCAGCGTTGCCCTGACACCAAAACCAGACAATACAATGACACAACAGAAAAAGAAAACTAAAGGACAATATTTCCGATGAACATATATGCAAAAATTCTTTTTTTAAATTTTATTTTATTTTATTATTATTATACTTTAAGGTTTAGGGTACATGTGCACAATGTGCAGGTTTGTTACATATGTATACATGTGCCATGCTCGTGTGCTGCACCCATTAACTCATCATTTAGCATTAGGTATATCTCCTAAAGCTATCCCTCCCCGCTCCCCCTACCCCACAACAGTCCCCAGAGTGTGATGTTCCCCTTCCTGTGTCCATGTGTTCTCATTGTTCAATTCCCACCTATGAGTGAGAATATGCGGTGTTTGGTTTTTTGTTCTTGTGATAGTTTACTGAGAATGATGATTTCCAATTTCATCCATGTCCCTACAAAGGACATGAACTCATCATTTTTTATGGCTGCATAGTATTCCATGGTGTATATGTGCCACATTTTCTTAATCCAGTCTATCGTTGTTGGACATTTGGGTTGGTTCCAAGTCTTTGCTATTGTGAATAGTGCTGCAATAAACATATGTGTGCATGTGTCTTTATAGCAGCATGATTTATAGTCCTTTGGGTATATACCCAGTAATGGGATGGCTGGGTCAAATGGTATTTCTAGTTCTAGATCCCTGAGGAATCGCCACACTGACTTCCATAATGGTTGAACTAGTTTACAGTCCCACCAACAGTGTAAAAGTGTTCCTATTTCTCCACATCCTCTCCAGCACCTGTTGTTTCCTGACTTTTTAATGATTGCCATTCTAACTGGTGTGAGATGGTATCTCATTGTGGTTTTGATTTGCATTTCTCTGATGGCCGGTGATGATGAGCATTTTTTCATGTGTTTTTTGGCTGCATAAATGTCTTCTTTTGAGAAGTGTCTGTTCATGTCCTTTGCCCACTTTTTGATGGGGTTGTTTGGTTTTTTCTTGTAAATTTGTTTGAGTTCATTGTAGATTCTGGATATTAGCCCTTTGTCAGATGAGTAGGTTGCAAAAATTTTCTCCCATTTTGTAGGTTGCCTGTTCACTCTGATGGTAGTTTCTTTTGCTGAGCAGAAGCTCCTTAGTTTAATTAGATCCCATTTGTCAATTTTGGCCTTTGTTGCCATTGCTTTTGGTGTTTTAGACATGAAGTCCTTGCCCATGCCTATGTCCTGAATGGTAATGGCAAAAATTCTTAACAAAATACTAGCAAATCATATCCAACAGTATATGAAAAATTGTTCACCATGGCCAAATGGAATTAATCCCAGGGATATAAGGATGGTTCAACATATGCAAATCAACAAACATGATACAATACATCAATGCAATGAAGGACAAAAACCATCTGATCATCTCAATAGAAACAAACAAACAAACAAAAAAGAATTTGATAAAATTTAACATCACTTCCTGGTAAAAACTCTCAACAAAGTGGGTATAGAAGGAACATACCACAACATAATAAAGGCCATACATAAACAATCCATAGCTATTATCATACTACATGGGGGAAAGCTAAAAGCTTTCTTTCTAAGATCTGGAACAAGACAAGGATGCCCACTTTCACCACTTTCATTCAACATAGTACTGAAAGTTCTATCCAGAATAATCAGGCAAGAGAAAGAAAGGGCATCCAAATTAGAAAAGAGAAAGTCAAATTGTCTCTGTTCGCAGACAACACGATCTAATATACAGAAAACCCCAAAGACTCCAGCCCTGCCCAAAATGAAACTAATACATTTAGTAAAGTTGTAGGATACAAAATCAACATACAAAAATTAGTAGCATTTCTATATGCCAATATAGAGTTACCTGAAAAAGAAATCACAAAGCAATCCCTTTTACAATAAGTACAAAAAAACACTAGAAATAAATTTAACCAAAGAGGCGAAAGATCTTTACATCAAGAACTAGAAAACATTTATCAAATGAATTGAAGAAGACACACAAAAAATGGAAAGATATCCCCTGCTCATGGGTTGAAATGGACATTGTTAAAATATCCATACTAACCAAAGCAATCTATAAATTCAATGCATTCCCCATCAAAATACCAATGATATTTTTCACACAAACAGAAAACAAAAATCCTAAAATCTGTGTGGAACCACAAAAGACCCTGAATAATTAAAGCAATCTTGAGCAAAAAGAACAAAATCAAAATATTTTCTAAATTAAAATGAAGACATTTAAAACATATAATATTAATAGCAATTGCTGTATAATTGCTGATGTAATATTACATTAACAAAGACCAGTATGGGAATTAGAAAAACTCAAAAAACTTAAATGTTAACACAATAGAATAGAATGTATATCTTCTGAAACACTGCGGATCCTATAAGTAAAATAAAACTTCTAAAAACCCTATATAGTAAAGAAAACAAAAGAAACAGCAAGATCCTGAAACAAGAAAACAGAAGCTAGAGCAGATATATGAGCTAAAATTGAGCTAAGAAAAAAACATTTGTGTGTTCTGTTTGAGAGGAATGAGTTATTATAAGCAATAGCATTAAAAAGATACCCATTGTAAATATTTTGTGGCAATTTTTAAAATCACAAAGGTAAAGAAAAATATTCTAAAATCATATAAAATATTTCAGAAGGCTGTTTTAATTTAAAGATGGAGCTCTTTGGTAAGGTAAAAACAAAAATCTTACTTATTAAGAGTGTCATAAAAAAAGTACAAAAGAATTTCCAAATAAAAGAATAGGCAAAGATTTACCAGGCAAATGAAAGGTTTACAATATTAGTGTTAGAGATTTAGAATTCCAGGCAAAGGTCATTTAATAGTTGGAAATCATTAAGTGGGGCAAAGGAAAATTAAAATAAATCAATGATAAAATTAAAAGGCAAAGGCAAATCTGGGAACTATTTGCAATGTTTACTACAGTCAATAAGCTTTCAGTATTTAAAAAATAAACACCTCTTCAAGGCAACATAAATAGTTGAGGAAAAAAAATAAGAGAAGTGGAAGGAGTAAATAAGTGTGAAAAAGTTTAACCCACTTAGAGAGCAAAGAAATGCAAAATAAAGTGACAATCTGTTTTTCACCTACTAATATGACAAGTATGGATTTATTTTTTGTCATTTTGTTTTTAAAATAATAATGGCAACTTCGAGTTTGTAGGTAATTGAAAATTCTAATACATTGTTGATAGATCTATGAATTACCAGTCTTTTTTGAAGGGAGAAATATTCATTTCCTTTGATTCAGTAATTTCACTTCTCAGCATTTATTTTAGGGGAAAAAAGCATGTAGTCACACAATAATGTGTTACAAGAGAGTTCATCATAGTGGCATTTGTGCTACTACAAAACAAAAACAGGTTTTTCTTTCCTATTTTACTAAAGACAAATTTTAAAGTAGACTATGTTGTAACCATTTAAAGTTATGTTTCTGAAATATATATGATGATAGAGACAATCCCCATAGTTAATAATGTTAAATAATAAAGAGCAGGTTAATAGATTTTCATTTCAAATTCTATTTATAAAGTATCTTTATAGAAAAAATAAAACAAAATATAAGAATAGAAGTGGATATTTAAGCATGGTAGAATTCTGAGTGATTTTTGTTTTACTTTTTATTTGGTGTATTTCCAAAATTAACTGTAATCATAAATCAATGTTAGAATAAAATTTGACTTAAAAATACTTGCCCGGTGCTGAAAATAAAATAATGTGGAATTTTTCCTTAGCTTGAATCATTTGACTATTTTTCGAACTCAAAGTTATTCCTGATTCCTCAGGTAGAATTATGTTTTGTGTCAACTACAGTATGCTTTATGCATTTCCCTGAAGATACCTAAACTGTGGGGGTTTTTGGACTTAGTTGATAACATATTTGTCTCTATCTTTAGGACTATGACTATATTAGTCCGTTCTCACACTGTATAAAGAACTACCTGAGACTGGGTAATTTATAAAGAAAAGAGGTTTAATTGCCTCATGTTTCCACAGGCTGTACAGGAAGCATGGCAGCATCTGCTTTTGGGGGGGCTTCAGGGACCTTTTACTGACGGTGGAAGGCAAAGAGGGAGCAGATGTCTTACGTGGCAGGAGCTGGAGGTGTCACACGCTTTTAAACAACCAGATCTCACGAGAACTCACTCACTCACTCACTATGATGAGAACAGCACCAGGAGATGGTGTTAAACCATTCACGAGAATTCTGTCTCCATGATCCAATCACCTCCCACCTAGCCCCTTCTCCAACATTGAGAAGAACAGCTGGACATGAGATTTGGCTGGGGACACAGATCCAAACCATATCAGGGACTATGAGCCCCTCAGTTTGAGGTATCCTATTCTATTAATATTTTAATATGAAATGCCTCAACAATGGGCTGTTTCCCACATATTGATAATGCTTATCAAATATTGGCTGAATTGAATGAATTTATTCTACTTTGATTATGGAGATAGAAACTTACAGGCAGAATAAGTGGTTTATAAAATCAGTTAATAATACAAAGCATTTTGGATGTGGGTTTTTTAATGTTGTATTCTCCTAATTTACCAACTTAACCTATTTCCTGCTTACCCTGAGAAATAAGCTCTGGCAGCAAGCTGCACTTTTCTTTCTTTCTTTCTTTCTTTTTTTCTAAATGGGAAACAGATTAAATATTTACATGTTCAGGTAATTTGGTCCCATCTTATTTATCTTCTCTATTTCATAGATATGATATAGTTCTAAGTAACCTACATAAAAATCCTTTTACTTACACATTTTTAGTAAATACTGGGCTTGAAAAAATGTATAATTTAAAAATCTCATAGTTTCATAATTAAAAAGCCATCATGCTTGAATTGAAGACTGTCCTACTAAAAGGTGCAATGATTTCCCACAACTTGAAATGCCTACAGTCAGTAGAATTTACTAATTTTCATATATATTACATTTCTCCTTTACATAAAGAAGTAATATTTTTTCTTTCTTTGGAAATTTAAAAGAGGGAAAATAATGTGGTAGTGTGTATCAGGGAAACTAGCTGGATGACCTCACGGTATCATTGATGTGTAAGGGCACAAACAGCAAGTATGCCTTGGGGAAGAGTGTAATAAATATGAACTGGAAAAAAACTACCTGAAAGGATATTGCAGCTATAATTAGTGAATCCTCTATAGAAAGAGTCTTTTATATTTATCATTTTACTCCAGTCAATCAAGTGATATTTTTAAGGTCTCTTCGGTACTGTTTTGTGATACATGGAGACTTAGAATTTAATTGGGCAGAGTAAACAGAAAAAAAATGATAAAACTATCTGAATGTATGATGAGTATGTGGTTCATGCCTATTTTCTTAGGGTAATTATTAATAGCATTTATTTTCACTCATCTATGTGTCAAGGATAATTTTTATGGTCACCTTAGTGTGATGGTTAATATTAAGTGTCAACTTGATTGGACTGAAGGATGCAAAGTACTGTTCCTGAGTGTGTCTGTGAGGGTGTGACCAAAGGAGATTAACATTTGAGTCAGTGGACTGAGAGAAGCAGAGACACCCTCAGTATGTGTGGGCACCACCCAATCAACTGCCAGCCCAGCTAGGGTAAAGCAGGCAGAAGAAGGTGGGAGAAACTGACTTGCTGAGGCTTCTGACCTTCATCTGTCTCCTGTGCTGAATGCTTCCTGCCCTTGAACATCAGACACCAAAGTTTTCAGCTTTTGGACTCTTGGACTTACTCCAGTGGCTCTCAGGCCTTCTGAAGGCTGCCCGGTTGGCTTCCCTATTTTTGAGGTTTTGGGACTTGGACTAAGCCACTGCTGGCTTCCTCGCTCCTCAAATTGCAGATGGCCTATTGCAGGACTTCACCTTGTGAGCATATGAGTCGATTCTCCTTAATAAGCTCCCTTTCATATAGACATCTATCCTACTAGTTGTGTCCCTCTAGAGAACCCTGACGGATAGGGTACATTTAAAAAAGACAAATGATGGATAGATATATGTAAAACTGAAGGACTTGAGACCTGAGATTTTTCCACTATGGCCTTCATATACCCCTGTCCGTGGCAGCTGTTCCAGCCTCTCTTGCATGTAACATAAACCCTAACTATTTCTCTTCACTCTTTTGATAAAATCCAGGCTGCCCAAACAATAGCTGCTAATCCACATGAAAAATCCTTCTGGAAATGAGAAGCGTTTCCAGAAAGAGTTGAACTTTGACCAACCTCAAAGTTTCCTGAAATATTCCACTCCCTTCCCCAATTTAGAATGTTTCTACCTTCCTTCACAGTCTTCTCTTGCCAGATATTTTTGAATAAAGTCTTATGGGAATGGTGCGCTGGTTGATTTTCTTCCCCAAGCAGAAAATACTACAGGAATTCAGAGGTGAGGTGGGTGAGATTATTTTGAGCTTTTGTGATCAAAGGAGATTAAGGGAGTGAGGAAGTATTTGAATTCAGCTTAAATGAGTGAATTGTTTACAGATTAAAAAATACATTTTATATATTTAGAGTTTATTATTGGAGATAAGTTTTACCCAAGTGTTCCTACATATATCAAGGCTAAAAATATGTGTAAAACAAAATTAGAACCTGGAAAACTCCTTGTGAAGGTAAATATATGAATATATGCACCAATTAAAATGTAAATAAAGCCAGGAACTGTGGAAAGCCTTATTGCAGACAGTACTTCAGTTTGAGCCATCTTTTTTTTAGTTTTGATGTGGATTTCTAAAACCTGCATACATTCTAATCCACAGAGTCTCAAAAATTTCATTCAAAAGGAATTTTTAAATGAAAAACCATTTACTTGGCATGGCAAAAAAGCCAGAGCTTTCAAATAAATATTTTTAAAACCCTTTGATTTATTATAATGTGACAAGAACATTATCACTAAAAACAAATATAAATGTGTTATTTAAGGTATAAATACAGAAACAATATAATCATCAGAATATTTATGTTAAGTTCTCAGCCACTTATAACAGCCAGGTTAAACATGTGTTCATTCCTGCAAATTTCAATTGCCCCTAAATGTATTGTTTTGTCCTAGTCATTATGCGTTTCAGTGCAGAGTACTGTTCTTTTCAGATATGGAAGAAATAAAGTGGGACCTATTTCTGTCTCTTTCAAGTGGGATTTGAGTGTAGTTACAGAGCATTGTGTTTACCTGGTCTACTCTTTGGGTATCTATGGTCTGAATGTTCATGGTCCTCAATGCAATAGTATTAAAGTGTGGGGCCTTTAGGAGGTACCTAGGTCATGATGGCAGAGCCCTCATGAATGGGATTAGTGTCCTTAGAAAAGAGGCCCAGAGAACTGTCTCTTCCTTCTACCAAGTGAGAAGGCACCATCTGTGAACTAGTGAGCCTTCAACAGACATCAAATCTGCTGGTGCATTGACTATAGTTCCCCAGCCTTTAGAACTGCAAGGAATAAATTTCTGTTATTTATAAATTACCTAGTTTATGGTATTTTTGTCATAGGAGTTAGAATGGGCTAAGGTAATATTTTAGATTAAAGGACCAAGGCTCTGCTTATGGACCAGTGGTGTGCTGGTAAATGTTTTAACAACAGGCTGTTCTAAAAAAAAAGTAGGGAACTGATTTGTAGTGTTTGCCAATTTTCGTGCTATAAATACTATCACTATGGCCATTTCAAACTACCAATGCAATGTCACCGAAATACAGCTGGAAAGAGATGTACTGAGGGACACCATTATAAATATTTTCATCGCACAGGCATGACAGACGTGAATAACTTCAAGGGCATAGATCAAAGTAAATGTAGGAAATTAATTAGGAAGTGATGAGTTTTGCATATTTATTTTCTTTGCTTTAGTATTATTTATCTAATTAGAAGTTCATGTAATTTAACTTTTAATAACCACTATGGTTTTTTTTTTGGCTATACAAATGCATACATTTTACTAATTGGATACAGAATCCATTAAAACTCTGAAGAGATAAGAATTGAAAATATTTGTAGACAGAAGACAATCAGCCAGTCAACTGAGGTCTTTACCGAACCTTTAAAATAAAGTTTGGCAGAGAATGGTTTCTAGATTTTTTTTTTTTTAGGAATAAAATTCCATTTATATCTTTGGGTGCCACAAACTTAGAAACTACCATCAGAGTGAACAGGCAACCTACAAAATGGGAGAAAATTTTCGCAACCTACTCATCTGACAAAGGGCTAATATCCAGAATCTACAATGAATTCAAACAAATTTACAAGAAAAAACCAAACAACCCCATCAAAAAGTGGGTGAAGGATATGAACAGACACTTCTCAAAAGAAGACATTTATGCAGCCAAAAAACACATGAAAAAATGCTCATCATCACTGGCCATCAGAGAAATGCAAATCAAAACCACAATGAGATACCATCTCACACCAGTTAGAATGGCAATCATTAAAAAGTCAGGAAACAACAGGTGCTGGAGAGGATGTGGAGAAATAGGAACACTTTTACACTGTTGGTGGGACTGTAAACTAGTTCAACCATTGTGGAAGTCAGTGTGGTGATTCCTCAGGGATCTAGAACTAGAAATACCATTTGACCCAGCCATCCCATTACTGAGTATATACCCAAAGGACTATAAATCATGCCGCTATAAAGACACATGCACACATATGTTTACTGCGGCACTATTCACAATAGCAAAGACTTGGGACCAACCCAAATGTCCAACAACGATAGACTGGATTAAGAAAATGTGGCACATATACACCATGGAATACTATGCAGCCATAAAAAATGATGAGTTCATGTCCTTTGTAGGGACATGGATGAAACTGGAAACCATCATTCTCAGCAAACTATCGCAAGGACAAAAAACCAAACACCACATATTCTCACTCATAGGTGGGAATTGAACAATGAGAACACATGGACACAGGAAGGGGAACATCACACTCTGGGGACTGTTGTGGGGTGGGAGGAGGGGGGAGGGATAGCATTAGGAGATATACCTAATGTTAAATGACGAGTTAATGGGTGCAGCACACCAGCATGGCACATGTATACATATGTAACAAACCTGCACATTGTGCACATGTACCCTAAAACTTAAAGTATAATAATAATAAAAAAAAAAAAGAGAGAGAGAACTGGGATAACCACTATGTTTAACCACCAGCTTGCAAAATTCCTGAAAATTTAACAACAGGTTTCCATAGACTGGTAAGAGCAGGCTCCAGAGCAGCACATGTTTTGTGTTTACTCCTTTGTTTTCGAAATATGGTCCTACAGACTGACACTTCATCAACACCACCTAGAAATCTGTTATAAATGCAGAATCTCAAGTTCCATGCCAGATATACCTAATCAGATTCTTCATTTTAATAATATGTTCAGATAATTTCTACTCAAGTTACAGTTTTAGAAGTCCTGGAAATTTTACTCTAAGTCCATGCCAGGCTCAAGGATGGGACAGTTCTTGATTAACTGAAAAGTGTACTGCTAACACAAGTTTTCAAATTTGGAGGGATATATTTTTAAAGCCTGTAACTGAAAAACTCAATCAGATTTTAAATCTTGAAAGCTAGGGGGAACATGGAATTGGGACACAGGTTAAAGTAGTTGTCTATGTGTATAATCCACATGACTTTAGATATAACCCAATTAAAAATAAATACCTACTTAATTGTCACAGCCATAGGAAATGCCTAATGATATAACAAAGAGTGTGTGTGTTACGGCACTTATGTCTTCCATGATGAAAACATCTAATTTTAAGTTGGATGTCAACAATCAAATTTTTCTTCCTAAAAGTAAGTATTTAAAATTCTATTCATAATGAACAGATCTGCACATGAAGAATGGAAACACTGGAAAAGACAAAAATGCAGAGATGGACTGAAAGTACTACTGAATGTAGCATTCCATAGACAGGCAAAGTAGGAGTTCTGAATTTTGCAGAGGATTTTGGAGAAAGGTGTTCCTCTCTTCTTTCTTTCTTTCTTTTTTTTTTTTTTTTGAAACGGGGTCTCGCTCTTGTCACCCAGGCTAGAGTGCAGTGGCGTGATGCCTCACTGCAACCTCTGCCTCCCCCAGGTTCAAGCAATTCTCCTGCCTCAGCCTCCCGAGAAGCTGGGATTACAGGTGCCTGCCACCACGCCCGGCTAATTTTTTTGTATTTTTAGTAGATACGGGATTTCTCCATGTTGGTCAGGCTGGTCTTGAACTCCCAACCTCAGGGGATCCGCCTGCCTCGGCCTCCCAAGTGCTGGGATTACAGGCGTAAGCCACCACACCCAGCCCGAAAGCTGTTCTTAACAATTTCAATAATCAGATGGATAACTTTAGGTGGATATCAATCTGCATATTCCTCCACCCGCTCAGTGCTTGATTTTCGATGACCTCGGAACAGAGAGACCGTGATGACAGAGATGAAGCTTCTCTATGAGCAGAACAACCGAGGCTTTCCCTTCAAATAGGCTGTTGTGGCTACTGATTATTGCTGAGTACCCAGCCTCCCCAAAATAGAGAGTAAGGCTGGATCCTCAATGTGGCACTGAAGCCTGGGTGATCCAGCCCGAGACGTGGTGGCTGAGAGGTTACACCAAACTGCTTCCATCATGGTGGGTATAGAGCCACCTTCACTGGATAAGGTATGCATTCTGCATATAAATTTACCTTCCCTGACTGTGACATTTTTGCCAGTATGACTGTCCATGAACTCACAAAATGCACCATCTACAGTCATGATATCCTGCTCAGCATTGCTTCTTCTTCTTCGTATTTTTTTTTTTTTTTTTGAGACAGAGTTTCACTCTTGTTGCCCAGGACAGAGTGCAGTGGGGTGATCTTGGCTCACTCCAGCCTCCGTCTCCCAGGTTCAAGCGATTCTCCTGCCTCAGCCTCCTGAGTAGTTGGGATTACAGGTGCCCACCTCCACACCCGGCTAATTTTGTATTTTTAGTAGACACGGGGTTTCACCATGTTGGCCAGGCTGGTCATCAGCTCCTGACCTCACGTGATCCACCTGCCTTGGCCTCCCAGAGTGCTGGGATTACAGGCCTGAGCCACCACGCCTCTGATCAAGGAACTCATTTCATAGCGAAGGAAGTGCAGCAGTGCCTCATGCCCACGGAATTCACTGGTCTTCAGACATACACTGTCAACTGGTCTACTGGAAAGGTGGAATGGCTTCCTGAGGTCTCAGTGACAATGCTACTTAGAAGACTACACCTTGAGAGGAGGGGCTTTTATCTTATAGGACACAGTATATTCTTTGAATCAGCACTATGGGATGTTTTCTCCCCCTTAGTCATAAGACCTGGGTCTGGGAATCAAGAAGTAGAAGCTGGGTGGCTGTAATATCATTGAAGTCAATATAGGTATGTAGATATGACAGATATAAAGGAGGAGCTTATGCCAGTTATTAATTTATTGCCTCTCAGCTCCCAACTCACCCTGGTTTGCCTTGCTTTGTGATGTTGCAACTACACCCTGAAGATTGCATGTGCCTGCACCAGCTGGCTTGAGGTTAGGCTCTCCTGAGAAGACACTGGAGCACTGGAAGAGGAGGGAGGGATTTTTCAGCTCCTGTATTCTGTTTCCCATGGAACATTAAGGACGTTGGCATGAAGGGAACACAGCAGCACACCTCTTAGCTGCAGTGCCCTCTGTGGTTTACTCAAGACACCCCCTGGCACATATGTTCATCACCACTGCAGTGAACTGCTTCTGTGCTTCATGAGCAGCATCCTCTACCAAGGTTCTTGGTCACTAAAACGACAAGATATTCTCGTGGTTCCACCATGAGTGGTTCCATTACGTTTCTCCATGACCCACTGGTGGCAGCATGTGGCACTCATGCCATCTCCTCCAAGGTTTAAATCTCAGACTTGCAGCCTCCTCAATATTTCTTTTTTTTTCTTTCCTGTTTCTTTTTCTTTTTTTGAGAAGGAGTCTTGTGCTGTCTCCCGGGCTGGAGCGCAACGGCGCAATCTCAGCTCACTGAAACCTCCACCTCCCAGGTTCATGCAATTCTCCTGCCTCAGCCTCCTGAGTAGCTGGGATTATGGGTGCACACCACCATGCCCAGCTAATTTTTTTTTTAAATATTTTTAGTAGAGATGGGGATTTCACTAGGTTGGCCAGCCTGGTCTTAAACTCGTGATCCTCCCGCCTCGGCCTCCCGAAGTGCTAGGATTATAGGCCTGATCCACCTCGCCCAGCCCTTCTTCGATATTTCTAAGTTTCTTCCTTGTTCATCATTCCCTCGGCCCTGGGAAGATTTGCTGGTCTGTGGCTGCTCCCTCTGTATCCCTTGCAATCAGGTTTTACCTCTTAGATATTCTTTCCATTTTCCCTTTTCAAATTCTTCTGACTGGATCCTGACTGGTAAATATAACTTGCTTCTTAAAAAGTTTTTCTTGGGTGTGAACTTCTCACAATAGCCTCTGTAATTTATTAAAATACTTATTAAGTTAAAGCTTAGAATTAAATGGAGTTCTCATGCTACCGTATGGGTTTTAAACTAATCCTTTTGTGGAACTGAAGAACTCTTCTGTGTATTGTTATATGTACACACTCATTCTCTGGGACTTTTTACTGTCATTATTGTTTTAAATGTTTTACCACAGTACCAAAGTTTTCTAGGTTTGCTCTAACAACAATTGACTACAACTGGGTGGCATAAACAATAGGAATTTAGTCTCTCATAGTTCTTGATTTCACATTTGTAGAGTTAAATGCATAGGGGAAACCCTGAGAAACCTGTAGGGGAATCCTTTCTTGCAGCCTCTGAACTTCTAATGGATTGCTGGAGGTTTTTGGCATTCCTTGGCTTGTGGCAGCCTCTCTCCACTCAGCCTTCATTATTATATGGCCTTCCCCCATGTGCCTCTGTCTTCAGGTAGCCATCTTGTTACAAGGACATCAGTTGTTTAGGTTAGGGCCCATTTTAGTCCAGTACGATCTCATCTTAACTAATTACTTCTGTAACTACTCTGCTTCCAAAGCAGGTCACATTCTGAGGTACCAGGGGTTAGAACCTCAGCGTATCTTTTTGAGTGAGATATATTTCAGCCCAAAACACTTTCCAATAATGAAATATTAGCCATTAAATTTTTTGACATGTAAGTATCCTCCTGAAATACTACCAGGCAAGAAACTAGGTTATTAAATAGGCTTTATCCCATTTTTCTAAAAGAAAATACATGTTTTATAATTAGAAAATATATATTAGTTTATCTACTTAAAATGATAACAATAGTTATCTCTGCATTAAAGAATAGTGGGATTATAAAAAATTTACCTATTTATATTTTATAATTTTTCCCCAGTGAGTTTGTATGAATTCTGTGATAACAGTTTTTTAAATTTAAAATTGCTAACGATGTTGTTATAGATAATGCATTTGTGGGAAAGCCTACTTTCCAGTTTTTAAAAACGTTTTGCATTTCTAAAAATCCAATGTTTTAGACAAGGTATTGGTGGCAATAAGTAGTGGTAGAATGGGAAAGGAAATTCTGGCTTGATTGCAGACTTGAGTGTTCGAATCAGGCTCTGGGATAACTGATTGGGTTGTAGAGATGAACAATTGTCTAGAATTGTGGTAGGGGTTGGGGGAGTCAGGGTGAGATTTTTTTCTTGTTCTACATGACTCAAAAATTAAGCTTTGACACAAATACACAAATATGGGTGTGGCCAACTTGCTGTTGTCTGTGCTAAAATTGTTTCAGAGTGACCAAATTAAACTTAAAGGATTAGACATGAAGAAGTCGCTGCAATCTGTCTCTTGTAAATGATGCTAAACCATAAATAAAGTCTATGCACTTATGTCTCTCTCTTGCAGTATTTCCAGAAAAAAGTTATTTGCGGAGTTGTTCCAAAGTGATATGAGAGTCATGGCCAATGCAGGCGTTTACTTTTCGATTTCTGGATTCTACATCTCTGTGGCTTCTGATTTGAATTTCTATCCCTCTAAATGATTCCCTCTAAATAAAGGAAGGCTTAGTGAAGAGGTATTTTGGTTGTAAGGCAGGATAAAACACTACAACTCTAAGCATAAAAGTCAATACAAATAATATTAATCCCCGTATCTGGCATATTTGGCAAGAGTTCACTGAGAATTAACATAGGTAGTTTTCAGACATCAAAAAAGGGCCCTTAGATAGTTTTTTTTAATACTTCAGCATAAGGAAAGCATAGTTATGGAGTTTGGCTAAAGACTAAAATAAGTTGGGCAAGTAAATATCTGGGCTACTTCCCCAAATTTACTTGGTATGGTCCATATAACTTCTGGATACTTTCTAGGGAAATTTCAGGGGACATTCCTTAACTGCTTTTGGTATTCCTTTATGAAGAGTTGAAGCTTAAGATGTCAGGAAATAAAGTAGTGAGTTAAAGTTGGTTTACCTAGATGGTATCTACCCAGTTCATTTCTCTCTGGAGACTCAACTCTCTCACCCACCACACGTCACAGGTCAAGTCTTATCACTTAGTAGCCAGTTTAATGATATGTCACTTTGCTCCCTTGGCCATAGATACTCGGACTAAGGTTGAATACTTGATCCAAACTGGGCATAGTCTATTTGGCAGTCAACTTGGATTGCTCAGTAAGAGATTGTAGTCTTTGCTTTGCTGGTCTCTATCTACAAAACCTTGAGATCATTTCAGAAACGTTTGTCACTATATAACAGTGTAAAAATGAGCAGAATTCCATGAAATCAACTCAAATGCAATCAATTTATTTTACATGGATTTCTTCAGACAATTAATTAAGTACACAGAGGGTTACCAGAAATTTTGTATATTTTCCTAGCACCTTTATATTAGGTTGGTGCAAAAGTAGCTGTGGTTTTTGCCATTAAAAAGGGTAAAAAATGCAGACTTTTATCATTCAGGGACTTCCAAAAACTTGTGCATTTCAGCTCCAGTCAAGTTGAAATGTCATCTCTTCTCTTCCCTGTGGTTGGCCCAAAGTTCATTGCAGGCTACATTGTTGTCTGCTCTGCTCATTGTCTGTCTGAGGTCTGCTTATTGAAACTTTCTCCGTTGTCACCATCTCAGAATTGAATTTTTTTTGCTGGTGTTTTCCATTCTTCGTTTAGCAAATGTGTATTAAGTACCTGCTTTCTGCTAGAAGCTGGATACAGAACTGGCAAGCTGTAGTGACAGGACAATCTTCTGTTCTCACTGAGCTCACATCTTGGAGAACAGAAACATTAATAAAATATGTATGTATTTTTTCAAATTGAAAAACACAAACCCTATATATTTATAATGGACAACAGGATGTTTTGAAGTAATTATATGTTGGAGAATGGCTAAATCAAGCTAATTAACATATGCATTACTTCACATATTTATTTTCGTGTGTTTGATGAGAACACTTAAAATCTACCCTCTTAGCAATTTTCAAGCTTACAATACATTGTTATTAATTATAGCACCAAGAATCTAAATCAGTTTGTTTAACAAATTTAGTAAATACTTATTATTTCCTATGTATTCCTCACTGTTCTAGATGTCAATAATAAAGTGTGAAAAAAATGATAAAATACCTGTTCTCAAGGAGGTTACTTTGTAGTTGATATAAAATTATAAACACTGATACAAATGCAAAGAAATATTACAGAGTTCAATTGTGACATATACCAGGGAGACATAATCTGAACGAGCAGTTTGAGACGATCTCCTGAGTTGTGATGTCTAAGCTGAACCATGAAAGCTCAATTAGGCAAAGAGGATGAGCAGTGGAAAATATTTCAAGTAGGGAAAAAACATTAAGAATCTGAGCTAGTTACCAAGTAATCATGAGAAAAGTGCTGAAATATGAAAATTCAAAGGTAATTAAAAGTACTAGCAATTAGTCCTAAATCCCTGATCAATTAAAATTAATTAAGTGACCATAGAGCTAGTTTCTCTTGAGACTATTTCCAACATTCAATTTATGTTAAAAATATTTTATTTATATTATTAAAAATATATATTATTCATGCTGTATTTGAAAGTGAATATTCATTAGGGAATTCTTATCAAGGATAGGAAACTATAGAAGATTAGATTTAGGATAAACTCAGTTATGTAGAAATATGTTAAAATTGGATTGCCAAGACGCAAGCACAAATTCATAGTCTATATAGTTTTGAAGTTAGTGTATTTAAGATATATGTGCACTATTGACTTTTTTTTCTTTTTTACAAAAGAAAATAACAGCATCAAAAGATTTCTTTTTTCTATTGTTGAGCTTAAATGATGATTGCAGGTTAGAAAATCAGAAAGTTATATTCTAAGTCTGTGACTTTATTTTGTTGAAAACATAAAGATTCATATGAATTTTCATGGTATAAATGATTATGAAGTGAAATAAATTTTCTAGTATTATGATTATTCTTGAGGATAATATAAAATATAATAGTCTAATATAAAATATTCATAATGCATTATAGATATGAGATTTAATAGAATTAGCTGAGTAATGAGGACACTAACAATTGTTAGATTAAAATGTGTTTGATTATCCCCTCTCTGTTTATGTATCCTAACTTCTTAGTTTTTCATATTACTTTCACTATAGTAATTTGTTCTTCCCTAACTACACATGTTCATTTTTTTCTTCTAAAAAAATCCAATGGCCTAGGATAAAACAAGGAATACTTACAATACAGATATAATAATTGATAGGGTGGAAAGTAAAATTTTCACCAAGGACAGTGTAGAAGATGACTTGTTAATGAGGTTTCACAATGCACTAAACATCCTGTCCATAGGTAGGTTTGTGACTTGGGTGCATTCAATCCTATTTCTTCACCTCCTTTTCCAGGCTGCCCCAGGTGATTGTTGTCATTCAAACAAGTTCAGCCAAGGTTATCACTACATGTGTAGATGTGGAGTGAGAAAGGGTCATTTTTTTTTTTCTCTGTAGGTATCAGAAGCCTAGAGCTTCTCTTGACCATTTTTTTTTCTACTACATGGAGTACGTCTGCCTAAGAATAAGGTAATCACAAAAGAAGGCAGAGCTGAGTAGTGAAGAACGGTATAGAGGCTGCAAGACTACATTTGAGCACTTGAAGCAGGAAGAGTTCAAAGTCAATTATGTAACTCTGGACTTGTCAGTTCTATCAGCCAACATGAATGTATGTATTACGTGTTTGTGCTTAATGCAGTTTAGATTGGGCTTCTGATAATTAAAACCAAGCTGAAGAGATGTGACAGGTGATACCCATCAAATTTTACAGAAACAGATAATTTATATATTATTTAAGCTCCCTGGGGACATAGATGTCTTCCTAATCCAACTTGACAGCAAAACTTCTGTAGTTTTCTCCAAACATACACTATATTACAGAGATATTCCACTTATAACTATAGACAAAAATATTAAACATGAGTAAATAAAGCCAAATACCACAAAAATAATTGAATAGCGCTAATGATTTTTTTTAAGGAATTCATCAATAGGAATCGTATTAACATAGTTTTTCATATTCATATCCAAGGGAGAATTTTGATCATCTTGATAAATATGAAGTTATAAAAAATGCAACTTCATTCTAGATTATAAAATAGAATGAAAAGATTTTCATTTTATAAGAAATATCTTGAATTAATAGCTAGCTTTATATTACATTTTTAAAATTAGAAACATCTACAATCTATTTTGGAACAAGAAATTGTTTTATAAGTTATAGCACATTGAATTAGACACAAAACCATAAATAGTAGTTATGTTATTTTCAGACCACATCATTACATAGATGAAAAGTATAAAATGGCCAAATCAAATAATATTTGTTTGATTGAAAAGGAAATACATAAATGAAAATAGTCATCATTAAATAGTAAAAAAGTAGAATAAAAAAGATACAGCATTCACAATAAAATCTACTTCATAAATTTCTCAGGAATAAGATTTAAAAAAATTTTCTGCTAGGTTGAATATTTCTACCTTATATTAAACTCCTTTATAGAGCTTTCATCCCTAAACACAGATCATGTTAGACTAATTTTACTAATGATTTATGTTGATGGCCTCCCTGTATTCCATTGTATTCTGCACTATAACTTAGCAGTCCTCTTCCACCTTGACTTGGCTCAGTCATGTGTCTTGCTTGGGCCAAGAAGAAGTGAGCCAGTGTGATATAACATAGACTTGAGGGATTCTTACACATTAGGACTTATCCTTTTGTGCTTGCTCTCTTTCTTCTCTTTGGTTCCAACCAAAGCCATCCTAGGCTATTCTAGGACCACCGGACCCCCAGTACATGAAAGAACTCACCCAGGATCCTCGAGTTTTCCACCCACCTTGAAGCTAGCTGTAGGTATGTGATTGAGCTCAGCAGTGATCAGAAAGCACTCTAACTGACTTTCAGGCTCCTAAACAAGACTAAATTCTTAGTGTTTGGGTCACTGAGCTTTGTGGGGTTTTCTTATACAGCAAGGGTTAATTTAAACACAAATAAATAGATTAGAAAAGACAAACCTTGGGGTCTTTAGAGGAAAAGAGTGATTCTTTAATACATGGTAACTGGGTAACGTTTTTGAAAATAAATTGGCAAGCTAATCAAGTTAGAAACGCATCTCCCATCTTAAGCCATACTGAATTTGAGATGAATAAAAATATTGGAAATAGAAAGAATGTTCATTGTAAGCATCACCTTACATAGAAATTTTAATTAAAATATTATATTTCATTAAGTAATGAAATAAAAAATCTTTTGCTCCATGAAATTCTCCTTAGGAAAAAACTTACCTGTGTTTTGGAGGATGCTCTGTGTAAAGCACTTTATCCGCTAGACCTGAATGTTCACCCTGGCAAACACACTCCTAAGAATGAAGGAACTTGCCTTGCAGTAGTGTAGATAGCCTGAAAGATTACACAACACGTGTTGATTGATTAGTTTTGGATGGTACAATTAAGATTTAATTTACTTTTCTTTACATGGCTTTGTGCATTTCTTGCTTTTTTTCTGTATCCTCTATTTTTTGAAAAATACCACTTTCATAATCATGCAGTTCTAAATATTTTGTACTGTGTATTATTATTTTCTCCTTAACCCACAAGTTATTTGTGAGTGAATTCGTTTTTTAGGTTCTTAACTTATTTTTTTTGATAGGAAGAGCTTATTGACTTGTAATTTTTTTAGAATGGGTTAACGAACAATATATGTGATAATAACTTTGGGCCTCATTGAGACATCATGTAGTTGATTTAAAGCACATTATTGCTATTTTTTTTTTTTTTTTGGAAAGAGGGGTTATATAGGAGACTAGATCTCTGTTAGCTCAAACTTATTAATCGCGTTCCTCAAATCTTCCTTACCTTCTCTATTTTTGTCTGCTTGGTCCAGGAGTTTCTGAGAGCCGTGTGCCAATACATCCTGATAATGATTTTGGAGGTGTCAAACTCCCATTAAAGTTTTATCTATTTTAACTATGTTTTTAGGGACATATGGATAATTGTTTTATAGTCAACTTTCTCAGTAACTATGCAACACGTCCTCCTCTTTCCTCAACTCTTCAATATCCACTTCCTTATTCTCAGCTGATAGCTTACTGAGAAAATAGAGACAACCAGAAGAGGCTTTCCACATTCTTTCTCCATCAAATCTGCCAAACTCGTGCTACCTGATATCCTTCTTGTCACAATGAGTGATTGCCCATCTCTTCAAGAGCATAGTCATCCTTCTAGAGAACACAAAGATTTGCCCCTGCAATTGTCTCTTTCCTTCATCATTAATTTCTTCCTGTAGTTCTATTTTCTTTACAACCTCCCATCTCCTGTTATTCTTCACATAAATTACCTTCATTCAAATGAAACCAGCATGGCAGCCCCTCCTTTCTTGACCACATTGTATGAGATATCATGGGATCTTCCTCGGATTAGCCTTTTGCTGATTCCAAGTGCTGGGGTAGTTTGAATTCTATTTTATTGGACGGGGGTAAAGGGTAAAAATGCATCTGGTTTTTCACTTCCAGTTATTCCATGGCAGTGATCCTTCCTAAAACACACAAAGGTAAACATACTTTGTCAATACAAGAATTAATTCTGTTTCTGCTGGAGACTGCTGGTTTACGTGAGGGATGCACATTCTTTCTGTGAATATAACTTCCTTGCAAAAATGATGTAGTTGACCCTGCTATGTAAATACACATTCTTTCTTGGCCTGATTTTTATTATAAAGGCTTATCATCTTAATTAACAAAGACACAACTGCCATGAAGGAAAGTGTTCTATTTCTATCCTAATAGAAGGGTAGGGTATGTATATGTGGGACTGGGAGCTGGGTGAAGAAAACTGGAGTTGAGGAATGTTCAGATTACTTTGTCCTAACAGTAGGCTTATAAATCTATTTCTAAAGGATTCAAGCTGCTTTTATAGTCTTACAGAAGCTGCTCTTCACCTCATCTGTTTTGAAGACCATGGCCACTGTTGATTTCTCCTCTCTCATGATTATAAAGAAATGGAAGACTCACTAATCTGATGGGTTTTTGGGGTTCACCCAGTTCTCCTAGAAATCCTGGTTGGATATAATGACGGAATTTCAGGTCATGCAGAACTGGATACAAAATTTTATTTCTCCACTTACTGTCTGTGTGATTTGAGCAAAGTTATTTAGTCTCTGTCTCTGTTTATGAAAACAGGAAAATCTCATGGCTTGTGGGAGAATGATATTCTACAGAGTTTTTGTTAGGGATTGCATGAAATAACAGACATAAAGTGCCTAGCACAGTGCTTGTCATGTATTAAGTACCCTATAGATGTTTCATTTTCTCCTGCTGAGTATCTGTAGACACTGGAGCCCTCCACCTGCAGAATTGTGTTAAGATTCCATTCAGGGGACTTGAAAAGTATCTTAGCTTTTTCTATTTTTATTGTCCCCCCCACCCCCCTTGATATTCATGTCCCCTTTCACAAGTGATACAGTCAAGCCACACTTTTGTACAGCATATATAAAGTCTGTAACTTTACCCCAGTCCTTAAGTTAGTGGGGTGGGAAATATGTTGGACACCCCAGCCAGTGCTTAGGGGATGTCTTTAAGACACTCACTTGAGTAGGACAACCGTCCAGATTGCACTAGGAGAGGAAGTTCTGTTTTGCATTTCCCTCAAGCAGACTCTGCCGTGGTCTCATTTGTACATGATCTATATCCAAATTGGAACAGAGTACCTTTCCAGAAAATCCTTTTTTCCCCTTTCTTTTAGAAAGGCTCGTTTATCCCAAATCGCATCCCACATGCTTAGGAAACACTTGACGGCTTGACTCGCAAGCCTGGAGAGACACTTGCACGTAGTCATTGCATTTTCTCAGATGACAGCTGGAGAGCCTCTCCTGCGCAGCTGCTCCCTCTGTCGCAGCCAATCCAGCTGGCAGGGGACAGCACGGCCCTTTCCTCCATCAAGTGCAGCACAGGGGCTGTCTTTCCTGGTTGCTTGCCCTACATAGGACTGCTTGTCTGCTAACCAGAGACAAAGGATAAAGTGGCTTCACTCCATCTTAGACACAGAAAGGATTTTACAGAGAAAATGAAGACAGCCAATATTCTCTCATGTCTGCTTTGGAAGTAGTCACTAATTTCAGTAGTTAATGTTAGCAGGAATATCTTAATGGCTGGTAACCATTATTGGTTATAGCACAGAATATTGTTAGTGTTATAATTGCTTTTTTAGAGCAGAGGTGTGGGTTGATTTGCAGTCTTAAGAATTAGCAATACACTTTTCTGACAATATCTGCAACTACCAACCCAACAGAGATTCCAGTTATTAATAGTTATGGTGTGCTCATTTTCACTGGACTTCTGGCATGTGATAACACTTATATTTTATGCCTGTTTGGAAAAGGATAGTAACACTTTTTAAATTATTCTTGTTGTATTAGTTTCCTGTGGCTATTATAACAAGTTATCACAGACTTGGTGAGTTAAAATAACAAAAATTTATTCTCTCACAGTTTTGGAGGCTGGAAGTCTGAAGTGAAGGTGTTGGCAGGGCCATGCCCCCTCCAGAGGCTTTAGGGGAGGATCCTGTCTTGTATCTTCCAGTTTCTGGGGGCTGCTGGCATTCCTTGGATTGTGGCCACATCACTCCAATCTCTGTTTCCATCTTCACAATGCCTGTGTGTGTGTGGGAGAGATCCCTCTGTCTTTCCTATAAGAACGTGTGTAATAGCATTTAGGGATCTCCCAGGTAATCTAACACAGCATCCCCATCTCAACATCTTTATGTGAACTGCATCTACAAAGTCCAAATTTCTAAATAAGGTGACATCATTTCCAGGTTCCAGGGATTAGGACTTGACATTTTGGAGGCCACTGTTTAGTCAGTATACTTGGTAAGCAGCACTGTAAATTGATGGTAAATATGATACGTATGATTTTAAATATGGTAGTATTTGAAGAAAAGGGACTTAAAAGTTTATTTACTTCTTTTGGACACTTTTTAAATTTAACTTTTTCCTTGTCACTGACACATAATAGTTGTACATATTTATGGGGTACAAGGTAATGTTTCACTGCATGTATACATAGGATAATTGTCAAATTATGGTGATTACCATACATAAATAAATTTAAAATATATCCTAAGGTAAATAGCAAAAACGTGCATAAGACCAAGAGAAAAATAAATTTGTGAATGAGATTGTGAGGGACGGCAAGGCGAACAGACAGAAGAGAAAGGAGAAGCCGAGAAACTGGCTTCTGAAAGCATTCGAATAATTCTCATTGCTAAGGAAACCACAATTTCCTGTCTCTATCTCAGCTCTGAACAGCTGCTTTACTTATAATTTGGCTTCTCTGAAGGACTTTAATTGCTAGGTGAAGAAAAGCCAGAGTACCAAAGTTAGAATGGAAAGAAAAATTATGGTGATACAAAATGACATAAAAACAAATTATTTAAGATAATTTATAAAGCTGGTGCTTTTAAAAAGGAGGTTATTGCTCCTCTCTTTCTTCCTACAAGTACCCTAAGGATGGTGACAAAGTTATTGAAAGTGATTGCTTAAAAGCAGTCCTTTTAACCTTTCTACAGATGAAAAAACATGAGGTGATAATGTTAATTCATTTTTCTCAGCTGGAACTGCCTGTATCAAATGGATATTTTGCTCCTTCACCCTCTTTCCCTTCTGTTAAGTATTTTATTAAAGGAAGTCAAAATGAATGGATTGCTGAAGAACCTCAAAGTGCCTCTGTGAATGGGAAGAAAACCTCAAAGTTTGCTAGCTCCAGCTCTATGGGAATGTAGTTTTATCTTGGGCTTTTTCATGTAGAGTTCTATCAAGAGAATCTTCTCTTCCATTCTCCTTTTTCATTTTCCTCTTTGATTGCACAGAAGAGACCAACAGCTTTCCTCCTCCTCCTCTGCTCCAACACTAGTGGGAAGTTTGAGCCTCTCTTTTCCATTCTATTTTTCTGCCAAAAATTATTTTTTTCTATTTAAATAATTCTTACAAAATAGAGGGTAGTTATGGATATTAATAATTGCAAGCTATTTAAATACGTTTTTGTGCATAGATAATACCAAACAAAAATTCAGAATTACTTTATCTTTTACTTAGTGAAAACTCAGGATGCTCTGGCAGAAATAATCAAGTAATACTTTCAGCATCAACTTAAAAATGTCTCTAGATCAATAGCATCCAATAGATCTATAATAAGAGAAATGTTCACATTCTCCGTTGCCCTATATGATAGCTACAAGCTGCCAGTTGCTGTTAAGCACTTGAAATGTGGCTGATGTGGCTGAGAAAAGTAATTCTAAATTTCATTTAATTTTAACGCATTAAATTTAAATAGTTGTGTGTAGCTAGTGGTTACTGTATTGGACTGTGAGGCTGTAGATGGTTTGCACTGGCATTATTTTCTTCATTCTTATTCCACAATATTTCTGGCTATGTTGCTGCTTTTCACCCAGTGAGGGTAAGCTACATCAAAAGATACTTTTGCATTTAGAAAAAAATGTTAAATCCTGAAAAAACTCAAAATGCATTTGGAAAGAACACTAGGATAATTCTGTGCACCTACTTGACTTGGTAGTAATTTAGGTGATACATGGTGGGGAAAAAGTTGTAACAATATTATAGACATGATCTTATCATTTTATTTCAGTTAATACCTGCCTACTCATATACAACTAATACATGCTGAAGATTAAAGCTGGCTTTTCAGTATCTCAAGTTTGTCCTTGACTATGGGTTATCTAAATCGCAACCCTTAGGAAAAGGACAGATACAGGCTAAACACATAGTCTTAAGTCATGCTCTTGAGTAAGAGGGTAGGATGGAAGGAAGTGCTAGAATATTTGGAAAATTACATGCCCTAGGAAAAACATGTCTCCATCTCATCATTTCAAGAGCTACTGAAATCTCATTCTGTTGTAAAATCTGCCCAGATCTGTTGGAAATCCAGACAAGAAGTGTGCCAACTTAACCTGTACTTGCCCTCAGCCCCCAGTCCCTATGTAGCTATTCATCTGATCAGGAATCATTCTCCTTCACAGTTACTAAAAACTGCCTTTGATTTTGATATGTTATTGCCCTTCTGGTATTATGAAGAATAACAGTATAATACCAGAAGGGCAATAATATATCAATATATTCTTTATAAATAAAACAAAATGATATATCATAGATTGTTAACTTCTAGGGGGCAGGGATTATGCCTTCCTCATTATTGAAGTTCATTATCAACTTTAACATCACAAAGGTTTAAACAGTTAATAAAAAACCCTTTCTGTCTTGCTGCTGTATGAATGAGTAGAGCTCCAAGCTGCAGCAAAAACATCATTTCTTTTTTTACAATTGATATCCCTCAATGATCATGTCCAGCATGACTTGGAAAAATGTTAAATATTTTGGAAGTTGAGAGTGAGGAAAATAAAAGAAGGAGTCTGGTGTATAGCAAGGAGTGCAGTTGCTTCTGGAAACCCGTGAGCCTGGAAAGGGAGTCTACTTTGCAGAGAGGTGAATGGGGAGAGGGGGACAACAGAGGAGAAAATGTAGCTCCTTCCTGTTTTTCCTTTCAAATCATCTTGCTGTTAAGCAATAAAAAAATCTAAATTTCCTAATCTGAGTTCAATGACTTACCATGGTATATTCATGCTTGGTTCATTTTCACTGTATATTATAAAATGGACACTGTGTGTTGGTTATTTTAAATTGTGAATATGATGCTGCAGAGTGAAAAATAAGAACAACTGACATACCTGGTTTTCCAAACCAAACAGAGCTCCTACCCTCTTTTCTATATCTAGTAAGTCACTCTGGTGTCCCCTCCTCCCCATCCACTCTGTGATGGAATCCCTATTTCTGACTCTGGCAATCCTGAGATTTGAGTTGCCGTATATCAGGATGCTTGAGCTTTGGCAATTAGCTGTTGGTTCCCACGTGTTGATTATTAAAAGAAGTGAAAATGAGTGTTAATTGCCACTCCATTTAAGAGGTCTAAAAATAACTAATGAAAGTCTTTTCCATAAGGAATATAATGAGATTACCAATTAATTTTATGAAAGCCCTACAGAGGCTACCATATGATTCCTTGAACTGTTTTGTCCGGGTAATGAGGGGTGATTTCCCTTTAAAACTCAGCATTTGTGTTAGAAAAAAAAAGACAATATCCTGAGTTTATTTAAAAAGTAAAGAATGCTAATATCCTAGTGAATTAATATAAATCCTAAAGAAAACATTCATTTCCAATTAGTACAACAGAAAAAAACCACAAAATCCAATTAAACTCAGCTTTCAATTTTTCATTACTGCATATATGTATGTACGTTTATGTAAATATCTGTATATACATACGTGTGTGTGTGTATGTGTGTGTGTGTGTAATACTAGTTTTCTAGTGTTGCCATAACCAAATACCACAGAGTGGGTGACTTAAAAAACAGAAATTTGTTTTCTCACAATTCTGGCAGCTGGAAGTTCCGGATCAAGGTGTCGACTGGTTTGATTTCTGAAGCCTCTTGCCTTAGCTTGTAGATGGCTGTCTTCTCCCTTTGTTTCCAACATGGTCTTCTCTTTGTTCGTGTCTGTGTTCTAATCTCCTCCTGTTGTAATGACACCCAGTCACAGTGGATTAGGATTCATCCTGAGGACCTCGTTTTAACCTAATCACCTTTATAAAGACCTTATCTCCAAATACAGTCACATTCTGAGGTACTGGGGATTAAGACTTCAAGGTATATATTTTGCGGAGATGCAATGCAGCCCATAACATATAGTTCCTCAAAACTCACTTATCTTGAATTCTTTTTGCTTCCTCAAGAATTTACTTATTATTTTATAAGGTGCAATATAAGTAAATGGGACAAAATTGTAAGAGGCATAAAGTATCTGGACTCTCTTTCAAAGACCACCAGCACTCATCCTCAGAAGCAGCCACTGTTATCAGTCGCTTGTTTAATCTTCCAAGAGATGTCTGTGTGTGTCCATGTATTATTAGGTAGAAGCAAGCAGGATGCAGAGGAGTGCGCATAGTGTTTCTATGTGTATTTTAAAAATAAAATACCTACAAGTATATATGTATATGTGTTTACGTATATGTTGAATTATGTTGCCATGGTTTTATAATTTAAAACAATTTAAATGTTTGATGCATTTGGAATTTATTTATGTTTAGGCATCGTTTGGATCCCACTGACATATATATTTCCAAGTATTTATCTCACTGTCTCAAAACTGTTTGCTTGAGTAATCTATCTTTCCTCCATCATTTGGGATTCTACCTTTATCATGTACTGAATCCCTATATGTGTTTGGATCTTTTTATGAACTTTTTCTTCCAATTTGTGGAGAGACAGTTGTCCCCTGCTATCCCCGATAGCTCTCTCTGCATTGCCTGACAGCACACTAGTGGAGACCTGTGGCTTCTCTTCCTCCTGGTATGAAGGGTTCACTTGGCTTCAATTTTCCACAAGGTCTTCGGGTGCTTCTAGCACAATTGTGCAGCTTCTTTGGCCAGACAGCATCTATATCAACCTACAGGAATGAGAGCAGCAGGCTGGTAAGGTCTTACTGTCAGAGCACATTCCAGGATAAAAGTGTAACTTGCCCAGCCCAAGTTTGTGTCTCCATGGGATTGGGAGAGATGGGAAACATCTGTGTCCTCTTCCTGTGGGTTCCCACTCACACTCTGTGATGTTTGTAGAAATAGCCCCAGACCTTCTCACAACACTGTTGATTTCAAATAAGATTGGAATTTTGTAGCTTTATATTTGAATATGTTCTAAAGTTAGTCTTCCCCTTATTATTCTGTTTTTCAGATTTTCCTGTTTTCACTTATTTTCTTCTATAGTTCCAAGAACATTAATTTATAAAATATTCTCTCTTTATAGAGTAGATGTTTATTCTCTCTGTCTATGAGACAGCTTAAGGGTTTGAGACTGACTCTCACTAAGAGAAATATAAAAACAAGAGGCTGGGGCTGCCTCTGCTTGATAATGGAGTAAAGGCGCCTGCATGGAGAGACATTTACTGTTCTGTAGATAACAGTGCAGTGATACAGGTGTCTCGGGACCAGATGTGACTCCTGTGAAAGGGACATAGCATGAGGTTATCTTGAAAGGAATCTCACTGGACAGCACTGCTTGGAGGGAAGATGTGACCCTGAGTGGGTGGGTCGCAAGGGCCCAACACCCGAGGAAGTGATCATTAAGTTGACAGTCAGAGGCAAGGCACTGCCCTCACGAAGAGGATGTGCCTGCAATGAGGTTTTCTGTTTCCTCATTCCAAGTCCATTTGCAGCTCTTCAGCCTCAGCGCCTGTGTGCTGTACTACTGTGCATTGGGAGAACCAGGGCAACAATCTTAATGGCATTTGTAGAATTGCATTTAGGAGTTGGAGCCCTCTCCAATTGCTCTTACATGGGATATTCTCACACGTTCGTAGATCATCCCCTAGTGGAATCAGTTATCTCATGTTCCCTGCTTTTAGTCAAGAGGCAGGCACCACCATTGGCCGCCTTCTGTGAGTGTGCAGAGATACAGACAGAAGGATCAGGAAAGTAGACAAAGGTCCTTTAGCTCACAAATGCTGTCATAATCTAGGCATTTATAGGCCTTAAGTTGTAAAATTTGAAACGGTGGTATTTATGTTGTTCAAATATTTTTTATTTTTTAAAACTTGACTGATTTATCAATTACTAAGACCCATGTTAAAAATTACCTTATGATGGTGAATTTGTCAATTTAGCATTGCATTTTTGCAATACAAATGACCAAATTGCCCACACAAGATACAGAAACTGATACTTCAGAAAAATTATTTTTACAAAGGAACAATAGCCAATTATGGCAGTGTTTTATAAATTATTCTGAGGCTGGGCACAGTGGCTCATGCCTGTAATCTTTGGGAGGCTGAGCCGGGCAAATCACCTGAAGTCAGGAGTCTTGAGACCAGTCTGGCTAACATGGTGAAACCCTGTTTCTACTAAAAATACAAAAAATTAGCCAGGTGTGGTGGTGGGCACCTGTAATCCCAGCTACTTGGGAGGCTGAGGCAGGAGAATCACCTGAACCTGGGAGGCGGAGGTTGCAGTGAGCTGAAATCGCACCATTGCACTCCAGCTTGGACAACAAGAGTGAAACTCTATCTCAAAAAAAAAAAAAAAAAATTACTCTGGAGTTGGAAAAAATAATGAACATTTAAAAATCTTTTTATGAAATTAGATGATTGACACTGAAACCTAAAGATAAGGTAATACAAACAAAACACAAACAAAATAAAACTATAGTTCAGTTTAATTATAAATAATTAAGGTTAATTATAAATAAATATAAGGTTAAAAAATTCTAAATTTAGCAAACAGTGCATCAACACATTAAAAGATGATTTCATCATAAATACATCCATTATAGAACTAATAAGATAGTTCAACATTAGGAAATAAATGAATAAAATTCATATTAATAGAAAAAAATAGAAAAAACAGAGATAAGTTAACATTTACTAAAAAAGGAATAAATATGTTCATGATACTTCACACTTTAATATGTTAAGTTGTACATCTGTCTATTCTTTATCTAAATTTGTATTTGCTTTGCATTTTACTGAATGGACTAAACTCAAAGAGGTACAAGTAGCAAATGTGTTTGTCTCTTTGCCCTCAAACATTTTCTGCCTATTTCTCCTTTCCCCATTTCTTTAATAGTATTTGAGGCCGATCCATCCACTTAGAGGTATTAAGGTTTCCAATCAGGTTCAAGCTTACATCGGATGGAAGCCTTCTCCTTCTCTCCAGCTCAAGCCCCAGCTATCATTAGTGGGCCTGCAGCAGAGAAGAGTGGGAGGAAGTCTGTTTATTCTGTTCTTGCTTGCTTTTCACTTCCACTTTCCCATCATTTCGATGCTTCCAAGTTTCCCTTTCTTCCTTGGTTACCAAATCCAGGGCATCCAAGTTGAACTCTCCCAAGAACTCTTTTACCAGTTGACTTTGGCGCACTGGTGTGGAAATAAACATCAAGCCAGGGAGGGAGGTGCCAACTTCTCATTCTTACAGAAAACTTCCATCTCTTCAAGCAGATCTCTTGGAGAGCCCTCTTTTGGAGCTCTCTGTGAGCAGGGGGCAGCATCTCTCCTCTTTTCTTCATCCATAGGCCAAAAACCTACTTCCAGCACAGGTTCTTTCTTCTAGACATACCTCAGTCTTCTGCTGATATGGGCTGGACAGGGTGACAACCGGTTGCATTGCTGGACAATCCCTGGAGAGATAGGAGTGGCAGCTTCTTGATCACTCCCTAGAATGCAGAATTCCTACCTACTCCTCTGCTTTGAGGTTTAGACAAAATTTTAAGAACAATAAATTTCTCATTATATAACTTATTAGGTATATATAGTCCTGGGTTTTCTAGAGTTTAAATCCTGATCTGTGGGCTGTTTTCTAGTTTCTGGACAAAATTTGGGGCAGGCAACTTCATAATTTTTTGTCATTTAAAGATGGTTTTGGCATAGTTTCATAATTACATAAATTTTATATCACAATTTCAGCCTTATCTCATTCAAAGCTTCCCTCAGGCCCAGCACGGTGGCTCATGCCTATAATCTCAGCACTTTGGGAAGCCAAGGTGAGAGGATTCCCTGAGACCAGGAGTTCTAGACCAGTCTGGGCAACATGGTGAAAACTTATCTCTATAAAAATTTTAAAAATTAGCTGGACGTGGTGGTGCATACCTGTAATCTCAGCTACTTGGGAGGTTGAGGTGGGAGGATTACCTGAGTCTGGAGTGGTCAAGTCTGCAGTAAGCCGTGATTGAGTCACTGCACTCCAGCCTGGGAGCAAGAGTAAGACCCTGTCTCAAAAAAATAAAAATCAAAAGATAAAATAAAACTTCCCTCATCTACAGTGTGAGCGTTTAGAATCCATACTTCCATGCTATGCAAAATGGTGGAAGGCCAGTCTTCCCCAGTTGCTGACCTTTCTCCTCACTTTGCTAAAGCAGGCTGCTTTAGCCAAGGTGGTAAGTACTTACCATAAAAGGTAATAATCTCTGAGTGGCCTCTCATAAGAGGCAGTCTCCTACGACAAGAGGACCCCCAGTGCTAAGATCATGTGGGATGGACTCTAGAGCCTTGAGCCTGAGGGCAAGTCCCAAGAGGACAGCTGGAGCATGTCCTGTTCACATTAAGGGCAAATGTGTAAAACAGAGAAATCTCTGGAGAGATCTACAAAGACTGAAATTTAGTTGGAAATAATTAACAAAATATTACTTTTAACTGCTATGTGTTATGAAGTTGAAAAATTAAAACTAATCATAACTCAAAAATAATTTTGAAATTTAGAAACTATTTTGAACTAAATGATAGCAAAAATATATATCAAATCTTATGGATACAGCTAAAGTAGTACTTACAAAAAATTTATAGAGCTTCCCTCCCCTCCCCTCCACTTCCCTCCCCTCCCCTCCACTTCCCGCCCCTCCCCTCCATTTCCCTCCCTTCCCCTCCCCTCCTCTCCCTTTCCCTTCTCTTCCCTTCCCTTTTTTGACAGGGTCTTGCTGTGTCACCCAGGCTGGATTGGTGCAGTGGTGCAATCACAGCTCACTGCAGCCTCGACCTCCTGGGCTCAAGGGATCCTCTCGCCTCAGCCTCCAGAGCAACTGGGACTACAGATGTGTGCCACCATACCCAGCAAAAAATTTTTAGTCTTAAATTCTTATTTTAGGAAGACTTCTTAAGGATAGAAGAATGCAAAACAAATAATGATAATGAAGTCATAATTGAGAGGATCAAAAAGGTACAAGAATCTTTTAAAGAAAAATCAGTTCAACAAACTTTTGACAAAATTGATCAGAATAACAAGAAAACAGTCAGAAATACTTTGTTAAGAAATGATTAAGGGGGCACAATTTAGCTACAGTGCATATTAAAAAGATAACATAGAATATCATAATAACTTGGTTTACTGAAATCTGAAAACTTAGGATGAGTGAACATATTTGTAGAAAAATTACTATCCAAACTGAATTCAGAATAAATAGAAAGGTGAATCATCTTATATCATTAAAGAAGCTAAATTATTAGTAACAATCTTTACATTTACACAAACCCATACTCATATGAATAAGATGAAAACAACACATGGCAAGGACAATTTTATAGATAAGTTACTCCAAACTTTCAAAGAATAGGTAATTATGATTTTTAAATCCAAACATTTTATGTTCTCACTCAAAGTGGGAGCTAAGTTAGGAGGATGCAAAGGCATAAGAATGATACAATGGACTTTGGGAACTCAGGAGAAAGAGTGAGATGGGGTGAGGGATAAAAGACTCCACATTGAGTACAGTGTACACTGCTCAGGTGATGGGTACACCAAAATCTCAGCAATCACTACTAAAGAACTTATTTGTGTAATCAAACAATGCCTGTTCCCCAAAAACCTATTGAAATAAAAAAAGAAAACGTGAAAAAAAAGAAAACAAACCACCACGTTTAAAAAAAAATGTAGAAGTGCAAATTGTGTGTCTCTCTTCTCAATGCAGACAATTTATTGAGTATTGGTACCCTTAAATCAGACACGATGGAATAATTATACCACAGAAATAGGCAAATGTTATAAGTCAGGGTTTTGAAGACAATCAGTTAATTATTTACCTGTATGCCATTGGGTGGGGGAACTTACTTTATTTTGGATTATATTCTAATGAATATATGATATTCACACAGAAAAGAACAAGTATATAAATGGAACAGAATATAGGGACCAACAGTAGATATAAATATATGTGAGAAATTAAAATATGACAAGGTTGGTATTGCAATTCAGTTGCAAAAGAATGGCTTATTAAGTATATGATGTTAATGTAACCAGCAATTCTTCAACAAAATCAGAGATACACTCTCAGCTTACATTACACAGAAAATAAGTCCTAGTTAGACTAATCACTGATACAAAATGAAATGATAAAAATTTTAAAAGAAAATTTGTATGGTACTTGTAGGTGATTTGGTTGAAAGAGTAAAGAAATTATGGAAGAAAAATTTTTTCCAATCCCCAATTTTAGAATGTATACGGCGAAAGTCAGCTAAGAAAACTTAAAAAAAGTAGAAAAAGTACTTGTAACAAACATTTATTTTCCCTAGCATAAATTTTTCCTAGAAATTTATAATTAAAAAATAAAGGCCAGGGGCAGTGGTTCACACTTGTAATTCTACCACTTTGGGAGGTTGAGGCAGGAGGATCCCTTGAGTTCAGGAGTTCCGGACCAGCTTGGGCGACATAGCAAGACCCCATCTCTAAAAAGAAAACAGACAAACAAACAAAAAACAATACTAGAGTAAAAAGAAAACATAAATAGGTATGACAAAAGAAAAACTACAAACACCTAGTAAAATTATGAAAATGTACATAATTCAAATGTAGTCCGAGAAATGAAATGAAGGCAACTGTTGAATATTATTTTTACCATTCAACCAAAATTAAAGGAACATGTAAGATCAAGGCTAGTGAAATGTAGGGAAACTAACTTCTGCAAGTATTATAGCATTAAATTTCTCCAGCTTTTTTTTAGAAAGCAATTTGGCAATAGTTACTAAAAGTAAGAAAACACAACAGCACACATGCACATTTTTAGGAGACAATTTTCTATGGGTCTACCATACTTCTGTACTTCTTGAAAACAGAGACACTGATTGCCTTTGTTCCAAACTATATTTTCAAAAATACTTGTATCGTGAAGAACCTTGGAAGACAGAGCTGGTGTCTCCATCTGGAGCAAAAAGCAGGTGCGTTTACTGCTAATTATGAGAGAGATTCACGTTTCTTTTACTTTTCTTTCTTATTTATTTATTTATTTTACTTATTTTTTTGAGACAGAGTCTTGCTGTCACCCAGGATGGAGTGCAATAACCCAATCCCTTCTCACTGCAACCACCGCCACCTGGTTCAAGCAATTCTCCTGCCTCAGCCTCCTGAGTAGCTGGGATTACAGGTGTGCACCACCACACCTGACTAATTTTTGTATTTTTAGTAGAGACGGGGTTTCCTCATGTTGATCAGGCTAGTCTCGAACTTTTGACCTTGTGATCCATCAGCCTTGGCCTCCCAAAGTGCTGGGATTACAGGCATGAGCCACCATGCCTGGTCTCAAGTTTCTTAAGTTTAGTTTCTTCTGTTGTAATCAAACCCACTGTGACTGCCTGGTCCTTTCTATATCACACTACGGGAATTGCAACTTGAGGAACTGGTGGAAATGCTACTGCTATAAGTAATAAACCATTGTTTTTCTCTCACCCTTGGATCGCATGTCATCTGCCAACATTCATGAAATTGTCGCAGGGTACCTTGTTAGCTTGCAGGAAGGAAGAAAATCTGAATTTTCACAGTTCTTTACACTTTTGGCCCAGCAAACATGTTTTTTTTAGAATCTATGCTATGGAAATAAAAATAATAAGACATAAAAATATAATAATAAGAAAACAATGGTCAAATAACTAGAAACAATCTGGATGTGCATCCATATTGAAATGAAACCATTTGTACTCTACTTATCTTATTAAATATTATGAAGCATAACAAATGAAGTTGAATTTATATCTTTTGAAATTTAGCGTAACTATTCACATAAGAAAAACTAATTGTAAAAACAAGCTGGGATCAATGTGTTTGATTCCATTTTTTGTAAATTAAAACAAAATGAAACTGATCTAAGTGTTTGAACATGGAAAGAGGTCTAGAATTTCTCATCCTTGATTACTTGAAGGGAAAGCCCTTTCTAAATTCTACCAATTATTTTCTATGAACGTTTCAATTTTCTGGCTGCAAGTAGCTTGCCTTGGGAGTTCTGACTGGGATTCCCCAAACCAAGACCACGTCCATAAGGCTGTTTGCATTAGGTGGAGCCAGGTGGAAGCTTTGTACCAGCTAAGACAATAGGTCTGGCATCTTTGTAAGAAATTTGGTGTCCACTTAAGAGTCAAATGCCTGGCATTTCCAAGGAAGCTTAAAACATTTTCTCAATTGAGTTAACTGGGATAACATTGCACAAATTTGGTTTTCTGCCTGGAACATCCAGGACCAAACCATGCATTCCCCTAAACTGAAATTCCAACTTTAATGTGGTCTCCACACACGCCCTTTTATTGTCTGGTGGTGGCCCAAAACCATCCCTGCTCATGCGGGGCCCAGATTTTCCCTTTCTTCCTTTCTTCAGAATTTAGGAAGACTTGGTGCAAATACATAAGCAGCTCAGATTGAGGCTGGTAATTTAAATCTGAAATCCAGCTGGGTATGACACCTTGGCTTTAAATCTTGGCTTCAAACCTTGGCTTTAACTCCCATTACCACCATCAAATATAACACTTGGAAATGCTGACCTGGGTGACTCAACCCCACTGTTGAAAGGGAAACGTCCTGGAAAGCAAGAGTAATTTCAAAATCATACAATAATGGGAACACTTGGTCCTCAACAGGCCTTAAAACCTCCCTGAATTTCCTTTTCCGTCCACCTGACTCACCCCAAAGCTGCTCCCATGCCCATCATTCTCCAGGCCACAATTTTTCTGTAACCTTTGTGAATCTCACATTTTCCTCATACCCTCTTGCCTTCCTCCAATTCTTTCTCACAAAAGCCAAAACACCAGGTCTAATAAGAAAGGTCCTCCATAAAGCAGAGTGGGTAGAAAAGAGAACCAAATGGGACAACTTAGAAGATCCTGTATGAGGGTAGGGCAAAGGAAGGCTGGGAGCGCTTGTAAGTTAATGATTTTTATACTGACATAGGGACAATTTAATATTCATCTTTTTAATATTAAACAGAGAGTATAATTATATGATCAATCTTAAAGTCTGTGGATCTGAAGCCACTGGCAAGTTCCTAGGTCATCCAAACATCTGTATCTATTGCTCAGGTAGACTACAGACAAAGCTTTTATATTCCTGAACAAGAGAAACTGTTTCTCTTAAGCAGCGAGCCATAGGTATTCATTACCCTTATTCCTCCATTAATACTTGTGTGATGAACAGATTCTGGAACTTCAGTTTCCATTGACACAAGGTAGCTATTGACAGAAGTGCTTAGAATAAATTACTTTACATTCAATATAAAATCAATAGATATAATGGGATAGCCTTAGAAAACTCACAAAAGTGGTGCATTCTGGGTTTTTTTTCTTCCATATATACTTTTTTGGGAAGAAAGATAAGTGGACTATTTTTAACTTCAGAAATAAACTCCAATTATCATAATCAGATGACCAAGTAATGGAAACTGCTAAGTCCCTTCTCAGTCTTGCAGTTCGACACTCAATAAGAGATTGCAAAGTGCTGAAAGTTTCATTAGAGTCAGTCAATGCACATCAATGAGGCTTCCACCCAAAGAAAGAGGACTCTGAAAGCAACCAGCTATACAGTGAAGGCAGCCATGGATAATTCACAGAACTTTGATGTTGTTTATAAACAAAAACTAGAAACGGTGTCACAGTAGTTTTCTACTTACAGAAAGATAAATCAACAGATGAGAGCAGCAGGAAAACCAACAGAGTGGGTCAGATGGAGACATCCTGTAACGTAAAAGATAAAGATTATAGCAGAGAAGGGATATCCTGTAGAAAACATTTAGAAGATGGCCTTTTTTCTATCAACTAAATTCAGAAAAATATAAACTATGTGGCATGAGAAACAAAAGACAAGATAAAACAAAAAGATGAAAGAGGAGCTAAGAGGCATATACAAAATTAACAGAAAAGTGAGTGAAGTGAAAAAGATGTGTTTAAATTAATACACTTACAGAGTTTCCATATACACCTTGTCATGCACGGAATTGTGTGACCCCAAAGTTCATATGTTGAGGCTCTAACCTCAGATATGACTGTATTTAGGGATAGTGTCTTGAAGGAGGTAATAAAGGCCCCCTTGAATGAGGTCATAGGGTGGATCCTAATCCAAAAGACTGGTGTCCTTGTAAGAATAGGAAGAGATACCAGGAGTGAGCACACACAGAAGAGAGGCCATGGGAGGACACAGAGAGAAGGTGGTGTCTACAAGCCGAGGAGAGAGGCTGCACCAGAAACCAACCCTGCCAGCAGTTTGATCTTGGACTTCAGCCTCCAGAACTGTGAGAAAATAAACTTCTGTTGTTTAGGTCCCCCCAGCATTTTAATACGATACAGCCCTAGTAGACCAATACACACCTCAAGCAGTGACAGGCAGAACTGAAACTGGAGAAAGTTAAAAGACTAATATGGAGTCTGGGTGTGGTGGCTCATGCCTGTAATCCCAGCACTTTGGGAGGCCGAGGTGGGCGGATCACCTGAGGTCAGGAGTTCAAGATCAGCCTGGCCAACACGGTGAAACCCCGTCTCTACTAAAAATACAAAAATTAGCTGAGCGTTGTGGCACATGCCTGTAGTCCCAGCTACTTGGGAGGCTGAGGCAGAAGAATTGCTTGAATCCAGGAGGTGGAGGTTGCAGTGAGCAGAGATTGCACCACTGTACTCCAGCCTAGGCAACAGAGCAGGATTCTGCCTGGAAAAAAAAAAAAATAGACTATACTGAAGAATCATAACTTCAGAATCTTTTTCAGAATGTGGAGAAAAATAAAAACCAATTGACAGAAGGGAGCAGGGAGATGTAAGACTTGGGAGACAGAGAATAGGGATTCAACTTATAGGTATTGGGTATATTTTTTATAGGAAAAATATAACAAAAAAATTTTAAAGGACTTAAAGGATTCGTTTAAACCACAAATATTACAAATAAAAATGGATCCTTATAAGCAAACATATTTAATTATAAGAGACCAATACTTTCATGTAGCCTGATAGTATTATACAATTTCAAGATTAAGAAAAGAATCTTGTGGTTCCCAAACTGTGTGCCAAGATGTCTGGGGGTATTACCATAAACTGACACAATGGGATATTTTCAGTTTTTGAGAGAAACAGAGGAATACAGGACATCTTTTGTATATGTGTAAATTAGCTTAAGGTAGTTCATAAATTTGATTGTACTTCATTTCTTTCTATGATGTCACGTTTTTGCGAAACTGGATTTTTGATGGGTGTTTTGATAAAAAAGCACATCCTATATGAAAATCGATGTGTAACAAGAAATGAGGCTGGAGGTGTTCAATCTGATTTCAAGATTTGAGAAGTTATGGCTGTGATCAGTAGGCACATATGCTTTCATTAATGTGTAATTGTGGTTATTGAATAGTTTAAGCGTGGTTATTAAGTAATATTAAATTATTTAAGGGTGCCACGAACCGAGGAAGTTTGGGAACCTCCAATTAAGCAGAAGGGCATTTGAGCAGGAAAAAAAAGAGAATACAAAATATTTCTTATAAAAATAATAAAACTTAGCTTGTCTTAGTCTTATCCCACAAAAGTAAACCCCAGATGGCTAAAGAAGTTTCTATTAATATATAGGCAAATTAATCTCATTTTTTTTCAGTTTTTTTTTTGGTGAGAGCATGTTCATGGTATACATTTTCTTAGTTCTGAATGTCTGCTATTACCTTTTCGATAAAAAGAATTACTGAAAGATATTAAAAGAAGAGGTGTTTAAACTAAACAAGAAATACATCAAAATTACTAAGCTGTAGGTGAGATTATAATATAAATTTATCTAAGGCATTTATATATATATATATATATATATATATATATATATATATATATATGGTTTCAAATCCATTTAAAGGACAAATAAGCTATTTAAAAAGAAGACAAAACGTTTAAAATACCTTTTTCTTTTGAGACAGGGCGGAGTGCAGTTTTATGATTTCACCTCACTGCAACCTCCGCTTCTGCCTCCCGGGCTCAAGCAATGGTCCTTCCACCTCAGCCTTCTGTGTAGCTGGGACTACAGGCATGTGCCATACACCACCATCCTGGGATAAATTTTGTCTTTTTTGTAGAGACGGAGTTTTGATATGTTGCCCAGGCTGGTCTCGTACTCCTGAGATCAAGGGAATCGCTCACCTTGGCCTCTCAAAGTGCTGGGATTACAGGTGTGAGGCACCGTGCCTAGACTTAAAATACATTTTAATAATAAAAATGTATGTCTACAACACTACTTTTTCAGATGATGTATGCTAATATGATCAACACAAATATTTTATCTGTTAAATTTCAATTAAAATCTCTTTTTTCATGCTTTCTTGAGAGAATACCATGTGCCAAGTAAGTACTTATGAGGTGTTGGACCAATTTCCTAATGTGTAAAGATTTCTTATGACATTTTATTTACTCTCTAGGTTATTTAGAGAATAAATGTTTAGAAGTTATAAAAGAGTAATTTTTAATCCTGTTTATATATGATGATAAATTGAAAGGAAAAGAACCCAAGAGAATGTGATTTTATTTGATTTTTGAGATTTCAAAACATAATATGTAGGAAAATATGTAGTAAAACATCTGACTTTCATACTTTTTATGTTGAGTTTAGTAATAGAAATTTATGAAATAAAAATATTAAGAAAAGTACAAGCAAAAATTAATATTCTTCCTAGCTAATTTAAAATGCTGGACATTTTTATAATATGCATTTTAATGATTTCATAAATAGCAAATTGTAACAAGTTAGGCATATGCACTTGGCTTTTATTTATATATTACTCACTTATCAAACTATTTTTTTAGATTTCTAGGATGTTATTGAGGTAGGAGAATGGGGTCTGGAGACAGGGAGCCTAAGGCAAACCTGCAGCTGACTTCTTGGAATTGGACTGAGAGGAAAACCCTACCTCTCGATGCCCAAGTGACAAGAGGTCAGAGGCCCTTCCCTCTACAAAACCCCTTCCCCCCATGTCAGAAACAGGAAATGCCTCTGATTGGTCTGGGCCAAGCCTTCACTTCAGCCTCTGATCGGTCATGGACCAAGCCTTTATTTGCATAGGGTGTAACCAATTGGAGGCCTCTAAAAGGTACCTAAGGGTGTTACCAAATTATTTTAGTCTAATAAAAACCCCAAAGAACAGTGCAATCAGGGCCCTTGAACTGCTTGCTGTAGCCCATTCCCACTCTGTAGAGTGTACTTTTGCTTCAATAAATCTGTGCTTTCCTTGCTTCGCTCTTTGTTGCTTTGTTTGTGCATTTTGTTTAATTTTTCGTTCAACAAGCCAAGAACCTGAACAACTCGCAGCCAGGACTTTCCATCTATCTTTCAACCAACGTTATCTATCTTTCAACCAAAAAAGTACCATGAGCTAAAATAAATTAGTCCTAAATACACAGATTTGTTTTAAATTCAACAACATAAATGTCAAAAATTATCCCAAAAACCTATACAAGTAAAATATTAAGATAATAATAAAAATAGGGCTTTACTCAATTATGTTTTGGAAATAGGCAGAAGTGAAATAATTTTTGCAGGTGTAGATTCTGTTTTCAGGTTTGAGATTAATATGGTCTTGCTTATATTAGAGGAATGTTCATATCCTCATCAGAGCCTTTCCCACAAATCCCTGATTGGTTTAAGAACAGTAGGAGTTTGCGTTTAGTAGGGTTTTGCAATATGCTGGGGACGAGAGCCCTTGATACTGCCCCTCTTAAACTGCAGGCGTGAGTGCATTTCTGGCACCTACCACGTGGTTCTTTGAAAAAGCAAGATCCCTGGGAATATACATCTCAAATTCCTTTCTAAAATATGACAGGTTAGTGAAGTTCATTTTCATGATCAATGTCTTGCTAATGTTTTGAGATTTTATGGACAAAGAAAAATTTACAGATGTATATGTATTTTGCTGCCAGTAAATGAACCACTTTTAAAACAGTACTCCTTTGAGTTTTTTATTGGTCTGAAACACATGCAAATAGTTAATATATTAATATTTTATATACCAGTGCTTTTCAAACTTTAATGTGCCTAAGAATGACTTAAGGATTTGTTAAAATGTAGATTCTAGTTCAGAGATCTAGATTCTGCTGTTCCAGGGACTTTGAATAGCAAGGATGAGAGCGATGACCAAATTCAAGTGTAACTGAAAATGAAGACTTGGAAATGAAGAGCCTTATGAACCAATATGAGAGTTTTTAACTCTATTTTGAAAGCTAAAGGAATTTGATCTGTCATGACCATATTTTTATTTTAGAGAAATCACTCTGGAAGTTGTTTGAGTATGTATTGGAGGGGAATTGGACTAGAGCCAGAGAAACTACCTAGTAGACAAAAAGTAATCTAGTTACCCAGGTACAGCCCGATTAAAGGCTGCAGGTCCAAGGACCACAGAGAGCCAATCTATAGATGACACTAAACTTGACAAAAATATAGTGCCAGTTAAGCCAGACTTTCACTTATGGCCTTAGGTAACTGATGAAAAGTAAAATGATCCTGCTTCTTGCAACATCGGCTATAGATTTGAGCACAAAATAGGACACCATGTCTTGTTTCTCCTAACGTATGTCTTGTTGATTTTTGTTGGAGGTAGAGGTGAATACTATAAGGGGCAACTTAGACCTCGTATTTGACCACAAGACCAGCCAACTGAAGCCTCTTGAAGTTTGAAGTTTCTTTTTACCATCTGTTTCCTTCTAAACTGGAATAATGCAGGAGGTAGTATGGTAACATGGAAGTGAACTGTACTTTACCATCTAAATATACCTCCTGAGATACGGCATAGTTCATGAAATTGATGTAGTGAAAAAAGCCACTTTTAGTATATCCAAGTAAAGTATCTAGATGCCCAGTAAATACTAGTGACTAATGTTATCTGGTAATGAATGAAGAAGACTTTGAAGTAAAACAGAATTCCAAATAAGTAAAAATGCAATGTTCTATCACTAAACATGATCAGTCCTTTATTTTGGACATAAAGAATATGCTAGACATATTCTAGCTGGGTTCAGTATGCCAACAAAAAATGGAGGTTGAACCAACTGTTTAGAGAGTATTTGTTTGAAAAGGGCCTAAGTAATGGCCTTGTATTTTCACTCATATGTATATAACTGTAGGTGGGATTTTGAATACATTTACAAGAAATTAAACAATAAAAGAAATCAGATAATGGAAAAGGGAAAGTGTTCATTATAACTCCCTTTATCTGGAGAGTCTTATCTAACACATATAAGTAGGAGTGTCAAGGAAATACTTTTATTTGAATAGACATTTTTGAATTAACTCTGGATGTTTTTCTCTTCCTGGTAGTCTGATTCCTCCTCTTGCACTCTTTCCACTATTTTTAGTGCTAGTGAAGAATAGGCTGGGGTGTCTGTGTGTGTGTGTGTGTGTGTGTGTGTGTGTGTGAATGATTCTGAGGTAGGAGAAGGTTCTGATGTACGGGAAGTTGTTATCCCTCAGGAAGAGAATGTAGACATCTTTCATGGGAAAAACAGAAGAGTGAAGGAAATCCATACAGCTGATATTAAAGGGCTATACTTAGTTTCACATTTAGGGATTTGCGGGGGGAGATCACTTCGCAGTGTGCAATAGTGCAGCCATAGTAATTGAGAAGTGGTGATAGTGCATTCAGACAGAAAAAGAGCAGAAGTTGAGCTCCTCCATGCATGTTCTGTCTAAGCTCCCATGTGGCCCAGAAGGCATTTAGAAATTCCCAGGGGGGTAGGGAAAGAAGATGAGTTTGGAAATTTCAGACCTATTATTGGGCTTCTACAGAAAGGGGCAGTGTGACCTTAGGACAGAAACAAAGGTTCAGGGCCTAGACAGAAGCCACACTGAGAATATGGCCAAGATCATGGTGGGCTGAGTCAGGAAGGGGACACTATGCTCTGAGCTTACTGAAAAGAACAGACCACTAGATTCACCAACTCTTGACTTCAGAAGTGGGTGTCAGCAGGCACCAGCAAGCAGAAAGGAAAATGCCATTGTGTTGCAAGGGCGAGAGGGCACTCAGAACATAGGACAGTATCTTGCACATGGCTCCAAGGGCCTTGCCCCCTTCTGCCATGATTATGTATAAGGATTCCCATATCCAAGTACCATCTGGAGTTGGAACTTAATATAAGGTGTCATTACTTTAAGAAAATGGTTACGTCTTAAAAGTAACCATGCCTTACATTGTTTTAAATAAAGAAAGAATTGGTTATAATTTCTTTGCGCTTTACTTGATTAAAAGCTAAACAAATGTGACATTTTACCTTTCAATTTAAGCAGTGTTAGTTTTCTAACCTTGGAATTTAAAAAAAAATTCAATTTAAATTCAAACTGCTCATTACAGAAAGTTAAGAATGATCTTCTCTAGCACAGTAGTCAGTATTTTATCATTATTATGCCTATCTTACATGGTAATGAAAGTTGTCGAGCTTGTGAAATAGGATATAATGACTAGGGATATTAAAATTGATCATATTTCTCAAATTCATTAACAATTAGATTCTTGACAATGCCTTTAATTATTTTCCTTCTGTAGCATGTTGGCTTGGGTAGTTTTTACATCATGGAGGGCATAAAATGTTTTAACATGTTTCAGGAGAAAGTGGTTTGCTTGTAATTTGTATCTTCCTCCATGTGTACAACTTTAATTTTGACATGGATATGGTCCAAAGATACATGAGAAGGGTGGACAAATGATTCACTTTTAGAGGTTTATAAGACTACTCCTTAGTTCACTGGAAAAACTCATTTGCTAAATGGACCCTCACTGCTCTGTGAGATGTTTACTTTGCTCTTATGTAAGTTCAGACTGCTTCGTTCTTCTAGCATTAACTTAGTTTTGGCTATTTCTTCTTATCCCTTTTCATGGTATATAAATGCTCAGCAGACACTTAAAATCATGTGAAAGACAAACCAAACTACTTTTATTTTAAAGCTAATTTTCTGAGTGTAATTTTCTTATCTGTGAAATAAGAGTTGCACCATAGAAAAATATTTTTTTAAAAAAATGAATGAAGCAAATCTGATCACTTTAATCTCTTTGTTGTTTAAGGTTAACATTCCCCTAAACACCCTGAAATGTAAAAGAAATTTTAAACAAATTGAGGGTACTCTCTATATTTCCTTAATTAGTATATTTTTGGAAAGAGTATGCTGTATACTGTTTTTGTTCAAAATCTTTTCCTCAGATAAATAATAGGGACATTGAATAGAAATAAAATGATGCAGAGGGTAAAAGGCTATTGTGAGACTTTGCTTTCTTTCAACAATTAATATATATGTTTTCACATTCAGTTGCGTTTGGTGATTACAACAGAGAATTCCTTGAAAATCGCAGAAAGATCAGTACCTGTCACATGCTAAATGTGGTATAAATTATGCCAGCTGCGTTTCTAGGCGCCAACACCAGACGGCGCTAAAACACTGCAGTTAGTTGCCTGCCTGCCAGTCGAGGTGATGTTCACACTTCGTTCTACGCACAACGCGTGTTCTGTACATATTGCTAAACTGAGGGATGGGCAGAGAAGGGCAAACTGTAACTACAGTTTATTTTAGCTCATGTTTAAATACAGGATATACTCTGTTTTCCTTCTGTACAGGAGAGGGAACTCTTCACAGGTGAGCTCAAGAATGCATTTCATTACCCTTTGTCTCTTGTTCTTGTTGGCAAAAATCAGTGGTTAGGTGCCTGAGTGTGAGCAAAGAAATAACTGGCTATATCCGTCTAAATTAATCACTAGTAAGGAAAATTAGGGAAGTTACAGGAAGTAAAGACCCTCAGGCAAAGGCTCAGGGATAATTTAGAAAGAACTAGAAGGGTGCATGGTGGGAGTGTAGTGAAGAAGCAAACTTGATTTTTGAAAACCCAGAAAAATATAAGAACTAGTTTTCTTCTTTTTCCCTGATGCTATTGCCTTTCAAAACGATGAAATAGTAAATGGTAAATTTTGAGATTGCATGTTATAGTCAATGCAAAAGTTTTTAAGAAAAGCAGATATACTTGCTGCTTCTTGAGTTAGAATATAGAATGAGAGATCTAACACAGCAGTGGCTGTGTTATAGATAGAAAATGTGATGGAAAGCAGTTGCAAAGCTGGGCATAATTCCATAAAATTTTTCTTTTTTTAAGATATATTTGCTAGTAAGGCAGTATACACACAACAGAGCACTTCAGTTTCAAATTATGTTAAAACATCTATGAAGTAGTCAGCAGTATCATAGATTTTTTGCTTCTGCCATTCAATGAGGCCCTGTCATTGACAGAGCTTGGTGACTACCAATTGTTGATGTTGATGGGCTATGCTGGGGCTCTCAGGAGAGCTGGGGTCTCTGTTCTCTGAGGTTTTCTAAAATTCTGAGATCATATGGTTTCATAACAATGAAAATCACTTGATAGCAGCAATGGAGTTGTCGTTATGAATACCGATTTGTTTAACTGTTAGTTGTGAACACCTAGGAATGAATTTGCTTCTTAATGGCCATATTATATTGGACATTCTCAGAAAAAAAGGTTTTTAATGAAGAAAATAAAAACCAAATTTCAAAATATACTACAATTATATTTTCTATTCATTAGACAAAATAAGAGAAAATGAAAAAACCATAAATTGATGACTTTAAAACTAAAAATAGGTTATTTATTCTTAAACAAGAATTTATTTCTTCTTTAAGAAATATAATAGCTGAGAACCTCAAAAGAAACCTACACCTAAGGAATGATGTGAAGTAATAGGTACCTATGACTTCTAAACTTATTGTGTATGAATTTATTCACATCTATCATCATTTATACAAAAAACACTTAAAATTTCACAATCTCTCCTGTTCCCACAATTTATAACAGAAAAAAATGAGGAAAACAATTAATAGGAAAAATTACTGTTAGACAATACAATACAATACAATACAATACAATACAATACAATACAATACAATACAATGCAATGCAATGCAATACAGTACAATGCATGCTTCTGCAAATTTTGTAGAGAACATATGTGATGACAGCACAGCAGTTAACTTTTGTTAAGATTAAAACAGTCGTGGTGCGGTGGCTCACACCTGTAATCCCGGCACTTTGGGAGGCCGAGGTGGGTGGATCACCTGAGGTCAGGAGTTCGAGACCAGCCTGGCCAACATGGTGAAACCTCATCTCTACTCAAAACACAAAAATCAGCCAGATGTGGTGGTGGGCGCCTGTAATTCCAGCTACTCGAGAGGCTGAGGCAGGAGAATTGCTTGAAACCGGGAGACCGAGGTTGCAGTGAGGCCAAGATTGTGTAACTGCACTCCAGACTGGGTGACAGAGAAAGACTCTGTCTCGGAAAAAAAAAAAAAAGATTAAAACAACACAATTGTGATTTTGCGATTTGATAGTGAAGAGAGATTTTCAAATTTATTCCTCAGTTTTTTCTGAAAATGAAAATGTTGTATAACCACTTAACAATTTACCTATTTTCAGGAAATAATATTCGATAAAACGTTATACCATCACTGATAGGAAGGAAAAAAAGCATTCTTAATTTGTTTTTTGTTAGTTGACTTGTTTTTTTTTGGCGGGGGGCACAATTTCTTATGACAAGACTTTGAAAAGATCAAGATCTTCAAGATGGCTTCAAACTTATCAACTTGTAGGTATTCTTGTAAATATAAAGAGAAATGTGAAAGTAATATGCTTCAATAATCAAATTAAATTAGCACAATTGCAATTTTTGTTTGAATCAAGATGGCTTAATAGTTTTATGAGGCTACACATTATGGAGAATATATTTTACTCTCCTAAGCCAAGAGAAAACTTCAGGACCAACTAAAGTGTACCCAAATATGCATTTATCATATTTTATTTGTCTATATTACTCTTCAATATAATGGTTTTATGATGTAGAATATCTTGATATTTTATACCTTTATCAGAACCTTTATACATGAACACAAACTGTATACCTACATCTTTAGATTTTGGTACTAAGACAAAGGGGTCAGTTACAAGTGTCTGAGAGTTGTTTGGTTGGTAAAACTTCTAGAAGATAGTGAGTTCTGAGAAAATCATGGTAACAGAAAGTAAAACTTGCACATGTGGTGTTGTGAAGAAAGAAATTGAAATGGCAGTTACCACTTAGGTAAAAGGCTAATAAACCCGATTTTAGAAGACATGAATATCTGCATTTTAGGATTCTTTTCTTGGTTTGAATAAGTGATTCGAGAATCCCAACTGGACTGTCAGAATGGATGTTAACTAAATAGAAAAGGATTCTTGAGAAAAAATGGATAATGTAACACACAGTACAAATTTGAAAAACAACAAACATTTGTGATGAAATGCAAAGAAACTGGAGCTCCTGGCTGGGCGCAGTGGCTCACGCCTGTAATCCCAGCACTTTGGGAGGCTGAGGTGGGTGGATCACCTGAGGTCAGGAGTTTGAGACCATCCTGACCAACATAAAGGAACCCCGTCTCTACTAAAAATACAAAAAATTAGCTGGGCATGGTGGTGCATGCCTGTAGTGCCAGCTACTAGGGAGGCTGAGGTAGGAGGATCACTTGAACCTGGGAGGCAGAGGTTGTGGTGAGCTGAGATTGTGCCATTGCACTCCAGCCTGGGCAATGAGAGCAAAACTCTGTCTCAAAAAAAAGAAAGAGAGAGAGAGAGAGGGAAAGAAAGAAAGGAAGGAGGGAGGGAGGGAAGGAGGGAGGAAGGGAGGGAAGAAAGAAAAGGAAGGAAGGAAGGGAGGGAGGGAGGGAGGGAAAAGAAAAGGAAGGAAGGGAGGGAGAGAGAGAGAGAGAGAGGGAGAGAGAGAGGAAGAAAGGAAGAAAGAAAAAGAAAAAAGAAAGAAAGAAAGAAAGAAGGAAGGAAGGAAGGAATAAAGGAAGAAAGAAAGAAAAGGAGAAAGAAACTGGACCTTCCACCTCCTGGGTAGTTTGGAATTGCTCAGTCTAGCATCCGATTTTGTAACTCTGATAAGTCTGAAACAAATACATATATTGATGAAAAGTTGACGATAAATAAAGCTAAAATTATCATCACATCTCCAATAATCTTTTATAAGAGATGATACAACTGCATTCCTTTTGACTTTAGTTAACGACTTTTAGTGAAGCTCTTCAGTGACAGCTTGCATACAGAATCAAACATGTTAGAACTATAACATCCCCAGAGCAGGGTCAGAATGAAGCCTACAGTTGGGATAGAGTGCATGTTTTGCCTACCTGTTTAACACATTTAAAGAATGGGGTCATGATATATACTACATAAGTTCATCTCAACCCACTATGCTGCCTTCCAGATACTTCCACAAGCAACTTAAAATTATAAAATGAGTACACATACTCATTTTATGATTATGAAAAGAGTACTCATACTCATCTTACTCTTACTTATAAGAGTAAGAGTACCCTTACTCTTACAAAATGAGTACATGTACTCATTTTGTATATGTACCTGTACATATATAAGTTGCTTGTAGAAGTATCTGGAAGACACTTCCACTAAAAAGTAACAAGTCAGATTATTATAATTTACACAAGTTAAGTAATATACTGATATTAAATCATATTTTGCATTTTACTCATCTATGTTAAAATGTACTTAGTGTGTCCTTTATCAATTTTGATTAATTTGCAAACTTTAACATATTATATTCTAATTAAAGTTCATTTAATTTATTATATTCTCCAGTTGCGTTTTTTTTTTTTTTTTGGTTAGCACACAACACTTAAAACCGTTAATCCTTAGGGTTTTGGTTAATTAATACTATCTTATTAATGAGTTTTGAGTACTTATTAACCAGGAGAAAAAATAGTATCAGTCTTAGCATCTGAAGTCAGAAAAAATATAGTTAAAAAGGTTAAGATTTGTAATCTCTTTATTATTGGATTTATCCCGTAAGAAAATAATTTTGAATTTTCCTCTTTGGGAGACCGAGGCGAGTTGGTCACGAGGTCAGGCGTTTGAGACCAGCCTGGCCAACATAGTGAAACCGTCTCTACTAAAAACACAAAAATACCAAAAATTAGCTGGGCATGGTGGTGCCCACCTGTAATCTCAGCTATTCGGGAGGCGGAGCAGGAGAATCACTTGAACCTGAGAGGCGGAGGTTACAGTGAGCTGAGATCGTGCCACTGCACTCCAGCTTGGTGACAGTGGGAGACTGTGTCTCAAAAAAAAAAAAAAAAAGAATTTGCCCTTATTGTCTTACATTCTAATCACTACATAATGCTCCTTTTTTTTTTACACCAAAATCGGGTCACTCAGATCCTCAGCATGAAACTCTCAAATGGCTTCCCATCTCCATCAGAGTAAAATCCAAAGTTCTCACAGTCACCTACAAGGTATGGCGAGATCTCTGAGCACGCCCTGACAATATCTTCTCCTTTCTTCCTCATTCTCTCCACTATACCAACACTGGTTTCCTTGCATGCTCCTATATCCAGCACACTCTAGCCTCCCATCACTGCTAGGGAGCTCCCCTTCTCCAAAACATATCTTCCCTAGACACCCAGGCAGCTGATTACTTTGTGATCTTTCAGTCTTTGCTCAGCCTTTCTCAGTGAGACCTTTCCTGATCATCTTATATAGGAAGACTTCCTTCTCTATCCCCTCATCTGCTTTATTCATCTTCACAGAACTTATTTGTTTTCTTTACCCTTTCCTTCTTCAGGTCATAGAACTTATTGCCACCTGTGCTTTACATGTTCACGTTTCACTGATTATTTCCTTCAGTAGAGTGTAAACTTCAAACATTTTTCCATATATTATTAAAGTTATAACTTTAGTACTAGAATAGTGCCAGAGACACAGTGAATACTGAAAACATATTTATTAAGCATGGAAAGCTCCTAATTCTTTGAAAAATCATTTTAGCTATTCTAGTTTCTTTGCCTTTCCATATAAATTTTTAAATTATTGGGTGAATTGTGCTAATATTTTTGAGGAATCTTGTCTAAGATGTGAAATGTATGTGTGTCTACTTGTTTGTACTGTCTCCTTCCTATTCTTCTGATGTCTCCATAATCTGTAGTGATGCTTCCTGTTTCATTCCAGGTATTGATCATTTGTGTCTTCTTTTTCTTTTTTTTGCCAGATTTGCTAGAGAGTTGCCAATTTTATTGATCTTTTCAAAGAACCAGTTCTTTGTCACATTGATTTCCTTTGGATTTTCCCCAGAGTCGGGGGTGCTCCTCATTACTATTAAATGGGGGAATGGATAGGAATGGATATTCCACCTTCCCATGTGGTCTCTGCTGACACGTGGTAGGGGCAGTCTAGTTACCACTGGACAATGGTTATAGTTCTTACTTTCCATGAGGCCTCTTCTGATGCTACCCTAGCAAGGAGGAGCCTCAATATCCCCAGTGGGAATGGAAGTTTAGGCTTCCCACGTGGTCTGTAGTGACACCATGGAGAGGGCCTTATCTCCGGCCAGCAGGGTAGAAAGTCCTGGCTCACTGCTTGGTTTTCTCTGGCACTGATCCGGCAAAGGTGTTGAGGCCCCTCTTCATAGCTTCTTAAGGACGGACATCTCAGCTTTTTACTTGGTCTTTGCCAGCATAGGGGGGATGCAAAATATTTTTTTCATCATTGTCCAAAAATTTTCTGTCTTGCTAGGCTGCCCTTTTCCTGGTCCTGTGGTTAGAGAAAGCAGAGATTTTTCCAGTGTGTTTTTTCTTTGCACCTGTTTGTGTTTCCAGATCGCTTTTCATCAGCTCTACATCTGGGATATATGAAGCTGAAAGAAAATCTACAGAGCTCACAACTCTGTCATCTCTTGGATCCTGAGATTCTTGTCCTGTCCATCTTCCTCTCTACATCTTTGAGAGTCTTCTTGTGTTTGCTTTAAACATAATGTCCAGTTTTACTTAGTTGTACTTAGCAGGAGGAGTAGTTGTACTATATAGTTGTACTTAGCAGGAGGAGTAGAAGAAAATGTGTTTGTTCCGTGTTTCCCAAAGCACAAATCTGTCTCAAGCACACATTTGTAACTGGTTTGTTAGGGGAATTTGATGGTCTTATATCTCTACCTGACTGCTTCCGTGCCCCAGGAAAATTGCTGACAGGTGAAATATGTCTTGTACTTTATCAAAACAATCAAACCAACAAAAGCATGAAGAAAAACAAATTCTTTCCCTGAAAGAATCTCCCTCTCTTCATTTTCCCTGAACATGTAATTTGTAAGGGCACAACTCTTTTCAGAACGTCCAGTTTGTTTACTGAAAGAATTTTGTGCCTTTGTGTCTAGAGGCTGTGACTTCTCTCAAATCACAAATTTTGTTACAACTATTCTAGCCTAAATTAACCAGTCAGGATATAGAACGATACTGTAATACAACAGTTCTAAATTGGGGTCCATTTGACCTCTGAGGGGGCATTTAGCAATGCCTGGAGAAATTTTTGTTTTTCACAACTTAGAGTGCTACTAGCATCTGCTGGGCAAAGGCCAGGGATGCTGAAAACATCCCCGAACGCACAGTACATACTCGAATAATAACAAATTATCCTGTCCAGACAGTCAATCGTGCTAAGATCAACAAACCCTGCTGTAACAGGGTGTGTAACCCTTACTAGAGACACCAGTACCATTCTGCAAATAGTAGATGGAAATTGCTTTCTGAGAGGGCTACCTTAGGAGAGAGTGTAGCTTTCAATTTATAGGAGAGAATCAGTAGAGAAACTGTAGTCTGAGACAGTCGGAATTGAAAAAATGATTCTACGAGAGAAAGTGATAGCGTAATCTCACAGATCCATGAATAGCAATAGGCACAACCAGTGAGGTTGTGTACAAAAGAGGATTCTCCCACATTGCTAGTGGGAATGTAAATTTGTACAAACTCTGAAAAATTGCCAGAGAGTATCTAGTAAAGTTAACAATACACTTATCCTATGACCCAGAATTCAAAGCTTAAGAATAGAGCCTAGAAATCTTTGCACATTGGTACCAGGAGACTCATAAATAATTTACAGAGCAGCATTTTTCAAAATAGTTAAACATTGGGAAGAACAAAATTTTCCTCCACTGTAGAATATATGCTAAATTATGGTCCATTCGTGCATGTGAATGCTATAAAAAGGTGAAAATAAATGAATTACAGTTATATGTATCAACACTGAAAATTTCAAAAAAGCCTCAGCAAGAGAAATAAACCAGTATTCAAAAAATATGTACAGTATGATTCTATTTATAAGAAGTTCAGGCCAGGTGTGGTGGCTCACGCCTGTAATCCCAGCACTTTGGGAGGCTGAGGCAGGTGGATCACCTGAGGTCAGGAGTTCAAGACCAGCCTGGCCAGCATAATGAAACCCCGTCTCTACTAAAAATACAAAAATTAGCTGGGCCTGGTGGCATGCACCTGTAATCCCAGCTACTTGGGAGGCTGAAGCAGGAGAATTGCTTGAGCCCGGGAGGCGGGGGTTACAGTGAGCCAAGATTGCGCCATTGCACTGCAGCCTGGGAGACAAGAGCAAAACTCCATCTGAAAAAAAAAAAAGTTTGAACACTAAAACATTTTGTATAGCAGTAAGTACAGATTTGTTTAAATTTTTAAAAAGTCAAATAAATAATTGTCTCATGTCAGGACAGTAGTTTTCTAGGAGTTAAGGAGAGGGATGTGATAAGGAGACAGGCATAGGTCTTCTGTGTGTGGCATGTGCAATGTTTATTTCTTACTCTGCATGTTAGTTACAAGATTATTTAACTATTATTTTATTGATCACAAATATATATTTAGTACACTCTTTATGTATGCAAGGTATCTCACTATTTGGAGATGTTAACAACAAATAATGTGGAAAAATGTGGTGTTAAGGAGTAGTAATTTTTCAGGACATATATTTTAAAAAGGAATGAAAACACAATTTATCAGTACACATTGGTAGTGTCCAAGGTAGAAAGAATCTAATCATTTGGACAAGAGATAACAAAAAGAATCATATACATATCATTTTAATTATTTTATCTTGGGCAAAATAAGTCTTGTCTGTCACCTACCCTTCAACCACCAAACCCAGCTAATTGCCTAAATCTCTTTGTTGTGTGTTAGATGGAAAAGTTGAATTCTGATAATTAATTAAACTTATATTGCAAATTGATGACAACCAGGAATGTTCTGGTTATCGGGAAAACAATTTAAGTGAATTCACTTACATTCTGGTGTATAGATCAGTCACACTAATCTCCCAAGACAAAATGAGCTTTCCATGGCTTTCTGCACCAGCAAAGCTCAAGGCCATTCCTGAGCATGGTGATCCCACATTTATTCTACTTTACATCCTGATAAGGTTTTGCTGTGTGTCTCCACCCAAATCTCATCTGGAATTGTAATCCCCACACGTCAAGGGAGGGAACTGGTGGGGGGTGATTGGACCATGGGGGTAGTTTCCCCCATTCTGTTCTCATGATGGTGAGTTCTCATGAGATCTGATGGTTTCATAAGTGTTTGACAGTTCCTCCTTCACATTTGCTCTCTCTTGCCTGCTGCCATGTAAGGTGTGCCTGCTTCCCCTTCTGCCGTGATTATAAGTTTTCTGAGGCCTCCCCAGCCATGCAGAACTGTGAGTCAACTAACCTTCTTTTCTTTATAAATTACCCAGTCTCGGGCAGTTCTTTATAGCAGTGTGAGAACAGACTAATACACATCCCATCTACTAAGCTTCTGTTGTAATTTCTACTATTACAAGGTTCTGTACAATATTACTACTTTATATCTGCATAGAACTTTTGAATACTTTTCAAATTTTTCATTTGTATTTTCTTATTGGAACTTAATAATCACATGGTGAAATAGGCAGAAGAGCTATCATTATCTGCCTTTTTAGTTGAATAATAAATAGGTTAAGTGGCAAATACAGTGGAGAATTATGTGGACTAGCTGTGTACTGGCAGTACAGATAGATTTTTAAAATAGAGTGAAGTGAAAAAAATGCAAAATAGAATGAGGCTTGTGAATATAGCACAGTTTATGTAAGATAAAAATATGCCCCAAACAATGTAACATATTTAGAAAGCAGCACAAAAAATTTATAAAAATGAGACATATTAAAAATGGTTTCTTATAATGGTGGAGAGGTGAATGGGAATTGAGAATAGGAGAAAAATGGGAATAAATAGAGAAAACAAGAAGATTCAAGTGCAGACAAAACTAAGATGATTTGGAATGAACTGAGAAGAGTCGTTTCTTGTTTTTGATCGTCGTTTTTGTTTTTAACTCACTAGCTGCATTATTTAAATAGCCAGTGATAGAAACCAGATCTCTAGAATAAAATAAAACAAAAAATTAAATTGTTTTTCGCCTGTACTTCTTACTATGTACAAAACAATGCAGTAATAGTTGTGCAATGACTGAAATTCCAAAACATAATTTTACCCTTAAAGAACTTAGATCAAGTTTGAGACAAAACATTTAATTGTAAAAAGTATTCATAAAATATAATAGTAGATTGAAATAATAGTTTATGTTAACTACATAATTGATGCCTCAATGATTAGGTATGTAAATGACTTAATCTAGCAACAATTACTGCATATCATTCATGAAAATATCAGTTATGTGCCAGATTTAAGATCCATCAGTTTACAAAATAGAAATTTCTTACCTCATGAAGCTTATATTTTATCCTGGGGTGTGAGTCTATAAGTAATGAACATAATGAATAAGCAAAATGTTAGATAAAAAATACTAGGACATAGTAAATGCTTTAGGAAAAATAGAGCAGTATAGAGGAGTTTAGAATACGGAATGTGGAGGTTTGAGGTACAAAATTTTAAATTAGATACTTAGAGTAGATCCAGCAAGAAAGTGACATTTGAACAAAGACTTGAAGAAAGTGAGGCAGGGAACCATGTGGATATCTGTGAAAATAGTATCCCAGGCCATAAAGTGAGGTGGTGAAAACTGTAGGTAGAATTGTTTTGGGAAAAATCAGACATTCAGTTTTGGATAAGTTTATTTTGAGATGACTGTTAGAAATCTGTGTTAGTCTGTTTTCACACTGCTATAAAGAATTCCCAAGACTAGGTAATTTACAAAGAAAAGAGGTTGAATTGACTCACAGTTCTGCATGACTGGGAAGGCATCAGGAAACTTACAATCATGGCAGAAGGGGAAGGGGAAGCAAAGGCCTTCTTCACATGGCAGCAGAAGAAAGAAGAAAAAGTGAAGGGGGAACAGTCAAACACTTATGAAACCATCAGATCTCATGAGAACTCACTCAGCATCATGAGAACAGCATTGGGGAAACCAACCCCATGATCCAATCACCTCCCACTAGGTCCCTCCCTTGACACATGGAGATTAAAATTTAAGATGAGATTTGGGTGGGGACACAGAGCCAAACCACATCAACATCCAAATGGAGATGTGGCTTACGCAGTGATTATATAAATCGAGATTTCAGGAGAGATGTCTAGGGTAGGGATACAACTTTGGAGTCTTTGACATTTATATTAATTTTCAAGCCATGCTGTTATGTGAACTATCTAATGGAGTGTGTGTAGCTAGAATGAAACAAAAGCAAATGTAGTGTTCTGGAGGCAAAATAAAGTGTTGGAACAAGGAAGTGATTAATGGAGTCAAATGCCACTGGTCTAGAAATGACAGGATAATGACATTAAGATGAGAACTTTTAAAAAAGGTATTATAAATATACTTACAGATTGATAGTAAAACTTGTACATATGAGATGATAAATAAAAGATATGATCAAATTTGCCAACTAGAATTTATAGAGATGAAAAATACAGTTTATTTTTAAGAATTGACTGAGATTTCACAGCATATAAAGTGCTCTGCAAAATAAAAGAACATTGAACTTGAATATATAACAATAGTACTATTAAAAATGAAAAAAGAAGAAATTGATAGAAAAAAATTGAATAGACCCTCAGTGACCCATGAGACAATATCCACTGGTCCAGTACACGTGAAATTGGAGTCCTAGGCGGGGAGGGGAGATATTTCTACTAGTTTCCCATCCTAGTTAGAGGCTCTTGAAGGCTTTTTTGTGGAGTCATTTTCAGGAATGAATTACACACCATTCTGTTATGCCCTCCAACTTCAAAGGATTCCTCTTAGGCTCCCTAAGTGTGTACTTGGAACCCTCTCACCAGGTTTCAGATGGTGTAAGGAAGACTTACACACTGAGAATTTTCTCGAAAGAATGCTTTCTACTGCCTTCATCTCAAGGTTTTTATTGCCTCGAGGTGGCTTGAAGGTTGCATAACCTGTTTTTAACCACCTCAATTCCCAGTCCAGCACAGGTGGTCTAGCAGTGCACCTTGTAATGCAAGAGTATTTATACTCACTGTTTTGCTCTAAGCTTTTTGAGACAATTTCCACAATCTTAACATAATTTTAAGCTTAAGTATAATTTTGCTAAATCCTAAACAATTCCTTGTTCTCACGTTAGGAAGATTTCTAGAATTAAACCAACTCTTTTAAGTTCCTGAGGTACCCTTATTAATGTTGTAAATGTGCTTTACAATTCTTATAAAATGTGATGTGATGTAAATACAAAGTCATAATAATAGTTGAGCATAATCTTATGGGATCTGCATGAACAACTTTGATGATTACTGAAAGTCAACATGAATTGATCAATCCTTGTGAATATAATGCGACTGTTTCAGATGTTTTCAAAGCTACAATTGCCTGTAATCTTTTGCTTCAATTTTTATCACGAGAAAATGACCTTCCAGGCTCTACCTTCCATCATGTACTTCTTTTACCTTCAGACTTTTGTTCCTACACTACTTCTTTGTCTTAAATAACTTTCCTCAAGTTTATTTTTCTAAATGGTCAAATATTGCCCATTATTCAAGTTTAGGTTTCAGTTATATGTCTTACTATTTTTTTTTTCAGATTTCTCTATTTGTAGTTTTTCTTTTTCTTTGAATTGCTATAAAGCTTCTACTTTGAACTATGGAACTTGGCCCTTACTATGAGTTATGACATATTGTTATGTTTCTTTTTTTGAAAGCCTATGAGTTTTTTTTTAATTTTTAAAAATTTTGATAGCTTTTGGAACACAAGTGGTTTGCAGGTACATAGATGAATTATATAGAAGTGAATTATGAGATTTTTGTGCACCCATCCCCTGAATGGTGTACGTCGTACCCAATATGTAGTCTTTTATCCCACACCTCTATCCCATCCTCCCCCTTCTGAATCTCCAAAGTCTATTATATCACTCTGTATGCTTTTGTGGACCCATAGCTTAGCTCCCACTTATAAGTGAGAACATACTGTACTTGAGTTTCCATTCCTGAGTTACTTCACTTAGAATAATGGCCTCCAGTTCCATCCAAGTTGCTACAAAAGTCATGATTTCACTCCTTTTTATGGTTGAGTAGTATTCCATAGTGTATATATAGTACATTTTTTTTGATCCACTCATCGGTCGATGGGCACTTAGGTTGGTTCCACATCTTTGCAATTGTGAATTGTGTAGCAATAAACATGTATGTGCATGTGTTATGTTTCTTGAGTTTAATTATACAGATGCTCCAGAGCTGGGTGAGTAGACAATATACAGTGGCAAATTGTTGTCAATGGAGATGGTGGGCTGGAAGCTCAGAGACCTTTCCACTGGATGACATCCTTATTTTGATGAATTCATCACTGGTTAGCTTTCTCTCCTTCCTCCACTCTCATCTTACAGTATCAGAAATCTGATTTTTTTTTTATTATACAAAGAATGAATCCATCTCTCAAGAATGATTTCAAATTAAATGAGCTTTGATATTATTTGGCTCTGTGTTCCCACCCAAATCTCAGGTCGAATTGTAATCCCCACATGCTGGAGGAGAGGCCTGGTGGGGCGTGATTAAATCATGGAGGTGGATTTCTCCTTTGCTATTTTCATGATAGAGAGTGAATTCTCATGCAATCTGGTCGTTTGAAAGTGTGTAGCCCTTCTCCCTTCTCTATCTTTCACTCTCTCTCCTGCCACCATTTGAAGATGTGCTTGTTTCCCCTTCTGCCATGACTGTAACTTTCCTGAGGCCTCCCAAGCCATGCCTCCTGTACAGCCTGTGGAACTGTGAGTCAATTAAACCTTTTCTTTATAAATTACACAGTCTCAGGTAGTTCTTTATAGCAGTGTGAGAACGAACTAATACAAGCTTCCAAAGACTGTTGCATGAATCGATACTTATATACTACTTTACAAAGAATTATAAAAGCCAAGAGGATTGTGCGATTATATTTTCTGACTTACAAATTCTTTCCCTGAAAAGATAGGCAAGGAGCCAAGTTATAATTAGAAGGAAGCTTGGTGTATGTGAGATCCCAATGAGCTAGGTGAATCTACTTAATTTTAATATTTTGTGAATTAGGCTAAGAAAGCCTGATGCATCCATTTCTACAGCTAAGGGCTGCTAACTGGGCCAGGCTATTCTGGTCTTTGAGTCAAAGTTATCTATTTCCTGCACAGTTAGGATAATACTGTTGGTTTTTGCCTCAGTAATATTCATTTTTATATCATATCTGGGCTCAGAGAAACAATCTTACTTTAGATAATACAGTCAGTTAGGTACCAATTAAGTTTTGCAGGCCTTGGAGATATTCATTGTTTTTAAGGTGAATGCTATAGCTCTAATCCATTGTGTACTGATTTCAGAATTTAATGATTTCCTTATTCATCAAATTTTGAGTGTATATCACTCTTTATCACAGCAGCTTCTTCAATGTCATTTTTCTTCCCAGGTTATAAATGACTAAGTGTAGAAGCACATCCTATAGAAGTTGGATCTCTCTTGAATACCTACCACAGTTTAAGGTCTTTGATAAACAATTAATACATCTATATTTGATTAACAATTAAAAATATTGACCCTCAATTTTTTAAATTTTAGTTGAGTATCTTCTCTATACATGAAGTATTCTCCAGTCACATCCATGATTGAATCTTGAACCTTCCTAATTTATTACAAAATTTTCCTTCTAAACACCCTCAGTCGTGTCTCTTACATAATGTAGAAAATAGCTCTTTTTCTGTTACTCACTGTTTCTATAAACCTGGAATAAAATTTTACCCTTCCAGCTCCATACTATCCTTCATCCTCTACTTCCAGACAACACTCTATTTTGTGGATCTACCTTCTTTTAAATCCCATTTTATAAAGGAAATCTACCAAGTATACATACTGAACTTTATATATAATGATGTAATTTCTCCTGTCTTTGTTGACTGTATTTATTTTCATTTCTAATGGGGAAAAGAGTAATGTTTAAAAAGTAAGAAAAACTGAAAACTGGAAACAACATGGTAAAATACTTGTAATGTTTGATTTCTCTTTTTGTCTGTTTTTCTCTTTCTCATTACCCATGTGGGCATAAGCTAAATTATACATGTATGTGTACAAAACAGTAAATTCAGTGTAGACTATAAACATTATAATTAATTATTGTGCATAAACAAATGTGTGTATATAATATACATAAAAGTTTTGTGAGATTTGCAAATCACCATACACCTTAATAGTAATTATTCTCTTATGATTAATATACACTATAGTAGAACTTGTTAATGTAGATAAGTATAAAGTACTTAGAAAAGAGGAATAGCACAAGAAAATATAAAACAAAAGCTATAAGATTTTCTACTTTTCCCTTCTATCCCCTGTCTATGATATCTCCTCCAAGGAAAACCACTGTTAATAACTTTTTGTTTTTCTTCCAGAAAACTCTGTGTACTGTTCTGAACCTTGTAGCTTAATTTGTGGCATTGTAGTTGTATGAATGTTTTTCTTGTGGTAATTTGGAAGGTGTATAATTTGCTTTTAGTTCTCCTAGCAGTTACCTTTATGCCATTATTTAATACATCTAATGTCTTTTATTGTTTTACCTACTGTAGATGGACGCTACTGCCTCCCTTCTAGGAAAAAATGAGAATATTATTAAACGGTGTCTCCCTCAGTTTCCATTTCCACTTCTGGCTCACATTTTAACTTACTCTATCATGTCATCCCATTTATAGCTCTAAATAATGTATGCAGCCCTTTCTCTCTTGATTACCTTATTTTAATATTTCTTATTGAGTCCCTAAAAATGAACATGAGGAAATAAACCACGATGAAGAAATTAAAGCACTTTTAAGTATTTTCATTTTCATTCTCTCCTCATAGTAAAACTTGATTTTTAATAAATATTTTCAAGATATATGTTAACTTTTGTATCCATCGTTGACACTTTAGGCATAGTGCTTTCAAAAATAAAAGTCCAGTGTTTCCCACTAATCCTTGTAGCACGGTTTCTTCTTCATTTTTTTGGTTGGTTCAATTCCACTGCAGATTTATTAAGGTCTGGGTCATGCTTGCTGTATTTCCTGAGATATTTCATATTTGAGAATATTTGCCTGTTAGCATATTATTAAATGACGAGTTAATAATGACGAGGTCAAATTTTCCTTATTTTGAGACTTACTGGATACTGTTTTGATTTCTTTTGATTCTGCCTGCTCTGAAGAAATCATAAGTCTGTTTGATTTTCTCTGCCTTGTAAGAAATCTCCTCCCTTTCCTCCAAGATGCCCGTAGAATTATTTCCTATTATTTTAAGTTTAATAACAATCAGTAGATATCTGGGTAGCAATGCTTTTGTGTCATTAACTTCTCAAACTTGAAGCCTGTTTTAATCTGCAGCTTTCTTATTTTGAGAAAAATTTCTTTTTATTTTGGAATACATTTTGTTTCATTATGGGGCTCTTTAGGGTCACTTACAAATTTTAAAAAATACAGCTAATTAAAATATAATTAGGCTTATATTTTATTTTTATCTGAACTTTACATCTATAAACTTCTGTATAATTACTTTGTTTCTTTTTTAATCTATGTTCTCTATAATTACTTAATGCATTTGTATTATTCAATATTTTCTTTTTAGCTTTGTTTCTTTTGTTTTTTGCTGTTTCTAATTTATTTATCATTTAGATAGTGATTTTGTTTTGATACTCTTTTTTTAACTACTCCAAAATCTTCTTTTTAGAAAACATCATTTTTTTGTTTCATAATTTTTCTTTTACATGATGAAGCACACATGACAATTTTTTGAGCAAGATTAATGATTTAATGTGAAAGACAAAGAATTTTGTTTTAAATTATTTTAAAAGGATAGCATTTGATACTAAGTTGGGTGAAAGATGGCTGGAGAGCATATTGAAAGAAGACATATATTTGTGAATATTAGACAAGAAGCTTTCAAAAATGGTATTATGGTAATAATCTTCATCTAACATCTTAATTTCATTGGCATGTAATAGGAGGTTTGTAATTATTAGCTCCCTTTCCTTTTTTCCTTCTTTTCCTTTTTCCCTTCTTTTCCTTTTCTGATTTTCACTTCTCTTCAGTATTGTCATAATTTTGACTGGCTTTGGTTGAAGGAGGTGATAAAGCTCTATGCAAACTAAAATGCTCTAGTTTGGAGATTTTCATGTCTTTCTAATAAAGCCACTGATTGAGTGCTGAACCCTGTGAATTCAACTGTCCAAGCTAGGAAAAAAATTGTATGTTCAAAATTTATTATGATAAGAAATGTTTATTTGTTAAATGAATTTTATTGATGTATAACATGGCATATATGTATCATGTTAATTGAAATACTAATGCCTTCAATTTAACAATACTCAACAATTTGTAATAGATATTCGTGACTCTCATTAATCTTAGATGAAAAAACTGTTAAAATTAGGAAAAATATTTACGCTTTTTGCCATCTGGGAAGTTATGGCACTAAATAGCCTCATAATGACTGATAAGAGGTTATGGGAGATATTAAGACCTTGATCATTAGCTTATAGTTGAAACTGTGTTATAATGAATTATTTCCCATGGCTGTCTTAAATTATGAACCATATTGATGCTCTAGAGATGTTTTACAAGATTGGTTGATGTCCATGTAAAGCATATAAATAGTTCAATAATCCATTGCAAGTTCATTAGGTAGCCTGAGGATCAATAATATTATTGTATTGCCAAATGAATAAACTGTCCCACTTAGACTGGCCATCCATTCCTCAAACCAGCAGACAGACAGCCAAGACACATAAGATAAAGCTTGCTTTGGGTATTAAAATCAATGACGTTCATTTAATAAAATACACTTTTCCTGAGTTTAAAAAAGTAATCTTAAAATAATGAAATTACCAAAACCCTTTATTGATTTCACTTTGAGTTAAAAACCAAGATATTAAGAAAATACAGAGTTCAAAAAATTGTGACATTATTTTATTGACTGACTTGTTTTTAAATTACTGTTTTTCCTCAACCCAGCATAATGGATGTCTCAATAGATTACTTAGAAAAATAAATACTCCTAGCTGAATGGCTGTTGGTACGAATCCAAGTTAAAAATATGATTGAGCATCAACCAATACTTTATTTTAGATCATAAACATGGCCATTTCTATCTCTAGATTTAATACACTTATTGATATGAATGCTAAAACATCATGAATTATTGAAGTATTAAATAAATCAACTCTATTTCAACATATGTTGCTTAAATAATCTTATACTACTGGCCTATTTAAATAGGTTGTGAAGTCATTCTCACCAAGAACGTGAGGGATTAATTTAGAAGCATTAGAGACAGATAGACTATCTTAAAATGTTACAGTGTAAAAAGACAGTAGAGTACACCTGTATATTAACTGGTTTACTGGTTTATTCTGGAAAGTAGACACTACATGGTCCTTTCACATTATATCTGTATTAGAGGCTGGTTGGGAAGAAGAAAAAGAAAGAGCAGTTTATGTAAATTCAAAACTTACGGCAATGAGTAAGCAGGGTGAAAGCAAATGTACTAACCTATACAGATGTGGAGATTCTTCTATTAAAATAAAAAATAATTTTCTAGAGATAGGAAACTAATTAGTCTTCAGAACACAACTTTAAAAAAGAATTGGCAGTTTATAGTCCATTATCATGGGAAAGTGAACTAATTTATTAGTGGCTCAATGTTTCTTTTCATAATTTACACTTCTCAGAATGTCTGAAGTGGTTAATAATGTCTACTCTGTGTCATACAGTCTGGGCAAAAATCTTGGTTGCATTATAATGAATAAAAATTATCTCATATTATTGAAACTTGAGACAAAATGCTGATTGCTTGAAACTTTGATATTATTCTAGAGCATTTTCTATTTGCTCATTTGCATGAAAGAGACTTTTTCTAGTCATAAATCATTCATCCTCAAAAGATATTAGGAAATAAAATGTGTAGCACAGCATTTTTGAATAATAATAAACAGTAGAGATGTTAATAATTTGCAGTCATCACGGTTAGAAATTAACATACAGAATAGTATAAGATGTTATGATTTTGGAGCCTGATAGAGAAAATCAAAGGTGTTAAAGGTATAACTTCTTACTCTGTAGAAATGTAGCCTGTTTTACACATAATCTAGTATCTCATTTAGGTATTCCTTTCCCGTTTGACTATGTCCCTGAAACATTCTTCTACTCAGACCTTTTATCTTTCCTATCATTTCCTTTACTAATGAGATAAATAAAACTTTGACATGATTGAAAATCTTTTTAAAAACAAATTATCAGAAGCCTTAAGAAATGTTTAAAAAGTAGTTGCCATTGACTTGTGACATACAGAGAAAGCAATCAGAGTACTGCCCTGAGAATCTCCCACCGCAAATACCCATGGTTTCTGTTTCCCGGGGCTGTCAGTGACAAAGTACCACAAACATGGTGGCTTAAAAACAATAGAAATGTATTCTCCCACTGTCCTAGAGCCTAGAAGTCCAAAATCAAGGAGTCAATAGGGCCATGCTATCTCTGAAGGCTGTAGCGGGGGCTCCTTTCTTGTCCCTTCCCAGCTTCTGGTATTGCTGGCAGTCCTTGGTGTTTCTGGGTTTGCAGAGCCATCACTCCAGACTCCGACTGTTGTCACACAATGTTCTCCCTGTGTGTCTGATGCCTTGCATTCTAATTTCCCTCTTCTTGTAAGGAAGCTAGATGCTAGATTAGGACCAACTCTATTCTGGCGTGAGCTCATATTAACTTGATTACATATGCCAAGACGCTATTTCCAAATAAGGTCACATTCACAGGTTGTGGGGAGTTAGAACTTTAACATCTCTTTTAAGGGGACATAATTCAGTCTACAATGCCCAGCTATTTACACTTGAGCTTATGCATTGTTTCTCCTTCTGTTATTCTGGATGAACTGTGCTTTGTTCCTAACTAAATCTAAGCACTCTACTTGTGTATTATATTAGATCCCATCCTCTCTGGCCTATTCAATGACACGTATATAAAATATTTCAATCTATGTCTTGTATCACAAGTTTTTCTCTCTTAACTGGATCAGCACCACTGGCATACAAACATGTGAAATCTTTCCCATTTTAAAAACAAACAAAAACAACCCCCTTATATTACTCCACATTTCCCTCTCTTTGTTCTCTTTTACAGCAAGACACTATAATTGAGTTTTCTGTACTTCCTTTATTTAATTCTTCTTTTATTCTTTCTCTCTACCATTGTCAAGGTTAAAAGTGACCTATATAGTGCAAAATTCAATGGATAATTCTTGGTCTTCATCCTACTTTGAAATGGTTGATCATTGCTTCCTCCTAGAAATGCTATTTTTCTCTGTCTTCAAGACACCACAGTTGTCCCTCTTCCTCCTGATATCTCTAATTACCTCTTTTAGTATGCTCCTTCTCATCTCCCTAGCTGCTACATGTCTGAATGCCCTTGGGCTCAGTTTTGTTTCTTGTAGCTTTTCTAATGACATGAATTCCCAAAGCAATCTCATCCAATTTCATGGCTTTAAATATCTGAAATCTTAAAACCTTTAACTATTTGTGCAAAGGCTTTCCAAGTTTATATCACCAACTGAGCTGCTCTTCAGAGTTTTGGACTTGTGCATCTGAAAGACTTCATGACATCTTTGATGTTAATATTTTATATATTAATATTTTTACACTCTGCTTCCTCCTACTAGAATGTAAATCTAATGAGAGTAAAAAATTTGTCCATTTGTTATATTATCTTGAAAGGTATCCGATGGGCATTGTGAGTGCTCAAAAAATATGAGTAACTTACTGAAGGAACGATTTTTTTTTTGTTGTTTTTTGAGACTCTGTCGCCCAGGCTGGAGTGCAGTGGCGCCATCTAGGCTCACTACAAGCTCCGCCTCCCGGGTTCACGCCATTCTCCTGCCTCAGCCTCCGGAGTAGCTGGGACTACAGGCGTCCGCCATCAAGCCCGGCTAATTTTTGTGTATTTTTTTGGTAGAGACGGGGTTTCACCGTGTTAGCCAGGATGGTCTCGATCTCCTGACCTCGTGATCCGCGTGCCTCGGCCTCCCAAACTGCTGGGATTACAGGCGTGAGCCACCGCGCCCAGCCCGGAATGATTTTTTTTTTTAAATCTCACTTAAAAGCAGCAGCCTATAGCCATACTTAGAAAATGCCAATAAAGCAACAAAAAGAATGTGAAGTCTGTGGTTTTGCATAGAGAAATGTTGCTTTTCAGAAGAATCTTTTTGGTGAAAAGTGTTCTTTCTATGCCAGAAAAAGTAGGATCTTCCTTATTTCTTCTCGGCTAGGGCCCATAGACTGTCTTCCTGGTTATATTCTTTGGAAGGATGATAGAATATTTGAAACACTATAAAAATGAGATATAATACAGTTGCTAATTAATAATTATGACGACCAATTAAAAAATAGTGGCTTAAACAGATATTTCCTGTGATAGTTTCTTGAGTAGCACTGAAACCTGAAATGAGTAAGAACAAATAAAGTTTATAGAATAATTGCCTTGTATTTATTTGCTCAGAAAAAATGTATTATTATCGTACAGATTTACATCTGGATTTATTATCTGTAGCTTCAAAGTTAACCTTTCAATGATAATGGTGCACTTTTGCATATCATGTTTAATAACTCCTTTTGCAAAATTAAAAAAAATTACAAAAATCCATTTCCCAGGAGCAAGGAGAATAAAAATCTCTACAAAGTTGGAAACTAGTCAATATTGAACTAGGCAGGATAAGCCACAAAACATCTTAAAACTTACTGTCCTTTCTATTTATTTTACACATATTAAAGATTGAAACTAATTACTGTGGGGGCTTTTTTCCATGCCTATATTTTGATTCTATAGTAGGTTTCCTGAGGGCAGTTTTGAGGTTTTATGCCAGCAATTTGTTGGGTCCTAAGTGAATAATAGTTCTCAAAGGATTACTGATGAGATTGATGTATTTATAACGAGAACAAAGAGATTATCTTAAAACTGATTAAGTCATTTCCCAAATAAACATAAAATGAACTCTTTTATTTATGATGGTGGTGAGAGAGATTGAGAATACATATTTTAATGTTTGTCACCATATTAGTGATAGAATCTACCCAAGAAGCAGATGATTTGTGAAATTGGTAGAAATGATTAGAAAAGAAATTTATTTTTAAACAATCTTAATGGATAGAACAAAATCTTCAGAACACACGCTTGATGTTATACAAAAGCTTTAATTTTGAAGAAATGGTGGGTATTTAAGAAGAAGTCTGGTATAAAAATTTAAGTTATCAGTAAAGACTAACAACCAGAAAAAAAGATAATGCGTTTTAAAATATTTTATTATTATCCAAAAGGAAGAGTCTGGAAGACAGTGTTGAGTCGCAGAATAAATTATGTACAGTTTTAGCACTTCCTTAATGAATCTTTTAGATTCATTTGGTGCTTCAAAATAAAGAATTCTGTTCAAGCTGTAAACTCGCTCTGCCATAATTGCTGTGTAGCAGTTGTTCTAAAGAAGGCAGAAACAAGCAACCTCCTTTTCCCTAAAGCCTGAAGCAATGCAGTCATGTCCTGGAGAAAGTCATTATAAAAAAGCCTTTTCTATGTTTTGAATCTCTTTAAGGATGCATCTGCGGATTTTATTCATCATTCCATTTATCATAAGGTTCAGAGACAAGTATTGCATTAAGTATATTTGGTACAGAGGGAGTTGCAGATTCTTAGAACTGGTTTGCAATGCCTCTCAGAGGCAGTAACTGGGTAAAAACTGAGTACAAGGTATGTGATATAAGGAGGGCTGGGATCAACTTTCCATACATCTGTTTACTTTAAAGTTGATGTCATTTGCCGCTCAGTGCTATTTTAAACACTCTTAGAGTTTCTAACTTCTTTTTGTTCCTGTATTTTGAGATCTCTGTTTTGGCAAAAGGTTAGTGAGACCTGCAAATCGGGCGGTTTGAGCACCTGTAACTCTCTGTGCACACTTCTACCTTTTCACATAAACCAAATATTGGATTTGAGGTTGTCACTCCCAGGATAGTGTGAGCTACTTAAGGGCAAGGTCATGATTTACCCACTTCTATGACCTCACGTCTTTGCTGTGTCTAGGTTGTAGCAACTACGCAAGTGTCTGAAAAATAACACTGGCTTACTAGCTGATTGAACTATGCTTTATTACATATAATTTATTAAAATATCAACTATGATTGTGAGAGCTCTGATCTCATACTTTTCTGTTCCAAAGTGTGTTTTTTTAAATGTGAAATGAGTTAATTTAGTAAATAAACTCAAGTATGTGGATATTAACTCCTTAACATGATAATCAAAATAAATTAGTGGTCTGGAGCTTAGTCAAACTCTTCAACTCCTCAATTCTAGTGCAAAAAATGTGTATTTGTTAACACTTGTCCTCTAAGAAAATTTGTTTTTGTTTTCCCTCCAATGATAGCTTGGTTAAGAACTTACTACTGTGTCATTTTAGTTACAAAGTCTTGACATATTTAGAGGACTTAGACATACATATCCAGGTATTTTTGGAATTCTTATAGAAAACTCACATTATCAATTTTTCAATTCCATTATTTCACTGCTGACTGGCTTTAAAATTTTGTCCATAGATAGCATGCGATCTTTATAATTCTTTGCATTTAGTTTTTCAAATACTACACTTTGAGGATATCCTGAGCAATTACATTATTCCACAATTTGATACTACTTCAAAGACAATCTTATCATGAGAGCTGCCCTGTTATCTTCTTCCACAAAATGCAAGACAAATAATTAGGTTACCATTTGTTTTTGCCTCATTTTCTTTTGTAACATGTTAACCAAGTTCTTTCCTGATGGCCTAACTGATTTTCAGGCTCATATATAAAAGGAAAGCAAATCTTATTTTCTTTACTTTGAAGCCCCTTTAGCATATCCAATTTCTTCTGCAATTTTGTCTTTACTTTTGATCTAGTTGGATAGTCTCTTCATGGATATTCTCTAAAAAATATAAGAAAGCAAATAATTTATTTTTTATTCAGAGTTGTTGACTTTGCCAGTTTGCTGTGCTGAATTTTGATTGAGTTTATGAGCTTTTTGATGAGGCACGTGTTAGTTTTTACATTTATAGTAAGTTTTAAAAACTATCTTCAGTTTTATTCAAGATTAGTTATTTAAACATTCATATCCTAAAACTCCTTTCTGATATCATTATCTTTTGTTTAGTAATAGAAGGAAGTGTTTTTCTTTTAAATCTCTCTACTAGAAAAATTAGACTTAATTGTGTAAATATCACACCATCATTTTTGTATGTGTTACTGAAAACCTGTCTCAGTATGCCTCCTTTCCTATATGCTCAAAATTTATTTTATCCAGAGATAGTTATTTGCTTTACTCTCCATCCCTCTACTCTATAAAGACTGGTGTTGGGTGTCCCACACTGACATTCAGACCTTTGCCCAGCCAAATGTCCTTTATCTCTGAAGACCCGGGATTTCTGTCATGGAGTATTCACATCTGAGAACTATTCTGGACACTTTATAATAAGAGCAGAGTAATAATTTCCACGTATTGAGCACGTACCAAGTGCCACATACTATGCTGGTTGTGTCATATATTTTCCCTAATTCAGTTCTCACAATAACCTTACAGTATTGGAAATATTATGTGTCTTTTATAATGAGGAAGCTTGAATTAGAAAGTTTGAATAACTTAATTTGGATCAGTTATAAGTAGAAGAGATGGGGATTTGAACTTAGGCTGGTGGTCTGTGGAACCTCTGCCCTTAATCTTTGTGCTTGGTACACCATAAATATATTTCTGTAAGTGCAACAGATTGATTGATGTCTCCTGCATTCTCTATTTGCTGGTTACCGTTAGTAGGCTGGCTTCCTGGTCTTTTTCTCCTATAGCTGGTGACCATTTAAAAATTGTGGTAGTGCTTGCTAGTGCTTTAAATACGGGAAGCCCTTTTATTTTTAACCATCAATTTTGTGGACTTTTCAACATTGTTATAATGCTTTAGAATAATGATTGAATAAAGTATGTGGAGGCAAAAGGCACCAGAGAATTCAGTAATGCTGTGAGATGAAGTTGCATTTTATTTATTGCAATAGTATCCACATATTAACTGCAAAACTACAGATACACAATTATTAATAACCTTATAGAACATTTCATTAGTAATGTGACCTTCAGTTTTTAATATCTGAGCTTGATATTTGCTTGCTTCCTTATGTCCTTGCCCTGAAATAATATCTTCTACCTCAAAATTCTGTACATACTTTATTTTCCTAAATAATTGGAAAGGAGCCATATATATGTATATATATAAAATACACAGAATAGAATAGTACTCTACCAAGATGTTTTTCTCCTAATAGCTGTTACCTGGGAATATGATATGGTACTTGGCAAGGGATAACTTAGTTTGCAGATGGAATTAAGGCTACTAATCAGCTGACCTCAAAATAAGGAGTTTATTTTGGATTACGTGGGTGGCCCAATGTAGTCCTAATGTTAATTAAAATATAAGAAAGGAAGGCAGAAGAATAAAATAATATGTGACAACAAAAACAGAGATCAAAATGTTGCCCTACTGGCTTGGAAGATGGAAGGAGTGGCCAACAGCCAAGGGTGCAGGTAGCCTCCAGAAGCCAGAAAAGTCAAAGAAAGGAATTCCCCACTAGAGCCTCCAGAAAGAATGCGGCTCTGCTGGTGACTTGATTTTTAGCTCAGTGAGACCACTTCATACTTCTGGACTCTGGAGCTGCAAGATAATAAATTTGTGTTGTTTTTTGCCATGAAATTTGTGGTGATAAAGTAGCAATAGGAAACTATATATATATATTTTTATTTACATACATTTTCTTGTTTTGCAAACAGTTTTTATGCTAATAAAAGTGCTATTTTGTATTTCTTTACAATAAAAAATTCTACTTTTGAGTTTTCTAACTCTCTGTCTTCTCTCTTAGAACTGTGACCTGAAATGATTAATCATGTCATGTCAGGATTTAACATCAACATGATGTAAAACAAATCCACCCTTCTGTTACAGTTGGTTACACAGTAAGCTTCAAGAATTCATGTTCTTATAGAACATGTTCTTATAGTTCTTATAGAAAGGGGACCAGAATAGAGTGATTTAATTGATTATTTCTTCTCATTAAATAGGAAAACAGTTTTTCTCTAACTTTTTTCGTGAGTAGAGTGCTTTATTTTTTTTTTTTGCTAAACTGTGGTTCTTTCAAAAAGGCCTTCATGGGATCTCTGGCAAACCTCTGGCAGAACAGCTGTAGCAACAGTGTTAAGTCTCAGTGCTGCTGTCATTCTCCAAGGGGAATGACCAAAGTGATTTAAAGAGGAGCAATTATGGGACCTTTGCTAGGGCCTTAATCTCCTCCTAGAAAAATAAAGATTTTGCAAGACTTTACTAAAAAATATTGTCTTTTATTCATTCGAAACACCATTACTGATATCCTACTGGGGATACATATAACCATCCGCTGTGGGGACATTCACAGCTTGTGAGGAATGAGACTGTGGGCCTTTGGGAAGAAGCCCATTGCATAGTTTGGGAAACATCCAGGAAGAAAGTATTAATTCTACTTTGGGAAATTTGAGTAGGATGTTGTGGTAGGGAGAAGAAAGAGTATCACAGGAATAGGGAGCTCCATTTACCAGGTGACAGAAATGTCAATGTGCACGCTGGAGTATTTGAGTGACGGTTAGATCCTGACAAGGGATGAAACTGTTTGAGTAGAGCGATAAGGTTTCAAAGGGTCTTTAATGTCATATTAAAGAGACTGGAATTTATCTTGTTTTCAATGGAGCGCCATTATAGATACGTAATTGGAAGTGTGCACAAAAATATTTATATCTCCAAGCAACATAAAGCAGCAGTTGGAGAGAAGGGATGTTGTCTAAGAGGAGATATAGAAGAGTGAACCCAATGATGAGGTGATTTTAGTTGAACTTCCAGTTCCACTAGACCTCTGTGATTTGCAAGCAGCTAAAACAGCGTCTGACACACCATAGTAGTATTCACTAAATATGTATCAAGCATTATTGAATAAACCAATGAATATAGGCCTACATTGAAACTGGATGGATTTTAAAAAATTGTAGAAATTATAAGTACCCCAACTAGAATGCAAGTTCTAGGAATAGAATGTAACAGGTTATAGATAGATAAGCTGTTTTCTTCCTCTGAGTTATTTTAATTTTTCTTAATTTTGGATTTTCTGTAGTTTGAATATGATATGCTTTTTTGTTTTTGTTTTTTGTTTGTTTTTTTTTTTAATAAAGAATTTATCCTGCTTGATATTCTCTGGGATTCCTGGCTCTGTTGTTTGGAATCTGATATTAATTTGAGGAAATTATCAGTCATTAGTGCTTCAAATATTTCTTCTGTTTCTTTCTCTCTTTCTTTTCTTTACACAGGTTACCTTTTTTAGTTTTCCCACAGTTCTTGGACATTCTGGTTTTTTTTTTTTCAGTCCCTTTTCTCTTTCCGTTTTCATTTTTGAAGTTTCTAGTTACATATCTTGAAGCTAAGGGTCATTCGTCAGTTGTGTCCTGTCTACCAATGAGCCCATCAAAGGCATTCTTTATTTCTATTACAGTGTTTTTGACCTCTACTATTTCTTTTATTTTTCTTAAAATTTCCATTGTTCTGCTTGTATTGCCTAACTGCTCTTGAATGCTATCTACTTTATCTATTAGAGTTCTTAGCATACTAATTATAGTTGTTTTAAATTCTGGTTCTGATGATTCCGACATCCCTGGCATAGCTGGGTCTGGTTCTGATGCTTGGTCTCTCTTTAAACTGTGATATTTGTTTTGTTTTGTTTTTTGTCTTTTAACATGACTTGTAATTTTTTTCTTAGTAGCCAAATGTTATGTACTGGGTCAAGTGAACAAAAGGAAATGAGCCTTTACTAAAGTGTTGGTAAGGTGTGGGGAAGGGGAAGTAGTCTATAGTCCTATGATTAGGTCTCAGTCTTTTAGTGAGCCTGTGCCTCTGAACTGTGAATTACACAAGTGCTTCTCAGTCTCCCTCCGCCCTTCATAGGTGGGACAGGATGGCTAGACTAGGCTGGAGTTGGGTATTTCCCTTCTCCCATGTCAGTTAGGCACTGATAGAACCCCAATAGCTTAGACTCTGATTTGGCAGTTTCTCTTGAGGGCAGTTCTTGTTAAGAAGGACAAAATACTCTGGTGTATTTCAAAATGTTTCCTTTTTCCTCCCTCTGCTATAAGCCCCAGAAAATTTTTCTCCAGTATTCACTGTGAGAATCTGGTTGAGCTCCTGAGGTAAAACTCACCAATGTAGGCACCTCTTATGACTGAGCCCCCTAGAGTTTTTGACTCTCAGAGTTATCTGCTCTGAGCCTCTGGCAATTCATCAATTACAGTTCAGGGTTTTCAACCCTGGAAGGTTTTTTGCTGGAAGTTTCTGGTCTTGTAAGCTATGATTTTCTGTACTAACCTGTATTCTATCCTATTTGGGGGCAGTAGTTTGTCCTGTGACCTCATTTCTCTGGATCTAAGAAGAGTTGTTGATTTTTCAGTTTGTTCAGCTTTTCACTTGCTTTTTGCACAAAGTGACAACTTCCAAGTTCCTTACTTGCTGAGCTGGAAGCTCTGAATGCTTGCTTTTCACAGTGGTATGACCTGTTAATTCTAAAACTACCAGATGTGCATTCTTGGTCTGAGAAAATAAATTACCATGAAAAATGAGAGCTACTTTTCTATCTATTGAAGGCAAGCTTAAGAGAAGGTAAAGAAGGTTAGAATAAGTCCTGTGGTATTGGATTAGAATAGTAGGTCTCAGCATGAACTCAGTATGTACAGGTATCTAGATCTAGATATAGATACATATGTAGACATAAATATGTTTGCATATGTACACTTTTTTTTTATCTCTGTCCACTGAGAGGGTGTAGAAGCTATACATCCTAAAATTAGTGAGCCCATCTAGCACCTGGAAGCTAGTTTCTAAATATCAATTTCTAATAAAAGGAGCCAGGCCTCCTTGGAGAAATGGCTGATTCCAGTGGTGAGACAGTGCTACGAGTTGAACTCTGTCCTCCTTAAATTCATAGGTTGAAGTACAAACCGCCAGAAACTTACAATACAACCTTATTTGGAAATAGGGTCATTACAGGTATACTTAGTTCAGATGAGGTCATTAAGGCAGGTCCTAATCCAAAATGACTGGTGTGTAAAGGGAAAATTCCACTCAAAGATACAGAGACATGTGAAGAGGGAAGACAATGTGAAGAGACGCAGGAAGAAGTGGCCTTCTATAAGCCAAAGAGAGAGGACTGGAACCAGTCTTTTCCTCATGGCCCTCAGAAGGAAACTGCCATGCTGACACCTTGATTTTGAAGTTCTAACCTTCAAAACTGTGAGATGACACATTGCTGTTGTTTTCACCACCTGGTCTGTGGTGCCTTGTAGAGCAGTCATAGCAAACTAACAGATGGGGTAGCACAAGGCGAGTCTGGAGTATCTCTGATTACTGAAATCTCAAAAAATTATGGCGATATGTAAAAAAGACATAGGGTCCATCTTAAATATGAGGAAAATTTGAACAACAACATGATTAATGATACTAAAAATTGCAACCCATCACATAAAAAAATCAATGAGTTCATACTGACATGAAAAAATGACTAAATAAATTGAAAGGAAAGTTCTTGTCTAGAGGGGATTATAATTAAAAACGTAGGAGAAATGATTAGGAAATCGCCATTTGCCAATAATTACGATAAATTTTTTCAGGAAAGAATCATAAATGAACATTAAAATGAAAGGAAGATGATATTATAGAAAATACTATATTTATACAATCTTAAATTATCTTCCTACAATAAATGTTAACTACAAGGGGAAAAATAGTAGCTTAACCATGAAGAAACCTAGAAGACACCACCTTAACGGAATGATCAAAATTAACATCACCAACAATGGGACAGAGTGATACAATGTGCCTCCTGATAGGTTGCACCAAGAAGGATGAAACATGCAAGAATGATAAAGCGTAAAAGATTAATATTTCAGGAATTTGGTAAAGTGTATAAGGGAATATTTTATACTACTTTTATAATTATTATATAAAATGAAAAGTGCTGCATTTGGTAAAAGACTAGGTAAAAAGGATGAGGAGAGGAGAAATGAGGATTCACTGTGTGTGATGTTTTGCTTGAGTCATGATATAGGTGGTGAATTACCTGGAAATTCTCAGCAAATCATTGTTGATTAGATATTATGAATACAGAACAAAGAATAGTGTTAAGAAGCAAGATAATAAGTTATGTTCCACACATGGTGATATGGTTTGGCTCTGTGTCCCCACCCAAATTTCATGTTGAATTTTAATCCCCAGTGTTAGAGGTGTGGGCTGGTGGGAGATGATTGGATCTAAAGGTTTAGCACCAATCCTCTAGTGCTGTTTTGTGAGAGTTGTCATGAGATCTCATTGTTTGAAAGTGTGTAAAACTTCCCTCTTCACTCTCTCTTTCTCCTGCCACCATGTTAAGACGTGTTTGCTTCCCGTTTACCTTCTGCCATGATTGTAAGTTTCCTGAGGTCTCCCCAACCATGCCTCCTGTATAGCCCGAAGAACTGTGAGTCAATTAAACCTCTTTTCTTTATAAATTACCCAGTCTCGGGTAGTTCTTTACAGCAGTGTGAGAGCAGACTAACACACGTGGGAAATTTGCTGTATTCAGCTGGTGTAATAATTCTTTTTAGCCAAATGAAAAAATAAAGGCAATGTCTTGAATACTAAAAGAGCAGTTTTTCCATGTCATCATGGAATTTTAATTAAAATAATTTTAGAACTTACTCTTTCTCAAGAATTAGCTTTGGGAAAAAATAATATGATAACAAAGACACCGTTTTAAAAGAGAACAAAAATAGGTAGCATAAAATAGTAGATAAAGATCTACTAAAGTGGTTAGTTAGTATGAAATTAGAAACCCAACTTCTAATTCCTAACATAGGTTGCAGCAGGAGAGGTCTCTGAAATTACAGGTGACTGTGTCATTAAAGGTGTTTTAACAGAAGGGCCTTTCTTAGGTGATTGCTATGTATTTAGGCTAAGTGAACCACATTTGATGGGCAATTAATCACGATTCACTTTTCAAGTGTCTTATTTAGAACATTTTGATTAGTCATTTTGGTCTACTAGGACACATCAGATACAACTCCAAATCCCGAGAAGAGGTCATCAGCAGGTTTTCAGCAGTGGAGCCAGGTGGATGGCACACCTGAATTTTGATCTGAAGGGAAACTACTGAAGTCAGCACCCTAGGGAAATGTATTTCTCTAATACTGTCAAAATCAATGGATCTTTCAGATGTACTATTTTGTAAACAAATGCCTGGATATCCACTCTTCCCAATTTTTTTTTTGGAATTCCTACTGCCCACTCTCCATGTGCACTTACAGAAAAAACAGATATCTTTTCTCACTGAAGGCTATGTTAGTCACTATGGTTTATTAAATATAGCCTGGACTCAATCCCCCATTCCCCCTCCCAAAAAAACCTTCTGTAATAAGTCATAATATAGTTATTTAATTATTTAATAGTCTTACTTTTATTATATTGACTATTCTTACAAGTTAGATGGTCATTTTCATGGATTTTATCACATTGTTGCTGACCAACAGCCTTGTGCTAAATGCGTTGTAAACCTCAGGATGCTTTATCCTGTCTATCTGTGCCTTGCATTACTGTACACACTAAATCCTTCAGGGACTATTCGGGTATATACTGTGAAACTGGGAAGGTGTTAGGAGAGGAACATCTTCTTATTTCTGCAGTTTCTTGGAAAAATTAGCTAGATGGTTTGTGAGGCTGTTCTTCCTACTGTGTCATTTTGTGCCATAAAAAGCCTTCTGGTGTTTTGAGCATATCCTCAAGAAAGGAAAGAAACAGCGAATGAAGAGGTTTATTGGATTCTCTCCTTCCTTTAATATCTTATTTGTAAAGCCAGGATGTACAAAAAGAGCTGAGATGGATTTTCCTCTTCCCTGCTGCCTCTTTCAGACCCATAAATAAAGCATTTTGTTATTGATCTATTGCCAGTACCTCCTGGAGCAATAGTTTTGATCGATAATTCCTTTAAAACAGTTCTCAGCAACCCGAATCAGGTTGACTCCCTTTTTCTTTAGTTAACCTTCTGAGATGCGAATTTAGCAGAAGACTGTCTTTTAATAGACTCATGGTTTATTATTTAAATCAAAACGAAACAAAACAAAACAAACAGACTGGGCAACGGAATGCATAGAGACACCACCGGCACATGCTTAGAGTAGCCTTGTTGCTTAAATATAGCTCCGTATGTATCTGCTTCTAAGATCACTTATGCTTATTTGTTACAATGTGTTTAGCACAGGTTACTCAGTGTGTAGTAACAAAATAGATCTGCATTCCACAGAGATACCATTCTTTACCCTTTTAAAAGCCCCAACTTACATTATTTCGTTTGATTCTTACATTATTTTGTTTGATTCTTACATTATCTTGATCTCTGAGAAAGAGAAAACTCAGAAACCTGTGAGCTTCTCAGTGGGACAGGACCTGCTAAGAGTGTGGCGTGGGCTTGGGGTGAGGGTTCGGGCTCCCCTGGCCTCACTCTCCTGAGGCTTCATGCCACTTGCCACTCGCCAGCACTCAGCAGCTCTTTGTAGTTCAAGGAGAGACTCTGCTCCAAGTGTCTTTGGAATTAATAGCTCAGTCAACCAGGAGACATGGTTTTCTCTTCCCAACATTACAAAACCAGTGCTCGAATGTCAAATTTTTGTTTCCTCAGTTTTCAAGTGAAGAAAACATTTCTGTTTTTTTGAGCATATGCTCGGCAATATGGATGGGAGATAGAAAGTATTAGATTCTATGTTCTAGTTCTCATGGAGTTTTTAATCTAGCAAGGAAAATGAGATACATGTCCTAATAGCAAACAACACAAGATGGATGGTTGTCAGCAGCATTACCAGTAGGAGACATTCTCCTTACAACAGTTTTCTCTTTGACCCTTGGATCACATAAAGAAGACAAAAGATAGTTTAATTTACCACATAGTGACTTTTTTTTGACATTTTAAGATTATCAGGACAATCAAATCCAGCTGATCCTGTTTATATGTGTGAAAGAAAAGTAAACTATGCAATGATTCTTTTATAGATTAGGCCTTTCCCATATTATATTTTTTGCAATCTTCTAATTACCTTCCTTTCCAAACAACCGTAACTATCTTTTTCATATAATAAAAATTTCTATTGACAAGACAGTTTCTTTTTTCAGGAATTCCTTTCTTCCTGCTTCTCCTTCATTAACACATAGCATTGGATACCAAGCCCATCCAACACCAGACTTCTCTAACCATTCTGTGCACACTATATTTTAATTTTGATATGTGTTTCTTTTAAGATTAAAAGTTATATAATTTTCAAAAATAAAAATAGGGAAACTAGGTTCTTACCAAAAAGGAAAAAAAATTTAATAGAGGATTTAGTGGGTTGAATTGTGGCCCCTTGAAGATATGTCCACATTCTAATCTTCAGAGCCTGTAAATGTGACCTTTTTTGGAAACAAGGGTCTTTGCCAATATAATTAGGCTAAGCATCTCAGGATGAGATCACTTTGGAGTAAGGTGGGGCCTAAATACAACAACAGGGGTCCCTATATGAGAGAAGGCACAGACAGATGAGGAGAGACACAGAGGAGAAGGCCACGTGAAGACCGAGGCAGCGTTATACTGTTACAAGCCAAGAGGCACCTGGAGTCACCAGAAGTTCCAAGAGACAAGGATGGATTCTCTCTGAGAGGCTTAGGAGAGAGCATGGCACTGCTGACACCTTGATTTCTGACATCTGGACTCTAGAACTGTGATAGAATAAATTCTTGTTGTTATGAAGCTTTCAGTTCACAGTAATTTGCTATGGCAGCCCTGGGAAGCTAATATAGAGTATTCCAGAAACATCGAAGACCCAAGAGCTAGTCAGATTGGGCGAGTGGGTTTTTAACACGAAACCCTTGTTAAGATAGAGGAAACTGGGAAAAGAGTAGAATAGAAACTTTGCTCATCAGTGTTTATACCTGTCCTTTCTTGTTTTCTCCTGTTAGAGAAGTTTTAATCTCTAGCCATCGTTCTGATTCCAATATTTTCTCAGGGACCTCAAAGGTACTAATATCCCTTCTCTGTTTCTTTTCTCTTTACCTGATTTAAGGTTTCATTCCTGTTAGCATTTACATATCCTTGTGAATTCCATTTAAAAGCACAAACAAACAGAAAACCTTAATAAGAGGTCTTGGGAAACTGCACATATCTGTATACACTGGTCAGCTTCATTCTTTTTATACTGCTGCCCAGTACGCCATAGCATGAATATTTCAGGTGTTTGTTTATTCATTGCATCCATTTCCTTTCTGAAACACGTATGATGTTTCAACTTTTCCCTATTATAAATAGACCAGTGTACCTCCTTTTTGCATAGGTGGGAGTTTTTCATTAGTGTAGGACTAAATAGTGGTATTTTAGGTTATATGATATACACATTTTAAATGGTCATACGTATTTCCAAAATTCTTCTTGAGTTTGTATTGATTTAAACTCCCTCTAGTATATGCTTATACTTTTCCCCATTCCTTCAATAAAATGTAGCACTAGTCATGTGAGAAATAAGGTAGCTATAAAAATCCAAAATAACAGTATTTAATGGAGAAAAGAAAAAATAAAACTATTGCATGTTTTATCTTACTATTTACAGGTGTATTTCAATGCATAGAAAAGGCATAAAAGATATATATCAAAAAGTTTTTTTGTTAGCATGGGTAAGATAAACTTTCTTAGAGTGGTGGGGGAACTAAAAATCTGTATTTATTGGCATTTTTTAAGAAAAATATATTCGTGTATTGTGATATCAAAAGGTATTTCAAATCTAATATCACATTGATTGTCCGATGGCCTATTTTGTATGTATCTTTAGAAAATAAATGGTGTCAATAAAACCATAATACAATCCTGTCTTATTGGAATTTTCTATGTTATTCTGAATAAATGAGTTCATTAAGAATTCTTGGACATAGATTTTTACCTTATACTATGCTACTGTTTTGGTGCTTTTCTGAGTACAAACTAGCATTTTAATGCTTAATTATAATGTAATCCTTTTAAAGACATTAACCATCATATACAGTACTAATGATGTACATGTCTCAGTTGAAGTGATATCAATATGGTCAGGTAAAGAAAAGTATGTCACGACTGTCGCCACAGCCTCATCTGACTGACCATAGCTCTAAGATTCATTTGTTTTAAATGGTCTCCTGATATTAGATATATTAAAATGAGATAAACAAAGACATCCATCAAAAGTCTTATTGATTCTATAATACTAGTTTAAGAATCTTCCCGTGACTCAATTCTTTCTTCTAGCACAAGCTCTTTCCATCCTAGATAGACAAGCATGTTGAAATGACTGTCTTTTCCTGCTTGCTCTATTTCCTGAACCCACTTATTCATAATCCCATCACAATTTGACTTCTGCACCAAATACTATATTAGGGTCACCAATGACCTCCTCATCACAAAACCCATAGCGAATATTTCAGTCCTCATCTTTGCCTATCTTCATTGACATTTGACATGGTTGATCTCTGTTACGAAACGATACATTTCTGGTTCCCCTTTGCTTTCCTGGCTGCTCCTTCACTATCTCTATTAAGATTGGACTTTTTCTTTCCTCCCTTAACTGCTGCTATTTGCAACATTCTTTTTAAAGCTTTGCACTCCTCACTACACTGGGCACAGCAAACAAGATCCAAGCAAATATCATAAATGTGTGAAATAGGACAGTGAAATAGTGTAGGTCATGATGTACTTTGTAGCCCGGTAGAAAGTGCATATATTGCTTAAGTATATTTAAATTCAATAAATAATAAAAGAAACAAGAAAAAGAAAGAAGAAAAAAGTAATCTGTGGCTAAACAGAACAAATGGGCTCTGCTAGATAGATTTGCTGTTGAGTTCCTTCTAGTCTTCTTTCTGGGCTATCACATCCACTCCCATGACTTCAGTTACAATCTATACTTGCCGGTATCATTGTCAAATCTGTACCTCAAACTCTCTTTTCTGATTGAAACTCTTATCCAGCTGATGGCTGGACACTGTCATTTTGGGCTCCACGGGGAGTTATTCCCTTTTCTAACCCGCAGCCTCGCTGATCCGTCAGGCTGTCTCTAACCACTTCACCATACATCTGGACTGCCATTCCTGTAGTCCAAGTCACCGTCTTCTCTCACCTTTTCCTTGATAACACGCCAATTGTTCTCCTAACCTAATCATATGCTTCTTTAATCTACTTTTGATGGCCTTTGGTTTTATTTTTCTTTCATGAGGCCATGCTCTTTCACTGCTGTGTACTACCCATGTGGTTCCTTCTGCCTGAAATGCTCTCGTGATTTATTGTTCCTTCTCTTGATTTCCTGTATAAGATCGCATCTTAAATTTATTTCGTCTAGAAAATCTGAATGGATACTGACTCCCACTTACCCCCAATGCTGTTTTGCTGTTCTATGTCAGATGAGCCTGCCATGTGCTTTTTTTTTTTTTTTTTTTTTTTTAGCTCTTTTGGTGTCTCTGCCATGCACTTATTTCATCTCCTTTCAATGACATGTTTGTGTGTTTCTCTTAGGTTCTTTGAAACTCTCAACCATGTTTATTATCTTGTTCTTAATGTAAACGCATACCACATAAAGGCTACTGTCTCTGCTGTCTCCATATTTGCTGAGTAAATAATGACACAGTAATATAATTTTATTCCCATTCCTTTTAAATATTAATCCCGCGCATGCTTGTTGCTTCATCATTAAAAAGAATGTTGATATGTTATAGATTAGCAATTGTCATGGTAAAATTTCATGAAGAGGAAGGAAAATTTGGCCTGAATTTATAAGAAAGCTTTTTTTGGAGTAAATTTACTATAGACTGTGTACTCCATAGGGCTGCTATGAAGATAACATAAAATAAACTGAAAACTTCTTTAAAATTTAAACATGTTATATGAATGATAATGGTTATTATCACTATAATATACACAGTATACTCAAAAGAAGCCAAAGAAATAGAAGATAAAATCTCTAAATAAAAAAATCCATTCTTCTTTTCAGCAGATGGGAAGCATTTCCTGTGAGCCTGTAATTGTATAAGCTGGGAGTAAAGAGGGTAAGAGACATGGTCTTTGCCTTCAACGCTTTACATCTAGGTATAATGGCTTGATCAGCTATAGCACAAGAAAATATATAAATTTAAAAATCAGAATTTTCTACTTGATCTTCTAGGCCTTTAAAAAAAGTACTATTTTATTGTATATGGTTCTACTATTGAGGTGGAGTCACATACAATAAAATGTAACAATTTTTACACTTCAGGGTTGGGGGGTTGCTCAAGATGGTTGCCTGGATACATTTAACACTCACCTCCTCCACTCACCTTTTGGGAGAATCAAAATAGCAAGTAGATAATCATACTTTGAGTAGATCATCTAAGAGAGAACACTGGAATCCACAGAGAAGTGCCTGGAAACACCTGAGGCAAGGAAGGAAAGCAAAGCCAGGCAGCCTGTTGGGCTGGGATTGGCTGGGATCCCAGAGAAGCTCTCCAATGCAGGGAATGGGTAAGAGAGAGATCCCCAGTGATCCACATTCCCACCACAGACTCATGCAACCCTAGCCACAGGAGAGCCTTCGACCCTTGTGGGCCCTGAGACTAACATAGGAAGCTGCTTGGAAACTGTGCAATGGCATTGGTCCTTCCAGAGAGAGAGATCACACTGAGTCCCACACACCCTGTTAGTGCTAAGCAGCTACAGCCTGATGTCATTTTGAGAGTCCCTTTCAGACTGCATTGTACCCTGCGGCCCAACAGCCCCTGCATCCCCACATCTCTAGACCCCTGTTGACATCCCCCACCCACAGCTGCTGCCACTGCTGGCAGCAGATTCCAGGGCTGAAGCATGAGGCACTGGCACTCATCACACTGACCCCAGCAGCATGGTCACTGCCCATTTACCAGTGTCTTGAGGACCACCCCCCACACCTGCAGCCGCCACATGGGCCAAAGCCTACCTTCCCAGGCTCTGCAGTCTACTCTGTCCAAAATTTATGTAGTAACTGCACTTTCTATTGCTTCTCAATCTTTTGACTAAGATCAAGTGTCGTAACTGCATTTTCTTTTGAATAGTGTTAGCATGGTATATCTTTCTCCATTCATTTACTTTTAATCTATATGCACCTTTATATTTAAAGTGGGCTTATGGTAGACAACATATAGTTAGGTCTTGTTTATTTGATCCACTCTGATAATCTCTGTCTTTTAAGTGGTGCATTTAGATCAGTGACATTCAAAGTGAATACTGATATGGTTGGATTAATATCTACCATATTTGTTACTGTTTTCTGTTATTGCACTTATTTTTTGTTTCTATTTTTGTCTTCCACTTTTTAAAATCTGCCTTTTATGGTTTTATTTTCACTTTTATTTTTAATTTCAGGGGTATAAATGCAGGTTTGTTACATGGGTAAACTTGGGTTAAGGGGTTTGTTGTAAAGATTGTTTCATCACCCAGGCATTAAACCTAGTACCCATTTGTTGTTTATTTGTTGTTTTTCCTGATCCTCTCCCTCCTCCCATCCTCCACCCTCCAATAGAACCCACTGTGTGTTGTTCCCCTCTATATGTGTCCATATGTTCTCATCATTTAGCTCCCACTTATAAATGAGAACATGCAGTATTTGGTTTTCTGTTCCTGTGTTAGTTTGCTGAGGATAATGGCCTCCAACTCCATCCATGATTCCTGAAAAGGACATTATCTTGTTCTTTTTTGTGGCTGCATAGTATTTCCATGGTGTATATGTGCCACATTTTCTTTATCCAGTCTATCATTGATAGGCATTTAGGTTGATTCCATGTCTTTGCTATTGTGAATAGTGCTGCAATAAACATACACATGCATAAGTCTTTATAATAGAAGGATTTATATACCTTTTATTTTAATTGACATTTTATATTATTTCACTTTTGTTTTCCTTCTTAGCATATTAAGTTGTATACCTTTTTTAAAAAAAAATTTTAGTGGTTGCCCTAGAGTTTGCAATATACATTTATAGCTGATTCAAGTCCACTTTCAGATAAGAGTGTATCATTTCATCAGTAGTATGAGTAGCTTAAAATATAATAATCCTTATTTCTCCCTTCTGACTCTTACATCATTGTTGTCATTGGTTTGGCTTATACATAAGCATAAATAAGCACATATATACACACATATGCATATATAATTAAATACATTGTTGCTATTATTTTGATAAATTATTTTCTGTTAAGTCAATTAAAAATAAGAAAACTAAAAGTTTTAACTTTACCTTCATTCATTCCTATTCTGATGCTCTTTTTTCTGTATATAAATTCAAGTTTCTGACCTATATCATTTTTCTTCTCACTAAAGAACTTATTTTAACATTTCTTGCAACATACGTCTAGTGGCATCAAATTCTCTTAATCTTTGTTTTAGAAAGTTTTTATTTCTCCTTCACTTTTGAAGAATAATCTCTCAGGGCATGGAATTCAATGTTAGTGGGTTTTTTTTTCTCTTCAGACTTTTAATATTTCATTCCGTGCTCTTCTTGTTTGGAGGGTTTCTAATGAAAGGTCGGATGTAATTCTTATCTTTACTCCTCTGCAGGTAAGGTATAGGTAAGTTGTTTCCCACTCTGCTTCCAGCTTCTTTCAGAATTTATTCTTCATCTTTGATTTTCTGTAGTTAAAAATGGTAGGCCTCTATCTAGGATGGTTTTTTTTGGTATTTATCCTGCCTTGTGTTTTGTAAACTTCCTGGATCTGTGGTTTAATGTCTGACATTAATTTCAAGAAATTCTCAGTTACATTGCTGCAAAAATTTCTTTCTTTCTTTCTTTCTTTCTTTCTTTCTTTCTTTCTTTCTTTCTTTTTCTTTCTTTCTTTCTTTCCTCTTCTTCTCCTTTCCTTTCCTTTCTCCTTTCTACTTTCCTTTCCTTTCCTTTCTCCTTTGCTTTCCTTTTCTCTTTGTTATATTCCGTTCATGCACATTTTACATCTGTCGTAGCTTGCCCACCATTCCTGGTTATTCTGTCCTTTTTTTCTTTTTCTTTTGGTCTGTTTTTTAGTTTTTTTTTCTTTTTTTCTATTTGCCTTTTAGTTTGGGACTTCATTTTTACATATCTTTAATTTTGGAGACTCTTTTCGTAGCTATGTACAGTTTTAAAAGCCCACCGAAGAAGTTCTTATTTTTGTAACAATGTTATTGATCTCTAGTATTTTTTTTGGCTCTTTCTTAGAATTATTTTTCACCTCTGCTTATATTGCCCATCTGCTCTTGTGTGCTGTCTGTTTCATCTGTTATAGCTCTTAGTATATTAATTATAGTTATTTTAAAATCTGGATCTGATAATATCTGAGTCTGGTTCTGATGAGTGCTTTCTGCCTTTAAACTGTGTTTTATTTTATGTTATTTTATTTTTGCCTTCTAACATGTCTCACAATTTTTTCTGGATAGCCAGACATAATACACTAGGTTAGTCAGGCATGGTACAATGGGTAAAAGGAATTGCTGTAACTAGGCCTTTCTTAATGTGGTAGTAAGGTTTTTGAGGAAGGGGAAGCATTAGCAGTCCTGTGATTAAGTCTCAGTCTTTTAGTAAGCCTGTGACCCTAGACTGAACTTCACATGTGCTCTCAGTCTCCTCCTCGTTAGGTGGGACTGATGGCTAACATGGTCTGAGGTTGGATATTTCCCTTCCCCCAGGTCAGTTAGACCCCCAGCGGGTTAGGCTCTGGTTAAATCCTATCTCCTGAAAGCAGACTTTGTTAAGAAGAACACAATGCTCTGGTATATTTCAAAATACTTTCTTTTGCCCTCCTGCTGCCAGAAGCACTAGGGAATTTTTCCCTGGTATTTATTAGGAGGACCAGTTAAAGCTCCTGGAGGTAAAACTCACAAAGTGTGGGTGGCCCCTATGACTGGGTCGCCCCGGAGTTTTTAACTCTCACAGTTGTTCACACCGAGACTCTAGAAATTCACCCATTTCAGTATAGGTTTTCTTACCAGGGAACTGGTTCCCATGGAGGTTGCCGTTGTGATTCTCTGTGTTCCCCTGCTGGTCTCTCCAATTTTGGGCTCGGTGGTTTGTGCTCTGACCTCAGTTCTCCTAGGGATCTAAGAGGAATTTGCCTTTTTTGGTTTGTTCAGCCTTATACTTGTTGTCAGGACAAAGTGACAACTTCTAAGGTTTTACATGCCAGCCTGGAAACTCTAAGTATGCCTATAATTTTAAAAACCATTAGCATTGTGGTGCATTTTTCTGTATTTTTTCCTTGCATTTTACTTAGTTTTAAAAAATCTAATTTAGAATTGGACAGCAGTCATATTTTGGCATAGGTTAGTAAAATAAATTTGATCCTTCCTTCCTTCCTTCCTTCCTTCCTTCCTTCCTTCCTTCCCTCCCTCCCTCCCTCCCTCCCTCCTTCCCTCCTTCCTTCCCTCCCTCGCTCTCTCCCTCCCTCCCTCCCTGTGCTTTTGAGATTTTAAAGAAGTTATTCCTCTGGTGGTTTGGTAACTCAAGTTACCTCAAAGCCTTCTGAAATAGAGATCAATAAAGGCAAACTCTTATGTTTAAGAATAATTTTTTCAATGCTTGCATTCCGTTTTATGACATCTGTTTATACTTGCCTCATCTAGTTAACTGACTTATGTGTGTACCAAAGTTACTTTTGAATAATTCATCTTATTGAGTCTTTGATTTTCCTTTCAGTCTGTGGAAACAGTAGATGAATAACATGATTTTTTTTTTTTTTTTTGAGATGGAGTTTCGCTCTTGTTGCCCAGGCTGGAGTGCAATGGCACTATCTTGGCTCACCGCAACCTCTGCCTCCCAGGTTCAAGCGATTCTCTTGCCTCAGCCTCCTGAGTAGCTGGGATTACAGGCATGCGCCACCATGTCCAGCTAATTTTGTATTTTTAGTAGAGATGGGGTTTCTCCATGTTGGTCAGGCTGGTCTCGAACTCCCGACCTCAGGTGATTCACCTGCCTCTGCTTGCCAAAGTGCTGGGATTACAGGCATGAGCCACAGTGCCTGGCCACTTGTGTTTTTTTCTGCCTATTTGAGCCTTAGTGCCATGGCTAAGAGTAATGTGTGGTGGATAAGCCTTGGAGTCAGGCTGGTGGCCTTGAAACCATGGTTCTACCATTTATTAAATAGCTGGGTCAATGGGAAAGATTTTGAATATCTATGTGTTCTAGTATTCTTAACTGTGAATTGAGAATGATAATTACCATTTATCTAGTACTCATCACTAGTGCAACACACAATTCTAGATGTTTAATGTGTACTATGGATAGGACACTTCATTTACAATATTATTTTTCTCATCTTTTTTTGTCATTCAGCACTGCAAAGGAAATCTGACCAAATTTTAATTTTTGTATTCCTGTGTAAGTGTTTTATATTTTTCTTCACTGGAACTCATGAAATTATTTTTAACCCTGTAAATAAAAATACATTGAACATTTGATGGACTAAAGATGAATTTTTCACTGATTTTGCCTAGAAATCATAGCATCTTTTTAATTCATAGACTGGTCTTTTCTTGGCTCAGATTTTTAAACATTATATGCTTGATTATTTCTTCTCTTCCAGCTTGCGTGATTTCTTCCAGTGTGCAGCCAAAATTCTGAGCACTTTTGGTTTTGCTTTTGCTTTGTATCTATCACTTTTTTTCTACATTTCTTTTGTATTTGTCATTTGTTCATTCTTTTTATTCATTCATTCATTTGGAGACAGTACAGTAAAATGCTGAAAATACGGACAGTGGAATCAAATAAACCTGAATTTGAATTCTGGTATTATCATTTTCAAACTGTGTAATCTAAGACAAATCATTTAATCTCTTGAATCTCACTTTCTTCAAGTGTAAAATGCAGAGAATCATAGAAATAGAAAAGAGTTATGTTATTTTTAGTAATTAAAATATTTAGTAATTAAAATATTCTCTATGTTTTAAAGTTATTTTCTGAATGGATACTGTTGGATATTCCCATTGCAATGATCATTTTTAAGAACTTCATTACTGACTTTCATTGCCTACACATGCATTTGGCAACAGTACAACAACTGGCATCCATCTTTCCAACTCTTACCTCTAAAATCCATACTTTGTTTACTACTGCAGACTGATTTGCCCAAATATTGTTTATTGGATGCCCTTTGTGCAATTAAAATGGATCTCCAGAGTAATGTGAATTCTTCTTCCTCCTTCTTTTCTATCCTTGTCTTAATTACCTAATATTAATTTTATGTTCATTTTATCTATGATGTTTCTTTACATACATCCATATCTCTGTCAGTATTTCTCCTTTTTCTAACTGAATTCAACTAACTTCTCTTCAGGAAACCATCCCAGCTCTTTCTCAGAAGTTGGTTTATATTTGTGTAACAATTAGACCTTAATGATAGTCAATTATCTTCATATCTTTTGTATTATTGGATTGAGTTTTCGAAGATGAACAACCAAAATTGATGCATTTTTGGAATCTCCGCAGTCGTTAAAATGGTTCTTTGAACAAACGGTCCTTGAAATGAATGAATGAATAGAGAGTATAGCTTGATATGTTTTCACTAGAGGCATTTTTGTGCATGCTGACTGTATATGTTATCCCAACTACCCCTACCCTCTCAGAGATGATAGAGTTTGTTTTGTTTCATGGAGCACGTTGCCAAAAAGACCACTTAAGTAAAAGTCAAGACAGCAGGTTCTTGTGGCATCGTTTACTTGTGGCTTTACCTTCTTTCAATTCAGTGTAATAGCACACAAGATATCTATGTTCCACTGCTGCATCAAAATTCAGATACTTCTTATGTTACAGCTCTAATATGTAGAAACATACCTTGAAAATAGGTGCCCCGTAAATATTTATGGAAATGGAATGTTAGTATGTGTGCAAATATTTTTTTTAAAAGAAAGACAAGAATTTAGTGATACCTGGACATTTGGTGAGGTTTTGTTCTCTTATATGGAAATAGTTGCTGGAGGATTTTTAGGGTAAGTAAATGTCAACAACCTAATTTTAGAGATGAGGTTGAAGAAAGTGGGCCTGAGGTGGTGACTTGGTTAAGATTATACAGTTCACCAGTAGAAAGCAGGAACCAAAAGCCAGGCCTCACACCATTTGGCCTAAAGCATTTTTTATTCCATAATGCTCTGAGTTCCAAGAGGCAAACCAACAGGTGCAATGCTTTCAGCAGATAGCTATATTTATATATGTAAACATCTTTCTTTTTGTGGGTCCACACCTTGCCTAGAGAAAACATCTTTTATTTCTCCTTAATTTTTTCAATCTGTCACTAAGGAGACATAAAAATATAACTTTTTTTTCTTTAACTTTTATTTTAAGTTCCAGAGTACATGTGTAGGATGTGCAGGTTTGTTATATACGTAAATGTCTGCCATGGTTGTTTGCTGTACAAATTATCCCATCACCTAGGTATTAAGCCCAGCATCCATTAGCTGTTCTTCCCAATCCTCTCCCTCTCCCCAACCCCCTCCTCTACGGGCCCCAGTGTGTGTTGTTCCCTTCCAAATGCCCATGTGTTATTATTTAGCTCTCACTTATAAGTGAGAACATGCAGTGTTTGGTTTTCTGTTCCTGCCTTAGTTTGCTGAGGATAATGGCTTCCAACTACATCCATGCTCCTGCAGAGAACATGACCTTGTTCATTTTTATGGCTGCTTAGTATTCTATGGTGTATGTGTACCACATTTTCTTTATCCAGTCTATCATTGATGGACATTGAGGTTGATCCCATATCTGTGCTATTGTGAATACTGCTGCAATGAACATACACAGGTATGTGTCTTTATAATAGGAGGATTTATATTCCTTTGGGTATATACCCAGTAATGTGATTGGTGGGTCAAATGGTATTTCTACCTCTAGGTCTTTGAGGAATTGCCAAAATGTCTCTCACAATGGTTGAACTAATTTATGCTCCCACCAACACGGTAAAAGCATTCCTTTGTCTCTGCAACCTCACTAGCATCTGTTTTTTTTTTTTTTTTTTGACGTTTTAATAATGGCCATTCTGACTGGTATGAGATGGTATCTCATTGTGGTTTTGAGATTGCATGTCTCTAATGATCAGTGATGTTGAGCTTTTTTCATATGTTTGTTGGCTGTATGTATGTCTTCTTTGAGAAATATCTATTCATGTCCTTTGCCCGCTTTTTAATGGGATTGTTTGTTTTTTTCTTGAAAATTTGTTTAAGTTCCTTGTAGACTCTGGATATTAAACCTTTGTCAGGTGGACAGATTGCAAAAATTTTCTCCCATTTTGTAGGTTGTCTGTTCACTCTGACGATAGTTTCTTTTGCACTACAGAAACTCTTTAGTTTTAATTAGACCCCATTTGTCAATTTTTGCTTTTGTTGCCATTGCTTTTGTTGTTTTCATCATGAAATCTTTGCCCATGCCTATGTCCTGAGTGGCATAGCCTCGATTTTCTTCTAGGGTTTTTACAGTTTTGGAATTTACATTTAAGTCTTTAATCCATCTTGAGTGAATTTTTGTATATAGTGTAAGGAAGGGGCCCAGTTTCAATTTTCCGCCTCTGGCTAGCCAGCACTCCCAGCACCATTTATTAAATAGGGAATCCTTTCCCCATTACTTGTTTTTGTCAAGTTTGTCAAAGATCAGATGGTTGTAGTTCTGTAGTCTTATTTCTGAGTTCTCTATTATATTCTATTGGTCTAGGTTGCTCTTCTTGTACCAGTACCATGCTGTTTTGGTTATCATAGCCTTGTAGTATAGTTTGAAGTTGGGTAGTGTGATGCCTCCAGCTTTGTTCTTTTTGCTTAGGATTGTCTTGGATATTCAGGCTCTTTTTTGGTTCCATAGAAATTTTAAAATAGTTTTCTTCTAATTCTGTGAGTAGAACTTTTTATTTTTTCAATCCAGAATGTTTTCTCAATGTCTCCAGTTTGACTCAGCCATACATTATTATTATGGAATGAATAATTAGTGTGTCAGTATAGATTTCTTGTTGTGGCAAAGGTTCTTTTACAATCAGAATGAAAAAAGTAGCCTCCTGTTAATCTTGGTGGGGAGGAAGTTATACAGGTGCATATAAGTAGGTTTAGATACTGCAGAAGGGGGCAACTCACTCTTTCTTGCTCAGCTACTGAGAGAACATATTAAGGAGGCATTTTAGAGGTAAGCTGCTTCTAGCTATGTAAGAGCAGAACTGGAGGCAGGAAAGACTTCTGATTTTTGTTTTTAACATGGCTGCAGTGACACTGATTATACTAGAGAAATCATCTGAAATTCAACAGATGGAACAGAATGGTATTTGCTTCTGGCAGAGAAAGTTTCTTCCTACACTACTTGCCTGGAACCACAATCACAACAAAACCAAGCCATCAAGAATGGTGGAGATTCTTGGTTGTAACAGGCTTTTGCTAGAAGACTGTAGCCCTGGTATTTTGTAGGGATGTGTATGGTGCTTGGAGAGCAATAACAGCAAAAACAAACAAACAAACAAAGAAACAAACAAACGAAACGGAAACCTCTAAAACACACAGACAAGACATTCTAGTTTTCTTTCCATAATCAAGCCTGAACTCCTGGAATGACTAAGATATTGAAGTAATCATAGGAAGGGGATGAAGACATTCTTATGATGAGGGAGAAGTAGATTTATTATTGAAATAAGAAATAAGACAAGTGGTATTATTCTGTTCACCAAACTGGTAAAGATGTACTTCTTTTGGATCTTGTGGGGAGGTTCATATTAATGAGTTCTATTGTAAATTGGGGTCAAGATATTCTGTATATTTTACTGTTAGCTTTGAACTATTTTGAATAATATCCTGAGAGAAAATAGAACGAGGTAGGATTTATTTGCACCTTCTCATCATAATTACAAATATCTCTTTTATCCATTTGTTTTGATATTTTTAAAATGTGAGTGCATTACTTTCTTTGTACCAAGTACTGCTTATAACAGATTTGGGAATTCTGAATTCTTCTGAAGTTAAGGATTATTTACATCAACATTATTGTTTATGTCCATTATTGTGATATCTTCATGAACTTTAAGTAATTTTTAAAAAAACACCTCTTTTCCAAAATATTCATTTAGCTTTTCACATAAACTTAGAGGTGATGGTTACATAAATGAAGCCAAATCTCAGTAGTAATCTGTACTAAATGGTGTTATGTGTTTGGGCTGTGTGCTGCGGATTTCTTCCAGGGAAGAATTGGAAATGTATTACGTACCTCATCAAAAAATTATTGAAGAAAGTAAATACAGGTTTTTGAGAGACTGGGAAGAGAATGAATAGGAAGATATTAATTATTGAGTGAGAATTGTTCATTAGTGAGTCATTGTCAGTAACATGAAAAAAGATAAGGAAATTAAGAAATACAGGAAGTATTCAGGAGAAGATGGGCAGCAATACTTGCTAAATCAGAAATGGAGATAATAAAAATGGCATGACCTCAACTTGAAGGTGACAAATAGCCCTGACTCCCCCTCAAAAATACTGTTGCATCCAAGAAGCAAAGTCTTATAACTCGATCTTTAGATAAAAAATTTTGCTATTTTTCCATGAATAGAGACCATACAAATGATCTTGCAACTTTCATTTTTTTGAGATTTCTTTGGCTTGATATTTTCCAAACTTACATACAGTTTCTTAATATGGGGTTAGTGCAAAATTGAGATATAGAGCAATGTGCCCAGGTTTAGAGGTTTTCTTTAAATAGTCATTTTTAATTAAGACTGTTCATTTTATAAATTCATACTTTTTTAAATCAAACCAACTGAAATATTTTCAATGGCATAATAATGTCTTTTTGATGCAATTTAATCTTCATGTCTCTTCTCACATAATACATATCTGAAGTTGATATGATAAGTCTGACATTTTCAGGAGATAACTTTGTTTTATTATTGGGAAATCTTTCCTGACAACTTAATTAAAAATGCTTACTAACTTAAGTTCTTTTAATGATTTTAGATTTTTTTGCACACAACGTTCCATGTCAAAATATGCTTTCAAATCTGCTGCTTTGATAGTGAGAAGATTCTCTTTTCGATCATCATAACACACCTTCACATGAATCTTTGGTAAAAAGTCAGTTTTACCTGGAGGCTGTCTCATTTCTCTAAAATTATTCTCCTACTCAATTTCTTTCCAGTTGGCAAAGGAAATTAAAAAAAATCACTATATCCCTAAGGATTGATTACACTGACTAAAATTTTGTCAGTATCTAAGCTATAAGATATGAATAGCTAAATTTAAAATGACATTTTGCATCTAAAACTTCATTTTTACATTAAAAACGTGCATATGAGATTCAAATGGGATTTTTGATACTTATTTTTGCTGTATATTTTTCTTGGGAAACTATAAGCTCCTCTTGGGATTAACTTAATTATATGCCCCTTGTGGTCTGTGAAAAATAATTTGAGTTTTTCTTGCATATGTGAATTTAAATGCCAGTAGGAATAAATGATTGGCCTTAAAATATTGATTCTCTGAGCAGATATTTGGAGAAAATATACCTCACATTGCACTGGATGGATCTGGCTCTGTAAATGGAAGATAAATAGAAGAGGGAGCCATAAATTTTCCACTCTTAAAATCCATAGAAGCCGGCTGGGTACAGTGGCTCACGCCTGTAATCCCAGAACTTTGGGAGGCCGAGGCGTGCGGATCACTTGAGGTCAGGAGTTCCAGACCAGCCTGGCCAACATGGTGAAATCCCATCTCTACCAAAAATACAAAAATCAGCCGGATGTGGTAGCACGCACCTGTAGTCCCAGCTACTCAGGAGGCTGAGGCACGAGAATCACTTGAACCCAGGAGGCAGAGGTTGCAGTGAGCCAAGATCGTGCCACTGCACTCCAGCCTGGGTGACAGAGCAAGACTCTCTCTCGAAAAAAAAAGAAAAAAATGAAAAAAAGAAAAACATAGAAACTATAAGTCTGTTTCCTATAGAGAAGCTATTCTTTAACTAAAATTCTACACATCATACAAATATTTACACATAAGAATTAACAGGGAACCCTTCCAAGGGTAACTTCTAGGAGCTTAAAGACTCAATGTTTCAAGGAGAGATTACTAGTCTTCTGTCTAACCTGCAGATACAGCAACTACTACATCCAAGATTAGGGCACGCACATCTAAAGAGATCCTCAGCATGTTGGGAGACATAAAGTATTAGTAAGATTCTTGGACTTGGAGCCAGAGAATGAGATTTGGGAGGGCAGAACTTGAAATGCTTTATGTTTTCTACAGAAAAAACCAGCAGCATTAACTTCATTTAGAAATTTGTTAGAAGTTTAGATTCTCAGGTGCCGTCCTAGATCTACTGAATCAACATCTTTGGGACTGAAGCTCAGAAATGTGTTTTAATAAACACTCAAGGTGATTACAATACATTATAAACTTTGGGAACCACTGTTTCAGAGAAGATAAGTTGTTTTTTTAAAATTTATTTATATTTTTATGAATGTAGTTTTATTAGAGACAAGGTCTCACTCTGTCACTCAGGCTGGAGTGCAGTGGTGTTATCATACTCACTGCAGCCTTGAACTCCTGGGCCCAAGTGATCTTCCCGCCTCAGCCTCCCAAGTAGCTGGGACTGCAGGTGGGCGCCAACATTGCTAGGCTAATTTTTTTTTATTTCTGTAGAGACAAGATCTTGCTATGTTGGCCAGGCTGGTCTTGAACTCCTGGCCTCAAGTGATTCTCCTGTCAAGGCCTCCCAGAGCGCTGGTGTTAAAGGCATAAGCCACTGCACCCAGCCAGAGAAGGTAAATAGTACTAGACATGAGTCCTATTCTACTACTTCTTAACCAGCTTACCTTGGACCAGTCAGTCAACCTGACTGTTTCTGCTACCGTACTGAGAACTATGAATAAGATTTTTATATTGACTGTCTCAGCACCCGTGCAAATGACTAAAGAAGTAGAAGTCAACATCACATCTAAGATCATAAAGAGCAAACATTAACTTATGGGAACAATTGAACAGATTCAGGAAAGCAGATGCTGAGTTGAAGGTGCCGCAGAGCAACCAATAGATACAGGGAGCAAGGAATTCAGAAAATTCTTGTTTTAAAGGACATGGGATTCCCCACCCTTGCTGAGACTAAAAGAAATATAGATTTGCACATATTCAATGTGACAAGAAGCAGCTGAAAAATGAGTCCTAGAGAACCCTTCTCATCCAACAACCTGGCTTTACTCCTTCTGATTACCCTCCATCCCCAAGGTATGAGGATCTTAAATGGAGAAATTGATCTGCTTTGTTTGTTCATCTATTTATGTAAAGAGGATAGAGGATGTTATACTAAAGATCTGCATAGCGCAGGGATGGCAATGGGCATCTAGATGGGGAGATAGAAGGAATCACATCTCAGAAAATCTGAGAGAAGCTAAAGCCAATCAGAAAAGATTCTGAACTTTAATCTGGCCCTGAGATTTCCGGTTAAGAGTCCAGAACAATAACAAAACAATATGCACCATTCTATGAACATCTACTATATTTTAGGCTTGTTACCTGCTTTTATAATAATCAATTAATCTATTTTCACTTTAAATTAATGGCCAGAAATCTCCAATAAGCAACTAACGTTGTCATGAAATTTGAGTAAATTTGTAGACCATTTCATGTCTTCTAATTTTTCCTCAAAATTTCCATACTCTCTCATTCTCCCATTCCCCATTAGCTGATGAGCTAGTCTCAAATGTCATTTTGGAAATACAGACTATCAGAATTGAAATTCTTCATCTTCCACTACAGGATCTATCCACTTAACTATATCAGAACTTACATATCCTGCCTTCACTCCTGTAGAAATGGATGAGGTGAAATATTCATGCTCCCAGGGAAGACCCGTTCTTGATATCCTATTGTCTCTTTCCTCCGCAAAGACTTCACACAGCAATTACCTCCTCTCTCTCCTTCACCTGCTTTCCCTGTCTGCTGGGTCATTATCACCACACCAATATGCTCTGGGATTTCTCATTTTGGTCTCACATTTCCAGTATTCCATTTTTCTTCTTCTTCTTCTTCTTTTTTTTTTTTTAAGTAGTTAGCATTTAATGAAACTCCCTCCATGCGGCTTCAAGCCACCAGGACACAGGCCCCCCCAACACTCTTAATCTTCTCCTCAGCTCTTCTGCTGAAGAATTTGGCCTGCACGGTGACAGCCTGCTTGGGGAGCTTTCCCTTTCCCAGAACTTTGTAGTAGCCAGATCGCACCACATCAATGATGGGAGCAGCCCCAGTCTTGTTTTTAGCAGCATTCACCCGTGTCTGTTCACTGACCAAAGTCCACAATTTGTCAAGGTTGACAGTTGGGCAGAAGCTCTGGTTCCTCTTTAAGTGGTAATGCTTCATACCAACTTTCCCAAAGTAGCCTGGGTGGTATTTGTCGAAGTTGATCCGGTGGTGATGCAGACCACCAGCATTACCGCGGCCGCCGGGGTGCTTCCGGTGCTTGCCTATGCGGCCGTGGCGGTGGCTCACGTGGCCCCTAAGTTTCCGGGTCTTCCTCAGTCTGGATGGCATGTTGGCAGCCCAGACGAAAAAAAAAACTATCTTCTTCTTCTTGAGCAATATTTCTAGAAAGACTTGAATAGGAGTTAAGACTTTTTTCAACTCCTATTCACACTTTAAAAATATAAATCAATATTCTTTTAGTAACACAACGAATAGAAGTCAATTTCAAGAAAATCAGAATGCAGAGGAACAAGAGAAAAACTATCAATAATTTCACCACTGCAACAAGTTCAAAATCTGCTATATGTTCTTCCTTTTTAAACTATTTAATTTATAATTTCATCAGGTAGTGTATATACATAAAAATTTTAAAAAATTAGAGATGAGGTCTTGCTCTGTCACCCACTCTGCAGTGCAGTGATGCGATCATAGCTCACTGCAGCCTCCAACTCCTGGGCTCAAGTTATCTTTCCACCTCAGCCTCCTGAGTAGCTGGGATGACAGGCATGTACCACCACCTGTGGCTTATTTATTTACTTATTTTGAGACAGAGTGTCTCTCTATCGCCCAGGCTGGAGTGCCGTGGCACAGTCTTGGCTCACTGGAACCTCCACCTCCCAGGTTCAAGAGATTTCTGGCTAATTTTTGTATTTTTAGTAGAGACGGGGTTTCACCATGTTGGCCAGGCTGGTCTCGAACTCCTGACCTCAAGTGATCCACCCGCCTTGGCCTCCCGAAGTGCTAGGATTACAGTTGTGAGCCACTGCACCCAGCCTGGCTCAATTTTTCAAATGTTTTTCAGAGACAAGGGTCTTGCTATGTTGCTTAGCCTGGACTTGAACTCCTGGGCTCAAGGAGTGCTCCAGCCTCAGCCTCCTCAGTAGCTAGGATTTAACACATGTTCATAGTTTTAAAGTGCAAAGACACTGATGAGAAAATACTTTCCACCCTGCTTTCCTCAGCCTCGTTTAAGAATGAATGAGTGAAGGGCTGCAAAATGGCAGCCATGAGATAGAACTTCTATTTATTTAGAGTCTTTATATTTTTACGCAGAATTCTTTTTTTTTTTTTTTTTTTTTTGAGATGGAATCTCGCTCTGTGGCCCAGGCTGGAGTGCAGTGGAGTGATCTCGGCTCACTGCAAGCTCCACCTCTGGGGTTCACATCATTCTCCTGCCTCAGCCTCCCCGGTAGCTGGGACTACAGGTGCCTGCCACCACGCCCTTCTAATTTTTTGTATTTTTAGTAGAGACGGGTTTCACCATGTTAGCCAGGATGGTCTCAATCTCCTGAACTCATGATCCACCTGCCTCAGCCTCCCAAAGTGCTGGGATTGCAGGCATGAGCCACCGCGCGCTGCCTTTCGCAGAATTCTTTTTTTTTTAATTTTTTTTTATTATGCTTTAAGTTTTAGGGTACATGTGCACAACGTGCAGGTTTGTTACATATGTATACATGTGGCATGTTGGTGTGCTGCACCCATTAACGCGTCATTTAACATTAGGTCTATCTCCTAATGCTCTCCCTCCCCCCTCCCCCCACCCCACAACAGGCCCCGGTGTGTGATGTTCCCTTTCCTGTGTCCATGTGTTCTCATTGTTCAATTCCCACCTATGAGTGAGAACATGTGGTGTTTGGTTTTTTGTCCTTGTGATAGTTTGCTGAGAATGATGGTTTCCAGCTTCATCCATGTCCCTACAAAGGACATGAACTCGTCATTTTTTATGGCTGCATAGTATTCCATGGTGTATATGTGCCACATCTTCTTAATCCAGTCTATCATTGTTAGACATTTGGGTTGGTTCCAAGTCTTTGCTATTGTGAATAGTGCCGCAATAAACATACGTGTGCATGTGTCTTTAAAGCAGCATGATTTATAATCCTTTGGGTATATACCCAGTAATGGGATGGCTGGGTCAAATGGTATTTCTAGTTCTAGATCCCTGAGGAATCGCCACACTGACTTCCACAATGGTTGAACTAGTTTACAGTCCCACCAACAGTGTAAAAGTGTTCCTATTTCTCCATATCTTCTCCAGTACCTGTTGTTTCCTGACTTTTTAATGATCGCCATTCTAACTGGTGTGAGATGGTATCTCATTGTGGTTTTGATTTGCATTTCTCTGATGGCCAGTGATGATGAGCATTTTTTCATGTGTCTTTTGGCTGCATAAATGTCTTCTTTTGAGAAGTGTCTGTTCATATCTTTCACCCACTTTTTGATGGGGTTGTTTGTTTTTTTCTTGTAAATTCATTTGAGTTCATTATAGATTCTGGATATTAGCCCTTTGTCAGATGAGTAGATTGCAAAAATTCTCTCCCATTCTGTTGGTTGCCTGTTCACTCTGATGGTAGTTTCTTTTGCTGTGCAGAAGCTCTTTAGTTTAATTAGATCCCATTTGTCAATTGTGGCTTTGTTGCCATTGTTTTTGGTGTTTTAGACATGAAGTCCTTGCCCATGCCTATGTCCTGAATGGTGTTGCCTAGGTTTTCTTCTAGGGTTTTTATGGTTTTAGGTCCAACATTTAAGTCTTTAATCCATCTTGAATTGATTTTTGTATAAGGTGTAAGGAAGAGATCCAGTTTCAGCTTTCTACATATGGCTAGCCAGTTTTCCCAGCACCATTTATTAAATAGGGAATCCTTTCCCCATTTCTTGTTTTTGTCAGGTTTGTCAAAGATGAGATAGTTGTAGATATGCGACATTATTTCTGAGGGCTCTGTTCTGTTCCATTTGTCTATGTATCTGTTTTGGTACCAGTATCATGCTGTTTTGGTTACTGTAGCCTTGTAGTATAGTTTGAAGTCAGGTAGTGTGATGCCTCCAGCTTTGTTCTTTTGGCTTAGGATTGACTTGGCAATGAGGGCTCTTTTTTGGTTCCATATGAACTTTAAGTAGTTTTTTCCAATTCTGTGAAGAAAGTCATTGGTAGCTTGATGGGGATGGCATTGAATCTATAAATTACCTTGGGCAGTACGGCCATTTTCAATATATTGATTCTTCCTACCCATGAGCATGGAATGTTATTCCATTTGTTTGTATCCTCTTTTATTTCCTTGAGCAGTGGTTTGTAGTTCTCCTTGAAGAGGTCCTTCACATCCCTTGTAAGTTGGATTCCTAGGTATTTTACGCAGAATTCTTAATGACAAAATTTCTTTCAAGACACAAATAAATAAATCTTTCAAAGTGGAATTGTCGAATTCCCAGGATTTGTGGAAAACACAGTTGTCCTGGTATGATAAGAATATGTGTATAAATAGATGACTGCTCTGTTTAATTTTGTGTGAACTCGGGATTAGGTAGTATATAGATGTGAACAATTTAATAGTTAAAACCAAGGCATATTCCATTTAGAACATTTAGTTTCTTCACTTGTTTATGCATGCTCTCTACCTAAATATATGGTTTACTTTTCAAAACATAGTGACTATTTATGAATTGATTTAGTAAAAATAACATTAGGAATGTGAATCTCCTCTAGCAGAAAATATATTGTAAGGTGCAATTTTCTAGTAAGCCTTCCGTCATATAACCCTTTAATAAGAAAACACTAAAGCAATTGTACTTCAAGACGGTATAATGGATAGCAATAAAAGTCTGCTTGTAAGTCATGCCTTCTTTTATCACTTGTGCCATTTTCCTGCTTTTGGAATAAAAGCGTTTCCTTCGTAAGTAGAATATTAATTGGAAAACCCAATAACTCACATCTATATTGGAAAGAACAGCAATAGATAATATAAATAAGAAATCAAATATGTGTTTCAGATGTTAGATTTTTAACGTCAATTTTAATACATTTTAGCATTCCGTGAGAGTAAATCTGTGGTCCTTAATGGTCTAGTTTGCATGCACTACAGTCTCCAGAGATATTTCAGACCAGAAAACACAAAGCATATTCAAAAATAAGAAATGTGCTTTTACCTCTTCTGTCATAAGACTTTTCCTACACAATTATAACATGTATTAAAATAGACATTTTAAAGGAAATAATTTAAATGAGTGTATGTTTTCAAAATAAATATTTAAAAAGTTAAATATTATATTTATTCAAAAATCCAATATCACATCTTTAAGCAGTGTTAATAATGATTATTGTTATACCTAGATGTCACATCAACTATTCAACTTTACATCTTTGCTTTTTAAAATGCAGAATGTCATCTTCGTATCATACATAATATTGGAAAGTTCCAATTCTGCATGGTGATGTTTCAACAGAAATGTCTGCAATTATTAAAAGATCTGAATTACAGGTAACACAACATTGATATGTTATTTGTTAACCCTTTATGCCCCACCTCCTGTTTTTGGTTTGGGGGTCTATCATCACATGGCAGTGTTTACCCGTATTCCTGCATTAATAAATTACCATTCACAAGTGTTGCTATTAATGTTTGTGTCCTCACTTAAATTCATATGTTGAAATCCTGGGATTAGCACCATTATAAAAGGGACCCCATAGAGCTAGCTCTTCCCTTCCACCATGTAAGGACACAGCAACAAGATACCATGTGTGTGTTAGTGGCCCTTACCAGACACTGAATCTGCCAGTGCCTTCTTCTTGGACTTCCCAGTCTCCAGAATTGTAATATATAAATTTCTGTTGTTTAAAGGATACCCAGTTTATGGTATTTTGTTATAGCATCCTAAATGGACTAGTAGAAATATATGAGCCAGAATAGTAAATACTACATAGTTGTTATTGTAACACCTTCTATAAGAATTTTCTACTCTATTTGAAAATTACTTTAAGTCCTTGGTTATGAAGGAAAATGCTTCGCTAATGAAGATGAATATTTCCAATGTGTTAAGCGCAGTTACTTTTGTTCCCTAAGTGTTTTTCTTCACATATAATTAGGCTGGATGATTTAATGAAATCCAGATCAGCGTCCATGGATAATGAGGTGAATCCCATCAAGATCCTTTCTTAGTGGCTTTATTTCTAGGAACATTTTTTTAAATAGGCCGTATCTATACAAGAAAAGTGAAGAACAGTATAGAATTAATTTTATTTTTGGATCAAGGGTGTACAAGGAGAATAAAATTAGGTAATGAGCTAATGGGAAATATGCACATTTGGGGACTTGTGGCCTCAGACTGGTTGGAAACTGAATGAATCCATGAAACAATTGCCCAAGTCCCTTTCTTTTTCAAAATGTTTACTTTTAATATTTTGGCCTGTTTGGGTTTTATTAGGTTTCTTAGATTTGATAAGAAAATGGGTGGTTTATAAATTTGAAATTCTAGTTGACTTGTGTAATTCCTTACAATTATATCTTGCAATTCTTTTTTATTATATAAAGTCAAAATTTTTAAGATCCTGTGACATTTTGTTACATTTTAGCCCAAGATTATTTACATTTGTACCTATTCTTCTATGCTTTTACATAAACTCCATGTTGTTACAAAATAATTTAAAACAGCTCATATACTTAAAATAAAGCAAGATAACATATGTTCTGATAACATGCCTCAAGAATATATGAGAAATATGACAGAAAAAAATTCAAGGGCATGATATAAAATCAGCCAGAAATTATTTTACTTTACAAAATGCATGTACTGATAGACTGTACAGTTACTATCTATGAGTTTCTAGTTCATAATAAGAATATAACAAACATAATGGTGATGATATGAGCCACTAAGAATTTTGGCTTAATCTGTGATAGACATTGAGTTAAGCTGTTTACATAGTTCACTTAATAATTACCTCAACCCTGAAATGATGCTCATTTTCTATATAATGAAATGACCTCTAGCTCCAAAATCTTATTGAAAATTGTAGAGACGGTATTGTAGAAACTAGAAACTCAAACTGGCTAATATAAATATAAAGCTGATTCTATCAACTGTAGGCATCACTGCCTCTTAATTAGTTTTTGTCAGCTTTCTCTTCATTATACACTGTAGCCAAAAATCATTTGAATACTAAGCAGTTTTATGTTGTCTGAATGACATTGACCCATCTAACTTACACTTGCAACTCATCACCCAGGAGACAGTAGTTCCTCATACAATAGGATGAGGATACCAGATACGGGTCATTGCAGGGAACTTTAGCTTTGCAGAAATTTTTGTAATAGATTATTTTACTAACCTTCTAACTGGTTTCAATGAAAATCACATGAGTGTTTGGTAGTCCAGCAGTAAACTGGATTTTTTTTTTAAGTCCTTGGAGTTTTCTACATAGACCATCAAGTCATCTCCAAATAGTAACAGAGTTTATTTATTCACTTCTGATAAGTATCACTTTTATTCGCTTTCCCCCCTATTTATTGGGCTGTTTAGGCCTTCCAGAATCCTGACTATGGAAGAAACAACACTGTATATTGATCACTGCATAAGAGCATGTCCTGTGTAAGCCATGTGAGCATACACACAAGGCGTTATCATAGTTTGTGCCATAATTCACTCTTCAAAATGCCATTCCATTATTCTAAAATGTTAGTCACTTTATAAAGATGGTTAACATGATGATAGCCATGAATTCCACAAGACATGAGCCCACTTCCACTCTTTATGAGGTGTAAAATGAGTTTGCCTTCCTTCAGTGAACTCTAGTTCTATGAAGTGGCATAATTTTTGAAAATGATTGATATGCCACAACCTCTATTATGCTGATTCAAGTTAGCCTTACATTTACTGCATTTGAAACCTTTCCACTTACGCAAGTCAAGTAAGACTTTAGTGGACTGCCCATCAATTTCAGTCCTACAGACATATGATTAATTATAGAACATCAAAGTTCTCTGTGGGTCAAGCCATTCCTATAACTGCTTTGAGTCTGCCAACCATTCTGATTCCTAGTCTTAGCAGTTAAGTGCTGCCACCTGGCCCCTGGCACTCCTGGATCTCATCATCCTCATTGAATTCAGAGAGCCCACTTAGACAGTGAAAGCTTCCACTGTTGTTCCTGGACTGCAGGGAAGAACCAACATGGAGCTCTTCAGTTGCTGGGACACCTTTCACCAATGTGTTTCTCAAAGACTTGAAGGAAATGTCTTTGGGACTCTTCTAGTTAGGGTGTGAGTAAGCAGATCTTACATAAAAAATCTACCCTAGCATTTCAGTCTCCCCAAGTCTTCGATTATTGTCCTTTAGATTATACCAAGGAAATTCTGGAATCTCAAGTGCATTCTCTGTGGGCCACTTTTGGGTTTATGTCTCAATACACCAGTTAAACAAATGGTAGAGGTAGAGCCATTCCCAGGCACTCAGGCAAACACATTGAATACAGAATCTCTTCTTAGTATACCCATATTAATATATTTGACCTGATCCAACATATTTCTTCCACTCAGATTCTACTTGTTAGGCTATGTTCCCATATATTTTCCCCAGGTTTGTGTTATAAATTGGCAAAATTATGCAATTCTTTTGGTGTGTAGGGTAACCTCTCATGGATTGTATTTTGTCAGATGTCCTAAGCCTGTGGGGACTGATTCTGGTTACAAGTCTGGTTACAAGTCTACACTTCTCATTAGAGGTGGTGGGAATGGGACCTCAGGAGGATTAACAATGCCTGGCAAAGCGCCTATATCATAAGAGGCAAGCATGGGTTTGCAGGCAAGGGCAGGCTAACCTCCTCAGAGAGGGGAATAACGGCTGCTCCCACAGGCCAGTGAGGCTCAGTAGAATTTAGGGGTTCAAAGTCTTCAACTTCATCACAATCTGCTCAGAAGTCTTCATCCCAATTTTCAGGACACACACCTTTTCAATTTATGGCCTAACTTTAACATAAAAAAGGCTTGTGAATATGGGAATTTAGTTTGCACAGTAATTCAGGTATCTGTAGATAAGATTTAGGGTTTAATCTTCAGAAATCTTGATTCTGAAGCTCTTGGAAATAGGATTTATTTTAGGGTGTTCATAAAAGTTTTCTGGTCCCCTACTTAAAACTTGAGCTTAGAATTTAAATGTCTGTGCTTACGATTTTTCTTCGCCATGTCCTCCATGCATTAGAATCAAGCAATCAACTTCATATATGAGTTATTCTCCTTAGTTTCCACTAAAATACTGGCTGGTAGCAAATACTTGTTCACACAAGGCCTTGCCTTTGGTAAGCATTTGATTGCAGGTGATAATCAAAGTTACTCTTTTTGCCACTGTATACTGTGGACTGTAAGTATATGGTTAACACAGAAAAACAGAACCATTAACGTTTTAAATGTAACTAGATCAGAGAACTAATTATACATTCTCATCCTTAAGGTTCTGTTCCCCTGGACTGAATTCTGATACCAATATTGGTATCAGTCAGTGTGTGTCAGAGAAGTAGAATCTCTACGAGTATTGCAGAACAAGAGATTCTTTATGAGCATGACACCTTACACAGCTGTGGAAGAAGCTGGAAGAGTTGTTTTTATTTTTGTTTCTTTGTTTGTTTGTTTTTCTTAAGCCTTTTCAGGGAAATTAGAGATTCAGAGAAAAGTCACTAACCAGCTCTTCTGTAGTCAGAGTTGGAACATGAAGCATGATGGAGATCTGGAACAGAGCCTTGGCCACTGTGAATTATCACGCCCTGCTCAGCAGGCCCTGGGAGAAGAGCTGGGCATACAATGAGGAAAACGGGGACAACTTAGAATCTCCTTTTCATCTTTTTCCCTGATCTCGGATGAGTTCCACAGAGTTGTCAATCTTGCCTTCCACATCTCAAATAATTTTTCAATTTTGGCCATCTCCAACACAGACCATACATGAACAGGGTTTCTGGGAAACATAGTTTCAGCTTGTCCAAATGACAGACAAGCAAAACATCTTAGGTGGTAACATATTCTCTTTATAGACATCTAATCTACGAGCCGAAACCAAATAAAAAGCTAGCCAGAATGTGAATGCCTCTGAATAGATACTTTACCACTTCAGCACAAAAGATTGGCATCGATCAAATATAAATTCTTCTCACATGGGTCTTTTGACATATTTAAGAGCTCTCAGTCAATCAGAAATAAACAATTTGGGCTAATGTAAATTTTAGATCATTTACATTAACCTAGTAGTACTGGCTATTAAATATAAAAATCTACTTACGTATCTAACTGAACATTTTATCTTCCAGTTAAAATCATAGGAAGTTAAACCTCTAGTTGGATGGTTAAATTTTGAGATTTACCTGGATGTTTGCATTATAATAATAAGCAAATGCAGCAAAGACTATGAAAGTTCATATACAAGGAAATACTGTTAAGAGGGTTAATTAGTTGTTTGCCAAAGCCTAATAATTTCTTCTGTAACTTTTATAGAACTTTATAATGGAAAAACACAATATGTTACATTAAATCCTACTGTAAAATAGAATAGTAAAATAGAAAATAATAGCTTAAAGTTAAAGCACTGAAAACAACATATAAGCAATTCATAGAGGTCTAAGTAATTAAGTTTAATTGCAACTCTGACTAAAGGCATTGCCATTTTTCTATTGCTCGTATATGTGAGCTTCTTGAAATGTTATGATCTATCCATTTTGGTAGAAGGAAAGGTGCATTTTGTAGAAAATATTTTCCAATTCTAATGTGGGCAGAAAATCATATAAATATTTATTTAAAAGGAAATGAGTAACTCCAGACCTGTAGGTTCATTTTATTTTGCACTGATATTTATTTCATTTTTTCTTGCTGAGCTTAATTAGAAAAATCTTGTGTAGAGAAGTTGAATGCAATTTAATCAGCAGGAAAATGCATTTATTATGGAAAAAGTATTTAAAAACAAAGAAAAGGGACTGCTGGAAGGATTTATTTTGGTAATACCACCTAGAGGGGTAAGGTTAAAGATTCAATTTACACTCAACAGGAATGAAGCAGTGAATAGAGGAGGCAGAGTGACTTAGCAAGACATTTTGTGGTACAAACAGTTCATGCAAAATAGTCACATTGACTTGGAACTGGGATTGGAAAATACCAGCAGAAAATAGAACAATGGAAAGAAATCAACTGAGTCCATTTTTGCAGACAGGAAAAGATAAACAAATATTTTCAAGACAGTATTCTTATATGTAAGTAAGATGCCATGGGAACACAGAGGAGTTAGCTTCTTTGCCTATGGTAGAATGTGGAGTCTATCAAATAAATAACATTCATTGGAACTTGGAGAATTAGTTGGCCTTCCCCTGATGTTAATTAAAGAGCAAATGGTGATATTGTAGCTAAGAAGACCAACAGGTTCCACATCATGGGGGTCATTAGAGTTTCAGAAATTTGCTGGGGAGGGCAACGTAAAATTGAGAAACACTGTCTGTTGTGCAAGAAGTGGCGAACATCTGGGAGTTGTGCTGATGGTATTAGGAGGGGAGAGGGAATGAGAAGCGCTGACTCCATCATGAATGCTTAGGGCTAAGTTGTAAATGACTTTTGTAGATTAAATTAAGAGGACTGGGTGATGGAGATTTAATACATATATCCAAATTAGTAAAGTAATAAAAAGGTATAATATTTTAGGAAACTGTATCAATAAAGCAGAGACTAGACTAGTGTTGGAAGAGAAAAAATTGCTGCAGAAGGTATAGCTGTATCTGAAGTTTATGGAAGAAGAACGAAAAATTGTGAGGAAATATTAGAGAGGGAGATAAGCATTTAGAGATATTAATAATAAAACACAAAGGACCAAAGAAATATTATGGCTTCTGAAGTTATAGGAAAAAATAGGGATTAAATCAAGGGATATGCAGAGTCATCGTAAGTGGGAAGAAGAAGCAGCACAATTACATAAGACAAATCAATCAGAATCTGAAGCAAAGCCATATGTAAACAGTTGACAGAACTATAATCCTTAGGATACTGGCTCTGAAAAGAAATAACTAAATAAGCAAGAATCAAACCACTAACCACTGGAGACATTTTGGAAATATAAAAATGTCTTAAGTATTAAAGAGCAATCATTGCCTCTGAAGGAACTGGGGAAAAGAGCATAGAGATTTTGTTATAATATGTATAAATAGAAGTATATCTCAAATGAAATGTGAAAAGCAATTAGTGGAAGATATGATGCCTCTTTCACTTTTATTTAAAATAAAAGGGTAGGATCGAAGTGAATTCAACCATATCTGGAAAAAAGCTTCACTCCTCTGAACCTAGGCTTTAAATCTGACAAACTTGATGATCCTTATATGTTTTTTCATCAGAGGACCAAATTACATATCAAACTTTTTCCAGTATTTTCAGTTAGTATCATATAGTTTATTCTTACCCAAGTCATAAAATATTCTTCAAAGTACATTTTTATCATGTGAATATTTGATTTCACATATGTGTTATGGTTTATTTAGCCTCTTCTCATTGTTAAGCCTTTGTACTGTCTCCAATCTTTGGTATTATAAAAAACATTTGATGAACGTCCAACTGATCCCAGCAATCTAATACAGTTTTCTCATGGTAATTCTGAAAGCGGATTACTAAATCAAGGGATTCAATATATTTTAGTCTCTTGGAAACATAATGCTGAATCGCACTCCAGAAAGAATGTATCAGATGCCCACATATCATTATACACATGCCATCATTTAATATTAACATTTAAAAATTTACCAATGTAAGAAGCAAAAATTGTAATTATTTTGATTTGTTTGCTACTAATGCTCATTTTTTAATACGCTTATTTATCATTTGTGTTGATTTTGTCCATTTTGTCCTACTTTCTGTGAAAATTCAACTTCTAAAGTCGTTTTTATTATAGCACCAGAGATGACCACATCATTTTATGTACTTCAGTTGCGTAATGGTTTTGAAATATATTGAGGAGTGTCCCACGGGGAGGAGAATACATTTGGGTTTAAAATGTTTCATTCTTGAAAGAATTGCTTAAATTTAAATAGCAAATGAAATAAATTAAGAAATAATGACATATTTGGAATAAAAACATTGTTTATTATTAAACTAAATACATGTGGCACACAGTATATGTGAATTGTTGAATAGTTGTTATTGGTATATATTTTAATATATACTGTTAATCTTCTTATAAGATGCCTTGCAAATACAAAATACATTTTAGTGACAAGTAAAATTTAAAAAATACAATGTATTTCAATACTATTTTAAAAATCCCAAGTTCTATTAGCAATAAAAAAAGATTGAACTGAAGGAAATAGAGTACATGCATCATAAGTTCCCAACGTAACACAGATGTAATAGATAAATATAATTCCATTCTTGATATTGATAACTAAAGTATAAAATATTCATAAAAATTGATAAAAGTGCTGGAAGATTGTCTTCCAAATAAAAATACAGATAAGATAAATCATAAAAAATATATAGCAAAAACATATATGTCAAATGTACAGCATTAAAAGCTTAAAAGCAAATAGCATGAAACAAGATAGCAAATTTAACTTAAAATAAGCATACATGCTTTAAGTTTTCCAATGACTAGAGCAATGTTCATTGTTTAGATTATTTTAACTTTTATTTTAGGTTCAGGGGTACATGTGTAGGTTTGTTATATAGGTGAACTCGTGTCACAGGGGTTTGGTGTACAGATTATTTTGTCACCTGGGTACTAAGCTTAGTGCCCGATAGTTATTTTTTCGATCCTCTCATTAAAAATTAAATATAATGCTTCTCAAACATGTTAGGTACATTTCTGAAAGACACTGAAACGAGCAGGGCTTGTGAAAAATAGGGTTGGAACTAGACCTCTGGAAATATATGCAGCCTTGTAAACAGGCAGTATCAAACAAAAACAATAACAAGCCTAAACAATACCCTATAACAGATGAAATGACATCTTAAGACCATGAGGAAGAGAAATACACAGTAATTTTTAATTCTTCTGTGTCATAGTAAATTTAAAAGTGTATCATAGAGAGAGAGAGAGAATCAGACATTACACATACACTATTCAAGATTATTATAGACTCTAGATATACCGAATAACATATAGAAAATACAGGAGACCGAGAACATGTTAACTTCTTGAGGGTACAATCAGCAAAGTCCAAATTTGGGAACATGCATAGAACAAATGACCTGGTTTCTTTGACTAATAATTTCTAAGGACTAAGTAAAAAGAAAACGGAAGGATTAAGTAAAAAGAAAAGAGAAACTTTAGACTAAAATACCTTGGATAATATCAAGAAAAAAAATTAGCCAAATGTCCTGTATGATCCTTGTGTGGATCTTGATTAATTATGCTAATTAAAATAATTGTGAAATAATTGGGGAAATTTGGTCATTTATTGGGTATTTGATGATCAAATTGTCATTTTTTTATGTTGAATAATATTAAATTTGTTTAAAATATGCATTTTTCTTTCAGAGATTAAAATTAAATTAATCATGGATGTAATTACATGATGCTTGGGGTTGGTTTTATGATAATTGATGGTCAAGGGAAATTGGTGAGGACATAAATGAAGCAAAATTGGCCATGCTTTGATAACCACTGAAGGGAGGTGATGGGCACGTGGGATTTCATTAAAGTGCACTACGTACTTTCATATGTATTTGAAACTTTTCATAAGAAAATATTTAAGGGAAAATAAAGACAAAAAGAAAAGAAGAAGCATGGTAGAAGTGATGGAAGGAGGGTTCAAGCTACTGAGTTTTGGGACAAGGGAATACTTTGGAAAGTCTGTAGAGAATAGCTCAAAGCACACTTTACTTCCAAAACAGAGCAAATGTCCCCATTGAGCCAGGGTAAAAAGACATTGTGTACAAAATTCATATACAGCTGGTTGCATTCAGTAATGTTGGTATACTGAACTTGGTTGCCACTATTTGCTATTTTTGAATGAATAAATTCATGTTACAGAAATATTCATTTTAGCAGAACAGGTAGTAAATAAGAAGAAAGCAATGATAATAACTATTAAGTCCATGTATGATTAAAATGAATTAAAGAGTTTATGTATTCTACCTTGGTAAAACATACAATCTTAACTCGGTATAGAAACATAAACATTTATAGCTGTCTCTTACCATACCAATATACAAATGCATATTATTTTCAACCATATTTATATTTATTACTCAAGTACACTAAATATTTTCTGATATTAATACTGCCACTGCTTTTTAATTCAACATCTCCATTTTGAGTGATAATTTTGATTGAAAATTTTCCATGATGTGAACAATGCCTTCCTATTTTTCCCAAATAAAGCTGATGGATGATACAATGTCTGAGATTTTGTATGTAAGAGAGGTCTTTCTGTTATTTTCTTATAAGAATTATAACTTGACTGTCTCTACATTCTTGGATGATTGTATTTCTCTCTCAGTTTTGCAATATTCCCTTATCGTTTTCTGAAGTGGAATGTTTAAGAAACTTTGGGGGTTTTGTTGTTTTTGTTTGTTTGTTTGTATCAGTGACAGTAACTTTCCTAATCTTTTTAGAATTCAAAAAGCTCAGCAGTATATACTGAACATATGTCCTTTATCAGCTTACTTGTTGCAAGAAAAAACAATAAAATTTTATTACCAATTTCATGATTATTGATTTTACTCAATTTTCTTATTAATTGCAAGTTGAACTTTCATGATTAGTAATAAATATGTTCTTTGCCTCTGCCTTTGGGAATGTTTCTCAATTTTTGTTTTCTACAGCATTTATTTGAATTTTTTAAAGCACCAGTTGTGTTATTTATTTTCTGCAAGAGGAGTCAACAAATAATTGGATACTAGTTTAGTTTCAATTCACAATAGACATTTGATTAAAACAGTGTGGCATTGGCACAGAGATTGACTATTTCTATATTAGGAAAGCCTTAGCAGGATGTGATACTGATATTGTGAATAAAATTTCATTGACTATAACAAGGTAGAGGGAAATGGAATCCCAGAGAAGAACCAGTAGACATAGGTATAGAAGCATAATGTGCATAAGGAACCACAAGTAGTTTACAATTGCTAGTGTGTACAGTCTAAATAAGATGAGAGGTGGGTAACAGCAATGTTTTAATTTGCTAGGGCTGCCATAACAAGCTACCACAGCCTGGGTGGCTTAAACACAGACAATTATTTCTCAAAGTTCTGGGACCTACAATTCCAAATCAATGTGCCTGCAGGTTTGGTTTTTCCTGAAGCCTCTCTCTTTGGCTTGTGGATGGCTGCCTTCTTGCTGTGCCCTCACCCAGCCTTTTCTCTGTACACATCCCTGGTGTCTCTTCCTCTTCTTATAAGGACACCCATCTTATTGGATTGGGGCCTCACTCTCATGCACTTATTTTAAATTTATCAGCTCTTTGAAGACCATATCTCCAAATACAGTTGTATTCAGACTGATTGAGGTTTGGGACTTCAACATATGAATTTTTGGAGGAGACACAATTAAGCCCATAACAAGAAATATTTTAAAGTATTTTAGATTAAATGACATGGAGTTCGATCTTTATTTATTTTTAATTATTTTGTGGAGGGAAAACACTGTAAGATTTCATGTATCAGAGTGATACAGTGTCTAGAAGTTTGTAATATATTTGGGAAATAATATTGTAGGACTCTCATATTTATTATTAACAAAACAGTACTGTAGAGGAAACGATGTAATTTAATATTTACATATACATGTCCAAATGTCTTATCAGAGAACATTCTTACCACAACTGTGATAGGAAAAGTAATAAAATAGCCAAGATAGGGTTGTCACTAGCTTCATGTCCCATTTCTTAATTATTATTATTATTTAATATAAATGAATAAAGTATTTCAGCTTATTCCAAAACAATTTTTAACTAGTTCTTCAGATGGAAGTAGGTATTACATGTGTGTGTGTTTGTATGTGTGTGTGTGCAGGTGCATGTGCATCGTGGGTTATTTGCTATGGTTTGAATGTGTCCCCCAAATTGCATGGGGTTGGGGACTCATGAAGGGACTGGTGACTTTATAAGAAAATGAAGAGAGATTTGAGCTGACACATATGCTCTTACCCTCTCAACACGTAATGCCTTCTGTCATTTTATGACATAGCAAGAAGGCCCTCACCAGATGCCAATACCATGCTCTTAGACTTCCCAGCCTCCAGAACTATAAGAAATAAATTTCATTTTAAAAAAATTTACCCAGTCTCTGGTATTCTGTTTTAGCAACAGAAAATGGACTAAGACCGTGTTCTATAAAATTATAATGAGGTTATTCTGTAATTGGCCATATAAAACAGACATATATTTAACTGATTCTTAATGACCTCAGATTATTTTGTAGATTGAAATTTACAGTTCTAGTTTTATTCCAGAATAAAAATGTAGTGTTACCATCATCACTGTGTGATCATTTCCATATTGCACTTTATAGTCTCTCTTGAGTGTTGCTTGGACATAGGACAACTTACTTTTTAAACTATTCTCTACATCTTTAAGTGTCTTCTTTCATTGCTTCATTCAGCAACATTTAATCAAGCACCAAAAAGTGCTAGAAACCTTCTATCCACTAAAGATATGGCAGTGAGCAAAACAGACAAGGACTCTGATTTCACGGAGCTTATATCTAAATAAATAAATAAAATGAATATTATCAGGTTGTGGTTTAAGTGATGAGTTTTTCTGTGTTTGGTCTGCTGGTAGCCTTATCGAGTAAATTTTCCATAACAGATATTTTACCTTTTTAAAATTCTATAATATCTATTCTGTTCTTTCTTTAGAGTTTACATTTCTATTCTATAGTTTCCATCATGTTCACCCATATAGTCTGTATTTTCCTCTAATATTGGTCTTTAAAATTTATAGTTATTTAAAAGTCCTTGTTTGATAATTCCAATATCTGATATACTTCTATTAACAGATTTTTCTTTTAATCTTGTCATATTTTAAAACTTTTTCACAAGTCATAATTTTTAAAAATTATATCCTGAACACAGTGAATGACACTATGCAGAGACTCTGTATTATGTTATTTTCCTGAATAGAGTGTTGAGTTTTATTTAAGCAGACAGTCAAATTCCTAGCAAATTACTATGACCCTATTGAAGCTAGTTTTCTTTTTAAATTTTTATTATACTTTAAGTTCTGGGATACAAGTGCAGAACATGCAGGTTTGTTACATAGATATACATGTGCCATGGTGGTTTGCTGCACCATCAACCCATCGTCTACATTAGGTACTTCTCCTAATGCTATCCCTCTCCTTTCCCCCCACCCCACGACAGGCCCCTGTGTGTGATGTTCCCCTCCCTGTGTCCGTGTGTTCTCGTTGTTCACCTCCCACTTATGAGTGAGAACATGCGGTGTTTGTTTTTCTGTTCCTGTGTTATTTTGCTGAGAATGATGGTTTCCAGCTTCATCCATGTCCCTGCAAAGGACATGAACTCATTCTTTTTTATGGCTGCATAGTGTTCCATGGTGTATGTATGCCACATTTTCTTTATCCAGTCTATCGTTGATGGGCATTTGGGTTGGTTCCAAGTCTTTGCTATTGTGAATAGTGCTGCATCATGCCAGTTAGAATGGTGATCATTAAAAAGTCAGGAAACAACAGATGCTAGAGAGAATGTGGAGAAATAGGAATGCTTTTACACTGTTGGTGGGAGTGTAAATTAGTTCAACCATTGTGGAAGACAGTGTGGTGATTCCTCAAGGATCTAGAACCAGAAATACCATTTGACCCAGCAATTCCATTACTGGGTATATACCCAAAGGATATAAATCATTGTACTATGAAGCTTAGTTTTAAGCATTATAGAGTGAACACATTTCACTTTTACTCTTAAATTTAAGGCATTGTTCATACTACCAGAGCATGGTTCTTCCTTCTGGTGACTAGAACGAATGTTTGGGGTGGTCACCAAGGTGAGATCTATGCTCAGGTCTCAGCTGAGCAAGAGTTGACCTATGTTGGGCATCATGAAGTCTCTCTGACAATGAGCAATGTAGCATTGAGCCTAGGACATCTGAGTAGCCCTTTGGCAGATTTCTGGGACATCCATGCATTTTCCACTTCTCTGGAGTTCTGCCTGTCAAGTTCTAACTGCTTCAGTATCAGAAGATCAGGAATGGAGCTCACTGCTTCAGCTCCCCCTTCCCTGCATTGCATTTAGAAACGCTCCCAGGCTGAAAGCCGGCGTGCACATGGTACTCACTTGTAAACATGCTTCTATCCAGGATCCCAGCTCTATGATGCTTGCTTTCTAATGCCTGAAAACAGGGTTTTTTTTTTTCATATATTTTGCCAAACTTTATTGTTATTTACAGTGGGGAATAAAAAGATAACCAGCTTCTTCATTATCTTTTGTACTACAATTGACTACTTTTTAAACATAATACAATGTTAAGATTCCAAATGGGAAGGAAAAAACTATATACACTACTTCAGTGTTTTATTATCATAACGTGGAAGTTAAAGTCTTTCTCTTTTGACTTCTTTCAGGCAGCACACATTTATTTTTTGTGTCAGTTTCTCTACTGCCTAGCTACTTTACATTTTATCCCTGAAAAAATATTTCTAAGGCAGTGTTGTTTTTATTTTTACTGGTATCCTTTGGTCTGGTTAACCTGATTAATTTAAAGGAAATAGCACTGAGTCCAGTATTTGGAACTGTAGAGACAGAGAATGAAATTTTCAAGTACAGATCTGTCTAACACACAGTAGAGACAGCCAGATAACTAACGCTTATCTGGAAATCCTACTCTATAACAAACATTTTTGTTTTATTGGACACAGAATGTAATTTGAGTCACAATTATCTTTCATATGAGTCTATATTGTTATTCAGATGAGTTATGAATCTGTGATTACTATTTCCATTGTTGAAGTATTGATGCTGTCTTTTTGACCTGGTGATATAAGATATGTAGGCGACAAGGGTAAGCCCATTAAAGTGGTAGAATTTGGCAGGTTCTTGAGTAGGAATTTCAAATCAATAATTCTTCTTTGGAAACTGTGATCTATGGAGCTGGAATGAGGTAATTTGAACACTTTTTAATTCTTTTTTTTTTTTTTTTTTTTTAGTTATGGTGGCTAAAGAAATTGTATTCTGAAATCCTTTTTTTTTTAGTTTGGTAGCTAAAGAAATTTTATTCTGAAATAACACAGGTCTTCATAAAGTGAGACATGTAAATAGTACAAAACAAGTTATATTTTGTATAGATCATGAAATAGAAAGTATAGCTTGTATGGTTTGATTTCTAGTAATGAGTCACATTGCTCATGAAACGGGAAAGATTGCCTTGCCCCCTGGCAGGGCGTGCGATGGGGGTGTGGTTTGCTTCTTCAGTGACCCGCTGCTCAGCCCTCTAGGGGAAGCACACAGACGGGCAGGCTGGGGGCTCCAACTCCCCTGACAGTGTCTAGGGGTGAATAGTTTACAGCTCTTGCAGCCCCAGTGGCTGTGTTACAGGTGCTCTCTTAGTTTGCAGTTTATAGGTGGCTTGTGTTAACCAGCTCAATTAGACCCCGTTCCTTATCACAAGGACGGAGGTTTTTCTGTATCCCGGGATTTCTTGCCTTGGTGTACCAGAAGAATCAGATCACACGTGGGCTTGAAGTGCAAAGTTTTATTGAGTGGAAGTAGCTCTCAGCCTCAGCCAATGTGGATGCCAAAAGGGAGATGGTTTTCTTCTGGAGCTGGGCAGCTCAGTGGCCCCAACTTTCCTCCCACTGCCCTGGCCAAACTCCATCTCATCCCACAGGTGGATGGCCTGCCAGCCTGCCGGTGCCAGCTGTTGTGCTTTTCTGCCCGCAAGCTCTCAACTAACAGCCGCTTGTGTGTTAACCTCCAACGTGTTCCTCAGGACATCCAGCCACTTCTGTGTCTCCCTGCTAGGGTCTCGGGGCTTTTATAGACACAGGATGGGACGTGGCAGGCCAGGGTGGTCTTGGGAAATGGAACATTTGGGCAGGAAATGCCTGTCCTCACCTAGGTCCGTGGGGGTGGAGCCCTAGCCAGGGACCCGCCTTTCCTACCCAGCACTTCACTTCCCAGTTCCCAATCATTTAAAGGGACCAAGCTCTTCCCTTCAGAGTGCTCCACTATCACTAATGATGGAACTAATTCTTTAATTTTCCTAAATGAAGAATAGATATTCATAGTACAAAATAATTGAATAGGGGCACTGGAACAGCAATTATTTCACCTTAACATCTTTAAAAAAACAGCTCAAGTTACCAATGAGTTGCTCCTATGGGTTTAACTAGTATGAATTAATTAACAGCCAAGGAAGACAATATCACAATACTTTTAAAATTCTAAAGACTCAGTGTGTCTTCTAAATAATTTAACAGAATAATGAAAACAGTTTAAAATAAATAACATGACCATTATGAAGTCCTAAATCTAAAACACTACTTTTAAAATAATTTTACTTTTAAAAATTATTTTTAACTGATACATAGTAATTATACATATTTATGCAGTACAATGTGATGTTTCAATATATGTATGCATTGTGTAATGATCAAATTAGGGTAATTGGCATGTCTATCAACTCAAACGTTTATCATTTTTTTGTGTGTGGTGGGAATCAGATGCATCTTAAAATAGTTGTCTACAATTAATGTGACATATTTTCATTTTATCCAAAAGTCATTATTGAAATATTTTCCCTCAAAATTAATAAGCAATGAAGGTAGAATGCTATTTTCTTTTGAAAAGAAAATATGTGAGATAGAAAATTTGAGAAGTTACATGTGAGATCATTATTTTGTATTTGTTTTAAAAATAAGACAAACTAGATATAAAAAATTAACACATTAATTAATATATTTAAACATTTCTTGATACCTCTAGTAGACTCTTTTCTAATCACAGAATTTTTATTGGCCACCTAATGTCAAGATCCTTCTATTCGCTGTTAGCGTTAGAGATTTCCCATGAATAAAAAGTAATTAACAATGTTTTCTTTTTGTTTCAGAAAATAGCCAACTTACTTTCTGTTTTCACAAAATGTACTTCTTAAAATACAATCTTTTTACCAAAATGATTTAGTCTCGGTTCAATAGGAATTTACATTTTCCTTCTTTCAGAACTTCACACTTCAAACAGATTCCAATCAATGCCTCTATGAGTGTTTTAGGCAATTTGAATTGATAGTTAACTTGCAGAAAACTCTTAGGATTTCTTCTTGTCTGCTTTGGGAGATGAAGAAAATGCGGTTCTGTTGAAATGGATGCCAAATAGGGGTACCTGTGTTCAAAGGTTGTATCTCTAGTTCTGCTGTAAACTTGGGGACTGCAGACTTTATTTTTTTAAACTATGCTTAATGGTTAAAAGCCTGAACCCTGCGGATAGACAGATCTGAATTTGAATTTGGCCCCAGCACATATTTGGCTGCATGATTCAAGAAAAATTAATTAAATTATTAGACTTATTTTCCTCTCTTGAAAAATGTTTATAGTGATCGTGTATCACAATAAATAGAAGAAATTGATTGGCAAATAAGCATTTAATGGACATATTAATATATTTGTTATTTCTGCTGTTATAGCTGTTTATCAGTAAATTTATACTCGACATAATAACTTCTGAAACAGTTTTACCCTTCTCCTGCAACCGCCCGCTAGTCCATGGTATTATAATTTCAAAAACATTATTATTTCACTGTGCTACTTTAAAAAATCCTCCCTTTTTTCAATCTATCTTATTTTTTCTCTGAATCATTCCTTAATCTCTATAAACCTGAGCAGGAAGACTCTTAATACTTGTTTCCAGTGTTTTCCATATTGCTTTTGTACAGTATGTTTGCTAAACCATTGATAAACAATTTTAAATGATGCTATAGATCTACACACTAAATGTTGAATAAAATAAAAGGCAGCAACAATTAAAGATGAGTTCAGGCCATTTCATCAACTGATGTATTGTTCATCAAGATTATATTGAACAAAGACAATAAATGCAGTCATGGTGACATACACTGTTCCAATCTTTTTAGCATTTAAATCAGGAGAAAATACGTCTTGATCAAGCAACACTATCTAATTGGTGGGGATCCTAGCATGTCATTGCCTGGATTTTTGATGCAAAAAGAGACAGACTCCAAGGATTAAGAATTAGACTAGGGAATGCAACTTGGTCATTTTTTTGATTTGTGGTGATTTTATTATGGATACAGAGCATATTCTTCTTACATTGAACACTTTATTGAAGCTAAGGGGTGCCGCACATTGCTTGAAAAGGTTAGCCTATCCCAATGAGCAAATAGGCATGTACTATGTCAAGAGGAGGACTTGAACTTTCTGACAGCCTTTCCAGCATGAGAAGGAAGAGCTTCAAGATGTCTCACCTAGAAATCCAGACGCATACCCTATTATTTATGCAGCACATTTTATGGAGGTAGTCTGAAACTGGCTTTAAATACTTAAAAGGACAATGGTATTGTATTGTCCAGAGGGTTAATACTTGATGATGTAGCTGAAATGGTTTAAATGTGTGTCCCCTCCAAATATCACGTTGAAATGTGATCCAGTGATGTTTGAGATGGGGCCTATTGGGAGGTGTTGGATCATGGGGAGGGACCACTCACGAATGGCTTGGCGCCATCCCCTTGGTGATGAGTGAGTTCTCGCACAGTTACTTTCGCTGGAGAGCTGGTTGTTTAAAAGAGCCTGGCTCCTCCTCTTCCTCCTCCTGCTCCTTCTCCTTCTCCTCCTCCTCTTTCCCTTCCCCTTCCCCTTCCCCTTCTCCTTCTCCTTCCTCTTCTCCTTCCCCTTCTCCTTCCCCTTCCCCTTCTCCTTCTCCTTCCTCTTCCCCTTCTCCTTCTCCTTCTCCTTCCTCTTCTCCTTCCCCTTCTCCTTCCCCTTCCTCTTCTCCTCCCTCTTCTCCTTCCCCTTCTCCTTCCCCTTCCCCTTCTCCTCCTCCTTCTCCTTCCTCTTCCCCTTCTCCTTCTCCTTCCTCTTCTCCTTCCCCTTCTCCTTCCCCTTCCCCTACTCCTCCTCCTTCTTCTTTCTCTCTCTCTCTCCCCCACTGTCACTTTCCCTCTCTTCACTTCCCTGTCTCCCCTCTGCCTTCCACCATAACTACAAACTTCCTGAGGCCTCCCCAGAAGCGGAGGCCATGCTGGTGCTGTGCTTGTATAGTCTGCAGAACCATGAGCCAAATAAACCTCTTTTCTTTATAAATTACCCAGCCCCAGGTGTTCCTTTATAGCAACACAAATAAACAGTAACTCATAGATTTACCAGGAGTCAAACACTTGATAAGAGGAAGTATAATAGTGTCATCAAGAAGACAGGTTTTGAGCTCAGATAGCTATGATCAGTATCAGGGCCCATCACTTACTAGTTGTTTGACCTTGGGCAAAATAGTTGATCTCTTAAGGTCTCATTTTTCTCACCTATAAAATGAAGCATTAACTCCTGCCTTATTAGGGGATGGTGAAAATAAAGTGAAATAATATAGATAAAACTCTCACAGTGCATGGCCATTAGTAAGTGCTCCCAAATAAGAGCCTCTATTATTTATAGATGTTTTGACTATTTAAATGGCAAATAATACAACATATTTGTTATCCTAACAAAATAGCAATCTCTGTTTTATGTGTTTTCATTTACTTGCAGGAGTTGAGAACTTCCTTACATCGAAATCACATTACAAACAATGAAGATAAAAAATGTTTATTAGTACTCATTGTGTTTAATATTTCTTGATTGTTTTTGTTTTGTGAAGCATCTTGCTGGAGACATGACATGACTCTAACCAAGGCTTGGTCTTTTAGGCATTTATTTTTGTGCCTGTTCTAGAACAGGAGTAATAAAGACAGGCAAAATAATATTTCTAATTAGGTTAATTATGCTTAGTCAGTTAATCACAAGGTGCATAAATTTATCTCTAAACTGCATGAGCCTAGAAGCTCCTTACTGAAAACCACACGTTTTTCATTCAAAATTGGGGAAAGTGAGGGCAAAATATATTTAAGGTTTTTTGCCTAGATACATTTTGCTCTGATTTGATTTTAATAGAACAAGTCTGGCAAGAATAAGGCCATGGTATTCTGTCAGTTAATTAATGGTTCCTATCAGTGAATAACATCAATTTGATGTATTTCATTATCCTTGTAAATTAGAAGGCGCTGTTTGGACCTGCATGGAGATGTGAATGGCAGGGAGCCACACCCATTCTGCCTGATCTATTGCACTCACAGTTCAGCTGTGGGGACCACCCTTTGTGGCCATCTCAGTATCTTTATGCCAGATTTTCATTTAAATTGGCACATTTAATTGTAGACAGACATAGTAAGCCTTCTCTAAAACTTGTCATTTATCCTGTTTGTATCCTAACCTTTTCCATAGTATAAGCGGAGAGTGCTATCTACATCCCCAAATAGTGTATCAATCCTACAGATAAATGTTTGTAACAGTTTCCAAGAGGGTGAAAATAAAATTAAATTATCTGAATAAAGCTCTCATAGTGCATGACATACAATAAGTGTTCCCAGAGTAGCCACTATTATTTGTAGATGTTTTGAATATTTAAGTGGTAAGCAATACAATATATTAAATTGGCCATTGCATTTTCCTTAGGCCTATCTGATTAAGGAATATTGACTTTTTAAATTTGTTTTGCTTATTTTCTTTGTTTGTCTCATTAACTAAATCTATATTAAAGGAATCAGTTTTTGATGTGCTTCTCTCCGCCCCCACTAAAGTCTAGTCCTCCTTAAAATAAGATCAATTCAGAAAGGAATGCCTAAAAGCAGATGTAACATTTTCTGCTGAATTTAAAAACCATTTTTCTCTATATAAAACACCTTGTGAATAAATTCATTATTATTAACTGCTTACAGCATGTTTATCTGTGCCTTTGGCAATATAAGTAACGCCAATCTGTCTATATGCTGATGAGACATATGGCAAACAAAGGCAGATATAAATTTGGGTCAGGAGACACATTTTAGTCTTTTGGACATAGAGTTCTGTAGACTCTGCTGATGTGAACTGGGCAATGTTGCATATTTTCTGGAAGGCCCAATTCTGAGGTAGTACTAACTTTCTTCAGGCTACCATGTAGGTCTTTCCTGAAAGAAACAGTTTATTCCAAGTGTGACTAATTTATTCCTAATTAAGCTCATTACATTATGGACATTTTAAATAGAGTTTGATGGATTCTTGAGCTGGCATTTTGTAAAGGTCACGATTAGTGAATTTTAAGTTAATGGACTCTACTAAAAAATTCTACTGTTGCTGATCCAACTTAGCAATTAATATTCAGACTGACTTACCTAACACACTTCTCAGCGGTGTGACCTTGAGTACGTTGTTTTACTTTTTGTGACTCACATTTCTCAAAAGTAAACTGGAGGCAATAACAATATTCCTAAAGTAAGTAATTTTGACTATTAAATCAAGTCAAATAACTAATGTAAAGTTATTTGCAGTGTCAAAATATTCACTCAGTATGTTATTCAATGACGGTGAAATGTATTAATACTCTTAGATAAGTCTTTGAGATCAAACATACATTGTTGTGAAAATAAGAAAGCAAAGCAAAGAAGCCAATGAGCATTATAGAAGCAAATAAGAGCTTCTAGTCAAGCACCTCCATGGTCTTTCTTGCTTTCTAGGTTAAGGATAAACAGGGTAGGTGGAATAGCAATGTAGGCTGAGGGCTGAGAGGCAGGGTAGACGGTTCCATCATGAGCCTGATCCTGTATGGAGTGAACTCCCTCTACACATTCTTTACACATTGAAAATAAAAGCAAAAACGACGATGACAAAAATGAATTACTATCTAGATTCTAGTTGTTATAGTGAAAGGAATTATTGATGTAACTGGCTTTCAATATGAAAGTTTTCATCAGTAAATCATCCCACTTTTTGCTTTGATGAGGATTAATCTTGCAATTTTAACTTATTGGCGCCAATTTTTCTTTCTCTGAAACTTCCTATAGAGTTAAACCTTCAAGCTCCAGTGAAGTTGGCTGACATTTCGTTATTTTTGTGTCTCATCAAATTATTTACCTTGCCAGGCATTTACCACCCACTCTTCTTCTGTAATTTCAATTCAAATTTATTTTAAAGAACAAATGTCTTGCCCTTGCTGATGAGAAAAGAACATTAGCGGGGAAACAGAGGAGAAAAACATAAGAAACTCATTAGAAAAAGAGGCATCATTTTTGTCACACCATTTGGGATATCATAGATTTGATGGGGAGGCACTGATGGAATATCCAAGCAAGTAAATCCAATTTTTAGAGGGTGCAATGCTCAGTTCTGCAAGGATTCTTAACTCTCATCTACTGAATTATGGCATCACATTTGTCTTGCCTCTGCCAAGAAATTCACTTGTAAATATTTCTAATATATACATACCTTTTAAGATAGTTCAATTTTTTGAGGCGCGAGAATGTCCTCTATTTCATTATGTTTATTTTTGGTCTCTCATGATGAAGCGAGTTGAAGCTGGCGTGCCTGGATGTGCTGCATAGGCGTAGATTACATGCACATTCTCACACTTCCTACTCCACTTTGCTTCTTCCTTCTGCCCCTCCACACCTGGCTGCCACCACCACATGCCCAAACAACACAAGGAAACAGTCTAAAAATGACCGAGCTATGAGTTTTTATATTAAAAGTGCATGGAAAGTTTTGAAATCATTAGTGCGATGCCACCTAATACTTTAATGTATCACAGCAATTATATTTTCATGCAAATTTATTAAATCACAACATATTCCAGACAACCTCTCCAAACTAGGTAACTAAGGTTAGTTTGAGGTCCTTAAGGGGGATGTGCGATGCAGTGTCAGAATGGTCTCTGCGTTCAAAGAGACCTGGGACAAAGTGTGCTTCCCCACTTAGCAACCTCGTTAAGTTATCTTACGCAAAGTTTAGCTGGCACATTTGTAACATGTCGATAGTGACATTTATCAAATAGGATTAAAGGGGACAGGTGTATAAATCTCTTTCCTTTGAGAAAATGGCAAAACCAAAATTGTCTTCCTAGTTTTATGTGTGGTTTTTACAGCAGTGACAACAAAATCATTGTTGGCTATGTGAACATTAACTCCAGGTCACACTTGCTCCAACAGGAGGCTTAGCAGGGGTCTTTCCATTCCACTGGCAGAAAGGAATGATGGATAGCAGGGGAAATAAAATACATGTGTAGATCTCTGCCTCATCCAAATATCCTGCTGAAATACCAGCACGGGGGGAACAGAAAGAAATGAGCCACCAGGCAAAGAGCTCAGGAAAGGAAGCAACAGTAAATGAGAAACATCAGTAAATTTTTAGAGGCTGAGAAACAGATGTATTAGCAGTCAGAGGCTTAGCAGAGCTGAGAAAGCTGAAATCCAGGGCAGCAGAAGAAAATACCATTTAGAAACGAGCTAATTTACAGAGCAGAACCCATTAAAGGCTAAGGAATTAGAAGCTCTATAAGCCTCAGGATGTGGAGGCAAGAGCTGGGGTGAACACTGGGAGGTTAATTGTGTGTCTCCATAAGAAGCCCTTAGACCCTTTAGAAGAAATTCTTCTTCATCTGTGCTTAATAAAACTACCCCTGTGACATTTATTCAATGCATAACTAGAACTAGAGGGAATAATGACAGAAGGAAGGGTAGGAACTAAGGTATCTTATTAGAAACAGAAATTAGATAGAAGTTTATGTACTTTATACCCCCTTCCACTGTTTCACTTTCTAAGAATGTTGAAAATTCTTTGTAAAAGTTTAGTGGCTCAAAGAAAATACCTACAGACATTGCTTTTTGGAAGAAGCCAAGTGTAACATTTGGTTCTTGCCCAGTTTCCTTTGGTTAAGCCCACTAGTTGACCACCTCTTGCTCCAGTACACAGAGATTTTTAACTGGCTTTGTAGTGCCTAATGAATAAAGAAAGTAACTCTTAAGGAAAAAAAGGTAATTCATGGAAAAGAAAGCATCAAAGAAGTGATAATATCTTCCAAGAGAAGAAAAAATCTAGGCACCCACAAAACAACCACTAGATGCTTTTTCCTGGAAAACAGACAAAGAAAGATCTCATAAGTGTCGCCCCTCCCCCTTATTCCTATGAATGTAGAAAAAAATCAAGTTGGTGAAATTTTTTAGAAAGAACAGGCAAATATATAAAAACTGCAGAAAAAAAGACAAGACAATTAGAGGATCATTGCAGGAGAGTCCAACATCCAAACAATAGAAGTTCCAGGAAAAGAAAACAGAATTTTTCTCAGAAAAATTCAGAACCTTCTATACCTATCAGAACCTTCATCAGAGCCTTCTATACCCACCACCATTGAAGAGTAGGCCCCTACCATGCCGAGAGTAACAAATGACCTCCTGAGGAGTTTAAACTCCATCATTAGCCTTCAATACAGAAACTGTGCACTGATGTTTCAGCTCACCCTTCCAGCAACCCACAAGTAAAAGTGGGGATCTTATACTCTCATCAGCAGGGGTCAACAAGGTATCATAGAGTGGGACTAAACAGCTTCTGTAGATCTCATTATTTCCATGAACGAGTGTCAACAAAGGAATCCAGACACCTGTTCTTTCCTTTACCCCAACATCCAAAGCTTCACCACTATCATCTTCCTTGAATCCACAGTGACTTATAAATATTATTACACCTTTTCTTCCTTTTAATGTTAATCATCTCTCATCTTTTACACTAATTTTCACAAAGGTCAACTATCCTCTGTTCTACTCCTTTTCTCCATTCTTTCAAAAATTCTGAAAGCTTTTTCACGATTTCATCTAGATATTATGGCTCATCATTATCAAATGTTATGTATGCTCTTCTCTGATTACAATATGCTCTTCCTCTGTAATTATTTCACCTTCTTGCTCTAACAGAATTCTGAGTGTTCTGACTACTCCACCTTCTTTGCAGCCCTCTTAAGTGGTAACTTTTATATTCTACCCAAGGGCATGTGTTGAGGAAATGTCCTTATTATTCCTCCTTGCTGTTTTCAAACCATTCTCCTTCCCTCCTCCCTAAAATCCTCTGTCTTTGAATATCATCTCATTAGATTGTATCCTCAACATGATTATCATCTAAGAGGGTCCTTGTCTCATTCTCACTGATTCCTTGATGATCCACATTTTTATTCCCTGTCACTCTTTCTGACATTACTTCTGATTTTCTTCCTGTTGATTTTAAGATACACATGGATAATATTTCTAACACATTGGCCTTTTTCTTTCTAAGACTCCTCTGCTTCAGTAATGTTACCCTTCGCCCTCCCTCAGTCATAACTCTGGTGGTCGTATTCTAGGATTTTTCATTGTCAATAACTGCAACCCCTCCATAATTTCAGTTTTATACATTTCTTGCTGACTGCCTCCACTAACATTTCACCTGACTTCATCTGACACTTTAACAGTCTTTCAACCCTACCAGGACCTCCAATTCTTAGGTCCTCCCTCATTTTTATTCCCTAACATTCTATTTTTTTTTCTTTATTCATCTGAAATTCCATGGTCAATCACTGCAGTCACCCTTGACTCTCTCAATCCCATTCTTCTCCCTGGTTCTTGTCGGGTAAAATCTCAAAAATGACTATGTCAGACTTTCTGCCTATACCATGCCTGCCCCTATGAATGTAGCTGGAGTTAAATTCACAGCTTTATTATTCTCGTTTTAAATCAGAACCAAAAACTTCAACCTGTTTTTAAAACTGACCAGTCATCATACCATATGCTCAGGAATCATACTGTATTACTGTAGTATACTTCATGCATTCTCCCACTCTCCCAAAAGATATTTCACATTTTTTTCTCTGCCTTCTGAACTTCTAACGTCTCTTCCTCTATCTCTCCTCTCAGCTGATCACTGTACCTCCTACTTTCCTTTAAAATTTGAAGTACTGGAAGAAAATTGCTACACATTGTCATCTCCACATCTATCTGCAACCTATGTTAGTAATCCTATATTCTGTTTTAACCCATTCCACAGCTTTATTAAGCACCTCTGAATAAGCTAGGGCATAGAGACGCAAACATGAATCCAGCATGGTTCTTGCCTTCACAGAGTGCGTGGTCTCAATATCTGGTCCAGCAGCCTTCAGGGAAGGTAGAATTCAATTGTCTTTCCTCTGGGGAAAAGACAACTTTATTACCTCTGCCCTGTTATTTACTGAAGGTTTAGAACTAGCAAACTCCTCTTTCAACTTTTATCCACCTGACAGCAGAGTGGAGAATTAAACAGCACATAATTATTCAAATTAGCAAGTATTAAATTCAGCTTATAATAATAAAGAAAAAGAGCATGGCACTGCTGATTACTGCAAATGATTAAGACTTCTGAGTAAGCGATGAGTGCTTGTACTTAAGGGCCGGCTGGTCCCATGGTGATGGCACAGTGCCATCTGCTGGAGTGCCAGTCCTGGCTCAAAATGTGATCCAACCAGAGAACGTGCTTCAAGAGTTGTGTAATTGGACTGACAATTCTGTTTCTGAAATCATGTCTAATTACAAAACTACTCAAAGATTTAACCTTCCTCAAGTCAGAAAAGAGGTTCAATCTGAGAGAAGAGACACAGTGTCCTGATATGAATCATAATGAATGTATAATTTTGAGAGCTAAAAGGGACTTTTGAGATCAGCTGGACCAAACTATTCAATCATTTTATAGATGAGAAGAGTGGGGTCCAGATGTCACATATGACTTCTCAAAGGTGATATTATAAGCATGGGATGGTGCTGGATCTAGAACTCTTAAATCAGTTATCCTTCTTCCACATGTATATTTTGTTCCTTATTTTCTACACTCAGCCGGCTGTTTTCTGTTAGGTGCTATATTATGTATTATCTAAATTATATTTATATTTCTTAGTATTTATTTATTTATAATTTTTATTTTACTTTAAGTTCTGTGATACAGGTGCAGAACATGCAGGTTTGTTACATTGGTATACGTGTGCCATGGTGGTTTGCTGCACCCATCAACCCATCATCTAAGTTTTAAGCCCCACATGCATTAACTATTTGTCCTGATGTGCTCCCTCCCCTCCCCACCACTGACAGACCCCAGTGTGTATTGTTCCCCTCCCTGTGTCCATGTGTTCTCAAATAAGTATGTATATTAAAAACTTAACTTCTTTATAAATGGATACGAGAGGTGTTCTAATTCAATTTCAGTTTTCATTTTACTGATGACAGTTACCTAAGGAAACGTTCACATTTCCTGACTCCTAGCCAGTGCTCTTTCTCCTATTTCAGTGTTGTTTTAAAAGACTATCTCAAACACAGACATGGCTGGTTAATTACAAAACAAAATAAAACGAACAAAAAGCCAACTAAATTGCATACCTTGAATTTCTGACAGCTTATAATAGCATTATTTTTAGTTTTTAAATAAAAATTATTATAGTTCTGAAAAGCTGTGCTCTCTCACAAAAGCCAGAATATTATAAATTTAGTTCTCCATTAATGCCTGGAAAAATTACTTCTTGCTGGTGCCAAAACCATGCTATAGTGACATTAAATGACAAACAGATGTTTTTGTATTGTGTTGTTCAAGAACCATGTTAATGAGATGAATATACTTGGAAATTTGGAAATATGCAATCAGATATGTTTCTATCTTACTAGATCTTACTTGTAAATGGGTTTGTGGAAATAAATTCAGATGCTATTTGAAAAGATGTGTCTCATGAGGTAATAAATATTTCTCTAGTAGAAAAGCAATATGGAAGGAGAAAAAATACATTAAAGTAATGTTTTTCCCAGCCAATAATTTGTAAAACATATATTCTTATTATATACCTTTCATAGGCAAACAAATCTAATTTTAAAACTAGTGATATGAATTTGTTTATTGGACAAGTGTTATTTAATTCCTATCACATGTTGGGCATCTGCCCACAATGCTAGGTGCTGCCATCACACAAATAAAAGAGCCCAAGAACTCACGGTGTAGGGATATAACACCGTGTCAACCAAAAAAAATCATTTGATGTTTTAAGATAATAGAAAAATCCTTCCTCATCCTGGATAAGAATCCTCTCCTGGTTTTCCTTCTGCATATCTCTGTTTTACTAAAGATATCTTTCATGAAATAGGCTGGCTCTAAACCTCCAGGACATGTTTGAGACACAAAAGGAACATAAAACGACTTTCCATTTTTCATTCAATATTTGCATATATTCATCTATCATTTATTTTTACAATTATCAGGGATTTATGATGGTTGCTTTCTCTAGATCAATCTGGACATAAGTAATCTTTGTAATCGTTAGCTTTTCTTCCACTATTACAGCTATTTATATCTCTTGTAACACTCTTTCAAGAATCAATGTGGTACAGTATGCTACTCATTTTATTAACAAATTAGAGCCTCTATGAATACTTTATGATGCCAGTTTCGCAAATCTATCCATGACTAGATGTGTCCCCAACCAACCTTTTGGTTAAAGTCTCTTTTTAACATTTGAATGATTCTTTAAATCTGGTCCTCATCTTGTCACCTGTCAGCTGTTCCACTGGACACATTACAGTCATAAGTCTTATTTTAAAAGGTAGGCAGAGTCAGGCGTGGTGGCTCATGTCTGTAATCCCAGCACTTTGGGAGGCTGAGCTGGGTGGATCACCTGAGGTCAGGAGTTTGAGACCAGTCTGGCCAACATGGTGAAATCCTGTCTCTAGTAAAAATACAAAAAAATTAGCCAGGCGTTTTGGCACTTGCCTGTAATCCCAGCTACTTGGGAGGCTGAGGCAGGAGAATCGCTTGAACCCAGGAGGTGGAGGTTGCAGTGAGCCGAGATGGCACCAGTGCACTCCAGCCTGGGAGGCAGAGTGAGACTCCATGTCAAAAAAAAAAAAAAAAAAAAACCCCAAAAAACCCAAGGTAGGCAGCATCAAAACAAAAAAGTAAGGTAAACCATAATACTTAAATACACACGAGACCATTTTTTAACCATGAAATTGCTGAGATAATAATTTTCTAGGTAGACTTCTATATTTTGTTTTTATTGTTAAGTCAATGTAAGATTGCAATAGAATGCCTCTTGACTGGTAATGGAGATCAATATTCAAACCTAATACTTAAATCCCAAGTGACAAGAAGATGACTAAAAATAACACAGGCTGCAAAAGTCTGAGTCATATAATGTCACTGAAGGGAACAATCAGAGGTTTGGTGAAATAGTATTTTTGTGAAGCAGTCTATTTAAAATGACCTGATGGTATTTATAATACTGAGCCGATCATCTCAAAAAATGATTCTCTAGATTGAATAAAGAGAATGTATTCAATATAAGAGCCAGTGGAGTATAGACGTTAAAAACAGAGGTTCTGGAAGAAATTTCCTAGATTTGGGTGTGGGCTTTTACAACTACTGACTAGGTGATCTGGATCAAATTATTCTGTACTGAAGTTTTTCCATCAATAAAATCTCAATCACAATAATCCATACTTCATAACTTTCTTGTGAAGGCCAAATGAGTTAGTATGTAGAAATCACTCACACCAATGCCTAAAATGCCCAACAGGATTATTTAATTGTATTCACCCTCAAAATTTTGCAGCAGTGTGGACCTTAGCAGTAGTTAATGTTTTATGAATTCATATGATTTTTAAACATAAATAACAAACAAATACACAAACATGAAACCACACAAGTAAGCCTCAGTGATCCTAAAACTGGAAAACATAGAATCTTATTCCTACCCATGTGTGTGAGCTATCTAACCTGCCTTAGTAAGATAAGTTAGATAGCTTTCAGTAAGCTATCTAACCTATCTTAGTAAAATAAGACAAAAATGTCCTTGTATTAGGGATGGTCTAAGGAGAAAGTTCAGTCATAAGTATAAAATGTTAGAAAATGGATTCGTCACTATAGAACATGGAAATATTATTATCAACACCATTGTTACCTTGGTGGAAGAATGTAGAAATCTCTCACTCAAATAACAAGAAATCACTCATTTAATAGATTACTTGTAACGCTATTTAAAAACCATGTATCTTTCAGTTGAAAGTACAGCACTGAGTCTGTCTTTATTGTATTCCCCCAACAAATCCAATGGAAATGACAACTAAGTGTATTTGAGGAAATGCATTCATAGCAATTCTTAAAATGAGACAAAGTCATTGGTAACTCAGGGCTTTTGAAAATTTTCAGGAAGATAACAGATGAGATCAGAGTGACAATCTAAACATGAAACAAACACAGAGAGTGGCTAGATGGCATGTGAAAGTGCTCTCCCTGCTCAGCTATGGAAAGGCTCCAAACTCTGGATAAGAAGGCACTAGGCATTTGGGGTGGAAAATGGGGATATAATCATGATTATTAATCAAAGGATTAACTGCAGAAATACTGCCAAAGTCCTTGCCCTCCCCACCCCATGCATGCACGGAGTCATTTTTGCCCAAGTTAAAAAAAAAAAAAATCACCACAAAGCATGTTTCTCAAACTGTGGTTGGTTAACCACTTGTATCAGAGTCACATGATGGTCTTATTAATAATTCAGATAGCTGATTTGATTGCAGATCTACTGAGTTGAAATTCTGGGAGCAGAACATTAGATTCTGTATTTCAAACAAATTTCTCAAGTTTTCTCCACTACATTTGGAGAACCATTGTGCCAAAGAAATGGAACCACCAGACTTGGATGGCAAGGTTTCCACTAGAATGTGGTAAAAGCCTAGAATAAAATTTTAATTCTGACCAAGGTGGAATGGGAAACAGAGTGACCATCCCACCTGAAAAAATAAAACATCCTACAGGTTTTTCCGAAATTGGACATCAGGCAGTGCAGCACAGTAATCACCAAGAGAAGGGAAACAGATGAGGGAAAGCCCACAGGTGCCTCAACTTCTGCCCAGCTTATTTGCTGCAGAACAGGGAGGCAGGTGGACCAACATGGGGCCAACGATCACCCTGAGAAGAGAAGAAAGTAGGGGGCTGGGGAGGTGAAAGTGACTGGAATTCATAGGCCAGATTGCAAGAGAGGGGAGAAAAAGAGACAGAGAAAGAGGTAGAGATGATAGAGATAGAGATAGAGATCGAGATCGAGACAGAGACACAGAGATAGAGACAGAGATAGATATAGAGACAGAGATAGAGATAGAGATAGATAGAGATGAGAGAGAGCGAGGGAGATTTGCTCCAAGGGTTTCCCTCAATTCTTTAGCTGACTACTCATCGGCAAATGTGTGCAAAGAAATTACCTAAGGTCAGAGAAAGAAGCATCTAAAAAGAGCAAAAGGAATGATTCCCGGAGCTCACATAGACCCAGGAAGAATTTTTTTGTTTGTTTTCCTACCAGGAAGGAAAACATAATTTATAGGGTGCTGGGGAGAGTATTCAGAAGTTTCTTGCCTCTGTAGCAAGAAAAATTAGCCCTAGACTAAAGTTGCTCTGGTCCCACCTAGCAAGGTTTATTAGTAAGCCTCAGAAGGATTAAATAATTTTCAAGTAGCTTAAGTGCATTCTAGAACAAAGTCAACATTTTTGTAATAATTAGAAATATTTATCACCCAGTAAATTAAAATTCAAAATGCCTGGCTTTCAGTCACAACTTCCCATGAATATGAAGACAAAGGAAAGTTACAGAGTCACTTCAATGAGCGAAGGGAGCATTTTTTCAATAGATGGTGCAGAACAATTTTACAAGCCATATGTTAAAATATGAACCCCAACCCTTACCTCAAACCATATATAAAAATTAACCCTCAATAGGTCATTGTCCTAAAAATAATGACAAAAAGCTACATGATATTCAGAAGAAAACAGGAGGAAATTTTAGTGACCTTAAGTTTGACAAAGATTTCTTACACATGATGCAAACTGTTTAAAAAGTCAATATATTGGACTTCATCAAAATTAAATAATTTTGTTATTCATAGAACCCTGTTTTGAAAATTCAGAAAGCAAAGCCATCACCTAAGATAATATGTTTTGCTAATATATAGCCAAAAAGGAACTGTATCTAGAAAATACAAAAAACTTTATTATTCAACAATAAGACAAACAACCCAATTAAAATGGGCAAAAAATTTGAAGGGTGTTTCACTAAACAAGTTTATATATATATGTATATTACCTGAAAAAGTGTTTAGCATCATTAGTTATTAGAGAAATGCAAATTCAAACCACAATAACATGCCACTGCACTCCCAGTAAATGGGTAAAATCAAGAGGTTTGTCAATATTAAGTCTTGGTGAAGATGTGGAGCAACTGGTTCTCATATACTGCTGGTGACAGTGCACAATGATAAATCACTTTGGAATATGATTTGGAAGTTCCTCAAAAAGTTAGATATTCACCTAGCATATGACCCAGCCATTCCTTTCACACACATTTAGTTTAGGGAAGAAAGCTTACATCCATACAAAAACTTACATTTGAATGTCCATGGTAGTTTTATTCATAATAAACAACAATTGAAAACAACTAAAATATCCATTGGTGAGAGAATGGATAAACAAATTATGATGTATCCACACAGTGGAATACTACTCAGCAAAAAAGGATGGATTATTGATCAACGCAACAACATGGGTGAATCTCACCATAATTATTTTGAGTAAAACGAGCAAGACAAAAAATGTACAAACTGTGTGATTCCACTTATAGAAAATGATAGAAAATGTAACTAATTTGTGGTGTCAGAAATCATATCAATAATTGTCTGGGACTGGGGTAGGCACAAGATGGAGAAATCCATAGGGGCATGAGAAAACTCTTGAAATTAATAGATATCTTCATTACCTTGATTGTGGGAATAGTTTCTTCTGTGTATTCATATGTTAAAACTCATAAAATCTTCACTTACATAATTTTCATTCATGTTGAATGGACAATATTACATATTTATGGCTTTTTCCTGAGTTCCCCCACCCTCTATCACAATATGGTATAAATGGATCTGCACTATGTACGTTGCTAAGCTCACCAGCTCATCAGTATAGGTGATCAAGAAGTAGCATGTGTGTTGGTAAAACATGTGTGCTCCTGGAAGTGTGGAATAAACCCTACGAATATACAAGAGTCTACCACGTCAGTAAGGTTTTTAGGGATTCAGTTGTCTGGGACATGCCAATTATCTTCTTCAAAGTTATGGAAAAATAACTCTCACTCCTTTCACCATTAACAAAGAAATATAGCACTAGGCAGGCCTCCTAAGTTGTGGAGGCAACATATTTCACCCTTTCAATGACCACTTCAATTAATTTGCCAATGATATAACAGAGATGACTTCCATCTTGGATGGATCCTAGGGCAAGAAAGGGCTTGTCAGCAGATCCAGGCTGTTGTGCAAAGTGCCGTGCTGTTTGGCTAATTCAGTGCAGTAAAGTTTGTGCTATTACATGTAACTTAAATGGGGAAAAATGCCATTTGGGTTTATGGCAAGTTCCAGTAGAAGAATTACAGTGTAGCAATGTAGATCTCTTAGTTCTGGAGGGAAAAAAAGTCTTCTTATCAGGAGCAGAGAACTATATATATTATTTAAAAGTCAGCTTCTGTGTGGTACTGGGCCCTGGGAGCAACTGAGTTTCTGACCATGGGATGTCAAATACCCATGAAATCAGAGCTATTCTCCAGTCTACTAAATCACAAGGGGCAGCACACCCAGCAGCAATCCATTTTAAGATAGGGCACATCCGGGATTGGGCAGAAGCAGAACCAGAGTAAACAGCATAGGCAGGTGGTGCAGATGCCCTGCGACTGCAGACTGCAGTGGCCTCTACCTCAGCTCACACCTAAGGGTACATAGAGAACCTTTGCTTGACTCCTGGATGGGTCATCTTATAATGCTTACATTAGGGCACACAGGAAGAGTCCTGCCAAACTTTAAGCTATGACTGCTCTCTGGTCACTTCAACCTCCTCAAACTAAAAGACCAGCAGATGAAGAAAAGGGTTACTATACTCACAGAGATCATTGACACTGATTGTCAGGAAAAGACGGGACTTTTACTTCACAATAAGAACAGGATCAGGTGCTGCATTGAATCTCCATTGATACTTCATTTTAATATTGAATGAAAACATTCAATAGCTACAGACTGAGACTGGCAATAAAAAGGGGCTCAAACCTTCTATAGCAACAGTGGTGCCAGGAAAGAGTGAGTAAAATGTAGAATGGGTGGTGAAGGAAGAGGGTGATTCTCCCTTATGACCTTAAGGAACATCAACTGCAGTAGTGGAGGCTGCAGTTGTCTCACCAACATTTCTCTTGCAAAATCTGGGGATATGAGAGTCATCAGTATCCTGTGGAATCTGTCCTCTGATGTAAGGAACTCACTATAAAAAGCAAGGATAGGTGAGAGACAGAAGTGGTTGACCTAGTGGATACTGTGGTGTCATAACTAGATCCCTTCTTCAGCGCAGACATACCTATCCCCCAAACACTTATAATATCGGGGACTGGTGGCTAACTACTGAGTGTTCACCGGAAAATTTCCAAGGGAAATGTCTTGCCCGAGATAACACCTACTCCTGAGGGCAGCCATTGGCTAATGAATGACTATTTCGTATAAACAAGGTCCTCTCCTCTTGCATCAGTTTGGAACAACTCTGAAGAGCCACAGTTCTAGTCTTCCCGTAGGATCAGCCAAAGTCTCATTTGCCACTGGATTGTGAGCCAGCCCCTGTCTAAATGCAGCCATGCTCAGTTTCTCCCACCTGTATCCCCTGAGACGATTCCCCAAAGAACTGTCTGCATCTAACAGAGTTGGAGTTGGAAAAGTCTTTTTCCAAGGATCCCAATTCAAGACCTGCCTGTGCCTTTTAAAATTAATTTGTCTCCTTTCCACATACACACAGTTCATCAATAATCAGTTTCCCAAATCAGGAAGGAGTGGTACTGGAAAAACAGGAAAGTGGGTCATGTGACAGAAACAAAACTGGCCTGAGCTACCAATATTCATTTGCAATATTCAACCAAGGACTTCATTCAAAAACATTATTGATACTCAAAGACTACTAGACTTTTGAAGGAATGCACCAGCACAATAAAAAGACCAAAATGAATAAACAGAATAATTACTCCTCCAGGAAAGAGAGCTAACTGGGCAAGAGAAGAGGAGGCTAAACATTTTAATTGGTATTCTTGATCTAACTGTCTTTCTCCCAATTACCACTGATGTTGAGTAGCTTTTTATATTCTTATAGGCAATTTGTGTGTTGTCTGCGACTTCCTTATATATACTGTTGAATAACATGTTGGCTATGCCATCCATATCTAATTAAGCCAAAGACGGTTTTGCTTGTTTGTTTTTGTCCTTGTTTTTTTTTTTCTTATTTAACTTCATAGCTCACTTGAATTCTTCCTCTCTCTTTCTGCTGTCTTGAACCAAAGTTCGTTTTTCTAAGGACTGAGTTCTTTGTGTCATCATAATATAGGAGTCATTTTTGACTAGTTTTGATGGGAAGAGTGGCTTCTGTGTTTGAGCATCAACTAAGAACAGTTTCCCAATGGGCAGAAACACTAATTCAGGACTCTCTCACTGTAGTTCTATTAAATGTCCTCTCCTGCCTCTTCTATTTGAGGGCCTTAGTAAATAACCATTATCGATATTAGTGTATATGCTTCCCACGCCCTAATACATTCTTCGCTAGATACACTTGAGCGCATAAGTGGTGTTGAGAGTTTGTGTAGGAGACAGGAGAGGCATTTGTGTATAGTGCATAGGCCCTGGATTGTTAGGCAATGTAGAAGTAGTCATTTGGGTACAAACAATGCACAAAATAGTGGTAACGATGAAATATTTTAGATCCAGTTCCGAACTAGGTAATAAGAAAAAAAATTAGTATCTCTAGAAAAGATGGTGTCTTACAGTGCACCTAATCTATATTTTTTATTCAGTATTACTGGAGAGGCCATTCATAAAATGCAGTGATGAAGAGGGCAGTCTCTGCAGGCTGTTTGTCTATGTTTGAATCCCAGCTTTGTCCTTTGAGGAAAATCACTTCACTTAACAGAACCTCAGTTCCTCGGTCTATGAGTAGCTACCTACTTCCTGGGGTAGAAGTTTGGATTAAATTTATAATACCCAGAACATAGAAGCCACTATGTAAGGGTATATGATTGTTATTTTCTTTAATATTGCTAGCAAAGACTCAGATAGACTAATATTAATAAATCAGTTTTGAAAGCCATTTAGAATAATGTTTAATTTTGTTGTAAATTAAAGGGAGTGTTTTAAAATTACTAATGGTAAACTTCATGGAAATATCATTTGGTTTTATTTATTCTGTGAGTATAAAAAATGTTTTAAAAGTCTAACAATGTGGCCAGGCGCTGTGACTCACGCCTGTAATCCCAGCACTTTGGGAGGCTGAGGTGGGTGGATCACCTGAGGTCAAAAGTTCGAGACCAGCCCGGCCAACATGGCAAAATCCTGTCTCTACTAAAAGAATACAAAAATTAGCAAGGCGTGGTGGTGTGTGCCTATAGTCCCAGCTACTCGGGAGGCTGAGGCAGGAGAATTGCTTGAACCCAGGAGGCGGAGGTTGCAGTGAAATGAGATCCTGCCACTGCACTCCAGCCTGGGCCACAGAGTAAGACTCTTATCTCAAAAAAAAAAAAAAAAAAAAAAAAAAAAAAAAAAAAATATATATATATATATATATATATATATATATATATAAAATTATATTTGCAAACTGCATCATTCCAATTGTTATAGATAGTTAAACACATTTAAGAAATATGTTTTCCACTTCTTTTTCTTTTTTTTTTAGACATGGTCCTGTTCTGTTGCCTAGGCTGGAGTGCAGTGGTGTGATCTCTGCTCACTGCAACCTCCGCCTCCCGGGCTCAGATGATTCTCCCACACCAGCCTCCCAAGTACCTGGGACTACAGGTGTGCACCACTGTGTTCAGCTAATTAGAAAAAAAAATTCTAGATACAGGGCGTCACTATGTTGGCCAAGCTGCTCTCAAACTCCTGGACTCATGCTATCCACCCACCTCGGCCTCCCAAAGTGCTGGGATTACGGCTGTGAGCCACAGTGCCCGACCCCAGAAATGTGTTTCCTAGTAAGATTCTTGTAGGTGGACATTGTATTAAACTGGTTAATATTGTCTTAATCCTTTAAGGTTTACTGCAGAATAGCACAACAGAGATATGTTTTTTTCTATGTTTAATAGACCATTTTAAAACAAATTTTAAATATGACTCAATGCTTGTGTTAGGTTAGATTTAAAACAAAGTCTAGATTTCAAGCTGTAGTTGTAACTATACTATTTTACCTAGTGAATTATTCCATGCTCTTTGTTTCACTTGTGAGAATTGTTTGAAGTGTTGCTTTGAATGTATATATGTTTCCTCATCTATACTAACACACTATATAAAGTGGTTCCTTATGAGAATGGTTTGCAGTGCTGCTTTGAATGTATGTCGTGTACACTCTTCTATACTAACACACTATAAAGTAGTTCCTTGGGACATACATCTCCATTCACTTCTCATGAAGCGTTGTTGAAGCAAAATTCAAAGGTGGTAAACTGGCTATTACAGACAACTGCATTCATAAAAATTTGAAATAATTGGAGGAAAACAACCTTTTCAATAAACCTAACCCTTTTCTCCTCTGGTTTCTGTTTTCTCTTCACTTTTCAATAAGCCCTTCTTACCAAGAGCTGCTCTTGGAAATGAAACTTCCCAAACTTCTACACATTGAGTTGTTTTAATCTTTACCTCAAAGACCACCTTGGCCACATGTCCTTTCCTTAATCATTACTACTTCTTGAGTCTTATATCAAACTCACCATCAGCTGGTGAACAAAGGAGGAAAATTTTGGTAGATCCTCAGGGTTGAGTCAGGAACTCATTATTAGCATTATGCTGAAAAAAAAAAGGTGACATTAACATAGCCTTATTTATATTGATAAAGCCTTGAATAAGAGTAAAATTGAGATACTTTTGCTGTGATAGCCAACTGAGCCTAGGGGCTAATGGAAAAAAAAGGTGAAGCTAGAGGAATGATGATAATTGTTTTCCTTGACAGCTTTGTATTAAGACATTTTCCTATAGGAGATAGTGTCTCTATCTGCCACTAGCACTGCCTACTTGATTGCTCTCCCTCTGCTCTCTGATTCCAAAGGGATTACAGTCATCGACAATATCACTTATGTTGCCTATTCCAGTGTCTATGTGGATTAAGATATCAGTGCAGATAATGCCTATAGTTCTTTTTTTATCTCACCTAAGTAGCCGGTCAGCCAAAGTGGCTTGGTCTTGTGATAGCCTGGTCAGTGGATCGACTCTCTTTCTCTCTCCCTTGATGTCTTTATTAGATGTGGCCAATCAGAGGCTTTTAATAATATCCCAAGAATTATATGTGGGTTTTAGTGGGAAGTAAAGACTCCACTTAAGCTTCTGGTTCAGAGTGCATATGAAAATTATAGTTCCAGATATTATTCCAGCTAATGATATCTTTGTGTTCTGATTTCGACTTATATTGCTTGAATAATACATTCTTCAGGAAACCCATTGGAATGACTGTTGATAAGAGAATTGGGCATTCCTCTGTTTATGCTCTTTCAGATAATGAAAATAATTAACCTTATATTTCTAAGACTTTATACAAGTTTTTAAGTATGAAAATGTCTGGAATTATATCAAAAACCTTTGGTTAATGTATGTCAAATTTTATGTTTCTGTTTAAATATATGTGTGGTTGGTGATTGTGTTATTCCTTGAGGCCAGAAATGTTCATCAGTGTCTTTGTAGGAAGTAAAAGCAACCCTGCCATATGCATATATTTAGTTTCAATAGGAGAAGGAAATAATGTCTCAGTAGAATAAAATTATATTCCATGTCTTTCAGATAACCTGTAAGGCTAATTATGAAAAGAGAGCCTAGTTATGCAAGCCACTAAATGCACTTTCAAAATAGCAGAAAAGTTATTACTTATTTAAATATTGTGATTAATGTATAAATTAAATATAAACAAAGGGAATGTTTATTACCAGTAGTAGGGCAGTAGAGTACAGATTCAATAAGTAATGATTGAAAGTACAGATTCTGAAGCTAGATTGCCTGTGTTCTCATTCCAGAGTTTTCACGTATTAGATGACTAACCCTGGGCACCTTTTTAAATTTATTTTTATTTTCACTTATTTGTCCTTCAATTCTGTCACTTGTACAATGGGGATAATAAAACTACCTATATTACAATGTTGTTTTTAGGATTCAATGATTTAACATATCAAAGTTCTTAGAACAATACCAGGGTCATATTAACTTTGTTAAATTAAATTTGGCCTGAGACTGCCTCTGTACTTTTGAGTTTCCACTTAATAAACTGCATCCTAACCTAGCATGCAAACAAACCAAAACCTGGATAAGGAGTATATTTTTTGTTAGAGATAGCCAGATCTCAGCCAATCACAAGCAGCTGAGCTTCAGCCAATTATAGGCAACCAGCTGATCAGATGATGTCCAAATAAGGCAAATGCCTCACTGTAACCAGTCAAGCTATTCTGTACTTTACTTCTGTGTTCTGTCTATAAATATTCTCCATGTTTCAGAGTGGAGCTCTCTAAACTTCCTTTGGTTCTGAGTGCTGCTCAATTCGTGAATTGTTCTTTGCTCAAGTAAACTCTGTTAAATATATTTTGTCTAAAGTTTTTGTTTTAACAACTTTAAATGAACTTAAGAAAATATCTTCTTGTTATTAATTCCATACCTAAAAGAGACCCTTTTGTTGATGATTACCCTATTTTTACATAAAAATATAATAGAATAAATGAAAATTGAGAATTATAATTCTGGAACTAGACTGAGAAGAAAAAGATGACTCTCATGTGGCTATTGTAAAAAGAAAAAAATCACCGACTGATCACACAGCAAGACTTTTTCAAAAATTAAACTACTTATTTTTTAAAAACTTTGAATTATTTTTAAAATACACAGTCATTTACTGTTCACTATAACTTTTAATAGAAAGTGAGAAAGTGATAGAGCAACGATGAAAATTTATTCTTAATGCCAATGTACAGTTGACTACAGCTTATTCTCCCCTGGGCATTCTAATATATTTTGTGATAAGTATGGTATCATACAATAAGCAGATTCTGTGAAAAGCTATTTTCATCATTTAGCAACATACTTTTCTCATTTTCTGTATTAATAAGCACTGACCCTCAGTGTAATTTGCAGTAGCTACATGCTATTATATCACATGTCTGTTTACTGTATTTCAAATAATAGCAAGTAAAAAATCTTCCTTTTGTTTTTGTTATTAGAAAGAGTTTTTTGAAGAACATACTTAACCTATGCCTTTGCACTCTCATTAGATGATTTCTTTAGGGTACATTTCTAAAAATGGACATGCAGAGTATATCTATTTTAAAGCACTTAATATGAGTTGCCAAATTGTTGTCTATTTAAATTTGCATATTTCCATCAGCAGTTATTTGAGAATGTGTGTCCAATGTGCACCTGTGACAGCTTTGGATATTATTATTCTTTTTTATATTTGCTAAATAAAATGTCATTGTCTCTTTGATGACAGAGTATATTTTAGTTTTGCTGTCTTTAATTTCTTATATTGTAAATTTCTAACATAGTGTGGATTTTTCCCTTAAAATGTTTAAAAATTTCTATGGTTTTTAGGAGGTTTTCCAAGAGAAACAGCATCATCTTTTCATTTGTTGTTTATATTGCAATTTTTTTCATTCCTGTTACTTAAACGTTTTCGTTTTTAAGTACATTTTAAATCTTCCAGTTAATCTATTACTTGTACTTTAAAATTTTAGGTTTCATTCTCAAGTTAAAATATTTCTCCACTCAGCAAATGTTGCTACAATTTATTGCATATACCTAGATGTACACGCACACTCACACACACATTCTCTATATTAGATGTTAAACCTACTTACAAATCTGGAAAAAATGCTACTCAGTTTGATAAAACACCTTTTTAATATACTGCTGGATTTTGTGTATTATTGTTATTTCTCTATTATTATTGTGTCAATGGTTTGTGCATCTCTGATTTGTGCAATAATTGAGCATCTTAGATTGGCATAAAATTTACTTATGGTACTTTCAGCACCTTTAGGCTGAAGGTGGGTTGAAAGTCACTGCAGAGTGGCAGAAGTGAACTTTTTGGAGTGATGTAGGTGTTCTATATATTGAGGAGATAATCATTGTATGGTGTGTTAATTTGCCAGAAGTGATTGTCCTGTACATTTTAAATTGGTACATTTTACTATATATAATTCTTCAATATAATTAGTTTTAAAAAATCCAAATAGAAAACATACCACTGTTTGTGACAGTAGGTAAGCAATACTGAAAATTCAGAAATCTTTAAATGATTATCTAGTTTTGGCATCAATGTAATACTGATCTTTTATAATGAGTTGGGGAATTTTTCCAATTTTATCACATTTTAAATGCTGATTAGAGGAATTCAGATATTCAAAAGTTGATACTGAAAGGACAATTGATAACGTGATACCCTGTTTATTGAAATTATTTACATAGTAGCAAAATTATCCTTTCTTTGGAATAAGAAGAAAAGAAAAATGAATGAGATAGAAAAGAATATTTTGTGTACAAAACTAAGAATATTTCAATACAGTGGTTTCTGCCTGACTTCCTCTGTGCAGGAGCAATATTACTGCAGAGTCCTGCAGGTATGCTGAGATTGTTGTATTAGATTAAATACTTGAAATCGGTCCACTGGACATTCAGAAAGAGAGTTTTTAGGGATAGAAAAGAGGCTGATTGCGTACTGTTGAGGCCCAGTTGACATGGGACACTTTGGGCCTCTTCTTTTATAATAAGACTTTAAAGTGCTTTTCCTTCCCTGCACTTTATACCTGGATAGATTGAGATAATCTTGGCTATTAAAAGTGGTAATATTGGCTGGGCAAGGTGACTCATGCCTGTAATCACAGTACTTTGGCAGGCTGAGGCAGGCGGATCTCTTGAGGTCAGGAATTTGAGGCCAGCCTGGCCAACATGGTGAAACCTGTCTGTACTAAAAATATGAAAATTAATTGGTCATGGTGGTGCATGCGTGTAATCTCAGCTACTTCGGAGGCTGAGGTGGGAGAATCACTCGAACCGGAAGGCAGAGGTTTCAGTTAGCCAAGACTGCACCACTGCACTCCAGCCTGGGTGACAGAATGAGACTCCATCTCAAAAAATAAAAATAAAAAAGTGATATTACTTTGTCATCATTCAATCATCATGGCTTCTTAAGTGTTTACTGTGTGCCATTTACAGCTCTAATACACTTTGCATGTATTAAATAGTTTGAGCCTTACAAACCACTCTGGTTTAGTTGGGAGTTCAATATTATTACTAATTTTGTCTCTGTATACTCTGGGATAAAATATAGTGCATATTTCTTATGAGATTTATATTAGTATTAGACAAGTTTTATAGTAATATGCAATATAATTACTAGACTTTAGGTTACGTTTACTGATTTCACTAGCTATCTCTATCTTTTAATTTCTAATTTTCATTTAATCTTTGAATACGTTATTTCATCAGTTTGAAAAAATATTTAGAGCACTCAAATGGTATTAGGGGTCTAAAAAGTCATCAATGGACTGAACTCAAAAGGCCATTTCACAAGTTTACCTCTCTTGTGAAATGTACAAAGGCTAAGAGTTTTTTCTGTTACAAATGGTTAGGTCAATAGGTTATAACATTATCAATAGTGAAAGCTTTAATACTCATCAATCAACAGGTTATTACATTATCAGATGCTACTAGGATTCTGCAATCATGCTTACATTTAAAATATTTTGAACATTTTCTTAGAACTTTGCTTTAGACAAATGGTATTACAGCTGCAAAAGTCTAAACTACCTTTTGCCTACCCACAGATGCAGATTTTCATGAATGATATAAAAATGCAGAAAATAAAAATTGAAAGATACTACTATTTTGTTAGTGAATAACAGAAAAGAATGTGCTAGTTACATAAAGAGCCTGAAGGTATTTCTAGTGCTGTCAGATGACAAAATTGACAACTGGGAGCTTTGGTAGGACCTTTGTGTTACTGATGGCTTGCCTGCATATTTTGTAGTGACACATTTTTCACTGTTCTACATGGCTGTATAATTAACTTACATTAAATAAATGTATGTTTTTTGCTAGTAACAGTTGACATTGTTTATTTTGTTATCCAGTTACCCTGGATCTTATTATAGCTGCTCAGATGGGAAGAGAAAAATGATCAATGAGTCTAAGTGGAAAAGGAAAGGAGAGAGAAAAAGAATGCAAAAAAGAAAAACTTTGTGGAGTTTTGAAGAACAAAAAGTTGAGAATGCAAATGAATGAATAAATAGCCAAAGAGATGATTAATGTGTTTATGTTGTATGGTACACACTCCAAGAGAAAATGTACTTTGAAAGAAAAAGAAATCTTTCAATGATTACAAAGTTGGTTTAACAAAACACTGTTCTTATTGTCAAAATAAAAACCATACCTTCTCAGCTATGCACACCATTTGGGGTATAATAAATAGGTTCTTGGCAGAAAGAACTATTGATTTATCTTATTTTTCCCATGACTTTCATATTACACAGGGGGAAGCAATCACACAGTGGATTTCTGGTGGGCAAGTTCAATCATCAAGTGTTCTCAAACCTCCACCTTGCAAATAAAATGATAGCATATGAAGAAAAGTAATACATATCAGGAAGGCAGCATGCAGGGATTGAGCCAATGACATTTTGATTGGTTTCATTTCCTTTTAAATAAGTCTATTTTATGTATGGATGTAGTGTGAAATCACTCCCAGGGTTGGCATCAGGAGGGGAGGTTTTCAGAATCAGAATATTATTGCTATTATTAAAATTCAAATGAAAGGAAGAATTGGAAAAATCATCTTCATAATCAGGAAGATTTGTAAATTTTTAAATGTAATATTTTGAATCTGGTCTTAAATATTTTTCAAATAATTATATATTTATGTTTGTTACATCATTCACAGATATTAATAGCACCATTAATTTTATGAATGAAATGTACTTTAGTGTCTAGGAAAGAGCATATGAGAATATTAAGACAATATGTACTATAATATAGACCTGGAATTCCTAGAATTTAGGGAAGAGTTACAAAGTCCTAAAAACCCTAAGACCCGGAGATATGTAAATATTAGGACACAGGGGTAGGTCTAACAGCATAGTCACAGAGCATAGAAAAGTAGGGGAGGTGTTGCTCATATTAACCTGTGTTGAAAGAGATAAAGAGACCTGAAACAACTGTATGTTCAGATGGAAGATGGCCAGATTGAGGAGAGAAGTGGATGTGGAGGAATAGCAACACAACACCACACTGTTGACTGTACCCAGCTACCATAACTGGAATCCCACTATTCCTGGAACAGGTCAAGTGTGGATAGTTTACTGAAGTGAGAAAGGCTGGTGCAAATTGCTGGTGGTACGGAGATCAAGAGTCAATTTTGGATATGTTAGGTTTTTGAGATGTGTATTAGATAGTCAAGTGGAGATGTCAATAGAATAATTAAATATAAAAACCTGACCAAGTGTAGTAGCTCATGCCTATAATCCCAGCACTTTGGGAGTCTGAGGTGGGCAGATTGCTTGACGCCAGGAGTTTGAGACCAGCATGGACAACATAGTGAAACCTATCTCTACAAAAAATACTAAAGTTAGCCAAGCATGGTGTGTGTGTCTGGAGTCCCAGCTACTTGGGAGGCTGGGGTGGGAGGATCGCTTGAGCCTGGGAGGCAGATGTTGCAGTGAGCTGAGATCATACCATTGCACTCCAGCCTGGGGGATGGACGTGAAATCCTGTCTCAAAAAACAAACAAAACAAAACAAAAACCTGGCATTCAGGGAAGATAGAACAGAAATATATGAAGTGGAATATAAGTGGAATTTAATGTCTGGCACTAGCACAGAGTAAGAGATACACACCCACTGATATGGTTTAGCTGTGTCCCCACCCAAATCTCATCTTGAATCATAGCTCCCATAATCCTACATGTTGTGGGAGAGACCTGTTGTGAAATAGTTGAATCATGGGGGCAGGTTTTTCCCATGTTGTCTCATGATAGTGAATAAGTCTCATGAGATCTGATGGTTTTATAAAAGGCAATTCCCCTGCACACACTGTCTTGCCTGCCACCATGTAAGATGTGCCTTTGCTCCTCCTTCCCCTTCTGCCATGATTGTGAGTCCTCCCCAGGTATGTGGGCCTGTGAGTCCATTAAACCTCTTTTTCTTTATAAATTACCCATTCTTTGGTATTTCTTCATAGCAGTATGAAAATAGACTAATACACCCACCTCAAGTGCAGAATTTAAGATGTGGACACCACAACCTCAATAATTACAATAATAATATTTTAATGCAATAATTTAAAAATAAAAATTATTATGAAATCAATAATTTTGAAACAAAAATTAATGTAAAAACTTTTGTTGAAACTATACAAAATTTTAAATTTCTCATTCAGACTAGTTTTGATTACTTAAAGAATGTGTCTAGACAGAGAAAAGAGTAAATTCTGACTACACTCTGGGACATCTAAACGTGTTATTGTAAGGAAGATGAGGATAAAACAATGCTTGGTATTGCCACTGGTTTAATTGTTGCCAACTTGTTGGGAGAAATTGTGTTTCTTGTTATTTGAATTTGCATTTCTTTCATAAGTAATGTGATAGAGCATTGTTTTCTATTAACTGACTATATATTAGTTGTGACAAAGTTTTCACTGACATACTATAAAATTAATTTTTTAATTTATAATCTGTGACCTTTAACACATGACTAGATTCATGTAACCACCACTACAATCAGGATATAGAACAATTCCATCACATTTTGCTACTCTCTGCCAGTGTAATTCTGGCACTTCCACCTCACTGAATGTGGGTAATCACATTTTCTTGCTTCTGGAACCCTCCTGGTAGCTTGAGCAGCAGGTCCTTGCAACAGTATTAAATCCTATATTCTGCAAAAATGTCCCATAGTGATAAACTTTCCTTTACCTAAACTTTTGTTCTGTTCCTTTTGGTCTAGCACACTCAGAATCCAGTCTCACCTATATTTTCCTGGCTCCTAAACATACATGTCGACTGAATCCTGAATTTTCTTCTCCTCAGAGGTCCACTTCTCCCTTAGCTTGTGCAACAAGTAATGTGACATTATTTATTTATTTCAAGAGGGGAGGTGAGGGCATAACCTTGGGGTGGGGGTGCATGGTTTCATTTAGTAGGTGAGGATCTCCATTATCTTCAAGCTATGGGGCAGCACTAAACTTCAACAGGGAGCAGTTGCCCATTTCTGCTGGCACAGAGCATTAAGAGGAATCTTGGACTTCAAGATTTTTGAGTGCATCAACCCATATGCTCCTGTTTGCCAGGGTCCTGTTTTTCAAGCCAGGGCTTTGATCTTGGCATACAGACATGACTTGTTTGGGAGCTTAACCTTTGTTGGAGCTCTTCTACTCTTGAATGCTATACCTTTTTCTAAGCTTCTTCTGCTTGCCTGGTAAAGAAAGTGAAAAAAATTTATAGGCTAAAAGAAGGCCTTCTGACTTTCTCTCTTAGTTTTTAATTGCCTACTAGTTCTCAGTCTTTAGTTATTGTTTTCCCCCTGAAAGTATCACTTTCACTTGTCAACAAGTATCCAATTCCATTGCTTTATGGTTACAATGCACCTGAAATGTGTAATTTGCCAGATACATTGCACCTGCTAATGCAGTTCCTTGACCTGGAATACCAATTCCAGTTCACTATATGTGAAACTTTTAACACATGCGTTGCTGCTTGATGCCAAGTTTCACATGTATTCTATTATATCTACTATCAGTGATGGCTTTTCTAGAAAATAGTGTCACCTAAGCAGGATAGGAGCTGCACTGGGCAGAATATTGTTCAGTTTCTAGGGCCGTCAGCCAAAGAAAATTGCGATGGTGATGGAAAGTATTCATTGCCTTCTGGATGACAAGGGATCCAAACCAAAATTTTATATATGCCACCTACTTTCTTGATTCACTTCTGGAACCAGCTTCTACAAGTTGATTTCTCTGGAAAATATGCAGGAAATATACTAGGAATACCTTTGAGATCATCTCTTGTGGGAGGGAAGGAAGTAAGGAAAGGACAAAGTTTAGTTCCAATGCAGTTCCAATGAAGACCCCAGTTGTTCCCAGCTGTAGTTAGAACAGCCCTCCAGAATTGAGTGAGGGGCAGGGCCTCTGTATCTCAATATCAATCAGTCATATCTAGAATACCCTGGGAAGGCGGTATGCTCTTAGACTTGACAGCTTTCTTCTGCTGAGGCTATGCTCAAAGCAATGTGGGAATTGAGGGCTGTCTGTCTCAGTGCTCCCAGCAGGTGCATCCACATCTTGGTCATTCAGGAAGGAGGATCTGAATGGCACCATACGGTGTCCACAACCATAGCCCTCAGCTTTTTCTGTTCTGCTAAGTCTGTATGCCACTTTTTCTATTCACCCTATTGCTTTACTCTTAGTTTCTAAAGTTTGGTCAATACTTACCTCTTTTACTATTCTTTTTGTTTTTTTGGGGTTTATATCTTAAAACAACAACAACAACTTTTAAGGTGTCATTTTAGAGGGGTGTCAATAGTAAAGAGAACACATGTGTTCAATCTGCTTTATGAACCTGAACTCTGAAGTAGCCTTCTGATAAGGACAGTGTGAAATATACTGTTTCTATTTCTGGCCCATGTGGTCTCAGCTTCCATTTCACTTGTTCCATATCCAGGTACCTGTCCAGAAGGCTTTTCTAGAAAATAGTGTCACCTAAGTAGGATAGGAACTGCACTGGGCAGAATATTGTCCAGTTTCTAGGGCTGTTGGCCAAAGAACATTGCAATGGTGATGGAAAAAATATGGCAAGCTGAGACATGAGGAATGAATCAGACCTTAACACAAACACAATACTCTGGAAGCCTCTTCCTCCTTAACTTGCTGCTCACTTCACACACACACACACAGACACACACTTCTTAGGTGGAGAAATGGATTTCAACTTATACATGCAGAGAAACATTGTTCTGCTGTTTAATTATATCCTGATTGTTCATTTATTCTGGTAGCCTTGGGAAATATTTATTATATCCATATTCAATTAAAAAATGAAAAAGCCAAAAGAATTACCACACTGACATTTAGAAAGCATGTCCTTATCATTGTTAATTTTCCCCGAAAGTAATACAGTTATTATGAGCTACATTATTTAGAGTTTGGCCTGAAGTCTGTTATAAAAAAAATTCCACTTGGATTTAGGTTGCGGTGTATCATTTTGTCAAAAATGTAGGTCTGTTGCTGCCTTCATTTGGATGAGAGCTCTTATCTAGTTTCCAATTTGGTCTAGCCCATTTCTCTATACAGCTGACACACTCACTGGGGATGATTCTCTCAGGATTTTTTGTCAGTCAAAAATCATCTGGAAATGAAGATTCCCTTAACTCTGGGAGGTTGGAGTTCATTACAGAATGAAGCTATTTGATTTTCTTCTGAAGGGAAAGAACAGATAATGATGAACATTGTCACTCAAAAATATACTGTTTCAAAATTTCAATACCTTTCACTCTACAGCAGAGATCATTAAGTTTAGTAGTAAATTGGCTATTTCAACAGTATGAATGTTCTGGTGAATAAACTAAAATCAATAGGAGTTAAGCTATGTGCTTAAATTCACAAAATAATAGAAATAATAGAGATTGGTGTCTTATTGTTTGCTAAGTTAGATTGGATGATTGCTCACATCCTATTCATGGTTCTTGTATCACTACAGCCTTTTCTCAGCATTTTTCCCCCACAGTGTCTATCACATAGACTTGCCCACTTTGAGTTTCCGTTAAGTGTTGAAGTAGGGTGTCTTGTTTTCTTCCTAATATTCCCAATATTATGGCCCATGTAGTCTATCATGATCTTTTGGAATTTTTGTGAACTATTTTTTTCCTTTTCAACTTTTATTTTAGAATCAGGGGGTGTTTGTGCAGGTTTGCTACAAAGGTATATTGCATGATGTTAATATTTGGGACATGACTGAACTCAGAACCCAGATAGCGAGCACAGTACTCAATAAGTAGTTGTTTTCAAACCTTACCTTCCTCCTTCCTCCCTCTTGTATTCCCCAGTGTTTATTGACCCATCTTTATGTCCATGTATCCCCAGTGTTTTGCTCCCACTTATAAGTGAGGACTTGCAGTATTTGGTTTTCTGTTTCTGTGATATTTTGCTTAGGATAATGATTTCCAGCTGTATCCATGTTACTGTAAAGGATATAATTTCATTCTTATTTTGTGTCTACATAGTATTGCATGGTGCATATGTACCAGTTTTGATTTTCCAATCCAGAGTTGATGGGTGCCTAGGTTGATTTCATGTCTTTCCTATTGTGAATAGTGCTGCAATGAACATATGGGTGCATGTGTCTTTTTGGTAGAATGACTTATTTTCCTTTGGGTATACACCCGTAGGGAACTGCTGGGTTGAATGATAGTTCAACTCATTTCTTTGAGAAATCTCCAAACTACACTCCACAGTGGCTGAGCTGGTTTACATTCCCACCAACAGTGTATGTGTTCCCTTTCTCTTCAGTCTTGCTATACCCTGCAAAGCCACAGGGGCAGAGCTGCCCAAGGCTGTGGGAGCCCACCTCTTGCATCAGTGTGACCTGGATGTGAGACATGGAGTCAAAGGAGATCATTTTGGAGCTTTAAGATTTGACTGCCTTGCTGGGTTTCAGACTTGCATGGGGCTTGTAGCCCCTTCTGGCTGTATTTACCCAATGCCTGTATCCCCATGGTGTCTAGGAAGTAACTAACTTGCTTTTGATTTTACAGGCTCATAGGTCAAAGGGACTTGCCTTGTCTCAGATGAGACTTGGGACTATGGACTTTTGAGTTAATGCTGAAATGAATTGAGACTTTGGGGGACGGTTGGGAAGGCATGATTGGTTTTGAAATGTGAAGATATGAGATTTGGGAGGTGCCAGGAGCAGAAAGATATGGTTTGGCTCTGTGTCCCCATCCAAATCTCATCTTGTAGCTCCCAGAATTCCCACGTATTGTGGGAGATGACTGAATTATGGGGATGGGTCTTTCCTGTGCTGTTCTCATGATAGTGAATGGGTCTAATGAGATCTGAGGGTTTTAAAAATGGGAGTTGCCCTGAACAAGCTCTTTTTTTGCCTGCCGCTATCCGTGTAAGACGTGACTTGCTCCTCCTTGCCTTCCATCATGAGTGTGAGGCCTCCCCAGTCATGTGGAACTGTGAGTCCAAATAAATGTCTTTCTTTTGTAAATTGCCCAGTCTTGGGTATGTCTTTATCAGCAGCATGAAAACACTTGCCAACATTTGTTATTTTTTTACTTTTCAACAAAAGTCATTCTGACTGGTGTGAGATGGTATCTCATTGTAGTTCTGATTTGCATTTGTCTGATGATGAACATTTTTTCATACGTGTGTTGGTCACTTATATGTCAACTTTTGAGATGTGTCCATGTTCCTTGCTCACTTTTTCATCGAGTTATTTGTTTTTTGTTTGTTAAGTTCCTTACAGATTCAGGATGTTAGACCTTTGTCAGATCCATAGGGTGCAAATATTTTACAAACAGTAAAAGTTGCCTGTTTACTTTCTTGATAGTTTCTCTTAGTGTGCAGAAATTCTTTAATTAGGTCCCACTTGTCAATTTTTGTTTCAATTGCTTTTGAGGACTTAGCCATAAATTCTTTGCCAAGGTCAATTTCAAGAAGGGCATTTCCCGTTTTTTGTTTTGTTTTGTATTTTTTTTCTAAAATTTTTATGGTTTGAGGTCTTAAGTCTTGAATTCATCTTGAGTTTATTTTTGTACATAGTGATAGGTGGGGAACCAGTTTCCTTCTTCTGCATATGAATAGCTGGTTATCCCAGCACCATTTATTAAATAGGGAGTCTTTTCCCCATTCCTTATTTTTGTGGACCCTGTTAAAGAGCAGATGGTTGTAGGTGTGTAACTTTATTTCTGGGTTCTTTATTCTGTTCCATGGGCCTATGTGTCTGTTTTTGTATCAGTATCATGCTGTTTTGGTTACTGTAGCCTTGTAGTATAGTTTGAAGTCAAGTAATGTGATACCTCTGGCTTTGTTCTTTTTGCTTAGGATTGCTTTGGCCATTTCAACTTTTTTTGGTTCCATATGAATTTTAGAATAGTTACCTAGGGATAGCATTGAATCTGTAAATTGATTTGGGGAGTATGGCCATTTCAATGATATTGATTTTTCCAATTCATAAGCATGGAATGTTTTTCCATTTGTTTGTGCTGTCTCTGATTTATTTCAGCAGTGTTTTGTAGTTCTTGTTGTAGAGATCTTTCACCGTCTTGGTTAGCTGTATTCCTAGGTATTTTACTCATTTTGTGGCTATTGTAAATGAGATTTCATTCTTGACTTAGCTCTCAGTTTGAAAGTTATTGTCATATAGAAATGCTGTTGATTTTTGTACATTGATTTTGTACCCTAAAACTTTACTGAAGTCATTTATCAGCTCTAGCAGCCTTTCGGTGGAATCTTTAGGGTTTTCTAAGTATAGAATCTCATCATCAACAAAGATAAATAGCCTAACTTCCTCTTTTGCTATTTGGATACTTTTTCTTTCTTTCTGTTGCCTGATTATTCTGTCTGGGACTTGAGTATTATGTTGAATAGGAGTGATGAGAGTGAGCATTCTTGTCTTGTTCCAGTTCTCAAGAGGAATGCTTCAAGCTTTTGCCCAGTGACTATGATGTTTGCTGTGTTTGCCATATTATTTTCAATAATACGTATTATTTTGATATATTGAACATGTTTTTAGGTTCATTGACACCCATTCTTTACTCTCAAACCATTCACCAGTAATGAAATACACAGCTTCTAGTTTTTAACACCTATAACACTAGTTCAAGTCCCCATATTATGAGTTCATTGTACTCTGTGCTTTATATAACTTTTGGAACCCTTTTTTAAAATTCAACAGCACTTCTCTCAATTAATAATTATGTTTCATAACACAATTGATTTGATTATTTGATTAATTTTATTCTTCCCATATCTAAACTGCAAATTCCATGAAGGTAGGTTTATATCTGTTTGCAAAACTGCAGTACTTTCTGTACCTAGCATATTTTAGAGTATACAGAAGGTGTGCAGTATACTTCTTTTGTATAAATGAAGGATCCACTTTGCTTTGTTTTCTTTCATATAGGTTTTGGTAACACCACTTATACTTTTGGAATTTAGACTCCAAGATTTTTTATATTCTTCATTGTTTATTATTTCTTCAGCACTTATAACTAATTATTTATAATTATAGCTTTATTTTTTTACTACATTTTACATTCTGTATCCTCAAAATCTTTGAGAATGTGGTTCAATGATTAGAAGAGACAATATTCCCTTAGAAACAGAACATAGATTCAATTAATATTGCCACTTTTTTGTATTGTTTGGGGTCGGAGTAGGCAAGGAAAGTAGGAACAAAATCTCTGTGGTGTTGGAAGCCTGTCATCTTTTTGTATGTATATCAAAACACTAATAAGGACAACAATTTTTTAGTATGACTTCTGTGCCAAGAACTGTGCTAGTTACTTTGCATATTATGTTTTATCTAATTCAAAAATAACCCAGAGTTTGATGCTTTCACTCACATTTTACAAATGACACAATTTGTCTAAGTCCACACATCTAAGAAGTGAGATTCAGATCATGCTCTATATACCATAGTAATTCAACAATTCATTACATACCATGAAGCAATTTTCCAAAGTTATATTTATGTAAAAACTACACAAATCTCTGTGATAAAAATCAGTACAATCAGTAGGATAGTAAGTGACATCTATTTTGCCAGTATATACAAATCAAATGTTTTCCTTTTCTAGGTTTTATTTTATTTCTTGTTGCTGCTATTTCTTCCAGCTCTCTGAGGACTATGGAATATAAGGTTCAATTTTAAAAAAATAAAAAAAAACAAGGTTTACTATGTGAGTTTACTTACACATTTCTTCATGTCTTGGCTTTATAAACCACTTATTGTAAAAGCTTCTTCTCAAGGGAGCATGAGGATTTATGGATTTATTTTTCAGCATTTCTACTAAAAGTGTTTATTGCACAGCTAAATAAGAAAGTGAACTTTTACTTTGGCAGAGGCTTTATTGCCACTCAAAAGAAAGCTTTTAGAGAGGAACTATATTGTATTTGGGTGGATCACAGGTACTTAATATGTTTTGTTAAAGTTTTAAGAGTCTGTTCAGAAAAGAGATGAAAAATATCAAAGACAATAGAAATAAAATTATGAGACTATACCCTTACACTGAAATTCTGGACTCAGTATTTATATGTGTGTGTGTGTGTATATATATACACACACATATATATATACACATATACACATACATATATATGTAATTGAAATTATTAAATCTTTCATTCATTCATTCAACAAGTATTTATTGTCCGCCATGTGGTAGAAACTGTCTCAGGTGATGGACATATGATGGTGACCCACACGGCTCCTGTCTTCATGAAGCATCTGTTCAATTAGGAGAATTTAACAATGAAAATGTGTATACATAAATGCATATATATACACACACATATAGTAACTAAGGCCATGAAAATTAAGTATTTGGTGATAAAGAATTATAGAAATACACCGGGTGCAGCAGCTCACTTCCTAGCTACTTGGGAAGTTAGGTGAGGAGATCACTTGAGCCTAGGAGTTCGATGCCTAGCCTGGGCAATATAGTGAAATTCCATCTCTAAAAAACATTAAAAAAAGGAATTACAGATAGAATCTACTTGATTTAGAGTAGAAAGAGAATGCAGTTTCAGTTAAACCAGATGAAAAATGAAAAACTAATCAGGGGAGGATCTCAAAAAAATCCCGGGTATTATTAAAACAAAATAAAAAACCGGACAGCAGACACAAATGATGTATTGGAGACTGTCACCTTGCAGGAAGGGAGAGTGCGACTAGTATCTTCTGAAAAAGAGGAACAGTGGCACATGTTGGGGTTGTTAAAGTTGATATGGTTCAAGTTCTGAGGTCTAGAATAGCAAAATAAGAATTCCATTTTTATTCAAGTACACTGTGAAGTTACTGAAGTGTTTTAAGCAAAGTAATTACATGATCTGATTTATATTTTACAAAAATTGCTCTTATTGCTAAAATGAAATGGAAAGGAGAGGAAAGCAAATACATAAAGGGCAGAACTTTCCAGTAGAATGTTGATGGATGGTGCCAGTGAAGGAGATAATTGGATGAAATGGAGTCAGAAGGAGCACAGTTCTATGAAAACAATGGACTAGATCCAAAATTACAGAATTCTAGGCAATGCAGCCTGAGTAAGTGGCATTAGCGTGAAGAGATGTTACTAGTGCCTTTTAGAAAACATTAAGTGGGCTATTACTCAAGTTCTCTTTTGTTATTCTAGTGCTAATTACCCCATTAATGGTTGATACAGACAGCCTCCCCTCTCCCACTCTTTCTCTCTCTCTCTCTCTCTCTCTCTCTCTGTTTCTTCTTTTAACACTTTTGGTTCTGCGCCCATGACAATTGACATTTTGAACTAAGAAGAAATAATAATTTCTATCATTCATTTTTGTAACTGTGCTTTATAGATGATTTCAGACAATGACATGGAGACAAATAAAGCTTTAATTAATAACAATTATTCTTCCTATTTCTAATTTTCATATTTAAAGAATAAAGAAAGAAATAAAAAGGCAAAAGCTAACTGTTTGCATTTTAGTTATAGTGGAAGATAATGAGATACTAAGGTATTTTAGGTTGGTATTATGGAAATAGGATACATATGCACCTAAGCCTTTCTTGTTCATTTAGTATACTTTAGAATTAAAGGAAATTTGTTGCATTTAGTTGAATTTCATGTACCTTTGAATTTCACTTTGACCTAGGTAGAGATATTTTAAAATAAAATATAAGCAATTAACATATTTTTTTCTAAAATCTGTGCTTGTTTTCATAAATCTCAGTTCTGCTACAGATGCTTAGTTGGTGTTTCTGGAGACTCTTTTCATGTAGAATAGGTTTAGTCTTCACTTTCTGCAATGCTATTGGCATGGCATTGCATGAAATCCAAAAAGAGTGTAGTTATAAACACATTTGGCTTTTCCATCAAAGGGTGATATTTTCCCTTCAAGAGTATGTTTTGCGCTTTTTATCTGGGCCTGATTTAATGGCTATGTGGTAAATATTGTGAGATTACTTCTCCCAGTTAAAAAACAACAACAACAACAAAAACTCAATAGGATATGATACTGTTTTCAATTTTCTGCTTTATAATCCATTTTAAAAACCTGAAAGATAGGAAAGTTATGAAATGTTCATAATTCATTTTGTTGTGTTACTTAGAGAAAGTAGTAACATATCCCAGATCTGAATTCTAATGCAACAGCAGAAGTTTATTGGCCCTGACTGATACAAAGCAATGGCCATCATTTTTGACCTATCGGCCATCATTGCAAAATGATGTTTAAGAATTCCTAATTTGTTATATGTAACTTTTGAGTCATAGTGAATTCATAAAACAGTGTTTTATAAACACTCCTAAATGACTATCTTGCTATAGATGATTACATTGGTAGAATATGAAATGTGATTTTAATCTTTTTGATTCCCAGTTAAAAGATCAAATCTGACCTTGTTGGCCAGGCATGGTGGCTCACACCTGTGATCCTAGCACTTTGGGAGGCCAAGGTAGGCAGATCACTTGAGCCCAGGAGTTCAAGACCATCTTGGGTAACATAGTTTAGACCTCGTCTCTACAAAAAATAAAAAAAAATTATCTGGGCGTGGTGGCACACATCTGTAATCACAGCCACTAGGGAGGCTGAGGTAGGAGGATCACTTGAGCTTGGGAGATTGAGGCCACATTGAGCTGTGACCACACCACTGCACTCCAGCGTGAGTGACACAGTGAGACCCTGTCTCAAAACAACAAAACAAAACAAAACAAAACAAAACAAAACAAAACACGTATAACCTTGCCTAGGAATGGAAAGAATAAACATTTTGTACCTTATGGGCTTAGTTTATTATCTATGTTGAGTGGTAAAACTAAGTACTTTAAACTTTTTGCAATCAACCATCCTAACATGAATTAGATGTTATTATCTATTCACTATGTTCTATTTGGCCAGTTGATTTGCATCTGTTAATCTATCATTCCGATTTTTAGGAAACTTTGATTTTTTTCAATTAATGTCGTGTGTCATATATATATATAATAGCCTATACATAACACAAATGTTTACATTAAATAGCAAAGCTAAAAGTGAACTCACCACTTAGATTAAGAATTCCACTAGGGTTTTAAATAGAATTTAGCAAGTTTAATGAAAAACAAAGGGCCAAAAATAATAATAAATTGCCTAAAAAGGAAAATAGACTGAGAGGTATTAGCCATCATAGATAACAATATATTTTGTAAAAGTATAATGATTAAGACAAAGTGGTATGGAAACAATAAAAGACCATGTTATCTTCTACTCTTAGTTTAAAAGTTTAATACATTTAGAATTTTATCAAATGTTTTGTATAATGAAATGATTGTACACATATAAATATACAATTAGTAATAATATGGTGAATTAATACACTTCCAAATGCTGAATCAATTTTGCATTCCTGGAATAATTTGAATTTGATAGTGATTCATTAACTTGAAAACATTGTTGGATTTTATTTGCTAATATTATAGATTTCTTATTATTTTGCATTTGTGTTTGAAATGGTGTTACCATTTCTAGCACCATTAGTCTGGTTGTGGTATAAATATTACATTAACCTTGTGATTGGAAAATCCTTTATCTTTTCTATTCCCTGAAAGATTTGCATGAGATTTTTTTCTCCCCTGAATGTTTGGTAGAAATTACCTATAAAACTCTTGGTACCCACGTTCATATGCTCCAGGATCTCTGGGACCTTGAACATCATTTGGGTTCTTCTTGGTTCCTTGGTGACACTTGTCTGCCACACACTCAGCCTCACAAACGTCCTTCATGGAAAAGTTTATGAAGGCAGGTACGCATCAAAGGGCTGTATCTCCCCCAGAGAACACAGGAGATAGCAAAGACCAGGAAATGTTGCAAGAGGAAACAGATGTCAGTAGAAAAGTGAGGCATTTCTCAGAGGAAAGACAGGATGGCTGCCGTGATTCCACGAGAGAAAGTGCTGTTTTCTAATACAAAGCAATCTCTATCACTCCTCCGGAGAATGTAGCTGTTGCTCCCGGCAAAAAGGCAGAATCCTCATTTGCAATGAGGCCATTCTAGCCCAAATCACTTTCTCTCTAATCCCTTTTTATCTTTTTTGTTTGTTTGTTTCATTTCCTTCATTTCTATCTTTTATGTCTCTTACTATGCTTTCCTGGAATAACTATTCCCACAAGAGCACCTTGTAATTTAGCTTTCATTCGGAGATGTTTTGTCTTTTTCTTTAGTTCTTTCATGAGTTCTGCTAGTTTCCACTGTATATTATCTAACTGTTGAGTTATAGCTCCAAGTGTTTTAGCCATATTTTCTAAGTGCTTTCTTATTTTTGCTTTGTGATGTCTCCTTGTAGATGCTGTGGCTGTGCACCTGTTTAATATATACTATTGGAAGTGTTTGGAAATATGCATAAACCCATAATACCATCACCATAATCAAGATGATAAACATACTCATCACCTCAATTTTCTTGTGTCTATTCGTGTCTTGTGTGCGTGTGCATGTGTGTGTAAGAACACTTTACATGAGATGTACCCTCTTAAACTGTAAAGTGTGCAATGCCATACTGTTAACTAGAGGCACTGTATCGTACAGCAGATCTCTTTTAAATTTAGACTGAAATGTGACATTACAGTCTTCTGTTTGTGATGACATTTTTAGGGTGAGTCTTCTTTGGCTCTTAAGCTTTGCTGTATTTTTTTTCAGTAAAGTGTCTTTGTACAATTGGTATAGTTTTATTTATTTGTTTTTTGTTATCAACGTTTTAGTGAATTGGATTTTCTAGACTAGCTGTTAGCAGAAGGATCTCTGTAAGGCAGGGAGGAGTTAAAGCACTGTACTAGTCTCCTAGGGCTGTCGTAACAAAGTACCGCAAACTTGGTGGCCTCAAACAGCAGAAATGTGTTGTCTCACAGTTCTAGAGGCTAAAAGTCAGAAGTCAAGGTGTCAGCAGTGCCATCTTCTCTCTGAGTGTTCTAGGGGAGGAATTCTTCCCTGCCTCTTCTATTCTGATAGTTGCCATTAATCTGTGGCATTCCTTGGCCAGTGTATGCATCACTCCCATCTCTGCCTCCATCTTCACATGTGGCCCTCTCTACTGCTTGACTCTGTCTCTATGTTCAAAATTCCCTCTTATATGGAGACTAGTCAGATTGGATTTCAGGACCATTCTAATTCAGTATGACTTCATCTTAACTTGATGACATCTGCAAGACTCTTTTTAAAAATAAGGTCAGATTCACATTTCTGGGCAGTTACGACTTCAGAATAGTTAGGCAAGGATTGGGGAGAGTGTGGTACAGTTTAATCCATAGCAAGTTCTTTCCTGGTTCCTCTGCTCAAGGGATACCTCTTCCATTGATAAAGTGATTAACAATTACTTTAATATTGTTGCCTTTTGTGGGCAGATTTCCTCTGATTCTACAGTCTTATGTTGCTTCAGGGGGTGCTTCTACCAATTGTTTTTATCTTTGACTGCTGCACCTTACAGATATTGCCTGTGTATTCCAAGGCAAGTTCTTCTCTGTTAGAACAGATGGTCTTTTATCTGTCACCTTGTCCTCTGTGCACTTTCCATGTTTTGTTTTCCCCAATGTCCTAAGGCTTCTTCCTATCCTCATTGTTTCCAGATCTCAAATGGTATTGAGAGAGGGAGACTTTTTTTTGGTGGGGGTGGGTTGGGGGTCGTTTTTGCGGATGTTTTGTGATTTTCTCAATAGGATAACTCAGAATTCCTAGTTCTTTTGTTGTTGTGATTTTGTCTGCTCCCTTGCTACCCCTTTGAGCTTTCCCATGACATTTCTGCTGCTTTTTGTTGTTTACCATTAATTTGCACATAAAGTTTTTTCTATCTAGTTTCATTGAATTTATTATATATAGGTAGATATTTATTAAGTTCCCATAGTTTTCTGTACAGATTTGCTTTCTCCCCCACCCCCGCCCTCCGGCCAGTTTTGCTTTGAGAAATCATCTATTGGCCTAATCATTGTCCTACTTCCTTTTTGTTTTGGTCATATTTAAGTACATTCTAGCGATCTATATTTTTACCAAATGCATGTAGGTGTTTATCTATCAATCATTTTAATTTGGGGAGAGATTTATTGAATTTTCTGTCTAAGAACTCATGTCTTTTATCAGTTCTCAAAAGTTCTTAGCCACTATTCCTTTAGACACTAAGGGATCAGAAGAAAGAACCTGTAATCACAAAGTACAACTCACACCCATTTTATTCATGCTCTTTTACTGTTCCTTTGATTGAGTATTAGTCTTTCTTACTCTCTCCTCTGTGTTTCTTAACTCCCCCTTTTTCCATAATTTCTATTTGTGACACATTCTGGGTTATTCCTTCAGCTTGATCTTCTACTTTACGAATTCTCTCCTTGGCCTCTTTGAATCTACTACTAAATATCTTCATTCAGTATCAAATTGCAACTGTTTTATATTTTATTCCCAAAATTATATAGGTTTTATTCAAATATTTATGGTCAAATTTTGCAGTTTTCTGTTCTTTTCTTATTTATTTAATTTTCCAATGTAATGTTTTAACATCATAAACATTATTTTATATTATTTGTTTGATACAAAATTATTAATTACAAAATCTGCTATATTTTGAGGCTTAAGTTATAATGTTTGTTATTTTTCCTAATATTTCAAGGTATATTTTCTGTTTAGTGTTTTGCAGTTTCTCATTATGAGCTAATGTGCCTTTAAATATTGTAAAACTCTGGATGACTATTTGAAATCTATGTTTAAATTACAGTTTTATCAAAGAGTAATTTTATTTGCTTTTTCCAGATGCCCAGGTACACATTTTTGGCTATGTTTTTGCTGGTGGTGATCATGGAGGTGGCTTTTGTTTCTTTCAGCCATAAGGCTAGTGAGAATTTTTTCTCCTAATTAAAGTAAATCTGGAGGCATCATGCTACCTGACTTCAAACTATACTACAAGGCTACAGTAACCAAAACAGCATGGTACCGGTACCAAAACAGAGATATAGATCAATGGAACAGAACAGAGCCCTCAGAAATAACACCGCATATCTACAACTATCTGATCTTTGACAAACCTGAGAAAAACAAGCAATGGGGAAAGGATTCCCTATTTAATAAATGGTGCTGGGAAAACTGGCTAGCCATATGTAGAAAGCTGAAACTGGATCCCTTCCTTACACCTTATACAAAAATTAATTCAAGATGGATTAAATACTTAAACGTTAGACCTAAAACCATAAAAACCGTAGAAGAAAACCTAGGCATTACCATTCAGGACATAGGCATGGGCAAGGACTTCATGTCTAAAACACCAAAAGCAATGGCAACAAAAGCCAAAATTGACAAATGGGATCTAATTAAACTAAAGAGCTTCTGCACAGCAAAAGAAACTACCATCAGAGTGAACAGGCAACCTACAAAATGGGAGAAAATTTTTGCAACCTACTCATCTGACAAAGGACTAATATCCAGAATCTACAATGAATTCAAACAAATTTACAAGAAAAAAACAAACAACCCCATCAAAAAGTGGGCGAAAGACATGAACAGACACTTCTCAAAAGAAGACATTTATGCAGCCAAAAAACACATGAAAAAATGCTCACCATCACTGGCCATCAGAGAAATGCAAATCAAAACCACAATGAGATACCATCTCACACCAGTTAGAATGGCAGTCATTAAAAAGTCTGGAAACAACAGGTGCTGGAGAGGATGTGGAGAAATAGGAACACTTTTACACTGTTGGTGGGACTGTAAACTAGTTCAACCATTGTGGAAGTCAGTGTGGCGATTCCTCAGGGATCTAGAATAGAAATACCATTTGACCCAGCCATCCCATTACTGGGTATATATACCCAAAGGACTATAAATCATGCTGCTATAAAGACACATGCACACATACGTTTATTGTGGCATTATTCACAATAGCAAAGACTTAGAACCAACCCAAATGTCCAACAATGATAGACTGGATTAAGAAAATGTGGCACATATACACCATGGAATACTATGCAGCCATAAAAAATGATGAGTTCACATCCTTTGTAGGGACATGGATGAAATTGGAAATCATCATTCTTAGTAAACTATCGCAAGAACAAAAAACCAAACACCGCATATTCTCACTCATAGGTGGGAATTGAACAATGAGAATACATGGACACAGGAAGGGGAACATCACACACCGGGGCCTGTTGTGGGGTGGGGGGAGGGGGGAGGGATAGCTTTAGGAGATATACCTAATGCTAAATGGCGAGTTACTGGGTGCAGCACACCAGCATGGCACATGTATACATATGTAACTAACCTGCACATTGTGCACATGTACCCTAAAACTTAAAGTATAATAAAAAAAAAAATAAAAAAAAAAGTTGGGCTTGTGTTTAAGGATTCTCGGGGAAAAATTATTTTTAAGTCTCTCTCCAGAGCCAATGCTGATGGTTTGCAATATCCCCATAATCTTCTGCCAAAAAGTGGATTTTTCCTAGTTTATCCACTAAGTTTGTCACCTTTAGTTATCCTGCTTTATGTACTGGTTCATGGATCAAAGATTTAAATTTGGACTTACCCTAGGCTTTTTCTTCTGATCCCCTTAAATGACCCATGAAAAGCTGTTATGGACTGAATTGGGTCCCCCTCAAACTCATGTGTTGAAACCCCCAATGTGAGTGTATTTGGAGATCAGTAGGCCTTCAAAGAGGTAATTAAGGTTAAATGAGATCATAAGTCCTAATGCAATGGGACTGATATCCTTTTAAAGAGGAAGAGATACCAGAGATCCTAATCTGTTTCTTTGCACATGTGCACAAAGGGAAGACCATTGGATGACATAGCAAGAAGACGCTGTCTATAAGCCAATAAGGGAAGCTTCACCAGAAACCAACCCCACCAGGACCTTGATCTTGGACTTCTGCCTTCCAAAACTGTGAGAAATAAAATTCTCTTTTTTAAGCCACCCAGTCTGTGGTATTTTGTTATGGCAGCCTGAGCAGGCTAATACAAAGCTCAAGCTCTAGGCAATTATGACTGTTTAGATGTTCCAGGGAAACATCAAGAATCTAGGATGGTGAATAAAATCTCTAGATTCATTCTTCTCCTATTTTTTTCCATGGTGCAGAAGATTTATTTGACTACGGCACTAATCTAACCTTATGTTTTGAAATATTTTAAAAATATTTTGTTCAGCAGTTTTGTTCAGTAAGTGTTCTATACTTCAAGGGTTTCTTTGAATAGAAATGTCACCCTACTGCTGGAAACTAAATTCCATTTCATTTATTTTTATTTACATACTATCATTTTAATTTTGGCACTTCAAAAAACTTATTATTATTTTGGTGAAATGAAGGCAGTGTAAAATGTGTAAAACATCATGTTCAAGCCATGCTTCTTCACTTACATTTTATATGTTCTCTTTAAGAAACTTTAAATACATAATGGAAAAAGATGGGATACATTACGGGAGGCCGAGGTGGGCAGATCACTTGAGGTCAGGAGTTTGAGACCAGCCTGGCCAACATGATGAAATCCTGTCTCCACTAAAAATACACAAATTTTGTATTGTATTGAGTGCTTGTAATCCAAGCTACTCAGGAGGTTGAGGCAGGAGAATTGCTTGAACCCTGGAGGTGGAGGTTGTGGTGAGCCAAGGTTGCGCCACTGCACACTCTAGCCTTGGCAATAAAGCAAGACTCCATCTCAAAAAAAAAAAAAAAAAGTGGGATAGGTGTTACACCCATATTGTCAGTAAGAATATGGGAGAGTAAGAAAGAAAGCAACTAGATCAAAGATTCATAGCAAATCACTTGGTGGTGGTCAAATTATAAATTTCTGCTCTTCCCACTGCTATATGAGTGTCCTGTCATCTCACTATGGACAATTTTAAGGCTGATTCATTCTGTATGGACTTTGTATCTGACATTTTTTCTGTATCAGATATTGCAGCAAAACTTTTCTGCTATTCAAAACCATCTACAAAACCTACTCTGTGCTTCTAGGAGTTTCATTATTTCAGAGACCTAGCACTGAGGTGGGTGTGTTCTAATGTCTGGGGGAAAAGCAAGAAGTTTGATAATTGCTGTCAGCTTTCTTATTTCCTGTCTTAGAAATTGAGAATACTGATTTGTCTGGGATTTTTGCCCGCATCAAGTTTCTTTCTGCATCCTTTTCTTTCTTGTTCTCATTTTTTATATACTTTTGCTCCAACAGATGAATCTGTTGTAAAAAGTACTAATTTTTTAACTATGAGTTCAGAGGTTATATTTAAACTATTTTAATAATGTATTATAAATAATTTCACATATAAAGTGATATAAAACAAATACTGATCTATTAAATAGCCATCTAAAGAAATTAAACATCAAAATACAAAAGAGAAATCGAAGAGAACTGAATTCTGCTCTAATTGACACTAAAATAAAGATAACTAAATAAAAAATTCACGATGACCTTTGAAAGTATGGCAGACAGACAGTGGGAAATAAGTCACTTTAGTTTCCAGCCCAAATTAAAGGGTCACAGAACACTGGAATTCGCTGTGGTCATTAAACCGCTGCAAATTATGGCTCTTCAAGGAAAGCACACATCAAAGTCATCTTCTCATGCTTTTAAAGAAATGCTGGTTTATGAACTATTATTAACATTAAATGGCAAGTCAGTGTAGGTCACAGTAAGGTACAGAACTATAAAACCTCAAACAGCGGTTTTCTATTTTGTGTTTTTAAAGTATTTGACAGTTACTTTATGGATTGGTGCTTTAAGCAGCTTTTATGCCTACATAGATTTAAAAGGGAGGTTATGGAACGAGCATATGTGACTGTGACATTCAAAGTGAATATATATCAGAGACACAGAGACGCCCAAAGCTCTTGTCATAGGGCATATAGAGAACATGCATCAAAGGGCCCTATGTACATCCATGCAAAAGGCCAAGTTAATTTTTACACTTAAAGGCAGGTTCTAAGGCTAATAGCACTTCCAAGGATACTAAGATTTTGCCTTCCTCTTGCATTTTCCTTTGCCTTGGAAAATGGAAAGATAACTTCAAATTAATTTATTTCTTTACTTTGCTTATTTATGATACCTTTCCTTAAATTGTGAAGGTCTTTTGTCTATAGTATCCGTCTTAGCATGATTCCCAGCACTATCTTTATGCAACTAGGTTATTGGTTGGTTTTAGTTGCTGTACTTTAAAAAACCCAGGAATTTTAGAAGAAATCTTTGGTACTTAATTAAAAAAAACGAAGGGGGCTCTTTTTGTCAAAATTCTCCTCATTTATCTCTCTACCATTACTCTCAATCCTGTTGAAACCATTCTCCACGTCACCATAACTATGGATTTGATTATGTTATCCATTTTTTAAAAAACTATTATTTACTGTCACGATAAGATAAAGTATCTGTTTATTTATTTTTCTGTAAACCACTTCCTTCAGATATGATTGACATACACAAAGCTGTACATTTTTAATCTGTAGACCTCAGCGAGCATGGAGATGAGTGTACACCCATGGAACTGTTACCACAATCTATATTATAAACCTATCCATCACCTCCAAAAGTTGCCTCTCACCCTCTTATTATTATTTAATGATAAGGACAGTTGATATAAAGAATGATCCTCATAGCAAGTTTTTAAGTATACAAAACAGTATTATTAACTATAGCCACTATGCTGTACTGGAGATCTCTAGGTCCTATTTATCCCATATAATAAGAAACTGTATCATCTAACTAATATCTCCTCGTGTCCCTCTCTCCTCTGCCACTGGCAAACACCATTTCACTCTATTTCTATGAGATTGACTATTTTAGATTTATCACGTAAGTGGTATCATGTAGTATTTATCCTTTTGTGTCTCCCTTATTTCATTTGGCACAATGTCCTCCAGGTTCATCTATGTTGTCACAAATGGCAGAATATGCTTATTTTTCAAGGCTGAATAATTTCCATTGCACGTATATGCCATATTTTCTTTATATATTCATGCAACAGTGAGAACTTAGGTTGCTTACATTCATTTCTTTGGTGACCAAAGCTTCACATGATCAGATTCTAACATTTAGTTTCCCTTCTGTTTCCATGGGTTCTGCATCTATGGATTCAACCAAGAGTGGATAAAAACATTTGGGAAAAAAAGGATAGTTGCATCTACACTGAACATGCACAGACTATTTTTCTTATCATTATTTTCTAAACAATACTGTAAAACAACTATTTACATAACATTAATGTTATATTAGGTATTATAAGTAATCTAGAAATGATTTAAAGTATACAAGAGGATATGCATAGGTTACATGCAAAGACTACACCATTTTATATAAAAGACTTGAGCATCTGTGGATTTTAGTATCATGATCTCAGAGGGGAGGTAATTTCATGGTGTGTCCTGGAAGCAATCTCCCATGGATACTGAGGAATGAGTGCTTACAGGAGGGGTCTTCAAAAAGTATATGGAAGATGCTTATTATGAAATATCCATGCATAAATTTCAACTTTTTTGCACCAAAATTTGCACTAACTTGTTATAACATGTATGAACAGGATGTAGTTTGAGGCATTAAGAAGGATAAAACATCAGTTTGAAAAGAGACCTTATCAGAGCAGCATGAATTTTGCTAAAATTGAAGCAAAAAAAAAATCATCAAATTTATGGTGAAGCTTGGGTGGAGGAATGGTGAAATCATTGATGTTTTATGAAAAGTTAATAGGGACAAAGCCCCAAAGAAATCAGCAGCTTACAAATAGATAACTCATTTTAAGAAGAGATGAGATGATGTTGAAGATGAAGCCCATAGCAGCAGACTATCCACATCAATTTTTGAGGACAAAAATTAACGTCATTAGTGTCCTAAATGAAGAGAACAAATGATTAACAGCAGAAACAATAGCCAACACCATCAACATCTCAATGTGTTCAGCTTACACAATTTTTATGGAAAAATTAAAGGTGAGGAAACTTTCCACTCGATGATTACAAAACCATTCTGCCCAGATCAACTGCAGACAAGAGCAGAGCTTTCAATGGAAATTTTAAACAAGTGAGATCAAGATTCTGAAGCATTTTTTCAAAGAATTGTAACTGGAGATAAAACTCCTGCTGACTTTACCAGTATGATCCTGAAAACAAAGCACCCTCAAAGCAATGGTAAGTAATGTGACAGCCAGGTGGGAGGAGATCCCTGAAAAAAGTCCAACTGACTTGGACACTGGGAAGAGTGCACATGGGATGCAGCCACAGAAGTCCGTGCCATTTGCAGCAGGGAGAAGAGCCTGGTCCTCCTCTTCCTGTGCAAAACCAGAGATTCAAACTGCAAGGCAGGAAGCACTATAGCAGGGACTCTGTCCTTTTGGAGAGTCCCTGTTTCCCCCTTGTATTCCTTTTCACCCAATAAAACCCTGCTTTACTCATCCTTCAAACTGTCTGCAAGCCTAAATTTTCATGGCTGTGGAACAAGGACCCCGTCTTTAGCTGAACTAAGGAAAAGTTCTGTAACATTTTTGGCACCCAACATGAGGCTCAAGAAGTGGTGAGTGAAATGGGGATGCAAAACTCCTCACTGTGGTTTCTAACCCTTTTCATCCTCAGACTTCTGATCTTATGGGAAACTACACTCAAACCCCCCGTCACTCCCAGAAGTTGGGGGCCTTTTCATGCCCTTTTCTTTCCTTTTTTGAGATGGACTGGTGAGCAGCTGCTCACCACTTCCTCCTCCCTGGTGGGGTTGGGACGCATGGCCCAAGGGTCCTGCACAGCTGGCTAGCTGGTTCCCAGCCATGCGCCACTGCATCCTCCCTCTTTCCCTGCGAAGGGTTTCAGCTTCATCTGATAGTAATTAAACTTTTTTCCCTGGTGTAAGAACCAGTTGCATAAGAATAATAGGTTCTTCTCTCAGGAATCCTTTTCCTTACCCCATCAGCAGGTAACTTTTAACGTTCTTTCCTTTTAGAAAATGCTTTACTAGAACAGGCACCCCTAACTATCACTGTTTATATTTTCTGCAAAGTTTTGGTTGTGAAATCAGGCCATCTTGTTTACATCCTGGGGGCATGGCTTGTAACTCTGGTGGCAAGGTTTTGTTTAGCAGTCCTGCCTTAGAGAATAGGTTCCTTTCTGGTTTGATATCTGCATGTTTTCCTAGACCTGTCTCCTAAAGAACCCCACCAGGAAACTGGGTTTTCTCCTGCCTGTCTCTGTGTGTGTGTGTGTGTGTGTGTGTGTGTGTGTGTGTGTGTGTGTGTGTGTGTGATGTTGTAAAAAGGACTCTAATTGATTCGGCCTAAAGAAAAACAACTACTTGGATTAAATATTTTTAAGGGAAGACAAAAGCTTTTGTACCTTTCAGTTCACATGACTTTAATATTTAAGAAATAAAAACAACCTTAAAAATTATTGGTAAAAGGCAAGTGTCATTAAAATGTAAATAGGTGGGATGAATAATGCAGGTCAGATGCAAGATTTACTAAATGTTTTAAGGTTAAAAACTGCTTTTTGGGTTTTGAAAGCTATTTGACTTCACAATTGGTAAGACCTGGGGACATATGGAACTAACCACACCCTTAATTAAGAAGGCAAATTTTGGCCGCAGTTAGCATACAATTAAAGCAACTTACCAGGTTTTACCTTAAAGTTAACAATTGCTAGGAGTTACCATTACAATGTGTAGTTAAAACTACTGAAATTAGATTTACATGTAAGGTGTGTAAGAACAGTAAAATGTGTTTTCTTTTCTTTTTTTTTTGTAAAAGGTTATAAGAAGGCATGGAAATGTAAATTTTCGCCTAGGGTTAAACAATTATTTTAAACTAGATAAGATAAACCTGAAGGTTCAAACTAGTGGTAGGAGGATTGTGGAGATTAATCTTGAAGAAGAGGTTCTCTGTGTGAACATATTGACTAAATTCAAAAAGGCATTATGTAGTTTTTCTGTAAATTGAGCATTAAAATAAAAACACAACAAGGTTTTCTTAAGGTTGTTAAGTTATTGTTAACCATGGAGATAACCAAACTTCGTCAATCGTGTTTCTAACTGTAACTATGCTGGACATTTTGCTATTTATGGACAATTGTTTTCTTAGTTTTAATCCTTTTCAAAAGATGGTTTATAATGAGCTATAGGACTCTGACAGGTGCTCTTAAATTCAATTTCTGATTGTATATGGGACAATCAGGTTTTTGATAACCTTAGAGATTGTAATATTGGAATAAAGGAAAATGTACAGGACTCATAAAGAGCTAAAATGTTCATGAATTTCAAGCAAAACAAGAGTTAACTAAATGGACTGAACCCAGAAAGCTGAAGCAAACTTTTTGACTTTTGCTCAGAATATTGCTGATCCTTGTTTTGTTTTTCAGAGTCAAGGAAACTTTATTTTGAACTATTTACAGCTTTTAATAATTAAGCAAGGTATACTCCTGTAATCAAAATTTGGAGTAGTTTGTTTCTCTCTGCCTGGTTCCTCTAGAATTTGGGAACTATTTGTGAGTATTCTTAACTTATGGCAATATAGTTGTTTGCATAATTGCAGTAAGAATCCATTTTTCTTTTGCAACAGGACACAGTTGGAAAAAATGGTTATTTTACCAAGGCCTTGACTGGAAGGCTATGCTTCCCTTTAGGAAATCAAGCTCAACTTGCAGAGCCAATAAAAGCCCAGTGGGGAGACTGGCCTCATACCCTTGCCTACACAGTCCCTGTACAGGGTTTCTGACCTATGGTGAGTAAAGAATGTCACTTTCTAACAGGTCCAGGATCTTAAAGTTTATCTTGGGACTTTAAGAGGAAAGGATCACCCACCTCACAGGTATTTGAGGATACAAACCCATGGCCAGGCTTGGCTTTAAAAGGTCTTATCTAAGACTCCCTGTGGAACAAACTTCCATAAAAGCCAATCCAAAAGGCCTATGTAGAAATAATTATTCTTGCTGTACTTTATGCAAATAATTAGGCCAAGTATAAGACTAAAGTCTCTTTTACAAACAATTCAGTCCTATCATTTTTTTTTTTTTTTTTACAAAAATGAGGACTGGAGAGAGAGAAATTATGTTTCAAAACTTCATCAGTTGTTTTTATTTTTATGTTTTTGCCTACATCTTAGACTAACCCTGCTTGTTCCTGTGAACCAACCAGCAATTTCCAGCTGCAGTCCAGAAAAAACAAGAGGGGTGGGTAATGTAAAAAATTTTGATCGATAGTCTAGTTCTGAGTAATTATCCTGTGAATCCTGCCAGGTGATGGGAATAAATAGGATGCCCATCACTCAGAGGTTTCCTTTTGGGAAAGTAAGACCAAGGGAGCTAACCAAAGCCAAGCACCAGGCACCCAAATCCTAGCAAGCATGACTATAGCCACCAGTTATCTGGGTGTGTCACAAGACATCTTCCCGTTTTGGAGGAGGACTCAATTCAACAGTTTCACCTTAGCATTTGCCTTATGATAAGGAGTCCATGCAACCCCCCGAGACACATTTTTGTCCCAAACTCAATTCCAAGCTTCGGGTAAAAGCCCTAGGAAGGAAAGCTGGATCAAAGGGATCCAGAGGCAGACAACAGAAGTTAAAAGGCACAGCGCAGGTGAACATGGCTAATTCCTGCCAATTAAGCCAAGCCCAAGCTTCCTGTTTTAGGGATAAATGCCATGCTAGTATCCATGGCATAAATGAGTTCTAGGGAATTCAAGGCTACTGACAACAGGGGAGATAGGGCGTACATGGGTAAGAGCAGATGATTCCTACCCCCATACCTCCCTGATTCATCGGTGTAAGCCACTTTGACACTCAAGGGGGGACATGCCAAGGTCACCAGAACTCGAGGATGGAAGGATGGAAGAGGGAAAGAGGACACTCTTCCTTCTCTCCCTCACATTCCCAGGGTATCTACTAGGAAGAAATGAGAAACTGGGATGCCTGCTCTCCTCTTTCTAGATGGGTAGCCATTCATCTTCAGTCTCCACCCATTTCAAATGCATCCTGAACCCCTGGAGCTCCTTTGAAAAACACCTTCTTTTTCCTCTCTCCTCCTGTCCTCTCTCCTCCTGTCCTCTCTTCACTGATAGGTAATTGTGTCTCCATACTACAGGTTACTCCACTCAGATGTATCCTTCAAACTAGAAAGAACTAATTTCCCAAACCTTAAACTGGTTGGTTTAAGATTGGGTTCAGAGGTGCTGGGCATGGTGGCTCACGCCTGTAATCCCAGCACTTTGGGAGGCCGAGGCAGGTGGATCACGAGGTCTGGAGTTCAAGACCAGCCTGGCCAACATGGTAAAACCCCGTCTCTACTAAAGATACAAAAATTAGCTGATCATGGTGGTACATGCTTGTAATCCCAGCTATTCAAGAGGCTGAAGCAGAAGAATCGCTTGCACCCAGGAGTTGGAGGTAGCAGTGAGCCAAGATCGCACCATTGCACTCCAGCCTGGGTGACAGGGCGAGACTCCATCTCAAAAAAAAAAAAAAGAAAAGAAAAGAAAAGAAAAAAGGAAAGAAAAAAAGAAAAAAAAAAGATTGGGCTCAGGGGAAGGGAATCCAGAAGCCCAACATGCCAGCAAAAGAGTAAAGTTATTTTGCCTGTCAGGTTTTGGCCTCCCTTTCCCTGTGCAAACTGGTAAAAGGCCTCAGGATTTTTGAGCTGCCATTACCCTTTCCCGTTTGACACATGTTTTGACACGTTTCCTAATAACGCGGTTTGTCTGTTCTTGCCTTCAGGCCATCAAACTCCAATGGTCATGCAACTGGAGACTCTGACAATGGCCTCTTCTGCTGGGAACCCTTAGATAGACCTCTGAGGGAGCTCTGGCTGCCGTTTCTCCACTGTCAGCAAGAAGCAGTTAAGATCAGTCTTCATCCTTATCCTTATTCTAGTGGCCAATTAGATGTACTTCGTTAGAGTGGGGAATGAGACAGCCACGTGGGAGGGATCCCTGGCAAAACTCCAACTGACTTCCACACTGGGAAGAGTAGGCACACTGGGGTGGAACCATAGAAGTTCCTGCCGATTGCAGCAGAAAGGAGCTGCAATCATGTGTGGGACGTGGGATTCCAACTGCGAGGCAGGAAGCACTCTAGCAGGGACTCTGTCCTTTTGTAGAGTCCCTGTTACCCCCTGTTCTTCCTTTTCACCCAGTGAAACCCTGCTTTTCAAGCTCTTCACACCGCCTGTGAGCCTAAACTTTCATGGCCGTGGGACAAGGAGCCCATCTTTAGCTAAGCTCAGGAAGAGTCCTGCAACATTAAGACGTGGAAGTGGTCCTGTGAAAGCAAAAGTGGACCAGTCAAGAGCAAAGATCGAGGCAAGTTTTTTGAGGGATTTTTTGAGGGTTGCTCAAGACATTTTGCTTGTCAACTTTCTGAAGGACCAAGAATGATAACATCTGCTTATTATGAGAGTGTTTTGAGAAAGTTAGCCAAACCTTTAGCAGAAAAATTGGGAAAGCTTCACTAGCGAGTTTTTTGCTTGTTTGTTTGGTTTTTTTGAGATCGAGTCTCACTCTGTCACCCAGGCTGGAGTATAATCACCCCATTTCCGCTCACTGCAACCCCTGCATCCCAGGTTCAAGCCATTCTCCTGCCTCACCCTCCTGATTAGCTGGGATTACAGACGTGTGCCACCATGCCTGGCTAATTTTTGTATTTTTGTAGAGATGAGTTTCACCATGTTGGCCAGGCTGGTCTGGAACTCCTGACTTCAGGTGATTCACCCACCTCGGCCTCCCAAAGTGCTGAGATTACAGGCATGAGCCACTGTGTCTGGCCAAGAGAGTCCTTTACTACAACAATGCTCCTGCTCATTCCTCTCATCAAACAAAGGCAATTTTAAGAGCATTTTGATGGGAAATTGTTAGGCATTTATCTTACAGTCGTGATGTGGCTCCTTGTGACTTCTTTTTGTTTCCTAATCTTAAAATAGCCTGTAAGTGGCATCAATTTTACTTCAGTTAAAAATTTAAAAGGACTGCATTGACATGGTGAAATTCCCAGGACCCTCAGTTCCTTAGGTAAGGACTACATGGCTGGCATCATCACTTACAAATTCACACATGTCTTGAACTTGATGAAGCTTATGTTGAGAAGTAAAGCTTATATTTTTATGTTTTAATTCAATTTTTCCACAAACTTTTTGAAGTCCTCTTGTATTTCTAGCGTGTCCCCTTTTCCTTCTCACATCTTTCTCTCCCATATTATAGCAACTTTGAGCTTCCTATCATCTCTGAATTAAGAGTTCTTATTAGGGAGCTATGCTATTTCTGTTATTTGGAGGACCTTTCCTTAATCCCTCTTTGCTTAGAAAACTCTTACTCATCCATTCATATAGCTTTACCGTGAAAACTTTTATGATTCTCCAGTATGGGGAATTAGAGAACACTGTGCACTTTGCTTCCCTACAATGCTTTCTTCAAAACATCATAATTGGCCTTTTCCTGGTTTTATATTACGTATTACCTGCCACTTTGCTTGTCTCATTTCCCATCTTATAAATGCCCTTAAGACAGGACTCACATCTTTTTTTTTTTTTGAGAAGGACTCACATGTTAATTACATTTTCTAGCATACTCTTCAGCACACACTAGCAACACAATGCATGCTTGATGACTGAATTATAATCATTGATTACTTCACCCCATAAAATAACAGATGAAGAAATATAGAAAGACAGCTGTACACATATAGAGCAATCAAGTCAATTATATATTTATTCATTAGAAGATTCTGTTGTTAACTGTTAATAATCATTTTCACCAGTCAATTGGAAAGTCTATGTCAGCAGAACTAACAGAAATGTTATTTTTAATTCTCAGCTATCTTTCTCCTAGTCAATTTAGTCATTTAGCAAATGTCAAGACCTTTTTTTAAATATTCATCATTTTTAGGGTTAAGCAATTTGGCATCTATGCAGTCCTTTTTCCCATAACCTTGTTACCAAGTGATAAATTACAATGAGAGAGAGCCCTCAATCTAATTCTGCCATACCAAAAATGTGTTACTATAATATGTTAACAAGTGGGCACAAACACAGTCAGACACTGAAGTATAGGGAGATTCCATTCTGCGCCTCAGGCATTCCAACTAATCCCTTGCACAGAAAGTGCAGGAAGGTAGGCATGACTACTGTCTAGTGGCCAGAGTCCATACTTATAAATGAATCTGACGATTGGACCTCCATCGATTGGAGGGATGCAGGGACTCTGAATGTAGAAGGCTACAAATGATGGTCTTAAAACCTCCATGTTTGCTGGACTTTTATTTCATTCCATGGGTGAAAAGTAATCATGCCTGACAGTGTTAATTTCTGCTGAAAGCAAACTTTATGCTATTTAACACTCCTACTCTCTGGAGTTTCTGATTGGGCTTCTTCAAATATTAACTGACATTTGCAGCCAAACACCACACCATTTATCCAGAAGTATTATTAAAATAAACCATTTCACAAACAAAATAAGGACATTTTTTATTATCACTATTTTAACCCTGTGTTATTCTCCTATCCATCTGCACCTCACTTTAATTCATGAACAAAAAGAATCTTTGGTATCAAGGATAATATTAAAATTAGAAAGAAAGCCACTTGGTCTTTGTCCTTATGTTGTTTACAGAATGCTCCACGTTGGGGTACTATTTTGAAAACCTGGCATTTTTTGATTACATGTAATCTGACTTGTTGAGGATCTAGAGTGCAGAAATATTGTATGCATGTAAATGGTGAAAGGAAGAGGTTTTTGTCTCCTTGGCAATTCATCCCCATTATCAGTCTACCTAAAAATTGTCTCCCGCCATTACATAGAAGCACTTTGTACTTTGTAAAATAAACTATTGCAGATGTTATTAAAATAAACTGTTATGCAGACCATATGAGGATATTATTTGCTGCATTATCAAGTTCTCAACTTGGAATTAGTGACTGAAATCATCAAAGTTGTTTATTGCATCTCTTTCTGGCATTGCTATTATTATTATTTGCATTTATTGGTCATTTATATAAATATTATGAAAACAATATTGTTTATTTGAAAAACAAAGTATTTATTCTTCATTTATTTGGTAAATATTTATAAACAGAGGATATGTGAAAAGAACATCCCACAAGTTAAATGCTTTTTAAAAGAGAAAACATTTTCTACTTCAGATTTGCTGGAGAAAATGAAATACTGTGTTTTAAACTCATCAGTATTTTTGAGCATAGAAATCGCTCTATAAATCTCTCTTTGAAAAAGGAAAATATAAAATCAGAAATGTTAGTCAGCTTTAAAGCAAATAAACAGATTTAATTAAGAGGAAATTTTGAAACAAATCTCACAAACTTAAAATATCTTTGTTTATTCAGATGTGTTGCACATAACTTCTGTTAACAAAACAAACAGATTAAATGTCCATATTGCTAGGCAAAGTATGTCTGTTAAATAAAGGTGTTGAAGTAATCTGTTAAATGTTAAATTTAACTCTGAAAGATTAAATAGTAGGTTGCTTAGGTCAGAAATTCAATAAAAAATTCTCTAAGCATTCTCTTGCTATCAAATTGCTTTATTTATGTCATGGAGGTTTAATCTTTAGAGCTATGACATTTCCAAAAAATATATACTTTGCTTTGTTTGAGAAAAAATTGCATTGTGCCATAACATGATTTTCATAAAAGTTTAAACAATGTCTTGAAAAAGTAAAGCTAAAAGTTTATTAAGCCCAAATATAACCATGTATTTTATTTATACTTTGACAGATGCCTACAGAATTCAAAGTCTAAATAGGTAATAGGTACAGCAGGACTTTGAATAAGATTGTTTCATCCAGGGTTTTTTCACTAGAATGTGAATTAGATTAAAAAAACAAACAAAAAAAACCCATCACTTTCCAGCCAGGGCCTCTGTCTGTGTGGGGTCTGCATGCTTTCCCCAGGCCTGCCTGGGTTTGCTCCAGGTCCTCTGATTTCCTCCCACATCCAGATGTGCCTGTTAGGTTCATCAGCACATCTACACAGTCCCAGTGTGAGTGAGAGTGGTGTGGGTGTGAGTGCGCCCTGTGATGGGATGGCATCCTGTCCGGGGCATTTTCCTGCCTGGCATCCTGAGCTGCAGGGATAGGCTCTGGCCACCTGCAACCCTGAACTGGAATAATTGGGTAAATCATGATCTTACTTGTTTTTATTAATCATTCTTAAATGTATGTATAGTTCACATTTGTTTCAATGTCAGAAGTGTTTTGGGTCTTTATTTAGAAGTTTGGTGATGTTTTTGCAACCAGAAATATGCCATAGGAATTTCACTTTTGTTTGGATCAAATAGCCTGTGGTCAAATTGGTTTCCTTATAGTTATTTTGCTTAAAGGAACAGTTTCCAAGAACCTGTAGACAACATTCAGTGAGGACATACTGTAGTTGGTACAGTGTATCAGATGCTTCCAAGGGAAACCATGGTTGGACATACAGATTTTGGAGTTATCTGAACTGAGTAAATAAGTGACTGAATTTGTCAAGTCAAAAAGTGTAGCAGAGAAGAGTCCATGGCCAAGGAGGAAATTTTATTGCTATTTCTTCCTTCCCAGATAGTATATGGTTGCATCATATTATAAATTTAAACATATTCAATTAATAAGTAGTTTCTTTAAGACGAATTTGGAGCTACTGAAAACCAGTTTGGAGTATATAGATTCTATAGTCATACAACCGTGCTACAAATACTTTAAACTGAAAGTATAGTCACAATGATACAAAGACACACAGAAAGGTTGCAAGCCTATTAAGAGTCAGATGAGAGTCTGAAGTTGTGAAAGTACGTAAATGATATGTGTATTTAGGTTAACAGCAAAGGGGTGGATTTTGATTATGAAGGCGAGGTTATCCTGAAACCTCTCATCCTGCAGGGAGGGCTCCAGGAGAGTGAAAGTGCCCAAGTCCTTTTAAGGCCTAGGCTTGAAACTGGCATACTGCCACTTCCACAGCAATTGATTGGCCAAAGCAAGTCTGATTCAAGAGGTCGGGAAACAGATTCTAGCTGTTGATTGGAGGAGCTGCAAAGTCACATTTCAAAGAATGTTTATATAAACAGGGATGAAAATTTTGGCCAATTTCACATACATCTACAACATGAAGATCCTATTAAAGAAAAAAAAAACAGATGAAAAACACATTGATTAGTGTCTCCCAAATTTTAATATGAAAAAGAACTATTTTGGATATTTATTAAAATTCAAATCCCTGGGCCATATCCCATAATATGATAGTAGGTCTAGTTTTCTAGAATCTTAAACAAAGCTATTCATCTCCCTAGTGATTTTGATAGAGATGGTCTAATGACTCTCCAGTGATGGAGAGAAAGAAATTTTATACTGGAGTAATGAAGAGTGAATTATTACAGGAAAAAAATAGTTAAGCAGGTGAAAACTGTTCAAAGGTTATCCCCTTCATTCGTTACTACAGATTGAGTATTCCTTATCTGAAATGCTTAACACCAGAAATGTTTTTGGACTCCAGATGTTTTTGGATTTGGGCATACAAAAATACTTGTGAAGCCATCCTACCATCAAGATAATTGAAGTATTGTCACCTAAAGAGTTCCTTCTCACACTTTTCTAACTGCTTCCCCCAGCTCTTCTTGGATCCACTGATCTACTTTCTATCACTACAGATGAGTCGGCTTTTTCTAGAAGTTTACATATGTATGTAATCAATGGTATGTATTCTTTACTCTCTGGCTTCTTTAATGTATGATTATTTTGAGGCTTATGCATGTTTTTGTATGTATCAATAGTTCATTCCTCTTTATTACTGTGTAGTATCTCATTGTGTGGATATACCACAATTGATGTATCCATTCACCTTTTGATGGATATTTGTTTTATTTAAAGTTTTTGGCTTCTATATATATTCACATACAGGTTTTTGTGTAAAGAAGTTCTCATTTACCTTGGTTTAACACCTAAGAGTAAGATTGCTGGGCCATCTGGTCATATGGTATGCTTACCTTTCTAAGAAACCACCAAACTGTTTTCCAAAGTGGTTGCACCATTCTACATTTTCATCATCTGGGTATGAGAGTCCCAAGTGCTGCACATCCTTGTCAACATTTGGTATGGTCAGTCTTTTTAATTTCATGCATTCTGCTCAGTGTATCTTCTCATTGTGGCTTTAGTATACATTTCGCTGATAATTAATGATGATGAACACTTTTTAAGGTCCAGAATTTCCAGATATATATTTTATTTGGTTAAGCACTTATTCAGATCTTTTGCCCATTTTTTAAAATTAGGTATGCTTTTAAATTTTGTTTCATTTTTTAGATTTTTAAGTATTCTTTATATATTCTAGATATAAGGTTTTTTTTCAGATATGTGGGTTTTTTTTGTTTGTTTGAGACAGAGTCTTGCTCTGTCACCCAGGATGGAGTGCAGTGGTGTGATTTTGGCTCTTTCTGTTATTGCAAAATAACAAATATTAATTTTGATGAAGTCCAATTTATCATCTCTTAAAATTTTATGGCTCATGATTTTGATATCATATCTCAGAAATATTTGCTTAATCTGAGAACATGAAGTTTCTATCTTTGCTTCCAAAAGTTTTATATTTTCAAGTAGTATATTTTAAGTCTATGTTTCATTTTAAGTTAATATTTGTATATGGTGTGAGGTGTGTATCAAAGTTTTTGTCATTGCATTGTTTTGTTTTGTTTTGTGTTATGGTTTGAGTGTGTCCCTCAAATTTCATGTTTTAGAAACATAATCCCCAAATTTCTGTGTTGATTGGGGGTGAGGCCATTGGGAGGTAATTAGGATTGCATAAGGTCATGAAGGTGGGGCCTCCATGATGGGACTGGTGGCTTTACAAAAAGAGGGAGACCTGAGCTGATACACACTCTCGCTCTCATGCCTTATGTGATGCCCTCTGCCATGTTATCATGCACTAAGAAGGCCCTCACCAGTTGCCAGTGCCATACTTTTGAACCTTGCAGATTCCATAAATGTAAAAAATAATATTTTGAAATAGATACTCACTATGGTATTTTGTTGGAGCAACAGAATACAAAGTAAGACATTTTACTTGTTTTTTTTATTTTCTTTTGGCATAATTTTATTCACTCGTTTAGTACTATTTGTTGAAAGATTATCCTTTATCCACTAAATTGCCTCTGTACCGTTGTTGAAAATCACTCGGCATATGTGAAAACCTGTTTTTGAGTTCTGTACCATTAACTGATTTGTGTATCTTTATGCCTCACTATTTTGATTAATATAGTTTCTAGTTTGCTGAGAGTTTAAATTGGAAATGACTATGAGATTTCATCCAGTCCTTTTTATGAATATTTGCAGGGTATATACATTTTTTTAAATTTAAACTCTTGTTATGGTGCAATGCATTAATTGATTTTCAAATTTTGAACCATTGTACTCTGGAGAAAAGAATGCAAATGATATTCTTCCGTTAGCAAAGAATTACTTTAGTGAAATATGGTTAATTGTGTTCATATAACTGAAGCTCAGCAGGGTGTGTGCCTACCTTATACTATTTAAAATAAATTTGAGGGCATTTTGAATACTTTTGACTTTGCTTTATTATTTATAGCAACTAAGTACTAAAAATGCAGATCAACATGGTTAACAAGTTTGCTACCTGAAACAACAATTTCGAATAGATGTATATGTATTCTATTCAATCTAGTTAAAACTATTGTTGTTTTATACCCTACAGAGAATTTCGTTAATTATCCCTAAAATTTTTGTAACACAGATTCAATTTAGGCAATATGTTTCATAGTTCTGCTGTTCTGCTAAAGACAAATACAGAAATTATAATCAGAAGGCTTAATCAGCTGTGGCAAAGTACAAATGAGGCAAAACCATAGTACGTTTATTTCATTATCTAAATTTGCAAACTTTGCCTCAACGTTTAAAGAAAAACAACCCAATTAAATCAGATGAAGGATAAACAGACTTCTCAGCAGAGATACTTCAACTGAGCTAGTATAATATGCTGCCCATTATAAAGTAGTCTCTTACAGATATTGATTACATTATTCTTTTCTACTGTTGTAACTGAGTTAGAAAAATATAATTCAGCATCTTATACTCTCTGTAAAGAAATATTTTTTCATTCCATTTGTGTCCTCCAGATAATGCAATAGTATGTCTATTATAAGAGTATTTTATTATTTTTGTTATTTCTTTTTTAAAAAGACCTCATCAATTAATAGTTAATCATAATTGATTTATACATCTGAGAAAACAGAATAGTTTAATTGGAATGTTGGCATATGGCACAACAAAGTTTTACTATCATTTATGTAGCCATTATAAAGTGATTTTTGGATTGTTAGACTTACAAATTTAAAAAATGCAATCAATGAGTGTGAGAATGGTAAAATAAGGGTTTCATTAAAAAATTAATGTAAGTTATTTTAATGAATTATCCTTTTCTTGAGAAAGATTTTCATAAACCTTATTAAGTAGTTGAATCAGGAAATATGATTACTGAGCAGCTGCAATTCAGAAAATTAGGTGAGTGCTCAGGTTCTTGAACCAGTGTGTGATGGGTTAGGGCAGATGAATTGAAAACTTCTCAGAATCAGGGTCCTGACTCAGGAGAAGGGGAAAGCAGGAAGCAGAAAGAAGGGGCAGGCCCTGAGCATCCTATACCCTTGGCTGAGACATGTTTTCATCTCATTCCTTCCAGGCCTGCTAAACTGTTAACCTACCACCCAACAGAGCTCTTTTGTAGACTAGTAATTCTATCTAAGCTCTCACTGGTAATTAAATGCAGAATTAGAATAGAGAAGAAAAAGTCAATATTTACAAAGAATAGCAGTGATATGCTAATTAATATTGGGTCATATCTGAGGATATTTATGGGAATGAGTTTTGAGGTGGCTCAACTAAGGAAATGTGAACATATTTTAGATGAGAATAAGTGCTTCCATAAGTGTTTTAATCATAGAGGCTACATTCAATGTGTTAGTTCTAATGAGCATGAATTATAACAATGGTCTAGGTTGTTGTGCAAACTTAAACCTATTATTGAACCATGTGAAAGCAGATTATCCATCAGAAATCTACTGGTATGATATAGAAGCAGGAATTCAAAGGCTTCAGGGCATGGAAAGACAGAACAGGTCTCATTTTGAGTATGGCATGCATCTCCTAATTATGACCATTGAGAGGATTCCAAAGAACTTCCTCTTAACAAAAATTTAAGAAATCATTTATTTGTTAAAAGAAATACATCCTCTTTCCAATGGAAATGCAGACGGGAGACAAATTACTTAAAGAAAGCTCTCTGGTCTCCAAAAGAACAGGATCCTTCTGAGCATTCTACTAAATGCCCTGTGAATTGTAAGGTGTTTCCTCTGGCTGGTGGGAATGGGAACTAATCTGTATACTGTTGGCTCAAATCTTTTTGTCTGTTTCCTTCCCCAGCCTCAGGTAGCTTCCTCGTATACCTGTGCTGAACAGTGCTGTCCTGAACACTCGTGAGGGCTCTTCTGCAGGTCTAGGGAGCTGTTTCTCCATGCAGCTCTCTCCTCTCCTATCCGCTGCCCTGGGAACTCTAGTCTGGTCTCCACGGACTCTCCACAAAAATCTCCATCCCTTCCACTTGTGCTCTCCGTTCCTGCCCTGTGGTCTGGAAACTCTCAAAGCAATAAACGAGAGCACTCAAAGGACACACCTCATTTGCTTCTCATTTCTAAGAGCTCACATTCCTTCATTGCCTGATGTGCAGTGTCTTGAAACCTGTTTCATATATTTTATCAAGTTTTTTTTTAGTTGTTTTTCAGGTGGGAGAGTAAATTGGTCCCTATCACTCTATCTCAGAAGCCGAAGTCTCCATAGTTTACTTAAAAGTGTGTAAACTTCCAAGTATATGGAATTGTCCAGATACCTTTCTATTATTGGTTCCTAGTTTAATTACCTTTTGGTCTCTGAACACCTTCTGTGGTTTCCTTTATTTTAAATTGCTAAGGTTTAAAAGTTTGTTTTGTGGCCCACTTTATGGAATATTGTCTATCTTGGTGAACTTTCCATGTACATTGCAAAGAATGTATATTCTGCTGTTGTTGGCTGGACTGTTCTGTAAATCTCAGCGTATTAGTCAGGGTTATCCAGAGAAACAGAACCAATAGGAGATATTTATATACATAGTTGGATCACATAACTGTGGGGCTGACATGTCTGAAATTCACAGGGCAGGCTGCAGGCTGGAAGTTCTGGCAAGAGCTGATATTGTAGTTTGGGAGGCACAATTCCTACCAGTTCCAGGGGCTTTCAACTAATTGGATAGGGCCCATCTACATTACGGAAGATAATTTGCTTTACCCAAAGTCTACTGGCTTAAATGTTAATCAATCTAAGATCTACCTTCATAGCAATATCTACACTGGTATTTGACCAACATCTGGGTGTCATCACCTAGCCGAATAGACACATAAAATTAACCATCACTGTTAGCGGTGGAAGACATCCAAGTTATCCAAAGTTACCTGTGGTGCATCTGTGTGAGTTGGCAGCAACTCCAGTCCTTGCCTCCTCAGAAGAAAGAATTTGACTGAGGGGCATAAAGCAGAAGAAGAGACTGCCGCAAGTTTCAGGGCAGGAATGAAAATTTATTAAAAGGCTTTAGAACAGTAAGGAAAGAAAAGAAGGAAAGTACAACTTGAAAGTACAAGAGGTCAAGCTGTGCACTTGGTTTCTCAAGGGCCAGGCAGGCAACTTGAGAAGTCAAGTGCATAGCCTGACCTCTTGACTTGGGGTTCTATAGGTTGGCATAACTCCGGGATCTTATTGGGAAGCTGCTGATCAGTTTCGAGTGTTTTCTACCTATTAGGAGACTGCCTTTCTGTGGTGCCAGCCATGACCAATTATTACTTTAGAGAAACGGTTAACAACCGCCTGACCATCACCTGATGGTTGCCCAACACTCCTGGTGTGTGTGTTGTGGGGAGCCCTCTCCTGCCTTGCTCCAGGCTACCTACTGTAACATCACAGTCAGGTCCAGTTGGCCTATGATGTTCATGACTGCTAAATGCTTGCTAATTTTGTCTTTTTGTCCTACCAATTACTGATAGAGAAGAGTCTCCAAATATAATTGTGCTTTGAATATTTCTTCTTCAGCTTTATTAATTTTACCTCATGTTTTTTGAACTTCTGTTTTAGGGACGTACACTGAGGACATTTATGGTTTTTGGTGAACTTACTCTTTCATCATTTTATAATGCTCCTCCCTCGTAATTTTCCTTATTCTGAAATTTACTTTGATCTTAAAATTACGGTAGCAGTTTTCTTATAATTTGTGTTTGTATCGTGTATCTTTTTACATCCTTTTATTTTTAACCTATTCAAATCATTGTATTTAAAGTGATTGTATTGGAGATAGCATATAATTGATTTTTGCCCCAATCTGATAATTCCTGTATTTTAATAGGAGTTATTTTTGATGTAGTTAGATTTATGCCTACCATTTTATTGTTGGTTTTATGTTTGTCTGCTCTGTTTTTTTGCTTTGTTTTGACTTTCTGTTGAATTATTGAATATATTCATTATGACATTATAATTTATATATTGTTTTTGCCTCCTTCTCTTCGTACTATTTTTAATGGTGTCTTTGTGATGATCATCCCCTTTCACAGTGGAATAAAAGCTAATATTTTACCACCTTTAAGAAAAATCATAGGACCTCCCAGTTGGGGTCTCCAGCTACCCCTGCTGGTATTCTCCCTGACGGAGGCTTCAAACCTCCCTGTGACAGAGTTTCCACAGGGAGGGGCAGACCACCACCGTCTTTGCCATTCCAGAAACCTACCCATTCTGGCCTTTGGGCTTTGGAGTGTTCGAGGTGACCTATGGGCCGAAGAGGACCCTCAGCACGGACAGTTGTTCTACAAAAACATGGCAAGACTGCTTTTTAAAATGGGTCCCTGCTTTTTAAAATAGGTCCCATTCCTCCTCACTGGGTGGGACCTCCCAACCAGAGTCTCTAGGCACCTCCTACAGGTGCATTCAGGCTGGCAACAGGTCTGTACTTCCCTGGGACAGAGCTTCCAGAGGGAGGGGCAGGCTGCCATCTTTGTTGTTTCACAGCCTTCACCATTGATACTTCCAGGTACTGGAAAACTTGAGGTGATTAGGGACTGGAGTGGGGCCCCAGCATACCACAGCAGGCCTGCAGAAAAGTGAACCAACTGTTAAATGGATGCCTGTTCCCCTATCTCCTTACTGGGCAGGTTCTCCCGCCCTGGGCCTGTAGTCACCGCCCTCCCAGAGCTATTGAGCTAGTAGCAGCTCGGCAACTCTCTAGACAGAGCCCCCAGGGTCAGCTGAAAGCTTGTCTATCACTGCCTCTGTAGTGGCATTGCCCTTGCCACCCTCGGACTAATGAAGAAGCAAAGACCCTAAGGGTCTTATCCACATTGCCAACAAGCGGCAATTTACCCAAGGAGAGGAGGCCAGTCCATCTCCCATGGGACTCCCACATACCTCACTGCTTGTTATTAGACAGGAAGCCCTTGGTTTGGGCCCATAGCAAAGGCCCTCCATTCTGGGGTGATTGCACTGAGCAATTGTGGACCTGCGTCTCTCTGGGGTGGAGCCCCCAGAAGGCAGACAAAAGACCCTTGGCCACAACTACTAATAGGGTACCTTCCTCTATGCCTGCCTCTGTTCCTTGGGGAAGAAATATAAACACTGAGATTGCCCCAGAGCTGCAGTGGGCAGCCCTGAAGTGCCAAGCCATGATCTAAAGCCAGCACTCAAGGGGGAGAGGAACCCACATTTTCGGAACATTGAGAGGGAACACGGCTGCAACTGTGAGGAAACAGGGGAGCCACACAATTAAGCAAGAGTCTAACAACCAACCAACACACCTAAGTATCACCAGTGGATCACACCCTAAAGCTCAACACCAAAAATACCTGGCTAAGATGGCCCCTCTGAAACCAAAGACAAAAAACTCCAAATAAAGACCCTGCACAAAGCCTGGGCCCTGTAAAAAATATCAAGAAATGAAGTCTATTGACTGTAATCAATCTACATAGCAGTTAAAGGAATACCCACATGCAGAAATGAGAAAGAACCAACACAAAAACTCCAGCAACTCAAATGGCCAGAGTGCCACATGTCTGCCAAACAACTGCACTAGTTCTCCAAGTGTTCTTAACCAGCCTGACTGGGCTGAAATGAAAGAAATAGAATTCAGAATTTGGATAGGAAAGATCATCGAGATTCAGGAGAATAACAAAACCCAATGCAAGGAAACTACAATCACAGTAATACAATACAGGAGCTGAAGGATGAAATAGCCGGTATCAAAAAGAACCCAACAGATCTGACAGAGCTAAATAACACAAGAGTTTTACAATGCAATAACAAGCATTAACAGCAGAATAAACCAAGCTGAGGAAAGAATCTCGGAACTTGAAGACTGGTTCTCTGAAATAAGGCAGTCAGAAAAAAAAGAAAAAAGAATAAAAAGGAATGAACAAAATCTCCAAGAAGTATGGGATTATGAAAAGAGGCCAAATCTTTCCATTATTGATATCCCTGCAAGGGATGGGAAGAAAGCAAAGAATTTGGAAAACATATTTCAGGATATTCTGTGAAAACTTTCCCAACCTTTCTAGAGAGGCCCACAGTCAAATTCAGGGAGTACAGAGAGCCCCTGCAAATTATCCCCAAGACAAATAATCATCAGATTTTCCAAGGTCAAAATGAAAGAAAGAATGTTAAAGGCAGCCAGAGAGAAAGGGTACATCACCTACAAAGGGAACCCAATCAGGCTAACAGAGGACCTCTCATCTGAATCCCTACAAGCCAGAAGATATTAGGGGCCTATATTCAACATTCCTAAAGAAAAATATCTTCAACCAAAAATTTCATATCTAGTGGGCCAGGCATGGTGGCTCACACCTGTAATCCCAGCACTTGGGAATTGTGGTGGACCACTTGAGATCAGGAGTTTGAGACCAGCCTGGCCAACATAGTGAAACCTTGTCACTACTAAAACTACAAAAAATAGCCAGGCATGGTGGTGGGTGCCTGTAATCCCAACAACTCGGGAGGCTGAGGCAGGAGAATCCCTTGAACCCAGGAGACAGAGGTTGAAGTGAGCTGAGATCATGCCACTGCACTCCAGGCTGGGTTACAGAGGGACACTCCATCTCAAAAAAAAAAAAAAAAAAAAAAAAAAAATCATATCCAGCCAAACTAAGCTTTCTAAATGAAGGAGAAATAAGACTCATTTCAGATAAGCATTTGTTGAAGGAGTTTATTACCACCAGACCTACCTTACAAGAGATCTTGAAAGGAGCACTAAATATAGAAAGGGAAGACTGCTACCAGCTAATACAAAAACACACTTAAACACACAGTGCCACTGTAAAGCAACCACACGAACAAGCTAATATAATAACCAGCTAACAACAAAATGACAGGATCAAATCTGCACATATCAATACTAACCTTGAATATAAATGGCGTAAATGTCCCACTTAAAAGTCACAGAGTAGCAAGCTGGATAAAAAAAACAAGACCCAGGCCAGGTGGTGGCTCATGCCTATAATCCCGGCACTTTGAGAGGCCTAGGTGGGTGGATCACCTGAGGTCAGGAGTTCGAGACCAGCCTGGCCAAAAAGGCAAAACCCCATCTCTACTAAAAACACAAAAATTAGCTGGGTGTGGTGGCAGACGCCTGTAATCCCAACTACTTGGGAGGCTGACACAAGAGAATTGCTTGAACTGGGGAGGGAGAGGTTGCAGTGAGCTGAGATTGCACCACTGCACTCCAGCCTGGGCAACAGAGTGAGACTCTGTCTCGAAAAAGAAGAAAAAGAAAAGAAAAGAAAAGAATTATCTAGAAGCATCAATTGTAAGAAAAGACTAGAGGTGAGTGGAGCAACAAGACTCCTGTAATAGTGAAAATGGAAATTATGACAATTAAAGAGTAGTTGCAGCATCACTGCCAACAGGAGGGAAAGACCCACTTGATAATTTAGGAGGGATTTAGAAGGAATCAAAGACACCTGCAAAATAGTGAATCTGGGTGACTTACAGAATAAAGAAGCCATTAATCGCTTTGAAAGATGAGGGAGACATGAGAGGTTCACTTTGAATATATTGCTTGACAGCTGGCAGGTTATGTCACTCCATGTGTTCCACAGATATTAGACAAAGCATACCTTATCTGGAGACAAGGTTTGACTGGATAAATAGGAAGGGTCCATCTGTGTAATAGAACTATTTTAGAATGTAGGAATAGATAAAGTATCAAAGGAATATATGGAGATTAAAAAAATGGCTCCTGGAATCAGTAATGTGCTGGTTTTCAGGAGTTAAAAAATTATTGACTCGGGTATATCCTAGTGAACTGACAAAGATACATTGTTTTAAATATATAAAAACTATTAAGAAACTATATTCTTAATGCCAAAAGCAGTAATGCAGATACTAATTAGCATTGTATTTAGGAAAACCACTCATGCATTTGAGACTAAAATTCTAATCTGTTACATCAACATACATGACTTTCTAAAGCTCTCCTGGTTTTTTTTCTCCCCAGGAGAATCTTTCTGCCTAGGCATATTCAATCCTCAGTTGTATCCAAGATTCCTGTGTCAGAAAAAAACAACAGCTCACCATCTTCAGCTCACTTAGGAAGGGTCTGCCCTTCTCAGCTATGTTATTTTATCTAGTTATTGATTCCAAAATTTCCTGATTTCTTAAATATATGTTTTTTATATATAATGGTAATGGTATTGGTTTTGAGGCACATTGTGACCTTTCAGATAAGGGAAACACACAGCCAGCTGCATAATCACCCCAGGACTTGACTGGGAGCCCTTTTCAGAGAACAGCATACGAAGAAAGTCACTGAACTGGACAAAACAATCTCATTGAGCCAATGAAGGAAAGATCAGAATTCCTGGCTGCTTACTTGTTTGGAATTTTCCAGAAACAAGGCCCTATAGAGACATGGCATCCAGAAGGCTGCATATGGATCCCTCATGATTCATCTGCCGCAGGTTCTGAGACTGCACATGTGCAGTGTGTGACTCTGTGAGGCCTACAGTAGACTGCTGTGGAGATGAAAGTTCTGCAGAGGCAGCAGAGGTCTTCAGAGCCAGGGAACAAGGAGGTTCTGGCTTACCCCAAGCGAAGAGACCTCCTTGATTCCCTTGGACATGCCACTAAGATTGCAGAATACTCCCATATTAGGGTCAAGACCATGACCTAGAGTAAAAGACAGACCTTAGGACAAAAGACTAAACTTAAGTAAACTAGAACTAAAAGAAGTAACTCCAAACCTGACAGAATCGAGTAGATCAATACATAATTTAAATTCCAGGAAAAAAATTAACAAATCTTTACAAAGAAGTAAACATCATCCAGAACTGATACAACATATCATTCACAGTATCTAGAAAGTAATCATACAACTGCCAGACTTGTGAGAAAGAGTGAAAATATGACTCATCATCAAGAAATATAGTAGTCAACAGCAGCCACAAGATAACCCACATAGTAAAATTGTCAGTGACAGAATTTACATATATATGTAAATTCTCTCTATATATTCTCTCTCTATATAAATTCTATATGTATATATTCTATATATGTAAATTCTCTCTATATTCTCTATATGTAAATATATACATATTATATATGTATATGTATAATATCTGAAATGAAAAGTTCATAAGGGACTTAAGCAGAATTTGAAGGCTGCTAAATAAAGAGTGAATTATTTCTATGATAGGTAAACATAAATCATTCAATCTGAAGAAAAACGTTGAAAAAACACACATTTCTACATTAGCTTTTGGAAAAGTGTCAAGCATTCCATACACAAGTAATTGGAGTCCTTACAGGAGAGTAGAGAAAAAGTACTGAAGAAACAATATTAGAAGAAATATGGATGAAAATATTCTAATTTGGTTAAAAAAACCCATCAACATGCAGACGCAAGGGCTCAGCAAAACTCAAGCATGTTAAATACAAAGCAAGCCATGCCTACATCCAAATCAAACTGCTGAAAATCAAACAACAAGAGCAAATCTTAAAAACAGACAGAATAAGACACTTCACACAGGACAATACTGATAATAATTTCCCTGGTGTGGCTTTGGAAATAAAGACCTCCAGAAGGAGTGAAGTAATATGTTTAAAGTGTTAGAAGGAAAGAAAATGTAAATCCCATATTCTACATCCAGCAGAAGAATCCTTTAAAAATCATGAAGAAACAAAAGTAGAGAGTTTTCATTCCCAATTTACCTGCACTATAGAGAATGTTAATAGGAGCTCTTCTTGAGGTGAAATGACACCAGATAGCAACTCAGGTACACAGGAAGGAATAAGAAACAGCATATAAAATAAGTACATGGATAAATGTGAAAGACAGCTTTTTCTTTTTAATTTCTTTAATTGCCAACTAACTGTAAAAAGATAATTATGTAATTTTGTTGTGGAATTTATAATACTTCTAGATGTAAAACATATGACAATAACATAAAGGGCAGGATACATGTGAAAGAAATTTTGCTATTACATACTTATCATATAATATTAATTCCAAGTAGTTTACAAGAAGTGATAATGAATTGTTTAACCCTTAGGGTGAGAATTAGAGAATAGTTCAAAGATCAGAAGCAATTAGGAAATAAATTGAAACATTAAAATATATTCAATTAGCCAAAGGGACTACAGAAAACAGATGAGATATGCAGGAAACAAACAGCAAGGTAGTAGATTTAAACCCAACTATACATAATTTATTACATCAAATGCAAACCTACTAAAAATTACATATGAAAGGAGATTGGCTGGATAAATATCAAAACTCAGTTATATACAATCTAACAGAAGAACACACTAAATGTAAAGACATGTTGCAAGTAAAGGGATAAATATGAATATATACACGTTAAACTCATAGTTATAATGTGCATTCTAATATCAGACAAAGTAGTCTATAAGACAAGGAATAATACCATAGATAAAATGAGAAAATAAGGCCGGGTGCAGTGGCTCACACCTGTAATCACAGCACTTTGGGAGCCCAAAGCGGGTCACTTGAGCCTGGGAGTTTAAGATCAACCTGGGCAACATGGTGAGACACCGTGTCTACAAGAAATAAAAATTAGCTGGGCATTGTGGCACATGCCTATGGGCCCAGCTACTCCAAAGGCTGAGGTGGGAGGATGGCTTGACCCCAGAAGGTCGAGACTGCAGTGAGCCATGATCGTGCCACTGCTCTCCAGCCTGGATGACAGAGGGAGACCCCATCTCAAAAAAATAAATAAATAAATAAGGGAAAATACGATGTTTTATAAGGATAAAAGGGTCAATTCATCAGGATATCATAAGAATTTTTAGTGTGTATGAAGACAGTTCTTCAGAATGTAAACTGAAACAAAAATAAAAATTTAAAAAAAGAATAAAAGGGAGAAATATACAAAATGAAATCTCTCCTGGATATTTTAAATTTCTATATGTATAATTGCTGGAACACATATATGAAATAAATCACAGAAATACAAAAGATTTGAGCAATGCTACTAATCAAATTGATCTAACTTTCAAATATAAAATATGATTCAAAATGACTGAAGTATACATATTCTCTTGCTGTACACATAAAAAAACACTGAAATAGATTGCATGGTGATCTATAAAATAAGTTTCAATACATTTTAAAATGAAATTGTATGCAAAATGTTCTTTGATCACAATTTACTTGTTAAAAATCAATAGCAATAAGGTGTGTAGAAAATCTACAAATATTTGATCAATTTAAACAACACACTTCTGAATGACACATGCCTAGTTTGCTCTCTGATATCTTCAAATTGTTTTTTTCTGCCAAATTTTATTTAGCTTTTATAGTTGTTTTCAGATAGAAGACTCATCTAATAGAAAATATTTTACCATATGAATATGTTCATTGGCTTGATTTAATCATTCTACATTGTATACATGTATCAAAACATCAGATGGTATCCCATATTATTATTATTATTATTATTATTATTATTTTAATTAATTTATTTTTTGAGACGGAATTTCGCTGTTGTTGCCCAGACTGGAGTGCAATGGTGCAATCTCAGCTCATTGCAACCTCTGCCTCCTGGGTTCAAGTGATTCTCCTGCTTCAGCCTCCCTAGTAGCTGGGATTACAGGCATGCGCCACCACACCTGGCTAATTTTTTGTATTTTAGTAGTGGCAGGGTTTCTCCATGTTGGTCAGGCTGGTCTCGAACTCTCGACCTCAGGTGATCTGCCAGCCTAGGGCTCCCAAAGTGCTGGGATTACAAGCATGAGCCATCGCACACAGCCTATTATTTTTAATTAGCAAACTGTGATTTGCTATTTAAAATAGATAAAATAAAACAAAACACTAATTGTCTACCCTAAACTAAACTACACATGTAGAACACTACTTTGTCTGCGATTTATCATAGACCTGCACTCATACTTCATAGATGGTAAATTATTCCTATTTATCTAAATCACTTGGAGTGGTGGCTTGGCCTTCACCAAAGGAAACAGAAGGCAGAGAAAGAACAAACTTGTAGGACGCAACGATTTTCACAAAAGTCACCACAAAAGGATAGTGATTTCTACTACAACCTGCCCTTAGTATGTCCCCATGCATTGATGCCCACCCTGGGAAAATGTGGATTCAGAATGTTTAGGTTATCACACTAGCTACAATCATCTAAGAGAGAGTTCATAGTACTCACGAAATTTCAAGTTCATAGACTTAATAAAATCTCTATTCTTTACAATCCAGTTCCATTCCCTTTGGATCTCATCCCTGACCCACTATTAAAATCTATTCCAAATCTCTCTCTAGAAATTTGTCCAAGGAGGAGAAAGAGATCTTTTGCTTCACTCCTAATTATAGATTATCTTTTGTAAATCGTCGATTTTCTATTATCATTAGCATAAGGAGGAGGCCTAATAGAGGCAATTGGCAATGTGGCTTTATGCAGTTCAGTCTCAGACCCTCTACGCTGACTCTTCAGTGCATGAAAGGCAAGCCCACTGCAGTCTCCCCACCTTATCTTATTTGCTTGTCCTAGTGTAGCCCTTGACTTGATGGGTGCAGCATACTTTATCTTTATTAACTAAATCTAATATCTTTCCCTTCTTCAGTATATAGAGTTTCCTTCTCATCAATACCACCAAAGAGGAACCATATTTTGTAAGTCTTTGCATCCCACACAGAGACCTAGCACATAGTAGATGGTCTTTCCTAAAATCACTTTTGAACATTTACTATACTGGGTTTTTGAACAGAAATTTTCACCAAAGCTCAGAATACCTGTATACATATAAAATAAAATGATTGATGCAAACACAAAAATACTCCATCATAAACAGAATCAGGAAGTCCAGCATATTTTCTAAAATCCTAAAATTGTAAAACCGTAGAATGATTTAGATGCTTAAACCATATAAAGAATGATGACTATATTTAATTGCATGTTTGTTTCTCCTATGTTTTCCTTTGTGAAATCACTAAGTTCTAAAAACTCTGTAGAAAAGTGATTTCAGCTTTATATTTACATTGGTAACTCAAGGTTAAAAATGCATTTCCACATTTGTAATATCTACAGAACCTATGACTATATATAGCTACTGCCTCCTCTAATAATAAATAAAACAGTCATATATTGAGTAGTATCTGTCAGATTGCAATTGTAAGACAGCCTCCTTGAAATTGACTTATTCTCATGGACATCTGATTAATTTATTTACTTCTATTTCTTCTGCAATACTATTCAATACTATCTTTAGTGTTTAATAATTCATTACCAGCTGCTCAGAAGCTATTGATTAAAAATTGGATTTGGAGGTTACCCCATGAAAAGCAAAGGTATGTTCAGATATCTTAATATGTAAAATAATATATGTTCATAAATTCTAGACTCTTTAAATTGGCTATTCTGTTTCTTGAAGCAAAAGTATACTGATATAATGTTAATTATGATTATTATAAGTATGACTAAATGTGAGAAAAAGATGAGCTAAATTGTTGTTATGTCTACACAACAGACCCAAGAGAATCAATTAATTAACATATTTCAAAATAAATTGGGGAAATTATTATAACTTGTAGAAGCATATTGCAAAGTTTTACACATTCACATGTAATGTTACTCACTACATGTGTATGTGTAATTATGAGGACAGAAATCATATGTTTTTTGTTAATCATTAAATACCCAGCCACCCTGGACAACAAAGCTGGAAAACACTTAGAAATATTTGTTGGATGAATGAATGAATGAATGAGCAGCAAAGCTTTAGAGTTGTTTGAATGCTCAGCCAGAGAAAGTCTGGACACTGAGACCCTGTACCTTTATGCTTGCAGAGGGGCCCACATTTCCCCAGAAAGTGATGGCACTTCAGCTGTGCTGAGAGACTGCAAAGCTCCCCAATCCTGCACCAGGCAACAGATGCCCCCATAAGAGCTGTTTCTACCCCTGCTTCTCACAGCCAGGCCAATAACAAGAGTTCAATCCCAACATAACTGAGGAAGGTTCTGAGCCTGATAAAAAGGGTGGAGATTATACATCTCAAGGGCTGCAAGATTATCCAGCATGTGCTGGCAGAAGCCAAACTCCTGTGATTGGAATTTGAGTGTGCCTGATCAGAGGTCAGACTATAAGACAGATAAGCAACAATACATTGACATAGAGATCCTGTTTTCAGAGCGCATGATTTAATATACTGGTAAGAAGCCCAGGAAATGAAGCAAACGCACTGTTAGAGTTACCTATACAAGTCTGGAATAAATGGCAGCCAACTCCCAGTGAAGTACAAATGCTTGAGTTGCCCCAACAGACAGTAGAGGATGAGTAAAGAGGCAGAGGGAAATGTGCATGCTGGAATGGATATATATATAGTACACAAGGCCAGAAGGTCCACCAGAGGTTTATGTTCTAAGGAAAGGTCCAAAAGACACACCATTCACCAAGGCCATAGGGAAGGCACTGGAAACAGGGGAATCAGGTGCATTAAATTCAGAGGGAGCTCACCTGTGCAAGCTGAAGATAAGACACATTAGGCAATCACAGAGCTGGGCTCATTAATATCCAGAGGCAGGTGAGGTCTCAAAGAAATAGAAGCCAGGTGGTGATGGTACTTACCTACTGGGAGCTAAGAGTTCTCATTACCACAGTGAATGGCAAGTTCTGGAGGTGCAGCCAAAGGGCTTGGCCCACAAAGAGCTGTGGTGGTTCATAGAGAATGGTGTTCCTTGGGGAAGAACAGATCAGCAGCTAACACGGAAGAACAGAGCAGCAAAAGGCTGAGGGTGGTCACTACATAAGCTCTGCTTCTAAGACCCCTAGACGCTGCATGAATGGGCTTCAGTACCTCTCTAACCTACTCTTCAATTTTATTCAAGCATTATATGTCAGCATACACTTAGAAGGGTTAAGGCATGAGGGCCCCTTATGAGGTTGTATCAAAGACATACCTAACCATAAAAATGAGCAGTGGTTAATGAATATTTCACTAACAAACCTAATACTGAAAATAATGCTAATGCTAATAAGCTAATACTGAAAAACTGGAATTTTTCTAATTTTGTCCCTTACACCAAAAAATAACACAAGGTTATGTTTGGCTATTAATATTGAGTAATGCTTTTCTGGAGGTGCTAGTCAAGAAATTGAAAATACAACTTAAAAGAGGAATAACTATGTTTTATAAATAAGAGACAAATGTAATACAGGTGACAGAAGAAGTATAATTATTATTTGAAGACGATGTAATTATCTATCTGAAATATTCAAGAGAATTAACTGGTAGAACAATGAGAAGGTTTAGTAAGTTAGCCAGATAATATACACTTGCTCTTTATAGACTTTATATTTTTAACATGGCTACTTTTCTAATTCAGATCACCTCAACTCAAATAAACACATTTGTTAGAATTATTATAAGTCTTTCACCTGTTATGACTTTCTAACTTGCTATTTAACTTTTTTTTTCTTTCTTTTTTTTTTTTTTTTTTGGCGATAGAGATTCGCTCTTATTGCCCAGGCTGGAGTGCAGTGGCGCAATCTCAGCTCACTACAACCTCTGCCTCCTGGGTTCAAGGGATTCTCCTGCCTCGGCCTCCCTAGCAGCTGGGAATACAGGCACCTGCCACCACGCCCAGCTAATTTTTTGTATTTTTAGTAGAGACGGGGTTTCACCATGTTGGCCAGGCTGATCTTGAACTTCTGACCTCAGGTGATCTGCCCAACTCAGCCTCCCAAAGTGCTGGGATTACAGAAGTGAGCCACCATGCCCAGCCTATTTAACTTTTTATTCTGGGTAAATATTAAACATTAATAAATACCACTTTGGTATGTATTAAGTTAATCAAATGTAATAGTATATTTGCTCTCCTTTGAATTTTTATTATTATAAATACCATATGATGATCAATTTGTGAATTCCTAGAATAAATTAATTGGATTAATTTGGAATAAATTAATTATTCAATTTATTGCTGGTTCTACTTATTTTAAGTAAGGGTGAGTTGAAATATTCTTCATCTTAACTATATTTTTCAGATTTCAGTATCATTATGATGATGACTATATAAAACAATTTGCTATTTTTAATTTTTTCTTTTGACCAATTTTTTTTTTTTTTTTTTTTTTTTTGAGATGGAGTCTTGCTCTCTCACTCAGGCTGGAGTGCAGGGGTGAGATCTCGGCTTACTGCAACCTCTGCCCCCACCGGGCTCAAGCAATTCTCTTGCCTTAGCCTCCCAAGTAGCTGGGATTATATAAGCACCCACCACCACAACCAGCTAATTTTTCTATTTGTAGTAGAGACAGGGTTTTGTCACGTTGGCCAGGCTGGTTTCGAACTCCCGACCTGAAGTGAACTGCCCACCTTAGTCTCCCAAAGTGCTGGGATTACAGTTGTGAGCCACCATGCCCGGCCCTCTTGGCTAAATTTTAACGTGCATCAGATTCACATAGAATGCTTGTCAAGAATGTAGATTTCAATACCCAGAAACTTTACCATAGTAGGTCTTACCTGAGCCATAGGAATCTACACTTTTAGTCAACAAACTAGCAAATTTGACGTAGGTAAGTCAGAGACCACATTTAGAGAGACAGCAAATGGTGTGATACAGTTTAAGGAATGTTTTAAATTTAAGTTGGAGAGTTTTCTTTGAGGCTGTTTAGGTATGAGAGTTCTTTCTCTAAAAGGTGTCAGAACAATAACTCCATATCTCTCTTACTCATATGTGTGTCTTCACAAGTCAATTTTGGTAATTTTTTACTAATAATTCTTTAATTCATTCAGGCATTCAATTATACTAACATAGAGGTACGCAGTATTCTCTCATGCTTCTACTTATGTCTACGACTAGCTTTCCCCTGATGGTCCTAAGTTTGTGCATATGTACTTTTTCTCTCTTTTACCATAGGCTAGTTAGTGGTTTAATAATGTCAATGGTTCTTTTTACTTAAAAAAAAAAAAAAAACTACTACATATATTTATCCTTTCTTCAGTTACTTCAGATAATGCTAGGATCCGGTTAAAAATCATGCTATATTTTTCCTTTACCTGATGTATAATGAGAAAAGATAAAAGAGGAATATTTTGAATTAAATTTATTGTATATCCCTATTCATCTCTAACATATGTGACTTATACCAACAAAGCACATTAAAATATTGACAAAACATTTCAATGTTAGAGTCTAAACAAATAGCTGAAAAAAACCCAGAAACAATGATTTCTCTACTACTGGACTCCAATTTAAACAAACAGGGTTATATTTAATTTTTCCTCCATGACAATAGAAGCATAATCTCTACGGTGCTAAATTCTATTACCTTTATTTATATATTTCAGACTATTATTCAATATCTCATTTTGAAATTATAAAAATGGATTTATTTTTAGCAAACTATTTTTCATCTTTGTCAGTAAACAATAGTTCAAATTTTTTAAATTTGCCATAATTGTGTGTAACTTGTTGGGATTTGTACTTATATGAAATGTAGTCTAATTTGATATAGGTATTTGACAAAGAAAACTTTCTACAGAACATTAAGGTTGAAAAGTGCTCATGGGAGACAGTGATCCAGAACATAACTGCTTACAACCTGCAATAAAAATCACAACTTCACATTAAGTAATCAGGAGTCAGTGAACAGCTTTCAACATTTAAAGAGTGCCCAAACTGATTATCACATGTTAGGAAGAGAGGTGAATAAACAAGGGGCCTGAGGACAGAGGTTCAAGTTTCCTTCTCTTCTGTGAACTAAGCTGCAATAAGGCACTTGTATTATATTATCAATGAATTTTATAAAATAGTACTTACTTCAATTACTGTGAAGAATTTTTAAAGGATGCATAAGAAAATAATTTAGCATACGGTTTAAACACCCTTAATTCAAATATTACTTACTGCGGACCTATTATGAACAAGACACTTCTGAAATGTGAGAGGAATACACCAGTAAACAAAACAGAAAGAAAAAAAAAAAAAGGGCCAGGCATGGTGGCTCATGCCCGTAATTCCAGCACTTTGGGAGGCCAAGGCAGGCAGATCACAAGGTCAGGAGATTGAGACCATCCTGGCCAACATGGTGAAACCCTGCCTCTACTAAAAATACAAAAATTAGCTGGGCATGGTGGTGCACGCCTGTAATCCCAGCTACTTGGGAGGCTGAGGCAGGAGAATCGCTTGAACTCAGGAGACGGAGGTTGCAGTGAGCTGAGATCAGGCCACTGCACTCCAGCCTGGTGACAGAGCATGACTCCATCTCAAAAAAAAAAAAAAAAAATCCGTCTACACTTGTGGAGAGTGTATTCTAATGGAACTGAAAATTTATTATGCACACTAATATATTTGGATTTTATTTCTGCATCATATATTGTGCTATCTATTTACTGTGGGTTTTCTTTGCTTCTTTTGGCCTTTTTTCATTCTTTCTGCTGGATTATCAGGTTTTCTTTTCTTCCTTTATCTTCTGTCTACTGATGGAAAGTTTCCTGTTCTTCTAGTGGTTCTCTGCACCTGATTAGAACACTCTGTGTGCTGTATCACTTCATTTCCTCTTTACTACAGTGATTTTGTTTTTGTTTCTTGTCATGTCATGGACAATTTCTTTTTCTTGTTTTTGAGCAACGGTATAGTGTGTGTGTGTGTGTGTGTGTGTGTGTGTGTGTGTGTGTGAAATAAACTCATGTTTCCACATGTATTCAATCATGCGTCTTCACCCAGAAGTCCGATAATGAGTCAGCATAAAATGGTCTTATTAAATATTGCTTAAATAATGTAAATCTCCTACTTAGAATATTTCAGTTGCTCTCTTTCTTGCATAAAATTACTTCTAAATTCCATAGTTTGGTCCCGGAGGCACTTCATATCATGACCTCTCTTTTAAACCTATCTCCCCTTTTTTCAGTCTATGATTACTTTACCTAAGCTACACAGCATCATTCTTCATCCTCCAATAACCTTCCAGCTTTTTCCCTCTACTCTTCTGCTTATGCCATTTCCTTTACTGACTATGCTCCTATACTGAAATTATTTCTTGGACTTGCTTAAATGCCATTTCTTTTCCATTTTCATGATTGCTCTGTATAGTTAAAGGAGAAGTTAGATTCTCCTCTTTCTGAAATACTAATAGTTTTCAGATATTTTCTGGAATTAATCGATCCTTAGCTAGTGTTGCAATTATTTGTGTTGTTTATTAGGTTGTATGTACATAAGACAACTGTATGAGCTTGTTCTCGTACGTACAGCTGCATGCTCCTTCCTCATTTCTATGAAGCTTTCTTGTTTCCCCAGTTCGTTTATGTAAAGATGTTCAGTATAGTTAGAATGTAGAGTGTAAGTACCATAGTACTAGGGGAGGTCAAACAGATAAGCAGTGAAATGGTTGGCAAGAAATTTATAATTTTTGTTAAGAAAATTGCAAACTCTTTGAAAGGTTGTTAGTGCAGGAGTCATTCTCATATTTTAAAAAAACTTCTGTGTCAAGAATTTGAGTAATGCAATGTTAGAGAAGCAGAAACTAGTTAAGTTGCAGTAATTTCTTGCCCATTGGAGTTATGCAAGACTGATGTGGGAGGATCACTTGAGATTGGGAGGTTGAGGCAGCAGTAAGCCGTGATCACACCACTGTACTCCAACCTGGGCAACAGAGTGAGACCCTGTCTCAAAAAAAGAAAGAAAAAAGAAAAGATAAGAGAAGGCAGAAAAGAAAAGAAAAAAAAAAGAAAAGAAAAGAAAGAAAAAAGAAAGGAAAGAAAAGAAAAGAAAAGAAAAAACATACAGAGAGACACCAGGGCTAGTGTGCACAAAGGGATAAGCATGTGAAGAGGCAGCAGCAACAGGGCAGCCATCTGCAAGTCAAAGAGAGAGGCCTCAGGAGAAACCCACCCAGCTGGCACCTTGATCTCCGGGTTCCAGCCTCCCGAACTGTGAGAAAATAAATTTCTGTTGTTTAAGCTACCCAGTCTGTGGTATTTTATAATGGAAGCCGCCAAAACAGGAAAGAGGAATCATCCATTCCTCTGTAAACAGAAGTGAGGGAGTTTCCTTCTGATGCCTTCTTTGTTTCCAGTGAAGCAGAGTAAAACTTCTGTAATTATTTAACTAGTTAAACTTTTCACATTCTGTATTCCCTACCTCCTATAATTCATGAGGGTGGAATCTCATCTATGTTTATTTCATTTTTTTTCTCCACAGCATCTCTAGTGCTAGGAATTCTATCTGGCATATAGTAGAAACCAAATAAATCTTTTTTTTTTTTTCAAATGAATATTTGTGAGTAAATTGGGAAGTGGTGAGTCAGAAGTCTGAGAAGAGTAGAGGAGTAGTATCTGATAAATAAAAGAATAAAGCTACCCAGAACATACAGAGCATTTCTGACTGTAGTTGAAGATTGGAGAAACATGAATTTACAGTGGGACCAGATTACAGAGTTCTGTGATTTTTTCTATACACTTTAAATTGCCTTAAGTGTAAATAATACCTCAATAGAAAAACTGATTGCTCTTCAAGGATTTCTGCTCCCATTACAATTTCCAAAATTAAAGGATACAATTACAATAAAAATTTTGGATTCAATATTATAATAAAATTATACTTCATTAGGTTTTGATTTATGCAGGTAAAGTTCAACACTCCTTAAAAAAACTTTTTATATAATACAATTTTGTAAGACTCTCCTTGCAAAACACGAATAATGAAGATTTAAAGTAATTTTTATAGTTATTATTCGTGGAGCAACCATGAATTTTCTAGTAGTGTCTATAATTCACAAGGGTTAGAATATTTAAGCTGAAATGCCTTTTAAACATGACAGAAGTGATAAAAGTTTTTTTTTAACAGATATTGGGTCCTATGAAAGAGCTACATTAAAAAAAACTGAAGATACTGATTTGATATGTATACAACTCTAATGCACTAATAGTATCACCATTTTATAGATGAGACAGGTAAGACAAAGACAAAAGAATTTGCGCAGGTTCACACTGTTAATAATATGACTGAACCCAAATGTGAATGTAGCAATCTAGCTACAGAATCTGTTCTTTAAATTACTTTGCTCTTCCATGGGCTCTGATTTTGGGTTCTACAATGTGGGTACAATCTTTAAAATTAAATGCAATATTCTTTGGGTTCTTAAATTACCATCTGCATAGGAAAAATAAGGGAAAGTTGCTTATATTTTGAGAAAGTTAAGGTGGTAATAACATCATATCAACAATTACATTAGAATAAATACATAATTATATATCACATATATTTTCCCTATTAGGTTAATTCATAAATAGGCAACTTCTCTTTTTTTTTTTTTTTTTGAGACACGGTCTGGCTTTGTCCCCCAGGCTAAAGTGCAGTGGTGAAAACATGGCTCACTGTAGCCTCGACCTCCCAGGTTCAAGCAGTCCTCCTGCCTCTGCCTCCCAAGTGGGTGGAAGTACAGGCACACACTACCACACCTGACTAATTTTTGTACTTTTTGTAGATATGGGGTCTTGCCATGTTGCCCAGGCTTGACTGGAACTCCTAAGCTCAGGTGATCTGCCCACTCTGGCCTCCCAAAGTGCTGGGAGTACAGGCTTGAGCCACTGCACCCAGCATCATATTGAAATATACTGATTCAGCTTGCAGCAAGATGGCAGAAGCAGTAGCATAGTTTGAAATATCCCTAAATATATGTTTTTAAAAACAGAGTAATTAAATCAGTAAACAAACATAAGCTCCACATGTATAACACAACAAAGTGATAGTATGTCCTTAAAAACTCAGACAATTAAAACATCATAACAAAAAAGAAAACATGAAGATTGTAGCTTTTAATCCAACTCTATAATCATTTTAAATGTGAATGATACAAACACACCAGTTAAGACAGAAATTATCCGGTCATTTACAAAAGCAAAATCCAACTGTATGCTCCTATAAGAAACTTATTTTTTCAGCAACATGGATGTGGCTGAAGGTCATTATCCTAAAAAAATTAACACAGGAACAGAAAACCAAATACTGCATGTTCTCATTTACAAGTGGGCACTGAGCATTGGGTACACATGGAATTGAAGATGGGAACAATCCACACTGGGGACTACTGGGAGTGGAGAGAGAGGAGGCAAGGGCTGAAAAACTACATATTGGATACTACGCTCATTACCCGGGTGATGTGATCATTCATATCCCAAACCTCAGTATCAAGCAATACACTCACGTAACAAACATGCACATGTACTCCCAGAATCTAAAATAAAAGTCATACTTACAAAAAAGAAACCCATTTTAAAATAAAGATTTAGATACATTTGAAGTAAAGAGATGGAGACATATACACCATGTAAACATTTAACCAAAAGAAAAATGAAGTGGATGTATTAATTTCAATAAGGTAGATTTTAAAACATTCCTGTCTCAGATAAATAAGCTTCTTCCCTATATCATAATCATTCTGCCTAAAGAATTTTCTTAACCTAATAGAGGATATCTGAAAAATCTACAGCTAACCTCATACTTAATGGTAAGAGGCTTAATACTGTCCTAAGATATGAACAAAGCAAAGGTGTTATTTCTCATCTCTTCAATTTAATAATGCATTAGAAATCCTAACTGTGCAATAAGACCAAGAGAAACAAAAAGTATACAGTTTGAAAAGAACAAATTTAAACTATTTTTATTCACAGACAATATATTTGTTTATGTAGAAAATCTAAAAGAATCCATTAAAAGTGAAAAATCCTAGATTAACAAGTGAGTCCCAGCATACAAAGTCAATATAAAAAAAGCCAATTATTTGTATTCCTATATATTAGCAATGAACAATCAGCATGTAAAATTTAAAAATCAATGCCATTTATAATAACACAAAATGAAGTAGCTAACTATAAACTGTGCAGGATTTGTATACATAAAACTACTAAGCATTGGTGAAAGACATCAAAGAAAATATAAACAAAAGGGGCAATATATCAGGTTATAGGTCAGAAGACTACATATTATTAAGACATAATTTTTCACAAATTTTATCTATAAATTCAAAGCAATCTCCAAATCTAAGCAATCTTTATTGTAGATATTGATAAGGTGATTCTAAAATACATTGGAAAGGCAAAAGAAATAGAATAGCCCAAACAATTATAAACACAATAATTGATTTTAGAACTCATACAGAGCTCACATTACCAATTTAAACACTTATAAAGCTGCATAAATCAAAACAGTGTGGCACTGAGGAAATTGGAGTTAATAAATAGCTAATCAGTAGATCAGAATAGACACATCAGGAATAGACTCACACAAAAATAGTCAAATGAAATTAACAAATATGCAAAGGCAATTCAATGGTGACAGGATAGTTTTTTTAGCAAGTAATCATGTAACAATTAGACATCCTTAAGCAAAACAAATCAAAACCTTGACAAATAACTAATACCATATACAAAAATTAAAACAATATGGGTTAAAACCCTAAATGTAAAATGTAGAACTATAAAGGGTCTAAAGGAAAATACAGAAGAAAATCTTTGTGATCTTTGGGTTTCGTGTTTAGTTTCTGATACAATATGAAATGCATGGTTCATTTTAAATTAGAAACAAGCTGCAAATTATAAGAAATTAAGAGAACAGTAATGAATATGGTTGTAATTTAAATCAAGATAGAGGAATCTTTTGCCTGAGGAAGTAACACTGTCAATGGCAAGACCTGGCCATTCCCAGTGTGATATTGAAGAAACAGAGAAAAACAACCGCCACTAATAATAACAGCAAAACTCCAACAACCAATAGAAAACAAGATTTTTTTTTCTATACACTCTGTTCAAAGAAGTGAAGTAGCTCAATTCGGTATGATTTTCAATAAAATATGGTTAAGATAAGGAAATCAGCATGAAAAGGCTTTAGCCTGCCAAAAATAATTACTGGTAATTAATCTTCAGCTCTATAGACAATTTTGTGTAATATGCAAGTTTCTCATTCCCTAGTAATATGCAGATCACAAAATTATACTGACAGTGGGAATTAGAATACTTTTTGAAAGCTACTTAGAGTTGACTTCCTGTTCAATTTACTCACCTCCTATAGGACTTGAACTTAATAGAAAAGCAGAAGTCATTTGATGAATTTCATCTTATTGCTCAGAGAGTTTACCGTTATCATCACGGCAAATTGAATGCTTCCTCAAAGACTCATCTGCTGTGTTTTTAAACAATACTTTTATCTCCATCTAATTCCTCATTACAGTATACCTGATCTTTGGAATTTTGAATGTAAAATGGACATGTAACTTGCATAAATATCAGTAAGAGTAAAAGATGTTCATTCTTGTGACTATGAACCAAAAATAAATAGAAAAATGTTTTCTTTTCTTTATTCCTAGTTATTGCCATTGATATGCTTTAGTATTCTGTTATGTTGCTGCCACTATAGCAGGATGTTTATTTTTCTTTTGAGTTTTATTTAATTGATTCTGAAGTCATTGTCAGGAATTGCCTTTGATTCAGAAGGTGGGAGTATTTCTGCTTTGATTCCTATACAGTACACTGAAAAAAAAATATTTTTAGAAGTTATCAAACTCAAGAAAAATGAGAAACATCAATGATTAGTTCTGGAGAACAGAACATCAATGATTAGTTCTGAAAATATATGCAAAATAGATCAGAAGGACGTACTATCTGCCCAGGTTAATCCAAATTTGTGGAGAAAACCATGCTAGATCTTGGAAATAAGACTTTCCGGACATTCATAAATTTCATAAATAAGGTAGAACAATCACTTGTTTATTTAACTGTATGCTAAAATCAAAGGAATGGATGAAAATCTAAGAATTATATAACTCAGTGATGCTTAAAAATTGGTGAAAGTGGAATTTTAAGTGAAATCATTTGTATTTGAGTAGTAGCAAAGTCCCTTTCTAGATATGTGATTTGAGGAAGTATTTAAGCTTACCAAGGTTAGTTTTATTATCTGTAAAACAGCGATAATAATTTATGGTTCATAACACTTACTGGAGTTTTAAAAAGATAAATTATCTAAAATTTTTACAAGTAAGATAGTCATGCAAATTACTGTCCAAGGACTGTGGAAAGTGAAAGGGGGTCCTATTAATTATTTCTCTAGGGAGCTGGACATAAGCCAGAAGTAACATAATTACTTTAAAGCACTGGTGTCATTTCTAGGTCTGGTTCTACATACTAGATTTTTATCTTGATAATGGATTCTTTCCTTACTTTATTCTTACTTTTCTTGTGTGTCTCATATATTTGGATTAAGGTTAGGTCTTGTGTGTACAAGAACAGTAGACAATGAAGTCATTAATATTCATGCCTAAAAGCCTAAAAGACACACCTCTTCTTCGGCAAGATCTTTCATGGGTGGGCTTGAGCCAATCTGGTCGGGAATTGATCCAGGTTTGAGTTTTGTTTTGGGGGTAACTATTTCCAGTGCACAGCGGACTACAAATCCCTTCAGCATTGGATTGCTGCTGCCTTATGCTTGCTTTGAGACCTGATATGGTTTGGCTGTGTCCCCACCCAAATCTTATTTTGAATTGTAGTTCCCATAATTCCCATGTGTTATCAGAGGGACCCAGTGAGAGGTAATTGAATCATGGGGGTAATTTCCCCCATACTGTTCTCATGATACTGAATAAGTCTCATGAGATCTGATGGTTTTATTAGGTTTTATTATTTATCCCTTTCTACTTGGCTTTGATTCTCTCTTGCCTCCCTCCATGTAAGAGGTGCCTTTCACCTTCAGCCATGATTGTGAGGCCTCCCCAGCCACGTGGAACTGTGAGTCCATTAAACTTCTTTTTCTTTATAAATTACCCAGTCCCAGGTATGTCTTTTTCAGCAGTCTGAGAACATAATAATACACGGCCTGTAATAATTTTTTTTCTTTTTCTTATTTTAGAAGCAGTTTTGCTCTTTGTCACCGAGGCTGGAGTGCAATGGCACAATCTTGGCTCACTACAACCTCTACCTCTCAGGTTCAAGTGATTCTCCTGCCTCCCGGGTAGCTGGTATTACAGGTGCGCACCACCATGCCCAGCTAATTTTTGTATTTTTTAGTACATATGGGGTTTCACCATGTTGGCCAGGCTGGTCTCGAACTCCTGACCTCAGGTGATCTGCCCACCTCAGCCTCCCAAAGTGTTGGGATTACAGGCGTGAGCCACTGCGCCTGGTCATAATTTTTTTTCAATGTTCCTGCTCCACTCTCAACTTTCAGCAGCCCTTACACGCCTGCCCCCACTGAGGAGATTTCTGTCCATGTCCCTTCCCCTTGACCACTCAATAGACTGCTGTTGTTACTTAGTTCAACAGTTGCAGTGGGAACAAGGGGTCCCTTCTACTCCAGTTTCTGTCTTAGGCAGTCCCTATGCATATGGACATCTGCAGTGGGGTTTTCTCAGTGTCTTTCTTTCTTCTGCCAATAAAACTGAGCTTTGTATCAATGAGGGGGTCTCAGGTAGGAATATGTTTGCTGGCACTCCTCCTGTGATAGTAGAACCCTGTGTGGTATCAATGCCAGGTCATAAGCTCAAACTGTTTTCATTCTTCTTGCCTCACCTACTATCATCTGAATTTTTGTGTCCCCCCAAAATTCATAGTTTGAAACTTAATCACCAATATGATGATGTTAGGAGGTGGGGCCTTAGAGAGGTATTAGATCATGAGGGTGGAGCCCTTTTGAATGGGATTAGTGCCTTTATAAAAGAGGCGCTAGAGAGCTGCCTTGCCCCTTCCACCACATGAGGACACAGTGAGAAGGCACCATATATGAACCAGAAAGTAGCACTCACTAGAATTTCCTGGTGGCTTAATCTTGGATTTCCGAGCCTCTAGAACCATGAGAAATAAATTTCTGTTTATCATAAGCCACCCAGTTTATGGTATTTTGTTATAGCAGCCAAAATGAACTAAGACACCACCAATGGCAGATGGATTTTGGTTTTAAACCTTTTTCAGAACCACTGAATACTTGCTTTGTGCCAGTTAGTCAGGAGTTTTTTTTTTTTCTTTCATTAGTGGCTTACAGCTCTGTTTCAAATGAAAAACAAAGGAAGCATCTGGGAACCAAGCAAGGTTTCTTCCCTGTGTGTCGCTGAGTGGAGTTTCTCAGATCTCCTATTGTACCCCCGATTTTCCTTGTAATCACTCATGAGAGGCACATGGGAAAGAGCTGGTGAATGAGTTTGGGTTATCTTTGAGTCACAGAACTTCAGCGATACTAACGCTTGCTAGCTCATATTTGACCTTTAAGTGTTAATTTAAGTTTCAGCTGTTTTCTTCCTGCTGACTTTGACAGTGACTCATCTTTCTTCTGTTCTCTGACAAAAGTGAAACAGTCTGTGTGCCCCATGTCTCTCCTGGAAGCCTAGAATCCTTTAGAATTGAGTACACCTGTTTGTCTAACCTCAGTTTTCTAACAGGATCAAGAAAATTTATGATTGGAGGTTGTCCAGTTTTTTCTAAGCAGCAGCAGCAGAACCTGTCTACTGGCTTTTAGCTATAGAAGTTTTGCATTATTTTTGTGTTTTCTGTAGGAATTACAATATAATTACTGATCTTTTCACAGTCTAGTTAGAGTTAACACATTTGCAGCCACAACATTTTAATATTTTTATCATGTAGAGTTCAACTACATATATTGAAAACTCCAAAGACTGTGGTATAATATTCTTATTTAAACATTTATGTATTTTAAACACATTTAAACAGTAAAGTAGACTTATATTTTCCCAGATTCTTATCATTCCCAGTGGTCTTTATTAATTCACCAAGATTCCAAGTTTTTATCTGGCATCATTTCTCTCAGCCTGAAGACCATCCTTCAGAATTTCTGGCCGTGTGCATTTACCGATGATGAATTCTTTTGCATTTCTTTGAAATCTGAAAATGTGTTTATTTGTGATTCTGGAAGAACAGTTTTCTTGACTATAGAGTTCTGTGTAATTTTTTTCTTCAGTACTACAAAGATGTTCTACTATCTTTTTGTTTTCATAGTTTCTGAGAAGACATCCATAATCATTTGAATCACTGTTCCCTTTGTGTAACATATCCTTTTTTTCCGTGCATTTCTTCAAGATTTTCTCTTTATCTGTATGAGCAATATACGGTTAAGTTTGAGCTTTGCTTGTCGAGACTGTAAATTTATACTTTTCCACAAATTTAAGAATGTTTCCGTCATTATTTCTTCAAACGGTTTTTCTGCCCCCTTCTCTCTGTTATCTCTCCGAGTCCAGAATGGCCCAAAGTTAAATTTTTTCATCTTATGCACAAGCTCTGTTCTTTTGTTTTCAAACTTTTAATTTTTTCTTCTTTATATTGAATTTCTATTGATCTATTTTATATTAATTTACTCTTTCCTTTGTTATTTCTATTCCATGAGTAAGCCTAGGTTAGTTCTTTTTATTTCAATGGATTTTTTTAACTCTAAAATTTACATTTGTTGTGCTTATCTTTTCACTCATTATAAGAAATTTTTCCTTATCTCTTTGAACATAATTACAACAGCTTCTTTTAAAGTCCTTGAGTGGTAAATCCAATGTCTGCCCCATCTTGGGCTTGCCATTTGATGATCATCTTCTCCTTGAGAATTGATCACATATTCTTTCTTCTTGTTATACCAAATAATTTTGGACTATAATCCTGATATTGTGAATGCCATGGTTTGGAAATTTTGAGCTCTACTATATTGATACAAAAGTGCTGATGACTTTGTTTTAATAGACAATTAACTTAGTTAGACTCACACTGAAAGCATTTTTGTCTCTGCTTTATGGCAAGCCCAATTTTGATTCAGGATTCTTTCACTCAGCCTCGTGCATCATGATTGGGAAATTAGCCAGATAATTGGTCAGAATTTACATACAGAATTTGGAAATAGGAAAGGAAGAGAAAGTCCAGCTTTTATCAATCATCCTTAAGATTTGGTTATGTATTAAAATGAAAATTCCATGCACTGCACATAAGTCTCACATACCACTAGACAAAACTATGTCTGAACCTGGATGTAAAAGTAGAAGGATACCAGATCCATTTGGGCTAATCTGGGGAAGGGAACACAATGTGCTTTCATAGTTTCTTATTTTAAAGAAAGTCACAAAACTGTCACAATAAAAACCCCTATACCTTTTACCTATATTCTATCATAGTTAATATTTTTAATTTTATCCTCTTTCCCTAAATAATATCATGCATAAGAATTTTGCTGAAATATTTGAGAATAAACTGCTGACATCATGACTTAAATACTTCAACACATATCTTCTAAAAACAAAAAATTCTTTTGCATAGCTATCATGCAAATATAAAATTTGGTAAATTTTATATAGATACAATATTGCACTTTAATTTCCAGTCTATATTCAGAGTTTATCAGTCCTCACAATTGTATCATTTATGGCTGTCTCCTGTGTCTTGATTCCCTGCTTACTTGAGTGCAACCGTTAATGATAGTACTAAGAAACAAAAATAAATTCTGGACAAATACTAAACTAGATTCAACCCCAAGAACCAGGACTATGCTCTAATAAAATCAAAATAGCTCTTTACTTGATTCATTCACCTCTCAGTTATTCTGCCATCCCCCACTGCATCCTGCTTACTTCAAGTAATTTGCTTTTTTAATCTTCAGACCTTGATTTAACAATTCATTTCATGGTCGCTGCTTATGCTCTTCTTCCTAGATCACCGAGATTAGACTTTCAGATCAGTACTTCACTCTACTGGTTTAGATCCCCACATCTTCTGAGAAGGTTTGGCTCTGAATTTTAGCTTCTCAGGAAGTTCAGAGATCTATTTTTTAGTAAGAATTATTTCACTGTTATGAAATGCTCTTTTATTTCTTCAAAGGGACACATCCATCAATATCTTAATTATTTAATTTCATGTTTTAATTTTTATTTTAATTGACAAGTACTTATCAATTTCATGTTTTAAATTTTATTTTTAAAAAATTAAAATTAAAACATAAAATTAAAATTAAAATACTTCTACATATTCATGGGCACATAGTGATGTTTCAATACATATAATGGATGGGGGTCTAATCTGGAGAGTTTTGTATCCTCTTAAGAGGTTGTTGATCATAAACAGGAGTTTCTCACACAGTAAATTTATAATATAGTATTCATTAACATCTTTTTCTCATTTCCAAGTTTATAGTCCAAGGATGAGTTCTTCATTGTAACAAATGTAACTTGTGTTAAAAATTGTGATCTATTCTACCTGTGTGTAGATATTATATCCTCCCACAGTCTAGCAAACCAAAGCTACCAGAGTGTTATGGACCCCAAATGTATTCTCTAATATTATTTAGGTAAGTTGATTTAACCTATGTCTTCATTCAGGCAAATCAAATATATTTCTCAAGAGGCAAAATTAGTTCTTCTGAAACCTCACTAAACATGGGGGCCTTCAGGTGATCAAGGTATAATTTTACATAAAAGAATTTTCAGGAAAATCCTCCAACGTGCCTTGGTATTATCTATTATGCTACTATACATTCTTGTGATGTTACTATGTATTACATTCTTACTTATATTTCTTACATGATATGCCTTAGTTTAGCATTTCTTAAGTTTAAGAACATAAGCAGTTCTATAGTACATTACATGAAATATGAATAGGGACCATATTTAATGATATAACTAAGGGACATAGTTTTTTTGTTGGGATCACAAGTATTAGAATCCAGATTCCCTGATTTCAAGTCTGTTTTAATCTCCTATCAGCTTAAACATCACAACGGTGACTGTATAGTATCTCTGACTGAAAATGATGGAGACGTTTCATTTCATTATTTCATTTGTCGGATTTTTTCCGTGACTTTTTCTGACACTTGTTTCTTGCACAACTCCCTTCCTTCCTTCCTTCCTTCATTCCTTCCCTCCCTCCCTCCCTGCCTCTTTCTTTCTTTCTTTCTTTCTTTCTTTCTTTCTTTCTTTCTTTCTTTCTTTCTTTCTTTTTCTTTCTTTCTTTCTTTCTTTTTCTTTCTTTCCTTCTTTCTGTCTTTCTCTCTCTCTCTCTCTTCCTTCCTTTCTTTTTTTCATTCTTTCTTTCTTTCTCTTTCCTTCTTTCTTTCTTTCTCTCCTTTTCTTTTTCCATCCGCCTGTCTTGCTTTGATGTAATTACCGGAAACAAAGTTCTTTCTTTTCTTTTAAATTCTTTTCTTTTTTTTCCTTTTTTCTTTTATTTATTTATTTATTTATTATTATTATACTTTAAGTTTTAGGGTACATGTGCACAATGTGCAGGTTAGTTACATATGTATACATGTGCCATGCTGGTGAGCTGCACCCACTAACTCGTCATCTAGCATTAGGTATATCTCCCAATGCTATCCCTCCCCCCTCCCCCCACCCCACAACAGTCCCCAGAGTGTGATGTTCCCCTTCCTGTGTCCATGTGTTCTCATTGTTCAATTCCCACCTATGAGTGAGAATATGCGGTGTTTGGTGTTTTGTTCTTGCGATAGTTTACTGAGAATGATGATTTCCAATTTCATCCATGTCCCTACAAAGGACGTGAACTCATCATTTTTTATGGCTGCATAGTATTCCATGGTGTATATGTGCCACATTTTCTTAATCCAGTCTATCATTGTTGGACATTTGGGTTGGTTCTAAGTCTTTACTATTGTGAATAATGCCGCAATAAACATACGTGTGCATGTGTCTTTATAGCAGCATGATTTATAGTCTTTTGGGTATATACCCAGTAATGGGATGGCTAGGTCAAATGGTATTTCTAGTTCTAGATCCCTGAGGAATCGCCACACTGACTTCCACAATGGTTGAACTAGTTTACAGTCCCAACAGTGTAAAAGTGTTCCTATTTCTCCATATCCTCTCCAGTACCTGTTGTTTCCTGACTTTTTAATGATTGCCATTCTAACTGGTGTGAGATGGTATCTCATTGTGGTTTTGATTTGTATTTCTCTGATGGCCAGTGATGGTGAGCATTTTTTCATGTGCTTTTTGGCTGCATAAATGTCTTCTTTTGAGAAGTGTCTGTTCATGTCTTTCGCCCACTTTTTGACGGAGTTGTTTGTTTTTTTCTTGTAAATTTGTTTGAGTTCATTGTAGATTCTGGATATTAGCCCTTTGTCAGATGAGTAGGTTGCAAAAATTTTCTCCCATTTTGTAGGTTGCCTTTTCACTCTGATGGTAGTTTCTTTTGCTGTGCAGAAGCTCTTTAGTTTAATTAGATCCCATTTGTCAATTTTGGCTTTTGTTGCCATTGCTTTTGGTGTTTTAGACATGAAGTCCTTGCCCATGCCTATGTCCTGAATGGTAATGCCTAGGTTTTCTTCTAGGGTTTTTATGGTTTTAGGTCTAACGATTAAGTCTTTAATCCATCTTGAATTGATTTTTGTATAAGGTGTAAGGAAGGGATCCAGTTTCAGCTTTCTACATATGGCTAGCCAGTTTTCCCAGCACCATTTATTAAATAGGGAATCCTTTCTCCATTGCTTGTTTTTCTCAAGTTTGTCAAAGATCAGATAGTTGTAGATATGTGGCATTATTTCTGAGGGCTCTGTTCTGTTCCATTGATCTATATCTCTGTTTTGGCACCAGTACCATGCTCTTTTGGTTACTGTAGCCTTGTAGTACAGTTTGAAGTCAGGTAGTTGTGATGCCTCCAGCTTTGTTCTTTTGGCTTAGGATTGACTTGGTGATGCGGGCTCTTTTTTGGTTCCATATGAACTTTAAAGTAGTTTTTTCCAATTCTGTGAAGAAAGTCATTGGTAGCTTGATGGGGATGGCATTGAATCTGTAAATTACCTTGGGCAGTATGGCCATTTTCACGATATTGATTCTTCCTACCCATGAGCATGGAATGTTTTTCCATTTGTTTGTATCCTCTTTTATTTCCTTGAGCAGTGGTTTGTAGTTCTCCTTGAAGAGGTCCTTCACATCCCTTGTAAGTTGGATTCCTAGGTATTTTATTCTCTTTGAAGCAATTGTGAATGGGAGTTCACTCATGATTTGGCTCTCTGTTTGTCTGTTGTTGGTGTATAAGAATGCTTGTGATTTTTGTACAACAAAGTTCTTTTAAAAGAATTATTCCAGACAAAGAGCAAGAGTACAATGTGTATCTTCCAGGATACTTGCCCATTGGTTTATATATGTTCTTATGTTTGTGGAGAATATCTTTCTTGTGAGTTCTTTATGATGATCAATAGGTAGAATAAACTGTGACTAAGAAATTTGTTTTGGCCAGGAGTGGTGGCTCAAGCCTGTAATCCCAGCACTTTGGGAGGCCGCAGCAAGTGGATCGCTTGAGTTTAGGAGTTCGAGACTGGCCTGGGCAACATGATGGAACCCCATCTCTACAAAAAATTAGCTGGTTGTGGTGGTTCGCATTTGTAGTCCTAGCTACTTTGAAGGCTGAGGTGGGAGGATGGTTTGAGCCTGGGAGGTGGGGGTTGCAGTGAGCTGAGATTGTGCCACTGCATTCCAGCCTGGGCAACAGAGCCAGACTCTATCTCAAAATAAATAAATAAATAATAAAATGAAATTATTCTAATAACATAAATTAGGATCTAAATCCATAAAATTGTAATCACAGAGTTATGCTGTTACAGAGTCCACACAATGCAGATCCTCCAAATAAAAAACAAAAGGCTTTACCAATGTTTCTTAGCCTCATCCATACCTCCTTTATCCTAGAAATTTGCCTCATGCTCATTTCCATTTTAGCCCAGTGTCTTCAGTTGTTCACGCATTCATTTAGTGAGTTAATCAGCCAAAGTGTCAAACACTAAAATAAAATAACATTTATTTTACAGATGCTGATAAAGATTCTACTGTATGTCAGAATCCATGTTAGATACTGGGGATACGAAGAGAAATCAAACAGGATCCCATCCCCAGAAAGGAGACAGACAAAGAAACTGATGGTTGAAACGGCAAATGTGGAGAGTTGTTCAGGGTGCCATAGGAGCACATATAGGTAAACTTAACCTAGGGATACTGCAGGCAGGATTGGAAGTGAGAAGTAACACTTGAGTGGTCTTGATAAACGAGTAAGAAATTAGTTTGGTGAGGAAAGCTAGATCGCTCATGGGGAAAACAGCTTGTTTTTCAGGAGCATGAAAACCCCAGAGAACAGGGATACAAAGTAGTCCCATGGAGGGGTGTGGGTGTTGCCAAAAAATACAATGAATGTAATAAACCAGGGTCAAACATGAACGATATTCAAAGAAACTGGACTTCATCTTAAGCAACAGAATGTCAAAATAATCTATAAGTAGATTATTCTTTATGATCAGCCAGTTATTTAGGTAGAAAAGAGCCAGCACTGACTCACAGGTTTCTGATGTAGACAACAGATATGGTTTGGAAGACAAGATGTTGGGTACAAGTTTGTTTATACTAACTTGAGGTGAAAATTTGTTTGTTCTGAGCCTTTTTCTGGATGGAACATAAAGTTTTCTTAAATATTTTTTATTTTGTTGTAGTGGTGACCTCATGATTGTCTTCTCATATCTTTCCCAGCTCATTGGAGTTTTAGGTTGTGCTGTATCATTCCTTAATAGAATAAAGGTTGTTTGAAGAATTTGAGTCAAAACACGAACTACATGAATTTTCAATGGAGGGGGAATGAAAACCAAGTGAAAGATTTTCAGGATGGGAAGCACTGTTTTGATAGTGATATCTAGGACTGCTTTATTAATGAAAATATGTATCAAGTGTTGTGTGTGTGTGTGTGTGTGTGTGTGTATGTCTATGTGTGTCATTCAGGTGCTGGAAACACAGTGGTGGGAAATGATTCTTGCTTTCATGGAGCTTACAGTAGAGTGGAGAAATAGACCTTAACCATATGTTTATGTAAATACAGTCTATCCTCATTATTTGCAGATTCTGTATTTGCAAATTTGTGAGTGCTAACATTTATTTATAATCCCAAGATCAATACTCACTGAACTTTTACAATTATTCACGGGCATGTACAGAGGGGCAAAAAATGTTGGTGGCTGCCGTGCACACTCCAGGCTGATGTCAAACAAGGTGACACTCTGAGTAAGCATTTTGTTTCAGCTCTGTGCAAACCAATGTTCTTTTTGTGGCCTATTTTGTGTTGCATTTGTTTTGCATTTTGTGCTTTTTTTGGTGATTTTGTTGCTTAAAACAGTGCCCAACCCTAGGGCTGGAGTGCTGTCTAGTGTTTCTAAGCACAAGAAGGCCATGTTGTACCTTAGGGAGAAAATGCATGTGTTAGGTAAGCTTTGTTCAGGCATGAGTTATAAGCACCAATGTGAGCTCAATGTCAGTGAATCACCAGTACATATTAAATAAGGTGGTAACAAGCAGAGCAAGTGTAGATGTTGTCCAGAAACACATACAAAACAAGGTTATATATTGATCAATTCTCAAAAATGTGACCAGAGGCTCCCAGGAAACTAACTCTGTATTTCTCCTAGGAACAATTATTCAGTATTCACTAACTCAGTGTTGGTGGCAACTTCATAGACCATAACTACCATGGATAATGAGAACTGACTATACATATAAAATTACAATTAAGGTAAGTGCTTTTCAGAATAAGCGGTTGGTATTAGGTAAGTGTATGTTTTTGTTTATGGAGAAGGCAGATATAGCATTGAGTTAGGTTGTCCGGGAACATATTCCTGAGGATATGGTGTGGTGTTAGAGTATAAAAGTAGAATAGGGTTTAATAAGATTAAAACAGAGTGGATGTGTCATCCCAGACCTATGGAACAGACTCCTTGGTGAGAAAGCATGGTTTTTATCAAGGACCTGAAAGAAGCCAGTGTCACTAGAGCTTAGCATTGAGCCATAATCATCAAGAGAGGTCTAGATTATACAAAACCTTATAAATACTCAGTCTAAATACTAAAAAGCCATTGAGAGGGGCAACTGGTGGCAATGATAAAAATAAAAAGTAGTTTTTATTTTTGAAAAACATTTATCTAGCAAAGAATAACTCAGAGATGACAGCTTAGACAACTGCAAAGGCAGAAGACAGAAAGGGAGGAGATTAAACCTGTATTTAAGGCCATCTAAGGAAACTGAAAGGTGTTTCTGTGACTGGACAGACAGTAGCTAAAGATAAAATAAGGCCAGTAACTAAATTTAACAGTTTGACTCAAGGTGACAAAGTGGCAGCCTATTCTAACACGAATGAGAAGAACAAAGATAAATCACTTTTCATATTTTAATCTCATTTGGTGAAAAATCCACTTTATATTCAAAAAGTAGGAACCCATTTTTCTTTTTTCAGGAGTGAAATGAGGGTTAATCCACAGGAGAATAAACAATTGTGGCCTCATAGCATACGAGATTACTTTTCTTTCATGGATAGAATATAATTAAATGCAAGCAGTTTTTAATGGAAAGAGTGGAAAACTTTTATTTGCCTAATTTGTGGAGGTAGCAATTATTGTTGGTTTAATCCTATTTTAGGATATTATATGCATATTATCTCTTCTTTTTTATTTTTTTTCAGAAAGACAAATACCTTCTTCAGTACCTTATTTTTATTTTTGCTTTCTGAGATTCTTGGTTATATGTTATGGCTTTTAAATAAATATTTGTATGATTCAGAACAGGTCACTTTTTTGACTCAGAAACTAATCATCTGAGAATGGTTTTTGAAAATCATGGATTTATATAGTCAGAAAGTTCTTTAAAGATTACCAAAGGCATATCTTCAATTTTAGAGAGGAGTAAAGTGAAGCCCAAAGCGATGAAGTGACTTTGAATCATTGATTTGTAGCATTCCTTTAACCAGACCATGTACCTCCATATTGCACAACTCCTGCAGGGTACAGCCTCTGAGCTCCTGCAAAGCTGCCCTGTGGGACTTCAGGTTCCTGCTTCTGAGACCAGGGCACTTCTACAATAGGTGGTTTTCAAGAGCCACCTTATTAAGTTAAAGCACCCAACTGAGTCATTATCCTCACAAAAATCCATAATGTAATATTTGCTTTACGCTTTGTGAGATCAGCACTTAGATATATACATGCTGATGATTCTCAGTATGTATACAAAGGCAGTTTTCTGAAAACTACTAAATTTCTGAGCCGTAAAATAAACAAGCAGAGTAAGTGTCAGTGGCCATTAATTATCTGAAGTCCTGTGAAACTTCGACATGTTTTAAATCTCTGCTTTTAGAAATTTCTGAGTTTTAAATTTCATGCTTCAGCCATGCCGGTGATGAGAAAAGGAGGCTCTGCTTTTTGTCGTGGTGTGATGGATGCTGACTTCCTAGAGTGCAGAAGGTGTTTTTTTTTTTTCAGAGAAGAGGCAATTATTTGCATAATAGTCTTTGCCAAGCACTCTGCCTTCCTTTGAGATGAAGAACATTTCAAATATTGTACAATTAACTGTCATCAGCTACTGTGTTGTGATTCACTCTCTCTGAAAGAATATATAACAAGGACATGGAAATAATTCCCGAAACAATTCACAGGTTTGAGATGCAATAAGAAATTCAAGTATCAGTCCCAAAGTGGCAAGCAGAACTTTAGACTTTGTTAACTGAAAAAGTAAGTGATTCATAGAGTTGGGGAAAGTTATTTTAGAAAAAAATGAAAGCAAGAGAAAGGAGGCAAGTATACTATTTTCTTCATCTTTACAGATGACACAGTTGGATATCAGTTATACCAGTTTTGTTTTTGCTTTGCCTCAGAAATCTTCAATACCAACACTTTAAAAAAGCCTAAAAGTCAACTTGGAAGGAGCTATTTAAATAGAGCTACTAAGTCCAGAGGCAAGTCAGATTTCATGTGAAGTTTATAGTTTTTCTTTGCTGGTTGGATTTTCCAATCACATGCTATGTTTATAACAGCCTTTAAACTGCTGTATTTCAGGTTCCTTCAGGTCGTCTACTTCAAATCTTCCATGTTTGTCCCTGAAACTTAGTTCTCATGTGTGGTTGGAGTATTTGGCCACCTCTGTGGTATCATTTGAAAAAAATGGAAAAATACATGAAATTTTGATATATCCCAATTAGGCCTGGAGTTTATATGCCATAAGATTCACTCTTAGAGAGCGTATTTAAATTAAAAGCATTTTCTACATATCCCGTAGACATACACCCAAGAGGGAAGTATCTTAACCATGGATAATCAATAATGCCTAAATATGCACTAATTTATCAACTACCCTTTACAGGGACATTCAGTGAAAAAAGAAACTAAATTATCCAGAAATCACTTCTTTACCTCTAATTTATCCATCTTAATGGCAATAATGCTGCCATGTCTTTTTGTCTCTGTTCCTCCCACAGTATAATTGTAGGTTTTTCTCCAAACTAATGTATCATAATGTGTTTTCAAACAACATAAATCTTGTCTTTAGCAGTGAATATAATTAAGTAGAATTACTTTCCATAAGCTGATATCACTGAATGTAAAGACAATGACAAAATACTTTCTATGTTGAACTAACCATGCGTGGATCTTATAAAACACTTTTCTCTGGATATCCGTGGTGTCTTTTGGCCCTAAGTAAGTTAAAAAGGGACTTTTGATCTTCTCCTTTAGCCTATAAACTTTCCACAGGTGGAGACTCTGCAGATTACTGAATTAACTCATTTACACTTTAATATTTAAAATGTTAATAAAGTATTGGATGAACATGGCTAAAAGATCAAATAGTAGAGAAAGGCATATCTGTTAGTAATGTTTACAAATATGAGTAACACAAAACCAACTAACTACAAGAGGTTTAAACCATGGAGATGTTCTTTTATTTTCTTCTTATATTGAGGACTCAAGATAGGTAAGTGTGAGGTTGGACTGGTGACTGTACACAGCCATCAGGCCCAGATTCTCTTTCTGCTGTGACATACCCATCATGTCATCATTTGTCATCATGTCCTTCACTTATTGTAAAAAGTGACCTTTAGGCTGGACGCAGTGGCTCATGCCTGTAATCCCAACACTTTGGGAGGCTGAGGCAGGCGGATCACAAGGTCAGGAGATCGAGACAGTCTTGGCCAACATGGTGAAACCCCGACTCTACTAAAAATACAAAAAATTAGCCAGGCATGGTGGCACGTGCCTGTAATCCCAGCTACTTGGGAGGCTGAGGCAGGGGAATCGCTTGAACTTGGGAGGTGGAGGTTGCAGTGAGCTGAGATTGCGCCACTGCACTCCAGCCTGGCGACAGAGCAAGACTCCATCTCAAAAAAAAAAAAAAAAAAAAAAAAAGTGACCTTTAATGCCTACAGCTAAAATTCCTAGGTCATTTAGGGTCAGCTATTCTTTCTATGGATTCTATATTGCAGAATTCCAAAAATCTATGTCTTTATCCAACCAAGAAAGGCAATGAAATAATATTGGGATATAAGAAGGGTTTGAGAAAGGAAGAAGCATAATGCGCTAAATTTCTCTCATACATCTGTTGTTAAACTCTGTGAAATATTTGAAAAGATTTATTCTGAGCCAGATGTAAGTGACCATGGCCCATGATACATCCTCAGGCAGTCTGGACAACTTGTGCCCAAGGTGGTTAGGCTACCACTTGGTTTTATATGTTTTAGGGAGACATGAGACATCAATCAAATACACTTAAGCTATACATTGCTTTGGTCCAGAGAAGTGGGACATCTTGAAGTAGGCATTCCAGGTTATAGTTAAATTTAAAAATTTTCTGACTGGCATTGGTTGAAAGAGTTATTAGAAATAGAAAGGAATATCTGGGTTATGATAAGATGTTGGGGAGACCAAAGTTTTATCTTGCTGATGAAGCCTCCAGGTAGCTACCTTCAGAGAGAATAGAATGTAAATATTTCTTATCAGACTTAAAGGCTGGGTTGATGTCAAATTGCTGGTCTGCTATTCCTGAATTACAAAAGGGAAGACAGCATAATGGGGCATGTCCAGCTCCCCGCTTCCTGTCATGACCTGAACCCGTCTTTCACGTTAAATCTGGAGGGCCCTGGTCCATTATGGGTCCATTTAGATGGCTGCAGGGCAAGTGGAAGGGCTTCAAATTTTATTTTTGGTTTACAACCCCCAGACCAACAATTTCCACTTCCCATTATAAAATAAGATCCATCCACAACCTGATTCGTCTGTAAATTATTTTGATTTTGCCTTCTTCTCTATTAACAAAAATGACATTTTTATAACAAATAATGTAACCACCCACGGGGTTCTTCTTGCCCACCGTATGTAAAATAAAGACCATGGCACTGCAGTAGGAAAGAGTTTAATAGACATAAGGCTGGCCAAGCCATGTCGGAAATAGAGCTAGTACTCAAATCATCTCTTCCAAAGCTCTTAGGTTAGGTGTTTTTCAAACTCAATTTGGGGAAAGGGGTGGGGGTAGCTTGGCTTGCTACTGATTGATTAGGGCAGAGATGAAATCATAGTGGGTCAAAGCTGTCCTTTTGTGGGCTGAATAGCTTCTAAGTGGGGCCACGAGAGCAGAGTTGGTGGTCCAGGTGGAGCCATGGGTGTGAGACATGCAAAAAACCTGAAAGACGTCTCAAAAGGCCAATTTACAATAGTGTGTTGTCTGCAGGAATAACTGGGGAAGTTGCATTTCTTATAGCCTCTGGAATAACGGCTGACAATCTTTCCTGCCTGTGCCTTAGCAGGACTCAGGTTCCTCTCCTGCCCGCGGCCTGATGACCTCCTATTCTCTTTTAACAAGCTGGTGAGTTTTGGGTAAAGCCTATTTATCATTTAAACTATAGCCTAAATGTCTTCCAAGGTTAGCTCAGCCCAGTAGCCTAGGATTAATTAAGGGAAAGGCAAGATGTGGGGTGGGTTAGCTCAAATCTCATTCACAGTCATAATTTTCTCAGTGATATCATTTTTGCAATGGCAGTTTAATAAGGACATGCCTGAAGCACAGTAAGATCCACATTCCTCGCAAAGTCTAGCTCATCCTGGTGTGTCTTATAATAGGACTGTTGTTAATATTACACTGACTGCTTTCTCTCAGCTCCACCTTGCTCAGCCACAGGCTTCCTCACTTGGGCACTCGGGACATGCCCAGGGTCTTCGGTTTGCTTTTTCTTCAGACTATCTTGTTCTTCCCCATTGACATTTCAATTGCTATTCTCTCACTTCCTTCAGGCCATTATTCAAATGTTGTTTCTCAGGCTTTGCCTGGCTGCCCTTTCTACAATTGCCACACCCCCAAACTCAGCGCTTTCCATCATTCTTCTTCCCTTGATTTATTAGGCAATATACTGAATTCTTCATATTTACATTTTTTCACCTAATTTTTTTTTTTTTTGAGGGATGGGATTTTTGCCTCTGCATTCAGTGTGGTAACTCTGGTACGAAAACAGTTTCTGGAACTTGGGAAATATGTATTCAATTTCTTCAATGAATAAAGGTAGCCTGAGGGATGGAGGGGTTGGGAAAACTGAGCTTTGTTTCAGGATCTCAGATGGAAAGCTAGGTGAAGGTGGCAGAGCAACCAAGATCTGTTGCTGTTTGTCCTACATGTGGTTTCCCTTTTTCTCGTTTTCTATCTGGAATTGACTATTGATGTTTCATATTTTTTTTCTTTCCACTGTTGAGTATTATGTGTGTTTAGGGGAGGCTTAGATTTATTTTGGATAAAAAAAAATAGCCAGGATTATTTGCTATGGAGCCACTGTCTCACAAGCTGAATTATGTGGGCCAGAGGGAAAGGGGAGCTGGCTTTGCTGTCCTTCATCTTTCCTGTTTCCCTACCCAGCTTCTGCCACTGTCTACTCAAAATAGAAGCTAATATGAGCAATGTCAGAGCTTCCTCCATGAAACTCAATGAAATGATTTTAATAATGAGATCAACGGCAAGCTTTAGAAGAGAAGGTGCATATATTCTTGATAATGTTAAACCAAGTTTAGCCTAAAGCTGCCTGGTATGGTTAGGCTTTGTGTTCTCACCCAAATCTCACCCCAAATTGTAATCCCCATAATCCCCACATGTCAAGGATGGGACTAGGTGGAGGTAATTGAATCATGGGGGCGGTTTCCCCCCTGGTGTTCTCATGATACTGAGTGAGTTCTCATGAGATCTGATTAAGCATCTGGCATTTTCCCTGCTATGTGCTTCCTTAAAGTGTTTGATTATGTCACATTTAGCATAAGTGACTCTATTTTGTTTTGGTCTGGTCTGTTGGGGCCTGGTGCATGAACTCAGACCAAAACAATGGCCTCCCATAATTTGCTTAAAAACTGCCCCATTTTGGTCAGGTTCTTACTTAGGTGAGAGTGTGACCAAAACTTAGGACCTTAGCACCACTCTCTGTTACCATCATTTTGCGTTTCTGGTCTCAGCATGTAATTCACAGGTTATATGCCCTTATGGTCACACATTTCTTTCAGCTCTTGTTACTCCAGTTGAAGAGAGACCATTTGACATTCTAGAGATGGCTGCATGCAAACATTTAAAATTTTTGAGAGAATACAGTGCACCAGGAAGACTACTATTACGACTATCAGGAGAATAATACCAAGAGTTTGCAGTATGTTCTTTAGCCAGGGTTGCCTTAAACCAAACCAAGAGAAATCAAATAGATCAAAGAATGAACTAGACAAAGAATCAACTCACTTTAAGTAGTCTCTTTGTTAATCGCCTATAACTGATTCTTTATACTATCCCATGTGATGAATTTCTCCATGGGGAACAAGAAGTGCCAGATACTTCTCTGTTTAGCCAGTAAGTAGCTTAGAGCAATTCTATTATTTAGCATAACTTTCACAAGATAATTTCAAGTCTGTTGTGTAGTCACAGCCTTTATACTAGGATCTGCTACAGAGTCTATCATGAGGGATAAATCGCCTTATTTACTCCAATACGTGGAAAAAAGGACCTAACAAATGAAGCCATTCTAGAAGAGTGAAGATCCTCTGGCAATATTGTCTTTAACCCATGATGTAGGTTAAGAGGAGTGGACCAATGTTCTGTTTCTGACTGACTATGAAGCTATATATGTACCATTAAAATTTCTCACATACATTGGGTCTTCATCTTCCATCTATCAAGGTGTAAGGTTATCCATGTATAAGACTGGTTGCAAAATCCTTCACAAATAAAATTATAACCCTATGAGTGCATACAACCAATCCCCTTTTCACTTTTATTGTTCATAGAGGCATAAACAAAGGAAAAAAAATGAAAGATAAGTGTCGTATGATAGTAGAGAAGTCTTGCTCCATGATCGTCAGAAAAAGTTGTTTACGTCATGGATGCCATCTTCTTTTGGGGAGAAACTTCCCTGGTTAGCTTTACCTTAAGGTTTCCAATAGCTGTACAGTTCCAACAGTGTGGAGGGACCCTTCTGAGTTGTGAGATTATGAACACAAGGTTAAAGATCCCAAAGTATTGCTTCAATGTGGATAGCCAGGGCAATCTTTCTGTGATGTTCTCAGAAGAGCCAGTCTTTGGGTTCTAGATTGAGAAGTGGTTGATTGTTCTCAGTCAGTGAACCATGAAAAACTTTCTTTACCTGGTGAAAATACACTGTGGCATAATGAGCTACTATTACAACTTCAGCCCTCTTTCATGAGAAAGCTTTTTTTTTTTTTTTTTTTGATGGACTCTTGCCCTGTCGCCCAGGCTGGAGTGCAGTGGCGTGATCTTGGCTCACTGCAAGCTCCGCCTCCCAGGTTCACGCCATTCTCCTGCTTCAGCCTCCTGAGTAGCTGGGACTACAGGTGCCCGCCACCACGCCCGGATAATTTTTTTTGTATTTTTAGTAGAGATGGGGTTTCACCGTGTTAGCCAGGATGATCTCAATCTCCTGACCTGGTGACCCGCCCGCCTCCGCCTCCCAAAGTGCTGGGATTACAGGCGTGAGCCACCACACCTGGCTGAGAAAGCTTTTATACAACAAGAAAACATGCATTGAAAATGACAATTGAAAAAAATCCGTCTATAAATGATTAAATGGCCCATCAGGTAGCAGAATTCACCTGAAGTTTTGATTTTCCTCTCAGGAATATGAGTTTGACAAGCCAAACTTTGGTCATAAACTATTTTAGCAATTTAAAAGTCTGAACTCCAAATATCTGAGATAGATCTCAGTCAATTTAGGAAGTTTATTTCATCATAATTAAGGTTTTGAACGTGTCCAGAGGAGGTCCTGATGACATGTAGCCAAGCTGGTCGGGTCACAGCTTGGTTTTACACATTTTAGGGAGACATGAGACATCAATCAATATATGTAAGATGTACATTGGTTCCATCCAGAAAGGTGAGGACAACTCGAAGCGGAGAGGCGGCTTCCAGGTCATAGGTAGATAAGAGACAAACTGTTGCATATGTTTGAGTTTCTGATGAGCCTTTCCAAAGGTGGCAATCAGATATGCATTTATATCAGTGAGCAGAGGGGTGACTTTGCGTTCTGCCTGTCCTTTGTCAACAAGGAAATTCCTTGTGAGGTAGGTATATAGCTTTTTCATCTTAGTAGTTTTTGTTTGTTTGTTTGTTTGTGTTTTTGGAATAGAATGGGAGGCAGGTTTGCCCTAAACAGTTCCCAGCTTGACTTTTCCCTTTGGTTTAGTGATTTTGGGGTCCCAAGATTTATTTTCTTTTTACAGAAGTCACCACACCAATATATATATTTAATCTGGATTATTTTATGTTTCTATGACGAGCCATAAAATGCAGAACTTTTAATAACAAAAGCTTTAAGGACTCAGGAAAGACAACGCAGCCATCCTGATTTTCAATGCGCCCATGCTTAACATTGGACTTATATTCTCTTGAATACCAGCTGTTTCTCCAATTTAGGTGGAGAACACTGTTAACTGATGATTTAGCATAGGTAATTTGACTTAAACCATGGAATTTATTCAAATTGTATATATTTAGCATGGAAATCTGTCAAAGTATTTTCTTGCTATTCAGTTAAATTTGTCCTGCTTGGTTTACCAGCTTTATAAACCAATCAGTCTCTTCATTAAAGTTCCAGGAATTCTTACCCAGTCTAAACGATATGATTCTAAAGTTATTAGAAACCTTTACTGAAGAGTGCTTCTCAGGGTACTTTCATCCTCTCATTAACCTCCTTAAAGATACTATATTCTAGGATTTTGCATGCTTGTGAAGTTTTCAGAAACTGAATCACAATTAAGTTATGAACTGTGGAAATGACTATAAATAATCAGTTAAAGACATAGTTGACAAGGAAATTTGGTTATTTTTGTGGTCTCCAGTAACTTAACATAGTCACCATAATTACGATCGTTAGCACATAGTGAGACATATTAGAAGTTTAGAAATCCCATACAATTTTGGAACATATATTAATAACAATCATCAATATATAACCTGACATATTTGTCAAATATGTCAAAGGTTTAAAACATTTGATCAAAATAGGATCACAGGTTACTGTAAAACAATAGCCATTCATTCAGTCACAGTGATAATTGATTTTTTTAAACAAAAACTTGTATTCTTTGATAAAGGAGACTCAGACAGTTTTCCAAACAATCAAAAGACCTTTTGATTTTTCCTTTTTATCTTTTTTTCTTTTTGCAATTTACACAAAAGGTTAATAAAAATATTTTACTCTTTTTAACACTACACATAATTTTTGTTCAAAAGAGAAAATCAAGTTTTACCTGTGTATTAGCATATTATTAATACTAAAACTAATTTTAATACAACCTCATTAATTAAGTTAACAAAGCTGCCATCTTTCAACCACACAATAGTTCCATAAACCCTTTGTTTTACAGTTTTATCCAACTTTTTATATTCATCTTGCTTCATCTATTTTTTCACTCCTTCAGTTTGAAACCTTTAAGTTACTTCAAACCAGACAAAATTTTTAACACACATTTTTATGCCTTCATAACTTTCCTCTTCAAACACATATCTTGCTTTTGTTCATATACTTTGTGTATACAAAAGTGTTTCTCTCATATCTGGTAGTGTTACAGGAAAGGGGTCTTAATCTAGACCCCAAGAGAGGGTTCTTGGATCTCGTGCAAGAAATATTTCAGGCTAAGTTCATACAGTAAAGTGAAAGCAAATTTATTAGGAAAGTAAAGGAATAAAAGAATGACTGCTCCACAGACAGAACAGCCCTGAGGGCTGCTGGTTGCCCATTTTTTATGATTATTTCTTGATGATATGCTAAACAAGGGATGGATTATTCATGCTTCCTCCTTTTAGACCATATAGGGTAACTTCCTCATGTTGCTATGGCATTTGTAAGCTATTATGGCACTGATGGGAGTGTAGCAATGAGGGCAAGCAGAGGTTACTCTCATTGCCATCTTGGTTTTGGTGGGTTTTAGCCAGCTTCTTTACTGCAACCTGTTTAATCAGCAAGGTCTTTATGACCTGTATCTTGTGCCAACCTCGTATCTCATCACGTGACTTAGAATGCCTTAACTGTCTGCGAATGCAACCCAATAGGTCTCAGCCTCATTTTACCAAGCCCCTCCTCAAGATGGAGTTGCTCTGACTCAAATGCTTCTGACATTTCCCTGCTCCCTTTTATAAGAGAACCCTTAATCCTAAGGGTTGCAGAGGGATGAAGTTCCATCTTCTGTAACTTCATCAGGCTGAATAGGGGTAATGATATTCCTGCCTATCTATTATGGGTATTTTATTCCTGCCTCTCATATTCAGGGTAGCGAGGAGCTTAGTCACAAGTCATCAGTATGGTGAGGGCCATTCAAAATCCAAGTTTCAACAAAAGGCACTATCTGAAAGATTAATAAGTGTTCAATTTAAGAAGATATTCAGTAAGCTTATTCTGCATTTTTACACAAAGAGTACAACAGCAATATATTTTAAAACAGTAAAACAAAATAAGTAAAATTTCTCAAGTAAACTGAATTAGAAGGCTTTCCATGAATTGGTAACTGTTGGAACCAAGCTGATATGGGGTTGCTAGCTGATTCTAATGGGCCCAGAATTAGAAGACTGATTTAGATTTTTACATTACCCATCCCTCTTGTTTCTTCTGAGCAGCAGTCAATCACTGGTTGGGTCATAGGAATAACCAGGATTAGCCTAAACTGCAGAAACAAACTTAAAAACAACTGATGAGACTAGAATTTAATAGCAGGTGTACATCATTCTTGAAACATAATATTTCACTCTCCAGTTTCCCATTTTTACTAAAGATAAATCATGGTAAGACTGATTTGCTTTATTATACTTGGCCTGATTATTTGTATAAAGTGCAGCAAGAATAATTATTTTTTACATAGACTTTATAAGTTGGCCTGTTGGAACTTTGTTCCATAAGGAATCTCAGATAAGACTTTTTTTAGAGCTGAGTCCTGCCATTGGTTTGAACCCTCAAATACCTACAAGTTGAGCAAATCTCTCTCCTCTTGGGGTTCCAAGATAACCTGGGGGTTCCTGGGCCTGTTAGAAAGTGACATTCTTTACTTATCACAGGGCAGAAACCCTGTACAGGGACTGTGTAGGCAAGGTATGAGGCCAGTTCCCCAAGTGGCTTTCATTGGCTCTACAAGTCAAATTTGATTCCTTAAAGGAAAGCATGCCATTCCAGTTAAAGTCTCCATAAAATAACCAGTTTCTCCAGTTTGTGTCCTGATGCAAAATAAAACAGATTTGTATTGCACTTAAGCAAATAACCATATTCCCATAAATTAGGAATACTCACAAATAGTTTCCAAATTTTGGAGAAAGTAGGCAGAGAGAAACAAATATCCTTCACATTTTGTTCACAGGAGTATACTCAATTGTTAAAAGCTGTAAATAGCTTCTATTACTTCAGTCCATGCAGTTAACTCCTGTCCTGCTTGATTCATGAACATTCAGCTACGAGAGTTCTGAAAGGTTTTTTTCTCTATCTAATGTCACAATCTCCAAAGTTATCAGAAAATCCTCCATTTAAATGTACCTGTTGAAGTCCTATAGTTGATTATAAAACCACCTTTTAAAGAGGACCAAAACAAGACAACAATTGTGTGTGGATTATAAAAAGTCTTAGGACAGCCACTATTAAAGCCACAAACGATAAGGAAATTTGGTTATTAGTGTGGCATACAAAAATTTATGTAACAATTGTATTTATTAATAACATACACTAAGTCATATCAGAATTATAGGAGTTTCCCATTATTTTGGATCACATACCAATAACATATTTATGCAAATATAGCCCAAAGAAAGCCAAACACCATTTCATATTTGGCAGTGCTTCCTGTAAGATTTTTATACCCAATAAGGCAAATTTCATCTCTACACTAATGTGCTATTTGTGTTAAACCCAAATCTTAATAAAACCTTATAGACAAATGTATTTAATCTTAATCAGCTTGACCATGAGGTAAGATTTTAATAAATCTTTTATAATCCTTTAAAAATGTTTGTTAAACAGCAGATTACAAGCAGGTGTTAGCTCTAAGAAAAACCTGTTGTGCTTTTATTCCAATGTCCGATTTATCAAAAAACTGAATAATAGCCCTTTAATTTTAGCCAATATGTTCACACAGATAATTTCTTCTTTAAGATTAATATTTCACAGACCTTTAACAACTTGCTTAAACCTTCAGCTTTATCCTAACTTAAAACAATCCTTTAACTCTCTAAACTTAGGCAAGAAATCTGTATTCCCATGTTTTCTTGTAATCTTTTACCGAAAGCACATTCTACTTTTCTTACACACCTTGAACATAAAACTGTTTCTTCAGTAGTCTCAATTATATGTTACAATGTCAACTCTTTTTCTTTTTCTTTGAGATGTAGTCTGGCTCTCTTGCCAGGCTGGAATGCATACAATGTTAACTCTTAGCAACTTTTATTTTTAGTGAAAAACCTGGTTAGTAAGTTATTCTAATTATGTACCAGGTGTGGAGCCTAGGACCCAGACAGAAGTGCAGATAAGGTTTGATTCTTTCCAGCATAGCTAGTGAGTGTGGCTAGTTCCACATGTTTCCAGGCCTTATCTAGAATCTAAAGCTCCAAAGTAGGTAAAATGAACAATTTTCAAAAGTCAAAGAAGCAGTTTATGACCTTAAAGCACTTGGAAAACCTAATATCTGACCCACATAATTTAGACCAAATGTTTACATTTTAAAGATATTTTTATTTTACCAATAACTTTAAAACTGTCTTTATTTTCCAAAGATTACTTAAGTCATGTGAACTAAATAAAAAGTATTCATGTTATACTTTTCTGATCAAATATTTGATGTAAGCTCCTATTATTAAACCATTTAATTAAAGCTCTTTTATATTACACCCACAACATATATAAATACATAGATAAAATAAGATAAAGGATTCATTCCCTAAGCCAGGAATTGAACCCTGATCCTGGGCCGCCACTGTGAAAAGAGAAATCATCACCACATGGTTACAAGGTCAGGCTCCCCAAGACATACAAGACAAGAGGGATATCTCACCCAGTTTTGTGTTTAGGGACCTGCAGCAAAATTTATACCTGACCAGTTTCCTGGGCCATCTTGAACAGTGGGCTTACAGGTGTCCTAAGCCCATGTTCCATCCTACAATACCCCTCTTTATGGGAGAACAATACGGAAAGACACACAAAGCACACCAGATTCACTATAGCTTACAACTAGCCTCACAAGTCCTTTTTTCCATTAATCTAAACTTTACAGAGGAGATAAACAATGGTTTTTGCCATTCATTCAGCCAGTTTGCACACACACAAAAAGAGAGAGAGAGATGAGACAGAGAGAGAGGAAGCATTGCTTGAGGCAGGGTGGGGAAGGCGAGGTACTCAGGGAGGCCAGAGAAAGACCCACCCATTGCAGTGACACTGAAAAGTTCAGGCGGCTGCTTGTCAGTAGCAAAGGGATATTTTCCAGCAGTCTCATCAGCTCTTGAGTTTCCCCTTTTAGGGAGGAAAAAGCTCCCCGTGTCCCATGATCCTATATGTGCCTAATCCTGTCACCCACAGCCCTGAGCAAAGAGTTCAAGGCAGATTAATCCAAAGAGAATAGCACTTAACATTTCATAATACTAAACCCATTCTTAGCCAAAAGGTACTTTACTGAAAGGGGCTTCTAACCCCCTAAATCTTAAAAGGGACTCTAACCCTCCTAAGCTGGGCCTTTAACCCAAGATGGGTCAAGTGTCCTTGACTTTTATCAAGAGTGGCCTCTAACCCACTCTGTCTAAGGAGAGACTCTAACTCCCCTAAGTTGGGCCTCTAACCCAATTCCATGCTTTACCTGGGTACCCCACCACTTACCCAAAGTTGGCCAATCAGTGCTGTAGTCTATTTCCTTTGGGTGGGAGGGTTTCTTCAGTATCGTCCCTTCAGAGTTCACCAGAAAGATGTTACTGGCCCCTACCACTTACCGAAAGTTAGCCTTTGGGTGGGGGTTTTCTGCACTATAGTCCCTTCAGTGGTCACCAGAAAGATGCTACAGGAAAGGAGTCCCAATTCAGACCCCAACAGAAGGTTTTTGGATCTTCTGCAAGAAATAATTCAGGCCAAGTCTGTGGAAGAAAGTGAAAGCAAGTTTATTAGGAAAGTAAAGGAATAAAAAATGGCTACTCCACAGACAGAGCAGTCCCGAGGGCTGCTGGTTGCCCATTTTTATGGTTATTTATTGATATTTTAACAAGGGGTAGATTATTCTTGCCTCCCCTTTTTAGATCATATAGAGTAACTTCCTGACGTTGCCATGGCATTTGTAAAGTGTCATGGTGCTAATGGGAGTGTAGCAGTGAGGACGACCAGAGATCACTCTCATCACCATCTTGGTTTTGGTGGGTCTTAGCCAGCTTCTTTACTGAAACCTGTTTTATCAGCAAGGTCTTTAAGACCTGGATCTTGTGCCAACCTCCTCTTTCATCCTGTGACTGAGAATACCTTAACTTTCTGGGAATGCAGCCCAGTAGGTTTTAGCCTCATTTTACCAAGCCCTTATTCAAGATGGAGTTGCTCAGGTTCAAACACCTCTAACAGTAGTTTTTAACTCTTAGTAACCCTTATTTCTAGTGAAAACTCTAGAAAGTAATTTTGAACTGTTTTATATCAGTTATTTGTAGATAAAAACCATTTTATAATTTTTTAGAAAGATAGTTCTTCAAATTATTCTTATTATCAGATCTAAATATATTTACTTTTCTATACTACATAGAAATAATATGCCAAGGTATATAGACTTAAATGCATGTTTAATAATGCATATTTCAGTATCTTGAACATGACTCATCTTGTGATTTTTTTATTAATTAATTTAACATAACATGACTCTAGGATTTTAAATTACTGAAAAGAATTTTTGAAGCTATTAACAGAGGCAGCCTCCCTAATGTCTCCTCCCAGTCATTCTAGGTCCCAAGAAGCCATGTGTCCCCCATGAGGACTATGAAGGTCAGGGCCTGAGTCTATCAGGACAGAAGCCAGAGCTGTGAAGACTATACTTGGAGGATCCAACTACTCCCACAATAGCCAGGAGGCAAAACAGGGAAAGCAGAGGAAGAAGGGGCCATATCGGGCTTGTAGCTGGTGGTCTAGACACTACGAACGTGTCTCTAGATATCATCATGGCCACCTATCCAGATGCCTCAATCCAGAGACTCTAAGCCGAAGACATAAGCTCACAGTCAAATCAAGTGAGTATCTAACTATATTTAACTGATAATTATCAAGCCATTTCTATTTTACCAACAAATTAAAAACTAGCTTTATTTATCAAATATCACATACACATAACACATACACATACAAACAAGCAGAAGCAGATCTTATAGCTTTTTCCAGATTTTAAATAGTTTTTATTTTCTCTATTTGGTGTATCAGTCTTTCAATTATCTGTTTCATTTCCCTAAGCAATTGTTAACTAGGCAACAAATTTGCATTTATAAAGGGACAACTCTTAGGTGAAACAAAAAACATGTATATTTCATAAGCACAGAGCTAAGATTCTCGGCCTAGGTATTGATTCATCATTTGCTCAAACCAAGGGAAAAGAAAAACTGCTCAAGTAAAAGTTCACTTAAGATAGCCAGAAAAGTTCGTTAAACAAAGGCATTACTTATTACTTAGATTTAAAAGAATGGTTAGAATTTCTATTGTACTTAGGCAGACATCCTTAAAAATTGAGATTTCTTTTATAGATGTAAATTTCTTTTACAAAAGAGTTTCAAAGTAGCCAATTAAATTCCAGAAAGGTGCATTTTATTTCAATATGGTGTTCTTTTTAACATAGCCACTGTTTCTTAGTTAAAATTACTGAGTTCAGCGTGGAACCCATTAGGGAATAGAGTCAAGAAAGCATCCTCTATGCCTTGTCTCCCCCATGGATAGGTCTGAACAAGAAGCAAACCTATTTTACCTGAGGGCCTAACTTTTAAAAATATCTTATCTAGGATAGCTTTCTTGCCACCTTTAGGGTGGAACAGTGGCTAAGCAAAGGTTAGCAGTTTTAATTTTTCTTATCTATTAGTTTCTTAAGCTTTTTATTTGCCTTTTGTAAAATCTTTAAATAAAAATATTGAAATCTTTTTAGAAGCTTCTGCATATCAATAGGTACCCCTGGATGAGACTAATTCATCTGGGAGTCCTCACTTTCAAATGCATTTCTTCAGTGCAGTGTTATTTGGAACCTTGCATAGTAACTTATCTTTAGTAAGATTTCACCAGTTCTATAAGACTTTGCTGCTTCTGAGGTCTAATACTTATGCATTGTGAAAGGAAAATAAATATTGGGCCCCCCAAGTCACTAAGCTAAAGGGAAGAGTCAAGCTGGGAACTGCTTAGGGCAAACCTGCCTCTCATTCTATTTAAAGTCACTCCAAAGCTCACTGAACTAAATGCATATCTGATTGCCTCCTTTGGAGAGGCTAATCAGAAACTCAAAAGAGTGCAACCATTTGTTTTTTATCTATCTATGACCTGGAAGCTCCCTCCTGGCTTTGAGTTGTCTTGTCTTTCCAGAGTTAACCAATGTTCATCTTATATATGTTGATTGATGTCTCATGTCTCCCTAAAATGTATGAAACCAAACTGTGCTCTGACCACCTTGGGCAAATGTTGTCAGGACCTCCTGAGGCTGTGTCACGGGTCTGCATCCTCAACCTTGGCAAAATTAACTTTTTCTAAATCAACTGAGACCTGTCTCAGATATTGTGGGTTCACAGCATGTATAAGCCAGAAGGTACTCAGTTCTTCCAAAACTAAGGGTTCTATCTTTACCTGAAATATTGGCTTTGGATATCAGTTTCCCTTAATCAACTTGGCTAATAATTTTTTTCCTATATAAGCATGCAAGAAAAATGAAACAAAGAGGAGAACAGAAAAATCCCCATGAATTTTCAAAAGTCATATTTTACACCCCCTGCAATATTGCCATTTACTACCAGTTTCTTTCTGACCGAGTCAGACATAAGAGGCCTATAACTGGATCCAAGCCAGTTAATTATCAGATTCAATCTCATCCTGGACCTAGTCAGTTTCTATTGTGACTTCCAAACCCAGTTTGGCTCAGAAATTTGCTCGAAGACATTGGAGACCCCAAAACACAAATCCGTGGAGCTTCAGAATCTAAAAGAGAACTTGCCGTGATCCCCAGTCGCTATGAGAGGGAAATGGCCACAATGGTGTGGACAAAAAGAGTCAAACTCTGTAAAATATTCTAAGAGATTTATTCTGAGCCAAATATGAGTGACCACGGCCCATGACACAGCCCTCAGGAGGTCCTGAGAACATGTGCTCAAGGTGGTCAGGGTACAGCTTGGTTTTATGTACTTTAGGGAGGCACGAGGCATCAATTAAATACATTTAAGAAATACATTGGTTTGGTTCAGAAAGGTGGGACAACTCAAAGCAGGGAGCTTCCAGGCTACAGGTAAATTTAAACATTTTCTGGTTGACAATTGGTTGAGTTTATTTGAAGACCTGGGATCAACAGAAAGAAAATGTTTAGGTTAAGTTGAAGGAGTGGCCAGGTGCGGTGGCTCATGCCTGTAATCCCAGCACTTTGGGAGGCTGAGGTGGGTGGATCACCTGAGGTCAGGAGTTTGAGACCAGCCTGACCAACATGGTGAAACCCCATCTCTACTAAAAATACAAAATTAGCTGGGCCTGGTGGCACATGCCTGTAATCCCAGCTACTCAGGAGGCTGAGGAAGGAGAATTGCTTGAACCTGGGAGGTGGAGGTTGCAGTGAGCTGAGATCGCGCCATGCACTTCAGCCTAGGCAAAAAGGGTGAAACTCTTATCTCAAAAAAAAGAAAGGTAAAGGATTGTGGAGATCAAGTTTTACTGTGCAGCGGGAGTTCTCGGATAGCTGACTTCAGAGAGAGCAGGTTGTAAAACGTTTCTTATCGGATTTAAAAGGATGCCTGTCTCTTAGTTGATTATTCCCTGGATCTGGAAAGCAAGGAAGGGGAAAAAAAGGCGAGGTGGCAGAGAAGGGGATTCTCTGTAGAATGTGGATTTTTCCTACAAGGGATAGCTTTGCAGGGCCATTTCAAGATATGTCAGAGAAACATGTTTTGGAGTAAAGTATTTTGATTTTCTTCCTTGTTATGCCAGAGTCAGATTGGAAAGTAAGTCATGATATACAGAGTTAAATAAACCCCATCTGATGAGAATTTATGGTTTGTAGGGCCTGACTCCCCAGACCACTTAGATAGGAATTTGAGCAACATAAAAAAAAAAAAACAGAGTTTAGTCCTTGTTGGTGGGTATCTCGCTTAGTCACTCAGCCCTCCTGGGGGTCATTAGATGCTCTACTTTGGAGCCCACTTCTGATGCCATCTATTAAATGAAAAAACTTCAGGTGAATTAAATTTAAGACTTTTATTTAGCAAGGAACGATCTGCGAATCAGGCAGCCTCCTGAGCCAGTGTAGGCTCGGAGACTCCAGCCCAGCCACGTGGTGGAAGATTTATGGACAGAAAAAGGAAAGTGACGTACAGAAAATGGATGTGAGGTACAGAAACAACCAAATTGGTTGCAGCTTGGTGGGCGTTTGCCTTATTTGAACACGGTTTGAACAGTTAGCCCTTGATTGCCCAAAACTTGGTGGTTGGCACAAAAGTAGGCTTCAGTCTGTTTACATCTTCATTTAGGTTACAGTTCACTATGTACAGAGAAACCTTTAGGCTGAACATAAAATACGTAAAAAGGCAGCTTTAGGCTAAACTTGATTTAACAATATAAAGACTTGAGGCAAAGATAGTCCCACAACTTGCTCAAGACCACAGAAATATGAGAAACTCAGAATAACCCTCAAGTACTCGGGCTCCAGACTGGATGCTGTTAACCTCCCCCAGACTCTCATGTCTATATTGCTTTTGGCCTATGACTTTTTTATGTGTGTGCATGAAATTGTGAACTTCTTTTCAGTGATAATCTCGTACTCTTATTTTATCACACTTTTTAGTTCCTTGGGAATAGCTCTTGAGTACGGCCATACCACCATGAATGTGGCTGATCTTGTCTGATCTCGGAAGCTAAGCAGGGTCGGGCCTGGTTAGTACTTGGATGGGAGGAATACGTCTTAAATTTTATAAACAGGACTCAGACATCTATTTTTATGCTTATTTTTAAATGTCTTGATAAAATGTTATACTACTATTACATTCTTGGGAAAAATCTCACTTGGTTTTTTTTTGTGTTATACTTTTAATCACCAGATTTTGTTTGCTAAAATGTTATTTAGAATTTTGCATGTATTTTTCATTGGCCTGTGATTTTTTCTTTTTATATAACATCTTTTTAAAGGTCTTTATTAATATTACACTCAAGTGTTCTTCTGTTTTCTATGCGCTGAATCCAAGCAGTTAAAATCCATGGGAAATATTTTTCCTTGATATTTTCTAAGAACTATTCATGTAATATTATATTGACTGCTCACTCAGCCCCTTTCCCTAAAGCCTGGTAACACAATTAACTCATGATTCCCCGATAAATGCTATTTTCTCATTCCTCCATTTTTATCTATATGTAAGGCTCTTGGCTTTGAATTTGGTTTCTATCTCTTTGTTTGGTTAAGTTCATCTTGGTAAAACAGTAACACTCTCAGCATTTGTTCTCAGTTCTGTGAGTTAGAGTTGATAAACTTTCTCAGTAGGACAGACACATATTTTGCTCAATGTGTGTTCTCCATAAATGCAGATGAGGAAGGAGGGATAATTAGAGGAAACAGAATGAGAATCTCAACCATTTGAGCCCTTACACAATTCTATGATAAACTACAATTTGTATATTTTCTGAGTCATGTGAATTTGTCATAAAATCTATTACTTCTTAATTCACAAAAGTTCCTTGTTTTATTTAATAATAAAGGAGGAAGTTTAAAATACCCATTTTTATAGAGTCATGTGTATGTGGTGTATAAGTCTTTATAGGAAGCATGAACAAAATATAATACAACAGTTTTGATATCTGGGGATTTGTAATATAAGTGACTTTTTAATTTATAGAAATGTAACAAATTTGTAAACAAACAAAAGTCATTTCAGAACAAGCTTAAAAATCTAGTGATCCTATTAATTTACTGAAAGAAACTAGTACCATTCATCTGCAAGACTTATATAGATAACATGTGTTCATTTTCTTGGTTAAATACTTAAATATGGACTTGTGAGGTTTCATTAGAAACTATCAAATTATATTCCAAAGTAGTTGTAGCATTTTTCACTCCCTTCAGCAACATTTCTCCCCACTTAGTATTGTTATGATACTGGCAGGCTGGGGGAGGTTCCTGAATGCCAATGGGACCTTGAGCCCAGGGTCGTACGGGCTCTTGACACCGTCATGAGAATGAATTCAAGGGCGAGTCAGGAAATAGTGAAAGTACTGGCCGGGGCGGTGGCTCATGCCTGTAATCCCAGCACTTTGGGAGGCCGAGGCAGGTGGATCATGAGGTTAGGAGTTCAAGACCAGCCTGTCCAAGATGATGAAACCCTGTCTCTACTAAAAAATACAAAAATTAGCCGGGCGCGGTGGTGGGCGGCTGTAATCCCAGCTACTCAAGAGGCTGAGGCAGGAGAATCCCTTGAACCCGGGAGGCAGAGTCTGCAGTGAGCCGAGATCGCTCCACTGCTCTCTAGCCTGGGCCACAGGGCGAGACTTGGTCTCAAAAAAAGAAAAAAAAAAAAGAAAGAAAGTACAGAGATTTATTGTAAAGGAAAAAGTAGACATTTAAGAAAAGAGAGTGCAGTTGTACTCAAGAGAGAGACATGCACAAGTGGGTTTTACCTTTCTGGGCTCCTTCAACCAAGGGGTTGAATATTCATGAAAATTCTTGGCAAAGGTGGAGATTTCTCAGGTCTGTGGTGCCACCCATTTTTAACCAAACATGAGTGTTCTCAGAACTGTCATGGCACTAGCGGGTGTGTAATGAGCATATAATAAGGTCCTAGGTGAAACCTAGGTCAAATCCAGCAGCATGTTGGGTCAGTTGGTCTTATCCAGCTTGGTCCACACCCTGTTTTCGAGGGTCTTATTTGCCCTTAGCCTCTGCAGATATTTCAACAGTTTCCCTTTGCTAGTCATCTGAAACTGCCACCTGGAATTTTCTACTCTCCTGTGACCACCTTGATTTATTCCTGTCTCAGTATTTGTAAGTTTTGCTATTCCAGTGGGTGGCAAAAAATACTTCATTTTTGCTGTCATTTGACTTCTTGGCTGATGAAAGATGTTGAACACCTTTTCATGTACTTATTGGGCATTTATATGTGCTACCTTAAGAACTGTCTTTTAAAACTTTTTGCTATTATTATTGAATTACTTGTGTTTCATATTTGTAGGAGTTCTTTATGTATTATTGATACAAGTACTTAGAAGATTTAAGTATTATGATTGTATTCTCCCAGTCTGTGGATTAACTTTTCATTTCCTAAATGGTAATTTTGCATAAGCAAAAAATTTAATTTTAATGAAATTCATTTTATTACTTTGTTTCTTTAAGATGGAATTTTTGATGCATCAATTTGACCTGCCAACAGTTTTTAGTTTTTCAAACACTAATCTAAGTATCATTGTGAGAGTAGTTTGCCGATGTGCAGATATAAGTAAGGGAGATTATTCTGGAAACTTTTGGTGGGCCTGCTGAGTGAATCAACTAGGAGGCCTTAAAAACTGGGCTTAGGTAGGAGAGAAGGAATAAAAGTGAGAGAGAAAGTAGGGGAGATAGAGAGAGAGAGAGAGAAAGAGCGCAGAAGAAATTCCACTTGTGAACAACAGCTTCCTATATGCATGGAGTTCATCCTCACCATCTTCCTTTCTTACTGACAGCTTTATGGATTTTGGATTGTTTAACCATCCATTACAATTGTGTAAGTTAATTCCTTGTAATAAATCATCTATCTATCATCTATCTATCTATCTATCTATCTATCTATCTATCTATCTATCCACATATCCTGCAAGTTCTGCTTCTCTGGTTGAACCCAGCTTGGTTCATTAATGTCTCCTCTAAGAAATTATTCTCTACCTCCATATTACAAAGTCATTCTCCTATATTTTCTTCTAGAAACTTTATGGCTTCAGCTTATACATTTAAGCTTATGACCCATCTTGAATTTTTTTGTGAATATTGTAGTGTAATTTTTTCCCTATTTGGGTATTCCCTTTTCCAGTAATGTTTATTGAAAAGTCTTTGTTGTTGATACTGAATTACCTTGTCATCACTATCAAAAATTAATTTATCAAACACACGTGAGTCTACATCTGGAGACAGTATTTTGTTTTTTTCTAGTTTTTAAACTTTATTTCTATCATCATGATTACTGTAGCCTTATAGTGTATCTTCAAATCATGTTGTTTAAGTCCTCCAATTTTGTTGGTCGTTTTTTTAAGTTATTGACCATTCTAGGTGTTTTGCATTTGCATATAAACTTTAGAAACAGCATGTCGAATTGTACAAATGAACAATAGAATTTAAACTATTCCTATATATATTTATAAAAATAATATAATACTCTTAATAATTTTATAACTTTATCCTAAAATATTTCATTACAAATCTTTGATTTTTACAATAAATCCTATCAACTTTCAGTGACTTCATATAAATTTTGCTAAGCCTCAAAAACTAATTAATAGATTGCTGAATCACAAACTTCATACATATAAATGCCTTTGTGGCTTTTCTCCTATAAAAATTCAAGTAAATTAGCTAAGAGTGAATGGAGTGAATTGAGAGTTTCTTTTTTTAATGTTGGGAACCACCTTAGAACCAGCTTTCTCCATGTGCTTCTCCATTCGATTTTTTGAAACTAGTTTTCCTACTGCAGTTTATAATTTAAATTAAATTGACTAAGTATGAATTTTCCCGCTGTGCCCTTCTAGTAATTTCTTTGATATTAAAATTATGTTTGCCACTTGGATATCTTCAGGGAATTGCTCTAAAAAGAATTCATTGGTGGTAATGTCCAATATAGCATCTATGATTTTTGCTCCAACTAATTTTATTCTACTAGGAAGACAATCGTCTTTACAACTGCATACAAATTAGAAAGCAATAATTTCAAATGTCTATCATCACATTTTTATCTTAAGCAAGTCAAGTAAATTGTTGGCACTAACGTAAGCTCCATATAAGGTAGGATTTTTGTGTGTTTTATCTATTGCTATATACCTAACACTTAGTTCAGTGCCTGGCACATTGGACAATACATATTTATAAAAGAAATGAAAAAATTGCACCCTAATATATTTCAAATGTTCAATATTTAAGTAATTTTATATATTATTATTTCAACAAAATAAAAATTACTTAAAATTTCATGAGACAGAATGCAGAAACCAATTGGCAATAATTTTATTTACCTTTCTGAGCTCATAGCTAGACTTCCTTTCTCATTCTGTCTTAGATTAATAATTAGATATGGTAATATGACTCATCTCTGTCCAATGAAATGCAGGCAGAACTAATGAAATCACTCCGAGTTGAAGAGAATGAAATAGAGAAAGGCAGAAAAAAAGCAACTTAGACTTGATCATTATTCCTAGGAAAAAAAGCAAAACACCTTTAAGTTTGATTATTGGCAAATGAAACTGATTTAAAATATACACATCAGAAGTGTTAAGCAATTAAAGAAATGAAACAATTTTTCAAAAAGCTTTACCCATTCAATTCTAAAACAAATTTTAAATAGTCAAATATGCACCAGTAGGAAGTAGGCCACGAAAGCCGTAAAACTCGTAAGCAGGGAAAGTTGCCAAAACCAACTTCAGATGTGTCCATGGAGAAAAATGGATGCAAAGAAACTCACAGAAGGTGACTCCATGGGCCTCAAGAGACATGGAATCTCATTCCTTTCAGAGAGCAGGAATATAGTCATCTAATGAACTGTGCCTGCATCCAGGGTAGGGGAATTCCATAAGGCTCGCTGAAATATTTCCAAATTATGATGTCCAGAGAATACTGTGTGTTTCTGATGCTTCCTCTTGATTGAGTTTTTATTGCTCTCTTTGTTTTTGCTCCAACATTGTACATTGGGTGTATGAAAGAATAGTAGTGGGTGGCTTTCTTATTTTTAATTTCTAGATTGCCATAACTCAGGGGCATATTTGGAGCCAAGGGGAGGAGGTCAGTGGTAGGCCTGTACACCTCAGAAGATGAAGCTTAAGGCTTGGGAAATAAGTCGGGCTGCATTTTATCAGAAGAGGAACGAAATAAGTATGTGGTTACTAGAAAAGAATGTCCAGGGCAGTGTTTGTTTAGTTGTTCACCTACCTCCTTCCTCCTGGGCATGTAGCTACAATTCATTTCCCAGCCTCATTTGCAGTTTGGTATGTCCACATGACTAAATTCTGACCAATGCCACATCTGGAAAATAAAAATAACTTACATGATTTTCAGCTCCTTTGTTCATTTGCTTGTTGGATGTTGGTACTGAGGACACCTTTGAAAGTCACACAATGAATATTGTTCAAGCCTCCATCAATCTGGGTTCTTGAATTGTCAGGCTTAACACCCACCCCCTCATGCCATTTAGTCTTACATAAGTAAGAATTAAACTTTCGTTTAGTGACTGAGGTATGGAAGACTATCAATTACAGTAGTAAAAACTATTATAATATCGAAAAGATAACAAATATCTTTTTGAAGTTTGTCTCAGGTTGAGTTATCTGTGAAGTGGAACCCTGAAAAAGAACTTGAATGCAAATAGTTTATATGGGAGGTTATTGCAGGGTGCAGGTGATAGGGTAGTGGGGGTATGAGGCTGTGGATGAAAAAAAAGACAACTTAGTGTGCATTAATCAGGTTACTACTCTACTCCCTGTGGTGACTTCTAGGACAGTGTGTGGAATACCTCTCAGAAATAAGTAACCCAACAGGCATGAAAGCTGTGTCATTGCATAAGCCCTTCTTGTAGAGACATCAAGCCATTGGTCTGTTTAGCCTGTGCCTATGCATGCTTGCCCCAAACATCCTGTTATGGGATGAGTTGTGTTTTCCCTACCCTCTCCAAATTCATGTGTTGAAACCTTAACCCTTACTGTGATTGTATGTGGAGACAGAGCCTCTAAAGAGGTAAGATTAAATGAGGTCATATAGGTGGGACCCTAGTCCAATATGACTCATGTCCTCAGAAGAAGAGAAAGAGACCCTAGGGATGCACATGCATAGAGAAAAGGCCATGGGAGGACACAGAGACAAGGTATCCACCTGCAAGCTGAAGAGAGAGGCCTTGGAAGAAACCAACTCTGCTAACACCTTGATCTTGGACTTTCAGCCTCCAAAACCGTGAGAAAAATCCTGTTCAAGCCACTCAGTCTGTGCAGCCCTAGCAAACTAATACACCTACTCCTACAGCCCAAGAAAGCACACAGGCTGAGAAGCACATGTCCTTATAGTAGGAAGCATGAGAATGCAAAGGATGAGTGAGGTGCTGCCAGGGCCGACTAGAGCCCCCTTGCAATGCTCAGAGCCACTAGGGTCCCATGTTAAGTTCAGGATATCCTGATAATTGGTTTTTCAAGTGGTGTCTTCTTGCAGTTATCGAAACTTACAGCAAGAGGATGGTAGACCAAGCAGCGTTCACCACTTCTGCATTTGGTGCTGAGCGTTAGTTGATATTTATACTCTCCCTCCTCTGCCTGTGTTCTAGATTCCCCTCAGCCACACCCAACAGTTCTGTTCTGCTAGTGGAGCTTGCTTGCTTGCAAGCTGTGACCTGCACCCACGATGGGTCTGACTTCGTGCTGACCATGCCTTTGTGACATCATGATTGTTTCCATTGCTCATTTTGGCTGACACCAGGCAGAAAATTGGCAAGAGATATTCAGTAAATAACCAGAATTCCAGACAAACTCCACATTCCTTCTCTATGTAATTGTGCCTCTGAACTCATGATAATAAGAATGAATTACTTCTGCTTTTATATTAACTCCTTTCTTTGTCTGCTGGTCTATCAGGATGAGTGGTCCAAAGCAACCAAGTAACAACATAGTTACTACCTGGTATAAGTGCCCACCTACCTTGCAAGACCGAGGCAACCACTAATTCTGCAGGCCCACAGATATTGGGATAGGAAACAATTTCCTGAATGGATTACTAGAAGTTATAATGAAAGGTGCCATCCCTCCTTCTATCCTTTGGTTCCTGGTCCATGTGGAAATAAACAAAGACCACACAAGTGAGATCAAGCCGAGACTCTTTATTCACAGATTTTTATAGCAGGGGAGGCAGCCAACATCACTAGAATCCCTAAAGTTGGTGAAGACTCAATGGCAGGCAGGGGAACAGGAAAGTTTTATAACAGACAAAAAGGGAAGATTTCAGGTATCCTCTGAAAAGAGTGTTGGTAGGGTAGCTGGAGATGGGCTAACTAGAATCCTATGTGATTGGCTTGGGTAACATATTTGGCCTTCTCTAGTTGTCCTAAGTTATAAAGGTGGCAAAAATTAAGGAAGCTGGAAGTTTTTAACTAAGTCCTGATTGTTTTGGGCTGATTGTTACAGAGCTTATTTGGCTTCCTGGACTGGTTGCTGCAGATTATGGGTCAATGTCCTGTTTTTATATATGGTCTAGCCATTGTCCATTCACATATCCAGTTTATCATCCATGTATTCTAGTTAGTGGGGACAAAGCACCATTTGATGGCCATCGCTCAAAATAGGAAAATGCACCTTTGAGAATAGAGCAAAAACTTTGGAAAGTGTCATCCCCAGGCCAACATCGTAGCTTTTTTTTTTTTTAATTAAAAAAAAAGAGAGAGACCAATATGACTCTTACAGGCAGAGAGGTTTTGGTTGATATGGTCAATGGATGGATCCCACTGCCATATGTTCACTGTTGTGCTGCTTTTTACCATAAAGTGAGTCTTTTAGGTTTAGGCACTATTCTATGGGATTTCATATTCACAGATCAGATCCCCTATGAGCCCTTGAATAGTGGACTGCCCCAAAAGTTGCAGTCTTGGAAACTACTCCATATATGAAATAGGTATCAATTTCTGTAAGAACAAATTATTGCTATGTGTATCAAAAACATTTCTACGATCAAGAAGATGAATGTTAAAAATAACAATGAGATCTATTATGTGTTGTAAACATTTCTTTCTTTAGCTCATGAACACTTCTTTAATTAAAATCCACTGACAGAGCATTAACATGAACACTAAAATATAGGTTTGTATTAATGAAAACAATAAAACATCTCACTGGTAAATTAACTGATCACGAAATCATTCTGACTGTATCAACATGGAACTTTAAACTTCTTAACACATAAAAAAGACATGTTATAAAAAACACAAATATCTTTTGAAGTTTGTCTTAGGTTGAGTTATCTATGAAGCAGAACCTCGAAAAAGAAATCGAATGCAAATAGTTTATATGGGAGGTTATTGCAGGGTGCAGGTGATAGGGTAGTGGGGATATGAGGCTATGGATGGAAAAAAAGACAATTTAGTGTGCATTAATTAGGTTACTACTCTATACTTTTATACTTTATAACGAATATTTAAAAGCCATATACAGAAATAAACACATGCATATGTAATCATACTTAGAAAGACTTGACAACACACATGTCCACCAGCAGGTTCCTTAAGAAAAATGCCACCTTGGATAAATGTCAATGCATTTATATACAAGGTAACATTGTAAGCAACTCCCTGACTTTCTAAGAAATAGTGCACAACTTCTTAAAATACCTCATACACACCTTCATATTCGTTTATTCAAAAATTGTCAAAGATATATTGCAAAAAAATTGTATTTTTTGAAATAGATATTATGGGGAATTACTGCTTTGTGAAATACAGTTTGGGAAATATTCATCCAATGTAAAGCCTGTTGGCTGGTAATAAAAAATGTAGACCCTATTTGCTCTTTGTTTGTATTTTTTCATACATAAGAGAGTTATTTAACTTTGTTTCCTTAACAGGAGTTGGGAATGATTGCATCAAATCTCTTTACTCAGTTTTTTTTTTTACATGGTAAAATAATAGCAAGGAAAGAAAATTGAATAAAATCTAAATACTCCCAACAGACTATTGTATTTAACAAAGAGAATTTTTATTGATTTTGTTGTATTTTTATTCCCCAAAATCTATCACTGGCTTACAACAATTATTTAGTTATGCTGAAAAATATATTTAAATTGATTATGTATAAATACAGATTTGCTTATAGTTTCTGCTGTTATTTTTTGTGAACTTAGAAATGTTAAAAATGAAAACCATGGGATTTCTGACCATCTTCATTAAGTTATAATTTACATACAATAAAACACACTGATTTAGAGTTCGATGACTGTGACACCTGTGTAAACCCTTCCCTCTATCAAGAATACTTTTTCCCCATGACTTTCATTACCCACTCACCCCACAGCACTCCCTCCTACCCAGGAAGCCACTGTTATCATTTTTATCATGTTGAAACATGTATATGTGTTTGTATCGCATTTCTTTCACTCCGTATAATGTCAATAAGATTCCTCCATATTGTTATATATAGCTGCAACACACTCATTTTTCTTGTTGAGTAATGTTCCATTGTAATAATATAACCAAATTTTGTACCCATTCACTGTTGATGGACATATGGATTTCAGTTTTTGGCCATGATTTCCACTTTTTGATTTTTGTTATCAATAATGCCATCATAAACATTTGCTACTGAAGTCCCCTGTGGACATTAATTTCATGTTATAAGAAACTGAAAAAAACAGTTGTTCAAAGTGGAAGTACTATTCTACACTCTTACTCTCAATATATCAGGGTCTCAAGTGTTCTACATCCTTGTAAATAGTGTTTTGTCAGTATTTTTAAGTTTAGCTATTCTGCAGGGTGTAATTGGCACCTGATATGGTCTGGATGTTTGTCCCCTCCAAATCTCACGTTGAAATGTGATTCCCCAGTGTCGGAGGTGGGGCCTGGTAGAAAGTGTTTGGATAATAATGAATCCCTCATGAATGGTTTAGTGCCCTCTTTGCAGTAATGAATGAGCTCTTGCTCTGAATTTAAGAGTGGTTAACTCTGGTTGTATAAGAGTGTGGTTTTTCCCATCCCCCCACTCTCTTGCTTCCTCTCCCTTGCTCCCTCCCTTGCCATGTGATGTCCTGCTCACACTTGGCCTTCTGCCATGAGTAAAAGCTCCCTGAGGCCTCACCAGAAGTGAAATAGATGCTGGTGCTATACTTTCAGTATAGCCTGCAGAACTGTGAACAAATTAAGGCCCTTTTCTTTATAAATTACCCAGCTTCAGGTATTCCTTTAGAGCAATGCAAAAGGGACTAACAACAGCATCTCTCTATGGTTTTAGTGTGCCTGAGGGTATTATCATCCTTAGAAGATTTTGGCCCTGGGCGTGTTATTCTAAGTGTGTGTGTGTGTGTGTTTTCATGAACAAAACTTTAAGATTAAAAAAATATAAGATAAGTTGGAATCAGGGACTTTGAAGTAAATATGTTTAAAAAAAAACAACCAGCAGCAAGGAACATTTAAATAATGATGAGATGTTTGTTCATCCAAAGTAATGTATTTATAATAAAACAAGAAAGTAAAAAAGAATATGTATTTATAGTAAAACAAGAAAGTAAACAAAAGTTGTAGGAAGAAAAAAAGGAAAATGAGTAAAAAGAAAAGTTACAAAACCAAACTACAAAGAATTTGGTAGTATATAAGCTGACTATATAATTTATTGTCCAATTAGGGTACTCTAAAGAGTGAAACGGGGCTTTAAAGAATGGTTAAAATTAGATAATTTAACAACTTTTTTTGATCAAAATAATTAGTTTTATTATATTGGTGGGCCTATAAAATATTTTTATGAAAACCAAATTTTAAAACATTTTAAAATTTTAAAAACATTTTTTCAAAAAATTAACAAATCTGTACACATTAAGCAACATTTTAGAAAATATGTAATATTGAGTATCTAAAAATAACGATGTACAAATTTCAATATTGAAATTCATCCTTGTGATGTGGAATATCTTAATTTGTGAGAATAATCATTTGATAGTGTTCCTACATTTAATTAAATCAGCTTATATCCTATATCAAATTTGAAGGAATATAAGAAATCTTTGAATTTTGTCACACCTACATTTGGCAAAATAATCAGAATATAAATTATTATTTGGTGAGTTGTCTGATACACATGTTTGCTAAAGACAGAGTCTGTGAAACAAGACCAAAAGACAGATACTCTGGAAAAATTTAAGCTATAATATTTATATATTTACATGACAAGTTTATAACTGACAATATTCTCTAATAGTAGTTGTTCTACACATTGCAATTCTAACATATATAGTGGCAATATTTTTATAAAGCATATTTGGGTCCAAAGAGATGAACTGATTAAAGTTGATAATTCCAACTTTTATAACCACAAAACGTGACTTTGAAGAAAGGGATATACACTTTTGTGAACAACTAAGAAATAATAAGAGCATGGTAAAACAAAAAAAAACTTCAGAAATAACCAGGGATATATTAAAAGCAGATATGAATAACAAATATTGACATATGTATGTACATTCTATTATAATCAATTTCTTTACATAATATGTAATTCTCAAATTTTCAATATAAAATAGTTATTTTGAACTAAACTACTTGTTATTATGTTTTAAAAAGGATTTTCTTTTTCAAAATTGTTTTGGAATAGTATTTTAAAACATCCATATTTAAATTGTCAGGAAATAATAATGTTTTTTGAGATGAGTTCTTGCTATATTACCCAGGCTGGACTTGAATTCTTAGGTTCAAGCAATTCTACTACCTCAGCCTCTTGAGTTGCTGGGAATACAGGATCAAGTCACTGTGTCTGGCTAAATAACATAATTTTGTGCAATTCTCCAGTATATCCTTTGGTATGGCTTGGACCTTTGTTGCCACCAAAATCTCATGTTGAATGGTAATTCCCAATGTTGGAAGTGGTGCCTGGTGGGAGGTGACTGGATAATGGGGGGGCAGATTTCCCCACTGGTGCTGTTCTCATGACAGTGAGTGAGTTCTCAGGAGAACTGGTTGTTTAAAAGTGTGTAGCACTTCCCCCTCTCTTCCATCTACTCCAGCCATGTGAAGATGTGCATGCTTCCCCTTTGCCTTCCACCATGATTATAGGTTTCCTGAGGCAACCCCAGCCATGCTTCTTGTACAGCATGTGGTAGCATGAGCCAATTAAACCTCTTTTCTTGTAAATTACCCAGTATCAGGTATTTCTTTATGATGGTGCAAGAATGGACTAATACATCCTTGTTGGGCAATAGACTTATAGCTGTTAAATGATGTCAGTTCTTCTGAAATAAATACAATTCAATACAATTCTGACCAGAATTCCTATAGGAACTTTTGTGACACTTAAACTGCTTTTAAAATTTATATATAATGCTAAAAAATGCATTACTATATATTATTGTAGGTCTAACATGATTTAAGACCAGGTGACGTTGGTTCATGGATAGAAGAATAGATGAATGGAACAGAATCAAGAGCTTAGCAATAGAAATATGAATCCGTGGAAATATGGTGTATGATGTCCCTGGCATTGCACCCCAATGGGAAAAATGTATCAGACAATAAATATTTCCGAAACATGGGAAACAAATATTATCCTTATTTCACACCCTACAGAAAAATTCCATGTGAATCAGAGGCTTCAATTTGGTGAGGTTAGCACTATGATTTCAGAATAGGAAGATAATTCCTAAGCTATATATTTCTATTCACAGACCATAAAGGAAAAGATTAATGCATTTTTCCTGAAGGAAAATATTAATAAAAGTTTCCATTTGTCAAAGAACAGCATAAAAGATTAAAAAGAGCAAAGAGTGGGAGAAAGTACTTACAGCACAGCTTCTGAATATTAAAAGTAGAGAATCATCCTACTCTTCAATTAGAAAACTTCATTGTTATGAATAGGTAATTTCCAGACAGGGGAAATGCAGGGCATACTAAAAGCACATGACAAAAAATCTGACAAATCTGAAAATTCTCAGAAAGCTGGGGAATGGACAATTGTCCTGCACTGCTGAGAAAGTGTAAACCGACAGAGTGATTCTGAAGAGAAATCTGTCATTATTTAGTGAGATTGATTGTATATATACCAGATGATGCAGCTATCCTATTTTATGACATATAACTCAGAAAAACTATCACAAATCCCCAGAGGGACAGACATGAGTATATATTTATCAGATCATTAGTTAGTGGGCTCATCAGACAATCTAAATGGCTACCTGTATCCATTTGCTAGGGCAGCAGTAACAGAGGGTCATAAACTACATGGGTTCAATGATAGAAGTTTATTGTCTCCCCGTTCTAGAGGCTAGAGGTCTGAAATCAGAGTGTCAGTGGGTTTATTCTTTTTGAGGGCTATGAAGGAGAATCTGTTCCATGTGTCTCTTCCAGCTTTGGTGATTTGCCAGCAATCTTTGGCATTCGGCTTATAGATGTGTCACCCCAATCTCTGCCTTTATCTTCCTGTGTTGTTCTCTGTCTTTGTGCCCAAATTCCCCCCTTTTATAAAAGATATGAAACATTTTGGATTAGGGCCCACCTTAATGATCTTGCCTTAATTTAATTAAGTCTGTAAAAACCCTACTTCCAAATAAAGTCACTTTCAAAAGTTCTAGAGGGTGAAATTTCAACACATATTTTTGGGAGGACATAAGTTGGCCCATGACAGTACCAGTAGAAATGTAAGTAGTTAAAACATATAGGACTCTTCAGCCGGGCACGGTGGCTCACGTCTGTAATCCTAGCACTTTGGGAGGCTGAGGTGGATGGATTTCCTGAGCTCAGGAGTTTGAGACCAGCCTGGGCAACATGGTGAAACCCCATCTCTGCTGAAATACAAAAAAATCAGCCAGGTGTCGTGGCATGTGCCTGTAGTCTCAGCTATTCGGGAGGCTGAGGCAGGAGAATTGCTTGAACCCGGGAGGCAGAGGCTGCAGTGAGCGGAGATGGCGCCACTGCACTCTAGCCTGGGCAACAGAGTGAGACTCCGTCTCCACAAAACAAACAAACAAACAAACAAAACAAAACGTATAGGACTCTTCAAAGGAGTACTAAAGTAGATTAAAAATATAATGTCGACTTTGCTAAAGATTATTAATAGCTCATTACCATTTAAAGTAAATTTGAAAAAATACATAAAGTACATTGCTTATTTTGTAAATATTAATGTATTTTATAACAATATACACCACAGCTATAGAACCAAATCATTACAGAGGTACATAAGGAATAGAAAGGTATATGTACCCAGAAGATGATGAAGGGAAAAATAAAATGAAATAATTAAATTATTTTAAAATGAAATCTAATAAAATATGAATATGAAATTTATAAATAAGAACTGGTCTTACAGAATTGATTAGAATTGCTCATCCTATACTGAGTAATATTACTAAATTGAGTTTGTGTTCCTGAATTCCCAAGTAAAACCAAAAATATTAAAAAATTAGGAGATTCAAAGCAAACATTTTTTCTTCTATATTTTCTTGAAAAACTCAAAACTTAGCCCACTGTGTCTTTACTCCTTTATGGCAACAAAAACACTGTTCCTGAGTAGCAGCTGTATCTTTGAAACGGGACTTATGTTCTTGTAATAGCATCCAATTCGGTTTCACTCATCTGTAATCAGTTTGGCACATGTAAACATGTGTTTGAGACTATTTCAAAGTGTCTAGCAGAACAGGTGAGGCGATATAGATAAATGAGAATTTTGATCCTGACTAGAATGTATCACGTTTAAAGTATGTTTGTACAGTCAAGGTCAGTAAATTATCTTGATTTACTGTCTAAGCCCTGTTGCCTACAATCTTATTTTCCACCTTAATACTGTTTCCAATTCAGAGTCTATAGGAGAATCTCTTTCATGGCTTCCAATATTATTTATTTTACTTGCATACACTTATTCCTACTATAGTGTTATGTATATAAAGAATGTCTATTGCAACTGGAGCTATTGGGAATAATATTCTTATTTTGGAATGTAATAATTTTGCTCATTTGATATAATGCATTTTAATCTGGCCAGTAAAATCCAACCTTCTCTAAACTGCATGTATTTTTAAATTTTTAAACTCCTTATTCAGGTGAAAACAATTCATAATAATGTTCACTAAGCATTGTCATATTTTTCCCCGGAATGTTTGCACTCATTGAAATGTCTACCAACAGTACAGGAAAGTGTCTATTTTCCTTCATCTCCTCTTCTGACTTGTACTTTCTGTACATTATTACTTTTTAAAAGATGTCAAACTGTCTATCAAACTCCAATAATTATCTATGCAAATGCAGTACACACACATGCACATGCACACACACCATCCTTTCTTGTGATAGCACTTTTTGTTTTGTAATGCTGTTGAATTTCATTTATTGCCAACACTCATAAGAGACCTGGGGATTGTTACACAAATGGCATTTCATTAGCAGATCAACTCTCTCTAGGCTTCCTGAAAGCCAGAAAAGAAGACTTTAGGCTTATTACTTTGGGAGTGATTTAACCAAAATTGTGTATCTTCTGCTAGAGGTGAGTGGTGAGTCATAGAGGTGATGTAATTCTAAATCTTACTGAAGTAAAACTGCATACTTTCATATTTAGAGATAAATGTGGAGGAAAAGGAGAGAGAATACATTAGGAAAAGAAAGAACAGAACTAAGATTTGCCTCTCTGTTCAGTGAGGACAAAATTCAAACTATCTCCTTTGCAAATAACTTTATGCATTGCATTTGATGTAGAAATAGGATTATTGAAACCATAAATATCAACTTGATAGAGTTGTTAAAGGCATATATGAATACATGAATTAGTGTTTTTTTATGGCAGAGAACATAGGCGTTCCCTTCATTACAAATAAGACCCAATTTTTTTTTTTCAAACTAGAGTTCCTATGAGAAATGGCAGCTCTCATTGACTTCACTGGATAGTGCTGATACGTATATAAAATGTCCTTGAAGGAGCTCAGGCATGTGGGTAGAATGTTAAGAAGTGGGGTGCAAGCAGTGACTTGTATGCTTGCTTGTTTTGACCTGCCCTTTGTGTTTTCACTATTGTTAAGAGAAGGGCTGTCCCAAGAGGCTGCTGCCCTTCAGCCTGGGTCTCAGAATGAGATGTGGAGCACACGTGAGAAGCCTAGGCCCGTGGAGTGAAGCAGAGCTACCCTGCTAAATCTAGCTGACTCCCAGACATGTGAGTGAACCCAGCTGCGATCACAGAGCTTTACTGGTGGATGTGTAGATCTGTGAGAAAAAAAATTCATATTGTAATATGCGGCTGGTATTTGGGGACTGTATATTTTGAAGCAATAACTATCAGCTACATCCTGCAACAGAAGTTCTGAATATTTTTGTTTTCCATTTGTATAGTATAGTCCTTTATTATGTAAAGACCTGATTTAAAAGACCGTTTTATGTGAATGTACCATTATGTAAATCTCCTATTTTTTCTTCACCTCAGAAAAACACTCTTCTATTATTTCTTTGATTATTGCTTCTAAACCATTGCTTCTGCTTTCTTGTTAAGGAAACTCAAATGTATTTATTGGACTTTTTATTCTTTCTTTTTTGCTCTTTGTTATCTCAGCATTGGTCACATTTTAACCTGAATTCTGAATGGACTTACTATTACTTCCACATCATTGATTCAATTTTCTATAGCCCAGTTCATTTTTTTTTTTTTTTTTTTTTTTTTTTTGCTCACAGCAGAGCTTTAAGCCCTCAAATGTAGCTTTCCTTTTTAATGATACATTTATGCTTTCCTTTTCTTAATATATTCTTTTAACTTTTGAATTTATTTCTCATTATTATGTTCCCATAATTTGGACTGAGAACACAAACGATTTTGTTTCTAAAACATTCTTCTGTTTTTCAAAACAAATTCCTGTTGGTGTGCCCTGCTGTTTTAATGATTGCTCTGGAATTCCTTGTTTTCAGCGTTTAAGCTAAGAGTGAGTTTCTAGTCAGCTGTCTCCTAGTTAAATGTGTGATGTTTAGTCCTCCGTGTGTATGTGCTACCCTAAGGAGGAAACTCTTAGTTTGTATTCTGTTATTGTTTCTCATGATTTTTGTGTCCCAAATATAGAGAAGGCAGTTAAAGGGGTAAGGGTTGGGGTTAAATTTCAGTACCAGAGTTCTCAATAATAGCCTATTAATAAAGCATTTAATTAGTTTTTCCCCTAAAATGCACTTGTCTGTTATAGATATTCTATATTCCTGAAATATAGTAGTTATTTAACAAATACTGCTTTTAAATAAACAAATAATAAATATATCAGAGTGTTTCCCATTTGACTGACGGAATAAAAAGCCATTTTTTTTGGTAAAGTTTCTTTGACTTTTAGCAGTCAGTTTTCTAGAAAACCTGTGGTATTTACCCTGTACCCACTACTGCAAATTGTTTGAGAACAGTCTATCAATATCTCCACATAGTACTAAAGTGGCTTTCTTAGTACTTATTATCTTTAAGCTGGAAAAAAATGTGTTCAACAGAATGGAGCAAATCATTCATGAAACTTTTCTATTAAAGCTCTACTCCGGATGAAGGAAGGCTTCGAATCTCTAATCAAGATTCTGTTTTAATTGTGTTAAATATTCCCATTTAAAATGAGGTATAACAAAAAGGTATTAAACTGAAAGTCCTAGCCTGGAGAAAAATGTAAATGTCTTCAGTGTTCATCTCTATATCTGTTCTTAATTCTTCCCCATCTTGCCTACTGTTCTAGGAGACAGAACAGAAACAAGAAGGAAGGGAAGACTGGGGAAAATTGAGTCTGAGGGAGCTATAAGTGAATGGACCTTTGAGAATGGTTAGAGGCTGTAATCGCAGCACTTGGGGAGGCCAAGGCGGGCAAATCACGAGGTCAGGAGTTTGAGACCAGCCTGGCCAACGTGGTGAAACCCTGTCTCCACTAAAAATACAAAAAAATTAGCTGGGCATGGTGGCAGGCACCTGTAATCCCAGCTACTCGGGAGGCTGAGGCAAGAGAATCACTTGAACCCGGGAGGTGGAGGTTGCAGTGAGCCGAGATCACGCCACTACACTCCAGCCTGGGCCACAAGAGCGAAACTCCATCTCAAAAAAAAAAAAAAAAAGAAAAAAATGGCCAGATTATGAAGATATTTATGTTTCCTTAAATTAAACAACTGGCAATGAGAAAACCAGAGGAAGAAATTTAATTAACTTTCTCAAATCCACAGAATGGAATGCATTATAAATTTGTACATGTAGAAGAAATACCTTTAATGTTTGACTCTATATTGAAATAACTGTAAACCCCTTCAGGATGGAACAAATTACAGACGGTGGGAAATACATATTGAGACTGTGCAAAAGAGAGAACCTATGACAAGAGATCTAGGTCTAGGAGTCATTTAAGATGAATCTTTAAGTCACCCAATGAGACTGGCCAGAAAGACATGGGGACATTTGTATCAACAGCACGCAAGTAAATAGAGCAGCACAGACACTAAAAAAGAATAACCTAATATGGGAATTCACATTCCAGAGTGAAAATCATGAGCAGGAGCCACATTCTGAACAATCAGGGGATAAAGTGGCCACAGGACACATGAGGCAGAAACAATGGAGGTGTAAATAATCTGGTTTAATTCTGGAAAACTAAGTCTTACTCTTACAGTGTTCTTTTTCATGAGAGAATTTTAAAGAGATAAAAATTTTAATCAGTGCTACTTACCTTAAATGCTAAACCTTATTGTTACTACCTGTCAAGTGCTATAGCAAACCCACAAAGGTAGAAGATTAAGAAGATACCACCAGATTATAGTTGTAAAATATTTGAGATCAGTACATGAGCTCATATGCAGTGGGTGGAGTGAAAGTCAGGTATTAGTGGATTGAGGAGTGAGGGATATAATGACCACTCCGATAACCTCTTTAGCAATTTATTGTTATCATTTAATGATAATCCTGTATTCCTACAGTGCAGTCATCCAAGAAATGCAATCCTGTATTCCTACAGTATAGTCAATGCAATCCTGTATTCCTACAGTGTAGTTTAATGCAATCCTGTATTCCTACAGTGTAGTCATTGAAGAATTTTGGTTTTCTGAATGTTGAATAAGAGTGGAAGTAGAGTATAAAAATCTACTTTTCATGCATCTTTCATGAAAGAAAGGGTTAGAGTTAGGGCCAACTCTGAGGAAGGGGTAGGATCTTTGTCCTTAAATTCCTAAAAATCAAAATTAAAAAAAAATAAGAAAGATGTTTTCCAGTGAAAAAGACATCCTACATCAGATGTTTTTTCTGCCCATCAGAAACAGAGAATTTCCAATGAAGTTTAAAAAGCTTTAAAAATATAGTATTAACAATAACTGAAATAAAACAATTTTTTCTTGATTTGCCTTTGAAATGTACACATTAGAATAAAAACGGTTCTGTTACATAAACTCTTGCCTTTCAGGAATCAATCAATTCTGTAAGTTATTGTGGGAGTCCAAAAGACAAAATAATATTACAATAAAAACTATGTCAAGAGTGGTGTGTGATCATTTTATTTATGTAACTACTAACAAATTACTGCTTTGAACACGGGTGAATTAACTATCATTGTGATGTTTTGTGATTTAATACAAGAGCTTTGATTCCACAGAGTTTGATTTTTTAGAGCATTTAATTATGAGAAGTATTTAATCATTTCAAAGAAGTATTATGCCATTTCCTGGACTGTGAATAATATGAATATAAGATTATAAATCACATTTCCTTCAAAATCCTCCCATTAACATTTTTACATTAAAAACAAGAACAGAAAATAATATATCAATAGATTAAGTTTTAGAAAATTTAGAAGGAATTATAAGTAAAGGTACTCCTCTTCCCCTCTGCCCCAAAATATGTGTGGCCCTCAGGGATCAGCAGACAGCCTCCTGTGGCTCACACAACAATATGGCTTTTTATCCCATGATTTTCCACGCTAGATGCTGTCTTTTTTTGGAAATATGGGTTTTTTTTTTTTTTTTTTTTTCCTTTTCTTGACCCAGGTCTCTCACCTCTCTCATAATGTCTTAGTCATTAGGCCCCGAACGTTTGGAAAGCTTCCACATGGAATTGTTTTCTCTCTGTTTTCCATGTGCCTGGAACATTTTGGATTATAAGAAGTTGGGAAAAAGCAGCCAGAAATGACTGCTGACAAGTGAGAGGTCTTCTGTCCTGACTGAAATACAATATAACTGGAACTTCCTGACATTGGTCCCCCTGAGCTTAACCCTTCGCCATGCCTTGCCGCTGAGAACCTTGGGGAAGGTTCTGGCTTTCCTTCTACTTAGTGAGCACTCTGCTCATGTGTCTTCACCCTCCTAGTAAGCCTCTTTTAACATCAATTTGTGGTTTAAAATTGTCAGGAAACCAAAAGGCAAGAAAAGGGACAAGGGAGAAGTGAATAAAGTTATATGGCTTTATATTTTAGAAAATATGGTCCATAAATAACAAATTACTTGCTGAAGCGAGGCAGAGCAAAGAAAAGCCTTGAAAACACATGTGGAAATTACTGTTTGTCGTAGACTCCAATGGTTCAGATACAGAATCATGATTAAAAGCAGAAGCAATTTATTTCAGTAGAATCACAATAGAGAGATCTATTAGATGCCAGAAGGTAACTATCTCTCTGAAGTTCAAAGCCTGCAGACATGGATAATACATAACTTTGTCTCCTGAAAGATTACATGTTTAGCTAGAGCTCTCGTTATCTGAGGAATGGTAGACTAAAATAAACAAAATAAAAATAAAACCATTGTATTTATGCCAAATAATTGTAAAAAACAGAAGATGCATATACCATAAGCATGCTTTAGTTGCATACAACAAAAGCAAAATTTAAACAATTAACAAACGGAAGGTATTAGTATGTACCCAAATTGCAGACATTTATTTTTTCCACTTATCAAGTATTTGTGTATACCTTTCCTTTCCAGGCCTACCCAGAGACTAAAATAGACATGTTCATTGACTGCAGATGTCATGAGATGTACAAGGTCAGACATAATCAGATCCATGCATGTTTGTATCTTTTTATAAGGTCAGGCTTTTATTGATGCTTATTTATTCATAAAAGACACAAGCTACATGGAGTTCCCAAGGAGGCAAATCTCCTTAGTATTATCTGTTCACTTGGCAGTCACAGCCAAGAGCACACAGGCTCAAGCTGATCTACAAGTTAGTCAATATGGCAAACCATACATAGTAGTATAATGAATATATACATCTGATAGATTAAAATTTCCACATCACAGTAACATTTAACATTGAGAGAAAACCGTGTAGTATGGGGAAAGATGTTAATGAACCAGTCCAAGGATAGCAACACGGACAAGGGGAGTGTCTTGGACTACCATCTTTGCAACCTCTGGTGAGGGCTGTCTTACACCTCTGTCTTGACAAACATCTGGTCCCACTGATATGATGCCATTTGAAATATAAGATGAGGTCTTTTTCTAAAATGGAGTTACTCGTCAATGGTGCGCTATACAGTGGATATTGTAATTTAGAAGAAAACAAACAACTTTTTATAGATATACTTCTGGATATTGTGAACCCCGAAAATTTGAGACAGGTATCATCAGTTAATTTAGAAAGTTTATTTTGCCAAGATGGAGGACTCAGCCGCATGACACAGCCTCAGGAGGCCCTGACAACATGTGCCAAGGTGGTCGGGGCACAGCTTAGTTTTATACATTTTAGAGACACAGGAAACATCAATCAATATATGTAAGAAGAACATTGGTATGGTCTGGAAAGGCAGGGCAACTTGAAGCAAAGGCAGGAAGACTGGAAGCAGGGACGGGGCTTCCAGGTCACAGATAGGTGAGAGACAACAAACAGTTGCATTCTTTTGAGTTTCTGATTAGCCTTTCCAAAGGAGGCAATCAGATATGCTTCTATCTCAGTGAGCAGAGGGATGACTTTGAATAGAGTGGGAGGCAGATTTGCCCTGAGCAGTTCCCAGCTTGAAAGGGCCTAAGGTATTTTCCTTTCACATTTTCCCCCTTTTCTTCTTAAAAATCTTTTGGAGAAAGTATTTTAGAAGAAAATGAGTCTCTGTTTCATGCGCGTCTGTGTGAAGAGACCACCAAACAGGCTTTGTGTGAGCAACAAGGCTGTCTATTTCACCTGGGTGCAGGCGGGCTGAGTCCGAAAAGATAGTCAGGGAAGGGAGATAGGGGTGGGGCCGTTTTATAAGATTTGGGTAGGTAAAGGAAAATTACAGTCAAAGGGGGGTTGTTCTCTGGCAGGCAGGAGTGGGGGTCACAAGGTGCTCAGTAGGGGAGCTTTTGAGCCAGGATGAGCCAGGAGAAGGAATTTCACAAGATAATGTCATCAGTTAAGGCAGGAACAGACCATTTTCATTTCTTTTGTGGTGGAATGTCATCAGTTAAGGCAGGAACTGACCATCTGGATGTGTATGTGCAGGTCACAGGGGATATGATGGCTTAGCTTGGGCTCAGAAGCCTGACACTCTGGTCTCAGGTTTCCACCTGATCTCTTACGGCGAGGATGGTTTATTCCTAGATAGGTAGGTCCCAAAAGCTCATTTTTAGTAGGTTGTGAAGTCTCACATCCTAAGAAGAGAAATTAGGGAGAGGAGGAGAGAAAAACAAAACAAACAAAAGAACAATCCTGGGAAATTAATATAAGCCACATTACTCTGAAGTCTATACATCAGTAGGCAGGTATGAAAGTGGCTTATGTATGTAAATAGGTTACGGTTATTTTCTTTTGAAGTTTAAGTTGTCTGGTTTCAGTCTGCAGGGCTTTAAAAAAGCACAAGTTAGTTTTCAGTGACTCCCAATTAGGATAAATGGAAAAAAAGAAGGAAATACAATAAAACATTATTTTGAAGACTTGTAGCCAAGAAAAAATTAGAATTCAGCCCAAACTGTAGAAATAATAAAAATGGAAAAAACATTACGGCAAGATTAGATCCTGACAACAGGTGTACTATAGTTTTTGAAACATAATTTTTCTCTCTCCAGTTTCCCATTTTACTAAAGACAAATCATGGTAGGACTGGTTTTCTTTATTATACTTTACCTAATTATTAGTATGCATTGCAGCAAGAATAATTATTTTTACATAGGCTTTTAAATTGTCTTTAATGGAACTTTGTTCCATAGAAGGAATCTCAGATAAGACTTTTTAAAAGCTGAGCAGAGCCATGGATTTGTGCCATCAAATATCTATGAGTTGGGTGAATTTCCTCTCCTCTTGAGGTTCCAAGATAAACCTGGGCCTTCTGAGCCTGTCAGAAGGTGACATTATTTAGCACAGGTCAGAAACCCTGTACAGGGACTGAATACACACAATACGAGGCCAGTTTTTCCAAGGGCTTTATTGGCTCCATAACTCAAGTTTGATTCCTTAAAGGAGAGCACACCATTCCAGTTAAAGTCTTGGTAAAATAACAAGTTTCTCCAATTGTGTCCTGTTACAAATGAAAACAGATTCTTTTTTGTTTGTTTGTTTTTTTGAGATGGAGTTTCACTCTTGTTGCCCAGGCTGGAGTGCAATGGCACGATCACGGTTCACTGCAACCTCTGCCTCCTGGGTTCAAGCAATTCTCCTGCCTCCGCCTCCTGAGTAGCTGGGATTACAGGTGCCCACCACCACACCCAGCTAATTTTTGTATTTTAATAGAGATGGGGTTTCACCATGTTGGACAGGCTGGTCTTGAGCTCCTGACCTCAGGTGACCCACCTGCCTTGGCCTCCCAAAGTGCTGGGATTACAGGCATTAACCACCAATCCTGGCCTGAAAACAGATTCTTATTGCACTTGTGCAAATTACTATTTTGCCATAAGTTGAGAATACTCACAAATAGTTTCCAAATTCTGGATAAATCAGGTAGAGAGAAACAAATATGCTCCAAATTTTGTTCACAGGACTATACTAAATTTTTTAAAGCTGTGAGTAGTTCAAAGGAAAAGTTTTAAGACTCTGAAAATCAAAACAAAGGATCAGCAAAGATTTTAAGCAAAAAATTAGAAAGATTAGTTCAGTCCATGCAGTTAATTTCTGTTCTGCTTAATATTCATGAACATTTTAACTCTCCATGAGTCCTGAACATTTTTTCTCTATTCCAATGTTACAATCTTCGAAGTTATCAGAAACCTGCATTCAAGATCACCTGTTAAAGTTTTATAGCTGATTGTAAAATCACCTTCTAAAGAGAACCAAAACGAGACAACAATTGTCCATGGATAAAAAAAGGTTTTAGGGCACCCATAGTCAAAGACACAATTGACGAAGAAATTTATTACCTCTGTGGTACACAATAACTTTAACATAACAATTATGCTTATTACTGATAATGCACTCTAAGTCATATCAAAATAACAGGAGTTTTCCACAATTTTGGAACACATACCAATAACATATTTTACAAATACAGCCCAAAGAAAATCAAGCACCATTTAATATTTGACAATTCTTCTGGTATAATTTTTATACCAAATAAGCCAAATAATGTCATTTTTGGACTTTAGAGAAATTAATATCTTAAAGGATTAATTAGGTCAGAAAAAGACATAATTTGTAGTTTGATTTTGGAAAGCTTGTCAAATGTAAAAGTTTTAAAACACTTGATATCACAAAATAGGATTACAGGTCGTTGTGAAGTCATTCATGTAACCAAAGTGATAACTCAAGCATTTCAAAAAAGTAAAAACCTTCCTTCTTTGCGAGATGAGACTTGATTTTCCAAATAAGAAGTCCTAATAAAATTGGGAGGCTGAGGCGGGTAGATCACGAGGTCAGGAGGTCGAGACCATCCTGGCTAACACGGTGAAACCCCATCTCTACTAAAAATATAAAAAATTAGCCAGGCATAGTGGCGGGTGCCTGTAGTCCCAGCTACTCGAGAGGCTAAGGCAGGAGAATAGCATGAACCCAGGAGGCAGAGGTTGCACTGAGCTGAGATCGCGCCACTGCACTCCAGCCTGAGTGACAGAGACACCATCTCAAAAAAAAAAAAAAAAAAGTCCTAATAAAAATCGTATGAAGCCAATTAAATTTGTTTTTCAAAATTTTTTAACAATCTATAAAATTTAATATTGATCATAAGATATAACTTCCATAAGCCTTTTATAACCTTTATAACATTTATTAAGGAGTTGGTTAGTGCTTCAAGAAAACCTTGCTAATCCGACACAGGGGTCCATATGCTGGTCTTGCATCAGTGTGTCTTTGACATTAATGATTAATTTATGGAGAAACTCAACTTATTTTATCTTTCAAAATTGGCCCTTATAATCTTACGTGCCCACCTCTTCTGTGATAGTCCCTGGGTCTTGAGAAGTTGAATGGCTTTAATTTCTGGCCCTGTGTCTCAGGAATGCAGTTTATTTTGATTGGCATCTTCTACAGGGCCTGAAGATGAGGCTTTAATTGCTGTCAGTGTTTAAGATTTAGCAGGACTTGGTGTCCCTTTTAGATCCAGGACTCAAAGCCCTGTAACTCAATGCCACAAGAAATTTAAAAGCACATACAGGAAGATAAATGGATGTAATAACCTTAATTCAAATATTATCTTAGTTTTTTTCCTAAGCAAACTAAAATTTAATAATAATATGACAGCTTGATCATACTAAAGTTTTTTTTTTCCAAAACAAATCCTCTTATTGTGACTTACACCAACTGTTCAAAACGTGCTTGAGACTTTCTGTTTTTTCCTGAATATCCCTCCTTCTTAAACAACCAGTCATTTTATCTAAGACTAAATCTGCCATACAAGATGCTTTCTCATATAAAATTGTTTCTCTTTAAGCTTTCTTACCACACACACAAAATCTCTTTATTTTTATAATTTTCTTTACATCTCTTTTTTATTTCCTGGTTCCTTTTACCTTGTTTTATATATAACCTTTAAATAAGCTTTGAATTAGACAAAATTTGTTCACCTTTTTTTTTTTTTTTGCAAGAACGTTCTCCTACAATATAGATTGGAAAATACCCAAATAATGAAATATCTATTTAACTTAATACAACTTTAGATTATAAATTATGACATTTGTCTACAAGGATTTATCTTATTACTTTTACCTAATTATTTTATTTTAATGGTTTACCTACATTATTTATGAAAACTGTGACAGTTATGATTTAAAGTTACAGATTACCATTGCAAAAATATAACTAAGGCAGTGAAAATGATATGCCTTAACTGACTCCATCTTGCTTCTAGCCTCCAAGCTGTCCTTGTTCATTTCTGGACTTTGGGAGGAACTTAGTTTATGGTTTAGCTTTGAAACAAAGACAGTAACAGTCCTTTCCCAAAACAAACCTCCTTACTGCCTGTGGACTAGACTCCCTAAAGCCACAAGATTAGAAGTCATGGTAATCTTACTAAATTTAAGAAGCAGCAGTTTTCATTAATTAAACATCAATGTCTTATTTATTAAAAATTATACAAGCAAAGATCACTCTGTTTTGGGCTGGGTTTATAGTTTTGTAATCCCTGTGCCAAATTTTGACACCTTATACTATTTGGCAGGGGTAAGTATTAAATTGCCTGATTAATAAATGCAAAAAAAATGTATGCTGGCAATTTCTCAGACATTTCTGATATTACTTTACTAATAATTTTTAAAGCTAGCTTATTTATTAAAGATTTTACTTAATTTGAAAAAGCATTTGACTAGACTTTTCTTTTTTCCTGATAAAGTATTTGATTTAAATGCTTTCATTTTTCTTTAAGCCAATTAATTAGATCCCTTTATGTATTTTCAGTAGTGAAGCATTGTATACACAATACATAAATACATAGATGTATTGGACAGGTCGATGGAAGTACATTTTATAGATTCATAAAGACCATGTATTTTTCCTATCTGAGACTTTTAGATCCTTGATAACCTGTTTTACAATCCTAGGCAGTTGATAGCTAAATAGCCTTAAATTTGCATATTAAAGGAAACAACTCAGGTGAAAATTAAATAGCAAAATTTCCATCATAAGGTACAGAGAGAAAAAGTCTGGTGGTGCTAGAGGGAGATGCCTTTACAGTGCACTTAAAAAGCCTTTTTTTAAACAAAGAAATTTCTGAGTGTCTAAACTACATTATTCCTTAAAAACCCAAGTGTAGTCTCTGTTGTAATAACTATTTTAGTCAATAAATCAGGTGAAAACAGAATTCAGTCAACTGATAAGAAAGAAAAAAAATGCTTTTGCTTGAAAAAAGACAAGATCTTAGAAGAGAAAAGCAAACAAACAAAACCAAAACCATGAAGGCCTTTTAAATACAAATATGCACACACGCACACATACACGTACACACTTTGGATGTTATCCTTTTAGTTAAGCTGACTTTTAACCATTAAACTTTTTAAAACATCTTTTTAAATCTCATTATGTATATCAGCTAGGACAAGATGCTGCTATTTCAGTAGCACTGCCATTGCTCTTTCAGTTTGGTTTGACTGGCAAAAAGTGGTCTTGTTATGTAAGTAAATCCCCTTTAGTAGTCAAAATCAAAAGTCTTTTCTCTTTTTCTTTTTCCTTTTTGCTGGCCCTTTTCCTCCCACTTCAAATGCTTTCTTCCCCAAGGAACTCTTCGGATTTAACCAAGTTGGGACGTGTGTCAGACCCAAAATGTGCTGCTCACAGACCTAGCTCTTCAGGGTCATGACCCCCTGAACCTGTTTGGTCCACCCATGTCTCAGCTACCTGGCACAGGGTGTCAGGGTCTCAAGGTGCAGGAGGGGTCAGCTCCTTATATGTACCTGCTGTCTGAGGTTAAACCCCAAGTATGTTCTTCTGCAGGGGAAGCTATTTAGAGCCACTGCTTGTCTTAGGAAGTGTTTCTCCCAGACTCCTTCACATGATTCTCAGTAGCTGGAGAATGCCTTGAAAGGCTGAGGGGAGCAAGGTGCTCTTATTTCTTTGGAGTGGAAGACCACATTAATGAGCTAGAAGGTTTGGAGTTGTTCAAATATGATAAGGGAAAGCACTGAAACACACACACACACAAACCCAACAAGACCAGAAACAAACAACAAAACAGTTAAGGAAAACTAATAAATGATCACACAAATTGCATGATTTCTGAGTGCTCTAAGTGTAAGCAGAAATTAACACCAGCTGCTTGTTAATGCTAACTTTAGTTAGTTTAAAAGAATTTGCAAGACAGAATCCCAAACCAGCTTCTTAGCTTGTGATGGGTCTCAGGCTGTAGACTGGTATCTACCATCCTAGAAGCAGGGAAAAAAAAAACTCCTCTTCCATGTTGGAAGTGAGCTCAAACTCCATAAAGGAGTTACCTGCCTTCCATCGTCATGAAAGTAGGAAGACATGCCTTCCTTGTTGGAAGCAAGTAGGTCTCCAAAAAAAGAGGAGTTGTACAGCAAAATAAACTTTAGATCTCGACCAAATTTTGAGAGATCAGGGATTCGCTGGAGAAGGTGTTCAAATACCTCCACAAATTGTCCTATTGGTTTGAGCCATAAAGTTAGCTGATGCGGGTACCAAACACCTATAGGAGATTTGTGAAAGGTCAGCAGCATCTTCACTTGGAATCCCCCTGTGGTTACCAAAATGTGAACCCCCAAAATCTGAGACAGGTCTCAGTTAATTTAGCAAGTTTATTTTGCCGAGGTCAAGGAAGCACGCCTGTGACGCAGCCTCAGGAAGTCCTGACGACATGTGCCAAGATGGTCGGGGCACAGCTTAGTTTTACACATTTTAGGGAGACATGAGACATCAATCAATATATGTAAGAAGCACATTGGTTCAGTCTGGAAAGGCAGGACAACTTGAAGCAAAGGCAAGAAGACTGGAAGCCAGGAGAGGGCTTCCAGGTCACAGGTAGGTGAGCAACAATGAACTATTGCATTCTTTTGAGTTTCTGATTAGCCTTTCCAAAGGAGGCAATCAGATATGCATCTATCTCAGTCAGCATAGCAATAACTTTTTAACAGAGTGAGAGGCAGATTTGTCCTGAGCAGTTCCCAGCTTGAAAGGGCCCAAGATATTTTCCTTTCACAATCTGTATGTGACTCATTACAAGCTGTAATTTGCAGTCAGGGTTATAGGACTATGAAAGTCAGAGCTACCATCTGCACCCTTCTTGCATGGATTTTTTTCCATGTGGTAAGAAGTAACTCTTGCCACCTCTGGGATAACAGTCCTATAGCACTGGGATCCAAGGGGGAAAAATAAATCAGTTTATAGTTCACTTTGGAAAAAAACTCAGGAAAAATCTTTGATGGTCATGTCTGAGGGCATATGCAAACAAGATCAAGATTTTTTTTTTTTTAATTTGTTATGTCTCATTCTCTATTTTTAAGTTTTTAGTCAAAATCTAAAAAATTGAAAATATTTTACTAGAAATATTTATCTAGAAAAATGTAGATGCAAAATGAGCAAGTTTGTGATTTCTGGAACTAGCTAATCACAGCAGTAGTGAGAAAAAGAATCACAAAGGAAAATACAGATAACATTTCTAAACCTTTAAAATTAACCATAAAAGACCAAAAACAAAATTAAATGCAATTGCAAACATAAGAATATAGAGAAAAGGATAAAGAATGTTCTTATACATTAAGAATAAAAACATGAATTATCCAAAATAATATAGATAAAATCTTTTTAAAAAAACAACAAAAAAGGAAATACAAAGAGCCAAGAACCATATGGAAAAATGTGGAGAAATAATCAGCATCATAAACATAAAAATAGTTTTCTGTTGTAATCAAGGCAATTTAATATTGGTACAGGAACAGAGCAGCAAACAGAATACAGAGCAACAAACCCAATAAAGTCCATAAATAGACCCACATGTATATGGTCTTAACCTTAAATTTTCACTTCTTTGGATTAGGCCAAGAATTTTTAGATAGTCCACAGAAGGCATGGGCTATGAATAAAAAATATAAGTTTGCACTTTATCAAAATATTGTATTATTAATTCCATTATTTGATGTCTGTTTCTCCTGTTTTCTCCTGCAAGAATCCTCATCAAATATATGTTGACAACTTGTATACATCTTAACTTTGTCTCTCAATTTCTCCGCGCTCCCTTTCCTTTCTTGTGTAATTTATTTGCCCATGACATTTTCTTATATACATAAGTATATTTCTGAGACTATTAAATACATGCAAGGGAGGAGACCACCCCTCATATTGTCTTATGCCCAATTTCTGCCTCCAAAGAAAGAAGAAGTAAAAACTAAAAAGGCAGAAATGAAATCCAGAAGCAGACAGCCCGGCGCCACACCCTGGGCCTGGTAGTTAAAGATCCACCCCTGACCTAATCGGTTATGTTATCTGTAGATTACAGACACTGTATAGAAAAGCGCTGTGAAAATCCCTGCCCTATTCTGTTCCGTTCTAATTACCAGTGCATGGAGCCCCCAGTCCCATACCCGCTGCTTGCTCAATCGATCACGACTCTCTCAAGCGGACCCCCTTAGAGTTGTGAGCCCTTAAAAGGGACAGGAATTGCTTACTTGGAGAGCTCAGCCCTTGAGACAGGAGTCTTGTCAATGCTCCCGGCCGAATAAACCCCTTCCTTCTTTAACTCGGTATCTGAGGGGTTTTGTCTGCGGCTTGTCCTGCTACACATGTATCTTAATGTCAATTTCTGTTTTTAATAATTTTTGTGTGTGTAAATTCTTCCATGTGATGGTTTTTATTTTTCTTTTATTCTGCTGTTTTCTTCAAACATTTTTTGGCTATTCCTTGGTTTTTACCATCTGTGGCAGAATTGATTCTGCTCTTTTCCATACGGCCAGAGTAGCAGAATGCCGGCAGGTCCTTGGTGGCTTCCCTTGTGTTACAAGCAGGTTTGTGCCTTAACCTTAAATTAGCATTTGCTAGGAGCTCAGCCAAGCTGGAAGAGAGGGTTGAACTTCCAGATATTGGAGTAGCTTATGAAAGCAAAAACACAGGTCTTATTTTAGGGAATGTCAACAAATTACCTTGTCCATTAAGATAATTTCTCATTTGTTCTTTTATGTTTTATAAAAGCTATGTCTTCATTAACTTATTTTGAACATTTTTAACATTTCTGTTGACTTGGTGCATTTGAATGGGTGTAAACACATATCTCAAAGTTTGTAGACTATGTCCGTGTGCACTGCTTACTATAGTTATATCTGGTGAGTGGGAAGAATAAGATGATGTTTCCCAATTGCTAGTTCAGACACTTTAACATTATTTGAATTGTTTTCAATTTTGATGTTAATATTGTAATTTTTAAAAAAGTCTAAGAAGCAGCTGGGCATGGTGGCTCACCCCTGTAATCCCAGCACTTTGGGAGGCCGAGGTGGGCGGATCACGAGGTCAGGAGATCGAGACCATCCTGGCTAACACGATGAAACCCCATCTCTACTAAAAATACAAAAAATTAGCTGGGCATGGTGGCGGGCGCCTGTAGTCCCAGCTACTCAGGAGGCTGAGGCAGGAGAATGGCGTGAACCCAGGAGGCGGAGCTTGCAGTGAGCTGAGATCGCGCCACTTCACTCCATCAGCAAGGTAAAATTCTGCTGAGAAGTAAAATAAAATTGTGATTTTTCTTATTTACTTTTTATTTAGCAAAATAAAATAGGCCATTAGTAACCTTAAGAACAGTAGTTTTATTGATCAAGTTTAGTAACATCAGAGAAAACTTTAAAAAAAATTGTTAGGGAGTTGTCTGGTTTATTAATTCAAACTATTTTAATATTAATTAAAACAATTTTCAAGAAAAGATAGAATCCCAAACAAGCAAAATTTTAAGGCATTTAATAAATACATGGTTGTCTCACATATCTTATGCTTCTCTTTAGTGAGTACATACTAATATATAAAGAAAATTTCTGACAAGAAATTATATGTTAAACATTAACCACATTTAATATTCAATTATTAAATGTAACATTAAAATTATCACATAAAAGTATTTTATGAAACTTTAAGTGTGTATATACATTCTTTTTGATATATGTATAATTTAATTTCAACTTTTATTTTAGATATGGGGGTACATGTATAGGTTTGTAACATGGGAATACTGTGTAATGCTGAGTTTTGGGGTACAGCTCCTGATATGGTTTGGCTCTGTGTTCCCAACCAAATTTCATCTCGAATTGTAATCCCCACATGGAGGGAGGGACCTGGTGGGAGGTGATTGGATAATGGGGGTGGATTCCCCCATGCTGTTCTCGTGGTAGTGAGTGAGTTCTTATGAGTTATGATGGTTTAAATGTGTGTGGTTTCCTTCGCTTTCAATCTCTCTCTCTCCTGCCACCTTGTGAAGAAGGTGCTTGCTTCCCCTTCACCTTCCACCAGGATTCTAAGTTTCCTGAGGCCTCCCCAGCAATGTGGAACTGTAAGTCAATTAGACCTTTATAAATTATCCAGTGTCAGGTAGTTCTTTATAACAGTGTGAAAATGGACTAATACAGATCCCATCACTCAGAGAGTGAGCATGGTATCGATAGATGGTTTTCTAACCCATGACCAACTCCCCGTCTCTCTGTTGAGTATACTGCAGTGTCTATTATTCTTGTATTAATGTCCATGTATGCTCAATGTTTAGTTCCCACTTATAAGTGAAAACATGTAGTATTTGGTTTTTCTATTCCTAAGTTAATTAACTTAGGATTATGGCCCCCAACTATATCCAAGTTGCTGCAAAGGGCATGATTTCATTTTTGTTATGGCTGTATAGTATTCCAAAGTGTCTATGTACCCCATTTTCTTTATCCAATCTATGCTGATTAGCATGTACGTTGATTTCATGTCTTAGCTATTGTGAATAGTGCAACAATGAACATATGAGTATATGTGTCTTTTTGGTGGAATGATTTATTTTCCTTTGGGTACATAGCCAGTAGTGAAATTGCTGGGTCAAATGGTAGGTGTCTTTAAGTTCTTTGTGAAATCTCCAGACTGTTTTCTACAGTGGCTGGACTAATTTACATTCTCATCAACAGTATAAAATATTTCCTTTTCTCTAAAGCCTCACCAGCATCCGTTATTCCTTGACTTTTTAATAATAGCCATTTTGACTGATGTGAGATGGTACATCATTGTATTAATTTGCATTTCTCTGATGATTAGTAATGATGAGCATTTTTTCATATGTTCAGTGGCCACTTGTATACCTTCTTTTGAGAAGTATCTGTTCATGTGATTTGCACATTTTTAATAGGCTAAATGTTTTTTGCTTGTTGATTTGTTTAAGCTCTCTATAGATGCTTGTATTAGCCCATTCTCACACTGCTGTAAAGAACTACCTGAGACTGGGTAATTTATAAAGAAAAAAGGTTTAATTAAATCACAGTTCTGCATTGCTGGAGAGGCTTCAGGAAACTTACAATCATAGCAGAAGTTGAAGAGGAAGTAAGCACCTTCTTCACAAAGTGGCAGGAGAGAGAGAGCAAAGAAAGCCACACACTTTTGTTTTTTTTTTGAGATGGAGTCTTGCTCAGTGACCCAGGCTGAAGTGCAATGGTGCGATCTCAGCTCAATGCAACCTCCGCCTCCTGGGTTCAATTGATCCTCCCACCTCAGCCTTCTGGGTAGCTGGGATTACAGGCACTTGCTAACATGCCTGGCTAATTTTTGTATTTTTGTAGAGACGGGGGTTTCACCATGTTGGCCAGGCTGGTCTTGAACTCCTGACCTCAGGTGATCTGCCTGCCTCTGCCTCCCAAAGTGCTGGGATTACAGACATGGTGTAAGCCACCACGCCCAGTCAGCCACACACTTTTAAACCATGATATCTCATGAGAACTCACTATTATGAGAACAGGCACTGGGGAGCTGCCCCTGGGAGCCAGTCACCTCCCACTAAATCCTTCCTTCAACATATGGGGATTACAAGATATGGGTGGGGACACAGAGCTAAACCGTATCAATACTGGGTATTTGACTTTTGTTGAAAGAATGGTTTGTGAATAACTTCTCCTATTCTGCAGGTTGTTTGCTCTGTTATAAGTTTCTTTTGCTGTGCAGAAGCTCTTTGGTTTAAGTCCCACGTGTCTACTTTTGGTTTTGTTACAATTGCTTTTCAAGACTTAGCCATAAATGCCCTACTAAGGCCAATGTTGAGAAGAGTATTTCCTAGGTTATCTTCTAGGAATTTTATAGTGGGAAGTCTTACATTTAAATAGTTGATTCATTTTGTGTTAATTTTTGTATATGGTGAAAGGTAGGGGTCCAGTTTTACTCTTTGACATATGGCTAGCCAGTTATTCTAGCACCATTTATTGAATAGGGGGTCCTTTCCCCATTGCTTGTTCCTGTCAGCCTTGTCAAAGTTTATGGGTGTATGGCTTTATTTCTGGGTTCTCTATTCTGCTCCATTGGTTTATGCATCTGCCTTTGTATGGTGCCATGCTATTTTGGTCACTCTACCCTTATCGTGTAATTTGAAGTCAGGTAGTGTGATGCCTCCAGCTTTGTTCTTTTTGCTTAGGATTCCTTTAGCTATTTGGGCCCTTTTTTGGTTCCATATGAATGTTCTAATAGTATTTCTAATTATCTGAAGAATAACATTGGTAGTTTGATAGGAATAGTGTTGAATCTGTAAATTGCTTTGAGCATTATGGCCATTTTAACAACAGTGATTTTTCCAATCCATGGGCATGGAATGCTTTTCTATTGATTTGTGTTTTCTTTCATTTATTTCAGTAGTGTTTTGTAGTTCTTCTTGTAGAGATCTTTCACCTCCTTGGTTAGCTCTATTCCTAGGTATTTTATTTTCCTTTTGACTATTGTAAATGGGAATATGTTCCCGATTTGATGCTCAGCTTAAACATTATTGGTGTACAGAAATTCTACTAATTTTTGTACATTGATTTTGTATCCTGAAATTTTACTAAAGTCATTTATCAGTTCTAGGTATCATTTGGCAGAGTCTTCAGGATTTTCCAGGTGTAGAATCATATCATCAGCAAAGGGAGATAGTTTGACTTCTTCTTTTCCTATTTGGATGCCCTTATTTCTTTCTCTTTCCTGAACGCTTGAACTAGGACTTCCAGGACTAGGTTGAACAGGAGTGCTGACAGTGGGCATCCTTGTTTTACTCCAGTTCTCAAGGAAAATTGTTAGAGCTTTTGTCAGTTGAGTAAGATACTGGCCATGGGTTTGTCATAGATGGATCTTATTATTTTGTGGTATGTTCCTTTGATGCCGAGTCTGTTGAGGGTTTTTACCATGAAGGGATGTTGGATTTATCGAAGGCTTTCTCTGTATCTATTGAGATGATTATGTGGTTTTTGCCTTTAATTCTGTTTATGTGGCGAAGCACATTTATTGATTTGCATATGTTGAAACAGTCTTGTAATCCAGGAATAAAGCCTTCCTAATTGTGATATATTAAAACTTTCTTATGCGCTGCTGGATTTGGTTTGCTAGTATTTTTTTTGAAGATTTTTCTGTCTGTGTTCATCAGGATTATTGGGCTGATGGTTTCTTTTTTCAAATCCAGATTTGCATGTCTGGCTGATACTGGCTTCACAGAATGAGTTAGGGAGAAGCGCTTCCTTCCTTGATTTTTTGGAATAGTTTTGTGCAGGATTGCTTTCAGTGTGGTAGAGTTCAGCTGGGAAACCAACTGGTCCAGGATGTTTTTTTGTTGGTAGGTTTTTCATTACTGATTCCATTTCAGAAGTTTAGATATTGGTCTATTTAGGGTAACAGTCCCTTCCTGATTCAATCTTGGAAAATTGTGTGCTTACAGGAAAGTAGCCATTTCCTCTAGATTTTCTAATTTGTGTGCTTAGAGTTATTCACAATAGTTTCTGAGGATATTTTGTATTTCTGTGGGATCAGTGGTGATATGGATAAAAACCACCTTTTTCATTTCTGATTGTGCTTTTCTGGATCTTCTCTTTCTTTTTCTTTGTTAAACTAGTGGCCTATCGATCTTATTTATTTTTTTGAAAACCAAGTCTTGGTTTTATCGATCTTTTGTATGGATTTTTACACATCAATTTCATTAAGTTCTTCTCTAACTTCAGTGATTTATTATTCTTTTGCTAGCTTTGGGATTTTCTCCCCCCACCAGTTCCTTTCCCTTAGTTGCCCTAATTTCTTCCTTTCCAAAGTTAGATTGTTGATTTGAGATTTTTCTAACTTCTTGATGAAGACATTTAGGGCTATAAACTTTCCTGTTAACACTGCCTTGGCTGTATCCAGAGATTTTAAGTTGTGTCCCTATTTTCATTAATTTCAAAGAATTTTTTTTATTTCTGCCTTAATTTTGATGGTGGCCCAGGAGTTATGCGGGAGTAAGTTATTTAATTTCATGTATTTGTATAGTTTGGGGAGATGTTGATATTGATTTCTACTGTTATTGTACTGCGATTCAAGAATGTGCTTGGTATGACTTCAATCATTTTGAATTTATTGAGACTTTTTTATGATCAAGCATGTGGTTGATCTTAGAATATATTCTGTGTGCAGACGAGAAAAATGTATATTTTTTGGTTGTTGGGTGGAGTGTTCTGTAGCTGTCTGTGGTCCAATTAGTCAAGTGTCAAGTTTAAATCCAGAGTTTCTTTGTTAATTTTCTTCCTTGATGATCTAACACTGTCAGTAGGATGTTCAAGCCTCCCACTATTATTTTGTGTTTGTCTAAGTATTTTCATTGAACAAGAAGAGTTTGCTTTATGAATCTGGGTGCTTCAATGTTGGGTGCATATATATTTAGAATAGTTAAGGCTTCTTGTTGGTTTGTACCCTTTATCATTATGTAATGCCTTTTATTGTCCTTCTTAATTCTTGATTTAAAGTCTGTTTTATCTGATATAAGCATAGTGACTCCTGCTCTCTTTTCCTTTCAGTTTGCATGGTAGAATTTTCTCCATTCTTTTACTTTGAGCCTGTGGGTGTTATTATATGTGAGATGGGTTTCTTAAAGAAACCTGACATTTGGCGCTTGTCTTTTTATCAAGCTTTCTGCTCTGTGTCTTTTAAGTGTGCATTAATCCCATTTATGTGCAAGGTTACTGTTGATATGAATGATTTTCACTTTGTCATCGTGTTTTTAGCTAGCTGTTATGTAGACTTAATTATGCAGTTGCTTTATAGGGCTTGCGGGCTATGTGCTGAGGTGTGTTTTTGTGGTAGCAGGCTCTTTCAATTCTATGTTTAGCACTCCCTCAATAGGTCCCCCTCACCAGGGACCTGAGGACCTTAGGAGCCCCTCACCAGGTCCACTTCTGGGGATCTCTTGTAAGTCTGGTCTAGTCTAAATATATTCCCTCAGACTTTGCTTTCTGAGTAGGATTTTATTTCCTCTTCACTTAAGAAGCTTAGTTGGGCAGCATATAAAATTCTTGGTTGGAATTTTTTTTCTTTAAGTTGCTAAAAATAGGCCCCCACTCTCTTTTGGCTTATAAGGTTTCTGTTGAAAGGTCTGCTGTAAGCCTGATGGATTCCCTTTGTAAGTTACCTGCCCCATCTTTCTTAAAGCCTTTAAGATTTTTTCTTTTGTGTTAACTTTCGTGAATCTGATGACCATGTGCCTTGGGAATGGTTGTCTTGTATAGTATCTGGCTAGGGTCCTCTATATTTTTTGGATTTGCAGGTCAACCTCTCTAGTGAAATTAAGGAAATTTTCATGGACTATGTCCTCAAATATATTTTCACAGTTGTTTATTATTTCTCTTTCTCAAGAATGCAAATGAGTCATAGATTTGGTCTCTTGGCATAACTGCATATTTCTCAGAGGTTTTGTTCATTTTTCTTTATTCTTTTCTCTTTATTTTTGTCTGACTGAGTTGACTCAATTACCTGTCTTCAAGCTCTGAGATTTTTTTCTCTGCTTGGTCTATTCTGCTGTTAATACTTCTGATTGTATTTTGAAATTCTCGTAGTGACTTTTTCAGCTCAAGAAGTTTAATTTGGGTCTTTCTTAAAATGGCTTCTTAGTCTTTCAACTCTTGAATCATTTTACTGAATTGCTTTGCTTCCTTGGATTGAGTTTCAGCTTTCTCCTGGTCTTGATAAGCTTCCTAGCCAACCAGATTCTGAATTCTATGTCTGTCCTTTCAGACTAATTAACTGTTGCTGGGAACCTAGTGGGCCTATCTGGAGGGAAGCGGACACTCTGGCTTTTTGAATTACCAGAGTTCTTATGCTGATATTTTCCCATCTGGGAAGGCTGGTGTTCCTTTAACTGTGATGGAAATCTAGTATAGTCAGTTGGCTTTGTTTCTGGAAATTTTCAGAGGGCTAAGGCTCTGTACAGGTCTTTGTTGTTGAATTCTTGCCCTTGGTTTATAAGCAGGGAGAATTAGCAGAGTGACTTTTTCGTTGTTGTAGTTTGGGGTGCGATCCGGTAGATAGTGCTTGAGAGCAATGGATGGTAGACGGGCTCTTATTTAGCAGCATGGCTCCTTTGTGTACCCTTGGATTTGCAGCTATGCAAAGGGGGAGAGAGGTGCAAGGGGGAGAGAGGTGACCTCTCCACCAGGTCCACTCCTGGGGGTTGGGAGAGCCACCTCTGATCACTGACACTTGGCCAGCAATTCCATTTATTTATTTATTTATTTATTTTTAATTTGATGTTTCAGCCTCAGGGCTCCCTTGGACAGAGGTCCAGTAGGGAAATAGACCACATCCTTACTGGACCTGCCCTGTGGAGGGAGGCACATCTAGGTTCTAGGCCAACTTGTGGACCTGTGCAATTCACTTTTCTCAGTTTTCTGATAGTGTGGGCTCCTCCCCAACTAGAGTGCAGGGCACAGATCCTGGCTAGATAATCCTGAGCCATGGGCCATGGCCCTGGTGTACCAGGACCTGTTTGCAGCTCCCTCCTCCAGACCCTTGGGACTGGGTCCCAGGTGTGCTATAGGATCTGAAGGGCTCCCATGCTTCTGGAATGCACTTAGGTGGCACAAAGCACCCAGGCTAGGCAGTGGAGCTATGCTGTGTACAGGCTTCTGCAGGGTGGCCAGGTAGGAGTTCTGGGAGGGGCTGGCAGGCAGGTGGCCTGTGGGACAGATGTGCCTCAGTCCCACAGGGAAGGTGGCCCTGCTTTCTCCTCAGTGGTTAGCTAGGGCCAGAGCCTGTCAAAGGGAGATAGGCAGCCCTTGGTGGGTTAGGCTCCACCAAAGCTGTCCCTAGCACACAGATTCCTGGCGCCATGCTTGTGGCAGCTCTGTCTCTGTCTAATCTCTGAAGACATCCACCTACCAACTCAAATGTCCATGGCAGGTGTGAGGTCCCCAGGCTCCAAGTCCCTTCACTTACCCCTTCCTCAGACACTGTTTGAGGCCAGGAAGCAGCCCTAGCATTCAGTTACCCCACACAGAGTTTCCAGCTTCCTCCCTCTTCAGCCTCACTGTCTGCATCTTCTTTACATCCACATTTGGCATCTTCTTTACAAAGATCTGTTCAAATTATGTTGATTTAGTCAAAATCTCATCCTCTTTCCATGGGAGCAGCAATTCCCAGCTGCATTGAGTTGGCCGTCTTAAGACCCCAGTTGATGTATAATTTTTAAATATTTAATAGAAACTTTAAAATATTGGAAAAATTAATCTTACATTGTCACATTGCTCATTCTGAACTGTCAGCTTCCATGAGTTTAGTCATTAATTTAACTGTCTGAACTATGTATTCTTCAAATTAAAACAAATGACATAATTATTTGGAATAATTTTTATAAAGGTGGACAACATGATATTTCTGTAGTATTATTAAATTACTAATATTTGGGCAGCACTTAGCAAGTTAGATAATTGACTTAATAGTTTGTAAGATTAATCTCATTGACACGTCTTCTAGATATTATTTTCTCCCATAAATAACCATTGTTTATAAAATCACTGTCAAGGAAAGATTAAAATAATTTGATTTAATGAACTAAAATAAGTGGAAGGTTTGTTTATTAACTGAAAGAGTTCGGAGATCTGAGCTCAATACAAGATGAGTATACATCTTAAATGAAAAAAAGGGAATAATGGGAAAGAAAGAAGTCAAATGAATATCTCAACATTTTTCATCAAGGAAAATATACGAAAAAACATTTGCCTGTATTTTCATAAAGGCAAAATGTAGATATCTAATTAAAGTGAAGATGTAAAGAAGGACAGGCAACGCAGCTTTATTAACCTACAGCTGCTTTTTATTGACTGTCCAACATCCTTGATGAAGATTAGATTTTATCACCCACCGTCTCCTCAGGGTCCATCTGGGAGGTGGTGGGTTTTGACAGTTGACAAACACAGCTGAACTTTATCTATTATTCACAGTCTGTTTTCTATATGAATTTCTGTGAATAAAGTTTTCTACTGCTAAATTTTTAATAGTAAAATTGAGAATATTTTTCCTATTGCCATTTTTTCTTTTATTTTTATACAATTACATTCTTTTACGGCATCTTTTAATGTTGTCAACCTATAGAAAATAGTCAGAATTTTGTTGTAGTTCCTTACAAGTTCCACAACTCCACTTTTTTTTAATGACTTGCATATATATATATCATTTACTGTCTTCCATTGATCCATTTATTGGTCTGTATACTGGTATCACAACATTTTGATACTTTTAACTTCAAAATATGCCTTCATATCTGATAAGGCCATTAAAAACTGACACTGTGTCAGTTAAAACACAACCGGAGAGGAAGAACCAAGAGATATATATATTAAGAGATTTATTTCAAGGAATTGGTTAATGTTATTATGTAGGCTGGGTAGGCAGGTATGAAACATATGAAGCAAGCCATTAGGAAGAACAGGCTGGCAATCTCGAGCTGTTATTCATGAGGAGAACAACTTTATCAGGAATCCTAGGCTGTGTTCTTAAAGTCTTTCAACTAATTGAATCAGGCCCCCTCCTCAGATTATCTAGAATTGCTTATTTGTGATAATCTCCCTTATGTAAAGTGAATTTATTATGTACTTTCATCTCTTCAGAAAAAAATACCTTTACTTCTTTGAATAGATTAATGTTTGAATAAATGACTGGGAACTGTAGTTTAAACAAGTTGGCATAAGGAAAGGTAATCACAACTCATTACTTTTCTTTTTCAATACTATTTACTAGCCTCTGTCTTACTCCAAATAAATACCAAAGTTGCTGAAATATAATAATATAAAATGTTATAAAGGTAGTGTTTATTATTGTTAAAAATTGCTGTATCTTTTGCATAAGAAACAGAAAATAGCCATTATAAAATGCAAGACAGTTTAAGCAAATAGAAATTGAATGACAATTATTATAGTGAAAGCAAGCTAAAATCATTTTGTTACAAAATTATTCCTAAAGTGTAAGTTTGTCTGCCAAATTGCAGGTCAAAGAATTTCAATAGAATTGTCTATTCATTAACACTATTTTGGAAGCCTTCTAATGTATCAACTATCTCTTGAGCACAAAACAGTGTGACAAGATAAAACATTATCTGAAATGTATCAGTTAATTAGATATTAAGAATTCCTATCAGGTACTAATCTTTTTTTAAATTAGGAAAAATAGTAGGTTATCATCAAACTTTTGAAGAAAAGAAGCACTGCTGATCATTGTATGAATTAATGCAACTGCAGAGATTGTTTTATATAGTGTATATATATATCATGTTTTATATGCATTTGTGTAAAAACATATCATACACAGACACACACACACACACATAAAACAATACCAAATCATCTCTTGGTATTCATGGGACATGGGTTTCAGGAGGCCCATGGATACCAAAAATCTGTGGATGTTCAAGCCCTTTATAGAAAATGGCATAGTATTTGCATATATCCTATGCACGTCCTCCTGTATACTTTATCTCTAGGTTACTTATAATACCTAATGTAATTTAAATGTGATGTAAATAGTTGTCATACTGTATTAGTTAGGAAATAATGACAAGAAAAAAATCTGTATGTGGTCAGTACAGATGCAACCTTCCCAACCATTCATTTAAAAAAAAAAAAAATTTTTGGTCTGTGGTTTGTTGAATCCATGAATGTGGAACCCAAACAATATAGAAGGATGACTATAGATGTTCACGTGTGTGTGTGTGTGTGTGCACTGTGTGTAAATATGTGTGTATGTGTGTGTGTAGGTTTTTTAATTATATATATAGTTATATACACATACTCACATACATTGTTGAATTATCTTACATTTTAATAATGGGATTTCAAATAATGTTAATTTTAATGTGGACATGTTATAAGTGTGTAATTAATGGAATTTAAAATTCTGATATCCAAGGCTCAGAGCTGCATTTGTTAGCTTGGTTTATTTGCTGTCCTAAATAAATGATTATGGTTCACACCAAGAATAATCAATTGGTATCTGCTGGTAATAATGACCCTCAGACATATTTTAGTTTGTTGTGTTGTTTGGCTTACCCCAGTATTTTAGAATGTAGTGTAATTAAGATCACAATACCAGCATCTTATTATCATATACACACTACACTTGTCATGTTTTATGATCATTGTATCTCCTCTACCAGCATGTAAGTTTCTGAACACTTCTCTAAAAGTAAAGCATAATGTTCATTATTAGTAAAAATAATGAGAAAATAACCACTACATATGCTTTTACTATGTAACAAATAATCTAAATGATTTCATGTATTAATTAAAACTCTCTGAGTAAGTACTATTATTATGTCTGCTTTCAGATAAGGAAAGGGATGCATAGCAAGTTTAAATATCTTGCAGAAGGACACACAGTTTGCAAGTGAAGGAGCTCTAATTCGAAGACTGGTGGTCTGCATCCAGAGTTGATCATCCTAAATACCATGCTGAACTGGTTGCTCCCAAAGACTGAACAGTATTTTTTACAATAAGATATTCATTTGTACGTCAACAAATAGTTGCCAATTCTTTGTAAAATAAAATACAATGAACTGAATAAAATTTAATACATCAGAGTAAATTTTACATAGAAAAGTATGTATTATTTTCTTTTAGTTATGCAATTCCACTTATATGAGCTATCTAGTGTAGTCAAACTCACAAAAACAGAAAGTAAAATAGTGGGCTGGGGGAAGAGGGGCAGGGGAGGGGAATGGGAAGGTTTGATTTTGTAGGATGAAAATGTTCTGGAGATTGGTTAAACAACAATGTGAGGATACTTAATACTATTGAACTATACACTTAAAATTAAAAAGGTTAAGATGGTAATTTCTATGTTACGTGTGTATTTTACCAAAGCTAAAAATTAAAAAAAATTAGTAAAATTAGTCAGATAACTGTAAATTCTATACTTCTCAAATAAATCACATTATCTATAAAAAAAAGAAGAAGAAGAAAAAGAAAGTAATTGAGAACAGTTCATTTTTTTACTTGGAACTCTCCAGTAGTAGCTTTTCATCTCAGGATGAAACACAATAGTTCTTAACAATGGTCTTAAAGGGCCTGTTCAGTGTTCAAGTCTCAGTTTTATGTCACTCTCTCTTACCTCATTCTGCTCCAATCACACTGACTTCTGTGTTGTTTCCTGACCATTTCAGGTACTTTCTGGTTCAACGTATTGATACTTGCTCCCCTTTCACCTACCCACACAGGAGAACCAAGTTTATTTAAGAACCCAGAAGACTAGGGAAAAAAAGAAGAGCAACAATATCAAACTGGGAATCATAAATTATAGATTCTAACAGAAAGCCAACATATTAGTCCTCTGTAAAATGTGAGGCTTTGTATATTGTGTATTTATATTATTCTGGTTGTACCTAGCTGCAAAGGAGATTGGGATAGGCACTTCTTATTCTACACAACCATGTGCTACACCAAAAGCTGAAGAAAAAAAAATAAAAGAACAGATACTGAGTGATAATTAGCATTCTATACCATACAATATTGAAGGTGATGGCTAACCTTTTGTCCCAGTATGTCATGCTTATAAAAATTTTATCTTATATGCTTAATTATCACCTACTACATCCAGAGAGTGGTATATCCTATACAAAAACTCATATTGGTGAATGTTTACCTATTTATTAGATTTTTCACACTATACTATCTACTATTTTGGGGGAAAGTTTTCCTTATTTATTCAGTAAGTTTGTGCATTATCTATAAACATGGATCCATACCTATAACCTTTCAAAAACAATGGCTCTGCTATTTGAATAGAATATACATTTAGTTTTAAAAATTGTACCTCCTTGTGCAATCTTTGCAAAAAAAATCCTTTAATATTTGCCTTCACGTTTCTAAGCTGAGTTATTATGCTACTTTCACCTCTTATATTCACTTTTCACTTCAAAACTATACAACAAAAAGAGTAGCATTCAAATCATTTCTAGACCCCAAATTTCTTTTAATGGTACTATTAATGCCTAGCAGTTAGCAGGCCAGCAACAAAGATCTATTCTTTTAAGAATGATGTGCAAGAATCAGATTCTTGGTTATGCACTGGCTTAGCAATGACAGTTATGTTACATTCATTCAACTGATAGACCCTATTTAAAATTCTAAAGTAGAAAATAATAGATTAGCTTCAAATACATCCTGAGGGAAATAAGGCTTTTCAAAATGTATTTAGTAAAAGCCACTGTTTCACACAAAGGAAAAAAGAAGATGGAGATATGTGTGTGTGTGTGTATACATCTATATATACACACACACATAAAAATTTAAATTTATATATATATAAATTTATATATATTATTAATATATATATTATATATATAATAAATTTTATATATATAAAATTTAGTGGGTTTACATCTTTTTTTCTGTTCCACTGCCTACAGAACATGAATTTGAAGGCTTACCTATTATAATGAGATTATTATATTTCTAGCCAACATACGCTAATTAACTTCAATTTAATGCCTTTTGGTACAGTGTTATTGTATGGGATAAGCATTGCTTCTAAACCCATGAGTCAGCTATATTAAATAGGATTTGGAATCTTACCCTGATTAAAAAAATGACGTGAAAACCTTATGTTATTATGAAAACCAAGGGAACATTAAAAAAACATTATGCTGTGTTCAATAAATTTTTAAAGTTGTCTTCTACAAAATTAGAAAATTATCATATCTTAAGCTATGAGTGTTAGAAAATGTATCTCAAGAATTTAATCCAGGAAAAAAGCCTCCATTCAGATACACAAAAAGACATACAAATCGCTCTATTGTTTATTCTATAAAATCATGAAATATACTAGACCAGCCACTTTAGCAAACAAAAGCAATATTTTATAAAATTAAATAAACATTATTTAGAAAAATTTCCTATTATGATCCAAAATCTTACCTATTTGTACATGTACATAGTTTCATATGAAACTACTCCTATGACATTTAATTCAGAAATAAACCTACCTACTCAGACAAATACAAAGACACAGGTTGACCCTTTTCACCCTGTCTTCATCTCCTCCTATTCCTAGGCCTTTAAAAATTACGAGATAACTGGAGCAAACATTTTGAATACCAATATTATGATATCTAGTATATATGAAGGCACTACTTTATAATGTAAGAAGATGACAATTGTACACACAAATACAGACACACAGAATATTTGCTTATATGTATATAAGGAGAAATAGCAGTATTCAAAAACATTTCCATCAATATGAAAATAATGAACACCCATGGTGTAGTGATATAGTGCGGTACTATAAACCTCTGATAAAATGAATGGACTGGAGTTAAGTAGACAAATCTTATGAATATTTTATTGAGTGAAAGAAAAGCTTAATCTTTCAAAACAAATACGTTGCAGGCCTAGAATACATATGGAATTTTTACTATAACTTTAAAGTTGTATTTGTAATTTTTTAAAAAATTGGATCAATACTTGAAATGTCTTTATTGTAATATTTTTATATTTTAGATGTAGTTAAATTAATCTAGACTGAAAAATAAGATGTCTAAATATTAGTTATTAAGATTTAGTTAATATTATAAAACCTTATTCAGAGAGATATTAACATTTCAATAAGGATTACATGGAGACCAAAAATTAACAAAGTAAATAAAAAAGGATAATAGTAAAATGATAGAGTATAAAGTTGGTTTTTGAATTTTTAATTTAAAAATCAGATGAATGAGAAATAGTAACTTTTTGTTTAAATTTGCATTCCCTTGATTGCTAATGAGGTTAAATTTTTTAATCTAATTTTTGTTAAGCATCTATTCATATATTTTCTTTATATTTTCAATTGGGTTTTTCTGTCTTTTTCTCTTTGATTTGAGAAAGCTCTTTGAAATCCTCTATATGAATGCTTTACCTGTTTTATGGGTTATAGATAAATTCTCCCAATTAGTGTCTCTTTTTTTAAACTTTGTGATGTTCTTGGCTGTGATTCTTTTGATTCTCTTGTTTTTGGTATGTTGATACATGTACATATCTTTGCCACAATATTAATATTGTTTTAACCATAATAGTTTGACAAAAAGTGTTGATATCTATTAGAGAAAATACTTCCACCTTTTTTCCCCTGAATATTCTTTGCTGCTTTTGGTCAGTCTTCCATTGATCTTAAATTTTAAGATCATCTTTTGAAATCTCATTAAAAAACTGATATTTTGAATGGAATTGCATTGAATTTATAAATTAATTTGGAAAAGACTTGACATCTCCATAATAAATCTTTCCTTCCAGGTACATGGTGTAATTTTCAATATTAAATTTCAATTTTATATATTTAAATAATTATTTTAAGTTTTCCCACAAATGGCTTATCTCTGGTTTAATAGTTTCCTGGGGAGCTTAAGACTACTTTTTTTTTATTGTGACTGTAAATTTTTATTATGAAAATTGATTAATAGTGATGCATAGGAATGCAATTGATTTTGTATGTTGACCTTGAATCCAGTGAAGTTGGTGAACTGTTTCATAATGGCCACTATCTATTCATAAACATTGTAAATATACAATATTTCATTAGTAGAGGCAATTATGTTTATTCTTTCCAAGTTGATATTACTTTATTCTTTTTCTTTTTTCTTTCTTTTTTTTTTTTTGAGATGGAGTCTCACTCTGTCACCCAGGCTGGAGTGCGGTGGCACAATCTCAGCTCACTGCAAGCTCTGCCTCCCGGGTTCACGCCATTCTCCTGCCTCAGCCTCCTGAGTAGCTGGGACTACAGGCGCCTGCCACCACGCCCAGCTAATTTTTTGTATTTTTAGTAGAGACAGGGTTTCACCATGTTAGCCAGGATGGTCTCGATCTTCTGAACTCGTGATCCGCCTGCCTCGGCCTCCCAAAGTGCTGGGATTACAGGCGTGAGCCACCGCGCCCGGCCTACTTTATTCTTTTTCTTATAGTTTTTTATGCAACCTCCAATGAAATATTGACTAAAAATAGAGTTAACAAAAGTTTTGTTTACGTGTTTTTCTGTTCCTGGTTTAATGGAAATTGTTATGAATTCCACATTATGAATGTTGTTTGCTGCTGAGTTTTGAAAGTTATCTTTAACAGAGTAAGAATGTTACCTTTATGTCCCGGTTTAAGTGTCTTTTTTCTTTTCCTTTCCTCTTTTTATGGAGAAGAAAGTGAGGAATAATATTTTTATTAATCCTATATTATTAAATGACTGTTTAAGTAGCTATAGAAATTGACATAAAAAGCTGTTCAACATCATTAGTCACTAGGGAAATGCAAAATAAAATCACAATGGCATGTAATTACATACCTATTAAAATAGGTATAATAAAAAATATGACAATAACAAGTGTTGACAAAGAGGTGGAGCAATTGGAACCACTGTCCTTTGCTGATGTGAATATGATATGTTATGGCCGTTTTGAAAAACAGCTTGATAGTCCTTTATAAAGCTAAATATACATTTACAATACAATACAGCACTGGTAGTTCTAGGATTTAACTTAGAGAAGTGAAAACAGGTTCACACAAATAGCTGTATAGAAGCTTTATCCATAATCCCCCTAAATTGGTGAGATTCAAAATATCTTCTAACTGGTGAATACATGAGCAACGTATGATACATTCATACAATGAAACACTACCCTGCAATTACAACTGATAAGCTAATAATGTAGGCAAAAACATGAATGAAATCTCAAATGTGTGTTACTAAGTAAAAGAAAGAGGCTATATAGTCACTGGTTCCATTTATATGCCATTCTAGAAAAAAAATCACTATAGAAATAGAGAACAAATTAGTGGTATTGGAAGTTAAGGTCAGAGTTTGACTAAAAAAGGTAAAGACAAGAAGATTGTTTGGGTACGAACAGTTGTATTTATGATTGTGGTACTAGCTGAAGAACTCTAGACACTGTAAAGCCCATAGAACAAAAACCAGTAGGAAAAAGAATTGGGTTGTTTTCCTATGGTTACATTTTCAATGTTCTTTACATTATTTTAATATAAGCTCTTTCACAGGCATGTACTTTGCAAATATTTTCTCTCAGTCTGCAGCTTATTGTTCAATGTCTTAACAGCAATTTCACAGAGCAAAATTTTAATTATGATAAATGCCAATTTATTTTGTTATTGAAAATGCTTTTCATAGCATGTCTAAAATCTCTTTACCTAAGCCAAATTAAAAAAGATTTCCCCCCATGATGCTATCTAATACAAGTTTTATAGTTTTAAGATTAACATTTAGTGTGTCCAGAGCTGGTTCCTGCTGGTGGGTTCATGGTCTGGCTGACTTCAAGAATGGAGCTGCGGACCTTCACAGTGAGTGTTACAGCTTTTAAAGATGGCACAGACCCAAAGAGAGAATGGTAGCAAGGTTTATTGTGAAGAGCGAAAGGACAAAGCTCCCACAGTATGGAAGGGGATCTGAGCAGGTTGCCACTGCTGACTGGGGTGACCAGCTTTTATTTCCTTATTGGTCCCTCCCATGTTCCATTTCCATCCTATCAGAGTACCCTTTTTTCAATCCTCCCCACGATTGGCTACTTTTAGAATCCTGCTGATTGGTGCATTTTACAGAGCGCTGATTGGTGCATTTTATGATCCCCTTGCTAGCTACAGAGTGCTGATTGGCGTGTTTTTACAGAGCGCTGATTAGTGCATTTTACAATCCCCTTGCTAGTACACAGTGATGATTGGTGCTTTTTTACAGAACACTGATTGGTGCATTTTACAATCTTCTTTAAAGACAGGAAAGTTCCTGACTGGTGCATTTTACAATCCTCTTGTAAGACAGGGAAGTTCCCCAAGTCCCCACTCGACCCAGGAAGTCCAGCTGGCCTCACCTCTCATTAGGATTATGAACATTTCAGTTATCTTTACCATAAAATGTGAGTTATGACTCAAGGTCCTTTTTTTTTCATGTGGATGCTCAGTTATTTCAACTCTATTTGTTGAAATGACTGCATTTTCCTTGTTGAATTACTATTGTTAATTATCAGTTGGTAATAATAATGTGTGTCTATTTCTGGACATCTTATTGTTTCATAGATCTTTGAGTTTGTTGTTCTTTACCAAAACCACACTTTCTTGATTACTGTAGCTTTAGAGTATACTATAGTACAGTATGCTAAATCTTATATTTCACTTGTGTGACTACAACTTTCTCCACTTTGATAATTTTCTTAGTCATTTTAATTTGTCTGCCCTTCCATATAAAATTTAAAATCAGCTTATCTATATTAATTTTTAAAAACTTACTTGTATTTTGGTTGGTATTGTGTTACATCTGTAGATAAATTTGGGGAGAATTTATGTGTTTACTCTGTGAGATTTTCTAATCCATGAACACAAGAAGTCTTTCTATTTATTTAGGCCTTCTTTGCTTTCTTTTGTCAATGTTTTATAGTTTTCAGCAGAACAATCTTGTACATATATTGTTATTATATCTAAATATTTTATTTCTTAAAGCTAATGTAAATGGCTTAATTTATATAATTTAATTATTGATATATTTGAATGTATATCACTTTGCTACTTTGTAATATTTTTCCTATTTTTATGAGTTCTTTGTTTCTATTTTCCTGCATCTTCTGCCTTAGTTTGGACTGTTTTTTTTGGTGATTCCATTTTTGTTAGTACACTGGCTCCATTTAAATTTTTAAATTGTTCTAAGTTTTACAATACACATCTTTAACATCACAATTTACTTCAAACCATTTTAAACTGCTCAGAACATTATGCAAGCAATTTACTCCAATATACTTTTATCTTCATCTTCCTCTCTTTTTCTGCTATTTTTGTTGTAGATTCTACTTCTACATATGTTATACATTCAAACAATACATTGTTACTAATGTTTAAACTGTCACTTACTCTTAAAAGAAATTGAAAAATAAGAAAACGTACTGCATTCATCATTCCTTTGTTTCCATATATTTTTAAAAACTAACTTATTTTTAAGGAAGTTTACAAATGACAAATTCTTAACTTTTCTGTGTCTAAGTTTACTTTGCCTTCATTTCTGAAATATAATTTTGATGATGAGATAATTTAAGGTGACACTTTTGTTCAGAATTTAAAACTTCATTCCGTTGTTATCTTGCTTGCAGTTTCTGATGGGATAGGTACTATCATTTTTATCTTTGTTTCTCTCCATGTAAGGCTTCTTTCTGGGCTTCTAACAAAATTTCTTTTTCACTGGTTTTCAGCAATGACATTCTATTGTGCATTGTTTTAGGTTTTCTATATTTTTAACCCACTTGATGCTCATTGACCTTCATAAATCTGTGGGTTTTTAGTTTACATCTATTTTGGAAGAATTCCAATTATTATTACTTTAAATATGCTTTCCATTTTGCCCCTTTCGAGGAATCTATAAATGTGTGTGTTATATTGTTTGATATTGTATCACAGGAGAATGAGACATCTTTATAACATTGTCCTTTATTTTTTATTTTTATTTATTTATTTATTTATTTAGAGACAGAGTCTCGCTCCGTCGCCCAGGCTGGAGTGCAGTGGAGTGATCTCGGCTCACTGCAAGCTCCACCTCCCAGGTTCATGCCGTTCTCCTGCCTCAGCTTCCCGGGTAGCTGGGACTACAGGCGCCCACCACCATGCCCAGCTAATTTTTTTGTATTTTTAGTAGAGACGGGGTTTCACCCTGTTAGCCAGGATGGTCTAGATCTCCCGACCTGGTGATCCACCTGCCTCGGCCTCCCGAAGTGCTGGGATTACAGGTGTGAGCCACGGCGCCTGGCCAACATTGTTCTTTATAATTATCTTCATATCTTTGTGTTCACTAACTTTTTTTTACTGTGCCTAACCTGCTATTTTTCTTATCCATTGAATTTTTCATTACATTTCATTTTGATATATTCTATTTTCTTTTTCATGTTTTCTTTTAAATACTTGAATATATTTATAATAGCAGTTTTAACACTTTTGTTTCCTAATCTCATCTCTAATATTTCTTAATTATTTTTAATTTATATGTTTCCTGAACATTTTTACATTTTCTTAATTCCGGATCTGTCTACTAATGTTTGATTACATATTACACATCACAATTTTTATATATGTAGTATTTTTATAAGGATTTTATTGTCTTTTTTTAAAGGCCATTGGTTTTTGTCCAACTTATCAGTTGAATTACTTTTATTTTTTCTTTTGATGCTATTTTAATAAAAATTTATGAGTGTGGGTCTAGAGTAGCCTTAATTCTAGGGATAGCTTTAGCCAATACCAAGGTGTAGGCCTTCTAGTGTCTCTACTGCATGCCTGAAGTGAACGTTGAGGGCTCTCTTCTCTTGATGATAGGAATTAGAAATAATTTTCAACCCTGTTTAAGCTTTGAGAACTGTTCAGCTCACATCTCCTCAGTCATTCTTTGACTAATCTCCTAGAGTTTCACCCAATGCACTCACATCTTGGTAGTCATTAAAAATGTAAGAGGACCACTGTTTAGATTTTATTCTGCATAACTCCTTTCATTGTGGAACTCTGCCCTGTAGTTTCCAGCAGCCTCAGACTTCTGGAATGCCAACATGTGTTTCCTCAACTCGGTCTACCATATTCAAGTTTTTATTACCTTCCCTACCCTGTAGCTCTAAGTGAAACTTCAGGCAAAAAGTAGGGCAACCTCAAGGCCATCTCGTTTGTTCCTCCCATTTCAGATATCACAGCCCTGTGCTGCCTATTGTCCAGTGTCTGAAATGTTTGTTTTATACAGTATGTCAATTTTTAAAAATTACCTAAAGCATTAGAGTAAATCCATCTCTATTACTCTAATAAGGTCAAAAACTATTCTGAAATTGTGTTCCTTTCTGAGAGAAAACATGTTTCCAAAAATATCATATATTTTGGAGTCCATTGTTGGCTATGTTTTCCAAACTTGGGGTATAAATTTATTCCATATCTGCTTATTGGGTACCTCAATAGTAATATGTGAAAGGTAAGAATTTAAAGGATTTTTAAGATTTCTGATTGCTCTGGTATTCAATTTGGCTTTATAATGTGTATATATATATATATTTTACATAGAATTAGTAGTTTGATAAGAGAAATTAGTGCTTTGGGCTTATGAAAGCAGTATAATATGACAACTAACTGAGTCTGAATTATTACTGACATGACTGGAGCCTGGCTCTTTCACTACTGTCTTAATCTGTTTGGGTTGCTATAACAGAATACCTGAGACTGAGTAACTTATAAGGAATTAAAGTTAATTTTCTCATAGTTCTGGAGGCTGAGAAGTCAAAGACCAACCTGAGACTGAGTAACTTATAAGGAATTAAAGTTAATTTTCTCATAGTTCTGGAGGCTGAGAAGTCAAAGACCAACCTGAGACTGAGTAACTTATAAAGAATTAAAGTTAATTTTCTCATAGTTCTGGAGGCTGAGAAGTCAAAGACCAAGGCACTGGCAGGTTTAGTTGTCTTACGAGGGTCCACTCTCTGCATCTAAGGTGGCAGGTTAAATGCTGCATCCTCTGGAAGGGAGGAAGCCCGTGTCTTCACATGGCAATAGGTTGAAGGGCACAAAGGGACAAACTCCCTTGGCAAAGCCATTTTGTAAGGACACTTAATCTCATTTACGAGGGCTTTGTCTTCATGACTCATTCACTTCCCAGAGGACGCACCTTCCAATACTATTACTTTGAGGATTGAATTTTAACATGAATTTTGGAGAGTACAAAAACATCAAGGCATAGCACTTATAAGCCATAAGGACTTGTATAATTTTGTGGAAAATTACACAAATTACTCATACTCTCCATCCCTCACATTGCTCAGCTGTAAAATGAGGATAATAAAAGTACCTGCTTTACCGTGTTTGAATTACTTAATCAAATTAACTATATTTGCTGCACTTGGTGTTTTATAGTCATCGGGGATGCCTTGCTGCAGAATCTTAGGGACATCATTCACACTGTATTCTATTTTTTAGCACTCAGTTAATATTATCATTTGTTATTTTTCTTATTAACATTGCATGTGGGAGACATACTTCTGTACAAAATAAAACCTATATATATAAATTTAACTTCAGGCCATATAAAATATTTAGTCTTCTCTGCCAATTGTTTGTGCATTTTATTTTTTCAATTTACTTTAAGATTAAAAGATTTTTTTCCTCCTAAAATCCTATTTCATCATCTAAATTTTATCATTTTCAAGAAGTGGTAATATTAGCACACAGTTTTCTCTAATTTTGTATATTATAAATAAGTTCCTATAAAGTTATATGTAAATAAATATTAGAAACAAACCCTTGAAAGGCTTACTAGTTAAAACAAAAGTACATTATTTAGTTACTCAAGTAAAATTTTTCTATAACTTATATTGATGCCCAATTAAAGTTTTTCTGTTTTTCTCCCTGTTTGATACTGACAGTAATCACAGAGAGTAAGAACAATTACTCATAGGGAAAAGTCAATTAGATATATAACAAATCTGTCAACAGCTACACTGAGGCTAGAGCACAGAATAACACATGTTCAGGGAAAGAAAAGTCAAAATAAAACTGTAAAACCCCAAAAAAGGAATATTTCAAAAAAGATGTGACCACTTGTGTCAAATATTGGGTTTTTGTTAAAATTGATCATTGCATTTAGTAATGTAGAGTCATAGATGACCTCGACAAACAATTTTGATAAAGTGTTTAGAAAAATATCTGATTATTTTCAAATAGAATTAGAAAAGGAAATTGGAAGTAAATATCACATATGAAACTTCTTTATAGTGTTTTACTTTAAGAAATTAAGAAATGTGAGTTTTTAGCTAGAATGTAAAGTGAACAGAGGATTTGCATGCGTGTCTTCTCTGTGAGAGAAATAATAGCATTTCTCCAGACTAATAATATTGATCTAGTAAAGAGAGAAAAATTGTTTTTGCGGAATAGTCAGAAAAAAAATATCCTGGAGAAATGTCTTTGATGTGTTTATTTTAAAGCTGTTGGTATTGGACTGTGGAAATGTTCTTCTGGAGGATAAGAACAGGGATGCGATGTTGGGGTTTAATGAGAAAAGATAAAGTATGAGAAAAGTTATCTGTTAGAGTGAAATAATAAATGGCCCAGGAAAATACAATAGGCTCATATGGCATCCTTAAAGAGTCACTTGAAGCTAGTGATCATGAATTTCAAGTGACACTAGGCGGCATTGTTGAAAGTTTTTTTCCAGCCATATGCTTCTAGGTGAAGTGAGCCACAGATATCTGGCTGTGCGGAGTATATAAAGAGATGGCTTAATGAGAAACACATTTTTAACAATTAAGTGCAAAAATGGGTAAAATAGGTTGAGGATACATGAAAGGAAGCAAGTATAATGACTGACTAAGATAAGAAAGAAGACAAGAACAGACATTAGAGGTACGAAAGAAAGGGAAAATATGGTAAATGCAACTGATTCAAGATAATTGTGAGGTTACTGCAGTCTACAGATGGATTGATCACTATGAGTGGGTTGCATATGTTTGTAATGATAAAGTCAAGGGTATGACCACAGCAGGGAATGGCTGACATAAGATTGAAGACATGACCATTGGAGGAGACATGGGACGAAGATACCAGAGTATTGGAAAGAATCAGCAAAATAGAGCCAAGTGCAATGACTCATGCCTGTAATCCTAGCTACTCAGGAGGCTGAGGTGGGAGGATCCCTGGAGCCCACGAGTTCAAAGCTGTACTGAGCTATTCACACCACTGCACTCCATCATGGGTAACAGAACAACACTCTAGCTCTTAAAAAAAAAAAAAAAGATTCATCAAAATGGACAGACATTGTTGAAATAATTTTTAAGAACTATGACAATAGTTTTTCTGGAAAGACTGACAGTGATCTAAGAGGAGTAAGGTAGAATGGTAGGTGATTGGGTGTTGTAGTCTGGTGACATTATATACAAAGATTAGTGGTTTTATAGGGATAAAAGAGAGAGTAGACAGTAACAAGTGATTATTAGCGAAGAGGACACCAACCTTACCTGCAGACCCCACCTCTGACATGGGGTGTGAGGGGTTTGAGAATGACAACATTCACCACTTGAGATTAACACAAAAAATGATTATTCATTTAAGTGAGTGCACACACACACATACACACACACACAATCATGTTTCTGGATACAAAAATTCTTAACAAATTCTGAAAAACTCAAGTTATACACACTACAAGCTGTGCTCTCTGACTATAATGCAATAAAATTTAAAAAATTGTATAATCAAAGTTAAACTCAATTTTCCCATGTACTTAGAAACTAGAAATCACATTTTAAGTTTGAGGGTTAAAACAGAAATTATTATTACAACTATGTAATATTTGGAGCTCATTTAAATGAAATCATCATATATAAAGGCAAGCATTATATAACAAAAATTATACTTAGAAGAAAAATGTGTACCCATAATGTATGTATTAAACAATGAGTAACATTACTTTCTAAAAACATAACCACCCTGTTAGGCACTTTCTAATTCTTAAAGAAATGTCACATTATAGATATTTAGCTGATTTTATTAAACAGCCAAGGGCTCAGAGAGACTTAGCACCTCAGTCACGAAGCTACTTAGAAGCAAAGGGCAAAGGTTGGATTTGATTTTATATCTGTTTTATAATCCGCCAATCATACTGCAGGGAAATGAATACATAGCCTTAGCATGCTGAACTTACTAGTCATGCATCACTTAACTAAGAGATACATTCTGAGAAATGTGTGGTCGGGCAATTTCGTCATGATGTGACCGTCACAGAGTGTACCTATGCAAACCTAGATGGTAGAGCCTATCATACCTGGACTATACGGCATAACCTGTTGTTCACAGGCTACAAACCTGTACAGCACATTACTGTAATGAATGTTGTAGGTAGTTGTAGCACAATATAAAGTATTTGTGTATCTCAACATAGAAAAGCTACAGAGAAAATAATATATTATGATTTTATGGTACTACATGTGGTTCTTCATTGACAGAAACATGCAGCACATGATTGTACTTGTTCGCCTGTTTGTTTGTTTGTTTTTGAGACAGAGTCTTGTTCTGTCACCCAGGCTGGAATGCAGTGGCATGATCTCAGCTCACTGCAACCTCCGCCTTCTGAGTTCAAGTGATTCTTGTGCCTCAGTCTCCCCAGTAGCTAGGATTACACGCATGTGCCACCACACCTGGCTAATTTTTGTATTTTTAGTAGAGACAGGGTTTCACCATGTTGGCAGGCTGGTCTCAAACTGCAGACTTCAAGTGGTCTGGCTGCCTCGGCCTCCCACAATGCTGGGATTACGGGCATGAGCCACCGTGCCCAGCCACAAGACTGTACTTCTTTCCACAAAACCATAGTCTTTCTTTCCCTCCGAGAATGACTTGTTCTCCATCCTAACATCCAACCAGAGGAAGATCGCTGTCCCAGTATTTAGACATGGATTCTGATGACTTACATATGTGTATATATATTTAGATATAATGTTAGCCTCCCTTTTCCTCCCTGATAAAGCTCTGTTGTGTGATGGGAAATGAATGACTCCCATCAGATTGGATAACTTTGGCTTGCCTAAAGTGCAAGGACTACATACTGCTGCAAGTGCCTCAAAGAAAGTTCATAGAACTCTTTGTTTCTGACCATTTTGTGATGTCATTTTCTGAAAATTCACATTTCTGTGTCTCCTGTTGACTAGAATAATACAAAATCTGGAACAATTTGCTACTTTCTTATCGAAAGTGTTTTGCTGCTGCTTCCCTAGTGGCCTTGTTCCCTGCAGAGCACTCTGAATTGCATGATGCATTTTGCTTTTAGAGAAACAATATTTTCATGGTCTAAAATCATTACTTGGTAAGGAAGAACTTAATGTTTGTTCCATAATGCATTTGGCTCAGAAAACTTATATTTCTTTTTCCATATTTTTCTTTCTCTATAAAAGTCCAATTATAATTAGGAAAGGTGTTTCTCCACAACCACCTTATTTCTTTCTCTTGCCGTTGTTGAACCTACTCAATAAGTAAAAGCAAAACAAAAACAACAATGACACAATAATTTAAATAAAAAGGAAAAGGGGCAAGTTTTAAAATTTGCTTTTCAAAAATTTAGAGGCTTCAAAATGGGACTGTTCTTTTCCTGCCTGTATCTTATTTGGTATTAGCATTTAAACAATATCCAGTAAAACAATGCATTTGCGTTACTACATTTCTATTTAGGAAGCAAATAAACATTAATTTCTTTGTGGAAAAATATGCATATTTTAGAACTACAGATATTACAGTGAAATAATTAAACCCAAGTTAATGAAAGTTGAGAATTACTATACATAATTACTAAATATAAAAATCAGAGAGATCTAAATCATGGTATTTCCAATATTTTCAGCTTCCCAAATATTTGGAATGTTTCAGACCAAGTGAATTTCCCTGTTTTATCTATGTTGAGAAATGTTTTACTTCATGTCTTTTTGCTTTATGTTCAAGTATTTTTTCTTCCACTGATCATTTACAAAAGCTTCCACAAGAGATAAGAAACCCTGTGTGATCACAAAAAGAATTGATAGATGTTGGATGACTTTTTAGTTTTATGTATTTTTGTAGTTGTTTCGAAATGCATCATTATATTTCTTAATAACTTTCAGCAGAAATCTCAGACATGAAAATAACTTTGCTTACTTATGTATTCTGATTAGTTAACAAAGATACAGATGCTTGGAAGCTAGATTCCCTCGTCTAAGTAAGATATGTGTTCTTTGTGGAGAAAACTCATTGAGAAAAGCAAATGATGGATTAGAAGGTGGCTAATGAAGAAAGAATTAAAGCAAAGGCGACTGGATGTTTTTAACAGCTCTTCCATCTGGATAATCTCACTGAATGTAACAGATAACTCTGGAAAACTTTTTTACAAGTGTGAGAAAATTAGACTATCTTAGGCCAGGTGCAGTGGCTCACACCTATAATCCCAGCACTTTGGGAAGTCAAGGTGGGCGGATCACCTGAGGTCAAGAGTTCAAGACCAGCTTGGCCAACATAATGAAACCCTATCTCTACTAAAAATGCAGAAATCAGCTGGGGTGTGGTGGCACACACCTCTAATCCCAGCTACTTTGGGAGGCTGACGCACCAGAATCACTTGAACCTGGGAGGGGGAGGTTCTAGTGAGCTGAGATCATGCCACTGGACACCAGCCTACACACCAGCCTGTGCAACAGAGTGAGACTGTCTAAAAAAAGAAAAAGTTGTGCCATTGCACTCCAGCCAGGGCAACAAGAGCGAAACTCCATCTCAGAAAAAGAAAAAAGAAAAAAAAAATTTAGACTATCTTTTCCTTCTAAATAGGCTAAATAGGTAAAAGGTGGAAATTTGCTGTTGTCTTTCCATTTTCCAGATTGCTCATTGGATTGCATCCTTTATATTATGACAAAACCACTATCAAAGTCCCATTGTAATTGGTAGTGTTTTCCTGGCTTGTGTGAGGAATATTCCTGTCATTTCTTGTTTCTTAAATGTATCTCTTAATGTTATGAATCACATTCATCAAGATGGCTTCAATGTGTCACCAATTACTCTATACATAAACACATCAAATGAGTTATTATTGCTTCCTTGTTTGTTAATTAAATAAAATAATCACAAATTATTGCACATTTGTGTATTTTTCTTTTTCCAGCCTGCTTTCTTTTTTGTTTCATCCATAGCTTTTCCCAGCTATCAGTACACATGCCTGTCACTGCCTCTCCCTCCCACTTTCTTTGTTACTTCTAACGTGTTGCTGAGTTAGAAATTAGATTGCCAAGGTTGCTGTTGTCTGTGTACAAAATAAAAATAAATTACTCTGTGTGATGGCGTAATGGACTCTTCTACATACATTGCCTTGAATTTAGCATAAAGCAGTATTCTATTTTCTCAGGAGTGTCATGTTAAAACTGATGTCACTGGATGTTAAAAGCTGCTTAGTATAAGAGATTTAAAAGTTGAATACAAACTTATAAATTATGGAATGAAAAAAGAGCTAAAGATGTTCCTTTACGAAACAATTAATCAGGGCCTGGAACATGTAGAGTTCATAGTGAATAAGGAGGAGGCGAAGATTTCATTGGTATTTCCACACATACTAGGTCATGTAATTTTGTGTTGTTTTTCTTCAGAACATCTTTTAGGACAGTATTCTCAGGAGGCTAGTTTAAAAAATTTTGGCTTATGAACATTATGATATCCATTTTATAACTGTAATATTAACATTATGATATCCATTTTGTGCTTATTACCTGGGCTGTTTTTAAAAAAAAAAAAAAACTCTTATTTTTAAACAAGTAATGCGTTCACATGTAACAAAGTTTGAAGGTTTTGAAAGACTAGTAGGTGAACAACGTTTCTTTCTCCTTATAAACCCCAGGCCCCCAGTTTCCCTCCTTAAAGTCAGCAATGTACATTCTTTGATTGTTCTGGAGATACATAGAATATATCTTTTAGACAGCATACTTTTTTTACGTATTACTTTTTCACTTCACAAGATAACAAAGACCATTCTGAGTTGACAGAGTGTCTGTTTACATTTTTTTTCTTTTTTTTTTTGGAGACAGAGTCTTGCTCTATTGCCCAGGCTGGAGTGCAGTGGCACCATCTTGGCTCACTGCAACCTCTGGCTCCTGGATTCAAGCAATTCTTGTGCCTCAGTCTCCAAAGTAGCTGGGACTACAGGCGCTTGCTACCACACCCAGCTAATTTTTCTATTTGTACTAGAGACAGGGTTTTACCGTGTTGGACAGGATGGTCTCGATCTCCTGACCTCGTGATCTGCCTGCCTTGGCCTCCCAAAGTTCTGGGATTACAGGCCTGAGCCACTGCGCCCGGCCTCAAATCTTTTTCTATTACAAAATATGCTGTCAATGAATACACATATCTATAAATATAAATGTTTGCACATACATGTGAACTGTTTAAATATGTCTGAAGTCTTACAATAGTAAGACTGTTACAGTCTTGTGTTACAGAAACATGAGTGGGTGAGAATGAGATAAATCATAAATATAAGGGAATATAAATTTCTGATTTAGGGTGTGTGTGCTTTATATATACATACATATATCTAATGTATATGTATACAAGGAGAGGGAGAAAGACTTTAAGTATTGTAAATTTTGGCATTTATAAAATATTTTATAACAGAAAAACATAAACCATTAAAGAAAAAGGAGAAGGGATTAGTGTGGAGCTTGCCTGAGTACTGGTTTGGCAGGCTTGCACGGCACATAATTAGGCAACATATTAGCACTGGCTTCTAATTCTTATCTTACGTTGTATGGATTATGGTAAACTTTCTGAAAGCTTAATCACATGTAATGTAGGAAATTATCTGACCCTTCCCAATAATTACTATAAAGAATAAATGAAGTTACATTGGTGAAAACATTCCTAGAACTTTATTTTCAAACATGTTGTTTCAGAAGACTTGTGTCAGAAAAATCTTAGTTATTAAAAATCTTTAATCAGGATTAAAAAAGAGGTATGTTTCCTTAGATAAGTTTTCCCTTATCTTGTTTTATTTTTTTTAAATATTGCATTGTCATAGACTTTTTTTTTCCCTAAATATGTGAGGTAAGAAATCCAGGTAGCTTAATTTATTATAGGTACCCCCATTGTCCTGGGTATATTTGAAAGACATTCAATATTGAGGTGGGACCAAGGGAATTTCTAATGGCAGTGCATTATTCTGTTCAATCTATTGTTCTTACATGAGTACCATGTCCCATCCATCACCTAAAGTTCTCTCCAGGCCTTGCTGTTGTGTTGTGAAATAGGCATTTGCTGTTATAGTTCTAGGATCACTGCTTACAGCCTTCTTTGGTGTATCAAGCAGCATTCCAAAAGAAAAAGACAGACTGCTTTAAGCTCATGGATATCGTGATTATTTATTCAGAGGAGAAATGTAAGGCTATGCTTATTGTCACAGAGAAAATATCTCTATTGCCAAGTTGCTCTTTTTTTTGGTGGGGGGAAGGTATATTTAACACTTCACACTGAAGATGTAACTCTCATGGCATCTTGGGGACCATCTGGTCTGAATTAGGTACAGGACAATAAAGGAGGCAGTTAATTTATAAGAAAGATCAGTGATTCGGATGGGGAGGGCCTGGCCTCTGATCTCTCCTAGTCATTTATAGAATAAAAACAATGACGAAGAGAGTTAAGCTACAATCTAAGAAGCAGAATTGCAAACCTGCTAGGTGACTCAGTCTCCAGAGCTTACCTTCCCCCTTTACATAATAAATTTAGAGAGTCCTGAAATGTTATTTTCTTTGACAACTTAAATACCATAGTGTTGTCATCTCTCAGTAACCATGGGAGATTGATTCCAGGACCTTCCACAGATGCCAAAATCCAAGAATGCTCAATTCCTTGATATACAATGGCATGGTATTCGCATATAATCTAAGCACATCCTCCAGTATACTGAAATCATCTCTAGACTACTTATGATGGCTAATACAATGTAAATACTATGTAAATAGCAGTTATATTGTATTGATTAGGGAATAAGAAAAAAAGTCTGCACATATTCAGTGTGTATGCAATTTATATATAGATAGATATACAGAAATTTTTATGTAGATATATTTTTCTTCTTTTTTTTTCCTCTCTCTGCTGTTGGTTGAATCCAAAGATGTGGAACCCATGGATACAAAGGGCTGACTGTATTCTGAAAAAAAGAAAGAAGGGTGTGGGCAAGACCCAGTTTAGATGAGATGGCCAGGGAAAGTAAGTTTTGCTATAGATATTTAAGTTGGTTTCTTCTCCATTGATAAGAGTCTCTAATGATTTAGTCATACTTCTCTTCCTGGTGCAGAAAGAAAGACACTTTTACTAATGGAAATTTCATTCATAGATAAAACTTTCCCCTATAAAAGGGCAATTTCTTAGAGCTTCAATGTTACAGTTTCTCAAAATGAGCAGATCAAATTAATTCTGATGCCAGAAGGGTATATTTTAGAGTGGCATATTCTAATCTCCTACAGTCATATTTTGGTGTTATGGGTCCTAAGCCCCATCAGTTTATTTGGGTTTTAGTTTCCTCATTTTAAATGGGTGTAAGAATTATATGTATCTCAACAACAATTGTGAAAATTAAGTGAACTAGTATAGAAAGTACTCAAAAGGTTGCCTAGCATATAGTTATAAGAAATAAAAGTACAATCATAAGTCCCTCAACTGACTGAGCCCCCTCTTGGCCATGGGGATCCCAGAGAAACCTTGGAAGCTGAGTTGCTGGTCATGATGGGATAGGAAGTCTGACACACCCCATTATACCCCTCCCCTGTTAAGAGCCCTTAGGCTTTCTTCCCTAAGGGCTAAATGGAAACCAGCCTTTCAAAAGGCTCCACCACTGATTTCAACCAACCACCTGATGCTGCCCCTCCCTTTGTGGTTCTCACACAAAAGCCAATCAGCATTCCTTCCTGATTAGAGATCACCAATCACAGAGTGGTTCTGGCCAGTCTACAGAGGCCACACAGAGAGGATTTTCTTGTTCTCTGCTTCATATTTTTATGTTGGAGAGCTGAAAACTTCACCCTTGGATCATATTAAGGCTGCCATTTCTGAACATGGGACTCATGGAGAGTCATAAAGCTCAATTGTGCATGCACATGTTTCTCCTTTTATAAATATTTGTGACTCATCCCATAGCTTATTGAATATGTATATTTGGCCACCCCATTGAGCATAAATTCTTGTCTTGTTCTTCCTACTCTTAAAGTGCTTGTTTTTGGCTTCTGGCAGGAGGCTACCCTTCCCAGCCTGTCAGAATGGCGCCCATAGGCTGCAACCCTTTATGAGAAATAAAACTCTCCTTTCCAAATTTATGAACCTCATCATTCTAGAGTTGATAGTACACACAGACACACATAAAATCAGTTGTTATGAAAATTAAGTTGATAATAAACTGTATTAGCATCAAATAGAAATGAAAAGTGAGGTCTTAATGTAGCTAGCACAGACACAGCAACTACTCACATATTGAAACAAAGATGATAAACACATTCCGAGCGAATATGAAGATATCTAGACACATATTTTAGAACAAAATTAGGTTGAAAATTTAAGCAAGTTAAAGTGCAATAAAGTATAATTAGAAAAAAGAAAATATTAATCTCAAAAATTACAAGCCATGTGGTGAATCCCCAAAACATACATATAGCTTCATCTAGCAAATACTATGAAATACAATATAGTAATCACATATAGACCTATATATGTATATTATATATGTATAAACGAGCTTCTTTACTCAAATAAAGATACTGATAGATTTTACGACACACCTCCCTAAAAGAAAAGCAGAACATGCCACCTCAGATATGCCTCTTTGTGTAAGGATTATTTTCATCTGATCATTTTGAGAAACTGCAGATACAGGATAAGCTTTAAAAAGCTACCCTCTTGTAAGAGAAGGGTACATGTATGAAAGAAATCTTCATTTCTAAGGGTGTCTCCCTCTTTGCACCAGGAAGGGAAGGATGAATGAGTCACTGAGACTCATCAATGGAGAAGGAACTGAGAGTTAAGTCCGCATGATAAATCTTGCCTTTTTTGACCACCTGATCCTAACTGTGCTTTTCCCCACATTCTTTTTTTCTTTGTTTTTGAAAACCATTGTACTAGAGCTTAGAGACAGAGCTACAATGGTTGACTCATGAACACCATGGGTTTAAACTGCAAGGGCCCACCACTAGTGGACTTTCTTTTGCCTCTTCTAGCCTTGAGAGAGCAAGATGAATTTTTTCTCTTTCTCCTCCTCCTCAGCTTAATGTGAAGACAACAATGATCAAGACATTTATGATGATCCACTTTTATTTAATAAATAGTAAATACATTTTCTTTTCCTACGATTTTCTTAATATTTTCTTTTATCTAGCTTATTTTATTGTAAGGATACAGTATATCATACATATAACATACAAAATATGTGTTAATTGACTGCTTCTCTTGTCATTAAGGCTTCAGGTCAATAGCAGGCTATTGGGAGAGCTGAAAGTTGTGAGCAAATTTTCAGCTGACTAGAAATTCAGTGCCCCTAATGCCTGTGTTGTTCAAGGGTCAACTGTACTTTGAAATCTACTTTAGAGATTTACTCATTTCTCTGGGTTAACTCCCATGTATATAGGAGTTACACACGTTATTAAACATTTGTGTATTTCTTGTTAATCTGTATCTTTTTACAGGGGCTCCTAGCTAAGAACTCAAGAGGGGTAGAGAGGAAAATTATTCCTTCTCCCCTACAATATGCTTTAATATTTTCATATAAAGTATAATGAGTCATTATCTTATAACACTGGGTACAATAACTATTTTTAGTGTAAACTACAATATTCATCTCCCACTTACTACTGAGCTTTATACTTTTTAAGCTCAAAGAAGTCATTATTTATATATTAAAAGCAATATTTAACATAAGTATTTTCTGAGTCTGACAATTTCTCACTTTGAAATGTAAAAACAAAATTTGGCATTCTATGATTTGACAACTTATTATTTATGATCCTCTTTCAGACCATTATGTATTTGCTTTCTCTGCCCTTCAGGGAGATAAAAATATCAATCTTTTCTCTGGGGTAGTCTGCATTTCATCTGCCTGTGTCTGCATCTTGAACGGTTCATTACACAGACCTGAATTTGCTTACTTAATGTGTCAGTTAGTATAAAAAGATTCTATTGCACCCTTTTGATATTTTGGAAGCTTTTCTTTCTTCCTTTTTCTTTTTTGGAAAAGGATAAAATGTTGTAGGGAAACCACACAAAAACAATTTTACTTTGTTTTTGATATTAAAAAGAACAAATTGGAAAACTTGTGAATAAATTCTGGAATGCACTTGCTTTGAGTCTGCCTTTGGTTAGCTTTAGAAACTGCTTTAGATTACCTTTGGAAACAGGAAAAATAAACAAAACAAAAAGTGTCACTAAATAGGAAATCTCCCTTTTGCTTTCAACTAGTTCATATTTATATCTAAAAAATCAAAGTGAATCACATTTACATTCTTCTCAAGTACAAAAATTAATTTGTAGAAATTTGAAATATATTATTAATTTCATGTTATTTGAAAGCCAATTGCTTTTTCATTCCTATTCTGTCCTTTGAAAATAAATTTTTTATATCTTTTGACATTATAAAGCCTCTAGAGATCTCTTTAATAAAACATCAAGGAAAGTATTTATCAAAAGACTAATAGGTAAGCATTCTTTCACAACTTAAATAATAAATGTTATTGTATAATAATAAATTTGTATTTGATATTGAAAATAAATCTTGCACTTACTATATGTTACTATACAAGTATAATTAGTACTCTGTAAATAATTAATGGTATCATTCATATACCAGATATATACCAAATGCAGTAAATCTCCATAATTCTTTCATAATTTAAAAGTAGTTTCTGTACCTATTAGTATTATGATTGCATATTCACAATCTCTTAAAGTTTGAATGAAAATGCTATTCAGAAAAAACTTTAAATCAAAATATATTTTCTAAATGCAAATGTAAAAAATGTTTCAAATATAAATGGTTTGAAAAAAACTTTAACTCCATTTTTTGTTAGTAAAATCATTAGACTTATGATGTGTATAGATTAAAGGGTTCCCATAATGATAATGTTTTTAGAGTTCAGAGAAAATCTCCAGCCCCTTCAACCAGGACTGCCCCTTGAATGTACAGGGCCCTCCACAAATATTTTGTGAAACAAGGATTTGTTTATATAAACAATTTGAATAAAAGTTGTATTACAAAAGGCTGGGCACAGTGGCTCACACATATAGTCCCGGCACTTTGGGAGGCCAAGGCTGGCTGATCATGAGGTCAAGAAATTGAGACCATCCTGGCCAACACGGTGAAACCCCGTCTCTACTAAAAATACAAAAATTAGCTGCGCATGGTGGTGTCTGCCTGTAGTCCCAGCTACTGGGGAGGGTGAGGCAGGAGAGGTGCTTGAACCCAGGAGTCAGAGATTGCAGTGAGCCAAGATCACACCACTGCACTCCTGGCGACAGAGCAAGACTCCGTCTCAAAAAATAAAAATAAAAATAAAAAAAGTTGTATTACAAAATTCCTGGCCCCATGTAAGAGTCAATGATTTATCATTGATTATTTAGAAAAATGGGTAGAGAAGAGGCACCTAATTGTTCATTTTCCAGTAAGTACATGGATAGATTTTTTTATAGGGTCTGGATACCCACTCTTCCTGTTCACTTTCAGCAGACAAGTTTTCCTCCTCTGTTTCAAATGCATCATTCTTCGCTAAGTTTATACCTTTTGCCATAAATGAAAGGTAATAACATTATTATAACTGACAATGCCTTGGCTCTTTGGAACCTGTTTGTGCTAAACAACATAAAACTTTTTGCCCCTGCATTTCCTTAATACTGTTTATTAAATGTTCGGTGCAGCATTACTCAAGACAGCGTGTTATCCACATGAAGCTTTACTGGCTTCCAGTGATTCTTGCAAAGGCTAATACTGTACTTCAATTATCATAAACAAAAATGCAAGTCTTAACCAGAGTATGAAGAAAAATGTAAATAAAAATTAATTTTCTGAGCATGAAAAGAAGGAAGGAAGGAAAAAAGAAAAATTGTCTTAGTTGTTAAGGCATAAATAAATTACAACAAATAATCCTTGAGAACAAATATTAATATTTCTAATTAACCACTAGTCAGTTTTAGAAATTGAGTTACTTGTTCAAATTTCCCACCCTCTTATCCACATATTTATTTTAGAAAATTGGCTGATAGTGCAGTATGACCTCAGCCACTGGTACCATTTCTTTGGTCCAAGTTCATTAGCACCTAATTCAAACAAGACCAATAAATACATTCATTAGCACATTCAAAACTGGGTCACAAATATTTTAATGTTTTTTTCTCTCATAGCTAGGTTGTAATATGTAATACTTAGAATGTATTAATGGTTATTTTTCCCCCCACAATGGAAAAAAGTCATTGTGGACTTGGAGAAATGGAAGCCAACCTAAAGAGATATGCAGAGAAAGAGTGAAACAGAGGACATGGCAGCATGTGATAATTATAAATCCAGTGATTTCTAAGATTCAGAATCATCCCAGGCATTCTTTACTTAGTCACTCACGCTTTCCTTGAATTTCATGAGCCTATACAATCTTCTGCTTAAGTTAGAATTCTGTCACTTAAAAATATCGAATACCAGTGTTAAACACAGATTAAAAAAAAAAACAAAATATATAGGCCTGCTTTAACTACAGTGCTAAGAATCAATTACAAATAAATCAAAATGCTTTCAAATTTGGAATATACAAAAGATATTTTTCCTATTAAGCAATGGATTGGTAGATACTTAAAATAAATGATTAAAAATTACTAAAAACAATTCTATCAATGCTTTTTTAATTTGATGGTAAAATGTCAATGAAACAGAAAGGGGTTTTAAACCCAAATGCATTTATTGGGAATTGTTTCAAATATTTAAGAAATAGATTATTACTATGCTATGAAATCTATTCCAAAAGCAGTTTTGAAATCTAGCTGAGTAAACTCCTTTAGGGTCTAAAGCCTGGGAATAATCCTCTATGGTGCTGTTTCTGGCCCTCTGGGACCATATTGTGCCCTCTGGGTTATCCTTCCCCTATTGATAAACAATGGAATGTGTTACCAGAGAATTAGTTCTATCAATCTTTTTTTCACCATTCAAATTTTATGGTCCAATGACTTTTAAAATTTCCTTCTCACTGATGGTTTTAGTCTGAGATGGCAGTGTTTCTGCTGGTAAAAATTCCAAAGAACTTATTGGGTCACCCATGTATGTCATAGGTATTCACTCTATCAGACAAGTGGCTTGTCTGTAGATTTTCCTAGATAGTTTCTTCTTCATTTTTAGCTCCCGAGATTGCTAGAATCTCCCTAGTTTTGTTGAGAGAAATGGTGATTCACTCTCTTAATCATTTTAAAGGTTCTATGTGACTAAATACTTCGATCTTTTGATCTTTCTGATGTATTAGCAAGAAGTTGTAAAGCCACACACTCAGATATATCTCTATGCAACATTTTGGAAGCAATCTCATAATTTTACAAGTTATTACCATCTGGTGGGCTAAGAATACCCAAATCACCTACTCCTGCTTTCTATTTGTTAAACAGGTTTCCCTCAATTTACCTCTTTCTTTTCACATTTTCCTATAAGCAGTGAGAAGAAACGAGATGGTACATTCATCACTTTGCTTATAAATTTCAGATAAACATCAGGGTTCATCCTGTCATTTACAAGTACAGCTCTCTAAACAACTGCAGGATAATACTTTGTTGAGCTTCCTGTCACAGTGATACAAGGGTTCCCTTTATAACACATGCCTCCCTTCCTGCTGGGCTCTCAGCAGCAACACCTTCAAAGTTCATGTTTCTATTAATCATTGGTAGAGATATGATTCCCAATTATTTAGGTATTCTTTAAAGGGGTTTAAGAGTCTATGCCACACTCCTTCACTTCCTTCTGAGCCCTCACTAGCAGAGTCACTAACATCCATGTGTCTGCTGGTCCATCCAAGATAATTGGGGCTTTTTCTATCATGATCCTCAAATTCTTTCAGTCTGCCCACTGCCCAATTCTAAAGCCATTTCTCCATTTTCAGAGTTACAATAGCACTCCACTTCTAATATCTGTATTATATTTCTAATGCTGTGTAAAAATTATTACAAACATAATTGCTTAAAACAACACACATTATCTTACAATTCCATAAGTCAGTTATCTGGATGAGCTCTTATCAGGAGGCTGAGGGAAAAAATCCACTTTCAAGCTCATTCAGGTCATTGGCCAAATTCAGCTACTTGCAGCTATAAGACAGAGGCCTCCATTTTCTTTTTCGTGGTCCGCAGAGGGCAGCCTAAACTCCAGCAGACATCCCTCTGAGCCTTGCCCTATAGTCCCCTAAACATTACAGCTAGCCACATATCAAATTCTTCTCGTTCTTGATATATCTCTGACTTCTGCTTTTGCTCTCTTTTATCTTCTCTGATTGCATCTCTCTGTCTCCAGCCAGATAAAGCTGTCTGCTTTTAAGAGGTCATATGATTGCAGTGAGTCTACTCAGTCATATAGATCTGTAACCTTAATTCTATGTGCAAAATCTCTTTGTCATGTAGTGTAACGTATTAACAGGTTCTAGGGATTAGAGAATGGGCATCTTTGTGGGGTCAATCTGTTTATCATGCAGATCATTTTATAAAGCTAGTAAAATCTGTATTCCAAATCTGTAAGACAATACAAAAGAAAGTAATTATATACTATTCCACTTATAAAGGACAATGCAAAAATATAAATAAAGTAATAGCTAATCAAATCCAACAATTATAAAAATAATAAGGAGAAATTAATGCCAGGGATTTATTAATGATCCAGCATCATTAATTTATTATTGTACTCTGCTTAATAAACTAAAGGTGGAACATGAAATGACTGTGCCAATATATGCAGAAAAATGTATTTCATAAAATTCAACAACTATTTACTATTTAAAAACAACTCTAAGAACAATGAAACCACTAAAAGTTGGTAAGTTTTACACAACAGTTTTCTCAAGCAAACATTATGCTTAATTGGGAATCTTTAGTTTCATTTTCTTTAAGATAAAGAGACGGGGCCGGGCACGGTGGCTCACACTTGTAATCCCAGCACTTTGAGAGGCCGAGGCAGGTGGATCATGAGGTCAGGAGATTGAGACCATCCTGGCTAACAAGGTGAAACCCCGTCTCCACTAAGAATACAAAAAAATTAGCTGGGCGTGGTGGCACTCACTTGTAGTCCCAGCTACTCGGGAGGCTGAAGCAAGAGAATAGCTTGAACCCGAGAGGAGGAGGTTGCCGTGAGCTGAAATTGTGCCACTGCCTGGGAGACAAAAAAAAAAAAAAAAAAAAAAAAAGAGACAGGGATGTTCCCTGTCATCATGACTGTTTAACTGAATTTCAGAATTTCTTGCTATTGCTGTGAGGAAAGAGAAAAAAAAAGTGTAAGGATTTGAAACAAAAGATGAAATATTATTATTTGTATATGCTATGATCAGTCATATACCTGGAAAATAAATAGAGCAATTGACATTCTATTTACATGTATAAGAGAGTTCCATGGTGTCTTCTGATTTAAAATGAACCCACGAAAAGTCAAAAGAATTTTTAGGCAATAACAACCAGCTATAAAAAAGCTATTCACAAGAGCAATAAAAACTGTAAGTTATAGGATAATTAACTTCACCAGGACAACATAAATATTATTTGAATAAAACTTTACAATTCCTAATAAGAAACTTAGATGATAATATGATGCACTAAAAATTTCTTGGACTAGAAGATTTAATATTATAAAGATATAAGTTATCATCAAATTAATCTTGAATTTGCAATTCCAAATCCATAAATCAAAATTTCAGTTGGTTTTTTGAAGGACTCAGTAAACCTATAGTAAGACTCACAGCAAAAGAATATAGGTTCACAAATAGCGAAGTAAATTTTAATAATAGAAACAGGAATATCTTAGTAAACATTACAACATTTTAGAAAGCCATAGTTATGTAAACAGAAAGATATTATCACAATACACAAAAAGGACAATACACACATGTGAGCTTGCACAAAAGCCCAGATCCACAATATATAAAAAGATGGTATCATAAGGTGATTAAAAATATTCATAATGTATAATTGGGAAACTGGTTCACTTTACCTAGAAAAGTAAAATGGGTGGCAACAAAAAGATGAGCTCAAGAGAGATGAAAGAATTAAATATGAAAAAAATTATATAATGAGTGTAAGAAAAATGTAAGATAATATATTTATACCCTGGGCATGGGGAAGGACTTGTAAAGTAGAAATAGAAATCACAAAACACAGGGTAAAAGACTGATGAATTTGAGTACACAATATGAAGTCCTGTTCTGTTTCACAAAGGACACCATGTACAAAGTTAACTGAGAGGTGATAGACTGGGAGAAAATGATGGCAATTTCTAGAACCAACAACAAATTATTGTCAAGATATATAAGGAGCTCAAGCAAATTATCAAGTAAAAGAGCAATACAAGTAGAAAATAGGGCAATTTAAGGAAAGGAAAACATCAAAGACTAACAGGTCTATAAGGAGATGCTCACACTCACTCTAAATCAGAGGTGTAAATTAAAGCAAAATAAAACTATCATTTTATATCTTTTTGTGGGTGATGAAACCATAACTTTCTCAGTTAAATAATAATCAGAATTCGGCTTCCATGTTATTCTTTGTATTGTCATTCATTTTCTTCTTTTTGTCACATTACGCATAATTACAATTATTATGACTGGCATTTTAACACCTATTGTGAATTAATACTTATCCTTCACGCATTCCTCCCCTTATAATTTAGAGACAGCCTTCTCCCTCCCCTGTAACGTAGAGACATAACTTTCCTGTGAAATTGATAAAAGTAACTAATAGCCAAGTATGCTATTTATGAGTCCTCTAGCTGATAAGTTGGCTGGATATGCCCTTTGGGAAATTCTGTAATTTTCTCTTGTCTCACTCCTCTCCCCTTATGCTTCATGCATATTGACACTTTTAGATTTTCCCTGAATAATTAACTCACCAGACCTTCCCTTGTTTGATTACAATAAAATCAAACAACACTCCTCAACTCTTGGGAAGTCAGTGAATTAATTTGCTGTCCATAATTATTATTAGAATATCCTATGTTTCATCTGATTATTTTCAATGACCTACAGGTAACATTACTGATTTGAAGAATCCTCTATTTGATAGAAATAAATTGCAATCAAGACATTCTCAGAGGGAAGGAACAATGAGGTGTTTACTAATAATTTTTTTACTCAAAGCAAATGAGTAATCATGTTATAAACCTCTTAATATGATCCTGTCCTAATAACAGGAAACCATTAATGTCAACTGTAATAAATGTTGAGGTCATTGTTTTAACCTGACGTTAAAATGATAGTGAGACATTTTCCTTGCCATGGCTAAGAAAAGAGCAATTATTGAAAGGAATGAGTTTGATTTAAATCCTCTGAAGAAAATAATAAACAGGTAAACAGCTAAAAATTATGAGGCTCATTTATTTCCCAGGTGAGCCAAAGCAATTAGATAGCTCCTTCCTTCAGCTTCCTATAGGGTATAACAAATCTTCCTAATGATTACTTGCTTGGAAAAGCAAGCACATTTTTTCCTTCACATTCTATTTGAGAAACTCAGTTTGTTTTCTGATTTTTTGGTGAACACTTCAGTCCCATTAAACAAAGTTATTCCTAACTGTGAATACAGAAGACTACCAGCTACATTTAATTTTACTTACAGACAGACATTGTTCAGTTAGGAACCATAAAGAAAACAAGTGATGAATAAGGCTGCAGCCAAAACAGACACTAAATACCAGGAATACTGACAGCAAATACCCAGGAAGGCTGACAGTCATGAGCAATGTCCTTTGTAGTCCTTGGACAAATTGATTAGGAAGTAAAGTCTTTGTTTCTGTTTTATTTTCCCTTGTGTTAATTCCCTGTGTGTGTGTGTGTGTGTGTGTGTGTGTGTGTTTTAAAGAAGAACAAACATGCATAGCAGAGAAATGAATATTAATTCCTTTAACAGTCACCAAATATTGTTTTTCTATTTTTTTTTGTCTTTTACTCTTTTTCTGCCTTCTCTGGTTTTAATTGAGCGTTTCACATGATACCATTTTCTCTCTTATTTTCACATAACAAGGATACACCATTTTCTCTCTTATTTTCACATAACAAGGATACTTCTTTTTAAATTTTTAAAGTGGTTGCCCAAAGTTTACAGCATACACTTAGAGCTCACACAAGACCATTCCAAATAACCACATGCTCATTTGTACTGGTATCTAGGATCTAAACACTCTTAGTTTACATAGTTTAACTCTATATATCTCTTTCTCTATCTTTCTATCTGTGTATTACCATGAGTTCATATTAGTGACTCCAACTCCAGTCTGACACCACAGCTTATTATAATCTCCCCCAACTTTTTTAATGTTTACATTTTTAACCGTTTCACAACAGTGAAAACCATAGCTCCCTTTATTTACTACATAGTTACTTGTTTACCCGGAATAATATACTTCAGTTGATTTCATAATTGCTAACCCCTACCATTGTGGAAAAAAAAAAACCTACTAAGAAAGTCTAATAATCAGGCATAGTTCTTTGTTTTTAACCTGACAGTGGGTAGTCAAAATGCTAGGTTCAAGAGACGTTTTAGTCTTTTCCCCATTTAGTGCGGTTACGCCATTTATTTCATTCACAGTTATTTGTTTGGTTGTTTGTCTTAGATTGCATTGAACTTTGGGTTATTTCCCTATCCTTTTTTATCTTATTTATAGATTTTGTGTATGTTAAATGGTATCATGGTTCTAAAAGTCATATTTATAAAATATACCTACAGAAGTGTGGTTCTCACTCCATCTCTTCTAGGTATTGCCATTCCCCATTCTTTTACTCTATGTATGTCCCTGTAATTAACTAAACTTGTTGCTTTCTGTTTTTTTCTTCTTATAGTTATTTTTGTACAAATAAGCCTTTTTTATATATATTTTATTTTCCTTTTTTTACACAAAAAGTGACATCTTTTGCATCTTTTGGATAACCTTTGGCACTTTGCTTTTTTCACCTAATGATCTATCATGGATATTAATGCATGTCAGTTCACAATATTTTCCTAGGGTTTTGTTTTGTTTTGTTTTTGACATGGAATCTCCCTCTGTTGCCCAGGCTGGAGTGCAGTGGAGTGATCTCGGCTCACTGCAACCTCTTCTTCCTGGGTTCAAGCAATTCTCCTCCTGCCTCAGCCTCCCAAATAGCTGGGATTATAGGTGTGTGCCATCACGCCCAGCTAATTTTTTGTATTTTTAGTAGAGACAGGGTTTCACTGCATTAGCCAGGATGGTCTCAATCTCCTGACCTCATGACCTGCCCACTTCAGCCTCCCAAAGTGCTGGGATTACAGGCGTGAGGCAGTGTGCCTGGCCCTGCTAGGTTTTTTTATAAATTTCACAATGTGTCTATGTTTATTCAATCATTCTCCTACATATGGATATTTATTTAATACATGTTGCGGCATTGTTTGTATTGCCTAATATTGGAAGCAAAATAAATATCCATATGTAGGAGAATGATTGAATGTTTATCTCCAGGGTAAATCCCTAGACATGAGTTTGGTCAAAGAGTAGAAGCATATGTAGTTATATTAGATATTGCAAAATCCCATTCCAAAGTGGTTATTCCACAATCAACCTTTCAGAGTGCGTGTTTCCCCAAAATTTCTCCAACTGTGTTGTCATACTTTTAAATTTTCACCAATTTAGTAAGTGAGAAGTGGTATCTTAATATATTTTAGTAAGCATTTTCCTGGTTATGAATGAAGCTTAATATCTTTTCATGGGTTTAAGAACCATTTTAATATCTTTTCTGTGAATTTTTTACTCCCATGCTTAGCCCATTTTTTATAAGGTTTTTCGTCCATACTCCCTCATTTTAAAAAACAATTCTGTCCATATTTGGGATATTAGTTATATAGAGAGAGGGTAGGATGTAGGCATTTGCTCCTAGATTTTTATTTTTCTTTGATTTTCTTTATCTTCTTTATTGTCACACCAAAGTTTTTCTTCTGTGTAACCAAATTCATCAGTCTTTAATGTATGTGAATTTTGAGACATAATGAGAAAATTCCATAATTCCAGGTTATAAAGGAATTCACCCACTTTTCTCCTAAGATTTGTGTGGCTTATTTATTTCTTTATTTATTACATTTAGATCCCTGGTCAGTTGGAAAATCATTATAAGTTTTGTAATGAGTTTCTAATTTTTAATTTTTATAAATAGCTAATCAGTTGTCAGAGCAATATTTATTAAATAATACATCTTTGTCAAATTGGTTTTAGATGCTCACTTTATTATTTATAGTAAATAACTTTTTATACTTGCGTCTATTTTCAGAGATTCAGTTCTTCTTTAAAGCCTCTTATCAATTGATGGACCAATACTAAACTGTTTTAATTATGAGGCTTTCTACTGTTTTGATGTGTGATGTGGTAGGCCTACTTTGACATAGCTTTTAAAAACTTTCTTAAGTATTTTTGCATGTTTTGATTTTCTAGATGAATTTTTGCATTGACTTAATCTCGTTCAGTATAGTAAGTCTGTTGTTCTTAAGTTATGGTTGAGTTAAATGTTTATTTATTTATCTTTTTTATTATTATTATACTTTAAGTTCTAGGGTACATGTGCACAATGTGCAGGTTAGTTACATATGTATACATGTGCCATGCTGGTGTGCTGCACCCATTAACTCGTCATTTAGCATTAGGTATATCTCCTACAGCTATCCCTCCCTGCTCCCCCCACCTAAATGTTTAAATTAACCACAGGGAATAACATTTTAAGATGCGAAGTCAGTCTATTAAAAAGGGGAGTGACTATCCTCCTATAAACCTAATTCTAGTTTTGTCTGATTTAGGATTGTTTTAAAGTTTTCCTCTTGTAGGGTTTGCATGTTTCCATAAAAAGTTTATTCTTAAGTATTTTAAGAATTGTTTTTATTGCAAATGGGGGTTAACTCCCCATTTATATCTTGTAATTATTACAATATATGTTAAATAATTACAGTAGAAGCTTTTAAATATCACAATGGTAACAAGCAGCTATAAAGGTAACAAGCAGCTATAAAGAAACAAGGACATCTTGTTTTACTGCACTCTGCTTTAGAGCACTTTGCAGGTATTGTGCATTTTACAAATTGAAGGTTTGTGGCAACCTTGCATCCATCGAGTTCATTGGCACCATTTTTCCAACAGCATTTACTCACTTCATGCTATATTTTGCTAATTCTTGCAGCATTTCAAACTTTTTCAATATTATTACATCTGTTATGGTGATCTGTGATCAGCAATATTTAATGTTCCTATTTTAATTGTTTTGGGGTATCATAAGTCACGTCCAAGTAAGATAGTTATGAGTGTTCTGATTGCTCCACTATCCAGCTGTTTTCCCACCTTCCTCCCTTTTTTCAGGCCTTTCTATTCTCTGAGACTTAAGATTATTGAGATTAGGCCAATTAATAACCCTCCAGTGGCCTCTAAACTTTCAAGTGAAAGGAAGAATTGCATGTCTCTCACTTTAAATAAAAAACTAGAAATAGTCAAGCTTAGTGAGGAAGGCATGTTGAAAAGCTGAGATAGGCCCAAAGCTAAGCCTCTTGCACTAGTTAGACAAGTTGTGAATGCAAGAAAAAGTTCTTGCAGGAAATTAAATATAGTACTCCATCAAGCACACAAATGATAAGAAAGTAAAACAACCTTTTTGCTGATATGGAGAAAGTTTGAGTGGTCTGGATAGAAGATCAACCCAGCCACAACATTCCCTTAGGCCAAAATGTAATCTAGGGCAAGGCCCTAACACATTTCAACTCCATGAAGGCGGAAAGAGGTGAGGAAGCTGCAGAATAAAAGTTTGAAGCTAGTAGAGGTTGGTTCATAAAAGAAGCTCTCTCCATAACATACAAGTGCAAGGCGAAGTAGCAAGTGATTGTGTAGAAGCCGCAACAAGTTATCCAGATCTAGGTAAGATAATTGATAAAGGTACACTAAACAACAGATTTTCAAACTAGATGGAATAACTTTCTATTGGAAGAAGATGACATCCTGACTTTTACAGCCAGAAAAAAAATGGCAGTGCCTGATTTTAAAGCTTTATAGGGTAGACTGGCTTTTTAATTACATACTAATGCAGTTGGTGACTTTTAAGATGAAGCAAATGCTCATTTACTATTTTGCAAATCCTAGAGCCTAGAAGAATTGTTCTAAATCTACTATGCCTGTGCTTTATAAATTGAACAACAAAGTCTCGATGACTACACATCTGTTCACAGCATGGCTTACTGAATATTTTAGGTCCACTGTTGAGACTCACTACTGAGAAAAAAAGGATTCCTTTCAAAATATTAGTGTTCATTGACAATGTGCCTAGTCACCCAAGAGCTCTGATGGAGATGCACAAGGAGATTAATGTTGTTTTCATGCCTGGTAACACAACATCCATTCTGTGGCTCATAAATCAAGGAGTAATTTTAACTTTCAAGTCTTATTATTGATAAAATATATTTTGTCAAGCTATAGTTGCCATAGATAGTGGTTCTCATAATGGATCTGGGCAAAGTAAATTGAAAACCTTATGAAAGAATTCACCATTCTAGATGCTATTAAAAACTTTCATGGTTCATGGAAGGCAGTCAAAATATCGCCATTAACAGGAGTTTCAATGAATTGATTCCAAACTTCATGGTTGACTTTGAAGAGTTCAAAACTTAAGTGGAGGAAATAATTGAAAATGTGTTGTAAATAGCAAGAAAACTAGAATTAGAAGTGAAGCCTGAAGATGTGACTGATTGGCTGCTATCTCATGATCAAACTTGAATGGATAAAGAGTTGCTTCTTATGGATGAGCAAAAAAGGGTTTCTTGAGATAAAACTTACTTCTGGTGAAGAAACTGTGAACATTGGTGAAATGACAACAAAAGATTTAGACTATTACATAAACTTAGTTCATCAAGTGATAACACAGTTTGGAAGAATTGACTCCAGTTTTGAAAGAAGCTCTACTGTGAATAAAATACTATTGAACAACATCACATGCTACAGAGAAATTTTTCATGAAAGAAAGAATCCATTTATGTGGTAAACTTTGCTGTTGTCTTATTTTAGATAAATTGCTACAGCTTATCCCAGCCTTCAGCAACCACCACTGTGATCAGTAAGCAACAATCAACATCTAAGAAAGACCCTCCACCAACAGGAAGATTATGACTCATTGAAGTCTCTCATGATTATTTGTATTGCTTAGCAATAAGATACTCTGAAATTAAGTATGTACTTTTTTTAATCATAATGCTATTGCAAACTCAATACACTGCAGTAGAATGTAAACATAACTTTTATATGCGCTAGGAAAGAAGAGTCAAGCCATCTCTCTTCACTGATGATATAATTCCATACCTGGAAAACTTTAAAGAGTCTGCGAAAAGGCTCCCAGAACTAACAGCTTTAGTAAAGTTTCAAGGTACAAAATCAGCAGCATTTCTTACACCAATAATGCTTAGGTTAAGAGTCAAATTAGGAACACAATCCCATTTACAAGAGTCACACAAAATTTAAATGCCTAGAAATATACTGAACTAAGAAGGTAAAAGATCTCTACAAGAGGAACTATGAAATACTGCTGAAAGAACTCAGAAATACCACAAATAAGTGGAAAAACATTCGACACTCATGAACTGGAAGATTCAGTATCATTAAAATGGCCATACTGCCCAAAGCAATGTAAAGATTCAACATTATTCCTATCATGACCATAGTTATTCTTCACAGAATCAGGAAAAACTATTCTAAAATTCATATGGAATCAAAAAAGAGCCAAAATACCCAAACCAATCCTAAGCAAAAAGAACAAAGTCAAAGATATCACTACCTGACTTCAAACCATACCATAAGGCTACAGTAACCAAAACAGCATGGTAATGTTACAAAATCAGACACATAGATCAATGAAACAAAACAGAGAACCCAGAAATAAAGCACACACCTATATCCATCTGATCTTTGACAAAGCTGACAAAAACAAGCAATGGGAAAAGGACTTCCTATTCAATAAATGGTGCTGGAATAGCTGGCTAGCCATATGCAGAAGTATCTAAAACTGGACCCCTACCTTTCACCATATACAAATATTAACTCAGGATGGATTAAAGATTTAAATGTAATACCTCATACTATAAAAACCACAGAAGAAAACCTGGGAAATAATCTTCTCAACATTAGCCTTGGCAAGGAATTTTTGACTAAGTCATGAAAAGCAATGGCAACAACAATAAAAAATAGACAAATAGGACTTATTTAAATTAAAGAGCTTCTGCCTAGCAAAATAAACTATCGACAGAATAAACAGAAACCTACACAATCGGAGAAAATATTCACAAACTATGCATCTGACAAAGATTTAATATCCAGAATCTATAGGAAACTTAAATCAACAGGCAAAAAACAACCCCATTAAAAAATGTGCAAAGGACATCAACAAACACTTCTGAAAAGAAGACATACAAGCAGCCAACAAATATATGAAACAATGCTCAGCATCACGAATTATCAGAGAAATAGAAATAAAAACCACAATGAGATACCATCTCACACCAGTCAGAATGGCTACTATTAAAAAGTCAAATAATAAGAGATGCTGGTGAGGCTGTAGAGAAAGGGAAACACTTATACATTGTTGGTGGGAAAGTAAATTAGTTTAGCCACTGTCTAAAGCAGTTTTGAGATTTCTCAAGGAACTTAAAAACAGAACTATCATTCTTCCCAGCAATCCCATTACTGGGTATATACCCAAAAGAAAATAAGCCAGGTGTGGTGGCTCATGCCTGTAATCCCAGCACTTTGGGAGGCCAAGGCAGGCAGATCACAAGGTCAGGACTTGGAGACCAGCCTGACCAACATGGTGATACCCTGTCTCTACTAAAAATACAAAAATCAGCCGGGCGTGGTGGCATGCACCTGTAATCCCAGCTACTCAGGAGACTGAGACAGGAGAATCGCTTGAACCCGGGAGGTGTAGGTTGCAGTGAGCCAAGATCGCTCCACTGCACTCCAGCCTGGGCAACAGAGCGAGACTCTGTCTCAAAAAATAAATAAATAAATAAATAAATAAATAATAATAAAAAAAAGAAAAAGAAAAGAAACTATTATACCAAAATAACGCATGCACAATGTTAATTGCAGCACTGTTCTCTACAGCAGAGATATGAAATCAACCTAGTGAAAGCCTAGAGTGTTAATAATGAACACCAGAAAGTGGCAATCCAGTATGTTTCATATACTGAGAGAACATAACTCTCAACCTAGAATTTATTATTACTTTTTTTCAGAATTAACATGGTACTTTCAGATAAATAAAATCTTAGAAAAATCACCACCAACAGAAATCTCAGTAAAGAGATTTTTGTGTCAGGAGGGAAATTTCCTAGCTTGAATGTGCAAACTGCAGAAAGAAATGGTGAGTAAAATAAAGGTAAATTTGTGAGTGAATCCAAGCAATCATTTATATTGTGTTGTACAATACAATCATAATAATGAAAAATATTCAGGAGAAACCAGAAGAGAAGAATGCACATGCTGAAAGGAGGTGAATCAGAGTTAAAGAAGTCTAAGAACTGGGAGTAAATAAAACACACGTAATTTGAACATGATGTTATTATCTACATAGAAAACCCAAAACTTATATCCTTTGAAAAAAGGGTGCATATATTGATTAACTTTAGTTTATCTATGCATGCTTATAATTTGAGTAAATATTAAAAGAAAGAACAGCGTATATAATGAAAAATTACAGAAATATTTATCTCGGTACAAGAAGGAAAAAACATTAATCCAAAAACAGCAAGAAATTAGGGGCTAAAATGTGATAAAAATGGAAAGCACTAAAATAGATAATACAAATAAATCTAAAAAAATTACTATTAATAAAAATTAAATAAATTCTCAAGTTAAAAAACACAAACCATTATTTTGTTTAGAAATACAGAATTTTCCTATATTCTATTTGCTGTGGACTCAACTGAAAGACAAGCAACCATGCAATTGAAAGTGAAAGCCTAGAGAAAGAGATGCCAGCAAACATTAACATCTGAAATGCCGGTGTTGTTCTAGTAATACAGACTTTACCTGGACAAAATCAAGAAAAAATAGGAAATCTGAATTATTCTATAACTATCAAAGGAATTGGATCATTTTTCAAACATTTTTACAGAGAAAACATAAAGCCTAAGAAGCTTTATATGTAGGCCTACCAACCATTCAAGGAACAAAAAATTCCAATAATACACAAAAACTTTAAAAATAGGAAAAGAGTGAAGATGGTCTGATTATTTATTTATTTATTTATTGAGACAGAGTCTCACTCTGTCGCCCAGGCTGGAGTGCAGTGGCGTGATCTTGGCTCACTGCAAGCTCCACTTCCCGGGTTCACACCATTCTCCTTCCTCAGCCTTCCGAGCAGCTGAGACTACAGGCGCGTGCCACCACGCCCGGCTAATATTTTATATTTTTAGTAGAGACGGGGTTAGCCAGGATGGTGGTCTGGCTCATTTTATAAGACTAGTATAGCTTTGACCCCCAAACAAGATGAGTACAATATGAAAAATCATAACAAAGATTAAAAAACATTTAAATAAAATATTAGCACAAGTTTAATAATGCACAAAATAAAATGTACCATTAATAATTTTGATATGCCATATAATGTATGTTTAGTTTACATATCAAATATATTTAATATAATTCATGACATTAATAAGTTAAAGAGGAAAAATAACACATATATGAAGAAAGCACTGTTTGAACAAAACGTGTCATTCATTTGGGATAAAAACTAAACATTTGAGAAAATGTTTCCAAGCTGATAAAAGGCATTTGTAAACCAAAAATAAAATAAGACAAAAATACTCTTATCCTTATTGCTATAATTATGAAATATATCATCTGTTTCCTTCAGTGCCATGAATGAAAATATCCACCACCACTACTGTATTTCTATATTGTCCTGTGGTGCTTGATGTGAGGTAAAAAAAAAAAAAAAAACTTTAAGAATTGGGAATAAATAAAACATTTAGAATTTGAAGATGATGTGGTTGTCCACATAGACAACCTAAAATGTATTAAAATTAATCAATCAATTTAAAAAGGATACTAAATGCAAACCTGTTTTAAAAAGTCAACTAATTTGTAATCACCAGCAACAGTGAATTCAAGTTATAATAAAAATACTATCACATAGCAATGAGACATGAAGTGCCTATAAATAAATCTTTAAAACTGAAAGTTCTTTATGAAGAAAGTTTCGAACCTCATAAAAAGTTATCAGATAAGACAGAAAATAGATTTGTAACCAATTTTCTTAGATAAGAATACAAAATAATTGAAAAATGTCAATTCCCAAATTGATCTAGAATATAATTTAGATAAAAATCCAAACAGATTTTCTTAAAGATTTTTTTTAAAAAGTTTGAGTTTTGAGGTTCACTCCTATTGTTCATTATTATTTCATCTTTTTTATTGTCCAGTAGCATTTAATTTTATAACTCTATTAAAGTTTCTATTGTAATGTTAATGATCATTTCTATTACTTTCGGTTATTTCTTTATCTCTCTTGATATATATATATATATTTTTTGCTAGATATGTATTTTATGAATATTTTTCCCATTCAGTGTCTTAGTCAATTATTTTCTTAACAATGTATTTTGATGAACATAATTTTCTTGGTGAATTATAACATACCGATTTTTACTTTAATATTTTTTCATCTTTGCTAAGAAATCTTTGCCTACTTGAAGGTTTCTGAGATATTCTCCTGTATTTTCTTCTGGAAGCTTCATAATTTTATGAAAATTTATAGAAATATTTGTCTCGAAATATTTACATTGATTAGAATTGATAAGAGTAGAAATACTTGCATTTGTTCTAAACCTAGACAGTGTTTAATACTTTAGCACTGTATGATATTAAGTTTTTAAAGGATTTTTTTTCAGAAGAGGAAGTTGCCTTCTGGTCTTACTGTGCTAAGGGTTTTAAAAAAATAATTATGGAGTATAGAATTTTGTCACATCATTTTTGTTCAACTATTATAATATACATATACATAGAGAAAAAATAATGAATAGTGAGATAAGGGGAAAATAAAGATAAATACATCTTATTTTATGGGGTCAACGTATTTATTTACTTAAGTTCTAATTAAAAAATACCTTTTGGAAGGAGAGGATATTTGGATGATGACCATTTAACTAAGTAGTACTCAAAATTTCATTGTTTTTATTGTGTTTGCCATTTATCATGATACTGGGAACACTGATAGACATGATGAACACAAAAGTAATACCTTGCTACCTCACAAAAAGGAAATATGACAATGGTTCATTGAAAAGCATGGTGGAGATAGTTTATCTGCAGCTGGACTAGAACAGCTTCATCTCTAGTTGGGGGATGCCTAAATGTCTGGCTTTTGACTCTTGGCCAAGATAAGGACAATGGAATCTATAATATGCTCATTCAAGTCCAGTTACCTTGGTGACTTCAGGGTTAGGTCTTTTCTTAAGCCTTGCATCTGACCTAAGGACTTTGACAAGCCTAGCTCAATCACATGATCAAGTAGATTTATAAGGACCCCCCCTACTGGCAGCTTCTTTGAGCTCCCTGAAGCAGATTCCTCCCACAGACCTTGGTAGTTAAAGCCAGAGACTGAATACAGCCCATGTGTGTCACTGGGCCCATGGGGAGCGTGTGCTGTGAGGTGTCTCTTGGATTATCGATGCTTGCCTGAATTCTCCGCCTGCTGTACCAATTTTTTGCCTTTAAATAAAAGCCTTATGTGACTACACTCTGTGGGGTATGGTGAGTCATTTCAAATATACACGCTTAGGAAAACATATATAATTGTCTACACAGCAGGTGTCAGTAAAATATTCATACTGTCAGTGCACATGTACATACTGAATTGGTGTATTTCAATTTCTACAAGTTAAGTTACTGGGATTTTTTTACTATATAGTGGAAGAATATTTCTTTGAAGGAATAGTCTTTTTCAGGATTTGTTAAATTAACAGGCTAATCAAAAGAATGAATTGTCAGTTTAAAATGAGTATACCATTAGAAAGAACACAAGAAGAATGATAGCATCTGCGAGTCAAATTATATTCCATTTGCTCAAAATCAAAAATTATTAGTAAAATAAAAAAGTGACACTATGTTGGCCCCAAATAGGTTAATTGGTTTCAGCAAAATGAGAACACACATCATATTGCATCAATGTCAATGTTAATATTATTGCTTTAAAATATTTGTTTTTATGCAATTCATAAATATATTTTGGAGTCAGAGTTGTGGGAGTGCTTTACATTTAAGAACTTTCTACAATATGAATGCACTTTATGGAGGTGTACACTTAAATAGCATTCTGATAATAACTTCAATTTTATCATTAAAACCAGAAAAATAATATTTTTACTAAAATACTTATTTACATTATTCAAGTTTGAGAAAGTGCTTTAGAATGTTTGCTCATACATCACTAGAATTTTTTTCTATTATATTTACAAAGAGACCAAGATCTAGCTCTCTCCCACTGCAAATGTATGCATTTTAACACTTGGGGTCATCTAAAGAAAGAAGCCAATTGTGTGTTCTGACATTCTACAATTTTTCAGAAAATCATGATGTGGAGTTGTTTCTAACATATAGGATAATGACAATAGGTTCAGGCAAAGAAGGGTTTAAACTAGCTCTCCTGCTGGGGCACATTGTACAAAATATACTGTAATCTACATAAAATTAGGTCAAGATACATTTCTTTGAAATGAAATTGAAAGAGTTTATTCCTCTCTCCTCTGAGGTCTCTCAACTTCGTTGCACAAATGAAAATTATCAAGTAACTACAAAGAGCTTAGCCTTTGCAATTTTATTCTAAAACTCTAATATGTCAGTAGAAATGGTCTTGGATTACAAAGAATAAGTTTCTATTAATTTCTGGGAAAAATTAATTTGGTGTGCTTTACTAAATCATCATTACTTTCTAAACTAGGTGACTTTTTGTATTTGCATTGGACTTTTAGTATTGTAGAAAAAGAGATGCAATATTATAATTTTTATGGTGATATTTCAAAGCAGGACCCTTTTGTATTAATCCCACATGTAAATCATTAAAAAAAAACACTACATGCAAATTTATGTATTGGTTTTCATTATAAGGCAAGGAAGAATGAAAAATATCAGTGTCTGGAGAACCTTCTGCTTCTGGGAAGATGATGTAAATGTACTTTTACCTGTTCCTCTTACCATGTACAACTACAACCCTGGAGAATGAAATACATAAAATTCTATGAATTCTATTATTATATGAAATAAACATGAAATGTCTTTGAATAATGAAGAAAAGAAAGACCAGCTAGGAATCTTGAGGCACAAGAAGTGTGGTGGTGAGATTGGGGTTTTCTTTCCATGTAACCCAGACTTGAGACGAAAAAGCCAGCAACTCATTAACACCAATGGGCACAGATTTTAAAAAGCCCCAATAAAAGTATATTCTCTCTAACAAAAGAATTAGGAAAAGGTAGCCTAGAAAAAATAGTTTTTGACAATAGTCACGATACTCCAGCTGAATAACATAGAAAATACTGGCTCCTCAGCTACCTTCACCAGCAAAAGCCTAAACTTATACCCAGTACAGAATGTAAGGAGGCTCCAGACGACCTGCAGGAGTGATGTCAGAGAAGGCCAGGTGGGGAGCCAGGACTTTTATCCCTACTGGGTGTTAATGAGTCCCATTCTGTGGTATCAGGGGAGACCCGGTAGATAAAAACCAGCTTTGTATTCCGGAAGGAACCTCACATATTATGTTCTACGTTTGTCTCTGTATCTTCACATGCCCATCTTCGTATAGAAACGCCAGTCACGGTGAGCTAATGGTCCATCTTACTCTGGTGGAACCTCATCTTAATCAAACTAATTTTATTTACAAAAACCCTATTTCCAATAAGTTCCCACTATAAGATAGTGGGGATCAGGACTTCAACATCTTTTTAGGAGAACAATCTTCAACCCATGAAACAAGAGAACTCTTCACTCACTTACCAACTCTTTTCCACAAGCCTCAACCCATCAAGAGAAAATTTTAGGAAAGAAAAGAAAACTTAATGGAAACTTAATATTATTAAATGACTTTGAATAAACACAAGGTAGGAATCAGCTTGTGCTAGCAGGCAGGCAGAAAATCCACCTATGCCCAAGACCCTCCTTGGATATGAAATTTTGTAGAGGTGCAGTGGCTCATACTTGTAATCCCAGCACCTAGGGATGCCGAGGCAGATGGATCACTTGAGGCCAGGAGTTCGAGACCAGCCTGGCCAACATGGCAAAACCCCGTCTCTACTAACAGTACAAAAAAAATTAGCCAGGTGTGGTGGTGCACACCTGTAATCCCAGCTACTCAGGAGGCTGAGGCAGGAGAATCACTTGAGCCCAGGAGGCGGAGGTTGCAGTGAGCAGAGATTGCGCCATTGTACTCTAGCCTGGGGGACAAGAGTGAAACTCCGTCTCAAAAAAAAAAAAAAAGAAATGTAGAAGACAGAAAACAGTATTATAAACAAAATGGACAAAAATCAATTGTATTTCTATACACTAGCAATAAACAATCTGAAAATAACATTAAAATTAAGGAAATTTTTCTAAAAAATTGTATTTTAAATAGCATTAAAATTATAAAATACTTAAGAATAAGTTTTTAAAAGGAGTGCAAGACTTGTACAGTGCAAAATATTGTTGATTGAAATTAAGATGATTGAAATAAATGAAAATAAATTCATGTTCATGGATCTGTTCATGGAATTAATATTCTTATGATAGCAATACTTCCCACACTGCTGTACATACTCATACACATTTCTATCTAATAATTTTTTGCAGGTATTTACAAATATAGCCTAAAATTTACCAAAAAACTGTACTTGGGAACCAGTATAGTCAAAGAATCTTGAAAAAGAAGAAAATAGGACTCACCTTCACAATTTTAAAACTTACTACAAATCTAAATTCCTATATGAATATAGTATTTATATACTGTATTATTGTACATAGATATATAGTATATAAAATACATAATATATAATATATAATTTATAATGCTGTATACAAATATACAGCATTATATATTATTTGCTATAATACTGAATATAGTACTCAAGACAGTATGACACTCCATAGTCTAGCATATAGCTCAATGGAATAGAATCGAGGGTTCAGATATACAACCCTATACTTATGGTAAATTGATCTTCAACAAGAGTAACAAGTCAATTCAATGGGAAAATAGTAGAGTTTCTAACAAATGGTGCTCATACAACTGTATATCAACATGCAATGGAATGAATTTAGATCCCTACCTCAAACCATAATTAAAATAACTCAAAATATATTATAGACAAAAATATAAGGAAGAAACCTACAGAGGTTTCAGAAGAAAACATAGGTGAAATCTTTGTTACCTTGCATTAGGCACTGTGTTCTTAAGCTATGACACCAAAAACAAAACACACACAAGAGAAGATAAATTAATTGAACATCATCAAAATTAAAAATGTGTGTACTTTAAAAAATACTATTAGGAAGATATAAATACAAACCAAAGAACGAGAGAAAACTTTTGCAAAATATATATCTGATGAGATACTTTTATCTAGAATATATAAAAACTTCTTACAACTCAAAATTAAAAGACAACCTCATTTCTTAAAAAAAAACAGTAACAGACTTGAATAGATATTTCAGCAAAGAAGATATGCAGATAATAATTAACAACATGGAAATATGTTCAGGACCATTGGTCTTTATGGAAATGCAAGTCAAATCCACAATAAAATTTTACTGTAAACACACAAGGATAACTAAAATATAAAGAACAGGGAATAATAATGTTGAAGAAAATATGGAGAAATTAAAACTCTTTTGTGTCATTGGTGTGGAATTGTAAAATGGTTCTGCCACATTGTAAAACAATTGTACAGTTCCTGAAAACAGAAAACAGAGTTAATAAGCTCACTAGAATTGTCTGCCAAACACTTGCACACCAATGTGGACAGAAGCATTTTTCATAAAAGCCAAAAAGTGGGAATAACCCAATGCTCTTCAACTTATGAATGGATAAACAGAATGTGATATATCCGCACAATGGAATATTATTCAGCAATAAAAGTGAGGTACTGATACATGCTTTAACGTAAATGAATCTTGAAAACATTATGCTTAATGAAAGAAGCCAGTTACAAAATACCACATATGATTCAATTTATATGAAATATAATTTAATAGGCGAATCCATAAAGACAGAAAATAGATTAATGTTTGTCAAAGGATGGAACAGAATGACTGCTAACAGTTTTGCCATGTTTTGGGGGATTATTGGCTAAAAAAAAGTTCCAAAATTAGATGATGCCAATGAGTGCACAATTCTGTCAATATAACAAAAAACCACTGAGTTGTATACTTTAAAAGAGTTATTTTATAGTATGTAAAGTATATTTCAATAGGTTTTGTTATTTAAAAAAGGAAGCTGGAGGAAAGACTACAGAGGTATTTTAGGTAGAGATATGGAGAATATAAGAAAAAAACTAAACTTCTAGAGATGACAATTACAAAGCTTGTGATATAAAATTCCCTGGAAATGATTAACAATAGATTTCACATTGTATAAAAAAAGTAGTTAGCGTACTCAAAGACACAGCAATAGAAACCTTATACAATTAAGTATTGAGAGAAAAACTGAAAACATGAATATAGCATTAGTAAGCTCCGAGGTACATTCAGTATAATATAGGAAATCTGGACATTTGCAAAGGTATGCAGAACACCAAACATAGTAATTATGTCAGCAAATATAATACATATTTTTCTTGTATTATTTAATTCTACGTAAAAACAATTGACTGTTTAAAGCAAAAATAAGGACAGCATTTGTAACACATAAAGTAAAATGTGTTATCAACAAAGTTTAGGCTGGAGCAAGAAGTGCAGCAGGCAAGAAATGAAGTTGTATGGTTTTAAGGTTCTCATACCATGCGGGAAGTAGTACAAAAATCACTTGACAAAGACTGTGATAAGTTGGATATAGATGCTATCAAACCTAAATTATCCATTTAAAACACACACTAAAATGTGTTAGCTAATAGGCAATAAAGAACATACAATGCATTTCTAAAAAATTACTCAGTAAAATAAAGCAAATATAAATTTAAAAAGAGGAAAAATATTAGATGAAACAAGTAGAAAACGAATGGCAAGTTCTACCAAGTTAATAAACTTATTAAAGGCAAATGCTCTAAACATTACAGTTTAAAGACACAGAGAGATTGGATTTAGAAAACTAAGGTCCCAGGGTACATACTGCTTATCAGAAGCCCAAATTAAATGTAACAAACCAAATATGCTAAACAATAGAAGAAATAAATGAAGTAAATGAAACAAGTTCAGTCACACTAACAATAGTCAGAAATGAGAATTTATAAATACCACTCAAAACAGTATCAAAACTATGACATGCCCAGGAAAATGTTTGGAAAAATATGTATAAGACCAACACACTTAAAACTACATAACATTTTTGAGATAAATAAATTGCCAGATATACTGTGTTTGCAAATCAGAAGGCTCAAGATTGTGAAAATGTCAATCTTTTCAAAATGACCTATTAATTTAATGTAATTCTAACCAAAATCTCAGTGCATTTTTTGTAGACATTTACACACTCTTTCAAAGATGTATATGGCAATGTAAAGGTTTTACAATAGCTAAAACACCTTTGAAAAAGAACTAAATGAAAGAACTCACAGCATCTAATTTTAGGGCTTATTGTAAATCTTCAGTAATCAAGATTGTGGAATTGGTGTCAAGACACACAATTAACCAATGAACAGAAAGGAGAATCCTGAAATAGACCCATAAATATATAGTCAATTAATGCTTGACACAAGCATTATGGTAAAGTCATAAGTCAAAGGGGAAATAATACAATCTTCTCAACAACTATTGCTGAAACTATTGGGTACCCTTATGCAAAAAAACAAAAACTTCAATCCTTATTTCATGCCACATATAAAAATTATTTGAGATGTATCATGACCTAAATGTAAGAGCTACAACTATCAAACTTCTAGAAGAAAACATCCGGAAAAAATATTTTTTACCTACGGCTTGGTAAGACATCTTTAAAATGACAAAAAAAAAAAAGCACAAATGCAAAAGGACCATTTAAAAAAATAAGTACATTAAAAAAAAAAAGAATTGGATTTCATTAAAGTTACACACTTTTGTTTCTCCAAGAACACTGTTAAGAAAATGAAAGAGGAAGCCAAGCCAATGAGAAGTATTTGGAAAACATATATCTAAAAATTATTTTTACCTAGAATGCATAAAGCCATGCTATAACCCAGCAATAAGAGAGACAACCTAGAAAAATAAACAAAAGATTTGTAAAAACTCTTCACCAAGTAAGAAACGCAGATGGTAGGTAATTAAACACATAAAAATATGCTCAGCATCATTAGTCTTTAGGGAAATGCAAATGCAAATCACAATAAGGTACGGCTGCACATCCACTAGAATGATTTAATTAACAAGGCTATTAATACCTGGTGTTAAATATTGAAGATGGAGCACCTGCAACTCTCATACATAACTGGTGAGGTGAGAAAATGGTACAATTACTTTGGAAACACGTTTGTCAGCTACTTAGACAGTTGTATACCCACAGTATGATCCAACTGTTCTACTCCTAGGTGTTTTTTCAAGAGAAACAAACCAAACCAACAACAACAAAAAACCCCCAAAACAAAAAATGTCATTTCCTCAAAAACCTAGGTGTAAATGTTTGTGGTGGCTTTTTTTTCATAATTGTTAGAAATTTAAAAATAACCCAAATATCCCTTGACCAGAGAATGAGTAAGTGAACTGTGGTACTTATAAAATAGAATAATAACAGAAACAAAAAAAGAATGAATAGGTCAGGCACGATGGCTCACGTCTGTAATCCCAGCAGTTTAGGAGGCCGAGGAGGGTGGATCAGCTGAGGTCAGGAGTTCGAGGCCAGCCTGGCCAACATGGTGAAATACCGTCTCTACTAAAAATACAAAAATTAGCCATGCATGGTGTTGCACACCTGTAATCCCAGCTACTCAGAAAGGTGAGGCAGGAGAATGGCTTGAACCTGGGAGGCAGGGGTTGCAGTGACCGGAAATGGGGTGATTGTACTTCAGCCTGGGTGACAGAGTGAGACTGCATCTCAAAAAAAAAAAAAAAAAAAAAAAGAATGAGTAATTGATACACACAATGTAGTTGAATGTCAACATGTATTAGGCTAAATGAAATAGCCAGACTCAAAGGACTGCATACCCTATGATCCTATTTATATGCCATTTTGGCAAGTGCAAAACTATATGAAGACAAAGAAGATTAGTGGTTGCCAGGATTTGAGGGCAGAGGGAAAGGTTAACTACAAAATTACACAGGGGAATTTTGGGGAATAATATAGTCCTTCCACATCCTGAGCTGGTGGTTACATAACTGTGTGTATCTTGCACAATTCACAGAACTTTGCTTTAAGAAAGCAAAGATTTTTACTGTATGTAATGTATACCTTAAAGAGATAATGAAAAATAGCCTATAAACCACATCTGGGTCATTTTGTATCTGAATTGATCAAATATGTAGTGATCCTTGGTCAATCAGTCATGGTTATGCATAAAAGACTAGTCTGATTATTATAGATAGCTATGCAGAAAGATTTTCTCTTGTTGGTCATATTGACAGGTCTTTTTCTTCTCTCTGAGATTTGTGCACTGGACAGAGTATAGATCGCTGGCTTAAATTAGGGCATGAAACAGGAAGCAGTCAGACTTCCTCTTCTCTTATAAAATTATAAAGGAAGAAGAGTTTCACTCTTGGGCACCTAATCCCAAGCAGGAGGTCTGGCCCTCCTCTGGTTGATTGTGGTACTACAATTTTATCTTTTTGCACAAAGTGGGAGAGGAGAATGAAGTAGGTGATGTTCTCCTTGAGACAGTCCTTTGCTCACCTATTTAGATTCTGGCAAAATCCTCCAACTGCACTGCTGCCCTGGCTGCCTTCTCTCACGCAATTCCTGGGCTATGGTTTTCTCTACTGTCACCCTTTTTTTTTTTTGAGACGGAGTTTCGCTCTGTGTAATGGCACAATGTCGACTCACTGCAACCTCTGCTTCCCGGGTTCAAGTGATTCTCCTGCCTCAGCCTCCCGAGTAGCTGGGATTACAGGCGTCTGCCACCACGCCCGGCTAATTTTTGTATTTTTAGTAAAGCCGGGGTTTCACCACGTTGGTCAGGCTGGTCCGGAACTCCTGACCTCAGGTGATCCGCCCGCCTCGGCCTCCCAAAGTATTGGGATTACAGGAGTGAGCCACTGCGCCTGGCCTACTCTCTTTCTTATGATCCCCACTTCATTCTGCAGAAGTTCCATCAAAATCTGAAATCTAGCCATGTGTATGTCTTCTTCTTAATACTTTTACAGCTTTGTTCTAAAGTGGCCTTCTTTATTCTTTCATTTTAATATTTGGGGAAGAAGTTTGCCCACTTGAAGCAGTATTTAGAACACATGTTTTTGTTTTTGTTTAAATCTTATTTTTCTTAAAAGTGGAGTCAGTTTATAAAAACTAATTTTAATATGCATGGTATATTTCTTTTTATTTTTATTCATAATATTCTCTTTTGTAAATAGCACGAAAGTGGAAATTTTCATCCCCAATAGTAAAACTAAACATGTAAGGTAATCTTTCAAATTGTGTATCTGGGTTCTCCAGAAGGACAGAACTAATAAGATATATGTATATATGAAAGTGAGTTTATTAAGGAGCATTGACTACACAAGGTGAAATCCCATGATAGATCATCTGCAAGCTGAGGAGCAAGAAAACCAGTAGTGGCTCAGTCCAAGTCCTAAAGCCTCAAAAGTAGGGAAGCTGACAGTGCAGTCTTTAGTATGTGGCTGAAGGCCTGAGAGCCCCCGACAAATCACTCATGTAAGTCCAGGAGTCCAAAGGTCGAAGAACCTGGAGTCTAATGTTCAAGGGCAGGAAGCATCCAGCAGGGGAGAAAGATGAAAGCCAGAAGACTCAGCAAGTCAACTTCTTCCACCTTCTTCTGCCTGCTTTTTCTAACTGTGCTGGTAGCTGATTGGATGGTGCCCATCCACATTGAGGGTCGGTCTTCCTCTCCCATTCCACTGACTCAAATGTTAATCTCCTCTGCAACACCCTCACAGACACACCCAGAAACAATACTTTGCATCCTTCAATTCAATCAAGTTGACACTTAATATTGACCATTACAAATTGTCTTTTCCCTTTTTATTACTTAATGTTTGCAAACTCATTACTTTCACCCTTTTAAATTTATGCAATTTATCTCTTTATACAACCTTCATGACCCATTTTTTCAAATTCCATGTATTCTTGCAAGTTCCTCTTTCTCTTAATTTTTAGATGTCTCTAGCTTGTTTCTTTTAAATGTTGTTTTTTTCATCTAATTTCTTTTTATTTTCTTAAATTTTTGTGGGTACACAGTAGGTGTATAGATTTATGGGGTACCTGAAATGTTTATACAGGCATGAAATGCAACATAAGCACATCATGGAAAATGGAGTTTCCATTCCCTCAAGCTTTTATCCTTTGAGTTACAATCCAATTACATTCTTTTATTTTAAAATGTACAATTAAGTTATTATTGACTGTAGTCACCCTATTATGCTATCAAATGGTAGGTCTTATTCATTTAAAAAAATTTTTTTTGCACCCATTATCCATCCCCACCTGCTCTCCAGCCCCCCACTACACTTCCCAACTTCTGGTAACTACCCTTTTACTTTCTATGTCCATGGGTTCAATTCGTTTGATTTTTAGATCCCACAAATAAGTGAGAACATGTGATGTTTGTCTTTCTGTGCCTGGCTTATTTCACTTAATGTAATAATCTCCAGTTCCATCCATGTCGTAGAAAATGACAGGATCTCATTCTTTTTATGGCTGAATAGTACTCCATTGTGTATATGCACCACATTTTCTTTATCCATTCATCTGTTGATGGACACTTAGGTTGCTTCCAATACTTAGCTATTGTGAACAGTGCTGCAAACAAACATAGGAGTACAGATATCTTTTCAATATGTTGATTTCCTTTCTTTTGGGTATATACCCAGCAGTGGGATTTCTGGATCATATGGTAGCTCAAGTTTTTGTTTTTTCAGGAACCTCAAAACTGTTCTCCATAGTGTTTGTACAAATTTATATTCTCACCAACAGTGTACAAGGGTTCTCTTTTCTCCACATCCTTGCCAGTATATTGCCTTTCTTTTGGATATAAGCCATTTTAACTGGGGCAAGATAATATCTCATTGTAGTTTTGATTTGCATTTCTCTGATAATCAGTGTTGGGCACCTTTTCATATGCCTGTTTGCCATTTGTATGTCTTCTTAGTCTGAGTTTCATAGTCTCAGTTTCATAGTCTGATGTCTTAGATTTAAGTCTTTAATCCATTTTGTTTCGATTTTTGTATACGGCAAGAGATAGGGGTCTAGTTTCATTCTTTTACATATGGATATCCAGCTTTCCCAGCCCCATTTATTAAAGAAACTGTCTTTTCCCGAGTGCATGTTCTTGGCAACTTCGTCAAAAATAAGTTTACTGTAAGTGTGTGGATTTGTTTCTGGATTCTCTATTCCGTTACATTTGTTATGTGTCTGTTTTTATGCCAGTACCATGCTGTTTTGGTTATTATCACTCTGCTCAGTGGTATAATTTGTAGCCAGGTAATGTGATCCTCCCAGTTTTGTTCTTTTTGCTTAGAATAGCTTTTTTTTTTTTTTTTTTTAAATTCTGGGCCATTTGTGGTTCCATATAAATTATAGAATTGTTTTTTGTTTTTCTATTTCTGTGAAGAATGTCATTGGTATTTTGATAGTGATTGCATTTAATATGTAGGTTGCTTTGGGGAGTTTGGACATTTTAACAATATTGAGTCTTCCAATCCATGAACACGGAATATTTTTCAACTTTTTTCTGACCTCATCAATTTCATTAAGTTTTATAGTTTTTATTGCAGAGATCTTTCACTTTGTGAGTTAAGTTAATTGCTAGGTTTGCAATTTTATGTGTGGCTATTGAAACTGGGATTACTTTTTAGTTTCTTTTTCACATTGTTCACTGTTGGCATAGAGAAATGCTACTGATTTGTGTATGTTGATTTTGTACCCTTTACTGAATTTGTTCATCAGTTCTAATAGTTTTAAATTTTATCAACTTTGCTAAATTTGTTTATCAATTCTAATCATTTTTTGTGAAGTCTTTTGGTTTTTCCAAATATAAGACCATATTATCTGCAAACAAGGATAATTTGACTTCTTCCTTTCTAATTTGAATGCCCTTTATTTCCTCATCTTGTCTGATGGCTCCAGCTAGGTGCCATGGTACTGGTACTGGAAGTCCTAGCTGTCACATATGGCGTTTATTGTGTGGAGGTATGTTCCTTCTAAAGTCCATTTTGTGGAGATTTTTTTTTATTATGAAGGGATGTTGAATTTTATCAAATGTGTTTTCAGCACCAATTGAAACGGTCATATGGTTCTTGTCCTTTATTCTGTTGTTATGATGTATCACAATGATTTATTTGCGTATGTTGAACCATTCTTGCATCCCAGGGATAAATTCCACTTGGTCATGATGAATGATATTGCTAATGTATTGTTGAGTTCAACTTGCTAGTGTTTTGTTGAGGATTTTTGTATGAATATTTATTAGAGATATTGGCCTATGGTTTTCTTTTCTTGATATGTCTTTGTTCTATATTGGTATTGAGGTAATACTGGCCTCATAGAATGAGTTTTGAAGTATTACCTCCTCCTCTATTTCTTGGAATAGTTTGATTAGGATTGATATTAGTTGTTCTTTAAATGTTTGGTGGAATTCAGCAGTGAAGCCATCAGGTCCTGGACTTATCTTTACTAGGAGAATTTATTATGGCCTCAATCTCATTACTTATTATTGGTCTGTTCAGGTTTTGTATTTTATCCTGGTTCAATATTGGTAGGTTGCATCTGTCTAGGAATGTGTCCATTTCTTCTAGATTTTCCAATACATTGGCATATAGTTGCTCAGAGTAGCCATTAATGATCGTATGAACTTCTGAAGTATTGTAATATCTCTTTTTTTGTTTTGATTTTATTTGTTTGGGTCTTCTCTCTTTTTTCTTAGTCTGGCTATAGGTTTGTCAATTTTGTTTAACTCTTTAAGAAACCAACATTTTCTTACACTGATCTTTTTTATTTTTTAATTTCAATTTCACTTATTTTCCTCTGACATTTATTATTTCTTTTCTTCTACTAATTTTGGGTTTGATTTGCTCTTGCTTTTCTAAATATTGATTCTACACACTTTTTCCATATTTTTTTCCGTAAACAACTTTGTTTTATTTTTATTTATTTTTTATTATACTTTAAGTTCTAGGATACATGTGCACAATGTGCAGGTTTGTTACATAGGTATACATGTGCCATGTTGGTTTGCTGCACCCATCAACTCATGATTTACATTAAGTATTTCTCTTAATGGTATCCCTCCCCCAGCCCACCACCTCCTGAGAGGCCCCAGTGTGTGATGTTCCCCACCGTGTGTCCATGTGTTCTCATTGTTCAATTCCCACCTGTGAGTGAGAACACGCAGTGTTTGGTTTTCTGTCCTCATGATAGTTTGCTGAGAATGATGGTTTCCAGCTTCATCCATGTCCCTGCATAGGACATGAACTCATCCTTTTTTATGGCTGCATAGTATTCCATGGTATATATGTGCCACATTTTCTTAATCCAGTCTATCTTTGATGGACATCTGGGTTGGTTCCAAGTCTTTGCTATTGTGAATAGTGCCGCAAGAAACATATGTGTGCATGTGTCTTTATAGTAGCAAGATTTATAATTCTTTGGGTATATACCCAGTAATGGGATCACTGGGTCAAATGGTATTTCTAGTTCTAGATCCTTGAGGAATTGCCACACTGTCTTCCACAATGGTTGAACTAGTTTACAGTCCCACCAACAGTGTAAAAGTGTTCCTATTTCTCCACATCCTCTCCAGCATCTGTTGTTTCCTGACTTTTTAATGATCGCCATTCTAACTGGCATGAGATGGTATCTCATTGTGGTTTTGATTTGCATTTCTCTGATGACAAATGATGATGAGCATTTTTTCATGTGTCTGTTGGCTGCATAAATGTCTTCTTTTGAAAAGTGTCTGTTCATATCCTTTGCCCACTTTTTGATGGGTTTGTTTGTTTTTTTTCTTGTAAATTTGTTTAAGTTCTTTGTAGATTCTGGATGTTAGCCCTTTGTCAGATGGGTAGATTGCAAAAATTTTCTCCCATTCTGTAGGTTGCCTTTTCACTCTGATGGTAGTTTCTTTTGCTGTGCAGAATCTCTTTTGTTTAATTAGATCCCATTTGCCTATTTTGGCTTTTGTTGCCAATGCTTTTGGTGTTTTAGTCATGAAGTCTTTGCCCATGCCTATGTCCTGAATGATATTGCCTAGGTTTTCTTCTATGGTTTTTATGGCTTTAGGTGTAACATTGAAGTCTTTAATCCATCTTGAATTTTTTTGTGTGTGAGGCGTAAGGAAGGGATCCATTTTCAGCTTTCTACATATGGCTAGTCAGTTTTCCCAGCATAACAGGGAATCCTTTACCCATTTCTTGTTTTTGTCAAGTTTGTCAAAGATCAGATGGTTGTAGATGTGCGATGTTATTTCTCAGGCCTCTGTTCTATTCCATCGGTCTACATATCTGTTTTGGTACCGGTAACATGCTGTTTTGGTTACTGTAGCCTTGTAGTATAGTTTGAAGTCAGGTAGTGTGATGCCTCCAGCTTTGTTCTTTTTGCTTAGGTTTGTCTTGGCAATGTGGGCTCTTTTTGGTTCCATATGAACTTTAAAGTAGTTTTTTCCAATTCTGTGAAGAAAGTCATTGGTAGCTTGTTGGGGATGGCATTGAATCTATCAATTACCTTGGGCAGTATGGCTATTTTCACAATATTGATTCTTCCTATCCATAAGCATGGAATGTTCTTACATTTGTTTGTATCCTCTTTTATTTTGTTGAGCAGTGGTTTGTAGTTCTCCTTGAAGAGGTCCTTCACATCCCTTGTAAGTTGGATTCCTAGATATTTTGTTCTCTTTGTAGCAATTGTGAATGGGAGTTTACTCATGATTTGCCTCTCTGTTCATCTGTTATTGGTGTATAGGAATGCTTTTGATTTTTGCACATTGATTTTTATATCCTGAGACTTTGCTGAAGTTGCTTATCAGCTCAAGGAGATTTTGGGCTGAGATGATGGGGTTTTCTAAATATACAATCATGTCATCCGCAAACAGGGACAATTTGACTTCCTCTTTTCCTAATTGAATGCACTTTATTTCTTTCTCTTGCCTGATTGCCCTGGCCAGAACTTCCAACACTATGTTGAATAGGAGTGGTGAGAGAGGGCATCCTTGTCTTGTGCCGGTTTTCAAAGGGAATGCTGCCAGTTGTACATTCTTTTGATTTGGGGTGAAGAGTTCGGCAGATGTCTATTAGGTCTGCTTGGTGCAGAGCTCAGTTCAAGTCCTGGATATCCTTGTTAAAATTCTGTCTTGTTGATCTGTCTAAAACTAACAGTGGGGTGTTAAAGACTCCCATTATTATTGTGTGGTAGTCTAAGTCTCTTTGTAGGTCTCTAAGGACTTGCTTTATGAATCTGGGTGCTCTTGTATTGGGTGCATATATATTTAAGATAGTTAGCTCTTCTTGTTGAATTGATCCCTTTATCATTATGTAATGGCCTTCTTTGTCACTTTTCATCTTTGTTGGTTTAAAGTCTACTTTATCAGAGACTAGGATTGCAACCCCTGCTTTTTTTTGCTTTCCAATTGCTTGGTAGATCTGCCTCCATCCCTTTATTTTGAGCGTATGTGTGTCTCTGCATGTGAGATGGGTCTCCTGAATACAGCACACTGAAGGATCTTGACTCTTCATCCAATTTGCCAGTCTGTGTCTTTTAATTGGAGCATTTAGCCCATTTACATTTATGGTTAATATTATTATTTGTGAATTTGATCCTGTCATTATGATGTAGCTGGTTATTTTGCCTGTTAATTGATGCAGTTTCTTCATAGCATCGATGGTCTTACAATTTGGCATGTTTTTGCAATGGCTGGTACTGGTTGTTCCTTTCCATGCTTAGTGCTTCCTTCAGGAGCTCTTGTAAGGCAGGCCTGGTGGTGACAAAATCTCTCAGCATTTGCTTGTCTATAAAGGACTTTATTTCTCCTTCATTTATGAAGCTTAGTTTGGCTGGATATGAAATTCTGGGTTGAAAATTCTTTTGTTTAAGAGTGTTGAATATTGGCCCCCACTCTCTTCTGGCTTGTAGGGTTTCTGCTGAGAGATCTTCTGTTTGTTTGACGGGCTTCCCTTTGTGGGTAACCCGACCTTTCTCTCTGGCTGCACTTAACATGTTTTCCTTCATTTCAACCTTGGTGAATCTGACAATTATGTGTCTTGGTGTTGCTCTTCTCAAGGAGTATCTTTGTGGTGTTCTCTGTATTTCCTGAATTTGAATGCTGGCCTGCCTTGCTAGGTTGGGGAAGTTCTCCTGGATAGTATCCTGAAGTGTGTTTTCCACCTTAGTAACATTCTCCATGTCACTTTCAGGTACACCAATCAGACGTAGATTTGGTCTTTTCACATAGTCCCATATTTCTTGGAGGCTTTGTTCGTTTTTTTTTTTTGAACTCTTTTTTATCTAAACTTGTCTTCTTGCTTTATTTCATTAATTTGATCTTCAATCACTGATATCCTTTCTTCCAGTTGATCGAATCAGCTATTGAAGCTTGTGCGTGCATCACAAAATTCTCGTGCCATGGTTTTCAGCTCCATGAGGTCATTTAAGGTCTTCTCTACACTGTTTATTCTAGTTAGCCATTTGTCTAACCTTTTTTCAAAGTTTTTAGCTTCCTTGTGATGGGTTAGAAAATGCTCCTTTAGCTCAGAGAATTTTGTTATTACCGACCTTCTGAAGCCTACTTCCGTCAACTCGTCAAAGTCAATCTCCGTCCAGCTTTGTTCCATTGCTGGTGAGGAGCTGTGATCCTTTGGAGAAGAGGTGCTTTGGTTTTTAGAATTTTCAGCTTTTCTGCTCTGGTTTCTCCCCATCTTTGTGGTTTTATCTACCTTTGGTCTTTGATGTTGGTGACCTACAGATAGGGTTTTGGTGTCGATTTCCTTTTTGTTGATGTTGATATTATTCCTTTCTGTTTGTTAGTTTTCCTTCTAACAGTCAGGTCCCTCAGCTGCAGGTCTGTTGGAATTTGCTGGAGGTCCATCCCAGACCCTGTTTTCCTGGGTATCACCAGCGGAGGCTGCAGAACAGCAAATATGGCAGAACAGCAAATATTGCTGCCTGATCCTTCCTCCGTTAGCTTTGTCCCAGAGGGGCACCTGCCTGTATGAGGTGTCTGTTGGCCCCTACTGGGAGGTGTCTCCCAGTTAGGCTACACAGTGGTCAGGGACCCACTTGAGGAGGTAGTCTGTCCATTCTCAGAGCTCAAATGCCATGCTGGGAGAACCACTGCTCTCTTCAGAGCTGTCAGACAGGGATGTTTAAGTCTGCAGAAGTTTTTGCTGCTTTTTGTTCAGCTATGCCCTGCCCAGAGGTGGACTCTATAGAGGCAGTAGGCCTTGCTGAGCTGCGGTGGGCTCCACCCAGTTTGAGCTTCCCAGACACTTTGTTTACCTACTCAAGACTCAGCAATGGTGGACGCCCCTCCCCCTGCCTGGATGCAGTCTCACAGGTCCATCTCAGACTGCTGTGCTAGCAGTGAGCAAGGCTCTGTGGGCATGGGACACATCGAGCCAGGCACAGGAGAGAATCTCCTGGTCTGCCAGTTGCTAAGACCATGGGAAAAGCGCAGTATTTGGGCGAGAGTGTTCTGTTTTTCCAGGTACAGTCTGTCATGGCTTCCCTTAGCTAGGAAAGGGAGATCCCCCGACTCCTCGCACTTCCTGGGTCAGGTGACGTCCCCCTCCTGCTTCAGCTCACCCTCCATGGGCTGCACCCACTATCCAACGAGTCACAGTGAGATGAATCAGGTACCTCAGTTGGAAATGCAGAAATCACCCAGCTTCTGCATCAATCACACTGGGAGCTACAGACTGGAGCTGTCCCTATTCGGCCATCTTGGAACAGAACCAAACAACTTTTTCTCATATGTTTACCTATTTGTTGTTCATTTCACTTTGCCTCAGAAGACATCAAATATATAAACCTTAATAGGTATCATAAAAGGCAGAATACATGGGGGACATACAGGTCTTGACTTCAAGGAAAAAATGACTCTTCTATGAAATGAAGCAACAAAACAAACAAAGAAGCAAGTACTTTGCTTCACACAAGGGTCACAAAGCAAGATGCTTACAGGAATTGTGTGGGGTGTGTCAAGAAAGTTTTCAAAGGTTACCTTAACCTTAAGGGGGTTTTAAGTCACATATAGTGTTTGACTTACCGAAAAAGTCACTGTCACTTTTTTCTCTCAAGAATAAAGGTAGAATGTGCTGTCTAATTACGAACAACTTTGAGGAACAGATTATCTTTCTTTCTTTCTGGGAGTTTTCAAAGTGGCATATAGAACTATGCATTGTTTCTTAAGACAGCAGTAAAATCAATATTGCCTTCACTGAAGGCATAATTATTTTTATGCATTATTTGTATTTTGAAACACTTCTTTGATAAAATAAAATTGCATGACCACAAACTCTATTAATTAAATCATTGCACTTAAATTATTTAAAATGTAAAACAGAAAAGTAGTACTTGGTAAGAAGCGTGAGTATTGAACATTTTGGAATGAATCCACATTGTTTTATAAAATATAATTCTTTTTTGAATTATTAAAGATAAAATTATACACTTATAATAAAAAAGTGTAAATAAGATTTTCATTTATTTGTTTATGAACATAATGTATTTGAGATAAATGAGGTTACCATTTCCCCTCAAATGCTTTCTAAATATTTAAGCATTTTAAAAGAATATTCAAAAAAATCTATTGTATATTTCTCTAATTTAGTAAAGAACATAGATAACTATAAAGATTGCTTTAAGCATCATTTATTCTGTGAAATATTCAGAGGCTGTTCACATACATGACAATGTGTAATTTCTCTTATTCATTGCCTAGAGCTAGTGTTTAGTTTTTCTTGATGTATTTTGTATAATGGTTGGTTCAAGTGTACATTCAGGAGACATGAGGCATATTGAATGATTTGGCTTCTGTACTAAATGTCTCTGGAAATCAAGGTTGAATTATAGAAAGAGATACAGTTTTTATCATAACCGCCAAGTTGAAACAGGTTCTATGTAATAAAATGTAAGAAGAAGAATCCAAAATTGATGTTTATAGTCAGTGAAAATTTCAATAAAGGCAAAAAGGTCAAATGTAAGTTGTGTCTTTAAAATATTTGTCATCAATAATAAAACAATAATAGCTATGGAATATTACAGTTTGCCCAGACCCATCTCCTAATCCTTACAGAGATCCTAGAAGCAACTATTAGACTTTACATATAAAGTTGGACATTGATATGGTTTGGCTGTGTCCCCACCCAAATCTCAAATTGTAGTTCCCATAATTCCCACCCATTATGGGAGGGACCTGTTGGGAGGTAATTGAATCATGGGGTTTTATAACGGAGAATTCCCCGTACACAAGCTCTCTTAACTGCCACCATCCATGTAAAACAACATGACTTTGCTCCTCCTTGCTTTCCACCATGATTGTGAGGCCTTCCCGGCCATGTGGAACTATGAGTCAATTAAACCTCTTTCTTTTATAAATTACCCAGTCTTGGGTATGTCTTAATCAGCAGCATGAAGTAACACAGCATGACTAACACAGACATCAAGATTTCAATTAAGTTGCCCACAATCCCACAATTGGTTGCTTGTGAGATTGGGTTTGAAATCCAGGTATTCAGGTTCCAGATCCATGCTTTTATTTTTATTCCTAGTACATCTTGTTGCCTATTGATTGACTGTTGTGAAAACAGGCTGTCCTCAAGGATGAATAGACAGATAACTTTAAAGCAAAGGCTCTTGAGTTGAGGTGCTGGAAAAAAAATTAAGAAAATCTGAGAAACTGCTGAGAAGGTAAAAAAAAAGAAAATAAGCAAATGATGACAAAGAGTATGAAACATATAAAGGACTAAGCTATTATGCCTAAAATTATATCCTCTGAGAGAGATGGAGACATTGAAAAAAGAAAAAGCTTGAATGATGTATTAGTCTATTCTTGAATTGCTATTAAAAATACCTGAGACTGGGCAATTTATAAAGGAAATTTGCTCATGGTTATGCAGGCTGTACAGGAAGCATGATGCTGGCATCTGCTCAGCTTCTGGGGAGGCCTCAGGAAAGTTACAATCATGGTGGAAGGTGAAGGGAGAGCAGACACATCACATGGCAAAAGCCAGAGAGGGGAAGCAAGTTGTCACACACTTTCAAACAGCCAGATCTTGCAAGAAGTCACTCACTATCACAAAGACAGCACCAAGGGGATGGCACTAAACCATTCATGAAAATCCATGCCCATGATCCAATCACCTCTCACTAGGGCTCACCTCTAATACTGGGGATTACAATTCAACATGAGATTCGGGTGGAGACACATATCCAAACTATATCAAATGATAAGAAATGAATGGTGAAATCTGAAATGCTGAAGCGACAGACAGACATTTATGTAGCAAGTCACTGAAGATAAGGGTCAAGATGGCAGGGTGAAGGTGCAGAATTGGGAAGGTCATGGGCACTGAGGAAATAACTGACACAGGATGAAGTTGGGGTCTCTGAAGAAAAGAGTATATAATTAAAAGAACATGAAATGTAGTTTTGGAAGATAAAGAGAAAAAAGACAAAGGGGGTACTATCTAAAAAAGTCAAACAGGGATAATTAGAAAAAAGCAAAATGTTTGGATTGTCATGTGAACCCTGAAAGGCTACTTGGGCAGCCTGTACTGTGTGTTTCCTGCCCCAGAATATGGCCTCTGAGTCACGGCTGGAGTGGCACAAGCACTTCCAGCCAATCCTCCCATCTGCCCTGCATAGGCCTCCTGTGCTTGTCTTCCCAGAGCCACTTGAGGCTTTCAATGATTCTTTTGACCCTCACGTCTCATACTGGCTTCATAATTTTCTGCTGCATGGCTCTGAAGAAGCCAGATATAGTCCTTTGTTGCCATGGTCTGAATGTTTGTGTATTAGTCTGTTCTCATGCTGCTAGGAAGCAATACCTGAGACTGGGACATTTATAAAGGAAAGAGGCTTAATTGACTCACAGTTCAGCATGACTGGGGAGGTCTCAAGAAACTTACAATCATGGTGGAAGGGTAAGCTAACACGTCCTTCTTCACATGGCAGCTACAAGGAGAAGTGATGAACAACGGGGAAAGAGCCCCTTGTAAAACCATCAGATCTCGTGAGAAATCACTCAATATCATGAGAACAACATGGGGGTAACCACCCTCATGATTCGATTACCTCCCACTGGGTCCCTCCCATAACATGTAGGAATTATGGGAACTATAATTCAAGATGAGATTTGGGTGGGGACACAGCCAAACCATATAAGTTTGTGTTCTCAAAAACACAAACATCCAAAAGAGACACATCACCCTTCCACCATGTGAGGACACAACTAGAAGGTGTCATCTATAACCCAGAAAGTGGGCCCTCACCAAACGTCAAATCTGGCTTTGGTCTTAGACTTCTTGGCCTGCAGAACTGTGAGAAATAAATGTATGTTGTTTAAAGTCATCCAGTCTTTGGTGTTCTGTTATAGAAGTTCAAATGGACTAAGATATTTGTCTTCTTCTGAAGCTTACATTTAATTGATAGGGACATGCAATTGTAAAATAAGTAATGTATTATTTTGTGAAATTATGAAAGCTCTATATTCTGATTTTATCCCCTTTTACACCACAAACCTTATATAGCACACCACAAAATTCTGAATTCACAGTGCTCATTGGAAACAGTTTGATTATTTTTTCTACAGAGAAAGAGTTAAAAAAGATTTTCATAGTGTTATTAGAAACAGTAACTTTAACTGGCCCTTTTATTAATAACGTTCTTTGTCACATGTAGTTCCCTTTTACATTGCTCTTTCAGATATCGGTGGAACTGCTGCTGTTTTGATCTTTCTCTTTTCTTCCTTCTTTTTAATCTTTGGATTAAGTGCTGCCGGCGATGAACCCTTGAGGTGAGGCTATTGATTTGGAGATGCTAATAGAACTGCAAACTAATACATTATCCTGTCCTAACCTCTTAGGGCATCCTCAATTTGATGCCCTGAGACTTGTGGCCAAGCCTGTACAGAGGCACTGTGATGAAAAGAACAATCCTGTTGATACAGAGAACATCTAGCAAGCTGTCTCATGCTCACTGAATATTTCGTTTGTTTGCTGGGTTTTTTTTTTTTTTTTTGGTTTTTTTTTTTTAAAGTTTCTGCTCAAGTTTAGGTAACTCTTGTGTAAGTTTTCTATCTGACCCAAGCAGTCCTCTTCACTACGTCTGGCTTACTATTCATCTGGCAAATATTTTTCTCCTCCAATTTCTGGGGTAGCCCTTGTGCAGCTGGCTCCCATGATGGCAGCCAAATGGAGGCTGGTGCACTGTGTAGTCAGAGTCAACTTCTTACTGTGAAACTCCTCAAATAGACAGTTGTCATCAGAGCATTTCCTCATCATTCTCTTCTTGTTAAAATTGGGAATCTGACAAGTTCCTTCCTGTTTGCCAGCAAATATTTCAGTCCATGAGAAACTGAGTGGTATATTTGCACAAAAAGTAAACTCATCATTTTGAGTAATCATTTGCAATTCTTGGCAACTTCCCCATCTTTCCTGAGCTCTTCCTCTCTTTCTTAATTTTCTCTTTTTTCTCCATTCTCTTTCTCTATTTCTTGATACAAAACATTTCTTCTATCCAGCGGTAATTATGGCACAACTTACAGAAGGATTTCTTCATCCCTGGGCAGGCAGATGTTTATTCTCTCTTCTTTTACAAACCAGCAGAAGATTGAATTTCAGGTTATGATATTCTGGACCTGAGCATGTATTCAATTGTGTGGGTCCACATTATCTTTAAGAACCTCCATGGCTATACATAAATTAATTAGTGAGGTAGTACTCTCTGAAGACATTCTAGAATAGGATATTTCTCCTACTTGTGGCTTTTTGCATAGTAGACAATTTTGAGGCATCTGCAGAGTTCCACAAAGCCCTATACACATAACATCAAAGCGTTGGGAAGATTTCCCGTAGCTGTGCCTCATGTAATCTCAATTGCTTTTTGCCATACGAGGCACTGCTCCTATCTGTACCTTCACAGTTCATGACTATTTGCCCTGACTCAGGAATAGCCCAAAAGAGAGGCTGGAAGCCACAGAAGGTTAGTGTCAAAATAATGCATCACTAATCTTGTTAACCTTAGGCAAACTCATACTCATCTTGCCTAAACGTGGTAGAAGCAATTAGGATGAGAAACCACCAAAGAAATACCTGCACTGTCCGCTTGTAGACTTTATTCAAAAGTATCCCAACAGACACCACTTTCTGTGATACCAGACCATGCTTAGCTGTACTAAACCTACCACTGAGAACACTGGAGAAGGGCCCAAAGTCAACTGCTAGTCCCAACTTCTAGTTTAGCAGCACTCTTACTTTGTCCCTGCAAGGAAGTTTCCCCACCTAGGAATCACCATGAGTTACAAGAGCCTGGCAAATTTCAAGACTGCAGGAATGGAAAATATACAAGCTTGTAAGTTCAAGCTTATGTCTGAATCACCTACCCCAATAGATGGTAGTTGAGATGACGGCTAGAGAGCAAAATGGTAATATATATGTAAAGATGACAACAATGGGATTGAATTAGATGACAGCAAGGCATAGAGGATAGGAGTAGTAAACTACTTGTTTTGGTTTGAGTAATTCAAGGCATGATAGTGTCATTTACTGACATTTACAGATTTACAATCTGAGCAGATTTGAGAACATAAATCAATAGTTCTGTTTCTATTTCTGAAGTTTGAGACATGAGACAATCAACTTGAAACGCTAAACTGGCAACAAGATATGTGAGTTGGTAAATAAGAAGTTGAAGCTGCAGATGTATCTTATTATTCGTTCATTATTATTTTCTGAACTCCTGCAATAAAGAATAAAAACCTTATTGTAAGAAGAAGAATGGCAAGTATGTAATTCAATTACAAAGAACTTGTTAGAAAAATTGGGGGAGAAAGATTATGCAGATTTCAAGGCAGTGATTGGCCTGGAGAGTCTGACTGAAGACAGGTTTAAGAGGAAATTGAGAAATAGACACTGGGAATCACCAGGGAAGATCACATTCAGGGTGTGAATGCCCAGACAAGAGAGGACTGTAAACTGCTTAAGCAGAGAGAAAGAAGGACACATTCCTGTGAAAGAAGAAACAGGTGTATATTATATTTTGAGGTAAGAAAAGCATATATGAGCAAGCTCTGAAAAATGGCTTTATGTTTTTAAAGGGTTTAAAAGTAAAGAATAGTGAAAGAAGCTGTTGAGGATAGAAACGGAGAAAAGATTAGTAAATAAATAATAAGGGAAATTGATAAGGTGTATTAGTCAGGGTTCCCTAGAGGGAGAGGACTATTAAGACATACGTATATATGAAAAGGAGTTTATTAAGGAGTATTGACTCACATGATCACAAGGTTAAGTCCCACAATAGGCCGTCTACAAGCTGAGGAGCAAGGATGCCAGTCTGAGTCCCAAAACCTCAAAAGTAGGGAAGTTGACAGTGCATTCAGTCTGTGGCCAAAGGCCCAAGAGCCCCTCGTGAACCACTGGTGTGTAGGTCAAAGACTCCAAAAGCTGAAGAACTTGGAGTCTAATATTCAAGGGCAGAAACATCCAGCACAGGAGAAAGATGGAGGCCAGAAGACTTAGCCAGTCTAGTCCTTCCACCTTCTTCTGCCAGCTTTTATCCTAGCCACACTGGCAGCTGATTAGATGGTTCTTTCCCAGATTGAGGGTGGGTCTGCTTCTCCTAGTCCACTGACTCAAATGTTAATCTCCTTTGGCAACACCTTCACAGACACACCCCGGAACAATAATTCAATCCAATCATGTTGACACTCAATATTAACCATCACATAAGGCATCAAGGAAATGAACAGTACATTGATGCCAGTATTGCCGGCCAGTTTGAGAAGAATACTATGATTCTTAGAGGTCTCAAAACAGAAAGAAAATAAAGGTAGGAATGACCATGGATGCAACATGTTTTTAATAATTAATTGAGGAGACAAAGGAAGGAGCAGGGAGGGGACAAAACATCAGAGCACACAAGGTGCCAAGAGATGACCTTGGTTAGATTATGACACTGATGAGGGAGCCGTAGAAGTTTAATTCTAATTTGTCCAGCACAGATAAGATTAACTCAGAGTCACTTTTGTTCTTAACTGATCCTTAAAAATTGTGTCATAAGGCTGAAGGAGAACTATAAAGGAATCTACAGATTTTTCATTGAAAACTATTGTCACAATTAGGAAATCAAGTGAAAACAAAAGAAATTTGATATCAAAATACTGGCCACAGGTTTTTTTGTTTCGTTTTCTTTCTTTCTTTCTTTCTGAGATGGAGTCTCACTCTGTTGCCTAGGCTGGAATGCAGTGGTGTGATCTTTGTTCACTGCAACCTTCGCTTCCTGGGTTCAAGCAATTCTTCTGCCTCGGCCTCCTGAGTAACTGGGATTACAGGCACCCATCACCATGCCCAGCTCATTTTTTGTATTTTTGGTAGAAATGGGGTTTCACCATGTTGGCTAGACTGGTCTCAAATTCCTGACCTCAAGTGATCTGCTTGCCTCAGCCTCCCAAAGTGCTGGGATTACAGGCATGATCCACTGCACCCAGCTTGTTACAGGTTTTTAAAAAACATCAAGGAGGATTTCTGCTTTTCTTACAGCTGCACTTCTCCATCACACATTTCAATTTCATAGTTAATATTATTATATATTTGAATTATATTTATAATATACAAATATATTTTTATGTAAAATTAGAAGTCCCAGATCCCATTTTCTGCATTACTCTCCTAAGCAAATGCTATTATTAATGTATTGTGCATTACAATTTGCCATCATTTTAAAATAAGAGGTTTTAGATCCTTCTTAAGAAAAAGGTATTCAAAGGCATAATTATTATATCATCCTGATAAGCCAAAAATACATCCTCATGTACTTACTGTTTCAAAATATTCTTGGCATAAAAAAGCAAAAAAAAAAAAAAAACCCGCTAAACCCTAAACATAAACATATAATATAATATGAATGTAATGTGTAATATATGAGATCGATTTAGCAAACAAAATTGTGAATAAACATGTAACTTAAAATCATATATACTTGCTGTCTAGAGAAGACCATTGATATGGTTTGGCTGTGTCTATACCAAAATATCATCTTGAATTCCCATGTGTTGTGGGAGGGACCCGGTGGGAGGTAATTGAATCACGGGGGCAGGTCTTTCCTGTGCTGTTCTCATGATAGTGAAGAAGTCTCACGAGATCCGATGATTATAAAAAGGGGAGTTTCCCTGCACAAGCACTCCTCTCTTTGCCTGCCACCATCCAAGTAAGATGTGACTTGCTCCTCCTTGCCTTCTGCCATGATTATGAGGCTTCCCCCAGCCAAGTGGAACTGTAAGTCCAATTAAACCTCTTTCTTTTGTAAATTGCCCAGTCTCTGTTATGTCTTTACCAGCAGTGTGAAAAAAGACGAATACAACTAAATTCCAAAATTAGTAAAATAGTTAGTATGAGAAAATTACAATATTAAATGACAAAACTTCACTTCCTAATTTTTTTTTTAGTTTCAACTTTTTTTTTTTTGATACAGGTGGTATCTGTGCAGATTTGTTACCTGGGAATATTATATGATGCTGAGGCTTGGGGTATGGATTTTGTCACCCAAGTGGCGAGTGTAGTACCTTATAGGTAGTTTTTCAACAAATGACCTCCTTCATTGCCACCTCTCTAGTATTCTGCAGTGCCTATTGTTCCCATATTAATGTTCATGTGTGCTCTATGTTTAGCTCCCACTTGTAAGTGGGAACATTCAATATTTGGTTTTCTATTCCCACATTAATTTGCTTATTATGGCCTCCAACCACATCCATGTTGCTGCAGAGAATATTATTTTGTACTTTTTATGGCTGTGTAGTATTCCATGGTGTATATGTATCACATTTTCTTTATCCAATCTACCATTGATGAGCACCTAGGTCAATTCCATGTCTTTGCTATTGTGAATAGCATTTCAATGAACATACAGATGCATGTGTCCTTTTGGTAGAACAATTTATTTTCCTTTGGATATATACCCAGTAATGGAATTGCTGAGTTGAATGGTAATTCAGTTTTCAGTTTTTTGAGAAATTTACAAACTGCTTTTTACAGTGGCTGAACTAATTTACATTCCCACCAACAGTGTATAAGTGTTTCCTTTTCTCTGTAGCCTCACCAGCATCTGTCGTTTCTTGACTTTATTATAATAGCCATTCGGACTGGTGTGAGATGTTATCTCATTGTAGTTTTAATTTGCATTTCTCTGATGATTAGTGATGCTGAGCATTTTTTCATGTATTTGTTGGCCCTGTGTATATCTTTTGAGAAGTTTCTGTTCATGTCTTTTGCCCATTTATTAATGGGGCTATTTGTTTTTTCCTGTTGATTTGTTTAAGTTCCTTATAGGTTCTGCATATTAGACCTTTGTCAGATGGCATAGTTTGCGAATATTTTCTCACATTCTGTGGGTTGTTTTTTTACTCTGTTGATAGTTTCTTTTGCTGTGTAGAAGCTCTTCAGTTTAATTAAGTTCCACTTGCCTATTTTTGTTTTTGTTGCAATTGCTTTTTGGGAGTTAGCCATAAATTCTTTTCCAAGACCAATGTCAAGAAGGGTATTTCTTAGGCTTTTTCCTAGGATTTTTATAGTTTGAGTCTTACATCTAAATCTTTAATCAATTTTGAGTAACTTTTTGGGTATGGTGAAAGGTAGGTGTCCAGTTTTATTCTTCTACATATGGCTAGCCAGTTATCCTGGCACCATTTATCAAGTAGGGAGTACTTTCCCCATTGCTTGTTTTAGTCAGTCTTCTCAAAGATCAGATTATTGTAGGTGTGTGGCTTTATTTCTAGGTTCTCTATTCTGTTCCTTTGGCCTATGTGTCTGTTTCTGAATCAGCACCATGCTGTTTTGGTTATTGTAGCCCTGTAGTATAGTTTGAAGTCAGGTAGTGTGATGCCTCCAGCTTTGTTCTTTTTGCTTATGATTGCTTTGGCTATTCAGGCTCTTTTTTGGTTCTATATGAATTTTAGAATAGTTTTTTTTCTAATTATGTGAAAAATGACATTGGTAGTTTGAGAGGAATAGCCTTGAATCTGTAAATACTTTGGGTAGTATGGCCATCTTTAAGATACTGATTTTTCCAATTCATGATCATGGGATGTTTTACCATTTATTTGGTTTTTTTATCTCTGATTTTTTTCAGCAGTGTTTTGTAGTTCTCCTCATAGGAATCTTTCACCTCCTTGGTTAGGGGTATTCCTAGGATTTCACGTTTGTATGTGTCTGCTGTGAATGGGGTTGCAAACTTGATTTGACTCTCAGCTTGAATGTTATTGGTGTATAGAAATGCTGCTGATTTTTGTACATTGATTTTGTATTCTAAAACTTTACTAAAGTCGTTTATCAGTTCCATGAGCCATTTGGCAGAACCTTTAGGATTTTCTAGGCATAGAATCATATGGTCAGTGAAGAGAGATGGCTTGACTTCTCCTTTTCCTATGCAGATGCCTTTATTTCCTTCTCTTGCATGACTGCTCTGGTTAGGACTTCCAGTACTATGTTAAATAGGAGTTGTTCGAGTGGACATCCTTGTCTTTTTCCAGTCCTCTAGGGGGAATGCTTTCAGTTTTTGCCTGTTTTCTATGATATTGGCTGTGAGTTTGTCATAGATGGCTCTTATTATTTTGAGTTTCCTTCAGTGCCTAGTCAATTGAGGGTTTTTATCATGAAGGGATGCTGGATTTTATGGAAAGTTTTTCCTATATCTATTGCAATGATCACATGGTTTTTGCTTTTAACTCTGTTTATGTGGTGAATGGCACTTACTGATTTGCGTATGTTGAAACAACCTTGCAGCCCAGGAATGAAGCCTCCTTTATAGTGGTGAGTTAACTTTTGGATATGCTGCTGAATTTGGCTTGCTAGTTATTGTTAAGGATTTTTTTCGTCTATATTCATCAGGAATATTGGCCTGAAGTTTTCTTTTTTTGTTGTGTTTTTGCCAGGTTTTGATATCAGATTGATGCTGGCTTCCCAGAATGAGTTAGGGAGGAGTCTCTTCTTGATTTCTTGAAAGAGTTTCAATAGAATTGGTACTATCTCTTCTTTGAACTTCAGGCAGAATTTGGCCATGAATCCATCTGGTCCAGGGCTTTTTTTGGTTGGTCTATTTTTTATTATGGATTCAATGTTGGAACTTTTTATTAGTCTATTCAGGTGTTCACTTTCTTCCTGATTCAATCTGGGGAAAGTCTGTGTTTCCAGAAATTTACCAATTTCCTATGGATTTTCTAATAATAGAAAATTCTTAATAGTTTCTGAGGATCTTTTGTATTTCTCTGGGATTGGCTGTAAAGTCCTATTTGTCATTTCTGGTTGTGCTTAAATGCATCTTTTTCTTTCTTTTTAAGTCTAGCTAGCAGTCTATTACTCTTCTTTATTCTTTGAAGAACCAGCTCTTGGTTCATTGATCCTTTGTATAGATTTTTGCATCTCAATTTCTTTCAGTTCTCTAATTTCAGTTATTAATTTCCTTCTGCTAGCTTTGTTTTTTTTTTTTTTTAGTTTCTCTAGGTATAATATTAGATTGCTATTTTGAGTTATTTATAACTTCTTGATGAAGGCATTTAGGAGAATACACTTGCTTCTTAACACCGCTTTATCTATATTCCAGAGATTTTGGTAAATTGTGTCTCAATTTTCATTAATTAAAAAATTGTTTTTATTTCATTTCAGTGTTCACTCAGGAATTATTCAGGAGCAAGTTGTTCAATTTCCATGCATTCGTGTAGTTTTCAGAGATCTTCTTGATATTGATTTCCATTATTATTGCACTGGGGTCTCAGAGTATGCTTGGTATGATTTTCATTTTTTTAAATTTATTTTCATCTCATAATTTTTATTTGAATGTATTCAGAACTAGGAAAAACTAAAGTGTTTTTTCTAGCCTCACACTCAATACCACACTCAACACAAAATGCTTCACCTCCAGTCCACAAAATGTATGTGGATTTCTCTTTATGAACAATAATTATCTGGTGGAAACCCACTGGCTGTTCTACAATTTAACTTAATTGTAGTATTCTCTACCTGGAGTTATAGTCAGATCCCACAGGTTAAGGGCTCAGTTCCACAAGATCCTCCCACTTCAGATGCCAGTTGTAAGTAGGAGGTCGTCACCTACATTTCCAGCTGACTGGTTATAAATCAGGTTTCCCACTAGCCCCTCCTCAGGGTGATTAATCTGCTCGATGGGCCACAAAACTTAGAGAAACACTTACTGATGTTTACCAGTTTAGCATATTAATAAAGAATATGAGAGAGGATACAGATGAACAATCCAAAATGCAAGAGATGCATAGCACAGGGTATATGGGAAGGTGTGTGGAGCTTCCACACCCTCTCTTGGTGCACCACCCTCCAGGGACCTCCAGAGTGTTCAGTAATCCAGAAGTTCTCAGATCTCTGTTTTTGGGTATATAACAGAGGTTTCCTTACATAGACATGATTGATTACTTCATTAGCCATTGATGATCAAGTCAAGCTTTAGCCCCTCCCCACTCCCTGGAGGTCAGTGGGTAAAACTGAAAGTTCCAACCCTCTAATCACATGATTGTTTCCTCTTATCACCAGCCCCCATCCTAAGGCTATCCAGGAGCCCACCAAGAGTCCCCTCATTAGAACAAAAGATGCCCCCTTCACCCAGCAAATTTTGAAGTATTTCGGAGCTCTGTGTTAGATGCTGCTAACACTCAGGAAATCACAAAGATCTTAGGAGCTGTGGGTCAGGAACCAGGGTCAGAGACCGACTACTAGAATGAAAGGTTCTCTAGCACCTTTATCTCAAGGGTTTTAAGAGCCCTGTCTGAGGAACCCAGAAGCAAAGACCAAATCTATGTTTTTTATTATATCATAATATTAGAAATATAAATTTAAAAATAACTGATTGGGCCGAGCGCAGTGGCTCACGCCTGTAATCCCAGCACTTTGGGAGGCTGAGACAGGCTGATCACGAGGTCAGGAGATCGAGACCATCCTGGATAACACAGTGAAACCCTGTCTCTACTAAAAATACAAAAAATTAGCCAGGCATGGTGGCGGGTGCCTATAGTCCCAGCTACTCAGAAGGCTGAGGTAGGAGAATGGCGTGAATCCGGGAGGCAGAGCTTGCAGTGAGCTGAGATCGTGCCACTGCACTCCAGCCTGGGCGACAGAGAGAGACTCTGTCTCAAAAAAACAAACGAACAAAAAAACTGATTGATGTGAAATGGAAGTATTCAAATGTAGATAAACTTCATGTAAAATAGAAAATGTAAATAAAATACTAGCTACTTTATTTCCCAATGTGAAATAGAACTTAAATAACTTGACCTATGGGTTTACAAGGAATGTATTTACATTGTTTAGCATTATACCAAGATGGCAGTCTTGACACCATGCAGTATGACTTACGTGTTTTGTCAAAAAGTGCAAAGACACTGAAGACAATGATTATTTAGTGGATGTGTATCAAGTAAAAGCCATTCCACATGACTCACACAGACAGGTTTCACTTTATTATGAAATAAGGCTATAAGAAAAACTGACTATTATTCTCCCTATTTTAAAAAATATAAAGATGCTTGAAAAGGATAATACTTTCATTTGTAATTATTATATTTATGTAGCACTTAATATATATATGTCCATATATGTACTATGTCCATATGTATGAATACTTAAGTGTATACAATTATTCATGTATGTACCCACACATTTAATCCTCACAACATCTCTGAGATAGGTGTGTATATTATCTCTATTTTATAAAAGAGAAAGCTGGGGCATAGACAGGTTAAAAGATTTGTCTAGGATCATATAGCTAGTAAATAGGGCGACCAGGTTTAATCCTTCAAAAAGCTGCTCCAGAGAACTTGCTCTTAAACACTATATATTACTTAATTTCTTAAAGAACTGCATCTTAATTTAACCTCAGGCATCAAAAAAAGATTCTGGAAAAACTCTCCTTGTCTGTGTGTGCTTCAAAAGAATTGACAAACTGACCAATACTCTAGAGAAAGCAAATAAAATGAAATAGATTCAGCCATTATTTATTGGTGCACACTATATGATCTTACTTACTGACTGGCAACTAAATTTAATCAAGTAATGCCTTTGAGGTCAAATGATCAAAACACTTCACTGTTCCTCTACCTTTAACCCATTGATTTCTCTGAGGAAAATTCTGTGATGCTATTGTATTGAATCAATATTTATTTATTTTTATACTGGAACCGTGTTGCCTGGATTTCTATTCCCTGTTTAGCTCTGAGTTAAGCTGGCCACAAGAGAAATTCTGCATGAGATTTGGAGGGTAAAGGTAAAGCAGCAGTGGCTTTACACGGGGAAAATTGGTGTGGGTTGCCAGGCCCTGGTGGGGCTCATGCATATTGCCATAATTCATCCATACATCTTTTGATGAGAGCTGCAGCCAGGTCCCCAGCTCCTCCAGCTCCCATGGAGCTCCTCCTTCAGGGTTATCAATCCTGCAGGTGATGGCAAAGGGCTTGGGCCTTTCTGCCAGTCATATGCAATGTTAGGGTTGGTGGCCACGTGAGGCTGATATGTTTTTGCCTGGTTGATTCCAGTATGTCCTCATGTCCCCTTGCTTTACACACAGCACTTCTTCCCCACTGCCAGCTCAGCAGCCTTCAAGACTCCAGGGCCTTCTCCTGACATGGAAGCGAGACCTTTCCATAGGCTTTTCCACCAGCTCTCACAACTATGGGAGGTCTAATCCCTACAATAAATCCATTAGTCCATAGTACTCACAGTGGTGCTACTTCCTGGATCAAACTTTAATACTGAAATTAATCCTGAAGTTGTTCCAGGAGAATAGAACCTTAAGACATGTTCTTTGATTGAGATCTGGGCTATCTGGAATTGGTTCTCTGTTTCAATTTGCTTTAAAGCTGTTAATGACTCCTTCGCCAGTGGAAAGGTGAGCACTGGTAGTCCTATGACACGCATTGGCAAAAGTGTTGCTTAAATAACCTGTAGACTTCTATAACCAGATGCCTTATAGGTAGCAATGTTTTGGATAGCCAAGTAATTGCTAACATAGAACATTTTTATTGAAAAATTAAAAAAGTGGTGGAGCTGGCTGGTTGCTTCTAAGTGTTCTGGAGAACTTGGGAAAGAAAATGTTGAGTTTGGGATTTTAAAAATCCACCTCAAGACCAAGCAAAAAGAAAAAATGCCAGAAAGTTTGTATTACTACTGTGAAAGAAACCCTTAACTCTTGTAGCTATAGGGCCAACGTTGCTGAAACGAAACCCAAAATCTAAACCTATGAGTAGCTGAATCATGATATAAATTGAATTAATAATCACATAGGATCCTATATGTTAAAGCTAGGGTACTGACTACAATAGAGGGGCATCCTGAAAATCATGGAGACATATGAATTTGAGAAAGCTGGAGATCTCTCAAACTTCTAACTTGTGCCTGGCTTCGCTTGCCAGAAGTCACTGAAGGAATTTAGTGTCTCCTTGCCTGAGAAAACTCTAATGGCCTCTCTTGTGACAGTTGCCTTGAAGGGGCTGCTGGTTCTCCGCAGGATTTGCTACCATCACCTGCCATTACTTCTAGTCCCAAGTTAGTCAGAACACAGGAAATAATCACAAAGTATACAAGTGAGAACCATGAAAAGATGCAATGCACACCAACAGATGCTTCTAGGAAGTCTCCATCCACGGGTGCACAGAGCATCATACACACCAGCATGGCATTCCAGCAGCATTGCCTCTGACAGAAAGATGATTTAATGAAGCAAGACAATGGACTCTTGCTCATGGAATTCACTGATTGCTCTTCACATTTTTTCAAGCCAGATCATGTAGTGGAATTGACCTGTGTATTCCATCAGGAAGCATATGATGGCAGTTTAGCCCAATATTTTTTATGCTAACTTTGCTTCACTTAAGTCTGGCTTCTGCCAAGTTTCTTTGTCTCTCTCCTGTCAGGTTATCCCTTTTCCCTCTCCAATTAATAACTAATCTGTTGGAAAATACTTAGAATCAGTGCATGTAGCCTTTTCCCATCAAATTTTCACCCAATAGTTCAACTATCCATTGATTTTTGCCTGAAACATTTATTAACATGGTATTGGAAAAGAATGATTTTTATAACTGCATCATTCCACTTATATTTATTATTTAGTATTTCTCTGTAAGAAAGGGATTTCTCTGTAAATCTCTGTAAGGAAGAGGTTTTTCCTTCTCCTGTGTTATGTATATATGTGTATATGTATATACATGTGTGTATTCACATTTATATATGTATGTACATATGTATGCATTTGGTGTAAGTATAGATTTATGTAGTATTCTTTCAGTTTGAGATGTTTCATTAAAATTGAATTTCTAACACAATTATATACAGAGCAAATTTAAATCCATATGATGTAGTGTATAAATCGCAATATTAATGTGTTGCACCATGTGCATCTTACCCACTCTTGAATTCATAGAGCTAAAGTATTACATAGTATGCATGCAATATATATTTATTGGCCATATGATATATGTCACTCCATACTTGGATTAGTTTTTGTCTCCACTCAGCTAGTGTTAATTAGATGGGCACAGTATGAGTTACGATTTCATGTTATATAGCCATTCACAGAAAAACGATAATGTGCTAATATAATTATTAACCTTACTGTAATCATATTCTACTTGCAAATATAAAATACAAACAGTCAGGGAACAGCATGAAAGGGTATAAAATGAAGTCAGTTGAGAAGAAAACTGTTTTAAAAAGAAGGAAATTGGATTAGGAGTTCAATTTATGTTAAAGCTAAACCCATTAAGCTGAACAGATAAAAATTCTCCAGAGCACAGGAAGTAGAACTGGGAAATTACAGTGGTGAATTGGGCAATACAACACAGTGATCTAATAAACTAGCAATTTACCATATTATTATGAGCTCGAAAGGCAATTTAATCAAAACAATTTGGTTTATATTGCTTCTAACCTAGTTGTGTAGTTTCACATTTTTTTTTAAGTACAAAACTTTTAGTCACAGGACTACAGTTTTATAAATTAGAATATATGCTGCTAAAATAATTATTGAAACTACCTTGGTGATGACTATAGTTATAAAGGCATCCACTTAAATGCCACAGTAAATCAAGACACAATTACAGCCTAGCCAATTTTTAATCTTTCTGTATGTGCCCTTCTGTTTTGAGAATAAGTAAAAGCACTTTTCTATTTTTTCCTCTACCGTTTTTTTCAAATAAAGATAGTTATAAAACATTTAAAAAATATATTTTTTGTTAGATATTAAGAAATTAATTAAGAGTCTCATGTCCTAAAATTTTTATACAGTTAGTAAGAATTATTTAAAAAGTAGTAGGGCACAAAGCACCCTAAATATCTTTATTGTATAATTTCTTTTGGAAAATGGAGCAATTATACTTGCTTAAACTTTCCCAATTTCATATAATTTTATTACTCTTTTTTTGTCAACCATAGAATGACTCTAACGTTGGAAAAGTTAGTTGGGCATGACAGATAAATCTTTCCATGAAATTGACCTTTCTAAAACTATTTCATTAAGTGTGATGCTTTCCCAAAGATATCTACAGGAAATATACATAATAGTGAAATGTTGAATGCATTCTTTTTAGATCACTTATAAGTCAATGTTGTTGCACCATTTATACTTACATTACAATGGAGACAATGGAGATCTTAGTTATTACAGTAAGACATTAGTGGGAAATGTGGTTTAGGATTCTAAAAAGATAAAGAAGAAACTAGAACTCCCATATGCTGCTGGTGAGAATATAAAATGTTAGCTCTGACATGTAAAAAACTTGGAAGTCATCATTCCACTGCACACAAGCTAAAGCTGGACAAACTGAAAATCAACAACTTTTTTTTTTGACCCATCAGAAAACTGAGGATTAGAACAAACCACATCCTGAAATGTGGAGAGACAGATAAATTCAGAGAGAAACAGCTGAGATCTACTTACCTGGAACAAAAGCCACTGTAGCCACAAACTGGTAAGAAGACTTAAACAGTATTTTTTTTAATGTAATAAAATTAAAATAACAAAATTTATCATTTTGACCACTTAAAGTATACAGCTCAGCGGCACGAAGTACATTCACACTGCCATGCAACTTTCACCACCAAGTATCTCCAGAATGTTTTCATCTCCCCAAGTTGAAACACTGTACCCCTTAAACAATAGCTTCCCAATTGCCCCTTGCTCAGCCCCTGGCCGCCACTACCCTACTTTCTGTCCCTTTGAGTTGACCTCTCTATGTGTCTCACATAAGTGGAATCATATAATATTTGTTCTTTTGTAAGTGGCTTCTTTATTTACCATAATGGCTTCAAGCTTCATCCATGTTGTAGCATATGTCCAAATTTCTTTCCTTTTTAAGGCTCAATAATATTCCATTGTATTTCTAAGCCACATTTTGTTTATTTGTTCATCTCTCAATAAAAATTTGTGTTGCTTTCACTTTTGAGTACTGTGAATAATGCTGCCATACCCATTGGTGTACAAATATCTGTTTGAGTCTTTGCTTTCAACTCTTTTGGGTATATTCTCAGAAGCAGAATTGCCACATGATATAGTTTTCCCATGTTAAATTTCTTTAGCAATGGCCATACTGCCTTCCACAGTGGCTAGACTATTTTACATTCCCACCAGCAATGCATAAAGGTTCCAATTTCTTCACATCTTCACCAACACTTGCTATTTTCTGATATTAAAAAAATAACAGCCATTCTAATGGTTGTGAAGTGATATTACACACTTCAAATGCAAATCAAATGGTTATTTGCATTTCCTTAATGATGATTAGTGATGTTATACATCTTTTTTCGCTTATTGGCCATCTATATAGCTTCTTCGGAGACATGTCAATTTAAGTCTTTGCCCATTTTTAAATTGAGTTGTTTGTTTTCTTCTGTTTTTAGCCAATGAAAATTTTGGAACCATTTCTATAAACTACATAGCCAATTACAATTTTGAAACCATCCCTATAAACTTCATAAAGTTAATCAGGGAAGAAGAAAGGGGCAAACAACAACAACAAAAACAACAACAAAACCCAAGTTAGCAGCACAAGCAGCATTCACCATGAGGTCAGTCTGCTCCCTGCCCTGCTCCCTGCCCTGCTTCCTCACAGCTGTTTCATGCCCCTTGCCTCAGAATCACATAGAACCTGTTACAAGATTATAACCGCCCTTAATTGTTCCGTAGATAACCACTTGAATATTATAAAATGTTAAGTTTTTCCTTTGAGATATTCTTTCAGGTCCTGCATACCAATGCAGCTACTAACATCAGCTGGTCTGAAGGACCCCAGTGATTCCAACTGGTCTGAAGGACTTCACAGGAGCTGACTCACCAAAGAATGTAGTTTTCACGTGTTGATGATTTTATGCCCCTTATCCCTATCAATCAACAACTCCAATTTTCCAACTCCTCACCCTCCATGATCCCCTTAAAAACCCCAGCCTGACTGGGCGCAGTGGCTCACACCTGTAATCTCAGCCCTTTGGGAGATCGAGGTAGGCAGATCACGAGGTCAAGAGATCAAGACCATCCTTGCCAACCTGGTGAAACCCCGTCTCTACTAAAAATATAAAAATTAGATGGGCATGGTGGTGGCACGCCTGTAGTCCCAGCTACTTGGGAGGCTGAGGCAAGAAAATTGCTTGAATCCGGGAGGCAGAGGTTGCAGTGAGCCAAGATTGCACCACTGCACTCCAGCCTGGTTACAGAGCAAGATTCCAGAAAAACAAACAAACAAAAAAACAACAAAACCCAGCCCAGAACTCCTCAGGAAGATGGATTTGAGAGTCTCCTACCATCTCCTCGGTGGCCTTTAATCATTAAATTCTTTCTCTGCTGCAAACCTTGGTGTCTATTAGTTCAGAGCCCCCGCATCAAGGATGGGCACACAGATATTTAAATAGCCGACAAATTGAGGATCTTTGCTTCTCTAAATTCCTTAACTCAAATGGGTTTAACAAAATGCTATGTTTTATATAGTTAATTGCTACAAATCTCTTTCTAAGACCCGGATTAAATTCTGTAACTTTACTTTTTGGCTTTTGGTTTTGGCTCTTCTGTTGCTTAAAAGGCCTTCAGGGTTAGTGAGTACCTGCTCACCTCCATTCCCACCTGTCCTAGAATGTTTAATTGACTCTAAGTATTTTGGCTCTAAATCCCTTGGCCATAGGGTCCCCCCCAAGAAACAGGATGGATCCAGGGTAGGTAGCCACACCATCCTGTCAATATGGGACAAAATATAAGTTTAGACATTGATGCTGCCTCTCTCAGATCTTGGCCAAAAAGCAGGGAAGATAAACTAAAAATAAAACCTTAAACCTCCCTACCAACTGAACAGACCCCCTTGTGGCCAATAGGACCCTAACCTCCCAAACAAACCCTTAAAACACAGTTCCTGGCCATGATAGGATGGAAGTTCAAATACACCTTGTCATATGCCCACCCTTTTATGGTTTAGATACAACAACTGACCAGCATTATTGTTAAAATAGAGATCATAAAACTGACAGAACGGACTCCATGTGGCAGTAAGAGCTCATGGGTACCCCAAAGTTTTCTATCTATTTTACCAAAACTTTTAAAATTTGGGCTCATAATTCTGACAATAAGGGCTAAAATTTATCTTATACTCCAGTGTGCAATTAAATGCTATGCTAGGACAGTGGAGAGAAGCACTAATGTGTTCATGCTGCACCTCCCAGATCCCATACTGTGCACTAGTAAATACTTGCAGGTCACTGACAGGCAATTTCATGACTTTAATCCTGACTCCTATCCCAATTATGCCCCTTGCCAGAAGGAAAAAGCTGGAGCAGTCTTGGTCTGATTTCTAGTAGATTAGGATTGAAGTATGATCACCTCACCTCAGGACTGAAGTATGATCAAACCCTTGGGGACTGAAACCATCCTTATAAACTTTATAAAATTAATCAAGAATGGGGGGAATGAAAGTAAATCAAGCTTGCAGCACATGCACTGTTAATGATTAGGTCAGCCTTCTCTCTCTGACCTGCTTCCTCGTACTGGCTTGGTGCCTATTGCCTTAGAATCACATAGACTCAGTTACAAGATTATTGTTCCCCTTAACTGCTCTATAGATAGCAACTCGAACATTATAACATGTTATGGTTTCCACTTGAGATATTCTTTCAGGTCCTGCATACCAATGAAACTACTTATGCCGGCTAGTCTGAAGGACCCCACAGGAGCTGACTCACTAAAGAATGCAGTTTCCATATCCTGAGGACTTCATCTACCCTACTCTGACAAGTCAACAACCCCAATTCTCCAGCCCCTCACCCTCCATGATCCCCTTAAAACCCCAGCCCAGAACTCTTTGGAGAGATGGGTTTATGTTCTCCTCTCATCTCTTTGCTCTGTCCCCTATTACCATTAAACTCTTTCTCTGCTGCAAACCTTGCTGTTTCAGTATAACGGGTCTGTTACTCTGCAGCAGGCATGAAAACCCATTGTCCTATAATTTTTCAAAATTTCTGAAAACTGAATGTGGGATAGCAGGAGTTTGAGCAACTACTTGGGCTGGTCTTATGGGAACCCATACTTTCATGTGTTTTACCTTCAAAAGCCCCCCAGGTTCTCATGGTGAATATCCAAGAAAGATGCCCTGGTGGTTCAGGCAGAAAGAAATGAATAATAATAGTAAACTAAGCCCATAGCCTTCTCCTTAACAATGGCCTGCTCTGCAGAGGATGAAAAGAGCCTTGTTCAACGGCCAGGGGAAGATATTTCCACCCATCCCACTTCCCTCTAGTCTTTCTTTATTTCATAAAGAAGAGAGAAAAATAATATCAAAAGGGGCCAGAGTTTCAAGGAAATAGTTTGGAATATTGTAGCCAAGGGGAAAAAAGCTACACCACTGAGGAAACACTTGTGAGGGTCACAGCCAGAGACACAGGCCCATTAATGGTTTAATTGGAAAATTATAGCATAGTAACTCCCACCCCTTACCACATCAACACAGCTCCAGCATAATAACAGTGAATTACAGCTAAAAAGTTACAAGACACAGACTCTAAGGAGAAGTTCTTAGGGAACCCCAAAATGAAGATGGAAGACAAGCACAAGGAGACTAGCGGAATTTCAAGCCTATCGCATATATAACTACAAGGAACATTAAATACAGCCTAACCTCTAGCTATATCAACATAATTCTCACACAAAAGTCCTACTTATCTCAGTTTCTATTATCCAATGCAACATGTTCAGCCATCAACAAAAATTACAAGCAATGAAAAATGGCAAGGAAAAAAAAGTATGAAAAGACAAGGCAAGCATCAGAACCAGATCCAGATATAATACAGATATTGGAATTCTCAGTCAGGGAATTTAAAATCACTAAGATTAATATGATAAGGGGTCTAATGGAGAAAGGCAGAGATCATTCAAGAACAAATGGGCAAGAGAAGCAGAAAGACACTGTAAGCAAAATCAGAAGGAAAGGCAAGAAATCAATAAAAAACACTACAACAAATAAAGAATGCCCTCAGCAGGCTCATTAGCAGACTAGGCACAGCCAATAAAATATTCAGTGAGCTTGGAGAGTTGTCAATGGAAACTTTCCATATTAAAATGTAAAAACAAAGTAAAATAAAGCAAACAGAACAGAAAATCAAAGGACTGCGGGACAATTTCAAAAGATGTAACATATGTATAAGTGAATATCAGAAAGAGAAGAGAGAAGCAGAAGACATACTTGAAGCTGCAATGGCCAAGAATGCTCTAAAGTGACACAATCGCTTTTAAAGCAGTCTGGCAGTTCCTCAAAATGCCAAACATAGAATCACCATGTGACCCAACAATTCCACCCTTTGGGTTATACTCAAGAAAAATGATGTCCACACAAACACTTGTCCATGAATGTTCACGGCAGCATTATTCATAAGAAATAAACAATGGAAACAAACTGAAATACTCACGAAGTGGTGAATAGATAAATGAAATGTGGTGTGTCCATGCAATGGAGTATCATTTGGCACTAAGAAAGGAAGTTCTAATATATGTTTCAACACAGATAAACTTTGAAACCATTAAGCTAGACAAATGAAGCTAGGCACCAAAAAACACACATTGCATGATTTCATTTCAAAGAAATATCCAGCATAGTGAACTCATAACTAAGTGGTTGCTTAAGATAAGGGGTGAAGGAATGGGAGTCACTGCTAATGGACACATGCTTTCCTTCTGGGTGGTGAAAATGTTATAAAATTAGGTAGTGGCAATGGTTACACCATTGTGGAAATACACATAGAAACACTGAATTGTATATTTTAAAAGGGTGAATTTTATGGTGCATGGACTATACTACAGTAAAGCTATTAGTTAAAAAAAATTCTTAAAGGAAGATACAAAACTATTATAATGAAAATATACTGTAATTTCCATGTATAAATATCTTTGAACCTACCAAATCATAATTAGAATTAATCAAATAGACTATCATGTTTGCCAGATCAATATAAAATAAATATAAAATAAAACAATTTATTTTACTTACTACAGCAACAATCAGAAAGAAAATATAATTTAAATAAATATGACATGATAGTAACAAATATAGAGTACCTAACAATGAATCTAATCAGAAATTTGCAAAAATATTATAATTTAAAATGATAAAACATTTAACAATATCGAGAAGTCTTATAAAAATGGAGAAATATATCATTTTCTTAGGAGAAAACTCTAGCATAAACCAAAAATAAAATTCTAAGGCCCCCAACAATCTGAATGGACCCCCCTTCTTAGCCAAGGGAATTCCAGCACTAACCTGAAAATCTAGTTGAGGCCAGGATGGAAGAGGGGGTTGGACATGCCTCATTATACTCCTCCAGCATTGACATAAACACAGACCTTAAATCTTATAAGAAACATTTACAATCTATTTTTCTTTGAAGACTGCTACCTGGAGTCTTCGCCTGCAGGATAAAACCTTGGTCTCCATAACCCTTATCTTAACTCAGACATTCCTTTCTACTAATAATAGCTCTTTCAACCAATTGCCAATCAGAGTATGTTTAAATGTACCTATGACTTGGAAGACCCCCATGCTCCTTCTGCCCTCCCCACCACCCCCCAGTTCAAGTTGTCCCACTCTTCCAGATCGAACCAATGTAAATCTTACATATATTGATTAATATGTCTCCCTAAAATACACAAAAGCAAGCTGTACCTCGACCACCTTGGGCACATGTCATCAGGACCTCCTGAGGCTGTGTCATGGGCACGTGCTTAACCTTGGCAAAATAAACTTTCTAAATTGATTGAAACCTGTCTCAGATACCTTTGGTTTTGCACTAGTATAAAGATGCCAATTCATCAGAAGCTGCTCTGTAGACCAATGAAATTCTGATTAAAATTTGAATGGGATCTCTCAATGAAATCTGACAATACTGATTTTAAAGTATGCATGGAAGAATTAATAGTCAAAAATCAGTAAGGTATTATTGAAGTCAAAGAAGAGATAGAACTTACACTTGTGGTTATCCATACTTATAAAACAATACACTCTGGGAGGGACACAGGACAGGCTAATAGAACACTAGAACACAATAAAAGCAAGAAGCAAAACCATGAAGGTAAGAAATCAGAGAGCAAACCCTGCACATCAGAAGGGAAGTGATGGGCTGGGATAATCAGTTATCTACATAAGAAAAAAAATGAAGCTGGATTTCTTTTTAAGGCACTATTCAAAAGGAACAAAGGAGATGAAAGTCATAAATATGAACGATATCTATAAGATTTTCTGGAAGCCAAATAAGGAGGATTTTTATAAACTCTGGAGTGGCAAAGATTCTTAAGACACAGGTAATTTTAAGTTGACAAAAATTGTATATATTTAATATGTGCAACATGTTGTTTTAAAATGTGCATACATTGTGGAATGTATAAATAGAGCAAATTGACATATGCATCACCTTACATATCATTTTTTTCATGGTGAGAACACTTAAAATCTACTCTCATAGTAAGTTTCAATACCTCAATACATTGTTATTAACTATAGCCACCCATCGTGCAATTGATGTCTTCAACTTATTCCTTCTAATTGAACTTTTGTGTTTTTTGACCAGCACGCTTCCCAACCCTTCTTCCCATCCCCAACACCTGGTAACCACCATTCTATTCTCTGCTTCCATAAGTTCAATTTTGAGTCCATATATGTGTGAGATTATGTGGTAACTGTCTTTCTGTGCCTGGTTTATTTCACTTAACTGTAAACCAAAAATAAAATTTGAAGCCCCCCACCACCACCCAAACATCTGAATGCACGCCCTTCTCGGCCAGGGCACTCCAAATTTTAACCTGAAAGACTGATTCAGGCCATGATGGGAAGTAGGAGTTGGGCATTCTTCATTATACCCCTCCAGCATTAACATCGACACAGACTTTAAGTCTGATAAGAAGCGTTTACAATCTATTTTCTTTGAAGCCTGCTATCTGGAGGCTTCATCTGCAGGATAAAACTTTGGTTTCCACAACCCCTTATCAGAACCCAGACATTCCTTTCTACTGATAATAACACTTTCAATCAATTGCCAATCAGAATATGTTAAAATCTACCTATGACTTGGAAGCCCCCACTTTGAGTTGTCCCACTCTTCCGGATGGAACCAATGTAAATGTTACATGTATTGACTGATGCCTAAAATGAATAAAGGCAAGCTGTACCCCAACCACCCTGGGCACACTTCCATACAGCTTTCCGTAATAACAGTATCAATTTCCACTCACACTAACAGTGTGCGGGGGTTGCCTTTTCTCTATATCCTTAACAACACTTGTTATCTTTTGTCTTTTTGACAATAGCCATTCTAACAGGAGTGAAGTGATATCTCACAGTGGTATTAATTGCATCTCCCTAATGATTAGTTATGTTGAACATGTTTTTATATACCTGTTGGCCATTTGTATGTAAAGACACAGACATGTTTAAACAAATTAAATAATTAATATTTTCATTTGATTAAAATTAAGACTTTCTTTTATCCCAAGACTATAGAACATTTTAAGGCAAGGCACAGCTTTGCAAAAAACACTTGCAACACTTACACAACAAAGATTAGTATTATTGATACGTAAAATCTCTACTGATCTGTATGAAAAAGATAACACCACGGAAAAAATCGGCCAAAAATATAAACAGCCATATCTGGTAGATGAAACACAGATGGCTTGTTAAATAAAATTATGTACAGCTTTATTATTAATCAGGGAAATGCACATTTTAACCAGAATGAATATACTGTCAGACCTACCAGATTGCCAAAATTAAGTGAGCTTATAGCAAATTTGATATAAGGTAATAGAAATTTCCATTTACTATATGTCATACTGTAAATCAGTATAGTCACTTGGAAAAACTGATGAAATCTACTAAATCTTATTGGGTAAACTCCATGTACCAGCAGTTCCAATCCTAGAGCTGCCAGGTACATGTGGCTACAGAGATCTTTGTGCATGCATATTACATCAGAGTTTATGTGTAAGCATGTCCATAACAATATTGTATGTAAGAGCAGAAAACTCAAAATAGTCCAAATGTCCATCAACAGAAGAACGGATCAGTATATTGTGATTGTTTAAATAATGGAATAGTATACAGCAGTGAAAAAATACATTACATCTATATCACTAATATGGATAATTCTCAAAAACATAATTCAGAGTGTAAAACTAAAAGCATGAAAAAATATAGGCAGTAATACATATTTTATTGTCAGTTTATACATTGGTGGTAAAGCAATAAAGCAAAGCAAAGCAGAAAATGATAAGCATAGTATTCAGAATAATACTTTCCCATGTGTGCAAGAAAGGTAAATGGTATCAGGTTGGGTACACTGGGGGATTCTAAAATACCTAATTTCTTAAGTCTTGTGGTGAGTACAGAGACATCTATTTTTATCTTATTAACTGCTCTTATATGTTCTATACACTCATAATATCTCAGTAATACAGTTTCAATTTTCTAAAAAATGAGTAGAAATTCATAGGGTGGATGCTTTTACAATATAGTGTTTTGAGCCAGGGGTTGGGAGTATAATTTCAGGTAAAATATGGTTTATTCAGGCATTATTTGGAAAGCAAATTTGGTAGCAACTTTTAAAAATCTTCATTTTGTTCTAAATGGAATTTTAAGGGTGCTCAGTGAGAGACATTATTTTTACCATGCTGATGTAGATTTCATATAACTGCTCTGCACAAAACGCCCTCAGCTTTCTTTATTCAAATTCTTGCACTGATATTCATAACAACAAAAACAGGCTTCACCTGTTTATCAGATCACGGCTCCATGCTGAGAAGCATAAATAAGCTACCCCATATCCAAGTAATTAATATGACTTGCGATAATACTAATGGCTTTAAAGCCAATACAAATATGAATGTTTATTCCTTATATATTACATTTACAAGTGATAGCAATTAAATGACATTAAGTAGTATCTGTGGTTATACTTGGTAAAAGCCATCCTGCCATTTCACTCCCTGAGCACATATTATGATAAAATTTTGTCCTTTATGTAATCCTAAAAGATGCATTTTATAGGAGATCAAGAGTTGAAAGCAGTGACACTTAGATTCACAAGTCTAATAAAATAACTGTTGTCTCTATAAATCGATAGCTTCTTCCCTATTAAGAGGTTAAGTGTGACCGTAAGAATAAAAATAAGCTATTTTTTTAAGAAACTGAAAATATTCACACAACAAAATCTTTAATTAGTTTTGAAAACTTTAATTTCATATGAATTAGGTTTGGTAAACAATTTTTTCACTTTTGCAAACAATTCTGATCAGTAGCAATATGTGTAGATATATTAGAGAAGTTTTAATTATCACACTTTGAAATAAATGTTAAATTAATTTTATAGACCTACACAATTAAAATTAGAATTAGGTTCTATAGATTTAGACAAAAACTCCATTTTTCCCCTGTTATTTATTTTTTTTTTAGCTTAACAAAAATAGGTAAAGTTGACTGCCTTGAAGTTAAAGCAAAGCTCATAATAACCTATCTTTCTGAGTCTGGTGAGAAGTATAAATAACATGGCTAAGCAAGAGAGTAAGATCAGTGGAAGAAAAAGACATTGGATCTGGCTTGTAGGTGTCAATGACATGAGAGTAGGGATGGGGAGAAGAGCTTTCCAATCTGGATTGTTCCCACTGAAACTGCTCTTGCCAAGAATACTAATGGCTGCCATCTTGCCAAGATGATGAACACTTAACATTCCTCATCTTACTAACCTTTTCAGCAGCATTGGCCACTGATGATCATTTTCTCCTTCCTGAAAGAGCCTCTTTTTTATTTTGATGCCTTCACTTTCAGTGTTACCATTTCAGAGACAGAAAGGCTTATTTCTTACTCCGTCTGAAGTAGGAACCCTGCTATTCTTCCATGGGGGGAAAATATCCCTTTAGTCTCTCTCACATCATTATTTCAATTATGAGTTTTATGTATTGTTTATTGTCTTCTCACTCAGCAGACTTTGAACTCCTAAAAAGATCATGGACCACATGGACGCACCTGATGTGTAGCAAAGTTCAGGCTCTCAGAGATTTATTATGATTTCAGATTCTGGTACCCAGAACTGTGAAAGAACACGTTTCTATAGTTCTATGCCATTAAGTCTGTGGGAATTTGTTAAAACAGTCACAAGAAACTGTATAATAAACATTAAAATGTTCTTCCTCACTAGTAATCTAAAAATGTATGTTAAGAAGGAAATACCACTTTAACTATAAGATCTTAAAAATCCAAATAAATGATGATACCATGTTAATGTGAAAGTGGTTATCTCTAGATGGCTAATTCTTGTATTTCTGTTTTATATAGAGAAAAATTTCCTAAGACAGAAAGGCTTCCACCACAGATCATGTAGGATATATTAGAAAATACTCAGAAATGATGAATGGAGCAGGGTTGCTGAGTTACCAACAAGCTTTAGATAAAAGTATTCTTTTATGTTCTAAATGAATTTGGTTTACATATATATTACAAAAGCCAAAATATTTTATGTACATATATTAAAATCCATATATATGTATATATAAAAGCTATATGTATATTGCTATATGAATATATATATATATATATATATATGTATACACATATGCACACATATATCTCATAGCCTAAATCTTCCACAACCATTTTGTAGCTTAAATCCTTGAGAACCTAAGTCAGTTGTAAGCTGTTCACCTGGTCAATGATTCACAGATTTCAAGTCCAAGTGAACTTCAAGACATAGCTGTGACTGATACTCACACACACTAATTTTTACAACAGCGTTTTTGACATGTATCTACTTACTTCAACTAATAGGCTGTTTTTTTTCTAGGTAAATAATCAGGCATTTGGACAAAGAATTACATGTAAAAATACTAGCCAGAGTCCATTTAAAATAGTGAAAAACTCCCTTAATGTCCAGTAAACTCATGGAATATGTAAATTATGGCAGGAACAAACAACGGAATATTAACAAACATTAAAAACCATGTCTGTAAAGAATGTTTGATCACATATGGAGAAATATCAAAAAAATGTATAGTTAGAAGAGCAGAATCATTACAACAAACTTTGTTGAGTACTTGCCAAACGTGTAGCAAAGTTCAGGCTCTCAGAGATTTATTATGATTTCAGATTCTGGTACCCTGGTATTGCTGTTTCTTTTTACGTTCATTACAACATCAGGAGGAAAGTCAACTAACTTGCTCAGAGTTACACAGCTATAATTAGGAGGGTTAATTCTATAGGTCAACCTGTTCATCAGCATGCTATACCAGACTATATAAAAAATAAAGCCCGACTTCTTTTTCTTGGAGAGATGCTCCCTACCAATTCTCAGTAGTCAACCTTGTCAGTTTTGATTACATCACCTGAACATAAGCTGTACCTGGACTGGTCACCATTCCCAACTCAAAATAAGCTTAAGGACAACCATGTTGTCAACAGCATCATCCCCGGTGCTTAGTACATCAACACACCCAAATATACAGTATGTCAGGATTATGGACTTACACTTTGGTGATTTTTTTCAAAGATTATATATGAAGAATATGTTTCAAAAAAATCTTCTATAAATATTTTTAAATAAAATATTTTTTGAAATAGAATAGGAGGATATGAAAGGACATTTCAAGAGCAAGAACTGCAGCAGAAAGCACACAGCAGCAGTGCCAGCCACCAATTGTTTGGGTGATCAAAATACTGCTCTCTAGGCATAAGTTCCTGTAGTCTGGTTTACTGCTTCCTGCTGTCTGCACTGAAATGTTTTTTCATTATTTCTACAATGTTTATTGCTTAATTAAAAACATGCAAACATCACAGGGCAATGACTTTGAAGTGATAAATATATTTAATACTTTGACACCGGAGGCTCTTTCCAGTTGCAAAGTAAATGATGCCTGGAGGCCTTTCAATATTTTTGGAGTTTTAATAAAGTGGAGAAAAACAAAGAGTCTGGCAACCAGTAATCTGGGGATAATGAAGGCATCCACACCCACAATTTATTATTGTATTTTTTCTTCCCCTGGCATGTGGGTCTCATATTTCTCACATGAAAAAGAGGAATTGTTTTGCTGGTTGCTCTGCTGATCACAATAAATTGCATATCTTATTTGTGCAAAAATTATTAAATCAACCTCCTATGACAATATCTATACTTTTTGTTACATTTCCCAGTAAGATCTCTCTTTCTTTCTCTGCATGGTGTGTGGTGTGTGTGTGTGTGTGTGTGTGTGTGTGTGGCTACAAATGTGTGTACTGAGTACTATAATCAAGAATTTTATCAGCCTGATTTTAGAGTACACTACAAATTTCTGGCGATCTCAGCAGGGTCCAGCATAGGACCTTGGAATATACAAACACTACCAATGTGATAAAAAGCCATGAGGCATAGCACAGCACTTTTCAGAATTTAATATGCACATAAGTCACCTGGAAAACTTGTGAAAACTCGGATTCTGATTCACTAGGTCTCAGATACTACCTGAGATTTTGTGTTTCTCCCAGTATTTCAGGTGATGTCAATGTGGTGGTCCACAGATCACACTTAGAATGGCAAAGGCAGGGTGGAAATCTCATGGAATATGATAGACTTGAGTGCAAATCTCTTTTTAACACTTATTGACTATATCACTGTTGTATGTTTTAAACATCTCTTTTGGTCTCATTGTTGTCATCTATAAAGTGGAAAGTAAAAACTAACATGGATAGTTGTTGCCATGACATGATGACACTGTGTCTATAAAAGCACCTGCTGAATAATACATACAGATAATGAAGATCGTTTGTAACCTCTTTCAATGCTGAGGAACATGTAATGTCCATGAAAATGGGACCATCTCAAATGTCCAAGAAAGTGTTTATCAGAATGCTGTAAAATATTTTTTAAAGTGTTAGCTTAACACTTTCTCCAGGAAGTAAAAAGAAGTTATTGTTGCAATAATCATTTTATTTCATAGGTCTCAACCCTTGAGAAATTTCTGGCAATAGACCTTTCTACAAATAGTTTCAGACTAGTTTCAAATAGTTGCAGAAATGGCTGGATATAATACAGCAGAAATAATTTCTGTGCAAACAAAAATGCGAAGAAAAATAACAAGACATTTGAAAGCCATATAGTGCTAAAGTTAGAAACACATAGTTGTCATCACTATGAAGGAGCTCTGATGGTTACTGCCATCAGAAGTGCTTTGTGCCAATTACCAATCTCTTGAATCTCAGCTGTAAATCCACCCTTCATTACTATGTATTATACTGGAGAATTTCTCCTTTGCCAGCTGGCAGGAGGGTGCAAATTGTCAGTAGAGTGTCCTGGTAGTGGGGCTGAGTACACAAGAGGAGGAAAGTGCTTTCTTCCTTGTCCTAGGGTGCTTTTGTTTTCTGCAGCAAGTGGCTACTAGCTAGAGATAGCATCTCTCTGTGGACAACTCTCCAGCACCCTCTATGGGTTTCAGAGAGAGTTCTGAGGCCTGGAAACTACCTGTGGTTGGCTTTCCCCATTAATCCCTGTTGGAGTTTCCAGAGCCTTTTTCGCAGGGTACCTCAGTGAAATTTGGATAGGGCACCTCAGTGAAAGCCACCCAACAGGCCAAGCCACAGCCTCTCCAACAAAGCAAGGATTCCAGGCCCAGGGTGGGTGTGACTTTTTCAGTATTCTTCCTATCCATGGAGTTAACGGCTATTTACTATTTTCAGCTTTCCTGTTCTTTGTAGGGTTCTCTTTATTCCTGAGTAGCAAGCTACCCCATTACTTCAATCCCCTGTAATCATCAATAATATTTTATACTACATTGTTGAAATCAAGGTGTGATTTGTCTTCTGATTTAACAAGAACTGATACATACCTTAACATATTAGTCCATTCTCACACTGCTATAAAGAACTGCCCGAGACTGGGTAATTTATAAAGGAAAGAAGTTTAATTGACTCACAGTTCCACATGACTGGGGAGGCCTTAGGAAACTTACAATCAATGCAGAAGGGGAAGCAACATGTCCTTCTTCACATGGTGCCAGGAAGGAGAGGAATGTGTGCCCAGTGAAGGGGGAAGACCCTTATGAAAACCATCAGATTTCATGAGAAATAACTCACTATCACAAGAACAGGATGGGAGAAAATACCCCCATGATTCAATTATCTCCATCTGGTCCCTCCCATGACATGTGGGGATTATAGGAACTACAGTTCAAGATGAGATTTGGGTGGGGACACAGCCAAACCATATCAACGTCTAATGCAGATATCTGCTTACTCAACATGGATGGGAAAATTCATAAAATACTATGAGAAATATTGTTGGAAAGAATAATGAACACCCACAAAGTAAAATGCAAGGTCAAACTCACCCAAGAGAAAACAGATGAGCCATTTTAGTTAAAAAATCTCGCCTGATAGAATTTATCAATCTTTCAGAGTGTGTTCAAAGGTGAATATCATCTTTCAAATTTTAGAATCTACTAAATTCACACCAGCCTCTGAGACTCCAATTAGGTCCTTGGAGAGCTTTGTAGAAAGAGTTCCTATTCATGTAGTCATTGAAATCTTTGTCTCCTATCCATTGAATAGTAGCAGTTCAAAACTTCAAATGACTCTTGCTTATTTTTTTTAGCCAGGGGATGAAAGTTTTAGTTTCCTCAAAGTAATGCTAATTTTGATGTCCTTTATGATCAGTATTGAAAGAAAATCAATGAGAAATCATGGCTACATGAATACAACAGCGAGTAGGCAAAAATCTTGAAAACAGGTATAAAAACTATCCACGTGGATTTTAATACCTAAGTATTAAAAATAGCAATTGAATGATATATCCCAATCAGTGTGTTGTATTTTAAGTTTGGAAAATATCATATTTAGAAGCAATCAGTACTCAAAAGGACACATAATTTTTGAAGCATCTTACCTTTAATGCCTTTAATAAAGTTCCACATCATCCAGTTTCCTTTTCCTTCTCCAACATCATCCCCTACTCTCATACCCATAGCTCATGCTTCTTCTGCCATTCTTAGCTTATAGCTCTTCTTCCAACACAACTTTTCACCTTTCACTATCAGCTGCCTCTTCCTGGAATAGTCCTCTATCCAATATTCTCATGGCTAACATTCCTTCCAGTTTCAGTTCAAATCTCACTTTCTCCATGAATCCTGTCTTGACCACCATATTTCAAACTACAGTCCAGATCTCTTCCCCAACCAGCACTTCCAACTTCTCTCAATGTGCCTTTTTTTCATAGCTTGTTTTATCTTCTAACATCCCATAATCTTTATCTAGTTATTTTATTTGTTGTTTATTTTCTCTCTTTCCTTGTTACATTGAAAATTCAAAATAACAAGTTTGTCAGTTTTGTTCTCTGGTATATCCTCAGTTCTTAGAAAAGTCCCAGGCATCTAATAAATATTCGATGAATGGGTAATGCATGAATAGGCTGACAACAATTGCTTTAATCTGGATATAAACTTGACTTTAAAAAGATTGAAGGTTGGAGAACCAGAAGTTAAAGTAACGTACTAATTATAAACTTTTTTAAAGTCTAAGAGAAAGTACATTATTCATATTACAACATAACTGATATGGTATCATACATTACACAATTATCCGAGTGCAATTTCTTAAGATTTGGAAAAGGAGAATATGACTTAACTTTCCGTGGGTTGATACTGCAACTTAGCCATATGATTTTTGGAATAAGAAACTGTCAGTGCTAATCAAGTATGTCTTTAACTGTTAATGTTTTCCCACAGATGCAGCTCCAAATGTTAGTTTTTCAAACATAGCCTGGTGAAAATGAACACATTGATTTAGCATCCAGGACTACTAGTTTTCTCGAATGTAAAATGTCATTTACGGCAGGTTGAAGCTTGCGAAGCACCCTTCTATGGAGTGTGTCATGTAATCTTGACAAACTTGTGCAATAAACAGAGAAAATCTATTCTTTTCTACACACCCTGGCCTTCCACCCTGCACCACCAGGCATCATTAAGAGACACTCTTGTGATCCCTGCTCACCTTCGAAATTGGTATGTGAGTCAATGGGAAACAGTTTATAGGCAATTCTGTGCTGGCAACATCTAGGTGCCACTTCTCCACTGATAAAATACTATGTCTTTTCCCACAAACAATTCAAATGCTGTCTCATTTGTGTATGTATTACTTCTTCCTCAACATTCCCAGCCCACTTTGCTAGTGCTAATATTAGAGCAAGCAGATTCTGATGCACATTATATCATACTTTAGCTCTAGCTGTCTCTGTTTGTTTCTCTCATTAGAAAGTGCTCTTCTTGAGGCTAGGGATCAATAATGGAAAGAGCACAGACTTTGGAGCACAAGGATCTCAGCTGAAACCTCAGCTCCACTACTCACTAAGTGAATGACCTTCAATAAATTCCTCAACTTCTCCAAGCTTCTATTTCTTATTTGGAAAAACCAAATTCTACTGACTGCATAAGGTTGTCATAGGAATTAAAGAATGTACTTATGTATAACAGTTGGCCTATTTATTTAACAAGTGCTAATATAGTGCCTACTTAGTCCTAAGCAATGCTTTAAGTACTTGACACTTACTCAGTTTAATCCTCATAATACCTTGATGAGTCGATGCTTTCATTTACTTCATTTTGTAGATAAGAACATTGATGCATAAAAAGAGTAAGTGAACGGCACAAAGTCATCCAGGCAAAAGGCAATAAAACCAGGATTCAAATCCAAACAGACTGGCTTCAGGGTTTTGGGGATGCTGTTATACTATACTGCCTCTCCAGGAGAAGACAAACACTTGTGTAAGTGGCTTGCTCAAGGTCACACAGCCACAGACAGTGCAAGGATAACTAGAAACCATTGTTCTTACTCTTGAACAGATTCATTTAAATGAACCAGATTCATTTATGGCAGGTTGAAGCTTGTGAAGCACTCTTCCATGGAATGTGTCATGTAATCTTGACAAACTTGTGCAATAAACAAAGAAAATCTATTCTTTTCTACACATGCTGGACTTCCACCTTGTACCACCCCGCATCATTAAGAGGTACTCTTGTGATTCCTGCTCACCCTGCGACCCTGTAAGGGTCGACTCAACCAAATAGTAACTATCCTTTCTCCCCAGGAATCACAGGAATAATAATGTCTACCTCCAAAACTCAGATGTTTCAGATGTTATCACTCAATAAGTCATTTATATTCATGTTATTTATAAAATATGAAGTGCTACATTACTAAACGTGTTCAATACCAAATGTGTTAATATTAAAATCATTTTCTTACATGTGGGTTACAAAATATGGGAAAACATAACTGAATTTAAGACGACAAAATAGACAAGTTAAATATGACATTACTCCCAAGGTGATAATCATAAACCATTCTTAGAAGATTTTTGAAACAATTTATAGGAGGTTTCAGTATTCCCACTAAAATAATTATTGGTTGAAATGAACAGGCAAGAACAGATGAGTTTTGCTTTAATATTGAAGTTGCTCTCCAGTAAAGATAAACATATACAGTCAGGCCTCTATCCATGGACTCCTCATCTGTGGATTCAATCAACGCTGAGTCAAAAATATTTGGAAAAAAAAGATGCTTGCATCTGTACTGAATATGCACAGACTTTTTCTTGCCATCATTTCCTAACAATACAGTATAACAATTATTTACGTAGCATGTATATAGTATTATGTATTATAAGTAACCTAGAGATTATTTAAAGTAGACAGAAGATTGTGTGTAGGTTATATGCAAATACTATGCCATTTTCTATCAGGGACTTAAGCATCTATGGATTTGGGGTATCCATGGGGCCCTGGAACCAATCCCTTACAAATATGGAAGGATGATTGCATTTATCAGTTCTTCCTTAATCTTCTCTTTTTAGATTTCTCAAAACAAACTTTACTGTAACGCTGATTACTGAATTTTTCACAGCCAGTTTGGGAGGATTGCCACTGAGAAGATTATGAACTTTCATCATAAAGAGGCTTAAAATTTTCCTCTAGGATATTTGAGAGGAGTTTAAGTTCCTGATTTACAAAATAACAACGTCAATTTCTCTTGCATTGCCATTTTACATACCAATTTAATGGGGGACTAATAATAATTTTCAGAGATCATAAATGGTTTTTAAACTCATTTTAGTGGCAATGTTTTTTAGAAATAAAATACATACAGCCTTTCATTTTTAAAATATTTTACTTATTTGTTTTTGCCTTTCTGGGATTCAGAATCATGCAAATTTCAAGTATAATTAGCAAAATACACTAAAATGTAAATATCTTGGAATTTTATGTTAATTTACAACATGTAAAGTAAAAATCTTAAAAATAGGTTTATACAGATTAAATTTAGTTCTTAGTAGTCTAAAAGACTTATTTATTTACTTTTTGATTGTGCTGGTTAATCTGTATAAACTCCCATAGAAAATTCAAAATCTTTAAGTATATAGACTCTTTCTGGAAGACCAAAGTAATGCTCATTTAAAAAGTAGAGAAAACTTTGGAAGAAGCACATATGTATGTAAACATATTTAAGGAAACAGCAGATGTCTACAGCCTGATTAGTCTATAATGGACTATGGTTCCAACAGTAGTCATGATTTTACTGACAATTTGGGACAGTACATAGATTGCTATAAGAAGCCGAAATCCTGTTATTATGCCAATTCTCTAAAATAGGAAAAGGAGTATATAATAATGACCTTGGCTTCATGAACATTCTGCCAAATAGGTAGGTTACAATAATTTGCTCATAGAATATTAGGAACCTCTACAAGGTAATAGATCAGAAAAGCTTTCCTGGAGTTCCTTTCCTCATTTTTGAGGGTGATTGACCATTTCTGTTTCTGGAAATTTTTTCTTGAAGAATTCACTCTTACGTCAGATAAAGCAGGGGAACTGGACACCTCTTATTGCATCCCTAGCATTCATTTCTCCTTCATTTGTCCCCAACAGCTTCTGAATTCCACTGAAAGATGGAGAATAGGCCCATTAGCATACTCCACACCCTGGCTCACATTTTTAGGATAGCGATTGTTAAGTTACCTTTATAAAATGCCCTTTTCACAGTGCATCTTGGAAGTTTTTTTCTGTGAACTCTGGACAACAGCTGTTCTGTCTTTTCCTGAATAGGCTAGTACTTGCATGTAAGAACTGAAATGGTGGCCGCCATTTTTGCCTCAATTTTTGCCATTTTGTAAACAAAGTCTGGGTCAAGTGTGACTTACAGTTCTTCTACTGATGGAGTTTTCTTTTCAATGATATGAGCCAAAAAATTCCTTTGATTACTTAAGCCGGTTGGCATTGCTTTCTTTGCCGCATGTAACCAAAAGCATTTAATTAATCCATTGGTAATGGCCTTCTCCAACTTAATTCCCTATGTATAAATGTATGAGTTCATGAGACCAAACACTAAAATAACATGGTTTTTTTGTTTGTTTGTTTTTTAAGAAAGCAACTTGTAACTAGAATTTCCATTGTTTTGTATAGAGACCTGTGTTACTCCAAAGATACTCATTTTCACATCTCACCTTATTTCAATAATAATAATGGTCAGAAACCTAAAAGCAGGTGTTGATAAATTAATTGAATATTATTTCAACACATCCTGATTTGGCATGGTTTATAAGAAATTCCAAACGTTCAAAAGAGATAAAAGTTGCCATTCCTTCTACTCTTCTCCTGGAAAATTTTATATATTTAAAAAACAAAATGGAATCATGAAGGACACAGGTTGAGGCAAGTAGAGTGGGCGTTTGTGGGGAAGGTGCTTCGGAGGTCTGATAGGTTGAAGATTTCCTCCTTGTCTTACATGACTGTAAGTAGTCGGTGAGGTATTATCAAGTCAGGAGTGGAGTCTCCTCTGGAAGTTGTCTCAGCTCTTAGTAGGCTGAGTGGGACCCAGTGAGCAGTTTAGGGAGCAATGGACATGAAATGAAATATTCAGAGCAAGTTCTCTGTTTCTTAGTACTCTGGCCACTGGAATGGAAAGGTGTGTCCGACACAAACCTTATGAGCTTGCACGGATACCCTGTATTACCTCTTTCTTTCACAAGTTGCCATGAGTTCACCACCAGCACTGTGCCAGCCCCAGGGCTGGGATGTGACCTCTTCCTCAGCCACCTCCTTGCTGAGGCTCACCCAGGTAGCTAAAGTCACCAGCTACGTAGAGCTGAAATTCTGAAGCTTCCTACCTAAGTGGCATCACATAGCACCCTTCTTGTCCAAAAGTCGTTTCTACAAAATATAATAAATATGAAATGTGTATTTGGAGTTAAGCTTAAATTTATGGTCTGCCATTTCCTAGATAACAGGATTTCAAGCATGCATGTTACTTAAAAATCTTGGAGTCACAATTTCTTTATATAGTGTGATAAATATTTAAAAAAAAGATTAGAAAAGCCCTTCAAACAGTGATTAGCATATTTTTCTATCAACATGTTAATAAAATGTTTTCCAATTACACTAATTATTTATGTGTATGTATATAAATGAATATATGTATACAGGTACAGATTCATTAATACACATATATTTACATACAAATATACATATAAATACACATGTACATATAAAAATACAAATATATATTTATATATCTACATGTATATAAATGTACATATAAATATACGTTTATATAACTGTATATAAATACATATATAAATAATTTATATGCATACATACGTATATAAATGTGCATATATTTATATACAAATAAATATGTACATAAAATACACATATTTATATATATGTACATATAAATATACACACACATATATATAAATTGCCCCTGGCATAAAGCATAGACAGAATAAACATTAATAAGATCGATATTGCCACAGCAGTAATTATTCCTTTATATTCAGTGGATGATTGAACCTTTGCAATTTAATGATACTAATCCAGAAGCTTTTCGGTTTAGCATTTGTAATTTAATTAAAACTTGCTTCTGAATATGGCCTAGTATGTTTTATTTCTCTTATATTTTCAGTTGGCAGGCACCTCTTAGAAATCATAAGAACTTAAATTGCAATCAACTACACAGCAAATGATTCTTGAAATATTCATCACCTGTAACTCTTTCAAGAATTCCCACTTTGCTGAGAAAAGTGATGTGCCCTGGTTGCTCAATTTCAAAGCTGTCCTAAAAATTAAGAAAAAAATTCTTTGTGGGAAAGAATGTGTTCTTCCTGTGTATGAATGTTGATACATTTCATCTTGAATTTCTAATTATGCATTATGGCTCTTTTGAAACCAAAAGCACCATACAAACTATATAGCAGATGAAAACAATGAAGCAGTGTCAACTGATTGTGGGAAAACTCCAAGTATAAATGTGTCATACTGATAGTATTTTAATTCTTAGTACATACATGTTTCTTGTGGCTCATTTCACAAGTTCAATGGAGTCTCATAATTTTAGGAGAACTTTGCACTTTCTTACAGGACCCAAACTCTACATGCTAAATTTCTATACTCACAGAAAACAAATGAAACAAAAATCTTTGGTATATAGAGGTTTTTCTAAGACAGAAACAATAAAATAATTTGATCTGCAGGCTTACCTTTATACTAAGTCTAGTCCAAAATGATTATAATTGTTTTTCTAATTTTATCTGTTTTTTAGATAATTTTGGTGTTGATATTCATATTCAGTTTACGTAAGTTAGGGCATTTGTTTCATGCCAGAAGAGAATTCCCTTCCTTTAAACGCAGGCCCTCTGGCCAGACACTTCAAAGTCAACATGTCTTAAATGATTTTGCATGTCTGTCTCTTTTATTTATAAAACATTTCCTCTCCCCGAGGTGATCTACCTTAGAATTGTTAGAGTCTTTCTTTGTCTAATGTTCCCCTTTGAGTCCATCAAATGTGAAATCCTAGCATTTTTCACGCATTCTTTTTCACTCTTGCTGCCACTTTTCTGATTTTAAGTCCAATTACTTCAGGCCTAGAGTATTAGAAGAACTTCTTGTCATCTTCTAACCTTCAGGTTCTGTCTTCAGGTCTGTGTTTTCTCTGGTGTCAAATGAATTTTATTAAGACACTTTTAAAATCAGAATTCTTCCTCATTCCCAATCTTTTGGGGACCCTAATTTGCTTACATCCTATAAGCAAAAATGTTAAACTGGCATTTTAAGACTTTAAAAATATGGACTCATATTGCTTTTATAAACTTTCTTCTTACTAATTGGCAGAACATATCAATGGTCACTTTACTCTAAATTTATTATGAATATTCCAAACTGCACGTGTGTGCTTACCAAAGCCTAATTATCTGGAATCCCTGTAATCACCTGCTTCTACTCTTAAAAATATCCAGCATTATTAAGTAATATTTTAGATATTCATAAAGGCAAGGAGAACAATATACTTATCGAGAAATATAGCGGAAGAGGTATTCTGAAAGAATCTATTACTAAAAACATAAGGTTGAGCCACATGAAAATGCTGTCTTTGTAGTTTAAAAATAGACAATTTTATATAGGTCAATTTAAAAGGACTAGGTTTTCAATAAAACGTATTGTATTAGTCCAGTCTCACACTGCTATGAAGAAATACTGAGACTGGGTAATTTACGAAAGAAAGAAGTTTAACTGACTCACAGTTCTGTATGGCTGGGGAGGCTTCAGGAAACTTACAATTGTGACAGAAGGGGAAGCAACACATCCTTCTTCACATGGTGGCAGGAGAGAAAAGTGCCAAGCAAAGGGAAAGAACCTCTTATAAAACCATCAGATCTCGTGAGAACTCACTATCACGAGGACAGCAGCGTGCAGGTAACCGCCTCCACGATTCCCTTCTCACTGGCTCCCTCCCATGACATATGGGGATTATGGGAACTACAATTCAAGATGACATTTGAGTGAAGACACAGCCAAACCATATTGCATATTTTAAGTATATCACTAGATTCACAAGAAGAGAAAGAAAAAAGATAAAGGCAAAAGAAAAAAAAAAAAACACCTCCTAAATGAGAAAGTTGGCATTTCCCTAAGGAGCAAATGTTCTAATTCTGAGTTTGAGACTTGCTACTGGGCCCAGACAAGATAAGAAAGCTGAGCCTTAGAATGTTGCTGTAAGTCTGGAGATGGTCTAAAGTGGTTCCCTGGCTTATGCTATAAGCAAAACTATCCCCTTTGAGAGATCAATCCCAAATTAGGCCCCTGGTAAAATATCAATAAAATAGGAATCCTTAAAAGATAACAGAATAAAATAAGCAAGAATCAACAGCATATCCCTAAGCCCTTTAGAAAGAGAAACTATCAAAGACAGAATGTAAAACATCTGTGAAAACAGTGTTTAATAAATAATAATATAATTAATATGAGCAAAGTATAGTTTCAGCATGGAGATTTAAAGAGCTGGAAAGATCATAGCCCCCTTCCTTGCAACAAAAAACTAATCTGGGCAAACTCCAAACTAACCACATAATGACTTTTCTGAAGCCCATTAGGTGACTGAGTTCTCAGGGCAAACAACTAACTAGAAATCTGGTCAGAAAAAGAAACCTGCAGGGCGACACAGGACCCAAGCGTTTGTTTACCCAGGACAGATGCCACTAAATACTATATAAACTGGGAAGAGTTTTCACCTACAATTGCTTAACAAATTGCTAAAAGCAAGAATGTAGGCTAGCATGAGGGTATCCAGGCTGCAGCATAGCTGGTAGACCTGGGGATGAGGCCTCCTCTTGTAGGCTTTGTTCTCTAGGACCCCATCCAGTTACTCATACAGAAGACGGACAGAAACCAGAGAAAGAGAAAGCATTTCTCTTGGCCTGGCTGGACAAGGGGAATAGCAGTCACTGAGCAAAGTCTGTCCAAACCTGTTTCTTCTGTTTCTCTCTCTCTCTTTTTTTTTTTTTTTTTTTAAGACGGAGTCTCACTCTGTCACCCAAGCTGGAGTGCAGTGGCGAGATCTCGGCTCACTGCAACCTCTGCCTCCCGGGTTCAAGCGATTCTCCTGCCTTAGACTCCCGAGTAGCTGGGAATACAGGAGCGTGCCACCATGCCCAGCTATTTTTTTTTTTTTTTGTATTTTCAGTAAAGACAGGGTTTAACCATATTGACCAGGCTTGCCTTGAACTCCTGACTTCGTGATTTGCCGCCTTGGCCTCCCAAAGTGCTGGAATCGATTACAGGCGTGAGCCACCGCGCCTGGCCTATTTCTTCTGTTTCTCTAAGGAGCCAAACCTTTAATCTGCTTGGGAAAAGGTTAATAAAATAAGACTGCTGCCTAAGGGAATTTGTGGAAATGCACTGTAGCTGGGAAAGAGGAACAGAAGCCAGCACCAAGAGTTCACCTAGACTATGTACCATGCACCCTATCTACCTAAGGAAGAAAAGCCTTACTCTGCAGGGGAAGGGCAACCAAACAGTAGCCTGGCACTGAAGACTGAGGAAGGGAATAGAAAAACAAAATAAAGCAAAAAACTCTATAACTGGCAGAGAGGCAGCCACTGGGAGAAGGCAGAAACCTGGTGAAGGCCACCCCCTCGAGACACAGTGCCTGCCTAACACCAAGGCTTCCCCAAAACATGTTTCCCTTCCTAAACCATGCTGATAAGAATCAAGTAAGGAATTCCAACTGGAAGATAGCCCAGAAACAGTTTCTATCTTGGGAGCAGTGCACAGGAAACACAGAAAGTCAGGTTAGGAGACCCAAAGCCAAAGGTGAACAAACTTCAAACCCAACTCAACTAAACAAGCACAAACCCACGACTAAAGAGAGGAGGAGGAAAGGCCTGCTCATTTCCAAGCATGAAAACATTTACTTCAGTGTCTTCTGTCCTATGTTCAGCTTTGCACATACACAATTTTTTTAACATAAAAAATTACAAGGAATGTGAAAATACACAATAAAACACAATCTGAAAAGACAAAGCAGTAATCAGAACTAAACTCTCACATAAGACAAGAAATTTAAAATGACTATGATTCACAGGGTAAAAGCTCAGAAACTTGGATCTATGCAACAAAATGGAGAACATCAGAAATGGAAAAAACAAGTAACAATGTTTTTTTACTTTTAATTATTCTGAAAGATAAGGAATGTTTAAGGCAAAACAGACAGATCTGAAAGAAAAATAGACGAATTCAAAATTATAGGTGGACATGCCAATATTCTTCTCTCAGTAGTTAATAAAAGAATCAGGGAGAAAACCATTAAGGATATAGATGACCTGAACATTATCAACAATTTGAATTTATAACACTTTACCCAGGAAGAGCAGAACATACATCCTTATCAGATGCACATGGAATATGCCACTGAGAGTGACCATATCCTGGATGATAAAACAAAGTATAACAAATGAAAATAAATAAAAGTCATACAAGTTAGGTTCTCAGACCAATCAGAACTAGAAATCAATGACCAAGAGATATCTGGAAAAACTCAAATATTTGGAAATTAAACAACAAGTTAAAATAAACCAAGGGTAAAAGAGAAGTTTCAAGGACAACTTAAAAAATATTGTAAACTAAATGCAAATAGAAACACAGCTTATCAAAATATCTGGCATGCAGCTAAATTAGTATTTAGAGAGAAATTTACAGTATTAAATGTTCATAACAGAAAATAAAAAAAATACAAAAACAATAACCAAGGGGTGTGTGTGTGTGTGTGTGTGTGTGTGTGTGTGTGTGTGTGTTTTGAGACAGAGTCTTGCTCTTTTGCCCAGAATGGAGTACAGTGGTGCCATCTTGGCTCACTGCAAACTCCACCTCCTGAGTTCCAGCAATTCTCATGCGTCAGACTCCCGAGTAGCTGGGAGTATAGGAAAGCATCACCATGCCTGGCTAATTTTTATATTCTTGGTAGAGATGGGGTTTCACAATGTTGGCCAGGCTGGTCTTGAACTCCTGGCCTCAAGCAATCCACCTACCTTGGCCTCCCAAAGTGCTGAGATTACAGGTGTAAGCCACCATGGACAGCCACCTAGGATTTTATTTTAAGAAATTGAAGAAGAGAAAATTAAACCTCATACAAAAAGAAAAACAGAAATTACAAGGATGAGAAGAAATCAATGAAATATAAAACAAAAATAATTTTTAAAATCAATGAAATCAAAAGCTTGTTCTTCGAAAATATCATTAAAACTTAGCCAGGAGCCAGGTTGAACAAGAACAAAGGAGAGAACACAAAAATTAGCAATATCAAAAATAAAAAGGGGGAAGTAACTATTGGTCCTAAAGATATTAAAATGTTAATAAGAAAATTCTATGAATAACTCTATACCTGTAAGTTTGATGACTTACATGAAATGGATCTATTCTAAGAAAGACTTAAATCACCAAAAGTCACTCAAGAGAAACAATATATAATGTGAATAATATCAAGTCTATTAAAGAAATTAAATTTATAGCTAAAAACTTTCCAAAATAGCAAACTCCAGGCCCATGTTGCTTTACTGGTAAATTCTACCAAATATTTAAGGAAGAAATAATATCAATTTTATATGATACCTTCACAAAAACAAAGAGGAGGGAACACATTGCTACCTACTTTATGAGTCCAGTTTTATCCTAATATCATTACATTACATTACATTGGCATTACAAAAAAGATAATTATAGAACAATACCTTTCCTGAATATGGAAAATATTAGCAAATCAAATATATACATACATACATGCATATATATATATATATATATATATGCATGTATGTATGTATATATAATATCAACTGACTGAAGTTCATTCCAGGAATACAAGTCTGGTTCAACATTTAAAAATCAGTCAATATAATTTGTCATATTAATAGACTAAATAAGAAAAACTGTATGATCATCTAAATAGATGCAGAAAATATGTTATACAATTTAATGTTCATTTGTAAAACAAAACAAAATAAAAAACAACTCGCAGCAAAGTAGAAATAGAAAATAATTTCCTTAACATTACAAAGTACACTAATAAAGTCTACAGTTACACAATGCTGTGTTTAACAGAACACATTAGTGTGTTGTTAAAGAAAGATCCCATCATTCGGATACTCACTATTCATGAAGATGTCTCTCTCAGAAATAAAAGGTATACACATTTGAAAGAAAGAAGTAAAACTGTCATTATTTGCTCAAGACATGATTGTTTACATAGAAAATCTCAAATAATCTACCAAAAGTAAAATCTATTAAATGCAATAAGTTATTTCAGCAAGGTTGCAGGACACAAAAAAAATGCAAAAAGAAATCAATTGTATTCCTGTATACCAACAATAAGATGTGAAATTGAAATTAACATGTGCAATATTATTTGTAGCAGTACAAATATTAAATATACATCAGATAAAACATGTACAGGATCTGTATGCTAAAAACTACAAAATATTGATGGAACAAATCTAAGAAAATCTAAATAATGGAGAGATATAGCATTTTCATGGATTGGAAGACTCAATATTATTAAAATGCTAATTCTCCACATTTTGTTCTATAATTTCAACAAAATATCAATAAAAATGATTACAAGTTATTTTGTTGATATCAACAAACTAACTGTAACATTTGTAGGGAAAATCAAAGGAACTAGAATAGCCAAAACAATTCTGAAAATAGAGCAAAATTGGAGGGCTCATGCTACCTAATGTTAAGATTGACTATAAAGCCACAGAAATCAAGTGAGCATGGTAGACACACACGTTAACATAATAAAATAGAGAGTCAGGAAACAGATCCTTACAAATACAGCCAACTGATTTTGACAGTGTTGTAGAGGCAATTCAGTGAATAATTAGAATAATTAAATTTCCTATAAAAGAAAAAAGAAATCTTGACACATCTCTCAGACTTTACACTAAAATTAACTCAACTTAATTTAACATTAATCCAAAGATAAAATGATAAACCTTTTAGAATTAAAACTGGAGAATGTCTGTTTGATCTTGGGTTTGGAGATACATTTTTAGATGACACACACTGTGATACATTAAAAAAATTAAATTACAATTTATAAAAGTTAAAGTTGCTGCAAAAGATACTGTTAAAAAAGACAAGTCAAAGTATTTTCACAACATATATCTAATAACGGACTTGTATGCAAAATACATCAAGAATTTAAAAAACTCTTTAATAAATAATAATCCACTCAATTTAAAAAATGGGCTAAAGATCTAAAAAAATCAGCTTTTCAAAGAAGATGTATGAATGGCAAATAAGCATATAAAATATAGTCAAAATCATTAATCATTAAGAAAGTGTAAATTCACATCACTATACACCTATTTACATGGTGAAAACATAAACACATAAATAAGTAGTCATGCCAAAAGCTGGTGGGAATGCAAAGCAACAGGAAATCTGACTCATGGCTGGTAGGAATGCAAAATGAGACATTTTCTTAAATTTAGGCTTCCTAGATCAAATTTCTTAAATTCTTAACTATTTTCCCTTTGCATGCTCTCTTTCTGAACTCTCTTTATTCCTTTTGCTGAGGTTTTGATTGGCTATTTGTTAGAATATTTCATTCTGCCCTACAAATTGTTTCACTTTCCCTCATATTCTCCATCTGTTTGCAATTTGGACAATCCTTAAGGTCTGACGGTGCATTTAATAATTCTAGTTTCATTTGTTGCTAATGTACTATTTAACAATTCCCTTGAGTGTTTAAATCTTTTTGTTATGAACAATAACTCACTTCTAAAAAAAGCGAATACAATGTAAATGTACAGCTAAATATTTTACTATAAACAAATGTCTATGGTAACCACCACATAGATCATTGATAGAATTCTATCAGCACCATATCCCCAGTCTGCCCCTAACTGTTCAAAGTTCAGCATTATCTTGACTTTTATCACAAACATATTCTTGCCCTTTTTTGTGTTTAAGGTAGGTTTATAAAGTTGTATATTGTATGCATCCCAGCCATCAAGAAACAAAAAAGCAAATTTCATCAATGATAGTAGGACTGAATTGCCTTTTTATACTCTCTATGGAAGAAGATACCAAAATTATTGTTATATAAAGACTATGCAGCCATGTGGAAAAATAAAGTATATCAAAATTTAGTCAGTTAATGAGTAAAGTAAGTTGTTAGTTTTTAGGATTTGTGATGTCTGTATTTGTCAGATTTCAGTATTTTTTTTTTCATTTTAAACATTATGAAAATCATCTAGTTTTATCTTACTCTTGTATTGGTAATTTTGTTTTGTTTTTATTGTATTTTAAGAAATCTCCATAATTGCATAAGATTCAACCTAAACAAATCTGTATTTAGCCCATATTGTTGGGAAAGGTATTAAATTTTACTCTTTCTTATATTGATATTAAAGCAGCCCAGAATCATTAATGCAAAAGACTATCATTTCCCCCATTGTAGTGCAATGCCATTTTTGTCATAAAGCCAGTTGGTCACATCACAATGTTCTATGCCATTGGTCTTTTATCTAACCTTGCACTATTACCAGAATGTATTAATAATTATAGATTTATAACAAATCTGACTAACCAATAGTGCAAGTTCTTGTATGGTATTGTTCTTTTTCAGGTGAGTCTTCCCTATCCTAGATTTATTGCATTTCTCCATATATTTCAGAAGAAACTTGTCAAACACACACACACACACACACACACACACACACACACACACGTATATATTCATGCATACAAAATTTGCTAGTTTGACAGGGACTGGCTAGTAGATAGTATGTACTCAATAAATAAATATTTGTCAAATAAATGAGCAAAAAACTCTATGAACATGTTGTAAGTTCTACATTATTATTTCTCAGTACAGTTTTATTCCCTTTGTAGAAATACTGCATCTATTCTGTTATGTTTATTTCTAGGTGCTTGATGTTTTTGTTGCTGTTGTAAATTTATTTAATATTAATTTTTTAAATGTTTTGTTATTGGATATATTATAGAAATATAGTTATTTTAATATATTGATTTAGTAACTAGCAACACTGCTATGCTTTTGTTTTAACTCTTAAAATGTATTGTTAAATTATTTTGTATTATCTATGTCAATAATAATATTTGGGGCAAGAGTTGGCTGCTTTTACCTTTCTAATTCCTTTACCTTTTTTTTTTTTTTTTTTTTGAGATGGAGTCTCACTCTGTCACCCAGTCTGGAGTGTAGTGGGACGCTCTTGGCTCACCACAACCCGGGCCTCCTGGGTTCAAGTGAGTCTCTTGCCTCAGCCCCAGAAGCTGGGATTACAGGTGTGCACCACTATGCCTGGCTAATTTTTGTATTTTTCGTAGAGACAGGGTTTCACCATGTTGGTCAGGCTGGTCTCAAACTCCTGACCTCATGGTCCACCCACCTTGGCCTCCCAAAGTGCTGGGATTACAGGCGTGAGCCACTGTACCTGGCCTGCCTTTTATATATTTTACTTGCTGTACTGAACTGGTTAGCACCTGCCAAATGAAAGTGGTGATTGAGAAAATATATTCATTAACTAGAGACTTTCTTTGGATTTCCCCAGTTTTTTCACTAATGTTCTATCTCTGTTGCAGAATCCAGTCCAGGATGCCATACTGACTGCATTTAGTTGTCCTGTCTCCTTAGTCTCCTTTCTCAATCTCTGATAGTTTCTCAGTCTTTCTTTCTCTGTTGTATTGCTGACACTTTTGAAGAGTACTGTTCAAATATTTTGTGTCACGTTCCTCAACCTGACTTTGCTGACCTTTACTGTGTGTGATTAAACTGAAGATACAAGCTTTGGTGAGGAATATCTTAAAGGTGACATCCCCTTCTTTTCACAACATATCAGGGGGTACATGATGTCAGCATGACTTAAAATTTATTATGTTATCCTTGATCACTTGGTTAAGGTCATGTCTGCCAAATTTCTCCTTTGCAAAATTATTTTTTCCTTTCTAAACTCTGTGTTAGAAGCAAGTTACTAAGTCCAAACTACACTTATGATAGTAGGGGTATTAAACTCCAACACTTGGTGAGTGAAGTATCAAAGAATGCACTGGCATATATTAAGACTATAGTAGTAATAAGTACTTATTTATGAAGAGATACTTTGAAGCTATGCAAATATCCTATTTCCCTTGAGTTGCCAATTAATTTTGCATTCACCAGCAGATATTGACTGTAGCACCTATTACTGTGGTGTTCTACTGGTGATTTTCTATTTCCATCACTATTTCTACATTTGTTACTTGGAATTATTTTGCAAAAAAAGTTGTCCTTTCTCTTCCATGTATGCATATGTGCTTTATTTATTATCAGTATGGGCTCAGATATTTATTTTGCTCTTTGGTTTAAAATCAAACATTATCATTGTTTATATTTACATTATTTATTTGCGATGTGTTTAAATTGTCCCAGCTTTGGCAATTGGGAGCACTTTCAGGTGAGATTCCTGTATCCTTTCGATACAAACTCTTCTTTTTTTAGACTTCTTACTTTCTGACGCACTTTATTTTTAGGCTCATTATATCTTTTCTCTAACCCACCCCCAAACAGAGCCATTTCTCTAGGGAGCCCTGTTTCCTTTAATTCCAGAATGAGAATTTGACACCAAGATCTGGGGGGCTGGGTATGCTTATTGCTGCTAATATGTCACTGCTTCCTTGATGTGAAAATCAATGTGTGTATCCTAACCCATTTATATATACCTGTCTGTATTTATTCCTGCATGTATCTGTAAAACATTAAAAAGATGTATGTTCGTGTCTCCATCTCTAATACAGCACAGTAAGTTCTGCTCTAGCCATCACTCTTTGCATATTTATAACGTCTTTCTCTGACATGAGAAACTTAGCTCCCATTATCTACGATTGATTTATTTATTGGCTCAAACTTAGTATTCATGGAAAGTACTCCGAGAATTGATAACCCCATACTGCTGTGAGAAACAAATTTACCAACTAGAGTACATTGTTTATGTATAGTTTTTTCTTTAGCCTTTCAGTGTCCAGTCAAAACATCGTTTTCTGAAGTTACAAAAATCAACTCATCTTTTTCCAATCCTATCAGTGTATATATCATGTATTTGTAATATGGTTAGATCCATTTATCACAGTCTATATTCTATTCTGGGATCCCTTGACATGCTAATTAATTTTTAAAGTTTGCATACAATAAAATTCATGCTTTGTAGTAGAAAAGTCTACGGATTTTGGCAAATGTATAAGAACTGTATTCATCACTTCATTACCACATAAAACAGCTTCATGAAACTGTTATTATGCATCTCTTTCACAGAAAATATCGTCCCTTCCTCTATTTCCCAACTCCTGGCAACCACTAATAGGTTTCCCTCTCTGCAGTCTTGCGTTTTTCAGAATATCATGTATTTAGAATCCTGCTAGGTAGCCAATTAAGCCTGGCTTCCTTTGCTTAGCAAACTGCATTTAAGATTCTTTTATGTCTTTGTGTGAATCAATGTCTTATTCCTTTTCACTGGTGAGTAGAATTCCGTTGTGCAAAAGTACTACAATTTGTTTCTCCATTCACTGGTTAAAGGATATACAGGTTTTTTCAAATTTTTGGTGATTATGAAGAAAGTTGCTCTAAATTTTTGCATGTAGAATTTTGAGCGTATTTTTTACTTGGGGGAAATACTGAGATCACTGTGTCATATGGTGATATATATGTAACTTTTTAAAAAATTGCAATAGCATATTAGACATAAATTCAAACAGCAGTATTAAATAGGCTGTCAGACCTTAAGAATTATCCACATTGCAAGCAAATGGAGAATATGAGGAAAAGTGAAACAAAAATGGGAGAATGAAAAATTCTAACCTACACCTAATCAAAGTCTATTCCTTCAGAACCCTACCAGCAGGCTCCCACCGGGAGAAGGGGTAACTGGTGACAGCTCCACGACTCCCTCCCTTTCCCCTCTTCAAGGAAAAGAAAACAGAAGACACTGCTGAATTGGTCCAGATTCTTTTCTCTATCTCCTTTATAGGACAAAAAGCTGAATAAGCCTAATAAACACTTACCAACTATTCTAAAATAAAACACAACAGAGTATTTTTGCAAGTTTGCTGAGGCAAAGATTTCTTAAGATTAAAAAAATCACTAATCATAAAGAAAAATAATGGGATAAATTACACTTCAACACAAAAATGCCCATGCTTTCAAAATCGCCAATAGGAATTTGAAAAGGCAAGCCATATACTGGGAGAATATTACGTGTGTATTACACACACATACCAAAATCTTTTTTGATATATCTACCTCACAAAGATTTTGTATCTAAACTATATAAGAACTTCTAAACCTAAATAACCCTTTCTGATTTCTTTTGAATTATTTACCTATGTTTAAATAAAATCTTTCAGTTTCACTCTTTTATACAGTAGACACTACTGGTAGGTTTTTGTATTTGTGTGCTTTTTTTTTTTTTTTGAGACGGAGTCTCGCTCTTTTGCCTTTGCTGGAGTGCAGTGGTGCGATCTTGGCTCACTGCAAGCTCAGCCTCCCGGGTTCATGTCATTCTCCTGCCTCAGCCTCAGCCTCCCGAGTAGGTGGGACTACAGGCGCCCGCCACCATGCCCGGCTAATTTTTTTTTATTTTTTTAGTAGAGATGGGGTTTCACCGTGTTAGCCAGGATGGTCTCTATCTCCTGACCTCATGATCCACCCGCCTCGGCCTCCCAAAGTGCTGGGATTACAGGCGTTAGCCACCACGCGGGGCCTTATGTGCTTTCTTAAGTTAAAGACAAAAGAGTCATATCTCTACTTCTTTCCAAATAATAGATCTTTTGTATTCTTTATCACCGTTTTCAAATGTGCATATTATTGTTGCTCAATAATTCTATTACAGTTGCATATATTCTCTCAATCCAATCCTTATATTTAATATTGTTTTGTGCAGTCATTACTTATTTTGATCTTCCCTGATATGCATCACTGTAACTTTACTCATCATTTTATTCCTGATTTCAGTTCTTCTTCCTTATGTGCATTTTTCAGAAGTTTCTTTAGTGAGTGCATGATTCTGCTTTAGTCAGCTCAGGCTTCCAGAACAGAATGCCACAGCCTGAGTGGCTTAAACAACAGAAAATTTTTCTTAATAATCCTGGAGGCCAGAAGTTCAAGATTAATGTGCCCTAAGAGTTGGCTGCTGGCAAGTCTTCTCTTCCTGGCTTGTAGACAGCTACCTCCTTACTGTGTTCTCACATAGCCTCTTCTCTGCACAGAGGAGAGAGAAAGCTCGGGTGTCTCTTCTTCTTTTTGTAAGGACGCCAGTCCTATCCAATTAGGCCCCCATCCTTTATGATTTCATTTAATCTTTATTATCTCTTTAAGGGTCATGTCTCCAAATACATCAAGGGTCAGGGCTTCAGTACATACATTTGGAGGGCAGAGCATTATTCAGTCTATAACAGTGAGGTATGTCAAAAACACCCTCACTTTTATTTGTCTTTTTAAAAGTATTTACTTGCTTTTTTAAAAATGAAAATTGAGCTGGATATAACATTTTAAGTTAATATTTATTTTCTCTCAGCCCTTAAGGATTCTGTACTCTACAAACCAACTGCAATTTGGAATGAAATATGGCAACTGATAATTCTCTTTGAATTTTTGACCATCAATCCCCTCCTTTTTAATCTCTTTTTTAGTTTTTATTTCTTACAGTAAATTTTTTTTAAGAACTTGTTTTGAAATTTACATGCTGTTGTAAAAAATAATACAGAGTAATCCCTTATATCTTCCAGCTGGTTTCCCCTATTACATTTTACATAATTATAGTGAAATATCACAACAGGAAATTGACATTGATACAGTCTATGAATCTTTGATTTCAGGTATTTTGCATTCACTCACGTGTCTGTGAGTGTATTCCTTTTATGCAAGTTTAACATACTAGTAGTTTCTGTCAATCAACACAGTCAAAATATAGAAGAGTTCCGTTCTGAGAACCCCTCATGATAGACATGATTTAACAACCACAGACATCCACCTCAACCCCCCAGCAACTACTATTTTCTATTATTGTCTCTCAATCTTTATAATTTTGTTATTTCAAAAAATGTTATATAAACAGAATCAGAGGGCATCACCTTTCGAGACTGACTTTTTTTACTCAACATATTGTGCTTCAGATCCATCCAAGCTGCTGTGTATGTATCAGTAGTTTGTTCTTTTTCATTGTTGAGTAGTATTCTACGGTGTGGATGTTCCACAGTTAGTTCAACCATTCACCCTATGAAGGACATTTTGTTTGTTTCTAGTTTTGTGTTTTTATAAAGTTGCTATGACTATTTGTGTACAGGAATTTGTGTCGACATAGCTTGTCATTTCTCTGGGATAAATACCCAAGAGTGCCTTACTTGACCATAATGGTAAGTGCATGTTTACTTTTTCTAGAAACTGGTGTAGTCTTGTCTACAGTGTCTGAACCACTTTTTACATTCCTATATTCCCTTATATTTTGGCTTTCAATGTTACTTTTAACATATTCACCGCGGTCTTGTTATCTTTACTTCACAGTTAATTTGTGTTTTATTTCTGGCTTTAAGTTTTACTCCTTCTCATTATGATGTAACCCATGAGTGGGTTTGTATTTATTTATAGTGCTTAAGATTCATTTTGTTTCCTGCATATGAAAATTCATGTATATTACCAATTCTGGAAAATTTGTAGCCAATTCATATTTCACATCTCCTCTTAAATCTGTTAGACACATATTTGATCTTATTTTTTTTCTCCTACCTCTCTTATTTTTTTGTTAAAGAGTTCTCTGAACTTACCTGGTTTCTGCCAAGGGCATACAATTGTTTATCTCTTGTCTGCTAATGGCTAAATGCATAACTTAAGGCAATAAATTATCAAGAGACTGTTTTGACAATGTTTACTGTTAAAAAGCTCAAGAAGTTTAAAGCCGGCCGGGCGCGGTGGCTCACGCCTGTAATCCCAGCACTTTGGGAGGCCGAGGCGGGCGGATCACGAGGTCAGGAGATCGAGACCATCCTGGCTAACACGGTGAAACCCCGTCTCTACTAAAAATACAAAAAATTAGCCGGGCGTGATGGCGGGCGCCTGTAATCCCAGCTACTCGGGAGGCTGAGGCAGGAGAATGGCATGAACCCAAGAGGCGGAGCTTGCAGTGAGCCGGGATAGCGCCACTGCAGTCCAGCTTGGGCGAAAGAGTGAGACTCCGTCTCAAAAAAAAAAAAAAAAAAGTTTAAAGCCAGTTCCTGACACAAATAACAAAGGTGCCACATTACACTGTGAATCATTCAGCTTTGAAAACATCTTCGTCATTAAGTCAAACAGGGAAATCAGCCAAAAACTAAGGTCACAAAAATTGGTGACAGAATGAAAACAAGACATCCCTAGAGTAAAAATGATTTGATACTCTGATGCATGTTCACAACTCCCTGTACTTTTTTAGTTTAAAATATTCAATTAATTTTAATTTCCTCTTCTGAATCAGCTATAAATTTTGATGCTAGCTTTAATTTTATTTTTACTGCAAGTCTTTGACCGTAAGGTTTAGTAAAGTTTACATTTTGCCCAAATAAAATGTTCTATACTTTACCTAATTCATTAACATGTCTTCTCTCCCAACTTAAATTTCCTATTTTACTGAATTTTTTCTCATGCCTAAGTTGACAACTTGTGGGTAATTTAAGATATGCTTATATTCTTTACACATGTATTTTGGGGTAATTTTCAAACATACAGTCCTATAAAATATGAACCAAAAAAAAAACTAAAACCCTATTTGAATACCAGAAAATGTGTATACTTCTTAAAACATCATTTGAAATCTAATTTCCTAGAAGACAATGCACTCCTGTAGTACGAAAATATTCTAGAGAACGTAAGATTGAATACAGATGGCAAGTTGGCAGGACTTTGCTTTCAGGTTATCTCCCAAACAAATCGACATGATGCCACAAATAAGTGAGAAATGCAAGGTTTGTATTTCTGTGCCTGGCTTATTTCACTTAATGATCTCCAGTTCTTTGTGGCAAATCATTGGATCTCATTGTTTCTTAGGGCTGGATAGTACTCCACTGTGTATATGTATGACATTCTCTGTATCCATTCATCTGTTGATGGTCGCTTAGGTTACTCCCAAATCTTAACTATTGTAAACAGTGCTGCAACAAATATAGGAGTGTTGATATCTCTTTGATATTACTGATTTCCTTTCTTTTGAGTATATACCCAGCAGTGGGACTGCTGAATAATATAGTAGCTCAATTTTTAGTTTTTTGAAGAACCTCCAAACTTTTCTCCATAGTGGTTTAATACAAAAGCAGGCTACTGTGTAAAACAAACATAGCCCTTCTGCAGACTTGAACTCCCGGATTTGACTCTTCTCCAGGGAAACAATTAGCATTGTCTAATGTCACATGAAGAAAGAGGTTTGTATCCTGTTTGCTCTGGGGCACTGTTCATAGTGACACGATAGCCCTAAATATTACCTTCCTTGGATATACTTTCTTTTCCTATTTCTAGTGTAACAGAGGAGTGTCTGCAAAGCCCTCCTATAGTGTTCTAAGTACGAGTTTGCCTCATGAAGAGTGGAGCTGGGAGGAATACAGAAAAAGAGTTTGCCTTAGCCCTGAGAATTGAAGAATCAGTAAGAGGAGCTATCATTTGGTATACATTTGAAGAAATAGAAAGAATATTTCCATAAGGCACTTTAAAGTATTCTGTCACCCAAGGAACTATAGAGAACTTACCCAAGAACCTAGTAAGCTTCAATGGCTAATTGAAATGAAGTCTTAAGTCCGGTCATTGCAATTTATGATTATATATCACTGGAGTATTTATGATTGAAAGGGGCATTTCACGTTTAAATTGGGTTTGTACATTAACATTTTCTAGGGAGAATCAAAGTAACACTTCAAATAATACTTCAAATTTCATCATAATATGCATCTTGGGGCAAAATATTATGTATATGTGTTCCACTTGGAGAAAACAGACAAATCAATTATGGGGTTAGTTACTGAGGGACTTTGTGAATAAGTTTCAGACACTCTAAAAATGAAAGTGATGCAGTAAACTTTTGATACAAACAATTGAGGAGATTAGTATTTTTCTGGAATTTTATAATGCAGTAATTCACATGTCTTCACTGAAGACAAACCAAATGACAATCTATTGCTAATGAGCAAGCAGGGAATAAAATGTTTTACTATTAAAAATTACTCTGGAGTAGAACAGAGAGCCCAGAAGTAAATCCAGAAATTTACCGCTAACTGATTTTTGACAAAGGTGTCAAGAACTCATAAGGGAGAAATGACAGTCTCTTCAATAAATGGAATTGAAAAAACTGGATATCCACATGCAGAAGAATGAAACTGGGCCCTTATCTCATACCAAGTACAAAAATCAATTCAAAATAGATTTAAGACTTAAACATAAAACCTGAAACTGTAAAACTACTACAAGAAAACCTAGAATAAAAGCTTCATAACATTGGTCTGGATAATGATGTTTTGGATATCTCCCCAAAAGCACAGGTAATAAAGCAAAAATAAACAAATGGGATCACATCAACCTTAAAAGCTTCTACCCAACAAAGGAAACAATCGACAGAGTGATGAGACAACCTAGAGGATAGGAGAAAATATCTGCAAACTGTACATCTGATAAGGGATTCATATCCAAAATATATAAGGAACTCAAACCACTCAACAGCAAGAAAACAAACAACCTGATTAAAAATGGAAAAAAGACCTCAAACACACACACACACACACACACACACACACACACACACACACACACACGGCCAGCAGGTAAAAGAAAAAATGTTCAACATCACTAATTATCAAGGAAATGCAAATTGAAACTACAATAGGATATCACCTCATATCTGTTAGAATGGCTATTTTCAAAGGTAACAAGTGTTGGCAAGGGTGTGGAGCAAAGAAAACCCTCACACACTGTTGACAGGGAAGTAAATTGGTACAGCCATCATAGAAAACAGTGAGGCATTTGCTAAAAAATTAAAAAGAGCACTACCATATGATCCAGCAATCCCACTGAGACAGCAAGGTGGGAGAGGTTCCCCAGAAGACCCCCAACCAGCCTGCCCACTTTGTGGAGCCTCGGGAAGTTTGTGCCATTTGCAGTGGGGAGGAGCCTGGCCTCTCCTCTTCCTGTGTGGAACCTGAGATTCAAGCAGTAGGTGGGAGGGACTCTGGCCTAGCGAGAGACCCTGTTTCCCCCTTTTCTTCGTTTTCACCCAGTAAGACTCTGTCTTACTCACCATTCAAATTGTCTGTGAGCCTTAATTTTCATGGCTGTGGGACAAAGAACCCCATCTTTAGCTGAACTAAGGAAAAGTCCTGCAACACCATTACTGGGTACATATCCAAAGGGAATGAAGTTAGTATACCAAAGAGATAACCTTCACCCCCAGGTTTATTGCAGCACCATTCACAATAGACAAGACATGGAATCATCCTGTGTCCATCAAAAGATGAATGGATAAAGATAATGTGGTACATATATGCAATGAAATACCATTCAGCCATAAAAAGAAGGAGATCCTGTTATGTGCAGCAATATAGATGAACCTGGAGGATAGTATGATAAGTGAAAGAAGCCAGACACAGAAAGGCAAATGTGACCTGATCACAGAGGTGGAGAGCAGCGGTGGTTACTAGGGGCTGGGGTGGTTGGGGAGTGGGGTTTGGGAGATGCTGGTCAAAACTTCAGTTAGGAGAAATAAGTTCAAGTAATCTAATGTGCAACATAGTGACCACAGTTAATAATTTAGTGTGCTTGTGAAAAATGAGAAGAGAGTAGATGTGAAGTGTTCTCATCACAAAAATATGTGAAGCAATGCATATGTGAATTAGCTAGATTTTGTCATTCCTCAATGTATTTGTATTTCAAAACATCCTGCTGTACATAGTAAATATATGTAATTTTGTTTCTCAATTTTAAAAACAAATAAAAAGAAAATAAAATTACTCTCACAAAGAGATAGATGAAGTTATGTTTGGGATAGAGCAGAGAAGAAAAAAATTCTATTACAATAATCTTGAGAAAAAATAATTGTATCCCCCAAATGGACTAAAGTAAACATGTATAAATAGCATAGCCTACTTCATGTGCTTAAATTAGAGGATGAGATACGTGGGAAATAGCTATATAATATTATAAAATAGACTGGACTTATGAAAATGTCAAAGATCTGTAAGCCAGCTCACATATTTGCCAGTATCCTGAGAAATACTGTCATTGGGCATTATGTCTATTGGTCCATTTTGCATATACAGTGGATGGCATTAGTGGAAAACTACAAATTTGAAATTAATAATGTACAGAAGATTTTAAAGTATCTGAGAGTCATTAGCTGAACTATATTGACAGTCATCAAATTGTTTTTAAAATCTTATAGAAAAGCTTTTGTAGTGTTCATATTTAAAAATGGTTTTAAAAAGAAGGCTTAAATATTATTCTAAATAATATGTATTTGACAGTAAACCTGAAATAATGTTAAATGGCAGAATTTATGCACTTCTGCCTTTAGTAAAATTTAAAAAGAGAAAATCAAACGCTTTAGTGAGCCCCAGGCACAGCTATTCATGCATTTGACTCTGCTGAGATACCTGAAATAATGGCAGGCCTTTCCTAAGACATATTACAGTTCACTTCCCTGTATGCTGATTTGTGGCTAATAGATGTCTTCCACTGTCACAAGGCCTGATGTGCACGTGTTCATTTACAAATTCATTATCTTTTGGTCCCAACAACTCAGTGTGACATAGGTAGATCAATGGGATTTTTATGGTTGCTTTCATTTTTCTAATGAAAGAATTAATGCTCTTGAGATTCTGTGATTTGTGCAAGGTTATAAAGTAAGAACTAGAATTCTAGTTATAATATTTTATCTCCTAATTTAGTGTTCTTTCTACTTCATTCTATATTCAAAGTGTCTCAGAAACATTAAAAAGAAGATTCAGGATTTTTTTTCACATTTATAATACTTACAAGTATTCTGTTTTGACTCGGAAAGGAAAATAAATCTAGTCTTTCTCATATATACAGTTGGCTCTCTGTATCCATGGGTTCTGCATCCATGATTTCATCTAACCACCGATAGAAAATATTTGGAAAAAAAAGAATGTTTGTGTCTGTGATGAACCATGTACAGACTTTTTTCTTATCATTATTCCCTAAACAAAATATTATAACAACTATTTATAAAGCATTTACAATGTATTAGGTGTTATAAGTAATCCAGAGATGACATAAAGTATGTGTGAGAATGTGTGTATGATGTAGGTATTAATAGATGTTATATTAATACATTAATTATATTTTTATATAATATAACATTATTAATATAACATTTATATACAACATTAATGTAACATGGCATATCAGGGATGTGAACATCTGTGAATTGTGTTGGGCCATGAGGGAGGTCCTCGAACAAACACTCCACAAATACTGAGAGGAGATCATATTTCTAAAATAAGTTACTGTGAAGCTAGATTGTGGGAAGGAGGATAGTATGAACTAGAGAAGGAAGGGATATTTTTCCCCAAAGGAAACATGAGCCCTTTTGATAGGCCTGATTTATAAAAACTTCTTTTAAAATGTTTAAGCTCACACAAATTTGTATCTTGCTGTTGCTGGAGTTCATATGTTAATTAATTAATTTATATTTAATTTTTTAATGTACTGAAAGGAATATTGTAAAGGAGATAAACTGTGTGTCATCAGTGTGAAGGACATGTGAAAATGTAAATTTTTGGTTGTATTATTTTAAAAGTGTGTATTACAGTAGCGGTTACTCCAGGTCTAAACAATGACCATGCTCCGTTTGTTACGAAGTCCAGAAATGAAGACAACAGTGTTCCCAAGGTAAGGTGCCCAGCCTAGTGGGCCATAGTTTCACCTACTGGATTGGCTAATTATCCTTAACCATGACACAGGGTCATAGTCATGTTCACAAGGGTGAACATCATTCAGCCAGATGAAAACGAGAAGGTCAATTTTTCTTTTTCTTTTTTTTTCAAAAATCATTTTCATGGTGACCTTGCTGATTGAGGGAACAGATTGGCTGGTATAGGATTTAGCAGTGCTAGATTTCAGGACAGCCTGTCTGAGACACTCAAGTACACTGGACCAGCTCAGTTCTCAAACTTCTAGTGCTATCATAGCCACAGTGGCTGTCCTTCACAGTTTTTCCATAAGTGCTTGGCAGGAATGCTTATTTCCATTGCCACACAGCAAAACATTTGCATATTAACCAAGTGTTTTATGTTTTTAACTTTTGAATAAATACAGTATGGAAGTCAATGTTCTGGAAAAAATTACACAGGTTCTTGAAGCCTAGACTCACTGAACAAGTGACTGTAAATAGGGAGTGATAACGTCTTTACCTGGGGCTACTTGTGCTTCTTTCTCATGATTTACTCCAGCGTTTTGTGGGCTCAAAATCCAGTGTGCCACAAAAGCTGCGTTGGTCTTTCTGCATAGAAATTTGCAGAAAAGATGGACTTTAAAAAGGTACTATATGGCTGGCAATTTCAAAAAGAAGAAAAATACAGAGGAACTACAAATCCAGATCCAGATGTTCTTTCTCTGTTTTGTTGTTGCGGTTGTTGTTGTTTTGTGTGTGTGTGTGTGTTTCAAACTTGTCATTTTCTTTCCACGGTTCAAATTTTTTTATTCTAATGGTTCTTCTGATATTCTATATTCAATCCTGCTGCTGTAATTGTTCAGAGAATGCCTATATCATGCTCTATCAATGGTAACTCATCAAGTTCATAGAAAGACCATACTAAACTAAGTGCTAGAAGAAACAACTGCTTTATTCAAGACATTCTACAATACAACCTTGCCTATGGTTACTTCTCTCTCTTCTCTCTGACACAAAGATTTTGTTCTTTTAAGATTGTTTTCCCAAGCATTTCATGCGTACTCCAAGATCCCTTTCCTTGTTTGTTAACCCAAAAAATATGAATAAAGTACTTAAAATATGCAAACCAACGAATAGAACACAGGAGAAAAAAAATTCTACCCATATGAAGGTGGCATTCTAGCATGTCTGAAAAGAAACCAGGGGGAGACAGAAAATAAAATTAAGAAAATCAATACACTGTATAATACTTCAGTAGCTGAGAATGCTACAGGAGATCTTAGAGCAGGGTAAGGGTGTGCTGTGAGGGGAAGAATTCACAATTTTAAAGGGTGAGTCAGGGTACACTCCACTGAGAATGTGCCATTTGGACCAATACTTGAAGAAAGTGAATTCTGTAAGACATCCCTAGTGGATTCATCTTCTGCCAGGTCATACATGTTACCTTATTCCCAGAATTATCTCAGGATTGCAAACTGTTTATAAACAGAATCTCCACAACCTCAGCGCCTAGTACAACGCCCTGCTGAAAATAGTTGCAAACGTTTATTTACAACTTTAATAAATTACTTGGGCAAATATTTCTTTATATATTTTCAAATATATTTAGAGTTCAATTCCCTAGCACAAACTAAAGTGAGATAGTGAACATACATTTATAAACATTTTCAGTGCCCAAAACTTTTATCTGCTATCTGCCAAGAACTCTTAACAATCACTTATGCAACATTTAATTAACTAGGACTTTATAAATAGGAATTCTATTTTTTCTAGAATTTACTTATAAAGCACACTGAAGTGGTTTAGAATAATACTTTTAGAATTTTTGACAGTAGTCCAAATGTTCAAACTATGTAAGTAGAAATTTGAAGTCTACTTGTTTTTATTTATTTTAATTATTTGATATCTCAGTCTCACATATATGGTGACTGCCCTAATTTTAATTAAAATATACCATTTTTCATTCATGCCAGATGTATACGCTCCTAAATTCTGTTGGATTTAGTGCATACCTTTGTTCAAAAAACCAACAGTTTATTTTCTGGACAGTTTTTTTGCTGAAAAATTGAGCAGATAGTACATAATTTCTGCATACCCCTCCCCACCACCTGCTCACAATTTTTTCTATTTTCTAACATCTTGCATTGGTGATATGTATGTTACAATTGATGAAGCAACATTGATACATTACTATTAGCTAAAGTCCAGACATTACATTAGGGTCCATTTTTGTGTTGTACAATTATATGTAATATCATGCATCCAATATTACAGTATCATACAGAAGAGTTTGCGTCCCTGAAAATCCCGTTCTTCTGCTCCATGTTTTCATCTGTCTTTCCCTCCCTCTAAATCACTGGGCAACCATTGATCTTTTTACTATCTTTATAGTTTTGCCTTTTCCATAATGTCATAATTTGAATCATAGAAAGTGTAGCTTTTTCAAACTGGCTTCTTTCACTTAGTATCAGGCATTTAAGATTCCCACATGTCTTTCCATGACTTGAGTGTTAACCTCTTTTGATGGCTGAATATTATTCCATTATGTGTATATACCACAGTTTACCTATTCACCTGTTGAGGATATTTTGGTTGCTTCCAGTTTTTGGCAATTATGACTAAAGCTGCTATAAACCTTCATGTGGGGATTTTCATGTAGATATGTTTTCAACACATCTGGTTAAATACCTAGTAGCACGATTGCTGGATAATATGATAAGATGATGCTTAATTTTGTAATAAACTGCCAGACTGTCTTTCAAAGTGACTGTACTGCTTTACCTTCCCACCAGCAGTGAATGAGAGTTCCCACTGCTCCACATCCATGCTATCATTTGGTATTGTCAGGGTTTTGTATCTTAGCCATTCTAATAGGTGAGTAATGGAACTTCATTGTTGTTGTTGTTGTTGTTGTTTAATTTGTAGTTCATCAAGACATCTTATGCTGAGCATGTTTTCATATGCCTATTTGCCATCTTTATATCTTCTTTAATGAAGTCTATTTAGATCTTTTGCCCATTTTTTAATTTTATTATTGTGTTTTAATAATTCAAAAACAGTCTTTTTTTCTGATATGAATTTTGTAAATATTTTCTTGAGGTCTGTAGCTTGTCTTTCCACTTCTAACAATGTATTTGCACAGCAGAACTCTTTAATCTTAGTGAAGTCCAAATTTCATGTTTTTTTATGGACCCTACTTTTAGTGTTGTATCTAAAAACTCATCACCGAACCCAAGGGCACCTAGATTTTTTTATGTTATCTTTTTAGAAGATTTTTTGTTGCATATTACATTTAGGTATATAATCCTTTTTGAGTTAATGTCTGTTTAAAATATAAGCTGTATGTCCAGATTCATTTTTTTGCATGTGGACATCCAATTGTTCCAGAACACTTACCATCACTACCCAGCAATTTAACCTTTAGGTATCTAACCAAGAGAAATGGAAACATACAAAAGTCACACAAAGGCTTGAACATGAATGCTTACAGAATTAGTCATGTTACTCAAAAACTAAAGATATGCATCTATCGACCAGTAAATGGAGAAAAATATGGAGAAACATCATATCCATATGAACCCAGCAGCAAAAAAGAATGAACCATTGAATCATGCCTAAACATGTATGAACACCAAAAATGTGGCATAAGGAAGAAGCCACACACAAAAGAGCACACATATTGTATTACTCCCTATATATAAAATTTATAGGAAAAAAGCCTACAGAGACAGAAGCAGATTAGTGGTTCCTTGGGACTGAAGGTATTAATAGATACAGGAATTTATATCAAATCATCAAGAGAGAAGCTTTGAGGAGTGATGGAACTGTTATAAAACTGGATTGGTTGATGAATATATAACTACAAATCTACAAAAACTGATTTATATGTATACTTGAAAGAGATAAAATTAGTAATACATGAATTAGACCTCAATAATGCTATAACTACAAGTAATATACTATCCAAGAATACACAGGAAGTAAATCTCCCCAAATTTTTTATTCAATGGTGAAACTAAATTTATTATAGTAATTTATCTGCAAATGGAGGGCAATGCAATCAGTGAGGAATGATAGAAAACTTGTTAAATACCGTTAGTTTCTGGTAAATTGTATTTCTCAACCTGATTAATGAGTATATGAGTGTTAATTTAAAAAATAAGTGTGTGTACTTCAAAATTTTTATTTTTAACATTAAAATATTAAATTAATATATGCTACATATTACAATATATGTATATACAAGGTGCTTTAAAAGCTCCAAGAATAAAATTGCTAAAAATTCATGAGATACAGGAGAATTTGGCTGAATCAATTGATACAAAAAAGACATGTATAATATATGACATTTTATCATGCAAGATGGATTCTCTAGTTTCTCCTTTCCTTGATTTACCATCTCACAAATGATTAAATATTTATGTCATTCAGCATCTGAAATCAGGACATAAAAAGTAATAAAGTTATAGAATTTTGTTATGGCAGAATTTCCAACAGTGTGTTCTGCATGGCCCTAGTTTTATCAAACCTAACTTGATTAATGAAAAATTAATAAAAGAAAGTTGAATTGATTATTTTCTGTAAGCCTTCTTAGAGTCTACACTATACAATGTATATCAAGAACATAAAACGTACCATGGAGCAGCAAGTTTGATTCACAAACTTATCTACTCACCCTCTTTTTGAAGAATATCTCATAGAACAAATGCTCTCAAAAGTACATACTGAGATACACTCTGTCTTATGAGTTCCCATTATCTGCACTCTCCAGGTTTTGAAAACTGAAATTTCACACATCTGTCCCTATTAACTAAAACTTTAATAGAAAGATTAGTCTCTGTCTATCAATATTCTTCCTCCTTTAATGCCTATTCTCAATTTAATTTTTCTTGTCAGTAAGTTAGTAAATACATTCATTATTGGTTTTTAAATTTTACTTCTAGATTGCCAAAATGCAGGTGTAACATTGAAGTTGATATTTACCATTATAGTCTTGGTACTGAGTAGCAATTTTAGTGATGGTTTGTTCTCCAAGGAAAAAATTTAAAAAATGATGGTCAACTGGTTATCCTACTAAACTAGATATTGCAATTGAACAATATCTCTAAGTACGAAAATAGCTACCCAGTGAAAACCTTATATTAGCTACAAATTTAAAAAAAATTATCTGGCAAGTGGATCAACTCTTCCTTTCTGGTGGATATTTTATTAATAGATCTGCATTCTCTCACACGCTGTGATTATCCACCAGTCCAAATATCCTTGATATGGTTTGGCTCTGTGTCCCCACCCAAATCTGATCTTGAATTGCAATCCCCAGGTGTTGAGGGAGAGATCTGGTGGGAGGTGGTTGGATCATGGGGGAGGTTTTCCCCATGCTGTTCTCATGATAGTGAGGGAGTTCTCATGAGATCAGATGTCTTTACCAATGGTAGTTTCCCTAGGCGTCTCTCTCTCTCTCTCTCTCTTTCTCACCTGCCACCATGTAAGACATGACTGCTTCCCCTTCTGCCATAATTATAAGTTTCCTGAGGCCTCCCCAGGTAGGTAGAACTGTGAGTCAATTAAACCACTTTCCTTTATAAATTACCCAGTCTCGGGTAGTATCTTTATAGCAGTGTGAAAACAGACTAATAATACAGTACTCATATACATGTATGCATGCACTTCCAAACACACCTTTCTGCATTCAAAATACATCCTCAAAACAGGGTCACTGTGTTTTTCACCTATAAGGGTTCATTTCACCTGGAATGTATTGAAATTTGTATCATAGATGTTATATTGGGAAGTCTTTTTTTTTTTTGAGATGGAGTTTGGCTCTTGTTGCCCAGGCTGGAGTGCAATGGCGTGATCTCAGCTCACTGAAACCTCCTCCTCCCAAGTTCAAGCAATTCTCCTGCCTCAGCCTCCCAAGTAGCTGGGATTACAGGCATGCCCCATCACACCTGGTTAATTTTTGTATTTTGGGTAGAGATGGGGTTTCACCATGTTGGCCAGGCTGGTCTCAAACTCCTGACTTCAGGTGATCTGCCCACCGTGGCCTCCCAAAGTGCTGGGATTACAGGTGTGAGCCACTGCACCCAGCAGGAAAGCCTTATAACCATATATATTACCGTTATAAACATTAAAAAGGAGTGACTACTAGAGCCACATAATTAACAATTCAAAACAGATCCTTTGGAAGTAACTTTTTGCATTTGTGGTGTGCAACTTAATACAACACAAAATTCTTAGTTATTTACTTTGAGAGACTTAAATATAATGTCTATGTCTCAGCCTTTCGTAAGTTTTTTACACAGTAGAGAGTAAGGACTCATTTGTGCTAATTCTAAATTACTCTTTGGCACATTGCCAGGTAAACTGTGACAGCTCCTTTTGATGGAGCAGCATGTTTTGGACTGGTTTCTGCAAAGCTTCTAATTGACTTCGATGTAAATTATATTTCCTTCAATTTGAATCTCAACCAAATACAAAATGCTATGTTACATTTGAATTTTGTTAGGTTGGATTCAGTTGTGATGGATTCTAAGACGGCTGATTGAAAAACTAAGCAATTCTCAAGGTGGCCATCACTGTATTTTTGGTTTAACATATTCAGATTTGATGAACCTAAACATGTTCATGGGTATGTTTCAATTCTTCTGACTTTCATATATTATATTCCACAAAAACATAAGAAAAAAAGCACAACATATCCTCAAAGAATATAAAATGCCTAACTGACATTCTTAAACATAATTAAATCCATACTTATTTCCAAAATTTAATATTGTAGGAATCTAATAACTAGTAGAATTTTAGACAATGAGTATATTAGTATGCTATAATTCTTGAGGCATGCAGTAAAAATTCAACTTAATTTAGCAATTCTACTCCTAAGTATGTACCCAAGAAAAAGGAAAACAAATGTCCACACAAAAACTTGTACCTGGATGTTCATAGCAGCATTATTCCTCATAGCCCCAAAGTGGAAATAAGCCAAATGTCCTTTGGTTAATTAATTAATGAAAAATGTAGTATATCCATACAATGGAATATTATTCATCAACACACTACAACATGGATAAGCCTTGAAAGCATTGTGCTAATTGAAAACAGCCAATCACAAGAGACTGTATATTAAATGATTATATGAATTCACCAGAATGGGCAATGGGAAAATCCACAGAGACAGAAAGTAGGTTAACAACTGCCTGGGGCTGGAGGAGAGAGGATGGCTTGAGTTTCTGGGACAGGCTAAGGAGTGTGGGTGTTTCTTTCTGAGATAATGAGAAGGTTCCAAAATCGGGTTGTGGTGATGATTATACAACTATATATTCTGAAAACCATTTAAGTGTATACTTTAAATAAGTGAGTTGTAAGGTATGCGAGTTACATCTCAATAAAGCTGTTAGAAATTAAAGATTGCCTGTACTATTCCAGACCTTAGATACAAGTAGAAACTTCCTCATTTCATGTCACAGCCCCATTTAAATTTAACATAAATTATGACAAAAAATGAATTAAAAACAAAAAACAGTTAAGGATGATGTTATTTAGCATGACGGAAGAAAAGAATTGTAAATTAATATAAGCAAGTAAAATCTAGCTTTGTATAAAAGTAATTATACCTTGTAACAAAGCAGTGAATTCAAGATGGAGCACAATTAGAAATTCTATTATCCCGACCCATTACATCATAAAATTAAAGGGAAAATATTATATGAACATAACCACAGATGGTGAGAAAATCCAATAAAATCCAATAATATATATAAGTGGCATCAAATTAGAAAGAAAATAGCTAATCATAATAATTGTTGGCCAAAAAACATAGAAAATGTTTTCTGAAATGGTGAACAGTAAAATCAACTGAGGACAAGAATTTCATAGAAATGTTAACTAATACGTTTATTAATTAGAATTTTCTTTGACGTTTTGGGAAATGCAACATAAATATAAAATGAAAAAACTGATACTAACATTAGAAAAGAAGAAACGAACAGTCTTTTTTTGAAGATGATACCATTCTGTACTTATAAAAACACTCTCATAGGAGACCAAAAACTATTCTTTTTTTATCATGCTTGAGATTTGTAACACTTTTGAATCTAGTTTGTGATGTCTTTCATCAAGTTTGGAAAATTCCCAGCGATTACCAATTCAAGTAATATAATTTATTCAAATATTATTTCTTTCTTTTATGTCTTCTGAAATTTCAATTATATCTTCTATCCCATATATCTCTAACATTGTTTCTTTATGTTACATCCTTTATTACCATCTAGGTTTCAAATTTTCTTCTGCTCTGTATTACAGTTTACTGCCCACACATTATTTTTAGCTCTTTCTCATCTGTTAGCACATAATTTGGGGCCTTAACTACACTTAAAAAATTAGTTCTTTGCTCAGAGGCAATGTTCTGTAAAAAGCCATAATGGTATTGTCAAATTACCAACAAACAATACACTATTTCTTGAACTCAGCAAATTCTTCAAGACAAATGTAACATTGCAATAAAAAAGGAATCTGAGAAATAGCAACATACTTCCCAATCACTACCCTGAACTCCCTGTATGTAATCTGGTTTATTTATCTGATAGTACTTATCACCATTTAAAACACATTTTCTACTTATTTACTTATTATATCTCCCTCACGACAATGCTAGCTCCTCAAAGGCTGTATTTTGTTTGTTTTGAACATCACAATAGCTTCATCACTGGGAATATCCTGGCACTCAATGAATACTTTTAGATAAACGTTTGTTTATGTAAATTTTTCCGCTTCTTTAATCTTATTCCCTAAGAGGAAGGTAGCTAAACAGACATTTTAGAATATTAACATGAAAGTAAAAGCATTTGTGCATAATATTCATGATTATAAGGTATGTCACACACAAAACTTTAAAAGCTAACAGAACATTTAGTTGAAACTGAACGATATTGATCTTTCCTTTCTTTGCTTAAATGCCAGTGGAATTACTGAGGCACGTGTCAAAAATTTATTCTCTTTTTGTGGAATTCATCTAATCTAAACTCAATTTCACTGTTGAGTCAAAGTTAGAATAAGAAACAGTAACAAAGCTGTTGATATATAAACTTCTGTGAACATTATTTTTTGGCTGAATCTGTTTCACTTTATCAACTCTGTCATCTCTCATTTCTGTTTCTCTCAAATTTACAGGATGTAAACAAACTTCACTCTGAAAGAACAGAAACTGAAAAGGCCTGTGACAAAGCTTGAGGACAGATTTGTGACTTTCATTTCCAGGAACCCAAGGAGCAAGAGAACCACAAAAAAAAACTTTCCTTCAAAATTCTTTTACTTATCAGTGGATATAGTTGTCACACTTATCAAGGCATAGTTTTATAAACACAGACTTGCTGAATCTCATAGCAAGGTTGACTTTATAGATCACCTAACTCTAATCCATTAAAATGGACTTTGCTAATTCCTACAATATTATAAACCCTGCAAAAATCGCTATCTCAAAGTGATATTCTCATGTAGAAAGGACCATGCCCATAACGTTAGATTGAGGTGTTAGATTCAAATAACTCACAAAATAAGTAAATGTGAGTAGAGGCAATGACCTAGACATTGACTGAAACAAAACTATTTTTCAGTTCTCTGTATATTAGGAAAAGTTGACTTTTGATATACATAGTCTCGAGTATCTTCGTGTAGGAAAACTTTTTGTAAGGAAAGAAAAAGAAATGCCTGTTTTAGAAAGGATTCCTTCTCTTTTTTCATGTTAGAAGTGCCTGGTGTGCCCAGAGATGAATCAAGTGTCTTGGGGAAAACGAACGCACTGTAGACATTAAACCCATTATAATTAAAAATAAAGAGGAGATTTTGCTATCATCTTTTCAAAATGTGATTTTAATGCTAAGAAAGAAAGATTTTAAATTGAAACCAATGAGAATGAATCAATTTTCTCTTCTTTGAACTGCTGCTTCCTAAACACTTAGCAAAAAAAGATTTTAAGAGGAGTTGGCATGGCCAGCCAGTCAATGATCTCACCAACCCTGGTGCAGGCACATTTCTACTGGAAGGTGTGAATATCTGATTTGGACTGCTGGGAGGTACTGTTCTTTTATAGAAGGAGACTGCCTAAGACAACTATGAATCTTACACAGAAATTGCAATGTATTCTCATAGAAAAAGAAACCACATTTTTTCAATCTCCAAAGTCTCCTATGTTGAATTACATGATGTGAATCAAAATCCTACATTAGTCAGAACAGCTCTAAATTTTGAAATTCTTCTTGCTTCTCCTGTCATTGAAGATACATTTCATTATCTTCCACATTTTGCTGTGTTCCACATCTTTTCCTTTACTTCTATCTCTTTCTTAGTATTTTCTTCTTATTTTTGCTTTCATTTTTTAGCATGTATTACTACTTGTCAAATCACAGTCTTCCAATTTCTTATAGGTCTAAATTGCATCAGAATGTTTATAGCCAATTTTCACCATTGTTCCTGTTCCTCTGAATTCACCAACTCCATCTAACTGAACTCTTCATCTTTCCAAATCCAACATGATAAAAAGGCTCCACTGGGGATTTTGTCTTTCTTTTCAAGCCACCATGCAAGACTCAGCAGGCTGCGTGTCATTTGCATGTGTTAGAACTGCACCAACCCAGTCTTTGAGATTTACACAACCTGTAGCTTATACATTTTGTTGAAAAATAATTTGCTCCCTCGTCTTCACCATGGCACTGCTACTCATCCATTTGCTTCAACCAGATTCACTCCTTCTTCCTGCTGAATAATTCCTATGTCTCTATCTTCTTTCCAGAGTTGCTCAGGTCTCATCTCCTCTTATTGGAATATAAATTCTCTTTTCTTTTGCATTTATCTCTTTTTAACTTTTCAAACTGACGTCAGAGTGATATTCATAATACCCTAGTCTTATTACATTATTCCTCTATATCAAAATATGTTAAAGAAATCTGTATATTTAGAGCAAGTTTGTCAATGTAACCATCACATCCAAGCTACCTTAATATCTGATGCCTGACCAATTCCTGCCTTAATTGCTCCATTTATAATTTTCTAACAACACAAAACTACTTAAATATCAGGAAATACATTAACTCTCCATGTCTTTTTGCCTTTTCTCTTCTAACTGCCTGGAGTGCTCTGCCCTCGACTATATCCTCATTTTGAACTTCTATTCATCTTTTCAATCCTATCTCAAATAATATTTTCTCAGTGAAGTCTTTCCTTGGGCTTCTGGAAGAATTTATGCACTTCTTTAAGCTGCTTCTGCATGTTAGAGTTAGTGCAGAGCCAGTAGCAAATACAACTTAAACTTGTTTTAACTATAATTTTAAAGCATAATATCGCAAACATTCTGTTCCAAAAATGACAATTTCCCATCAGAAAATTTCCTGCTGGTAAATACATGTTTATGACAATCCTAAAGTGCCTTAACAATAGGAATCTTATTTTCCACGAATTATCCAGTTATCTGGTAAACCTATCAGACTGTCTGTCTCAAAATAGGGACAAAATGTTCACAAGTTTGTGTTACCATTCAAAAAAAAATTCAGTGTAGGTGTAACTGCTTGTTTACTTTTGATTTAAAATAAATCTAAAAACTAGATTAGAATTCCAGTGCACTACTGGTATTTTAATCAATAACATTATCTACACCTCTTAAATGAAAGTTCATATACAAGAAACATTTTGTTCATATCATTCAAATTCACGGCCGGGTGCAGTGGCTCACGCCTGTAATCCCAGCATTTTGGGAGGCCGAGGCAGGCGGATCACGAGGTCAGGAGATCGAGACCATCCTGGCTAACATGGTGAAACCCCGTCTCTACTAAAAATACAAAAAAATGAGTTGGGCGTGGTGGCGGGCCCCTGTAGTCCCAGCTACTCGGGAGGCAGAGGCAGGAGAATGGTGTGAACCTGGGAGGTGGAGCTTGCAGTGAGCCGAGATCATGCCACTGCACTCCAGCCTGGGCGACAGAGTGAGACTCCATCTCAAAAAAAAAAAAAAAAAGAAAAGAAAAAAAAATCACGTTTGTTAGCATGTAGTTTCAAAGATCTGAAAATCTTTCAATAGACATAAAGAGACGTAAAGGAAATAGGAGTTTCAGAGAGAAGGTAGTAAATCTGTTAATGAGAAGCTGAGAAAGGCTGAGGAAAAAAAGAGCTCTCTTACCCCTAGTCTGATGGTAGGTCCCTGAAATGGTTAAGTCCAAGTTGAGTCACTGATGTTCTAGGCTGATGGTACAAATACCTATGCGGCAGCTTTGCTGCCCTCACTTCTTTCACACCCTACTGCCCTAAACACACACACGTATACCTAAATAGCATTTTATTAAAAATTATACTACAGATTGCATTACCAGTTGGATGTAATAGGAAAACACTGAACTACTCATCAAGATACATGAATTCTAGTCCCAGATGTGCTATTGACCAGTTTTGTGAGTTTAATTGAGTTCATTATACCTAATTTCCTTGGTTTTCTTCATCTCCCAAATGAAGATGAAGTTTGTCCTTTCTCCACAGAATGGCTGTGGGGAACAAATAATATTATGGCTCCAGATTACTCTGTAAATGTCAAAGTGCTGCACAAATGTAAGAACTTAGTATGTGCCAGGTTAGTTCTCATCATCTTCTCAACATTCCCTCTTCCTGTGTTCTTTATGTTAGATTCATGGAGTCACTCTCCTTCCATGACCTGCGGGCTGAAAACACGAGTCATTGTTTCTCCCCTTTCTTTTCCCCCTTCATCAATTCAGCCATCACTCCCCTCAATTAGGCCTCCATAGTGTGTACCAAATTGTTCCCCTCTAGCTTCCTTTCCCCTTCCTGAGCCAAAGCATTTGCAGGACTCATTATTCTCCTGACAGGCTGCTAGTTTCTCTTCTAATTCATTGCCAAAAGTGCTGGAATTGTTTCCTATAAACACAGATTTCTAGCTGACAACATACACACTCCTCAGGCTGGCATTCAAAGCCCTTCACACTTTCACCATTACTAACCATTCCTGTCCTATGTGTGTGTTTGAGTGGGTGGGGGGGAAGTTGAAGTGACCAATCTCTCACCTTCCATCAATCAAAGCCCTCCCACAGTTTCATCACTGCTAGCCATTCCTGTCGATGTGTGTGTTTGGGTTGGATGGGGGGAGTTGAAGTGGCCCATCTCTCACCTTCCATCAATCATGCTAACTGCAATGCAACTTTAAGCATTAACACAGACTATTCCATCATTGTGGGATGCCTGTGCTCTTCTTCCACTGCTGAATCCCCTACCATCTTAAGTCCTATTTCAAATCCAAGCTTTCTTCCAGCTCTCGAGTCATAATAGATCTCCCCCTCCCTCTTCCTCCCTTATAGTCACTGTATTCATTATCCACTGGTATGTAAATAAGTACTACAAGACTCAGCAGCTTAAAATAGGAAACGTTTATTATCTAATGCTTTTTCCAAGGGGCAGCTTAGGTACGTACTTCGAGCTCAAGATCTTTTCCAAGGATGCGGTAAAGTGGTTGTGGTCATTTCAAGTCTTAGCTGGGGGTGAAGATGTTGCTTCCAATTTTACCCACATGGCTGTTGGCATGAGGCTTCCGTACCTCCCTACATAATCGTCTCCTGAGGGCTGGTTGTGATGTAGCTTCTCTAGAGCAAGTGATCCATGAGAAAGGTACAACAAGCACTCAATATGCCAGCCAATAATCTTAGAAGTGACATATAATCACTTTTTCCACGAGGTATTGGTCACACAGACCAACCTTAGTGTAATGGGGAGGGGAGGCTGAACAAGGTGTGGGTATCAGAGGCGTGGATCTTTGCGAAGTTGAAGGCTGGCCAACACATTCTTCTAGTGCATTATTTTGTGGTTACTATAGTACTCATCATTATACCACTACTCCAGAGTTACACCACTCCTCCAGAGTGGTATAACTCCTCCTACTAGACACCAAACAATCTGGCTTTACTTGTTACACTCTTACATCATCAGGAAAAATGATTCATGCAAAGTAGATGCCCATGAAATGTTATTTCACATAAGTACATTTCTATCATGTTCAAGGTTCTGAGTTATTTATAGCCTTGTGTTAAGAAAGTTCAGGTCCTGAGTGTGATTTTCTCTGAGGGTTAGTGAGTCTTATGCAGAAACTGTATATATTACTTGTACTTTAAACTTAGGAACTCATATTTCAAACACATTTCACTGCTAACAAAGTGGGTTGTAAAAGAGATTTGAAGGGCATTAATTACATTCCATCACCATTGCTAAAAATTAATTAGGAATGTGTGTTTTACCAACCCACTGACAGTGATCGAATATGTACACTTGATTTTATAAGAATAAGAGTGCATGGCAGAAAAACACTGGGTTTCCAAGAACTTATATTCCAATATAAATTCACTTTTTTACGTTAAACCAGTTTACATGTTGCTCTTATCCTCATCACCATAAAATAAGTTTATTCCAACTCTAAAACTGAGATAAAAATTCTTCCTGAATAACTGGAATTTTGAATGAAGATGAGAATAGACAATGCATGTGAAAGTGTGTATCAACTTGGAAGAAAGACTCAATAACCTTGTACTCATCACTTGATACTTTATAAACTGAGGAATGTTGCTTCCCCATTTTTGCCATCTGTACTTCCATCTTTCTCCAACAGACCACAGAATTGACCGTATGACATCCTGTTTTCACAGGTATCAGATATTCCATGTAGGATTTAGATCTTATTAGCAACCTAGAGGTTAGGACAATGAAAGGAGGGCTACTTTCATGAGGCAAATAGGTGCTTCTTCTTTTATCTAAGAAAACTCTTGGACACATTAGGGTAATCTAGGATAATTTTAAAATTAAAATTCCAAACTCCCAAAGACATCTTTAGAATACAATTTTATAAATACAATTGCAAGATCCCCAAAGACCAATTAAATCAGAATTTCTAGAAGCAGGACCTTAGCATCATCATTTTTAAAAGATCCACAGTAAATTCTGATATTCATTTATTATTGAGAATCACTGGGGGAAGAGCTATGGGATGGCAAGGAAGAACTTCCAGAAAGCAAGCGAGAAAATGTAATTTCATCTTATGCTCAGCAAGTCATAAAATTAGAATTTTCTTAAGCTCGAAGGGAAATCTAGATTGAATGTGCCTCACTGGTCTTTTAATATGCAAATAAGATATCTTCTTTTTAAATAGTAAATCCAAAGGCATAATATTCTTTTGAATGTGCTTTTAATATAAATGTTTTTCATATTTAAAATATACATAATTACAAATATATGACTCATTTTCTACTTTATCTTATTTATTGCACATTTTCTAATAAGAGAAGGCCTATTCTCTGGAATGAATTAGTAAAATAAATAGCAGGTCTTAAATTTGAATTCATGTACCTAGATTGATAGCTCAATTTTTTTCCCATTAAATTGCAATGGTAAGTATATCAACTTATAATATTTGTAATATGAGATAGTTGTGCTTGTGCACACATCCATGTGTTTACACTGTACGGATGGCAACAGTGTCTTCCTACAGATACTTGTGCTGTTAACTCAGAAAATGTCTGAGATCCAGTGAGTCCTCCTATAATCAATCATTTCAAGGACTTGCCATTAGACTAAGCTACCTCCTCATTGAATCCTCTCAGCTCAAAACAACCAATTTTAAATGTATGTCTTTTGAAAAATCAAATTTACTGTGTATTGCTTGAAAGAAGGAAAGAAAAGATTACCTGTAAGCTTATTTAAGCATTTGTTTTAGTATCTGTGAAAACCTAACCCTTCTTTTGCTTTTAATCTTCTACCAATTATAGTAATATATAATTGATAGTAAAATAGAAATAAAACAAATAAAAAAGATATTTCAAAGTTGAATATAGTTTGAGAAAACATGGCCTTTCTAGAAAGGATGACCTTAATATCAAGTGGCAAGCCTTTGACTCTATTTAAAATGCTCTATTCATTAAAATGTTAAAGCTCAGCACATAAAGATGAAAGCCAAGTTTCTTTTCATTACCAATACCCTCCTGTTGAGTATTTGGAAACATATTCCCATCAATGCATTTGATCTTTTCAAATTAAATTACTCTCTTTGAGTGAGCTAGATGAAAAATGAGTTACATTAAAATTAATGGGTTTCCTCACCTTTCCAAAGTGAACTGCAATAATTTCTTCTAGTTTTAAATTATATTTCCAGATAATGATCTTTTGGTGTAGGCGCTCTTATACTATATAGGATCCCAGTGGATTAACACTGAGACAGCATTTGAAATGAGCCCAATATGGTTTTACAACTGGGAGGAATAGTTACAATATATTACATATCTTGTGTGTGGGCATATGTTGTCTTAGTCTGTTTTCTGTTGCTAATAACAGAATATCTGAAAATGAGTAATTTAGAAAGAAGTAATTTATTTCTTACAGTTATGGAGGCTGTGAAGTCTAAGGTCAAGGGGCTGCATCTGGCGAGGGCCTTCTTGCTGATGGTTACTCTGCAGAATCTCAGGTGGCGCAGGGCATCACATGGAGAGGGGAATGAGTATGTTAGCTCAGGCCTCTCTCTTCTTATAATCTTTTTTTTTCCTTCTTTCACCAGTCCTATCCCAAAGATAATCCATTAATCTTTAATTAATTAATTAATCCACAAATGGATTAATCCATTTATGAAGACAGAGAGACAATCACCTCTCAAAGGCCCCATCTCTCAAAAACTACTACATTGGAGATTAATTTTTCTTTTTTTTTTTTTTTTGAGATGAGGTCTCACTTTTGTCCCCCTGGCTAGAGTGCAATGGCACAATCTCGGCTCACTGCAATCTCTGCCTCCCAGGTTCAAGCAATTCTCCTGCCTCAGCCCCCTAAGTAGCTGGTATTACAGGCACACACCACCACTCCCGGCTAGTTTTTGTATTTTTAGTAGATATGGGGTTTCACCATGTTGGCCAGGCTGGTCTCAAACTCCTGACCTCAGGTTATCTGCCTGCCTTGGCCTCCCAAAGTGCTGGGATTACAGGTGTGAGCCACCGTGCCTGGCCTGGAGATTAAATTTTGACAGGAGTTTTAGAGGGGCCAAATATTTAAACCATAGAATGCATGTACAGTTTTTATTATTTTTTTCTGTTTTACCATGCAAAAAGATTCTTTATTTAAATAGAAAAAATGCATGATATTATTGAATAGATGTTTGCACACAGCATAGCTCTGGGAAGTCTCACTGGAAGTCTGTGCCCTCTCAGTTCTGGCTATAAGGAACTGCACCATCTCAATGTCTATACCTAGCAGAGTAGATGGCCCTCAGCAAATGTTTGTTACATTAAAACTTGAGATATAAGAATTAGATGATAAAGTTTTTCATTGTCTTCAAAATATAATATTACACAAAGTGGCTACACAATACTACATATTAAACTCCAGCCTCTATCTAGCAGGAGTTGGTTGCCTAAAATTGTCAGTTCGTCAAGACACAATATTGTTGAGGGCAATCCTACCCGTATGTTCTGGCCAATTTATATTGGCTTTTCTTTAAAAATTTTTTCAGAGATTATTACAGTTGGTTTGATTATGTTACTGTGTTGACATGAAGTAATAGTCTAAATTAATATAATGTATAGAAATATTACTTTTGGAGATAAAAACTATGAGATACAGATTCTATCTCTACCAAAAAATACACAAAAAGTTTGATATTATTCCTTTCAAACTCATGTTATAAACTGATAGTAAAGGCAGACTGGCTGACTTGCCTACTATAGCACTTAAAATAAACCTGTTACAGACTACTACACACTCTATCCAATTGACTCATAAAGGAAGAATGTGATGGTAAAGAAAGATTCAGTTATTCTCTTATTCAACTCAATTTACAACTGTATATTTCAAAGAGATACAACTTATTACATTTATTACTAGATAAATTCAGTGGTGATTAATGGGTTTACATAAATGGCAGAATATTCATTTTTACTATGGTTACAATTCGGTATTTTAGATGGAGGAAAGCTCATTTAGATAGGAGTTTAAATTTATGTAATGCCCCAAAAAGCATTCCAAATACAATCATAATAGGTTGTTATTATTCTATTAGTAAGAATCCATTTGCAGATGATAGAAAACATTCCAGCTATTTTAAGCATGGACTGATGTTTATAAAATTTTTAGAATAATCATAGGGGCAGGTTTTAGGATGGATTTCAATAAAGCGTTTCCAGAACAACCCTGGGAATTGGGCTGCTCAGAGAATAACACAATCAGAGAGCTGGGCCATTAAGTAACTGCTGTCACATTTGTTGGCTTTGGGTTAAAACATTCTAGCTGAGATTTCAGAGTAAATTTGTAGCAACCAGAACAACTGCCATCTACTAGATTAAGAAAACTGTTTTCTAACACGCTATGGTATCCCCGCTACTTCAAGGGCCAAGCAAGGGCATAGTATCAGCAGAATGCCAAACACGTATAAATCCTTTTTGTAAGTCTTTTGTTTTTTTTTTTTTAGACATGAGGTGTTAGTTTCACAGTCTCCAATACACAGACAGGAAACCTAGAAAGATGTTGGAATACCTGTATAGTGAATCAATCTAATGCATACACCACATTGAACTTTAAATTCATATTATTAATAATGAACACATAAATCCACTCCAAAGTGATCATAAACTATCTAGTTTGATTAGAAAAACACAAACACATGATTTTATGTTTAATTTGGTAGGTTTTTTTGTTTGTATTATAACTGTATTATTAAACAATTCTGATACTTTTTAAACAAATGATGTCAATATCTGTTGTATGAGCTGTATCATTATTAATTTCACATTATCACTAGTGAGATATCACATAGATACTGACAAAATTGTGGGTAATTTTTCCTACAATAATTTGATATTTTTCTCAGATAGACATAAATTTATTTAAGTGGCAGTTAGCTATTTTATATGAGTCAATACAAATGGGAATCTTTAATATTTATTATTTTTATTGCAATCAAACTGATTATTTGGCAACAAGTTTCAAGGTGACATTTCTTGGCAAGAGCTCAAATAGTAAAAAAGTAATTATACTGTCATAATTTCTGAAGAAATTGGCATTTTGAAACAAACAATCCATCAGGATGTAAATATTATGAAAGCTTTCTCAATGCAAAAAATCCATTTGTATAGCAACTCAGGAAACAGTGAATGATCAGGTGATATAGATTGTCGGATCTAAATCCCAAATTACCTATTGTTAGAGTTTCTGTGATGAAAATAAAAAGTCAACATGTCTGTAATTTTGAATAGTTCTTAGCAGGTTAGGAGAATATATTATTTTGCCTGATATTTTCTAAGTCACAGGTTTCTAAATATTCAGGTAAGATAACAAAACAGATATTACATATATTCTTACATTGCCAAAATACAGGCTCAGATAAAAATATTTACAACTTACTGAAATGAACAGATTTCCAGGATTTTCAATATTTGCATTGCTAGTATAGCTAGTTTAACAGCACCAGGTGTAAGTAGTTTTCAGAGGTTTTGTGTGACGTCAAGTAAAACGCAAGTCAACAGTATGATAAGGTTAACCAATATGCTAAAGCAACCAATTGAACTAATATAAGTATAGTATTCAAGATAAAAGATATAGTGCATCTTGTTTATGTTATTTAGTCAATTGTTGGAGAATGAATTAAGTTGTAAGTTCAGAGTACAATATATTGGAAATGATATTAATACACTGTAGTTCAGACTGAGGAAATTAAATAGATAGTTAATGGTCTTCAAACCATATCATATGTATACTGATTAAGCAAAAAAGAACAGATAAAATTCCAGTGTAATAGGTGCGTTAGTTTGTTTGGGCTGTTATAACAAAAACACCATAGACTGGGTGGTTTAAAAGTCACAGAAACTTATTCTTCACAGTTTTGGAGGCTGGGAATTCTAAGATCAAGGCACTAGTAGATTTGGCACCTAGTGAAGGCCCCTTTCCTAGTTCATAAAGTGTCTTCTTGTTGTGTTCTTACATGGTGGAAGGAGCAAACAAGCCCTCTGGGGCCTTTTTTATAAGGTCACTAATAATATTTATGAGGATAGAACCCTCGTGACCTAATTACTTCACAAAACGCCCTACCCTCCTGATACCATCACCGTGGGGGTTAGGATTTTAACACAGGAATTTTGGAAAAACACAATCAGACCATAGCAATTGTTCAGGATTAAAAATTTTTTAAAAAACTTAAACATTCAATCAATACTAAGAGTGCCTTCTCAAAATTAGGACGTCCCTGAAAATGGGAACTTTAAAGTAATGAAATGCAAATCTTTACTAATATGCAAAAAACTTCAGAGTTATTAGATAAAGGGCAGTTTAGTCTCTATATGTTTTAAACAGCTACCCAAGATTGTGAGATTTTAGCTTTGATTGCCTGTGTAATGACCTATTTGCTCAGCATGAGACAGATAAAGCAGCTATCTTCTCAGCTGTCAGAAGTCTGCACGAGGCAGGTTACCAGAGAGATTTACCTCCACTTGGAAATTAAAATAACATCCTTTCCTTTCCATCACTGTAACACTTTTATTGTCTTGGTTTTGATAATTTTACTATGGTGATGTTAACACCAGGGGAAGTTGCCAGAAGGATATATGGGAACACTCTGTACTACTTTTGTGACTCTGCTGTAAGCCTCAAATTATTTCATAATAAAACTAAAAAAAAATTTCTCCCAAATTAAACAGATTTAATAGAAAACCAGGGAAGTAATTTGTAATTTATACAGTTAATTGGATTACTAATGTGTAAATTACTATTTTGTTTTTTAAATTTATTTTACTGATAACCGGAGAGACATATGTCTTCATTTTAATCTGCGTATCTATGTGTATATAACATCTGCACCGGTTATTACTATAGCTTACTATTTTCTTCATTATTTTATAAATATAATTATATATAAACTGGAAGCCAATTGCACATTGAAATAAATAGCAAATTAGACGTCAGTTTTCAGGACATACTCTATTCTTGACCGAATTTCCTAATAACATGCAACATTTGTTGATATACTCTTCTCTGGTCTTCACTAGGGCAGGTGTGTGGGTAGAAATGAGAGAAAATTTTTCATTCTCTGGTGTTTGCAGAAGAAATGCAGGAGTTGAGGAAGCAAGCTTCTCAACTGCAGTGACCTCATTCCAGTTGTCATAGTTTGGGTTCCCCACGAAAACACCAAGACTCAGGTTTGCATGTAGGGAGAGATGTATTGGAGTGCATTTTGGGAAATACAACCTGTGGGAGGTGAATTACAGAGGAATGGACAAAGGTAGAGGTGATACAGTTGCAGCAGAGGCTCTGGGGCTGGGATGGCCCTTCAAAATTGAGCTGAATTGGGGCTTGCCTGTACCCCACACATTGATTAGTCATTGTATGTGCACACACCCAGGAGAAGGGCCAGGGTCTTGGATCTATTTAGCTGAATGCCCCATGGGAGAGACTAGGCTGACAGCCATGAGTGCCAACCCTCCTAGCAGCTGGGAGAATGTGTCAGTACTGAAAGGGGGCTCTTAGCAGCATACTGCAGTTCATACTGCATAAGCTCATACTACAGTTCATCTCTTGGACTGCTTGGATCACATTGTTTCATACAGGCCGGGCGTGTTGGCTCACACCTGTAATCCCAGCACTTTGGGAGGCTGAGATGGGTGGATCATCTGAGGTCAGGAGTTCGAGACCAGCCTGGCCAACATGGTGAAACCGTCTCTACTAAAAATATGCAAATTAGCCCGGCATGGTGGTGCATGTCTGTAGTCTCAGTTATTTGGGAGGCTGAGGGAAGAGAATAACTTGAACTCGGGAGGCAGAGGTTGCAGTGAGCTGAGATCGTGCCACTGCACTCCAGCCTGGGCGACAGAGTGAGACTTCATCTCAAAAATAAAAAATAAAAACATGCAAACAAAAATTGCTTCATATAAGTTCTGCACAGCTCCTCACAGATTCTGACTGGTCTCTTTTCATGGAAAAATGCGCAAAACAGAGGTCAGTATAACGAACTACAACCCCATCACACCAGCCCTTATCCAGGCTGCAAATGAATACCCATCATCTTTCTCCTCTATACCAATCCTAGATTCCTCTCATTCTCAGCTAGCCCCTGAGTCTAGGTGACTTACCTGTTAGGGTGGCCCCAGTAACCTCTCTTTGAAATCTATGATTTTGTCCCAATGCCCTTCTCAGGACACGGATGCTACACCTGTGCTTTTACCATCACAACTTGGCAGGGGAAGATCAGAACCTTATGAATGAATCCTTAGGGTGTGAAATGTATTATTCGCAGCCCCGCTAAGCAATAGCAGAAATAGAAGCTCTTTCTAATAATCAGAGAAAATTATTCCTACCAATGTGATTACTTCTTTTCTTACCTACTGCCCTCTTGGAAAAGCTGCCTAAGGGACCCAGTGGCAGCCATGACTTAAAGTTTAGTGGGACACTTGCTGTGTCTCTTGGTGGAAAAGTTACCTTTCTGGGAACTAGAATGTCTAGACATTCGCAACGGAGAGATTTGGGAGAGGAAGCACAAATTCCTCAAGTGGGTCACTGTCAAGTGATGGTAAATGTGGGCAGGCCTACTGCCACTCTTGGGCTCTTGGGCGTCACAGGGCATAATAGAATAGTTGTTGATTTAGGGTATATTTTTCATTCTAAGGGTGGTGCACCATCATTTCCAGGTTTCGTCTCTAAGTTGGCACCTCAGCTGTACCCCCACAAGGCTATTTCACTGCTCCATGACAGTGGAGCTCCTGGAGCTGCAATATGTGATATGGCTGGTGGTTCTCATGGCCATGCATCCATCGGCATGTTCATCCTGGCATGGCATTTGCTGTAATGTGGGAGTGTCACGGGCTGATGTGATGTTATGCCTGATACTGTGCTGCTGAATCAAGTACTGAATAAGCCCTTGAATAGTAATGTGGACTTGGTCACTAAAGGCAGGACAAGCAAATGAAAATCCAGGATATATGCTGATTCCAGTCAAGATGAATTGCTGCCATTTCGAATGTAATAATACCAAGTTACATTCATAACTCAAAGACAGCTGCCAGGTTTTGTTCTGCCTTTTCTTGGTGCAAAGTGTACAATTCAATAAATGGCCCCGTATTTTGGAAGAGATGTCTCAGCATTCCCCATAAAACGCAACTAACTTGTTCCTTAGCTCTTTATTGGCTTGATCTCCCACCACCTGCAAGTGCACATTTCTTGCCAAAGCCTTTAGTCTACTTCCCATTTCTTGCTCATCTGATATCGTTATCTTGATGCTCTCAATAGAGGAGACTAGAAGAAGGTATGATGCTCCAGATGCCTTCTGACTATAGTGTAACAGAGGGTGAGAGAGTTACTGTAACCCTAGGGGAAGATGATAAATCTACCGTTATCCTGCCCACATGAATGTGAACGGAGAGCCATCTACTTTGGGTGTGCATGTAGCAATGGGGGCAAGTAGAGAGGGCAAAATAACCTGAATCTTCTTATATAGATCTACTGATGGAAGCAGCTAATAAGGTATGAGGAAAAATTACAAATATGTGAGTATCATATGCTTATGTTTATGTGTGTGCTAATGTGTGTATATGAAATACACACATATATGTGCTTAGTAAATACATATGAACATACACACATATATGTACATATATGTGCATTTCTCTGTTTATATATGACCAATTGTGTCATTCCATTGCATTGATATAAGGAATACTGGAGACTGGGTGATTTATAAGGAAAATAGGGTTATTTGGCTCATGGTTCTGCAGGTTGTCAATGAGGCATAATGCCAGCATCTGCTTCTGGGTGGGGGGCCTCAGAAAGCTTACAGTCATGGCAGGAGGCAAAGGGGCAACCAGCGTGGCACATGACAAGAGAGGGAGGAAGAGAGAGAAGAGGAGGTGCGAGGCTCCTTTAAACAACCAGCTGTCCTGTGAATTCGTTACCATGGGAAGGGAACCAAGCCATTCATAAGCAAATTGCTTCCATGACCCAAACACCCGCTAATATGTCCCACCTCCAACACTGGGGATCATATTTTAACATGAAATTTGGAGGCAACAAACCTCCAAACTATATCAATGTTGTCTTCAAACAAACCAATGTTGTCTTCTAATAGAAGTAGCTATAAAATATTTGCTTGAATACGCGTCAGTTGGAGTGTTTATTCAAAATGATGATTCTACACTTCCACAACATGCAGTAGGCTTTTGTTGTAACTTTGGAATTTTAACTTTAATTCAGCAGTAAAAATAATTATTCTGATTCCCAGGAAACTCACTTTGGAAACTATTTTACTTGAGAAGAGTTCCTAAAATTTCCATCCGTCAAACATTTCCTCATTTGACCACACTATTGAAGTATGACTAATACTAGTTCATATTAAATAAGCCATAAAAATAGAGTAATTTAAAATGAATCTATATAAATAAAAATAGTTTAAGGCAAGTCTTTTTTCAAGAGCAAAACCTAAATTGTGAGAACATTGAATAATAATCTTGGCTTAATTTCACATCATAACTTTTACAATGTCCAGGGTACAGCCTCATCATACTCAACTTCAATCCAGTGAAAGAAGAAAATATGATCAGTTCTCCAGAGAACATACAATCATTGCAGGAAAACCTTATGAATACTTAGCTGTTAGAATTGGCAAGAAATATTTTAAAGCAATTATTATAACTGTGCTCAATAACAATAAAAAAAGTGCCTAACATATGAAAACATAAGAAACCAAAGCAAATAAATAGAAACCATAAAAAGAAACAAATGGAAATTTAGAACTAAAAAATACAATATTAAACATTAAAAATTTATTGGGGTAGGTATAAAAGCAGATTGCAGATGCAAGAGAAAAATGTCAGTAAGCTAGAAGATCAATCAATAAAAATTATCTGATGTTTTATTAGTAAAAAAAGAGGGAGAATATGATTAAAAAATAAATGGTACCTCAGGGATCACTGGGATAATATTAAAAGGTAACATGCCTGTAATTAGAGTCCAGGAGGAGAGCAGAGAGAAAACGGGACAGAAAAATTTTGAAATACATTATGGTTTACAATGTCTCATAAATTTAGTCATAAATTTAAGAGACTGAAGTTTAGACAGTTCCAAGAAGGATGAATATTAAGAAATCCACATCAAACCCATCATAGTAAAACTACTAATAACACAGTTAAAAGAAAAATCTTTAAAATAGCCATAGAAAAATGACACGTTATGTATAGAGGAGTACAGACTTTTTAAAAATTCTAGAACTGAGCAACACAATAGCTGTAATAAAAAATTCATGAAAAATGAGTGATGTACAGAAGAATGGTCATGAACTTGAAGATAGGACTATGCAAATTATCCCATCTGAAGAACATAGAGAAAAGTAAATTACAGAAAAATAATAGCACTTCAGTGATTGTGAGACAATACCAAGTAGACAAAATATAAATGTAGTTCTAGGAGAGGACAGAGGAAAATGAACAGAGAAAATATTTCAAGTAACAATGTCCAGATTTCTCAAACTTGGTGAAAGGCATCTATTTACAGATAAGACACAAGAAGCTCAGTAGGTCTCAACCAAGTTAAATACCAAAAAGCTAAACATACCTAGGTACATACACAAACTGCTCCAAGCCGAATACAAAGGGCAAATTTTGAAAGCCAGAGAAAAAGGGGACATTGAAAAAGGGAGAAAGAACAATAGAAATTATATCTGACTTCTCATCAGAAGCAAGGCTGGAAGTAATGGAATGACGTCTTTCAAGCAGGGGCCAGGGTAAAGAAAGCCAAAATACACATACTACAATCACAACAATAACAAAAACACTTAATCCCAACTTTTAATCCAGCAAAAATATTCTTCAAAAATAAAGATATTTTACGGTTTTTTTAAAGCTAAGAGAATTTTCCACCAGCACACCTAAACTGTAAGATAGAAGTGCTAATACTTCTATTTGAAATACAAGTAGAAGGTAAATATAAAAAGCTAGCTATTTGTTATTTTTTAAAGACAACTTTTTTAAAAAAAATTAATGTCTACTTAAGGCAAAACGATATCTCTTCCTTATAGGATTTAAAATCTATGTAAAATTAGTGACACTACAAGCCCAAAGAACAAGGCATATTAAATGGAATTATATTGAAAGGTTTTTACATTTGTAAGCTGTGAATTGGTATAATATAAATTTAATGTCAATTGTGATGAGTTAAGAGATATACCGTACTTTCTAGAACAACCAGTAAAATTCGTAAAAAAAAGATATAAAGGTAACGACTATATAAATTTTTATATAACTAAAAAGCATGTGGAAGAAATAAAACAGAATGCTAAAAGATGCTATATTAATTCAAAAGAAGGCAGGGTAATCAGAAGGGAGAAACATAGAAGAGGGTAAAAAATAGAAAAATAATAGTAAAATGGTAGACTTAAACCCAATCATAAGTATTCCAATGATAAAGACAACAGGTAAATGGAAAGTAATAGAGTGCGAATGTTACAGCATAACAAAGCTGATGGGACTCTATTAATATCAGACAACGTAGACTTTAGGACATGTAGGATAACCATCATAAGAGCTATGCTTTGTAAATATAAAAGCATGATTCATCAGGAAGACATAACCATTTTAAATGTGCACCTAATCGTAGAGCTTCAGAATGTAAGTATGTCCTCATACTTACTTCAGAATGTAAGTATGTCCTCATACTTACTTCAGAATGTAAGTATGTCCTCAACCTGATGAAGGCCATCCACAAAAAACCTACATCTAAAACTATATTAATGGTAAAAGATTAAATTATTTTCCTAAGATCAGGAAAAAAGCTAGGACAGTTGCCTTACCAGTCCTATTCAATATTATACTGGAGGTTCCATTTGGTGCAACAAGACAAGATAAAAAAAATAAAAGGCATCCATATTGGAAAGGAAAAAAAATGTTAAGACAGGAATTGACCCACAATTATAGCTGGAAATTAGGATGCATCTTTCCTAGTAACTGAGCAAAATTTACAAATAACACTATCAAATAATCTGACCTAGTTGATATTTCTAGGGCACTATGACCAGCAACTTCAGGTTCATATTTGCTTCACATGCACATGGAATATTATTAAGTAGACCATAATCTAGGCCATCAAAAGTTTCCATACATTTCCAAAGAATGAAATATTACAGAGTGTGTTTTTGACAATATAATTAAATTAGAAATCAATAATAAAATACACCTAGAAACTTGCAAATATTAGACACTAAACAATACTTCTAAATAACCCATGAGTTATAGGAGAACTCACAAGGAAATCAGGAGATATTCTTAACTGAATAAAAACGAAAACATAGCATTTCAAAATTTCTGGGATGCAGCAAAAGCAGTGAGTTAGGGAAATTTATACTTTAAATGCCTACATAAAAACAGAAGAAAGGCTTTAAATCAGTGGTACGTTTCCAGCATAGAAAATTAGAAAAAGGCAAATTAAACACCGAGTAAGTAGAAGGAAGGAAATAATTCGGATGAAAACATATCTCTGGGGGTTGGTGGCGGGGCAAGGGGAGGGAGAGCATTAGGACAAATAGCTAACGCATGCGGGGCTTAAAACCTAGACAACGGGTTGATGGGTGCAGCAAACCACCATGGCACACCTATACCAATGTAACAAACCTACACGTTCTGCACTTGTATCCCAGAACTTAAAGTAAAATTTAAAAAAAAAAGAAAGAAAATATATATTTGAAATAAAAAGAGACAAACAGTAAAGATGCCAAAAGGTATTTCTCTGAAACAGTTAATACAACTGATAACCTCTGAGCAAAACTAATTAACTGACCAAACTCAAAGGATATCAGGGTTCCCTTTGCAGATATTGTTAATAGTAATGATACTATGTTTATCAAATGCCTTCAATTGATAAAATGCATTTTACAAGTGGATTTTTTCTTATTCAATTCACAAAGTAACTGAGTTATTTCTAATTTCTAATTTCAATTTCTATAAAATTAATCTTTCATATTCTTGCATGTTAGAAAACATTTTCTTCTATTTAAAAGATATTTTAGTCTGCCCTTTCTTCATTATCACTTTTATGATTCAATTTATTTATTTTTACTACTTGTAAACTATTCATATTTTTACTAAGCTTTGTATGCTTCACAGAATAAATAATGTTAATATTTCCAAATGCAGCGGATTTCTAGTATTTGACAGGTAAGCCTTTGCAAAGTTAATATATTGTATTTGAAATACCCCCTGGGAGGCGGAGCTTGCAGTCAGAGGAGATTGTACCACTGTACTCCAGCCTGGGCGACAGAGCCAGACTCCGTTAAAAAAAAAGAAAAAAAAGAAAGAAATATTCAAGCTGCTGAACAAGGAAATCAGACAACCTCTTTTGTTTATAAGCAGGATCCCATCAGCCTTATCTCCTAACTAGATAAATGTAACCAGTTATTGAAGCATTACCACAGTTAAATAATATACAAAGAGAGCCCCTCACCTCTCCTGGCAAAAAAAGAGCCTTTAAAGAAAAGATTTCTGCACCTGCCTGTAGTCCTAACTACTTGTGAGTCTGAGGCAGGAGGACAGCTGGAGCTCAGGAGTTCAAGGCTGCAGTGAGCTATAATTGTGCCACTGTAGTCTAGCCTGGGTGACAAAGTGAGACCCTATCTCTACTAAAAACAAAAAAAAAAAAAAAAGAAAGAAAAGAAATTCTGAATTCCTTTCTTTCTTTGACCAATTGTTCTGGATGTTTCATAGTTTGTGTCTTTCCTTGTGTCTATACTATAACCCCTTTTGAACAATTAGCACTTTATTATTTCCTATACAAACAAAATAGCCCTAATGCCCTCAAATATGGTTCCAAACAGTGTAAGAAGATTGCAGCCTGTCTGAACTGTCAGCCTTCTTACTTCTAAAGTCATTTTTGTTTATTAGTTCCTCATCACCCATCAGACCTCTTTTAGAATGTCTCAAACTGTTGTTACATTAATGGAGGATTTCAACTCCCCACATAGAAAAAAGAAAATACTCATAGGTAATTACTTATCATATTAAACATGCACAGGTTTGTGTGCATGTGCACACACACATAGGTACCCTAAAAATAAAGTTTGCTGGATTCAAAATATTCATGGCATTTGGGAAGAAGAGAAAGGGCAGGTCTTCGCAGTATGCTTCTAGATCTATTTTAAATATGTAATAATAGTGGAGGGATCAGTTTATTTTTAGCCTGTTTACCTTAAGAAAATATATAATCTCAGTTAATCATGTGTTGATACGATGGGTGCAGATAAGGATGTATTAAGGGATATATGATGTGTGCAGATAGGGATATTCTAGATCTATTTTAAATATGTAATAATAGTGGGGGGATTGGTTTATTTTTAGCCTGTTTACCTTAAGAACATATATAATCTCAGTTAATTATGTGTTGATACAATAGGTGAAGATAGGGATATATGAAGGAATCTATGCAAACTCAAGATAATCACACTTAATTTTTTAAAGTGCAAGTGAGAACACAAATCATTTCTAGGGTTTCATCATTGCCTGTATTAATCAGTAAATAAACAAGTACTTATGTGATTACTAAGTACCGAGAAATATCAACACGGAGAAGTCCATTAAAGGTCCACACAACACAGTGCCCTCTGCTTTAATGTACAAGCTTATACGAAATAGATTCCAGAGAATTTTTGAGGTATGTTCATGTATTTCTACTTCATTTATCAAATATTATTTTGGCATGTACTATTACTCAACTCTGCTATAGTTTCTAATAGGAAAATTATGACTGCAAAGAAAATGGTAAGAGAGGAAGAGACATGAGACACAGCCTGGGAGCAAATAACTCAGCATTAGACTAATAATGTGCTAAACATTTTACAAACATTGTCTCATTTTTGTCCTAACAAGAAAGCTGAGGTGTGCTTTTACTATTTTGATCATACAGATGAAGAAATTGTCACATTGCTATTAAGTAAAAGAGCCAAATTTTGAAACAAGACTTTTCTCATTCTACTAATTAAAAATGCCTTTTGTTTATAACTCGATTATAAATTATAATTTCTAATTGTATTGTGAATTATAAGCCCAAAATGAGTTGAGAGCTTTAGAAGATACATTGTCTCTCAAGAGCCGACAGGGATTGGAAAATTTATAGCCTAATTTATCAAGCCTTGAACAATACAGAATTTACTTTTAGTAAGGTTTCTGTGGATGATTGCCTAATCTGGTGTAAACCAAAGAGATGCCCAGGCTTTTTAAAAATCAGGCATGCCCATAACTAGCATGATTATTTTCATTCAGGAATCCCAAGGGATCTGTTTCAATGGCTAAATTTCCTTGAAAATTCAATTATTCCTCAGATCATCCAATACTCAGTTGTGAAGTACCGTATTATGAAATCCACATGGTGGTAGACGCCCTAACTGTGTTTGTTCTTCTACAGTAATCAGACATCAAAGGTATTTATATTTCTTAATTTAAAATGTCTTATTAAAAATATAAAGCTATCTATTTAAATCTTGGTCATTAAATGGGCTGCTCAAACATGTTAGAGAAATCAGCCATTTTTATTTTATTTCATGTTATTTAAATAATTACATTCAGCAAATTTCAGGCAGTATTGCCATGGTCGTACTCATTTTTATGTTGACTTTTTGTTTGGATTCAATGCGTTGACTTTAAATGTAGCTTCTCCATGCTCACTTCCTCACTTTCAGGAGGTGGCATGATTTGCAATCAGAGAGACTTGAGCTAGAAATGGCCATACCATGGCACCTCTCACCTGCCACAGAAAGGTGTGTCTTTGGGTGAGCTATATATCATCTCTGGGTTTCAGTTTCCTCACTTGTAGAATGAACATAATGTGTTTACTTTCCAGGCCAATTTTTAGGTAAGCAGAGATAACGTATGTCACCTGAACACATATAATCAGTATTCAATAACATGTTATTAGATAAATGATAGACATTATTGTCTACAATCTTCTTAAGTCACTTTACATCAACCTATTATGTTGATAGGACTAATGCCAGTTATTTTTCATATTTTTCTTTTACCAACTATAATAATTACAAAATTAGATATGCAGAGCTAATAGCTTTGCTTCTTTCTCCACCCCTGCAAAACACAAAAAACAAACAACAGAACAAAAACAAAATGTCTTAAGAAGAAAGACAATTTGTATCAAGATTCTTCAGAGAACAATCTATTTTTCCAGAGTTATTTACATTACTCTGGACAATCATTTTCCCCAGATGCCCTTTCTGTTGTGTCTTGTGCTTTAAAGTTTGATTCTTCTGCCATGTCGTCTATGAGTCGTAGAAATATGGATTAAATATCCCCTTTTTATAGCCAATAATGGTGCTAATCACTGTCTTACCATTGTTACATTATAGGTATATGTGATTGCACATAATATCCAATTTCCTCTGTCTCATTCTGTCTTAATAAAACATTTCCAAAATTCTTAAAATTTTTTGGATCTCCCTTCTACCTCGCCTAAAAGTATTGATGATATTTCACCAGCCCAGAAATAACCACTCAGTTTTCTTTACTGCTTTGTACTATAAGAATATGTTCACATATATTATTTTCATATGCATTTTATAAAAAGGCACATGTATAACTTTAATCATTTTCCAATTCCCACCAACCCAGAACCTCACAAAATTTCCATAAGTGATGATAGAGTTATATTCTGCACCACTGTTGACTGAGGGCTGCTAAATAGTGTCACAGAGGAATTGGCAAGTAAAGTGACAGCACACATGAGTCATTATTTTTTAATTCAGACTCCAAGCCAGGAAACTTCCTTCATTCCAAAAGGACTTTAAAACTCTATGCCTTCCATGGTCCAGTGTAGAGTATAATTGCTGATTTTTACAGATAGTTACATCCAATTTAGAGACACTGAGAGTTGAAGATTCCATAGCCACACTTTTGTACAGCAGTTTTGAGGAAAGCAAAATGCTTGTATTAATTAATGAATTAAAACTCAAAATAGCAGGAAAGCAGAAATAGATAAGAAATAATATGAGTCAGAAACCAGAAATAAATATACCTGACTCAGATGTACACTTAGAAAAAGTCCATGTTAGGTGAGAACAAGGAGGCACTGGAGACATTTTCATGTGCCTCATCACTTGAATAGTTTGTGATATGTAATTATGTAAAGCTCAGAAACCACTTCAAGCTTAGAAACAGCATAGCAGGTTTGTTGTATGTTTTAATTCAAATGTGATTCTTAGATACATGTTTTATTTTCCTTTCTCCTCCCTGAGCTCAGCAAGCATTTTATACTTGAGAACTGTTGCCGATTAGCTAACACATTTTTGGCTTAAGTATATTTACTATCTCCTTGGTCTTCTCTAAAGATTGAGATTCTCTGTCCCTGCATATTTCAGTTGCCTTTAATAAGATATAAAATATTTCTTCATGTCTAAAAATTCTCCAATTATTATTATTTATTTTTTTTGAGATGGAGTCTTGCTCTGTCGCCCAGGCTGGAGTGCAGTGGTGCGATCTCAGCTCACTACAACCTCAGCCTCCCGGGTTCAAGTGGTTCTCCTGCCTCAGGCTCCCGAGTAGCTGGGATTACAGGCGCCTGCCACCACGCCTGGCTAATTTTTGTATTTTTGTAGAGATAGGGTTTCACCATGTTGGTCAGGCTGGTCTTGAACTCCTGACCTCAGGTGATCCACCTGTCTCGGCCTCCCAAAGTTCTGGGATTTCAGGCATGAGCCACCAGGCCCAGCCCAATTATTATTCTTATTACTGTGAAATATATGATTCTCCTAACCAACTTAGGAAGTAAGTAGATACGGGAGAAGGCATTATTTAAGAGATTTTGCAGTCTGTATAACAGGATGGTAGTGCCATTTGTAGGAGTGTGACCAAAGTGTGCAGTGCTTATTATTAATTTAAGTGTGGGTTGAAGGATTAGGGGGAATTTTAGAGAGAATAAAGTGAAAATTATCAAGGCTTGCTAAGATTTTAAATTCTAAGATATTCTGCTTACTTTTTCTTTATGGTCACAAATGAGATGGGAGATAGTATTCATTGAGGATACAAAAGAAAGAATCAAAAATATTTTAATTGTTAAAAATATAGGCGTTCTCAAATATAATTTGATAGGATTTAACATTATGATCATAATAGAGAAAGTTCCAAAAGTCATCATTACAATTTTAAGTGAGAGGTAGAAAGAGTATAATCAAGATTATTAATATATATTTATGTAGCTGAAGTCAAGATCAAATTTTCTTATGCTCTGTAATTGCCTCTATTTTTATCATATGATTTGAGCTCAAAAGATAGTACCATATTCCTTTAGCCATCAGACATCTCAAAGATATAATCAATCAATGTTAAAAAACTAAAAAAGAAATTATTTCTTATTTAGATAAAAATCTCCTGAAAATTTTCATCCAGAAAGGCTCTAGGCAGAGTATAAAGAATCTTCTGGGTTCTTGTCTGTGTTCCCTATAGGACTGTAAGAATTCCTGCGTACACAACAAAATACTAAAGTAGTAGATACAATTGAGTACAGTGACCCCACAAAAATTTAAGCACATATAGCAGCAGCCACCAATGAATGATACAAATCATATGTCCACAGAATCATTAGCACAAAATTACATTTTAGCGTCTTTCCTAAGTGGATGAATAGCCTAAAGTTAAATCTCATGATAGTCAAAGACCATGTTAATAAAATCAGACACTAGGGGAATGAGAGAGGCTCAAGCCTTAGTGCTTAAAATATTTTTATCCTAAGCCTGCTATATGTTGAATGTGTATGAGAAAGTCATTTTAGTTAATCTTTCTAGATGCCTATACAACATTTAATAGTAGTCATTTATTTGACAATCTGTTTCATTCCACTGCCAGATATTTTTTTCCAATAAGAAATGCAACTTTGTATAACTTAGTTTTCAAATTTTTTCATTAATAATTTCAGATACTTCACTAAAGGGAAAGTTTCTCAAATTGAAATTAGGTAATAAAAGCTGATGAAAGGCTTTTGTTGTGTCGGGTTTGAGATCTTAATAATGCTAGAGATGCCTTAAGGGAAAAATTCCACATACTAGTGACAGCATGTTTTATAACATCTTTTTTTTTGAAAATTGCAGCCATTTATGAAAAATAATAGTCATTTCAGTTAACTTATTAGTACAGCACATGTAGTTAAGGGTACATGCACATTAATTCCTGCTACTCATGTTTTCAGTTTGAAAAATGATTAATCTTACATGCAAGTTACCTTAGGATACAATTATAAGTTTCTCAGTTTCATTTCAATGCATAGTAATCACCCATAGTAACTGAAGTATTGAATTAAAAGTGACTTCTTAGAACGCTGTCTCCATAAAAATAAAGAACACTCAATTACAGAACACAAAACGTCAGTGAAAGATCATGTATTCCATTTGTTCCCAAATGTTGGCCTGTGGAAGTTGTCTATTGGTTACGTGTGTCCCACCGGGGCAGCTTACTGAGAACAAAAGTGCCTGGTCTCACTGTGAGACACAGGTGGTAACGGAAGCCCGAGGCCTTGCTACTCAAAGTGTGGCCCTGGGCATGCAGGTTGATGTCACCTCAGAGCTTTTTAAGTAATCAGAATCTCAGGCTCCCTTCCACCCCATTTTAAAAGATCTCCAGGTAATTCATATGCACATGAGAGTTGGAGAAAGTGTGGTCTAGGATGCCAGGTTTTTGTTTGCTTTATTTGTTTTCAAAACACTCAGTTGATCCATAGAATATCAAATGACATTTTTCCTATACCACTTGAACTTAGGGCAGCAGAGGATTAAAGCAATTATTATTGAAAGGGGTTTTATGTGTTTGTTTTCTTTATCAAAGTCTTTGTCTTTAAAATTCCTGCAGAATGTGAAATAGGATGGCGAAAACTGAGAGAAAAGGCATTCCTGGATGAATGGACAGAGCATCAGGAAATGATCTATGGTGGAATATGCTGCAGAAATCAATGACTATAGATTGTAACTAGAGCTAACTTTGAGAAAATCATGTGCAAGGAGAGATTTAAGATTTCTGAGAAAAAATCGACTGCTATTCCTGAGTCACCAGACCTAGGAAAACATAGATTGTGCCCTCAATATGTGGAAAGTTATTCTGGCCTAATGAAATTAACACAAATGACGAGATCTGCGGCAGATGAGTATGTGCAAACAGTAGATGCAAGACGTGTGTGGAGAAACAGGCTATTATAATGAAATACGAAGTGATCTTTTTTCACTAATGTTATTTACATATTACATCACTCAGGAGTTACCGAATGTGTACTCATGAAGTTAAATATTCCATTTGAACCTGACAGATTTTTTTCCTGCTTTTCTAGTTATTTGCTTTGGGTGAAGAAATAGTAAAAGACCACTGGAGTTTTCTAAGGCATATTCTACACATTTGGGCAAACTGCTTTTAATCATGATCTTTTGCATACAGGAACTGCAGGCATTTCTCTTAAAAATTTTCAAAAACAGTGTTATCATATATAAAGAAAAACAGAACATGCAACCATCCTGAGATAAAGAGGAAAGTAGGCAAGCTAGGCAGAGACAACTCCGTGGGATCAATGAGCATGGATGGCATTTCAAATGACTTTGTGTGAGCTCAAGATGAGGTCTGTGTGTCAGGAAAATGATATAATTGGCGAGGGGCAAGATTTTTGTAGGATGTGCCAAATACAGCTGGCAAAATTTGGACAAAACAAGAAGAGAATGCAGAACAGATCATTACAGAGATAACAATCTAGCTAAATAGTTTTATTTTTTATGTTTGAATATTATTAAATATCCTTTATAATTTTATAAGTGATTTTATAATTATTTTATAAATATCCTTTATAATTTTATAAGTGATTGCAATTATATAGAGATATATATGAATGCGTGTATACATACACACTGATATAAAATAAATGTGTGGAAAGAAAATTATGAGTTTTTGTCATTAATCTATTATTACAGCATTAAGTATGAGTTTATTATTGATAATATGCAAGACATTACATGAGGCAACGGGAATGGAACATAAATAATGCAAGCTCCCTGCTGTTAACTAATATACATCTTCATGGGGAGAATTCGGAAAAGAAGATACCAAGGTTGAAGTATATATATATATATATATATATATATATATACATACATACACACACACATTATACTTCTTATGTATACTATTATATACTATATACTATATATTATATACTAAAGACTATATTATTTATATATATATATATAAAAATCAGGGAGAATAAATAGAATGAAATGGTCAAGTTTGGAGAATGAGGAGGCATAGAGCAGTGTTTAACAAACGCTTTGTATAGGAACTCTACTTTGAATTGAATCTTCAAAGATAAGAAGGTGTTAACCAGGACACAAGAAGGCAGGGGCCAGCAGTGTCATGGCAGGCGAGAGACGTCCAGACAGCCAGATACTTGGAAAAGTTCATGCCCTTCTCTAACACATGCAAAAGATTTGTTTTTTTATTTTCAGTGTAAGGTTTGTGATCATCAAACAGAAAGACTTTCTGGACCTGTAAGACTTTTTTCTCATTATTAATAAATAAATAAGAAGCTTTTTATAGTTTGACTTTTCTGTCTTCAAAGAAGAAAGGTCATCCTGCTAATAAACAGAAAAACTAGACAAGCCTTTCCTGTTGTGACTCATTTGACACATTCTTAGTCTATTTAAAGTTTTAGAGATAACCAGGTCTAATTGGAATCGCTATGATAGCTTTGCCCATTGCTCATGTGTGGCTAATATTGGTGGCATTAATGGACAAGTAACTAATGTACAGAAAAGCATGATTAAATGAAAGTCTTTTCAAAGGTTGTGCACACTGTTTGAAAAGCCATTTAAAGAAATAGTTTATTTCTTCCAAGTGAGTTGGAACTGAAGCACAGCTGCTGTTTCTCCCTGGAGATCGATGTCTCGAAGCACATAGTTCAGATCAGTCAATGTGATAATCTTTCCTGTCAAACAAAGTACCTGCCTGTTCAAAGTCATGCTGGACAAGAAAGATGTTCTTTGTGCTGCCAAAAGATTCCAAATAAATAAGGATAATAATCATGTTCTCGCCGTTTTATGAAATATTTCTGTCATTCTCAAGGAAAAGGATTAGATCAGGGCATCAAATTACAATTTCACTAAAGCATTCTCAGATTTTGCTACCCTTTCAAATGGTTAGAAAAGTCTAGAAGAGGAATGTTGCTTTTTAAAAAATGAATTACAGAATACCACTGAGGTTGAAATCACAGGAAAACATTTTTAAATATAAAATCTTCCTGGCTGAACAACAAAATTTACCCCTTTCCCACCTGACGTACTGGAAAGTTGTGGAAATGAGACAAAGTCCAATGTTATTTTCCTCAATCTTAAGGCCCGATGATTCCATAGCCAGCTACTGAAGAGACGAAAGGGAGTTAAATGCTTTTGAAATCACCTAATTCATGGAGATATTATCAACAGAATAAATGAGACCTGAAGTATCAGAATGGCAGTTACATTTTATTCAAAGTTTTTCTATTTCTCTTGATGCCAGAAAGGCCTATTTTTTGCCAAGGAGACACTACAAGAAGCACTTCCCCAAACCAGGATGACCCATGGGACTGATACACCCTTTTCCTGTGACAGCCACTTTCATCCGGGATTTCATTCAGCTGAACAATTTCCTGGAAAGAGGTTAATGCAATACGGATCCTTCATTCAAAAAAAAAAAAATATATATATATATATGAATTTTGCTAGTTTCTGGCACCAAGAGAAATAGAAAAACTTTGAATAAAATGTAACTGCCATTCTGATATTTCAGGTCTCATTTATTCTATTGATAATATCTCCATGAATTAGGTGATTTCAAAAGCATTTAACTCCCTTCCGTCTCTTCAGTAGCTGGCTATGGAATCATCGGGCCTTAAGACAGAGGGAAATAACATTGGACTTTGTCTCATTTCCACGACTTTCCAGTATTTCAGGTGGGAAAGGGGTAAATCATATATATACGATTCATATATATATATATATATATATATATATATATATATATAAGAATTTCTTATTAAAAGTAGCATATTTTGAAAAGTTCTCTTTGAATTTCAAGTGATTTGTTATAGGAAACAAAATGTGACATATTGTCACATTGTGACATAACAACATGTCTCTTTCCTTTCAGAAGGAATGAGCACTATCATTTTGCATTTTGTTAGTTTACTAATGTGCTTAGTGATAGGAGTAGTTTATGGAAATAAGGACTCACTGTTCAGGCCGGACTGTCAGTCTTAATTTGACGTGACTCTAAAGGTAGGGATATTTAAAACCATTTTTACAAAGTAAGTGTTAAGAAATACTCTATAATAAGAATATATTTCTTTTTCTACCATCGTCACCATCTTTGGGGTCTGTTAGCTGTCTCAGCATTGAAAATGATGAGCTTAAAAATCACTGACCTCCCTTCCCTGCTCTGCCGCTTCAGTTTGTCAAAGTGTTCAGAGAGTGATCATTTGCAGTCATGGAAGAATTATGTTTAGTCATGCACGAGGCCGAGTGAAACAAAAAATCTGATTTCTTTTGATAGGGAGAAAAGTAACAATTTCAATTTTTCACACTACTAATTGTCTTTCTCAGCAGAAAGTGCATTTCATTTTCGTTATTGATGTTGTGATGAGTGGGAAGGACAAGAGCCAGAGTCAGGGGACCTGAACTAATTAATCCTCTTGCTCATCTTTGGGGAGCAGGCAAGGTGTTTATTTACCGTTTCTGTAGTTTGCTTACCACATCAGTCCAATGCATGCAAGATGATTCTGAAGATTACTTTAAACTCTAAAATACTATGATCATTAACGTTGTTATTGTTATCACTTAAAAGCCCTTAACTGCCTTCTATGAAATATTTCAGAAAGCAAACCATATATAATCCCTCAAAGTTAGATTACTGCAATATAAAATACATGATATTTATAAGGATTTACGGAAAACAGAGAGATAATTTCTGAACTGAAACTGTAGCCTTAGCTACGGTTATACAATGCTGACTGAGCTCCTAAACTGAGGATTAAAGTCTTTTCTGGCTTCTAACACATCGTGATTGATTCAGAGACGTGCACATAACTCAAGCTGGAGGAATGGGAATAAAACGTGGGTGTTGCAGTAACTGTAGACACAAGTGGGAGAGAATTATTGATTGCCCACAACATGAATTGCATTGTATTATGTGCTTTGGATATTTGGGATTTTACTGAGAGAAAGGCTTTAGTCTCATAAAAGTGTAACATAAAATCTATCCTCTAGAAAAGAGTAGCATTTTCCAATTACCTTATACATAAAGGTAAAATTTATATAGGGAGATTGAGTGGCATGTTTGCCAGAAGAAATGGCTAATTATAGCTAACACATTGTAGCGCCCATACTAGTTTGCCAGGGATGCCGTAACAAAGTACCACAGCCTGGGTGACTTAAGCAACAGGAGTTTATTTTCTCATAGCCCTGGAGGCTGGAAGTCTGAGATCAAGATGTTGGCAGGGTTGGTTCCTTCTAAGGGCTGTGAGATCATCTGTTCCAGGCCTCTCTCCTTGGCTTGTAGATGGTTGTCTTCTTTCTGTGTCTTCATATCCTCTTCCCTCTGTGTGAGCCTGTATTCAAATTCCCTCTTCTAAGATTGCCTAATATTGAATTAAGGTTCATTCTAATGGCCTCATTTTAATTGAATTACTTGTCTAACGACTCTATCTCCAAACACAGTTACAGTCTGAGGCACTGGGGTTAGAAATTCAGCATGTGAACTTTTGAGGCACACGATTCAGCCCATAAGAGTACCTAACAAGGAAGTGCAAAGCCCTTTGCTAAAAACTTTATATAAATTAACTCATTTAATTTTTTCACAGCCTTGTAAATTCTATAATTATCCATAGAAGTTATGTAATTTGTTTCAACAAGAAAGTGGCAAGACAAAGATTTTAACTCAGTCCATATGGCTCCCAAGTATTTGCTTTTAACCGAAGTTTGGCAGGCCCTAGTTTAAAGCCATCTCATTCTATTTCCTCTTCCTAGGTACAAAGGAACTAATTTTCCCATTTTTTCTTGCAGTGAATTTGGAGCCACATGGCAGAGGTTTGACCGGTAGAATGTGAGTTCAAGGGACAAATGCTACCTTTAGATCTGAGACTCTAACATACCCCAAATAATCATCCTTGCTCGCTCTCTCTCTTTTTACTCCTTAGTCCTAGTGAACACAGAGCAGTGGAGAAACCCAAGGAGGCCCAAGGAGTGTGGTGGCCCAGCAGGATGACAGGTCCTAGGAGCTCTGAATTACGGCATGGAGAGATGATTTAAAAACAAATGAATTGGCCAGGTGCGGTAGCTCACACCTGTAATCTTAGCACTTTGGGAGACCGAAGTGGGCAGACCATGAGGTCAAAAGATCGAGACCATCCTGGCCAACATGGTGAAATCCTGTCTCTACTAAAAATACAAAAAATTAGCTGGGCATGGTGGTGCGCACCTGTAGTCCCAGCTACTCAGGAGGCGGAGGCAGGAGAATCGCTTGAACCCAGGAGGCGGAGGTTGCAGTGAGCCGAGATTGCACCACTGCACTCCAGCCTGGTGACAGAGCGAGACTCCGTCTGAAAACAAAACAAAACAAAAAACAACAACAAATGAATTGTAATATGAGTGAGAAATTAAGCATTATTGTACTAAGCTACCTAAATTCTGGAGTTAATTATTATATTAGTTAAAATCAATTACCCTGACCAATAAACATGAAAGCATAGTAGGGAAAGAGCTAAAGTTTAGAGAAATTAGGTGATTTTTTTTTTTGTCAGAATATGTAAGCTATATTCTGATAGATAAGAAAAATGGAATTAAAAATATACTGTCATTATAAGGCTTGATACCTGTTAAGAAACCTGCTATAAGATTAATTTCATATTCCAGTTTTGCTCTCAATGAAATTATTTCTTTAGAAAAATTTTTATTTCTGTGGCACATAATTTAAATATATGGCTATGATAGACACTTTCGGCTATTTTGATTGCAAAAAAATTTTAAAACTTACCTAACTTAAGCCTAATTCAAAACATGCTTATGTCGAACAGTTTAAAATCAAATATTATTGAAGTAAGCATCAAGTTCAATGATGAAATATTGATATTTGGTCATATGAGGTCTCAAATCAAGAATTCATCTTTTTTTAGAGAAAATTACATTGAGCTATAAAATTAGAAAGAGGAAAAACTGGAACAGCAATGAGAATTTTTGTTGTCATGACATTGTTGTAAAATATCATTTTATTTGAAGTAATACTTTTTAAGACTACAGAAAAATGTGTTCCTTTCCTGTTTAGAAACAAAAGCCAGTTTAAAAATATAGCCCAAGAGGGATAATAGTTGAATACTTGGAATACTTCCCTCTCCTTTCTACAAAGTAGAAAAAATTGACAAATTAGACAAAATATAGATTTCAAAGTAGAGAAAAAGAAGGAATCCCATGGAGTGTGCTAGAATTGTATGGTCAAATTATGTAGAGGTGACTTCGAAGCCAGGGACTTTCCAAGGCAGCTTTCCAGCTTTTCAATGCTGTAAGTTAAATATGTTGCTGTTATGAGTTTAAGCAAATTGTTATCATTTAGAGAAATTAAGAGTTTAAAAAGAAAGTATTTTTATATTTATTTGTTGCCGGATACTTTTCCTTTTTTTATATAGATATGAGTTTCTCATTTGTACAGTCTTCCTTATACCTGATAAGTCCTTTTCACATTTCTGATATTACAGGTCTGCTGACAATAAATTGCCTCGGTTTTGTTTGTCTGAGGAAATATTTCTTTTCAACTTTTTAAGAATTATTACATTGGATATTGAATTCTAGGTTGGTAAGATATTAGTTTGGTGCAAAAGTTACTGCGTTTTTTTTTTCATTGAAAGTCATGATAAAACCCACAATTATTTACGCAGCAACCTAATATTTTTTCTTTCAACATTTTAAATATTTCAGTCCATTCTTTCTCTCTTTTTTTTCCTTCATGGTTTCTAATGGGAAATATGCTGCAATTCCTACCATTGTTCCTTTATGAGTAAGACATTTTCCCTCTGGCTTCTCTCAGGATTTTCTCTTTGCCCTGTTTTTCTGCAGTTTGAATATGGTATACATATATGTGATTTTTTTTTTTGGTTCTTGTTATTTAGGTTGTTTGTTTTTCTCTCATCTCCTTGGGTCTGTTGTCTCATATCCGTCGATAATTTTGAAAATATTTCTTCTGCTCTGTTTCATCTTTCCTCTCATTCTGGTATTTCAATTATATGTATTTTGCAATTTTTGATATTTTGCCCCAGCTCTTGAATGTACTGTTCTGATTCTTTCTTACTATTTTTCTTTGCATTTCACTTAGGGAAGTTTCTATTGACTTAACTTTGAGCTCACCAAATCTTTTCTATTCTACGTAGTCTATTAATTAGTCCATTGAGGACAATTTTCATTTCAGGTGCTGTGTTTTTGATTTCTAACATTTCCTGTTATTGTTGGAGTTTCCATCTCTGCTTATATTATGCATATGCTTTTGCATGTTATCTGTTTTTCCCATCAGAGCCCATATTAATCATAGTTATTTTAAATTGCCTAATAGTTCCAATGTTTGTATTTTATGAGAATGTGACTCTGATGATTGCTTTATCCCTTCACACTGTTTTCCTTCTTGCTTTTTTGGCCTGCCTTATTTTTTATTGAAATCCAGACTTATTAAATAAAATAGACTGAGGTAAATAGTCCTTTAGCAGGAGGATTTATGCTAATTTGGCCAACAGTTTTTCTGTGTTTAGTGATTGTTGTAGCTTTGGATACCAGAGGATACAATTTTGTTCAGTGTTTTTGTTTTAATCTGTCTTTGCTCTGGTTCTTCCCTAAACACTTCTTCTCAGAGAGAGTCTGTGCTGGCAGCTCTTACACCTTAATCCACTATGCATTTTTCTGGATTCTTATTGGTAGGGTTATAAGGAGTGGGAGGTGGGGAGTGTTCTTTGCCAGTTCAATTAAATCGCAGTCACTTAGTGGGCCTGTGTGTAGGGCTGTAGTCTTCACATGTGTTTCAATCTCTCCTCTAGTAGTAGAGTTGTTTTGGGCCCTGCCCACGACTCCCTTCCCTGGCTGGCACATTTCCAGTGGATTTCCTTGAATGCCTAACTCCCACAGGCCCCGTAAAACTACACTTTGCAGAGTTTCTTTGTCTCATGCTGGCTCTCACTCAGCCTGAGGAATTCAGACATTTAAGATTGCCTCCCAGTTTACAGCTCTTTTGGCTTTTGCTGTAGGCAAGTGGCCTTTGGTTGCTATATATCCCTGGAAATACCTGCCTCTTTAGATTTAGGGTAGTGATTTGACCTGGGACCTCAGTTTTCTTATGGGATCAATAAAAACAATTGATTTTCAGGTTTTACTTGTTGTAGGGATGGGAGTAATGACTTCTAAGCTCTTTATGTATCAAAGATGAAGTTGACAATAGCTGTCTTTAAGTTTAGGAAATGTTTAAAAGGTTCACAATAACTTATATCAAAGATTCAACTATTTATTAACAAATAAGTTTATGAAGTTGAGGTTTAAATGGACCTTTAATAATATAGGTCTTAAGTCCTAATTATATTTCTGGTACTGAAAATATTTTAATCAGAAAATAGCGTTATTCAAAATATATAAGCAGACTTTGGTTTACTTTTTCAGTCTGTGGAATGCAACACAATATGATAAGATTTCCTACCACAGCACCACCTTTCTTTTTTTTTTGACACAGAATCTCGCTCTGTTTCCCAGGCTGGAGTACAGTGGCACGATCTTGGCTCACTGCAACCTCTGCCTCCCGGGTTCACGTGATTCTCCTGCCTCAGCCTCCTGAGTAGCTGGGATTACAGATGTGTGCCACCATGCCCGGCTAGTTTTTTGTGTTTTTAGTAGAGACAGGGTTTCATCATGTGAGCCAGGCTGGTCTTGAACTCCTGACCTCAAGTGATCCACCCGCCTCGGCCTCCCAAAGTGCTGGGATTACACGCATGAGCCAACGTGCCCGGGCAACACCACATTTTTAAAAAAGAAAACATTGCTAGAAGCTTATATATGTTAGTCCCGTAAAATATTATATTTTATTCTTTTTCTTGGAACTTTTGAATTAAACCATGCATTAATGTGATTGAGACTACATATGGGAAATGGATTTGTTTCCTGCATAGTCAGATGAATTACTTAAAAAACGTTGTTATGATTTAAAACTAGTACAACAAAAGAAAACTGTAAAAAAGTGGTATTTAAAATTCCCTACAAATGTATCACAGAAAGACAATTGTTCATATTTTGCTACTTTAAAAAATGTTTTTCATTCACATTGTATATACTTTAGATGACATAAATATAAAATATATCCTACTTTCTTCACATACTACCACAGCAGAAGCTTATGCAGCTATTATCACATCTCTATAGATGGAATTTAATGCCTAAAATATTTTATCATTTATATAGCTATTCTATATTGTTAAATATCTAGATTTTTCCAATATTTCATTATGCTTTGCTCATATTTATTCATATATTTTTAAGTTTAACTCCCAAATTTACTGAGCTATGACCATTACTGGGTTTCCAGAAATAAATTATCATTTGCCTAAGTTATATGCTATTATAAGTAACAATTATTGTTTCCTATATGCTAGATAATATTTAAGTGCTTTATATATGATCATCACAAGAACAATATAATGTTGATTTTGTCATCATTTGCATTTCAGACATGCAGAAACTGTGGCACAAATATGTGAAATGTTCAAGGCTGGACAGAGTACAGGTGGTGGAGCTAAGGTTTGAAAGAAGGGAATCTGGTCTTGGGTTCTGGAATCTGGTCCTGGATTCTGGATGCTTCTACATGATGCTACATTCCCTTTTCCATTTCACGTCATCTACATCATTAAAAAAACTGCTAACTGAATGAGTTAAAATAACACACAGCTCATTCAATAAATTACTTATAAATTACTGAGTACACTATATATTATGTGAAATGCAATAAGTGCTAGATACAAAAGCAACATTAGAATAGGGTACAGGGACTAAAGACCTAGAGGGGATGACAGTTTGAAGTATTCGAGTAGGGAAGCTTTAAGCAAAGAATGCATGAGGGGACTGGCCAAGGGGACTGGCCAAGGCTGGAGGGGGGCAGAAGGAATGTCTTGAGGGAAGATCCTGAGACTAGAATGTGCTTAGTGAGTGTGAGAAACAGTAAGAACGCTCAAGTGGGTGAGATAGAGGAAAGTGAAGGAAACTTGTAGACGTCAGAGTATAAACGCATGGCAGATTATGAAGGGTCTTGTAGGCCACTGGTAGGACCTAGGCTTTCACGCTGAGTGAATTTGGAGAGGATTGCAGGTTTCTGATCTGACTTACTGATTTTACTTGCATATCTTTGATTCCTCATGAGGTTGACTATTTTGTTCTTAAATGTAATTTATTTACCTGTTTTATGAAACACGTGAAATTTTGAAATTTATTTTGTTGACTTTGAGTGAGGTTTTCTTTTTTGCCCACAACATAAAGCAATTCTGGGTAACTTACGCTGACAATGTCAAAGGTATTAATGTAATAGAAAGTAATTCACAGATTCAGGCAGAGTGGAATAATAATCACGGCTCAGGGTAGATGGGAACCAGGGTAGCTCTAAGAATCTCAGAACTGGAGACTAGAAGCATTATATGTCATAACCCCAAATGCCTTCCACTACCTACAAGTCTCAGAAGACAGTCCAATTGCCTTATATGAGGCCACCTTTTTAATCATGGTTTGGATGCCAGGACTGGTAGCTTACCAGAAACATGGAAGTAGAAATGGGGTTAGTTTCCCAGAAAAAGACATATGAGGTAGACAAAAAAAAAACTGTCTAATATAAAACCTAGTGTTATTAAATGTTGATTTCCAAGAGATATGTGTCAAGAGTGTTAATCATTTATTTAGCATATGTGTTGCAGCATGACAGTTTATAGGTATTCTCGTGCGTCTTTATCATGTGGGGATATAAAATGTAATTTATTATCTCATAACTAACATAGACGGTTTACAAAAATACTATTTTATCCAAAGCTTTGATTACAGTCAGGAAGTTTTCTTTTATAAAGTGTCCTTGAAAATGATGTACGATGGTGGATTTACAACTGTATAATTATAGGATAATTGGATAATGACTTAGAAGTCTGTTTCACCCTTGCTGTAGTTGGTAGATATTAATTTTTCTGACTTGGCTATCGAAATGCTTTGAACAAACCTTTCTAAATTATTATTAAGCCTATATTTTATCAACATAATTTACATTTTACAAGACACTTAAAACTTATTTCATCTCATATGAACCAGAGATATTTGACGCCGGCAGTCAGATGGTTTCATTGTTTTTCAATAGATAAAACGAGCACAGAGAGGACAAATTAAGAATGTGTTAGTGAGGTTTCCCACAATATCTCCAGTGACTGGCATGGGGCATGCAAGCGGTAGGTTTTCTGTAAATATTTGTTGAACAAACAAATGAATCAATCTCACCAGGCTGCCCAGTGCCTACAAAATTAGAATCTTTGTAAGCATTTTCACAAACCTTATCATATCTTCTCATCCATACTCAGAACTTCCTCTGTTTTCCAATAAAAGTACAGAAGCAATTAGACTGAAAATAAATACATAAACTAGTTTTATCACATTAGCCATGAATTTTAAATTCATGAACAGAGAACTTCTAGGTAGAGCAGTGATGCTATATTCAGGCAATATTTCTCAGCACATATGAACGTTGGGGAATATAATAAGTCTTTGTCAGGTTGTTTTTGCTTGTTAATTTGTTTGTTTAACTTTCCCAGAAATCAATCCTTAACCAAAGAGGGATAGTCTCAAAATGCACTGCTTTCTACCTCTCACCTTCACTGTGAAAGACAATACCAGCCATCTCTCCAGCTGACTCTCTCAATAATGTTTTCCCAGATGTGAAATTCTCATCAATGAACTGTGGAAGTGTGTTAGATCCCCTTACATTTTTCTTTTTTTGGAAAAATTGAAGATGCACAACTTTTAAGTAAGATGATATGAGTACTTTCCATTTTATTTCTACTGGACTTCAATGATAGTAATCCTGCCAGAACAAATCCAGTTCACATTATATTTTAATTTAATTGAATCTACTCAGCTAGCTTGGTGTGCTTAATATTGCTCTACCAACCCAGAGATGAGTCTGTGAGTACCCTAAAGAGAATTCCAGAAATTCAGTTCTGCTGAAGGACACAGGATATCTCTTTCACTGACTCCTACCTTCTGTTAGAAAAATTCTCACTCTGTCACAGTATTCTGTGATCTTTCTGGGTTCTGCTTTTTTGAGGCCATTACCAACCGATATGGGACTTTACTCTCTGACTTAGGTTTAATTTTTAGTTTCTCCCTGAAGGGTGCCTAAAAAGTGATCTTCAGATCAATCCTTGTAGATTCAATGCCAGCTTTTAATCCATCACTGAACCCAATCTGAGTTAGACATCTAACCTCTGACATGATCTTCAAGAAATTTAAGACTTTGTGTTTGCACAATAATTTATACATATCTTACATCGGAGAAAAGGAAGTGGTGTCATCAAGGACGTCTTGTACATCAGACGCTTTAGAGAGAAACTTTTATGTAATCCTTGCATTACTGAGAGTCGATAATGTCCACATTTTATCAAAAGGATACAGGCATAGAAAAATTATTGAACCCAAGACCACTATTTAAAAATTATAGCAACTGCAATTAGACTTAAGCTGTAGAACCACAGAACCAATGCTCCTACTGTCCAAATATGACATAAACTTTGAGAAAAGACAATTCTGAGAAGAAAGTTTGTTTTCCAGTGCCTTCAGCCTTGCAATGCTGCCTCTTTCCTTTCTTTACAGGACCTAATTTTTGTTGTACTGAACACACTTTGACATCTGCTTCAGGAAGATCTAATAACCTAATTTAAATATAAGCCAAGAAATACTAATGCAATGCATGGCCTTTTCCAAGAGCTTTTAAATTATAATGAATTAACTACATCCTCAATAAAAGGAGCATGTACAAATTCTAAATTTATGCATTTTATACTTAGGGTAGGAGATATTTTGTTAGTGGAAATAGAGTATTCTTGAAATTGAATCATAGAGGCATATCAAGCACTCTGTGTTTGATAAAAGTAGTGCTGACCCTATCCACAAATAACTGTACCATCGTAGATGAGTATTTCATTATAGCATGGCTAGGTGTTCTATGCATTCAAATGCACACAATATCAAGAAGTCTGTCTCAAATGCATTTTAGTAAGTTATTATGTAATTAACTAAACTGAATTCATAAAATAATCCCTGAAGCAAAAGTTCATATTCAATTCTTATAAAATGTATTTTTCTCAGTATGAGCATTACCAATGCCTCCACTATAAGCTTGAGAGAGTCTCCTTATTGTTAATACCGTCTGGCCTCTAACATTTACAAATTTGATGTAATATCTTGAGTTTAACACTGATTTTTTTTCTCATAATTCTCATTTAACCAGCTCTACATAAATTTAAGAAAATATAATTCTATCTTAGACAGACCTTTTCCTCAGCCTGTGTTGATTTTGATCTTAGCATCATGGAGCCAGGCTCGTATATTCCAGAAAGGGTTTTTTTTTTTTTTAACAAAATCATTTATGTAAAATAGATACAGAACAAGATACTGAATTTTAAAATTCTAAATTTATCTTGCTAAGTTAAAAATAGAATATCAATTGATAATGATATGATTTATAATTGTCTATAATATTATATTTTAAAAAGGCATGTAAGACCATATTCAGGCCATACTAGAAACATTGATAATTCTAGTCTCAAAAGACATCATTCCAAAAGAGAATTGTAGTTTTCAATGTTACCAATTAAGATTATCATTCCTGGCTTAATGATAAAACTTCTGAAAGATGGTTCTTTATTATACTTTTAAGTTCTGGGGTACATGTGCAGAACGCGCAGGTTTGTTACATAGGTATACACGTGCCATGGTGGTTTGCTGCACCCATCAACCCGTCATCTATACTAGGTATTTCTCCTAATGCTATTCCTCCCCTAGTCCCCCACCCCCCAACAGGCCCTGGTGTGTGATGTTCCCCTCCCTGCATTGTTCGACTCCCACTTATGAGTGAGAACATGCGGTGTTTGGGTTTCTGTTCTTGTGTTGTTTGCTGGAAATGATGGTTTCCAGCTTCATCCATGTCCCTGGCAAAGGACATGAACTCATCCTTTTTTATGGTTGCATAGCATTCCATGGTGTATATGTGCCACATTATCTTTATCCAGTCTATCATTGATGGGCATTTAGGTTGGTTCCATGTCTTTGCTATCATGAACAGTGCTGTAATAAATATAGGTGTGCATGTGTCTTAATAATAGAATAATTTATAATCCTTTGAATTATATACCCAGTAATGGGATTGCTGGGTCAAATAGTATTTCTGGTTTTAGATCCTTAAGGAATTGCCACACTGTCTTCCACAATGGATGAACTAATTTACACTCCCACCAACAGTGTAAAAGCGTTCCTATTTCTCCACATCTTCTCCACCATCTGTTGTTTCCTGACTTTTTAATGACCGCCATTCTAACTGGCATGAGATGGTATCTCATTGAGGTTTTGATTTGCATTTCTCTAATGACCAGTGATGATGAGCTTTTTTTTCATGTTTGTTGGCGACTTAAATGTCATCTTTTGAGAAGTGTCTGTTCATATCCTTCGCCCACTTTTTGATGTGGCTGTTTTTTTTCTTGTAAATTTGTTTAAATTCTTTGTAGATTCTGGATATTAGCCCTTTGTCAGATGGATAGATTGCATCAATTCTCTCCCATTCTGTAGGTTGCCTGTTCACTCTGATGATAGTTGTTTTTTTTTTTTTCTGTGCAGAAGCTCTTTAGTTTAATTAGATCCCATTCCCATGTGTCAATTTTGGCTTTGTTTGCCATTGCTTTTGGTGTTTTTGTCTTGAAGTCTTTGCCCATGCCTATGTCCTGAATGGTATTGCCTAGGTTTTCTTCTAGGGTTTTTATGGTTTTAGGTCTTACAGTTAAGTCTTTAGTCCATCTTGAGTTAATTTTTGTACAAGGTGTAAGAAACGGGTCCAGTTTCAGTTTTCTCCATATGGCTAGCCAGTTTTCCCAACACCATTTATTAAATAGGGAATCCTTTCCCCATTTCTTGTTTTTGTCAGATTTGTCAAAGATCAGATGGTTGTAGATGTGTGGTATTATTTCTGAGGCCTCCCGATGGAGTGAATTCTCCTGCCTCAGCCTCCTGAGTAGCTAGGATTACAGGTGCCCACCACCGTGCCCAGCTCATTTTTTTATTTTCAATAGAGACGGTGTTTTGCCATGTTGGCCAGGCTGGTTTCAAACTCCTGACCTCAGGTGATCTGCCCTCTTTGGCCTCCCAAAGTGCTGGGATTACAGGCATGAGCCACCACCCCTGGTTGGTATTTTCATTTTTAAACCAGTAATAATAGGGCTTGACATTTTTTGCAAGAATCTATTTATAAAGCCAACCCTAATACTCTGCAAATAAATCAAAATGGCTCCATTTTGATAAGCCCTTTAAGTAAGTTATTTCACAAAAAAATTATCAAATATATTTCAGCAATTAGCTGATCAAAGTCCCACTTAGAGGCACAGCATGAATTAAAACTTTTAATTTTACAATTCTATGTATAAAATAAAATTTAAAAACTCTATATACTATATGATTTCTACTGAGGTAGATTGTTTGTATTAAGGGCCCACCTTAATGGTTTTCATGAATCAAAGTCCTTTGCCTTGTAGCTCTATAGTTCCTTCTCATGCTGACTCCTGGCTGGTCCACGGGCTTGCTTTGGCAATTAATGTTAGCACATACAATGATAGCAGAGGCTTGAATTTGACTTGAGCATTTCTACTTTCTCTTCTGGACCCCTGCCACTATCACAAGAATGTGCTCAGCTAGCCTCCTAGAGTACTGTGAGAGACATGTGGAAGAGCGCTCAATTGCCCAGCAAAGGCCATCTTAAAACAGCGTGCCCCCAGCCTACCACACCAACTACCTGCAGATGCATGGGAGAACCCAGCCAGTCTCAGTCAGTCCTGGCTCAGATTAGCAGAGCAAGTCTGCTAACCCATAAAGCTATGAGAAATAATATACATTGGCCATTGTAAACAACTAATTTTTCATGTGGTTTGTTATGCAGCATTACTGAAGTGATAAATAATTGATACATCTACTCTATACTTTTTCATTGCTTTTAAGAAAAAGGGATTGCTTCATAATTATTATCATCATCAGCGGCATCATTATTATTAAATTTCCACATAATCTATGCCAATGCTCTTGACCTTGGCTATTTGGGATAGGTACAAAGTATTTTTTAGACAAGGTGTGTACATTGTTTTTTCTAAGACCTAATGCCATTGGACACTTACCAGACTGTAGCAAGTAGAGTGTAAACATAACTTTTATATGCACTGGGAAACCAAAAAATCTGTGTGACTCACTTTATTGCAATATTCACTTTATTGCAATGGTCTAGCACAAAACGTGCAATATCTCTGAGGTGTGCCTGTACTAAATTCTGAAATGGCATGGTGGGAATGGCAAAGCTATAATAAGCTACTATTCTCTTAGAGCAATTTGCTTTTAAGTTTTTCATTATCTAAATAATTCTTCATTTCCTAAGCATTAGTATTATTTACAGTTTTATTTGAAAAGGACTAAGACAATTTATTATGGTCCTAATTTTTTGTGATATTAAATGAGTAACCAGTATATTTCTATGACAAGACTTTCTGCATGCCTTTAGGATTGCAGCTTCAGATAGTCTACAGTTCAGATAGTCTACAGTTAAAATAGTCTACAGTTCTGATAGATAGAAATAGAAGTCTGTAGTGTTTTACTTTTTTTTTTTTCATTTGTGGAAAAGATTTAAAGCTCCAGGGAGGCTTTTCACTATTAAATCTTTTACTAAACAAAAGAAAGAGAAAAAAAAAGTATATCTCATGGACTGTCAAGAGTGCACAAATAGATTGTAGTTATGAGGTTAATGTGTCATTTTATACATTTCCCCAGACCCTGGTAGTGGAGTGACTTAAAGAGTGTGATATTGTCATAAAGGGACAGTGAACAAAAACAAAGACAAACAACAAATAAGAAAACTCTTCCTCATCTTTTTCTCTGAACAGACTGCCTTATTATAATGTATGAACACCATCAGAAATGCTTAAATAAATGCTGGAAGCACTAACAGCTTTTCAGAAAGTGCAGAGAAATGCTCATCACTACCCATGAAATTCTATTCAATATTTTGTTTTGTTTTGCTCTGAAGAATCAGCTCAACAGAGCAAAGAAATCTGAAACCATTGTGAACTCAGCCCAAAGTAATCTTTACTCTTCTGCTTGTTCTTAGACACAGTGAACTGATGCAAATTGAGTACATGACTGGGAATGAATACTTGCAACATATTACAAACATAAGACTCATGTGATTTCAAATCATCAAGAAAACACAGCACAATGGACATATGATGAAAACAGGTAATTCAAAAGAAAATATAATATAAATGGCTAATCAGTATGTGTAAGCATTCAGTCTAATAGTAATCAGACAAATTTAAAAGAAAAATGTAGTATAATATTTTACCCATTTAAGAAACCACACAATTTATCTTTGAGAATATTGAAGAGGCTTCAGGAAACTGATCCTGCCCTCAATATAATTGGGCAAAGCCACTTTGGAAGGCAACATAAAAGTTCATTACAATTAAAATGAGCACACTGTATGATTCCAATATTCCTCTCTCTCCACTAGAAAAACCTTTCCACTTTTCCACAGGAAGGCATATATAAGGGTGTTGATTTTTTTCACATATTGTAGTAATAAATAATAAAATAATTTGGATGCCCATCGCTGGAGAAATGACTAAAATTGTCAATGTTCATATTACGGTATTATAGTCACAAGAAAAAAACGGAAGCACATTTCTTGTGAACCAAAATGGAAAAGATAAATAACATGTACTGTTGGGTGAACAAGCAGATTTTGTACTTCAATAACTGATAATACAATAGTCAGATATATCCAGAAAAAAGGCAGTTGTGTACAGAACATTTAGAAATGCTGGATGAATTACTATAAACATGCTTAAATGCAAAACAGGATTCCAAAGAAAGTAAATAAATTCTGCAGAGCAAAAGCAAAAGCAAAACAAAACAAATTAGAAACAAAAGCAAACAAGCAAAGAAAACAAAATAAAAAACATGCAACCTGAGTGGTAAACTTATACAAAAAATGCAGTTTCATGGTGGCATTTTTGGATATGTATAAGCAAAAGGCTTGCACTGGGTAGTTTTTGTTTGTTTTTTGCTTTTTAAATTTTTTGACATGCGTATTAGCTTTATTTTATTTTTTTGAATGGGGTATCCATCCCTTTAAGTACTTATCCTTTGTGTTACAAGCAATCCAATTATACTCGTTATTTAAAAATGTACAAATAAGTTATTTTGACTATAAGTCATCCTGCTGTGCTATCAAATAGTAGGTCTTATACATTCTTTCTAACAATTTTTTGTACCCATTATCCATTCCCTCTCCCTCCCCAACCCCCACCTACCATTCCCAGCCTCTGGTAACCATTCTTCTACTCTCTATGTTCATTAGTTCAGTTGTTTTAATTTTTAGATCCCACAAATGAGACAAGGTGATGTTTGTCTTTCTGTGCTTGGCTTATTTCATTTAACATAATGATCTCTGGTTTCATCCATGTTGTTGCAAATGACGGGATCTCATTCTTTTTTAATGGATGAATACTACTCCAATATGTATATGTACCACATTTTCCTTATTCATTCATTTGTTGATGGACACTTAGGTTGCTTCCAGTGCTTACCTACTGTGAACAGTGCTACAATGAACATAGGCGTGCAGATAGCTCTTTGATACACTAATTTCCTTCCTTTTGGGTATATACCCAGCAATGGGATTGCAGGATCATAAGGTAGCTCCAAATGGTCCTCCACATTGGTTGTACTAATTTACATTTCCACCAACAGGATATAAGGGTTTCCTTTTCTCCACATCCTCACCAGAATTTGTTATTGCCTATCTTTTGGATATAAGCCATTTTAACTGGGGTGAGATGAACGTTCCATTGTAGTTTTGATTTGCATTTCTCTGATAATCCAGTGATGTTCAGGACCTTTTCATATGCCCATTTGCCATTTGCATGTCTTCTTTTGAGGAAATGTCTATTCAAATATTTGCCCATTTAAAAAATCAGATTATTAGACTTTTTCCTATAGAGTTGTTTGAACTCCTTATTTATTCTGGTTATTAATCCCTTATCAGATGGGTAGTTTGTCAATATTTTCTCCCATTCTGTTAGTTGTCTCTTCAATTTATTGATAGTTTCTTTTGCTGTGCAGAAGCTTCTTAACTTGATGTGATCCCATTTATCCATTTTTGCTTTGGTTGCCTGTGCTTGTGGAGGTATTGCTCAGGAAATGTTTGCCCAGACCAGTGTCCTGGAGGCTGAAGTGCAGTGGCACAATCTCGGCTCACTGCAACCTCCACTTTCAGGATTCAAGCGATTCTCCTGCCTCAGCCTCCCGAGTAGCTGGGAATACAGGCGAGTGCCACCACGCTCAGCTAATTTTTGTATTTTTAGTAGAGATGGATTTTCACCATTTTGGCCAGGATGCTTTTGATCTTTTGACCTCATGATTCTCCCACCTCGGCCTCCCAAAGTGCTGGGATTACAGGCGTAAGCCACCGTGCCCTGCCAATATTTTCTTGTAGTAGGTTCATATTCTGAGGCCTTAGATTTAAGTCTTTAATTCATTTTGATTTGATTGTTGCATATGGTGAGAGATAGGGGTCTATTTTCATTCTTCTGCATCTGGATATCCAGTTTCCACAGCACCAATTATTGAAGAGACTGTCTTTTCACCAGTGTATGTTCTTGGCACCTTTGTCAAAAATAAGTTCACTGTAGGTGTGTGGATTTGTTTCTGGATTCTCTATTCTGTTCCATTGATCTATGTGTCTGTTTTTATGTCAGTACCATGTTGTTTTGGTTACTAAAGCTCTGTAGTATAGTTTGAAGTCAGATAATGTGATTTCTCCAATATTGTTCTTTTTGCTTAGGATATCTTTGGCACTATGGGTCTTTTTTTGATCCATATAAATCATAGGATTGATTTTTTCTATTTCTGTGAAAAATGTCATTAGTATTTTGATAGTGAGCACATTGAATCTGTAGATTGCTTTGGGTAGTATGGACATTGTAACAATATTGATTATTCCAATCCATGAACACAAAATATTTTTCCATTTTTTGGTGTCCTCTTCAATTTCTTTCATCAGTGTTTTGTAGTTTTCATTATCGAGACCTTTCACTTCTTTGGTTAAGTTAATTCCTAGGTATGTAATTTTGTGTGTGGCTATTGTAAATGGGATCACCTTTTTATTCCTTTTTCAGATTGTTCACTGTTGGCATATAAAAATTCTACTAATTTTTGTATGTTGATTTTGTATCATGCAACTTTACTGTACTAGTTTATCAGTTCTAACAGTTTTCATGTGTGGGTTACTTAGGTTTTTTCAAATATAAGATCATATGATCTGCAAACAAGGATAATTTGACTTCTTCCTTTGAAATTTGAATGACCTTTATTTCTTTTCCTTTTCTGATGGCTCTAGCTAGGACTTCAGAACAATGTTGAATAACGGTCATGACAGTGGGTGGGCATCCTTGTTGTTTTTAAGATCTTAGAGAAAAGGCTTTCAATATTTCCCCATTCAGTATACTAGCTATGGATTTGTCATACGTGGTTTTTATTATGTTGAAGTATGTTTCTTCTATACACTGTTTTTAAAGAGATTTTATCATGAAGCAATGTTGAATTTTATCAAATGTTTCTTCAGCATCAATTGAAATGATCATATGATTTCTATCCTTCATTCTGTTGATATATCACATTGATTGAATTGCATGTTGAACCATCCTTGCATCCCAGGCATAAATCACACTTGGTCATAATGAATGACTTTTCTAATGTATTGAACTTGGTTTGCTAGTTATTATGTTAAGGATTTTTGCATCAATATTCATCAGAGATATTGGTCTGTAGTTTTCTTTCTTTGATGTGCATTTGTCTAGTTTTGATATCAAGGCAATACTGGCCTTTTAAAATGAGTTTGGAAGTTACCCCTCCTCATCTATTTTTGGAATAGTTTGAGTAGTACTGGTATTAGTTCTTTAAATGTTTGATAGAATTCAGCAGTGAAGCCATCAGGTCCCAGGCTTTTCTTTGCCGGGAGACTTATTAGAGCTTTGAACTCATTATTTGTTATTAGTATGTCCAAGTTTTGGATTTTTTTCCTGGTTCAATCTTGGTAGTTTGTATGTGTCTAGGAATTTGTCTATTTTTTTCCTGGATTTTCCAGTTTACTGGCATATAGTTGCTCATAGTAGCCATTAGTGATTCTTTGAATTCCTGCAGTATCTGTTGTAATGTTTCCTTTTTCATTTCTGATTTTATTTATTTGTAACTTCTCTTTTTCTTAGTCTGGTTAAAGGCTTCTCAATTTTGTTTAACTCTTCTAAAAATCAACTTTTTGTTTCATTGAACTTTGTATTGTTTTTTTCTTTCAATTTCATTTATTTCTCCTCTGATTTTTATTACTTGTTTTCTCCTACTAATTTTGGGTTTGGTTTGCTCTTGCTTTTCCAGTTCTTTAGGATGCATAATTACATTGTTTATTTGAAGTTTTTCTACTTTTTTGATGTAGGCACTTATAGCTATAAACTTCAACTTCCATCTGAGCACCACTTTTGTTGTATCCCATAGGTTTCGGCATATGTGTTTCCATTATCATTTGTTTCAAGAAATTTTTCAATTTTCATCTTAATTTCTTCATTGACCCATTGGTCATTTGGGAGCATATTGTTTATTTTCCATATATTTTTATAGTTTCCAAAAATTCCCGTGGTTATTAATTTCTAGTTTTATTCCATGTGGTCAGAGAAAATGCTTGATATTATTTCAATTTTTGGAATGTTTTAAGACTTGTTTTGTCACCTATCATATGATCTATCCTTGAGAATGATTCATGTGGTAAGGAAAAGAATATGTATTCTGCAGTTCTTGAAAAAAATGTTCTGTAAGTATCTATTAGATCCATTCGGTCTGTAGTGCAGATTCAGTCTCTTATTTCTTTGTTGATTTTCTGTCTGGAAGATCTGTCCAATGCTGAAAGCGGGGTGTTGAACTGTCCAGTTAAAACTGTATTGCAGCCTCTCTCTCTTTAGCTCTAATAATATTCACTTTATATATCTGGGTGCCCAAGTGTTGGGTGTACATATATTTAAAATTATGTACATGCAACATATGCCAGTTGCATATCCCCTTGCTGAATATACCTGTTTATCATTACATAGTGACCTTTATTGTCTCTTCTTATAGGTTTTGTCTTGAGATTTTTTTGTCTGATGTAATTATAGCTACTCCTGCTCATTTTTTGTTTCCATTGGCATAGAATATCTTTTTCCCATTCTTTTAGTTTCAGTCTATGTGTGTCTTTATAGAAGTGTGTTTCTTATAGGTAAATATTGGTAAACATGTAAGTAGATCTAAACAAATATCAACTGTATAAAATGGTAATAGTAATGTTTAATTCAATAAGAAAAAATAATCTGGAAACAAAATTCCAGAATAAAATAATTTGTTTTTTTGGATAGATATAATTAGAGCTAAGCATGCTAAGTTCTTATGATATTTGGGAAGAAAGTAAAGATATTGATTAAAATTAGAATGTGGTTAAATATAACTATTATTTTTAATCATAATGACCCAAACTAGCAATTGCATATAATTTTAAATTACTAGAGGTAAGCAAATTTTTAAAAAAATTTAAGGAAAAAAAAACAGGTAGGAGAAAAACAAGATACCTTGAAACAGAGAAATAAAAAGCATAATATAAAATGAAAAGAAAAAAATTACACATATGTACAATCTCAATAAATATAAATGGATTGAACTTGTCAATTAATGTAACAGCTATCCATATCTGTTATAATTACCATGTTTGTATTTACATTGTACAAATTTACAATGTAAGGACATAAAAGGTTTGAATTTTAAGGTTGGAAAATTATATTTCAGATGAATACCAAATAAGAGGAAGCATGTCTCAAAAATAGAGTTTATAAGCCAAAAGGCAGTATTAGGGAAAAATTCAATATACTAGGATATATATATACACATATATATATAATAATTCAAAACTGGCATTCACTTAATAAAATAGCCTCAAAGTATTAGAAGCAAAAATTGACAAAAGTATGAGGTAATTTATTAATCTATGCAGAAAACTATTACATATTTTCTCATTCAGTAATTGATAGAACAGTTAGATAAATAGTATGGTTAAGGAATATTTGAACAACACATGAACAAAGTTTTATCTGAAAATCATATCTAGAGGAATATATAATTAATGACTTAAAAATATTTTTTCCCCAAGCTCACATGAATATATGTAAAATCTGATCATGTGTAATGCTGTGAATTCCAATCTCAACAAATTTCAGAGTATCATCCTGAACACATTCTTTTACTTAAATGCATCTAAGTGAGCAAGTATTTAAAAACATGAATACAAAAACACTATTTGTTTGCAGCTCATAACCTATTTCTAAATAATTAATTGGTCAATGAAAAAGCAATCACTAAAATTGGGAAATAATCAAAATAGGACAAAAGTAAATATATATCAAAACTTGTGGGAAGCAGGTAAAGTGGTATTTAGATATTTACAAACTCGAATGCATGCATTAGTAAGAAAGACAAAGTTAATGTTATTAACATCCAACTTTAGAAGGTTAAATATGCCCAAGAAAGTAGAAGGAATAATATAAAACAGAAAATGTATACCAAAATTAACGAAAAATAAATATTTAACATAGAATATTGCCAAAACCAAAATTTGATTATTTGAACAAATCAACAAATTAGGTAAATTTCTGGCAATATAGCTAAAGGAAAAAAGAAAGCTCATGTAAAAAAAATAAATTAAAAGGCAAACAGTTGTAGAGAAGTTGCAAATGAAACACAATTATAACTATATGAACTACTTTATTCAAATATAATTGAGAGGCAGAATAAATAGACAATTTTCTCTAAAACTTTAACTTACTAAGATGAATTTTAAAATATATGGGAAATCTAAACAGAACATAGCCCCAAAATATAATGAGTCATTTTAAAACATCTAAAAAACAGATATAAAAATAGGAAAAAAAAACTATGCAAAGATGTATATACATATATGAGCAAGCTTTACTAAGCATTTAACAGATAATCACAGCCTCATACATCTTCAAGAAAACTGTTTCAGAAAAAAGAAGATAAAAACAATTTGAGAAATAAAAAGTGCTGTCTTTCACATAGATGCAAAATATAAAAACAAAAATTTGCCACACTAAATCCAGCAGTTCTAAAAATTATACATCATAAGCAAATATTATCACGAGAGATAAAAGGTAGCTTAAGTTTAGAAAATTTGCTATAATTCACATAGTATTTTATAATCATCTCTATTGAGGCAGAATAGCCATTTAATTCAATTTAATATTCATGTATAATTTTAAGAGCTGTTAGTCATAAGGAAATGAAAATTAAAATTCCAATGAGGAAAAACATATAAGAAGTTTAAATAAAAAGGGACTCCGTATTACTGATGTTTCCTTTCACCTCCAACTTCACTATGGCTCTACACAGCACTGTGATTGTTCTCGTCATTATTAAAATGTTCATATTTGTTCATCATTGATTTTTTTGGCATTAATTTTAATTTTTAAAAATATTGCATTAAATATTTTTTAAAATCCCAATGAAGTACATCCCTCAACAGGTGAATGGATATTCATGAAATATGGCATATATTATGGTATACTCTTAGAAAGAGATACTATGCAGCAATGCAAATGATAGCATATAACATCATGGACGAACCTCTCAAATATTAAGCTGAATAAAAGAAGCCAGACATAAAATAACACACACTTGTTTGATTTACAGTCAGGCGCTATTAGACCAGTATTAGCCTAAGCCAGCTATTGTGGGTGATTTGACTGGAAAAGAGCACTAGATAATTTTGAGGGGTGATGAACATTTTATATACCATGGCTTGGATGGCTATTACACAGCTAATTATATTTGGCAAAACTCATTGACACTTAAAATAGGCACCTTTGCTTTATCACATGTAAATTAAATCTAAATGAAGTTGGTTTCAGAAAGCAAATAAACACTTCATTCTGCATTGAATTATTGGAATAATCTCCTTAAAGTGAGACAAGTATTTCCACTCTCACTATATATCTAAACATGGAACTTGAGGTGCTAACCAGAGCAGTAAAAGGAGGAAAATAACAAAAGCCTTATAAATTTGAATGAATATTATATTATTTACTAAGGACAAGATTTTCTACTTAAGAGACTGCATCTAATATAGAAAAGTTAATTCAAATTAATAATAGAGTTCAACAACATTCCTTTATATTGTTCAGCAATATTCAGAAATCAATAGTGTACTCGCACAAAAGTAACAAATACATGCATAATGTAATATTTACAGAAGGTAACATTTATAATAATAATAAAATAAGTCAACTAGGAAGAAATCCAATAATAGAAATAAATAGACTATATGGAGCAGATGATAAACTTCTTCAAAATCGTTTAAAGAATACCTACATGTATGATGAAACATGCTGGACTCCTGAATAAGTTCCAGTATCATAATGACAGGTACCTCCTCTAAAAATTCCTAAAGTTCCAAGAAGAGATAGTTGTTGCTTTCTTTCTTTGCTTTTCTTTTTCTTTCTTTTCTTTTTTTTTTCTTTTTCTTTTTTTGAGACAGGGTCTCACTCTGCAGCCCAGGCTGGAGTGCAGTGGCACCAACACAGCTCAGTGCAACCTCAGCCTCCTGGCCTCAAGTGATCCTCCCGCCTCAGCTTCCTGAATAGCTGGAACTACAGATGCATGCCACCACGTCTGACTAATTTTTTGATTTTTTTTTTTTTTTTTTTTTTTGTAGAGAGAAGATCTCACTATGTTGCCAAGGCTGGTCTCAAACTGCTGGGCTCAAGTGATCTTCCTGCTGTGGCCTCTCAAAGGGCTGGGATCACAAGCATGAGCTACCGTGCCCAGTCAGTTGTTGCTTTTCTAATGCTATAGGTCAATATTTTATATTTATATAGCACAGTAATAGGGGAAGCACTTTCCTTTATTATGTATTCAGAAAAAAAGGCTATCATGATAAAAACAGGATAATGGACAAAAACATCCAGAAAAATTCCATTTATAACTGTAAATTTAATATGTGGAAGAATTGCACTGTGTATTAGAGTAGAAGTATATATTTTTTTCAGTAAAGACTGCTGAAACAATTAATTACTCTTAGGAAAAAATATGTTTGTAGTATGATCTCTATCTCGAATCCTATATAACAAAAAATTCTTTATGAATTAAAAAGTAAATATTTTTAAACATTCTTTAAAGGCATTAGGTAAAAATATATCTTATAACAAAGGACTATTATAAACAAATCCACAAAACAAACCACAAACAATAATAATAGAGATAATTTGATTATTTAAAAAATTTTTAAAATCATGAATCAAAAGACATTATAAAGCAGTTGAACAGAACAGCCACAGATAAAATGCATATTTGAAATAAAAATAAATCACAAATAAATACAAGCATATGCAATAGAATTACCTCATACAAATTAATATGTTAAATATATAAAAATCTTCCAAATGCAAAAAAAGACAAATAACTGTTAAAAAAAGGTGGGCAAAATCTATCAATAGGAAACTAATAGAAGAGGACGCTAGAATATCCAATGTACATATGAGAAGTTTCTCAACCTCAGGGGTGGAAAATTGCAAACTAAAGCAAAAATAAGATGGTATCTCATATATCAAGCTGGCATAAATCTTGTGTGTTGGAATATTGTTTTGATATGTATATGATGCAATCAGAATGCTTATATATGCTTAGTAGTAGAAATGTAGATTGGTAGAATATGTTCACAGTACATAGTATATTTAAGATTGTGCATGCCCACTCACCTAACAATTCCATTCCAACTATATCCTAGAGGAGTATTTTCCAAACCACGAGTCTTGACATATTAATGTGTTATGAAAGTAATTTAATCGATTGTAATAATATAAAACTAAAATAGAAAAATCAGAATGGATTATGACTAAGAAAGTAAAGTATTGGCTTGTAAAGTTATAGTTCACCTATTTATGTGCATGCATGTACTTTTGTGCTGAATCTTGATATCAATTGTGTTTCTTACCCTGAGTTGAAGTAAAAGAATCTGAAAGAACATCTTTTGTGGAATATCACAAGTATGTTCAAGGACACATATAAAATAATGTTTTGGATAGAATTGATTTTTATAGCAAACAATTGACAACAATATAAAGTCTAACCACCAAAACAATAAAACAAAATTATTGATTGTAATGTAGTCATAACATGTCCATATAACAGTGGTAGAGGGAACCAATTTTAGTTGAAGGTGGGGAAGTGGAAGGAGACAGACAACGTAAAGGTTGTTATATGTGTTAGGACAGTTTTGGTCTTTAACCTAAGGAGGATTGGAAATCTTTTGTTTGTAAATGATTGTGATGAGTATATGTGTGTGTATGGTGGTGTGCACTCACAAGGCAGTCAGGAGCTGATTAACATAATTTGATTTCTCATTGCAGGTGGGGCAAGTGTGGATGCAGGAGATCACTTTGTTAAGCCCAGTGGGAAATAATGGTAGATGGGAGGCTTAATAGCAGATATCTGAGTTAAACAACTAGGTGGTTGATAGGTAACATTCATTAAGATACGGGAAACTAAAAGAAAAGTATACTTGTTTTAGGTATTCTGAATTTTAGGTTATAGTTGGGACATACATACATAGTGTAAAGGGAACATAAGGGCCTGAGGGTTAGATTAGGGCTTGGCTTTATAAAGTCATTCCTCAAGTGTCATCTTCTCAGTGAGGCCCTTTCTAACTAACTCAAATGAAAAGTCTCAACACAAACTCCACCTTCCCCAATTTTTCTTCAACACTCTTATGACCACCAGGTCAATTCAACATACTAGAATTTATTTTGTTCATTGTTTGTCCTTCTCCAATAAAATGAAAGTGCAAGCAATCAAATATTTTGATTCACCTGTCTCCCACTTTGTCCCATTTACCTGGCACATGTTGTTACGCAACAAATAATCAGGAATGAAAGAATTAGTAAGTGAATAAATGAAGCTGTGACATCACAGTAAATCTATCCCCCAGGAAACACTTTTAAGTGACAGTACAATTGACAGTTATTATTTAAATCTCAATGTTATCTATCCTTTGTTTTTCCTGTTGCTACTCCCAAATTCTAAAAGGATGCACAGAAATGCACTACATTTTGACATTTTGTTACAAAACAAAACAAAAAAAATGTTAACTAAAATAGACCATGGACTTAAATGAAAACATAAAACATTTAGAAAAATTTAGGATAACATTTTTGAAATCTAAGACTTGGTAACGAATTCTTAGGCATAACACCAAAAGCACAGTCCGTAAAAGAAAAAAACTGATCAATTTGACATCATCAAAATCAAAACCTTTTTTCTGCAAAGTACTTAGTTGAAAAGATTTTAGAAAACAAACTACAGAGTAAGAGAAAATATTTGTGAATATGGCGAAGGACAAATATCTAGAACATATATATGTATGTATTTCTAAATTTAACAGTAGAAAATAGTCAATCCAACTAGAAAATAGGCAAAATATACAAAGAGTTCACCAAAGAAGAAAGGCAAATGACAAATAAGCATGAAAACATGTTCAACGTCATCAGCTATTAAAGTGTGCAAATGAAAAGCACAATGCAGTATTTTTACACTCTTATCAGAATGGCTAAAAGAAAGTAGTGACAATTACCAAATGCTGGCAAAGATTTGCAGAAATTAGATCACTCATACATTGCTGGTGGAAACGGAAAACAATACTGTCACTCTGGAAAACCACCTGGCAGTTTCTTTAAAAACTAACCATGCAACTGCCATACAACCTGGCATTTAAACATCTGGGCATTTATCCCAGGAATATGAAAATGTATATTAACACTAAAATCTGTACCTAATTTACTTTTTATTTGTAATAGGCCCAAATTGAGGATAATCCAAAGGGCCTTCAAGAGGTTAACACAGCTGTGGTACATTCAGCCATATAAAGGACAAAATACTAATCCATGCAGCAACCTGGATGAATCTCCAGAGAATTATGGTGAATGGAAAAAAAAAAGCCAAACCAAAAAGTTACATGCTATATGACTCCTTTTACATGACATTTTTTAGATGACAAAATTATAGAAATGGAGAACACATTAGTGGTTGCCAGGGATTAAGGTTAAGAAGTCAGTGAAGGTGAGTGTGGATTGGGTGTGGCTATAAAAGGACCACATGAGAATGCTTGTCATGAACAATGTTCCATGTAATGTCAATATCTTGACTGTATACTGCACTATACATTTGCAAGATGTTGCCAATGCAGGAAGCTGGGTAAAGGGAACAAGATATCTCTCAGTACTATTTCTTATAACTTCATGTTGATTTATAATGATCTCAAAAAAGAAAGAAACTACATATGTGGTTTGCCTTTTTGGCTCACATTATATTATCTGTAAATTATAGTTATTTAAAAATAAATTATGGATAACAATGCATCTATATTAATCTATATCTATACTTATATTTTTAATTACAGTCATGTACCATATAATGATGCTTTTGTCAAAGAATTGCCCATACAAGGGTGGACCCATAAGATTATAACACCTTGTTTTTACTGTACCTTTTCTAAGTTTGGATACACAAATATTTACCATTGTGTTACAATTGCCTACAGTATCCAATACAGTAGACTGCTGTATAGCTTTGTAGCCTGGGTAGGTAGTAGGCTGTACCGTCTAGGTTTGTGAAAGTACGCTCCATGATGTTAGCAACTCAATGAAATTGTCTAAGGACGCATTTCTGAAAAAGTATTCCTGTCATTAAGTGACGCATGCCTATATTGGAGAAAGGTTGGGTTCCAAAGGCTGCTCTAACTTTGTAGGCCAAATAGAAATAGACCTACCCTTCGAGTCATTCAAATAGAATGCACTTTCCTTATTCACAGATGCACATTTCCTTGTTGAACCTCTCCCAAAATAGAACAATGTGTTCTGTGCTAAGGTATCTAATGAGAGTAGTAGCACTCTCTTTATCATCCCATAGGTGTTCCAAAGAACTGCTTAATACCTTATTGCTTTGCCACTCATTTTCATTGGCAGAATTGAACCTTGAGCATGTACAATCATATGTTCTTGAGTAAAATTTGCTATTGGTAGCATTTTCAGCTTGCCTATCTTTTAACTTCTTGAACTTCCTCAGAATTAACATTTTGCAAAGAAGTTTCTAACTTTGGTGACAATCCTTTAGGCCCACACTCAAAAATGTTGTTATTTAATTAATTGGTTTCCTCACCCCTCGCTGATTATTGTTGATTAAATTATTTACATGTTGCATCATTTGCTCTGTTTTTCAAAATAGTTCTTACTCTGATAATTTTTCCCATAAGCCCAGGTAACGTGTGATTTTTCTAATTCCTTTGGGCTTTTAAATGAGCTCTACTTGCATTTTCATTTTAACTGCACTACCGATCTTATTAGCACTTTCAACCTTCTCATGGTTTTTCATATTCATTGGATGTGATGGGTTTAAATTATTTATAAAGCACCTCTACACTAAGGACAAAATGAGCACAAAGTATGATTAGAAACAGTGTGATAGAGGAGACAAAAATGACAGCATGCAAATTATAAGGCATTTGATGGCTGGCAGAGGTGATATTTCTCCTCAGGAAAGAATCTTCCTTCCTAGCTATGAAAATTCATAATTTGAAATGTCATAATGTAGGAGGAGCTTATATGGCCAATTTCATGAATCTGGTAACTAAGTTTTCTGGTTGCATTTAAATGAATAATTCCTTGACTTTATTTATATCTCATTGCCAATTTTGATTAATTTTCGTTTATAGCCTGTTATTTAGAATGATGGCTAATTAAGAATATGGACCTGATTACTGTTTCTGTTTTTGTTTTTATTGTGGTAAAAAACACTTAACTTGGCCGGGCGCAGTGGCTCACGCCTGTAATCCCAGCACTTTGGGAGGCTGAAGCAGGCAGATACCTGAGGTCAGGAGTTTGAGACCAGCCTGGTCAACATGGTGAAACCCCATCTTTACAAAAGTACAAAAAATTAGCCAGGCATGGCAGTGGTGTATGACTGTAATTCCAGCTGCTTGGGAGGCTGAGGCAGGAGAATCGCTTGAACCAGGGAGATGGAGGTTGCAGTGAGCCAAGACTGCACCACTGCACTCCAGCCTGGGTGACAGAGCAAGATTCCGTCTCAAAAAAAAAAAAAAAAAGTAAAATAATGATAACAATAATAATAATAATAATAATAATAATAAACGAGTTCACCTTTAAGTCAGTTTTAGGAAATGATAGTTAATTTCATTTAAAAATCTCTTCTGTCTTCAGAACAGTTTCAGAAAATGATAAAGGTGGCAAATAAGATCATTAACCTCAAATATATAAACATCAAAGAAGGCTTATGTGATGATTATGAAGTATCATGGAGATATTTACCTCCTTACCTTATTCATTACGTGAATCTATAAGAGTACCGGCCTGTAAGCCAGGGAACTAGAATTCTTGGGGGCATAGTACGAGGGTGGTTGTTTATCTTGTCTGCAATCTTCAATTTTCACAAGTGAATGCCCTAAATATTTAAAATAACAACAACAATGCAACAATAATGGCAACAGCAACAGCAACAACAACAACAATAATTTAAACACCCAATAATGCGACTTGGCTGAGCTGTCTTTCCAGTGCACCAGCATCTCCTTATTCTTCAGAATAAGGGATTTTTATTACCATCATGATAGCTGCTTTATAGAATACATCTGATTATATTTTTACAGTCCCAATACCCTTAGTTTTCCCGAATTTACCCATGAAAGCAAATAGAGCTGCTTTGCTCAGTCCTACAATCTGGATGCTGGATTTCACAAGTATGTCTGCTCGCTTGGGATATTAAGGCATGTTGCTTAAATGTTCTTGTCCTCTTATTTATCAAGAAATGTGACAATTTGCATTTATTCATTTTCACTTATCCTAAGCAAATAAATTGGTACTATTGCCTGACATATATTATATCATAAATCCAACCTGCCCCATGCTAAGCAGAGCACACTCAAGCTTTCCACTACAGGAAAAAAATACATGAGACAAAGGAATTCAGGCTACATCATCCCAGTTCAACAGCTGAAATGATATTCTTCAACTGTTACTGCTTGAAGCACAGGTAAGGTGTCACCAAACTTTGGTTAAATTAATTACTTTTGATGGCTAGCTTTCCTTTTGACAAGTATTTTAATAAAAGTCCTCCCTTAAATTTCTAAATTACATTTTAATTAATGTAATAGTAATAAGAAAGTGAAAACCACCTTTAATCTATCCAAACAGATGTCTTACGATAACATTTTGGTGAACATGTTCCGAAAATGTTCTAGGAACACATGAACACATACATCTATATTCATAAAATGTATGAGATCATGTTATACATGCTATTTTGTAACTTGATTTTTCAGATAAGATTATATTACAAATATCTTTCCAAATTAATAGGAATAAAACCTATGTCTTAATGTGCAGGTTTATAATTTTTATTTTATCAATATCTCTATTTTTCACAAATATAATTTACACTGAAATGAACTTCCATTACATTTGTCTTTGAACTATTTCTTGGGGAAAGTTCCAGAATTGAAATTACCATACACTGAGCAGAAGTATCTCAGACTTTCCTTAAATCAGGGTTTACTAACAGTGAGTATCATTAATTATTGTTCTTTTCTCATCTAGAGTATGAGATTAGTTTCTCATTATTGTAATAATTTGCATTCTTTGATTTCTAGAATCAAATGGTTAAACCATTATTTTTGTCCAACTGAATTAAATTTCATTTTATTTGTTCAAGTTTGCTTGGCAATTTATAAGTGATGACCATATTTTAAGATATCACCTTTGTTTTATATACATGTACATATATCTATTATTTATCAGAATGTATTAGTTATATATTACCTATTATAATAGTTTATAAATTATCTGATTACATTATAAATGCTAATTTATTGATTTGATATGTGTTTATTTAATTATGTTTGGAGTTAAACATTTTTATATATTAAACATTTATTATTCTTTTAAAACTTTTATATCATTTTCCAATTTTTTATATTGAATTGTAAGATATGTTATAACATATGTAAGATATGTTATAATCAATTTATACCCAATTCTCTCTTGTCCTTTGATTTTTTTTTGGTAAAAATGTGGGCATACATAGTTTATCATTGCCATTCATCATTTAATTTTCATGTTATCATGCTTGTTCTTTGTTGTTTCTTCATGGCTTCTGGATTTAGGGCAATGATTTAATTCAAACATCAATAATAATAATCCTGTCCTTAGTTAAAATTTTGTTCATGATAGATAGCTTTAATTTTTAGAATGTTTAAGTATTAAAAATATTTCAGCATAATGTTTTAAGTATTATCTTGATCACTGAGCTTTTTGGCATCCCCTCTAATTGTGCACAAGAGGTCAGTGAGGCACTTGCCTCATTCAGTTCATCCTAGCCCAGCCCTGGATTTGGAAGATCTCCCCTCTCAAAATTATAAAATTAATTACTTATGGGTTTTTAAATAGCTTTTATATTTTTACATTTAGTTATCTAAGGGCATCTGGAATCCTGGGACATAGAAGTAGCAAAAAAGGAATCTAGGTTTATATATTTTTCTCAATGGTTATCTTACTAATAGGCAAACCCACTAATTTAAATACCATGTTTAACAGGTAATAAACTGCTCATTTTTCTCTTTAGGAAAAAAGACTTCAAGAAAAGCTGCATCTGATATTTTATTCATTAGTGGCTCCTTTACATTTTTCCTGAGGAATCAGACTTCCATTTATTTTTCAATCTATTTTATTGCTCTTAATAAAATATTTCATACAGATAAAATAATTCATACTGTTATTCATAAAATTAGTAACAATAAAAGGACCCCAAAGTGCCCATCACAGAGATTAAGATATAGATGATTATCCACTCAATTGGTGAATTCATCCCTTTTGTCATTAACACCAACCTCCCCACCCCCCATATATACGGCTATCATGAAGGGCTGTGTTTTGTCATTCACTTAAATTTTAGCTTTACTATATACACATACATTAATGTAGGTATTTTATATTTAAATATACAACATTCTACATATTTGACTTTACATTTAAAAATAACTATTTTTTGAACTGAGCGACATTTCTTTTGTTCAGCATTATATTTGTGGCACTTATCCTTTTGAAGTGGTAGTTTATTCATTTTCACTACTAAATAGTATTTTAACACGTGAATATAAGATATGTCCAGTTTTCTTCCAATGACTAATGAGGCTGTATCTCATTTAATATCTTTATGATCACACCCTCATGTCACCTAAGAAGGCTCGTCTGTCGTCCATCTTTTGGTCCCTGGAAGTAAACCCTTTCCTAAAAATAAGCACCTGAAAGAGTAGGCTCACCTTTCAGGTGACTGTTTTCAAGCATAACAGAGGTTGTAAATGCTCCTGAAGGAGCTTCCCCTTTTAGTATCTTGAAGACAAGGAAAATACAGATGAAAAGGAGAAAACATAATTTCAGGGTATTAATTTATTTTTGTTCTTGGAAGGGGTTCAGATTTTGTCACTGATTTTCAAATTATCTCATGTAAGGCAATTTTTGTGATCAACGATGAGTAGAAGTAGCAAGTACATTTTAGCTTTCTCAAAACTTTCACCATACAAATGTTTCAACAGTATGTGAGATATTATGTATAGTAAAGTATATTTTCTACCATAAAAATGAATAAGACGATTAAAGAAACAAGGCTTATACAGAAAAAGTCAATACTACTAAAGACACAAGTAGGTTATTTCATATGGTATTTAAATATATAACACCTAAATTAATTGTATAAAAGAGCAATTTTCTATCTATAAAAAACTTTCTAAAAGATAACACTATGAAAATATTCTAAAAAAATATAACTTTAAATGTATAAGTGGTTAGATGTAGGTTTTACTTTTTAAAGTAGCTATCATGTAGGCATTCCTTCTAACCAAACATTTTCCAAGTTTTTTGGAAATTTGCCATAAATTTTATCCTTTACCAATCAAATCATTTATCATGAATTGTACAACTGAAAACCAGACAATGTTTACTACTTTCTAAGTATGTTCATTTATACAGAGATGTAGAATTCAGTAATTACATTTATACAATTGGCAGGTTTAACTTGTAAGCAAGTTTTAAACATATATACAGAAAACATAAATTCAAAAATCTGACAAATGATAAAATGTATTCATTAGAGCTACTTTCAAATTTTTTGCTGCTTAGATGTGCCAAGTTCAAAAAAGGCAGTCCGCATTTCAAATTAGAAAATAATGATATTTAAATCAACTTATAATAATGAGCAAGATATGTAATTTGCACTGAACTTTCATTAAAAGGAATAATGTCTAACATTTAATGTTTTGCTCAAAAATACGTTATGTGGTTACAAAAATTTAATTTTCATTTTGTCATGAAATAGCTTAAGTTTGCTTAGAGAATACCATTTTAGTAACCCAATCCATTCCTGTCATAAATTTATATAAATCTAGTTTAATTTTTATTTAATTCCTAAGCTCATTGATTCATCTAGACAACATTTTTTGAATACCCATTGTGCTAAGAGCAATGTAGAAACCATTGTTAAGAAGGAAATGTAGGTGTAATTATTATTCTGGAAGATCAATCTATTGTCATAAACAGTCTAGGAATCAGGGAAAGAATTCTGATTTCATCATTTCATTAGTATGACATTCCATAATTTATTACATATCTTAACAACTTAATTCCTTGATTGATGAAATTGGAGAGATAAACTAAATAACCTCTAGTACTTTTACATTTTCTATTTTTATAATGGTGGGGGTAGAGTAAATATACAACGTATCTAAGAAACTTTGAAATGATCACAGATGTAAGAAGGTAATTAAGTTGTAGGTACATATATTTGTAATTATGAACAGTAGGTGTTAAAAGAATAATTAAATTTTATCCTTAAAAACAATACTTGAATCTGATACAACTGTGTCCATCTTGAATTTTACTTTGCATTTGCTCAGGTTGCCTGATTGCTATGTATACTACGAATTAATGGTATATATTGATTCAAACACAATGTAAGCTTACTTCCTGATCATGGAATAGATAGTACCAATTGCTAAGCACGTCTAAGGGGTTAGAGGCTTGGTAGGCTAGGGGTGTACTTCCGTGCAATATTCCACAGATTCAGGCTGAACAAGGCTGTGTGATCTACTTGGGAGTTTGCAGGTGGTCCTGAAAAGATGTCCGTGATAAGCAGCCAGCTGGACAAAAGATCAGGAGAAACATCTCAGGGAAGATTTTATGAAACAGGCTTAGAAGTGATGCCTAGTATCCTAAGTACATTCCATTAACTAGATGTAAGCCACATGCTCACACTGAACTGGAGATACCTGGGATATGATGTTCTTGGGGAAAGACCATTTAAAAAATAGCTATCTGCTATGGAAAGAAGAACATGAATATTTGATGGACAGCTAGTAATCTTTGTCATATCCTTGATTTTTTAAGAAAAATATTTTTTAGAAACTCTGAAAGTTATTCTGTAAAACAGCAGTTTATAAAGTTTAGAATAGAAATAAATATTTAATATTTATTTGATAATTTCTTAACAAACCCATAAGATTTTACCAAGAGTCAGATTATGTTTCAGAGTATGTTCTAACCAACCTAAGCAGGGAGCTCTTACCAGCTTTCTTTGTAAGGAAAAGTACTCCCCTGGTGAGTGCCTACAGTCAATTTACAGTTAGCCCTCTGGATCCATAGGCTCCCATATGCAGATTCTACTGATACAAAATATTTGGGAAAATAATAATAAATAATAATGCAACAATAAAAAATAATGCAAACAAGGCCGGGCACAGTGGCTCACACCTGTAATCTTAGCATTTTTGGGAGGCTGAGGTGGGAGGATTGCTTGAGCCCAGGAGTCAGAAACCAGCCTGGGCAACATGGCACAACTCCCTCTGTACAAAAAATTAGCTGGGTGTGGTGACACACAGCTACAGTCCCAGCTACTTGGGAGGCTGAGGTGGGAGGATCATCTGAATCCAGGAGGTCAAGGCTGCAGTGACTGCAGATTGTGTCATTGCACTCCAGCCTGGATGACAGAGTGAGACCCTGTCTCAAAATAATAATAATAGTAATACAAACAAAAATACAATAACAACTATTTACACCGCATTTAACATTTTATTAGGCCTTATAAGTAATCTAGAGATGATTTAAAGTACATGGGAGAATATATATAGGTTATAAACAAATACCATACCATTTTACATCAGGGACTAGAGCATCCATAAATTTTGGTATCCACTGACTTGTCCTGGAACCAATCCCCTGCAAATACCCAGGGATGACTGTAGACTGCTGAAGCTTGACAGGAGGAAGACCTGTAGGTAGACCTTGACCAGGTCCATGGTCTGTCTCTGTCAGTGGTTTTCCAAAGACAGGGCTTCAGCCACACTATATTTTTCCAGGCAGGATGTAAGGAATATTCCTGCCCCTCCCATTTATCCCACCCTGATTTCCCCCATCCACCTTTTTACACTGAAATTGAAGCATTACTGAAGCCCAGGGTTCTAATCTGTGATGTGCCATGGCATAACCTTGACAATTAAGCTTGATGAAGCTAAGTTTCCTCATTTGTAAAACAAAAAGATTGTTCTAAATGAACTCAGTGGTTGTTGCCAGAGTTAAATTTGAGTCACAAAGGGAAAACCAGAGTCAATAAGCAAAATTCTGTTCTACTGATTTTGAGTCCTATTTTGTCGGATTCAAGACTTCAGCAATTCTTTTGCATTGCCAAAGTTAGCTAATAGACATCAAATCTGATTATCTTCTGAATACCCAAGCATTCTCTGCAGTTTGAAATTAAAAACACTTCACATCCTGTAATATTTCATATTGATATTGATTTTTTTCTTTCTAATAAACTGGGAACTTCGCTTAAGTTTGCAGAAATCAACAATTTTATGATTCACTGTAATCCTCCTTAAACTGATTTCTTAAATAACTGTGTCCTGTTTGGTTGGAAAATGTTATTGAGGCTGTAGAAGATTCGATGATGCCTGTGAGACTGATGAGTCATCACTAAATATTCTGCAGGGTAGGCTGGGAGCAGTGGCTCATGCCTGTAATCCCAGCACTTTGGGAGGCTGAGGCGGGCGGATCATGAAGTCAGGAGATCGAGACCATCCTGGATAACACGGTGAAACCCCGTCTCTACTAAAAATATAACAAAAAATTAGCTGGGTGAGGTGGCGGGCGCTGGCAGTCCCAGCTACTCGGGAGGCTGAGGCAGGAGAATGGCGTGAACCCGGGAGGCAGAGCTTGCAGTGAGCCAAGATTGTGCACTGCCCTCCAGCCTGGCTGACAGAGCGAGACTCCGTCTCAAAAAAAAAAAAAAAAAAAAAATATATATATATATATATATATATATATATATTCTGCAGTGTAAAACAGAAGGGGAAACAAGCAAATTTCTAAGCAATTCTTTTTTAACAATACTCACAAATATATGTGTGTTCATGCATAAATGCCCACATACACATTTCATTACCTTTCCCTAAACATTTCAGGTTGAACTCAGAAATGTAATTTTATTCTGAATAAATTAAATGTGTGTAAGTACACTAGAAAATACCACCTCAGTAGATTTACATCCAGATACGTTGTTAACAGAAGTCATGCTCCTTTTCCCTCCCTCGTGCACAATCCTCAATTCTTCCACTGAAAGAATCTATATGATAGTAGTGCCAAATCAGGTATCCCCATCTGATAATTACAGTGAGCCTTCCTTTAGAAATGTTTAGGCCAAACTGGAGTAAAATGGTGAACTACGTTTTAATAGAAGTATGCACATATATTTGTAGATGTGTTATTTAGATACTGTGTCTACATGCATTTTTAAACATAATCATTACGTAATCACCTGGGTTATTTACTTGTTCTTCTAGATTATAAGCTAAATTTCTCAGTCATTAGACCTATTTTTGCTGATAGAAAAAGCTCCACTCTGAACTGACTTTGCCTGGCTTTCATTTGGCAATTATCTGTTAACCTTGCCACAAAGACAGCTTTTAAGAAATTGGCACCATACTGTGGTTTTAATACAGTATTAAAAATGGTCACAATAAAGGTAATTAATAGAGCATCTTCAAAAGTTTAGTTTTTTTTTTCTTTTTTAGCAGTCAAATGTTACAAAGATTTATGAAATAAAATATTACTATTTCTCTCAGTGCCATCCCCTGGAGGCGTCCAATGCTAACAGACTAGTATCAACAGTATCATTCTGCATCCACACCTTTCTTCATACAAACAAATGCCAGTATGCACACATGCATGCAAACACACACACACACACACACACACACACACACACACACACACCCATGCCACACCACTTATTTATTGCTTGGCTATTGTTCACTGAAGTATTAGGGCTAGACAGCAGAAAGATCATTTAGGAAAGTATTCCAACAGTTCTTATGAAAATGAAGTGGCAGTAGGATTGCGAAGTTGGAGAAAGATCAAGGAAGCAGATGGGAGACAGAATTGAAAGGAATAATGATTAAATGAGAAAGGGAGGTGGAGAGGATGAAACGTGCTGACGACTGGGTCAGTGCTCTTAACATTTTAAACAGAAGTAAAAAGTTATGAGCAAAGTCAATAAGAAAATGACCATTTAATTTTGAGTATGTTCATAGGAAAGACTAAGTGATTTTAAAACCATGGGAAAATAAGTTAAAGAAACATTTAAATACTATGAGGAAACATCGAAGTCTTGTAATTGATAAAAAAGTTATGTCGAACTGCTCGTACGCTTGGCTCAACATAATTTGAAAAACGATTAAAATGTCATGTCATTTTGCCACCACAACATAAGCTCCATATAATGTAACCAGATCATTAAAAGAATGGGACTGCTTAAATTAAATGACAAGTTTGAGGCTTAGAACATGATGCACTTAATTTTATTTTTTTCTTTGAGTTAAAAATATCAATGTTAATCAATTATGGCAAGATAATAACCTGACTTATACAATGATTTGATTTCATTTTATTGCCTTCTATTAATTCTACTGAAAATTCCATTTAAAATAATTGTTTTAATCCAAACCTGAGTAAACCCTACATATCTTTTTGCAAATGCACAAACCAATATTTTAGCTAATAAATAAGTTTTTACATCAGGGTCCATATTTATTCATTTTGGAAAACACAGCTTTTAAGTTTGGCTTAAAACACATATATTGTTTTTGCACGAAACAACATGAGGTAGCTTTGTCATCACAGAATGTAAGAATACAAATGGAATCAAGTTCTCAATAATTAGGCAGGGAGAAGACTGTTTCTACCACATAAAGTATCTCCGAGCAAATTCAAAAAAACCACCTACTGTAGGTAAACGAAGTGTCATTTAATTGTAGTTTAGCAAGTGAAAGTTATTTTATACGGAAAAGAGATCTCTGTAGGTGAGTGCATCCTATTCCCAGGCTAATCAATTTACATGTGGAGCAGAGATTTTATTCCCATCCCATTTGCCCCTTCAGCTAGACACTCTTGTATAGCAAAAAATATGTACAACCATATATAATGGTTCTTCTAGGGAAGGAATAAATAGTAAATTTAATTTTAAAATATAATGAAAAGCAGGATGCACTCACTAGTTATGCAAATTAGAATCACTTCTATAAATTAAATGATAAACAATGTATATATAACAACTTCTTATGCAAATTAGTATTGCTTCTACAAACTGTTGACCCTGAGACTCTGAAAATATTACTGCATCCATGGGTAGTATAGTGTGTCCTTTCTTAACTCCCTGTATTAATCCAGTTTCTCCAGAGAAACAGAACCCATAGAAGGTTATCTATCTATCTATCTATCTATCCTCTATCTATCTATTGAGAGAAAAGGAGAGAGAAGGAGAGAGGAGAGAGATTTATTTTAAGCAGTCAGCTCACATGATTGTGGGGGGAGCTGGCAAATCTTAAATGAGAGCAGGGAAGAGTTAATGTTGCAGTCTCAGTCTGAAAGTCTGGAGGCAGAGATCCAACTTCCTAAAGGGACCTCAGTTTTTTTCTCTTAAGGCCTTTAACTCATAAGATGAAGTTCAGCCACATTTATGGAGGGTAATCTGCTTTACTCCATGTCTACTGATTTAAATAATTAATTACACCACCACACTCCCCAAGTTCCATGAAATTTATTTTTTAGTCAATTTTCTCTAGAGACATATCCATTCTTCTGAAAATCTCAGTTCACATTAAGTATATTACTTCCCCCCTTCCCCTCTCTTTCCAAAAGCCCCAGTGGTACAAGTTTAAGTACATTTGATGAGAGTATAAATTTCTTTTCCAAAAACACTTTATGGATAACTAGGCATCAAAATGCTTCTCATATATAAATTGAGAACATACCATATCATTCTTTGTCTAAATCCATTTTAGAAGTACAGTTTTCAAATTTAATCAGTGCCTGCTTTAAAAAATACACATGTATTTTTTTCTTCTCTAAACCAATAGGCCATTAATTGAAATTTACTTTTCTCATGAAAATTGTTTTAGATAAGTGGATTATAGTTTTACTTTTAGACAAACATAATTTTTCAATTTTATCCTGAAACTTTGAAAAAAATATCTAGTTGATATAAAAATTAGTTTACAGATTTCATTTCTTAGTTAAATATAATTTAATGCAATCTGTTTAAAAAAAAAAAATCATCCTTGATACTGCTGAGAAAAACACCGTTATTCCAAGTTACAGTCTGCTGTTCTAAGCTTACATGGATAAAAAGAAATCCTGGAATGACAGAGCAAATTCAAAGCACAAGTGTGTTCTCATTCTACTTGATTCATTGGAAAACTCTTTAAAAATTTCCTTGTATCTTCCTGACTCTGGCATGTTTATACCTTGACCCCATAGCCACTGATTGCGTGAGGGATCTTGAAATTGCATACATTGATGGAAGATTTATTGCAAGAATTCCCCCCAGTTGTTCAAACTTGTTTAAATGCTTGTCCTTTGCAACATGACTTTTCAGCTCTTGACTCTGGGCCGTCCTCGTCACTTGCTTTTGTCAATAGGATGGTACTAAATGTGATCTAGAAAGAAACTTGGCAAAGTGCTTCCAAATGTTGCCTTTTGCCCCCTGTTGCTCTTGAAATTCAACCACTGACTAAAAAACAGTTTTCTAGATGTTAAGAGTCTCATGGCTATTCACACCCATCCCCAAGGCGACAGCCAGATATATTAGAGTGGCCATCCTAGATGGCCAGCTAAGCTACTAGCCAACCCTGTCAGCTGATCATTGACACGTTAGCAAGTCCAGAAAAGATCAGTCAAACTTGACGATACAGGCAGATTTGCCCATTTGGTAAGTGAACTCATAACAAATGCTAAATTCTTATTGCTTTAATCACTGGGATTTGGGTTAGTTTGTTATATAGTAATAGCGAACATTTTACACGGACTTTGCTATAGTCTCAGACAAACATTTAAACTTATTCAACTGGCTTCCAGCATGAAGCCATGAATCTGATTCCAGCATGAATCTGAAGACTCCTCTGCAAATCAGGAGTACGGATTTAAATTACAAAGGACATCATATTGACAATACATTTCCCTAATTAACATCCAATCTTTACCACTCACATGCAAAATACATGAGACACTCAAACACTCATCTCCACTGTAAGACAGAATTTTGCCATTTTGCTTGTGGCTGGGACTACAGGCACACACCACTGTGCCTGGCTCATACTGTTTTAATTAGGGTAGCTTTGTACATGTTTCGACATCAGGAAGTGTGAGTCCTTTAGTTTTTTCTTTTCTTTTTTTTTTTTTCCTGCAAAAAGTGCCATTTGGATTTTGGTAGGAATTGCACTGAAACTGTAGATTGCTTTGGGTAGTACAAATATTTTGACAATATTAAATATTCCATATATGAACAGGGAATGCCTTTCCATTCACTTATGACTTTAATTTCATTTAGCAATATTCTACAGTTTTCAGTATACAAGTCTTTTGCCTGCTTGGTTAAGTTTATTCTTAAATATTTTATTATTTTTTATGCTATTAGAAATGGTATTGTTTTAATAATTTTCTTTTTGGATTATTAATTGTACATGTATTTAAAACTACTAGGCCAGGTACAATGGCTCACGCCTGTAATCCCAGCACTTTGGTAGGCCAAGGTGGGTGGATAAGGAGGTCAGGAGATGGAGACCAGCCTGGCCAACATGGTGAAACCCCGTTTCTACTAAAAATACAAAAATTAGCTGGGGGTAGTGGTGCATGCCTGTAATCCCAGCTAATTGGGAGGCTGAGGCAGGAGAATCGCTTGAACCTGGGAGGCAGAGATTGCAGTGAGCCAAGATCACACCACTGCACTCCAGCCTGGTGACAGAGCGAGACTCTGTCTCAAAAAAACAAACAAATAAACAAAAACTACTAATTTGGAGGTGTATTTGGAGATGTATTTTGTATCTATAACTTTACTTAATTTGTTTATTGATTCTAATAGATAAATTTGTGGAATCTTATGGTTTCTAAGTGTAAGATCATATCATCTGCAAACAGGTAATTTTACTTCTGCCTTCTCCATTTGGATTTTTCTTTCTTTCTCTATAATAGCTCTAAGACTTCCAGTATTATGTTTAATAACAGTGGTAAGAGTAGGCATCCTTGCCTTGTTCTTGATCTTAGAGGAAAGCTCTCAGTTTTTCACCATTAAGTATAATGCTAGCTGTGGGCTTTTCACATGTAACATTTATTATATTGAGGTAATTTCCTTCCATTTCTAATGAGATGAGTTTTTGTACCATGAAACGGTGTTGAATTTTGTCAAATGCTTTTTCTGCATGATTTGAGATAATCATGTAGTTTTTGACCTTCATTCTATTAATGTGCTTTATACATTGATTTTCACAAGTTGAACTATCTTTTCATTCCAAGAGTATATTAATATTCCATTTGTTTATGGTTGTATAATTCTTTTAATGTACTTGTGAATTTGATTTGCTAGTATTCTGTTCAGAATTTTTGCATCAATCTTCATCAGGGGATATTGGCCTATAGTTTTTTTTTTTGGTAGTATCTTTGTCTGGCTTTGGGTAATACTGGCCTCACATAATGAGAAAATGTTCTCCCTTCTTCAGTTTTTCAAAGACTTTGAAAATGATTATGTTAATCTCTCTTTAATGATTGATAGATTTTGCCAGTGAAGCCATCTAGTCCTGGCATTTTTATTGTTGGAAGGTTTTTGTTTATTGATTCAATCTCCTTACTATTTATAGGTCTATCCAGATTTTTTATTTCTTCATGATTCAATCATGGCAGGTTTTATGTATTGATTTTATCTACTTCTGGGTTGTCCAATTTGTTGGCCTATTGTTCATGATAGTCTCATAAATTCGTTTTATTTCTGTGATATTGTGATGTCTCCTCTTTTACTTCTAGTTTTTGTTATTTGAGTCTTCTCTCTTTTATTTTTTAATTAGTCTAAAGATTTTTTATATATGTTGTTCTTTTCAAAAAACCCTTTCTTGGTTTTGCTGATTTTTTTTATATTGTTTTCTACTCTGTATCTTGTTTGTTTCTGCTCTAATGTTTATTATTTCCTTTACTGATTATCTTATGGAAGTTCCATTGTATGTAACAAATTGCTTTTCTCATACTTCTTTCAGGATTCTCTCTGTCTTTGACATTTGACAGTTTGATTATAACCTGCCTTGATATTGGCCTTCTTGAGTTTATCCTAGTCACAGTACATTGAACTTCTCAAATGTGAATGTTCATTTCTTTCCTCAGATTTGGGAAGTTTTGGGCCACCATTTCTTCCAATAAGCTCTCTGCCCCTTTTCCTATTTTCCTTCCGATACATCCATAATTCATGTATTGGTCTGCCTGATGGTGTCCCATAAGTTCCTTAGACTTTCTTCACATTTCTTCATACTTTTTTTTTTTGTTCCTGTGAATGCTAATTTCAGATAATCTGTCTTTAAGTTTGATTCTTTTTTCTACATGATCAAGTCTGCTGTTAAACATTTCTAGTAAATTCTTTAAGTTATTGCATTATTCAGCTTCAGAATTTGTTTGGTTCTTTGATATAGTTTCTATCTCATTGTTAGTGCATTATTTTCCTGATTTTGTTTACTTGTCTATCTGTTCTCTTTTAGCTCACTGAGTTTCTTTAAAATGGTTGCTTTGAATTCTTTGTCAAGTAGTTCATAGATCTTCACTTCTTTAGGATACTTTTCTGGAGGTTTCTTTTTCTTTTGATTTGATCAGATTTTCCTGTTTCTTCATATGTCTTGTTAAATTTTACTGGGATTTTGGCACTTAAAACAAAACAGTTACCTCTCCCAGTCCTCAAAGACTGGATTCACAGAGTGGAAGAGCTTCACTAGTCAATCCAGCTTAATATTTTGGAGCCCTCTCCAACTTTTTCTGGAGACATAACTTCTCTTGGCTTGCAGATCTAACTTTCCAATTTGAAAAGTTGCAAAGTTTATTTTTTAGCAGCTCGTATTCTCTTCCTCCCTCTGGTGTCTGTCTACAGTAGTCCAGGCTCTACTGTGTTTCAAGAACCCACCAGTCTCTCCTTTGTTCTCAGAAGCCTCCAGCCATCCAAATTATGCCAGTTCTCCATCAATGCTACAAATCAGGCAAAACAGAAACCAGTTCCTTCTGCACCCCCCAAACACCAGGACATTGAACATGAGACCCACTCTTTACATTTCCTCACAAGAGAATAGCTGTAAGTTGAACCTTTTCTCCTGGTTATTCCTAGCTGTGCCAGATTAGGGAAGGGCCATCAAAGAGAAAATGCAACGGTTTTTCTTACCCCTTCCAATGTGGCTATTCTTGGCTTTTTTGCTTGCTTGGAGGATTACAAATTCTTAACTGGTTTCTGAAGTTTCTATAAAAGCTTTTTGGAAATATATTGCTGTTAGATCAATTGTCTTTGGAGGAAAACGGTCTGGGGCTTTCTGTTCTACCAACTTGTTAACATCATTCCTCACATACAATTATCTTGTGTTAAAAAGTGTACCTGAATTGAAAATTTTTTTGTCTTAATACAAATATTTCTAATCTTAATTCTTAAGCTATCTAAAAACATTTTAATGTACACATTTATAAGGGAGAATTGCAACAAAATATTTCAATGGCCAAAATTAATTCAAGGTATATTGAATTTTATACAAATTTAAATTATTTGATTTCATGTTTCTTTACTACTTATTATTTAGTTCAGTTTGTGAAAGGAAAATAAATCTTGGGGTTCCAAAATCACTAAGCTAAAGGGAAAAGTCAAGCTGGGAACTGCTTAGGGCAAACTTGCCTCTCATTCTACTCAAAGTCACCCCTGTACTCACTGAGATAAACGCCTATCCGATTGCCTCATTTGGAGAGACTAATCAGAAACTCAAAAGAATGCAACCATTTGTCTCTTACCTACCTATGACCTGGAAGCCCCCTCCCTACCTTGTTTGTCCCGCCGTCACCTTGAGTTGTCCCACCTTTCTGGACCGAACCAATGTACATCTTACACATATTGATTGAGGTCTCATGTCTCCCCAAAATGTATAAAACCAAGCTGTGCCCCTACTATCTTAGGCACATGTCATCAGGACTTCCTGAGGCTGTGTCATGGGTGCGTGTCCTCAACCTTGGCAAAATAAACTTTCTAAATTAATTGAGACCTGTCTCAGATTTTTGGGGTTCATAGGATCCATGGGGTATTTCATAGTGTAACAGCCCTTTCAAAGTTTACTTTGAATGTACTTGTTTGATTATAATATAGTCTCAAAAATCTCAAAAGTCTAATGGACCTTGTAAACTATTCAAATAAAAAATGAAGAGTAATATGTTTTTATACTTTTAATATTAGTTTTAGTTGATTATTTAAACCTTATATTTTAAAATAGGATTAATATTAAAATGAAGAAAAAGATAACATTTTACCACAATATAGAAATTCTTATACAATCTTTATCTGTGCACTACACTAAAATTATTAAATGTTTAACTTATACCATATTAACTAAAATTGATAATAAACTATTTTTCCACTAGGTAAAGTATCACAGCAAGGCTTATTTCATTGGGATGTTTTATTTATTTGTATGTTGCTTTCGTGTATCAAAACATTAAGCAATACAGGATAAGTAATGCAAAGTGGAATATACATCAAAAAGTGTATTTTATTAAACATTAGTTTTATTTCTAAGTTTTTTATTCTGTGGCTGTATAAAGCACAGTCATGCATTACTTGCTCTATTAAATCTATTTGTCCGAATAAATTTTGCAAGGGAGGAGTAGAGACCAACACATAATATAAGATTAAGAAGATTTTATTTATTTGTTGAATTTCCGAATCATTTAGCTTTATTTTGGAACAAGAGACGCAAAGACTGTCACTTATGCTCAAAGTGTAACATAAAATATTGCCAAGTTTGAATTTCATGATGATTTATTACGAATATATTTGCTTCCTCTTTTTATAATCCCCTTTAAATAACATAATGTGTTGAATTAATAAATTATCCATTTACTAAAAAATCAGTAAGTTATCCATAATGTATTGAATTTATAAATTATCCATATTAATAAATTATCCATGCCTGAATTGACTTTGCTAATAACCTCTTTATAACAACTTTAATCCTCATAATCAATGGGACTAAATAAAACAATTTTACCAAGTTGTACATTTGACAAGAACATTATGTAAGCATACACAATCTGTGTATAGAAGATAATGGCTATAACACAAACTGGCTTTACCTTCCAAAAGAATTTTGGTTATAAGTGTGTCAGTTGAGAAAAATGACGAGACAGGTCTCAGTCATTTTAGGAGGTTTATTTGCCAAAGTTAAGGATGCACTCCCAGAAGACAAGTCTATCCCTTTCTCTGAAGATGGTTTTTAGGGCTCCAAATTTAAAGGGAGGAAGGAAGGAATTGAACCCCAAAAACTGGTTTCAAGCCAATCTCATAACTTCTATGACTTTTTCCATGAGATATTGGTAAAACCATTAAATAACTTTGTCAAAGTTAATTTATAGGTTAAAACCCTATGTGTCTTAATGGCTCATCCATTTCAATTAGGTCTTCAAGATGCTATATCTCCTATTATAGAAGAATTACTTAATTTTCATGACCACACTCTTATAATTGTTTTCCTAATCAGTTCTCCGGTTTTCTATATTATTTCCCTCATAGTGACAACAGAATTAACACACACTAGTACTACAGATGCCCATGAAGTAGAAGCTATATGGAATATCTTACCTGCCTGCTATTATCCTAATTTTAATTGTCCTCCCATCTCAACATATCCTATATATGACAGATGAAATTAATAAACCCTTTCTCACTGTCAAAACAATTGGCCATCAGTGATATTGAATTTATGAATATACAGATTATGAGGACTTAGGCTTCGATTCTTACATAATCCCTACAACAGACTTAAAACCAGGAGAACTACGACTCCTCAAAGTTGACAATCGAGTAATTCTCCCAATAGAAATTCCTATTGTGTATTAATTTCATCAGAAGATGTTTTACACTCATGAGCTGTCCCATCACTGGGCCTCAAAACAGATGCCATCCCCAGGCGCTTAAACCGAATGACCTTGATCACCACATGGCCAGGCCTTTACTATGACCAATGCTCAGAAATCTGTGGACCCAACCACAGCTTTATACCCATTGTTCCAGAAATGGTCCCCCTAAAATGCTTTGAAACCTGATCTATATCCATACTCCAATGTCACTGTAAAGCTAATTAGCATTAACCTTTTAAGTTAAAGATTGAGGATTCTAAACTCCCCTGCAGTAAAATGCCCCAACTAGACACATCCATGTGACTCATTACTATTTTATCCATAATCATAACTCTATTCGTCATTTTTCAATTAAAAGTCTCAAGTTTTATTTACCCTTTGAATCCCACACCAAAAGCAATTAAGATGCAAAAACACTCAACACCTTGAGAATTAAAATAAATGAAAATTTATTTGCCTCGTTCATTACCCCAATAAATATTAAGTCTACCTATGGCAATCTTAATTATTTTATTTCCCACTATGCTACTTCCCACCCTTAGCCATTTAGTCAACAACCAACTGACCTCTATTCAACAGTGACTAATCCAACTTGTATTTAAACAAATAATAACAATGCATAATATCAAGAGACGAACCTGATCCCTTATGTTAATTTCCCTGATTCTCTTTATTGGTTCAACTAATCTTCTTGGACTTCTACCTCATTCATTTACACCAACTACTCAATTATCAATAAACTAAGGGATAGCAATTCCTTTGTGAGCTGGAGCAGTGATCACCAGCTTCCACTTTAAGACAAAAGCTTTCTTAACCCACTTCCTACCATTTCCTACCACAAGGCACACCTATCCCACTTATCCCCATATTAGTAATCATTGATACTATTAGCCTATTCATTAAACCAACAGCACTAGCTGTATGATTAACGGCCAACATTACAGCCGTCCACCTACTAATGCACTTAATTGGAGGAGCTACTCTGGTATTATCAACTATTAGTTTATCCACAGCTTCAATTACATTTATTATTCTAGCTTTACTAACCATCCTCGATTTTGCTGTAGCCCTTATTCTAGCCTATGTCTTTACACTCCTAGTAAGCCTCTGCCTACATGACAACACATAATGATCCACCAAACTCACGCTTACCACATAGTTAACCTTAGCCTCTGACCGCTAATGGGAGCCCTTTCAGCACTACTGATAACATCCGGCCTAGCCACATGATTTCATTTTAACTCTACTCCCCTCCTGACTAACTCTAGGCCTATTAACCAATACATTAACAATACATCAATGATGATGTGATGTTATCCAAGAAGGCACATTCCAAGGCCACCATACATCAATCGTCCAAAAAGGCCTTCGATACAGAATAATCTTATTCGTTATTTCAGAGGTGTTTTTTTCCGCTGGCTTCTTCTGAGCATTCTACCATTCTAGCCTAGCCCCGACTCCAGAACTAGGGAGATGCTGGCCTCCAACAGGCATTTACCCTCTTAACTCTCTAGAAGTCCCTCTCCTTAATACATCTGTTTTACTTCCACCTGGAGTTTCAATTACTTGGGCTCACCACAACTTAATAGAAGGTAACCAAAGACACATACTTTAGGCACTGTCCATCACAATTGCCCTAGGTATTTACTTTACACTTCTATAAGCCTTAGAGTATTTCGAAGCCCCTTTCACTATCTCTGGCGGGGTTTACGTCTCAACATTCTTCATAGCTACAGGCTTTCACAGGCTTCATGTTATTATTGGATCAACATTTCTTACTGTCTCTCTATTCCGCCAACTAAAATTTCACCTTACATCCTACCACTATTTTGAATTTGAAGCCACTGCCTGGTACTGGCACTTTGTAGACATAGTATGTCTATTCCTATATGTTTCTATCTATTGATGAGGATCTTACTCTTTTAGCACAAAATAGTACAATTGATTTCCAATCAATTAGCTTTGGTATTATGTGAAAAAAAGAGTAATTAATCTAACATTAGCCCTAGCAACTGACACCTTACTGACACTCTTACTAGTAACAATCACATTTTGACTCCTACAACTTAACATCTATACAGAAAAATCCAGCCCCTAAGAATGTGGGTTTCACCCAATAGGCTCTACCCGCCTCCCCTTTTCCATGAAATTTTTCCTAGTAGCCACACATTTCTCCTCTTTGATCTAGAAATTGCCCTACTACTACCCCTACCATGAGCTTTTCAGACAACTGACCTAAAATTAATAATTAGTACAGCCCTCATATTAATTATCATTTAAATCTTAGGCTTAGCCTATGAATGAACCTAAAAAGGATTAGAATGAACTGAGTTGATAATTAGTTTAAGTCAAAATAAATGATTTCGACTCATTAAATTATGATAGATTATAATTACCAAATGCCCTCTATTTATATTAACATTACATTACCTTTTATTATGTCTTTAATAGGGGTAATAATCTATCGATCCCACCTGATATCGTCCCTATTATGCCTAGAAGGCATAATACTATCAACATTTATCATAAGTACTCTCATAACTTTAAACATACATTTTACACTAGCATCCATAATACCTATTATCCTTTTAGTTTTGGTAGCCTGTGAAGCCGCTGTAGGTTTAGTCTTACTGGTTATGTCCTCCAGTACCTATGGTCTAGATTATGTACAAAGCCTGAATTTACTCCAATGTTAAAAATTATTATCCCAACTATTATACTACTTCCAATAACATCTTGCTCTAAGAACTCTATAATCTGAATTAATACAGCCTCCCACAGTTGACTCATCAGTCTCATCAGCCTGCTATTCTTCAACCAATTTAATGGTGATTCATCCAACTTCTTATTAACTTTCTTTCCTGATCCACTGTCATCACCCCTTCTAATTCTGGTTACTGAATTCTAATACTGGTTACTGCCCCTTATAATTTTAGCAAGCCAATATCATCTATCCAAAGAATCACTCCTGCAAAAAAAGCTTTATATCTTAATGTTAGTTTCTTTACAGATATCTTTAATTATAACATTCACAGCCACAGAACTAATCACATCTTATATTCTCTTTGAAGCCACGCTAGTCCCCACCCTAATTATTATTACTCGTTGAGGTAATCAAACAGAACGCCTTAACGCAGACTTATACTTCTTATTTTATACACTGGTAGGATCCTTACCTTTGCTCGTAGCACTTATCTATATTCAAAATGCATTCAGCTTACTAAACATATTAGTAACAACATATACTTCCCAAGAATTGGCAACCTCCTGATCCAGCAACCTTCTATGACTAGCATACATCATGGCATTTTTGGTAAAAATGCCTCTCTCTGGACTCCACCTGTGACTCCCTGAAGCCCACGTAGAAGCCCCCATTGCCGGCTCAATAGTACTTGCAGCAGTACTCCTAAAATAAGGCGGCTACGGAATGATATGGCTCACTCTAATCTTTAATCCCATGACAGAATACATAGCCTACTCTTTCCTCATACTATCCCTATGGGGAATAATCATGACAGGCTCCATTTGTCTACGCCAAACCGATCTAAAGTCACTCATTGCTTACTCCTCCATAAGCCACATGGCACTCGTTATGGTAGCTATTCTCATTCAGGCAGCCTGAAGTTTTATAGGCACAACGGCCTATATAAAATGCTAGATGTTGAGAAGTACACAATTTTCATGTAAGAGGGGACTAGAAAGAACATATTCTTGCTTTCGTCTGACTCAGTGAATCTGCATTTTTACATAAGGTAGCATAGACAAATAGGGGAAAATGCAGGGATTCTGTGTTTTTACATAAGCCAACAAAGATAAGTGGGGCAGGGGAACAATCAGATATGCGTTTGTGCCACGTGGGCAGAGGGGTGACTGCATCTGTAAAGATATAAGCTATCCATTTACAGTGCCATGGTGAATTTTAACAGAAATACTATAGGGTAAATATCTTGGAGCTCACTAAGAATTTCCTTGTGGGCAAAATAGGAGGAAGGTGTGTAGCTTCTCATCTTGTAACCACTTTATTTAGGAACAAAAAGGGAGAGGCAGGTTTGCGTGACCCACTTCCCAGCTTAACTGTTCCCTTTGGCTTAATGAGTCTGGGGTCCCAAGATTTATTTTCCTTCACAAGTGTATGTCGTTAGAGAATGTGAAAGAAACATTGGCAATCCTCAACACCAAGAAGTCTATATACAAATAAGAACTTTGCATCGGGATAATATTGTATGTTAATGCTTTTAATTCTCCAGGGATGATTGAATAATAAAGATTACTAGTTTAAAATAAAGCATCTTAACTACAAGACAGAAAACTTTAAAATGTTATACATGCTGGAATATGAATTATTTTTCTTCAGAAAGAATGACTTCATTTTAATTTAATTTCACAGGAAGAACTGAGGTTTAAATACAATAGCTACCTCATCCACTTCAAAAGATTATTGAAAGAATCAATTAAGACAACATCTGACTTCATATTTGAAAAATAAAGGAAGACTTATAAACAGAAAGTACCATGGAAAGTAATTTTTTTTCATAATTATATGAACAATTGTCTTATTCATTCTAAAGGCATTCAATTAAAGGAAGTCCAGATAAAATGAAAATCAGTCCATTTTACACTGCTTATCAGCGAAAAATAATGCACATGTTTCTAGCAATGATTTGATTAAACAATTTGAAAGGCTTTCAATAAATATGAATAGCGAAGAGTTTTTTATCCAAGACAAATGATAAAGATGATCGCTTGCCACTCTTATTTTGCGATTGATATTTCTACCAACAAAAGAAATTATTTCAGCAGTGCCCACATTTTTCAAGCATATCTTCTTGGTGAACTATGAGTCAGACAATGCTAGCTTATTCTTATTAATCAAATTTCATATAATGTCAATGTCAACTACTATGATTAATAATGTTCAAGTTGCCACAGTAATCTGGAAAAATAGACCTGATATTTTAAAATAATCTCTTGGACTATCAAACATTCTTTTAGTTAAAAATAAATCTTAATATTTGAATCAGTAATCAATATTTAAGTCTCCTTTTCACTCTGTATAGATATTTATTGTTTTAATTATAACATAATACATCAATTTTAAAAATTATATTTTAAATAATAATTGTTCAAAATATCTTATTTAAAACTGTCTTATTCAGTTCAGGCTGCTATAACAAAAATACCATAGACTGAGTGGTGTAAACCACAAATGTTTATTTCTCACAGTTCTGGAGGCTGGGAAGTTCAAGGCTTTCAACATCAAGGTGAATATTGATTATATTCCTAGTGAAGGCCCTCTTCCTAGTTTCCAGATGGAAGTCTTGTTGTGTCCTCACATGGAAGAGATTGGAGGGAAGTGAATTCTCTTGTGACTTTTCTTTATGAGGGCACTAATCCCATCATGAGAGCTCAGCTCTCATGACCCAATTGCCTTCCAATGGCCCCATCTCCAAATAACACCACATTGAGGATTAAGGTTTCAGAATATAAATTTGGGGAAACACAAACATTCAAGCCATAGCGACAATTAAACAAAATTTTAAATGCTATCAGACAGATTCAACTCAGCTGAAGATCTTGTTATTTATTTGCCAGCTATCTGACACTCAGTGGTTTGCTTCTAACATGCAAAGTGATGGGATGTTTCATTCAAGATTAGGTAATAAAAGATGGTAGTTTTCATCTGGCTTGCATATTCCCTCTCTCCAGTCTCTGTCTCTGTCTCAGTCTGTGTCTCTCTCTCTCTGTGGCTCTTCTTTCATGCTTACTCCGATAAAGCAAGATGTGTTATGAGCTGCTGTATGAAGAAGTCCACATAGCAAGAAACTGAAGGAGGGCTTCTTACCAACAGACAGATAAGTACTGAGGACCCCCCTCTAACAACCATTAAGGAACTACCAAAAACCATATGTGAGTGATCTTGGAAGTGAAGCCTTCCCCAGTCAAGTATTCAGACAGCTGCAGCCACCATTTGGATTCAGTTTTTTGAAGCAGAAGATTTATTCAACTAAGATATGCCTGGATTTATGACCCACAGATTGTTAATATATCTTAGTTAATTCAGGCTGCTACAAAAACTGCCATAAACTAAGTAGTTTATTAAAAAACATAAATTTATTTTTCATAGTTCTGGAACTAGGATGTCCCAGATCAAGGCAGCAACAGATTTGGTGTCTCAGGAGGAGGAACTGCTTCCTCATAGACACTGCCTTCATACCATGTACCATGTACCATGTCCATACACAGTTGGAGGGGTTAGCTAGCTCTCTGAGGTCTCTTTTATAAGGGTACTAATTCCATTCTTGAAGGTTCTACTATCATGAACTAGTCACCTCCCAAAGACTCCACCTCCTAATATTGCCACCTTAGGGGTTAATATTGCAACATCTGAATTTGGGGGGATGTAAACATTTATATCATAGCATAAGCTAATAAATATGTATTATTTTAAGCTGTTAAATTTGTCATAATTTGCTGTATAGCCAGTAGATAACTAATACTATCATGGTAATTAAAAATACAAATAGATGGCAGAAAAAATACAAATAGATCATTAATCACAGTAAATGTTACTGGAGTAAGCTAATTTACTGAGCAAAAGAGATTGAGAGAGGATGCGCAAGAGAGATTAGAATCTAGCTATATGAAGCTTACAGAAGTCATGTTTTGTGGAAAAAAATATACATGTTGAAAATAAAGGAATGGAAAAAATCATAGCAATTATTATACCTAGAAAACACTAAACAACAAAAAAACTATATATGATATTCATATCAGATATTATATTATACAAAATGTATTTATTTCAAGATAAACCCTAAATAATAATAAAAGGAAAAATCTGCTGAAAACTAAAAATAGGCAAGAAAATAACATTATGTATAAAGTATATAAAGCAGAAATTAATAAATGTGGCATGTGGGAAATGAAAGCTATTAGATGGGAGCTGGTCTGGCACTAACAGCTGGACCACAGTGTTTTCCTGTTGATGATAAACAATTTCACAGAATACCCGCACCAGACAAGATTGCAATGCACCAACCACAAAACTGATCAAACATGCCTCTCTCTTGGCTAGTGTGAAAAATTTTTGCTTCTTTGCTAATTAGTGTTTAGCTCCAGTTCATTCATCCTGCCTTCTAGATAAAAAATATAAGGGTTCAATGATAGAACTGCCTCCACTTTTAATATGATGCAATCCTGAGAAAAACCACTATTGTTTGAATTGTTCTACAAATCATTAACACAAGTTCAAATTCTGTAGCACACCCCTCCTAACATCCTATTACTGAGATACCACATCATTGCCGTAGTATGACGTCTCTCTCATTGCAATGAGTCAACAAGCCCACATTTATTTGACTATAGATTTGTTCCTGGTGGTCTTTGGATGAAGGGTATCAACAATACCTTTTGATATTTAACAGTTAAGGCTGACAATAATATCCATGATCTATTTTTAGCAATTTATCATCAGTAAGCAAGGTACCTTTAAAAGCAGAAAAACCTTTAAAAGTAGAAAATACCTTTAAAAGTAGAAAAAACAAAAATTATAATTAATGCAAATTGTGGCATCTGAGCTTTCTAATAAAAGTTGCCTATCAAACCTTCAGTCCTTACATAAAAAAGCTGATGAGGTGCTAATACATGCTTTAGGATTTAATAAGTTTAAACTCGATCAACATTAACCAGTTTCTTGATGAATAATAAAAACGTTACCATTTTTCTAAAATTTTGCAAAACATATTTTAGAGACATCAGCATTAATTAAGTTTAAATCAGCTAATTTTGGAAGTTGCTGGAAGCTTGCAGGTTCAATTTACCTTGTATTCTCTTTTCTTCTTCAACATTTTCTGTGACTCTACAAATGATTTACCAACAGAATAAAATGGCATGTTATTTGTCCCTATGTATTTATGTTAATTTCCTTTTTTTAAGTTTAAAGATTCATATTAAGTAAATTATATACGGGACTCAGATATTATGGTACAGTTCATGGTAGTAGCATAGCCATGATTATTCTAGACTTTAATGTGTCTCCATAATAGCTTACTCTAAAGCCAATAATTTTTCACATTTTTTCTAAGCATTTAAAAAATAAAATTGAGATGAGTTATCTAGTGAGACTTTTTCCAATTGATTCTGTCTAAAATGTATTTTAATATGTTTCTAAATTTAACAAGTGAAAGTTTTCATAATTAACCTGTATCTCAATTTTTATGTAGTTTAAAATTTATTTTTAATATCTGTTTACATTTAACAACTAAGAAAACAAGATTTTATACATTAATTGAGACCCTCAGCATAAAATCCAAACAGTTCTGCTGCAACCTGACATGAACTCCTAAAAATTTCCACTCTAGGCAAAATCAATAATAAAATTTTAGAGAGAATAAGGAAAAATGGGCTTCGGAGCATAACACCAAACAACTTTGTGATATATAAAAAAGAGGAAAAGAAAGTAATAAAAACTTTAGCATAATTTTACATATTTGATTGTTTAAAAATACATAACTAATATAGTAAATATAACATTTTACTTGGTGAAAAATTGGAAGTGGGTATCTGAGGGATTACGGGTTACGAATTTTTGTGAAGTGATGGAGGAGGGTTATCTGAAATCAGATAGAAATTTCCAGCACCAGATATGGATGGGCGTGGCTCAAAATATGCACAATGAACTGAGGTAGCTAGTAGGTGTTTGAGGTGAGTACATGTGTGTTTCTTATGTGTTTCTATGCCTTGGATTCATCCAGGTACAGTTTTTTGGTTCACAGTATTTCTTGCAGATAAAATCAAGCATAAGTAAACATGAAATTCAAGTTATGCTCAAATGGTTCCCTAATATATTAGTCACATTGGACCAAATTTGTTTTCAAAATAGGAATTAAGGCAAAACTGACTGTAATATCTTTCTATTTGGAATTGAGAATTATAAAATGTGAAAGCTAATGAAAACCTCTGTCTTTTGTCTCATTTACCTATTTTTGCTTACTTTATGGTTCATTCTGCAATATGTCATATCTGCAAATATATTTTGATATTTCCAAATTTTATTGACACTCTAGTGATATAACAGATCTGGGTTCAGAAACAAAGCACTTTTGATATCAGGATTTCTCTGACCTTGAACTTCCTGCCTTGCTCCTGAATACATTAACTTCACCTTATACACAGTTCTAGTAATTTGCCTTTCCCACATCTTGAACCACATATAAAACAATAATGACACTCAGAATCAGCACAGGTAAAAAACCCTCACATAGGTGATCCACAATTGTCTAGTGGAGAAAAAGAAGGATAATGCCTTTGAGTGATATGAATGTGCATCCCCACTATATATGTAGGGAACAGAACGCTAAGATGATTTGATGCACGTATCAAACACTGAAGATGTAACTTTTCTAAAAATGGTTCTGCGACTTAATTATATGTTATAGATGTAATTATATGTCATAGATAATTACAGTCTTATAGATCAACTCTAGAAACAGTATGTCATCATTGTCGGTAAACAATGCATAAAAAAGCTAAATAATCTATGTGTATTTTACTAAGACTAAGATTTTTTAAAAGAATTAGAAGAAGACTAGAAGACTGGAAATAAGTATCATAAAAATTTAGCAATGATTCCTTTAAGTTGATTTATACAAGCTTAAATTTTTGGGAATTTTTCAAACTTTTTTTGTTTTTTTGTATCTTTATTTTTAATATTATTATGTTTAATTTTAGATTTCGGGGTACATATGCAGGTTTGTTACATGGATACATTGCATGATGCTGACGTTTGGGCTTCAGTTGAATCTGTCACCCAAATAGGTAGCTTTTCAACACGCAATAGGTAGACCCAATAAGTAGTTTTTCAGCCCTTTCTCTCCTCCCTTCCTCCCCGTTTTTGGAGTCCCTGTGTCTATTGTTCCTATCTTTGTGTTCATGTGTATCCAATGTTTAGCTTCCACTTATAAGTGGGAACATGCAGTATTTGATGTTCTGTTTCTGTATTAATTCACTTAGGCTAATGGCCTCCAGCTGCATCCACATTGCTGAAAAGGACATGATTTCCGTTTTTATGGCCGTGTAGTGTCCCATGGTGACCACATTTTCTTCATCCAATCCACCACTGATGGGCACCTAGGTGGATTCCATGTCTTTTCTATCGTGAATAGTGCTGCAATAAACATGCAAGAGCAGGTGTCTTTTTGGTAAAATGATTTATTTTCCTGTGGGTATATACCCAGTAACGAGACTGCTGGGTCACATGTAATTCTATTTGCAGTTCCTTGTAATCTCTTGATTTTCTCCTAGTCCATTTATCTCTATCTTGTCTTGCTTAAAATTTAAAACAATGAAAATAATGAAAACATGAAATTGTTTGCTGTGTTTGCTGTGTACAGTTTTGTCCAAGCATTGTTTTGATTTACTGGCTCTCATCAGCACTCCATGTTGAGCGATCTGAAATTGAACTGTCTCCATTTTCCTATAGAGTCAATTGGGTAAAAAATTAGGTTAGAACCCACAGCCACTTAGATGAGAATCAAAACAATGCCATTTTAAAGTGGTTCTTTCATAAAGCCACCAAGAAAACATCACGAGCAGATAATGTATTACATTGCATTGCATATGTTGCTATTACAATATCTGTAATGGTTGATGCCACTGCTTTGAGGATATGAATTTTAAGATTGTTTTCATTTTAGAAATGTTTGCTATAGTACATAACCCTTTCAATGACATCCTCCTTTCTAGCAATAGTTTTCTCACTATTAGGCTGTATAAACTCACACTAAGTTTATTTTAATACTCCTTAAAGTGTATGCTCAGATTTTGAGCTCTGAATCTTGAGACTTTATAAAACTGAATTTTATAAAGACAATATTCTAATTGAACATTTTTTTCCATTTTAAACTTAATCTAACCTCGAAATATAAGTTCCTTCTTGAGACTAATATAACATTTTTAAAAAGAAAAGTTTATTCAGTTATGCTCAATATCATTCCTACATACTTGTTGGAACTTTAAGAAGTTATGTAACAAAATCTTCATTTGAAAAACTATCGACTGAAACAAGACAGTATCTCAGTTCTGCAAGGAGGAGCAAATCAGTGCATTCTCTTAGAAAAGTGCTATTGATTGTGCTTCATATTTCAACAATCACTTTTTAATTTTTCAGCTAATATTTGATATCCAAAATTCCCCCTTTATTTTGAGATTATTCAGAACATCTAAGAATGATATGTCGTGAGACTGCCCATAATAAGATATGAGGAAAGGACATTTCTTCATGTTCTTTGAAACCCAAAAACTTTAAAAAAAAGGCTCACAATATTTTAGATACAGTGAGATTTCACAGAAGAAAAATAATCTTTTTACAAGCTTTCCTGTTCTGTAAAAGCTCTGTGAGATGAAGCAAGAAACTGATGAAGCACCTAAGAAATAAGGGATGATTTATCTTTGTGATTTCTCTCGGTGATTATGATGAATGCTAATAAGACTGCAGAATGCAAATGAGATCATGTAAAACAACTTAGATTTTATTAAAGGGAGGAATAAAGAAGACACTCAATGAATCACATAATGCATATAGACCATCTGGCATCTGGACTATCTTTTTATCTTTCAGATTAAGAACTAGAACTACAAAAGGAATTCTAAGTATGCCCCCACAAATTTAAAGAAGGAAAAATAAGTAGGTCTCTAACGAAACATTCCCTGTAAGGAAGAAAAAAATAAACTTTGAAAAATGTAAAAGAAAGAAGAAACACTGGACAAAACTAATTAAAATGCAATAAATTAAGTCAAGTTATATTAACTTGTTTGAATTTCTAGTTACTTTGCCCATTTTCCTTGAAAAAGCCATCTGCAGTGACTATTACTACGCTACACTTTACAACAAAATTGGTTAAGGGACTAGGAGGCTGAAATCATTTGTGGAGGGCAGGTATACCAGTTCACCTTACTGTTTGGTAATCTCAGAAGGCTGAATGCTTCAGTTTTAACCCACTTTCCCAGCTAATAGCTCACGAACAGTTTTCCCCTGGGGAAAAATTAACACTTTCTTTTTTTTCTTTTTTAAATACCGTAGTTTTATTATGCCATTTATATGTTTAGATATACAAATGCTTATCATTGTGTTACAATTTCCTACAGTATTCAGTGTAGCAGTATGCTGAATAAATTTGTAGCCTAAGGACAATAGGCTACAACATTTAGCCTAGGTGCATAGTAGGCTAAACCATCTAGGTTTGTGTAAGTGCATTCTATGTCATTCACATGACAAAATTGCCTAATGACACATTTCTCAGAACAGATCTTGGCTGTTAAGTGACACATGACTGTACACATTTTGAAAAATAGAAAAATCACTCATTCCAACAAGATGAATGTATGCCAAAATTGTAATACAAATTCCATTATTCATTGGATTTGCATTGTATTTTTTTAATTATACTTTAAGTTCTAGGGTACATGTGCACAACGTGCAGGTTTGTTACATATGTATACATGTGCCATGTTGGTGGGCTGCACCCATTAACTCGTCAATGTTATCCCTCCCCCCTTTCCCCACCCCACGACAGGTCTCGGTGTGTGATGTTCCCCACCCTGTGTCCAAGTGTTCTCATTGTTCAATTCCCACCTATGAGTGAGAACATGTGGTGTTTGGTTTTCTGTCCTTGTGACAGTTTGCTCAGAATGATGGCTTCCAGCTTCATCCATGTCCCTACAAAGGACATGAACTCATCCTTTTCTATGGCTGCATAGTATTCCATAGCGTATATGTGCCACATTTTCTTAATCCAGTCTATCATTGATGGACATTTGGGTTGGTTCCAAGTCTTTGCTATTGTGAATAGTGCCTCAATAAACATACATGTGCATGTGTCTCTATAGCAGCATGATTTGGGGAAAATCATCTTGTGATGCAGTGATTAAGATATTGGAAACTATCACATTTAAATAAGTTTGTTTGTTGGTCTGTTCTCCACTGTTTTGCTGAAATAGTGTTAACAGCACTTCTTGATAGAGGCTCTGGTATGTGAATTCCACCTGCATTTAAAGCAGCACGTGTGTTTTTCTTTGTCATTAAATTTTTAATATAAGAGGTCTCTATTAGTAATGTGTTAGTTTATTATAAGATCCAGTTATATGATTGCTCAAATTGCACACTACCCACCCGTCTTTTAAACCCTATCAACTATAATGATACGTACAAAAACAATGTGCAATAGTAATTATTAAGGATATATTAGATGTTTCTTGATTTTTTCTATTAAAAATGTGTTTATGGACTAGATAATTTAAGACTTTGGCTTTGGAGCTAGACTGCCAGGTGTTAAAGGTTCGTTTTCTGAGCAAATCACTTCACCTCTGTGTGCCTTAATTTCTCATTGGCAAATTGGGTTGGTATGATAATTAAATAGTTTGATTCATGTTAAGTGCTTAGAACAATGTTTGATACTATTTCAGCCCTCAACAAATACTAGTTATCATGAACTTGACTTATCAGATAGTTTTAAAAAGCACTACTTTGAATGGAAAAGATCTGTTACATATTAACTGCATGTAACTCATTCTATGAACATTGATTTTTTTCATGTGATTCAGTCAACGTCTTTAGTATAAAAAAATTACCAAGAAAAAAGCCATATACCTACAGCCAACTGATCTTTGACAAAGTTAAGAAAAAAATACACTGAGGAAAGGACACCCTATACAATAAATGGTGCTGGGAAAATTTGATAGCCCCATGCAGAGGAATGAAACTGGACCTGTATCACTCACCATACACAAAAATTAACTCAAAATGGAGTAAAGACTTAAACATAAGGCCTGAAGATATAAAAATTCTAGAAGAAAACCTAAGAAAAACTCTTTTGGACATTGGCCCAGGCAAAGAATTCATAACCAAGATCTCAAAAGCAAATATAACAAAAACAAAAATAAACAAATGGGCTTTTTAAACTAAAAAGCTTCTGCACAGTGAAAGAAATAATCAACAGAGTGAACAGAGAGCCTACAGCATAGGAGAAAATAATTGCAAACTACATATCCAGCAAAAGGCTAATATCCAGAATCTTCAAGGAACTTGAACTTCTCAACAGGAAAAAGCCAATAACCCCTTAAAAGTTGGGCAAAGGACATGAACAGTCAATTGTCAAAGGAAAATACATAAGAAGCCAACAAACACATGAAAAAAAATGTTCCACATCACTTATCATCAGAGAAATGTAACTTAAAACCACAAAGAAGTACCATTTTACACTAGTGAGAATGGCTATTAATAAAGTGTAAAAAAAAAATGTTGGCGAGGATGCAAAGAAAGCAGAATGTACACCATTGCTGGGAATGTACATTAATATAATCTCTATTAAAAACAGTATGGAAATTTCTCAAAGAACTAAAAACAGAACTACCATTCAATCCAGCAATCCCACTAATGAATATATACCCAAGGGAAAAGAAATCATTATATCCAAAAGATATCTGCACTCATATATTTATTGCAGCAGTATTAAAGATAGCAAATACATGGAATCAACCTAAGTGTTCATCAATGAATGATTAAAAAAAGGAAACGTAATAGACACAAAGACACACACATGCACACACACACACCCCATGGAATACTACTCAGCCATAAAAATATGAAATCATGTCTTCTGCAGCAACATGAATGGAACTGAAGGCCATTATCTTTAGTCAGATAACTTAGAAACAGAAAGTCAAATACCAGGTATTCTTACCTATAAATTGGAGCTAAATAATGTGTACATATGGACATAGAGAGTGGAATAACAGACATCAGAGACTCAGAAACATGGGAGGTTGATTAGGGATAAGAAATTAATGAGTTCAATGTTATATTAAAAGCTCAGACATCACAACTATGTCATATATCCATGTAACAAAACTGTGGTTATAGCTTCTAAATCTATAAAGCTAATATAAAATTGTAATAGAATAATATGAAAAGTTAATGGTTTACCCTGGATTATATTCAGTACATTTTTCTTCATTAGAAGTACAAATGCTTGCATCCCAATTAGATTTAAATATTTTACCTGATTTACTAATCTAATAGAATCAAATTAATTTAATAAAAGGTGTATGCCACATTTTTAACATTGACATGATAATAGCAAACCATGATTGAGTCTATTTTCCATTTTTGACAAATTATATTATTGCCTCTTATTTCTCTCAATATTAATGAACCATATGCATCACAAACATAAAGTAAAACTAAAATTTAAAAACTGTTTGCACTCACTTCAGCAGCACATATACTAAAATTGGAAGGATACAGACAAGATTAGCATGTTCCCTGTGCAAGCATGACATGTAAATTTGTGAAGCATTCCCTATTTTTAATATAAAAGTAAAAAACCCATCCAAAGGTTAGCAACTTCAAGGTTTAAAGGAACATCAGCCCGTACAGATGAGAAAGAACCAGTAAAAGAACTCTGGCAACTCAAAAAGCCAGAGTGTCTTTTTACCTCCAAATGGCCACACTAGTTCTCCAGCAATAGTCTTTAACTGAAATGGCTGAAATGACAGACATAAAATTCAGAATCCGGATAGAAATGAAGATCATCATGATTCAGCAGAAAGCCAAAACCTAATGCAGGGAATCTAAGGAATCCAGTAAAAAAATACAGGGGCTGAAAGATGAAATAGCCATTTCAAGAAAGAACCGAACTGATTTGATAAAGTTGGCAAACTCACCAAAAGAATTTCATAATACAACTGTAAGTATTAACAGCAGAATAGACCAAGCTGAGGAAAGAACTTCAGAGCTTGAATACCAATTCTTCAAATTATTTCAGTCAGACAAAAACCAAGAAAAAAAAATGAATAGAACCTCCAAGAAATATGAGATTATATAAAGAGACCAAATATACAACTCATTGGCATCCCTGAGAGACAGAAAAAGCGGGAAACTTGGAAAATATATTTGAGGATATTGTTCATGAAAATTTCCCTGACCTTGCTATAAAGGCCAACATTTAAATTCAGAAAATGCAGAGAGCCATTGCAAGATAACATACAAGATGAGCATCTTCAAGACACATACTCATCAGACTTTTCAAGGTTAACATGAAAGAAGATCTCTACAAGAATTACAAAATACTCCTCAAGGAAATCAGAGACAACACAAACAGATGGAAAAACATCCCATGTTCAGGAATAAGAAGAATCAATATTGTTAAAATGACCATGCTTTCCAAAGCAATTTACAGATTCAATGCTATTCCTATCAAACTACTGATGACATTTTCCGCAGAATTAGAAAAAATTATTCTAAAATTCTGCGGAACCAAAAAAGAGCCTGAAGAGCCAAGGCAATTATAAGCAAAATGAACAATGCTGGAAGCATCATATAACCCAACTTTAGACTATATCACAAGATTACAGTAACCAAAATGGTATGATACTGTACAATAACAAACACATAGACCAATGGAACAGAATAGAGAGCCCAGTAAGTGTAAGCCCATACACTTACAACCATGTGTTATTTAACAAATTCAACAACAACAAGCAATGGAGAAAGTACTCCCTATTCAATAAATGACACTGGGATAACTGGCTAACCATATGCAGAAGACAAACTGAATCCATTCCTTAAACCATATACAAATCAACTCAAGATGGATTAAAGACTTAAATGTAGGCTGGACGTGGTGGCTCATGCCTGTAATCCCATCACTTTGGGAGGCCGAGATGGGTGGATCACCTGAGGTCAGGAGCTCAAGACCAGCCTGGCCAACATGGTGAAACCTCGTCTCTACTAAAAGTACAAAAATTAGCCTGTCGTGGTGGTGCATGCCTGTCATCCCAGGTACTCAGGAGGCTGAGGCAGGAGAATCGCTGGAACCTGGGAGGCAGAGGTTGCAGTGAGCCAAGATCATGCCACTGCACTCCAGCCTGGGTGACAAAGCGAGACCCCCATCTCAAAAAAACAAAAAAAGAAGACTTAAATATAAAACTTAAGACTATAAAAACTCTGGAAGAAAGCCTAGGAAATATCATTTTGGGCATAAGAATAAGCAAAGATCTTATGACAAAGATGCCTAAAGTAATTTAACAAAAACAAAACTTGACAAATGGAACCTAATTAAACTAGAGACCTTCTGCACAGCAAAAGAAATCATCAGCAGGATAAAGAGATAACTCACAGAATGGGAGAAAATATTTGCAAACTATGCATCTGAGAAAAGTCTGACATCTAGAATCTATAAGGAACTTAATTTTACGAGCAAAAAAAGAAACAACCCCACTAAAAAGGACATGAACACACTATTCAAAAGAAGATATACACAGGACCAACAAGCATATGAAAAAATCCTCAACATCACTAATCATTTGAGAAATGCAAATCAAAATGGCAAGAAGATACCATCTCACACCAGTCAAAAAATAACAGGTGCTGGTGGGGTTGCGGAGGAAAGGGAATGCTTAAACACCACTAGTGGGAAGATAAATTAGTTCAGCCATTGTGGAAAGCAATTTGGTCATCTCTCAAAGAACTTAAAACAGAATTACCATTCAACCCAGCAATCTCATCTTTGGGTGTATATACTCAAAAGGATATAAACCATTTGATATGGTTTGGTTCTGTGTCCCCACCCAAATCTCATCTTGTAGCTCTCATTTCCCACATGTTGTGGGAGGGACCCAGTGTGACATAATTGAATCTTGGGAATGGGTCTTTCCCATGCGTTCTCATGATAATGAATAAGTTTCATGAGATCTGATGGTTTTAAAAATGGGAGTTTCCCTGCACAAGCTGTCTTTCTTTGCCTACTGCCATCCATGTAAGATGTGACTTGCTCCTTCTTGCCTTCCACCATGATTGTGAGGCCTCCCCAGGCATGTGGAACTATAAGTCAAATAAACCTCTTTCTTTTGTAAACTGCCCAGTCTTGGGTATGTCTTCATCAGCAGTGTGAAAACAGACTAATACACCATTCTACCATAAAGAAACATGGACTTGTATGTTCATCACAGCACTATTAACAATAGCAAATACATGGAATTAACATAAATGTCCATCAACAGTAGACTGGATAAAGAAAATGTGGTACATGTACACCATGGAATACCACACATCCATAAAAAAGAATGAGATTATGTGTTTTACAGCAACATGGATGGAGCTAGAGGACATTATCCTAAGTGAACTAATGCAGGAATAGAAAATCAAGTGCCACATGTTCCCATTTATAAGTGGGAGCTAAACGTTGAGTAGAGATAGACACAAAGAAGGGAACAGTAGACATCAGAGCCAATCTGAGGTGGGAGGGTGAAAGGAGACTGAGATCAAAAAACTACCTGTTGGGTACTATGCTTATTATGTGAATGACAAAATATTCTGTAGCCAAACCTCCACAACTCGCAGTTTACCTAAATAACAAACATGCATATGTACCCTTTAAACTAAGCAGTATCTTAAGAGAATAAAAATGAAGATAAAAAAGTGTTGCCTTCCTGAAAAGCAAGGAATTTTCCTTTTAATTTACATATGAGTTGAAGGAAAATTAGTCTTAAATTGGTCTGTTTAGAAATGAGAAGTAAAAATCTGAAGTAGGAGGATAATAAAGAGATGAGACAAGTTTGAGGCACATTTGAGACATAAATAGGTGTCCTCAGGAAGCGACTGAAAATGATGAATTACAGTGAGAGAGGTAATAGAGAGTAGTAGTTAAAATCATAGCCTTGGCTGTCAAATGAAATGATGATACAATTTCAGCTTTGCCACCTGATAACAATAACACTATAGGCAATTGGTTTAACCTCACTTACCCTCATTTTCTTTTATTGTTACATGGAGTGTTTGGGATGATTAAATAAGATAATGTTCCCAAATCATTTAATGATCCCTGGATTACAGTGAACATTCAATAATAGGTAGATATTACATTTCTGACAGTGATGCTGATGGTGATGGTAGTTGTCGTGGCAATTAGAAAACAACTGAAAGCTTTCAGTTTAGGGCACTTTGTGATAAAAGGCGATAAAAGTAATCTGGAATTTTGGATATATGATAACTTTAATGTCTGTAGGATATCTGGATTAACCTAGAAGAGATTATCCTAAGTGATAAAAATTCTGGATCACCACTGAGCAGGTAATATCTGGCGTTATTAGCCAAGACAAGTGTGTTAAATGAGACAAAAATAAATGACCAGGAAACATTGACATTGATTGCATTTAAAGAGAGAAAAGAACTCTCACGGAGTCAGAAAAAAGATAGAAGATAATGTTATCAAAGAAGCCAAGGCAAAATAATTTCTTGATTAAAAGATTAAACTGCAATAGTGAAGACATCTCAAGAGAGTGAAGACCGAGAGGAAATCATTGGATGTGGCAGTCAAGACATCCATTAATTATCATGACAGCCTGTTTTTTTTTCTTTTGAGTGGGGATGAATAAAGATAAGTTAATTTTGTTGATGCCTGGATAAAATATTTTAAAAGATGGCAAAAATAGACTAATCTTCAAAACAATCTTCATGTTAGCCCTATTTTGTATGTGAGAAAAACAGAAGCAGAGAAAAAATACTCACTTGTGATCACAGTTCATAAGCAGCGGAATCAGTATTAAAATTTTGCTTTTTTTAGAGCAGTTAAAAATCACAGCTCTCATTAATACAGTCTATTTGCAATTAATTTCAATGAGATTAATTTGTCCACATATAATGAAAAACTAATTTCTCTTGGCTTATAGACAATGTTCTAATCTATTGGGTTAGACATTAACTTTAGTAGGAAGTGATTGATTTTCAAGGGGAGAAATTATTCTAAAATTCTGGCAAAATTTCATTTAGCCATAGGTAAACAATTAGATCAGGATATTGTTTTACCATGGGTGCCACTTCAAAGGAAGAAAAATTTTTTAAACAGGGAACCTAGTATCATTGGCCAAAGAAAACTGTTTCTATAATTCTTGACACTATGTCAGCTCTGAATCTGCACCTTGACATGCCTAGTACAGTCCAATTAAATGGCACCTGTTCTTTTGGGGTTTCTAAAAAAGCAATTATTCTTAGATTTTTGTTTATTCCCACCCTTCCTCTAATCCTGAAAGTAGTTGTTCATCCAACCACAGTAATGATGATGATAGGATAATTTCATCAAATTGATTCTAGAGACTATATGATTAAATCTCACAGACGGTTTGGAGGGGTCATTCATTGGCTAAACTGTTTTAGAATTTCTCTAATTCATCAGGCCTGTCCCAGACCAGTTATTAACCTCCAAAGCACAGAAATGCCAGAATCTGACTTCCACCTAAGGCTCTTTCATTCTCCAAGACTGTAACTAAATATGTGGTACATGGTATTTTTTGTGCTGAAGAGAAATGAGGGAAGATAATAGGATGGAGATGAGGACCTTCAATTTTCCCAAAAAGTTTTATAGGTAAAAGTGAAAAACAACAAAAAAATAAAATTAAGCTTTATAGGGGACATTTTAGAAAACAACACATACTATTGTCTTTGAGGAACTTGGGCCTTTTGCATGTTTAAAGGGACAAGAAGACCCCAGGCTTAATACTTCCATGTCTAAGAGAGTATTTTATTAGTCAATTAATAGTTTGTGTCTGATATTTAAAAATAAGCATTAATTTTAACTTACATATAGAATGGCACAACACACAAACTTTTTTTGTATATTCACTATCTTATTAGAGCCTGCCAACAATTTAACAAAAAATCAAACCCCTTACAAAAACAACAGTTCTGGATAAATTAACAGGCTTGTTTTCTTTTGTTGTTGTTGTTTACTACTTTATTGGGATAATTTAATAAGTACATAGGACAGTAAGAAAATTGTACAGTCCAAATACAAATATTTGTACTCCTAAATGAACATTTTACCGATACATGTAAGATGTGCAAAAACATAGAGAATCTCACAAACATAACTATGAGCAAAAGAAGCTAGAAACAAAGGATTACATATTGTTTGAATTAATTTATGACTCTTAATGACAGGCAAAACTTATTTATGCTAATATATACGTTACAGTAGATATACAGTAAGAAAATTGCACAGTTCAAATACACATATTTGTACTCCTAAATAAACACTACCTAGGTTAGGATACAAAACATTCCTATTACCTAAGAATTGTCCCTTATGCCCCTCTATGCCAATAACTCCCCCAGTTACCACTCTTATATTAGCATAAATAAGTTTTGCCTGTCATTAAGATTCATAAATTAATTCAAGCAATATGTAATATTTTGTGTCTAGCTTCTTTTGCTCATAATTATGTTTGTGAGATTCTCTATGTTTTTGCATGTTTTACATCTATCAGTCAAATGTCTTTTCTTACTGTTGCATACCACTTTTTTTTGTCCCTCCCCTAGCCCCCCACCCCCTACAGGCCCCGGTGTGTGATGGTCCCCTCTCTGTGTCCATGTGTTCTCATTGTTCAACTCCCATTTATGAGTGAGAACACGTGGTGTTTGGTTTTCTGATCTTGTGATAGTTTGCTGAGAATGATGGTTTCCAGCTTCATCTATGTCCCTGCAAAGGACATGAACTCATCCTTTTTTATGGCTGCATGGTATTCCATGGTATGTATGTGCCATATTTTCTTAATCCAGATAGTTTGCTGAGAATGATGGTTTCAAGCTTCATCCATGTCCCTGCAAAGGACATTAATTCATCTTTTTTTTTTTTGAGACAGAGTCTCGCTCTGTCACCCAGGTTGGAATGCAGTGGCTCAATATCGGCTCACTGCAAGCTCCGCCTCCCGGGTTCATGCCATTCTCCTGCCTCAGCCTCCCACGTAGCTGGGACTATAGGTGCCCACCACCATGACCGGTTAATTTTTTGTATTTTTTACTAGAGACAGGGTTTCACCGTGTTAGCCAGGATGGTCTCAATCTCCTGAACTCATGATCTGTCCACCTCGGCCTCCCAAAGTGCTGGAATCACAGGCATGAGCCACAGCACCCGACTGAACTCATCCTTTTTTATGGCTGCATAGTATTCCATGATGTATATGTGCCACATTTTCTTAATCCAGTCTATCATTGATGGACAGTTGGGTTGCTTCCAAGTCTTTGCTATTGTGAATAGTACCACAATAGAATGATTCATAATCCTTTGGGTATATGCCTAGTAATGGGATTGCTGGGTCAAATGGTATTTCTAGTTCTAGATCCCTGAGGAATCGCCACACTGTCTTCCACAATGGTTGAACTAATTTACACTAATTTACACTCCCACCAACAGTGTAAAAGCGCTATTTTTCCACAACCTCTCCAGCATCTGTTGTTTGCTGACTTTTTAATTATTGCCATTCTAACTGGACTGACACGGTATCTCATTGTGGTTTTGATTTGCATTTCTCTAATGACCAGTGATGATGAGCATTTTTTCATATGTCTGTTGGCTGCATAAATGTCTTCTTTTGAGAAGTGTAACAGGCTTGTTTCCAAAGAAATAATTCACTCTTTGTTTATCCCACATACACAGTTCAGTGTCAACACTTTATGCCAGGCAGTATCCTGGAAAGCAAAGATTCAATAGTGAACAAAATATACAAACTTCCTAATATAATAGAATTTATAATACAGTTTGCATACTGGGAAAGAGAAGAAAAAAATGCAACTACTAGAAAATCAGATAGAGATAGAGAGAAAGGGAAAAAATGTAAGTAATAGGAATTCAGATTTTAGGTGAAAAATAGGTGAGGTGCGGTGGCTCACACCTGTAATCCCAGCACTTTGGGAGGCCGAGGCAGGTGGATCACTTGAGGCCAGGAGTTCAAGACCAGCCTGGCCAACATGGTGAAACCTTGTCTCTAGTAAAAATCCAAAAATTAGCTGGGTGTGGTGGCGGGTGCCTGTAATCTCAGCTACTTGGGAGGCTGAGGCACAAGAATCACTTGAACTTGGGAGGCAGAAGTTGCAATGAGCTGAGATTGCACCACTTCACTTCAGCCTGGGTGACAGAGCAAGGCTCTGTCTCAAAAAATAATAAAAACAGATGCTAGGGGAAAAATAAAGCGAGGGGCAGAGGGAGAAGCATATGGAAGGGATGAAATGGGTGAGGTAGGTGAAGTTGTTATTTAACATATCTATGAATTAGCCATCTAGATGAGCAGGAGAGTGAATGAAGAGAGAAAATGAGATTGGTTTCTGAAAAGACTTATAAGATTACTTGAAGTCAAAGGTCATAAATTTAAAGTGAAACCAATCATCACAGTTGTGATTTTTAAACTATGTTCCCCCCTGCAATAGGAAGCAAGTTGTAATTCAACCAGGGATGTTAATATAGTAATATACTAGGTATGTCCAACCAAGAAAGGCAGGACAAAAGATTTGAAAGTACATGCAATGGAATGATGACCAATTAAGTATAGATCAAAATCAAGTTAAAATATTATGAAAGTCAGGGTCCTGGAGGCAGTAAACTAGAACAGAAAGTATTGAGGTGTTTAATATTTTATAGATGGAGTGCAATTATTGGTTGTAACATAGCATTCAGTATGAACTTGGCAGTAAGAAGCTAATATGGAATGGAAGTCAAGATTATTAGAGTAAAAACTGTCAAAGAATGAAGAGCGTTGGGTATTGAATGTATTATCTAAATGGATATTGAGGTCACCAAAAAAGTATGAGGTAATGTTGGGTAGGGTTGGATTTAAAAGCTAAAATCTTCACACAATGAGGGGGACCAAGGGTATGCTCTTAGCTTGACTAACTCATGAATGGAGAGCAGTCTTTGAAAACTGAGGCATATACTACTGGAATGAACTTCCAAGCAGTGAGTTTTTAGAAAGAAAGATAGTGAAGAAAGGAGCAAAGAGGAAATATCTATTCCAGTACCAATTCCACGACAATAGTAAGAGATAAATCAGCTACCCCTTAAGACAGCTATAAGGAAAGCAGTGTTATTGGAGGGAATAGTTAGGTTTTATTTAGAGTAATACATTGAAACCATCTAGAGAAGAAAGGGCATAGAGAATTCTTTTATTGATCATTAGTTACAGAAGGCAAAGTGCATGGTTTTGAAACCAGCCCAATTGTTCCATAGAACTCTTATTTATGTTTTTTTGAATAAACATAGAAATGGACCCTCCCTGGTCCTAAAACTTGAAACTTACATTTGCCATACCTGAATTCCTCTCTCAGGCAAGGAGCTGAAAGTTATCAGATAGCTGTATACAGGCAATGAGACACCAGACTCCTCATCCATCATGATTTCTTCCTTACCCCTCCTTAATTCCTGTTTTCCTGCCTTCCTTACTATATAAACCCCTAATTTTAGTTGGTTCAGGGAGATGAACATAAGACGATTCTCATTGGCATTGGCTGAAGCACTGGAATAAAGGTTTCTTCCCTGGAAACAGGACATGGACTGAGAACCCTGGCATTTCAGTGACAGTTTGGTATGCTTAGCAAGGAGTGAAGAGAGGAGCCATGTGAGGATGTACAGACTCATTTGAGAATGAAGTACATGTGATGACCTGGAAGATATAGGTTGATTATCAATGTAAAGAGGAATAAAAAAGAATGAGAAACCAGTCCTAATGGTCATGGAGACGGGTTGCAGTAGTGAAGCTGTTTAAGTTGAGAAGGGAGGCAGCGGAGGTATGAGGATGTGAGGTTCTTATCAGGAATTGGCAGAATGCTGAAGCTTCTTCTTCCTTGTAGTTGACATAGTTCTGATAGCTGTGGGAAGGGCATGTTGCAGACAGCACAGAACACAGAGAACTCCTATCTTAGGAAATGATTCCAAGGTGCAGAATATACCTTTGTTATATGACTTTTGTTTACTCAGGTTCCAAGCAGAACAGGAATAGCACAGACCACCATGAACTAAAGGGGTATGTCCAAGTAAGTTTTTTTTTTTAATACTTTAAGTTCTAGGGTACATGTACACAACATGCAGGTTTGTTACATATGTATACATGTGCCATGTTGGTGTGCTGCACCCATGAACTCGTCATTTACATTAGGTACATCTCCTAATGCTATCCCTCCCCTTTCCCCCCACCCCACAACAGTCCCAGGTGTGTGATGTTCCCCTTCCTGTGTCCAAGTGGTCTCATTGTTCACTTCCCACCTATGAGTGAGAACATGCGGTGTTTGGTTTTTTGTCCTTGCGATAGTTTGCTGAGAATGATGGTTTCCAGCTTCATCCATGTCCCTACAAAGGACATGAACTCATCCTTTTTTATGGCTGCATAGTATTCCATGGTGTGTATGTGCCACATTTTCTTAATCCAGTCTATTACTGATGGACATTTGGCTTTGTTCCAAGTCTTTGCTATTGTGAATAGTGCTGCAATAAACATACATGTGCATGTGTCTTTATAGCAGCATGATTTATAATCCTTTGGGTATATACCCAGTAATGGCATGGCTGGCTCAAATGGTATTTCTAATTCTAGATCCTTGAGGAATCGCCACACCATCTTCCACAATGGTTGAACTAGTTTACAGTCCCACCAACAGTGTAAAAGTGTTCCTATTTCTCCACATCCTCTCTAGCACCTGTTGTTTCCTAACTTTTTAATGATTGCCATTCTAACTGGTGTGAGATGGTATCTCATTGTGGTTTTAATTTGCATTTCTCTGATGGCCAGTGATGATGAGCATTTTTTCATGTGTCTGTTGGCTGCATAAATGTCTTCTTTTGAGAAGTGTCTGTTCACATCCTTTGCCCACTTTTGGATGGGGTTGTTTTTTTCTTATAAATTTGTTTGAGTTCTTTGTAGATTCTGGATATTAGCCCTTTATCAGATGAGTAGATTGCAAAAATTTTCTCCCATTCTGTAGGTTGCCTGCTCACTCTGATGGTAGTTTCTTTTGCTGTGCAGAAGCTCTTTAGTTTAATTAGATCCCATTTGTCAATTTTGGCTTTTGTTGCCATTGCTTTTGGTGTTTTAGACATGAAGTCCTTGCCCATGCCTATGTCCTGAATGGTATTGCCTAGGTTTTCTTCTAGGGTTTTTATGCTTTTAGGTCTAACATTTAAGTCTTCAATCCATTTTGAATTAATTTTTGTATAAGGTGTAAGGAAGGGATCCAGTTTCAGCCTTCTACATACAGCTAGCCAGTTTTCCCAGCACCATTTATTAAACAGGGAATCCTTTTCCCATTTCTTGTTTTTGTCAGATTTGTCAAAGATCAGATGGTTGTAGATGTGTGGTATTATTTCTGAGGGCTCTGTTCTGTTCCATTGGTCTATATCTCTGTTTTGGTACCAGTACCATGCTGTTTTGGTTACTGTAGCCTTGTACTATAGTTTGAAGTCAGGTAGCGGGATGCCCCCAGCTTTGTTCTTTTGGCTTAGGATTGACTTGGCAATGAGGGCTTTTTTTTGGTTCCATATGAACTTTAAAGTAGTTTTTCCCAATTCTGTGAAGAAAGTCATTGGTAGCTTGATGGGGATGGCATTGAATCTATAAATTACCTTGGGCAGTATGGCCATTTTCATGATATTGATTCTTCCTATCCATGAGCATGGAATGTTTTTCCATTTGTTTGTGTCCTCTTTTATTTCGTTGAGCAGTGGTTTGTAGTTCTCCTTGAAGAGGTCCTTCACATCCCTTGTAAGTTCGATTCCTAGATATTTTATTCTCTTTATAGCAATTGTGAATGGGAGTTCACTCATGATTTGGCTTTCTGCTGTCTATTACTGGTGTATAGAAATGCTTGTGATTTTTGCACATTGATTTTGTATCCTGAGACTTTGCTGAAGGACTTTGCTTAGGAGATTTTGGGCTGAGACGATGGGGTTTTCTAGATATACAATCATGTCATCTGCAAACAGGGACAATTTGACTTCCTGATTTCCTAATTGAATACCCTTTATTTCTTTCTCCTGCCTGATTGCCCTGGCCAGAACTTCCAATACTATGTTGAATAGGAGTGGTGAGAGAGGGCATCCCTGTCTTGTGCCAGTTTTCAAGGGAATACTTCCAGGTTTTGCCCATTCAGTATGATATTGGCTGTGGGTTTGTCATAGATAGCTCTTATTATTTTGAGATACGTCCCATCAATACCTAATTTATTGAGAGTTTTTAGCATGAAGGGCTGTTGAATTTTGTCAAAGGCCTTTTCTGCATCTATTGAGATAACCATGTGGTTTTTGTCTTTGGTTCTGTTTATATGCTGGATTACATTTATTGATTTGTGTATGTTGAACCAGCCTTGCATCCCAGGGATGAAGCCCACTTGATTATGGTGGATAAGCTTTTTGATGTGCTGCTGGATTCAGTTTGCCAGTATTTTATCGAGGATTTTTGCATCGATGTTCATCAGGGGTATTGGTCTAAAATTCTCTTTTTTTGTTGTGTCTCTGCCAGGCTTTGGTATCAGGATGATGCTGGCCTCATAAAATGAGTTAGGGAAGATTCCCTCTTTTTCTGTTGATTGGAATAGTTTCAGAAGGAATGGTACCAGCTCCTCCATGTACCTCTGGTAGAATTCGGCTGTGAATCCGTCTGGTCCCGGACTTTTTTTGGTTGGTAAGCTATTAATTATTGCCTCAATTCCAGAGCCTGTTACTAGTCTATTCAGGGATTCAACTTCTTCCTGGTTTAGTCTTGGGAGGGTGTATGTGTCCAGGAATTTATCCATTTCTTCTAGATTTTCCAGTTTATTTGCATAGAGGTGTTTATAGTATTCTCTGATGGTAGTTTGTATTTCTGTGGGATCAGTGGTGATATCGCCTTCATCATTTTTTATTGTATCTATTTGATTCTTCTCTCTTTTCTTCTTTATTAGTCTTGCTAGCGGTCTATCAATTTTGTTGATCTTTTCAAAAAACCAGCTCCTGGATTCATTAATTTTTTGAAGGGTTTTTTTGTGTCTCTATCTCCTTCAGTTCTGCTCTGATCTTAGTTATTTCTTGCCTTCTGCTAGCTTTTGAGTGTGTTTGCTCTTGTTTCTCTAGTTCTTTTAATTGTGATGTTAGGGTGTCAATTTTAGATCTTTCCTGCTTTCTCTTGTGGGCATTTAGTGCTATAAATTTCCCTCTACACACTGCTTTAAATGTGTCCCAGAGATTCTGGTATGTTGTGTCTTTGTTCTCGTTGATTTCAAAGAACATCTTTATTTCTGCCTTCATTTCGTTATGTACCCAGTAGTCATTCAGGAGCAGGTTGTTCAGTTTCCATGTAGTTGAGCGGTTTTGAGTGAGTTTCTTAATCCTGAGTTCTAGTTTGATTGCACTGTGGTCTGAGAGACAGTTTGTTATAACTTCTGTTCTTTTACATTTGCTGAGGAGTGCTTTACTTCCAACTATGTGGTCAGTTTTGGAATAAGTCTGAGGTGGTGCTGAGAAAAATGTATATTCTGTTGATTTGGGGTGGAGAGTTCTGTAGATGTCTATTAGGTCTGCTTGGTGCAGAGCTGAGTTCAAGTCCTGGATATCCTTGTTAACTTTGTCTTGTTGATCTGTCTAATATTGACAGTGGGGTGTCTTACTCTAGGGAGGATTTAGTCCCACTATTAGAGTTTGTTATTCTGGCATCTCTACTGAATTCACTGAGCTACAGATGAGGCTTCCCACCGTGACTAGTTAGTACTCCAAAGCACGCCAGCTCTGAGATATACTCAAGTCACAGCTCCTCAGTTGCTTTTGTGTCAGGCCTTTTTGAGATCTAACCCTTTGGCTTAGATGCACGTCTTTGTATTCAGCAAAACCTCAAGACTCGCTCTTTGCCTAATTGCAAAGCTTGTTAACCTACACATGCATACTTCATATTTAGCAAAGACGCAAAGCTCTTCAAAGACCCTGATACAAAGTTCTGGAACTTATCTGTAGAGCCATTTCATGTCTGTAACCTTGGCCAGCTATATCCATTCACCTCAGTGTCACTATCTACAATCTCTGTTACCTAGATTCAGTGGGACCAACCTACTCCCCTTGGCCTCGCCATCTCTCTGGGGTGTGCTTTCAGGAATAAAGTCTGGGGCTATCGAAGGTTCACCTAGTATTTTTATTTTTCTCTTTCCTCAAGGATCACAGTCACGCCATGCTTATTTTCCAATATCTACACCTATGGTTTCATATCTTTTGCCCAGATTACTTATTTTTGTTACAACACAAAGGTAAATCTAGTTTCTGTTACTCCACCACGGCAAGAAGCAAAAATCTCCTTTTAAAAACAAAGAAAACTAACACTAACACACACACGCAAAACTAGAAGTCATTTCTAAATTATAGGACTTTTACCATGCCTAAAAACTGATCATGGCATACAAATGCATTGTCTCTGATTACCACTTGCCATGGTGAAATGACCTCTCCATAATAGGGTCAGTAATTGAGATGAAAGGACTCCTTACAGAAAGCTTAATTAAAAACACAGAGAGGTATGTTCATTGGAGTAGGAGAGCACTGACTTGGCATCTCCCAATCTTTTAGTTCCATTTTTTTGTCATGAAAAATGACAATTTTGTTCATGTGTAAACCCCGACTTTCATAGAAAATTGCATTCTTGTCTTTGGATACTGTAATAAATGATGTTAAATATACATATTTTTCAGATTGCTATTGAAATATTGATAATCAACTAATTTGTTCCCACTTTCTTGAATGCTACTGCATTTTGGGCTATATTCACATTTGTCAAGTACTTTTTAGCTCACCAGTAAACACTCTAGTTAAGAGATGAAATTATAAAAATACCTTCTAGGCTTTTCTGCTGCTTCTCTTTGTAGTTGTCCCTAGTTCCCTCTGAAACCTTCTTAATTGTACTGCAGAGTTTCAAGAACGTTTTTGTAATTTCTTACATAGTTAAAATGTCAGAAAACTCAAATGCAGTCATAATTTTTATTGACTAAGAAAGGCAAACTTACGAAATCCTGAAACTAATTATGCCTTTTCTATAGCCCTTGGGCATAAGATAGAATTCTGTCTTTTTGAGGGTCTTCATAGCCCTTTTATACCTTTTTTAGATAATTTTTTTTTTTTTACTATTTAGAGTCTTTGAGTATGCCCCAAATTAGCATCATCCGAGGATGATTTTTTAAAAAAATGCTATTAAAGTACAAATATAATCTTTGTGATTTTGTATCACCTTATGGAAAATAAAAACAAAAAATAGCATTATACAAAATAATATGATGGAAAATATTTTTATATACTGATATAAGTACTTTTTAATGTCTCCATGTATAGAAATGAAAAAAACTTGATAGATCATCACTCATTTATAATATTTTATAGAAATCAGGTTTTTTTGACACAGATTATATTTAGCAGCAAAAACAATCCTCAGCAATAAATTAGATTTCAGATTATTTATCTGCTGTTTTCTGACCAAATGTAACATTTAAATCTGTTCTGGTTAAAATTTTCTTTTTTCAGAATCTTCACCTTCTTCCCTTTACCCTGTTTTCTAAAGAAACAGTAAAAATGAATAATTGCAGTCTATATTCCTCAAGCCAGACAATCATGATACGTTTCAGGCATTTGCATTTAATGTCAGTTCTTGTCTAATTATGAACATAGTAAGCACATGTGGCAGACTGCATTATTTGCCCCAATCCTTGATGTCTTTTGTACGTGATTTTGCAGTTACTTTCATTAAAGCAAGCTTGTCCAACCCACGCCTCATGGGCCGCATGCAACCCGGGAAGGCTTTGAATGCAGCCCAACACAAATTTGTAACTTTCTTAAAACATTATGAGATCTTTTTTGCAATTATTTTAAAGCTCATCAGCTATTGTTAGTGTTAGCGTACTTTATGTGTGGCCCAAGACAATTCTTCTTCTTCCAATGTGCCGTAGGGAAGCCAAAAGATTTGACACCCTGCGTTAAAGGATCACAACAGATTTTCCCACTCTTTGACTTTGGGTTCAGTCATATTACCTGCCTTTAGACAATGGGACAGAATTACTGACATCCCAGTTCTCTGTCTGAGTCTGAAGTGTCTCCCATGTTTCTGTCTGCACTCTCAGGCATCCACTACCACTGAAGTGTACCTCAGCTAAGGGGCTGGAATTTGCACTCCTACTTCTGCTCTTTAAAAACCACTGCCAACACTGCTGTAGCTCCCTGATATGCAAAGGAGAACCCAGAATGGTGAGAATGCAGCTGGGAGCCAAAAGAACTGGAGTAAATTACCCACATTCTGAAATTCTTCTATGAGGAATTTTACACGAGGGTCCATATTGTATCTAACCACTTAAATTCATCCATTTAAACTCACCCTCACCTTGCATAAATTTATCATATCTCTGCAAATCATGCCTATACCCAAAGTTTCCTTGATCAGTAAGCAAAGTAATTTTATTTTATTTTATTTTATTTTATTTTATTTTATTTTATTTTATTTTATTTTATTTTTGCCAGTCCGATAACAACTCCTTCTCTGACCTCTGGCTTATGTTTGCCTTGTTTCTTCTGATATCTACAATGAATCAACAATGAGTTCACAACACAAGGAAATAACTTGGCTCTGTCCAGAAAACATCAGGTGTCTGATTGACTGTGTCTATTATTGTTGGTTGTAGCTTTGTTGTTTCTTAGTTTAACAAGGTTTCTATGCCTAAATGCAAGTGGAACCAGAAAGAGATTAACTATGGATTGTTAAAAATAAAACTATTTTTGCTGTGGTTTCATAACAGTATGGCCTGAACATAATATAATGGTGAACAATATCACTACTCAAAGTGTCACTATTATTTGTCTGGATAGCTAAATAACATTTAAGGAATGTCCATAACATTTTAGATTGAAATTTAGCAAATATTCTTTTTATACAGTGTAAAGTTAGCTATCACAATTTGCAGGTTGTTTCAATGGACATTTAATGAGTTGAAACCTTGAAGCACAATTAAAAATAAAAAACACTTGCCTCTCAACCTATAGCTGTTCTGCTGTATTGATCATTAATAATTAAATACCATGTCACAAGCCACTCTTTCCAAGGAGGCACTTAATGGAAATAAAAAAAGGAAGCATCCAAATGCTAAAAAAGTCACATCTTTAATGTCAAGCTTGCAGTGACTCATCTTCCTTCTTGTGCCTGTGACCGTAGTCGGCAGAGCGTTCAAGGCAAAAGAACACTGATTTGCTTGTCAAGAGAAAGGTGAACGGAGTTGCAGATGTTTAGGATAACAATCAATATTTAGAGAGAAATGCTCCAGAGAAGAAAGTATCTTCCTATATCTCCTGTCCCAGCCGATCTCCACCCCCTTGAACCCTCTCAGATGGTAGAAGAGCCAGTTCCTATTCTCTTGCATTAGCTTTAGAGAAGAGGTGCTCAAAAACACCAGGAGGCTTTTTTTTCACCTCTCTATATCGCCAAAACACCAGGAGAAAGGTTTTCATTTTCTCATCACAGAGCTTCTCCCCAGTCCTGAACAGCAGGGCTCTGTGCAGAGATGAGATTTTTGTATTAAACTACTCGAATAGGAATTGTGTATTTTATAAGGAGGGCATACATTCATTGATTATGCATTCAAGTTGCAGTTTTAATAAAACAGTAAAGATCCTTGCAGAGAACAGCACATTTAACTTGTTAGAAAATGTAAAAATTATTTCGAGGTTCCTCTGAGTCATTACTCTGAATCATACTCATCTTTTCTTTTGCCGCACAAGTTACAGTTTATGAAGTATTTGCATTAAAAATATTCATTCATCAATCTTCTAGCCTGTATGTTTGCCCAACTGAGGAATGCAAGTTGATCACATTACTGTGGAATAATGATGTGTCAGATTCTCCTTAAAATGAAACCATTTGTCATCTTTATGAATATGATAAATTATATTCTTGTTTTTAATCTAATCTTTGGGGAATTTCTAACAATTTTACCTTGATAATCTTGTTGTAATATTTTTCTAGAGGCAGTATTTAGCAGTGATTCTGGTTCAAGATTGTATTTTAATGTTATTTATTCTTAAACAAGTATTTACCAAAGAGATGTAAGAAAAATTGATATATCATATGTTCACATATATGACTTTTCTTAGGGACAAATCACATTTGTCATTTTCTATATTCATAGAGATTTGTGTAACAATGATACTAATAGTTAACATTTATTAATGAGTTAAAATACTGTGCAATCTGCTACTTGTTTTAAAATAATTTATATAATGTTGACAACCTTTGAGGTAGGTACTAATATTGTCAACATTTATCAGATGGAAAATAATCTCAGTGACTTTTTTCCCAAACTTTTGACAGCTACTTAGTATCAGAGAGTCTATGTTCATTAATTCTAAAGAATTAGGAAGAAAACCAAATCCAGGTTAGAAGCCAACAAATAAGTGGAGAAAAGTTTAAAATCCAGAGCTAAAACCAGAAAATGGCCAAAGCCAAGAAGGTAACTGAAGGCAGGATTATAAGGCCAAACAACTGAATTTAAGCTGGCCTATTTGTTTGCTGAAAGCTGCTTTTCAAGGACCAACCCAATGCCTTTCAAATTAATCTTGCAAGTTACTCAGAAATGCACACTTGTTTTTAACAATACAATCTCTAGCCATAGTCATACGTAGTAATTGTCCAAATAATTACATGTAAAGGTTATACTATATGGGTCCTTTTACAATGGTAACATGATTAAAATGGGGAACCCTTTAAAAAATTCAGGAATTTTCCTATAATAGAGATAGCCACTCTTACATGATAACAAAATTTGGGGTAACTAAATTGATGAAAAGGATATGATGATTGGCCGGGCGCAGTGGCTCACACCTGTAATCCCAGTACTTTGGGAGGCCAAGGTGGGTGGATCATGACATCAAGAGATAGAAACCATCCTAGCCAAAATGGTGAGACCCCGTGTCTACTAAAAATACAAAAATTAGCTGTGTGGTGGTGCGCACCTGTAGTCCCAGTTACTTGGGAGGCTGAGGCAGGAAAATCGCTTTAACCCAGGACACGGAGGTTGCAGTGAGTCGAGATCGCGCCATTATACTCCAGCCTGGTGACAGAGCGATACTCCATCTCAAAAAGCATCTACAAAGAGAAAAACAAAAGCCATATTAAGGTCAGGTGATCAGGGGCCAATTCCCAGGCATATTGCCACTTAGTCACTTTAAGCAAATTATTTCACCTCCTAGGGTCTTTGTTGTTTTTAACATTAAAATAAGAGCTGGTGATGATTTCTTTCACTTTAAATAATACATAATCTTCTAACTTTTTAAAATTAGTTTTTTAGATAGAAGATTGTCATACATTTTTTATGATGTGTAGATAGATACCTAGTGACATGAGACTGCTGATCTAATCAATGGTAAATCTATACTGATTTAATCAAGAGACTGAAATTCTTGAATAAAAATTGACCTAGGAAGTAAATATTCCCAAAGCAGCATTAATTCATTAGTAATAAGTAGTTCCATTTGATGGAAATGAGTTTAATAGTGATTGGAGGAAATGTGACTCTCCAAGGCAGTCTTTATATAAGACTGTAATATTTCACTGTTCTCTGGGAAAGCAATCTAGATGTCAACAATATATCTTTCCTTGAGTTACTTTCCTTTCTTTCTCATTCTTATTGCTTGCATAGCTCCCAGGTCCACCAAATTGTTGTCTCAAATTTGGATGTCCTTTCATCATGGAATTCAGAAGCCAGAAAACCTAGATCTCTACTCCCGGTTGTCACTACACCTTTCAGGTTCTTGGTTTTCTTGATTTTAAAAGGACTTTGATACTTAAAATGCTTAATTCAGTGTGGACATAAAAAAATATGATCTGATGCATTATGTTAAAAAAAACAAAGTGTCTAAGCATTAACTTGTTATTCATCATTCAGTTATCAAAATCGAACACTTACTGATTACTTACTATTTACAAGATACTGTGCGAAAAAAGAGCAATATGATTCCTGGTCATGGTGATCTCTCCATTAAATTAGAAAAACTAACTGCAGTTGAAATTCAGTGGGATAAATGCAAAAACAGAAATGGTAAAATGCCCAGCATAAACAACAACAACAAAAAATGTACTTAACTATTTTAGTGGGAAAGGGGTGTCTAAGGAAAACTTTCTGAAAAAGCTAATTCTGAGTTGGAATTTGAAATAAAAAGATATTTTCCCAGGAGATAGGAGAGAAAAGACATTTGTGGAAAGGCAAGGACTGTGAAAAGCACAATTCAGGGATGTGCAATCATTTTCTCATTGCTGATGTTTCCAGGTTGATGGGAAGTGGCAGAGGATGAAAGTGTGAAGACTTTTTGCCTTGTAGGTGATAAAGACTCAATAGTTTTGATGCCTGTGTTATGATCTAATAATATGTTTTACAAAGGGATGTGGAATAAATACAATGGGTTATTTTTATTTTTCAACTCTTTATTCTTCCATTGCTTAATTTTGTACAACTTTTTATCAGCTACTTTTTACTCATTATCTTTGGTGTCTCAAGTCTACCTTCACTATTTCCTACATTTTAGTTCACAGTTCAACCCCAAAAATCATCAATTCATATAAGGGAATGCCTATAGGCATTTTGTTCTTTATATCAGAAAGGAAGATAAATCAACTTTGAATCATGAATGTATCAACTTTGAAGACTTATTTACCTCTTACTATCTCCAATACACTGATCTGGATGCTGAGGTAATGAGAGGACTCATTTTTCAGAGAGGCTATTTAATAAAGAAATGTCAAAGTCAGTAGATAACTAGAGGCAGCACCTGGACATGGCACAGTGGAAGCACAGCACCTCAGCCACACATATGCCTGGCAGAGCATAAGCAATGCTTGGAAAAGGCAGGTTGGGTCTACAAGCAGATCAGTAAGTGGGTGAGCAGATGTGGACATAGAAGAGGAAGGGCAAACACACCAAGCAGTGAAGACAGATTATATAATACTGTGCTTAAGTGTCTCGTGCAGATGTTTATATTTTGCTATGTTCTTCTCTCAGAGTTCAGAGAGATTTGTTTGGTATTCCTAGAATTTACTTCATCCATTCTTGAAAAAAAAAATAAAGAACCGAATTACTAATAGTGTCTACTGCTTAGCATTCAACCGCTATCAGATCACATTCTTCACCAAATCCGGACTGCAAACAAGGACAGTAATTTATGCAGTTATGTGAGATCAGGTGATTAAAAGTAGACCTTCTGCCTACACTGACTACAGTTCATCTTCTCTCTTCTAAAAGTAAACATGCATATCCCTAGACTGAAGAAGCAGATTTGGGCTATGTTACAAGGCAAGACATTAAATTCTTTCTGCATGTCACTTTCTATTTATATTTCCAATATCTAGACCACTTCTAGAGTGTAAGACATGTAGAAAAGCAAGATAAGCTAACAATTTGAGTGTTCTTTGGTTTTGTTCTTGTTTACTAGAAAATATTTTCACTTTGCTTTTATTTTTAAACAGCTTTATTAAACCATAATTCACATACCATACAATTTGCTCATTTAAAGTACACTAGTCAGTGGTTTTTAGAGTATTCACATGTATGTGCAACACCATCGCCACAGTCAGTTCTATCAGCTATAAAAACTCATGTACCATTTTGCTATCACCACCCTCCCCTTCCATCACTAAACAGCCATTAATCACTTTCTATTTCTACAGATTCCTCTATTCTGTATTTTCATATGAATGGAATCGTTCAGTATGTGGAGTTTCATAACCATTTCCAAGCTTTATCCAAGTTATAGCATTTACCAGTTTCTTTTCTTTTTATGACCAAATAATATTCCAGTGAATCACATTTGTTTATCCATTTGCCTGTTGATCAACATTTGGGTTGTTTCCACATTGTAGCTATTATGACTAATACTGCTATAAACTTTTATGTGCAAGTTTTTGTGTGGGCATTGAGTCTTCTATTTTTAAAATATTTCTTAAATGCAAAATAAAAACTCTTCCCTGCTTGGAAAGCAGTTTCGCAGCCTCTGTTTTTAAGTCTAACCATTTGCTATTTCATTGTATCTCATGGGGCTCATCAAAGGTCCTTTTCTTTTATTCAGTCTTCTCCCTAAAGGATTTCTAGCATATTGTTTATTTAATAAACATTTTCATGGTGCTTACTATGTGATAGATGCTGTGATAGATGTGATAGCTTTTCAACACATATGAATTTTTATAAAAATACTATGAATTAGGTGTTATTACCATTTTCATATTACAGAGAAGGAAAATGAGTCCAAAGAAGGTAAGTAACTTATCCAACACCACAAATGGTAAGTGGTAACCTAAATTGAAACCTGAGTAGTATGGCTCCTGAGTCTCCACAGGGATCCATTATGTTAAGCAGAAATTCTCCAGTAGTGCTTTTTAAAAATAACTTTTTTATTTTGAAACAGTCTTTTATATTTTCAGAAAAAAAATGAGTTTTTAATACCTTACATCTGGTTTTCCCTTTTACGAACATCCTGGATTAGTTACATTTGCTATCACTAATTAACTGTGTTACATCATTATTAACTCGTTTGTACTTTATCGAGATTTGCTTGGTTTTTACCTAATGTGCATTTCCTGTCAAGGATTCTATCCAGGATACCATGTTACATTTATCTGTCATTTCTGTTTAGATTCTTCTTAGCTGTGGCAATTTCTCAAACTTTGTTTGTTTTTGATGACTTTGAAAGTTTTGAGGAGAACTGGTAAGGCATTTTGTAGAATGTCCCTCAATTGAGATTTGTCTTATATTTTTCTCATGATTTGACTGCGGTTATAAGGTTTATGGAGGAAGACCACAGAGATTAAATGCCATTTTCATCACATCATATCAAAGATAGTATCAACATAACTTATCATTATTAGTGTTAACCTTGACCACCTGGCTGAAGTAGTGTTTGTCAGATTTATCTACTGTGAAGTTACTCTTTTTCCCCCTTTCTGTATTATATTATTTGAAAGGAAGTCAGTATGAAAAACTCAAACTAGAGGAGTTATGAGTCATGTACCACCTCCTTGGGGGTGAAATACTATTTAAACTACATGGAATTCTTCTGCATGTGACATTTGTCTCTTGTCACTTATGTTTTTATTCAATCACTTACTTAGAATAATATGGGCCAACGAATTTTGTTATAGTTTGTATTTTAATTTTAATTCCTTGTGATGTTGTTTATTTACTTTGTGGCTCAAATTGTTTCCACTTTATTAGGAACTCTCTCATGTGACTACTGTGTCCCCTTGATATACAACTATCATTTTGTGTGTGTGTGTGTGTGTGTGTGTGTGTGTGCATGTGTTTGAGCATGTTTTATTCTGTCACTACAAGATGCGACAGGCTGCTCTTATGTATTTTCAACTGGCCCAAGAATCAGCCATTTCTCCAAGGAACCTTGGTTTCTTTTTCTAGAGAATGTTATTAGAAACCAAGCTATGATCTGAATATAAGGTGTGCTCATTTCTACTGGGTTGTTCTTTCATTTAGGTCCTCTCATCTGACAAAACAAGGAAATATATGTGCATATATTAACCTGTATATATATATATACCTATCTGTAAATATTTCTATATATAATCATCTGTATCTATGTTAAGCTAAATATGACTTCATAGTGAAGTCTACAACTCTAATCTGTTACCATATGGATCATTATTCTTTCACTAATACCAGGCTGTCTCGATTATTCTGGCTCTATAAGAAGTTTTGAAATTAGATAGCATGAGTTCTCCAATCTTGGTTTTTTCTTCAGTATTGTCTTAGGTATTCTAAGTTTTTGCCTTTTCATATAAACTGTGGAATCACTTTATTAACACCTATTAAAAAGCTTATTGGGGAGTTTTATATAGATTGTGTTAACCCTTTGATCAATTTAAGGAATACTGCCATCTTAACGATATTAATCCTTTCGATAGAAAGCATGGGATGCCTTTCCATTTAATTCGATCTTTAATTGTTCTTAACAATTGTTTTGTAACTTTCAGTTTAACAGTCTTCAACTACTTTTATTAAATTTATTCCCAAGGATTTTAGTTTTTTGATGTTGTAAATAAAATTGCATTCTTGATTTTATGTACAATTTTTTGATAGTATATGTAAATATAATTAATATTTTACATTGATCTTGGATCCTGTAACATTGCCAAACTTGTTTATTCATTATAATAAATTTGATGGATTCCTTATAATTTTCTATATGCAAAACTACACCATCTACAAGCAGAGATCTTTTGTGTGTGTGTGTAATTTCCAATGTGGATGTCCTTTATTTCTTTCTCTCACTGAAGGCATCCAAATCAGAAAGTTGAGACAGATCATCAAATGCTCAGGTAACTTTAAACTCTGCCTTTGACTTCACTTTCTGCATATGCAGGGCTTTAAGAACATTCAGAGGTAACAGATTAGGGCCCATTTAGCTCCTTTCTGTGATTACACACAGCCCTGCAGATATATGTAGCCCTTTAGATTCCCAGGAATATGTCAGGGCTTTTCAGAGCCTCCTATGGACATCTTTTCCTTTGATATTTTGATGGTTTTTGTTGGGCTTTTGTTTGCCTTATCTGCTATTATAATCTCAAGCAACCATGGTGCTAAACAATTGTCACTGATTGTTTTTAGCAAACATCTTGCATGTGGGAATGTCTTACAGTATGAATTCCAAATAATGTCAAATAGTGTAAGTATCCTTACAATTGGCCTCTTTCAGAACATTTCAAAAGCTGACAATGTTCTGGAAATTAGACTTTGTGAGGAGCTTCAACACCAGTCTACCTCCTCTATTGGTTGCAAGACTGCTAGTTTTCTCAGCTACTGTGGTTGTGAGCTGCTTATTTTCAAGTCTGCCAAAGCCTTGGCCAGAGCATAGTGGGAATAGATCAGGTTAAAAGGTTACAAAGCCCACTATTCTTACTAAGATTCAGCGTTATTTCTTGAATAACTGCTCCCAGAATGTTGCAAACATTCGATTAATTTTCAGAATTCTGTAAAACTTGACTTTACAATTTTGTTGGCTGCTGTTTTTATTGATTTTATGAAGGAGTAAATTTAAAGAGGTTCTCATTCTACCATTCCAGAGGTATTTTTAACTATTCTATTTTTAATATGTGTTTTCTTTCAGACACTGTGAATAGGTTTCAAGAACAAGTAATTCAGTATTAATTTTGATATGCAATTTTAAAACATTGCTTAATAAAATTTCATCAAGAATATAGTCAAGGCTAACTTAATGATGAGTATATCTCCTACTTCTCTTCTATTCAGCCATTTTATCGCAGCCATAGTAGTATTTTCACATTCTGTGAACATACCAGGCATGTTGCCACCTCAGCTTTTGCACTTGCTGTTTCCTCTGATATTTTAATAACTTACTCTCTCAACTACATTCAGTTATTGGCTTAAATGGCATGACTTCAAGGAGGCTTTCATGACCACTAATCTAAAATAATACCCCCATGTCTATCTACCATCTTACACTGCTTTATTTTTTTCTTAGCACTAATTACTACCTAATATTTATCACAGTATCTCCAGAAACTAAAAGAATGTTTGTCACACAATAAGAAAGTAACAAAAAAGTGTTGGTTAGTTTCAGTATATGAAAGAAGATAACCAACACTGTTTCTTCAAACTTGAATTGTACCACTTTGGCTAAAATCAGAGCAGTAATGAAAGTTTTATATTTTTTATTTATGGAATTCAAGCACACTCACTGACAGAAAATTTAAAAAAATATAAAAATAAGGTAAAACATTTTTAAATAGAGAAAAAGCCACATCAGCTATTACCCTTCCTGCCAGACAAAACCAAGGTTAACATTCATGTATTTCCTTCAGATGTTTTTAAATATGCAAGCAATGGTAATAAGCTTGAAATTATAAAAACATCTAAATTATTCTACATATGGTTTTAATTTTTTTATCTAGAAATGAATCTGCAAGTTGTCCATGTACAATCTATATTCTGGCATATAACTTAGTTCCATTTTCTCACAATTACATATAAAGCTTTGATAAGCATTGATGCACTGTTTTACATTAATAATGATAGACATATAATCATATCCTTAGTTTAGATTCTTAAACAGAATTTGAAGCAATGACAATTTTATATGGTACCTTAAGCTTATTATCAAACTGTTTCCTAGAAATATAATACCAAATAACATTTCCAATAGCAGTGTATAAGACAGCCTGTCTTACTGCACTCTCCAAATATCTACTATTGAATTATCACATTTATTCAATTTTTGCAATTTCCTGGAAGAAAACATTAAGTCCTATTTTAATTTTTTTACTTATTTTATCATTCATGAGAGTGAGCATTTCCTTTACTTACTGATAATTTGTGTTTCTTGTCACATTACATACAATTTTTCTCTTATAGTTAGAATTTTTTAAACTTTTATTTTAGGTTCCAGAGTACGTGTGAAGGTTTGTTACATAGGTAAACTTGTGTCCAGGCGGTTTGTTGTACAGATTACTTCACCATGCAGGTATTAAGCCCGGTACCCAATAGTTATCTATTCTGCTCCTCTTCCTCCTCCCTTCACCCTCAGGTAGACCCCAATGTCTGTTGTTTTTCTCTTTGTGTTCGTAAGTTCTTATCACTTAGCTCCCACTTATAAGAGAGAATATGCAGTGTTTGGTTTTTTGTTCCTGCATTAGTTTGCTAAGGACAATAGCCTCCAGCTCCATCCATGTTCCCACAAAAGATATGATCTCATTCTTTTTTATGGCTGCATAGTATTGTATGGTGTAAATGTACCACATTTTCTTTATCCAGTCTATCATTGATGAATCTTTAGGTTGATTTCATGTCTTTTCTATTGTGAATAGTGCTGCTATGAACATTCGTGTGCATATATCTTTATGACAGAGAGATTTGTATTCCTCTGGGTATATACCAAGTAATGGGATTGCTGGATCAAATGGTAATTCTCCTTTTAACTCTATGAGGAATTGCCATACTGCCTTCCATAATGGTTGGACTAATTTACATACCCACCAACAGTGTATAACTGTTTCCTGTTCTCCGCAATCTTGCCAGAGTCTGTTATTTTTTACTTTTTAGCAATAGCCATTCTTACTAGTGTGAGATGGTATGGCACTGTGGTTTTGATGTGCATTTCTCTAATGATCAGTGGTATTGAGCTTTTTTTCATGCTTTTTGGCCGCATGTATGTCTTCTTTTGAAAAGTGTCTGTTCATGTCCATCGTCCACATTTAATGGGGTTGTTTTTCTCTTGTAATTTTTTAAAGTTTCTTATAGATGCTGGATATTAGACCTTTGTCTAATAATTAGTTTGCAAGTATTTTCTCCCATTCTATAGGCTGTCTGTTTACTGTTAATGATTTGTTTTGCTGTGCAGAAGCTCTAAGTTTATTTAGATCTCACTTGTCAATGTTTACATGTGTTGTGATTGTTTCTGGAAATTTTTTTATTTTCTGTCTTCCTGTATGAACAGAGATCACTATGTAGACCACTGTCTATAGTTTTAACATCTAGCACAAGCCAAGAGGAACAACAGACACTCAGGGAATTAGTAAATAAATGATGAGTGAATAAATCAATCTATAAAATAGAAATTATGTTTTTTAACTCTGTGTCTCATATCTTACCTGACTTAACAGTTTGACTTTATTTTCATTTTTATTTTGTGGTATATGAAAGGTTTTTATTCAAGTATATGATAGTGCATTTTTTACTGTGATGTTGTCATTGCTTTTATGTTTTAGAAAACCCTTCATCGTTTAGATAAAGACAATTGTTGTACACATTTTTCCAGACTTTTATACTGATACTATTATTCTTTTTAATTGATGATAACCAAAATTTTAGGATAGAAGATATTTGAGTTTTTAGTTTAATTATTCAATGTATTAATTTGACTTTTTAATAAAATTATTCAATGTACTAATATAGCTTATTGAGATACTTCATCCTTTTCTCATTGATTTCTGGTTAGGTTAACGTTGTATTACGTTATATGGCTTTACAATATACAAAATTATTTCATGAACTGTTATTACCAATTCTTGCTTTTGTGTTTAAATAATTAGGTTTAAACAATTTTGGATAGTTTTCTTTAGTTATGAGAGAATACAAAAGGCTCCAAGATGAAATGTGAAAACTTTTTTGTGTTAAAAATATCACATTGTGGACATGAATGCTTTTTATTCCCAGTAAATGAAATTGTGGCTACATTTTCAATTTTTAACATTTTCAAGGTACTGTTTAATCTACTCAGATCCCTCATTTGATAACAAATGGGGCTGTTATTGTGCATGCAGCTTCCTCACAGTGCACATGAGTGCTCTACACTTTTCCATTTAGCTTTCCCCCTAATAGTCAGGTTAATCCTGTGCAGCTCAGCTCAACCCTTGGTGTCCAGTGCAGGTGCATTCTGCTAATGCAGATGCATCTTCCCTTTTAAAGTGAGAGAGAAATTCACTTACATTTTGAAGTTCTTTGAATAGTGTCAAACATGAAACACTTAGCCCAACTTATAAAACTACATCTGATCTGAAATACTCACCAAGGTCTATCCATCTTTATTTACAATAGTTTTCTTGAGTAACTAGGATTCCCCCTCCTTTACACCTCCTTTACTTCTTTTTGAATTGCTTCCTGGAAATGTTGTTTGTAAATAATGTAAAAAACTAAAAAAGAAGTTCATGAGGTGAAAGCGTAGGCCTCCAACTCTGGTTCATTGATAAGACAGTTCTCATCAAAGCTGGTGTGTGTACCCAGGGTAGGGACAGTGAGGGTGGTACGATATCATTTTCTACTGGTTAAAATAATAAATCCTGTGTTTTGAATTCTAATGCAATATTTTTGCAACTCTGTGTTAGAATTCTTACTGAGTCGTATAACCAATTTATTTAGTGAGACCAGTTTTTTTAAATGACATAGGTGAATAAGACTTTCTTACCTCATACCCATCTACTTTGTCTTCCATTTCCCTTAACTTGACAAGTGTTTAACATGGACACTTTCTCTCATGGGAACTTTCACGAGTTATTTGGAAGCAACCCCTCTACCTCTAACCCTTTCCCTCCATTCCTGGGAAACCCTCTACTGGAGTGTCCCAAGAGAACTGCCCTGGAATCCTTACACATACACGTACACATACACACACGCACATGCATGCACATGGAGTAATTTAGTAGAATTATTTTTAAACAACTCTATGTATCCTAAAATTATTAGAATCATATCCCTAGTTACTGTCAGTTCCCAAACCCAACCCTTTTATTTACTTCCTCCAGTCAGCTCATTCAGTATTTTGTTTTAGATTTTTCAGGTGTCAGGCAGACACCAGTTCACCATTCCTGCCCAAATGGCAGGGCACAAATGACAACCTCGTGGGAAAGTCTCTCTAAAGACCTCTCAGTAGCCTTGAAGTCACAGAAAAATCCCCAACTCTCTTCCATGCAGTTAGGTATGATTGTATTCACAACACCCTATGACATAGAAATAAATCTGTGGTAGTATCTTCTTTCCCTGGCCTTTCCAGTTTTATAATTTAATAAATAGTGATGAGTGTCAAAAGAGGTTTGGGGCACCTCTTTTTCAAGCTCCTGTCTAGGTTGACTGCACTGTATTTTGTAATATGAAAACAGACCTCAGCAGAATCTGAAAATAAAATATTTCCATTCTAAAATCCTGTTTACACTATTAGGAAAAACAACTTGTGCATGAACTACAACAAAATTGAATAGTTGATTTTAAATAGATACCTAACAATATTAGCATATGGCGTATTAGTCTGTTCTTGCATTGCAATAAATACCTGAGAATGGGTAATTTACAAAGAAAAGATGTTTAATTGGCTCACAGTTCTTCAGGCTACACGGGAAGCATGATTCTGGCATCTGCTTGGCTTCTGTGGAGGCCTCAGGAAAGTTACAATCACAGCTGAAGGCAAAGGGAGAGCAGTCATCTCACATGGTGGAAGCAGGAGGAAGAGAGAGAGACGGGGAGGCCCACACACTTTTAAAAGACCAGATCTCAGGAGAACTCACTCCCTGTCATGAGAACAGCACCAAGGGCAAATCTGTCCCCATGATCCAATCACCTCCCACCAGGCTCCACCTCCCACGTTGAGGACTACAATTCAACATGAGATTTGGGCAGGGAAACAGACACAAGCCATATCAGTGCACTTACTTATCTCAGAAAATATGGGAGCTGTTTTTGTTTTTTTCCTCACTTGCTTTTTCTTCCTAGGATAAAGTACTCATTATGATGCATTTGGCAATGCCATTGGAAACCATGACCAAGACCTTGTAAAAGTCCTTGAGAAGATTCAGTGCTGATATTTGAGAATTATCCTCATACTAAACGATCTGGGGTTTTTGAAGGATAATATATATCTAGCATTACAGGAGCATGAGTTCCCATCTCTCATATCTGATAGCTTATCTTCAACATGACATTAACAAAAAGACGAAACATGAATCGACTAAAATACAGTGCTTTCATGTTTACCTCTGTAACAAATCTGCATGTCCTGCACATATATCCTGGAACTTAAAATAAAATTTAAAAATAAAATAAAATGCAGTGCCTTTAAAAGGCTCATTGAAGATACCGAATAGTTAAGGGAGATAGCCTACTTGGTTTTAATTTTCATTTATATTTTTTCCAAGCTTTATATGTTATCATTATTCTATGTTAGTTTTTTAGAAAGCAAAACACCTGGATCATAAATTCTCAGCTCTCTCAAGAGATGATAGCATTAAGACTATAATTTTATTTAGCCAGCCAACCATGGTGGCTCACATTTGTAATTCCAGCACTTTGGGAGGCTGAGGCAGGAGGATTGCTTGAGCCCAAGACTAGCCCAGGCCAACACAGGGAGACCCTACCTTCACCAAAAATTAAAAAAAAAAATTAGCTGGGCATAGTGGTGCACACCTACAGTGCTGACTACTTGGGAGGCTGAGGAGGGAGGATCACTTGAGCCTGGGAGGTGGAGGCTGCAGTGAGCAGTGATTGCATCACTGCACTGTAGCCTCAGTAACAGAGAGAGACCCTGTCTCTAAACAAAGACCATTGTTTTATCTATACACATGTATGACTTATTTTACCTTATGCTTCTTTGTGTAACATACCTCAAATCCTTTTCAAAATGTATGGGGAAAATATGTGAATAAAATATTGTGACCATCATTTTGGAACAGTTTATCAGCACTTATTTATAATCTCTTCCAAATAAAATTTCACCATGTTTAATATAATTTAAAATACACAGGTCTGATTTAATTATAAAAATAAGTTTCCTAATAAATGTGACAGGACTAATTTTTCTAATGATAATTTTACATTTCATAGTCAATATCAAACTGTTCTCTAATTTTATTACCCAAAATTATTCGATAAGAAGGCCTTAGAATATCAACAAACTTGAAGTATGTAGATCTTGAGACTGTTTTTTGAATTGATCCCCCAAGATTTATATCCTCGTTAGTTGCTTTCCTCAAAACACAATGTGTAGGTAGCTATGGAAGATGGAAGTCTTCCGGGCACTACAAATTCCAAGTTACCATAAGCACTAGAGAAATTAAATAGTTCAGGAATTTCCTAGGAACTCTAATTTCCAAGTTACCATTAGCAACAGAGAAACAAAATGAATTTGGGTACTTTTGCTGACCAATCGTCACAGCACTATTAAGGACATTGCATTTTTCATGATGATATTTAATATCTTAGCACTGTATGAGACTAAAAATGATGAAATTTTAAAAATATGAAAAAGGAAGTCTAGAAATATGAATTGCATTAAATGTTTCTAAACTAATATGGTTATATGGTAGAAGGTTCCTTTTTTTTTTTTTTTTTTTTTTTGAAACAGAGCTTTGCTCTTGTCGTCCAGGCTGGAATGCAATGGCATGATCTCAACTCACTGCAACCTCCACCTCCTGGGTTCAAGCGATTCTACTGCCTCAGCCTCCCGAGTAGCTGGCATTACAGGTGTGCACCCCTACGCCAGGGTAACGTTGTTGTTGTTTTGGAGTCTCGCTCTGTCACCCAGGCTGGAGTGCAGTGGCTCTCAATCTCCGCTCACTGCAACCTCCTCCTCCTGGGTTCAAGCGATTCCCCTGCCTCAGCCTCCCGAAAAGCTGGGGCTACAGGCACCCGCTGCCACGCCTGGCTAATTTTTTTGTATTTTTAGTAGAGACAGGGTTTCACCATGTTGGCTAGGATGGTCTCGATCTTCTGACCTCATCATCTGCCCACCTTGGCCTCCCAAAGTGCTGTATGACAGGCATGAGCCACCGCACCTGGCCAGAAGGTTACTTTTATATTTGCTTTTGAGTTGCCAGAGCCCCACAGAATACAAAAACTAAGTTAAAGTCAAAGGAAATAGTTTTTCAGACAGAAAGAACTACTCTATATACTTTATACTCTAGGTACAATCCTGGTGATATATTCAAATAGGTGGCCCATGTAATGGGGTTGTTAAGACACTTATTCCTGGGCAAAGGAGGAGATATAATGTTCAGAAGCTGATATTTTAAAATTACTTTATCTATTTTATATAAAGAATGTAAATGGTTATCTGTATTACTAAAATTATGAGTTTGCAGTTTTCTTTTGCAGCAACCTTCACTCTGAATTTCTAGTTCCTGTTTTTGTGAAACAACAAAAAGGAAAATGCCTTGGCGTTTTGGATGGAGAATGCTCATCACAGCTCTGAGTCTTGCAAGAACTCTGAATTGGGAGTCTAGCAACCCTGGGCAGATCATCAAACTTCTCAGAGCACAATATTTTTTTCTACTTACAAAAGATATGAAGTTAAAAATGCAGTTACCAATCTCAACAAGATGAAGATACATATGGTAATAGATACATGACAATGGAAACAAATTATTTTTCTCTTATTTCAAAAAACATGAAATCCTCTCCTCTTTTCAGAGTATAGTAATGATCATTTATTGGTGGAAAACAGTGAAAGTTTATATAGTCTTTTTCTATTCATTACCTCAACTTATTTTTATGTGAAATCTGCCAGTTGAATGTCTTATTCCATTTGTACTGCTACAACGAAATATCATAAAATGAGTGGCTTATAAACAATGGAAATTTGCTTCTCACAGTTCTGGTGGCTGAGAAGTCCAAGATAAAGGCACCAGAAGATTCATTGTCTGGTGAGAGCCCACTTCCTGGTTCTTAGAACAATGCATTTGCACTGTGCCCTCACATGGGGGAAAGGACAAGGCAGCTCTCTAGGGCCTCTTTTATAAGGACACTAATCCTGTTCAACAGGGCTCTGCCCTCATGATCTAGTCACCTCCCAATGGTCCCACTTTATACTATCATCACATTAGGGATTAGATTTAGAACAACACATTCAGATCACAGCATTAGGTAAAATAAGCAATCTTTTTCCTAGATAAGAAAAAACACATTTTACTGATAAGAAAAGAGGCTTGAAAGTTTAAGAAGATTGTCCAGAGCCAATGAATGGGAGAATTTAATCTTTCATTCTGATTTTATCCCACTAAGTTAAGAGCTCTTTCCTCTATATCACGTTACATAATCTAGAGTTTTATTTTTACTCAAACATCAATAACATCCATAATTTGGTAAATTTTTTAATTCTCCCTTTGTGATTTACATTAATAAAAAGATGTTCTTCATTTTAGAAAAGCAATACATCAAAGCCTGGCCTTACTGAGGGTGTATGTATGTGATGGTATATGTAGTAGATACTAAATACATTCTATAGGTTTTATAGAGTTAGCAATACAGATATAGGCTACGTTGACATTTTCAGTCACTTGGAAACTCTTGCTGTGCCATACAACTCAATGGATTTTCTGGGATGAAAGATTAAAAACCTACCACACTCATTAATTTCTTGTAGTGAATGTTCAAAGTACCAGAACCTGTCATGAAGGAATTTGAATAGAAGATGATAATTTTTTATCATTTGTTACTTTTCTAATCTGTTTTAAAATGAAATAAATAAAATCTTATGAATGAAAGCTTGACAATTTCATGGAAAAAAAAAAGCAGCATTCATCATGATTTGTCCAAAATTAGGGACTCTTCTACCAGGAAGTGGTTAAGTACTAAAGGATCAGCGATTATTATTCACAAAGTAAAGTACAGTCTGTTCACAGATGTTTGAAGTGGGAAGACGAGAGAAAGAAAGGTTGATTCTCCTTAATTCCATTTCTTTACATTTCATTTCAATCTCCTTTTGTGGCCTGACTTTCATGTGCACATTTTCTGAGAGGCCTGATACATCTTTAGAATACTATTGGAAGGTAATTTTTAAAATTAGAGATGTTGTGTGTTTTTTCAGTACTAATGGGTACTTTTGTTGAGTGACTAACCTCTTGAATGTATTTAGTATCCATCACAGATACCATCACAATTACATACACTCTCAGTAAGGCCAAATTTTGATGTGTTGTTTTTATAGAATAAAGAACATCTTTTTTATTAATGTAAATCACAAAGTGAGAATAAGAAATTTACCAAATTATGGATATTGTTGAAGTTTGAATAAAAATAAAACTCTTTTTTTGTTTGTTTCTCTCTCTTATTTATTTATTTATTCATCTATTTGTTTTTGCAGCTTACTGGTCTGACAGGCTGGGAAGTAAAGTCTCCAACCAGAAGCCAGAAACAGGCACTTCCAAAACATATATTTTGATTTGTTACTGGCTATATATGCAGAAGGCACATATCCTGGGTAGGTAGTCTTAATTCCCATACTGTGAGTTTAAAAATGAGCCACCCCTACCCAAAATTACTATGGGAATTCCATTTAAGGGTAAGTAGCCATACTTTGGGAGGGGAGGAAGTCAAGTCTAGTTTTAACAAAAAAACAAAAAACTCTAGGATAAGATCTTATTGGAAACTTGTACGTCATCTTTCTGCATTTCCAGGCACCATCATTGCATGTCTACCTTCTACCTGTTCCCAGCTACCCACTCCCTCCCATACATTCCAGTCCCTACACCCCTGTCCCCACCTCCAACTACACTGGATCACAAAGATCTGTTCTCTGCTCCTCCCATGCTTTAAATCACTTTTACTTTGACACCACTTCACTGTCTTGTTGAAAATCTCCCAACCCTTATCAAGAATAAAATTTTCTATAGTATCACTGGATTCTAGCAGTGGTTCCAATATTCTATTTTTTTTCACAAGCAATGCAACACCTTTTTTTATTTTTCACAGTTATTGAAATCAGTCAAATATTAAATAATTTAATTCAGAAGTATTATTTATGCAAACAAACTACACTTATAACAGCACGACCTTTTACCTGAAAAATAAAGGATAAAGTATTATATTTACTTATTTACATATTGCCCATAACACTGATGGGCTTTTTTTTTATGCTTTGTTTTCTAAAAGTTGTACTGTTTTTAAACAAACAAAAATAGATTTGAAAAGACTGAACCAAAACAGTGCTACCTAAAAGTCAAATCTTGTTATCAGACATCAGGGTCCTTATAACAATTCAACTAATAAGATTTAAGATTTAACTTCATCCCAAAGTATCAGAACATTAAAAAAAAACACACACACACAGTCTCAATGTACCTATTTAAATAAATCCGCAACCTTTGTGGGAATGACTATAGGTGAAATGTAAGTTACACAGAACCAGGGTTGGCTTTATGTAAAAGCTAGTGACCTAAATAGAAAATGAACTTTACCTTAAGAGAAGTTGTTTGTACAGTGGGGAATGCTTATGACTTACTTCAAACTATTTCCCAAAATACGTGCATTTATTTTGACAATACAACTTAAGGCTCTTCATGGCAAGGCCTTGAAAAGTTACTTAAGAGGAAAAATGTCTAAAGGAAGAGATTCAATTAGTTTACATTAATTATTCAGTGTTGTGAGTAAATAAAAATTTGTGCTCTTTACTGTTTTTCATTCTTCTACTATTAATGGGAAGAATTCTTAAAATGTTACTCTCTTCAAACTGTCTTTCACTTGGATTTAACAGATTTCTCAGATATTTGTTTTAAAGAAATTAATATTATCCTCAGTGAACATGCTGAACATCCAGTCCCTTCAACTGTAAAAGGTCTTTCTCTGAAGGTGACAGATGGAAGCCATTACAGCCAAGGATTTAGACCCTGAGGGATGGTGCATGGAGCTGGTGCTTCAAGATCTAAACGTGGTGCCAACAATGCCAGCTATGGGACCTTATCCTTCTCGACAGAATTAACACTGTGATCATTCAGGTACATTTGATTTGCTTTTTTATCTCCTCCCCCAGTGGGCTATTTTCTGTGTCTAAAGATGTGCTCATGTATTTTTAAAATGATTCTTGGTAGCCAATCACGATTCTATTTCTATATTTGTCATGGCTTAACCTTATCTAACACCATGATTCTACTTTACTAATTCTTTAAATGCAAATCATTTGGTATTCAGATCCTGGATGAGTAAATGAGAATATTGTGAGAGAAAATTATGGGTGGGTGATCAAAACTGAAGTTTCAGGCAATTCCTTTAAATTATTTCATCTGTACAGTAGAAATAATTATTGATTCTGCCTATGTTTAAGGCTGGCTCTGTTTTAGGTTATAAGAGAAAATAGACATTTCTCCATATAATAAAATGTTTATTGAGTCCTAGCAAATTTCAGAAATGTCCCTCCAGAATGTGGTTCTTCCAAACTATACTCATGACCACTCTCCCACTTCAGTCACTGAATGCTTGGTAAATTTGAAGCACCTTTTTGAATAATCAATATTTTCAAATAAAGAAAAATGACAATCAAGCGATTTAATGAGAGGAAAAGCTATAATAAAAACATATTATTGCTTTGGTGTTCTGCCTTATGTATGAAGAAAGAGGATCTTCTGACACCTGTAAATATTTCCAGTGCTATAATCTAATGCTATGGTTACACAGCAGATAAGTTATTTGATGAGGCAGCCAGCATCACTAAATGTCATTTGTTAAAGACCAGTCATAAAACAATATTTATTTAATCACATATGAATTTTAAGATCATTAAATGTCTTTAATTCATATCATTTGCCAGAAAAGGAAAAGTGCAAACAAAAAAGAATAAAATTCTTATAATTTGGCTTTACCTAGCCTATAATATTAGGTTGGTGCAAAAGTAATTGCAGTTTTCGCCATTACTTTTAATAAATAAGAAAAAGAAAATGAAATAAAATACACAATATAGTTTTATTTGTATTCAAATTTCAACAACATCCATAATTCGGTAATTTTTTTCTCCCTTTGTGATTTACATTAATAAAAAAGGTGTTCTTCATTCTAGAAAAGCAACACATCAAAATTTCGCCTTACTGAGGGTGTTTATATGTGATGGATACTAAATACATTCAATAGATTAGTCACCCAACAAAAGTACCCTACCGTATTGCAAAAACACAAAGCATCTCTATTTTAAAAATTAACTTCCAACAGTATTCTAAGCATATATCAGGCTCTCTGAAAATGTGCACATGAAAGTCAGGCCACTGACTTGAAGCCATCCATCCTGTCTAGTGATTTCTTGAGAAAAAAATGTTAAACGCAGATTCAATGTCTTTAATGGAAGCATTGCCTTTCATAGATCTGATCTATTTTTTCCTGTGTCGATTTTGGTCAGTTGTATTTTTCTGCAAATGCCTCCACTTCAAATAAAGTTACAATTTTTTTGTCATAAAATTCTATCAGCTCTTTGTGGTCTCATCAACATCCGTGGGGTCTTTGAAGTATCCTTCCCATTTATAAGTGACTATTAATTTTCTCTATCTGTGTTACATTTTACTAACATAGTCTCTTATTATTTCCTTCCATCTACTTCTTTGCATTTAACTTACAATTATTTTTCTAACTCCCTGAGATGGATGCTCATATGGCTGATTTTCTTTCATCCTTTTCTAATGTATGCATTTACCATTATAAATTTCTATGGTTTGAGATTAATTCAACCAATTGTGATATGTAATAACTTGCAATAATTTCATTATTATTTATTACAAATGATTTTACTATTTCACTTGTGACTTCATTGATGCATGGAATATTGTTTAATTTTTAAACATTTGAAGATTTTACAATTATTTTTGTTACCTGACTTCATTGTGGTTAGAATATGTGCAGTATTATTTCAACCCTTTAACATTTGCTAAATTCCATTTACATCTACCTGAAAAAAAACTCTAGGTTTTGAGTGTTGTGTTCTTAATATAGAAATTAGTTGTTTCATTGTTTGCTTGTTCAAATCTTCCTTATCCGTAGTGATTCTTTAATTTTTATGAAAGTGATACATTAAAAGTCTAACAAAATGTTTGTGGGCTTATCTATTTTTTGTCTAGTTCTTTACTTTTATAATATATGTATTTTGAACATACATTTTTCTGTAAAGGACTGGATAATAACAATTGTATGCTTTGTGGTACATATAGTTTTTGTTGCGACTACTTAACTCTGCCATCTAGCATAAACACAACCATGTATAATATATAAAAATAAATTGGTGTGCCTGTGTTGTAATAAAAATTTATTTATAAAAACAGGAGATGGAGCACAGTTCACATGTTGCTGGTGTATACTACTAGGGCATGTACATTTTTAATAAGGCTTTTGGATTTAAAGTCAATTTTATCTGAAATTATATAATAACACCATTTGGGGAGACGGGTAATGGATGAGGCGAGATAGTGTTTGCTTGCTATAAGACGATGTTTTCTTGGTGTATCTTTATTGTAGTCTCTTTATTCTCATTTTTCTCTTCTATTACTTTAAGGTATGTCTCACATAAGCTGTACATAATTGGCTTTGTTTTGTTCAATGGGTCTGTGAGTTTTACACTTTTACTTGGAGCATTTACTCCTTAATATTTAATGGAATTATTGAAATATTTGAGTCTGTATCTCCTGTATTACCATTTGCCTTTTATTTTTCCTATTTGTTTTACATTGTCTTTTCTCTCTTGTCTAGTTTCTTTTGAAATAATCAAATAATATTTTTCAATCTTCGGCTTTATTTTCTTGTCATTTGTACATTCCTTTACTATTCTTTAGTGGTTGCTCTAAAGATTACAACATAAAATCTTGATTTATTAGCACCTATTACAGATTAGTACTTTTATTACTTCTCAGACAACATAAGGATTTTAAAACATTTTAATTACCTTAGCCCGATCTCATATTTGCACTATTTTTGACATATTTAATCAAATTTTTAACTTTGATGACACTTTCCTTATTATTCTGCACAATTAAAATTTATTTAAATTTATCTGCATATTTACTATGTATTCTGCTGTCTATTCATTCCTCTGTTTGTTTATGTCTGGAAACATTCATCTTTTCCTCAAAAACATCCGTAAGCATTTATTTTAATTCTAGTCTGTTCATTGAAAATTTTCTCTATTTTTGTTTGTCCGAAACTTTTTAATTTTATTTCCATATTTGGAGGATATTTTTGCCAGTTTTCTAACACTAAGTTAGTAACTTTTATTTCATAATTTTAAATAAATTATTTGATTTTCTTCTGGATTTCTTTTGTGTTTTTCATTTTTTATAATTCATTATATTAATACTTTCAGTTTATTAAGAGAAATAATCTCACCCTTCACTTTTAATTAACACAAGCTTATACAGAGATTTAAAAACTAGAATGTTTTGGCCCATATACTTGTAAAGTAATCAGTGAAATGGGCCTGGATCTAGGGCACAATTGTTACCACAGGAACTCTCCATCTCTCAGTTTTAATTCTTTCTGTGTTAAGCTACATTTTCTTTTTCTTAATATGGTACAAAAGGGAGGAATTCTCATAGATGTCTCAGACTAGAATATCTCCATAGAGTCAGTAATTAAGCCTCCTTCTTTTTCCTAGCACTCTGGAGGACTTCAATCAACTTTATATGTGTTCTGTGGCAGTTTCTGGGTCATTCACTGTACCAGAGTGATGATGTAATGACATAGTTGGATAGGGCTGGATTACATGTTCATTCAATGTCTTTGGAAGAGAGGTTCTGCAAAGGAATGGGTATAGTATTATACTATATTAAAAAGGAAACTGGCTTATTGGTAATACAAAAAAATACAACCCCTTTAAGAAGTGGGCAAGATACATAAACAGACACTTCTCAAAAGAAGATATATGTGCAGCCAATAAACATATGGAAAAAAGTTCAACATCACTGATCATTAGAGAAATGCAAATCAAAACCAGAATGAGATACCATCTCACGCCAGTTAGAATGGTGATTATTAAGTCAAGAAACAACACATGCTGGTAAGGTTGCAGAGAAAAAGAAACACTTTTACACTATTGGTGGGAGTGTAAATTGGTTCCACCATTGTGGAAGACAGTGTGGCGATTCCTCAAAGATCTAGAAACAGAAATACCATTTGACCCAGTAATCTCATGGGTATATACCCAAAGGAATATAAATCATTCTATTATAAAGATACATGCACATGTACGTTCATTGCAACACTAATCACAATATCAAAGACATGGAATCAACCCAAATGCCCATCAATGATAGACTGGATAAAGAAAATGTGGTACACATACACCATGGAATACTATGCAGCCATGAAAAGGAAGGAAATCACGTCCTTTGCAGGGACATGGACGGAGCTGGAAGCTGTTTTATCCTCAGCAAACACAGAAACAGAAAAACAAGCGAAAGCAGGAGCTGAACAATGAGAACACAGGGACACATGGAAGGGAACAACATGGGGGCCTTTTGGGAGGTGGTACGTGGCAGGAGGGAGAGCATTAGGAAGAACAGCTAATGGATGCTGGGCTTAATACGTAGGTGATGAGTTATCTGTGCAGCAAACCACCATGCCACAAATTCACCTGTGTAACAAACTTGCACACCCTGCACACGTACCCTGGCACTTAAAAGTTGAAAAAAAAAAAAAAAAGAAAATATAAATAAAAAAAAATAGTACAGCACATGAGGATGCCATTCTTTATTTCTTTGTTGCAATGTTATGTTGGCTATTTCAGAAAAGACTCATAAAACATAGTTACCCAGCTCCTGTGTCTCTTCAATAACTCACTTGCGTTAGGATCTTTATCTTAAGGTCTATTTCTGATACCTAAGAGAATAAATAACAAAATTGGTTCTAGGAAACAGCCTGCATGAACGACAAAATGATGCTGGCTCACTCATTGCCCAAATAGCAATAAAGATCCTCATCATTTGTAATAGATAAGGTGTTGATAGCCCTGACATAATATATCACTGTAGTGGATGAGACTTTCACCTGTGATAAATTGGATATAATAACAGGCAGAAGGGACTGCACTGGTTTTTATGCTGCCACTTTTCTGGCATTTGAGAGATACTGGGGGAAATGATAAGCATGAGGACTCTGGAATCAGTTTGTTGTTGTTAGGTATGATTTACGTATTGAAAATAACAAATGGCAAGTTCTGATCAATTTCCAACCTAAGATACAAAGAAACCTTCATTTCTGGCCGGGCACAGTGGCTCACACCTGTAATCCCAGCACTTTGGGAGGCCAAGGTGGGTGAATCACCTGAGGTCAGTAGTTCAAGACCAGCCTGGACAACATGGTGAAACCTCATCTCCATAAAAATACAAAAAATTAGCCGGGAGTGGTGGCAGTGCCTGTAATCCCAGCTATTTGGGAGGCTGAGGCAGGAGAATCCCTTGAACCCGGGAGGCAGAGGTTGCTGTGAGCCGAGATCGCACCACTGCACTCCAGCCTGGGCAACAGAGCGAGACTCCGTTTAAAAAAAAGGCAAAGCAAACAAACAAACAAAAAACCCTCATTTCCTGAAAAGAGAGGGCCAACAGGCTTGGAACTCAATTTTAAGAATGGCAAAATTTGATAGAAATACATTTTAAATTGCAATAAATCTCCTACAGAGACTTTTCATCTTGATAGGGAAGGAGTGAGACTCTGAGACTTCAAACGGGAAGGTCTGGGTTGATGAAATTAAGAACATCAAACTCCCATTCTTATTCACCTGCTTGCCTAAAAAAAAGTATCCCACCACCTTGGTAGGGGCCAGAATTGGTTTCTCCTTTGCAGGAAGACTGCAAAAGGGATGTAAGGGATGTAATTAATGCTTGGTTTTCTTAATGCTTTCCTCCTCAGAATCTTTCCACACAAACTCTCAGTGTCAGGAGAAAGGTAGTAGTGTCAAAGCACTTCATGTTACAATTAGGCAAATCGTGTCCCTGGTAAGGGACAAAGAGAATTACTTACAAATGAGCTATAGGGCCTGATTAATACGTACTGACAAAAGCCAGAGGTAGATATTGAGGATGCGGAACCAGAGTGTTAGAATATAAAGTTGGGTAAGATAAATTTTGTCATATAGGAGCACTTTCCTGTTACCTAGTTTTAATGCTGTAGTCAAGGACCCTGGAGCTGATGGGATTTTTCTTGAAGGCATAGAAAAAATATATAGCTCATATAAATAAAGTGGAAATACTGTCAAAATACATGAAGGAAAAATTAACAGAGAAGTAAATGGACAAACAGATATACTTGAGATATCGGCACTCTTAATTACTCTCAGTAATTGATACAAGTTGAAAGAAAATAAATAAAGATCTAGAAGAGTGGAATAGAATTATCAACCAAATTGACCCAGTGGAAATCCAGAAACATTCTATCAACAACAGAAAAAGTACTCTTACTTTTTAAGTACACAGAAAACACACATTGAGATAGATAATTTGGTAGACGGTGTAACTAAGTCTCACACATTTTGAAATCATTAGAAATATGTTCTTTTACTACAAAATGAATAAATTTAAAATTGACAATAAAAAGATAACTGAAAAATCCACAATCACTTGAAAATTAAGCAACACATTACCAAATAAACTCCTTGTCAAAGAAGAAATCACAAGATAAGTTAGCAAATAGTTTGAATTTAATAAAAATAAAAACATGTATTTAGATTTGTGATATATTTTGCAAGTAAAGCAGTGCTTAAAAGAAATTTTATAGTGCCAAATTTTTATGAAAATAGTAACGGTCTAATATCAATTATTTAAATTTTTCTCGAGATAATAGAAAAAGTAATCAAATTCAATGCAAAGTAAGTAGGAAGAAGAGACTAATAAAGATGAGAATATAAATAATAGAATTAAAACAAACAAATGACAGAGAAAATTAATAAAAGTACAAGTTTTAGATTTAAAAATATCAATGAATTTGATAAACTCTAGGTAGGTTAATCAAGAAAGGAATGAAACAAATTACAAATATTCAAAATAAAACAGATCTCACTATGTATCCCAGAACATCAGATGAATAATACAATAACTGTTTATATGGATATTCATGCCAAGAAATGTGACAACTTGAATGAAATGGACTAATTAATTAGAAGTCTGAAAATTGATACTGAATGAAATAGAAACTTGGATAGCCCTATACCTATAAAAGAAATTGTTTATCATTAAAAATTTTGCCACAAAGAACTCCAGGCCTAGTTTTATTCTCTGGTGAGCTGTATCAAACATTTAAAAAAAGAAATAATATTTATTCAACCAATATTATTTCTAAAAATTATATGAGGAGGGAAAACATCACAATTCATTCCATGAAGTTGTATTATACTGATAAGGAAAACAGAAAAAGACATTCTAGGAAAAATAAATTATAGGTCAATATTCTTCATGTACCTAGATGTAAAATTCCTCAACAGAACCTCCGTTTTCCACTCCAATATGTAACGAGTTTGTAATCACTTGTATCACTCTGTCCACACAAAAAAAAGGGCTGAAAACAGAAAAACAAATCTTCCTAAACCCTTCAAAGAATTAAGATCACAGGGAAACCACTGCCCTCAAAAATGGAGAGACAGGTAAATACAGAGGATCACAGCTTACTGGGATCAGAAGCCACTAAAGCCAGTAACTTGGCTACAGTAAAACACTCATGGATTATAACAGACTTACAGAACAAAGACTAATTACAAAGGAGTTTCTAGGGAAATCCAAAGAAAACAGAGAGACAAAAGCAAGGATCTTAGAGGAACTTCAAGTCCCTAACTCTTACAACTACAACAAACATGAAACACAGACTAACTCCTAGCCAGATAAGCATAAAACTTCACTCTGAAGGCCCAGTTGCCTCAGTTCCTATTACCTGATACATCATGTCTGGCTTTCAACCAAAAATGACAAAGCATTCTAAAAGTCATGATAACAAATTGTCTGAAGAGACAGCACAAAATCAGAACAAAGCTCAGATATGGCAGAGATTTTAGAATTAGCAGACTGGGAATTTAAAATAACCAGGATTAATATGTTAAAAGCTCTAATTGAAAAAGTGGACAAGGTGCAAGAACAGATTGGTAATGTAAGTGGAGAGAGAACTTCTCAGAATCAAAGGAAATACTAGAGATAAAAAACATTGTAACACAAATGACAAATGCCTTTGATAGGCTGGTCAGTGAACTAGACACAGCCAATGACAGGATCAGTGAACTTGATGACATGTCAGTAAAACCTCCCCAAACGGAAATCCAAAGAGGAAAACAAAGGAGAAGAAATAGAACAGAACATCCAGGAATCTGTGCACTCATTCCCCAGCTTTTGTATTTTATCCTTTTAATGCTTCACGCTTGCAAACTTCCTCAGAAGATTGCCCCTTGACTCCTAGAGAGGCTTCAGCCCTCATTATAGTCAGAAATTCCTGGGAGTCTGCATTTCCCTTGTGAAAATAAGAAAGCTTAGCTCCCTTTCCTTACGGCATGACTTGTGCTCAATAGCTCTTTTGAAGTAAGTTGATGCTAGGAATTGTCTTATCTTTGTGACCATTTGGCTGTTCCTCTTTCCCTGTCCTGTTATTTTTTATTGATTTCATGTGGCAGTGATTCTCACAACTTGCTTGTACATGAATGTTTATCTCAGAGTCTGCTTTGGGGAAGGTCACATATACATACTGTAATAACTTTTAAAAAATGAAAGATGTTTCCTAAATGTCACAAACCTATGTAAGTACGTTTCTGATTATATATTATGCATAATTTCTGTTCTCATGCTTATGGAGAGAGTGAAATTTGGGTCACAAAATACATGCTTCATGTTTATGTTAAGGTAAAAGGAAAACTCTCTTTTATCTTTATAATCCCTCAAGTTTGAAAATTATGTTTCATTAAAAGTAGGCACTGTTTTACTTATAAAATATTACAGCAATCGTATAGCCTCATTCCATAGTCATATATAAGGAGTCATACATGTTCAAATGTAAATCAGCATGTGTTACTTCAAAATAAAATATAAGCAGGAGAAATGAGTCTATGAGGTTGCATGTTGATAATAGCTATTTTAATCGTAAAGTCTAAATGTCCATCAGGAAAATCTGAGTTAAGAAAATTATAGTAATCCATGTAATAAAATACTATGATCTTTGAAAAGACTGATCAGTTTTATAAATAGTTATATGAATTAATGCCAAGGTTATATAAGTAAGGAAAAAATCAAGATGTGCAGTAATATTCTAGTATACTATTTTATAAATTATAAGATTTGCATAATATGTATTATGTGTGGATGTTTGTATATGCATAGAATATAATGGAAAGTATATAAACAAAATGTGGTAACATATTTATTTGCCTCTTGGGAAAACAAATGAGGAAAAGAAACAATGTGGGAGAAATAGGAACATTTACTTATAAATGGAAATTTTTATATACATACATATATATTTATCTATGTAGAGCACATGTATGCATAACTATTGACTGAATGAATATATGAATGAGTTGATATGTTTGTAAGTATCTTCAGTTTGTTAGGGATAAAATTCTAATTTGATAGTCCCTCATTTTTTTAAATTTTAAATATGTGCGGGATACATCTGTTATTTAAGAAGCATAATATGAAGGGTGGGTTTTATTATCTAAAAATAGGGAAAGACACCTTATTTCACATTATTCCCAAAATAGAATAAGATCTGAGTGCATGTGCTGCACCAATAATTATTTTATTTCTTGGCCAAAATGGTCTCTAATGGTCTCTGTATGAGATACAGAGAGAGTTAAGAGGTTTATACCTTCAGATATGTTCTCATTAAAGGTGAAGGAAGGAGCTTTTGACATAGAGAGGAGATCTTGAGAAGGAAAAGTTTAGATGAATTACTTTGAGCCCTGCGAAACCTTTAAGACACTTCATCCCTTGCTAAGTATTGAACTTACATACACCTAAACAGGCATGCTGAAAGATAAGCCCTTGTGATGAACACAATTTGAATTATCAAGGAATGTTCCTATTGGGGTTGCTTATTACTAATGATTAAAACCTGCCTATTGGAGAGTCTCCCCTTAAAGTGGGGGAAATTCATTGATCAAAGATCAAAGTCCTGGCTGTAGTAACACATTTAGCTAGCCAGCACAAAACTCTCAAAAACAAGTTTTAACTTTGAATAATGAAGAAAATATCAATGGAATGGGCTCCAGACAGGGGGAAATGGCAGATAATTTTATTCATTTATTAATTTAATAAGTAATTTTAGGTTACCTAGTGTCATTCAAAGCACTACATGGGCACTGTGACTAGTACAAGGTTGAATAAGACAAGGAATCTATCTGTAAGAAATTTTATAGTTTAATGCTTTTCAAGGGAAAAAGAAAAACCCATTACAGGGTGAAATAATAGAGCTAGTACTCTCACAACACCAGTTATAGTCTCAGACTCTTCATAGCCATGCCATCCTGAGGATGGTACCATAGGGTAGAGCATCCTACTCTGGAAGAACAAATAAGACACTATGGGGAGCAATTATTTATGTCACTTCTTTATTTTTTAATAGTGCATACAAATAAGTAAGCATCTTTAAGACTATATTTTATTCAGTCAGTCTATATGGATCAGGGAAAACTGGGAAACATTACTCCACATCTGTATTCCTTTGCTAAAAGAGGCTTTGTAGTCCTGACATATTACTTACCTTAAAAGCAGCAGCAGCATAGATATTCAGCCAGCCAGTGCTAGAAATTTCTCATGACCTGGTTATCTTACTAACAGTTTGTATTTTAGTGAGTACACTGTCGGATACAGCATCCACTGCTGCTGTTTTCATTTTCCAGCACAGAACTACTGTGCTTTGTTTGTCAAGAATTCTTTCCTGTTGAGATAAAGCCCTGAGGCACACATTCAACATGGATGAGTCTTTTGGTACTTTAAGCTGGAGGCCTAATTTTCACAAGATAAAGATAAGCAGGGTTGTAAAAAAAAAATCCATCAAGTATAAACAAGAAATCATATGCAGACTTTCAAAAATTATTTTTAAATTTCCTGAATTTGTATAGTTTTAAACTTTACCTCAATATGACACTCATGCAAGTTTTCAAAAATTGAATCAGCAATTCTTCACATCGCTATAGTGTGACATTTTATGAAATATCTGTCTCCCTTTTCTGCAATGATTCACGTAATATGGGAAATATTATGGTGATATGAAATTTCTTTGATTTTTTCTAGCAATTTGCCAAGCCATACATGTGCTTTCACTATCAGTACAAAGTGACATGCTATACTAAAGCTTTTTTTTATCCCTTGGGGGTCTAACTCTTCAAATCAGCATTGTTCAGTTAATATGGGTGTTTAGAAACAAATTGAATGAAAATCGTGCTGGGAATATAATTACTTTATTAATACCAATTTAAGACTTTTATTGCTAAGCCTTTTTTTTTTTTTTTTTTTTTTTGAGACGGAGTCTTGCTGTGGCCCAGGCTGGAGTGCAGTGGCACAATCTCGGCTCACTGAGGCTCCGCCCCCCGGGGTTCACGCCATTCTCCTGCCTCAGCCTCCGGAGTAGCTGGGACTACAGGCGCCCACCACCTCACCCGGCTAATTTTTTGTATTTTTAGTAGAGACGGGGTTTCACTGTGTTAGCCAGGATGGTCTCGATCTCCTGACCTAGTGATCCGTCCGCCTTGGCCTCCCAAAGTGCTGGGATTACAGGTGTGAGCCACCACGCCCGGCCTATTGCTAAGTCTTTTGAATAATCATCATCGTTTTTTCCTCTTAGTTATAATAGCTTCATTTACATATTCACCTGGAGATGTTTTCTCTTTCAATTCTTATTTTTGTCTTTCAGATACAAAAATCCATATATAGAACTACTAAAAATCAACAAAATTCACAGACTGGAAAGGCAGACTCATCAATAAACAGTGATGCATGAGTTGGATATACACATGCAGAAGAAAGAAATTCGACCTTTATCTCAGAACATATATAAAAATCAACTCAAAATAGGTTAAAGACTTAAGACTTTAAACTGTAAAACCATTATAAGAAAACAGAGGGTAAATGCCTCTTATCACTTGTTTTAGCAAAGAGTTTTTTAATATGAACCTGAAAGCACAGGCAACAAAAGTAAACACAGACAAATCTGATTGGCATCAGACCAAAAACCTTCTACAAAGCAAATGAAACAACAGACTTAAGAGAACCCACGGAATGGGATAAAGTGCTTTCAAACCATATCTGATAAAGGGTTAATATCCAACATATATAAGGAACTCAAACAACTCAATAGATCTGTTGTGAAGTTTATTCTTATGTATTTTAAAGTTGCTATTACTACTGGAAATGACATATATTTATTATATTTTTATTTGTCAGTTGTTAGTATGCACAATATGATTGATTTAGGCTTATACAGGCAAAATATATAGCAAACTTCATGAGCTTTTGTTAATTCCAACAATTTGTCAATTGTTCTGAGTTTTTAAAAATACAAGTAATCATATAATTTGTAAATGGTGACAGATTTCTTTATTCTTTCTAGTTATTTCTAACTTTTAAATATTTACTTTTATATTTTTGTGCTGCCTAGCCTAACAAATAAAACCCATAAGAGCAGATTTGTTTTGATTATTCTTAAATTTAAAGGAGATACTTTTATTATTTCACAATTTGTGGTGATACTTAAGCAGTTTTTGGAAAATACCTGTACTTTATCAAATTTAGAAAATTCTGTTTTATTAATAGTTTGCTAAAGTGTTGATTCTTGTATCATTAATGAGTTATACATTTTATCCAATATTGTTAGGCATCTATAGAGGCTGACAACAAAGTATTTGTTTCTTGAAATTCTACTGTTGAGATGAATTACATAACCAGTCACTTTTCCTATCTTCAATAAATTCAACTTAATTTTGGTGTATACATGTTTTAATTCAAAGTTTATTTAAGATAGATTTCCAATTTTATTGACATAAATTTTTTCATATGATTTTCCTATAATTTTTATAGGAGTTTATAGACTTCTATCTTATAATTATTTTATCCATTGTTAAATTTATGTTTTCAAATAAATTTTGCAGAGTTTTGTCTATTTTTATTCTTTTCAAATAACCAACTTTTGAGTTTATTAACACTTCATATTATATCTTGGTTTTCTAATTCAAATCTATGTATGTTGGCATTACCTTTCTTCATCTTCCTAGAGTTTTATTCCATTATTCTTTTTCCACCATCTTAAGTCAGACACTTAGCTCGTTAATTTTTATTTTTTTAATAGTATAAGCATTTAAATCAAATACAATTGTCTACATCTCTACATTTCTTATTTATATTGTGATATCATCTTTGAACAATTGGCTATTTATAAGTATGGCCATCTTTAAGCATTTAAAAAATCCCAAAGTTAACTAAGGTCAGAGCAGAACTGAAGGAGACAGAGACACCAAAAACCCTTCAAAAAAATCAATGAATCCAGGAGCTGGTTTTTTCAAAATATCAACAAAATAGACCGCTAGCAAGACTAATAAAGAAGAAAAGAGAGAAGAATAAAATAGATGCCATAAAAAATGATAAAGGGGAAATCACCACTGATTCCACAGAAATACAAACTACCATCAGAGAATACTATCAACACTTCTATGCAAATAAACTAGAAAATCTAGAAGAAATGGATAAATATCTGGACACATGCACCCTCCCAAGTCTAAACCACGAAGGACTCGAATCGCTGAGTAGACCAATCACAAATTCTGAAATTAAGGCAGTAATAGCCTACCAACCAAAAAAAGTCCAGGACCAGACGGATTCACAGCCAAATTCTACCAGAGGTACAAAAAGGAGTTGGTACCATTCCTTCTGATACTATTCTAAACAATAGAAAAAGAGAGACTCCTCTCTAACTCATTTTCTGAGGACAGCATCATCCTGATACCAAAACCTGGCAGAGACACAACAAAAAAGAAAATTTCAGGCCAATATCCCTGATGAACATTGATGCAAAAACCCTGAATAAAATACTGGCAAACCGAAACCAGCAGCACATCAAAATGCTTATCCACCATGATGAAGTCAGCTTCATCCCTGGGATGCAAGGCTAGTTCAACATGAGCAAATCAATAAACGTAATCAATCCATCACATAAACAGAACCAATAACAAAAACCACATGGTTATCTCAACAGATGCACAAAAGGCCTTCAACAAAATTCAACAGCCTTCAACAAAATTCAACGGCCTTCATGCTAAAAACTCTGAATAAACTAGGTATTGATAGAACATATCTCAAAATAGTAAGAGCTATTTATGACAAACCCATAGCCAATATCATACTTAATGGGCAAAAACTGGAAGCAATCCATTTGAAAACCAGCACAAGACAAGGATGCCCTCTCTCACCACTCCTATTCAACATGGTATTGGAAGTTCTGGCCAGGGCAATCAGGCAAGAGAAAGAAATGAAGCGTATTCAAATAGGAAGAGAGGAAGTTAAATTGTTTTTGTTTGTAGATGACATGGTAGTATATTTAGAAAACCCCATCATCTCAGCCCAAAATCTCCTTAAGCTGATAAGCAACTTCAGCAAAGTCTCAGGATACAAAATCAATGTGCAAAAATCACAAGCATTCCTATACACCAATAATAAACAGCAGAGAGTCAAATCATGAGTGAACTCCCATTCACAATTGCTACAAAGAGAATAAAATACCTAGGAATACAACTTACAAGGGATGTGAAGGACCTCTTCAAGGAGAACTACAAACTACTGCTTAATAAAATAAAAGAGGACACAAACAAATGGAAAACCATTTCATGTTCATGGATAGGAAGAATCAATATTGTGAAAATGGTCATACTGCCCAAAGTAGCCTGATAACCCCATCAGGCTACCACTGACCTTCTTCACAGAATTAGAAAAAACTACTTTCAATTTCATATGGAACCAAAAAAGAGCTCATATAGCCAAGACAATCCTAAGCCAAAGGTATCATGCTACCTGACTTCAAACTATACTACAAGGCTACAGTAACCGAAACAGCATGGTACTGGTACCAAACCAGACAGATAGGCCAATGAAACAGAACAGAGGCCTCAGAGGTAACACCACACATCTACAACCATCTGATCTTTGACAAACCTGACAAAAACAAGCAATGGGGAAAGAATGCCCTATTTAATAAATGATGACGGGAAAACTGGCTAGCCATATGCAGAAAGCTGAAACTGGACCCCTTCCTTACACATTATACAAAAATTAACTCAAGATGGAGTAAAAACTGAAATGTAAGACCTAAAAAACCATAAAAACCCTAAAAGAAAATCTAGGCAACAGCATTCAGGACATACGCATGGGCAAAGACTTTATGACTAAAACACCAAAAGCAATGGCAACAGAAGCCAAAATTGACAATTGGGATCTAATTAAACTAAAGAGCTTCTGCACAGCAAAAGAAACTATTATCAGAGTGAACAGGGAAACCCAGAGAATGGGAGAAAATTTTTGCAATCTATCCATCTGACAAAAGGCTAATAACCGGAATCTACAAAGAACTTAAATTTACAAGAAAAAAACAAACCACCCCATCAAAAAGTGGGCAAAGGATATAAACAGATACTTCTCAAAAGAAGACATTTATGCACCCAACAAACATGTGAAAAAAAGTTCATCACCACTGGTCTTTAGAGAAATGCAAATCAAAACCACAATGAGATACCATCTCACACCAGTTAGAATGATGATCATTAAAAAGTCAAGAAACAAAAGATGCTGGAGAGGATGTGGAGAAATAAGAACACTTTTACACCATTGGTAGGAGTATAAATTAGTTCAACCACTGTTGAAGACAGTGTGGCGATTCCTCAAGGATCTAGAACCAGAAATACCATTTGACCCAGCAATCCCATTACTGGGTATATACCCAAAGGATTATAAATCATTCTACTACATTCTACTGGTATATCTTTTTTTGTTATTTTTTTTCAGGCTGAAGTTCCTTTGTATTTTCAAAAGTATATGGCTTGGCTGGGCACGGTGGCTCACACCTGTAATCCTAGCAGTTTGGGAGGCAGGGACGGGTGGATCACCTGAGGTAAGGAGTTCAAGACCGGCCTGGCCAACAAGACAAAATCCAGTGTCTACAAAAAATACAAAAATTAGCTGGGTGTGGTGACGGGCGCCTGTAATCCCAGCTACTCAGGAAGCTGAGGGAGGAAAATCACTTGAACCTGGGAGGGCGGAAGTTGCAATGAGCTGAGATTGTGCCACTGCACTCCAGCATGGGTGACAGTGTGAGACTCTGTCTCAAAAAAAAACAAAAAATATATGGCTTGATTTTTTAAAAACCTACTCAGAAAAGTATTGTCACTTAATAGATTAGTTTGGTCTATTTATATTTATTTTATTATAAATGTATTTAGATTTATTTCTACTATCTTTATTTATCCTGCTTTTCCTATTCTTGTTTTCCTCCCTTTCAAACTCCAATTGATTATGAAATTATCTTTTGCTTTTTATTGGCATGCGAATACTGTACTATTACAGTTTACCTTTTTATTATTAACATTGCATTGGGAATTGATGTTTTAAATTATATATATCTTAGTACTTACAAAAGCAATCAGTGTTTCTCCACTGGTCTTGGGCATATTAGTACCTTAAATGCTTTTATCTCAAGTAAAAATAATTCTGTTTTAATCATATTGTATTTTCAATCATTTTTTTCATATTTTTTCAACTTAGCTGAAATATATGTTAGTGCTTTGACCTAGAAAAATAAACTATGTTTGGGTTTTGTTGCACTTTTTAATATTAAGAATCCTAAAAATCAGGGATTCTTTGTGAAAGAAATCTACTTTTCAACATAGTGATTACAATAAATAAAGGCAAGAATATGCGTTTTTATCATCTTTTCAGTCATCAATCAACATATTCTTGAAAGACAGCTGCTCAAAGACTCATTTAATGTGATCCTGCTAGGCATGGACAGAGCAGATAAAGCCAGCCCATTTAATTTCAGTTATCTTCCACTATTATGTTTCTGTGACTATCTGCAGAACTGACATGTGAAGATAAATGCAATGAAACCTATTGAAATAGAAATGAGTATTAGTTGTTAAAATTTAAAGAATAAATGTAACTTTTTATTCTCCAAAGCAAGATTTGTCTAACTAAAAAGAAAAGCACACTATAAAAAAAATTTCTTAAAGATAAATTGTATGTAACCCACAGATCAGTCTAAGACCTGGAAAACCATGGAATCAACCAGAGTCATCTCTGCCACTTCTCCATTTTGGACACCAAGTTACATGAAGCACATCTATTCTGCTAAGACTGCACTGTGACACTGTTCTCTTCTCATTTATTCTGGATGGACTCATTTCTGTTCAAGTATCTTCGAAAACCTTACTCATTCCACTAGAGTTTGATTTCTGCCATTTGACCAAAGCAATGGCAAAGAAGTGTTACTACTCTCACAAAACACTGGGTGTTAGAACCTTAATGTTCATGAGTCCTGAAGTATGCATCACAACCTGGATATAATAGTCACTGGATAAATTAGTTGTTACAAACTGAATTAAATTATTGGTTAGAAAAATTTTAAATAGATTTCAATAGTGTGATATATACATGGTAGGATGTTCAGAGAATAACATTTTTTAATATGACAATATTTTAATTAAAATAAATCATGAAGGTCATTAATTACTCTTCCTTCTTATGAAATCCATTGTGTTACAGAACTGTGGTTCTCTCCTTCTTATTGCCCACAGTGTGGCAAGTGGGAAGTTGTTGGGGTCGAGGGTGCTGGCATGCTTCAGCCAATTCATGTTACAGCTCTTTCAATCCTGCCATCCTGCTCCATCCCCCAGCTCCTGGACTGGCCTGGCCCCACTGCTGCTTCCTGTCATGTGGAACAGCTGCCTGGTGCCAGCAAAGGGTGGGAGGGCTATAGTGTTCCAACATCTCTGGCTTAAGGAACCCCGAGATCTGAGCCCCCAGAAGGGTCACCGCTCTTCACTCCCACAGTCTTGGAGCACGTCACTGCCCGCAGCTAAGCAAGTGAGCCAGGAACCGTTTCCTGTTACATCTCCTTTCACTCCGGCTGTTCAGTGGGTCCTGAGTTCTTGTCCCACATCCAGGAAGAATGAGGTTACACAGACAACCAGAGGGTAATCAAGGCAGTGATGAGCTTTAGTGAGAGACAGAACAGCTCTCAGGAGACCTGAAGTCAGTGGCTTCTTTCTGCAGGCAGGTTGTCCCAGCAAGTGTGTGATTCTGGCTGATTCTGGGGTTTTAAGTGCTCAGAATGGAGGAAATGCATGCTGATTGCTCCATGGGCAACCATGGGCAGGCCTGGAAAGAGCACCATCCAGTTGTCCAGAAGGCATTAATAAAGTTCTCATTCCTGGTTGTCGACTCCATGTGGAACTGGCAGCCCAACCCCCAGGCTTCAGGTTGTCTCTGGCTTGAAGGTGGGTTTTAACTGGGGATATGCCCCTTCCCACCTAGGAACCTGTCTGCCTCCAGCCACCATCAACATGCCATTCACAGTACCCAGGCTGTCTGCACCAAGGAAACTCTGCAGGCCCGTGCTGAGCCACCCTCAGCCTGTGCCCCACCACCTCCCTCCTGCACTTTTTGGCACCCAAAGTCTGGAAAGGACCGAGGCAGCAGTGGGGGCTGATGTGTAAGTGCCACCCCGAGTGCACACACACCTGGCCAGGTTGCGACAGCACGTGGGCTTAGCTACAACTCCCCAGCTTCCAGAAGCAGGAAAAGGCCAGGGAGTTTGAGCAGGTACTTCTGAGTCTGCAAGGGCAGGGGCTTGCTGAGCCCCTGAGAGCACAGGGATTCCTGGGACTGGAGCTGTGGCTGGGTGGGTTGCACCTGCACCCTGGAACATGGGCTCCTGCCCTGGCAACTGAGTAGGGCACAGAGCTCCCACTGAGATCCCTGTTCCCGGCTCCCACCAGCTCCACAGAGCACTCACCTCTGGACGCAACTCCCTCTGCTGCAGCTGGCATCCCCACAGCGGCCACTCCAGGTGGTCCACTGCCACCATCACAAGTTAAGCAGATTTGGGGTGCAGTCACAAAAGCTAAAACAGAAAAGGCAATTGAAGTTTGCCTGAGGTGATACGGCAGCCTGTAGAGCTCTACTCAACCTACGACCATGCTGTAAGGTCGCTCTGTAGCCTATTCATGGAGGGTCAGCAAATATCTCCAGATTCCATTTCCATGCCCTTTCTCTGCCCTGGGATCAGCCCTGATGTCATATGTCTGAATTTTCTTTTAGCTCCCAATCTTATTTCACCCCATTTCATCTCCATATTCTGCATTCCAATAGTCTATCCTGCCCATGACAGCACCATGAACTGAGAAAATAAGCACAGCTTTATTATCTAGGGTCTGGCTTGTCTGTGATGAACGTCCAGACAAGGAATCAGAGAACACTTTAGCTGGCACACTACACCCAACCATTTTAAGCTACAGTCTGTGTCTCCATAATAGTGTGTAGAAAATATTCCAAGCCACAAACTATGTGTTTTTCAGAGTAGATAATAGGTAATACATAAATTGAAAATGTGAATATATCTTCCCATTGCAACAGGTTCAGCAGATCCTGTAGATACTTTGGGATGATAAGTAGCATAATTACCAATTTAAAACACACCGTCAGTAGTTAGTCTTGTTAAATCAAACATTGAACTGGGCCAGATTAAACAAAGAAGACTTCAACGCTATTGCAAGAGAGAAGACGGACAAAAACAAAGTCTGAATTCTACTTAGCCAACACAAATGGTGGGAGTGTATTTATATTCTAGGGGAAGAGAGCGATCATCGGTCATCTGTGTTGCTAATTGGCCTTACCTAAAGGAAACGTAAACTTTCTCATCATTATGACCTGAGATCATTTTCCATCTTGGAGCAAGATGTGCACTGGAGTTAGGCACCACAGAGACTGGAAGATAGGGAATGATCTTAAGGATTATATTTCAAAGAGATGGCTCCCAGGTGCTTGAGAAATACATTTCTGGGCTGTCAAACTGGCCAGAGGCTTTTAAAACTATTTACATCAAAGGGGCAGAGAAATAATTTGCAATTACAAGTTTTCTGAAGAAATGTTCTAAGAAAAGGGAGGTCAGGAACCTAGAGTCAGAAAGAAGTCTGTATGAAGTTTAGTCATGCTGAGAGAAATGCTAAAGCTACCTTAACCAGTCTCATTTGCTGGTACTTTAGTTCTCTGAGAAGCTCTTTAATTTCTAGAACTTGTTGATTTTCATACTCAAAATATTCTCCAATTGCCGAGACCAGCTCGGTGGCAGAGACCCTAACCCAGCGGCGCTAGAGCAATTAAAGACACACACACAGAAATATAGGGTGTGGAGTGGGAAACCAGGGGTCTTACCACCTTCAGAGCAGAGAGCCTCAAACAGAGATTTACCCACATATTTATTGACAGCAAGCCAGTCATAAGATTTACTAAAAGTATTCCTTAGAGGAAATAAAGGGATGGGCCGAAATAAAGGGTTGGGCTCTGACTAGTTATCTGCAGCATGAACATGTCCTTAAGGCACAGATCCCTCATGCTATTGTTTGTGATTTAAGAATGCCTTAAGCGGTTTTCTGCCCTGGGTGGGCCAGGTGTTCCTTGCCCTCATTCCAGTAAACCCACAACCTTCCAGCGTGGGACAGTCAAGGCTGTCATGAGCATGTCACAGTGCTGCAGAAATTTTGCTTAAGGCCAGTTTTGGGGCCAGTTTATGGCCAGATTTTGGGGGCCTGTTCCCAACATCCGATGGCCTCAAAGTTCATATCAAATTATTTCCAGGACATTTTTATGACACTTAGGATATAACTCACTTTTCCAGCCACACTGGCCACCTCTCCTTTTCCTTCGACATGCCATGCACTGACTCAAACAGTTGCTTTCCCTCTGCCTAGAAATGTTCTTCCTCCAGAAAGCCCCAGAACTCATATTCTTACTTTATTTGGCTTCGCTTCCTGAAAGAGGTCTTCCCTGGCTTACTTTTTGTTAGTATGCATCCTTCAATGTCTATTCTCTTATATTGTTTATTTTCTTGCTCCTCCACTAGAAGGCAAATTTCATTAGGGCAGGGACATACTTTTGTCACTATATCTCCAGCATCTAGAACAATGTCTAGAAAATAATCTAAGTTCCCCAAAATATCTGTTTTATGAATAAATGGGAGAGTGAAACTGGAGGGTAGTAAAGGGAATAATAGGATCAAGGATAACAACTAGCATTTGGCTGAAATAACTGGATATTGGTGATACTTTTTCTTGAAATGGGATGGAGACATTACTAAGAGTGATAGCATGGAAAAGAGTCAGGGAGGCAATTAGTTTGGTGTATGATATATTGAGTTTGACCTTCAAGAGGTAAATCCAGTTGGAATTCTCTTTCAGTGGTTAGTATGAGTCTGAGGCTTAGAGAAAGACAGTGCTGGAGATAAAGATTTCATACTCATTTTCCCTCCAGGGGCTGTGGAAAAAAAATAGAAAAAAGTAAAAAATATTCAAAAATGTTAAAAAGATTTCATACTCATGATCATCAAGTTGGTGGTTAGGTAATACTCATGATCATCAGGTTGTGGTTGGTTAATTTATATTTTCGTGAGAGAAGAAAAATTAACAAATGTGTAATATAATGTCAAGTATTAACAATTAGGTTGTTTTTTAAAGGAAATGCTATAAGGGAATAGAAATTCAAGGTGGCATACTAACATAAAAAGCAAGTCAGGGCCAGGTGCGGTGGCTCATGCCTGTAATCCCAGCACTTAGGGAGGCTGAGGCGGGTGATCTCCTGAGGTCAGGAGTTTTAGACCAGCCTGGCCAACAATGGCGAAACCCAGTCTCTACTAAAAATTCCAAAATTAGGCGGGTGTGCTAGTGCATGCCTGTAATCCTAGCTACTTCAGGAGGCTGAGGCAGGAGAATTGCCTGAACCCAGGAGGCGGAGGTTGCAGTGAGTCAAGACCTTGTCATTGCACTCCAGCCTTGGTGAAAGAACGAGACTCCATCTCAAAAAAAAAAATTAAAAAAAATAAAAATAAAAAATAAAAATAAAGCAAGTCAGGGAAGACCTCTTTAAGGAAGCAATACCAAATAAAATAAGAGTGTGAGCTCTGGGAATTTCTGGAGGAAGAACATTCCAGGAAGAGGGAATAACAAGTGCTAAAGCTGTGTTTGGCATTTTGGAGGAAGAACAGAGATGGCTACAGGTGAATAGGGATGAAATAACCCTAATTTTACAATATGTACAATTACAGACACAGATTGATTTACAGAACTTCAGGAAACACTGACATATAAGGACTAGGCAGAGAAAGAGAATCAATGCACAGATTTTATAAGACTTCAGTCTCAACTGCAGAACATGAAGAACAGATAAATAGATTCACCAAGGCAGATATCTAGAGAGTTACTTAGCTAGAAAATAAATGCTATAGATAGCTCAATTTAATATCTAATATTATACCTGATTTTCTTCCTGAGAAAACTACACTGAGTATATCTCATTTCACTTAAATTGGTGACACTAAAAATAATGGGAAAAAGCAGCACCAACTAGTTAGCATGATCCTAAATAAGGAATTCTCTTAAATATAAAATTCTAGAGCATAAGAAATTGTTAAATATGCTTAAATTTAGTATAAAGTATATCTGAGATAAGATAAATATGTTAATTCAAAAATATTCAAGGATATTCAAGTAATAAAATTTCAAGCCCATAGAACCATTGAACATAATCCCAAAATCCCAGTGAATGTTAGAGAAAAATAGCCCTACTTTTTATTTTGGACTGAACTTTTCAAATGAAAGTACATGAAACCAAACAAATTACTTTATTGGAATATATATATACATATATATACACACACATACACATACACACAGACACACACACACAAATGTGTGTGTGTGTGTATATATATGTTTATATATATATAAATTTTACCAGTGTGCCTAAGACTGAAAGCAGGAATATTCCTCAATTATGCAGAGAGAGTAAGAAAAAAAAGATCAAATTTTTTTTAGCTCAGACTGTAGCATATTTTACAATTGCAATCGGCAACCAGGGTTGTATTGGGAATGTGCTGGCCTGGCTGGGTCCACTTTAAAGCAGTTTTTTCCCCAAATGAGAATCTATTCCCATGAGATTCCCTTCAAACTAAAAAGTGTTTACGACTAAATATGTTTTGAGAACACTTCAGACTATTTTTCTTTTATATATTTACCATGCACTTTTATTTATCAAGGACTCTGCAAAGTCATATGGTAAAGAAACCTTTTAAACTTTATATTAATGTTTCCAATTTTTCCCCACCTCCCTCCAATATTTTAAAAGACCATTTTTCTTTATTTTATAGGTACCATTAATTACACTGAAGCCTACTGTTAATGGCAGCATTAACTACTGCTCTGTGGAACAGGTTCCGAGGGCAGATTCCCAGAAAGGAGAATTTAAATTTTGCCTGAATCTTGTCTAAGGGAAGCATAAGTTTCAAAACAACCATACCACCTCATCATATGGATTAGTCACGACATTTAAAAAATTTCTATTCAACATTTATAATTTTCAATATCTTGTTACTACAAATAATAATAACACTGCTATGAAAAATAGCATTTTCTTTTTTTTAGAAAAAGTAAGGTTTATTTTAGGCTCTATTGATCCTAAGTTGGAAAAAGGGGTCTCTAATTAAAGTTCCACAGGACTACATGCCCAGAAGCATTTTAATCAGCAATTTAATGACTAGGGAATTGGAAGAACACAGATCTATTTCCACCTCCACAATTTACATGCTATGACATTACATCTAACCCTCTAAATCTATAGCTCTCATGCCAAGACAATATTTCTCATCAGTCAAGTCACAATGATAACAATGGCCATTCTTTCCAGTGAGCACTGAAGTTTAAGAGTAAGAGATAGCAGTGAACAAAAATTGTTCTAATCAGCATAGCATTTTGTAATAGCTAATCTTATTTGTTCATGTCCTTTGAAAATTGCTGTTTCTGACTAACTCCTAGTAATAGACTAGTGATATGAATCTGCATTTATTTAACATTTATGTTTGTTCCTTTTCTTGGAAAAACATATAGAATCTTGCTGTGATTTGATTCTCTCTGTGTCTCATATTCATCTACTAAATATTTCATTTTCCTTGAGGACCTTCTGCCCCCCAAAAAGTCCATTTCTTTTAAACATAAATTAGACAATTTCCTAAATCCTGGATTTGAAGATCCACAGCAACATTTTATTTTACCTTTATTTTTATTTTTTATTTTTTTTTGAGACAGAGTCTCACTGTCTCCCAGGCTGGAGTGCAGTGGCGCGATCTCAGCTCACTGCAATCTCCGCCTCCCGGGTTCACACCATTCTCCTGCCTCAGCCTCCTGAGTAGCTGGGACTACAGGCGCCCACCACCACACCTGGCTAATTTTTTGTATTTTTAGTAGAGATGGGCTTTCACCGTGTTAGCCAGGATGGTCTTGATCTCCTGACCTCGTGATCTGCTTGCCTCAGCCTCCCAAAGTGCTGGGATTACAGGCATGAGCCACAGCACCCAGCCCACAGCAACATTTTTTAAAACACTTACTTCTCATTGAAAGGAAATTAGAGGCAGTAAGTGAGGAATGAATGAGCCTTTATGAATGCTGACTAAACTCAAATACCAAGGAGTTCATGGACATAGAAACATCTTATTCTTCCTGGTAAGCTTTCAATATCTCTACATCTTCAGACTCTAGATTCACATGTTCAGCTGATAACTGGTATTTCCATTTGAATGCCTAGTAGCCATTTCAAACATGATTAAGTCTAAAACTGAACCTCTAAGCTTTACCTCAAAATCTATGGCATCTAAAACCTTACTTGTGTTACTAAATGACAAATTCCTGCCATTTGCTCAGGCTGAAAACTTTGAAGTTCTCCTGGATTCCACATTTATTCATTTAGGCAATACTCTTGGTTCTATCTTCAGAGTACAACCACTTCTCCCCATTTTCACTGCTGGTCCAAGCCATGGTCGTCGCTAGCTGGGATTATGACAATAATTTTGTCTCCTAACCCATCTCCCTGTTTCCGCCCCAGGCCTCCTTCAGAACACTCTCAACAGAGGAGTGAGGATGACCTCCGACATCATATATTTTCACTTCTCTACTCAAAACCACCCAGTGTTTCCTGGCTATCACTCAGACGTGCTTTGCTGTCAGGGCCCTTGCACTTGCCATTTCTTCTTACTGGAGTTCTCCTCCCAGGCATTGGCAGAACTTCCTTCCTCATCTCTTCCAGGCATTTACTCAGATGCCACATTTTCATTGTGGCACTCCTGACACTGAATCAGTCCTTGAAGTGGCAAGGCATGTATCAATAGCCTTTGTTAAAATCCCTGGAATTACTTTATACTCTCTAGGTTCTCAATCCATTGATCATTGGAAGAGGCACTATAAATGTTTACATATAAAGTGATATTTTTTACAAATCTTCAAAAGAGTAGCAACATAAGAACCACATTGTTTAATGTGAGAATGAATGTTTCCTCCAATTAAAGCTTTGGTTGTTGGGGGAACTCTTTATAGCTAAAAAGCCTTTATTACTTGGGGTAAAAAAAAATCCATCAGGAGTAAAAATGGCTTTTTTAAAAAATTAATTTGACCCTACAAAGTCAATAATCCTTTCAAATAGTGATTATTTAAGCCGAATATCAGTATTTTGTTTACATATGCTATTAGATGTCACTGCAATTTAAGAAATGGGTATTATTTCCTCATATAATTTTTCAAACTTTATTTAAATATTAATAGTACATATCTATGACCATCAGTATAGAAAGTAACATATCCTCAAAAACCATCTCCAACGGAGCTAATGAATTTGAAATAAAATTAGGTGTAGAAATGATCTGCTTTTCTCCATGGTGGCAGCAGCCAAAACTAATCCACAGATACCTTAAAATAAAAACACGAGCTGGAAATAGATTAGTACAGAACATTATATTCTTTTTCTTCTTTTTCTTTAAATTTGTTTCCAGAGAAATATTGGTAAAACATGAACATTATATCCTTAACAAAGGAAAATTGAGTGTTGATAAGAACAGGGTAAATATGAAGATAATAAGAAAATAAAGTTAATATCTTTCTACAAACACCGTTTGGCAAGGTTTCATAGGACAAAAAGGATAAAATGAGTAGGCCAAGCTGCATAGGTTGACATAGAGAAAGTTAACCAAAAAAAGTAATGCAAGTTTGAGTTTACCGCAAACAAACTAAAACAAAATTATCTCTCTGTATTCATGATACAGGACACTGAACAGCTACAAAACTAAAAGATAATCAGCATTCAGGAGGAATCAGTAGCCCTGAAACAATATTTGATGCAGTGCTGTAAGATGGCACTTGCCATGGTTCCTGCTCTTTCTCTAAATACGTAGTTTTTCATGGATTCTAAAATCATGGATTTTTTTTTTAATTATCCTTAGTAGTATATCCTTAGTATAATTTCAGTGATAATCACTAAACAGGTTTTCGCAATTCTCCTTTTTTTTTTTTTTTTTTTTTTTTGGAGACAGAGTCTTGCTCTGTCGCCCAGACTAGAAGGCAGTTGTGTGACTAGAAGGCAGTTGTGTGATCTTGGCTCACTGCAACCTCCGCCTCCCTGGTTCAAGCGATTCTCCTGCCTCAGCCTCCTGAGTAGCTGGGATTACAGGCGCCCGCCACCAAGCCCGGCTAATTTTTGTATTTTTAGTAGAGACGAGGTTTCACCATGTTAGCCAGGCTGGTCTCGAACTCCGGACCTCATGATCCACCTGCTTTGGCCTCCCAAAGTGCTGGGTACAGGCGTGAGCCATCGCACCCGGCCTTTTTTTTTTTTTTTTTAATGGCTAATACATTTAGAAACTCATCCCCATATTGTTCCTGCCATTTGGACTAGCAGAAGTGTCACCTCTGGCATTTTGCAATATAAACATTTTTTACTTTGTTTATAAGCATTGTTTATAAGCACAAGAATTTTAAACAGACTTATGCAAGCTATAATGTAAATTATTCAGGTAAAGAACTCCCTTAGATTAATTTAATTCTTTGTTCAAGGATCCAAAGAGAACAGTGGAACTGAGTGACAGATATGGGATGGGTTACCCTGATCATTCAAAGTTCCCTTCCTCCTTACACTCCTCTACTACCCACACCAGAAAACCATAATACTCACTAGTCTGGATGGTTTTACTTCTAGGACATGTAATCCAGTTCTGGGCAATGAAATAGAAAAGAAAGATACGTGGGTGGGGTTCCAGAAGAGATCTCTTCAAGGGCTGGTTTAGCTAGAATGTTGACTTCATTAATGTCATTTGTGATTTTTGCCTTCTCTTGTTTTCTCCTGCCTTGTACATGGACAAGATTGCTGGGAAACATAAGCTATCTTCCCACCCTGTGGAGAAAATAAATATAACTATAGAATATCTTTGAGCTGGAAGATAAAAGGAGGCTGGGTCCTTTCATTGCTGTCATGCTACCTCCGGACTGGCTAAACCTAGACTTTTGTACATAAAATAAACAAACATGTTAATCATTTCAGCTGATTTTAAGCAGATTTTAAATCATTTGCTATAGAAATATTTTCTGATTGGTAGCTTACATCTGTTCTCATTTTCACTTGAATTTTATAAAATTATATTCTCCTGGATAAAGTTGTTTCTAAATATATTTTTGCAATAAAACATTTACTGATTTATTTAATGACATCTGATTTTACCAAATATAACTTGTCTCATTTTTAGTTTCTTTTTATGAGAAATTTCCCAAGTAGTTCAATTTTTTCAAGGTCAAATTTTGAACTGTGTACAGCTTTAGGCACAGCTGTTGTATTTCTCCCTCATCTTGGTCAAGTCTAAATTTTCATTGGTTTACTAAAATTGTTTTTAATCTTTGACAATAAGGTTATTTCATCATTTATACTTTTTGTAGTTTTAGTCATTGCTGTTTGTTGTGTCAAAATAATTGAATATTGGTATTTCTTATGGTCTTAGGTATTTTAAATAATACTCATAAGGCACTTCAGAATTCAGTTACAATCCAAACATGAAAACTAGATGTAATTACTTTCTTTTACCCCTTATTTCATCAATTGCTGGTAATTTCACTTGTGGGAACTACTACATAAATAATATAAATAAAAGAACACATCTCATTTTACTAACAAATATGTTTTTAAATAGAACTTATATGAGGAAACAATTCCTTTATTTTTTTTGGTAAATTGAAAATCATGAATTTAGCCATGGGAGAGAAAGTAAACAAAGTAGGAAATGCTTTATTACAATTAAAAAAGAAAGTCATAAAACAACAGAAAATAAAACACAAGTAAATGCATCATTTTAAAAATACTTTTCTAAAACATGTTTTCTTAATTTCAAAATTCAATTATCATAAATTGAGAGTATTAGCATATATTATCTTTCCATTGTTTTTGGTAAAAAAAAATGTAAATGTTGAATCAGGTCTTTTGCTTTTGGGATACTATGTAAGAATGCACTGGCTACAGTTACGTGAAAAAAAAAATCGATGAATCTCACACACAATATACTGAGCAGAAAAAAAAAAAGCCAGACATGATAGAGTATCTATATTAGAATTCAGATGAAGTTCTGTAACCAGCAAAGCTAGTCCATGGCAACAGAAGTCAACATGGCAGTTGCCACTGGTGGTAAATATTAAATGGGAAAGAGCATAAAGAAACCTTTTAGGGTGCTGGACTTGACCTACAGTGTGATCTGGGATTATTGATAAATGAGCAAACATAAAAATTCAGCAAACTCTACACTTATGATTAGGGTACTTGACTTTTTATTTTTATTTTTTTTTTTTTATTTTTCGAGACAGGGTCTCACTCTGTCACTCAGACTGGAGTCCAGTGATGCAATCATAGCTCAACGCAATCTCAGACAAAAATGATCCTCCTGCCTCAGCCTCCTGAGTAGCTGGGACAACAGGCTCATGCCAACATGCCCAGGTTTTGTTTTTTTTTTTTTTTTTTTTTTTTTCAATTTTTTGTAGATATGAGGTTTTGCTATGTTACCTAGGCTGGTTTCAAACTCCTGGTCTCAACTGATCCTCTCACCTTGGCGCTGCAAAGCACTAGGATTACAGGCATGCACCACTATGCTCAGTTTACTTTCCTGATTTTATGCAGGTCTTACTTCTATCTAAAATACAAAAAAAAAAAACCTGGATCAATTTTGAAAAGTATTTTACTCATATCCCTGTACTTCCATAAGAATTTTGTCTAAACTTTTGATTTTATTTCAAAATTAAGGGTTTTTCATATTTATGTCTGTGTTTCAACAATTTCTAAAGATTCACATGGAGAATGAAAAGTTGCTGACATTGTGTAGCTAAACCGGATTAGGTAATAAAACCCTTTTTTAGAATTGGTATTCTATGTTCTATAATCTCTATGGTTTTTTTTTGTTTTTTTGTTTTGTTTTGTTTTGTTTTTCTTGAGATGGAGTCTCACTCTGTTGCCCAGGCTGGAGTGCAGTGGCATGATCTTAGCTCATTGCAACCTCTGTCTCCTGGGTTCAAACAATTCTCTTGCCTCAGCCTCCCAAGTAGCTAGGATTACAGGCACCCACCACCATGCCCAGCTAATTTTTGTATTTTTAGTAGAGACGGGGTTTCACCATGTTGGCCAGGCTGGTCTTGAACTCCTGACTTCAAGTGATCCACTACCTTGGCCTCCCAGAGTGCTGTGATTACAGGCATAAGCCATAGCACCTGGCTCCTATGCTTTTATAATGCTAAAAATGAGTTTGTCATCAAGAAGAAGCTGCATGTTAAAGGAGTCTGGAGTCATAAAGAATCAAGTCAAGATGAAAATATAATCAAATGATATATGGTTCTTTCAAAAGGCACTCAGAACAAATTTCAAGAGAAAGAACAGATTTAAATGATACAGAGCATAAGCATGTCAACAATAGGGAAAGAAATGTTAAAAGATAAACTGAGTTACCTTCAAATATTAAAGAGTTTATTTGAGCAGACAGCAATTCATGAATTGGGCAACTCCAGACCACAAGGGGGTCAGAGACTCCACCAAAGGGGCATGAGGGGAAGACTTTTAAGGTGAATATGGAAGCAAGGAAAAGAAAATCTTTGATTGGCTAATACTGCAGTAAACTTATTTGCATCATGCCAGTGGGAGAATCCTTCGTAAAAGTTCATTGGTGGTTTCTGATTGCCCAAGAATATGACCTTCCACACTGAGTTGGGTTTGGTTTGCTTATGTAGAAACTCCAGGCACTGTAGCTTCCCCAGCCTAATGGCTTCCCAATTAATCTTTTAACAGAATCCTTACTTTCAGAGAAAAAAAAATTAGTTAAAATATCTAGAACAGAAATCTTGAAAAAATGGGCAAACTCCATTGGCAAACCCATGCTTATGTGAAAAAAAAGTTCAAAGTAAACATTAAGAGAAGATGTATTAATGGTTAATAATAATCTAATTTTTTCTTTCTATAAATGTATTTTAATTTTGATATTTTATACTTTGAATACAAGCATTAGAAGTACGGTTGTTTCATTTCTCTCCAAAACACACATATTTTAAAGGCAAAAAATGGAACACAATTTTTTTCCCCATTTTCTTTACATCTAGGTGGCACCTGTGAACTGACAAAATGTAGACTGAGTAGGTTTTTCCAGACCCTCATGTTTCAGGTTGGAGAAAGGCTACTCCCTTCATCTCCTCCATTTCCAAGACCAGAGCTTAAAGGTCAACATAATGGAAGGGAAAGGCAATGGAATTCTAATAAGAAAACCTAGAATGATGACCATATTTCATCTTTTACTGTGTGAATTTGGCCAAGCCATGTAACCTCTCTGAGTCTCATTTATTTCAAATGTGTAATGTGGAGTGAATGGCAGGGAGATTGGGTACATCATATACAACAATGGTCTTTGTACTTTTCAAGCATTAGATTACTATCAAAATATAGACTATTACCAATGGGAGACAGGATTATGGGAGGTAAAACATGGCTTGCTTTCAAGACCATTGGATATGGAGACAAAGTAATGTATTATGTTGGTGCAAAAGTAATTACAGTTGCCATTACTTTCAAAGTTATTGCAAAAACAATAACTTTTTGCACCAACCTAATATATGAGAATTTGAGGGAGAAATATAATCAAATGAAGAACTAAATAAGAATAAATAAAAATTATAGTTTGTGGTATCACCTATGCCTCTCCCAGGGTTCTATGCCCAGAATAACATCTACATCTACACAATCTAAATCATCAGCACTGTTCAGCAATTGACACTAAAATAACAGATACGTGAAGTAAAAATGCATTTTGTATTTATGCTGCAATCTGGATTTTTGCACAGAAAAAATAAATTACAAATGTACAGAATATTGTTCAAAATTTCTTCCAAACATCACTTTCTACCAATTGAGTTAAAGTTTTCAAGAAATCTATCATCTTTATCCAAATTTATATTTTGTTAGAAGATAATGATATCACTTTTAAAATGTATTTTAATTTTTGTGATTTCTACATGTGTAAAATACAATTTAAAACTTGTGCATCAAAGTTTCATTATGTTTACCTTGACTATATATAATTATGTTAATTCTACTTCATTAAAATACAAATGGATACCATTTTTGTGAGCCAACTCCTCGCCATTTAGTAGGTAAATTATTTAGACAGAGACAGAAATTAGAGGTGCTTGAGAATTATTTCTGACAAATCTGTTCACTGCTACTTAACATTTTTGTGCTCCAGGTGCTTCCAAGTTGATATTTTATTAAAATGGTATTTTTATAGAAACATGGAAAGTGAGCAACTGGTTTCTAATTCTCAAGTACTGTCTTAATTATGATTTACGAAAAGATACTCATCCAGATTTCCTTTTTTTTAGCATCAAGGTACCATTTACTGATCTATCATTAGTGTTTAAACATCGTATCTTTGAAATTTCCTTATTTCATTTTCTAAATACTCTGGCAAGTATGTAGCTGGAATTTCTAAGAAAAAACTTCTGCATTGACTAAGAATTGGTATTCTAGCTAACATTTATTTTACTCATAATTTTCTGTTCATCATATTTTACGGCTCGGATTAAAGAAACATGAATATTTACACTCCACATGCCAAGCAAAATGCAAAGTTCAGGTATCTAGGGAAAACTTTGTCCACTGGTCCAAATATGAATTCATGGATCAAAACAATTCTATCCATAATAAAGCCAAAACACACATTCCATAATGATATTATGATTATACGTACATTTTTTGTTTATTTTAATGTAGGTTCTTGGCAAAATAAAGTGTAAGTAATCCTGTATCATTCCTGCCCAATATTTTGTTGTTGATATCTTTTCCCGATCCTTTAATTGCTTTGTAAATGCTAACTTAAGCCTAAGTTTAAGTCAATGTCTTTTCTCCACTGATATGTACAAAGGAAACAATCGTTCTAACTGTGCAAGTAAAGGTTTTGATGCACTTCAAAGTGCATCAAAGAGTCGCTGAACAGGGAAGACAGTTTGGGAGAGACAGCCCTTTCTGACCCTTTTGCAATCACCCAAAACGCACAGTGTGTGCTGACATGGAAGGGTGATCATCTGTCACCTTTTTAGTCTAAGACCTTTACGGAATTTCATGGACTGATTGCTCCCAGCAAGATACATCACTTTTATTTTCATGATTTGGTCCATGCCGTTTCTCTCTATTTAGAATGCTCAGTCTCTCTTTTCTAATTTACTATGGGAAAAAGCATGCTGAACATCCTCTCCTTGTTCCTGGAACCTAGCTCATGCAGAGGAAACATTTATATCCTCTTTGAGTCTAGAAAAACGTTAAGAGTGGCATTTTCCTAGTGTGCTGGATTACTGCCCTTTAAAGATCAACAGCCATGAAAAATACCACCTAATTTTGCTATCTATGACCAAAAGTAGGCAAATGAGATAGAACCTGTCTCCACAGGGCACAAAAGGCAAGGCCTATCCCCATACTTTATACCATTTGTAAGCTGCAAGGGGGTTGTTAATCTCTTTCAGTCGGGTGTTAAATCAAGTGATTTACCAATATGCTGCAAGCAGAATGTATCACTTAAAACTTGATTCCCAATTTCTAATCCAATCTTCACCAGATACAGTCTTTGGGAGTTACCTGGAACTTGTCCAGTTATTAACAATGTAGAACTTTATATCTCACTTTGCTTTTTTTTTTTTTTTGAGACAGAGTCTTGTTCTGGCACCAGGCTGGAGTGCAGTGGCCCGATCTTGGCTCACTGCAACCTCTGACTCCCTGGTTCAAGTGATTCTCCTCCTTCAGCCTCCTGAGTAGCTGGGATTACAGGAATCCACCACTACGCCCAGCTAATTTTTGCATTTTTAGTAGACAGGGTTTCACCATGTTGGCCAGGATTGTCTCGAACTTCTGACCTCGTGATCCACCCGCCTCGGCCTCCCAAAGCGCTGAGATTACAGGCATGAGCCACCATGCCTGGCCTTTTTTTTTTTTTTTCAAGACGGAGTTTCACTCTTGTTGCCCAGGCTGGAGTGTAATGGTGCAATCTCAGCTCACTGCAACCTCTGTCTCCCGAGTTCAAGCGATTCTCCTGCCTCAGCCTCCTGAGTAGCTGGGGTTACAGGCATGCGCCACCATGCCCAGCTAACTTTTTATATTTTTGGTAGAGACGGGGTTTCACCATATTGATCAGGCTGGTCTCGAACTCCTGACTTCAGGTGATCTATCCGCCTCGGCTTCCAAAAGTGCTGCGATTACAGGCGTCAGCCACTGTGCCCAGCCTGTTTTTCTTAAAAATAATATCCTTTCAGGGGAACTCCTGGAAGAGGAGGAATGAAGGAAGAGTGTGTGGTTTAGGCATTCCTGGGTGACCAGTAAAATATCAACAATCTCAAAAAAAATGCATTCAGTATTGCTCAAAACATATTTTTGATTACATGTTGAACTTTATTTTTTCTTACTCTTTTTACTATATAGTGATTTCAGTGAATCAATATTCCTTTGTAATTCTGACAGTGTCCATAATAGATACATTTAAAACAAAGTCTTAATGATACAATTTAACTACAAGGGTGTTTATGATGTCAGGGTTTACACAGTTTTGATGTTTTTGTTATTTCCTCAATTACTTAATTTAATTTAAATACATGTAAAATTTGAAACTGTTCTTTTGTTCTTCCATATTCTTTTTTACCTTAAATTTTTTTTTTTCGTTTTCAATTTATTTTCTATTTCAATAGGTTTTTGAGGGAACAGGTGGTGTTTCATTATATGAAAAAGTTCTGTAGTGGTGATTTCTGAGGTTTTGGTAATGTACACTGTACCCCACATGTAGTCTTTTATCCTTCACCCTACCCCCACCCTTTCCTCTGAGTCCCCAAAGTCCATTGTATCATTCTTATGCCTTTGCCTCCTCATAGCTTAGCTCCCAATTATGAATGAGAACATAAGATGTTTGCTTTTCAATTCCTGACTTACTTCACTTCGAATAATAGTCTCCAATTCCATCCAGGTTGCTGCAAATGCCATTATTTCATTCTTTTTTATGGCTGAGTAGTATTCCATGGTATACATCTGGGTGTGTGTGTGTGTGTGTGTGTGTGCGTGTGTGTGTGTGTACACATCTATATAATATTTTCTTTATCCACTTGTTGATTGATGGACATTTGGGCTGGTTCCATATTTTTGCAAATACAAATTATGCCGCTATAAACATGCATGTGCAAGTATGTTTTTTGTATAATGACTTCTTTCCCTTTGGGTAGATACCTAGCAGTGGGATTACTGCATCAAATGATAGATCTAATTTTAATTCTTTAAGAATTTCCACACTGTTTTTCATAGTGGTTATACTAGTTTACATTCCCACCAAGAGTGGAAAAGTGTTCCCTTTTCACCACATCCATGCCAACATATATTATTTTTGATTTTATGATTATGATTATGGCCATTCTTGCAGGAATGAGGTGGTATTGCATGTGATTTGATTTGCATTTCCCTGATAATTAGTGATGTTGAGCATTTTTCTATATACTTGTTAGCCATTTGTGTATCTTCTTTTGAGAATTGTGTATTCATTTCCTTAGCCCACTTTTTGATGGAATTGTTTGTTTTCTTTTCTTGCTGATTTGTTTGAGTTCTTTGTAGATTCTAGATATTAGTCCTTTGTTGGATATATATATTGTGAAGATTTTCTCCCACTCTGCGGGTTGTCTGTTAACTCTGCTGATTATTTCTTTTGTTGTGCAGAAGCCTTTCAGTTTAATTAAGTCCAATCTATTCATCTTTGTTTTGTGGCATTTGCTTTTGGGTTCTTGGTCATTAAGTCTTTGCCTAAGCCAATGTCTAGAAGGGTTTTTCTGATGTTATTTTCTAGAATTTTTATAGTTTCAGGTCTTAGATTTAAGTTATTGAACCATCTTTAGTTGATTTTTGTATAAGGTGAGAGAGGAGCATCCAGTTTTATTCTTCTACATGTGGCTTGCCAATTATCCCAGCACCATTTGTTGAAAAGGGTGTCCTTTCCTCACTTTACGTTTTTGTTTGCTTTGTTGAGTTCTATTTGGCTGTAAGTATTTGGCTTTATTTCTGGGTTCTCTATTCTGTTCCGTTGGTTTATGTGCCTAGTTTATATCAGTTCCATGCTGTTTGGTGACTACGGCTTTATAGTATAGTTTAAAGCCAGGTAATGTGATGCCTCCAGATTTGTTCTTTTTGCTTAGCCTTGCTTTGGCTATGTGGCCTCTTTATTTGTTCCAAACGAATTTAGGATTTTTTTTTTTCTAGTTCTGTGAAGAATGATGGTGGAATTGCATTGAATTTGTAGGTTATTTTTGGCAGTCTGGTCAATTTCACAATATTGATTATATCCATTCATGAGCATGGGATTTGTTTGTGTTGTCTATAATTTCTTTCAGCAGTATTTTGTAGTTTTCCTTGTAGAGGTCTTTCACCTCATTGGTTAAGTATATTCCTCAGTTATTTTGTTTGTTTGTTTTTCAGCTATTGCGAAAGGGGTTGAATTCTTGATTTGATTCTCAGCTTGGTAGCTGTTGGTGAATAGCAGAGCTATTATATTTCATTTCTACTTTCTTTTTTTCTCCATATAAGACAATTCTTATTTTTTATTTGTCATTAAGTACTCAGTTGTAAATAATGAGCTACACTTAAAATGTTATTTCTAGTGGAATTAACTATTACGAAAGGCTACCAATTTAGATACTGAGGATTCAATCAGGAACAGATACTTGTTTCTCTACTGGATTGATAAATTCAGACTATAAGAGGCACAGGAAATATCAATTCATTGTCTTCATAAAGCTCTGGTTAGGATAACAGATACATCAATAGAAGTTAGTCTATTTATAAATCATGAATTTGAGACATTAAAACATTGAATGGGTTCTGATGTGTATATGTATGATACGTAGTTGAATATATGATCATAGCTGAAAGTATACATATACATATATAATTTACCCATTGCTATTCTTTTTTTTCCTTAGAATGGTGTTTATGCATGTGTGTGTATGTGTGTCATTGGTATATGTGTGTGCAACTGTTCATAAGAACAAGTAAGACCACAAGTGAAGAGTCATGAAAAGTACTGAGTTTGCTATGAGCTCAACTTACAATTTAAGCGGTTGGAATTTTTCCTACAAAACAGAAAATGAGTGTGAATGGAGACCAGTTTTTGTTTGTTCAATACTATAATCATAGGTGTTTTTACTAAGGAAATTAATTTTGTTGCATCATTGAAACTTTTTCAAGCACACAAAACTGTCCAGAAACTTCCAAGAGAGATGAGGGTTCACCCACTCTCATCAGGTCATCAGAAAGCATACATAGGCACATCCCACCAGCCAATGGAACCACAGGCCATTAGAGGGGTAGGATCTTAGAAATGGATTATCCTGGGGCTACTATTTTATGAAAAACGAATGCGAAGCAGATTAATACTAAAAATCTCAAATTCTTCAAATGTCAAGCCAGTAAGAATACATATTGCATCAAAGAAAATGCAATTTGTGTAGGGAATGCCTGAAGTCTAATGGAGACTACTGATGTAGAGCAAATTGAGTACAGTTTTGATATTACCTTCTTACAAACTTATTGTCCTACCCCACAGCAATTCTCACCATGCATGGCCAAAAAGTGCAAAGTGAATGCCAAAGCCTGATATTTAGCTCTGTTTCTTTTCTCTTCCCTCTGAGAATGTAATTCCATTGCTTAGCCCTGAGCCTCTGAAGCAGTTTATTTCCCATCTGGCTCTTGCCAGCCAACAGCACTAAGGCATCCCAAAAGACTTGCTTCCTAATGGTCATAGGCTGAGATGGCCAAATGCCTTCCAATATTTATCAGTCTCCTAGTAGGTGAGAAGAAAATGGGCTCTTGAGACTGGAGTCTAAAATTAATTAGAAATAGGAGGTAGGTTTGCAAGATAGATGATTGTAGCACTCCAAAAATGGATAAGCCAAAAGAAAACAAAGATAATCAGTACTGTGGAACACTTATTATGCCAGTCTTTCAACTCTTGACTGTTTACACCTGGCATGACAACTTTGATCCTGCCTTAGCAAATGCTTTGTGTGCCAGAGATTCTGAACACCCATCCCCAACCTTCAGGCATTGTTCCCCTATTCTAGAATCATTTCCTGGATGTTCATGCCACTTCTTCAATGAGTCTTCTGGGAGAAAACACTTCCTTTATTTTTCTTTGGAATTGCTAGAAACTTACTACCCAATCCTTCTTCTTTTCTAACAGAAGTGCTGGCTAAGTGATAGAAAATTCACTTGGGCATTAAAAAGCAGGAAAGCTGGATTTACAAATGTTGCCTTGAAAATGCAATACTGTGTGTCAGTACCTTAGATGTTAATCTTAGAATGAGCCTCCAAGAATTTCTTATAAGCTTTATATGAAAAGAAATGAAATCAAAGATTATGAAAGGAATGCCTATAGGAATTTGATAAACCACAAGCACCTTTTCACTAAAAATTAAAAAATGAGAGAAAGTAATGGATCAGAACTAGTCTTTAAAGTTCTTCAGCAGGAAATAAATTTCAGTCACAAATATTTTTTCTCAACCAACAAGGATTAAAACTAAGTTTATGTCAACTTCTCCATCTTATCTCTTACCACTCTTAACAAAAAAAGAAAAAAGTATTTTACATACCCTAGATGAATTTTTAATTCTGAAGCAAACAAGCCTTTCATTTGCATAACTTCATGTCCTTTCTGCAAGCTGTTCCTTGGCCTGCAACCCCCTGCTCCGTAATTTCATTTCTATTAAATCTCACTGATTTTTCAAAGCCTAGCTCAGATGTTCTCCATCTGTTTGATTCTTTATCTAATACCCATTAAAAAGATAAAATCTTTATTTTGGTAGCACTTTGCAGAAATCAGTATTATAGCACATAAGATGTTAAGATATATAATTTGGTAATAATGCTGTATTCGTAACTTTTACGAGAGCTCACTGAAGACATCGATGATGTTTTACTCATCTTTGCAAGTTCTTTGCAGAATTTGGCAAGAGAAAGCAATACAGGCCTTTAAATGAATGAAAAAAGAAAGGAAAAAAGGGAGACTTCTATGTGGAAGTTGTCCAAATGTGAAAGGAGTAAAGAACAAGCATAAATCATTAGAAATGCAGAACACTTCAATTTACATTTGAAAAAACAATCACAGAATAGATAAGTACAGATAAAAATCCTCATGATGGTCTATTCAGCAATATAATGGCTAGTCCTTTGGTCCATGTGATTCATTTGTACAAAAAATAATAAGTACGTAAACTATGAAATACATTGCTTCATTATGACAGATATTAATATGAGTAAATTAAGCTCTTCCAATGAAGTTATTCACAGTCTGAGAGTGGGAGTTAGGTGAACAACCCCAGTGTCCCAGCACTTAGTGCAGCGCAGGCTGGAAAACAGAAGAATCTTCTTATGTGGAGGGAACACAATTGGTCAAACATATGTCTACAGTTACTTGGAAGACTACTAGGCCTGACCTGTAAAAGTAGATGATAAGTATGTGTTGGCTTCTCTTGGCTACTTTTAACAAGGCATTACAAGAAATAAAGTAAGAAGTTACAATTTTTTAAGCAAAGATGATATAGAATGGAGAATATCTAGAGCATGAGTCTTGCAGGGTTGGAAAAATTAACTTCACCTGGACTTCAGATTATAAAAGACAAGACTCAAAAAGCCCCAAGACTTCTCAATCCAGGCAAGTGACAATCATGCAGCAAAAAAATAAGATTTACAGGCTTTCCCACCTACTATCTCAAATGGCTTTAATACGGCCACCATTAAATTTAGAAGAAAAAATCAGTAGAAACTAGGAAACCGAGAACTATATCAGGCTTGGTCATTGCACCTAGAAAAGAACTCTGGAGATGTTTACTAGCATATAGGATTTCTGGAAACAATATATAGGAAGCAATATTGGTTTCTGAGTGAATTGTATAATATTAGAAAGAACCCTTCACCTTGAAGCAGAACATTTTTCATTGTTCAGTCTTAAAACAACATTCAGTACTGCCTAAACTATTAACTAGGAAAAAGACTGCAAAAACAGCAAAAGTCTCAAAGGAACACATACTTTCAAGATCCACTACAACTAGAGCCTTAGAAGATAATGTACAAGTTAACAAAACAAAACAAGAGAATAAAGTTAGGTGTCTCCGATAAGAATTTTCTTCTAAGCAAACAGAATAATCAGGATCTAATCAAGGAGCCAGTCAGCCATGGTAGGGCCTTCCCAAATTTTGCCCAGCAAGAACTCATAATTGTAACAGTACATGTCTGCTATGTATCTTCTAATCTTTCATTTTCTAATGGGAGTACTTGTGGTGTTCCTGTTTCTGTACCATCATATATGGGGTGTGCACAGCAGGGTTACAGATGTTGTCATTTTATGTCCTGATACTGAGAATTTCACATCAATCAAGGACCTGAAAATTGAGCTAGAGGTGGCTTTGAATCATCTCTCCTGGAGAGGGGATGAGCATGTTCTTGTCATGGAAGGAAGGTTGAGATATGTACATACTTAGTGGCAGAAAGGTAAGCTCTCGCAGAAACTACTAGCTGATTACCAAGCCTAGTCTTGGTTTTCCCTTGCACACAGCTAGAAAACATTTCCCAGCTTCTCTTACTGATATTTATGGTCATGTGACTGATCTACAATTAGTGAAATATGAATGGACATTATGTGTGGCACTTCCAGGCTTGCCCGTAATTGCCCATGTACAACCCTCCATGTTCTTTCCCATTTCACCACTTCACACAAATTAAATATTGGGGAATACTCATTCTGGATTTCCTATGAGTGAGAAATAAACTTGTATGTTGCTGGAGATATGATTATGCTTTTGTTTGTTACAACAGCTACACATCTTTAAATACTGTAATTCCAAAGAGAAAAAACAGAAATCTCTAGAGTTCCTGGAGCTGTCCTGTCCCTTCCCTTTAGGAGAGTTGGCTGTTAACAGTCTATATTTTTTATGAAGTGCTCAACTTAGCACAAAACATATTCTGTTGCTTTCAATCCTAAGAATCTTAACTGAAAAAGTCCAGATAAGGAAAGAGTGAGCCTGACAGAGTTGACATAGACAGGTGGGAAATTTCAAAACTATTTAGCCGAATTTGATTACATGTGTGGTGTGAGAGAAGGAAGAGTTGAGGGTAACTACCAGGTTTCTAGCTTGAGTAACTGGTGTGTTGACAACTTAGTGACTATAAGAGGCTTTTCAAACAGTGAGTTAAAAATGTCTTTGGTGTGTCAACATGGAGATATTTAGAGGGAGCTGAAGAGAAGAATCGTATGATGGAAAATTATAGTGTCTGAAATTTCAACTTAGACAAATGATTTAGGGGTCTTTTCTCCCACATTTCAGTAACTCAAATTCAAGGAGAGTAGAAAATCTGAGTCAAAAACTCTTATAAAACACCAAAAAAAAAACCCTGAAATTCAATTTTTGAGTTCATAAGGGTCTCTGAAATATGAGATGTAGGTAATTCACGTATCATTGCTTGGAATGGCTTATGTCTCAACATTGTAGCCAGGAAATATAACTGAAGGCAAATAGAACTACTTTATTCATTCTGTAGAAATACATTTGCTGCTGGTAAAATGATAGACATATAGCAGTTTTCCCACATGCCTGTTAATATTTTGGAGTGGGCCTGTTGTTTCTTTTTCACATAGGGAGGTCAGGTCCCTGGTCTTTTATAGCATCTACACTGAAACTGAATCCATTATACATTATGTTCCCCAAAGGACAGTATCTGAGACAGAGGCTGGCCAGATGGGTCACATGAAATATATACTTTTCCATCTCTGTGCACCGGTGGGAGGCCTCAAAGAGGTGGCTGCACTGCACTTCCAATTATGGATGGTGTGGGTGGACTGCCGTTAATGGGGAAACTTTTCATTTCAAGCCCTGGACAGAACCAGCCTGAGGATATGGCAAATTGGATCACTACCCCAGGAGACTCCATCCATTAGAGCATGGGAGAGAAAGAATCAAATGCTTTCTCTAGCAGCTGGCCTCTAAAATATGCTTCAAGTCAGCATTTTTATAATGATTATCATTATTGTGGAACACTGCATCTGTGCCCTTTCCATTTGGTTTCACAGTTCAGTCATGCTTCTTGTTGAGTTCTTTTTTAATTCTTGCCTGCAGCAAATTCACCTGCTTGATGCTATTTTTAACAATAATGCGGTAGAGCCCATTTATTAGCTATTGATGTTTGTTTTAAAAACACATGACCAATTTTACAAGGTTCAGGTATTATATAGATCTCAAAAACAAAATGTTGAATAAAAATATTATAGAATAATATATACAATTTATATATTGTTGTGGATTTTTCAAAACCTGAAAAAAATCTATCTTATTTATGGTCACCTATGTAAAATTAGCTTAGAAGGAAGACCGGACACAGTGAACATTTTTTCAAGAAGTGACACAGGAACTGAACAGAAAAACTGAAGGAATCTACAGAGCTTTTGAAGGAAGCAGGAGGCTGCAGCCTACACCATTAGTTAGATGAAGGGCTGTGAGTACCCAGAGTGTGAAATGGGGAGAGACTGCCTCCAGGATATACACCCCCACTGGGGACCCTGAAAGTCCAGGCCACAGGGGAAGACTTTAACCCTACCTAGTACAGAAACTGACTTCAGGAGGATCATGGAATATAAATGTAGAAGCAGTAGCAGGAAGATCCTTGCATGCACTCCCAGTTTTCAGCACAAACTGAGGGAAGACATTGCTTATTGTTCCTCAAAGGGAGCCCTGTGGATGACAACCAAAAAATTTAGACAGTGAACACAGGTTGAAAGAGGCCCCCAGCTGGGGCTCATGATATAATTTTGAGTGGGGCAAACTCCCTTGGCCAGGGCCAGGACAGGGAAGAGTGAAAAGCAGGCTGTAGCAGGAGTGCAGGAGCCATGAGTGCAGGAGCCTGGTTTCCAGCTTTGCGGTGGATGGAAAGGGGCATGGCCTGAAAGCCACAGTTGCTATATCTATGTGGAAAGTTTATGACTTGAGGCAGACGAGAGTTCTGAGTGCAGGCTGACTGGAACCTAGTCCACTGCTGCCAGAGAAACACTGTAGGAGTGAATCTGCCTCACCAGGTATGTGGGATCTGTGTAGGGCTTACTGCTGCCTGTGTGGGGTTCACTTCCTGCATGAAGCAGAGTGGAACAGAGGCAGCAACAGTCCCCTCTGGAACATCAACCCAGTGGCCTGAGAACTGCTCCCATTCCTCGACACCCAAAGGGTCTGCAGCTTGCCCTGAACATGGAGACTCAAGTGCAAACCCACCTGACACTACCCCCACAGGGCTTTGCCCCATCACCAGCTCTGGTAGCTTAACACAAAGGACAGAAACTCTTAGGAACTATACAGCCCCATCCATTGCCTGAGAAACCATAGTATCCACCCTGGGAAATGTAAGGTAAGCAAAAATCCCACTGCTACTACTGCAGCTGATGCTGTTTTGCAAATGTCACCTCCTGGCTGGAGCCAACCAACCTAACACAGTCCATTACTAACACAGTCCATATCCTCATAGAATAACACTGTACCTAGAAAGGAGAAGGTGTCTGCATGATCTCAGCTATCGCCACTGCCTGTACCACTCTGGCTAACCGGGAGATCCTGAGTCTGTCCACATGACTGGTTCATTACTACTCTAACCAGGTTCGAGAAAGTCAACACATTAAAGCTATCAATAACCAAGGAATCTAAAAGAGTCTATGTCATTCCCCTGTCACCTCCATTAGAGTTGGTCCTGCTACCCACTGCTGGGAGACTTGAGGACAAGTCTCATCACCAGCTCCCTTGCAGACATTCCCCAATACCAGCCTGGAGTGTGGCAACTTCACTGGGCAGCTAGATCCAGAGAAGCAACAACACTCACAGTAGTCTAGCTTTCAGGGATTCCAACTCCTAGGAGAAGTGGGAGTGTGTGTACCACAACAAGGGAACACCCAGGTAGATTAAAAAAAATCTGGACAGCAGGCCTTAAGTACCAGACCTGTCTGCTTGTGGGACGTTTCTTTCAACACAGGCACAGTTGCAATGCTGGGCACAGTAGGGAAAGTCTTCAGCTCTAATCCAACAGTCAGACAGCCTTGGTGTGCCTTAAGGGTCTTGGAGAAGGGGACCTCTTGTCCACCACTGCAGGCACAGTTAGAGCTCCTCCCCATGGGAGCATGGCATGGATGCAACTATAGACAGTCTTTCTGCAACAGATCAGGGTGACTACATCCACACAGGAGGAGCACCCTCCAGGTTCAGGCTTGCATGAGCGACAGAGTCACAATTCCACCTTATTTGGAACATCAACATTCCCACAGATGAAAAGAGGTGCCTGACTGATCTGATTAGCTGAAGCCCTGGGAATGGAATGTGTCTGAGAGCTGGGTAACTTTCTTGCTGACCTGGAAGGGGAGTTGAGGTGGCTCCAACCTTCCCCCCTAAGAAGCCCTTAGTGCAACTCACTGAGAGCTCCTCCAGCCACCTCTGTCAAGGCTGGGACCTCTGCCTACCATTGGGTATTGCTTTTACTTACCTGCTTTAGCCAAAACTGATTCCTACCCAGGGACACCTCCCCTACTGGCCTGAAGCCTAAACCATCAAACCAGTAAATAAGATACTGAAAGAAAATAAATTTTAAACATGCATGCCACAGGGGAATGATATAAGCTTTAAGATACCTCTACCATCACAACCCCATAAAAGACAGCGAACTTGCTCACACACTGAGCACATTGCTTCCACAATCAGCACATGAGAAAGCCATCCTACAAAGACTCTTCCGTAACCAAGGAACTCTTACAGAGTCTTCACACGTGAAAGCACCAAGAACAAAATATGGCTGTGATTAACTATAAAGTCACATCCTTAAAGGGAAAAAAGAAATTAAAAAACGAAAAAGAAACATGGTCAAATCAAACATAAATTTAAGAATAATTATAAGAAATAGTTTACCCAGCAGTCCCCAACCTTTTTGGACCCAAGAACCAGTTTTATGGAAGACAATTTTTCCACAAACCAGTTGGGGTAGGATGGTTTTGGGATGATTCAAGCTCATTATATTTATTATGCACTTTATTTCTATTATTATTACATTGTAATATTGTATTAGTCCATTATCACTGTGATATAAAGAAATACCTGAAACTGGGTAATTTATAAAAGAAAGAAGTTTGACTTACAATTCTGCATGGCTGGGGAAGCCTCAGAAAACTTACAATCACAGAGGAAGGGGAAGCAGGCCTGTCTTACATCATGGTAGGAGAGAGAGAGAAGCAGAAACCACCACTTATAAAACAATCAGATCTCATGAGAACTCACTCACTATCATGAGAACAGTATGGGGGAAACCACCCCCATGATCCAATCACCTCCCACTATGTCCCTTCTTTGACATATGGGGATTACAATTCAAGATAAGATTTGGGTGGGGACACAGAGCCAAACTGTATCATTCCACCCCTGGCCCCTCCCAAATCTCATGTTCTCACATTTCAAAACACCATCATGCCTTCCCAATCCCCCAAATTCTTAATTCATTCCAGCATTAACTCAAAAGTCCAAGTCCAAAGTCTCATCTGAGACATAGCAAGTCCCTTCTGCCTATGAGCCTGTAAAATCCAAAGCAAGTTAGTTCTTTCCTAAATACAATGGGAGTACAGGCATTGGATAAATGCTCCCATTCCAAATGGGAGAAATTAGCCAAAACAAAAGAGCTACAGCCCCCATGCAAGTCCAAAAGCCAACAGGGCAACGATTAAATCTTAAAGCTTCAAAATAATCTCCTTTGACTCCATATGTCACATTCTGAGCATGCTGATGCAAGGAGTGAGCTCCCATGGCCTTGGACAGCTCCTTCACAGGCTGGCATTGAATGTCTGACTTTTCCAGGTGCAGAGTGCAAGCTGTCGGTGGATCTACCCCAGGGTCTGGAGGATGGTTGACCTCTTCTCACAGCTCCACTAGGCAGTGCCTCAGTGGGGACTCTCTGTGGGGGCTCCAGCTCCACATTTTCCTTCCTCACTGCCCTAGCAAATGTTTTCCATGAGGGTTCTGCCCCTGCAGCAAATTTCTGCCTCTGAAATCTGAGAATCAAATCAAGAACTCAACCCCTTTTGTAACAGCTGCAGAAAAAAAAAAAACCTAGAAATATACTTAACCAGGGAGGTAAAAGATCTCTACAAGGAGAACTACAAAACACTGCTGAAAGAAATTATAGATGACAAAAACAAATGGAAATGTACCCATGCTTATGAATTGGAAGAATCAATATTGTGAAAATGACCATACTACCCAAAGCAATCTACAGACTCAATGCAATTTCCATCAAAATACCAACATAATTTTTCACAGAATTAGAAAAAACAATCGTAAAATTTATATGGAACTAAAAAAGAGTCCGAATAGCCAAAGCAATCCTAAGCAAAAAGAACAAATCTGGAGGCATCACATTACTGGACTTCAAATTATACTACAAGGCAATAGTTACCAAAACTGCATGGTACTGACATGAAAGCAGGTACATAAACCAATGGAACAGAATAGAGAACCTGGAAATAAAGCCAAATTGGGGAATGGACACACTATTTAATAAATGATGCCAGGAAAACTGACAACCCACATACAGAAGAATGAAATTGGATCCCCACCTCTCACTTTATACAAAATTCAACTCAAGATGGATCAAAGACTTAAATATGAGACCCAAAACTATAAAAGTTCTAGAAGACAATATTTAAAAAACTCTTCTAGACATTGGCCTAGGCAAAGAATTAATGACTAAGGCCCTAAAAGCAAATGCAACAAAAAAATAACAAATGGGACTTAATTAAACTAAAAAGCTTCTGTGCAGCAAAAGAAATAATCAGCAGAGTAAACATACAACCCATAGAATGGGAGAATATACTTGCAAACTATGCATCTGACAAAGGCCTGGTATCCAGAATTTACAAGGAACTCAAATCAGCAAGACAAAAACAAATAATCCCATAAAAAAGTGGGCAAAGGACATTAATAGACGTTTCTCAAATGAAGATATACAAATGGCCAACAAACATAGGAAATAATTCTTAACATCACTAATCATCAGGGAAATGTAAATTAAAGCCACAATGAGATACCACCTTACTCCTGCAAGAATGGCCTTAATTAAAAAGTCAAAAAACAGTAGATGTTGGCATGGATGTGAAGAAAAGGGAATGCTTATACACTGCTGGTGGGAATGTAAATTAGTACAACCTCTATGGAGAACACTATAGAGATTCCTTAAAGAGCTAAAAGTAGATCTACCATTTGACCCAGCAACCCCACTACTGGGTATCTACCCAAGGGAAAAGAAGTCACTATATGAAGAAGACATTTGCATACATATGTTTATAGCAGCAAAATTCACAATTACAAAGATGTGGAACCAACCTAACTGCCCATCAACTAATGAGTGGATAAAGAAAATGCATATACACAATGGAATACTACTCAGCCATTAAAAGGAAAAAAGAATGTCTTTTGCAGCAACATGGATGGAGCTGGAGGCGATTATTTTAAGTGACACAGGAGTAGAAAACCAAAAACTAAATGTTCTCACTTATAAGTGAGAGCCAAGCTATGAGTACACAAATGTATACAGAATGGTCTTTAGAGGCTCAGAAGGAGCAGGGAGGGGGAAACTACGAATAAAACATTACACATTAGGTACAATGTACACTACTTGGGTGACAGATGCAATAAAATCTCAGAATTCACCACTATATAATTCTCCCATGTAACATAAAAACCACTTTTATCCCAAAAGCTATTGAAATAAAAACTTTTTTGAAAAGAAAGAATGCCATTGTATTTTTGACAGTGGTTGTCAGAAGATAGAGGGGTGGGGAAACAAAGGGAAATTTGAAAATAGGTGATAAATAAATTTCCAACATTTTATATATATGTATATAAATTCAAAGTGTTACATTTTATTTAAAGATATGAAGCAAATACAGCATAATGTCAACAATTGCTGATTATGGTGGAGAGTAGCTAAGTATGTCTTATGTTCTTATGCTTTTCTATAATTTTAATGTGTCAAATAAATATTAATTTTAAAAAAATAGCTGAGGTGCTGGTAGTTGAAGAGTGTTGCCTAAACAACAACAGTGTACTTTTGCTGGACTTGGTTGTTCCCCTTTGTTTAACTATCAAAACAATATGCTACAAATGGCAGAGATGTGCAACAAGCGCTGTGAAAGTGGTCAAGTGATTTAACAGCATAAAGCATTCTGAATTTGCATATGGAGGCCAGGAAACATGCTCAAAGTGTCGCAGAGAAAGGAGTTATTTAGCCCAAATGTAGCCTTTCTATGATCATACATACTATGCCTACTATATGGACAACATTAAATTTGTATATAGATGTCACCATGAACATCCTATTTTTCTGAGGTCTGAATAAAGAGTAGGTACAGTACAAAAAACATATTAAAACATTTGGTGGGGAAGAGGTGTACAAGGGTTATTAGATGAAGGAGTTTTTTAAGTTTTGGACAGAATTCCACTTCCTATCCCACCACATCAAAGCTTTTACGAAATTAAATGAATGCAACAGAACTCTGTGGATTATGTTTAGGCATTCCAAAATAAGGAGTCTCACAAAAACAGAAAAACAGATAGATTTATGAGTCAGTAGCTCAGTGATGTATTTCATTGTCATTCCTGAGAGGTCAGGTGTTTAGAAACTTAACAACTTCCATAAAAATCTAAATAGAAAAATACTGCAAGACACTATCTTCAGACACAAAGTACTATTTTTGATTTTTAAAAAGAGGATGATTTGGTGGAACTGAGCACAATGTATACTGGGGCAGATTTACTGCTTAGAAGATCCTGAGAATCAGTAAGAGGACCATCTACGCTATCCCTCTCATCAGTAGTGGCTGTCACGCATGGCAAACTGGCTTTAAATTCAGGTCCCAGGCTGATCCCAACATAGACTACATCGTGGGGGTGGATGTGGAGATCTGCTTCTTTCTTGCTGTGTTATTTTCTTCTCAATGCCTTCTGCCCTCACGTTAGGGATTTTCAAAGCTTTCTATCTTCCACCAAGTAGGGATTCTCAAAGTTTTCTATCTTCCCCCAAATACCAGAAAAGAGCTGAGCAACAAGTGTTGAAGACTTCATAATTTCTCAACCAGGACTATCTGCATTTAGAAAGAAGAACTGATATCTTCTCTCCTCTGCTATAACAACTATACCTGAGACATAGACCTCTGGAAAGAGACCAATGACCTGAGACAAGATGCAATCTACACTTGATCTTTAGACTAACTCCCATCCCTACAAGCCCCAAGGTATATTCTTTTGTCCCTCTGATTTAGAGCACCACGGCGTCTCGATGCTGAATGGCAGCATAGTGTGGTGGTGAAGAGCTTAGACTCAAGACCATAGTCTGAGTTTGCAATGTGAATTACATCACTAATTGCCTGGTGACCCTTGGAAATAATTAAATTTCTCTGTCGCTATTTCCTCAACACCATGTATCTGAAGATAATGGCACTAACCGAAATGAGTAACTATATACCATCCATTCAGCACAGTGCTAAACCATCAATACTGATGGCAAAGTGCTACCTCAGATTCTGAGTTAAATCTGATTGAAGCACAAAACACTTCAGGAGACAACTGCACAGGGGTCTTGGAAAGAATCCTTTCACCCTAGTCCTGGAATTTGGTGATTCAAACTGCATGCTCTTCTTCCCCTCACTCTTCCTACCCAGATTCAGGAGCTAACACGCCAGAGTTCCTCAGTCCCATTACTTTCTGCCCTCACCACATGTATGTCGACCAAGTGTTTATCCTCCTCATTCTACCTAACATTAGATCTGCTTGAATTCCACCCTACTGCTCCTGTAATTCCTGCAAGGAGCAACTATTAGGGGCTGGAGTCCTGCAGTTAGCAAGACCTTGAGAATAAACATCAACTCCTTTCTGGTTCCCAAGTGTCTTATGCTAAGTGAAGGCACTACTGCATGAACACACATACGAAATAAAATCTAATTGCACAAATCTGTGGGGAATGGATTTTTGACTCTTTTGAATATGCAATCCACAATGGTACAATGCAATCTCCCAGTAAATTATACATTTATTGTCTTTTCATTCAGTGATCCTTTTGCATCTTTGACTCCTACTAATTCTTAAAATCAGAGCCTCCCTGATTCTTAAAAGCACTTCCTCCCTGACTTCCTTTTGGTGTTTCCATAGCATCCTGCAAATATTCCTTCATAGCGTCCATCACAAACCTTGTAGAATGATACATACGATTTCACCTGAGCCCTTTGTTCCTGGAAAACAGCAATAGGTAAAATAAATCCCCCCACACTCTTGTGTTCAGGAAAACAATTTACCGCAAAGAACTCCTTTCCCCGAATGAATTAGATAAGGCTCCTGGAGAGCTCACTTGTTTACCAAAGATGACGCAAGAGACATTCTACACTCCTATTCTTTGGGTCATAAATAATGAGCTCAACTGTTTGTCCACACTGATCAATCAGAACAACATGTCCGCTAACTAGACTTGACCAAACTTTAGTCAGGATTCTCTTCTTCCTCCAGGCCCCTGAACTTTGGCCTACCCTAGAGCTTTGAGACACAGAATAAGCCTACCTTAAAAGCCCCTGCAGAGAGAATTGCCGGCCTTCGGGGAACTATCAGCTTTGCAATCATCCCACCTCACTACATTTCTGCACACCTCATGCTTTCTTCTCTTTATAAAGGAAAGCCCTTTCTGCTGCCTGACATTTCAGATTTTTTTTTCTTTTTTTTTTTTTGAGACGGAGTCTCACTCTGTTGCCCAGGCTGGAGTGCAGCGGTGCGATCTCGGATCACTGCAACCTCCGCCTCCGGGGTTCAAGCAATTCTCCTGCCTCAGGCTCCTGAGTAGCTGGCATAACAGGCGCCCGCCACCATACCTGGCTAATTTTGTGTGTGTGTGTGTGTGTGTGTATATATATATATATATATATTTTTTTTTTTTTTTTTTAGTAGAAGCGGGGTTTCACCATGTTGCCCAGGCTGGTCTCAAACTCCTGAGCTCAGGCAATCCACCCATCTGCCTTCCAAAGTGCTAGGATTACAGGCCTGAGCCACCGCTCCTGGCCGACATTTCAGATCTTATAGTCAAAGGCCCCTCCTAATTGTAACAGTCCCCCTCTTTTCATAACAGTATACTCCTCCCCTCACTGAAATAATCCTTCGAATAAAGGCGCTTCTCACCTGATTACAGACTTGTGGGGTTTTTGGACATAACTTTCGATTTTAATAATCTGCTTTATTTTCTATATCCTTCACAAGATTATAAACTCTATGAGTAGAGGGACTGTGTCTTTTATTCACAATTGCTTTATGAGACTCTTTCACAATGCTGCATCATACAGGTACTCAATAATTTATTTTTTATTGAATAGTATTTGGCTTTAACCTCGAAGATCTAATATTTTAATTCAATGGTATTTTTTTATCTTGAAAAATCTACATTCTTGCTAAAGATCACAACTTGGAACAGCAATCTACTAGAGAAAGAATAATTTTAAAATGTCAAAATCATAGACCATGCATTATATGGTACCTTAATAAACCAAAGCTGTGTATAAAAATTACTTTTATAGCTAAAAATGAAAATAATTGTTGGCTAATTATGTATAAGAGGAACAGTAATTAAGTTCTCAAAAATGTTTCTAGTAAGTACATCTATCAATATAGTGAGATGTTTGTTTCCTATGTAACAGAACTAGTGGGGTAAACTTGTAACATGAAATTAGTAATACTTGGCATGATCAAAGAGGCTTAACACAGCATATACGAAGTGTATTGTGAGGTACATTTTAAATATATCCTAAGACAAGATTATGTATTGCAAGAGCTAACACATTATTATGATTTCAAAAACATATCCTACTTGAGAGCAATATCATTTAGGTAAGTCCAATTACTCTGGGGACATAGCCTTGGAAATTCTTATCTCCTCTTACCTTGCTTATTTTCATAAATCCTGTCCTAAACTTAACTATACAACTCTAGTACCTGATTTGTAAAGTTTACAACATCTTTAAATTAAATCTTGGTCATTGTCTTAGGTACCTTTTCTAACACCGATTCTCTCATCTCAGACTAAACTCCATGGCAACTTGTGGCTTTCCATGACACTCCAATAAGGGGCAGTTTGACCTTGACTGCCAGAGCGTTTTAACACCTGCAATCCAGGGTGCACTTTAGAAACTTGAGTCAAGATATTTTCATCATATTTGATTAAAAGTAGAATTAGATTATATCATATGCTTGTTTAAATTTTTATAATAAATCCAGGGTGTATACATATATTTAAAAAAGAAGGCTGGTGTTAACAACTGAAGATGTTTTTGTTTTTAAACACTTTTACAGACGTGATTTTTTTGTAGAATTTTACAATGTAGTACATAAATATTAACAGTGAACTCATTAATCATGGGCAGGTAAGTTTCATGTACTGTGTCAACTACCATCAATTAGCAGAAAGTTCCCAGTGTACCCTGTTAGGAAGGTTTATAAGCCATGCCTGAAATTGTCATGACTGATTAGTCATAACCTCATAACCACAGTTGTTCATGAGAGGTAAAGGTGGCAAGTGTAATAAAATGCATAATACATGTTATACCTTTGGACTACACTAAAATCTAAATGTAGACTATTTTGTTTCTGTACAAGACAAAGATAAGTCAATTTTCAACAGAATACACTATTTGAATATACTATATGAATATGTAAATATATATAGCACACATTATATATATACACATACATATATATGTTTATGTATGTGAGAGTGGATGTGTGTGTGTTGGTTTTTACTTATTATGTATACTCACCTTTAAAATAAGGCTGTAACTCTTATGAGACCCACATTCACACAGGTCTATTCTTTTGTCTGCATTTCCATGAGTGGATACTAGGCTTTATAATGTGTTCCACTTGCTTCATAGAGCCAGAAGAAATGAAAACTCAATGTCATAATAATTTGATGTCTCAAAACTATCCTCGCCACTCACTTTCCCCCCAATAATTCCATACATATATATATATATATATATATATATATGGAATTCTTAGCAGGCAACATTTTAATGTCTGGCCAAGGTTACATTTGTCATTCCAGCACTCTCCAACAGATCAAATCACAGGCAGCTCTCCTTCTTACTGAATTTCCTTATCAGGATTAGAAGTGGATAACTAAATGTAATGTAAAACTGTTGATATTTCTGAAGTGACAGCATAGGCATAATACTACACAGTATTACTAATTGATTTTAGGTAGTATTCCTTCTCTGATAGAGTTGCAAAACAGAGACATGGGTAGGAAGAGTGAAAAAAATCCACTGCAAAATTAATCCAGGGGTTTTGATCTTAAAGTTTTGTTACTGCTTGTAAAGATAAAAATAAGAGATGAAAAATCTTGGGGAAAATTGTTCGTTAAAAACAAAAACCTCACTTCTCTATCTGATCACTGATGAACGATAAAGTTTGAACAACTTGCATTAAACCAGCTTTGAAACCAGGCAAAGCACATTTTTAATAATTAAATTATTGCATAAATGACAAGAATTTGAAGAATCCACAAAGGAAAAAAAATTAAACACCATAGAAGGAATTCTTGGGGGGGAAGTGAGTGGTGAGGATAATTTTCCCTGAGACATCAAATCATCATGTCATTGAGCTTCTATTTCTTCTGGCTCTGTGAAGCGAGTGGAACATGTTATAAAGCCTAGTACTCACTCATGGAAATGCAGACAAACGAACAGACCTGCATGAATATGGGTCTCATAAGAGTTACAGCCTTATTTTAAAGGTGAGTATACACAATAAGTAAAATCCAACACCCAAACACACATACAACCTGTCTTGGCCTTGGTGCTAAGTGAAAAGCAACTAAAATATTCAGTGAGACAATTTAGCAAACTAAATATTCAGTGACACAATTTAAATATTGTCTCACTAAATATTCAGTGAGACAATTTAAATCACAAGCTGGCCTTCATGTGAATTTTCTATACATGAGGTCAAAAATATTCAAGCTCATAAAGCACTTCTGGAATGGTAAAGACCTCTGAAAGCCTGTTCCTTCATAAAAGCAATGAGAACACTAGAATAAAATTGTCAAAATCAACTTCAATGAACTCTGGGAATTAATCAAAGACTTACAAAAAAATCCAAGGAGAATTTATGGAGGAAAAATGACTGAATTTCATTAACCACTGAACGAACTGAGCAGAGATTTCAATGGCTGCACATGACAAAGGGTACAGACTTAATCCAGGAAATTTGGTGAATAAAGAAACAGCAGCATCAGTAACAACAACAGTAAACAAGAACAAACTCTAATTGAGAGGGAGAGGAAGTTTTCTGATTTCCAGAATTGGCACATTATATTATTTAAAATGTCCTGTTTTCCACAAGAAATTTCAAGGACACAAGGAGACAAGACATGGCCCACACACAGAGAAAAAAAAAAAGCAGTCAATAGAAACTGTCCTTGAAGAAGGTTAGATTTTGGACCTACTAGAAAAATCTTTTCAATTAGCTACTATAAATATGTTCAAAAAGCTAAAGTAAGCTATGTCTAAAGAATCAAAGTATAAGAATAGTATTTCACTAAATATCCATCAAATGGGCAGAATTATAGCAGAGACTTAAATAGAAATCCTGAACTTAAAAAATAATTTAATTAAATAAAAGTTTACTAGGAAAGAACAATAGATGATAGATAGCAAAAGAAAGAATCAGTGAACTTGAAGGTAGATCAATTGTGATTCTACACTCCAAACAACAGAAAAAGAAATTAAAGAAGAAACTGAACAGAAGAGCCTCAGAGACCTGTGCAACACCAGCAAATGTGCTGACATGCACATAATCAGAGTCCCAGGAGGGGAAGCAGAGAAAAAGACAAAATATTTGAATGGCCAAAAAAATTCCAAATTTGATGAAACAATATTAAACCTATTCATACAAAAGCTCAACAAATTCCAACCAGGATAAACTCAAAGAGATGCACATGTAGACACACAGTGATCAAATTATCAAAAGACAAAGTTCCTTGGCATGCAAATATATTAAAATTTATCCCATTTTGAAAATGAAAATTTGAGTCTCCTTTTCTTTCTACATATGGGCTCAGCTTTATACCCATGTATGTAAACAAGTCCTGGTATCTTTGTCTAGTTGTCCTATAAGCACCTCAAACTCAACATGTTCAAGATCAAATGCGTATCTTTCCACTATCCTCTATCCACTTATTCCAATACCTATGTTCCCTGTGAATGTGGATGCATTCACTATCCACTTGCATGGTGAACAACTTCTTTGTCCTACAGATTCTACTTCTAACTTCTAAATGTCAGTCAGATTAGTTCTCTTTCTTTCACAGTATTGCCTGAAAGCAGGCTATCAACACTCCTCACCTATATTTCTTTTATGGAGACCAAACTGTCATCATCCTCTCCAGTTGCATTAGTTTGCTAAGACCGTCATAACAAAATACCACAGACTGTGACTGAAACAACAGAAATTCATTTTCTCACAGTTCTGAAGGCTAGAATTTGATCAAGGTGTTGGCAGGGTAAATCTCTTAGGAGGCCTCTGCCTTGGCTTATATAATAGATAGTCCCCTTCTCCATTTATCTTCACATTGTCTCTCTTCTATGTGCACACATGTCTGTATCCAAATGTCCTTTCATATAAGGACACCACTCACATTGTGTTAAGGTTCACCCAAAAGGTCCTATTTAAACTATATAACCTCTTTAAAGACTTCATTTCCAAATAAAGTTACAGAGATGCTTGGGGTTAAGATTTCAAGAGTCAGTTTGGGGGGACAAAATTCAGCCCATAACACCAGTTTTATTCACAGGCAGGCTGAAAAAAGAAAGGGCACTAAACAGTAATTCAAATCCACATGCAGAAATAAAGAGCATCAGTGGAGATAAATACACAGGTAAAAATAAAAGCAATGCAACTGCATTTTTTGTTTCTTCATTTTTTCTTCTGCCTGTAAAAGTACACAGTGAAGGAGATATTAAATGTTGAATTAAACCACTAAAACAGTACTGAGGCCAAGTGTGGCAGCTCATGCCTGTAATCCCAACACTGAGAGGTCAAGGCGGGAGAACCACTTGAGCCCAGGAGTTTGAGACCAGCCTGGGCAACACAGTGAGACCCTGTCTCTACAAAAAATACAAAAATTAGCCTGGCACGGTGGCTTGCACCAGTGGTCCCTCGCTAAAGTGTGAGGATCATGTGAGCTCAGGAGTCCGAGGCTGTGGTGAGCTGTGATCACACCTCTGCACTTCAGCCCAGGCAACAGAGCAAGACTCTGTCATTAAAAAATAAACATTAAAAAATACTGTATTATATAAGGAAAGAACTGGTATATAAATAAAAAAAATGAATCAACCTAGGATTTTTTAATAGATGAAATTATTTCCTATAAATGCTCAATATCACAATGCAAATACTTATTGAAGCCTATTATGTAGTGTATGCTAAATTTATGTAACTGCCACAATTTCCAGAGTGAAATGTGGATCAGAAATGTCTTCCTTAATGTTGACCAAAAAGATAAATTAAGAAACAAGTCACTTTCTTCCCACTTCTCACCCCACCATCTGTGGCAAAGAGTGATTATCAACATAATATCAACTTCATAAAGAAGACAAGTAAATATGTTTTAATTCACAAATGTAATTATACTTAGGAGTATGTGAATGGTTCTGTCTTGGGCAAGAGATGAATGTCCATTTTTGAAAGAGACAGAAGAGGAATTCTGTCTAAGCTCTTACCAGAAGAGAGGGGCCTACCTTTTGAAATTATGTCAACTACTCCTGAAGACATTGAGAAAATGTGACTTTTTTGTCCATAGTCCAGGGTATGCTGTCAGATGTCCACAGAGTGTGCCATCAGGGGTCTACAGTGTATCAAAAGGACCTGCTGAGAAGGTTGGCCCATTGTGTATCAACAGCACACATGTGAGATACCTGATCCTGGCTTCATACAGAAGAAGAAATCCAAAGGCTAAAAGAAGGAATGAAACGCTGAGAAGTTTTATTTACAGTGCACAGAGGAAGGAAGTAATGGTCTAGACTGGACGATTTGGCAAAATAAAGCTCTTCTGTGTCCCAGGTGGGTGTCCTACTTGTAGTCAAATTTCATCCACAATACTTTATAGGGATCTCAAGAAGCAGAATGCATTTCCTTGTGAAAAGAGTATACTTATGCAAATTATTCATCTCTGCATCTAAGGACTCGCTATTTAGGGAGAAAGAATAGCATCTACTTCACTGTGTATATCCAGATTGATTTACAGATAGGAGAAAGAGTGAATGTTAATAATAATTGTTTCATTAATGTGGTTGAAAACTTGATGTCAACGACTTTACTTGATTAAAGGCTGAATAATGCCACAAAACACTTAGATTTATTTGCTAATTATTTCTAATAAAACAAGAATAATTCTCACCCAAAAGATGAAGCCCATCCTGATGTCAGGATGCAGACAAGAATTAATTTGGTCTCTTTGCTAAGATAATAGACTCCTTTTAAACTCAGATGAAGATTCAGAAAACAGTCTTAATAAAGCCAATTACTTTGTTCTGAAATCAGGGCTCAATTTATTTTCATGATTATTAAGACAACCTTAGCATCTGGAAAATGACAGTTTTAGATGAGGAGTTTTGATAGCTTATGAATAGCTCAGCTGAAATTTTAAATTTTATTATAGGTTTATTCATAAAGAAGCTATAATCTTCAACTGAACTGTCACTGTTCACACAGACCTAAGTGCACTCCCATAGTTACACCAACTAACACTTATTTTACTTTTTAGTTTAGCATTGCATATAAATTAAGCAGGTGCATATGGTATGTATTGTGTTTATTGTCAGAAAGGATTACTTTTAGAGTTTAAATTTGCAGCAAGAATATTTCTGGATAAACATACCCCAGTAGATAACTGTTTTGTTTGTAAGTAAATATGGACAGGAAAATAAAGAATAAAAAGTCACCATAGTCACATCTTCAAAGCAGTTGGCAGGATTTATTTCCAGCACCAAGTGGAAACTGGGCATGAACCTAATCTGTTGTGAAAACATAATGTCCAACTATGCCAATAATGCTGTTGGTTGGCAGTAGTGCTTGATATTCCTGATTTCCCTTCAAAATTGGGCTCTTGAATATGAAACTATAGAATCTCACAAGAGTAGAAGCTTCTTTCCTGTTGCTGTAACAGAAATACCACTAAATGACCTTGTTCAAACTGTTTTTCTTTTAACTGTCTACAATATTACTGTTATCAGTCATTTTTAGAAATGTTTTACACGTCTTTTAATCTGTAAACTAGAAAATTAGTTATCTACTAAAAACAATTGCATAAAAGAAAAGAGGAATTGGCCTGGCATGGCAGCTCCTGTCTGTAATCCCAGCACTTTGGGAGGCCGAGGTGGGTGGATCACTTGAGTTCAGGAGTTGGAGACCAGCCTGGCCAACATGGTGAAACCCTGTCTCCACTAAAAATACAAAAATTAGCCAGGCATGGTGGCAGGTCCCTGTAATCCCAGCTACCTGGGAGGCTGGGGTAGAAGAATCTCTTGAACTCAGGAGGCGGAGGTTGCAGTGAGCCGAGATTGTGGATATCGCGCCACTGCACTCCAGCCTGGGCGACAGAGCGAGACTCCATCTTACAAAAAAAAAAAAAAAAAGAAAGAAAGAAAGAAAAGAGGAAGAATTTTATGGATCACTCATACATGAAAGGACTCTTTCAAGTCTTTTTAACATTTTAAAGTCAAGTGAGATTTATCCTCATTTTTCCAATATGTTATGTTCAGCACTTCTCTACTGTAGGTGGTAACTTTTTTTTCTTTTTTTTTTTTTGAGACGGAGTCTTGCTCTGTCACCCAGGCTGGAGTGCACGTGGGCGGTAACTTCTAATTAACATCCCTAAAAGTATCAAACTCTTCAAAGTATATTTTTGGAATGGATAAATTAATGAATTACTATTCTCAGAAGCAATGGGACACATGATTTTCTCTTCTAGATATAGGGTACATTGAGAATGGACTTTATCATGAACAGGAAACTACCAGGTCTCATTTCTATCCTACAGTCTTCATTTCACTGAAAATTACATGACCACTATCTCTATACTGTAAAACTACCCTAACTGGGGAGAGGCTACCTCACTATGAATTTTCCTTTTAAAAAGACTGGAGTTACTAGAGCTCACAGTTTAAAAAAAAAAAAAAAAGATGAACTGTTTTCTAAGATTAGGGATGCATGGGGTCATGATTCTACCAACACTTGGATATTGTTATCTTTCAAAATGATGGTGATTTTCCATATGTATTTGGATAAAACCATCAAATATATAGAACTCCTAGGTCCTTGACTTCTTTTACTCCATAGTATTGTTCCCTAACTTGCTCAGCCACTTTCTTCCAGAACATGCCATTACCAATAACTAAGTCCTTTCCCTAATCTGTTAATCCTAACAAATTTTTCCTGGATCTCACCCACTTACAGTCTTTCTTCCCTCTTTATCCAGTTGCGATTACAAAGTTCACCTCTATATGAACATCTTGCACACACCCTTAACTTCCTTTCCCTTCTATCCTGGTAATCCTGGTGATGTCCCAGTCTCCAATTTCCCTGTTTCTACAGAATCTTGTATGACTGATTCCACTGCTTATGCACAACCACTAAGCCCAGGTGGCTCCTCACCCTTGCTACATTTCTCTACTGTTACATTTTATCATTAAAATCAAATTCACACATATCCATAAAGCGGCTATGCAAAATAAGATAATGTGTTTATATCCACCAAGAATTTCTTCTGAATTTGTTAAACTGTAATCAAAATAACAGTGAATAAATAACATTAATTAATCCTGTGTCAAGAAAGAGAGTAAAAACTACAATAACCACTTCTATATCGTTGTTTGTAGGACTTAAGTCCAATATAAAGTAGAATTTGGTCCCGGATCTAAAATCCTATAAAACCATTAAAACAACATATTCAGAATATTTCAATAATATTCTCTGCCATAGTCCTTGGTATTTCAGAGTCTGCCTCTAGAGTCCCACTACATTGTCTTGGTCAACTTTACTGCTCCCTGAAATGATATTATCTCAATTCCTCCCATAGTTTCTTCCTTATTCTCACTTCCAACGGATGACATTAGTTCCTAATTGATGAAGAAAATGTGAGCAATCTAGACAAACTTCTCCAGGCTGTTTCCAGTACACTCCCCATATACTCTGGTCCCATGTTACAGCCATCTGCTTTGCTTCATGCTTATATGGACAAACAATCTATGCCTCTGTCCAAGACTGGAGTTCCCATTTGGGCACCAGACTCCGTCTACCTATCCTTACCTACTTAAGGACATCAATGCAGAAATTCTCCTCTCCTGCATCATCTATTTTTCACTCTCCGTTGAATCATCTCCATCAACATAATAACAGTAACAGAAAGCATTTTTATACTGCTCACGATATTGCAGGCACTGCCGAACACAAATTTAATCCTTATAACAATTCACTGAGAAATATAACTTTATTACCATTCACTTTTTATAGGTGAGAAATCCGGAGCACAAAGAAGGTAAAAATCTTGCCTAAGGAACAGAGATAATAGGTTATATAGAATGCTATCTAACATTTGTCCTGCTACCAATACTAAAACTATATACTTCACATACCTCACTCAAGGGGAAAAAAAAGTATATCTCATGATAAAACGAGGGAGTCACCTTGATGGATTCTTGTCCTCACAATAATAAAATAGTGAATATTTTTCTTAAACCAGACTTCTTAACATAAACAATTTTATTGTTATTTTTTGATGTGTTGGTATTTGAAGACATGTCATATTGCTTATGAATATGAATATGATAAACATTTGAAAAAATGACCAGTTTTTAACTGTAAGCACGTGAATACACACTAAGTCATCATTAATTTTACATTTTGGCTGATTGCAGTCACTTATACCTGTAATCTCAGCACTTTGAGAGGCCGAGATAGAAGAATTGTTTGAGGCCAGGAGTTCGAGACCAACCTAGGCAACACAGTGAGATCTCGTTTCTACAGTTTTTTTTTTTTTTTTAATTAGCTGGGCCTGGTGGTGCGCCTCTGTAGTCCCATCTACTTGGGAGGCTGAGGTGAAAGAATTGCTTGAGGCCAGCAGTTTAAGGCTTCAGTGAGCCAAGATCATGCCACTTGACTTCAGCCTGAGCAACAGAGTAAGATCCTCTCAAAAAATGCAAATTTTACATTTTTCCTTTGCTGTGTTTTATATTTGACAACTCTTTCCTTCTGGAATGTGACTCCCTTGCTTTTTTTGCAAGTATTGTGCTTTTTTTCTGAATGAATTTGTCTCACAGTCTTCTTTGAAAGTCATCATTAAAGGTTCCATTAAGTTATAATTCATTTTGTATTCTGTCATCAAAGCCAGCAGAAACATGTAGTCCAGTGGCATACCTTGTCTGGACTTGGACAGGCGGAGTGCTCAGTTCAATTTCACTTGACTCATCTGGCAAATCTCATACATGGTGAGGAAGCTCTTCAGTTCTGTTCAGACACTCTTTTTATGGCCAAGTCTGTTTTTGGTAATAACAATGGTAAAATCCGATTTTGAATCACAAAGTTGACATGTAGTAGATGTCAGAATTTGTGTATCTTTCAGGTGGCAGCTGATAAAAAGGCTGGAATCTATTTTCTTATTAGTCTTTTTATAATTTGTGTATCTGTGTTTGTTTGAAGATTCTCATATTTTTTTACATATGAGAACCAAGCATTAAAATATTTTTGTTATTTTTCTAACTATTGCGGGAATCATCTCTGGTTATATGATTAGCATTTGTACCAATATCAATTTCACAATCAAAGCTTTTGAATGGAAGGAAATGAAATTTCTAACATGCACTGGTCAACTTTTGTTCACTGTTATGCAAGACTTCCAATGATAGAATGATCCCAAATTAATATCTCTTCAGGACTCTTTAAATAAAATTAACAAAAAAAGATTATTACTATTTTTAGAGAATGAAAGAAAAAGTTTTAAAGCCTACACTGGTAAATTCATAAGAAAATCACAAAATTGCTTAGAATGTTGATAATGATGCTTCTCAAAAGACCTCATGGGCTTAATTTATGTCTTTGTGTCTAAAAATGATCAACAATCCTTAATAGATAGTAGCACCTCCTTTTCTACTCCTTTATTAAAAAACGGCTTTTCTAAATTGGACAAGAATAAAACTTTACATATTCTAAGTATAAAATATATTTACAAGATGAATCTATACCTCTTGTCTAAATACCAGGTGAATTAGTAAACCAAATTATTAGATCTCTGAAAATAATGTAGTACTACTACTTCTGGCTATGGTAGAGTAACTGGGATCAAAAGTATCCTCTTGTTATTAAAAATAACTAAAAACTAGATAAAATTATTAAAACAACTCTTCTCACTAATGACAAAAGGACAAAGAATTGTGGCCTCTGACAGAAGTGATACAAATGAAGTGAGCACTACAATTGCCCTGACTTTCGGCCTAAATGGCCTAAATGCACTTTCTGAATTACGGTAAAGAGCGTAGGATCTAAGGCAGACAGGGTACAACAGTCTTTCTAAGTTGAAGAAACAAAAACCAGAGGACAAGGAGTCAGCCACAGCAGTCATTTGTGAGGCAGACTACCAAGGAAGAAGGAGCTACAGCGAGTAAAGACTCTAGAAATTTGCATAGTGACTCCTCTATAGAAATCAAAATACTGGAACTTACGATGGCCAAATATTTTACAAATTTGATGAGAAATAGAAACATACCTTTATTCGTTTGCTAGAGCTGCTGTAACAAAATACTACAAATGGAGTGGGGCTCAGAACAACAGAAATTTAGTATCTAATAGTCTGGAGGCAAGAATTCAGAGATCAAGGTATTGGTGAAGTTGATTCCATTGAGGCTATGGGAGAAAATCTTTTTTATACCTGCCTCCTAACTTGGGGTATTTCTTGGCATTTCTTAGCTTCTGTTGTATCACTCCAATCTCTGCCTTTAATGTCACATGGCATTCTCCCTCTGTGTATACGTATTCAAATTTCCCCTTTTTATAAAGACATCAATCCAAGAAGCTCAGTTCATATTTGAAATAGATACCAGAAAACCCACACCAAGAAACATCATAATCAAATTGCTAAAAACAGTAATTTATTTTAATCATGCAGAGTAAAGGGAACATTAAATAAACAGGAAAGAATAACTGAATAATTCTTATCTCAATCTATGAAAGCCAGAAGATGCTGAGATGACATTTTTAAAGTTCTTTTGTTCTCTTCTCTTTTCCTATCTTTCCTGAATAATTCAGTATTTTTCTTCTCTTCCTTATTCTCTTGTCTTTCCTTTCTCTTTTCTTCCAGAAATATTTAATCCTAAAGTCATGTTTTTCGGAGAAGATAAAGACAATTTGGACATAATGGTAGCCTGATGTGATATGCAGAAACCTAATGCGGTTTGTATGGAGGTTATCCACACAGTGTGAATAGAAAATCTATTTGGGGACATGGCCTGGCACAGGGTGTTGGGTCCAAGTGGGGTGGGGAAGGCATCTATGCTTCCTAGCCCAGCATGGGAAGTCAAAGTCTACAGTAAGGAGTCAATAAACAAACAAAATCTAGAACAGAAATAAATACATAAGCAAACCAGACCTTGGCTTCTACATGTCATTTTTCTTTTACAAAAACCTTGGTTCTTTGGAGAAATGACTGAATCCAGGGATAGAGGTGGGAAATACAAGATGTGCCTGGTTCTTCTTGTCATGCAAGAAAGCAAAGAAATATTCATAAAATAAAACAATAGGGATGTCAGAAGGACAGAAAAGCCAACTTGAATTACTCTGGCTAAATCTGGGACAAATATAAATAATAACACATTAAATTTTTCTCAAAGTCTATAAATGTATGATTAAATTAGCAAAGATTAGTAATGAACAGAGGAGCTGCCTAGTTTCAAAATTACTTATTAATAACAAATGGAAATAGAATAAATTTACAGTTGGGGAAGATGAGCACCACTTAAATCAAGTGATTACAATAAACATTATCAAAAATTGGACAAAGCAAAGTGGTTCTACCCATTGGATGTTGTCTTCCTCCATTTTGTGTTGCTATATAACAAAGTATCCAAGATTGGGTAATTTATAAAGAAAAAAGTTTACAGTCATGCTTAACAATGGAGACACATTCTGAGAAATTATTAAGTGATTTTGACACTGTGTGAGCTTAAAGAGTGTATTTACACACAACTAGATGGTATAGCCTACTACACACCTAGGCTATATGGCATATAGCCTATTGTCCCTAGGCTAGAAACCTGTAGAGCATGTTACCGTATTGAATACTGTAAGCACCTTTAACACAATAATAAATGTGTATCTAAACATTTCTAAACATAGAAAAGGTACAGTAAAAATATGATGTTGAATCTTGTGAGACCACTCTCATATATAATGTCTATTGTTGGCTGAAAGCTCCTTATGCAACACATGACTGTATTTGGCTCATGATTCTGGAGGCTGGGAAGTCCAAGATCAGGCAGCTCATTTGGTGAGAGTTTTGTGCCACTTCAACTCATGGTGGAAAATGAAAGGGGAAGTGGATGTGTGCAAACAGACCAAATGTGAGAGGAAACTACCCACTCTCAAAGCAATTAATTCAGTCCCACATAAGAAATAACTTACTCCTCTGAACCAGCATCCATCTATTCACGAAGGATCTCCCTCAGGACCCAAATACCTCCCATCAAGCTCTACTTCCCAAAACTGTCACCCTGAGAATCAAATTTCAATATGAGTTTTGATGGGATCCAAACCACAGCAGATGCAATGAGGACACAGCATCATTTCTTTTATATCCCTACCACAGATGGACAAACTGAATCTAATCCCAAGGAAACATCAGACAAACTAAAATTGACAATACTTTAAAAAATAACTTGCCTATAGTTTCCATAATAATCAAAGGCATAAAAGTCAAAGGCTGAAAAACTGACTCAGATTGAAAGAGACTAAGGAAATTTGACAACTAAATGAAGGGCTTGAATCTGAATTAGATCTTTCTGCTAAAAAGAACTTTATTGGGAAAATGCTGAAACTTGAATGGGGCATAATAGGTGGTAGAAACGTATCAGTGTTATTTTACCTGTCACAGTATTGTGGTTATGCAGGGAATGTTCCTGTTTTTAGGAAATACATTCAAAGTTTTTAAATCTATTATAATATCAGATTGGCAGGCTCCTTTCTAATGGTTGAGGAAACAAACCTTGTTCTTTTCTTGAAGCTTTTTCATAAGTTTTAGATTGAATTATAAAGTATTGCAATAAAAGTTTACATTCCACAGGGTTACACAGAGCTTTATTTAAAAAAAAATCATACATTAAAAATAAATCCTAAAAGTTAAAGCCAGGTGTATTGGGAGAGTGTATTTGTAAAACTTGTTGAAAGCCAATTCCACATAGGTACAACTTTTTTAATAAATCAGGCAAATGCTCTCTATTACACATAAGAATTTAAAAATCGGTTGGGTGCAGTGGCTCACGCCTTTAATCCCAGCACTTTCGGAGGCCAAGGCAGGTGGATCACAAGTTCAGGATTTCAAGGCCAGCCTGGCCAAGATGGTGAAACCTTGTCTCTACTAAAAATACAAAAATTAGCCGGGGCTGGTGGCGGGTACCTGTAATCCCAGCTACTCAGGAGGCTGAGGCAGGGAATTGCTTGAACCCAAGAGGCAGAGGTTGCAGAGAGCCAAGATCTCACCACTGCACTCCAACCTGGGCAACAGAGCGAGACTCCATCTCAAAAATAATAATAATAATAATTTAAAAATCATATTATAGCCTTATAAAGATCTTGTAGGGACAGAGATATAAATAGGATTACATATTTAATGGTGAATTTGGTTAATACAGCTCTCAGTAACACTGTATCAACATGACCTCAGAAGGCTCTATGAGAATCTTGTGAACAATTAGTGATCACGCATTTGCATGTCGAAAATAGCCAAAATATTTGCCTCACAGCAAATAAACCTACTAAGAAAATAGATTTATTTCAACTAAAGTGTCTTCCAAGAATATCAACATAGGCTATCTTTAAGATAAAAATATATTTATAGCCATGCTTTCTCAATTTAATCTTGAGTTGTGTAAATCTGGTGCAAATAATGTTGATCTTTGATTTTAGTATAAATAGAAAAATGGAACACAAGAAAGACTTCTTTCAAAAGATTTATAGTTTCTAAAATTAAAAGACAAACATTAATAAACAAAGCCAACTGTCTGAGATGCATATATTGTTAGTTGAAACATATCTAACCAGCAAAAATATTTTCTTGATCTATATACATAAGCAAGAATTACTAGCACAGCTAAAAACCGCCATTCCCTGGGGATAACATACACTTACCATGTTACAAAGGCAATTAAATGAGTTAGCTTTTCTGTTTTAATCCAAAAGTGCCCCAAGACTATTTATTTATAAACTAAGTAGTGGCATACCAAGGGTTCCTTTGTGTCTGTGAGGTAATGAATGTGAGATCTAAATCCAGTCTGTTGAATTTCAGACTTATGAAATTGTTATTATTAAATAAAGAATGTGATTTTTCAAAACTCTCAAATATTTTCTCCAAAATCATTCCATCAAAAATATTTTCTTAAGGAAAAGTCCTAAGAAAGATATTTCTGTACAAATATTTCCAAAACAGAACTTTCTAGTCTGAATTTTCCCTCCAACTTCTACATGTGTAACATTTTCCTGCTATTAAAATTGTGTAAGTATTTGAGGTAAAATAAATATTCTAAACAGCTCATACTAAAGGTGAATTGTATTTTGTTTAACTAATGAGAGGAAGGAGTATTAACCAATATCTGGAGGAGCTGCTAGTGCAAAAGTAACCAAAAAAGCTCAAACGTTACCAAAATAAGCATAGAAGTAATCAACCTCCAAATTGTATGTTTATTGATCAACGACTATTAAAATATATAGCCCCATCTTTATCATTCATATCCAATCAAGTGCCATGTTTTAATTTCTTTCCAGAAATATTACAATATTATGTGCATAATTATCCACATTCACCATTTTTAACGCTTTTAGTAAAATAATAAGAGCTATTTGGGACAAACCTGCAGTCCATATCATATTAAATGGGCAAAAGCTGGAAGAATTCCTTTTGAAAACTGATACAATACAAGGATGCCCTCTCTCACCACTCCTATTCAACATAGTATTGGAAGTTCTGGCCAGGGCAATCAAGCAAAAGAAAGAAATAAAGGTATTCAGATAGGAAAAGAGAAAGTCAAATTGCCTCTGTTTGCAAAAGACATGATTGTATATTTAGAAAACCCCATCATCTCAGCCCCAAACCACCTTAAATTGATAAACAACTTCAGCAAAGTCTCAGGAAAGAAAATCGATGTGAAAAAATCACAAGCATTCCTTTACACCAACAATAGAAAAGCAGAGAGCCAAATCATGAGTGAACTCCCATTCATGATCACTACAAAGAGAATAAAATACCTAGGAATAGAGCTAACAAGAAACGTGAAGGACCTCTTCAAGGAGAACTACAAACTACTGCTCAAGGAAATAAGAGAGGATGCAAACAAATGGAAAAACATTCTATCCTCATGGATAGAAAGAATCAATATTGTGAAAATGTCCATACTGCCCAAAGTAATATATAGATTCAATGCTATTCCCATCAAACTACCATTGACATTCCTCACAGAATTAGAAAAAAACAATTTTAAATTTCATATGGAATTAAAGAAGACCCTGTATAGCCAAGACAATCCTAAGCAAAAAGAACAAAGTTGAAGGCATCATGCTACCTGACTTCAAAGTATACTACAAGGCTACAGTATCCTAAACAGCATGGTACTCATACCAAAATAGACATATAGACCAATGGAGCAGAACAGAGACCTCAGAAATAACACCACACATCTACAACCATCTGATCTTCAACAAACCTGACAAAAATAAGCAATGGGGAAAGAATTTCCTATTCAGTAAATGGTGCTGGGAAAACTGGCTAGCCATATGCAGAAAACTGTAACTGGACCCCTTCCTTATACCTTATACAAAAATTAACCAAGAGGAATTAAAGACTTAAATGTAAAACCGAAAGCCATTAAAACCCTAGAAGAAAACCTAGGCAATAGCATTCAGGACATAGGCATGGGCAAAGATCTCATGACAAAAATGTCAAAAGCAATTGTGACAAAAGCCAAAACTGACAAATGAGATCTAATTAATTCTGCACAGCAAAAGAAACTGTTATCAGAGTGAACAGGCAACCTACAGAAAGGAGAAATTTTTTGCAATCTACCCACGTGACAAAGGTCTAACATCCAGAATTTACAAGGAACTTAAATAAATCTACAAGAAAAAAACAACCCCATTGAAAAGTGGACAAAAGATATGAATGGACACTTCTCAAAAGAAGACATTTATGCAACCAAAAGACATATGAAAAAAAGCTCAACATCGCTGATCATCAGAGAAATGCAAATCAAAACGACAATGAGATACCATCTCACACCAGTTAGAATGGCGATCATTAAAAAGTCAGGAAACAATAGATGCTGGCAAGGTTGTGGAGAAATAGGAACGCTTTTACGCTGTTGGTGGAAGTGTAAATTAGTTCAGCCATTGTGGAAGACAGTATGGCAATTCCCCAAGGATCTAGAAGGAAATACCATTTGACCCAGCAATCCTATTATTGGGTATCTACCCAAAGGAATATAAGTCATTCTACTATAAAGACACATGCACCTGTATGTTTATTGCAGCACTATTTACAATAGCAAAGACATGGAACCAACCCAAATGCCCATCAATGAGAGACTGGATAAAGAAAATGTGGTATATATACACACCATGGAATACTATGCAGCCATAAAAAAGAATGAGATCATGTCCTTTACAGGGACATGGATGAAGCTGGAAGCCATCATCCTCAGCAAACTAACACAGGCAACAGAAAACCAAATATTGCCATGTTCTCACTCATAAATGAGATTTGAGCAATGAGAACACATGGACACAGAGAGGGGAATAACAAACACCAGGGCCTGTTGGGGGATGGAGGGTGAGGGGAGTGAACTTAGAGGATGGGTCAGTAGATGCACCAAACCACCATGGAACGTGTATAGCTATGTAACAAAGCTGCACATTCTGCACATGTATCACATTTTTTTTAGAATAAATTTTTCTAAAAAGTCAAAGGAAGAAATGAGCAGTGTCCTTCTTCCCATTCAAGAGTAATGTCTGTCTCTGAGCTTGTTCACTTACTCCACCTGACATTTACAATGAGCCTATCATGGGCCAGCTACTGTGCTGGAGGCAATAGAGAACAGGACCCAACATCCCTGGGCTTGCTGACCATCAGGGAGGAGAAGACACATTAAATTAACTGTGAAGCAGATTAGGAAAGGGAAAGTAAGCAGCTCTGGACACAGAGCAGGGAACACTAACTGTGTTTCCTGTAAAAGTACTCACCAGGGAACTGATGTTAAAACTGAGACCTGAAGGAAGAGTAGGATTTAGTAAGATAAATAGAGAGAGAGAGACCAGAGATCCAGGCAGATGAAAGAGGATGTTCAAAGACATGGAATCAAGAAAAACAGAATGGGCCATTTGAAGACCTGCAATAACTTTAGTACCCTGGAGCCACTGAAGGGAGAGTGGTGGCCAGGCTGCTTCATACTGGTTAAGGATGAGGCTAGAAATGCAAGTACCACACAGATGATTCAGGGCTTACATTTAAAGTCAACTTTTTGAGACTGGAGTAGTTTTTTTAGAGTTATGGGAAGTCATTTAAGTTTCATTCAGGAAGTGACCCTTGGTGATGACTCACACTTTTAAAATGTCATATGTCCAGGAATTGTTTATTGAATGCTAAACAGACCTAAGAGATCAAAACAAATTTCTGGTGCATTTTCTTGAATAGTTCTGTCATCTTTAGTACTGTTCTACAAATTCCATCCCACTTTGCCTCCCTGAATGGTGATCTCTATTTCTATTTATTTATTTATTTATTTATTTATTTATTTATTTATTTTTAGACGGAGTTTTGCTCTTGTTGCCCAGGCTGGAGTGCAACGGCACGATCTCAGCTCACCACAACCTCGGCCTCCCGGGTTCAAGCAATTCTCCTGCCTCAGCCTCCCGAGTAGGATTACAGGCATGCACCACCATGCCCGGCTAATTTTGTATTTTTAGTAGAGATGGGGTTTCTCCATGTTGGTCAGGCTGGTCTCGAACTCCCGACTTAAGGTGATCCTCCCGCTTCGGCCTCCCAAAGTGCTGGGATTACAGGCATGAGCCAGGGCGCCTGGGTGATCTCTGTTTCTTTGATTCAGTGAGGCCTCTTGTGAGACAGCGAGATGGGAGGGGCTCCCAGGCAAAACTGCAACCTGCCTGTGTACTGGAGTGGAGACACAGAAGATCATGCCCTTTGTACCAGGGGAGGAGCCTGACCCCTCCTCTTCTTGTGTGGAACCTGGGATTCAAACAGCAAGGCAAGAAGTGCACAAGCAGGGACTCTGGCCTTGAGGAGAGTCCTTTTCCCTGCCCTGCCTTTTTTTTTTTCCTTTCACCCAATAAAAACCCTGCTTTACTCACCCTTCAAACTGTCTGCGAGCCTAAACTTTCACGACCATGGGACAAGAACCCTGTCTTCAGCTGAACTAAGGAAAAGTCCTGCAACGCTTACTCTGTTCAGAATTTCCTCCCTGCATCCCCACTGGGAAAGTGCCTCCAAGTTCTCCGTGCTTCCCTGCTCTTAGGGATCACAGTCCTGACCTGCTGGTTGTCCGATGTCTAAAAATGGTTGCCACATATATTCTGTAGTTTTCTACTTGTTCATAGTGGAATAGTAAGTCTGGTTCCAGTTACTCCATTGTGGCAGGGAACAGTCTCTGTCTGCTGTTTCTACTTAGATGATATGTGTATTTTGGAGGTTTCAGGGGAGCCATACTCTCTCTCCCCAACTCACTCCTCTGAACCACCAATGGAAGCAACTAGCTCAAAACTGTCTAATAATTTTAGAGGTTTCACCAAAAAAAGCAAATTTATATTAATTGTATTCAGTTTACTGTTGCAGAGAAATGCATGCTATTTTAAACAATAAAAGCAACTACATTATGATCTATTATTATTTACTGCGTGCCAAGTTTTGTGACATTGCGCTTCATACTTTTTTAACTTAATTTCTTACAAAATCCTTATAAAAGAGGGCACGGCATACTTGATTTTACTCATGAGGAAATCCACACAGTGGTTCTCCCAAAGTCAAATGAGCAGTAAGTGATAACAAACTTTGAACTTGTCTGTCTACCTCTTTTCATTATCTTCTAATTTACTATAGGCATGTCTCCTAACAAAATTACCTTTCAGGAAAATTTAGTCCTCTGAAAAACATTTCTCTGGGTGACAGTATCTCACTATACTTTTTAAAATCAAGGCAGTCTTGTTCATATTTACGTATTTTCTTCTAATACATTCAGAATGTTTAAGAGGATCCTAAGAACAAAACTAAACTGAGAATCAATAATGTTTGACTTAAACTACATTCTCAGTTCCAACTAAAGGTTGGACCAATTGGAGCTGCTATTAAGGTTATGTCACATTCTAAATCTAAATTTACAACTGTTTCTAAGAACGGAGAAGAGTCTAGCATTTTATGTAGAAACATGCTGTGTTGAGAATGCTTACTGTTAAGACTATTTTTTAAACGGAAGAAATCTAATTTTCAGAAAGAGATGAGCTGACTGGAACAAAAAACGCTCAGTAGCAACATTTTTAAAAATAGTTGTTTCAGATTAGTTCCATAATTAATGAAACAGCAAATTGATATGGTATTGGAGAATATGCAATTGAAAATTATTCATTAGTCAGTATTACTGCTTACTTCTCAAAACCTCTGAAAAGTTTATAGCCAATAAAAGATTCATTGACTAAACTAGAAATAGAAAACTTCTACTGCAGATACTATGGTTTCTATGGGACCTACCAGACAATAGTGTTGTACTTCCCACAACTAATGTTGTGATTATTTTCGTTTTTTCTTTTTCTGGTTTTTAAGTCTCATTTCTCTTTTTGATATCTACCAGTCTATTTTTTCTTTTCCAATTTCCTTTTTTTTTTCTATTACTTGATTTTAGAGAGAGAGGAAAAAAATAGGGAACACAAAGGGAAGATTAAATTATAACCACTACCATTCTTGGCTTCATAAACAGTTCATTAGAGTGGATTTATGTGAAAACTCTTTTGTTCTCCTGGAGCTGAGGCTGGTTGATGTATAGGTAAGTGATATTAAAAATTTACATCAATATTTAAATTAATACCCAATTCAAACTGTAAATTATATTTTTAGTTCAACCATAGGAAAATATGAGTCACTCTAACATTACTCAGTTTGGGAAGGAGAAATCTTCCCTGAGTTTATCAGTAACAGAAAGAACCCAGGTAGAACGGCTAGCCATTTCTTTTTTTTTTTTTTTTTTTTTTTGAGACGGAGTCTCGCTCTGTCGCCCAGGCCGGACTGCGGACTGCAGTGGCGCGATCTCGGCTCACTGCAAGCTCCGCTTCCCGGGTTCACGCCATTCTCCTGCCTCAGCCTCCCGAGTAGCCGGGACTACAGGCGCCCGCCACCGCGCCCGGCTAATTTTTTGTATTTTTAGTAGAGACGGGGTTTCACCTTGTTAGCCAGGATGGTCTCGATCTCCTGACCTCATGATCCACCCGCCTCGGCCTCCCAAAGTGCTGGGATTACAGGCGTGAGCCACCGTGCCCGGCCTAGCCATTTCTAATGAGTGCCGCCTCCCATTCCCCTCATGAAGGCAAGCAGAGAGACAAACAAGTCACAATAGTTTCAGAGGTTACGGATAACATGCAACATTTGTTTTTTCCCCAAAAATCTGACAGGAAAAAAAAATCCATATTCTAGAGCAGATGAGGTTGGATTAAGAAAAATCAATGATGTATCAATGGATGCATGCTGCAACAGAACAGCAAATAAGACCGGGAGGAGGAAGGAAGGGGCTTGGACCAAGCAGCATAGAATGCTGGCAGAAACTGAAGAACCCTGCTTCGGGGTGCAGGTGACAAACAGTGCAAGGGTGGTCGGGAGAGGGTCAGCACCCCCCCTTGCTGGACCACTGCAGCCAGACTCCAGCAGGGTGCACACAGAAGACGGGCCTCCGAGAGTCTGCCTCCTTAGCAGTCCCCGGAGGCCTCAGGAGGAACAGCAGCCCTGTGATTCACAGCACAGAGGTTGTGACTGAGCTTCCTGTTCTGGAATTCATGGGTCTGGAATCTGAACTCTAGATTGGAAGAGAGCCAATCACGAGTCAACTCCCTCTGCAGCTGCATACACAAAAGAGAGAAGACAGAGAGGATGAGTCACATTCTCCTGACCCTTTCACACACAACATTAGTCTTCTGGAAAATATATTCTATTCAATGTACTCGAATTGGACGAATTTGATCAGCAATTTTTCTAGAATAAATTGGAGGTTCAGTTAAAGTTGAGGAGGCAGAAGAATAAGAGAAAAATTTTCTCCTCTGGAGGTCTACTCAATGCAGTACCCATTGAAATTTCCTCATTCAGAAGGAAAGTGACAGAGCGGTCTCCAGATGCCTCATATACACGCCACTAAAGGAACGTATTAGTCCGTTTTCATGCTGCTGATAAAGACATACCTGAGACTGGGTAATTTATACAGAAAAAGAGGTTTAATGGATTCACAGTTCCACATGGCTGGGGAGGCCTCATGATTATGGTGGAAGGTGAAGGAGGAGCAAAGGCATATCCTTACATGGTGTCAGGCAAGAGAACATGGGCAGAGGAAGTGCCCTCTGCAAAACCATCATGAGACTTATTCTCTATTATGAGAACAGCATGAGAAAGACCCACCCCCATGATTCAATTACCAAGGAGCAAAAGTTTATTTTTTCATTTGTCTCTCCACTGTCCTCCTCCCCAAGATCCAGCAGCAGAGCTATCAAACAAATAGAACAGGCAGCCAAAAAGAGAGCTTTTGGGGTGTGTCCAAGAAGTTTCTGGACAAGGCACTCAATCATGAGACGTGTTCCCTCCATTAGTGATTGTATGAGTCAGGGTTCTTCAAAGAAACAGAATTCATAGGACATGTGTTGTGTAGAGAAAGATTTATTACAAGGAACTGGTTTATGTAATTATGGAGACTGTCAGGTTCAAAATCTGCAGGGTGGGCTGGCAGGCTGGAGACCCATGTAAGAGTTGATGTAGCAGTTCAAGTCTAAAGTCTGCCATCTGCTGGCAGAATTCCCTTTTGTTTGAGGGAGGCCAGTCTTGTTCTTTTCAGCCCTTCAACTGACTGGATGAGGCCCACTCATATTGTGGGGGACAATCTACTTTGCTCCAAGTCCACCAATTTAAATGTTAATCTCATCCAAAAAATACCCTTGCAGAAACATTCAGAACATTTGACCATATATCTAGACACTGTGGCCCAGCCAAGTTGACACATAAAATTAACCATCAGACCAGGATTTCTCTGCCAGGAAGCTATCACAGATACCAAACACAAAGAAGAGGAAGCAGGGCAAAGCAGCGCTTTGTAAGAAAATGAGAGATGGTCATGAGCCCTAGGATTGAACCTCTGTATCTGAGGCTGGCCACAAAAAGGACATTTTTTTTCTTATTCTAAGTAGATCTTAAGTAGTCTCAAAAGGTGACTGTACAATTGCAGATGAGTTATCAAAGTGGAGAATATGAAATGCTTCCCTTATTAAAATGGTAGTATTAAATAGTTGAATAATAATAGTGTTACCATCAGTTTTGAAAGGCCAAACCAATCACTGAAAGAGCCATGGTCCATCAATGGAATTACTAAAACCAGAGACTAAGCCAATACATCCTAGGTAGGAAGACTTTTACTCAGGACACCCCAGGGACTGCATCTGATGCTGCTGCCTACTTCTAGCACTGTCACTTAGGCATGAGAAAATAGACTTGAATGTGCATAGGACAATAAAAAATCCAAATTACCTCCAAATGTTTCAGAAGAAATTTAGCATCACTCTTATTATTACAAAAAGCAAGCTGAAACAAATTAATGCTAACATCTATCAATTGAGTGCTCATTAAATAGGCAATGTTCTAGAAGATTTACTACACATACTATTTTTTATATCAGTACTTTTCTAGAAGGTAGTATTATTCTAAGTTTTCATGTGAGGAAACCGAGGTTTTCCAGGTTACATAACCTCCCAAATTCAGGAGCCAGAAAGTAAGTAATTTACCATACATAACTGACGAGCATTTTGCTGATCACTTAACAAGGAAACCAAGGATTATAACAGAAAAACTGAGAATGTCAAAATTTTTTGATGTTGCATCTGTGTAATCCAGAACTGTGGAATTGTCCATACCTTTTTACCCAAATATTTCATCAAAGTTCCATGTATAAATACTTTCATATAAGTATGCTTATGATTCAACAAAAAACTCTAGGATCAGCCTAAAAATCTAACAGTATGGCATTGCATTAACAATTATATAGTATATTCACTCTTTAAAAAGATATAGCTATAGCAACCCATAATTATTAAGACTTTATAAAAATCCAAGCTGGATACCTTGATAATTATATAAACAGAACAAAAGATATAACTGTGATGCCATTGATAGACTGTAAAGAATAGATACAGTGGCAGGCAGGCCAATATATAATCAGTCATATTGGAAAAAAGGGAAAAAGATGGACAACAAATACCAACAGTATTTGGAATGGGACTGGGATAATTTATTTTTGCCATTCCCAGATTTCCTGAAATGTATTCATACTAAATTTAACATTTAAAAATACATACTTCCCTAAAGGATTAAATTTGAGCCAATGTGGTTTGATATTGAAAGACATAATTCTCACTAATTTTGTTTATAATGGAAACATTGCTGCAAACACTACTAAAAGGGTGACTCAAGTGAGACAGCTATTCAAAGCCAATGTTTCCATTGGCTATGCTAAAGCAAAGATGGAAATAATGGACTCTGGGAACTCCAAAAGAGGGGAGGGAGAAAAGCAGATAAGGAGTGAAAAACTACCTATCAAATACTATCTTCACTATTTGAGTGATGGGTTCACTAGAAGTCCAAACCCCAGCACTATGCAACATACCCGTGTAACAAAGCTACACATGTTACCCCGAATTTGTAATAAATAAATAACCCCTAACATCAGTGTCAGAAAAACACCTCTTTCTCTTTGGGGGGAAAAACAGAGCCATTGATTGGAAACTTGCAACTACTCGTCACATAATTTTATTGAATTTCGCTGCTCTTGGACTTGTCTGCCTCTTTCAAGTGTAGAAGAAGCAGGAGTTCTAATTGCAGAAAGGTTGGAAATCTCACAAGCTAAGGTGGCTTGTCTTGCCAACATGTAGCAAAGACAGAGTCATCCCTTTTGGGACATTTTGACAATTATGAGTCCTGAGGAAGTGCTCAAGACAGAACTCCTGACTAATCTGACCTTCTAGAAGAGTTGACAAAGAAAAACACATTTGAATATTGGGGAAGACGTGTAATTATGTTTTTGGCAATTTTCTATTAAATTTGCTCTTAAATATCATCATTAATATTTAATTAACTTTTAGTTTCTACGTGAATTTTTAAATATTAACAGAAGAACAACCTAAGTCTTCTTTCCTTTCTATTTATAAATATCAGTTGTCAGCTATACCTACTTTTTAAGTACAAACCCTGTTTTCTTCACAACATCTTCTCACATCTCACTGGAAATAATTAAACATTTCCTTCCTTGCTCTCCACTGCACTTTTTAAGCCTTCATCATAACACATTTTACAAGCTTATGTCTATCTCCCTAGTAGATTATGATGTGTCCAGAAGCCATGTCTGATTAAGCTGTGCCCCATAGCTGCAAGTACTGTTCCTAGTTTCTTGTAGGCATTCATTACATTTATGTGGTCCTAACACACACATGGCTTAAACCACATGCCTGCCACATGATAGCAGCCTAACAAAATTGCAGGACCTCAACTGAGTTCAATGTGATATAATAAAGATAATGATTTTTAAGATTTTCTTAGTTTTTTCAACTTAAATTATACTTTGTCATCTGACTGTATCCATTAAATACTCTTGTGATTTAAATAGAATAGTTATTATTAGCCTAATTTTACAGAGGAACACACAAAGGCACAAAGAGCATAAAGGACTTGGCCAAGGTTACATACCAAGTAATTGCAAAACTGGAGTTTGCGATCTGGTCTTAGAATGCCTTGCCATGTGCAAATAGTGCCTGTAAAGGTTTAGCAAATGGGCTATTTGACAAAAATCATGCTTTATGAGTACTTAAAGAGTATATTCTCAGTCAAAATGTAAAAATGTGCTTATGAAGTTATTCACATGGCCTACATTATGTGTGTATATGTATTTTACACATATATATTATATATATGTGTGTGTGTGTATATATATATAAAGCTAACAGTTAAGTTAACCTTAGGAAAAAGATTTATTTCAAATTCTGTACTAATATGGTTGACAACTAAGTTTTACCAATATTACAGAGTACAAATGACAAAAAATGAATGCATAAAATGATCAATTTATCCTTTTCTATAAATGGACATGGTCTCTAATGCAAATCTGCAGAGAAGAGCAATTTCTAAAATATTGAGGAGTCTTCAATTTATACTTCATCTGACTTTATCCAGAGGTCAATTTGAGAAAAAATAGAGGTCTGGCAACTGCCAAAATCTGACTGCATTTACTTAACAAATTGCTGCTCTATGGATAAGTGATAATTGAGGGTGACCAGAAAAACTGACTAAATCATTAAATTCAGAATTTTTCAATGATCTCCAACTAAGTACTTGTTCAATTTAGGGGGATGTTTATATTCTGCTTAATTCATACACACTGAAAAAGACATGGAGCAAGAAAGATGATCTGGGTTCTCAGATTAAGCTATAAAGCTATGCAAAAGAAAACGGAGCAGGAAGAGAAAAAAGTGAAAGGAGAAGAAGGAGAAGGAGATGGAAGGGAAGGAAGGGGAGGAAGGAAGGCAAGCAGGTTAGGTTTAATTCCATCACATCTAATACCATTTTACCCCCAAATTATGCATGTCATCTTAGCTGTATGCTTCTTTTATTAAAATATATATATATATAAAATATAGGCTGGATGCAGTGGCTCACTCCTGTGTAACCCCAGCACTTTGGAAGGCCGAGACGGGCAGATCACTTTAATCCAGGAGTTGGAGACCACTCTGGGCAATATGGGGAAACCCTGATCTACAAAATATACAAAAATTAGCTGAGTGTGGTGGCACACGCCTGTGGTCCCAGCTACTCAGGAGGCTCAGGTGAAGAGGATTGCTTACTCTGGGGAGGTGAAGATTGTAGTGAGCAGAAATCGCGCCACTGCACTCCAGCTTAGACAATGCGGCAAGATTCTGTCTCCAAAAAAAAAAAAAAAGAAAGAAAAGAAAAGAGAAACTGGGCATCTTAAAAATCTGAACAACTAGTACTATTTTGGTTTATCTTTTGTATTGTTGTTCAGTCAGTTTCTAGAAATAAAATGCAAAATTTTACCTGGACATTTGAAATTTACAATATGTAGAAGAAATAAAATAATATGTTCAAAAGTAATGCCAAAATGCACATTGCTAATTATACTTTAACTTCCTGCGTTGAAAGTCACTCTTATAATAATGTAATGAAGTAAGATATGGTTTTAATGACTTTCACAGCCTGAAAAAAGTCTGATTTTATTATAAGCTACATTTTAATTTTTATTTTGAAGGACATTCAGATGAGATTGCTATTTAAATTTTTAATAAAACAAAATACAGACTTTAATATGAAATTCATTTCTCAATGTCAAAGTATATCATTCTAAAGTGCTGTAACTATTATTTAATAGGGTTTTATATAGAGCCCCATACAGGTTCAAAACTAAATTATCATGTTCAGGGAAAGCAAGATGAAATTTTCTATTGGGAAAAACAATGCCGAAAAGTTAGAAGTTATAAGGAGGAAGATTTGAAGGTAGTATACGGTGGAACTTCTAAATTATTAGAGGAGTTCAACAAATAAATGAACTCCCATGTGAAATAGTTCTTTGCCATGGGAAGGGCTCAAGCACTGGCTTGTCATATTTAGAAAGTCATGGAAGCCCTTCTAGAATTGATGATCTTGTCCATCTCTTGTCCTATATTTATCATTTTCTACAGAGGATATGACACTCTGACCTTGAAATCAGATGGACCTGGGTTTTGATCCTGGCAGCACTGCTAACGAGTTGTGTGATATGGAAAACACAATTTTACCCTTCTTTACTGCCTTCCCCACCTATGAAATGGGTTTAATAATACCCCAAATAAACATAAGTATTAAATGAGATAACATATATGTAAAAGATGATCTTAACCTTTAAATAAATAAGACAGTATCAACAACGATACGCTTGCATTGTTCAGGAGTGTTTAAGTTTATCCTAATGACTTAAAAGAAGGTGTACTCAAAGACATGGACTTGCATCAGAAATAAATGAAGAGCTCAGGATGGACCATTGGGAGCTGTTCTCCCAGCAGGTGTACAGTTGTCCAGTGGTGTCTCCAAGAAGGTTTCCTGATTTTATGGAATTTCCTAAGCTAAGTAATGTCAGGTAAAAGGGGAGGGTACTCACAAGGTGTGAACCCTTCAAACACTGGCACCATCTTCTACTCAGCTATCTTATATGACTCTGTTGGTTAGCAAACAAATAGGAGTGGTAAGCAATATATATTTGTCTTATTTACAAATGCAATAACTTTAGTCAAAGCTCACTAGGTAGACAGTTAACAATTACAAAGAACTTCATGGTGGATGGACCTCCTCTCAAGAGTAAGGCTATACCAAAAAGCCTTCTGCCCTTATCCCACATTATTTGTGCAGGATATTGGCAGAAAAGAGTTTAATAGTACCCCAGCTAGGCACAAAGGGAAAGAGTGTTCCATTTCTGTAGATGACGTAACAGTACTTAGTTCTTTATCCTTGTTTCATCAGATTGTTACCGGTGAAGAGTGTCTAGGTTTTTGGTGTCTTGAACAAAGAATTGGACAAAATGCACAAACAAAGCAAGGAAGGAATGAAGGGATTTATTGAAAATGAAAGTACACTCCAGAGGGTGGGAGCAGGCCCAAGCATAGGGGCTCGAGGGCCCCGTTACAAAATTTTCGGAAGTTTACCCTCTAGAGGATTCTTTTGGGTACTTGGGTATGCCCTATGTGAATGAAGAGGATGAAGTAAAGCTATAAAGTCATTTATTTGGCCTACGCCCTATGGAGAGGATATTTCCTGTCATTGCTGAGGTGTGGATTGACCTTATGTTCCCTGCCTCCAGACCCTATTTTCCTGCCTCATCTCCTGTGAGAAATGTGATCCCCATAAATCGTTATGGGACGCAGAAGAACCGATGATCTTTCTTCTGTAACTGCTCCATGCTGGCATGGGGCATAGTCCCTACCTACTGGGGATCATGGAACGGAACTCTTTCCCTGCTCTGTCTAGTGGAGGCAGAGCCAGGGGTGGTGGCCTGGGTAGTGCTTTCTTGATGAGCAGGGGTGGTGCTTTTACCTGGAACTGGCTGAAACCTTTGTTGCTTGATCACGTGAAGCTTGATGGTCTCTAAGTGAAAGAAAATGAATTTAGTTAAAAGATTTAGGCCAGGAGCGGTGGCTCACACCTGTAATCCCAGCACTTTGGGAGGCCAAGGAGGGCAGATCATGAGGTCAAGAGATTGAGACCATCCTGGCCAACATGGTGAAACGCCATTTCCACTAAAAAAAATAAAAAATAAATAATAATAATAATAATAATAATAATAATAATACAAAAATTAGCTGGGTGGCATGTGCCTGTAATCCCAGCTACTCAGGAGGCTGAGGTAGGAGAATCGCTTGAACCCGGGAGGTGGAGGTTGCAATGAGCTGAGATCGTGTCACCACACTCCAGCCTGGCAACAGAGTGAGACTCTGTCTCAAAAAACAAACAAACAAACAAAAAAGACCTAATGGGAACTTCAGGGGGTGGATAACTATGCTGTTAAGAATATTTGTTACAGAGATTTGCAGGAGAAAAGCAAAACCTGGTTTGTGGTGTGTTCTAGAAACTATGTGTTTCCTTAAACTTAGCACAAGTGACTCCATTTTGGTTTGGTTTGGTTTGTTGGGGCCTAGGGCATGAGCTCAGTCCCAAACAATGGCCTCCCAGAATTTCGTTTAAAAAAATCCCCGCTTTATGGTTAGATTCTCACTTAGGTGAGAGTGTGACCAAACTTAGGGCCGTAGTGCCACTCTCAGTTACCATCATTTTGGGTTTTTGGTCTCAGCACATCATTTATAAGTTACAGTGTCCGCATGGTTGTACATTTCTTTCAGTTCCTGTCATTCTCGTTGAAGAGAGACCATATGACATTCTAGAGATGGCTGCATGCAAGCATTTACACCTTTGAGAGAATCCAGCGCACTCGGGATACTATTATTATGACTATTGGGAGGATAATACCAAGAGTTCATAGTATGCTCCTTACCCAAGGTCCCCATAAAACAAACCTCCTAAAATCAAAAAGATCAAAGAATGACTTAACTAAGCAGTTTCTTCATTAATCTGCTACAACTGAATTTCTGTAATATCCAATGTTTTTTCCATAGGCCGTGAGTGCCAGCAGCGGCACAAATATTTCTCTGCTCAGCCAATTCTAATAACTTTCACAAGAGAATTTAAAGTTGTGTCCTTTACAGTAGAATTTGCTATAGAGCCTATCATGAGAAATACATTTCTAATCATTGCTTCTTTTAATTTAAACCATGGATAAAGAACCTAACAAATGATACCCTTTTGGAACTATGATATGGTTAAGAGGAGGGAACTAGTGTTTTGTTTCTGAGTGATAATCAGACAACGTATGTACCATTCAAGTTTCTTACCTACATCGGGCTTTCATCTTTTATCTATCAAAGTATAAGATTATCCATGTATAAGGCCAGCTGCAAACTGTTTCACAAATAAAAGCATACCCCGTAAGAGCACATAACTGACCCCTTTTCCATTTTTATTGTTCATAGAGGCATAAGCAAGAAAAAATATTCAAAGATAAGAGTTTCATGATAGTAGAAGCCTTAATCTGTGAACTTGGGAAAAGCTGTTCACATCAAGGATGCCATTCTCCTCTGGTGAGAAACTTCCCTGATTAGTTTTACCTTAAGGGTTCCAATGGGTGCATAATTTCAAGAGTGTGGAGGGGCCCTTCTCAATTATGAGATTATGAACCCACAGTTCAAGGTGCCAAAGTTTTGTTGTAGTGTGGATGGCAAGGACAGTCTTTCTTTGATATTCTCAGAAGATTCAAACTACAAAAAGCTTTCTTTACCTGGTGAAAATTCACTGTAGCATAATAATCTACTGTTATAACATCAGCCCTCTTGCATGGAAAACAGAAAACATGCATTGAAAATAACAATGGAACAAAATCCCTTCATAAAATGTTTAAATGGCCCACTAGGTGACCAAATGTACCTGAAGCAAGTTTTCAGCGGATTGATTCTGTGAACTTTAAGCTGTAATATTTATTATTTTTATTAATACATTTTGCATTAAATTCTCTTATCTGAAATTAATATAGCTATACAAGTTCATCTTCGGTCACTGTTTGCTTTGTGTATTTTTTCACACTTCATGTAAAATCTTTTTTTACGTGACAAAAATCTTTTTTTCTGATTTTGTTTTCTTGAAAGCAGAACATGATTGACTTTTTAAAAATAAGCCATAAGATTTCCATATTTGAATCATTGGGTTTAAACTGTTTATATTTATTAACATAACTGAGGTACATGAATTTATACAACCCTATTTTGTGTTCTTATTTAGCATACATTTCATTTTGTTTGATTTTCCCTGGTCATTTTTAAGTTGAAGATTCAAAGTATCCTTTAATCTCCTTTCCTTCTATATTTTGGAAGTAATATAATTAGTTTCTATGGCTTTCATGATTATCCTCATGACTCTAATATAGATAGATTCATTTATGGGTAGAGATATAAATATCTTTTTTTTAAGTAAAATCTAAAATTAATTGAAATCTCTGTCCTCTTCCTAATCAAAGCAGGGACATTATTATCTGGCTTAAACACATTCAGAACTGCATTCCTACATCTTTACTAGTATCTAAAATTTTAATTAATGTTATTTTGTAGCACAAAACAAATTTTTGCTTTTATTCATCGAGTTAACTAGAATTACCAAAAAAAAAAAAAAAGTCATGCTTTGTATTTGATTTATATTATCTTCTACATACAGCTCCTTTTTTACTTTGGGTTTATCTCTTGCTATAATACCTCTTTGGGTGGAATTTTTAAATAAGCTTGCACAGATGGTAAGTTTTCTGCTTTCTTTACAAGTTCTGTTTATTTGACCTTATTTTGACACGAATTCTAACATAAACTGGATGTCCTGCGATGTAACCCAATTCTGATGCTAACTATCTAGAGTTAGCACAGATTCTAGAGGTGAAGAGGAGTCCCACCTCAGACGCCAGTTGCAGCTCCTGGGGAGTTTCCACACCTCTGACCAGCTATAAATTCAGGGGGTCTCATGACCTCCTCAGAATTGTTAATCATCTTAAAGGACTTCCAGCATTCACTGCCCTATACTTACAATTCCAGTTTTATCATAAAGGATATGAATTAGGAACTGACAAATGGAGAGCTCCCATGACCTCTCCCCATGGAGTCAGGGTGCTCTCCCTCCCAGCACATCTATGTATTCGCCAACCAGGAAGCTCTTCGAGCTTTGTGTATCGAGTGTGAGGTCTTGGTCTTAGGAAATCATTTTCTCCAGACCCTCTCTGCTGTGGGGTGAGACTGAAATTTCCCACCCTCTAATCACATGCTAGGTCTTTCTGGAGTGCTTGCCCCTTCCTTGAAACTATAAAAGGGCGCACTACTTATCACCTGGTTGGTATAAACTCAGGTGTGCTGGAAAGAGGTACTTATGAATAAGTCATAAAAGATACTCCAACACTCAAGAAATTCCAAGGGTTTTTGAAGCTCTTTGTCAGAAACTGGGATAAAAACCAGAACATATTCTTTATTTTACCACAGACCTCATTTTTCAATTACAGTTTAGCTATATATAGAACTCTAGTTTGACCCACATTTTCCTTCAGAACTTCAAGTTATTAAATAATTGTCTTCTAGCAACTTTTGCTGCTATTGCAAAGTCACCACTCAGTTTAATTGTTGTCCCATTATGTGAATAAGTCCCGTATGTAAATAAGTCTTCTTTCTGGTAGTTTCAATAATGTTATTTAACAAAAAGTTATATGTTGTGCTAGGCACTATTCTAAGCATTTTGCAAATGCTAATTTATTTTTTAGTCCTCACGAGAATTTTATGAGTAGGTACTCTTCAGGTCCCCTATTTTTCAGATGAGTGAACTGAGCTACAGAGATGTTAAGTAACTTTCCAAATAAGCCATAGTGCAATGGGATTTCAGCCTATGTAGTCTGGTTCCAGAATCCATGCAAGTTACATTTACTTTCTATTCATACACACGTTGTGTTTTTATCAGTCACCACCTTAATATTTTTTGGTATAAGAGCAAGATAGATAAATACATATTAACCTGTCCTGATATAACTATCTTGTAGCAGGAAATAAAGTATTCCATGGTATTAAGTAAAACCTCACTATGCTTTCATAATATGCTTGCTTTCTGATTGCCAGTCGTTTATTACTCATATTTTGACAGTTGTTAGTCTCCAATAAATCAAAAATATTGCCCTTTGTCTACTTAGTTAAACTATCAGTCAGGCCACTATCGGCATACATTAGGGAAAATATCAATTTACAGTAAAGGCACATCTCATTTTATGTAAATGAAGATAAAACTGGAGTATGCCCTAATATACCTAAAAAATGTAAATATAAGTATTTTAATGTGAAATTAGTTTTCATCAATTGAATGAACCTATGTAGTGAGCTTTCAATATTGAAACTGTCCCCACAGAGTCAATAAGAATTACATGCTGGGTTCTGGACAGAAATAAAGTTATAGTTAAGCATTAATTAGGTTGCACCTTAACCCACTTCCTTGCCGCTGCTTGGTAACCAAAAATCACACACACTAGGTACTGAACATTTGCATCCCCATTGTTCCTATAGATAGAACCTCTCACGTTATAAGGCTTTTGTTGAAGGATTGCTTAAGATGTTTTTCAGATCCTAAGTTCCAGTGGAATAGCTGATACCAACAAGATACCCTCACAGAGGAAATGAACCAGTTTCTTCATCTCCTCACTCTATGATTTCACCCTGTACTCTTCCAATAATAAATGATCCCCGCACCTCAGCCCACTACTCATCCAAACCCCATAAAATCTCTATCCCCAAACTACTCGGAAAGGTGGATTTGAGGTTTCCTACCATCTCCTCATTTGGCTGCCTTATGATTAAACCTCTTTGCTGCAAGTATCTTGGTGTATTGTCGTGCATGCACCAGACAACGAACCTGGTGCATTTACAGTATGAGAATTTCCAAAGTCAACTCATCTGATACATTTTGATTGGTTGTCAACATAGTGTAATTCAATGAATTCAAGTGAATTTCATACTAAAACTGACTGAAAATGCTCACAAAGAAAACAAACCAGTTTCAACTTTTTTTTAATAAAAGGCACCATTATTTTAGTATCTATCATCATTATGAACCTTTTTTGTATATCTACTATGGAAAAGCTTTTGCAAGTTCCTAAAGCAGTCAACTGCTTTGAGAATTGTGTTCCATAAGTAGTTAAGTTTTTTGAAGGTAGAACACATATGTGTATAAAAGTGACCACAAAGAGTACTAAAGGCAGTAAGGAGCTTAGACTTCAGAGAAATGTTTCTAAGGCAAGTTGAGATGACTAGGAAGGTTTTAATAAGACAATGCAGTTAAGCTGTTCTTTGAAGTGATTAGATAAAAGGAGAAAACTGTATGAGGCACTGTTTCAAGTGGAATAAGTTAAAAAGATGGCAATGTATAGAAGGCAATAGAAAATCTACTAGACTAGGAGTATAGAGCTTTTTGGAAGAATAACATAGCAATGGATCATATAGATGGAAATAATTCAAACTATAGTTTGAAGTTCAGGAAGAAGCCTGAATTTATTTTCTTGAGGTACTGTGGCGCCTTTAAAGGTTGAGGAAATCAGGATGAGAAAATAAGCTAGGAAGCTCTATCTGTTCAGAAGAAGAAAGCAAAATAGAATCAGAAGAGATTGTAAGCCAGAAAGTCCAAAAAGAGAGTGCCCAAATTGTTAAGACTGTGGTAATAACAGGGATATTCAGGGTCAGAAGAATGCAATATGCAGTCCTGTGAACACCCTCTTAATCTAACAGGCATTCATTCAAGCAACATGTGTTAAGTCACAGCCATATTCCAGGCATTATTCTGAATCCTCATTACATATATGAGTAAAGCATAAACACTCACTGTAGCTGACTCTTTCCACTTCAACATGGAAGCTTTCCACCAAAATCCTTTTCTCTCTCGTCATGATCATCAAATCTCCTACACCCTAACCAAACAATTCAATCAGAGGTTTATTTTTTTTAAAAAATTTTGAAATGTTTGCAATATCTTTATTTGTTTTTCAGGTGGTCAATCAAAATCTTATTTCTCTGCTATATAATCCTTGTCCTCTATGAAATCGCCTGAAATCCCTGGAAGATTTTCTTCATTTAGTTCTAACAAGAGATTTTCAAATTTTCTGTCACCAAGGCCTTATCTGACACTTTGCTTCATCCTTAGAATTGGAAGACTTAATATATGATACAGGAAATGAAAAACAAAGAAATTAAACCTCCCACTGATGGGCTTGTGATGACTGCAAATAAAATTGTTCAGTGACCACTAGGGGAAACAAAGATGAAAAATCAGAGACAGTAAAATAAGAAAACACAAATTTAGAAAAAAAATCCTAATGTAAACCCTAGGAAGTTGTGGTCTTATTTTACCTTCAGCATTTCAAAAATGTTGCACATTGAACCTGGGATTTCAGTAGCTTTTACTTCATTTATTTCCACAATCTTTCTCTTATGCTAACCATATCTTTATTTTTATAACTCACTGTGACCTGCCAGCATATACTCACACAAATCCATAAAAGGCATGGAAAGAAGAGCAAAGAGTTCATCAGATTCCAGATGTTTCAAAACCACCTGTCCATTGGCATTGTTGACTCTAGATCATGAAAGGCTGTAACATTCCCAGCAGAACAGCAAGTCCCCCAGCTTTGTTTTCCTTAAGGGATTTTAGACCATTTCCACAAAGACTAACTATTGCCTTTGCAGAGGAGACCTGATGCTTAAAAAAATTACAGAATTAAAATAAAAGGAGACAAGCGGTGTTTCCATCTCTGTTGATAATCTCCATAATTAGTGTATTACACCTAGGAAAAGAAGCACAAAAGAGACTCAGGTGGGACTTAGGTGGGGCTCGGGTGCAATGAAGCACTGCCTATGTAAAAACAGATTGGGTTTAGAAGAAAGGAAAAGTAAAGAATAAAAAAGTGCAAAAGGCCAGGGGAGTGTATGCATCTCAATCTTACAGACACCTGTTTCAAATAATTTATTTTTAACATCTCTACCAACTTTCTGATAGGTAATACAATTGATAGGAAATTAAATGAAAACACTGAAGAAAAGCTAAAGCTAAATTAAGAATAGCCTATTTTAGAATGACAAACTGTGCCAAAATACGGATGTGCAGCAAGACAGCATGTCATACTAAGAAATACTCAAATGAGATTTCACAAAGACAGAAATGTTTCAGGAGGAGACAAGGTGAGACACTGAAGTGTGCTGTGAAGAATAAACAAGCTTCAATGTGCAGGAAGAGAAGGCAGGAGTATGTGCACTGTGACAGCGCAGAGGAACCATTTTCAGCAGGCTTCAGTAAACAAAAGGAGGCCTTGAAGCTAAGCTTGCGTTGCACTTCAAACTCAACTTGTGGAGCATTCAGGAGAGAAACGCTCAGGGCAATTTGGGGCAGTTATTCATAATCGCTTCAAATGAGTACTTCAGTACACATATTGTTAGATACCTGTGCATATAATTACTCACTTTTCAAAACATGAATTTCCATGCAATTGCCAATTGTTCCAAGATACTCTTGCTGATTATCTGAAAGAACTCAGCTGTTGGGAGTCTGGCCAGGCATATGCATGCAAATAAAGTAGAAAATTAAAGTTATTATGTGAAAAATTCAATAGAAACAGAGCCACTTGAACCATTCAGAGTACTAAAGTCACCCTATGACATGAATTTTCCTGTCATTTCATCTGCATTCACCAAGGACTCAAAAAAACAACCAGCCCCAGGGTTTGGGATGTCTGGCAAGTAGTCATGCTTTGTAGGGATACCAAGTCCAATAGAGGTGGCAGTTTTCTTCCTTCCCATCCTAGCAGCAACACACTGATCATCAAGGAGGCCCAAAGGACAGGGATTAGCTTTAGATGTCTCATACCTTTACAAGGGAAATGTAAGTCTAAATAAAATGTATTTGAGACTAGGCACTAGATTGCTGGTGCATGTGGATTTTGAGAAGTTAGTGCTGTACATGTACACAGAAATTTCTGAGGAATAAAGAAACAGGGACTAACTATGGGAAAAAAATGTTCCAGACCTTCCAATACAAAATTACATTTTTTTGTTAATGGTATAAGTCACTTGACTGTGAAGTTATTTCCACCTATTTTCTTGAAGCAATACTGAATGTTTCTCTTACACCAAATGTCTCCTTTAGTAACTTAGTTGTGATGATTTAAACTCATAATATCCCTTTGGCTTAAACCAGTGGTTCACAATGCTTGGTCTCAACACCAACATCATCGATATCACCTGGGAACCTGTTAGAAATGCATATTTTCAGATCCCACTCGAGACCTACTGAATCAGAAACTCCGGGATTAGGACCCAACAAATTGTGTTGTATTCCCTTCAGATGATTCTGATGTATATTCAAAATTGAGAACCATCAGCTTAAACCATTAACAATTTCAGTTAATTGTAAATCACTTATCTGAAAAAAGTAACTCATTAAGCAATTATAACCCACTTAAACATACATGAGTTATCATTGTAAGAGAATCAAGCCCAAGAATAAAACCTGACTCCATTGATGAAAAGGATAAATTAGGAGGGTCTCCTGGTACCAAGAAAAATGGATAGATGGTGCCAGAATGAGACTCCTAGGGAAGATCAATGGAATTTGGGAGGCTTTAGGCTGGAAGCAACCATCAAAGGAAATGAAAAAGGATTGACAAGGCATGACACATTAACTCTTCCCATAGGATAAAATTTTCAATAACCTGTCATTGGAAGTACTGTGCTAGACCCCAAACAAAATAAACAACACAATTGATAGGCAATCTACCAACATCGTTATACATTTGTAAATCTGTGTATGTGCGCATGTTCATATTTTTTTAAGTGCTGACTATTACAAAAGACTGTGCTAAGAATTGTACATATATTATTCCACTTAATCATAATAACCTTATTTGAAAGGACCATTAATAATCCTGTTTTTACATATGAGAAAATTTAGGTTTAGCACAGAAATCTTGCTCAGGGCCATGTTAGAAATTTCAGAGAAGATGAAATCTGTCTAGCACTAAGTTCAGCCCTTAATGAATAAGCCAAAGGCAAATGATAGATGATGACCGCTGGGTGATGGGTGTATATATATATATGGAATGAGAGACTGACAGAGAAAGAGATTGATCAATTGATCAAGGTGTATTAATAACTGTTTTCTGTAAAAGCTACATACTCCTTAAAATAGTAGATTATTCTCAATTTTGACAGGATACTGTTTTGTGTGTATGGGCAAAATCAGTTATTCCTCATTAGAATTTAGCTTTCACAATCCCTCAAAGAATAGATGTCATCTAGTAAAAATCAGTTTCTCTCTTTCATGCTCCTTCTGTTTCTCTCTATTTTCTCTCTCTGGATTTATTATCCCTTTAGCCCTATCCTCAAAGCTGTCATCATAGCTCAGCTGTCTAATATTTCTTCTTGATTTATTGCTCCCATGCTTTCATCCAGTCTATACCCAACTGCCATATTAAGCTTTTTTTTTTTTTTTTTTTTTTTTTGAGACAGAGTCTCACTCTTGCCCCCCAGGCTGCAGTGCAATGGTGCGATCTCATCTCACTGCAACCTCCGCCTCCCAGGTTCAAGTGATTCTCCTGTCTCAGCCTCCTGAGTAGCTGGGATTACAGGTGCATGCTGCCATGCCAGGCTAATGTTTTGTATTTTTCATAGAGACAGGGTTTCACCGTGTTGCCCAGGCTGGTCTCGAACTCCTGAGGTCAGGCAATCCATCCGCCTCGGCCTCCCAAAATGCTAGGATTATAGGCATGAGCCTCCGCACCCAGCCTAATATTCTTAAATAAAACTCAGCTGTTAACACATCCTTTCTTTGCACAATAAGGCTCACACTGTCTTCCATATATACCTAATAAAATAGACAAGAAGTCCTCACCTTTGTAATCAAGTCCCTCCAAGATTGTTCCTAACCTGACTGTCTAGGTGTATTTTCTCTGCTCCTTTGCATAGGACTAGGCTAAAAAAATCACTTAGTTATATACAATGTCTGCAACCTGCCCTGTGTTTTAGTATCTCTATGTCTCACCTTCCACAGTTCCCTCCAAATACAATGTCTCCTGCTTCTAAATCTACTTGTTAAAATAATTCAATATTTAACTGTTTTTTTTTTTTACTTATTTTTACTTACTAAAATTTTACTTATTTACTCAACTAAAATTTTAACTCCTTGAAAATTCCTCTTACCTTCCCCTAGTTGGGATCCCTTTCTGACAACTGTGGCCATTTGTTTTCACATTTTTCATGGCATTTATTACTTGTTCCCTTAATAAATGAAAGCTGCTTAAGGACATAAGTAAAGGCAACATCAGAGGAAGTTTCACTAGTCACATCAATGTATATTTCGAGCTTTGCCAAATTCTAGCTGAGTGACCCTAGGCAAGTCATTTAACCTAGCTCTCCACTGACTCACTTAGAAAATTATGATAATAATGCATTTTTACAGGGTTGTTATAGTAATTAAATGAGGTAATATATACCTCTTAATATTCAACCACTAAAAACTATTCTTCAAATATATTGTTTTCATCCAAGATTGATACTATTACTAATTAGTATTGCCTCCTTATGGTTACTAGTATGATCCTTTGGAGTAGTCAGTCATTATATATTAGTTGGATAAAATTAATAATTATTATAATTACTTCTTAAAGATTCTAAAGTTTTTGTACACATATCAGCTTATTAGTACACAAAGAATGCTGTCTTTCAAACTACTCTCTTCATGAGGCTCTGAACGCAGATTCAAATTTAGTCTGATACTGCACAAAACATGTTAGAATTGTTCTTTTTTGAAATTACTGTTAGGGTAAGTTTATATATCACACAAGAAATGTGCTCTCGTTATAGTTATATCACCTTTTGACATAAAACATTCCTCAGACAGATGCCCAACCTTACAAAAGTTAGCTCTGAATAATTTGCAATTGTTGGCAAAAATCAAATCTAAACTCAAAGATAAATTTCCTACACTAGATATGGTCAAAATAATGTTATATTGGTTATATTAAAATACATCTAATACCTAGGCTATACATAAAACGTCATAACTATGATCACATTTGCACATATGAAGGAAGTGAAAACTGTGCTGTGACTAACACCTGATTGATGGTAACTAAGTTGCCATCAATTTTAAATCACAAGCTGATTTCAAAGACGTTTTTAAAAATGAAAAAGTGTGACTGAGAATAAGTAAAATGCAATAATGGCAACCTCTAATACCTGTTAGGGATCCTACTTCACAAAGTAAAAATTTACAAAGCAAAAAGTTCTTTTTTTGTTCTATAAATTTCTCTCTTAAATTATGAGTTAATTTTTGTATATAGTGCAAAGAATGGATTGAGTATTTTTTGTTTGTTTTTGTTTGGGGGGACTTTTTTTTTCACACATGGACATTCAGTTGTTTAAAAACAATTTTTGAAAACACTGTCCCTAGTCTACTGAACTGTGGAAAGACAAAGTTGTCTTTGCAACTTTGTTGAAAAATAATTGACTATACACACACACACACACACACACACACACACACACACACACACACCTATTTCTAAACTGACTATTCTGTTCCATTAATCTACTTTATCTTGATGCAAGTACCATGCTGTTTTGGTGACTGCAGCTTTATAATAATCCTTGAAGTCAGGTAGTGTTAGCCCTCCAACTTTATTCCTTTTGAGAATTATTTTGGCTATTCAATATTCTTTGAATTTACATGAGTCAATTATACCAAAAAAAATCTACTATATATATTTTTGGAATCGTGTTGTTGTATAGGTCAAGAAATTGATAAATACAGTTTTCAGATACATAATCATGGTATATCTGTTTAGTTAGGTTTTCTTCCATTTCTCTCAGTAATGTTTTACAGTTTCATACACAGGTCTTAGACAACTCATACTGCATTTAGTCCTAAGTATTTCCAATTCTTTTTTTGTCTGTTTGTTTTTGTTTTGTTTTTTGAGAAGGGGATCCATCTATGTTGCCCAAGCTAATCTCAAACCTGGGTTCAGGTGGTCCTCCTGCCTCAGCCTCCCAAGTAGCTGGGGCTACAGGTACACACCACAATGCTCGACACACAGTTTTTGATAGTACTGCAAACAGTATTTTTTAAATGGCAATTCCTGAATGTTCGTGCTAATATTCTAAAATACAATTGATTTTGTATAATTGATCTTATATCCTGCAACCGTACTAAACTCATTTATTCATTCCCATAGTTTTTTTCACATGCCATACAATTTTCTATGGAGATAATTATATCATTTGCAAATGAAGACAACTATACTTTTTCTCCAATGTAGACTTTTTAAAAAATGTTTTCTTGCCTTATTGAACATATTATAACCTGCAGAAAATGTTGAATAGAAGTTGTTATGGCAGATTTTTGCCTTGTTTCTGATCTTACTGGGAAGCACTCTGTCTTCCACAGTTAATGATAATGTTAGCTGCAGGTTTTTTACGTATGCCTTTTATTGAAATAAAACAGTCTGATTATCTTTTAAGATGGCTGAAAGTTCTTATCAAGAATAGATGGTGAAGTTTGCCTAATGCTTTATCTCAATCTCTTGAGACGACAATATATTTTTTCTAATTTAGTGTGTGATATGGTTTGAATTTGTGGCCCTGCCCAAATCTCATGTCAAATTATAATCTGCAGTGTTTGAAGAGGGGCCTGGTGGAAGGTGATTGGGTCATGGGGCAGATTTACCCCCTTGCTGTTCTTGTGACAGTAAGTTCTCATGAGATCTGGTTGTTTAAAAGTGTGTAGCACCTCCCTCTTCACCCTCTTCCTCCTTCTCTGGCCATATAAAACATACCTGCTTCCTCTTTACCTTCCACCATGACTATAGGTTTCCTGAGGCCCCCCCAGCCATGCTTCCTGTACAGCCTGCAGAACTGTGAACCAACTAAACCTCTTTTCTTTATAAATTACCCAATCTCATGTAGTTCTTTATAGCAATGAGAGAAGGGACTAATAGAGTCTGTTAATATATTGAGTCACGTTGACTGATTTCTAATGGTAAACCAATCTTGCATTTCTGGGGGAAAAAACAACTTGTTATGATGTATTATCTTTTAATATATTGTTGCATTCACTTTACAAAACGTTGTAGAGAATGTATCTACAATTGTGAGAGATATTTGTAATTTTCCCTTCTTATGATATCTTTGTCTAACTTTGGTATCAGGGTAATCCTAGCCTCAAATAATGTGTGGAAAGCATTTCATTTTCTACAATTTTTCTGAAGGACTTTGGGTAGAACTGGTATTCTTTCTTTCTCAAATATTTGGTAGAATTCACCAGGGAAGTCATCCGGGTTTGGAGTTGTCCTTGTGGTAATGTTTTAAGCTAAAAAATCAAAGCTTATAATAAATATAGAGCTATTTGAGTTACCTCTATTTTTCTTAAGAGAACCTTTTTAGTTTGTATTATTTAAGAAAAATTTTCCTACTACGTTGTAAAATTTACTGGCATAAAGTTGTCTATATTATTGTCTTACTATCCTTATTACCATAGTATTATTTCACCATACCCCATGGTCTCTATTCTTTTACTATTTGTAGAAAATGTAGAAATTTTTTTCATATATATATATACATAAAAAATGGTAAAAATAATATATATAAAAAATATATATAAATAATATATATAAAATATATATATATAAATTATATATATATATAAAATGGTAAAAATAATATCTTCTCTTTTTTACATGATCAGTCTGGCTAGAGTTTTATTAATTTTCCTTATTTGTTCAAAGAAGATCAAAATTTTATTGATTTTCTCTTTTGTATTTTACTGACCTTTTCTTTAATCATTACTATTTTTTTTCTTCCTCATAACTTGGGATTAATTTGTTCTTTTTCAGTTCTTAAAGTAGAAGCTGAGGTCATTCATTTGCAATCTTTCTTGTTTTCTAACATAGGTGCTGTCTTAGTCTATTTGGTTTTGCTAGAAAAGAATACCTGCACTTGATAATCTATTCAGAAAAGAGGTTTATTTAGCTCACAGTTCTTCAGGATGTGTAAGAAGCATGGCACTGGCATCTACATCTGTGAGATCCTTGGGCTGCTTCCATTCATGATGGAATGCAAAGTGGAGCCAGTCATGCAGTGATCACATGGTGAGAGAGGAAGCAAGGTGGAAAGGAAGGTGCCAGCCTCCTTTTAACAATCAGTTGTCATGGGAAGCAACAGAGTGAGAACTCACTCACCCCCGCCCCCAAGGGAGAGCATTAACCTATTCATGAGAGATCTGCCTCCATGATCCAAACACATTAGGCTGCATCTCCAACACTGAGGATAAAATTTCAACATAAGATTTGGAGTAGACAGCATCCAAACCATAGTAGATATTTAGTACTATAAATTTCCCACTAAATATTTCTTTAGTGGTATCCCACATATTCTGATATGCTGTAGTTTTCTTTTTTATTCACTTTAAAATATTTACTAATTTCCATTTGATTTATTGTTTCAACTACAGATAATTTGAAATTGGGTAACTTAGTTTCTAAAAATTTAGGGATATTTTTTGAGAGATCATACTGTTATTGCTTACTACATGCCCAGCCATTAAAATATATATGAACAGGGATCAGGGACATATATATATACAGATGTGTGTGTGTGTATATATATACGTGTGTGTGTGTGTGTGTGTGTGTGTTATATACAGATATGTGTGTGGCGGGAGACGTATATATATGTATATATGTATATATATGTATATATGTATATATGTATATATATATGTATATATGTATATATGTGTACATGTGTGTATATATGTGTATATATATGTGTATGTGTGTGTGTATATATATATCCCTGTTCCAATTTTGCTGTTTTGATTCCATTCCTTTCTTTTGCTTTCAAGAATAGGCACCTAGGACAACAGATTGTTGAAGCAGCTGATCACAAGATGGACGTTGTGTGACTACACTGATGAGGTATCAAATTGCAAATAGACGCAACCTGTATTTTTGGGAACCATTTTGACTGTGAGGTGACAGAGCTCACAGTGATGAAAAGTGAGCTGGAAATTTTAAAAAGAGATGTGCTTTAAAAATAAAGCACAGTGAAAGAGGTGGAGCAAGATGAAGGAACAGAAGCCTCCACCAATTGTCCCCACCAAAGGACACCAAATTAACAACTATCCACACAGAGAAAACATCTTCCTAAGAAAAATCAGGTGAGCACTCATAGCACCTGGTTTTAACTTCATATTGATGAAGGAGGCACTGAAGAGATAGACAAAACAGTCCTGAATCACCAATGCAACCCCTCTCCTACCCGCTACATTGGGGTGTGGTACAGAGAGCCTCTCTGGGTGCTGGAGGAGGAGAACACAGCAATGGTGAGGCATTGAAATAAGTGCTATCTTGTTAGAGCAGAACCGAAACCTGGACCAAACTCACCTGATGCCCACCCACAAAGAGAGCATTTAAACCAGAAGTAGCCAGAGGGGAATTGCCTATCCCAGCAGTCCAAAATTGAGTGCCTACAAACCTTGCCACTGAGGGTCAAAGTGCTCTTGGTCTCTGAATAAACTTAAAAGGCAGTCTAGGCCATAAAGACTGCAACTCTTAGGCAAGTCCTAGGGCTGAACTAGGCCCAGAGACAGTGGACTATAGAGGAAGCACAGGAAATACTGAGATGCCAGTTGGTGCAGCCAAGGGAGTGCTGACATCACCACTCCCCTGACCTCAAGCTGCATAGCTTGCAGCTCCAAAAGAGATCCCTTCCTTCCACTTGAGGAGAGGAGAGTCAAGAGTGGGGAGGAATTTGTCTTGCATCTTGGATACCAGCTTAGCCACAGCAGGAGAGGGCACTGTTCAGAGTCATGAAGCTCTCATTCCAGGCGCTAGCTCCCAGATGACATTTCTAGACACACCTGGGATCAAAAGGGAACCCACTGCCTTGAAGAAAAGGACCCAGTCTTGCCAGCCTTCATCACCCGCCAACTGGAGAAGAGCTGTTGGGCCTTGAATAATCAGCAGTGATACCGAAGGACTACATCAAAGGTTTTGGTGAGAGACTTGCTGGCTTCAGGTACCAACACTGGCACAAGGGGGTAGGGCACCAAGCGGGCTCTTAGGGTCCCTCATTCCAGGACTTGACTCTTGGATGACATTTTCAGACCCGCCCTGGGTCCAAGGGGAGCCCACTGCCCTAAAGGGTGAGTCCCAGGCCAGGCAGCATTACCACAAGCTGACTTAAAAGACCTTGGGCCTTAAGGGAATATAAGTGGTAGTTTGGCAGTATTCCTTGTGGCCAGGGTTGGTGGTGGCTATGGGATGGAGCTCCTCTGCCTTTGAAAAGGGGAGGGAAGAGTGTGAAGCACTATGTCTTCTGGTTTGAGTGCCAGCTCACCTGCAATACAATAGAACACCAGGTAGACTTCTGACGTTTCTGACTCTAGTCTCTAACTCCCAGATGGCACTTCTGGACCCACCTTGGATTTGGGGGACCTCATGTCCCAAAAAGAGAAGGACATAGGCCTGGTTGGCCTTTACCACCTGCCAATTGTAGAGCTCCAGGGCCCAGGGAGTGGTTACAGTAGGCCTTGGGCAAGATTAAGAATTGTGCTGGCTTCAGGTCTGAACTAGAGCACAAATAATGATGGTGGCCACATGGGGCGCTATGTCACTCCACCTCAGCTTTAGGTGGCTCAGAACAAAGACTGTGTGTTTGGGAAAATGTAAGGGAAGACAACAAGACTCCCTGCCTGGTAATCCAGAGAATTATCCCAGATCATGGCCAAGACCATCAAGGTGGTACCTTCACAAGTCTGCAAGAAGCTCAGTGTTACTGGGCTTGGGGTGCCCCCTAAAGCAGAAACAGCTTAAATCACAACCACCTAAGTCTTTTCAAATATCTGGAAAGCCTTCCCAAGAAAGACAGCTACAAATAAGCCCAGACAGTGAAGACTACAATGAACCTAAACTCTTAAATGCCCAGACAACAAAGAACATCTACTAGCATCAACACCATCCAGCAAAACCTGACCTCACCAAATGAACTAAATAAGGCACCAGAAGCCAATTCTGGACAAACAGAGATATGTGACCTTTTAGACAAAGAATTCACAATAGCTCTTTTGAGGAAACTCAAAGAAATTCCAGATAACGCAGAGAAAGAATCCAGAATCCTATCGGATAAATTTAACAGAGACTAAAATAATTAAAAAGAATCAAGTAGAAATTCTAGAGCTGAAAAATGTAATTGGCATACTGAAGAATGCATCAGAGTCCTTTAATAACAGAATTGATCAAGCAGAAGAAAGAATTCATGAGCGTGAAGACAGGCTATTTGAAAACAGCCAGAGGAGACAAAAGGGAAAAGAATAAAAAACAATAAAACACACTTACAGGACCTATAAAATCCCTCAAAGGGGCAAATCTAAGAGCTATCTGCAGATAACCTGTCACAGGACTTTTCAGCCTTCATAAACATGTGAGTCAATTACCCTAATAAGTCCCCTTTCATCTATCTATCTATCTATCTATCTATCTATCTATCTATCTTATTGGTGGTGTCTTTCTGAAAAATCCTGACTAATACAACCCACTCTTTTGTTATAACAGTGCGGTATTAGTCAGGGTTCTCTAAAGGGACAGAACTAATAGGATAGATGCATATATGAAGGGAAGTTTATTAGGATAATTGACTCACATGATCACAAGGTAAAGTCCCAAAGTAGGCCGTCTGCAAGCTGAGGAGCCAGGAAGCCAGTCTGGGTCCTAAAACCTCAAAAGCAAGGGAAACTGACAGTGCAGCCTTCACTCTGTGGCCAAAGGCCTGAGAGCCCCTGGCAAGTCACTGGTGTAAGTCCAAGAGTTCAAAAGCTGAAGAACTTGGAGTCTGACAGTCGAGGGCTAGAAGCATCCAGCTTCTAGCTGGATGGAGTCCAGAAGACTCAACCAGTCTAATCCTTCCAAGTTCCTCTGCCTGATTTTATGCTAGCCAGGCTGGCAGCTGATTAGATGGTGCCCACTCAGATTGAGGGTGGGTCTGCCTCTCCCAGTCCACTGACTCAAATGTTAATCTCCTTTGACAACACCCTCACAGACACACCCAGGAATAATACTTTGCATCCTTCAATCCAATCAAGTTGACACAACATTAACCATCACAAGTGTCTACTAAGAGAATTAATTTTTAAAGATCAAAATAAATAAGACAATGACTCTGCCCTCAAGCAACTTGATGAAATTTAAATACTTAGGAAAATACACAAAATTAACACCAATACGAAAATGAGAAATATCTAGTTATGGTAAGAAAGTTCTGAAACCAAAAACACATGAGCGATTAGTTCTTGATTGAGAAGAGTCTCAAATAAGTCACATATTTGTATCTTACCTTTAATTAGTATTATTTAGTTCTCTAAGGTTTTCACAAGTAAGATTTCATTTACTCTTTTACCACAGTTGTAGTGGGTAAAAATCATTGTATCCCTTAAAAATGAAAGAGAAATAGATGTTCAGAAATATTTATTGATTTATCCAAAGTCACACAACTAGTATATGAAACAGCTCAGATTTTCAACCCCTTGTTCAGTGTTATCAAATATTATCTTGGAAAATGTGACAGTAAGAAATTATAATAATCTCCAATCAACATACCTTTTGTAAACAGAGATTTTGAACTGTTTGAAAACATTATCTTCTAAAAAAGATGTGATAAACACCTTGGAAATATGCTTATCTTATCATTTGTTCACCATCATTAATTTCAAAGGTTAACTACAGCCCAGAAGCTGTCAGGTTTGACAGATTAATGGAGCTGAAATAAATGGCATGTTGCCCTTGCTACAAAGTACAAGTATTGTAAATGACATGTCTTTGGATATAATGGAGTTTTAGAACACAGCATGTTGGTAAAGATCTGAGAGTCCTTTATCCTCAGAGGTCCTGCTTTGGGCCTGACTGTGTTTAATACATCAGTTCTAAGAGGAATCGAGATCTGGCAGCTGCTCAGGTCTGACGATTTATTGACTCTCACCTGGAGATAACCCTTATTAAACTCTTTGCTGCCATATCTTGAAAAAGCGTTGTAAAATATTTCAAGACTGCAGACTGTTCTCTGAAAATGGGGAGGGAAACTTAACAAATATATTTTGACTATATTTTTATAACGATAAAAGACCTTCAAATAACCCACTACACACACACACAAACACACAAACACACACAAATCCAACTATGCAAATGAATTCTCAAGACAAAATCCTCGTCTTCTAATTCTCCTAATTTGATTGCCATTGTGAAGACACAGTAATTTAAAAATTAGTGAACCATCACCATTCTTGTCTTCTCATGTATAGCTGGAGCTGTTGTGGGTGACTAAGTAGTAAGAGAAATAAAGATTAGGAGGAAAACACTAGGCATACTTTATCACACTGACAAATGAATAGTGAATGGACCCAGTAAAAGATGGTGTTCACATAGGAACCTACCAGGAGATGAAATTAAAATGTAGATGAGAAAATGCCTAGTCTCTGTGCAGAGCAGCATTGTACCTAGTTGCTTAAAATGATAAAGCCATTTGAGCTGTGGCCTAAGGCAGCATGGAGGGATTTGGATTAGATGTACACTATCAACTGTCAGAAAAGAAAAGCCTGTGCAGAAACAGTGATGACCGCTATAAATGCAGTATGCAGGGAAAGAAAATGTCAGCTCAGTCAATAAATTATCTGTCTCCACTGGCCTACCCCAGGCCTCCACAGACACATGAAAGCTTATTGCATACGCAGATGTCACTTTGTGGTGATTTGCACTCCACTGACTCTTACTAGCTATGTGATATTTGGAAAGTTGTTATATTCTCCAATCTTTACCCTTTAGTTAAATAGAGATTTTTTTTAAAATGGGCCAGGTGCGGTGGCTCACGCCTGTAATCCCAGCACTTTGGGAGGCCGAGGCGGGCGGATCACAAGGTCAGGAGATTGAGACCATCCTGGCTAACACGGTGAAACACCGTCTCTACTAAAAATACAAAAAATTAGCCGGGTGTGGTGGCGGGCGCCTGTGGTCCCAGCTACTCGGGAGGCTGAGGCAGGAGAATGGCATGAACCCAGGAGGCGGAGTTTGCAGTGAGCGGAGATAGCGCCACTGCACTCCAGCCTGGGAGACAGAGCAAGACTCCGTCTCAAAAAAAAAAAATTAAAAAATTAAAAAATTAAAAAAGTGATTTCACTAGATTGTCATGGAGGAAAGGAATGAGATAACGCATGTGAATGAAGAAGCAGAATCTTCAGGGGTACAGAGTTGCAGCCTGATAAATGAGAGCTATAAAAAGTCAAAGAATGCTCCCTCCTTTAAAAACTCCTATATGGTGTTCATTTGATTCTTGGCATTACATGCAAACGAGTCTCTTCTCTATCTTAACCTGATCAACCACATCACCAACTCTTCTCCCATCATGAACTCTTAAATCTTGCCACATCAACCCTCCAACACACCAAGTCCCTTCTCCGTGATTCTATACACCATTACATCTGCCTGAAAAAGTCCTTTACTCCCCCACCGAATAAACTCATCCTTTAAGACTCACAGTCTTCTGTGAAGCTTTTCCATCATCTGCTAGAGTTAGTTCAACCTATCCAGTAATCTGATGAGGTCTAATTCATGCTTCTTTTAGACACTCTGAGCTTCTAGAAAGCAAAGGCATTCCATGTATTTATTAATTCCTTTATTCATCCAACTTTCAATGACTGTCACCTCTGTACTGGGAGATAAAAGTACATTTTTGGAGGTATTGGAATACCCTTTACTGAAGCCTTTTCTTTCTGTGGCTGACACTAACACAATAGTTGCTTAATAATAAGAAGAAAAGCAGAGAACCCTTGAGAGAAGAAAGAAAAATGTCTTTCCTTCAAACTCCCAATTACTTGACACCATCCCCCCAAAAATAAAGCCATGTGAATCTTCTTCGAACATTTTTCGTTACTTCTATATATAAAAGCCAAGTTCCTCTGTTGTCTTCCATTAAAATTTGTATTAATTTCATCTATAATTTGTTTTTACACTTGTTTGCATGTTTGTTTCCCTCTTCTAAACTGAAAATTCCCTCGGGATGGAAACTCTTACTTATGTCTTAGCACAATGCCTGGCAGATAGCATGTGTCCTATACGTATTAGTTGAATGAATAAACAAGGAATAAATTAGTAAAGTTTTTCTTTCCAGCACAATTTCACATTGGTCTTGCCCAGTAGCCAAACATCTTTGGGTTCTTATACTCTGAATCCCAAACCCCAAAACATCTGCTGGTCAAGTCAGGCCTTTAATTTTGAAATGATCAAAAACATGATTTAAGTTTAGGATTTCCATCTTCTCCAAAGATAAAGTATTTGTTCCAACTGAGTGAAGTCAACACGAAGAAAAGAGGAAGTATAGGAAATATCAGAGAATATTTACGTATACTGTGGCACTGAAAGGAGAAAATTAAATGTTTGAATTCCTCTCCGCTATGCGTGTGGGATAAATAATTTCCTTTCTTCTAGAGTGCTTATTCACTCATTTAAGACAGAGAAATACACTAGCTACCAAAGTTCCCAGTTGCTCTCTCACATAAAGTTATAAAGATCATTGACTTCTTTCTTTTTACCTTTCTATCGATTTAATTCTCACCACTTTGATCATTTGGCCTGAGAAAGAATACTTTTCTCTATTATACCTTAGTAATCACACAGTTGCATTTGTGTTCTTACGTTATTGTAAGGTGACTATATTGACATTGAAATAAAGCATATGCTTTACTCTTTAACAAAATCAACATTTTATTTTTCTAAAAGATGTAATCATTTTCTACTTTGGGATATCGTCTTGTAAGTTTGAACTGATCTGACCAAAATTAGATACTTACTGACTGGTCGGGAAATGACAATGATAATCTACATTGAGAACAAACAATGTGTTTTGGAAATGACCTTGACTTCATGAAACCACTCTTCTAGTCTGCATTTAACATGCTTTGTCCTAGTGATTAATTAAAATAATGTCACTGGAAAGGAAAGTCAATAAGACTTGGCTGGGAATAATACTGCTAGCCTGAATCACAAATGATACAGTCTTTAGTTTCACTGAAAGAAGAAAAGCTACCTCTAATTTTAGTTTGCAAGAGAAAGTACAATTTGGCATTGTGGCCCCTCATTGCTTTGTACAAAGTAATTGAATGTCCACCACACCTTCAATAGTGGTGTTACAGATACCCCAAATCCCTAAACACCTTGACTTTACACTGGCAAAGCCATTATATGTATTTATTCCAACCATTTTTAATAGAATATCTTCTTCTCAGCTGGAGGACTATGTTGATCTTGCTGTATTATTTTCTCTGGAAAATTAATCCACTCTAGCTTATTAAATCATTTTGGTCAATCAATTATCAAATATTTGAATTTTGGCTACACAGCAGACACTTTAAAGCAAACATATGCAGAAATGATTTATACATCCTTTTCCATTCTCTCAGTTTTCACTAATAAAATTAATAACTATGCTTTTTAATTTTTGTCATAAACTTCTAATTTCTCTGTAAAGTCATCAAAAAAAGTTTGTCCCATCTAGTATCCATTTCCTGTTTTGGTAGAAGTGCCCTCACGTCATTCATTTCTGCGTGATGCAGTTTCAGGAAAAGCCAGCCCCACGCTGTCTTTAGAGGCATCCCTCTATTCAACACTAGGCTAATCAGCATCATTACATTCCCCTCCTTTTTCTTATGGACTTTCCTTCCCTCCCTCCCTCCCTCCCTTCCTTCTTTCCTTCCTCCCTCCCTCCCCCACTTTTCCTCCCTCCCTTCCTTTCTTCCATCCTTCCTTTCTCTTTCTTAGAGGTTGATTCACTTAAGCCAACAAGAATGAAGTCCAGAACTTTGATTTAAAGGTTTAAAGAAGATAGTCTTCCTTCCTGTAAAGAGCAACAGAAGACACAGTCCAGAAGATGCTGGCAGCCATCTTGGTTCCAAAACCTGAGTGCTGATGAGCCTCAGAACACCTGGCACTGAGGTAACACACCCTGATCCATCAGATTTTTTACTATGCTTGTTTGCCTGAATAAAGTATCACCTGGAATTACACTTGCCCTGAAAACACCTGATATATTTCCCTCCCAAAATGTCCTTGTTTGGCTTAAGCCAGTTTCAATTGTTCTTTTCTTTTTTAACTTTTATTTTAAGTTCAGGGGTGCATGTGCAGCATGTGTAGGTTTGGTACATAGGAAACCATGTGTCATGGAGGTTTGTTGTACCGATTATTTCATCACCCAGGTATTAAGCTTAGTATCCATTAGTGATTTTTTCCTCATCCTCTCCCTCCTCCTACCCTCGGCCCTCTGATAGGCCCCAGTGTGTGTTGTTTCCTTTTATGTGTTCATGTGTTCTCATCATTTAGCTCCCACTCATAAGTGAGAACATGTATTTGATTTTCTGATTTTCTGTTCCTGCATGAGTTTGCTAAGGATAATGGCCTCCAGCTCCATCCAAGTCCCTGCAAAGGACATAATCCTGTTCTTTTTTATGGCTGCATAGAATTCTATGGTATATATGTATCACATTTTCTTTATCCAGTCTATCACTGATGGGCATTTGGGTTAATTTCATATCTTTGCTATAGTGAACAGTGCTGCAGTAAACACATGCGTGCGTGTGTCTTTATATGGAATGATTTATATTCCTTTGGATATGTACCCAGTAGTAGTGAGAGGTGAAGCCAGCTGAGCTTCTGGGTTGGATGGCAACTTGGAGAACTTTTGTGTCTAGCTAAAGGATTGTAAATGTACCAATGAGCACTCTGTAAAATTGCACAAATCAGCACTCTGTGTCTAGCTAAAGGATTGTAAATGCACCAATCGGCACTCTGTAAAATAGACCAATCAGTGCTCTGTAAAATGAACCAAACAGCGCTCTGTAAAATGGACCAATCAGCAGGATGTCAGTGGGGCCAAATAAGGGAATAAAAGCTGGCCACCTGAGCCTGCAGCGGCAACTCGCTCAGATCCCCTTCCATGCTGTGGAAGCTTTGTTCTTTTGCTCTTCACAGTAAATCTTGCTGCTGCTCACTCTTTGGGTCCACACTACCTTTATGAGCTGTAACACTCACCGTGAAGGTCTGCAGCTTCACTCCTGAAGTCAGCGAGACCACAAACCCACCAGGAGGAACAAACAACTCTGGACGTGCTACCTTTAAGAGCTGTAACACTCACTGCCAAGGTCTGCGGCTTCGCTCCTGAAGTCAGTGAGACCATGAGCCCACGGGAAGGAAGAAACAACTCTGGACATGCCACCTTTAAGAGCTGTAACACTCACTGCGAAGGTCTGCAGCTTCACTCCTGAAGTCAGCAAAACTATAAGCCCACCAGAAGGAAGAAACTCTAGACACATCTGAACATCTGAAGGAACAAACTCTGGACACACCATCTTTAAGGACTGTAACACTCATCATGAGAGTCTGTGGCTTCATTCTTCAAGTCAGCGAGACCAAGAACCCACCGGAAGGAACCAATTCCGGACTCAGTAGGATTGCTAAGTCAAATGGTATTTTGGACTTCAGGTCTTTGAGGAACCACCACATTGTCTTCCACAATGGTTGAACTAATTTACACTCCCACCAACAGTGTATAAGTGTTCCTTTTTCTCCACAACCTGCCAGCATCTGTTATTTTTTGACTTTTTAATAATAGTCATTTTGACCGGTATAAGATGGTATCTCATTGTGGTTTTGATGATGATCAGTGATACTGAGCTTTTTAAAATATGGTTGACCACATGTATGTCTTCTTTTGAGAAGTGTTTGTTCTTTGCCCACTTTTTACTGGGGTTGATTTTTCTTTTAAATTTGTTTAAGTTTTTTATAGATGCTGGATATTAGGCCTTTGTCAGATGCACAACTTGCAAAAATGTTCTCCCATTCTGTAGGTGGTCTGTTTATTCTGCTGATAGTTTATTTTGCTGTGCAGAAGCTCCTTAGCTTAATTAGATGCCATTTTTCAATTTTTGTTTTTGTTGCAATTACTTTTGGTATCTTCATCATGAAATATTTGCCCATGCTTATGTCACGAATGGTATTCCCTAGATTGTCTTCCAAGATTTTTGTAGTTTTGGATTTTACATTTATGTCTTTAATCCATCTTGAATTAATTTTAGTTTATGGTGTAAGGAATGGGTCCAGTTTCAATTTTCTGCATATGGCTAACAAGTTATCCCAGTGCCATTTATTGAATAGGGAATCCTTTCCCCATTGATTATTGTTATCAAGTTCGTTGAAGATCGGGTAATTGTAGGTGTGCAGTCTTATTTCTGGGTTCTCTATTCTGTCCCATTGGTTTCTGTGTCTGTTCTTCTATGAGTACCATGCTGTTTTGGTTACTGTATCCATGATTATCTCAACAGATGCAATAAAGGCTTTCAATAAAATTCAATATCCTTTCATGTTAAAAACTTTCAACAAACTAGATATTGAAGAAACATACCTCAAAATAGTAAGAGCCATCTATGACAAACCCACAGCCAATATCATACTGAATGGGCAAAATTGGAATCATTCCCCTTGAAAACCAACACAAGAAGGATGCCTTCTCTCACTACTCCTATTCAACATAGTATTGGAAGTTCTGGATAGAGCAATCAGCCAAGAGAAAGAAATAAAGGGCATTCAAAAAAGGAAGAGAGGAAGTCAAATTATCCCTGCTTTCAGATGACATGATCCTGTGTCTAGAAAAACCCATAGTCTCAGCCCAAACACTTCTTAAGCTGATAAACAACTTCAGCAAAGTCTCAAAATATCAAATTAATGTACAAAAAATGCTAGCATTTCTATCCACCAATAACAGACAAGCTGAGAGCCAAATTATGAATAAACTTCCATTCACAATTACCACAAAAAGAATAAAATACCTAAGAATACAGCTAACAAGGGACACAAAATATCTCTACAAGGATAACCACAAAACACTGCTCAAAGAAATCAGAGATGACACAAACAAATGGAAATACATCCTATGGTCATGGATAGAAAGAATCGATATTGTTAAAATGGCCTCACAATCATGGTGGAAGGCAAGGAGGAGCAAGTCACATCTTACGCGGATGGCAGCAGGCAAAAAGAGAGAGCTTGTTCAGGGAAACTCCTAATTATACAACCATCAGATCTCATGAGCCTTATTCACTATCACAAGAACAGCACAGGAAAGACCTGCCCCATGATTCAGTAACCTCCCACCGGGTCCCTTCTACAAGATGTTGGAATTCAAGATGAGATTTAGGTGGGGACACAGCCAAACCACATCAGAAAAAGTATAACCAAGGATGGGGCCATTCTAACCTTGCATGACTGCACAGATTGTTTGCCCCTAAAGCTGGCTCTGAAAAAAGTAATAAATCTTTAGTCTAACTCCATACTACTACTTACAATGTAACTAATTTGTGTTGGTCTTTGTACCATACAGATATAAGACTGAAAGTTTGATTTGATTGCAAATATATAAATGATTTTACATAATATATATAATTTTAAATACACAAAAAGACAAACAATTGAAATAATATTTAGAAGTGGCTTCAAAAATATATAATTTTTCCATGAAAAGCAAATCGATCTTTCATGATTGATTCATGTTCAACTGTAGAGTGTATTTGAGCATGAGACTCTTTGTCCTACCTTCTCATGCTACCATATTTTACTATTTTTTGACATGTTTTCAACATAAAAACCTCTGTTGTGGTGTTGTTGCTTGAAGTAACTTCAAGTAATCATTTCTTAAATTAACACTGACTATATACCATCATAAATATTAATGAGTCAGTAAATGCTTCTGTCATTATAATTATGAGACACTCATGCTTGGTTGCCAATTGTGGTGACTACACCTAGGTATGTATGCTTGAGGCTAGCTAAAATCAGAAACAAGTTTATAATTCATCATTACAAAATTACATTAAAGAAAAAAGTCATTTCCCTTTGATTTTATCATCATATATTTCTTTCAAAAATCATTAATGTGTATAAATGTTAATATAGCTACTCACATTCATGTTGAAAAACTGAAAATCACAGGACATATTTCAAATAAAATATAGTTTGAACATAATCCATGGAAGACAGATTATGCTGTGCATAAACTTCTGTAGTCTGTTATTTCTACTTAAGATTATATCTTGAGCATGTCTTTCAAAATAATTAAATGTTACAGACTTGATTTCAGTAGTTAAATTTTGCCCTATTGTATTTTTTTCCATTAACCATTTACTTAATGTTATTATTGAACATGTAGGTTACTTCTAATTTTTTACTATTAATAAATTCTGTTATGTGAAATATCTCATATGTGCATCTTGGTTGCATCTATTATTTCCTAAAATAAAGTTATTGAGATAGGATTGCAATGGTCAAAGGGTAAGAAGCCAAAGCTGGATTACTGGCTCAAAACACTTCTAATACCAAAAAATTTTAAGATTATACAATTTACTTTTCTACACAGTGTAAATTTATTTGTTTTAGAAAAATATACAAGTCCTTAACTTACATTGTACACCAAATAAATTCCAGATGAATAAATATTTAAAAAAAGATAAATGTAACTGATCTAGTTGAAAACTTAGCTAAATATGTATGTGACCAAAAACGATATTATCACCATGAAAAATATTGATAAATACATTATGACAAATTAGAATTAAATGTTTCATTAATAAGTATTTCATAATTACAAATAAAAGACAAAAGAAAAATTGATTTAAGACTGCTTGATCAGTGAATGGCAATAACATTTAGCATCTTAATAAAAAGTGCCCTTCCAAATAAATAAGAACTAAGAACATCATTAACAGCCCAATAGGTAAAGAAGCAAGGATGTTCAGATGAATAGGAAATACTGGAAGAGGAAAGGCAAGTATATAGTAATTATATGAAAAATATTTAAGCTCTCTAATAATTAAAGAAATTAAAATAAAAACAAAGGACTTTTTGTAAGATTGGTGTCATTGGTAAATGATAATGCCTAAGGCCAGGTGTAGATCTGATAAAAAATAATCTTCAAGGACAATTAAGCGCATGTATTAAATATCTTCCAAAAAAAATCTTAGGAATTGGCCAGGTGCAGTGGCTCACACCTGTAATCTCAGCACTTTGGGAGGCCAAGGCAAGCAGATCACTAGGTCAGGAGTTCGAGACGAGCCTGATCAACATGGTGAAACCCTGTCTCTACTAAAAATACAAAAATTAGCCAGGTGTGGTGGCACACATCTGTAATCTCAGCTACTCAGGAGGCTGAGGCAGGAGAATCGCTTGAACCCAGGAGGTGGAGGTTGCAGCGAGCCGTGATCGTGCCACCGTACTCCAGCCTGGGCAACAGAGCCAGACTCCATCTGCCCCCCACCCCCTCCAAAAACAACCTTAGGAATTTACTTAAGAAAAAAAAATTAAGTTCATGTAGAGATTTATCCACAGTAATGCTTTGATATATAGTAATAATAACCTGGAAAGAGCCCAAATGCCTGGTAATAGAAAATTGGTAAAATTAACTGTGGTCGATCCACATAATATCATGCAATGTTATCATTAAAACAGTTTCACAAGGTCGGGCCTGGCGACTTATGCCTGAAATCCTAGCACTTTGGGAGACTGAGGCAGGTGGATTGCTTGACCTCAGGAGTTCAAGACCAGCCTGGGCAAAATGGTGAAACCCTGTCTCCACAAAAAAAACAAAAATTAGCTCAGCATGGTGGCTCCCACCTGTAGTCCCAACTACCTGGGGGCCTGAGGTGGGAGAATCACTTGAACTCAGGAAGTGGAGGTTGCAGTGAGCCAAGATCACACCACTGCCACTATACTACAGTGTGGGCGACAGAGTGAGAGTCTGTCTCGAATAATAATAATAATAATTTCAAAAAATATGTTTTAAGACATGAGAAGGCATTTGCAATTAGCTAAGTGAAAGTAGATTACAAGGTCCATTGATATTCAAACATCCATACATTTATTTAACAAAACAAAGACTGACATTTTACAGACCAAAATATTAGCATGGTTTTTCTTTTCTTTTTGCCCTTTCGAGTTTTCTTAAAACGTATGTATTCCTCTTATAATTTATGTTTCTAGTCTTTTATTTCAAAACTCCCTCTGCAACTGCTAAGAAACATATTAACAAGGTATAAACAGCACAAGCCTAGAACGAGAGTGTGGGAAACTTTTGCTAGTATCATTTTACAGAGGTCCTTATTTCTGGAACAGAAACATATTTAGAATCCAATCCTAGCAAACTTATTCTCCAGTTTGAGAAGAATAACTGTTACATTTCCATGATAAAAGAACAAGCTGATGTGATGTTTGTAGTGTGTTGCAGACATTTGTCTGGTGCAATTGTGTTAAGCAATCTCTAATCTGCTCCTACATACATTGTATCTTTCTCTAAAAGGAAGAATACAGAATAAATTGAAAATTGTCATTCTTAGCAAGTACCAGAGCAGTACTTTTCCCCATTGTTCTTTTTTAAGGCCTTTTAATACTCGAGATTACAACCTCTGGGGTGTGGTTCTTTACTAGTTATCCTTTCTTCTTATTTTCAGGTGGTGGCAGTCTTTGAATGTGGGCAGAAATACTGGTAAACGGGAGGGGAGAGAAGGGATGTTTCCTAGTTGTGTCATAGTCACTGAAGCTGCCATTTTAGAATTTCATCTGTGTGGGAATCCAGGACTCAGCTCCTTTCATAACCTTAATTAAATAGTTAAGAAGACCCAGAAAAAGATAAAATCCCCAAAATGGTTCCCAGTGATTTTTGCCTTGTAATGTTCATGCCTCCATGTAATCTTCTCTCGCAATGAATAGGGCTGACTCTATAACCAATAGGATATTGCAGAAATGACAGAATGTGACTTCGGAGGCCAGGTAATAAAAGATACTGTGGCTTCTGCCTTGTTCTCTCTTGCCTCACTGACTCTGAGGGAAGATAGCCGCCATACTGGGAGAACATTCAAGCAGCCTTACAGAAAGATGAAGTCTCCTGTCTACAGTCTGCATCAATTTGCAATCCACATGAGCCATCTTAGAAACTGATTCTCCACCTGCAGTAGGTCTTCACATAGCTGCAACTTCGTATAACATGCTAGATGCAATTTCATGAGAAACCCCAAGTAAGGACCTCTCTCATCTGAGCCACTCACAAATCCCTGACTCATAGAACCAGTGTGGGATAATATATGTTTATTGTTTGAAGCTGAAAGGTTTGCAGTTATTTGTTACACAGCAATAGCTAAGTAATACAATGTGTAATAAACAATCTAATACATAAATTTCAGGATGCTTCCCTACCTTGAGACAAGATAAAAGTACTTACTTTCCTACTGCATAGAAGATTGTAACACCGACTGTGTTTGAGTATGAACATGAGAAAAAAAATGGATCTTAGTATGAAGCAAACACTGATAAAAGAGAAAGGAGACAGAAACTGGGACCTTGATGACATTACTGAGGCCTTGAAATAAGTCAGCACTTTTATGGAATTTCTAAATTTGTGAAAGAATAAATACCTTTACCTTTAAATCATGAGACCAGTTTCAGTTGCATTTTTAATTATTTCCAGCACAACACTGCCTAGCTGGTACAAAATGTACATATAGTCTCTCAAAACATGCTTTCATTCTCCCACGACCACCTGACTTCCATCCTCTTCCATGCTCAAACACATACATATCTAATGCATCTGTCCTCTTTGGTGAGCCCAAAGAAACTTAAACATGCTACATTCTTTCATATTCCCATCGTTTTGCACTTGCTTTCCACTCTCCCTAGAAAGCCCTTTATTCACTTGCTAATTTCTTACAAATTTAAGATCCAGTTAAATAGTGATCTTCTCGTGCATGTTCCTGGACTCATCCTGGAAGAATTAGATATTTCCTTCTATCTTATCACCTGGCATTTTAATCAAATCTCTATTATAATATTTTCTATACTATACTATACTACGTATCATTCTGTCTTCTTTTCCTACTATTTTCTAATAACCTTGAGAGCAAGAACCATTTCTAATTCAACTTTCTAGCTCAGGAGTTTAGCTAAGCACTTGACAGATGGCAGATGTTCATTCAAAAGTTTTTGAATTAATCAATTGATTAAAAGTGCTCTACACATATAAGTAGTGCTATCCTAACATAAAGTATACGAATTAGCACCAATGCTAAATTTGAAAAATCTTGGCCCCTATGGCAGTGATTCTCAAATGTTAGTGTCTGCAAAAATTGCTCAGAATGCTTAATAAAATGCCAATTCCCAAAGACCCACCACTAGAAATTCTGATTCAATATTTGTTAGACACAGGGATCCATCTTGGTGTTCCTCATTTACTAATCCTGTAAGCTCGGGAATATAACTTCACCTCTCTGTTCATCCATTTCTCCATCTGCAAAGTGGGGATGCTAATATTACCTATATTGTTTGATCATATTGTCTTATTTGTCAGGAAATAAATAATAAATGAGAAAAATTGGCATAGAGCCTAAAAAATAGGTATCTGAAAAACAATATTACGTATGGGTAAGCACATAAATGCTAGAGCCAAATTTCCTGGGTTTCAATCATGGCTCTGGTCTCGCAACTGTGTATTTTAACCTCTGGGTCTCTGTTCTCTCAATTGTAAAATGAGAATGATAATAATACCAATCTTATGGGATTGTTATGAGAATTAAAACGAGTTAAAAAAATACATACAAAGTTCTTAGAACAGTGCCCGGTACACAGTAAGCATTACATGGTCTTGCTAGTCCTATTATTTTAGAGTCATTAAAGCTTTCTTGTAGAATATTTGTCCAGTGGTAGTCCTATTTTTCTTTCCTCAGTTAAGAATATGTGCAGCTTCTTTTGAGAGGACCTCCACTTTTCAGCAACAGACACAAGCTATGCTTTCCTGAGCCACAGCAAATACCTACAAGCTAGAGTCCCCAGCAGCCTCCTGGAATGTCTATACTCCCTGGCTTCCACAGACCTAACCACAGATGTGGACCTTAGAACAGGGTCATTGAAAGGCTCAGTTCATCTTTTTATTTGAGGGCATATGGTCAACTCCAAATTGTTGTGTGTTGTTATTTTGTTGTTTTTGTGAGAGACTTGAATTCTACTTCCAAATAGATGCTCAGAACCCAGAAAAGAATTTATAAAGTAAAGAAAGGTAAGAATCCAACTTTACTTTGATTAAGGAAGAGATCCATTCATCTGAAAATGTTTGAGGTATAGTAAACATCTACATTATAATTGAAATTAAGTAAATATGCACATATTAGTCAACTGAACAGAGAACTGACTAGAAGAACTCCCATCTTTATATGATGTTTATATACTATAGTTGTTGTTTGGTCAGTTGGCATATCTTACAAGAGCTAGTGAGTTCTTATAATCCTGCTAGGTGTCTGGTGCCACCAATATCAATGCCTGTAAGCACACTGCCTCACTGCCTCTCAAATACAGTCAGACTTTATTTAACAGTGGGTGTACATTCTGAGAAATGAGTTAGGTGATTTTTGTCATTGTGTAAACATGATAAAGTGTATTTACACAACCTAGATGTCATAGTCGACTATATGCCTAGGCTATATGATACAGCCTTTTGTTTCTAGACTGCAAACCTAAACAGCGTGTGACTGTACTGAATACTAACTGTAGGCAATTGCAACATAATGGTAAATATTTGTGTATCTAAACTTATCTAAGTATGGAAAAGGTACAGGAAAAATACCGTATTATAATCTTATGGGACCATCATTGTATACATGGTCTGTCATTAACCAAAATGTTCTTATGTGATGCATGACTGTACATAATATTCAAGGAACCATGATACACTCTGTGAAAGGAACAAGACATGGAACACTAGCTCTTCGCTGTACTGTAATTTTATATTTACATATATGCACACATAAGTACGCATCAGCAATTGATGCTTTATGATAAAATATTCTAAGGTTTACCTTTATGTGAAAGTATGATATATATTTATGTGTTCTCTCTGTAACTTTCCTGCTGATATGGGCAGATTTACGTTTAAGAGAAGATGGCAGATCAGGCAGATCAGAGTAATCTAATGGTAAGGCAGACTGACACTTACAGGAATCTCATCAAAGGCATCTAAAGATTTAAAAATAAGCAGCTCTCGGCTGTCCAGCTGATAACACGTAACATAGCACTCATGTAATACAGCACTGTATCAGAAATGTTTAGAATAATCAATGCCACTCATGTAATATAGCACTGCCACTCACGTAATGCAGCACTGTATGAGACATATTTAGAAGAATCAATGATTTTTAAATTAAAATGTGAAATAAGATAATTATTTTTTATATGTCTTGAGAGGTCACAAGGTGGAGAGGTAGATATAACTTTCTGCTAGGAAGCAGAGGTTCACCTTCCCCAGTATGCCAGCTAAGAGACCCTAGGCACACTCACCCCTGCATCCAAGCCAGAATCATTTCAAAAATACCTTACCTAGATGAAGGTTTGGAGCAGGGTCAAATTATTTCTTAAAGTCTATTCTAATTTTAGCCTCCATGATAACTGTATTATCATATTTTTTCATTTAAAAGAAACATACCAATATCAATATTAGTAATATTGTATATATTTTAAAATTCATAATTCATAATGTATACATATGGAGGTCACCTCTGTAGATTTTTGCGTGTATTCCTTTTACAAGCATTTGATCACAGATCTCTCTCCCCTACTAAAATGAAAATTCCTTAGAAACAAGGTAAATGTCTCATAAATCTTTATTACTTCCTGTGCCAGTTATTAAGATAGGGTGTCTCAGCTTCAAACCCCGCCTTCAACACTCTGCTGTGTGGGGCTGAAAGAGGGACTTCCCTGGTCCACTGGCTGGCTGTTAGGCTGTAAGTCCAGAGAGGGTGCTGGAGGGAGACAGAGAGGCTTAAGGGAGAAGTGGGAGAAATTCCTTCCTATTTTCTTTCCTATTCCTTTTTTGTTGGTGCTGCCTTTTTGAATCGAACCCTAACCAATTTTGTTCAACAGGATAAAGGCTATTTGTTTTGCTAGCAACAATTAATTTTAGACTGAAATTTTTCTAACCCATGTTAGAACTAGACCCTGCGCCTTCCTTGGAGACACTATCCACAGAGCAGTGACCCCTCCTCAGAGGTCAAATCAATTCCAGCGTCCCACCTCCAAACTTCCGGGCTTCAGTAATTTCAACTTCAGCTCTTTGTTCCTCAACCCTAGGAGTACTAACTGCTTCCTATTGCTCCCTGCATGAGGTCTAAGTGCTCCATTGTTTTTCTGTCTGTTCATTAATACCTGTTTTACAATTCTTTATATGAAATTATCTGTGCTCAAATGGTAGATGTGGCATTGTATGTACTGTTGACCAGATGCTAACTGGTACTTGTTAATACCTAGCCCCACGCCTGGAATAGAGGCATCTACATCTTAGTTGCACGAATGAATGTCCTATTACTGCATTTTCAATACAGTATGATACAGCTTTTATTCAACTGTGGCTTGTGCCCTTTCTGCATCATAAACTCTACATCTTGTCACACAAAGCATTCAACTCCAAGGCACATTTTCAATCTTCTAAGGCTCACAAAATTTCTTTGAAAAGTATTAGATGCTGACAGTTTTTTCCCCACCTCTTTTAGTTTTAACTCATGAATTGTTGAAATACAGTCCAATCAACTGGGCGAGGACATAAATGCACTACCATTTCGTTCTTCTATACTTCAGACTATTTTATATTAGCATCTTATTAACCATCTCTTCGTCTTGTCGACATAATATTTTAAGTGCAACTACACTTCTGTTACTAAAATTGACCAAGATAGAAACTGAATTACATATGCTCTGCCTCTTCCTGTTGCTGTCTTAGGAACAACTGCAAGCAAAGGGTAGAATATCCAGAAACAAGTAGAGGAGGCACACACACACACGCACACACACATGCACACATAAACAGACACACATACAGATGCATACACACATGTGCATACACACACATGCACATGCGCATGTGCACATACACACATACAAACACATGTACATACACACGTGCACACAAACACATGCACACATATACACATGCAGATGCATACACAATCACATGTGCATGCACAAGTGTACACACAACCACGCACGTGCACATACATGTGCACATACATACGCACATACACAGGCGCACACACGCACACACGTGCACACATAAACATGCATACACACACATGCACAGAAACATGCACACACCTGCACACACATGCATACACACAGACACATACAGATGCACACAGACACATACAGATGCACATATATACACACACACATATATATGTGCTTAAAAGAAACTTTCAGAGCAAAGAGTGTAGGAAATGTACTTTTAATGCAACAGGAAAAAGAAGCATAGCAGCAGATGGAGAAATCAACAGATGTTGGCTAACCTGGCACCTAAAAACATCAGAGATGATTTTATTTTATACGATATGGATAACTAAGAATTGTTTTAGAATCCACTTCAACTTGTGAAAAAAAAAAGCAGTGCTGTGAGAGAGAACATTCTTAGAGGAAGGTCGCAGTCATAAACATGGTGCAAGATTTTTTTGTTTTTGTTTTCTTTTTTCATTAGTTATGGAATTTCTGCTGCCTTCATTCTCATGCTCATCAGATCTCCCTTCTCTCACTAAGGCAACCTAGTTCTTTTGGTTACAGGATAATCCACCCCCATAAAATTTTTTCTTTCCTATTATTTCTTTCCCTCCCAGATAAAGATTTTACCTCTTCATTATCAAAAACAGTTCTTCCCAATATAGCCATGTCAACTTCTAGTCATTGTGTATTTCATGTGTATCTGCATTTTTTTGTTACTACAGACATCTGAATTTTTCAAAAATCCATAAATGTTTGTCAACTTAAGAACTGTGGGCTATATTTTATTCTTACAAACAAATGCTAATAGTTCCTGACAATTGCATTGTGCTTTATCCATTTCAATGCCATTTCCCATAAAAATAATTTATTTTATTCTCATGACTCTGTGAAACAGACAAAGCAGATAAATTGTAGACTTCTAGAGCAGGAGAAAAACATGGAGAACGCCCAGTACAAAGTATCCATGACCTTCACTATCCTTTCTCTCTCTTTCTGTCTCTCTCTCTCTCTCATTTGCTCTCCTCACTCTTGCTCTCGCTTTCTCTCTCTCTCTCTCCATGGCATAACAACAAATCTAAAATTAATCTGGTACTAGAGTTGGTTAATTGAGTTGCCAGCAATATCTTCAAAAACCAGGTACTGTATCATTTTTTGTTCTCCATCTTTACATTATAGACCCACATCTTAGGAGTTTGGCTACAGCAGGTTTCAGGCATCAATGCCTCTCCAATTTATAATATAATCAAAGATCAAAATAGAAGACTGTATAGCCTCTTCTCGTGTTCCATTTTAACAGCAATGATTCTTTCTAGATAAGTTCTCTTCAGATCACACTGGACAGATGGCATCATATGCCCATTAGTAACCCAAGTGCCACCAAGGGGCATCGAATTTATATGACTGTCTTAGAGAAATAAAGCTGAAGCTCTTGGTTGCCCAGGCTCTAAAGAATGCTGGGGTTCCATTTTCCAGGCTATTTTGAAGGAGTGTGACTGTTGTGTAGGCACTAAGTAACACCTGACTCATTAATGAAAACATAAGACTCTCTTCATCTGAAAAGCCTATTTACATATTTATAGATACTCTTTTAATAATTATTGTCTGTGGTCATTTCACAGTTAAAATTTTTCAGTACTGACTTTAAGATTATTCAAACTCTATCATCTTTAATAAAATTATTACAAATAATTTCTCCTATATATGCTTGATAGCCATATGAACCCTGTTTGAATATTTCACAATATTGAGAAGTATTTATTTTATTAAGCAATTCTAATTATCCAGCAGGGCCTCTTTATATGTTACCTTATAAATGAAAGTAACAAACTTGCTGAGCATCAACTGTGCATCCCCGATAACTTCCAACTGTTATTTCTTTGGACTCCTTCTGGACAAACACAGGAGAAATCTAATTTTCCTTCCATATATGACTATGCTCCTTTAAGGTGAGGCCAGAAGAAATAAAGCAGCTTGCTTAAGACCTTGTGGATACTTCCTAGCAGCACTGAAATGACAAGTCCTCTATATTATGTAATTTATCACCCTGCTTTTTTAGGTATCTATAGATACATTCATTTTCCTCCAACCATCTGACTAGTGCTTGTTGTATCTTCTTGATGTTACAAGTTTTCAAAAGAGAGCACATGATATCAAATAAAGAACTGTGGTTAAATTATTCTGCTACTAAGGGATGTCAAAACAGAATTTGCCATTGATAGTGCTGAAAGTGCAATTCTCATCTCCCCTGTCTTTTCTTTATGTATTCCAAACTATAATTTAATTTCTCCAGTGGTTGCTTTGTCCCTGAGTTTAGCCATGACAGATGCAGCCAAGTGAAAAGGAGGTTGCTGGATTTTGTCTGCATGAGCTCAAAAACCTGAGGACAGCAATAATCTGTAATAACATCCCGAGGTAATACTTCTAGAGAAACAGATTCCAGGTTGAATTACTGTCAATGTTTTCCTGCATATCAGCAAGATAAACTGATATTTGTTTTAATACTTTTCCACTGTCTGAAACTATAGGTATTAGTGATAGGAGACTAATAAATTATCACAATATGCTAATTTAAAAAATTGATTTGCATAACAAATGTTGATTTGTATATAATTAAAATGCACTTTTTTTATTTTTCCTGAGAAACAGAAAAAGAAATAAACTTTAAATGCATCAAAGTGCAGAAAGGTGTTTGCTCAAGAAGTGGAGTCAGCATTGAAAAGAGAAATGAGGACTTCCTTATTTCTACCATGGTTAGTCAAATTTCTGTAGAAACAATCATTCATTGGACCATCCCACATGACCAAGACAGGAATAGGGTACAAGCAACCAGAACATTCCAATTTTTCCATTTATTTTGATTAATAATGTCTCATTGCTTACACTATCCAATTTCTGGTGGTACAGTGTAGCCAAGCACACACCCTAAGATCTCAGTAGAAAACATGTACACTGCTAATGGGTATGCGGCTTCTCTTTCAGGTGACCAAAATGTACTGGAAATAGGCCAGATGCCTGTAATACCAGCACTTTGGGAGGCCAAGGTGGGCGGATCACTTGAGGGCAGGAGTTCGAGACCAGCCTGGCCAACATGGCGAAACCCCATCTCTACTAAAACTACAAAAATTAGCCGGGCATGGTGGTGCATGCCTGTAATCCCAGCTACTCTGGAGGCTGAGGCAGGAGAATCACTTGAACCCAGGAGACGGAGGTTGCAGTAAGCCAAGATTGTGCCACTGCACTCCAGCCTGAGTGACAGAGAGCGACTCTGTCTCAAAAGAAAAAAAGTACTGAAAATAGATGGTGGTGATGATTGCACAATTTTATGATATACTAAAAAAACACTAAATTTAATAATAATAATATAATAATAACAGTGCAACTCACAGGCTGTCTCTAATCACCACCAAGTACTTCTTTTCCCTTTTCCATTCTTTAGTAATTATTTCTTAACCCATCTGTTTCTCTATGGTGAACTAAAATATATTTATATTCAATTATGTATTCAACCAATAAATCATTGATTTTTTATTCCTTGTATACAGTATATTTTCTATTTTCTTGCATAGTGACCTTAAGTCATTTGTTCAATTTATCTTTCTTAAGGAAACTGCCACTCTTCCAACCTACATAATTCAGGGGAACTATGAAATAATGCAACACACAAACTTTAGCTTTGGGAGTAGGCTTAGAGCCTGGCCCTGGCTAATCAGAATGTTTCCATAAGATTTGCTCCGAAAACATTTGGAAGGAAAAGATCTTCTCTCTTCCTTTGTGATTAAAGTTGTAAAGATTACATGAGCCCGAGGCTACCAGCAGATATATTACCATTCCTAAAGGGAGGTATGACTAAGGGTAAATCCAAGCAGAGACAAAGAGATCTAAGAGATACTGAGAAATAAAGATGGAAACGGAGAAAGAGATCAAAAATAAAGAATCCACAAAATTATCTGAAATTCTGTATCCTCTATATGCAAGAAGCTACACTCCTCTCCCTTGGATTTGTGAAAAATAGGCATAAAAGTACATCCCTCACCCCTACTCCACCTCCAATACACACAAATATCTGATTTTACTTGGAGTTTTTCGTATTTGAAACAACAGCATCCACTTTAGATAAGTAACACATGTAATAGCTCTTGCTTTTAAAAGAATGTAAAGACTAATAGTGGAAACAGGCCTATAAACAGATACATGTGAATATAGTATGAAGCAGTGCTGGAAGGATGGATAAGATATATATTGAGAAAGGGTAGAGAAGTTAATGTTCAACTATAACTGAGGTGGTGAAGAAACGCTTCAAATGAGATGTAACACTAAGGCTGATTCTGTAACTATAAAAAGGAATTTAAAATGAGAACTGGCTCAGAAAAAATGTAAGACAGTCCATAAAAAAGAACCAGCAAGAGAAAATCCAGGGACAACAGAAAAGCATTATATATCAAGAAAAATAAAACAGTTACTTATAGGTACAGCAAAGAAACACAAAAGAGTAGTTTCAGAGCAAGGATCATTGTGACTTTAAGGTGCTAATTGGGTATCCGTACATAAATGTCCAGGAGGCCATTTTCTGCATGGATCTAGAACTTAAGAAATCTTGGCTAGGGACAGATTTGAGTCTTCACAGAACAGCGGGCAGTTATAAATGTGGGATACAATGAGACAGCCCAGAGGAAGTGAAGGGAGTAAAGTGAGAAAAGTGTGAAGGAGACCAACCTGTGTATAAGTGCTGAGCGTTCATAGAGGAAAAAGCCAAGACTCTGGCAGAACTGGACTCACTGGGCTTCCTTGGTATTGCAGAATTTTCAGAGACCCAGACCCTTAGAATGAAAACTTTTATTTTCTTCACAATCAAGATCTAACTATCACAATCCCAATACCTCTCTCTCCACAGTTCGCCCTCCTGCCACTACCATCAATGGGGTCTCTTGAGTTTTTAGATTTTAAATCATTTTTTAGCGGCCGGGCATGGTGGCTCACACCTGTAATCCCAGCACTTTGGGAGGCCGAGGCAGGCAGATCACAAGGTCAGGAGATCGAGACCCTCCTGGCCAACATGGTGAAACCCCTCTCTACTAAAAATACAAAAATTAGCTGGGTGTGGTAGCGCTTGCCTGTAATCCCAGCTACTCGGGAGCCTGAGGCAGGATAACCGTTTGAACAAGGGAGTCAGAGGTTGCAGTGAGCCGAGATCGTGCCACTGCACTCCAGCCTGGTGACAGAGGGAGACTACGTCTCAAAAAAAATAAAAATAAAAATAAAAATATATCATTTTTTGGCACAGTTATCTACTATTTTATTGTGTCTCTTTTGGTCTTTGACTTCTGGACTTCCAATTCCCTGCAGCTTCAGTAAACTGGGCCCTTAACTTGATGTCTTGAGACCTGTATACCTCATCCATATTCTGGCCAAGTACCTGATAAGTCTTGATCTCTTGAGACCTGTATACCTTATCCATATTCTAGCCAAGTACCTGATAAGTCCACCCACATCCCAGAATGACAAGGAGGATCAGGGTCAAAGAAAATCATGACATGTATATCTAAAAAGCAAACAGGGAAACACGGTGCAGAATTTGTAATGATACTCTTTCCTAAGTTCTTAGTCTATTGTTCTGAAATGTTGAATTCTCTCTACATGACAGAGTATGGCTTGCACTCAACATCTGACCCTCTTATGGTAACATCATGTTGTCCTAAGAGCAATCACTTGCTCAATAACAGGTTGCCTCTATGGCAGAGGATCAGAATGTTTTTTAAAGGGCTTTTCAGCAGTAGGGTTGCTACCATAGAAATGTAAAACTGCAGGAAAATAGCTGCATCAAAGACAGGGTCATTAAGAAGATACTAGAAAGGAATTTGCTTCTGATAAAGCCCGTTGTTTGCTTTTTCACTATACACCCACTGAACAAGGACGTTTGGGACTAGAGCAACAGAAAAGCATGCTGCATGCATTCAGATCAATGGAAATCAAAGTAAGATTACTAAAATTGCACACTATGGATTTATTAATTAGTTGAGAAAAACAGCAACAAATACTAGTGGAGATATCACAAAATTTCCTGGAGAGACTTAGATGCAAACATTCCATCCACCCAATGGTTATGTAACTGTAGAGTAAGTTACCTAAGCTCTACAAGGCTTAGTTTTTGCAACTATCTCCTTCATAGGGTTGTTACCTAATAATGCCTCCCACATAGAGTTATTTTGAAAAATTAACATAAATAACATAGAAGATGTAACTAATAAAGTAGTTGGTACATGGATGGTGCCCAAAATATGTCGAATTTGTATAGTATTTTTATATAAAGTAATGCAATGGAATTTGTTAGGAGCAAGATGTAGCTGTTACCTCTCTACTTCCAAATGTATGTGTTTGATGACCCAGGGACCATTCAGAGCAGGAAGATGGGACAAAGCTGACCAGAAAACAGGCCAGATAATTGTTTTTTTTGTTTTTCAAGTTTTAGTAAACAGTCTCTCCCATATTGTATTGTTTTGTTTTGTTTTTCACTCTGCTGCCTGGGCTGGAGTGTAGTGGCGTAATCTTGACTCACTGCAACCTCCGCCTTCCTGGTTCAAGCAATTCTCCTGCCTCAGCATCCCAAGTAGCCGGGATTACAGGCTTCCGCCACCAGGCCTGGCTAATTTTTTTTGTATTTTTAGCAGAGACAGGGTTTCACCATGTTGGCCACGCTGGTCTCAAACTCCTGACCTCAGATGATCCCCCCGCCTCAGCCTCCCAAAAGTGCTGGGATTACAGGCGTGAGCCACCGCACCCAGCCCCTATATTGTCTTTTAAATATGCTGTCTGCAAATATAAGTTCTTCTTTATTATTGCCCCTCCCAGATGATTCCCTTTTCTCCAGCACTGAGGCTCAAAACCCCCAAAGTATCTTTGACCTCTTCTTGTTCCATTGTACAGGTTGTCCACCTAGGAGATTTTATCAAAAATTCTCTAACACAAGGATAGAAGATTTTAAGGAGTTTTAGAGGAATAAATTGTAGCTTTTAAAATCAGGCCATCTGGAAAGTGGTTCTACTTATGAAATCTCCAGGAATGAAGTTGTTGGCCATAAAGGAACTGTTTTGATCCACTTTAAATATAAGCCTAAGGGCTTAGATGCTGCTGTAAAGCAAAATGTTAATAAAAGTTAGCTGATAATTTTGCTGAACATTTGTATTGAACTTTAAAGAGAAAGTGTTTTTGTAGAAAGTAAAGAGAAAGTGAACAATATTCCAGAAGAGCAAATGCTAGTCAGGAAACCTTAAAGTTATGAGACACCAAAGGAACCCTGGCATGTTTCAGGACTATGTTCTAATTTGCTCCATATCTCAGGAGCAGTGCTGTTTGATTTTTGGATGCTGCCCAATAGTATCAGTGTAGTAAGAACGGCATAGATACACAGGGCCAATTACCCAGTGTTTTTAACTTCAGCATTCCATTTTGTCTCCTCTAGCCTTCTTATTGCTTTGTCCCCTGGGAAGTACTAGTGATGTTTTCCATGCTGGGGAGCTGTCAGTTAAGTGGTTCATTTTTTTATTATTTCACATCAAATGTCTATGAAAATAACTTTTTGACCCAAGATCATTACGTAATGTGCTTTGATTTACTTCTACAGAAGTGCAAAGGGTGGCATTTAGAGCACCCGAGCAATGGTGGTATAAGGGTCATGTTTGTGTCATGCAGTAGATAATGTCTCATCTAAGCACCACTTTTACCAGGAGCTGTACAAGCTCTCTACATCTGTGCCTGTTTAGATTTATTCTCCATTTTTTTTCTGTCTGAGCAAATACATTATCTGCAGGGGAAAATATGAATATATTAGTCTTGCCAGAGTGAGGCTATACTCCTGTGAAAACAAGATGATCTAAATCAGCAGTGGAAGATTCCAGAGTGTGGATTGGAAGGGGGCTTGCAGACAGATATGCTGCATCAAAGGAAATTACCAGCAGCCTCAACCTTGCTGCAGCAGAAGGCCTTTCAGAGAAATAAACCATTTTCATTTTTGATTTACAAAATATTTTAGGGGAATTTTATCTGTAATCATGGAGAAGACAATTTTGAACACATACGAGTTTTTCTTTCATGAGTGAGGTGATGAGTTTTCAGGACGGGCGCCATGTATTTACTCATTTTCTGGTAAAAAAAAAAAAAAAAAAAATGCCGCAAGATGTCACCACTTAGTGGAGAAGAAAGTGATCTGAAGCAATGCTACCCTAGGAAACTAATGCATATCCATACCCAGGCTGAGAAAACAGCTTTAGGAAGAAGAAATAAATTTTATGTATACTACTGAAACATCTCTGACTGTGCAATAATTTAAAAGTACAGCAAAGTTTCATTTTTAAAAAGTCATCTAGAGTGCTGCTGTACATGTAGAAACTGTTCAATAAATATTTAATACTGAACTCATTGTCATGGAATAAACTGTGGTCCAAATAGTTTAATAAATATAAGGGAAAAAAATTATAAAGTACATTTTAAAAGCTGAGAAAAACTTGAGGCTGCTTAAAGTTTCAACTGGATTGATTTCAGAACTCCCAGGAGGAAAATGCACCACAACATGTAGAAGAAACAGAAGACGGCCGGGCGTGGTGGCTTACACATGTAATCCAAGCACTTTGAGAGGCCGAGGGGGGTGGATCACCTGAGGTCAGGAGTTCGAGACTAGTCTGGCCAAAATGGCAAAACCCCGTCTCTACTAAAAATACAAAAATTAGTGGGACGTGGTGGCAGGTGCCTGTAATCCCAGCTACTCAGGAGGCTGACGCAGGAGAATTGCTTCGACGCAGGAGAATTGCTTCAATCCAGGAGGCAGAGGTTGCAGTGAGCTAAGATCGTGCCACTGCACTCCAACCTGGGTGACAGAAAGAGACTCTATCTCAAGAAAGAAAAGAGAGAGAAGAGAAGAGAAGAGGAGAGGAGAGGATAGGAGAAAAGAGAGGAGAGGATAACAGAAGAGAATAGAGGAGAGGAGAGGAGAGAAGAGAGGGCCAGCAAGAGTGGAATAGTGGAATATTTTCTAGTCACATATTATAACAGACATTAGAAATAAATAATTTTAGGGAAAAAATGTAATCAGTTCTAATTGGAAAAGAAGCTATTGTATGCCTATCAGTTTGTTATACTCTAGGGAGAGAGAAACAAAACCTAGACCTTACTCTAGAGGATCTTATAGCCAAAACCTATTTCTTGAGTTTAAGGCACATCCTAACAGATGGAAAAATCAGAGGTATTGGAAACAGGTGTCTCTTCCTAAACATTAGTCAGGTATATTTTAAACTACAAGTTTCCATTAAAATAATGTTTCTTAGAAACTAGATTTTGATGTAACATATTTTGCACCCTTAAATGAGAAAAGAAGACTCCTAGAAAAAGAGACTATGATAACTCACAGCCCAAAGCGAATAAAAACTGCTAAACCTTAATATCCATTATTTGGATAACTACAAGGGTAGTTATTTTTAAGGGTAGATAAAATAATAACTACACGGGTAGTTCAAATATCTTGTCCATGAATAATAACCTTTTTAAAGAAGAGAAAAAGTTTTACACAAAAAATCTGGACTGTCTTTCCAGCCCTTCCTACTCAGTATGACTTGTATTCACTATGGAAAAACTATAAAAGAAGATTTTTTTTTCCTTTGGAGAAAATGTAATTTTTAAATCAATATTGAAATGATCCTCTCTTACTGAATTCTGGAATGAACTAATGTAATATCAGTAACGGGGATGGATTCCAAGCCCTTTCAGTTTTGTTAGGGGACCTGATTACTTTGAGGTTTGCTGTGGGCACAGCGTTTGTACGCATGCATGAAACCCCATGCTGTGTTGGATTCTACATTCGGAAATATAAAAATAAAGTGGTAAAGTAGTTCCCTTTGTTTCTGCTTTGAACTAAACAAGTTAAAATATCCTGGGGGCGGGGGCTGGGTGGAAATGACTGAAATGGAAGGGGAAAGAAAGATGGTTTGAGTTACAGTTTTTTCTTTGCTGTGTGTGTGTATGTGCGCGTGCGCGCATGTGTGTGTGTTATTGCCAGGACTTTTCAATATTACATGTGGCCTTAGCATTTCTCCCTTATTTGTGAATGCTCTATACCAGCCATTTCTTTCATCCTCAACTTGACCTCTTTTAAAATCTTTTCTCTTAAATCTCCTTGATTTCTTCTTTTAAATTTTTCTCTCTTCTTTAGTCTACCTCCCTCCTCTTCCTCTACATTTAAGACCCAATTGGTGGGCCGGGCGCGGTGGCTCACTCCTGTAATCCCAGCACTTTGGAAGGCTGAGGCGGGTGAATCACTTGAGGTCAGGACTTCGAGACCAGCCTGGCCAACAGTGAAACCCTGTCTCTACTAAAAAATACAAAAATTAGGTTGGTGTGGTGGTGCATGCCTGTAGTCCCAGCTACTTGGGAGGCTAAGGCAGGAGAATTGCTTGAATCCAGTAGGCAGAGGTTGTAGTGAGCCAAGATCATCCCACTGGACTCCAGCCTGGGCTTCAGATCCTTCCATTGCTTATGAAGGTAGAAGAGTTTATAGGGGGTCCAGTTAAAGAGCATATGATTCTTTTGTACCATTCCGGTTAATACTCTGTTTTACTCAATATATTGGACTAAATACACATCAAGGAACTTGATAAAGATAGATTCAATAATAAAGTGTATATTTACCTGTCTCTAGCATCTTGTTGCACTTAAATAAGTAATTGTAATCCACATGTTCTGTGTTGCCAAAATCGTTCTGTTAAAATCTTACTGTGTTAGCTTTAAAATAGTTGAGATTAAAAAATTTGCTGAGGAAAGCGTTTTGTTTTTTTTTTTTCAATTTATAGGTCATTCTTTCCTCTTTAAATAGAGTCTCGAATATACCTTTAAAAGTCTCTTCCTTTAAAATTATTGCCAGAACTCTTCAGTCCAGAACTATTTCTGAAACTCTACGACCCAACATCCTCCTTAGAGCTCAGGACAGATAGAGGTGCCTGCCTCTGGAATATTTCAGTGCGTGTCATAGATTAAGTGCCCTGGAAATAGTGTGACATGGTGTATTTGTCAGCTTGGGCCACCATAACAAAATGCCACCGACTTGGTGGCTTAAACAATAGAAATTCATTTTCTCACAGTTCTGAAGACTAAATGTTAATGATCACGGTGCCAGCTGGTTTTGGGCCTGGTGAGGACCCTCTTTCTGGTTTGGAGATGGCTGCCTTCTTCTTAAGACCTCATATGGCCTTTCTTCAGTGTGTGTATTCAGAGACAGGGAGAGAGCTCTTTGCTGCCTCCTTTTATAATGACACGAATCCTAGAAGATCAGGGCCATGACCTTATGGAGGAGCATTCTTGGGGTTACACCTGTAAGGAACTGAAGAAGACAGGGATGGGCAAAAGTGCTGACATGCAATGTGGTTGCCATTAAGACTTCCACCTGCCTAAGGAGAGCTCTAGAACTGGGATAGTCCTTCAAGTTAGCCCCAAGTCACAGAAAAGGGTTGGCTGTTCACGTTCTCACAACAGTCACTAGTCAGAAACTGCCCTGGGAAAGGGCATAAACTTGATTATTGCAGCTCCATGTGTCCAAATACAATTCCCTGTGAAGGATGCAGCCATGACCTATCAGTAATTGATATGCCCAGCAGCTCAGGGAGGGGTGCATTGGTCCTGGGAATGCAATGTGAGTGAAGTACTGCAATATCCCTTGCATTCTCCAATTTGCTTATTTTTTATAGAAAGTTAGCCCCATCTGGAAAGAGCTTTCTCAGGGTGCTGGTTGGTCTTACTTCTGGGAGAATGTAGAAGAAAGTGGGAGGAAACAACCTGTATTGTTGCACAGTTAATCTCAAGGCCATAACTGACCCTCATCATCCTCTCCTCCAGCACTCATCTTAGATTGTTTTCACCTTGCCTGGCCCCTCTGTTGGTCCAGCTGGTGGCTTGCCACGTGGGGGACCTAGGCCCTTATCCCCAAGGGGTCTGAGTCCCAGTAGTTATTATGTCCTTCTCAGATAATGGATACTGTACCTTTCCGTTTAACATTAAAACTGGACAACAGAGCACCAAGAGATGTTTTAGTAGGTCACCTGAGCTCAAGCACTTTCCACCCCATCCCCATTGTACAGCAGCAGCCCTGCCTCCTCCTGCTGATCTGAGCTGACCACCCACTGAAATGGTGACTCCTTCACTTGATTGCCGGCCCCTTGACATGAGAAGACCAAAATAACCATATGAAAGAACTAGCTTAAACTGTAATAGGACTCTACTGTATCCTCTAGTGGAAAGCACTACCATTCTGAGAACCAAGATCTTTAGACTCACGGAGACTATAACTGTGGTAACAGAAATTACAAATGCCCTAGAGAAAACTGGGGTGATGGAAAGCAACACCACTTCTAATTCCATCTGTTGGTTCCCAGATCCATGTATTCTAGCCTAAAGCAGATACAGAACAACATAATAGTCATTGATTTTCAGTGAATACCACGTCCTGAAGTGAATATCATCCTCACAGGGTATGGTTTCCGACCAGGGACCTCAGTTGCACGTTTTAAACATGACTTTACCAGTGTATCAGATTGACAGGTTTTGGTTTGTGAGAATAATGATATAAAACAAATGGAGCGTGTAGTCACACATCCTCTACTGCAACTACACCTCATTTGTTATCATTTGATTCTCTTGGTCTAAGGACAGGTTACACAGTATCCTGTACCAGCAGACAAAATCTTCAAAAATCTGCAGCTAGTGATATTAGCAATGGCCTTGCAGTGGGAAATAAATACTCACACCCAAACTATCTGTGGATTCCATTAAGGATAAATCACTGCTTCTTCAGGGGTAGGAGAGGTCCATCGTAGTCAACTTTCTGGTAAGCTCCATTCCTTGGGTAAAGTGTGTCATACCAAGGGCTAAATATTGGTCTCTGATATTGCAAGCTGGACTTTTGGCAGAGGCTATAGCAAAATCATTATTGTTGAGAGAAAGCCCGTGCAACTCGGCTTTCACAACCACTTCTGCCACCATGGCTACTTCATTTATGTGCCAATTATGCCAGCCCTGTGACTGATTGATAGGGACTGGCTGATGTCAACTAGCCACATGAAAAAGAAGTGATTGGTTCATTGGAGGCATTGCTTGACTAGTGCCTCTGGTGGGTTAACCTGTGATACAGAGATCGTCATTCTGTGCCCACTCCCATAGGTCTATCCATGTGCCTCTTCTTCTGATCTTTTGGTCCCTGAGCTTCTAATCTTTCTCTTTTCAAATTCCAGACCAAGCATCCAGGACATTAACCAGGGATTTTAATCCTCCTTCCTGATAGAATGGAAAAAAAATGCATCTCTCAGTGGGTCTGTATAATATTTCACAGGCTGTGATGTTCTCCTCTAGTAAAGATACGCCATCTGACAAAGCAACTGCAATTAGAGCCACTGCTTGGTACAGTTTATGGTAATCCACTGTAAATTGTCATTATCCATCCATTCCTAGTAAAGGCTAGACTGGTGAATCTCAATGAGGATATGACAGGAAATACTAGTCCTACATTCTTTAAATATTTTAAAATAACGTTTATCTCTTCCTGTCCCCCCGTGATCTGCTATTGTTTTTGATTTGCTATTTTTCCTGAGCAGTGGGTCAGTTTCAAAGCATTATACTATATACTTTCAGTGCTCTTTCCCCTACCTTCATCCTTGGACCAAGAAAACAATAGGAAAATTCTGCCAACTACCACCTCTAGCCATCCCAAATGTAAATTCAAAATCTATGAAAATAAAAATCAACAGAGTCTTTAAACCCAGCGGACTCATTATAAGTTGTGCCTGGGCCAGGAATTCATTTATTATCTGGCTTCCATATATCCCCACTCAGACAGGAGGGCTAAGTTATCAATGGGTATTAATGTCAATTCAGACTCTATGTCTCATAATCCTGGAAATGTGTAGTTATTTCCCATTTGCCAATGCATGATTATCTAAGCAAATGACTAGAGATACCTTTGGGGAATAGTGGGGAAACAGCTATTGAATATGCTTGTCACAGTGTTGTAAGGTCCTGGTGGAGACATGACTTTTTCGTCAGTAAAGAGATTCCATATCTGAGAATTATCTAGGTCCAGAATCTGTCAGCTGCATTTGGATTTCTGATCATCCATCCCTGATTTCCTTTGATTGCACGAATAAAGTAAAAGTCTTGTTACTTGCCCATCTATCTTGTCCCTGAAATCACAATGTTCTCTTAACCACCTCCAGTTCTCTGTGGATTGGGACCCCTAGCTACCACTTTGATCTTTCCATTCATTGCAATAACTGCCTCTCCAGTAATTGTTTCTGTCTATTAAGTACTTTACATGGTCTGTATTATTATAGAACCCTATCATCACCATTGTTTACAAGGAGTCCAGTTTGTAGAGGACAGACACAGTAGAGCTTCTAAATGATGAAGTTCTGGCATCCCTCTCAAAAGCACATTCTCTGTTCAGTAAATGGAATGTTATGTTGCAGAACTTATTAGGCAAGTAGGTTTTCCAACCTTGCACAGTATATCTACTCCAGGATACTATTTTCAGAGCCTTTTAGTTCTTTCTTCCTTTGTCTGCCCTGACAGTTTGATCATATCCACTTCATTCAATGCGAGACATCACTTTTTAAAATTTCTAAGAGCACTTGCCAGTGTGTTAAACTCTGTATCACAGAAGAGCATCCTGTATCAATTGGTTGCCCCTTGATCCAACATCACGGGAGAGCTCTGCTATGCACATGCTTCCAGCTCTCGCTGGTACATAGTAACAGATCACACTGCTCCATTGATATATAGGTCCTCTCTTCCCTTCCCAGGTCTGGCACACCTCACCAAGTTGTGCTGCAATTTAACCTCTGTTTTGGTCTGATTGTGAGGAAGAGTGATAGAAGTAAATCTTAATTGGGAACAAGCATTGTTCTATAAGACATCTACCTCATCTGAGATTTATGATCCTCAAGCAAAGGCAAGGATAGGAGGATGGGTTAGAGGGAGTTACCTTCTAAAAAGGGGAATTAGGCAATTCTATAGGCCCAGAAAAATAAGAATAATTTATGTGTTCAAGGTTGAGCTGATCCCAATTCTCAAGGTCTCACTCTTTCCTTATTAGGGCCCTAACCTTGGTTTAAAAAAATCCATCAGGTCTCAGAATTCAACCTTTTTCTGGATGTCAACTACTCTTATGATTAAGTTCTGATCAAGGTCCTTCATCTTTTTGCCCTCTGGTAAGAAGGCAAAAGATGAGATTCTCCAGTTGTTGCGGGGTTTTTTGTTTGTTTTTAATGTTGCCTATAATAGGTAATTGATCACCCTGAGCCTGTAATTATATCTTTTCAACAAATCAGTGGAGCTCCAGTAACCTAATTCCATGGTCCTTATAGTTTTCCCTTTTCTCTCTTGACAGCCAAAAATAACGCATCTGTCAATGTATCTCCTTCCACAGGTATCTGGTCACAGTTCACTACAGGTGAAAATTTTAACAGTCGCATCAGTGCAACATGCCAGGAGCAATTCAAACACCACCCACCACCACTGATAGGGTCCTAGTGCCATATAGCTGGCAAGTGATCCATCTCCCAAATTCCATTTTAGATTCTGCTTCCTAGGACTGATACCATTACCTGCCTTCACCTGTGAGGCGGAGAATCATGTGCTGAAATATATTGAGAAGTGATCTCAGGAGGTACAGCTGCCAGGAAGTAAAAGCAGAGGTATTGGGCAGAGGAAAATTCTGACCTACAATGCAGTTGCCACTGAGATTTCAGAAAAACTTAAGAGAAGATCTGGAAATGGGAAGATCCTTCAACGTTGCCTCAAATAGGTATGAGGTGGGGCCTTAGCATTTTCACTTTCATTGTTGTTCACTGTTGGCCACAGGGTGCCCCCTGCAAGCAGGAGGAGCTGTTACCTTGAGCAACATAGTTCCCAGAGGCTGAGGGCAATTTCCACTGAAGGACACAGCTGCCAGCCATCAGCAAGTGGGAGATGGGTGCATGGGCTCTGAAGGGAGAAACTGGGTGGAATATCACAACATCCACTAAATTATTTCTCATCCTTCATATTTAAGCTCAATCATCACTCTGTCTGGGAAGTGTCCCATGACCTTGACCCATCCTCCTCCCCTGCCATACACCACAGGCTCTCAAACTAGGTCAGATCTCCCTATTACATACCTTCTTCACTTCCTGCACTATTCTTCATATAACTTATTCCACTTTTAGTTATAGGTTCATTGCTGTGATTATTTGGTTAAAATCTTTCTTCACCATTAAATTGTAAGCTCCTAAAGGGAAAGACTCTAATAGTTTTGTCCACCCTTGAACCTCCAGTGCCCAGCAGAGGATCTGTTATATATTAGTGCTCATTTGATACTTATTTCAATGAATATTACATTGGTGAATGACTATCATAGATGATGTATGTAGCTCACTGTAACAATGACATCATTATATAGTAAACTCTCCTCAATGGATATTGTAAAGAATGGATTTCTGCAAGGAAGTATAGCAGTTTTCCTCTGAGTATTGTATTCCTGGACAAAATTTGCAGCTTCAGAGAGAATGAGACAGCAACCTAACTAGTCAGAGTGTCTTGATAACTTCTGAAATCAAGATTATATTTGATTAACTAGTATTATATTTTAAAAGAGCATGTACTGACAACACCAAATGCTGCAAAAGGATATGGCAGCAGGAACTCTCCTTCACTGCTGGTGGGAATGCAAGATGACTCAGCCACTTTGGAAGACAGTTTGGCTGTTTCTTACAAAATTAAATACAGTCTTATCACACATTCCAGCAACTGCGCTCTTTTCACTTTCCTCAAATTGGTTGAAAATGTGTGTCCCCCAAAAAAAAAAAAACCTTCACACACATGCTTACAGCACTTCTATTCATAATTGCCAAAACTGGAAAGTAACCAGGATGTCCTCCAATAGATGAATGGATAACTAAACTGTGGTACACCCAAAAGGGGAAATAGTATTCAGCACTAAGAAGAAAATAGCTATCAATCCATGAAAAAAAAAAACATGGGAGAAACTTAAATGTACATTACTAAACAAAAGAACAAAGCCATCTGAAAAAGCTACATACTGCAGGATTCCGACTCGATGACACTCTGAGAAAGGCAAAACAATGGAGACAGTAAAAAGATAAGTGATTGCCAGGAGTTTAGAGAGAGGACTGAGTAGGTGGAGCACAGAGGATTTTTAGGGCAATGAAACTACTCTGTATGATACTGTAATGGTGGATACACATCATCATACATTTATCCAAACCCATAGAGCATACAAGTGAACTCTAATGTAAACTATAGACTTTGGGTGACGATGTGTCAATGTACATTCATCAATTGAAAAAATGTGCCATTCTGGTGGTGATTTTTTTTTAAGTTCAATTATTTTAAGTTCTGGGGTACATATGCAGAATATGCAGATTTGTTACATAGGTAAACCTGCACCATGGTGGTTTGCTGCACTGATAATCCCATCACCCAAGTATTAAGCCCAGCATCCACTAGCTTTTCTTCCTTACCCTTTCCCTCCTTCCATGCCCCACCCTCTAACAGGCCTCAGTGTGTGCTGTTTCCCTCAATGTGTCCGTGTGTTCTCATAATTTAATTCCCACTTATAAGTGAGAACATGCAGTATTCGGTTTTCTGTTCCTGAGTTAGTTTGCTAAGGATAATGGCCTCCAGCTCCATTTATGTTACTGCGAAGGACATGATCTCATTCCTTTTTATAGCTGCATAGTATTCCACGGTGTAAATGTAGTCTGATGATGATGTTAACAGTCTGGAAGGCTGTGCATGTGTAGGGGCATGGAGTATATGGGAAAGCTCGGCACCGTTTACTCAATATTGCTATGTGCATAAAACTGCTCTAAACAAATAAAATCTATTTTTTAAAAACAGTTGTGGCCGGGCGTGGTGGCTCACGCCTGTAATCCCAGCACTTTGGGAGGCCGAGGCGGGCGGATCACGAGGTCAGGAGATCGAGACCATCCCGGCTAAAACAGTGAAACCCCGTCTCTACTAAAAATACAAAAAATTAGCCGGGCGTAGTGGCGGGCGCCTGTAGTCCCAGCTACTTGGGAGGCTGAGGCAGGAGAATGGCGTGAACCCGGGAGGCGGAGCTTGCAGTGAGCCGAGATCCCGCCACTGCACTCCAGCCTGGGCGACAGAGCGAGACTCCGTCTCAAAAAAAAAAAAAAAAAAAAAAAAAAAACAGTTGTGTAAATGAAAAAAAGTGCTTATAAAACTTGTTTGCCTTGTATGACATGAATTTACATTTTAGTTCCATGTTGATTATTGCGATGGTTAATACTGAATGTCAACTTGATTGGATAGAAGAATACAAAGTATTGATCCTGGGTGTGTCTGTGAGGGTGTTGCCAAAGGAGATTAACATTTGGGTCAGTGGGCTGGGAAAGGGAGATCCACCCTTAATTTGGGTGGGCACCATCCAATCAGCTGCCAGCACAACTAGGATATAAAACAGGCAGAAAAACGTGAAGACTAGACTGGCTTAGGCTCCCAGCCTATATCCTTCTCCTGTGCTGGATGCTTCCTGCCCTCTAACATCAGACTTCAAGTTCTTCGGTTTTGAGACTCGAACAGGCTTCCTTGCAACTCAGCTTGCAAACAGCCTATTGTGGGACCTTATGATTGCGTGAGTTTACTCTTAATAAACTCTCCTTTATACATATATATATATAGGATATATATATAGGATAGATATACATATAGGATAGATATATATATAGGATAGATATACATATAGGATAGATATATATATAGGATAGATATATATAGGATATATATAGAGGATAGATATATATATAGGATATATAGGATAGATATATATATAGGATAGATATATATATAGGATATGTATATATATATATATATCCTATTAGTTTTGTCCCTCTAGAGAACCCTAATACAATTATGATGTTGATGAAATCATCAGTTGCTTTTAGACCATTTAAGAGGTTTAGGATGATATTTCATGAGATACAAACAAGAAAGCTTGGTTATAAATTCTGTTTTGTTCTGTAGGAACATTTTAGAGGAGGAACTTCTTGAATAGAATTCACCTCAATATACCTCATAAGGCTCATACTTCCATTTTAAATATCTGCCACAAGAGACACAGTTTGGCATCTCTTATTCCTAAATCATGAATTTCCAGAGACTGTTGCTTCTAACAATGGTTCTGTGTTTGTCTTCCATAAAGGTAAGAGATTTGTAAAAAGAACATTGATCTGAGCAGTCAATATCATGCTTTGTCTCCCTGAATTAAATGGTCATGTTTAAAGATTAGTGTGGATTATGCACATCGCTAAAAGAAACTGGCAACTGGACCTGCCAAGGGTTCTGTTGTGTAATGTCATCTCACCTTCCCAATCGTAGTGAGTCATAATGAATTATCAAATGAGCCACATCTCAGAATCTCCTGGAGCACTAAGCTCCATATGCTGTCCTGCCGCTCATATCCCCCTTTTTAACATGAGATTTAGTATTTGCTGGGAGTTATAAAACTGAAAGCATACTTTTCCAATAAACACATGCATAGCATGACCTGTGTACTCACTGTTCTAAGTGCTTTACAAACATTTAATAGGTGGGTTTTGGACACTATAATTGAAAAGACAGATTTCATATCATAAGACATCCAGGATAAAATGGAGTTGCTGATCATCTCCAAGTTAATCAGTTGCCAAGTTATTCCCCCAAGAAACTCTCAGTGCCAGGAACCCTGGAAGTATCTCCAGTGTTGCCCTCTTAGGTGACCTTGTGTCTGACGGCTCCTGACACTCAGCAAATTCACCATGTGAAGGTAACAGCAGGCTTCCTCTGATTTCACAACTGCTCAGATTGCGCTATCTTGTGGCTGTACCACAGTTCATATGCTACAGACTTAAGACTCACAAACTGTGCCCACTTGCAGGCTAAATTATAATAGTGTCTGAATATGTAGGACTGATAAGTGTCCTGGGAACCCTGACAGTGTGTTTTGATATTTTTGTGTTACTATTCCATGTTCCATGTTTCAACAAATTAGAGGGACGTTAAGATCAATGTTGCATACTTCCAGCTCCCCCCCAAAATAATAATCATCTTTTCTAAAAGTTTTTGTATTTTTCTGTTTTCTCTGCTACTCAACAAAGTATAATCATTCTGACCTGTTTTAAATTAACGGTGTTATTGTTAAGTCCGGGATACTGTACCATTAAATATGAGCCAGTTATAGGCTAATAATTATATCCCAGATATTACTGCCCTTCATTGGGTTTTAATTGTAGCATTGACCTCATAGTGGTGGCATATTCATACAATCTTGTTTTATTCAACTCTCTTGAGGCATAAGTTAGCTTATTAAAATTTTGTAGCTCTGGAGTTGCTATCACTGAAGTTTCTCCCAGACCAGCAAGTGATGTGTAGCTGTGGCCAAAGTCATAGTCTGTGAAATGGCAAAGCTTCTGAAATGTTGAACACATTATCAAAGTTTATAGTCTGTGAAATGGCAAAGCTTCTGAAATGTTGAACACATTATCAAAGTTTTTCTGTGGCCTGAATTATCTTTTCAAAAATATTTTGTGCAGAGCATATAATTTTCCTTTGTTCCATGACATTAATGGATTGCTTGGTCTGTAAACTACTTTCCTTATTTAATACAAATACCTCTTCAATCGAAATTATCTGACTTTGATTAATGATACACCAAAAGAACTAACAGACTTTACTGCAGCTTAAATGAATGTGTGCATTCATTTATCCTCTAGTTGTTTTCACTGTACAGTGCTCTGCTTATTTATTCAAAAATAAAAACAGATGGCGTACTTGCTTCTGCTTCAGGCTCTACGAGCAGTTCTTTGTCGATTGCATAAAAGTTGTTTGCAAGCACATTTTTCTTTATAAAGGAAAAATGTAATGAAGGTGTCCAATGACCCTTAAATTATTGGGGGAATTTAACCCACTACATACAGGCTCACAGAATGAGTAGCGGGAGTGTCAAAACTTTTCAGCCAACTATTTAGTCTGATTTCTGGCTTGAACTTTATCCTATTTTCACACCAATTCAACTCAATGAGTTGTTTTATAGGAGTTAATAACAGACAATGAACAAGATTAAAACACTTATCTCTGAGCTTAAAGTAAATAACACATCACTCTGAAAAATAAAGTTGACTGATTTCTCTAACACTAAGTGAAAGTTTTTAAAAGCATTGATTATAAACCGTAACAATGTCTTTAACTGCATGCCTTCAAATATAAGTAACTTTCACTTAATTAACTAACCTTATTGCTAATGTGGAAATGAGTGATTTTCAAGGACTGTCGTCAGCTAAGTTGCAGCTTCCCAAGTGAGTTGGGGATGTTAATGACATGAATTGCATTTGACTCAATAATCATCACATCAAGTATAAGAGCTGTCTAGTCATACATAAGAAATTATTCAAAAGCAAGCAGGTATTCCATGCCCCCATAATATTTCCTGTGGGTTGTATCGTTGTTCTGGTTTGCTAAATACTTTTAGAATTTGCCTTTCTTTCCCCTGGTACTATAGTCTACCATCCAAATAGTTGTTTCCAGATAGATTAATTCACCACCTTATTGGTACTTATTTTAATAAAAGGCAATTATATGTTTTAGCTTTCTGATACTTCTCTGATGCCACAAGTTGGTATTTTTAAAAGACCTAATTTTCTTCAAAGCCAGTAATATTCTGCCAACTCTAAAACTGGCTCACTAAGGGCTGATGTTCTTATTCTTCCAGGAGTTAGAGATAAAAGTGAATGGCTTCTTAGTAGCAGCTCAATTCCAGCAAGTCCCCTAGCACATGTTAGGAAAACTAGAATTTATTGGATGATATCTGAGGATGCATCTATTACTCCAGCTCTAGAAGTACCTCAAATCTGATGTAGTCCTAACTTTATTCTCACCAGAGAATTGATCATCCTCAAGATATCAAAAATGGGTGCTGATGACATCGCCACTTTGGAAAGCCGTTGGGCAGTTCCTCACAATGGTAAGCATAGAGTAACCTTGTGACCCAGCAATTTTACTCCTAGGTACACAAAAGCACATGTGTCCACACAAAAACTTTAGACATGCATTATTCATAACAGCCATAAAGCAGAAACAACCCAAATAGCCACAAACTGATGAGCGAATGAACAAAATGTGATATAGCCACACAATGATTGAAAATAAAACGATATGACATGATACACTGTAAAACATGGCTGAAACTTAAAAACATTTTGCTAAATAGAAAAGAAAATCGTCACACAGGAACATGTACTGCATGATTCTGTTTATATGAAAGGTCCAGAATAGATGGCTCTATAGGGGTAGAAAATAGACTACTGCTTGCTTAGAGCTTGGGGAAGTGGAAGAATAGGCACTAAGGGGGAAAAGGGAGTGACTGCTAATGGGCGTGTGAGTTTTTTTGGAAGGTGATAAAAACGACCTAAAATTGTGATGATGGTTGTACAACTCTGCTAACATACCAAAAATCACTGAAATGCATGCTTCAAATGGGTGAGTTTTATCATACATCATTTCTATTTCAATAAAGTTATTAAAAATGAGTACCATTTATTGTGTTTATTTACTATGAATCAAATATTGTATTAGGAAGTATATATATATGTGTGTGTGTATATACTTATTTAATTCTCTGAACAATCACTTTTAGGCAGGAAAACAAAAGCCAGAGATGTTAAGTGACTCACTGAGGCTCATACAACCAGAAATTAAAATAAGTTGATTTGACTCACGAAACAGCTGTATCATATGGTCATCAAGATGCTGCTGTAGCCTGGCGCGGTGGCTCATGCCTGTAATCCCAGCACTGTGGGAGGCCGAGGCGGGCAGATCACGAGGTTAGGAGATAGAGACAATCCTGGCTAACACGGTGAAACCCCGTCTCTATTAAAAACACAAAAACTTAGCCAGGCGTCGTGGCAGGCGCCTGTGGTCCCAGCTATTCGGGAGACTGAGGCAGGAGAATGGCCTGAACCTCAGAGGCGGAGCTTGCAGTGAGCCAAGATCATGCCACTGCACTCCAGCCTGGGCGACAAAGTGAGACTCCATCTCGAAAAAAAAACAAAAAAAAAGCTGCTGTGTCAATTGGTGGGTTCTTGGTCTCGCTGACTTAAAGAATGAAGCGGCAGACCCTCGCGGTGAGTGTTACAGTTCTTAAAGATGGCGTTTCTGGAGTTTGTTCCTTCAGATGTTCAGATGTGTCTGGAGTTTCTTCCTTCTGGTGGGTTCGTGGTCTTGCTGACTTCAGGAATGAAGCTGCAGACCTTTGCGGTGAGTGCTACAGCTCTTAAAGGCAGCGTGTCTGGAGTTGTTAGTCCCTCCCAGTGGGTTCTTGGTCTCGCTGGCTTCAGCAATGAAGTTGCAGACCTTCGTGGTGAGTGTTACCGCTCATAAAGGTGGCGTGGCCCCAAAGGGTGAGCAACAGCAAGATTTATTACAAAGAGCAAAAGAACAAAGCTTCCACAGCGTGGAAAAGAACTCCAGCAGAGAGCCGCCGCTAGCTTGGGCAGCCTGCTTTTCTTCCCGTATCTGACCCCACCCGCATCCTGCTGATTGGTCCATTTTACAGAGAGCTGATTGGTCCATTTTACAGAGAACTGATTGGTTCGTTTTGACAGGGTGCTGATTGGTACGTTTACAAACCTTGAGCTAGACACAGAGTGCTGACTGCTGCATTTATAATCCTCTAGCTAGACATAAAAGTTCTCCAAGTCCCCACCAGATTAGCTAGATACAGAGTGCTGATTGGTGTATCCACAAACCCCGAGTTAGACACAGAGTGCTGATTGGTGCATTTACAATCCTCCAGCTAGACATAAAAGTTCTCCAAGTCCCCACTAGATTAGCTAGACACAGAGCACTGATTGATGTGTTTACAAACCTTGAGCTAGACACAGGGTGCTGATTGGTGCATTTACAATCCTTTAGCTAGACATAAAAGTTCTCCAAGACCCCACCCAACTCAGGAGCCTAGCTGGCTTCCCCTAGTGGATCCCATGCCAGGGCCGTGGGTGGAGCTGCCCGCCAGTCCCGTGCCACACGCATGCACTCCTCAGCCCTTGGGTGGTGGATGGGACCAGGCACCGTGGAGCAGGGGGCAGCGCCCATCGGGGAGGTTTGGGCCACTCGGGAGCCCATGGGGCAGGGGCGGGGGTGGTGGGGCTCCGGCTCGGCAGACTGCAGGTCCCAAGCCCTGCCCGTGGGGAGGCGGCTGAGGCCTGGTGAGAATTTGAGCACGGCGCAGGAGGGCTGGCAGTGCTGAGGGACCCGGCCTGCACTCTCTGCAGCTGCTGGCCCAGGCGCTAAGCCCCTCACTGCCCAGGGTGGCGGCGCCAGCCAGCTGCTCTGAGTGCGGGGCCCACAGAGCCCGTGCCCACTAGGAACTCGCGTTGGCCCCAGTTCCCGCCCGTGCCTCTCCCTCCACACCTCCCGGCAGGCAGAGGGAGCCAGCTCCAGCCTCGGCCAGCTCAGAGAGGGGCTCCCACAGTGCAGCGGCAGGCTGAAGGGCTCCTCAAGCATGGGTAGAGCAGACGCCAAGGCTGAGGAGGTGCCAAGAGCCAGCGAGGGCTGCTAGCACATTGTCACCTCTCACTGCCTTCAGAAAAGGAGCAGATGTGTGTTATTTGGCATACCAGGATAATTAAAATGTAACATGTTGCTAACCCATAGCAAGCCCAAAAAGCAATAAGCCTCATTTGGTTGTCTTTCTGAAAGAAACACTGTCTACATGACCTGTAAAATCTGGGCAATATAAATTTTTTTTAAATTTAAATGGTCAGCTGGTTTGAATTGGTCCAAATACCTGTCTTTAAAAAATATTTAGAGCAATTTTTTTTAACTCGAGGTTTTATAAGGGCAATGAAGCAATAGAATGAGAATGAGGCATGACATAAACTTTTCAATCTACTTAATATTTAATTAAAATATAATCATATACTATAAACCAAAATTAATATATATGAAACACTGGCATTAACTTCCACTTGAGAATTGGGAAAGTTATAGAATAACAAAGAAAAGAACGTGAAATGGTGCCCCTTTGATCACACTCAGCTAAGGATTTCCTCTATTCTAGGCAGTCACAACTGTGCTAAATGCTTGACATAAATTTATATACTTGTTCTTCACAATCATTCCAACATGTGTGTTATTATTACAACTGAGAGTTGAGTAGACTGCTTCTTAGAAAGGTAAATTGCTAATGTCAGATAGAAAATGAAAGAACCTGAATTTGACCTAAGTTGCATTGTTCACAGGCTATGACCTCTCCTCTCTGTGAGGCTGTAATCACATGTATTGTACTGATTGCTAGAAATGATAAAGGCCACCCCTCGAAATTAGAACACAGATAACCTGCTACCAAATCTGAAGGAGAAAGAAGGCAATTTATCATCTCAATGAATTTTAAAAAGCCTATAGTTAATCCTCTCTCAAGACATTTCTTTTCTCAGATATTCACCTACTAGCCAATGAGAAGGGTCTTTAAGCATGTGCCTGACAAAAACCCTTCAAAACATTCCATTTCATCAATTGCCTAAAAATAAGCTCTCTAAAACATTAATAAGATTGTACTGTTCTTGATTGTGCCAAAGCAAGAGATCCTTGTTAGAGGCAATGCTGAAACTGACCCAACAGTCCCATAGATAATTTTTTTGTTCACTTGTTTTTTAAATAAACATAGAAATTGACCTTTCTGGTCTTAAAGCTTGAAACTTGTATTCATTTTATCTGTGTTCCTTCCTCAGGAAAGGACCTTCAAGCTGCTCAAAAAGAAAGTATCAAAGAACTGAAACTCACCACATCACCACATACAGACAATGAGATGAGAGACCTCTCATTCACCCATCATGATTGCTTCATTGCCCCTTCCTAGTTCCTGTTTTCTTATACATTGTTACATTTCCTCCCACTATATAAAACCCCTACGTTTAGTCAGTTAGGGAGACGGATTTAGGACTCCCATCTCCTCGACTGCAGCACCCGACTAAAGCTGTCTTCCTTCTCTTCCTTCCTTCATTGGTAGTACTTGACGAGCAATTGGCTTTCTGTGAGGTGAGCAGCAGGACCGAGACCAACCCCCAGGTGTTTCGGTAACAATACCCAATGTCTCAATCTTCAATCATATTGTTATTACTGGGGTAAAGTTGGCAAGTTTGCCTCCTGACCTCGAAACTAACTGAGAATCAAGGCTTCCAGTTGCATGTGTTTTCCAGCTGGTCATAATGTGCTAGGCATCATTCTATAAATAATCTATATGATTCTCTTGTAAAGAAAAAAATGAGAAATTATATATAGTATACTACCTTATCTATGGTTTTTCTTTCCATAGTTTCAGTTACCCAGGGTCAGCAGGAATCTGGAAATATTACTTATGGCAGATATTTTCAGAAAGAGAGACCACACTCACATAACTTTTATTTTATTTATTTATTTATTTATTTATATTTATTTATATTTATTTATTTATTTATTTTTGAGATGAGGTCTCACTCTCATCCCCCAGGCTGGAGTGTGATGACGCCATCTCAGCTCACTGCAACCTCCGCCTCCCAAGTCAAGCAATTCTCCTGCCTCAGCCTCCTGAGTAGCTGGGATTACAGGCACCTGCCACCATGTCCCGCTAATTTTTGTATTTTTAGTGGAGACGGGGTTTCACCATGTTGGCCAGGCTGGTTTCAAACTCCTGACCTCAGGTGATCCACCTGCCTCGGCCTCCCAAAGTGCTGGGATTACAGGTGTGAGCCACCATGTCCAGCCACATAACTTTATTATAGCATATTGTTATAATTGTTCTACTATATTGTTATTGTTAACCTCTTACTGTGCCTAATTTATAATTAAACTTTATCCTAGAGATGTATGTATGAGAAAAAAACATAGTACATATAGGGCTTCAGCACCATCAGCAATTTTAGGCATCCACTGGGGGCTTAGAATGTATCCCCACCAATAAGGAGGAACTACTGTAATACCATTTTAAATCTTATTTTTTCCTGAACTATTGCCAGATAAACAATCTATATTTCCTAAGCACTGTTAGTACTTGACTACAATGTTAAATTATTTTCATATCTCTTTTCAATCTGTCTTCTCAGACTGGATAATTGATTAGTTTACTTGTATTTTCAATTAGGTAGTATAAGTTGCAGCTGAAAATGAGTGACTCCTTAGAGTTTTTAAGATATAGGCAGGCTTTCACATCTTTTTAAATTCTCTAAATAGTTCAATTAAACCCTTAAGCCTAAAAAATCCCGTAGTTTACAAAATTAAACTTTTTTTTTTCCTGTAGTCATTATGCTTGCTTGCAAATCAATATTTGCAAATCAAGTTTAGATTTAGTATGGGCGTGGTGGGGAATCCAAGGTAAGAATAAGCATTTTGGTGCCACAATGTTTAAAAAAAATTTTTTGAGTTTATTCAACTAGCATATTTTAAAAATACATGTTTGGCTTACAAATCCAAAGAAAATTATTAAAGCACTCTATAAATATGAGGCAAAGTAGGGTGGAAAAGTGGAGAATAAGGCACTAAGCTTTGCAATCCATACCTCTAATAAAGAGACATGATGGGAGAATATGATCTTACCACCCTGAAGCCTGTCTGTACAAATTTTAAGCAAGTTTTTCAATCTCCCTAAACCTCAGTTTTCTCATTTATACGGGGATGATGCTTCGAGCTTTGTCACCTCATATGGTTTATAATTCCAATAACTTCACTCATTTCCATGTCTTACTGAATGCATAATAAAGTTGAAAACATTTACTAGAAGTTGGTCTTATGTAAATAAATAACATGTTTTAGAATCCTTTTTCTGGATATACATTAAAAATGTAAGAACCAAAATTATTTTGTACTATATATTATTACTTAGGTTTAGTCTCATAAGAATTCTAAATATTTCAAAATATGGGTCATTATTTTGTTTCATTTCATGACACTCATATTTTTTCCTAAATCCCTTTGTTGTAGAGGAAGACATGAATTCACTTTCACTTCACTAAAGTCTAAAGCTAGAAATCCTTACGCCACTCCCAGCCTCCCAGATTCCCACAATCCTAGCCACAGAATTGCCACTCAACCCTCACCTCACGGGCCCTGAGACTAACATAGGGAGCTACCTGGACACTGAACAACAACACTGCTCTGGAAAAGGAGCTCATGCTTGATCCCATACACCCCTTAAGTCCTAAGCAGCTGCAGCAAAGTGCCATTTTGAGATCCTAGCCCTCTCCACCCTGCATTCTGCTAGAGGCTCAACAGACCCTGCACCTCCACATCCCCAGAGCTTCATTCACTTCCACAACACGCACCCACCACCACAGCTGGGTTGCCACCAGGGTCACAGTGGGAATCATTTGTAACAACCCCACTTCCCTCAGCAGCAGACCCACTACACATCTTCATGCGCCCCAAGAGCAGACTCTCCCACCTCCAGCGGCCACCGCTGTAGGCCACTGCTGCTGGAGCTAAAGTAAGAGCAGAGTGCTTGCTCTTCACCTGCTTGCCTTTGACTGTTGTCACTGAAAGTAACCCGCCCTCCCCTGTAACAGGGCTGCAGCATGGCCACAGCCATCCCCACCTGGGCATTCCACCAGAAGCCTAGGGATAGCTCCTCCCCTGCCTATTACAGCGAGTGCCTATACACACCACCTAGGGGGCCGAGGACACCTGGGGATTGCCCAGCCTGGCCCACTATCATTGGCACCTGGACATTTATCTTGAGGAACTGAGGTCAAGCCCAGCCAACCTGTCACTATCACCACAGCTGGCACCCCCCATATGCACCAACTGTGTGACTGGGGACTGGTGCAAAAGCTCATTGCAGCCACCACCAATACCAGCATAAACTGCTTGGGAGTCATAGTGTTGTCATGCCACTGCTACTGCCATTGCCTGTGCCACATCTACTGCTCACAAACCCAAAGACCCACTCACCCAACTGGCTCACTGGCACTACCATAACCCAGGAAAGCTGCCTGGAGACCCAAGAATTAGCCAACCTGGACTCACTAACACCAGTGCCATTATATGCCTCCTGTGGACCCAAGGATGACCATGCTCAGCCTGCTGCTGCCACTATTGAGGCCTGATGACTGGTCCACCTGGCATCTTCATTCCCATAAAAACTTCACCATGGCCGCTACTAACCATACCTTAAGCCACTGGGGAAATCAATGATTCCACTGTCACTGTTTACAGCTGAAGAAATCACATGGAGACTTCCCTACTGCCTGCACCCACAATTAGAACCAAAGTGCCCTATCCAACCAACACTATTGATACATCTTTGGGAAAAAGCCCTCCCCTATGAAAGTAAATTCAAGAAATTGGAAAAAGCAACTGTTACACCAGATGAGCAGGTATCAATGTAATAACATACACACAAAAAGAAAGGAAAGGAAAGGAAAAAGGGAAGGGAAAGTGGGGAAGGGAAGGGAAAGGGGGGAAGGAAAGGGAAGGGAAGAGAAAGGAAGAAGGGAGGGAGGAAGGAAGGACTGACAAGGAAATATGACACCTCCAAAGGAATGCAGCAATTCTCCAGCAACAGATTTCAATTAAAAAATTCAACAAGTCCCAGAAAAACAATTAAAAATCATGATATTAAAGAAGCTCAATTATATATAGGAGAACTCAGAAAAATGATAAAAAGACATTTTTAAAAAATCAGTATACAAATGAGCAATGTACCGAATAGATATCATAAAAAAGAACCAAACATAAATTCGGGAGCTAAAGTATTCATTGAATGAAATATAAAATATGTTCATAAGTTTTCAATAATGCACTAGATCAAGTGGAATAAAGAACTTTAAAGCTTGAGACAGATCTTATGCAATAACCCAATCAGAACAATAATTTTTAAATAATAAAGCAGAATGAACAAAACCAATGGTACATATGAGGCATCACAAAGTGACCAAATATTCAAATTTTCAGTGCCCTAGAAGGAGAAGAGCAAACAAAAGGGAGAGAAAACCTATTTAATGAAATAATAGCTGGAAACTTCCCAGGTCTATCCAGAGATTTAGACTTACAGACACAAGAAGCTCAGAGATCCCCAAATAGTTACAATTCAAAAAGTTCTTCTCTATGGCACAATTAGAGTCAAATGTGAAAAGTCAAAAAGAAACAATTCTAAAAACAGCAAGAGAAAAGCCTCCAGACACTTATAAGAGAATCCCCACCAGACTAAACAGATTTCTCAGCAGATGTCTTACAGGCCAGGAGAGACTAGAAGGATATATTCAGAGTGCTGAAAGAGAAAAACTGCCAGCCAAGAACAGTTTACTCAGCAAAGTTTTCCTTCATATGAAGGAGAAATAAAATCTTACCTAGACAAGCAAAAGCAGAAGGAATTAATCACTAGACTGACCCTACAAGAAATACTTAAGGAAGTCCTACGCCTATAAGTGAAAGATGATATCTACACTCATGAAAACACATGAGAGCATAGAAGCCCCTGGTAGAGTAAACACACAAATAAGGAAGAGAAAGGACTCAAACGTTACCACTAGAGAAAAGCACCAAACCACAATGATAAACAATAAGAGAGAAAGGAATAAACGATATACAAAAACAACCAGAAATCAATTAATAAAATGGTGAGAATAAGACCTCACTATCAATAACAACCTTGAATATAAACAAATTAAACTTTCCACTTAAAAGATGTAGAAGAGCTGAATGGATATACAAACATAACCCCATTAGTTACATGCTGCTTACAAGGAACTCAACTCATAAAGACACATACACACTGAAAGAAAAAGGACGAAAGAAAGATATTTCATGCAAATGGAAACCAAAAGCAAGTGGGAGTTACTATGCTTATACTATACTTATATCAGACTAAACAAACTTTAAGTCAAAAACAGTAAAAAGAGACAAAGAAGGTCATTATATAATGATAAAGGGACCAATTCAGTAAGAGGATATATCCATCTAAACATATACACACAGCACTGGAGCACTCAGACACATAAAGCAAATATTAGATCTAAAAAGAGAGGTAGACTTCAACACAGTAATAGTTGGAAACTTCTACACTCCTCAGAATTAGACAGATCATCTAGACATAAGATTAACAAAGAAACATGCAATTTAAACTGCAAGTTAGACCAAATGGACCTAGCAGATATTTACAGAACATTTCATCCAATGTGTACAGAATACACATTCTTCTCATTAGCACATGCAACATTCTCCAGAATAGACCATATGTTAGGATGCAAAACAAGTCTTAACAAATTTTTTAAAATCAAAATTACATCAAGTATCTTCTCAGACCACAATGAAATGAAACTGGAAATCAATAACAAGAGGAAGTTTGGAAACTATACAAATACATGGCTATGATTAAAAAGTCAGAAAAATAGTAACAGATGCTAGTGAGGATGCAGATAAAAGAGAACTCTTACACATTGTTGGTGGGAATGAAATTAGTACAGCCACTACGGGAAAAAATACGAAGATTTCTCAGACAACTAAAAATAGAAATACCATATGATTCAGCAATTTCACTACTGGGTAGTTACCCAAAGGAAAAGAAATCAGCATATCAGAGGAATACCTGCATGTTTATTGCAGCACTGTTCACAATCGTGAAGGTATGGAATCAACCCAAGTGTCCATCAACAGACAAATGAATAAAGAAAATATGATAAATATACATAACGGAATAGTATTTTGCCATAAAAAAAGAACAAAATCTATATTATTTGCTGCAATATGGATAGAACTAGAGATCATTAAGTAAAATAAGCCAGGGACAGAAAGACAAATATTGCATGTTTTCACCCACATGTGGTCGCTAAAAATGTAGATCTCATGGAGATAAAGGGTAGAATGACAGATACCAGAGGCTGTGAATGGTGTGGAGGGCGGGTCGGCATAAGAATGAAGAGAGGTTCGTTCATGGGTACAAACATACAATTAGATACAGTTATATAGGAGAAAAAAGTTATGATGTTTGACAGCAGAGTATGGTAACCATGTTTAACAACAAAACACTGTATATTTCAAAATAGCTAGAGGAGAGGGCTTGAAATGTTCCCAAGACATAGAAAAGAAAAATACTCGAGGTGATAGAGTTCCCAAACATCCTGACTTAATCATTACATACTCTATGCACGTAACAAAGTGTCACATGTACCCCATAAATAGGTACAAATATTATGTATCAATAAAAAAGAGAAATGAAAAAAATAAAATTCAATTCCTCTTGCATCAGCTACATTTAAAATTTCCAATAGTCACGTGTGCCTACTGTCTACCTTATCGAACTGCCCACACAGAGGACTTTTCTATCAATGCCGAAAGTTCTACTGGACAACATTGGTACGAGATGTTAAACTGTTTGATTTTCTAACTAATATGTATACTTCTTTGTAATAGATGAGTTTCTAAAAATATATAGAGTTTGTTTAGTATCATAATGAAACTCTAAATGCAAGAAGATAATTGGTTATGTAGAGAAAAAGTTTCCTATTAGACTCTACGCTCCATGAAGTCAGACTATGTAATATTAATCACTGCATTCCCACAACCTAGTAGAGTATCTAACACACAGTAGGTGTTCATTATTTTTTACATTATTTTGTTGCATTTAGTCACTTTTGTGGTGAAAAATTACTGTTCAAGCATAGTAAAACTTCATGTACTTAGCACAAACCAAATAGAATTTACAGTTATCTAACTAGAGAGGTTGAAATTTATAGATGAGCTCTGAAAAAAGCATTTACAAAGCAAATTAAAAATCATATTATAAGGTACTTGACTTCTTTAAAAGATTAAAGTGGCTAAATGGTTTCAGGGACTTTAACATCTCTATTTGGAAAGAGTTAGTTACAAATGCCCCTTCAATTAAAATTGACCTTAAGGGATCCTATTTGGCAAGAGTTCCTTACCGGTAATCCTTCTAATTATAATAACACAAAATATTTAGAGTTAAAATAGTCCATAATACAGCCATCCCTAATTTAGATTGACCTTTCCACAAATACTCTTATTACTGGAATTTTGCTGAATGAGCTAGCTATTTTACCACATCATTTATTCTGTCACTATCCTAAAGATAAATAGAAAACAGTTAAAGTCTTAGTTGAATACTGCTTAATAATTTAAGGAAACAGTCTTTGATCATTATATAAAGGAGTGCAATCATAGTAGGCAATAGGAGTAAGGCAGAGTGCAGTAATGAGAATGCCTGGCTGTACAAATTAGGGCAGCCTCATCCAGTAGCTGTTGATTTGCAGCGTTTGTTGAGCACAGTTCCAGTTCTGAGAATGCTTGCTAAGTAATTAAATAAGTCCATGACTCTAAGGAGTTTTTATGTCTAGTGAGTTCCGTTGTGTTTGCCTGTCCAACGTCAGTTCCCATTTCTGCTAATAGCACCCTGATTTTGCTTTGATGATCTGATTTGCTCACATTTTAAGGCAGTCTTGGCAGAAAAGCTCAATGTCCCACCTGCAAATGAGGAGATGGCATCCTTAAACAAAACTAAGTTTAATCCTAAGCTCTCTCCATGAGATTTCCATCTTCAGCAAAATAATACAGAACCTGAAAAGAATAGATATTTATTCTTCTCAGTTAAAATGTCCAAGGAAGATGCTTCGTTATTAGCTCTATGCATACATCCCTGGACTTTTCCCATCTTGACTTTTTGAGACTGGTTCTTCATTTTTACCTCTGATTCTTTCAGCCACCCCATATTTTTTTTTACCAACTCCCTTTTATATAATTTAACTAGAAGATTATTCCATTTTACACAACCAAAGAACATTCATGCCATGTCTGTCAGGAGGATTGCTAATTAAAAACAATTGTAATGCAATGTCTAAAATTCTAGGTGTAAGAATTCACAATAGCGATGCCATTTTTCTACCTTGGTAACTGTGTTTCCTACCTTGGTGACGGTGTTCCCAAAACCAAAGCAAAGGTCAATCTCACCCATACCCTTAACAGAGCTTAACAACCCTGACCACAACAAAGCCTGACTGGCCCTTATCGCATCCTTCCCCAGGCCCCTACAGTGTCAGCGTGCCAGCGCTTCCCCAACCCCTCACCTATAGAAACAGTATTATAAAACCTCACCTTGTAAGCTGTCAGTGTCTCAGCCAGATTCCTGACTGGGACCCCTAGCAGGCTTATTCTTGTAAATAAACCTGTTTAGCCATTGATTTGCCTTCTCTCTCACTTCCTTCCTTTAAAAAATCTTCCAGCCAGCAAGAGAAAGCAAGAAAGATCTAAAATCAACACCCTAACATCACAATTAAAGAACTAGAGAAGCAAGAGCAAATGAATTCAAAAGCTAGCAGAAGATAAGAAATAACTAAGGGCAGAGCAGAACTGAAGGAGATGGAGACACAAAAAACCCCTTCAAAAAATCAATGAATGCAGTAGGTGGTTTTTTGAAAAGATCAACAAAATGGATAGACTGCTAGTCAGACTAAACCAGGAAGAAGTCGAATCCTCGAAAAGACCAATAACAAGCTCTGAAATTGAGGCAGCAATTAATAGCCTACAGCCAAAAAAAGTCCAGGACCAGATGGATTCACAGCAAAAATTCTACCAGAGGAACAAAGAGGAGCTGGTACCATTCCTTCTGAAACTATTCCAATCAATAGAAAAAGAGGGAATCCTCCCTAACTATTCTTATGAGGCCAGCATCATCCTGATACCAAAACCTGGCAGAGACACAACAAAAAAAGAAAATTTCAGGCCAATATCCCTAATGAACGTAGATGTGAAAATCCTCAATAAAATACTGGCAAACTAAATCCAGCAGCACATCAGAAAGCTTATCCACCACAATCAAGTTGGCTTCATCCCTGGGATGCAAGGTTGGTTCAACATACGCAAATCAATAAATGTAATCCGTCACATAAACAGAACCGATGACATAAACCACATGATTATCTAAACAGATGCAGAAAAGGCCTTCGACAAAATTCAACAGCCCTTCACGCTGAAAACTCTCAATAAACTAGGTATTGATGGATATCTCAAAATAATAAGAGCTATTTCTGACAAACCCACAGCCAATATCATACTGAATGGAAAAAAACTGGACGCATTCCCTTTGAAAACAGGCACAAGACAAGGATGCCCTCTCTCACCACTCCTATTCAACATAGTGTTGGAAGTTATGGCCAGGACAATCAGGCAAGAGAAAGAAATAAAGGGTATTCAAATAGGAAGTGAGAAAGTCAAATTGTCTCTGTTTGTAGATGACATGATTGTATATTTAGAAAACCCCATCGCCTCAGCCCAAAATCTCCTTAAGCTGATAATTAACTTCAGCAAAGTCTCAGGAAACAAAATCAATGTGCAAAAATCACAAGCATTCCTATACACAAATAACAGACAAACAGAGAGCCAAATCATGGGTGAACTCCCATTCACAATTGCTACAAAGAGAATAAAATAAGTAGGAATCCAACTTACAAGGGATGTGAGGGACCTCTTCAAGGAGAACTACAAACCAGCGCTCAAAGAAATAAGAGAGGACACAAACAAATGGAAAACATTCCATGGATAGGAAGAATCGATATTGTAAAAATGGCCATACTGCCCAAAGAAATTTATAGATTCAATGCTATCCCCATCAAGCTACCATGGACTTTCTTCACAGAATTGGAAAAAACTACTTTAAATTTTATGTGGAATCTAAAAAGAGCCCACATAGCCAAGACAATCCTAAGCCAAAAGAACAAAGCTGGAGGCATCATGCTACCACTATACTATACTACAAGGCTACAGTAACCAAAACAGCATGGTACTGTTACCAAAGGCCTCAGAAATAACGCCACACATCTACAACCATCTGATCTTTGACAAACCTGACAAAAACAAGCAGTGGGGAAAGGATTCCCTACGTAACAAATGGTATTGGGAAAACTGGCAAGTCATATGCACAAAGCTGAAACTGGATCCCTTCCTTATGCCTTATACAAAAATTAACTCAACTTGGATCAAAGACTTAAACATAAGACCTAAAACCATGAAAACCCTAGAAGAAAACTTAGGCAATACCATTCAGGACATAGGCATAGGTAAAGACTTCATGACTAAAACACAAAAGCAATGGCAACAAAAGCCAAAGTTGACAAATGGGATCTAAGTAAACTAAAGAGCTTCTGCACAGCAAAAGAAACCATCATCAGAGTGAACAGGCAACCTACAGAATGGGAGAAAATGTTTGCAGTGAACAGGCAACCTACAGAATGGGAGAAAATGTTTGCAATCTGTCCATCTGACAAAGGGCTAATATCCAGAACCCACAAAGAACTTAAACAAATTTACAAGAAAAAAACAATCCCATCAAAAAGTGGGCAAAGGATATGAACAGACACTTCTCAAAAGAAGACATTTATATGGCCAACAAACATATGAAAAAAAGCTCATCATCACTGGTCATTAGAGCAATGAAAATCAAAACCACAACGAGATACCATCTCACGCCACTTAGAATGGTGATCATTAAAAAGTCAGGAAACTACAGATGCTGGAAAGGATGTGGAGAATTAGGAACGCTTTTACCCTGTTAGTGGGAGTGGAAATTAGTTCAACCATTGTGGAAGACAGTGTGGCAATTCCCCAAGGATCTAGAAATAGAAATAACATTTCACCCAGCAATCCTATTACTGGATATATACCCAAAGGATTATAAATCATTCTACTATAAAGACACATGCACATGTATGTTTATTGCAGCACTGTTCACAATAGCAAAGACTTGGAACCAACCCAAATGCCCATAAATGATAAAGTGGATAAAGAAAATGTGGCACATATACACCATGGAATACTATGCAGCCATAAAAAAGGATGAGTTCATGTCCTTTTCACGTATATGGTGAAGCTGGAAATCGTCATTCTCAGCAAACTAACACAAGAACAGAAAACCAAACACCAAATGCTCTCATTCATAAGTGGGGAGTTGAACAACGAGAACACAGGGAGGGGAACATCACACACTGGGTCCTGTCAGGAGGTAGAGGGCTAGGGGAGGGATAGCATTAGGAGAAATACCTAATGTAGATGATGGGTTGATGGGTGCAGCAAACCACCATGGCACATGTATACCTATGTAACAAATCTGCACGTGCAGCACATGTACCCCAGAAATTAAAGTATAAAATAAAAATTTCTGGCTGAGCATGATGGCTCACGCCTTTAATCCCAGCACTCTGGGAGGCCAAGGCAGGCAGATCACCTGAAGTCAGGAGTTCAAGACCAGCCTAGCCATATGGCGAAACTCCATCTCTACTAAAAATGTAAAAATTAGCTGGGCGTGGTGTAATCCCAGATACTTGGGAGGCTGAGGCAGGAAAATCGCTTGAATCCAAGAGGCAGAGGTTGCAGTAAGCCAGGACTGTGCCACTGCACTCCAGCCTGGGCAACAAGAGTGAAACTCTGTCTCAAAAAAAAAAAAAAAAAAAAAATCTTCCTAACACTGAATTTGTCCACTAATTTTCTGTAAAATGGGGTTAAGAACACCTACTTTGTCAGAGGACTTGTGATTAAATTGAGATTGGATAAAAGTAACAAATCAAGCACACTCAGTAGGGTCTCCTCTTACAAAGATTTGGCAGAAATTACCTACAAAAACAAATACATATATATATTTAAAGGACAAACATATCATAATATTAGAATATAATAAATAGCACCACTAGAAAGACTAAAATTTTGAGGAACACTGGAAGATAGAAAATACATGAGGTTGAGTTGATAGAGGAACAGGAGGAAAGGAAATCTCAGACAACAACTACTATAGAATTGTAAGTAATTCCAGAAATAATCCGAACTCAAAGTAAAACAAGAACAAAGACCTGAGTCAGCCTTGAGGTGACCAAAGGTTATTAACTGAAATATTGATTTATTAAAGTTGGGGCAGGCAAGTTCTCAGTTGGCAGAAGGAATCTTGCCCTGGGCTTAATATTTTAAGAAAGATGCTAGTACAGGGACGGTTGGGATTATTGAGGAATTGTACATAAATTCTCCACAAATTTAAAAACAAAATAAAAAGGAAAGCATGGGAAGAACCAGCTAAGGTATTTTTGACACAGAAAACTCTAAGAAGAGGCCCTTACAATAAAAAAGAAGATATTGTAATCAGAGAAAAGATAGATAATGATTTTCTGCAGCTAAAAGAAGATAAATCTTTAGACTGAATCCTCTGAGCGTCAAAGAGATTAAACTAAAAGATAAAGAGAAAATCTCATAACATGGTAAAATTTCAGATATTCATAAATCCAGGGATAAGAAAAAAAGTATCAAACCTCCCACGGGAAAAATGGAGTTTCACAAAAGAATGAGTATTAGAGGCCATCAAAATTACTCAGTCGCAGTGGGAAGGAGAAGGTAATAAAACACACCTGAAATTGTGAAATTAAATTATTTTAAACCTAGAATTCAATGTTCAACCAAACTAGCACAGAAGTATGTGAAACAATTTTTCAATATATCCTTTCAGTTAATAAATACTTACTGAGTACTCGCCTATTACATTCTAGGCGGTCTGGGAGGTCTTGGGCACATATCTGTAAACAAAATATATAAAACGTCCTGCCTTCATAGAGCTTGCATTATAGTGGGGAACAATAAATAAGTAAAATATGTAGTATATTACATATTTGTTTCAATTACTCCGGCACACGACAAATTACAAGCATTACAACAAATAGGGGATATTATAGATTTGGTTTCAGATTACTGCAATAAAGCAAATAGCACAATAAAGTGAGTCGCACAAATTTTTTTTTATTTTCCAGTGTATATAAAAGTTATGTTTACACTATACTGTAGTCTATTAAGTGTTCAGTAGCATTATGTCCAAAAACTAATGTACTTTCCTTAATTTAAATATAATTTATTGCCAAAAAATACCATCATCTGAGCTTTCAGTATGACTTATGACGATCAGGGTGGTGGTTGCCGAAGGCTGGGGTGGGGAATGTGGCAATTTCTTAATGGCATCTAGAATAATAGATCCTTTCCAGAAAGTTTTTAATTTACTTTGCCCGGATCCTTCAAAGAAATTATTATTTATAGAAGCTACTGTCTTACAAAATGTGTTTCCTATATAATAAGACTTAAAAGTCAAAATTACTCCTTGATCCATGGGCTACAGAATGGATGTTGTCTTAGTAGGCATAAAAAAACATTAATCTCCTGTTCATTTCCATCAGTTCTCTTGGGTTATGAGGTGCATTGTCAATGAGCGCCTATTTTGAATTTTTTTTTTTTTCTCAGAAGTGGTTCTTGGCCGGGCACAGTGGCTCATGCCTATAATCCAAGCACTTTGGGAGGCCAAGGTGGGTGGATCTTTTGAGGTGAGAAGTTCAAGACCAGCCTGGCGAACATGGTGAAACCCCGTCTCTACCAAAAATACAAAAAAATTAGCTGGGCGTGGTGGCACAAGCCTATAATCCCAGCTACTTGGGAGGCTGAGGCAGGAGAATCGCTTGAACCTGGGAGGCGGAGGTTGCAGTGAGCCGAGATTGCACCATTGCACTCCAGCCTGGGCAACCGAACGAGATTCCATCCCCCCGCCCCCCCCCCAAAAATAGAAGTGGGTCTCAATATTGGACTTAAAATACTCAGTAAGCTATGCTGTAAACAGATGTGCTGTTATCCAGGCATTGTTACTCCATTTATAGAGCTCGGGCAGAGTAGATTCAGCGTAATTCTTAAATTACGTAATTAGAAATTTTGAAATGGTCAATGAACACTAGCTTCAACTTGAAGTCATCAGCTTCATTCCCTAATGAGGCAGCCACTCCTTTGAAACTTTGAAGCCAGGCATTGACTTCTTCTCTATAACCATGAAAGTCCTAGATGGCTTCTTCTTCTAATAAAACCTGGTTCCATCCACACTGAAAATCTGTTGTTCTTCAATAATTATTTTCGCTAGATCTTCTACATAACTTGTTGCAGCTTCCGTATCATCACTTGCTGCATCACTTTGTAAATTCATGTTATGGAGATGGCTTCTTTCCTTAAACCTCATGAACCAATCTCTGCTGGCTTCAAACTTTTCTTCTGTAGCTTTTTAATGCCTCTCAGCCTTCACAGAAGTGAAGAGAGTTAAGGCCTTGCTCTGGATTAGGATTTTGCTTAAGAGAATGTTGTGGTTGGTTTGATCTTCTATCCAGACCACTCAAACTTTCTCCATGTGAGTAATAAGGGTGTTTTACTTTCTTATTATTCATGTGTTCACTGAAGTGGCACTTCTAATTTCCTTCGAGAACTTTTCCTTTGCATTCATAACTTGACTTGCGGTTTGGCACAAGAACCCTGGCTTTTAGCCTACTGTGGCTTTTGACATGCCTTCCTCACTAAGCTTCATCATTTCTAGCTTTGATTTTAAATGAGAGGCATGTGACTTGAACACTTAGGGGCCCTTGCACAGTTATTAATTGGCTGAATTTCAGTATTGTTTTGCTGCAAATAAGAAGCCTTAAGAGGGAGAGAGATGGAGAAATGGCTGGTAGGTGGAACAGTCAGACATATTGTTTAGTGATTAGGTTTGGCAGTCTTACGTGGGGGTGATTCATGGTGCCCCTAAATGACTATAGTAGTAGCATCAAATATCACCTTAAAATATATGATAATAATGAAAAAGTTTGAAAATTGTGAAAATTACCAAAACATCACAGAGAGACATGAAGTGAGCACTTGCTGCTGGAAAAACGGGGCCAATAGACTTGCTAGTTTCAGGGTGGCCACAAACCTTCAATTTGTAAAGAAATGCAATATCTGTGAAGCACAATAAAGCAAAGTGCAATAAAACAAGATCTGCTCATAGGCCAAACCTCAGTGACAGAATAATGGCCATTTATCATACTTACGGATTCCGTCAGGAAATTGGATAGGGCACATCAGGGACAGCTTGCTTCACTCCCTGACATTTGAGGCATCAGCAGAAGAGGGCTAGAGACTGGAGTCCTCTGAATGCTCACTCATTCATGCCTGGAAGTTGATGCTGGTCATCTGTTCTGACCTTAACTGGGAATTCCTACATGGGCTCTTCCTATGTGGCCTGGGCTTCTTTCCTAACATTGCTGGAGCCCAGAACATGATAATCCCAAAGTATGGCACCTTGGCATATTGAAAATTTTAAGCTGACGAAAGTTGAGAAAACTGCAGAATCAGGAAAGTCACTCTGATTTTCTCCCACCTTTCTCCCCTGAAGCGGGCCATAAAATAATTCTCTGAACTACCTACAGATTCTAAGACCCTATTTCCAGAGGGATCCTGACCTATACCCAAAGACCCAGATGAATCTGAACAGGCCTTGCTAAGTTTACCCTAGTTTATTACCATTCGATCACACCTTTTGGCCTCTAATCATACTTGTGCACAACTGGCCATGAAAATACATTTTTCGGCTGGGCCAGGTGGCTCACATCTGCAATCCCAGCACTTTTGGAGGCCAAGGCAGGTGAATTACGAGGTCAGGAGATGGAGACAATCCTGACTAACACAGTGAAACCCCATCTCTACTTAAAAAAACAAAAATACAAAAACAAAAATTAGCAGGGCATGGTGGCGGGCGCCTGTAGTCCCAGCTACTCGGGAGGCTGAGGCAGGAGAATGGTGTGAACCCGGTAGGCGGAGGTTGCAGTGAGCCAAGATGGCATCACTGCACTATGGCCTGGGAGACAGAGCAAGTCTCCGTCTCAAAAAAAAAAAAGTCTGATTATAGACTAACCAACTTGAGGTAGTCTCTGTAATATTGCAGCTGGGTCTCCAAGATTATCCCAAGATTAGCCACCAAAACTTCTAAGTAGGCACACAATTAGATACTATCATACAGTTAGATAAAGGTGCATGGTGAAAAGGAGAGTATGGTAAGAAAAAGAGGGATGTGTTGTTTCAAATAAAGTATATTCCAAGGCTATAAGACTTAGGAGGAAAAAAAAATGTTTCTGTAGTAAACTTCAAGGTTACATCTTGAGACTAGAGAGAAAGAGAGAAGGGAAAAAATGTTTCATGGTGCATTTTCAGGCTAAACTGTTCATTTACAAAAGTACTGCACTATATATATGTATATATATTTGAGACAGAATCTCTGTCACACAAGCTAGAGTGCAGTGGCACAATTATAGGTCACTACAGCCTCAAATTCCTGTTCTCAGGCAATCCCTCCCTCCTCAGCCTCCCAAGTAGCTGGGACTACTACAGGTGAGTACCACTATGCCCATTAATTTTTAAATTTTTTTGTAGAGAAAGTGTCTCCCCATGTTGCCCAGGCTGGTCTCGAATTCCTGAGCTCAAGTGATCCTCCCACCTTGGTCTTTCAAAGTGCTAGGATCACAGGCATGAACCACTGTGCCCAGCCCTGTACAATATTTTTGTAGAGGAGAGCAACACTGGTTATTTTATGACCTCATTTCCACTAGATCTTTGGTACACTTTCCAAAACCTGGGAACTTCTGTTGTTAGTTAGCCTCAATTTGTTTTTGAATAATGCAATACTTCCCTTGTCACATCCCTTAATTAACTGCTGAAACAGAAAACAACGTGTGTTACTTTATACTTTGATAGCCACCATTATGAAATCCTTCATTTGATATCGATAAGCCAATATCTGTAAAATCAAGGTCAACTTTTGAGTATGCTATTGATTTGAGCAAGTACTCATTAGAAATAGGACATGTATCAAGTCTGCGTCAAGGCAGGGGTTGGACCATAGAAGTCCATAGGACAAAGTCACTCTTCTTCAGCAACTAAGTTCAAGTAGGAATGAGATATGATTCACATATGAATTACAGGTACAGTCATATACTCAACTAACTAGAAGGCACTGACAAAATGTTGTCAGGGAGATAAGAAACCATGATAGTGCACAAATGGGAACACTATATGTTCATATTTACTCAACATCAAGGTATAGACTCTTTTCTTTAAAAATAAAAACTAGATACACAGAAAAAGGAAGCCTCGAGGGACTCTCATCACCTTTCACAGGAGTGGTCCCCATACCCTCACCCCTCCACACCCTCACCCCTCACCCACTTATAGTTTTCTCAGCTTCTTCATCCATCCCCTTCCTGGAACATTATCTTTCCCCATAATATTGGTAGAGAGGTTGTCTTTCTGAAGAGCTGTGAGGGAAATAGTGGCAGAGAAGCACACATCAACATTTATTGAGTGCCTGCTGCAGACTAAGGGAACAGGCACTGTGTTTAGTGAGGGAACTGGAGGACCCACATCTACAAGGAGGTCAGGACATGGTAATTCATACAATAGCACTGAATAAAACCAGCAGAACCCCAAATAGAGACTGCACGGGTCCTGCAAGAAAAAGTCCTGGGATCTGAACTCTGGATTCTAGCTGCAAATGCAAACTGGAAAATATGTGCTGGGACACAAGTTGACACTGAAAATCATTAGAGAAGGCGAAGCTAAATTAATCATGCTTGGCACAACTGCCGTGCCTCAGGATGATTGAAAGGAGTACTATGGGCCAGGCGTGGTGGCTCACGCCTGTCATCCCAGCACTTTGGGAGGCCGAGGCAGACGGATCACTTGAGGTCAGGAGTTCGAGACCAGCCTGACCAACATGGTGAAACCCCGTCTCTACTAAAAATACAGAATTAGCTGGGCATGGTGGTGCATGTCTGTAATCCCAGCTACTTGGGAGGCTGAGGCAGGAGAATCACTTGAACCCAAGAGGTAGAGGTTGCAGTGAGCTGAGATGGAGCCATTGTATATTATACTCCAGCCTCAGCAATGAGCAAAGCTTTGTCAAGAAAAAAAAGAAAAAAAAAGAAATAAAAGAAGAAAAAGGAGAAGTAAGGAAGGAAGAGAGAGAGAGAGAGAGAGAGATGGAGGAAGGGAGGGAGGGGGAGGGAGGGAGGAAGAGAGAGAGAGAGTACTATGGCTTGTTGGCTAAGATCAGTGAGTACCATGCAATGCTGAATTGGGCACAGCTGTGGAGTGTACTACAACACGTGTACTCTGAATCTCATTGATCCAGGTAGGTGCACCTCCTTCGGCACCTTACAAGGTCTGGTTGGAATCCAGTTGCTCTAGGATGTGAAATATACACAGAAGCACAGAGCTGTAGTGGATAGTGGAGCAGAAGTAAGTGTGCAACGTCCTGTGCTTTATGAGCTCTGTCTCACAACGAACACATTCCTAAAAGATATTCAATAAAGGAATATACAGATGACTTATAAAACATGAAAAGATGCATATTCTCACTCCTAATAAGAAAAAAGTAAATTAAAACTAGACTGAGGTACTATTTTGCACCTGTTGGACTAGCCAAAGAAAGTTCAAGGAAAGACAATAAACAGTGTAAAGAAACAGGCATGCTTAGACACTGCTTAGAGAAAAATAAATTTATATAGTTTTTATGGAGTGTAGTTTGGTGATATCTATTAACATTAATCATATTAAAAGGACATTTCCTCCATGCAACACTTCTAGAATTTTTATCCAATCAATCTCCATGCAAGCGTGTAGGAAGTTATCCCTTGCCACAATGCTTTCATAGCATAAGCACCCTAACAACCAGCAATACCAGGTTAATAAAATAAATTATGCCATATTAAACATTGGGATACTATACAGTTCTAAAAAAGGAGTACAGTACTGGCATAAGAAAATCTGATATAGGAAAATCTGTTACACACATTTCATAGAACAACACATATGTTATCTTTTCTGTAAAAATGAAGAAAAACAAATATTTACATTTACACATATACAAATAAAGAAATTCTAGAGAAATACACATCAAATTAATAGGTGGTTAGATTAGGTGTGGGACTTTTTTTGGTGAGGTGGTTGGGTTGTTTTGTTTATTTTTGTTTTCAAAGGGACAGAACTCAACTGATGGGAAAGAGGGACTTTCATTGTACAGTTTTTAAGATATTTGCACATGTGAATATATTACTTACATAAAGAATTAAGTAAATGGATTTTTTTAAGTTACAAGTATCTGTAGCTATGTAGTGGACTAGAAGCAAAATTGAAACATGAGGTTGCATGGTTCCTTCTGACACCTGTCAAACCTGGCTATCAGGAAAAAGTATCATTTGTTCAGAAGGCATCTGTGTTCCTCAATCTTGTCTTGACAAATTCTTAAAAGATAAGTATTTTGTCCAAGTCTGTTCCAGGTGAAAAATTCCACATGATTTTGTGAAGGTTTGCATAATGTTATTATCCTTCTTTTTATCATAGTGATTTTAGTAATTTTTAGTTAGTTTGTCCTGGTGCGTATGATGGAGAGCAGGCAAGCCCCAAATTGGGGCTTAGTCCAGGAGGGTTCCTGGCTTCGCTCAGAAAAGAATTCAAGAGTGAGCTAGTGTTAGAAGGAAACCGCTTTACTGAGGCAGCAGTGTTACAAGCTCTGTGACTGCTCCTGCAGAGCAGGGCTACCCTATTGGTGGTGTTTGCAGAGTAGCAGCTCAGAGGCAGTTCTGTAGTCATATTTACACCCACTTTTAATTTCATGCAAACTAAGGGGCAGTTTATGCAGAAATTTCTAGAAAAGGGTGATAACTTCCAGGTCATCGAGTCATTTCCATAAAAAGGGGTGGTAACTTCTGGGTATTGCCATGGCAATGGCAAACTGACATGGCACACTGCTGGACATGTCTTATAGAGAGGTGCTTCTGCCCCTTCCCTGTTCTGTTTTAGCTATTCCTATATTTGGTCCAGTGACTGAGCCCCACCTCTGCAGTTGAGTCCTGTGTTCTACTTCATGTACTGTGCATGCAAAAGTATTCAGTCACTTACAGTGATAAGCCTGAGCAAAACACTTTAGCATCTACCTGGAAATGTCCAATAAAATGGGTACACAAATGTGGAATTATGGGGAAAGCTTTGAGTAGAAATATATATTTGAGATTCATCCATGTTTAAATGGTACTTAATTCATGCAATTGGATTAAATCACTGTCTGAGCCTGGATTCCCTCTGAAAAGACCCTGAAACCAGGGCTTATTGACAAGTTGTTTATTCAAGAGGCAGTTCTAAGAAAGAGGATAAAAGACCATGAAGAACAAATGAAGGAAGGAAAAAGAGCCAATGCAATCATATATTATCAAGTAGATCACTGACTCGGGCAATAGGAGCTTGATTCCACTAGAATCTTCTGAAAATCATTTGAAGTGTTTCACAGTATTGTCTCATTTGAGGACTGACCAGGAGAAAGGTTTTTCTATCAGCTCCAATGATTGAGGAGTCACCCACAGGGCTTAACTCACCAGGACTTCCAGGCTGAGCCTTTGCACCTAATAGGCAGGTGCCACCCCCAGGTTAGGAGAAGCCTCAGGCAGAGATTATAAAGGAGGTGAGAGCTGCAGCCTGAAGTGAGTAGAAGCCTGCACATGGACCTCTTTGCCATAGTCCTGGCTAGAATCCTAAATAAGGCTGGCAGGAAGTAAAGCAGATCACACAGGACCCCTATGAAACAAGAGGTTTGAGTATTGACCCTGGAGCACCCCCATGTTTAGATGTTGAGGAGATAATAAATACCCAGCAAAGGAGACAGTGGAGCAGCTGTAGCTGTAGAAGGAAAACTGTTTCCTATTGTATGCCAGGCCAGGTTGTGAAGGTCTTTAAAAATTCACAAAAGAACTATTGTGTTGGAAAATGAAACTGTTGTATCTACTGGAGCAGGGTATGATGTGATCAATATTATGCCCGAAAAAAAATCTGATTTAATTTGGAGTGCTTTAACAAATGTCTTATCATCAATTCAAATCTGAATTGATGCTTACAACAGTGGACATGGGTATATGTCTAAGTTTAGACTTTGTGCTTATTTTTTAATTGTGAATTTTTGTCATTTCATTATCTCTAACCTTCAGAAAAAGGGGAGTGTTCAGTTGACCATTTGCTTTGTTGAAGTAATGCAAATGATAATATCTATGCCAAACAACCAAAAATGTTGGCTTTTTCTACTTTCTGTTATCGTTAGAGTACCTATTCTCTATTTATCTACTATGTACATAAGTTCCAGAGCATCATAGTCTTGAGAACCACATGTGAATATTCCTTAAAAACGGGGAGTAAAGTTGAAAGGCTCATAAAGAATATGCAGAGTCCGGCAGCGTTCATGCAGCTGCTTTGCAGTAGTTTGGCTACGGTTCGTTCATTCCCACCAAAGCTCATGTTGAAATTTGATCCCTAATGTAGCAGTGTTGGAAGGTATGACCTAGCAGAGTGGTGTGAATGAAGAGACTGGATCCCTCATAAATAGATTCATGTCCTCTTGCTCCTTTCCACTGAGGTGAGTGAGTTCTAGTGGGAATGGATTAGTTGTTGTTAAAAAGAATCTGACTTCCCCAATTTTACTGTCTTGCTTTCTTCCTCACCATGTGATCTTTTTGCACACACTAGCTCCCTTTCTGCTGTCCACCATGAGTGGAAGCAGCCTGAGGCCCTGACCAAATCCAGATGCCCAATCTTGAACTTTCCAGCCACCAGAACCATGAGCTAAATAAATCTCCTTTCCTTATAAATTATTCAGTTTCAGCTATTCTGTTATGGCAACATAAAACAGACTAAGACAAACTCCAACTTTTAAAAAATCTAAGAATAAACTTTACAAAACGTATATAGAAACTTTATTTAAAAAGTTATTAAACTACTGAGGAACACAAAAACAATGAAATGAAAATGGAAAACTATCTTGTTTTAAGTAGTTTTATCAGGCAGGATCCTGACAGGAATCAGAAGTCACATTTAAAGAGGTAATTCAAAGGACCAAGTGTGGCCTTAATTAGAAAAATCAGGAAAAGGAAGGACCCAGGGTTAGCAAGAATGGGAGCCATCACCTTCCCATAGGTCTGAAGTATCAAGAATAAGAATCAGTTACTCATCTGAAGTTGGATTCAATAGCAGGAGGGGGCTGCCCAATGAGGGTTAAGGGATATAGTCACTGTCACATAATGGCCTACAGGAGAGGAAAGGAGGAGACAAGTAAAGTAGATGTCACTTTTTCCTTGCCCCCTAATGTCCTACCAGCATCTTACATTGCCTACACCCATTTGAAATAGGCTATGCCAATTGATGTGCTTCATAAAAGTCAGCCTCCCAGGGAATATAACAAGGTAGAGAAGAAGAGAGATTGGCTCTGGAGAGGCAAATGGGAACTATCCTGCACAAAGACTAATTTTTTTAAATGTTATAAATTGACCACAAACTGACCTCTAAATGTAATACAAAGTCAATTAAATTCAATGGATATTTTAACTTGGAAAATAAATGATTCTAAAGTAAATCTACAATAACAAACACATCATGTGCAGCTTGGATAATTCTAAAATGAGTGAGTAATGAAGCACAAGAGCTATTTAGTCTACAGATATATGCTATTATGTTGCTATATAATAAAATTAATTTGATGCTAATGGAAAACGAGAATGACTAATTTATTTTTTGACATAGACAGTCCAATGATAAATCCAAGTATATATTGAAACAATGGCATTTAAATACACGAAAAAATAATTTAAAAAAATCACTACAAAAACGGGATATAATCATGGAGAAAAAGATTTTTATGTTATACTTTATGTAAAAATAGATTATAGATGGATTTAACATCAAAATATATTAGAAAAATATAAATTTATGAAAAATATATGCTATGATAGGTAAATATCAGGTAATATAAATAAATTGTACAAAAATCTTGGCATGGGGAAGAAATCACTCTGTGTCTCATTTAACCCAGCCCAGCATCTTGTACTGAGCACCTCTCTGGCTGTATTACATGTCCTCAGTAATCAGCTAGTTAACAAACATATCAAAATCAGAACACATAAAAGCAAAAAATTGATAGAACTGACCAGAAAAGAAATGTATATTCGTATAGAGTCAAAATGAACAAAAATGTGGCAAAATGCAAATTAATAAATGCAAAGGAATAATTGCATATATTCGCAATTTCTCATAGAAGCAACCTAGGTCCCCACCAATGGTGAATTGGGCAATATATAAAAATGCCTTAGAGATCATTAGAGAAAGGTAAATAACTCAATAAGAAAATTGGCAAAATAAATGAACAAATAACACAATGACAGGAAAATATAACTAATGAAAAGGTAAATTTACAAGTTTAACACTATTAGAAATAAAAGAAAAACAAGTTGTCTATACAATGACTTTTTTAGCATGAGCCTAACATTGATAAAAATTGAAGATTGAAAATTAGTGTCAATCATATGGTAAGCATAGGTGAAGGTAAGGGAAAATCTCTCACATAGTTGGTCAGAATGTATAATGTTTAAGTTTCTATCAGGTAATCTGGCAATTTATTCTAATAATTATAATTATAAATGATTCATAAATAATTATAAATAGATATAAAATTATGGTTATAAACAAAATATTAACCACATATGAGATTAGTGTGGCATTAGACTATCTGTGTAATGTATTTATATACCACAATTAAAGATAAAGTAATAGAAGGAGATTTATTTCACAGAAAGCTGTTCATGAAATTTGTCAACTGAAAAAGCAAATGAACAAAACAATATCACTTCAGGTCATAAGGCAAATTAGACACCTTTATATTTTTGATATGAACTGCCTTTTAACTGAATAAACATAGCAGTATTATTTTAAGTGCATTGCTGAAATCCCAAGGATGTCAAGGATTGAAAAAGAAATGCATTAAGGTGTAAAGCATGTGGTAAGCACTGCTTGTCAGTGGTGTCTCCTGGAGTTGTGGAATGCCTGCAAGCTGTGGCCATGCACTGTGTCACTGGAGATAACTATGGAGTGTGGGCCTCAACTTGGACTAAGACCTTAGCTCTATGTGAGCTAAGATAATTTGATAAATAAAGCTAGTTTAAAATTGTTGTTAAAATGAAATAGTCTCCAGAATTGTCACTATTAAATATAATTCAGACATTTTTCCCTGGGTCAGACAGGCTTATGCTGTCTCTGTTACTTGTTTTAAGGTCATAAAACTGCTGCTTCTGTAATATTGTTCATACTTGCTTGATTTGTCTGTGAGCTACAGTTGTAATGGACCAGATCCTGGGCTCCCCTGAAGCACTGCTCACATCTTACTATGAGCTTATGCCTTTGCTTTGAACCTCTGGATTCCAGGGGATGGACCAATGGTCATGGCGAGGCCTGAGGACATATGTGTGTCCATAACGCATGGGCTACCAGCACCAAGGCAGAGCCAAGACCAATATGGCCCTGTCTTCCCTGGCCCAACGTCACCTCCTGGCCAACCTGGGAGGGGTTGGATACTCCAGGAATTCGTCTACACAGCTCTGTCTTCTGTCTTGAACTCTAAGCCTAGTGTGTAAATTCAGGGTCCTGGCAAATTCTGCCCTTCACAGCCATCCTGGGTGCCACATGTATACTCAAGACCTAGGATAACTGAGGAAGACATTAGGGAGGGTATCTGTGTCATAGTTTCAAAATTCTTTTCAGTAATTTAAAATCTTAAAGTCATGTTATGTTAAATTAAGTAATAGAAAATCATAAAATCTGTGAGTCATTTCTAAGTTAAAATACTGAAAAATTAATTATTAAATAAAAATTTAAGTTTACATACTTTGGCATGTTGTTTTTGTATGATATAGAAAAGCTAAATATATGTAGATCTGTTAACAAACAAAAACATTGAAAAAACATCTTTCTAAAAAAATTGGTTTTATCTAAAAATACTGATATAAAACAGTTCAAAATTACTTTCTAGGTTTTTCACTGTTAGGGTTACTAACAGTTACAACTGCAGTTAATATTATAAATGTCGTTAAAACTACTAGAAAAAAATCTATGTACAGAGTATTAAAAAAGATGTGTTTTTTTACAAAGAAGTTTATAAAAAACACAAGAATGTAGTTTTGTTAACAGAAAAGTAATTTTGTCTGTTTTAGAAGTTTTGTGAGTTGTTACTAAATGCAGGAAAAAATATAGAAAAAAACTAAATGGGGACGGGCACAGTGGTTCACACCTAAAACCAGCACTTTTGGAGGCTGAGGTGGATGGATCACTTGAGGTCAGAAGTTCAAGACCAGCCTGGGTAACATGGCGAAACCCTGTCTCTACTAAAAATACAAAAATTAGCTAGGTATGGTGGTGGGTGTCTGTAATCCCAGCTACCCTGGAGGCTGAAACAGGAGAATCACTTGAACCGAGGAGGCAGGGGTTTCAGTGAGCTGAGATTGTACCACTACACTCCAGCCTGGAAGACAAAGTGAGACTCCATCTCCCCCCAAAAAAAAAAAAAAAAAAAAAAAGGAAACGGAAACTAAATTGCTATAAAAACTTGGGGAAAGAAATAACATAGAATTCATAAGAGGTTACAAGGGGTTTACAGGCTTAAGGGTTTATCTTCTTGTGTGTTCAAAAGCTGAATGTGATTGGATAGATTTATTTACTAGGTTTATTAACATTAGCTTTTGTATCAATAATACACTAATATAAAACTAAAATTTGATTTTATTCTTTGAACAAGAATTTCATGAAGTATTAATAATAAAATATTTTTTTACTATTAATAGTAAAATAGTAAAATATTTTTGTTCATTTTTTGAACAACTACAATAAAAAGAGGAGAGAGAAGGAGAGACAGATTCTGTTTCATCTTGTCTCTATTAGGTCTTTTGATTGGAAAATTGAGCTTTTTCTCTATCAGAAAATAAAAGTTTTTGCATTTAAAAAATTTAATTATTACTTTGGCTAAGTGAATGGCCTATTTATAGTGTAAAAGTTGTCAGAATAAAAATGTAATCACTAATTTTTTTTTAAATCTTGACAAATAGAGCCAAAAAAAAAACCCATAAAGAAAAGGTTTTCACACTTGTATGGCTGGTAACATAAAAGACTCCACAAAAACCACAACCTTGCACAAACATCATCACAATCTTACATGAAAACTACTTCTACCATAACATCTGCCCAGCAACTATCTGTTGCTGGGTTCAATCTTGGACTGACATCACACTTATTACTAATATTTGTAGCCAAAGATAATTATTTCAAAATAATTATGTAATCCTCTTCATTTTTTTCTTTAAAAACTTGTGTGTTCCTTTACTTCTCTAAATACATGTATGAACCCCAAAAATCTGAGCTAGGTCTCAGTTAATTTAGAAAGCTTATTTTGCCAAGGTTGAGGACATGCACCCATGACACAGCCTCAGGAGGTCCTGATGACATGTGCCCAAGGTGGTCAGAGAACAGTTTGGTTTTATACATTGTAGGGAGACATGAAATATCAATTAACATATGTAAGATGAACATTGGTTCAGTCTGGAAAGGCAGGACAACTTGAAGCGGGAAGGGGGATTCCAAGTCACAGGTAGGTAAGAGACAAATGGTTGCATTCTTTTGAGTTTCTGATTAGCCTCTCCAAAGGAGACAATCAGACATGCGTTTATCTCAGTGAGCAGAGGGGTGACTTTGAATAGAATGGGAGGCAGATTTGCCCTAAGTAGTTCCCAGCTTGACCTTTCCTTTAGCTTAGTGATTTGGGGGCCCCAAGATATTTTTCTTTCACATTTCCCCCTTTTCTTTTTTAAAATCTTTTGGAGAAAGCATTTTAGAAGAAAATGAATCTCTTGTCTCAGGTTTCATCTGATCTCTCATGGTTAGGATGGCTTATTCTTAGACAGGTAGGTCCTGAGTTATTAGGAAAGCTCATTTTTAGAAGGTTGTGAAGTCTCATGTCCTCTGAAGACAGAATAGGGGGAGGAAGAGAGAAAAACAACAAAAAAGAACAATTCTGGAAAATCGATAATAGGACACAGTACTCTGAAGTCCATACATCAGCAGGTAGGGATGAATTTGGCTTATGTATGTAAATGTATGTATGCTGTTATTTTCTTCTGAAGTTTAAGTTGTCTAGCTTCAGTTCACAGGGCTTTCTGAAAGCACAACTTAGTTTTCAGTGAATCCAAATTAGGAAAAATGGGGGAAAACCTGAAAGAAAAAATTGAAAACATTATTTTGAAGACGTATAGCCAAGAAAAATTAGAATTTGGTCCAAACTGTGGAAAATGGTGAAAATTTAAAAACGTTAGGCAAGATTAGAATCTAATACAGGTGTACTATAGTTTTGAAACATAATTTTTCCTCTCTCCAGTTTCTCATATTTGCTAAGGACAAATCATGGTAGCACTGATTTGCTTTATTATATTTGGCCTAATTATTTATATAAAGTACAGCAAGACTTTTTTTTACATAGGCTTTTAAAATTGGCTTTGATGGAACTTTGTTCCATAGAAGGAATCACAGATGAAACTTTTTTAAAGCTGAGCCTAGCCATGGATTTGTACCATCAAATATCTATGAGTTGGGTGAGCCTCTCCTCTTGAGGTTCCAAGACAAAACTTTGGGCTCCTAGACCTGTCAGGAAGCAACATTCTCTACTTACCACAGGTCAGGAACCCTGTTTAGGAACTGTGTAGACAAGTATGAGGCCAATTTTCCCAAGGGGCTTTTATTGGCTCCATAAGTCAAGTTTGATTCCTTAAAGGAAAGTACACCATTCCAGCCAAAGCCTTGGTAAAATAACCATTTTCTCCAATTGTGTCCTGTTATAAATGAAAACAGATTCTTATTGCACTTATGCAAGTCACTGTATTGCCATAAGTTAAGAATACTCACAAATAGTTTCCAAATTCTGGAGAAATCAGGTAGAGAAAAAACAAAAATGTTCTAAATTTTGTTCATAGGAGTATACTAAATTGCTAAAAGCTGTTAATAACTCAAAAGAAAAGCTTTCTTGATTCTGAAAAAACAAAGGATCAGCAACATTTTTAGCAAAAAGTCAAAAAGTTTACTTCAGTCTTCTATTTGTTCAGTCCACATAGTTAATTGCTGTTCTGCTTTATATTCATGAACATTTCAGCTCTCCATGAGTCCTGAAAGTTTTCCTTCTATTCTGATGTCACAATTTCCAAAGCTATCAGAAACTTGTATTCAAGAACACCTGTTCGAGTTTTACTGATGATTATAAAACTACATTCTAAGGAGGACCAAAACAAGACAACAATTGTCTGTGGATGAAAAAAGGTTTTAGGGCAGCCATAGACAAAGACACAATTGACAAGGAAATTTATTACCTCTGTGTCACACAATAATTTAACATAACAATTATTATTATTACTAATAATATACACTAAGTCATATCAGAATTATAGGAGTTTCCCATGATTTTGAAACACATACCAATAACATATTTATACAAGTACACCCTAAAGAAAACCAAACATCATTTTATATTTGACAATGCTTCCTGTATAAAGTTTATACCAAATAAACCAAATTATGTCATATTTTGTACTTTAGGGAACTTAATATCTTAAAGGATTAATAAGGTCAGAAGAAAATTTATAATTTGATTTTAGAAAGTTTGTCTAATATCAAAGGTTTTAAACACTTGATATCACAAGTCATTGTAAAATAAGTCATTCATTTGACCAAAGTGATAACTCAAGGGTTTCAAAAAAAGGCAAAAACCTTCATTCTTTGAGAGGAGACTTAATTTTCCAAACAATAATCCCAAATATAAACAGTATGAAGCCAATTAAATTTGTCTTTCAAAATTTTATGAACAATCTATCAAATTTTAATCCTTACCATAAGATATAACTTTCATAAGCCTTGTATAAACTTTATAAGCTGTATTGAGAAAACATTTAATGCTTAAAGAAAATCTTGTTAATCTGACACAGGGACCCATATGCTGGTTGCATCAATGTGCTATTGACATTAATTATTAATTTATAGAGAAATTGAACTTACTTTATCTCTCAAAATTGGCTCTTACAATCTCACATGCCCACCTCTTCCATGATAGTCCCTGGGCCTGGAGAAGTTGAATAGTTTTAATTTCTGGCCCTGTGTCTCAGGAATGCAGTTTATTTTGATTGTCATCTTTTACTGGGTCTGATAACATTATTTTGAGTTTCCGATTTAGCTTCTCCAAAGGAGGCAATCAGATATGTGTTTATCTATTTATCTCAGTGAGCAGAGGGGTGACTTTGAATGAAATGGGAGGCAGGTTTGCCCTAAGCAGTTCCCAAGCCTGACTTTTCCCTTCAGCTTAGTGATTTGGGGACCCTAAGATGTTTTCCTTTCACATCTGCATAGTTTACTATGTCATTCATATTTCCATTACAATGCTTTATTACTAAATAAACTTTTTTTTTTTTACTTTAGAGAGCCTTTCTGTGTTATTTAGGTTGACCATAGTGACCTGTGATCCCATTTTGATTAAGTGTTTTAAACTTTTGATGTATTTGACAGGCTTCTCAAAGTCAAATTTCAAATTCTAAAATTAAGTCTCTTTGTTCTCTAACTTTGGATGTTCCAAAGGACCTCTGAATAATACAAAAGAGAGATAATAAACAGGCTTATTTGATGTGTTAAATTAGATGGAAAGCACTGTCAAGAAATGATGTTTGACCTTCTCTGAGTTATTTTTTATGGATACATTATTAAAATGTGCTCCAAATTGAGTAAGAGTCTTAAAATTCTGAAATGTCTTATATATTATCCATCATAATTATGGTTTCTATGTCAAATTATTGTAGTCCACAGAAATAACTGAATTTTCTTGTCAACTGCATCTTTAACCATGACCATTTCAGATCTCGCTCACAGTTAATTGCTTAATTCTGATGCATTCTCAGAAAGCTCTTTAAAAGCAAGTAAAATCCTGAAGTATTGTACCTTCAAGCACTCTTGAATACAGGTTTCTAATAATTTTAGGGTGATATTATTTGCACTGTGTAAAATTCCCAGAACTCTAAGGAATAGCCTGACTGAATTATAAAACTGCTAACTCAAGAAGGACAAGAGTTCATTGAATACCAAGAAAATACTGTGCCAGATATTCATGCTAAATCAGCCAGCATAGAAATTGCAAAGATACGCAATTTGAATGAACACCATGGTCCAACCAAATTACCTATGATAACCCATTTAATATACATCTGAGTTGGAAAAGCAAAATTGATATTTAAGAGGATATAAATCAAGTGTTAAGCATGAACTCACAGAAAGCCTGGATGGCTATCTGGTCCTTCCTGAGTCTTTAAAGATTCCATTATTTAAAGTTCTGCACTTCATGACTCATCATAGAAGAGATAAAATGATTTCTCTCTCTCTCTCTCTCTCTGTGTGTGTGTGTGTGTGTGTGTGTGTGTGTGTGTGTGTGTGTGTGTGTGGTGACTGTTCTAAATTGCTAAAATGGTTTATTACCAATGTTTGGTTTGTCAAACCCATAACACTGGGAAGACAGTCAAAATTTTAGGTACATTTCTGCTAACTGGGTAGACCATTTGAACATTTATATAGGAATTTAATTCAATTGCCACTTTTAATGCATGTTTTCTGGTTGTATAAAAGCTTTCCCATGAAAGAACGTCAATGTTATAACAGTAGATAAAAGGTTGCTAGAAAATGTGTTTCTCTCATGAAGCATTTCTGGAGAAATCTCCAGCAATAGAGGTACTTGTTTCAGTGGATAAATTATAATACATTTAAATAAGTTATTACAGGTACAGTAGCATTAGGTAAAGCTAACTGAAATGATAATATTGCCTTGGTTGGAGGTATTGAATATTGGTGGCAATCAGATCCACTTTCAATGTAAAATATAAGTTAACTTTTTGTGAATAGTAACTGGAAGGCTTATGACACTAATGATTGCACTTCATGTATCTTTCCTTCCTGAATTCTGATATGACTAAATGCTGAAAGGCTTTAATTCATTAAGCCAAAGTGTATTTTCACTAGGTAAAGGAAGCTTTTCTTGATTCACCAACTGAGGACAATCAAACCCTTTATAATCTAGAAGCCAGATTTCTGAAAATGTCATCAGAGAAAGACTTCCATTGCCACCCACACAGCAGCAGAAGTTGGGAACCTTGAACCTTGAGTCTGTAATCTCACAACTCAGAAGGGCTCCTTCAGAATCGTGGTGGAATTGTACACCCATTGGAGACCTCAAGGTAAAGCTAATCAGCAAAGTTTCTCCCCAGAAGCAGATGGCATCCTAGATGTTGACAGCTTCCCCAAGATCACAGATCAAGGCTACTCTGATGTTATGAGACTGTTACTTTTCATATTTTTTTTCTTGGCCTGTGCCTCTATGACCAATAGAACTGGGAGGCCTTGTGTGGACCCATGGGGTATACATTCATTTTGTCAAGGATTTTGCAACCAATCTTATACATGGGCAAACTTATGGCTTGATGGATGGAAGATGAAGAGCCAATGTGGGCTAAAAATGTTAATGGTATCTTTGTTGCTCAGTAAACCAGTCAGGAATAGAATACTGGCTCACTCCTTTTAACACACATCATAGGTAAAGGGAACATTGCCCAGAGGCCTTCACCCTTCTGGGTGGGCATCATTTGTTAGGTCTCTTTTTCTATGGTTTGCATTAAATGAGGCAATGATTAGAAAATTTTCCCTCATATTAGGTTCTATAGCAAATTCTACTGCAAAGGCTATGGTCACACAACATACTTCTTTAAATTCTTTCACTAAAGTTGTGCTAAATAATAGAATTTCTCTAGATTACTGACTGAACAGAGAAGAATCTGTGCAGTTACTGACACTTCTTGTTGCATATAGATGACTATGCAGAGTATTATAGAGAGTCAGTTGCAGGGATTAACAGACAGGCTGCTTGCTTCTTGGTTAAAATGATTAGATTCTTCATCTGGTTCATCTTTTGATGTATTTAATTTGAGTTGATATTGTTCTTGGGGAGTCTGGCTAAAGAGTATATTTCAAATTATTGTATTATCCTCCTGATAGATAGTCATAATAGTTTCCCTGGTATACTGTATTCCCTCAAAACCTTTAAATGTTTACAGGCAGCCATCCGTAGAATGGTGTCTCTTTGACTGGAATGACAAAAAAAAGTAAAGAAATGTATAATCATGAAGACACCGTAACCGGGGAATGACATGCTGAGACCGGAAACTTGAAATGATCACAACTAGAAGTAGCCCCAAGATTTGGACACAGTCTTACCTAGGTGAAACCTGATCAAAAGAGTGGGGAATTGTTACACAAAATTTTAGGAAGCCATTGTTCTGGATTGAGCTCCTGAACTAGGCCCCTGAACAGACCAGACCAAACCGAAATAGAATCATTCATGCTAAATTGACTTAAGCAAACTGAAACTTTAAAAAAGCAGAGAGAGGCCGGGCGTGGTGGCTCACACCTGTAATCCCAGCACTTTGGGAGGCCAAGGCAGGCGGATCACGAGGTCAGGAGATCGATACCATCCTGGCCAACACAGTGAAACCCCGTCTCCACTAAAAATACAAAAAATTAGCCGGGGGTGGTGGCAGGCACCTGTAGTCCCAGCTACTCGGGAGGCTGAGGCAGGAGAATGGTGTGAACCCAGGAGGTGGAGCTTGCAGTGAGCCGAGATTGCACCACTGCACTGCAGCCTGGGTGACAGAGCGAGACTCCTTCTCAAAAAAAAAAAAAAAAAAAAAAAAAGCAGATAGAGCCCAACATTTCTGTCTCCTGAAAACAGGCGATCACAGCATAATAAGGAAGTCCCCCCTGCTCTAATCCTTACAAGAAAAGTAACTTGAAGTAACCAATCATTTTTTAAATTGTTCTGTTTTCTTGTTCACATCATACAAAATGCATTCATCTGCTATTTCCCAGTGGAATTTGAGATTAAATAAGTTCACTTACCATGGTGACAGAGTGATGTCAATGCCTAAAGTTTTTGTCAATATCTCAAAATTGAGAGGCTGACCAAAAGAGGAGTATGGTTAAATTGGATTTAGTCTAAGGCTGCCTCCTTACATATTTAAAGTTTGGCCTAAAGGTTTCTCCATACATAGTGAATAGGTAGTTACACATCCACTAACGGGATGTGTAAACATACTGTGACCTTTTCTTGTACCAATCACAGAATTTTGGCCAATCGCAGCTGCACAAGTGTTCAAACTGTGGTCAAATAAGGCAATGCCAAGCTGTAAAAAAATCCAGCTGTTTCTGTACTTCACTTCTGCCCTCTGTATGTCACTTGCCTTCTTCTGTCCAGGAATGTTATCTGACCATGGGGCAGACCTAGAGTCACTCTGAACCTACTGTGGTTCTGGGGGCTGCCTTATTCTTAAATCATTCTTTGCTCAATTAAACTCTGTTAAATGTAATTTGTCTGAAGATTTTTTTAACAAATCATAGGAGTTCTTTTGTTTCCAAAACATTTTAATTGTTAAAAAACAATTTTCAAATATTTAAATGTATGTGAGATTTATTAATTGGGTTAAAGTCATAATAGGAGAGATAAGCCATTAGACTGAAATCCTGTGTTTCTACATAACAGGGACACCTTCAAATATAATAAAATTAGAGAGAAAAGAATTAGGGGAAATTGCAGATGAAAAGAATCTGAGTTGAAATACTGTTTATTGCCCCACAACAAAACTTGAATTCATTTACTATTGATCCACTTACAGTAATTGACTCTGAGGTAAAATAAAATGTATTTAATTTGTTGAGTGGAAATTTAGCAAAATTTCTCTGGAAAAATGGCTTGTGAGAAAGAACACTTTTGATAAGCCTTTTTTTCTTACGCTGATACCTGTCATTTCTCTTCAAAACCACTCTACACTTGAACAAAGAACGTAAGATCAACTTTAACATGTAACTTATATTCAGTCTCCACGCTATCCATCCGACCTTCATTTATAAAAATGGTTCTGCATATTCATACAGCTTCATAAAATGCAAGAGTCAGTGCTGAGAAGGACTTTAGGCTAACACATATACTATAGCAACTTTCAAATGGGAAACCAAAAATATAATTTATTTTTATGGCATGACTCAACAGCATTAAACAGCCTGCAGATAAACTGCAAATAAAAAGTATATAAAAGTGTATATCCAACACTTTTTCATCTAAAGCTTTCAAGTAGACTCAATTATGTATAATCAGAATGCATTAATGTTTATTTGACAATATGTATCCATGGCCACAAAAGTCATAGTCACTACAAGTGTCTATATCAACATGTAGGAGTTTGCTGAAAAATACCTATGAGAATATAAAGATCTCAAGTATCTGAAAATGTTTCTGCTAATAGTGAAAAAAAGCTAAAAGTTCTGGGAAAAAATATAACAAAAAATCCTTTAAATTCATAGCTGAGTTGCAAGAAAATTGGGAATATCTCCAGCGACAAAAATTGTGGAAGAATTGAAAGCCTCAATAGCAAGCCAATGGGCTGATGCTGTTGATTCCAAAGTGGGAGCTGTTGTTGGTCTTAGTAAGTGAAGAGATTGGATTTTAATGCCTATACAAGAAAAGGAGACGAGTCCCCTTGCACAATATGGTAATAAAGATTGAGACGTCCACAAACTATGAATTTCTATGAATTAACTGGAATTCCAAATTGCAAGTTGATTTTGACATTTCTCTTGAATTGAATAAAGTATAAATCCTCATATTCAGAAATTACAGTGAGTTCCAAGTGCATTTTTTATATCCTTATAAAATAAAAAAGAAAAAGATCTAAAGCAAGCAAGTTAAAATAACAAGATTTGACAAACCTGGATAGTGAGTACATGAGTGTTCACTTTTATTATTTTCCATAATTTTTGTAAGCTTTCAATATTTCCTTAAAAGAAAAGCAAAAATATTTGACCTCTAACCTTTTTCTCACTAAACAAAAATATATGACACTTTTGCTAAGGCAACGACTCTAGCCATTGTTTGCAGAGGCCACTTTTTGAGAAGTTCAAGTATTTACTGCAATGAATACTTTAATAAAGCAGCTTCGGGATAGTAACAAGATGAAATATCTCTCACCAATTGTACTTCATTTTGCCCATCACCCTCTAGGAGTCTGAGATTCCCTTTGTAAAAAAGTTACAATCTCACAGGGTCATGGTAAAGATTCAACATGAAAAATGTATGTTGTGAACCCTAATGGGCTGTTCTAAAGTCATACTATACAGTGGGCAAGCCACAGACTGTGTATCAGACAGCCCAGCTTCCAGTGTCATTTGTGCCACTTAAAAGCACTATGATTTTAGGTAATTCATTTGATCCCACAGTGCCTCAGGTACATAACTTTAAAAGAAAGATTAATATAAAATTTTCCTGATGTACATTTTTATGAAAATTTAACAAGATAATATATATAAATAAACACAAAGTCTAGTGACCAAGAAAACCCTAAATTTCCTTTGGCTTGACTAAACTTTAGATGAATTTCTTCCAGGTGCTAGATTCCTGACTTCCTTTTACTTAGAGCAATTACTTTAGAAAACTTTCTGTTGTAAATTATTTCCCTGACTCTTTGAAAGACAGTACATTTTCCCCCAGTTTCTTGTCAACTTTACAACACAGAAATGTCTTTCTTGAGAAACTGGAAGCAATCTTTGTGGAAATCATCCCTGAAGGAGACAGCATCCCTACTTCCAGTCTCTGCTGGGTAGAAGCATAATTTCAATAAGCGGCAGTCAGCAAGCACAAGTGGTCTAATCGCATTGACCATCTATTCCCCTAACCTCCAGTACTTCCTCGCTAGCTTCCTCCTTTTCTTTCAGCAGGGTTGGGTTCAATATCTCTCCTCTATTGCAGTAGTCTTGAATAAAATCTTCCTTGCCTATTTAACTTGCTCGGAGCATTTTTCCTTTGATGTTGGTACATAGAAAATAAATAAATAAATAATTTGTTATTATTACTATAGTAATATATTAAGTAATACGACACTTTTAATAAAAAGATCCCTAAAATCTTAACTTGTATTGTCATTGCTCTATAGCCTATTTTTTAAAGAACCTTCTAGATTGAATGGGCTAAGTTAGAAGGTTATATTTAAGTCATTTCTTTAGTTTTTAATAAACGTATTTCAAAGTGAAAATGACAAGGGCTAAAGCATATTGTGAGGTTTAGTGTTGTACTTAGTTCTATGAATTAAATGTCAGACCAAGAACATGAAATATGTACTAGATTTTTTCTTGGACTTTTTATTGTTTAAGGAAATAAATCAAAATTGCTACAATTAAACTGGAAAGAAAAGAGAATAAAGAGCAGAGATTAAAAGATGGTGTTGCAATTAAAGAATTCCCTCTTTGAGGTTATTTTTCAGTCTACTTACCCTCGTGATTAAACCTGAAATCTCTCCTTTTTCTGCTATCTATTATCACTGGGGCTTAACACCTTTATAGGACTTTGCACCCACCTTCCAAATCTTTTTCTGTACATTTGTCTTTTTTCCCACATTAGCATATGAACTTTTAAAGGTAAGGATTCTATTTTTCTAACCTCCCAACTTCCTATACCTAGCTCTGTGCTTTGTGTATAATGGCCAATTATTATATATTGAATATACATTGAAAGACGTGAAAAAGAAATGTTTGCTGAAAACTCAAGGAAAAAAGAGTCAACAATGTGATTGTTGTGATGATCAGTGAAGATCATCAAGAAAAATGCATACATTGTACAGACTACCCCGCAAAAAATGCTTCTCTGCAGCTGTATCCGTGCATCCCCAAAGCAAATGTCCACTGTTCAAACACTATGAAGGCATGAAGGTTTTAGGCTAATTGCAACCAAAATTACCAACAGACACTACTTTACAGGGTAAGGAGAATTTGAGCAGGGGAAGCATTTAGGTAACAGACAAGGCAGATTACTTACAACATTCTGCCTTTTACATAAAATGATTGCAAAAGATTTTTTTTTTTTTTTTTTTTTTTTGAGACGGAGTCTCACTCTGTCGCCCAGGCTGGAGTGTAGTGGCGTGACCTCGGCTCACTTCAACCTCCGCCTCCTGGATTCATGCCATTCTCCTGCCTCAGTCTCCCGAGTAGCTGGGACTACAGGCGCCTGCCACCATGCCGGGCTAATTTTTTGTATTTTTAGTAGAGACGGGGTTTCACTGTGTTAGCCAGGATGGTCTCAATCTCCTGACCTCATGATCCGCCCGCCTCGGCCTCCCAAAGTGCTGGAATTACAGGTGTGAGCCACCGCGCCTGGCCGATTGCGAAAGATCTTTACATTACAAAGTAGTGTTTCTAATTTTTACAAAGCATCTATTTTCTTATTTCTATTTCTATGCTAATTTTTAACTGCAGAGGCATTAGCTAATCCGAACAGTATTGAAATATTTGAATATTACAGGTAAAGAACATATTGCAATATTAAATGATCTTGTCCCTTTTATATATGTGTCGGGGGGGGGGGGGTGGGATGGGGGTGCATGTGTGTATATCCAGACAGAACATAAGTGAAGCTGATGGTGACTTTTAAACATTGGCAACTAGATGGACAATGAATACTAGAATTGCAAATTTTTTATTTTGCAGAGAAACATAATCAAACTTAACATTTTCAAAAAGTCAAATAGAAGAAAACAGCATTATTTGATACTCAAATTCTAATAGATTATTTTGAATATTTGAGAACAAAAATACCTTATGATAATAATTTGAATATTTCAATTGTTTAATTTGATTTACATACTTGATAAAAATATATTTAAATTTTGTATTGCTTGGCTACATTTTTTCAATCCTTTAGATCATTGAGAATAAGTCAATAAAATAATAGAAATAAAACCTACAAGAATAAGGCTATAGAAAATGACTGAAATTAAAAAGAGAAAAATTTTAAAGAGGCATCGTGTTTACATTTTAAAAACCAGAACCAATAAAAACAAGCAGCTTTTGGTAAGCATGGTCAATATGAAATTTAAGAATGGGCTTTACTAATTGTTTATTTAATGAATAGTTAATTGTTGATCACACAATGAAAATATACAAAAAAGGATTCTCGTTAACTTCACAACTCAACAAGGTCAGATTAAATCTGCAATGTCAACTTTTTTGCTAAAGGAAGAGATAATTTCCGGTAAAAATAATCAGAATAAATGAGATAATTATTCATATCAAGTTCATAACTCAAAACAAACCAATGCGATTATGGCCTGTCCATTAGAAGATGAAGAAAATTTATGCCTCAAATCAGCAAATTACAAGTGGAACAACTGGTGTTATACCAGTTTGTTTGATGATGATCTGGGAAAAGAACTCTCTCCTTGTGACAGAGGAAGAATTTTTTTAGTAAATAAAATTAATGATTTTTCACTGGATAAACATGTAAGAAAATTTAGTATTTTAAAGTAATTTACTTCAATATTATTTCAAATGGAGAAAGTATAGAAATTGACTTTACATTCTAAGTTCAAACTTTCAATTTCCAAGCTCAAAGACAAAAAGCATCTAGCATAAGTACTAGTCAATATCAGTGACCGCATAGCTAGCTTCTAAATTCTATGTGGTTTGCAATACGTCCATTTCATGGATCTGAAAGCAGATTCAATTAGTTCAGGCAATCTGTCTAAGGTTCTGAAAATATATATTTTCACAGAAAATATATATTTCTAAAAACGTTTAAGCCCAAGATCAAACTTTTCTTCTATGACCTTCATTAACTATCTGCTATTGTTTCAGAAATAAAAATACTATGGTATGCATTTTAGTGGAATAAATCTTTCAAATGAGGGGGCTTCTTAAATGTTTGTGGTTATCTATAACACTAATATAAAGAAATAATATTTTCTTTAAAGTCAAAAGACCTGGCCTTGATGTTCTGACCTACCAATCAGTAACTGAGTGAACTTAGTTAAAATAACATTACTTTTTAAGCTCTACAAATTTTATATAAGGGAATGCAGGATCTGCCTAATGTTTATCAAAACTAAACTGTTTCTGTTTTGAGAGGAGTTTTTAGGTATGATCCCTGCCCTATTCCCTCAAAAACAATGTGATATTCTTTCTTGCACAGACGATTTAGGAATGCTGAGTTAAGCAAAGTTTATTAGAGATGTGTTGCTGTTGTTGTTTTAGCAATCTGGTTCTTACAAAATTATTAGGCACATTATAAACCTCTAATAGGGCTAGAGCATGAAGCTTGTTTTTCAACTTTTTTCACTGCGAACCTTTTTTTGCCTGAAGCTTGTGATGTTATCATCTGGAAGAGAGTCCCTGAGAACATCAGATTTTAAAATTACTGTGTAGGAAAAAAGCATGGGCTTTGTAGACAGACTTGAGGACAATGGCCACTCTCTCAATTAGTAAAATTTCATTATCTTGAACAAGTTATTTATTCTTTTTGAGTCTATTTTCCTGATGTTATAAAATGGAGAAAATATATCAACGCCACAGAGTTGATGTGAGATTAAATGAGATAATGCAGGTATGAGAGGCTAAATAATGCTTCACACCCCACCCAACAAGGATGTCCTTGCTCCTAATCCCCAGAAACTGAATATGTTACCTTACATTGCAAAAGGGGCTTTGTGGCTGTTATCAAGTTAAGGATCTCCAAAAGGTCCATATAAGAGGAAAGCAAGAGAGTCAGAGAGAAAGAAGCAAAATGACAATGGAGGCAAAGAGAGAGAGAGAGAGTGGAAGATGCTTCACTGCTGGCCTTACACACAGAGGGAAGGGACCATGAGCCAAGGAATCCAGGTGGCCTCTAAAAGCTGGACAAGGCATGGAAATGGACTCCCTACCAGAGCCTCCAGAAGGAACTCAGCCCTGCCAATACCTTCATTTTAGAACTTCTGATCTCCAGAATAGTAATACAATTGTGCTGTTTTAAGCCACTTAATTTGTAGTGATTTGTTACAGCAGCAATGGGAAAGTAAAACAATAGGTAAATCTCTTGGCACGGGGCCAGTGAAACATGAAGAATAGTCATGTCTAACTTGAGAGTTCTGGTGGATGTCAAATGTGATCATATATTCAATAAATCTTTATAACTCACAACGTGCTAAACAAATATTCGCTTTTATTGCATAGCTCAGGAAACTTGTCTCTCTGTAATTGAGGCCTAGGTACACAGAAGAAAATGATTTTAAAATGTCAACAATCAACAACTTGGAAAGTAAGTTGTCAACAATAAAACACGTTGGCAGCATAAAACAATTTAGAGGCACTCTTGCTTTCTGCGTGTACTGATGACAGACGTGTAGTAAAGAATGTGGGAGCCAGAGTTCAAGGTTAACGTATATTGTGGAATTGAGAGGCAGGCCTGCATAGGTGGTGGTACTACTATCTGAAAGTAGTAGGATAAACGGGCATTTACAGCAAATTTCTTTTCTTCAGACCTTCCTGTTCATAGCCAACAGGAGAATGATTGTGTTCTGTGTGAAAAAACATTTTAATGGTCCATTTTCAAGGCAAGATAAATGTAGGTACTGACAGCCAGTACCTAGGTACTGTCACACGGCCCATGCACCTAGAAAGTCACAATAAGCAAGCAGGATGTAAAGGAGAGGTCAGCTCACTAAATGAAATAAAATGTCTTTATTGGTAAAACCAAAACTTAAGCGGGAAGGGGACCAGAATATGATCTTATAAGGGGATAATAAAACCTGGGCCACGTCCAGGAAGATTGCAACCCAGTAGTATTCCACCAATAAGGAACTGGGGGAGGGACCTGCATGCTAGGAAATCAATTACCTGCTGCAACTGTCCTGGATGTGCCTGCCTACCAGACACCCGATCTCGCAAGACCACCATTAAAAGTCTCACTTCCATTGTTCTTCCTGTCTCTAAGTCCATTCTTTTGGTTTGGACTGGTAAGTGTGTTTCTTGCATTCTGGAAACAGAAAACTCAGCAATTGTCAGTCAAAGCATGAGCTCATGTGGCCAGCAACTGCCTGAAGATAAGTAAACACCATTCTATGATATTTACTATAAAATGGAGCTTCCGTCTCCCACAACTTCTCTTTCTGAAAAGAAAAAGAAAACGGAATTTCTAGAATTTAACACCTTGTTGAATTTCCTATACAGCTGGAGTATTCCTGAATTTAACTAAATCACTTTCTGGATAATGGCTTGTACTTGAATAGACAATACTCCCAAACACTAAAAAATGTTTAATTTAAAAAACGATCTCAATTAGCCACGAGTCAGTTTTCCTAATATATGCTCTCAGATTTTTAATAAATAATAAATAACTATAACTGACGGACTCTTATATGGTTAGTTTATGGAAATCATGTCAAATTTTACCTGGTTCCAGAAAACAAAATCACAGATTTTCAGAATGCAAGTTAGTTTTAATTCTGACCCTTTTTCAGAAACATAGACTTGATTTCACAGAAACATCCTAACACATTTTACTTCAAAGATAGTTAAAAGGTGCTTTTCTTTTCTCCTTCTCAGTTTTCTTCTCCCTTCAAACCAGAAAGCCAGAAAGAAGGAAGATGCTGTAGCAGGGATGGTATTGGACATATAAGTGAAATAACCATTCCAGTTACTTTTATTTCCATTTTCAGGTCCACTGCAGACACGTCAATTAAAATTCTTTGCCTAGCACCCTCCAGAGAAAACAGAAGTTTGTATACAGTTTTGAATGTCTAGTAGTAGCATATGGACACTGAGAATGTGCAAAAAGAAAAAAAAGAAAGAAGGATAGAAATAAAAGAATGAAGAAAGAAGGAAGGAAGGAAAGAAAGACGGACCAAAATAAAATAAATATCAAAAATATATATTAAGACTTTGACACAAGATTATAGATCATGGAATGGAGGAAGATGGCTGAATAGAAGCCTGCACTGATTGTCCCTGCTGCAGAAACACCAGAGGTTAACAACTAACTCCACACACAAAAAGCACCATCATAAGAACCAAAAATCAGGTGAGCAATCAAAGTACCTGCTATTAATGTCCATACCATTGAAAGAGGCATTAAAGAAGGAAGGAAAGACAGTCTTGAATGGTCAACGCCACCCTTCCCTTGTTCCCCTAGTAGCACCAGGTGCTACTAGGTGGTATGGAGAATCTGGCACTTGAAGGAGGGAGAACACAGTGAACTGGGGACTTGGCATTGAACTCAGTGCTGCCCTGTCACAGTAGAGTAAAGCCATGCTGGGCTTTGAAAAAGAGTCTAAGCCACAAGGACTACTATTCTTTTTTTTTTTTTTTTTTGAGACAGAGTCTCGCTCTATTGCCCAGGCTGGAGCACAGTGGCGCAATCTCGGCTCACTGCAAACTTCACCTCCCGGGTTCACGCCATTCTCCTGCTTCAGCCTCCCAAGTAGCTGGGATTACAGGCGCCCACCACCACGCCCAGCTAATTTTTTGTATTTTTAGTAGAGATGGAGTTTCACGGTGTTAGCCAGGATGGTCTCAATCTCCTGACCTTGTGATCCGCCCGCCTCGGCCTCCCAAAGTGCTGGGATTACAGGCATGAGCCACCGCACCCAGCCCACAAGGACTACAATTCTTAAGCAACTGTTAGCCCTGGGCTTGGCCTATAGTCAGTGGACTAGGGTAGCACATGACCTAAGGAGACACCAGCAGGGGCAGCTAAGAGAGCGACTGTGCCACATCTCCCCCAGTCCTAGGCAGCACAACTAGCAGCAACAAAAGTGACTCCTTCCTTCTGCTTGAGGAGAGGAGAACAAAAAGTAAAGAAGACTCTGTTTTGCGTCTTGAATAACAGCTCAGCCACAATGTAACAGGCCACCGGGCAGAGTCGTGAGGCCCCCATCCTAGACCGTAGCTCCCAGGTGACTTTTCTAGACACAGCCTGGTCCAGAAGGGAATTCACTGCATTAAAGGGAAGAAACCAATCCTGGCAGGATTCATAACCTGCTGACCAAAGGGCCCGTGAGCCCTGAATAACCAACTGTGATATTCAGGTAGTACATCGTGGGCCTTGGGTGAGACTCTGAGACAGACTGGCTTCAGGTGTGACCCCGCATATTCCCAGCTGTGATGGCTATGAGGTGACTCCCATTGCTTCAGAAAAGCAAAGGGGAAAGTAAAGGGGACTTCGTCTTGCATCTTAGATGCCAGCTCAGCCACAGAGGGATAGAGCACCAAGCAGGCTCTCAGGATCACTGCATCCAGGTCTAGGTTCTTGGACAGCATTTTTGGACTTGCCCTGGGCAAGAAAGGAGCCCACTGTCCTGAAGGATGAGACCCAGGCCTGGCAGCATTCACCACAATCTCACTGAAGAGTGCTTGGGCTTTAAGTGAACATGGACGGTGGCCTGGCAAAATTCCCCATGGAGTGGTGGTGGTGATGGTCACTAGGAGATGCTGCTCTTCCTGTGGAAAGGGGAGAGAAGAGCAAGAAGGACTTTGTCTTGATGTGTCAGTGCAAGCTTACCACAGTAGAATAGAGCACCCAGGTAGATAGCTAAGGTTTTTTTCTCTAGCTCCTGGATCCCAGATAATACCTCTGTACCTGTCTGGGGCTTGAGGGAACTCACCGCCCTGAAGGGAAGGACACAACCAGGCTGGCTACCTCACATGCTGACTGTAGAGCCCTAGGGCCATGAGTGAACACAGACTATCAACAGATAATGGTTACAGCGGGCCTTGAGTGAGACCCAGGGCTGTGCTGGCTTCAGATCTGACTCAGTGTGGTCCCACTGGTGGTGGCTACAGGTGTGCCTATGTCACCCCATGTGCAGCTCTAGGTGGATCAGCACAGAGATTCTTTTTTATTTGGGAAAAAGTAATAGAAGAGAACAAGAGTCTCTGCCTGGTAATCCTGAGAATGCTCCTAGATCTTATCCCAAACCACTAAGGTGGTATCTCTATGAGTCTACAAGAACCACTGCATTATTAGAATTGATGCTCAAGTCCCTTGAAATACCTGCAAAGCCTTCACAAGAAAGATAGACACAAACAAGCCCAGACAGTGCTTACAATAAATATCTAACTCTTCAATACCCAGAAAATGACAAACCTCCGTAAGTGTTAAGACTATACAGGAAAAAAATGACCTCAACAAACAAACTAAATAAGGCACCAAGGACCAATCTGGAAAAACAGAGATATGTGTCCTTCCAGACAGAGAATTCAAAATAGCTGTTTTAAGGAAATTCAAAGAAATTCAAAATAGTACAGAGAAGGAATTCTGAATACTATGAGATAAATTTTTTAAAAGTTTGAAATAATTTAAAAGAACCAAGCAGAAATTCTAGAGTTGAAAAATGCAATTGACATACAAAAGAATGCATCATAGTCTCTCAATAGCAAAATTGATCAAGGAGAAGAAAGAATTAGTGAGTTTGAAGACACGGTCAGAGGAGAAAATTTATGGACAGAGGAGAAAAAAAAGAATAAAAGGAAATAAAGCATGCCTACAGCATCTAGAAAATAGCCTCAAAAGGTAAAATCTAAGAGTTATTGGTCTTAAAGAGGACATAGAGAAAGAGATGGCAGTAGAAAATTTGTTCAAAGCAATCATAACAGAGAACGTCCCAAACCTAGAGAACAATATTAGTATTCAAGTACAAGAAGGCTATAGAACACCAAACAGATTGAACCCAAAGACGACTACCTCAAGGCATTTAATAATCAAACTCCAAAAGTTTAAGGATAAAGAAAGGATCTTAAAAGCAGCAAGATAAAAGAAACAAATAACATCTAATGGAGCACCAATATGCCTGCCAGCAGGCTTTTCAGAGGAGACTTTACAGGCCAGGAGAGAGTGGCATGACATATTTAAAGTGCTGAGGCAAAAAACTTTTATCCCAGAATAGATTATCCAGTGAAAATAACCTTTAAGCATGAGGAGAAATAAAGACCTTTTCAGACAGACAAAAGCTGAGGGATTTTATCAACACCAGACATGTACTACAAGAAATGCTAAAGGGAATACTTTGATCTGAAAGAAAACGATGTTAATGAGCAAGAAGAAATCATGTGAGGGTAAAAAAAAAAAAAAACTCACTGGTAATAGTAAGTACACAGAAAAATACAAAATATTATAACACTGTAACTGTGGTATGTAAACTACTCTTACCTTAAGCAAGAAGACTGAACAATGAACCAATCAAAAATAATAACTACCATGACTTTCAAGACTCAGTAGAATAAGACATTAAAAGAAAAAAAAATTATAAAGCAGAGAAACAAAATTAGAGTCACTCTTAGTTTTTTTTTTTTTTAGTGTCTGTATGTTTCTCTATGCAGTTAGTGTTAAGTTGACATCAATTTCAAATAATGAGTTATAGGATAGTATGTGCAAGCCTCATGGAAACTTCAAATCAAAACATGTACAACAAATGCACCAAAAAATAAAAAGCAGGAAATTAAATCATACCACCAGAGAAAATCACCTTCACCAAAAGAAGACAGGAAGAAAGGAAAGAAGGAAGAGAAGACCCCAGAATAACCAGAAGACAAATAACAAAATGGCAGGAGTAAGTCCTTAATTATTAATAACATTGAATGTAAATGGACCAAACTTTCTAATCAAAAGATGTGCAATGACTGAATCAGTAAAAAAGCAAGACCCAATGATCTGTTGCCCCCACCCACCCCCACACACAAACATGCTTCACCTATAAAGATACATGTACACTAAAAATAAAAGCATGGAAAAAGATATTTCATGCCAATGAAAACCAAAAAATACCAGGAATAGCTATACTTATATCAAACAAAATAGATTTCAAGACAAAAACTGTAAGAAGAGACAAAGAAGGCCATTATATAATGATAAATGGGAAAATTCAGGAAAAGGATATAAAAATATAAATATATATGCACCCAATGCTGAAGCACCCAGATATATAAAGCAAATATTATTAGAGCTAAAGACAGAGAGGTCGGGAGTGGTGGCTCACACTTGTAATCTCAGCACTTTGGGAGGCCGAGGCAGGCGGATCACAAGGTCAGGAGATCGAGACCATCCTGGCTAACACAGTGAAACCCCGTCTCTACTAAAAATACAAAAAAATTAGCTGGGTGTGGTGGCTGGCGCCTGTAGTCCCAGCTGCTTGGGAGGCTGAGGCAGGAGAATGGCGTGAACCCGGGAGGCGGAGCTTGCAGTGAGCCGAGATCGCGCCACTGCACTCCAGCCTGGGTGACAGAGCGAGACTCCATCTCAAAAAAAAAAAAAAAAAAAAAAGACAGAGGTAGATCTCAATAAAATAATAGCTGCAGACTTTAACACCCTACTTTCAGCATTAGACAGATCTTCCAGATAGAAAATCAACAAAGAAACATCCTACTTAGTCTGCAATATAGAACAAATGAACCTAACAGATATTTACAGAACATTTCATCCAACGGTTGCAGAACACACATTTTTTTCCTCAGCACATGGATCATTTTCAAGGATAGACCATATTTTAGGTCATAAAACAAGTCTTAAAACATTCAAAAAAATGAAATAGTATCAAGTATCTTCTCTGACCACAATGGAATACAACTAGAAATCAATAACAAGAGGAATTTTGGAAACTATACAAACACATGTGTATCTGTTCCTGGATAACCAATGGGTAAATAAAGAAATTGAAAAATTTCTTGAAACGAATGATAATGGAAAGACAACAAACCAGAACCTGTGGAATACAGCAAAAGCAGTACTAAGAGGAAAATTTACAGCTATAAGTGCTTACATCAAGAAAGAAGAAAACCTTCAAATAAATAACCTAATGATGCATCTGAAAGAACTGGGAAAGCAAGAGCAAACCAAACCCAAAATTATAGAAAAAAGAAAAGAAATAAAATTCAGAACAGAAACAAACGAAGTTAAAAGAAGAAAACCAGATAAAAGATCAACAAAACAAAAAGTTGTGTTTTTAAACAGATAAAATTGACAAAGCTTTTCTTCCATAAAGACACATGCACGTGATTGTTCATTGAAGCACTGTTCACAATGGCAAAGACATGGAATCAACCTAAATGCCCATCAATAACAGATTGAATAAAGAAAATATGGTACATATATATCACAGAATATTATGCAGCCATAAAAAAAGATTATATCTTTTGGGGGAAGATGGATGGAGCTGGAAGTCATTATTCTCAGAAAACCAATGTAGGAACAGAAAACCAAATATCACATGTTCTTACTTATAAATGGGAGTTAAATGATGAGAACTTATGAAAACAAAGAAGGAAACAACAGACCCTGGGGTGTACTTGAGGGAGGAGAGTGGGAGGAGGGAGAGGAGAAGAAAAGATAACTATTGGATACTGGGCTTAATGCCTAGGTGATGAAATAATCTGTACAACAAACCACTGTGGCACGAGATGAACTATGTAAAAAACTTTCACATGTACCCTCAAACCCAAAATAAATGTTAAAAAAAATAAGAGACAAGACCCAAATTTTAAAAATCAGAAATGAAAAAGGTGACATTACAACTGATAACACAGAAATTTAAAGGATAATTAGTGGCTACTATGAGTGACTATATGCCAATAAATTGGAAGATTCAGAGGATGTAGATAAATTTCTAGGCATATACAATATACCAAGATTGAACCATGAAGAAATTCAAAACATAAACACACCAATGATAAGTAACAAGATCAAAGCAATAGCATAAATTCCCCCAGCAAGGAAAAGCCTGGGACCTGATGGCTTCACTGCTGAATTCTACCATACATTTAAAGAAGAACTAATCCCGATCCTACTCAAACTATTCCAAAAGTAAAGGAGGAGGGAATACTTCCAAACTCATTCTGTGAGGCCAGGATAACCCTGATACCAAAACCAGACAAAGATACCTTTAAAAAACAAAACTACAGGCCAACGAATTCATACAGCTAAAATAAACTCATTTTTGATAAATGTGCCATGAACACACACTGAGAAACACAATCTCTTCAAATATGGCACGGGGAACACTGTAAATCCATCTGCAGAATAATGAAACTAGACCCCTAGTTTTCAACATCTACAAAAATCAAATCAAAATAGATTAATCCTTAAATCTAAGACCTCAAACTACGAACTACTAAAAGAAAACACTGGGGAAAATCTCCAGCAGTTTGGTCTAGGCAAAAATTTCTTGAGTAATACATCACAAGCACAGACAGTCAAAGCAAAAATGGACAAATGGATCACATCAAGCTAAAAAGCTTCTGCACAGTAAAGGATACAACCAACAAAGTGAAGAGAATGGGAGAACCCACACAATGGGAGAAAATATTGGCAAACTACCTGATATGGTTTGGCTCTGTGTCCCCACCCAAATCTCCTTTTGAATTGTACTCCCATAATTCCCACATGTTGTGGGAAGGGCCTAGTGTGCGATAATTTGAATCATGAGGGCAGTGTTCTCCATACTCTTCTCCTGGTAGTGAATAAGTCTAATGAGATCTGATGGTTTTTTCAGGGGTTTCCACTTTTGCATCTTTCTCATTTTCTCTTGCCACTGCCATATAAGAAGTGCCTTTCACCTTCATGATTCTGATGCCTCCCCAGAGTCTGATTCTGAATGCCTCCCCAGCCATGTAGAACTGTTAAGTCCAATTAAACCTCTTTTTCTTCCCAGTCTTGGGTATGTTTTTATCAGTAGCATGAAAATGGACTAATACAGTAAATTGGTACCAATAGAGTGGGCCATTGCTGAAAAGGTACCCTAAAATGTGGAAGCGACTTTGGAACTGGGTAACAGGCAGAGGTTGGAACAGTTCGGAGGGCTCAGAGGAAGATAAGAGAATGCAGGAAAGTTTAAAACTTCCTGCAGACTTGTTGAATGGCTTTGCTGAAAATGCTGATAGTGATATGAACAATAAGGTAGAGGCTGAGGTGGTCTCAGATGGAGATAAAGAACTTTTTGGGAACTGGAGCAAAGGTGACTCTTGTTATATTTTAGCAAAGAGACTAGCAGCATTTTGCCTGGAGATTTGTGGAACTTTAAACTTGAGAGAGATGATTTACGGCATCTGGCAGAAGAAATTTCTAAGCAGCAAAGTGTTCAAAATGTGGCTTGGGTGCTGTTAAAGGCATTCAGTTTTATAAGGGAAGCAGAGCATAAAAATTTGGAAAATTTGCAGCCTGACTATGCAATAGAAAAGAAAAACCCATTTTCTGGGGAGAAATTCAAGCTGGCTGCAGAAATTTGCATAAGTAGCAAGTAGCCAAATGTTATTCCCCCTGAGACCATGGGGAAAATGCCTCCAGGCCATGTCAGAGACCTTCATGGCATCCCTCCCATCACAGGCCCAGAGACCCAGGAGGAAAAAGTGGTTTCATGGGCCAGGGCCAGGGTTCCCTTGCTGTGTGCAGTCTAGGGACTCGGTGCCCTGCATCCCAGCTGCTCCAGCTGTGGTTTAAAGGGGCCAATGTAGATCTGAGGCTGTGGCTTCAAACGGTGCAAGTCCCAAGCCTTGGAAGCTTCCACATGGTGTTGAGCCTGCAGGTACACAGAAGTCAAGAATTGAGGTTTGGGAACCTCTGCCTAGATTTCAGAAGACTCATGGAAATGCCTGGATTCCCAGGCAAAAGTTTGCTGCAGCAGCAGGGCCCTCACAGAGAACCTCTGCTAGGGCAGTGCAGAAGGGAAATGTGGGGTCAGAGACCCCACACAGAGTCCCTACTGGGGCATCACCTAGTGGAGCTGTGAGAAGAGGGCCACTGCCCTCTAGACCCCAGAATGGTAGATCCACCACTAACAGCTTGCACTGTGTGCCTGCAAAAGCTGCAGACACTCAACACCAGCCTCTGAAAGAAGCTGGGAGGGAGGCTGCAAAGCCACAGGGGTAGAGCTGCCTAAGACTATGGGAACCCACCTCTTGCATCTGGATGTGAGACCTGGAGTCGAAGGAGATCATTTTGGAGCTTTAAAATTTGACTGCCCCACTGGTTTGGACTTGCATGAGCTCTGTAACCCTTTGGTTTGGCCAATTTCTACCATTTGTAATGGCTGTATTTACCCAATACCTGTACTCCCATTGTATCTAGGAAGTAACTGTCTTGCTTTTGATTTTACAGGCTCACAGGTGGAAGAGACTTGCTTTGTCTCAAATAAGACTTTGGACTGTGGTCTTTTGGGTTAATACCGAAATGAGTTCAGACTTTTGGGGACTGTTGGGAAGGCATGATTGGTTTTGAAATGTGAGGACATGAGATTTGGAGGGGCCAAGGGCAGGATGACATGGTTTGACTCATTGTCCCCCAACAGATCTCACCTTGAATTGTACTCCCATAATTCCCACATGTTGTGGGAGGGACCCTGTGGGAGATAATCTGAATCATGGGGGCAGTTTTCCCATACTGTTCTCTTGGTAGTGAGTAAGTCTCATGAGATCTGATGGTTTTATCAGGGGTTTCCACTTTTGCATCTTCCTCATTTTCTCTTGCCCCTGCCATTTAAGAAGTGCCTTTCTCCTCCCACCATGATTATGGGGCCTCCCCAGCCATGTGGAACTGTGAGTCCAATTAAACCTCTTTTTCTTCCCAGTCTTGGGTTTGTCTTTATTACTAGCATGAAAACAGACTAATACACTAACCATCTGACAAGGGATTGATAACCAGAATATATAGGGAGCTCAAGCAACTCTACAGGAAAAAAAATCTAATAATCCAATTTTAAAAACAGGCAAAAGATCTGAATAGATATTTCTCAAAAGAAGATACACAAATAATAAACAGGGTGCTCAACGTCACTGATCATTGGAAAAATGTGAATAAAAACTACACTGAAATACCATCTCACCCCAGTTTAGTGGCTTTTATCTAAAAGACAGGCAAAAATAGTTGCTAGCAAGGATGTGGAGAAAAAGGAACACTCATATACTGTTGGTGGAAATGTAAATTAGTACAACCACTATGGAGAATAGTTTGGAAGTTTTTCAAAAACCTAGAAATAGAGCTACTATATGACCAGGAATCCCACTGCGGGTTGTAGACCCAAAAGAAAGGTAATCAGTATAGTATACCAAAGGAATATCTGCTTCCTCATATTTGTTGCAGCACTGTTCACAATAGCTAAGATTTGGAAACAACCTAAGTGTCCATCAACAGATGAATGGATTTAAAAAAGTTTTATATATATACACACACATATATATATACACACACACACATATATATAACATGTTATATATGTGTATATATATGTGTGTATATGTAAATATTTGTATATATATACACATACACACAGTGGAGTACTAGTCTGTCATTAAAAAAATGAGATTCTGTTATTTGCAAAAACATGGATGGAACTGGATGTTGTTATGCCAAGTGAAATAAATCAGGCATGGAAAGACAAACTTTACATATTCTCACATACTTGTGGGAGCTAAAAATTAAAACAATCGAACTCATGGAGATGGAGGGTAGAAGGATGGTTACCAGAGGCTGGGAAGGGTAGTGTGGGACCAGCAAGGAAGTAGAAATGGCTAATGGGTTCAAAAACAATAGAATGAATAAGACAGGGTGACTATAGTCAATCATAATTTAATTGTGCATTTTAAAATAACAAAAAGAGCATAATTGGATTGTTTGTAACACAAAGGATAAATGCTTGAGGGAGAGGATACTCTATTAACTGTGATGTAATTATTACACTTTGCATGCCTATATCAAAATATCTCATGTACTTCATAAATATATACACCTACTATGTACCCACAACATTTTTTTAAGATTATAGATTATATAACTACATGAAACTTCAAAAAGAAGCTTCTCTAATGCTTACGGAAGCAATTTAACAAGAAAGGGCCCTGTATTAGGGTGAGACAGAACTAATAGGATAGACTAGATAGATGATAGATAGATAGATAGATAGATAGCTAGATAGATAGATAGATAGATTGATTGATTGATAGATAGATAGAGGGGAGCTTATTAAGTATTATCTTACATGATCACAAGGTCCCACAATAGGCTGTCTGCAGGCTGAGGAGAAAGGAGAGTGAGTCCAAGTCCCAAAACTGAAGAACTTGGAGTTCAGTGTTCAAGGGCAGGAAGCAACCAGCACAGGAGAAAGATGTGGGCTGGGAGGCTAGGCCAGTCTGTCTCCTCTTCACATTTTTCTGCCTGCTTTATATTCTCTGGCAGCTGATTAGATGGTGCCCACCAGGTTAAAGTGGATCTGCCTTGCCCAGCCCACTGACTCAAATGTTAATCTCTTTTGGCAACACCCTCATAGACACATCCAGGAGAAATACTTTGTATCCTTCAACTCAATCAAGTTGACACTCAGTGTTAACCATCAGAAGTCAACCCCTTGTCAACTTGAACCCATATACATCTCCTAAGATCACACAGTCTTCAAATTAAGGCAATAATAAGGTCATAATTATGCCTAACATAATACTACTGTCCTTCATACAACCGGAAACGCACCACTCACCAATCCAAATACTATTACGTAAGGTTAACAATACTTAAATGCTGATATAGAGTCAATCAATCTCATGTCACATGATAAAGGAAAAGGAAACAAAATAATGATATTTTCTTAATACAAGTGTATACAAGCACAAGCATGTTTTTAGCACAAGAAGGAAAAATTGCTCATGACAATTACAGTCCCCGTTTCTGTAACTGGTCACGCGGTCCTAGCTGGTTCTACCTTCCACCACCCATTCAGTATTCCCTTTGCCTTCAGAAAGCACCTTGGCAGGTCATGGTTTTTTTCCTGGTGGAGTGACCCAAACCTTCATTCCTGAGGGGTCTGAGCCATTTGTAGTCCTGCTTGGATTGATCTGTTGTCGTTTTCCATTGACCTTAATCACAGGGCATGGTAATACTGAGAGGCACCCTAATGGATCTCCTGTATTCAATGCATACTTTTCCATACCTCCATTGTGGAGTAGTAGATTGATTTCATCTTGATAGTCTGGGTCAATCACCCCAGCCAACAATGTAACTCCCTTCTTAGCCTGTTGAATTAAAGGTAGGAGGAGCCCAAAAAGTCCACGTGGCAATCTTAACTTCCAGTTTAATGAAATCATCGTTGTGTCTCCTGGTGGCAGCGTTCTTCCCTCTTGAACTAAGACCTCTAGGCCAGCAGAACTTAATGTCGTGGGAACAGGAAGCAAACATTTTGCTAGTGGGCCACTAGGGGTGATGGTAAGTGCTGCCACTTCCACTTCCACCCCTTGATTCCTGGACCCATGAATCCTGGCTGTGAGAGAAACAGTACCATATATTGGATGCTGATTCAGAGCATACAACGCCTTCTGGAGAACTTTGCCCTAGCCCTGCAAAGTGTTGTCACCTAGTTGGCATTGTAATTGTGACTTCAAAAGGCCATTCATGCAGAACCATCTGTGAATCAGGCCCTAGTCTTCTCTTCCTCTGTCAGCTGCTCCAGGGAATTCTCCATGAGGCCATCAGTGCAGGCTGGGGGAGAGAAGGCAGGGTGGCAGGCATGGAGACCATGGGCATTTGAGCCACTTCCTCATGTAACTTACTTGTGCCTTCAGGACCTGCTCGAGCCTGATCATGTATACACCACTTCCATTTGATGATAGAATGCTGCTGTGCATGACCCACTTTATGGCTAGATTGGTTATGATAGGCAGCTCAGGTTCCATGGTGACTTGATGACCCATAGTCAAATGTTCAGTTTCCACCAAAGCCTGGTAACAGGCCAAGAGCTGTCTCTCAAAAGGAGAGTAGTTGCCTGCAGAAGATGGCAGAGCCTTGCTTAAAACTCCTAGAGGTCTCTGCTGTGATTCACCTATAGGGGCCTGCCAAAGGCTCCAAACAGTATCCCTATCTGCCACTGACACCTCAAGCACCATTGAATCTGCTGAGTCATATGGCCCAAGTGGCAGAGCAACTTGCATAGCAGCCTGGACCTGTTGCAGAGCCTTCTCCTGTTCTGGACCCTACTCAAAACTGGAAGCCTTTCAGGTCGCTTGATAAACGGGCTGGAGTAACACACCCACATGAGGCATGTGTTACTTCCAAAATCCAAATAGGCCCGCTAGGCGTTGTGCCTCTTTCTTAGTTGTAGGAGGGGCCAAATACAGCAACTTATCCCTCACCTTAGAAAGAATATCTTGACAGGCCCCCCACCACTGGACTCCTGGAAATATTACTGAGGTAGAAGATCCCTGAATTTTAGTCAGATTTATTTCCCATCCTCTGGCACGCAAATGTCTCACCAATAAGTCCAGTGTGTTTGCTACTTCTTGCTCACTGGATCCAATTAGCATAATGTCATTAATGTAATGACCAGGGTGATACCTTGTGGAAGTGAAAAGCGAATAAGATTATGATACAAAGCCAGAGAGTTGATATACCCCCGAGAAAGGACAGTACAGGTATATTGCTGGATATATATACCCAGGATCAATACTTTGTATCCTTCAATCCAATCAAGTTGACAAACAGTATTAGCCATCACAGGCCCTTTCTGTCTTGACCTCTCACTCCTCCAGTACCTCAGGTCCCAAGTCCACCAGAATTTGCACATAGCCCAGAGATTATTTGGTTCTGCGAAGCCTTTTGTTCCCTGCCAAGACTCTCAGGCTCCCACTGGAGATATAACTCTTTATCCTTCAACATCATTGTTGGAAGCCTGAATCCAACGTGGTGTAAACCTTCCCCAAGATATCTAGAGGCAAATGGTATAAGTCTTGTAAACCATGAGGTCCCTCTGACAGTGCTGTCATAGTTCATTTTTCTCAGACAGAAGTACCATCTCTGAGTACAGTTAACAAAAGTTAGTTCTAGGCAATCTTACAGTCTACAATAAGAGAAATAAAGAAATAGTTTACTACAATGCAAATCATTGCCTTCCTTTGCATGTTATGGCTCAAATCTTACAAATTTTGTGGAATTTCCATGAAATTATTGTAACCTACATCATTTATGATTTTTTTCTGTATAGGCTGGGCATGGTGGCTCACGTCTGTAATCCCAGCACTTTGGGTGGCCGAGGCCAGTGGATCACTTGAGGCCAGGAGTTCAAGACCAGCCTGGTCAACGTGGTGATACCCTGTCTCTATTAAAAATAGAAAAAATTAGCTGAATCTGGTGGCATGCATCTGTGGTCCCAGCTACTTGGGAGACTGAGACATGAGAATCACTTGAACCCAGGAGGCAGAGGTTGCAGTGAGCTGAGATTATGCCACTGCACTCCAGCCTAGGCAACAAAGCAAGACATGGGCTCAAAAAAAAAAAAGCATGTATATAATATAGCCAAATTTTAATACTCTCTTTGATAGTTTTAGACTTTGATACCTGTATCCTGACTAGTGAACACTGGCACTAAAGAGCCACACATTTTCCATAAACAGTTATCCACACATATATTACCATGCTGTTTTCTGTGACATCTGCTTACTAGGTTAATGAAACCAAGTATGCCCATAACAAAATAAATGTGATCCATCTTTTCATGTATGGATGAGAAGAAGAGAGATAGGATATTTAGTAATAAACTTTTATTTCATTTCTGAGAAATCTATGAGACAATTTAAAAAGTGATTATGAAGAAAAACCATTTTCAAGAATTTTTTAAATCTCATGAATTATTCAATAAAAGATACATAAGTAATGTAGTGCTGTATAAATCAAGAGGACTTAAACAGTAATTGAATAATCTTTATAAGATCTGGACTATAAGTACAGTAGGAGCTGAAGATTGAGGCAGTAGAAGAATGAGAGGGAAAGGGAGAGAGAGAAAGAGTGGGGATGGGGGAAGGGATCAAAGTGGAAAGGGCACAGGGGAGGGGAGGAGAGGGGAGGAGAGGGGAAAGCAAATGGGGGAAGAGAGGCAAGAGAGGCAAGGGGAGACAAGCCATGTAGGAGGCAATTCCAAGTCACCATTAGGTAATGATGAATGTTTACATGGAAGCAAAGATTCTCCAAGCAATCCTCTTTCTTTCTTTCTTTCTTTCTTTCTTTCTTTCTTTCTTTCTTTCTTTCTTTCTCTCTCTCTCTCTCTCTCTCTCTCTCTCTCTCCCTCTCTCTCTCTCTCTCTCTCTCTCTCTCTCTCTCTCTCTCTCTCTCTCTCTCTCTTTCTTTCCTTTTCTTTTCTTTTCTTTTTTTTTGAGATGGAATCTCACTCTTTCACCAGGCTGGAGTGCAGTGGCTTAATCTTGGCTCACTGCAACCTCTGCCTTCCATGTTCAAGCGATTCCCCTGTCTCAGCCTCCCAAGTAGCTGGGACTACAGGGGCGTGACACCACACTCAGCTAATTTTTGTGTTTTTAGTAGAGACGGGGTTTCACCATGTTGGCCAGGATGGTCTCGATTTCTTGACCTCGTGATCCACCTGCCTCAACCTCCTTATAAAGCTAAACAAAGTGACAAGGCGGTTTGTACTGTCACCTCACTTGGCTCCTGGGCAAGGACTAGGGGCAGGGCCAGGACTTGGATGGCTTCTGCGATCAGGCAGATGCTAGAATAGATGGTAGGACAAGATTGCTGCAAATCTGATACAGATCGTTTGGGGTTCTCTGCTAAAGGCTCTATGTCGTTTCATGCTATACACACAAGAAAGCCTGGAGGCAGATCAGAAAACTGAGGCTCAGAGAGACTGAGAAACTTTCTTAACATCATAGAGCTACCAATAACCTCACTGTTTCTCCTCGCCAAGGAAGACAAGCTGTTGTGCTTTATTTCAGTGTAAATCACCAGGTCAGAAATCCATATGTACACATGTTATCATCCAGTCCACCTAAATGTCTGGTTTTTGTTCTAACGCCTGTACTTTTCTTGAACAATTCATCCTTGCTCTTATTTTGTTGGTTTTGTTTTCCCCACACCAGGAATTTCAGTGTCAGTGTATTTAGATGTCTTGTACCATCAGTAAAAAGGATCAGTTTTGGAGAATAAATGATCCAGAGGGCACGACATTTTCTAAAATGTTTTCCTGGGTTTCCCTATGATTCTATCCTTCCTGAATCATTTTTTTTCCCTTAAAGTCATGAGCTTCTTGGAATTTGTATTATGAATTCCACAAGAATTTTTTCATTTTATTGATTTTTCAGATACCAGAGAGTTTGCCATTTCCTACATAGGCACGTATCATAAAATCATAGAAATGGAAATGATTTTTCCTAGGAACCACTGGTAACTCTATTTTCAGTCAGTCGTGAAAATAATCTCTAATCCCATTGCCCAAAAGCACGAGAAGCTAGCTCAGATCTAAAGATAAACAGAATTAATGCTCATAAATTTTAATCAAACTACCGGCCTGTTTTTAACAGGAATCTATCACAGAGAAAATGGTGTATCGTTTGCCTAAGATTACCTATGTCATTTCTCATAGGTTAGTAATGAGAACAAAGAGGAAAAAGGCACATAGAATATTATAGCTGAAAGAGATCTTAGTGATTACCTAGTTTGACCCATTATTCTATAGATGAGGAAAGAAATGCATAAAGTTTAGGTGACTTACTCTAGTTCACACACTCAGTCAATGGCAGGACCAGAACTATGTTCTAGGACTAATTTTTTAAATTGAATAATGAAATCTAATCATGGAAAAGAGGAGTAAATGACTACAATCATAACAAAAACAAAGAAAGGTTTTTTTTCCCATTGAAATATGTAGGAAATGACACAATTCTGTTGATTCTAATATTACACTAATTTAAATATTTTTCAAATTCATCAGTGAGTTAGTTCTTCATTGTCTACTTTTGTACTATTACACAAATTACTTCCAATTTTAAGCCCTTACTTTGTGTTAGGTATGCTGTGTATCTGATCTTATTTAAATCTCACAACTGATCATATAAGATGTATCATAATCCCTATTTTACAATTGAAGAAAATGAGGTGAAGGGAGTTTGGGAAGCTTGCCCAACTTGATTTTGACTTAAGACCAGTTTACCCACTGCAGCTTCTGAACATAGCTTACTCCACTATACACTGATACACTGTCAGAATTTCCTCTGGCACCACCCTTAAGACTCTTCAGCCTAAAGGTAAAAAAAAAAATCATATTTCCTTTGTAGCCCCCTACAGTGCTAAAGTGACAACCTCACGGGCAGCTCTCTCCTTTTATTGCTGACCTTGGAGGGATGAGGGCTCAGCCCTGTGGTTTTAGGAATAGATCATCCACTTGCTCCCTGTATCAATCTCTGTAATTAGAGCAATTGTACAATCATTGATGAAAACAAAACCACTTCCCTAAAGATGGGAAATAAATGAGGATATACAATACATACAATTGGCAAGTAATGTACATAGATTATGTAGCAAGTTGGGACTTACCTATACCAGAAAAATAGTTTTACTTAGACCTTATTCATTTGGGCACTTCTTTTTTATTTTACTTTAAGTTCTGGGATACAAGTGCAGAATGTGCAGGTTTGTTACATAGGTATACATGTGCCATGGTGGTTTCCTGTACCTATCAACCCATCATCTAGGTTTTATGCCCCACATGCATTAGGTATTTGTCCTAATGCTCTCCTTTCCCTTGCCCCGCATCCCCCAACAGGCCTTCATTGTTCAACTCCCACTTATGAGTGAGAACATGTGGTTTTTGGTTTTCTGCTCCTGTGTTTGTCTGCTGAGAATGATGGTTTCCAGCTTCATCCACGTCCCTGCAAAGGCCATGAACTCATTCTTTTTTATGGCTTCATAGTATTCCATGGTGTATATGTGCCACATTTTCTTTATCCAGTCTATCATTGATGAGCATTTGTGTTGGTTCTAAGTCTTTGCTATCTAAATAGAGCTGCAATAAACATATGTGTACATGTGTCTTTATAGTAGAATGATTTATAATCCCTTGGGTATATACCCAGGGCACTTCTATCTAATGGTGTGATATCACTCTTCTCCCCACTGAGGCTTCTTTCACAGGTCTCACTCAAGTGTCTGTATTATTTTCCGGCATCTGGTCATCTACTATCGCATGGCCAGGTACAACTGCATTAACATGGACATCTGAGTAAATGTTTTCGCCTTATGACCTGCAGTTTCTCAAATCTTTTTCACTCTTTATTTTTCTATCTTTCCTAGTTTTTCATGGCCAGAACCTCTTATGCCTTCAGCAACCCCAAACCCCCTGAAATACTCTCTGCTGACTTTTTCCTCGTTGTTGTGTTTCCCTTTATCTCTTCTTGAATTAGCCAAAGATGTATTTATTGTGATTACATAATGATTATAATCAATTAACATACATGTGGAAGGAATTATTACTTTCTAAAAATATAATTTTAAAGCAATTTGTCACAGCCTGGTGAAACATACATAGGTAAATATATATTTGAACTTGCTGCCAACATTTGTGCAGGAATACTTAGGTTCAACTCAGGCTCTTTTTACAACCCACAACAATTTAAAGTGGTATTTACTTTCATTTAGTTATAGAATAATAGTCAATGAAGCTAGAATTTCTAAAATACCTATGATTGTACAGTTGACGTTTGAAGAACACAGTTTTGAACACTTATAGGTGGATTTTTTTTTCTGCTTGCCTCTGCCACGCCTAATACAGCAAGATCAACTCTTCCTCTTCCTCCTCCCTCTCAGGCTACTTAACTTGAAGATAAGAAGAACGAAGGCCTTTATGATAATTCACTTCCACTTAATGAATAGTAAATATGTTTTTTCTTCCTTGTGACTTTCTTAATAATAGTTTCTTTCCTCTAGCTTACTTTATTGTAAGAATATAGTGTATAATACATATAATATACAAAGAATGTTTTAATTGACTGTTTATGTTATCAGTAAGGCTTTCAGTCAACAGTAGGCTGTTAGCAATTTAGTTTTGGGGGAGTCAAAAGTTATATACAGGTTTTTCAACTTCACAGGGTATCAGCACCCCTAACCCATGTGTTGTTTAGGGATCAACTGTATAATCTTCCATTTTTACCCCAATCAGGACACACACACACACAAAATATAAATAAAAACACTTATTCAACCCACCAGTATCCACAAATATCCATAAAATCATGAAAATGTACATAAGCAAATTCCAGTCTTCAACATGCCTTTCACCTTCCTGAGAATGACTTTATTTTCTTATAGGTCCTAGATTAGAAAATATGTTTTGTAAATATTTTATTTCTAGGCACTCCCACTTCCATGTGAATAGTGGCCATTTTGCAATTTTTATTTGCCTTTTCCCCAGCCATTTCACAGTTTTGCTATTGACTGTTGGCCATTTAAAGTGAGTAGGGCCACATCCTTAGCTCCAGAGCAAAGATCTAATTGATCTAAAATCACCCTACTGTTACTTAGGACACATTAAAGGGACCTAAGCCAACAGTGAATGACAATCCTACTGACCGTAGAAATTGATAAAGAATGTGTACATTGTCTTTTTCCCCCCTCTTTCTAATTAGAATGAAGCTCAGGATTTCAAAGTTTTATTTTTTTTTTCAAAGTTTTTTATGTTCGAAGTTTTATATTCTTCTGGAATCACATGGTATTCACATGGAAAGGATGGAACCACTGCAGACATTTTATTAACACAAGGGATGTCAGGATGAGGATGAAGCCAATATACAGATGAGATTATAGCTGAAAGAAATGGAACTAAGGGTTGGGCAAACTGAGACTCAAGCTTGCCCTATATCTAGATGTTTATAATTACATTATCCCACAAATTCTTGTTCATGTTCCAAGAGTTTGAACTATTGGTTTTCTGTCACTGCAAATGATAACATTCTAACCAATACAACCAATTAAGAGTTGGTCACTAAGGAAAGTGCTGGGAAGAGAGTAGTGGAGAAAAAAGAAAAACCAACTTAGCCTCTGTACTCAAAAATCTCAGGGTCTACTAGGAAATTAATATATTAAAATAATTCATTGCAGTGAATTTTGTCATTTAGCCAAGAATGCTTTGTGACATGCACCTAAAACTCTAACTGGCATTGTCTGATCTTTGAAAGCTCGTTGAGTAAAGTTTTCCAATTACAGAATGGAGAAGTGAGCAGAACGAGGCAAAGGAAACACTGTTGTATCATCATGACCTTTATTTAATGAACAGGGATAAGGGAAGGGAAGAGATTAATGCTTTCAGTTAAGCAACTGGTTATCCATTCATTCATCCATTCACTCAATATGATGGAGAAAGCAGACGCATAAAACTTACAAATAAATGTAAAATTGGTACAGATAATAGTTGTGCAGATACTGCACAAATAAAAGGATGTTTAGCCTCATTGAGGTTACAGAAGAATTCTCCAATAAAGTGTCAATGAAACTGAGATCTAAAGAATTTATAAGAACTATGTAAATATGTACATAGGTTTTAACTCAAATTGAAAACTACCAGTAAAAAAATACAGTGTTGCCAAATTATAATTTCTTTGAATATGTTAAATGAATAAAATAGATTGTATTTTATAACCTAATTTTAAAGAGAGTATTTGGATTTAGCTATATAATAAACATATTTTATATGATATACATCTAGTGAGTAGCAGTTTTGGCTATTTTATGCTAGTCATACCAGGTTCCTATATTAATAAAAGCACTGGCTTAACATGTCATACTGAAAATAACACTGTTGAAAACATTGCAAAGCCTTCACTATTGCCCTAATGCCTTTGTCTGGAAACCAATGAAAAAGAACAAAGAATGAAAGCAGAAACAAATTTCACATTCTCCACTTGTTTAAGTAAAGGTTAATGACATTTTAAAAATGTTTCTTCAAGGAAAGGACACATAATTTCCAGCAAAACATATCAAAAATCCATGCATTAAGACATTGCATGGATACAAATATGAAAATAACAAAATTCAGTTAACTAAAACCCAAACATCTAAATGTGACTTAAGTTTCTTAGTAAAGTTATTTCTAAAGCTTGGTATTAAATTTTATCTTTTTGTTTGCTGCTCTAGCCACTGGGACAGTGTTTGGCACCTAGCAAGCGCTCAGTGACTATTGAATGAAGCTAAAATTTAATTTGGAATTTCTTCCAGCATCTCTCAGATCTATGATGCCTGAAAAAAATTAGCATTTGAGGAAATGTTCCTGATAACATTGCAGGCCTCTCCTTCTGCTCCTATTTTTTTCTTCAAACATTGTACCTATGGGACTAAAAGTGATACACTTGAAACCCATCAGTAATCAAAGTATAGGTTTCCATAGAAACCGAAACAAAAAAATATCTTCATTTTTTTCTCAGGCAGAGATACAACTGCAGATTCAAATTTAGTTAAAAGGATAAATACCGTTCAAATGATTACATGTTCATTTTATGTGCTGAATATATGATGGGGATTCTAAATTTTGCAGCCTTTTAGCTGTCTGCTTACTGTCAGGTTTTGAATTTCAATTTTGTTTTGTTTTCTTAAACAGCCTAATTGCTGTATTGATAAGAAAGTGCTTTATTATTATGTTTGTTGTTATTACATTGCACGATTATCTAATATTTATATTTGGTTTCCTTTAAATGCCTATTTGATATGTATCAAGTTCATCCATTGAACAATAATCACATCTAAATAAATGAATATTTTTAAATCCCATTTTTATGATATTTACATTTATGTCACCAAGTAACATATGTAGGTGCAATAGAAGTCCTAGAACACTTTCATGAATGACAGCAGTCAGTTTCCTATCAAATATTTAAAAAATTCTCACCAAGACTTCCTGAAATTGCCCTCACTCCTGGATGTACCTAGATATCTATTTATTGTTTTAAAAACTGAGATCCTCTTTTTACACCTCCAGAAAATATTTGTACATAGAAATCAATACTTCAAACTCTCCAAGAGTACCTGCTTAAAGAAAGGCTTTCTTCCCAGAGTGGAGACCACAATCAAATTCCACAGGAAAAGTACTGGATCCCAGGAGCTAAAGAGGAACTGTGGATGAGTTAAGAAATGAAGCTGCTCTCCAAATACTCCAGAACTATTTGCCTCTTTTGAGAATGGTAAATTATCTAAGATACAAACAGCTTATTAGTAATGGTGACAATATCTGTGCATAAAAAGTAATCTTTATTTTTTATTTTCATTTTATTTTTTGTGGCAGGCGTGATTTTTGAAAGAGCGCAGAAGGTTGAGTTGGAAGATTATAAGGAATGGTTTTGGAGCCAATGAAGCTCTTGGTAAAAGATAAGCAAGTTTAACACTAACCCTACATACCTAACCACTGAAATGGATGTATCATGTCTAGCATTTAAAAAAAAAATTGTTGGAAAACTTAACCAAAGAAATCTCTAGTAGCTTCCTAGAACTACTCAAAGGAAAATAGGACGTTCCATAAATTGCACAATAATAAAATGTACAATAAAAATAAAATGTACAATAATAAACACTTAGTCACACACTGTAACCATACCTGATTTCATTCTTCTCTGAATATGCCCATCGCATTCTAAGGTCCTGCCTTTGTTTAACCTATTTTATCTGCCTGCTATATTATTTCATGTAATCAAAGACACAAAGCACATAAATCTCATCCAAAAAAGCCCACTCCCACTATCAAAAATTATTCTCTTCTCTCTCTCTCAGCACTCAAGGCCTTTTTCCCCTTTTCTTTCCTCTTTTTAAATTGTTGTATAAAAGCATTTCTCACCTAATTTTTTTTTCTTTTTTTTTTTTTTTTGAGACAGTCTCGCTCTGTGGCCCAGGCTGGAGTGCAGTGGCACGATCTTGGCTCACTGCAAGCTCCGCCTCCCGGGTTCATGCCATTCTCTTGCCTCAGCCTCCTGAGTAGCTGACACTACAGGCGCCCACCACAAGGCCTGGCTAGTTTTTTGTATTTTTAGTACAGATGGGGTTTCACCGTGTTAGCCAGGATGGTCTTGATCTCCTGACCTCGTGATCCTCCTGCCTCGGCCTCCCAAAGTGTTGAGATTACAGGCATGAGCCACGACGCCTGGCCTAGCATTTTTTCTTACACATGCCTCAGCCACTCATTTTGATTCTATGAAAGTCATTAGAATTATTCCCTGAACACTGTGATTGAAAGTAAAACATGAAAATTTGAAGAAAGCATGTGCTCCACACAGACTGGAATTCTCTCAAAAGCAGAGAATTGTGGGAGAAAGAGGGTTAGAGCGTCTTATTATATAGTAAACAATAGTGAATTGAGTTAAACTAAAGAAAGGTTTAGATGGAGTAAGAAGGCATATCATAGTATTGTTATTTTATTATTTTAATTTTTTAGAGATGGGGTCTTGCTATATTGCCCAGGCTAGAGAGTAGTAGCTATTCATAGGCAAGATTACACTGTCAGGCCTCTGAGCCCAAGCCAAGCCATCACATCCCCTGTGACTAGCACGTATACATCCAGATGGCCTGAAGTAACTGAAGATCCACCTCTTCAACTCACACCTGACCTAAAACCTAAATGCTTTATTTTCTTCTGCAATGCCACTTGAGCCCAATACAAACTCGACAGTAGTTCCAAATAGCCAGAAAATGACACTTTGAATTTTTCCATCCTGCAAGATCTAAATAATTCTTGTCGTAACATAGGCAAACGGTCTGAGGTGCCTGACGTCCAGGCATTCTTTTACACATCAGTCCCTTCCTAGTCTCTGTGCCCAATGCAACTCGTCCCAAATCTTCCTTCTTTCCCTCCCGCCTGTCCCCTCAGTCCCAACCCCAAGAGTCGTTGAGTCTTTCTAATCTTCCTTTTCTACAGACCCATCTGACCTCTCCCCTCCTCGCCAGGCCGAGCTAGGTCCCAATTCTTCCTCAGCCTCCGCTCCTCCACCCTATAATCCTTTTATCACCTCCCCTCCTCACACCTGGTCCAGTTTACAGTTTCATTCCATGACTAGCCCTCCCCCACCTGCCCAGCAATTTCCTCTTAAAAAGGTGGCTGGAGCTAAAGGCATAGTCAAGGTTAATGCTCCTTTTTCTTTATCCCAAATCAGAAGCGTTTAGGCTCTTTTTCATCAAATATAAAAACCCAGCCCAGTTCATGGCTCCTTTGGCAGCAACCCTGAGACGCTTTACAGCCCTAGACCCTAAAAGGTCAAAAGGCCGTCTTATTCTCAAAATACATTTTATTACCCAATCTGCTCCCGACATTAAATAAAACTCCAAAAATTGGAATCTGGCCCTCAAACCCCACAACAGGACTTAATTAACCTCACCTTCAAGGTGTACAATAACAGAAAAAAGTTGCAATTCCTTGCCTCCACTGTGAGACAAACCCCAGCCACAACCTCAGCACACAAGAACTTCCAAACGCCTGAACTGCAGCAGCCAGGTGTTCCTCCAGAACCTCCTCCCCCAGGAGCTTGCTACCCGTGCCGGAAATCTGGCCACCGGGCCAAGGAATGCCCGCAGCCCAGGATTCCTCCTAAGCCGCGTCCCATCTGTGTGGGACCCCACTGAAAATCGGACTGTTCAACTCACCTGGCAGCCACTCCCAGAGCCCCTGGAACTCTGGCCCAAGGCTCTCTGACTGACTCCTTCCCAGATCTTCTCGGCTTAGCGGCTGAAGACTGACACTGCCCGATCGCCTCGGAAGCCCCCTAGACCATCACGGACGCCGAGCTTCAGGTAACTCTCACAGTGGAAGGTAAGCCCGTCCCCTTCTTAATCAATACGGAGGCTACCCACTCCACATTACCTTCTTTTCAAGGGCCTGTTTCCTTTGCCTCCATAACTGTTGTGGGTATTGACGGCCAGGCTTCTAAACCTCTTAAAACTCCCCAACTCTGGTGCCAACTTAGACAATACTCTTTTAAGCACTCGTTTTTAGTTATCCCCACCTGCCCAGTTCCCTTATTAGGCTGAGACACTTTAACTAAATTATCTGCTTCCCCGACTATTCCTGGACTACAGCTATATCTCATTGCCACCCTTCTTCCCAATCCAAAGCCTCCTTTGCGTCCTCCTCTTGTATCCCCCCACCTTAACCCACAAGTATAAGATACCTCTACTCCCTCCTTGGCGACCAGTCATGCACCCCTTACCATCTCATTAAAACCTAATCACCCTTACCCCACTCAATGTCAAGATCCCATCCCACAGCATGCTTTAAAAGGATTAAAGCCTGTTATCACTCGCCTGCTATAGCATGGCCTTTTAAAGCCTATAAACTCTCCTTACCATTCCCCCATTTTATCTGTCCTAAAACCAGACAAGGCTTACAAGTTAGTTCAGAATCTGTGCCTTATCAACCAAATTGTTTTGCCTATCCACCCCATGGTGCCAAACCCATATACTCTCCTATCCTCAATACCTCCCTCTACTACCCATTATTCTGTTCTGGATCTCAAACATGCTTTCTTTACTATTCCTTTGCGCCCTTCATCCCAGCCTCTCTTTGCTTTCACTTAGACTGACCCTGACATGCATTAGGCTCAGCAAATTACCTGGGCTGTACTGCCGCAAGGCTTCACAGACAGCCCCCATTACTTCAGTCAAGCCCAAATTTCATCCTCATCTGTTACCTATCTCAGCATAATTCTCATAAAAACACACGTGCTCTCCCTGCTGATCGTGTCCGATTAATCTCCCAAACCTCAATCCCTTACAAAACAACAACTCCTTTCCTTCCTAGGCATGGTTAGTGCGGTCAGAATTCTTACACAAGAGCCAGGACCGCACCCTGTAACCTTTCTGTCCAAACAACTTGACCTTACTGTTTTAGCCTAGCCCTCATGTCTGCGTGCAGTGGCTGCCACTGCTTTAATACTTATAGAGGCCCTAAAAATCGCAAACTATGCTCAACTCACTCTCTACATTTCTCATAACTTCCAAAATCTATTTTCTTCCTCATACCTGACGCATATACTTTCTGCTCCCCGGCTCCTTCAGCTGTACTCACTCTTTGTTAAGTCCCATAATTACCATTGTTCCTGGCCCAGACTTCAATCTAGCCTCCCACATTATTCCTGATACCACACCTGACCCCCATGACTGTATCTCTCTGATCCACCTGATATTCACCCCGTTTCCCCATATTTCCTTCTTTCCTGTTCCTCACCCTGATCACGCTTGATTTATTGATGGCAGTTCCACCAGGCCTAATCTCCACACACCAGCAAAGAGGCAGGCTATGCTATAGTACAAGCCACTAGCCCGCCTCTCAGAACCTCTCATTTCCTTTCCATCGTGGAAATCTATCCTCAAGGAAATAACTTCTCAGTGTTCCATCTGCTATTCTACTACTCCTCAGGGATTATTCAGGCCCCCTCCTCCCTGCCCTACACATCAAGCTGGAGGATTTGCCCCAACCCAGGACTGGCAAATTAGCTTTACTCAACATGCCCTGAGTCAGGAAACTAAAATACCTCTTAAGTCTAAATAGACACTTTCACTGAATAAGTAAAGGCCTTTCCTACAGGGTCTGAGAAGGCCACCACAGTCATTTCTTCCCTTCTGTCAGACATAATTCCTCAGTTTAGCCTTCCCACCTCTATACAGTCTGATAACAGACCAGCCTTTATTAGTCAAATCAGCCAAGCAGTTTTTCAGGCTCTTAGTATTCAGTGAAACCTTTATATCCCTTACGGTCCTCCGTCTTCAAGAAAAGTAGAATGGACTAAAGGTCTTTTAAAAACACACCACACCAAGCTCAGCCACCAACTTAAAAAGGACTGGACAATACTTTTACCACTTTCGCTTCTCAGAATTCAGGCCTGTCCTCGGACTGCTACAAGGTACAGCCCATTTGAGTTCCTTTTTATTAGGCCCCAGTCTCATTCCAGACACCGGACCAACTTAGACTGTGCCCCGAAAAAACTTGTCATCCCTACTATTTTCTGTCTAGTCATACTCTTATTCTCCGTTCTCAACTACTCATACATGCCCTGCTCTTGTTTACACTGCCGGTTTACACTCTTTCTCCAAGCCAACACAGCTGATATCTCCTCTTGCTATCCCCAAACTGCCACTCTTAACTCTTGAAGTAAATAAATAATCTTTGCTGGCAGGTCTATACTGAATCTCCTTAGGCACTTTCTAATCAGATGTCCTAGGTCCTCCCAATTCTTAGACCTTTTACACCTGTTTTTCTCCTTCTCTTATTCCATTTAGTTTTTCAATTCATACAAAACCGTATCCAGGCCATCACCAATAATTCTACACAACAAATGTTTCTTCTAACAACCCCACAATATCACCCCTTACCGCAAAATCTTCCTTCAGCTTAATCTCTCCCACTCTAGGTTCCCACGCCGCCCCTAATCCCGCTTGAAGCAGCCCTGAGAAGCATCGCTCATTCTCTCTCCATACCACCCCCAAAAATTTTCGCCGCCCCAAGACTTCAACACTATTTTGTTTTATTTTTCTTATTAATATAAGAAGGTAGGAATGTCAGGCCTCTGAGCTCAAGCCAAGCCATCTCATCCCCTGTGACTTGCACGTATACATCCAGATGGCCTGAAGTAACTGAAGATCCACAAAAGAAGTAAAAATAGCCTTAACTGATGACATTCCACCATTGTGATTTGTTCCTGTCCCGCCCTAACTGATCAATGTACTTTGTAATCTCCCCCACCCTTAAGAAGGTCTTTGTAATTCTCCCCATCCTTGAGAATGTACTTTGTGAGATCCACCCCTGCCCGCAAAACATTGCTCTTAACTTCACCGCCTATCCCAAAACCTGTAAGAACTAATGATAATCCACCACCCTTTGCTGACTCTCTTTTTGAACTCAGCCCGCCTGCACCCAGGTGAAATAAACAGCCATGTTGCTCACACAAAGCCTGTTTGGTGGTCTCTTCACATGGACGCGCATGAAACATACTGCACTACAGCCTCAAACTACTGGGCTCAAACAATCTCCCTGCCTCTGCCTCCCAAGTACTCTTGAACCTGGTGCCATCCCTATTGGAAAGGCTGAAGCAGGAAGAATGAGCCCAGTAGAGCATGCTACAGGTGCATGCCACCATGCCTGGCTTTGGTGGTGTTTTTTTAATGTATCTAAGCACACTTCTCCAAATATAAATCCCTGTTACATTAAAAAAGCAGAACCTTAGATCTAATGAAAACTAAAAGAAAGCTTGATTAATCTTCAGGAGAATAAATTATATCTTGCATATTATTCAGCCTCAAATATTTATCTTGGTTCTCTGTAGGCAGTGGTTCTTAATCATTTTTATCCCAAGGATTCTCTGGTAATTCAATGCAAAACAATAAGAACCTAGAGTCATCACTAGATAAGCAGAAACTGAGGAAGGAGTAAATGATCCAAAGAAATAAAGATGCATTTTGCCTTGTCACAGGAATTGCAAGGGGAGACATTCCCAATGCTGGAGGGTCTTCAAAAGTCCCACAGAAGCACTCCATGAGATAAAGAAAGAGTCTGTTTTAAACACCTTCCAAGTTTAGTAAAAGCTGACGTTCGCTTGCCATCGCAGCATAAGTCAAGCAAGAATTCTTCCCCTCCCCTTGCCTCCCTTTGTATCCACATGCTCCAATTCAGGATGAGTCTGGAACCTAACTGTCAAAATCTCATAAGTAAGTGCAAGGAAAAATAAGTCAACTTCAGCTATAAACTTAGCTTTAAAAGTCCTGAAAGTATAAGAAAAATAATATGGTCAATTACAGTATATTTCAGAAATGCAAAAATGATTCAACCTCAAAAAATTTAACAATGTGATATTACGCAACAGTGTTCAAAAGTGGAGAAATTAATATCTTCTTATTAGGAGTCTAAATGCATTTAATAAAAGCTAACACCTATTTACAAATAAAAGCTTTTAGAAAACTAGAAATATAAGGTAGTTTCTTTAACTTGATATACTCTATCAAATCCCTATAGGAAAGATTCTATTTAATGGGAAAACTAGAGAAGGTTGGAAACAAGAAAAGAATCTCTCCCCTACAATTCACCTTAGAAGAGGAGATATTGACCAATGCAGTAAGATGAGAGGAAAAAGATAGGTAAAAATTGTAGGAAACAAGATCAAATTATATGCTGTTATTTATATCACAAACACAAGAAAATCAAAAGAGATTAGAATCAGGTTAGAATCAGAGTCAGACAGATATTTGCTTTGTGTGTATCAATTTCCAAAAGCCGTATGTTCCTCTAGGTATTTTCATGAGTAATTGTGATGGTTAGTTTTATGTTATCAATTTGGCTAAGCTGTAGTGCTCAATTATTTGAATGAAACACTAATCCAGTTGTTGCTGTGAATATATTCTATAGATGCGGTTAACATCTTCCATCAGTTGACTTCAAGTAAAGATTACCCTTGGTAATGTGAATGTGCCTCATCTTATTATTTGAACACCTTACGAGAAAGTACAAGTTTTCCACAAAGGAACCTTTCCACAAGACTGCAGTATTAACTCCCGCCTTCGTTTCCAGCCTGCAGGCCCGCCCTACAGATCCCGAACTTACTAGCCCCCACAATTAGGTAAGCTAATCCCTTAAAATATATATAGATATGAGATAGAGAGAGAGACAGAGTGTGAGAGAGAGATATCCTATCAATTATGTTTCTCTGGAGAATTTTTAATACAATGAGTAAAATAGGAAAATGAGATATATTTTGCAATGGTGTGAAAATCTGTATCTTATCGAGAAACAAAGCTATATAAAAATTAGTAAGACCAATACAGATAAAAATTTAAGCTTTATTAAAAGACATAAAATAAGTGAGATGACATGATTATGGATGGGATTTTTTAATATCCAATGCAATTGCAACTTTAATCTCAGGCAGATTTTAGTAGAATGTGAGAAACATGTCCCAAAATAAATGTGGAAGAATAAAGATTAACAAACAGCTAAGGAAATTATTGAAATAATTTTTGAAAAAGGAGAATCCACCTGCTGGATATAAGCACGTGTTATTTTTTTCCTTCAACTTTTATTTTAAGTTCCAGGATACATGTGCAGGATGTACAGGTGTGTTGTATAGGTAAACGTGTGCCATGGTGGTTTGCTGCACAGATCAACCCATCACTTAGGTAGTAAGCCCAGCATCCCTTAGCTATTCTTCCTGATGTTCTCCCTCCTCCCTCTACCACCCCTCAAAAGGCCCCATTGTGTGTTGTTCCCCCTCAGGGGTCCATGTGTTTTCATCATTCAGCTCCCACTTATAAGTGAGAATACACAGTGTTTGGTTTTCTGTTCCTGCATTAGTTTGCTGAGGATAACGGCTTCCAGCTACATCCATGTCCCTGCAAAGGACATGATCTAGTACTTTTTTATGGCTGCATAGTATTCCATGGTGTCATATGCTACATTTTTTTATCCAGTCTATCATTGATGGGCATTTGGGTTGATTCCATGTCTTTGCTATTGTGAATAGTGCTGCAATAAACATATGTGTGCATGTGTCTTTATAACAGAATGATTTATATTGCTTTGGGTTTATACCTAGTAATAGGATTGCTGGGTCAAATGGTATTTCCACCTCTAGATCTTTGAGGAATTACCACACTATCTTCCACAATGGTTAAACTAATTTACACTCCCACCAACAGGGTGAAAGTATTCCTTTTTCTCTGCAACCTTGCCACCATCTGTTGTTTTTTCACTGTTTAATAATGGCCATTCTGACTGGCGTGAGATGGAATCTCATTGTGGTTTTGATTTGCATTTCTCTAATGATCAGTCATGTTGAGCTATTTTTCATATGTCTGTTGGCTGCATGTATGTATTATTTTGAAAAGTGTTCATATCCTTTGGCCACTTTTTAATGGGGTTGTTTGTTTTTTTCTTGTAAATTTGTTGAAGTTCCTTGTAGACTCTGGATATTAGACCTTTATCAGATGGATAGATCACAAAAATTTGCTTTCATTCTGTAGGTTGTCTGTTCACTCTGGTGATAGTTTCTTTTGCTGTGCAGAAGCTCTTTAGTTTAATTAGATCCCATTTATCAATTCTTTCTTTTGTTGCAATTGCTTTTGGCATTTTTGTCATGAAATCTTTGCCCGTGCCTATATAAGCACGTATTTTAAATCCATTGATATCAAATCAGTGCAGTGCAATTCATGCACAGGAAGTGACACATGGATCAATGAAATGAAGTATTTCCCTAGTCACATGTAAGTGACAAAACTTTAAGACATTGCAAATGACAGAAGACAGAGCAGATTGTATAATAAATAATGTTGGGAAAAATGGCTTGTTACAAGAAGAGAACAAGTAGATTTCCTACCACACAATACATGCAACTGTAAAAGTGTTAAATCTAAATGTTAAAGGGCATGTTGTAAAACACTTTAAAGATTTCAGAGAGTTGTTTCATAAATTTGAGTTGCGAAATAATTTCTTAAGACTCCAAAAGACCAATTTGCTTTTAAATTTATAAATAGTATAATTTAATTACACAAAGTAAGCCATTTATTTTTTACAAACAACTTAACCCTAAAAATATCAAGTTGATAGAATTGTATATAATTCCTCTCTAAAAGTAGATTAAATAACTCCATTTTTGAAATGGAGAATTGAAATGATTCTCAAAACCCATGAATGAGCTGAGATTTATAACTTAAGGAGCAGTGCTTTGTGCACAGATTTTCTAAATCTTACTTAATCACTTCTCCAACTGAAACTACTCTTGTCAGTTACTCACAAATAATTCTTCCTACCCCTTTGTCAGGACAAGTTCTAGGCATGGTGGTAGAGTTTACATATTTTGTCTTAAGGTTCCTCAACAATTTTCTAAATCCTCTCAGATCTGATTTTTCAATTCATCTCTGTCGACACAGGAGTCTGCTAGGGAAATGCTCACAGGTACTGTACATTCCCTGGAGAGGTAGCATAAAAATACTAAGACATACGATCAAAAGACCTAGATTCCACATCTATCCCTCCCACTACCAGCTCTGTGACCTTAGGAAAGTATATTGTCACTTTTTGTCAAGTATACATATGGCTAAAACTAGGGGGACAATGAGCTTGCAAGGCCCTTCATAGTTCTAACAACTATAATTCTGCCATTACCAATGACGCTAATGTGAGATTATAAATCATGGTAGACCAAAGTGAAAGATATCTGGGAATAGGCCCCATGGACTCTGACACTGCAAATACAGCGTCAATTACCTAGTACTTTTATGACAACAACTGACCCTATCCTCAATATGGTAAGAAAAATTTCTGTTTTCTGGGTTCTTTAGTTGTTGACAACAGAAAAACAAAATTGGCTAAATTAAGCAAGAAAATTTTTTTAAAAAATTATTCGAAGCAAATGTGATGAGTCATGAAATTGAAAAACAGAGCCGGTAAACTAAGTTTCTTAAAGAACAGTGTGATAATTAATTTTATGTGTCATCTTGACTGTACCACAGGGTGCCCAGATATTTGGTTAAACATTATTCTGGGTGTGTCTGTGAGGGTGTTTCTGAGCTGGGGCATCAGTCTTCCCCTGTCTTTGGATGCAGACTTGCACTGGAACTTACACCATCAGCTCTCTTGGGTATCCAGATTGCTGAATGCAAATCTTGGGACTTCTCAGCCTCCATAATCCAATTCCTTATAATACATATTGGTACATATATTTATATAATATATACAGAGGCTGAAAAACTAATGTACATATATATATATATATATCTCCTATCCATTTGTTTTTCTGGAGTCCCTGACTATATATACAGAAACTCAAAAATCCCTTGGGATGATGAGAAAAAAGACAGAGAGCATCCCCACATCACCGTGGAGGTACTTCTTTACCAACTACTTCCTCTCTTCATTTCATCTGTGAGAGCTATTTTGCCTTAGTTGGATTATAAACTTATCATCTCTTGGCCAAGGGAAGTCAAAGCATCTTGGTTGAAATCATGGACAAGGCTGACTGCAATAGAAGAGAGAGATCTTTTTCTCAAAGAGAATCAAGATAGCTACCACACAAAGGAGAAATTAATCTTGGATAAGCAAGAACAACAGCTCTCACAACAATTACTCACGGAAATCTCTGACATTGTCATAATTGTCATTTTCTGAGCCTTTGCTCACATTGGAAGCTCTCCGCTGTCAGGCCTAATAGAATCAGAGAAATTATCGATACTCTGCAGCTCATCTTCCTCTGAAATGGTAGTTTACTTGCTTGGACTTGTTGGGGACCCTCTGCTGTTTTTATTCCCCCCATTCCTTTACTCAAATCTCTTCAAACAATCAAAAAAGAAAAAAAAACTAAGAATATGTATTTACGTTTTTTCTCAATGTCTCAAAAGAATTTTAATGTCTTTAAAAAGCATGTTTTTCTCCAGGCACAGTCAGTCTTGGTAATTTACTATCCATACTTTCATAGGGATAGAGTAAGATGTGCAAAACCAAATGAGGTAGAGTTCATTTTGAAAATAGAGAAAGATATTATAGTCTAGAAAATCACTGACAGAACTACTTCTGCTCCATTATGACCAAACTCTTTTTTAGAATTAAGAATCCATCATGCTGGCAAGAAATGTGCTTGGAAGGATGCAGAGTTATTCTGCGATCTCAATGAGAAAAGATGTAGAGGTGGCAAAAGAAAATTTTGCAAACTTCCTAAATGTGTCTACACTCAAGTTACTACTTTCCTTCAGCAACCTGGATTTGATTATAAGGATGACTGAATAGTATAAAATAGGTTTGTTTTAGTCTCATGGTTTCTTGGGGATTTAATTCCTATTTGATTTTGATTACCTTTTTACAAAATGGGACAAAATGTGGCCACTGGATATTGAATGTTTCAGCAGATGCTATCTGGTCTTACCCAGTGGTAAACTGCACGACCATCTGACCTCCCTGAAGTTGCAGCCAAATACAGCACTGAGAATGTATGTGTCCTTTGTGAATATTGCACTTCTTGTTTACTTTGAAGAAGTCCTTTTCCCTGACACTCTAGAAATAAGGAGAAGCCTAGCCCTGGAGAAGAGCTTTACTGATGCCCACTACCACAGAACTGCCTGTGCCCATGGAGACACACCTGCAGCGATAGAATCCTCTTCCTATTTTTGCCCCAGTCTGTGTAGTTATTTGCAATGGAGACAAGCAAAGAGAAATTGGAAGAAATATCTGACTTAAACAGAGCATTTGAAATGCAGGGGTTTCATGTGTTAATATAGACAAAGATTCCATCTGGAGTTGAAATCTGGTCTGATTTTAAAAATATGTAATAATATGTGAATAAACCATCTTAAAAATACAAGAGTTCAAGACCAGCCCGGGCAACACGGTGAAACCCCGTCTCTACTAAAATACAAAGAATTAGCCGAGCATGATGGTGGGCACCTGTAGTCCCAGCTACTCAGGAGGCTGAGGCAGGAGAATTGCTTGAACCTGGGAGGCAGAGGTTGCAGTGAGCCAAGATCACGCCACTACACTCCAGCCTGGGTGACAGAGCGAGACTCTGTCTCACCAAACAAAACAAAACAAAACAAAAACAAAACTGACTCTTTTGGAGAGCAAGCTTTTACTAAGCCTGTGACCTCAGCTATGTCATTTAATTTCTCTTAGTCTGGTCTTATTTATCTGTTTAGTAGTATCTGCCTCACCCAACTCAGAGGACAATTTGAAATAATGGACGTGAAAACACAATGTAAATCCAAAGTGAAGTGAAATGGAATTATTTCTGGGAAACAGTCTGATGTAATTCAAATAAAATAGGCATTGCAGTTAGGATATCTTGGTCCAACTGAAGATTCTTAATAGCAAGGTATATATTTTGGCATTTTCAATTACAGGAACATGAACTAGCAATAAATAGTAGAAAAATCATTAGCTCAGGTTTGTAGTCAGACAGACATAGGTTCAAGTACAGACTCTGCCACTTAATAATTTTTGTTGTCACACAGCACCTTCCCCTGTCTAATACTCAATTTTCCCTCTTGCAAAATGAGAAAAATATTCTCTACCACGACCAAAATTAAACTGGCAATATACCCATAAAAGGAAAGAGAAAGATCAAATGAAAAAAGTTAAGGCAGCCTCAGATGCAAGAGGAGCTGAAGAAATGTAAAAGGTGGTGATAAACTACACCAAAAGAAGAACAGCTGCAGATTCTAAAAACCAAAAAGTAATCAGGTATTTTAAATGAAAATGAGAATTTTGCTTAGCATTAATGGGGAAAAAGGCCTCCCAGTTAAAAAGGCTAGAGAAAGGCAACTTTAGTAATCTAAACCAGCTAAAAACTAGTGAGATTTTGCAGGGGCAACAAAAGAGGTCAGGGTATTTCATCACCTACTCAGAATTACGCATTAAAAAATATGTGGATAGGATATTCTTCGGCCTAAGCAACTAAAAAGATGGGTGTGTAAATATGTCAAAGCTGTATGGTCATGGAAACATATGTCTTCTTTTCTTTTTTTTTCTTCAACTTTTAAGTTCCAGGGTACACTTGCAGGATGTGCAGGTTTGTTACACAGGTAAACGTGCCATGGTGGTTTGCTTTACAGATCAATCCATCACCCAGGAATTAAGCCGAATTAAGCCCAGCAACCATTAGCTATTGTTCCTTGTGCTCTCACTCCCCCTGGCCACCCTGACAGTCCCCAGTGTGGGTTGTTTTCCTCCATGTGTCCATGTGTTCTCATCATTCAGCTCCCACTTATAAGTGAGAACATATAGTGTTTGGTTTTCTGTTCCTGCATTAGTTTGCTGAGGATAACGGCTTCCAGCTCCATACAAGTCTCTGCAAAAGACATCATCTCATACCTTTTATGCCTGCATAGTATTCCATGGTGCATATGTAAATTTTCTTTATCCAGTATATCACTAATGGGAATTTGGGTTGATTCCATGTCTTTGCTATTGTGAATAGTGCTGCAGTGAACATATGTGTGAATGTGTCTTTGTAATAGAATGATTTCTATTCCTTTGTGTTTATACCCAGTAACAGGATTGCTGGGTCAAATGGTATGTCCACCTCTGATCTCTGAGGAATTGCCATAGTCTTCCACTGTGGTTGAACTAATTTAAACTTCCACCACAGTGCTAAAGTGTTCCTCTTTCTCTGCAACCTTGCCAGCATCTGTTGTTTTTTTTGACTTTTTAATAGTAGGCATTCTGACTGGCGTGAGATGGTTATCTTATTGGGGTTTTAATTTGCATTTCTCTAATGATCAGTGATGTTGAGTTATTTTCATGTTTCTTAGCCACATGGATGTCTTCTTTTGGGAAGTGTCTGTTCATGTCCTTTGCCCACTTTTTAATGGGATTGTTTGTTTTTTCTTTTTTTATAAATTTAAGTTCCTTGTAGACCCTGGATACTAGATCTTTGTCAGATGGATAGATCACAGAAATTTTCTCCCATTCTGTGGGTTGTCTGTTCACTCTGATGATAGTTTTTGTTGTTGTTGTTGTTTGCTGTGCAAAAGTTCTTCAGTTTAATTAGATACCATTTTTCAATTTTTGCTTTCATTGCTATTGCTTTTGGCATTTTCATCATGAAATCTTTGCCAGTGCTTATGTCCTGAATGGTACTGCCTGGGTTTTCTTCTAGAGTTTTTACAGTTTTGGGGTTTACATTTAAGTCTTTAGTCCCTCTTGAGTTAATTTTTGTATAAAGTATAAGGAAAGGGTCTAGTTTCAATTATCTGCATATGGCTAGCCAGTTCTCCCAGCACCATTTATTAAATAGGGAATCCTTTACCCATTCTTTGTTTTTGTCAGGTTTAAGATCAAATAGTTGTAGGTGTGTGGTCTTATTTCTGAGTTCTCTATTCTGTTCCATTGGTCTATGTGTCTGTTTTTGTACTGGTACCATGCTGTTTTGGTTACTGTAGCCTTATAGTATAGTTTAAAGTCAGGTAGCATAATGCCTCCAGCTTTGCTTTTTTGCTTAGGATTGTCTTGGCTATTCAGGCTCTTATTTGGTTCCATATGAATTTTAAAATAGTTTCTTCTAATTCTGCGAAGATTGTCAATGGTACGTTAATGGGAATAGCATTGAATCTATAAATTACTTTGGGTAGTATGGCCATTTTCACAATATTGATTCTTCTTATCCATGAGCATGGAATGTTTTTTCATTTGTTTGTGTCCTTTCTGATTTCTTTGAGCAGAGGTTTGTAGTTCTCCTTGAAGAGGTCCTTCACTTCAATTAGCTGTATTCCTAGGTATTTTATTCTTTTTGTGGTAATTGTGAATGGAAGTTTATTCATAATTTGGCTCTCTGCCTGCCTGTTGGTGGTGTATAGGAATGTTAGCAATTTTTGCACATTGATTTTGTATCCTGAAAATTTGTTGAAGTTGCTTATCAGCTTAAGAAGGTTTTGGGCTGAGACTATGGGGTTTTCTAAATATAGGATAATGTCATCTGCAAACAGGGATAATTTGACTTCCTCTCTCCCTGCTTAAATACCCTTTATTTCTTTCTCTTGCCTGATTACCCTGGTGAGAACTTCCAATGCTATGTTGAATAGGAGTGGTGAGAGAGGCATCTTTTTCTTGTGCCAGTTTCCAAAGGGAATGCTTCCAGCCTTTGCCCATTCAGTATGATATTGGCTATGTGTTTGTCATATATGGCTCTTAATATTTTGAGATATGTTCCTTCAATACCTAGTTTATTAAGAGTTTTTAACATAAAGGGATGTTAAATTTTATCAAAGGCCTTTTCTGCATCTATTGAGATAATCATGTGGTTTTTGTCTTTGTTTATGTTTATGTGATTAATTACATTTATTAATTTGCATGTGTTAAATCAAACTTGTATCCTGGGGAATAAGCCAACTTGATTGTGAGAGACAGGCTTTTTAGATGTACTGCCTGATTCGGTTTGTTCGTATTTTATTGAAGATTTTTGCTTCGATGTTCATCAGGGGTATTGGCCTGAAGTTTTCTTGTTTTGTTGTTGTATCTCTTTCAGGTTTTGGTACCAGGATGATGCTGGCTTCATAAAATGAGTTAGGGAGGAGTCCCTCCTTTTCAATTGTTTGGGATAGTTTCGGTAAAAATGATACCAGCTCTTCTTTTTACCTCTGACAGAATTCAGCTGTAAATCTGTTTTTGTTTGTTTGTTTGTTTGTTTGTTTTGTTTTGTTTTTACTTGGCAGGCTATTGATTACTACTTCAATTTCAGAACTTGTTATTGGTCTATTCAGGGATTCAATTTCTTCCTGGCTCAGTCTTGGGAGGGTATATGTGTCCAGGAATTTATCCATTTCCTCTAGATTTTCTAGTTTATGTGTATAGAAGTATTCATAGTATTCTCTAATGGTTGTTTGTATTTCTGTGGGGTCAGTGGTGATATCCCCCTTATTTTGATTGTATCTGTTTGGTTCTTCTCTCTTTTCTTCTTCATTAGTCTAGCTAGCAGTCTATTTTATTATTATTTTTAAATAACCAGCTCTTGGATTCATTGATTTTTTGAAGGGTTTTCCGTGTCTCTATCTCTCAGTTCTGCTCTGATCTTGATTATTTCTTTTATCCTGCTAGCTTTGGGGTGTGTTTTCTCTTGGTTCTCTAGTTCTTTTAGCTGTGATGTTAGGTTGTTGATTTAAGATCTTACTAGCTTTTAGATGTGGGCATTTAGTAATATAAATTCCTTTAACACTGCTTTAGCTGCGTCCCAGAGATTCTGGTACATTTTCTCTTTGTTCTCATTAGCCTCAAAGAACTTCTTGATTTCTGCCTTAAATTCATTATTTACCCGGGAGTCATTCAGGAGCAGGTTGTTTACAGTTGGTAGCTCCAGATTTCTAGCCAATAACCATATATTTAACACCACCTTACAAATAGGAAAAGAGAAATGCCAGAAACATGTTTAAATGCTTTCTCACAGTAACAGCAAAATGCACAGAGTGGAGGGAACATGAGAGTTCCTTTACATTTTAAACATCTTTGGAAAGATGCACAACTTTGATGCCATTTCAGGGTGCTCCGGACACCCATGGCCACTTCATATAAAGCGCTCACAATTTCTAGGGCACTTTGAGAGACTCCAATATGATTGTAGTGAAATTTTGTAATTAAACCTAATGAGGGCAACCGACACTTCTCAAATAAGAGATGTGTCAATTATAGTGCTCCCTTACTCTAAGGCATTCACAAGGAGACAGATAAACAGGTTTTTTTTTTTACTCATCCTACTCCTCCTTCTTCTCTTCTTCCTCCTCGTCTTCTTCATCTTCCTCTTCCGTCTTCTTCCGGGCAACTTTAGCAGGATCCTTTGCACCAGCAAACTTTCCTTGAAACTTATAGTCAGCAGCATTCTTCTCATACTTCTCCTTCAGCTTGGCCATCTTAGGGATGTAAGGCTGCTTTTCATTGTCACTTAGGTTATTCCACATCTCACCCAGTTTTCTTTTTTTTGCCATGTCACCAAAAGAGTTGCCAGGGTTTGTGGATTTTATCTTGGGGCTGAATTCTTAACAGAACAGGAAGAATGCAGTCGATGGCCTTTTGGGGGCATTAGGGTCCTTCTTCTTGTCTCACTTAGCTGGTCCATAATCCTTCATTTCCCAATCATAGCATACTTTATCCGCCTTTGCCACTTCACCAAATTTAGGCTTCTCTTTCCCAGACTCTGTCTTCTACCTCTCAGAGCGCTTCTTGGAAAATTCTGTAAAATTGACAGGGAGACCTCTGGGTTTTTCTTCTTATGTTCTTCTCTGCACATCTGCCCAAAGAAGGCATAAGCAGACATGTTGCCCTTTTTGCTCGGGGTTATCGTTAGCCATCCTGACTATAGTGTTCACTAGTCTAAGCAGTGCAGGGCATGACACGCAGCTCGGCGCTCCCCAGCCGCCTCACACTAGCTGCCTCCACGAGAGCCACCTATTCCCTATTCCTTTCTTTCTTTTGTTTTCTTTTGTTTTCTATTTTTATTTTTATTTTTTTTATTTAGACAAAGCCTCACTCTGTCACCCAGGGTGGAGTGCAGTGGTGCGATCTTAGCTCACTGCAACCTCTGCCTCCCGGGTTCAAGCGATTCTCCTGCCTCAGTCTCCTGAGTAGCTGAGACTAGGCGCCCGCCACTACACCCGGCTAATCTTTGTATTTTTAGTAGAGACGGGGTTTCGCCATGTTGGCCAGGCTGGTCTCGAACTCCTGACCTCTGGTGATCCACCTGCCTCAGCCTCCCAAAGTGCTAGGATTACAGGCATGAGCCACGGCACCAGCCCTCTTCTTTTCAAAGTAAGTCTCCAGTGGGCTTTTCTGGAGGCCCAAGTAACTTGCATTTATCAGTTTATAGGATTTAGATTCTGCAGTGAAGCCAGGGATAACACAAGTAAAGCAAACTTTTGAAATTAAAGCAACATGCAGCTACATAACCAAAGAGCTCTATCTTATAGCTGTGGTAAAATATTTATGAGACAAGAATTTCACAACAAAGCTGAAAAATATGTTAGATGCATATTGGTGGAGAATATTTTATTCTTCTTTTTTTTCTGAGAAGAATTGAACCGATAAGCCACATTTGATGAATGTTATGAATAATTCAGCTGGGTATGTTTGAGCATCAAAGACATATAATTTTTTAAAAAGCCAGAACTTTATCAATATATCAATATACAGTGGTGATGACATAACAAAGTTATTTTAAGGGTACACAGGAATAGGGACTTAGGTTTGGTACAACATCCAAACATCATGAAAACAAGAGCATATTTCATGAAGAATCCAGGGCAGCCTTGAGATCTTCTCCTTGTTTCTCTAGTGCTAGGGGAGAGAAATTCTTCAAAGTAAACCAGAAGTACAATATGCACAGAGGCCACAAGTAGTCTGGGTGTTATATTTTGCTGCAACCTGAGGAGGAACAGGTAGTCATATTTTCATGCCCATATCCACCATTGGAGTAGCTCAATTACCTCTGTATATCTGCTAATGTCTGCCTTGTATCAAATGTCTTCTAGTGACATTCTTTTTCCCCTCTTGACTTCCACTTGGCCCATAATTTTCTCTTCCCTGTGATTTTGACTCACCAGGAGCCCAGAGGCCATCAATTACCTCATAGGATCCTTTCAGCTTCTACTTGCACTCCAGCAACTTTCATTCACAGTTCATATTCCCAGGAGAGATGAGCTGATTGATCCACCCCGTCTTTTCATATCAATCCGTGGCACAATTTCTGACTGGCCTTTGGGTCAGATGCCACTTTCAGTCCAATCATTTGTTAATGGGAAAGTCACATGGTTCATAACAGGGAATTTAGGTGAGGAACTTTCATTCACAAGAATTGGGTCTTGATATATTATGAGACCACTCTCAGTGACTATGGAAATCTAAGCAAGTCATTAACTAGCTTTAAGCACTCTGTGCCTGTCTCACCAGATTTTTGTAATCATGATATGAAATAATTTATGTGAGAGCCCTTTGTAACTTCTAAAGTAAACTATCATGATATGAATATGCATATATTTAATTCTTTTCTTTTTCTTTTTTCTTTTTTTTTTTTGAGACAGGGTCTCACTCTGTTGCCCAGGCTGGAGTGCAGTAGCATGATCTGGGCTCACTGCAACCTCCACCTCCCGGTTCAAGCAATTCTTCTGCCTCAGCCTCTCAAGTAGCCCAGACTACAGGCACATGCCACCACACCTGGCTAATTTTTGTATTTTTAGTAGAGATTGTGTTTTACCATGTTGTCTAGGCTGGTTTCGAACTCCTGGCCTCAAGTGATCCACCTGCCTTGGCTTCCCAAAGTGCTGGGATTACAGTTGTGAGCCACTGTGTCAGGTCTCTTAAATTTATTTTTTAAATTATTCAGTTCCATGTATGTAACAATTGGCTCTGAGGAATTTGTGGTCAGTTCTCAAGAACAAGGTGCTTGTTACAGATTCCCTTAAATGTGCCAACAGTCTGAATTAGAGCTTCTTAATGTAATTCAGGTCATTTCAGTTCAGATGAATATTTCTGTGTGCCTCTTCAGTACATAATGGACTACATTAAGGTCTCTAGCCCAGTGCTGAACACTGTCCAGTTTTTAGGAATAGGACACTATGTAATGTCTTCCCCCCACCACACACACACAAATATCTTGTTTTGAAAATATTTTCGTGACTATAGTAATTATTTATCAATTGCCAGCTTCCAGGAAGATACTACATAGGCCTTATCCTCAAGGTCTGACCATGTTGAAGGACTTAAAAATGGATTTCACAATACTATAAAATATAAAGTGGAACTATTGTTTTTTGAGATAGTTTATCCAGCTGCACAACTGGACTAAGTAGGGGGTATAGCCCCCACACAAGGTCACTCTCACTTCTGACACCAGTTGAATGTTTAGGGATGGGAGCGGATTTCCAAAACCACCTTTGTATTTGATAATTCACTGGAAAGGCTCACCAAACTCTCTAAAAGCTGTTATACTCGTGATTATGGATTACTACAAGGAAAGGATGCAAATTAAAATCATCCAAGGAAAGAAGTACGTAAGACAGAGTCCAGGGAAGGTGGCACGAAGAGAGCTTCTGCTGTCCTCCCCCCTGGCATCATGGACACATTCCTTTCCCAGCACCAATGTGAGACAACATGCATGGAGTATTGCCAACCAGGAAAGCTCACCCAAGATTTTGTTGTCCAGAGATTTTATTGCGGCTCAATCACACACTGCTGTGTGGTTAATCTTTAGTCTCCAGGATTTGCCAGAAGTCATACTGACATCTTTAACCTCCAGTTCCCTCCAGAGACAAAACTCAAACCACATGGCCAAAAGTCCCATCATAAATCACGTTGTCAGACTGTCAGATGGTCAAAGCCTCCAGGCAAACAAAGACCCTCCTCCCCTCAGGCATGAAATATCAGGCATTTAGATCTCACCTTCCAGTAGCTTAGGGCAAAGTCCAGACCTCTCTTTGAGTAAGGTTAATTCTTATCACTACACAATAACTAAGTGTAATAAGTGACATTTAACTCAATGAGAATTCTAGTAAGATGATGCTCAGGGAGGTTAGAGACCACTGGTGAGGCTGGGATAGAATCACATAAAATTGATATGCTGTATACAGAGGTAAAAATATGAACCAAGATAATCTAAGAAAGCAAACAAGGCAGGTTTTTCTATTTTCAGCCTGTCTTCCTATTTACTTAAGATAGTTTTACTGAGGTAAAACTTATGTACCATAAAATTCACACATTTAAATTGTATAATTCAGTATTTTTATTAAACTTACAGAGCTGTGAAACCATCACCACAATCTGAGCATTTCCACCACCCCAGAAAAATCCCCTCTGCCCATTTTTCAAATCCTGTTCTCACTCCCTACCCTAGGAAACCCCTGATATACTTTCTGTTTCTATAGATCTGACGTTTCTGCACAGTGCATATCAATGTAATTCTACAACATGTAGTCATTTGCATTGCACTTTTTAACATAATGTTTTGAAATTCATTCATGTCATAGCATGAATCAGTGGTTTAACCCTTTTCATTGCTGAGTTGTATTCCATTGTATGGCTACACCATACATTTTGTTTATCCATTCACCATCTGATCGATTTTTGGATTGCTTTTATTTATTCCAATTATGAATAATGGTGCTATTAATGAACAACTTGTTATGTGGATATAGTTTATTTTTTCTTGGGTAGATATGCAATAGTGGAATTGTCAGTTTTTGGTAAGTTTATGTATAACTCAAAGAAACTATCAAGCTGTTTTTAAAAGTGCTTGTCACACTTTACATTCCCAAAAACAATGGGAGTGTCCAGTTCCTACACATTGTGCCAACACTTGTTATTTTCTGCTTTTTTTACTGTAATCCTTTTAGTGGGTAAAAAGTTATTTCACATGTATTTTTCTTTTTTTTCTTTTCTTTTCCTTTTTTTTTTTTTTTTTTTAGACAGAGTCTCGCTCTGTTGCCCAGGCTGGAATGCAGTGGCACGATCTCGGCTCACTGCAAGCTCCGCCTCCTGGGTTCACGCCATTCTCCTGCCTCAGCCTCCCGAGTAGCTGGGACTGCAGGCACCCACCACCACACCCGGCTAATTTTTTGTATTTTTAGTAGAGACGGGGTTTCACTGTGTTAGCCAGGATGGTCTCAATCTCCTGACCTCGTGATCTGCCTGCCTGGGCCCCCCAAAGTTCTAGGATTACAGGAGTGAGCCACGGCGCCCAGCCCGTATTTTTCAAACTAGTTATAACTGCACTGGTAAACGGCTATCATTGCATCCAAGGAAATAACAACTTCAGTAACAGGTGCTCTGTCTCTGCCTTTGCTGTGGAGAAAAGATTTTGCCATGCTTATTCTTTGTGTTTGAAGCTTTCATATCTGAGAACTGTTACTTGTGATTATCACTGGAATAGACCAGATCCATTGATCTTCACATGACTGTCACATCAAATCTGTCTGGCAGCAAGCACGATGTTATTTCTTTGTAGAGTTTCTCACATTTACTAAAAAAGACGATAGCAAAAGTGGAGTGGATAAGATATACATAGGAATTATGGCAGGGTGGACAGGACTGGGAAACATGCTGCATTTAGATACATGATCAAAATACTTCATGGTGTCATGCAGAATGACTCTGTAAACACAACAATCTGTGCTGACCTATGGATTAAGCTTTAGTTTCTACTAGCAATATTCCACACATAACTGTCTTACTCCCCACTTGCAAAAACTACCATGCACAATAAACTAACATGTGGGAAGTGAGAAAAAATGTAGGAAGAAAAAAAAATAATCCAAAGAAAGAAGGTACACAAGAAAGAAAAACCATTGCTAGAATGTATAAATCATGGTATGATTTATAACTTGTATAAGCAAGCACTGAAATATTTAATTTCATGCCATTTGTAATGTAAAGCACAGCCAGGCTGACTAGTTTTGATAGCAGGGGAAGGGGGTTTACAGAAATGGCCTTTCAAGAATACTGGAAGCTGTAGAGAACTACAGCTCAGAAGCCCCTGACCACTGACTCTGTTCACATCCCTCAGTATGATGGCATTGCTTTAATGATGCTGAGTATAGATCAAGAACCAGGAGAGCCAACTATTTGCGAACATTACCTTAATTCAGTGATTTTCAACTGCATGCTGTTTATTCCCCAGGGTGTAGTTGGCAATGTCTGGAGGCATGTTGGGCTGTCACAACATCTGGTGAGTGGAGCTCAGGCTTACTGCTAAACATCCTAAAATGCACAGGACAGCCTCCCACAATAAAAAATTATCCAGTCCAAAGTCGGTAGTTCTGAGGCTGAGGAATGCTGCTTTGAATAGAGGCACACTGATTATTTGCGTAAAGTCTACCTGAACAGTCATGTATGGCCCCACATTAAAGAGCTACTCTACACACTAATTGACCTCATGCTGATACCACTGCCGTTTCACCAGTAACTGCATATACTTATTGAATCTCTAGGCCAAGAAAAGCTGTATTATGATATGCTGCATGCGCTTCTTTTCTGCCTTACTTTCAGTCACTTTTTTTTTTCTAGCCTTGGTGAGTTAAATCATGAACATAACCTAATCTTACAACAGAGGGAGAAATGTGAATGTTTGTGTAGGTGAGGGTGGCCTCTTCCTGCCCGTCTGTATTGTATCTAAAATGCTAAATCTATCTTTAAAAATTAAAATCCATAGGGAGTCTGAGAGATATTTTAGATAATTGTTTCTAACTCCTTTCTTCTTGCCTTTTTGGCAAAATTGTATTAATAAGAGCAAAACAAACTGCTTTGAGTTTTATCTTGTATGTCCCATAACTGCTTTCAAATTTAAAAAACATAATGACATGTCTTAGAAAGCAGGTTGCAGGAAGGAAGAAAAAACAAAAGACTCTAAAAAACATCAACTAGAAAAATAATTCCTACAAAGGTCCCTAAGAAGATTCTAAAAACTGACTGGACTTGGAACATTTCTATTGTGCTGTATTTTATAACACAATTCCAGTCATTGTGGATTTCCCCCAGATTATTTTATATTTTTTGCTTATCTCATTTTGCAAATCAGAGAAAAGACCCTCTTTCTATCATGCAAATTTATTCTTCCTATTTCTAGTCCATCAATCTTCATGTGTGGTAATAAATGTGATAGATATATTCTGTCACGATAGCTTTATTTTTCAATAATTTTAGGTTTTCCCACTGGAAATTTTTGGGAAATGGTATAGCATACACCTCAGATTTGTCTCTTCCTCCTGATATAAGGAAAAAGAAGCTGGGGTAATTTATGCTCCAATTCTTGTCAACCAGTGGCTGAGGACTGTCCTGGGAGAATGTGTGGATGCTAAGAGAAAATGTGTAGAGAGCAAAAATGCATTAACAGCTTTTTCAATTCCTTTTCAGAGAGTCAGTGATGGCTTCCTTCCCTAAATGATGTCGATATTACATTACTTTTAGTAAAGTTGTACAGCTAAGCACAAAGTAAAACCAACAATAATGTAACTCCTCCAAATCAAGAGATATGAGTGTGGAAGGGTGGTAGGAGGTAATAAAATTGCACTTTCCTCATCTTGCTTACCAAGGAGTAAGGAGAAAAGGGTGATTTATAAAGAAACAGAAATATATGCTTATTGTTTACATTTGTAATTTTTAAAAATCAAGTGGATGGATGGCAGTCACTGGTTTGGTTTTTCTCTTATTGTTTCTTCTAACCCTGCTGTTTTGCATCTTTTTTTCTCATCCCTTAGCTACATCTTGGGCCAATTCTGTAACTTTCTGGTCACTTTCAGCTACTAAAGTTCAGACTAATTTAATGCATCAATCTGAAACTCGATTTTAATCATAGATCTTCCCTTTCTACCCCACGTCCATTTTCAATAATAGATTTGACTCGTAATCATGGCTGCTAGAGTGACGGGGAGATGGAGTCTACTCTGACCTCCTTCTCCCATTTCATTTTCTGCGTTTAGATCTCCTGGGGTTCTGGGGGAGAAATATTAGTGGCAAGGTGTATTTATACAACTACCTGAAGGCTGTTCATGGGCACTAGCCCCTGGTCTTGCTCTGATTTGAGTTCATTTTCCTTGCTGCTGGTGACACTCATGGTCATGAGAGTCCCCAAATGGCTGTATGAGTGTTTTTCTTAGTGCAGTGTTCCCCAGTATTCACCCAGGCCTCATCTGTTATTGTTGCCCCATTCAGAGATAGCAGCAGTGTCTCCTTAACCATGACAGTGGTTCATGCCCACAATTACTTTTCTGGAATGGACAAAACCCTGCTAGGGTTAGCAGCCTCCTGAACTCATACTTCCTCATTTAACTGCTATGCCCCATCTCAGGGAGACAAAGGAACTGCACACATCTTCTTTTGTACCCCTTCCAAGATCACAGAGAACTGAGATGATTTGAGAGGCTGGTTTCCACCATCTCCTTCTAATCATACACCACAACCCCTTCCTAAGAACATGTATGCTCCTTTATACTCCACGGGAAACACCAAGGTGGCTGTGCAGATCCTGCAAATCAACAAACATTCAGCCTTCCATTAAGAGGCAAGTGCACTCTCAGCACCACCTCTATCACTGATTCCCCTGGAGGGAATCCTCTCACTCACTTGCAAAGGAGAAAGTCTCTCACTGTGAACACTGTACTTCTCAATGTCTCTAGTTACAATCGATTTAGGCTCCCCTTCCCTAGTCCTCTCTGTGTAGACTAAGAATAGGGCCATTGATGAGAGTTAGACCATTCCTACAGCCTCTTGCTAAATTGGAAGAGAAGGCCATGATGTCAATTAAAGATTCCTTCTCTGGAATCAAGAGTAGAGTTTCTCAAACTTCAAGGTAATTTCCTCAATATAATTTCCTCAACGCAACATACAACTTGGAGATTCTTATTAAAATACAGATCCTGGTCCACTAATTCTGGGCTGGGACCTGAGATTCTGCACTTCTAACAAGCTCCTAGGTGATGCTCAACTTGCTGATTTACAGACCACAGCAAGTAGCTTTTAACCACAGCTTTGTGTGCCTTAGTTACAAATTCCAAGGAGAGATGGAGGAGGGAGCTATACAAGCAAGGCAAGGGAGGACATTTTTATTTTCTATTTTAAATTATCTTATATTATTTGGAATTTGTTTTGTCTCTACTTTTTTTTTAATTTTAAAATACAGAGGGTTAAGCAGCACAAAAATAATTTTTGAAAATTGTCATACTCATTGGAGGGACTTTGAATAATTTTTTCGTATTTATATGGAGTCTCTAATTTTGTTTTCTTTTTGATATAAGTGAAGGAAATACCAGCTGCTATCAGTTAAGCAGTTAATGTCTTTCTCACTTAAGATGGACCTCATGTTGGTTTAGAAAATATCTGCTAACCAAAAAGGAATTTTAAATGCATTAAATTAGACTTTGGGGATAGTACACTATGCCCGGACTAAATTACTTTTGAATTCCTGTTTGTTAAAGACAGAAAGAATATAAACAATCCATATGCATTTAGAATATATAACATGAAACCCTGAAAATTTCCAATATCATTCCGCCAAATAAAAACTTCCCTCAAGGGGATTTACCCAGAGAAAATACACGGATGCCTCAATGTTCAGAGTGTTTTCATCGGCATTCCTGATGCCTTACTTGGTTAGTGCTTCTACCCATATTAACTGTAGGGATTTTCACTGTTATCTCTTTTCTAATGTGAGGCTCCCCTAACGCAAGTCTTTTTGATTTATTCTTTGCTTTTCTTTCTTGCAAACTCTCTATCTTGATGTTGTGCTGCTGAGGTTAATTGAGGATTCACGCTCTCAGACTTCAGTCCTATTTCAGGTTAGCCGCAGGTTCCCTGTACACTTAGCGCCATCTCTGGTCATGAACTGGAACTGCAAGCCAGGAAAATTCCAGAGTCATTCTCAAATCTTTGGAGTTGGCCAGGCTCTCTAATGTGGCCTGGGCTGTATTTTTATCTCTGAATCTGCTAAAGAATCTGCCCATGGGCTTGCCTGCTGCCATACTTTCTAATCTTCAAGTAGCTAGTCTCAAACTAATGCTTTTATAACACCCCCAAAAGTAGTAAGTTTCAGCAGAGAACCAACTGATGTATTGGAGGCTAGCTCTGCATACAGTGCAAGGTGCAGACTTAAAACTTTTTTTAAAAATTCGATTGTTGAGATGTCTTAGGTGTTCTCATTTTGCAGGGGCTTCCATGGGTATTTAGATATGTAATTTCCTCAAAAAGCCTGCTAGGTAGGCTACTTTGATTTCCAAGCTAAAATGTTATTACTCAATATAAAAAATCTTTATATTGTGCTTTTTAAAAATGAATTTTAACCTAGTCCATTAGGGTTTCACCTAAAGAAGTATGTATTCTGGGACTAGGGGACATTGTAGAAGCCCTCAACCCACACTACAAAGCAGCTTATCCTTTTATATTATTATTTTTTGACTGCAAGAAGTCAATTGGCTATAGCTGTAGGATTTAATTTTTCTGTAACTACTCAGTCATAAAAAGGAACGAAATAATGTCTTTTGCAGCAACTTGGATGGAGCCGGAGGCCATTATTCTAATTGAAGTAACTCAGGAATGGAAAACCAATCATCATATGTTCTCACTTTGTAAGTGTGAGCTAAGCTATGAGGATGTAAAGGCGTAAGAATGATATAATAAACTTTGGGGACTGTGGAGGAAGGTTGGGAGGAAGGTGAAGGATAAAAGACTACATATTGGGTACAGTGTACACTGCTTGGGTGACAGGTGCACTAAAATCTCAGAAATCACCGCTAAAGAACTTATCCATGTAACCAAAAGCCACCTGCACCCCCAAAGCTATTGAAATAAATAAAAATTAAATAAATCAGGATATATCCAAGGCCTACCAAAAAAAATTTCCTGTAGCTGTAAGAAACAAAGATGCATCTATGCTAACATAAAATGAATTGATATATAGATATTCCAAGTAATTCAGAAATTAGGTAATTTTGAAATTAAAACAATTCACATTGTAGAGACAGAGATGATGCATACATCAACATTATTGAAAATTGTGGAAATTTAATTTTTAAACTTTCTGAATTTTTGATGATTTCCCAGAAAAAAATCATTTATCTAAAGAAAGACTGATTATCCAGATTATGTATCTGGAAGGTTGTCTGCCATTGTCTGCTAGAGGGTTTGGTTATTTCTCTGTGAAATAACTGTAGATTTGGCTTTAAGGTCAAGATACTGACACCTACAATTTGCAACTTCACCCATGAAAAAACTTACCCTTATATTAAGCAATGGCATAAATTCTAACTAATATATGCCAAATCATTATAAAAAAAAATATTAGGAAGAAAAAGAAATTGTTGCTATGTTTTCTTAGTATTAAAAGATAAAGTTAAAACGTATTTCTCTACATGAGGTTAAGTTCAGGAAATAAGGTACTTGCAAGAGTGTCCTCTACTTCAGTGGTGAATAGATTAAACCAAAAATTATCAGAAGTCTGATTTAAAAATGTATCTTTGGGCATTTTATTTGTTTAAAAAACACTCAGGACTTCATGACAGATTTGCACCTCCTTAGCTCCACTCTTAGGATTTGGCAAGAGGTAAATGACTGACTCTTTTCTAGTTAGTCAGGTTAAAGACATCCACCAGTGAGCATGAAAACCCAAGAGAATCCTGAAGACGATCCAAAAGGGCAAGAGGATGAGCTACCTCCCCCAAATATTAAAACAACTCAATCTATAAAGAATCTAAATTAAAACAATATGGGTTATGTGCACGGTTTAGACAAAATCATGAAAAAAGGAATATCCTGCAATTTATACACAAATAATATACGGTAAAAGGACGATTTCAATATCTCAATTTTGTGTGAATATTGTTTGGGTTTTTGTGGGTTTTCTTGGGGGGTGGTGGTGGTTAGTGATATTCAGAAAGAACTGTATAGCCCCGTGGATAAACAGAAAAATTGGATCCATTACTCACACTACACAGCAAGATAACCTTCAAATGGATCAGAGATTTAAACAAAAAAAAAGAAATGATACAAGTGATAGAAGAAATTTAGACCGGGCACAGTGGCTTATGCCTGAAATTCCAGCACTTTGAGAGGTCAAGGCTGATGGATCGCTTTGGCCCAGGAGTCCAAGGCTACAGTGAACCATGATTATGCCACTGCCTTCCAGCCTGGGTGACAGAGTGAGACCCAGACGCTACAAAAGAAAAGAGAAGAAAAGAAAAGAAATTTGGATGAATTCGTATTTAACCTTGAGTGGGTATAACTTTCCCATCTAAAGTCCGAAATCCAGAGGCAAGAAGAAAAAATAAAAGAAATTTAAAAATTGTATCACATTAAAAAGAAAACACATTTGAATGGTCAAAAACACTGTAAGCAAAGTAATAAAATACATCACTTATTTACAACTTAAATCATAGATAAATCATTAATATCTCTAATATATTGAATGTTTTTTAAAATAGTAAAGAGTCAATGTTTCTTTACAGATGACCTATGGAAATTCATGATCAATTCATAGAAATAAGAAATGCAAATGGTTTTTGAACATGTGAATAGATGTTCAATCTCTCTCATATTAAGAGAATATACTAATTAAACCTACACCTAGAGAGCATTTTTTACTTATTAGTTTGGCACTAAGTTAGAAAACATACTTTGGGAGGCTGAGGCAGGCAGATCCACTTGAAGTCAAGAGTTCAAGACCAGCCTGGCCAACATGGTGAAACCCTGTCTCTACTAAAAATACAAAAATTAGCTGGACATGATTGGAGATGCCTGTAATCCCAGCTATTCGGGAGGCTGAGGCAGGAGAATTACTTGAACCTGGGAGGGGAAGGTGGTAGTGAGCCGAGATCGCACCAGTGCACTCCAGCCTGGGTGACACAGTGAGACTCCATCTCAAAAAAAAAAAAAAGAAAAAAGAAAAGAAAACATACTCTGTTGGTAAGCCTGTGGAAAAAGAGGCACTCTCATATATGTCTAGAGAGACATCAACATACAGTAATTACTATGGAAAATAATTTGAAAATGTCTAGCAAAATTACATAGAATCTACATTTTAACCTAGCAATCTCACTTCTAAAAATCTATCCCACAGATAGATTGGCTTTTCATTGTGGGAATTATCTGATAGAGCAACTTAAATGTACATCAGTAAGAAGCTGTTTGAATTACATTACACTGACACTCAATGCCTTACTATGTAGCTATAAAAATGAATGAGGAACATCTCTGTGTACTTCTAGGGATTGAGGGTAGGAATTATTTTTCAGTTAAAAAATAAAGGTGGAAAATTATGGATATAGTATGGTCCCGTTTATCTTAAAAATACTAAATGTAATTGTATATATGCTTAATATTTTTTAAAAAGGAAATAAACATGTAAAAAATAGATACCTATATAAGTGAAGAAAGAATTAGGAGCAAGAAAATAGTGAAGGCACCAAACTTCCTTAAATATATCTTGTTTTGATTTTTAAATTATAAGAATATTTTACATAATTAAGAAATTGTATGAATTTTTTTAATTCTTAAAAATTCTTAATAAAATCTAAGAAAATGAAACACATAAACCTAACTATGTATGTTGATGATGATATATACGCACAGAGAAGACCAGTACTAGTACTAAGCAACTTTAAAACAAATTGGGTATTTATAATCACTAACAGGATACACCCTAAGGACAAAAAGGCAAAAGACTGAAAAAATAAATTGAGCTATTTTTGGAAATCATATTGTTGATAGTCATGTTTATATTGTAATTCTGACACTGTTATATGACAAGGTAAATTAAATAAATGCCTATGTAATATTTTATCACAAGCAATACCATTTATAACCAAGATTCTCAATGTAGGACTAAGAAGATAAGAGGTAAGGTAGAAGAAGCTACACAAAATCCCCATGGTCCTGAATTTTAACTGGAAATATAAATAGGACACATGATAGTCTTTATTTTTTATTCAAACAAATAAAATAGCTCACTGGAGAAATGACTGATTTCAGGTCTGGGCAGGAAATAAATAAGCTAAGCCTGAAACACCTTGGTATATCAGATATTAAAAAAAAAGACCTGCAAAGACAGCAAAAGATATAAGGAGCAAACTTAAGGAGGGATCATTGATTAAAAGTGGGACTATTTGAGCATCAATATCAAAAATAGCTAAAACGGGTTGAAATACATCAAAGAGGCATCATAAGTTTACAGTGATTCAAAATAAAACTTTAAAAATTGTTGGTCAATTACCGTTTTGAAAACTTGTAAAAAAATACATATCTATATAAACTGGTAAATACATTTTACCACTGATAGACAAAGAGAAGATGAAGGGATGTTTCTATTTTTAAAGTAATCTAGCTATTAAATGAGAACCGAATGATACAGTTGGAATACCAGTATTTGGCAACCAATAATAAATTAATGAATTAAGAGTATAAACAGCTACTCATGTCCTAAAACCAGAGGTAACCAGACAGTATGTGCCTCCTGGTGGACGAACACAATGGCAGCTTTGGAACAGTCTTGCCAAAACAATTAAACCTGAATATGATTGTCTCTAGATCCAACTATCAAGACAGATGAAAGAGAAGACAGAAGAATGTTAAAGAACACCACAGGGGTGCATCAGCAAAATGCAGATAGTAAGAAACTCCCCAAGATAAATCACCTCATTTCTTCCATAAATAAGTTGAAAAGGGGGAAAAAGTTGGAGAGAAGACCTATACGTAGTAACACATAAACCATTTGCCATATTTGAGCTGATTTCAATCTAGACTAAAGCAGCAAAAAATAAAACATTAAAGGCGGGGCACAGTGTCTCATGGCTGTAATCCCAGCACTTTGGGAGGCTGTGGCAGGCAGATCATGAGGTAAAGAGATCAAGACCACCCTGGCCAACATGGTGAAACCCTGTCTCTCTAAAAATACAAAAACTAGCTGGGCATGGTGGCACACGCCTGTAGTTCCAGCTACTCGGGAGAGTGAGGCAGGAGAATCGCTTGATCCCAGGACATGGAGGTTGCAGTGAACCGAGATTGTGCCACTGCACTCCAGCCTGGCAACAGAGGGAGACTCTGTCTCAAAAATAAATAAATAAATAAAAATTAAAAATTTTAAAAATTAAAAATAAAGTAACAACATATGTGAGACAGTTGAAAATTGGAACAGTCACTGGATATTTTATAGCATTGAAGAATCGTTGGTGATTATTTTTAGATAATGTTACTGTGCTTGGGTTTAAAAAAGAGTTCTCTTTAAGAGGTGTAAACTACAGCATTTACAGAAGATATAATAAAACTGCTTCAAAGCAATATGGGAAGGATGAGATATACTTGAAAAATACTGACCATAGATTAATAGTTGAAGATGTGTAATGGTTACGTGGGATTTCAATGTACTCTTTGGTCTACTTTTACATATGTTTGGAATTCTACATTTAAAAAAATGACAGAACAATATGCTTGGGGATCTTGAAGAACAAATGGAACTTAAATTAGAAGTTAAAGAAAAGCTTCTTAGTGCAGAGTAAAGGTGTATATGTTTAAGTAGGCACAGTTCATGAAACGTAGTTTCTGGTGGCTGTTGCTTGGAGTTTAAAAATCAAAGGGAATATAAGGCTGGAATGTTAAGTAGAGATCAGGTCTTGGAGAATTTTGTATCCTATAAAATGTGGTGTACTTTACTGTAAGGGAAGCGGGGAGACATTAACAAGTTTTAAGCAGGAGAGTTAACACCAATGGAGTTGAATTCAGAAAGCTCAGGTAGCAGCTGTGAGGAAAACTGATTGAAGTGAGGACAGACAGCAGCAGAGAAAACAGTTAGAAGCCTGTTATAGTAATTCATGAGAATTTTTTTTATTATACTTTTCAGTTCTGGGATACATGTGCAGAACGTGCAGGTTTGCTACATAGTTATACATGTGCCATCGTGGTTTGCTGCATCCATCAACCCGTCATCTATGTTAGGTATTTATCCTAATGCTATCCCTCCACAAGTACCCCACCCTCTGACAGGCCCCAGTGTGTGATATTCCCCTCCCTGTTTCCATGTGTTCTCATTGTTCAACTCCCACTTATGAGTGAGAACATGCAGTGTTTCATTTTCTGTTCCTGTGTTAGTTTGCTGAGCATGATGGTTTCCAGCTTCATCCATGTACCTGCAAAGGACATGAACTCATCCTTTTTTATGGCTGTATAGTATTCCATGGTGTATATGTGCCACATTTTCTTCATCGAGTCTATCATTGATGGGCATTTGGGTGGGTTCCAAGTCTTTGCTATTTTGAACAGTGCTGCGATAAACATACGTATGCATGTACCTTGATAACGAATGATTTATAATCCTTTGGGTATATACCAAGTAATGAGATTGCTGGGTCAAATAGTATTTCTGTTCTAGATCCTTGAGGAATCACCACACTGTCTTCCACAATGGTTGAACTAATTTACACTCCCACCAATAGTGTAAAAGCATTCCTGTTTCTCCACATCCTCTCCAGCATCTGTTGTTTCCTGACTTTGTAATGATCGCCATTCTAACTGGCATAAGATGGTATCTCAGTGGTTTTGTTTTGCATTTCTCTAATAACCAGTGATTATGAGCTTTTTTTCATATGTTTGTTGCCTGCATAAATGTCTTCTTCTGAGAAGTGTCTGTTTATATCCTTCACCCACTTTTTGATGGGGTTGTTTGCATTTTTCATGTAAATTTGTTTAAGTTCCTTGTAGATTCTGGTATTAGCCCAAGAGTAGACCAATAACAAGCTCTGAAATTGAGGCAGTAATTAGTTGCCTAACAACCAAAAAAAGCCCAGGACCAGATGGATTCACCGCCAAATTCTACCGGAGGTATGAAGAGGACCTGGCACAATTCCTCCTGAAATTATTCCAAACAATAGAAAAAGAGGGACTCCTCCCTAACTCATTTCATGAAGCCAGCATCATCCTGACACAAAAACCTGGCAGAGACACAACAGAAAAAGAAAATTTCAGGCCAATATCCCTGATGAGCATCAATGTGAAAATCCTCAATAAAATACTGGCAAACCGAATCCAGCAGCAAACAGAATCCGATTGCAGCTTATCCACCGCAATCAAGTCAGCTTCATCCCTAGGATGCAAGGCTGGCTCATCATACACAAATCAATAAACATAAACTATCACATAAAAAGAACCAATGACCAAAACCACATGATGATCTCAATAGACGCAGAAAAGGCCTTTGATAAAATTCAACACCCCTTCATGCTAAAAACTCTCAATAAACTAGGTATTGATGGAACATATCTCAAGATAAAAAGAGCTATTTATGACAAACCCACAGCCAATATCATACTGAATGGGCAAAAGCTGGAAGCATTCCCTTTGAAAACCAGCACAATACAAAGATGCCCTCTCTCACCACTCCTGTTCAACATAGTATTGGAAGTTCTGGCCACGGCATTCTGGCAAAAGAAAAAATAAAAGGTATTCAAATAGGAAGAGAGGAAGTCAAATTGTCTCTGTTTGCAGATGACATGATTGTATATTTAGAAAACCACATCGCCTCAGCCCAAAATCTTCTTAAGCTGGTAAGCAACTTCAGCAAAGTCTCAGGATTCAAAATCAATGTGCAAAAATTACACCAGTAATAGACACCAGTAATAGACAGAGAGCCAAATCATGAGTGAACTCCCATTCACAATTGCTACAAAGAGAATAAAATACCTAGAAATACAACTTAAAAGGGATGTGTAGGACCTCTTCAAGGAGAACTACAAACCACTGCTCAAGGAAATAAGAAAGGAAACAAACAAATGGAAAAACATTCCATGCTCATGGATAGGAAGAATCAATATCATCAAAATGGCCATACTGCACAAAGTAATTTATAGATTCAATGTTATCCCCATCAAGCTACCATTGACTTTCTTCACAGAATTAGAAAAAATTACTTTAAATTTCATACGGAACCAAAAAAGAGCCTGCACAACCAAGACAATCCTAAGCAAAAATAACAAAGCTGGAGGCATCATGCCACCTGACTTCAAACTATACTACAAGACTACAGTAACCAAAAGAGCATGGTACTGGTACCAAAACAGATATATAGACCAATGGGACAGAACAGAGGCCTCAAAAATAACACCACACATTGGCAACAATCTGATCTTTGACAAACCTGAGAAAAACAAGCAACGAGGAAAGGATTCTCTATTTAATAAGTGGTGTTGGGAAAACTGGCTAGCCATATGCAGAAAACTGAAACTGGACCCCTTCCTTACACCTTATACAAAAATTAACTCAAGATGGATTAAAGACTTAAACATAAGACCTAAAACCATTAAAACCCTAGAAGAAAACCTAAATAATACCATTTAGGACATAGGCATGGGCAAAGACTTCATGACTACAACACCAAAAGCAATGGCAACAAAAGCCAAAATTGACAAATGTGATCTAAGTAAACTAAAGAACTTCTGCACAGCAGAAGAAACTATCATCAGAGTGAACAGGCAACCTACAGAATGGGAGAAAATTTTTGCAATCTATCCATCTGATAATTTAAAAAAAAAAAACGAAAATTGACAGGACTTAGTGATTGGATATAAGAGATCAGAAATACAGAAAGTCTAGGACAACTCCCAGGTTTTTGGTTTTGTTACCCATATGGATGGGATGTAATTAGATTAAAATAAAATTGGATTAATTTTTTCAGCTTTTTGGGGACTCTTATAATGTATCTTGAGCTAATAAGTGCTTAGATATTACAAAACAAGAACTGTGAATCACAACTAAGAGATGATTCTGACACTAGTGTCCATTAATGTGAAAATCAGCAGTCACAGACTATGGCTCTCTGAATCATGCAAACGATTCTCTATGCAATGATAACTAGACATTTAAATGTTCTGAGTCATAGTCTTGCAATCTTGACAGTGCAGACAAGAATATATGCTTCCTAATCACTTAATGAAGAAGAAAATTTTTTTTTTCTGGATTTAAAAAAGACATTTCTAACCGATGGAAGCATTTGACATTTGGTATTTGGCATTTGAATACAAAATGAATGTTATCTTTTTACCACAATTTTCTGAGTTGCTCTCTATAAAAGACTCTTTTTGTTTGTTTTTAATTTATAAAGAAAAGAGGTTTAATTGGCTCATGTTTCTGCAGGCTGTACAAGCATGGTGCCCCTGAGGTAGGAGAATAGGGCCTGGAGACTGGGAACCTGAGGACTTCCTAGAACTAAATTAAATGGAAACACTTCAGCAATAACACGAATGTGAATGGCTTTGTAACTTCACTTCATCCTCTTCATTTACATAGGCGACACACACCCAGTAACATCCTCTCCATTTACATAGGGTACATACTGAGTAAATGACTTTGTAACTTGACTTCATCCTCTTTATTTACATAGAGCATACACCAAGTAACCCATGGGAAACCTCTAGAGGGAACTGAAACTCCAGAAAATTCTGTAACCAGCGCCCTTGACCTGCTTGCTGGGGCCCACTCCCACCCTGTGGAGTGTGCTTTCATTTTCAATAAACCTCTGCTTTTATTGCTTCATTCTTCCCGTGCTTTATTTGTGTGTTTTATCCAATTATTTGTTCAAAATGCCAAGAACCTGGACACCCTCAACTGGTAACACCAGCATCTGTTCAGCTTGTGGGGAGGCCTCAGTGAGGTTTTACTCATGGCAGAAGGTGAAGCAGGAGCAGGAGCAGTGAAAGAAGGAATGAGAGAGAAGGAGGGGCAGGGGTGCCACACTTTACAACAACCAGATCTTGTGAGAACTCACTCGCTATCATAAGGATAGCTTGAAGCCATGAGGAATCCTCCCCCATGACCCAAACACCTCCCACCTCCAACATGGGGGATTATAATTCAACATGAGATTTGGCAGCGACATATATTCAAACCATATCATTCTACCCTCTCCGCCCAGCCCCGCTCCCCCCTCAAATTTCATGTCCTTAGAAGAAAACCTAGGCGATACCATTTAGGACATAGGCATGGGCAAAGACTTCATGACTAAAACACCAAAAGCAATGGCAACAAAAGCCAAAATTAACAAATGGGATCTAATTAAACTAAAGAACTTCTGCACAGCAAAAGAAACTATCATCAGAGTGAACAGGCTGATGGGGGATCATATTTCAACATGAGATTTGGCAGCGACATATATTCAAACCATATCATTCTGCCCTCCCCCCCACCACAAATTGCATGTCCTTCTCATATTGCAAAATACAATCATGCCTTCCCAACACTCCCCAAAAGTCTTAACTCATTCCATCATTATCTCAAAAGTCCCAAGTCCCATACCAAAGTCTCATCTAGAGATGAGTTCCTTCCACCTGTGAGCCTGCAAAATCAAAACAAGTTATTTATTCCCGAGATACATGGGGTTACAAGGATTGGGTAAACATTCCCATTCCAAAAGGGGGAAATTGGCCAACAAGAAGGGGCTTCAGGCTCTATGCAAGTTTGAAACCTAGCAGGGCAGTAATTAAATGCTCTAAAATAATCTTTGACTCCATGTGCCTCTGCGTGGGGGCTCCAACCCACATTTCCCCTCCACACTGCCCAAGTAGAGGTTCTCTGAGTGGGCTTGCCCCTGCAGCAGACCTCTGCCTGGACACCTGGGCTTTCTCATACATCCTCTGAAATCTAGGCAGAAGCTGCCAAGCCTCTTTCACTTTTGCACTCTGTGTGCCTGCAGGCTTAACACCACATGGAAGCTGCCCTGACTTATAGCTTGCACCCTCTGAAGCAGCAGCTCAAGCTATACCTGGGGACCTTTGAATCAAGGCTGGTACTGGAGCCGCTGGGAGGTGGGGAACAGTATCCCAAGGCTTCACAGGGCAGCAGGGGCCTGACCTCAGCAACCATTTTTTCCTCCTAGGACTCAGGGTCTGTGATAGGAGGGGCTGCCTCAGATCTCTGAAAGGCCTCTGAGGCTTTTTTCCATTGTCTTGGCTATCAGCACCTGGGTCTTTTTAGTTATGCTAATTTCTATAGCAAATGGTTACTTTGCAGTCTACTTGAATTTTTCTTGAAAAAGCTTTTTCTTTCTTTGCCACATGAGTAGCATTTTCCAAAATTTTACACTCCACTTCCTGTTTAAATATAAATTTCAACTGTAAGTAATTTCTTTGCTCCCACACCTGAGCTAGGCAATTAGAAGTAGCCAAGCCACATCTTGAAAACTTTGCTGCTTAGAAATTTCTCCCACCAGATAACCTAAATCATCACTCATTAGTTCAAACTTTCACAGATACCTAGGGCATGACTACAACACAGCCAAGCTCTTTGCTAAGGCATAACACAGGTGACCTTTGCTCCAGTTCCCAGTAAGTTCCCCATTTCCATCTGAGACCTCATCAGCCTGGAGTTCACTGTCCATATCACTGTCAGCATTTTGGTCACATTTAACTAGTCTCTGAGAAATTCCAAACTTTCCCTCATCTTCCCGTCTTATGCTGAGCCCTCCAAATTCTTCCAGCTTCTGCCTGTTACCCAATTCCAAAATTGCTTCCACATTTTCAGGTATTTTTATAGCAATGCCATAATCCTCAGTACCAATTTTCTGTGTTAGGCGGTTCTTGCAGTGCTATAAAGAAATACCTGAGACAGGGTATTTTATAAAGAAAAGAGGTTTAGTTGGCTCATGGTTCTGCGGACTGTACAAGCAGAAGCTTGGCTTCTGTAGAGGCCTCAGGGAGCTTTTACGCATGGCAGAAGGCAAGTGGAAAAAGGCACATCACATTGTCAGAGGCGTCTGAACCAGAGCAACTCCATCTTGAAGAGGTGGTGGGTAAAATAAGGCTGAGACCTACTGGGCTTCATTCCCAGGAGGAAAAGACATTCTAAGTCACAGGATGCGATAGGAGGTTGGCACAAGATACAGGTCATAAAGATCATGCTACAGTTTGCAGTAAAGCAGCAGCCAAAACCTACCAAAATCGAGATTGCAACAGGAGTGACCTCTGGTCATCCTCACTGATACGCTCCCAGCAGTGCCATGACAGTTTACAAATGCCATGGCAATGTCAGGAAGTTACCCCATATGGTCTAAAAAGGGGATGCATACATAATCCACCCCTTATTTAGCATATAATCAAGAATGATAAAAATGGGCAGCCAGCAGCCCTCGAGGCTGCTCTGTCTGTGCGGTAGCCATTCTTTATTCCTTTACTTTCTTACTAAACTTGCTTTCACTTTATAGACTCATCCTGAATTCTTTCTTGCACGAGATCCAAGAATCCTCTCTTGGGGTCTGGATTGCGACCAGTTTCCAGTAACAACATAGTGAGAGCAGGAGCAAGAGAGCAAAAGGGCACATATTTAATAGTTGTTTTCTTGTCTGTTCCTATGGGTTTGGTGTAAAAGTGTGTTTTAAACATTAAATTTATGATTCTAGCCATTAAAAGAGATATGTGAAACAGTAAAGCAGCATGAGTTGCTAAAAAGGTCTTTAATAATACAACTATTTCCATTCCCTGGTTTGATGGGTCCAGGAAAGGGAGAAGGGAAAGTCCAGGATGTATCTTGAAGCTACATTCAGATAAAAAGTGTATTGTTTATATTAGAACAGATGTTTATCTGTGCTGCTTTCCAAAGCTAAGGGAAAGTAAAGAAAGCTAAAGCCCAAGCCCACATTTGGTCACCAAGGAAGGTCTTCAAGTTCAAAAAGCCTATTTGCCTCAATTCACTGAATCTGAGAGGGTGGGGGGCTGGCACTGTCTTTAAGTAGTTACCAACCATTGCACCATGGTTCAGGCACAGCCACAATACAAGTTATGACAAGTCTGTGAGATCAGAAACTTGTCCTGCCACAAAGGAAGCTGTGTCTGCTTCTTGGGGGTCAGCATCATTCCGAGTTCTGAGGTGATCTGAATATTTAAATTCAGTTTAATGACCTATTTGATATCATTTTTTATTTAGAGGCATATGTAATATGTGTTACTATAAATTCCAGTTGGCACTGGTATATATCACATGCAGATGAATTTTTGCACAGAGGGACAATAAAAGACCCATTCTTTGATTCCCTATTATAGACAATACAAAGAGCAAAAAATATGGTTTGGCTAAGCGACACAATACAAATCAGAGATGTTTACCTCCAGGACTCATGACCAGATACCAAAAATGGCTTCGACTTCCAATTATTTTATCTGTATATAAGATGCTTTAAAAATTATAAATTATCTTAATGAGAAGTCCTCCAAGCTTCCCTTTTCTTACAGTTTATTATGGTTAGAGTATCTTTCTCCTACTCTTTATGATGGTATCTGCTTTAATGAATGAATAATTATAGTAGAATTCTTTGCTTTATAATTATATTTGATGAGATTCTGGCTAAGAAATCTCACACATAGGCCGGGCGCAGTGGCTCACACCTGTAATCCCAGCACTTTGGGAGGCCAAGGCGGGCAGATCATGAGATCAGGAGATCGAGACCATCCTGGCTAACACGGTGAAACCCCATCTCTACTAAAAATACAAAAAATTAGCTGGGCGTGGTGGCGGGCACCTGTAGTCCCAGCCACTCGGGAGGCTGAGGCAGGAGAATGGCGAGAACTCGGGAGGCAGAGCTTGCAGTGAGCCAAGATCGCACCACTGCACGCCAGCCTGGGCGACAGAGCAAGATTCCGTCTCAAAAAAAAAAAAGGAAAAAAGAAAAAAAGAAATCTCACACATAGAGCCACAGACCTATGTAGGGAAGAAATTATTTCTTTTGGGAAAATAAAAAGCCAGCTAAACTTCTTCATGCTCTGGGTATTAATTTTTGTTAGAATAAGAGTTTGATCTACTCCAGATGTAATCTTCTGTGATCCAGCAAATATGACAGTTCAGGATTAAGAGACCTTTAATGTTAATTTCATTACTTTTTATGTTGTAATTGAAAGTCACATAAAAATGTACTCTGCTTCCTAGAAACTTTGCCACAGATACACACACACACACACACACACACACACACACACACACACACCACTCATACAAAATGATACAAAATTATGATAAGTATTTGGTTACTTTCATTTTATAGAAATAAATGGTTATTTAAGCATGTAAGAAGTACGTGGTTAAAGTACTTATCCAGAACATTTAATGCATACAAAAGATATTCTATTTACTAAAAAAGATATAATCACAATATTTTTCGAACCTCAATAAAATTCTCAAGTCATCTGAATTTTCTCCTTCTTTTACAGAGGGATGTTTGTCATATTTTATACTGATAAGAGTCTAAGAATTGCTGAGGACAAACCATGTATATTAAAAGTACGGTTGAATACTGTCTTCTAGACTCAGCAAAAAAAGTTCAACTAGTATTGACTCTCTGATATATGACATGTTATCTTGTAATCAGAATAGTAGTTAATATATCAAATAATATGCTGCATTCTATGATGGTAATAAAATGAAATTTCTGTAACTTTATTATTTTGACATATGTATGAATTTTCAATTGTCCATTTAAAACTTTTGAAATATAAATGCTGTGTATTCTAAAGATTTCTTTGTGGCTCATTTTTCTCTTGTTTGAGGGCTTAAGCTCTGCATGTCAGCTACGTACCAAGCAGCTGTTGCTAGGATGTATCTGTTTCCATAGCAATAGATGAACTCTTCAGATACATCTAGAATTCCCCCTCTTTTCTCTATCCCTCAATCCCTTGTCCATCCATATGTAAATCAGTATCCAAATCTCTAACTGCAACAGAATTATTCCAAGTGATAATATCTGTATTTAACATCCGTGTATGTAGTGTTGTCCATTATAGAATTTTTTTCTTTAATCTCTGCATTCTTTTCTCAAGATGTTTATATTGTGTAGAAATTCCTGTGATTTGGAGATTAACACTGTGCCAAGTTGATAAAGATCAAAAACATTTTCTGCCAAGGCACTTTTCAGAAACAGTAATTAATAGGAGAAAACAGCTAGGTGCAAATGGTCTTCCTCTTCCTCTTCCTCTTCCTCTTCTTCTTCTTCTTCTTCTTCTTCCTTCTCCTCTTCCTCTTCCTCTTCCTCTTCCTCTTCTTCTTCTTCTTCTTCTTCTTCTTCTTCTTCTTCTTCTTCTTCTTCTTCTTCTTCCTCTTCTTCTTCTTCTTCTTCTTCTTCTTCCTTCTCCTTCTCCTTCTTCTTCTTCTTCAGCATTCATTATGGAACAAAGAACATGTTACAAAAGTAACAGGCAATATATGCCATGCGGATTTGGGCCAATCCCTTTTGGACTCAAGCCTGAATTTCAAACATCAGTTTAGGTTGACCCTTCTGAAAGATTTCTGGGCTTTCCAAAGTTCTAAAGGTCTTGGTGTGAAGTGTCACCGTTTCTCTGGCTGTGAAGAGAGCTGTGATGTGATTGCCCCCAGTGGACCTAAAATTGTCACTACAGGTCTTCTTACCTTTCTATTTTTTTTTTTTTTTAAGTTTTCATTCAGGAGCTTCAGGCACTGACAACAGTTATTGCAGAAAAAGGAAAGCAGTAGAGCTATCACTAGACACCTGCCACTACGCTAAATAATCCCTGCCAAGTGCTAAACAGACTGTGAACTCAGCAATATCTGGGAACAATAGAAAAAGTAAAGACAGGGACAGATAGAAATCTCTAAAACTAATATTTGAGTTGATTCCTGGAGGCAAAACCTTGTTTTGTGAAAAGAGATTTGACACTGGCTTTTTTACATGACTTTATACTTTCTGAGGGTAAATAACCATGCTTTCTGCTTCATGTTGTGATTCAAATGCAGCCTCTCTCCTGGGCAAGAAGCAACCCTGCTTCCCTAACTATCCATCTTCCCTAGAGGCAGGAAGGAAAGAAACATGATGTTCTTAATCAAACAATGCCCACTTGTGCTCAAGTTGTCTATGACGAAAGAACATATGTTGATTATATAAGTATTAAGTTCATTAACAATTGTTTATCTTATTTTTCATTCAAAATACACAAATTTTATATTATGTCTCTGGCACTGCTTTTATCTATAGAGAAAAGAAATATGAACAATTAAAAATTATCTTACTAATATGTTTTCTTATTAAAAATGTATTATGCTTGTAGTTAACAATACTGTATTGTACACTTAAAATTGTTAGGAGGGTAGATATAACCTTAAGTGTTCCCACAAAATAAAAATTTTTAAAAATCCATTAGAGATACATAATTATATTTTTGATCCATGTATATAAATATATTAGGGATGAAGTTGGGAATTTGAAGCAATATGTTAGTAGAGATTATGTAATCTATTTTTTCTTATCTGTAATTTCTTCAATGTTACTTTTGTAAAGGGAAGTTAAAAAAGTAGCTTTTAAAAAAATACTGCCTTATTTTTAATTGTTGTTTAATAATTCCCCCATGTTTAGAGTAGACATACAAGAAGCATCCTCTTCCAATTATGAATTTGCCTTTTTAGATTGTTAATAGAGAAGAATTTAGGAATTGACTTCTGTGTCCCCTCAGACTGGTGATGAGCTGCAAGTGTATAAAAACAGCTGGTAATTGTTTTTGCCAGCATTTGGCACCCAGATGATGTCTCCTGTCATATCCATTTGTGCTTTATCCTGATTATGAGAAAATAGCAGAAAATAACTTTCAATACTATGTTCCTCACTATGAATTCAATTAGAGAAAAATGGATCTCTCTCAAACAAACCTCTTTCAATAAGTGTTCTTGATAATTTTTATATTGTGTATTAAATATACGAAGAAAACATTTAGAAATCCAGAATTCAAATTATTTTCTCAAATTAAGATTTTTATCATTTATATTCAACCATGTATTGAACAAAAATGTGGACCTATTATACTCCACACTTCAACACTTAGGCTAAAAAGATGGTCTGTGCCTTATTAATTATTATGTCATATATGTATTATACTAATAATTACTATTGCACAAAGACTAAACAAAACTCCTTCTTTTGTTAGTAATTGTTGGTATAGTACAGTATAATAATTATTAGGAAAATACATGTTACTAATTAATGATGGCTATAATCAATATAAGCTTTTAACAACATTTTATTATAAGGAATACATTATATAATTAAAGGGAAAAACATAAAAAGAGTTATTATAAAAATGATTTAGAATTGATTTCATAAAGCTTTAAAATGTCCCTTCTTACTTATTAGAAAAAAACGCTAATAAAAATTACAAGAGTTTTATTCAAAGACATATGTACAACAATGGAGATTGGTTAAAAGAATACCCATACAACGGATGTAATTTGGCTTTAAAGTTACAAGATAGAATTATGTTCAGCAATTGACAAATGTACTCACAAAATGTGTTAAGTGAATAAAAGATGATTATATCACAATCCATGTTTTTTTGTTGTTGTTGAGACAGAGTCTTGCTCTGTTGCCAGGCTGGAGGGCAGTCTCAGCCATTGCAACATACGCCTCCTGGGTTCAAGCGATTCCCCTGCCTCAGCCTCCTGAGTAACTGGGATTACAGGCGTGCGCCACCACGCCCGCTAATTTTTTGTATTTTAGTAGAGATGAGGTTTCACCATGTTGGCCAAGATGGTCTCGATCTCCTGACCTCGTGATCTGCCCGCCTTGAACTCCCAAAGTGCTGGGATTACACACAATCTATGTTTTAAGTACATCAAAATGATAGCAATACTTATCTCAGGTGGTGATATTACAGGTGACTTTTTTCTTCATTTTAAATATTTTCTAATTTTTCTAAATGACCGCATGTAACATTTCCCATTTATATTAAAATTATTTTTGTAAACAGAGTTGAAAGATTAGAATAAAGAAGAAAGTCTGTAGGTACTAGAAAGGGTAAAGATGGAAAATAACTAGAAGATAAATAGCTAAAACAAAAAAGAAAAGAAATTTTGCCAGAGAAGATTTGAGCTGCCTTACCATAACACCAAATATTCTGAGAATAAGAAACACACTGTGTTGACATTACAGTGTTTCAACTGGTAAGTTATCAAAAACTTCCTTCTCAATCTGATGTTCATGGTAAGATATCAAAAGGACCTCATGCTTTCGAAACCACAAAACCACATTTGAATCTTAAGTTAGAATAACAGGGACACTCGTGTGAACATTCCATCAAAGCCACAACACCAACTGTCTCTTTTACCGTGAGTTTAATGAGAACTGGCTAACACGAAAGCTACTCACCAATGTATGTTTAAAAACAAACCATACATGGAAGTCAGGGTGGGGGCTGTGTGCACATATTTTACAAGGACACATGCATGTCTTAGTTAATAGAAATGAAACTAATCCAGTGAAATATCAGAATTCTATTTCTGTTGGTGATTTACTTATAAAGTGCTCCATGAGAAATCTTATTACAACACACCCTCATCATTTCAAACATGGCACATGTATACATATGTAACAAAACCTGCACGTTGTGCACATGTACCCTAAAACTTAAAGTATAATAATAATAATAAAAAAAAAGAATGACACAAATGTCCACTCCTAAAATATATAATGAGGTTTCTTACCTCTGTGTCTTTTGTTCTTGCTATTTGTTTTGCCAGAAATAATCCTTCAATTTCAAGTTAAAGAGGGTATGGTCAGAGCTGACAGGTGGAAGAATGGGCTGATTTTATGGAAATTGGGATTTCCTGTCACTAAAGGTGATCACGTCCCTGAGGAAGGACTAATGGTGTACACTGCAGGACGAGAACATCAGAGAAGTTATTTAAATAATCTTTGCAAAAATGAAATTCTTATTCAATGGTCATACGGCGTAATTTGCTAAATGAGCTGTGAAGAAGATTTTATCTCTGCTGTCCCCCTGCCCTATATTAGATTTCTCCAATATTCTCCAAGTTCTCTTCCCCACTCAGAAGAGCTACTACTTAGAAACATTGTAAGGTTTTCTTTGCAGTCTTTTTAGGTATTACTATATGGCAACAAATGGAAAAACATCTGGTAAATTTTAGTTGACTGAAAGCAACTAAAACAAGACGAGTCAGGCTGCAGGAAACAAGCTTAAGGATTAGATATGCCATACAAAGAATTTAAAAAAAAATAACAACAGGAAAGGACACCAAAATATGATTATTCAATCATAAGGAACAATGAGCCTATCAAAACTGTATACTGGAGACCTGGGACAAATGAAAACTGACTTGATGCTCATCAAATAAATGGACAAGGAAAGATAAAAATCTGAATGAAATTTAATTTCTAAGTAGTCCCTGCTAGCTACTGCTAAATGACATAATAATCCTATTCTTCCTGACCTTGGGACTCCTAAGAAATATTATTTTCTACCCCACGCCCCAAGAACCTGATAGAATAACTCATTGGCACCAACTTTCCAGAAGCTAATTTCTTAATTCAACTTTTGAGAGTTTGTAGATGAATAAGAATAGGGAGTGATAACATAGAAGATCTGAAGCATCAAATGATAATATTTAGTAAACTCTCAAGCACTAAGTTATTCCTGAGATTAAAATCTCTTCTGCGTTATATTTATCATGTTATGGAAAGAGCACAAGTTTTGGGGTCAGGTAACCTGGGTCTCAGGAATACCCTTAACTAGATCATTAATGTGATTATGTAATCTTTATGAGATTTGGTTTCATCTTGCATGAGGAAAAAAAAATGGTCTCGAAAAGCAGAATATTGAATTTATCCTTATTAGCCTTTGTGCTTACACTCTTAAAGCCCTGCCTTGAAAACACACCAGCAGGCTCAGGTTTGCAATATTTAAATATTACATTTTAAAAGTATAAGGTCCATGTGAGCAAAACTTCTTTGCAATAAATCCTTAAATTACATATTTAAAGCACTCTCTTTAACATGTTCCTTAACATTCCCGAAGAAATAATTAAAAGCACTTTGGTTAGCTGGCTGTACCTTTTAGCTTGGCCTGGTTCCATAGCTATTCCCACTTTTCATCTGTTTACAGAAAATGTTGCCTTCCATTGATTCTTGAAGAACTCTTCTTTGCAAATATCTAAACAATGTATTATACATCTATAGATTGAAATTAGTCCCTAAGAACTAATATTATTCTTAATAATGCTTGAGGTTATTTTTTTAACCATTGTTTATTTCATACAATGTGTAATGCACATTTGGGTATTCTTTTCAAATTTGGTCAAATTTTCAAATTTTGTCAACAATTATCATTTTTATTAGTATACTCAATACATTTTGAACATTTACTACATGCTGTATGTGCTCTGAACAAAACAATTCTATACTGGTATTATATGTAGGATTGCCAGATCTATCAAATAAAAATATAGGATGCCTAGTCACTCTTGAATTTCAGATGAATAACAAATATTTTTTCATATATATGTGTCCCACGTAATATTTGGCATACTGTATTTTATCTGGCAGCTCTAATTATGTGCCATATTTCCTTACACAGCATTCTTTCTGAACACCTTACATAACCCAGTTTAATATTGCTTCCCTTCAAATAAACTGGAAAATGTAGCAGTACCATTTATTTGTGGCATTTTCTGAATTTGCTCAAAGCCATTTTATATACACGTTAAAACCTAAAGGATTCTCAATTTAAACTGTAGTTCTTTTGAAACTATTATTGAACACTTAACATTATGTCATAAGAATAATGATTAATAAACTAACTATAAAGTAAATTAGATTATGGATGAAAGAAAAGACTGCAAACCAATTCAAGAAGGTAAACTCTTGGCCAGGCAAGGTGGCTCACGCCTGTAATCCCAGCACTTTGGGAGGCCGAGGCAGGCAAATCACCTGAGGTCGGGAGTTCGAGAGCAGCCTGATCAACATGGAGAAACCCTGTCTCTACTTAAAAAAAAAAAAAAAAAAAAAAAATTAGCCAGGCGTGGTGGCACATGCCTGTAATCTCAGCTACTTGGAAGGCTGAGGCAGGAGAATTGCTTGAACCCAGGAGGTGGAGGTGCAGTGAGCCGAGATTGCGCCACTGCACTCCAGCCTGGGCAACAAGAGTGAAACTCTGTCTCAAAAAAAAAAAAAAGGTAAACCCTTAAAGCTACATTAGCAAGATCAATGTACATATAAATATGCTAATGACATTTTTTCTGTACTCATTTGTTTATCCTTTTAAAAAATGTATTCGTTTTATCTCCAAGAGGCTATCATCTAGCAGAAACAAATTAGCAACTACTTCTGATACTATATATAAGTAACTAGATAAAATCATGCTTCCTTTTGTAATTCTGTCATAGGTTTGTAATTATAGAGTCACAGTTTTATAATTCTCAAATTTTACTTACTTTTGAAGAAGTTTTTACAATTTATTTTCATGCATATAAAGATGATATCAGATAATTTCCCAACTTTATTATCTGAAATTGGGCTGATGTAGACAATGTATGGATTATCACTTTCCTAAACAACTGATGAATTGTTTCTCCTCGAATAAAGGTTGGTAAATGGGCCAAAATAATATAATTTTATAGTGTGTCTAAAATATCCAGTGTGTAAGGATTTATACATAATGTGTTTATCACAGCTAGATTAGAAGGAAGAAAGAAAAATGCATGTATATCCAAAAGTGAATGACTACATGAATCATGGTACGTCCTAAACTATTAGGAACAACTAAAAACAATGGGTTATAAAAATTCGATCAGTGGCTGCTCTTTACTAAAAGTGTGGAGTATTGGTTTTGTGTGTGTATATATGTGTGTTTTAATTACTATACATTAGTTAAAAATCTTTTTATAAAAGTGTGGAGTATTGTGTGTCTGTCTTTAAAAATTGTAATATTATATTAGTTATTCATAGGAACTTCAGAGGGCCTTAAAAATAATTAACAACCAAATAATGAACATTGGAGAGTGTGTGCTGTCCTTTAGCATCTACTAGGAATGTGCTGTAAGCTGTCCATCACTAGATGGATGTTAGATGATAGATAGATAGATAGATAGAGCTATTTTAAGCTCTATTTTAATCCATAAAATGTGTAAGAATTGTGATCAAAAGCTGGTGGCAATTTTTCCTTAGTCAGAGATTTTTATTCCTGTGGAAGTTGGTAACACAAAGAAACTGTGTATTAGAGGTGCACGTATTCTTGGGAACTGCGTCTCCTTTACCTATGAGACTTGGCTTTTCTTAAACGCCTTGTCAACTTAATTTCAGTATAAATCCTGAAGTGGTGTGAGTTGTTCTACTGCAGAAATTGGCTCATAAAATAAATCACTGACATTTCTCTGAAATGTAACACTCTGTGTCAACTTCTCGTTGTACCTATATTGAAACTTCTGATATTGCTCACCATTGTAAAGCAATCACATACAGGTATCTATAGAAGTTAGAAATCTTCCTATCCAAACTTTGGGACTAAATAATTTCAGACAAATATTTGATAAATGCTTTAGTATCCAAAATGTCCTTACTTATTTTCTGCAATCTGGATTCCAGATGGATTTAGATATCACTATCTGAGGTTACTATCGAAAGTCTTATTTACCAAACTCAGGAAATAGACACATAAGATTAGATTAAGAAATTAATACTAGTCAGATATGTTTTACTGATAATTTTAAATGGGGAGTAAATTTGTCTATTTAAACATAAACACTCATACCTGGCTGCATAAACTAAAATTAGCTATGTGTTTTATACAGTCGACTCAACTAAAAATAAATACCTCAGCTAAATTAAAAGAATGAAAATATTATATTAGTCAATTTATAACAAAAGAAAACTGAATTGCAATAATAATTTCAACCAAGGTTAAATTTGCCACAGATACTGTCAAATAAATCAAGGAGGGGCATTAAATTAATATGAACAGAGATTTGATATCACTGTAATACTGACTTTTTCAAAAAATAAATCAAGATGTAATAAAATGTATTTTAATTTCTTTAAAAGTACACTCCACAGAGTGAGACCTGGCTCAAGCAAGTGCCTTGAGAGCTCTGGTTACAGAATTTTCTGGGGGTTTAAATACCCTCTAGAGGTTTCCCGTTGGTTCGTTCATTTACCCTATGTAAATGAAGGAGTGGCCCTTCAACAGTCTGATTGGTTACGAAGGCGACCAATAAGAGGCTGAAGTAAAGTTACGAAGTTACACCCTATGCAAATGTCTGATTGATTGCAGGAGGAGACCAGAGGTGCTTTCCATTTCTCATCTGCGACTCAGAAAAGGGGGGACCTGAAAAAGGGAATAACCTCTGTTTTTGTTACTTGGGTGTGGAAAATTGGGGTTTTCCTTCTGATTTAGTTCCAGGAAGTCAGTGTGAACCAGCCTTTGGTTCCCTGCCTCCAAACCGTATTCTCCTGCCTCAAACCTTTTAAAAATTATTTTGTACTTTTAAATTTTGTGGGTACATAGTAAGTGTAGGTATTTATGGGTTATATGGGATACAGGCATGCAATGTGTAATAATCACCTCATGGAAAGTGGGGTATCCATTCTCTCAAGCATTTATCCTTTGCGTTACAAACAATCCAATTATATTAATTTAGTTATTTTTAAATATACAAATTATAACCCTTATTCATATGTTCCACTTCTTGTTGCATTTAACCATTCCCAACTCACCCTCAACCCCCCTCTACCCTTCCTATGCACAAACCTTTTGACACATTGGGGATTCTATCTTACAGAAATAAAATCTCCAGTGTGTAAGGATTTATACATAATGTGTTTATCACAGCTAGATTAGGAGGAAGAAAGAAAAATGCATGTATAACCAAAAGTGAATGGCTACATAATCATGGTACATCCTAAACTATTAGGAACAACTAAAAACAATCGGTTATAAAAAATCCATCAGTGGCTGCCCTTTATATAAGTGTGGAGTATTGGTTTTGTGTGTGTATACATGTGTGTTTTAATGACTGTACATTAGTTATAAATCTTTTTATAAAATATGGAGTGTTGTTTGTGTATCGTGTGTATATGTGTTACAGGTTATAAGTATGTATATATGTTATATGTTATAAGTTATATGTCCATAACTTTTTATCCAAGTTTGCCTTTTTGCTCTCCAGATTAGCTTTACTTTCAAGGAGTGAATTATTCTACGCTGTACATGTTCGTCTCTGTTTGATTAAGCATAGAGCAACTTGTGGAATAATATATATCAAATCGTTAATGTTGCTTACTTCTGGTAGAGGAATTTCACAGGTTTGTAAAAAAGGTTTTACTTTTTTTCTAAAACCATCTCTTAACTCTAATTTGTCGTGAAAAGCAAGTGTTACATTGGCAAATTTATAAAATAAAAAGTTTAAGACCTCAAGAAGCAAATGGAAAAAAAAACAAAAAACCAAAAAACTGTTCCCTGAGGGACCTACATGTTAAAGTTAGTGTGAAGGTAGAAGGCACACAGTGTTATTCTAGATCAGAAAGCGGTGAGGTGAGGCGGCCCTGCAGCAGCTCCATTTTGATGTTTTTCTCTCTTCTAGGTTAGAGTATGCAAACTTTTGTGTAAAGGGCCAGGTTGTAAATATTTTAGGCTTGGCAGCCATACATACGGTCTCTGTCACAACTACAGACTCTGCAGCTGTAATGCAAATGTAGCTTCAGGCAACGCAAAAACAAATGACCATTAGCTATGTTCCAATAAAACTTTATTTGTAGACACTGAAATATAAATTTTATATAACTTTCATGCTTTGCAAAATATCATTCTTCTTTTGATATTTTTCTCCACTATAGAAAAATGTTAAAACCATTATCAGCTCATGGGCTGGCCCAAAACAGGCTTTGGGCCATAGTTTCCAATCCCTGTTCTAAGCAGTGCAAGTATAAGTGGAAATATACCTACTACAGGTGGGTCGTGTTGTCCAAGCCAATGCCATTGGAATCCAAGTTAACCCAGTACAGAGGTTGGAGCTTGTCACTCCTCTATGGTCTGATACATTGATTCTGAAAAATATCTCCCCAGGTTCTTTCCTGATAAAATCTGCTTGATTATCTTTCTAGCTCTAATTCTAAACTTAGAAGTCTTGGTCTTTGCAAAAAAAAAAAAGGAAGTAAAAAGCTACCGTTCTAGGGGGGAAAAATGCATTAGGCTATGCTATCTCTCACTATGTGAAATTGTGAAAATGATTTTCTCCAAACAACCATACCCAGAAAATGGAAGTTTTAATAGAGTAGATGAGAAGATGAAAGGGTCCTTTTAAATAATAGATCCCACAGGAAAAAGGCTGGATGGGCCCTGGAGGGGCGTGCTGATCATCAGCGGTGAGGCTGTGGGGTGGTGCTGGGCCCTGATTGGCAGCAGGGGAGATGCAGGTCTCCAGAAGTGGCACAGAAACGCGGGTGTAGTGGGAGACAATGTAGGACAAAGGCTGTATAACAATGTTCCCTAGAACACTTACTGGCTTTTCCACTGTGGTTAAAACTGCATAAAACAAAGGCATTTTAGGGAAGGAGAGGAAAAAGATGAGAATCCTCATTCTTCAGATTTCTGGCAAAGATTACTCAAATGTGTTTTAGGCAGAGACGAAATGGGGCATCATGCTTGATGATCACAGATGACCGCACCGAATATGCCTTAGATGTGAGCCAGGATTTCATGAACTGGGAATATTGAAAGCTGTAGTCAGCGGGGAAAATGTTCTGTTTTAAATAAATGTGGGGAAGAATGTGTTAAAGTCAATAAAGAAGGCTCATTTGTTTGCAGGGCTATTTACAGTCCTACATATTCTAATGAGACCTGTCAATCTCCAAGGGAAGCTAGAGAGTACATCACTTCCCCAATACTTCTGAAAACAAGTGGGGTGTGTGTGTGTGTGTGTGTGTTCGCGCTTGTGTAACATCTCTCAGAAATAATCTTCACAAATGTATTTTGAAAACTACTACTTCAGCTATAACCTTCTTATGACAAAATGTGTCCTAAGACAACAAAAATCACCAGACACAGCCAAACTAAGAGGGTGAAATAAAATGTACAATATGCATTTATATACACTTAACAGATTTGCTTTCCTATGGCACAAACTGTTGGAGATATTCACATAAACAATTTATTAAAAGCAAAGATTTCAACTTACCGAGGAGTTTTAAGTTCTAAAAGTTTGTTTTTATCACTCTTAATAACTCAGAATGCATTTTCTAATAGAAACTAATAAAAATGGTGGCTCAGTTTCCAGCCAAGCCTACTAATTCTTTGAATAAAGTTGAAATAAATTACTGATCATGCAGTAGGACATTTATGTCTGAAACAGTAGTAAAATTGAATCAAACAGAAATGCAAAGATACATTTTTAAATGTTATATTAAATGCAATGCCTCTGAAAAATAAGAATAACTGAAAGGAGGTTTAAGTTGAAGAAAACTATGAAGGAAATTTTGTAGCCTGCCGTAAGGTTGAGGTATTTATTTTATATATAATAGTTTCACTTCCTTTCAAATTAAAAAAGGTATAATAAAATATATAAAATTAAAAATATGAAGAAGAACATAAAACCATCTATAATTTTACCATACAGTATAATTCACTTGAAATGCATACTCTCACACTATATTCTTTGCCTACCCACATATTTATCAGAAGGAGTTTTTGCATTAGTAACATTCCTGGCTCTTTAAGAATAACAAACATACAGAAAACATGTGCAGAACAAATATTCCCCACTGTAAATTATAACAGAATGAACACCCCGGTAACCACCACTCAAGGAAGGATAGTAATATTGAAGGATGAGGAAGTGCCTCATGCAATTGCTCATGCACAATCACTACTTCTATCTCTTCATCAATGGTAACACGATTCTGACTTCCAACAGAATGGACACTTTGCAAGTTTTGAAATGTATGAAAAGGAAAAATATGTCTTTTTCTGCTTATGGCTTTTTTAGTCAATGTTATATTATGCACTTTATTTATGTAATTTTGTCTTGCTATAGTTTGTTTGCCTTTATTGACGAATAATAAATATACTAGTATGTGAACACACCACTCTTTAATTATTTAGTCTACTTTTATTTCCAGGTGTTGGATCTTTTTCATCGATATGTAGTTGATTCTTAGCAATGGAATAGCTGAGTCATAGGCTCAGCTATTGAACTAAATAGATTCAAATTTAGTAAATGATGCCAAACAGTTTGGCAAAAGGATTGGTCCAATTTACATTTCTGCCAGAGTTTCCATTGCTTCGTAACCTTGCTAGCATGTGGGATTGCATTTGTCTCATGTAGTCATTATGGTATATTTGTGGTCTTTTGTTACGTTTTTATTTGCATGTCTTTCATTACTAAAGTTAAGCACCTTTCTATACATTTATTGAGCATTTGTGTATCTTCTTTTGTGTTCAAGATACTTGCCCATAATTTTACTGGATCATCTGTTTTTTTCTATTATCTTTTAACAATTCTTAATTTAGTCTAGATATAAGCCCCAATGAATTTTACAATTTTTTATTTAATATTTTGATGAGTTTGTCAGGATATGCTAGGTTTATGCTGAGAGAACAAATAACCTTTATCAGTGGATTTACACTTAAATGTTTAGATGTGCTGCAGATCATTGGGTTTGAGGACAGCTCCTTTGTCCATATAGTCTCTCACTCAAGGGTCCAGAGTGACTGATGCTCCACCATCTGGAATGCTGTTAGTTGCAAGGCAGAGAAAAACAGAAAACTGGAAAATCTCACACCAGAAGTGATACATGTCATGTCTTCTCACATAGTATTATCCAGAACTAGATGATCGTTCATTCCCAACTGTGAGAATGATGAGACATGCAGCCTCCCAAATGCCCAGGAAGAAAAGAAGAACCCAGTATATTGGTAAGAACTAGCAATGTCTACTATGCTTGGACATTTTCCCTTATTAGTAATTTACATCTACTTTCCTGCTCTAATGTTTGCTGTGCATTCCAGTTTTGGCTTCTACCATACTTTGGTTAAATACTTCCCCCAATTATTGAGGCATGGCACACAAGAAAAATAACATTTCTATGGAAAAATGGAGGAAATACATGGGGGATTGGGTCATGCTAGAGATATCCACGTGGTATTTGGTAAACAAAAAATTTTCATTGCACTTTCTTTATATTAATTATTAGAAAAAATGTTTGGTCATATAGTGTATAATTAATGTCTATACAACAGTCAAATCTCAGCTTTTCAAAATTTAAATTTGTTTCTCTGAACATGTCTGTTTTTTTTTTTTTTGAGATGGAGTCTCACTCTGTCGCCCAGGCTGGAGTGCAGTGGTGCAATCTTGGCTCACTGAAACCTCCGTCTCCTGGGTTCAAACAATTCTCCTGCCTCAGCCTCCCGGGTAGCTGGGACTACAGGTGCCCATCGCCACACCCGGCTAATTTTTGTATTTTTAGTAGAGGCGGGGTTCACCGTGTTGGCCAGGCTGGTCTCGAACTCCTGACCTCAAATGATCCACGCACCTCAGCCTCCCAAAGTGCTGGGATTACAGGCATGAGCCACTGTGCCCGGACTGAACATGTCTTTTTAATATCTAATCTTGTGCCTGAAATGGTAAGATGCAGTTCCTGGTCAAGTTTTAAATGATGATATTTTAAAGTTCTGGATGTGAACATCACTAAAACTTTGTTCATAATAAGCTTGCAGAAAAAAATACCACAGTTAAAATCATATTTAAAGATTTGAACAGCTCTTTTTATTTCATTGACAAATTAATGTTGAAATTGCTTCTGAAAATGGGAATGGATTTTGAATCTAATTCAACATTGTCAATTCAACTATTTAAAATTATTGATGAAGATCTAATCTGAGGATATGCATGCATTGTTAGGGCAATATCCTGAAGCTAACATAAATATAAAAAGGGGTGTATTCACCATGAAAGGACAAACTAATATATGTGAGGACAGAAATACAGGGATCAAGGCTGTTGCACCTGCCTAGAGTCCCTGCCTACCTTAATAGACCACACCTGCAACTGTGTGAGTCAACCCTTGGGCACCTGAAACATCCACTCTGCCCAGCAGCAACATAGAATTCTTGACCCTGATGAAAGGCAATATGCTCTGCAGCTGGTCACTACTAACAAAGTCATCAGGGTGGTTCACTGCTGACCAGTGTGTGGCAGTGAGGTAATTAGTGCCAGATGTTGCTCATTTTGCTTGCCAACTGCAGCGAATTGGAGTGTATCACAGCCCTGCCTGCTCTGAGGAACTCTGGGAGAGGTTTGTGTTAAGGGAGAGGCATCTGGTGGTGAGATGTTTTTGGCTAAGCTGCATTTTGCTGGATTCTCTGACTCTTTTCACAATATTCTGGGCACCAGTTAAGTGAACCCTAATAGGAGACTGTAAGGACAATTGGCCAATTTAACACATGAGGAAGCTGGGGCACAGAAAGATCAAACATCTTATGCACCGTGACCCAGATTGTTAAGTGGGGAGTGACTATTTGAATGTGGCTCCAAAGTTGACGCTGCTAACCACCACATTCTACAGACTTTCTTTGATTTGCTCAAAATGAAACAAAAAAACGGCACAAGTAAAAAGCATAGATATGTTGCATTAATATTAACTACTTCCGGTGTGTGACCTGTTGATCAATGGATTGTAAACGTTTGCAGATTTGCTCTACCTAAAAATCATGGCCTTTTGCAATTCATCACGACTTTTGCTGTTAAAATGAATTAAGGAAAACTAGTTTGTCTACAAGTTTAGTAAGTTACAGTGATATGAAAATTGTGATTATAGTTGTAGTTTGTACAGCATTTTTTAATTTTCCAGGAATCTGACATGGTGCTAATAATATCAATAAAATTGTGTTGGTAGTTTTTTTCAGGGTGAAATAATAGAATTTTAGTTGCCAAAATTGATTATTCATTAAATTAGAGCTGCAGTAACAATAAAAATTCATATCTCTACTAATGAAATAAGAAGCCGTTCTGAGTATTAGTCAAGAATATTCTGTTTATTAGGTTTCATACAAGATTTGACTAGTTAATATGATTATACAAAACTCTATAGATAAAAAAGTATTTCTGTATATTTTCATAAGCTATATAATTACACTGTAGGAGCAAAACTAGAAGTTTTAGATTGATAAAAAATAAATCTGGTCAATTTTTCTGACACTTAGACCTCTAGAAGTCAAAAAATCATGGCCTCTTCCAAACTGAAGCAGATGTAATCATATTTGATTTCAATCAAATACTCAAAAACTAAGATAAGATAAAGATTGAGCTCATCAAGATCCAGCAAAAAAGGTATGTTATAAATGATGTTATTCTGATTTAGTTCTTGCTTTCTCCAATTTGTTTATTTTTATGTGACCTAGCTTTATACATTGCAATTTAAAGGAAATGAAAAACAGTTTTGTTATTTTCTTGTGTTATCTGGGAGATTATCTTATTCTTTTAGGGTTCAAGTGCATAGAGTTGGTGCAATCAGCCACAGTTTATGACACAGTATAATTTATGCTTCTTGCATTCTGTTTTAAATTTATTTTCACCTTTTATTTTCCTTCCTTTTATCCCTTTGTATTATGTCTAATATCACCTCATCTTCACCCCAATCCATGATGTCACCATAAGCTATGTGAATACAATTTACATGATGGCTTTGGGCTTTTCATCTCTTCACGTTTCTTCACAATATTCATTCAGAATATTGTGAGTTGTCCATGCTGTCCCCTGTAGATATACTAGTTTCCTTTTCACTGCTGCATAGCATTCCATCATTTGTAATACCACATTGTACCTATCAAGTCCCTATTTACAGACATTTACATTGTTTCGCACTCTTTGATTTGATTAACAATTCTGGACAATCTCTTTGTGTATATGTAGAATGATTTTTCTCAAGAGTCACAATGTGTACACATACACAAATTCACTACAGATTATCTCTGCAGATTAATTCTGATGGTAAAAATTAACATATCATTGTTTTTTATTTTCTCTTTTTCCTTCTTTTATACTTTCAACTTTTATTTTAGGAGGTACCGGGTTCATCTCACTAGGGAGTGCCAGACAGCAGGTGCAGGACAGTGGGTGCAGCGCATCATGCGCGAGCCGAAGCAGGGCGAGGCATTGCCTCACTCGGGAAGCGCAAGGGGTCAGAGAGTTCCCTTTCCTAGTCAAAGAAAGGGGTGACAGACGGCACCTGGAAAGTCTGATTACTCCCACCCTAATACTGCGCTTTTCCGACGGGCTTAAAAAACGGGGCACCAGGAGATTATATCTCGCACCTGGCTCCAAGGGTCCTACGCCCACGGAGTCTCGCTGATTGCTAGCACAGCGGTCTGAGATCAAACTGCAAGGCGGCAGCCAGGCTGGGGGAGGGGCGCCCGCCATTGCCCAGGCTTGCTTAGGTAAACAAAGCAGCCGGGGAAGCTCGAACTGGGTGGAGCCCACCACAGCTCAAGGAGGCCTGCCTGCCTCCGTAGGCTCCACCTCTGGCGGCAGGGCACAGACAAACAAAAAGACAGCAGTAACTTCGGCAGACTTAAATGTTCCTGTCTGACAGCTTTGAAGAGAGCAGTGGTTCTCCCAGCACGCAGCTGGAGATCTGAGAACGGGCAGACTGCCTCCTCAAGTGGGTCCCTGACCCCTGACCCCCGAGCAGCCTAACTGGGAGGCACTGCCCAGTAGGGGCAGACTGACACCTCACACGGCCAGATTAAGCGGTACGTGTACAGGTTTCTTACACAGGTATATTGTTCGATGCTGATTTGGGAATGAATGATCCCATCACGCAGGTGGGGAGCATGGTACCCAACAGTTAGTTTTTCAGCCCTTGCCCCCTCCCTCCTCTTCCCTCTAATAGCCCCCCGTGTCTATTGTTGCCATCTTTATGTTTACGAGTATCTGACGTTTAGCTCCCACTTACACATGAGATCATGTGGTATTTGGTTTTCTGTTCCTGCATTAATTTGCTTAGGACAATGGCCTCCAGCTCTATCCATGATGCTGCAGAGGATATAATTTCATTCATTTTCATGGTTGTGTAGTATTCCAAGGTGTATATTACCACATTTCCTTTATTCAGCCCACCATTGATGGGCACCCAGGTTGATTCCATGTCTTTGCTGTTGTGAACAGTGCTGCAATGAACATATGAGTGCATGTGTGTTTTTGGTGGAATGATTTATTTTCTTTTGGATATATATCCAGTAATGGGATTGCTGAGTCACATAGTAATTGTTTTTTCTTTGAAAGATCTCCAAACTCTTTTCCACAGTGGCTTAACTAATTTACATTCCCACCGACAATATATGTGTTACCCTTTTTCTGTAGCCTTGCCAGCATCTGTTATTTTTTGACTTTTTAATAATATACATTTTGACTGGTGTGAGATGGCATTTTATTGTGGTTTTGACTTGCATTTCTCTGATGATTCATGATGTGGAGCATTTTTTTCATATGTTTGTCACGCACTTGTATTTTGTCTTTTAAGAAGTGTCTGTTCATGTCTTTTGTCCACTTTTTAATGGGGTTGTTTTTTGCTTGTTGGATTGTTTAAGTTCCTTATAGATCCTGGATATTAGACCTTTGTCAGTTGCATAGTTTACAAATATTTTCTGCCATTCTGTAGGTGGTTTGTTTACTCTGTTGATAGTTTCTTTTGTTGTGCAGAAAGCTCATTAGTTTTATTAGGTATCACTTGTCAATTTTTTTTTGTTGCAATTGCTTTTGAGGACTTAGTCATAAATTATTTCCCAAGGCCAAAGTCCAAAATGGTATTTTGTATGTTTTCTTCTAGGATTTTTATAGTTTGAGGCATGACATTTAAATCTTCAATCCATCTTGAGTTAATTTTTGTATACAGTGAAAGAGAGGGGTTCAGTTTTATTCTTCTGCATATAACTAGCCAGTTATCCCAGCACCATTTATTGAGTAGGGGGTCCTTTCCCTGTTCCTTATTTTTGTCAACTTTGTCAAAGATCAGATGGCTGTATTAGGTGTGTGGCTTTATTTCTGGAATCTCTGTTCTGTTGGTCTGTGTACCTGTTTTTGTACCAGTACCACAGTATTTTTGTTACTGTAGCCTTATAGTATAAAGTTGAGCAATGAGATGCCTCTAGCTTTGTTCTGTTTGCTTCAGACTGCTTCAGCTATTCAGGCCCTTTTTTGGTTCCATATGAATTTTAGAGTAGTTTTTTTTCTAGTTCTGTGAAAAATAATGTTGGTAGTTTGATAAGAATAGCTTTAATGCTGTAGATTGCTTCGGGCAGTGTGGCCATTCTAATGATATTGATTCTTTCAATCCATGACCATAAATTATTTTTCCATTTTTTTGTGTCATCTCTGATTTATTTCAGTAATGTTTTGTAGTTCTTCTCATAAAGACCTTTCATCTCCTTGGTTAATGTATTTCTAAGTATTTTCTATTTTTGTGTGTGACTATTGTGAATAGGATTGCATTCTTGATTTGGCTTTCAGCTTGAATATTATTGTTGTATAGAAATAATACTTATTTTTGGACATTGATTTTGTATCCTGAAACTTTACTGAAGTCATCTGTCAGTTCCAAGAACCTTTTCGGTGGAGTCTTTAGGGTTTTCTAGGTATGGAATCATATTCTCAGCAAAGAGATCTCATTTGGCTTCTTTTCCTATTTGGGTAACTTTTATTTCTTTCTTTTGCCTGATTGCTCTGGCTAGGGTTTCCAGTACTGTTGTGGAATAGAATTGGTGAGAATGGGCATTATTGTCCTGTTCTAGTTCTCCAGGGAAATGCTTCCAGCTTTTTCCCATTCAGTACAATGTTGGCTGCAGGTTTGTCCTAGATGGCTGTTATTATTTTCAGGCATGTTTCTTCAATGCCTAGTTTCTCAAGGGTTTTTATTATAAAAGGATGTTGGATTTTATTGAAGGTTTTTCCTGTGTCTATTAAGATGATGATATGGTTTTTGTTTTTAATTCTGTTTATGTGATGAATCACATTTATTAATTTGTGCAATGTTGAACCAACTTTGCTTCCCAGGAATAAAGCCTACTTGATTGTGATGAATCACAATTGATGTGCTGCTGGATTTGGTTTGCTGGTATTTTACTGAGAATTTTTGCATCTATGTTCCTCAGGGATATTGGCATGTGGTTTTCTTTTTTTCATTGTATTTCTTACCAAGTTTTCTTATCAGGTTGATGCTGGCCTTGTAGAATGCGTTAGAGTACCTCCTCTTCAATTGTTTGGAATATTTCAAGTGAATTGGTACCAGCTCTTCTTTGTACTTCTAGTAGAATTTGGATTTAATTCTTCTGGTCCAGGGCTTTTGGGGGTTAGTTTTTGATTTTTACTGAATCCATTTTGGAACTCAATATTGGTCTGTTCAGGGTTTTAATTTATTCCTGATTCCATCTCGGGAGGTTTTTTTCAGGAATTTATCAATTTCCTCTAGATTTTCTAATTTGTGTGCATAAAGATGTTCATAGTAGTCTCTGAGGATCTTTCTTTTGTATTTCTGGGAGATCATTTGTAATGTCACCTTTGTTGTTTCTGATTAAATTTATTTAAATCGTCTTTCTTTTGTGCTTTGTTAATCCAGCTAGCAGTCTATCAATATCATCTATCCTTTAAAATAATCAACTTTTGGTTTTGTTGATTTTTTGTATTTATTTTTAGGTCTCAATTTTATTCCGTTCTGCTCTCATTTTAGTTATTTTTTTTCATCTGCTACCTTTGGGGTTAGTTTTCTCTGGGTGTGATGGTTAGATCATTAATTTGAGAGCTTTCTAACTTTTTGAAGTAGACATTTAGCACTATAAACTTTTCTCTTAACACTGCTTTTGCTGTATTCTAGAGATTTTGGTATATTGTGTTTCTGTTTTCATTTATTTCAAATATTTTTTTATTTCTGCCTTAATTTTGTTAGTTTGAAAATTTTCCTCATTAATGAGATTGAATAATCAGGTATCAACATTCCTTTTTGTGGATTGCCTAATTACATCCTTTCTTGGCTAACTAGTGGCATTCCTGTCTTATTTTTCCTAAATTAAAGAAATTTCTTCTATATTCAAGATTTTAGTCCTTTTTAGCTATATATTGTGACAGAATCATCTCCATCTATAACCTGCCTGTTAATACTGTCCATGATGTTATTTGTGTAAGATAAATCTTTGTGTTATATTCAAAACTCTCAAATTTTGCCTTTATAGAATTTACTTTATGTGCATTTTATTTTGTAACATTTTATTGAAGTCTGAGATGCATAAAAAACAAAGATATTTCGTGTACAGTTTGATGAGTGTTTATCTATGTGTAAACCATTGTAATGACTATACAGACAGAGAAATTTCTGGCAGCCTAGAAATTTCCTTTATGCCTTCCCAGTCAAAACCTACTCCTTCCGATCCCCCATAGCACCTATTCTACAACCACACATCAATGTTTTATTTTTTTGCCTTCATATACATGGAATCATAGTATTTTGCATCTGGTTTTATTCACTCATGACAGTCAGATTCATCAATGTTCTTGTAGGTAGCAGTTGTATTTTGTAGCTGTGTGGTTCTCCATTAAGCAAATATGCTGCGGTGTATCTATCCATTCTACTGTTGATGGGCATTTGCATTGTTTTGAGTTTGGGGCTATTATGAATAAGCTGGTACTTATTGTACAAAGAATTTTATAAACATATTTTGGTCATATGTCTTTAGGTGGACACATATACCCATTTCTCTCCAATATATTTATATAAATATTTATAAGGATACATAACTTTTCTGTGTGAAGGTCTATGTAAACATCTAGGGTCAGGAAATATTACAAAACTGGTTTTCAAAGTGACTGTCCCAGTTTACACCCACAACAGCAATATATGAGAGTTCTCATTGCTCTACATTCCTGCCAATATTTTTGTGTTTAGTCTTTTCAATTATAGCCATTCTCATAAGTGTATTTCGGAATCACATTGTGTTTATTCTTTTAATTTCTCAATATTTAACTTAATTTTTCTAGCTTCTTTACCAATATGAGGAACACACCACTTGGAGTACCACTCTAATAATCGTTGCATATAGACTATCAGTTTGCAATTCTACTTCCTGCTTCAATACATTACTATTTAACCACAATGTTTTCTAATCACAAATATTAACTTTTATCGACTTTACTTTCAGTATCTATGTATATGTAAAATTATTACATTTTTACGGATTAGTTGATAAATTACTAGGTTTCCTAGTGCTGAATCTTTGTTATATAACCAGAATAAAATGCAATCTATTATGCTGTGAAATTGTTAATCATTTGCTTAGAATTTTGTTTACTCGGAACACTTTTATTATTATCCACATGCAAGCTTGGCTTGTTGACATTTTAAATGCTATATTTTTGGAACACTAATATCAAGGTTATGTTTGCCTCATAAAAGAAACTGATGGGAGGCTGAGGCAGGTGGATCACCTGAGGTCAGGAGTTCGAGACCAGCCTGGCTAACATGGTGAAACCTGATCTGTACTAAAAACACAAAATTAGGTGGGCACCTGTAATCCCAGCTACGTGGGAGGCTGAGGCAGGAGAATCACCTGAACCTGGGAGGCGGAGGTGGCAGTGAGCAGAGATTGTACTTCAGCCTGGGTGACAGAGCAAGGCTCCATCAAAGAAAGAAAGAGAGAGAGAGAGAGAAAGAGAGAAAAGAAAGAAAGGAAGGAAGGAAGGGAAAGAAAGGAGGGAGGGAAAGAGAGGAGAGAAAGAAAGAAAGAGAAAGAGAGCAAAAGAAAGAAAGAGAAAGAGAGAGAGGAGAGAGAGAGAGAAAGAGAGAGAGAGAAAGAGAGAAAGAAAGGAAGAAAGAAAGAAAGAGAGAAACTGGGAGTTTTTCCATTTCTCTTATCTAGAACTGGTCAAATAGCATTGATTAGATTACATTCAAAGCATAGTAGAATTTTCTTTGCCACTCTCTAGTCTGATTTTTTTTCAGGAAGTAACACTTTGACAGCAACTCCTATTTCTTCTGTGGCATTTGGCTTACTTATGTTTTCTTACAGTCAATGTAGTAAGCTGGCTGAAAGCATGGAAGCTGGTGCCAGACAACCATGGTTAGACTCTTTATTCCATCACTTACTAGCTATGTGTCCCTAGGCAGGTCGCTTCTTCTGTGCCTCTATTTCTTCATTTGAAAAATGGCAGTAATTAAAATAATAAGCATAAGAATACCTCATAAGTTGTTGCAAAGAATAAAAGAGTTAAGGTCTGTAAGCTCTCAGAACAGTGCCTGGCACAGAAAAAAAACAACATTTAGTGCTATTGTTTTATTTCTTCTGGGGGCAATTTAGACCATTTACATTCTCATAGAAAATATATTTTCATGAAATTAAATAGCATAATTTGGATAGAGCCATCTCTGTTGCTTCTTTCAATTATTATTATTTTCCCATTATCATTTTTATGGTTTATTGGCATACTCCCCTCTTTACTCCTTGACTGGTTTTGCTGACAATTTTAACAATTTTATGGTCTGTTTTTCTCCCCGCAAAAGAACTAATGTGAGATTTATTCATTATTTCTAATGGTTTTCAGTTTCTAATTCATTATTATAATTTTTGTCCCCTTTTTTTCCTTCTGTTTCCTATAAGTTTATTTTAGTTTTTCTAAGTTCTTGTGTTGGGTGTTTAATTTTTTCTTTTTTTCTTGATTATTTAGATAGACTTATTTTATCTCATCCATATGCCAAAGGTTCAGATATATAGTCTTACCATAATTTTTGTTTTCTAGATATTTTGCTATTTTGGTACAGCTTTTCTCTTTTACTAAATAATTTTTAAGAAAGCTTTTTATCTGCTTTTTTTTACAGTTTTTATTTTCTTGTAATAGATGTTGCCTTATTCTCCAATAATCTTATAAATTCATTAATACTTAATTTTGATCAGAAAATGAGTCTTTTTTAATTTATGAAGTTTACTGAGGTTGTGTTAATATGTGGTCAATTTTTATTTATAGCTCCATGAGCACCTGAAAAGGACATAACATCTGTTTTCTAAGTATATGGAACCCATATCATTATTCAAGTTATTTATACCTTTTGTAGTCTTGCTTAAATTTTGTTTGTTTGATCTTACATGATTGGATAATAGTGGACTAAAGAGTATCCTTCATGCATTTTTATCTGTATTTGTCATAGTCTTTGCCTAATGAATACTGATACTATATTATTTAGTACACAGGTATTTATAGATTATTACACTTTCTATTTTTATCTAATTTCACTCTAGTACGAAGATAACTCTTCTCCTTTTTGTTTGTATTTCCTTTTTATATTTATTTATTTATTATTTATTTATTTAGAGTTAGGGTCTTACTCTGTCAATCAGGCTGGAGTGCAGTGGTGTGATCATAGCTCACTGCAGTCTCAAACTTCTGGGCTCAAGTGATTCTCCCATCTCAGCCTCTCAAGTAGTTAGAACTACAGGTATGCATCACAATGCCCAGCTAATTTTTTATTTTTGTAGGAATGAGATCGTGCTATTTTGCCCAGGCTGGTCTCAAACTCCTGGGCTCAAGCAATCCTCCTGCCTCCACCTCCCGAAGTGCTGGCATTGCTCTCATGAACCACCCTGCCTGGTCTGTTTGTATTTTCCTGTTACGTCTTTTCCTATCTTTTTAGTTTGAGCATATCTAAATTATTTTTTAAAGGTGTATCTTATGAAGCAATTATTATTTGTGTTTTGCTTTGTAATTCGATCAGAAACTTTTCTTTTTGTGAGTTCATCAGACCATTTATATTTATCAACACATTATCTTGGTCTTATCTCTGTTATCACATACTCTATTATACTTTAAATTTTATGTTTTCGCTTTTCACTATGTCTTCTTCTGCTTTATTTCTTTTATTTTGTTTTTAGTATGTTTCTTCAAATAATGTATATAATTTATATTTTCATTCCAGTGGTTACTTTTATATCTATACATCTATATAATATCTTAGTTATTTTCATTTTCTACAGTATTTGACTTAATGCATTATATGATCATAACAGAATTAATATTGTTCCTCTTCGTTCCTTTTCCTGCCTTATTTCTCTATCATTCAATTTTTGAGGAACATACATTTTCTGTGATATTACTTATCAGTTTTAAAACCTATTTTGACCATTAGCAACAAAAGATAAGGAGAATAACATGCTTTTAGTATTCATCCCTTCTATCTCGATGGGCCTGTGATATAGAACTAGGCATGCTTCTTGCTGCTGCACCTGGAAGATTCTATCTCTTCCAAATCTTCAACTCTACCACCATCAATGACAGAAATCACTTAGTCCACCTCAGTTCCTGCCTACTCTCTGGATGATCAGGGAGACTCAACACACTCAGTGGGTGGAAAGCTCTTCCCAGTCCGCTGCTTCCCAGAATTCATCCAAGAACTCCAAGAAAAGCAGCAAAAGCTCTGCACTGTTCTCTCTGCCTAGACCCCAAGAAAGCCCAAAACCTTACTTGTACCCAACTGCCTATAGGCCCACTGCTGCTGTATTTTTGCTTTATGTTTAATTATTTACCCTTCATACAACTATTTATGGGAGAGAAGGGAGCATTTGAGGAGCTGAATTTATTGAATCATCTAAAAATGGCATTTTTGCTAGAAGTAAGTTTGTTGTTATTGTTTTTTTTTTTTCTCTATAAAATATTTCCCATGGACCTTAAGATTAGAATTATGTTAGTGCCTCTGTCTTCTAGATATTGCTTATGTAAACGCCTCAAATAAGGGGTATTATTATTGCCAGCACCACTATTTAGTAACTGTAGGCTTTTTGGTTCTGTATAAATTAAATCATTTTAGTTTTTAAAATTATATATTTTTGTTTATTTCCTGTTGCAGACAGAATGGAATTAGAATCAGACTCACCATATCTTCTTTAAAAAACACATATTTGTATACGAAAGAGAAAAAATACTTTCCCCTTATTACAAGCATTGCTTTGACCCTTTACTAGCAGTTGTTTATTCTAACAGCCTTCTTCCTGCTCTGCTTCCAAGCTCAAAACGTTCTTGAATGTGATCCTAACACAAAGAAAGCTTGGCTGTTAGTAAAGTGCCAGAGTCCGTCCTTTATCCCTAGGATCGGTTGGTCAGAAAAATACCCAAAATTACATCGTTTTATATTTCAATTATAGGAAAGATCAAACATGCTAAGACAATTAAAATGCAAGCTGATATCATGTGGCTTCACTTTACAGATAAGAATGAAAACCAAGGGTCTTTAACATTGCTTAATCCAGCTGTAGTTACAATTCTAATCCTCAATGTTTATATCACAAGCTTGAATTATCCCTATTATATTCTGTGTAGCAAGCATCCTTAGGTACCTTCCAGGCTTTAGGGACAGGGGCCAGAACGTACACTCTCTCTGCTATCTTAGTCAAGGGTCCTCAGAAAAATTGGCATTTGCTATGCCCCACCACACCCATTTATTACCGGCCCAAGTAATTTCCTGTCAGGCATTCATCTAAATCTAAACCTCAGCATTATGAACACTCACTAGCCTCATTTTCAAAAGTTCAATTATTTAGACTAGGTAGTGTCTCTAGAGTCATAGAGCTGAAAAAATTCTGGTGTTATCACTGTTACTTCAAAAGCTGATTCTCGTTCCACAGAATGAAATATTTATTCCCTAGAGAAGCTGAGGACGCTAAAGAGCATGTTTAAGTCGTCTGCCCATTATCGCTTCTGAACGCTTCTACTGCTTGTTCCATTAGACAATTCAGAGACTCAAAGCCAGAAGTTTTTATCCCCAAGTGAAAAGTCCTGCATTTGGTCTAAAATTGCAAATATACTGAAGTGCCAGAAAATGACATTCTGAAATTGGCCAAAGGGTTTTATTTAACATCAGAGCACTGAGAGCATTTCTGAACTAGCACCAAAATTTTATCTTTTTTAAAGACAGGCTCTAGCCCTGTCACCCAGGTTGGAGTGTAGTAATGTGATCATAGCTCACTGCAGCCTCAAATTCCTGGTTTCCAGTGGTCCTCACACCACAGCCTTCCAAGTAGCTGAGGCTACAGGTGTGTGCCACCAAGCCTGGCTAATTTTTCAATTTTTTGAGAGATGGGGATCTCACTATGTTGCCCAAGCTGGTCATGAACTACTGGCCCCAAGTGATCCTCTCCATTCAGTCTCCCAATTCATTAGAATTACAGGTGTAAGCTACTGCACCCAGCTAAAAACTTATCTTTTATAATGATATTCTTTGTATCAATGCGTTTCCTGACACATCAATACTTAATTGTTCTAGCCAGTAAGACTTTGTTTTCATACAACCATGGTTTAACCTAACTTGTGGTTCAAAAATAGATCGTCATGATTTTTCTTTTTGGCACTGGGAAAGGCAAATCATATCACCCTCTTACTTACCCAGGGGTTCTATCACTAGACTGTCTCCATTTATTTCTTCCATAGTGCTAGGTAGTTCTAGTTATTAAAAAATCTACAGTAACCAGTGTATTTTCAAGCTTAGACAGGTTCTGCTGGAAATGTTTTGTAAACTTACCATTTGAATAATTGAATTTTTGTCTTTTAAAAAATCAGTGGCTGTTAGATTCACGAGGCATGTGTGTGTGTGTGTGTGTGTGTGTGTGTGTGTGTAAATTGTTCCTAGGGAAGACAGAAAGATAATACTCCAGGTTTTTCTGAACACTATTCGAAACTCATGCTATTCAGCAATTTAAGGCTTTCTTATGTTTCTATGGTTATTCTTTGATACATAAAGAATAGAAAAAAACAAGGAAAAAAAATAACCAAGGGGAAAAAAAGCAACCCTTGTTGATGGATGAAAATATGTTATCAAGAATGCTGAAGCAGCAAGAGAGAATAACACCATGATAATAATTCATAGTCACCTGAGGCACAAGGAACCACCCCGAGGCCAGCTGAATGGCTTCAACACTCAGCAGACATAAACAGAGCAAATGCATTTTCTGTCTCCTGCATGGAATCATAGTTTTTGCAATACTCTCTATGGTAATGCTGCTAAAATTTTCACAGTAACTGGCAAAGATCCTTCAACCTTCTGCCTATATAGAGTCTAATAAAATGTCCTGATCAATGTCTCATAGAGTGGTACACCAATCCTGAATCCCCAACAGACATGAAATTTGGGGCAATTCACTAAGCCTGTGTGTGTGAGCTCTATGGCAACATCAGTTCAGAACAATTTCAACATGACCTTTGGACAAAACAGCAGACCATGTAGCAACAGTACAGGGGATCAAGATGAAATCACTCTTCTGTGGAGAAACAGAAACTCAGAACTTCAAGTATGCTTCTGAATGCCTAGTCCATTCACTCTACTCAGATGACTATTTCACAATATTTTTTTCTCTTCAATACTCCAACATCTCCTCTCCAAATTTCTAGCAGCAAAAACAGAAGCACTCGGAAGACATCCTCCTCCTCCTAGTCCACCAAGTCCACCAAGATCAAGCATCTGTGCTCATGTATACCACAACCCTCCTGTATTATGGAGGAACAGCCTTTCTCCTAGATGAAGTCAATTCCTCCACCTGTGTCCTGGATCCCAGCCTTGCTTACCTACTCAGAAACTTGCTCCTGAAATTACCTATGTCATCTCCCCTGGGATCAAGTTCTCTCTGTTCACTAGAGCATTCTAATGACATAGCAATCATGTGACAATTCCCATCTTTAAAAAATCCTCTTGCAACCCCCATACCACCAGCTTTGCACACACTTCTTGCTCCCTTTCATAGCAAAAATAAAATAAAATGATTTTTATCCTCATTGCTGCCATGATTTTTAATCACCCACTCTCTCTTGAACTCATCAGTTCAAGCATTTATCCCCACCACTCCACTGAAGCTAGTCTTGTTCTTGGTCAATAACGACATTCATATTGTCACATCCAATAGTCATGGTTAGCCCTCTTCTTATGTGATCTCTCAGCAGTATTTAACCCAACTGTTCACACTTTCTTCCTTCAAACACATTTCACTTGGATTTGGGGACAACATACTTTTCTGATTATCTTTCGCTTTCACTGACCGTTTCTTCTCAGTCTCCACCTTTTTTTTGGATGCTATGCATGTTCCAGATTTCTAAATATTGGCATACTCCAGGGCTCCATCTTGGACCATGTCTATTCTCTAACTACAGTTCGTCTCCAGGTGATCTCATACAGGACCATGTGTTAATATCATTCATAAATTAAATAACTAGACCTCAGCTCTGACATGCCCTCTAGTATCTATCAAATATCTAATAGTCATATGGCTAAACCTCTGTTTGCCCTTCTCTGCCCTGCTCTGTCGCCAAGGCTTGAGTGCAGTGGTGTGATCTCGGCTCACTGCAACCTCCACCTCCCTGGTTCAAGCAATTCCCCTGCCTCAGCCTCCTGAGTAGCTGGGATTACAGGTGCACACCACCATACCCAGCTAGTTTTTTTTGTATTTTTAGTAGAGACGGGGTTTCACCATGCTGGCCAGACTGGTCACGAACTCCTGACCTCAGGCAATCTGCCTGCCTCAGCCTCCCAAAGTGCTGGGATTACAGGCGTGAGCCACTGCACCCAGCCAATATAATTCTTTTTATGTTGACAATATGGAAAAGATAACTCTAAGTGATAGCACTGTTATCCTAATTTCTCCAGCCAACAAACATAGAATAACCTTTGATTCTCATCTTTATCCCAGACCCCACCAGCAATCCATCAACAAACTGTGTCATCTCTAACTTCAACTTCTTACCTCTAGAACTCAGTCGTCATTATCTTTCACCTGGAAACTGAATAAGCCTTTAAGTCGTCTCTCTGTTTCTTCTTTTGCCTTTCTACATCCATATTCTGGTTATCTATTGCAATGTGACAAACTTTATTAGAGCACAGTAACTTGAAAACAACAATTTTATTGTTTTTCATATTTCCTTGTGTTGACAGGGCTTGGTTGACTGATTATTTAGCTGGTTTCACTTGGTGTCTTTAACACAGTTGGAGGTAGAGAGTTCGTTACTTGGACAATGAGAAAGCTGGACCTCCCTCTCTTTGTGAAGCCTCAGGGCCTGTCCTCTCAAGGCCTGTTCTCTCCATGTAGTTTTTCAGCAGAGTAACCAGGCTTCTCCCATGGTAGCTAAAGACTCCCAAAGTGAGTGGTTCAAGAAAGAGGAAGCAGAAGTGGACAGTCCTCATAAATGCTAGATCTGTAACTAGTACTACGTCTCTTCTGTCACACTTATTCATTAACATATGTCAAAGGCCAGCCCAGACTCATGGTGGTGGGAGAGCACTTCACAAAAAATGACTTCTGAAGAGTATGGGCCATTGGGCCCCATCTTTGGAGGCTAGCTGCACATTCTCCAGAGTTATCCTTTCAAACAGAAATCCCATCATGTTACCCTCTGCAATCAACACTCCCAAAGACTTTCCATCTAACTCAAGATAAATTTCAAAGTCCTTAGCATGGCCTACCAGATCCTACATGGCCTTGCTCTTGGATGCCTGTCTAATATTATTCACTCTCACTCTCTGGAAACGCCACACATGGTGTTCTGGCTCTAAATTATCTGGATAATTGCCTCCATCCTTTAGTGCATCTGACATTTATAGTCTCAGGAGAACCACAGGAATCTCACATTTAAACAAAGTCACAGGTACAAGATGAAAGGATTAGAAATTACCATTGTTCCTGCAGAACTGAGACACTCACAAATAGAATTTCAATCACTTCTTCGAGCTTTATGGCCTATAAATGCCCATCATATTCATCACATCTCTTGACAATGGCATCACAGGCAGAATGGGAATTATTTTCCTCGTTTTTAGATTAAGAACCCAAATCTTTTAATCACAATGACTTGTCTAATGTCAGAGATGTAATAAGTGGTTGATCCAGAACATAGAACTAACTCTTCTAATTATTTGCTCAATATTCTTGTTACTTTCTCATAATAAAAGAGGAGAGAGAAGAAACTCAGAGATACAAGACTATTGAAAAAGGAAAGACAAAATGTATCAATTTATACTTGTAGTGTGCTGTCTGATCACCTATGTATCAATTTATACTTGTAGTGTGCTGTCTGATCAATTCAGTTACTGGATAAAAATTACAGTGCCAAGTGCTCCTTTGGAACTTGCTTTTGTCATTGTAAACACTAACCAGAGATAATTGTAAACACTAATCAGAGATACAGGAATACAAAATGTAGTCTTCACAGAGCCTTTTTTTTTTTTTTCAAGATGGACTAGGGTAAGTTGAACTTCTCTTTCTCCCTACCTGATATTTATTCATGTATCAGTATATTCACACTTTCCTTCCTCCTTTTGTACATTCAACAATATCTGTAAGTGACACACACCCCCGATTTATGCAACTCTTTTGTAGGCCATGCCACCACTGCAAAATAAATAGAAGCCAGCACTTCTGCCTAAAAGGAGTTTGAATTGTAGCTGAAGGAATGAAAAATAGATACAAGGTGATATGAGAACAAAACAAGAGACTCAGCCACAAATGCAAAACAAAAGTAAAGGTGAATGTGTGAAAAGCTTTTTAAAAAGTTTATGACCTTATTGGAAGATCTAAAATTATACTGCTCCTAGGCATAGACTGCTCCTCACATCACAACCAAGCATAAATGCTTCTCAATTGTTATTGAAACAGTTATTCCCTGCAAATAGTTGAGGGATATTATAAGATATATAAATTTTTAGTGAGTTTCTGAGCTATGTATTTGATCTAAATATTATATTATCAATCTGGCTCAAAATCTCACAATCTGGATTACAAAAAAACACACAGTTAAGCCTTGAACAGCACAGCTTTCAACTGCGTGATTCCACTTATTTGCCAACTTTTTCCGTAAATATATTGGGAAAATTTGTGAAGGTTTGGGACAATCTGAAAAACCTCACAGATGAACCACATAGCCTAGAAATGTCAAAAAAAATTAAGAAAAAGTTTGGTATGTTATGATACTAGTGTATTTTATCATGTACTATAATAAAATATATATGTCTATTACAAAAAGTTAAATACATCAAAACTCACACACAGACACAGACCACATAGGGTACCATTGGCAGTTGAGATAAATGTAAACAAATGTAAAGATGAAGTATTAAATCATAACTGTATAAAAGTAACTGTACTAGGGTAATCATTTTATAACCATCTTTTTTTTGCTATTGCAGTGAGTTTAATGTTGTGAGTAGCCACTTAAAATGCCCTGTCATGCTAATCATCTCCAGCTGAGTAGTTTCTGTCTCCAGTAACTGGCATGTAGTAGTGAAAAGTGATCTCTCACTGTTCTCCTGTATTTTTCATCATGTTAAGCACAATACCATAAACTTTGAATAAAAAGTGCACACAGTGCCGCTGGAAGTGCTTCCGAGGAACAGATAAAAATTATGGCATTACAAAAAAAAAGCTGGACTGCTCGATATATACCCTAGATTGACGTCTGCAGCTACGGTTGCCCACCATTTCAGACAGACGAATCATCTTGTAAACGGATATCAACTTACTATATGGATAAATACAGTACAACACTATGAATGTATTTTCTCTCCCTTATGATTTTCTTTATAACATTTTCTTTTCTCTAGCTTACTTTATTGTAAGAATACAGCCTATAATACATGTAACACACAAATATGTACTATTTGACTATTTAAGTTATCATTAAGACTTCCACACAACAGGAGGTTATTAGTCGTTTAAGTTTTGGGGAAGTCAAAAGTTATACATGGATTTTTGACTGTGTGTGAGGGAGCAGTAGGGGGAGTAGGGGCAGTGTCCCAATCCCCACGTTGTTCAAGGACCAATTATACTTCAAAACTTGCCTTATCCTGCAGACAAACATTCTCGTGTGCTTAAGATAAAAGATCAGAGAGAGCAGCCCCAAGTTTTTCATCATTAGCTTCTGAAGTCTGATAATGCAAGCTGTCTTGCAGACAAGAGCAACCTCTCCTATAGAACCTCAGCCTCAAAGTAGGTTGTGATCTGACTAAATATAACAAGTTAGAGGAACAGAGTAGGGCACACTTCCAAAGCAGCATACCCAGAGATGTGTTGCTTTGGACACAGCCTGATACTTTGTTCAACAGCCAAGTGACTTGTCTACCCATTTTATGAGAGCCAGGGAAAAAGAGATATCGCTGATCTCAGTACCAGGAAGGATTGTACTTCTCCAGAGCCACTAGTTTTCAGACCCTATCAGACACATAACTGCTTATGTTCCTTTTCCAGTAAGTGTATGACATTTCACGGTTATGAAGGTTAATTTTGTATCAACTGGCTTGAGCCACAGCGCCCAGATATGTGATCAAATATTCTGGATATTTCTGTGAAGGTATTTTGGAAAAGATTAACGTTTAAATTAGACTTTGAGTAAAACAGCTTGCCTTCCTTAACATGCGCAGGCATCCTCCAATCAGTGGAGGCCTGAGTAGAACAAAAGGTTGACCTCCTCTGAAAGAGAGAATTCTGTCAGAAGATGAACTAAAACATTGGTTGTTCCCTGATCTCCAACCTGCCAGCCCACCTTGATGATATGGGACCAGATGGTCTCCATATTGAAGAAAGCCAATTTCATAAAACAACTCTCTATATATTCTCTATATACTCTCTATATTCTGTATATATTGGTTCTGTTTCTCTGGAGAACCCTGACTAATATGATGGTGCAAATTTTGTACACTTCTCATTCTTTCGATTTTAACACACTTTTCTATTCCTTACTTCTCCTTGATCTCCCTTACTTGGTTTCTTTTTTTTTTTTTTTTTTTTTTTTGAGACGGAGTCTCGCTCTGTCGCCCAGGCTGGAGTGCAGTGGCGCGATCTCGGCTCACTGCAAGCTCCGCCTCCCGGGTTCACGCCATTCTCCTGCCTCAGCCTCCCGAGTAGCTGGGACTACAGGCGCCCGCCACCACGCCCGGCTAATTTTTTGTATTTTTAGTAGAGGCGGGGTTTCATTTTAATTTATCTTGGAAAAGAGAAAAGCTGTCCTTGACAGCCAGGAGGTGGCCTGGCACTTAGAGCTATGCCTTGATGTTCTCCTCTGTAACATAATTTCAGAGAACATCAATATCAGACAGGGAAACTGTGTGACTATGATGGATTAAGCCAAAGACAAGACCACTGCAAAACTGTGTCCAGATACAGACAAAATTATTGACGTCGTTCAAACCACAAAACTGTCTAAACACATCCCTGTTCTAGCTAAGATGAGTGGCTGATTTCAACCTCAGTCTAGTCTTCCCTCCTGGATGTGATTTAGCCAGATAGAAATAACCCCAGTCTCTGAGTATCCAATCCAGAGTAAAACCTGCTTCCTTAACTCTTCAAAAAATCACTAACCTCAAGCCCAAATTCTATGTAAAAAAAAAAAAAAGTTTTTTCTAAACCCTTCTACTGAGGTGACTCAGTTTCCTGTGGCCTTTGTTGATACAAGCAGCAATTCCAACTTGTTCTGTTACAGGTAAATTTCTGATTGTCTTTGTCTAGAGAGCATTGACAATCTCAATTTATTATATGTATCATGAGTTGCTTTAAGTGATTTCTGGATCAAATCAAGGTGACACGCAATATTTACACAACAGTAGCATGAAATGTGAAACTTGAAAAGCCCAGTAATAGTTTTGTATTTTAAACACATTCTCAATACTACGTTGACTGATTTCAATGTTTATTTTGGTATCGTATCGCTACAAACCAATATTGGATATCAAAAGCACTTTGTGAATTGTTGTCTTACAGTATTAAATTTTCCTAAGTGGCTATACAATATCCTTTTCCTGAAGAAAACCATAGGTTTGTAATCATTGTCATTCTAGGTTCTATGAGTATTCTTTACTGATCAAACACTTTTTAACTGCCACTGCTAGTGCAAGCACAAAAAGAAAATATGTAGGATGTATAAATTCCATTTCAATTTAGGAGACAATTAAAAACTCAAACGATTTTTTAAAGGCCAGACAAATGGGATGGGGCCACAGAAAAGACATACAAAGAGAAGACACGACATAATATGACAGACATAGATTTAAAAACAGAAGAGATTTAAGGTTCTCTTTCTAGCCAAGATGGAATAACAGATATTTCATTAACCCTCACTGAAACAATAAAAAAGGAATAAATATAGAAAACAAAAGTCTTCAAGACATTGTATGTCCAGCAACAAAGAACAGTGATCCCTGAGAGACAGGAAGCAAGGCGAGTCTACGGTTGCCCTGGCTTAGTGCCTTGAGTTTCCAGGCCATAGCACAGGAAGAGGAAACCGAGGCAGAGCATCTGAGCTGTGAAGAGAGGAAGCAAAGAGCCTAAGAAAAGCAAGGCAGCCAGAGCTCACCAAGCAGAATACTGGAGAGGTGAGGGCTGCACAGATAAAGAACCCTGGAATCTGCAGAGGGTGCCTCTTGAGTATTCAGCATAATACTGAACAGTGCAGAGGAAGCTATCAAAGGCTTGAAAAAGAACCACCCAGACACGATTAGAGGGAACAGTATCTGGCACTCATCCCAAGCTAAAAATATTGCCTATTTCTACTAACCAGATGGGAAACTATCATATTTTGTAGGGCACTGTGCAGAGTAGTTAAAACGTCCTCTAATCTAATATTTTTAAAAACCCACAAAGGTAGATGGTTTAGGAGGAAGAAAGGTGTTTTCACAATTTTATTTATCTTCTCGAAAATCAGCCTGATTTTCACTATTATTTTCCTGTTTTCTATTTATCGTTTTCTTCTCTGACCTGTATTATGTTCTTTCTTTTGCTTACTTTGGAATTAATTTTCTCTTCTTTTTTAGTGTCTTAAAGTAGAAGCTGAAGTCGTTAATCTGAGACACTATTTTTTCTAGCATAGGACTTCAGTGCTGTGCATTTCCCTCTACATATTGCTTTAGCTACATCACACAAATTTTAATATGCTGTGTTTTCATTTTCATTCACTTCAACATACTTTTTAATTTTGCTTTTAAATTCTTTTTTGTCCCATAAATTATTTAGATGATCTCTAAGATTATCTCAGAGATATTTCTTTTTATTATTGCCTTGTACCTTAATTCTGTTTTGCTCAAAGAACATATTTTCTATGAGTTGAAACTTTTAAATTTTTCTGAGACTCATTTTATGATCCAGGATATGGTTTTCCTTATGAAATATTCCATGTGCACTTATAAAAATGGACAGTTTGGTCTCGTTCAAAGAAATGTTCTATATATGTCAACTAGGTCAAATTACATGAGAGTATTAGTCAAATCTTCCATATCCTTACTGGTTTTCTGTCTACTTGGTTTGTCAATATTCAGAATGGGTATTTAAATATTCAGCACACATTATGGATTTGTCTATTTCTCCTTGGCGTGCTTTTAGTTCTTCAGTTTTTGCTTGATGTATTTTAGGTGCTGCTATTAAATGCATACATATTTGGAATTATGCATTCTTAATGAATCATCCCTTTATGTCATTTAAAACCTCTCTTTATTGCTGGTAATATTATTTATTCTGAAATCCACTGAACCTAACATAATATAGGTGCTCCAGATTTCCTTTGATTACTATTAGCATGGCATATTTTTAACCACCTTACTTTTTAACTTATTTGTTATTTTATCTTTTTTTCTTATTCCTTTTTTCTTTGGAGAATCTATTTTACATATATTAGGCTACATAAAGTTTTCCCACAGCTCTTTGATGTTATCTTCATTTTGTTCATTCCTTTCCTCTCTGTGTTTTATTTTGAAGAATTTCTATTGCTAAATCTGTAAATTTTTCTTTTGCCGTGTCTAATGTGCTGTTAATCTAATCCAGTGTATTTATTATCTCCATTATTGTAGTTTTCATTTCAGGAAGTTTGATATAGAGATTTTTCCTATGTCTCTACTTAATATGCTCATCTCTTTCATAGCTTCCTAAACATATGAACTATAATGAAAATAACTGTGTTACATTCTTGTCTAGTAATTCTATTATGTGTATTATTTGGGGATTGGATTTGGTTGATGGATTTTTTTCTTCATTATGGATCATATTTTCCTGCTTCTTTGGGACACTTTGTGTATTAGGGTTCTCTAGAGGGACAGAACTAATAGGAGATACACACACACACACACACACACACACACACACACACACACACATATTAACTCACATGATCACAAGGTCCCACAATGGGCCATCTGGAAGCTGAGGAGCAAGGAAGCCAGTCCGAGTCCCAAAGCTGAACAACTTGGAGTCTGATGTTCAAGGGCAGGAAGCATCCCACATCGGAGAAAGATGTAGGCTGGGAGGCTAAGCCAGTATAGCCTTTTCAGTTTTTATCTGCCTGCTTTATATTCTAGCCACCCTGATAGCTGATTAGATTGTGCTTGCCCAGATTAAGGGTGGCTCTGCCTTTCCCAGCCCACTGATTCAAATGTTAATCTCCTTTGGCAACACCTCACAGACACATCCAGGATCAATATACTTTGCATCCTTCAATCCAGTCAAGCTGATACTCAGTATTAACCATCACATTTGTTAATGTGTTATTATTATAAGCCAACATTATGAAATTTACCTTGCTGGATGCTAAATATTTTTGCATTTTTATAAATATTCTTAATCTTTTTTTCTGGAACAGAAGATAAGTTACTTAGAAATAGTGAGATTTTTACAGGTCTTGCTTTTAAGCTTGGTTAGGGAGGAGCAGAGAAGCATTTATTTTAGTGTTAATTTTCCCCACTAATGAGATAAAAGATATTTGTGTACTTTTCTTGATGCCCATGAATTAGGAGATTTCTTTTTTTACTCTGGTGAAAAAAGAACTATTCTCCATCCTAGTGGAAGCACAGTTGGCTCTTAATACTTTCAGGCTGTTCTTCATCTGGCCTCAGATAATTTCCTCACATGCGTGTACTGATTAGTAAACACCTGAAGTTTTGAGGGGGACCTATGCAGTTCTGTCTATATGCGGCACTCTCTTCTATTCTGCCATACTTAACTCAAGCCACCTTGTCCTCCAGGGACACCCAGCTCTCTCTTCCCAATTCAGGAGACCACCAGGTTCTGTTTGGATTCTTCCTCCCCATGTTGCAACCTCAAAACTTTCTTCAGGCAGGAAATTGAGGCAATTTTCAGGCTCACCTTGTGTGTTTCACATTTCCCAGGCATCACTGTTCTTTGTTTCCTGATGTTCAACAAATTGAAAATCATTTTCTCAGGCAAGAGGTTAAATCGAGTCTCTGTAACTCCATTTCCACTGAAAGCAAAAGTCCAAGAATTACATTTTTAAATTTATAAAATACTGATCCCAAATGGGAAAAGAATCCAAATTTGACATCAGATTCCCTGATTTTGCTGAACTATGTGTTTATTGGTGCAAGAAGCTGGATAGCTAATAAGAATAGTAAGAGTTGATATTTTATTAACTTTTTTTCACTTCATACACAATAAAGGGAAGAATTAATTTCTTCCATTAAAGACATCTGAGTCTGCTACTACTCTTATTTTCTAAACTGCTATGGATTATTAATTCTCCCATCAGCTACATCAAAGGGAGAACACTTCACAAAATTGAGTGACTGGATAGCTGTCATTTGTTTTGGACTCCTTTTTCTGCATTGAGAACAATATAAAGAATCACTCTGGGAATGATTCAGGGAAGTGAAGATGATAAACAGTGTTCAGTTGTATTTTCTTTTTACTGCTTCTTTATGGACTTCATGTTGTACATGGGTTGAAGTTCATAGAGGCTTTAATAAATTTAAACCTGAGAGCTCATAAACCATGTTCCAGACTCTACAACTCTACAACTGTAATAGTTCTTTATTTTGCTCTGCTCTAAGGGATACTAGCACACACTATGTCTCAAAACAATTTTCCAATCTATTTAACTTATGTATTTATTTAATAAGTATTTATTGAATACTTACAATGTCAAGACACTGAATGAGATACTAAGCATATAATACATGAGACAAAAATTAGGCTCTGAACTAAAAAGTACATAATATGGTAGGAAATAAGTAATACAAGTAAATAAATGAATATGTACTTAAATACAAATTGTGGCCGGGGGTGGGTGGTGGCTCATGCCTGTAATACCAGGATTTTGGGAAGCCAAGGTGGGTGGATCACTGGAGGTCAGGAGTTTGAGATCAGCCTGGTCAACATGGTGAAACCTTGTCTCTACTAAAAACAGAAAAATTACCCAGGTGTGGTGGCATACGCCTATAATCCCAGCTACTAGGGATGCTGAGGCAGGAGAATCGCTTGGACCTGGAAGGCGGAAGTTGCAGTGAGCTAAGATTGTACTGCTATACTCCAGCCTGGGCAACAGAGCTAGGCTCCATCTCAAAAAAAAATAAATAAATAAATAAATACAAATTGTATTAGATGCCAGGAAGGAAATTAACAAGCGGTTATGCTAGAGAGTCAAAAGTCCATCAATTTTGATAACATAGGGGAGTCCTATCTACAACAGCAACATATGAACTAACCCAATAAGTGAAAAGAATTCATCACAGGAATAGCACAAAGGAGAGAGGTTGAAGGGGTATGTTTGTGCTGAAATATTAAGGAAGAACTTGGTGTGTTAGAGGAAATGGGATAAAGTCTTTGTGGCTGAAGCACAGCAAGGGAGAAAGTAAAACCAGATGAGTTTGAAGGATGAGCAAAAGCCATACAACGCAAGGGCCTGAATGCAGTGACCATGGCAGAGTTTAAAGCAGGGGAAGAGCATTCTGGTTTGGGGAACTAAGTGAACAATGATGTCATTTACTAAATGAGAACAGACTGAGTGATAAAAAGTTTTAGAGATGAAACAAAATGTTAAGCTTGGGCCCATTAGGTTTGGGATGCTAGGAGTTATCAAAATAGAGACACTAACTAGTAAGCTGAATAACTATTTTAGAAAAGGAGTTTGAATTATAAATACAATGTTGGTAGTTGTTAGAATGTAGGTTATATTTAAAGGCATCGTCATAGGAGCCTTAGAGTGTTGCTTCACCGACCAGAAACTTCTGTGACAGGTGGTGCCTCTGCTTGGGTTTTGCTTGCATCCACTGGGCTCGGGCCAGGCACAGTGGCTCATGCCTGTAATCATGCTTGCTCATTCGGCCCAGCAGGTTGCTCTCAGCTCGCAGTACTGGCCCGGATCCCATGCCTGCCAAGAGTGAGCCAGGCACAGAGTGGGGATGGGCGTGTGACTGAGTGAATGCAGGGTCCAGCCACGGCACGTGGCCAGGCACACTGGCTGCAGTGGGGTGGGCAGCTCCAGGTGCCAGCACAGGCACTGGCTCTGTGCAAGGCTGCAACTGGACCAGGCATACCATAAGCAGCTTCCACCATGGGCACCAGGGAACACAGTGGCGCCCAAAAGCTCAGAGATGCCAGGAACACAGAGCCCCAAAGAGGTTGTTACAGCTTGTCACAGCCCAGGATCAGGGAGCTGCAAGGTCTGGGCTCCCAGAAGGGCCACAGGTCTTCTTTCCTTCTTGCCACCCACAGCGTGGGGAGCGAGGGTGGGAGGGCATGTTTTGGGGAGGCGAGTTTTAGCCCATTTGTGTTACAGCTCTTTCAGTCCCACTGCCCGACTCCAGCCCGTGGCTCCTGGACTAGCCCAGCCCCACCACTGCTTCCTGTTGCATAGGGTGACCACTGGGAGCCAGTGGAAGGCAGAAGAGCTATACTGTTAAAGCAGCTCTGGCTTCAGGAACTCCAAGATCTGGGCTTCCAAAAGGTCACTACTTTTCATACCCACAATCCAGGAGTGTGTCACTGCCTGCAGCTCAGCAAGCCAGCCAGGAACATGTTATAGTTCCTTTTGTTCCTGCCATTTGGCAGGTCTCAAATTCCTGTCCCATGTCCATGAAGAATGAGGTATGAGGTTACACAGACAACTGTAGGGTGAGCAAGGTGGAGAGGAGCTTTATTGAGAGACAGAACAGCTCTTGAGAGACTCAAAGTGGGTAGCTCCACAGGCAGATCATCCCAAGGAGTGGCTGAGTCTGCAGTTATTATGTGCTCAGAATGGAGGAAGTACATGCTGACTGGTCCATGGATGGCCGTGGGCAGGCCTTAAAAAAGCACCATCCAGCTGGCCAAAAGACATCAAGGAAGTTCTCACTCCTGGTCGCAGACTCCACTTGGAACAGCCATCCCGGCCCCCAGGCTTTAGACCATCCCTGGCTTGAAGGTGAGGTTTCACTGGGGACTCATCCCTTCCCAACTAGTAACCTGTCTGCCTCCTACTGCCATCAACATGCCATCTGCACCACCCAGACTGTTCATTCTGAGGGACACCTGCAGGCCCATGCCGAGCCCCACCGTCAGCCCCCTGCCAAATTTGTTCCTGAGCTAGTTGGCCCCCAAAGTTTCAGAGTGGGCTGAGATGCATTCAGTTTAAGGCAGCAATTGAAACAGAAATTTTAAGGTCAGCAGCAAGAAAAAATAAGCTCATTTTGATAAATAACATACAACAATATGACATTTTAAAATGTACTAGTGGTGGTCAGGTGCGGGGGCTCACGCCTATAATCCCAGTACTTTGAGAGGTCAAGGTGGGAGGATAACTTGAGGTCAGGAGTTCAAAACCAGCCTGGTTAACATGGTGAAACCCAGACTCCACTAAAAAATACAAAAATTAGCCAGGCATGGTGGCATGTACCAGTAGTCCCAGCTACTTGGGAGGCTGAGGCAGGAGAATTGTTTGAACCCAGGAGATGGAGGCTGCAGTGAGCTGAGATCATGCCACTACACTCCAACCTGGGCAACAGAGTGAGATTTCATCTCAAAAAAAAAAAAAAAAAGATCCTAGAAGCAGTAAGAGAAAAGAAACAAATAATATACAATTGAGCTCAATATGTCTAGCTGCAGACTTTTAGGTGGAATCCTTACAGGCCAGGAGAGAGAGTCATGACATATTTATTATGCTGAAGGGAAAAAAAGCTTTTACCCTAGAATAGGATATCCAGTGAAAATATCCTTCAAACATGAAAGAGAAATAAAGACTTTCTCAGACAAACAAAAGCTGAAGGATTTTATCAGCACCAGACCTGTCCTACAAGAAATGCTAAAGGGAGTGCTTCAGTCTCAAAGAACAGGATGTCAATGATCAATAACAAATCATCTGAAGGTACAAACCTCACTGATAATACTAAGCATAGAGAAAACACAAAATATTATAACACATAATTGTGCAGTGTAAACTACTCTTATTTAAGGAGAAAGACTAAATGATGGACCAGTCAAAAATAATAACTATGACACCTTTTCAAGACATAGACAGAACAATCAGACATAAAGAGAAAAAACAAAAATTAAAAAGCAAAGAGATGAAATTGAAGTGTAGAGTCTCTACTCATTTTTTTGGTTTTTGCTTTTTTTGTTTATGCAATCAATGTAAATCTGTCATTAGTTTAAAATTATGAACTATATGACAGCATTTGCAAGCCTCATGCTAGCCTCAAATCAAAAAACCTACAACACATACAGAAAAAATAAAAAGCAGGAAATTAAATCATACCACCAGAGAAAATCACATTCACCAAGAGGAAGATAGGAAAGAAGCAAAGAAGGAAGAGAAAGCCAGAAAACAAATAACCAAATGGCAGGACTAAGTCTTTATTTATCAATACTAACATTGAATGTAAATGGACTAAACTCTCCAATCAAAACACAAAGAGCGGCTGAATGGATGAGAAAATAAGACCCATTGATCTGCTGCCTTAAAGAAACACACTTTACCTATGAAGATACACATAGACCAAAAATAAAGGGATGGAAAAAGATATTCCATGCCAATGAAAACCAAAAAAGAGCAGGAATAGCTATATTTATATCAGACAAAATAGATTTCAAGACAAACATATGACATAAATCTCAAGAGACAAAGGAGGTCATTATGTAATGATAAAGGGATCAATTCAGCAAAAGGATATGACAATTGTAAATATATATGTACCTAACACTGGAGCACTCATATATACAAAACAAATATTATTAGAGCTAAAGAGAGAAATCGATTTCAATACTATAATAGTTTGAGATTTCAACAGCCCACTTTCAACATTAGACAGATCTTTCAGACAGAAAATCAACAAAGAAACATCAGATATAATCTTCACTATAGAACAAATAGACTTAATAGATATTTATGGGACAATTCATCCAATGATTGCAGAATACACATTTTTCTCCTCAGTATATGAATCATTCTCAAGGATAGATCATATGTTAAGTCACAAAACAAGTCCTAAAACATTCAAAAAATTGAAATAATATCAAGCAGCTTCTCTTACCACAATGGAATTAAACTGTAAATCAATAACAAGAGGAATTTTAGAAACTGTAAAAAAAATGAAAAATAAACATATTTTTCTGAATGACCAATGCATCAATGAAGAAATTAAGAAGGAAATTTAAACATTTGTTGAAACAAATGATATTGGAAACACAACTTATCAAAAACTATGGGACACAGAGGAAGAAGTACTAAAAGGGAAATCTATAGCTATAAGTGCCTAGTTCAAAAAATAAGAAAACTTTACATAAATAACCAAATGATGCACCTTAAAGAACTAGAAAATTAAAAGCAAACCAAAGATAAAATTAATATAAGAAAAGGAATAATAAATATCAGAGCAGAAATAAATAAAATTGAAATGAAGAAAACAACATAAAAGATTGACAAACTGAAAGTGTTTTTTTTTAATAAACAAAATTGACGAACCTTTAGCCAGAGTAACTAAGAAAAAAAGAGAGAAAACCCAAGTAAAATCAGAGATGATAAAGGGGACATTACAACTTATATCACAGAAATTCAAATAATCATTGGTGGCTACTTTGAGCAACTATATAACAATAAATTGAAAATCTAGAGGAAATGGATAAATTCTTAGACACATACAACCTACCAAGATTGAACCCTGAAGAAATCCAAAACCTAGGCCAAGTGCTGTGGCTCATGCCTGTAATCCAAGCATTTTGGGAAGCCGATGTGGGTAGATCACTTGAGCTCAAGAGTTCAAGACCAGCCTGCCTAAATGGCAAAACCTCGTCTTTACTAAAAATACAAAAAATTAGCCAGGCATGGTGGTATGCATCTGTAATTCCAGCTACTCGAGGGGCTGAGGCATGAGAATCGCTTGAGCCTGGGAAGTGGAGGTTGCAAAGAATTGAGATTGTGCCACTGTACTGCAGCCTGAAAAGAAAAGAAAAGAAAAGAGAAGAAAAGAAAAGAAAAAGAAAAGAAGAGAAATCCAAAACCTGAATACAACAATAACAAGTAATGAGATCAAAGCTGTAATAAAAGGTCTTCAAGTAAAGAAAAGCCCAGGACTTGATGCTTTCATTGCTGAATTCCATCAAACATTTAAAGAAGAACTAATATCAATCTTACTCAAACTATTCCAAAAAATAGAAGAGGATAAAATACTCCCAATCTCATTATACAAGGCCTAGTATTACCTTGATACCAAAACCAAATAAAGACATGTCAAAAAAAAAACGAAACAAAAAAAACTAACTATGGGCCAATATCCCTGAACACTGATGCAAAAATCCTCAACAAAATACTAGCAAACAAAATTCATCAATACATTCATAAAATCATTCATCATGACCAAGTGGAATTTATCTCAAGGATGAAAGGATGGTTCAACATATGCAAATTAGTCAGTGTAATACATCATATCAACAGAATGAAGGACAAGAACCATATGATCATTTCAAGTGATGCTGAAAAAGCACTTGATAAAATTTAACATTCTTTCAAAAAAATTCAAAAAACTGGGTATAGAAGAGTATACCTCAACATTAAAAAAGCCATCTACAACAGAACCACAGCTATTATCATACTAAATGGGGAAAAACTGAAAGCCTTTTATCTAAGATCTGGAACAAGACAAGGATGCCCACTTTCACCACTGTTATTCAACATACTACTGGAAGTCCCAGCTAGAGCCATCAGACAAGAGAAAGAAATAAAGGATATCCAAATTGAAAAGGAAGAATTCAAATTATTCTTGTTTGCAGATGATATAATCTTATATTTAGAAAACTCTAAAGACTACCCCAAAAAACTATTAGAACTGATAAGCAAATTGAGTAAAGTTACAGGACACAAGATCAACATGCAAAAATCAGTAGCATTTCTCTATGCCAACAGTGAACAATCTGAAAAAGAAATTTAAAAAAGTAACCCAATTTATAGTAGCCACAAATAAAATTAAATACCTAGGAATTAACCAAAGAGTTGAAAAATGTCTACAATGGAAACTATAAAATGTTAATGAAATAAATTGAAGAGGACACAACAAAGGGAAAGATATTCTATCTTCATGTACTGGAAGAATCAATATTGTTAAAATGTCCACATACCAAGAGCAATCTACAGATTCAATGCAATCCCTATCAAAATACCAATGACATTCTCTACAGAAAGAGAAAAAGTAATCTTAAGATTATATGGAACCACAAAAGACCCAGAATAGCCAAAGCTCTCCTGAGCAAAAAGAACAAAACTGGAGGAATCACATTACCTGACTTCAAATTGTACTACAGAGCTACAGTAAACAAAACAGCATGGTACTGGCATAAAAACTGACATGTAGACCAATGGAACAGAATAGAGAACCTGGAAACAAATCTATACACCTACAGTGAACTCTTTTTTTTTTTTTTTTTTTTTTTTTTTTACAAAGGTGCCAAGAACATACATCAGGGAAAGACAGTCTATTTAATAAATAACGTTGGGAAAATTGGACTTCCATATGCAGAATAATGAAACTAGGCTCCTATCTCTCACCATATAAAAAAAATCAAATCAAAATGGATTAAAACTTAAATCTAAGATCTCAAACTGTAAAGCTACTACAAGAAATCATTGGGTAAAATCTCCAGGACATTGATCTGCACATAAATTTCTTGAGTAACACCCAGAGCACAGGCAACCAAAGCAAAAATGAACAAAAGGAACCACATCAAGTTAAAAAGCTTCTGCACAGCAAAAGAAGCAATCAACAAAGTGAAGAGACAACCCACAAAATATATAAGAAGCAATTTTATCACCACTACAATGAAGATACTGAATAATATCAATGATAAAAGTTTCTTATGGAAAATTTTTTTCTATAGGGAAATATCTAATAATCTGATCAAAACATGGGGAAAAAATTTGATTAGACATTTCTCCAGAGAAGATATACAAATGGCAAACAGGCATATGAAAAGATGTTCACCATCATTGATCATCAGAGAAATGCAAATCCAAACTACAATGAGATATCATCTCACTCCAGTTAAAATGGCCTATATCCAAAAGACAGGCAATAACAAATGCTGACGAGGATGTGGAGAAAAGGAAATTCTCATACACTGTTGGTGGGAATGTAAATTAGGCCAGCCACTATGGAGGACAGTTTGGAGATTCCTCAGATAACTAAAAATAGAGCTACCATACAATCCAGCAATCACATTGCTGGGTATAAACCCAAAAGGAAGGAAATCAGGTTATCTAAGGGACATCAGCACTCCAGTGTTTATTGCGGCACTGTTCACAATAGCCAAGATTTAGAAGCAACCTAAGTGTCCATCATCAGATGAATGGATAAAGATAATGTGGTATATGCACACAATGGAGTACTATTCAGCCATAAAAAAATAATAACATCCTGTCATTTTCAACACTATGGATGCAACTGGATGTCATTATGCTAAATGAAATAAGCCAGACACAGAAAGACAAACTTCACAGATTCTTGCATATTTGTGGGAGCTTAAAATTACAATGATTGAACTCATGGGAATAGAGAATAAAAGGATGATTACCAGAGGCTGGGAAGGTTAGTAGGGGGTGGGTAGGGGGAAGTGGAGATGGTTAATGGGTACAAAACATAGAATGAATAAAAACTAGTATTTGATAGCACAGCAGGGTGACTATGGTTAATAATTTAATTGTACATTTTAAAATAACTAAAAGAATATAATTTGATTGTAACACAAAGGATAAATGCTTGTGGCAATGGACACATCATTTACTATGATGTGATTATTACGTATTACATGTCTATCAAAGTATCTCATGTACCCCATAAGTATGTACACCTACTATGTACCCACAAAAATTAAAGAAAAGAAAGAGAAAATGAGTAGGTTGAGGAAAGAGCTGGGTCAATTTGTTTTATCAGAAGAAAAGTCGAGAGTGATCTTGTCAAGAGCCATTTCTATGGAACAATGAAAGTGAAAACTAGGTTAAATAGGTTGAAAAGTGATAGGAAGTGAGGAAGTCGAGATTGAATGAGTGACAACTTGGAAGAAATGAGTTTGAAGGAAATACATGAAGTGGTAAATAGAAGGAGACACGGGATAAAGGAGGCAATTTATAAATATAGATGGTTTTCTAATGTGCTTACATATATTTTCTCACGTTTCTCACCAAAACAAACCCTGAATAAAATATCCTTTCTATTTAACAAGAAATAATGGTCTGTGATACAGATCCTTATAAAATTGCAGTAATTCCTGTCATGTAGGTCACTATGAAAACATTTTCTCACTGTCCATATAAAACCAAGCGCTACCAGAACAAAAGCAGAGAGCTTGACCTCAGATGTCACTTCAAAATGAGGTTATCTTATAATTTCACTGAAAAAAGAAAAAACAGCCAAACTTGCAGGATATTTTCAGCAAATATGAAAATTCTTTAGTTCTTCTCCCACATGTGAGAGACATATAGATAATCAAAGGACAGATAAATAAGCTTAGATGAGGGAATGGGAAGGGCATCTCACTGCAAGGAGACAGCCGAGAAACTTGTTTTGGTATTTAATTTGACAACATGTAAAATTTAAGTAAAGGGACTAATTTTTAATTGAAGAGTTTCCACCCAAGTAAGTGTCCCGAGCATATTCTATTCATTTTTTCTAAACACAGTGAGGTTGACTCTATTATCTTAAATTTACGATGAGGAAACAGATTTGTGGAAGTTAGCTGGGAAGTGTCAGATCCAGGGTCGAAGGCCAGCTTGTCCATCACCAAAGCCAATGCTGAAGATATATTGTAATGAGCAACAGTAGAGGAAAATGGTTAGAAACATAGGCTAGGAAGCAGACTACGCAATTGATGTTCAATTTTACTTCCTACTAACTCTGTAAACTTGTGCAAGTTATTTTTATATTCTATTCCAGTTTCCAACCTATAAAATGAGGATAAAGAAAATGCCTACTACACAGCATTGTTGTGGGGATTAAATGAATTTAAACAGTGCCTGGACCATAGACCTTCATAAATGACAAGTGTTAGTATATTATCTTCTCTTAAGAAAAAAATGGTCTCTCTATTTGGAAAGGTCACCCTTTTAATAGAGTATTAGTAGTTACTTTAGTCAGCAGAGATGTTTCTCAGTCAAATCACCCTAAACCAGTTTTGATCTTGTATCTGAATAGAGGCAACTAGAATTTTAATTTCAAAATCATCCCATCCAAAAACAAAATTGTCTTTGGCTCAACACTGCATATGTATTTACTTGTTGTTCAAGATTTCCTTCCCACCAATAACTCTTTGTTTGTCTTCCTGTAAAGAAAATGATGAGGGCTAAATCCATCAGCACCAAAGCTGGGAAGCCCTCCAGGTTCATTTGGAAGAAAATACTCCTCTGAGCTCAAAGGAAGTGTGATCTGTCACAATATTGTATGCCTGCACTAAGTTTGCATCCTGAAAACTCACTGGAAGATAGGAAAGCAAGCATGAAAAAGCAGCCGGGTCAGACAGGCTTCTGGATTCAGTGTGTGGACATGACTTTGCCTGCATGAATTGCCCCTTTCTCCTACAAACAAGAGAATTCGGTCAAGTGGATGTGGCAGAACTGGGCTGCTCTGAGATGATAGAAAAGGGCTCCTGCTTTTCCTGTAATTGCAGCCCCTTGTTCTTGTGGTTGCTACATGCAATAAATGTAATTCTATGAGAAGGACCAGCCCTTACATCCCATCAAAATGTTTCCTGGAAACCTGGAGCACAGAACTCTGATATCCTCTCACACTGTGGCAGGAGAAGCAGCACAAGGCACAATGCTGAAATAGCATGGTCCAGGGTAGGGTACAGCTCATTTATTTTGTTGAAGAAATCCTTTTCATTGCATTTGCTGGAAGAGGAGGAGTAAGGGCTGCTTGACACTCATCTCTTAAATGCTATACATTCTACCTTGTCCCTGTGATGTAAGAGCAGGAAATAAGGAATACCAAGCACAAAAATAGTAGTTAACAATTTTGTGGGTTAAATGATAAAGTGTGTGTGTGCATGTCTGTGTTTTCTCACAGTGGCCATAGAGTAAGTGATTTTTATGCCAAATTATGGTTTTATAGAAATTATTTCGGAGTTCCTATGGTGACTTCTTAACTTTATCAGACAGTTGGCAGTTTGGACAACTTATAGAGAAATCTAGGACTCCCAGCTAAGGAAATTAATATTTACAAAAATCAGCCAATAGCAAAGAGAAGAAAAGCTCTGACAGATTAAAAAGTTTCACAAAAGTGGTATTTTTTAGTGTAAACATAAACTGCTTTAAGAATGCATAATTATCTTTGTACACCTATATGCATGTGTATTCAACACAATGCTCATACAAAGAATTTAAGCCCAAGTAATTTTAGTTGAAAAAATACATATTTTTCAATTACATGAATGTTCAAGAAAAAGTAAAAATTATTCCGACCACAACAACTTTCAAAATGATGTCACAGTTTTCCACTTTATTTGTGTGTAGACTATTTTAGAACATTTCCTCTTTTCAAAAAGAAGTCATCTTTGACAGCCATTAGAATGAGCACAAAATAGGCCCATTTATTTATTTATTTCACAGATGGACAACTAATACAGATGGTACTATTAAAATTATGTCACATCAATGTTTGCAGGGAACTTGGATTTAACATTATGAAAAAAGATTCATTCAGAAATAAAAAGGGTGATACTTTGAGAGTCAACGTGAGTCTACTTTCCAATGAATTCAAGCAATACTTCAACTGTCAACTAAATAATTTAAGTTATTGGACTTCCACTTCCAAATGTAAAAACTGAAATATCTTCCTTAATTGCATTTTTAGCAGTTATATGATGAGACTAAATCAATAACACCAATGGAATTGAGTATTTACAATCATTGTTGCTTCAGCAAAAGGTTTGGACTGAACAAAAGGTTTGGACATAACTATGGGCTAAATAATAGAAGTGTAACAAGCTACGATTTTTAATAGCTGTGTTTTAATAGTTGACAAATTTCTGAAATAATCTCAAGCAAGTAAAGCTCAGTAGAAATAAACATTAGTTTTCTAATCACTGTTATAATAGAAACTTTCCACAATGTTTAAATTATTAAGAATTTTTAATCCTCAGAAAGTAGCAGTAAATGGATCATCAACTTTTGTTCTGGATCATGAATAGATATATGTATTTCCTTCCTTTAAGATCTATTGGGCACACTTAAGCTGAATATACAAATTTTTGTAGTTCCCACTTTTGGCAAAACAGTGGCCTTTATGGTGTCATTCTATTTTCCGAGCCCTCTTAGGTATTATCTCTCCAAAGGATTAAAGTGGCAAATAGTGCCCAGCCTGGAGTCTTAAACTCAAAGGTAGGATTTGGTCACAATTGCTGTTTCTATTATATTTTCATTAATTATTTTTTCTTTCTTTGAATGTATTCATTTTCAGCAATGTTCAAAAGTTAAAATAGGGTCTATGACATGTTTTCTAAAAATGAATGAAATGTGGGTGTCTCAATCAGTTTGGGCTGCTATAATGGAATACCATAGACTGGTGATTTAAACAACAGAAATTTATTTCTCAAAGTTCTGGAGCCTGGGAAGTCCAAGATCAATTTCTGGTGAGCGCTTTCTTCCAGGTTTATAGATAGCCGTCCTTTGCTGTGTCTTCACATGACATACACAGGGAGAGAGGAAGAAAGCCTTCTTGGGTCTCTTCTCATAAGGGCACTCATCCCATCATAAGAGCTCCACCCTCATGACCCAACCACCTGCCAAAGGCTCCATCTCCAAATGCCATTATATTGACGAATAGGGTTTCAACATATGAATGTGGTTGGCAGGGCTGGGGGGGTACACAAATAGCATATGAATGAATTTGTTTCATAATATTTATTGCATCATATCCTTGATGATTTAGGCCTGCCAAAAAGAGGAAGAGAGTTTTCAAGTGGACGTTAGCCTTGAGCCTCAAACATTTTGATTCCTGCTTTTTAAATGTATCCAATAATCAAGAGAGAACAATAACAATGAAGGATGTGATGCATAGAATACCAACCAGTTACAGCCAGGAAACTTTCAAAAACTAATACATGAAATTCTTAGAAGAGCTTATAAATAGCTATGTTCATTTCATTTTAGTCATTTTATATTCGCCTGTGAGAGAGAGAATAAACTGAGAAATTCTATAAGCAATGTCATTCAAGTGCCTGAAATAATCAATGCATGCTGGCAAAAGTTACAGAAAGAATTTGTGAATTTATGCATCCAACAAATGTTTATGGGGAACCAATTTCATTTTGGACAAAATTTTCTGCCTTCATGGAGTTCACATCAAAGAGTAGAATAAACACATAAGTAAAATTTAATAGGTTGAATAATGGTAAAAGTTTAATAAAGCTTAGTAAAATGAAGTATCAATAGTGTGTCCATTAGTTTACTATTGCCACAAAATTGTCACATTTCAGCAATACGTATTTATTGCTCATGTGTCTGAGATCTGTCAACTATGCTGATGTTGGCGGGGGTTGGCTGACTGAAAGGTGATCAAAGCTGACCCTGGCTAAGGTGACTGGAGCAACCAGTATGTGTCTCCACCTCCAGCATGTTAGTCTGAGCAGGTTATCAAGGCTTTGGAAGGAGTGGGAAGACATGTGGAAAGAGCCAAGGCTTCTTGAGACCTAGACTTGAACTAGCACACTGTCACTTCCAGCTCATTCTATTGGGGAAAGAAAGTCATATTGTTGATCCTAGAGTCAAAGAACAGAGCAGGTCATCCTACGCATTGAGAGAAGGAACTGGAGAGTCACATAGTAAAGGATATAGAGACAAGGAAGGGTAAGAAATGGGGCCAGTGATGCATCTACCATGGCGTGGATGCTACTCCAAAGGAGAGGTCAGGAAAGAGGTTACTGATCTATTTGATCTAACTGATAAGACACCTTAAGGAGGTAAATAAGTGAGCTACAGAAATATCTGGAAGAAATATTTCAAGTGCAGACGCCATAAGGCAGTATGGAAGAAATGATGGAAGTGTGGTAGAAATGGTCACAGAGGTGGTGGAGGAGTGAGGTGGGACACACATCTTGTAGGGCCTTGTAGGCCATTCGAAGAAACTTGATTTTACTCTAAGAAAGATAAGAAGCCAGTTAAGGATTATGAGGGATGGAAAAACATAACCTTATATTTAAGAGGTTTCCTACAATGGACAAAAAGCTGAGCAGGCTGCTGGTTGTCATTAAAAAAGTGAATATTAAGAGCCATAGACAATGAGAGGAATTGATAAATTGGACATGCAGGATCATATATACAAAACTACATACCTGGTACCTTAAAGGAAATTTAATGACTATTGAAGGTAAGGTGACTTAAAATTTGCTTATGCTGAATTTAGATAAAAAAAAAAGCCCAGCTAAGCAGAGATTTCACCATAAGCTATGTCCTTGAATACGTTACTGCTGGGCCCACTGAGCACAGATATCCTTTCATTTATGTGGTATATGCATTTCTAAAAGGTCTATGGGGTTTTGAATTTTAAAGTGAAGTAGTTTTCCCATTACTATAATGGAAGTTATGTATCCCCATGCAGAAATGAAATTAAAATTCTCCAAAATAAAATTTGCCTTAAACAATAAGAGAATTGAATAAGGCATAGGGTATAAAAAGTAAGCCTGCCAAAAGCAATATCCTATATGCACACATAACTAAATTGAAGATACAATGGGAAAGAAGACCATATCTGATATAGCCAAAATGTATAATAATATAAAACATCTAGGCTAAATTTTAGCAAGAAGTGTTCACATCTCTAGAGGAAATCTAGAAAACACTCTTCAAAGACACAAAAGTAAACTTAAACAAATGAAAAGATATGCCATTACTTAGGAAGAAGCAACCTTATAAGGAGATCAGTTCTCCCTCAGGTAATTTTGAAATTTAATACAACACCATTGAAAACCACCAGGTTTTTCTTTTCTAGAGCTTGAGAAGTTAATTATAAAGTTCATTTGGGAAAAAAAGCAAACATATGGAGAGAGTGGCCAGTCTTATTTGTTATTAAAATCCACTAAAAGTCTCATAACGGTGTAGAATGTGTTATGTAAAAAGACAGAGAGACTAATGGCACAAAATTTAAAAATTCTGAAATCAACTTGGTTACATATACATACATACATAGAAAATATGGGATACAATAAAGATGGAATCTCAAGTCTAAACTGAAAAGATGAACTTTTTAGTAACTTGAATTGAGATAATTTGATAGCCATATGGAAAAAGACAAAAATTAGATCAGTCTCTTACATCATACATGAGAATAAATTCCGAAGGGATCAAAAAGTAGATTCTAAAAAATTAAACCCTGTAGTACTAGAAGTTAACATGGGTAAATTCTATAATCTGAGAGTGGGAAAACTGCCACGCTACTACTCGAAGTCCAGAAGTAATACAGGAAAAAATTGATGAATATGAATACATAAAATAAAAAGATATTTTTGGTATGGCAAAATCATAAGCAAATAAAGACAAATGACAAACTGAAAAAAAATAGCTAAGTGCTATATCTCTAATATATAAAGATCTTCTAAAATAAAGAAAAAACAGACCCTATTTTTAAACAGGACAGAAAATTAAAGAGATCTCACAAGAAAGCAAATGGCTCTTAACTCTGAGAGATGGTCAACCTCACTGATAAGAGAAATAAAATTAAAACTACACTGAGATATCATTTCTCACCTACTAGATCAGCACAAATCCAAGAGGTTGAAATCACATTCTGTTGTCAAATTCATGAAGAATCAGACACTCATATATATTTCTTGTAGAGTTGCAAAATGTACAATTTCCAAGGAAAGAAAGTTAATAATATCTAGCAAAATTACATATGCGTGTATCCTTTGACCCAGCATTAACTCTAGGAATCTACCTCAAAGACACAGTGGCAAAAATCCAAAATGCACAGGGCAATTCACTGTACTCCTGTTTAGAACAGCAAATGTCAGAGAACAACTCAAATGTTCATTAATAAGGCACTGGTTGAATAAAGTATGGTAATTCCACACACATGCAAAAATAGTTTACAATTATAAAAAGCAGTGAAATATGTCTCTGCATATCATTATGTACTATCACAGGAAACTATATTAAAGTAGCAGGTTATAAAATTATACACAAAAAGCATAAGAAAGTAGGGAGGAGATAAAATTGTGTAGTGTGACAACAATTACCTAAGGATAGAAGAGAATATACTGTTAATACATATACATATCTGTTTACGGTAACAATTTATGGAGAAAACAAAATTTTTAAATTACCTTTAAGTGAGGGAAGAAGGGGAAAAGGCAGTGAGTAAAGAGTAGCTAAACTTCTTTAGAATGTACTTTACTTTGTATACCTGACTCTGATAAGAATTTAAATTGCTGATAAAACATATTGCAACACTGTAATTTATAGAAGTGAATTTGAAGAACTTATGCTGAAAGTTATTTTCAAGTTTAGGAATTCTAATTCAAATTTTGTCATATGACATTAAGTTATTTTCTAAAGTTAGGAATACACAACAGCTATGTTGGCATGTGTGAAAACACATACGTGTGGACTGTATTTTTCACTGTGATAAGAGCTCCAGTATACAGCAGAAAGAGACGGAGTCTGGTGGAGAGTTTCTCAATTGGAAATCAGGTCACTAGCCAAATAAACAGAAAAAATTTCTCTGAAAACAAACAGAAAAAACCCACAATGGTTACTGATTGTATCCAGAAATAATGATTGGGGTTTGTTCCCTTAATGGATATGATCCTGTTTATGTAATCAAATACAAATATCTCAGTTTACTTCTTAGCTTACTTTTTCATTGAGCTATCAAGCTGATTTTGACACAAAATTGACTTATCTCCCTAGCACTTATCACCATCTGACATTACATGAAACTAATTTCTCTCCTCTCTCCCTCTCTCTTCCTCTTCCTTCTCACACCCCATCTTTCTTTCCTCCCTCTGCAACATAAGCTCCATTAAACCAGGGAATTTGTGTTTTTACTCTTTTAACTAAGTACTTGGTACTAGTGCCTGACAAATAGGTGATGCCTGATAAATATTTGTTAAGTAAATGCATGGGCGAGTATTGATTTTTTGTCACAGCCAAAAATCTAACTGAGATTTGATATGGTCACAGTGCGTTTTGCCATGCGTATCAATCCAGGTATTTATGATGGACAGCGTCTCTTGTAGGCTTTTAATGGCACTGGGGCACAGGCGTACATGAGATCAGGGCAGACTGTCCTGGCTAAAGAGGATGCTCTCTGAAGGCATTCACTCCATCTTCCACAGAGCCTAGTTCACGCACCTGGATACAGAGACTTAGGACAGAACCTATCTCATGTGGTTATTCAAGGAAAGTACCCAATACACTGTCTGGCAGACAGTCAAGAAAATTTATTGTTCATACCCATAAGTTATGAGAAGGGATAAAGGGAAGAAGTCTGAAGGAGCCATAAAGCCTCCCCAACACCTAACTTCCTCGATTTCCCATTCTGCTATTTTTCATACAGGTGACCATGGTTAACTTTTTGGAATGATTTGAGCATCAGCTTCTGAATTAGAAAAATTGAAATAAAATAATTCCTGCTCAATCAAAAAGTCAAATAAGACCATTTAAGTGGAAGTGATATGTTACTATATAACTGTGCTGTTTCCTTTTCATCTACCCACTCAAACCACCTAGTCAATTAAGCCAACTGTTCAATCAATCAAACAGTACGTATTCATGATCACACACCAAGTGAGAGGCACTGAACTCTTCACCATGTAGAATAATGTAGGTATTTACAGCACTCCCCAGGGAAACCACAGACAAAAGATTCACTGAAATCTTCTGATTTTTGTTTAACATGCAGCTGCGGGCACTCAGGTATAAACAAAGAGATTTTTTTCTCCCAAGAATATATTCTTGGGGACCAGGCACTGTGGCTCATGCCTGTAATCCCAGCACTTTGGGAGACCGAGGTGGATGGATCACTTGAGGTCAGGAGTTTGAGACCAGCCTGGCCAACATGGTGAAACTCTCTCTCTTCTAAAAATATAAAGAATTAGCCAGGCATGGTGGCTCTCACCTGTAATTCTAGCTACTTGGGAGGCTGAGGAACGAGAATCACTTGAACCTAGGAGGCAGAGGTTGCAGTGAGCTGAGATCAGGCCACTGAACTCCAGCCTGTGTGACAGAGTGAGACTCTGTCTCAAAAACAAACAAACAAACAAAAAGAAGAAAATATACATCCTTGGGTTCCAAGTTCTTTCTCATTTTCTATTGTGCCCCGTTAATTCTTTTTTTTTTTTTTGTCTTTTCTGGCCCTGCATATCAAAAATGTGGGAGACCAAAACCAATTATAGTCCTAGTAAATAATAAAAACAGATTAAGTCTTCTGATATTGTCCCAAGAGAAAACATTTGATACTCTTTTCAAATCACAATGTCATTCTCCTATCCAAACTACAGGTTCGGGAATGAAGACTCAACCCCTGAGAATACTACTATCCCCTGACCCAGGATAAACTTTCTCTGCATGGTTTATACGGAAAAACAAAGTGTGTTCTATTGAAACAAAATGTGTTCTATTTGGGTTCAAGGCCCACCTTCCTTATATCCAGCATTAGACTATTTTCCAGGAACCTCACTTGCACCTGTATTAATATCTTCTCTTTCTGAACACATAATTTCTCCTCCACAAATTTTGTTTTTCCTTATATCACAAATTTCTTAACAATATTACTTTTTTTTATTTTTTAATTTCAGTTTGATGGGTGCCTAGTAGGTGTATATACTTATAGGGTACATGGTATGTTTTGATACACGCATGCAATGTGTAATAATCACATCATGCCAAATCGAGCACCCAACCTCTCGCGCATTTATTTTTGTGTTACAAACAATCCAATTACATTATTTTAGTAATTTTAAAATGTACACTTAAATTATGATTGACTGTAGTCACCCTGTTGTGCTTTTTTTTTTTTTTTGGCTTACTGATAGCATGCTTTTTTAAAAAATCATCTTTATTTTTTAGAGCAGTTTTAAGTTCACAGCAAAATAGAGCAGAAAATGCAGAGAATTTCCATATGACCATTGCTCCCTCACACACACACACACACACAGCCTCCCCACAATTAACACCTCTTGCCTTTGTTACAATCAACGAACCGAACCTATATTGACATATTATTATCACCCAAAGTCCATAGTTTACATTAGAGTTCACTTTTGGTGTTGTACATTCTATGGGTTTTGACAAACATATAAAGACATGCATTCACCATTATAGTACCATATAGAATAGTTTCACTGCCCTAAAAATTCGTACACTCTTCCCATTTTTTCCTCCCTCCCTCCAATCTCTCACAACCATTGACTTTTCTACTGTCTCCAGAGTTTTGTCTTTTCCAGAATGTCATATGGTTGAAGTCACACAGTACATAGCTTTTTCAGATTGGCTCATTTCACTTAGAAATGTGAATTTAAGGTTTCTCTATGTATTTCCATAGCTTAGTGGCTTTCTTTTCTTTTCTTTTCTTTTTTTTTTTTTTTTTTGAGACAGGGTCTCGCTCTGTTGCCCAGGCACAAACATGGCTCACTGCAGCCTCTCCTTTCCGGGCTCAAGCAATCCCCCCATCTCAGTCCCCCAGGTAGCTGGGACTACAGACACATGCCACCGTGCTTGGCTAATTTTTGTATTTTTTGTAGAGATGGGTTTTCACCATGTTGGCCAGGGTCGTCTCAAACTCTTGGGAGCAAGTGATCCATCCACGTTGGCCTCCCAAACTGCTGGGATTATAGGTGTGAGCCACCGCACCCAGCTGATAGCTTATTTCTTTTTAGCCCTGAAAAATACCCCATTGTCTGGATGTACTACAGTTTATCCATTCACCTACTGAGAGACAATTTAGTTGCTTCCAATTTTGACAATTATGAATAAAGCTGCTATAAACATCTGTATGCAGGTTTTATATGGACATAACTTTTCAACTCATCTGAGTAAATACCAAGGAACATGATTATGGGATTGCATGGTAAAAATATGTTTAGTTTTTTAAGAAATTGCCAAACTGTTTTCAACAGTGGCTAGGTGTTTAGTTTTTTAAGAAATTGTCAAACTGTTTTCTACAGTGGCTGGGGTTTGGGCCATACTCCTGAAAGATACCATTCTAAATGTTGTAATATCAAATGTTGAAATCCCAAAAGATCAAAATCCCTAATGTCTAAAGTCCCCAAAATCCCAATCCTGATAGACCAAAATCACAATATAATTCTGGAAAGATAATTTAAAAAAAATTTTAAAGACATTTACTTACATTTGTAAAGAAGGTTTGTTTGAGAAACATAAAAACACAACCGAACACTTTATAGGCATTTGAGATTATGGCATTTGGGATTTTGTCTTTCGGATTATGATCGGCACTGTGAACAGCTCTACCATCACGCATTCCCACCAGCAATGAATGAGAGTTCTTACCGCACCAGCATTTGGTGGTGGTCATGTTTTGCTTTTGAGCCATTCTAATATGTATTTAGTGGTATCTCGTTTTAATTTGCAATTCACTAAGGGCATACAATGTTGAAAATTTTTTCATATGCTTATTTGCCACGTGTATGTCTTCTTTGGTAAGTTTTTAGAGTACTTTGGACACCAACCTTTATCAAAAGTATTTTGCAAATGTTTTCTCCCAGTCTGTGGCTTGTCATTTCATTCTCTTGACAGTGCTTTCACAGAGTAAATGTTTTTAATTTAATGAAGTACAGCTTATCAATTATTTCCTTCATCAATCATGCCTTTGGTGTTGGATCTAAAATATTCAGCTCAAACCCAAGGTCATCTAGATTTTCTTCTACACTATATTCTAGGAGTTTTATAGTTTAGCATTTTACATTTCTGTCTGTAATCCATTTTGAGCTGATGTTTGTGAAGAGTTTAAGGTCTATGTCTAGATTCATCTTTTTGCGTGTGAACATCCCATTGTTCAGCACCATTTGTTGAAAACTTACTTTTCTCCGCTGTATTCCCTTTGCTCCTTTATCAAAAATCAGTTGATAGTATTTATATGGATCTATACCTGTGCTCTCTGTTCTGTTTCATTGTTCTATTTTTCTATTCTTTTGCAGATACCACCACACTGTCTTTATTACTGTAGCTTTATAGTAAGTCTTGAAGTCGAATAGTGACAGTCCTCCAACTTTGTGCTTCTTCAATATTATGTTTGCTATACTGGGTCTTTTTCCTGTCCCTATAAACTTAAAAATCAGTTTGTTGATATTCAGGAAATTATTTCTGGGATTTTGATTGGGTCTGCCTTGGATCTATACATCAAGTTGGGAAGAAGTGATGTCTTGATAATATTGAGTCTTCTTATCCAAAAACATGGAATCTTTCTCTATTTATTTAGCTTTTAATTTCTTCATCAGAGTTTTATAAATTCCCTCATAAAGGTCTTATATATTTTCGTTAGCTTTATGCCTAAGTATTTAACTTGGGGGAACTATTGTAAATGGGATTTTGTTTTTAATTTCAAATCCCATTTATTTGTTGCTGGCATATAGGAAAGCAATTAACTTTTGTATATCAACCATTTTTGCCACCTTGTTATAATTGCTTATTAGCTCCAGGAGGGTTTTCTCTTTTTTTTGGTCAACTCTTTCAGATTTTCTACATAGACAATCATGTCATCTGCAAACAAAGGCAGTTCTATTTTTTTCTTCTTCTTCCCAATCTGTATACTTTTTACTTCCTTTTCTTGTCTTATTGCATTAGCTAGGACTTCCAATAAATATGATAAATATGATGTTGAAAAGGGTTGGTGAAAGGAGACGTCCTTGCCTTGCTCCTTATCTTAGTGGGAAAGCTTCAATTTCTTACCATTAAGTATGACGTTAGCTGAAATATTTTTGTACATGTTCTTTATCAACTTGAGTAAGTTCCCCTCTAACACTAGTTTGCTGAGAGTTCTGATCATGAATGAGAGCTGGTTCTGTTAGATGCTTTTTCTGCATCTGTTGATATGATCATGTGATTTTCCTTCTTTAGCCTGGTGCTGTGGTGTAGTTAGTCTGCTGCCACAGCCCAAGTGTATAAAATCCTCTGATGAATCTCCTGTGATGATTCAAATCCTGGAGTAATTTCCTGAAGAAGAGAAGAGCCTCTGCTCCACGCCCCGTGGCTTCCGCCCTTCCTTCCAGAGCAGGGGCCTGGCCTGCTCCCCACAGGGTTGTTGTATTCTGTTTATTAATCTCTTGTCAGATGAGTAGTTTGCAAATATTTTCTCCATTCTATAGGTTGTCTCTTCAGTTTGTTGATTGTTTATTTTGCTGTGAGGAACCTTTTAAAGTTGACATGATATCATTTGTCCATTTTTGCTTTGGTTTCTTGTGCTTGTGGGGTATTACTCAATAAATTTTTGCTGAGACCAACGTCCTTGAAAGTTTCCCCAATGTTTTCTGGTAGTAGATTCATAGTTTGAGGACTTAAAGTCTTTAATTCATTTTGATTTGATTTTTGTATATGGTGAGAGATAAGGGTCTAGTTTCATTCTTCTGCATATGGATATCCAGTTTTCCCAGCACCATTTATTGAAGAGACTGTCTTTCTCCCAATGTATGTTCTTGACACCTTTGTAAAAAACTGAGTTCACTGTAAGTGTGTAGATTTGTTTCTGGGTTCTCTATTCTGTTCCACTGGTCTATGTGTCTGTTTTTATGCCAGTACCACACTGTTTTGGTTACTTTAGCTCTGTAGTACAATTTGAAGTCAGGTAATGTGATTCTTCCAGTTTTGTTCTTCTTGCTCGGAGAGCTTTGGCTATTCTGGGTCTTCTGTGGTTTCACATAAATCTTAGGACGATTTTGTCTCTTTCTGTGAAGAATGTCATTGGGATTTTGATGGAAATTACATTAAATTTGTAGATTGATGTCAGTAGTATGGACATTTTAACAATATTGATTCTTCAAATACATGAAAATGGAATATTTTTCAATTTTTTAGTGTCCTTTTACATTTCTTTTATTACTTTTTTTATAGTTTTCACTATAGACATCTGTCACTTCTTTGGTTAATTTAACTCCTAGGTATTTAATTTTACTTGTGGCTATTGTAAATGGAATTACTTTCTTGATTTCTTTTTCAGATTGTTTACTTTTGACATACAGAAGTGCTACTGATTTTTGTATGTTGATTTTGTATCATGAAACTTTACTAAATTTGTTGATGCGTTCTAGTTGTTTTTTGATTCAGTCCTTAGAGTTTTCCAAATATAAGATCATATAATCTGTAAACAAGGATAATTTGACTTCTTTTTTTCCAATTTGGATGCACTTTCTTTCTCTTGTCTGATTGCTCTAGCAAGTACTTCCAGTACTATGTTAAATAACAGTGGTGAAAATGAGCATCCCTGCCATGCTTCTGATCTTAGAGGAAAGGCTTTCAGTTTTTCCCCATTTGGTATGATAATAACTGGGGGTTTGTCATATATAGCTTTTATTATGTCGAGGTATGTTCCTTCTAGCCCCAGTTTTTTGAGGGTTTTTATTATGAAGGAATATTGAATTTTATCAAATGCTTTTTTCAGTATCAATTGATATGATCATATGGTTTTTGGCCTTCATTCTGTTGATACTATGTATCACATTGATTGATTTGTGTATGCTTTGAATCCCAGGGATAAATCCCACTTGGTCATGATGAATTATCTTTTTAATATATTGTTGAATTCAGGTTGCTGGTATTTTCTTGAGGATTTTTGCATCAGTGTTCATCAGAGGTCTTGGCCTATAGTTTTCTTTTTGTGCTGTGTCTTTGTCCTGTTTTGGTATCAGGGTAATATTGGCCTCATAGAATGAGTTTGATAGTATTCCCTCCTCCTCTATTTTTCAGAATAGTTTTAGTAGGATTGGCATTAGTTCTTCTTTAAATGTTTGGTAAAATTCAGTAATGAAGCCACTAGGTCCTGGGCTTTTCTTTACCGGGAGAACTTTATTCTGGCTTCTGTCTCATTACCTGTTACTGGTTTGTTAAGGTTTTGGATTTCTTCATGGTTCAATCTTGGTAGGTTGTATGTGTCCAAGAATTGTCAATCTCCTCTAGATTTCCCTATTTCTTGGCATATAGCTGCTCATAGTAGCCACTAATTACCTTTGAATTTCTGCAGTATCAGTTCTAATGTCTTCTCTTTCATTATTGACTTTTATTTTTTTGGATCTTCCCTCTTTTTTTCTTAGTTAGTCTGGCTAAAGGTTTGTCAATTTTGTTTAGCTTTTCAAAAACCTCATTTTTTGTTTTGTTCATCTTTTTGTATTGTTTTTTACATTTCAGTTTCATTTATTTCTGCCCTGATTTTTATTATTTCTTTTCTTCTACTAATTTTATCTTCAGTTTGTTTTTGTTTTCCTAATTCTTTAAGATGCATTATTATGTTGCTTATTTGAAGTTTTTTTTTTTTAATGTAGGCACTTAATAGCTACAGACTTCCCTCTTAGTACTGCTTTGGCTATATCCCACAGGTTTTGGTATGTTGTGTTTCCATTATCATTTGTTTCAAGAATTTTTTTCAATCTCCTCCTTAATTTCTTCATTAACTCATTGGTCATTCAGGAATATATTGTTTAATTTCCATGTGTTTGAACAGTTTCCAAAATTCCTCTTGATATTGATTTCCAGTTTTATTCCATTGTGATCAGAGGAGATGCTTGATATTTAATTTTGTTGAATGTTTTAGACATTAATGTTTATGGTCCATCCTTGAGAATGCTTCATGTGCTTAGGAGAAGAATGTGTATTCTGTAGCTGTTTCGTGAAATGTTCTGTATTAAGTCCATTTGGTCTATAGTACAGATTAAGTGTGAAGTCTCTTTGTTGATTTTCTGTCTGGAAGATCTGTTTAATGTTGAAAGTTGGCTTTTGAAGTCTCCAGCTATTATTGTATTGGGGCCTGTCTTTCTCTTTAGCTCTCATAATACTTGCTTTATATATCGGGGTGCCCAATGTTGGGTGCAAATGTATTTGAAATTGTTATATCTGCTTGCTGAAGTGACCCCTTTATCATTATATAGTAACCTTCTTTGTCTCTCCTTGTAGCTTTTGGCTTGAAATCTATTTTGTCTGATACAAGTATAGTTAGTTACTCCTGCTCTTTTTTGGTTTCCATTGACATGGAATATCTTTTTCTATCTTTTTATTGTCAGTGTATATGTATCTTTATAGGTAAAGTGTGTTTATTTTAGGCAACAGATCAATGGGTCTTTATTTTTCATCCATTCAGCTACTCTTTATGTTTTGATTGGAGAGTTTAGTACATTTACATTGAATGTTATTATTGATAAGTAAGCAATTATTCCTCCCATTTGGTTATTTGTTTTCTGGTTGTTTTGTGGTCTTATCTTCCTTCTTTTTTCCATTCTATCTGCCTTTCAGTGAAGGTAATTTACTCTGGTTATATGGTTTTGTTTGTTGCTTTCTATTTTTTGTGTATCCTGTGTATTTTGGGGAGGGGTTATGTTACCACGAGGCTTGCAAATACTATCTTGTAACTCATTATTTTAACCTGAAAACAATTTAGCACTTTTTGCATAAACAAACAAACAGGTAAAAAACCCCAAAAAACTCTAAACCTTAACTTTGTCCCCCTACTTTTTAACATTTTGTTGTTTCTATTTATATCTTATTGTACTGCTTATGTCTTGAAAAGTTGCTGTAGTTATTATTTTTTATTGGTTTGTTATTTATTCCTTCTACTTAAGGTAAGTTTAGATTACATACTAAAGTTATAATGTTATAATATTCTGTGGGTTTCTGTGTACTTACTATCACCAGTGAGTTTTGTACCTTCAGATGATTTCTTTTTGTTCATTAATGTCCTTTTCTTACTGATTGAAGTACTCCCTTTAGCATTTCTTGTAGGACAGGTCTGGTGTTGATGAAATACTCAGCTTTTGTTTGTCTGGGAAAGTCTTTATTTCTCCTTCATGTTTAAAGTATATCTGATGCAGAAATAGGGTAAATTTTTTTTTTTCTTTCAGCACTTTAAATATGTCATGCCACTCTCTCCTGGCCTGTAAAGTTTCCACTGAAAAGGCTGCCTACCAGACATATTAGAGCTAAATTGTATGTTGTTTGTTTCTTTTTTATTGCTGCTTTTAGGATCCTTTCTTTACCTTTGACATTTGGGAGTTTGATTATTAAATGCCTTGAAGTAGTCTTCTTTAGATTAAATTTGCTTAGTGTTCTATAACCCTCTTATACTTAAATATTGCTATCTTTCTCTAGGTTTGGGAAGTTCTCTGTCATTATCCCTTTGAATAAACTTTCTACCCTAATCTCATTCTCTACTTCCTCTTTAAGGCCAATAACTCTTAGATTTGCCCATTTGAGGGCTGTTTGCTAGATCCTGTAAGTGTGCTTCTTTGTTTCATTGTTTTTTATTCTTTATTCTTTTGTCTCCACTGACTGTATTTTCAAATAGCCTGTCTTCAAGCTCACTAATTCTTTCTTCTGCTTCATCAATTCTGTTATTAAAAGACTGTGATGTATTCTTCAGTATGTCAGTTGCATTTTTCATCTCTATAATTTCTGTTTTATTATTTTTAATTATTTTAATCTCTGTTAAATTTATCTGATAGAATTCTGAATTTCTTTTCTGCATTACATTGAATTTGCTTCAGTTTCTCCAACATAGCTATTTTAAATTATTTGTCTGATATGTCACATATCTTTGTTTCTCCAGGAATAGTCCCTGGTGGCTTATTTAGTTCATTTAGTGGGGTCGTATTTTCTTGGATTGTCTTGATACTTGTAGATGTTTGTCTGTGTTTGAGCATTGAAGAGTTAGGTATGTATGGTAGTCTTTTCAGCCTGGTCTTGTTTGTATTTGTACCTGTCCATCTTGGGAAGTCTTTCCAGATATTCAAAATAACTTGGGTGTTCTAATCTAAGATGTATCTGCTTTAGGGAGCACCTCAACCCCAGTAATGCTGTGGTTCTTGCACATTCATTGAGGGACCACTTTGATGGTCTTTGACAAGATCTGGAAAACTTATCTGAATTACCAGGTAGAGACTCTTGTGTTTCTTGTTTGTTTGTTTGTTTTTCCTGTTACTTTCTCCAAAACAAATGGAGCCTCTCTCTCTGTTCTGAGCGATGTGGAGCTGGTGGTGGTGTGACACAAGCACCCTTGAGACCACCACTACTAGGACTCTGCTGGGTCAGACCTCAAGCCAACACAGCACTGGGTCTTACTCAAGACCTGCTATAACAATTCCCTGGCTGTGGCCTATGTTCACACAGGACTTGGGGCTCTTCAATCAGCAGGTGGCAAAGCCAACCAGGCCTGTGTCCTTCCCTTCAGTGTGACAAGTTCCTCTCAGGCCCTGGGCATGTGCAGAGATGTTGTCCAAGAGCCACGTTCTAGAGTCAAAAACCTTAGAACTCTATCTGGTATTCTATTGTACTGTGGCTGAAGTAGTACTCAAACCACAAAATGCAGTCCTTCCCACTTTTCCTTTTTCTTTCCAAAGGCAGAGGAGCTTCACCCTGTGGCCAGAGCCACTACTGGCCCATGGGGAGTACTGCCAGACTACCACTGCTGTTCCCTTAAGCCCCAAAGGCTCTTCAGTCAGCTTGTCATGAGTGCTACCTTGCCTGGGACTCACTCTTCAGAGTAGTGGGCTATCCTCTAGCCCAAGGCAGGCCCAGAAATGCCATGCAAAAGCCAAGTCCTAGAACCCCATGAACCTACTAAGTACTCTACCCCACTGTGGCCAAGCTGGTGTCTAAGGTGCAAGACAAAGTCCCCTTTGCTTCTCCCTCCCCCAGCCACTTTTCTCAAGTGGAAGGAGTCTTACCCCATAGTCACCATGGCTGGGAACCTGCTGAGTCTCACTTGAAGCCATCAAGTTTCCAGTCTTACTCAAGGCCCTCGACATAGTACCTGAGTATTGCTGCTGGTTATTCAGGGCCCAAGGGCTCTTCATTAGCAAGTGGTAAATTTTTCCAGGACTGGGTTCTTCCCTTGAAGACAGCAGGTTCCCTTCTGGCCCAGGGTGTGTCTAGAGATGTCATCCAGGAGCTACAGCCTGAAAAGAGAGCCTCATAAGTCTGACTGGGGCCATATCCTGCTGTGGCTGAGATTCAAGATGCAACACGAAGTCCTCCCCACTCTTCCTTCTCCTCTCGTAGAGTGGAGAAAAGGGATCTCTCTTGGAACTGTGAGCTGTGCAGCCTGGGGCTAGGGGAGGCGTGATGCCAGCTCTCCGTTAGCCACCACATACTCCTATAGTCCACTGTCTACTGGCCACGTTCAGCACTAGGACTTGCCTAAAAGTTGCAGTCCTTGTGGCCTAGATAGTCTTTTGAGTTTATTTAAGGCCCCAGCGCCCTTTAGCCCACAGTGGTGAGGCTTGCAGGAACTCAAGTTCAGACCACTGGGATTAGTGATTCCCCTCTGGCTAGGGCTGGGTTAAATGCTCCCTCCATGGGCAGGCATCAACTGAGTTGGTCCGGTTCTGTTTTCTGTTATAATAGGACAGCACTGAGTTCAATGTGTCACAAATGCTGCAATCTCCCTCTACCTAGCACACAGAAGCACTCTCCATACACTGCCCACCCACTGCTGGGGAATGGAGGAGGAATGGTGTTGGTGATTCAAGACTGTTTTTCCTACCCTTTCAGTGCCTCTTTCTCTTTCAGTGATATGAACTTAAAACCAAGTGCTGTGAGTGCTTACCTGATTTTTGGTTCTTATGAGGTACTTTTTTGTGTAGATAGTTGTTAAACTGGTGTTCTTATCAGGGGGACAATTGCTGGAGCCTTTTATTCTGCCATCTTGCTTCACCAGAAATCCAATATTATTATCTTATTTGGTCTAGCTTATCAGTAGCCCTTCTCTTGTAGGGGTCTCTATGTCTCTTCCATGGGGCTTTGCTAAGTTCAAATACAGATTCACATATTAAACAGTGCCGCCTTTAAACTCTGATCTGCCTTTAAAATCTTTGGATATACGTAAGACTGACATTTTGTAAAGTAGTATATGAGCAATGTGACAACAAATTAAATGTTTCCTTTAAAAAAAAACTAAACACTCTAGAATATGAATAAATGAAAGCAATCTTTTTAAATGGTCATTTTGTAAGATTATCTGTTTCTAGAAAAACTTGCTGGTTCAGGACAAATCTTGAAACTGCCTTCAAAAAATTCATAAACCTATTTTTTGAAAAGAAATTTCATTCACATACACTAAAGCTGAATGTCTTTCTTTAAACCACAAATAAAATAATATGAGTACAATGCATAAACTTAGCTTTAATATTTCAAAAAAACCAATTCTATCCTCAAAAAATAAAGACTTAAACACTTGCAGCTATATTAAAGGATATGTTAATATACAAGGAAGCACATTTCCAGATGAGATTTTCTAAACATATGTTGGATGATATGGTTTGGCTGTGTCCTGACCCAAATCTCATCTTGAATTGTAGTTTCCATAATCCCCGCATGTCATGGGAGGGACCCAGTGGGAGCTTATTGAATCCTAGGGGCAGTTACCTCCATGCTGTTCTCATGGTAGTGAATGAGTTATCATGAGATCTGATGGTTTTATAGGAGGGTTTTTCCCCCTTTGCTCTCCACTTCTCCTTGCCGCTGCCATGTGAAGAAGGACATGTTTGCTTCCCCGTCTGCCATGATTTTAAGCTTTTTGAGGCCTCCCAAGCCATGTTGAACTGTGAGTCCTCTTTCCCTTAAAAATTACCAGTCTCAGATATGTTTTATTAGCAGCGTGAGAATGGTCTAATTTTTGAGGCCTCCCAAGCCGTATTGAACTGTGAGTCCTCTTTCCTTTAAAAATTACCCAGTCTCAGATATGTTTTATTAGCAGCCTGAGAATGGACTAACACAATGGTCTATCATTAATAATTCTATTCAGGTCTGTTTCCTTAAAAATTAGTAGAATACCTGACATACTGTAGACCTCTGAGAGTCTCCCCTTGGTGTGCATTTACGTTTAAGAAGAGGATATATTAATACGTTTATGAAGAAGGGTAAATCCTGGTTTTTGCTCTTGAGGTTCTAAAACTTGATTAAGGAAATAAAAAGACAGGCATTGTGGGGACACTGGGGATTTTAGAACTTTTCTTTTATACCCAGAAAAATTTTAAAGATTCAAAACAGGACTATGTCTGTCTCTTTAAGAATTTAAACATTTGATAGTAAGGTATAATTAAGAATGAACTTCAAAGCATCAATTTACCTTAATCAATAGTCTTACTGTGTGCTTGGACACTTTCAAGGGAAATGAGGAGAAAACAAGTAAAATTATAAGCTAAAAAAAAACAGAGTAATAGAAAATATTCACCAAATACATGCAGTTGACTTTCCCAGTAGCAAATTAATTTTTAGTACAAAAAAAATTTTTTTGTATTTTCCCCTATAAGATTTGGAAAGTACAGAGAGATTAGAGAAGAAAGACAGTCTAGTCGAGACCAGACTGACCAGCATGGTGAAACCCCATCTCTACTAAAAATACAGAGAGATTAGAGAAGAAATTTGGGTAACAGACCTTGTTCTATATCAATTTTGGCAATCTCTTCACTGAAAAGAGGAAACATTCTATGAAGCTGAAAAGGATCGAGAGTGATAAACACCATTAAAATACATGGACTGCTTTCATTGTTCTTACATGAAAGCAGTCACAGAACAGATAAATACAAAGACAAGTTACATTAGCACTGCTCTCTGAACCTGCAAATGGATGCAAATGAAGCCTAGACTATATAATCCAAGATAAGAAGCAGAAATTTCAGCCACAAAGAATCTAAGTGTAACTTAATTCTAAGGTTACCATGGAAGTTTAATTTTACATTTAAAGCAATTAAAAAAATAAAATTTTCTATGTAGTTTAATCTCATCAAAAGCTCTGTGAGTAGTTCACATTTCTATAAATCTCATTTCAAAAATGCAATATCTTACTGTTAATATAAAATATTGGTATTTGGACAATTTTAAATTATTATTTTACTAAAAGTGCTTAAAGAGAAAATTATCAATTAATTGTTTGGCACAGGTCATTAAGTTCTGAGCTACTCTGTTGCATATGTCTAAAATGCACCAAACCATGGAGTCTACACTACTCTCCTGGCAACCAGTTGCTACAGAAAAGACTGAGGAGCTGCTATATTCTATAACTGCCAGTCTATAATGTCAACAGAACCAGTGCCTTACAGTGAGTCAAGCAATGTTTATTGGCTGGGTGCGGTGGCTCACGCCTGTAATCCTAGCACTTTGAGAGACCGAGGCGGGCAGATCTTTTGAGGTCAGGAGTTCAAGGCCAGACTGACCAAAATGGTGAAACCCCATCTCTACTAAAAATACAAAAAAAAAAATTAGCTGGGCATAGTCGTGCACGCCTGTAATTCCACGTACTAGCGAGGCTGAGGCAAGAGAATCGCTTGAACTTGGGAGGCGGAGATTGCAGTGAGCCGAGATCGCGCCATTGCACTCCAGCCTGGGTGACAGAGTGAGACTCCGTCTCGGAAAAAAATAATAATAAAAATAAAATGTTTATTAAATATCTACTGTGTGCTAGAGGAAAAAAAATGAGCAAAAACAGAGAAGAAAGAGCATGGCAAGTACAGGGAATTATAAGCTGTTGAGGATTCATGGTGAGCTAGGAGCAAACGGTGAGTATCCAGAAATGCAGCTAGAAGGGTTTGTCCTCAAGGACCTTAGATGTCAGGATGTTTAACTTTATCCTGTACATTATGGGGAGCCAACAAGCATGATCAGCAAGGGCACAGTCTGATTTCCATTCTTTTAATCTGTTTTTGGCTACAGTGTATAGGATGAACATGTAGGAAGATAGATCAGTTAAGAGCTCACTGTACAACTCTGTATGAGCCATGAAAGTCTGAACAACAAAAATGATACCAAAAGGTAGAGTCAACAATCGTGGTAGTTGAATGTGGGAAAGGCAGTGAGAGCAGTCTATGATTTTCTTTAACAAAAATTTATATGATGCATACTGTGCCAAGGACTCTTGTAAGTGCTTTATTAACGAAGCTCATTTAACACCCATAAAAGTCTTATAAAGTAAGCACTATGGAAACTCACTTTTACAAATGAAAAAATCAGGCCATCAACCAGCTGATTAAGTTGTTCATTGTCACACCAATTGCCTGTGATTTAAACAAGATTTTAGCAATAAATGGGGCATAAGAATTTATACTTCTTTTAAAATTGTTTTTAGAGACAGGATCTCTCTCTATCACCCAGGCTGGAGTGCAGTGGCACAATCATACCTTACTGAAGCCTCAACCTCCTGGGCTCAAGTGATCCTCCCACCTCAGCCTACCGAGTAGCTAGGATTACAAGCGTGCACCACAACACTTGGATAATTTTTTGTTTTTGTAGAGATGGGATTCTGCTATGTTGCCCAAGCTGGTCTCAAACTCCTGGGTTCAAGTAATCCTCCCACCTCTGACTCTCAAATGCTGGGATTCAGGCATGAGCCACCTCACCCAGTCCAGAGTTCACATTTCTAACCACTGAACAGTGCTGCCTACCTAGAAGGCCAAGGAAGGCTGCCAGATTTTTGCCTTGAGGAACTCAGGAGATGGTGATGCCATTAAGAGAACTATGATTGGATAGGAAGGTGAAAATGCTTTGGGCATGTTGTATTTCCAGTGCTCATGAGTTATTTAAGTGGAAATGTCTACCAAACTTATCTATATTAGAATCTGAAGCTTTAGAGAAACAACAGAGCTAGAGATGTAGGTTGGATCTATCAGTATATAGGTTAAAATCAAGACAAGAATGATTTGAGATTACTTAAGAATATGCTGAAAAGGTTAATAGAGAGAATGCTGGAAAACATCAACATTTAAAATGCAAGCAAAGGAAGAAGAAAGCATTAAGATAAACCAAAATAAATTGTCAGGGTGGGAAAGTAATTTTTAAAAATAAAGTTATGGAAGAAAGAGATAAGAGATGCTGTAAAATAAAGACTAAAACACCAATAGGTTTAACATTATGAAAGTCCCTAAAGTCCTTGGAAATAAAGGCCAGATTTTAAAGTGTGGAGGAGGAGAAAGGGAAGCTGTGAAAAACAGAGAGAAAGTTGAAGGCAGGCCTTGGGTTAGAGATGAAAACATGAATAAAGTGCCAGTTTTTAATGAAAATGGAATAGTCCCATGGTATTAACACCAACGAGAGTCTTTTATACAAAGGCAGATGTGCAAGGGTTTGAAAGTGGAATTAAAGCGCTGGAAAAGTGCTACTACCCCCACTGCTTTCTCTGTGACCCTTGGAGCATGAAGTTCAGGGAGGGGAGGATGAGAGAAAGAATCAAGTGAAAGGAAGCACAGAGAGTTGTACAGAGATAAGAATGCAGGTTAATACACTTTTTTTGTGAGTATTGAAGGCTATAATGCAAAAGAGTGATTTGCTCAAGAAGTGATTTTAGAAAGATTTATATGGCACTGATACAAATGTTCAATGGAGTAAAAGGAAACAAAAGAAAGAAGCTGAGACATTTTTATGATGACCTAAATCAGTGCTTCTGAAAGTGTGGTCTGTGGATTTGTGGGGTCTCTAAGACTCTTTCCATGGATCAACAAGGTCAAAAAAATTTTAATAATAATTCTAGAAAGTTAAATGGCTTTTTCACTGTATTGTATTTTTGCACAAATGAGGCATAAGCAATCATGAGTTCAACTGCTAATACCTTAGCAGGAATCGAAACAGTGACCCCATGGCATACTAAGAGTCACTGTACTCTTCACAGACGTGCACTCACAGAAGAAAAACACGAAAGAAGTTCCACTTTTAAAAATATAATTAATGGATCAGTAAAATGTATTAATTGTATTAAATCTTGGCCCTTGAGTACATCTCTTTAAATCTGTGTATGATGAAATGGGAAGGACACATGAAGCTTCTGCCACAAACTAAAGTAGAATGCTTGTCCCAAAGAAAAGCGCATGTTGCCTGTTTGAGCTGTGAACTAAATTAACCACTTTTTCCGTGGATCACTATTTTTATTTAAAGAATGACTGAGGCCGGGCGCGGTGGCTCACGCCTGTAATCCCAGCACTTTGGGAGGCTGAGGCAGGCAGATGACGAGGTCAGGAGATCGAGACCATCCTGGCTAACACGGTGAAACCGCGTCTCTACTAAAAATACAAAAACAAAATTAGCTGAGTTTGGTGGCGGGCGCCTGTAGTCCCAGCTACTCAGGAGTCTGAGGCGGGAGAAAGGCGTGAACTCGGGAGGTGGAGCTTGCAGCGAGCTGAGATCGCGCCACTGCACTCCAGCCTGGGCGACAGAGTGAGACTCTGTTTTAAAATAAATAAATAAATAAAATAAAATATAATGATAAAGAAATGTTTTTATAGAGCTCTCAGTTTTAATTTCTGAAGTGATAGACTGTGATAAAGATAACCTAAATAAGAAAAGCTTTTTGGATCCTCAATAATTTAAAAATGTGTAAAGAGTCCTGAGACTGAAACATCTGACAACTGTTTATCTATTAGAAAGTGATAAGGGGCTGTACTAGGGTAATGGCAAACCTCTGTAACTGGAAATTGAAGAGCAAGACTTGAATAGAAATGAGGTTCCAGATTTTAGAAAGACATTTAGGCTTATGTATCATTTAAACTAGTTGTTTTTGGATAAATTTTCAAGAGTTGATTTAGTTGGACCCTAGATACTACCTTCAGGCCCTTAAAAGAATCAGGTCCTTTAAGGACGATTCTGTACAGTTAAATATAGTGTATTATTTATAATAATTCTTCTTGCTAATTTCTAGGCCACATACAACAGGATATAAAAAGCCAAACAACAAAGGATAAATTCTTTCATATGTGTGTAATCCTATAAACCCTCTTTGAAGTTGATTCTCATATTTTTATTTTACAGAAAAGGAAACCAAATATCAGGAAGTATAAGTAATTTAGTAAGTCACAAGGAAGTAAATAGTTGAGACTGGATTTTGAACTGCTTTTTTTTTAATCAAAAGTCCGGGGCTTTCATCCACTTTATTCTAGATGGCTTTGTTTTAGGTTTATTGGGTAGAAGTTGGTGTGAGGAGTTTTTTGCTTTCATTTACTTATTTATTTTTTTACCATGCAAATAAAGAGTGCCTATTCCATTTTACTTGATATGTATGCAACAATCCAGTGATCAAGGATAATATTGTATCACAATGCATTTGCATTCTCATTAGCTATGCCCATTTAAAAGTTAGATAACATAGAAAATATCTATAAACAAATACATAAAATGTTCCTCCAATGAAACCTTGGATGTCCCATTTTTCTGAGCTTCAAACCACTGTAATTGTTTCCTGCATAGTATTTATGTTTGTGTTCCTCATTAATAGCCATTAATCATGTGTTCCATTAACAGCCACTCTCAACAGAATCAGGACTAAGCTATTAAAGTAAGTGTAGGATGAAGGCAATTCTATGAATAACTAAGCCAATAGATGTTGAAATTCAAAGAAGAGAAGTGACTTTTAGCACTTTCCTGGGATTCATCCGTGCTATGAATAAATACGTTGCTTTGAAACAAATAATTTTTGTGAAAAATGTTGCATGATATGGGTTTGATAGCAATGTTCAATCTAAATGTATAGATAATAAATTATTCTTGCTTCGAATAGAAAGCCTGGGCTAAGCAAGAAGCATCAACAAAAAGACAGATATTTCTATTGTACAAATTACATATTAAGGCTCAATGAAATAAAAGATATATTTGGGATCAATACTGTATGAAATAATTATGTTTGTAATAAATTGACTCATTTATTTGCAGTCCATCTCCTTTTATGAGAGACTTGAACTTTCACAACAGACTTCAGACCAATTGAGTAGGAAATGAACAATTATGGAGGAAACAGGGAATATACCATAGGGAAACTCTGAAATAACAAAAACTTGAAATTGAGGTGCTTTTATACTACATATTAAGTGGTATTAATTTATTATTTCTGGAACAGTTTTTCTCTAGGTTTCTCAAGACTGTCAATATATTTGAAAGAAAATTAAATTTGTTCTGCAGCTTCCTGAATTGTATATTAAATGGGTGGAAGATACCAAGATATAAATGTTAAACAACTTAAGGAAGGACATGCAATGATAACCAGAATATTCTATATTCAAAATAGAAGGATAATAACTATCCTCACTGAAAGATGATAAAGACCAATAGAAAACAAAAAAATCAATCTCAGCTGAGAATATGAAGCACAAAGTTCAAGTCCTGCTCTAGAGAGTAATTGCATTTTTCTATAAAACAGAATAAAAAAACAACTGTTTCTAGAAAAGGGCAATGGGAATGGGGTTGCTCTTTGCCTGTAATTCTAGAAGAAAAGGCATATGGCTAGTCCATAAGTCTATACATTTAAGTCCTGGTTGGTTGACAGACTATATTGAGTCAAAAAGGACAAAACGTCTTCATTAAGGTTTTCCCATAAAGATGTTTTATTTTCAAACTGTGTCATTAAAAAAATCACCCAGATTGTTTTATTTTTATTTTATATTATTTATCACCCAGATTGCATATATTTTATGCCATTATCTGGGTATAATGGCATAAAATATATGCTAATCATTTTTTCAACTGAATTCAAATATTATGCACATTAATATTCATATATGTTTAATATAGAAAGAAACACAGAGAGTGAGGGAGGGAGTCCACTATGTATTAAGTACTGTGTTAGTGAGCAGACCTCCCTTAGGAACCTTATTACGGAGTACAAAGCTAGGAGAGTAAATAAAGTATATTAAAAAATGCATACAAAAGATGACAGAATCACCATTCCAAAAGATCTTGGTGGATAAGAATCATGAATTGGATCTAACAAGATGTAACTTAAAAGTAAAAAAATCTATAGTGTTGTACTGAGCTCCCTCCAAAGCAACTATAAATTTATAGGAGATGAAACATATGATTCACCAGGCATAAGAAGAAAGTTTCCGTAATCAAACACTATTGTATCCATCTTTTTAAACTCCAGCTCCTATCACAGCACCTGGTCCAAAGCAGATCTTTAGTATTTGTGGAACTGGCTTGGATTGTGTTTAGGAAATTTTGTCATTGGTAAACCTAAGGAGAGTCAAGAGAACAACGTGACCAAAAAATAAAACTAAAAAAAAAAAAAAGGGACTTTCATTGTACTGGTAGAAAGACAAAGTTTATAATCTGGCTTAGTTTCTTTTTTTGTTGTTGTTTGTTTTTTGGTCAGGGCAAATTTAGGTCATTATTTTTAACACTGGAACTGTAGTTTCAGAGCAGATAGACAAACTATAATGAGAATAGATGAACAGCAAGGCCACTGAAAGGACTCAGAACTACATCTTATAAGAAACAACTGAATGATGCTAATGTTTAACTTGCAAAAGAGAAAACTCAGTTGATTTCAAATATATGAAATATAGTGGTAAGGAGTTATCACTTATTAAGCAATTACTATTGCAATGTATACTCATTTAATCCTGCTAACAGACATATGAGGTGAATATTATTAGCCTACCCTCGCCTTTTTTAAGTAATGAGAAGACTGTCATCCTGTAGGGTAAAGTAACATGTCCAAACTCATACAGCTACAAAGTTACAAAGCTGATTTATAAAATGATTGACTCCAAGGTCAGGAATTATTATACTGTGTCTTGTCTTCCACATGAACTAAGCACAAAGGAACTGAATGCAGGCAGACAGATTTCAGCTCAATATAAGAGAATTGTTACATTAGTTCATGGAAGAATATGTTTTAAGGTATTTTTGTTAGTCTCTAGGAAATCTCTGTAACATTTTATTGTGTAAATTATATGCTTTAATGTAAGAGGATAAAAATAATAGTGAACATTGGCAAAATAGCCTATGATTAATAGAGTTTACCTATGAGTTATCTGTTTCTAAGATAAATGCCAAAAAATAATATTGGAATTAAATGTTCCTTTCAAGATCTTCCCTCCCTGCTCCCTGAAATTGCAGTGAATTTTTCAAGACCAACTGAGGACATGTATTTTCAATGTTTATGGTTAAAAGATATGTACATGCACAGATATATACATGTACAGAAATGAGAATTACTTCAGAATTGGTGTTAACTTTAGAAAAAAAAAGACCAAGAACTTACTCTTGGTATTTACAAATTTATTTCTAAAATAGAAGCACTCATGGACTTAGAAGTAAGGTATAAAATTCAAAAACGTATCCATGTTTCTCAAGGATCTTGTTGTAGGCCACTCTAATTCCATATATTATGTGGCTTTTCCTAGAATTTTTACACTAGAAAACAGACTGAATGCAAATTTTGTTTTGTTTTAACAACCTTCTTCTCAGAAGCATATGTCTATCGAGGAAGTCTTCAGATAAAAAAGATAAACAATTCCAAACAGGTCTATGAGATTTAAGATGTGAAAGATCAACATTATCTTTAGTTGACTTTACTGGATGCCACAACCTTCTGATTTCTGTAACCACTTCTTATGCCTCCTACCCACTGAAACAAAATCAGAGGCAAACAGAGCTTCACCCTAGAAATTGGGGAAAATGAGGAACAGGTTTTCTGCACAAAAGTTTATTTGTTTCTCATTTCTTTTTCAGAAAATAAAGGATCGCTGTTGTTCCCAACAGGTTTGTAGGGAAGAAAATTGGAGAAACATTATTACCTTTTCTTAGATGTTGGCAACGGAGGCAACAAGGACTGCAAAAGAAAATTGTGTGTCCCCCATTCCTAAATAATCAAAATTGGCAGTAGGGATGGAAGAGCATTGGGGTTTTAGGGCTGTTAGGGTTTCATCAAGCCAATGTATTCCCTGCCAGATTTTAAGGAGAAAAAGGCGCTGGAAAATTGAGTGATGTTAGCCCCCTTTCTTATTTTTCACTGCTACCAAAGACTAACTCTATCTCTCTCCCCAACCCTTCTCTCCATCTCCCTCCTTTAGATGTGTTTGCACAGAAGAGTGCCCAGTGAAGAGACCTACTCCTTGGATCGCTTTGCGCAAAATCCACCCCTTTTCCCTCCTCCCTCCCTTCCAGCCTCCGAATCCCGCATGGCCCACGCTCCCCTCCTGCAGCGGTGCGGGGCAGGTGATGAGCCTCTGTGAACTACTAAGGTGGGAGGGGGCTATACGCAGAGGAGAATGTCAGATGCTCAGCTCGGTCCCCTCCGCCTGACGCTCCTCTCTGTCTCAGCCAGGACTGGTTTCTGTAAGAAACAGCAGGAGCTGTGGCAGCGGCGAAAGGAAGCGGCTGAGGCGCTTGGAACCCGAAAAGTCTCGGTGCTCCTGGCTACCTCGCACAGCGGTGCCCGCCCGGCCGTCAGTACCATGGACAGCAGCGCTGCCCCCACGAACGCCAGCAATTGCACTGATGCCTTGGCGTACTCAAGTTGCTCCCCAGCACCCAGCCCCGGTTCCTGGGTCAACTTGTCCCACTTAGATGGCAACCTGTCCGACCCATGCGGTCCGAACCGCACCGACCTGGGCGGGAGAGACAGCCTGTGCCCTCCGACCGGCAGTCCCTCCATGATCACGGCCATCACGATCATGGCCCTCTACTCCATCGTGTGCGTGGTGGGGCTCTTCGGAAACTTCCTGGTCATGTATGTGATTGTCAGGTAAGGAAAGCGCCAGGGCTCCGAGCGGAGGGTTCAGCGGCTTAAGGGGGTACAAAGAGACACCTAACTCCCAAGGCTCAATGTTGGGCGGGAGGATGAAAGAGGGGAGGTAAACTGGGGGGACTCTGGAGGAGACCACGGACAGTGATTGTTATTTCTATGAGAAAACCTACTTTTCTGTTTTTTCTTCAACTGATAAAGAAAGAATTCAAAATTTCAGGAGCAGAGAAGTTGCTTTGGTAAAAGCTACAAATGTCTAGGGGTGGGGGGCGGAGGGAAGCTATAGCATAGACTTGGAGCGCTTCCTTATACTGAGCAAAGAGGGCTCTTGGCAGAGTCCTACACTCAGTCCCTCTGCAGGAGCTATGGAAAGAGTAAGTTGTGAATAATGGGAGAGAAATTCTAGTTAGCTTTCCCAAATTTGGTTGGGGCCGGTGTGTGTGTGTGTGGCGGGGGGAGCAGTCTCAAGTCTTCTCAATTGTTTTGAGATGGACCTTGGCAACTTTCCTACTCCTGCTGGTTTAGTACTTCCCTGTACCACAACCCCACCCTTTCTTCTCCCCTGCCATAGCAGCCCTTACCCAACTCTTCCTTTCATCCTGAGGCAACACTAGGTAGAGGAAGTTTTCCTAGCATCTCTCCATGACAGTTTTCCTCTGTTATAACAAACATGACAAATGTGTTGCCTAGACCAGTTTGCCGTTAGTAGCTTCAGATCGCCTAAGTCACAAACTGCATCTGGAATGGGTAGGTTGGTTCAGGAGAACCGCAGGACATGGCTGTATTTCATTGCCTTCACAAGTTGGAGCTAATTAGGAGTGACCAAAAGCATCATAATTCCACATTAGAAACTGCAGAAACTCTTATACAGGAAGTTGTGATGGGTGCTCTAGACAAAGTGTTCTTATCAAGTAAAATTAATTCAAAAGAGTTGTAGTCCACTTTCTGTTTACCCAGATGTTCCCGGTATATTTGGCAGAGTGTGGAAGCTCTCAGTATTGACTGAGATTGATATTGATTGTGTTGGTGTTGATGTGTATATTCAAATACTACATGTGAATGTGAAATGCCATATATCTGTTTTTGTTAAAGAAGATAAATATTTTAACACTTTAAAATAGTTCCTAATTCGAGGGTTTTTTTTTTTAACCAGGGGTATGTGTATATAGGGAACATGGCATTTTCATATTTAGTTACAATGTTTGTTTCACCTATTCAGCAAGTATTGCAGGTTTCAGCGGAGCTCTTAAATCATTTAAGAATTGCTCTCTCCAGTATGCTTTCATTACCCAGGTGCTGCAAATTGCTTATAAGCAATTCTTTCTACTCATCTGTCTGATTTCTTTAATTAATGATTTTTAAAGAGTAAAGCTAATTTCCCTGATCTTTTGATGAGGAATAAGATAAGTATTGTCTGTAAGAAAAGAGCACCATCTATTGAGAGGAAGGCTAACAACAGAAGGAAAAATGCAAGAAGATCGATGGAAGTATTTATTTTTAAAAACATTTACTTTAAGTAATTCAATACAATGATTCACATTGAAGATTAAAAACCAAGTTTAATTTTGCAGTTATGACAATAAAAGTTATAATTAAAGGCCTGTTTTGTGAAGGGAAAATATGTTTCTCATTTTTTCTAAAAGAAATTCATAGAATCATAAACTAATCAAGCTAGAAGGGACTCTAGAGATTATCTATGCTAAGTAAATAAACTGAGGCACAGAAAATGTAAATTATTTTCTCTAAGAACAGATAGTTCATTAATTCAGTGCCACTAAATCTCTCCTAGCTAACATATTTTTTTTTTTTATTGTGCTGGCAAATCATGATTTGAGTTAATTCGACTATTAGGTTGACAGAGTGGGTTGATATAGCAATAATAACTTGGGAATAACAAATTATCCCCAAATTCTATGTGAAATCCTGAAGGAAAAAAGCATGAAACAAAAATACCAAAGCATCTAGGAATCCTGCCATCTGAAACATAATATTTTATTCCCTTTTATTGCTTCTTGATATTTTCCTTCCTCATTTTTCTACCCTTTAGTTTATGCTTTGCAATACAGAGAGAGCCAATAGAGTGGCAACTGGCTGTGAAATGAGCAGATTGGTCTTATTCCAGTGTAGAAGAGGTTGCTGGTTGGGTGAGTTAGTTTTAAAGGCATTACCTCTGGCCTCTTGTTGACTTGGAGAAACATGGTGACGGTGCATCTTACTGAGAACATGTTATTATGCTTTATTCTCGGTACTGAAAGTTCTTACAAAATGCAGTACTATTTGAAAGGTCATCCCAAACACCCACCTGTGGCAGGCTGGGTTTTAATCGCAGGGTTAGGTAACCCTCTTGGAATGTGACTGTGAAACAGAAAAATGGGCAAGTTAGTGACAGATGAAGCGACAGGGAAAGCATCTGGGGACTGAAGCAAGTATGTCTATTTAGCTGAGAACATTTAACTGACTGTCTCCAGGCTGCGGTGTTTAAACTACAAAATGATCAGTTCAGGGATGTATTGTCCTTGCTAAAATGCTGGATATAATGTTGCATCTATTAAGTATTGAGGAGAAATGTTCACTTCCTTCCCTATTTAAAATTCAACAAATGCTATTGAATGATCAAGTAGTTGCAGTTTTCTGATTATATTAAGGTAATATTTATTAAAATGTTTTAGTACATTGAGTGAATCATGAGGCTCAGATGACTATGGCAACAACAACAACAAAAATAACTGCTAACATGGACGCTGTGATTAACTCTTTGGTTCTGTTTGTAACACCATCATCATCATCCCCTCATCAACAACATTATTAAGTAGTATAACTTAAATGAGATTCTTAAACAGGGCTACTCTAAGGAATACAAGGGAGGAAAGGAGAAACTGTAATATGTTCTAAAGATTTTAAGTCCAGATGTTAAGTGATAAAAATGTTATCAGTAACCATCACCTGAAAGCTTTTTTGGTTTTAAAGAAAAATAATGCTTGGAGAATAACCTTATGAAAATTATCACAAAGATTTTAGAAAATGTGATGAAAATACTACAAACAGTAGCAATCACTTAAAATGGGATGATAGTATTTCATTGTCAAGAACTGTAAAGAAAAAAAATCAAAACAAAAAGTAACAGCCACCAGAGATGTTTCACTTTTGGGAAAATATTTAATAACTGAACCAGACTATAGAATTACCCATAACTGCAAAAACTAATATAATCCCAGATGTGTTTATGTTGGGAAATTCTTTTTCCAAGGTTTGTTCATGTAGCTATGAACATGGTATGTACAGACACTGTTGAAAAGTGGAGGGCTAGAAACTTTGAGATTTCTGTGGGCTGCGTAAACCATCCTTCCAGTAAATTTCCAATGAAGAGTGCCAAGTAATAGTACCTTCATTTTTAAGATTATTTCTTAATGTGGTTAGATAAATTCTCAATATAACTAATTATCAGAGAAGAGCATTTAAATACGTGCAAGATGTTATTGTCATTTCTCCTTCCTAACAAGTATTTCTGATTTTAGAAAAAGTCCTGTGAGCTTATACTTGTTCTATATACTAAATATTTGATTCAGGTTTAAATTTAAAAATGATCAGTTATACTTGATTGAAACAGAAGTATAAGCTTTTAAACTTAATCTAGATTCAGGTAGCTACAAATTAGTGAACAATAATGTTTTATCTAATATAAGGATATATATGTGTGTGTGTGTATATATATATATATATAAATTCACACACACACATACATATTTGAATCAATTTGAATGCATGTCACTAAATATGATCATTAGTAATTTTCATAAAATAAAAAGATAATAGTTTATTTACTCAAATATTAATAAAATTCACTTTTCTAAAACCCACAAAATATCCTAATTAGAGGATGGATTTAAAGTGAAAAACACTAAATAAAATTCAGTTCTCAATTTAATGGCTTACATTAAAAAATACTAACTTAATTGCATGCCTTTCACTTAGTAAGGGAGAGCTCCTGGTACCTATTACAATTTGAACTTTAAGTGCTATTTTCCATATAGAAACTAATTCAGAGGAGAACAACTCTTCTTCTGTGTCTTCTAAACACACTAAATTGCTTTTCCTTTCCTTGGTTGTAAGCTGTGTCTTTGTCATTTGCATGACATTACCAATCAACGAGTTTCCTATATTCTTCTCTCTCTCTTTTCTTTCTTGAAAGAATGACCTATCTGATATTTTATGAAACATCTCCAAAGATAAAAAATATATAATTACAGAACAATTCTTCTCTTAAAGGATGGATGGATAGATAGATAGAGAGAGAGAGAGAGAGATAGACAGACTGAAACAGTTGAAGTCTCTTCTCTGCTCCTAATACCCTCCTGTCACTGAGACTACCACTATCATAAATTTAGTGGTGAGTTATTCACATGCATGTTTTTAAACATTTACTACATATGGAAACACATATATATATAGTAAACATATGGAAACACACATACATAGTAAATGTTTTTGTATGTTCTCATAACTTTTTATAATTGGTACCATATCATATGTTTAAGCTTAAACACATAATTTCCCTAATTACTCCAAGTTGTTATAGTTCCAGTAGGCCAATGCTAGAAAATAGATGTCAAATAAAACCAACAAACATAAAAGAAAACAAACAAACATTCGGGCCATTAACTCTTCTGAGTACTTTTAACTGATCTTATTTTTTTTTAAATGTGTTAAAAATTATTTGTAAAAATTTATTTGCAAGCATTTTTCTAAGCTAATTGTTTTAATTAATATTTAGGTATAATACTCAGAAAAAAACCTCAGCTACTGCTGCAAAAAAAATAAATCGGTTAATAAATTTAAATAAAGCATAATTTCTCTACTGCTAAGAAGAAAATACAAATAATTAATTGGTGTCTGTAGGTATTCAAATAATAAATGCTGACAATATTTACTTTGAGATTTTGAACATCTAATAGGATCTCTTACATATAAAAGTTGAAAATATTATTTCTCCTAGGATTCCGTTTAAGGCAGTAGTTGAAACAGATATTTTAAGGTCAGATGCAAGAAAAAATAAGCTCATTTTGAGAAATAACATACAACTATATGAGATTTAAAAATGTACTAGTGGTGGTCAGGCACTGTAGCTCTTACTTACAATGCCAGCGCTTTGGGAGGCTGAGGCAGGTGGATCACCTGAGGTCAGGAGTTTGAGACCAGTCTGGGCAACATGGTGAAATGCTGTGTCTACTAAAAATAAAAAAAATTAGCCAGACTGGGTGGCGCATGCTTGTAATCCCAACTACTGGGGAGGCTGAGGCACAAGAATTTCTTGTACCCAGAGGCAAAGGCTGCAGCGAGCCGAGATCGCACCACTGCACTCCAGCCTGTGCAACACAGTGGGACTCCGACTCAAACAAAAAAAATAAATTAAAAAAAAAAGTACTAGGGGTAAATACCAAGACTAAATGGTGCATGTCATTTTAAAATACAAGAATTCCAAGTCTTTAGTCCTCACTAAGTTTAATGTTTATCTGACTGAAATAATTATCTGTGACAGCAGTCTTCAAACTTGTTTTTAGATGTAGACACTTATTTCAAGAACTTGGGACCCAATATATAAAACAGATCACAGAACAACTGTCCAGATGTAACCACATGTTGAGACCAAGAGCACTGCTCACCTTGCACCCCCATGCCACCCACCAGTGCTGTCCCCAAGGGACCACCATAGAATTTCTAGGGCTCCACCAGGCAAAATTTGAAAGCAATGGCTTTCACGTTGTTTCATATCCTTCTCGTGCCCACCTCATGTCCTTCACCTCGCCTTCTACCTCAGCCGTTGATATGGCAGTCAGTTTCCAGACATAACTGAGTAACACTTCACCTTGGCTGCATCTAAATCACTTACTTTCTGCCCTAGGGCTTCTCTACTGGAGTAATTGCCCTCCATAGGAATCAGCCTGGCACTCACAAAGGCACTATTTGGAAGTTCAGGAAAGTTCCCTTGACCAGGAAATGGAAGCCTGTGGAAAAATGCTGCCCTTGCTCCCCTCTCTCCTGAGGTGTACAATTCTGAGGTGCCAACTACAAGGCACATCAGAAGGCCCCGCCCACATTGTGACCGTCTCAAAAACATGCCTCGTTTTCCTCTTCCCTGGTTTACTCTTCTAGTTTCCCACTCCTTGCCAAGCAACCACTTTTCAAAATGGTTCACCTTCACACAAGGTCGTATCTCACACTCTGCTGAATATCCTTCCTGTTATTTTATAATTGGTGACTATACGTTAGCACAGTAAAATCTGTTTAATAAATAGAGCTCTTACAGACCTATCAATAAAGGTTTTCTCTTAACTATCAAAAACTCGTAAGAAAAATTCTGATAGGCAGCACCAGTTAGAACTACCAAGAGAGTTCAGAAGCTAAGCTTTTCCTTCCATTTTTGTTCCTGCCTTGGGATTTAGGAAAGGCTTTTTTGGGTAGGTTTGGCTGAATGGAGAGAGAGTGGGCACCAGTCATGTCCAGTGTTCAGTTTACTTCTTCTTGAGCTCAGGATAATAGGAGCAGAATTGTGTGTGCCATGTAAAGGAAATAAAGCCTCCTGTGCCTTCTGGCAAATTATCTGAGGGTATAAGAAAACAAACAAACAAAAAATCCTGCCACTCCCTTTTCCATTAATTTCATGTTATATAGTAACGTTAAGAGTATCTTGTGATTAATTGAGCTCAAGAAAATTTCAGTCTTCAAAAGTGAGCTGAAGCATCAAATGCAGGAAACGTCATATACAACAAGCATCATATACTGAGCTTACCAAGCAACTCCTTTCTTTACCCATCCTTTCTTGCCTCAGGTAACTTTTTTTCTTTCCCCATCAATTTCTCAGATACAAATTTAGAAAGGAAGAACAGCAAGGAAGAGAAACCTTGCCCTGGCTCAGGGCCCCAAGTGTCAGTTGTGGCTCGACTTCAAGGCACTCTGCGCCTCACTCTCCTTATCTGTAAAAAGGTGCGAATTGGACTAAAAAAATCTTAAACGCTTTCTAGTACTAAAATGTCCTATGGCAACTTCAATGACTATTAAGAGCATGTTTTTCCCAGCAATACAATCTGGAGGAAAAGAGGAATCATCCACAAAACTAAACAATCGTGGTTGCCATTCCATCACAGCCCTTTGGATTCTATATAAGCTCAAATAGGTTCTGTCAAAGGGAGAAAGAGTGAGTGTGCTCTGAACTGCCAGGTGTGGTGTTTATGATTAGGACAATAAGGGAAACAGAAAGTTACAGTCAAGCCTTTATTCATATGCTTCGAGAGTACAGGCAAGTGGTTAAGTGGGAAAAGGTGCAACCCCATCATGTTTCATTCCCCCCACCCCCACCCCACAGAAGCCACCAGGTGAGCATCACATGTTTGAGCAGAAATGCAGGAAGGAGAGGGAAAAGTCATCTTCTTACTGCACTGGGAGGCCCAAGCAAAAGGTCCTGCTGTTTTGTGTACCTGAGGGCCTGGGTGCAAGATGGGGAAAGACAAGGAATGAAAAACAGTGAGTCAGAGTATGTGCTGCCTCCTTAAGGGTTAGGAACGCATAACCTAAAAGCGTGACTGGCAAAGGTGGAGCGTGGGCAAAATTCTCTCTCTCTCTCTCTCTCTCTCTCTCTGTCTCTCATTCTCTGTTTAATTTTTAGGAGATGGTTTTAATATTTGCCTTTAGGTATTAGTCCTATCCTGGATGTTGTATTCCAAATCTGATGCAAAGAGGTTCCACCAAATCTAATCAAGTGAACTTTCGTAAACCAATGGATAGGGCTTTCCCATAAGATGAAGTGTGTGATGGGTTTAAATGAGAGAGAGATCATTCTGTTCTGGATATGTGTCTGTCCAGGCAAAAATGTTGTTAAGTACAATTTTTGTTTGTTTGTTTTTTGTTTGTTTTAAATAATATGTTAGCTTATGCACTGTATGTAAGTAGGTGTCTTCGTGTGTTCAGGCTGCTATAACAAAGTACCATAGCCTGGGTGGCTTACAAACTACAGAAATTTACTCTTACAGTGCTGGAGGCTTGAGGAGTTCATGATGAAAGCACCAGCAGATTCTGCATTTGCTGAGGACCTTCTTGCAGAGACAACTAACTTCTCCCCATTTCTCCACAAGGCAAAGAGGCAAGGAAGCTCTCTAGGGCCTCTTTCATAAGGGCATTAATAGTGTTCATAATGGCTCTGCTCTCATGACCTAATCACCTCCCAAAGGCCCCACCTCCAAATACCATCACACTGGGGAATAGGTTTTCAACATGTGAATTTGAGGGGAACACATTCAGTTTACAGTAGGTGTCCTAAGTGATTCAAATATTAACCACTCATATTCACTGAAAACCATTAGTGTGATTTAAATTAACGTTTACGTAAATTAGGCCAACCTGATTCCTTCACTATCTTCCAATATGCTTCATGTTTATCTCTTCTATACTGTTTCCTTTATTTTTCTTTCTCTCTGTTTTCCTGTAACGTATCTCTCATTCTTTTCCTATCAAAATGTTTCTTGTTCTTCAAGTATCAACTTAAATCCATCCTTTCTTACAGCCTCTCCAAAGTACTCCTACAACCAATTTCCCTGCAATATAACCCAAAATACATGCTACCATTGTTAAAAAAAAATTATGCATTTTCTCATGGCCTTATAAAATGTCACTTGATAAAACTTAAAGACTTGAACTATATCTATCTCTTTGTGTTTAGGTGAGAAATCCAACATTCAAAGTTGACCAACAGAACTGAATATCTTCAAAATACTGTACAATTCTAAGCTATTAGCAATTCAGATGTACCTCAAATTATTCAAGTATAAAATCTAATTTAAATAATTTTCTCAATTCACTTTGTTCATGCATATTTAGCTTTTATCACTTGAGTCATGAAAAGTGATCTGTACCATAGATACATATTAGCAAATCATAAATTCAAATACAAACACATACATGTCTATATATGCATATATTCCTGAGTTTACAAACTTTAAAAAGGGAATATATGGTTACTCTTATAATAAAAACTCAGAAAGTAAAATTTGAAGAAGTAAAAACATAAAAAGTTAATATAGTCAATTCCCATTATTCATGATAGTTATGGTCCATAAAGTCATTATGACTACAGAATTCGTGAGTACTGAAGCTTTGCTTCTAGGGGATATATAGGGCAGGTTCCTGTGAGCCTCTGATTATAAAATTTTCATCAGCTAATGCATTCGTAACCTTGTTTTATGTGTGTTTCTGTTTAAAGACGCTTTATTTAATATATAGCTGATTCACTAACGTTGAACTCATGGTTAACAGCACTATAAATCATGCCTGAACAAAGCTTCTGTAACACAAGTACTTTCCTCATAAGCCACATCACAGTCTTCTTGGCTTAGGGACACTAAGCAGAACTTCCACACTATGTTTGAGACCATTTTAAACAGTGAAGTCACCACCACCACCAACAACAACAACAAAAAAACACAGAAATGTGAAAAATGTGGCAATAAATAGATTGTGAAAAGGACACGTGTTTATAGTACAAGCTGAAAGAAGACAGCAGAGCATTGCCTTGTTTGACCTTACCTGGGAACCTGCACAGAGAGCAACTCAAATTTTTTGCTGCTCTATACATGTCCACACAGGTCCTCAAATGACTGCAAAAGCCAAGTATTATTTTGCGGGTAAATATTAATAGATTTTAGTGAAGAGGCCAATTTTCAAATACAGAATCCTCAAATAATGAGAATCAAATATATATAAAATGTTCCTCAAGGAAATATTTTTGAAACACTAGTAAAGAAGAAAATCAGGAAGCTATGTTCCAAATTAAATATGGTAGCAAATTCATGACATGATGACAAGTTGTATGTTTTATTATAATCAGGTAGAATCGTTTGAAAACAAAATGGATTCCCATATAACTCACTCATGAGTCACCAGATACCCAACCACATCACACAAATTTAAAATATATACAGCGCATTGATTGATTTGCATATGTTGAACCATCCTTGCATCCCAAGGATAAATCCCACTGGGTTACAAGGAGTGATTTTTCTAATGTGTTATTGAATTCTGTTTGCTAGTATTATGTTGAAGATTTTTGCATTAATATTCATCAGAGATATTGGCCTGTATTTTTCTTTTTTTGATATGTCTTTGGTTTTGGCATCAGGGTAATACTGGCCTCACAGAATGAGTTTGGATGTATTCCTTCCTCCTCTATTTCTTAGAATAGTTTGAGTAGGAATAGTATTAGTTCTTCTTCAAGTATTTGGTAGAATTCAGCAGTGTAGCCATCAGGTCCTGGGCTTTTCTTTACTGGAAGACTTTTTATTATGGCTTAGATCTCAGTACTTGTTATTGATCTATTCAGCTTTTGGTTTTCTTCCTGGTTCAATTTTGGTAGGTTGTATGTATATACTCAAAACAAAGGAAGTTAGTATATCAAAGAGATATCTGCACTCCTATGTTTGTTGCAGCAGCACTGTCTACAACAGCTAAGATTTGGAAGCAACCTAAGTGTCCATCAATAGATTAATGGATAAAGAAAATGTGGTACATAAACACAATGGTATACTACTATTCAGCCATTAAAAAGAATGAGATCCACTCATTTGCAACAACATGGATGGAACTAGAGATTATGCTGTTAAGTGAAATAAGCCAGGCACAGAAAGACAAACTTTGCATGTTCTTACTTATTTGTGTTATCTAAAAATCAAATCAATTGAATTCATAAACTTAGAGAGTAGAAGGATGGTGACCAGAGGCTGGAAAGGGTAGTGGGGGCTGATGGGGGGCTGGGAGGAGGTGGGGATTGCTAACAGGTACAAAAATATTAGAAAGAATAAATAAGACCTACTATCTGAAAGCACAAAAGGGTGACTATAATCAATAATAAGCTAATTGCACATTTTAAAATAACATAAAGAATGTAATTGGATTGTTACTCAAAGGATAAATGCTTGAGGGGATGGATACCTCATTCCTCATGACATGTTTATTTCACATTGTCTGCCTGTATCAAAACATTCCAAGTACCCCGTAAATATATACACCTACTACATAGCCACAAAAAACAAATATTTTTAAGATTAAAATATATATTAGCATGTTTTATTTTGCATATTGAAATAAAATTTTCAAAACTAAATTGATTCCTGTATATTTCTAAAATAGAAGTTTAAGTAAAATTGTGATTATGTAATATAAGTATGTGAACATCAAAATTATCCTTACAATGTAGGATTTCATTTATCTGAAGTCTTATGCTTTTTTCAGTAAAGCTCTAAAACATGGAAAGGAAACTTTTACCTAATAAGTAATAACCATGCTATAGCTATAAAATCACAACAATTACTTGATATTTACAATTAGCAAACTTTGGAAAAATTTATTAAGCCACAAAATCCTTACTCTAATTTTTGGTAAACAACTAAAAAGGGCTCTGCCTAAAATTGAATGGCTCTAGGACCGTGAATTAGCCTGCTCCCTCCAAACTGAGAATGGCGAAAATGCACAAGTAAACTAGACATTCCATCTGGAAAGTAAAATCCTATTTTATACCAAAATACTTTTATTAGCCAACATAAAATTTGGATCTAAATGATTCTGAGGTAAGACTCTCATCTCATTTTACTATAGTTAGATGCATATAAGACCCCTTCATTGCATGAAGAGTGATGGCTTTGCTCAGTCTTTCCTATAAGAGTTACAAAGTATTTATGCAACCAATAAGCATATGAGAAAAAGCTCAACATCACAGATCATTAGAGAAATGCAAATCAAAACTACAATGAGAACCATCTCATGCCAGTCAGAATGGCGATTATTAAAACATCAAGAAACAATAGATACTGGTGAGGCCATGGAGAAAGAGGAACGCTTTTACACTGTTGGTGGGAATGCAAATTAGTTCAACCATTGTGGAAGACAATGTGGCAATTCCTCAAGGATCTAGAACCAGAAATATCATTTGACCCAGCAATTCCATTACTGGGTATATACCAGAAGGAATATAAATCATTCTACTATAAAGACACATGCACACATATGTTTATTGTAGCACTGTTTACAATAGCAAAGACATGGAACCAACCCAAATGCCCATCAATGATAGGTTGGATAAAGAAAATATGTTACATATACACCATGGAATACTATGCAGCCATAAAAAAGAATAAGATCACGTCTTTTGCAGGGACATGGATGAAGCTGGAAGCCATCATCCTCAGCAAGCTGACACAGGAACAGAAAACCAAACACTGCATGTTCTCACTCATAAGTGGGAGTTGAACAATGAGAACACGTGGACACAGGGAGAGGAACAGCACACACTGGGCCCTGTCGGGGGTTGGGGGGCAAGGGGACAAGGAGCATTAGGACAAATAGCTAATGCATGAGGGGCTTAAAACCTAGATGACAATTGATAGGTGCAGCAAACCACCGTGGCACAAGTATACCTGTGTAACAAACCTGCATGTTCTGCATATGTATCTTGGAACTTAGAGTAAAATAAAATAAAATAGGTAGAAAGTAAATATTTCTGGTTTTTACAATCAGATAATCTCTGTCATAACTACTCAGTTCTGCTGTTGCAGCCTAGAGCAAGCCATAGACAACACATAGATGAATGGATATGACTGCATTTCAATAAAACTTTATATGGACACTGACATTTGAATTTCCATATAATTTTCACATGCCTCAAAACATTATTTTTCTTTTGATTTCTTTCAACCATTTAAAAATGTAAAATTGTTCCTAGCTGGAAGACCACAGAAAGAAGTGGTAGGCTGGGTTCTGCCCACAAGCTGTCATTTGCCAAACTCTGACACAGAACATCTTAAATAAAATTTTATTCTTGCAGTGGTCATGAAATAGGAACACATCATCTTCTTTAGAAAATTTGATTACATATTGTTTACTACATGAAGGCAAAACATTTTGTTAAAATAACCTAGTACTTAGTAGGTGTGTATATTTATGGGGTATGTATATACCCACAAAAATTAAAAATTAACAAAAACCTAGACCAACTCACAGTATTTTTCAACATCAGAAAATAGCAACACAAATATGAAGTTACCACAAACCAGAACAGTTGCCATAGATTGCTATGACAGAGCATATTGCTCTTCTGGAACTGAGGTTGAAGTTGTGCTATAATAATCACCACACAAAATTATCTCTATTTCACCCCAGGCCTCCATATCTAACCCCCAACCCTTTATTTGACTCAGACAATCAGCAAGGTTTATTACCACCCTTAGCCAGTGATTAAGGAGTAAGTGCTTAGAAAATAGCATTTCTGAAGAATTTATCTTTATTGGATATGCTTTGTGGTTATCTTAAGTAAGTGCAGTTTGCTAGGCTTGTCACAGTATTTTCGTCTTCAATCTTTTGGAAGCTTTCAGGAAAAATGGAAACTGTCATCTGCAAATTCATATTAACTTCTTGGCAAATATAAAATCTGTCTTCCAAGATACCTATGCCTGCACACCTGCCACCCTGCACCCACTGCATGTGACCAGATAGTGAGTGGCAGCTTCAAACTCTATGCCATTTCAAACATAAAAGCTCATTGCTTGGATCTTTTTTCTTTTCTGTCTGACTTACATATTGCTCATTTAAAAAAAATGTTTTCTGCAGCTCTCAGAAGTTGCTTTGGAAAATGCTATTACTTATTCTTTAGAACTCAGACTGTCTAGCTGGGTAAAAAGGAGTGCTAGGGTAGGCCAAGGTATTCTAAGGATGCTTATAATCCCTTGACTTCTTGTCTACAGTTTTGTTCAATGATTTCCTTAAGACTCACTGAAATCTCCTCCCTGCCTGACTCTACATCTTTAATTTTGTCCCCATCCATCCATATCTAAATGACTGCCCTTTGATCTGCCATGCTCAGAGGAAACTTTCTCCCATGTACAGGAATTCTTTAGATTAGCCAGATGACCATCAGGAAAAAGTTCGCAAGAAGAGTTAAGTTAAAGGAGAGTTTAAACTGGGTGACATAGAGTCCACTGCAAAATTTTATAATTCCCAGACTCTCTTAAGCGAGAATTGGATCTAAATTCTAGCAAGGAACCCAGACAGGATAAAATGAATAATAATTGAGTCTCCTTCCAATTAACTCATGGAACATCAGAGCCATTATATAAATCCCCACAATATGCTTAGACATGTAGAAGAAGAGTACTTTCAGATCGTCTAGTCCAGTGATTCTGAATCCTGGTGGTACCTTAGAATTACCTGGAAAGCTTACACCGGTCTCGGTGGCTCACGCCTGTAATCTCAGCACTTTGGGAGGCCGAGGCCGGCGGATCACGAGGTCAGGAGATCGAGACCATCCTGGCTAACACGGTGAAACCCCGTCTCTACTAAAAATACAAAAAATTAGCCGGGCATGGCGGCATGCACCTGTAGTCCCAGCTACTCGGGAGGCTGGGGAAGGAGAATTGCGTGGACCCGGGAGGCGGAGCTTGTAGTGAGCTGAAATCGCGCCACTGCACTCCAGTCTGGTGACAGAGCGAGACTCCGTCTCAAAAAAAAAAAAAAAAAAAAAAAGGAAACCCGCCTAAGGTTAATTGAATCAGAATCTCCAGGGGCAGCTCCTGGGCATAAGTAAGTGTAAAAGTTCCCCTGGTGACTCTACCATGCAGCCAAGATCAAGAAGGACAGGTCTGGTCCAACCTATCCATTTTATGGATGAGAAAACTGAGTCCTGTTTGTGAAAAATATTTAACGGATCTGTCCTTATATTTTACTTCCCTGAACTTTAAGGGGTTATTTATAGAACAAGTAGTAAATTAAATTATCTTGCAGAAAAGCGAAAGCTCAGGATGTTTTGAAAATTTCTCTAAATTTGACCAATCATCTCTCTTCAGAGTAGGCATAGTGGAGTAGACAGAGTAGTAAACATGTAATGAAAGACATGTTTAGATAAATGCTTGAGAGGATGCATACCCCATTCTCTGTGATGTGATTACTATGCATTGCATGCCTGTATCAAAACATCTCATATACTTGATAAATATACACACCTAACACCTACTAGGTCGCCCACAAAAATTTAAATTAAAAAACTTGAAAAGCAGACATGTTTAGATGTCTGCCCCTTACTAGTGACTACACTAGACACCTAACCTACTTGAATCTCATTAGTTAAACCTTAATAAAGGAAAAATAGCCATATTCAACCTCACATGGGTTTTAGGTCCAAATAGATAAGATTTGGATAATAAAAAATATGTGGTCAACTCTAAAGTGCTCTGTAAAGCTTGGCTGGGCGCATTGGCTCATGCCTGTAATCCCAGCACTTTGGGAGGCTGTGGCGGGCAGATCACTTGAGGTCAGGACTTCAAGACCGGCCTGGCCATCATGGTGAAACCTCATCTCTACTAAAAATACAAAAATTATCCGGGCAACATGGCTTGTGCCTGTAATCCCAGCTACTTGGGAGGCTGAGGCAGGAGAATCGCTTGAACCTGAGAGGTGAAGGTTGCAGTGTGCCAAGATGGTGCCACTGCACTCCAGTCTGGGTGACAGAGTGAAACATCGTCTGAAAAAATTAATGAATAAACAAAAAAAAAAAAATAAAAGCTAGAGAGTTTTATTAGCTCCTAATTTTCTTCCCTCCCACTGCACTCACACCATCAGTATGCAACCTACCAACACTCACTCAGGGCTTTTGCCTTTCCCTAGGTCAGATATATTATCCATTATAATATTTCTAATTACAGTTTATCTTTCTAGACTCCTAAGTTCTGCAGAGAAGAAGCTAGGTTTTGCATGAGTATCACTGTTTCTTGTCATTCTTCTCTTCATTCCCATCAACTCCTTCTACATGCACTGGGTCATTCCAAAACCATCGTGTCAAGGACATGATGATGTGAAGAAAATTCTAAGGACAGGCAACTGCAACTCATTTGGTTCCCTACTGTTAAGTCTTTTTATATTGTCTAATAAAGTGAGTAGGGGAAAAATATGCAAACCAGTGATGTTCGAACAAAACAGCATTTTTGTTACTTAAATCTTGGTGTGAAAGAATCTCAAGCAGGATCTAAGTCTAAATGCTAACTGCATGTGACAAAACTCCTTTGTCCCCAGCAGCACTGTTCATTTGAATAAGAAGAAATAACTTATAACAATGGCATTCTCTGAACACCAGCTTTGAGAATTTAGGGATTTCTAATTTCATCCCTATAAAGAGTCATCCTGACCCCTGTTGAGTCTGATTCTCTAATCACAGTAAAATTGGTCAAATGATGGAGCTCTTTTCTTTTCTTTTCTTTTCTTTTTTCTTTTTCTTTTTGTTTTGAGACGGAGTCTTGCTCTGTCACCAGGCTGGAGTGCAGAGGTGCCAGCTCGGCTCACTGCAACCTCCGCCTCCCAGGTTTGAGTGATTCTTCTGCCTCAGCCTCCTGAGTAGCTGGGACTACAGGTGCTCACCACCATGCCCAGCTAATTTTTGTATTTTTAGTAGAGATGGGGTTTCACCACATTGGCCAGGATAGTCTTGATCTCTTGACCTCATAATCCGCCCGCCTCAGCCTCCCAAAGTGCTGGGATTACAGGCGTGAGCCAACGCGCCCGGCCTGATGGAGCTCTTTTCTGCATGAAGGACACATTAATGACGATTCTGTGGCTATTTCTAACACCTTCACGATGGATTTTTCCAGGACTTGCAATGCGATGTCTGTCAACTTCCTAACTCAGGACAGTAAACTCTATAAATAAAGCAAGCAGAGGATGCAGCAGAGAATGACAACCTGGAATCTTACGGTGCCCTTGAAAACTAAGACTCTTCCAAGTACAGAAGCTGTGGGAACAAGGAGATCAATGGAAGGGAAGGCCTCTTTGTTTCCGAGCATTTTTTCACCGAAATGCTGGGTTCAGTGCCAGTGAGAGGTTGAGCTTTTTCCGGGGGAGTATTAAATGTTAATTGAAAAACGTTGCCAGCAGTATAACCTGAACATCAGAGCCTCATTGTGCCTGCCAAGAAGAACAAGGGAAATTATTATCAACATTATAATTTCATTCTTACTCAGCCCCCATAAGCTCTGGAAAGAAAACCACATGGGCTGAATAAAATTAAATATGAGCATGTTAAAGATCCAAGGCCACTGAAATTGGTAGTCCTATTAAAAGCAGATAGCATTAATTGAAATCCTTCAAATAGTCTTTCCTTCTGATGACAAAAGGAAGCCTTTTCAACTTCCTTATAAAATAAATAAAACACATATCTAAGGACTAAAGATATTCTTTTTGTCCTTTTAATTTTATAGAACTTTACATTTTTCCCTAAATTGAGCAGTTTGAGTCTCATAACATTTTTGTGAGTCTAAACAGGGAAGACATTGAACAGACTCATTTTAAAGAAATAGACTAATTTTAAAGAATAAACATGAACTACGTTTGTTGAGCACTATGTACAAAGCACTCTCTTAGGAGTTTCAGATATCAGTGAGCAAAATAGACACAGTCTGACTTTTTCCCAAAGGTACAGTCCAGTGGATGAGAAAATTAAACAATTTTACCAGTTAATAAATGCCAAGAATAGGACTATAATAACTGACTTTGTGTTCTTTCCATCACAGTATCAGAAAAACACTGTTCTCAAGGTTTATTGCCATCAATTACTATAGCTCACCTTATTCCATCACCAAGCCCATCAATGTGATAACTTCTTAATTTAAGTCTTTATTCCATTTCTCAAATTTTGTTAAAGGTATTATTTATGTCTCAGAGGCAAGATAGTAGTGAGTGGAAAAGGCCTGCGTTCATTTTCATAAAAGAATGAAAAAAAGTGCTATTGACCATAATTTATAAGTATTTTTCTCAAAGTAGATATTGTAAAAATTTTACAAATAGTAAGGATATCGGCACAGAAGAGCAGAGTCCTGTATGAGTGGAATTTGTAGGAAGAAAATCTCAGGAGTCATTCCTTTCGGACATTTGTTACTCTCACTGTAATGGAACGATGACCAGTCTACTTATGAATACCCTGTCACACGAAGACAGGCAAGAGAAAAATCAAGCCGGAAGTCCAACCTGAAACTTTCACATTTTAAAAAGTTTTGTATCAGTTTTGTGATATTTAAGATGTAACTATCAAAAGAGAAATTGACACTATCTTTTAGAAAAGGGCCACTATTCTGAACAAAGAAGAAATTGTCTGCATATAAACAAATGCATCACATTTCCACAAAAGACTTTGGTATATTTGTCAATGCCACAAAGCATAACTTAAAACATATAAAGCACACCAGTGATCATTTCCACAGGAGTATTATTTTCTCAGCAATTTAGAAACTTAAAATAACAGCATATGAATGAAAGAATTAACATGCTTTCTACACACCCTTGCTTTTATGCATCTTTAAAAAAAATTGTATATAAAGATATATGCCTTCTGCTATATCAAAAAATTCTAACACTATTAAAAAGATGAAAAATGATGTTTGGTATAGCTCTCATGTTTTTATTCACACATTTGTTTGAAGTTAAGTTGATATTAAAACAGAATATATTGGGTCAGCATTCTAGTTGAAATAGATGAAGTTATAAAATTTAGCTGACCAAAACATTTTTGGAAAGATAATTGGTCAAAGAAGCCCTTTGAAAACAGTTGTGTTTTCAGAACAATCACAGGTCAGAATGCATCAATTATCTTTAGCCCACATGAGAAACATCTAGAAGCAATGTTAGTACAGTCAAAACAAAAAGTAACACTTTAGTAAATATGAATGCTTAATCTGGGCTCATATTCTAAGGACAAATAAACATGAACGTAGTAGAATATTGGTCCCTAGCAATGTGCCTTGGAGAATAAATTAGCACCCATTAAATTGGAAACCCATAGAAAGCATTATCATCATCACCATCTTCATTATCATCATCACCGTCTTCATTATCATCATCATCACTGACTTTTACTGAAAGTAACTACAGTTCAGATTCCATACTAACAATCCTTAAATACACTACATTAAAAAATTTTCATCTTTACACCAACCATTAAGGAAAGTATTAATATTTTCCAACTATTACAGACAGGAAAAATAGAATTCAGAAAATTTGTGTAATAAGCCCAAATTTGTCCAACTAGTAAATGATGGAAGTCAGATTTGAATTGAGAGCTACATTACCCTGAAACCTAAGTGCTTAAAAATTGTTTTATTCAATTGCATCAAGGAGAGGTTTTCAAACCAGTTATTGAGGGTTCATTTGGATGGCTGACAGGTATATTAAGGTAGCTTTTATATCTTACTTTCCAGAATTGTTCCCTAATTGGCAGCCTATTTTCCTTATTGATAGGCTCTACCTTGTGGAAATCGGAATGAAGGAAATGAGATGCCTGTCTCCTTGCAAGTCAAACCCTGCAGATTTTCCTTCATATTAGGCGGTGACATTTTGAATTGACCTTTTGTCTCTAGGATAACTCAATCTAGGTCTGTAATTGAGTCAGCCTTTTAACCTGGTAAAATAGAACCCATCAATTATTAGTGGAACTTCTATTTACAAAGCCTCAATTGTGATCTAAAGGTGCTGTCATAATCTGTCCTCGACAGCATCATTACTCAATGTGTGACTAGTGAGTGCTAATAATTCCTATCAGGAAACTGGTCAAGAGACAGCCACTCTGCCAGGCTCAGTGCTGAAAGCTGGAGATCTAGTCAGGCTTCCTGGATGTGTTATTCAGCCAAGCACTGTGACATTTGCATATCTCCACTTACATTCATGATCCTTTTTTACACTTAAAAAAAAAAATTCCGGTTTTAAGAATGCAAGCTCCTTGAGGACAGACTGTGTCTGGTATTTTTGTTGTTGTTTGTTTGCCTGTTTTAATTCTTTTATCTCAGAACCTAACAAAGTAACAAATACTCATGTGACATACAGTAGCTGAAATGTTCCACTACACTGAATTTATTACAATGTTATGTTAATGCTACATTTATTTCAGCCCTTTGTGTCTCAGTGTTCCATTTCTAATTTTTGAAAGTAACTTTTAAGTCATTGTTCCACTGAGAGCTAATGTTTCAAAGAAACTTGAAATTCCCAAGATTAAAATTATTGTAAAAGAGCTTTTTTAATTATTTTGATGCAAAGATATTTTCCAAGGTTATTTTCTACATTCGAGTTGAGAAGAGAACCTAAGCCCATGAAGTGTCTGCCTTTTCCTCTTCCCAATTTATTGCCGCAAGGAATCCAAATGGGAGAGGGGTTATAGCAAGATAATAGTAACCGAGAAAAATTGAATCTAGAAGAGGAATTAAATCTGGAAGACTCTAAGAAGAATCAATCTGGAATAAAAGGTACAACTTTACTCAAGGATTTTATTTTTGAAGCAGCACTAATGAAATTCAAGAAAAGGCATCCTGCTCCATATCCTTGCATCCCTACCCTAGCGACCAAAACACCAGATGGACAGGCTGAAGGCAGATTAGCTGGAATTACTGCCAAGTGCAAGTAACCAGGCATGTCGGTGGTACTCCAGCGAGCCTAAATAAATAGACCAAAAGAACCAAAAGTACCCAGCAAAGTAGTGGAAACTCCCACATTTTATTCATGACTCTTATCTGTAACTCTTTCTTTGCTTCTCAAATGGTTAATGGGGTCACTTATGAAAAGTATGGAAACCTAGTCCATTCAACTCCCATGCCAAATTCTTCCCATAGACTACTCCAGTCCATTCCATATTCTTTGTCTTAGAAACAGATTGGAAAAGAATAAGGTATCTGCGGAGACTTCCAGTAAATGAGATTTTTGCTTATTGTATCAATATGATAGTCTGAAAACTGACAAACACTGAGAGAAGAATTCTTAGTTGTATGAGTTTTTTCCCCCGAAAAATCAGTGGATTTCTGCCTCCCTGGGAGAAAAAGATGAGGTGACACTAGCCATAATAACAGGAGAACAATAGGGGCAGAATGCTTCCCTAGAAAATGGGAAGAAAGAAGTCACAAGACAATGTGTCATTAAGAAATCCAGATTCATCTTAGAGATGTATCCCACAAGGAGGTTATACTGGGTGACACAAGAAAATTTCTAGCCTCTACTCTGCACCAATTATTTCACAAATATTTAAAAGTACAAAGTTTATGTCAAGAAAAGAAATTCTTACTTCATGGAGCAGAAATACACTGGTAATAAAATATTGGCAAATATCTCACTCTCACTAAAATGGGTAGTAAAATTTGTGAATTTAAACATATTTAACAGTGGTGTATATTCACTTCTGGAAACTAGATACATGGCAGGCTAATTGGAGATACTTGATTTATATTAGTTTCTGGAAAACTTTGGGGCCCACCCTAAATTAATGGCTTTCTGCTACCATCAGAGACAAAATCCTTGGCAAAATGGGCCAGGAACATGTCCCCAGTAAGTGAATTAAATACTTTCACAGACACTCTCCATCTAGTAGAACAAATTTGGAATAATTGCAACATTCCTGTCACCTACATGAGCATTAAGTACTCCTCTCAACACTGCCATGTTACCCGCACTGCGCTGTAACATCTAACACACCATTTAGAAATCGCTTGGTTCTGGTTTGTCACCAGACTTAGGAGAGATATATCTCACTGTAGAACCAGTGCCTATCATGTGCTTGGCAAAAATAAAAATAAGAGAGGTGTTATTATGGAATACTATGCAGCCATAAAAAAGAATGAAATCATGTCCTTTGCAGCAACATGGATGCAGCTGGAGGCTATTCTTCTGAGGCAATGTATGCAGGAACAGAAAACCAAATACCACATGTTCTCACTTATAAGTGAGAGCTAAACATTGAGTACACATGGACAAAGAGGGGAGCAACAGACACCGGGGCTTACTTGAGGGTGGAAGGTGGGAGGAGGGTAAGGATCAAAAAACTTTTATCAGGCACTATGCTCACTACCTGAGTGACAAAATCATTTGAACACCAAACTCCAGTGACATGCAATTTACCTATGTAATAAACCTGCACATGTACTCCCTAAAAAAAAATAATAGTTGGAAAAAAAAAAGGTGTTAAGGAAATGTATGTTGACTCAATGTTGACACTAAGAAGATTTTATGGCGAACAAAAGTAATTATGAAAATATAATGCGTTCTATGAAAATTAAAAACATGCCCATAATTCTTAAGATGCTTTAATACATAAAGCTCAATAACATTTTTGTCTTTAGCTAGGAAAAGTGTGAAATGTATAACTTTGATCACGAAGTTAGAGTATTAAATATAACAAAATGTTCCCAGAGTTTGGCTGTACTTGTTAAGTTTAGAGTGATTTATATTTTAGTTTTTATATAGTTCAGTGTTATTCAGATTTTTAAATATGACTGTCCAATAGCATAAGGAAAAATATAATTAATCATATGAAAACAAGTAAAAAGGGAGAACATTTCAGAAGTAGTAGATGATCCTGAAAAGTAATAAAGTATTGCATTAGAGAGCTTTTTTACTAAAATATAAATCAATGTTTGGAATTTTCCTATTAAAAGAATAGTTACATAATTTGTGGCTAAAAATGTTGTTAGTGCCAAATGACTCTATTCCAAGTCAGAAGACAACTCCATATTGATTTAATAACCTGTATTGCACTATAAGACTAAAATTTCAGGCTTTAAAAACTAATGGGACTTCTTTGCTTTGCCAAATTACTGGTTTATTCATGAATCATATTTTCTCCTTACAAATGCTATTGAGTTTTCCACAGGGAAAGGAAAATACCTTCCAAAAAAACTCTCTGACTGAAAAAAAAATCTCAATAAGCTTCTTTCTGTTTCCTAGAAAAATCTCAAGTCAGCATGATTGTTAAATTACAAATAATTGTGTAATTCTTGGATGGAAAACAGTCATCATAAGTACCTAATTTTATATAAATCAAGATCTACAGGAACTAATTGCATTACCTTTATTTTTCCATCAATTGGTCCTAAAATATTTTGGAAACCTACTGTTGCAGGAATTCATTAAATGTCAAAATATTCAGACATCAGCAGGTACTAAGACACACTAAAATGGATAAACAGAAATGCTCATCAACAGTTTGGACAAATCGAATTTGAAATTAAGTCTTTATAGACCTTAATTAAATCTCCCTTTTGTAAAACTTAGGAGCAATGAGAACATCCTTATTTCAATTTCAGCTTCCTAAACAGTATCCTGACATATAATTCTTTCTAATCTGTTGTGCTATTATTAAACATTCCAAGTAGTTAAATCTCCAGAAAACACACACACAAAACTACAACTGAAACAAATCTTAACTATCCAGATATTTTGCTTGCATAGCAACAAATATCCAGGTATTTCAAATGCACAATGCTAACAATGTTAAACATTTTTGTCTTTGACAATTGTTCTAAACTTCAGTACTCTTCTCTTTAAAATAGATACAATAATAGATACAATAATCACGGTTGTCTAAGTTACTACTAGAATTTTTGTGAACATCAGTTCGCACAAACCCCTGTAAAGAGTTAGTAAAGCTTACTGTACTTTATTTATTATACAGATAGCTTATGTTTCATGGTGCATATATGGTAGCAGTGCAATGTAGTAGTAAAGAGCATTAACTTTATTAAATTATTAAACTTTATTAAATTTAAATATGAATTTAAATTCTGCCTCTGCCATTGTTATTCTTTTTTAACCCTAATTCATATTTTTATTGATTCATGCAACATAAAGTTTCCATTTTAACCGCTTGTAAGTATACAATTCAGTGGTCTGAAGTACATCCATGTCATTGTGCAATCATTAGTATCATTCATCTCTAGAACTCATTTCATCTTGCAAAACTGAAACTCTATACCCATTAAACAATAATACCCATTCGTTCTTTCCTCCTCCCAAACCCTGGTAATCACCATCCTACTTTCTGTCTCTATGATTTTGACTAATCTAGTTAACTAATATAAGAAGAATCATATATTATTTATCTTTTATAAATGGTTTATTTCATTTGGCATAATGTCCTCAAAGTTGATCCATGTTGTAGTATATGTTAACATTTTCTTCCTTTTGAAGGATGAATAACATTTCATTGTATGTATGAACCACATTTGGTTTATTTATTCATCTATTGAGTGGTTACATCTATGCTTTAGTAATTCTGAATAATTCTGATGTGAAGATGGGTATATAAATATCTTGTGGAGACCGTGTTTTCAATTTCTTTGGGTATTTGGATCATATGGTAATTCTGTTTTTAATTTTTTGAGAAACTGTCCTACTGTTTCCCACACTGATATGTCATTTTACATTCCCACCAACAGTCCATAAGGGTCCTATACGTTCTTCATATCCCCACCAACACTTGTTATTTTCTGCTTTATTTAATAGTAATATTCCTAATGAATGTGAGGAGGTGTCTCACTGTGGTTTAATTTGCATTGTCCTAATGAATAGTGATATTTTGCATCTTTTCATATGCTTATTATCCATTCAAAAATCTTTTTTGGAGAAAAGTCTGAATAGACTCTTGAATAAGTCCTTTGTCTATTTTTTAAATTGGGTTGTTTGTTTTCTGTTGTTGAGTTTTGGGAGTTCTCTATATGTTCTGGATATTAATCCCTTCTCAGATATATGATTTCCAAATATATTTCTCATTCTGTAGGTTGCCTTTTTACTACATGGATAGTGTCCTTTGATTAACAAAAGTTTTCAGTTTTTATGACATGCAATGTGTCCATGTTTGCTTTTGTTGCCTGTGCCTTTAGTATCATATCCAAGAAATCTTTGTGAAATCTAATGTTGTGTAGATTTTGCCCTATTTTTTCTCTTAAGGGTTGTATAATTTTAGCTTTTATATTTAGGTCTTTGATCCATCTTGAGTTAACTTCTATACATCAGGTTAGGTAAGGTGCCAAAGTTATTCTCTTGCATGTGAATGTCCAATTTTCCCAACACCATTTGTTGAAAAGACTGTTCTTTCTCCATTGAAAGGTCTTGGAACTCTTGTTGAAAATCATTTGGGCATGTAGGCAAGGGTTTATTTCTGGGATCTCTACTCTATTCCATTGGTCAATATGTATGGCTTTATACAAGTACCATGCTGTTTTGATTACCATTACTTTAAAGTAAGTTTTGAATTCAGGAAGTGTGAGTCCTCTGCCTTTGTCCTTCTTTTTCAAGATTATTTTGGCCATAGTGTTTAACTTAAGATTCCATATGAATTTCAGGATGAATTTGTCTATTTCAGCAAAAACTTCATTGAGATTTTGGTAAAGATTGCATTGAATCTGAAGATGACATTGTATGACATCTTAACAGTATTACATTTCCAATCCATGAACATGGGATGCCTTTCCATTTATTTATGTCTTCTTTAATTTTTTTTTTTTTTTTTTTAGACAGAGTCTCACTCTGTCACCACACTGGGGTACAGTGGCACGATCTCGGCTCACTGCAACCTCCACCTCCCGGGTTTAAGTGATTCTCCTGCCTCACCCTCCCAAGTAGCTGGGACTACAGCTGTGTGCCACCATGCCTAGCTAATTTTTGTATTTTTAGTAGAGTTGGGGTTTCACCATGTTGGCCAGGATGGTCTCCATCTCTTGACCTTGTGACCCACCTGCTTTGGTCTCCCAAAGTGCTGGGGTTACAGGCGTGAGCCACAATTTCCTTTAGCAATGTTTTGTAGATTTTGTACACATCTTTCACCTCCTTGGTTAATACCTAAGTGTTTTATTACATTTGATGCTATCATAAATTAAACTATTTTTCTAATTTTCTTTTCAGATTGTTCATTGTGAATGTATAGAAATGCAACTGATTTTTATATGTTGACTTTGTATTCTGCTACTTCACCAAATTCATTATTAGTTCTAACAGTTTTTTTTGTGTGTGGAATCTTTAGTATTTTCTACTTATAAGATTATGTCATCTGCAAACATATTCATTTTACTTCTTTTCTAATTTAGGTGTATTTTTTTTTCAAATTTATTTCTTTTACCTATTTTCTCTGGTTAGAACTCTCATGCTACATAGAACAGAAGTGGGGAAAGCAGCCATCATTGTCTTGTTCCTGATATTAGAGAAAAAGCTTTCAGCCTTTCAACATTGAGTATGATCTCTGCTGTGGAATTTTCATATACAGCTTTTAATATGTTATGGTTGATTCTTTCTATTTTGATTGTTTTGAGTATTTTATCATGAAAGTGTGTTGAGTTTTAACAAATACTTTTTCTGAATTAAATGAGATTATCATGTGGTTTATTTTCTTCGTTCTGTTAATCTGATATATTACATTGATTGGTATTCACATGTTGAACCATCCTTTCATTCCAGAAATAAATCCCAGTTGATTATAATGTATAATCCTCTCAATATGCTGTAGAATTTAGTCTGACAATATTTTGCTGAGGATTTTTGCTTCAATTTTTATAAGGGACATTGGTTTACTGTTTTCTTTTCTTGTAGTATCTTTGTCTGTCTTTGATGTTAGGGTAATGCTGGCCTTATAGATTTAATTAGGAAGTGCTCTCTCCTCTTCGTTATATTGAAAAATTTTGAGAAGTATTGGTATTTGATTTTTTTTAAGTGTTTGGTACAATTCACCAATGAAGCCATCAGGACCAGGGCTTTTGTTTATTGGGAGATGTTTTTATTACTGGCTCAATCTCCTATTATTGATAGTTTCTATTACTTTGTACTTTAGTCTTGAGAGGTGTTATGAATTGAATTATGCACCCTCCCATCCCCCCCAAAAAAAATCATTTGTTGAAACCCTAACTTTGATGTGACTGTAATTGGAGGTAAGGCCTTTAGGAGATAATTAAAGTTAAATGAGATCACAATGATGGGGTACTAATGAGGTTAGTGCATTAATGGAATTAGTAGTCTTATAAGAATTGAGAGAGAGAGAGAGATCTCCTTTAAGCAAAGAGGAAAGATCACAGGAGGACACAGTGAGAAGGCTGCACCTGCAAGCCAGGAAAAAAATCCCTCACCAGGAATTAAATCAGTTAGCATCTTGATTTTCAATTGACCAGCCTCCAGAACTACAAAAAACATTTTTGTTGTTAAAACCACTCAATGTATGGTATTTTATTGTAGTAGCTTAAGTAGACTATTACAGTAGTTTTTATGTTTTTACGAACTTGGTCATTTCATCCAGATTATCCAATTTGTTGGCATATAATTTGTCCATAGAACTCTCTTGTAAACATTTTATTTATGTACAAAAACTAGTAATATGCCTACTTCAACATTTTATTGTAGTGATCTGATTATTGTCTATTTTGTTATTAGCCAATCTAGTTAAAGATTTGCCAATTTTGCTAATATTTTTGGAAAACCAATTTTTGTCTTCGTTCACTTTCTCTATTTTTTTTTAGTTTCTATTTCATTTATCTCTGCTCCAATTTTTCCTTCCTTCTGCTAGCTTTCTGCTTACTTTGTTCTTTCTCTAGTTCCTTAAGTTTTTAAGTTGTTAACTTAAGATTTTTAAATTTAAGCATTTATACATACAAATTTTCCCTTAGCACTGTTTTTGCTGCATCATAAAAATTTCAGTGTGTTGTGCTTTAATTTTCATTTATCTCTAAGTATTTTCTAAGTTCTCTTGTGATTTTTCTCTTTGAACCATTGTTTATTTAAGAGTGTTCTTAATTTTCACAAACCTGTGAATTTTCCAGTTTTCTTTATGTTATTATGTTATTGATTTTTTTTAATTTTATCCAATTTTGGTCAGAGAAGATACTGTATATAATATTTATTTTTTTAATTTATTAAGATTTAATTTGTGGTCTAACATATAGTCTGTCCTTGAAAATGTTCCATGTGCATGTAAGAGGAATGTTTTCTGTTGTTGTTGGGTAGAGTAGTCTGTCTATATCTGTTAAACCTAGTTGGTTTGTTGTGTTTTGTAAGTCCTCTATTTCCTTACTTATCTCATCTGATTATTCTATCCTTTGTTCAGAGTAAGATATTGGCACTACCTCCTTCCCTCTTCAATTCTGTCCACTTTTGCTTTATATGTTTTTTAATGGTCTGTTGTTGAGTACTGTTTGTAATTGTTATATCTTCTTGCTGTGAAACATTTATTGACATATAATGCCTTTCTTTGTCACTTGTAAACTTTTTTTATTTACAAAAAGTTAAATTACAAATTATTTTTGCAATAATACTAGCATTTATAATTGTCAATGTATTTACCTTTACTGAGACCTTTATTTCTCTGCATGACTTTGGATATTGTCTACTGTACTTTCCTTTCAACCTGCAAGACTCCCTTTAGCATTTTCTTAAATTTTAATAGTATATTTTACTTAATCCCATATATCTATATTATCATTTCAACAAGTAATCGATGTAAATTTCTTAAATCATGTACCACATGATATTTTGAAGTATACATGCATTCTGGGATGGTTAAATCTAGCTAGTTATAACTTCTGTAATGAAAACACAACATTCACTCTCAGCATTTTTCAATAGTACCATATTTCAATATTAACTATAGTCACCATGTTGTACAATAGATCTCTTGAATTTATTCCTCCTAACAGTAATTATGTCTTCTTTGATCTATATAACCTCAACCCCAATTCACCCTAACCACCCCAGCCTCCATTCTATTCTCTACTTGTGTGAGATCAATTTTGTAGATTTCTCATTTGAGTGAAATAATATGGTATTTGTCTTTCTGTGCCTGGCTTATTGCACTCAACATTATGTCCTCCAGGTTGACCCACGGTCACAAATGACAGGACTCCCTTCTTTTTTATGGCTAAGTCGTATCCCATTGTGTATATATACCACATTTTCTTTATCCATTCATATATTAATGGACACTGAGATTTATTCCATATCTTGGTTATTGTGAATAGTGCTGCAATAAACATGGGAACGTAGCTATCTCTTCAACATATTTATTTTGTTCCCTTTGGATATATATACCTAGTAGTGAGATTGCTAGATCATATGTTAGTTGTGCAATTAGTTTTTTGAAGCACCTCCACAGTGTTTTCCATAATGGCTCTACTAATTTGCATTTCCACCAACATTGTGTGAGGATTTCCATTTCTCTCCATCCTTGCCACCACTTACCTTTTGTATTTTTTGTAATCATCATTCCAACAGGTACAAGCTGATATCTCATTGTAGTTTTGACTCGCATTTCCCTGATGATTACTGATGTTAAACATTTTTTTCATATACCTGTTGACCATGTGTATGCCTTTTGAGACATGTCCATGCAGGTCTTTTGCCCATTTGTTAATTAGGTTATTTGCTTTCTTGCTATTGGTTTGTAAGAGCTTCTTATGTATTTTGGATATCAGCCCCTTATCAGCTGTATAATTTGCAAATATTTTCTCCCATTTTGAATGTTGTCTTTTCACTCTGGTAATTTGTCTCCTGCAGTGTGCAGAAGCTTTTTAGTTTGATGTAATCTTATTTGTCTAATTTTGTTTTTGTGGCCTGTTTTATTTTTTGAGATGGAGTCTCGCTCTGTCACCAGGCTGGAGTGCAGTAGCCAGATCTTGGCTTACTGCAACCTCCACCTCCCAGGTTCAAGTGATTCTCCTGCCTCAGCCTCCCCAGTAGCAGGGATTACAGGTGCATGCCGCCACACCCAGCTAATTTTTGTATTTTTAGTAGAGACAGGGTTTCACCATGTTGGCCAGGATGGTCTCGATCACTTGACCTCGTGATCTGCCCACCTCGGCCTCCCAAAGTGCTGGGATTACAGGCATGAGCCACCGCGCCGAGCCCTGGCCTGTGCTTTTAAGGTGATAGCCAGAAAATCATTGCAGAAACCAGTGTCATGAAGCTTTTTCCTATGTTTTCTTTTAGCATTTTCATAGTTTGGGGGTCTTACATTTAAGTTGCTAACTTACTTTGAATTTATACTTTATCTGGTGAAAGATAAGGGTCTCATTTTATTCTGCTGCACGTGGAAATCCAGTTTTCCCAACATTATTTATTGAAAAGACTTCCCTTTCCCCATTGTGTTTACTTAGCACCTTTGTTGAAAGTCACTGAGATATAAACTTAAGGTCTTCTCAGGCTTTTTTCTGGCCTGTGCCTCTCCCTCGGCTTGTTAGTGACTTTCTGATTTTCCTTGTATATGCAGTTGCTTTTGAATATCCTAGTCTTTAATGTCTGACCCCCAAAAAAGGATAAGAAGGAAAAACAAATGAAGTAGGGGGGAAATGGTCCTGGTAATTTAAATTCCCTGGAAGTTGCTTCAGCTATAGGGAAAGAAATTTGTAATATTCGGAGGTGAGGGGGTACAACAATGACTATCTGCCTTTGTGTCTGCCTTCCATGATCAGAAGCAACAGTCAGCACTCAGAACACAGGTTCTGCTATTTGGATGACATGGTTCTTATTGCCTACCCTGGCTCCCACAAGCTGCATGCAAGCTGCTCCTGCAGCTCATGCACTGCCTCCCACCAGGCTCGTGTGGGAGATAGAAAACTGTTAGCCAGGTAAGAGCAGAAATTAACCAAAATAAACCAAGTTTACTGTCAAGCATTCCCCTGGAAGTTGCAAGCCTTCCACAACACTCCAAAGTTCAAAAATATTTACAACAGACAGACTATGCCAATGCAGTTTTTATCTAGATGGGGAGACAGATTCTTGATGCTTCTACTCATCCATCTGCCCAGAATCTTTGCCACTGTTATTTAAGAGGTGCATCTTGAAAGGCTGTGATGAAGATCAAGTAAGAAAAATCCAAGTAAACTCTTTAGAGCAATGCCTGGCATTCAACAAATGTTGGCTCTAATTATAATGCTCAAAAACAGTATCTATCTCCATTATTATTTAATTTGTTTTAAAGATAATTTTTTGGTAATATCTTCGCCACTTTACATTTATGGAAATTGGGACTCAGCAACTTGACTAACATCACAGACACAGTTCTCAGATTTATATATCCTAATTCCAAACCCAATATTCTTACTACTAGAATATGCTGGACCGTTTTACTCCTAACTTGGTTAAGAAGCCAAATATAGGAGGAAATTAACAAATCAAGGTAGTTTTAGTTACTCATTGGTCTGTGGGTTCACAGCATTTTAATGGAGCCAACTTTGCTCTTAAGATGAGTAAGCAGTTGGTATGACTCAGGAATCTCTAAGAATGTTTCTACCTTAAAAGGCAGGTTTTTGTTTCTTAATCCTTTAACAATTAATATTTTAATTAAGGGAACATTGGATAGACATTGTAAGGTGCAAAATACCTCTAGAAGGTATTGAAAATACTCACTGTAAGTATAAGCCATTTGATTACAACTGAGCAAGCAGGTCTTCACTTTGATAACTTCTAGACCTAAAGACCATGGTTAACTGATATTTGAAGGTATGGAATGCATAATATGGAAAGAGACTTAACCTAGATCATGGTGAAGATCCAGCTAAAGGCACAGTGTGTAGTCATAGCTGCTGAAGGAAGGAAGCAGCTCATTAAAAAGGTGAGATGGTATCCAACACTAGCTTTCATACCCCCAGGTCTGCCTGAGGTGGGTTTCTGCCTGCTACAGATAGATGCTGGATAAGTATATATGCCAAGATTTCAGTGAGGCAGCAGCTGATGTAGCTACAATGCCCCCTAAGTGGCCTGTACCCATCTGTCAGCATCACTGGAAAATGTCTAATGCTTCCCTCTAATTGCTGATTTTTGTCAGCTTGCTCATCATGAAGCCTGATCCTCATTTGTTATCTTCAAGTACACTCTATTATCCATGCTCACCAGCGAAAACCCCCAGGAATATCCCTGTAGTTTTAAAAAAAAAATAGGTGTATTGATCTTGCTACAGCAAGGAATACAAAACACCCAGGGATTTCAGTTTATATTTGGTGATTTGGGAAAGGATTCAAAGAAACAAAGGTCTATCTAGACAGTGTGCTGTCCTAAAGCAAGAGAAATCTGATGAATGAGCATCAGTAATTTTTTATCTAGGAGGAAGAATTAAGCATGTAAGGCTAGAGTTGTCATTGAGCAGTGGTCAATGACAATAAGAAGCAGTGGTTACTTAATGTTAACCAGGAAAGGGAGATGCTTGGCATTTTTATGGTTGTGGGTGATTTTGGTTTTATCTCTTTTCCAGGCATGGTTACAAAGTTAACTTGTTTTTGTCTTGTTGCATCACATCATGGAGAGTCCTCATCTGATGTTTATATTCTATGGAATTTTGTTCCACAGAGGAATACCACAGACTGATGGTTAGCAACCAGGCTGCTTCCCAAAAGCTGTCAGGGACTTTTTTTTGGTCTTTCTCGCAATTACTCAACTATTATATACTGTCCCTTCTCCTTCTTTGGCAATAGGAGAGGGATAAAAATGAGAATCAACGTGGGAATGGTAAGATAACAAGAGCTGGGAAGGTATGGTTTATTCTTATTGGAGGGAAATCTCCTAAGAATGTGAGATGATCAGGAATGTCATAATTAAACAAATATATAAATGTGGCCGTTAGGATCAAGAGAATGCATCATGTTGCTCAGGCATAGCAAGGTAGGCAGTTGAGTGCAGATTGAAGGTGGTCTCTGAACTCCAGAAGCTTATAAACCAATAGATAAAACAGATACTACTACTATAATCATCACATATGTTACATAGCACTAAGATTTCATGTGCAAGAATGCAAAAGGTTGAAATGTATTTTCAAATTCATTGATAGCACAAGATTTGCTTTTATTCAATACTAAAACTAAGTACTTGCTTAAAGTGAATGCAATCTTTCATTTTCAAGATAGCTAATTGAGAACAAGCATGAGACTCCACTCCTGGTCCCCAAGCTCCAGAACACAATAGAAACTATTTTTTAGAGAATATAAAGCAATAAATCAATGGACAGTCATACATTAGTTTATGAAAATGACAGAAAAATTCTTACTAAACAATGTGATATTTTAAAGGGCCCTATTAAAGGTTATTCCTGTTTTCTCTGCCATTTTGAACCAACTGAGAGATAAGACAAAATGAATTAACAACGTCACTACTGATAAATATCTTTATGATGGAAAGTTGTGCAGTAACAATGGCTTCCCAATTCTAATCCCAGAATGCAGCATACTCAACCACCTGATTGCCTGCTTGAACCACTGGTGACCTCTGCACACGGATACCAGCCCCTTTAAAATTTAGAAAATAGAGTACTTTTATGTTTTCCTTGGGAAGCTGAATCTCAAAGAAAGAGAGAAATGGAGAAAGCTATATATATCCTATTCTTTAAACATATAAAATAGCTAAGTCACTCCTCCTTTTGAAAGGAGTGAATAATGGAACTGAGAGAAATCAAAGCAGAGAAATGGTGGATGACTTTACTCATGAAACATGAACTCAGAAGAAAGGAGGTTCTCCCATTGCAGATAAACTAAGATGCTGAAAGAATACCTGAAACTAAGAACAGCCAATATAAGCTGCAGGTAGTGGAGCAAACTCCACTGATGTTCCATAATGAGGCAGACTTCCACAGTGGTAGCAGGCATGTTAGTTTACTCTTTTATATCTTCCAGGCTAGACATAAGCAACAGTGTCCTCATGCATACTTAGGGCAGAGATACTAGGCTATACCTGGGAAACTAGCACTTCTCTACAGGATTAGAAGGAAAGATAAGTAATCGAAATCAGATGACCAGCCACTAATGTATTATGTCTACTGCAAGCCATCTCATCCTCTGTTTTTATTGAAAACTGCATAGTGTGTAAACTCAGGAGCTAATTCTAACCTTTATCCCCAGCCAGGCTGCACAAGCAGAAGCAGTGAACAGTCTACCAGGGAATATTAACTTCAAGGATCATCTCAAAGCCAATAATCATCACACTGTTGAAGAGTGACTGCACCAGGAAAGAGACAGGGCAGCAGTGGGAACACAGCAAACAGAAGAATTTACACTTGAGGAAACAGAATAAAAAAGCAGTCACACAAGGACTTTAAAATAAGTCATATCAGGCATGGTGGCTCATGCCTGTAATCCCAGCACTTTGGGAGGCCAAGGCATCTGGGTCACTTAAGGCCAGGAGTTCAAGACCAGCCTGGCCAGCATGGCAAAAACTGGTCTCTATTAAAAATACAAAAATTAGCCAGTGTGGTGGTGATCCCAGCTACTCGGGAGGCTGAGGCAGCAGAATCATTTGAACCTGGGAGGTGGAGGTTGCAATGAGCCAAGATTGTCCCACTGCACTCCAGCCTGGCCAACAGAGCAAGACCCTGTCTCAGAAAAACGAATGATAATAAGTCATATTTTACATCTTCAGATAGATAAAAGAGAGAATTTTTTCTATGAAATAGGAGGAAGCAATTCAAAAATAATAAGAGATGGTTATTAACAAGCAAAGCATAGCAACCAAATTCCCAGACAACCTGGGTTTCAATCCTGGCTCTGACAACAATCACTAGTTGGATGTCTCCAGGGCAAATTACTTAACCAATCTGTGTCTTCATTTTTTCATCTGTAAAATGAAGATAGTCATAGTATATACCTTATATATGTGGTATGAGGATTAAATAATTTAGCATTAGTAAAGCACTCTGAACAGTATCTGACACATAAGTGTTTGTTAAATAAACGAACAAATTGGAAATTCTAAAAATAACAACTTTAATTTTTGGCGTTCAGGATTTTATGGGTGAGCCGAAAAGCAGAAAGAGAGAAGGCGAAGAGCATGTTAATGAGCTGGAAGAACATAGAAAATGGGATGGAGGCCAGGCACAGTGGCTCACACCTGTAATCCTAGCACTTTGGGAGGCCGAGGCAGGCAAATCACCTGAGGTCAGAAGTTCAAGACCAGCCTCGCCAAGATGGTGAAACACAGTCTCTACTAAAAATACAAAAATTAGCCAGGCGTGGTGGTACACTCCTGTAGTCCCAGCTACTTGGGAGGCTGAGGCAGGAGAATTGCTTGAACCTGGGAGGTGGGAGGTTGCAGTGAGCTGAGATCATACCAGTGCACTCCAGCCCGGAGGACAGAGCAAGACTCCAAATAAAAAAAGAAAAGAAAAACAAACAGAAAAAAAAGACAAGCAAAGAAGAAAAGAAAATGGGATGGAAATGGAGAGTATGAAGAAACACAAAAGATACTAGAAGGATAGACACGGAAAAACTAAAATGTATCTATTAAAGGTAGAGAACAAAAGCAATGGAAGAGAGGCAATATTGGAAGAAATAATAGCCCCAAACATCCTATAACTAAAGAAAGGGATGAGACTGAACTGATGTCTCTGTGTTCCAGGCACAATAAATATTTTTAAAAATTCTTGCCACATTTTAATAAAATTCAGGAACATACAAAAGAGATAAGATTGCAAGTACTATAAGAGAAGAGAAAATGATATTTTTAAAGGGAATAGAATAAGAGTTTTCATCAACACACTTGGCACAAAGAAGACAATGAATAGAGTAACATTTTCAAAGTGAACAAAAACTACTTTGAAAATTAAGCCAAACTAGCTCTCTTAGAGGTTACATCCTCAACTTACACTAGAAACATGCTTTTTAGAGACATTGAAGTAAATAGCAAAATAATCAGTTACAAGTATTGAAAATGATACGGTGAGCAATAGGAATGAGACAAAGTAAAAAGAACTGGCATTTTTCATTACAAGGATGAAATTATGTTTTTGTACCCTTTTCATAGAGATTAAATCTGTTTTTTATATAACCAACTAAAATAAGCACTTTTTTTTTTTTTTTTTCCAGACGGAATTTCACTCTGCTCCCAGGCTGGAGTGCAGTGGCGCAATCTCGGCTGACTGCAACCTCCACCTCCCAGGTTCAAGCAATTCTCCTGCCTCAGCCTCCCGAAGAGCTGGGATTATGAGTGCAGGCCACCATGCATAGCTGATTTTTGTAATTTTAGTAGAAATGGGGTTTCACCATTTGGGCCAGGCTGGTCTCAAACTCCTGACCTCAAGTGATCCACCCACTTCAGCCTAAAATAAGCATTTCGAGTGCTCCTATGCAGAGGGCTTGAAGACTTGGAAGACTCAACCCCACCTCTGAGAGACTTCCCATCTGTTAGAGGGAGGAAGGGTGGAACAGTGAACACATCTGGGGAATCCCAGTCTGTCATTTACTGGCTTTACAAGTTGAGGGAAGGGAGCTGATCTCTCTGAGCCTTAGTTTTCTTGCCTGTAAAATGGGGATGATGAAATGCCTACCCCATCAACTTTATGAATTACTTAGTGCAATACTTGGCATGTAGACAACATTCATTATCATTACTCTTCTTCTCATGTATAAGGAGATGCTCGAAAAGGCTATCTCCATGTAGTAGGATTTTACTTTATTTTTATGTTATTCTTTGTATTTTCCTGTATTGTGTATTTATACAGTAAGCATGTATTATTTTTACAAAGTTTACAAAATGCACCCTGTAAAAGAATCAATATTTTTAAATTATCGGAAGAAAATTTCAGAGATCATTTTTAATAACCTCAGAATAAGTAAGACCTTTACGAAAAACATGTACAAACACACCCACCACAGGTAGTCAAAATGTAATACTCCTAAGGGACAAAAACACTATGAATAAAGTTAAACAATAGCAATCTTTGAGGAACTATTTGCAGCATATATCTTAAATTTTTATAAATCAGTGAGAAAAAGACAACCTAATAAAAATGGTCAAAAAATAAATTCATAGACGAGGCAGTACAATTAACCCAGAAATAGATGAAATTATTTTCAACCTCTAATTAGTATATTGTTAATTGAAACAATAGTGGCATATTACCTATCATTCATAATATTGGTAGATATGGCTAGACACGGTGGCTCACGCCTGTAATCCCAGCACTTTTGGAACTGGTCATCAAGAACTCCAAAATCTCCCCTGTAAGAACCACCACCTTTCAGACCAGCACCTCTTCCTTTCCAGATCCTGAATCTGACACCTCCCCCAAAACTGAGCTCTTCAATCCATCATCCTAACTCCTTTTTTATAAACTACAAATCTCAAATGAGCACCTAATACTGCCAAGCAAATGTTTCTTTGCTAAATTTACTTTCCTGTTCTCTTCTCTTCTAGATCTCTCACATTTTCTTCTCTATCATTTCCTTTCATTGATACTTCCGGGTTTTATTTTATTTATTCATCCAACAAATATTTATTTTGTTCCTTTCCAATAGAATTCAGGTCCATGAATGTGGATTCTTTCTTGAAGTTTTGCTGAAAAGTAAAATAGAAATGAAAATTATAAAACATAAAAAATTGCGGTTAAGAGAGGGCTTTCAATGAAAAAAAATAAAAGCAGGCAAAAAAGTCCTCAATAGATCTACAAGCCTTTTCTGTATCTGTGCCCATATTTTCAGTCTTCATGCCAGTAATAATCAAGAAGAGGTCAACCAATCCACATGTGCTCCAAACCCCACCCCCTTTCAGTTTCTCAGGGACATTGCACATACTCTATTTTCCCTGCTTCTTCAAGTTTCCATTGCTACAACATAATTTAATAGCACACATAAATTCTCTAGTATATCAAATCATAAGGGGGTGGTTTCTGGGATTTGTTTTGTTTTGTTTTTAGAGACAGAGTTTCACCATGCTCGCCAGGCTGGTCTCAAACTCCTGGCCTCAAATGATGTGCCCACCTCGGCCTCCCAAAGTGCTGGGATTACAGGCATGAGCCACTATGCCCAGCCTTCAAGTCATGTTTTTTAAAAAACAAAATAAGGCCGTGTATGGTGGCTCACGCCTGTAATCCCAGCACTTTGGGAGGCTGAGGTGGGCGGATTGGTTGAGGTCAGGAGTTCAAGACCAGCCTGGCCAACATGCTGAAACCCCATCTCTACTAAAAATACAAAAATTATCCAGGCGTGGTGGCACATGCCTGTAATTCCAGCTACTTGGGAGGCTGAGGCAGGAGAATCATTTGAACCTGCGAGGCGGAGGTTGCAGTGACCCGAGCTAGCACCACTGCACTCCAGCCTGGGCGACAAAGTGAGATTCCATCTAAAAAAATAATTAATTAATTAATTAATTAACTAAAACAAAAGAAATTCTTTCTTGAACTCACATGTCTCTCTTTCCCTCTTCATACCAAAATATCTCTAAAGAGTTTTCTAAATCATTGGCTTCCAGATCCTCACACCCCATCTACTTTTTTTTTTTTAACTCATATCTATTTATCATCCAACCCTACCACTCCAAGGAATTTGCCAAGGTTATTAACAGGTATTTTGCCAAAGGCAGTGAACATATTTCTGTTACTCAGTCTCTCTGCATTCCGCAAATTTGACCACTATAGACTTCATGATAATCTTTCCTCTTTTGATTTCCTTAACCCTAGCTCTGGGTTTCTTGCTTAAATTCTCTGGCCATTCCTTAGTTCCTCTACCTTTCTCAGAGCTTTAACCTAGTCCCTCTTCTCTTCTGTGCATATACTTTCTCCTTAAGTTTTCTTCCTCAGTTCCATGCTTTATAAACTACCCATATGTCAACTACTCCCAAAGTCACACTCTAGCCCTGTCCTCTCTTCTAAACTCCATATTCCAACTGCCTATTTAATTTCCTTACCAGTTACCTAATAGGTACTTAGCAAAAATAAGAAATAAAAATAATATCCATTGCATATATTCCCTTTCAGTAATTCCTTTTTATACTGCAGGTCTGTTACCCTTAACACCAGACTATGAGAGTAAGCCTGTATTCCCAAGAAAGGGAAAAAGAACCCACAGGGAGAGCAAATGACTGTCAATTCCATTATAGAATTTTGAAAGCTTTAGCTTTAAAATGCAAAACTAGATGATGAAAAAGGAAAATGTTTTTAATGAATTCTGAAATCTTGGACTTAATTATGAAAAACACATCCTAGGCTGCATGTGGCAGCTCACACCTATAATCCCAGCATTTTGGGAGGCCAAGGAGGGAGGACCACTTGAGCACAGGAATTTGAGACCAGCCTGGGCAACATGGCAAAACCCCATCTCTCATCTCTACAAAAAATACAAAAGATTAGCCAGGCATGGTGATGCATGCCTGTGGTCCCAGCTACTTGGGAGGCTGAGGTAGAGGATCGCTTGAACAGAGGAGGTCAAAGCTGCAGTGAGTCATAATTGTGCCACTGCACTCCAGCCTGGGCGACAGAGCCAGACCTTATGTCAGGAGGGGGAAAAAAAATCATCCTAAAAGACTAAAAGAATATGGCTTATGCCATAGGCCATAGATTAGAAAATAAAAGCTGGTGAAAATGTTGATGTTCCTGCCACACAGAGAGGAAGAGAGGAGAGAGGAAAACGTTCTGGGCTGGGGAAAGACATTTGAGAGGATAGGAGAAAGAGAGCAAGAGAAATCAACTCAGTGTGAGCCCTGCCTTTACCAACTGATCATCTCATTCCCTCACTCCAGGAAAAACTCTTTATGGGGAAATAAACAAAAGGAATCCAAAACAGTAAGAGATGTGACCTCTCGCCTGACTGGAATTCTGGAGACATTTCACAGGGTGCCCCAGGGTCCCCTGGAGTAGCTAGAGGGGAGTAGAAATCTGGCCAAGTGGCACTAGGCAAAGAGAAACTGAGATGATCTTGCAATATGCAAAGGAGACCCAAAATGGGGTAGAGGAGGTCAATGGAGTTGGGAAATTTTGTGCCAGCCAGAGGCACCTGCACTGCATGGGGGAAGTGAGCCCTCTAGATTCCTGTGGCAGAAATCCAGGGCAGAGACCAGAGAGATAATCAGGCTCAGTCCAGGAACAGCTCTGAGAGCCAGAGCTGAGAAGTGAGCAGGCAGGGGCTCGAAATATGTGGGATGAGGCTCAAGACTCATACACACTGGAGTGCTCTGTAAGAAGACGATAGAAAATCACAAGTAAAAATAAGAAACTAAAGCAGATAATTCAATGGAAAAATCATTTAGAAATATAAAGTATTAAAAGTTGACAAATACCACAAATATCACAAAATCCAAAAAAGATAATCTTTTAATTTATCTTTTTAATTAGTTTTCATTTTTTAGAGGTGAGATCTTGCTCTGTTGCCCAGGCTGGAGTGCAGTGGCATGACCGTAGCTCACTGCAGCCTTGAATTCCTAGGCTCTGTGGATCCTCCCACCTTGGCCTCCCAAAGAGCTTAGGATTACAGACGTGAGCAACTGCACCTGGTCAGAAAAATAATAATATTTTTGTTAGTTAACTCCCTGCCATACCTCTGTAATGCTTTCTTAAATGGTAGGCCGCATACTTTAGGAATGCCTGATTATTTGATAACAATTTCAGATTATCATATTCTATATGGAAAAGGGAATACTAATTAGTTTCTCTAGCATGGTTAATGAAAAATTTATTTATTTTTATTGATATTTTACATAATTTTTTAGTTTGCAAATTGATCCTGGAATTCTCATTTAAATGTTTAAGATTGTCACATTTGGGGACATTTCTATCAAGATCATTTCTTATATGAGCTATAAGATTTATCAGGAAAGTTTGTATCACATAAGTGAAATGTAATTCAATATGTTAAGATGCATGAAATATGTGATTTCACTTACAAACATACTCATGGCTATAGTACTGCAGCAAACTTAACGCCTTCAAATGCAAGAATCCTGATAAATTGTATTTCAGACGATTGCCATGAAAAAGTTATAGTCCATGAATAATTGCATGTTACATGTATAATCAGCTATAGTCAGACGAGAATTGATAAAAACCAGATCCTCTACTTACAAAAATGTGTGTACGATGATTAAAAAATTTCCCACAGATTGGCTTCTACCTCTGACATTTCAAACCTCATTTCTCTCACACTCACTTATTTCTGACGTAGCCTGCAAAGTGCATTCCTATCTTTCCTCCCTGTCTCGCTCCCTCTTTTCCTCTCTGTTTTTTTCTGGAACTTGATCCTTCTCTGCCTTCAGCATTCTTTCCATTCTGCATCACAGCACAGAGCCATCCCATCTGCTCACATGATTAGAATCATCTAGAGTCTGGTGACCCGTACGTGAGTGGCTCCGGCTAAACTGTAGACATTTCCAATGGCTTAATGAACAGTCTCCTTTGTCCCACAACACCATACATCCAAAGTGTCAACACCAAATCTACTTTTCCTCTCTGCCTTCTCTGTTAGACAATGATATTATCATCTATCCATTCTCCCATGCTGGAAGTGCAGAAGTCACATTACATCCTTCTTTTATTCCCTCCTTCCAAAAAATAAGTCTTGTTGATCCTTCTTTCTAACAATCCCAATTCTCCATTTGTTGTATCTTTGTAAGTGACGTCACTGATTATTGCGTTGTTCTCATTGTGGTGGTGGTGGGTGAAGAGGTGAGAAAGAATAAGTGTATTTTGAGAAGTATTGTCTCTGAGAAACCAACACGGCAAGCAAGCACAGATGTCCAAACAAAAGGAGAAAATGTAGTCACCAAACTGGGAACAGAGAGGTTGTGAGTCAGTTTACATAGAACTGATAGGTTCAAACCATGGATTGTAAGAAAATAAAGCAAAGGGCCTGGCGCGGTGGCTCACGCCTGTAATCCCAGCACTTTGGGAGGCCGAGGCAGGCAGATCACGAGGTCAGGAGATTGAGACCATCCTTGCTAACACAGGGAAACCCCGTCTCTACTAAAAATACAGAAAAAAAGTAGCCAGGCGTGGTGGCGGGCGCCTGTAGTCCCAGCTACTGGGGAGGCTGAGGCAGGAGAATGGCGTGAACCCGGGAGGCGGAGTTTGCAGTGAGCCGAGATCGCGCCACTGCACTCCAGCCTGGGCAACAGAGTGAGACTCCATCTCTAAATAAATAAATAAATGAAAGAAAAGAAAAGAAAGCAAAGGATATGGAAAAAACTCAGCTTTCCTTTAAACAACTATGACTGTTACAGCATTCACTATAACGAGAAAATGTCTCAAGATTTCCAAGATACTCTCAGCACAGTCATATTTGAAAAGAAGATAAGAAAGCTTTGCATGCCTACTTCGACGTGGTCAGAGAGGTGGAAGAGTATTTCTGGGACCCATTGCTTACAACACAATCAGCAATGCACTCCTAGAAATACACGTGGCCCACAATACAGGCTAGACTCCTCTTTAGTTTCAGATGGAGTCTAGAGAAATGGGAGAAAAGCCTCAAATACTTGTAACTCTGTGTGCCTCGGGTCCTTCACCATCAAGCAAAGGTGCCTCTTTGCTTAGTTTCATAGAGGCCTCTCCCGGTCTTCTCTTTTTGAGGCAAACTAGCAAGCAATAGTTCCTTTCCTGCAGCAGGATTCAGAGGTCTGCTATCACCCCTCGTTCTCTTAGACAATGTGATCTTGAAAGTCTCATTGGGATCTTCTCATTATTCCATGACTTTCTATGATTGAAGTTCTTTTTAATTTGATAGTGAACTGGCACAGCAAAAACAAATATTCCCTCTTCAGTCTTACTTCAAAAATTGCTGGTTCTCTAAGAAAAAAATGTTTTGTCTTACACACAGAAAATAAAATAACCCAAGCCCTTATTTCTTTATTTAAATTCCATTCAACAAGCATATGCTGGTGCCCATCTTGTGCTGGGTTCTATGCTGAATGGATTATTTTTTTCTATTTTATTTTGTTAAATTATTCTATCCATGTTATTTTTCATATTTTACTTATATTGAGTGATTACATGTACAATGTCATTACCAAAAGTGTATATTAAGCCTCATATTTGTTGTACTAAGCGCAGTAAAAAATAATTTTACTAGTAGTCTAAACTTTCTAGAAATTTAAAATCTACAGCATATGTTTGCACTTCTACAAAAGGTAATTTTCTAATATTGATAATGATGAAATTGTTTTATCATATTTTGAAGTTGTCTTCTTTGTTGTTCCTTCCGTATTAAAGAAATACCTAGGGCTATACTATGATTTGAAGTCGCTAGTAATGTATACTTGATTTTTCATTTATAAAATTCCCAGATCATAAAATATAAGAAATGACCTTTCCCCTTAGAAGTTATAAGTTTGAAAGCTAAGCTATTTCTAAGCTCTAAATATCAGGTTCTTAGAATAAAAGCAAAGCAGTATTCTCTGTAAACCAAAAATCTCTAGCTCCTGAGATGGATGCTCTGATGCTGTTTTCAAAGTCTTTAGTCCAAAAAAATAAATATTCTATATATTTGCAAACAAAAATCAAAGCCACAGATAGGAATATTTCATCTAGTTATAACTGCTTATATATGTCAGAGAATATAACATAGTAACATTTTTCTATAATACATAAATACTATTTATCACAGAATACAGAAATCAGAGAAGCAAAACATGTCATTTTTATATAAACTTCTGATACGTGCTATCCATGTCCTGAAGTAAAATTTTCAGAAATCGAATAATGCAGGAAATGGGCACTTCCGGAAAGCATAATACAAAAATGGGAAAGCAAGGTCTCTTGGCTATAATGGAAGTATCTCTCGTTCCATTTCCTTTCCTATACCCAGAGGAGTAGTGCAATGACATTCGGCCATGTTCTCTCCTCACCCTCCAACCCAGTTTCCAATTCCAAAATAAGAATTTGAAGAGCTTTACAAAAGTGCATACCAGAAAACAAGAGAAATAAAGAAGAAGGCAGGCCAATAGAAACCAAGAGAGAATGAAACCATGAGATTAGCAGGAGAGGTAACACAATAGAAATGTATGCCATTAGCTTCTACACAATTATTATGGGGATACACAGATTTTCCTCTGATATTTTAAGCACCAAATGCAAAAATAAAAATACAATTAGTTATTCATTTTATATTTTCTATATACAAAGTTCATCATGGTTCTGAGAAAGCAACTTCCCCTTGCTCTGTCTGAAAGATACTCATGGTTTGTCATCGGGGGACCCGAAGGAAGAAGAAAGCAGAGAAGATTGGGAGAGGACAAAAGAGCGAGAGGATGTGGAGAGAAAGGGTGACATGCTACCAAGAAGACTGATAGTCAGCCGGGTGCGATGGCTCACGCCTGTAATCCTGGCACTTTGGGAGGCCAAGGTGGGTGGATCACGAGGTCAGGAGATCGAGACCATCCTGGCTACGACACGGTGAAACCCCGTCTCTACTAAAAATACAAAAAATTAGCCGGGCTTGGTGGCGGACGCCTGTAGTCCCAGCTACTCGGAAGGCTGAGGCAGGAGAATGGCGTGAACCCGGGAGGCGGAGCTTGCAGTGAGCCGAGATCGCGCCACTGCACTCCAGCCTGGGCGACAAAGGGAGACTCCGTCTCAAAAAAAAAAAAAAAAAAAAAAAAAAGGAAGAAGACTGATATTCATCCCACTCTGGTGACACACAGGAATGGAAACGGCCACTTGCCCTCTGGATGGAAATGCCTCTTTGCTTAATTTCATACAGGCCTCTCCCCGTCTTCTCTTTTTGAGGTAAACTAGCAAGCAATAGTTCCTTTCCCGTCGCAGGATTCAGAGGTCTGCTATCACCACTCTTTTCCTTTGCTGATAGTAGCTTATTAGAAATGTCATTAACTACATAACGTCACCTTGAAATAAATGTAAATTAAATGTTTCACAACATTTTATAGCAAAGTGAGAAGTCCTCCATTCTCCCCTTCACTAAGCTAGTGGAGAATATAATACAAAATAGCAACCTAATATATAGTCTTTCTCCATGTTAATGCCAATGAGAGGATAATCACTAGTTTTGATTATGCTTTTTCTTATTTTAGAACCTCCCCCCCCAACAGACAGACAGACACACACACACACACTCACAAGTAAAAACGCACCTGGGATATCAGAATGGAATAGATGGATAATAATGGATCAATTAACTCAGGTAGATACTCATTTGACCATATTCTTTGCCTAAATAATTACTTGAAATGTAGGAAAGTATCTTTATCTCATTGGATTGATCCAATTAAATATGAGTATTAAAGTATGACACTCTAGGGAGGATTTTTTTCTCGACTAAAAAGGTTAATTTCTATGTGAGGGTAAGTGGACATAAAAGTCATGGCAAATGCAAGAAATATATCTTTCCAAGCACATTGCTGAACATATAAAAGGGGCTTGTTGAATTCTTACTGAATTAGGTATCTTTCTTCACACTACTTGGTAAAAAAAATGAAAAGGCAGAAAAATTAGCCCCAAAAGAGATGAAACTCTTCCGTCCATCACCATTGACTCTATTGTGAACTTATGAAAAAGGTAGTTGAGCAATATGAAGGCCATGATGTGGAATTAAACACACACACACACACACACACACACACACACACATGCTGGATTCTAAAATGTGTCCTTCCTCCTCTCACTCTCTTGATCAGTTTTATTTCTGAACTGAGACACGATCACCACAATTCAAATAATTAACCACAAAACTAAACAGAAGTTTACAAAACCCATCAGGTGTACAGAGGTAATTTATTTAGTCTGGCTTCACTTAACACAAATAGGTCAAAAGCAATCACATTTTGTAAGTAGTAATAGTTGGAGAAATGTGTGAAGAATAGGTCAAAAGATAAATAAGAATTATTTTATAACCATAAGAAAGGAAGAACATCTATAAACAAAAGTCATATATGCAACATAAAAGAATAGGTGAGCTGCCAGCAAATGGGCCTCACAATGCCTTTTCCCCAACACTTCTGGAAGTTCCATAAAAATCACTCTAATGGGTCAAACATCGATGGTTCTCAGAAGAACACAATTTTTTTCAAAAACGAATAGCATTGTAAATTCATTTGAATTCATAAAACAAAAGAGCTATTTAATCATCTAGACCAAAGTTAAAGAAATACCTACTACAAAAATTTTAATGGGATAATTAGAAAGAAATAGCTTGGGCCACTGCTTCGAGCAGAAGATGGAGTTCAGTGGCTACCATAGGAAGGGTCAATATCAGGATGGCCTGTGAGTCCAGATGAGTCTCTCTTTGCCCATTTTGCCACAGAACACATTCACAGCACAGTACAAAGCAGTAGGCATGGAGTAAGGAAAAAGGCTTGTGTTTTAATAGCCAGGAGTTCTACTCGGACCCACTCAGGTAAACTGAATGGCAAAGATAATTCTTCCTGCAGGTCATTTCTTTTGCTAGTTTGCTAACTCTGAGTCCTATGCTCCTGTGCAAGGCCCATGATGTGACTCTGAGCATTCATTGAACTTTGCTGGGACAACATTCATGCCACCACATCAGAACAGAATGAAAGCTTGCCCTTTTTTTTTTTTTTTTTGAGACAGTGTCTCTCTCTGTTGCTCAGGCTGGAATGCAGTGGTACGATTCTCCTGCCTCAGCCTCCCAAGTAGCTGGGATTGCAGGTGCCTGCCACCACCCCCAGCTAATTTTTCTAATTTTAGTAGAGACAGGGTTGACCAGGCTGGTCTCCTTCCCCTGCCCTCAAGTGATCCATTCACCTCAGCCTCCCAAAGTGCTGGGATTATAGGCTTGAGCCACCAGGCCCAGCCCACATTACTCCTTTTCTGATTAGACCATCTCTTCAGATTAAAGCCTTTGGGTATATGCTGGAGGCAATTGGAATTCTTAATCCTTTAGCTTTGTATAATTTTCTTTCACATATTTAGAAGATCGTTGAGCCCCCTTTTATATGTTGCTGTGATCCAAAGCATGAGTAACTGGGGTAAGAATGCTGGCTATCTTTAGAGGAAGACTTTTTAAATAAATTGAGAAAAATTAAACAGCATCATTCCTATAAAATGCCCGTTGAAAGAATTTTTATAGATAAATATTCACTTTTTTTTGGTAAATTGATGATAAAATTATGTATATTTACCATATACAACATGATGTTTTGAAATGTATACACATTGTGGAATGGCTAGCATGCTAATTAACTATGCATAACCACGTTTCCTTTCACCATGTTGAACCCTGACATAATTTTTTTTTCCACAAACACCTCACTCTGGAGAAGGAAATGATTTTTTTTAATTAAAATAAACATACATTGGAAATACTTAGTGCTAAAATAAGCCTGAAGGAAAGGTTGGAAGTATGATGAGTCAGAAAACTGACTGTAAAGAAACCAATTACTTAACATAAAACACCATTAAAGATAAGCCACGAAATGTAAGGTCTGCTGGGTAGGAAAGTGGCAAATGCAATGAAGCATGTCTTTAGATCATGCAGGTCTATAACCAACGGTGAATCTAGCAAAAGTTATTTTCTCTTTTGGGGAGAAACTTCTTCTTATTAAAAAAATAAAAAATGTTTCAACTTCTTGAGCACCAAGGTCAATTATTCTAAATCTTAAAACCACAGTTTTAATTTTGCTTTTTTGTTGGTTTTTGTACTTTGGAGTATTTGTCTACATTATCCTTTTTATATTTGCCATATTTAAAGTCCAAACTAAAAGCAAATTATTTTCTCTCCTCAAGTTAAATGGCTCTATCTTTTTCTTTAAAATCCATTAAGAAAGTGAAACTCCCAAAGTAAGTCCAAAAAAAAGCCCCCAAGTCTGAAAATGTGGAGCTTTTCTGGCAGTAATGCAGCTTCTGCAAGTATTGCAGACCAGATCAGGTATCAGAATTTTAAAGCTTCAGTAACAAAGCTGTCCTATTGACCCTGAGGAGATTTATGAAATCACTTTCCTGATGTTATTGAAACCAAAACACTTTCCTGGACACTGAATTCAGTCCTAAACAAAGGGCCTCCAACCAACAGCTGTCTTGGGCTGAATGAGTTAGACTCAACCTCGTGTGACGGAAAAACAGTAAACACAAGCTAACATTTAAAAGGAATTGATGGCACCGTGTAAATCAGAAGCCCAAGGAGGGCCTGGCTTCAGGTGTGGGGTTCTCTCTCACGCTCTCAAATCCACATCCTCCGGATTAGGTCCATTTTCAGACAAGCTCCTCCAGCAACTACATACCATGCGTCTTCTCAGGTGTGGGTCCTGCAGGAAAACTAATACACTCTTTGTCCATAAGTCTCAAAATAAACTCTCACTGGCTCTGGTTGGAACATGAGAGCATCCTTGCCATTCACCATGGCCCCGGTCACTAAACGTCTTCACGCCCTGGACTGGTAATACAGCCTATCCCAAAGCACCTGGACTGAGAACGGGAAATGAGTGGTTCCCAGAGTGAAACTGAGGTACTATTACTAAATTAAGGTAAATATATGTGGAATGTTAAAAAAAAAATGATGTCCAATGTTTACAAGGTATACTTCTGCCATCAGATATAATGTATTATTGCAAGTGTACCTGCTTATATTCTACTATCATATTTCTAATTTCTGCAGGCCTTGAAAACATATAACACTCCTAGATACTTACCCAGGAGGAAGAAAAGCATATGTTTATATAAAGACTTGCACATGAATGTTCGTAACAGTTCATTTGTAACATCCAAAAGTTGTATGCAACTCAGTTCCCATTAATAGGTGAATGGATTAAAAAAAAAAACAGATGAATGCATAAGTAATACTACTTGTCAATAACAAGGAATTAATTCTTGTTATATGCAACCACATAGATGAATCTCAAAATAATGACACTGAGTGAAAGAAGCAGCACAAAAAAAGAGTACATACTGAATGATTCTATTTGCATCTTCTAGGAAATGCAAACTAATCTATAAGAACAGAAAGCAAACCAAGATCAGCAATTGCCTGAGGAATAGTGAGGGTTGGATATGAGGACAGGGAGGGGCAAACAGGAAAGATTAAAGAGCTACACAAAGACACTTTTGGGAGCAATTGATGTCATTATCTTCATCAGAGGTTGACATTTTTTTCTGTAAAGTGCAAGATAGTAAATAACTTAGGCTTTGCATGTCATCTGATCTCTGTTGCAATTATTGAACTTTGCCATTGTAGCATCAAAACACTTATGGGTTTTTAAATAGGTGTATTTATTTATAAAACAGGCAACGGTCCAATTGGGTCTACACACCATAGTTTGCCAATCTCTGATCTTAATTATGGTGGTGGTTTCACAGGTGTACACACGTATCAAAGCTTATCAAATTGTATACTTTAATTATGCGTTATTTATTATAGGTCAATTCCACCTCAATAAAGCATTAAAAAATAAAAACAAAGCAAACACACTTGGGTTCCTCATCATGGATTGGATAGAGTCTAATCTTACCATGGCATACAAGTTCTTCATGTACTGGCCTCTCTTCTTCCCCAGTCAGATCCCTTGCCATTCCCTGGTAGAATGTGCTTGACACACACATCAGGCCATTCCAACTCTACATCTTTGTTGGGGTTCTCTCTGTTACCTCTCTGTCTAGAATGACCTGCTCCTACCAAGTGTCTAACTCAATCATCCTGCTTGTGCTTTGAGATTAAACTTGCACTTCCAGGATGCCTTCCACATCTTACTCCTACTATTCCCTTTGCCTTATGCTCTGTGAGATGCCTCATCTCTGTGCCCCATAATCGCCTGTGTGTTTGTATGTGCATGTGTTTGTGTACATACCTATAGACACTTGCACAATTATACTTCTTGATAATTTTAACTATATTTATATAGCTAAAATTTTCTCTTTTATATTTAGAATTACTATCCAGTCGCTGCCCCTACTATTTGACTGGAATCTCCCTCTTTCTATTAGACCTATCACAATGACTGACACATTACAAAAAAAAAAATTAAAACCCTCACTGCGTGTGGTGTCTCATGCCTGTAACACAAACACTTTGGGAGGCCGAGGAGGGAGGACTGCTTGAGCCCAAGAGTTCAAGACCACCCTAAGCAACATGTCAAGACCCTGTCCCTACAAAAGTTTTTTAAAATTAACAGGGTATGGTGGCATGCACCTGGGATCCCAGTTATTCAGGAGGTGAGGCAAGAGGATCTCTTGAGTCCAGGAGGTTAAAGCTGTAGTGAGCTCTGTTCATACCATTACACTCCAGCCTGGGTAACAGGGCAAGATCCTATCCAAAAAAAAAAAAAAAGGAAGAAACTCAACAAAGCAGCATCGTTGCTATTATTGCAGCTATTTAGCCAATAGGTACATCATTGACATCATTGTAAATAGCCAAGCTGATACTGGAAAACAATTCTATATCTAATCTCAAAAAAGCTTTCTACTAATTCATGCAAATTTATTATTGGAAGCTTACCTATATTTTACACTAGTGTCTTTTACTGATTCTCACTCTTCTTCCTTTATCTCCTAGATACACCAAGATGAAGACTGCCACCAACATCTACATTTTCAACCTTGCTCTGGCAGATGCCTTAGCCACCAGTACCCTGCCCTTCCAGAGTGTGAATTACCTAATGGGAACATGGCCATTTGGAACCATCCTTTGCAAGATAGTGATCTCCATAGATTACTATAACATGTTCACCAGCATATTCACCCTCTGCACCATGAGTGTTGATCGATACATTGCAGTCTGCCACCCTGTCAAGGCCTTAGATTTCCGTACTCCCCGAAATGCCAAAATTATCAATGTCTGCAACTGGATCCTCTCTTCAGCCATTGGTCTTCCTGTAATGTTCATGGCTACAACAAAATACAGGCAAGGTGAGTGATGTTACCAGCCTGAGGGAAGGAGGGTTCACAGCCTGATATGTTGGTGATGTCATAAGCAAAGCAGTATTTATGGAGTGCCCCATTGTCTTAGTCACATTGTAATTTTAATTATTCTTCCTAGCAAAAAAAGCCTTTGAATACTTAAAAATAGGAATTTTCCTCATAATTTTAGGCCTATTAAATCCTTTAAAGAGAATGTAATCTATTTATTTCTGATTTCTCTGTATTTACTTCATAAAAATGGTGTGTAAATTAGTACATAGCTCTCCCAAGAGTAATTGGAGCTTAAACCCAAAGAGTATTACACTGAGGCTTGTTTAAAATTATCAAGTGGCTGACTACATGGCAAATGTATCTTTCTACACCTAATATCAGAATATTGAACAATCCATCAAAAAATGAAGTGAAAACATCCATTACCTGGAGCCGCCTAGAGACTTTGGACAATTATTACATTTTTTATATCAATATAGACCTCATGGAGGATCTAGCTCATGTTGAGAGGTTCATTTTTGTTCCCTGAACGAAAGCTTAATGTGATCGAAGTGGACTGCAAAATGGGAAATTTAGAAAAAAACAAAAAACATTAGAAGTAAAACTTTCTTTGAAAAGTAACAAACAACTGAGTTTCTTCCACAATTTCTTTATAGCCTTAAGTTAGCTCTGGTCAAGGCTAAAAATGAATGAGCAAAATGGCAGTATTAACACCTTATGACATAATTAAATGTTGCTGCTAATTTTTCCTTTAAATTCCTTTCTTCTAGGTTCCATAGATTGTACACTAACATTCTCTCATCCAACCTGGTACTGGGAAAACCTGCTGAAGATCTGTGTTTTCATCTTCGCCTTCATTATGCCAGTGCTCATCATTACCGTGTGCTATGGACTGATGATCTTGCGCCTCAAGAGTGTCCGCATGCTCTCTGGCTCCAAAGAAAAGGACAGGAATCTTCGAAGGATCACCAGGATGGTGCTGGTGGTGGTGGCTGTGTTCATCGTCTGCTGGACTCCCATTCACATTTACGTCATCATTAAAGCCTTGGTTACAATCCCAGAAACTACGTTCCAGACTGTTTCTTGGCACTTCTGCATTGCTCTAGGTTACACAAACAGCTGCCTCAACCCAGTCCTTTATGCATTTCTGGATGAAAACTTCAAACGATGCTTCAGAGAGTTCTGTATCCCAACCTCTTCCAACATTGAGCAACAAAACTCCACTCGAATTCGTCAGAACACTAGAGACCACCCCTCCACGGCCAATACAGTGGATAGAACTAATCATCAGGTACGCAGTCTCTAGAATTAGGTATATCTACTGGGGATGACATAAAAATTATAAGGCTTTGTGCTAAACTAGGAGTTTAATCCATTATAGAGGATGAGAATGGAGGGAAGAGGGGAAGCAAATTGTGGTTCTAGTGTTAGAGAAGAGGTTTGTTATATAAACTGTGTTCTTTATATTTGACTGTACATATTCATTTAGGTATAAAGATACACCAATGAGAAATCCATGAAACTATTCAAAATAACTATTTTTATGGCCTTTACTTCTATGCAAAATTTATGACTTTAGCACATTATAGAAATAATTCTGATCTAGAATCCTTTTCATTTTCCCCAGAATTATTATATAATTCATAGATGTTGCTGCAATACCCCTCTTATTTCTCAAAAGCCAGTCTTGCTCTGGTTCTGTGATTAAAGAGAGAGGGTGAGTGCCTTGCCCACTGTGGTCATGGATGCAAGATATTCACAGAAAATTAGCATCATGGAAAAGGAGAAAAGATTAAAAAATGACCATCCCTAACTTTTCTTAAGCTATTGGTTTGCTACCTGAACTCTAGCACAAATATCAAACATATTAGACTGAATAATATATTATTAATATGTGAATATTAATCTAATAAATTTTATTAGATTAAACAATTTTTAACAGACCTCATGCTTGTTGGAGATAATAGGGTGAATAGCGACTAGCTTTTGGAAGGTGTATTTCTGTGCCCAGACCTACACAGAAAATTCAAGACTTATACACACTATTATAATCATATGGGAAATCAACAAGGAGGAAAGAGAAAAGGCTGTCTCCAAGTTAGTATTACTTGATTAAGCCACTGGTTGGCTAAATTTGACCTCTGATCTATAAAATCAATCAAATACATGGCTTAATTTTTAATATTAATCTAAGTAAGTAAATTTTAAATAATGATGCCAGCATCCAAAAATCACAGCCTGTATAATTTTTTTAACAGTGAATTCAAATTCAAACTTCCTATGAAGTAAAGGCTGGAGTCAGAATCTTGGCTAAAGTTCCTAGAGTCAGGCGTCAGGACTGTGAGGACAGATGGCTCCGGAGAAATGAATAGCAAGTCAAATGATTGAGGAGCTAGGGGAGGCCTTTGCCACCACAGGGTGCAGTGGCTTCCTCCTGCTGTCTCTTGACCACACCCTGTCTCTCACTGTCCCCTCTTTACCCCACTCTGCCATCCAGCCCAGCCCAGGCTCAACCTTTCTAATTGACCAGAGGACTAATGTAATATGGCCCAGATACATCCGTCATGGGCGACATTAATCCTCATACCCCTGGTATTCAGTGATGCTCAAGGGAACACAGGAACTCACACCCCCTAGAGAGCATGAGGTAATGATGGCAGACCCACTTCCAGACAAAGGGAAATTAACTTATTATGTCTCAGTTCTAATTCCATTTCAGAAATGAATGCCAGAAAGAAATGGTTTTGACTCTGCTTCTTTTCTCTACGTTTTTTTCCACATCAAGACTGCTAAACCTACTCCTTTTACTAGGAGCTACTTTTAAAAAGTAATTGCAAAAACAGCGATTACTTTTGCACCAACCTAATGCTAAGCAGCCCTCCTATTCAGTGGCTGCTAGAATCTTGTAAGTAACTTTAAAAGGGCAGGGATTTAAATAGATTTTCACCAACCTGGGGATAACATGTTAAAGATTGCAACTTAAAATGCCTAGTCCTCAGCTAAGGATAAAATATTTTGCTTTGAAGTAAAATATTTCCATTGGAGCAAAATAATGGCCATTATAAAGTACTGACTCTTTCTCCTTTAGTGCCTACCTATACCTTCCCTGTCTTGCTGGGCTCTAGAGCAAGGCTGCTTGGTTGTGTACCCTGGACCACTGCAAGGACCTCTTGTCAGATATGACCTCCCAGCTATCCTTCACTCGTCCTGCCTTCGTGGAAATACTGCTCCCAGCCCGTCTGGTGGAGCATTTCTCCTGAGTTAAGCATGATTATTCTTCAGTTGCCCGACACTGCCCTTGACTCCCTTCCAAATTCGGCATTTTCACATCAGTATGGCTATTGTACAGCCAGATAGAAGAGAAAAGAAGCTAATTGGAGGAGTTCTGTTCCAAGTAACTAAAAGGTTTGCTTTAAAAATACATCCAATTAGGCCTTATCTTCATCGCTGCCTCTATGAAGCAGTATCAGTGTAAGATAACAGCAGAAACACATTAGCCCTCGAATTGGTTGCTGTCCCAAAATGCCCAACTGAGAGAACTGGACACAGAAGAGAGGCTGCCAGGAAAAGAGGGAAAGATGCTCTGACATATTTAAAAATTAAGATAAATCAAAGCTCCCTTTGGCTAATCTCCACTGATGTGTCATCATTAGAATTAAAGCAGTTACAACCAGACAACTGGAACAATACATAAGCTGCTAGTGATAGTTTCAATAATATATCAACATAATAAAATGACTTGAAGGAGAAATTGGAGACTTGATGGCTGTGTCTATAGGACATGTTAAGTTAGTTGTACAAATCCAGAATGTGATAAACAGGTGTTTGGTCGTTGTTTCACATCATGACCCATCATGTTGGAAAACAAAGCTAATAGGATTTGCATTTAACTTTTCAACTACTTGTTTGAAGTTTATATTGGTTGTGGATGTTTATGTTCTGCCTTATGTATTTGTACTTTCTTTGAGGAATATATTATACTCTATATGTCACATTTCAAGCACATTAGTCAACTTCATATTCTGCAGATCAGAGATCCAATATCAAACCTTCCCAGGGTGTCTGTATTCTGACAACTGTCCACTGAGGCAATTTCCATACAGCGCAAAGTGGAGTGGCGATTTGGCAGTTATCAAGGTAATTTGATAAGCCAATGAGAAAATTCTGTGCCCAAAATAAGCTTAGAGTCATACTTACACAGTTAAGAGCTGCTCAGTCAGCTTTTGTTACATTACAAATCATTCCAAAATGTAGTGGCTAGAAGCAACCATTTATTTAGTTTACAATTCTGTAGAACAGCCATTGGAGCTGGGCTTGGCTGGACCGTTCTTCCAGTATTGGCTGGGCTTGCTCGGAGGGCAGCTGCCCGATGGGCGGGTGGTCAGCTAGCTGATCTACATGGCCTCAGCAAGAATGACTAGCTCCACATGGACTCTTACCGTCTAGCATGTTACCCCAGCCTTGTTCTCATGGTGGTCACAGATTCCAAGAGAAAGAAAGAGAGAGAGAAAAGAGGAAAGCGTCTTTTGGCATAGAGTAGGAATTGGCATACGGTCAACTCTGTGGTTTTATAGGTCAAATAAAGTCATCCTGCCAACCTAGATTCAAAGGGTGAGAAATTAGACTCCATCTCTTGCTGATAGGATCTGCAGTCACATTGCAAAAGGATAGGTATATAGGGAGCGAATAATTATGACCACTTCTGCTAACAATCCGTAGTAAGGACATGCTGCATGAGACAGGGAAGCCATTACTTCCTGAGGGCAGGAGCCGTGTCTGTCTTGCTCTCCCAAGCCAGAGTCTAGCACATTAAAAAGAAAGTACTTCTGGCCAGGCACAGTAGCTCATGCCTGTAATCCCAGCACTTTGGGAGGCCAAGGCTAGTGGATCACCTGGGGTCAGGAGTTCGAGACCAGCCTGGTCAACATGGTGAAACCCCGTCTCTACTAAAAATACAAAATTAGCCAGGTGTGGTGGCACATACCTGTAATTCCAGCTATTTGGGAGGCTGAGACAGGAGAATCGCTTGAACCTGGGAGGCAGAGGTTGCAGTGAGCCCAGGTCGTGCCATTGCACTCCAGCCTGGGCAACAAGAACGAAACTCCATCTCAAAAGAAAGAAAGAAAAGAAAGAAAGTACTTCCAAAACATCCAAAGCATTGGACAGATTCATGTCTGTTGAATAAATGATGAGAGGGCTGAGGATATTTCAGGAGATGTGGCAGGCATGACCCCTTCATCATGCAACTGACGAACAACCTAAATGACTATGTACCCTAACCCTCTTACCGTCAGTAATGGGAAAATATTCAAAATAGGCCTTCTTCCTTTTCTCCTCCTCAGCCTTTGCTACTCTGATCCAATGTTATTTATACTTTTCAAAAAATCAGTTACATTCATGGTTGTTTTCTAATTTTATTTCTAACGCGTACTTTTGATAAGGAGACCAAGAGATTGATTCAGTGCCCTAAAGAGGTCTTTCCCTAGCTGAGTATGAAAAAACAAAAAAGATGGTCTCGTGTTTTTTTTGTGCATGCCTGGGCTCAGCCTACTGCTCCAGCTGTAGCCTCTGTGCCTGATTTATGTTCAGCTTGCTGTCTTTATGACTTTTAGATCTTTATTAGGTAGACTAAGGCATAGGCATTCATTTTCCATCTGTTCTCAGTGCAATTTAATTTCTCCACACACGCCCTACACTGCTGTTGTCCTATTGAACTCCACTTTGCTTTCAAACCCTTCCCTTGTTTATTTCGATCACTTCAGGTTCAACTCAAACCTGAACTGTTGGCCACTGCTAACCTGCCTTGCCCACTTGGTTTCCACCCGCATCATATTATCTAATGCATTTTCTTTTTGTTGTTATTGTTGTTGTTTGTTTGTTTTTTGATTTTTAGTTTGAAATGGAATTACTCTGTCGCCCAGGCTGGAGTGCAGTGGTGCGATCTCAGCTCACTGCAACCTCTTCCTCCTGGTTCAAACGATTCTCCTGCCTCAGCCTCCCCAGTAGCTGGGATTACAGGCATGCGCCACCACACCCAGCTAATTTTTGTATTATTTTTAGTGGAGATGGGGTTTCACCTTGTTGGTCAGGCTGGCCTCAAACTCTTGACCCCAAGTGATCCGCCCACCTCAGCCTCCCAAAGTGCTGAGATTCCAGACGTGAGCCCCTGTGTCTGGCCTCTAACGCATTTTATATCTTGACACGTAGGTGATTATTGAAAACGTTTAGCATTATATGGGGAAAAAAGCAACACTGTTACATCAGTTGAATTATCACTGAAACGGTAGAGTTTGGTGCAAAAGTAATTGCGGGTTTTGCCATTACTTTCAATGGCAAAAACCGCAATTATTTTTGCACCAGGCTAGTACTAACAACCACTATAATAATAATGCTGCCTTACATTTATATGGCAATGTACAGATTCAAAAGTGCTTTTATGGGCATTATCACATCTGCTTCCTATAACAACTCTGATGGGTAAATGTAAGAAAATGCTCAGGGAAGTTAAATCATTATATAAGATCAAACAGCCAGGAAGAGGTAGAATCCAGACAAGCACCCAGGGCTTCGAATATTACTCCACAGCTTTTCTCTGCTTTCCTACACAATGCTACTTTGCACTCAATTATTATCACATGGTCTCAGCCAGATTCTCAACATTTACTATGAGCTCCAGAAAATGTAAGTTCTTAAGAACTGCTCTAATAAATTATAGTTTGTTATGTGAGGGTCCAAGAATCTGCCTTTTAAATAAAACAATAAACTGAAATCTCTTATTTAAACTGTACCTTCATCTCCAAAGTAGCACATTTACTGTTTTGTCTAACCTGTCTAGCCATTTCAGTCAAGCTGATTGACATGAATGTTTTCACCAAATGAGTTATGTGTTTTGTGAAATAATGTAATTATCCTTGGAAAAAGCCTTAATATTCTGACATATCTACCCGTGGGTCTTACAGGAAAAAGCAATATAATAGTGATAAAGTGAACGTCGTGGCATGTCCTGCTAATTCCTTTCCATTAATATGGCAAGTCCAGTCCTAAACCCTCTAATTACTATTATTAAAGCACTTTCTTGACATTTTAATCAAAATAGCGGGTCAAGAAGTTAGGAGATGCTCTGTATTTGGTTTAACTGTGAACTATATTATCCCCAGCTAAACTAAAAGCAGAAGCCTACTTTTAAAATAAAATACATCACTCTCAAAAGTTGATCTCAGTTTTTTTTACAAGACATCTGTGGAGAGTTAATTTGGGAAAGTAATTGTTTCAATTCAATGGGAAAAAAAACTCAAATGAGAATAGCTCACAAAATTACAGCAGTGGACAACATTAATGCTTATTTTGTGAATGAAATCAAAATGGCTATTCTTTCAGTTCTACAGTTTAAAAAGAAAATGGTTCCGTGTGTGTGTGTGTGTGTGTGTGCGTGTGATATAGGCATGTCTCTTTTTGCATGTATGGAATTAGAGTAAATGTAGGTTTAAAATTAATATTTCATGCATAGCAGAAGAAATTAGTATGTGTTTCTATAAATTATTGTGATATGTGAGAGAAAATGTTGTTTAGTTAAAAATGTGTTTATCCCTAGAAAAATTTGGCTTTTAGACTATTCATAATAACATATATTGACCATTTTGTGTCTGGGATGGGATATCTTATTTAATCATATTAGATATGGATTGTAACCTCTACTCTATAGTTGAGGAAACTAATGTTTAAGGAAGTAACTTGCCCAAGGTCATAGTTAAAATGTAGTGGCTGAGGGTTGGGTGCAGTGGCTCACGCCTGTTATCCTAGTACTTTGGGAGGCCAAGGCAGGAGGATTGTTTGAGGCCAGGTGTTCGAGACCAACCTGGCCAACATAGCAAGACCTTGTCTCTACTAAATTTATAAAATTTTAAAAATTAGAAAAAAAATTTTAATTAGTGGCTAACTATTGACTCCAGTTAAATTCCATCTTATAACCCAGGCTTTTAATCAATGTGCCCTGATATATTCCAGTCTATTTTTCACTCTTCTCAGCATGGTCTCAGACCTGAGAAATTTAGGGAAATTTAGTTTTAAAGATTGGATTAACTAAAGTGGTGCAGTATCTTCTTTTCCTGACTGTTCTAACTAATGTAACTAACTGAAAAACAGCAACATATTTTTCCTTTCAAAACTAACAAAATGAGATGTCATCTTATTTGGTTAAACTTAAGTGGTGAATTGCTATTTTACAGCCATTTTTTGTAAAAATACTCTCACTGAGATTTAGTGTTTTGGAACATGTCAATCTTTATTTTCTACCTCATGTAGTTTTGGATGCTAAATATGAAAAGGTGCATATTTTTCTCTTTTAACTTTCAACAACACCACGTTTATTTTTACTTCTACCTCTATGATTTTGAAATGCAGTTTCACAGTATTTATTTTTGCTTTTGCATTTTCTCCTTCACACTAAAGGAAAGGATATTTGAATGTATATGACCTATCACAAACCAGCTGTTAACTTTTGGATGTCATTCTGATCACTATATCTTTTGGCAGGTTGCAAATAAATATTTGTAAATTGCTAAAATTTGACAAAAATGGCAAAATTAATTTGGAGAGTACATTATGAGAAATAGAAATTTCTGTGGGGTGTAGAACAAAATTTGTCTTATTGATAATTTTCCTTTTCTAATTATTATTTCCCTGGAAATCAAGAATCCAAAGCCACAATTTCATCAGTCCTCTCCCTTCACACTCAGAATTTGTTTCTTTATAGAGTAGAGTTTCTGAGTTTCACGTGAATAGGAACTTTTCATGATGAAGAAAAAAAATTAGAGCCAGACCAGGTGCAGTGGCTCTCATCTGTAATCTCAGCATTTTGGGAGGCCGAGGCCAGTGAATTGCTTGAGCCCAGGAGTTCAAGACCAGCCTGGGCAACCTGACGAAAGTCGATCTCTGCAAAAAACAAACAAACAAAAAAAGCCAGGCGCGGTGGCATGCACCTGTAGGTCTAGCTACTCAGGAGGCTAAGGTGGGAGAATTGATTGAACCTGGGAAGTTGAGGCTGCAATGAGCAGTGATTGTGCCACCGCACTCTAGGCTGGGCAACTGAATGAGAGTCTGTCGAAAGGAAGGAAGGAAGGAAGGAAGAAAGGAAGGAAGGAAGGAAGGAAGGGAGGGAGGAAGAGAGCGAGAGAGAGAGAGAGAGAGAAAGAAAGAGAAAGAAAGAGAAAGAAAGAAAGTAAAGAAAGAAAGAGAGAAAGAGAAAGAAAGAGGGAGGGAGGAAGAAAGAAAGAGAGAAAGAAAGAAAGAAAAAGAAAGAAAGAAAGAAGGAAAGAAAAAGAAAGAGGAAGGAAAGAATGAGAGAAAGAGGAAAGAGAGAGAGGGAGAGAGGAAGGGAGGGAGGAAGGAAACCATATCGTCTATGACTTCTACTCTACTGCAATAAAATCTCTTAAATAAAGATCATACACATATATACACACATATATATACACACATGTATATACATATATACACACATATATATGATGTGGGTAGGGGAGGCTAGAAACAAGATTCATTTCAAATGTTAAATTGTAATTGTAGTTTTTAAAAACATGGAGAGTTTTCATAATAAACATGAAGAGTTTCATAAAAACATGAGTTTTCATAATATATATCAAATATATATCATATCAGGATATATCATAATATATTATATATTATCATATGATATATATCATAACATATTATATATTATATTATGATATATATCATAACATGTATTATCATATTATGATATATATCATAACATATATATTATCATATTACGATATATATCATAACATATTATATATTATCATATTATGATATATATCATAACATATTATATATTATCATATGATATATATCATATGATATATATCATGATATATATCATATTATATATTATCATATTATGATATATATATTATATATTATCATATTATGACATATAATATATATTATCATATTATGACGTATCATAATATATATTATCATATTATGACATATCATAATATATATTATCATATTATGACATATCGTAATATATATTATCATATTATGACATATATCATAATATATATTATCATATTATGACATATATCATAATATATATCAAAAAGTCACAGAGCTCATGCAAGCCCAGTCATCCCCATTGCCAGTGGTGTGTGCTAAAGGAATACACCCATAAATATTAACCCTAACTGGTGTGAGATAAGTATGAATTTAAGGTAGTGCTTGTTGCTTTACTGTGTATGAATCAAAGGAAATTAACCATCTTGTCTTTCTATAACATCTGAACATATTAGAAACACATGCAAAGAAATAAATAGCCTGATAAATTGGCTCCATATCATTATCAGATACCAAATAAATATAGGCTGAAAATTTCATCACAATTTGAATATTGGTCCTCTCAGTTTAAGAATGAATATATAGAAAAATAATGTGAGCAATTTGTCTGTATAAAGTGAAGTATTTCTTGGGAAAGAAGGAAAAAGAGCTAATGTATAGAGCACATTTTTTGTGTAAAATCAGCTACCATCTACTATTCTGTTTTCTATACAGACACCAGAAATCCCAAGAATACTAGATATCTACAAAATCTAGCAATCCCTACCTAGGTTCTTTCTACTTTTGTCACATTATCCAATATTTATAAAGGTTAAAAAATATATATTTAGGAGATTTTATAAATATAAATATATATGTATATATAATCCAGGATTCGTAATATATATTTACATATTATATATATAAATATATATACACACATATATAAAATTCAAGTTTTCTATACCTAAGTCCCTTGAAGTGTAAAAAGTAAATGATTTATTATGATGAAATGGATTCCTTTAAGATGTAATAGAAAAGCAAATCCTATGAAAGATGATATTAAGAAATAAGAATAACTTAATCAACAAATAGCAAAATATTTTTTAAAACGTTGACAACCAGAAAATTCAGTGAAAGGTGGATGTGGGATGAGATATGACTACTGTACATTTGACAATACAATCATCTATTTAACTCATTTCATAATTTGTCGACTTAAGAAGAATATCTCACTCTTACTCTTCTTCATTCTTCTCTATTATATTAGCTAAGGTGTTCTTATATTCAAAATTCCTGAAGTATCATTAAATATGGGCTCATTCAAATTCAAACCATCAACTTTTAAAAACGCTCTCCTTGAGCTACTCTTTGGAAATAGAAGGGAAATGGGAGGAACAATTCTCTCATAGAATTTTTAAATGCTTCAGCTAAGGCTTGCAGTGTGACTTGCATATACTATAATAACTGAATTTCTTTCTGATTGCTTCAGAAGTTCAATATGACAAATAGACTTTCAAATGGCTATAGTATAGCAAATATCAACGTCTAAATCTCAATAATGTAACTGGATATGTCAAGCAGATGCAAAATGTTCACAGTTCTTCGAACACTGGAACTGAAAAAGAACACTGCAGACTGTCTTATCCAAACATCCTTTTCCTATAAATGGAGAAATTGAAGGCCAGAAATGTATTTTTTTATTGTGTACCTTTTTTCTTACTAAATGTAAAAGATGATAGTGAAATCTTTCCAAACACCTAGTTTTCAAATAGAGTTTAAGAAAATTTGTGTAAATAAAAAGTCAGATAATTGTATTTTTACATAAACATATGTAAATTTAATTTTAAAATTTTCATCAGGTTAAGGGGAAGCATTACAATTAGATAAGAACAGCAGATGCAAGATAAAATCCTAAAAAATTATTTATTTTATTTTTTTGGAGACAGGATTTAGCTCTGCTGTCCAAGCTGGAGTGCCGTGGCACCAGCTCAGCTCCCTGCAGCCTCTACTTCCCAGGCTCCAGTGATCCTCCTGCCTCAGCCTCCTGAGTAGCTAAAACTATGGGCACACACCATCACACCATGCTAATTTTTGTACTTTTTGTAGAGACAGGGTTTTGCCGTGTTGCGAGCCTGGTCTTAAACTCCTGGGCTGAAGTGATCCACCTGCCTTGCCCTCCCAAAATCCTAGGATAGCCAAAATCCTAAAAATGTAAATGGCCCCAGATCATACTACTGATGGGCTGAATGTTCTTGGGCAAGTTTCTAACAATCTCTGCTTGCATTTCCTCATCTGTAAGAAAGGTAATAACTGTAGTAACTACCACTTAGCTTTGATGTAAGCATGATGTATGATTATCCATCCAAAGTGTCAGGCAACTGGCTAATATTATTACTCCAAGCCATCCGGTGAGGCTTTACTATTCTCATCTTCTTCTTTTCCTTTTCCCTCAAAACTGAATTTCATCTCTTGTAAATAGCATTTAAAAGGAATGAAATAATGTACCAAAAGAGATCATAAAGTGGACTAACCCAAGCCTTCTCAACCTTGGCGCTAGTGACATTGTGGGCACTGTAAGATGTTCAGCAGCATCCTTTGTCTCAACACACTAAATGCCAGTAGCACCCACCCATCTCCCACTGTGATGCCAAAATGCCTCCAGATATTGCCAAATGTCTCCTGGAGTGGAGGCAGGCAGCAGAAATCAGTCAAGAACCATTGATCTAACCTGTTTAATTTTGTTCAATAGCTGGAGAAACATTAAGGTCCAATTAGTTGTGATGTTTTTAAAGCAATGCTTGAGAAAATTGGAACCAAACCCCAGGTGTCCTGACTTTAGTCTGATCCTCCTCTGAAAATTTCTCTAAGGAAAGCTTTCTTCTACACCACTAACCAGTTGCAAAAAAAAAAAAAAAAAACACTCCATACTCATGGAAGACAAGAGAAAGGCACAATTCTTCAACCCTTATATTACTTCAAGCTTCTTTTAGAAAAAAAATGACCTTCAGCTTGAGACACTATTAAGAAAAAAATTAAAGGCCAATAAAGATGAAGATATTGTTAGAGAACCCCAGGAGGCTCTGAATGAGGTCAAATCTCATGGCGATATTAAAACATTAAGAGGAGTTGTGGACAAACTACAATGAAACACAAATCATAATCTCTGAAGCAAATAAGAATGGAAGGACTCCTGGAAAATGAGGGTAAAGAAATAGAATCCCAAGTTTAATGGGAATATTGTAGCAACTGAAAACCACAGAATATTTAGCTTTGTACAAATTGTTTTTAGAACCTGGATTAAATCATTAAAATGTATTTTGAAAGTACTTAGAAAGAAAGCAAGTAACCTCTAAGAGGCAAGTTATCATTAGTTATGGCAAAATAAATTTTATTTTCTTAGAACATTACTGGACCCGGAAATTAGGTAAACCCTATACCAATTGTGTTTCTAACAATAGATTTGACAAGCTCTTACTAATTTCTGTAATACTATACTGTGTTTATGATCTAGGTAATAGTACAATGAGGTAGGTTTATAAACTTTTTTTTTCAAAGTGAAAGCAAGTTTATTAAGAAAGTAAAGAAATAAAAGAATAGCTACTCCATAGAGCAGCCCTGAGGGCTTCTGGTGGCCCATTTTTACAGTTATTTCTTGATGATATGCTCAACAAGGGGTGTATTATTCATGCCTCCCCTTTTTAGACCATACAGGGTAACTTCCTGATGTTTCCATGGCATTTGTAAATTGTCATGGTGTTGGTGGGAGTGTAGCAGTGAGGACAACCAGGGGTCACTCTTGTTGCCATTTTGGTTTTCATGGGTTTTGGCCGGCTCCTTTACTGCAACGTGTTTTATCAGCAAGGTCTTTATGACCTGTATTTTGTGCTGACCTCTTATCTCAGCCTGTGACTTAGAATCCCTTCACTGTCTAGGAATGCAGCCCAATAGGTTTCAGCCTCATTTTACTCAGCTCTTATTCAAGATGGAGTTGTTCTGGTTCACATGCCTCTGACATGTCCCCCCTCCCTTTTGTAAGAGAACCCTTAATCCTAAGAGTTGCAGAGAGATGAAGATCCATCTTCCGTAACTTCTTCAGGCTGAATAGGGGCAATAATATTCCTGCCTAGCTATTAGGGGCTCTTGTGTTTAGGGTAGAGAGAAGCTCAGTCAGAAAGCATCAGTATGGCGAGGGCCATTCATGACTCTTGAGTTTCAACAACAGATGATATCTGGAAGATTAATAAATGTTTAGTTAAAGAAAACATTCAGTCAGCTTGTCCTGTATTCCTACACAAAGAATATAATAGGAATATATTCCAAAAGAGTAAAGCAAAACAAATGAAGTTATTCCAAGTAAACTAAATTAGAATGCTTTTCATAAACTGGACAACTGTTGGAACTAAGCTGATATGGGGTTGTTAGCTGATTGTAATGTGCCCAGAATTAGAATACTCATTTAGATTTTTACATTACCCATCCCTCTTGTTTCTTCTAAGCAGCAGTCAGACATCACTGGTTGGTTTACAGGAATAAGCAGGATTAGCCTAAATTGCAGAAACAAGCTTAAAAACAACTAATGAGACTAGAATTTAATAACAAGTGTACCATAGTTTTTGAAACATAATATTTCTCTCTCTAGTTTCCCATTTTTACTAAAGACAAATCATGGTAAGGCTGATTTGCTTTATTATACATGACCTGATTATTTGTATAAAGTGCAGCAAGAATAATTATTTTTCACATAAGCTCTTTTTAAATTGGCTTTGATGGAATGCTGTTCCACAGAAGGAATTTCAGGTAAGATCTTTTTAAGCCAAGCCCAGCCATGGGTTTGTACCCTCAAATACCTATAAGTTGGGTAAATTTCTTTCCTCTTGAGGTCCCAAAGTAACTTCAGTCTTCTGGACCTGACAGAAAATGACGTTCTTTACTTACCATAGGTCAGAAACCCTGAACAGGGACTGTGTAGGCAAGGTATGAGGCCAGTTCCCCAAGGGACTTTTATTGGCTTTATAAGTCAAGTTTAATTCCTTAAAGGAAAACACACCATTCCAGTCAAAGCCTTGGTAAGATAAACAATTTCTCCAATTGTGTTGTATTACAAAAGAAAACAGATTCTTATTATGCCTATGCAAATAACTATACTACCATAAGTTAAGAATACTCACAACTAGTTTCCAAATTCTGTAGAAATCAGGTAGACAGAAATAAATATGCTCCAAATTTTGTTCATAGGAGTACACTCAACTGTTAAAAGCTGTAAATAGCTTAAAAGAAAAGTTTTCTTGACTCTGAAAAACAAAACAAAGGATCAGCAATGTTCTAAGCAAAGTTTAAAAGATTAGTTTTCTATTGGTTTACTGAATTTAGTTAACTCCTGTTTTGCTTGACATTCATGAACATTCCATGTCTTCATGAGTTCTGAAAGTTGTTTCCTCTATTCTAATGTTACAATTTCCAAAGTTATCAGAAACTTGCATTTAAGAACACCTGTTAGAGTTCTATAGTTGATTATAAATCATCTTCTAAAGAGGATTAAAACAAGACAACAATTTTCTGTGGATGACAAAAAGTTTTAGGACAGCCACTATTAAAGCCACAATTGATAAGGAAATTTGCTTACTTCTGTGGCACACAGAATTTTACACAACAGTTATAAATAACATACACTAAGTCATATTAGAATTATAGGAGTTTCCCATAACTTTGGAACATATACCAGTAACACATTTATGCAAATATAGTCTAAAGCAAGCAAAACATCATTTCACATTTGATAACACTTCCTCTATGATTTTTATGCCAAATAAGTCAAATTTCACCTTTTACTATTAATGCTAAACCTAAGTTTTAATAAAACCTTATAGACATATTTACCCAATTTTAATGTTTAACCATAAGGTAAGATTCTTATAAACCTTTTATAACCATTTACATTTTTTTGTGTAAGAGCAGATCAGTGCTCTAGGAAAAAGCTATTGTGATTTATTCCAATGTTTAATTTATGGAAAAACGGAATAATACCCCCTTTTAGCCAATATGTTCACACACAGAATCTCTTACAATTAATCCTTATAAACCTTCCACAGCTTGTTTAAATCTTTAGATTTTTTTCTTACTTAAAACAATCCTTTAACACTTTAAGCAGAAAAAATTCACATTCTTATGACTTCTTATAATTTTTCACCAAAAACACATTTTACTTTCTTTACACACCTTGCATGTAAGATTGTTTCTTTAGTAGTTTTAATTACATGTGATAATGTTAACTCTTAGCAACTTCTATTTTTGATGAAAACCTTGGTAAATTTGAGATTTTAGTTGTGTGCTAGGTGTGAAGCCTGGCCCAGAACACTCCAGGCAGAAGTGCAGATAAGAGCTGGCTCTCCAGCACAGCTGAGGGCATGACTAACTCCGCATGTCCCCAGACCTTACCTAGCAGTAAAGCAGGCAAGTTGTACGGTAAGAGTCATAGTGGCATTTTATGAAGCATTTAGGAGTCCTTACAACCTTTGAATTACACAACATTTCTTGCATAAATTCCTTTTCACAAATCCTTTCATCACTCACACAGAATATCTGAGGCATTTTTGGACTTTCTGACTTGCCCTAAACCTCCCTTCTTTTAAACAACCAGTTATTTTACTTTAGGACAAGAATTTACCATACAGGATCCTTTTTTATATAAAATCTCTTTCTTTATAATCTTCTTTGTATAGCTAGGGGGCATGGTAAATTCCACATATCCCCAGGCCTTATCTAGAATTTAATGGCTTTAGGGTAGGTAGATTGAACAATTTTCAAAAGTCAAAGAAACAGTTTGACCTTAAAGCATTTAGCAAATCTGATATCTGACCTTAATTTAGACCAAATGTCTACATTTTTAAGATGTTTTATTTTACCAATAATCTTTAAAACTGTCTTTATTTCCAAAATATTACTAAAGTCATGTGAACAAAGAGGCATAAAATATTCTATTTTTCTGCTGAAATACTTCATTTAAAGGCTTATATTTCTAAGCCAATTAATCAGAGCCCTTTTACATATAAACATACAACACATATAAATATAGAGACAGACAGAAGATTCAGCACTTGTAAGATTTTCATTTGCCAGTTTCTTAATTGGATGACTGGCTTGAGGATGGAGTCCTTGGAAGAATGGGGACAGGAAAGGGGTCTCTGGTGCCTCCTGTTTTTCCCAAGGAGTCCAGACTGTTAAGAGTTTGAATGTCCGCTTTTAATTAAACTGATTTTAACCATAGCACTCTTTAATAAAGTTCTTTTAGAATTTCTTATGCCAAAAGGCCGGTATTTCTGGCTTTTGAACTTCACCAAAGGCAACCTCCTTGGTGCTTAGAGAAAGGAAAATTTCAGACAGTCCGCAGAGGAGAAGAGAATAGACGTCTTCACTCAGATATTAAACCAGAAGTGACTTACTTTCTAGGTGGAATTGAACCTGGACTGTCACTGTGAAAATGCAAAGCCTTGGCCACTGAGCTACAATGCAGGGCAGTCTCCATTTCCCTTCCCAGGAAGAGTCTAGAGCATTAATTTTGAGTTTGCAAAGGCTTGTAACTATTTCATATGATTTTTAGAGCTGACTATGACATGAACCCTAAAATTCCTGTTCCCTTGAAGGTGGAGACCAAGAGAAGGTACTGCCGTGTGGTTAAAAGGTCAAGCTCCCAAGGTGGAGAGACTTCATCCAGTTTTTTTGTTGGTTTCAGGGACCTCCAGCCAAGTTTGTTGCTGACCAACTTGCCGGGTCGTCTTGAAAAGGGGGCTTACAGGTGTTCCAAGCCCGTGTTTTATCCTGAAGTATCCCTCAACACAGAAAAACGACCTCATAACACAAAATACACCAGCTTAAAAATAGCCTTTGAATTATTTTTCACATTAATCAAAACTTTACAGAGGAGATAAACACTGATTTTTTTATTTTATTTTATTTTATTTTATTTTATTTTATTGCCATTCATTCAACCGTTTGCACAGAGAGAAAGAAGACAGAAATCTGACTGGTAAGAAATTGTTACCCTTTTGCCAGCATGCCAGGCTTCTGGGTTCCCTTTCCCTGAGCGGCCCTAGTGATCCGGCTTGCGGCACCATCGCCTACGGGCCAAGCTGCATCATAAAGGAAATTTTTTTTTTTCATTCTGGCCAGAGCAAAACACATGTGATAAAACATAGGCATTAGCTACTCTGCTTAGCACCAAATATCAGACTAGCTTAAATTTGCCCCCAGATGGGTTCCATCATCTTTAATCCGACCTCTGACTTGCAGTTTCAACACGTGCTCTCTGGGCAAAACAGTTGCCCTGAGTAACAGAAAAGATAGGAAAGGAAAAGGAGAGAGAGAAAAACGTGCCAGTGGAAGGGTGGGGAAGGTGAAATGATCAAGGAGGCCAGAGAAAGACTCACCTATTGCAGCAACACTGTAGAAGTTCAGGCAGCTGCTTCTCGGTAGCAAAAGGATCTTTTCCAGCAATCCTATTAGCTCTCAAGTTTCCCCTTTTAGGGAGGAAAAAGCTCCCCATGTCCCGCGATCCTGTACATGTCCAACCCTGCCATCCACAGCCATCAGCAAAGAGTGCAAGACAGATTAATCCAAAGAGAATAGCAATTAATATCCCATAGCATCAAAGCTGTTCTTAGCCAAGAGGGACTTTAACGAGAGGGGTCTCTAACACCCTAAATCTTAGAAGAGACTCTAACCATCCTAAGTAGGGCCTCTAACCCCGCTTTATAAACTTTTAATTGACTCCCATCTTAACAGTTGCAATCCATGGAGGAATGCTTGATAACCTCGGTGATAAGATAAAAAACCAAGCATACTAGAAGTGTTCTCTAAAATTAAAAATACAGTAGTTACTAGAGAAAAATTTTAGTCCAAAAATCCAACTATAGAAACATAGAATGTGAGAGGTAGCACATAAGAAATAAGTCATGGGGATTTTATTTCATGGACCAGCAATATGATGATAAAAGCCATCTAACCTGTTGGAATTATAGGTCACATCAAGAGAATTCTAGTGTCTAGAACCAAAGAAATGTTAGCCTCACTCTAATAGACAATACACTTCAGGAACGAAATAAGCAAATTAGATTGTGTTCAGAGATGAATAACCAAGATGGCAGAGGGAATTAAAATAATTGCTCATGATTACCCTGGGAAATAGAAGGCTTAGAAAGGACAACACAGTTTCTTCATATGCTTAAAGCAATGTGAATAGGGAATTGGACTCAACCAACATAGCCCGACTTATTAAAGCCAATGGGTAGAGGTTACAGAGAAAGCTATTCCAGTACAACCAAACAAAAAAAATAAAATGTAAGCCACTTTCTTGAGACATGATTGACTTACAAAAAGATGTATGTATTTAATGTATACAACTTGATGAGTTTAGAATTTTCTAAGCTGTGAGTTATAGAGATTTTCTTGTTACTGGAAGTCTAATATTCAAACATCAGCATTTTGCCTACATGAAAAGGACACTGAGATAATTCAGATGTTAAGATTTGATGATTAGGGAATCAGAGGGAATGACCCTTTGAATAAGGTTTTCAGTTTTCACACGCTCTACCAGCTTCTTGTAGAACACTACTAAAGTGAAATGCTAATGGTGGTCCGTGAATGAGAAGCTCTATAGACAAGTGTTAGGAAATGTGGCCTACCTTATTTTGGTCATGGGGACTGATAATATGTATAAGCATTTAAAAGGCTGTGAAAAGCCCTACTCTCTCTCCCTCTCTCTCTCTCTCTCTCTCTCTCTGTGTGTGTGTGTGTGTGTGTGTGTGTGTGTGTGTGTGTGTTGCATACATACACATTTCATTTTCTAAGCCAAAGTTCAGTTCTCCAGTTCATCTGAGCTCAGGCCCAGTTTTTCAAGGGACACCTTATAACATCTCACAGAATAAAGGTTTCACTAAGCAATGTTTAAAAGCCACTGTAGATCATCAGTCCCAGTTAGGCATGAATCTATTCAAAATTCAATGTTTCACTGGAATAATTGGCAAGGTCTCATAATTCTAGGCATTAATCAGAATCCTAAAATTGATTGTTGAACTCTTATTCTTACTCATTTAAAATATATGCTCTAAATACTTCAGTATACAAAAAGACATTAAAATTTCCTATCTCTGAAAATAGAGCAGGGTTTTCCCTTTTGTTTTATTTGGGTTTTCACTTTTGTTTTACTTTGTTTTCTGGTGATATTACAAGAAAAAAATCTATGTACCTTTGGGGTATAAATCATTGAATTAAACTATACATTGCTAAGAATAAGCATTATAATTGGTACATTGTTCTGTTTTTGAATGAAATATCTTTGCAGAAAATAGATTTATTTCAAAAGTCATCTTTACTCAACTGTGAGCATACCAAGGGCTAATAATTACAATATTTTCCCGTGAAAGAATATAAGATTGGAAGCCAGAGAGCCTGGGTTCTGCTGCTAGCCCTAATGGAGACCATTTGTGTGAGTTTTTCATCCCATGGCTTAAGGGTTGCTTATGGTTGCTTAAGGGATCCCTTCACAAGCAGGAGTTTCCGAGCTCTTTTGACTGCTCAAGAATTAGGACTCATTGGCCGGGCACGGTGGCTCAAGCCTGTAATCCCAGCACTTTGGGAGACCGAAGTGGGTGGATCACGAGGTCAGGAAATCGAGATCATCCTGGCTAACATGGTGAAACCCCATCTCTACTAAAAATTCAAAAACTTAGCAGGCGTGGTGGCGGGCACCTGTAGTCCCAGCTACTCGGGAGGCTGAGGCAGGAGAATGGCGTGAACCCGTGAGGCGGAGCTTGCAGTGAGCAGAGATCGCGCCACTGCACTCCAGCCTGGGCGACAAAGCGAGACTCCGTCTCAAAAAAAAAAAAAAAAAAAAAAAGAGAGAATTAGGACTCATTTCTGGGTTTGACTGATTACACCATTCAGACTCCAGGGCCAGCTTCTGTTAGTGGACAATAAATGTAATGACCAACGCTTTCTCTTGTGAAAGAAAGATGTATTATATTGGACAAAATAAGTCCATATTCACAGCAGAAGAAAGCATATGGCAGATCAAGTCTGGATCTTTTGAACTACCAGATTATTCTACCTCTCCTTGAATTCTTCTTTGCTGAAGTCGGAGCCCTTGTACTATAGATTCCATATGTCTGATTCAGGCAATGGAGCTTGGAAGAGGGGATGAGTTTCCTATTATTATTATTTAGGTACATGGAGATCTTTGCCTATGAGTCATCAGCTCCCAAGGTTTTCTGTATGGCTCTGTTTTTATGATTTCTGTAATAAATGAGATTTTGAAGCCTATTTCTGGCTCAAACTCTGATTGGCTTCAAAAGTACCCAAGCCTGTTATTGCCTTCAATTGTAACTTTGAATGGCATCACAAAGAGAAAAGAAAAAAATTGAGGTGGAGGAGAGTGGCCACAAAATAAAAATATTAAACCAACTTTCCTCCTCCAATGCACCTGGGCACACCACTTCACCTCTCAAGGTTATGTTTGCTTCCATAGATTGACAAGGTTGAAAAGACAATCTCTTCAATTTTCTTTAGTTCCAAAAGTGCAGGAAATACACACCAACCTTTGCGTGGATAAAGATTAAAAGTGCCTTAAATCAGCTTCCATTTGAACCTTAAAAGCTTTTCAAACATTTAATTTTTTTAAACAGGACCAAAAATAGCCCAAGGGTATTTGCTAGTTGACTTCCTGGAAAAACTATAGTTTATTTTTATTTATTTATTTATTTATTTATTTATTTTGAGACCGAGTCTCGCTCTGTCGCCCAGCTGGAGTGCAGTGGTGCCATCTCGGCTCACTGCAAGCTCCGCCTCCCGAGTTCATGCCATTCTCCTGCCTCAGCTTCCTGAGTAGCTGGGACTACAGGCACCTGCCACCACGCCCAGCTAATTTTTTGTATTTTTAGTAGAAACGGGGTTTCACTGTGTTAGCCAGGATGGTCTCGATCTCCTGACCTTGTGATCCGCCCGCCTCGGCCTCCCAAAGTGCTGGCATTACAGGCTGGAGCCACCGCGCCTGGCCAAAAACTATAGTTTAAAAAATTGTTGACAAAAATAGAAAACCGACAGCAGAGAGTTGTGTTACATCTATGTATCTAACATATGTGTCTAAGTATGGTATCTAATGTCAAATGTCAAATCTACTAACTGTACTGTGGTTATCATCAGAAAAGAAACCCAGCTTTAGAAAATGGTAGGAAGTTCCAAAACTGCAAAGGAGATATCTTAGCAAGCAAGTAGCTTGGCTTTTCACAATTTTATGGGTGCTAGAAATAGCATGACTCAGTGGACCAGAGAAAACCACTTATTACTCACAGCACAGTAAACAGCACAAGTATCAGCATGCTAATGCCAGTTCCTTTGCCTTTATGTCTTGTGATGTGACACCATGAACCCAAATTGCTGCTACACATACAATGAGTTGCACAGCAGCTGAGGAGTTCAGAGATATGGGTTCAGTGTCTTTTGTAGCAAGCAGTAAACAAATCAATCCTCCTTCCCCAGGAGCCAGAGTCTCAAAATGCCGTGGTCCTCATGTGGTCAGGCAGTGAAGGTTGTTAATTGACTATGACTAGCTGTAGAAAGAAATCAGGGTGAGAAGATGATTAGATCTTGCAGTTCAGCTCAGTCAGTAAGAATGGGCAGGGTTGTTCAGTGGACTGCCTCTCCCAATAATTCACATTCAACCTAGAATATTCTTGGCTGAACTTAAATTTTTATACGATTATGCCACCCTATCAGCAACTTGAATTAGACATATTGACAAGGACTAGGACCAAATCTGTTTCCACTTATTTCAGTCAATACTAGATTAGGGCTATTGTCAGCAGAATCCCATCCACAGGATTAGGTCAGTCTGCAGTATTGACCTCCACCATGCACTCCAGGATCCCCGACCCAATTAAATAAGTCACAGAGAAGACTAATAGGTCAAATTTCAGATAAGCACCTAGCTTCCTTTCTTATGGTATGCATGGATTGCTCCACCATACCGTGGATATTAATCCAAACAAAACAGGAACAGTTGGCTACCATACAAATTCTCCTCCATTCAGCCAGACTGTAGTCTAAGGCCAATCAATGACCCATTTACAATCAGGGAGCTAAGACTGACCTGCTGATCTTCTATGGTTTGTTCTGTCTCATTGGCTAGGGTAGCTAAACTTAAGAATAGGTTCCTGGCCTGTCTCTAAAATGTGGACTCTGATGCTGGGGAACAGTACTCACACTGCTGTATGGAAATAGAAAACCATGTATCCCTCAGGCAGGACAGCCCTCTTTACCTAGGGGACTAACAAAGGAAATAAAATCCAAAGAGTGGCGCCATTGCCAATTATTGCAAGGACTCAAAGATGAACCAAATAGCAACCTCCACATGCTCCAGTGGATGGATATCCTCTGGGCCACTCTCTCCCACATATGAACATATAACTTGATTTGGATCACCATGACCTTGGTTTGGTTAAGCTCTATGGGCAGGGTCGCCAAGTACTTGTCACCTGGACAGCCCTCCATAGCATGACTCAAGGGCACTCAGTGTCAGGAGAAGCACATGAATCAGTATGAGCTGTCTGAGTGATTGTGCAGGTAAAAAGGGTGATTAATTTTGGGGAGCTGACTTTGATACACCAGGCACAGTAGAATAATTCTGGACCAAGCAGGCCAACAGGAGATTTTCTGATCCCACAGCACACGGATGAGGATGATAAATCCAGCTGATAAATCCAGCAGTGTTACGGGTTGGCAATCAGAGCTGCTGCTTGTCTCTGATGGACCATGTGATTATTTTGCCAAGTGAGAGGCTGGGATTCAGAGACAAAAAGATCATTCATTATTCCCTCCTCTGAGCACCTCCAGGGTCTAAGGTGTTCTTTCCCCAATGAAGTGGCGAGTGGTGCCAGGGAAGCAGTGAGTCCAGGATGCCAAGGGGTACCTCCAGGTGGAGACTGTTTCCCTTTCCAGAAGCCTGGAGTTGAAAAGGGCCCCCTAGGTGGTCTGCTGCAACAGCCTGCTACACTGACCCACGTGTCACCTGCAGCTTAGGTCCCCAGTCATATATGGCAGACTTTCTAATCAACTTGTACATAGGACTCAACAAGAGGCATGCATAGATAAGGCACGTATTGTCTCTAAGATCTAAATAGTCCAATTAAGTGCCAGGCTTCCTTTCTCTTAGGAGAGCCATAGAGCAAAGAATATTTTCTTTACCGTCTAGGATCAACTTTTGAGTCTTAGTCCACATCATTTTGGAGATACTGACTTGGGTGGCTGGTCCTGTATCTTATCAGAATTAAGAGCCTTTCTGGGACTTCATGTGATTTAGCATTGGCTAATTTTATTAAGGCCTTTCAATAGAATATCATCAATACAGTAAGCCCAATTTCTCTGCAGAAAAAAAAAAGAGAGAAAGAGAAAGAGAGAGAGGCTTGTCCTGTGTTTTGACCCACCTATTGGCGATAAATAACAGGGAAATTCACGTAGTACTGCAACAGCCCAGTAAACATGTTTTGGAGGGTCAGCCAGGGAAGGGGTCTTAATCTTTGGGTGCAAAAGGGATTGAGAAAAATACATGGCCAAAATCAAAAATGGCACACCAGGTGCTATCACAGGGAATTGATTCATTTACAGTCACAATGTCTGTAACAGCCAGGACTATAATACCAACTAAATTCAGTTGGCATGATCTAACACAAGCCTCCAGATTCCCATTAGTTTTTTTTTTCACTGACCATACAAGGCTGCTACATTGAGATATTACATTTTTCATTAGTCCCATTGTATTTAAGTCCTTGGTCAAGGTTGTGGTTTCATTTTCTCCTTCTGGAATTCTAATTAAAAAAAAAAAAACAAAAAACTTGAAGAGAACCAAAGCCAAGTTGTGATCAGTTGTGCATGCATCCTTCTATCCCTCTCTACAAATGGCTCTTCCAATCAAAAAAATCTCTCTTGTACATCATGAACATTTACAGAACAAGAATGTAAATTATCAATACCAATTACACATTCAGCCCTGGGAGCCGCAAAAGTAGTAGATAACAGGGCTCTAAACAGCTCTGCCTAGTGGATACAGTTACTTCCTTTCCTATTTTTTTGGTATCAAATCTGGGTAATTAAATGTGTGGTCCTTACAAGAGAAGGACCTCGGAGAACCTAGTGCAGTCCCTCAGGAGAACCTAGTACTTAGTCATTTGAGCATGGATATCAAAAAGAGACATAAGGCGGCGCAGTGGCTCAAGCTTGTAATCCTAGCACTTTGGGAGGCTGAGGTGGGTAGATCGCTTGAGCTCAGGAGTTCGAGACCAGCCTGGGCAACATCGTGAAACCCCGTCTCTACCAAAAATACAAAAATTAGCCAGGTGTGGTGGTGCATGTCTGTGGTCCCAGCTACTCGGGAGACTGAGGTGGGAGAATTGCTTGAGCCTGGGAGGTGGAGGTTGCAGTGAGCAGAGATTATACCACTGCACTCCAGCCTGGGTGACAGAGTGAGGCTCTGCCTCAAAAGAAAAAAAGAGAGAGAGAGAGAATAAGAGTTGGACCCTTCCTTCTCTCCTCTACCTCCATTGTTCCCCCCATCAGGTGTAATGCCTCTGATTCCTCTTGGGAATGAAGAGAGCTTGTCCTTAAAGGAGTCTAAATCAGGATATAGAAGTTTAAAGTTAGACAGTAGAGGTTCTGAGGGGGTGATCTGCCCTGGGGCAGCAACCTGGCTTCCCCCTCCATTAAAGGAGGATTGATCTCCACAAAGGAATCTGTTTCTATAAAGGAACATAGAGTTTCATCTGTGTAAACAACTAACTGCCTCCCTAGGGCCCACCGTCGCTAGATATCTGGACTGAGTTTCTTTGGCGATCATCCGATCATTCCCTTCTTTGGGAGCTCCTGTTTAGTAGGCATGCCCACATTGCCTTATGATCAGGTCCCTTTGGAGGGGCTTGGTTTTTCTCATCCTGGGCTTTGTTTTGGATTGCAGAGACCTTACCTGGTTTAGGGAGTGGTGTCTTTATCCTAGACATCTAGAGGCCCTAAATCAGCACAGCTGCCAGTACAGGATCTCCCGGCAAGAAAAGTAGTGGAATCCTCAACCTTGGAGGGAGAAACTCAATCTTAAAAATGCACTGGTCGTGCTCTGGGTGAGGGTTCATCATCAAAGCTGTCATTCTGTCCAGGACAGAACAAGTCTAGGGCAGCTTCAGCCCTCAGGCTTTAAATAGCTTCCTCCATGGGGTTTCATGAGATTTTATTGACTTAAGAAAATCTTCTTCAGTTGGGCGTGGTGCCTCATGCCTGTAATCCCACCATTTTGAAGGCCGAGGCAAGTAGATCACTTGAGGTCAAGAGCTCCAGACCAGCCTGGCCAACATGGGAAACCCCATCTCTACTAAAAGTACAAAAATTAGCTGGGCGTGGTGGCACATGCTTGTAATTCCAGCTACTCAGGAGGCTGAGGCATAAGAATTGCTTGAATCTGGGAGGTGGAGGTTGCAGTCAGGCAACATCATGCCACTGCACTCTAGCCTGGGTGACAGAACGAGACTCTGCCTCAAAAAAAAAAAAAAAAGAAAAGAAAAGAAAAGAAAAATCTTCTTGGATTTACCATAATGTAGTCACTAAAACAGAAATCCAGGGTAGCAAACCTTATTGTGGGACATGATTCTATCTCAATGACATAATTTGCACAGTGTTTTAAAGTATAAGGTCCCACATGAGACAGCCTTGGTTCTGCATGCTCTAAGGCATAACCTTTCTTACTCCTTCATTACACCAATGCAGCAGCCAAGTGTCGAACAGCCCCTCTGTCTGCTGATCCAAGCACCCCTGGACTTCTTTCCTTTCTCTCTCCCCTTGGATCTGCATCTTGGTACTCTCTGTGGGAATGCATTGCCCTTCAGGTGTATACATTTGTAACTTACAACTTGACACCGTTGTGCTTTCCTCCCTAATGGAACCCAGAATGTTCTCTCCATCCTCCACCCCACAGATGAGCAAACAGAAACCATGGCAGCTTCTTGGATTTTATCCCTCACCTTTCAACCTCCATCTATTGACTCAACTCTTGTTCATCAACAGGTAGGACAGAGGTGGACCACTCGCTGCCCACCTTCTGCACCATTTGGGCCAGAATATTTGCTACCAGACCCAGGGAGTTCACAAATGTCCCTGAATCCAGCTTATGAGTTCTTGCCTTTTTATTCTTCCAAAAAGTTGTTGTCTGTCTTGGCACCCTGCACTTTGTGCCACTTTGAGAAGAATTTCAACCTCTTAGAAGATGGCAAGAAGTAATAGAATTCCAAAAGAGATGACTAAGCAAGCAAGTAGGTTGCTTTGCCACAACTCTATAGGTGCCAAAATTAGACAAAAGACCCAGGCAATTGACTACTCACAGCACAGCAAACAGCAGAAGCTTTAGCATAATAGTGCCAGTTCCCCTACTCCCAAATCCCACAAGGCAATACGATGGGACCAGACTGCAGTACACACACAGTGGGTCGTATCACAGTTGAGGAACCCAGAGCTTAAGTCTCAGCACCTGGGGGAGCAATAAACAAACCTCCCCTACGATCAAGCAGCCACATCATGGTCAGTGCTGTGCTCGCCTGTGCTTTCTTAATTGCCTGTGTGACCAGCTACAGAAATGATCAGAGTCAGAGGACAGTTAGACCTTGTAATTTGTCAGGGTCAGCAAGGGTGTGCAGGGACACTCCTGGCCATGATGGACTGCCTCTCCCTAAAGTGAGAATGACCTAATCTGTTCTTTATTCTTAGAAAAAATGTACTGAGATATTTAAGGGTAAAGCATCAAATGGCTTAAAAAGATGGTGTGTGTGTGTGTGTGTGTGTGTGTGTGTATGAGAGAGAAAAAAAGAGAGAAAAAGCAGATGGCAAAGCACATGGATAAAGCACATTTACTAAAATAAAATTTTAAAAAAATGATCTTTTACCCTTTTACGCTTCCTATACAAACATCTCCTTTTCTCCTTAGCAGTATTATAATGAATGATAGCAACAATTATTTGTTAATTACAAAACTTATTCTGTTTCCACAGTCCTCTTTTCTTACCTGAAAATAGCAGGCCACATTTCCATGTGTCTGAGCAAATGTTATTGTTCAACACATATGCCAGCTTTACAGTGGGGATCAGGTAGGGTGTATACTTCAAATCAGTTACAGGAAAAAAATCATTAATTTTGAGAATTGGGTAAAAATAGAAATCTCTTTATCTGGAAATAAATAAGATCAGAAGTACTGAAAAAAACATCGTTTTTCTTTCAAAATTTTGATCAAGTCATAAATGATTTGAGGCTAAAGAGGGAGGAAGAGGGTAAAAAAAGGGGGAGAAAGAGTTTCAATTAAAATGTATTTTTTCAAGGAAATTATCAATAATCTCTCTATAATGACTAGTATACAGTTCTTTTCAGTAGCATACACAAATGAAGAGCATATTCATAATGAGCCAGAAGATTATTCATAATGTCTGAAGAGATTGATTAATGTCTTGACATTTAAGAAAAACTGAGGCTTGCAGGTGAAAGTATACATGAAGGTCTTCAATGCAGTTCTTACGAGCAGAAGATGCTCAACAAATGTGTGTTGCAACCGTATCTGAAATGTTCACTGTCTTTGCTCTTTCTCTCCTTTCAGCTAGAAAATCTGGAAGCAGAAACTGCTCCGTTGCCCTAACAGGGTCTCATGCCATTCCGACCTTCACCAAGCTTAGAAGCCACCATGTATGTGGAAGCAGGTTGCTTCAAGAATGTGTAGGAGGCTCTAATTCTCTAGGAAAGTGCCTGCTTTTAGGTCATCCAACCTCTTTCCTCTCTGGCCACTCTGCTCTGCACATTAGAGGGACAGCCAAAAGTAAGTGGAGCATTTGGAAGGAAAGGAATATACCACACCGAGGAGTCCAGTTTGTGCAAGACACCCAGTGGAACCAAAACCCATCGTGGTATGTGAATTGAAGTCATCATAAAAGGTGACCCTTCTGTCTGTAAGATTTTATTTTCAAGCAAATATTTATGACCTCAACAAAGAAGAACCATCTTTTGTTAAGTTCACCGTAGTAACACATAAAGTAAATGCTACCTCTGATCAAAGCACCTTGAATGGAAGGTCCGAGTCTTTTTAGTGTTTTGCAAGGGAATGAATCCATTATTCTATTTTAGACTTTTAACTTCACCTTAAAATTAGCATCTGGCTAAGGCATCATTTTCACCTCCATTTCTTGGTTTTGTATTGTTTAAAAAAATAACATCTCTTTCATCTAGCTCCATAATTGCAAGGGAAGAGATTAGCATGAAAGGTAATCTGAAACACAGTCATGTGTCAGCTGTAGAAAGGTTGATTCTCATGCACTGCAAATACTTCCAAAGAGTCATCATGGGGGATTTTTCATTCTTAGGCTTTCAGTGGTTTGTTCCTCAGTTTTAAATGTGCAATTTTCTTGCTCCTATTTAAGTGTTCACAAAAGGTAATAGTCAATGAGCTCATCACTTCATCCATGCAGGAAGTCAAGCATTAAAATGTACTCTTTATTTCTCACTGGTTTCTCCATACTGCAGGCTCCCCACATATTATTTTCTTTTTTTAACTCAGCTCAGAATCCTTATGCCTTTTGAATCAGTGTGATAAAATGACAGATGTTTTTGTTGATTGCCAGAACAGTTTAAACTTTTTTTAAACAATAAATCCAATAAACATAATCTCAAGACAGACTCATATGACCATACAGAAAAGTGTGTCATCTATTTTTCAATCCTGTGTAGTTACTTGGATGTGAAATATTAACAATGGCCCAAAAATATTTTCCTGAAGATTGTGTTTATATAATGTCATCACCAATATTTTGGTCTTTTTGATCTCTGCTAAATGTCAAGATTTCCTTTGTAAAGTGTCGATCTTCTAAGTAGTTTCTTTAAGACAATTCTCCGCTTTAACTGATTTTCTTTGTTGTGAAACACAGTAGAGATTTGGCAATCAACCATTTTACTTGATCTAGGTAGACAGCCAAGTCAGATGGCCCATGCCTAGAAGCTCTCCATTTTGAACTTTTGTCAGCATTGATTAAAAGAATCAAATACCTTGTAGTTATCTATGATGATACAAGTAAAAAACTAGGCTGCTGACTTCTGAGTATTCCTGAGCCTACAATTGTAAAATTGTAGACTCCATTGTAAAATTTGTATTTTTTCATCAATCTGACAAGGCACAAATATGTGCCAGATATACAAAAGCAATGTTTCTAGAAAACAGCTATCATGGATCAGAATAACTGAATTTACTCTCAGATCTATTGGCTATAGTTATGTGGACTCAACCCACGTATCCAGTAGATGGGAAAAAACAAAAGCCAAAATAAGTTTTTTAGTGTTTCCTTCTGATGAAGTTTCATGTTTGCTTGTAATAATCTCCATTTCTCAAATATTATGTTCCATAATAGACATACATTATGTTTAATTTTTTATATTTTCTGACAAAAGTAACTAAAACTAGGACCTTAAAAAGATTTAGAATGTTAAATAAGTGTACTAGGGTGTATATATTTACATATATACACTACTAGAGCTTCCAAAAGTAAAATGGATAATTCAAACAGAACACAATGTAATATTTGTATGTAAATAACTGAGGAGGAAAATCCATGCTTTTCATGGGCTAGGATGGTTTCTCCCAAGAGATGACATAGTATTGCTTTTGCTCATCAGGCTGTTTCTCAGCAATCATTGTTTCTGCTTAATACCAGCTCCTAGTACGAATTATCTGGCATGTTGAGAGCAACTTTGTCTTCAAGTAGGACCTGATCTATCTTTTTCCACAAATGTCATGTGTGTGAACAAGTTTCTTCCATGTCATCTTTGAGACTCTACACAGAATACACAATAAAGGGAGTTATTTTTAAAATAAGACATTCTAAAGTAAATAATAAATAAGGTCATTGTCAACGTTTTTCATTCAAAACCATTTTTTAACGTAAATTTGCTAGAACCACCTTCCAATTCCAAGGCAAGGAGAGACATTACAACCCTGACTCAACTGGATGGGCTAAGGTTTCTGATAAAATCTGAAGATAAAGAAAATGGAATATTCTGCTTTTTTCTTCCTTCTAATTTCACCCTTGCCTAAGGATGAGATTTCTTCCCAGGTTGGTATCCCAGAAATGCAGACTGTAGCTATGGGGCGGAAGCTTTGTTTCTTTACCTGATCACTTGCTGTGGAAATTCTAGCTTATTGTGTTCCAAGTAGTTAGTGGTTTTTCTCCTTCAGTCTCCACTGTTATTTTGCTCCTTCATCCCTCTTTCCTTGCCAATCATTAGAAAGGAAAGAAGAGGAAAGAGACTCGCTGGAGCACTGGTGAGTCTCTAGGACCCTGCTATCCTATCCCAACAGGGCTGTCAGACGGAGAACTCCTAATGTGGCCATTTGAAACACTTCTCAACATTGAAATAGACAGTTGAAGTTTTAAAATAACCTCTTCTAAGACACGGCTATGAGTAGGTAAGAGAGCATTCATTCCCTTCAATAATATGACTGTGTTGATAAAACTGATAACCATTCACTTGCAAATGTTATTATTGAATAAGTCTCACTTAGCTCATTTAATATTACCCAAAAGATGCTAACAAATTCTGTTTCCCACATTGTCACAGCATGCCCTTTACATCTCAGGATCCAGGCAAAAGTTGAAATTCAGAAACATAGATATGAAATGTAAGATACAAAGAAAACACCTCTGCAAAGATTCCGACCACATTTATCAAAAAGTCCCCAAAGCATTCAAAATCTTTACTTAAGTCAAGTCTATTTATACGTTTAAAAGCTAAAAACAAGATCTTTTTGGTAATGCTTCAATTAAATGTTTTATCTAAATATGTGGAAATGATAAGATGCGTACTGCATCTCTCATATAATAAAGATAATCAGTTTTATACAGACATATTCTCCATCTACTGGCAATTACCAAGATAAGATGGCACTAGAAATTTCTCCAGCTTACGCCATGAATACTGCAGAAGCTGATACTATCCGTTGTGGTTTTACAAATTCTAGAGGGTTCTAGCCAAAGCAACCTAAGAATAGGACATGGTAGCTTAAGTTTTTCAGCTTCTTAACTGGCCACACACACACAAGTTGTGTTTGTACAATTCTTGAGGTCAATCAGAACCAAAAAATCTGTTGCTGGAAGAAATATTATCCTCTTCATAGAAATATCCACCAGCAGAAAATTGGTTTCTCAAGGAATCCCTACTGCCCTTGTAGAAACATCAAGATTCTTGCCTGGATTCTCAACATAAGTCTTTACTCACAGGCCTATTGCTTGGTTTCAGAAGAGTGAGAACATGAAAGTTCATAAATGCCTGGGCCACTGCAACTCTAACCACTGTGTTTCCCCCAGTTTGATATGGTTCAGGATACATAGTCATAGAACAGGGCATGCAGATTGTATTTAAGACCACTGCAAGTAAGGTCTAAGGCAAAAGTAAATTAATGAGTCCAACTCTGGGGCATCCATTTAAGAGCCATTTAATCCATTTAATTACAAATAATTTCAACCCATAGTCAGTGTTCTTCACTGTCTTCAAAAATATAAAAAGTACAAGGAATTGTGTACATTACAAACTGCTCCAGAAACAAAACCAAATGTGGATAGCTTTGTGAGCTGCAGTGTGTGGCAAATGTTCAACCTTTTGTTATGCAATATCACCCATATCAAATACCATTCTTAAAGCAGTAGACAGATGAGTCAAGTTCAATTTAATGCAAACAATATTACTGTGTTCTAAGCGCTTCTGTTACTCGAAAGGGGTCTGATCCAGACCCCAAAAGAGGGTTCTTGGACCTCATGCAAGAAAGAATTCAGGAGTAAAGTGAAAGTGAAATGGGTCAGGATCAATGGTCTCATTGTCTAAGGTGTTATCCGAGCTCGTTGTCTCACAACCAAGAAAATTAAGGAGCATGGACACAAAGGGTGAGGTTGGAGCAAAAGTTTAATAAGCAAAAGAGGAAAGCTCTCTGCAGCAGAGACGGGAGCCCAAGTGGGTTGCTGTTTTTACAGCTGAATCCAAAAGCTTTTATAAGAAACTCCTCTCATCTCTGCAGCTATTTGAGTAACTTCTCTTATCTGAAAAGCTGTCTGTACAACTGCCTCTATCTATGCAGCTATGGGGTGTCTCTAGGCGAGCACAAAGCATAGCTTCTCTTGTTGTATAATTGTGGGTTTGTTTTAAGTAAGCCACTTTCCTCCCTGCAAGTTCCCACGGAGCAGAAAAAAGGAGGAAACTTTTTCCTGGGAGCCCACTAATCACACAGTGAACAAAAGGCTTCTATGCTGGGCCTTACTTTCTAACAGTGCAGCAGTTATAGTCTGAGTTTTCTCCAGGCTGCTCCATTTTTGCCTGTAGCTATGATTTTTCAGGCAGCCTGCTTCTCCGAGGACTAGTCTTAGCTGTTTACCTAACTGATTGGTCCTTTTCTTCTCCCTGAAAAGCAAGTTTATTAAGAAAGCAAAGGAATAAAGAATGGCTACTCCATAGGCAGCGTAGCCCCAAGGGCTGCTGGTTGGCTATTTTTGTGGTTATTTCTTGATTATATGCTAAACAAGGGGTGGATTATTCATGGGTTTTCTGGGAAAGGAGTGGGCAATTCCCAGAACTGAGGGTTCTTCCCCTTTTAAGACCGCATAGGGCAACTTCCTGACATTGCCATGGCATTTGTAAACTGTCGTGGTACTGGTGGGAATGTTTTTTAGCATGCTAATGCAATATAATTAGTGTATAATGAGTAGTGAGGACAACCAGAGGTAACTTTCATTGCCATCTTGGTTTTAGTGGGGTTTGGCCGGCTTCTTTACCACATCCTTTTATCAGTAAGATCTTCGTGACCTGTACCTTGTGCCAACCTCCTATCTCTTCCTGTGACTTGGAATGCCTAACCTCCTGGGAATGCAGCCCAGTAGGTCTCAGCCTTATTTTACCCAGCCTCTATTCAAGATGGAGTCGCTCTGGTTCAAACACCTCTGACACTTGAATTACAAATATAAGGACCATTGACACTGAGATTTTAAGGGAGGAAAAACAGATTGACAGTGGACTAAAGGTACTTTTGTAGCAAGGTACTTTCCACACAATATTGAATAAATGCAGTGTATACATTTTTAAAGGAATTTTAAGAGCTCGGAAATCATTAAAATTAAGTTTATCAATTTTTGAAAGCATCTTCTGACTCAAATATATGAAAAGATTATTCTAGACCTTAGGCAGATATTCAGAGAAAGATCAGTTTTCTATGGGTTTTTTCCATCATGCATTTTATACAAATTTAATATACTTTTTCAACTCACTTTGCATTTCCTGTTACCTTGTACTGAGAACTTCATTAAAACCTGCACTTGAAATTGCACTTAAACTTTACAAAATCACAGAAGAAGTTGTTTTCCATAGGTGTGGGGTGGGATGTTAGAGCTCTAGACATTAATTCCTAGGAATCGCATACCTACGGAAAACAGTCCTCTGACCTCCTGTGACACATGGGGTGAGCCCTTCCTTTTTGTCTCAATCTCAAAAAACAGTAAGTCTTTAATCCATTTGCATCAAAAAGTACTTCATATGCTCGAAACTAAAGTAAAACTTTATTGAAATACATTAATATGCTCCTGGAACATACTACTGGGTCTCAGACAGTGCAGAAGCTTTATTGTTTATTTGGGAAGAGCAAGGTAAGAATCAAGTAGAAATGATAAAGGGCAAGGAAAAAAGATGAAAGCTTACTCATATTAACCATTCTACCATTGGAATTATTTGCCAACACACCTTGCTGCTACTTAGAGAAAGTAGTTCACCTCACTACCTTTTATCCAAAGAAATTATCTCTAAAAGCACTCAGACATTTTGTAGAGCAAGTAGCAATCTATTCAAAGTTGTAAAGGTTCTGTAGAATCTCTCAGACCAGGTACAGGACCTACCAAAGGCCACAGCCAAGCACAAGCAGCTACATTAGACAGTTTTACAGCTCTGTATTTCAGGAAAACTTCTGTCCTGTGGGAGCAATACAAAACTATACCAGTTTTTTGTTAGTGTAAAAATTGCCCAATATTAACCAGAGCAGCCCAAAATATTTCAGGGTAAGAATAGATATATTTATATTTTTCAGATGATATATCTTCATTTTCGATTTTGAAAGAACAGTAATACTAATTATATCCCATGTAAGGGGCTACTGACAATTTTGATGGTACCTGAATTTGCCTCTATCATGCATCTCAATGATTTGTTGTCATCCAAAGCTATTTCATGAATCAAATATCGTTTTCTACCTGCCCCACAACTGTGTACATAAAACCTAAACCTCTGAAGCAATAAACCTCTTCCATTACACAGGTTTAGATTCAGAGTTTTCTTGCTTAAGTTCCAACTAAAAGTATTACATTCTTAGCATAAGTATACTCATAAAGAAAAATAAGTATTTGTTTTAGGTTTTAGAGAGAGAGCACAGAGTCCCTTTGAGACAGTGGGGAAAATTCATCTTCATATTGTCACATGCACTGTAATAGGAATGTTTAGCAAAAAAAACCTTCCAGAGAAAGGTGGTTTCCAATATTACCTACAACTTCCTTTGCAATTTGATTTTTGAAAGGACCTAAAAGTTGAAAACAGGCTATCACATCCCATTTGCTTTAAAGTCTCTTAAACTTACGCTCTTTCGCTTCAAATGCATAAATGTTTTATTTAAGTTTGCATTGCCCACTAAGGCTAGACATTTTTTTTTTTTTTTTTTTTTTTTTTTTTTTGAGACAGAGTCTCGCTCTGTCGCCCAGGCTGGAGTACAGTGGCGGGATCTCGGCTCACTGCAAGCTCCGCCTCCCGGGTTCACGCCATTCTCCTGCCTCAGCCTCCCAAGTAGCTGGGACTACAGGCGCCCGCCACTACGCCCGGCTAATTTTTTGTATTTTTAGTAGAGACGGGGTTTCACCGTTTTAGCCGGGATGATCTCGATCTCCTGACCTCGTGATCCGCCCGCCTCGGCCTCCCAAAGTGCTGGGATTACAGGCGTGAGCCACCGCGCCCGGCCCGGCTAGACATTTTTTGATAAATTCACAGGGTTACAAAATACCAAACGGAAATGAGATAAGTGGTATAAACCACAGAAGATATAGGAGAAGAGAAAAAAAAAAGAGGAAATAAAGAAGACAACTCTTTTCCTAAGAGTCTGGGTAAAATTGAACATAGCCATATTCACTGAACAACATGAGTGAGCTTCATTAATTTAAGCACAGCAAAACTGCTTTAATTAACAAGACCAGAGAGAAGGGAGAGGAGACTACATTTGTGTGACCTAATGGTTGTGATTTCACTGTCCAAGAGGACAAAGACAAAGAAATTCTGGGAAGGAGAACAACAATTATATTCCCCCATTTCAAGAAGGGCAGAAGTGTCCCAACACTACCCAATATTTGCAAAATTCAAATGTCTCATAGGCTCTTCTTCCCTGGTTCCCTCAGGAGCTGGGTTTCTGGGTTGCAGAAGTGCTTTTCATATTCTGTATCTGGTTGTGGTGGCAATGTCACCACCCTACACTGCTGTGACACCGAAACAACCAAGCCTAGAATCAGCTGGTGCCTCTTTTCATCTGCAGGGTAGATTTGGCTTCCATGGTTGTTCACTGCTCTGTGTTAGGAAGGCTCAGTGACAGGTGTACAGCCTTCAGTAATGCCTCAAAGGTTCTCCAAGCAGAGGTAAACATGTGGGTCCTGCTGGTGACATATTAGACTTCTTACTTTCCCCAAATAAAAAAGTGCCTGCTGGGCGCGGTGGCTCACGCCTGTAATTCCAGCACTTTGGGAGGCCGAGGCGGGCGGAACACAAGGTCAGGAGATCAAGACCATCCTGGCCAATATGGTAAAACCCCATCTCTACTAAAAATACAAAATTAGGAAGGCGTGGTGGTGCACGCCTGTAATCCCAGCTAGTCGGGAGGCTGAGGCAGGAGAATTGCTTGAACTGGGGAGGCGGAAGTTGCAGTGAGCCAAGATCGCAGCATTGCACTCCAGCCTGGGCAACAGAATGAGATTGTCTCAAAAAAAAAAAAAAGTGCCACATGCCATGCTATGTGCCCAAAGTTTCCTTCACACAACACAGCCTTGAGATGCAGTATTAAATTCTACACTTTTCCTACCATAGTGATACATGTGGCTTTTCTTTGCTGTGTTCTGAGATGTCATGCTTTGAAATCAGTGGCCATTATCATCTAAGGATTCCGCCAGAGACTTCCAAAAGAAGAGGTCTCATTTATAAAGTGAATTTGAATAAAATGACCAGTTAGGTGTTTTCAGAAACACCTATGCCCTACTTGCCTACTCTTCAAGGGTTTAGGGGCTTAGGGGGAGGTTTTGTTTGGGTTTTTTGTTGCTGTTGCTTGTTTATTTGTTTGTTGTGTTTAAGACGTTTTACTTGTCCCTGAAATGTTTGTCATCACACAGATACACGCTCAGGATAAGAACTACCAGACTAGATTAGGAGGTCCACACCACCAATTGAGATGTACCTGTGCTCATGACTTGACATTGTGGTGGGCCGGCTACAACCCTCCCCACCCCTCGCTTTCACTAAATAACAACTCTCTTCTCTCCATCATTTTGACTTAGAGCCAGTCAGAATTCAATCTCCAATATCCTGACTAGCACAAGAAATCCATAGGTTGATTCTTGTTCTCCTGCATCTCTGCAGGTGGCAAACCTGATTCCTAATGCCTGTTCCTGCCTCTGCAGGGGTTCATTCAGAAAACAGGAAAATAACAAAGGCTTCCTGTAATTCTCTTTGGCTGTAATACAATTTGTTCCCGTCTGCCCCCAGGCTCACCCAGTGCTCTGTCTCAGTGGTAAGCTGTAACTGATCACTGCTGTATTAACTCAAAACTCATTTGCTTTATGGAAATTCATGGCCCTTATTTCTCAAGGGACCAGAGAAAACCAATAGGCCTACTCCCCAGCTGAGTACTTTCCATGCAAGCTACCGCATCTGTATAAATTAGGTTCAAATAACAGAGTATTTCCAGGATTTATAAATTCAGTATTACAAATAGTAATCTGGCAAGTGTTCTCAGGATCCCCTTGCTACCTGTAATTCAATCATATAACTTCTGAATGGGCTGGGGGAAAATAACAATAAGAAAAACTGGTGTTTACCTGAAGATCTGCCCAGTGATTTGTGTGTTTTCTTAATAAACTTTACCCACTTATTAAAAGAATAAAATGAAGGTGGAGTTAATTCTGACTACGGGATTCCTTTTTCACTTTTATAATGAACTCCTTCCTTCTAACTAAATCTTATCATAAGCAAATCTATGCACCAAATTATTTAGTACAATTCCTAATAACAGCTGAAGGACCATTTATTTGAAGCAATGTTCACCATAGCAAAATTCCAGTGAAGTCTAAGAACTGGGACAGTCCGTTGAGGATCCTTGTGCCAGGATGTATGTTGCCCCATGAATGTGCACATGCATATTAAAATATGGGCACCTCTTTTAATTCTTTTTTTTCTCATAATAAGTTTGAAACTCACAGTAGGAAATTGAGAGATCAATTTGGTTACTGTTTTATCATTGATCCTGAAGACAGTTGAAGCAATCATACTGGTTGTTCTCGAACTAGCTGGTTTCCCAGAGACAGCTGGAGACTGAGCACATAAAGACATCATTGAGGAAAAAGGCTACCTTGTACCTCATGGAGAGCTGAAGGTCTGATAAATGGGAACTGCCAGGTAATAGCTATGCTATTTCTGACATAAATTTAAAAACTAGTATTGTTTCTTCTAGCTCTGTTTTTGCATAGTGCACAGAGATCTTTGTAAAAAACAGGAAATTAATGTTAAATTGGATCTATAAACATAAGTCAATTTGGCTCTATTATGTCAAAAGAGAATAGGAGTTTTAACTTATATCTGTGTTTTATTAATATTTTGAAGTATAGGAACCTCATGGTGTAGCAGGATGAGCCACAGACAAAACCTCTCAGACACCGAGTTGTAGAAGGAAGGGCTTTATTCAGCTGGGAGCATCGACCAGCTACTGTCTCAAAATCCAAGCTCCCTGAGTACACAATTTCTGTCCCTTTTAAGGGCTCACAACACTAGATTTCACATGAAAGGGTCGTGATTGATTTGAGCAAGCAAGGGGTATGTGACAGGGGCTGCATGCACCGGTGGTCTGGGAGGAACAGAACAGGACAGGGAGTTCTTCTATACAATAGAGAACAGAACAATGTTCTTCTATACAATGTAAGGAATCTATGAATAACATCGGCTTCTAAATCATAAGTTGATTTTTAACTACTGGGTTTAGGCCAGGCGGGCCCAGGCCTGGTTTCGGGCCTGGCGCTGAGCTGCCTGTATTTGGTTTTACTTCCTTGTTGTTTTTACTGAATATGAAACAATATAAAACAATGTGAGAGGGTCTTTCTCTCCTCTCAATGTCAACATCATATATGATTGGAGACTTCCACATAATTGAGTTTTAGTGCCCACTGTTACAGAAAATCATAATGGAAAAACTAAAATGTCAATAATAATTTCAGATGTGTATTTTAGTTCTCATAAGAACATCTACATTCATTTGAAAAATAGTTCTATATCTATTCTTGAAACATATTTCTTTAGTTCAAGGTCTGATGAGCTCCCAGACTGTTGGGGATTGCTCTACAGCTGCTCAAGCTTTTGAAGACTCCTGTGATTTTTTTAAATGGCTGGTTTGGTTGAAGTTTCTCTTATCAGTCAGGCACTTTGCATTTTAAGCGTACTTTACCACCGACACCCTCCCCCCCCAGCACACACACACACACACACACACACACACACACAACATAGTGAAATGGACCCGTGGGAATTATATGATAGTTGTAATCAAAATAAAATGCAATCAATACTAAAATACAATTTACCAAAGGCTTACCTCCTTATTTGAAACTCCAGCATCAATAATTTACTTGCACTCTTGTTATTTACATTTGTACTCTGGAAGTAAACTTAAAATGAAAATTAGAATTTGCTTTCAATTATACTATCTCTATCTAAATCTTAATTTGAAATTTAAATTATTTTGTCTCTACCCAAACCATCGATTTCATGGAAATGTTTAAATTTTCTTTTTTTTTTTTTTTTTTGATGGAGTCTCACTCTGTCGCCCAGGCTGGAGTGCAGTGGCTCAATCTTGGCTCACTGCAACCTCTGCCTCCCGGGTTCACACCATTCTCCTGCTTCAGCCTCCTGAGTAGCTGGGACTACAGGTGCCCGCCACAACACCTGGCTAATTTTTTGTATTTTTAGTAGAGATGGGGTTTCACCACGTTAGCCAGGATGGTTTCGATCTCCTGACCTCGTGATCTGCCTGCCTCGGCCTCCCAAAGTGTTGGGATTACAGGTGTGAGCCACTGCGCCTGGCCAGAAATGTTTAAAATTTCATAAATCTTGAATCCATAAAATTCAATGCTACCATTTATAATTTAATACTCCTACCATAAAAATTTCTGTGTTAGGCATAGCTATATGAATATTTGCCTATAAATCCCCATCAATTTAATAGGAATTAAGTTAGAAATACTAGTATATATATTCCCTTTATATACTAATTGTATATCCATATAAAAGCATTAGTACCATTATATGAAAGTATATATGCCATTCCATAAAAATATATCTACCAATATAAATAGAATATATAAAGGGAATATATATATACCAATATAAATGGGAATTTATATTGGCACATACATTTCCATTATTTTAATGGGAATTAAAGAAAAAATGCCTGTTTTCACTAAGTCATCCTTCCCCTGGCAATACATTTCCTGAACTTTTACATACTTAAATAGCCAGTTATGAAAATGTAAAACAATGAGTGATCTTGTTGTTTTCATTTTATTATGTTATATGAAAAAAAGAAACCTTGTAAGTGCAGATTTATTTTAAAAAATTGAAAAACTACTCTGTCAAACATAGCAAATAGGAAAGTTAAAAAAAAGTAAGTCTAAAGATTAGGTGCTCTGTCACTTGTCATTACATTTTTTTATAACATTAATGACACATTTTTTGCTATCCAAATATAATTTCCACTAGAAAAGAAAAGATGTCCTCCATGTTTTAAATTGCATTTGAAATTCAGGTAACTAATAACCCTTGGTTTTAAAAGATACATATAATGTTTCCGTAGGAAAAAAATCAAAATATTGTAAAGAATCTGAGTAAATGAGAGCCTCTCATGGTTGATTAAGTTCAGACATTTTAAACAGACTCCTGCCCACAAACTATTTTTCCTCTCCAGGAATAAGAATGGCAACTGAATTGTTCCTTCTTTATTCTATAGCTTTAAGTCAAACCTAACATAAGCAATCAACCCTTCCACCCATTGTCCTCTTTCTAGCTGCTTATATTCCTGAGTCTGAAAGAAGGGCAGAATTAATTCGTTTCCTTGACAGTGTTGGGGGTGAAATAAAAGATAGACCCCTGCTGCTCTGCACGTAGATTCAGTTTGTATGCCAGGGTGACATTTTAATTTACAGTAGTCCAGACACCTAAACAGGACATAGAAATGTCAACTGGTCATATTAAAATAAAAAAGTATAGAATAGTTTCTGTTTTACGGATTTTGTATCCAAGTAAATGAAAACACAATCACCTTTCAAAACATGGTATGAAATCCACAGTTGTAACAGTGAGCACAACATGCTTTCTGTGTGTGTTTTTAAGCTCTTTCCCCACATCTGCTTTTCAAAAATATTTGCCTGGAAACCTGTATTTCGCCTATAGAGACAAATACATATATTGTTTGTTGTGATAATGCACAAAAAGGAATGTTAAAAAAAAACACACAACATTGTTTTCCTTTTGATGGTCTGGGAGTTTTTCTATAAGTTTTTGGTTTTTTTTTTTTTTTCTCTTCATTAGTGTGTTAGTTCCATCATCATGTCTGTTTACTATTGAAAAATAAATATCTTCATTTAAAGTAGAGACAAAGCTACTATTTCACATTTCCAGGTAGGACAGGATGATCAGATGCAGCTTTCAAAAGAACTACCTGCTAAATCATAATGGTCTCATGTGCAGATCAAAATGTCAACTAGTATATCAAACAGTGAGCAATTCACTAAATTATTTTTACATTACTCCTATTTGACTGTTTCAGATAGTTGTATATAAAAAATATAAATTTTTGCATTGTATTGTTCTTGATGTACCAGCATACATAAACATATTAGGCTGTATTGTAAGTTTCCTGCATGTAATATGTAATGTGTAATTATATGTGATAAATAAAACCTAAAACTGATACAAATCTAGATTTTCCCTTGTCTTTCTCATTCTGACATTACTGACCTGTTTTAAAAGAATATTCCCCAAGTAAATGTTGCGACGTAGGTAAATAGCCTAAGAATTAGAGTAACAGACAACTTTGATACTAAATAAATACTTCAAAATAAAGAAGTGAACTTTCTCTCTTCATGAATTATTTCTATTTTTAGAACCAAAATGTCTCTAAACCTTGACAACCATAACTTCCTAAGCTAGAATTCTAACCAAACCATACAGAGAAGAAAAATATCCACTGTAAAGTCTATAGTTGAAAATATAGGCAGCTAAATCCACTGATAGTCTACTTTTTTTAAAAATGTGTTCTTGATGTTTTGAGCAGGAAAATTATTTGCAAGAAACAAAGAGTTTGATAAGGTGAAATTCAGAGCATGCTCTGGGTTGTTAGGTACAATTTTTTGAAGTGGAAACGTCTCAACATGAAAACACTTTATGGTAAGAAAAAAACGGCTGGGCGTGGTGGCTCACGCCTGTAATCCCAGCACTTTGGGAGCCTGAGGTGGGTGGATCACGAAGTCAGGAGATCGAGACCATCCTGGCTAACACGGTGAAACCCCATCTCTACTAAAAATTCAAAAAATTAGCCGGGCATGGTGGCAGGCACCTGTAGCCCCAGCTACTCGGGAGGCTGAGGCAGGAGAATGGTGTGAACCCGGGAGGCGGAGCTTGCAGTGAGCCGAAATTGTGCCACTGCACTCCAGCCTGGGCGACAGAGTGAGACTCCATCTCAAAAAAAAAAAAAAAGAAAGAAAAAAACTATCTCAAAATAACATTGCATAACTTTAGATTGCCTATTGAAAAGAGTTATTTACAAGGGCCTTTTGAAAAGAAAAAGCTATGTCCCTATATGTAAAAATTTCATCTCTACATGGTATTACCAGATGTAATTTCCTGACACACAGTTTTTATCTTGTCCTTCTTCTGCTCAAAAGCTTTGAATGGTGTCTTATTACCTAACGATTAAAGTCCGATCCCTTCCCATGGTATTCAAGGGCCTTCATATTTTGTGTGAACATGTCACAATTTATTCACCCATTCTGCTATCAATTGATAGACATTTGGGTCACCTCCAGTCTTAGGTGATCATAATGCTAGTGTGTGACATCTTCAGGTACACATATGCATGCATTTGTCTGGAGTATTTATCTAGAAATTGAATTGTTTGGCAAATAATACCAAATGGTTTTCTGAAGTGACTTTACCAGTCTACCCTCCTTCCAATAATGTGTGAAAAGACTATTTTTATTGAAAAGACTATTTTTCTCAAGTTCATTGTCATGTACCCGTGCCAGAATTCAGGCAGTCCAATGTGTGTTGGTCTGTTTCCAACTGTTGAATTTTTCCATTGATCTGTCCATTCTGTTTTAGATACTGTGCGTTTGCAATGAGTCTTGATTATCTAGCAGCGTAAGCCCTCCAAGTGCTTCATTCTCAAGACTGACTGCTATTCTTGACCCTTTACATTTCTGTATAAATCTTAGAACTAGCTTGTTCATTTCCACAGAAAAGGCCAAAGGGATTGTGATAAAGATAAACTGTTGTCCACTGGAAATGGCCTATGGTTTGGTTGACTGGGACATAGGGTTTGAAAGCTGAGCAATGGAAGAAGCTTTAAGTTTGGCTGAAGACTCATTTTTAAAAACTTTGGCTGTCATTTAAGGAGTATGCACTTTATTCACTGCACAGTGGGGAACCATCAGTGATCTTTAAGAACAGAAGTCAGATGATTAGATTTGTCTTTCTGAAAGATCACTAGGAGGCAACATCCATGCCTAATTTCTGTCACCTAAATTCCCAGGTATCTACTCTAAATACAGAGTTATATTCATACCCAGGCTTTGGGAGATGAATTATTCCTTCTGGAACCCCAAAGCAGAGGAGAAGTTGTTTCATGCCTGGCTTTGCAGGAGAGAGACCTCACCATGGGATAGAGTAAACAAAGCCAACCAGATACTTCTTTCTGATGCATCGACATTCAATCCAAGATTTAGTTTGAGAGGCAGGAGGGTGCCCTCTCTGAAATGGTTTATGTCTGCAAAGAAGACTTCTGATGTGCAAGAAGAGACCAGCAGATACAATGGCCCTGGTTCTGAAGCTGCGCCTGAATCACCCACCCTGCATCTCACATCACCCCTTGCCCTCCCTCTAATCCCCAGGCCGAGGCAGGGAACCCACTTAGCACTGACAGTGCTAGAGACATAATATATCCAGAAGCCACACTGAGGACCATCAAACACAACAGAACAGGAACTTGTTAAAAGATATTCAACCAGGGCTCAGACTCCTCACCCTCAAGCTTCTGACTCAGATAGAAGGAGCGATCAGGCCAACCTGCAAATTGCAGATAGTTCTCTTCGAGAAACTGGCTAGCTGAGCAGCGAATTTAAAATTTAACATGCATTTTTTTTTTAGGACAAGAGTCCTAAAAAACCACTATTTGAGTCCAAAGAAAACCACTATTTGAGAAGGGAAAATGAGAATAGTAGTTAACCCAGTTGTCAAAAATAGCTGACAGAAACTATCTATTTAAATTAGGTTTCATTTTGGGAAGAGAAGATCTCAGAACCCTTCTTTCATACCCACCCATCATCTATGGGTTTCCCAGAGCCAGTCTGGTGGCCAGCCAAGACGTGGACAATTTCACTAAGTCAAATCTATAGTCCGCATTCTAACAACGCTTTTTAAATTTCTTTTTTGCCATGTGTACTATGGAATTCACTGGAGGTGTCAGAATATGAGAACAGATATCTTCCCTTATTAAGTCTATGTACCCATCCTAAAGAATATTGACATTCGGCCAAGTGCAGTGGCTCATGCCTATAATCCCAGCACTTTGGGAGGCCAAGGCGGGTGGATCACCTGAGGTCCGGAGTTCAAGACCAGCCTGGCCCACATGGCAACACCCCGTCTCTACTAAAAATACAAAAATTAGCCAGGCATGGTGGCAGGCACCTGTAATCCCAGCTACTCGGGAGGCTGAGGCAGGGAGAATCGCTTGAATCTGAGAGGTGGAGGTTGCAGTGAACCGAGATCATGCCACTGCACTCCAGCCTGGACAACAGAGTAAGACTCCATGTAAAAAAAAATATATAGATAGATATAGATATAGATATAGATATAGATATAGATATAGATATAGATATAGATATTTTGTCAAGCATACTACAGCTTAATGTTTGCCCAGATGTGGGGGAAACTTTGTTTTTTAACTCTGTCTTCTTCCTAGTGGCAGGCTCCCTGGCCAACTTGAAAAGGCTATATAAAAGGCTTGGTCCAGCCATGGTGTCCAACTTCTCCAAGGTACCTAGGCCTCATATCCAGGCATATAGAACCTCTTGGCCTTGGCCAAGTCTCCCGAGGAATGAAAGCAGTAGCTGTAGGCACCACTCGACATTTTCCTAGTACAGCCTGGTACTCCCAGCAGTGCCAAAGCTGCTAGTTTCCCATTGAAACTAGAAATGTGTTTTCTGAAAGGAAAGTATACCCAAAACATCAAGACTGAGAGAAAAAAATTGAAAGCATTTCATATTTAATGTCCCTAAAGAAGCATCGTAGGGAATATTAAACTCAAAACTTTGCTGGGCTTTACCTGTGTTGAGTATTTTTATCATTTTGACTTACACACAGAAGGAGAATCATTCTCTTGAGTGTTTAGCACCTATAAAGGCGTGATTCGGCTCTGCCTCCAGGAAGGCTGAGACATCATATCCCAGAGAGTCCTGGGTGATCACAGGGAAATGGCTGAATATGAATTTGTTGGGTCCTGGCCATCATAAAGGCAAAAGAAGCTATAGCCAAGGGATCCCAGGCAAACCCCTACCTGTGTCATGCCTGTCACTAGTTCTGTTTTCTGGGGCTTCCACGTCTCTATCTCCCCATCACCACTCTCCTGCCCCTCGCCTCCCTGACTGCGCCATGGTTTCATTCCAAGGCTAAATATTTAATACGAAGAACACTCTGCCCAAGGTAGAAGGAGAGAAGAAATAAGAGAAACTCCTATGAGAATGTGTGTATGATATTAGGCTATCCCTGACTCTTCTTGTAAAATAATGGTGTCAATTTCAGCTGAATCATCTAGAAAGAGATGTCAGATATATCTAAGTGATTCTGTAGACTGAACTCATCTAAATCTCTCATACCCACCTGAGGGGCCCTCTCTAGAATGGCCAGGGGGATCTCATGTTCCACCTAATCCCTCAGCCCCTCCGCTTGGTTCCTGGGCCCTCTTCCTGCACTGGCGCAGCATCCCCACAGACAGTGCCCAAGACAGTGTCTGAAATTCAGGTACAACAAAAATATACATCTCCTTTACTTCAAATACATGGGGAGAGTGGTGAAAACTGGCAGCTGCTTTCCATGACCTGCCCATATGATGTGGATGGAGCTGGGATTTGAAGGGATGCCAACATGTGACTTGCAAAGGATGGGTGAAAAGGGAGGCAAGCCGAGCGATAGGTAGCTGCCCACACCTACTTGTCAAAAAAACATTCCTGCTGCTATTTGGGGATATAAAGTGTCTTTGAAAGCAGCTCACATTTTAAACCTTTTAATGATAACAAAAATTGTAATAATGATCTTGTGAACATACATCAAGTATGGACTATTTATGGTCATTCCACTAAGATCTTTATGATCTCATTTAATCTTCACGACAACCTTAGACAGTAATACTAGTATCTCGTTTCACAGATTAGGAAACCAAGCCTGAGAGATTACATTACCCACAGTAGCCCAGCTAATATATTATGTCAAAACTATACTTTTAACCTCCACATTACACTACCTCCTTCAAAAATTATTCCCCAAGAATATAGGTGAAATGCCTATGAAATACAAGTCCATAATTAGAAAAGTGGGCTTATGGTAAAGAGAATATTACATCTATGTACAGTGATAAAAAGAAAGGAAAAGATAGGAGTATATTTATTATTTTAAAATGTATCTGTTACCTCTGAATATACTTGCTTTCTGTGGCATGCTTGTGCAAGACTAATAAATTATATTAATAAAGAAATAAACCTTTATGTACTCAGTTATTGATGCTAATAATTTTATTTCCAAAGTTAGAAATATTTTTCTATAATTTAATAAATCATTAAATTTATTTAACAGAATAAAGTTAACAGATAAACAGAAATCAATTCATAAGTACTCTATACCAGGGGCCACCTTGGGTATTTTAAGAGATTCAAAAAGAGAAGATTCTGGTGATATTTACAGTCTTATTCCAATTATCTTACAAATCAAAATGAAAGTGTACAGCCTTTACACATACAAAAGAATGGTACAGATTCAGTCCTAAGTCAAATAACACATGTTTTATATACCATGAGAGTTCAGAAGGAAACACCATTTCAGCCACAATTGGCCTGGAAAACTTCACAGGTAAAATAGAAGTATGAAATCGAAATCAATGGATAGGACAAGAGGGATGTTGGAAGAAGAAGAATTTGCATGAGCCAGACACAGAAGAATAAATAACCCTGAAGACCCAGAACTCAGGGCTGAGACCCATCTTTCTGTTAAAGAGCCCTCACGTTCATGAAGAATATTCAGAATTCATTTGTTTCCAACTAACATGGGGCATAATGCTGAGCATTGGAAATAGAGATATAAAAAGACATAGTCTTCCCCTTCAAGGACTTCTGAGCCCAGTAGAAAGCAAAGAAAATCAAGCCAGCATCTACAATACTAATTAAAATTCTGAGCTTTCAAGTCACACTGACCAGGTGTAACTCCTTACTCCTTCGACTTACTAGCATATTCTTAAACTCTCTGAGCCTGTTTCTGCCACTGCAAAGTCTCTCATAATTGACGTGAGGATTAAATTAGACAGTATGCAAAAAGCTTTCAGGAAAAAAAAAAAAGTCACGCAGTTTTTTAACAAGTAAATATTTTAATGCTAATATTTTAGAATACCTTCATACAGAGGTTATTCTAGGCCAGTTATTCAGTTGAATCGCCTGATTGCTTTAAAATAAAAAATACCAATGTCTGGAACCTGCTGCAGATGAATTATATCAGCAAGTATCTGGAGGTGGGACCTGGTCCTCAGGACTTTGCTCAAAGTCCTCCCGGTAAGGCTCATGTGCCTGCTTTCTGGGTTGAGCATATGGAAGGAATAAGGAGCTCTGCCCATGTGTTTGCCGGGAAGGAGCGTGTCAAGATGAAACCACCTTTGCAAAATTATGACGGAGACAGAGAAAGAGGTCCAACTTAAATGACCCCATCTTGCCTCTAACCTCCAAGGGGTCCTGTTAATTCCTGGGCATAGGCTGAACCAACTTTGGGAGGAACTTAGTTTAGAGTTTATAGTTTAAAACAAAGATGATAACAGACCTTTCCCAAAACAAACCTCCTTCTTGCCTGGGTACTAGACGACTAACATTAGCCACAAGATTAGAAATTATAGTTTAGGAGTCACGTAGCCGGAGGCTACAAGATTCTGACCCTCCCTAAACTGCTCCTAAGATCAATGCTTGAGATGTTTTGCAGACTCTACACTTGATGGATCAACCGGCACTACCCAGATTGAGAAACCAGCCCATCTGATCTTGTGACCCCACCCAGGAACTGACTCAGCGCAAGAAGACTGGGACACCCCAGGATTTCACCTCCAAGCCAACCAATCAGCACTCCCTGACTCACTGCCCCTCCACTCCCACCAAACTGTCTTTAAAAACTTTGATCCCTAAATGTTCCAGGAGACTGATTTGAGTAATAATAAAACTCTGACCTCTGGCTTGGCCAGCTTTGCGTGAATTACTCTTTCCCTATTGCGATTCCCCAGTCTTGAGAAATCAGCTCTGTCTGGGCAGCAGGTAAGGTGACCCATTGATAGGTTACAAAGGCAGGCCTCCTGGAATGGATGATTCCTGACTTGTGTCGCTGGTATCAGAGTCTGACAGACAAGAAGGGAAGAGGATAAGATGTGTACCAAACATTGGAGAGGTCAAGAGGGGGGTTATAGTCCTCTTTTGGGGGTCTTAAAAATGGTTTCCCTTTTGAAAACTCTTGGAGTTCTCACCTTAAAATCTCTTGACTTTAAAATTTCTTTCAACCTGGAGCACATTATAAACCAGAAAATAAGAAAACCAGAATAAGCTGAAGAGAAACAGCTACCATGCCCCAAGGATGGAGCAATCAACAAAAACAGTGCTTTGAGGATCTCATGTCTCTAGCATCTCAGAAAAAGCCCCCTGACCTGTGCAGCCCAGGGACACCTTCTTAGTTTATAGCTATCCTTAAAATGAGAAAGGGCATCACTATGGCTGCAGCTGGGCCTAACACACAGCCATCAGTCAGTGGTCGGTTAATATATTTTCAGAGGAGCAATCAGAGTGAAAGACACTTAAGGCCCCTGGTAAGTGTAGGCAGCCACTTAAATCAGCCCCTAACATCTAGCTTGCTAGAAATTTGATCAAATGCTTATCTTCTCCACGGTATATGAAATGGAAGACATGATCTGCAGACCAAGATGACCAGAAAAAAGAAGCGTTCATTCCCCTGGCCCGCAGTTTAAATTCCCCGGTGACGTTATCTCTTGGGGGGAACAAAAAAGAAAAATCACACTTGAATCAGTCTAGGCCAAAAGCAATTGAGGAAGCAACCATCCCATCTCCAGTTCCCCGCCCTCTTGAGAAAACCAGAACGGAGGGCCTGAAACATTGATATGCAAGTCACTCTCAAGCTATGACTCAGTTTTCTTCTCAAAGCAATTAACAATTACCAGCATTTATTCAGTGAATGGGAGTCAGGCAAACAGACAGACACTGACAGTCTGTCATTATCGCAACAAAAGAACCACAGCTTTTATCCTCCCCAGAGGAAGTAAGACTTTAGAACTCTTCAACTTTCAAGCTTACATACTTCCCTGACCTATGGTTTATTTCATCATCAGCCTTAAAAATAATAGAAAGTTTAGCCGTTTATGTTATTTTATTTTTTTTTTTTTTTTGAGAAAGAGTCTCGCTCTGTCACCCAGGCTGGAGTGCAGTGGCACGATCTCAGATCACTGCAACCTCCATCTCCCAGGTTCAAGCGATTCTCCTGCCTCAGCCTCCTGAGTAGGTGGCATTACAGGCGTGTGCCACCACACCAGCTAATTTTTGTATTTTTAGTTGAGACAGGGTTTCGCCATGTTGGCCAGGCTGGTCTCAAATTCCTGACTTCAGGTGATCCGCCCGCCTCAACCTCCCAAAGTGCTGGGATTACAGGTGTGAGCAGCCCCGCCTGGCCTTATTTTTGAGGCACTACTTGGAGATGGACCTCCCAAGAATCATATGCAGCTCCAGATAGGGCAAAAGGAGGCCATTATGAATCATAGATATACAGGTCAACCCACAGAGGGCACCCTGCCTACACTCCCTACCCTATTGACGGCCTGGCAGGAGAAGGCACCCTTTCTGCAAACTTCCTGCAGACTGCATCCTATTGGCCACTTCCTAACTACTCAGATGCTGTTTTTAATGTGATCAAGTCCATTCAAGAGTTGGTTGTCACATGTCCATTTGAGGCCAGCACTAGATGCTGTAGAAGCCAGACTGAATGAATGACTCACGTATGGCCCCAGCTCTTCAGTACTAGACTTACAGTTTGATCAGAGCCTCAGTCATGGAGCCAAGGCAAAACCAGAATGTTCACTCCTTGGTGGTCTCATGGTTAAGATTTGTCACTCTCAAACTAGAATCAGATCCACCCCTGACTGTTATTGGATGCAATACATTTAGCTATTCTGAGCCTAGGTTTAGTTTTCTCATTCATCAGAAAGATAAAACCTACCTCACATAAAAGAGATAATGGACACAAAGCACCTTCCCTGATGCTCAGTACATGGGCAGCGCGTGTTAATGTTATAAATCACCCGCTTATCCCAGTCTTTACCAGCTGGTGAGTATAAATATTCTAACGGTTAGCTTACCCCTAAGTCTCAGTGCTCTATCCCCTAGGTCTGTCATGCCAAAACTCCAGTCTTTTCCATTAATTTTCTCCCAAATTATTTCCTCTTGGAGGCCTTGATGGGGGTGGGGCTGGTGGTATTCGCAGCAGCCCTGTGGTCTGAAGTCGGCAGAGCTCTGTGTGAAGCCCGAAAATTTGAGACAGGTCTCAGTTAATGTATCAAGTTTATCTTGCAGAGGTTGAGGATGTGCAGCTGTGACACAGCCTCAGGAGGTCCTGACGACATGTGCCCAAGGTGGTCAGAGCACAGTTTGGTTTTATACATTTTTGGGAGACGTGAGACATCAATCAACATATGTAAGATGAACATTGGTTCAGTCCAGAAGGGCAGGACAACGCGAAGCGGGCAAAGGGCTTCCAGGCCACAGCTAGGTGAAAGACAAGCTGTTGCATTCTTTTGAGTTTCCGATTGGTCTTTCCAAAGGAGGCCATCAGATATGCATTTATCTCAGTGAGTAAAAGGATGACTGAATACACTGGGAGGCAGGTTTGCCCTAAGCAGTTCCCGGCTTGAATTTTCCTTTTACCTTAGTGATTTCAAGGCCCAAGATATTTTCCTTTCACATCTCCCAATCCACAAGCCTCAGTTCCTGCCTTACATTCTGCCTCTCATGACCAAGTTTTACACAAGTGGTTGCTAGTAGATCTGTGGTACTGGTATCATCTTTGATTTCTCCTCTCCAGAGTGCTCAAGCATTTGAAAGTTGGAAAAGATGCAAATAGCCCAACTCTCACGCTCTGGACCTGTAATCTGTCCCCTCCAACCTCTGGCCGTCTCTGCTGGGCTTGTGTTACAGTGGGTAGCTCATCAGGCATGAGCAGGGCAGGACAGGACTCCCCACCCCACCCCTCCAGGAAAGTCAGGTGATGGTCAAGCAGTTGTCACACTGCCCCTCTAAAATAACAATAGGTCGCAGCCAGCGCCAGGGAGAGGCAGTCTCTCCATAGATAATAACACCTGAAATTGGTCATCAGCAGCTTCCAATAAGATCTCAGGAACTGGGTGACTGGGCTCGACCATGCACATTAAGAGGCAAAATGGGTAGTATGACCTTCTGGGGACATTCCACCAGAAAAGGCGAGAACACCTCAGGCGAGCATGTGTACAACTCCAGTAAACACACTGTGTACTCTTGTCGCCCTGGGATTATAGGCCACTGAGCATGCAGGCGGCTCTCCCTGAAGGAAGAATCCAAGGAAAGGGGCACTAGACTCCAGTAGTCGACCAGAATATAAAATCCTAGATCCAAGGTCAAACGGGGCACTTGTCCTTCAAGTCACCCACCTGGGCCTCTTCCAAGTGTACTTTCCTTTCTTTCATTCCTGCTCTAAAGCTTTTTAAGAAACCCTTACTCCTGCTCTGAAACTTGCCTCAGTCTCTTTTTCTGACTTATGCCCCTCAGTCGAATTCTTTCTACTGAGAAGGCAAGAATTGAGGTAGACTTGCACGGATTCCCCTCCACTAGCTCGGATACCTTCCACTGCTCACACTTGGCCTTTTAGCCTTGCAGTCCATGGTTTCTGCCACTCTTCTCATTCTCTAATGCAGCCTCATCTGAGGTTCCCCCAATTCCATCAAATAACTGAGACCTATCTGAACCCCAAGGGAGGACCAGTTCTTCCTTACAATTCTTCCAGGTTCCATACCAATCAGAGAGTATTTTGAACTCCCTGAACATTCTCTGCCTGGAGTAGAGGAATTCCAGCCAGACTAATAGAGTCTCATTTCTAATATATATATAAAAAAAGGTCACTAACATAGACATACATATATGCACATAAATGCACAGATATAATATGTGTTTAATATAAGGTAATTTAATATTTTTTTGATTGCCTTTCTACAGTAAGCCAAACTGCTTATGTGTCTATTAATACACCTGGTATTTTTCTGAGTTCACTCCTCTGTCCCATTGTATCTAAGACTGGCATACCTAGTCCTTCTCTCATCACTCTTGCTCCATCTATACCGATACCTCAAAATGCAGCTCAAACTTCACCACCTCCATGAAGCCCTCCTTGACCACTACAGCACACAGTCCTCTCTTCTTCATCTACATTTATTAAAATTATTGGTCATGATGTAATTTGACAATGAATTTATTCTTCATCAGGACAAGAAAGATAGACAGGAAGCAAAGAGTAACAAGACCACAGAGTGAAGTGTAAGAATATAAATTGCCTTCTCTTGCATAAACTACTGGGAAAGGAGTTTGGAGACAGATAGATGCTATGGTTTGAATGTTTGTCCCCTCCAAAAGTCCCCATGTTAAAAATTTAGTTGCCTTTGTTTCAGTGTTGAGAGGTAGGACGTTTAAGAGGTGATTGGGCTATGAGGGTTTCACCCTAATGAATGGGATTAATCTCACTTTAAAAGGGCAAGTTTGGTCCTAAAACAAGACTCAGGAATTTCCACTTCTGGAAAAATGGAGTAGATATATTTTTCCTTACTTCTACTACAAAATACCACACACACACACACACAAATTGAAAACAGAAAAACAATAGAGAAAATCACTAAAATAAAAAGGCAGTTATCTGACAAAAGCAATAAAATTGACAACCCTCTAGCAAGACTGACCGAAAGAGAAAGAGAGAGAGAAAGGACACAAATTACCAATATCAGAAATGAAACAGGGTTTTCAGTACAGACCTGCAGATATCAAAAGGATAATAAAGAAATACTATAGATAATTCAACAAAAATAAATTTGGCAGCTTACATGAAATGAGCCAATTCCCCAAAAATCACAAACTACCACAAGTCACCCAATATGAAACAGATAATTTCAATACCCTGTAAGTATTAAGGAAATAGAATTTGTTATTTTAAAATTCTCAAAAAAATGTCTCCAAGCCCAGATAATTTCACTGAAGACTTCTACTAAACGTTTAAAGAAGAATTTACATCAATTCTACACAATCTCTTTGAGAAAATTGAAGAGAACACTTCCCAATTTACTTTCAAAGCTACTGTTATATTGATACCAAACCAGATAAAGATAGCACCAAAAAAATTTACAGACCAATATTCATCCTGAATAAAGAAGTTAAACTTTTTAACAAAATATTAGCAAATAAGGTTCAGCAACATTTAATAAGAATTATACAACACGGGCCGGGCATGGTGGCTCAAGCCTGTAATCCCAGCACTTTGGGAGTCTCAGGCAGGTGGATCACCCGAGGTCAGGAGTTCGAGACCAGCCTGGCCAACATTGTGAAACCCCGTCTCTACTAAAAGTACAAAAAATTAGCTGGGTGTGGTGGTGGGTGCCTGTAATCCCAGCTACTGGGGAGGCTGTAGCAGGAGAATCACTTGAACTCAGGAGGTGTAGGTTGCTGTGAGCCGAGATCGCGCCATTGCACTCCAGCCTGAGCAACAAGAGCGAGACTCTGTCTCAAAAAAAAAAAAAAAAAAAAAAAAGAATTATACACCATGACCAAGTGGAATTTATTCCAAGGAAGCAAGGCTGGTTTGATACTCAAAATAAATCAAGAAACTCACCATATCAATAGTAAAAGAAGAAAAATCATCATTATATCAATTGATACATAAAATTAATTTGACAAACTTTAACATCCATTCATGATGAAAACTCTCAGAAAAATAAGAATAGATGGCAATAGGAACTCCATCAACTAGATTTAAAAAATATATATACCAAAAAACTACAGCTACAATTATATTTAATGGTGAAAGACTGGATGTTTTCTCCCTAAACACTGGAAACAAAGCAAGGATGTCCACCCTCACTACTCTTATTCAAGAAAATGCCAGAAGTTCTAGTTAGTGCAATAAGACAAGAGAAGGAAATAAAAGTCATACAGTTAAGAAGGAAACAAACCAACAAACTTCTGTTGGCAGATGACATGACTGTGATTATCTTTGTAGAAAATCCTCAGAAATCTTAAAAGAAAAAAACAAAAAACCCTCCCAGAACTAATAAGGGAGTTCAGCAAAATCACAGAATTGAAGATGAACAGACACAAAAATCAACTGTATTTCTATATGTTTGCAACGGACACATGGACAGCCAAATTAAATATACAATGCCATTTACAATCACTCAAAAAATGAAATAGGTGTTAATCTAATACAAACATACAGGACTCATGCTAAAAACTATAAAACACTGATGACAGAAATCAAAGACATTTAAATAAATGGAGAGACATACATTGTTCATAGGTTGGAAGACTCAATGAAATAAAGATGTCAATTCTTCCCAAATTGATATACAGGTTTTTCCCAGCAATGGGTTTTGTAGATGTAGACAAGATTATTCTAAAATTTACATGAAAGGGCAAGGAACTAAAATAGCTAAAACATTTTGAAAAAGAAGAATAAATTGGGAGGAAGCAGCAGTCTGCCCTATTTCGATACTTATGTAGCTACAGGAATCAAAGATGTGCGGTATTGACAGAGGGATAGAGACATGGATCAAATGAACAGAGATAGAAAACCCAGAAATAGGCCCACATAAATACACCAAACTTATTTTTGACAAAGGTGTGAAAGCAATTCAATGAAGATAAAAGTGTTTTCAACAAATGGTGCTGGAGCAATTGGACATCCATAGGCAAAGAAAGAAAAATAAACCTTGATTCATAAGGTTTATAACCCTCACACTGTATTCAAAAAGTATCATACTGTCCTTGATGAAATAGCCCAACAAGAAGGCAATATTTGCATGGGGCATCTCAGCAAGTCAGTGGTTTTACAAAGAGACATTTGGTTAACTTAGATATTTAAGTAAAGAAAGAAAGTGGGCCAGACGCAGTGGCTCACGCCTGTAATCCCAACACTTCGGGAGGCCAAGGCAGGCAGATCTCTTGAGGTCAGGAGTTCAAGACCAGCCTGGCTAACATGGTGAAACCCCATCTCTATTAAATATACAAAAATCAGCTGAGCGCGGTGGCGGGCGCCTGTGATCTCAGCTACTCAGGACGCTGAGGCACAAGAATCACTTGAACCTGGGAGTCGGAGGTTGCAGTGAGCTGAGATCGTGCCACTGCACTCTAGTCTGGGCAACAGAACAAGACTCCCTCTCAAAAAAAGAAAAGAAAGAAAGTGGAAGAGGAAATCTACAACCTACTTTGATCAATAATTTCTATTGGTGGATAAGGGTAACACTTAAACTCCAGCCAAAATTTATAAGGTATATAATGGAGTACTTTGTGCATAACATATAAAATCAGTATTGAAAATATGTTGTGTGATTGCTGGTGAATGATTCTGATATTCACTCATATTGGATGATACATTAAGGTGACAAGTTAGGGAAAAGAGCATTTGCATTCTAGCTTCATTCTTGGGACTGACAAACTATGGTGCAAGGAGAAACACAATATCATCCTTAATATGCTGTGCTTCCCCTGGGTACCTTTATGAGCATGGAACTGAAAGGGCACCCCACATGGAAGAGCCATGCCGAGGGGTGGGTAACTGTCCTAGGTCAGGTTCCAGAGAAGAGTTGGGGCCAGAGATGGGGATTTTTGTTAAAGTGATGCATTGAGGAGGGAATCTCAGAAGGGGCATTGGGAAAGGAGGGTGGGGCGTGGGAAGTAAGCTAATTAACAAAACAGTCTGGATAGAAACTAGCTTCCATCTAGTCTTGAGGGCAGCTCTGAAGTCCACATTGCACCACAGAGCTGGTTCTACCTTAAGGGAAATGGACTTTTGTACTCTTCATAAATCAGTTATTGGTCACTGGCTGCTGAGGGAGAGGTGGGGAAGGGGAGCAGAAGGACAACTGCTCCAGGGAAGCAGCTGCTATTCAACCAGAGGTGAAGTTCTGGAGGACAAGGCAATGGGGAGTGGTTAGCAGCCACCATTCACTGTAATTTGGGTCCATCTGCCTGGATAAGAGGATCTAAACAGATCGCTATCAACACCCAGTGGAGTCCATCTCTTCTCTCGCTCATGTTCTCTTGTTTTTCATATTGTTCACTACATAGGAACTGTCATGATTTCTGGAGAAACTTCCAAAAGGCAAGTTAGGGTGATGAACTACAGCTGTGTGGTACAATTGGTCCTAAAGCCTTCGGTGATACATTATCTCCCTCCTACACAACACATTCTAGATTTTCCTTCACTTGCGTTTCTGCTGTTTGGTGTCCCAGGCCTTCATCCCTGAGCTGTTTGAGCCCCTGTTCACCATATACTTATCAGGCCAGTTGCTTCACTGAGCGAGTTATAACTGAGTGTGAGCATAGGCATACCAAGAGACACCCTAATAGATCATGTGAATGCCAACCATACTCTTCCTTCTTCTATTAAGAAACAGCAAATCCTACCTCCTCATGATTATCAATCATCCCTGCCAGCTGGTAAATCCTTTCAGTGCCACTGATCTCCTACCATGAGGAACCCAAAGGAACTAAGTGTCAGGCATAGGTTTACTGGAATTCTTACAGCATCCTCTGGCAGGAGCAGGACCTCTAGATCCAGAGAGCCTAAAGTTGTAGGGATGGGAAACACAAATCCCAAGTTGATCACTTGGAGCAGTGAAGAGCTGGACCAGTCCTATTTTCACCCCTTGGTTCCTTGACCTATATAATTCAGCCTATTGGGGTCAGAGTACCCCAGTTTTTTATAAAGTATGGCCAGTTTTTTGTAAAGTATACTATATTCTGAAGGCTGATTCTCCATTCTCATAAGATGTCTTCCACTGGCAGGTGCCTCACCTGCACCTTCAAGAGACTTTTTCAAGGCTCTTTCAGGCCAACAGCTTCTGAATGGAAAAGCATGTGAAAGAACCACATGATCCCATGATTATGTGCCCACTGCCTCACTTCCTTGGCCATACAGTGGGATCCCATGCATAGATCAAACATTCTGTGAACCCTGGAATATTAGTGTTGACTGAGGCACTGTATCAAGGAAAGGCCAATCCATGGGTGAAATCCTTGTCTTTCATAGCCAGGATGAAACATTGCTTTTTCCCAGATGGAAGGGGTCCAAGCTAATCAAGTTGCCAACAAGTATCTGGTTGATGTCCAAAACATGATACCTTATTGGGACTCTGCATTGACTTTTGTTATTAGCAGGCAAGCCATCCAGCAGCAGCAGTAGCTTGCAGCCTTGGTGAATGTGTGCATGTCTGGGGGCCATGGTGCCCCTCCATCTCTGCCACCATGTCTTCTCTGTTCATGAGCCCATGCACATGTCAACAGAGAAACTAGCAGACATTGCTGGCTGAGTCATCCTGCCTGTGTGCTTCTTCTGAAAGGGACGCTCTCTGGTAGGTATTTTCATTCAATATAAAGATCAGATCATCAACATTGTGCCCACTCCCACAGGTACCTCCACAAGGCTCTCCCCCAGACCTCCTTGTCCACTATGTTCCTTGGGTCACTTCTATCTCCACACAACATGGATGGCAAGATATGTTACATGAAGCTCTGCCCCGTGGAAGGCTTTCCATTCATCACCAGCTTTCAGAGTCACCCATAAGTGAGGCTGTAGGGCAGTCATAGCCCATTTTTGGCTTGAACATTTAGAAACCAGTGAGAACATGGGTCATCTATTACTTGACCTCTGTATACCCCTACCTTAACACAGAGGCCATGATATTTTTTGAGTAGTTCCTGGAAATCAGAAACAATGTGGCCCCTGTATACAATTTTTCTTAAAAGATTTATGTATTCCCCTTCCCCATTGTACACTTGCCCAAGTAAATGGTTATAGGTTCCTTTGGGAAGGACTAGGGGAATTGCCTGTATCTTATCTCAGGGTGTATTAGTTCATTTTCACACTGCTGTGAAGACATACCTGAGACTGGGTAATTTATAAAGAAAAGAGGATTGATTGACTCACAGTTCCACGTGGCTGGGGAGGCCTCAGGAAACTTAACAATCGTGGTAGAAGGGGAAGAAAACACATCCTTCTTTACATGGCAGCAGGAGAGAGAAGTGCAGAGCAAAGGAGAGTGGGAAAGTCTCTTACAAAACCATCAGATCTTGTGAGAACTCACTCACTATCACAAGAACAGCATGGGGGTAACTGTCCCCATGATTCAATTACCTCCCCTCCATCCCTCCCATGACACGTGGGATTATGGGAACTACAATTCAAGATGAGATCTGGGTAGGGACTCAAAGCCTACCCATATCACATGGTGTTGTTAAAATCGTCTTCCTCATGAGAAACAGCCTCCTCTTGAGGGTTAGGTCTCAAAACTGAACAAGGGATTGTGACTTTCTTTTGAAGCAGCTGACCTCAGCCTTCTGCATATCCATTCTGGATCGTGTGTGTGTGTGTGTGTGTGTGCGCGCGTGTGTGTGTAGAGAGAGAGAGAGAGAGAGAGAAACTTCCCATATATCTTGTCTTTAGAAATGCCACATTCTATTATTCTATTAGCAATCTCCCAAGATCTTCCAAGATCCATATGGTTGGTCCCATATGGTCAAGGCCCCAGGTAGCCATTCCAGCCTTGTGCCTACTACAGTAGTTCTGAATACCTTGCTTATGACTATACAGTGCTGCCATCTGGCCTCTACTATTCCAGAATTCTGTTATCCCCGTTGCTTCTAGATAGTTATTTTCCCTCACAGCGTCTCCTACTGACAGCTCCCACCTCCACAGGACAGCCACCATAGCTTTTTAATGATGCTAATAGCCCCCTCACCAGCACGTCCCAATTGCTTTGGCAAATAATGTCCCACCAAGGCAGATTATCTGCTAGTGGGTTTCCTGGTTTAATAATTCAATTGTTTGAGTTTTTCCCCTACTTCTCTGGGCACTTGCGTCCCTTCCTCCACAATCTGCCTGGCAGTTCTGACAACTCATCTTCATTAAATTTGGGACACCATTTTCCAGGCTTTCAAGGAGAGCCATTTCAGCAGCATATTAGTCTCCCTGGGCTCTTGCCCAGCATGAATTCCTGTGGCAGACAACAGGGATGGTATATTAAGCCTATATTAATAACCTCTCCCTTGTCTTGCTTGATGCTTTGTTCTTGCTTCCCTTGATCCAACCTTCAGGATCTACTCCCAGGTGTTGTGTCCTGGTTCCTGCCAGTGAGTCAGAAGGTTCTGCAGTTATTTGATGTATAAGTGCCTTCGTCCTTTAGTCAGACTAGCCCTTCCCCCATTGGCTAATGCTGATTGGTCCTATTGACAAATCAGGCACCCAAGATAGGGAAATTGGGAGTGAGCCTAGCAAGGCCAGGCATTGTCTTATAAGGTCCCTGCCTCATGGGAACCCTCTGGGTAGTTTTGAAGACTGGGGGCTTGGAGCCCTATATCCCAATAAGGAGGAGTCCACCTCTGTTGCAGGCTCAGACGTTTCAAGTGAACCTGGGGATTCACATTTCTCAAGCTTCTTTACCCGCACATCCCCATTCCAAGTCTCAAAGCCTTGTTCCTTCTCTGTCAAGATCCTGACTTTGACATTGAAGACTGGCCAAGGCCAAGTGTTTAATCTTCTTTGAAATTCTGTCACTCTTGTACCTGATTTTGAACTCTTTCTGCCTTCGGACCACAGAAGATTAGTATTAATCAGTATCTCTCTAAATGTTGCCCAAAAAGCCATTCTCCAACATTTTGCTTTAAATTGTTAATAGACCTGAGCCTGTTATCTAAGCCTGTTCCTCTCTTCGATGCGTCAATGGCACTCAGCGACTACTTTCCCCCACGCCTGTCAAATACCAGAGACACTGCCCCAGCTGGTCCACCCTCTTCCTCCTGTGTCTTGTCTCAGTCCACCACAGGTAAAAGTCTCAGCAACCACAGACCACAGGAGGTGTTGTCCCAATTGGCATGCAGCTGGCTCTGCAACCAAGGAGCGCCCATCTCTCTAATTCCATCCTTACGATCGGTATCCTGGGTCCTTTCCAGTACTAACCGCCTTAGGCTGGAAGCAAAGCCTGAGAAATGGAGTCTTGGGACCGTGATTTATTGAAGGAATGCTTTCAGAAGGGAGTGAGGGAAGCAAGATAGGACAAGGGGGTGGGAGAACCTAAGCAAGGCTGTGACCTTAGTTGTGGACCAGATTCAGCCTGGTCCCTGGGGGAAGCCCTGGAGCACACATCCTACCACAGAATTGCTTCCATTTTGAGACAAGGGCAAAAGAGGGGCAGGGCCCTTTGCACCACAGCTGTCAGTCATTGTTGTGGCCGCCATGGTTGGGGATGGGGAGCATAACCTCCTGACCTGAGTGGCTTTCATGTAGCTGAGGGAAATTTTCTGGAAAAGGAGCACGGTATTTGCTGCAAAAACTCATAGCCACTGGGGAATGAAAGCTCTGGCCAGGTAAAGGGATCTGGGCAGGGCATCAACAGCATCCACAGCAAGAGCCTCTGGCATGAGGACAATAATGTGCTAAATCTCCAGGCACCCTGTTTGCCTGGGAATTTTGCTCCTTCCCTACACCTCCTACTCTGGCTAGAACTGCCGAGGTATGCTCAGAAGAGACTTCTGGGTTGATGTTGTGTTTATGCCTTCCTAGAATACGTGACTGGAAAAACAAGCAGACTGGCATCAAGGAATTAGCTATAAATCCAGGTTCGTTCGTTTGTTTGAAGAGAAACAACAAATAGAGGGCCGGGCGCGGTGGCTCAAGCCTGTAAGTCCCAGCACTTTGGGAGGCTGAGGTGGGTGGATCGCTTGAGGCCAGAAGTTTAAGACCAGCCTGGGCAACATGGTGAAACCCTGTCTCTACTAAAAATACAGAAAAGTTAGCCGGGTATGGTGGCGCAGGCCTGTAATCCCAGCTATTCACGAAGCTGAAGAACAAGAATTGCTTGACCCTGGGAGGCAGAGGTTGCAGTGAGCCAAGATCGCGCCACTGCACTCCAGCCAACAGTGAGACTTTGAAAACAAAAAAAAAAAAGAAAGAGAGAGAGAGAGAGAAAGAAAGAAGGAAGAAAGAACGAAAAAGAAAGAGAAAAGAAAAAGAAGAAAGAAAAGAAAGAAAGAAAAAGAAAAGGAAAGAAAAGGAAGAGAGAAGAAAGAAAGAAAGAAAGAAAGAAAGAAAGAAAGAAAGAAAGAAAGAAAGGAAAGAAAGAAAGAAAGAAAGAAAGAAAGAAAGAAAGAAAGAAAGAGAAATAGTGTTCAGGTTGTGGTTACACAGGTCAGGACCAATGAAATTCTGTATTTATCCATGCATTTCAACAGCAACATCCACTCAGAAAAGCCCCCTCACACTGTCATGGGGGAAGAGGCTGCAGACTAGGTCAAATCCATCAGTCTGACATGGCACCAAGCAGATCATAAACCTAAGATGTTAAGGCCTAAATTATCCTTTGCTTGATGATACTTGATTCTCAAAAGTGATTTTTTAATGCTTTGTCTTTAAATGCAGGTATTGTGAATACCTGATCTGATAATTAAAATATTGTCCCCATTGCACCTGTGCACACATAATTTTTATTTTTGTTTCTATTTATTTTATTTTTGAGACCAGGTCTTGTTCTGTCACCCAGACTGCAATGCAGTAACCTGATTATAGCTCACTGTAGCCCCGAACTCCTGGGCTCAAAGGATACTCCTGCCTCAGCCTCTCACGTAGCTGGGACCTGGGACTACAGGCATGTTCCACCACACCTAGCTATTTTTTTTTTTTTTTTTAAAGAGACAGGGTCTCATTATGTTGACCAGTCTGGTCTCAAACTCTTGGCTTCAAGCAATCCTCCCGCCTCAGCCTCCCAAAGTGCTAGAATTGCAAACATGAGCCACAGCTCCCAGCACTTGATTTCTTAAAAGCCAGAAATTTCTTGCTTTTCCCCTCATAAAGATGAATTATCTTTCCTATGGTGAACATACCTTGAAGTCAAATTCAAGTTACGGGGTGTGAAAAAGGACTTTCATGCTTCTAGCTAAAACGTGGAATTCCTGGGATTTCTGGGAGGTGTTGCTGGTCCACGGGGACTCAGCAGGATATTTGAAAGGGAGATTTGCAGTAAGCAGGATAGTGTTCAGTCCTAATCACTGGAACCTGTGTAGACGTAACAAAGGGGAATTTAGGCTGCAAATCAACTGACCTTCAAATAGATTCACCTGGATTATCCAGGTGAGCCTGTTGTAATCACAAGGTTGCTTAAAAGAGCCCCGGCCAGGACCGGTGGCTTACGCCTGTAATCCCGGCACTTTGGGAGGCCGAGGCGGGCAGATCTCCTGAGGTCAGGAGTTCAAGACCAGCCTGCCCAACACGGCGAAGTCCCGTCTCTACTGAAAATACGAAAAATTAGCCAGGAGTGATGACGGGTGCCTGTAATCCCAGCTACTCAGGAGGCTGAGGCAGGACAATCACTTGAACCCGGGAGGCGGAGGTTGCAGTGAGCCAAGATCACGCCACTGCACTCCAGCCTGCGCGACAGAGTGAAACTCTATCTCAAAAAAAAAAAAAAAAAGCCCCAGGAGGAGGCGAGGAGAGAAGGAAGGCACCAGGTGCAAGTTGCTGACACCGAAGCTGGAGGAAGAAGCTCAGAGACAAGCGAAGTGGGGCACCTGTAGCCCAGGGAGTGGGCAAAGAAATGGATTCTCCCCCAGAGCCTCCACAAGGAGTGCAACCTTCCTCGAACTGTGAGTTCACAAATTTGTTGAAGCTGCTCTATTTGTGGTAATTTGTTATATCAGGAATAGGAAATAATATGAGATTGTTCCCGAAATCAGGAAACGCATGGTGCCTATACCTTTTACTAATACCTTTGGTCTAAAATAATTTTTCCTGCTTCCATGTAGGAGCCTAGAAATATTTGGTGGTGGCAGGACAAAGAAGACAGAAGGTGGAGCTTGGCTTGTGAGGTGAGACTTGGGAGAGAGTCAGGAACAAAATGAAAACTGTGTGTGTAGACAGCAGTCAAGGAGCATGAATCAGTTCAAATGCAGGCTGATTCCCTCTGATCAGTGGATCCAAAGAAAGGCAATTTATTAGGCTATTTCATTATTTTCTTTGTTCATTTTCAAATAAATATCTCATATGTTTTAAGCAGCTTGTGTACCACATTTTGTAACTTTTATAATATGCAAATTTTAAAAATTCTTTAAACAAAATGTGGGTGCCTAGAAATAATAAGTAATACAATGTGCAAGTCAAATTTAGTGGTCCAATGGCAATTTTTGAAAAATCTAAATATTATTGTATTAATAAACCTGTAACTTGAGAACCACTGGAAAAGACCACATCGATTATTGTTGAAACAGATTTCCAATATAATTAGATCTTTTATTTAAAAATAAAAACAAGTCTAGAAGCGATTTTGATGACTGCCACCAGAGGGCACTGTAACCTTGTTGTAGACGATCAAAACGCAGCCATTAAACACTTCCAGCCACATGTTTATTTCTTTGAGAAAGCAACACTGCAGGACAAAAATGAACACCAGTAGTATATTTCAACTTTTTTTTCATGTCATTTGCCTAGATATATTTTTTTCTTATTTTTATTTTTATCTTACAAGTCAACCTCAAAAACATAAAGCAGGAGAGAAATGAGCCATGCCTCTTTTTCAGTTTAGAGGGGTAGCTGACACAGGATGAGAGCACAGTAAAACTTAAGCTAAGATTTCCACATTAATATCTTGCCCCCAAACACCATGCAGTGCTAAAAGTCACATTCCCATCATGCAAGCACATTAAAATATATGGCGATTAAAACTCCTGGTTTCTATTTTACGGCATTTGCTCTTTCCACGAGGCACACTTCCCTTTTGGGCTAAAGGTTAAAAAAAAAAAATTCAAATACAATGAAGAATCCATTATTTTCAATGTTTTCTATGTGGTTCTGGGGTCATGTGGGAAAGAACTGAGATGTGCTGAAGAGGCAAGGGAATTGCTTCCTGCCCCACGACACAGAGAAACGTGTGTCTGCTCAATGCCTCATTCAAGGAGACGAGTGGCTTTCTGTGAGGAGAGAAATTATCCCCCTTCCACAGTCCATTTCATACAGGCTGCAAACATTTAGTTTCAGGGACTTTTATTTTCAATTATGTATTACAAAACCCTGGGCAGGGCAGTCATCTCCCAGTTCTAGGATTCAATTTCTCCTGTGAGGTATACAAAAGAAATTGGAAGAGAAATAAATTGGAAAACCACAATTGGATATCATATTCTTGTTAGACTGAAGAAGAAATGCCCCCTAAAACTATGTGGATATGGCAGCTTTTCTGTACTTAACATTACTCATTAAATCATGTATGTGGCTATATCAAAATACTGTCTTTCGGCCAGGTGTGGTGGCTCACACCTGTAATCCCAGCACTCTGGGAGGCAGAGGCAGGCAGATCACCTGAGGTCAGGAGTTTGAAACCAGCCTGGGCAACATGGTAAACCCCGGTCTCTACTAAAAATATAAAAATTAGCCGGGCGTAGTCCCAGCTACTCGGGAGGCTGAGGCAGGAGAATCACTTCAACCAGGGAGGCAGAGGTTGCAGTGAGCTAAAATCGTGCCACTGCACTCCAGCCTGGGCAACAGAGCAAGACTCTGTCTAAAAAAAGAAAAAAAAAAGTATTTCTTACTAAGAGATAATGTACCTATGAATTTAAACATGTCTTAAATTTGAATAGCACTTCTTTTCAAAAGACTTAAAAATATTTTTTCTTTGAATCTGTTTCATCTCTGTGACATTGTTTGTGACTGGAGTGCTACCTGAGTAAATTATCATGATTACATGAAAAGCAATTAAGAGAAGAAGGTCAAAGGACCAACCTCTAATCACTAAGTTTGGTCTCTAACATTTGACAGCACATGCCTCAAAAAGCAAACAAAATAAACACTCTCCATTTCTTTAAATATATGTTTTTCATCCAAGGATCACACAGCACCTCCCAAGTAGTCTAATGTACAGAAAGAAAAGAAAGGAAACACAGCATGATTAGGTGAAACCCCAATCCATAGACAGCCCGCCAGCAGGTTGAGGCAGGACCACTAGGAGGAGACTGTGCTCAAGCACAGAGAGGGCCCTTTAGGTTTCAAATGGAGAATTTAGCCAAACAGCCACCAGGGCCAGCCGTATGCTAAGCCCAGTGCAATGAAACACACGCTCCCAGTCAAACTTCTTGGTTTCCTAGTGGGCTATGTGCCAACAGCAACTTCACAAGGTAACAGGTGAAGCGAGGTGGGGGGCGGAGAGGAGGAAATGGGCAGAGAGCCGCTGGGAGTCCTGAGACTCAAGTTCCTGCTTCATCACTGGGGGCTCCGGGCCAGGCACTTCACTGTAATAATCCACAATCATCTCAGAGCATGGGGCAGCGGGAGGGGGCTGAAAACACACCAATTTGCAAACTACAAAGTGCTGTGTAAATGTAAGGCATGGGTTTCACATTGAAATCTGACTCCAAACACAATCTCTTTCTTACGCTTCCTGGAGTCTTTGTAATCCTATACTTTAGGAGTCTTTCTAGGCCTTTGATCCTATTCTGAGATTTGAGCTGTTGTGGCAAAACTAAGAATTCTTTAAAGCAAAAGACGCCCTTGCAATGCAGGGCTCAGAGTGTCTATTTGCAATATATCAACCAGTGAAGGCATCACATCAGGCTCCGTTCTGGATCTACAGGCTAACAACAGAGGGAAAAGGTCCTCTTCACAACCCCAAAGAGGAGTCCTCTCCAAATCCTAATCTTTAGCAGGTGCCACAGATTTGGATCTACGTGTGCTGAGAGATTCTCCACTTCCTTCCTGAGCAGCCATGGTTTTCTCTCTCATTCCACAGCTCACAGACACTGCAGGACTGGGTATAGGAATTGGCCCTTGGACCCCAGGAAACTACCCCAAATGCATTTCAGAGATGACCCGGTCTCAAGAAATATACTGAAAGTAATCCAGTTTTCCCAATATTCTTTGGACCAGAAAAGTGGCTTGAGGCCAAGAGAGAGAAGCCCATGTCTTCCTACATTAAGTGTCACGGAAAGTGTCACCCACTCTCCCTCTCACTCCTGTCTATCCCCCCACCCACGTCTTAGTGGCCACAGCCTAGGCTGAGAACTCACAGAAGCAGCCCTACTTTCTAGCACAACCTGGTCAAAAGCAAAATAATTTACAGGGGGAAAAACACGAATGAGCAGGCAATGGGGCTCCAGAAAGCCAGGTGCAAAATTGTGAAGTTCAGTTTCCCTTTCACTTTGGGAAGCTCTGCAAAGTAAGCTTTAACTAGCAAAGCAAAAACTTCTAGGCTAATGTTCTTGACTTTGAAAAATAAATTTAAGCCTTGGCTAAGTAATCCCAGGGATCTTTTTTGCCTTAAGTTTCAATGGTACTAAAGGAGTTTACAGTTGAAAGGCTGGGGAAATATGTCTTCACGAAAAGCCAAAGGAAAGCATTCAAAGCTATTCACAAACCCTGCTCAAAAGTGTCTGGAGCTCTTCAATTTAAGAAAAACTGGAAGTCTACAGGCTGGTGTTGCAAACCAAAGAAAAATAGGTGGAAGGGCACTTTATGTCACACTGTTATTTCTGCTATTGTTATTTGTTGTTCCTTCAATACTCTTTACATTGCCAATCCTAAATAATTTCCCTTCTGGTATCTGCTAATCACAGAAAGAATCAGTAATTTCCAGGGGCAAAAGGTTAAAGCACTGCTTTCCTAAACCAGGGCATCAGGGTGCAATCTGAGGATCTGAATGTTCTCTCTGTCAGGTCACCACAGGTCAAACTCATCTTCAGTGGCTTCCCTAGGTGGAGAAGTACCCACATGTTTGCTGGGCCAAACTGACTGGCCTGGCCTCTTATCTTAGAGAAGTTTCTAGCAGTACAACTTGCTTCTTGTTTTTTGTTTTTATTTCTTAATGCTAAGGTTGTTTTTTGTTTGTTTGTTTGTTTACAGAGTATTAAGGCTTCTTAGTAAAGCTTGGGGAACTATTCAACAACTATTTCCATTTTGTTTGCAGATATAATTCAGGTGGTTCCTTCCATTTGAATGTCAAGCCACACTTTGAAGCTATAAAACAAAATAGGTTGTGTGAACAATTTGTTACGGGTAGGCAGGGCCAACATGGGTACTTGGTGGGTTGTGGTTATTCCTATGGTGAGAAATATTCATGGTGATTAGTAAGGGAAGACTTTCATATTGTTTCTCTATAGCTCTCTTTAACACAATGATTTCTAAATTTCTATTAGTCTTTAATGAAAAGATGACATTAGTTGTGTTGCCTTTGGTCTAAGGTTTGCAGGCATAAATGGCACAAAGCTTAAAGTTTATTTAATAGAAAGGATAATCTAAGATGAAAGTCCTTTGCTGGTTAAAAGAGTGACTTACAAGAGATAGAAATCTAAATTTAAGAGCTCATGGGGGTTGGGGTGGGGAAGAAAATGAAAAATTATGAATGCATGCCCCATTTTTTTCCCACAAGATTTCCTGAGCATTCCTCAGACACAGTGCAACATCATAACACCAGTGAATCAATAGTATTTCTATTTTTCTCAAGCAAAAAGTATAGACTCATCAAATATATACTAAGCACAATATATAATAGTATATCATCTTTTAAACACTAGTAATTTGAACTTCTATAAATATATTTAAATAACAAACATAGCTATTCACATAGCACACAAGTGACATATAAACATACAAAAATAAATCCCTCATGTTTAACTCTTTTGTTGCTTCCATGGGTTTTTGTTTTTTTGTTTTTTTGAGTAAAGATATTAAAACAATTCAGATGCCAAAGTCGTCTTGTCAATATTGATCCTGGGAAACCTGGATATAAATTCACACTATGTATAGGGATCACAGCCAAGGACAAGAGCAGTAGACATTCTTTGCGGAACATATTCCTATCTCCTACCATTGAGTAGGAAAGCTCAAAGGAAGTAGAGGTCTCCAATTGTGATGAGATGTTTTCTCTAGCTGTTGTAAGGAAAGGAAACATTAATCAGATCCCCTAACCTGCATAAAGTGTGAAAACACCAAGCTGTCCTTTGAATGAGTGGAATATGGAACACGCCTCCTCCTTCAGCTCTCCCACATGCCACTGTCTATGAAGCATTTCTCATCACATGGAAAAGGCACCACCATTCCATACCAAAGGCAAGGAATTTTTGTTCTGCAACACCACGTTTGTCCTTCCAGTCACTGCTCTAGAAAACATTCCTCCACTCAAACAGTGATTTGGGCCACACAGCTTCCCAGTCAAGTGGAATATGTACATTCTTCTTTTGAAAAACAGAATGTTTCCATGGGCAATTACTCCTGGTAAAATTTGATTCTTGTCCATAGCATTCTCTGGAGAGCAATGAACAGAAGAGACATTTCTCACATCCCCCCTAGAGCCCCACATCACCGTGAGCTCCCAGTAGGAACACAAAAAACGCCTTTCAACTGAACTCAATCATTCCAATCTCAATGGATGCGTTACGACTGAAATGAGGAGCCCTGGTGTATTCGGTGATTATCTTCATCTAACGTGCATCTTTAGATGGGAAGCTGATGCTTGAAGGACTGGGTTTCAGTTTTCCTTTTAAGGAAAAATGTAAGCTTTTGCAACATCTTGAAGAGTTGCTTGTGATAAAATATAAGAGGAGAAAACCCTGACTTTGTCTCAAATGGAATTTTCAACAGAGGGAGAAGAAGGTGATTTCTTGAGTTCCTGGGGGGTGTCATCAGTGTCATCAGGGGCAGGCGAAGCCCGCTGCTGCTGATAGATGTCCTGGATCAGCAGGGTGTTCATGACTTTCCACTCTCTGTATTTCCTGGCTGTCAGCTTCGGGTCATCCAGCAACTGGTTAATCATGGCCAGATCATGTTCTTTACACTGTGTGAGTAGAAAAAAAGGGGAAGGGGGTATGTTGAGAGTGTCTTAATTTACATAAACCATCTTTACCAACTCTTTTACAAGTACACATATACATAAAATTACCAAAGCATTTTTGCACGTTAATGTTCTAATTCCAGCATTAAGCTTAAGAAATACGACATTTGTTTGCATACGCTAGCCGCAAAGAAGTGAAGTATCCTACCCAAGAGTTAGTGGAAGAGCTAGACATATAGCAAAGATCTTCTATGTTGCCTTTCCCTGATCAATCCATTATTCCACACCACAGTAACAATTCTACCTTGGTGTGGGAATCATGCCTCCTAAAACTTACCATTGTAGGTATTAGCATTTTATTGACAATCCAAACTTCACTAAGTAAAATTGGAACGTAACACTTTACCTAGGACATATGGCAACATAAAATATGTCTTTTAAGATTTTATTAAATTATCTTTATTTTTAATAAATCACATTTATTTAATACAGAATAAATACACAGATTATCTTTTCAGTCAAAGAAGAGGCTACTAACCTTCCATCAAAACAGTATGTATTCCAATAATGCTAATAAACAACCTATTGGTGCTATTCCATTCTGCCTCCTCTGTAACCAATGGCACACATTTCTGAAATGTCTAGCTCAGGTTAGAGTTTTCTATAGACAAGGAATGGAGTATAAATAAGATGTTCATCCTCCATATTAAAAACAAATATTCAGCCCTGACAATTGTATCTCAAATCTATGCCTGTTTTCTCCATCCCATGACCATAATCCTAAGGTTGGATATCCAGTTCAATATATCACGTTTGATCTGCTGCCACAGCCTCCTGAGCGAGACCACTGCCTCCAATGCCCACTTCAACTCCACCTCCACTTAGCAGAGCAGGGATGCATGTAAATGCCGAGTCCCCCTCATGGATCCCCTTACACCCAAGGCTCCTCACCTGCACTGGCACCATTTGTTGATACTCTGCTTCCTTTTGACTTCCCAGTCTAATGTACTGGCATGCATTTTCTCACCCACACAACACTAGCTCACACCTCCGTGTTGTTGTGCCACATGAAGAATCTTCCTTGCCTTTCTTCACCTCATAAACTCTAATTTCTAGAGTTTCTTTTACACAGAACACTTTCCAGTCTTTCTTTACCCAATTTTTTTCTTTTCTTTTCATTTTTTTTTTTTTTTGAGACAGAGTCACTCTGTTGCCCAGGCTGGAGTGCAGTGGCCCAATCTCAGCTCACTGCAAGCTCTGCCTCCCAGGTTCAAGCGATTCTCCTGCATCAACCTCCCAAGTAGCTGGGATTACAGGCATGCACCACCATGCCTGGCTAATTTTTCTATTTTTAGTAGAGATGGGGTTTCGCCATGTTGACCAAGCTGGTCTCAAACTCCTTAAACCTCAAGTGATACACCCACCTCAGCCTCCCAAAGTGCTGGGATTACAGGCGTGAGCCACTGCACCTGGCCTACCCAATTTTTCAAAACCCGTAAATCTATACTTGAGGCATCACATTGTCCAGGAAACCTTCCCTGCACTCCCAAAATTGGACTGATAAGCTTTTAAGTTTTTATGTTCTCATGCCTTCCAATGATGCCCTCTGAGAACTTACCGAGGTACATTTAGGTATTTACGGGTAAGTCATGGCCCCTCTTCTAAAGCTTAAAGAAGATGACAAGAAACATTTCCTTCATCCCTGTATTCCCTGCACCTAACGCAATGCCAAGTGCCATGTAGACATTCAATTCATGCATGTGATTGAACTACTCTTTTTGACTATCCCCAGGACAGCATGTGTGAAACTAAAACTTCACAACCACTGCCAGTAAGTGGATTTTCACTACTCTCCAGTCATCACATTTTCACATCCTTTTTCTGGCAGTCTCCCAAATGACTATTTCAAAACTCTTCTCATCTCAAACCCCCTCTCTCATCCTCACTCGCAGCTGATGGCCTTGCTATCTCTTTGTTGAGGAAATGGAAGCCATCAGAAGAGCACTTCTCCCAAGTTCCTATTGCCCACGAACTACATGGATGCAAATCTATGCTGCCTTCTGCCCTGTTCACAGAGATGGAGCATCTGTGCTCCTAGTAAAGGCCAATCCCTCCACTTGGGCACAATGGCCCCCGCTCTCCTACTCAAGAAATTCATCCCAGCAATTCTGTTCTCTCCTCTGACTCACCAACTTTCCAGATCCCCTCCAGCAGTCTCACTGGTACACATGTTTGCTGTTATTTCTTGCATGTTAAAATTCCTCTCTGCCCCCAAATCCCTGTCCAGCTAATGCTCTACTTTTTCCTGTCTCCAGTGGCCCATTCTGCATAGATTCAGTCCCATCAGGGTTTGGCCCCCACCATTCACCAAAACTGCTCTTGTGAAGACCATCAGTGACCTCCATGTTGTTAAATCCAATAAACCATTAAATCAATGTTAAACCAATGATCCATCTTCAACTTATTTATCAGCAGCACCTAAAACAATTGACTACTCCTCCTTCTTGAACAGTTTCATTGTTGTGCTCCTATGATACATTCTCCTGATTTTTCTTGTACCACAATTGCTACTTACTCCCACCTTAGTTGCTGATTCCTCCTTGTCACGCCACCTCTTCTCACTGGAGTGTTCTAAAGCCCCAGCTTGTATCCTGTTCTCTGCTCTATCTATGTTCATGCTGTTGGTAATCACAAGAAATCTCTCCCACTCTCCTATGTGCTGAGGGTCCCAAGTTTATATCTCTCCTTACTTCTTCCCTGGACTCCATCATCATTTGTCTAAACTTCCTCTTCAGCAGTTCCACATCAACCCCTAAGAGGCATCTCAAAAATAACATATCTAAAGATAAGTTCCTCTTATTCTCTACATCCCCACCCCACCAACTTCCAATGCACACCAAACCCGGTTCCTACCGTAGTCTTCCACAAAGCACTTAATGGTAACTCCGTCTTTCCAGTTGCTCAGAGCAAACACTGGAGTCATTCTTGACTCCTTCTACCACACCCAATCCACCAGCAAAGGCTGATGGTTCTACCTTCAGACATGACACAAAGCATGCCATCCTTCTGTTCAGAACCTTCCAGAGGGTCACTGTCTTACTCCGAGCAGAAGCTGGTGTTTGCAATGGCAATGAGATCCTCAATGGCTCGAGTCCCTGCTGCCCCTCCAGCCCACTGCTGCACTCCCCATGCTCCATCCCCACTACATTACAGCTACCTTGACCTCCTTGCTCTTCCTTAAATGCCCTAGGCACACTCCCGCCCCAAGGTGTTTGTGTTTTTGTTCCTTTTGCCTGAAATATTCGGCCTCAGAGAACCTCAAGCCTCATTCCCTTTCCTTTTTCAGATTTTACACAAATTATGTCTTTCAAAGAGGCCTTTCATGTCCTTCCTAATTAAATATCAATTCCTCAACATGTTCTATCCCCTTTTCTATTCTTTATCAAATCTATCATCACTTATCATATTATACATTTAATAGTCAATTATGTTTGTTTATTCTCCTACTAAAACATAAGCTTCCGGAAGGCAGGCCTTTTTATCTGACATGCCCAGTGCTATAGCCCCAAGTGCCTGAAAGAATGACTGCACATGTAGACTGTTTACACATGTAGACATTCGTTGAATACTTGTTGAAAAAATGAATATATAAAATAAGAAATAAATGAATAAATGAATTACCAATTTGCTTTTTATTCTCTTTTGCATTCTGAACCCTATTTGGAGTCTGAGGAAATCCTTTCCATTAAACAAAAAAACTAGACATAGATTCATAGATCAATAGCTGGATAGATAGATATTAATAGATAGATAGATAGATAGAAGATAGACATATAGATGGATAAAGATAGGAATCCTTCCTTCCAAAATGGAGAAAAAACAGTGCAGTAGGAAAGCAGAGGGATTGTTTATAGAAAGTTAGGCAGGGCCAAAAGAGCATATTTCTTCTTTCTGAGTTTTCAATATCTATGCTTCCAAAACAACTTTTCCAAAACAACAACAACAACAAAAGCTTTCTTCCTCTGATATCACCATACTGCTATTAATGTAAAGTTATTTAAAGAGTTTTATTTTGTTCTAAAGAAATTTAGACATCTACTTCAAAGGAAGATCCTAATTTTTCATATTAAAAAATTAAATAAGATCTTTGAAAATTAATAAAAATTGGGGAAACTGACTTTGCATACATGAATTAACCCCTCTTTATAGCTAATAAAATTTTTAGAACAGGGTCTCTTCAACTTTGGGCATTAAGCTGACACTTCTCATATGGCTTTTGGCTCTAAGTAGTTCAAATTTTTTACCATTTGGCTCAAATCTGTGTTAGTTCTTCTATGGATGAAAGAAAAAAATGTAGACAATAATACAGAAGAAGGAAATTAATGAAACAACAGAACCTTCCAAGCTCCTTCCTACACCAGGCATCCTGGGGCTGGGCCTCATCCAGCAGCCCAGCTTCTCCTGGATGGCGCATGAGGCTTTTGGAGGGCTTTGAACTACTTTCACAACATCCGCTCTGCTTTCTGGCAGGCAAGCAAGGTTTGGCAGGGATTCCAAAAATACCATGAAAGAGAGAATGCTGTACTTTCAGTTTTTACTCCAAATAGTCAGTGTGTGGCTCGACTCAAGACCTAAGCATTGGAAATGTGTTCCACCAGAGTAGCTACGGGAAGAAAGGGTTCACCGCTCTTGTGACATAGGTCAGAGTAACTCAGAGAGAGTTTCAGTTGGACCCATTAATCATTCCATTAATAACTTATTTTAAAATAAAAGCAGACTTAGCCAAAAGTCAGTGAATGATGAGCTGTTAGAAATTCCTAAATATCTGTATTTAGTGTACAACATAATACGATCAACTTTTGCTCAAGTTCAACTTGGAAGTTTGCTCAACTTCCTAGAAGAATTTCCCTGAAGTGCATTCATTCCAGTACTATCCCAGTGCAGGGATTTTTCTTATTTACGGAATGCACCTGCGGCAAATATAAACATTATTGTTAAAACAGTTTCCTTGTTTCTGCATGAAACTCTGTTGTCTTTGCTTGTCTACACTCCTACTTTGGAGCTTTTAAAACATAAACATTTCCTCTGTGTATGATATATTCTCTGTGCAATATATCATACTCAGAGAAAAGTGCACAAATAGAAAAATTGTGCTTAAAGAATTATCACAAAATAAACACTTCCATACCACTACTACCAGGGTCACAGAAGGACCCGCACCCAGCACTCAGAAGCTCCATTCACATCCCCTCTCAGTCCCATCCTCTCCTCTTCCTCAAAGACAACCACTCTCTTGACTGCTTTGAATTTTAAAAACAATTAGAAATAATTATTATACCCTTCCAACATGAACATGCACACATGTACCAAGTTCTCTCTCTCCTTTGAATAGGTTGATGCACTTTGCTTTTGTTCAGCTTCTTCAGCAAGACCAATTTCCACATCAGCATGTCCTCCTACCTCCTGAGATTAATAGGACTGCATGACATGGGTCCTGTTCTATTTCATCAGCCCCAAGCACTGCACGAGGGATCTATGGAAAGGGCTCCTTCTCACAAATGTCCAGAAAGAGCAGTTCCCTAGCTGGGTGGGGCAGGCAGCCCTGAGCGGGCCCCCAATCTTCTCTGCTTCCTGGTATTCAAGGCCTTGTGTAATCTCCTCCCTGAAAATGAGATGACCCAATGACTTGCTTCTACTGAATAGAATACTGCAAAAGTAATGTGATGTCATTGCTGCCACTGGGTTATAACCCATCTCACTCACTCACTCTCACTGTGTTGCTTGCTCTGAAAGAAGCCAGTTTCCAAGTTGTGACCTGCCCTGTGGAGAAGCCCATGTGGCAAGGAACTGAGGGGAGCCTCTGGCCAACAGCCAGAGGGCAACTGAGACCCTCAGTCCAGCAACCTGAAAGGACCTGAATCCTGCCAATAATTAACATGCAGGAGTTTAGAAACTGATCCCTCTCCATGGAGGAATGAATGCAGCCCCAGCTGACAGCTTGATCACAGCCTTGTGAGAGACCTGGGGGCAGAGGCATTTGAGCAAGCCACACCCAGATTCCTGGCCACAGACACTTTGAAATAATAAATGCTGATTGTTTGGAGTTGCTAAGCTTTGGGATAATTTGTTACCTAGCACTGGATAACCGATACACTGACAGAAAAGCAAAAGCTGCTGAATTCACCAATGACGAGGTCACAGAGACCCATAGGGAATGGTAACACTAATTCTTTTCACAAAGTTGGCCCCCCAGTGGCCAGGTGAGGGCATGGTGCCGTAAAGATCTAGAATCCTGAGTCTGCTGCTCTGTGGAAGGCCTGAGGCCACAGCCTTTCTCCTTCTACTAATGACTCAAACTGCACATGCTCTCCGCGGCCTCTACTTCCTGCTTCTCCCAACGTGGAACTACAGCTTATTATCCGTTGACAGACATTCCATTTCCTTGAATGTCCTTCCCTTGGTATTCATTTCTTCCTGACTCACGGATTTCGTGACAGTGTTCCTAATGCCTCCAGTAATCCACTGTCCCCCTTGGACCACCAAAGCACCCTGAGCACATCTCAACCAGAGTATTTTTGCACTTCATTTTAATCATGTATTTGTTTTCCTCTGTTTCTACACCGGTAGAGTCCATTCAATGGTCCCAGTCACCTAGAATAGTGGCTGGTACATAGTAAGAGTCAGGAAATACTTGCTCAATGAAAACTTTACTCACTCATATCAGCTATCACAGACAAAGAAGACAGTAAAATCCCAACACGCTATGACATATTACATTGAATAATCAAATATATTCATCAGCTTCGTACATACTGTGAAATGGCGGCCAGTGATATCTTTTATTATCGATAAAAATTTTAATATTAAATAAGAGTGAATTTCTCTGCATTTGTATTATCTTTGTATAATTAAAATTTACTTTCTTTTTCCATTCTGGCCTCATTTTTGTAGCCTTTTAGGGTGTTCAGATGTTCTACTGACTAACTGGGACGCCTAAGAGCCACTCAGCCTGCCTTTGTAGCCTTGTCCTTTCAATTGCTGACATTTCTTCCTGGAAAATGACTTAAGTTCTTAATGCCAAAGGCCACAGACAAAACAAAATTCACTTACAGAATCTATCAAAGCTTTTCAGATAAATCGTCTGCTAAATCAGGAGCATTTTACAAAGTATCCTGGCCTCCACCTGTTCATGTTATAATCTAAATGTGAAAGCAGGACACTTTTGTTATGAAGAACCATTTCAGCTCAGGGAGGGCCTGAAAATAGCTTCAGTACTTCCTGTACACTTTCCCTTATTCCCATTGTGAAAACATCTGCTGGTCTATTACCACAGAGTGTGTACTTCCCACTGTCGGGCTCTCATGGTGCTCCTTGGCTGCAGTGCCCACAGCTGACAATCACTACATCTTTGCTGCAGCTGAAATCAAGACATTTCCTTCTGGATGCAGTCCTGAAGACTGGTACCCTTGTATGAATCAGATGAAAATTCGAGATCTTATTTATACGACTGTTTATTCTCACCAGTTGATGATCTCTGTCTCTCATCAACATTTATTGAACCAGGTACTGTGCTAGGTATAAGGGTTAAAAAACAAATTATGCATGGTCCTTGCTGTCCAGAAGCTTAAAATTTGAAATTTTATATCAGAGTGAATGCAAACATCAAGGCCTATTGTGAAAAACTGCCTTGGGCGCTACTGTGTGAATGTCCTAGTGCTTTAAGAACGTCAAGATCATCTTGCCCTATAAAGGTTATATTTACTTTTACAGCCCTTCCCTGCAACCACACAAACATGCTGTGATTAGCAAGAATCTCTCTGCAGAACCAGCCGTTCCTTGCCCCACATCCATAGAGTTCATCCACAATTTGAAATTTTGTTACCTTTAATGTGCTATTCAATGTTCGGATTTTGTGGAGTTTCTCGTTTATAGATGGATTTTTACACCGCTTAACAAAGGATTTTCTCAACTCCTTTTTAGTCGAAGGTCGTCGGTCCCCAAGAGGAGATAGACTAGCTTGCTCTAATGATTTGTACAGCTTCTCCATTTCATCATCTTCAGACACTTTTGTCTCTTCTATTTGAAAAAAAAAAAGAAAGCAGTAACAATAAACCCAGTGAAAAATCAAGGAGAGAACATTCAATACTGTGGTCCCAAGGCACGGCCCCACTGGCACCCTCATCTCAGACTTCTCTCCGGAACTGAAAGACAATAAATGTTTGCTGTCTAAGCCACCCAGTTTGCGATACTTTGTTACTGCAGAGCCACGTTCCCTGTGAAGGCACCAGGGAAGGAGTTATTCCAAGCCTCTCTCCTGGCTTCAAGTGGTTTTTTGGTTTGTGGCAGTATAACTCCAATATTCACATGGGGTGTTCCCTGCATGCATGTCTCTGTGTCCAAACTCCCCCTATTTATGAGGGTATCAGTCATGTTGGATTAGAAACCTGCCCTATTAACTCATCTTAACTAGTTAAATCTGCAACAACCCCATTTCCCAATAAGGTCACATTCTGAGGTATTAGGGGTTAGGACGTCAACATACGAATTTTATTAATTAATTAATTAATTTTATTATTATTTTTTTTGAGACGGAGTTTTACTGCTGTTGCCCAGGCTAAAGTGAAATGGCACAATCTTGGCTCACTGAAACCTACACCTCCCAGGTTCAAGTGATTCTCCTGTCTCAGCCTCCCAAGTAGCTGGGATTACAGGCACCTGCCACCATGCCCGGCTCATTTTTATATTTTTAGTACAGACAGGGTTTCACCATGTTGCCCAGGCTGGTCTTGAACTCCTGACTTTGGGTGATCCGCCCACCTTGGCCTCCCAAAGTGCTGGGATTACAGGTGTGAGCCACCACGCCCAGCCCAACATATGAATTTTAGAGGGACACAATTCAACCCATACATAGTCCACCCTCCGGCCTCCTAAATTCATGTGTTTCTCACGTGCAATATATTCACCTCATCCCAACAACTCCAAAAGTCTTAACCCATTCCACCATCAACTCTAAGACCAAAAGCTCACCCAAATATCATCCAGGCTGGGTGTGGTGGCTCACGCCTGTAATCCCAACACTTTGGGAGGCCAAGGCAGGAGGATCGCCTGAGCTCAGGAGTTTGAGACCACACTTGACAACATGGTAAAACCCGTTGTCTACTAAAATACAAAAAATTAGCTGGGTGTGGTGGTGCGTGCCTGTCATCCCAGCTACTCAGGAGACTGAGACACGAGAATCACTTGAGCCTGGGAGGTGGAGGTTGCAGTGAGCTGAGATCACACCACTGCACTCCAGCCTGGGCTACAGAGTGAGACTCTGTCACACACACACACACAAAATATCATCTAAACCAGGTATTGCTGAAACTCAGTGGGGGAGTGATTCATCCTGAGACAAAATTCATCTCCATCTTTAAACCCATGCAAGTCGACAAATATCTGCTTCTAAAACACAGTGTGGGACAAATAAGCCCTAGCAAATTATACACATGCTAAAGTTTGAGAACTACTGCCCTAGATGATTGCTTAATGTCCTTCCCAGAACTACCCTTGGAGAGAAGAAACCTGTCTGTGGTCTGTGGTTTTGAGTAGAAAGTGATCATTCCTCATCTTGCCACACAGACTCCATCTCCCTTCCTAACCACACTTTGCCAGCCTCGGCCCACATGATTGCAGTGAAGCCACTCCACCACAGGATCTACTGGGGACCATGTGGACTAGACGAGGCCAATGGCAGTTCCACCATTCTGGCCACAGTCACTGATTCAGAGATAAACATGTGCCTCTGGTCAGGCCATTTGGGGCCAAGGAGACTCAGTTCCAAGACTTTGGAGTATCAGATAAGTAATCTCTCTTTTTTCTTAAGCTGAATGTTGTGATAGTGTGAGCTGGAAGTTTCCAGGAAGTATCCCAAGAATAATGATATGGAAGCCAACCCATTCTGAGACACAGATCTTGATGATACCGTTGGAGCCCTCTCAGCCTGTGGGAGCTAATATGTTACCCATGTTAAGCTACCCTGGCTTTGGTTTCCAATCATATGCACCTGGAAGGGCCTCAAATGATACAGAGGTTACTCAAAGAAAATCTTCATCCTTTGATGTTGCTTTAATTTCTCACTAAGAACGTTAGTCTATTTTTCCTTTATTCCTTGGAAGAAAGCTTGGGAAAGAAATACAATGAGATTTCTTTTTCCACCACATACTCCTTAATGTTTATATGTTTCACTTCCTGTCCAAAGAACCAGCTTGAAAGAGGACTCTATAGAAAGTATGGCATTAGAGGAACTAGAAAAACAGCCTCTCCATAGGGTGGAGAAAAGCATATAATGGTGACCTAGGAGCATCAAAACCAAGCAAACTTCACATGCCTTAGAGTTTACTCCTCTACGATTAGAAACCTTTATGCAAGAATTAGTTTCCCCTATCCATCCCAGAAAGTCACCAATACTCTTTCATAAAACAGAAAGCAAAGATGATGCACTCACTTCATAGCTGACTTAAAATGTTCATCAGCACAACCTCCTTTTTCTCTACCAAACCGTCTCACAAAAGGGAAGAAAATACTCAAAACTACATCTGAAGACAATTAGACTTTTGGCTCACACCGTGTGCAGACATCAAAAGTGGGCTTTTGTCAATAAGCACATGAAAAGATGCTCAGTATCATCAGTCATGAGGGAAATGCAAGCCAAAACCATCATGAGATGTCCCTTCACACCCAGGGTGGCTACAATTAAAAAGACAGACAGTAGTAAGTGTGGATGAGGATGTGGATAAATTGGAACCCTCATACATTGTTAGTGGGAATGTAAAACAGAGCTGCTACTTTTATTTTATTGTTTATTTTTTAAAGACAGGGTCTTGGTCTATCACCTGGGCTGGAGTGCAGTGGCATGATCATAGCTCATTGCAGCCTTGAACTCCTGGACTCACTAGATTCTCCTGCCTCAGCCTCTCAAGTAGCTGGGACTACAGGTGCATGCCACCATGCTCAGCTAATTGAGTTGCCACTTTAGAAAATAGTTTGTCCATTTCTCATGGAGTTTAGCATGTGCCCCAGCAATTACACTCCTACATAAATACCCAAGAGAATTGAAAACATATATTCACACAAAAATTGTACATGAATGTTCACGGCAGCATTATTCATAACAGACTCAACTTGGGAAGATCCTAAATGTTCATCAGCTGATGAAAGGATAAACAAAATGTGGCATTTGCATGTGACAGAATAGTATTCAATAATTAAAATAAATACTCAGTTGTCCACAATACTTCAACATGGGTGAACCTTGAAAACATTTTGCTAAGTAAAAGAAGCCAGTCACAAACAACCACATATTGCGTGATTCCATTTATATGAAATGTCCAGATTAGATGAACCCACAGAGACAGAAACCAGAATAATAATTGCCTGGGGTCTGGGAGGGGACAAGCAGGAGTGGAGAATGGCAGCTAATGTGTAAGGATTTCTTTTTGTGATGCTGAAATGTTCCAAAATTAGATTGTGATGACAGCTGCACAATTCCAAATATACTAAAAACCAATGAACTGTACACTTTCATGTGTGAATGTTATGGTATGTGAAATATATCTCAATAAAACTATAAAAAGTAGTCATTTATGAGATTGTCATGAGAGCTGATGCTACATAGCAGAAATACTAAGCATGGCCACAGTCATGGGGTCAAGCTGGAGACACTGGAAAGTCTTAAAGAAGTTAAGTGGAAAGAAATCTGACTCCTGAAGGGGGGCATTAGGATTGAAGACTTAGAGTTTTCAGTTTTAAGACACAGTAATTTTACATGTCCTTTTACTTTTTAAAAAAATACAGCTAACAAGGTAGAATTCTACTTAGATTAAGGCATAAACACATAGCTTTCAATACCACAGTATTTTTGAATTAAGGAATATATGTTTAACAAACATCAACAAGCAAACCAAACAAGAGTATGACAAAGATAAATAGAATGGTTTCTTTACATTTCTCTGTGTTCACCAAGTAGCTACATTGTGCTACTAAAGATTGTGATAGAAAACAACTTACCAATTGAGCCACTAAAAGAAAAAAATATTTTTGACTAAAACATTTTGTTTGTAATTATGTCACAGTAAAAATTATTATCATTGCTTCCAAGATAGCCAAATAGGAACAGCTCCAGTCTACAACTCCCAGTGAAATCAATGCAGAAGACAGGTGATTTCTGCATTCCCAACTGAAGTACCTGGTTCATCTCATTGGGACTGGTTGGACAGTGGGTGCAGCCCATGGAGGGTGAGCTGAAGCAGGGCTGGGTGTCACCTCACCTGGGAAACACAAGGGGTCGGGGGATTTCCCTTTCCTAGCCAAGGGAAGCCATGAGTAACCGTACCTGGAGGAATGATACACTTCTACCCAAATACTGTGCTTTTCCCACAGTCTTCGCAACCAGCAGACCAGGAGATTCCCTCCCATGCCTGGCTCGGTGGGTCCCACACCCATGGAGCCTTGCTTGCTGCTAGCACAGCAGTCTGAGATTGTCCTGGGATGCTGGAGCTTGGCAAGGGGAGGGGCATCCACCATTGCTGAGGCTTGAGTAGGTGGTTCTATGCTCACAGTGTAAACAAAGCAGCAGGGAAGCTCGAACTGGGCGGAGCCCACTGCAGCTCAGCAAGGCCTGCTGCCTCTCTAGATTCCACCTCTGGGGGCAGGGCATATCTGAACAAAAGGCAGCAGACAACTTCTGCAGATTTAAGTGTCCTTGCCTGACAGCTCTGAAGAGAGCAGTGGTTCTCCCAGCACGGCATTCGATCTCTGATAACGGACAGACCACTTCCTCAAGTGGGTCCCTGACCCTCATGTAGCCTGACTGGAGCCTCACCTCCCAGTAGGGGCTGACAGACACCTCATATCAGTGGGTGCCCCTCTGGGGCAAAGCTTCCAGAGGAAGGATCAGGCAGCAATACTTGCTGTTCTGCAGCCTCCGCTGGTGATACCCAGGCAAACAGGGTCTGGAGTGCACCTGCAGCAAACTCCAACAGACGTGCAGCTGAGGGTCCTGTCTGTTACAAGGAAAACTAACAAACAGAAAGAAATAGCATCAACATCAACAAAAAGGAAGTCCACATCAAAACCCCATCCGTAGGTCACCAACACCTAAGACCAAAGGTAGATAAAACCTCAAAAATGGGGAGAAACCAGAGTGGAAAGGCTGAAAATTCCAAAAACCAGAACACCTCTTCTCCTCCAAAGGAACACAACTCCTCACCAGCAAGGGAACAAAACTGGATGGAGAATGAATTTGATGAGTTGACAGAAGTAGGCTTCAGAAGGTGGGTAATAACAAACTTCTCTGAGCTAAAGAAGCATGTTCTAACCCATTGCAAGGATGCTAAAAACCTTGAAAAAAAGATTAGATGAATGACTAACTAGAATAGCCAGTGTAGAGAAGAGTTTAAATGATCTTTTGGTGCTGAAAACCACAGTACAAGAACTTCGTGAAGCATACACAAGCTTCAACAGCCGATTCAATCAAGTGGAAGAAAGGGGATCAGTGATTGAAGATCAAATTAATGAAATAAAGTGAGAAGACAAGATTATAGAAAAAAGAATGAAAAGAAACGAACAAAGCCTCCAAGAAATATGGGATTATGTGAAAAGACCAAATCTACATTTGATTGGTGTAACTGAAAGTGACGGGGAGAATGGGACCAAATTGGAAAACACTCTTCAGGATATTATCCAGGAGAACTTCCCCAACCTAGCAAGGCAGGTCAACATTCAAATTCAGGAAATACAGAGAACGCCACAAAGATACTCCTTGAGAAGAGCAACCCCAAGACACATAACTGTGAGATTCATCAAGGTTGAAATGAAGGAAAAAATGTTAAGGGCAGTCAGAGAGAAAGGTTGGGTTACCTACAAAGGGAAGCCCATCAGACTAACAGTGGATCTCTCGACAGAAACCCTACAAGCCAGAAGAGAGTGGGGGCCAATATTCAACATTCTTAAAGGAAAGAATTTCCAACCCAGAATTTCATATCCAGCCAAACTAAGCTTCATAAGTGAAGGAGAAATAAAGTCCTTTACAGACAAGCAAATGCTGAGAGATTTTGTCACCACCAGGCCTGCCTTACAAGAGCTCCTGAAGGAAGTACTAAACATGGAAAGACACAACTGGTACCAGCCACTGCAAAAACATGCCAAATTGTAAAGACCATCAATGCTAGGAAGAAACTGCATCAATTAATGGGTGAAAAAACTAGCTAGCATCATAATGACAGGATCAAATTCACACATAACAATATTAACCTTAAATGTAAATGGGCTAAATGTCCCAATTAAAAGACACGGACTGGCAAATTGGATAGAGTCAAGACCCATCAGTGTGCTATATTCAGGAGACCCATCTCACGTGCAGAGACACACACAGGCTCAAAATAAAGGGAAGGAGGAAGATCTATCAAGCAAATGGAAAGCAAAAAAAAAGCAGGGGTTGCAATCCTGGTCTCTGATAAAACAGACTTTAAACCAACAAAGATCAAAAGAGACAAAGAAGGGCATTACATAATGGTAAAGAGCTCAATTCAACAAGAAGAGCTAACTATCCTAAATATATATGCACCCAATACAGGAGCACCCAGATTCATAAAGCAAGTCCTTAGAGACCTACAAAGAGACTTAGACTCTCACACAATAATAATGGGAGACTTTAACACCCCACTGTCAATATTAGACAAATCAACAAGACAGAAAATTAACAAGGATATCCAGGACTTGAACTCAGTTCTGAACCAAGCAGACCTAACAGACATCTACAGAACTCTCCACCCAAAATCAACAGAATATAGATTTTTCTCAGCACCACATCACACTTATTCTAAAGTTGACCAAATAATTGGAAGTAAAACACTCCTCAGCAAATGTAAAAGAAAAGAAATCACAACAAACTGTCTCTCAGACCACAGTGCAATCAAATTAGAATTCAGGATTAAGAAACTCACTCCAAACTGCACAACTACATGGAAACTGAACAACCTGCTCCTGAATGACTACTGGGTAAATAACAAAATGAAGGCAGAAATAAAGATGTTCTTTGAAACCAATTAGAACAAAGACACAACGTACCAGAAGCTCTGGGACACATTTAAAGCAGTGTTTAGAGGGAAATTTACAGCACTAAATGCCCACAAGAGAAAGCAGGGAAGATCTAAAATTGACACCCTAACATCACAATTAAAAGAACCAGAGAAGTAAGAGCAAACAAATTCAAAAGCTAGCAGAAGGCAAGAAATAACTAAGATCAGAGCAGAACTGAAGGAGGTAGAGACACAAAAAACCCTTTAAAAAAATCAGTGAATCCAGGAGCTTTTTTTTTTTTGAAAAGATCAACAAAATAGATAGAATGGTAGCAATACTAATAAAGAAGAAAGAAGAATCAAATAGACACAATAAAAAATGATAAAGGGGATATCACCACCAATCCCACAGAAATACAAACTACCATCAGAGAATACTATAAACACCTCTACACAAATAAACTAGAAAATCTAGAAGAAACTGAGAAATTCATGGACACATACACCCTCCCAAAACTAAACCAGGAAGAAGTTGAATCTCTGAATAGACTAAAAATAGCTTCTGAAATTGAGGCAATAATTAATAGCCTACCAACCAAAAAAAATCCAGGACCAGATGGATTCGCAGCCGAATTCTACCAGAGGTACAAAGAGGAGCTGGTACCATTCCTTCTGAAACTATTCCAATCAATAGAAAAACAGGGAATCCTCCCAAACTCATTTTATGAGGCCAGCATCATCCTGATACCAAAGCCTGGCAGAGACACAACAAAAAAAGGGAATTTTAGGCCAATATCCCTGATGAACATTGATGTAAAAATCCTCAATAAAATACTGGCAAACCAAATCCAGCAGCAAATCAAAAAGCTTATCCACCACAATCAAGTCGGCTTCATCCCTGGGATGCAAGACTGCTTCAACGTACCCAAATCAATAGACATAATCTATCACATAAACAGAACCAATGATAAAAACCACATGATTATGTCAATAGATGCAGAAAAGGCCTTCAACAAAAATCAACAGCCTTTCGTGCTAAAAACTCTCAATAAACTAGGTATTGATGGAATGTATCTCAAAATAATAAGAGCTATTTATGACAAACCCACAGCCAATATCATACTGAATGGGCAAAAACTGGAAGCATTCCCTTTGAAAACTGGCATAAGACAAGGATGCCCTCTCTCACCACTCCCATTCAACATAGTAATGGAAGTTCTGGCCAAAGCAATCAGACAAGAGAAAGAAATAAAGTGTATTCAATTAGGAAAAGAGGAGGTCAAATTGTCTTTGTTTGTGGATCACATGATTGTATATTTAGAAAACCCCATCATCTCAGCCCAAAATCTCCTTAAGCTGATAAGCAACTTCAGCAAAGTCTCAGGATACAAAATCAATGTGCAAAAATCACAAGCATTCCAATACACCAATAACAGACAGAGAGCCAAATCATGAGTGAACTCCCATTCATAATTACTATAAAGAGAATAAAATACCTAGGAATCCAATTTACAAGGGATATGAAGGACCTCCTCAAGGAGAACTACAAACCACTGCTCAATGAAATAAAAGAGGTCACAAACAAATAGAAGAACATTCCATGCTCATGGATAGGAAGAATCAATATCATGAAAATGGCCATAGTGCCCAAGGTAATTCAATGCTATCCCCATCAAGCTCCCACTGACTCTTCACAGAATTGGAAAAAACTACTTTAAATTTCATATGAAACCAAGACAATCCTGAGCAAAAAGAACAAAGCTGGAGGCATCATGCTACCTGACTTCAAACTATACCACAAGGCCACAGTAACCAAAACAGCATGACACTGGTACTAAAACAGAGATATAGACCAATGGAACAGAACAGAAGCCTCAGAAATAACACCACACATCTACAACCATCTGATCTGACAAACCTGACAAAAACAAGCAATGGGGAAAGGATTCCCTATTTAATAAATGTTGCTGGGAAAACTGGCTAGCCATATGCACAAAGCTGAAACTGGATCCCTTCCTTACACCTTATACAAAAATTAACTCAAGATGGATTAAAGACTTAAACGTAAGACCTAAAACCATAAAAACCCTAGAAGAAAACCTAGGCAATACCGTTCAGGACATAGGCATGGGCAAAGACTTCATGACTAAAACACCAAAAGCAATGGCAACAAAAGCCAAAATTGACAAACGGGATCTAATTAAACTAAGAAGCTTCTGCACAGCAAAAGAAACTATCATCAAAGTGAACAGGCAACCTACAGAATGGGAGAAAATCTTTGCAATCTATCCATCTGACAAAGGGCTAATATCCAGAATCTACACAGAACATAAACAAATTTATAAGAAAAAAACAAACAACCCCATCAGAAAGTGGGCAAAGGACATGAACAGACACTTCTCAAAGGAAGACATTTATGCAGCCAACAGACATATGAAAAAATGCTGATCATCACTGGTCATCAGAGAAATGCAAATCAAAACCACAATGAGATACCATCTCACGCCAGTTAGAATGGTGATCATTAAAAAGTCAGGAAATAACAGATGCTGGAGAGGATGTGGAGAAATAGGAACACTTTTACACTGTTGGTGGGAGTGTAAATTAGTTCAACCATTGTGGAAGACAGTGTGGTGATTCCTCAAGGATCTAGAACTAGAAATACCATTTGAGCCAGCAATCCCATTACTGGGTATATATCCAAAGGATTATAAATCATGCTACTATAAAGACACATGCACACATATGTTTATTGTGGCACTATTCACAATAGCAAAGACTTGTAACCAACCCAAATGTCCATCAATAATAGACTAGATAAAGACAATGTGTCACATATACACCATGGGATACTACGCAGCCATAAAAAAGGATGAGTTCATGTCCTTTATAGGGACATGGATGAAGCTGGAAACCATCATTCTCAGCAAAATATCACAAGGACAGAAAATCAAACACTACAGGTTCTCACTCATAAGTGGGAGTTGAACAATGAGGACACATGGACACAGGGAGGGGAACATCACAGACTGGGGCCTGTTGGTGGGTGGGGGGCTGGGGGAGGGATAGCGTTAGGAGAAATACCTAATGTAAATGATGAGTTGATGGCTGTAGCAAACCACCATGGCACATGTATACCTATGTAACAAACCTGCACGTTGTGCACAAGTATCCTAGAACTTAAAGTATAATAATAAAAAAAATTATATTAAAATTACATATCTGATTCAATAGATATTAAATCAGTAAAGATAAAAATAACTTTAGAATCTTAGGATAACATGGCATATAATATATTCCCTACATGAAAAATAAATGGAACTTTCTTTTTGATAGCTTTATTATTTAATGTATTTACATGAAGATATATGACCTTTATGTTAAAAATATCGAAGGGTATCTTCCTCCCCCTCTTCCATTTCTTTTTCTAACTTAAACTTTGGGTTGGGCAACTGTGTATATGTAAATACAACTTGATCTTCCAATAAATAACTAAACTTTAAAATTAACAAACAGATAAAGTGAACCTGTTGGGGTAACCAGACATGAAAACAGAATTCACCTAAAATTTCATATATTATGCTCAAAAAAACCAATATCTTCAATTTAAATTAATCCAAAAATGAGATAATGGCAAGAAGTATGTATGTTCACATAGGATTAAAGCTGTTCAGAAAATGAGGAAATAATGAAAGGCAAATTATCACTCAGCTTCCTGCCTCTCAGCCATCCCTCTCTCCTCAGAGAAAGCCTGGAACTGAAAGACTGTGTGTCTGACCTCTAATAACCTGATTCCAGAATCATCCACAAGCATAAAACAGTAAAATAATAAATTCTGGTGTTAGGAATCAAGAAAATACCCTTATTGGCTGTTTTGTGTGTCATAATCTAAGAGGTCTACAACATATCACTAAATACTCAGGGGATGCACTGTGCCCCAGGTCCACGACCCAGTCAGGGACATTACATTGTTTTTATTGTTGCTAATGGCTGATGCTTAGGTCTTCACAGGGCCATAAAATGAACATCCAGTGGAAGCAGGTGATAAGTAGGATCACAGGACAAAAACAGACCCAAAAGGTACAAGTGCAAAAGAAAACACAGCTTGTACCTGACCCCAAAGCAAATGTGAGAATCCTTCTCAATTGCTATACTAAGACTACAGCAGGCTTGTCAAACCTTTCTGGCTACCCTTGTACCTCCAAGAGGCTTTTCAGTAAAGCAGTATTTTAAAAATTTCCCTTTTGCTTTTTATATATTTTTCTAAATTAGAATTTCATAGTAGAAAACACTACATTATTTCTCTTATCTTACAAGATCATAAAGAGCGAGGAAAAAAGATTGGCAGAGAAGACCGCTTGTCTCTCTCCCATTGGAGACGGGAGCCAAATTAATTATTTCCGCCCCCCCTTATCTTCTGAAGCAAAATAAATGAATTTTGTCTGACAGTCAAGTGTTTCCAATGCAATTTTTATCCTTCCTTTCTGGAGCATATTTTAGTCTTCCTACATAAAACAGCAGGACTTTGATTCTGCCACAGAAGGCACTTTAAAGTCTGTCTTATCTCACCTCACAAGTGTTTTGTCAAGGAAGATGAAAACTATTTTTATTTTATGGATGAGAAAAATAAAGATTCCGGAAAAACAGTAAGTGATCTTTTCAAAATGCAAATTAGTGATGGAGTTAAGAATAAAAGTTCACTTTCACACCGTGCAGAATCATGCCCTTCTAGACCACTCCTCTCAAACTTTTAACAGGCACTCACCTAGGAACCTTGTTAACATGTAGATTCCATTTGAGTTCATCTGGGATTGTGCCGAGATTGTAAATTTTTAACAAGCTCCTAAGTGATGCTGGAATTGCTGGTCCATGAACCATACTTTGAGTAGCAAGGCCAGCCTGTTAGCAATTTTTCATGCAATGCTAGCCTCAAGTCATTGGAAGAGAAAGCAACTAGAGTTACAACTAGCACACTGAGATTTGTCCATAAAGCAGCACTCTGTATTATCTCTTAACTGAAAAACCAAAACAAGAGAATGAAAGAAAATTTGGCTTTGCTCAAAGGAGTATGTCCAAAATCCCTGCTTAAAAGTGTCAGTGCCTCATAATGTTGAGTTGGTGCGAATTTGGGTTAATGTCAGTGACCCTTCACTTTTGTTAGACTAGCTTAGGATGTCTCAAGGGGTCAGACTCCTAAACTTTCTTCAAACTTAGGTCAGCTACCTAACTAGTTAGACTCAAGAAAGGAGACATATATATATATATACTGAGCTAGTTTAACAACAACAACTATATATATATATATATATATATATATATTTTTTTTTTAAACATGATCCTTCTTGGTGACATTAGCAAATGAGACAAAACAACATTTTTAGCCAACAGTTATAAGTTCACTCCTTTCCAAGACCCTGCCAAATGAATGTGCTGCTCCCTTCTCCTCCTCTTCCATACCCCAGTCTATTGTCTGCTCTGACAGCACAGGCATGCCCCAGTAGGCCCAGAATTTGGCTGTCGAGAACACTGTATGCAGATTATCTCTTTAAATGCTATATTTTCAACTCTGCCTCCCCCACTATCTTATTTTTGGTCTTTCCTTGTGCTTTCTAGAATGTGGCTGTTTATTTTCTACTTAGAACCTAAATGCTGGATTCAGAAGACAGGAGGGGAATTCATATGCCATATTTCTTATCAGAATTTGAAAGGAAATTTGTTTCAGATTAGGAATGTCTAAATGATGTCCCAGGGAAGATAATTTTAGTTCCCCAACATGCAACACTTGGAAAAATTTAGGTAGAAAACAGCGTTTCCTGTTCATATGCAATGTTCTAAGTGCCTGAGAAAGAAAAGACCGTGGAAGGCACTTGTCACCAAGAGAAGAAAAAACTATATAGTCATTTGGGTATTTTGCATACCCTAAAGGTATGCAAAACCTTAAAAGGCTTTACACATGTTATTTAATATAGCACCTGATGCCAAAAGATCAGAAGAATTGTATAGGCTTTCTCCAATTAGTAAATTTGACAACTCTACAACATAGCAAAAGATTTGAAATCATAATGATATATTTAAATTATTTAATTAAGAAAAAAATCTGGATAACTCATTTTAGTAGTGAGGACACTACTGACCAACAACATTGGCATAGTATAATTTGAGAGAGAAATCTCCTATTTTTGTTCCTGTTGGGTAGAGATAACGATCATACATTGAGTTTTTACTATGTGACATGCACTGTGTTAATTCTTAGACCAACGTTATTTCATTATCTTTTAACACTTCTATGAGAAGTGTTAAATTAAAATTCTTTCACCAAATTCACAAAGAGACAAACCTAGGTTGTGACTCCAAAGCTCGTTTTCTTAAATACTATGCTTTAAATTTACATAGCTATACTATGCTATGAATATATATATTTGATGCGTTCTTTTGAATGAAAGTCAGTGAAGACTATATATTTCAAATTAGGCAATATATAGTCACTGAGATAGCAGTTGACTGAACTGGACAGACCAAGGCTCAGATCCCTGCTTGAACTACTGCATCTTCAAAGGGAGCAATCCCCACCCGGAGCCTCTGCTGCTGAGGTTCCCAGGTTTTGTACCTCAAATTCTGTCTCCACAGGGCCGCAGGGCACGAGACCTGAGAGCAGAAAATTGATAAGCCAGCCAGCAATCTAGGACACAAACCACAAAATCAGATTACCTTCTTGGGGACTTGAACTGGACACTTGGGGATCATGAACCAGTTGAATCAAAAGCAGAAGGTAATAATCATAAATACATGTGTACAAGACTGCAGCCATGTATTAAACAGAGGTATGAGTGCTTAGAAGATGAGAACGTCAAGTTGGGAGAACACTCTAGTTGGGAAAGGTGAGGCGATTTTAAAAGATGGCAGGTTTGTAACAAACCTGCACATCTGCGCATGTATCCCAGAACTTAAAATTAAATTAAATTAAAATTTTTAAAAAAGATCACAGGTAAAAGAAATTCCATGAGAAACTGAACATATTAAGAGAAAGAGAGAGAGAACACCCAAGTATAAAGCTAATGTTTTTACTTGTGCTCTCATGAATCTAAGACAAGAGTAGCTTCATTTTGATTTCCCTCATTTTCCTCTATTTGTTTTACCTTCTCTGCCAGAGTCATGTACGTATCTTCTTTCATGTGTTTGATGTTTCTGTTAAGACAGCTCAAGGCTCTTCTACTGTATTATTGCTTTTATTGATAAGAACAATCCTAGTCTATTGGGTGATCTTTAATGGTTGTTTTGCTGTTGTTATTATTGAGTCTTGAGGCAATCGTTTTCTGAAATAATCTTAAGTTGACTCCATTGCTCAACTATCTGATTAAGTAGCTTTATATTCTTAAAACAAATATTTCATTTGTTTTTAAATTTTATTCTTCCAAATATAGGAGCACCCAGGATTAGGCAAGATATTTAAAGTAGACATAAAATTACTATGTTTCCTCATATGCTAAGAAAACAGAAAACGTTGGTGTACATACAAAAAAGATATTTGATCGCCTTTTTTTCTTCTTAAAATACGTTTATGAGGTATCAGTTGAATGAGAACAAAATGGTAGCAGTGGGTGGGAAGCTGGAAAATGACCTAAATTCTAGGATACGAATCCAATGCATTGTAGATAAATATGTTAGCTGTGGCACCATAACCCGCTGGATCCATCAACCATGTGGATCCATGATGGGGACAAGTGAATACAAAAGGTAAAAATGAAAATTTTAGAAAAAGGAAAGGGATGAGACTAGGGAACACTTCAGGTCAAGAACAGGGAGGCAAGAGAAAGGAAGAAGTTAGCTTATCTCAATTTCACTAAGCAGAATATGAAGGCTGAACAAATAAATGCCCTTATCTTTTTTTTTTCTTTTTTTTTGAGACGGACTCTCGCTCTGTAGCCCAGGCTGGAGTGCAGTGGTGTGATCTCAGCTCACTGCAACCTCTGCCTCCCAGGTTCAAGTGATTCTCCTGCCTCAGCTTCCCCAGTAGCTGGGATTACAGGTGTGTGCCACCACACCCGGCTAATTTTTTGTATTTTTAGTAGAGACGGGGTTTCACTGTGTTAGCAAGGATGGTCTCGATCTCCTGACCTCGTGATCTGCCCATCTTGGCCTCCCAAAGTGCTGGGATTACAGGCGTGAGCCACCACACCCAGCCACCTTTATCTTTTCAAGATGGCGCTCTCATTCACTTATCGCTATGACTATTATCTACTGCAATCTATGTACTTGCATAACATGACCTAAATAGGTAGATATACCATATTCATGGATGACTTAATGCTTTAAAGATAGTACTTCTTGCCAAATTAATCTAAACATTTGAGAACATTTTGACCAAAATCCAAAAATTATATTCTAAATAAAACCTGAAAATTAAATTCACAAGATTACCTGAATGATAGTGCCAAGGAGAGGTGCGCTCTATAGAATACCAAAGGATGCTATAAAGGTATGTTCTAACTACCATACTGACAAAGTGATAAAAAGAAAGATTGGGCTGGGTGGTGGCTTACACCTGTAATCCCAGGACTTTTTGAGGCCGAGGCAGGCAGATCACTTGAGGTCAGGAGTTTGAGACCAGCCTGGCCAACAGGGTGAAACCCCATCTGTACCAAAAATACAAAAATTAGCCAGGTGTAGTGCATGCCTCTAGCTACGTGGGAGGCTGAGGTGGGAGAATCACTTGAACCCAGGAGGCAGAGGTTACAGTGAACCGAGGTCATGCCACTGCACTCCAGCCTGGGTAACAAAATAAGACCCTGTATCAAAAACAAACAAACAAAAAAAACAAAAAACAAAGCAAAACAAAAAACACAAACAGGAAAAGAAAAAAATTGTTTTGTGGTCAGAACATTTAAGCAAATTTCAAGTACACAATGTAGTACTGCTAACTCTAGTCACTATGCTGCATATTCGATCCCCTGAGCTTATTCATTTTATAGCTGAAAGCTGGTACAGCTGTTGTTGTTGCTTTATTTAAGAGAAAGTTTTCAGTGTATCTCAACATTTGAAGAATTGCTTGGTCCAAGGGCAAGTACACTTCAAATGTTGAGTTACACTGAAAACTTTCTCTTAAAAAAAAATAGCTGTATCAGCTATCTCAAAATGTAATAGCACTGGCATATAAAGTGATACATATTAGAATGTTTACTGTAACACTCTGTAATAATAAAAAATTGGAAATCACCTACATTTCCATCTTTTGGAGAATAAATAATACTACTATACTAGTAGTAGTATAATATTCACACCACAGAAAATGATGCAGTTATCAAAAATAACAAGGTAGAGCTGCATGTACTAACAAGGAAGGCTTATGTGGAAAAACAGGCTACAGATGGATATCTGTCACCTAATTCTATTTACATTTTTTTTAAAAGACCAATGGTATATGTGTGTACATCTATGTATGTGTATGTATATATATATATGCGCATTGGTACATAGAAAAAATACACTCCAAATTGTTAATAACCAGAATGCAAGATCCAGAACACAAAAATTGTAGGCATAGTGCCTATAACAGATATTACCAATTAATAAAAGTACAATATATTTTTTTCGAATGAATGAATGGTAATTTTAGTGATGAAGACATGTTAGCATTGGGAAAATGCTGGTAAAGGAAATCTTTATTTTTTCTTGGTATCTTTCCAGATTGAGATTTTATCAAGTATAGTATCTTTCTAGATTGTTTGAGATTTTATCAAGCATGTTATAATAATTTTGTAATTAAAACTTAAATACAGATAAAAATAAACTCTTGCCTACCCCTTTCAGATAATGTTATAATGTGTCACAAGAAACAAACATATTTCTTGGTAATAAAACAAAATTATTTGTAAAGTACTACCAGGGCCAGCCTGTCTGCATATAGCCCTTTTTCCTAAAAAGTAAAAAAATCATCCTAAAGATTAGAGATTTCTGATCCTGCTACATGGCATGACTAGCTAGTCCTTCAAGTTAAAAAATATATCCATTGGTGATAAAGAAACATATTGAATATTATTGTCCCCTGAGCCTCTTACCATGATATACTCAGCTGTATGTGAAAGGATTTTGAGAAAACAGAGCCTAGCAAGGGGTCTCATGCCAATGGGTCCTGCCAAGGAGGAGGGTCTTCTGTATTTCCAGGGAGCAGCTATAGACATGGAGCTTAATGACTGCCTAAGTGTTCAAACTGCCAAGGCACACTTCATTCCAAATATGAAGATATTCACAATGTACCTTTCAAATATTTAGAAAATATTTCTAACAGGTACTTTGTAATTTTTAATGGCAAAAAGTTAGAGTTTAGATTGTGACTGTTCATAACTGCCATCACTTGCCCCCAAACTTTACAAATCAGTTCAGTGTTACTTTACATGGTTAAAGGTCTAGTTTGTATGGCTGATATAATACATGCTATGTAAATAAATATGGTCATAAAATTGCTATAGATTTGGCTTTGATTTTAACACAAAATATGCCATATGCTTATTATAAATATTTAGTATCAAGTTCTATATTATGATTACCTCAATTCCTCAACAGTCAACTTTTAATCCGGGGGTGTCCAATCTTTTGGCTTCCCTCGGCCACATTAGAAGAAGAAGAAGAACTGTCTTGGGCTACACATAAAATACACTAACAATAGCTGAAACAAAAGCTAAAAAGAAAAAAATCACAAAAAATTCTCATAATGTTATAAGAAAGTTGATGAATTTGTGTTGGGCCACATTCAAAGCTGTCCTGAGCCACAAGTTGGATAAGCTTGTTTAATCTTGGCTTTTTGCTAAAAGCTAAAGCATTTGGCTGATACCTTTCCTGACTTAGCCCCCAGAATAACGACCCTTTTGGTTCCCCTTCTCCCTTAACAGGGGTTATTGCTTGTGTTCTTTGCGGCCTATCAATATTGGGGCACCCCAGAGCTCAGCCCTGACCTCTTCCTTCTCTGTGTTCTCTCTCCCCAGGTGATCTCAATTAGCCACAATTCTTCAAATACAACTATATGCTGAAGATTATCCATTTTAAATCTCCAAGCCCTCTGCTGAAGTCCAGACTCACATATCCACACAGACTTGACTTCTCTACCTGGATTTCTGTGAGGCATTTCAAATTCAACTTCAAATTCTTGATTTATATCTCCAAGTGTTAGGTCTTTTCCATCTCATAATATGACAACTCTATTATTTTAGTCATTCAGGCTGAAAGTCTTGAAATCATCTTTGACTTCTGTCTTTCTCTTTCAAACCGCATGTCAGCAAATTCCATTGTCTCATTTTAAAATATACACAGCATCTGACTGCTTTCCATCTCAACCTAGTGTTTTGTTGCTAGCAAATCCCATCACCTCCACCTGAACACAGGCAGCAGCCACCTCGCCGCCTATCCTCCTTTCGCAGATGCTCCCTCATGTCCGTGCACGGAGCCAGAGCAGCTCCTTTCTTTCTTTTTTTCTCTTTTTTTTTTGAGACGGAGTCTCGCTTTGTCGCCCAGGCTGGAGTGCAGTGGTGCGATCTTGGCTCACTGCAAGCTCCGCCTCCCGGGTTCGCGCCATTCTCCTGCCTCAGCCTCCCGAGTAGCTGGGACTACAGGCGCCCGCCATCACGCCTGGCTAATTTTTTGTATTTTTAGTAGAGAGGGGGTTTCACCGTGTTAGCCAGGATGGTCTTGATCTCCTGACCTCGTGATCCACCTGCCTCGGCCTCCCAAAATGCTGGGATTACAGACGTGAGCCACCACGCCCGGCCCAGAGCAGCTCTTTTCAAATTTCAGTGAGATGGCACCGCTCCTCCCTGCAGAGGGAACCCTGCAGCCACTTCCCCTCCCACTTTTGAGTGGAACCCAGAGTGCTCACCGCCTACATGGCCCTACATGATGGGATCCCTGCCCACTTCTTGCACCTCTGCTCCTGGCCACACGCCCTCCACTCTACACACTCCACACTCTGTCTTCCTGCCGCTAGTCTTCAATCACCTCTAGCACTGTCTGACTGCACTTGTTGTGTTTTTGCCTGGAAGACTCTTCCCCAAATATTAATTTGGCTCACCCTCTCCCCTCCATAGTTTTCTGCTCAAATATCGACTTATCAGAGAGATTTTCCAGGACTACCAATGTAAAATCACACACCCCACCCCATACCCCACCTCTGTCCAGTCTCTCTCTAACCCCCTTGCCCTGCCTCTTGTAAAAAAAGCATGGCTTTTAACAACCACCGAATCTATCATACGTGCTGTTTCCTACTGTTTCCCTACCAGTCTCTCCCCTCAGTGTTAGCTCTGTAGGGCTGTTTATTTTGGCTTTCGTTTGCTTTTTGCCCAGCTCATGGCATGGTGCTTGGCATATAAAAAGCACTTGACAAATATTGTTGAATGAATGGAGTTCCCACACCCAGAGATATCATAATAGTATTTACATGCTCCTGTTTCTAGCATTAGGTGGGTGACCTGTACTACCTCACCAGTAGTTATTGAAAAACATGTAATATCATGATTGTCGAAGGAGAGAAATTATCTTAGTTATATATGGCTTGGCTCACATCATGTCTCACTCAACCCTGTGTCTTGCTGATTATTCAGAATTATTCTTAGGTATTAAGGCGATTAGAATCTCAGGCTGTGGAGTCAAACAGAACTGCATTTCAGATACAACTTTCACACTTACTAGTTACATGACTGTTTTAAGCAATTTACTTAATCAGTTTAAGCCCCAGTAAAATAGAGGTATTTTTCTTCTTCCATAAAACAGAGGTGATGAAAAAGTACCTACTTCTAACTTGGTGGCAGAGGTGATGAAAAAGTACCTACTTCCAACTTGGTGGTAGAGCAGAAACACAGAAACCTTTCACTCTGAGATCAAGCAACCACAAAAATGCCCATGATTGCCATTTCTATCAGCATTGTACTTTGGGTCTACCCAAAACAAGAAAAATAAGTAGCAGATATAGTGTTTGGAAAGGAAAAAAGCAAAACCATTATCATTTGTAGAAATATGATCATATACATAAAAAAATTTAGGATAAATTACTAGAATTAAAATGACAATTTAGAAAGTTTGATTCTTAAAAATGCATTTTAAAAACTAATTGCATTCATGTAAACCAGCAATAGTTATAAAATGAAAAAGAGAAAAATCGATGTTAAAAATAGCATTTAAAACTATGAAATATATAGAACTAAATCTAACAAATATGTTCAAGACTTTTCATAGAAAATATAAATTGTGAAATTTATTATAAGATGTAAGAAAGACAAATAAATGGAGAGAGGTAAAGAGACCAATTTCATGTACTGGAAAATTTTAGACCATAACGATTTCTGTTTCCCCCAGATTGAATCTAAAAATGTAACGCAATTCATGCCAAAGTCCCACAGACTGTGTGTATGCACGCATGTGCATGTGTGTGTATGTGTGGGTAATTTCACTGGGTGATTCTAAAAGGTATATGGAGGTTAAAATGGCCAAGAGTATCCTAAACACCCTTAAAAAAAGAACAAAGTAGGAAAACATGTGTTACCAGATTTTAAAACTTATTTTGTAAAAAGAATGGTATGAGCCAGGGTAGAAAAAGTGGCCCACTGGGTAGATGAAAGTCTAAAAAGCACCAGCACTCGATTCATGAGAAAGATGACACTGAAGACTCATGTGGATGTTTGGGAGAAAAATGGCGTGTACAGAAATGATACTAGGAAAATTATATTTGCATATGGAGTAAGATGATATTGTATCTCATTCATGGAACACATCAAAATAATTCCAAGTGGACTAACGTTTATAAAATATGGAAGAATATCTTTAAGATACCAGTGTAGGGAGAAATTTCTTGATACCAAAAAAAAGCATTTAACCATAAAGGAAAGGATAGATAATTTTAATCACTTTAAAACTGAGTTCTATTTATTAAAAGATACTACTTTACAAGAAAAGTGAAGTAAAAAAGTAGAAAATACATTTGCAATATGTTAAACTGACAATGAAGGAGTATCCAGAATGTATACATTCCTACAAATCCATTGGAAAAACAAAAAAACACCTATAAAGGTATGGGTAAAAGAGTGAAATAAACACTCTTAGATGTGCTAATCCATAATCAAGATTACCACCTGCCAATTTTGCAAAAATTCAGAAACTCAACTTTACCAATGAGGATGTGGGGCTTTGAGAGCGCTCATCCATGCTGAAGAGATGTATTTTGGTGGAACCAATTTATAAAGCAATTTCATCTAGTAAAGTTGAAGATAGGCATACATCATGGCCAGCAATTCCATTTCCAGGTGTATACCCGTAGAGAAATGCAGGCATATGTGGACCAAAATACATATGTAAGAATTTTCATTAAGAGCATTTAAAGGCAAGCCACAGACTGAAAGAAAAAATGTGCAAAACACATAAATAAAGGACTTAATAAATAGAGAGACTATAGCAAATAACAATGTAGTATATAGTTCAAGATAGCTAGAAGATTTTGAATGTTGTTACCACAAATAAATAATAAATGCTTAAAGTGATGGATATGGTATTACCCAGATTTGATCATTACACTAGTATAATGAATATATTCATGCATTGAAACATCACACCGGGCCAGGCGCGGTGGCTGATGCCTGTAATCCCAGCACTTTGGGAGGCCGAGGTGGGTGGATCACCTGAGGTCAGGAGTTTGAGTCCAGCCTGACCAATATGGTGAAACCCTGTCTCTACTAAAAATACAAAAATTATCTGGGCATGGTGGCTGTAATGGGAAGCTGAGGCAGGAGAATCACTGGAACCTGGAGGTTGCAGTGAGCCGAGAATGCACCACTACACTCCAGCCTGGGCGACAGAGTAAGACTCAGTCTCAAAAAAAAAAGAAACATCACACCGTACCACATTAATATGTACAATTGTTATATGTCAATTATAGGTAAGAAATTAAATAAAAATAAACTATAAACTATCTTGTAGACAATAATGTATCATCAAACTGAATATTCTGCTCTCATGTACTTCCTATACTTATATTGACTCAGTTTGAATCTGGTCCCAAAAACTCACAAAATATAAGACTGTCACCAACATCACATAAGCAAAAATCATTAACTTGTACATGTAGAGTAATAAAATGACGTTTCACATTAAAAATATTATTCATATACACACACATACAAAGATTCAAAAGAAAACAAAAAGCTAATGGAAAAAATAGGCAAAAGATCTCAACAGATACCTCACCAAAGAAAGTATATACAAAAATTAATAAATTCTGAGCAGCCATCTTATGTTAAAGAAAAGAAGGCATATAAATAGCAAAAAAGCGTATGAAAAGATGCTCAACATCATGAGTCATTAGGGAATTCTAAATTAAAACAATAAAATGTTACTACCCACCTACTAGCATGGCGAAAATCCAAAACACAGAAAACACCAAACGTTGGCAAGGATGTGAAGCAACAGGAACTCTCATTCATTGATGGTGGGAATGCAAAATGGTACAGCCACTTTGCAAGACAGTTTGGCATCTCTTATACAGTTAAACATACTCTTACCATACAATCCAGCAATTGTACTCATTGCTATTTACCCCAAAGAGTTGAAAACTTGCATCCATGCAATAATCTGCACCCACATGTTGCTAGCAGGGTTATTCATAATTTTAAAAACTTGGAAGCTACAAAGATGTCTTTCAATAGGTGAATGAATAACAAACTGTGATGCATCCATACAATGGAATATTATTCAATGATTAAAAAGTGACCTATCCAGGAGATCGAGACCATCCTGGCTAACACGGTGAAACCCCGTCTCTACTAAAAACACAAAAAATTAGCTGGGCGTGGTGGCAGGTACCTATAGTCCCAGCTACTCAGGAGGCTGAGGCAGGAGAATGGCATGAATCCAGGAGGCAGAGCTTTCACTGAGCCGAGATCGCGCCACTGCACTGCAGCCTGGACGACAGAGAGAGACTCCATCTCAAAAAAAGAAAAAGTGACCTATCAAGCTACAAAAGACTTAGAAGAAGCTTAAATTCATATTACCAAATGAAAGAAGCCAATCTGAAAAGGGTACATACCATATAATTGCAACTATGTGACATTCTGGAAAAGGTAAAATTAAAGAGGTAGTAAAAAAGATGAGAGGTTGTCAGGTTCCTGGGAGAAGGGTAGAAGGATGAATAGATGGAGCACAGGGGATATTTTTTACGGCAGTGAAACTAGTCTGTATGATACTGTATTAGTGGATACATGACGTTATACATTTGTCAAAACCCATAGAACTGTATGACATAACGACATAAAGAGTGAACCCCATGCCAGGCGCGGTGGCTCACGTCTGTAATCCCAGCACTTTGGGAGGCCGAGGCAGGTGGATCACCTGAGGTCAGGGGTTTGAGACCAACCTGGACAACATAGTGAAACCCTGTCTCTACTGAAAATACAAAAATTAGCTGGGCATGGTGGCGAGCGCCTATAGTCCTAGCTACTTGGGAGGCTGAGGCAGGAGAATCGCTTGAACCCAGGAGGTGGAGGTTGCAGTGAGCCGAGATCACGCCACTGCACTCCAGCCTGGGTGACAGAGTGAGACTTTGCCTCAACAACAACAACAACAACAACAACAACAACAACAACAAAGAGTGAACCCTAATGTAAACCATAGACTTTAGTTAATAAAAAAGTATGAATATTTATTGCCAGTTGTAACAAATGAACCATACTAATGCAAGGTGTTAATAATAGAGGAAATTGTGTATGGAATGGAGGGGGTATATGTAAACTCTGTACTGTCTGCTCAATTTTTCTATAAATCAAAAAGTGCTCTACAAAGTTAAGCCTATTAATTTCAAAATAAGAATCTCCACAGCAGCATTTTACATAAGAGCCCACAACTGAAAAAAAAAGTGTTCACCAATAGTAGATACATTTATTGTTGTATAGTAAAACAATGGAGTACTATAAAACAATGAAAATGAATGAATTCCGGCTGGATAAAGAGGATATTACAAAGGGTTTCTGCATTATGCCTGCACTTCTCTAGGGGTATACACCTGGAAGTGGAACTGCTGGCCATGATGTATGCCTATCTTCAACTTTACTAGATGATGACAAATTGCTTTCTAAATTGGTTCCACCAAAATATATCTCTTCAGCATGGGTGAGCACTCTCAATACCCCACACCCTCACAAGTAATTTGCTGGCTGATTTCTGTTTCTTGACCCAAATGGTGGCCACGTGGTTACTGTGTGTGTGTGTGTGTGTGTGTGTGTGTGTGTGTATGCATGTGTGTGTATTTATGGAGTATTTTAGATAGAGAGAGAACACTCTTCTATGTATATGATACTTTTCAGTATAATTAACAATTTCCATGAAACAGAAGAAATGATGAAGCATATAAATATCGAGTCATGAAAAGAAATGGAAAACCAAACATTTGAACTTAATTAAACCAAAAAGCTTCTGCACAGCAAAAGAAACAATCAGCAGAGTAAACAAGCAACCCAGAGAGTGGGAGAAAATCTTCATAATCTGTACATCTGACAAAGGACCAATATCCAGAATCTACAAGGAACACAAACAAATTAGGAAGAAAAAAAAATGACTTAATCCTATCAAAAAATGGGCTAAGGACATGAATAGACAGTTCTCAAAAGAAGACATACAAATGGCCAACAAACACGAAGAAATGTTCAATTAGTGATGGAAACCACTAATTGCCAGGGAAATGCAAATCAAAACCATAATGTGATACCACCTTATTACTGCAAGAATGTCCGTAACTAAAAAATAATAGATGTTGGTGTGGAGGTGGTGAACAGGGATCACTTCTACACTGCTGGTGGGAATGTAAACTAGGACAACCACACTATGGAAAACAGTGTGGCGATTCCTTAAAGAACTAAAAGCAGAACTACAATTTGATCCAGCAATCCCACTACTGGATATCTACTCACAGGAAAAGAAGTCATTATACGAAGAAGGATACTTGCATGCATGTTTACAGCAGCACAATTCGCAATTGCTAAAATATGGAACCAGCCCAGATGCCCATCAGTCAACAAGTGGATAAAGAAACTGTGGTACATATATACCATAGAATACTACTCAGCCATAAAAAGGAACGAAATAATGGCATTCACAGCAACCTTGGATGGAATTGGAGGCCATTATTCTAAGTGAAGTAACTCAGGAATGGAAAACCAAAATTGTATGTTCTCACTCATAAGTGGGAGCTAAGCTATGAGGATGCAAAGGCACGATAAAATAGACTTTGGGGACTCGGGGGAAAGGATAAGAGTGAGGTGACAGATAAAAGACTACAAGTTGGGTACAGTATATGCTGCTGAGCAAAATCTCAGAAATCACCACTGAAGAACTCATTCATGTAACCACACAACACCACCTGTTCCCCAAAAACCTATGGAAATAACAAATTAAAAATAAATAAAAATACGCATCTATCTGCATATACTTGTACTCTCCTGCTAAGGAGTAAATAATAAAAACTTCAATAACATCAAAAAAGAAAGAAAACCAAGGATTTAATCAACAACAAGAAGTTATAAGAAAGAGAAGAAAAATTGAAGACCCCTCTGATAACTTTCCAACCCTCTACACCGCTAGACCACATGATAAGCAAAACAAACACTTCGGCCTTGCTGCCAGACAGACAAGGAGGAGAGGCCTGTGACAGGTCACTTTGGCTCAAAGCCACATTAATTTAGAAATGACCCCAGCATCAAACATGACAATACTCCCTATTTTTTTCTTCCAATGCTGTTTTCCATACTCTATACAGACAAAAAGTGCTCAAAAAACTGTTGATAAAACACAATTCTAGTAGCATAGTATTAAAAGGGATGTCCAACATAACAGACTTCAAAGACTTTTTTTTGTCATGACATACACAGTTTACATCATAATAAATGTGGTATTCTGGGCAGGAATTTGTGACCATGAGCAGTGGTACACCTAGCGTACTTAACGCCCAGGGCAGATCACTGTTAATACCCGCTCCTCAACGTTTCAAACTGTTTTACATCTAAAATCACGGTGGCTCATGCCTGTAATCCCAGCAATTTGGGAGGCCGAGGCGGGTGGATCACATGAGATCAGGAGTTCGAGACCAGCCTGACCAACGTGGTGAAACCCCATCTCTACTAAAAATACAAAATTAGCCAGGCGTGGTGGCGCATGCCTGTAATCCCAGCTACTTGGGAGGCTGAGGCAGGAGAATCACTTGAACGCAGGAGGCAGAGGTTGCCGTGAGCTGAGATCACACCATTGCACTCCAGCATGGGCAACAAGAGTGAAACTCTGTCTCAAATAAAATAAAATCCTCACCTCTAAATTTATTCCTTTCTGAGTGGAAGATTCCTCTTACCTTATTCACATTCTGTCTCTTCTGAACCTACTACCTTCCTTTTTCAATTATGACCTCCAACTCCTCAACCCCTCCTACTTCTTTCAAACTGTCATCGCCACTCTAAGCTTACGTACCTCCAAACTCTAGATTACACTTGTCACCATCTCCCATACCTTTGCCCCAGTGACTTCCTACCACCTACCACTCCTAACTCCTAGCTTCAGGAAAAATTGTAGGAAGTAGGATGAAAAACAAAGGTAATGTAAAATCTAAGTACTATGAATGGCCTACTTAAATCACACAAATCTGCAGGTAACCTAATCAGCATAACTTCATGACAACTCATAGAGATCTTTAGCCACCTGACACAGGATCAGAGAAAGCAGGTGGTGAATCACCCATGCCTGAGATCAATGCCATTGATGCCAATGATCATATATTCAAGGTTTTCCCAACATCAAATGATACTTCACAAAACAAGATTACTAGGTAATGTTCTAGGAACAAAATTAAGTGCTGAGGATACAAAGGCCAAGATCAGTCTTCACCCTGATAGGCATGCTGCAGAACCCCTCATCTCCCCTTCCTTCCCGTCTCCACTGCCACCTCAGCTGTTATGCAGGCTCCCTAAACCTTCTTATGTCCTGTCTCCTCTTATTCTCTTCTTCCCTGCACTCTACAGCTAAAATAATTTTTCTTTTCTTTCTTTTTTTTTTTTTTTTTTGAGACAGAATCTCGCTCTGTCACCCAGGCTGGAGTGCAGTGGCACGATCTCGGCTCACTGCAATCTCCGCCTCCAGGGTTCACACCATTCTCCTGCCTCAGCCTCCCGAGTAGGTGGGACTACAGGCGCCCGCCACCACACCTGGCTAATTTTTTGTGTTTTTAATAGAGATGGGGTTTCACCATGTTAGCCAGGATGGTCTCGATCTCCTGACCTTGTGATCCGCCCACCTCGGCCTCCCAAAGTGCTGGGATTACAGGTGTGAGCCACCGTGCCTGGCCCAGCTACAATAATTTTTCTAAAGCATACTTCCAACTCACCCTGATGAGAAATGGTCATCCATTAGCTGTTTAAATTAAGGAACACCTATCCCAGTATTCAACCTCAACCAAATGTCCTTTCCATCCCCTTTACCCACGCCTCCCTTCTCCATGTACATATCTTGCCACTTAGATGAGATCTTGTCTTGGGTCCCTGCTCTCTTTTAAACCTCTCTCTGGAGTGCTCTGTATCTCTTCTGTGGCACCTATTTTACTCTGCTTTCTTTTGTTAAATGTGTCTAGTTCCTCCCACTCAGCCCATTAGGTGTTAACATTTTTTAGACCAGAATTGTACCTTGTTCACAATTTTTTTTTTTTTTTTTTGAAACGGAGTCTTGCTCTGTCACCCAGGCTGGGGTGCAGTGGTGCAATCTCGGCTCACTGCAACCTCTGCCTCGCAGGTTCAAGCAATTCTCCTGCCTCAGCCTCTAGAGTAGCTGGGATTACAGGTGTGTGCCACCATACCTGGCTAATTTTTGTATTTTTAGTAGAGACAGGGTTTTACTATGTTGGCCAGGCTGGTCTCGAACTCCTGACCTCGTGATCCGCCTACCTCGGCCTCACAAAGTGCTGGGATTACAGATGTGAGCCACCCTGCCCAGTCCCCCTGGTTCACATTTTATTCACTTTAGCACAAAGTACATCAGCACATGTATGTTAGGTACTCAAAAAAATGATATATACACAATATAATAATGCAAAATTGAATGGAGTCCAGTTTTGGACTTATTTTTTATTACATACTTCCTGAGGAGGCATACTGCATGATTCCAACAGCAACTCTCAAAGTAGCTAGCTAAAGTACTGTTCACACTCAGATTGTGTACAATTTTGTTAATATTTTTTAAATCCTAAAATCTGGCTCATTCATGTCACTTTCCTGAAACATCATGCATGCTCTAGAATGCCTGCCTCTTCTTTAACAATGTTTTATTTTTTTTAATTAAGCTTGTTATCTACATGACTCCCAGATCAATTCTGGCTGTGCTTATACCTGATAATTTATTTGTATAAATTGGGTATTCGTCTTATTTGCTGACATGCAGCTTTTCAGCATCCAGAGTAAGGTTTCTTCATTCATTAAGTAGAAGTGACATTGTCTCCACATTGTCAGCAGGTAGTGTGTGTTGTACATATGTGACTTACTATCACACAGGCATAAGTCATGGTTCAAAAAATTTCTAACAAAAGAAATGAGGAGCACAGGGTAAAATTGAGCTGAAATGAACATGTCATTAACCCTCTCACCTCTTTTCCCATTATGCTTTGTGAAAATAATCAGTGAATAATTCCTAGAGCTCTGGAACCTGGAACTCTCAGTGAAGAAAGGCAATAGGAGGCAATTAACACCCTGATTTTATTTTTTCAATAGCTTAACACTACAGGAGAAAATGTCTAACAGAGTATTTAAATTCAGCATAAAATCCTAGCAACCACAATTTTAATTGCATACTAACTGCAAAAATATTTCTTTCATTGTCTAAATAAAAGGAAGACTGTAATATGTACTGTCTGCTTGTTTCAGGACTCAGTTATTAATCTTTAAGAATCTTTGCTAGGATGAAAGCCTCTTCTTCCAGCAAATGCATCCTGAGACTGGGACTTAATCTTTTAAAATCCTAGCTCTCATTTTGAACCATGTTAAGATTTCTATCCCTGATATAAAAACACCTTGAACAATTTCAGACACAAGAATTTCAGGAATTTTTTATTAGTAACTCAAAAACAATACCTTTTAAAAGTCACAAAAATGAAAAGCTACCTTTGTCTGCAACACATAAACACACATGTAAAAAAAAATGCACAATATGAAATTTGATTACTCAACAGCAAGTCATCACAAATGCAAGCAAAGATTGGGTTGCTGTTTCCATAGAGATGACTTTAAGTGGTTCAGTTCTTCTGGGAATTTAACCAAATCCCCAGCAGCAGAAGAAAATCATCAGCAAAAATTCTGTAGCATATGAGAACTGCCAACAAATCAATGAGAGAAAAAAAATACTTTCATTTTCTTTTCCTTTTTACCAAGAGGAATACTGTCACATTGAGCTGTTTGAAGAAGTATACAGATTTTGCTGGTCACTCTGCATGTAACTCAAAACTAAATAATACCAGGTTGCTTCATTCTTACATTAAAAGGGCTGGTGGTACCCAGCCAGGCTCTACAGCACATGCAATCCTGGAATGGCATTTAGCCAGGAACAAGGACTGTTGCATCTTCCCATGTCTCTGGCTATGGTCCTAAAAGAAAACCCTCAACCTCCAGGGTTATCTCTTGGGAAAGAATGCAAATGGGATTTTATTCTCTAGTATGTTTTTGAAGCTATGCTCATCCTGGGGGGTGTGTGTGTGTGTTTGAAATTTTTTTAGTTCTACTTACGACCCAGTGATTAAAGTAAGCGTTTGTAGGAGAAAAATAATAGATGTAGTACTTTTTATTATTTTCTTTAGTTTCACCAGTCCTATATCTGGAAGTCTCTTCTAAGCATCAAGATAGAGGTCATCTAGTTCAAGATGCTTAAATTCTCTCTTCAGTATATCTTTTCAAGAACAAGAGGTGTGACCAATACACAATAGGCAATCAATATTCAATGAAAATGTTTGTCTCAGAATGAGTAAAGACCTCCAGTGATAAGGAATGCATTCCTTTCCAAGGAACCCATTCTATTTTTTGAAGAGTTCACAACATCAAAAAAAAGTTCTTATGCTGAGCATGAATCTATCTCCTTTTGACTTGCACCATTGAACTCAATTCTGTGCTTCCAAGGAGATACAATTAAGCTCAATACTTTCACCAAACGACAGCAACTCACAAACCTGAGGGCGGGTTGAGACTACTCTTCCTCACAGTCCAATCTTCAGCCCTCTCCATTCCTCAGTGACAAGGTTTCCTTTCTCCTCCCTATGCTACTCATTCACCTCTAGAAATAGGTTGGTTTGCCAGACTTTATTTACTCCAGTTCTTCTAATCTAGATAGTTGGCCTAAATAAAGGGGAGAAGTATAAGAAAAATGCCATCAGAGGCCAGGCAGGTCTGTGTAAAGCATCTTTAGGTAAGGCCTCAGAGAGTGGTGACAACTGTTATAACTTGGAGAATTAGTTACCAGGCTGAGTAATGAAATTTACATACTTTTAAAATATTACATACACACACACACACACACACACACACACACACAACTTGTTCTGCAGTTGTGATCCTTGGGCAAATTACGCTGATACCAAAAATTAAATTAGCAGGGTACCCATCTGAAATTTGAGAACTTAAAGAAACATTCCCTGATTAGGCTAGAGGAGAGGAGAGAGCAGTCATCTATGTCATTAGACACTCTGGCAAGTGATTATGAGAATTTAGCAAGTCAACTTTCTCTCAATGGCACACCAAAAATATACAAACCAAACTCATCATTCTTTCACTGCTCAGTATCTTCCATCAGGTAAGCGTGTTTTACAGCAGAATGAATAGCGCACAATCAGAAAAGATACGTCACGATTGAACAGTAATAAAAATAAGTTAGTCCTGGATAAAAGACAAGGACCAGTTATCAGAGTATTTTTTAAACCTCATATTATTAACTTCCACACACAATTAATTCTTTCCTTTGTTAAGACTTAAAATGTTTTCTGAACGCATGAGTTGTGCTCTCCTTTATATGTAAAGGTTCTAATGCTGCACAAAGTGCATGCAAATTGTCTGTCTTCCCATCAACCACACAGGAACATTCAGGAGCCGACAGGCTAAGAATTAGATACTGTCTGGGGCACAGCCCAGAGAAAGTGGCTGATCTAAGCTCATTTTGAACTATCAAGGTGATGTTATGAATACCAGACTACAAAATCCTGATTTAACCACCACAGGCTCCAGCGCATGGGACATGGGACCAAAAAAGAGGCAAGTTTTTTCTCCGATTGGTGGAAAAGTATCATTATTTTATGATCACATGTCTTGGAGTTCTGAAGCAATTGGTTAGTGACACTTATAGCAAGTAATTAGTGGCCTAGTAGCTGGAGTTGTCCACATGCAAACTCCTCTACAAAGCAACCTCTGGGCATAGCCCCACTTGACTAATTATTGAATCATCATTCATGAGTTTAACCATTCTTGTTACAAATTAATATTACAGTTCCATATACAAACAAATATTCACTCTCTAACGAAGAATAAATAATTTATTGGTTTACCTTTGTCCATGATCTTTGATCCAGCAGGCTTATCTGGGACAGTAAGATGGTCATGATTGCTACTCAATGAAGAAGTATCATCACTAGATAAAGAGTTCAAAAATCCACTTTCTGATGTGACAAAACTGTTTTCCAGGGCCTTGTGGATGCCTGCCTCTGAGGGTACAGGTGAATGAACTTGCACAGCAAACGTTATTGGTTGTCCCTCATCTTCAGCAGCAGACAAACTGTTAACTGTGTCAGGCAAGGATTGTCTCTCTTTAGATAAGGAGGAAGGAAAACTGCTGGGTGTCTTCACTGTATTTTCCAGGGAAGAGAAAGAATACGACGTTCCACTCAGGCTGGGTGAGGATGAAGATGCCTGCTGTGCAGTCTATTTTTCACAAATAAAACCAAAAAAAGAATAAAAGACATCATGATTAAACCATCATTCTCTACCTTTTATTTTCAATCACGGTGTCCCCGTGTTATTTCAAAAAGTGACCAATAATAAAAGAGTCAAAAGGTAAAGATATGATATTTATTTCTGTTTGACACACATTAGGATTTCATTCTCCAAAACTGATTTATGTAACTTTAAATTCACTGTTCTAGGATCTGAAAAATCTCCTTATCATGATTTGTCCTATTCTTCAATGCTCTCCAGAAACTTAAAAGGCCTCTTTTGGGAATGCTTCAGAATACTGCATTACACTTTGAGCAAAATATAATTTGCAATCTATCACTGAATTCACACTGATGGAACAAGAAAGATAATTATGAAAAAGGAGAGGCTGGGTGCGATGGCTCATGCCTGTAATCCCAGCACTTTGGAAGACCGAGACAGGCAGATCACCTGAGGCCGGGAGTTTGAGACCAGCCGGGCCAGTATGTTGAAACCCCATCTCTACTAAAAATACAAAAATTAGCCTGGCTTGGTGGCGCGCACCTGTAGTCCCAGCTATTCAGGAGACTGAGGCAGGAGAATCACTTGAACCTGGGAGGCAGAGATTGCAGCGAGCTAAGATCATGCCACTGCACTCCAGTCTGGGTGACAGAGTGAGACTCTGCCTCCAGAAAAGAAAAAGAGAGCAAAAGCTGGAGCCATTCCAGAAACAAAATACGAACTTAAACCCTTGAATATCGCTCACATACTCCTTAGTGCATGAAAAGCCTTGGCGACATTTTCATCAGTACACAGAGAAAACATCAAAGCAACATCACCAATGATATGGTTGGTTCTGTGTCCCTATCCAAATCTCACCTCGAATTGTAATCCCCACATGTCGAGGGAGGGACCTGATGGGAGGTGATTGGATCATGGGGGTGGTTTCCCCCATGCTGTTCTCATGATAGTGAGTGAGTTCTCATGAGATCTGATAGTTTAAAAGTGTTTGGCAGTTCCCACCTCACTCACTCTTTCTGCTGCCACCATGTAAGATGTGCCTTGTTTCCCCTTCGCCTTCCTCCATGATTGTAAAGTTTCCTGAGGCCTCCCCAGCCATGTGGAACTGTGAGTCAATTAAAATCTCTTTTCTTTATAAATTACCCAGTCTCTGATAGTTCTTTACAGAGGTGTGAAAATGGATTAATATAACCAACAATTCTTGGAAAGAACTTCATTTATTCTGAGATTTTTATCTTTGCTACATTTTGATGTTGAAATACATGCCTTCTTTTTAAAAAATGGTGACAGTACATATAAGCCTTTGTCTCTTTGTCTCTTTGTCTCTTTTCCTTTCTTTAATGTCCTATGTAGCAAAATAAAGATTCAGCAACTCTGTCTTGTTCCTCCATTTTTAACTTTATTGGCCAACAAAATCAAAAAATCTAGACTCCAGTACTCTACAGATCACCCTATATCTCCAACAGCAGACAAGGTAGAGAAGGCATTTTATGGTTCAGTTGCATTACATCATCCTATGGGACATGCCTGTCAACATCAAGCATTCAAAACTCTAAGGAAGGCCAGGCGCGGTGGCTCATGCCTGTAATCCCAGCACTTTGGGAGGCCGAGGTGGGCAGATCTCTTGAGGTGAGGAGTTCAAGACCAGCCTGGCCAACATGGCGAAACCCCGTCTCTACTAAAAATACAAAAATTAGCAGGACATGGTGGCTCATGCCTGTAATCCCAGCTACTCGGGAAGCTGAGGCAGGAGAATCACTTGAACTCAAGAAGCGGAAGTTGCAGTGAGCCAAGATCACATGATTGTACTCCAGCCTGGGCAACAGAGTGAGGCTCCATCTCAAAAAAACAAACAAACAAAAAAACTCCAAGGAAGTGTCAGGAAGGTTGACAGAGAGAGGAAGCCAAAGAGCAAACTAGGATCTTCTTCAAAAACCCTCAGAATCATTGCAACTAATTCAGAACAGTTGACCTTCTTCCAAATCAATATGGTCCCCAGGAAATTTGTAGATTCTGAGCTCTGAGTTTTGATGGGAGAAGCCAATATTTACCTAATGTGTACCCAATCAGTTCCATGCTAGACACGGATTGTCAGATAATCAATAAATACACTTTTAAGTAGCATGACATTAAAATCTCTAGTTAAGATACTAACTAATCACATATCTTCTCAATAATCATATACTGGCACGTACATAAAAAAAATCCATTCAGGAATATGTCAAGTACCTTGTAAACTGGTTACCTTACATCACTTAGATCTTTAATAACCAAGAGATCAAAGACCTATAATTTCAATAAAACCCTAGTTATCTAGAGGAGGGAATGCACTACCCCCAAATTGTCCAAATAAATGGCAGGAATAGTTTACTCGTTAGCAGGATCTACAAAATAAATATTAACAAAAATATCCATTCTGGACCAGTCCTGACACGTTCCCCTATTGTGAGCTATTTTAGTAAAATTCAACTTCTATGTGATCAACTTCCTTTTTTCGAAACAACACCAAATAAGCTTTTCCTCTTACTCCTGCTGACTCTACTTTAAATTAGATTATAGCAAACTGGGCTATTTGAACAACAGACCATGTACACAGTTGCTACAGGACTGTCTGTAAGGTTTATTGAACCTCAAAACTCTGCTTAAAGTATCAAGACCTGTTAAATGAGCATTAGAAATATCTGTGAAGTGTCATCGTGTTTGTGCTATGACTCAAACACAGTGCAAATGCTCTCTCAATCCATTTTCTCTAGGCACCAGGCACCACTTATAAATTTCATTTTTAAATGGAGAAAAGAAGAATGAAGGGAAAAAAAGAAATAGAAGAAACACGAAGACTTGGAGAAGAGGAAAAGGAAAATGAGAAAGTGACTACATATTCAGGTCAGGGGGAGTTTTCATTGGAAAAGAGATTGATAAAATACAAATACAAATGAAAGTGAACCTGGAGTTTAATTTCCAAGGATTCAGTATGAAAACACGCTTTATAGACCGTGTAGTGCTAAGGCATGGCTCATTATTTCTAACATTCTGGAGAAACCAATAGCCAACATCAAGCATAGAACTCTTAGCTCACTGCCTTCTGTGAACCATCTGTGCAACATACTCATAAAGCTCCCCACTGAAGATCAAATGAAAGCAGAAGGCAGTGCTAGTCTCTCCTCTCCGCCCCACCTCTACTGGTAAATATGAGCCCAACCTTCGTGTGTCTGTTCAAACACCAACTCCTCCAGGAAGCCTTCTCTGATAGTCTCGGGGCCAGGTAGGTGCTTTGCCTGGTGCTTCTGCGGTTATTTCTATCATAATAGGTGGAATGTCATTTTGTGTATCAACTTACACAGTTGTCCCTTGAACAGTAGGGATTCAAACTGCACAGGTCCACTTAAACACAGATATTTTCCAATAAATACAGTCAGCCTTCTGTATCCATGGATTCCAAATCCATGACTAAATGGGGATGAAGACAGCGTTTGTGGGATGCAGGATGAGAAACTCAAGGATACAGGGAGCCGACTTTTCGTGTAGGTGGGTTCTGCAGGACCCACTGTGGGACTTGAGTATGCACAGACTTTGGTCTCCATGGGGTTCCTGGAACTAAACCCCCACAGATACCAAGGGATGACTGGATTGCAACTACTGATTGACTCTTCATCTTTTTGATGAGCTACCTGAGAACAGGCTGGTTTTAATCATTTTTCACCTCCATTTTTTGCCTCTTGTTTGACACATAATTGGTGACAAATTAATGACAAAGAATTGGCCAGAACCAGCTTTGTGAAGAAAAGCGCCCCAGAGTTATTCAGCCTCTGGGGGAGGAGCTCCCTGAAATCCTCCATAAAGTTGCTGAGTGATTTATCCGAATCCCAGGATCAAGGGGCTATCGGTGCCAATTACAATGCAAATAGCCTGACAAAATGTTCTCATAACCTCAGATAAAAGTATTATTTTATTTAGTTAGTGATTAATAATTGTATGTGGTTTCATTCCTTTCAGAACACTTAGGTATTAAGTATTTTATATTTAAATGAGGAAGTTAAAGACATTTCAAAAATCTTCGTTCTAGTTAAGAGACTATGATATGATTACATTAAAGATTAATACTGATTTTTCCTATTTTCTGTATAGGATAGTTTTAATTCTTGAAGAAGCATCATTCAAATGTTAGCCCTAAAATCCTTTTCTTGGAATTGTTTTTCAAACACAAGTTTGACATGGTGAAAAAATAGTTTAAAATGGCCACCCAAACCCTGTAATTAGGCAGAAGTGAGTCAGCATAGAAATCTTAAGGAGTCAAAGTACATGGAAACAAAAAAGTCTAAACAAAACAAAACAAAACCAAAATGACAAGAAAGGAAGAAAAGTACACAGCTTCCCTTTCCTTGTATTGGCCATATTAGCAAAAACAAAAAATAAACCAGTCAATTGTTGTTAAGCCCCAGGAAGTATCATGTTTGTATTTCTCCTATATGCCAGGAGAAGCATCACCCTAAATACCAGAAGACCTTGTAATAGTACACTCCTTCTCTGTCACTGACCTTCTGCATGACCTTGGGCAATGTGCTGACCGAAGATCTACTCATCACTGTGATCCTTAGTATCCATGTGACCTTGAAGAAGTCATTTTACCTGCAAGTACCATTCTAGTGGCTTCCTGCCTTATCAGTGCCCCCCATCCCACCCCAGTCCATCCTCCAAACCACAGATAGAGTATTTCTAACACACACAAAAAGTCCACAATATTCCTCTGCAGAAAACCCTCTTATAACTGCCCATCTTAAGTAGAAAAATATCCATAGTATTCATTAGAGCTTAGAAGGTCCACATGAACCCCTAAGGACTCCTCCACCTGCATCTCCTCCCTCCTTCTCCACTCCTTTCTAGCCACACTGGCCTTCTTTCTGTCCCATCACCACATCTCTGGTCCCTTCTGCCAGAAAGGCTTCCCTGTGGATGTTGGGTGGACGGCCTCCTTCCCATTGCTTGGACCTCCACTGAAATATCACTTCTTCCACAGGGTCTTCCATGACAGAGCAGACAGAGCAGTATCCTCTCCACTCCCAACCCCTGGCCACTCCCTAGCCCATTGCCCTACTTCATCTTCAGAGCATTTGTCAGTCCTTGAAGTAATTTGTTTGAATTATTACTGCATTGTCCCTCTTCCTCAACACAGAACTCAAGATGCTCAAGGGAGAAGACACCATCTAGTTCCATTCAGCATCCCTGTATTTTTTTTTAATAAAAACAGCTTTATTAAAACATTGGCTAGATGTGGAGGCTCATGCCTGTAATCTCAGCACTTTGGGAGGCCAAAACAGGTGGATCACTTGAGGTCAGGAGTTCAAGACCAGCCTGGTCAATATGGTGAAACCCTGTCTCTACTAAAAATACAAAAATTAGCTGGGCGTGGTGGTGCAAGCCTGTAATCCCAGCTACTTGGGAGGCTGAGGCAGGAGAATCACTTGAACCCAGGAGGCGGAAGTTGCAGTGAGCCGAAATCACACCACTGCACTCTAGCCTGGGCAACAAGAGTAAGACTCTGTTTCAAAATAAAAACATACACACACAAAGAAACACATTAATTTATTATGTATTATTATTTAATTAGTTACCTAACTAGTTAGTGTATATGCTGCTGAATTTGAGCGGCTGTGTATTGTAGAAATATTTCAGAGGACAATGAATAAACTGCAATTAGGACAAGGTGCACATTTTCCATTTTTGTTTACCCCAGGCTGCCACTTAAAATCAAATGCTATCATATTTGATTATTCCTTCCTTTCTAACACATCATAAAGTTTTGTATCTCCATGCTTCTGCTTGTGTTCCTCCAACTAGGATTACAATAGCAGACCCTTCGGAAACTCACCCAGATCCCCTTTACCTGGCTATGCTGCAGCCTTCCCCAGCTGCTGCTAGGCCTGAAACTAATGGCTTACATCTGAGGCTTTTGCCAAAGGATTACCTTGGCTATCAAGAGATGCCAGGAGACTTTATTCTCAAAAGCTCTTCATGGCACCCCCATATTGGTAACAGTCCCTAGCACATGGTAAATACACAAAAATATTTATCAGCTGCCTGACTAACTCAAATTTATCAAGAGGGGCAAGTGATATCCCATAAAGAATATTCTTCATGAAACATAAGCAGCTTGCAAATGCTACTTCCGATAGCTATGTGTATTTCTCTGGAACCTGGCTTCCTCATTTGTAAAACTCATACAAGATTTCTGTGAGAGTCAAATGAAATCATTCTTCTCAAAGCCATGCAAAAGCACTAGACAAGTGGAAAGTAGTATATTTCTCATTCACATGGGGAAATATTTGTGGAACAAGAAATTTGCGGGGGTTGTGGATGAAGTCACAATAATCACTCACCCATCCATCTGTCCATTAAATGTTTATTTAGTTTCAAATGTGTGCTAGGCACAGTCATAAATGATGTGGGTAAATGAAAAGATATTGGGCACTGGCTCTGACTTTAAGAATTTAATAATTAGAGAAATAAACCAGATACACAAAATCTCTAATCAAAAGCAGATTGTGATAACAACATGAAAAAAATCATCAAAAAAAGAAACACTATGGGAATACAGAGAGTTCAGAAGAGGGAAGAATTACCCTGACCTAGAGGACTAGAGATGTTCTCATGAAGGAATCTACATCTGAAGCTACCATTTTGAAAGATACTTAGAAGGTGGGATTGGGGTGGGAGTCAGGGGCAAGTGGTCCTGCAAGTGGAGAAACTTTATACCTACAGGTACGAGGGCAGGAATGTCTGGAACGCTTTTGGGGAACAGCAGGCCGTTTGTTGGGCTGACGATAAGGGCAAAATTGGCAGCAAGACTGCAATGGCAGCCTGAAGACAGGCCAAGGGCCTAAAATACCAAGCCAAAGACTCAGGAGTTAATTTAAGAAGCAATGAGAATTCACTGGAAGCTTTTGTGCAGGTGAATCAATGTGATCAGAACCGCATCTTAGGAAGACTAATTGGGAGGTGGTTTTTAGGAGGAGAGAGAGAGGGACTAGAGACAGGGAAAGAAAAATAGCCTGCTATTTCAATAACTCAGGTCAGGGCTGATGAGGGCCTCAACTAGGCAGTGGGAGCAGAAGGCAGGAGAGAGGCTGGGGGAGAGCCACCGGGCTGCGTGACTGACTGCCAGGAGAGCAGGCTGTGAATGAAGATGAGCTGTTAAAGCCAGAGGCAAAAATATAAACACGAATTTTAGCAAAGTCTTAAAATCAGTTAGATATTCAACCATATGGCTTACAATCATTTTTTGAAATCTTGAGGAGAAAGGGTGAATTTTTCTGTCTACCTTTTTCTTGTATATATAGTCACTGAGAATTTTTCACCCAACTATCCACTTGCAGTTCTGTTCTTTCATTTAGTACAGATATTGAATAATCAAATGACTTTGGTAGACAACTGTTCAAGATATGTCTTGTTAAGATTAAATGTGAATTTCCAAAATTAATTTCACCTCCTTCTGTGTTTAAACTTTTTGGGGTTTTTTTTGTTTTTTTGTTTTTCTGTAAAGACGGGGTTTCACCATGTTGCCCAGGCTGGTCTTGAACTCTGGGGCTCAAGCCATCCACCCACCTTGGCCTGGTGGAAACTTTGACTTCCTCCTCTGTCGCTGGCCAAGGGCCACAGTTTGCAGGATTTATTTTTCCTTATTGCTTCTTTTGTTTATTTTAGCTGATTTTTTTTTCCTCATTTCAATATTTAAAAAACTACTTCAGAAAAACATCAAAATATGAGGATTGTTGTGTTGAAATAATCTGCATAAGCTTCTAGAAGCTGGAATTAGAAATATTTATCTCCTCTGTTTGTCTCATATTTGATCTGCCTATTTGATGGTCTACCTTCCAAACGGATTCAAAATCTAACCATTCCATTTCTCTGCCACCCCACTGCTATCCCGATGGAATCGCTGCCATCTTTTGCAATAGCTTACTGTATACCCTCTCTTAGTTTTCTGATTCTATGCCTACCTCCCACTTCCCAGTGTCTGTTGCACAGAGCAGATTGGGGGCTCCATTTGAAATGGAAGTTGATTATATCCCTCCTCTGCTCAAACCTTTCAAAGGCTCCCTAAAGTCCTTAACTGGCCCATATGCCCTCCACGATATGGCTACCACTATGCTTTGGCTTCATTTCCTACTACTCTCATCTTGGTTCACCCCGCGTCAGCCACAGAGGGCTCCTTGCAGTACCACACACCAAGGAGACCTTGACTCTCACTGTTCCCTTTGCTTGGAAAACTTTTCCCCCAAATATCCACTTGGCTGACTCTCACACCACCTTTCAAGGTTTCGCTCAGATCTCAGCTCTCAGTCGGACGTGTCCTGGCTCCTCTATTCTTTGCCACAACCCAATCTCTACCCCATCACATCCTGACTCACTGGACTCCACTTCTGATGTAGCATATATTTTCCTTATTATGTGGATTTTTTATTAACAGTCTCCCTCAACTAGAGGTTTGGCTCCATGATGAACATGAATCACAGTCCACTTTATTCACTGATGTGTTCCAAGTATTTAGAATGCTGGCTCTCAATAAATACTTCTTGAATGAATGAATATGCCCAGAAGCATAGACCAGGTTATCTCATGATGCTTTTTTAAAATTAAACTTGAAGGAAAAATACCTGGAGTAAATTTTTAGTGACTTTTATAGCTCTTAACTCACTTTGTAGCTTATAAAATTATCAGATTTGAAATAGAAAGTTGGTTCTTTTTGCTCTTTTGTGAAACTAAAGGAATCACAGATAATGATTTCTACAAATTGTCTTCCAGAGTGAAACTAAAAGACTCACATCTATTTGGAGCCTTTTCAGTAAGCCTGTTAAAAGCTGCCCACTTGCAACTTCTTTGAGAATAAATGGATGTTCTTTCCACTATCAACCCTCTGAAACCTTCTGAAGAAGGAGGAACATAACATAAAAACCTCTTCTTCACTGAAGGAAGATTTCCTGACATGTTCTTTATTATCTCGTGAAATGTCATTCAGCCCATTAGAAGCAGAAGTCCAAACTGGTTTCATTGTTTATCTTGACTCTATAGCAATTAGAATGATTAGACTGAATTAAATATTTTCAAGATTTTAAATTTTTTTGAATTTTCCAAAATAGTATTATTTTATACTGTTGAGTTCATTATCACAAAATGGAAGTACATCACCCAAAATAAAATTTTAACCAAAAACTTGGGGAAAAAAATATTTTTGCCCCTAGGCTTGTATATCTAAGTCATCGCTAGCCTATACTGTATTGGGCCAAACACTAGCTCAATTCACTCTCTGCATAAAAGCTATGACTGAGTGCAGTGGCTTACGCTTGTAATCCTAGCACTTTGGGAGGCCAAGGTGAGTGCATCACTTGAGCTCAGGAGCCACAGACCAACCTAGAGAACATGGCAAAACCCTATCTCCACAAAAAAAAAATTCACCAGGTATGGTGGTGCACACCTGTAGTCCCAGCTACTCGGGGGGCCGAGGTGGGAGGATGACCTGAGCCAAGGGTGAGGCTGCCTTAAGTTGTGATCACGCCACTGCACTCCAGCCTGTGTAACAGACTGAGACTGTGTCTCAAAAAAAAAAAAAAAAAAGTTACTATATATTTTTTTTATTTCATCTGTTTAAATAAAAAGCCTAAATGTTAGTTTAACCAAGTGCCTTCCATGTCTGTTTTTCAGAAAGAGAAGAAAACAAAAACAAAATCTGTCTGGGAAATATGTGATCAGGAGGAACACATTCTGTTTCTAAGGGGGAAAAAAAATCTAACTGTTCAACGTTTATCTGACGATTTCCAATATATTTCTTTAGAAAATGTTAGCATTAATGGCCTGCCAAAAAATGCTCAACTTAGAACTTCTAAAAAATAACATTTGATTGATGATTCAAAAAATTTAAAGATACTTCTGAGTTCAGTGACCTAACTTACTGGCTTCATGAGTATCCCTTCATTTATTTATTTTAAATCAAGTATTCCCTGAACTTCTATTGTGCATCAGGTTAGACTGTCATTATATAATGCAATTGAGCCATGACCCCTTGTCTAAGAAGGCAATTTGGTTGCTTTTATTTCACCAGGGAGAGTTCTAGAAGGCCCTCCATGATATGGCTACTCGGTTGCTTTTATTTCACCAGTGTGTTCTAGATGCCTGACAATGCTCTTAGCAAAGTAACCTGAGATACTAGTTTGCCATTATAAAACTGAAAATGCCAGTATTTTACAACTAAATAATCATAAAAAGAGGTATATTGGTGGGCACAGTGTGAGGGAGAATGAACTTGAGGAAAAAATGGAGGGAGAACAACTAAACATTTGTATGTTACAGGTTAAAATAGGAGAGAGACACAGAAGCAGACATAGAGACAAAGACAGAGACAGAGAGAAACTTAGCAAAAATACATAATCCTCTCTTAAATCAACAACAAGGAACATTTTTTGAAGACCTATTCAATACAAAGTTGATAATGTCTTTAGAGGCATTAAAGGGTAAACTAATCAGAAAGTTGTCAAAAGCTGAGAAACATTGTAAGGTCTGAAGATATCATTAAGTTTGAAAGATATAAAGAAAATAAAAGCTTTTTCTAAAATCCAAAATTGATTTTTAAAAAGGAGAAGGATTACACTGGGGAGAAGCTATGAATATAGTAAGAAAGAATAATATTATAAATGTAGTTCAAAAATTGTTCTAAATTTTACCATATTCAAAGTTTAATTTTATTTATATCTTGCTTAATTTTGGCTAATCATATTTAATAGATAGTTTAATAAACATTTATTCAACAATATTTATGTCTTTTCTTGGCTGCTAGCCAAATAAATTAGAAAATGACCACAATTCTCCACTGACAGTGTGAAAAAACAGTAGAGGTCATTATTTAAATAATCAATATAATACCTTAAATCCAGGAACTTGCAAAACACAATAAAGATAAAAACTATCACACTGAACAGAAATTCTGGCAGAAAAGGTCTGGTAAGTGAATGAGCTACTGTAACCTGTCAGAACTTGCCATCATTTGGGTCTATAATGGACAGGTGTCATGGTTCAGTAGAAACAGCATGTCCTGGCTGGGTGCGGTGGCTCACGCTTGTAATCCCAGCACTTTGGGAGGCCGAGGCAGGCGGATCATGAGGTCAGGAGATTGAGACCATCCTGGCTAACACGGTGAAATCCCGTCTCTACTAAAAATACAAAAAATTAGCCGGGCGAGGTGGCGAGCACCCCAGCTACTCGGGAGGCTGAGGCAGGAGAATGGTGTGAACCTGGGAGGCAGAGCTTGCAGTGAGCCAAGATTGTGCCACTGCACTCCAGGCCGGGTGACAGAGCAAGACTCCATCTCAAAAACAAAGAAAAAAAAAAAAAAGGAAAAGCATGTCCTATAAAGCTAAACAGACTGGGATTCCCATCTCAGGCACTCACTGGACACTTGAGCATGCCATTCAACATCTCTGAACCTCAGTTTCCTTAACCATGAAATGAAGACAGGAATATCTACTTCCTCATGACCTAGAATAGGAAACAATTTTTGAAACCAGTGGGAAAAAAAGGCACTCACCACAATGAAGGTGATGGATAAATCTGACATATTAAAATCAAGAACATGTGTTTACAAAGAGAAATTGTGGAACAGTTTAAAAAAGATTAAAAGTGACATTTGTTCACTTTTAATAGGTTGGTGCAAAAGTGATTGTGTTTTTTGCATTATTTTTCATAGCAAAAAGCAGAACTACTTTTGCACCAAACTATAGCTGTAGAGCTGACAAAGGACTAACACATAGAATAATAAATTAAGAAATCCTATCATTCATAAAGAAAAAGGAGGAGGAGGAAGCAGCTAAAAATGTAGGAAAGACTTAGACACTTCACAAAAGAGAAAGTTCTAATGGCTAACAAACATGAGAAGGTGCTTGGCCTCATTAAATGCAATGCATTAAATAAAATGCAAATTAAATCATACTACTTCCAGGGTTGCCTGGAGAATTAAAAGTTTATGCATTTAAAGCACCTACATACATCCTAGTACATGGTAGGTATAAAACCAAAAATCACCTTCCCCAATGATCATTGTATGACCCTTCCTCGGGGCCATTACTGTAATGCTAAGAGCATCTAAATATGAAGCTAACTCTCCATAGACTTCACATTAATTAATAATGTGAACTTACATTTGGTGCTTCCAAAGCTTAGAATCAAATTTGAATTCCTCTCTAGTGAATACACAAATCGCTCCATGTGCACTTTTAATGCACTAACCCCACTCCTGACTTCCTGCTCTCTTTCTGGCTCTCCTTTTTTCTTTCTGCTCTTTTTTCATCCTAAATTCATTTTGCATTGTTATAGTACATGCACATAGGCAAGGCATTTAAATTCTTCCTGAGAAAAAGTAGAACATAAATAAACACTGTCAAAGAAGTCTTTGCAAGCACTGGCCTGTCACCTAGAAGCCTTTGCATCCTCATGAATTCTCTGAGTACGGTACATCTTCGGGTCACACACAAATATACCAAGTTTATCATACCACTGGGTTGCTATGGAGAAGGCTCAAAATCAGCACCCTGAAAATTGCACTTGCTCGTTGGCAGGTATCTTAATTTAGCCCATTCTAAAAATTTATTGGTCAAGCTACTTCCTATTCAATTGGAAGAAATGACATCCACATGTCTGATCGATGACCAACAGACTACTTATGTCGGTACATACCAAAGACTGAGTCTGGGAAGCGTGAGGAGGGGGTGGTGTCTCCGCAGCTATTTCTGGATCTTCCTGTTCACTTTCACTGTAACATTCTATAACAAAAATGAAAATGCTTAATGTTTTAACGCTGTCATCGCTTATTCCATAATGCATGAGCAGAGGTTTATCTCCATCTGGCTATTGCAATTTCAATCCAATTCAGAAAGTTCATATCTAATGAACTACCTGGTAACTACCTGGTGCAAAGGAATTACATAAGAGGCAGAAACAAATGGCCAATTCGGGGCTCCTGACCTCAAAGAGCATCCAATATGCAGGAAGAAGACAAATCGTAGCTTGGGGAAAATAAAATAATTCCTCAAAAGAGGTGTGAGTCATAATACCAAGAGAACACAAAATCAGTGGTGATTAATTTTGATTGTAGGAATCCTAATGAATTGAAACTGGCAGGATCACTAAACTATCAGTGGTGCACAACTTGTGAAGGGGAGTCTCTGGCTGAGGGAGCAGGCTGGGCCAAGTATGTGGAGACCCCTACAAGATATGGCAGAAAACGAAGCTAGAAGGTGGTGGAGGCCATGTCATAGAAGGCCTTACATACCAGGACAAGGAGAAGTTTTGTGTGTAGTTTTGTACTAACTCACAATCTATAAATAGACAATGGGTACTTATTTTATGGAAAAGAGGACCAAGAAGATGGCTAGGACACCACCGATTTCATGGTATTGCACGGTACCCCTTTACTGTTTCAAATCAAGTTGCCACTTTTCCATTTCTAACTAACTCTAAGATTTTATGATTTTGTTATCAGAAGATATAACTCCCTGCTTCCAATTTCCAAGGCCTTTTGTGGTCTGGGCATTTCAGAAAGACTATGAGTTCAGTGGCCCTGGCAGCTAAATCCTCCCTCTTCTCAACACTAAGGTGTAATCACATCATTAAGAATTAGACTCCTGTAGCTTTTGAACCCTGAAAGCTACCGACTGAGCTAAAAATATGGCCTGTGTCCCAGTATGACCTTCAGGTTCCTGGTACAATCTTAGGGTAATTAGCCTCAGTACACACCTGGTGGAAATATTAAAATATCAGGGAGGAAATAGTGGGATGAAAGTTAACTGACCAGATCATGACGAGATCATGTCTATCAGTAAGAATTCCACAAGTGGAGCAATTAAACATTTGCATCGGTGACTGTTTGAGATGTCATGAAGCCCACAGCTGCCGGAGTGTGGGTGAAGTGTGAAAAGCATTCATAGCCAGCATGGGAAGCTCTATTCCATGTTGGTGAGTCTGTGTGAATATGTCTGTCTCCACATATTTTCAGATCATCTTAAATGCCAAAGCATGTTTCCTCAGGATCAGACTATACATAGAACTTGACATTGTTTTTTCACCCTGTTTCAACCTGTTCTAATATTCTTGCTAAATTTTCAGAAATTTAAAATAGAACATACCTTCATCCTTTGTAGTGGATTCCTGATGGATTACAGCCGATCCAAGTTTATTTAACCACCTAAAATTCAAATAGAAAGCAAATGTTGACCAAAGAGATTAGCCCCCCACCCATTCACCTTCCCCCAGAGTTTGTTATGAAATTAGGTCATGATTCTACCATCAGTCTGCACATTTCCAGAAAGAGCATAAGTTTGTGCCATCGAAACCTAAGGCCTCTGGTTTCACAATACTTTCCATACTCAAGGTATCTTTTGTAAGGTAAGATGTGAGGTGGCCCATTACTCAGTTGGTTCATGAGGGCAGCTAAATTAGGTATTCCAAATATATGAACAAACACATCTTCTGTAATCCTGCATTTGAAATTTTTAGCAACCATCAAATCCTTTATCACTGGATTTAGTAACTTGGCTATTAAAGTTATTAGGTGTTACTCTTAATAATGTCTTAATAATGTCAGTTTATTTTAGAAAAAATGTACGAAAAGATCATCCATTTAATCCAGGAATATTTTTATGTCAATCAGTAAAAAAAATCTGGCTAGAATTTAACAGGTATTTTTAAACTAGAACAAATTTTAATTCCTTGAAGAATTTTATGTAAGGTAAAAATTGAAAATGTCCTATTTACCATTTTACTGGCAATGAATTCCAATTAAACATCAATAACAAAAATAGAACGAGACAGAAACTCAAACTTGGCTTATCACTGCAGACCACTGTAGTTCCTTCTCAAGGGTTTACTTAGGAACATATCTTGAAACACAAATTTTTAAAAGCTGGGACACAAAGTGTGTCTATGACATATACTCCTAACTATATAATTTTCTACTTATTGGGAGGATCTTGCTTATTTCTGTACCTATTTTGAGACAGGGAAAATCCGTGCTACACGTTTATCAATTCGTCTATGCTTTTGATGTCTTCCAGTCTCCCATGGGCAATGAACAAGCCATGAACAATTCAGCATACTACACTTGCACTAAGCCATAAATATTGCACCTTCCCACCTGTATAACTGTCAGATAATTAGGAATCCTTACGCAACCCTCAACCTGCCATGGTCTTGTTGTACCTGTTATTTTTGAATAGAAAATATATAACAAATTCAATGCCGGGAGCGGTGGTTCATGCCTCCCAGCACTTCAGGAGGCCAAGGCAGGTGGATCACCTGAGGTCAGAAGTTCAAGACCAGCCTGACCAACAGGGAGAAACCCCGTCACTACTTAAAAAAATACAAAATTAGCCGGGTGTGGTGGCGGAAGCCTGTAATCCCAGCTACTCGGGAGTCTGAGGCAGGAGAATCACTTGTACCTGGGAGGTGGAGGTTGCAATGAGCCGAGATCATGCCACTGCACTCCAGCCTGGGCAACAAGAGCGAAACTCCATCTCAAAAATAAATAAATAAATAAAATTTAAAAAAATAAACAAAATAGGAGTTTCTAAAGAACAAAGATGAGCTCCAGCCTTTGTTAAGAAATCACCTTCAGCACATAATAATCACAAACTCCTTAGTAGCCACTTAAAATTGGACCAATGAAGAGCCCAGATACGAAACAGGAACCCAAAAATGTATATCAAGTCTCAATAGGATAACAGGCAAAATAAAGGAACAGAAATTTACAGAGAAATCAAATAGCTAGACAATATGCGAAAAAAATTTCTCAGCCTCAATAGTATTTTGAGAAATGCACACTCAAACACAGGAAAATATTTTCACCACTGGATTGGAAAAAACTTAAAAATATTATTGATTTCAAGTATTTAGCAGGAAACAGAAAAAGAAGCATTGTCACCTTTTGTTGAATTAAACATGAAAACTGATACAGCCAATTCTGAGCAGGCAATTTGATGATAATATTAAAAATTTAAATATCCATCCCCTTCACCCAACAATTCCAATCATAAATATCAATCCTATAGAAACACACTTTCATATACACAAATGTGGCAGAATGTTCACTGCCAACAAGGCTTGTAATGGCAAAAAGAAAAAACATTAATAAGAAAATGGATAAATAAATTATTTATTCTATCAACACTGATTCTATCAATTTCCTGTTATAATGAAGCTAATGAGAGGACTAAGATGGGGGTGGGGGGTGGTTGTAATGACCTGGAAAAGATATGAACAAATTATGAACAAATATATCTTCTGTAATTGTGCCTTTGAAATTACAAATTTCCAAATTTGTAATGGAAATTTGTATAAAATGGAAAACCCTAATATACTCTTAATTGAGAAGATCAAGCATAGAATAGTATGTTTAGCCTGATCCACTGTACTTCAAAAACGATATGTTTTTGTATGTGCATGAATTGGTATGCATAGAAAAGTGTCAGGAAGAATATAATTTTACTGTTTAAAGTGATGGCCGGGCACAGTGGCTCACACCTGTAATCCCAGCACTTTGGGAGGCCAAGGCAGGTGGATCATGAGGTCAGGAGTTGGAGACCAGCCTGACCAACATGGTGAAACCCTGTCTTTACCAAAAATACAAAAATTAGCCAGGCGTGGTGGCACACGCCTATAATCCCAGCTACTTGGGAGGCTGAGGCAGGAGAATCGCTTGAACCCAGGAGGCAGAGGTTGCAGTGAGTTGAGATTGCACTACTGCACTCCAGCCTGGGCGACAGAGTGAGACTCTGTCTCAAAAAAAACAAAAGAGGAGGGTAACCTCTTCTTCCCCTAAGTGGCCTCAGGTGATCTGTGAAAATGGTTTGCTATTCACCTGACCCAAAAAACCCCATAAAACCATGCAAACCAAGAGGTTCAAATCTTTGTGTTCACTTTAAGAACACCTGTGAAATTCCCTAGGCTATCAAAGGTATGCATATATGAAAAGCCACCAAGTTATCTGAAAGATGTCACTTTACGGAAACAACGTGTACCATTCCAGCCTTCCAAGGGTGGAGTTGGTAGGTATGCACAGGCCAAACAGTGGGGCTGGACACAGGGCTGGTGGCCCAACAAGAATGCTGCATTTTTCCTGCACATGTTTAAAAGTGCAGAGAGTGATGCTGAATTCAAGGGTTTAGATGTAGATTCTCTGGTCACTAAGCACATCCAGGTGAATGAAACACCCAAGATGGGCCACTGTACTTTCAGAGCTCATGGTCAGATGAATTTATATATATGAGCTCCCTCTGCCACATGGAGATGATCCTCGCTGGAAAGGAAGAAATTGTTCCTAAACCACAAGAGGTGGCTGCATGGAGAAAAAAAAAAAAAAGTGTCCCATAAGAAACTGAAGAAACAAAAGCTCATGGCACGAGCATCGATTCAGCATAAAATAAATGCAAATGAAAGCGCACACACACACAAAAAAAGTGGTTAGCCCTAGGGAGGGTAGTTGAATTAGAAAGTGAGGTGAGGATATAGGAAATCTTTTGCTTTGTCTGACACGAATACGTTTTATGTATTATTAACTAAAATAAGCATTTAAAAGTTCATTTTTTAAAATTGACCAGGCAAAACATAACAATTTCATGGTTCACTTTTTAAAATACCACAATAACAATTTTTAGCTTATACCTTAGTTCATAATTGTATAAGTTTATTCTCCCTCAAAAAAGCATCTAAAAGTGAAATAGGGAAAATATTTTTTTAAAGAGACAAAAAAATTGTTTTCACTTGAGTGTCTGAAACAAGAAAAGGCATTTCTAAGCTCCTCTCCCAAACATGGAAATAGAGCAAAATAGAAGACTGTTGACAATAAAGAAAATATTTCTCTCAGCCCTTACCCAAAACTTGTAACCTTTTCATTACAACCATTAGTTACTTGCTGTGAAAAACTGGTGATGTTTAGAATCTTGTTTGACTGTTTTCTTTCTAGGATCCACTGGCTTAGAGTACCTTCTTTGCTAAGAACTTTTTTTAAAACATCATGGCAGCAGGAAAACATCTATCTGTGGCTAAGTAGATGGATGCACTAAAGGACTTATATTTACATAAAAGAAAATGACAGATGTTTCCTGGGAGTTTGTTGTATATTAACTTGACGTGAATGTGTGTGTTGGAGGAGAACAAGTTTTAAGAAATTGATGTACAAAACAAGAGCATTCTTCCCACAGTGTCTGAGAAAGGCAGCTCCCGTCTTTGCTGAGAAACGAACTCTTTCATTACCCTTAATTACTTACCCCTGTACTTTTAAATTGAGACTCACTACAGAACATGCGGAGTTTCTACTAAACTTAATTACATTTCCCTTCATCGTCCCTGAGAGAAATGTCACTATCCAGAAATGCAGTTGCCCAGGGAGAGGAACTTCTAAAACAAGGACTCATCACTGCAAACGCTACCCACTCCCTCCCCCACACCTCTCATCTTACCAAGTAATACCCAGATACATTATTTCCTGGCTTAAACCGGCTGCATCAGTAAGAAGGGAAGTTCTTCATGTGTTATTGCAAAGTAAATCTCTATCATCTGCATAATCTTGTGGGAGAAGGGAGAAGTTGCATTGTTGGCTACTAGAAAAGTCATTTTTAGAATAATGAAACTCTATAATGATATTATAAACATGAGAAGTTATTATAAATTTCAGGCCCAGACAAAATGGACCATTTAGCCGGATGGACAATTTTCAAGTCTAAAGGTCACTGACAGATTCAAAAACATGGGGTCCAGACACCTTAAGTTCAAATTTCAATTTGCATCTTCTTTGTAAGCTGGAAAGATAACCCCCAAAAGAATTTCAAGTAAAATGAACAGATCTTCATAGCATAGATAGGCGGTAAGATCTTGACGTTGATAACTGTGAAAGACTTTGATTTCACAGCCAACAGGATGAAGTATTTATATCATATCTACCCATGCAACTCTACTTACCATTAGATAGGTTTCTGCAAAGGGAGAACATAAAATTGGAAGATAAATAAACTGGAAATGTAAATAAACACTGGGGCGGTGAGGAGGGGGATCTGGGATTTACAGAGCAAACGTGCATGAAATACAACGGATTCAGATAAACATGGAAGGGTCTCACACTTTCATCGGTTTAAAAATGCACCTTACTGTGTAGGAGGAGAAATTCACTAGGTAACAAACAAAGCACTGAGAAGCAATTGTTTCTCTGCTACTCTGTCTCACTCACCTCTTGCTGGAGAGAGGAAAACTACTTGCAAGGAATCAGCCACAGAATGAGTGGGAAGGACGGGCCAAGGATGGAAGCTGGAGCTACAAGGCACTTTTAAAGAAAAGCCAGGACAGCAGGAGGTATTGGGCAGGGGAGAGGCGGGCAGCACTGTTTCACCACCATTCAAGACCAGAAAAGACCATTTGGGATGAACTGAGGCTCAGCGGCGGACTGACCTCACTATCACAGGGCTCCAAGTGCTAGCGGGCGAGACCTTGTGCCTTCCACATCCCACTTACACAGCAAGGGCTTTGCTAACCAACAGGATTTAGCAACTGATGCAAATAAAAAAAAAATAAGTAAAGATCTTTGATGTGGAGATTTTAACATCCTCTCCATTCGTGTATCTGTTCTTATTTTTCTCAGATGCTTAAGAAAACCAAGGGGATAAAAAAAAGCTAAAACTAGAAAAAGGATAGAAACAACTTCTCTCTTTGTCCAAGTAAATCAAAGCTTTGTTTGGAAGACTCAACTGTCCGTTCCTTGCCTTGTTATTTCTAACACAGAGCTTCCCGACTTTCTACAGTACAAAGCCATTCTGTCCTCATCTGGAGGGTGATGCTGGGGAGGTGAGGATAGGGGACAGATGAGAGTCCTTCTAGCTGGACAGAGCTGAGCGGATACCTGTAAGGAGTGTGTGTGTGTGTGTGTGTGTGTGTGTGTGTGTGTGTGTGTGTCCATGCACATGTTTGGTGAAAGGCAGTTGCTTTTTTTCTTCATGTTTCTAGAGCAAGAGAGCAATGAGAACTACATAGGGCAGATAGGTAAGGAAATCATTATAAGTAAAACAGGTTAAGCGTAAGCTCTGTGAATGGAGGAATTATGTGTGGGTTTTTCATTGCCATTGCCCACCATCTGCTGCAATGGGGCATGTGGTAGGCGTTCCATTAACATATTTTCAATTGGTCATGTGAAATAATAAGAGACACTAAGAATTCTGAGAATAGGGCTAAATCAAAGAGAATGCCCTCTGATATCTCCAATCAGCACCTCAAATACAGCCTGATTCAAACAGCCATTGTTGACCAGGTGCGGTGGCTTACGCCTTAGTTCCAGCACTTTGAGAGGCCGAGGTGGGTGGATCACTTGAGGTCAGGAGTTCGAGACCAGCCTGGCCAACATGGTGAAACCCACAAGAAACACAAAAAATTAGCTGGGCATGGTGGTGCACGCCTGTAACTTGGGAGGCTGATGCAGGAGAATCATTCGAACTCAGGATGCAGAGGTTGCAGTGAGCCGAGATCGCACCACTGCACTCCAGCCTGGGCAACAGAACAAGACTGTCTCAAAAATAAATAAATAAATAAATAACAGCTATTGTGATCACACCTGACTCTAAACCATTAGGAATGGTGTAGGGCAGGTTGTACTCTGCACACAGCCCACTTATTTTCACAGACCACCCTGGAAATGGAGCTAGGGATCTACAATTTTAAGTTTGATGTACTCCGAGCAAAGGCGTTTTGCAATATGTTCAGGACAATACATGGAGAGGTGATAAATACGTGAATCATCACGATAATCACACAGCATATATTAAACGCTATAGCAATATTTTGCATGTAGAATTCCGAAAGCTGCAAGATCAGTTACATAATACTTTCAAGCCTCTCTCCTTGTGATGCTGATTCTCCTTTTAACATGTTCTTTTAATGACTTCTGTCCACTCCTTTTTCAACTTAGTGGTTCCCCGAAATAGCCACTTTGATACATGTAATTCTCCAAACCGTTTCCAAATACTAGAGAAGAAAGCACGAAGGCATTGTAACTGCTAAATAAATTAATCCTTAAAGTAACAGAAATAAAATAATAATTGATATGGACATATGATTAGAATTCCAGTACCAGGCTAAAGTTAAGTATATTCCCATTAAGGATGGGGTTTACCAGTTTCCTCTACTTACACGTTCATTTCCTGCACATTCTCAGCTGCAAAATAAAAGGTCTTGATCTGTGGATGGCTGATCTTAAAAGCACTTGAAGGAGGAAAAGCACAAACACATAAAAAATTAGTGTTTATAGTCAACAATGGGTCTGAAAGTAAATCAGTAAAATACAAGCTTTGTAAACTTGTCTGCTTTCTTTGTAAATTTACAAAAAATAATTTAGTAATATTAGATACCTATTGTCTAGTCTCTGTTTCATATAGAGAACTAAGAGTCAATTTTTTATGTCAGAACGTCCAGAACAGGGCTGAGTCTTAGCTGGTCAGTAGTTTCCATTTAAAACATATAGGTATGGCCGGGCACGGTGGCTCACGCCTGTAATCCTAGCACTTTGGGAGGCCGAGGCGGGCAGATCACGAGGTCAGGAGATCGAGACCATCCTGGCTAACATGGTGAAACCCCGTCTCTACTAAATATACAAAAAAATTAGCCGGGCATGGTGGCGGGCACCTCTAGTCCCAGCTACCCGGGAGGCTGAGGCAGGAGAATGGCATGAACCTGGGAGGCAGAGCTTGCAGTGAGCCGAGATCATGCCACTGCACTCCAGTCTGGGTGACAGAGGAAGACTCCGTCTCAAAAAACAAATAAATAAATAAAAAATAAAACATATAGGTATATCCTCTTCCTTTCACTTGCTAACTGCTTTGCTATAAAGATACAATAAATTCAATTTTAAAGTGATAGAAATAACACTTCAAAATATTCAGAACAACTACTTCAAGCAAGGTATTTCTTCACTTTCAATCAAATATACAGAAGAATTTTTATAGGAGAATAATCAGGTATGGAACGTCCACTCTGCAGCAACACATCAGAAATCTTATTCAAGGCACCCTTTGTTAGTAAAGGGAAATATGAAATAGATTTTAATATAAAAGAAAAGCAGAAAACATTGAAGATAACAAATGAGAAGGGCTTCCACTTTACCCTTTAGGCAGGAAGTCCTGCAGCACGGCACAGGCCAGGGTTTTTGTAAATAGCCAATCCTTTTCAAACCACAAGAATCAGCACTGGACATGTGCAACCACACCACAGAGGCAAAGACTTAAAGCTAACACCAGTTTACTAACCTTGTTAAAAGAAAACTACTCAATTGCTGCAACTAGTCACATAGGACAAAAAGGAAGGCCCCTTTCTGATAAGACTGGAAAAGATGTCAAAGGTAGAAGAAATAATAAGAAAAAGGTGAAAATGGACACATACGCAAAATATAGCAGACTGCTATCATGGGAGGAGCACTTGAATGAGAGTCTATAGATACCTGGGTTTACAGCCAGCCCGCTCATGAGATCTAAGCAGGTCACAAACTCTTTGGGCTGTTTCCTTCTCAGGAAAACCAGGACCATGAGCTGGTAATTTTTTTTGGTCCCTGTCAGTGCTCAAATCTTTTGGATTTCAATTAGATCAGAGTGTAATCTCCAAGCTTAAGACATCTCAGAAAATTCAATTCCAAGTGTGCATCTGACAACTCCATGAACTAAGAAAGAAAAGCTGGTCTTGCTGGCGTATCTGCAACTCGGGTGAGTCCTATTTAACTGCTTGTTTTTTCTTTAGTAGAACCGAAGCTTGACATCTGACCTCCCTGCCAGTCCTGGAGGGGGTTTATTCCATCACAGACACAGTCATCAACAACAGTCCATGCCAAGACTTCGTGGGGGTTTTAAAATCCATCTGCTCCACAAAACGAAATTCCAGAAAATGAGAGGTTAAATGCTTCTATTTCTATGTAGGGTGCCAACCCATAATGCTTCAAATTCTCAGACATTCCGATGTTACCTTCACTCACTTCTAAATCACCATATCCCTTGGTGAACATTATGAAGAGATAGTATCCTGGCTCAGAGTTTTGTGGAAGATGAGAGACAACTTACTGCTTTTTCTTGCATTCAGATGCTCTTTCCACAGTGAAATCAGGCAGGTTGACAAATCCATCAGCTTTCTCTGCCTGAAACAAATATATACCACAAATAGGAATGAATGCATCAATCCTGGGGATTAGTGCATTGAGATCATATACATGGAATAGGGATGGTATAAATGACATGAGGGAGAATCAAGAGATACCAACCACCCTGAATCACCATGGAGGTGTCCCAGATACACAGCTCATGAGAAAGATTAATGTTCTCCTGATAAGTCACCCAGAATCTTTCCAAGAGAAGTGGCATGACATGACACAGCTTAGGGATGGTCACCATATGGCAGGCTTAGGGCCTGTCTCCACCGGCCTCCTGTCTCTGTGGAAAACATAGCTAACCCAACAGTCATGTCTGCTGAGCCCATCAGCATCCACAGCATCTTCTATTCCTACGACTCTAGTCAGCTAGCACACAGGAAGAAACCTAACTAGCATTCTTGATATATATGGTGCCCAGAGCCCTGGAGTTAGCAAATCTACATTCCTATCATGGATTGACCACTTACTGGTTGTTGTGACTTAAATGAGCTCAGATAAATAAAACTGCTAAGAGTCACTCAACAAACATTATTTCCTCTCCCAAGTCTGTAGGCAGGGCCTTGGGGATTAAATCACAGAGCTGCATCTTTCAGAACCTCAGTCCCATCATTGATTTCTGGGAATTCTTTCTACAAAGAAAAGACTGCATAAGAAAATTATATTTATGAGGACGTAGCATAAATGTCACTTTACATCACCAAAAACATGTATAGGAAATATAATCACTGTCCCACCTCTCTAAGAATTTGTTAATCTGTGTTTTACAAATAAAGTTTAACTGAGCCACAACAAAGCTAGATTGTTCGTCACCCATAGAACTCAAATCTTCTTTCATCTACACTGGTGTCTCTGAGTAGAGAAATAGAATCTACAAGATTAAACATAAATGAGTCTGTGGTTATTGGGAGATGAGTAAAAATGGATTTTGAAAATACAATCTTAATTTTACAAGTCAGCTAGCTATTAAGTTAGTGCCATGGGTGCTTTCAGTTTACTTGATCATTCTGCTCTTTCCTTTATTGCCAACTAGAGTGCAACTTGCATTCTTTTCTTCAGAAAAATTAAACTGTGAGGCATCCAACCCTATGCCCATCTTCTCTCTCTTATGTGACTCAACTTATCTAAATTATTCACCTGAAATGCCTTCCTCTTATAAGATTCAAAACTCAAGGCTGGGTGCAGTGGCTCATGCCTGTAATCCCAGCACTTTGGGAGGCTGAGGAGGGTGGATCACTTGCGGTGAGGTGTTCACGTTCAGCCCAGCCAACACGGTGAAACCCCATCTCTACTAAAAATTCAAAAAATATTAGCTGGTCATGGTGGTGGGCCCCTGTAATTTCAGCTACTTGGGAAGCTGAGGCAGGAGGTTAGCTTGAACCTGGGAGGTAGAGGTTGCAGTGAGCCAAGATCGTGCCACTGCACTCCAGTCTGGACAACAGAGTGGGACTCTGTCTTAAAAAAAACAAACAAACAAAAAAAAGAGATTCAAAACTCAATTCTAATGGGCACTCTCTTCTTTAAACATTATATATGCATATGTGTGTTTATACAGAGTGAATATGTACTCATTCATATGTATATTATATATATGCAGCTTCTCTCTTGACAGCCTTCTTAATTACTGGATGCTGATTCTCGAAGAGAATATAAGGTATTCAAAGAATACAGACTAAGTCAACTTTCTGTACAATGCACAGTGCTTCCTGTGGATTCTCAATCCGCCTTACAAAAAAGTATAGTTTTGAAAAACTATGTTAGGTCTCATCAATTCCACTTTTAGATCTACAGACTGAGTATCCCTTATTTGAAATGCTTGGGGACTGGAAGTGCCTTATATTTCAGAATTTTTCTGATTTGGGGATATTTGCATATACAAACAAGTCAAGTATCCCAAATCTGAAAATCCAACACCCAATGAATACTCCCTTTGAGCATCATGTTGGTGCTCAAAAACTTTCAGATTTTGGAACATTTTGGATTGGATTTTTGGATTATGGATGCTCAGAGGAATTGAAAAAGGGTACTCAAATACATGTGCAGCCCTGTTCACAAAGCACTCACAACAGCCAAAAGGTAGAAACAGCCCAAATGCCCATTAACAGATAAATGGATAAATTAATTGTGCTGTATCTATACAATGGGATATTATTCAGCCTTAAAAAAGAATAAAGTACTAATACATGCTACGTGGATGAATCTTGAAAACCTTGTGTTAAGTGAAAGAAACCAGACACAAAAGCTCATCTCTCGTATGATTCAATTTATATGAAATATCCAGAAGTGGAAATCCAGAGAGACAGAACACAGCTAATTGGTAGCTACCAGGGTCCCAGGCAGTAGGAAATAGGGAGCAACTGCTCAATGGGTAAGGGGTTTCCTTTTGGGGTGATGAAAATGTTCACAATCTAGATAGATGAGGGGGTTGCACAACATTGTGAATGTATTAAATGCCACTGAACTGCTCACTTTAAAGTAATTAATGTTAGGTTGTATGACTTTCATCTAAATTTTAAGAATCTATGTTAGGCTAAGGCGTTTTTATGTAAATTTCCATAATTGAAACATCACTTAGACTCAGCATTTGTTTCTACTTCCTCCTCCCATTCATTTCTATATGTTCCAGAGAAACTGTAGAGACCAAAACTCCACCCGCGTTGCTAAATCCCATCTACTGTTTTTAGTCCTCCCTTAATTGAACTCTAAGTGACGCTGTAGCTGCTCCCTCCCTCTGGAGCCACCCTGATGTTGTGGCCTTTTTGACAACACATTACTGCTGCTCCCCTTTTTCCTCTAACTATGCCTTCTTCTCTTTCAGGGGTCTTGTTCTCCTGTCTGTTTCTTAAATGTCAGAGTTCACTAGAGTTCTGTCCACAGACTTATTCTCTTTTTGTTCCAAAACTCTCTATGGATGATCATACACACCCTCATGGCTCCATCTGTCATCACTGTACACACATATCCAAAACCCATACCTTGTATCACCACTGTCCACATATATCCAAAATCCATATCTCAAACTGGGATTCAATCCTGGAGCTCCTGTCCCAGATTTCCAACTGCCTAGTAAGCCTATTCCCATGGGCCCCGCAAGAGTAACAAATTCAAAATCAAACTCATTATCTTACTCCATAAAATGCCCACTTCTTTCTCCTGTGTTCTTGACTTCAGTGAATAATATCACTTTCTAGCCAGTTGCCAAAACAGGACATGTGAGAGACATCCCCAACTCTTCCATTCCCTTCTCGGTGCCCATGCAGGTAAACTCAAAGTTGTATAGTTGCTGCATCTGCTCAGGTCTTCAATCCACCCATTACCTACTGCCTCCTTCAACTTACCTTTAATGTTTTGTTGAATTACCGCAAAAGTCTCCTCAACTGTTCTCCTTCTCTATAATTCTGCTGTTTCATCAAATTTAGTGTCCAAATCACAGTCACAGTCACAGCAAATGTTTACATCATGAACATTCTTCATGGCACTGTTCTGATTAAATACCCTGCATGGTGTCCAGCTGCCCTCGGGTCAAGTCTAAATGCCTCAGCAGAGGATGAAAGACCCTTTATAATCAAGCCCTGATTAGTTCCACAATTTCATCTCTCCCCCTCCCCCATTCAGCCAAAGACAAACAGAAAAATCAAAAACAAAGAAAAAACAATACTTCTGGCCAGGCGCAGTGGCTCACGCCTGTAATCCCAGCACTTTGGGAGGCCAAGGTGGGCGGATCACCTGAGGTTAGGAGTTTGAGACTAGCCTGGCCAACATGGTGAAACTCTATCTCTACTAAAAATTACAAAAATTAGCCAGGTGTGGTGGCGGACGCCTGTAATCCCAGCTACTTGGGAGGCTGAGGCTGAGGCAGGAGAATCGCTTGAACCTGGGAGGCAGAGGTTGCAGTGAGCCAAGACCGCACCACTGCACTCCAGCCTGGGCAACAGAGCAAGATTCTGTCTCAAAACAAACAAACAAAAAAATTAAAAAATAAAATAATAAAAAAATAAAAAACAATAGTTCCATGGAGCTGAATTAGAATCAGCACCCAATTTATGGCATGATTAGTTTCTAGACAACTCATTTTCAGTACAATAAATCGATCTCAAATGATATAATACACAAATCAATCAACAAAAATGTAACATACCTATATACACTTTTAGTAATATTTTTATTCATCTAAAAATAAAATTGGCCAGGCTCACTGGCTCACGCCTGTAATCCCAACACTTTTGGAGGCCAAGGTGGGAGGATCACTTGAGCCCAAGAGTTCAAGACCAGCCTGGGCAACATGGTGAAATCCCATCTCTGCAAAAGTATAAAAATTAGCCGAGCATGGCAGCACACGCCTATATTCCCAGCTACTTGAGAGGCTGAGGTGGGAGAATCACCTGAGCCCGGAGGTCGAGGCTGTCATGGGTTGTGATCACAACACTGCACTCCAGCCTGGGTGACAGAGTTAAAATGTGTCTCAAAAAAAAATTAATTAATTAATTAAATTTAATCCATGTAAAAAATAAATGGTAAATCTTCATTTGGGTGGATTCCTTTTCTGCATAAGTGAAACAGCTGAGATTCCCTTAAACAGGAGCCTAAATAAGTTTGGGTGAAAACACCTTAGTGTTTCCCCAGGAAATTATCACTTTATAAGCAGAAGCTTTTTTTTTATTCTGAAGACAGTTGAGCTATATTCAAAATCACAGATAATTTGTGTCAAAAAATGGTCCTTGCTTATTTGACTTGCAAAAAAAAAATGCCTCAAAAATGACAATCACAGAGGGCAAATCTTGAGAGAATGACAGTGTTCTTCTCTTCCTCCTCCTTTTCCTCCTCCTCCGCTTCTCCAGATCCCCTGTTGCCTATTATATTAACTAAAATAACTTTGTTGAATGGGATCCTTCTTCTTCAATTCCTAACTTTCTAAAAAGTTTCCTGCAGGCAGCCAAGCAGGGTGGCTCACGCCTGTAATCCCAGCGCTTTGGGAGGCCGAGGCAGAAAGATCACTTGAGCTCAGGAGTTCAAGACCAGCCCAGACAACATAGGCAGACCTTGTCTCTGTTTAAAAAAAAAAAAAAAGTTTCCTCCAGGTTCTATGCTGGTACCTGCAAGCTTCCCTCGAAATCCTGATGTAATAAAAAACTTGTTCTCCTGCCAGAGGTATCAAACCCATCGTTTGGCCATTGTACAAACTTCTCTTTCCAAATCTAGTCTTAAATTCAGAAGAAACACGTTCCTTTTCACTTTGTTTTATGATGTTCTATGATCTCAAACCTTTCTCCTCACAATTCAGCCCATCTAGTTTTCCCAGCATCTCTGATTTTGTTCATCTCAGTGGAGTGTCACGTACAGTTGCTGTCATTAGGCAGCATTAAATACATATTTTTATGAAAATGGCTGGTGTTACAACATTGGGGGGAAATGTAAAGGTTGCTGATCATCTCTTTGATCTCATGAATCACCTCTAGAGTATTTGTCTCCTTTAAACACTCTGCTCTTGGCCAGATGTGGTGGCTCATGCCTGTAATCTCAAGTGCTTTGGGCGGCCAAGGCGGGAGGATGACTTGAGGCCAGACGTTCAAGGCTGCAGTGAGCTGAGATGGTGCCACTTGCACTCCAGCCTGGGCTACAGAGTGAGACCCAGTCTCAAAACAAACAAACAAAAAACAGAGTAAAGGGTTCCAAGGTGTGAGCAAGGCAGGTTGCCTCCTGCTCCCTGGCCCTATAATGCCCTTCCTACCTCATTCCCCTAGATAAGTTTCCAGGATTCAACTTAGGTGTGACCATTTCCAAAACTTTTTCCCTATTCCCTTAAGTCTGGACTAGGTGCCCCCATGTCTGCCTCCAGCCCCAGGGGCGGCCCTCCCTTACAGGACCTCTCTTACTGTATTTAATTATCTGGTTGTTTGTCTGCTTCTCCAATGGATTGTGAGTACCTTGAAGGAAATAACTGTGTTGTTCATACATATTATTTATAAGGTGTGGAATAAATACATGTGAAATAAATAAATACATTTTTTGAATGAATGAATGAACTATAATCTTTTTCCTCTGACAATAAAGTGTTAAAATGAGATGCAGAAGGCAGTGTGGAAAAGTTTGCCGGTTTTTTTTTTTTTTTTTTTTTGAGACGGAGTCTCTCTCTGTCGCCCAGGCTGGACTGCAGTGGCGCGATCTTGGCTTACTGCAAGCTCCGCCTCCTGGGTTCACGCCATTCTCCCGCCTCAGCCTCCCGAGTAGCTGGGACTACAGGCACCCGCCACCACACCCGGCTCATTTTTTGTATTTTTTTTTTTTTAGTAGAGATGGGGTTCGCCGTGTTAGCCAGGACGGTCTCGATCTCCTGACCTCATGATCTGCCTGCCTTGGCCTCCCAATGTGCTGGGATTACAGGCGTGAGCCACCGTGCCCAGCAGTTTGTCAGTTTCTAAAAAAAGTAAGCATATAATTGCCATACAACTGAGCAATTCTACTCCTAGGTGTCTACCCAAGAGGAATGGATGCAAATGCCCATGCAAAGGTTTGCATGCAAATCGTTATAACAGCTTTATTCATAGTAACCTAGAACTGGAAACAACCTAAATGTCCATCAGCTACTAAATAGAATATGACACAGCCATACGACGAAATGCTATTTAATCATGAAAAGGAGCAAACCAGTGACGCTTGCTGAAACATGGATGAACCCTGAAAACATTCTGCTAAGTGAAAGTGAAACACAAGCGATCAGTTATGACTGTGTGATTCCATTTCTAGGAAGTGTCCAGAAAGGGCAAATCTATAGAGACAGAAAGCAGGACGGTGGTTGCCTGCGGTTGGGGGTGGGAACTGACTGTAAATGGGGATGGGGGATCTTATTGGTACAATACCAATTATTTAAAACTGATTTATTATGATGGTTGCATCACTTGGTAAATCTACCAAAAATGAATGAACTGCAAATTTGAATAGGGTGAACTTTATGATACATAAAATGTACCTTAATAAAGCTGTTTTTAAAAACATGAGGTTCATCAGTTATAACAAATCTCCCATGCAGATGGGGATATTGATAATGGGGAGGTTGTACATGAGTATGGGCGGGGATCATATGGGAAATATCTGTACCTTCCTCTTACTTTTGCTGTGAGCCTAAAACTGCTCTAAAAAAATTAAGTCTTTTAGAAATTAACTAAAACAGGACATCAGATTTTAGAATTTAAATGCAAAAATAAGTGTTCATTGCCATGATAACATTTGCCCTTTTCGTACCACAAGTATTTTGGAAAATATACAAAATTACTTCTTAGGTACCTACACATGTCAGAAAAGCAGAAGGGCTGACCAGGAGAAATGAGAGTGACGTGTATTCCCGAGTCTAAATAGGTCAAAGAGGACCAAGCCAGAAACAGATGAATGGTAATATAGGAAACTGTCATGTAGTTCCTGGTTAAAAAATGAAAAGTAATATTATATCTCTATTTTCAATGAAACCATAGTTCCTTAATTCTAAAACCCTGATTTCTTTACACTTCAATAATTCTGAAATCAGAAGACACCTTAGAATCTATGTATATTTTCATTGCAACATCTTCTCCCCTAAAACCTGTTATTAAATAAATTACAGGTCTTAAATAGAATCTTGAATTCAAGAAAAAAAAACAGCTAAAAAAATTTCTTTGTAATATACTTTTGTGTTTTTAAGTGAATATAGAATTGAAATTCTTGAAATTACATTGAGCAAATTTAATGAGGTTACCCAATGACTATCTGAATCAGCCGAAACTGCAAAAGTCTCCATTTCTCCATATAAATCTATTGTTTTCTCAGTTACTCCCCAAAACCCCCAGGGCACTGGAAACAGATGAGGTCTAAACTCTGAGCTGAGCTGCCCATTCTCATGCCGCCTTAGAACAGTTGTCTCTAGATTCTCACACTACACACAGACTCATGACCACTAGAGAAATCTGAATTATATTCTTTAAAATAGAAAGTAAAAGTAAAAGGAGATTGAAGAAAAGTTAGGATAAAATTCACTGTAAAAGTTCTAGTTCTATGGAGAAACAGTCATTCTCAAACACTGCTGGTGGTAATGCAAAATGGAACTCAACAGAAGGAAACTGGATAATAATCAGCAAAAATGCACTTGCCCATTGACCCAGAAATTCCACTTCTGGGATCTGTCCTAACTATACCTTGGAGAATATGTGGAATGACATGTACATTGCAGCATTGTTTGTATTTACAAAGGATTGCAAAGAATGCAAATGTCTGTCATCAGGTGACAGTTGAATACACTGTGGTATCCACACACAGTGAATAACTATGAAAAACGCCATACAACGCGTAGAGCAATCTCTAGGACATAGTGAGAGAAAAAGTAAGGTGCAGTACTATATATTTAATGTGCTAATTTTGTGTAAGAAAGGAGGAAGAGATTTGACTCAATATACACACTTGCTGTATTTGCGAAAAGAAACATGGGAAAATAAACCAAAAACAAATAGAAAAGGGGGAAGAAAGAGGATAGAGAACAGAGATGCGAAGGAGACTGACTTGGTTGTAACTTGTTACAGGTTTGACTTTGGAATCGGGTACATGATTGATTTTTTAAATCAAAAACAAACACGAAAAAGAAAAGCAATTCTCGAAATTAAAAACAAATAGAAACAAACCTAATTGAATGTAAACATGGTGACATAGCCCCACACAAATAATCATTGCTCTGAAAGACTTAAGAACTTTGACTATACGTATTTCATGGCAAATAGGCTAAGTAAGGACTCTTCGTAGTGACATGTTATTATCATTTTTACATAGTCTTGGTAGGTTTTTTTCCTTTCTTCCCCTCTAAAATTGCACAGAATCTAAAGCTCCCCTCCTTCTCTCCATACAATAGCGTCCATGGCACTGCAACTCATCTGCCCCTTCCTTTCAGAAAAGGAAATACGAAGATTAGCACACCAACACAATCTACATCCTGCAACTATCACAGAGAGCTGCACGTATTAGCATCGGGCTGTGACAAGCACTGCACCAAAAGAAAGAAAAAATGTCTGTGTTTTATTTTCTTCTAGATATCAGAAGCAGGCCTGGTAGGGAGTGTGCTTGGAATCCTTTTAAGAAATATAATAATCTTGAGTAACATCTAATAAGACCTAGCATTTATTGAGCGCTAAGCATATGCCAGTGAGGTAGTACTATGATCACAGCCTTAAGAGGAAAATTAATCCCATGCCAAGTGCCAGACCTAGAACACCAAGCTAGCCTGGTATTATACCATGGGAACCATCATGTGGTATTATTAAAGTGACAGGACTCAGACCAAGACCCAGCAACCAGTCAAATAATTCTAAAGACAAGACTGAAGAAATTCTTCAGAGCTAAAATAGGCTCAGGAACTGAAATGGGAGGAGGAGAGAATCTGCAGTCAACACATGGCACAGAAAAAAACAACCCTGGATTTGGAATTAATGTCTCGATGTAAGCCACATACTCTGACATCCGAGGCAGAGTACTTAACCTCTCTGAGTCACTGTACTCACAGTGAATAAGCAGCTATAACCAGCTTCTCCAGACTAAATGGAAATTAACATAGATGTGTGTAATAATGTAAAATTTGTTAAAGCTATAAAGAAATCCAAGAATTTATTATTATTAGTTCCTAGGAAAGCAGGAAAAGGGGTGAAAAGAAAACAAAAGAGAAGGAATGACCCAGAAATTAATGTAAAATAAGCCTTTTTTCTTTTCTTTTTTTTTTTTTTTTGAGATGGAGTCTTATTCTTGTCACCCAGGCTGGAGCACAGTGGTGCAATCTCATCTCACTGCAACCTCCGCCTCCCGGGTTCAAGTGATTCTTCTGCCTCAGACCCCCAAGTAGCTGGGGTTACAGGCATGTGCCGCCACGCCCAGCTAATTTTTGTATTTTTAATAGAGACATGGTTTCGCCATATTGGCCAGACTGGTCTCAAACTACTGGCCTCAAGTGATCTGCCCGCCTCAGCCTCCCAAAGTGCAAAATAAGCTTTTTGACTGAGTGCATTGTAAGCTGAGCCATCCGACTAGCTGTTTCTGTGTCTCGGCTCTCCTCTCTTTTCTTTGCATCAGATTAATGGTTATAAAAACATTTTAGTTTATTTGGAGAATAATAATACTAGTAAACTTACCATATTCTTCATGTATTATTTGGGGTATTTTTACTAAAATATTGTTGCGTTTGGGTTTAGCTAACATTACCCTATGAATATAACTAGATTTAGATCCAGAGAGACTTTTTTCTTACAAACACCTAGAAATAGATATTCTACATAGACAACATTTGGTAAATGTTTTTGGCTAGAAAAAAGGCCCAATTTCCTACAGAACCCAGAGATTCTTGGCATTGATTATAAAAACAGATGGAAAGAATTGATTACGCTAATGAGGATGGTTCTGAGGATACTGAGGCTCCAACAGGGGGAAGAGGGGAGGGTTCTGCAGTAAGGAGATCAGTTACTCTCAGTGACCCTGACATATGCCCTGTCCTTACCACCCAGGGCACACTGGCAAGACTTCCTGCCACCAGCACCTGCATCTCACTGTGGGAAAGCTTCTCTGGCTGCCCTATTCCACTCTTTCACCTGTGCAGAGGTCCTCGGAGATCACTGCTCCTGGGACGAGCTCTCAACCAGCAACGAATGGGTCTTGGGGTAGAAATGCCCCCAGCTAGGCCGGACGCCGTGGCTCACACCTGTAATCTCGGCACTTTGAGAGGCCAAAGCAGAAGGATCTCTTGAGGCTAGGAGTTCAAGACCAGCCTGGGCAACACAGTGAGACATCTGTCTTAAAAACATACAAAAATTAGCAAAGCACAACTATGTGCACCTGTGGCCTCAATTATGCAGGAAGCTGAGGCAGGAAGATTGCTTGAGCCCAGGAGTTTGAGGTTGTGGTGAGCTATGATCACACCACTGGAGGACAGTGAGACCCCATCTCTAAAAAAAGAAAAATACATAAATAAACAAATCAATATCCCAGTTCCTTTTTCCCTTAGCGTGAAAACTCTGCGGTACATGTTTTTCACAGGCTCCCAGGGTTCCCCAGAAGGATGAAGCTTTGGTTACCCACAGTCACACCCTGCTTGCTAAGGAGAACTTTATTAACTTTTCTACCCTCTCTCACTTCCCTATTGCCTTTCCGAGTATCTCCTGGATCACTTCTCAAGTAAACTGCTAGCACCCAAATCCTCTTCTCAAGAATCTGCTTCTGGGAAACCTAAACCAGGATGCTATTCCCCTTGCAGAAAACATTCCCTGCCATGAACAGCCCAACTGCTCAGCACAACAATCCCTCCTTACTATTCCCTCCTAAAAGTCAACCAAGGATATGGCTCTCTCACTATCACATTACGTCATATTTAGGTGGTGACCAAGAAGTGGCTGGCATCCTGTTCTATGCTTTGTAAGTCACCTCTTCTAGCTAGCCACTCACAATCTTTCATTCTCTCCTTATGGAGAAAGAGGGAAAGGGCTCTGAAGTAAGGAGATCACTTGGAGCAAAATCATATTTTAAGTGAAATTAAGTTACTAGTGAACTTTCAGGTAGTCTGACATACAAAGATAGTAATTACCTTCTGAAATGTAATTTTAAAAAATGATTAAGATGGAAACCTCAAATTTAAAAGAATTTTGTGTGATTGTCCTCTGCCGTGTAAAATCCTTAGCTTCTGCTCAGTCTCATCTCTGCCCTATTCTTTCGGAAGCTTTAAAACCCCAAATGTGCTACTGTTTTCACATATATGGGCTGGTCTCTGCACCAGCATAGTCAAAAAAAGAAAGAAAACAATACATATGAAGGAAAGCTTTTAAATGAATCAGAAGAAATTTGATAAAATCTCACCATTACAGACTAAATTTCATCTCTTGCTATCTAATTAATCTACCATCCATGGTTATTACACGAGTTGGGAGAAGAATAGATAAAGGAGCACCATTTAAGAAAATTTAAAATCAGGTGCATTCTCTTTGAATATTAGAGATTTAGAAGTAATAGGCCGGGCATGGTGGCTCACGCCTGTAATCCCAGCACTTTGGGAGGCCAAGGCGGGCAGATCACCTGAGGTCAGGAGTTTGAGACCAGCCTGGCCCACATGGCGAAAACCCGTCTCTACTAAAAATACAAAAAATTAGCTGGGTGTGGTGGCGGGTGCCTGTAGTCCCAGCTACTCGAGAGGCTGAGCAGGAGAATCACTTGAACCCGGGAGGCAGAGGTCACAGTCAGCCGAGATCGCACCATTGCACTCCAGCCTGGGCGACAAGAGCAAAACTCTGTCACAAAAAAAAAAAAAAAAAAAAGTAATGAAGACAAAGTTAAGTCTTTTAAAATCACAGTCAGTACAACACATAATCTTGCCTTCCTGCAATGTGAAGTTATCAAATACTTCAGGAACTTTCAAATCTCTTCAAGCTGTTTTCATGAGTTTCGTCTGTACTATTAAAATACACCACCACCACCACTAAGAAAATCTGGTTCAAAAATGGCAAAAGACATTTCTCCCAAGAAGATATGGAAATGGCCAATAAGCACATGCGAAAGTTGCTCAAGGTCACTAGTCATTAGGAAAAGGCAAATCAAAGCCACCGTGTGATGGTACCTCACAGCCATTAGGATGGCGACTGTAAATAATTAATTAATTAAGTGACAAGCACTGTTGAGGATGTAGAGAAAATGGAACCCTTGTGTTCCAGTTCTATGGTTGGGAATGTAAAACAGTGTAGCTGCTATGCAAAATAGCATGGTAGCGCCTCAAAAACAATTAAGATAGAACTACCATATGATCCAGCAATTCCACCTCTAGGTATAAAACCAAGGGAATTGAAAGCAGAGTCTCATCTCTATTGTGAATATTGGCATTATTCACAATAGCCAAAAGGTAGAAGCGACCCAAGTGTCTGTCAACAAATATGAGTCAATAAACAAAATGTGGTACACACATCAAGGGGATAAGATTCAGCTTAAAAAGGAAGACAATTCTGAGACCTGCTACCACATGGATGAACCTTGAAGACATTATGCTAAGTAAAATAGGCCAGTCACAAAAGGATAAATATTGTATGATTCCACTTATAGGAGGGAACTACAGTAGTCAAATTCGTAGAGACAGAGAGGAGAATGGTGGTTGCCAGGGACTGGGAGGAGAAGGAATGGAGACTTATTATTTAATAGGTACAGAGTCTCAGTTTTGCAAGACGAAAAGAGTTCTGGAGATGGATGATGCTGACGGTTGCACAGTAATAAGAAATTAAGCAATGCCACTCAACTGTACCCTTAAAAATGGCTAAGATGGTAAACTTCATTAAAAAACATTTAATTTTAAAGCTACTACTCTGAAATCGTTATTTGTCAGTGAAGAATGAAAATGCATTTTCCAAGGTAAGTTTTACAAGATTCAAGGTGTGAAAATATCAGTGGCTGACCTGCTGTTAATGAGCACCATCTCTTTCACAGGTAACAGACATCTATTCATGCTTCTGTTGAACAGACATAGAGGCGAGGCCCAGAGATGGTGGGTGGTTTGCCTAGATTGTCAAGGAGCCTCAGCATCAGGGTAGAATCAGGGTAGAATTAAAATTGGGTGCGTTCTCTTTCAAGGGAATGTAGAGATTCTACATTGTGAGCCCAGGGTTATCTTCCCCTGCAGCGTGCCTTTTCCTTGCATCTTTTTTAAAGACATCGTTTCAAACATGTTTCCCTAAATTCTGACTCCTTACAGAAATATTCAATATTTGTTTAAACTTTCCTCTCTATGGTTTCCTTTTGAAATCTTCTTGAAACATGCTCTATGGAAGATTAAACACAGCAGCACAGTGACAGATGAGTCTATCAATTAGCTTGTCTGTAGAAGAAGCAGCTGGAACCTGACCCTTAAAAGAGCTTGCTCCAGACAGATGATAAATCTTCAAATAAAGACTTCTCAGGAAAATCCTCAAACCTAATGAAAAGTTCAGCTCATCCCATGGGCCACTTGGCATTCTGTTGCTTGGGAAATGTGCCCACACCCTCACCATTAACTCATGTGTTAACTGAACTCTTCCTCCAGGGTGGAAAACGCTGTATTGACAAGTACCCAATGTCTTCTAGTCCATTCCCATCTTGTAGCTTAAAATCATCCTTTACACGGGGTCGGTAGGTGTATTTTTGGACTTTCTTACACAGGACAGATCATAGTCACTGAGAAAAACCATTCCTGGTATCTGAAAATTCCTAGCACAATTCTCCTGCATCCTAAAATCTCAATATTTAGGCAAACACATTGCTTTTGTTTGTATACATTCCTTTGATTTTTTAAATATTGCTTTTAGCTGCACTCAATCTTCTCAAAGTAGCTTTGAATAATATAGAGATAGTGTTCTTGGTCAACATTTACTTGCAAGAAAATAGACGCATAGACATTTGCATCACTGACTTAGAGCTACAAGACCTCATAATAAAGTACAGGATTAGAATCCAGGTGCCATTTGTCCCTTATACCATGCTGCCGAAATCCACCTTACTGCTGGCTTGCTTCAAGAATGATGAAATTATATACACACACATATACATATGTATGTTTATACACATGCATATCTATATATATGTTAATATTTATACACATACATATCTATATATGTGTCAATACTTATACATTTATGCACTATAAATATCAATTCAATATATATCAATTTATTTTTAAGTTAGTGTGTGTGCACTTATGTACTCTATTTCCTGTTAACGATTTTAAACGATTTTAGGATAAAAGCCATTTTTGATTTTAGATTCTATGCATTGGCAAATCAACTATCATATATGCATATATAATTCTTACAGCCATCAGAAATGATGTTGTGGATATACATGTATCAACATGGAAATATGTTTCTATGTATTACTTAGTGAGACAATCAAGTGACAACAGCATCATGTATGATATTATTTTATTTTTGTAAAACATAGAAACAAATGCTTGGAAACACATACAACAAAATGTCTAAACTCGTGCCATGGTGGTAGGAACCTTTATTTATTTATTTATTTTTTAGATGGAGTTTCACTCTTGTTGCCCAGGCTAGAGTGCAATGGCGCTGTCTCGGCTCACTGCAACCTCTGCCTCCCAGGTTCAAGCGATTCTCCTGCCTCACTCTCCCAAGTAGCTGGAATTACAGGCATGCACCACCATACTGGGCTAATTTTGTATATATATATATATTTTAATACAGACAGGGTTTCTCCATGTTGGTCAGGCTGGTCTCAAACTCCCGACCTCAGGTGATCTGCCTGTCTTGGCCTTCCAAAGTGCTGGGATCATAGGCATGAGCCACTACACCCGGCCAAGCCTGTATGATCTTAATTCATTTATTTCTCTCTGTGTGTTTGCTTCCATGTCTGTCTTCTTTTTTTATTTCGCTTACTTCTATTTTCAAATTTTTCCTATGAGCACATACTACTGTATAACCTTTTTTATAATTTTTATTTTTATTTTTAGCTGTTTTTTAAGAGATGGGGTCTCACCATGTTGACCAAACTGGTCTCAAACTCCTGGCCTCAAGTGATCCTCCCATCTCAGCTTCCCAAAGTGCTGGGATTACAGGCGTGAGCCACCATGCCTGGCCCTATTGTATAATCTTTTAAAGCATTTTTCAGTTACTTTAAATTTCCAAAAAGTAAAAAGTTGGATTCTATATTGTTGTTTTTTTTAAAAAAAAAAAGAAGTTGTGGAAACACCGACAAAAGTACTATGCACTGTCCACCAGAGAAAAGAAGGAAGCTGTATCCCCTGAGTGGGCATTTCACTGCTGTGAGCTAAGAAGACTGTCCTCTAAAATACCTCAGCCATGGCATTCACTCTGGCAATGCCCAAGCATATCACTGCCTTCTGAGAACAAGACAAAAGAAACCAACATTTCCTGGCTCTCGGTGTTCCACAGTTAATTTTGAAAAGTTTGGAAAGAATTTAAAGGAAAATAATATTGGCAACATGAGCAATTGTTCCCACATTACAACAAGAAGTTATTGAGAACTGCCCATCCCAACTACAGATAATGTGGCCATAAAGCTATGACAGGGGAACCATTATTTTAGAAATACATTCAAGGATCTGCAAAGGAAAATAATTGTTAGAACACAATAATACATTATAGACAATAAATAAACTAAATGTCCATTTAAAAATTCATTTCCACACATGTGAAATTAGAATGTCAGAAGTAACAGAATTCAAGAAAGTCCTCAATCATTCTAACATTTAGGTTTCCAAATGTTAACTAAGCAAGCATTTTTACCCCTTTGATCCATGAGTCATTGTCTTGCGGTAAACCGGTCACCTACAGCTGCTGAAATGTCACGTTTTGCCCTGTCCAGACATGTCAACATTCCACCTTCTCATTCTCCTTTCTAATGCAAATTCTAGGAACCCATATGTTGGCCAAAAGTTCATCAATTTCACATGGTTAGTTTGAATTGTCTTCACTGAAGAAACTTTTTTTTTTGAGACGCAGTCTCGCTCTGTCACCCAGGCTGGAGTGCAGTGATGTGATCTCGGCTAACTGCAACCTCCGCCTCCCATGTTCAAGCAATTCTCTTGCCTCAGTCTCCCAAGTAGGTGGGACTACAGGCATATCCACCACGCTTGGCTAATTTTTATATTTTTAGTAGAGGGGGGTTTCACCATGTTGGCCAGGCTGATCTTGAACTCCTGACCTTCAGTGATCTGCCCACCTCAGCCACCCAAAGTGCTGGGACTACAGGCGTGAGCCACAGCACCCAACCTTGAAGAAACATTTCAAAACATTGGAATTTTGTTTGGGATACGCTCAGAGGCTGGTTCTTGGCTAAGACAATAAATATAGAGTTCAAATAAATTAAAAGCCCATAATTCTCATTTTGGTAGAAGTCTGGGAACACATCAGTGTTCAATAATAATGCTCAATTTAATTAGTTAATTCATACAACTAATTGATAATTAAGTAATGTAATAATTAAGCAATTCCTTCAAAAAATACTGGTACATGCTCTGTACCTGCCAACTTCTAGGATACAGAAACACAGTTTAAATCAGACAAGTAAAGAATACGTCCTCTGCTGCTTATGTTGTAGCTGGGGGAGAAAGAATATAATAAGCTATGACTAATGTATTCATAAATTCCTATAAAATTTTTTTGAATCTATTGTAAACTCACTCAGACATTTTCCAAAATGTATGCTAATCTATGCCTACTGATGAAAGGTTCAGAAGACTTAATGTCACTTTCCCAGGGAAAATTAATCTGTTCTTTATTTTTCTTGAGCTGAAAAAAAAAAAGGTACTCTATATTTACTGAAACTTGCAGAATAGCTGTCTCATGAAAAGAGAAAATTTTGACTTTCAAGTAACATTTTCTACATGGGTAATTCTGCCCAATGTAAAAAGTGATTAGATCTTCACTATAGAGATTCTCATAAAACTGATTTCAAGAAATATGCCTTCCAAAGATAAGAGCCTCTGAAATTCACATGAAGTGTGCATGCAGCTAGAGATGGAACACATCTCATGCAGACAGTTACTTCAATCCCCAAACATGCAAAACTTTCACAATTCAGAAAGCAAAGGAGAAACACAATCACAATTGTACAGACATATTGGGGCCTCAAAGAACATTAAAGTCTCTGTAATATATACAAAACCAGATATTAACCTACAAACCTCTTCAGTTTGTCTAAAGTTTTTATGAAATAGATAGTTGGGGCCAGGTGCGGTGGCTCATGCCTGTAATCCCAGCACTTTGGGAGACTGAGGCGGGCAAATCATGAGGTCAAGAGATCGAGACCATCCTGGCCAACATGGTGAAACCCCGTCTCTACTAAAAATACAAAACTTAGCTGGGCGTGGTGGTGCACGCCTGTAATCCCAGCTACTCAGGAGGCTGAGGCAGGAGAATCGCTTGAACCCGGGAGGCGGAGGTTGCAGTGAGCCGAGATCGCGCCACTGCACTTCAGCCTAGCAACAAAGTGAGACTCCATCTCAAAAAAAAAAAAAAAAAAAAGAGAGAGAGAGAAACAGATAGTTGGATGATTCATTTTTTCTAGTCAAGGCTCAGGGGCCTCAAGCTTCCTTGAACTGGTGATGCAATGGCACACATGGTGTCAATAAATGAAAACTAAAAAACACAAGTATCTAATAATTTTATACAAAGAAACAATGTACAAAACTAAAATACACCAAAAAAGTAAGCGACGGTGAATCTAAATGAAATTCCACCCTTCTTACTCACAAACTCTTTGTCCCTCAATTTTCATATTATTTTCCCAGTCTCCCCAGGCTCTAAAACTTGGAATCATGCTTATTTTAGCCTCAAATTTTTTGTGTCTTATATCCAAGCGTTCTTCATACCTCACCCCTTTTTATTTGCGTAGTGCGCCCTACATTCTCACTGTTGGCACTCTAGTCCAGGAGCTCATGTCTGAACGCCTGCATTTTCTCACCATCTCCTAACTGGCCTTCTGGCAGCTCCCTCACTCTCCAAAACATCCAATCTATTGCTGCTAGGTTCATATTTTTCGCATGCCAATTTCACGAGCTCACCTTCCGGCTCAAGAATAGGCAGTGGCTCCCTACTGCCTGCTGGATCAAACCCACATTCCTACACTATCACTACATGTCTCAGTCCCCCATTCACTGGCCCTAAGTCACCTCTAAATGGAGAAGCTATGCAGCCTGGGGAAAAGAGCCTGGCTTTGTCGTTGGGAAACCTTTGTTTTAAATCCCAGTTCTGCTATTTACTCCTTATGAGACTTTGAGCAAGTTACTTAAATTCCCTGAGCTTCAGTAAACTCCCTTGAAAAATGGGAATAATAAAATCTATCTTGCTCGGCTATTATGAGAATTCAATATAATCGCTAACACAGTGGGTTGGCACAGCTCGTTTATATTTTCATTCCTTTGTTCCCATTAGTCCCCAGAATGCGCATCTCCCACCTCTACTTCTCAAAGATCCTAATAATGTGTTAGCAAAATGAGAGCAGCTGTGCAGGACCTAATCGGAACCTTGGGGCCTTTCTAGCAAATTCAGATTGCTCCTTTTCCCATATCTGTTTTTAAGAATAGAGGTGGAAATCCTTTCCTGGAAAACTATTTTCTGTCAAAATCAGTCCTTACACATGACTCCATTTCTTGAAATTCCCATGGGCAACGTAAATGCCGAAGATTCTTAATTCTTATTTATATATGAAATTAAGAACTATTAATTGAGAGCCTATTAACTGTCAGACACAGAGTAAGTTGCTGAAGATATACCCATGATCTTCTCCTACAGAAATGATCAATTATGGAAAACAGCAAGTCTGACAAGCAAGTACTCAAAAAAGAGGACAAGCATGATAGTAAGAAAAGTATAGGCCAAGTGCGGTGGCTCACATCTGTAATCCCAGCACTTTGGGAGGCCAAGGCAGGTGGATCACTTGAGGTCAGGAGTTCGAGACTAGCCTGGCCAAGGTGGTGAAACCTTGTCTCTACTAAAAATACAAAAATTAGCGGGGCATGGTGGCGCACACCTGTAATCCCAGCTACTCAAGGAGGCTGAGGCATGAGAATCGCTTGATCCTGGGAGGCAGAGGTTGCAGTGAGCCGAGATAACACCATTGTACTCCAGCCTGGGCCATAGAGCAAGACTCCGTCTCAAAGAAAAGAAAAGAAAAGTATAGGCCACTCAGGCAGCAGAGAGAGGAAGCCAAATTTAGGTCAAAGGAGAAGGTACGTGCCTCTAGAAGAAGGCTATTTAAGCTAAAATTTGACCTATAAGGAGGGATAAGTTTGATGGAATTGGATAGGAGAAAGACTTCAGGGCATGGAGACAGAGTTTTCTGAGCAGAGAAACAGCATATGCGAAGGCTTAGAGAGAGCCAGCCCACGTGCTAACAGGAATTGAAAGAAGTGCCATCTTTAACTGGGTAGGGCTGACAAGTGTGAGGAAATAAGAAAGGTTACCAGTTAAGGTGATTCCCACAAACCAGGAAGTGAACGTGTACCTTCTTGTAAGGGCAAGGGAAAACAAAACTGTGGATTTTAAATCCAAGATTTTACCAGCTTGGATTTCTACGGCTGTTAAACTTGCATATGGTTTTGTAGGACTTGTGTGCCGCGTCACACTAAGCACATACTCTGTGGCGTGAAAAATGGCAGATGAGCCTCTGGACTTGACCTTTCTCAATGAATTCTAGGTAGTATAGTTTGAAGTAGCAACGTGTGGTGAAAGAAAAAGGTAGACTATGCATTGGGTAACTGGGTAGCAATAGCATAAAACAGAAGAGAGGTGAGGCTGGTCTTCCCAGGCAGTGTCAGGCAATGACGGAGAGAGAAAAGCAAAGGGATTCAATGACAATGAGATCACATGTAATTTCAAAGGAGAGTTGCCCTAAATTTCATTTCCAGAGCTGTTCTCTCAGAACCCGTTGAAGGCAGAAAACAGGGTGGTCTTAATTGTGTCATGTATCCTGGCCCGAGAGGGAGTCGGATTGGCATGCTGTAAGTCATGGGTTTAGGAGTCCAAGGGACCTGAATGTGAATCTGTTTTTTTCCATTTACTCCCATGTGACTTGGGACAATTGACGCAATCTCTCTGCATTTCAGTCTATCCCACTTTCAAAATGTGGAGACAACTACTACCTCTCAGGGTGATTTTGAGGAGTAAATGAGAGCATATATGCAAGGTACCTTGAATCACCTACCTTGGCCTAGAGTAGACACTAAGTAACAGGTGGCTCTTCCTAAGATGCTATGGACTCTGCTACCTCTCAGCATTAGGCTACTGAGGAAGTGTAGGGACGGGGCTGGTTGTAACCCAAGGTAGAATTAGAATTCTGCTCTTAGGTGCTTAGGCTTAGGTGCTTTGAGAGCGACTTTGTTGAATCTGAATTCTTTTAAGTGGCAGGAAGTAAATAAAGCTTCTTGGCTTGACAGGACATGCTTGGGTCTTATTTCACAGTTGGTGTCCGCACAGAGAAGAGGAATATCACTGCTAATTAAGCATTCATTGAGTAGCCTTTTTTCCCTCACAGTAAACATATAATTAAGATTCGGTGTGTGTGTGGGTGGGTGTGTGTGTGTGTGTGTGTGTGTGTTTGTGGTGGAGAGGAAGAGAGAGGGAGAATTCCCCTACATACCATTAGTTTTATAACCATTAGTTTGCATACCATTAGTTTAATCCTATAGTTCCCTAGCCAGATAGCGGCAAGCTTATTCTCCATTCAATGCTGCTAATCTAACTGTATTCAAGTACATGCTTTGCAACCTGAATATTGCTTTCTGTGTTGCCATGAAAGCAAGCCAGGGCAGGAATGCATGAGTGTATCTAAGGCTCTATCCCTTTCCTCTTTCTAGCCTAGTCTGTCAACACTGCTGCTCCTTGTGGAAGCATGAAGTTCCTAATGCCTAAAATAGGTAACTCATTTCTCCTCTAAGAGAATCATAAGCTGAATGAGCTGATGAGGCCAAGCCAGCCCAATCTGGAAGCCTGTGTGGTTCAGAAGGACTTCCTTTAAATTCTATGAAGACAGGGACAGCAGCCAGAACATATTTGCTAAATAATTTGATTCCCGGAGAAGATGAACATCCTCCTTCTATCTGAGCTTTATTACTTCCCACAGACATGCCAAGCTCCATCAGCGTCCAATCTTTCCAACAGCCTCTGGAAATGCCCTGACCACTATTAAAAGGTAAATCAGTAGGTTCTCTCATGTTATAAAAGATGTAGAGGACTATCGCTTGCCACAACTACCCCAAAACAAAGGCCTGAAATAATATGAGACAAGAAAGAGACATTTATATTAACCTTAGTTCCTCTTAAGAAGGAAGCTGTATTTGTTTAGGAAAACTCTCTTACAATAGAAGGCAAGACCACAGACCCAGGTTGCCTCAATTTGGGTAAAACCATACATGCTAGACAAGATGAAGAATGTATTCAGGAGGGGAGAAGAAAAGAGAGAAAAAGGATGCCAGTGGAAAACTGCACACTCTGCCAGTGACTTTTTGTGAATCCCTTAAAACTTTGATAAAGTTGTTATAACTCACCAAATGCTTGGAAAAAAAAAATGTATTTTTATGGAACCCAAAGAGGAGCTTTGTGCCACATTTTTCATGAGGTGAAGCTGGAGCAATAAGTTTGGGGGCAGAGCAGCAGAGAGGAGAGTGCTTATTCCCAGCACTGGAATTGGATTTGGGTCTGGTTTAACCAAATCTTTAATGAACAGGTGCCCAGGGCTATGTGAGCAACGAAAATTGATTAGTGGCCAGTGAATGTAAATTTATCAACTAAAAATTTGGCCCACAAACAATATGCAGTACTTATTTTGCATTTATAAAGTTACATGATGTACAGCTCTGTTGCTTGAATGACATGCATGCCCACGTCATTTCACAAGAAGAATGTCACATAAAAAGAACTTTCCTGGCTTATAAGCAACTCCTAAGTACTTTTCCCTTAATTGACTAAAGGCCCTCCAGTGCTGATCTTCACAGTACTACAAAGGGACTCACACTCTCCTGAGAGCAGCAATCAAACCTCACTGGGTTTGTGGAGAGCATTCCTCCTTGGAAACGTCTCCTCATTCGACATTCAACAACATCGTCATTTTCAACATGATTCAGGTCACGAAAGATCAGCACACTTTCTAAGAATAACTTTATTTCCAGCCATTTTCAAAAGAAAACTAGCCTGGGATGCAGACCACAACAGTATACCGACTTTTTAAGGAATAAACTAGGCAACTATCTTTTCAAATGTTGTCTAAGCACGACTAGTTTAATGCCATCACAGAGCACACCAGGGGACAAGAGGTGACAGTCGCCAATGCAAAGCTGGCATAGGGGTTAGCGATTCCAAACCAACCCATTTGATAAAGAAGGTCGGGGGAAAGAAGGGGAAGAAGAAAGTAAAGGAGGAGAAATTGAAAAAGCTTCTCTGAATTGAATCAACTGACACCCTTGTAGGTCGTGAAGCCGAGTCTCCTTTTAGTAGAGAGACCTTAACTATGTAAAGGTGCCATGTTAAGTGATGGCCACATAAATCCTGAAACTATTAGAATCCCTCGTGGAATAGTAACATTAATAACAGAACTTAAAAGTCTCCTTTAGCAAGGATGTAAATGTCGACACTCCCTTCCTCCCCAGCCAGAGTAGTCAAACAGGATGGGTTTCTTCTCCATAAAACACAGAAGCATAACCTACATATCTACTGCACCAGAAATGGCTTCTATAACTTATTTGTTTATTTACTCCGCTCCAATTCCCAGAAATCAAAATGAACTTTCCCATAGGGATCACCTGATGCCTTTAACGTATCCCTCATTAAAACGGCTGGGAATAGGAGGAAGAAAGCAGACTCACCATTTGATTGCTATACCAGTACAGTGACGACCCCTTCAGTATCACCCAGAACTTTTTCCATTTGTTGCTTAGGAAACTTCCCTTTTCCTTTTTCTTATACAGCCACCCTTGGCAGTCAGCATGGCCCAGATCTTTACACGATATCCTCCTCCGACTCATCGTGAGAAAACCTGCAATGATTACATGAAGAGGTAGATAATGTATTACCCTGATTTGGTAGGTAAAGTATTATCCTGATTTATGTGACAGAGTGAAAGGCAACTTTTAATTGTTAACCCCCCGGGGAGCTGGATTTTTCACCAAGATTTATGCAAAGCCTATGCAAAACCTATGCAAAACCAATGCAAAAAAAAAAAAAAAAAGCCATGTGTCTGTTTTATTTTTAAACATTTGTTTCATGCTTAGAAGGTATAAGATACGGCCAAAGAAACAGCGCAGCAGGAGTAATATGCAAGTATTAGTCTAAGAATAGTATTCACCAAGAATAAGTTGAAAATAATTAAAATTGTAAGGCTGGCGGGCATATCAGTGCAGTAACATAGCTCCTCTCAACAATAACAGCCGTAGTTATGCAATAGATGTTGAAGGGTTAATGCCCACCTCAATACACAGCTACTTCCCGACTCACTGCCAGTTTTTCTAAGCTCTTTTGACATACCACGAGGGATTAATCCAAATGAACAACATGTCGTCATTTCTTAAAATCGATTCAACAATAACCAAAAATTAATCTGCCGTCCACCTCCTCTTATTAGCATTAAGACAGACAGAAATCTGATCCCAAGGAAGGCACCCCGGAGAAAAGCCACACTCAACGTACACAAAATGGAGATAAAGAAACAAAAGAGATCTAATTACCTTGAGTTTTCCTCCTGGGCTTCTGACGCAAGGGAACCTGCTGAAAATGCAGGAAGGAAAGAAAAGAGGAAATTTCTGATTGTGTTGTAACATTTGTAAAGAGAGAAGGAGGGAGGAGGTGGCAGTGTTTATGAGCAGGATGGAATCTAAAAAAAAACTCTCCAGGCAGAGCTTAACGGGGAGCTACTAGCTGAGGCACAAAATGTGCTAATTAGAATCAATATACATTGAGCTGAACCTGAAAAAAAAAAAAAGTCACAGAGCATTTATCACTGATGTTTCCTGTTCCCACCCACAAGCCGCTCTCACTACTACTTTAGTTATGATAGCACAGTGTTCACGGAAGTTTTAAAAATCAAAAAATATTTCCCCTTTTGTGTTTTTGTGAGAGAAGGAAAAATATATCTGCTTCTTTTGCAATTTCTAAATAACAATGATTATTCAGATAAACCTGGAAGATAATTGTTACAATCTCAAAATATTAGAGTCACTTGACTATTCAGCTCATAGTCCTGCTACCACGTAGGGTTAGACCTAAACCACATGAATTAAATATCCCAGAAAATGAAATTCCACAACCTCTTTCAGTGAGAGTTCAGTAGCAATCAACCCTCCTTATCAGGAAATTCTTATTTACAGACAAATTAAAGTTTGTTATTCTGTCTTTAAATATCTCTGAATATTTCTCACGTTTTATGGAAGATAAATTAGTTACCACCTACTATTCTGTACTAGCTCTTCAAATCAGACATAAGACAACATATATGAAATATACATTTTTTCCACAATACATTTTAAACAAACATACAATCAGACTATCAGCAAAAATAAAAAATATTTTTAAGTGCTTTAAAATACGTGTGTGTGTGTGTGTGTGTGTGTGTGTGTGTAGAGAGAGAGAAAAAAAATTTTGCTTAAAGAAGTTCTATTTGTTTTTTCTTTACAAATATCTAAGCTGAACTGATTTAAATTTGAAAGACAACCTTTTCCGTTAACAGGTAGAGAACTCAGGGGAAAAAACGTGTGAAAATGAAAAGCAGTTCCAAAATTTGGTATGTAATCTTAGTACAGCATTTTATAATGTTTTCTAGAGGTTCCTGGCTTATAGTCTACATATCTAACTATTGATCTGATAGCTATTGTATATGGTTCTACTGTATGTTTGAAGAAGGGATATGACATAGTGAAAAGAGGAGAAGGTCTTTAAATCCAGAGGCCTGGAACCAATTCCTGGCTATTATAATTAGTAGCTGTGGTGCCCAAGAAAATAGCACTCTCTGAATCTGCTTCTTCATTTATAAAATGAAGATATTGATAATAATTCTAATCCTATAGGTCTTATAAAGATTTTACAAGATTTATTTGTGAAAATCCTCTGAGAACTAAACAACATCCCTTTATATGAGTATGTGTAATATAATATTATATCGTTGAGATAAACAAATACTTTATATCTAATAAACAGAAAAAAATCATAATTTTTATAAGTATGATTTATGTATCCTTCAGCAATTACAACGAAGCTAAAGTGTTTAAATTATATTTCCTGGGAAATATAGATCCCAAGAAATATTGCACTGACATTTCATCTGACCAATGTTAGAGTAAAATTTATCCCCCCCAAAATTAATCATCCATAAAGATGGCAGTAATTACCTTAAATTTTAAGCAAAGATAGACATGTTATAATCATGGCATGTTACTAAAATCCAGGCAAGTTATCATGAAAAGGACCTAGTCTCAGCCTCACTTCACAAATATCTCCCACACTGACCTGTCTTGTGTTCTAAAGTTCCTATCATTCCCTCAAATCATCTCCTGGGACCTTTTTTTGATATGCCAATTCTCTGAGATCAGTAAAACCCAACTAGTACCTATTGGCAAAATATTTTTGCCCAAATATGTATATTATTTGAGTGGCTAAATTTTAGCTGAGAGCCAGGACTAAAGACAAAGAAGAGAATTCGTGAATGTAGATGCTGGGTAAGATTTGGGAAATCTGGGGTCCAGGAGTCCCTAGCAAGCACTTGAGACAAACCAAGAACCAGGGGAATAGGGAGAAAAGGGCGTTGTTAACAGTCATTCCTAGAGTGCTCAGGCCTCCAATGAACAAGATGAAATTACATTAGTTCAAACAAGAAGAGCAGCCTTCAGATGAACAAATGAGAGGAAAGTCCCTGGAGGGCAGCGATGGGATCAGCCAAGGCAGAGAGGAAGTGATGCTCCTTCCATCGCTCCCAGCTGGGTACCAGTGAGTATCCTCCACCCATTCCTTGTGAGCACCCAGTGGGACTGGAGCCCTCCGGCTCCACCTTAGGGCTACTTCCAGGGAAAGCCCCAAAATGTGAGCTTTGTCTCAATTCTGCCCAAGACCAACCCTTGGTCTACACCACGTTCTTATGCCTAGGATGGGATGAGAACAATACCTCAAGCAGAACAGGCACCCAACTCAAAGAAAGGCTTTTTTTTTGTTTGTTTTTAAGTGGGGGAGGGAGCTTAGTTATTGAGTCATTGAGTCAACCCTGTTCTGACAATAATTCTCTTAAAGCAAATTATTAACTGTTAAAACTGTTTTCCCTGACCAGAAACAGACTGCATATTATAGAAATAACAAATTCAGGGAGTTTCAGTTTCACCTAACATACATGAATTTGAAACCTAAATTGGTTTATATGAGACAGTGAAAACAATCTTTGAGAACTTTATTGCATCTAAGATAGATTTTACTCCTCACAACAGGAAGTGGAACCCGTGAACTAGTCCGTTTCAAAATGATCTTGCATGTGGTTTTTCGCTAGGTAAGTAAAAAAAAAAAAAAAGCAAGCAACCAGTTGAGCATTTTATGAGATGGTTTTTCAATAGGGGAAATTATAACTTGCTATCATCATAAATATTCAGAGCCTAGTAAGATATTTTCTCATTCTATTTTCTTCCAGTTTGAATGTTATAGGTAAAACTAAAAAATTATTCTAAAAATCTGATTTTGCCCTAACTTACTTCTAAAGTTGAGGGGAAATTTTTCTTTGAAAATATGTATTTCTTTTTCATTGAAGAAGTGTATTTTTCTTTAACTTTTTAAAAGATGGTTCAAAAACTTCATTTGGCCACGAATCACTCAAAAACACATGGAAATATACAAAAGACCCAGTAGAAAATATACAAAGGAAACTCCTTTGATATTGAATGTTGGGGCTAACGCCCAGGTTACGGGTAACTGTTATATTGACTTATAATCCATATAGTAGTTGTTAAACCTTGCAGGCAAAATTTACCCCAAGATGTATTAAAATTCACAGTAAGATGCTCTGTCATTACATCAGACTTCATAGTGATCCTAATCTTTAGCAAAAACTATACAGTGATATGCTGGTAAAATGGGCTCTCTGGTTGCAGGAGCCCTAACTGGTGGCTTTTGTCAATTTCTGTGGTAGAAACCCTCACATCATTGACAGTTTCAAATTACCAATATTTTAACAACCAAGCCACAGAAATTCCTGACTATTTTAGAGCCATACCAGATCGGCACAGCACTGATAGAGCTGTTAGGGATGTTCTTCCAGAAACCCCTGACATCTCCACAAACGTTTTTTATCCTTCCCAGAAAAATAGACTCAACTTTTTAAAGGAGATTCTAAAGCATCCAATTAATAGACATTTACCTGTGAAAACATGAAAAGCTTGCTTAATTTTTTCAGAAGACTAACCACCTTAAATAATACTTAATACATTAATTGAAATAATCTGTCATAGTAGTGGATAATGAAGAAAGACAATAGACATTCTAACAATAATAACAGAAGCAGTAATAAAAACAATGACAGAGGTTGGATGTGATGACTCACGCCTATGTCAGTGATTTGGGAGGCCGGGGTGGGAGGATGTCTTGAGCCCAGGAGCTCAAAACTGGCCTGGACAACATAACAAGATCCCATCTCTTATTTTAAAAAACCACAATGACAGCTAAAACATATGAATAAAGCTTAATAATCATATCATGCTCGCATGTGCCAGGCGCTGCTCTGAGTCTTTTCAAGATTACTAGCATTGAACTCTCATAGCCACCTTTCTGGCTCAGGTGCTATTATTATATCCACTTTACAGAAGTGGAAATTAAAGCAAACGGAGCTTCAGAATTTTGCCCAAAGTCACCAAAGTAAATGGTAAAGTGAAAATAGGTATTTCAAGAATAAAACTCTGCATAGTAAACTGTTAGGATATTTGTTTGCATTGTTGCTGTTTTGTTAAGAAGTAGGGCAGGGAAGCAAGGACTAGAGATTGTGGCGAAGATGGATACCACGGCACTTTCCACCTAGAAGAGGAAAAGAAGAAATGAAAGGAGGACTGGGAAGAAGGGGAGGAAGGAAGGGAGAGGAGATAAGGAGCTGCAGGAAGGGTGCAAGAGAAGACGGAAGAAGGAGGAAGACAATGTAGAAAGTGGGGAAGAGCAAAGTTCCAGGGAAAATCGTGGAGTTTCTAGCTGAAACAATTGCAATAAATGACTTAGCACCATAGAGAACACAGTTAGAAATGTACATATTGTTTCAGCAGTAAAGATACTGAGTCTGATAAACATGTGAGACATCTAAGTGGAAATACTTGGTATACAGCAGTATATAAGGGATTAGATATTGGGAGGAAAATCTGGAATAAAGACATAAAATGTTGACTTGTCACTGTATAAAGAGTAGAAGTCTCATGTTTTGGTCAGATCACCCAGAGAATGTATAGAATGACAAACGCTCAACATCAGAATCCAAAGGAAAACCAACATGCCCCAGAAAAGCAATAGAAGCCCAGCAAGGGGACTGTGCCATTAACAGCCAAAGAAAAAGTAAAGAGAGGCAGGAGAGAAGGTTGTCGTGGAGCAGAGGGAGGAATACAAGAGAAAGGTAGGTCCAAACCTTCCAGTACTGTCAGTGTGAAAAAACAAAGGACGAGCTCCTCTTGGCCAGGCACGGTGGCTCTCACCTGTAATCCCAGCACTTTGGGAGGCCAGGGTGGGCGGATCACGAGATCAGGAGTTCAAGAACAGCCTGGCCATCACGGTGAAACTCCGTCTCTACTAAAAATACAAAAATTAGCTGGGCGTGGTGGTGGGCACCTGTAATCCCAGCTACTCGGGAGACTGAGGCAGGAGAACTGCTTGAACCCCAGAGACGGAGGCTGCAGTATGCCGAGATCATGCCATTGCACTCTAGCTGGGGTGACAGAGCAAGACTCCATCTCGAAAAACAAAAAAAAAGAAAAGAAAAAACGAAGGATGGATTCACTAGAGATTTGGCAAAACCAGTTTAACTATTGTGTGGGGCTACAAGACCAATCCGAGTGGGTTGAGAGATGAGTGGGAATTGAAGAAATAAAGACAGCATTGCAGACTACTCCTTCAAGAATCTTCACTGAAAAGAGGCGTCATGATAGTAACAGGAAGGCACACTGCCAAAGGACAGAGATTGCCACAGACCTCCCTCAAAACCAAGCTTCTGTGCTTAAACCCTTTTATTGCAGTAAGATACAGATACACACTTAGAAAGCACTTCAACAATACAGTATCAAAGGCTTCAATTATATTCATATTCTAACTCATTGATCATCCATTTCTTTCTGCCTTTTTTCTTTTTGAGATTATTTTTAAGAGAATTAAGTATACTGTTATCTCTCTGTGTACTCCTTCCCTTTTTCATTTCCCTCTCATTCTCCTCACATTACACTAACTTGAATGTGATGTTGATCATTTCCTTGCTTTTTTTGTTGTTGTTGTTGTTTTCTCCTTGTAGAGACAGGGTCTCGCTCTGTTTCCCAGGCTGGTCTCGAAATCATAGGCCCAAGAGATTTATCTTCCTCAGCCTCCCAAAGTGCTGGGATTACAGGCACGAGCCACCACATCCGACCTCCTTTGCACTTTTACTATCTATAAATAATATTTTAACAAAACTAGAAGTAATAACATTAATGCAGACATTTAATTTTCACTATTATGTTTTTGTAATGTTTTCACGTTGATACATGTATCTCTAGTTCATTTTCAATGCTGCATAGTACTGCAGTGAAGAAAAATGCCACAATGTATCTCTACCTATTGATGCACATTGAAATTATTTACAATGTTATGCTATCACAAAAATGTTGCAATTAACAATTTTGTATAACTTCCATTATTCATATATGCAGGTGTCTTTCTGGGCTACCTATGTGTCTGGAAGTGGAATTCCATGATCATAGGATATGTGCATCTTTAATTTTTTAGATATTCCCACGTTTCTTCCAAAGTGTCCTACTTACAGACCCTCCTGCAATATATAAAATTTAGCTTTCTACAACCAGGAATATGTTTTAGTCTCCTATCTCAGAGTTTCAGAAATCTTTCCTACATCTCCTTCTACCTGTTTATTTTTTCTCTTTCATTAATGTCTGCTCTTAACTTATTACCCTTTCTTTAAATTTTTAAAAAAATTACTGTTATTTTTTTTCCAGCTCCTAGAGGTGATGTATATCTTATTTATATTCTTTGCTTTTATTATAATAAAACATTCAGAGCTATACATTTACTGGGAATTTTGCTTTACTTGTATCGCCTTGTTTTTCCATTCTAAATCATTTCTTTAGAATAAGACATTGGAATATGTATTTATAGGTTTCTTAGCATATGGGAAATTTTTACTACTTTTTTTAATTTCTAAATTCATTGCATTTTGTTCAGAACATATGATCTTTATGATACCAATTTCTTGAAATTATTAGCATTTATTTGTGACATTACATAATCAAATTTTGTAAACATTCTATATTAGTCCATTCTCACACTGCTATAAACATACTAACTGAGACTGGGTAATTTATAAACAAAAGAGGTTTAATTGACTCACAGTTCTGCATGGCTGAAGGGGCCTCAGAAAAGTTACGATCATGGTGGAAGGAGAAGGGGTAGAGAGAGACACGTCTTACATGGCAGCAGGAGAAAGAGAGAAGCAGGAAGCACCAGATACTAATCAAACAACCAGATCTTGTGAAAACTCACTCAATATCATGAGAACAGCATGGTGGAAACTGCTCCCATGATCCAATCACCTCCCACCAGGTCCCTCCCTCAACATGCAGAGATTACAATTTGGATTACAATTCCAGATGAGGTGGGGACAGAGTCAAATCATATCACATTCTATGTAAACCTAAATCAAAACTGCTAATTTTGTTTTCCAAATCTTTTATATCTCTCTTTAATTTTTGTTGCTGGAATTACAACTTTGTTAGCATTTCCATCCTTTTATTTTCAAACTTTCTGTGTGGTTGGTTGGTTGGTTTTTGCCATTTCTTTTATAAGGACCATATGACTACATTTTGATTTTTTTTAATATAACATGATTATCTGTGCCTTTTCATAGGTGAGTTTAATCTACTTACATTTAACAACATTTTTATTTTGCGGTTTTGGTTTCATTCACTTCATTTACTTTTATTTTTCCCTTTTTTCTTTCTCACATGCAATTTCTCTGATGTTTAATTTAGTATTTCTAAATTCACCATAAATATAGCATAACTTAGCATATTGTAACTCCTGTTTGAATGACTACTCTCTTGTTATTGCAGTCTACATATTTATTTTTCCATTAAAAATGTTGTGTATTATTATTCTTAATCATAAATTTATTATGATTTAAGTTATTATTTCTCAATCAGAAATCACAAGTTTTCCTATTTCTGGGATCATCTTTCTTTCATTTATCATATAGCTTCCCACTGGATCCACTTTTCTGTTTAGGAGGGTGCCTCTTTGAATAGTCCCTTTTAATGAGGATCCATAGGCAGTAAATTCTCAGTCTCTGTGTGTATTGTAATGCCTTTATTTTCACCTCAAAACTGAATGATAATTGAGGTGGGTATAAAAGTATTTTCACCCCTGGCACTTTGACTATTTTGATCATTGGTCTTCTAACAACTATCACACTGATCGATTTCTGCTATCAGTCTGTCATTCATTGTACTTGATTTTTCTTTTCACTCTCTTAAGGCATTCTCATCATCCTTGATATACTGTAACTTTACTGCAATGTTTCTAGTTATGGACTTATCTTTATTTATACTGCTCAATCCTCTGAGTGAAGCTTTAATTGATAACTTGCATCTTTTCTCAAGCATGGAAAATTTTAAAAGGTCTTCAAATCATGCTTTTCTGCCATTTTCCTCATTCTCTTCTTTTGGGAGTACTGTTAGATTTGTGTTAGAGATGAGTGATTTTTCTTTCATATCTTAGCTCTTTTTTAATCTCTTTATCTCTCTATGCTACTTATGTCTTATATCAGTTTTTCAAATCTGCTTCCAAGTTACTAATACTCTTTTTTGAAAGTGTCCAATGTTTATGCCATCTATTGAGCTATTGCAAGAAAGGTATTTTCTTTTCTGAAATTTATAAATTTTTTAAAAACCAACTGATACTTTATTATTGGTGCTTGATTTTTCTTCAAAAATTTTTAAAAGTTTCTTTGAACCTCGTACTTAAACATTTTGTCGAGCTTTTAACTTTTTATTTAATTTAAAATGAAGCTATCTTCTAATTTTTTATTCTATATTCTATCTTTCTTAGCATTGTTATTTGTAAATGTGTTCTGGGATTTGTCTTAGTCAGTTTGGACTGCTGTAACAGAGTACCATAGACTGAGTGGCTTAAACAACAAATATTTATCTCACAGTTCTGGAAGCTGGGAAGTCCAACATCAAGATGTGGGCAGAGCTGGTGCCTGGTGAGGGCCCTCTTACTGGTTTACACATGGCCATTTTCTTATTATATCCTCACATGGCCAGGGAGAAAATCATCTCTCTCTGGTCTCTTCTTATAAGGGCACAAATCTCATTCATCAGGGTGAAGCCCTCATGACCTAATTAACTCTCAAAGGTTCCGCCTCCTAAAATCATTACATTGGGGATTAGGGGTTCTATGTATAAATTTGTGGGGATTGAATAGGAGGGACACAAATATCCAGGCTATGATAGAATTTAAATTTGCAGAATTGCAAGTGAAAAAGTTTTATGTCTTCTCTTTCTCTGCCTTACTATCTGTCTATATGGCATTCTTTCTCTCTGTGTCTCTGTCTCCGTCTCTCTCTCTCTCTCTCTCTCTCTCTGTGCGTGTGTGTGTGTGTGTGTCTCTCTCACACACACACACTCTCACTTTCTCTCTCTCTCTTCCCATCTGTGCTTATGGCTCTCTCTTTTGCTGTTTAGAAGTTACCTCTAGTTACTGCAAAACTAGTTCTACAAAAATATCCTAATTTAATCATAGAGAATCTTGCACACATGGTCCCCAACTTATGATGGATAGTTTGACTTACAATGACTTTATGATAGTACAAAAGCAAAAGCAGTATGCATTCAGTAGAAGTTGCACCTCAAATTTTGAATTTTGATATTTTCCTGGGCTAGTAATACATGGTATGATACCTTCACATGGGATTTTCAACACTTTATTATAAAATAGGTTTGTGTTAGATGATTTTGCCCGGTGGTGGGCTAATTTAAGTGTTCTGAACATGTTTAAGGCAGGCTATGCTAAGCTATGATGTTCAGTAGATTAGGTGTATTAAGTGCATTTTCAACTTAAGATATTTTCAATTTATTACAGATTTATCAGGATGTAACCCCATGGTAAGTCAAGAAACATCTGTATATCCTGTCACTGATCCAGTTGGTGACTAAATTTAGTTCCTGGTTTGGTGCCTGTGTCTGTATCTCCTTCCTCCCAGGGCCCACAACTAGCAAAATGTGTCATCTCAGGCAGTGATTTGGCAACTGTTTCCTCCATTTATCTTTAGCTCCTTTCACAAGTGAGGAAGCTCCATTGTCATCATGGAGTGAACCTAGCTAGCTCTCCCCACATTTAGCGGAACATTTTTTACACCCCTATCCCTTAACCTGCAGGCAGAGGCAAACTACTTCCTGCTTCCAGACCAGGTGCCTATCCAGCTCATGGCTTCAGTCATGCTACACTTTTCATTTCTGATCCACAGAGATGCTTACCATGTTTCTGAGCCTAACTATCATTTTTGGCTTTTTATGTTTTTCTTTGTCTATCATTGCTATATGTTGGAAGATGAATGGAATGTCAAAATGTGTACCACCCTTGAACGGAAATCAGTTAATTCATTTATAAGATTCCATCTTAAATCCACAAATAACAAACAAGTCTCTTCCCATACTGGCCTCAATATACCACCAAAACTTTTTGCTTTTTTGTTTTGTTTTGGTTTTGGGTTTTGTTTGTTTGTTTGTTTGTTTTTTGAGACAGGGTCTTGCTTTTTCACCCAGGCTGGAGTACAGTGACAGGATCATGGTTCGCTGCAATCTCAACTTCCCAGGCTCAAGCGATGCTCCCACCGCAGCCTTCCAAGTAGCAATTGGGACTATAGGCACACACCAGGACATCTGGCTAATTTTTTATTTTTTGGTAGAGATGGAGTCATGCCATGTGGCCCAGGCTGGTCTCAAACTCCTGGCCTCAAGTGATCCTCTCGCCTAGGTCTTCCAAAGTGCTGGGATTACAGGTGTGAGCCACCATACCCAGATAACTTTTTTCTATTCTGCAGAAATATCAGACACTTAAACAGCTCCTTGCTTTTGAATACTGTATTTCCCTCCCCATTCTTCTCCTGGTTAATGCTTACTCATCCTCTGAGATCCAGGTCAAATGGCACCTCCACTATGAAGCCCTCTCTGACATCAGAAGGTGGTTAGTTCTAATACTAACTTCATATTCACCCAGTGTTATTTATTTGTAGCCCCTGTAATAAGCTATTTATGTTATCTCTGAAGATCTTCATGGTAGGTACTATTTTTATCCTCCTGTTCACAGATGAGGAACTTCAGCTTGGTGTGGTTAAGAAACTTCTCCACAGATCACGCACAGCTAGTAGCAAAGCCAAGAATGGGACCCAGCCAGTCAGACTCCTAAGCCTATTGTTTAATTATATGTTCTCCTGCTGTTCTGTCTTCTGTGTTCTCACCATGTTTTGCTATGCCTCTGAAATTGATATTATAATCTGTTTATCTGTGTGGGATACCATGGTACACACACTGTGGTAACACTGCCTACCCAACGGTCCAACCCAGAGCCTGTGAGTAATCTCAGGTTTGCCCTTTCCCCTCTCCTACACATTTGCTCACGCACCACCCATGTCCAGGTTGCTTCCTAATATTTACCAAATCTCTCTTTCCTCTCTATCTCCACTATTGCTGCCTTAGTCAGATCCATATCAGTTCTCTCTTAAACAATGACCAACCATCTCATTCCTGGACTCCCCGTCTACAGTCTAGATCCTCAAAACCCATTCAACACACCACTGAACAACTACAACTCTGCTTAAAATGCATCAATGACTGGCCAAGACTTCAAGACAGAATTGATGTTCTTGAACATGCCATGTCCTCAAAATCTAGCACCTAGCCCAATGACTGACATAAAGTAAGCACTCAAAAAAATATTTAACAAAAAGTTTTATGGTCTTATATCAATTTTTCCTTCATATGATGCCTTTAGTAAGCATGATGCCTTCCTATGTGCCTGGCAGATAGTGGAACTTTGACAGATGTCTGCAAAGCCATCTACTGCTCGATTACTCAGAGCTGTAAAATACCTTGGCTAATAAATAATATCAGCAAAGTTAAGCAACACAAAAGTTTCACCAATACCTTTCTCACTCCCAAAGAGGCACATCCATAGAGAAAACCCCATAGGATTGACTGACATGAAACTTGAATTCACAGGAAGAGTTGACTCTTGGTATTTTCTTGAAGGTAAAATGGACTTTTGCTGAACAAATCTCTAGTTCTACTAAAAGACTATTTCCTTAAAAAGCACAATACCTTTCTCCCTCATCCTCTTTCAACAAACCCTCCAAATACTGAGAATCTGGAATCAAAGAAATATGAAATGCGCGCTGGGCATGGTGGCTCACGCCTGTAATCCCAGAATTTTGGGAGGCCAAGGCAGGAGGATTACCTGAGGTCAGGAGTTCAAGACCAGCCTGACCAACATGGAGAAGCCCTGTCTCTACTAAAAATACAAAATTAGCCGGGCGTGGTGGCATGTGCCTGTAATCCCAGCTACTCGGGAGGCTGAGGCAGGAAAATCACTTGAACCTGGGAGGCAGAGGTTGTGGTGAACCGAGATCGCTCCATTGCACTCCAGCCTGGGCAATAAGAGCGAAACTCTGTCTAAAAATAAATAAATAAATAAAATAAAAAATAAATAAATAAAAAGAAATATAGAATGCATGGGGCAGGGGTGGCATGAGGACAGAAGTTTTCTACTTAATGAGCCCCTCCCACCCCTACCAATAATCTATTCCCCAGAGAGCTCTCATGCCCTTCCCACCTAAGTCCTTGCCACAGGAAATATGTTCAAGTCTCCTGTTTTTGACCCATGTGAAGAGCAGCGTTGGCCCCTTATTTCAACATAGGGTTATGTTGATGTAGCCTGAAAGCAAACTGCAAAGTTTCAGCTTTTTTTAATTGACCAGAAATGTGAAGAATAAACTCCTCACTTCCACTCCCTGCAGTTCACACGACGAGCACGGAGATGGAGTGAGCGGTGAGACATGCATGTTTCATGCAGGCAGAAATCGTGTCTGGGCTGTTGACTACACATAGTCACATAAAGACCGATGCTTTGTGAGTGGCGAATGCAGAGCTGTCTTGTGAAGTAAACACAGCAAGTACCAGTTTGCTATTAGACAGATCATCCCACAGGTGAGAGTCCAGGCAACAGCAAATAACTTAACCACAGTAGCAGACATAAACATGCATTCACATCCACTGACCGTTTCCTTGTCAGCAAGAAAACTGAGCGAAATATCCATGATTTATATACGTAACTTTTTGTTTCAGGGAAAACATTTTAGGAGCTTTGGGTACAGGAACTATGTATAACAGTAAAAGAGATTATCTGTCTCATTCCCAGTGAGCCCTGTGATCCTTAAATTAAGGCTGTTTTCCTTCTTTAGTTGAACAGCGTTACTAAAATCTATCTAAGACCAGAGAACTTTTTTTTTTTTTTGAGATGGAGTCTCTCTCTATCCCCCAGGCTAGAGTGCAGTGGCGCCATCTCAGCTCACTGCAACCTCCACCTCCTGAGTTCAAGTGATTCTCCTGCCTTAGCCTCCTGAGTAGCTGGAATTACAGGCACACGCCACCACACCCAGCTAATTTTTGTATTTTTAGTAGAGACGGGGTTTCATCATGTTGGCCAGGATGGTCTCAATCTCCTGACCTCGTGATCCACCTGTCTCGGCCTCCCAAAGTGCTGGGATTACAGGCATGAGCCACCATGCCCAGCCGACCAGAGAACTTTATAATCAAGCCTTGAAGATTCATATATGCTAGTATTATTTATTTATTTATTTTAATGAGAAACTGATCATAAAAGAAAACCAAGCAATCATGATTTCGTGCATAACACTTGGTTATCACCATAGTGTGATTCGAGGAAACTTTATCAATATCAAGGACTACATAAACCAATTCTTAGAGAAGTCTGGGGATAGTGCCAAATCTAGTAACTATATTGAAGATTTCCCAACACACAATGAGCCAGATTCTAAAGGCGTGTGTGTGCATGTGTGTGTGTGTTGTGACAGGGTCTTGCTCTGTAGCCAAGACTGGAGTGCAGTGGACCACTGCAGCCTCGATCTCCTGGGCCCAAGCGATCCACCCACCTCAGCCTCCCAAGTAGCTGGGACTACAGACATGAACCAATACGCCTGGCTATTTTTTGTAAAGATGGGGTCTCCCTATGTTGCCCAGGGCTGGTCTCGAACTCCTGGCCTCAAGTGATCTTCCCACCTCAGCCTCCCAAAATGCTGGGATTGCAGGCATGAGCCACTTCTCCCGGCCTTAAAGTATGAAGTTTATCCAAAGGACAATGGGACATTGAACCAATGTAAGCAGGCGAGTGGCATAATCAGACTTCCATTTAAGAAAAATTCACTCTCGTTGTCATGTGGCAATTGGATTGGAGGGACACAGGGCCAGAGACAAAAGCCCAGGGGAAGAGGGCAAGAGCTGTGGCTGTGAAGATGGAGAAATATTTAAGAGACTGAACCGATAGAACTTGGTGGATCGATACTTTTGGATCTACATGAAACTTTAGCTTTGAAAATCCCATTGTTTCATTTAGAAGAGAGAAAAGAATACTATCAGGTAAACAACTCAGCTTAGCAAAACAGGACAATGCTGTTTGGTATACACATAATAAAATTTCAAATAACACTTAAAATTTAGTTGTGAATTCTGAGCATTTTTTTTAGCACCACTTACCATACCAGCTTCAGTGAAAACTAGCAGGCTAGGATCAACGAAAGGACCTTAAAGGTATATTCCTTCCCCCTACCCCCAACAAGATGGTATGCTCCTCATCTTTATACCCCAGCACCAAGCAGTTTGTTCAACCCATATAACTCAATAAGTGTTAGTTTAGTGGAAATGAAGTGTAATTCAAGATGTGATTAGGTCAAAGGTGTCAAACCTACTGAAACTACCTAGCATAAAAATAGGTCTCCTGTGCTACATTTTATTTAGAGAACAAATGACAGCAGAAAATTGAACTAATTTTCTGAATGGAAAGATAAAGTAGGGTAACCACTGAAAAGCTGCTGGAAGAAATGCTTAAAAGAAATGTTCAGCAGTGCCGCCCAGACACTGACGGCTGTGAGATAAAAATAACGGAAAAATAGACACACGAGGAGAGCTGGCTGATTGACTCTAGGAGTGGAGATGGCTCATGAAATGAGGAAGATACATAAATAGCCAGTTTCCACTAATAAGAATAGAATTCATTTGTACACAAGACCAAGGGAAACAGGTTACCTATTATAGTGGTAATGGCTTTAGGTCGGGAATTACGTGGATGATATGTTAGTCCTTTGGTAATCACATCTGTGATCTGATTCCAATACCCAGGGTTATACTTGTAGATGTAGAGACTTTAACTTGTCCAAAGCCAATTAAATCTCCAGTTCCTACCCTACCTGGTACAGTGCCTGATGCATGATAGAATCAGGATAGGTAAGGGTAGGTAATACTAACTGAATGTTCCAATGAACAAATAAATTTGTTAATTTAAAACACTTAAATGCTCTCTTATTACCTTGATTTCCAGTTCTTCTTAAACATATAAGATGAACTTCCTCCAGTTGGAAGATTACATCCTTTCAGTGGAAAAGGTGGAGCAATATAAGAATTAAACATTGCATTACCTTTCCCAAGGATCCAACAATCCTAATCCTTTCTTTTTTATGTCTTTGTTCCAAATAGTACATATACACATGCTTATAATCCTTTTTTTTTTTTTTTTTTTTTTTTTTGAGACAGAGTCTTGCTCTGTCACCAGGCTGGAGTGCAGTGATGCAATCTCAGCTCCCTGCAACCTCCACCTCCCGGGTTCAAGCAATTCCCCTGCCTCAGCCTCCTCAGTAGCTGGGACTACAGGTATGCGCCACCATGCCCAGCTAATTTTTGTATTTTAGTAGAGACAGTGTTTCACCATGTTGGCCAAGATGGTCTCCATCTCCTGACCTTGTGATCCACCTGCCTCAGCCTCCCAAAGTGCTGGGATTACAGGCATGAGCCACCATGCCCAGCCATGCTTATAATCTTAAAATGGAATTTTTCCTATTTAAAAATTTTCATTTTTGTTACTCTGAACTTCAACTTCCTTACTCTATTTTTACAGATCTGCAATGTCCATTTGCATTAAATCTTGACCACAGGACTCCCTTTTAGCATCCTGTAAATGAGTCTTTTTTTTTTAAATTTATTTATTTATTTTTTTTAATTGATCATTCTTGGGTGTTTCTCGCAGAGGGGGATTTGGCAGGGTCACAGGACAATAGTGGAGGGAAGGTCAGCACATAAACAAGTGAACAAAGGTCTCTGGTTTTCCTAGGCAGAGGACCCTGCGGCCTTCCGCAGTGTTTGTGTCCCTGGGTACTTGAGATTAGGGAGTGGTGATGACTCTTAAGGAGCATGCTGCCTTCAAGCATCTGTTTAACAAAGCACATCTTGCACCGCCCTTAATCCATTCAACCCTGAGTGGATACAGCACATGTTTCAGATAGCACAGGGTTGGGGGTAAGGTCACAGATCAGCAGGATCCCAAGGCAGAAGAATTTTTCTTAGTACAGAACAAAATGAAAAGTCTCCCACGTCTACCTCTTTCTACACAGACACGGCAACCATCCGATTTCTCAATCTCTTCCCCACCCTTCCCCCCTTTCTATTCCACAAAACCGCCATTGTCATCCTGGCCCGTTCTCAATGAGCTGTTGGGTACACCTCCCAGACGAGGTGGTGGCCGGGCAGAGGGGCTCCTCACTTCCCAGTAGGGGCGGCCAGGCAGAGGCGCCCCTCACCTCCCGGACGGGGCGGCTGGCCGGGCGGGGGGCTGACCCCCCCACCTCCCTCCCGGACGGGGCGGCTGGCCGGGCAGAGGGACTCCTCACTTCCCAGTAGGGGCGGCCGGGCAGAGGCGCCCCTCACTTCCCGGATGGGGCGGCTGGCCGGGCGGGGGGCTGACCCCCCCCACCTCCCTCCCAGACTGTAAATGAGTCTTTATATCAACTCCTAGCCAAAGCCTCCTACCGCAGCCACATTGATTCTCTTATTTGTTCCTCTTATTTATGCTCCTTGTAATTATTCACATTTCTATTATCAAAAAACACCCACCCATCCATGCCCATTGGATCACACCTTCCTTCCTTTTCTCCAAGCTTTACATGGCAAATATCCTACAATGCATGACTTCTTTTTTTTTAAAGAAACACCTTATCATTTGTTGGTCACTCTCCATTCATGATTCAGGCCTGTGTGTGCTGGTGAGGCCATCCTCCCAGTTGAGTTAATTTTTATATCTGGTGTGAGGTAAAGGTCCAGCATCATTATTTTATTTTATTTTTTTAATTGAGATGGAGTAACCCTTTGTTGCCCAGGCTGCAGTGCAGTGACAGATCTCAGCTCACTGCAACCTCTACCTCCCAGATTCAAGTGATCCTTTCGCCTCAGCCTCCCGAGTAGCTGGGACTACAGGTGCGCACCACCATGCCCGGCTAATTTTTGTATTTTTAGTAGAGATGGAGTTTCACCATGTTGGCCAAGCTGGTCTCAAATCTCCTGACCTCAAGTGATCCACCCACCTCGGCCTGCCAAAGTGCTGGGATTACAGGCGTGAACTACCGTACCCAGCCAATACATAACTTCTTAAGTTTCCTGCATTTTTTTTCATACCTAGCAAGTTTTCTCCTTAATTAGAATGAGCACCGGAATTAAAGTGTCTTCATTGCCTTTTCAATTTCTGGGATACGACATTGTTAGCAAGTCAAGCAAAGGATGTTTCAGCCGCCCTGCATGTTACTAAGGTGTCCCTTTCAGGAGCTGTCTAGTTAACTCAGATTCTTCATCCCTGTTACCACAAAGTCCCTTGACATCCATTTTCTAATTTGCGTCAAGAAACCACAGTCTACATTCCAGATTTGGCAGGAAGTCTATACTTTAGCCTCCCAACACACCACTTCTGATTCTGCTTTTAGCTCTGCTCCTCAAACTCTGACCTATACATCCATCATGAGGTCATTAGATTTGCCAAAAGAAGCACACCATACAATCCCACGACACTCCCCACAGTCCCTTCTATTAGAAATGCCGTGTTACTAACATCGACTTCCTAATTTTTCCCTGCATAAGTTTCCTTGTCTAATAGAGATTATATACTTGCTCAATTCACTTACCTATCTTAGGCAAACATATGACCATAAAATTGTTTTAAAAGATACCCATGATTTCAGTGAAATTATTATTATGTTTTTTTTTTTTGAGGCGGAGTCTCGCTCTGTTGCCCAGGCTGGAGTGCAGTGGCGCGATCTCGGCTCACTGCAACCTCCACTTCCCAGGTTCAAGTGATTCTCCTCCCTCAGCCTCCTCAGTAACTGGGATTACAGGCGCACACCACCATATCCAGCTAATTTTTGTATTTTTAGTACAGACAGAGTTTCACCATGTTGGCCAGGCTGGTCTCAATCTCCTGACCTTGTGATCTGCCCTCCTCGGCCTCCCAAAGTGCTGGGATTACAGGCATGAGCCACCGTGCCCAGCCCTATTTCAGTGAAATTATTAACAGAATTTTTCCTACAGAGGTTGCATGAGAGGTTCCACTAGTACCATAGCTAACATCTTCTTAAAATATAATTGATGTACAGTATATTAAAACCATGGTATGCAGCTTAAACTTTAAAAGTAAAAATCTAGAGGTCTTAAATGCTTGATAACCATAAGACCGTTTAAATCTAGCAACAGTGTCTTTGGTTCTACTGTGGCTAATGAAATTGAGGACAATAAATTGCTAGCCAAACTTGAAATCAACCTACTATTTTACTCATTCATCAAACTGACAATATCTAAAGCCTGGGGTATTCCAAAGGATACTTACAAGAGCACTGCCATCAATAGCCATGTATGATGTCATCTTAGTAGAAACAAAAGCTAGAAGAGAAAAAATGTTTTCAGTTAAATGTGAGATTAAAGTGTTCATAAAAACATATATCTCTTTGAGTGGGGAAAGAAAATACTTCTATTGTGATTAATCAATTTTACAATAAAAGTAATTCATTAAATAGCCTTTCGGCCAGGCATGGTGGCTCATGCCTCTAGTCCCAGAGCTTTGGGAGGCCAAGGCAGGAGGATTGCTTGAGGCCAGTAGTTCAAGACCAGCCTGAACAACATAGTGAGACCCTGTCCCTAAAAGAAAAAAAACATAGCCAGTTGTAGTGGCACACACCTGTAATCCCAGCTGCTCAGGAGGCTGAGGTGGGAGGATTGCTTGAGCCCAGGAGTTCAAGGTTACAGTGAGCTATAATGGCACCACTGCACTCCAGCCTAAGTGACAGAACAAGATCCTGTCTCTTAAAAAAATTTTTTTTAATGAATAAATAAATAAATAGCTTTTTATTTCAGAACTCAATAAGCCAACTGTTTAAAGTTGAGTTCATAAGATAAGCCAGAATTTCATTTATACATTTGTCAATATTCTTTTCAAGTACTCAGCAAGACATGTATATGATTTACACACTTAATATTACTATATATATATATATATATATATATACACACAAACACACACACACATTTTGAGAAGTGGAAATGTTTTCCTCTTTATGATAAACAATGCAACTAAGATGTGAAAATGTGGCCCATCACTATTATCCAACTTTGAAAACATAGCTAACTCCCCTGCCTCTGAAGTCCCAAACTTTAATAGCAAGATAGGCTCCTTTTGATGTTTGCACTTTGTAGTGGGTTGCCTGAAAAACAAGATATTCTGTGGTTTCAAGAAAAGCAAATGAAAACAAAAGGAAAAAAATCCTCATGTTTTCAACATTGACAAGCAAGAAACTTGTTAAAGATCCACAAGCCACTGAAACTCTCCCCAAAGCAGACAGCTTTTCAACTTCATCCCAGTGACACCACAAGTACACATTCATGACCTGTTTGTTTCTTACACCAGTGGAGGTCCCCAAATTCTGAGTAATGGAAACTCCTTTTTCATATTAAAAATGCTATATTACATAGATATTAATAAGACATTTATTGGTAAAATGTGAAAGAGATAAACCACAATAAAAGGACTGATAAATTTACTTAATTTTAACTTATTTCTTAAAAAAAAATTAAAACCTAAATTTAAAAAATCAAGTCTCAAGCTGATAAAAATATCTGAAATATACATTTAATACATAAGAACCATAAAATAGAGTTCTTACATGTCACAAAGAAGATAATAAGCAAACTAATAGAAGAACAAATAAAGGAAAATTGAAAAAATAAAATACAAATAACTAATGCTTAATCTCATTAGTAATAAAATAAATGCAAAATAAAATACCATGATTCCATTTTTATTCTTCAGGATTGGAAAAAAATTAAGTGATGGAAGTCAATTTGGGTGGAGGTGGAGGTGTGTTGAAAAGAATATTCTCACATATTGGGATATCAAAATGTTACAGGATCTTTGGGTTGTCGCTCTTCTGGCCAGAAACCTCTGTGGCTGGTGGCACCTTTGCCCAAGTTCTTGTCCTGCATCTGGGAATAACGAGGTACACAGAGAAGTAGAGGGGAGCAAGATGAAGAGGAGCTTTATTGAGTGTTAGAACAGCTCAGAGAAGACCCATAGTGGGTAATTCCTCTCCATAGGCAGGTCGTCCCATGGAGTGTTCAGCTTTCAACAGAGAGGAGGCCCTGGAGAGGGCAGCTCCTCTCTGCAGGCAGGTTAGCCAGAAGTCTGCAGCAGCTCTTGGCAGAGAGGAGGCCCTGGAATGGGTTGCTCCTCCTTGCAGGTGGTAGTCCCAATGTCTCTGCAGGTCCTGAAGCTCTCAGCAGAGAGGGCAGCTCCTCCCTGCAGCTGGTTGTCAGGATGTCTGTTCAGCTCTGGCTGATCTTGGGGCTTTTATGGCCTCAGAGGTGAGGAAATGCACACAGATTGGTCCATGGGTGGCCATGGGAGGGCCCAGAAAGGCACCACAAGTTCCCACTCCAGTTGGTGGGACTGGCAGCCTGGTCCCCAGTCTTCAGGCCCTCCCTGGCCTGAAGGTGGGGTCTCACCAGGGACCTGCCCCCTTCCGCCCTGGCATCTGTCTGCCTCCTGCTGCCGTTCATGGTGCCTGGGCTTGTGGGGACTTTGCTCCCATCAGAGCAGGCACTGACAGCAGGGAGAAGCCAGGCAGCAGAAGCAGGCACTCCTGAGCCTGCAAGGACAGCAGGGGCCTTCCCAGGCCCCCAAGAGTGCAGTGATGCCTGAGTCTGGGGGTGGGGTAGGTCCTGTCTGCTCTTTGGAGTGGGAGGTGTGGGTCTGCAGCTACAGCCTGCTCAGCTGTGGTTTGGGTAGCTGCAGCAGCACCCAGGGAGCTCCATCTCAACTCAGAATCTTTCTTTTGTATCCATTTTACCTGCTTAATTCCTAACTATCCCTTAAAGTCCTCTCTGTCCACACCCATTGCCATCATCCTAGTCCAAGCCATCAGCACCTCCCTCTTGGACCACTGCAAGAACATCCTAACTGATGTCCCAGTTTCTCTCTGGCCCAGTGATTTTTTTCAATGCACATCTGACTATTCACCTCTGTCCTTATATCCCTACAATGGTCATTGGTCTTTAAATAAAGATCAAAATTGTGAAAACTTCCTACAAGTGAGGCTTTGCACCATCTGACCACGACCTCATCTCCGGCCCTTCCTTGGGTTGTTTCCGTATCTGTTTCTATCTCCCTTACTCATTGTCTTTTTTTTTTTTTAAGTCCTCAAACACATTTATTTCCATTTCAGAGCCTTGGTGCATGCTTTTTCTCAACAGTCACCACCTAGGATGGCTTATACCATCTAATTTTTCAACTCTCTGACAGAAGGTCACTCCATCAAGAAAACCTTCCCTGATCCTTGGGAGAGATCGATCCCCTTTTATAGCCTCTCACATCACCTTATTTTTTATTCATAGAAGTTTTCATCATTGTAGTGAATGATTAATTTTGCAATTGGTCCTTTAACATCTGACTCTCCATTATAATATAACCTAACTGAAGGCAGCCACTGTGTCTGGCCTTGGTCACTTATTTGCTGCTGTGTCCTCAGTCTCTGTAGGCAGGGTGGTTCAATATATATTTGTTGAGTAAATGAATTAAATATACAAGCAATAAAACCACTCACTATAGATGAGTTTCCATAAAGGAAATCTATAGATTCCAAATTTTTGTTTTGTAAAATATTGGCATCATGAATATCCCATTAGAAAGCTCCTTCCCAATCTGCAGGATATGGAAATGAGATGATGTTGATATCATACCTCCTTCGGTCAAAGAGCAAAAGGGTAGAAATAATACGCAGTCACTGGCATGGGTGGTGGAGGTGGGATGGGAGACAGCTAGGGATTGATGTACCTTTGTGGAGTTTGTGTATGAGTGTTTCATTAATAATCTTGGAGTTTCAGTACTTTGTTTCTTTTTTTTCTTTTCTTTTCCTTTCTTTTTTTAATTTTAAATTTAAAAAAATAGAGACAGGGTCTTGCTTTGTAGCCCAGGCTGGTCTCAAACTCCTGGTTTTAAACAATCTTCTTGCCTCGGCATCCTAAAGCATTGCGATTACATGAGTGAGCAACCATGCCTGGCCAGTACTTTGTTTCTTGAAGTAGTTGAAACATATGAAATCTAAATTCCACTAAAATGATTCAAAAATAATTTTGGGCAGAAGAACCACCAAAATAAGCTAAGCTCAACTCTTGTTTCTCCTCTTCCAGTCAAAGCCCATGGCCATAATAAAGAAGAATTAGGAAAAGAAATGAGGGCTATGGAGACTCATGTACGTACTTTTGATTGTTTGGACAATGAGAACTGGTTCAGCTAACCAGGTTAACCAGAAACACATGGTGTCCATATGTTGATAAGCTAAATAGGTAGCTCCAAGGTTTTGATGAAAATATATACATATAAAGTACACAATAAAAGCAGCTTGTGAGAAAAATAATCCTGGCAAAGGTGTTTTGAAAGTGATAACTTTTCAGTATTCACAGTCCTTTCTGAGAATATCAGTTTAAGCAAAGTGCCTATACATAAGAATTGAAGGAAGAAATAATGACTATTTGATATATCATGAGAATGAATTTTTGAATTACCACAAATTTAAAAATAGATAAGACCCTAACGACAGGGTAACAAAACACTTTTGTATATCAAGAGGTTTCCAGTTCTTTGCTTTCAACAAAATTAAGGAAAAACCTATTTGAATTGTCTATGGATTATGAAAGTAACTGTTGTGATAAATCATCATGAGATATTTGGCATATCCTTGGAAGGAGTTCAAAAAGTGCTCAATTCCTACATATTTACTTACGTGAAAAATATTTCTAAGTGCTTACATACATAAAAACCAATAATAGGATTAGAATTAGTTCTCAACTCTGTCATTGTAGTAATAAATAATGTTCATTCATGTGTATGTTGCATAATTGGGGGTAATGTCTCATCTATCTAAGTACTGCATATTCAATAAAAATATTTATCTGTTTTATTCAATCACTATCAGTCAAAATGTGTAGTATATCATATTAATGCTTGTTAAATTATGTACCAATAATAATTGTAATAATAACTCTGAATAAAATTTTTTGGCTTAAATAATTTTGTCACCAAAAATTTTTTAAATTAATTTCAATTTAAATATGTATTCTTGGCCAGGTACGGTGGCTCACGCCTCTAATCCCAGCACTTTGGGAGGCCAAGGTGGGCAAATAGCTTGAGATCACGAGTTCAAGACCAGCCTGGCCAACATAGTGAAATCCCATCTCTGCCAAAAATACAAAAATTAGCCAGGTGCGGTGGTGCACACTTGTGGTCCCAGCTACTAGGGAGGCTGAGGTGGGAGGATGGCTTGAGCCCAGGAGGCTGAGGTTGCAGTGAGCCGAAATTGTGCCACTGCACTCCAGCCTAGGTGACACAGCCAGACTTTGTTCCAAAAGACAAACAAACAAACAAACCAAAAAAACTCTTCTTTTAGCTTAAATGTATGATAGAATTATCAATAAAATATTTTCAGGCATAAAAATATGTAATAGGACTTGGCACAGTGGCTCACACCTGTAATCCCAGCACTTTGGGATGCTGAGGTAGGAGGATCACTTGAGGTCAGGAGTTCAAGAGCAGTCTGGGCAACATAGCAAGACCCCATCTCTACAAAAAAAAAATAAATAAATAAGAAAAATCAGCCCTGTATGATGGCAGGCATATGTAGTTGGGAGATTGAGGCAGGAGTATCTCTCCCACCCAGGAGGTCAAGGTTGGTATGATAGTGCCACTGCACTCCAGCCTGGATGACAGAGTGGGATCCTGTCTCTTAAAGAAAAAAAAAATCATATAATAGGATAAAAATCCATATGATAGTGGAATGAAAATATGAGTTTCAGGAGAAAAGAAAACAATGTAAAATGTGCAAGTCCTAAAGTTTACTTTTAAAAAAAATTACAGGACATACCAACTCTTTATGATATCTATATTATATAGATTACTTTTATACAGAAGTATAACCTTTTTTACCATCAATGTTTACAATATGCCAGAAACCACATCTTTTCAACTACATGTATGACAAAAACTTTAGGTGACAATTTGAAGTATAAGGGGGTACATGAGGCTCCTAAGTTCTTTTATGGGTACACAACCAAAAATATATGCTTAAAACTAGGCCGGGTTCAATGGCTCACATCTGTAATCCCAGCAGTTTGGAAGACCAAGATGGAAGGATCACTTGAGACCAGGAGTATGAGACCAGCCTGGGCAACATAGCAAAACCCTCATTTTTACAAAAATAAAATAAAAATTAGCAGGGTATGGTGATGTGCACCTGTAGCCCCAGCTACTCAGGAGGCTAAGGTGGGAGGATTGCTTGAGCCCAGGAGTTCAAGTCTGCAATGAGCTTTGATTGTGCTATTGCACTCCATCCTGAACAACAGAGTGAGACTCTGTCTCTAAAAGAAAACCACTCCACTAAAGTATGTAGATTACAGTCAAGTAGGTTTAAGTTCAAATCCCAACTCTGCCACTTGTTAAATGAGAAAACTTATGGAAACTGCTTAATGCTCTGACTAGCAAATGCCTCCTCTTTGAATAATAATAACCAACTCATAAGGTGTTTGTGAGAATTAAACGAGATATCATATGGGAAGCACACAGGGCACAAGTGTGCATGCTTAGTAAGTGGTAGCAATTACCTAGAATGGGAGCTATTACCTAGAAATAGCTTCATTATACAAAACTATCCTTCCTAATGGAATTAGTATACAACTAAAGGGATTGAACAAGTGTGATAACAGGTTTCATCAAATAAAATAGCTTTCACACTTCAAGGTTGGTTAAACTCCCTAGCCAACTAACCAATGACATTTTTGGTGCCTTGTTTCAGAGTTTAAGGGAATAGTTATCTCAGTCATATTTAAAACAGTTATCTTCTTTAAAGAACAATTTCTTAACAAACTACAACATGAAACATAGCCAAACCAATGAAATCACTAATTGTTTAAGTTTGTTAAATGAAATAAAATGCATTCCTGATCAACTCTGTAACTGAAAACTAGAAAATATGTTTTGTTAGCAAATGAGTAATAAAGTCAATTTCAAAGAAGAGATTTTCCTTCACATATATTAATAAAGAATCATTCCATTTTGTTTTAATCACAAATTGCATGCTTCTTAAACCAAGTGTGTTTTAGCCATTTTAGAAATTGTTTAGAAAGTTATTTAAGATAGAAATATGGACTCTCATCCTATACTATTTTAAACCCAGAAAATGAACCAAGAATATCAATCCCCAACAAACACACTATTTATAAAGAAGGCTAGCATAATCAGTATTTTTTTTAAGAATCAAGAAAAAAATTCCACTAAGGGGATTTATTCATTCAACTGATGCAAAGGTAACTGTCCTGGTTATTCCCTAATAGACATTATCATCTTTGGAATGATGGAGCAAAATAAGTACCATGCCTAATGTTTTACACATTTTTAAAACAAAGATAATTTATTGTGATTTAGAGACGATTTTCCAGTTGAAATAACATAGGAGCTAGGTTGATTCTCTTTCTCACAGAGCCTTAAGTGAAAACAAAACAGGTCTGAACTAAAACGTTTAAAACCCACAGATTAATTTATCCTTTAAAATTATAATGCTGGCATTCAGCAAGACATTATCACAGCAGCAAGTGGATTTATACAAAGTCCACAAACACAGGCAAACAATGTGCGTTATTCTTAAGCCAGAAGTCAGAGCTAAGAGGAAACAAAAAAATGCTTGTTATCCTCGTGGCAGAAGTCTTGATCGTCGACAAGTAGGTAATCCATGTGGCAGCAAACGTCCACACTCTACTGGAGACAAGCACTGTTTATAAGCGAGCATGTTCTGTTACATGATAGTCCATCACAGCAATGCCATGGAAAACAGAAGAGAACATTCATCTTCGCTCACATATAAAAGCAAAGGACATGAGATAATCCATTCGTTTTGCCAATTAGTAGGAGATTTCACCTGTCAAGGCAAAGCAGGAGAGAAGGAAGCAAATGCAAGATGACTTCCCTACCAGTCTGTGTACAGTGACATATGCGGCAGGGGAGGTTTGGGGTTGTGACTTTGTTCAGGAACTTTATGAAGGAGAAAGTAGCTTCATCCAAATTATTTTAAGCTTTTTTCTTTTTTTCTTTCTTTCTTTCTTTCTTTTTTTTTTTTTTTTTTTTTTTTTTTTTTTTTTTTTTTTTTTTTTTGAGGCAGAGTCTCCCTCTGTCGCCCAGGCTGGAGTGCAGTGGCGCCATCTCGGCTCGCTGCAAGCTCCGCCTCCCGGGTTCACGGCATTCTCCTGCCTCAGCCTCCAGAGTAGCTGGGACTGCAGGCGCCCGCCACCACACCCGGCTAATTTTTTGTATTTTTAGTAGAGACGGGGTTTCACCTTGTTAGCCAGGATGGTCTCGATTTCCTGACCTCATCATCCACCCGCCTCAGCCTCCCAAAGTTCTGGGATTACAGGCATGAGCCACCGTGCCTGGCTGCTTTTTTTTTTTTTAACTTAAGCTCAAAGTGTCATTCTGATTCCAATCCATTTTCTACTTGCTATAGAATATTCTCATTCTTTCTCTTTCGGTTATCTTCCCTTTTTTATTGTTGTCTTTTCCACTCATTTCGTTGCATTTCTTTCCTGCCTTCTCTCCACTTTGATGATGAATTGACAGATGGTTTTAAGAACCACAGCTTTTTTCAAACAGAGAAACTATGATGCTTAAAATTACTTTATTTTTGACACCATAAAAATACTGCAATCCATCATCTGTGGAGACTGGCAGGCCTCTTCCCTGCTTTCCCTTCAGAAATTCCCACATAAGCTGTCAGCCCTGACAATCAAGGCTCAGACACACAAAATCCACAAAGCTAAGGGAGATAAAAGACTTTCTTTCAGCCAATAATGTCAATCTTTCCTCCCAGTGGACCATTTTACCATAGTAACAAACAGGTGGAAAACTGCAAGAGATCTCAAACGATTTGCCTCTTTCACATCCTGGAAGGGCCTACCAAATGCCAATGGCTATTGGCCATGCCCCTCTTGGAGGTACAAAGCTCCCCTGAGTTGCTGAACTACAGGGGTCTCTTGTCCTTCTGTGGGACTCCTGAACCTGAAACTTCTAAAATGTGGTCTATACCTGCAGGGGCCATTAGACTGGGGCAAGCAGAGACCAGCCGTGGGCCACACCCTGGCCAATCCTCCTCAGAGCACCCAGAGCCCAGCCCTGGCCCACATGCACCCTGTGTTGGTTGCGCCCAATCAAGGTTCCCTTCCCCAGAACATGGGGTAGACCAGATGCCCTGAAAAGCACTGGGACTTGTTTCTACAGAGTTGGGTTTGTTCTGCGGTTGTCTTAAGTTCCATGACACCTGCCTGGAGAGTAGTTGTTGTCACTGGTTCTCCAAAACAGGGATGGATGTTCAATGATTCCAATTATTTATATAGGCAGGGGTCCTACAATGCATATTTTCACCTACCCCTCAAAGACACATAAACACACACACCCTAGTGGCAGCTCTTGTTCAGTTTTACCAATGCAGATAAAACACACCATCACACCTGCCTCTCCTACGCCAGCTCCAGATCCAAGGAACTTCTAGGAGCCAGTTACTCTAAGATCCAAGCTAGCCGTATGCTGAAGCGTGATTCTAAGGGATTGTGACTGAAACTCCAGGAGCCACCTCAAAAGTTTGTACTGTCCTCAAGCTGCTACATCATATGAGACAAAGGGCACCAGCTCCCTAATGAGGACACAGGAAACATTGGTAGCTCCTAGACAAGGTATCAATTATGAGGCCCACTGCAATCTACTACAGTCTGTTCCATGAGCACAGCTTGGTTCCTTCCAGGTCCCTACTAGGGTATCCCCCGAATAACATCCGCAATTCCTAGTTTGCTTCACTCCAGCCGGTGGGGCAAGAGCTGATACAGTGCTCTAGAATGAGCCAGATAGGAATAGCAAGCGATGGCCCTTACTTTTCTGAAATTTGCATCTCTCCATTTCTCCACATGAATAATAATTACATTTTCTGTCTGCAGAAGATGAAATGTTTTTCTACTTGGTGAAATTCAGACAGTGTACATGGCTCTGAGGCAGCCAGTCACTTTATTTCTGCTTTGCCAAACATTATTCCATTCAGTGCCCTTTACACCAAAGTGAGCAGCTATACCCCATACAGCAGAGGACTCTGCAACTGGACATTCACTGGCTAGAAGGCAGCCAAGAAAAAAAAAATGATTATAAAAGCTGTCAGCCGCTTGCACCCATTGCTCTAGAGTTGGAGCCAAAACCCCTTTTGTCTGGCTAGATTTTTCCTTAAGAAATATCATTTTAGGGGCCGGGCACAGTGACTCACGCCTGTAATCCTAGCACTTTGGGAGGCCGAGGCGGGTGGATCACTTGAGGTCAGGAGTTCGAAACCAGCCTGACCAACATGGTGAAATTCCATCTCTACTAAAAATACCAAAAAAATTTAGCTGGCCATGGTGGCAGGTGCCTGTAATCCCAGCTACCCGGGAGGCTGAAGCAGGAGAATCGCTTGAACCTGGGAGGTGGAGGTTGCAGTGAGCCGAGATTGTGCCACTGCACTCCAGCCTGGGCAACAGAGAGAGATTCCATCTCAGAAGAAAAGAAAGAAAGAGAAAAAGAGAGAGAGAGAGAAAAGGAAAGAAAGAAAGAGAAAAGGTGGGAGGGAGGGAGGAAGAAAGAGAAAAAAGAAAAGAAAAAAAAAGAAAAGAAAAGAGGAAGGGAAGGAGGGAGGGAAGGAGGAAATAAAAGATCATTTTAGGGGCCTTGTAATTTTGCAAAGGTCGTGCCCAAGGGTTATCAGACAAGAGAGACCATAAGGAGATAAACTACTGTATATAATCATGGTGAGGGCTGCTTTGCCCAGAATAGAGTGACTTCTCTTGGAGGCTCTTATAATGATATTTGGCAGAACTGTTGCAAACTGTTTTCAGTCTTCACAGCAAGGTTGTAAAGTAACTTATACTTTAACACGTGAAAAAACGAATATACAGAGTGGGTGGACTAACTAGTTTACATAGCTAGCAAGTTAAAGCCAAATTTGAATTCAGATTTTCAGACTCCAGGTCCAGGGCCCTATGGTCATCAGCAGTGCTGTCTCAGAATAATCTTTGCCTTTTCAAATTCTCCTTAGAAGCAGGCTTTTATTTTCTTTTTGCAAACAGTAGATCTCATTACATTCTTAGAGAATGAATGAGTCTAATAATTCTTACAGACACTCAGGGCAAGACATGCAGTAGGCACCTAACAAATATCTGTTGACTTATATTGGCCCTGCCTCAACTTTAGGACAAGTTAGAATGAGTAAGCTATTTACCAAATTTAGACAATTCAGAGGGACCTTCGGTGACTAGCAGTGATAACGTGGCTGCCAAAGGGCTACTCGTGGGATCATAGATCAGCTGCCACTGTGTGGTCTGGAAGGGTCTGATCAGCAGGCAATACAGCTCTCAGAAAGAGACACTGACGAGCTGCATGCAGCTTGTTTGGGAATTGCGCATCCTAGGTGAGGCTTCATTCAGAAACTATGAAGGGCTCACGTCCTGGTCAGAATCCCACATGGGCAGGCTATGAATTGAAGGCTTAAACCATATCATGCTGGAAACCACACAGGCACAAGGACCTCAATTTTGCATCTGCTGAAAAATCTGGGTTAGTGTCTCCAAAACATCTAAAGCAAGAACGAGAGATGTCACTAAAACACACCTATTTATTCTTTAGGAAGAACTGTTAAATTAAAGTCATTCTTAAATACCCCCCATCCCAAATTGAGATATTTGTTGACACAATCCACATAAGCGAATGCCGTCAAGAATAGATTTGCTTTCTCTGAAATCATAACATGTATGCAAAGAGACACCTAGTGGAAGAACACCTAAGTACAATATTTAGCTTAAGACCAAAGATTAAATCGTCCAACTCCCTAATTTGACATTCTTTCAATTTCAATAGCGCATTTTTTTAAACCACTAGAATCATAAACTCAGAAATCTAAGTTTTCAAAAAGAAAATGTTCTATTTGTTTTTCCAGGAAGCATTGGCTCTTTTATTGGTTGTTGTTGTTGTTCATTAGACTATCTTACGTATAAATTACTGCGAAGTAATACAAAAATTACAGAGCAGACTGCAGCTGGCCAGCCACTTTACTTCACCTTTCCCTGAACACATGTGGGCTTATTTTTTTGTTTCCATTCCTTTATAGACTTTGCCTGTGAGATTTTCCGCTTGTCTTTGGGTTGCTTTTTTCTTGCTTTTAACTAGGTAAAGCCAGACTTTTTTTTTCCAGCCAGCTTCCTGTGGTCCGCCCAGCTTCCTGTGGTCCACCCACTCTCATCTTTACATGCTCACTTTCCCACTCGTACCTCACCTACACTGGGTACCGCACCCACCTCCTCATCTTCCATGCACACGTGCACCTTCCTCTCTCCCTCCTGCCCTAGATACCTTCATTTAACCTCAAAAGGAAAACTTTGTTATCACAAAATAGAAGGAATCACCTATTTTTTTCTTTACTCCATAGTACTAAAATTCAGCTATGACAAACGTTGAAATTATTATTTTTAAACTCCTGCATAGAAAAAAAGTTTAGATTGGAAATTGATTTTTAATTTAACAGATATGTTTAATTGCAATTTCTATGACCTCACAGGCACCACTTCATGGGATTTTACATCTGAAAGAGGAACATGTGCTCTAGCAGAAGCCAGACTGACATTCACCAGGTCCAGGTCTCCTGACACTGCTGTGCTACAAAGAGCTGAGCCCTGTGGACAGGTCCGGGAGAATGAGACGCCAAGTAGAGAATGGGAATCCAAGAGACGCCAAGGCTCCAGACGTATGGATGCAAAAGTGATCTTGAAAGTAGAGATCCTCCGATCCTAGCCACCCCAGCTAAAGTCACATGGGTCAAAGATGAACTGCCAAGCCAAGTCAACCCCTCTCCAAATTCCTGTCATGGTCAAAACAAAAAGGTCCTTACTCCACTGTTTTCAATAAGTAAGAAGGTCCTTATTCCTACATCACATGCTTGATGGTGACATGTTGAAACCTTTTCCTTTGATATTAGGAATAAGCCAAAGATTCTCATTATCACTTAACAACATTGTCTCAAAAGTACTGGAAAACAATGGTAAAAATATATATATATATGATTAAAAGGTAAAAAATCAAGATTGTCAGTATTTTCAAATGATATAGTTTTACATGCAGAAAGAATCTACACATTAATAATTACAATTAAAAAGTGGGCCAGGCGTGGTGGCTTATGCCTGTAATCCCAGCACTTTGGGAGGCTATGGTGGTGGATTGCTGGAGCTCAGGAGTTTGAGACCAGCCTGGGCAACATGGTGAAACCCTGTCTCTACCAAAAATACAAAAAAAAAAAAAAAAAAGCTGGTCATGGTGGTGTGCACCTGTGGTCCCAGCTACTTGGGAGGCTGGGGTGAGAGGATCCCTTGAACCTGGGGGATAGAGGTTGCACTGAGTTGAGATCGTGCCACCGCAAAAAAATCATAGACAGAGCCAGACCCTGTCTCAAAATAAAAAAAAAAAAAAGTGGGCATAAGAAGGTTGCTAGCTACAAAGCCAATATATTAAAATCAACAACATTTCTACCAGCCACCAACAGTTTGAAAGTAAAATTTCTAAGAAGATAGCAATATCATAAAAATTCAAATATGTTAGAATGAATCTAATAAAAATGTATAAGACTTCAATGAAGAAATCAATTTTTGAAAGAAACTTAAAAAGGGTATAAATAAATGGAAAGATGTCGTGTGTTCATTCATTGGAAGACTCAATATTGTGAAGATGACTCTGGCTAGTGCTTTTCCTTTGCCATTCGTTATCTTCATTATTCTGTGGTCATAAGGATATCGTCCTACTTTTCCTTCTACGAATTTTATTGTCTTGTCTTCCTTATTAGATCTACAATTTACTTGCAATTGATTTTCTATTATGGTTTCAAATAGGGGTCAAGTTTCATCTTTTAAATTAATGGCCAATTACCTCAGTATCATCTATTGAAAATACTGTCATTTCCCCCACTGGTTCTAACCATAAAGGAAAAGCTGTAAGTTGAAACACATTAGAATTAAGAATTCCCATTCATCAAAAGACAACCTTAGGGACTGAGAAAACAAGCAAATGAATGAGAAGAGGTATGTGCCATACATATAACATGCATGAGGCCATGCATCCAGAATCTATAAAGAACTCCCATGAATCAGTAAGGAACAGGCAGAAAACCTAAGACAAAAATGAGAAAAGACTTACTAGGCCTTTGACAAAGAAGGAACATCAATTAGCCAATATACATAGGAGAGACACCAATCATTAACAATCAGGAAATGTTAATGTTAATGTTAATGTTAATCCTCATTAACAATCAGGGAAATGCAAGGCAGAACAGCAATGAAACATAATTAAACAGCCACCAAAACAGTGTAATTTTAGAAGACTGACAATGCCAAGCGTTGGCAAGATTGTAGAACCAGTGAAAACTCAAAATATTGCCAGTGGAAAATTATTTTGGAAAAGTGTTTGGCAACACCTGCTAAGGTTAATTACATGCATAGTCTATGCCCACAACCTTTACTCTAAGATGTACATGCCTCAGATATGTGTGCAAATGTATGCTGAAAATGCGTAACAATGGTTCTATCCAGTTCATTAATAACAACCAGAACAAAAAACAGGGCTGGGCATGGTATCTCATGCCTATAATCCCAGTGCTTTGAGAGGCCAACATGGGAGGATCACTGGAGGCCAGGAGTTCAAGACCAGCCTGGGCAACAAAGTGAAACTCTATCTCTACAAAGAGGTAAATCATTTAAAAAATTGTTAAAAAAAAATGTCCATCAATGGGAAAATGAATAAATAAATTGTGGTACAGTCATTACAATGAACTACATAGCAATCAAAAAGAAAAAGACTACTTCTATCCACAGTGAAATAACATTGAGAGAAAGAAGCTAGACACAAAAGAATATAAACAATATGATTCCATTTATATAAAATAATAGAGCAGCCAAAGCTAGATCATAGTGTTTAGGGAAGTGTACTTGGGTCATAAAATTATCACAAAATGCAACCACAATGACCACAAATGGCAGGAGAGTGGAAACCTTTGAGGAGGAATCAGGAATTATTTATTGGAATGGGTACAAGAGGGGATTCGGGATCCCGATGGTATTCTATTTCTTGACTGAAGTGGCAGTTGCAAGAATTTACACTTTATGATAAATCATCTAGCTATTCCATTTTTTTCATGTTTTCCACTGCATGTATGTTATATTTCAAACTAAAAGTCATTTTGAAAAGTGAGAACTAGGCCAGATGCTATGGCTTATACCTGTAATCCCAACACTTTGGGAGGCCAGAGCGGAATGATTGTTTGAGGCCAGGAGTTTGAGACCAGCTTGAGCAACATACTGAGAATCCCCATCTCAACAAAAAAATTTAAAAATTAAGGCCAGTCGCAGTGGCTCATGCCTGCAATCCCAGCACTTTGGGAGGCCGAGGTGGGTGGATTACTTGAGGTCAGGAGTTCAAGACCAGCCTGGGCAAGATGGTGAAACCCCGTTCCTACTAAAATACAAAAAAAAAAAAAAAAAAAAAAGCCAGGCATGGTGGTGTATGTCTGTAATCCCAGCTACTTGGGAGGCTGAGGCAAGAGAATTGCCTGAACCCGGGAGGTGGAGGTTGCAGTGAGGCGAGATAGCGCCACTACACTCCAGCCTGGGTAACAGAGCAAGACCTCATCTCGAAAAAAAAAAAAATTTTTTTTAAAGTAGCCTTGTGTGGTGGTGCATGCCTATAATCCTAGCTACTTAGGAGGTTGAGATGGAGGATCACTTGAGCCCAGGAGTTTGAGGTTGCAGTGAGCCATACTGCACTCTAGCCTGGATAACAATGTGAAAGCTTGTCTCTAAATAAATAAATAAACTCTTGTTGAAGATTTTAGTTTTCCTTGAAGTGAAATGGGCAAGCCTGGCCAGGCATGGTGACTCACGCCTGTAATCCCAGCACTTTGGGAGGATGAGCCAGGTGATAACTTGAGGCCAGGGTACGAGATCAGCCTGGTCAGCATGGTGAAACCCCGTCTCTACTGAAAATATAAAAATTAGCCTGGAGGCCGGGCACTGTGGCTCACGCCTGTAATCTCAGCACTTTGGGAGGCTGAGGTGGGTGGATCACCTGAGGTTAGGAGTTCGAGACCAGCCTGGCCAACATGGTGAAACCACGTCTCTACTAAAAATACAAAGAATTAGCCAGATGTGGTGGCACACACCTGTAATCCCAGCTACGTGGGAGGCTGAGACAGGAGAATAACCTGAACCCAGAAGGTAGAGGTTGCAATGAGCCAAGATGGCACCATTGCACTCCAGCCTGGGCAACAAGAGTGAAACTCCATCTCAACAACAACAACAAAATATCCTGGCATGATGGCACATGTCTGTAATCCCAGCTACTCGGGAGGCTGAGGCAGGAGAATAGCTTGAACCTGGGAAGCGGAGGTGGCAATGAGCCGAGATTGCACCACTGCACTCCAGCCTGGGTGACAGAGCAAGACTCTGTCTCAAAATTAAAAAATAAATAAATAAATAAAATAAATGGTTTTGCAGGGTTCTGATCTGACAAACACATTAACAGCTCTGGCTCCAGCACTGACAACAGACTGAAACAGAGAAAAGACATAAACCAAGAAACCAGTTAAGAGGCTACTGGAACGATCCAGGGAAGAGATTACAATGTCATCTCTTTCGCGGGACCAGAGTGGTAGCGATAGAAGTGGTAAGAAGTAGATGGATCAGGCAGGGCGCGGTGGCTCACGCCTGTAATCCCAGCACTTTGGGAGGCCAAGGTGGGCGGATCACGAGGTCAGGAGATCGAGACCATCCTGGCTAACACGGTGAAACCCTATCTCTACTAAAAACACACACAAAAAAATTAGGCGGGCACGGTGGCGGGCACCTGTAGTCCCAGCTACTTGGGAGGCTGAGGCAGGAGAATGGCATAAACCCGGGAGGCAGAGCTTGCAGTGAGCCGAGATAGCACCACTGCAGTCTGGCCTGGGCAAAAGAGCGAGACTCCGTCTCAAAAAAAAAAGAACTAGCTGGATCAAAGTACTTACTCCTCTTTGTCACAATGACCAATCCAGAAAATAGTACATGTACCAAGTCAAGATAATCAGGAAATTCTGTCTGAAATATTGGGAAAGAGATTTGTCCCTTTTTTCTGGGGTGTCAGCCATGAACGCTCTGCAAACCTGGAGTTAGCAGTGGTCACCTTGGTGAAATGGTGGAGAAAAGAGATTGAAAATGAAGCCAAAACAGCAGGAAGCAGAGCCCAAGGAGAGAGTGGAAAAAGAAATCTATGCTACAAAATACTCAATCCCACAAATTTTCAAAGATGTATATTTGAGGGCAGGGCAGGAACCTCATTCCTGTAATCCCAGCACTTTGGGAGGCCGAGGTGGGCGGATCACCTGAGGTCAGGAGTTCAAGACCAGCCTGGTCAACATGGTGAAACCCCATCTCTACTAAAACTACAAAAAAATTAGCCAGGCATGGTGGCGCAGGCCTATAATCCTACTCAGGAGGCTGAGGCAGGAGAATCGCTTGAACCTGGGAGGTGGAGGTTGCAGTGAGCCGAGATCACGCACTGCACTCCAGCCTGGGGCACAAGAGTGAAACTCCATCTCAAAAAAAAAAAAAAAAAAAAGAGGGCCGGGCACAGTGCCTCACACCTGTAATCCCAGTACTTTGGGAGGCCGAGGCGGGTAGATCACAAGGTCAGGAGATCATGACCATCCTGGCTAACATGGTGAAACCCCATCTCTACAAAAAAAATACAAAAAATTAGCCAGGTGCGGTGGTGGGCCCCTGTAGTCCCAGCTACTCAAGAGGCTGAGGCGGGAGAATGGTGTGAACCTGGGAGGTGGAGCTTGCAGTGAGCTGAGATCGCGCCACTGCACTCCAGCCTGGGTGACAGAGTGAGACTCCATCTCAAAAAAAATTAAAATTAAATAAATTTTTAAAAAGATGTACATTTGAATATGTCTTGTGAAATTTCAGAATTTCAAAGTATACAGAGAATTCTAAAAGTTTCTCTAAAGAAACAAGAACATTGTTAGATTTCTCATGCAAGTTGAGCTGCTGAAGGACATGGGGGCAATATCTTTGAAGTTCTGAGTGAAAATAAATTTGTACATAAAGTTCTGTATCCAACCAAACATACAATCAAGTGTGAGTGCAAAATAAACACATTTTAGACATGTTTGTTTATTCCTTATGTGCCCTACGTGAAAACATTGCTTGGTAAAATAATAAACTGACAAAGACATTTAAAAAGAAAAACATGAGATAGAAGAAGGAAAAGAACATGAGATTAAGATTCAGGGAAAGATGAGCATATAATTAAAAAAAGATGTACACATAAAATACAATCTACTGAAACTGTGCAAGTATAGTTTCCTATTCCTAGCTTGATATCCCTTGAATTGATTTTGCAATCAATCCTCACACATTTGCAGTTACATTTAATTTCAAGTAATGATTTTGTTGGGGAAAAAAGAAAGTACCATTAATATAATTCCTTCTTCATAATCCTTTTTCACTTATTCTCACCTAAAGTCAGAAAGTAAAAAATGTGAAGTTAATTTTAAAATATTAAAATAACTCAATTACCTGGTAGAACAGAAGGAATTGTAAGTGTGACTGATTTAGAAAGGAAGGGTGTTGTATAGAGATACTGGATGTGATAACTTTGCAGCACATACCATCAGACAAGAAATTGTTAGTGTACTCTATGTCTAGTTCTCCTCTTCTCCCTCGGCCCCCAGGAAGACCTCCCAGACCCATGCAGTTAGGAGAGGCCGTGTGAGTTGTTCTGACCAATGGGGACTGGGCAGAGGTGATGTCATCACTTTGTGTCTGGAGAAGAGTATGAGTGCCCCACACCCTCCTTCTGTGTCATGACCAACTCTGAAGCCACCTATTGACATGGTGGTGTTGCAGGATGGTGGAGCTTTCATCAGCCTGAATCCCTGAGTGACTTTGTGGAGTAGAGGATCTCTCCCCTCCTGACGACCAGCACTGAACATACAGTGTGGGTAAGAAATCAGAGTTATAGCCAGGCACAGTGGCTCACGCCTATAATTCCAGCACTTTGGGAGGCCGAGGCGGGTGGACCACAAGGTCAGGAGATCAAGACCATCCTGGCCAACATAGTGAAACCCCGTCTCTACTAAAAATACAAAAATTAGCCAGGTTTGGTGGTGTGCACCTGTAGTCCCAGCTACTCGGGAGACTGAGGCAAAATAATCTCTTGAACCCAGGAGGCAGAGGTTGCAGTGAGCCGAGATCACGCCACTGCACTCCAGCCTGGGTGATAGAGTGAGACTCCGACTCAAAAAAAAAGAAATCAGAGAATCAGAGTTACTCGAGAGTTAATTTCAGCATAACACCGTCTAGTCTAATAAGAGCTCCTGTGCCTCATTAAGTATTAACAAAAGTCTTTTCTATATTTCTTCAAGCTCTATTTAAATTTTTTCTGTGTAAACTAACATATACCCAAGATAGGTAGTTGCCTTTTTTAACAATTTGGCTGGAAGGTAATTTTATTAGGAAAGACATTGGTATCTCTACTGAGGATAATAAACTCAGGGAAAATGAAAATGGCAACAGGAAACCTTTCACTTGCTGAGAAAACTTGTTCTTTTCTTTTCCCTTTTCCTCACTGTCTACATATAATAAATGCAGAAAATTTTCTGAGGAAATGCCCTATTCATTGTGGAAATAATCTCAAAAGATTTAGAGATTTTCAGTTAGTACCTCATCATTCTTGAAATTGGATTCTATTTTTTAGAAAGCTATACCCATATTTTTGAGCTAAAATTTAAAAAAAGCAAAAATATTATTAACCAGGAAAACAATAGCTCAAATGTTAACCTGCCCTCTCAATAATCTGAAAAACAGATTCTGTTTTCAAGGAATAATCTCCATATAAGTATTCTTTCAGCTAGTTCCTTTTTTGTAATCTAGTTGTCCACATTCTTGTTCACATTGTTATATTTTGCACACATATGCACAAAAATTATGAGCCTTCAAGAAGAAAATATATGTGGTCATCTATTTCTTCACTGCCAGCATACAAGTTTTTAACACAGAGTTTATTTTAAAATAAGGCAAGAAACCCTTGGAGTCTGAGTTGTTTCTTTATTAGAGGTGTGAGACCTGGCCCCACACGTTTCTGTACTGGAAAAAGTCCATTGACACCTTGAATCACTTGGTAACATAAATCAAAATTAAGCAGTTCTTAGAACATAAGTTTCATAGGCCATAGCAAGTAAAAAATAGTAAGAAAAATATAACCTGATGTTCAAATGCATTCACATAAAACTTCACAATATTTACTGCCCAGCAGGAATATGTCAAAATAATTAGACAAGCATTCTGTGCTTAAGAAATCTGTGGAGAGCTCAAAATAATTATGGGGCCAAGAATGTAGGCACATGTGAATGAAAACTAAATATGAACTGTTTGCTCCCACTACACACCCTTGAACCAAGAACTATGTCTGTCACACACCAGGGCCTGTCTGGGGGTGGGGGGTGGCAAGGGGAGGGAGAGCATTAGGACAAATACCTAATGCATGTGGGGCTTAAAACCTAGATGACGGGTTGATAGATGCAGCAAACCACCATGGAACATGTATACCTATGTAACAAACCTGCATGTTCTGCACGTGTATCCCAGAACTTAAAGTAAAATAAAAACTTTTTAAAAAGAACTATGTCTATAACATATTAGAGTGACTAGATAAACAAGATTCCTTTAGTATTGCTTAATGACAGGAGTAAAAGACGAAAATTGTTAACATGCTTTTGCATCAAGATGGAGGACATTTTATTATCTTAGTAGCTGGTTCAAGACTTTCTCTTATGTAAACATTTGACTTTGCTAGAAAAATATCATAATAAGCCCCTTTGTCATAAAATCTGAAATCCAGCAGTGTTTGGATGTGTGTAGAAAGACCTGCAATGAGGCAGGGAGGGGAAGAAGAGAGGTGGAGGCTGTAAAATGGGGAATGGGGAGAGCAGTGTGATGGAAGAAATGACACCACAATGTCAGTTTCAGTAGAAAGCGGTGAAGAGTCTGAACTTTGCCTTCATGTTAGCATCAGGTGGAACCGAGGCAGTACACAAGGACATCTGAAAAAACAAGTTGCTGGGAATAAAGGCCAGGGCCGATGACAAGATCATTCATCACCACGTGATATTGTTTGGCCCCGTGTCCCCACCCAAATCTCATGTTGAATTATGATCTTCAGTGTTGAAGGAGGGGCCTGGTGGGAGGTGACTGGATCACGGGGGTGGATTTCCCCTTGTTCTCATGACAGTGAGTGAGTTCTCAAGAAATCTGGTTGTTTAAAAGTGTATAACAGATTGCTCGAGCTCAGGAGTTTGAGGTCAGTCTGGGCAACATAGCAAAGCCCCCTTTCTTTTTTTTAAAATTAAAAAATAAAAATAAATAAAATATTAAAAGTGTGTAGCACTTTGCCCTTCTCTCCCTCTCTCTCTCTCTCTCTCTCTCTCTCTTGCTCTGCTATGTGAAGATTGTGCCTATTTCCCCTTCACCTTCCACCATGACTGTAAGTTTCCTGACACCTCTCCAGCCATGCTTCCTGTACAGCCTGTGGAACTATGGGCCAATTAAACCTCCTTTCTTTATAAATTTCTCAGTCTCAGGTAGTTCTTTATAGCAGTGTGGGAATGGACTAATACACCATCATAACTAATATTTATTAAGTGCTTAACAATGCACCAGATATTGTTCTAAGAGCTATATTCATATTAACTCATTAAATCCTTACACCAGCTATGGGTGCTATTACTGTCTCCATTTAACAGATGAGGAAAGCGAAGTGCATAAAGGTTAAGCAGTTTGCCCAAGGTCATACAGATTGGTGTGTATTTGTGTCAGAGATAAGATTCAAACCCCAGCCCTCTGAGCTCAGAGCCTCCCCTTTGTACCATTGTGCTATCTCTTATTTTATTACAAGAGACTATAAAGTTCATCGAATTCAGTCTTCCAACAAACACAGCTTCTTATAACAAGCCATGCTCTTACTAGATGCCCACTGTGATGGGGAGGTCCCTAATCTGAGAGCCAGAAGTGTTATACTAGAAAACATACTTGACAACTTTTGAAGATAGTAAAATCACCCACTTTTGTCAATACCTTAGGGTAACCAGTTCTGCATATCATCAATGAAAAATATGAATATAAAAAGCATCACTTAAAATTCCTCAACAAAACATCAAATTTTATGGTAAATAAAGCATTCTTTACTGCAGAAGACAATGCAGACATCTTACTGCCTGACTCATCAGTAAATGCGTATCTTTTATATACATGTTGAAACAATAGAATTTATGTCTTAGAAGACGTCTATACAGCTAAGGTATGCACCAAAGCTAATTTGTATGTCCATGAGTTGGACAACCAGGACAACGGGTTTTAATAACTACAGAAAAAGAAAGAGAAGGGCAATGGTCACCAAAAAGCACAATGGTGACTAATGAGTTATGACTAACAGTGTTTCAAAGACAGTTGTAACATAATTGGAAATGGTAGAAACTACATACTGAGGACAATAGTGATTATTGTCTGGGTCATAGAAAATAATAGCATTTAAGTTAATACGCTAATACTTTCTGAAAAATTACCAGGATTTCAGTTATATCTATACAGTCACAGAAAGATGTGTCCTTAATAGATAACTGTGGGCGGCCGGGCGCGGTGGCTCACGCCTGTAATCCCAGCACTTTGGGAGGCCGAGGCGGGCAGATCACGAGGTCAGGAGATCGAGACCATCCTGGCCAACATGGTGAAACCCCTTCTCTACTAAAACTACAAAAAATTAACCCGGTGTGGCGGCAGGCGCTTGTAGTCCGAGCTACCAGGGAGCCTGAGGCAGGGGAATCGCTTGAACCCAGGAGACCGAGGTTGCAGTGAGCCGAGATCGTGCCACCGCACTCCAGCCTGGAGACAGAGCAAGACTCTGTCTAAAAAACAAAAAAAACAAAAAAAAAAAAAAAAAAAAAAAAAAAAACTGTAAAAAGAATGCTTCCTTTGAATTCCCCAGCAAGTTTAAAGTTGTGTTTCATCTTTGGAAAAAAATGAATTAAGGCTTAGTACAATGGCTCACGCCTATAATCCTAGTTCTTTGGGAGGCCGAGGCAAGAAGATCACTTGAGGCCAGGAGTGAGAGATCAGCTTGGGCAACATAACGAGACCCCCTCTTTACAAAAAATTTTAAAAATTAGCTGGGCATGGTGGCATACTTGGGAGGCTGAGGTGAGAGAATCACCTGAGCCTGGGAGGTCAAGGCTGCAGTGAGCCACGATCATGCCACTACACTCCAGTCTGGGGGACAAAGTGAGACACTGTCTCAAAAACAAACAAACAAACAAGAGTTAAACCAAATAAAAGATGTATACCTCAGTGAGGAGCTAAGACATATAATTCTTTTAAAATCATTTTATAATAGAAAATCAGAGTAATAATGAGAAGAATTACACAGGTATTCAACTCCAGTCTTTCCTAGATCATTAGGAGTAAACTTATAAACTTTAGAGGTGGGGACATCTTCAGATTGTTTTACTCTTCTACTATAATTATTAAATATAAATATTTAATTGTTATTATTAGTAAATTTAAATCAGTAAGTACTCCATTTCTAGAGCATTCAGTTTATACTTGGGCATCTAAACATGCAATTGCTTGTAAAATAGACTCTTCACATAATTATAGTTATAAAGTACTTTGATAGTCGTGGTATATTCCTTACTCTTAGAGAAGCAAAAAAAAAATCAACCCATAAATAAATAAATAAATAAATTACTTAATTCTCCCACTGAAAAATAATCTTCGGAGGACCAAAGATAGTCAGTAATGCTATCAACTTCCCTCTGCATAAATCCTAGACTAGGGATAAACATACCTAGGCTACACTAATTTGATTCACAAACTAGAATAACAAAGTGAAACTCAAGCTTTTCAAGTCATAAATATCACTAAAGAGAAAGAATTCGTTGCAAAGAATTTTCAATTACATACCAAAAAGTTATGAATTTTCTTGGTCCAGTTCTGTTGCCTTTGACCTTTATGGAAAAAAAAAAAAAAAAAAGAGAGAGAGAGGAAAAAAAAGTGAGTCATGAGATTTCTGCCTGGACTCAATCACCTGGGTTAAAATCAGAATCCCACCACATCAACCCCAAGAATAAGCAACAGAACAGTAAGTTGATCATCGTGATAATGTTAGGGTAGACAGCTAGGCAAACACAAACAGTTCAGGAAAGTCCCACCACCACCACCACCCAGGAATGTCAGGCAATGTTAAACCACCAGGGGATGGTCAGGTAGTTGTTAAACTGGCTCTCTAAAATAATAATTGGTGGCAGCTGGTGCCAGGGACAGGCAGTCTCCCATTAGATAAGTAACACTTGAAGCTGGTGATCAGCAGCTTCCTGATAAGATCTCAGGAGATGGCGAATGGGCCCAAGTATGTGTACTAAAGGGCAAAATGGCAGAGTTTAGCATATGACCTCCCTCTGGGAACACTCGACTGGTAAGGGAAAAATGCCTCAAGTGAGCATGCATGCAACTTCAGCAAACACACTGAGCATGCTCCCCTCCCAACGTCTGGCAGGCCATTGCACATGCGGAAAGCCCACCCCAAGGGAAGAATCAGGGTAGGAGAGACAGAAACCCCTGTACCATGCTGATGTATAAAACCCCAAGTCAAAGATCAAACAGGGTACTTGGATCTCTCAAGTTGTCCGCTTGGCACTTTTCCAAGTGTACTTTACTTCCTTTTGTTCTTGCTCTAAAACTTTTTAATAAGCTCTCACTCCTCAAAAACTTGCCTCAGTCTCTCACTCTAAGTCATGCCCCTCAATTGAATTCTTTCCTTCGAGGAGGCAAGAATCAAGTTGGTGCAGACCTGCACAGATTCACCTCTGCTAACAATAACTTCCCACTGTCTCTCTCAAAATATGAAAACAAAAGTTTTCTCTCATAGGAAAGAAGATCTGGGTAGCAAATTATCAAAAAATCATTAAACTGAGATCCTCAACATTTAATTTTTTCTAAAGAGGACAGTAAAAATAATGTTTTATCCTTTTGAACACACCCCATGATACATTTTTACTTCACTTTTAAATACCACGAAAGATGTGCACATAGATTGAGAACTTCTATCTATTTTCCTGGAATTTTTCCAGTAGGAATATATTGCCTTTTTTTTTTTTTTGAGACAGAGTCTCACTCTGTGGCCCAGGCTGGAATGCAGTGGCACACACAATCTCAGCTCACTGCAACCTCCGCCTCCCAGGTTCAAGTGATTCTCCTGCCCCAGCCTCCTGAGTAGCTGGGATTACAGGCACCTGCCACCACGCCTGGCTAATTTTTGTATTTTTAGTAGAGACAGGGTTTTGCCATGTTGGTCAGGCTGGTCTTGAACTCCTGACCTCGTGATCCACCCGTCTCGGCCTCCCAAAGTGCTGGGATTACAGGCATGAGCCACTGCACCCAGCCCAGTGGGAATATATTTCAAATTAGTAACAATAATTCTATTCATTGCCTAAAAGCATACATTTATAAAAACACAGATTTTTATTTTTTAAAATCTATATATTTGCATCTCACAGAAAAATAAAATTGTAGGAAAACATGTTCTGCAAAGGACATATTTCAAGATCTGTATTTTAATAACTCAATCTACTTGAGTACTTGGATTTTTTTCTTTTTAAATTTTTTTTCCAAAATTTTATTTTGAAAATGTTTAAAACTATAGAAAGCTTGTAGGAATAGGTAGCAATGAACACCTAGATGGCCTTCACCTTGATTCCCAAATTATGACACTTTTCCACATTTGCTTTATCTCTCTGCATATCTAAATATTTTGCTGAACCATTTGAGTCACTTGTAGACATAAAGATGGTTCACCCCTATATACTTCAGCATGTACCTCCTAAGAGCAATGATCCCACTATAGTTATTAATAATGATCACACTCAGGAAAGGTTTTTTTTTTTTTTTTTTTTTTGAGATGGAGTCTCGCACTCTCGTCCAGGCTGGAGAGCCGTGGCACAATCTCGGCTCACTGCAAGCTCCGCCTCCTGGGTTCACGCCATTCTCCTGCCTCAGCCTCCCAAGTAGCTGGGACTACAGGTGCCCACCACCACGCCCGGCTAATTTTTGTGTTTTTAGTAGAGACGGGGTTTCACCGTGTTAGCCAGGGTGGTCTGGATCTCCTGACCTCGTGATCCACCCGCCTCGGCCTCCCAAAGTGCTGGGATTACAGGCTTGAGCCATCGCGCCTGGCCACACTCAGGAAATTTTAAATTGACAAAATGCAATCACTATACAGTCCAAATGTTCCAATTGTATCACTGATGTCTGTTTCAGTGTGGAAGATTTGTTATATTTTATTTTAAATCCTGGATTTAATCAGGGATCACCAAGGCATGTCTACGGTCTCCTTTTACCTTTCAGGACATGTTTTTGTAGAGTCCAGGCCAGTTGCTTTGCCTAACACCCCTCAATATGGATTTGACTGACTGTTCCTTCACAACTAAGTTAAACATTTTTGGCAGAGGTACTCACAGGTTGGAATGCTTTCCTTCTTTGTATACATTAGGAAAACCACATAACAGGTTGGATTAATATTTTCTTTCAATCACTTAGTAACACTTAGTGATTGCCTCATATAAACTAAATTTAGTGTCACAGTTTGCAATTTACAAAATGCTTTGATATGGATTAATTTATGAAATTTGCGCTACAATCGCATGAGGTAGGTTTTTTATTTTGGTCATCTTTCCTCTTTTGAATAGAATTTTATCCAAGTTCATACAACCAGCAAGTCTAGCTCAGTGGCCAAAATTTAAGTATAGAATTACCGTAAAAATCACCCTAGAGTAAGAAACTCTATTTTCAGGTCAAATAAATCTAGATCCCTTTTTCTCTTTTGTAACCTGTACTCCCTGTTGTCCAAACTCTTTGCCTTACAGTTCTTATTTTGTTGTGTTAAACTACAAGGTAGTGAGGTATCATGATTTATCTAAACATTTTTTCAACCATAATTATTTCAAATTATAAGAGTTAAACCAGAAACAGTGGAAAAAATGGGTATTAACTTAAAAGTGGGCGATATGTTAAAATAAATGAGTATTAGCTGTATTGAGTAAGCTAACACTCAAAGTGATTGGCTTTTCTTCATGTTTTTGCCTTTGCTTTGGTGCAACTAATGATATACCAGCTCTTTCTTTCTCCCCAGAACAAGATCTTATGTCACTTCCTCCTACATTCCAAAGCAATGAAAACAGTATTTCCTGAAGGAGTCATCTGTATGTTTACAAAAACTTTCCAGCATATTAAATTAGGTAGTTTTTCTTATTTACTTTTTGCCGTGGGGGCCTCACAATCGCAGTGCTGTTTAGTTAAGAATCAAGTCAAGAAAAGTTTGGGAATCGGTGTATGTAACTTGAGTCACAACTTATAACATGAATCTCTAAATAGACATTCCAGCCAGAAAGAGAAACAAACAGGTTTCCCAACCTATAGGTCAAGGGTACTGAAGCTGGCAAAAGCCAGACAAGGTTTAGAGTGATACTGAAATCTAAAAAGCAATACAACCCAAGTCCAGGTCAGCGCAACTGCAGATGCTTATCTGGGTGGCATCAGACTCAGATGTACCATCTCAATCACTTTCAGTATAGAAAGATCTTCAAGAAAATAGGCTGCAATTGTCCACTGACAAAAACCACTTTACTAAGCCTCAAGCTAAGATAACAGATCAAGATCCATTTACTGCTTCATCCATGCACCATTTCTCTAACATTCAGTGATCTGAATATCTCACTTCAAAGCAAAAGAGCAATTAGAGCCATTTAAAATGTCTGAATAATGAGTGTGATATTATTGTTACTGTCCAGTGTTCAATTTCATAAAGAAGCAGGAACAGACTCCTGAAAAATACCCGGAGAAAAAAATGAACTATCTTTTCCACTTCCACAGAGCTCTTCGAGCATTACATGACTTTCTTTTGAATTGGCATATTATGCACCCCCTAAAAGAAAACTCTCTACTTTAATCCCAAGAAAAGCATTATTCTTATTCTTCATTTGAATTATTTTTTAGGCCAAATACAGTAAAGGAAGTTGCACTGATGATTGTGCTTAAATATATAAATTGGGGCAAGACAGGGAGCAGCAAGAAATGTTTCAACTGTGAAGTCTTTAATAGAACATGTATCATTCATTTTTCCCCACTAATCCTCAACAGACTCCTATTATCTTCAGATAATAAGAGAGGCTGCCTGCCATTAATTTAATCACTGTAATTTCCTAAGAAATAAAGACTGATGTCTATTGAAAATTATTCCAATTATGTCTTTGAACATGAGTTCAAAACTGGTAAAATTACCACTTTCAATAATATATTAACCTCCTAATTGTTATTAGTTATTCTCACAATCCTCTTAAAGCAAAGAATGACATTGGGGCCCAATTCTTTTATTCAACTTTGAGACACAATTATTTTTAAAACTTTGCTCAAGTTCAACCCACTTCAGGTGTAATCTAACCCTTTAAAATACATCCTAAGAAGCAATTTATCTGCTTAAAAACAAAAACTGGGCCGAATCCTTTTTATTATATCATGTAAAATCAAACTATGTAACCACTTGAAAATAAGTAGAAGTAGGTAAAAGTAAGGAAATCTCACAGAAACACCAATGATAAAAGTACTGGAGGCTGGATGCAATAGGTTATGCCTATAATCCCAGCACTTTAGGAGGTCAAGGCTGGAGGATTGTTTGACCCCAGTGAGACAGCCAAGTATAAAGGGGTTTCCCGAGAACCTTCGACTGGCCTGTGCACAGGGAGGTGTGTGCACTGTGGTGCAGCCATGAATTTCACACCATTTGCAGAGCGGAGGATTCTGGCTTCCCCTGTTCTGGGGTGGTAACTGGGAATTCAACCTATGAGGCAGGAAGCCTACCAGCAGAACTCTCACTTTGCTGAGAGTCCCTGTTTCCCTTTTTATTTCCTTTTTGCCCAATAAACCCTGCCCTTCTCACCCTTCAAAGTGTCTGCGAGCCTAATCTTTCATGGTTGTGTGACAAGAACCTGGCTTTTAGCTGAACTAAGGAGAAAGTCCTACACCACCAGGAGTTCAAGATCACCCTGGACAACAGAGTGAAACCCCATCTCTTTTAAAAAATAAAATATAAAAATTATTTTTTAAAAAAAGTACTTGGCCGGGCGTGGTAACTCATGCCTGTAATCCCAGCACTTTGGGAGGCCAAGGCGGGCACATTATGAGGTCAGGAGATCGAGACCAGCCTGGCTAACACGGTGAAAGCCCGTCTCTACTAAAAATACAAAAAATTAGTCGGGTGTGGTGGCGGTCCCCTGTGGTCCCAGCTACTCGGGAAGCTGAGGCGGAAGAATGGCGTGAAACCAGGAGGCGGGGATTGCAGTGAGCTGAGATTGCGCCACTGCACTCCAGCCTGGGCGACAGAGTGAGACACCATCTCAAAAAAAAAAATACTAATAGCCAACATTTATTAAGCTCTGATTATTTAATTTGTACAGTCATGTGCTAGATGCTGCTCATGCATTAAGTATTCATTTTCACAGCAACCCCGTGAAGGTGGTGCTGTTCTTACAAATGAAGACCACTGCCCTGGCATCTGCCGCTGTGGCTGCTGTTGACTGCTCTGTTGGCAGCTGCCACTCCATTGCTCACGGGTGGCTGCCGTGCTGCCCCCAACCTCCTCTGGACACCCCCATCTCACCGCACCCCACCACCAACACACACACACACCTCTTTCTGCTCATTGATGAGGACTTTCCATAGTGGCACACACTTTGCTGTGAGCATTGCTTGGGGAACAGAGAGCACAGGGGGTCTAGGTCAGCGACGCCTGCACAAGGATCTGCTGCCTCTTCCCACACTGCTAGACTTCTTGGCTCATCTTGGCTTTTGCCAGCAGCCCCATGGCTCTCCCTCCAGTCCAGCCTTTTGTGGATCTGAGTCCATCAGCTAAGTCTGTACATGTCTAAGCTAAAACTGCAGAGAAATTTAGCCTCTCTTGCCCAGGGCTTTGGGACTCTTGCAATACTCCTGGTCATGCCTCTGTCCTGAACTGTCTGGAGCTCTCTGACAGCCAGGAGGTGACTGCCTGTCACACACATGTGCACACGCACACACACACACACACACACATGCGTACACACACACACACACGCACACACACACACACACACACACACTCTTAGCAGTTGGCTGGCCGCCATCTAATGTAGCAGGTCATGTTAGCACACTGTCTTCCCTGACACTGTTCAAAATATTAGTCCCAAATTATTAGCTATATGAAGGAGCTGACAGCTACTACTCTCAAACTTCTCAGTGTTCTGAGTCTAAATATGCTGTGGGCTCTGTGCATACATTTCATGAGGATAAAGGAAGCACAGGGAGATAGGGAAGAAAGGAACAAAACAGGAATGAAGGGAAAGGAGCCCTTTTGGGCAAGCAGATTCCAAGGGGTGCTCTTGTTGGGTTTTGACCACCCAGAGGGCACCAAGAGGACAGGAACACCAGAGGCAGGGGAAGAGCTGCTATAAGAAGAGGATGTAAAGAAGACAAGGGAGTGTGAAACACAAAAGTCACTTCTCGGATCCACCGTTGCCTTCTCTGCTTCTCCTAGAGGCCAGCGCCACATCTTTTCACCTGTTTAGCCCACCCTCAACTCCACCGCATGCCCTAGAAACTCCCAGGCTAGAGATTCATTTTTGGCAACTACCAACACCCAGGAAAAACTCTGTCTGTATCTCTCCTTGACCAAAACGTATGTACCACCTAAAATGTTGTTAAAATGAATATCGGCCGGGCGTGGTGGCTCACGCCTGTAATCCCAGCACTTTGGGAGGCCGAGGAGGGCAGATCACGAGGTCAGGAGATCAAGACCATCCTGGCTAACACAGTGAAACCCCATCTCTACTAAAAATACAAAAAATTAGCCAGGCATGGTGGCGGGCGCCTGTAGTCCCAACTACTCGGGAGGCTGAGGCAGGAGAATGGCGTGAACCCAGGAGGCGGAGTTTGCAGTGAGCGGAGATCACCCCACTGCACTCCAGCCTGGGCGACAGAGAGAGACTCCGTCTCAAAAAAAAAAAAAAAGAAAAAAAAAGAGAATATCATCCTCAACGGTTTTGGATAAAAACAGACAAAGAACATTAAAGTGAGAAAGGCTGACAGGGCCCCAGCCACAGTGGAAGTCAGGAGGATTGGATGCAGATCCTAAATGTGCGATATAAGATGACGCTGCTCTCTCTGCTTCCCCACTGGTCCAAAGTCATTACATTTCTTTTTTTCTTTTCTTTTCTCTCTCTCTCTTTTTTTTAAATAGGGTCTCACTCTGTCACCCAGCCTGGCATGATCATGGCTCGCTACAGTTGCAACCTCCCCAGGCTCAGGTGATCCTCCTGCCTCAGCCTCACTGAGTAGCTGGGACTGCAGACACACACCACCACACCTAGCTAATGTTTGTATTTTTTGTAAAGACGGGGTTTCACCATGTTGCCTGGACTGGTCTTGCACTCCTGGGCTCATGCAATCCACCCACCTCAGCCTCCCAAAGTGCTGGGATTACAGATGTGAGCCACCGCGCCCAGCCCAAAGTCATTACCTTTCTAGGTGTTTGGTCCTTCTGGCTTGTAGCAGGTTCCTGACTCAGCACCCCTACCATGAGCATATTTTAAACCCCAGGTTGACGTGCAGGTCTGGCAATGCTATTGGGCAGCCTACATTCAGGGCTCATGGTCACCATGTCCTCACTCTGATTGTGGCTCTGCCAATAACTACAGCATCTATTCCACTTTTTAGAAAACTATGTTGCTTTGACATTTACAAATGCATATTTGCATTGTTGTAAGCTTAAAAATGCAAAAGAAAAAGTTAATAGAGGAAAACAAAAATCACCATCATCCCCAGGTCCACAGGTACCCACTGTGAACTCATTGTGCATTTCCTGTCCACTTTCTTCTATTCATTTTGAAAATTTGTAACATAACAAGGGTCATTCTGTACATACAGTTTTGTGTCTGCAAGGCCTAGTCTTAGAGCTCTGCATGGACGGGGATGACAGCTAATATTTTGGCTGCTTGAGAAGTCACATTTAGATCCTTGCATCACAGTAGAGGCCCTGACATTCCACTAACTTTATTAGGCATGGATGAGATTTTGGACAGCACTCTAATGAGCCGCAGTGCTCTGAAGAGCATTCTTTTCTTATCTCAGCTGTTGAGCGTGAGGTCCCAGGGTGCAGAACAATGTGAAAGTCCACATGAACATTTTCAGTGTTTGAAAACCAGCATATAAAGCACAGAAGTGCTTCTAAGAACAAGGTCAGGAACACTTTTGAGGTTCAATGGGTAGGGTTATCCAAAATAGTTTATTTCATCATTTAGCATTTCTATGTTCTTTTAAATAAAAGCTACATAAATGGCAGAATGCAAAGATTGTTTCAACTAAAAATTCACTGTTAGTTAAAAAAAAATGTCAGATTCAGGATCCTCTGGCTCAATTTCAGAGAACTATAAAAACTTTTTCTAAGAAAACATTTTGAGAACACGTCACAAAATATCTTGTAATAAGCTTTCAGATACACCCCATTTTGATGTAACGATTTCCCAAGTGGTCCCCAAAATGTCTTTGCAGAGTTGGTTCCTAGAGAACCTCTTAATCAAAACTTAAACTAAATGTAAGTCAGCAGTTTCACTTTGACTTTGCAAACATTTCATGAGTCATAGTCAATTATATAATCTCGAATCAAGAGGGCATTGTTATTTGTTCATTGAAGAAACAGACTGTGCCCTGCTAATTCAACTGAAAAATGACTCAAACCCAAAGAAAGCAAAGAAAATGGAGAGCAATCTTCCTTTAAAGAGAGAAGAATGGTTAAGAGTCTCTTCTTTCAGCAGAGAATGAGTAACTCTTATATAGGTTACCAACATTATGGCTGGGCGCAGTGGCTCACACCTGTAATCCCAGCACTTTGGGAGGCTGAGGCGGATGGATCACCTGAGGTCAGGAGATTGAGACCAGCCTGATCAACGTGGTGAAACCCCGTCTCTACTAAAATACAAAATTAGCCAGGCATGGTGGCGCATGCCTGTAATCCCAAGTACTTGGGAAGCTGAGGCAGGAGAATTGCTTGAACCCAGGAGGCGGAGGTTGCAGTAAGCTGAGATAGCCCCATTGCACTCCGACCTGGGCAACAAGAGCGAAACTCCATCTCAAAAAAAAAAAAAAGATTACCAATATTAGCATTGTGCACATGCATACACACATAATCTAAGGAAGAAGAATGCCAATGTTCCTCTTTATCCCAGGATGTTAACCCAAAGAGTTTAGGAAATACTGCTATTTCTTTCACAAATCAGTTGTGAATCATTCATGCCTTAAAATCCTGTTGTCAGTGGTTAGCATCCTAAAGCCCCTCTCGGTCCTCCCATGAGTGCTTTATTAAGCTGGGATAAAGCTACTCCATGCCCAACAATAAGCAAGGCTCTGTGCAGCTGAGAGAAGAGACCAGGGGACAATTGCTGAGAGCCTAGGGGAGGTGGGCGGGTCCACACTTAGCAGTTTCACTTGGGCTGCAGGGCATACTTTCATTCAAAGAAAGAGTCTTTCATGGAATCAACCCAAATGCCCATCAATGACAGACTGGATAAAGAAAATGTGGCACATATATATCATGGAATACTACGCAGTCATAAAAAGGAATGAGATCATGTCCTTTGCAGGGACATAGATGAAGCTGGAAACCATTATCCTTAGCAAACACTGCATGCCCTCACTTATAAGTGGGAGCTGAACGATGAGAAAACATGGACACATGAAGGGGCACAACACACACTGACTAGGGCTTCTAGGGGAGGTGTGGGTACTGAGAACATCGGGAAAAACAGCTAATGCATGCTGGGCTTAATACCTAGGTGATGGGTTGATAGGTGCAGCAAACCACCGTGGCACACATTTACCTATGTAACCAACCTGCACATCCTGCACATGTATCCTGGAACTTAAAACGAAATAAAATAAAAAATTAAAGATGGGTTGATGGATGGATAGAGGGATGGATAAAAGGACTGATAAGCAATAAAGCAAATACCATAAAATGTTTAAAAAAAGAAAAGAAAAAAGAAAGTAGTCTATGACTTAAAAAAAAAAACTTGGAAAACTGTGAATCTATACTCTTCAATTTTGCAAAAATTTAGCAATTCTGTGCCCGAATCATGTATAACATTCATCAGTTGGCATATTACTTTAAAAATGAAACCCCGAAGTGAATGAAGACTTCACCTCACCAGTCATTTTCCAAGCCCCATGCATGGAGGAAGCATTTCTCCCATGACTGCGAACGGTGTTTTGTCTTCCCTCCCAAAAGGAAAGAACAATTACTTTACAACTTCATGAAAGCTGAAATGCAGGCAGACCTCTTTGTGGGTAAAGTCTAAAGCAGATGCAATTTTAGGTTAAACATAGAGTATTATTACTTATTCTGATTCTTCAACTGAGCCTCTGAAAATATTTATTTTCTATTTGTTTAAATGTAGGTATTGAGAGACATGGCTTCCTTTTTTCTTTCTTTGTTAAACAAATGCTCAGATGTGATGGCTCATGCCTGTAATCTCAGAATTTTAGGAAGCTGAGGCAGGAGGATCGCTTCAGGCCAAGAGTTCCAGACCTGCCTGGGCAACATATGATGACCCACGTCTCTACAGAAAAATGTAAAAATTAGCCAGGCATGGTAGCGTGCACTGTAGTACTTAGCTACTTGAGAGGCTGAGGTGGGAGGATCCCTTGAGTTTGGGAGTTTAAGGATACATTGAACTATGATGACAACAGTGCACTCCAGCCTGGGTGACACAGTAAGACCCTGTGTCTAAAAACAACAAAAAAACACTAACAATATCAATAACAACAACAAAAAAAGAAGCAAAGTAGATTTTTCCGCCACCCCCCAAAAAACATAAAGTCCAACACGTAAACACCAGATTCCCCATGGGCTTTGAAGAAACAGACATTTTATGCCCCTTAGCAAATTACTCTTGGATGAAATTGGCAGCACTCTACTTCTTTAGGTAAGTAAATAAAGATTGTTATATTTGAAAACAATGGCTTTTATTGTTATGAACTAGGAGTGGCTTTAATGGAGAAGTTGCCCTGTTACTTGACCACTGAAAAGGAAGAGCTACAGACCAGCTATTCTAAACCCAAAGTAATTATTTTGTTAGACTTAGCTCCACATTTAAGTGGCTTATAATCAATAAATCTATAAAACAAGTTAACTCGGCCACTTACTAAAGCATATTTTACAGTCAATTATCTTGGCACATACACCCAAAAGTTATATTAATCACCCTTAAAATATTACATATATGCTGTATTTAAATTTTAGAGTTGAAATCAACATGTAGTTACACCTGTTTAGATTTTCCAGGTTAAAATCATTGTTGTCGTAGTCTATGGTCTACATGTGTATCCCTGATCCCTCACATTATAGTTTGGACTCAGCTGAGATATGAGGAAGGAATGATGAGGGAAGGGACCAGCATTCTTACGTGGATCGTCATCTCCTGGGGCCATGCACTGGTAGGATCTAGAGGTTTGTGATGTTCCCAAACGGTCATGAGACTCTTGGGCACAAGGGTTGAGGCTATCTGATCCAGGCACCCCATAAACCTTGAAATATTAGCATGGTGTTTTGTTAAATGTGTCTGTGTGTGTACCGTTCTCCAGGCTACGAAAGCACTTGTTTAATCTGCAGCATAGAACAGGCTGCATTCTTATTTAATGCTAGGAACACTTAAATCCAACTGGCTGGTTCTCAATCCGTGTCAAAGGCTCAGTTACAATAAACAGTATTTATATAATATTCTTAAAGGTACACCTATTACTCTATATTCCAGAGTTATTTATTGAGCCCTGGGACTTCGGGGGATCATGATCACTGAAATTGTGTGGATAATTTAACGTGATATGTGCATTTACAGCTTTCATCATAGTCTCAAATTGAACCAGGACATATAAAAAGTAAGAATCACTAATCCACATTTTAAGATTAAGTATCTCAAAGGAGGTAGTACTAATAAGTAAAAATAAATAATACCTTATACTCTCAAAAGGTTAAAAAAATTATACTAAATATTTTAAATCTAGATTCTAATTGAAGGCTTGAAGGCATTTGGAATGGAATAAACAGCGTGGTGCCTGAGATTTACGATGTGTTGGTTATGACATCTATTTGAGCGCTCATGGAGTTTTGCTGATTTGCTGATTCCTTGTTGTGTGCTGGATGTGTGAGTTTATAGATAGACAACTTCCAAATAAATGAGATTCAACTACACTTCATTTTCTGTGGAAACCATCCAGAGAGTTCTCATTGCTCACATTTGTGGATCTATATACCAATGCAAAGAAATGTTTATTCCAGTCTTTATCTGACAGCTAGCTTCTGTTATTGAGTTAAATCTCCTGAATCCAGTAACAGAAACATTTATAGACCTTGACTCCACAAACCACTAGGTTCTGCTGTCAGAAATCTCTGAGTCACGCTCACTTCGAGAGGCAGCAAAACCAAATTTGCCCACTTCCTCTTTCTTGTGTGCTTTATTTGTCTCATTTAGTTGTAACCACATGATATGGTGGGGGGAGTCTGGACACATATGGAAATCCTGCTTCTGCCTCCCACTAGCTGTAGGACTTTGGATAAACTATTATTCTCTCCAAGTCCCAGCTTTTTCTTTTCTTCTCTTTAGTGGGGGAAGGGGGTTTTGCTGTGTCTCCCAGGATGGAGTGCAGTGGCATGAGCTCAGTTCACTGTAGCCTCAACATCCCAGACTCAACTGATCCTCTCACCTCAGCCCCCCGAGTAGCTGGGACTATAGACATGTGCCACCACGCCTGGCTAATGTTTATATTTTTTGTGGAGACAGGGCTTCACCATGTTGCCCAGGCTGGTCTCGAACTCCTGAGCTTGAGCGATCCCCCAGCCTCGGCCTCCCAAAGTGCTGGGATTATAGACATGGGCCACTGTGCCTGGCCCAAGTCTCAGATTTTTCATCTGAAAAGTGACTATAACTTAGGACCCAGGGTGCTTGTAAGGATTAAATGACATAATTTTCATGAATTTACCCAGTTGTCATCAGGCACTTAGTAGATGCTTAATAATTACTTATTTCTTATCCTTTCCCACCTTCCTTTATTTTGTGTATTGACTCTGCAACACCCAAATATATGGATCACCATCACTACTTATCATCTTTAGTGAGGCAATGTTGACCAGCAACCCAACAGCTTTAGTAAATCTTCCTAAGTTCCCATCAGATTTTGAACGCAACTATATTATAGCTATGATAGCACTTTTTTTTTTTTTTTTTTTGACAGAGTCTCGCTCTGTCACCCAGGCTGGAGTGCAATGGCACAATCTCAGCTCACTGCAACCTCTGCCTCCCAGATTCAAGCTATTCTCCTGCCTCAGCCTCCTGAGTAGCTGGGATTACAGGTGCATACCACCACGCCCGGGTAATCTTTGTATTTTTAGTAGAGACGGGGTTTCACCATGTTGGCCAGGCTGTTCTCAAACTCCTGACCTTGTGATCCGCCCACCTCGGCCTCCCAAAATGCTGGGATTACAGGCATGAGCCACTGCACCCGGCCTATGATAGCACTTTTCACTTTGTCATTTGATTACTGGTGTACATATCCATCAGCTCTCAGAACACGAGAGGGTTGTTTTCTGCAAAACCTCTCCAATTTTAACGACATAATACAGGACGGGGAGAGACAAGAATGGCTCATTCACCCTTCTCCTTTTTATCATTTGTTTTGAAGAGAACTAACACAAAAAGAGAATGATTCTCATACATTCTTCTGTAACAACTATTGCCCTACTCTTAAATGTACTCCTGGCTAGGCACAGTGGCTCATGCCTGTAATTCCAGCACTTTGAGAGACCAAGGCAGGAGGATTGCTTGAGTCCAGGAGTTCAAGACTAGCCTGGACAACAAAGTGAGACCTTCTCTCTGCAAAAAAATTAAAAAATTAACGAGGCATGTTGGTGCACCTGTGGCCCTAATTACATGCGAGGCTGAGTCAGGACAATTGCTTGAGCCCGGGAGGTCAAGGCTGCAGTGAGTCATGATTGTGCCACTGCACTCCAGCCTGAGCAAGAGAGCAAGACGTCTCAAATAAAAAAAATAAAATGCACTCCTTAACCAGGCAAGGGGGCATGCATCTGTGGTCCCAGCTACTCAGGAGGCTGAGGCAAGAGGCTCTGGGCCCAGGAGTTCAAGAGCAGCCTGGTGCAACATAAGAAGATCCCACTTTTGTAAAAAAATTAAGTTAGCCTGGTGTGGTGGGGCACACCGGTAGTCCCAGCTACTTGGAAGACTGAGTGGAAGGATCACTTGAGCCCAGAAGTTTGAGGCTGCAGTGAGCCATGATTGTGCCACTGCACTCCAGCCTGGGTGACAGAGCAAGACCCTGTCTCAAAAAAATTTTTTTAATTAAAAAATAATAATAAATAAAATATACTTTAAAAATACATCAATAAGCAGCTTCACCAGGATAGAACAAAAGTCTGCTCTTCCTTAAAGAGTATAGTATTCGTGCCAATTTTTTCAGACTTTATTCATGTTGAGAATACTTCCTGAAATCACTCTCTTTTTCAATTTTGTGTGATGCAATTTAATAGACAGATAAACTTAGCATGAATTATTACAGGAAGGGTTGGCATCTCATTCATCTGTGTTCCCAACTCATAGCCCATCACTTAGGACACTAGTAAACATTGAATAAATGAATAAAAGAAGACATCACCATTTATATATTCTGAATGAAGGTTTGCTTGTATGAGTTGATTCTGGATCTGATATGTAAGTATTTGGATCAAAAGCCAGAGATCCTGAAAAGCAAGAGGCCAATATGACCAAATCCATAGACAGTCAGTTACCTATTGAAGGCTCTCTGCTGACCTAATAACACCATGCTCAGTTCATACCTGGGAAATTTCCTGCCTGTATCTCCAGTTTGGAAAAAGAAAAAAAAATCATCATCTGCATTTCTAGACCAAGTCAACCTGATTTTTAAGCATAAGAAAAGGCCGGGCGCGGTGGCTCACGCCTGTAATCCCAGCACTTTGGGAGGCCGAGGTGGGCAGATCACCTGAGGTTGGGAGCTCAAGACCAGCCTGACCAACATGGAGAAACCTCATCTCTACTAAAAATACAAAAGTTAGCTGGGTGTAGTGGCGCATGCCTGTAATCCCAGCTACTCGGGAGGCTGAGGCAGGAGAATCGCTTGAGCCCAGGAGGCGGAGGTTGCAGTGAGCTGAGATTGTGCCACTGCACTTCAGCCTGGGCAACAAGAGCGAAACTCTGTCTCAAAAAAAAAAAAAGAAAAGAAAAGAAAGAAAGAAAATATGTGAGAAGACTGTGCCTCCTTGCTGTTACTCAGCCCCCTCCATCTCAGAGTTTACCCAGTCAGGTGTCTGTCTTGGGACAAAAAACCAGTAGGAGGTCAATAGGCTGGTGCATGTCATCTGCTTTTCAGTGATTTGAGCTCCCTTTCTCCTTCCCCTGCTGTTCCCACTCCATCAGTAATTCTACCATGCATTCTTCTCTGTGCATTTGTCCATTTCCACAGCAATCTTTCAGGCCCTCCTATGCTCATTCTTCTGCCTGTATCTCTGTCTTCTGCCTCCTGCTGTACCTGTCTATCCTACATACACAAGCATATACTACCAGAATAATCTTTCACAAAAATCACATCTCACTGGTTTAAAAACAAAAATCACTAATAGTTCTCCATCCTGGGCTTTCCTTTTCAACCACTGAAACTACCCCCAGTGTGATGGTTAATATTATGTGTCAACTGGATTGGATTGAAGGATGCAAAGTATTGTTCCTGGGTGTGACTGTCAGGGAGATCAACTTTGAGTCAGTGGACTGGGAGAGGCAGACCCACCTTCAATACGGGTGGGCACCATCCAATCAGCTGCCAGTGGAGCTGGAATAAAGCAGGCAGAAGAAGGTGGGAGAAATGGACTTGCTGAGGCTTCTGGCCTCCATCTTTCTCCCATGCTGGATGCTTCCAGCCCTCAAATATCAGACTCCAAGTTCTTCAGCTCTTGGACCTTTGGACTTACACCAGTGGTTTACCAAGGGCTCTTGGGCCTTTGGCCACTGTCTAAGGGCCGCATTGTCGGCTTCTCTACTTTTGAGGTTTTGGGACTTGGACTGACTTCCTTGCTCCTCAACTTGCAGAGGGCCTATTGTGGGACTTCACCTTGCGATCGTGTGAGTCAATTCTCCTTAAAAACCTCCCTTTCATATAGACATATATCTTATTAGCTCTTTCTTCTAGAGAACCCTAATACATCCAGCTTCCTTCTCCTGCCTGCCCACCCCGACATCTAACTCTGGAAGTCGCCCCACGTCACTTACATTAACCTCATCAGTGCTTGGCTTCTCATAATTTACTAACATTTGAGCAGATCTATCCAGAACCCCCTACCTTGTCTTCTCACTCAAGCTTGCTTCCTTTAATTCTTTAAAAATATAAACTTTCAGAGACAGAATGACCTCGAGTTAGAGTCTAACAGTGCAGCACAATCCTTTCATTTCTTTTTATTTTAGTTTGAATTGTTTGCTTTATTTTGTTTTAATTTATTTTTATTGATTTATTTTGTAGAGACAGGGTCTCTCTATGTTGCGAGGCTGGCCTCGAACTCCTGCGTTCAAGGTATCCTCCTGCCTCAGTCTCCCAAAGTGTTGGGATTACAGGCATGAGCCACTGTGCCCAGCCCATTAATAGTCAAGAAACTAAGACCCAGAGATGGCTCATGACACCCTGCTGTGAGAAAGTTCTCAGGGTCAATGCACCCTTACCCTATGGGCCCCCTAGGAAAGAGCACACACAGCCAGGGCAGAGGACAGGGAGGATGGATACTGTGCAGCGCCTACCAGCAGCCAGGCTCTGTCCCAGTGCCTTCGTAGGTTTCTTGTGGTTCTCATGAGCCCAGTTGATGACTCTGAAACTCAAAAAGTTAAGGAACTTGCTCAAAGTCAGACATCTAGCCAATGCCCAGACCCAGCTCTTGGACTGAATCTCATTTTTTTTGTATATCTCACTTCCCTTAACCTGCACCTGCTATAACATTCACATTTGTATTCATGCCCCTCTGTGCAGTTTGCTGTGTGTGAGTGGTTGTATCAGTTTGCCAGGCAGCCATCACAAAATACCGCAGACTGGGTGGCTTCCGCAACAGACATTCATCCGCTCACAGTTCTGAGGCCAGAGTCTGAGATCAAGGTGCCACAGGTTTGGTTTTAGGGCCCATACTAATGACCTCATTTTAACTTAATTACTTTTCTAAAGGCCCTGCCTATCTCCAAATACAATCTGATATGGTTTGGCTCTGTGTCCCCACCCAAATCTCATCTTGTAGCTCCCATAATTCCCATGTGTTGTGGGAGGGACCCGGTGGGACATGACTGAATCATGGGGTGGGGTCTTTCCTGTGCTGTTCTCATGATAGTGAATGGGTCTCATGAGATCTGATAGTTTTTAAAATGGGGGTTTCTCTGCACAAGCTCTCTCTTTGCCTGCCGCCATCCATGTAAGACGTGACTTGCTCCTCCTTGCCTTCCGCCATGGTTGTGAGGCTTCCCCAGCCACATGCAACTGTGAGTTCTCCATTAAACCACTTTCCTTTGTAAATTGACCAGTCTCGGGTATGTTTTTATCAGCAGTGTGAAAACGGACTAATACACAGTCACATTCTGATGTACTGGGGTTAGGACTTCAGCATATGAATAGGGGTAGGAGGTGTGGAGAGACACAGTTTAAGCCTATAACCGTGGTCCAGAACTGTCTTTTATTTCTGTTTTCCTTAATCCCATACCCGCCAAGTAGTCTCTTTCATCAAATTATAATAAAATCACACAAATACTAGACAATTTATTTAGATTTCGACTTTTTCACAGATCTGCATTTAATGTGAAAAGCATCTAGATGTACATTCACCATCTTTATTGCTAACTATACCCTACTCTTTGCTTCAAACACTCATCAAAAACAGAGTAAAAATGAATGTGTGCTCACAGCACTGAGTGCCTCCTCTGTGTACTGTTAGACGACTGAGCTGCCCTTTCCAACTTGGCATCCTCACATCCACCCACTGACAAATAGTCACAACCAGCAAGCAAACAGAACACTTCCCAGGAGGCTCTCACCACTGAAAAGAAGAAAGGTAAGGGGTGGCTTGAACGTTGCCCCTTTAAATAAAAACAGTTCTCCAGCAGTCTCAGCAATTTTTAGGGGGAGAGGGATGTAAACAGACAGTAGTAAATAGTGGAAAGAAACTAGAACAGGGTGAAAGGGGCCAAAAGATATGATTAATTTACTTATGTCCTTTCTGTGATCTAAGCTGGCGTGCAGTGGTGCAATCATGGCTGGCTGCAGCCTCAAGCTCCCAGGCTCAAGCGATCCTCAAACCCCAGCTTTCCAAGTAGCTGGGACTATTGGTGCGTGCCACCATGCCCTGCTAATTTTTGTATTTTTTTGTAGAGATGTTTTGTTTTTTTTCGCAGTGTTGACCAGGTTAGTCTCCAACTCCTGAGCTCAGGTGATCTACCTGTCTCAGCCTCCCAAACAAACTACTGGGATTACAGGCTTGAGCCACCACACCTGGCCCTTTCTGAAATATTTTAATGAGGGCTCCACATTTAAAATTATACCATCCAATTTATCTTTTTACAAAACTTATCCAGAAGCCAACCTTCTTTCCCAAGGCAATAGAGGTTTAACAGAGAACAAAGTATTCTTTATATTAATTTCAGACATCCTGAGAATAAACATCGTTCTTTCAGCAAAGCCTATCTTTGCTGTTTAATTGAAATCAATGGTATTGACTAATAAAACTAGCCATTACTTTGTGTGGCTTTTAGGGGAGTTTAACCTGAAACTGGGGATAAAACTAATTAATTTGTGTTGAAGGACTGTAAAAGAATCACGAATACACAACCACTATTACAGCACAAAAGGAGTTAACATGCATTTGTAATTTCTAGATTCTTCATAAAATGATAATACTTTAGAATGTTCTCTTTGTTGTCAATTTTACAGGATAATACTATTTTTCAATTTAAATTAGATGCGATAAGGTGTGACATCTGCAACTCAGGAACACAAGGACCGTCTGCTAAAAATGGTTTGCAGTTCTCATTTTAAAAGTGTAAACATCTACATTTGGTTTTTTTGTTTTTTTAAAAAGGAACTTCTTGCAAATATGTTAAGTCATCTTAGATGAGGACAGTTTTGTAAAGAGACATGGAGAAGGTCAATATTTGCTAAAATAAGTTGTCTCTTTTAAATAAGGTGATTTCTAAAAAAGAAGGGAAACTCACTTTTACTAAGTATCATATACTCACTCTCTCCAGCTGTCACAGATAACTTTCCCTGAGCTGTCTGAGTCAAACTACCCATTACATGGTCTCAGAACGCCAATAACCGCTCATTCACAGCCTTTATCAATATCACAAATTTGGATATATTTGTATGATTAAGATGAGTATCTGTCCCCCCACTCTATGGTGGCAGGGCTCACCATCTAATGCCAGCACACTACCTGAAGCACAACAGGAGCTCACAACATGTGTTTAATGACACCCAACCGATGGAAGAAACCAGCAGTTATTCTACCTTCACATCCCCAATACATCCTGCTGTCTCTTATTCAGCCATCTCACCGTTCTTCACAGAGCTGTTAGATACCATCCTTATATACCTGTTACCCTTCTCTTCCTATTGAAGACCAATCCCTTCATTATGCTGGGGAGGTGCCGCCCTCCTTGTTCTTGGAGAAGGCATATTTACTGTCTCTTCTCTGTCCTGTATTTTTTTTCATCTGCCCTGTATCTTTAGACAATTCCTCTCTACTTTCCTCTTTGATCCACAATCTTTGTGAAATTCTACCCACCTTAAAATAAAATTCTTTCCGCTAAAGCTATTTAGTCACTCTGCTTTTCTTTTCTTGTTTTTTTTTTTTTTAGATGGAGTCTTGCTCTGTCACCCAGGCTGGGGTGCAATGGTGAGATCTTGGCTCACTGCAACCTCCGCCTCCCCGGTTCAAGCAAATCTCCTGGGTCAGCCTCCCAAGTAGCTGGGATTACAGGCGCATGCCACCACGCCTGGCTAATTTTTGTATTTTTAGTAGAGACAGGGTTTCACCATGTTGGCCAGGCTGGTCTTGAACTCCTGACCTCAAGTGATCCACCCACCTCGGCCTCCCAAACTGCTAGGATCACAGGCGTGAGCCACCACACCCGGCCGTCGCTGTGCATTTTTAAACTTTCCCTTTAGTCAACCTTTGTAAAAGAAGTCTGTTCCTACTGCTCCAATTCTTACCACACAGTCAGCTCTCCAAGACCTAATAATACAAGTGGAGCTCAACCTCAGCTGAATCAAGATGCCCACATCAAAACTGCCAGGCATTTCTCAAAAGAGGACATATGATTGGCAAATAGATGCATGAAAAAATGCTGAACATCACTAACCATCAGGGAAATGCAAATTAAAACCACAATGATATCACCTCATACCTGTTAGAATGGCTATTTTCTTTCTTTCTATTTTTTTGAAAACTAGAGGAAGGGGAGGAGGTCTAGGATGTTGGCAAGGATGCAGACCCTTGCACACTGTTGGTGGGAATGTAAATTAGTACAGCCATTTTGGAAAATAGTATGGAGGTTCCACAAAAACTAAAAATAAAATTACCATATGATCTAGCAATCCGTATTCTGGGTGTATATCCAAAGAAATTGAAATTAGTATGTCAAAGAGATATCTGTACTCCCATGTTTATTTCAGCATTATTCACAATAGTTAAGATACAGAATCAAAATGTGGTATGTATATACACATGGAATACTATACAGACCTAAAAAAGAAGGAGAGTCTGTAATTTGCAACATGGATGGAATTGAAGGACATTATGCTACATGAAAGAAGCCAGGCATATAAATACAAATACTATATGATCTCACTTATATGTGGAATCTAAAAACTTAATCTCATAGAAAAAGAGAGTAGAAAGGGGATTACTAGGGGCTGGGGATGGTTGGGGAAGGGTTGGGGAAAGGGAAGATGGTGATCAAAGGGCACAGAGTTTTAGTTAGACTGGAGGAGTAAGTGTTGGTGTTGTATTGCACTGCATGGTGAACACAGTTAATAATAATGTATTGTATATTGCAGAATTGTTAAAAGAATTTATTTTTAAAGTCCTCACTCCAAACAAATGATGTTGGAAGGGAATAAATATGCTAATTATCTTGATTGAATCTTTCTACAATGTATACATAAATCAAAACAACACATTGTAACCCATAAATATGCACAATTATTATTTGTCAATTAAAAATAAATTAATAAAAAATAAGAAAGAAAAACTGCCAGGCATTTTGTTCTTGCTGAGTTCAAGGAGTGCTTTTCAATCTCTCTCTTACTAACCTCCCTGCAGCACAGGATCCCATCCTAATACTCTTTTTCTCTTGGCTTTCAGTACTCCACTTTCTGCCAGTCTTCTTTCATCTCTTCTCAAGCTCATTGCAACCCCTTGCCTCTTTTAATCCCTTAAATATCAGTGTTCCTTAGGATCTTATTCATGTTCTTTTTACTTTCTCTTACTACCTTTTGTTGAATTATCACCAATGCTAATGGCAACCAAATTCATATTTCAAGCTAGACCTCTTGAGCTCCAGAGCTATACTTCCAGTTGACCACTGGCCATGCCCCTCTCCATGAACCACAATTTCCTAAATATGTTTTTTAAAAAAGTGCTCATTATGTTTCCTCAAACACTTATTTTTAAATAACCCAATTTTTTAAATGGGCAAAGAATCAGAATAGATAGTTCCCAAAAGAAGACATACAAATGGCCAACAAGTGTATGAAAAAAATTTTCAATATCACTAATCATTACAAAAATACAAATTAAAACTGTAGTGAGAGATCGCCTCACCCCTGTTAGAATGGCTATTTTCAAAAAAAGATGAAAGATAACAAGTGTTGGTGAAGATGCGTAGAAAAGGGAACTCTTGTGTGTAGTCAGTCAATGGGAAGGAAAATTAGTACAGCCAATATGGAAAACAGTATGGAAGTTTCTCAAAAAATTAAAAATACAACTACGATATGGGCCAGCAATCTCTTTATCTTTTGGATAAATCCTGGATATTTACCCAAAAGAAATGAAATCAGTATATTAAAGAGATGTCTATACCCCCACATTCATAGCAGCACTATTCACAATAGCCAAGATATGCAATCAATCTTTGTCCATCGACAGATGAACAGATAAAGAAAATGTGATCTATATGCACAATAGAATACACTTAAAAACACTTTTAAAAAGAAGGCAATCCTGTTATTTGCAATAACACAGATGAACCTGGAGGACATTTTGTTACATGAAATAAGCCAGTCACAAAAAGATAAGTACTGTATGATCTCATTTATATGTGGAACCTAAGAAAGTCAAACCTAGAGAAACAGGGAGTATAATGGTGGTTGTCAGGGGCTGGTGTAGAGGGAAGGATTGGAGAGAAGTTGGTCAAAGAATCAAAACTTTTTTTTTTGAGACAAAGTCTTGCTCTGTCGCCAGGGCTGGAGTGCAGTGTCACGATCTCGGCTCACTGTAACCTCCACCTCCTGGGTTCAAGTGATTCTTCTACCTCAGCCTCCTGAGTAACTGGGACTACAGGCACGCACCACCACACCCGGCTAATTTTTTGTGTTTTTAGTAGAGACGGGGTTTCACCATGTTGGCCAGGCTGGTCTCGAACTCCTGACCTCATGATCCGCCCGCCTCAGCCTCCCAAAGTGCTGGGATTACAGGTGTGAGCCACCGCACCTGGCCAGAATCAAAACTTTTATTTGGACAGGAGGAATAAGTTCAAGAGAGCTCTTGTACAACATGGTGACCACAGTTAATAACAGTGAATTGTATACTTGAAAATTTCCAAGAGAGATTTTGAGTATTCTCATGATCAAAAAAACTATGTGAGGTAACACATATGTTAATGAGCTTGATTTCGCTATGCAACAATGTACACATATTTCAAAACACCATATTGTAAACCATAAATATGTACAATTTTATTTGTCAATTTAAGATGAATAAATAAAAAATTTTTTAGAACTTTTTCTTGGGCAGGGCACAGTGGCTCACACCTAACACTTTCGGAGGGTAAGGTGGGAAGATCACTTGAGCCCAGGAAGGGAAGGTTGCAGTGAGCCGAAATCAACCCCACTGCACTGCAGGCTGTGAGGCCCTGTCTCAAAAAAAAAAAAAAAAAAACATGGCCGGGCACAGTGGCTCACGCCTGTAATCCCAGCATTTTGGGAGACTGTGGAGGGCAGATCACCCGAGGTCAGGAGTTTGAGACAAGCCTGGCCAACATGGTAAAACCCCATCTCTTCTAAAAATACAAAAATTAGCCAAGCGTAGTAGTGGTGGGTGCCTGTAATCTTAGCTACTCAGGAGGCTGAGGCAGAAGAATCACTTGAACCTAGGAGGTGGAGGTTGCAGTGAGCTGAGATCGCGCCACTCCACTCCATCTTGAGCAAGAGAGCAAGATTCTGTCTCAAAAAAAAAAAGAAAAAGAAAAAAAATTAATGTCACACAGATTTCTTAGAGAGTTTAAACAATAGATAGGTTGTATTTCAATTTAACAGTAAAACAAAATGTTTTAAGAGACTACAAAAGTCTATCCTACTGGATATTGGAAACCTTTTTCTTTACTACTTTTCTATACTAATGACTTTATTAAAGAAAGATGTTTTGGTTAAGCCTAATCTCTTCAACTCAATCACTGTTCTAGTTATTAAGGCTTTACTGTACGGTTATATAGGCAAGTAAATTCCAAAATGGTGTAGAATTGTATGTATGCTTTAATATAAAAGAGATGTAAAACACCAAGAAGCCAGAAATTCATCTTCTGGTTCTTTTTTTTGTTTTGTTTTTTGTTTTTTTGAGACAGGGTCTCGCTCTGTCACCCAGGCTGGAGTGCAGTGGCATGATCTCAGCTCACTGCAGCCTCAAACTACAGGACTCAGGCAATCCTCCCTTCTCAGCCTCCCAAGTAGCTGAGACTACAGGTGTGTGCCACCACACCTGGCTAATTTTTTTTTTAATTTCTTGTACAAATGGGATCCCACTGTGTTGGCCAGGCTGGTCTCAAACTCCTGGCCTCAAGCAATCTTCCCATCTTGGCCCCCCAAAATGCTGGGATTACAGGTGTGAGCCACCATGCCCAGACATCTTCTGGTTCTGTTTTTGCCTCTGCCATTTACCTTGGTGCTTTCTCTGGCATCAAAAAGGGAGTTAACACAGGTCTTGGCTAATAATCATACCACTTACATTTTTGTACATTTATAATTATAGAGTGCTTTTAATCTCATTTCATTTTGATCACAAAAAACAAGTCTTTGGAGGATTATCAGCTCATCTTAGATAAGAAACTGAGAACAGATTCGGGGGAAATGCCCAATATAAATGCCAATAGAAGAATCAAATTGGCCACTATGGCTCTGTGCCCAGTAACTCTTGCAAAAGAAGGCCAAGCATATTGGAAAGATTAATGACATAATCATTTGTATAGAAATTTGAGCCCATAATTAAAAATAGAAAAAAATGCAAACATACCTATGTTTATATTACCAACAAAGATACTAAGAAAAAACTAGTGAAAATCAGGTCTATCTACCTAGGAAACTTTTGTTTTCTTCTTACTTTTTAAAACTTGCCCTTCCTCTTGTGTTTCTCTTTCTACCTTAGTATCCTAAGAATTCCTTTGCCTCATCTAACATGAAAAGAAAACTCAGAACAGTATTAATTACTGTTTCTAATTGAATTCTCGTATCTATTGATCATCTCCCCAATTGATCTCAAGTTTTCACATGAAAAACCGAACACTCTAAATAGCTCTTAGTTTTGTAAAAGACAAAATTGAGATAAGATAAAAACCACAAAAGAACAAGTTTTTGAAAATGTTTTTTATCCCTAAAAATCTCAGGGATAAGCACTCATAGAAAGAGGTTCCTTTCCCTTCAGGGCCCCATCTACTTTGTAAAGATGGCTTCACTAGTGTGATTACTTTTTTTTTTTTTTTTTTGAGACAGTGTCTCTGTCACCCAGGCTGGAATGCAGTGACACAATCTCAGCTCACTGCAACCTCCGCCTCCCAGGTTCAAGCGATTCTCCTGCCTTAGCCTCCCGAGTAGCTGAGATTACAGGCATGTGCTACCACGACCAGCTAACTTTTTTGTATTTTTAGTAGAGACAGGATTTCACCATGTTGGCCAGGCTAATCTCGAACTCCTGACCTCAAATGATCTGCCCGCCTTGGCTTCCCAAAGTGCTGGGATTATAGGCGTGAGCCACCATGCCTAGCCCACTAGTGTGATTACTTGATTAACATCTGTCTCTCCATTAGACTAAAAGTCCTGGGAGAACATGGACAGTGAATATTTTTGCTCACTCATGTACCTAAGCACTTAATCATCTTGGTGCTCAGTAAATATTTGTAGGGCCAGAGCATTTCTATGAACATGACATTTCTACAGGGAAAAACAGGGTCCGTGAAGGCAAAGAGTGGGAGCCCTTAGAAACTGAACAGCTTTCTCTAATAACAGCTGTTTCATTGACATAAATAAGCTGAGTTACAAGTAGCCCAGATCCCCAGTATGGAGTTCAGTGTCAAGATCCTTATTTTGAACATAGTTATAAGGCATAAGGCAAGAACCAGAGTCAGAGGCTCTAAGTCAATTTCCTTTGTGGTAACGATCACAGATGGGAATGGGCCAGTATCCACCATTAATGACAACTAAGTCCCGGATTTTATCTTAGTCCTGTGGATCTATACCAAGCTTGGGAGCTGATAGTCACACTAGCATCCCTGTATTTGGCCCTGAGATACCAATCCCCCATCTGTCTTCAAATAGGGAAAACAGAGTCAAATTTGAAGTTTTAAATATTGATGGGAAATTGATGAAAATCTAAGTACAGAAATCTAGAATCAAAATTAAAATGTGCAATTTTTTTTGGGGGGGAGCGGTGGTGGACAGTCTCACTCTGTCACCCAGGCTGGAGTGCAGTGGCCCAATCTCAGCTCACTGCAATCTCAGCTCACTGCAATCTCAGCTCACTGCAATCTCCGCCTCCCAGGTTCAAGTTATTCTTGTGCCTCAGCCTCCCAAGTAGCTGCGAGTACAGGCATGAACCACCAGGCCTGGCTAATTTTGGTATTTTCAGTAGAGACAGTTTCACCATGTTGGCCAGGCTAGTCTTGAACTCCTGGCCTCAAGCAATCTGCCTGCCTCAGCCTCCCAAAGTGGTGGAATTATAGGCAAGAGCCACTGCTCCCAGCCAACATGTGCAAATTCTTAACCCTCACTTTAGGTAACACTGTAAAATTGGGTTGCCATTATTGGCCCTCTCCTTCACTCATAGGGAAGCACATTTTTTTAGATGTATGCTATTGTACACTTAATAAACTACAGCACAGCATCACTTTTATATGCACTGGGAAACCAAAAAAATTAAGGTGACTCACTTTATTGTGATACTTACTTTATTGCTGTGGTCCGGAACCAAACCTGCAATATCTCTGAGTTATGCCTAGATACACAAGGTATACTATTCTGTATTTAAAAAAAGAAGGAAATTCTGTCATTTGCAACAACATGAATAAACCTGGAGAACATTATGTTACATGAAATAAGCCAGACACAGAAAAACCAATACTGCATACTCTCACTTACATGTGGATTCTAAAGAGATTGAAGTCATAGATGCAAAGAATAGGATGGTGGTTAGTTACCAAGGGTTAGGGGAAGAGGAGATGTTGGTCAAACTATATAAAAGTTCAATGAAACAGGAGAAATAAACTCAAGAGAGCTATTGTACAGCATGGTAAGTACAGTTAATAACGATGTATTGTATTCCTGAAAATCACTAAAAGTGTAAATTTTAAGTGTTCTCACAACAAAAAATGAGTATGTAAGATTAGACATGTTATTTAGTTCAATTTAGCCATTCCACAATATATACGTATTTTAAAACAACATGTACCTAGTAAGTAGATACAATTTTCTCAATTAAAATTAATTAGTTAATTGGAATAATAATAATACTGCTGGAAAAACTGGATAGCCATATGAAAAAAAATTAACTTCAATTCCTACCTCATAGACCTAAACTTGACAGCTGAAACTATAAAGCTTCCAGAAGAAAATATAAAGTAATATTTTTGTGATCTTGGGGTAGGCAAAGATTTCTTACTCAGGATACGGAAAGCAATAAACATAAAAGAAAAAAATTCTAATCACAAGTGATGTTAATAGAATAAGCAAGCCACAAGCTGGGAGAAAATATTCATCAAACATGTGTTTGTCAAAGAATCTGTACCTAGAATACATAAAGAATTCCTCCAACTCGATAATAAAATGACAAGTAGACCAATTAAAAATGAGCAAATGGGCCAGGCACAATGGCTCACGCTTGTAATCCCAGCACTTTGGGAGGCCGAGGTGGGTGGATCACGAGGTCAGGAGTTCGAGACCAGCCTGGCCAACACAGTGAAACCCCGTCTCTACTAAAAATACAAAAAATTAGCTGGGCATGGTGGCAGGCTCCTGTAATCCCAGCTACTCAGGAGGCTAAGGCAGAAGAATCATTTGAACCTGGGAGGCAGAGGTTGCAGTGAGCCAAGATTGCACCACTGCACTCCAACCTGGGCGACAGTGAGAGACTCCATCTCAAAAAAAAAAAAAAAAAAAAAAAAAAAGCAAATGACTCAGACACTTAACAAAAAAATGTAAAAATGGCCAAAAAATACATAAAACAGTGCTCAACATAGTGAATCATTAGGAAAATGCCATAAAACCACAATGAGATACCACTACACACCCACTATAATGGGAAAAGTCAGAAAGATGTTGGTCTCATACAAAGATGAGAATGTAAAAAGCTACAACCGGTTTTTTTTTAAATGTTTGGTGCTTTCTTATAAACATAATATGTTCTGTGACCACCAGGTCTGCCCTTTAGTATTTACTGAAGAGAAAGAAAAACATGTATCCACGCAAAGATTTGTCTATGAATATTCATAGCTAGTTTGCTTATAATTCAGGTTGGAAACAACCCAACTGTCCATCAATAGGAACAGATAAACAAATTGTAATATGTTCATAAGACAGAATATATAGTAATAAACAGAAACAAAATACTACTGATAATTTACCCAAGAGCATAGATTAATCTCACACACATTATGCTGAACAAAAGAAGTCAGATATGTAAAAGTACAAGCCACATGACAACTTTGCTATGAAGTTCTGGAACAGGCAAGACTAACCTTTGGAGAAAGAAATCTGAACAGTGGTTGCCCTGGTGAGAGTAGAGGGTGGGGGGATTGACCTTAATGGAGCAAGACGGGAAAAATTCTGGTTTTTGGTAATAGTTTGAGTTCCATGAACATACACATTTGTCAAAACTCATGGAGCTGCAGCACTAATGACCTGTGCCTTTCACTACATGAAGACCAAGACCCAATAAAATAATTTAGGTCACAGAAGGTAATTTGAGAATATTATTTCCAGGGAATTAAAATTTAACTTGAAAACAAATGAAGGAATAATGTAGGGTAGGATTCATTCCACTCTTGCCCTTCAGAAGGATAAGCCCCAGATTGGGACCGAGATGGAAGGCACAAATCTGCTTTCATTTCCACCTTACTAGAATCACGATGTGCTTCTGGTTTTAACAATATGTATTTTCTTGGCCGGGTGTGGTGGCTCACGCCTCTAGTCTCAGCACTTTGGGAGGCCAAGGTGGGTAGATTGCTTGAGCCCAGGAGAGGCTGCAGTGAGCCGAGATCACACCACTGCGCTCCAGCCTGGCTGACAGAGTGAGACCCTGTCTCAAAAAAAAAAAAAAAAAAAAGAAGAAGAAGAAAACAATACATATTTTCTATACAACATGCACCCAATGTCAATAATTATTTTTTCCCTCATTCCATCCATACACAAAAGCTAATTTCATCATCTGGAACCTTCAGAAGATATGATCTGTTTCAGCACTGGCCACGTTAGCCAACCTATGTGTGTCTGTCTCAAACATGATGTCAACAAGGGGAACTTTCAAGGATAAATGTGAATGTTTGTAATTTTTGCTTTATGTGCTGACTTTAGAACCTAATTGAAGATAAGCTATGATTCCATAGTAATTTTTTCTATGCAGCAGGGTGATAACTAATATCTTAGATTTAAATGTATAACTAAATTCTTGTCATATTATTCTTAGTACTCTGGTTATAATTGAACATACCAATTGTGCGTGAATGAAGTATATTAAAATTCATTCTGCTCTTTTCCCTTCCCTCCCCTTACCCAAAAACATGAACTGTTTATAAAATTTTCAGAGTCTTTTCATTTGGTTTTACTTATCTGGACTCATAAGCCATGCATGGTAAATTTCAGACCTATAATTTGTGGCTTCCTGCTTCCAAGATCACTCCAGAATAGTTCTCATGTGACTGTTTTTCTAGTTAAATATTTACACATATACATGGGGTACACAGGCAGTTCATATTTGACATGATTTAACAGCATCTACATCTGTTTCTCATTATAACATGGCAGAAAAATGTGCCTACTAAACATTTTTTAAATATATTTGTTCAAAAAATTGTTTCTACTCCTAAGATGTTTTCCACATAAAGAAAACAGAAGATGATCCCCCGCCCCCAGGCCCTTTTTAATTCCCTTTCTCTGGTTCAGGTTTCTCTCTTGCTATCAATCATTGCTTTCCAAGCCTAACCAAAGCATGTGTCATGTCTTATTTTTATCAGTGTGTGAGAAGCACAAAATTAAATTGAGACGCGAAGCGGGGAAACATCTTATTTAAATTTAAAAAGCCTTCAAAAGCAGCAAGTGGCTCCGGGTGTGATACTTCAAGATTAGCAAGATCGTGTTTGAATGCACTCCCTGCCCATATAAACAAGCCTGAAGTCTGTTCCACGCTCCCAATACACGGCTCAGGCATGGGCTTTTCTTTTGGAAAGAGAGAAAATTCTTGGCTTTCAAGAGGTCTCTTAATCATCGCTGTATCCCCAAAATTTTAAATCACAACATAAATATCTGTTCTAACTCTCCGCCATCTAGTTAAGGAGGCCAATCATATTTTAGACACGAGCATTTTTTCCAAAGATATAAAACCTAAATTATGAGAATATTCCCTTCCGAGCACTAATTTAGAATAAATTGCTATTGTCTAACTTTTATTCTGTTGTTTTCAGTTTCAATCTGCAAAACTGTTTCCTCATTTTTATTCAAAAGTTATCATCTAAGTAATAAAAAAAGTGAAAAAGAATGAAAACAAAACCCCAAAACTCCTGAATTATAAATCCTAGACGCTAACCATGTAGTTCATAACTACCAAGGAAGCAAAAATAAAAGGAATAATCATTTTCAACTATTTCAAGACTTATTTTTCCAATTTGTATCTAATTCAAAACCTTGCCTTTTTCTTTTCTCTTTCCTGCTCATCTTTTGGCTACTTCACAGCTCATTTCACTCTAGAGAAAAAGAGATTGGAGAAAATAAAAAGAGATGAGACTCAATGAGTGCAACTGGCCTCAACCGCCCTGAGGAAAAGCTTTGTTTTCAAGAAGCCTAGAAAAACTGGCTCTAATACCGATTTTAGTGCATCTGAGAATTTAAATAAACCTTAATATTCTTAATTCCTGTCACTGATTAAAAAGGGTGGTAGTCAATTTTTAGACATTTTGGTTTATGGAATAATAAGAAAAGCTGTTTAAAGCTGGCTGTCACACTGTGTATCCAGAGAACCACTTCCTAGGATAGGAAGGATTGAACGTACCAATTGTGCGTGAATGAAGTATATTAAATTTCCCAAACAAAACTGTATATACATGGCCGGGCACTGTGGTACGAGCCTGTGATTCCAGCTACTTGGGAGACTAATGTGGGAGGATCGCTTGAGCCCAGGGGCTCTAGATCAGCCTGGGCAACATAGCAAGACCTCACCTTTAAAAAATTGTGTATATAATTTTATCTATAGACATATATAGAGAGACACTCACACATATACATGTGTATATATGTATATGTATATTCATGAATTCTTTTTTGTTGTTGTTGCGACAGGATCTTGCTCTGTTGCCCAGGCTGGAGCACAGTGGTACAATTATGGCTCACTAGCCTTGACCTCCTGGGCTCAAGCAATCCTCCCACCTCAGCCTCCTGACTAGCTGGGATTATAGGCGCGCACCACCACACCAGGCTAATTTTTGTATTTTTTGTAGCGACGGGGTTTCTCTGTGTTGCCCAGGCTAGTTTCGAACTTCTGGGCTCAAGCAATCCTCCCATCTCAACCTCCCAAAGTGCTGGGATTACAGGGGTTAGCCACCATGCCCAGCCTATATGTATATACATGAATAAATGTTACCTTTGAACAATATTACCTTTGAATAGTAATTCTGATGCTTCAAATATCTATGCTAATTTTAGAAGGTAAGTAACTATAATATTTGTATAAATAAAACCTACAGATGATGCAAAATAGTTTTTACTCATGAACTTATATACTAGATAAACATTTCAGGAAAGAGGGTGATACGTATATTTATAAATTTCCTTCTCAACCTTTGAAGAAGTAAAATATAAAAAGCATCCAAAAGACCCAGGTCAGGCGTTGTGGCTCACATCTGTAATCCCAGCACTTTGGGAGTCAGAGGCAGGCAGATCACCTGAGGTCAGGGGTTCAAGACTAGCCTGGCCAAAATGGTGAAACCCCATCTTTACTAAAAATACAAAAAAGTTAGCCGGGTGTGGTGGCACGAGCCTGTAGTTCCAGCTACTTGGGAGGCTGAGGCAGGAGAATTGCTTGAACCTGGGAGGCAGACGCTGCAGTGAGCCAAGATCGCACCATTGCATTTCAGCCTGGGTGACAGAGAGAGACTCTTTCTAAAAAAAAAAAAAAAAAAAAAAAAAAAACCAAGGAACCTTACAAAAGCTTTTAGAAGGTAGAGGAGGAGATAATTCTCAAGTCTTTTCATGAGGACAATGGAACCCCGATACCAAAACCTAACCTGAACATTTTAAGAAAAGAAAATTGTAGACCAGGATCTCTCATGAACATGGATGCAAAAGCTGTTACCAAAATATTTGCAAATTGAACTCAACAATAAATAAAAAAGACAATGACTGTGTGGTTACCCAAGCTTAACATTTGAAATTCAATCAATATATATCATCATATTAAAATAATAAAGGGGAAAACCACATGATTACCTTAATAGATGCCAAAAGTGCATACACCAAACTTCGAAAACATTTACGATTAAAAACTAAACAAAAAACAAAAAACCTTCAGGCATGCAAGAAATAGAAGGGAACTTCATCTGATGAAAAGGCCACCTACAGGCTGGGCAAGGTGTCTCACACCTGTAATCCCAGCATTTTGGGAGGCTGAGGCAGGAGAATCACTTCAGGCCAGGAGCTGAAGACCAGCCTGGGCAAAATGGTGAGGCCCTGCCTCTACAAAAAGTTTAAAAATTTTAAACACACACACACACACACACACACACACACCCCTATGTTTGGGAACAATGCAAATGATGTGCTATCACATACTTCTGCTATCATCGTACTGGCAGCATTAACCAATGTAATAAAATAAGAAAAAATAAAAGACTTAAAGACCTGGAAAAGAAGAGGTAAAACTGCCTCCTAAAGAAAATGTTGGCCAGGCGTGTTGGCTCACAGCCGTAATCCCAGCACTTTGGGAGGCCGAGGGAGGCAGATCAATGAGGCCAGGAGTTCAAGACCAGCCTGGCCAACATGGTGAAACTCCCTCTCTACTAAAAATACAAAAATTAGCTGGGCATGGTGGTGCATGTCTGTAATTCCAGCTACTCAGGAGGCTGAGGCATGAGAATCACTTGAGCCGGGGAGGTGGAGGTTGCAGTGAGCCGAGATTACACCACTGCACTCTAGCCTGGAGGAGAGAATGAGACTTTGTCTCAAAAAAAAAAAAATTATCTCGAAAGAAATGAGGAACCTATACTTTAAACGCAATTTTTAAATGTAGAAATTGTAATACATGAACTATACTTGAAATCTCATTCAAACAAATACACAACAAAAACAAAACAAATATATGAAACAGTTAGAGGAATTTGAACATTATTAAATATTATTGGAGAATTTCATTAATCTTTTTCGATGTGACAAGTGCTTTTAAACAAGAGATTCCAGCAGGTGTTGTCAGCTCTGCATCCCATGCCCTTGGTTCTGAACCATTGCCTTAGATACCCTGCCCAGTTTCCAACTCCCAGCATCTGAGTCCCTTTGCCTGAGGCCTTCACTAGCCCCAGATCTCCACGTGCACGAGGGACTAGAAGTGCTGAGGAATCCACACAGCTGTCCCCTCCATTCTTGCCCCTAGCGCCCCTCAACCAATCACTGTTGGGGGTTGATAAATACATATTCCAGTTCCCTTGCTCCTTGGGGACAGGGAACATATATTCTCCATGGCCTCCAGGAATTCTGCAGCAGGATTAAGCTAAAGTTGGTGGTGACAAGCTTTTTGATGTTCCCCCTATTGATTTGTTTCCCTTCCCTCTCTCATTCTGCCAAACATTTCTTTGGTATTTACAAATAAACGTTTATTTAGTATTTAGAAATAAACATTTATTTGGTATTTACAAATAAACATTTATTTGATATTTACACATAAATATTTGCATTACTATCTTTGTCTCAGGGTCTGCTTCTGGAGTAACCCAAACTAAAACAGATACATGCAGAAATATCTCAAAATGACATGATGTCTGATTCCTTCAAAATAATATGCAGAGCCTGGGTGCAGTGGCTCACACCTGTAATCCCAACACTTTGGGAGGCCGAGGTGGGCAGATCACCTGAGGTCAGGAGTTCAAGACCAGCCTGACCAACATGGTGAAACCCTGTCTCTACTAAAAATACAAAAATTAGCAGGGCATGGTGGCAGACGCCTGTAATCCCAACTGCTCGGGAGGCTGAGGCAAGAGAATCGTTTGAATCCAGGAGGCAGAGGTTGCAGTGAGCCAAGGTCGTGCCATTGCACTCCAGCCTGGATGACAAAAGCAAAACTCCATCTTAAAAATACATATATACACAGAGGGAAGGTACAGAAGAAACAAGACTGATCACATTGAAAGTTTTGAAGCTAAGTGATGGGTACAGTGGGACTTCATTTTATTATTTTGTCTACTTTGATAAGTTTGAAATTTTTCATAACAAAGTTAATTTTTTAAAATAAATGCATAAATACACTGAAAGTCAGAATGTGAAACAGACAACATTTCAAACCAGCAGAGGCATGTGGCTTATCCAACTGGCTAGCCATCTGGAACACATCTAATAAAGCTACATTTTATCAAAATAAATTGCAAGTGAATCAAATATTTGGATATATAAAATAAAATCATGGCCAGTTACAGTGGCTCATGCCTGTAATCCTAGCACTTTGGGTGCCCAAGTTGGGAGGAACACTTGAGTTCATGAGTTTGAGACCAGCCTGGGCAAGATGGCAAGACCCCATCTCTATTTGAAAAATAATAATAAAATAAATACATAAATAATAAAAAGAAAATCATAAAACTATTCCAGATAAGTGTAGGATAATTTATTCCTTTTTGGATCTGAGAAGGCTTTTCTACACAATATACAAGACCAGGTGCAGTGGCTCACACCTGTAATCCCAATATTTTGGGAGGCCAAGGCGGGCAGATCACCTGAGGTCAGGAGTTTGAGACCAGCCTGGCCAACATGGTGAAACCCTGTCTTTACTAAAAATACAAAAATTAGCTGGTCATGGTGGCAGGTGCCTGTAATCCCAACTACTTGGGAGACTGAGGCAGGAGAATCGCTTGAACCCAGGAAGCGGAAGTTGCAGTGAGCTGAGATCGCGCTACTGTACTCCAGCCTGGGTGACAGAGAGAGATTCTGTCTCGAAACAAACAAAAAAATACACAAAACCCGAATTCCAAAAAGATTAGCAAATGTGACTACATAAAATACGTTTGAGGGTTTTTTTCCAGCATGGAAAAAAAAGTACCATACAAAGTCAAAAGACAAATGATCAACTGGGAAAAATATTTCAACGCATATGACAATGAGTTCATGTCTTTCATGTATAAAGACCTCTTACAAATCAATTATAAAAGACCATTAAACCAATAGAAAAACAGGCACAAAGCTTAAAGAGGCAGTTCATAGAAAGGAAACACAAATGGCTTATGAATACAGGAAAGATAGTCCACCTCAATCATTTTAAAACAGTAAATTATCAATGAGATAAAATTTTTCATTTATTAGATGGAAATTCTCAAAACATATTCATAAGATGGCTATTAAGTGAAAAAAATCAAAACATAGAACAGTCTGTAAACTATGCCTCCACTAGTGTATAAAAACTATATATTAATATATATGCATATCCATAGATACACATAGATAAGTATATGTACATATCTGTATATGTACTTAAATATGCATAGGACATTTTTAGAACTACATTGTATAAACTGGTTAGTGATTGCTTCTGGGGAAGAGAACTAAGAGTGGGAGCCCAAAGTCTTAAGTAAGAGTAGACATCACTTCCCACCATGTAATTTTTAATGTTTAAATGTATATCTGTACTGTCTTTCCAATTAAAAAATAACTGGGTAATAAAATAATCTGAATTACTTTATTCCACAAATATTTACTGCCTGAGCATCTACTTTCTGCCAATCACTACTTAAGGGCTGGGAATAGAGGTGGGGGTGACCAACATGAAACTCTGTCCTCACAGCTCTAACATGCTCCTGGGAGGAGAATAATAAAAATCTTTAATCCTGGTCAGTCTAGTAATTTTGACTGCAACTTAATTAATGCTTTCTTTGAGTGTGCTTTTTTGGGGTGTGCTTTTTGACGGTGAATATATTTAGTTTTATATAAAATCACTACTCTAGAAACACATTCTTTAGAACAGACACAATAATTGCCATCATAATTTGAACAGGCCTTGACAAGTGAGAAGAAATGAGAAGAGGTTTGTTGTTCAAGCCTCCATGCATAGCCACATTATTTAAGAATTTCATTCTTGGCTGGGCACAGTGGCTCACGCTTGTAATCCCAGCATTTTGGGAGGCCGAGGCAGGTGGATCCCTTGAGCTCTGGAGTTCAAGACCAGCCTGGACAACATGGCAAAACCCCATCTCTACAAAAAATACAAATATTAGCCAGGTATGGTGGTGTGTGCCTGTGGTCCCAGCTACTTGGGAGGCTGAGGTGGGAGGCTTGAGCCCAGGAGGCAGAGGCTGCAGTGAGCCAAGATTGCACCACTGCATTCCAGCCTGAGTGATAGAGCCAGACCTTGTCTCAAAAAAAAAAAAAAAGAAAAGAAAAAAGCTGTTAACATTGTTTCACATAGTAAAAATACACATTTTGGCAGATGACATAATCCTCTATCTAGAAAACCCCATCACCTCAGCCCAAAACCTTCTTAAGCTGATAAGCAACTTCAGCAAAGTCACAGGATACAAAATCAATGTGCAAAAATCACTAGCATTCCTATACATCAACAACAGGCAAATAGCCAAATCATGAATGAATTCCCATTCACAATTGCTACAAAAAGAATAAAATATCTAGGAATATAGCTAAGGATGGAAGAAAAGGACCTCTTCAAGGAGGCCTAAAACCACTGCTCAAAGAAATCAGAGAGGACACAAAAAAATGGAAAAACATTCCATGCTCTTGAATCGGAAGAATTAATATCATGAGAATGGCCATATTGCTCAAAGTAACTTATGGATTCAATGCTATTCTCATTAAACTACCATTGACATTCTTCACAGAATTAGAAAAAACTATTTTAAAATTCACATGGAACCAAAAAAGAGCCCAAATAGCCAAGACAATCCTAAGCAAAAAGAACAAAGCTGGAGACATTATGTTACCCAACTTCAAACTATACTACAAGGCTACAGTAACCAAAATGTCATGGTACTGGTACAAGAACAGACACATAGACCAATGGAAGAGAAAAGAGATCTCAGAAATAAGACCACACACCTACATCCATCTGATCTTCGACAAACCTGACAAAAACAAGCAATGGAGAAAGAATTCCCTATTCAATAAATGGTGCTGAAATAACTGGCTAGCCATATGCAGAAGACTGAAACTGGACCTCTTCCTTACACCTTATACAAAAATTAACTTAATATAGATTGAAGACTTAAATGTAAAACCCAAAACCATAAAAACCCTAGAAGAAAATCTAGGCAATACCATTCAGGACATAGTCACAGGCAAAGATTTCATGACGGAAATGCCAAAAGTAATTGCAACAAAAGCAAAAATTGACTAGTGGGATCTGACTAAACTAAAGAGCTTCTGCACACCAAAAGAAACTATCATCAGAGTGAATAGAAAATCTACAGAATGAGAGAAAATTTCTGCAATCTATCCATCTGACAAAGGTCTAATATCCAGAGTCTACAAGGAACTTAAACAAATTTACAAGAAAAAAACAAACAAGCCCATTAAAAAGTAGACAAAGAACATGAATAAACACTTCTCAAAAGAAGATGTACATGTGGCCAAAAAACATATGGGGAAAAAAAGCTCAAAATCACAGATTATTAGAGACATGCAAATCAAAACCACAATGAGATACCATCTCACGCCAGTCAGAATGGCCATTAATAAAAAGGCAAAAAAACAACACATATTGGTGAAGTTGCTGAGAAAAAGGAACACTTTTACACTGTTGGTGGGAATGTAAATTAGTTCAACCATTGTGGAAAACAGTGTAGCAATGCCTCAAAGACCTAGAGGCAGAAATACCATTTGACCCAGCAATCCCATTACTGGGTATGTACCCAAAGGAATAGAAATCATTCTATTATAAAGATACATGCACACATATGTTCATTGCAGCACTATTCACAGTAGCAAACACATGGAATCAACCTAAATGCCCATCAATGATAGACTGGATAAAGAAAATGTGGTCCATATACACCATGGAATACTAGGCACCCATAAGAAGGAAGGAGATCACGTCCTTTGTAGGGATATGGATGGAGTTGGAAGCTGTTATCCTCAGCAAACTAATGCAGAAAGAGACAACCAAATACAACATGTTCTCAGTGAGAGCTGAATGATGAGAACACATGGACACATGGGGGCTAACAACACACACTGGGGCCTGTCAGAGGAGGGTGGTTGGGGGAGGGGGAGCATCAGGAAGACTAGCTAATGGATGCTGGGCTGAATACTTATGTGATGGGTTGATCTGTGCAGCAAACCACCATGGTACACATTTACCTATGTAACAAACCTGCACATCCTGTACGTGCACCCCTGAACTTAAAAGTTGAAAAAAATACACATTTTGGTTAAAGAACAAGTCAAACTAAATTAGAACAAATTCTAAAGCGTGGCTGATGAACACTAGGCTTGCCCAGTGCTCTGTCAAAAAAGGGATCCTTGGCCAATCAACTGGGAAATACTGCTTATTAAATTTCTCCTAAATAAAAAATATTCCCCACCTTGGAGATTTACAACACCTGTTAACGTATTAGCAGCCCTAAGAAGTTCTTCAATGGAGGCCAGGCATAGTGGCTCACACCTGTAATCCCAGCAGTTTGGGAGGCTAAGACAGGCAGATGACTTCAGCCCAAGAGTTCAAGACCAGCCTCGGCAACATAGCAAGACCCCAAATCTATTTTCTAAAAAGAAAATTAAAAAAAAAAAAATGTTAAGGAAATCCTTCAATGGAGAACTTTTTTTGCTTAACTTTTTAATCTTTCTCTCTCTCCTCTTTCTCTCCTCTCTCTGCCTCAAGTGTGTCCTTTGACTTCATTTGAGACTCTCTTCAGGCCTAGTGTACTCGTTTCTAAAATGTAAGAGCTCAGACCAGATGAAGTCAATGGTTCCTATTCTACTTTATCATTCCAGGTTCCCGGTCTCACTTTAGAAAAATTAAGCAATTGAAGCATTCGATGTTATTGCTTTGAAACCCAGCCAAATAAATAATCATCAGCTATTACTGAACTTCAAAGTATTCTGTATGATTGATTAATGTCATATGAAGTGATACTCAAATCACTGGTGCATTCATGAATACCAAGAAAAAAATTTATATCTTTTTTCAAAGCAACTTAGTATAAATCTTAAAAGATGGCAGAAAAAAATAATCGCAGTCAAAAAGGTGTTAGTTCAGACTCTAATGTTTCCAGGACACAGGAAAAAAAGTTTTTAAATTACATTTTAAAAATCTGCCACGTGCAGTGGCTCATGTCTGTCATCCCAGCCCTTTGGGAGGTCGACGGGGGAGAATCACTTGAGGCCAGGAGTTTGAAACCTGCTTGGGCAACATGGCAAGACCCTGTCTCTAAGAATTTTTTTTTTAATCAGCTGAGAGTAATATTTTTAGGTAACTATTCACAAGAACAGCTATGTCAGCCAGGCACAATGGCTTACACTTGTAATATCAACATTTTGGGAGGCTGAAGCAGGAAGATCACTTGAGCTCAGGAGTTTGAGATCAGCCTGGGCAACAAAGTGAGACTCTGCCTCTACAAAAAATAAAAAAAATTAGCCAGGTGTGGTGGCACATGCCTGTAGTCCCAGCTACTCAGGAGGCCGAGGTGGGAGGATCACTTGAGCCCAGGAGGCTGCAGTGAGCCATGACCGCGCCACTGCCCTCCAGCCTGAGTGACAGAGCCAGACCCTGTTGCAAGAAAAAGAAAAAAAAAGAAAGAAAGAGAGAGAGAGAAAGAAAAAGAAAGAAAGAAAGAAAGATCCAAAAACTAAAAAAAAAACAGTTTTGTTATGAATTCCTAGATTCGTCATGCAAAAAAGAAAGTGAAATTTTTTTTTTCACCAATTCTCTACTCATTTTCCTCGCAAACAGCTCGGCACTAGCTTAGTGGCGAATTCACATGCTTCCAAAAAGTGAGAGAGCAAATTAGAAAAGACTGGATCACCTGACATCAGGAAATGCTCATCTGAGCTCAAATCAGGAGAGTCTTTGTTTTGAATCTTTGTTTTTCTTCAGCAAACTCCAAAGTACTTCCCAGCCCCACTCTGGCCTCCGTGCTGTCCAAACTTCTTACTAGTTTGTAGCTAACCTGAAGCTGCCATCTGAGAAAATACAGCACAACCTACCTCCGTCCCAAGGAGCACTCTCTCAGTCTCATGGCAAGAAGAAAGTGAGAAGACTACATGTGGGCTTAGAACAACTGAAATTCACTATTACCCACCAGATTACTTCCTTATAAGGATAATCTTCTCGGATAGAGCACAGCAATGACCAACAACAACAAATGCAAAATCCAATTTAAAAAAACAACACATATAGGACAAAAGAGATCCAATTCAGTACACTCCCCTGAAAGAAAATGGGGTGGGAAACAACTTTCCTTTTAACAGAATACCAGCAGGAGCAACGGGACTTCTACAATTATAGCCTCTTTTTTTTTTTTTTTTTTTTTTTTTTTAAGACAGGATCTCTCTCTGTCACCCAGGGTGGAGTGCAGTGGCACAATCATAGCTCACTATATAGCCTCAACCTCCTGGACTCAAGCAATTCTCCCACCTCGGTCCCCCGAGTAGCTGAGAACACAGACATCCAGCTAATTTTTTTTATGATCGGTAGAGATAAGGTCTTACTATGTTGCCCAGGCTGGTCTAAGTCCTGGGCTCAAGCGATCCACCCGCCTCACCTCCCAAAGTGCTGGGATTACAGCCATGACCTCCACGTCTGGCCAGCCTCTCTTTCAACTAATGCTCTGCCTAAGGAAGTTGTCTTATATGCAAATTTAAAACCAATCCAAGCATTTTCTCTTACAGCACCCCTCACAAGTATGTTCAGCTGTGGAACTGGGCCTTCCTAAGTTCTGATTCTGTCTTGAATTTATCAGGACACCTTACTTCCAATCTTTCAAGAGGCAAAATAGTCTGGCTTAGTGGTTGACACAGCATTTTCTACAGCCTACTGTCAAAGGCAAAACCTTAACAAAGGAATTCTTTCCTTCCATATTTAAAAATGTTGGAGGAGGTAGCTAGGCAGACATGAGCAGGGCAGGAGAGGGCTCCTTCCTACCCCAGGGATGTCAGACAACTGTCAAGTGATAGTCAGGCAGTTGTTAGTCTCTCTAAAATAATAATTCAGGAGGCCGAGGCGGGTGGATCACTTGAGATCAGGAGTTTGAGACCAGGCTGGCCAACGTGGCAAAACCCCGTCTCTACTAAAAATACAAAAATTAACCAGGTATGGTGGCATGTGCCTGAAGTCCCAGCTACTCAGGAGACTGAAGCAGGAGAATTCCTTGAACCCGGGAAGTGGAGGCTGCAGTAAGCTGAGGGTCACACTGCTGCACTCCAGCTGGGGCGATAGAGTGAGACTCTAAAAATAAATAAATAATTGAGAATTTGAGAGAGAAAGAAAGAAAGAAAAGAAAAGAAGAAGAAGAAGGGAGGAAGGGAGGAAGGGGAAGGAAAGAGAAAGAAAGAAAGGAAAGAAAGAAAGAAAGAAAGAAAGAAAGAAAGAAAGAGAGAGAAAAAGAAAGAGAGAGAGAGAAAGAAAGAGAACGAAAGAAAGAAAGGAAAAGAAAGAAAGGGGAAGGAAGAAAAGAAAGAAACTTAAAAAAAGAGCAGTTTTATGACTTCAATAAATGGAAGAAATAATAATATAATAATTTGTTGCAGTCAGTACCAAGGAAAGGCAGTATCCCAATAGATAGAAAACACCCGAAGCTGGTGATCAGCAGCTTCCCAATAAGATCCCAGGCATTGGAGAGTAGGCTCAAGCATGTGCACTAAGAGGCAAAATGGCAGAGTTTAAGCTGGTATATGACCTTCCTTGAGGAACACTCGACTCAACAAAAATCCTCAAATGAGCATTCATACAGCTCTACTAAACACATATGCATGCAGCCCCTCCCAAGTGCTGAAAGGCCACTGTGGGTGAGGACAGCCCACCCCAAGGAAAAAATCAAGGGAGGAGAGACACAAACCCCAGAACCATGACAGTGCAGAAGACCCCCAGTCAAAGGTCTGATAGGGCACTTGGTTTTCTCAAGCTGCTCCCTTGGCCCTCTTCCAAGTTTACATCCTTTCATTACTGCTCTGAAACTTTTTAATAAACTTTCACTCCTGTTCTAAAACTTGCCTCAGTCTCTCACTCTCACTCTCCCTTATGCCCCTCAGCCAAATTCTTTCCTCTGAGGAGGCAAGAATCGGTTGCTACAGACAACCGATTTGTTGCCACTGCTAACAAAAAGTGCAATTCTCACCAATGAAACTCCGCCATAATTTTTATTAAGTCACATGCAGAACAAATGCAACTGAAATATCAGGGATCATGATATTTTTATACTTCTCTCCTTGCACAGCATCTGACCTGTTGATAACTGTTTTTTTGTGTGTGAGTGGTTTTTTTTTTTTTTTTTACTGTTTTTTTAGAGATAGGGTCATGCTATGTTGCCCAGGCTGGTCTCAAAGTCTGCCAGGATTACAGGCATAAACCACTGTACCCGGCCCATGTTGATAACTTTTTATGATACAAATTCATCTTCTGGTGAAAACCAGTGAATGACAAATACTTACCTGGTAGTTTAAGTCTATATGTGAAGATGCTATGTTTCAAGAATCAAGTTTTATGTGATTTTTGTGTTTAAAAACTTTCAATTAAAAAATCTTGAAAACTGAAGAGATTCTCTCCTTCATCACATAAAACTGGGGATTCCAGCATTTTATACAGGTTCTGCTTGAATTCCTACATCTCCTATGCTAATTAAGAGTGCTCTCTCCCTGTCCCATCTGTGCAGACTTCTAAATCACTAGAGAGATCACCAGGTAGAATGTCAGCACAGCTATCCTCCAAGCCTAAGATTAGTTGTCACTTAGTGAATGAGGCTCAAGAGAGCAATAGAGACTGAGTCAGGCACTCTGTTGTAAAATAGGCACATTACAAGGTCAGAGAAAGCTGTCAGTAAAAATATGTGTGATTGGAAGGGCCTCAAAATGCCTTACAACAGCTTGATGCTCATCTGAGCTTGAAGCAGGCCTGATGGAAACGCTAAGGGGATCTTGGTCAGAGAGAATCGAAAAACAATTGATCTAACGGAAAACCCAGCATTTTTTACCCCCAATTTACTCCTGCCTTCTGGAAACTTTAGAAGCTTAGCCTTGTCTCTCATCTTAGGCTCCCAACGCTAGATTAACTTCATTTCCTGATGGTCTTCAGGGTGTTACTGGAACTGAAGTCTTGAGTTGGATCTTCAAACAAGCCAATTCATTTAGTTGTTTTTTGTGATGATTAATACTGAGTGTCAACTTGATTGGATTGAAGGATGCAAAATATTGATCCTGGGTGTGTCTGTGAGGGTGTTGCCAAAGGAGATTAACAATTGAGTCAGTGAGCTGGGGAAGGCAGATCCACTCTTAATCTCGGTGGGTACCATCCAATCAGCTGCCAGCAAATATAGCAGGCAGACAAATATGAAAAGGCAAGACTGGCTTAGCCTCCCAGCCTACACCTTTCTCCTATGCTGGATGCTTCCTGCCCCTGAACATCAGACTCCAAGTTTCTTCAGTTTTCGGACTCAAACTGGCTCTCCTAGCTCCTCAGCTTCAGACAGCCTATTGTGGGACCTTGTGATCGTGGGAGTTAATATACTTAATAAATTCCCCTTTATATATACATATATATATACACACACACACATATATATACACATATATATGTATACAAGTATACATATATACGTACATATGTATACAAGTATACATGTATACATATATGTGTATATGTGTGTATATGTATATATGTGTATATATAGTGCGTTTGTGTATATATGTGTGTATGTATATATGTGTATGTATATATATGTGTATGTATATATGTGTATATATGTATGTGTGTATATGTGTATATATGTATATATATGTGTGTGTGTAAATATATATATACATATTTACCATGACTCACACATTTCTTTAGTCACAGACTGCCCCTCCACCCTAATATCTCATACAACATGCAAGGGCTTAACAGAAATGAGTATTAGGAGAGAGAAATAAATAAATAAAGTATATCCACCATCTTCATGTACAACGGATAGCACTTCATTATAGAGAAAGACACAGAAATGAGAAAAGCTGAAACAATCTTCAAAAACACATGGCGTAGCTTCATTATTGGGCAGCTAACATTTAGAGGTCTAGATCAGGCATTTATCAGCCCACAGTTATGGGGTAGATGGGTCAGATAGTTTGGCAATCCCAGTTCACCCTTAGTTGGAAGCATCTGACTGTCTAACTCATACATCAGTGTTAGTAACTCATAACAATTTAAAGACCTTCTCTTTTCAAACATATGCTCATTTTAACCCAGATATAACAGCATAAAGAGTCTAGCAGTAAAAAGTCTAGGCTGTGAACAGTTATCACTAACAAGATGGACACATTTGGAAAGCCACCGAAACTCTTTGGCTCTCAGTTCCCCATCCATAAAGTGGAAGGGTTACAGTACATGAAGTCAAAATTTCTTCTAGCTAAAGTATGTTTGGTATCTATGACTCTATAAAGAAAGCCTAACTATAAGGCATCAAAGGCAAGTGAGTAAGGTTCTCCCAACCCACCCAAGTGCAAGGCTAAGGATACATGCCCCATGGGATGACCCAGGCTGGGAGGCACGAAGGAGCAGAAGATCAATAGACTTGAATTCAAACTTTACCTAGATGATAAATCAACAGAGACAACTTATTGATGAAGGTCAGGCAACAGAATGCTCTAGAGTGGGGAAACCTTACATAAGAGACCTAAAGTTCAAGCCTCAGCTTAGCCATTGACTAGTAGAATGGCCTTGGACAGGCCACTTAACTCTTCTGAGCCACAGTTTCCCCAATGGGTGTATTACTATCTGCTCCACATATAGACAACTCAGTATTTGTATTGTTGGAGCTCAGAAACTGATACCTCAAAATATGGTCCTTTGATATACTGAACTAAAGAAGCCTCAAGGTCTCTCTGATTTTCCCCCACCTCCCAACCTCACTGTCTCACCCAAAGCATAAGATGAAGCTAAAGTTCCTTTATCTGCCTAAGATCCAGACCCACCAAGAATAATTGTTTTTTTCTTCCCCTCCCTGTAAAACCAAGAATATAACCACACCTAAACAGATCGTGTCACAAGATAATGTCACAGTATTTTGGGAGGCCAGGATGGGAGGATCACTTTAGCCCAGGAGTTTGAGACCAGCCTGGGCAACATAGTGAGACCCTGTCTCTACAAAAATAAAATAAAATAAAATAAAAAGATAATGTCTATCTGTCAGATCATTCCAGTTCCAAAGATAACTATTTACATATTGATCTCTCTTCCCAGATACATTTATTCTCCCTAGTAATTCCCTCAACAGAACTCCTCTTCTCTGTGCCCCATCTTGCCACATAATATGTTTTGCCAGGATGGGACATGAGCTTCTGAACCCCAATGGGGAATGGATAATCACTTTCCTTGTGTACACGTTAATAAAATCTGTATGCCTTTTCTCCAGTTAATCTGCCTTTTGTGAGTTGATTTTCCAGTGAACCTTCCAAGGAGAAGTTCCCCTTGGCCCATACAGTATCAATATAAGAAAATGTGCACACAGCAAAGAAAACAAACAACAGAGTGAAGATACAACCTGTTGAAGGTCGAGCACGGTGGCTCATGCCTGTAATCCCAGCACTTTGGGAGGCCAAGGTGAGAGGATTGCTTGAGCCCAGGAGTTGAAGACGAGCCTGGGCAACATAGCAAGACCCTCATCTCAAAAAAATAAATAAGTAAAAGAAAAAGAGAAGATACAACCTGTTGAATGGGAGAAAATATCAGCAAACTATTTATCCAAGAAGGGACTAATATTCAGAATAACAAGGAACTCACTCAAACAACTTAACAGTAACAAATCAAATAATCTCATTAAAAATGAGCAAAGGACATGAATAGACATTCTCAAAAGACATACAAATGACCAATAGATATATTAAAAAACACACAACATCACTAACTTGCATTGGGGAAATGCAAATCAAAACCACAATGAAAATGAAGGAAAAAACTGCAATGAAATATCATCGCATGCCAGTTAGAATGGCTATTATTTAAAAAACAAAAGTAACAGATGCTGGTGAGGAGGTGGAGAAAAGGGAACACATATACTGTTGGTGGAAATGTAAATTAGTATAGCCACTGTGGAAAATAGTATGAAGATTTCTTTAAAAACTAGAAATAGAACTACCATATGCTCCCACATTCCCACTATTAGGTACTTATCCAAAGGAAAAGAAATCAGTATATATAAGGAATACCTGTGCTTGCATGTTTATTGTAGCACTATCCACAATAGCAAAGATATGGAATCAACCTAAGTGTCCATCAATGGACAAATAGATGAAGAAAATGTGGTATATGTACACAATGGAATATCATTTGGCCATAAAAAAGAATGAAATCATGTCATTTGCAGCAATATGGATGGAACCGAAGGTAATTATGTTAAGTGAAATAAGCCAGGCACAGAAAGACAAATATCACATGTTCTCACTCACATGTGGAAGCTAAAAAAGTTGATCTCGTGGAGATAGAGAGTAGAATGATAGATACCAGTGGCTGGGAAGGGTATGTGTGTTGGGAGGATGAAGAAAGATTGGTCAATGGATACAAATATACAAACATACAGTTAGATAGGAGGAAAAGTTCTCTTTTTTTTCTTTTTTTTTGAGACCAAGGTCTCACTCTGTTACCCAGGCTGAAGTGCAGTTGCATAATCACGGCTCACTGCAGCCTCGACTGCTCAGTCTCAAGCTATCCTCCTGCCTCAGCCTCCCAGGTAACTGGGACTACAAGCATGTGCCACCATGCACAGCTAAGTTTTTAAAAATTTTTTGTTGAGACAAGGTCCCACTGTGTTGAGGCTGGTCTTGATCTCCTGGGCTCAAGTGATTCTCCCACCTCGGTCTCCCAAAGTGCTGAGACTACAGGCGTGATCAATCATGCCTGGCCTAGAAAGAATGAGTCTTATATTCAATAGCAGAGTAGAGTGACTATAGTTAATAACATTGCATTATATATTTCAAAATAGCTGTAAGAGAGGACTTGAAATGTTCCCACCACATAGAAATGATAAATACTGGAAGTGATGGAAACCTTAAGTACCCTGACTTGATCCTCACACATTCTATGCATGTAACAAAATATCATATGTAATCCATAAATATGTATAAATATTGTATATCAAGAAAAAAGAAAAAATGTGCACAAACATACTCAATAAATTATAAAACAGCCAGAGCTCAGAAGTTCTATGCGAATAGGCATTTGTAATTTAGAAGGAGATTTCCTTCTCAAAATAGAGCAAAAGCGGAAAGAAAAAGGCTAGAAAAAGACTTTTGAGAAAACAGCTTCCTACTTTCCCATTCTTTAGATATAGACACTGAGTGTGAATTTAAGAAACTTCTCTAGTCTTTCCAAGAGAAAGAGGTACCGCCTTTCCATGGAAATGTCTGAATAATAAAAAGGTTGCTAAACCTGAATCTTTGTCACACTTACTCAAAGCCCCAGACCATGCAATGACATTCAGATAAGCAAAAGAATCTCTGAGTCTCTCTTTTATACCAGGAGACAAGACACAAGTTACAGGGTAGGCAAAGAGGCCAGGCCTCAGCAGCTGAATTAGCCAATGTATGTGAGTTATTATGAAAAAAGAGGCACAGCAACGAGGAAAGAGATTTGGCCACAGTCAAATTTCCGTTATTTGTGGGGTAGAAAGGGGAGGAGGGAGGAACCAGGTTGGCTAGGAAGAAAAGTGTTAAGAAACAAAGCTATTTTCACCTAAGGGCAAATGTATGAACTCAGTGCTATATAATGTGAGAAGAAAACTAGCTCTGAGCAGTCTAAGCTTTGTGGTGTATGCAAAAGTGATCAGGCCCAGGAAGACTCGAGTAGAGGACTTCAGTGACATATCCATACCACCCTTACCCTGGGGCACTTGTTTAAAGTCACTTTGGACCATGGTTCCTGCCTGTAATCCCAGATAGTAATACGCCCATTGGGGAAACTGTGGCTCAGAAGAGTTAAGTGGCCTGTCCAAAGCCATCCTACTAGTCAATGGCTAAGCTGAGGCTTGAACTTTAGGTCCCTTATGTAAGGTTTCCCCACTCTAGAACATTCTATTGCTTGACTTTCATCAATAAGTTGTCTCTGTTGATTTATCATCTAGGTAAAGTTTGAATTCAAGTCTATTGATCTTCTGCTCCTTCATGCCTCCCAGCCTGGGTCATCACATGGGGCATGTATTCTTAGCCTTGCACTTGGGTGGGTTGGGAGAACCTTATCACTTGCCTTTGATGCCTTATAGCTAGGCTTTCTTTATAGAGTCATAGATACCAAACATACTTTAGCTAGAAGAAATTTTGACCTCATGTACTCTAACCCTGCCACTTTATGGATAGGGAACTGAGAGCCAAAGAGTTTCGGTGATTTTCCAAATGTGTCCATCTTGTTAGTGACAACTGTTCACAGCCTAGACTTTTTACTGCTAGACTCTTTATGCTGTTATATCTGGGTTAAAATGAGCATATGTTTGAAAAGAGAAGGTCTTTAAATTGTTATGAGTTACTAACACTGATGTATGAGTTAGACAGTCAGATGCTTCTAACTAAGGGTGAATTGCGATTGCCAAACTATCTGACCCATCTACCTCATAACTGTGGGCTGATAAACGTCTGATCTAGACCTCTAAATGTTAACTGCCCAATAACGAAAATCCTAGTATTTTCAGAGGCCAAGGTAGAGAATCACTCTAGAACCCAGGAGTTTGAGACTGGCCTGGGCAACATGATGAAAACTTGTCTCCAAAAAACATACAAAAAATTAGCCAGGCATGGTAAAGCACACCTGTGGTCCCAGCTACTCAGGAGGCTGAGACAGGAGGATCGCTTGAGCCCGGGAGGTGGAGGTTGCAGTGAGCTGAGACTTCAGTGAGCCAAGACTGCAACACTGCACTCCAGCCCGAGTGACACAGCAAAACCCTGCCTCTAAAAAAATAAGAAAAATAAAATCACTTTGTTCCTGCCTAGCTGCCTCACCCATTATCTTCATGCACAAAAAACAACATACAGCCCATGAATAGCTTGTTATTTCAATGTAAATTATTGGTAAACAATTTAGGAACTGCCTCTTCTTTTTTCCTTTAAAAACCCACCTGTAACTGCTGCTAATCAGGGTGTATATTCAGGGCAACTTGAATCTGTGCTCCTCGGTGGCCATTCTCAAGATTTAGGTTCAAATAAACTCTATACTTGATCATATTTTCTGAATCTCATTATTTAATTTTGACCAATATAATTACATAAAAGTGTGTTAACCCCTAAATGAGAGAGGAGAAGAGCCTAATCATTTTTTAAAAATTAAATTCAACCAAGTTCATTTGGTTCAATCAACTGTCCATGAATTCTCAAAATAGTGTAAGAACAGCAAGAGTACATTGAGTAATAATTTATTTTATTTACTTACTTTTATCTTTTTTTAATCTTTAATTTTTTTTTTTTTTTAATTTAGAGATAGCGTCTTGCTATATTGCCCAAGCTGGCCTCAAACTCCAGGCCTCAAGCATTGCTCCCGTCCAAAGTGGTGAGTGGTGGGATTACAGGCATGAGCCATTATGCCTGGCGTTTTTTGTTTGTTTGTTTGTTTGTTTGTTTGTTTTTTGAGAGGTTCTCGCTCTGTTACCCAGACTGTAGTGCAGTGGTGCAATCGCAGCTCACTGCAGTCTCAAACTCCTGGGATCAAGTGATTCTTCCACCTCAGCCTCCCCAGTAGCTGGGACTACAAGCGCACACCACCACCACATCCAGCTAATTTTAAAAAATATTTTTGTAGAGATGGGGTCTCACTATGTATAACCCAGGCTCGTCTGGAACACTTGGGCTCAAGCGAGCCACCCCCCTCACCTCCCAAAGTGCTGGGATTACAGGCATGAGCCGCCGCTCCTGGCCAAGTGATAATTTAATTTCAAGCATGTTCAAGTTGTAAATAACGTCAGTAATGGGAGTGGGGGAAACCTGCTAGCAAGAGGAAACTGAGTGGGGATCCAGAGTTAGATCAAGGCTGGAAAGATGGGTGCTCAACATATTGCAGAGTAGCAGCTGAAGATACTTGAGGCTAGGGAACTTCCCGAGTCTCTAGAGTGAACCCCGAAAATTTGAGGCGGGTCTCAGTTAATTTAGAAAGGTTATTTTGCCAAGGTTGAGGATGCGCGCCCGTGACACAGCCTTAGGAAGTCTTGACGACATGTGCCCAAGGTGGTCAGGGCACAGCTTGGTTTTATAGATTTTATTTTTTAATTTATTATTATTATTATTATTTTTGAGACGGAGTCTTGCTCTGTCGCCCAGGCTGGAGTGCAGTGGTGTGATCTCGGCTCACTGCAACCTCTGCCTCCCCGGTTCAAGCAATTCTCCCGCCCCAACCTCCCTAGTAGCTGGGATTACAGGCGTGCACCACCAATGCCCAGTTAATTTTTGTGTTTTTAGTAGAGACAGGTTTTGCCATGTTGGCCAGGCTAGTCTCAAACTCCTAAACTCAGGTGATCTGCCCACCTCAGCCCTCCCAAAGTGCTGGGATTACAGGCATGAGCCACTGCGCCCAGCCAGTTTTATACATTTTAGAGAGACATGAGACATCAATTAAAATATGTAAGAAGGGCCAGGCGCGGTGACTCACGCCTGTAATCCCAGCACTTTGGGAGGCCGAGGTGGGCGGATTACCTGAGGTTGGGAGTTCGAGATCAGCCTGATCAACATGGAGAAACCCTGTCTCTACTAAAAACACAAAATTAGCCAGGCGTGGTGGCACATACCTGTAATCCCAGCTACTCAAGAGGGTGAGGCAGGAGAATCGCTTGAACCCAGGAGGCAGAGGTTGCGGTGAGCAAAGATCATGCCATTGCACTCAGCCTGGGCAACAAGAGCAAAACTCCGTCTCAAAAAAAAAAAAAGAAATATATATATGTGTGTATATATATGTGTGTGTGTGTGTATGTACACATATTATATTTATATATCATATATACAAAGTGTATATATATGTAAGAAGTACATTGGTTAGGTCCAAAAGGCAGAACAACTTGAAGCAAAGGCAGGAAGGCTCAAAGTGGAGAGGGGGCTTCCAGGTCACAGATAGGTGAGAGACAAGCTGTTGCATTCTTCTGAGTTGCTGATCAGCCTTTCCAAAGGAGGCCATCAGATATGCATTTATCACAGTGAGCAAAGGAATAACTTTGAATAGACTGGGAGACAGGTTTGCCCTAAGCAGTTTCCAGCTTGAGTTTTCCTCTTAGCTTAGTGATTTTGGGGGCTCAAGATATTTTCCTTTCACACTAGGGACAGCAACACAGGGTGCCAAGAACTAAATCAAATAAGAGTCCATAGTTAAAAGAAAAAATTCAAGAGAGATGGAGTACAAGTCGCCAGGGTGGAAGAGGCTGAAAGCCCTTGGGGCTTGAAGCCTACAGAAGGGATCATTTGGGGATGGAGGTTATGATTGATATTGAAAGGAATGCTGAATCCAGAAAGATTAGCATGAGAAAGATCCTAGATTTGACCAAAATGGAACCTTTGAGAGGGGTCTGAATAGAGTGCAATGAACAAAACACGCAGGAAGTTTGCCAGGCTAAATCAGTTCCGGATCTTTTAATAGAGTGTGTGAATTTCCCAAGCTTCCTCCTTTTTCATCTTTCTTCCTCCTTTTGGCTCTTTTTCCTGTGTCCACTGGAAGGTTCAATGCGTAAGGAAAGATAAAACTAATTGTGAAATCTATTAAATGATTAGGGAAGAAATTACACAAACACTAAAGTTGGAATGAACCTTTACAGATTGTGTGGATGTGTTTTATCATTACCATCATTCTGAGTTGATTATATTAAACCTTAATAATTTATAATGTCTGTATGCCTTCACCTAAAAAGAAGAGTGTGATGTGTAAGCCTTGAACTGCTGCCTGAGCTTCAGCTGCTACCCACTTGGATTGATAACGTAAAGGAAAATTTAAGTATCTCAGGACTCCCAAACCCCTTATGTCAAAGAGGTTAAGCATAGAGGTTGAGTCATGCAACATCCTTTTCCAAATGAATAGCCGTTACTGGCATGCATTACCCAGACTCCCATAGAAAGGCAAAAGGCCTCAGGCGTCTCCCGAGACTGCTCCCACAGATCATTTGAAGTAAATTCTTTGCTGGCCTCCCATAAGCATGGACATGCCAATTACACTTTAGGTCTGCAGTCTAAGTCTAGCTCCTAAACCTGAAGTCTGTTTGATTCCACACCAATAACGTCATTACAAGCTTATTTTCCCAGGTACAGAACAAAGACAAGATCAATCATACCTCCACTTACCCAAAGACCTCTGCATAACTGAGTCTTCCTTTACTCCCTTTTTTAAATTTTATTATTCACCTTGTCTTATGTAAAATGTAGATTTCTGGGCATTGACTAAAGTCTCACAAGAATGTAACCATTCCTCTTACTACCTACTCACCCCTCTCCCTACATGCCTTCCCCCTTTTCAGGATGGAGAGCAGTGGCATGATCATAGCTCACTACAGCCTTGACTTTTGCGACTCAAGTGATCCTCCCACCTCAGCCTCCTGAGTAGCTGGGATCACAGGCATGCACCACCACACCTGGCAATTTTTTTCAATTTTTGTAGAAACAGTGGCAGGGTGAGGGGCTGAGGAGGGGGAGGCAGGCAAGGCTGGATTTTGCTGTTACTCAGGCTGGTCTCAAACTCCTGGTCTCAAGTGATCCTCCTGCCTCAGCCTCTGAAAGTACTAGGATTACGGGCATGAGCCACTGCGTCTAGCCTCCTTCCCCGTTTAAGGAAATGTGTAAATACTAAACCTCCTAAATATCTCTTCAGAAAAACAGCTGCAAGGCTGAGTATGGTGGCTTATGCCTGTAATCCCAGCACTTTGGGAGGCTGAGGCCAGTGGATCACCTGAGTCCAGGAGTTTAAGACCAGCCTGGGCATACGGCAAGACCCTGTCTCTACAGAAAATACACAAGAAAACTAGTAAGGCTTGGTCACATGGGCCTGTAGTCCCAGCTACTCAGGAGGCTGAGGCAGGAGGATCACTTGAGCCCAGGAGCTGAAGGCTGCAGTGAGCTGAGATACCACCACTGCACTCCAGCCTCGGCAAAAGAGCCAGACGCTATAAAAGAGAGAGAGAGATAGAGAAAACAGCCACAGGTGTGTCTGTGGCTCGAGTTTTTCCCAGAAACGCCCTAAAGCTGGCCTAATAAGCCTCAATTCATTGAGCCCTTTCCCTCAGTCACTCATTTCGGTTATCATAATATTTTCTCAAAGCCACTGCATCTTTTTGTTGAGCATTATGTCATGTGCTTCTAGGGCTACAAAAGGGAAATAAGTGAAATAAGAAGAAAAAGAAGAAATTTCCTTTTCCTCCTATTCAATTAGTGGAAAGAAGATGTTAAAAGATTTAACATCATGCTTTGCCTACAAAACTCAGGAAAGTGCCATTTTATTAGGTGCAATACAAGTGTATGAAAACTCTCCCTATCATCAAACTTCCAAAATGCTCCACTTCCCTGGGAAAGCTTTTCCTCCCCAAGTCGCCTCACTTCCCACCATTTCTCCATGTTGATCAGAGAAGTCTCAGTGGCCTCAACCTATCAACCAGCCTTCTTTCCTCCGCCAATCTGACCCAATTATGCACTCACTCTGTCTCTAAAATTACTCACATTGACCCAGGTGTGCTGTGACTGCTGTAGGTGTTGTTGAGAAATTATTTTAGGCAGATAGAGAGGAAAAGAGGTCCTTGGAAAGTTTTCGTCCCTTTTAAAGCAGCTCCAGAAACGTTTCTTGTCTAACAGGAAAGCCCGGCTCTTAGAACTGGGCTGGCAACCTTTGATATGCAAATGCAGGCCATTAGAAACTGGGTCCACCCAACATGGAGATTCCCACATGTCCTCTTGCCCTTGCCCCGTGGTGTGCCTGGCAGCATGGCCGACCTCACATATCCCCACGTGTGTAGAACATCAAGGCGCCCTGCATTTGCATATTAAAAGACTAAGGTGGGAGGGCCAGTTTTTGTGCAGGCTACGTGAATGACATGCCTAGTCAAACCAATCCCCTGAGCCCTATGCAAATCAGACACCTCCTCCTCTAGCCTCCTCATAAAACTGGCTGGTATCCACCACACTCCGAGTCTCCTCTCTCAGTTTTGGAGCACCTCTCCCTCTGTCTGTGTACAGGGGAACTGCTTCTTTCTTTCTTCTCCCTTTTCTCTTGCCTATTAAATCATCTGCTCCTTAAAACCACTCCACGTGTGTCCGTGTCGTTTTATCTAATTCACATGAGTCAAGATCCCTGGTGTTCCTCCACTCGTCGGAGCCATATCATGACTACTTCACTGTCCTTTCATGTCCTGGTTTTGTGCTTTTCTTCCATCTGTATATCCAGTAAATCATTATCACCAAAGATACTTACATCCTGTTTTTCAACTGAAAAATCTCATTCACACACATTATCTTATAGAAACCCCAGTGACTTTGGGGCATGTAAAGATATGAGGCTCCCCGTTTCACAAATGGAGAAACTAAGACATGAAGAAAACAACCCCATGTTCACAGGTTTAGCAACTGGCAGCATAAAGATCTTCCCTCCTGTGGTCCAGGATTCTTCCCGGTATAGGAGTGCTCAATATGCCGGAGCACGAATACCAACTACCATCACAGATGGCGCCAGGGGAGAGCTCTGAGCCTGCATTTTCCTACTGACTTTCATGGTCATCCCTCTCTTCTCCCCCAACCTGAAACTTTGCCCTTTTTTTCTCAACAGAACAGAAGTTATTATTCAACTTTTTTCTCCACCATTACAGGCTCCTGGATCATGCTCTCTCTAACTTTTAGCATACTTATTCTCTACACTGTTTACCATGACAATCACATGTCACTTTGGGTCTTTTGTTGTTGTTGTTCTTTTTGGAGATAGGGTTTCACTCTGTCACCCAGGTTGGTGTGCAGTGGCACAATCTCCTCTTCCTGGGTTCAAGGGATCCTCCATCCTCAGCCTCCCATGTAGCTGGGACCACAAGTGCACGCCATCACACCCAGCTAATTTTAATACATTTTGTAGAGACAGGGTTTCAACATGTTGCCCAGGCTGGTCTCAAACTCCTGACCACAGGTGATCCACCCGCCTTGGCCTCCCAAAGTGCTGGGATTACAGGCATGAGCCACCGTATCCAGTCGGTTCTTTTGTTTAATGTTTCATGTGTGTGTTTTGTTGTCACTGTAAATTAGTAAGATATTTGTAGTAACTATTATTTTCTAATACTTATTTTATATTCTTCACAATGCCTAATACAGAGAAAATTTACACAAATATTTGCTGAATAGGGATGAATGTCTCAGGGGACTGAACAGAAATTCTAGGCTTAAGACATTATCTTTCTTACAGTCAGAAAACTCAGAAATTTTGTGTGTGTGATGATATTGACAAGCTTAAAATCACATGGCGATCAGAGCCCTACTAGTCTCCAGGACCACGAAGCACCAATATAAGATCGCAAAAAAATACAAGCCAATTAAGAATAATCCACTTTCCAAAAGAGAGCTGCTGCCACCTGCTATGACACCTCCCAAACCATGCCTCAACCACTTTTTGTTCTTTCATTAACTTCTGCTTTCTTTTGTTTTACGTGACTGCTCATCATTTTTTGGTTGAAAACGTGTTAGATTTGTCAATTCTTCACAGTATTTAATAATTCTGAATATCTGAGCTTTCCTATGGTCAGTTATCATAAAGAAAGAAATCTCTTCACTTATCCATTCAAAAACTTTGGTTACTGTACCCCATATGGTAAATTATTATATCTAAAATATATAATGTGTTAGGAATATGGTTTTAATATATTAAAATACACTTTTATCTCATTTTTTTTGTAAACACACACTTTTTTTGTGAGATGGGGTCTCACTCTGTCACCCAGGTTAGAGTGTAGTGGTGCTATCTCGGCTCACTGCAAACTCCACCTCCCAGGCTCAAGCAATCTTCCCGCTTCAGCCTCCCAAGTAGCTGAAACCACAGGCATGTGCCACCGCGCCTGGCTAATTTTTTGTATACTTTTTGGTAAAGACAGGGTTTCACCATGTTTCCCAGGCTGGTGTCAAACTCCTGAGCTCATGCCCTCTGCCCACCTCAGTGTCCCAAAGTGCTAGGATTACAGCTGTGAGCCACTGCACCTGGCCTCACATGTACATTATTAAAAAGCAAAAACATTGAAGATTTTACATCAAAATGTTAACTATAATTATTTCAAGGTTATAGGATCATGAAAAGTATTTATCTTCTCCTTGCTTATCTGTATCATTGGCAATAAAATGCATTCTATATGTACTAAGGAAAAATAATTATTTTAAAAAATTTAAGCTCTAGATATCAAGAAAGTTGATAACACATTTTACTATGAGGTTGAATTCAAAGTGTTTGCCTAAAGAGATTATTTCTTCCCTCCTTTTTTCTAAATTGGCATATACTAATCTTTTCTTTCATTCAAGAACTTTTTCTGGTTGTATAATAATTAGAAAGAATGGATGGACTATCTGTATTAGTCCATTCTTATGCTGCTATGAAGAAATACCTGAGACTCGGTAATTTATAAAGGAAAGAGGTTTAATTGACTCACAGTTCTCTGCATGGCCAGGGAGGCCTCAAGAAACTTACAGTCATGGTGGAACGGGAAGCAAACATGTCCTTCTTCACATGGCAGCATGAGAGAGAAGTGCAGAGCAAAGCAAGGTAAAGCCTCTTATAAAACCATCAGATCTTGTGAGAACTCACTCACTATCATGAGAACAACATGAGGAACAGCCCCCATGGTCTAATCACCTCCCACAAGTTTCCTCCCCCAACACGTGGGGATTACAATTTGGATTACAGTTCAACGTAAGATTTGGGTGGCCAGACTCTATCCCTATCCAAGCATATCCTCTCAAAACTCTGCCTTCCTATTTTTTAATCTCTGTTTTCTTCCCCTTTTCAATCTATATTATTAGAAACAAATGCTCCATCACCCTCAACCCCAATTCTCCTCAGCTTTGATCTGGAAGTGTCTTTGGGAATGAGATTTTCCTCAAGGCTCAGGCAAATCTGGGCTGAGCACTCCTAAAATCATTATTCACCCAAACAGGCTTCCTCTGGCCTCTCTGGGGTTGGATTATACACATTCTCAGCTCCAGGAATGGAAAGGTGGACAAGCACAAAGCAACCTTATCCAAAAATAAGAAATTATGTAGCATCCTTTTCCTTATATTATAGTATATTCCCTCAGGACAGCTATATACTGGACGCTCAGGTCAAATAAGCCTAGGCTCAAATTCTGACCCCAGAGTCAAACTGCTGGGGTTGGAACCCTGACTGTACTATTTCTGGGTGACCTTGAGCCAGGTTTGAAGTTCCCTGAACCTGTGTTTTCTCATCAGAGAAAGGGAACTAGTTAATAATAACAGCACTTCCTAGAGCTATTTGATTAAAAAATTAGATAATGAATGTAAAGCCTTTAACACCGTCCCTTGCAGACAGCAAGAGGACAGTACATGTTACCTCCATGTGCCACACAGCCAGTGGGGCTGGGGAAGCCCTGCATGGCCTGTTGGAAAAGCTGCAATTATCAGGTTGGTGCAAAAGTAGTTGCAGGTTTTGCCATTAAAGACTACTTTTTCACCAGCCTATAGAAAGAAGGGGTCCTCTTGGACTCTATTTTCTGCCTTGCTCTAAGGCTCACCTCAGTGGCTCCTACTGCCCAGAAAGTTCCAGGCATTGCCTAGAATATTTCATAGGCCAGGAGCATCCATCCATTGGCAAAAGGCCACCTCCACAATGATAGGAAACGTGAGCTCGTGGGGAGTGGACAGTGGTTTGGTGCTCAATGCCTGAAGTCCATTGAGATTGACAGAGGGATCGCTTGCTAACTTGCTCCCAATGCACAGAACACAAAGAGGATGCAATGCCCGGTGGAAATTACTACACCCCATGTCTAGGACCCTGTGACTACAGCTAATGCCAACTTGAAAGCAAAGTCACTTCAAGGCAATCAGGAGTCGCTGAGCCTTCATTGCTCAGCCCACTTACTGTGTTTTGGTGACTCGGTGTCTCTCTCCCCGTGCTGGCTTCTCAGCTCAGAATATCTGGGACTCCAGCGTTCCTCTCAAGGCAACTAATTTGTACATAACTTTGGAATGTTTGTGAGTGTTCACAAAATAAAACTGAATAGTACTCGAGTGCCTGGCTCAAACCTTGCTCCACAGTCCCTCCCTCAAGTCCCCATTACCTACGCAAAAGCTGCTCTAGTTGATTAATCAAGTTGAAAATCCAAGTGTGGAAAACTCTGGTAGCTGTGTTCCAGAGTAAAATCCAGCTCTAGCTGGAAAACTGTGAGTGTATTTGACCAAGAGAGTTCAAGTTCAGGCACTTCTCTTTGATAGACTGGCTATAACTGAGTCTAACCAAGAGGCAATACTAATTCACACGATTCCAGGGGAATTTCAAAGGTGATCTTGTCCATTTAATTGCAGTGAAATACCTGGCACATTACGTGGAAAATATTAGGTACTCAATAAGTATTTGGTGAAGGTTGAATATTCGTAAGTGGGTCCTTATCATATTATATGGTCAGCATTCACAACCACTAGTAAGAACAACTGCTTGACTATTTTTTGTCAGGATGGAAAAAGAGGTTGGGATTTGTGCCTTAACAAGGAACCAGAAAATAAGGTCTTTAATATCATTTGCTTCAGGCTTTTAATCGGTGGAAAGAACAAAGTTGTTACAAATGACTTGCACTCCCAGCGAATAAACAGCAACGTTCCTGCAACAACCATTTAATCTATTAGAATAGTAGAATCTTCAAACATGTTCAAGAAATGGATGAGATTATATATATTCTCATCAGTCCATAAAACTATTACAGATTTATCCAATAGTGTGCTGTAGTCTGAGCTATTCAAACAGAATAATCATAAACAAGTAGCCTAAAATGCATGGTTTTCATGTTTACAGCCGTTTGCTTAGTTTTTCAAATAATTAAAGGTTTTCTCCTTCAAACATAACTTTGTATAAAGTACAGCTTATCTCTGGATAAACTGTGACACTTTACAAAGAATTATATTCTTTAGGAGTGAATAATGTTAAATTAAGGTTCCTGGGAAATGTTTTGAGTTGGTTTCATCTTTTTTCCTTTCTCAGAGGTTTGTATTATTTTATCTTATTATTATTATTATTATTATTATTGAGACAGGGTCACTCTCAGTCACCCTGGAATGAATGCAGTGGTGCGATCATTGCCTACTGCAACCTCAATCTCCCAGGCTCAAGTGATCCTCCTGCCTCCATCTCCTGAGTAGCTGAGACTACAGGCATGCTCTACCACACTTAACTAATTTTATTTTATTTTATTTTATTTTATTTTATTTATTTATTTATTTTAGTACAGACGAGGTCTTGCTATACGTTGCTTGGGCTGTTCTCAAACTCCTGAGCTCAAGTGATCTTTCCACCTCAGCCTCCCAAAGTGCTGGGTCAAATTCCTGATTTCAAGTGATCCTCACACCTCAGACTCCCAAAGTGCTGGGATTATAGGCATGAGCCACTGTGCCTGGCCTATTTTCCTGTTTTAGACTAAGGTTCAGTCTCTATTAATATATGTACATTTGCCTATAAGTAGTTAAATGTTCTATTCCTCTCTGGCGTTACAGATCAGTGCATAAAACTCTGAAGAATGCAGTTTCCTTCACAATAGTCAGGAAAAAAAGAACTTCTACCCTGTCCAAATTTGAAAAAATCTATCCAGTCACAGATTTCTACTGCATAGTTAGAAAAAGATTATATAAAATTAACAAGTCTAAAGAAAATTAAATATGGATCAATTAAGAGGAGGAGAAAAAAGATATTTTTAGTTTTACATAGATTAAATGTATTAGCTTCCTATAATGATATTTACCTGTTAAAAGAATGTTGTTCTGCTGGGGATAATCATGTAATAGGAATTAGGGTAATTCAAATTCTGCTGAAAAGGGGATTTAAGAGATTCTTATGTCACAGGGAAACTCAAGAATATGCTTGAAATCCTGGCTATTTATGCTGTCATTAAAGTACTTATGCAGGTACCAGCCTAAATTTATGGATCAAAGTGATCAACGATTACAGATGAACCACTAAAATGATCTAACATCCATTTATTGAGAAGTTTCCACTTGCTGTACACTTAAATTGCAGCCTTAGATTTTATATTTGGATCAAAGTTCCATCACATTGCATCATTTTCAGAATATTTGAACTTTTATTTCAATACAAACTGAGGTAAATAAATATCCCCCCCAAATAGACGCTGATGTTCCATATCTAACAAGTAACCAAATTGTCATGATAATCTGGGATCACTATCTAGACTCCATTTATGAAAGAAAATCTTTTATAGATTTCACAATAGCCTGATTTTCATTTTGTAAATGTGTCTCATTGTTGAGAGTGTCTTTATTCACTCCCATTCAATGATGAAGTGACTCTACTGTTTGAGGCCCAATGCCACAAGTTAACTTCATAGAAATGAGTCACGTCCAATTTGGCCCCTAGAAGTGCTTGCCAGCAATACAGATGGGCTTATTACTAGCACATAAAATTACTTTCATTCTTTACCTCCTGTATTAGCTTCCAAGAAGGGCTCCATTGGTTTATAATATTTTTGTTTTCTTCTAAGTATATACGCTTACTTTCATTTGGCCCATACATCAACGCAATTGGTTAGTTTTTTTATTTTTTCAGAGACAGAGTCTTACTCTGCTGCCCAGGCTGTACACCAGTGGCACAATCATAGCTCACTGCAGCTTCAAACTCCTATGCTCAAGAGATCCTTCTGCCTCAGCCTCCTGAGTAGCTGGGATTACAGGCACACATCACCACACCTGGCCACATTTTTTTGTTTTTGTAGAGATGGGATCTTGCTTTATTGCCCAGTGGGTCTTCAACTCCTGGCATCAAGCGATCCTCCCAACTCCGCTTCCCAAAGTGCTAGGATTACAGGCATCAACCACCCCACCTGGCCTGGTTTGGTATTTTTATCTCAGCTTTTATAGATGAGACAACTCAAGCGTGGAGAAGTTAAATGCTTGCTTGTAGCGCAAAACTATCATATACTACAGGCAGGACACTCAAGTCTCCTAGCCTTTTGATCTGCGGTGTTCCCGCTAAAAAATTGAGCCTAATAGAAGGCCCCATCAATATGGGTCCAATGATACTCAAAATGGAAATTGAATATTTTAAAATTAGATTGGGTATTGTTATGAAAGAGCAGCATGAGGGATCTTTGTGGTGACGGAACAGTCACATATCTTGACTGTGGTTGTGAACTACCCAGGAATGGTTCTGAGGTCCCCCCAGTCCCCTTTTGTTCCCTGCTGGCTGGAAGCATTTCCTACGTGGTACCACCTGACTGCCTAAGAAGACAATCACGGATGTGCAATCATGTCAAGGCACAGGCAGTTTCCTGGAAAAAAGAACAACTCCTTTCCACTATCTCTTCACTAAGGAATAGAAAAGAATTTCACTTGGGCGATTTTAAAGTAGAGAGCAAATCTGCTCTGCTCAGACTCGCCCTTGGTGTCAAATCACTATTTATATAACAAAACCTTTAACATAAATGAAAACAATGTAATGTGTAGAATGGTAGACCACAGGCTCAGAGACACAAAGGTCTGGGTTTGAATCCCTCTCCCCTGCCTATTGTGGTGGTTTGAGGCAGGGGACTTTACCTCTCTAAGCTTCAATTTCATGGAGATAACAATAGTACTATTTCCCAGAACTGTTTTAAGAAGTGGCTTAAATAGCATAAAAAGGAACAAGATCATGTCCTTTGCAGGGACATGGATGGAGCTGGAAGCCATTATCCTCAGCAAACTAACGCAGGAACAAGAAACCAAATACCGCATGTTCTCACTTACAAGTGGGAGCTGAACAATGAGAACACATGGACATAGGGAGCGGAAAAACACACACTGAGGCCTGTGAGGGCCGGGGGAGAGGGAGAGCATCAGGAAGAATAAGCTAATGGATGCTGGGCTTCACACCTAGGTGATGAGTTGATCTATGCAGCAAACCACCATGGCACACATTTACCTATGTAACAAACCTGCATATCCTGCACATGCACACTGGAACGTAAAGTAAAAGTTGAAGAAAAAAAAAAAGAAATTGTAAATGTAACTAAATGTAAATGTAAACTAAAAGGTAAAAATAAAAGTGCAGATCACAGTGTCTAGAACCTAGCAAGTGCTCAGTAATATCATTGGTTTTTTATTCAGCATTCCACGTATGAAATATTCAGAAAATGCTATAGAATCTGTTGGGAATCCTATCTTGCTGCTGTTTCTATTTCAATGCTTAGTGCATGCTGGGTTTTTGTTTCTTCAATTAATTCTTTCATTTCTAACTTGACTTAGTTTTCCTTGACGATCTGGTCATTTTTTTATTCAGACTTCTTTTGAAAGACTCATCCACATTCTAGTAACTTTGGGCTGAGTTTAAGCTGGCTCACTTTTCACCTTTCAGCTGCTTCTATGTCAATCCCTGTGTCAGTCTGGGAGACCTGTCTTTGCTCACATTTGTTCAGCCCTTTGCCTTTTTGTCTGCCGACTATCTCTCCTTTCTAAGACAAAGATTGATTCTAAGACAAAGACAGAAGATTCTTTTCAATGCCTACAAGCCAAAATATTTTATTTTGGTTACGTCCCTGATAAGGGACTCCATGGTGACCTGCTGGCCCTGTGAGACGGCAGGGCCAAGATTCTAACAACAGGAATGATAATTCTTGAATCTATAAAATAATCTGTGACTCTATAGAAATGTTTTTATGACCTCTCCCTATGAGTACCAAGATGATAAACATATGGCAACATTCCCTAAGAAATGTATTAACAATTATATTGGGAGATTTAAATTTAACTTATAATTAATAACTGACAAATTGACTATTGCATTTTTTAGGAAATCATCAAACTCAGGTTTAGACGCAGTTATAAGTCATCCAGAGAAAATAACCCATTTTCATGTCATTCTAGGAATTAATCAGACCAGCCAGCCCCAGTGGGACCACGTTTCCTTTTTCTCACTTCAGAGTTGACACATGATTCTGCACCAGCCTTACTCTCAAAGGGGATTTCCCTACAAAGACTAAATAACATAAATTTTAAGTGTCATTTCTTAGACTGCAATGAACCATGAACTTCAGCACACTATCACTAAAACATTGCTTTTGTCGTCCTGTTGGTGGAAGATTTAAGGAGGGTTACATTTTTGTCCATTTCTTTTCTTTTCCTTTTCCTTTTTTTTTTTTTTTTTTTTGAGATGAAGTCTCCCTCATTGCCCAGGCTGGAGTGCAGCTGCGTGATCTCGGCTCACTGCGCCTCCCGGATTCAAGTGGTTCTTGTGCCTCAGCCTCTTGAGTAGCTGGGATTACGTGCGCCCGCACCATGCCCAGCTAATTTTTGTATTTTTGGTAGAAACAGGGTTTCGCCATGTTGGCCAGAGTGGTTTGGAACTCCTGACCTCAGGTGATCCGCCCGCCTTGGCCTCCCAAAGTCCTGGGATTACAGGCATGAGAGCCACCGCACCCGGGCCTATTTACTTTCTTTCAACGTTTGTTTTATTTTCAGATTATTAAAATAGTTCAGGTATGTTCCACTAATGAAAAATCTGGGAAGAAAATAGAGTACAAAGTACAAAGAAAGAAGAACCACGAGCTATAAGCCCACTACTCATATATTAACATTTTAATGCATTTCACCCAAATCTTGCTTCTCTGCAGTATTTTTACATAGTTGAAAAAGTTATGTTCCTCCTTTTTGGACTTAGCATTACATCATGAGACTATTTCCATAAATATCATTTTCTTGATGACATTTCTTTATATACCACCATGTGTTCAACCATTCTGATAACTAGGCTTATCATATTTATTTTAAATTAATGATTCTTTTAAAAACTCACTTTCACTTTACAAAATTCAGAAAATGCACAAAGCATAAAGAAAAAAAGAGAAATTAGAGATTAAATTTTTAAGCGTGGCTCTGGCAACTTGAAAACTGATATCGATAACTGCCATTTAATGCAATCATATTTTTAACCCTCACACAACAACCCAAAAAGTCAATATGTTATAGTCACCACTTTATAGGTTCGGAGGTCACAGAGCTGGTAGGTTCAGAGATATAGATTTTGAACAGATATGTCTGAGCCCCCAACTGTGTTTTCTCTTGGCTAAATTATACTGACCTTCCCATGATTACCTCCACCATTACCTCTACTACCATCACCTCCAACCACCATCTCCGCCATCTGTACCATCACCTCTACCATCACTTCCTCAACCATCTCCACCATGTCTACCATCACTTCTACCATCTGTCACCTCCACCGTCACCTCCAACCACCATCTCCACCACCACCTCCACCACCACCTCCACCATCTCCTCCACCACCACCTCCACCATCTCCTCCACAACCACCTCCACCATCTCTACCGTCACTTCCACCATCACCTCTACCACTCCAATCACCATTTCTACCATCTCCATTACCACCTCCACCATCGCCTCCACAACCACCTCTACCATCTCCACCGTCACTTCCACCATCACCTCCCCTACGACCACCACTTCCAACACCACCCCCTTTATCTCCACCTCCACCTCCACCACCATGTATCGCCAACCCTTTCACTTTACTGACCTGGGGATTTTTCTGATCCCCGTTCTACACACCCTTTCTTTACTCCACACCTTCATATTCTCCTCTCCTCCTCCACTCTGATCTTTTCTAACATTCACTTTTTAAAGTGCCTGAGTAACAGAGATAAAGCAATGGCTTTCCTACCACATTCATTTTATGAATTATGCCAGTTATTCATTCATTCAACAAATATTTACTGAGAGCAGGCACTGTTCTGAGCACTTGGGAGCACAAGTAACTCCTCCATTTGCAGGATTCTCTTTAAGGCTAAAAAGCTTATTTTTTAGGATTTTTCTTCACACACACACACACACACACACACACACACACACACACACACACACACCATTTGCCACATTAGACCTACTTGCAAATTGTTAACCTGTACTGCAATTATCAGCTCACACTGCAGAGCCTCCAAGCTGGATGGAAAGCAGAAGTGAGCTGTTCAAAAGGATGCACGAGTCAAAAGGAAAGTCTCAGGCAATAGTGATGAAGTAATTTCTTATCTCTTATTGCCACAGCAAACTACCGCAGGAAAGAACTTCCTATTTCCATACTCTGATGATGTATATTTGCTTAACACAGCTTGCCTGAAATAGTTCATACATGGACCCACTCCAGAAAAGACACTTGATTTATAAAAAGAGGAATGGAAGGAAATTATAAGGTAAATTAAAGAATGAGTTCATCAACACATACACAAACTTACACCCTTTTCTTCCTTGCTTGCATGATGTGAGCAGAAAGAAATGTGTGTTCTTTCCATTTCTGTTTCTTTTCTTTCTTTCTTTCTTTTTTTTTTTTGAGATGAACTCTTGCTCTGTCACCCAGGCTGAAGTGCAGTGGCGCAATCTCAGCTCACTGCAACCTCCGCTTCCCGGGTTCAAGCAATTCTCCTGCCTCAGCTTCCCAGGTAGCTGGGATTACAGGTGCATGCTCCCACGCCCAGTTAATTTTTGTATTTTTAGTAGAGACGGGGTTTCATCATGTTGGCCAGGCTGGTCTCGAACTCCTGACCTCAGATGATCCACCCGCCTTGGGCTCCCAAAGTGCTGGGATTACAAGCGTGAGCCACCGCACCCGGCATTCTATTTTCTATTTTCTTTTCTTTCTTTTTTTTTTTCTTCCTGTAGAGATGAGGTCTCATTATTTTGCCCCCAGGCTGGTCTCAAACTCCTGACCTCAAGTGATCCTCTCGCCGTGGTCACCCAAAGTACTGGGATTACAGGTGTGAGCCATTGTGCCCAGCCCTCGGTTTCAATTTTCTACATAAAATAAATAACTCGATAGAAATTAGACTTTATCAAGGACAGCACTAGGAACACATAGGCCACTCAAGACTAATAGAGCCCACTGCTGTAGTCAAAGATGCTTCAGTGGGTTATAATTCTGACTTCTATAATTAAATACTTTCACATATACCCCAGCAAAGAAAAATCAAGTGCCCCAGACACCCTTACTAAAAGACTCTGAACCAACAACACCTAGCTTTCATTTTTATACCAGAGATATTTTGGCAAGCCTGAGACCTTTATCAAAGTGTAAAATGTCCCCCAGCTGCCTCCATGCAAAGGAAGCTCCCTTGCAAAGAACACACTTTCTCGAAAGAGGGCGGCCCCAGAGTGCTTCCCCAAATGAACTCCTCAGGACCCAAATACATGCTGAATTGTGCTTTTCTAAATCAAACCTGTGGTCTGCAGTCTAAACACCTATCAAGACAACACCCATTTAAGAAACATAAAAGCAGAGTGAGTACACAACTCTCTCCTCTTTCAAAGCTTTCACAGAATTAAAGAATCTTTAGCACCTGGCTTCCCAGATTACAGAGAGCTGAGTGAATATTACATCCCCAAAGTCATATTTCCTACCTCACTACTCTAAGGAGAGTGCTAGGGTATCCATTGCTTTGCCATCTTGATCTGTCAAGCAGTTACCTCTCATACATCAGCCAAGAAGTGACGTTACTTACATGCAATACAAAGAGAGTAAATCCAAGAGCAGTCTTATTCCTGGATTCAGAAGCCTCATAGTACTCTGAGGCCAAGCTTGAGGATTCTACTTAAAGCAGCCTCAGCTCTGGAAACTCAGTCAACCCAGAACTAACATTCAAAGCTGATCAGAGAGTAAAGCTCTTTCGAAAGAAGAGGAAGTATCATCTCCACTTCCTCAATCCTAACGTTCTTCCTTCTCATTGTTATGAAACCCTTCCTTGATGCCCATATCCAGGACACAGTACATGTAAGGCAAGCACACCCCATCTGCCTGAGTTCATTGATCACTAAGCACTGCCCAGTGTATTCATTTGCCGAGCACATTGGTGGAACAGTTCATGGTTCTGCTTTCCTGTTTTGGAGGCAAGGATGTTCATTTACAGGCATGGAGGGTGAGATGATCTGCAGAGTCATTCTCAGCATTTTTGGGTGAAATGCCACTTCAACCTCTTTAGGTTCAATCTTCTTTCAGATTTCCCTCTTTCCTCCTTTCCTAATCGTTCATAATGCTCTAATAAAGAGAGGGTACAGACACATTTGTAAAACGTATTTTAGGATAAAAATAAGTCTTAGCCTGCCATCTTTTGCAGTAGACATAGAAGAGTCTCTAACCACAAAACTTTTCTTTCCCACATTGGAAAAGGAAAATGGCAGGCTGAAAGTCAGAGATATTCCATCTCATTACAAATTCCTGCCCTCCCAATCTCCCTTTCAACACCAGCTTCTTGTTTCTCTATACCTTCTAGGGAAATGAATACAGCTGGGCGTGGTGGCAGATGCCTGTAATCCCAACCACTCAGGAGGCTGAGGCAGGAGAATTGCTTGAACCTGGGAGGCAGAGGTTGCAGTGAGCCGAGATCGCACCACTGAACTCCAGACTAGGAGACAGAGCAAGACTCCAACTCAAAATAAATAAATAAATAAATATGTATGTGTATATATATATATAATATATATATATAATATATATATTATATATATATTATATATATATTATATATAATATATATATTATATATATATTATATATATAATATATATATTATATATATTATATATATATAATATATAAAATATATATATTATATATATAAAATATATATAATATATATAATATATATATAAAATATATATAATATATATAATATATATATAAAATATATATATAAAATATATATATATATAAAATATATATATATAATATATATATAAAATATATATATATAATATATATATAAAATATATATATATAATATATATATAAAATATATATATATATATATATATATATATATAGAATATATAGAATATATAGAAACCTAATCCCCAATGTGATTGTATTTAGAGGTGGACCTTTGGGGAGTGATTAGGTCATGAGGACAGTGCCCTCATGAATGGTATTAATTTTCTTATTAAAGAGAACCTGGAGATCTGCCCACCCCTCCACCATATGAGGACATGGCCAGAAGACAGTCACCTAGGAACGAGGAAGCAGGTCCTCACCAGACAATGAATCTGCTGGCGCCTTGATCTTGGATGTCCAGCCTCCAGAACTGTGAGAAATAAATGTCTTTTGTTTGTAAGCCACCCAGGCTACGGTGTTTTGATATAACAGCCTGAATGACTAAGACAAAGATAAAATGTAAACTAAATCTGTGGAGGAGTGAAAAAATGAAAGAAGATGCTGTACATTTTGAGCAGGAACAAAATGAAGGTTCTCTCAGCGGCTTCTTGTTTGTGTACACTTCTATTTCTGGAAGTGCTGCCTCATCTTCTCCCTATATTGAGTTGTCTTCTAGTTCCCTGCTTTACGTAGAAAAAAAAATGGTACTAGGTGATATTAAAGGAATTTAGTGGTATCAACAGCATGGCCTGGCTTCTCACCAGACATTTAGATGCCATCATCAAAGATATCCTCAAAAGACATGTTATTTACCTTTATGGGGCCAGAATAGAGCCACTTAAATTCTTTGAGCAAAGATGATTTGTAGAATTAGAATAATCCTCAAAACGGCCGGACTGTCAGTTCAAGATGACGGGCTGACCACAGATTTGCTCCCTCCCTCCCCAAAGACTCCGTTAAAATGAGAAAAGTATAAAAAGTTTATAGGGCCGGGCACGGTGGCTCACACCTGTAATCCCAACACTTTGGGAGCCCCAGGCTGGCAGATCATGAGGTCAGGAGATCGAGACCATCCTGGCTAACATGGTGAAACCTGTCTCTACTAAAAATACAAAAAATTAGCCACGCCTGGTGGCACGAGCCTGTAATCCCAGCTTCTCAGAAGGCTGAGGCAGGAGAATCGTTTGAACCTGGGAGGCGGAGGTTGCAGTGACCTGAGATCGCGCCACTGCACTCCAGCCTGGGTGACAGAGCGAGATTCCGTCTCAAAAGAAAAAAAAAGATATAAACCCACAATAACCCAAAAAAGGAGGAAAAGCATCAGAACTTGGGAGAGCACAACAGATTTCTGGCAGCCTGAAAGCCGATGGAGGAGCAATAACAGATGGAGGCAGGCAGGGGAACCACAATATCTCATTAGTTAGGAGAACACGGCGTTGGAGGAAATTGCCCGTGTGCGGTGCTGAATCCCTGAGAGGACCGGAACTCAAGCCAAAAGAAGCTAAGAGAGCTAAATGAGTGATAGGGTGACAGGACTGAAAACAGGAAGAGTAATTCAAAGTCTGTAAGAACTCAGCCCCTCCCATACCCCTCTTTCAAATCTCTCTGTCCGCCCAGCCTCTGCACAGCAAACACACACAATTCCAACCCCGGGCAGCATACCGAGGATTCGTCTCTACACATAGTGAAATCATGCAGAGAATACAGGCATTGTATGTGGATATGAGCACTCCACAGTCAGAACTCCACATTCTGGCAATAAGAGCCTCATCTAGCATGTGCTGGATGATGGATGATGTGCTTTTTTTTTTTTTTTTTTTTTTGAGACAGAGTCTTGCTCTGTCACCCAGGCTGGAGTGCAGTGGCATTAATTATCTCGGCTCACTGCAACCTCCGCCTCCAGGGTTCAAGTGATTCTCCTGCCTCAGCCTCCTGAGTAGCCAGGATTACAGATATGTGCCACCACACCCAGCTATGTTTTGTATTTTTAGTAGAGACAGTGTTTCACCATGCCGGCCAGACTGGTCTCAAACTCCTGACCTCAGGTGATCTGTGCACCTTGGCCTCCCAAAGTGATGGGATTACAGGCATGAGTCACCACGCCTGGCCTAGATATGCTTCTAATCAGTATCCTTAGAGACAGTCCTGAAGATATTGTATCCATTAAAAAGAACAGGATGCTAAGAAAGATAGATAATCTGAAAACAAGAAAGACCCCTTGGATATTGCAAATATAATTGTTAAATAAAGATTTTGATAGGTTGGGTGATAAATTCAAGTGAAATTTTCAGGAAATATTATTTGATGACATAGTCAAAGAAATAACATAAAGGATCCCCCTGAAGTCCAAGAATATTTAGATTAAAAAGTCTCATCGAGTGCCTAGGATGAAGAATTTCAAGTCACTGCAAAATTTCCAAACTCCGGAAATAAAGAGAAAATCTTAAAATCTCCCAAACACAGAAAATAAGTCACTTTCACAGAAACAAGGAATCAAAGGGCTCCAGATTTCACAGAAGTAGCATTAAGGGTTAGAAGGTCAGCGAGCACAGCCTTCAAAGTTCTGAAGGATTTATATTTCACTCTAGAATTTTGTGTTCATTCATCCAGTGTATTAGTCCATTTTCATACTGCCATAAAGAACTGCCAGAGACTGGGTAATTTCTAAAGGAAAGAGGTTTAATTGACTCTTATAAATTAAAGAGGTTTAATTCAGCATGGCTAGGGAGGCCTCAGGAAACTTACAATCACAGTGGAAGGTGAAGGGAAGCAAGGCGCCTTCTTCACAAGGTGGCAGGAAAGAGAAGTGCTGAGTAATGGGGTAAGAGCCCCTTATAAAACCATCAGATCTCATGAGAACTCACTCTCACAAGAACAGCATGGGGGAAACCACCCCCATGATTCAATTTCCTCTACCTGGTGTCTCCCTTGACACATGGAGATTATGGGGATTACAATTCAAGACGAGGTTTGGGTGGGGACACAAAGCCTAGCCATAGCATTCAGCAAATATTTTTGAGCACTGTGTCTAGGCAGTGAGGACGCAGCAGTGAACCAAATAAAGTCCTGCCCTCAGGGAACTTCTTTTCTCATGCTCAGATCAGGATGGTGTACTCTCTACACAAACAAAGAAAGTAAAATATAATGTGTTAGGTAGAAGTAAGTGCTAAGGAGGAAAAATAAATCAGCAGAGGAAATATATAGAGTCTAAGGAGAGGCTAAAAATTAGATGGGGAGGCCAGCAAAGGACTCACAAAGGTGACCTCTGAGTGACAGCCTGGAGGAAGTGAAGGCGTGAGCTGTGTAGACAGCTAAGGGAAGAGAAATCCGCAGACAGAGCCCCAAATGCAAACATCCTGCCACCCCCAGAGCCTTTTGGTGCCGCAGGAACAGCATGGGGGCAGGTGTGGCTGGAACAGAGCAGAGCGGGTCAGAGATGGAGAGGGGAGCCGGGGAACCCATGATTATGGTTAGGTCCTATGGGGATCGTTGTGAGAACTTGGGTTTTTGACTCTGACCAACTAAACCAGGAGCTGACAAACTATTTCTGGAACAGGCCAGATAGTAAATATTTTAGATTTCGTGGGCCAATCTCTGTTCAATTACTCAACCCTGCCATTGTGGTATCAAAGCAGCCATAGATAACATGTAAAAGAGCAGCTGTGCTCTAATAAAACTTTATCTAGGGCCACTAACATTTGAACTGCCTATAATTTTCACGCATCACAAAATCTTCTTCTTTTGATTTTTTTAAGCACCTAAAAATGTAAAAAACTGTCATAACTTACCAGCTGTGCAAAAATAGGCAGCAAGCCAAAAGCGGCCCGTGGAAAGTAGGTTGCTGATCCCTGAATGAAACCATCAATTAGGTGTGAAGGTAGAACATGCCCGTTTTCAGATATATCAGAGCTGACTCAGAAGGCTGACTGCCCACAAATCCTTTCTTTTTTTTTTTTTAATTTTTATTTTTTGAGACAGAGTCTTGCTCTGTTGCCCAGGCTGGAGTGCAGTGGCATGATCTCACCTCACTGCAACCTTTGCCCCCCAGGTTCAGCGATTCTCCTGCCTCAGCCTCCCAAGTAGCTGAGATTACAGGCGCCTGCCATCACGCCTGGCTAATTTTTGTATTTTTAGTAGAGACAGGGTATTACCATGTTAGCCAGGCTGGTCTCGCACTCCCAACCTTTAGTGATCCCCCCATCTCGGCCTCCCAAAGTGCTGGGATTACAGGCATGAGCCACTGCACCCAGCCTCCACATACCTTCTTAGGAAGTTACTTGATGATGGACCCCAGCAAAATAAGGGAGTAAACTAAAAAATGGAAGTGGTGGAATCCGGGAAACAGAAGACTCAACCTGGGAGCGTTGCAAAGGGAAATCCTTGGATGGGAATCAGGCAGCTGAACCACACAGCAAACATCAGCATGGAGCTCGGTAAGAGAGGAAAAGTTTCCAAAAGCAAAGTATTCAGGGGAAAATGGAATCACAGAGCGTGATACCACCCCTGAAATTATGGAGTAACCAATATGGGCAGCGCAGCCAAAGAAAGAAAAATAGAAAAACAATTAGAAAACATCAAGAAATAACAATAAAAGCAGTAAAGGAACAGAATGGAATTACTCTATACTGTTCGGCTTGTGAAGTTAAGGATAATTTTTACAGGCATAATAATGCAATACTCACAACTGATTTTCAATTTTGAGGATCAAGATCTGGAGAAAACATGTAAAACAAGAAGATACTGTAAGTGGCAGAGTGTGGTGGCTCGCACCCGTAATCCCATCTTTGGGAGGCTGAGGCAAGAGGACTGCTTTAGCCCAGGAGTTCAAGCCAAGAATGGGCAACAAAGGGAGACACTGTCTCTGTGTATATTTTAAAGAAAAAAAAAGAGAAAAGATTAAGACAATATAAATGTTAAAGTATGCTGGACTCTGATGGCAGCCACTAGCTACTAAAAATTAAGCTTTAGCTAATTAGAATAAAGTAAAATAAAAATTAAGTAAAAAAAATTAAGTAAAATAAAAATTAAGTAAAAAAAATTTCGGTTCCTTGGTTGCACCAGCCACAGTTCGAGTGCTCAGTAGCCACTGGTGTCCAGAAGCTCCCATCTTGCACAGCACAGACATGGAGCATTTCTCTTCATCTGGAAAGTTTCTTTGGAGAGCCCTGGGGGACATGAGAGGTGGAAAGAGAGGTTTGAGAGCCAACTTACAATTTGAGGATTGATTGAGATTCTCCACAAACAAGAAACAAGTGGGACCATATTATTTTAAAAGTTACCCAAGTAACTGACGAGCACTAACCAGGGAGTTAATTATAACACACAAGATCTGTGTGATCAGCTTGGAGTGGAGACAGCTGCAGCAGGAGAAGGTGGCTTTCCTCTTAGTTCCCCCTCCCTGGAGACCCCCGGGATCTCCAATTGTCCCTGTTTAGCAAAAGTTGGTCCACCCTTCAAGGTTTAGCCCTGATGTTAGGATGTTACTTCCTCAGTGAAGTGTTCCCCATCCCTCAGATTTAGCCCCTCCCTCCTTGTTCTCCCAGCATCCCGTGCATGTCTCCAGTGCACATTGTCCTGTGTTATTATAATGATGGTGAATCAGGGCATGCGACATGCATTCTCAAGGTCCCGGTCCTTAGAAGGGCCCTGTGCTTAGTTTAATGCTCTGCAGTCACTCTTTTGAAATGTTGAATAATTTATGAATAAGAGGTCCCCTATTTTCATTTTGAACTGGATCCCACAAATTATGGAGCCATCCTGTTTTTAAGTTTGCCTCTCTAGCTGGACTGTCAGCTCTCTGAGAGCAAGGATGCATCATTTTTGAGATTTGTATCCTCATGATCTAGTACAGGGCCCTCACTAAAATGACCATCTTCCCTAACTGATACTTATCTATATTTTTCTTGTGAGGGCTGTAATTTTATACTCCAAGATCCAAGGACATAATCCATCTCTCAGAAAAGCTATGGTTTGTAGGCTATTGGGAGCCTCTCTCACACCGTCCCTAAACCATCTCTGACTTTCTCTGATGCCTGAAATGCCATAATTACAGTTTTAGTCTTGCTTTTTTAAGGCATTTCCTTCTGTTGCACCGCCAGTCTCTCTGGGAGAGGTGGCCTTTAAGCTTCACTATTGAACTTTAACGAATATGAATTTGTCAGATCCCTTTAGTTTAGACAGAAACATCCCCATCCCCAAAGCAGACGAATCATTTTAAGTTCACACTTTGAACACATAACACACAGCTGTTACTGATTTGGGATGACGGTGGTAAGACATGTAGACAAATAACTCAAACAGCTTTCTGAGCCTCAGCCACTATAAATCAGCAAAGTGAAAATTTTAATGTTATACATGAAAATATATCAGTATTCAAGATTTTCTTGAAAAATTTATAGTCTCCAACACATGTAATATCATCTCAAATTTATGTCTGAAACATTTTCTCATCTTTCCCACTAATCAGGTATAAAAACCCTGCCCTGCTTTATTTACTCTTGGATATATCTATGGAACATGTGCTAAAATCTGGGGGCTTTGCATCTAGGAAAGGAGGAGAGTGTAGACAACCAAGCAGACTAGGAGGGGCAGTGTGTGACAAACGCTGTGTGCCTGATGCTGCGTAGAAGGATCCTGAGAGAGGCCGAGGCGGGTGGATCACGAGGTCAGGAGTTCAAGACCAGCCTGGCCAAGATGGTGAAACCCCATCTCTACTAAAAATACAAAAATTAGCCAGGCGTGTTGGCAGGCACCTGTAATCCCAGCTACTCGGGAGGCTGAGGCAGAGAGTTGCTTGAACCTGGGAGGCGGAGGTTGCAGTGAGCCGAGATCGCGCCACTGTTCTCCAGCCTGGGCAAAAGAACGAGACTCTATCTCAAAAAAAAAAAAAAAAAAAAAAAAAGAAAGAAAAAGAAAAAGAAAAAGAAGGACCCTGAGAGGTCGGGGATGGAAGAAGAGAATCTGGCAGGCTGTCCTTCATGGAGGACACAGCATAGACCCTGATCTTGAAGCACAGACGAGATACTGACAGGGGGAGAAGGAGCAGGAGATGACAACCGCTAACCTGAATAGAGGCTCAGATCAGCTGGTTGACGATCAGCTCAGTGGTTCTTGCTGAGCTGGCACAGCCTCCTAATGGGCATTTTAGAGATTTTGGTGGGATTTTGTTTGTCACAGAGATTGAGAGTTGTTCCTGGCATTTGCAGGGGGTAGGATGGGTGGGTGGTGATGGTGGTAGTGGTGAAGGGCGTTTGATTCCCCTCAAAACAAAGGGCAGTCCTTCATAACAAAGAATTATCCTATGTCCCACATAACTTCTAACATCCGGCCAGATACCTGTATTCAGTTGGCCCTTGAACAACATGGCGGTTAGAAGCACTGATCCCCTGAGTAGTTGAAAATCCACATGTAACTTTTGACTCCCCAAAAACTTAACTGCTAATAGCCTACTGTTTACCAGAAGCCTTATAGATAATGTGAACAGTCAATTAACACATATTCTGTATGTTTCATGTATAATACACTGTATTCTTGCAATAAAGTAAACTAGAGAAAAGAAAATGTCATTAAGAAAATCATATCCCAGCACTTTGGAAGGCCGAGGCGGGCGGATCACGAGGTCAGGAGATCGAGACCATCCTGGCTAACAAGGTGAAACCCCGTCTCTACTAAAAATACAAAAAATTAGCCGGGCGTGGTAGCGGGCGCCTGTAGTCCCAGCTACTCGGGAGGCTGAGGCAGGAGAATGGCGTGAACCCGGGAGGCGGAGCTTGCAGTGAGCCGAGATCGCGCCACTGCACTCCAGCCTGGGCGACAGATCGAGACTCCGTCTCAAAAAAAAAAAAAGAAAATCATAAGAAAGAGAAAATGTATTTACTATCCATTACATGGAAATGGATTATCATAACAGTCTTCATCTTCATCATCTTCTCATTGAATAAGCTGAAAAGGAAGAGGAGTTGGTCTTGCTGTCTCAGGGTGGCAGAGGTGGAAGTGCTGAGAAAATGAAAGGGAGACAGGAGAGGAAGGCACACTCAGTGTAACTTTCACAGAAAAAAAATCTGCCTCTAACGGGAGCCATACAGTTCAAACCCATATGATTCAAGGGTCAGGCGTAATATGAATAGTATGGAAGGTTTAACTGACTCTAGAAACAAAGTCTTTTTGCATCGTTTTACTATATATACATTGTTCCAGGAATGCTACTTTCATAGTTTAAAATGTATCTTGTAAATTTGTTTTGTTTGGCAATTTACAAAGAATTGTTGACCATTTCAGAAATCACATTAGCATGATAGCCCTGATTATAGTATGAGTCTTGTAACAATCTGCATGATAGTAGTTGTCACATTTGCTGTGATTTGACATGTACATATGAATACGGTTAGTTAAATGTTACCTCAAATGCTAAATTTTTTTTTTACTTTTATTTTATTTTATTTTATTTTTTTGAGATGGAGTCTCACTCTGTCTCCGTCGCCCAGGCTGGAGTGCAGTGTCCTGATCTTGGCTCACTGCAAGCTCCGCCTCCCAGGTTCATGCCATTCTCCTGCCTCAGCCTCCCGAGTAGCTGGGACTACAGGCGCCCACCCCCACGCCCAGCTAATTTTTTTGTGTTTTTAGTAGAGACAGGGTTTCACCGTGTTAGCCAGAATGGTCTCGGTCTCCTGACCTCATGATCCACCCACCTCAGCCTCCCAAAGTGCTGGGATTACAGGCGTGAGCCACCGCGCCTGGCCAATAATTTTTAGAAGTATCACCAATGTTTAGTTGAATATTATCTTAGCCTTAAATCAAAACTTATGCATTATAAATTAGAGTCTGACTATTTCATTTGTTTTCCTAGTGTGGTCATGCCTAAGCATTTATACATTAAAATACTGTAGATATTATTTTATTACTAAATGACTTTTATTTCTCCTATATATATAAATACACACACACACGCACACATATATATATATATATTTCTTTTTTTTGAGGCAGAGTTTTGCTCTTGTTGCCCAGGCTGCAGTGCAATGGCATGGTCTCAGCTCACTGCAACCTCCACCTTTGGGGTTCAAGCAATTCTCCTGCCTCAGCCTCCCAAGTAGCTGGGATTACAGGTGCCCGCCACCACGCCCGGCTAATTTTTGTATTTTTAGTAAATTGGGGGATTCACCATGTTGGCCAGGCTGGTGTTGAACTCCTGACCTCAGGTAATCCATCTGCTTCGGCCTCCCAAAGCGCTGGGATTACAGGCGTGAGCCACCGTGCCCAGCCTGTCCTTGTATTTTATTCAGAGCAGTAAGAGCTAATGGATATAGAATGCATATTATGTGCCAGACACATTCTAAAAGCTGTGCATATTGCTTACCTATCTTCTCAATAACTCTATGAGGCAGGTACTATTGTTACCCCCTTTTCAGAGATGAGAAAAGTAAGGCACAGAGAGGTCACTTGCCTGAGATCCTATGGGTAGTAAACGGCAGAGGCTGGATTCAAACCTGGCCAGGCCGGCTCCAGGCCTCGTGCTTTCAGCCAAATTACTATATCTCACTATATTGTTGTTGTTGTTGTTTGGTTTGTATGTCGGCAGATTATATTATTTATGAATTTTATTTCAAAATAGTAAAGAGGGTGTTTCAAAATATATTTGATGATGGAAAGGGAAGCACTGAGAACCATTGGCTGAAAATTGACGCTAACATGAAGGAGCAGGAAGTGAGAATTAAAACGTAAGGGCAGCTGAGGGCTAGGCTGAGACTCACCCCAGTGTTCAGCTCAGGAGTATGAAAGTGAGTTGCGTAGGATGCCAGCCTCCTTGAAGAAAAAGCATTCTGAACATCACGTATTTTGCTAACATTCTATCATTCCTCTATGCAGAAATATTCTTTTTGTTAAAAGGAACAAGATTCTCAAAGGCAAGGACTTTCTTTTCTTTTAAACTTTAAACCTCCAGGTGCAAAGTATGTATGGCACGTTATGGCCAAGGAATGTTGTTTGAATTCGTTATATTTTCCAAAATTAAAGACTAGAGTACAAATTTTAGTCTTTCCTCCTCTGTGTTCCTCTATGTTTTGCCCCTCATACACTTATTAGGAAAAACAACAGCTCCATTCTGATATCACTGGGTTATTGTATCAGCCTAATGTATCTCTATTCCCAAGAATGCCAAAGTTTAAAAGAGTCACTTTCTGTTTCAGTAAATGAGATAGTAACTGGAGCAATTTTAGCATGGATTGTTGCATAACATTGACCTGTTGGCTAATAAATCCCAGAGAGTGTGCAATACTGTTGGGTAAGATCCTTGTTTTACCATTTCTGAATCAAGCCTTACTCGGAGATGATCAGAAGACCACCCCCATGTCAGGGGTGCGCAATATCTGGACTGTTTTTACCTCCCTTGGTCTTGAGGATATCACTGAGCTAAGATTCTGCTGGTGATGTAAAGACCCAACCAACACCTATGAGCCCTGAGTCAGGCTGTAATTTGTTAGTGAAGCAGCCTTTTGGCCAGCAGGGATCTCATCTGTCACTCATACAGGCTTCTCCTAGTGTATCCCTTCTTACAACATGTAGTGCGGTTCTGCTAAGCACTCTCTCCCCAGCATCTACGTTTCCAGACAAGATTGTGCTTGTTGTAGACTGGCACTCCCAGGGAACCATCAAGTGAGCGTGCACATTGACAGGGCCTAAGAAGAGGATCAGCTTCCCTGCACCTTCTAGACCACAAATGCCACCAGCCAGGCACTTCAGGAACCTGCAAACATGAATCATCCTTTAGGCACGGTAAGAAGAGACTTGCACAAACTGGATGATCAAAGAATCGGAAACAGGTAAATGAAGTAGGTGCTGAAAATATTTTCAAGTACGTATCTGGAATGGCGTTTCCAGTATAGATGATTTGTCAGATTTTCAAGATGTTACTAGCAGCTAGGGTTAGTTTAACAGGAAGTCAAAGTGTTATAGATCAAAGATTCATCAAAAAGTAAAGAGGAATTATTCACAGCTCCTTCAATTTCTACAGTTCCAGCAATTTACTATATTGTAAATTGAGGTATTTCCATGATTATAATTCCACCTACACTGTAAACTGCTAGAAGTGAGAGTCAGTATCTTGTTCATAAGGTATCTCACAATGCATAGCACATAGTAGGCACTTCATAAATATTATTGAAACGGTAAAGATGGAAGAAGTGAAAAAGATGTAAATGGATATGTATTAATTTCCTATTGCTCTTCCAACAAATTACTGCAAACTTAGTGGCTTCAAACAGGCATCCCCAACCTCTGGGCCACGAACCGGTATTGGTCCCTGGCCTGTTAGAACAGGGTGTCACAGCAGGAGGCGAGCAGCGGGTGAGCCAGCGAAGTTTCATCTGTATTTACAGCCGCTTCCCATCGCTGGCATTACCACCTCAGCTCCACCTCCTGTCAGATCAGTGGCGGCATTCGATTCTCATAGGTTCAAGAACCCTATTGTGAACTGCGCATGTGAGGGATCCAGGTTGCACGCTCCTTATGAGAATCTGATGCCTGATGATCTGTCGCTGTCTCCCATCACCCCCAGATGGGACTATCTAGTTGCACGAAAACAAGCTCGTGGCTCCCACTGATTCTACTTTATGGCAAGTTGTATAATTATCTCATTATATATTATAATGTAACAATAATAGAAATAAAGTGCACAATAAATGTAATGAGACCGACCTTCCCAAAACCATCTCCTCCACCCTCGTCTGTGGAAAAATAGTCTTCCACGAAATTAGTTGCTGATGCCAAAAAGGTTGGGAACCAATGGCTTAAAACATCACAGATTTATTATTTTACCATTCTGGAAGTCAAAGTCTAAAATGGGCTGGCAAGGCTGTGCTCCTGGAGGTAGCAGGAGAGAATCCATTTCCTTGTTTTTTCCAGTTTCTAGAAGCTACCCGCACGCATGCCATGGCCGATGGCACCGTATCACTCCGGTCTCTGCTTCCATTGCCTGTCACATCTCCTCCTGTGACCCTGATGTTCCCACCTCCCTCTTACAGGGACCCTTGTGAGTACACTGGACCCACTGGGATAGGCCAGGATAGTCTCTCCATCTGCAACATCCCTTTTGCCATGTAAAATAACATCGTCACAGGTTCTAGAATGTGGACATCTTCCCAGGGTGGTAGAGGGGGGCATTATTCGGCCTACAAGCACTCTACCAGGGCAGACTTTCTCCCCTTACCTAATTCTAATAGTTCATAATACTTACCTGCTTGGACAGTCCATGAGTAGCTGGATATCGTCAAGCCCCAGAATGTAAGACAAGATAATGTTTCCAAATCCCTAGCTCAGTTCATATCAATGGAGTCAAAGCAGAGGAGACACTAGATTTTTCCAGATCCTTTACTTTCCTCACAAATAAATCACCAAGATGTATCACCATAACTATCTAATATTTCTCAGACTCCTCTCCTTCTTCCCATCCTGCCGCCTCACTTCACCTTCAGGCCTCATTTTTGGCAGAATTGCAATAGCATCCTGGGTAGTTTCCCCACCTCCAAGTGAATTTCCCCCACCCCTCCCTCCAAGAGGCTGTGCAATCTCTTTAAAAAGCAAATCTATCACTCCCTGGGAGCCAAGCACAGCACCGTTAGAAATATTTGCTGAAACATTTATTGAACAGAATTGGTGATAATAGACACTGATTTGAAAAAAAACGGATCCTATTATCTTTGATCTACTTCAGTTCTCGTTTGTGAGGGACTATTTTGATTGGACTTCACCCACTACCTGTGGGTAGTTTTGTAAGAAAGCCCATTTATCTGGCAAATTAATTCATGTATAATACACATGAATCATATTTATAATAATAGCTTTCTAAGATTAAAAGGCACATCACAGAGGAAATACATGAACTCCTCAGCCTGGACTAAACCGATCACTGCCACCAAGTGGCAAATGTTATCATTGGAGCCCGGAAGCACAAGGACACAACAGTTTCTTCCATTCATTTGTTCTGTTCCAGCCTCCGATGCATAAGGAACGCTATGGAATGTATCCAAGACCCACATCAGAACAGCAAGGAGCTGAGGTTTAGAGGAGTAATTAACAGGATTTTTATATCTAAGCAGGAAAAATGAAGTAAAAATACTTGTGAGCTTCACCATAGAAATTCGTTATTTTTTCCTTCTGCTTCTTTCCATTTCAACTTTACAGACACAGTGTTGCCTTGTTTATTGACAGTCAAAGGGGTATGACATTTGGGAAGGTCATTTTCAAAGTAACTCAAGATGATGTCTTTAAGAACTAAAACATATTTTTAAAATTTAACCACATATAACGGGCATGTATAGATGCCTCCCTGACACAGGAGTTTGAACAAAATGATGTGCTGTCTGTCTTGGTGCAGCCTGAAAGGCCAGTAGCTGCCAAGAAGGATAACTTATTTGGTGTCAGAGTGTAAACTCACCACAGTCCAGGGGCAGGCCCATCCTTGCAGGCACAGAAACTCTATTTTGTCTCTGCCTTGGGATTTTCTGTCCACAGGGATGCCGACTTAGCCTAATCAAGTCACACACAAAAACCAGAAAGCAATGTACATATTTGTTTCAGATAGCAAATATAGCACATCATATATTGACATTAGTTTGACTGCTGTTTTCTGTGCCTGTATCAGGCGTTGGGGTTAGGGATAGAAGTAAAGAGGAGGGGGAATCGGAGATGTCCATGTCAGAGAGAAGTAGAGAGCTGGGTTGCACAATTCATTCTGATGCCATTTCTGCTCTTGTTCTAGTTTATGTGGCTTAGCAATATGCCTCCTTTTTCTGGGTAATTAACATGAGTCTCTGTTCCTTACAAACCAGAGGATGAGCTTAAAAGATTGTTAAACACGTAATTATCTCTAATTATGCCGAGTATAAACAAACGGCTCTTACGATGTTTCCATCTGTAAAACTGATATGCCGATTCTTGCTTAAGACTTAGAGGTCTTGTTTGAGAAACTCTACGTGACTCTGATTCTCATATCCTAATTCCTACTTTACATCAGACACTTCTTCTGACATTTAAAAAGACAGGCTGGAAACTGTCATTCTTGAAGAAATAGCTGTAGAATAGCCTCTCTAAGCTACTTGGGAATACCAGAATACCAGAACAGCAGTTCTTTACAAACTGCTAATATACACCTTATAAAATACTGACCGAACTAATGGTCATAGCATCATAATGGTAACATCATTCATTTTCCCTTTTACACAGGTCCTGCCTATTATCTTTTGTGTCTTTGCTACTCTCTTGTTTGGACTTACTTAGGATTTTTAATTGTTTATAATAATATTGTGGTATATTCAAATTGTAATACTTGCTAAAAATGCAAGTTGTCAATTCCTTTTGAGACACAGCTAGTAATTCAGGAAATTTCTGAAGCACAAAAAGTTCACCTATGACCTTTCCATGATTATGCAATTACAGCCTCAATATGTGCTAAATATGGGTTGTCAAGAAGCCAGGAAATCCAGGTAGCAGCAAAGATTGAAATGAGCTAAAATGTAGCTGCGACTTTTTTTTTTTTTTTGACATGACATCTCTTACTCAAATAAGGGGGAAGATTTTTATAAGTTAATGATAATTGAAATAAAAATTGAGAGTCAGAACCAAACTAGTCAAGTTCATGGTTCATGCAGGCTGCATCAGCCAGACAGCAGAGAAGAAAGAGAAGGCCATACCCCGAAAGGGACTGGAGCCTGGAACGCCCCGCCCCCTGCACCCCCTACAAGTATGGCCAAAAAAACCACAAAAAACAAAAAACAAAAAAAACCCAGGACTTAAAGTAATTTAACTCTCAGTTAACTGTCAGTAATTGCTGAACAGCTGTGGTGGCTCATGCCTGTAATCCAAGCACTTTGGAAGGCCGAGGCAAGAGGATCACTTGAGGGCAGGTGTTCAAGACCAGCCTGGGCAACATAGCGAGACCTTGTCTCTACAATAATTTTAAAAATGAGCGAGTCATGGTGGTGAGCACCTGTATTCCCAGCTACTCAGGGGGCTGAGGTGGGAGTATCGCTTGAGCCCAGGAGTTCAAGGCTGCAGTGAACTATGATCATGCCACTGCACTCCAGCCTGGGCGACAGGGCGAGACTCAGTCTTTAATGAAGTCTCACTTAGAAAAGTTCCTCCCACTTAAATGTAAGACCTCAAATTATAAAAATCCTAGAAGAAAACCTAGGAAATATTCTTTTCAATATCAGCCTCGCCAAAGAATTTATATAGCTAAGTCCTCAAAACCGATTACAACAAAAACAAAAATTGCGAAGTGGGACCTAATTAAAATAAAGAGCTTCCGCACAGCAAGAGAAACTATCAAAGGAGTAAACAGACAACCTACAGAATGGTAGAAAGTATTTGCAAACTATGCATCCAACAAAGATCTAACATCCAGAATCTATAAGGAACTTAAATTAACAAGCAAAAAACAAATAACTCCATTAAAAAGTGAGCAAAGAACATGGACACCTCTCAAAAGAAGACATACATGTGGCCAACATAGGAAAAAACACTCACCATCACTAATTGTCAGAGAAATACAAATCAAAACCACCATGAGGCCGGGCACAGTGGCTCATGCCTGTGATCCCAGCACTTTGGGAGGCTGAGGGGGGCGGATCACTTGAGGTCAGGAGTTCGAGACCAGCCTGGCCAACATGGTGAAACCCCATCTCTACTAAAAGTACAAAAATTTAGCCCAGCGTGGTAGCATGCACCTGCAATCCCAGCTACCGGGGAGGCTGAGGCAGGAAAATCACTTGAACCTGGAAGGCAGGGGTTGCAGTTAGCCGAGATCATGCCACTGCACTCCAGCCTAGGTGACAGAGCAAGACCCCGTCTCAAAAACAAAAACAAAACAAAACAAAAACACAATGCGATACCATATCATACCAGTCAGAAATGTCTTTGTTAAAAAGCTATTTTGTTAGAAGACAAGAGATGCTGGTGAGGCTGCAGAGAAAGGGGGAAACTTACACACTGTTGGTGGGAATGTCAATTTGTCCAGCCACTGTGAAGAGCAGTTGGGAGATTTCTCAAAGAACTAAGAATTCGTGGCTCTGCCTAGGTAGTAGCCATTTTTTTATTTCTTTACTTCTCTAATAAACTTGCTTACACTTAAAAAAAAAAGAGAGAACTAAGAATTGAACTACCGTTTGACAGAAATCCCATTACTGGCTATTTACCCAAATAAAATCAAGTCATCCTACCAAAAGGACACATGCACCCATATGTTCATCACAGCACCATTCACAATGACAAAAACGTGGAATCAACCCAGTGCCCATCAACAGTGGAATGGATTTTTAAAAACCTATGGAATACTATACAGCCTTACAAAAGAACACCATGGAATACCATACAGCCATGAAAAGAACAAAATAATGTCCTTTTGCAGCAACTTGGATGCAGCTGAAGGCCACTGTCCTAAGTGAACTAACATAGAAACAGAAAATCAAATTCTACCTATTTGCCTTTATAAATGGGAGCTAGACACATGAACATAAAGATGGGAACAATAGACACTGGAGAACACAAGAACAGGATGGGGAGAAGGGCAAGGCTGAAAAACTACCTATTGGGTTCTATGGGCTCACTAACCAAGTGACAGGTTCAGTCCTACCCCAAATATCAGCATCAGGCAATATACCTTTGTAACAAACCTGTACATGTAACCCCCGATCCTAAAATAAAAGTTGAAAAGAAAAAAAAAAGAGTTCCTCCTTCCTTATCATCAACATCCTCACGATGGGTCAATATAGCCCTGTTTTTTTGTTGTTGTTGTTTGTTTTGTTTTGTTTTTACATATTTGACTTTTGCTCTAACTTCTGCATTTCAAAGAGAAAAAAATACCAGAGCATGTTTCTGAAGACTCCCTGCTTTCATCCTCAGATACCTCTGGGCTACTCTATTCTGAGGGAAGGAAACAGGTACATGCCTATGCTCACGAAACACACCCAAGCACCACCACTGAGTAAGAGGTCAAACTTCTGTTTCCACCAAAGGGTATATGGGTTCCCCAGAGCTGTGCTGTCAACAACAGACGGCCCTCTTGCAGGGTGTAAGCCCCTCTCCTGAATGCCCCAGCATATCCTGCCCCTGGCAGGAGTTTCCAAAGAGAACTTCACAGGCACTGGGAGAAGGAAGACAAAGGCTCTGTTTGAGACACTGAGTCCATACTAAGATTATAACTAAAAGGCCATGACTGACAGCAAAATGCATTTAGGGATAAATTAACATGAAGTTGAATGTAAATTTAAGATCATATTTGTAAGTTTCACCACCACTTTTGAAATTAAGAGTATAGGTAGGAAGATACTATTGGGATGATTTTTTACCCAGAAAAAGAAAAAGTTTGGAGAGAAATTGTGTCAGAGATTGCATATGTATGTGTGTATGTATGTATGTATGTATGTGTATTTATTTATTTGTTTGCTTGTTTAGAGAGACTGCAGCCTCACTATGTTGCCCAGGCTAGTCTCAAACTCCAGGCCTCAAGTGACTCTCTCACCTCAGCCCCCACAAAGTGCTGAGAATACAAGCATGAGCCACAACATCCGGCCACAGATTAATTAATCTAATAAAAAGTTTGTCAATAATGAGGCCAGGTGTGGTGGCTCATGCCTGTAATCCCAGCAGTTTGGATGGCCAAGGCGAGCAGATCACTTGAGGTCAGGGGTTTGAGACCAGCCTGGCCAACCTGGCAAAACCTTGTCACTACTAAAAATACAAAAAATAGCCAGGCATGGTGGTGCACACCTGTAGTCCCAGCTACTAGAGAGGCTGAGGCAGGAGAATCGCTTGAACCCAGGAGACGGAGGTTGCAGTGAGCCAAGATCACACCACTACACTCTAGCCTGAGTGACAGAGCGAGACTCTGTCTCAAAAAACAAAAAAAAAAGGTTATCAGTAATGATAGCTTTTTGCAAATAAATTTTAAAATTTATATTAAGATAATATATAGATGACATTATTGTCTGATTAAGTCATACCTTATTAATTAAGTCATTATCAAAAATTAAGACATTATTGTATGAGTAAGTCTTTATCAAAATTTAAGAAATAGAATCCATTTGTATCTTATAGTCATTTATTGTCAGGTCACACTCCGCATAATTCTTTTTTTTGAGATGGAGTTTCGATCTTGTCACCCAGACTGGAGTGCAATGGCGTGATCTCAGCTCACTGCAACCTCCACCTCCCGGGTTCAAGCAATTCTCCTGCCTCAGCCTCCCAAGTAGCTAGGATTATAGGCATGCACCACCACACCCAGCTAATGTTTGTATTTTTAGTAGAGACGGGGTTTCACCGTGTTGGTCAGGCTGGTCTCGAACTCCTGATCCCAGGTGATCCACCCACCTCAGCTTCCCAACGTGCTGGGATTACAGGTGTGAGCCACCACGCCCAGCCTGCATAGTTCTGATATGCATAAATTTCTGTTTCCCGTCCCCCAACGCAACATGGTGCAAATTGCATTTACTAAAATATATTAACAGTAATTAGATAAAGTATAAATTTGACTCCTAGCTCTTCAGTCCCTAAATCACTATGCAAATAACATGCACATCGTGATCAGTGACCAATTATGTCACTTCTTAGTCTGCTGTTGGTCACCGAACATCTGTTATTCAGTTCACACACAGACAGCGAAGTATATACAAAAACGAGTTAGTAGAAGAGGAAATAAAAATAAAATTTTTAAAAAGAGGGAATTATCTGGTAAAAAAAAATAAAAGTGCAGCAAATAAATGAAAAGTAATCAGGCTAGCAGTGCCTTTCCAATCAAATGTAAATGGAGTTATGGAAGAAGTAGCCAAGCATGGATATGTGGACACCACTGCTATTCCAGAGACTAGATGTACAGCCCAGGAACTTGGTGAACATGAACTTGGCCACATAAGTGGGGAATGAGTTGTGACACAAAGCATAAAGATGTTCCAGAGGGAGTGACATGGGCAGATAAAAATAATCACATTAAAGAAACTCTCAGAAATATTTCTCATTCAAGCACAAAAGATAAAATGTTGGAAGTTGATTCAAATTTAGGAGTATGACAATTCTCCAAGACATAGAAAAAAACACTGTCGGCCAAGTGCAGTGGCTCACACCTGTAATCTCAGCACTTTGGGAGGCCGAGGCAGGAGGATCACTTGAGCCCTAGGGGTTTGAGAACAGCCTGGGCCATGTGGCAAAACCCCATCTCTACAAAAAATACAAAAATTAGCCAGGAGAGGTGGCGCATGCCTGTAGTCCCAGGTACTTGGGAGGCTAAGGTGGGAGGATCGCTTGAGCCCAGGAAGTCGAGGCTGCAGTGAGGCATGATGGTGCCAAAACAGATGCTGCTTCATATCGTAAGTTGTATGATTAGAAGAAGACATCACTGTACAAACTAATCTCGATATTTTTCACAGAGAAATAAAACACTGTAATTCTCAGCGTTTCTAACATTTTAAGTTACCTGATACTAAATGAACATTTGTTTTACTATTTTTTATTTCCTGATACATTTATAGATAATAAGAGAGTTTTGACACAAAATTTTTAAAGGTCACAGAAGAATCTTAATTTTTCCCATTGATTAAGATTGCTTTGCACGGTTTCGGCTTGTATGGTCATTTTTGTGGCCCTGCACTACTGTGCAAAGTGAGGATTGTTTGTACTCTATTTTATTATTTATTTTATTTTATTTTAATTTTTTTGAGATGAAGTCTCACTCTGCTGCCCAGGCTGGAGTGTCGTGGTACAGTCACAGCTCACTGGAGCCTTGACCTCTTTCACATGCTGAAAATGAATGCCTCCTTTTTAGCAATCATCATCATTATTTCACAAGTAAAAACAACTATTTCAGTAAGCACCCCACAATGATTATCTGCAATTTGAAGACTGATTTCTAAAACTGGGCACTGCCCAAGTAAGTACCTTTTCTCATAGCAAGCTGAATACAGCTGTAGTGTCGCTGCCATTTTCATGCAGGTTTTCAGTCTTAAAATGAGGGATTTTAGGGATTCCACCCTGCCCCTAGTCTAGTCTTACATATTGTACTTGGCTGTTTCATACTTCAGCAGCGAATAGCTCGATGCCTTGCTCTCTCAGAGCCTGGTGTATCCACTTGGTCATTTCCCCTTCCTAGAATGCCTTCCCCACTCCCACTATCTGGTTGTCTAACTCAGAGACCTTTCATGTTTATCTTTATAACTTCAGGCTCTGCCACAGCACTGTCAAACAGTATATGTCCAGTAAATTGTTTTGAAGAAATGAATGAATGAATCCTCAAGTCGCACCTCCAACCACACCTGCTCTGAGACTTTCCTGCCTCCGCTAAATGGACCGGGCATTTTCTCCTCTGCAACTTGTACGCCCCTATCTTTGTTCTGATTAATACTTGATCTTTCAAAAACAGGTACAATCTGCCGGGCACGGTGGCTCACGACTGTAATCCCAGCACTTTGGGAGGCCGAGGCAGGCGGATCACGAGGTCAAGAGACAGAGACCATCCTGGCTAACATGGTGAAACCCCGTCTCTACTAAAAATACAAAAAATTAGCTGGGCGTGGTGGCAGGCGCCTGTAGTCCCATCTACTCGGGAGGCTGAGACAGGAGAATGGCGTGAACCCGGGAGACGGAGCTTGTAGTGAGCCGAGATCACGCCACTGCACTCCAGCCTGGGCGACAGAGTGAGACTCTGCCTCAAAAAAAAAAAAAAAAAAAAAAAAAGTACTATCATTGATTGCCCTGCTTTAAAAAAACATCCTCTCCTTGGTCCCCAGTCCCTCAGATAAAGTTCAAACTCCTTAATTGACATTCTTTGTTTATTCTTTCCTTCATTCAGTGAGAATTTATTAACTGTGCATGTTATGAACAAGTTGAGGGCCCTTTTCTCAAAGATTAGCCACATGCATTAGCTGAGAGACACACAAACAGATCATTGTGGTGCAATGCAGGGAATGCAGTGACAGGGATGGAGACAGCATATTTCCACAGCAAAGCGGAGGGGCCTTATCATTATCCAGAGAGCAAGTGGAAAGGAAAAGTTTTCCCTGAGAAGACCACCACCACTCATCCTAGTCTCACGGATGAATGAAAATTCATTCATCAAAGGAGAGTGAAATGGAAAGGAAGCAGGCATACTTTTTACAAATAGACTTGGGGCTGGGCGTGGTGGCTCACGCCTGTAATCCCAACACTCTGGGAGGCCGAGACGGGCAGATCACCTGAGGTCAGGAGTTCAAGACCAGCCTGGCCAACATAGTGAAACCCTATCTCTACTAAAAATACAAAAATTAGCTAGGCATGGTGGTACACACCTGTAGTCCTAGCTACTCGGGAGGCTGAGGCAGGAGAATCGTTTAAATCCAGGAGGTGGAGGTTGCAGTGAGCCGAGATCGTGCCACTGCACTCTAGCTTGGGCAACAGAGGGAGACTTCAACTGAAAAAAAAAAAAAAAAAAAAAAATATATATATATATATATATATACACACATGTATATATATATACACATACACGTATATATGTGTGTGTATATATATGTATATATATGTGTATATATATGTGTGTGTGTATATGTGTGTATATATATATGTATATATATATGTGTGTATATATATGTGTGTATATATATATATGTGTGTATATATATAATGCTTGGCCAGGTGCAGTGGGTCACACCTATAATTCCAGTACTTTGGAAGGCTGAGGCAGGAGGATGGCTTGACACCAGGAGTTTGAGACTAGCCTGGGCAACATAGGGAGACCCCCATCTCTACAAATAATTTAAAAATTAGCCGGGCGTGGTGGTGCATGCCTGTGGTCCCAGCTACTTGAGAGGCTAAGGTGGGAGGATTGCCTCAGCCTGAAAGGTCAAGGCTGCAGTGAGCCATGATAGTGTCACTGGCACTCCAACCTGGGCAACATAGTGATATCCTGTCTCAAAAAAAAAATAAATAAATAAATAAATAAATAAATAAATAAATTTATATACTTACTATATAAAAATTTATATATATATATAAATTTTTATATAGTAAGTATATAAATACACTTAATAAATTGGGATATTAAATATATCAGGAAATTATACCATAGCAGTACAGCGAGATCTTCATTCCTCCTTAAACTTCTTAAAACTTCATCATATGGATGCACTGTAGTTTGTTCAAACTGTCCCCTATTGGTGGACATTAATGATATTTCTAGTTCTATTATAATGCTATCATAAATAACACTGCCAATCGATGGCATTGAGCATATTTGTTGCATTTTATGCTTTTGTCCTTTGCAGCTTTGGGATAAATTCCTAGAAATGCAATTGCCAGGTCAAAAGGTAAATGCAAGGATAATTACACTAAATATTGATAAATTATTCTCCATAGGAGCTGCATCATTTTGAATTCTCATTATTAATATCTGAGACTGCAAGACAATTTATAGGAAGATTTTTTAAAAAGAAAAGATGATGCAAAAATTATGATTTCAGAACTATACTTGTTAGTGTTCTATACTCATATAGTGTACATGAGAAAGAAGAGAGTTAAAAGGTATAAGGCACCAGGTGCGGCGGTTCACGCTTATAATCCCAGCACTTTGGGAGGCCGAGGAGGGCAAATCAGTTGAGGTCAGGAGTTCGAGACCAGCCTGGCCAACATGGTGAAACCCCATCTCTACTAAAAATACAAAAATTGGCTGGGCACGGTGGCAGGGGCCTGTAAACCAGTTACTCAGGAGGCTGAGGCAGGAGAATCGCTTGAACCCAGGAGGCGAAGGTTGCAGTGAATCAAGATCACACCACTGCACGCCAGCCAGGGTGACAGAGCAAAACTCTGTCTCAAAAAAAAAATTTTTAATTAAATTTTAAAAAGATATAAGGCACAGAGGAGTTCAGGGTTGTTGAGGTGGAATCATAAAATCCGAATATTTATTTGAATGGAACTAAGTGCAAAAAAATAAACAAGTTTCTCACTAACCTTTGTCATACAACAGAATGAAGCAAATACACAACTCCTGACAACTGTAAGGAAGTGAGAGCCTGACTGTCAAGCAGGGGGAGTGGAAGGAAATAAATAGTACATTTCCCATTATTACTAAATCAAGGCTTCTTTGTTCCCCAACTCTATTTTTTCTTTTAAGTAAATCTCCCAACTATAAACTTTGTCTGTCTCAGCAGTTTTCAAGACCTTTACCCTCAGTTAGGGAGCCCTATCACACTGGCCCTGTTATGTTCGGGTTCCTCTCCCCACCCTGGAGTTTTATTTTTCCCCAGAAGGGAAGTAGTCAGGGTAGCAAGTAAAGAAAATCACTTTTAACGCTGAGCAATTTGAACCAGGCAATTGAACTCCTACATCTGATCCCCCCTGCCCAAACTTTTAAATCTGTCTTCTGGATTCTTTGGAGAAGCTGGTAAGGGAGGCAGACTGTGTTGTTTTATTTATTTATTCCTCTGTAGTTGATTTAAACCAAAAAAGTTACACGTGGATGCAAAACGTATGTAAGCAATGATGCAGGTACACACACAATCCCCCCTGCAACTTAAAAAGTAGAAGATTGGCTGGGCATGGTGGCTCACACCTGTAATCCCAGCACTTTGGCAGGCCAAGGCGGGTGGATCACTTGAGGTCAGGAGTTCGAGACCAGCCTGGCCAATATGGTGAAACCCCGTCTCTACTAAAAATACAAAAATTAACTGGGTGTGATGGCATCCACCTGTAATCCCAGCTACTTGGGAGGCTGAGGCAGGAGAATCACTTGAACTCGGGAGGCAGAGGTTGCAGTGAGCCAAGACTGTATCACTGCACTGTAGCCTGGGTGACAGAGCAAGATGCTGTCTCAAAAAAAAAAAAAAAACCAAGAAGTAGAATATTATGCTGTCATTGAAGCTACGTATGTGTTCCTGCTTGATCCCATCCCCTTTCTTCCCTCTAAACCTCTTCCAGCGGATGTATTTGCATTTACAGAGTTAGCTGGATTTGCATCCAACAGATGTATTTGCATTTACAGAGTTAGATGACTACTCTGCAAATAGGGCCACTTTTGCCCCATTGAGTCTTATGTGTGAGTCTTTGTGTTGTCTGAGCAAGGCGCATCATCCCAGAGTTGCAGTAAGAATTTGTCCTCAGGAGCACTGGCTCTTCTGTTCATTTAGGGTGCATCTCTCTCAGCTCATGGTTGTTAGTCCCGTATATTCCTAACAAACCCAGCAATGCCTTATAAAATATCTTCACAATGATTTGTCCAAGATTAAGTGGTAGCGTAGCAGGAGAGGGTTCCTCGTGGTATCTAGGAGCCCATCCTGCTCTGAGTGGAAGGCTGCAGTTTCCTAATTCTTGCCTCTGGCCTTAGGAGAGTATCTTTCCTTCTTGCTATATTCTAAGGAAAGATTACAACAAATCCTATTTCAATTCTGCTACCCTTGAAAAGGGTGGCCGGGCACAGTGGCTCACGCCTGTAATCCCAGCACTTCGGGAGGCTGAGGCGGATAGATCACGAGGTCAGAAGATCGAGACCACCTTGGCCAACACGGTGAAAACCCGCCTCTACTAAACACACACACACACACACACACACACACACACACAAATAGCCAGCGTGGTGGTGTGCGCCTGTAATCCCAGCTACTTAGGAAGCTGAGGCAGGAGAATCACTTGAACCTGGGAGGTGGAGCTTGCAGTGAGCCAAGATTATACCACTGCACTTCAGCCTGGGCAACAGAGCGAGACTCCCTCTCAAGAAAAGAAAAGGAAGAGAGGGGAAGGGAGGGCAAGGGAGGGCAGGGGAGGGCAGGGGAGGGGAGGGCAGGGGAGGGCAGGGGAGGGCAGGGGAGGGCAGGGGAGGGGAGGGAAGGGAAGGTTTGTTAAACCTGGCGTAGATTCAAATAATTGGTAGTGGGTACCTGAAATTCTGCCTTGGCAAACTGAGAATGTTTTTCAGGGCTCTTCTGACCCAGTAGCAGTTTCTCCCACGACCAGGCCTGTGGTGAGTGGCAGCGGCAGTTGAAAGTCTGACCTCTGCATTTTTCAGCTGACCACCTATTGCTTGGCACTTTACTCTCAAGAATTGGTCCTTGGTTACCTGGATCTACCCGCAAAGCCTTAGTCATTGATAAGACTGGCTGCAGGCATTTAAAAAGTAAACATCTCTCCCCGTCGAATTTCTTATCTCTTCCTTCATTCATTCCTGACCTGCGGTACCTCATGCACTGCTTACAAATCAGTCTCCCCAAATTTAATCTCTTTGAATCAGCTCTGATTTTCTAAATTCTAGCAAAAATGACGCAATGAAGAACTTTATTATCTGAATTTGTGCCTCGTATCAGCTCCTATTCTGACTATTTTTGATGACTAATTCTGATTTCTAGTTAATAACCATCACCTGGCATATCAGTTATCTATTGCTGTGTAACAAATCCTCTGAAATTTAACAGAGTGAAAAAGCAACAAACATTTATTTTCTCACCCCGTTTCTGTTAGTGAGAAACTGGGGAATGGCTTAGTTGAGTAACTAGGGACCTCATACAAGGTTCGGATGTCAAATGGGGCTGCAGTCAGCCAAAGACCTGACTGGATAGAGGATCCCCTGCCACGCTGGCTCACTCTGATGGCTGGCAAGTCAGTGCTGGGTGTAGTGAGAAACCTCAGCTCCCCAGCACGTGGCCCTCTCTAGAGGACAGCTTGAGTATCCTTACAACATGGCGGCTGTGAGAGCAAGGCAGACACCTCAGCATCTTTTAAAACCTTCCTCGAAAGTCACAATATCCTGTCATTTCCACAATATCCCTGTTGGTGTCACAGGTCATCTCTATTCGATGTGGGAGAATCTACAGAAGAAAATGAACACCAAGTGATGGGGATCACTGGGGGTCCCCCGAAGGCTGACCACCACTCTCAGCAAATATTTTTCATTTGAAAGGGTACAAAGCCAAATATCCCCAAATCTGAAGCTTGATAGTTTGTAAACTACTCCAATGCACTGAATAAAGGGCAGGAAGTAAACTTTTACATTTCCTATGCAGAAGAAGATGGATTTCACTTTTTTTTTTTTTTTGGCAAGAAATCTGACAGTTTGGGGGCTGATGGTGTTTTTTGTTTTTGTTGTTTTTGTTTTTGTTTTGTTTTGTTTTTTAAACAGGCAGCCTCCTCAGCTCAGATTAGGCTCTGAGAGACTCCGTAGCATCTTTTTTGAGATTCCAAAAATGAAATTACATTTCATAACTAAAGAGTGAAGAACAACAGCGTGGATAGAAACAATGGGGGGCTGTGGCAGAAAGTTGTTATTCAAAGGCTCTGAAGTTTTCCTCTTGAGAGTCCTTGGGTTTTATTAATTGTCACAGAATAATAAGCTCCATTCAATGAAGAGTTTTCTTGCCCTTCTACTTCTGACACTAACTGTCATCATAGAATAATGCTAAACTACCTTTTGTTTTGTTTTGTTTCACTTTGCCTTCTGGAATGCCCAAAATGACAGCACCCACAGAGTTTCTGGAATTTCCTTATGATCTTCTAACGAGGTAGAGAGCCATAAGTCTAATTATAAAACAATGTTAGCCTTGTTACTGCTAGGTTAGCAACCAGAAACCTGGCAAAGTTCAACAGAGCAGTAGTTTAAAAATATTTATATAAACCTTTGTTTAGTTGCCAAACCCCTGAAGAACAAGTGGATTTTTCCACAAGGTGCATCGACACCATCTAGTAATATTTTCTAAGCCCTCTGTTCCTCATGAATAATCAAATTCAAGATGAATTTATGAGAGAATCTACCAGTAGCATGTGCCAGACATTTTCCCAGGTTTCTGGGAGGTATCAAGAAAGCAAAGATCTTGCCCTCAAGGAATCAGCAGGTCTCTGCTCAGCGTGGAAAACCTTTTAGGCTGAGCAGTGAGTTGTTATATGCATGCCCCTTAGGAACTTGCAATAAGACATAAAATTGGCAGGCTCAGTGGATGATGCCTTGTAATCCCAGCACTTCGGGAGGCCAAGGAGGGCGGATCACTTGAGGTCAGGAGTTCGAGACCAGCCTGGGCAACACAGTGAAACCTGTCTACTAAAAACACAAAAATTAGCTGGGTATGGTAGCATGTGCCTGTAATCCCAGCTACTCGGGAGGCTGAGACAGGAGAATTGCTTGAATCCGAGAAGCAGAGGTTGCAGTGAGCTGAGATCACGCCACTACACTCCAGACTGGATGACAGAGACAGACTCTGTCTTCAAAAATAAATAAATAAATAAATAATAAAAATACATAAAAGACATAAAATCCTGTGGAACAGGGACTCGATCAGAAGGTCTCTTCCTCACTCTTTCCCTTTTTCCTCCCCTCTCCCCAACCTGGCATTACCTTCCTGGGAGCAGGAATGTTTGTCCTTTCCAATCTTGTCTGTTCAGAGAATAGTTCTAAGTTTTCTCCGAATCCAATCAGCATGCACTGTGAGTCTGCTGAGGCTTCACTCTCAGGTCTTAGACCCTTCATTTTGCCAGTGTTCCAGTTTTGTGGTATAACAGCAACCTGGAGCAAATCTCAGCCCCTGGTGATTTGCACAGCAGGGTCCTACACTGCAGCACAGCCTGGAGAGCCAGGAGCCACTGTCCTGGTGTCAGGAGAGCCACCACCTTTCTGGGAAAGAAGAGCAGCAGAAGCAATGGTTCCTTCTAAATGGGCTCTGCTTCCTACATCCTAGGGCCTTTCTTCTTTTGCTGAGGAAGAAAAGAACATCATCCTACCCCATCCAAACTAAGGACCCACTTGATCGTTTTTATCCTATTTAGATGAGGCAACTCCCCAGTGTCTCCTCCCCGTCCCTCAACTCACTCATAATTCTTTGGAAAGAACAAGACACAATACATAAGCTGCTAGATTTATGAAGCAGATCACTTAGTCTATTCCCTCTTGAATGAAATGTCCAAATTTCCTGAAGGCATCTTTCTACACTACGGACTGACAGTCCTAAAACCTTCCATGTAAAAGCGATTTAAAAGCACTATGAATCCAGGTGTGGTGGCTCACACCTGTATTCCCAACACTAGTTCAAGACCAGCCTGGGCAACATAATGAGACCCCGTCTCTACAAAAATAATAAAATAAAATAGCCAGGTGTGGTGGTGCATGCCTATAGTTCCAGCTGCTCTGAAAGCTGAGGTGAGAGGATTGCTTGAGCCCAGGAGTTTGTGGTTACAGTGAGCTATGATTGTACCACTGCATTTTAGCCTGGGCAACAGAGCAGGTCACTGTCTCAAAAAAAAAAAACAAAAAAAAAAACCCACAAACCCCCCCCCCCCAAAAAACAGCATTATGGATTACATAAATACAAAGATCCACAATTTCCTGGGTCTCCGTATTTCTATTTCTCCCTCCTGTGTCCCTCTTCCCTAGCACAGAGCACACATTTTCTCCACTACCCTTCATCTGTCCATCCCTGGGATCAAAATGACAGTGGACAGCCCACAAGTCCAAAGGCAAGCTTCCGCTGTAGAGCTCTTCTCTTGTAAAATGGAATTAAGTGCAGCTGGGCATGGTGGCTCACACCTGTAATCCCAGCACTTTGGGAGGCTAAGGCAGGTGAATCACGAGGTCAGGAGTTCAAGATCAGCCTGGCCAACATGGTGAAACCCCATCTCTACTAAAAATACAAAAAATAGCTGGGTGTGATGGTGAATTCCTGTAATCCCAGCTACTGGGGAGGCTGAGGCAGGAGAATGGCTTCAACCCACGAGGCAGAGGTTGCAGTGAGCCGAGATCCTGCCACTGAACTCCAGCCTGGGTGATAGAGCAAGACTGTCTCAAAAATAAAATAAAATAAAACAAAATGGAATTAAGTTATCAAAACTTAACATTCCAAAGGAAAAAAGAAAAAGTCTCCAAATAAATAGGGCAATTATCAAAACATGAAGGGTAAATTACTTCATTCTAGTTGAAAAAGAATTATTGGCCGGGCATGGTGGCTCTCACACCTGTAACCCTAGCACTTTGGGAGGCTGAGGCAGGAGAATCCCTTGAGCCTAGGAGTTCAAGACCAGCCCGGTCCACTGTAATTCTGGCTCACACCAGTAATCCCAGCACCTTGGGAGGATCATTTGAGCTCAGGAGTTTGAGACCATCCTGGGCCCCTTAGCAAGACCCTGTCTCTACTAAAATTCTAAAAATTAGCTGTATATGGTGGTGCATGCCTACATTCCTAGCTACTCAGGAGGCTGAGGCAGGAGGATTGCTTGAGCCCAGAAGTTTGAGGCTGCAGTGAGCCGTGATTGCACCACTGCACTCCAGCCTGGGCAACAGAGCAAGACCCTGTCTCTAAAAAACAAACAAACAAACAAACCCAAAGATCATGACTCCTAATGCGGATCCCCTCCCTTCTATTGCTGCGTTCACCCTGGGTTCCAGGGACCTCTTCCTCCCCTAACCCGTTCACTCCTCCTTGCTGGTGCTGGGATGCTTCACCAGTCCCTTGTGGAAGCTCCAAATCTATCTACACTTTTGTAAATAACCCCTTCACAACACTCAATGATGACCCTGTTTGAGGGTATCATCTGTTTCCTGCAGGGACCATGACCATACTTTGCATGACTGATTTTTTTAGCCTGCACATCAATGCATCTAGCATTTCACTCTTTTCCAAATGAAAAGGAAACTACAAAAGAAAATAATAAGCTAACCGCAGAGTGCACAATTTTACATAACTAATAAAATGTATTAGGCATTTTGCTGCAAAGAAAATGAAATAAAGATGTTTTATTATGTACATTAGTTAATGAGGCACAGGAAAGGAATGTTAAGAAAAGCAGGAATGTTTATCTAGTTCATGGTCCATGATAACCACAGATTGCTGCATTTGTAGCCACATGAGTCATTCAAAAGTGATATGAACATGCATACATAACAATTCTTCTGCTTTTAATGAAACATAAGAAACTGTCAAGCTTTGGAAATTAGAAACAAACATATTCAATGCTTTTTGAAAAATCAGGCCTTATTTAAAAAGAAAAATGTTCTATCATCAAATGTATTATGCATTTATTTTTTATCATTTGAAATAATAGCTTATAAATAACATTGGTCCAGAACTAATAAATGAATTTTTACAAGAGCTCTCTCTCCCTTAAATAGGTTTAAATTTGCTTTTCAAAATAAACAGCAAATTTCCTGGATGTAAGGAAGAGAAAGGAGTTTCCAGAATTAAAATCCAATTGCTTTTCTGTTCTATTTTCTTTCTTTTTTTTTTTCAGTAAGAACACAAGGTGAGATCTATCTTAACAAATTGTTCAGTGTACACTGCAGTATTGTTGACTATAGGTGCAATATTGTACCACAAATCTCTAGAGCTTATTCACCTGACTTCACTGAAACTTTATGCCTATTGATTAGTAACTCCCCACTCCCCTCAGCCCCTGGCCACCATCATTTCACTCTTTGGTTCTATGAAGTTGACTATTTTAAATATCCCACATAAATTGAATCCTGCCATATTAGTCTTTCTGTTAATAGTTTATTTCACTTAGCGTAATGTCCTTAAGATTTATCCATGTTGTTGAATAATTGCAGAATTTCCTTCTTTTTAAAAGCTAAATAGTATTCCATTGTATGTGTATATACATTTTCTTTATTCATTTCTCCGCCGATGGACGCTTAGATTGTTTGTGTATCTTGGATATTGTGAATAATGCGGCAATGAACCTGCAAATGCTAATACCTCTTTGGGATCCTGATTTCAATTTTTTTGGATAAATATCCAGAAATAGGGTTGCTAGGTCACATGGCAGTTCTATTTTTACATTTTTTAGGAACACCCATACTGTTTTCCTTAGTGGCTGCACCATTTTGCATTCCCATCAACAGTATGCAAGGGTTCCAATTTGTCCACTTCTTCACCAATATTTGTTGTGTTTTGGTTCTTCAATGATAGCCATCCTGACAGGTGAGAGTTGATATCTCACGGTGGTTTTGATTTGCATTGCCCTGATGATCAGTGATGATGAGCACCTTTTATCCTCTGGGAGCCTCCCATTTCCTCTCATTGATGAGAATTTGCCCATGAGAGGTTAATATCCCTATACTCTCGCAATGTGTCAACTAGCTTCTTTCATTGCTGTTCAAGATGCCAGAGCCCATGCTATTCAGATCCTTGGCCCATTTGTAAAAATTGGGTTTTTTTTTTTTTGCTATTGAGTTATGAATTCCTTACATATTTTAGATGTCAACCCTTATCACATACATCGCTTGCAAATACTTTCTCCCATTTCATAGGTTTTCTTTTCACTCTGTTGATTGTTGCCTTTGCTGTGAGAAGCTTTGTGATTTGATGTAACTTTGCTTATTTTTGTTTTTGTTGCCTGTGTTTTGGGGGTCATATCCATGAAATCATTGACAAGACCAATGTCAAAGAGCTTTTCGCCTATGTTTTCTTCTAGGAGTTTTACAGCTTCAGATTTTATGTTTAAATCTTTAATCCATTTTGAGTTGGGTTTTGTATGTGATGTAAGATAAAAGTCCAGTTTCCCCCTTTTGCACATGGATATCTGATTTTCTCAATACCATGTGTTGAAGAGACTATCCTTTCCCCATTATGTATTCTTGGCACCATTGTTGAAGATCAGTTGACAATATACATGTGAATCTATTTCTGGACTCTCTATTCTGTTCCATTCACATATATGTCTATCTGTTGGCCAGTAACATACTGTTTTGATTACTGTAGTTTTGTTATACATTCTGAAATCAAGCAATGTGATGCCTCTATCTTTGTTCTTCTTTCTCAAGATTGATATGGCTATTCATGGTCTTTTGTGGTTTCATATGGACTGTAGAATTGTTTTGTCCCTGTCTTCAGATGACATCGTCTCATATATAGAACGCCCTAAGACTCCATTTTTTAAACATGTTAGAATAAAGGAATTCAATAAAGTTGCATAATACAAAATCAACATACAAAAATCAGTTGCGATTTCTATACATTAACACAGAACTATCTAAAAAGGAAATTAGCGAAACAATCCCATATATAATAGCACCCAAAATAATAAAATACTTGGGAATAAACTTAACTAAGGAGGTGAAAGACTTGTATACTGAAAACTACAAAATACTGATGAAATAAATTAAAGAAGACACAAACAAATGGAAAGACATTTCATTCCTGGGCTGTAAGACTTAATATTGCTATTCTCCTTTTATAGAAAAATAAACAAACTCAAGTATGCAGAGTTAAGTTAATCATAATCTTTGATTCATTATACATCATCATCAGTCCACACATATCCCTCTTTTATTTCATTTCATTTTGAAAATAATAAAAGGAACACCCCATGTACCCATTATCCTAACCAAGAACTAGAATATTACTCATCAGTCACAAATCTTGTATGCTTCCCCACATTTTCTCAGCACCACCTACGTCTTAGACCTCAGCCATTTGCCTTGCCTTAGCCCCAGCCTGTGCCTGACCAACTCACCTAGGCTACCAAGTTCCCTTCTAGGCTGATTAGAGTTGGTTATCCCCTTGACTGTCAACTCTGCAGCTGGGCCAACCATACACACCCAGAGTTCCTAGTTCCTCCTGCCCTTTATGGACTCTGACAAAAGGCCACACTGCAGGGCATAGGCTTGGCATCTTGAACAGCAACAAAAGAAGGTAACACATTGTGAAAGTATAGGGACATTAACTTCTCATGGAAAAATTCTCACTATTAGGAGACAGGAAATGGGAGGCTCCCAGAGGATAAATTTCTTCTTCCCTTCCTCTCGTCTCTGGACTATACCTTACAGCTTTCCAGAGAAGTTTCACTGAGTGGGACACAATTGCCTAGTGCCCCGTTGTGTCTCTGTTTGGCTCATTTTGAAGTGATAGTCAGCAAGGCTGTGCATCATTTTGTGTATTAGTTTGTTGGGGCTGCCATAACAAAATACCACAGACTGGGTAGCTTAAACAACAGAAATGTGTCTTCTCACAGCTCTGCAGGTGGAAGACTGATCAAGGTGTCAGCAGCACTGGTTTCTTCTGAGGCTTTTTTTTTTTTTTTTTTTTGAGATGGAGTCTCACTCTGTTGCCCAGGCTGGAGTGCAGTGGCTCCATCTCGGCTCACTGCAACCTCCACCTCCCGGGTTCAAGTGATTCTCCTGCCTCAGCCTCCCAAGTAGCTGGGATTACAGGCACATGCCACCACGCCCAGCTAATTTTTATATTTTTAGTAGAGAGAGGGTTTCACCATTCTGGCCAGGCTGGTCTCGAACTCCTGACCTCAAGTGATTTGCCCACCTTGGCCTCCCAAACTGCTAGGATTACAAGCGGGAGCCATCGCGCCCGGCCTGACGCCTCTTTCTTTAGTGTGTAGCTGGTTTTCTTCTCCCCGACTTCACATGGTCTTTCCTCCATGTGCATACATATCTGTGTCCACATGTCCTTGATTGAGCCCACCATAATGACTGCATTTTAACTGAATCACTTTTTTTCTTTTTTTGAGACGGGGTCTCACTCTGTCACCCAGGCTGGAGTGCAGTGGCACAATCTCGGCTCACTGCAAGCTCCACCTCCTGGGTTCACACCATTCTCCTCCCTCAACTTCCCAAGTAGCTGAGACTACAGGCGCCTGCCACCACAACTGGCTAATTTTTTGTATTTTTAGTAGAGACAGGGTTTCATCGTGTTAGCCAGGATAGTCTCAATCTCCTGACCTCATGATCCGCCTGCCTCGGCCTCCCAAAGTGCTGGGATTACAGGCGTGAGCAATCAGGCCCAGCCTGAATCACTTCTTTAAAGACCGAATCTCCAAATACAGTTACATTCTGAGGTACTGGGGTTAGGACTTCAATATGTGAATTTGGAGAGAACGTAATTTAGTTCATGCCATTTTGTGTCACTTTGTGTCTTCTTTTGCTTCCCTTCTCTTTTTTCTCACCTCGCCTTGGGCTTGTATCTTCCAAATAAAACACCAATAGTTTCATCCTTGACACCAGCTCTGTAGAGATTTGGGCTAATGCAACTCTCTGTCACATACCTGTAGCTTCCTTCCTTTCCCACAATCTTGCTGCCCCGTCACAGGTAACCAACATCCTAAACTTGGTCTTTTCACATAAGTGTTGTGTCTAAATTATATATTTTTCAGTTTTACCTGTTTCTGAATGTTTAAAAAGAATGTAGCTGGGCATGGTGGCTCATGCCTGTAATCCCAGCACTTTGGAAGGCTGAGGCAGGCGGATCATGAGGTCAAGAGACAGAGACCATCCTGGCCAACATGGTGAAACCCCGTCACTATTAAAAATACAAAAATTAGCTTGGTGTGGTGGTGCGCACCTGTAGTCCCAGCTACTCGGGCAGCTGAGGCAGGAGAATCGCTCGAACCTGGGAGGTGGAGGTTGCAGTGAGCCGAGATGGAGCCACTGCACTCCAGCCTGGGCAACAGAGAGAGACTCCATCTCAAAAAAAAAAAAAGAGTGTACCATTATATGTTGTCTTCTGATGCTTTTTCCCACTCAGCACTATATTAATAAAATCCATCTCTTTGATATGAATAGCTGTAATTTATTCATTTTTACTTGCTGCAGAATATTCCATGGTAAGAATATACCACATGTAAACCTTTTTTTGCCAACAGACATTGGGCTGTGTTCTACAAAGGCAGATGGCCAAACAGCACACATAACAGGCACCCTAGAGACCCTCTGCTGGGGATGCCTTGAGAAAAAGCAGTAGAAGGAGTGCAGGTCCCCTGCTGTCAATTTCATCTGGGGCACTAAACAGATGGCTAAAGGAGCCCACCCTCAGAATCCAAAAGAGGGTCCCGAAACCTTGTGGGGATTGTAAGCTCTATGATGAAGGAGGCACCAGCCTCTCTATTGGCATCATCAGAGGTTGTGTTTGCAGCTAGGCAACACTGCAAACTAGCAGCAGGATTTGCTTCATTAGCATCGATGTTTGGGGAACAAGGAGCCCTTGCCTCCCCTGACGGCAGCAGCAGAATGGGGTCTAAGCCTTGCATTTGATGAGACTTCACTGCCCTAAGTCATGGGTCATTGCCAGTTTCCATGGAGCTCCACAAGAGCCTGACTTCTTTTCTGGGAAACCAACTTCTAGAACACTTTGAAATGTTAGCATTGTCCTCTGAGGTAGTTAGTGGTTTGTTTGTTTGTTTGTTTGTTTGGAGATGGAGTCTCATTCTGTCGCCCAGGCTGGAGTACAGTGGCACAATCTCAGCTCACTGCAACCTCCACCTCCGGGGTTCAAGCGATTCTCCCACCTCAGCCTCCCAAGTAGCTGGGATTACAGGTGCCCGCCACCACGCCTGGCTAATTTTTGTATTTTTAGTAGAGATGGGGTTTCACCATGTTGGCCAGTCTGGTCTCGAACCCCTGACCTCAAGTGATCCACCTGCCTTGGCCTCCCAAAGTGCTGGGATTGTAGGTGTGAGCCACTGCACCCACCTACTTAGTGTTTCTAATCCCCAGGATATATATCTAGGAATGAAACTGCTGAGTCATAGGGTATGTGAATACTCACTGCTAATTTAACCTCATACACATAATATACCAGATCCCACTGATCGTTCTAGGATATCCTCCAAGTATTTTCTAATCATTTCAGTTTTGCCAGTCAGGTAGAGAGCAGCATCTCCCTGTGATTTTGACTTCACTTTCCCTGCTCGCTAGTGAAAATCGCTTCACATGCATATGGACCATCTGATTCTCTTTTGCAAAATGCCTTTTCGCTCGTTTTTGTGTTGATTTGTCATTCTCTTGCCAATTTGTAATAATTATATGTATATATTCTTACTGCTAACCCTTAGGACTTTTTAATCTTCTCCCAATTTGTAACTTTTTAAAAATTTTCTTTAAGGTGTCCTATGATGAGGAAAAGTTCTAAGCTTTAGCGTAGCTGAATTTATTAGTCTTTTCTTTTGTACTCAGCCCTTTTACTGTCTTCTATAAGAAATCTTTCCCTATCCAAGGTTACAAAAACAAATTTCAAAATGATTCATAGATCAAATAATAAATCATAATAGAAATTAAAAATTAGTTAGAATTAAAGAGTAATGAAAATGCCATATACCAAGCCTTGCAAAACATGGCAAAATAAATGTTTTGGGGAAAATGTAGTCTTGAGTATTAATATTAGAAAAGAGTTGTAAATTAATAAGCTAAATATCCAACTTAAGAAACATGTCAGAGACCACTCATCCTGACCAATATCACTCTCCCAACCTTCCTTGAAGTTGCAGTGGCTGTGATTGTCATTTCTTTTCTTTTGTGAGATGAGGGTTTTGCTTTGTCATCCAGACTGGAGTGCAGTGGTGTAAACCTGGTTTACTGTAACCTCAAACTCCTGGGCTCCAGCGATTATCCCACCTCAGCCTCCCAAATAGCTGGGACCACAGGTGTACACCACCAAGCCTGGTTGTTATATTTTTTTGAAAGATAGGGTCTCACTATGGTGCCCAGCTGGTCTTGAACTTCTGGTCTCAAGCAATCCTCCCAGCTCAATCTCCCAATTGTTGGGTTTCTGACTGTTAGCCACCACACATGGCCTTATTATTGTCACTTCTAGGCCAGGTTGGTTGAGTATTCACTTTCCTGGGACCCATCTCCCAATTTACCAGGTGGATAATGCCTGGGTCACCTTGAAGTCCAAAATTGGAGACACCATAACCACGCTGGAGACACCAGGAGCAACCCAAGTCCCTGAGTCACTAGCTAGAGGACAGCCACAGAGCATTACCCAACCTGGAACATCCAAAGTGGACGTTGATGAGGAAAATGTAAACTCTTAGTGTGTAAAGTCACTGAGATTTGGGGGTTGTTTGTTATAGCATGAGCCTAATACAAGAAGTAAAAAAAAAAAAAAAAAAAAAGAAGAATTCCAAAGGAAACAGAAGAAAATAGAAAATAAAAAGCAGAAATCAGTGAAATTGAAAACAAAGAAACAACAGAAAGGCCCAACAAAGGGACCACTGTTCTTTCCTGAACCTTAGGAAAGCCATCAGATAACTGTCCGATTCTGTTCTTAGTCCTCTTGCCAAGTCTATTTTCCTCTCCCCACGCTGTTCACAAGAAGAGCATATAGAGAACCTGCATATATAAAGCTGTGTGGGTTGGATTCTTTGTTGCTTATACCTCCAATGGCCAAATACATTTTCTTTCGTCACAGGAACTAAAGGAAAGAGATGGTCTGAGCACAGAGAATGAATCTAGGAGAGAGGTGACTGGTTTGGGCTGCATCAGGAAAATGCGAAGGCTAAAGACCAGAGCAAGAGACCAAAATGCAGGGAGTACAGGTGGAAAAGGTCAAGTGGAACGGAGGTGCCCAGGGCAGGAGAGCAGGGCTTCCTGGCAAGCTTAGGACGCGTGCTCCCCCTGCAAGGAGAGAAGGAAAAAGTAAGAGTTTTCTTATTTGCATGCATCAAGTATTTTCCATTGCCAAGAAGAGAATTCAATCCCATTTCCCATGTAATGAGTGAAGGGTAGTCTATGTTTCCAGTTAATTCTACAAGAGTGCTTTTGAAAAAAGTACTCCAAAGAATTGGGAAAATGATCATACAGAGCCCTGGTAACAGTCATCATCATCATCCATTGCTGTTTACAAAGGAGACTCTGTATTTAACCACCCAGGATCTCTTTATTTTAATTTGTTTTCTTTGTTGAACTGCATCATAATTGAGTATCTCCTGCTACTTGTTATCTTTTTGCAGTGCAGGATGTGTGGGGGAGCAGAATTTCCACTTGTTTTCTTTCATCAACAAAGTAGAACATCACAGACTCAGATGAGCCCTATGTAGCAATATGCAAAGGACATTACTTGAAAACTCAACTTTCTTGTTCTCAGACTTTTATTAATGCAGTTTGTTGTCTCCAAAAGAGCAGCAACAATATTCTCAGTGGTTCTACCACTCAACCCCTTGGGATGAAGGTTCTTAGTAATATTTCACTATTTAGTCTACAGCCTATATATGCATGTACGTTTTGTTTGTTTGAGATGGAGTCTCACTCTGTCACCAGGCTGGAGTGCAGTGGTGCAATCTGGGCTTACTGCAGCCTCTACCTCTCAGGCTCAAGAGATCCTCCCATCTCAGCCTCCTGAGTAGCTGGGACTACAGGTGCACACCACCACACTCGGTTAATTTTGTTTGTTTGGAGGCAGGGTTTCACCATGTTGTCCAGGCTGGTCTCAAACTCCTGGGCTCAAGCAATCCACCGGCCTCAGCCTCCCAAAATGCTGAGATTACAGGCATGAGCCAACTGTGCCCAGCCAGCCTTAGTATTTATAGACCTGGTTTCCTCAGGTCCAAATCCCTCTCCTTCAATCAAATGTTATACAACTGCAACTGTCCTCCACGTCGCCTCCATTTATAGAGCATTCTATGACCTTACCTCCCCACCATTAACTTTTCCCTGGCTAATTTGAAACTGCCTGTACGAGCTTTAAATGAGTTCTTTGTGGACTTCGGAAAGTGCTTACATTCTCAGCAGTTCCTGTAATCCTGTAACCAAAGAAGCGTTGTTGATGGCCAAGGCTTATTCTTCCTACAAATATGATTGAGTTCTGACACCTGGTATAATGTTTTCTTTAAAATGAGAGCCAATGTAATAAAATTCTTTATGGAATAGTCTGCAAAATGCTTTAATATATTAATAAAATTAAAACAATTTTCACAGAAAATTTTAATAATTTTTTCTAACTTCTTTTCTGATTGCACAGTTAATTTTACCATCTAGTTACTTCAATAATATTTTCTCTGCCTACAGAGCAAATATAAGGGTAAATTATACAGACCCTGCTTTAGAAAGGCTCACAATTCAAGCTGGTCTAACACGATGAGTCAATGCTATGGAAAAACAGAAGAGACCAGTTAATTCTATTCAGAGTAAGATCAAGGAGGACCTCATATGGATGACCTTGGGACTTACTGGGGTAACTAGACCGAGAAGGATGAGTCCATTATCAGGATTTAAGAATCCAGAACTAAGTGCTAAGTAAGGGGTTTAAGGAAAGCATCAGCAAAAATTCACTAATTGTTTTCTTTTTTTTTTTTTTTTGAGACGGAGTCTCGCTCTGTCTCCCAGGCTGGAGTGCAGTGGCGCAATCTCGGCTCACTGCAAGTTGCGCCTCCCGGGTTCACGCCATTCTCCTGCCTCAACCTCCCGAGTAGCTGGGACTACAGGCGCCCGCCACCACGCCCGGCTAATTTTTTTTTTTTTATATTTTTAGTAGAGACGGGGTTTCACCGTGTTAGCCAGGATGGTCTCGATCTCCTGACCTTGTGATCCACCTGCCTCAGCCTCCCAAAGTGCTGGGATTACAGGCGTGACCCACCGCGCCCGGCCTCACTAATTGTTAGTTTAAATTACCACCTACATGAAGTCTTATACCCTGGCTTTGTATTTTATGTTGGCTAAAGAGAATGATTCAATAAGACTATAGGATAAAGGCACCATTAAAGGTGCTTCAGTGGCATTCTTTCATTGAGGAGAAATCTGCAGAAGGGTAGCACTTTCTAGTAAAACATAGTACTCTAAACACGGTTAGCTTACATGTTCTTCCATTTATTTAAGTGCCTTAAAAACAAAAGGAGAAGCAAAACCCTGAAAGATCTTGGTTTAATTCTTTTCTTCTCTAAAAGTAGGTTTCTGTTTTTTGGAGGGGATTTAATTGCTCATCTGATCTGAATGCCCATGACCAGCTCTTGTTTATCATTGGCATGGCCATGAACACAAACAATATAAAATGCCAATTTAACCAATCCACCATGCTTGTTTTTTCTTTTTTCCTAGGAATTAACAGTGGCAGGCCCTGGAAATAGATGGGTAAGAGCAAATCTGTGGTCATCAACTAGGTGCACAGTCCAGTGGGTGTGTGAGATGCATGCACAGGGCAGACAGTAGAGCCTGCAACTGTGATGGAATTAACAGGGTAGGCCCTGCAAACAGATGAGTAAAAGCAAATCTGCGGCCATCACTAGGTGCACAGTGCAGTGGGGGTGTGTGAGATGCACAGGGCAGACAGTACAGCCTGCAACTGTGATGGAATTAACAGGGTAGGCCCTGGAAGATGAGTAAAAGCAAATCTGCGGCCATCACTAGGTGCACAGTGCAGTGGGGGTGTGTGAGATGCACAGGGCAGACAGTACAGCCTGCAACTGTGGCGCAGGCGCAGAACAGGATTGAATTTCGCTAAAAAGACAAAGGAAGAAAAAGTATGGTCTCTGTCCTCAGGGCATTGCAACCCATTAGGCTGAATCATATGAACTGCAGATTATGCAGGTAAAATATGGCCACATATCCACACCTTCACAGGGCTCTGCCTGACACACGGAGGACACAATCACAAGAGCCAAAGCAGGGAAGGGGCAGGGAAAAAGTGGACACAACCCCACCCCAGTCCAGTGGTGCGGATCAATAAATCGAGACTTACGGCCAATCTGAAATAGATTCTATTCATGAAAGTCCTTCCAGAAACAACATTCAGGATGACGGCATCAGTGTTAGCCAAGTGTCTGAGTGGTCTGGGTGTCACATCTGTGTGTGTGCCCAAATGGATGAAATTTATGCACAACCAATAAGCCCCACAAAAGTGATTGTTATGCTGAGCCGAACAACCATTTTTTACTTCCCTTTGTCTCTCCCATAGCTTCTCTTTCCTTTTCACTTCCTGGACCTACCAAAGCCTTGGCCTTGGGTGGGGAGGCATCCAGTGACTGTCCTTTTCAGCTTCAACAATGGCAACACAATCTCTTGGCTTTGTATTTGTGTAAGAGTTCCTTTTCACGATGAGAATGTCCAAAATAGATACCATTCTACATTATTCCTTTATTTAAAACCACAGGAAACATAGAAACGAGTTTGAGGAATACCACTTCAAGATGGGAATGGGAGGCAAAAATAATTCAGCCAACTAGGAGGTGGGCAAAATGCTCCGATTCCCTTTGTTTTCATATACGATTTCATTGAAGGAAGTGGAAGGGATTTAATAGAAAAGATATGATGATGACAAATCAAGTCAATATTGAAAGAATACTCTAGGCGGGGCGCAGTGGCTCACGCCTGTAATCCCAACACTTTGGGAGGCTGAGGTGAGCGGATCACCTGAGGTCGGGAGTTCGAGACCAGCCTGACCAACACGAAGAAACCCCATCTACTAAAAATACAAAATTAGCCGGGTGTGGTGGCACATGCCTGTAATCCCAGCTACTTGGGAGTCTGAGGCAGGAGAATCACTTGAACCCAGTAGGCGGAAGTTGCGGTGAGCCAAGATCGTACCATTGCACTCCAGCCTGGGCAACAAGACTGAAACTCCGTCTCAAAAAAAAAAAAAAAAGTGTGTCCAATCACAGACTTTTGTCATTTCTTGAGTTCTGAATCGGCTAAAACATCCGAGTGAGTTTTCTAACAGTAAAAGCTGCATCTCTAGGCCACTGACCACACTGCAGCCCTCTGACAGTGTCACACTGGCATTATTTTGCTGCTTATGGACAAAAGAATGAGCAATTTCCTGTTGGCCAGCTCTGAATACCTTATTCACTAGAGGCTGAGATGGAGTCAGTACTGCTACTACAGGAACACGAGTCAACATCTCTTAAATGCTGTGTGCCAGACTATGCGAAGAAAGGGCCTTAAAAACATTATCTCATTTAATCACCATAAGCCTTCGAAGTAGATGCTAGTATTATCCCCATTTCATAGATAACTGAGGAGTGGAGAGGTCAGTCACCTGCTTCAAGTCACAGATCCCATAAGTGGCAAAGTGAGACAGCTGGATGATCCAACTTCAAAAGCTGAGCCCCCGCCTGCTTCTATCTGCTTGATGCAAATTCCCAAAAGTCAAAGGCTTCTAAATTCGCGCTAATTCCTCAAATCCCTCCTCTTATCCTGGTGCAGCCTCAGTTGGAGTGACAGGAAGTTTAGATATGAGTAAGAAAACGGAACCTGACACTGAGTTAAAAGGACAATTTCTTCCTTCAGAGACAATCTTACTTTATATTAAACTTCATTTCTGAAGCTCCCTGATTCTCTAAAATAATCAAAATGTTCAGCCCAAGATATGTCAAAATGGTGAAGAAATATCTTAAAATCCAGTTTTCACCCCTCTAACAATAAAGTTAAATCCTCCCCTTTAATGGGTCTAGTCAGTGGAAGAACATTTCTCTCATTTTAATCATTTTTCTCCTGATATTTTCTCTCCTTTTAATCATTTCTTCACAAACATCTGAATGTTTATGCTCCAGGCAAGAGGAGAGAAAATGATGAGAATATCCTTATCCCTGGGTGTGAGGAGTAATTACTCTACTGCCCTTTTAAATACCTTTGAGGTTTATTTCTTAATTTTTTTCCTCCAACTTCAGTTTCACAACTTCTTCATGAAACAAGGAGCTTGGTAAAGGAGGCCAGCAAGTAACAGGTTGGCTGTGAGCGTGACATGAATGCTCAGGCTGTAAACTGTCTTCCTCAGAGAGCAGTGACTCCAATGGTCAGTGACATGCAGGAGGAAACGCAGGATTAGGACCGACTTTCCTTAGGTGTAGCCTCACGTTTTAATCCCTGAGGTATGTTGTAAATGGGCAGCGCATGAACAGGTGATCAACTCAGAAGACGAGCTTCATAAAGGTTGCCATAGAACTTTAGAATATGCCTATGGATGGCCAAGTCACAACCAGAATTGAGTCCTTAATCACTGACCCCATGTGTATTTCTATGGAAGGGGAGTGCAGTATGTGGCCCAAAGGTTCTGAAAAACTGTGTGTGACAGTCTCCTGGCTGTGTAGCATTTTTTGTTGCTTATAGACAAAATTTCTCTCCTCTATCCAAATCAGTAGGCCATAGGCCATTATTTAAGACAAACTTTTGAGTATAAAAAATTTGTCTTTTACATACACAAATGCACACATATATAGGGTTTGGGACAGACTCCACACCCCTAAAACTAGAGGAAAAACAAGGCCCTCTAGCAGGTCTGAACATGATGTAATCACTTTTTCCTTTACTTATGTAAAAGGTACCCTTTGTCAAATTAGCACACTTCTGGCAATAATTCTGGCCCCAAATAAATAGAAACTTTAAGTTGAAACTTGGCAATTGTGAAATTTCCAAATAATTAAAAGGTAAATTTTACAGTAAAGAGACTAATTTTTTTCTAATTCCATATGCTATAGGCTACAAAATATATATTTAAATTCCCTTAGGTATTACCAAATGTGTGTTGAGGTCCTCAACTGGGGTTGAGGGACCCTAACTAGGGGTTAATACATCATGCAAAATTTTCCACGTATTGGAAGAAACATCAGAAATCAGCTTTTGTGTGCTCCTTAAGCCAGTTTTAAAATAGATTTTAAAATATTCACCTTCCAGCTGATTAGCATGAAAGGTTTGAAAAATATACAAAAGCAGAGTGCTATGGATTGCATGTTTATGTCCTCCCAAAATTCATCTGTTGAAACCCTAATCTCCAAAGCAATGGTATTAGGAGGCGGAGCTAATACCATAAGTGGGCCTTTGGGAAGTGAGTAGGTCCTGAGGGTGGAGCCCTCATGAATATTAGCGCCCTCACAAGAAGGGAAAGGAGAGCTTGCTTGCTTCCTTTCTCTCTCTCTGCCATGTAAGGATGCAATGGGAAGATGATGGCTATCAGCAAACCAGGGTAAGGGTGCTCACCAGGAACTCACCTTGATCTTGGACTTCCCAGCCTCCAGAACGGTGAGAAATTTCTGTCATTTAAGCTACCCAGTGTATGGTATTTTGTTATTGCAGCCTGAGCTGATTAAGACACAGAGTAACTCACAAAATAAATAACATCAAGTATCACTGGCCAAGCCAATGAGCAGTCATACCAAAAGTAGTTTACTTTTAAGATGTCCATCTTCCACAGAATCTCCAAGGAAGTAGCTTGCAGTAGTCTCATCCCCACGGAAATGATGCAGTGATTTTATGCACAAGGGTAGGAGCAAAATGTGAACTAATGGTCTACAAAACTAATCTCATCTACAATAGAAGAAAACAAGTCAGGCCTACTTCTCCATACCATTCATGCCTATGGTGGCAAAAGGCAGCATGAGTCTCATGCTTTGCTGGTGACATTCAAATGTCAGACAGATTTACTTACTCGAGCTCTTTGGCGGATGAAAAGTTTTGTGTCAATACCTCAGGGTTTGCTGCAATACTAACAACCTAAAGAGGAATGTTCATGGTCTTCCAGGGAAAAAATTAAAAAAAGAAAGCCCACAAAATAGATTCTGAAATTTCAGGTTTGGTGGGGAAAGAACTGAGAGAGAAGCAGAGATAGGAAATGGACAAATATATAGACTGAAATACTACTTAAGGAGGATACAGGATTTCTTTTAAAATACTTGTTCTGAAAGAGATGGTACCCTCCCCCACCTCCGCCCAAGAGGCAGTTCTGGAAATGTGAGCATGTTAGGGGTGCCACTGATGGGCGGCCACTACTGAGATTTAACCTGTTGGAGCATGCGTGATACACAAGCCCTGCAGCTTACAGCCCTCACAACAAAGAGCTGACTCATCAACACAACTTTCAATTGCCCCGCCCAATATTCATATAGATGGGAACTCAGTTTACAATAACAAATCTATGATCTCATTTCATTTTATATATAAACACACAGAATTTTCAGCCCAGTTTTAATATGCTTTGGATTTTTCAAGAATGCAATGAGAGAATTCTATAAATGGAAGGAAGCCTATATACTGAGTGATTATGAGCAAGAAAGCCAGAGCCAGGCTGCTTTCATTTTAATCCCAGCTCTGCCATTATTAGCACATAACCAGGATGACTAGCACATAACCTGGGTAACTCCCTCATATGCAAAACGGGACTAACAGCAGTACTCACCTCATAGATTTATTAGAAAGGTATTAGAACAATGCCAGGCACACAGCAAGCACTATATGAGTGAAGCCATTACAGACTAGGTATGCCTAGAACTTTATCTAAAGAATTGGCCACATTTTAGAAAATCATACTGCTGACATCGACCCCTTTCCTGGTATTGAACTGCCAATGCAGCAGGTCTGAATTGGTAACTACCACATTCATGGTGATTTTTCACATATTTATATTTATACACACACATACAAAGTATGTGCCCTGCTTAGTAGTTTAATTACATCTTGTAATATAACCATGCTAGAATATGTACATATGAAAATAATTATTTCATTATAAAATATCTTATCTGTTTCAGTTAGAACGTCACTGATGGGTATGTTTTAGAGGCTAGTTATATTACCTGCTAGTTTCATTTCAGAATAGTAAATGGAGTGATGTTTTTATGAGTGAAGGTAAGCTTCATCATCCATGATTTTCATTTGAAGATTGAAAAGTGATGCTATAAAATATTATAATAGGGGTAGGTGTTGAGTTGTGTCTGGGAGAGTTTTAACAATCACTCTTGTAAAGTATCCTGTCAAGGAGTTCAAGATCAGCCTGGCCAACATGGTGAAACTCCATCTCTACTAAAAATACAAAAATTAGCCAGGTGTGGTGGCGGGCACCTGTAATCCCAGCTACTTGGGAGGCTGAGGCAGGAGAATTGCCTGAACCTGGGAGGCAGAGGCTGCAGTGAGTTGAGATTGTACCACTGCACTCTAGCCTGGGTGACAGAGTGAGAATCTGTCTCAGAAAAAAAAAAAAATTTTTTTTAAAGAAATAAAAATAAAGAATCCTGTCAAAAAGCATCATCAAGCAACTTCATATGTGAACACACGTCCACAATTAAACCTGGATTACTACTGAGGCAAGCAGTTTCCATTAATTTCTAAGAAATCCATATTAAACTATTATTTATGTATGTCCATAGTAGAGGTTTACAAAGGTTTTTTTTTTTTAGCAGCAATATATTTTTCAAACACAATTCAGGAGAAAACCTCAAATAAAAAGAAAGATGAAGCTGTGGAGGGTGACTGCAAGTAGAGGAGCCAGGAACTTCTCTCGCGGGTCCTGGGACTCCAGGGAACAAAGGCTGAAAAGCACCAATCTGGTTGGCCACTGCCTATAATGAAGACTGACTGCCGAATATTCACTTAAAGGATGGCTGTTCAATTCACAAGTGGCATTTTCCCCACAGAAAAAGAGCTCACCAGCCAGCTAAGGCCTCCAGAGTGATTTAACTCATCATCCAGTGGAACTACAGCTCTTAGAGTTCTCCCCACAATCTGGGGAGTAAGAGGAGATGTTGCCACCCACTTCCTGGGCATAAAGCCAGCTCAAGACAAGAGTAAAACAGGCAGGGCTGGCTCGCCCCTCGTACACAGCTCCCTCCTCATCACCAGTGCCCTACACGAGACCTCCCCAGCCCACACCCCACCCTCCTAGTGTGTTGAACACCCTGTGGTCACACACTGCAAGCCTCTTCTCTCCATCTGCCAAACACCCTTGGGTCTCCATGTCTCCATGAAATACCAGATCTTTTTCTTTTTGTTTTTTTTTTGAGACAGAGTCTCCTTCTGTCACCCAGGCTGGAGTGCAGTGGCCTGATCTTGGCTCACTACAACCTCCGCCTCCAGGGTTCAAGTGATTCTCCTGCCTCAGCCTCCCGAGTAGCTGGGACTACAGGTGCCCACCACCATGCGAAGCTGATTTTTAGTAGAGACAGGGTTTCACCATGTTGGCCAGGCTGGTCTTGAACTCCTGACCCCAGGTAATCCACCCACCTTGGCCCCCCAAAGTTCTGGAATTACAGGCATGAGCCACTGCGCCAGGCCGAAATACCAGATCTTCATGGCAGTTGTCTTAGAGGTAGAGAAGAAAACAGCCAGACTGAGCCGGGTGTGGTGGCTCATGCCTGTAATCCCAGCACTTTGGGAGGCTGAGGCCGGCAGATCAGTTGAGGTTGGGAGTTTGAGACCAGCCTGGCCAACGTAGTGAAACCCCGTCTCCACTAAAAATACAAAAATTAGCCAGGCATGGTGGCGGGCACCTATAATCCCAGCTACATGGGAGGCTGAGGCAGGAGAATCGCTTGAACCTGGAAGGTGGAGGTTGCAGTGAGCTGAGATTGCGCCACTGCACTCCAGCCTGGGTGACAGATTGAGACTCCATCTCAAAAACAAACAAACAAACAAAAAAAACCAGCCTGACTGAATTCAGTCACAGTAATTATACATGAGTGGTTGCTAGTTCCTTTAACCACACCAGAAGCATTTTAAAGGGAAGATGTTTCCTAACTCCAGTGATTTTCATGGGCTGAATTCCAGGCAGTTCAGCAAACTCAACAATTCCGGTGGTATGAGAAAGGGCATTTTGGAGTAGGAGATTTCGGCTCTGCCTAGGAAGATACCTCAGAAAATTCCCCTCGTGCAATTTCACTTTGCATATGCTTCTCCTGTTCTTCCATTTCTAATCCATAAAATCCCAAAATGCTTGGGAGGGTTTATTTTGATTTTTTTTAACAATACTGCCCTGCTGGCAACAGCCACGATAGTCACTTGCTCATCTGAAAATGCCTTGCACTTTCTTTTTCACTAGCTTCGTGTATGACGCAAAACAGAAATATTTCAATTACAGGTGACTAAGAGTAAGAAAAATATACAACTATATTTAAAATACTTAAATTAACAAGATAGTACTTTTCCATTCTAACAAAATATCATACATTCAGTTTAAACAAGAGTTAATATCCAGACACACGTTTTCAAAATACCTGATGCTAGTTGAAAATTAGTGACCATGAGGCTTTCCAAGATATTTCTAATTAGCAAACTGTGTACAATTTTGAAGAAGTGTACACACCGTGCTGGAAGACAGACACTGAACAGGTCAAAATGCAAACTCATGTATCTTTCATCAACCTAAATCTTGTTGCTTCACTTTTCTAAATGATACTTTGGCTGTCAGCGAATCTTATAGCTTCTTTTCCCTTAAAGACAATAATATATAACAACACCACCCCACACAAATAACCATAAACTTCTTTGTGTGAAATAAGCCCTATCAAAATGTGTTCATGTATTTCTGTACCAACTGATCTATACTGAGACTGTCATGAAAAAGGTATCAAACAAGTGTAACAGGCCTACACTTAAACCTCTGCCTCAAAGGAGAAATCAGATACTTGCCACGTTATTGCAAAGTCAAAGCTGCTACACTTAAAATATGGTAGATAGTTTAGAAAAATCAAATCAAAAATGTTTTCTCACTGGCTTTTTCAGATAAAGAAGTTGGACCACAAACCAACACATCTGTGTGAAAACAGCCACCAATTTGAGTCCCCCCAGCCCCTCAAAAAGGAACAATGCCACCAGTCCCTCACAATGACCATAACGTCTCTGGCCAGGACTGCGATTTCTAGCGCGTGTCTTCACATTCTATCTCTGGGGAAGCAAGACAAACAGGCTCTACCCATTTCCCTCCTTTTGTCTCCACAAGCCAGCACCTAAGATCCTCTGAATTTGTTCCCATCCAATCCTGCAAACTTCCAAGAAGGGCAGTAGATAACTTTTCAAAAGAAAAAGAAATTGCATAAGGTCCCTACATAATACTGAGGCTGAAACGAGAAGAGGCTGTCCACTGTAAAAGCAAGGCACTTGGGGCAGGAGCCAGGCAGGTGGCCTGAGCAGGGTCCCTCTCAGTGAGTCAACAGTTTGAGGCGCGTAAACCAGCTGACCAGGAGGGACGGTTCTGTGGACGAGGACTTCGTAGCTGAGGAGCCAGATTTCTTTTTGGTCCCTTCCTCCTGGAATGGAATCGTGGCGCTGCTGTGGAGATCTGAGTTGATGTAGCACCTGCTTCCTCGGATGTAGTCCGCACCCCGGACCAGATGCCGCTCGGTCGTGGGTCTGGAGAACCGGTATGGGGGAGAGGAGCTCTCTTCAATGATCGGAGGAATCCGCTCGTTACTGAAATACCGGCAAAGGGCATCCTCCCCTGTTTCCAGACAAAGTCCATTAAGTCACAATCCCAGCCGGGCGTGGTGGCTCACACCTGTAATCTCCGCACTTTGGGAGGTCGAGGTGGGTGGATCACGAGGTCAAGAGATCTAGACCATCCTGGCCAACATGGTGAAACCCCGTCTCTACTGAAAATACAAAAATTAGCTGGCGTGGTGGCGGGCGCCTGTAGTCCCAGCTACTCAGAGAAACGTTTGAACCCGAGAGGCGGAGGTTGCAGTGAGCCAAGATCGCGCCACTGCACTCCAGGCTGTTGACAGAGCGAGACTCTGTCCCCTCCAGGAAAAAAAAAAAAAAATCACAATCCCCTACACAGTGCTCTTTGGAGGGCCCTCGGCCTGCCCAGACTTCTGCCACCACCCTGAATGTGGGCACCATACCTTTACTGCTCTCCTCCCTGGATTGGCCACAAGGTCCCACCTGTGGCTGGGCCCACCAATGGGTGCTCTGGAAGCAGAAATGGGAAGGGTCCCTCATACTTTAGGCTGCTTTAGCGCCTGAGAGGTAGCACACGGGTCTCCTTTAGTGGGTGGGGACCATAGAGTGTAGTGTCCCCGCGATGGCTGAACAGAACTGTTTATGCATTGTTTAATGCAGGGCATTCAAGCTGGGCATTCAGGAACATTCCCGAACAAGGAAAAGAGTGATCCTGCCCTAACTGCCAGCAGACCCCCTGGGATGTGGCTGGAATGTTAAGAAACTGAATAGAAACTTAAAATACAGTACACTTTGGTAACATGTAGCATCCTTGTGAAGCGGAAATTCTACACCCCAAAATGTGCAAAGATCTATGGACTCACGGATGCTTACTGAAACATTTATTTTTATGCTTATTTTTATTTTTTGAGACAGGGTCTCACTGTCATTCAGGCTGGAGTACAGTGGTGCCATCTCAGCTAGTTGCAGCCTCCATCTCCCAGGCTCAAGCGATCCTCCCACCTCAGCCTCCCAAGTAGCTGGGACTACAGGTGCGCACAACCACACCCAGCCGGTCTCGAAATCCTGAGACCAAGCAATCCACCTGCCTCAGCATCCCAAAGTGTTGGGATTAGAGGCATGAGCCACCACACCTAGCCTACTGAAACCTTTTTCAAATTTTAGAATTTGAATTTTAGAATTTTCTAAATTTTCTAAATTCTAAGTTTTCTAAATTTTAGAATTTAGAAAATTTTAGCCTTTTTCAAATTTTAGAATTTGAAAAAAAAAAAAAAAAAAAAAAACCTAAATTTCCAACAGTGGCACGTTGAATAAATAGGCGCTAGAGCCATAAGATGGCATTCTAATACGGCTATATTCTTTTCAAATATGGTGTAGATAATATTCATTTTTACATAGTATTATTGAATATTTACTTCTCCCCTTTTTTTGAGACGGAGTCTCACTCTGTTGCCCAGGCTGGAGTGCAATGGAGAGGTCTGGGCTCACTGAAACCTCCGCCTCCCAGGTTCAAGAGATTCTCCTGCCTCAGCCTCCCGAATAGCTGAGACTACAGGCGCCCACCACCACACCTGGCCAATTTTTGTATTTTTAGTAGAGACGGGGTTTCACCATGTTGGCCAGGCTGGTCTCGAACTGCTGACCTCGTGATCCGCCTGCCTTGGCCTCCCAAAGTGCTGGGATTACAGGTGTGAGCCACCGCACCTGGCCAACTTCTCCCATTTTGCACATTTTTCTAAGTATATAAATGTAAATACAGGAACAACTGGAAATCACACGAAACATTCACAGTGATTATTTCTTAGGTCAGAGAAACAGATTCCAGCTGAGTTTTATTTTCTCATGCCTTCCATGTTTTTCAATGTACTTGCTTTGCTTTTGTAATGAAAGGGGAACAGTCACATTGAAAAAGTGCCCATTGTCAAAAAGCCACATGTTGCATAAGTCTATTTATATGAAATGTCCAGAACAGGCAAATCCACAGAGTAGATGAGTGCCTGTCAGGGGCTGAAGAAGGACGGAATTGGGAGTGACTGCTAAAAGGCACAAGGTTTCTTTTTGGAGTGACAAAAATGTTCTGGAATAGTGGCAACTGGGGTACAACTCCGTGAATATACTAAAACCCACCTGACTGTATATTTTAAAAAGCTGAATTTCATGCAAAGAGTTATATCTCAATAAAACTGTTATTTTTTTAAGTGGCTGTGTATAGATAGATACCTTTATTCCAAAACAATCATGCAAGAAAAATATGCAAGGAGGAGTGGAGGGAACAAGTATTTTTCCATTTCCCAATTTCACACCCCATAACCCTGACACTTCATCTCTCCATGTATAAAATAAATAAAAGGCTCAACCCTGGCTCAGATGAACGGCAAGGAAGATGTTAACGTGTCTAAATCTAAACAACGGACAGCCCTGCCACCTGCTGACTGCTCCATGGATACTCACACGTTAACTAAGGGGATCCTGAATGGTAGGTACCCAGGCATCTTTCCCTTTTTCACTTTAGCATAATACAGGTGATATGGGTACTTAGGTGACAAACTTTACCAAGTCCCTAGAAAGGGTCAGGGGTCAATCAATCCCTTTGGAAGGTTAGGCTTCCAGAATTTTTTCTTCTTCCTTTTACTATCTAAAGCCTATTGTACTTTAACTTTTCAACTGCCCTTTGTTTCAACAACTGCAAAAACAATGTTATAATGTTCTGCCAATGATGACAATCAAATGCAATCTGGCAATAAAATGAGAATGTTTTAAAACATTTCACTCAAGACCAGCATAATAACCAGGGACTTTGATTACAGGGTGAATTAAACACAAATTTCTTTTCAAATAGTAACTGCCTTCTAACATAAGAAGGACTTGGAAGAAAAAAAAATCCATGTTTGTTCATCAGAAATCAAACAGACTCCAAAAATAAAAGCAACAAAATTTAGAATAAGATTGTTTAATGAAAGCTGGGCATGGTGGCACACGTCTGTAACACCAGCTATTCAGGAAGCTGAAGTGGGAGGATCACTTGAACCCAGGAGTTCAAGGCCAGCCTGGGCAACATAGTAAGACCCCATCTCAATTTTTAAAAATAAATTTTGAAAAAGATTGTTTAATGAATAATTTATTTCTATTCATTAAAAAATTAGACTATTGGCTGGGTATGGTGGCACATCCCCGTAATTCCAGCACTTTGGGAGGCTGAGGCAGGAAGACCACTTACAGCTAGGAGTTTGAGACCAGCCTGGACAACATATTGAGACTCTGTCTCTACCAAAAAAAAAAAAAAAATTAGCCAGCCGTGGTGGCGTGCACCTGTAGTCCCTGCTACTCAGGAGGCTGAGGCAGGAGGATCACTTGAGTCCAGGAGCTCAAGGCTGTAGTGAGGTATGATCACGCCACTGCACTCCAGCCTGTGTAACAGAGCAAGATCCTGTCTCTAAAAAGTAAATGAATAAAAATTAGACCATTAAAGTCTATAGCCTTTTTACAGCACTCAATGCTAATTAGGATATTTACAATCACTAACTAGGATTATATAATTTTGCCATTCTAGAAATAAGTAGGATCTTAAAGATCTTCAGCAGTCCTAATTTTACAGATGAGAAAACGGGACTCAGAAAGGCCAAGTACTCAGTCTACTTATTATAACACATTTAGAAACAGAGGTGAAACCAGGCCCTGGGGCTGTTCACTCCCCATTTGCTGTTCCTTGGTTTGCTTGGATGAAACGTACCTTTCCTGCCATGACCTCGAGGTCTGGCAAAAGGGTCCACAATCCCCATCCAGTTCCCATCAGCAGGCATGGACAAAGGCCGTGGCTTGCCTTCAGAGGGACGAGAAAGAAGGTGACAAGTTTGATGAGTTCTGGAACTTTAGTGAACCGTTCCCTTTATGTATAACTTAGACCTCACAATACCACACCCACTTAGACAGAAGCAATAACAAATTTTAAAATAAAAGTATTTTAAAGCACTGTATTTCCATAGCAGGAAATAGAGTGCTACTAAGATAGAGGCACATTAAACTTGAGCCTGTGAGTCTACAGAGCAAAGCAACTCCAAAGCTAAAACCCAGGCACTGAAAGTTAAAACTGTAACATGATCTCACCCAGTTGGGCTTTCATGCCAGGCAGAGTAATGACTCAACAAGGATCCGCTTGACAGAGATGAATAAAGGTCTCATACTTAGAATTTCATTGAGGTTTATGTTTTCCTCAGATTACTCTTGAAGTCTGCCAAATTCATCCAACAGTTCCAACTAAGGCAGGGGGCGGGGAGGAGAAGTCAAGGCCAACGGCAGAACAAAACAAACACTTGAAACTTACCATAAGATGGTGTTTTCTCTCTCATTTTTGTGGGCAGAATGTTGGTTTCCACCGAGTACCCAGGCAACTGATCCGAGTCTGCAATGGTGAATCTTCGTCTCCGGCTTTCCTGGTCCAAGAAGGAATTCGGGGACTCTGAACCCTTAGGACCAGGCAATGGTTGTTTGCACTTACTGGACCCTCCATAAACAAAACTGCCATTCTCATCCCTGGAAGATAATATGGACAATAATTAAGTTGTTTACAAAGATGTTCTCATACTGAAGAATTCCAGCAGTGCTGCTACCTCCAGCACACAGAAGATAATTTAAATTCTCCTTTTCCACTGGAGGAAAAGCATTCCTTTTGTCAACCCCAGTTGCCGCTCAAATACATACAGATCCTATTAAATAAGCAAAATACCATGACGTGATGAAATAAGAATAAATGCAGGCCGGACACAGCGGCTCCCGCCTGTAATCCCAGCACTTTGGGAGGCCAAGGCAGGTGGATCACCTGAGGTCAGGAGTTCAAGACCAGCCTGACAAACAAGGTGAAACCCCATCTCTACTAAAAATACAAAAATTAGCCAGGTGTGGTGGCAGGAGCTACTTGGGAGACTGAGGCAGGAGAAGTGCTTGAACCCAGGAGGCGGAGGTTACAGTGAGCTGAGATCATGCCACTGCACTCCAGCCTGGGCAATGGAGCGAGACTCCATCTCAAAAAAAAAAAAAAAAAAAAAGAAGAGTAAATGCAGGGTTTTTTTTAATATCCAAACAAATATAGCTTTGAAAAGACAGCTCTAGTTTTCCTGTGCTTCTGTGTGTAGCTGAATATCCTATTTACTACAGCAATCACACATTAAGGTATGCTCTAGCGAACCACGTTGCTCATGCCAAGAGTCGGATCTCTGCCAAAATCCAGCAAAAAAGACTTGATATATTATGAAGTTGTTAGATTTGAAAACCATGTCAAAAGATACAAAGGAACCTTTATAGTAACCAATGGAGAGTGATTCTTTTCTGAATCAAATACTACAAAAACCAGCAAAAGTTGGATCACTGATTCCATTCTAATTCTATCTACATGTCAGTTTAAACTGTAGGATTAATTTGAGTCCAAGTTACCAGCTGCTTAGTTTTTTTGCACTTGGTAAATTCCATTAGGCAAATCAGGACAAAAACTGCTAGACAAAATACAGAATCAACTGAGTCCCAAAGCAATCTACTAATCAGCCATGTCTGTGTGTGGTATTCCCAGGTGGGATGGCATCCACCTACCCCTCCCACCCACAAATATATCTCCTTCCATACCTTTAAACCGGGCATATAACTCCCCATTCACAAAGCTTTCATGACTCATGACTTGTTTCTCAGTAATCCATTCCCATTTTTCATTCCTCAGAAAATCCTTCATGAGTGGTGTGTGTGCACTCTCAAAAGCGTCTTCCCGAGCAGTTTAATCCAGCTCTCCTCCTAGCCCCAGGTTCCTTTATCTCTCACTATGTACACAGCACCCCTTTTCTTGCCACTACTCCAGGAACCCAGACAAGAATATTCTGGATCAAGGGAGGGTGCCTTCCTCCAGTTTCTGATAGAACAATCCACACATTAGTAGTGGAATGTCATGCTCTCTATATGCAGAGGGAAAGACTACCTGTAACTTTAAACACACTTAAGATCCTGCAAACCAGAATGCCCCGATCACCTGAGGTACATTCTCTACACGCTATAATAAGTTCTGAGTAAGCCAAGACTCAAGGAAATGGAAAACAATGTTGAATCTCTGCACCCAATGCAGAAGAAATACAATGAAGCAAATACCTCAGCTTCAAATGAAAACCAACAAACAAAAAATTCTGATAGAAAGTAAAATGTCACTGTAATAAAATCCAGCCTGAACTTTGTTTTATGAAATATTATAACCTAATCATATATTTCTCAATATATGCTTGAATTGTTGAATAAGACCCTGGCAGTTCTGTAGGGTCAAAGACCGAGTCTGTTTTGTGTCAGAGGGTAACCCAGACCCAATACTCAGGAAAGATATGCTGAATAAATGAGCCAGATTGTCTAGTTTTATCAACATATATAAATATGTGAGTTGATAAAAATAAGCCTAGATCACACCTAAATCATCCTGTACACTCTATATACCACCCTCATTATACCATACAGTATTCAAGTTAGCCATGAAGAAAGCAACTATCTTTTTAAGAATTTATGGTACACACACACACACACACACACACACACACACACACAAATATGAAATGTTCATACCTACACTCACAAGGTCTGAGTTTTTCTGTTTTTTGTTTTTTTGTTTTTGAGACTAGGTCTCACTCTGTTGTCCAGGCTGGAGTGCAGTGGTATGATCATGGTGTATTGTACTGCAGCCTCGACCTCCTGGGCTCCAGTGATCCTACCACCTCAGCCTCCTGAGTAGCTAGGACCACGGGTGCACACAACCACACCCAGCTAATTTTTTAAATTTTTTGTAGAGATGGGGCCTCACTATATTCCCCAGGCTGGTCTTGAACTTCTGGGCTCAAGCAATCCTCTGAACTGGCCTTCCAAAGTGCTGGAAATATTGGCGTGAGACACCATACCTGGCCACATAGGTTTTTTTTCAAGTTCTATGAAGAACACATCTTTCTCAGCAAAATCAAGCTGCAACTCTCATTAATCTCACAGAAATACTTATTATCTACCCCCTCAAGATGAATTTACCATGGAGTTAATGAAACTTAACCTGCAGGGCCCCCAATAGACCCTTCCAAGGCCCCAGGAGAGCACGTTTTCATTCGTTTTTCAAAAGTAAGGTATTGCTATATCCTTTTGTTTCTTTTTTGAGACAGGGTCTCGCTCTGTCACCCAGGCTGGATTGCAATGGCACAAACTCTGCTCACTGCAACCTCCACCTCCTAGGCTCAAGCGATTTTCCTGCCTCAACCTCCTGAGTAGCTGGGACTACAGGCATCTGCCACCAAACTCAGCTAATTTTTGTATTTTTTTATAGAGATGAGGTTTTACCATGTTGCCCAGGCTGGTCTTGAACTCCTGAGCTCAAGTGATCTGCCCGCCTCAGCCACCCAAAGTGCTGGGATTACAGGTGTGAGCGACCACACCTGGCCAATACTGCCATATTCTTTTCTCAGAAGGGCCCTCCCCACCAAACTGTATAGCTTCAAGCCCCACAGAACCCAGATATGTCCCTACACTCCTATAAAATAAGGCTGATCATACTTTTAACGGCAGTTCAAGATTCAGCCCTGTCACACTGTGGCTCAGCAACTTCCTCTCTCAAGATCCTCTTTTCACACCACCATTTACAAATGACACCAACAGGAGACAAGCATACCATGACAATGGACAGCAACATACCGGGGAGAGTAGGGAACAGCAGGCGGAGGAGGAATATAAAGATCCAGGATGGCTGACTTCTCCTTCTTCAGTGAGGTATCCATAGTGCTTTCAGGGGACTGGGTTGTCGCGGGTGGAGGTGAGGTCTGAAACAGGAGTAACACAGCAATGCAAAGAGTGGAGATCAATTCAGAGATGATTCTTGGTGTTTATTTCCCCTCCCCCAAACCAACACCAACCCCGTGTCTGAACAGGGACTGAGGTCATTCATGTGTTTACAGATATTGGCAATATTTAACTTACATTCTTCTTTGAAACCTTAGAATGAGCTGAGGGATTTGAATGACGATGTATAGTGGCAAGAAGCAGAGGCTTAGGAGCCAGGTGCCAGGGTTATGACTCTAGCTCTGAGCAAATCACTTAAACATCTGTGGCCTCCCTTTCCTCTTCTGTAAAGGAGTGATACTGATAATATCTCTTGCATAGAGCTGCAGTGAGAATTAGATGAGTTAGTTCATGAAAATTACTAGCAAGGCTGGGCACGGCGGTTCTTGCCTGTTACCCCAGCACTTTGGGAGGCCAAGGTGGACAATGGATTGCTTGAGCTCAGGACTTCGAGACCAGCCTGGGCAACATGGCGATACCCAGTCCCTACGAAAAAAATATAAAAATTAGCCAGGCGTGGTGGCACACGCCTGTAGTCCCAGCTACTTGGGATGATGAGATGGGAGGATTGCTTGAGCCCAGGAGGCAGAAGTTGCAGTGAGCGAAGAGTGTACCACTGCACTCCAGCCTGGGTAACAGAGTGAGACTCTGTCTCAAAAAAAAAAAAAAAAAAAAAAAAACAAGAAAGAAAAGAAAAGAAAAAGCAATCAGTAGCAGTGCTACTATTGACTAGGAGTATTGCTTGGAACTCTGGATGTGATCCTGGCTAGACTTACTAGCTGCCCATTTTTTTTTTTTTTTTTTTTAAGATGGAGTCTGCCTCTGTCTCCCAGGCTGGAGCACAGTGGCGCCATCTTGGCTCACTGCAACCTGTGCCTCCTGGGTTCAAGTGATTCTCCTACCTCAGCCTCCCAAGTAGCTGGGATTACAGGTGCGTGCCACCACACCCAGCTAATTTTTGTATGTTTAGTAGAGATGGCGTTTTGCCATGTTGGCCAGGCTGGTCTCAAACTCCTGACCACAGGTGATCCGCCCACCTCAGCCTCCCAAAGTGCTGGGATTACAGGTGTGAACCACCACGCACAGCCCTTATTAGCTGTTTATTGTTGAGCAAGTCACACAATGTCTCTGTGCCCCATCTATAAAATGAGAATAAATAGGGACAAGGATAGCACCAACATAGGGTGGCTGTGAGAATTAAGTAAGGTAACACATGTAAACAACTTAGGACACTGCTTTCCCATAGAAAATACACAACCTTATACCGTTTATTTTAGTACTATTTATACATATATGCATTCATATATACGAGTTAATCTTAACTTCAAATCCACATGGCTGAGTTTGAACTATGATACTGGTCTCAAAGGACATGGTTTTTAATATCTCATGTGAGAACTTCAATCTTACCTTCTACAATCTAACAATGACAACAATGATTTTTCTGGTTGGTAAAGAACAGCAAGGAAATCTTGGAGTCAAGGCAGGGAAATATTTGGTGAAGGCCAGTGAGACTGTGCCAAGCCCTGGGCAGACATAAAAAGGTACCCTTAGGCCCAGCGTGTGGGCACACACCTGTAATAATCCCAACACTTTGGGAGTCTGAGGCAGGTAGATCACTTGAGCTCGAGAGTTCAAGATCAGCCTAGAGAAAATAATGAAGCCCCGTCTCTACCAAAAAAAACAAAAACGAAAACAAAAAGCTACCCTTCAACCCTACCCAGCCTGGTTGTAATGGAAGAGATCTCTGAAGTGAAACTGTGACCTGATTCTAAGGATTGAAAGGACTGACTAGCCAGTGTGACGGAGCTAGACATGGCCACCAGGAGATTCACAGAGGACAGCTCATTTTCAGGAGAGATACCAAGTCACAGGGGCAGGGACTGAGCTTTCAGTCTTCCAGAGTAGAACCCCCATATTTTAAACCGTGGCCATTAATGCATAATCTATCAATTCTACTCAATTTGTAATTGATTGACATCTCAACATGTCAATTTCGGACCATATCTGAAAACATGAGGCCAGGATCCAGATTCTCCAAATCTTAGAAGCAAAAGTAAACTAGAACATTTCCACAAAATTGATGCTCCCTGAAAACACACATATTGATAATTACTTCTATATCAGTAACTCTCATTTCCCAGGAGTGTGGCATCAAAACAGAGTGGTGAATGCCTTTTCTATGATAGGACAACAGTAATGATGTTGAACAACTTAGAGCTCTCTTCTGAGAAGGGTGGGTGCCCAGGTACAAAGAATAATGAAGAATGGAACACAGAGAAACCCCCAGGGCTGGGGACTAAGTCTGCAGAGTATTTGTCTACCAGAGTTTATATTCTGAAAATATCCTGGGCACATCGCAAGAACACCTGGTAACTAAGCTATAAAATGGTGTCTGCATTTTGATGGTAATTATCTCCCTGTGTCACAAGCAAAATTAGGAGTCTCTGTCTCTCACCAGCACCTCTTCCCCAAACTGCAGCTAGAGGGACTTGGCAGGAAAGTAGGCAAACCAGAGAACATCGCAGTGTCTCTTCTTAAGTGAATTTCCAGAAGTCAAGGGACCAACGCTAGCCTGAACTTAAAAATTATTTTCACTCATGTTCTGAACATAACCATGTGAGTTTTCCTCTATTGCCTCAAACTCAATTATGCTCAAAATACCTAACATCTCTTCCTTCCAAATGGCCTCTTTTCTGACTTTCCAATTTTTGTCACCACGCAGGTTCCCTGTCACATTGGACACTTGCTTCTCCCTAGCCTTGCTGGCCTTTCTCACCCTTACCCCAAAACATTTTCGAATAGTCAACACTATTAAAGAGAAGAGCATGGCTTGGAAAGATTACATACCTTGACTAAGGGTCCCACAACAGCTAGTAAGTGGCAGAGCTGGGATCTGAACTGAAGTGGTTCAACTCAGAGGCCACATTCATAACCACTAGGCTGTGCTGCTTCCTGAGGCCTTCTGATGTGCTTCCCAGTGGCCTCCAGCATTCTTAGTCTTTCTTTCACTGAATCACCCATCACCAGCCTTGCCCAGGACCACATCGCCCTGTAGCTACCCTTATACAGCAGCCTCCCTTTTGGTGGTTCTTATGTTTAGATGTTATTATGGGCTGAACTGTGTCCCCTAAAATTCCTGTGTTCAAATTCTCACCCCCAGTACCCAGAATGTGACTGTATTAGGAGATAGGGTCTCTAAAGAGGTGGTTAAGTTAAAATGGAAGTCATTAGGGTGGGCTCAATCTGACATGACTGGTGTCCCATAAGATTAAGACACAGACATATATGGAGGGAAGACCACACGAGAACAGAGGAAGAAGACCACCATTTGCACACCAAGGAGAGGGTCCTCAGAATGAAGCCATCTCCACTGACTCCTTGACTTTGAACTTCTACCACCCCGTATGGCAGGCCTAGCTGAGTAATAGAGGTATTAATGTAAAAGCAGCTGTCAACTTGTCACCTGTGGAAGAAAGCCCATGCTCCCCAGCCTGGCACTCCATACCTGCCAATATAGTCTCAGGCAACCAGTCCAACTTTATCTCCCACCCTCAGCTCCACAGAGTCTGAGCTACTCATTTCTTCTGGTAGAAGCTCTGGAGCCCATCTAGAGTCTCACTACCGCCACTACCACCCCCCGCTGCTGGGAATGTCAGCTGCTAAAGCACACAGCTGCCCCTTCTCAGAAGAATGGCCCTCAGCTGACGGAGCTGCCTCGCCCGAGCAGGGCCACCAGAACCCGGAGCTGTGTGGCTCCACCAGGATGCTTCGTCCTGCATAGTAGGTCAAGGCTACGCTGCACCTGAGAGGCATCCTTGCTGCCTCCCCGTCATCATTCTGCCTTTCTCTCTCCCTTACCAGTTTTACTTGGAGCACATACCCTCAAAATTGCTTTCACAAGGATGTACACCTAAGACTCTGCTCTAGGAAACCTTATCTAAGACACCGCCCTTCCCCGATGGTGGTCTATCTATGTTTTGTGGGCGAGTGTGTTTGAAGAATAGCATTCATCTCCTCTACCATACATGCTCCCATCCGCCAATGCAAATCCCACCTACCCTCCCAGGCTCCCACCTCACAGTCCATACCTCTCTCTCCTTCAGAATCCAACATTTATCTTATGCAACAATTAGCGGGCAGAGCAAGCATTTGACAGGCACTCCATCAATTACCTACAAGGAATTAGCGCCTCTGGAATGTTAAGCATCATATTCTGAGAAATCCAAAAAAATCTAACCAAGTTTAAATTTTACACTGACCAATGCCAACAGAAACAGCTGGAGTATAATCAATAGGCTCAGTTATGGGCAATGATCTTTTGGCTCTGACTGCAAAAGCACAGGTGACAAAAGCAAAAACAGACAAGTGGGATTACATCAAATTAAAAAGCTTCTGCATAGCAAAGGAAATAATTGACAAGGCAGAGTCAACCTAAAAAATATCTGCAAACCATACATCAGATAAGGGGTTAATACCCAAAGTATATAAGGAACTCAAAGAACTCAACAGCAAAAAAAAAAAAAACAAAACACAAAGAACCTGATTTTAAAAATGGGTAAAGGACCTGAATTGACATTACTCTCTTGCTTTTTTTTTTTTTTTTTCTTTTTTTGGAGACAAGGTCTCACTCTGTCACTCAGGGTGGATGCGGTGGTACAATCAAGGCTCACAGCAGCCTCCCAGTCTCAAGCAATCCTCCCACCTTAGCCTCTCAAGTAGCTGGGACAACAGGTACGTGCCACCACACCCAGCTAGTTGGTTTTAAAAAATAAAAATTGTTGTAGAGACAGGATCTTGCTTTGTTGCCCAGGCTGGTCTTGAACTCCTGGGCTCAAACGATCCTCCTTCCTTGGACTCTCAAAGCACTACAATTACAGGCATGAGCCCCTGCAGCCAGCCCCGAATAGACATTTCTCAAAAGGAGATATACAAATGGCCAACAGAGATATGAAAAAATGTTCAGTGTCACTAATCATCAGGGAAATGCAAATCAAAGCCACAGTAAGATGACAGCTGGCACCTGTTGGAATGGCTACTATCAAAACACAAAAGGTAAGTGGTGATAAGGATGTGGAAATGTAGAAATCCTAGCACACGGCTGGTGGGAATGTAAATTAGTGGTGCCATTATGGAAAACACTACGGAGGTTTCCTGAAAAATTAAAAAGCAGCCTCACTACTGGATACACGTTTAAAGGAAATGAGATCAGTATGCTGAGGAGATATCTGCACCCTCATGTTCACTGCAGCATTTTTCAAAACAGCCCAGCCATCAACAGATGAATGGATAAGGAAAATGTGGTGTATATACACAAGGGAATGCTATTCACCCTTAAAAAAAGAAGGAAATGCTCGTGGGGCATGGTGGCTCACGCCTGTAATCCTAGCACTTTGGGAGGCTGAGGCGGGCGGAACACCTGAGGTCAGGAGTTTGAGACCAGACTGGCCAATATGGTGAAACTCCATCTCTACTAAAAATACAAAAATTAGCTGGGCGTAGTGGCGGGCACTTGTAATTTCAGCTACTCAGAGGAGGCTGAGACAGGAGAATCGCTTGAACCTGGGAGGTGGAGGTTGCAGTGAGCCAAGATCACGGCACTGCACTCCAGCCTGGGCAACGAGAGTGAAACTCCGTCTCAAACCAAAACAAAACAAAAAAAGAAGAAAAGGAAATCCTATCATGTGTGACAAGAGGGATGAACCTGGAGGACACTGTGTTAAGTGAAATAAGCCAGGCACATGTAGACAAATACCACATGATCTCACTTATATGTGGAATCTAAAAAAAAAAAAAAAAATTGAACTCTTAGAAACAGAGAGTAGAATGGTGGCTGCCAGAGGTTAGAAGGAAGGGGATTGGGGAATCCTGGTCAAAGGGTACAAAGTTTCAGTTAGCCAGGAAGAATAAGCTCAAGAGATCTATTGTATAGCACAGTGACTATAGTTAATAAAAATGCATTGGTGGCCGGGCGCGGTGGCTCACGCCTGTAATCCCAGCACTTTGGGAGGCCGAGGCGGGCGGATCACGAGGTCAGGAGATCGAGACCATCCCGGCTAAAACGGTGAAACCCCGTCTCTACTAAAAATACAAAAAATTAGCCGGGCGTAGTGGCGGGTGCCTGTAGTCCCAGCTACTTGGGAGGCTGAGGCAGGAGAATGGCGTGAACCCGGGAGGCGGAGCTTGCAGTGAGCCGAGATCCCGCCACTGCACTCCAGCCTGGGCGACAGAGCGAGACTCCGTCTCAAAAAAAAAAAAAAAAAAAAAAAAAAAAATGCATTGCATGCTAGAAAATTGCTAAGTTGCTATAACACTTGTAGATTTTAAGTGTTCTTGCCACAAATAAATGATAAGTATGTGAGGTAATAAACGTATTAATGAGCTTGATTTAGCCATTCCAAAATGTAAACACATTTCAAAACATTGTGTTGTACAATATAAATAGATACAATTTGTATCTGTCAATTAAAAAGTGAATTTTAAAATATGTTTGGTCATTATTTATAAACTGATTGTAATTATGTTCCCCTCTTGCCCTACCTTTATTACTGTGAGTTTTTGTTTGTTGGTTGGTTTTTGTTTTTGTTTTGAGACAGGGTCTCACTCTGTCATCCAGGCTGAAGTGTAGTGCCGCGATCTCAGCTCACTGCAACCTCTGCCTCCTGGGTTCAAGCAACTCTTCTGCCTCAGCCTCCTGAGTAGCTGGGATTACAGGCACAGGCCACCACGCTCAACTACTTTTTGTATTTTTAGTAGAGATGGGGTTTTGCCACGTTGGCCAGGCTGGTCTCAAACTCCTAACCTCAAGTGATCCACCCACCTCAGCTTCCCAAGATGCTGGGATTACCGGCGTGAGCCACCACACTCGGCCTCTCAGTTATTTATTTTTAACCTCTCTTCTGTGACACCTACAATGTCTCCAGTACCTTGTCTCACAAAGTTTCAAAGTTGATGGTTTAAGACTACTGTTCTTCCATAGGAAGACATACAATAACATCAAAAATAGTCACAAATAAACCATAATCTCAATCTTATAAAAGGGCATTATAAGGTTATTGCTTTTCATTCTTGCTTTATGAAATAAGCACTAAGGACCAATGGCATAACAAGGAGTGTGACCAGTGAGTGTGATCCACCCAGGTGTCGGCAATAAGAGGGTATATCGTTTGAAAGGAATTTAAATAAAACTCAGTCAGTCTTCTATTATCAGCGCAGATTGGCAATACTACATAATGTCTAAATAATGGTGTGATACTGTCCCCATGGGGTGGGCTGCACTCACCGCCCCCAACCCTCCCCTGGTAAAGCGCTGCTGATGACTCAACCTCATGTGGTCTCTCCAGGATTAGTGTTCAAACTGTATACAGTTATGTAGGTATGTGTTTGAAATGAGAGAGGAGAAGGACTAGAAGGAACTTTCTGCAATAATGAAAATGTCCGTATCCACACTGTCCGATATGGGAGTCACCAGCCATATGTGAATATTCTGCACCTGAAATGTAGCCAGTGATCATGCAGAGATTAACTTTTAATGTCATTTCATTCTTTTTTTTTTTTTTTTTTTTATGAGAATAGAGTCTCACTCTGTCGTCCAGGCTGGAGTGCAATGGCACGATCTTGGCTCACTGCAAGCTCCGCCTCCCGGGTTCACACCATTCTCCTGCCTCAGCCTCCCCAGCAGCTGGGACTATAGGCGCGCACCACCATGCCTGGCTAATTTTTTGTATTTTTAGTAGAGACGGGGTTTCACCGTGTTAGCCAGGATGGTCTCGATCTCCTGACCTCGTGATCCGCCCGCCTCAGCCTCCCAAGTGCTGGGATTACAGGCGTGAGCCACCGCGCCTGGCCTCATTCTTTAAATAGTCATATATGGTTACTGGCTACTATATATACTGTTCCATGTAGATCTAGAATTCATATTTTCACATAGGCAGGAGTATAGGATAATTACATACAAACTCCTGAAACCAATCAATCACCTTCAAATTTTAATCTCTTTTTGTTTGGAGACTAATGAGATACTCAACATTGTTGGATGGAGGTTTACAGTTAATCCCAGATACCTGTACAAGAGGTGGCTTCCACCGTAGGTTTTTCAGGGGAGCAGGAGTAAAGTTGAAAGACCCGGTGGGGCGCTTCTTAAGCAGTAACACAACTCCGGTGGGATTCTCTCTCAATTTCTTCACCAGATTTTTCAGCTGCCATCCCACCTTCAAAGAAAGCAAATGGGGAGGGAAGACTTGCTCATGAATAACGAAAAAAACCGAACCTATGAATTTATCTCAGGGCAGTCAGGGTTGTGAGCAGATACATAGAAACAAAATAGGCAGGCGTAAGTATGCTCATGTTAGCACAACCTAAAATAATGAAAAATAGGATATAAGCGGCAAATTTTAAAAATTTAAACAAAATGGTTTTAGATTTAATTAAAAGTTTTAAGGAGGAAAATTGAGCCTCAATAAACAAACTCACCACAGTTTGCTGATTAACTTGAATGACTTCGTCACCAGCATGAATCTTCTGAGATCTGTCTGCAGGAGACTGTACAGAAACAAAATAACCTGCCTTAATTCTTTTAAACCTTCTATTTCTTTCTGCTTTTATTTCTTCTTTCTTCTGTAGACAATTAGCAACTGAAATAACATTTTCTCAGGAAAAATAAAACAATGCACTTTATTCCCCTGAGACTACACAGTCTATAGGACCTTAACACATGAATCCTGTGTTATCTATCTTATTAGTGTCTGTTATAACTGATAATTTGTCTGTTAGAACAGCCAGGTTCAGCTAATCTATCGGGAAGAGACTGGACATACTGTCTTTTGTTTTGTTTTGCTTTTAAGACGGAGTCTCACTCTGTCACCCAGGCTGGAGGGCAATGGTGGATCTCAGCTCACTGCAACCTCCACTTCCTGGGTTCAAGCGGATCTCCCCCCTCAGCCTCCCGAGTAGCTGAGATTACAGGTGGCTGCCACCATGCCCAGCTAATATTTTTAGTAGAGATGAGGTTTTACCATGTTGGCCAGGCTGGTCTCGAACTCCCAACTTCAGGTGATCTGCCCACCTCAGCCTCCCAAAGTGCTGGGATTACAGGCATGAGCCACCGCGCCCAGTCTGGACATACTGTCAAAATGATTGGCTGATAAAAGCTATTGGTTCATCTAAAAAAATTCTTACACATATCCTTATCAAAATTAATCTCATAAAAGCTGACCAACTGTTCAACGTGGAAAATCATCTTTGTAAGTCTGTCATCTCGTTTCCTTATTAAAACTAAATGTTGTTCTCATTCTATCTTCTTTTACATATTATTGCAATGCTGTTAAAATAGAAAGTTGGTGGCAACAGAAATTGCTTTAAAGAAAATGAATTTAGTTTTCTTTTCATTTTCAGATTACATTCAAAAATGAGTCTTCAGTGTCAAAACAAAATCCAGACTTTTTTTCCTTCAAATAACGGCTGGTTATTAATTTACCATCACTGCAACAACAATATATATAAAGGGATAGGCCGGGCGCGGTGCCTCATGCCTGTAATCCCAGCACTTTGGGAGGCCCAGGTGGGCGGATCACGAGGTCAGGAGATCGAGACCATCCTGGCTAACACGGTGAAATCCCGTCTCTACTAAAAATACAAAAAATTAGCCAGGCATGGTGGCGGGCGCCTGTAGTCCCAGCTACTCAGGAGGCTGAGGCAGGAGAATGGCGTGAACCCAGGAGCGGAGCTTGCAGTGAGCCGAGATCGCGCCACTGCACTCCAGCCTAGGCGACAGAGCGAGACTCCGTCTCAAAAAAAAAAAAAAAAAAGAAAAGAAAAAAGAAATATAAAGGGATATAATCCATTTGTCAAATATTTTGCTCATGGTGTTCTTGTTCATATCAGCCACCTAGCCTAGAACTCTTTATGTTGAAGGTATCTCATATATGACTAAGAGAAGAAGAAAAGATAAACCTTGGATTTCAAATTCTAATCAAACATTATCTAGAATAGAGGATTTAATTTTCTAACTTACATTACTGGCTAAATCTTCAAACAATTTCCAAATATCCAAAAAATAGCACCTTTGAACACAGGGAGAGGGACAGCAATGAGACCCAAGACACACTGGCTGAAGTTTCTCTAAATTGTTGTGACAGGCTCAACGGGAAATTAACAAGCAGCCCTAAACTGTAGAAATATTCCCTTTGATTTTATCTAGGCCTCATACAAGGCCCTGGTAACTGTGAGTTATTTGTGAAAACATTTAACCTGCTACCGTACCCGACAGTGCTCACCTGAGAGACCAGCCCATGTTCATCTCAAGTTTCTGTTTTGTTTTTTTGTTGTTGTTGTTGTTGTTTTTTGAGACAGTCTCACTCACGCTCAGTCACCCAGGCTGGAATACAGTGGTGTGATCTCAGCCCACTGTAACCTCTGCCTCCCAGGCTCAAGCCATTCTCCTGCCTCAACCTCCCGGGTAGTTGGGATTATAGGCACCCACCACCACGCCCAGCTAATTTCTGTATTTTTAGCAGAGATGGGGTTTCACCATGTTGGCCAGGCTGATCTTGAACTCTTTACCTCAGGTAATCCGCCCGCCTTGGCCTCCCAAAGTGCTGAGATTACAGGCGTGAGCCACCGCACCCGGCTCATCTCAGATTTCTTACATCACTTAAAAAATGAATTTATCTATGCTCCTTTTTGTCCCTGTGTGCCAGATGCTTAACCTACAGTTAAAGGCCTACTTTAGTAATTCTGATCCTAATCGGTCCAGTCCAGTTAATCTTCCTGGGCAAAGGATTCATTTAAGATAAGCTTCACTTTACAAAAGATAGCCCCAAGGCTAGGAAGTCCCTGTCTCTAGATGTGTAATCTTAAAAAACATGCTCTGATGTCCTGAATTGACTTCCCTTCCTAAGGATCCTTTTGCCTTCATTTCTCAAATGTCCAATCAAGTGATTAAGAGTTGTGTTTGGCAGAACACTGGTAAAGAGAGAGCTTGGTACCAAAATTCTGCCCAGGGCAGTAGCTCTTGCCTATCTTCACCATGAGGAGGACTACTGAAAAATGATGCTTGTGTTGGTTTGCTGCAGAAGGGTCATGACCTAGAGAATAATGCACCCATTCTTCAGAGGCTAATCTAACTCCCACCGGATCTCAGGGGTGGAGGACAGAAGTATGGATGAGGCTGTGTCAAGACTCTTGTCAAGGTCTAAAATAACATCAAAAAAAGAAATAAGAGAAACATCAGACACTGCTTGTCTGACTTTGGAATGATCCTGGCCTCTCAGGTAACCTTCAAAGAAATGGACTGAAGGCCTTGCTTGCTTCAGCCTCAAGTCCAAGATTGAAGAATATGGACATAATTCACTTGTGAAAACAATGGGTGATTTTCATCCACTGCTACCCACCATACTAGGCTTCTTCCATTAAAACATTCTGACAGTGAAGTCATAGCAACCTTAAGTGATAGCCAAAAGCTGACCTGGAGCTGGCACTTTCTACTGCCATTCAAGTGTATTAATACCCAACATTAAGAATAAAATATCCAGATTGAGCCTGGGAGAAGTGGGCTCTCACCTAACTTCCCATGCTTGTCTAGAAGACTTAGACTTACTTAGCCTAGTGTCTAGCACATTCCAGGTCCTCAATAAATGCGAATTGAATGACTAAAGGAATGAGTGACATTTTCAAGTGGATTACCAGATGGAAGAAGACAAGTTTTCTTTTTTGATCTCTAACAAGATGGTAGCCACCACTCCCTGAGACGACTTCCATACAGTCCTACATGGGAATACCAGGACAGCCCCTGAGTCTGTTAGCCAGTGTTACAATTCTGGTAGGAATTCAGGGAATATATCATTAATGGCATATGACATTTCATTTAATTCAAAAGCAGCTTTGTTTAGTCTGTCATTGAACTCTTTTATTTATTTATTTATTTATTTATTTATTTGAGACAGAGTCTTGCTCTGTCACCCAGGCTGGACTGTGCAGTGGCTCGATCTCGGCTCACTGCAGCCTCCCGGGTTCAAGCAATTCTCCTGCCTCAGCCTCCCGAGTAGCTGGGATTACAGATGCGTGCCACCACGCCCAGTTAATATTTTGTATTTTTAGTAGAGACGGGGTTTCACCATGTTAGCCAGGATGGTCTCGATCTCCTGACCTTGTGATCTGCCCACCTCAGCCTCCCAAAGTGCTGGGATTACAGGCGTGAGCCACCGCACCCGGCCCGTCTTTTCTTTAAAACGGGGGGTGGTGCAAGAGGAAGGAAGTACTATGCCTTCCAGTAGTAATTCTGTAGTGCTCCAGATCCAAGAGGGAAATTGCTTCAAGAAGACCCAATAGAGTTGGAAAACACACTGGTCTGGTTAAGACAGACAACGTAATCATCAAATTGCTAGATTGCAAAACTTCAACTCTAAAAACTGAAAAGACATTCACCATGTTTCTCTTCCATACAAACAGATATGACTGTGTTCTTATCACGGCTGAGCTGCAATGTACTGAGTCTCGATCAAGGATGAAGGAAGAATCGTGTGTTGCATCTTGTGTCTTTTCTTCCGCACCATCCCCAGCCTAAAAGCAGAGCTTCCTGTGCTGTTATTGTCTAGGAGGTGACATGGTATAAAAACTCCTAGTGACTCTCAGGGCTTCCTCGCTGCAGCTCAACAGAGAATCCTGAAACACACTACCATTTCCTACCCATTCATCTGCCAGAACCATGCAATGTATTTATAATTCATTGACTGCCTTAAGCAGTATCATTTTCTCACTACAAACATCAAGTGCTTATCACAGACACTCAAAGATCATGCCATTTTCCTTTATCAAAAGATCTAGCATCTGAAGCTCAAAATTAGACACATATTTCTACCAAACAGATTAGAAAAGCAGCTACTAAAATTTCCCCTAATTTTAGGAATTATCTCCTCCTGTCTTAGCTGATTAAATAGGTTAATTCCCCCAAATACATGCTTCTTTTGCACAGACCCAGGGAAGCTATTCAAACATTTTTAGTTTCATATCAATGTCTTTCAAAAGCAAGCCACATTGTAGGCTGCAAGAAGAAAGCATTCAACCAGCTCTACTTCTCACAAATTCAAAATGTTTGAGGGGCTAAAGACAACTCTACACATAGCAGAATTTCCAGAAGGAAGTACACAGTGTACAGAAGTCTCTCACAGTAGAAACAGACCTGCTTTTCCTATTCAAGGGCTGGGGAGAGAGGACTAAACTTCAATATCATGCCAAATATTATGAAACACAACTATAAAAATATGTTGTAAAAAATCCTGAAATAGCTGCTTTGGAGACATAAAAATTCCATTAAATAAAAAAAATTATATTTTATACACATGGCCACCAATCCCAGTTCTTATAAGAGTGACTCTCAAAAACAAAAAGATCATTGCTTTTGTATTTATGGCTTAACACTTCCAGTGTGCAAAAGGAATAATTAACACAAGGGTAGGGGTAAAAACTGGGCAAGGTATATGAACAAGAGCAATAAAGGACAATTTAAATAATAGATTGACAACAGCTGGTGACAAGCAGTACTCTATCAACAGAAATAAACAAAGCAGGTACCCACGCTCTCACAATAATCAAACAGCATGCACACGTTTAAATTCAAAGTATAGAGACTGTGGATCAAATCTGTTTAAACACACAACAGATTTTACACTTAATGAATATACACTTACATTTTCTGTGGTTCCAGTAATCACGTGTAACCCATCATAGGTTGATTTGATGTACATGCCCTGGAGTGAATCACAAATAGATTAACTCATTACTCCAACGTTTAGAGACATAGCCCCGAGTGAGACTTAAACTTATAAAACATTAACAACAGTCCCTTCAGAACAATACTCATTTTTCAGCCTCCTGAAACATCGAGAAACAAGATCCAAAGGGTGGTGAAGGGGAGCTAAGCAAACTGAAATACTGGTGAAAGAAATAAAACATGTGATCTCTTTGATACTATAATCTGTGTACCAGGCACACAGAATTATGCCACAACTCCGAGGATGTGGGAGTGTTCTTAGACCTACAGGATGAGTGAATGAGTGAGGCACTTCAAACAACAACTGTTCTATTATGTTAATAATGAGACATGGTCTTGCTAAGTTGCCTACACTGGAGTGTAGCGATGCAAACACAGCTCACTGTAACCTTGAACTCCTGGGCTCAAGTGATCCTCTCACCTCAGCCTCCCCAAGTAGCCAGGACTACAGGTGTGTGCTACCACACCCAGCTAATTATTTTTTTTTTTTAATAGAGAAAGGATCTCACTATGTTACCCGGGCTGGTTTCAAACTCCTGGGCTCAAGTGATCCTCCCATCTCGGCCTCCCAAAGTGCTGGGATTATAGGTGTAAGCCACCACACCCAGCCAAAGAACAGTTCTTTCTTGACCATTTCTCTGTCTAGGGACACAATATATTCATTTAAATTTGGTAACAGAAATAACCTCAGAGTGACTATTAAAGCTACTAATAATCCAGACAAAGATATATGAACAAAGATTGTTAAATAACAAAGCATAGGTAGCAAATTAGTAACAGACACCCCTCCTTTTAAGGGAAATGTAAAGATGAATGAATATTCTCTCTCCTCAGAGGCCTGAGAGGTAAACTCAGAGGCCAATGCCTCACTGAGTGATACACCGAATGTATCATTGAGGAACTATTTCTGCAGTTGGACTCACCACGTGTACATTTTTTTTAAATTAAACTGTTACAAGATGGGGAAAGAGAGCAAAAAGTAGACCAGGTAAAAAGTAGTTGCTCATCCTGGTATCTATGCTGTAATAATGTGGACCCTCCTCAGAAATTATGCTGCACCCAGCCTGCTCATCAACCTACGCTAATCTATGATGAGAGCCCCATCAAACACCAGCGCCTTCAGGTTCTCCTGATTCCTCTCCTATCCTGTTACTTTCACTCGCAGATTATATCAGCTTCTCCTCTACACATGGTACTCCCCCTCCCAGGGCATTGCTGGTATAACTTTACCATCTGAAATGACAACTCCATTTCTGCCTACTCAGGACATTTATCTGCTTAAATATGTGACTATAAACCTACCTCCAGGAAGTCCTCCCTGTTTAAACTTAATCTGATATAATCCATCATTTGCTTTGAAGCCAAGCAGTACCAATATGCATTTTTCTGCTCACTAAGAATGTGGGCCTGTCAACAATTGGTTGATTTTTGTTTTTTCTAAGAGCAGAGACTGCCTTAACAGCTCCTGACAGCTACCTATACATTAGATACTTTCCCCCTCCCCCGTCTCCTCCTCCTCCTTCTCCTCAACATCATCAATACCAGCAACTGTAGCTGCAGCCACATTAATGCACACGTACTATATGCTTGGTGCCTGGTACTTGGCATTCACAATCTAATACAATACTTTCAACAACCCTCTGAGGAAACTGACATGTAAAGAGGTTAAGTCCCTCAAGAGCCGGGATTTAAACCCAGCTCTCTCTGACTCAAAGCCTCTAAGCTAATTAATGGGCTTCACAGCTTCTTCACGAAAATTTCAGCAAATTAATCCCATAAGATGCACGCTAGGTACTAGGAGATCACTTGTATGTAGTCCCACAGCCTGTTATGATATAGCTCATATATTACTTATGAAACATTTCTAAACCCTTCTTAAGAATCACTGCCTTCAGCCAGTCCCTTCTCACATTCATCCTAAGTGCTAATACTTTCAGAGCAGATGTTATTTTTGTACCCAGAGACCATCTTTCCTTTGTGTAAGTGTTTTATATTTCCTTGCATTGCTAAGTCCTAAAAATAAAGTGTTATCTTCAAAATACGAGTATACAGTTTTTAAACTGTATTTATTTTTATACTTTGTGGATAGAAAACATATCAACAGGATTCAAGATAGCACATTCCTAATTACATAATGGAAGGCAGTCTAAATTAATTCTGCTTTTCAGAATTATAGTGAAAGCAATAAGGAATTTTTTTAAAAATTTAGTAAATGATGATGTATGTTATCTGAAAATAAAACAAGTGTTATTAGAACTTACCAGGCCTTCCCCAGGTTTAATGTTTGGTAAGTGAACTTCCTCCAGACATGCACACTGGCTCATCACAGGATCTGTGGTAGATCGGATTGTTTTGTCACAGATGCCATTTAAAACCTTGACCTAGAATTGGAGAAGCAAATAGTCAGGAAAGTTCAATCATTAACCAAGTTTATCTCAAGCTGATTTTTAGAGAAATGCATTTCACCTATAATTGTTAGTTCTGGTTGGCAATCATTTTGATAATTCTGCTCAGTGAATGCATGGCATTTAGACTCCATGTTTACCATCTGTGGGAATAGTGCCACTATTTCAGCTTTGTTTAGAAAAGGCAGCTTTTATATTAGCTCCTTTATGGCCACTGAAGAGCACAGGCCAGGCAGAAATCCCCTTTCAGCAATGAAGTGGAATCATCTCTCCCCAACCACCTACCTGACTTTTCAATGATTGCTCACAGTCTCTGAATACCAAATATTGACAAGGTAAAAAAAAAAAAAAATTGTTTTGAGACTAAGCCATTTTTTCAATGGACTTTACTTTTTTAAGCTGTTTCACGTTTATAAAAAAAAAAAATTGAACAAAAAGTACATTGAGTTCCCATATATCCCCTCCACCACCAGCCTCCATTCCCAGTTTCCTCTATTATTAACATCTTGTACTAGGTGTGGTGCATTTGTTATAAATGACAAACTAGGACGGGCACAGTGGCTCATGCCTGTAATCCCAGCACTTTGGGAGGCTGAGGTAGGGGGATCACCTGAAGTCAGGAGTTCAAGACCAGCCTGACCAATATGGCAAAACTCCATCTCTACTAAAAATACAAAAATTAGACGGGCATGGTGGCGTGTGCCTGTAACCCCAGCTACTCGGGAGGCTGAGGCTGCAGAATTGCTTGAACCTCAGAGGCAGAGGTTGCAGTAAGCCGAGTCGCACCACTGCACTCTAGCCTGGGTAACAGAGCGAGACTCTGTCAAAAAAAAAAAAAAAAAAAAAGCCACCAAAAACAAATTATGAACTAATATTGAGACACTATTATCAACTAACATCTATAATTTATATTAGGGTTCACTTTTTGTGGTGTACATTCTATGAGTTCTGACAAATGCCTAATGTCACGTATCCTTCATTACAGTATCATATAGGATAGTTTCAGTGTCCTAAATATCCCCTGTATGCAACCTAATTATCCACCACCCCATCCCTCACCATGAACCCCTGGCAAACATAGATCTTTTTACTGTCTCTGTGGTTTTGATTTTCTAGAAAGTCAAATAGTCAGAATTATGCAGCATGTAGTCTTTTCAGACTGCCTTATTTCAATTAACAACATACTTGTAAGTTTCCTCCATATCTTTTCATGACTTGATAGCTTATTTCTTTTTTATTGCTGAATAATATTCTATTTTATAGATGTACAACAGTTTGTTTATCCATTCATCTATTGAGAGACATTAAGGTTGCTTCCAACTTTTTTGGCAATTTTGAGTAAATCTGCTATAAACATCCTGTGCACATTTTTTGATGTAAATTTTCAACTCCTTTGGGTAAATATGTAGGAGCACAACTGTTGGATCATATGGTAAGAATATGTTTAGTTTTGTAAGAAACTTCCAAATTGTCCTCCAAACTGCCTGCACCATTTTGCATTTCCACCAGCAATTAACGAGCGTTCCTGTTGCTCCACAACCTCAGCAGCGTTTGGTGTTGTCAGTGTTTCATATTTTAGCCTATATAATAGGTATATGGCGGTATCTCATTGTTGTTTTAATTTACAATTCCCTAATACAAATGACATTGAACATCTCTTCATAGGCTTATTTGCCATTTGTATGTATTCTTTGGTGAAGTACCTGTTCAGATCTTTTGTCTCCTTTTTAATTGGGTTGTTTGTCTTCTTATTCTTGTTTTTTGTATATTTTGTTCTTGTTCTTTGTATATTTTGGATACAAGTCCTTTATCTGATAGGTGTTTTGAAAATATATATCCTCCCAGTCTGTGGCTTGTCTTTTCATTCTCTTAACAGTGCATTTCACATAGCAGTTTTTAATTTTAATGAAGTCTACCTTATCAATTTTTCTTTCATGAATTATGCTTTTGGTGTTCTATCTGAAAACTCATTGCAAAACACAGTCACCCAAATTTTCCCCTATGTTATCTTTTAGATGGTTTATAGTTTTGCATTTTACATTTAGGTCTATCATCTTTTTAGTGATCACTCACATTCTTTGAATGCCAAACACTGACAAGGTAAAACTAAAGAGACAATGAGAGGATCCCTATTAAGTGGTCTCCTTATAGAAGTCACAGTGGCTACGTGTGGTATTTCCCCAATCAGACTCATCTAACCTTTCAAAATTAAACAACCAAAGAAATCAGGAAATTCCAAAGAGTGATTTTTCTTTCCAAGGGGGAGAATCCAAGAAGTGATACTTTTTACATTCCTCCAATTTGTTTGGCCTCCCTATTTATGGAAAATATATTTATAGCAGTTTCATTGCTAAATTCCTCAACATCAGTAGGAGGAAGGCCTTATCAAAAGAGCACAGGCTGGCGTATGTCAAAAGGAGGAAGTGATGATGAATAGTTACAAAATGCTCCTTAAACAGTTACAGCACATCCCCCCTCCATCATAAGGTTTTTGCCAAGAATTTTTTTCTTAAATCAAAATGGTCCTAAAGTGAAATTTGCACATCAGTTCAATCCTGACTAGCAGGCTAGCTAGCAATATACATATAACTGTATCCTGATAAAATGTTCAGAAAAAAAAATAAAACAGAGACTCGATGTAGTTAATTTAAGCACAGGAATTTTCACAGTAGTTGGTCTTGTTAAATAACTTTTATGCTTTCTCTTCCACCTAAATTTAAAAACTCATGTCCCAAAAGCCAATATTTCAAAGTATCTCCTGAAGTAATTAGCCACAGGGCATTTACTTAATGTGATTCCCACTGCCTTTGGAAAATGAATTTTACAATAACTTTTAGAATGTATACTTACCACAGTTAAAACTTTATCCTCCATTTCCGCTACAAAGCAATCCTAAAGAAGGGGATGGAGAAAATGAATACTAAGTACAAGAGTTAAAAACGTTCAGAACTGTTGGCCTAGCTTTCTAGACATTTTCTGCAGCTCAAGACGGTCCCTGACACACCCGTCAGCCTGCACAGTCCTGCAGGACTGGGATGGGAATGAGAGGGCAGAGTGGGAACAGAGCTGACGTTTGCACCTTCCGAAGGTCCTGCTCTCCCCTGACCTAAGGAGTTCTCATCCAAGGAACCCACTTGGCCAATTACTTAATTTGAAAACTTACAAAAATAACTGAACTGAAATCCACCTACTCTCCAGACTGTCCAGAGAGTAGTAAGTCAGAAGTCCAAGTCAAGAAACCTGACGACGGCTCCCAATGTGCCCCCAGGAACAGACAGCAGTGGGCCAACAAGCTGGCAGTCTTTAGCTCTGGGCCTGCCTATAAGAATAGCTTTCAAATAAGGGCTTGAGTAAACTCAGCCACAAAAGTTTATTTTAAGCACCACTGAGATTAAATCAGATATTTCAGTCCTTGATAGATGAAAAGGGTTCAACAAAACATTCATTAACACACTGACAAAAAAGTGGTCTTGAGGTATGCTATTGATGACATGAAATAAAGGGCTGGAATGCAAAGCATTATTTATTCAGCTTAAGAACAAAAGGCTTGGAACACTGTATGAACTGGGTTAGCTGATTATAGGAATCACCATTGTCTTGTCTAAAAGCTGCCAAAGTGAAATTGCCAATGTGAAACTTTCACAGTTAACCTTCTAGAACTCATCTGTAGCAAAGGATTTCAACCTATACTGCAGAATGCATGCAGAAAAAAAAAATCGATACAACTAGATTCTATAGAGTTTATTCAGCCCTATTAACTATAATCCCAAGTTAGGACAATCTTAAAGATAATGCTAATTTCTTTTATGTACATGACAAAATGTTAATCAACTGTGTTGGAATTGTCAGGTGAAGATTTTTCACGTCAATCAAAAAGTCATTTTTAGGTCATTTTTTACTACTTCTGAAGGAGGAAGATGCCTGTCAGTTTCTACTCTATATGATTTAATAATCAGACTTTTATTGTCTTCTTACATTTGTTTAAAATTTTTTCTACTAAATAAAAATGTAGGAAACAATAATAATGACTGCTCCTAAAATTTATACTGACTCTCAGGAAAAGAGCAGCCTAGAGAGAAAAGACTTAAAAAAAATAAATTTAGAAATGTATTTTTACATGTGTGAATTTGATATTATCTTAAACTACAGGAGCGGCTTCTGTAAACAGGAATAATTATAGCTCCAAATGTGCTTTTCCAATTCTATCTTGTAGATAAAACTAAACTGTCAACTACCATTATGGCTCATCCCCTATTAATACTGTCTGGCAGACTTGTTAAACACATTTCAACCTTAGAAACACAGTATACATATGTGATCGTGTGCTAGAAATAAAACTAATACTTTATCTTTGTGTCTATAATCTTTCACTACAAATTCCTTTTTTTTTTTTTTTTTAGACAAGGTCTCACTCTCTCGCCCAAGTAGGAATGCAATGGTGCAATCTCAGCTCACCGGCAGCCTTGACCTCCTGGGCTCAAGTGATCCTCCCGCCTCAGCCTCCCAAGCAACTGGGACCACAGGTGCACACCACCACACCTGGCTAATTTTTGTATTCTTTGTAGAGACGGGGTTTCACCATGTTGCCCAGGCTGAACTTGAATTCTAGACTCAAGCCATCCACCTGCCTCAGCCTCCCAAAATGCTAGGGTTACAGGCATTGGTCACCACACCCGGCCCACAAATCTCTAAATTAATACAAGCACTGTCACTTCAGGGAGACCATCACCTAGAGGCAGAGACCAACTCTCAATACACCAGAGCCCAAGAACAAGGTAGACTTGTGACTGCAAGGTTCCTACAACTTGATTCCTTGAGGGATCCAAGAGGCCACCAAGAATATCGGTTCCCTGCAGTGGTGACTGCGGTGGTGATGGAGACAGCAACACAAGGAGCTTCCCGCCTCCCAAATTGTTCCAGTTGGCGTGTGAAAGGACTCCCTCTCACCTCCCGCCACTGTGAACGTGGTTCCCACACCCATTCCTGCCGAGAGGAAGCAGCTGCAGGCATGACTTCACATTGTTTTTTGGCATGAAGGCAATGGAATGGAAAAATGAGTGCAAAACCAAGTCACCGACCCTCCCAGGCTGGACAGTGAGCTGAGCTTCTCACAGCCCTGGGTCACCTGGCAGCAGAGGCCCAGCCTGGGTGGCACTCAGCACCCCCCTGCCTCTCCTCCTATTCTGCCTTCTCAGGAACTGAGCAGTCTTGTGCAGTAGGTTTAACTTCTCTGAGCCTTAGTTTCCTTCTTTCTAAAATGGGGTGATAACAAAGCCTACCTCTGAGATTTGCTGAGAATTCGGTGTGATGGCACGCGTCAAGTGTGAATGCACACCTGCTGAGAATTCGGTGTGATGGCACGCGTCAAGCGTGGATGCACACCTGAGAATTTGGTGTGATGGCACGCGTCAAGCGTGGATGCACAATGGCATGTGTCAAGCGTGGATGCACACCTGCTGAGAATTCGGTGTGATGGCATGTGTCAAGTGTGGATAGACACCTGAGACACAGTCAGCACTCAGCAGCAGTCTTTTCCTCTTCTGCTTCCATGGCTTGCTTTCTTCTCGTGTATGTGACACAGGGTCTCACTGTGTCACCCAGGCTGCAGTGCAGTGGCATGAACATGGCTCACTGCAGCCTCCGCTTCCCAAGCTCAAGCAATCCTCCCACCTCAGCCTCCCAAGTAGCTGGGACTACAGGCACACACCACCACGCTTGGCTAACTCCTTAATTTTTTTTTTTAATATAGAGGTCTCACTATATTGCCCAGGCAGGTCTCAAGCAATCCTCCCAACTTGGCCTCCCAAAGTGCTGGGATTAAAGGCCTGAGCCATTGAGCCTGGCAGGCTTGTTTTCTTTCCATTCAGTTTTCTCAAGGACAAATATTGCTCATTTTCCTAATTCTTTTTTTTGTTGTTGTTAAGATACTATCTTGTTATGTTGCCCAGGCTGGTCTCAAACTCCTGGGCTCAAGAGATCTTCCCATCTCAGCCTCTAGTAGCTGGGCCTCCAGGTGTGCACCAACACATCTGGCGTCATTTTCCTATTTCTTTCCAGACTGAAACTCAGCACCTGCCAGGGCCATTGTGTCTCTCTTGCCGTCTCTATTTCAGTTTTCATGGCATCCGACATGAGGAGACTACACTGGAAATACAGATCTCAATCCCTTCCCACCTTGGGGTCCTTCATCTCAAATTACAGCCTCAACACTGAACGGGAAGATCTATCCTTGTACTTGGTGTAGGACTACAGCTGAAAAAATGTTAAGAAATGAAGAAATTTCTTAAAAGAAATGTGCAGTTTCCTTGCAGGAGAAAAGAAGCAGCAATATGTATCCTTCAAATTAGAGGACTCATAAATTATTATTGGAAGGAAGGATGCAGAGATGGATGGAAGGAAGGATGTCACCACAAGAAGAAGAAGGGGGGACGGCAAGATGTAGAAGAGAGATGGGACAAGCAAATGTCTCTTCACAGACAAGGACACCAAGAATAAAGGCTCAGACAGAACATGTTCTTTGTCACTGGAAAGAGATACAACTTTTATTCCTCCAATTCCCCAGTTAAAAGGAATAAATGGCAAAGACAGATGTCTTCCCAAAGAGTCAACAGATCTTCTGTCAAGCAGCTGCAAGAGAATGTGAAGTCCCCTGGCACGTTCAATCTCATTGCTACCATCACAACGCACATGGGGTAAGCCACACTCAACTCATTTATCAAGTTTGTAATTTCTAATTTGTATGTATCTGAGCGCACAGATGCACAAATATCACCATTTGGCAAAGCACCTATGTTCTTTTTTTTTTTTTTTTTTTTTGAGATGGAGTTTCAGTCTTTCACCCACGCTGGAGTGAAGTGGCGCGATCTTGGCTGACTGCAACCTCCGCCTCCCAGGTTCAAGTGATTCTCCTGCCTTAGCCTCCCAAGTAGCTGGGATATATAGGTGTCCGCCACCATGCCCTGGGTGATTTTTGTATTTTTAGTACAGATGGGGTTTCGCCATGTTTGCCAGACTAGTCTCGAACTCCTGACCTCAGGTGATCTACCCGCCCTGGCCTCCCAAAGTTCAGGGATTATAGGCGTGAGCCACCTCTCCCAGCTATGTTCTTCAATTACTACAGAACATGCGCTTGTCAAGAGCACTTGTCAAGAAACATATTTTTCAATCTAAGTTCAGAAAATGATATCCTGATATATATTTACATATCAGTCTTACTCCTTCAAAACTGTTCAAATTTAAAACAAAAAAATACCAGAGAATAAGGGCAGTATATTTGTCCAGTTCTTCTCTTTAAACTATCAAATTTGATTCCAGAAAACAAGTACAAGGCAAGATTTTTGTATTTCCTACCACAGTCTACTCCTTCTGAAGCAGGCACTGTGCTTTTCACATGTTGTATCTCGATCTCCTGACCTCGTGATCCACCCGCCTCGGCCTCCCAAAGTTCTGGTATTACAGGCATGAGCCACCGCACCTGGCCCACATGTTATATCTCATTTAATCTTCATAACAATCTTTTGGAGTAGGTATTATTTTTTAAGTATTTTATATTATTTATCTGTATCTAATTTTACATAAATGTGGTCATATACATGATTTTTATAAATAAAATTTTTTGTTCTCTTTTTTTGCCTTGGCTCCTACATTCCCTCCCTCTCTCTCCCCCTGCCAGAGTAAACACAACTTTTTTTCTAAATTATCCACTGTATTTACATATTACTTCGTATACAAGTTTGTATAGGATGATGCGTGTTTTATATATACACACACAAACACACACACACACATGCATTTTAGGTATTTATGGTAACCATTTATCTTCATACCACACTTTTTTTTTGCCTTTTTTCTTTTTTAACTCAACATTAACTTGTAGAAATCCCACCAAATTATCTGGTAAGGTAAATATTTGTATTCCCATTCTGTAAATGAGAAAATTGAGGTTCAAAAATTATAAGTGACTCGTCCAAGGCCCCAGGGCTAATTAATGGTAGAGGTAGGATTTGAACCTATAGCTGCCTCTCTCTGAAGAATATGCTCTTAACCACTAGACTAACCTCCCTCAGTGAGCACCACAGGAAAAAGAGAAACAGAAAATGAATGCGGAAACAAACAAAACTAATACCTCTTGTGTCCCTTGAGTTCTGATAAAAGTCAAATTCTCAGCAGCCTATCTGTCCAAAGCATTATTTCGTTCATATAACACACATTTAAAAAGCACCATTCATCATGTCCCAGGCATTCTTAGGCCCCAATAAGCTGGGCAGGCGCAATGAAGACGCTCACAGGTACCTTTCTGATGTGACCAGGACATGTACCTCCTATGGGAAGATTTTTTTATTTAATCATCAGTTCATAACGATCGACCCCTCTCTACAATTACCAGGAAAAGTAGCACTTGAGATGATGCATAAGCCCATCCCATCAGACAAGCACAGACTTCTCCTGGCTGAATTACTCAAGTGTCACCTTCTCAAGGAGGCGGCTCTAGGCACGTATCTCAAACTGTACTCCCCTCACTCCTTCCTGTGCGCCTTCCCTCCCTAGCATTGCTCTACCTTAATATAACCACATATATTCATATATAAAAGTCTGCTTATCTATCCATTTTCTCTCCAGAGACTGTATGCTCCAGAAGGTCAGGGACTTTTTATCTGTTTATTCACTCTGGTATCCCAGGGCAGCAGACACAGAATAAGTGCTAAATAAAAATGTATTGAAAGAAGTGTCCAAATACCTCGGAAGCCAACATCAACTTGCTCAGGCAGAAGTTCACCCCGTGAAACAAACATGACCCCCCCTGCCTTCACTTTCATCCCTTTCTCTCCTCTCCCTACATTGCAGTGGGGACAGCCTGAATCAGCCACACAGTTGAGGACCCTTCACAATAAAACACAAATGTACCAACAAGCAAAACTTTCCCATTTGCTAATCACAATATTTAACTCTTTCATTTAATTGATCGCTAGTAAACTCTGTTAAAAATCAAAACAGGGCCAGGTGCAGTGGCTTATGCCTGTAATCTCAGTGCTTTGGGAGGTAGAGGCAGGGGAATTACTCGAGGCCAGGAGTTTGAGACCAGCCTGGGTAACATAGCAAGACCCTGTCTCTACAAAAAAATGAAAAATTAGCTGGGCATGGTAGCATGCACCTGCAGTCCCAGCTATCCAGGAGGCTAAAGTGGAAGGATTGCTTGAGCAAGGAGGTCGAGGCTGCAGTGAGCCACGATTACACCCCTGCACTTCAACCTAAGCAACAGAGTGAGACCCTGTCTCTTAAAAATAAAACAAAATCAAAATATGAGGAAAATATTACGGGAAGAGGGAAGCAAGGGAGAAAATGGACACTCAAGGTAGGTATCAGGGAAATGCCTTCAACCACAAATGCCATGCCTTCATGGCTGTATGACTAATGCATCACAACTGGTATCAGACTCTTTTTTGTCAAAATTACTTTATGCACCATAAAAAAGAGCAAAAACTCAGAAGCTACTTTACTTGCTCTGAGCACCTTTCTAAGATCATGACCTCAAAACTCCATGTGCCTTGAGAACAATGGCTGCTCAGGACTAGAGCAAACAACTGCCACGTGCAGAGACAAAGTTCACAATTCACATTCCAGAAACAACCAGAAAAAGCACGGCTTTTCAGAATTGCATCTCTGTTATGGCATGGTCAGGACAGAAGGGAGGATGTTCTTTATGTTTTGCCAAATCAGCAGTAGAAACAAATGTGGAAACAGAATTTTAGAACCAAGTGGGACGTGAAAAAACAACAAGCTCTTCCTTACATTTCATAGCCTCAATTCAATTCAAAAATATTTTACAAGCATCTGCTGCATGCCAAGTAACAGGACAGAAGGTAGTCCTAAGAGCTGATGGTCCAAGAAGAAATTTTTTTTTAAATTAAGATCACAGAAGCTCAATCAGTTACAGACTGGCTAATATAAAACTTCCTGAGCCTTTACTAAGATACCTAGGTCTGGGCAATGAGCCATGAGTGAAATTGACATGTGTCACTTGCAGTCCAGAACATCAGTCAGTGTGAGGACCTTCATGGTTTTTACCTTTCTGCCTTGGGGAAAGGCAACATGACATACTAGTGATTCTGTCAACCTATGTCCTGTATACATCTTGAAATGAGGAGTCGGAGGTGATTGCCCTCTAGCCCTGACCCATTTGGATGTAAATAATCAAGGAATAAACTGCTAAGGTTTGAGGTTTGGGGGTTGTTTGTTCCTGTACCACAACCTAGCCCATCCTGACTGGTAAATCCAACAACAAGAGGCCAAAATGAAAAGAAAATTAAGAAGCAGATATAGTAAAGTACTCAGAACAAAGACTATCATGCAACTTAGTTACTCCAGAATTTTCATTAAAAAAAAAAATTAAGTGCTCTAACATTTTAGGGGAAGTACAGGAACTATTAGTTCGCCTATTTTAAAACACACACAAAAAGGTAATCTTTAATTCAAAGGCCACTGGTCAGTTTTCAGAGAAACCATCTTTACAATGATCTAATTTAAAGCCTTTCATCTCTTCCCAGCTCTGATGGAAAAAAAACTGAGGTGGGGAGAGGAGAGTAGTACTTCATACCTGCATGAAAATCCTTTCAAGAAGAGGAAAAGCAAAAAAAAAAAAAAAAAAAAAAAGAAAGTGAAAATGACATACTACTGACCTTCTGGACTGTAGTGGTCAGGTCCAAGCAAAGCTGGATAATTTTGTTCTTCGTGACTGAGAAATCAGTGATCCCTGTAAACGGAGCCCTAGAAGGTAGCAACAATCCTCTTAAAAAGGGGTAGGGAGAATCCACGGGGATCCCACTGGATGTTGGTAAGCATAGCTACCCCATGGGCTACTCTAAATTCCTTTTTGTTTTGTTTTGTTTGAGACTGTGTCTCACTCTGTCGCCCAGGCTGGAGTGCAGTGGGATGATCTTGGCTCACTGCAATCTACGCCTCCCAGGTTCAAGCAACTCTCCTGCCTCAGCCTCCCGAGTAGCTGGGATTACAGGCATGTGCCACCAAGCCCAGCTAAATTTTGTATTAAATTAGTTTTTATTTAACTGTTTTCTCTCAAGTGACACATAAAATAGCAATCTGAATAGAAAGAGAGAAGGAATAGATTAAAAACAAAACAAAACAAAAATTGACAGTTAACATCCCTTCTGAAGTCAACTAACAGCTTTCATACCAATCAAATCCTCAACCATTAATGTTTAATCTCAGTAAAACACAACCTTTAGCACAGTTTCACTCTTCTCTAAGCTGAGGTTAATTTGTTCCTGCTATTAACCTTTTAAGTTAACTGGCAAAGGAATCCTAAAATCTACCACTGATCGAGGACTCCTTAAGAGCCGGTAAAAATGATATGAAAAGAACAATGGTTCCTTTTCCTAAGACAAAGTACAGCTTCCATGCAGCTTGGACTCTATCTACTCTTGCAGGGCAGTAAAAGGCACATCTCCAACTTACCGGTCCAGCCACGCCAGCAGGGCCTTGGCGGCGCCGATGAGCTCCACCACCGAGGTCAGGAACTCATTGGGGGCCTTGCGGGAGGTGTTGCCATCGTAAGCGGGACTTTTCCGTCGGCTACTTATGTAATTCTGTAAATTGTGGGAAGATGCTCTCAGTTTCAGAACCAAGTTCTTCATGTTATCAGTTTCGAGGCCATAATTCTGTGGAAAATAAAATCAAAGAGAAAAATTCAAAACAATGCACAATATTCGACAGGGCGCGGTGGCTCACGCCTGTAATCCTAGCACTTTGGGAGGCTGAAGTGGGCGGATCACGAGGTCAGGAGATCGAGGCCATCCTGGCTAACACGGTGAAACCCCGTCTCTACTAAAAACACAAAAAATTAGCCGGGCGTGGTGGCGGGCGCCTGTAGTCCCAGCTACTCGGGAGGCTGAGGCAGGAGAATGGCGTGAACCCGGGAGGCAGAGCTTGCAGTGAGCCGAGATGGCGCCACTGCACTCCAGCCTGGGCAACAGAGGGAGACTCTGTTTCAAAATAAAAACAAAACAATAAACAAACACCAATATTCAAACTCTCTGATAACTCAAAAGCCCAGTTAGTCACTTGAAAAAAACCTTACAACAACCACAAAACCCTATGTGATCTATCCCCAGCCCACTTCACTCACCCCACCCATATCAGCCTTCTCTCTGCTCCTTCCACAGCCACCCGGGCCTCAGGGACTTTGTTCTTGATAGTTCCTCTTCCCCAAATGCGCCTCCTACAAATATTGTCGTAGACAGCTCATTATTTTTTTATTTTTTTTATTTTATTTTTTGAGACGGAGTCTCACTGTGTCGCCCAGGCTGGAGTACAGTGGTGCCATCTCAGCTCACTGCAACCTCTTCTTCCTAGGTTCACAGGTTCAAGTGAATCTCCTGCCTCAGCCTCCTGAATAGCTGGGATTACAGGCGCGCACCACCATGCCGGGCTAATTTTTGTATTTTTAGTAGAGACGGGGTTTCACCGTGTTGCCCAGGCTGGTCTCGAACTTGTGAGCTCAGGCACAATGCCCCCCTCGGCCTCTCAAAGTACTGGGATTACAGGCGTGAGCCACCGCGCCTGGCCGACGGCTCATTCTTATCACTCAGGTGCTGGCCCAAATGTCCCCTCCCCTGCAAGGCTTCCCTGACCACTTAATCTAGAACAAGGTTTCTCAACCTCAGCCCTACTGACATTTGGGGCCAGATAACGCTTGTGGGGTGGGGGTCCCTGTGTCTTACAGGATGTTTATCAGCATCCCTGCTCTCTACCCATCAGATGGCAGTAGTACCTCCTCCCCCGGTGTGACAACCAAAAATCGCCCTGTGTCCCCTGGTGGCAGAATCGCCCCTTCGATTCACTCTCTAGCCCATCACCCACTTCTGCCCCATCTGAAGCACCGTGTTTGTGGCCTTCTTCCTCCACTGGGACGTGAGGGCTGCAGAAGCAGGGCTCTGTGAGTATGCCCACTACCGTATTTCCAGCACAGTGGACAATCATAGAGTCATGGAATGCATGGATTTCCACCAGGCGAGACACTCACACAAAAAAAAACACAGCAGCACTAACTAAACACCAATTCACTAAGCGTGATCTCCTGAGCTTGAAGATATGGCTCCTGTTTGTACTCCAAGCTACTCAAGAGGCTGAGGTAGGAGGATCGCTTGAGCCCAGGAGGTCAAGGCTGCAGTGAGCTATGATCGTGCCACTGTACTCCAGCCTGAGTGACAGAGAGAGACCCTGTCTCAATCAATCAATAAAATTAATTTCTTGCTCTTGTGCTTCTAACCTGTGTTCTTTTTGAACAATGTTCAGCTTATGTGGGTGCTTCAAAAAAATCAATTTCATGAGATAATACTGTCCTAGACTCCTTTTCAGAGAAAAGAGCCAATCCCAGGAAACAACATGTAAATCTGCAACATTAGAGGTGGGGGTATAAATTTCTGTATTCAGTTGCCTCTGTATGTCCTAAATTGTTTCATCATTTTTAAAAAAACATGACGATATTTCTTGAGATACATTATGCCATCTCAATAGCATCCCAAGGCAAGAATCTGGTACCATTTAAAAACTGAAACTAACAGAATACTTAACATTATTGAACACTTTATGCCAGGAACTGGACTCAGTGTTTGACATGTATTATCTCAGGAAAACAGCCCGTGAAGGTAGAAATGTTTTTATCTCTAATTTGCCGGTAAGGAAACTGGCATGATAACAGTAAATAAATTCTCCAAAGTTACAAAGCTCATCAGCGGTAGTGCTGAGCTTTTGACCAAGGCAATCTGCATCTAGGGCACAAGCTTTTGATTACTCTGCTGTGTATGTCCCCTTCCATACAACCTGCCCAAAAAAGCGCCACATGATAAGACAGATGACAAGATGGACATTAGACAAGAATAAGGAAAACTGTCCAGTGATCCTGGATCCAGCACAAGCTGAATAGCTATTCAGCTTCTCAAAATTCTACACATCCCCTCTGAAGTGGAGAAACTTTTTTTTTTTTTTTTTTTGAAACGGAGTTTCACTCTGTCACCAGGCTGGAGTGCAGTGGTGTGATCTCGGCTCACTGCAACCTCTGACTCCCTGGTTCAAGCAATTCTCCTGCCTCAGCCTCCCAAGTAGCTGGGATTACAGGCAAGTGCCACCATGCTCAGTTAATTTTTGAATTTTTTAGTAGAGACGGGGTTTCACCATGTTGGCCAGGGTGGTCTCAATCTCCTGACCTCATGATCCGCCCACCTTGGCCTCCCAAAGTGCTGGGATTACAGGCATGAACCACTGCACCCGGCTGTGGAGAAACTTCTTTCAGCTGGCTTTGGCTATGTGGGCCAGAGAGAGGCAAGTCACGTGTCAAAATCAAGATACATAAAGCATAAATATACTCGGAAGTAGGTAAGAAACTTTTTTTTTTTTGCAAGATGAACAATGGTAAGTTAAAAACAACAACAAAAGGCTTTAACTTTAACAAAACAATTCTAATTTTAAATAGATTTTACTTGAAGTTTAAATTTATGTTACCTCCTAGTGAAACAAAAAATAATATTTAAAAAATTAGAAATTTTGAAAGAAGCAAAAATTAGCTGAAAATGTTCTCTTCCAAACTTTTGAAAAAAACTGAATTTCAAAATATAAATGAATATTCTATATTAGCAGTATTTTTCTATCTAAATGTGATATTCATTTTTTGTTATTTTCTAGAGACTAAAATATAATAATATTGTCCTTCAATAGAGAGACAAAAATAAGATGGATTTGCATCACAGCTTTTTAAATTCAAAGAATCAAAGACTCACAATTGAATGGATAAAGAGGCCACAAGACAGAGCTTGTTTTGAAGGACTTGTAACTATGATTAAAGGGAAAGGTCCCCTCATTCGGTCACTCAGCCTGCCAACTTACATGAAGAGTTTTGAACTAAAAGCAGGAAAGTCAGCTTTCAATAATCAATGTCACCATAAATTACTTGGAACTTTTATTACCATATACATAACGTTTACTTATTGAACTCAAAGAGGATTAAGAGCATTTTATTGTTGCAAGAAACTTTAAACCTCAATCTTCTAAAAACATACCACTTTTAATACTGAAATAAAGGGGTAGAGTGGCTTCTTATAACTGGTTCTCTTCATTTTCCACTCAGTTTGCTCTTTTTCTTCCCCAAAACAAATAATGGACCTAGAAAGATGAATAAATATAGCTAGAATAGAATTTTTAAAAGAAGGAAGGAGGAGAAGAAGAAAGGAAAGTTCCTTCCCTTCGACCCCATTCCACATTAAAGAGAGAACAAGAAACTGATTATAGTAGCTCTAAAGAACCTCTACTGTAGAAGCATAATCAGGAAAGGATTATTGACTTAAGTGCCCCATAAAGACCGAAAATAAATAATTTCTCAGACCAGATTAATTATTTTCACCAGTCTTTTCCCCAAAACTTGTCTCCTTCAGAAACTGCTTTGAGATAAAGCATCAAAAAGATACAAATTAAGTAACACAATGAGTTTCTGAAAATCTGTTCACCTACTAAAACCCTTCCACTGAGATCTCACTTCCTAGGGTTCACCATCCGGGATCCTTTCCTGATCTGGCTAGAGAAACCATACACTAAATGGGAGAAAAGGAAAGCAAAAAGTCTTAAAATTATACACATTTAGCTAAGGACACACCTTACACAACTTCTTCTCTACCATCTTCTCCATTCCTACTAGCTCTGTTCGTGATCTAACGTGTGATTAAGGTGTGCCAGAGACACAAAATCAAAGCCATCTTATTGACTTGGGTCAATTAAGAGACAACCTAAGAAATATAGTTCACAATTTTCCTAAGGCATTTTTAAATAAGCTCATAAGCAAGATCAAGTTAAATACAACTTGCCAGCAAAAATTCCTGTTCCTGCATTTCTTCTCATAAAAAAGATAACATGTTTAAATGATTTGCCTTGGGTGAATAATAAACAACAAATAATCTCAGAGGTATACCAGTGCGCATAAGCACTCTAGGCCCATAGATTCATGACAGGTACTTCATTTAACCCCAAGTCTAGGTAGCATCATTTAACACATGCATCAATTCCAACTCTGTTCATTTCTCAACCTCCTTCAACCTTCAAAACACAGCTGCCCATGCCTTGGTGTTCAGTAAACTAGGGCCTCACTGACTTGGCAAAGAACACAGGTTACAGTCATACTTATCTTTTTTTTTTTTTTTTTTTTGAGATGGTGTCTCACTCTGTCGCCCAGGCTGGAGCGCAGTGGCATGATCTCGGCTCACTGCAAGCTCCACCTCCTGGGTTCACGCCATTCTCCTGCCTCAGCCTCCCAAGTAGCTGGGACTACAGGCACCCGCTACCACACCCAGCTAATTTTTTGTATTTTTAGTAAAGACAGTGTTTCACCATGTTAGCCAGGATGGTCTCGATATCCTGACCTTGTGATCCGCCTGCCTCGGCCTCCCAAAGTGCTGAGATTACAGGCGTGATGGGATTACAGGTGTAAGCCATTGCACCCGGCCACAGTCATACTTATCCTTATTGGTTATTCTTACTGGTTATTCTCAATCACACCCTCTCGACCAGTACTGGCCAACAGAACTCTATGCACAGATGAAAATGTTCTTTATCTGTGCTGTCCAATATCGTAGCCACTAGCCACATGGAGCTTCTGAGTACTTGAAGTGTTGCTAGTACAACCGAGGAACTGAATTTTTTTTTTATTTTAGTTGATTTTCATTTAGACAGTCACATTGGGTAACAGCTATCCTACTGAAAAGAGCAGCTCTATAATCGGTCTCAGGTACCCTCTACCCAGAGAGAGGAAGAAAAATTGGGTACAGATTCTAATTCAATCTGGGAAAGTGGTCCTGGTCTCATCATATAATACAAATCACTCTCCTAAGCCACGACTGCCAGCCAAAGTCAATGTTCACAAAAGATGGTTTCTCTCATTGCTCTCTAACCATGACCAGCTAATTTGTGAGCCACTGCTCACCAGTTTTGGAATCTTCATTAATAGCTGTTTCCTATTTTAGGTTCCTGCCCATCTATCTGCCCCTCTCCTTACATTGATACTTTCCAGTGGTTTTGTTTCTCCCCTCCCCCTTCCTTACTTTTAATTATATTCATTTCCTGTCTATCATAAAATCAACATCCACTAAACTAAGTTTACATAGAAACCTCTTTTATAACACCAAGGCCAACTGCATTTACACATTAACTGCCCTGGAGATGTTCTGTTCAAAGCATCACCAATTTATATATCCAAAGATCTATATGCTATAAATGGATTAAAAAGACAGTATAATTAGTATATGAATTATAATAAGAATATTCAAAAAGGAGATTATATCCAGACTAAAGACATTTTAGTAAAACTCACTAAAATAATCCACACTCTTTTGTGAACCCCTAAGTGACCCCCCCTGTCCAATGTAGTCACTGGCACAGAGCAGGTCCAGAATGAGTCTGAGGTCAAAGCTTGGTCTACAAAGGAAATTAGAAGGAAATTGTAGGAGATAAAACACAGCTTTAGGTTCTGGCATTTGTCCAGCTTTGTTCATTTTAGCCTAATGCTCTAAGAGGTAGAGAAGAGGAAAAAGCAAAGAGAATGCCCAGAGGCAGCTGTTACGTTTATCATCCCACTTGATGCATGTGATGCGTCTCTAGCTGACCCTTCCTGCCTCTCTTACTTTGGATTTCCAAGTAAATTTACCTGTCCTCAAAGTATTACTGCAAAGTGAAAGAGACAATTTGCAAAACATCAAGCAGAAAAGACGGAAAAGCCATGTTCCCAGAAAGTATAATAAAAGTAAACTCAAACACGTTTGTACAAAAAAAAAAAAAAAAGAAAATACAGTTTCGGTAATAAACAGGATGCTTAGATGTCTGGGCAGTGCAAAACACACAATAGTACACAGCCACATCTAAGGTGAGCGTTACTGTACAGATGGGAAAAACAGACATCACCATTTCCCCAGAGGTCACAGAGGGAGTAGCATGTAGCAGAGCCAGGATTAGAATGCAAATTCCTGCTTCCCAGACCCGTGCTCAGACTACTTGGCCATAGCGTCTCCCAGGCGGCAGCTCATTTATCAACTACAAATAATTTCCCCATTACTTTCCTAAACAAGAGCAGCACATCTCAGAGCAGAAGACAAGGCTCTGTCCATTTTAAGAAGAAGAATACACACAATGCAGCAAGTGTTATATAATCAACAGTACGCAGACCAGCGACGGCAAAATCATCAGCAGCACATTCTTTCCCACCATTCTCAGTGATGTAATTGTATATACCCCTGGCTGGGGTTCAGGGCATTACTAACCCAGCCTGAATGCTGTCGAGTTTGTCCAAATCCTGACAGTTAAGTAAACTGCATCTTTAGCCTGGCACCGGGACAGGCAGACTTGAATCCCACCCACACTAACCAATTTATAAACAAAATGTCCTTACAGGTGTTTTTGGCCCACACCTAACGAAGCTACCCATGTGATTCTAGTGTCAGGACCCAGCAGGATTTTACTCATTCATGTTAAAGCCAAAACCCATCATCTACAAAATGTAATGAAGGCCACATTTTTTTCCCATTTTATAGGTCATGTCAAGTGCAAATATCAGTTATTTAAATATCACAAATATCTGTGAAACTCAACCGCTTTTTATAGTAACAAAATCAGACATGAAAATCAGAACCTATTTCTCACTTCAATTTAGAAGATGACATTTTCTTTTCTTTTTTGAGACAGGTTCTCACTCTGTCACCCAGGCTAGAGTGCAGTGGTGCGATCTCTGCTCACTGCAGCCTCCACCTCCCAGGCTCAGGTGATTCTCTGACCTCAGCCTCCTGAATATCTGCGACTATAGGTGCGTGCTAGCCACACCTGGCTAACTTTTGGTATTTCTAATAGAGACAGGGTTTTGCTACGTTGCCCAGGCTGGTCTCAAACTCCTGGACTCAAGCAATCCACCCGCCTCGGCCTCCCAGAGTGCTGGGATTATAGGCATGAGCCACTGCGCCTCGCCAGAAGGTGACATTTTCATTCAGGAGTATTTCCATCATTTTTTCCTTATAAAAGAAAATTAGACTAATACAGAGATTTTCTGAAAAAGACAAACTCTTTCTGTAAAGGACAAGTTAATAAATATTTTAGGCTTTGGGGGAACCATGTGGTCCCGTTACAACCACTCAATTCTGTCACTGTCGCAAGAAAGCAGTCACAAACACGTAAGTGAATGGACATGGTTGTGTTCCTATAAAACTTTATTTACAAAAATAGATAGTGGGCCAGATTTAACTCGCAGGCCATAGTTTGCCAACCTTTAATGTAGAAAATAACTTATTTTTCCCCTTCCTATAGTATCTTCAGCTCATGTTTTATTTTGATGGAGCATTAAGGAAAGAGTGATATGCTAAATCACAAACAATGACGGCTTAAGAGAGCAAGGCTCTAAAGAACGTCATCACGGTACAGACCGTCTTTTCCTGAACTAACCAGTGCACAGAGAAGGTCCACAGCCTCCAACACAAGCTCCTGGTGTCCAATCCGTGTGACCCCCAGCTCCTCCAGGTCCTGATGGGAAATCTGCAGCAGCTGCTCGCCGTTGATCTTCTCTCGTTCAAACTTGTGGACATATTGTTGCAGGCAGTCATCCAACCCTGCCAAAAACAATCAGAAGTCCCATTATTGCCATTTTGTTCCTTTACCCACCCCCTGCAAACTGCCCACATGTCACATCAATCTCAGCAATCAACAATTATGATGCCACTATCTGGTTATCTATGTGAGGCCTATTGCACCTGATGGGCACTTTTGCATGACATGTCAAACAGGTTTTCAAGGGCAGCTTAACATTCTCAAGTGATCCAACAGAATTTTATGATAGTTACCTTCTCATTCCCTGTAAACTAAAGGAATAAACACCAAACCCCTGTTGACTTAAAATGCTAATTATCTAGACCAGACATGCTGTCTGTTTGCTAAGCAACCCTTCTTTTGGGACATCATCCCTCCCATCCCACGTAATCCCAGGGAGCTTGCCAGTCAAGACGCCTTGCCACAGTGGGTGGCACATGGCCAGGTCTCCCGTAGTGCTCTATACACCAGCCAGTCACAGGTTTAGGGATGGACATGTGACTCAAGCAGAACCAATCAGAATCTTCCTTGATATTTGATATATGGACACAAGAACTGAGAAGCTCTTTCTTACTTTCCAATCAGAAGTCAAAAGATAAACCTTGGCAATGCTGGCAGTCATTTTTCTCATCAGTTTTCTGAGAATAAATCCATTTGAGAAAGAGAGAGAGAAAATGCCCCCAATAATATCCTATATGCCCCTGGATCTAACCTTGCTTAATAAAGATACTTCTAGCCCTAGAATATTTCACTTAAGTTTAAATAAGTTTTCTTTTTAGATTAAGCTTGTTTGTGTCGAATCTCTGTCCCTTGCAACTGAAAAAGTTCTTATAAATACAGACTATAAAGGAGACAGGTATCAGCAGTGGTACCACATAGAAAGGCATGGTAAATGGGTTCGCTTACGGGAATTTTTCCAGGTCAAACACTATGGCCAAAAGTGCCGTATTTTAATGCTTGTATATAATGACTAAAACGAGTAAGCCAAATAGAACTTGAGAATTCTTATTCCTGTACAGAGAACTTGTTTTAATAATTTTACTGGAATAACATTTTACCCTGAATCAATTGATCTATTGAAGCCTAATAATAAAAGTCACCTTAGTGTTTTAAAAGACTTAGTGATTTAAAAGTGTTTTAAAAGTTATATAAACTCAATCCTAACACAAAGAGTGAACACTCAATTTAACGGGAAAAGTATGTAGAAAGCATGCTGCTGCCCCTCCCCACCAAACGCGCACACACACACACGCACACACGCATACATGCACACACACGCGCACACTCGTGCACACACGCACACGCACAGATGCACACACACATTTATTTCATTTAATCCTCACAAAACCTGTGTCAGTGGGTATTTCTCTGAGCTAGAAAAGGCCCAGCACTTACTTTTTGTAATACTAAAGTCTATGGATATTATAATCTGATGTGTGAGGCTAAACTACATCTCTGCCCTGCAAATGTTCACCATTTGCCTCCTAATAAGATACAGGAAGAAGAGTAGTTTTCTGATAACCATTTGGGGCTATTAAATATAGGAAGAGGAAGTAATAAAAAAAACTATGGTAACCATTTGGAACCCAACTCATCCTCCCTGAAATGACATCTGTCTAGCCCAGGGGCTAGACATTACGCAGCAAGTGAGGCTGGGGATACTGATATAAACCCAGCTCCGCTCTGACAGCCTTGAGCTACAGGTGGCCTTCGTGGCACGCGAGTCAGGCAGGCAGTGGAGGCCAGGCAAGTCGACAGGTGTTGAGACCAACACCCTACCTGGGCTGCAAATGCAACCTCAGCACCAGGACACTCAGAGTCAATCGTCTGCGGGGGAGGCAGTATCTATCTGTAGCAGGCAACCATGACAAGGGACAAGATTGAAGGACAGCCTCCTAACTATTTTGTTGATGAAAGAATTAAGGCTCACGGAGGATACATAACCTGTCCACAGTCATACAGCTGGTCAGATGCCAAGAGAAGGGCTGATGCACCCATCATCAAGGGTCTGTTGGACACAGCCTCGCTCTTCTGCATTTTCTCGCAAACACGAGATTATAACCCAGGATTATAAAAATTCTTCTCCAACAACTTCTTAAATCAACAGTAAGGTCTAACAACAAGACAGTTATTAAAATAGAATTACAGAATCTTAGAGACACTTAAAAGGCATTTCAGATCTCACTGAGTACAAAAAATTGAGAAAGCACAGACAAAACAGAAATTACTGTGAAGTTTACCCAGAATCACTTAGCCAGTTCTAAGCCTGATCATGATTTTCTCTTCTCTCTTGGGACGCTGTCTTCCCTAGCCTACTTTTAAGCTTTAAAAAGAATTTTTTGTTTTAATTCATCATACAAGTTTAGGACAACTATGTTATACATTTCAAGCCTGTTATGGCTAAACTGTGTCCCCACAAAATTCATATGTTACAGTCCCTGGAATGTATTTGGAGAGAGAATCCCTAAAGAAGGAATTAAGTTCAAATGACATCGTTAAGGTGGGCTCAATCCATATGACTCGTGTCCTTATTAGAAGAGGAGATAACGACACAGACACACACAGAAGAAAGATACGTGAAGACACGGAAAAGACGGTCATTGTAAACCAAGGAGAGAGGCCTCAGAAGAAACCTACCCTGCTGACACCTCGATCTCAGACTTCTAGCCTCCAAAATGGTGATGAGATAAATTTCTGTTGTTCCGGCCTCCCAGTCTATGGAACTTTGTTATGGCAGCCGAAGCAACATAATACAAATACAATAACATTTCCTTTCATATTAATCCACACGTGATGGACTGTCTTAAACAAGGCCCAGTCAGGTGATGTTTACTGTGCTGAACAAGCTCACTGCTCATAATACAAAGCATTAACACTGAGAGATTCACATTCGTTTTCATGTACAGCATAAATCAGTTCATTAAAACTAAAGTGAAAAAGTATATTGGATGTTCCTTAAGCTTCATTCCTGAATGCTAAGGAGAAACATAAAGATGAGGCCAGATCATTTCTCTTTTAACGAACCGAAAAATTCACAGAAGGAGTAGGATTTCAGAAGTAGCTTTAGAACAGTAAGGAAATGTTTGGAGCACTGAAAAGGCTGAGATGGGAGGAATGGTGAGAGTTCTAGACAGTATGCAGGCAACAAATGATTAGAGATTGAGAATTGAAGAATACAGAGCATTTCTCTGAGAAACTAACCAGAATCTCCTTGAGGATTATGAGAGAATAGAAGCATTGTAACCTCAAATAATCACAAGTTCCCTGAGATGTAGAATTATCAAGCAGAAAAATCACGTTACTGCCCACATAAGAATAGAATGTATTGTAGCCTGAAGACTTTGTCCTCAAGGCACACATATATTGAATATGCTAGGTTTTAAATAGTGTCACCCCCCAGAGTTTTATTATTCCAATACATTATGACCTATTGTTCGGCAGTCCTATTGTTTAGAATACAATTAAACATTTATAAACAGCTAAATTAAACTATTACGCAGTCCCACAAAGGAGGGAAAAGCCTCAATTTCTAGTAAACTGATCTAACAGTCTTAGAATTTGCAATAAACCATATTCTTTTACTTATTTGTCAGATGGATCTATCTGCCAGTTTCTTGCTTCAAGCAATTTACAGAAAGTCTAGCAGGACCAAGAGAAACACACAATTCAGTAAAATTAGATTAAACACATTCCATTTATACAAATTAAACACATAATTAAATGTGAAGGAAAAAGAGAAGAAATTCTCACAGAAAGGGAGCCACAGGGCCCAGACCTACTCTACTGTCATGAAATCTGGCTGCATATAATCCTAAACCTTCAAGGAAATCCCAAATGCAAGATGAAAACACACACACACACACACACACAGAGAGAGAGAGAGAGAGAGAGAGAGAGAGAGAGAGAGAGATAAGAGCCCGCAATCCAATACCAGTCTCCCTTCTTACTGACCGGGTAACCTGGAGCAAGTTACTCAGCTGTCTCATTTGTAAAATGAGAATACTAATACTACCCACTACATAGAACTGTAATGAAAATTTAATGTTAATGTTTATAAAGAACTTAAAACACCATGGAACACACAGTAAATACTCTGTAAATTTAGTTAAATTTTAAAATGTGATTTATTCAGGTCCTCAATTTTCTAAATGTTCAGAATAAAAGTTGCTGGCTGGGCATGCTGGCTTACTCCTATAATTCTAGCACTTTGGGAGGCCAAGGCAAAAGGACTGCTTGAGGCCAGAAGTTTGAGACCAGCCTGGACAACATAGCAAGACCCCATCTCTATTAACAGAAAAAATTTGTTGTTTGTTTGTTTGAGACAGGGTCTCACTGCAGCATAGCAGCACGATCATAGCTCACTGCAGCCTTGAATACCTGGGCTCAAGTGATGATCCTGCCTTAGCCTCCCAAGTAGCTGGGACTACAGGTGTGTGCCACCACACCCAACTAATTTTTCATTTTTTTGTAGAAACGAGGTCTCCCTATGTTGCCCAGGCTGGTCTTGAACTCCTGGGCTCAAGCTGTTCTCCTGCCTTAGCCTCCCAAAGTGCTAGGATTACAAGTGTGAGCCACTATACCTGGCAGAAAAAAAAAAAATAATAATAAAATTTTTGAAAGAGAATAAAAGTTGCTAAAGAGACACAGAAACTCCCAAATGCTTAGATGGCTATGTTATTACCTTTCCCAGAACGTGTTCCCAAATGTGAGAGCCTGCAATCATCATTGGTTTCACCTAAAAAATTTTTATGATTTATATCAGAACGTAAGCATCACAAAAGCAGTGACTTTGGACGGGCACAGTGGCTCACATCTGTAATCCCAGCACTTTGGGAGGCCAAGGAGGGTGTATCACTTGAGGTCAGGAGTTCGAGACGAGGCCTGGCCAACATGGTGAAACCCCATCTCTACTAAAAATACAAAAAAAAAAAAAATTAGCCAGGCGTGGTGGCAGGCACCTGTAATCCCAGCTACTCGGGATGTTGAGGCAGAAGAATCAGTTGAACCTGGGAGGCAGAGGTTGCAGTGAGCCGAGATCATGCCATTGCACTCCAGCCTCCATCTCAAAAAACCAAAAAAAAAATAGTGATTTTGTTTTGTTCACTACTTCCTCCACTGGTGTGGAGAACATTGCTGGTGTTCAATAAATATTTGTAAAATAAACACATGAGGCAAGAAGAAAGACAAAGAGCTCCACATAAATATTAATATCACACCAATGCACAGAAGTCATCTGCTTTTATTTTCTTTCCTTTTTTTTTTTCAGACAGAGTTTCTTTCACTCTTGTCAATTCTCCTGCCTCAGCCTCCCAAGTAGCTGGGATTATAGGCACCCGCCAACACGTCCAGCTAATTTTTGTATTTTTAGTAGAGACAGGGTTTCACCATGTTGGCCAGGCTGGTCTCGAACTCCTGACCTCAAGCAATCCACCTGCCTCGACCTCCCAAAGTGCCAGGATTATAGGCATAAGCCAACATGCCTGGCCTGCTTTTATTTTCTTATACAAATAAGCAACTAAACTATTGATTGTGATATCAGTTACAGATATTTGCTGCACATTTCAACATTTCAAGATTAAAGGAGGTCATTTCTGCACAAAGAGAAATATCATAAACAAAATAAAACTCCAAGCCTCTCAGTATCAGTCTTTGACAAGATACCTGCCTTGTACTAAGAATTTTTATTAATTAATTAATCTCCCCTAAGTGTAGAAAGGATTATATACATGAAGACTAAGAAGTTAGAGTAAATGCCCCAATGCAAAAAAAAACAAACAAAAAACAAAACAACAACAACAAAAAACTATGGCTATTCTCATTTTCTGTAAAAGAGTAAAATCAGATGATGAACTAGGTCCCAGAAAGCAAATGGTCATCATGACCACTTTAGTGGAAAGTGTCCCACAGACCACACCTTCTGTGGCTTTGCTTCCAGCTTAGCAAGCTCAAGTTGGCAGAAGCTACAATTCTTCAAATACAGGAGCCCAGAGTGGTTCTTCCAATGTTTTGCATTGAGTACTCTCACCTGAGTTGGGTTTTGTGCTTTCAGGTTGTTTTTTGTTTTCTGGGTTTTTGTTTTGTTTTGTTTTGTTTTTTTAATGATTAAATTCAGAAATCAGTTTAGCTAAAGCTTGTAGACTCTCATCTCACTCAAGACTTTTAAGAATCACAAGTGACATGTGCCAGGCGCGGTGGCTCACGTCTGTGATCCCAGCACTTTGAGAGGCCAAGGAGGGTGGATCACTTGAGGTCAGGAGTTCGAGACGAGCCTGGCCAACATGGTGAAACACCATCTCTACTAAAAATACAAAAAAAAAAAAAAATAGCTGGGCTTGGTGGTGGGCCCCTGTATTCTCAGCTACTCAGGATGCTGAGGCAGGAGAATCAGTTGAACCTGGGAGATGGAGGTTGCAGTGAGCTGAGAACATGCCATTGCACTCCAGCCTAGGTGACAAGAATGAAACTCTGTCTCAAAAAAAAAAAAAAAAAAAAAAAAAAAAGTGACATGTGATGCAAAAATTTGCTCCAACAGGATTTTGGTAGACTATGCTCTTCCACGAGGAGAATCATCACAGACTCACACAAATTCAATTTAATTCAACAAACTTTAGGAAGCAACTACTATATGTAAGATACTCTCTACTGGAAATCGACCTCCATTACAAAGGAGACGGGGTTCAGGGGTAGGTCAGCTTATTATTATCTGAACCAGAGGGACGGAAACAGGATTTGGGGGGTACATTTACACCTGACCACAATATTCTCAGAATTCCCAATACTTTGAAAAACATTAAATGGTAAAGACCTGACATCAAAGCTCCTTAGCCTTCCCGACTTACTGACACCACTGGCCAGTATATTATAACTTCCCCCAAACATGACATGTTGCTAAGAACAAAAAGACAGCTTTCAAACAGAAGCGTGACATGTTTTGGCTTCTATGTGAGCGTAGTATGATTAATGGAGGGAGCAAGGCTGATGTCAGGGCATGCCAAAAGCCAGAAAGGTGGTCTACTGGTAGGCCTCCGAGTGCCCTTTCGTGAGATGAGTCACCCAGTTACATCACTTGGAAATGCCTTTCTTCTGTCGCTCGTTTTGTTGATGTCTGTAGGCCTTAATTTTCAGGACTAGTTGATAAAGAGTTGATTTAAATATAGCAATTTGAGGTTGTTCAATAATACTATGTTTGAAACCCAGCAGTGGGCCAGATGCAGGGGCTCACACCTGTAATTCCAGCACTTTGGGAGGCCAAGGTGGGTGGATCACCTGAGGTCAGGAGTTCGAGAACAGCCTGGCCAACATAGTGAAACCCTGTCTCTACTAAAAATGCAAACAGCCGGGCGTGGTGGCCTGTAATCCCAGCTACAGGCGTTCTCTGCATTCTGTTCTGTCATTTGTCTCTGCAGAGTATCCCTTCACCATGTCCCCTTCTGCTCGTGGTCACTGTCACAGCTGAACTTATGTCTTGCCCGGATTTCTGCAATAACCTAGAAAGTGGTGGCCATGCTCACTCCCTTCTTCCTCTTAATTCATCCTCTATCATTCCATCTGAGCAAAACCATCCTGTCCTTTACAGATCCCAGTCCATTAGCTCAACACAGCATCTCAAGTCCTTTGGGACCCGTCCTCTTCCAAACCTCCCTGCAGTCCCATCATCCTGTAACTCACCCTACTGGTGAGGACACAGTAAGCACCTGTTCTGCTGAGTTTCTCCAAAAGTAACAAAAATGTCACGCACAGGTTGGCAAAAACAGCACCCAGGCCAAATCCTGCCAGCTGCCTGTTTCTGCAAACAAAGTCTGAATGGAACACGGCCATGACTCCTTGGTTTACAGATTGCCTCTGGCTGCTTTTGTACTACAATGGCAGAGTTGAATAGCTGTGATAGAGACGTATGGCTCTCCCACAGAGCCTAAAATATTTACTACCTGGCCCAGGTTTACAGGCCCTTGGTATAACTGACAGCAGCGATGAGTACAGAGTGATGATGACCTCTGCCGACCAGAAAAATAGACTCCACCAGTCTAGTCTGGAATTAAGGGAATGTGAGTTTTTCTTTTTTTGTTGTATTTTTTAAGGAATCATTTCATACAGTTACACTGAATTTAAAACCATAGAAAATGCTCCCCCCTCCCCTAATGAAAGACCTGAATGTTTTAGGAGGTTCCTTACAACTTTTGAGCCACTTTATTATTTTCTTTTTGTCAGTTCTCTTGAGGCATAATTTATAGACATTAAAAGTCACCAATTTCCAGGGTACAACTCAGTGAGCTTGGACAAACAGGCAGTCATTCAACCACACTACAATCATGATAGAAACATTCCTATCACCCCCAAAAAAAGTTCCCTCGGGCCCCTTTGCTGCCTACTCCCTCCCTACAGCCCCGTCCCCAGCTGCCACTAATCTGATTTCTACCTAAATGAGCCCAATTTCTCCTCCTGGCTGTACTCCCTGTCCTGCCCCAGTAACACTGGCTAACTCACTTAGTTCTGGTTCTCAGGCTTCCCATCAGTGGATTAGCAGGCTTCCATTAGAACTGACACCCACGCACACTACTAATTGCAGCTCTGATTTTATCAGTCATCCTTCGAGGTTTGTGGTTAAATTTAATTTGAAGAACGGGGACCATGATGAAACATAATGTCTGAAAACTGGATTGGAAAGCTGCCGTGCTTCTTTCAGGTCTAAAGATCCATAGTTCCAACATATGTTTGAGCTACTCAGAAGTTACCTTTACTTACAAGAGCAGAGAATGAAAAAGGAAATAAGCTGCCCAGAAACTTAAGTCCTAAATATCCTCAAAGCTACAAAAGAAAGAAAAAGAAAGAAAGAAGAAAAAAAGAAAGAGAAAGAAGAAAAAGAAAGAGAGAAAGAAAGAAAGAGAAGAAAAAGAGAGAGAAAGAAAGAAAGAAAGAAAGGAAAGAAAGAAAGACTAGCAAATGAATGAACTTGGTCTTGAAAAAAACCATATAAAGACGATGCATGTAAGTCGGGTTTTGACCCTGATCAGAGCTGTGAGCTGGAACTGCTGCTCCCTTGGAAGCAGGGGCCCTGTGAAATCCAAACACATAATAAAGATCCAACCACCAAGAACCCTGGGAAGCCCAACTTACAACCAGCAAAGTTCTTTCACTTTGTTTCTGAAATGGAATGACTGATTTTGAGGATAAGGGACACCCCACTGGCCATTTTTTGGGGTACCAAGCTGAAAGAACAGTAATGCAGAAGAGAAAATAAAAGTTTAGACTCTTACCCATTTGGGAAAAGCTGATCTACACATTGCTGAAGAGCTACCAAATACGTAGTAATGAGCCCACAGCTTCAATTTCTTACAAAAGGCAAAAACAGGTGGAATGGAAGGACAGTCAACCCTAAAGCGCTTTCTTGTTCCCAAAGCAAACTCAACTTTCTTGTTAGTAACCAATGTTCTCTAAGACTTAGGTCACCCTGAAGACATCGGAAGACGTAACCAACGAACAACCACACTTTGAGTTTCACAACATAAGTAGAAGACATATTATTTAAACAAAATTTGGAACTAGCAAACACATCCATGCCAGGATAATTTAAGAAAGTAAAAATAGAAGGAATACCTTAGCTCAAGGATTCAAGTTAACCAGAAAACAACAGTCAGACGGGCTGCCCTCATTTGAGGTTTCTGAATGGGTAAGTAATGTGTCCCAGCTGAAAACTTTAACCAGGAACCTCTGGCTCTCAAGTTGTAGGGCTCCCAAGCCTACGCTGCCTCAACCCCAACCCCAACAGATTCTGTACAACTTCTGACGACTGTGAAATGGACCCAGCCTGCCCCCACCCCCTCCTGGGACCCTGAGCTGCTGAAAAAAGTCTAGCCATGGAGGGAGAAGCACCCAGAGCAGGGACAGGCGAAAGAACAGAAGTTGGTATTATCTGAAAGGATTTTTGGAGGGAGAAGTTTATGCTGATCTAAATCACAAAAAAAGAACCGACATGCAAATCTTAAGTCAACTGAAGAGATCATCAGAATTCAGAATATAATGGCAGCCCTCAATATTCTCCTTTGAGTCCTCCTTCTTTGCTCCTCCCTCAAAAAACAATGTATGAGGAGCTTGAAAGATAATACTGAGGGCAGGGAAGAAACACAACATTGACTTATATGTTTGAAGGTGTGTGTGCGTGCATGTGTGTGTAAAAGCATATACCTATATCTCACAGCAGACATTAAAAATGCAAAATGAGAGACTCTAAAGACAAAAACACAACTGTGGGGATGAACACAAAACCTACGCAATACTCTGGTAAACATGTACTTTCCAAGGTTGTTTGTTGTAATTCAGTAACCACACCATTGTATCCAATTTTGTAACAGACCTTGGACCAAACAAGGGGAGGGGAGGGGAAGAGAGAAGCCACATATGAAACAGAAGAAAGGAATGCATTTTACCCAGGAAGCTGTACTTTTTGCCTCCTCTAGTGCAGCCTACTTTGCCAAAACCGTAAATTCGATTTGGTCTAAAAACCAAACACCGGCAAAACTATCCTCAGTTCATGCTTACGCTGAATGAAGGGTAGAATTAACTAGCTCCCCTGCCACACAGCAAGTTTATGTTTTTAGCACGGGGGAGAACCAACTCGGCACAGAGACATGCAGTGGCCGCGACAGCTGCACCCATTGCTTGAGTGTCAAGTTGGGCGAGTTCTACCGTATGGAGGTGAGCACATCCATCACTTCTGCTCCACCTGAGCCATCAGGATTTCCATGGAAAAACCATTCAGCCAACCCTCTCCCAACACTGCCATCATCATTTCAAAGTGCGTGGTCCAAACAGCCAGGTCTTGTATTAAATTAAAACCCCGCATGAATAGGGGGCGGCTTGATTTACAAAGTTCCCACCCACACAGTGGCTCATGGATCCCTGCAGTGACCCCACGGAGGGTGCTGGCCGGGTTATCATCATCTCCAGTTTATTGGTAAGGAAAGCAAATCCCAGAGACTATCAGGAAAAAGGCAAAGCTAAGACAGAACCCGGACCTCAACTGGGCACCTAGATCCTTGTGGGGTCTGAGGTGGTCAATGAAGAAATAAGTGGAGGGGAAGACAGTTAAGTACGTTAATGTGCAGAGTCCATTACTGAGTACTTACTATGTTTTTGGCACCACGGGATGCATTGTGGAAATGGCATAATTTATAGTTGCTGTTCAAGTAGCTGAAGATTAAACAATTGTAAAATAAGCAAGAAGAAGCTCTGCACCAACTATACAGGCCAGGAGAAACAGTATGGCCTGTGGAGCCAGAAGGCCTGGATTCAGCTCTACCACTTCCCAGCTGTGTGACCTTGTGCAAATTACTTAACCTCTCTGTGCCTCACTTTCCTCATCTACAAAATGGAGAGGACAGCAGTCCCTATACCTCATGGGATTAACTGGATGATTAAATGTGTTAAAATGTGTAAATGAGTTAATATTCTTAAAGCACTTACAAAAATTACCAGGTATATAGTAAGCGCTACTATTTAAAAAATAAAAGAAACTGGGGCTCAGCTTATAAGTAACTGGCCTAAAGTCACACAACCAATAATAGGCAGAGTCAGGATTTAAAGCCATTTCCCAGAATTGTGAAAGGAGAGCATGAACCCAGCATGGGCTTGCGAGATTTGGAGGTTTGATGGCAGGAATCTCATATTATCCGCAACCGATGCCTTTTACTTCCTGAAGTGGCAGGAGTTGGAGGCAGGAAGGGGTGCTCCAATACAAGGAGGCTGGAAAAGGGCCGAAACGGCTGGGGACAGCCGCCTGGGACAATGGAGCAGGTTTGCCAGGCAGCATTAAAGTCTTTCTAAAATGTTTTAATAGCAGCTTTATTGAGACATAATACATATACCATACAATTCGCCTATTTAAAGTAAACAATTCAGCAGGTTTTAGAATATCCACAGAGCTGTGCAACCCTAACCACAATCAATTTTAGAATTTTTAACACCCCCTCACCAAAGAAAATTCTGTACCCATTAGAAGTCCCTCCCCCCGAAATTATACAATAACGTTGTATAAGTTCCCCCCACCCTGTCAGTATTCTTTCCGGTGAACCTGTCTGACCCTCAACCCTAAGCAACTACTAGTCTACTTTCTGTCTCTATGGATTTGCCTGGATGTTTCACATAATGGATCCTGCACATTTCACATAAACAGAATCATACAGTATGTGGTTTTGTGTGATTGGCTTCTTTCACTTAGTATCAAGTTTTTGAGGTTCCTTAAAGCCTTCTTAATGCACAACTTCAATGCTCTTCCCTTGCTCCAAGCCCTACTGGCTTCCCACTGCACTGGGGATAAAATCTACAGCCAAAAAGGTCCAGTGTGATCTTCCTGAAGGCATCTCCATCTCCGGCCACATTCTCCCCTAACCACTATGCTGGATGCTGGCCAAGCACCTCGGGCTCCTATCTCGAGGCCTTTCCCTGTGAGGTCCCATCTACCTAGAATGGCTCAGTCTCAGCTCCCTTCACATCTGCAGGGAGGCTTCAGCTGGCCACGGTATATGAAGGAGCCCAGCATTCTGTTATTCGCTGTGCCCTTCACAAGCCTTTCCAAACCTGTGACTGTTTATGTGTTCATTATGCTGCAGCGAGCCCCCTGCCTCCCGCCACAGAGGGCCAGGACCATGCATGGCCGCATTATTTACCATTTCGCCACCTGCACTGCCCAGCACAGAGGAAGCACTTTGGGATTGGTTGAATGAAAGAGAAAAAAAGGAAGGAAAAGTCCAGCTGAGGTTGAAGACTGCAGTTTGGAGATGCATAAATCAATAAAGTTGTACAATTTCCCCCCACCCTGTCAGTATTCTTTCCGGTGAACCTGTCTGACCCTCATCTTCTCACCTTTTTCTTTTTTTCTTTCCTTTTTTTTTTTTTTTTGAGACGGAGTCTCGCTCTGTCGCCCAGGTTGGAGTGCAGTGGCACAATCTCGGCCTCAGCCTCCCGAGTAGCTGGGACTACAGGCGCCCACCACCACGCCCGGCTAATTTTTTGTATTTTTAGTAGAGACAGGTTTTCACCGTGTTAGCCAGGATGGTCTTGAGATATCTCCTGACCTTGTGATCGGCCCGCCTCGGCCTCCCAAAGTGCTAGGATTACAGGCGTGAGCCACCGCGCCCGGCTTCACCTTTCTTTCATATATACATCACCAAATATTTATTATGCAACCCACTGGCACATGGGCTGGGGGTATTCACCGTGGGAAATGAGAAAAAGGAGATCCCAATCCTGCAGCCTGCAGTACGGCAGGGGAAGAATCCTTCGAGTTCTTCAACACAAAATTCCCACAAGTTTGCTATGCTCGCGGCTTCACGGGATGCCAGCCCTGGTTACCAGAATGACTTAACTGAAGCTTTCTCTTGTTCTCCAGAAAACCCAGTTTTCACTACACTCTAGGGGCCAAGACAACATTTCCCAGATCCTATGCTGCTTGATATGAATCTCTAGGGTCCTCTCATCTTACAGAGTCACCTTTTTGCTGTGCTGAGGGAAGAGTATCTAGGCCTCTGGCTCTGGCTCTCATGAGCTAAGTGACCTCAATCAGATCACTTGGCTTCTTCACTGCAGTGTAAAATGCAGGAGCTGGGAAGGTGACCCTGTGGTTCCCACTGGCCCTGCGTTGCTATGATTCTGTACTTCTTAAGGTGCTGTGTTTTTTCCCATCATCAAACTAATCAGGCACCACCTTCATGCCAAACCCCCGATAGCAGAAAGTCCTCTAATAGCAAAGCCAGCTCCCATCAACAGGGCAGGAATTGGCACTATTTGTGTACAGTTAACTGACATGTGCAAAAGTAGTGTTTCTGAGGTTAATACATGATAAGATCATACGAGGCCAGAATTAAGAGAAGAACTGTAAAGCACTGTTATACTTCTTGGTTTTGTTTCATGCTTAATAAAACAGTTGTGTGCATCGTGCATCTGATATACAGAAAACCAGATCCTGGGTTGGCTCAGCTGGGACTGACTGTTAGGGTGGAGGGTGAAAGCCTCCCTGTGATCACTGCACATTGTCACAGCAGGGACAGCAGTGTCCCCTCTGCTGTCCTTCCCAGAGAGGGCAAGAGCAGGCAATGCCACTGAGGTTCTCAAAAGGAAAAAAAATTCTACTCTCGGAAACATTCACACTAACATACAATTCACATCGTGGATTTAAGCAGCACGTTAAAGAAAGACAAAGGCCTGGGCGGGGTGCAGTGACTCACACCTGTAATCCCAGCCCTTTGGGAGGCCGAGGCCTGCGGAACATGAGGTCAGGAGATCGAGACCATCCTGGCCAACATGGTGAAACCCCATCTCTACTAAAATACAAAAAATTAGCCATGCGTTGTGGTTGCTCACCTGTAATCCCAGCTACTCGGGAGGCTGAGGCAGGGGAATCGCTTGAACCCGAGAGGTGGAGGTTGCAGTGAGCCGAGATTGCACCACTGCACTCCAGCCTGGCGACAGAGCAAGACTCTGTCTCAGAAAAAAAAAAGGAAAAAGAAAAAAGAAAAAAAGAAAGTCAAAGGCCTTAGTGAGCCATAAAGCCCAGGCCACCAGTGCGCTCTCAAGAGGGACGTCATGGCATAGGAGGGAGAGAGCAGGGGAAAACTTCAAAGTGGTCTGTGGGCCCAGCACTGTGGCTCACACCTGTAATCCCAGCACTTTGGGAAGCCAAGGTGGGTGGATCAAGAGGTCAGGAGTTCGAGACCAGCCTGGCCAACATGGTGAAACCCCATCTCTACTAAAGATACAAAAAATTAGCCGAGTATGGTGGCAGGCACCTGTAATCCCAGCTACTCGGGAGGCTGAGGCAGGAAAATTGCTTGAACCTGGGAGGCGGAGGTTGCAGTGAGCTGCGATCGTGCCATTGCACTCCAGCCTGGGCAACTGGGCAAGATTCTGTCTCAAAAAAAAAAAAAAAAAAAAAAAAGGGGGTCTGTGTTTGGTGAATGAATACAAGAGTTTCCATCTTCAGATCTGCAAAATTGACAGCTTAAATAAAATTCTAAAGTCTTTAATGCAAAATACAATAGGGTCGATCTATCTTACCAAATATTATGGTTAAGAAGAACTCAAATTTCCTCTAATATTCAAAAGAATCTACTAAAATTTGGGAAAATGCACATATAAAATTACACGTATAATTACAGAAAACAGGTAAATGTCACTTTCTGCATGGCAGGTGCTTTCTAAGACTTAATATATATATATATAACCCCTTAAGTCTCCTAGCATCCCCTCATATGTGTACTATAACTGTCCCACCTGGAGCTGAGGAACTGAGGCACCCAGAGGGAGGTGACTTGCTCACAGCCTCGCCGAGCCTGGCTCACACCAGGGGACTCACATTCTCACTGCCAGATGCTACCCCCATCCTCCAACACAGAAACGTTCACAGATGTCTCTTTAGCTGATCTCTGGAAAGTACAGTTTTATATAACAGGAAATTATACACATCATTTAAGCTAACTTAGCTTACTGTCTGTGACTGCCATCAGAAATGTTCATGGCCATGTAGATATAAATGGCTCTCCCACCTGGATGGGTCAGACGAGAAAATACTTTTAACTTAAAGACATTATCAGAAGCCAGTATGTGATGAGTTGGGTAGCCCAAGTTTCTAAATAACACTCAAAAATACAGGTGAGGGGGATTCTGTATATTCTTTCTAGGAAATCTGGATGGAATTCTTTTCTAGGGCTTTCATGTTTGAATGTATCTCTAGAAACTGGCCCTCCAGGCTGGTAGTGACCTAAGCAGCCATATGCAACTGACTGCCTCCAAAGGATGAAACACTTGTGGAATTCACAAACTCTCTACCTATATGTTCCAAATTTATTTTGAAAAAACTTTAGAAAATGGCAAGTTATCCCTTGCTGGAACCAAATAACAATATGGTACTTTAGGCTGTGTACTTCAAGTTTTCTGTGTGCCATTCACATTTCAGAAATAGACAAAAGCAGGGAGAGAGAAACAGTACTACAGAAAGAGAAAATGTCAAGTAGTTGTCAGCACAGGTCACCATGTACCTGTATATCCTAAGGGCTCCAGAAACAAAATACCTGTCTAGTGGCTTGTAAGTAGAGAAGGGCCAGTTCCCTTGGCTCATGTACGGACTTGTGTTTCACCACAAAAACAAAAACAAAGGAAGCGCCTGCCCCACAGAAACACGCACAAGCATGAGCAGCAATACTGGCAACATTTTGGAAATATTGTAAACCCTGACTGAGGGTTCACACTCCCAGAGTCCAGGACCCAGCCTTGGCCCTTATGGAAACAACTAGGTGATCCCTTAAAGAAAACATGTTGGGGATGGGGGGATGTGGGGAGGGGAAGGATGAGTGAAAAAAGACCTCTTGAGCTATTGTCCTCCAATTGCTTTTTTGGTTTTTGCTTTGTTTTTGAGACAGGGTCTAGCTCTGTCGCTCAGGCTAGAGTGCAGTGGCGCAATCATAGCTCACTGCAGCCTCCACCTCCCAGGCTCAAATGATCCTCCTGCCTCATCCTCCCGAGTAGCTGGGGCTACAGGTGCACACCATCACGCCCAGCTAATTTTTTTGTTTTTTTTTTTTATAGAGACAGGGTCTCGATATGTTGTCCAGGCTTGCTCAAACTCCTGGGCTCAAGTGATCCACCCACCTGAGCCTCCTAAAGTCCTGGGATTAGAGGAGTGAGCTCAGCCCACCTGTATTTTTTTATGGAAGAGAAGAAAATGTGGGAGTACCACTCCAAGGAAGAGAGCTAAGCAAAGAGAAAACAAACAGGACAGGCAGGCAGGAGGCAGCAAAGAGGGAGGCAAAACTTTGGGGAAGAGGAAAAGCAGATTAGATGGCCACTGTTTCCAGTTAGAGCCCTCAAATGGCCTCCACAGCCATTCCCAAGAGCAGTCTTTAAGTAAAACAACAGCTACTGAAACCTTTCCCATGGAACCACCGACCGCATCCTCCCCAGATACCCACCGGGAGTAGAGATACTTTAATCACCTCCATCCCTCATGGCCCGTTTCTTGTTTTGGAGAGGCACGGCACTGCCAACAATATAAAAGCTTTCTGCTTGGGCGTCCTAAAAGAATGACACTTTCCCCAAAACAAAGAATTTATTCCATCTAAACCAACTTATATTTATTTAGCCAGGACATACATCAACTAGATGCTACTACTATGTAACACTCCCTCATGGAGGGCTTACAGATGCCTTCAGGGGTTCTCACTATACACACTGTCAACAGGTGGTCCTGAAGAGCACCAACAACTGGAGATGCCATCTTCTGCTTACGATCGCCACAGCTGTTTAGTGACTTAAGCAAGAAGCATAGGTCATATTCGTAAGAGGTAACTCCTTGAAGTGATTTTGCACAAGGCTTATGCCTTGATGGGAAAATCACACATTAGAATGACAGTCTTCTATTGAAAAATAAGTATTTAATTTCAAGTTTATTTTCATAACATTTTACTTATATACATATACCATATAACTATGTAAAGTATGTGGTTAGACCCATTATAAATATATATATATATATCATTTTTGTTTGTCTGTTTTGAGATGGAGTCTCGCTCTTGTCGCCCAGGCTGGAGTACAATGGTGCAATTTCGGCTCACTGCAACCTCCGCCTCCTGGGTTCAAGTGATTCTCCTGCCTCAGCTTCCTGAGTAGCTGGGATTACAGGTGCCCACTACCACGCCCGGCTAATTTTTGTACTTTTAGTAGAGACAGAGTTTTGTCATTTTGACCAGGCTGGTCTCGAACTCCTGACCTCAGGTGATTTGCCTGCCTCAGCCTCCCAAAGTGCTGGGATTACAGGCATGAGCCACCACGCCTAGGCTTTTTTTTTTTCTTTTTTTTCTTTTTTTTTTTTTTGAGACAGGGTCTTACTCTGTCGCCCAGGCTGGAGTACAGTGGTTCGATCTTGGCTCACTGCAGCCTCCACCTCTTGGGTTCAAGCAACTCTCCTGCCTCAGCCTCCTCCCAAGCAGCCAGGATTATAAGCAGGCACCACCACACCCAGCTAATTTTTGTACTTTTAGTAGAAATGAGGTTTCATCATGTTGGCCAGGCTGGTCTTGAACTCTTGGCCTCAAGCAGTCCACCCTCCTTGATCTCCCACAGGGCTGGAATTACAGGCATGAGCCACTGCACCCAGCCCATATATATTTTATACACACACACACACACACACACACACACACACACACACACCATGACCATCTAACCTAAAAAAGTCCACCTTTGTATCACAGTCACTTCTATCATACTGCCTTTTAAATTTTTTCCTTCTGAAGACAACACTTTTTGAAATTACCGACTCTATTAGGATAATGGCTTCCTGTCTGTCACCTCCTCTAAAACATCTGCACCGTAGAATTAGGGATCTCATCTGTCTTATTACCTGCAGTATCTTCTCCACCTCCTAGAACAGATTCTAGGAGGCACTTAGTAAATAACTACTGAATGAATGAAGAACGAACGCCTCCCCACACACCAAAGCAACAGGAAGCCATTATGGAAAAATTCAAATATAGCGGACACAGAGTCAGACAACTTGGGCTTAAGAACCAGCTTGACTTCCTGATTTCCTCTCTGTGTACAGAAGTTGCTTAATCCCTAGACCTCAGTTTCCTCAGCTTTATACTAAGATAGGGTGGGCATAATGGCTCATGCCTGTAATCCCAGCACTTTGGGAGGCTAAAGTGGGAGGATCGCTTGAGCCCAGGACTTAGAGGCTGCAGTGAGCTAAGATCGTGCCACTGCACTCCAGCCTGGCCAACAGAGCAAGGCCTCATCTCTAAATAAATAAATAAAGTAAGAAAATAACGAAGTACTGTGTTTGACAGTTCTTTGCAAATTAAAGAGTACTTTATTATTGCTGTTAATGACATCTTGAGTCAATATTTATACTGGCATCAAAGAAAAAATTCATTAGCATAAATCCTTAAATAAGCAAGTTAATCTGGCAAGACTGAACTTTCTCATCTTCAACCCCATTTTGCAACTGATTGGCTACCTCTCAAGTGCGTGATAGTTTGTTTACAAATAATAGTAGAAAGAAAGTATAAAGACCAGGGTTCAGGCCCCTACTCTACCACCCAACTTTAAGCCCTCCTCCCCCATCATCATCGCATATGAATAATAAATATATGAATAATCCAGAGACCTCAGAGTGCTACTGTGAAGATAAAAACCTAGTATTACACTTTGTCCAGCCAGTTGGAGCTTGCTCATGTCAGCCTACAATAGGATTTTGGCACCAAAGGCTACGTGGGCACCATCAGGAAAAGCACCATCCTATTAAACAGTGGGACGATGACACCAGTCCCATTCCATTGGCAACGCTAGACAACACCTCCACAAAAAGCCTTCTATCACCAGTCCTATGTTCTTTTGCTACCAGATCTTTCTTATTAAGATGTAATTCATGTACCATAAAATTTTCTCTTTTAAAGTGTACAATTCAGTGGATTTTAGTATTTCCACAAGGTTATGCAACAATCACCACTATCTACAGCTGACCCTTGAACTAACTTGGGGTTAGGCATGCCAACCCCCTCATAGTAAAAAATCCATGTGTAACATTTGACTTTCCCAAAGCTTAACTGCTAATAGCCTACTGTTGACCAGAAGTTTTACAGATAACATAAAGTCTATTAACACACAGATTTATATCTACATATATTTTATGCATTCATGACATACCTTTTTCTTAATTTTTTCTGATATTTTGAGACTACAAAGTTTTTTCAAATTGTTGCAAATCTCCAAAAAATTTTCCAGTACGTTTACTGAAAAAAAAAATCTACTTATAAGTGGACCTGTGAAGTTCAAACCTACATTGTTCAAGGGTCTACTGTAATTTGAGAACATTTCCATCACCCCAAAAAGAAACCCTACCCACGAGCCATCATTCTTTATTTCTTATTCTCCCAACTCCTGTAATAAAGAACCTACTTTCTTTCCTTTTTTTTTTTTTTTTTTTTTTTTTTTTTTGAGACAGGGTCTCACTCCATTGCCCAGGCTGGAGTGCAGTGGTGCAATCTCAGCTGACTGCAACCTCTGCCTCCCAGGTTCAAGCAATCCTCCCACCTTCAGCCTCCCAAGTAGCTGGGACTACAGATGCAAGCTACCATGCCCAGCTAATTTTTGTGTTTGTAGAGACAGGGTTTCACCATGTTGTCCAGGCTGGTCTCAAATTCCTAAGTTCAGGAACTCCACCTGCCTTGGCCTCCCAAAGTGCTGAGAACGAATGTACTTTCTATCTCTATGATTTGCCTGTTCTGAATATTTCATATAAATCATTTCATACAATATGCAACCTTTTATCTTTGTCTTATTTCATATATCATCAGGTGATCAAGGTTTATCTATGTTGCAGCCTGCACCAGTACTTCAGTCCTCTTCATGGCTGACTAATATTCCATTGTATAGATATACCACATTTTTATCCATTCATCAGTTGATGGACACTTGGGTTTGTTTCCTCTTTTTGGCTATTATAAATAATGTTGCTATGAACATTCATGTATAGGTTTTTAGGTGAATGTACGTTCTCAGTTCTCTTGGGGATATACCTAGGAGTGGAACTGTTGAGTCATGTGGTAACTCTTGAACATTCTGAGGAACTGCCAAACTGTTTCCCAGAGGAGCTGCACCATGTTACATTCCTGCCAGCAATTTATGAAGATTCCAATTTCTTCACATCTTCACCAACACTAGTTATCATCCATCGTTTTTAGTATAGCCATAATAGTGGGTAAGAAGTAGTGTATTATTGTGTTATCAGATTTTAACATCCAAATTTTAAGTAGGTCCTCAGAAACAGAAACTAAATACCAGACAGTGGAAGAAAAAAAATCCATATTACGCCAAGACAGTATTCCCAAACTTCAGTCATTCAGTCATTCAAGTACTACCCTCATGATTTTACCAAATCTGAGTGTCATTTCTACTTATTTACTTGTTTAACAAATCAATTCATTTTTAATTTCATTTTTATAAGAACCTTTAAGTCACTGCTATAAATATGTGTTGCTTGCCATAAATAGAAATACCATGAATGCACACTTTGGGAGGCTGAGGCAGGCAGATCGCTTGAGGTCAAGAGTTCGAGACCAGCCTGGCCAACATGGTGAAACCCCATCTCTACTAAAATTATAAAAAGTAGCCAGGCATGGTGGCACAGAGGCATGCAATCCCAGCTACTGGGGAGTCTGAGGCAGGAGAATTGCTTCAATCCAGGAGGCGGAGGTTGCAGTGAGCCAAGATCGCATCATTGCACTCCAGCCACGGCAACAAAGCAAGACTCCCTCTCAATAAATAAATAACATGAATATAAATATGAAAGCAAAGCAAACTTAGCTAGATGGAACTGTCTCCCAGGGCCTGCTTATTCATGCTAAAAGAAAAATTTGCAAATAAAAGGTGCTGGAAAAATGACAGCTACAGAGAGAATCTTTCCTTGACCTCATCAAACAGACTGGACAGCAAGGTGCTGGAACCATCAGTGACACAGTAGTTCCCTGTCACGTTTGTGTCTCTTATAACGTAATCTCTTTACTATCCCAGGCACCTCACTTTGAGAGACCCTGCCATAACGCTTCAGGAAATGCCAGTCCTGAAATAGAAGTCCAGTTCCATAGTGGCCATCATACTGGGGGTTTTGATGGACAATTCTCTACATAGCCCATTACACTTGGCTGAGGGTGTCCCTACTTCATGGTAACAAACCTTGTTCAGCAAATTTCCAATAAGTCTGCCCATTCTCTAGCTGCAAGCACCTGGCTTTTCAAGTTTCAACAAAAACAACTTTCAGAGCAAATATACGTAATACAAATTAAAATAAAGAGCACCTGCCCTGGGCAGGCAAGCCCAGACAGCGCTATCCATAATGTGACAAAGTGCCTGGATGGGCTTTACTGACAGAACTGGCCCCAAGTATAATTTAAAAAAAACACACACACAATGCACTGGTTGTGCTTAAATACAATTCAGCCTTCCTCACCCAGCCCAACACACGTACTATTTATAGTGAGATAAAAGCAGCCAGTGACAGCATATTTGGATGCCTCCAGATTTTAAGAATAATTATCATCTGTCATCATCCAAGCTTAATAAAATACTAAATAGTATATTACATTAAAAGAAAAGGAGTGATGATTAAATCTGAAGGTACTCCACTGCCTCTGTACCTGGGTACTCCTCCTGGGCCCTCAGATCTCTGCTCACACATCCTTTTCACTGGGAACACTTCCCTGGCCCTCAACTCTAAATCCCCCTTATTTCGTATCTCGGGATACCTATCATTTCCCTTCCTAGCACATCTCGCTATGTAGTTTACTCTATGGATGGCTGGTGTCTGTCTCCCAACAACAAACCCCATGAAAACAAAAACCACGACTGTTTTGGTCCACATCATGCCGCCAACAGCTACAACAGTTCTTGGGACAGAGGAGATATTCAAGAATTATTTGCTGAATGGATGAGTTCAGAGGATGTCAAAATTGTATAAATTTTTTTTTATTTTATAAGGTCTGGCCATACTTAGAACTACCACTAAGAGTACATCTTTAAAAGGAAAAAAAAAAAAAAGCAAAACAACAACAACAAAAAAACGTACAGGGCAGGACTCTACAACTTTCTAGAGTTCCCTGCTAACTGACTACAACCCAGGCTATCCCATACAATAGGAACCTCCCTTTCTTCTAAACTAAGTGAGGTATCGAGTCTATCAATGAGCTTTTATGGAGGGCCTGCTGGTCAGTGGAGGGAAGTTGGTGATGAAGGAAGGAAGAAGGCAAAGAAACTAAAATGGACTGAGTGCTTACCATGATACACACATTCCTCCTTCAGTCCCCAAAGAACCCTCCGTGATCACCATGGTGCATCTTAGGCTTATAAAATGTAGTAACTTGCTCAAAGTCACACAGCTAATCTATGGTCAAACAGGAACAAGTATCTAGTTCATTATGAGCTGAAGACGTTAGACAAGTGCCAGAGAGCACACACACGTTGAAAGGGGCCAGAAAATAATGGACAAAGTTAGATGATAGAGCTAGTGGGGCTATTGTTAGTTTATCATTTTCTATGCGTTAGGCATAGGACTAAAGCATTGACTCGCAAAATTTGATGTGTTCATCATACAAGCTCCAGGAGGTGGGCACAATGATTATCGCCATTTTTTTAGGGTGAAACTGTAGCTTAAAAGAGTGACCTGGAAAGTGGTTGAAATCTGAAGCCCAAGCTGTCTGAGTTCACATTCAGAGCAATGACCCCTGCCTCCACCTCCTGCCACGATGCTGGGGGAGAATGGCATAAACAAGGCACAGAAGAGGAATGAGGACGTTGTACAGTGAGCGCATGCATTTAGGGAGTGTCTACTCTACAGGGTAACGAGTAGAGGTGAACGACAGAGCCCGGCTCTTACAGAGCATCTAGAAGACAGTGAAGTCAGAGTGGGTCTGACATATAGGGTCTGGAGTCAGGTCGCCTGGATTCAAACACTGACTAGCTGTGCAACTTAGACAATCACTTAATTTTCCCATGCTCAGTTCTCTCCACTATTTTTTTTTTCTTTTTGAAACAGAGTTTTGGTCTGTCACCAGGCTGGAGTGCAGTGGCATGATCTCAGCTCACTGCAACCTCCGACTCCCTGGTTCAAATGATTCTCCTGCCTCAGCCTCCCAAGTAGCTGGGATTACAGGCACGTGCCACCACACCCAACTAATTTTTGTATTTTTAGTATAGACGGGGTTTCACCATGTTGGCCAGGATGGTCTCGATCTCCTGACCTTGTGATCCGTCCACCTCGGCCTCCCAAAGTGCTGGGATTACAGGCGTGAGTCACTGTGAATGGCAATAGTTATCACACCTACCTCATGGGGTTATAAAAAAAAAAAATGGGACAGCTGGGAGCAGTGGTTCACACCTGCAATCCCAGCACTTTGGGAGGCTGAGGTGAGCAGATCATGAGGTCAGGAGATCAACACCATCCTGGCTCACATGGTGAAACCCCGTCTCTACTAAAAAACATAAAAAATTAGCTAGGCATGGTGGCATATGCCTGTAGTCCCAGCTACTCGGGAGGCTGAGGCAGGGGAATCGCTTGAACCCGGGAGGCGGAGGTTGCAGTGAGCTGAGATCGCACCACTGCACTCCAGCCCGGGTGACAAAGCAAGACTCCGTCTCAAAAAAAAAAAAGTGGGGGGGGGCAATATAAAGTCCTTCAACATACCCAGCACACATCAATATTAGCTATTATTGTTCTTGGAACTAATGGAAAACAAAAACAAGGTTAGATGGGAAAGATATGGCCAAAGTAAAGGACCGTGGAAGGATTGAGTTCAGCAGGGTCTAAAGAATGTGCAAGATAGACGGGGGCTTGCTAGAGTCAGAGATGCCCTTGGGAAGGCAGCTGGGCCATCCGGATGTGGGGTGGTGTGCCCCTGGCACAGCCGTAGACTATAGTGTCATGGGAGAAAGAAATGGACAGGATGAGATGATGGACTACGACATCACATGAAAGGCAAAAACTAGCCAAAGAGGGTGCCAAGGGTTTGGACCAGGTTCAAACTCTACACTAGACAGAAAATGTGGCACAAAAGAGAGAGGAGAAGTGTGGGAAGAAGATGAGGTCATGCCTTTCCTCCTGTGCCTGCTGACTTGACAGTGGCTGTGAGTGAGTCAGAAAGTTGGGCAGAGACTGCGGGCCTCAGGAGGCTCCAGACCAGGGCCCTGCGGAAGAGCTGGCCCAAGGAAATCACCATTTACTGAGCATATACTATGTTTACATTGTTCATGGTTAAATCTAAGTCTTGTTTTTTCCTTCTGAAAAGTCTGCAAGATCACTCCTGATCTCCCTTGTACACGAGGAAGCTGATGGAGAGGGACTGGGGACATTGCTGAAGATGACACAGCTAAAAAGTGGTAGAACTGGTCTTGAGGTCCAGGCCCATCCGACTCCAGAACCCATTGTCTTCCCACTGGGAGGCTCAGCCAGAGAAGCCGGGAGGTAGAACAAGTTCTGCTAAGAAGCCAGCACCTCAGAGTTACAACACACGCCTGGCCCTTCTCCACCTCGTCCCTCCTGGCCACCATCTCTCCCCCTGGGCGCCCTTCCCTCCCCTTCTCCAATCCAGCACTGTGCTCATTAGGCAGGACCCAGCAATAATCCACCCTCATCCATGAAGTTTTCACGCCCCCTCCCCGGTGGAAATGGTCACCTCCTCCATCTGCTGCGGCCCTTGCTGTCCTCCCTACCCACCGGCATGTATAGACAAGCTTCAACTCAGGTGTGGTGTTCTGGCCACCTTATGCCACCCGCTGACAGATGGGGCTGATTCTGCTATTGGGCATTTCCCAGGGCCTCTTGCTCCCTCTCAGCTCCATCCAAGTCCCCCTGAAAGCTGCACTCTCAGTCAAATGTCAGTCTTCTGGGGACAGGAGGACTCCCCAGCCCTAGGCCTTCCTGGGGCGGAGCCACCCTGCTGCACCTCTGACAAATTCCAAGTACTGTGGCTAGCTCTGCTCCACTACGTCCTCCTCCAAACTAGAATGTAAGTTTCTAGAAAGAAGTCATTTCCCTGTGCTGTTTGTAGTGCCTTACACGTGGTCGACGACCAATAAATAACCACCATTGTCAAAGATGATAAAAAAACCTTAAGTACAGTAACACCTCACCTCACACAACTTGGAACCAAAAGGCAAGCCAGGGGACCTCTAGGCAAACAGTGTAAGAAGGCTTGGGGGTGTTGTTTTTACCCTGCAAACCCAGCAGTGATGCCAGCAGAAGTAATAATATCATTTTTTTTTTTCGGATATGGATGGTTCAGCGTTAGAAAGACTTGAAAAAACAAAATGAGTCCTCCTTCTTTGAAATGTTAAAGATATGATAAAACCTATGCCATCAAGTACATTCGCTTGACTTAAGGCCTTCTAAGACAGACCTTCGGGCCGGGCGCGGTGGCTCACACCTGTAATTCCAGCACTTTGGGAGGCCAAGGTGGATGGATCACCCGAGGTCAGGAGTTCAAGACCAGCCTGGCGAACATGGCGAGACCCTGTCTCTACTAAAAACACAAAAATTAGCTGTGCGTGCTGGCAGGTGCCTGTAACCCCAGCTACTTGGGAGGCTGAGGCAGGAGAATCACTTGAACCCAGGAGGCGGAGGTTGCGGTGAGCCGAGATCGTGCCATTGCACTCCAGCCTGGGCAACAAGAGCGAAACTATGTCTCAAAAAAAAAAAAAAAAAAAGACAGACCTTCACCCAAGGCCTGTTTGTTCTCATTTTAGAAAGCAGAAAAGTTCTTTTGTTTCCCAGCCTTCAAGAGAGACAAGTTTAGTAAATCCAAAAGAGGAGCCAGTGTGTGTTACTTGGAGCATCGGTTACCTAAAAGCCAAGGACAGTAACTTAGAAAACATGGCATTCTGGGGTCACTCGGCAAAGTAGTCATACGAGTATCGGTAGGCCCTGTCATTATGGTAACCACACACTTCAGTGATTCTGAATAATTCATTCTTTCATAAGCAAGGAATGAAGAAATCATTAACTCAGGTTGAATGTACTCTGTAAGCCCAAAAAGTTAAAAATTTATTTTAGAAAGGTTTCCATCCAAAACTACAGGGAAAAATTAAAAATATCCAGGTCTTAAAAATATCCAGGTTTAAAGACCTTAAACCAGGTCTTAAGGTTCGGTTATCAGGAAAATCCCTATATATGAAACAGTTCATTCCCTCATGGGCCCAGCAAACAGAATGAGACATCATATCAATTCTCTCAGAAGAACTGCAGAATGTCTACTTTCTTATCTTCTTTTAACTTTGCAAATAGCCCAACTATGAAATGCACATGGCTGTGAGGTCAGGATGTCCTGAAGCCAATTTAAGGACCTAAAAAAACCTATTTTTACATAAAGAACCAACTTTATTTCAAAGCATTTCAAAAAAAGACAATTCCTTCAGATTTTTCAATCACTGAACTATCAAAAATGATTGTAACATTATAACATCATGGCTTTTATTGGAATACCTGGGCAGCTATCAGCTTTGCAGAGTGAAAAAAAAAAATTCTGAGCTTCTTTGTAATTTTTATTTTTATTATTTATTTATTTATTTTTGAGCAGAGTGACCCAGGCTGGAGAGCAGTGGTACAATCTCGGCTCACTGCAACCTCTGCCTCCCACTTTCAAGCAATTCTCCTGTCTCAGCCTCCTGAGTAGCTAGGACTACAGGAGCACACCACAAAGCCCAGCAATTTTTTTTTTTTTTCTGTATTTTTAGTAGAGATGGGGTTTCACCATATTGGTCAGGCTGGTCTCGAACTCCTGACCTCAGATGATCCACCTGCCTCAGCCTCCCAAAGTGCTGGGATTACAGAAGTGAGCCACGGTGTCTGGCTGCTTCTCTGTAATTTCTAGTAGTTTCAAAATGTCACTGATGGAATGACATTGATACTAGCTATTGGTAATTAACTAGGCCAGCAAAGCTTGGGCCCACCCAAGGTAGCCTGAAGAGCAGGACTGCTAATGGACTCCCAATCAATGTGCATGGAGGCTCTCCCTAAATACTTGTCATCAGCTCTCCTGCCATCCACACTGCTCTTCAAACACCCAAATGCACTCATGTGACTCCCCTGATTTAGACCTTCAGTGATCCTCCCATCATTCACTACAAAGATGAGTCCAAATCCCCTAACATCACTCACCGCCAGGCACCAGGGGAGCCATCACAGAAGAACGTCCTGCTCTGCTGGGGCTTCCGTCCTTATGACGGAAGAGAGGCAGCGAACACACAAACCCAGAACAGGGCAGGCGGTAAGTGCTTGGAAGAAGGCTAAGGCAGGCACCGGGGCTGCAGAATGGCACTTATCCAAGAAGTCCTCTCAAGAAAGGTGAGTACAGCCTGAATGACATGACCATATGACAAGCAAAGGCCTCCCAAAGCTGGCCCGAGGCCTGCTGGCCAAGCTCCTCCTCCGCCCGTCCTCCTCTTGCAACCTGCACTCCAGCCTCGGGAGCTGGGATTCCTTCTCCTAACACACCTCGCTGCTTCCACACTCCATGCATTTGCATTTGCTCTTCTTCTGCCTACAGCATCACCCACACACCTATCTGGTCTGGCCAACTCCTCCTGATCCTCCAAGGCTCCCCAGAAGCTTCTCCTCCTTTTTGAGGCCTTCTCTGGACACCAACCACGCACCAGCTTCCTCACCAGCAAGATTCATCACTTCTCCCTTCTGCCCCTCTGGACTGCACCGTGTTTATTCATGTGTCTGACGCCTGAGCAAAGTGGAGTTCCTTAAAGTCCCGGAGCTGTGACACTCATCTCCATAGCAGCAGCCCCAGGTCCTTCAAGACAGCCGTGCCTCTAGGGCCTCTGTTAATAAAGGAATGAAATGCACATCCTCTTTTTACAATGCCATCTTTGAAAAGGTCTGCCCATGAAGAAAGCACAAACAAATGCCTTTTTATTTAAAACTCCCTTTGTAAAAATCACTCTCCTTTTTTCCTGAAACCTGCATCTTTTAAAAGTCCTTTTGGGTTCTTCCCCCTGTAAAACTATCTTGACACCTAGCCATGTATCACGGCACATGAAGCAGCTACAACACTGCAGTTGGAAAAACATTATGCTGTGAAGGAAGAAACTCTATCTGCCAAGACACTTAAAGGCTTGCTACAGATATCATGAGAATGCCATGCTGGCCACAATGAAAGCAGCTTGGACACTCCTTTACAGCCTGTGATCATTTTCACAAACATTTCCTAAATTCTACATAGTAAAACTTTCTTTCCAAGGAGGACAAATTGTTTAAAAAGGGGGAGGAACATATTCTTTTCTGGTTTTGTTTTTCTGTAGTTAAACTCTGAGCTTTAAAAACACAGCCTATACCCCCCCATCCTTAGAACACCCAAACAGAAAGTCATTTGGAAGTAAAAAGGAAAAAAGTGGCCAGGACTCAAGACAAATGGCTCCCAATAAAGGAGATGGATTCAGAGAAAAAAAAAAAAAATATTCTTTCAGTGCAGATTCCACTACTGTTACTTGAGTTTCCATTCTGTTTTCAATGTGAGGCAAATAAAATTGTAGAAGTGAGAGCCTCCCATGTCGGTGGAAGGGAGTTGGATTCAGAATCAGGTTCTAACTGCAGAAACACAGGCCAGATCTCATAAAGACCAGCCCAAGCCACGCTGACAGCTGGCCCTCCTCAAGCCTAAACTAGAGCTCCAAAACTGAAGACCCCCTAAAAATAACAAAGAAAGAGCATTCAGCTGCTCCATCCAAACTCAAGCACAAAAGAAAGCGGGGGTAAAAATCGTTTCCATATTTCACATAAACACAGATCTCACTGCGACAGCTAGGAATGCATGAGTCAACCAAGGACTGACAATAATTACTGCACACATCGAGGCCCCCCACTACAATTCAAGACGAGAATGTGCAACACAGAACGAAAATTATGGACGTCTCTATTGGGAAATGTTTGTGCTTACATATTTCAAGATGGCTCTTTTAAAAAAAATAAAGTGTCCTTTTACGTGAGCTTTTAACTTTTTTGTTGTTGTTGTTCCAGAGAAAGCACCTGGAAGAGACTTTAAAATTTAAAACTTGTCCCAGAGTCACGTGAGATTTTATTCTTGCAACTTACTGTAACTGTACACTGTGAGTTTCTCCCAGCCCCCAGACTCCCTCACACGGTGGTTAAGATTAGTTCTGCCCCTGAACAGACTGGGGGTTTAACTGCACTGCAGTGGCCCTTGTGGGGCAGGAACAGAGGCAAATAAATCACAGAATGGCTGTAATTCCAGAAGAACAATTTTGGGGGAAGTAAACTTTCTCGTTGTTGGCTGTCAGGAACGGAAAGTTATCTATGGTGTACAGTGTTGAGAACCAGGCACCAGATGTCTGGTGCTGGGGCCGTCTCATTTCATGAAAAGGAATGTTTTCTTTTAAATGTCTAAATAACAAGTACCATTTCCTGAGCCCTTCTGTATTCCACAACATAAGCTGGGCACTCTCTCCTGCTGTTTCATTAATGCTCATAACAGCCATGTGATGTATTATTATGCCCACTTTGCAGATGTGAAAGCAAGCTCCGAAGGGCTAAATGCTCAAGGTCATACTACCATTGAGTGCTAGAGTGAGGATTCAACACGGGTTATTTTACTTTGCCCCAGACTGGCTCTGCTTTCCCCCTACAGCAGGTGGGGCACCTGTTCTGGTGTGTGTGACTTCCGCAGGCAGGCAGGTAAAGCCTTTGAGAGCGGCGGAGTCTCATGAGCAGGATGGATACAGGAAAACAAAGCTGTCTCCCTGGCTCATTCTCCATGCGATTAAATTAGTCAATGCTTACTACATGGATGAATGCAGAATTTAAATCTAGTGTCTGAAGAGCCTTTATTAACCATCATGTGAGCGTGTCCCTGGTTGCCCACTATCAAAGAAGTGACACTACTGAACTATAAACATCAATTTTACATCCAACAGAAGATATACCACGTTCTTGACCTCCTTATAATCCCATAAAGCCCAGTTTCCTTGAAAGCCAGATTAAAACAGTTCACTGAGCATGTGCCACCATATCTCGCAATTACTATTTCTTTTAAAGCCAGGCATGATCCCATATCTTTAAGAAATTTATTTGATAGCAGTCTTATGCTTATTTATTTGATAGCAGTCTTATGCTTATTTGATAGCAGTCAGTTCTAATTTATTTGATAGCAGTCTTATGCATATTTGATATTTATTTGGCTTATTTATTTATGCTTATTTGATATTTATTTGATAGCAGTCTTATGCTTATTTGATATTTACTTATTTATGCTTATTTGATATTTATTTTATTTGATAGCAGTCTTATGCTTATTCGATATTTATTTATTTTGCTTATGTATTTGCTTATTTATTTGTGCTTGTTTGATATTTATCTATTTTATTTATAGCAGTCTTATGCTTATTTGATAGCAGTCAGTTCTAATTTATTTGATAGCAGTCTTACGCATATTTGATATTTATTTGGCTTATTTATTTATGCTTATTTGATATTTATTTGATAGCAGTCTTATGCTTATTTGATATTTATTTACTTATTTATGCTTATTTGATATTTATTTTATTTGATAGCAGTCTTATGCTTATTTGATATTTATTTATTTTGCTTATGTATTTGCTTATTTATTTGTGCTTGTTTGATATTTATCTATTTTATTTATAGCAGTCTTATGCTTATTTGATAGCAGTCAGCTCTAACACAGTTTCTAAGTCACTGAGCATGAAAGTCCATCTCTCCTCGAGAAGTTCCCTCTTTTAGGTAGCAACTGGCAGTGTGAAATAGAAGAGACCTGATGCCTTCAAGAGTAGATGAGGAACACAGGCACATGCTGCCCTGTCTCCCTGAGAATGACATCATCCTTTTATGCTGTATGATTTTATGCATGTCTGTGTTTTGTTCTTTTTAAAGGAGACCTGATGACCAGGTTCTGGTCATCTTCAGAGCACTGAAAAAAATGAGTGACAGCAGGTGGCTGTCACATTATCAGGCCAAGAAGGCATCTTCCTCTTTTTCTAAATAACGTGAGCCAAGGTAATAATGACAGCATTCCAAGAACATCTTCTACTCCCGGGACAACTGCCACTGTACTTCAGGGAGTAACCAAAACACCAAGTCCCATCAGTGGGTTTGCTGGGGTGGCAAGCTCTAATGCACAGTACAGTTCTACCAATCTGTCATCAAGTGCCTTCCAATGACATCATCAGCCCATGAATGTAACAGAACAATTATCTGCCCCGTGACCCCTTCCAAAGAGTTCCCCCTTATTAATTCTGTGTCCTACTTCTCGGCACTAAAATTCAAAGAAGTTACCTTGCCCTTTGGGTCAACCTTACCAACTTCTCTCAAATAGGCTTTGTAAAATTATGAAACAAACTTCGGAGAAAGATACAAGTCCCACATTCTCCCTATGCCTAAGGGATCTCAGAGATTGTTTATCAGGCCACCTCGCACTTTAATATAAGCCTGGCCTTAAAAGAAGACTAAATGTTTGTTTTAAGCAGAACTGGTGCCACAGTAATAAACTTTCAGGGCAGGAGATCAGTTCTCCCTTGTTAGACTGACCCAAGATATTTTGCCAGGTGCAAGCCAGCCTGCCACAAAACATCCTAAATCCACCATCCAGTCCCAAAGTGGGTGGGCCATGACACCTTTCTGTTCCTAAGAGGCACTTAGATTTTTAGATTATTTTTTAGATTAATAAAGTTAATTAAGTTTGATTGCATAAGCCCTACTTCTAAAAATTTGAGGTTTATCTAAATATAGTGATGCAGAGAAATCGTTAAGACAGTATTCAATGTAAAAAGGAACAGATTCAAACTGTGCAGAAATCCATTTACAAAAAGACAATGATTATGTGCAAATAAGAATAAACATGTATGCAAATGTCTAGGAAGGGTTCCAGAAGGTGCTGACCCCCAACTCTGGGAAAGGAGAAGGGTATAGCATAAAGGGGACTATCTTTTCCAACCTATCTAGAGTTCTGTTGTTTAAATATTCTTTTACAAGAAAGTATTTCTGTATTATTTGACAAATAAAAATGAAATCTACAGGCAACGGAAAGATAATGGGGGGAAGGGTGAATATATGAAAGTAAATCACATTCCATAGCTCTTGAATGTTTAATCAGAGATGATTTTCCACTAATATTCCTGTGATGACCGATTTGCTCCATGAGGATGCATTTCTGCCTGCCACGTTAGAAGCAGCTGTTTCCTAGCATTCATTATCTGTTTCCTCCAAGGCCAGGAAAACTGAAAGGCAGTTCTGTCTGGTTCCAGAAGCTAAACATGCAAAGCTGCATCCACACCTTTACCCCAGTGGCATCTTGGACGAAGGACAGGAAGTCTCAAACAGAGCCTGCTGTCTTTCTATTTGAGTCTAACCAAAGCATTCTCCCTAACCCTTCCTCCTGATCACACCTAGGCCACTGAGCCTCTAGGTATCCAATAATCCACACTAGTCACAGCCTGTTCATCATCACGCCAGCCATCATATGCAGACATTTAACGTTCTTTAACCTGTAAGAAAACAGAAGATCACTGATGCACTCTCGGCAGCCTCTTTCCATTCTGAATCAGGCTGGAGAAGAGGAACAGTGCGAGTACACCTAGTGATTGCTACAACTTGACAGTATGCCACGCACAACCAACTTCACTGCCCAGCACTACCAATGGGCAGAATCCTCTTAGTTTTCTAAATCACTTCACCTAGAAGTCCCCTACCCTCACCCCTCATCTGGCTGGCACTTATCCTCGAAAACCATCCTCAAGCAACTGTCTTTAAAAAAAAAACGAAACAAAACAAAAAACACTTTACTGCTTTTTGTGGAGCATGGCCAACCCCTAGGCAGGACACAGAGTCAGCCTTATTATTTTTTATTTTTAAAATACTTTACTGCTCCTTGTGGAGCACCAACAACTCTCTAACTCACTCAATCTCCCTCTCTCCCTCTCTCTCTCATTCATTTGTGCTCCTCTGAACAGTTCCTAGACCTGTAAGTACATCTGAATGCATCAGATCTTGTTGTGTAATAAATAATGCTGACATTTCTCCTGCTAGACTGAATGCTCCTCACCAGTGGATCCTCCAAACCCAACACTGAGTCTAGTCCCTCACACAGAAGGTTAATAAGGCTTCTTGATTGGGACTGTACTACAGAACAGGAAAAATGCTAGGATGTGCCACATTATTGCTGGTGGATGGGACCTACAAAGCCATAGGTTTTATGGGATCTGGGGAAAGGGGGCCAATCAGAGCAAGATGGAAAAATAGTATAATCACAAACCTTCTGAACTGGGAGTCTAGAGAATTTGGTTCTAGTCTAGGTCCTGCCACTTAAATCTCTGGGCCACAATGTCATTAACGACAAAATAACTTATTCACACAAAAGAATAAAATATTTGGACTGAATGATCGAAGGTCATTATCAACCCTCAAAATTAGACTTAACGATGGAAGAAAAAACATGGAATCCATAGTGCTGAAACCACAGTCCTAGGAAAAATGCCTGCTCTTGTTATATAACCAACAGAAGTCAAGAAACATCTTAATATACCTAATACGCAGGCTGTCATCCAGTTCACCAACGTGAACAGGATTTGCATCTGAGCACTGCCTCATACCCAGTATTTGTTCACTATAAGGATACTCCTGGCCGGGCACAGTGGCTCACGCCTGTAATCCCAACGCTTTGGCAGGCCAAGGCGGGCAGATCACAAGGTCAGGAGTTCGAGACCAGCCTGACCAACATGGTGAAACCCCATCTCTACTAAATACAAAAATTAGCCGGGCATGGTGGTGCATGCCTGTAATCCCAGCTACTCAGGAGGCTGAGGCAGAAGAATCGCCGGAACCCAGGAGGTGGAGGTTGCAGTGAGCTAAGATCGCATCATTGCACTCCAGCCTGGGCAACAGAGCAAGACTCAAAAAAAAAAAAAAAAAAAAGATACTCCTTGTCTCTATCATCTCAAACCTAAATATGATTATCCCCTTCCCCCTCCCCCAAAGAAAATGAATAAATACTTGAAAATAAAAATCAATTGTTACCATCTGGATGGAGGCGAAGCTTCTTTGAGAGTTTAACCAGCACGGGAACACTGATGGCCCACGCTGGGTCTTAAGGCTTGAAAGCTTGAATAGCCACACAGGTCTGGTAGCTGCTACTGACCTCCCTGTCTCAGGCCTTTGGAGAGGTGGTTTTTAGCTTCATTCATCATCACTGCTTTCTCAGACACCAAGACTGCCAATTCCACTGAAGGCAGAGCTGCCAATTAGCTTGGATTTTAACTTCTCTTTATGGGAATTTTTGGTGGATTTTTTCAACTTTTAAGTTCAAAGTACAAGTTTGAAAACTGACAGCATCTAAAATATGATGTACATGAATCATTAATTATGAATCACATCTCCCTACACAGAGTTCCAAACCTATAATGTTTGGGAGGAGAGGATTGGTCTAGGTATCTTACAAATATCTTTTGAAAAGTACTACTCAACACACAAAAATTAGACAAATATTAACTTGGAAACTGATCTAGAAGAAATTATATGTGTTTCTAAAGGGTTGGAAAGGGGCTTCTTTGGCGCATACAGAATTTTCCAGTTTTAAAAGAACTTTTCTACATTAATCACTTACTAAAGCTCTGTTCCAGAAACAGGCACACACTGAATAAAATATAGAAACAGTTTTTTCCCCTGGCTCAAAGATGCCTTACAAAAAGTCTCCTTCATCTATAAAAGGCAAATCAGGTCAACTTTTAAGTTTTTTATTTAACACCTGCATTTCCCAAAACGCATCAGGTATGAGTCCTGCTCACCATAAGACCAAATCTGTTCTTAATACGAACAGCGTGATTCACGTCACTCCAGGTTACTCCCTGCAAGGCGCCTCTTTGACACGGTGGGCATCATTCTTTCTCCTCGCTGCACAGGCAATCTAAAAGTCCCTTGAGAAGTTTGAGACTTTCTGTGATTTGGAAACTGAAGAAGCAACTCTGGTGACTAAGGAACAGGGGTAATCACCCTTCTGGTGGTTGCTTCTGTAAGATCTGCTTCTATAAGTTACTCCCAACAGTGCTTATAGGAGCAGATCTTTCCAAATAACTTCTTGGCTCCCAAGAAGAACCGGGCTGGTTTCCTTAATTGGGCTTGGCGCGACGGGACACCTTCCATCTGGGGCTGTTCTGCCAGGACAATAACTCACTGGCATACCCACTACATCGTGGACACACCCATGTATTACTGCCACACCCACCAGTTATCAAAAGCAGCAGTAAAGCAGGAAATGTAGTAAGTGTTGGGTATTAACTATGGTAAAACAAGAGATATGGCCTTCAAGGGTGTGCCTTTGTGGATGCTTCCCCTCGGCCGTGTAATGCCTACTCTACACGTCAATATCGCCAGCCCTCAGGTCTCTTTATGCTAGTGGAAGAACTGAGGAAAGACATTTAAGAACTCACTTACCATCACCCCTCGACAGCATGACATTTAAAAAGGTACAACTGTCTTCTCTTTTCTCTCTCTCTCTTTTTCTTTTTTTTTTTTTTTAGACGGAGTCTCACTCTGTCTCCCAGGCCAGAGTGCAGTCGTGCGATCTCGGCTCATGGCAGCCTCCGCCTCCTGGCTTCCAGTGATTTCTCCTGCCTCGGCCTCCTGGGTAGCTGGGATTACAGGCACGGGCCACCACGCCCAGCTAATTTTTATTTTATTTTATTTTATTTTATTTTATTTTATCTTATTTTTTGAGATGGAGTCTTGCACTGTCACCTAGGCTGGGGTGCAATGGCACGATCTTGGCTCACTACAACCTCCCCCTCCTGGGTTCCAGCAATTCTCCTGCCTCAGCCTCCCAAGTAGCTGGGATTACAGGCACACACCACCACACCCAGCTAATCTTTTGTATTTTTAGTAGAGACGGGGTTTCACTATGTTGGCCAGACTGGTCTCGAACTCCTGACCTCAGGTGATCCGCTTGCCTCGGCCTCCCAAAGTGCTAAGATTACAGGCGTAAGCCACTACACCTGGCCATCTTTTCTTTTTTTAAAATATTTTTTAATTAAAAATTTTTACTTTTTTAAGTTAAAATAGAGACAGGGATCCCACTTTGTTGCCCAGGCTGGTCTCGAACTCATGGGCTCAAGCAGTCCTCTCGCCTCAGCCTCCCAAAGTGTTGGGATTACAGGCATGAGCCACTGTGCCCAGCCTTCTCCTCTTTTTTTGCGGGGGCAGGTGGTGAGGGGGTTCAAGTGATTCTCCTGCCTCAGCCTCCTGAGTAGCTGGGACTACAGGCACGTGCCACCACACCCAGCTAATTTTTGTATTTTTAGTTTCAACACCATTTCATATTAACACACTGCATAAAGGATGTGGGATCCAGTTTTCTCTTTACCATTCCTCTCACCAATGGGCAGTTTACTATTTATAAAAGGCAGAGTATCCTTGTTTGATTTGAGATTGAAACTACCCCGTTGGAAGATGTGATTTTTTTTTCCAGGATATGCCTGAGTTCTATGCAACAAAAGTAGCACCTAGGCTTTATTAAGCACTTAAAATATGGCTGATATTATGATAAATGCTTCACTCACATTATCTCATTTAGCCCTGAAAACAAATCCTGAAAGTTTAGTAACAGCATGATTCCAAGTTTAAAGATGAGCTAGTTGACTAAACAATGTACATAAATTGGCCAACGTCAGGCAACCATGAGAGGAGTAAAGGATCCAAACTTGGGCAGCTCCTGAACAGCCCTGGTTCTCCAGTACTGTGTCACCCTGCAGCAGCCACAATGTTTCAGAATGAGGAACGGCCCACCCACAAACACACTGATTTATCCAGCCCCAACAGAGACAGGAAGAGACTGTGAATGAATGGACACATGAATACATTTTCTCTCCAGGCAAAATCCCTAAAAGTAAAACAATTATTCTCTATTGCAGGCAATTAACTACAGGCATGTGCTCCCACCTTTACCCAAAACAGACGCGCTGAAGCCAGAGCCATGGTTTTTATAGGCTGATTCCAACTTTGTTGGACAAAGAGACTTTAGGGTTTTACCTTCTTCCCTGTCAAATATTTACCAAAGACCTTTATTGCCAGGGCCCTAATTTGAACAAACAGATGCCATCCTTGACCATCTCAAGGACAAATGTTAACACTACTATCACTTGACTTTGAGATGAAAATAATTATTTTTAAAAGAGAAAAAAGAATGTTAACTACATGAAACAAAAAACAAACCAAACAACTCTAATCTTTACATCTTATCAACAGTATGTCACTCTCACTATAACTTTAGATCTGTAAAGCGCAAACAAAACTAGCAATAACAACGATAAGATCTAAACTATGCAATCTGCTTTTATAAGAAAAGTAAGGTAGTCTTATAATGTTTTTATAATGTTATAGTTACATAATTACCACCAAAGATGATAATTACCAACCTTAACCCACAAAATTGGTGTGAGATCTTTTGATGACAATTAAGTCATTATAACAGATTGATTTCACATCATTTACCACTCCCAGGAAGTCTACCACAGTTTCATTTAACAAGGCAGATTCTTCTTAGATTTCTTCCTGAATTCCTAAGGTTGCTTATGGACATTTGTACTTTTTTATTTCTTTGTTATTAGTTACTACTCTTAGGAAATGTTCCTTTTCTCCTTAATTCATGAGAGCATGACTTTAGGAGATGGAATTTCTACAGCATGACTGGAACATTACATATCAAGTTAAAGTTCATCTTAAAATCTGAAAATACGAAAAAGATACTAATCCACATGCTATCTTAAGGAAATATTTTTTCAATATTCATTCTAGGGATGGATCTTTTTAAAAGATAAAAGAAAAGAAATAAGAACACCCTCAGGATGTGAAAACAATTGATACCAAAAAAAGTTACAAAACACAATTTCAAATTGCTAAAATATACAGATGAGGATGCTAAATTCAAAGTTAAAATAACAGCTATCCATGTCCTCCAAGAGATCATATACTCAGAAATCATGACTGGGGTCAGGGGTGACAGGAGCAGAAAAATTGGGACTTTTTTAAAAAGGTAACTATTAAAAACTTAAAATGTACCTTGTTAAATTACTTTCAAATCACATTCCACTGAATTCTAACTTTGGACTGTTGAAAATGGAAGCTTTCCCAGAACTGAGTGTACGTTTAACCCCAGGAATGATGCGACAACCTCAACCACATGAACAATCTGGAAAATGACACAAAGGGGAGGGCGAGCGGCCACACCCTTCAGAGGTGGGGTTTTGTGGGTTTTGAGTTTTTTTTCATTCTGCCTAATCAATTCCCATTCATTTCAAGTATAACCTGTGTGTTCTTACAGGGTTCAGGAACTCAGAAATAAATACCCACATGGCTGCTTCTGGATCTGGTACAACAAATATATGATTCCCCTGGGCCTGTGTCTGAGATGCTCACTGTATGTATTTTCAAGATTTCGGTGTAAAGTCACCCTATTGCTGCTGGGCACGATGACTCACGCCTGTAATTCCAGCACTTTGGGAGGCCAAGGTGGGCAGATCACTTGAGGTCAGGAGTTCAAGACTAGTCTTGGTAACACGGTGAAACCACATCTCGACTAAAAATACAAAAATTAGCCTGGTGTGGTGGCGCACGCCTGTAGTCCCAGCTACTTGGGAGGCTGAGGCACAAGAATCGCTTGAACCCGGGAGGTGGAGGTTGCAGTAAGCCGAGATCCCACCACCGCACTCCAGCCTGGGTGACCAAGTGAGAGTCCATCTCAAAACAAACAAACAAACAAACAAACAAACAAAGTCACTCTATTGTATATTAGCGTATGGGTATAAATACTAATAAATACTAGGTACACTGAAATCGGGGGATGAGGAGTGTTCTGTTGGAAATACTGGATTATATTGTTTATCTTACATGTACCCTTCTTTGGGGGCGTGGGGTTAGGGAATCCTAACCCTCAGATGATTGATATTTCTAACCACTTCCAGAGAAAAAATTCCAACCAATGCTATGCTTTGGCTTATCCCACCAGAGTGAAGTCTCTGAACATATAAAGACTAAATTACATACTAAGCTAGAAACAATTCCTAATCGTTCATCAGCAAGGGGCAGCAGATCACAGGTGATAACACAGAAAACACCCACACCTCAAGGTGTGACCTCCGGGGAACACTCCCCTCCAAACTTCCGCCGTCTGGGCTCCTCCGCCTTCCCCCACCCCAGTCTCCCTCCTCTCCATTCATCATGGCTCCCCTTTCCTCTCCCACTCCCTGTCAGCCCAAACTCCCATCTCTTTTTTTTAGCTCAGGTCAATGTGTTAGTAGTTTCTTCTTTCTTTAATGAAGAGTTTTTAATGTTTTCTTATGCTTAAAGTCAGCTCAGTTTTACATTTCACAGATCAAAGGAAATAAATACCCAGTAAGTCAAGTTCCTTTTTGCACAGAGCCTTTCAGTGACATTTCCCCTGGAGATCCAGGAGCTTCCCCTACAGTAGGGTGACTGGGCCACTGCAGGTCTAAAACCCAGTTAGTGCTACATCCCATTAAAGAGAGGACAGTGCCTGCCTGATAGAATTCTGAATCAAATAATGAGCCCTAAAAAATAAATACACATGTATGCATATTTATATGTATGTATCTAAGTATATATATCATATGTATTATGCATGTATATATGATATATAATATGCATATGTATCCATGTATTGTGTGTGTATATACGTATACAATATATCTAATATGTATAATGTATCTATTATATGTGTGCACACACAATACATAGATACAAATACACACACAGTTCCTCCACAAAGGAAGGCCACGAAAAGATCTTCATTCTTTCCTTGGATCCCACCTGCTTGGAGACTTACAGAGGGGCTTGGTGATCTAACATCCCACTCCCGACTCTCCAGCCTCATCTATTTCCATTCACCTCACAACAGAGCCACCACATCGGCTTCTTTCAGTGGCTGACAATGTCAAAATGCCATGCTGTCTCTTGCCTCCCAGTTTTCTGCCAAGAACATTCTCCTGCCCTAGACAGAGCTACCTCCTGCTCATCCTACAAGTCTCTATTTATTTTATTTAAATTTTTTTTTTTTGAGATGGAGTTTTGCTCTTGTTGCCCAGGCTGGAGTGCAATGGCATGATCTTGGCTCACTGCAACCCTCTGCCTCCCGGGTTCAAGTGATTCTCCTGACTCAGCCTCCTGAGTAGCTGGGATTACAAGCGCCCGCCACCATGCCCGGCTAATTTTGTATTTTTAGTAGAGATGAGGTTTCTCCATGTTGGTCAGGCTGGTCTTGAACTCCCGACATCAGGTGATCCGCCCACCTCGGCCTCCCAAAGTGCTGGGATTACAGGCGTGAGCCACCGCGCCCGGCCCAGGTCTCAATTTAAATGTCTCTTCCTCCAGGAAGCCTTCTCTTGTGGCGCCCATTCATAACTGCATGAGATACTCCTCCCTCTGCACTTCTATGATGCCCTGTAGTCTAAATGCCTGTTGATTTGTCTGTATTCCACTTAACTGAAGTCACCAAACAAAGACAGCCCCTGTCTTATTCACTGCACCTAGAAAAGAACTTGACAAACGGTAGGTACTCAATAAACAGCTGGTGAATTCTATTTCAAGTTGATTGGTTTCTCTCCAGTTGCACCAGTTTTCCTGCTAACAAATGCCTTCCACCTAGGGTCTGTACCAGACATGACATACATATGATTTCATGGCATTCTGAATGTTTCAGATAAATCTTAAAAGATATAAAGGTAAATACTTAATAACAAGGAATTCTTCCAAGGTTTTGGATCTGTCCATTACAAATCTTTTCTACTTACATGGGTAATTATAGAATAACACCAAACTCAGAGAGAGAGCTATTTACTCATTTCCTGATCTTCATTTCCAAAACAATGTGAAAAAAAAAAATGAAGAGATAATTTCTGCTGAATAACTCTTCTCTGTAGAAGCCACCAGTACATAGTCATTCACTAAATGAATGGCATTGTTAGTATTAAAATAAGGGATTGCATAATCTACAGTGTCCTGTTACCCAGTTCAGGGAGGGCATAACATGTCCCCATTTATCAGATATCTAGTTACCAAACAGCTGATTACAGATTTTAAAGGAATTAAAATAAAACGCATTCAGCATCCTGAGAATACAAAGAGCTGTGTGCATTGAGGGAGGTGCTTCACGAGCAGGTGGTTTCTTAGGACATCGATTCCTCTCCTCCTGTTTGTTCTTGAATTTACTCATCAGCTGTGTGTCCCACCAACCCACCAAAACCACCCTGTCAAGTTCACCAACCTGCACACAGCTAACTAGATACAATAGTCAATTCTCAGTCATCCTCTCACTGACCTCACAGCAGTATTTGCCCCAGTTGATCACTACCTTGTTCTGGGAACACCTCCTTCGCTTGCCTCTGGCCATCACCCTCTCCTATTCCTCTTCCTACATACTGGCAGCAACTTCACTGCAATCCTTGCTGGTTGCTCAGCTCCCAGATTTCTAAAGGCTGCGATGCCCTAGATTCCTTTCCTTGTCTCCCTACTCTCACTCACTTGGTGAGGTCATCCAGTCTCAAAGATTTAATACCATCTGCACCCCAATGGCCAGCAAATTTGTCTCCAGTATCAACCTTTCTGATTAATCCCAACACATATATCCCACCATCTCCCTCACTTGGTGGGCAAATGGGCACTGCAAAATTAAAAGCCAGATCTTCCCAGCACTTTGCAAGGCTGAGATGGGCGGATCACTTGATGAGGTCAGGAGTTTGGGACCAGCCTGGCCAACATGGTGAAACCCCATCTCTCCTAAAAATACAAAAATTAGCCTGGCGTGATGATGCATACCTGTAATCCCAGCTACTAGGGTGGCTGAGGCAGGAGAATCTCTTGAACCCAGGAGACGGAGACTGCAGTGAGCAGAGATTGTGCCACTGCACTCCAGCCTGGGTGACAGAGTGGGACTCTGTCTCAAAAAAAAAAAAACAAAAAACAAAAAAAAAAACAACACAGATCTTTCCTTAACCTGCTTCTCCCACCTCTCAGGAGATGACAACTCTATCCTTCCAATTCCTTGGACCAAACACTTCAAGGGTATCCTCTCACACTCAAATTCAATCTCTCAGTAAATCCTACTGGCCTTTCAGAATACCCGGAACCTGGCCACCTCTCAATCTCTTTCATGTGACTATTGCCATGGCATCCGAACTAGTTCCCTGATCCCACCCTTGCAAAGCCACCATTATCATTTTTAAATGTAAATCTGATAATACTTCTTAGCTCAAAGCCCCCCAATAGCTCCCCAAAACACTGACTGTAAGCCAAAGTACTGATCAGGTCTCTAGGGCTCTACACCCTCAGCTTCCCCTTGGTCACGATGCCTCAGGAACACTGACCGTCTCAGGACACATGCACTCGCTGTTCCCTTTGTCAAGAACATTCTTCCCCCATTAGCCACATTGCTCTGTGAAATCGTTCCCTGGTCATCCTAGTTAAAATTGCATCCCCACTCCTCCAAATCCACCTGTGGCCCTTCCTAATGACCTCTATCACATTCACGTGCTATGAATTTTACAATCATCTTTCTACCCTACCAGAATATCAGCTCCGAGAAGATAGGAACTGCTGTCTCTTTCATTCATTGCCACATCCTCAGCTCTCAGAACAGTGCATGGCACACAGAAGGCACTCAATAGATGTGTTTAATGAATGCACAGTGAATAGCAACCTTCTCCAGCCTTAGTGGAAGTGCCAATTAACTGGGCACTTTAGTTAACAGGCAATGGGTGAGGGGAGTTGGAGTTAGCCTGTATTTATCCATTCTCATATTGTTATAAAAAACTACCTGAGACTGGGTAATTTACAGAGAAAAGTTTAGTTGACTCATAGTTCTGCAGGCTTTACAGGAGGCATGGCTGGGAGGCCTCAGGAAACTGACAATCATGTCGGAAGGCGAAGGGGAGGCAGGCACACATGGCAGCAGCGAGGAGAGAGCACCAAGAGGAAAGTGATACACTGTCAAATCAATCAGATCTCTTGAGAACTCACTCACTATCACGAGAACACCTGGGGGACATCTGCCCCCATGATCCAGTCACCTCCCACCAGGTCCCTCCTCCAACATTAAGGATCACAGCTCGAGATGAGATTTGAGTGGGGACACAGAGCCAAACCACATCACACCCCCTAATGTGTTCCAGTGACACTGAACTCCACTGAAAGCTTCACTTCCAGAGCTAGCTAGGATTAATAAGAAAGATAAGTGGCATCATTTCAGAATACCAGGTAAATTAATATATCAGTCTGTTCTCACACTGCTATGACAACATACCTGAGACTGGGCAATTTATAAAGGAAAGAGGTTTAATTGATTCGCAGTTCCACATGGCTGGGGAGGCCTCAGGAAACTTACAATCGTGGTGGAAGAGGAAGCAAACACATCCTTCTTCATATTAGGTCAAGAAGAAGAATAAGAGGCAAGTGAAGGGGGACGCCCCTTATAAAACCATCAGATCTTATGAGAACTCACTCACTATCATGAGAATAGCATAGGGGAAACTGTCCCCATGATTCAATAACCTCTCACCAGGGCCCTCCCATGACACGTGGGGATTATGGGAACTACAACTCAAGATGAGATTTGGTTGGGGACACAGCCAAACTGTATCAATGGGGTTTGTTTTAATTTTAAAATCAGACATGAGAAATTAGCAAGTTTTAATAGAACTGTCAAGGAAACAGAACACGGAGAAAGGTAAATATAAGAAAAATAATTTATAAGAAAAACAATCTACCATTTTATAGCTAATCCTATTAAGTAAAGGATTTATTAACCTAACCTGAGAGAAGGCATAGAAGAAATCACCTCTACTTCTAAGGGCTTATTGGGCCAATGATGAATAAGAAAACAGGCCACCCTTCCACCCTCTGCCACCCTCTTCCTTCAGCACCAAACCTTGAAGAGCCCTACACACCCCCGTTCCTCCCCTGTCAGTATTCTATTCACCCTCTTGCCTTGGCAACCCTAAGGAGGCACAAGTCCCAGGGAAGTGGCTCACCCACCCAAACACCAACTGCAGCCAGTTATGTTAGCCAGAACTGCTTATCTCTCCAAGCACTGGCCAAGACTTCAGGGATTATGCCAAGATGCATTTTGCATTGATCAGCACTGATTTTAGATCTCCATTGACATGCTGTCCTGTAGGTCTCTAATCCTCTGATTTTATTTTGTAGTCGATGACTTAGGCTGCATTGTACAGAAATAATTCCGGGTGTCATATTCATGTACATTGCATCATTTCACACTCAAGCTTGAGGACCTGAATTTTAACTAACACTGCCCTATTCTAACACATTTCGCGTGCCAGGCTGCATGATATTTGCACCTCATTACAACATGACACAATTAGAATGCTGTAATAAGAGAGGGCACTGCATTTTCTTAAATGTTTGAATCATGGAAGTATCTTTGTTGGTATCAAGGAAGATGTATCATCTACAAACTAGAACAGCTTTTGAGATTGGTATCTGTAAATTGTGCTCACTCTTAAACCCACATAGCAGCTCCTTCCCAGAATTCAACACTTTTTTTTTTTTTTTTTTTTAAGAGAGAGATAGCTTTTGGGCTTTTCTGTCACCCAAACTGTAATGCAGTGGTGTGATCATAGCTCACTGTAGCCTCGAACTCCTAGGCTCAAACAATCCTCCTGCCTCAACCTCTCAAGTAACTGGGACTATAGGTGTGCACAACCACACCCACTCATTTTAACATTTTTTTTTTTTTGTAGAGACAGGCTCTCACTATGTTGTCCAGGCTGGTTTTAAACTCCTGGCCTCAAGCCATCCTCCTGCCTCAGCCTCTCAAAGTGCTGGGATTACAGACATGAGCCACTGTGCCCGGCCTCAACACATTTCTAATGATATGGCCACACTAAGTCACTGAGGCACAAAACCTGGACTTAAAGTTCTCCCTCTCACCACTCCCACGTGTATTCAGACCCTGCCAGGGCGCAGAGTACTCCTGTGTGGCGCCTCTTGCTGCATCCTTCCACCACCTTTCGGTTCTGAGGCCTCTGCTTGAGTTCAGGCCCTTTCAACTCTCACCAGGAGACAGGCCCAACAGCCACCTCCTCAACCCTCCCCATTGCCACGGCTCTGTCATCAAGACACCAGCTTTCAAAGCTCTGTATTATATCTCTATTATCTAGTGAATTCAGAACAAACTCCCTAAAAGTCAATGTCTCCCAAACTGTGATTCACAGACCACCCCAAAAGACTTACCTGGCCACCTGTTAGACATGCGGCCGTCACTATACATGACGTTACCAGAATTTCTGGGAGTTAAAGCCAAGAACTCTTTCATCCTGACTAGTGACTCTGATGTCCACTAACAGCTAAGTACCCACATCCTAAATCTTGCATTCAAAAGACAAGGCTAGACACATCTGGCTATGATGGACTAACATCTATCAAGCCAACCCCGACAAAACTAAAAAAGAAATAAAGACGAGCTGGCTGTTTGAAGGTAATAGAGAACAGCAAAGGCAACCAGGACTTGAGGGGTCACAACCCTGGAAAGACATGAAAGTGAATCCAACCTTCTCTCCCACATTTCCGTTTAAGGCTTTTCTGGTTCCACAGCAGCCCGCAGGAGAGGCCAGGCAGGAAGCAGCCAGGGCTCTGAGTACAGGAGAAGCACCATCTGATTGCTTTAATAAGAGCAAACAAGAGAATAAAGCCATCTTTCATTCTATCCTCTATAGATAACCAATGTGGGCATTTTGATGTATTTCCTTCTTGTCTTTTTTAAATATACAGTCATATCATCTCAGAATTTTAATGTATGAGAGCATTAGAACCTAAAAACATGAAGGGACTACCCAAAGGTCAAATAGTCCCCATTAAATATATTTTAAAATCCACCTTGTCCCATTTACAAGAGCCCAATCATATATTAAAAAGAGAAAAGAAGTAGATACACTATTCTCTAGAATTTTGAGTGGTAAGATTACAGGTTAAAATTAAGTAGATCAATGCGATTCATAATGCTAATGATGTAAATGTTTTTCCCTCATCCTCAAAACCTTTTATCAGGCCAAACTTACCCACCTAAGTGCCTCTAGGGGAGACGTCAGGCTCTAATGCCTCTTGATTCAAACCCTATTTGCTATCTACGCAAGCTCAGACACATCAGGGTTTGGTTTCCTTAACTCTAAGATGAAGATGATAAAAGCACCCGATATCAAATAAGCATTGTGAAGGCGAAATGAGATAATGCATGGGAAGCCTTAGCAAGAGCCTGGCCCTTAAAGAATCGTGATAAAGGCCAGGCGCGGTGGCTCACTCCTGCAATCCCGGCACTTTGGGAGGCTGAGGCAGGAGGATCGTTTTGAGCTCAGGAATTTGAAACCAGCCTGGGAAACGGAAACATAATGAGACCTCGTTTCTACTAAAGTTCAAAAAAAAAAAATTAGCCAGGTGTGGTGATGCATGCCTGTGGTTCCTGCTACTTAGGAGGCTGAGGCAGGAGGATCTCTTGAGCCCCGGAGGTCAAAGCTGCAGTGAGCCCTGAATATGCCACTGCACTCCAGCCTGGGTGACAGAGGAAGACCCTGTCTCAAAAACGAGAGAAAGAGAGAGAGAGAGAGAAATGCTATACATGTCAGCTGCTCACTGCTGCCTCCCTACTAAATTGCCAGCTTCCGGACACGGATTTCATTTACACCTAACTCACCTGGCTGTCCCTAGCATAAAGCAGAGTAATTGGTACAAAAAAGGAAATTTGTACTTTTTTGGTTTTAGCTTTTAGAAAGGGAGCTAATGGTTGAAATAAAAATCTAATGAAGGTTTATCAAAATGTCATTCACAATAAATATGTATGGTATGTTTATCTGTATATGTGTGTATATACACTTATGTATCTCTATAGCCTGTATACTTACAACGCAAACTGAAAGACTACAATATTCTCCTGTGTTTAAGAAGTTTTGTGAATTGTGTTTTGGGGTGAGTGCCATTCTGGATTAAGAACTGAAGCTGGTGTTTCTTGTTTGCTTCATTTCCCGATGCAGAGCACCTTGAAGATGGAAAGAACCTTGAGTCAACAGATAACTTACTAATTTACGTAGGACCCCACTAACCAGCACAGAGATGGGGGCACACTCCCTATTTTAGGTGATATGTGAAAACTTTCTGTGCAAACACAAACAGCTCCCATCAGAGGCCAATATTATATAGCCACTATGGGGAGGTAAACTCAACCAAGAGAAGCCGAATTCCTGTTTTTACCCTGAAGAGTAACTATTCAGTGGTTTGCTGAATACATCAGGGCATGAGTGTTTCTGGCTAAATAATACCTGCATGGAATTACATGTTGCAATTTTAGGAATAACGGAATTAGGTAAATAGGAAAAACAAATTATACATTAAAAAAGTTTACTGAATAGCTGATTAATTACTATGCAGCCAATTTTATTCACATCTTACAGGTGCGCTTCTCACTGGACAATTAACACCTGACCATGGCTGTCCACAGAGGAAATTGCAAACTGGTCCATAGATATGTTTTGTTTGGTCTACGTCAAAAAAAAAAAAGCTATAGACAATTTTGTGAACACTGGGAAATGTCACATAGAAACCCAGATTTACAGCTTCATTTGACAAGAACAAAAAAATGACAAAAATCAGAAGCTCTGGAAACTTCACATCCACAATCAGCAGAAACCAGACAACACATGGCTTTGGGTTTGCCACAGTCTCCACCACTCCCTACTGTCACGCCCCCACACTGCAACTTCTGACATTGCCTCCTGGCCCCTATAGGCAACCGTGTTTGCAATTCCTGTTACAAGTCTCAGTGTGATTCCTGTTACAAGTCTCAGGGCCATTCCTGGTCTTTGGTGTTCACTTCTGCAGTGTCTTTTTTATTCTGGACTCTCATGGGTTTTGCCAAAAGTACAGGTTCAAATTCCATCTACACTGATTCAACGTTCACAACGCCCACCTACTAAGACAAAAGAGCTTTTTGCTTTGAAATGCAACATGTTTGTGACTCAGTATTGCTCTTTTCTGATTTTTCTTTCCCTCACTTCTCATCTCCATGCTTTGTTCAAAGCCAAAACCTGAGTGCTAAGTGAGGAAGCTCAACTATTTTCTCGCAATGGAGGGGAGGGGGTTACATTCTGCTCCCCTATTCGAGTCAGGTCTGGAAATTCCACATGAAAGCTAAACAGGTCCTTTCGGACCCATGAAACATGCCCCTTCTGTGTGTTCCTGGGCTGAGCACTCACAGGGACAGGACGGAAGGATGCCCTGGGCCTGGGGTTTAACAGGTGGCTAAGAGCCCGAGGGGATACCAGCTTTAACTCTTCCCTCCCTATTCTGCAGAAAGGACACTTACAAGCCAAGGTTCATTACTCATCTACTTAAATATGTCACCACTGTCCTTACTGGAAACATTGTCTTTCTTAATCAGTTATTATGTATTAGCAAAAAACTGTGGACAGGCATTATGAGGAAGAGTCTGGCTTATGTCACCTATTTCCATAGAGTCCACATGAGTGGTGTAGACCCCTGATTCTCCCATTTTATCCTGTACCAGAATTCCCTGAGGAGTCTGTTAGCTTCCTGGATCCCACCCCCAGAGTTTCTGATTCTGCAGGTCTGGGGTGAGGCCCAGGAATTTACATGTCTATGTTCCCAGGTGAGGCTGGTGTTGAAGAAGTGAGTTCAAGAACAATGGTGACAGGATGTTGAGACGCCCCGCATGTATGTGCCTGGGAAACGGTCTCTTGAAAAGCTTGGTTTAAACACTCATTAAGTTTCTCTATTCCACGGTGCCAATCTCTACCGGGTTTTTTTAATGTGGGGGGTTCTTTTGGTAGACACAGGGTCTCACTATGTTGCCCAAGTTGATCTCGAACTCCTGGGCTCAAGCCATCCTCCTGTCTCAGCCTCCCGAAGTGCTGGGATCATAGGCGTGAGCCACTATGCCCGGCCTGTCCATCTCTGATTTGATCCAAGTAAGAATGAAGAATTTCTCCAGCTCCAGGAAGGGTTTTTCTTTAATCAGCTTTATGTAAAATTCTTCAAATTGGCCTGGGGTGCTTAGAATCAAACCACTTCAAACCATGTGTCTCCAGGCATCTTAATAGCAAAGAGTATTTATGTTTTTTTAAATACTTATTAGTAACAATTTAAGGCTTTAGTGTACAGAGTCGTTTCCTAAATGCCACCCACAGTTGTGTCATCTGCTCATGGTTAGTTTAAGACTCCAGTTGGTATCTCTGTTAAGATGGTGCTGACAACTTTAACAGGTGTTACATGAAGTCTGATCCACCCTACATATTAAGCTAGTTTTCCTCTATTTCAAAGATCATATTCCAACTAGTATTTTGACTTGATTCTCCTGAAGACAATGTAATATAAAATTACTGTGAGAACATGCAAAATTGTTCAATTAATGCATATGTAAGTAAAATTAGAAACACACACACACACACACACACACACACACACATCCACTCCCAATCCCAAAGCACTGAATTTCCCCTTTCCACAAATCTCTGAAAATAGGAAATAGAATGCTTCCTTTCACTAAAAGGTTATCCTCAGGAAAGCATGATTCAGATTATCATAATCGCCGCCTTTTCTGATAGAAAGCACGTAGGGGTTTTCCTCTGATGGAGCTGACAGACTGTCTCCTTTTGGGGGACTCACAGCTGGGTGTGAGCAAGGGGTTAAGGCTTCCAGGTTATTTTATTATCAGCCTCCCTCCTTAAGTTCCCTCTCCCACTCCCTCCCCTCTATGGAGAAGTGATATATTATGTGTTTAAAACTGCCCAGCTCTTGTTGAAAATTTCTCAAAATGCCATCTATTCCACCAAAAGTATGGGAGCTATAGTTTCTAAAGCAAACATTAGGATAGTCTTTCAGTAGGGCAAAATATTTTAAGTCAGATACACCAGTTTCTTTACTCAAATACTTTAAAAGTTTTCACATAGAAAGCTTTCTAATTTCTACATCTTATTGATTCGCATTCTAAGGAACTGCTTTGCTTTAATAAACAACCATATTTGCCCTTCTGATCCCAGGTTTAAAAATGTTCAATCAGCCATTTGATGTCAAAGAAAACAAAGTAGGCTAAGTCCAATTTCACAAAAACTCTATTCATAGATGAATAAACAGCTTCAGAAACTAGCCGCAGCAAAAAGTGCCAGAAAATAACAATGATGTGAACAAGGCAGAAAGACAGAGGGCGCTCTCTATTCTAAATGACCATCATACTTGGCCAGAGAGGAGCCAGGGGCAGAGGAGAGCATCTACCTTAGCCCTGGCAGGAGGGGAAAGAATGAGCAGACATCCCAACTTCAAATATAATGTTTACATTACTGAGATTGGAAGCTGTCAATGACCCAACTGTAACTAGAACTTGGCTTCACAAAGGCTGAAACTGCCAACACCTGAATCCAAGACACCATCGCCTCCAGAATACTGCAATGCCTTCCAGCTGGATTTCCTGAATTCATTTCTGCTCAAAAACCCTGACTGATCTTTCAACACACAGATCAAATACTGTCACTCTCTGCTTTCCACCGTAACTATTAAAAAATAAAAATAAAAAATTGCACCTCCCTGACCACGACTTGTAAGAACCTACATGATCTGGCCTCTGTGTGTCTCTCTCACCTGCTCTTCACCCATCACCCCCACCCTCGCTCTCATGACCCCACCACAACTTCCTTTTCTCAAACTCTCCAAGCCGGTTCGCACCTCAGGGCCTTTGCATGAGTTATTCCCTCTCCTAGAATGCCCTTCTCCCTAATTTTCTGATGGCTGGTTCCTTCCTACCATTCATGCCTAAATGTCACCTCTGAAAGGCTTTCTGATGACGTCATCCAAAGGAGTCCCCCACCCAGTCCCTCTCCTTCACCTCTCTGCTTTATTTTCTGATTTATGCTTATCAGTAGAAATTTTCTTATCATCTGTTTTGTGGTTGGTGGTGGCGTTTGTCACCCACACATCTACCACACTAAAGCCGGGACTATGGATTCCCAGCACTTAGAACAATACCTAAAACCGAGAAGATTCCCCTAAGAACAGGGGGAAAGCGTCCAAGGAAACAATGAGAAGACCGAAGACGGACTTGATTTAACTTACCTCCTGTATAACAACAAAAGGGTGAATGGAATTGTCATAAATTATTAATAAGCACATGAAGGGTGACAATCAGCCACAACAATATTAAACATTTAAATAAAAATATCCCAATTACACCACCAGTTAACTTGAGTTATTATTGATCATGAATAATAAGTGGGTAAACACATACGCCATACGTTATGCAAGGGGCTTTCCCTGTATTTCCTCTTTTAATTCCACACATATGCCATACGTTATGCAAAGGGCTTTCCCTATATTTCTTCTTTTTTTTTTTTTGAGATGGAGTTTTGCTCTTGTCGCCCAGGTTGGAGTGCAGTGGCACGATCTCAGCTCACTGCAACCTCTGCCTCCCGGGTTCAAGAGATTCTCCTGCCTCAGTCTCCTGAGTAGCTGGGATTACAGGTGCCCACCACCATGCCCAGCTAATTTTTTTTTTTTTTTTTTAGTAGAGACGGGGTTTCACCATGTTGGCCAGGCTGGTCTCAAACTCCTGACCTCAGGTGATCCACCCACCTCGGCCTCCCAAAGTGCTGGGATTACAGGCGTGAGCCACCACACCCAGCCTCCCACACTTGTTGGTTAGGAAGGAACTAGAAGGCACCACCTGGATAGAGCAGAAACCAGGGACGGGACAGGACCACAGAACAGAAGCCTGTGAGGCCTGGTCCCAGCTCCTCACCTCTGGACCTTGGACAATTCATTTCACTTCCAAAAGCCTCCTCCATGCTGCTCATCTGCAGTGGAAACTGCCTTCCTGTGCATCTCCAGGCTTCAGAAGAGTCAAATGAGAACAAATGCAGAAGTGCCCTCAGAGCTCATGAAAATAACATCTGATTTTTTCACTTAAAGCTTACATAATGGGTAAGCCAGTGATGACACGCCAGAAATAGCATAAATGAGAGGAAAGAGAGAAAGCAAGGCAAGAACGCTCAGGTCCGGGAGCTAGAAGACAACACGCTGGGTGAAAAGAGAGGCAGTGACACAGGCATGGGGACACAGACGGGAGGGCCCCTCTCGCTTCCTCACAATAAGGGGAATGCACGAAGGAGCCGGAGCAGGAGTTGTCACTTGCCAATCTCCATGGATAAAGGATGGAGCTACCCCAGTCTCAGCGCAACTCATATATTTGTGCCAAGTTTTTAGAACTGCCATGGTTATTTATTCCTGAAATGACATTTGGTGTCATTTCCCATCAACAATAAAATCTCCACCAAAAGTCAGTTAAGTGTGGTAAACCCCGTGTGGTCACCAACTATAGGATAGTGTGACTAGCCAAAAGCCCATCTCATCCTCCTAGGTCCTACTGAGGATCCTGAGAACAAACTTCAACCACAGTGACCACTGACCACCCCACAACTCCCTTCTTACTACTTGTGTTAAAGATTTTTTTTTAAAGGGGGGCAGGGGTTGGTCCTGAGCATGGTGGCTCCCATCTGTAATTCCAACACTTTGGGAGACCGAGCCGGGAGGATCACTGCAGACCAGGAGTTCCAGACCAGCCTGGGCAATACCACAAGACCCATCTCTACAAAGATTTTTTTTTTAATTAGCCAGGTGTAGTGGCATGTGCCTGTGGTCCCAGCTACTTGGGAGGATGACACAGGATGATCACTCAAGCCTCAAGCCCTGGAGTTTGAGGCTAAAATGAGCTATGATCGTACCACTGCTTTCTAACCTGGGCAAGAGAGCAAGACCCTGCCTCTTATTTAAAAAAAAAAAAAAGGCTGTTATAAGAACTCTTCAAGGAATAAGGAAGAAATCTCAAGGGAAATGTCTCACTTATTTTGCTAAGAATTGCCTGATGCTGTTGCTAGGTGGTGCTTATAAATATAAGCACACACCGTAAGACTGGTTTTTTACTTTAATTAGTGGCAAAGACAAGCCTTCTCAAATTAAGTGTCATCATTCCAGAATGTAAATAAAACAGCTGGAGTACATACCAGACCAGATAGCCCAATACTACAATAGCAGGACTCTAGCAAAGTTTGAAAACACATTTGCAGCTACGTGCTAGAACAGTGCTTCTCTAATTGTGATGGGTGCACGAATCGCCAGGGGATCTTATTAAAATGCAGATTCTGATTCGGCAGGCCCAAGCTTCTGCATCTCTAACAAGCTCCCAGGTGATGCTGAAGTTGCTGGTCACAGACCAGGTACCAGACAGGGGCCAACAGTTGACAGCAAAAACCATCCTATGCCATGCTCACTGCAAGCCCAGGTACTATTTTTTAAAAGTGAGGAAATATGGCTCAAACTAATTTACCCAAGGAAAGCTCACGAAATTTGCAAGAGGCATTTATCACTCCGCTAATCAAGAACCTTCCTGATCAGCTGCAAGTTCTGCCCCGGATCCTCTGACCAGCTGGTAAACGGCAGAGAAATCTCTTTGACACTGACAGGTGCCCCTGGATGATAAGAATACACCTTATGAAAGACTTCACTGCTCAGAGAAAACAGTTTGTGTCCTGGAGCTATAGGAAAAAGGAAGAGAGAAAGCAATAAAAACAAGGAGTAGAAATGTATGGAGAGCTTACATAAGATCACACAGTCAAAAGCAGAACTGGGATACAAACTGAGTCCGGCTCCAGAGCCCATGCTCTGAACCATTCAGCTCCACCCCCTGGTACAAGTAATCAAAGTGACAAAGTGATGGAGTACAGGAGAGCCCCAAGGAGACCACAACTACTAATTAGGGGACCCTGAGCAAATTCTCTCTCTGCTTCAGTTTCTTTAATATGGGCTGGAAATTATTCAAACACCTCACTGGGTTTTCTAAGGATGAAATCAAAGAGGCTGGACAGGTGCAATGTCTCACATTTGTAATCCCAGCACTCTGGGAGGCCGAGGTGGGAGGATCACTTGAGCTCAGGACAAGATCAGCCTGGGCAACAGAGTGAGACCCCATCTCTGTATTAAAAAATAATAAGTAAAGAAGTTTTATAATGAGAGAGCCTAAATAAACACTTAGAACAGCGTCTGCCAAGATAATAAGTGCATCAATCAATGTTTTTCTGTTATTAAGAGAATTTTATCACTGGAGTGCAGGAGAGTGAATGGAACCAAGGAGAGGGTGGAATGAAGAGCTTTTCTGAACTATGGCCAAATGGTAGACCTACGGCTGCTAAAACAAAAAGGCCTCCCTTTCCCAGGGACCACAGAGACTAAAAGAGAAGGTATAACCTAAACTGGAATCAAGGTAACAGAAAGAACTGCCTCTGTCTGGACGGTGGCAGGAAGGGCCTAACAGTGCAAGGTAGTACATTGCAGTTGACCTGTGATGTATCAGATCTCTGTAGTTAACTTGGAAATTCCAGACTTTCCATGGCCAAATAGTCAAGCACCTTAAGACTGCTATGTGTCATAAACAAATAGACACGACAGGGAAAGAGCAAGTCCCGTGGCTTAGACCTTGAGCAAGAAAGCCCCCTTTTCTCTTGGTTGGTGATGGGGACTGCTACCAACACTAGCAGCACCAGAAGCTGGCCAGAGAGACTTCTGTCCTGGGACCAAAGGTGGGTTTTAGAGATGTGCTGACTCAACTACACAATTTTATTATTATTATTATTTTTTTTTTTTTTTTTTTGAGACAGAGTCTCACTCTGTCGCCTAGGCTGGAGTGCAGTGGCACGATCTCGGCTCACTGCAGCCTCCGCCTCCCGGGTTCATGCCATTCTCCTGCCTCAGCCTCCCGAGTAGCTGGGACTACAGGCGCCCACCACCACACCCGGCTAATTTTTTTTGTATTTTTTAGTAGAGATGGGGTTTCACCATGTTGGTCAGGATGGTCTCGATCTCCTGACCTTGTGATCCGCCCACCTCGGCCTCCCAAAGTGCTGGGATTACAGGCGTGAGCCACCGCGCCTGGCCAACTACACAATTGTTGAGAGCCTACCCACTCGAGGCTGATCAACAGCCAAGGCTAGGACAGTTCTGCTGGGACAACCAGTCCCACGTCTTCCTCGTCGAAGGCACTCCCCAGTGGCCTTTTTAAAGCAGAAAAACGACTTGTGGTAGCTGCATTTGACAATGAAATTTCTCATATTTAAATCAAGCTTAGAGAAAAGGACCTCATATAAGTTCAGATTTTGACCTAAGAAGGTTGGACAGGAATGAAGATATAATGCTTTTTCTAAAACAGGGCTGGATATAAGTAGGGAATGTGGCACATGTGTACTCTGAGAACTGAGCTATGAAAATCAGTGCATGTAAATCCCTGTTGCCTGCCTACCAATATCTATTCTCCCCTTTTTCCTTTCTGACCAAACTCCAAGTTTTTTTCAGGGCCACAATGTACCAAACTTAAAAAAAAAGAAAGGAAGGGAAAAAGCAAAAAAGGAAGAAGAAATGAAAAGGAAAAGAAAGGAAAAGAGAGGAAAGGGGAGGAAGGAGGTAGTGAGGGAGGGAGGAAAGAGAAAGAAGAAAAGAAACAAAAGAAGGAAAAAGAAAGAAATTACAGCAACCAGCCTTCCCTGCTGCATGAGGTGGCCATGTGACATTTCTGGCACCTGAGATGTAAACCAGGTCACTTGACAGTTTTTCAAAGAACTCTTTAAAGGGGAAGACTTGGCTGCTACCTGTCTTCTGTCTTCCATGAGACTCCCTTCTGCCTGGAATAGGAAGACAATCATGCAGGAGCCGCCACCTTGCACTGAAGCATTAAGTATGAAAATGAACACCATGTGCCAGGCCATACCCTACGCCATGTGCTACGAATGGCTGAACAAGATGGCAGCGCCATGGAACCCCAATTTGGTTAACCCACTGGGTTTTCTGTTATGTGCGGCTAACCCTACACGTTGTAAAAGATCATTTGCTTTGCAAAGGCCTTTACTGAACTGACTGGCAAGGCGCCATGAACTAGGAATTAATTTGACTTACAAATAACTTTCTGACATGAACTAAAGATAGAGAATAACACAGACATATACTGGATGAGACTCCTCCGCTACCATATGCTATTCAGACCGAATCCTGAAGTTCTATTCATAAATGTAAAGATTGTCGGTGTGGTCTAGATGTGGCCTTGGGAAGAAACTCCTGAGAAAATGGAGTGGAGTGAAGCCAAACCACCTGCTCTGCTGGGTGACATCGGTCAATCTGTGTGTGACTCGGTTTCCTCAACTGCAAAATGGAAATAACTGTTCCTACCTCAAAGGTGGTGGTGCCTATTAAATGAGCTGATATTTGTACAATGCTTAGACATGTGCCTGACACACTGCTTAATAATTACTGAGGATCCACTAACATTACGGTAAAATTGGTGACAGTGTAGCTAAACATTAATAATAAAAGCCAGACAGGTTAATTCATTCTGTAGACAAGAACTTCTTTCCTAAGGCACACATCTGTCAAATAACAAGGAGGTGAGATCCAGCTGTCGACTGTGGCCAGGTTTAGACAGTTTTAAATCTAAGGCCTTCTATGGTTCTCATAATCGCCCTACCCAGATTCATGCAATACCAAGAGTAGCAAAGTCTACATGAAGAGCTGCTTATCAGTAGCATGTATTTATAAAATAAAGGTTGGGTAAAGAGATTAGCAAAGAGCACTAAAAATAGTCCTATAAGCAGACGAGCTTTTGTAAGTCGATAGTTCATTAAAAAGTCAATACTTGAGCATCATTATTATGAGAAATATTCAAGTAATGGGTCACGCAACTTGGAAGATTGCAGCCTCTTATCATCTTAGCCATCTTTTTTAGATTCGAACACAGAACGTATCCAGGTCTTTCTACTAAGCTGTATTTCAGGGTCCAAAAGGGCACAGGCATTTTGTATAACGTAGTCAAGTGCCAACCACAGGTATGTAACCTAGTAAGTATCGTAGGTATTGAGCCAGCCATAGATGTTCTTTCAGGTCAGGAGAAAACTTTTCCTAGATGAAAGTAACTCAACTAACTGATAACGTCAAGGCAACTGGCTAACAAAAACGTTTTAATCTACTTTCCCTTTTAAATACTCAACAAACATAACAGGATGTGATTTTACGCTTCTCCTTTTCCAATCCCAAGAGGGACAAAAACAACAACAACAACAACAACAAAACCAGACACAAATCTTGAGGGTGTGAAGATCTCACTCCATAATCTTCCTGTGCGCCTGTTACCATTTTTCTGATTGTACATTATCAACTAAGCTGGCAGAGGCTCAGAAAAGCCAGGGTGATAAGATGTAACCCTTTCTTTCTGCTACAGCAGAACTGTCCAATAGAAATATAATGGAAGCCACAAATGTGAGCCCTGTGTTATTTTAGATTTTCTAGGAGACATATGTAAGAAGGTAAAAATAAACAGGTGAAGCTTATTTTAGTAATATATTTTATTTAACCTAACGTATCAAAATACTATCATTTCCACATGTAATAAAAAGTATTAAGATATTTCATGTTCTTTTTTTTCATACCAAGTCTTCAAATGCCATGTGTATTTTAGACTTACAGCACATTGCAATTCTAACCAGCCACATTTCAAGGGCTGCAGAGCCACAAGTGGTACTGGTTACTAAGTTGGACAGAGCGGCTCTAGAAGTCAACAGTAGCTGAAATTTGCAGTGTCTCAAGTTGGCTCTATGAGGGACATACAGATAAAATACATATCAACTCAGTTTCAGGAAGCTGCCAGCCTAGGGAATTTGGCAGCATCTTGAATGGAGGAACACACCTCATTTCAAGCTAGCGTGGGCATGGATGGCTTTTAAGCTCATGCTTCCTACCAAGTACTGGCAATGCCACTTACTCTTTACCAAGGGAAACCTAGTCACCAAGGCAGAAACATGTGTTGTTTTTAGCTTCATTTTATATAGGAGTCCAGGAAATTCTGCTCACTTGACAAACCCGTTCTCAAGGAGTTCTCCCAGAGGAGCAGGAAATGGTCAGACATACCCACTGACACACCCCACACACCTCGGACATCCTATTCCACGTGGTCTATGTGTAAGTCACAGGCGTGAGAAATGAGATGTAGCGGTGATCAGTTTTCATTATGCTGCAGCCATGGGTGGGACGGTTTGAAAGACGACCTGGTCTTACCAGTATTACCTACCTCACAGGCTTACTGTGATGACCAAGGACAATAACAGAGAGAGCTCTTAGCAAACTGTAAAGCGCTACACAATTCTAGTTATTACTGAGAAAGAACACCATTCCTCACCTGGAAGAGCAGATAGAAAAACAAATAGTAACTTGAAACAGAGATGTCGTTGGGGGTGGGGGGAAACCATGAAAATACAGATTGTTCTTGGTGGACTTTGTTCTCTTGAAAGTACAGAAAAGGGTTGAGTAAACTCTAGTACCTTTCCCTCGAAATCGTAGGAGACATTGAAAAGTAAGCGAGCCAGCTAGGAGGACAAGCTTCTACCTCTGCTCATTCCCCCCACCACCCCCCCACCGCCCCAGCCCCACTGCCTTCCTCATCCCAAATATTGTATGAATCAAGACAGTGGTTCCAAACAATTATATTTCTCCTTCCCAGTGCTTACATGTGGCCTGAAAATGCAGCGCCACCGGGGATACTGGCGCCTCCCGGAGCAAAAGTCACTGCCTCCCGGGGAGTCCTGGCTCGAGGTTTCTCCCTGGCGCAAATGCTATGGTGTTGGCTTTTGCGCGGCCCTCTCGCCTTCTCCAACAAAAACAGACAGGCTCGGCGGACCCGCCGGAGTCTCCCTCTACCTGTCCGACAGCCCTGTCACGCCTGCGGACGGCTCTGGGCAGGCGGCATGGACGAGGTCCCGCGGGAGTCACCCACACAAAGGCACCTTGTGCCTCTGCACTCGGGCCCCCGGGTCGCCGGGCACCGCACCGGGGCCAGGCAGGGAGAGCGCCCCCCGGCCCGAGTGCCGAGTCCCGAGATCGGCATCCCCAGCCCTCAACCGCCACAGAAAGGCCACCCCTACTCCCTGGTTTAAAGATAGGGCTCCCCTCGGCTTGCCACAATCCGCACCCTGGAAAGGAAGAGCTCGGAGCAGGTACGAGAGATAGGAGCGCACAGGCCACTCGGCAGAAGTTTGCATTGTCACCGGGCTGTGCCCTCACCGCTTCTCGCCGGGAGGAAGGGCCAAGTACCCTCTTCCCCAGCTCCTCGTCCGCCCCATCCCCGAGGCTGGAGGACTCCGGACCCCCCCAAGGCCCGCGCACCTCTAGTCCAGTCCACCACTTGTTTGGGGCTCCACTTGGTCACGGGTTCCATGGTAAACCGCTTCGCCTCTCGCTGGGCTGGAGAGTCGCAGATAAAGTGCTGCTGCCTGCGCTCCGGTGCCCCTTCCCGGGAGGGCGCGCCCGCGGCTGCTCCCCTGCGCCCGAGCGACTCCGTCAAGACTGCATGGCCGCGGTCAGCCAGTCGTCCCAGCGCGGCTCCGCCAGGGGAGCCCGGCCCTCTCCCTCCAGCTGCCACAGTCCAGCTGCAGCTCCTCCTTCCCCCGCCGCCGCCGGGATCCCGGGCACAGCTGCTGCTCCCGAGCGACGGCAGCTGCAGGCACGCCGGGCTGCGACCCCAGACCCCTGGCCTCGGCTCGGCACGGGAGCCTCCCGGCCCGCGACCACTTCCTCGGATCTCTCGAGGCGCGATCGGCTCTCCCTCGGCCGGTCTTCTCGCCTGCTGGCTCTCCGGGGTCCCCGCTCCGCGTGCGCTGGCGTCCCGGAGCCTTCCCGGCGCAGGTCCCACCTCCTGCGCCGCCCTCCCGTGCCGCCCTGGCAGGGCCGAGCGCAGAGCGTGCGCGCTCGGGTTGCAAAGTTTCAGCTCCGGTTGCTGCAAACCGAATAAAAGAGAGGGCGGGGCCGAGGGTCTAGGGAAACTCGTGGGAGGGGGCGGGTCCGCCCGAAGCGGCGGACTCGGGTTACTTTCCCTCTCTAAGCCGGTCCGGCTCACACCCGCAGCGTCCCGGGCCCCGCTTTCCTTTTCAAGGGGCGGGTTGTAGATCGCGCGCGCACCCTGGAGAGCCCGCTGGTTTGTGTGAGGCCCTGGCCCTGTGGGTAGCAGAACACTCTGTCTCGCTGTGAGCAACAATACACTAAAAAAAAAAGAAAAGAAAAAAAAAAGTAAGATCTGCATGTTCTGTTCATTTTAAATGCTTTATATCGTAATACTACTCTGCCATTAAGCCGTCATTTTAGGTTTCTTAAAGTAGAACAATTTTTTTTTTTAGATGGAGCCTCGCTCTGTCGCCCAGGCTGGAGTGCAGTGGCGCGATCTCAGCTCACTGCAGCCTCTGCCTCCCAGGTTCCAGCGATTCTCCCGCCTCAGCCTCCGGAGTAGCTGGGATTACAGGCGTCTGCCACTACGCCCGGCTAATTTTTGTATTTTTAGTAGAGACAGGGTTTCACCATGTTGGCCAGACTGGTCTCGAAATCCTGAACTCAGGTGATCCGCCAGCCTCGGCCTCCCGAAGTGCTAGGATTACAGGCCTGAGCCACCGCGCCAGGCCAGAACAATTTTATTTCATTTATATGTTGACTGAAATCGTAACAATGTAACTCTTTTAATGCTATTGCTATGAAATTTCAACTTTGCGACTAAAATTAGATTGATGGCTTTTAGCGTTATATTTTGCTATATTATAATTTCATATTTACAGAGTGAGCTAATGCTCCTTGGGATTAGTCATTAACCGTGAGAGGAAAGCTGTTAGCCAAGAAAAAAAAAATAGCTCGTGCACAATTTCAGCGCCTGGCAGGGGAGGGCCCTTCCACATTCATGGACTGCAACTGGGGCCAGAGTTAATGCTAAACTGGGGGAAAATCTAATTTGAATGCCTGCCTCTCCTTCAAGTTCTCCCTGCATCCTAACCGCCCCCCCAACCCCTGCCACCCTCGCCACCACCCCTCCCCTCACCCCCCAACACCCCCCCCAACCCCCCACCCCCGCCCCGCCCCGCCCAGCAACCTCTTCCTCCCACTCTTTTTGGCACTGAATGATTCTTACTTTCAATTACGGTTATTTATTTACATCTTCCTCTTGGAGACTATTAACCCCTTGAGGGCAGAACCTACTTGATCTCATATAGAGTTTTCTCTCCTCCCTTTCTTCCTACCACCTAACTTGTAGCACCCAGCACGGGACCAAAGGCAAGGTTGGTATTTATTCATTCAGTAAATATCCGGGAATGCTTCCTATGTGCCAGCCACTGTATTCATTCAGTATTTGTTGAATTCGTGTGATATGTGCTACTTACACAGGTCTGTTTGGACGCACATGTGGAAAAATAGCTAGCAGCCAGCCTAGCATCTGATGAGCTGGAGCATCCAAGCAAAAGAAACATTTTTAAAAAGCAAAACATCAGACCCACCTCCCATTCAACTCCCCTAGAGGACTGGGCAACACAGAGACACACAACTATCAAATATAGTGATTCTTTTTCTTCATCTAGCGAAAGTGACTGGCAGACCACACAAGTTGGCAAAGGCAATGACAAAATTCCTGATATAGTAGTTGTCCTTAAAAAAAAAAAAAGACCTTTAAACTTAATGACATCCAGCATTAACCATCTTTACAGCAGTCAGCAGAGAGAAGGACCTTGACACTGGTTCACTGGAAAGGGTAACCAACCTGATGCACACCTTTTGTTTCAGCAATCACTGCCTGTTGTGTGATTTCTGATTATGATTAGGGTGACCACATAACTTACCTCCAAATCAAAATATTCTTGAGCATGAAAGAAGCAACTATCAAGAATTACATTGGAATAACATGAATAAACTGGGCCATACGGTCCCCACAATTATAAAAGAAAGGTCAAATATTAATGATTTTGCCGTGGAATTTTACTTGATGTTTTCACGTCTTCAGATTCATTGGCAGTAGTCTTTACCAGAAGAGCTAAAACACTAAAATTCTGCGAGTCAAGCAAGAGTTTGCAAAACATCCCACGGAGCCAACACACTATCTATACTTGGTACATAAATACAGCATAGCTAAAGAGGAAGGCCACGCTAAGATCTCTAACCCGGAAGACCAATTAACTATCTAAATGAATTAGCATTCTGTTTACACTTCAACTTCTGGAAGCTAATTACTATTTAAATAAAGCCTTCTACCTTAATTACAGCTGTTAGCACGTGAAAGTTTTAGGGAGGCCTGCCTTCCTAGCTGAAATGCAAACTTGAGGACATACAAAGCTATTAATGGCATACAAAGCTAATAAAGGCAGAATCTTAAGTAAATGGCTTTAAAAATTAAGTATATATAAAAGGATAATTTGTAAATTTGCTAACTTTTCTTCTCTGCTAGCTAAAATCTGTAGCTATTACACCATATGTTCACGCACATTACCAAACTGCAGCTATGCCATCTTCCAGATCAGAACTCTTCATTTGTGTCTTAATGTTTACTACAATTCCTCGCACATACAAGGAGTTCAATAAGCCTTTTTAAAATTGAATTAATATGTAGAACAGATACTAGAACCCAGATCTTCTAGATTTCTTTCCAGCTCTTCCGTTTTTCTGACTTTGACCCTTCTTGCATGTTTAAGTCATTTATTCAGTTGATGAAATACGTATTAGGTACTCACTAAACTAAGCACTAGGAGGATTCAGAAATGATGAGTAGCCTTTTAGATCAAAAACACCATGTGACTTTCTAAAGGTGGATTTCTTCTGTAGTCTTTCATCCAAGGAAAGTGACCTGGTAAATAAACACAAACAAGGGAGTTCGAGGACCAATGTGATATTAACGTTTTAAGCTTGTTCAAAATTTATTACTTCTTTATGTGAGAGCAAGGGATGGAGTATTTTGGATTGGTGGTTATACCTATAATTTGATAAACACAGAGGAGCAAATTAAGCAAACTTTTAAGCAAATTATTAATCTGCAAAAAGCCAGTCTCCTTCCCCAGTTAAAAACAATGTAATGTTTTCCAGAATAAAAGAAAGAAAGAAAGCAAGTTGCTCTAAATATTCAACTTTATTTCGCAATCTGAGGTTCTTCTCTTATTTTCTTTCCCTCACATTTCTTTTTAACTATTTTCAGAAAATTCAAAATTATTTAATTTTTTCACATATAATTGTCTCGTGTATGTTCTTAAGTTATCTTTTATCTTGAGAGATACCAAAAACGTCTGCAGTTTTCTGCCTGGAAAATATCCTACAGTTAGAGCTAAGCATTCTTATCTATGACATTACATCAGTGCAAAGTCATCACTGGTTAACTAAATTATCCAGACTGCTCATGTTCTTGTCTTTCATTTAATTCCATTTGGTCTGAATTCTTCACACCACGGTAATGTAGTTATCTCCCTGAACATGCCAGGTTCCCTATCAGATAATTCAGGTAGTAAAGACTTCAAACTTTATTATATTTTATTTTTCAAGTGCTGCCTCACTTATTCAAATTCTTCTGATCATTCAGGAACGTTAAGTCATTCTACAGTTGGAAAGCTGGTATTTGGCTTTCTTTTACTGAGCCCTATCTCTAACTCAAAGATCAATGTCAATTAGATAAATATTCAAAAACCTCACCTACTTTAAATCATACTTGGAAAAGTTGATTAATCTTTTCTAATAAAAAGAGAAACATTGATGTTGCTAAATTCTATTTTCAAGGCCTTATCGTTGTACCTTGGAAGAGTTGATAGATGAGGCAGTACCCACAAAAGAACTGGATGTCCTTGCCCTGAAGTGCAGAAGCTACTAACGAAGGAGGGTGCCACAGACAAAGAGGGAACAATCAAGCCTGCATTTTTTCCTGTGGATTTTTATTACTTTTTGTACCCCCTATCGAGTTGCAGATTATCCAAAAAGAACAGAATGCCATTTACACCAGCTGTTCTTACAGTTCCAATTTAACTTTATGGGACTCATAATCTCAGAACAAGTCAATATAATACCAAGAGTTTCAGACTCGGTGATTTTTGCTTCAATCATAAATTCTATGCTGATAAGGACAAAGTCTCAGGGTGAAAAAAGATTAATGAACATCACTCTAAACCTAAAAATAAAACAATAATTAAGTTAGGCAATGTAAAAATATAACATTTGGAAATAAAACGCAGATTTGGCCGGGGTTGGTGGCTCATGCTTGTAATCCCAGCACTTTGGGAAGCCAAGGCGGGTGGATCACTTGAGGCCAGGTGTTTGAGACCAGCCCGACCAACATGGTGAAACCCCATCTCTTATTAAAAATACAAAAATTAGCTGGGTGTGGTGGTGGGTGCCTATATTCCCAGCTACCCAGGAAGCTGAGGCAGGAGAATCCCTTGAACTCGGGAGGCAGGAGAATCCCTTGAACTCGGGAGGCAGAAGTTGCAATGAGTCAAGATCATGCCACTGCACTCCAGCCTGGGTGACAAGAGTGAAACTCTGTCTCAAAAAAAAAAAAAGAAAGAAAGAGAAAGGAAGAAAGAAAGAAAGAAGAGAGAGAGAGAAAGAAAGAAAGAGAGAAAGAAAGAAAGAGCAGGTTTGAGTATCCTAAACGCACTAAGCTAAAATTTTTTAAAATCTCTACAATGTTAACAAGAACATAAAAATAGTTTATATATTGTTTTATGTATTCAAGACACTTCTAGTAAAAATAAATAATAACAATTTAAAAATATGTATTGTTTTATATTTTTCTAACTTCAGTTTGGCATAACAAATATTTAATAATCCTGTTTCAAATAAAATAGAAATATATACCCAAATGCCCCAGACTATAACTAAGGAGCTTTAATTAACTTTGAGCTCAGTCTAAAAGTTGTCTGCTCTTCCATTACTTAGCTACCATTCCATACAGAGGAGGAGACTTTCTTCTAGTTTCAACCTACCAAAGGTATTTAAATTCTGCAGCCATTGCTAATCAACACATCCAGATTTTTACTAAAGGCACATATATGTTTCCCCTTTGGGATCCTTAGACATTTGAGCCTGTAACAGGAGACTATTCCTTAATTTTCCACAACTAGCTCCTTGCATTTGGAAATACTATAACCATTTGGGATGGGAGAGCGGTGGAAAGAAAAAGAACGTAGAAAAGCAGGAAGTGTTTCAGTCTACTTCAACATCAAAAGGGAAAGGATGAAAATTAATACCAATCAGGGTTTCCTGTAGGCAGTCAGATGATTTCATAGGATTTTGAGAACACTCCCAAAGGTCTCATAGAACAGGAAAACTCACACTTACTGCCAAAAAGTCAGCAAAGTGATTGTTGAAATCCACAACCAGCTCACAAATGATAGCGACAGTCATTGTTTTACAGTAATTGTTTTAATACATGCGCATTCCATTCTGGGAAAACTCCCAGATCAAATCTCTTTTTCCGTTCGAGTTCTGTATAACTTTTGCTTTTGGTTACAAAGGAATGGGCTTCTATCCGTTTCTTTTCCACTTTTTTTCCCATTCTCCTGGGCCTAGTCCCAGAGAAACAGCTGGAGTAACAGGCAGGTGGCAAGAGGGATTTCAGAAGCTGGAGGAGCCTCAGTTTAGGGAGCCACAGAAAGCCCTTGGGTGGTTAAACCAGTGTTACCTGAGTCCAAGGAAATCTCTGCTGCTAGTGGAGAGAACCCAAGGGAGAACCTGAATAACACTGGGAAATTAAGGCCACAGACTTCACTTCTGTCCTGCTCCAAGTTACATCCCCTGGGTGTACCGCTCAGCGGCCAGCCAGATGGAGTATGGGGTTTCTATCTATTTAATATTTCTCCTAGCACGAAAGGACAAGAGACATAGGGCCCACTTCATAAAGCACCTTCTTAAGGTTTAAGAAGGACAGGAATACAAATGCAATGCTGGTCTCACCTGGGAGGACCACGCAGTGCCATCGAAGGGGCCAAGTGTGCCAACTGTGTCACTCCTTTTCCAGAGTCACCTCCTCTGCCTTTGCGTCCATGTCTTCTTGTGAGATAACTTCATTTCCACTAAAGTGCTGGCCTAAGATTTCCCTTTTCTTGGAAAATTCATGTTTCCAAGAGGAACACTTCGCGATCCCAACTAACTTTATTATCCCAATCTCTTACCCAGTTTATAACTGGCCCTGTAACCTTGAGCAAGTCAGCTTCTTTGGGTGGAAAGGAACATTAAGGATCCTTCTAGCTGTAACATTCTCTTTTCTAATATTGAGATATCAGTTGTTGAGGGCAGCTAAGGAAGGGGATTTTATTTATTTATTTATTTATTTGTTTATTTATTTTGAGAGGGCTCTGTCACCCAGGCTGGAGTGCAGTGGCATGATCATGGCTTACTGCAGCCTCAAACTCCTGGGCTCGAGCAATCCTCCAACCTCAGCCTCCTGAGTAGCTGGGATTTTAGGCACGTGCTACCATGCCTGGCTAAGATTTTTTGTTTTGTTTTGTTTTTGTAGAGACAGAGTCTTACTATGTTGCCCAGGCTGGTCTCAAACTCCTAAACTCAAGCAATACTCCTGCCTCGGCCTCCCAAAGTGCTGGGAGGTGTGAGCCACACTGCCTGACCAAGAAGCCATTTTTGAATGAGAGAACAAATGAATTCCTTCCTGTCTGCCGTGAGTTCACATGGCTTACTGTGGTTGTGTAAACTCACTTGCTGAATTGGTTTTGGAAACATTAGGTTTGAAAATTGGAAATGGCCAGGCATAGTGGCTCATGCTTGTAATCCTAGCAATTTGGGAGGCTGAGGTGGGTGGATCACTTGAGCCCAGGAGTTCGAGACCAGCTGGGGCAACAGGGTGAAACCCTGTCTCTACAAAATAAATAAATAAATAAATATAATGAGCCAGATGTGGTTGTGCGTGCCTTGGTCCCAGCTACTCAGGAGGCTGAGGCAGGAGGCTCACTTGAGCCCAGGAGGTCGAGGCTGTGGTGAGCCATGATTGTGCCACTGCACTCCAGCCTAGGTGACAGAGTGAGACCTTGTCTCCAAAAAGAAAGAGAAAAGAAAAGAAGAGGGAAGGAAGGAAGGGAGGGAGGGAGGGAGGGAAAAAGACAGAAAGAAAGGAAGGAAGGGGAGGGGAGAGGAGAGGACGGGAGGGAGAGAGGCAAGCCGGGCATGGTGGCTCACGCCCGTAATCCCAGCACTTTGGAAGGCCAAGGCGGGCGGATCACAAGGTCAGGAGTTCGAGACCAGCCTGGCCAACATAGTGAAACCCCCGTCTCTACTAAGAAAAAAAAAAGAATTAGCTGGACATGGTGGCAAGTGCCTGTAGTCCCAGCTATTTGGGAGACTGAGACAAGAGAATCACTTGAACCCGGGAGGCGGAGCTTACAGTGAGCTGAGATTGCGCCACAGCCTGGGTGACAGAGTGAGACTCCAAAAAAAGAGAGAGAGAGGAAGGAGGGAAGGGAGGGAGGGAGGGAGGGCCTGGTGACAATGGGATAGAAAGGAGATTCAGGGTTCCGTATATTGTTTATATATTTTAATATAGAATGAAGATACACAATTTATCAGAAGCTATCAATAATGCAATGATAGCAAATCATACTTTGCATGTCAAACTGAGGCATTTCTGTCAGTATTAAAATAAAGATATTACATCCACAGAGAAATACTTGTTGCCATTATTGGTCATCAGATGCCAACTCAGGCTCCCCTTGAGGGTCTGACTCCCCAAGAAAGAGACACCATCTGGTGTGATGGTTAATTTTAGGTACCAGTTTGACTGGGCTAAGGGATGCCCAGAGAGCTGGTAACACGTTATTGTTATTTCTGGGTGTGTCTGTGAGAGTGTTTCTGGATGAAATTAGCATTTGAATCAGTAGGCTGAGTAAAGATCACCCGTACTACTGTGGGCGACCATCATCCAACCACTGAGGGCCCAAATAAAACCAAAGGCGGAGAAAGTGTGGATTTTGTCTCTGTCTCCTTGAGCCAGAGCACCTGTCATCTCTTGTCCTCAGACATCAGCGTTCCTGGTTCTCTGGCATTCAGACTCCAGTACTTATACTAGTAGCCCATACCCCCATCCCCCACCACCCCCGCCCCCCACCCCACCCCCCCACAGGTTCTCAGGCCTTCGGACTGAATTACACCATTGGTCTTCCTGCTTTTCCAACTTGCAGAGAACAGATGGTGGGACTTCTCACCCTTCATAATCGCGTGAGCCAATTCCCATAACAAATTAAAAAATGAAGTATATTGATATATACTTATATATGTCTGTGTGTGTACGTGTATGTATATGTGTGTATATGTATGTATATGTGTGTATATATATGTATGTATATGTAGGTATATGTGTGTATATATATGGGGGAGTTAGCATCTTGCATATTTGAGACATCTCTAGTTTTACAGTGACACACACTGAAGATGTTGGAAGCTCTTTGTCTCAGAAACACCTAATATTTTACAAAGTGTTCATATATATATATATATATATACACACACATATATATACACACACATACATATACACACACACATATATACACACATACATATATACACATGCCTGCGCACGCGCGCACACACATACATACATACATATATATATATATATATGTTGGGTTTTTTTCTCTGAAGAACCCTGATACACCTGGTGTAAACAAAGGGGCTCCAATTTCACTTAGGACCAAAACATTATCTGCCTTCCAGCCCCCTTTGCTCTGTCTTCCCCACAAACCTTACAGGCAAATATTGTTTGAGCTTTCATTTCTCTGGATTTTTACAGTTTGTATTCTGTTTAGTTCTGTGGTTCTCATTTCTTTTTTCCTCATATGAAAACACAACTATAAAATGACCTCTAATTAAGTTGTTATTTTACAAAGACTGAAAATCCAAAACCAGTGGAGTTTTTTTTGTTTTTGTTTTTTGTTTTTTTCCAGAATAGTGTACTGGAAGGTTCTAGTAGCCCTCCCACATCTCTTCATCAAGTAATGATCCACCAAATCATTTCATCTGTGATTAAATCATCTACAATGTCTTCCTCAGCCCTGTCATCATAAATTTAACCATTGCAATGCTGCTTAACATCAACATAAATACATCTTAGGTATGCATCCTCTCACTCAAAAGAATTCTCAAATGTAAGTATTGCTTTAATCAGCACTTGGCTTTTGTTTATTTAGGGCTCTTTGTGTAAAATATTAGATGTTTCTAAGACAAAGAGCTTCCATCCTCTTCAATCTATATCACTATAAAACTAGGGTGCTAACTCGCTCACCAATGCTTTCCCTACTCCTCCTTCTCTCTTTAACATCTGGCTCCATCAGCAGCTTCTTCTATTGAATGTGGGATCTAGTACGAATTAAACCTCTACATAACTGACAAGGTCTGAAATTTGACTGATTATCTTTTATATGGTTTTAAAAATTTCTTCTGATAGCATTTTTTTCTGCTGTTTTATTTGTTGGAAAAGTGGCAACAATTCAAGGAATGGTGTTTTCTTCAGTTACTAATTAATCCACTAAGAAACTTAAAAGCATTCCCTTCTGGGAAAAGGGAGCCTTATGTAGTTCACAAAAGTCCTTTATCCTAAAAGGTCCAAAGGCTAAATCGTTGTCAATCTCCAGTAGAGCTGCCATACTTTTAAAGACTCCCTGAAGGCGTCTCATGGAAGACTGCTCAAAGAAGAAGTCCAGTCATGGAGAAAAGTCGAGCTTGATGAATTCCACATTCAGCATTTCAGTCACTTAGAGATAAGCCTTGTAACTGTCATCACATATGGGCCACAAAAGGAGAACCTCTTATCTGTTCCGGTTAAGTATGTAAATATTATAGCCAAGTAGCCAAAAAATTACTCCTTGACTCACATTTCTTTAGATGTTATTGATATCCTCGGAACAACCATGCACAATCCCCCACCAGGTTTTTGGGCTAAAATGTAACTGACCAAAAATGGAAAGTTTCATTTTATCTTACAGTATTTATGTACCAACAATCCTGAGTAGTCTCCACATAGGAGCTGGACTTCTGTAGACAATATATGCACCACAAAATTAACTTATTTGAGAACTGGAGGGGATTTTTTTCAAATTGACAAATGAAAGTTGTAAATATTTATGGTGTACAAGATGATATTTTGATATACACACACAGTGTGGAATGGCTAAATCAAACTAAGAGGGGATTTTATTTTACCCTGGAGCATGTAATTCCAGTATAGCTGTCATTTAGGCAAATAATCTTTGATACAAATGTAAAGTAATAACAAGTGATCTTAAATTCATCCACAATTTCAGAAATGAAAAAGAAAAATCTCAAATATTTTTATTAAGGAAAATTTAAATGATGGTGGCAGCTTAGAAGTGACTAAAGTAGTTAGAAGAATGAAGCTCAAGAAATCAAAATTGTCAATAATTCTTTGTCCAACAATAATATTAATCGATAATAAGCAACAGATGTAAAACAAGGCATAACAAGGTATTATATGCTAACAAACAATAAGAATAAAACAAGTCATGGCTAATTTAAAGGTCTCTGAAGCACACCATTTGTTTTTTAATGCATCAGGGTAATTATGGTAACTTTTGAATATGTCCACAAATTCTTTGATATTTCCCTTTTCAGAGGTAAAGCCTAATTCCCCTCCCCATGAGGATGTGACTCGCTTCTAACAGAATATGGCAGAAGTAAAGATATGTGACTTTGAGACTATGTCATGAAGGACATTGTGGCTTCTGCCTATCTTTCTTCTGGATCACACCCCAGGGGAGAAAGCCAACCTCCATGTTGTGAGGACACTCAAGCAGCCCTTCGTGGAGGTCCGCGTGGTGAGGAATTGAGGCCTCCTGCTGATGGCTCATGCTAACTTGCTAGCCGTGGGAGTCAGCTACCTTGGAAGCAATCCTTCATCCCCAGTCAAGCACTCAGATGACCGCAGCTCTGGCCAACATCTTGACTGCAACCTGTGAACGACCCTGAGCAGAACTGTCCAGTTAAGCCACTCCTGGCTCACAGGAATGGGGGAGATAATAAACATTTATCGTTTCAAGCTGTTAAGTTTGGGGGTATGTTATGCAGCAAGAGATAACAAATGTAGAATATTTCACTCATTTCTACATGAAGATTTCTTTTCTTTTTTTTTTTTTTGAGACAGAGTCTCTCTCTGTCACCCAGGCTGGAGTGCAGTGGCGCGATCTCAGCTCACTGCAACCTCCACCTCCCGGGTTCATGCCATTCTCCTGCCTCAGCCTCCCAAGTAGCTGGGACTACAGGTGCCCACCACCACGCCTAGCTAATTTTTTTGCATTTTTTTAGTAGAGACAGGGTTTCACCATGTTATCCAGGATGGTCTCGATCTCCTGACCTCATGATGCGCCCACCTCGGCCTCCCAAAGTGCTGGGATTACACGTGTGAGCCACTGCGCCCGGCCCTACATGATGATTTCTATCACATAAATATACAATACTATATTTATCAAGCACTATATGTTAATAGATTCATTATCAATCCTATCCCGTTAGAATGTAAGCTGCATGAAAGAAGAAAGTTTGTTTTGTTCATTGCCATAGACTTACAGTGTTGATAAATAAATAAATATTTCTTGAATGTGTGAATCACTTGATGAGTTTACCATAATTTGTATCAGATTAAAAAATGGAGAATAAAAAACTTTTTAGACTAGTGTTTCATCAGTGGTAAGCTAAATAAACTTCAGCAAAGGGGTTAAAAGGTCATCATATTTATAGTTGAAAGCTGGAATAACCTTTCTACTGTTAATTTTGTTGTTTAGATACAGTACCTGTGAAATCTATTTGTTGACAAAAGGAAAAGATTCAACTGTAGATAAAATTCTATAATTTCTACACATAGTGTTTAACAAGTATGAGAAGAGAAAGTATTATAGAAAAACAATTACCAAACACACACATATAACACACACACACACGAACACCCCAGAGTCTGGTGTGGAAGTGTACTAAAAGGTCTCTACATGATGAACTCTATCAACAACTTCAAAATATTAAGGGACTGTAACATGAGTACAATGTGGTAAGTCTTCTACGAGCCAAAATAAATAGCGCAGTGTTCATTTTCAACACTCACAAAGCTGTTGCTTTCCTATGTGTGCCACAGAGCAGACAGGTCAGTACGTTTTCTTTCTTTCAGCAGCATTCCTATTTGCATCTAAAGACCCATCTAATCAATCTAATTATTTTCCACCATGTCCAATTGAATCCTTCTCTACTAAATTGCTTCTCTATTCAAGCTGTACAATTTCCTCTGTGTTCTTCCATGGTCATCATTGTATCTTTTACTTTCTTTGCCTTCACTGGACGTTAAAGAAGTGCCTAGTAAATGGCTATTCTGTATTTTACCATTCAGGTCTAAAACAGCCTTAAAAAGCCTGTAGTTATCTCCTGATCAATCCAACAAGGAGTTGAGTGTCTACCACCAGCTCCTACTGTTCTAGGTGATGTAAATGAAATAACATTTTTGAAAATTAGATCATCTTTTCCAAAAGAAAATACAATTCACCACAAAAAGATGGCACCGTAGTGAACAAGATTATCACACTAGTCTTATATTAGGCAATTGGTAAAAGTATGTATGAGTTCAGCTTCCTGGCTGAATTGTGTCCCAGAGATGGAAACTACGGAAGTTCAGTGAAATCAGAAATAGGTAAACATTTCAGAAGCAAAGTTAGTACCAGGTCTGTATGGGTGGCTTGAGCTAAAAGCAGATTGGTTTCCATGTCCTAAAGAAAGCAATCCCAGAAATTAAAAAGAGAAAAAGAGAATGAACAGAGAAAATAATAGCGCATGAATAAATCAGGGACATAAAAACTGACTTAATAATGGGATTCCACCTTTAATAGAAAAAATGACGATTGAATGTTTTATGAATTACTGATACCTGGGACAATGAAAATAAGAATTGTCTGACACTCTTCTGTTTAAGAGGCAACAGCAGGCAGGAGCTTGTGAGATGTGTCGTCACTGGCCTGGGTCTGGTCAGGTGACATCCACTTTTCTCCCTTGTCCAGTGGTTTTAAAAAATAAATGCAGAGAAACATGGCGTGCCAGGTATAGACAGCTTACAAAGAATATTGGGAGAAAGGAAAATCATGGTAAGAACAAAATAAGATGATGAAGTGGAGCATCATAAGTAATCTCGACCCTTCCACCTGTGTTAGTTCATTTTGCATTGCTATAAAGGAATAGTCAAGACTGGGTAATTTATAAAGGATAACAGGTTTATTTGTCTCACAGATCTGCAGGTTGTACAAGCATTTCACCAGCATCGGCTCAGCTTCTGGTGAAGCCTCAGGAAGCTTTTAGTCATGGCAGGATGGCCAGGAAGCCAGCGTGTGACATGGGGAGAGAGGAAGCAAGAGGAGAGAGAGGAGGAGGAGGTGCCAGGCTTTTTTAAACAACCAGCACTCAGTTGAACTAACCGAGTGAGAATTCACTCGTGACCATGGGGAAGGCACCAAGCCATTCATGAGGGACCTGTCCCCATGACCAAAACACCTCCCACCAAGTTCCACCTCCAACATTGGGGATCACATTTCAACATGAGATTTGGAGGGGAGAAATAGCCAAACCATAGCACCACCTCATCCCCCTTCCCACCCCATGGGTGCTGCAGTTCCCTGCTCTGTTACTGTTAACCTCTTCAATAGGCATCACTCATGCACACATGCGCCAGGCCCCGTGTTGTCTGGGGGACACAGTGGTGCGCCAAACAGGCAAGAATTGCTGTCCTCATGGATATCCCCCCTCTTCATGTACTGCATTTATTGTCTGCCTCTACCACCTTAAAAAGCAAGGTCCAGGAGTTGTTTTATATATATACATATGTGTCTGTGTATATAAGTATATATACATATATGTGTATATGTGTGTATATGTGTATATACATATATGTGTATATGTGTACATACATATATGTATGTATATGCATATATGTATATACACACGTGTATATATACATACATGTGTATATACACGTGTGTATATACATGTGCGTATATACATATGTGTGTATGTGTGTATCTACATATGTGTGTATGCATATATACACATATGTGTGTTTATACACATACATATAGATATATGTGTGTATATACACATATACATATAGATATATGTGTGTATATACACATATACATATAGATATATGTGTGTATATACACATATACACATACAGATATATGTGTATATACACATATACACATACAGATATATGTGTGCATATACACATATACACATACAGATATATGTGTGTATATACACATACAGATATATGTGTGTATATACACATACAGATATATGTGTGTATATACACATACAGATATATGTGTGTATATACACAGATATATGTGTGTATATACACATACAGATATATGTGTGTATATACACATACAGATATATGTGTGTATATACACATACAGATATATGTGTGTATATACACATACAGATATATGTGTGTATATACACATACATATAGATATATGTGTATATATACACATACATATAGATATATGTGTATATATACACATACATATAGATATATGTGTATACACATACATATAGATATATGTGTATATACACACATACATAGATATATGTGTATATGTGTATATATACATATAGATATATGTATGTGTATATATACATATAGATATATGTATGTGTATATATACATATAGATATATGTATGTGTATATATACATATATATACATATAGATATATGTGTATATATACACATGTGTATATATACACATACATATAGATATATGTGTATATATACACATGTGTATATATACATATGTGTGTATACACATGTGTATATATACATATATGTGTGTATATATATGTGTATATATACATGTGTGTATGTGTATATATACGTGTGTATGTGTATGTATACATGTGTGTGTATATATACACATACATATGGATATATGTGTATATATACACATACATTGGATATATGTGTATATATACACACACATAAAATTAATATTGAGTTTATACATATAACAACTCATTAATTTTTCTCACATTAAACAAATATCTTCTAATGAAATTTTAAAATGACAGGGGAAAGCCTTTGATACTGGTCCACGTGTTTGCCTTTCCTCAGAATAATCCTTCTCAAGGAGTGAGGAAGCTGGGGTATTTATACATCAATTCCCTGCAGTCTTTGATTGAGAGTTGCTTCCAAGGAATTGTTAATTTCCTGAATTAGAGCAACTGTTTTGGCCAGAGAAAGCCCTCAGGCAAAGAGTTGTAGCCGTTAGCAGTAGGTCATAGAGCCAGCTTGCTCTGAGATGGTGAGGGCTGAGAGGAAAGGATGGGGCAGAGTTTGCTACAGTTTATAATTATAGATGCTACATTACAGAATGCCTTATTCAGAGGCACACTAGTTGAAGGTGCCCATGGCCTTCCTCTGCCATGGCCCTCCCTACAGGGGAGCTAAGAGGACGTGACCACCTGGATCCCATGTAACCCCTTCTAGGCCATGCTTCAAGGAGCTGGAATCCCAAAATTCCTTCCTGTTAAGGGCTGAATTTTGTCCCCCAGCAGAAAATACACTGGAGTCCAACCCCTAGTAGCTCAGAATATGACCTCATTTGGAAATAGGGTCTTTACAGACATAATCAAGTTAAAATGAGACTGGGCATGGTGGCTCATGCCTGCAATCCTAATACTTTGGGAGGCCAAGGCAGAAGGATCACTTGAGCCCGGGAATTCAAGACCACCTTGGGCAACATAGCAAGACTCCAACTCTACAAAAAATAAAAAATAAATTAGCTGGGCATGGTGGTGCTCACCTGTGGTTCCAGCTACTCAGGAGGCTGAGGCGGGAGGCTAACTTGAGCCCAGGGAGTTAGAGACTGCAGTGAGCTGTGATCATACCACTGCACTCCAGCCTGGGTGAGAAAGCAAGACCTTGTCTCAAAAAAAAAAAAAAAAAAATTAATCTGGGGCACTGTGACTCATGTCTGTAATCCCAGCACTTTGGGAGGCCAAGGTAGGTGGATCACTTGAGCCTAGGAGTTCGAGACCAGCCTGGATGACATTGCAACTCTGTCTCTACAAAAAAATACAAAAAATTTTAGCCAGGCGTGGTGATGCACACCTGTGGTGAGGCTGAGGCAGGAGGCTCACTTGAGCCCAGGAGGTCAAGGCTGCAGTGAGCTGTGATTGAACCACTGCACTCCAACCTGGGTGAGAGAGTGAGATCCTGTCTCAAAAAAAAAAAAAAAGAAAAGAAAAGAAAGTTAAAATGAGCTCATTAGGGTGGGCCCTAATCCAATATGACCACAGTGTCCTCATAAAAAGGAGAAACTGGACATGGAGACAGGTGTGGGAAGATTGTGTGAAGAGACATGAGAGAAGATGGCCATCTACAAGCCAAGGAGGAAGTTCTCACAGCACTCAGAAGGAACCAACCCTGCTGGTATCTTGGTTTGGACTTCCACCTCCAGAACAGTGCAACAGTAAACTTCCGTGGTTTAAGCAGCCCAGCTTGTGGTACTTTGTCATGGCAGCCCCAGGAAACCTCAGAGGCAGGTAAGAGAAGAGCTCTTTGGAAATCTGTAAGTGTGTATTGGTTTCCTATCAGCAGCAATATCTGGTTTTCACTTTTTTTTTTTTTTATGGTAGCAGCTACTGGTGCTCAATGCCTAGATTTATCCATTAATTAGGCTTGCATACTAGTAATGTTCTAATTCTACTACTTTGCTTTTATTTATGCAATGGAATAATTTTATAAGATGATTCTTCCTCTCGTCTATTTGGTTACCAGTGCTGTGGTTCACACGGGAAAAGCAGGACAAGTGCTTGATGTTCCCCCTTATAAAGTTTTCATGATAATAAGTTGGGTCTTTAAGGTTTCTTACTTTTTATTTTTATTGTATCCATTTTCAAAGTCATGGTTTTAAACATATTTGATAGGTTTCAATCCATTGAAATTCTTATTCTTATAGAAGTTCAAATGTTCCCATCTTTGGCCAGTGAGAGCTTCAGACTGGCTTGCCAAGTCCTTTTGACATTGTGTCTATGCCATTTAGTCCTCAAAGCAATTATTTGATGTAGGTATTTTTATCTCTATTTTACAGGTGGGTTTACTGCAGTTAAGTGCTTTGCCCACAGCTACACAGTAAATGATGGAAATGGAATTAAAGTCTAGGCAATCTTTTTACAAAGCTTGACCTCTTCAACACTACGATAACTCACTATTGACAAGAATATGTCCAACTTTAGCTTTACAAGTCTTAACTGGGTCAGATAATATTACATATGTACTTGTATTGGTCTGGGTTCTGCAGAGAAACAGAATGAATAGGAGATAATATTTTTACATCTGTATATAATTTGTATGTGTGTGTGTGTCTGTGTGTATATATGTGTAGAGAGAGAGAGAGAAATTTACTATAAGGATTAACTTGTGTGATGAAGGCTTGTATTAGTCCATTCTCACTCTGCTAATAAAGACATACTCGAGACTGAGTAATTTATAAAGGAGAGAGGTTTAATTGACTCACAGTTCATCATGGCTGGGGAGGCCTCAGGAAACTTACAATCATGGCAGAAGGGAAAGCAAACAGGTCCTTCTTCACATGGTGGCAGCAAGGAGAAGTACCAACCAAAAGGGAGAAGCCCCTTAAAAAACCGTCAGATCTCATGAGAACTCATGCACTATCAGAAGAACAGCAATGAGGTAATTCCCCCATGATGCAACTGCCTTCCGCCAGGGCCCTCCTATGACACATGGGGATTATGGCAACCACAATTCAAGATATTTGGGTGGGGACACATCCAAACCGTATCAAAGCTGAATAGTCTAATCTCTGCAGCTGGCAAGCTGGACACCCAAGAAAGCCAGTGGTATAGTTCCAGTCTGAGTCCAAAGGCCTGACAACCAGGAACACTGATGGTGTAAGTTCCAATCTGAGAGGGGGAAAAGACCAATGTTCTAACCCAGGCAGTCAGGCAGTGAGAGCACATTCTTCCTTACCCTGCCTTTTATACTATTCAGGCCTTCAACCAATTGGATGAGGCCCATCCACACTGCAGGGTGGGGGTTGGAGGGCAATCTGCTTTACTCAGTCTGCAGATTCAAACACCAATTTCATCCAGAAATACTCTCACAGACACACCCAGAAATAATGTTTAACCAATATCTAGGACCTTGTTACTCAGTCAAATTGACACATAAAATTAACCATTGCAATATTCTTTTGTAATTAATGTTTAAGTGAACGTATTGCAGACTGTAGTACAGTCAGGCAACAAACATAGATTTTGCCACTGGCCAGAATCACTGTCAGAAGAAGTTTTATGGATGGTCATGGTTTGGTGTTGGCCATATACAGAGGCAAAGCAATGTGGCCTACGCAGTGTTGAAGTGTAGGTGACAGTTCAACAAAGTCAGTCTCCAGACATTCCCCCAGCACCATTAGATTTGAGCTGTTCATTTCACAGGAACCTAAATACTAAACTAGATTTAAACTATCATTCTGTTCTCCACATTGAAGATGGTCTATAACATAAGAACAATGAGCAAAGACAGAAAATCATAATAGCAATATTCAAACAGTCAAAGGCTGAATGAGGCCTGGCGCGGTGGCTCACGCCTGTAATCCTAGCACTTTGGGAGGCCAAGGCAGGGGAATCACGAGGTCAGGAGATCGAGACCATCCTGGCTAACACGGTGAAACCCCATCTCTACTAAAGATACAAAAACATTAGCCAGGCGCGGTGGCGGGCGCCTGTAGTCCCAGCACTTTGGGAGGCCAAGGTGGGCGGATCACGAGGTCAGGAGATCGAGACCATCCTGGCTAACATGGTGAAACCTCATCTCTACTAAAAATACAAAATAATTAGCTGGGCGTGGTGGCGGGCGCCTGTAGTCCCAGCACTTTGGGAGGCCGAGGCGGGCGGATCATGAGGTCAGGAGATCGAGACCATCCTGGTTAACATGGTGAAACCCCGTCTCTACTAAAAATACAAAAAACTGGCCAAGCGTGGTGGCGGGTGCCTGTAGTCCCAGCTACTCGGGAAGCTGAGGCAGGAGAATGGCATGAACCCGGGAGGTGGAGCTTGCAATGAGCCGAGATTGCATCATTGCACTCCAGCCTGGCGACAGAGCGAGAATCCATCTCAAAAAAAAAAGGGGGGGGCTGAATGAGAGCTGTTATGGGTTGAATTGTGTCCCCCCAAAAGATACGTTGAAGTCCTAAACCCCAGTATCTGTGAATGTGACCTTATTTGGGAACAGATTTGCAGATGTAATCGAACTAAAATGAGATAAGTAGGGTGGACCCCAATCCAATATGACTGGCATCCTTAGACAAGGAGACAGACACACACGGGGAAGATGGCCACGCGATATTGGAAGCAGCAATTGGAGTGACTCATCTGCAACTAAGGAACTCCAAGGATTGCTGGAACTCCAAGGAACACCTGGAGCCGGAAGAGGCCAGGAACAATTCTCCCCTGCAGGCTTCAGAGAGAGCATGACCCTGCAGACACTTTGATTTCAAACTTCCAGCCTCCAGAACTGTGAGACAGTACACTCCTGTCTTAAGCCACCCAGTACTTTGGTACTTTGTTACAGCAGGCCCAGGAAACTAAGACGGTACCTTTCATGGGTCATCATTTTTCCTATGAGAGGATCAAGAGCCAGTGAAGCTGGCCAGTGGCTCACACCTGTAATCCCAGCACTTTAGGAGGCCAAAGCAGGAGGACAGCTTGAGCCTAGTAGTTTGAGACCAATCTGGGCAATATAGTGAGACCCCACCTTTATAAAAATTTCTGAAAAATTAGCTGGGCGTGGTGATGCAGGCCTGTAGTCCCAGCTACTCAGGAGGCTGAGGTGGGAGGATCACTTGAGCCCAGGAGATCAAGGCTGCAATGAGCCATGACTGCACCACTGCACTCCAGCCTGGGTGACAGAGCAAGACCCTGTCTCAAACACAAAAACAAACAAAAAGAGCCAGTGAAGTAAAAAGATTTGCCAAAGTCCTCACAGTACAGCCAACACTTGAATCCAGACCTGACTCTTATTCCAGTTTTCCGTAAACAATAACATATTGATTGCCTCTTGATCCAAGCATAAAAATTAATTCTTTTACTCTCTTTACAAATATCCATTAAACACCCACCAGTTGGCAGCCACTAATATAGACAAAGAGATACACTGGTCTGGAAAAAGTTTTTTTCCTTCATGGGACTTAGAATCTACTGAGGAATGGCCAGGCACAGTGGCTCACACCTGTAATCCCAGCACTTTGGGAGGCCGAGGCAAACGGATCACCTGAGGTCAGGAGTTTGAGACCAGCCTGGCCAAAATGGCGAAAGCTCGTCTCTACAAAACATACAAAAATTAGCCAGGTGTGGTGGCAGGTGCCTGTAATCCCAACTATTCGAGAGGCTGAGGCAGAAGAATTACTTGAACCCGGGAGGCGGAGGTTGCAGTGAGCTGAGATCACACCACTACACTCCATCCTGGGTGACAGAGTAAGACTCTGTCTCAAAAAAAAAAAAAAAAAAAAAAAAGTCTACTGGGAACAATGGATAATGATTAACATTAACAACTAATAGCAATAAAACAACTACACAAGAATATATAGCAAATATGACAAGTTCATATTCTGGTAAAGGTGAAAAAATGAAAGAATGAAAACAAGTTACAGTAATAAAGTATTTTCATAAAAATGAAAAAATTAAATAAAATTAAGTGCAATGTCCTTATAGCCATTTCACAAATAAATCAAAAGTTAGGCTACACTGTAATAAATGTGTAAAGATTAGACCAGTAGTTCTTACTAGGGGGGATTTACCCCCAAGAAAACATCTGGCAAAGTCTGGAGACATTTGTGATTGTCAAAGCTAAGGGAGCGCTATTGGTATCTAGCAGATAGAGGCCAGAGACGCTGCTAACTATCCTACAATAAACAAGACAAACTCTCAGCAACGTAGAATTAGCCATTGAAAACGTCAATAGTGCCCAGGTTAAACTGAACTAGACTAAAATAGAGGCTATTTTTTAAACTGTACTCGTTAGTTTTATCATCAGTGCCTTATTGAAAAGGACTTGAAGGTTGATATCTGAACCACTGTAAACCCACTAGAATGTGTTTACTGCAGGTCTATAGAAAAGTACACTTATTTCTCATTCCATACTCAACAAATCCTTTCTTCTTCTGAATAATGTCATAGCCATTATTTTACACTGATATCTGTACTAGGAGAACTCATGACAATTGCTATCAAGATCCTGGAAAAATCTAATTAACAGCACCTTTATATAACACTGCCTTAACCAGACCCATTTTTGCTAGAGTACACTACGCATTTCACATATATCAGAGACTGATGTTTCTATGTTCTCCATTGTTCATCGATGGCTTTCTTTCTTTTTCTTTTTTTTTCTGAGACAGAGTCTCACTCTGTCGCCCAGGCTGGAGTGCAGTGGTGCGATCTCGTCTTATGGCATACTCCACCTCCGGGGTTCAAGTGATTCTCCTGCTTCAGCCTCTCATGTAGCTGGGATTACAGATGCCTGCCACCACACCTGGTTAATTTTTGTATTTTTAGTAGAGACAGGGTTTCACCATGTTGGCCAGGCTAGTCTTAAAACTGACCTCAGGTGATCTTCCCACTTTGGTTACCTAAAGTGCTGGGATTACAGGCGTGAGCCACCGCACCCAGCCATCAGTGGCTTCTTATATAAACCTATACATTATTGACATAAGAGTTTTTAGATTTGTTAGGCACCAAGAATAAACAGTGGAAGCTGAGACGAATGCCTCTGAGATGACCACAAGGATCAAACCTGAACAATGGGACGGAAAGCAGGGAGCAAATAATCATATGGATATTAGGTTAAAGAGGAAGTGAGTGATGCATTCAGTACAAGAATACATACAAAATCAAAACCAGGGGGATCGGAACTTACACCATTATCCCAGCTGAGCAGAAGAATCAAGAGATAAGAAGTTTCATAAAAACAGATGATTCCGAATCCAGTATAGGAATGACAGGGCAGATGGATCAAGCACAAAAAGATAGGGCACATGGCCAATTCAAACTGGCTGACCTTGAGCTAGGGATCCTGTCTCAATGGCAAAGGAACCACAGATTTAGGAGCCGTAGCCGATGTTAAGGTTCACCGTGGACAGGTGCAAGGTGGAGAAGTGTGATTATGGAAGTCTAGCACAAACAACATTAGGCAGAAAAATAAGAAGACATAGTCAGACACATAGACCAATGGAACAGAATAGAGATCTCAGAAATAAGACCACATGTCTACAACCATCTGATCTTCGACAAACCTGACAAAAACAAGCAATGGGGAAAGGATCCCTTATTTAATAAATGGTACTGGGAAACTGACTAGCCATATGCAGAAAATTGAAACTGGACCCTTTCCTTACACCTTATACAAAAATTAACTCAAGATGGATTAAAGACTTAAATGTAAAACCCAAAACTGTAAAAACCCTAGAAGAAAATCTAGTCAATACCATTCAGGACATAGGCACAGGCAAAGATTTCATGACAAAAACATCAAAAGCAATTGCAAAAACTATCATCAGAGTGAACAGAAAATGCAGTCAAAAACTGGTAGAGTAGTCTAGACTTTTTGAATGACCTTCAACAAGCAGATCATGACTTTAATTGAATATTCTAATGAACATTCATAATCACCTACTAAAAGGAAAATTTAAAAATTATTATTGACTTTCAAAATAAGCCTTTGATTTATAAAGTAATGATAATTATAATTAGCAATAACAATAAGTAAAACATATGCTTCTGTGGGCCAGGAACAATATATTATTCTATTTTCTCAGTTGAAGCTGAGACAAATACCTCTGAGATGACCACAAGGATCAAACCTGAACAATGGGACGGAAAGCAGGCAGCAAATAATCATATGGATATTAGGTTAAGGAGGAAGTGAATGATGCATTCACTATAAGAATACACACAAAATCAAAACCTGATTTAATACTGACACTATTTAATACTGATACTAATCTTGTGAGGTAGGTACTATCAATAATTTCATCTTATAGGTGAAAAACCCAGGGATGAAAGAGGTCAAGTAATTAGACAAAGATTGTGTAGCTAGTAAGTGGCAGGCTAAGGTTCTCACCTAAATCTTTCTGATTCTTATGGCTTTATTCTTTTTTCTTGTTATTAATTTACTATGTATTTTAATTGAGAAACAAAATACATGCGCCTCATTAAAAAATAATGAACTATAAATGAATGATAACCATTCTTTCCCACCCCACCCCCACCCCAGATTTTTTTTTTTTTTTTTTGACACAGGGTCTTACTTTGTCACCCAGGCTGGAGTGTAGTGGCACAATCTTGACTTCCTGGGCCCAACCGATCCTCCCGCCTCAGCCTCCTGAGTAGCTGGGACTACAGGCATGTGCGACCATGCCTGGCTAATTTTTGTATTTTTAGTAGAGACGGGGTTTCACCATGTTGCCCAGGCTGGTCTCGAACACCTGGATTCAAGTGATCTGCCCACCTCGGCCTCCCAAAGTGCTGGAATTACACATGTGGGCCACCACACCTGGCAAACCACTCCAGATTTTCTGTTCCTCAGTCTTTACTCCAAAAGGAATCACTATTATCAGTTTTTTATACATTCTTCTAAAAAGTCTATAAATCATCTCTTGCTTATTTTATTTTTTAAGAGACAAGATCTCACTCTGTTAGCCTAGGCTGGAGTGCAGTGATGCGACCATGGTTCACTGCAGCCTTAACCTCCTGAGCTCAAATGATCCTCCCACCTCAGTCTCCCAAGTAGATAGGACTACAGGCGTGCACCACCACACCCAGCTAATTTTTTCTATTTTTTGTAGAGATAGGGTCTCACTATGTTGCCCAGGCTTGTCTCAAACTCCTAGTCTCAAGTCACCCTCCTGCCTCAGCCTCCCAAAGCACTGAGGTTACAGGCCAGAGCCATTGTGCCCAGCCAATCTTTCTATTTTTAATCCAGATGATAGCATAGAGCAGACCATATTCTGCACCTTGTAAATTCGTTCTTCTTAATCACTGCACTATAGTTCTTCCTTCCAAATGTTAAGCTCTTCTGATAATATATTATCATTGAACTTATAAAGGCCAGACCAGTGCTTTTCAATAGGGGATGATTTTGCCTCCTAGAATACATTTGGCAAGGTCTGAAGACATTTGTGATTGTCACAACTAAGGAAGTTCTACTGGCACTCTCTGGGGGAAAAAAAATCACAGAAAAAAACTCAGTGGCACAGTCACAAAAAGACTATATATTGTACAAAAAGTACAAGACAATCTACCACAGATAACCAACATTTTGCAGTGGGTTAAGTGTGATCCTGCCTGTTAGAGTGTTCTCTTCAGTAACCTGTTAAGGGAACCTGGAGAGTTCCTTTGAGCTCCAGGTTCCTTTGAGCCTTATCATGATTTAATGTAGCAATTATCAAAGGGTATATAGTTTTGAGGCTCATCATGGTCCCTAAGACCTTCTCAGGAGCTTTACAAGGTCAAAATTTATTTTCATAATAATACTAAGACGGTATTTGTCTTTTTTGCAGTGGAGTTTTCCAGACGCTTTATGACGTGTGATATTGCAACAGACTGAATGCAAAACAGATATGAGAATTCAGCTGTTTCCATTAAGCCAGACAGAAGACATTTGCAAATGTGCAAAACAATGCCATTCTTCTCATGCATTTTTTTTGTTTGGTATAGTAACTTTTATTTTTAAAAATATGTTATTTCAGTTGACATTATTACTGCTATTGGAAATGAATTATAAATAAATATTTCACAACTCTCTCAGTTTTAATTTCTATTATGGGTAAATATTGGTAGATATAACCCACATAAACCCACATAAGGGCTCTTTGGAGTTCTTGATAATTTTCAAGAGTGTAATGAGATTCTAAGACTAAGAAGTTTGAGGACCACTGATGTAGTGACTTAGAGGCCTAGTTAATGCATTATAAATAGCATAATCTTGGCCCTACTTATAGAAGAATGATCTGAACATGGCAGCCACAAGGCAAAAGCAAGAAGCAAGAAAAGAGTCCCAAAGAAGAACAACTGTTCTGTAACTGCTAAGAGTAGGGCAAGAATCTTTTATTAGCTGAAAACAATAGATTTTTTATCCTATTTTAAAATGAACTTTTTTATTTTAAAATTTAAAAAGCAAGATTAGCAGAAAAGCAGTCCAATATTTAATCATTTATGGCAGAATATTTTATAGATGATGTTAATATAAAAACAACAGAACTCAGCTATTCCAAGAGAGAGTCTTCCAAGATTTCCCAGAAAAGCAACATTGGATGCCAGATGTTCGTGCAGTTGAAGGATTTGCATGGTCCCTTCAAATTCATTTATAAACAGAAATTGATGATCATATCATCAAATTTCTAGAATGAAAACCAAAGGAAAGGATTTCCAAAAATAGGATACATTTTTTTTTCAGGTTTTAAAATTCGCAGCTAGTAATTCTTGCTAAGATGAAAAAGTAGTCACTCAAAGAGCCCACATTACCTTGGTGCATAGCTTTTCACCGACTGCACAGAGACGGTTAGATAAACCGTCTAACACAACAAAATGAAGAAGGATGCAAGTTTGTCTTGGGGGTTTCCTGTCTTCCCTTTCCCTTTTCCTCACCTTCAGCAGCTCCTCCTTCCCCCACCCACCCTGTTTCTATCTCTGAGTTCACCGCCTTCCCAACCCCCGGCAGTCTCTGCTTTCTTGACCTGAGTCGGGTTCTGACTTAACCACTGGCTGTCGGCAGGACCTAAGCCATGGCACATCTCCTCTGAGCCTCAATTTACTCATTTATAAGATGGGAATGATAATCTGCCTGCCACCCCAGGTTATTAGGATTAAATGAAAACACTTTTTGTAAATTATATAGCTCCAGACAAAACTGTCAAATTATTAACCCCCTAACATTTATATCCATGTAGAGTATTTATGTGAGGCAGACCCCGCACCAGGAGAGGGTGTCAGAAATGCCCCTGGCATCCTGGATGTCCTGAAAGGGAACCAGTTCAGAAGCCCAGTGGCATTGTGTGGGTGGATGGAAAAGCTGGGCCAGAGGGTTATTCTGGGCTTTGTCAGGCTCTCTCCTTTCTTCCTCACTCGTTTCCTTCAACATACCTGATCACCACTCAAGGATTCGGGGATCCAGCCCTTTATCTCCATAGATCCTCTTATTCCTGTAGGACCGTCCCTGAACTTTGACTTCCCTTCCCTTTTTCACCATTGAATTGTTATCCTCTTACCTACACAGTATTGAGCTCCACAGCCCAACACTTCGAATGTCTGCAACCAGCAGCCTTCCATTCTGTAGTTCTGGGGACCAGAGCACAGTGTAAGGGCTCCGGTGGCCAGGGCAGTGCAGGAGGATGGGGGAGGCAGACTGTGGGAGGAGTTCATGGGCAGAACTTAAGCTTGGGTATGCTGCAGAAGGCAAGGGGATCCCAAATCCTCTGTGAATAAATGCAGTTAGATCATGTGATGTGGGGGAGATGGTACTGGTGGTGATGATAATGACAGAAAGGAATGGTAGGTTTCACAGGGAACATTCCGGATTGGTAACAAATACACCAAAGCAAGAACCTGTGTGTATGTGTGTGTGTGTGTTCTTTTTTTACAGTGATATTAATTACAGCAATTTACATGAAATGTTAAACATAGATGCTTAATGACCGTGTGTCCCTGTGATGATTATGCTGCTCACTAGAGATGCGTGAGCTCAACTGTATTGTTTTCTTTGACAACAACAGCAAAGAGCTGCATCTGCGTGCTCCTCTTACCCCGCGCTCATCAGTTCCCTGTCCCCAGCAAGACCAGCAAAGGCCATAAAACCCCAGCTGAGCCTGCAAGGCTGTCGCAGAGGCCCCACAGCCCGTGTTAATGCGTTTGGGAGGTGTGTGAGTGAGTATGTGTTTTTCTCCTCTGTGTCTTCTATCTCCCCCTTTTATTGAGCTGCTGCAGTTAAAAGAAGACCAAAGGTTGGCGGGTGTTGAATACTTGCCCACAATAGCTGCATCTCACGTAGTGATTTAAGAGTTCTTTTAACATCAGCAGCAAACTAAAACACTTAAACAAAAGGGCCTTTGTGTGATTTTTAGTAACAAAGGGATCTAGAACGACCGTCTTGATACTACATTTCTTATTTTTCCCAATCTTACATGTTATTGAAATAACTAATTGGCACAAATTAAATTTTCTTTCTTTTTGGAGTATATGCAGACAATGACCTTACTACTTGTTATAAATCATCTTCCAGCAGGGGAAAACTAAAGCAATAAGAAAGGTTTTTTGTCTCCTAATAAATTCTATGACAAGTTAAAAGCCAGGGGGAAATACAAAAATAAATAAAATCCAGCCCAGATTTCAAAGGCATTACAACATAGTCCAAGGGTCAGGCAGCCCAAGCACTGTAGCTGTGATATAAGGAGATGTTAGGGCCTTTGCCCATTTAACAACGCACTGCGAAATTGCAGAACAAAAAGTTTTGTATTTTCATTCAAATTTTAGGTTAAAAAAAGGTGTTAGGGCCTTTGCCCATTTAACAACGCACTGTGAAATTGCAGAACAAAAAGTTTTCTATTTTCATTAAAATTTTAGGTTAAAAAAAGGAAAGGAGGACTGAGAATGCTTATATCATATGTTATTAAACTCTGCCAAACAGATTTAGCTATAATCACTAAGAATTTTAAAATAGCAAATCCTATATTTAAGAAGCTCATCAGTGAAATAAGAGTTCCTTGTTTTGTTTTGTATGTTTTCAGCTTTTAAATACTAAATTCTTTCCCCAACCACAGCTTTCCTTATGCTAGATTCTGGTACAGTGGATTTACTTTTATACGGTGGCAAAAAACGTGGGTGCACTGCACAAGAATTATAAAACATCTTTTGGGGAATAATTAGAAAAATAGATACTGTGAGTTAGGAAGAGAAAACATAGATAAAGCAGAAGCTGAGGGTTTTGTAATAAAGCCTTGTATAGATCATGGACATAATGTTAGAGAACATGGGAAAGCAAACCTGATACTCAAAGCTGTCTTTCTGCATGTTAGGAGGGCAGGAGCTGAGATGGATTACAAAGATTTGTTCATGCTGGCATGAAGCTATTGTGGGCAGAGCCAAGGCTACACAACCTTGTGTCCTGGGAGCAGCTAAACATAAGGATCGGGAAACTGAGCAATGCCTAACTGTATGGAATAGCTGAAGTAAATATTTCTCTGAACTTTTTCCATCTCAGGCATTCAGGTCTGCCTCTCCGGGGACCATGCTGGAAAGCTAAGAGACTGTAACAGCTGTGGGTCGTGAAGCCAGAGAGGCACTGAACAAATGCATGGAGGACCAGAAAGGGGAAAAAAATACTATAGGATCTATTTTTTTTAATTAAGTAAAACTAATTTATTTGAGATCTTAGGAAAGGAGGAGAGAAAGAGCATCTGATGACAAGAAATGGTTCGTTACTCATTATTAGTTGAACATGGATAAGATGTTAACAAAAACATTTTTATTTGGTGTACTCTTATTTTATTAAATGTAAAAATATGTAAAGAGATGTTTTTATATAAATGCTAAGTAAATTTTTATCACACAAAAGTTTTCATTTAACTGAATCTCTCTTGGGTTTGCACATAATTAGGCTTGTTTTATACAGAAAAGCCTCTTATGGGCCTCTTTTATAGAGAAGGAAAGCATTGAAATTCCAGTCTTAACAGAAGAGTGGTGAAAATACCTCCACTATTTAAGTTGAGAGCAGAATATTGATACTTGGCTCCTTTGCCCAATATTAGGACTATAGAAAGATATGCACACACACACACACATACACCATATATATTTATATATATATGTATATATATCTATATATATATATTTGATCATGACAATAGTAAACCCTTATTTACACAGCCTATGGTTATAGTGACTTTCTTAACAACAGTCAACTTTTGCTTTAGCTATTTCCTTCAATGGATCTTTTAAAAATTGTTGGTGGCTGGGGATGGTGACTCACACCTGTAATCTGAGCACTTTGGAAGGCCGAGGCAGGAGGATCACCTGAGCTCAGGAGTTTGAGACCAGCCTCCTGAGCTCAGGAGGCAACATGGTGAAACCCCGACTCTACTAGAATTACAAAAAATTAACCAGGTGTGGTGGCGCATGCCTGTAATCCCAGCTACTCAGGAGGCTGAGGCACAAGAATCGCTTGAATCTGGGAGGCAGAGGTTGCAATGAGCTGAGATCGTACCACTGCACTCCAGCCTGGGGGACACAGCGAGACTCTGTCCCAAAAAAACAAACAAACAAGAAATAAAAAAATTAAAAACTATTTGTAAAGATACACCCATGATTTCCTTACAAAAGTTCCTATATTAATCTTCTGAGAGTTAGAATACGCTATCTCCCACGCCTCCACCCCTTCCTCTCATGGAAATCTCCTCTCCTTTAAGGATGTTGGCGATACACTTCTCAGTGGTTAGACAGCCACATCAGGAGCACCCTAACTAGCAAACCTTGCAATGATTCCATTTTCCACACATTCAAAAACATCTGTAGATTTTCAGAATTTTCTGAGAAACTTTGCAATTCTCAAACTATAACTGATCTTTCAACTCCTGCAGAAGCTTGTGAAGTTTTCGTACCAACTACTCTCCCTAATTTGGTTGTCATTAGCTACAGTTAGTAAATCTAAGGATACAATATATTAAGTCATAGCCCCAGTCTCCCATCTGTATTTTGTTTTCCCATACGGTGTTAAGTTTCTTAACTGTGAATTCTTTACTGTAGTGTTTTCTTTTCTTTTCTTTTCTTTTTTTGTGAGCCAGAGTCTCACTCTGTTGCCTGGGCTGGAGTGCGTGGTGTGGTCTTGGCTCACTGCAACCTCTGCCTCCCGAGTTCAAGTGATTCTCCTGCCTCAGCCTCCCAAATAGCTGGGATTACAGGCACCCTCCATGACACCCAGCTAATTTTTTTGTATTTTTTTCAGTAGAGATGGGGTTTCACCATGTTGGCCAGGCTGGTCTCGAACTCCTGACCTTGTGATCCGCCCGCCTCAACCTCCCAAAGTGCTGGGATTACAGGTGTGAGCCACTCTTGCCCGGCCTACTATAGTGTTTTCTATAGCCTAAGTCTAGGAGGAAGAAGACAACCTAGTAGAGATACTGGGGTTGCAATCTACTAGGACTGCAATTATCTAACAGTGAGCCCCATAATCACAGGACCGGCCTAAGTTACGATCCAGGGATGGGAGGGAAAATAATCCCTCTGAATACATTGTAAAGGAAGAGTGGAAGACAAAAATGCAGTGTATTTTTGAATTCATTCTGACATATTTAGTTCAATGTACTAATTTTTATTGTTTTCCAATGAGATACATTAGGCAGGCATGAAATAAAATTTTCATGATGACCAAAACCTATCCACTTGAAACATACAGAAATCACCATTTTCACCGGTGACACAATATTTTTGAGAGAGAAATTTATTTCAAAATTACTATGTCTCCCTTTGTGTTCATTTTTGGGAACATTGTAAGTTTTGCTAATGTGTGATTTCTAATGTGGTACATTTGCCTTGGTGTACTCTTCATAAACCTAGGCCGTTTTCTTGGCTTTTATAGATTTCTTTCCTACTAGGGTGAAAGTTTATTATAATCTTGTAGCCAGGGACCACATCTTACTCATCTATAGAGATGATGCCCCATATTACATGATACAAAGGGTTATGCAGTCAATTCTTATTAACCCTTTGTGAAATGAATTTTCTTTACTTTTAATAAGCTTTTGCTGAGCGCTTGTCACTCAAAAATCCAAGTGTTATTTCCATTCCATTTCACAGATGAACAAACTGAGGCTCAAAGAGGCCTAGTAAACTAATGCAAGGTCCTCCAGTTAAAAGTTGAGCCAGAATTCATACCGAGGCAGGGTAACTCTAGAGCCCACGCTCTTTTTATCTTTTTTTGGAGACAGAGTCTCCCTGTGTCGCCCAAGCTGGAGTGCAGTTGCAGGATCTCAGCTCACTGCATCCTTTGCCTCCCGGGTTCAAGCAATTTTCCTCCCTCAGCCTCCTGAGTAGCTGGGATTACAGGCATGTGCCACGACGCCTGGCTAATTTTTGTATTGTTAGTAGAGACGGAGTTTCACCATGTTGGCCAGGCTGGTCTTGAACTCCTGACCTCAGGTGATCCGCCCGCCTTGGCCTGCCAAAGTGCTGGGATTACCTGTGTGAGCCACCGCGCCCGGCTGAGCCCATTCTCTTAATGACCTCACTGTATGTATGCCTCTTCCTTATTGATTTATTCGATTAAAAATATGTTGAGTCACTGCTGTGTGCTGAACTCGTTCCAGATGTTGGAGAGAGACAGTGACGCAAAGGACCAGACCTGGTTCTCACAGAGTCTACACTCCGGTGTGAAGGGTCTGAAAGTATGTGGGAAGCGGGAGAGAGGAAGAAAGAGGAGCGGAACTGCCGACCCACTCTATGGGAACTCTGTATTGAACCATTTGAGGAAGGGCCAGGCTGTTTCCCAAAAGCAGCTGCACCATTTTGTATTTCACCAACCAAGCGTGTGGGGTGCAATTTCTCTACATCCTCGCCAACACTTCTCTAACATTTTGATTGTAGCTGTGATGAGATGCATTCTAAATTTCTGATATAATTACTTCTCAAACAAAACCATCGAATCATGTCAAATCAATCTGACTTAAAAGAGAAAGTCTTTTTTTAATTAAGTTAAAAATTTATTGACATTCTGATTGTGAAAAACTCTAACATTGCTTTTAATTTATCATAGGAGTTACTTCCCAAAAATGTTAATCACAGCTGGATTGAAAGAGTCTTTGGGAAATGGGGCAATGTTGTTTATGTAGGTATACCACATTATAAGTCTACTGGAGATCCAAAGGGATTTGCGTTTGTGAAATTTGAAACAAAAGAACAAGCAGCAAAAGCAATTGAGGTAGGACCAGATCCTTTTGAAGAAAACAATTTCTTTACCTTCCTGAATTAGTTCCCAAAGATTCCTGTTCTCCTCCAGAAGGAGCTCTGATGAACCTCGACACAGGCTGCAGAGCTCCTCTTTGTGTTCCTGTGAGGACAATGGTTGTGCCCTACCAGGCACTTAGTGTCCAGGGCACCCACCAGCTCTTTGCAGACAAGTTTCCCAGATGGTCTTTAAATGATCAACCAGGCTCGCTTTCATGGCAAGACCCTTCCTCCCACGGCTTCCCCCCGGCTGTGTCAGTGAAAACAAGGTAAAACATTAGCTTTGTTATTCAGCCAACAGAAAGCCTCTGGGAGGTGTATGCTGATTTTCTTTCTTTTCTATACATTTACATTTTACAAGGGTCATAGCTCATTAAGACAAAAGTAGATCACCAGCGCATTTAACTTTGACCAGAAAAAAGGCACGCCTTTTTAAGTGGCCTACATAAGATCTGTGGTCATTTTTAGATTAAACAAATGCAAAATACATTATTTTATATCGGGGCATATTTTTCTATCTTAAATACAATTTTTACTTTTTACAAGATGCGTTCCAACTCTTGGGAATATTTATTATTAAAAACGGGGCCTAAAACAAATAAGCAGTGTGTAATAAGCAAGTGGTATGTCCACTCAGCAACTGAGTTACCATATAGTACATAAAGTAACTGTAATCCCTGAAACTCCCAGTATACACAGCTAACCTCAGCCAATACATATTCCTGAAGAGAGATTGCTACAAGCCAAACTGTGATATCTAACAGGAACAAAGAACTGACTGTATACATTTGGACTCCCCATTTTACTTTGTTATGATTAAAGTATTGCCTTTAATGCAATAAAAAAAAAAAACCAAGCATATTTGCATTCAAGCTCAAAAAAGGAGTAAGGCGGGATTAAAACCATGGCTTCACGCTATTTTAACTATGAAAGAACATCAATCAATAAAACGTAACTGAAAAATTCTTACTTGAAGAATTCTTTAGATAGCAGTAACATCAAATTCTTGTTTTATGTTTTTTCACTTAGTGTTCTGATTCACAACTATTTTTTTCTTGTTGGCAACTCCCACTGACTCCAACTTAAATAAATAAAGTTTGTTTTGAGATGAGTTTCCATGGTAAGACACTACTTTAAAGCCGATAATGCACTCAGTATGATACAGTTCCTCCACATTTTCTTTTCGCCAGATAGGTAGAATATCTCACATTCCCCTTACAACAACTTTGTAGCTTTCTACATAACACTATATTAAAATAATACTTCAAATAACTTGTGTCTCTCATCGGAAGATCTCACAAAACTTGGTTTCATTAATAAACCCCTTCGTGGCCAGGCGCGGTGGCTCACATCTGTAGTCCCAGCACTTTGGGAGGCCAAGACAGGCGGATCACCTGAGGTCAGGAGTTCGAGACCAGCCTGGCCAACATGGTGAAACCTTGTCTCTACTAAAAATACAAAAATTAGCCGGGTGTGGTGGCACACACCTAGTAATCCCAGCTACTCAGGAGGCTGAGGCACAAGAATCACTTGAACCCGGGAGGCGAGGTTGCAGTGAGCCGAGATTGTGCCACTGCACTCCAGCCTGGGTGAAGGAGTGAGACTCTGTCTCACCAAAAAAAAATAAAAGTAAACACCTCCCTGCCCTACCCACTCCAAGCACCATGAAAGTATAAACTTCCCTTTGCTGAAAAGGTTGAGGTAAAAAATTAATAATTTTTCATACAGGAAAAGACCTTTGAGATGATCTGTAGGCCACCGGTTCTCAACATGGGGTGCTCAGACAATACGCAAACTTACGAGGAAGGCAAATTCTCAGGCCCCACCTGAACCTAGTGAACCAGAAACTTAGGGGACATTGGGCACAGCCAAGTCCTTTCTAACAAGCCTCCAGGTGATTCTGATGCATGCCAGAAAGTTTGAGAACCACTGATTTAGGCCAAATCACCAATTTACAATGGAAGCCTCTAAACTACTGACAAGTTAGTGATTTGCCTAAAATTGTTAATGTCAAAATTGAGATTAGATTCCAAGTCTCTTAACTTCAATTAGTTCCAGTTTGCAGACTCTAACACCGTGAAATACATCAAAGAAAATCTCAACTCCTTCCCCGCTTTGACCCTACCTGAGCAGCCATACCTGGTTCAGAGTTTCCAAGTTCCAAACAAAACGGGAATCAGCAAAGAGAACTTGGTGATACTTGTTTGCAAAATCCTGCCCCAATTCTTTTATTTACAGGATCTGTTGTATAGTAAACAGAGTATTGAATTGAACCCTGGAGGATTCCATTCTGGTTCTGTCCCTAACCACAACACCACCCCCTCCTCTTACATTGTCTATGAACATAAGAGAGATGTATTAGATTGTACAGTATGCAAATTTAAGATTCTCTAGAGCTCAGAAATTTCATGATTCCCTGAGCCTGACTGCTAAACAAGTTTTCTCATTGTCACCATGTCAGATACTATAAGTCCATTTTCTGGTGACCAGAACATCTGGATTCCTAATGCTTTTATTTCCCCCTTTTCCATCCCCAACCTATGCTCTATACAATGGCTAATGTGCTACCATTGTTCAAATGTCGAACCATAATATGGTTGTGATCATGAAGGCAGAATTTAAAGAAGGAATCGTAAAATTAATCAGGAGATAAAGATTGCCAAAAAATAAACATTTTAACTTCCTCAAGAATGGAAATTGAACATGCTTGGAGGTTCAAGCTGAATTAATCTCAGAGTTTACTCTATGGATTTGACCACAGTCCAAAAAACAGCAAGAAATTTTTTTTTTTTTTTTTTTTTTGAGACGGAGTTTCGCTCTTATTGCCCAGGCTGGAGTACAATGGCATGATCTCGGCTCACCGCAACCTCCGCCTCCCAGGTTCAAGCAATTCTCCTACCTCAGCCTCCCGAGTAGCTGGGATTACAGGCATGCACCACCACGCCCGGCTAATTTTGTATTTTTAGTAGAGACGGGGTTTCTCCATGTTGAGGCTGGTCTCGAACTCCTGACCTCAGGTGATCCGCCCACCTCGGCCTCCCAAAGTGCTGGGATTACAGGAAGAAATTATCTTTAATTATTAAAGCAAATAGTGTTCTAATATAGATTAAAATATTGGCAATTGGCAAAGTCTGCTGCTTTCCAGCTTGCTCGTGTGGCATCATTTATTGATAGACACAGAACTCAATACAGAGGTGTCATTAACATCTACATAACTTATATCTTCACTTTAACTGAACAGGAATAATACGGAAAATTGTATCACCTGGACTGCCAAAGAGAGTCACAGCAACACAGAGAAGACTATATATTCCAAGGATTGCAATCATGTTGCTCTCTGCTCATATTTTCAAACTGAGAATCTGGATAGAACATGAACAGTTGGATTGTGGATGCATTTCTTGTACCTTAAATCGGGGAGACAGCATCACTAAAAAACTCTCACATAATCTCTTTCCATCTCTTCTTATGAGTCTTCTACTAACTGCTATTAACAGGAAAAGGACACTTTCCAAGATAGGCCAAAAAGAGCTGTGTTGTTGAAGATGTATTTTTCTCCCTTTCAGCAGAGACATTACTTCCTAACTGAAACATAAGTCTAAAGTCATAAATTCATTCTGGATATCTCATTTCTGTGGAACAAACCCCCCCTCTTTTTTTTTTTGGTTTTGTTTTCTTGAGACAGTGTCTCGCTCTGTTGCCAGGCTGGAGTGCAGTGGCGCCATCTTGGCTCACTGCAACTTCCGACTCCCTGGTTCAAGTGATTCTCCTGCCTCAGCCTCCCAAGTAGCTGGGATTACAGGCACGCACCACCACACCCAGCTAATTTTTGTGTTTTTAGTAGAGACGGGGTTTCAGCATGTTGGCCAGGATGGTCTTGATCTCCTGACCTCGTGATCTGCCCCCCTCAGACTTCCAAAGTGTTGGGATTATAGGCGTGAGCCACCATGCCCTGGCCAAACCCTTTTTAAGGATAAACAACTTTAACAAATAAAGAAATAAGTTAATGAAGTCTCAAGTTGCTAAATTAAATTTGAAAGTATGTGAAATTAACAAAGGGAAGGAAAAATAACAGTCCTTCAGGAAATTTCACAAGTTGTTTCATTAAAATAAGCTACAGTGATTTATAGAAAAGAAAAACTGAAATCAGTATCACAATGGATTAAATTAGCTTCTTTTGTTAATAGCTACATGAAAACACTATACATTTTTTCTTTTACTTATTATTTTTTAATAGAGATGGGGTCTCGCTATGTTAACCAGGCTGGTCTTGAACTCCTGGCCTTAAGCAATCCTCCCATCTCAGCCTCCCAAAGTGTTGGGATTACAGTCATGAGCCACTGCTCCCAGCCATTTTATTTTCTTATAGAAAGAAACTAAGAAGTACAAAATATGTTTAATTCACTTAATTACGTCATCCAAAAATCATGGACATTGAGAAAATAAAAGCACAGTATTTCAATGGTGCTATTATGCATATTAGTTGTGCAAAGGAAACTACCTAGAAGGGAAATTTGTAAGTAGTTCTTTAGGATTTTTAAGTAGTTCTTTAGGACAGGAATATTTTATGCATACTAAATGCTGTCAATATATGTTTTCTTAATGGGTAGAAAAAGAATGAACTGGGTAACTAAATCTATTAAAATAAATCCTAGTTGAGGCCTAGTGCCATATAAATTCATTATTTCGTTTATTTATTTATTTATTTATTTATTCTGAGACAGAGTCTCGCTCTGTCACCCAGGCTGGAGTGCAGTGGTGCGGTCTCGGCTCACTGCAAGCTCCGCCTCCCGGGTTCACGCCATTCTCCTGCCTCAGCCTCCCGAGTAGCTGGGACTACAAGCACCCGCCACCACGCCTGTCTAATTTTTTGTATTTTTAGTAGAGACGAGGTTTCACTGTGTTAGCCAGGATTGTCTCTATCTCCCGACCTCATGATCCGCCTGCCTCAGCCTCCCGAAGTGCTGGGATTACAGGCGTGAGCCACCACGCCCGGCCTATTCATCTATTTTGAGACGGGACCTTGCTCTGTCACCCAGGTTAGAGTATAGTGACCCGATCATGGCTCACTGAAGCCTCGACTTCCTGGGTTCAATCGATCCTCCCACCTAAGCCTCCCGAGTAACTTGGAATACAGGCACATGCTACCATACCCAGCTAATTATTTTATTTTATTTTTTTGTAGAGATGGGGTCTTACTATATCACCTAGGCTAGTCCTGAATTCCTGGGCTCAAGCGATCCTCCCGCCTTTGCCTCCCAAACTGGCGGGATTATAGATAGGAACCACTGTGCCCAGCTGCCATATAAATTATATATCGAAACACTGCATGCCAGCCTATTCCTCACTCCCTCAAATTGGATATGACCTAACCCCATGGCCCTCTGTAAAGGAAACCTACATATGGATTGGAAGTAAATTGGCATTGGAACCCTTCTGTCCCTTTTACACAGCACAGTCAATTCAGAGTCCCCAGCCTGGACCAGGCTCACGTCCGTCTTTGCAGTGGATGGGGAAGGACAGTGTCACTAGAGAAGCCTCCTACCCAGGGCGGCCTGGGAACAGCTCCCTTGAGTGCTGTTTTCCTGTCAAGTCTTATCATTGTAATAGGACTTCTGTTGTTTTTGGACTCTGTACAGAGAGACTTTCAGTTTTCAATGAAACAGTTGGCTTAAAAAAATGCTTCAAGGGGGAAAAAAACATAACTGAATCACAGCAAGGCCCTCAGAAGTCATAGCCCTTGATCTTCCTTAGCCTCCTCGGCGGCAGCTTTCTAAATATTATCACTCTCCTGCCCCCAAAGCCACTCCTGCCCCAGGCCCCTGCCCTCGGATCATTTCCTCTCCTAGTTCACCAAGAGAACATCATCCAGAGAAAGGGGCTCCCTCAAGCTTCTTCTGTCCCCATTGCAAAGCTCTTTTTCTCTCCCTACCTGCTATGGTGCCGGGCATTATGCCAGGCCCTGGGCACTTATGAGCTGTGTGAATCCCAACAACAAGCCTCTGTTTTACAGAAAAGGCTCAGAGAGGTCCCGGAATTTGTCAAAGTCATAGACTGTTTCTCTGTTTACATGTTCCATTCCTTCTTGTCTGGGCCTAAAAAAAAGCATCCCAATCAAGTCTTTTTCTTTTTTTTTTTTTTCAGGAGGGGGACAGGATCTTGCTCTACTGCCCAGGCTAGAGTGCAGTGGCATGATGACAGCTCACTGCAACCTTGAACTCCTGGGCTCAAGCAATCCTCCTGCCTCAGCCTCCTGTAGCTGGGACTACAGGAGAACACCACTGCGCCAAGCTAATATTTTTAAAATGTTTTGCAGAGACAGGATCTTGCTTTTTGCCCAGGCTTTGATCAAGTCTTAACCTCCCTACACACACACACACACACACACACACACACACACACACACACAACAATGCTGAATCCATTTTCCCACCCCTTCTGGGGACTTCTTTATCAATCATTCAATCCTCTTGCAACTTCCCTTTTATTCTGAGCCAGGCTTCCCTTTAATGCCACATCCAAACCCATCAAGTCCTGATGGAATTCCACTCAAAAACTGTCCTCAGCTCTACCACTTCCCAGCATCTTCACTGCCAAAACCTTAGGGCTAGTCCAAGCGCCAGCAGCTCCTGCCCCGCCCACTGCGGGCCTCCTGACTCTTCTCGCTGAGTCTCCTCTCATCTCCAATAGACGGTTCTCCAACAGTAAGCATTGTGGACTTCAGAGGAAAAAAGGAGTCTGTTCGGAGGCCCTGACATACAGGTTATAAGTGCCATGGCTATGACTAGTGTCAAATTGCATGCTGGTGTTTTAAGAAAGCCAGATACCTGGATTGGACTCTCGGGTGTTCTCTGAGGAACACCTTCATCACACAAACTCTGTACTTCCTGGAATCAGTACTTGTATTTTTCTAGTACCAAGTTACATGCACCAAATTATAATACACTTTTCTATAACATTTTCTCACTGAGACTCCCGGGGCTTTTAATATCTCTGGAATATTTTTTTCCATTTTCCATAAGACTCAAAAGTAATATAAGCTCTACAAAATCTACTAAAAAGTATCTGCAAAAAATAGGAGATGAGGAGGACTCTGATGCAGAAAGTGATCAGAACGAGATGAGTGAGCAGGAAGAGGAGCTTGAGGATGGCCTTACTATAGCAAAGACTATCAAGACCTGGAAACAGTAGTGCGGTCTTTTCAGGATGACGTTGTCCTGAAGACAAGCCTGGATATTGGAAGAAACAAAGTGGAAGATGCATTCTGCAAAGGTGAATTCAGGCTGAATGGGGAAAAATTATGGAAGAAAAGCAGAATGGTCAAAGTGGGAGATACATTGGATCTTCTCATTGGAGAGGATAAGGAAGCAGGAACAGAGACAGTGATGCAGATTCTCCCAAAAAAAAGTGTTTGAAGAGAAGGCTGAAAGTGAAAAATACACAGTGGTATTACAGCAGTGGAAAAACTTAAAAATGCCTAAGAAGAGAATGTCTAAATAAACGGATTCTTCACCGGGCATGGTGGCTCACTTCTGTAATCCCAGCACTTTGGGAGGCTAAGGTGGGCGGATCATCTGAGGTCAGGAGTTCAAGATCAGCCTGGCCAACATGGTGAAACCCCATCTCTACTAAAAATACAAAAATTAGTTGGGCGTGGTGGCATGTGCCTGTAATCCCAGCCACTTGGGAGGCTGAGGCGGGAGAATTGCTTGAACTGGGGAGGCAGAGGTTGTAGTGAGCTGAGATCACGCCACTGCACTCCAGCCTGGGTGAGAGAATGAGACTCCATCTTAAAAAAAAAAAAAAGAAAAAAAAGAAAGAAAGAACCTTCTTTTGCCTTTCACAGCTCTGTCACTTTTTCCCAGTTGGCCATTTTACTAACATTCTTTTTTCTCAGTCTTTATCATTAGCCCTTTTCTCTACCAAAAATATATGTTCTTACTGTTCATTGGAAGGGATCTCATCCATCCCAACAGCTTCATTTATCACTCATATGTTGAAAACTCTCCAATCTATATCTCCTGTCCCAATCTCTTTAGCTCCAAGTAGATACCCACAATTTGCAAGACATAGCTTGATACTGGTAATGCATAATTACATCAAGTTAAACTTGTCCAAAATGTAGCTCATAATCAGGTTCCCAGTCTCAACTCCATTCCAGTCTTGTGTGTTACAGCATCATTCAATCAATTGCCCAAATGTGTAATCTCAGAACATTGCCTTCCATTCTCTGCTGACTTTGCAAAACCTGAGAAGCAGAAGTAAAGAGGAGAAATGGGAAAAGAGAACTGTCAGTTTTGCATGCCACCTTAAACCATTGCTTTGCTTTGAGCTTTGCAAATATAACAGGTTTGCAAAGTGTGTCACACACTCAAATTGAGATGTGCAGAAAATGGTAACTTCTTTATTTTAGTCCTTTCCCTAAGTCTTCAACAGTCGAAGGAAAAATTAATTAAGTTAATGCTCAAGTCTGTTAAATGCATAATACAGTCCAATGATTTAAATAGACTGTTTACGGAATGCCAAGTCTCTCTTGGAAAAAAATGCTCAATCTCTGAGAAGCCTCCTCTCTTCTGATTCTTTCTTTCTTTTTTATTTTTATTTTTTTTTATTTTTTGAGACGGAGTCTCCCTCTGTCTCCCAGGCTGGAGTGCAGTGGCGCGATCTCAACTCATTGCAACCTCCACGTCCCAGGGTCAAGCAATTCTCCGTACCTCAGCCTCCCAAGTAGCTGAGATTACAGGCACCTGCTACCATGCCTGGCTAATTTTTAGAATTTTTAGTAGAGACAGGGTTTCGCCATGTTGGCCAGGCTGGTCCTGAACCCCTGACCTCAGGTGATCCACCTGCCTCGGCCTCCCAAAGTGTTGGGATTACAGGCGTGAACCACTGTGTCCGGGCCTGATTCTTTTTTGAGAGGCTGTCCAGGTGCACAGGAGGAAGGGTGTGTAATAGAGGTACCTGTGAGGTTTCAGGGAGACACGGGTTCTCAGACCCCAGAGCATGATTCTGGAGTTGCTTGTCATGTGAGCTGTTGGTGCAGCCTGTGAGCTGGGCCTCCCAGCTTGCTCAGGACTCCACCTCACTTTGGCTCTGCTGGCAGTTTTCCCCTGAGCTTGGTGTCCAGCCTCCGAGTAGCCTCTGCCCCAGGCTCACCTCCCGCTGCCTCAGGAGGCCCCGCAACGGACCTGGCTTGTGTTCCACATAGGAATTGAAGTTGAGCCTTAAAAAATATTCACACTGCCATATATTTCTGAGGCTGTGCCCTAGAAAACGTATGGCAATAGCTCCCCTCCTTCCTCTTGGTGTAACCCACTAATTTAATTAACATCCCTGTCCCCCGCCCCCACCCCACTCCACCACCAGAGACTTAAGGACTGGCAGCTTCCCTCTCCTCCCTCTTCTTTCATTTTGCACAAACACTCTTTCTCCCTTCTCCTCCCAAGAATCCTCAGGACCAGAAAACCAGTAGGTTTTCTTTTTTTTTTTAATTTCTTTTTATTTTTTTAGAGACAGTGTCTTACTCTGTCTCCCAAGCTGGACAACAGAGGTGCAATCATAGCTCACTACAGCCTCGAACTCCTGGCCTCAAGTGATCCTTCTACCTCAGCCACCCAAGTACAGTGGGCTCTTTTTTTTTTTTTTTTTTTGAGCCTGAGTCTCGCTCTGTCGCCCAGGCTGGAGTACAGTGGCCCGATCTTGGCTGACTGCAACCTCTGCCTCCCGGATTCAAGCGATTCTTCTGCCTCAGCCTCCCTAGTAGCTGGGACTACAGGCACCCACCACCACGCCCAGCTAACTTCTGTATTTTCAGTAGAGACGGGGTTTCACCATGTTGGCCAGGCTGGTCTTGAACTCCTGACCTCGTGAGCTGCCTGCCTCAGCCTCCCAAAGTGCTGGGATTACAGGTGTGAGCCACCACGCCCAGCCCAGTGGGCTCTTTTACTTTCCCCACATCCTGTTCCCTTTTCTGACTCCATCTATAACTGGGGGCAGGAGTGTCTCCTCTACACTGTGGGAAAATTCTAGAAGCTCACCACTCCAAGCTAAGTTATTGGCAGGCTAAAAAAAAAAAAGAATTAAAGGAATTCGGAAAATATTTTCTCAAGATACCTGTTGAGCCTGATATAAATTAAAGCTGATGAAGTGAACTGAATCTATCAGCCTAAGGAATTTTAATTGATCTTAAAGGCACACGATAGCCACTGACTTTTCCTTTCAAAGATCATTTTGGCTGCAGTGTGCAGAGTGGATTAGACACTAGTGCCTCCCAGATTTTGCACCCACAACATGCATGGAAAATGGTAATATTACATGGCACAATGGGGGAACAGGAAGAGGTGGCCCCAGACCCCACCCAGCCGCCATGAGGGTTGAGGGAATGAACACACCTGGAATCCATTCATGGTTACCCGTGGATAAAGTAGGAAGTACAGTTCTGGAAGGCAGGAAGCTAGTTAAAAGGCAATGTTAGTAATTCATGCAAGGGATAATAATTGTCTAAACATTAGTTCTTCGTAGGGTAGATATGGGGAGAAATGAATGGATTTGAAGGATACCAATTAGATAGAACAAGCACGTTGTGTTTGATTAAATGGCTGGATAAAAGGTGGCGCTAATTCACAGACATGGAAGGAGTTTCCAAGGCAGAAAGGAAGAGAGTGCTGTTCTTGTGAGGTCCGAAGCGAGGAAGATATTACGCAGGGGCAAAGGAGTTGCTAATAACATTACCTGGAATTTTTTTCTAAGTTAGAAAATACCCTAGAGAGCATGTTAGCCAACCTACCCATTTTACAGATAATAATAATTCTTACTGTTTACTGAGTACTTCCTATTTGTGAAGTGTTATGGGCTAAATATGCCCCTTCAAAATTGGTCTATTGGGCCGGGCGCAGCGGCTCACACCTGTAATCCCGGCACTTTGGGAGGCCAAGGCGAGTGGATCTTCTGAGGTCAGGAGTTTGAGACCAGCCTGGCCAGCATGGTGAAACCCTGTCTCTACTAAAAATACAATAATTAGCCGGGCGTGGTGGTGGGTGCCTATAATCCCAGCTACTCTCAAGGCTGAGGCAGGAGAATCGCTTAAACCGGGGAGGTGGAGGCTGCAGTGAGCTGAGATGGCACCACTGCACTCCAGCCTGGGCAACAGAGCAAGACTCCATCTAAAAGAAAAAAACAGTGTATTGACACCCTTATCCCGAATGTGATAGTATTTGGAGGTGGGGCCTTTGGGAGGTAATTAAGTTTAGATTTCGTTATCAAAGTGGAGCTCCTTGATGGGATTAGTGCCCTTCTACAAAGAGGAAGACAGTGATCACCTTTCCATGAGCACACACAGAGAAGAGTCCGTGTAAGGACACCGCAAGGAGGGTGGCTGTCTACCGGCCAGGAAGCCGGCCCTCACTAGAAACCGAATTTGCTAGCAGCTTGATCTTAGACTTATGAGCCTCTAGAATTGTGAGAAATAAGTATCTGTTGTTCAAGCCGCCCAGTCTATGATATTTTGTTATAGCAGCACAAGTGGACTAAAACGTTAGGCAATGATCCAGTTGCACTACGAATATCATCTCATTAATTCAGAACTAAATCTATGAGGTCGCTGGCATTATTTAAGAGTGAAGAAATGGAAGCCCTAAGAGGTAAGTAACTTGCCTGGGCAATTCAGAAATTCCATCACAGAGCCAAGATTCAGATCCTCATCTCTCCATTCCCAGGAGCAGTTGTTTTCCCATTATCTTAACGTCTCTGGAAAGAGAGTACTGTGCAATTTATTTTTTAAAGGTGCAAATCCGTATGTTTTGAAACTTCCCAAATGGTTCCATTTCATGCCCAATGCCATAGAGCCAGTTAACAGTGAGTCAGGATTAGCTCTGGGGTTCTGCCTCCCCTTCGAGTTTCTTCCCTGCGCCCTGACCTTACTTTACTGAGCAAAGTGCACATGGGAAACAGCAGTACTGCATTTTTTGTGATCCACGGAGGGTCAATGTTTTAACTTCACAGCCACAGGTCCACCTGCAGAGCCCTCCTCCTCACTCCCATGCTATCTCTGCAGAGGCTTTGGGGAGCTACGCTTCAGCCCCACCCTTTGTCCCACAAGCACCACATTCAGTGGTCTCTACAGTGTCATCCGGAGCTAAAGGATGGGGGAAATGTGGACAATCACAGATCTTCTCTGCACTGGTTCAGATAAAGGCTATTTTTAGTCCAATTCTGTGAGGCACAGTTTTCAGATTTTGAAGATGATTTGTATTTAATTCAATTTAAGCCTGACTTCTTGTCTTTCTCATGGTGAAAGACACAGGATGACTTTTCCCATTATTAAAGATGCAGCGTACAGGATATACACGGCCAAATGCCCAGGCAAAGTCAAGATGATGTCATTCCTGTGTTCAACTTAACCATGCCCTAGCCTAAGGGGAGTGACTCCTTTTACTCATAAAACATCACAGCTTGGTGCCCGGGTTAAGCTACGCTACGTGATATGATTTCATATTTGAGCCATGGCATCTCTAATGCATTAGGCTTTTGCTAGCTTAAGCTTCTTAATGGTGTGTGTTGTTGGTATAAACAAATGCCAACCTCACCACGGCAATGTCAAATTCCTCAGATGCCTCAGCACAATTAAGAGAACAAAGTTGCTGTAAAGTAATTACACAGTATGGATTAATGTGTAATCCTGAAGAGCAATAACACCCATAGCAAGCATGAGCTCTGTTTTATTACTGAGCGAGAGAGAAGGCTGGTGGGTGGGGTGGGGGTGGGGGGGAATTCCAAAGCACAAGCATTCATTCACCTTTCTGCACAGGCCTAGCTGACACAGGACTGTTTTGGTAACTGAGTGTAATCTAACATTCCTGAATTCTTCAGGCATAGCTGGGGCACCCTGGGAAACCCATCCCACCCCTAGGCCTGGCACTACCCAAAAAGTGTTCTCCTGGAACCTGAGAGGGGAGGTGCATGTCCTTATAAAATTTCTTCTAGGGTTTAAACTGGCAGTTCCTATAATTATCATTATTTTCTGGGAAAGAGACAAGATTTTGTTACTTGTCTTTCTTTCATACGAGCAGAAACTGCTCTATAAGTAGTTTGTTTTGTTTTGTTTTGTTTTTATTGAGAGAGGGGTTTCACCATATTGCCCAGGCTGGCCTCAAACTCCTGAGCTCAAGCAATCCACCCAATACCCACCTTGGTATTCCAAACGTGCTGGGATTACAGGCGTGCACAACTGTGCCCAGCCTATATAAATATTCTGACCACGTATATAGTCAGCAAAACAGAGTTTTAAAATTTATAATTAATCTTCAGATTTAAATGTTTTCTACTTTTTACTGCTATGTAAGGATTCTATGAAGGACATCAAATAAAAAACATTCTCCACGTTTAAAAGTGGGTTTACAAAGGCATGTAAATCATTCTATTATAAAGATACTTGCACATGTATGTTTATTGCACCACTATTCACAATAGCAAAGACATGGAATCAACCTAAATGACCATCAATCATAGACTGGAAAAGAAAATGTGGTCCATATACACCATGGAATACTATGCAGACATAAGAAGGAATGAGATCCTGTACTTTGCAGGGATATGGATGAAGCTGGAAGCCATCATCCTCAGCAAACTAACACAGGAACAGAAAACCAAACACCGCGCGTTCTCTCTCATAAGTGGGAGCTGAGCAATGAGAACACGTGGACACAGGGAGGGGAACAACACACACCCAGATCTGTGGGAGAGTGGGGGGAGGGAGAGAATCAGAATAAATAGCTAATGCATGTGGAGCTTAATACCTAGTGATGGGTTGATAGGTGCAGCAAACCACCACGGCACATGTTTACCTATGTGACAAGCCTGCACATTCTGTGCATGTATCCAGAACTTAAAATAAAATTTAAAATAATAAAATTAAAAATTAAAAAAAAGGTGGGTTTAATGTGAGGGAGAAAAACAATTATCAACGTGTAAGATCAATGATCAGCCGTCCAAAGTAAATGCCTGAAAATGTGCATCTTTATGCCCCATTAGAACTTCAGGCCAGGCGCGGTCACTCACGCCTATAATCCCAGCACTTTGAGAGGCTGAGGCGGGCGGATCACGAGGTCAGGAGATCAAGACCATCCTGGCTAACATGGTGAAACCCCATCTCTACTAAAAATACAAGAAATCAGCCGGGCGCGGTGGCGGGTGCCTGTAGTCCCAGCTACTCGGGAGGCTGAGGCAGGAGAATGGCGTGAACCCGGGAGGCGGAGCTTGCAATGAACCGAGGTCGCGCCACTGCACTCCAGCCTGGGTGAAAGAGCGAGACTCTGTCTCAAAAAAAAAAAAAAAAAAAAAAAAAAAAAGAACTTTTAGGACCCCTGGAAGAAAATGTCCATAGGCCAGCATGCTGAATTTGTGGCTGAGATGGGTTTACTATTTCTCTAGTCATTGCAGTTTTCTTCAATGATAAATATTATTAATGAAAACAGGCATTTTAGAAGCTTAAAGGTGAATAAGAAAAGCAAGCTGCAGAAGTCTTCATACAATAAGAAACCTTTTTTGTTAAAGTTTCTATCAGGCAGGTTAGGTACAGTAGCTCACATATGTAATATCAGCACTCTGGGAAGCCAGGGCAGGAAGATCACTTGAGGCCAGGAGTTCAAGACCAGCCTGGACAGTATAGTAGGACCTCCATCTCTACAAAAAAAAATTTAAAAATTAGCCAGGCATGGTGGCATGTGCCTGTAGTCCCAGCTACTCAAGATGCTGAGGCAGGAGGATCCCTTGGGCCCAGGAGTTAGAGGCTGCAATGAGCTATGATGGCACCACTGCACTCCAGCCTGGGTGACAGTAACATGTCTCTCAAAAAAAAAAAAAAAAAGAAAGAAAGAAAGAAAAGGGATCTGCCATTTGCAATAATCTGGTTGAACCTAGAGTAGGAAGATGATTACCAGGTGTTTGGAAGGAGTGAGCTATGGGGAAATGTAGGTCAAAGAGTCAAATGGTAGGCCGAGTGCAGTGGCTCACGCCTGTAATCTCAGCACTTTGGGAAGCCAAGGTGGGTGGATCACCTGAGGTCAGGAGTTCAAGACCAGCCTGGGCAACATGGTGAAACCCCAACTCTACTAAAAATACAAAAATTAGCCAGGCGTGGTGGTGCACACCTGTAATCCCAGCTACTCGGGAGCCTGAGGCAGGAGAATCACTTGAACCCGGGAGGTGAAGGTTGCAGCCAGCCAAGATCATGCCACTGCACTCCAGCCTGGGCAACAAACAGATCGAGACTCTGTCTAAAAAAAAAAAAAAAAGTACAAAGGGTCAAAGGGGTGAATAAATCAGGAAAGCTAATTAATGTGCAACATGAGTACTATAGCTAATATACTAGAAACTTGCTAAGAGAATAGATTTGAGGCACTCTTATCACAAGAGAGAGAGAGAAAGGGAGGAGGAAGGAAAGGGAGGAAAGAAAGGCAGGTAGCTATGCAAGGTGAGGGATTTACTTGGCTGTAGTAATAACTTCACTATATTCATGAATATCAAAACATCAAGGCCGGGCGCAGTAGTTCACACCTGTAATCCCAGCACTCTGGGAGGCTGAGGCGGGCAGATCGCCTGAGGTCAGGAGTTCGAGACCAGCCTGGTCAACATGATAAAACCCCGTCTTTACTAAAAATACAAAAATTAGCTGGGTGTGGTGATGCATGCGCCTGTAATCTCAGCTACCTGGGAGGCTGAGGCAGAAGAATTGCTTGAACCAAGAGGCAGAGGTTGCAGTGAGCCGAGATTGCGCCACTGCATTCCAGGCTAGGCGACAGAGCAAGACTCCATCTCAAAAACAACAACAAAATCATGTTGTACACATTACATATGTAAAATACAATAAAATAAAAAGTGTTTTGCCAAAAAAAAGAAAGAGAGAGAAAAGAGGTCTGGGTGTTGGGAGGGTGCTTACCAACGCACAGGCCCATGGCGCCACTGGAGGAGCATGTCCCAAGACTGACCGTGGTTCATAAGCTTTTCCTTGTCACTCTCTTGCTTCTCTCAGGACAGAACCCTGACTACACCTGGTGTGGCCAGTCGGGCTGTCCTAAAAAGCTCCGTCATCCAGCATTCTCCAGTGGGCACCTGGGGAGGCCAAGAGTGTCTTTGAATTCACCCAAGCTCTGTCTGTTTTCCTACCCTTGGGGTCTAGCTGCTACTGGGTAAGCAACTGCTGAGGAAGAAAAGGCATAAAGAAAAGGCATTTTGAAATATCAGGACATGAATAAAGCCAAAAGTCATGCTCAGTTCAATATTCACCACAGCCAAACTGCCGCCGAGTACTAGGGAAGCATTTAAGAAGAGCAGTTTTGTCCTTTTGTGATCTCCTTAAATGGTAGCTTTACTGCATTGACATTTGTATTTATTTTTTCCTTCATGACCTAACTCCCACTCACTGCCCTCCCCGGGCTTATCTCCTGCCACCAACTCCAGACACACTGAACTGCTGGAATTCTCCAAAGACGCCCTCTCCTCTCCCTGTCCTGACCCCATGGGCAACACCTACTTACTCAGTAAGACTCAGCTCCAAAGAAACATCCCCAGAAAGCTTTTCCTAACCATTAACCACCAAGCCACGTTAGACACCCCTGCTATGTCCTTCTTCAGTGTGCTGTGCCCAACATCTCAGCCACATGAAATTGCCTGCTTTTCTGCCTTCACCAGGAGGCTTTTTGACAAGAAGCCCTTTAAAGGCAGAGACTGACCCTCATTCATTCACCAGCACAGTGTCTGCAATGCGCTAAGTGGTCAAGAGCAACTGCTTTCATGAATGATTAAATGAACTTCTTTCCTCTGAGCAGTGGTTTGCAGATGAGGAGTACAGCATGCACATGTGTGTGCGTGTGTGGGTTTGGGTTTGGCTAGAACAGTGACAAGCACCTGCAGTCTGTGGATTACAGACCACCCATCGCACTCATGTTGAAAACAGTCTCAAAACGTTTTGGCCAAAAGAAAGATGTATTGGTTCCCATCACACTAGAGAAGAAAGTGCTGAAGGGTGAGTCTGGTCTCACAAATGACGAAAACAAGAGATTCCAACACAATGTATTTTCTCTCTCTCTCTCTCTCTCTCTCTCTCTCTCTCTCTTCCTCCCTCTCCATCTCTCTTTCCATCTCTTATTTCTGCTCTGGATGAGACAGATGGGCTTTCCCCAAATGTGGAGAGAAACAGCCAACAGAAGCACTGAGCTCATGCCTTCCTGACTTCACATAAAAAGTCATCTTGTCTTGATCCTAATTTTGTCCTTTAGAAGGCTTGGGTCCTTCTGGCTTGGGTCACATGCCCCCTCACCCCCCGGCCCCCACTGCATTTATTGTGCTGAGCACTTAGTAGGCCACTCAGTAGGAAAATTCATATCCTTTAATTCAGCAAAAGTCATATCGTTTGTCTTGGGTTTTTTGGGGTTTTGTTTTGTTTTTGTTTTTGTTTTGAGAGGGAGTCTCCCTCTGTTGCCCAAGCTGGATTGCAATGGCATGATCTCGGCTCACTGCAACCTCCACCTCCTGGGTTCCACCCATCCTCCTGCCTCAGCCCCCAAGTAGCTGGGACTACAGGTGTGCGCCACCGCACCTGGCTAATTTTTGTATTTTTAGTAGCGATTGGGTTTCTCCATGTTGGCCAAGCTGGTTTCAAACTCCTGACTTCAGCCTCCCAAAGTGCTGGGATTACATATGTGAGTCACCCTGCCCAGCCTGTCTTGGTTTTTTGATCGTTAAATAATCTCCCTCTCCTCTTGCTTTCTCTGTTTTCTCACTCTGATATAATTACTGATGGATCTTCTAATTTGCTTATCTTGTTTGCTGCTACTCCTGTCTCAGTGTCCTCTTCTGCTTTGGGGAAGATTTTTTTCAACGTCACCCTTCATATTTAGTTTTACGGTTGTGCCATCTTTGTTTCAATATCCAGGAGGCTCTTTCTTGTTCTCTGAATATTAATTTTTTTATCACCCTCATTCTTACATGCATCTTGACTCTCACCTTTTCTGAGGATATTAACTAATAGCAAGTAGTTTGTTTTCGACATTTTCTTCTGTTTCCTTCAAGTTACTCTTATTTGGGCTCTGCATTTCATCTTAGAGGCTTGGCCTCTGATGCTTAGTGATCCCTGGCTATTCATATTTAGACATAAAACACTAAATGTTTCTTGTAAGTTCTCAGTGCTGGTGGGCTTCAAAATAGGGTGACCGTGAGCGTTAATTTTATGTGTCAACATGACTGGACTACAGGATACACAGACATTTGATCAAACATTGTTCTTAGTGTTTTTGGATGAGTTTAATGTTTAAATCCATAAACTGAGTAAAGCAAATTGCCCCCTCTGGAATGTGATGGGCCTTATCCAATCTCAGGCCTGAATAGAAAAAAAGACCGACCCTCCTGCAAGTAAGAGAGAACGCCTCCTGCCTGAGAAGGGGTTCAGAACAGGGACATTGTTTTAATTTTTTCCTGCCTTCAGACTCAAACTGAAATATTGGCTCTTCCTCGGTCCCCAGCCTGCCAGTTTTGGACTGGAACTATACCATTTGCTCTCCTGGTTCTCAAGCCTTCAGACTCAGACTGGAGTTAAATTGTCGGCTCTGCTGGATCTCCAGCTTGCTAAATGCAGATCTTAGGACTTGTCAGCCTCCATAACTTCATGAGCCAATTCCTTATAGCAAATATCTTTTTATAGATACATCCTTTTTTTTTTTTTTGGTTTTATTTCTCTGGAGAACCGAGGATAATACAGATTTTGGTGCCAAGCGTGCTTCTAGAGGAACAATGTTTTAAGGTCGAGTTTTCTAAATGATTTCTGGGATATTTGCAATTTTCTCTAATTAGATTTAAAGATGCTCATGACTCTATTTCCAGCAGTAAAGAGTGCACTGATAGCCCACGGCATGCTCTGGCAATAGAGATATACAAAATATTACCATTGGCTACTTCTAATCAGCCACTTACAAGAAGCAAGGCTGTATGTGACTGTATATGTGATACTTTAGAACATTTTTGTCAAAATAATGAATATTGTGAGATTGGTGGATGGCTCTTAATGTGGCTAGACAAACTGGTGGGTGGGGTAGAATGAGTCCAGGGATTCAAGTTCGCAGCTCATACACCACATAAATGACCTAAGAGCTTCTCTGTATGCTGTGAAAGAGACCCTTATCTCCTATAGCAGAACCGAGATTGCTGAAAATCAAACCCAGAATCTCAACCTGCAACTCACTGGATTATGACACAAATTGAACTCCCAGCATCACAAGGTGTCCACTGTTAAAGTGAGGACACTGATGGAGAAGGCATGAATCCTGCAATTTGGAATGGGGACATGAGGGAAGACATTGAATGGGGACATTGAGCCCCTAAATTCTGATGAGTCTTCTCTGAAGTCTTCTTTGAGTGGAAACAGCCTCTCTACCCCAGTGAAAGCAGCAGCTTCCATACCCCTGTCTGAGAGAATTAATCCTGTGTGGCCTGAGGAAACTGTAATGACGTCCCTGAGGGAGTTGTCATGAAGACAATGCTGATTCTTTTCAGGACCCGTCCCATCACCTCTCTTTGCTTCTAGACCTATAACTAGACTAAAGGGCCAACAGACCCCTAAAGATAAGGCACAAAATGTGATCCATGAGTTGGTATTCTATACTCCAAAAGAACTACTTTAGTTTTCTAATTTATACAGATAGAAATCTGTGAACATATGTTGGAATGACATTAAAGATGTGGGATAATGGTGGAAGGAGTGTAAAGTTGGATCAGGTCAAATTTATTGATATGGACTCACAAAGCAGAGTCTGAATTTAATGTTGTATCTTGGGAAATTAGAAAGGGCTCTAATAGTTTGTTTGGTTGAATGGCTGAAATGTGGACCAGAAGGTGACCCGTAGTGAGCAAGTGGGAAATGCCAGATCTGCCTTGGTTTCACGAAGAGGAAGGGATTGAAAGGTGTAAGGAGACTGGAATGTTATAGTGGATTTGTCATTTAAGACCTGCTCACTCACCAAAACATATAGTTTTCACCAGTGTTGTGAGAAATAAATTTGTGAGGGGAGCCCAGCATCCTTGAAGAGCTCTGCGATTGCTCTTCTCTGTGGTCCACACCTGATGATGGGAGCCACAGCGCTAACTGGAAAACCTAAATGGAATGGGAGTAGATTCCAGCGTGGCAGGAGCCAAGGGGCAGCACTCAACCACCAGAGGCAAGATGGGAATGGTTACCATACAGGGTCCAGGCAGCAATCAGAATGGTTTGACTTGCACAGACCTATGGCATTGGCTCATTGAAGATGATGCTTCTGGAATTGAATAGATAATAGGCCTATTAAATTCTTACTTTATCTATATAAACGGAAAAGTTCTAAGTCAAGTGAACAAAAGCCTAACCTGAATCATAACAACAGCATGGCCCCTCAAGCAATTTCCAGCCTTGAGCCAGTTTACAGACCCAGAATCCTTGAATGAAGGGGAGGCCAGGTCCCCTTGAGGAAGAATCCAAGTATACTGCAAAAAAAAAAACAGGTTTTTGTTTGTTTTTGAGACAGGGTCTCACTCTGTCACCCAGGCTGGAGTGCAGTGACATGATCACAGCTCACTGCAGCCTCGACCTCCTGGGCTCAAGTGATCCTCCCACCTCAGCCTACTGAGTAGCTGGGACCACAGGCAGATGTCATCACACCTGGTTAATTTTTTTATTTCAATTTTTGTAGAGACAAGTTCTCCCTATGTTGTCCAGGCTAGTCTTGAAATTCTGGGCTCAAGTGATCCTCCTGCCTCAGCCTCCCAGAGTGCTGGGATTACAGGCGTGGGCCATCACTCCTGGCCTGCAAAAATTTATAACGTTAATCTTTTTTCCAGTCTTACCCAAAGGGACATACAGCTTTTTGCCAGGGCAATTGTGCACTGAGAAGAAGGAAATAATCAAACATTTTAGGGACTACTGAATGCTAATTCCACAATACCCAAAATGTCACTGTGGCCCACCAGTCAAAATAGATCAGATGAAAGTCAGATAATCACTGTAGTTTTAGCTCAAGTCCATTTCACAGGGAGCCCATTAGGTCTCTGAATCTATCCTGTAATTATTTCCCCAGTTCCAGAATGTGTAATTGAAATAGATATACACATCATCTGGCAGAATCCCCACATTGGTTCTGTTTACCTGTGGAAAGAGCGCTATGATGGTGAGAAAGGCCAAGTTGAAGCCATTAGAACTGCCTCTACCTAGGAAAATAGTAACCAAAAGAAATACTGCATTCCTGGAGGGATTTCTGAGATTAGTGCCACTATCAAGGACTTGAAAGGATGCAGAAGTGGTATTCCCGCCACATCCCCATTCAACTCACCTATCTGGGCTGGGCAAAAGAAAGATGAATCTCAGAGAGTGACAGTGAATTATCATAATTATCATACACTTAACCAAGCAGTGATTCCTATTGCAGCTGCTTTACCTGATGTGGTTTCATTGCTTGAACAAATTAACACATATCTTGGAACCTGGTATGTAGCTATTGATCCAACAAATGCTTTTTTTCTCCATACCTGTCAATAAGGACCACCTGAAGCAGTTTGCTTTCAGTTTGCTGACAAGACCAGAAATATACCTTCACTATTCTAGCTCAGGAGTATATCAAGACTCTCCAGCCCTATGTCATAATTTTGTCTGCAGGGATCGTGATCTTCTTTCCCTTTTGCAAGATAACACACTTGCCTTAGTCAACTCAGGCTGCCATAACAAAATACCGTAGACTGGGTGACTCAAGTGGGGGAAATTTATTTCTCACTGTTCTGGAGTCTGGGTAGTACAAGATCAAGATGCCGGCTGATTTGACTCCCAGTAGGGTCTCGCTATGGCCTCACATGGCCTTTCCTTGGTGCATTCATGAAGAGAGAGAGAGGAGAACTCATCTTCCTCTTCCTATTAGGGTGTTAATCCCATCATGACGGCCCAACCCTCATGACCTCTCCTAACCCTAATTAACTTCCAAAGGCCCCATCTCCAAATATCATCACATTGGGGTGCTGATTAGGGTGCAATGTATGAATTTGTGGGGTGCGCAAACAGTCAACAACACTGTTTCAGGCACTGAAGACATAATGCTGATTGGACTACCAACCAAAAAGTTGCAACTACCCTAGACTTATTGGTAAGACATCTGTGTGTCAGAGATTGGGAAATAAATTTGACAAAAATTCAGGAGGCTTCTATGTCAGTGAAATTTCTAGGGGTCCAGTGGCATGGGGCATGTCTAGATATCCTTTCTAAGGTGAAGGTTAAGTTGTTGTACCTGGTAAGTTGTTGTAGGCCCAGCCTACAACCCAAAAAGAGGCATAGTCCCCCAATGGGCTTCTTTAAATTTTGAAGGCAACAGATTCCTCATTTGGTGTGTTGCTCCAGCCCATTTACCAAGTGACCCAAAAAGCAGCTGGTTCTGAGTGGGATCCAGAACAAGGGGAGGTTCTGCAACAGGCTGCGGTGCCAGCTGTTCTGCCACTTGATCCGGCCATGTGAGCCAGCAGATGTGGTGGTGTCTGGAGTGTCTGCAGCAGATATGGGTGCTGTTTGGAGCTTTTGGCAGGCCTCTGCCAGTGAATCGCAGTGCAGGCCCTTGGGATTTGAAGCAATCCCAATTTGATTGCTTCAATCAAATGAGATAGGATGACCCATTCTCTGCTGATCATCACCCTTCTTTTGAAAAACAGCTCTGACCCTGCTCATGGGCCCTAGTAGAGACTGAATTATTGACCATGGGCCACCAAGTTACCATGTGACCTGAGCTACCATCATGAGCTGGGTGTTATCTAATACATCAAGTCATAAAGTTGGGTGTGCTACTGATGTGGTTTCATTGCTTGAACAAATTAACACATATCTTGGAATCTGCTATGCAGCTATTGTTCCAACAAATGCTTTTTTCTCCGTACCTATCAATAAGGACCACCTGAAGTCACGTATATACCGCCATCAAATGGGAGTGGTATATACGTAACTAAGTCCATGCAAGTCCTGAAGGCACAAGTAAGTTACATGAAGAAGGGGCCCAAATGCCTGTGGTCCCCCTCCCTACTATAAGATACTGTGTTTCTCTCTCAGCCTGCACCTGTGGCCTCATAGAGAGTATCCAATGACTAGTTGACAGAGGAAGAGAAGAGTTTGACCTGCTGTTTACAGGTGGTTCTCCTGACAGCCAGGCATTGCCTGAAAATGGATAGCTGCGACACTATAGCCCTTCCGTGAGACATCCCTGAAGGACAGTGGTGAAGGACAGCCCTCCCAGGAAGCATAACTTTGGGCAGTGTACTTGGCTGTGCACTTTGCTTGGAAGGAGAAATAGCCAGACATGTGATTATATATCTATTCATGGGTTGTGGCCAATGGTTTGACTGAATGGTCAGGAAATTGGTAGGAATATGATTGGAAAATTCCTGTCAAGGAAATTTGGGGAAGAGATATGTGGACAGATCTCTCCGAATGAGCAAAGAATGTAAAGATATTTATGTCCCATATGAATGTTCACCAAAGGGTGACATCAGCAGAGGGTAATAATAAGGTAGATAGGATGACCCATTCTGTGGATACCAGTCAGCCACTTTCCCTAGCCCTGTGGGCTCTTGAACAAAGTGTCCATGATGGTAAGGAGGAGGGGGTAACACATGGATCCGCAACATGAACTTCCACTTACCAGGGGCAGCCTGGCTACAGGCTACTGCTGAGTGCTCCATTTTCCAGCAGCAGAGACCAATACTGACATCAATCCCCCCAATACGACATCAATCCCCAGGTAATCACCCAGCAGGTTGGTGGCAGATTGGTTATATTGTACCCCTTCCATCATGGAAGGGGGAGAGTTTTATTCTTTTTTTAAAAAAATAGAGACAGGGTCTTCCTCTGTTGCCCAGGCTGATCTTGAACTCCGAGGCTCAAGGGATCCTTCCACCTCAGCCTCCAAAACTGCTGGGATTACAGGCACGAGCCACCATACCTGGTTGAGAGTTTTATTCTTACTAGACAGAAGCTTACTCTGGATACAGATTTGCCTTCCTGCATGCAATGCTTCTGCCACAACTGCACTCCATGAACTTATGGAATGACTTATCCACCATCATGGTATTCCACACAGCATTACTTCTCATGGAGGAACTCAATGCACTTCACAGCAAATGAAGTATAGCAGTGGACCCAAGCTCATGGAATTCACCATCCTGAAGCAGCTCCCTTGCCAGAACAGTAGAATGGCCTTTTGAAGACTCAGTTCCTGCGCCAGTTAGGTGGCAATACTCTGCAGGCCTGGGGCAAGGTTCTCCAGAAGGTTATATATGTTCTGAGTCAGCATCCAATATATGTTGCTATTTCTTCCATAGCCAGGTTTCACGGGTCCAGGAATCAAGGGATGGAAATGGGAGTGGCACCACTCACTATTACCCCTAGTAACCTACCAGCAAAGTTTTTGTTTCCTATTCCAGAGACCATATGATCTAAAGGTCTAGAGGTCTTGATTCCAAAGGAGGGAATGCTTCCAGCAGAAGACACAACAATTCCACTGAACTAGAAGTTAAGATGCCCACCCAGCCACTTTGGGCTCCTCATGCCTCTGAATCAACAAACAAACAAGGGAGTTACTGTTTTGGTTACAGTGAATAATCCTGACTACCACAAGGAAGTTGGACTGCTACTCCATAATGGATGGAAGGAAGAGTCTGTCTGGAATACGGCAGGTTCCTTAGGGCATCTCTTAGCGTTTAAGGTGATGCCTCTCAATCACATATCCTGTGATTAAGTTCAACAGGAAGATACAACAACCCAATCCAGGCAGTTTTACTAATGGTCCAAATCCTTCAGGAATAAAGATCCTGGCCACCCACCAGGTAACATATCATGACCAGCTAAGGTGCTTGCTGAAGGTAAAAGGAAATACAAAATGTGAGTACTAAAAGAGGGTAGTTATAAATACCAGCTATGATCACATGACCAGCTACAAAAACAAGGACTGTAATTGCCATGAGTATTTCCTCCTTATTTTGTTATGAATGTATGAGTATAAAGTAAAGCAAATACCTTTGTTTTCTTCCCTCTCATTTCCTTATCATGTAACATAAGACATATTGACTTTCTGTTATAGTGTTTATGTATTGTTAATTTTACATCATCGTGTTTAAGTTATATGAAGGAGAAGAGTAAACATCACTCAAGGACTTTACCTCCTCTCTGGGAAGGGATTGGTGCATATTGAGTTGTACACATCACAGTTATGTTATGTTAAACAGAATTATGACCTTGTTATTGTCTTCGTTTGGAGGTTAAATATGGCTTAATGAGATGCATATGGGAATCAAGTTAATAAAGGATGGACTCGTGATGGTAACTTTATTTGTTGACTTGCCTGGGCCACAGGTGCACGGATATTTGATGAAACATTATCCTGAGTATTTCTATAAGATAAACATACGTATTAATCTGCTGGGGCCAGGCGCAGTGGCTTACGCCTGTAATCCCAGCACTTTGGGAGATCGAGGTGTGTGGATCACCTGAGGTCAGGAGTTTGAGACAAGCCTGGCCAACATGGTAAAACCCCATCTCTACTAAAAATATAAAAATTAGCCGGGCGTGGTGGTGCACACCTATAATTGCAGCTTCTCAGGAGGCTGAGGCAGGAAAATCATTTGAACCCAGGAGGCTGAGGTTGCAGTGAGTTGTAGATTGTGCCACTGCACTCCAGCCTGGACACCAGAGCGAGACTCTGTCTCAAAAAAAAAAAAAAAAAAAAAAAAAAGACTATCTCGTCGACGACATATGGGTGTGAGGTCTCTTTTGGGGGTGATGAAATATTCTAAAATTGATTGTGGTTATGGATGCGCATACCAAAAACCATTGAATTGTGCACTTTAAATAGGTGAATTGTGTGATATATAAATTACGTATCTATAAACCTGTAATTTTTTTAAAAAGACTTCATGGAGCTGTAGTCTTTGACAATACCAAAGATCGAAGCTCTATATACTAAGTTCAAACATGGATCATGAATGGGGAGGTAGATTAATGAATCTGTGAGAAAATAAATATTCAAAATATGTTTTAAAATTCATCATAACTCCCAAGAAAAGAACAATTAAGCATTTCTACAAGTTTTTGTGCTGTAATTCAAGACAAATATTTACGTTTGAAAGTGTGAACTCACAAAAGATAAATCAGCTCAGGTGAGGCAATTTCATACAATCCATCGATTTAAAAATATAAAATTTAGGGGCTTAAGTAAGTTCACTTTAGATGCTTGTGACTTGAACAGCTGTCAAAATAGCATTTTGTGGTGGATATTTTTTCATAAACTTTATTGAAGGATGTTTTCAGATATTTCTGTGGATGCCAGCTGTTAGGTTTAGGGGAAAAGCATCTTGTTATTTGGGGACATGTCAAAGCCAGAAGCCACATTCAGTTTATATTTCTGCATCAATTAAATTGCAGTCAGGAAGTAGAAAAGTGTCCAGGAAAATTTCAATCAGGTACCAGAAATCCACAAGGATAGTGTTGTTCAGCAACCACTTTGTGGATACAATGAGGGGAAATGACCCACTAGATGAGCAACATCTGGAGCTATCCAAATGCATTACTCCAGATCTGGTCAGTTTTAATGTCATGAGAGTGATGATACCATCATTTTAAAATACATTTCAGTTTAAGTGCCAAACGGAGTTGCAAACAGTATAATTCTGTGTGGCATGGAACATTTGTTCTCCTAACATCCTGGAAAGTAATACTTGTTTTTCAGTTTGTGTTTTTATGGCTGGCTGATACTGTGCTCTTACTTTTTAAGCCAAAACCTCATCCCTCAAGAAACAAAAACAAAATCCCCCAAACCCAGCAATTAACAGACCAGCTGGCCCTGTGTCTAAGAGAAAGTGGACTGAGATAGACTCACATGACCTGACTTCCAGCGGGTGGCATATTTGCTATGTACGTGAGCTTAATCTCATCACAAGATCTCTGACCTTCAGTTTCCTTATTTATTAAATGGGTACAAAGGTGCCAGTCTATCCTGACTCACAGGGTCAGGGCAAAGAGCAATAAGATAATGAGTGTGGATGTGATTTATCAACTACAAATTATTAGAAGTGTAAATTAGCATTCCAAGTGGCAGGGATACATAGGAGAAAAAGAAAAAAAAAAGAGGAGAAATAATAAGTGGGACCTTCCCAAGGAAAGCAATTCTTACCTCTAATTCTAACAATTTTAAGATAAAAGGGATGCTTAAGTAGTACATACTAGGAAAACTTTCGATGCATGCTTTCTGTATTAAATACCTACTGACATTGCCTCACCCATCCTGTTTCTCTCTCTCTCTCTTTCACACACACACACACACACACACACACACACACACACACACAGTTCCCACAATCCATTGCTTCATAATCCCCCCCTCAAATGCTACTCTGTGGAGATAATTCAATCACAGCCACAGTAACTAAGTCAATTTATAGAAAATACAGTAGAAAATTATTCTACTTATCCAGTTCTGAACCGCCTTGCACTGTTCTGTGTGGTACCTTTCCAAGGACCTGCTAAAAAACTGAGGTGATTCCTGTTTGCCAAGAGTTGGGCATCTCAACAGCATGAGAAAACATTATTTTGGTCAATAATTGGCACAGTGATCAGGATATCAAGTGAGGAGTTTCCTAGGCCTTGGAGACATGGCTACCCAGTTTCAAATTAGGTGGTGGAGAACTTATCTCAAATTTTGCAGAGACACAGAAAAAAATGGAGTTATCAATTACTATCATTATCAAGCAAGAATTATATTTAATTCTCATTTGTCTCTAGGTAATGAAACTTTGATGCCTTCAACAATGGTGGAATTATTTAATTCACCAAACTGGCCCCTGGATAACATCCTTCAGGAAACAGAAGAAAATAATGGCATGGTGATAGTCTGTGTCTGCTGCTGGAGCCAAGGGTGAGTTAGTCACACTACAGATGGGAGGGCTGGACCCAGGGTACAGCCAGCCAGGGAGAATGCCAGTGGCCTTTGGATGTAAAGGACCCATGCTCTCCTGAGAAAACCCAGTAGCCAAAGATATAGCTCAGCTGTATGGGATGGGAGAAGGAGATCAGAAGATGACAAAATTGGCCAGGCGCAGTGGCTCACGCCTGTAATCCTAGCACTGTGGGAGGCCAAGCCAGGCAGATCACTTGAGGTCAAGAGTTCAAGACCAGCCTGGCCAAATGGTGAAACCCCATCTCTACTAAGAATACAAAAATTAGCCAGGTATGGTGGTGTGCACCTATAATCCCAGCTACTCAGGAGGCTGAGGCAGGAGAATTGCTTGAACCTGGGAGGTTGAGGTTGCAGTGAGCTGAGATGGCACCACTGCATGCCTGCCAGAGTGAAAGAACGAGACTCCATCTCAAAAAAAAAAAAAAAAAAAAGACAAAATTAATGGAATAAAATATTAATATTAGGTTGGTGCAGAAGTAATTGCAGTTTTTGCCATTACTTTTAATGGCAAAATATCCTTATTTCAATAATATACTTATTCAAATATAAGATACCTAAGACATTTTCAATATCTTATTCAAACACGATGTTTTGCCATTACTTCTAATGACAAAAATCGCAATTACTTTTACACCAACCTAATAGCAGCTAGAGGTGTCTGAATTCTAACTCTTCCAATCTCACTGACAACTCAAACTCCGTTGCCTTCTCCCTGCTACTTTCCCCCACTATTGCTACCTTTGATTTGAACAAGATTTCAGCAGGACAAAATGTCACAAACAGGGACAAGGGATCTCCCACATGATGTTATTTCGGGGGGGCTCCTTAAAGCTTTTATGGAGACTTTGTGTAGTAGTTGAGAAAAGGAACTGCACGCTTTCAAATCTGACCTTCCTCATTTCCACTTACTACCTGGATGACCTTGAGCAAGTCATTTAACCTCCCTAGCTTTACCTTCCTTAGCAACAAATAGGAGTCTACAAAGAACAGTATTCATCTTAGAAATTGTATGTGAACTTTAAATGAAATAATGAGTAATGCATGAGGCAAGTACCTCAAACATGTTAAGGATATTTTATTTATTTTATTTTATTTTATTATATTTTGAGACGGAGTTTCACTCTGTTGCCCAGGCTGGAGTGCAGTGGCACAATTTCAGCTCACTGCAACATCTGCCTCCCGGGTTCAAGCAATTCTCCTGCCTCAGCATCTTCAGTAGCTGGGCTTACAGGCATGCACCACCACACCTAGCTAGTTTTGTATTTTTAGTAGAGACAGTGTTTCATCATGCTGGCCAGGCTGGTCTGGAACTCCTGACTTCAAATAATCCACCCGCCTCAGCCTTCCAAAGTGCTGGGATTACAGGTGTGAGCCACTGCACCCTGCCAAGAATTATTATTGTATTGCTCTTGCATTTACTAGCAGGCTTTGTACTGGGGATTTTTTTTTTTTTCAGGAAAAAAATTTAAATAGGGTGTTGTGAAAGAGTCATGGTTTTCAAAGTTTCAAGAGAAGTGTTTTATTAAAAGAGGGGAAGAAATCAATGTTACCTTTGTCAAGAGAGTTCTGTATCTTAAACAATCAGCTTCTTGTTCATCATCAGGTTCAATGAAAAGTGCACAAAGTCCTAGAGACCTGATAATAATTAAGAATATTCACAGCTTCCTTCCGAAGGCTCCTTTTAATCATTGATTTTTATATCTGGGTGGTCTTACAATGAGCTGTTTTTGTTGTTTTATATATCTCTTGCATTCTCAATCTGGGATAAATGAGGAAAACTTCTAAATTAAAACATTTGCTCCAACAGTTGTCCTTCTTTCACATTCTGGTTTTAATAATGAGGTACTAATATTCTGGAGAAATCTTTCATAAACTGAGTATTGTTTTTAAATCTGCTTATTTATGTTTCTTGTGCAACTTTCTGTGATATGCTGTGTTCAGGAGGAAACATCTGTCTTTGGGGTTTTCGTCACCGTGAGGCAGTTTACTACAGGGCATGGCATGTCTGGGTGCTCAGAGATAACTCTCCAACATGGGCAGGCCCGGGAACACATGTTCACGGTGACAGCCACGGCCGTATCCCCAAGTACATACTCATGTGCTCATTTGCAGGAAACACATAGAGGTGTGGTCCATGTGAACATGTGTCCAGAGGTTCCAAAGAATGTGTCTGTTAGTGACAAGAGGGACAGCTGTTGCTAGGACAGAGCCTTCAATACTTAAGTGACATTGTAGCGCTGGGTGCTCTTATGAAAAGCGAGCTCAGGTCCTTTGAGGAATATGTACTATGGAAAGTTCCAATGAACTGGAATATTAACTTTCCATTAACGTGTCTCATTTTCCTGGAATTCCTATGTGAGAATTCTCTGTTTTGTTTGCACAACCCCAGGCTTCACATATCGAATTAGTAAATGAACTATCTACTTTTAAAGATCTAGGGTATCTCACAGAGGCTATGGATTTTAGGCAAAAGAAAAACTATAAAGACGGCTGTCCCTAAAACCAGGCAAACTTTGGGAAACTCATACTCACTCACCAAATTTTGCCCAAACTCATACTCATTAGCTATTTCTTTTTTTTTTTTTTTTTTTTTTTTGAGATGGGGTCTTGCTCTGTCACCCAGGCTAGGGTGCTGTGGCACGATCTTGGCTCTCTACAACCTCTGCCTCCTGGGTTCAAGTGATTCTCCTGCCTCAGCCTCCCGAGTAGCTGGGATTACAGGTGTGTGCCACCATGCCCAGCTAATTTTTTGTATTTTTAGTACAGACAGTGTTTCACTATGTTGGCCAGGCTGGTCTTGAACTCCTGAGCTTGTGATCCACCTGCCTCGGCCTCCCGAGTAGCTGGGATTACAGGCATGTGCCATCGTGCCCGGCCTCATTAGCTATTTCCACACTTATGCATGTTGTTGGCCATTCATTGAATTAGTTGATCAAAACTTTACAGTATTATTTTCCAACTCCCTAATAAACTGGGGCGGTACTTGATAAAGAAGTAAATGATGCTTTCTACTTTTAAAATGCTGGAGCTGGCCCCTACAGGTTCATGAGAGCCAATTGTGTGTATCGCTTCCCAACTCCACGTTTACTGTTGTCATGTTGGTAGCTTAAAATTAGCTACAGTGGAAGTTTACACTGTGGGAATAGGCATTTGCTACAAATCAGGGATTAATTTTCCCAGGCAGCTGGATGTGGAGCATTCACAGGCACCCCGTTTGGAAAGCTGATGTCATTTGGTGCATGTTTGCCACAGTGAGGCTTTCTGGACAGCCTGGACTCAGGCTGGACTTTCCTGCTGCAACAAGTTCTGTGTAAAGATTCAAGAGCCACTTGGGTTGTAGAAACTACCAAGTCTTAAGAGTTAAAATGTCAAGGCTGCCTAATGAAGAAAAACTACCAGGGTGAGGTCTGGGTTCTTTCTTTCCTCTATGTATGTGGGTTTTTGTTGTTGTTTTTTTTTTTTTAACCTAAGACTTGGCTTTTATACTTTTTCCTGTTAGATTTTATTTCTTGAATTCAACTCATTTTTCCAGATATTTTCAATATCTTATTTGAATCGTGATTCTGTACTTGGTAAACCATAAACCCCATTAGCAACATAAACTATTTGCCAGGTACAGTGGCTCATGCCTGTAATCCCAGCACTTTGGGAACTCAAGGCAGAAGGATTGTTTGAGGCCAGGAGTTCAAGACTAGCCTGGTCAATATAGTGAGACTTTGTCATCTCTACAAAAGTAAAAGAAAAAAAAAATTTAAGCTGGCCATGGTGGCTCACGCCTGTAATCCCAGCACTTTGGGAGGCTGAGGTAAGTGGATCACTGGAGGCCAGGAGATTGAGACTATCCTGGCCAACCTGGGGAAACCCCATCTCTACTACAAATACAAAAAAAAAAAAATTAGCTGGGGAAGGTGACACATGCCTGTAATCCCAGCTACTCGAGAGGCTGAGGCATGAGAATTTCTAGAACCCGGGTGGCAGAGGTTGCAGTGAGCCGAGATCATGCCACTGCACTCCAGCCCGGGTGACAGAGCAAGACTCTGTCTCAAAAAAAAAAAAAAAAAGAAAAGAAAAGAAAAGAAAAAAGAAAAAAAATAAACGATTGCTAATATTTTTAAACAAATTAGACAAATATGCGGTGATTATTCACAACTGTGTTATTGATCATAGTGTTGGAAGGGACAGTCTCTTGGATTGGGTTTTTTCCATGCAGACTTGGAGGCAGATCGTTAATTTAAAAAATGATCCAAGGAAACCAGAGCAACAGCACAGGTGGAGTGGTTGGTGGGGGAAGAAGGGAAAGGTCATGAAGGGTACCTAGTAGAGCTTATTGTCCTTATTCCTGCGGGTCAATCCTGATGGGGACTCTGAGCACCTCTGTAGATGGTGCACACCTGCCTCTCTGAAGTGGAGATCCTGCACCATTTATCCACTGACTCCTTTTCCCTACTGGTGAGTGTTGCCCCTGAGGACAGTAACTCCCTTGCATTTCCAGGCAGCGAGGCAACTTCCCAGGCATCATCTGAGAAAGCTGGTGGAGAAAAGCCAGGGACTCTGCCTGCACTTGAGGTGAACCAACACTGCATGCACTGAAATCGTCCACCACAGCCACAGCTGAAGCAGAGGCGGGCTGAGAGGGGGTGGCTCAGGGCACCGTAACATCTGCTATGGACAGAACTGAGGGATGAATTTTAGGAGGTGTTCATTAACTCAATTAAGTATTTATATATTAACCAATTAGATGAAACATCTACTAAACGTGTTATTTCCAGACACTATTGTAGGTACTAAGGACCCAGCAGTAAAGTCTCTGCCTTCAATGAACTGATATTCTAGAAGACAGATTCTTAAAATTAATAATAATATAATGTTGGTAGGTGATTAGTGGTAGAAAAAATATTTAAATAAGAAAGGCAAAGGATGAGGAGGCGATGAATGTGGAGTAGGGACACAGAGTGTTATTTTAGAAGAGTAGTCAGTGAGGGCTGCTTGGATGAGGGGCCATTTGAGCACAATCTTGAATGAAGTGAGCCAGAGGAGCATGTAGGCGGACAGTGGCGGAGTCAGCAGTACTGCTTTCCAGACCCAGGGAAAATTCCGTGCAAAGATCTGGAGTCAGGAACAACCCTGCTGTGTTAAAGGATCAGGGCCAGACACAGTTAAGCACAGAGATCCAGTGGCAAGTGAAAGAGACATGCTCCCTGCCCTGTAGAGCGTAGAGTCTGCTGGGGCGACTGCCATTAACTTCATAAACAATCACACAGATCAAAGCAAATTTATAGAGTGTGGTAAAGGCATAATCGAATTTGTGTTTCTTAATGATTACATGTCTACTATGAGCAGAGGGACTGAAGAGGGTCGATGCTTGGTGTCTGTCTATCATTCAACACTGTTCATTGCTTTCTCCTTTACTTCTCACTATCAATAACTGGACATAGCCCTGGATGCTCGGTATGCTTCATGACAATCTGCTTCTTGGCATGTTTTCAAGAAACATATTGATTTGTAAAAACTGGAACTACTGAATTTCTATGCGCACCAGAAGACAGAGGTCCTCTTTCCTTGCCTAACGCAGCCATGGCTCGTGGTCCCAAGAAGCATCTGAAGCTGGTAGCAGCTCCAAAGCACTGGATGCTGGATAAATTGACTGGTGTGTTTGCTCCTCATCCATTCACTGGTCCCCACAAGTTGAGAGAGTCTCTCCCCATCATCATTTTCCTAAGGATCAGACTTAAATATGCCCTGACAGGAGATGAAGTAAAGAAGATTTGCATGCAGCAGTTCATTAAGATCGATGGCAAGGTTTGAACTGATACAACCTACCCTGCTGGATTCATGGATGTCATCAGCATTGACAAGAGAGAATTTCCGTCTGATCTATGACACCAAGGATCGCTTTGCTGTACATTGTATTACACCTGAGGAGGCCAAGTACAAGTTGTGCAAACTGAGAAAAATCTTTGTGGGCACAAAAGGAATCCCTCACCTGGTGACTCATGATGCTTGCACCGTCCGCTACCCTGACCCCTCATCGAGGTGAATGATACCATTCAGATTGATTTGGAGACTGGCAAGAGTATTGATTTCATCGAGTTCGACACTGGTGACTAGAGGTACTAACCTGGGAAGAATTGGTGTGATCATCAACTGAGAGAAGCACCCTGGATCTTTTGACGTAGTTTATGTTAAAGATGCCAATGGCAACAGCTTTGCCACTCGACTTTTCAACATTTTTGTTATTGGCAAGAGCAATAAACCATGGATTTCTCTTTCCCAAGGACAGGATATCCGCCTCACCATCGCTGAAGAGAGAGACAAAGACTGGCGGCCAAACCAAGCAGTGGGTGAAGTGGTCCCTGGGTGACATGTTAGATCTTTGTATGTAATTAAAAACAATGTGGCATGATTAAAAAAAAAAAAAAAGGCTGAGCGCTGTGGCTCACACCTGTAATCCCAGCACTTCGGGAGGCCAAGGCGAGCGAATCACCTGAGGTTGGGATTTCGAGTCCGGCCTGACCAACATGGAGAGACCCCATTTCTTCTAAAAATACAAAATTAGCTGGGCGTGGTTGCATATACCTGTAATCCCAGCTACTTGGGAGTCTGAGGCAGGAGAATCGCTTGAACCCAGGGGGCAGAGGTTGCAGTGAGCCGAGATCGCGCCATTGCACTCCAGCCTGGACAACAAGAGTGAAACTCCGTCCAAAAAAAAAAAAAAAAAAAAAAAACTGGAACTATTTATATCCTATCCTCTATGCCTGCACAGAAAAACTGAAGGGAACTTAACCTGAAATTCATATATTAATAGTACTGATTTCCACTGCCATGCCAAAGAGTAAGTAAAGAGTCAAGAGCCACTATGGTATAGAGGAAAGAGCATAGACTTGGACTTAAATCCACCTAGGCTCCAATTCCAGCTCCGATAATGATTAACTACATAGCTTTAAACAAATGATTTTACCCCTCTAAGCCTCATCTTTAAAAGGGGGATAATAATGCCTGCTCTGGAGCATTACAAAGATGAAATCAGATCATGTATATAAAGCATCTGATTCACTACAGAGGCCGAAAATGGATTATTATATTAATCACATCATAGAGAATCCTAACTAATCTAAAACACTGTGATATATGTGGGTTTTGTCTGAACCACAAAAAAATATTAAAATGGCCCATGCAAAATTGAAACAAGTAAACAAATAAACTGAAAGGAGCTTGTAAATAATCGGACAAACCTGTTTAGTCCAATTATCCCAAGACACATATTTGGTATCCATGAGAAACTGCTGGGGGTGGAATGAAAGGAGTATGGCGGAAGGTCAAAGTCAACTGCCTGTGGATGATTTCCTGGAAAAGTGTTTCTTTCCAGATCTCTTGTTTAGAGAGAGGTCAGACTGACCATGAAACACAGATGCTGAAGCCTCAAACATAGGATGTTCTACGAGGTCCAACCCAAAAAGGGAAATGCATTTTGATGATCCAGCAAGAAATTCTTATTAGTGCAGGAACTCTTGCCCACCATCTGCCAAGGGAGGCTATAATGGCATTGTTGACTCCCACACAGCAAGCAGAGCCTTAATCATGTTTTACTAGGCCTCACAGATCACAGGAGCAGGCATGCCCTCTTAGCCCCAGGCCTGGCACCACCCCTGCAAGGTAAGTAGTTTACAGGTGTGTCTGGGTCTACTTCAGGTCGGTCAGTTTAAGACAGCTCCACAGGACCTTAACCCAGAGAAGGAGGTCAGCCCCAGGCAGAAGCTCCCACACCAAGGAAGAAAAAGCTGGGCACCAGCTTTTTCACTATCTCCTGGGCACCAAACTAAATGATGTTTAGACTAGACTGGAAGGAATGACAACAAATCCAAAAGAAAAGTAAAAATTGGAAATAGTATTAAGAGCAAAAACTTGTTGTTGTCTAATCAGGATAAGCAGCAAAACGTACATTGCATTCAGATGTGCAGGCCAGTGATCTATAGCCTTTGCAGGCTTTGGGTCCTTTCAACAGGCCACTTCTCCTCCTCGTCATCACTTACCACAGCAGCAGTGTAGGTTATTATGGTGCTGTGTGGCTTGCAAAGCATTCTGGAACACACGGTTTTGTTACAATCCTCAACGCAATCTGATGAACAAGGTTATTATTGTCCTCATTTTAAGGGTGAGGCCATTGAGACTCAGAAGAAAAAAATTAATTGATTTACACCAGGATCCACATGAAATAGATTTGGGAGCAGAGATTTGGACCCTGGGCTCCTGACACCAAGTTTTATTTTTGTGGCTACACATTTCATATTGTTGCGGATCTTTAATTGACAAACGTGGTCCCACATTGGCATTGCAGCTGCCTGGTGGGAGTGGGACAAAGTGCATTCTACCTGTGGCTCTGGGCTAAAGCCACGTCACCACATAGGAGAGTAGGTAGCTCAGAGAATCAGTCCAAATAGGCTAAGTGGTCATCAGTCCAGAACTCAAGTTGCCAAATCTAAGGAAATGAGGTCTGAAAGTGGGATCTGAGCCAAACCAATAAAGTCTCAAAAGCCAAGGTGATCCTGGGTAACTGTGTTCTCTTACTAGGCAAAAGTAAGAGAGAGGCTTTTTTCCTCAGTTTCAGTAAAGTACAAAGTGTGGTTTGAACAGGATTAGTTGGAAATGTCTTTGAACCTATTAATAGAGTTGAAATAAATCATCTGCAACTTTATTTATGCATTTCCTCAAGGTCCTTAAGTATGGAACCCTGACCGAAAGATTTTGATAGAGGCTTTTGCTTTTGTGTTATACTCTCTAAAATTGTCATAACTTGTTTTACTAGTTAATGGAAAGGTGTGATGTCACAACTCTCACAATGTGAGGGACGTGTGGGCATTTCCTTTGATTGCCAGTTTTTCTCCACAAACCATAGTAAACGTAGGCTCCATGAGAACAGGGATTCTTGTCTGAGTCACTCGTGAATCCTCAATACTTGGCACATAATAGAACTCAATAAATATTTTTTATCTGTTGTATGAATAGTGGTGACATTTTACATTGTCTTTTGGCAGAAAGAGGTACTTCTTTTAAATCTTAACTAAAAATAGATTCACTTATTATAAAATAAGTTAATTATCTTGGCAAAACATCATGTATCTCCCCCCTTTCCCTGATGATGAAAGTTGTAATGAAGACATAACTTATTTATTGCTTTTCCAAGAGCATGTGGGCCTCAGGATTACTCCATGGTTATGCATCCAACAGACAAAATATGTTACGTGTGAAAGGTACTAATTATGTAGGTGGTGGTTTTCAATAAGGGTCAAGGATCCCATATCACAGTCTTACCCAAGGAGTTATGGTTCCACATCTTACGTGAATTTTCTGTAAGGAAAAACCTGTTTATATTATCTGAGCCCAGAACTTAACTCCATTTTACATATGAACACAAAGCATTTTTGCTCTGTGTTAATATATAAGGAATTTCCAGGAATGCAAATATCATGTAAACTGAGGAAAGATTGAGACTTGTTTTGTTTGAAAATTTACCAAAAGTAATTGACTATTGAAGAAAATCACCATCAACAAGTGCTTATGGTATTGGAGGCACCAATAAAAGAGCAGCTGTCTCAGTTTTTGTAACTATTGCATTTACGATGATAACATATTAACTTTCAAATTTACTTATTTAGACTTTCACTTCCATTTATGAAAAATTAACAGCTACAGGAATTATCCTTCTTCCATGCACAAATTGAAAATTTGGCAAAATATATGAAACAACAGTTTTCAGACATTAAACAACTGGTAATGCTGTGGGACTGTGAACCCTGAAAGAAGAGAATCAATTGAGCTGAATGATGTGATTGCCCCAGCTTCCTGCCTGGAGGCAGTTTTCAAGCCACAGCATGCAGCCAACAGTCTCACTGAGTTAAGGAAACAGAGATCAAAGTTAAGGAAGGCAAGGTGGCTAGATTTGTGGGACAAAGTACTGGAAAGGAGAAAGCTGCACAGAGAGAAAGAGAGAGAAAGAGAGCACACTCTCAAGATTTGCAAAGGGTTCTCTCAAATCTTTGACTAAATACTAATAATAAATATGATATCTCATAGGGAAGAAAAAAACACTAGATAGGTTTGATAGCAATTTACACACTGTAGAAGAGAAGATCAGTATTCTTGATGACATAGCAATAATAAAGCACAAAGAGAAAAAGACTAGAAAAAATTAACAGAGCATCAGTGTTGTATGGAGGAATATCAGAAGGTAAGTGGTCTAAACCATGTATAACTGGAGTAGCAAATAGAGTGGGTGAGAAGGACAGAAAAAAACCTTTAAAGAAATCATTGCTGAAATTGTCAAAATTTGATGAAAGCTCTGAACTCTCAGATTTGGGATGCTCAAGGAACTTCAAGAAAAATTAAAAAAAAAAAAATTCAAACCAAGAAAGACCATAAAATCAGTCATAAAGAAAAAAATCTTAAAATTTCCAGGAGAGGGATGATGGGACACATTACATATAGAGGAACAAAGATAAAAATGACAGCAGACTTCTCATCAGAAATTTTGCAAGCCAGAAGGCAATGAAGCAACATCTTTAAACTACTAAAAAAAAAAAAAAAGCTTTGATCTAGAATTCTATACCCAGATAAAATAGCTTAAGAAAGTAAAAATAAAAAAGTCTTATTTAGATATACAAAAGCTGAAAGAATTCATCACCAGAAGAATGCACTACAAGCTACGTGAAAAAAAGTCTTTCAGACAGACGGAAAATAATACTAAAAGGAAATTTGCTTCTACACAAGTGAGTGAAGAGTGTGGAAATGATGAGTGTGTAGGAACATATAAAATACTTTTTCTTCCAATTTTAATCTCTTTAAAAGATACAGATTATTTAAAGCAACAATAATAGCAAGTATTGTGGAGGCATGTATGACAAAACAGCATAATGTATGACAATAACATGTAAGAAACCGTAGCACAAGGACAGAAGGAAGAAAATGAAGACATACTATTGTAAGGTGCTTATACTATATGTATATAATTTGAAGGTAAACTATGAGTTAGATGTGTTTTATAAACCTTAGAGCAACTACTAAAAAATAAAACAAAGACACTCCAATTAAAGGATGGAGATTGTCAGATAAAAAAGCAAGGCCTAACTACTGTGCTGTCTGTGAGGAAAACATTTTAAATATAAAGTAACAGAAAGACTAAAAGTAAAATGATGGAAAAAGACATACAATGAATACACAAAACAAAGTTGAAGGAGCTACATTAATATCATATAAAGTAAATTTCAGAACAAGAAATATTCCTAGAAGTAAAAATCAGGCATTTCTTTTTTTGTTTGTTTGTTTTCTTGAGACAGAGTCTCACTCTGTCAGCCAGGCTGGAGTGCAGTGGCATGATCTCGGCTCACTGCAAGCTCTGCTTCCCAGGTTCAAGCCATTCTCCTGCCTCAGCCTCCCGAGCAGCTGGGATTACAGGCACATGCCACCACGCCCAGCTAATTTTTGTATTTTTTTAGTAGAGATGGGGTTTCTCCTTGTTGGTCAGGCTGGTCTCGAACTCCCGACCTCAGGTGATCCACCCGCCTCAGCCTCCCAAAGTGCTGGGATTACAGGTGTGAGCCACCACGCCCAGCCAAAATCAGGCATTTCTTAATGGTAAAGATGTCAATTCATCAAGAAGACATAAAAATCTTAGATGTCTATGCACCTACTAAAGGACATAATAATCTTAAGTGTTTATGTACCAGGGACACAAAAACTTGACAGAACCGAAAGAAGAAGTAAAATACTTTGCAATTTCAACACTCCTCTATCAATAATTGATACAAGCAGAAAGTCTGTAAGAAAATAGATTTGAACAACACTATAAGCAAAGTTGACCACCATTTATGGAACACTCCACCCAACTATAGAACATTCATGAAGATAAATTATATTCTGGGTCATAACAGAAATATACTTATTTAACCCTTATTTTTAAATTTCAAATATAAGGACAGAGTGTGGAAAACATTTAGTAGAATATTGTTCTTACTTATTGTAAATCTGAAATTATTCATTGTAACAAGGAGCAAGCTTCTAACTATTAATACTTAATAATTAATACTTAATTTTCTTATATAGCAACTGAGAATCTCTACACTGAAATACCTTTTATTTTTCTTTCATATTATATATGACATCATTTTTAATTGTATAACATTTTGTGTTTAAGTTACCCTATCAATAAATTTTTTTTCATGACAGAGAAAAGATTATTACAAGCTAGTTATCAAAAGGGGCTTTGGATCTGATGGAGTATGAAATCACTTGTCTGAAACACAAAGGAATGTTTTGATGTTCCTGTTGTCTTTACCAATACTCTGATGGAAAACCTACGAGTGAAGTAGGATTTTTCACATATCTACGCACTACAAACTCCTCCACTTGTCAAAATGATACACTAAGGTAGGCCTCTGTAAATTTGAACTTTGTATGCAGAGATCTCGCAGTTGCAAAGGAATTATTAGTATTACAAATACCATTGAGTACAGTAGTGTCACGACCCTCCTAGATATAGAAAGTATATTCTTATTAATACAGCTGACAGTTGTAGTTAATTTTTCTAGGAGCCTCATCATATGGTTCATATCACATTTATGGTTCATACGTTTGCTATATGTAAAACAAGTGAATAGACAAGATTCTTTTAACCCAGATGAAAACTATGCATTTATCTATTCCTGTTAGGTTTTATCGTGGTGATTTGTGAATTGTAGTTCTTCCACTGAGATAATTTTGAATATCGATTCTGATGAACTTTATATAGTGGCCTCCTATCCTCTGGTTTGGGGTCGGGGATAAATTTGATTAACGTGCCTTTAGCAGGATGTGAAATATCTTTGATATTTCCAAAAAAAAGTCTTTGATACATTTATGCCTTTTAGTCAATCATTATTGTTTTGTGAAAAAAAAAACCTCTAATATATTTAGCACTGTAGATTCCAAAACTGGGAGTTTCCAGGAGCAGCACACTAAAAGTCCCTTAGTGACCTTTGTCTCTCAGCTCCACACCCAGCCCTCTGTACCACTGAAACTGGAATTCTGCAAACTGCATTCTCCAAACTCTCTTGTCATTGTGGTCAGTGAGGATATTTTTTATAACTATCTTCTTAAATCTATTGAGACTTAATTTGTGGCCTAACATATGGTCTATCCTGGAAAATGTCATATGTGCACTTGAGAAGAATGCGTATACTATTGTTGGCTACAATGCTCTGTATGTCTGTTAGATCTGGTTGATTTATTGTGTCGTTTAAACGCTTGGTTTCCATATTTATCTTCTGTCTTGTTGGCCTGTCCATTTTTGAGAGTGGGGTAATAAAGTCTCCAACTAGTATCATAGAACTATTTCTCTCTTTGTTTCTGTGAAGTTTTGCTTCATGTATGATGGTTGCTTATTAGGTGTGTAAATATTAATATTTATAATTATTATTTCTTGCTGGAGTGAAACTTTTATTAATATATAATGTCCTTGTTTCTTGCAAACATTTTTGATTTAAAGTTTATTTTGTCTGATATTAGTACAGCTACTCCTGCTCCTTTTTGGACACTATTTGCATGGAATATCTCTTTCCTCCTTCCACTTTCAATCTATTTGTGTCTTTAAATGTAAAGTAAGTCTCTTATAGACAGTACACAGTTGAATTCTGTTTTTTAATACATTCTGCTGATCTCTGACTTTTGATTGGAGAATTGAACTCGTTTACATTGAAAGTAATGACTGATAAGGAGTGATATTTCTGTCATTTTGCTATTTGTTTTCTATATGTCTTATACCTTTTTGTGGTCCCTCACTTCCTGCATTGCTGTCTTCTATTGTGTTTAGTTGATTTTTTATAGTGAATTATTTAAATTCCCTTCTCATTATATGTATTCTATAGCTATTTTCTTTGTGGTTAACATGGGGATTATATTTAACATCCTGAAGTTGTAACACTCTAACTTGAATTTATACCAGCTTAAGTTCAACAACATACAAAAACTTTCCTTCTTTAACAGCTCCATTCCCACTCCTGTTGGGTTTTGGTGTCACAAAATTACATCTTTATATATTGTGTGTCCAAAACATAAACTAATAATTCTTCAGAATGCATTAACCTCTTAAATCATATGAAAAACAAAATGTGAATTTACAAATCAGTTTACAATACTAATAGCTTTTAGACTAGTAATTGTTTCTTTTAATGTTTTAGTCTCTTAAATCATGTAGAAAACAGAAAGTGCAGTTACAAATCATTATTACAATAATGCTAGCTTTTATAATTGCCAATATATTTACCTGTATTTATAGCTTTATTTCTTCATGCAGCTTCAAGTGATTATCTGGTGTCTTTCCATTTCAACCTCCAGGACTCCCTTGGTCTTGTAGGGCAAGTCTAGAGATAACAAATTTCCTCCGCATTTATCTGGGAATGTCTTAATTTCTTCCTCACTTTTGAAAGGCAGCTTTGCCAGATATAGGATTCTTGACTGACAATTTGTTTGGGTTTTTTTCTAGCACCTTGAATATATTGGCCCACTGCCATCTGCCTCTAAAGTTCCCAGTGATTATCTGTGGATAATCTTATCACGGATCCCTTATATATGATGAGTTCCTTCTCTCATACTGCTTTCTCTCTTTGTGTTTGGCTTTCGAAAGTTTGATTATAATGTCTCTCACTGTGGGTCTCTGAGTTTATCTTACTTAGAGTTCTTTGAGCTTCTCGAAAGTTTACATTTATGTCTTTCATCAAATTTGGGATGTTTTTAGCCATTATTTCTACAGACATTCTCTCTGCCCCCTTTCTGTCTCTCTTTTCTTCTGAGACTTCCACAATGTGTATATTGGTCTGTTTGATGGTCCCACAGATCCTTTAAGCTCTATGCAATTTTCTTCACTCTTTTTTTTTTTTCTGTTCCTCAGACTTGATTTCTATTATCCTATCTTCAAGTTTGCTGGTTCTTTCTTCTGTCTGCTCAAATCTACATTTGAATTCCTCTACTGAGTTTTTCATTTTTGGTCATCGTATTTTCAGCTCCAGAATTTCTTTTTTGTTTCTTTTTATGTTTTCTATTTGTTGGTATTGCCATTTTGTACATACATCTTATTCTTGACAGTCTCCACATCTTTTAGTTTGTTGAATATCTTTAAGATGGTTACTTTAAAGTCTTTGTCAAGTAGCTATGCCATCAGGTCTTTTTCAGAGACAGTTTCTGTTTATTCTTTTTTCCTCTGAATAAGCCATATTTTCCTGCTTCTTTGTATGCTTTGCAATTTTTTGTTGAAAACCAGGCATTTGAATCTAATAATCTGCTAACTCTGGAACTCAGGTTCTCCCCCTTTCCCAGGATTTTCTGGGTTTTGTGTTTATGTTTTATTGTTTGTGTTTCTGATGTTGTAGACTGTCTCTGTGCCAAAGATCAGTGTCAGTTGTAAACTTAGGTCTTTGCAGGTCTTTTCTGAACGCGGGTCTTTTCCTGGGTATGTGCAGTCACTTTCTAATGCTCCCCATATATGCAGTGGTTTTCAAATGTTATAGTCTTCAATGTCTGGCACCCAAAAGGGAGAAAAAAGAAAAATGAAGGGAGACAGAAAAGGGCACCAGCCTTTTAAATCTCCTGGAAATCACTTCTACTAGCGGGGAAGTGCTTGCAAAAATGGCGGGGAGGTGCAACCACAATGGCCATTAGCCTCTTTGTCTGTATCTCTGTGATCAGAAGAAGCAATCAGTGATCCAAATACAGATCCCTGATGTTTGGAGGACAGGATCCTTTTTACCCACCCCAGCTCCTACAAGCTGCCTACAAGTCACTCCAGGAACTCCGGGAGCTCCAGGAGCTCCTGCACAGGTGCCTGTCGTGTAGCTGGGGTGGAGGATGAGTGCTACTGCTACCTGCCAAGAGCTGAAATTGACCAACATTAAATGCAATTTACTGCCTAAGCCTTCTCCTGGAATTTGCAACCTTCTATAGATTCCTGAGTTCCAAAACAGTTACATCAGACAGATTCTGCCATTACAATCCTTGTCTGGATGGGGAGAGAAATGCCTGGTGCCTTCCACTCTGCCATCTTCCTAGAATCCCTAGACATTCTCTTTTGCTACTTACAAAATTAAAATATTAAGAAACAATTAAAATTATAATGGCAATAGGATAAAAGAAGTAGTATTTTAACTATAGTATTTTCTAGGATGAGGAAGGTTTTCCATTTGACTATAAATCCCTTAAGGGCAGGAACTCCATTCATCCAATAGGTATTTTTTTTAGCATTATTTCATGCTAGACTCATTCAGGTGTTTTATATCACTTCAATGCAAAGTTGAATAATTTAATTCTAGGACAAAGCAGGAGTCTTAACTTTTATCTAGACTAGTGGTTTACAAACCTCTTTTTGGCCTTCTAGCTCTTTCATCAAATGAAAGTTCATATAGAAGTCCAATAAATCCAGTAGGCATGAGTAAAGCTACTCCATTTGAGCAGGTACCTCAGAAAGTCCAGAGCCCAAGCAGCTAGTGCCCACTGCCCCCACCCGACCCAGTGGTCCTCAGGGAGTATTCACAGACACACCAAGGCCTTATGGAGCATTATTTGAGAACACCTGGTCTACTTAACCCATCATTTTATATCATAGATAGGAAACTGAGAAATAGATAGAGAGCTGCCCAAGGCCACACAGCTGATGAGTAGTGAGTCCACCTACAACAGAGACTGTGATGATCAAGGTTCATGGGGTCACAGATTTTTGCGGGTCCCAAGTCTGAAGGGATTCAAATTCAAACTTGGCCAGAAGGAACCCAAGTTATATAAAAGGGGATACAGGCTGGGCACGGTGGCTCACGCCTGTAATCCCAGCACTTTGGGAGGCCGAGCTGGGCAGATCACGAGGTCAGGAGATCGAGACCATCCTAGCTAACATGGTGAAACCCCATCTCTACTAAAAATACAAAAAGTTAGCCGGGCATGGTGGTGGGCGTCTGTAGTCCCAGCTAATCGGGAGGCTGAGGCAGGAGTATGGTGTGAACCCAGGAGGTGGAGCTTGCAGTGAGCCGAGATCGTGCCACTGCACTCCAGCCTGGGCCACAGAGTGAGACTCTGTCTCAAAAAAAAGCGGGGTGGGGGGATACAAATTTTTTTAATTGAAAACACAAGATAATGAGGTTATATGTCATGTCTGGATACTTGTATTCATGTGTATATTTTGTCATATTCATACATGTGAGAAGAGCTAATAATTTTTTGTGCAGGGATGATTTTAGGAACTAACTCAGAAAAACCAATACAGCTTTCATCCTGATGCATGACTTACGTACGATTAAAAATACCATTTCTGGTTGGTTTTAGGAAAAACTTACCAGATTTGTAGATTATAAAATTGGTTGAACGTGTTTACTGTTTGGAAGTGGATGGAGTGTTGTCAAACTGCAAGAGCATTTTTAAATTTTTTATTATATAATATTATTAAATATTTACTTTAAAATTATTTCCATGTGCTGAAACTTGTTCCATTGTAGTAAAGCTTTAGTAAAATTACATAAGCACACGAACTAGAAATGCGATTATGTGTAATTAACGTTACCAATGTAATTGAAGAACATGGCCTTACTATATAATTTATAAATCTGTACACAATTAATTTTGTGTGATCTTTTTGATCTCTTTTTACAATGCATTACTTCTCTAAGTTCTGTAGAATCCTGCATTACTAAGAGCATTTTTAGATTAGCACACATCTATGACACCATTAACAAAATATCCATCCCCTTGTCATTCTGGCTTTTGATTTGACAGATTAGGCAATAGCTCTAATTTAGACAGCCAAATTGGTTCTCTACTTAAAAGACAGAAATTATGCTCTTCTTCATAATTATCTACACTCTCATTGTAATCTTCATCTACCACCACTGTTACCATGCAAAGCATTGATTAAATATTTCTTTGTACATTTCACAAAGAAAGATTTTACAAGTGCATATTTACTGCCTTCCAGAAAATAATAATTTTAAAGGAATATATGTTAATTATCTGTTTGAAACTGTCAATGTGAGCTAAATCTTTAGTACCTCTAATTTATACCCAGGTACTTGAAATTTTAAATAGCAGTTCCAAAAAATCAAAAGCTTTTTGACCAAATGTGTTATTATGGGGAAGGGAATTCTTACAGAAACAAATAATTGCTAGAACTTTTATTTCATTATCTTAGGAACCTCCTCTTCAATGATTGTTGATCTCAATATGGTTATTGTCTCATGAGGCCCTCATGAATTGGCTGGGGAGAGTCTCTGGCATTTGTTTGGAGCTTTTAAGGAGTTAGCACTTCCAGCCTGTCTCTTTTCTCCATTTATCCTTCTATTAAGAGACTCTACTTAGCAAGTGCTCTCTCTTCAGTGGCTGTAGGGTTTTATGCAGCTAATTTTTATCTGTTGAGTACAGTCATTAGACCCTTGATTACCAAGGGCAGAGATTTACTCAGGCCACCTTAATAAAAATGGGGATGTATTATAAATATAGGTGGGTACCAGAGCCTAAAAGCTATGAGAATACTAAGTAGTACTTGAGACAACTCTCCTCTCCACTTCTCTTACAGCCTATGTGGTCTCTCTTTCAAAGCGCCACTGCTTTGCTCTCTATGCCTGCCCCATCTTTCTGTGAATCTACTCTGTATTCCCCAGGAATTTGGGGACTTACACCCCAAGAAACAGTTTTGGGGCCGGGTGCGGTGGCTCATGCCTGTAATCCCAGCACTTTGGGAAGCCGAGGCGGGCGGATCAAGAGGTCAGGAGTTCAAGACCAGCCTGGCCAAGATGGTGAAACCCCCGTCTCTACTAAAAATACAAAAAATAGCTGGGCATAGTGGCAGGCACCTGTAATCACAGCTACTCGGGAGGCTGAGGCAGGAGAATTGCTTGAACTCAGGTGGCAGAGGTTGCAATGAGCCGAGGTCATGCCACTGCACTCCAGCCTGGACGATAGAGTGAGACTCTATCTCAAAAAAAAAAAAAAAAAAAGAAGAAGAAGAAGAAGAAGGAGAAACCGTTTTGAAGGAAATTTATCAGGTTGGCTTAGCTCATTACTAACCTGCTATAGGGCAAAACCTTCACATCTGACCTTGGGTTTGATGCTTAATGTTGGCCCCATCAGAAGCCATGCCTGCACAGCTAAGTCAGATACTGCCTCACTAAGCAGGGGGCTATGGCCAGTGTGTTTTCTACTGTTTAAAAAAAAATGACAGGAGGCACTGTAATTAACATGTCCAATATATGTATAATCAGAAGTCAGAGGTGCCTCAGCCTTGGATAGCTACGAAAGGATTTTATCCAATGATACCTCCTTATTGTACATTGAATTGGTAATTCCCAAGTTTTGGACTTCTACAGAAGAAAACTTTGACAAAACTCAACCCTATTATATTTTGAATGATATAATCACAACCATCTTCCTTTGTTTGGGTATTCATTTGTGTTTTGAATAATTAAGCAGGAAATCTAGCCTGAATATTCTAGCCATCTCAAATTCCATTGGTTTATCTGTACAGCTAAAAATAATTACACTCATGTGCGCTTAATGAATAGATCAGACTGCTTCACATTCTTGCCTGCATTCAGAAATTCAAAAGGTAGGTTACCCTGCTTTTTGCTAAATTTTTTAGTGATATTAATTTGTGGAACAGATTCTATAAACTTTAAGTCCTAATGTCCAGCTTTTGGAATTATGATTTTTTAAAGTTTACCATTTGAACATATAATAATCATCAATATTTCAGAAGATTGAAAAATAAAATATATTTGAACTTTGCTAACCACTTTCTCCCTCAGTATTTACAGACCTCCACTAATTGAGATGACGCACTTCTTCAAAAATAAAGATGCTGTTCAAATACTTTCCGTGTTTGCTTAATTAAAAAGGACATTGGAAAAAATGACCTTGTATGCCCACTAATAGCAGTTTGGAAGCGACACTTCCTATTCATTATGTTATCACCATTTTCCTTTAAAATAATCATTCAAATACATGCATTTCTCATTTCCAAGAAAACTAAAGCTGACATGTAATAAACTGAGAGTTAAATACAGATCCATTATTGTGGGGCCAACAAAACCTGTGTTACTCAGATCTGATAACACAGTTGCATGTAAATTCCATGCATCTGCTTATATCTAATATGTGCACATATTTACTCTGAGGAAATGGGAAAGCAAAGCTGGGCTCAAGAGTAGTAATGTAAACAGCATCGCACCTACGCTCAGCAGGAATCGTTTGCACACCTGTCTTTCTTGGAAATGTGTCAACCAGTTGTTTTCTCAGGTTCATGTGCAATTTTATCGAGCCCTGGAAACACCTACTCCACATTCACTGTGCCAACCATTAAAGTCCAGTTTGTTTCTGAGTGAGGAGGTGGGAAAGGGCTGGTTTGGAAACCAAGTCTGTGACTGTTTCAAATGCACCAGTGGTCTCCCAAAGGTTGACTTTTATCACCTTTGAGACAGTACTCTCTGAAGGCCCCTCCCTCATTCTTACAGATTGGCATTTTGATTTTAAAAAATGAAAATGAAAAAAAAGGAAATAGAGAAATGGGACCACATATAGAAAAACTGGGATAAAGCTTCATTTATTCAACACCCACTGTATGTCAGGCCTGTGTTAGTCTTTAGAGATACAGCAGTAAACAACTTTCTACTTTGACTTCTAAGCAATAAATTTGCTTAAGTTTACTGCAGACTTGGAGCAAAGTCTCTAAAGAGTGTGGTGATAAAATGGAGAATCTGGAACATTAGAGAAGGAATGCCTTTGTTTAGTGGGTGACTCCTTAAATAGCATAATTTTCTAAATTTTTTAATGTCATACAGTTATTATTTTGTAATCTAACGTAAAAATGAAGTTTAGGCCAGGCATGGTTGCTCACACCTGTAATCTCAACACTTTGGGAGGTCGAGGCAGGAAGATCACTTGAGCTTAGGAGTTCGAGACCAGCCCAGCCAACATGGTGAAACCCCGTCTCTACAAATAATACAAAAATTAGCCAGGCGTGGTGGCTCGTGCCTGCAGTCCCAACTACTTGGGAGGCTGAGGTGGGAGGATTGCTTGAGCCAGGGAGACAGAAGTTGTAGTGAGCCGTGGTAGGGATACATTTTTTTAAATGTTTAAAAAAAATAAACATAAAGTTTAGATGAAATTCATACATTAAGAAAATTAATTTGCTAGGCCAGGCACTGTAGCTCACGCCTGTAATCCCAGCACTTTGGGAGGTTGAGGCAGGGAGATCACTTGAGCTTACCAGTTCAAGATCAGCCTGGACAACATGGCAAAACCCTATCTCTACTAAAAATACAAAAAACTGGCCAGGAGTGGTGGCACGTGCCTGTAGTCCCAGCTACTTGGGAGGCTGAGGTGGGAGGATGGCTTGAGACTGGGAGGTGGAGCTTGCAGTGAGCTGAGATCACACCACTGCACTCCACCCAGGGTGATAGAGCCAGACCCTGTCTCAAAAAAAAAATTAATTTGCTTTTAGTCCAATGGTGACAAACATTGATTCATCCACTCATGAATGTATATGGTAGTTATAAAATAATATAGCGCAAAGTTCTAGCTACATAGATATTAAGGAGGCAAAGAGAAGGAATCCTAACTCAGCCTGGGGAGGAGTAAGAGAGGGAGTTTGGGAGGGCTTCCTGGAAGCAGTGACCACTGAGAGTTAAAACCAGAGAAGGAGTGAGGTCAAAGGAAGAACATTCTCTACAGAGAAGATAGCAATTAAAAGGAACTGGAGATCTAAAATAACTCTTCTTAATGTCTTTACTGACTTCTATGTGGGGCGTTGGGGGAAGAGCACTAGAAGAGGTTGAATATATCTAGAACATACACTATGACTGAAGCGAGTTTGAGAGACAGGGCTAGAGAGATAAGCAGGAATAAAATCAGGGAGAGCCTTGAGCACCACCGCATTAGGAAAAGGCTGCCGTATTAGGAAAGGCTGTTCAATATGACGTAATAAAACCTAATTATCGTAGGTTCATGAGAGCTTATCCAAGAAAGGTCCTGTCACTGTCGTAGCCAGGCAGGATATTAAAGATATTTCCGTATTGAAGACCTTTCCCTAATTCGCATCTCTGTGACACTGTCACCTACTCTTTCTTTTCCCATTCTAGCTCTTAGGCCTGGTGGCAATTCTGTAAGAGTGCCAAAAAGGAAGTACAAGCTTTAAAAAATAATTATACCATTTTTAAAACAACAAAACAAAACAAGTCACCAAAAGAAGTCTGCTTAAATTTTGCTTTCTGGGCTGCAAAGATCATGACCACTAGGAAGCTGAATTGAAGAAAAGCCCTACTTGTTTTGGCCAATGTTTTCCTCAAATAGAAGAGTCTGAATGTGTTGCCGTGTCCAGAGATTTGCTGGTATGTGGTTCAGATGCTTCTCCAGTCGAAGCTTTATGTGAAATTTTAAAAGGTGTAGGGCTCACCAAAGCCCCATAGGGAGCTATCAATCTATGTCATGGGGCGGACTCTGAATCCTTGTGAGTAATCCCCGCCTGCCTTCCCTCCCCCAGCTCTCTCCCCAGCACCATGTAAGGTAAGTTCAGCCAGCAAACTCAGATCTGGCTCTCTTTACCCTTGAGAACCTTGCTTATGCCTCTAACACACACGCAGACGGTGAACTGGGCACATTGCTTTCTACTTTTATGAAGGTCACAGACTCTTACTGCTAGAGTAACCAGATCTCCTGCCTCACCAGGCGCAGTCCCAGGCGGTGTCTGTGCTGTCAATATAAATCCCAATTTCTAACCACCTTCAGCAGGAGTTCTACCTCTGCTTGCAAGCCTTTCTCCCATTTATTCCACAGAGAAGCTTATACGATGGAACTCCCGTGAATTCCAGTAAAACCTAAGAATTTGAGAAACACCCTAGAGATTATGGTTGAGAGTTTAGCCTACAATTTATGTGTTCGAGGAACCTTCAGATAAATTATATAATTACATTTAATAAATCCTTGTTGCACTCGTCTGAAAAATAAATAGGTAATTTTTTAAAGCATAAGGAAGGCCCATCTCCCACCCCAAGCAAAGGTAATCAAGGAACTCGGAAAACCTAGGGCAAAGAGTTGAGTGAAAGCAGATCTGGGAAGAAGCCATGTGAAGCACCACTCATGAGAAAATGGTGTTTGGGGCCTGGCGCGGGGACTCACGCCTATAATCCCAACACTTTGGGAGGCTGAGGCAGGGGTAGGGGATCACCTGAGGTCAGGAGTTCGAGACCAGCCTCGACAACATGGTGAAACCCTGTCTGCACTAAAAATACAAAAATTAGCCGGGTGTGATGGCATGTTCCTGTAATCCCAGCTACTCAGGAGGCTGAGGCAAGAGAATCGCTGGAACCTGGGAGGCAGAGGCTGAGTGATAGATCAGATTTGCATTTGAAACCAGTTCCGGCCGTTTGCAGTGGCTCCTGTAATCCCAGCACTTTGGGAGGCTGAGGTAGGTGGATGGATCACCTGATGTCAGGAGTTCAAGAGCAGCCAGGCCAACAGGGTGAAACCAGCTCAATAAATGAGCTGGGCGTGGTGGCATGCACCTGTAGTCCCAGCTACTCGGGAGGCTGAGGCAGGAGAATCGCTTGAACCTGGGAGGTGGAGGTTGAAGTGAGTCCAGATAGAGCCACTGAAATCCAGCTTGGCAACAGAGCAAGACTCTGTCTCAAAAAAAAAAAAAAAAAATTAGCTGGGCATGATACTGCACATCTGTAGTCCCAGCTACTTGGGAAGTTGAGGCAGGAGAATTGCTTGAACCCAGGAGGCGGAGGTTGCGGTGAGCAGAGATCATGCCACTGCACTCCAGCCTGAATGACAGAGCGAGACTTCATCAAAAAAGATTTAAAAAAATGGCGTTTGGCCATGGTGTCAGTCATCAGATCTGGCTCCTACCCATAAGCTGAGTGGACAGCATGTTACTAATAGTGATTTCCCCATCCTCTCTGGCCATTCGGAAAAGCATGTTCAGCAGTTTCTGGTCCTTTGGCCCTTTCTCCTTCCCTGAGTCTTTTACAGAAGACTCTGAACTGATGTTTCACTGGTTTTATTTTTTATGTATGTATGTACGTATTGGAGATAGGGGTCTCACTCGGTCGCCCAGGCTGGAATGCAGTGGCATGATCATAGCTCACTATAGCCTTCAACTCCTGGGCTCAAGCAATCCTCCTCAGCCTCTGGAGTAACTGGGACTGCAGGCATGCACCACCACACCTGGATAATTTTTTTTTTTTTTTTGAGAGATGGGATCTTGCTATGTTGCCCAGACTGGTCTCCAACACCTGTCCTCAAGCAGTCCTCCCACCTTGGCCTCCCAAAGTGCTAGGATTACAGGCATGAGCCACTGCACCCAGCCTGGTTTTATTTTTTAAGAACAACCTTACTGAGGCATAACGGACATAGAACAAATGGCACATATTTTTAAAATTACAGTTTAATTGGTTTTGAGGCATGTTTATTTCTGTGAAGTCTCAACACAATCAAGATAATGAACATATCCATCACCCCAAAGTCTTCTCCTGCCCCCTGGTAATTCCTCCCTTTCCCCACTCATGCTCCCCAGATCCCATCCCCAGCCATCTTTCTTTTGGCTTGAAACAAAACAAAACAAACAAGAAACTTTTTAAAAAGTTCTTTTCAAATTCTTTTTTAATTGCCTAATTGAAACCTTCTGAAGCTCTAAGGTTTCTTGCTAATCCATATGAAACATACCCAGCAATCTGCTTAGTTGTCTGGCACACTTTTCACATTTAAAAAAAAAAGAATAAATAAAATACAAGAAAATTCCAAGGGAGCAAAGAGTGTATTTGGCTTATTTAACAAGCATAAGGAAAAGAAGTATTTGCTTTAGCTTAAAGCCATTGACAGCATTCTTTCCTATGGAAAAGGGAATGCCAGGAACAGCTAGACATTGAAATGGTCCAAGTTTTTATTAAAAAGTGAGAGATGGCATTGCTAAAGGAAATGCCTTCTTAGATAATAGAATTAAATCCTATTTCACCTGAGTGGAATGCCTTCTGTTTCCACAAAGCTATCAATTATAGAGCAGCTTCTCCAGCAGTACTTTAACTAACTGGAAACTTCAGCTTTGAAAACAATGCTCAAAGTTTATTCTTGGTTTGGATTGCATCTGCTCTAGGGCGGGGAGTGGGGAGGGAATCCATTTTTGTAAATGATGGGAAGCTTTTGGAAAAGCACGTTTCTGAGTGTCCAGAGATTCTTCCATGAATTAACTGCATGGGCCCACATACAAGTCATTTCATTTCAGCTTCTTCTTGGTATAATGAGAAGATTGAACTAGAAGAATCCTCACAGTCCTTCAAGCTCTGCATTTTATAGTGTGGGACCTTGTCAGGGATATCTTTGTCCAACAAAGAGGCTCAGCTGGTTAAGATTTACCCAGGAGTGCAAAGAAGAAAAGCATTCACCCTAAGAACAGCTTCCCCTCCCATAGCCTTTCCCTGTTGAAGGCTATGTATTACAATAGCTATTGTTGTATAGCTATTATACAATTCCAGATGATGTAAACAGAAAACGAATCTATTGAAATTTTAAAATGTTGCCAGAAAGTGTGGAGAACCATGCCACAGAACTGCTTTTGTGAGAAAATACTGCTGGTCCTAGATGCCACAATTTAGCCTGGAGTAGCTTGTGATGCATCGTTCGCAGCAACCACTAGCATGCCGGAGAGAGAATCTTCCCAGGCCTCTATTTTTATGTGCCAGCAGCTCTGAGTTCAGAGCCCCAGTCAAACACGTCCCAGCCTTTTTGATGCCGTGGTACTATAGAGAATTATATTTTGACATGTCCAGGAGCACTGGCCACCCCAAGCCCTAACCAGGCCTCTTCAAGGGCTGCAGAATTTCATATCTCAATATTCCCCTCACCTATTCATGGCCACGCACACTGGTTAAGAAGCTCTGCCCTGAACAGTTGCGTTACTTCGTGCCCTGTTTGCAACGGAAGCAGGGAAAACACATAACAATTTTTACTTTCTACTTCTGTAATAAAGGGGGGGTGCAGATTTCTATAAATTGGGGAATTCCCCAAACAGATGCAGGGCAGCGGTGGTGGGGAGGGAAGAGTCTCTAAGAGCATATTCCTGTATGCATAGCTGTTACTGTGGACCTTGCCAAAGCCACTTCTGCCATGTGACAGCAGGAACTCTATTTTGGATAAGACATGATTTCAAGAGGGCCTGATACCTCATGAGCATAAGATCTGCCTACCTCCCTGCAGCCACTCAAAGCAGCAATGCTAGATTCAGTGATCCCTTTCTTTCAAGGTTATAATTTCATGTATTTCCACAGAACCAGCCTCTGAGGCCCTTGCTTTAGAGGGTCCTATTTGGGCCTGCTACAGTTTTCAAGTTTGTCTCCTCCAAATCTCATGGTGAAATTTGACCTCCAGTGTTGGAGATGGTACCTAATGGGAGGTGTTTGGGTCATGGGAGCAAAGCCCTTGTGAATGCCTTGGTGCCGGCCTTGCGGTCATGAGTGAGCTCTCGCTCAGCTAGTTCCCGTGAGAGCTGGTTGTTAAAAAGAGCCTGGCCTCCCTTATCCCCACCATGTGATCTCAGCATGCACTGGCTCCCCTCCACCTTCCATGAAGCCCCTAAGCCTTTCATCAGACGCCCAATCTTCCAGGCAGCAGAATTATGAGTCGAATCAACCTTTTCTCTTTATACATTACCCAGTCTCAGGTACTTCTGTATATCAACACAAACGGACTAAGACAGGGCCCTTCTCTGTCCACACCCATCCTCACCAGGTGAGGACACCAGGGAACAAACGGGATGGCCCCACTCTAAGCCCACACCATACACTCTTTCTAGCCTATGCACCCGGCATTCAGGACCCAGAACTGCCTGCCCAAATGATCCTGAGCCTACTTCCAGGGTCAATACAGGCCTTTTCCTAAGGGAGCAAAAATGTTATTATTGGGGGGCACACTCTGAACACTGAGCAATGGTCAGTGGGGGACTGCTTTTCAGGGAGAGCATGTGGCTGGAGGGCCTACAATCCCGTGTGTAGGACAGAGCAGGGGGAAGATAAGGGAGGGGTTGCGGTGGAGGGGCACTACCTGTGTTCTTGGCCCTGACCTTGTGTCTGTAGCACCCACCCAAAAGTCTGGACTTCCAGGCTGTCACCTGCCCTCAAAGCCAGATTATCTATGTCATGTGGCCTTCCACAGTTCCCTCGATACAAAACTGGAAATCATTTGGCTGCTAAATTGTAGAGAATCAAAACCCTCTGAGTCACAGCTGTACAGAACACATTTCACACCAAACTTAAAAATCCCATCAGACACACAGTTTATAAAATTCACCTTTTAAATACAAGCTGTCACAATGGAGTTCACAGAAGCAACAAGTCAGGGAAAATGTCATTATCTTCAGTTTAAGTCTTAATCTGACTAGGCGGTGAGTGAAATTATCCACAAAGTAATTCTCCAGAGAAGGCCTCTCTCTAATGACCTGAGTAAGGCGACCAAAGAGATTTTTTTTTCTTGGTAGAGAAGCTAAACATAAAAAGTCCAATCCCTAACGATGGCCATACCTCTCCTTCACGGTGAAAAAGTGATTAAAGCTTTGCGTAGTTAAACGAACTACCTCCCAGCACCATTATATTTCTTTCTGCTTTTTAACATAGGTCTTCAGAAAGTGCCAGTCATTCTTATCTGGGAACTCAAATTTTACTGTAACACAATGACCACCTGAAAGCAATACAGGCTGTTGCCCGATCAATAGAACTGGAGCTCTTTGATGTTTTCCAGCCACAGGTACCTCCTGACCCCTCCATCTTTGTTCATACCATCCAGTCTGCCCAGTGGCTTCGCCCCTCCTCTCTTCCTATTGAAATCCCAGCTCTTCCTCGAGGCCCAGCTCAAATTCCACCCCATCTGGTGGGGATCTTTCTCACAGCTCTGAATTCTGAGAGCGCTTGCTGTTCGTGTCATTCATTTGGTATCTATCGTGTGTTGCTTTTGGTTGCTGATTTTCTTGTGAAATCAACTTTCTTACTCTTTTTAACCTACTTGGAGCTCTGATGTCATTTACAGCCACCCCCTTAGTTCGTTGACAAGTGGCATTTAATAAATTCATTTTGATTAATTAAATTAAAGTATTAATAAATATTTTGATGGAGTATAGGCTGGCTTCTACATATAATAAACATTTTATATAGATTTACTGTAATATATAAGAACAAGTGTTTAAACTGATGAAGCCCAAAGACAATATGAGAGCCTTGATTATTAAAGATGCAATTCAGTATATTGTATATCCATATTCATAAGTCTAAAATGGAAACATATGTTTTGGAGAGATTTTGAGAAACAAAATTTGACATCAATCGGGTTTGTTCAAATCCTACTCGTGGATTTGGGGTGGCCTCAGAGAATGGCTGTGGGCTGGACCACCACCAATCCTGGGCCTGGCTGAACTGGGGCAGGAGTTAAACTAAAGCAATCTAAATGCAGATGGAGGGAAAACTTCTGTGGTCCAGAAGAAACCAGGATCTGAACATCAAGTTTAAGATTGAAAGCTAGTCTAGAAACTGAAAAACCAAAAAGGGGAAAGAATGCAATGTGTAGAACAAGTCAAGGCAAGTGTTTCAAAATTAAAGTTGTGAACAGTTGGAAAATCCAGGAGAAACTTTTACGTGATGCCTGGGGACCTAGGGGTAAAAGCAGAGGCTTAAAGTAACCACACAAGACAATATAGTGATTGTTTGTTAAGTATTAACACCCAAGATACCAGAATATTCTCTTCTAAAGATACCCACCTTCCCTCCACCTGTCAATATGTTCCATCCTTCACTTACTCCCTGCACATGTCTTTAATCATTGTATTAACTATTTTTTAAATAATTTTTATTTATTTTTATTTTTTGAGATGGAGTCTCATTCTATCACCCAGGCTGGAATGCAATGGTCCCATCTCAGCTCACTACAACCTCTGTCTCCTGGGTTCAAGTGATTCTCCTGCCTCAGCCTCCTGAGTAGCTGGGATTAAAGGCATGTGCCACCACACCCAGCTAATTGTTGTATTTTTAGTAGAAACAGGGTTTCACCATGTTGGCCAGGCTGGTCTCGAACTCCTGATCTCAAGTGATCCGCCCGCCTCGGCCTCCCAAAGTGCTGGGATTACAGGCATGAGCCACCATTCCCAGCCCTAAAAATAATTTTCTATTCCTATTTTTGTCTCGTCTCACTAGACTGTAAACTTCTGGAGAACAGGAACTCTCTCTCTCTCTGTTTTTTGTTTTTTGGTATATCTGCAGAGTGCAGTATGCTGCCTGGAACCTAGTAGGTGCTCAGTAATAATATATTTAACTCTAACCTCTAAACTTAGCTGCCTGGTTCACACATATATGCTCAGCACCCAAAACAGTGCCTGACATATTATAGACTCAAGAAATATTTGCTTAAAGAACAGGAATGAATGCATGAATGCCAATGCAAGGCCAATGTGCCACAATGTGCCAGACCCACCCTTGGTATTGGGGAACATGAGCTTTCCCTCTAGTAGTTTAATGGGATTAAATTATTGTATATTTTATTCATTGTCAGGCTCCACAGGCAGTGAGTGTGGAAGGGATAGCCATAGGGCCATCTGAGACCAAATGCCCCCAGATGATCTAGCTCTAGTGCTATAAACCATTAAATAAAAGATTATACAGTCAAAAACCCATAGCAGATATTAACAGTCTAAGGCATTCTTACTTAGTATATAGAGCATTCAAATTTTAGTCATAGACAGCCTGGGTTTATTGTCATAGCTCAGGTGTCATTGTCATTGTCATTGTCACTCCCCAATATTTGTGAGAACAAAACACATCTCTTAATAGCAAACAGATACCATAAAAATCTCATCATCACCACCCTTAGATGTCCCCTGCCCAACCATAAAAACATATACGCCTTTCTTTACATCTGTGTCACAAGTGGAAGTTAATTCTCCAACCCAGTTTATACCTTGACATAGACAAGTCTTGGACCTCATCTTCTAAAGGCTGAGTCTTCAGCACACACACGTATGTGCATATGCATTCACACACACATATACATACATGTGTGCACATGCATACACAAGCATGCACACACATACACACACACACCAATGTGGCTCCCTGAAGGCAATAGTTCAACAAACAGTCCCTTGAAAAACCACACCTTGAAGACTACTGAATTAGGCCGCGTTCAGTGGCTCATGCCTGTAATCCCAGCATTTTGGGAGGCCGAGGTTGGTGGATCACTTGAGGTCAGGAGTTCAAGACCAGCCGGGCCAACATGGTGAAACCCTGTCTCTACTAAAAATACAAAAATTAGCCAGGCGTGGTGGCATGCGCCTGTAGTCCCAGCTACCTAGGAGGCTGAGGCATAAGAATCGCTTGAATCCAGGAGGCAGAGGTTGCAGTGCTCAAGATGGCGCCACTGCACTCCAGCCTGGGCGACAGAGCAAGACTCCGTCTCAAAAAAAAAAAAAAAACTACTGAATTAGGGTATCTCAGTTAATTACTCATTTATTTTATTCATTTATTGACTTATTTATTCTTTATTAATTAAACATTTATTGAGTCCCTACTCCTGCCAAGTGCTTGTTTAGGTAGTGCAGGTGATTCAAAGATTAAAAATAGGCCAGGCATGGTGGCTCACGCCTGTAATCCCAGCACTTTGGGAGGCCAAGGCAGGAGGATTGCTTGAAGCCAAGAGTTTAAGACCAGCCTGGGGAACATGGTGGGACCCCGTCTCTACAAAAATAATTAAAAATTTTTAAAAATTAGCCAGGCTTGGTGACACAGGACTGTGGTCCCAGCTACTTGGGGGGCTGAGGTGGGAGGATCACTTGAGCCCAAGAGGTCAAGGCTGCTGTGAACAGAGATTGTACCACTGCACTGCAGCCTAGGCAACAGAGGGAGACCCTGCCTCAAGTAAGTAAATTAATAAATAAAAACATATTTGTTACCTTTATGGAGCCTACAATCCATTGATGAAAAGAAACAATCAAAAATCACTGTGGAGTGGGATCCATGTAAAATAGAGATGCTGAGAAAGTTCTGGTCACCCTGAGGGCAGGAACTCACTTTTATCCGATGACTGCTTTGTGCGGGATGCTTCTTAGTGGGTATCTCACTCATTCTTATAACAGACCTGGGAAATAGGTATTATTATTATAGCCATTTTCTAGATTTAAAAAAGGAAACCTGAGGAGTTCAAGTTTTGTTCCAAGTCATACAGCTAGCAAGGAGCAGAATCAGGATTGAAATCTAGTTGTCTTTGTCTGGCAAGTCTGCTAGCTGGAGCATTAGGGGCGTGGCATCATTAAGGAGATAAAACTGTAAGTATTGAAAGATTGAAAGTCCTTTACCAAACAGAACGAGTGTTTGGGGGAGAGGGTGCTCTGGGCAATTGCACCAGAGTATCTGGCGGCTCCATAGAGGAGGTACAGTTGCAAGCAGGCCTGCGTAGCTGAACAAAGGAAAATGGTGAGAGAAGAACGCACTTCACCAGGAGAGCTTCCCTAGGTTTCCTGATTTCCTTTGGAAGTTATTATTCTGGACCAAATCTGCCATCTTCTTCTCCATGACCAATCTGAGTTTGCAAACGTGTCTGTTGCCAGCCAGAGGGATTCTGTCACCCTCTCTTTACAGTCAGCTTAGATATGTTTATTTGTCATCACTGCCTGTCACTCATTAATTAACCTCACTGCGAAGAACTCGGGCCCATCAAAGCAGCATTCCCAACATTTACGTCAGTTTTCAAACTTGATTTCTTGGTGTGGAGGAGAAGCAATGTTGTGGAATGTTTTTACTTCATGAGCCACGGAATTTCTATAATTGCTTTTTATTTTGCCTGTGGTTGAAGATAACTCCTTATTTTTCCATCAAACAGTAAACACTGCCTTTGACTCCCTGGACTTCCTGAATAGGAAGATAAATAAGAATGACTCTTACAAATTTTATTATAAGGAACTGTGTTTTTAAGTTCATTGTAAGCACTGTGTAATACATCCCAAACGGAATAAGATGTGATTAGGAGAATAATCATTTGCCTGACACTCCAATTCCAACCCCATCCCTATCCCAGAGGTTGGTCTGACTCTGGCTACTTTCCAGGAGTACAGATTGGGTGGGGATGAGGCCTACAGTAGCCTGACTCATCTCTGCATCTTTTCTTGGCTCTCTCTCCTCATGGACTCTAAGCTCCTTCTATCATTAGTGTCTACCATAGTGTCTAGTACATAGTGAGACCGTGGTTTATTTTTAAGTTAATAAGTCAATAAATGATCTCCAAATGAGGATATCATCTACTGTGTTTGTCAATGAAAGAACCTAATAAGACAGTTAATTTAGGGCATCCTCTTACAGGAGTAAGGTAAGTTTTGATCAAGGGAAGATGAAAGAGAATTGCGTTTAGACAAATGACTACTCCTGATTCTCACCCCCATCTTCAATGTTTCGATTCTATTCCCATATATGAATGTCTTTGCGCAGCCCAAAGTAGGGCCAGCAGTTACACCCCCACCAAAGTGCCTGGCCTTCCTGACTTAGCTTCTTCTCTTTATTTTCGCCATCAATAATCTGCATCCACACACGGCCCTAATCTCAGCTGGATGGCAATGAGGATGAGATGCTGACAGAGTCTTGACTTTCTAGAAGAGGACAAGGCCCCCACGGGCTGGATTCAGGGGTATGAGAGGACTCCATGGGGCTGGTAGTGTGGATGCTTCCATCCAAGCAGTAGGCAGGTGAGGGAGTAAGAGTCTCCCATGATCACCATGTAACTGAAGATGGGGTGAGAAGTGAGATTGAAACAAACCCCCCACACGACCCCATGGCTCACTCACTCTCTTCCAGGCAGATAGAGGAAGAGATGGTATCATGACGATGAGACAGTAAGCCCCATGGCCCCATGAAAGGCGGTGTGACTGGGACAACTGCGTCAAGGAGTCCTCAATGTGAAAAAAAAAATGGCAATGAGGACCTTGCCATTCATTATAGAGCTCTGGGTAAATAAAAAACAGTGGAAGTTTGTTTTCTGAGCCACCGGCAAGCAGCTGATCAAGAAGAAAAGTGGATGCGTGGCCTTGCCAGATAGAGCAAAGCTAGCCATGCTCATGTGCCTGGCCCCTGCCACAGCCCAACTTGGCCAGGGACAGGGATGGGGTACGGGGTACAGTGGAGGCCAAAGGTACTAAGGACTGTGGCAACATGCAGGGGCACAGAAAAACTGGGACCTGTGACCCTAAGCACCCATCAAATGCCCAGAGGCGCTTAGGGGAGGAAGCAGAGCCAGTCCTCAGGCACTAACCTTGGAGCAAAGAGTCATGGGAGAAAAAAGACACCCCGTTAGGGAGGCCACCCAGCCTCACCTCCACCCTGCACTCCTTATACTCCCAGATAGGATAGCACTGGTCTCCCAGCAACTGCGGCTGTAGCCACTAACTCACATGCTCCTTTGTCCATACTCCTGCAGGGGGAAACGGTGCCAGTTTCAACTCAGAGTTTGGAGAGGGCTTGCAGCGGGGAAGTGAAATTAAAGTGACTGTGCGTGAGGTCCCTTGGGTCAATTCAATGTATTGTTGTGGCTTCCACATCTGAATGTATAGAGAATGGATGTGTTACCTGCTTGCAGTTCTCAGTCCCTCCAGTGTCAGAGGGGTTCTCCCTTTCGGAGTCGGCAGCATATAGAAAGGTGCCAATGGGACATCACTCCACCACCACCTGGACGCCTGCCTCCCTGTCCCCTCCCAGATGGTCAGTAGACGGGAAAAGGGAAGTCACTAAGAACATGGCTTTTTAAAAACAAAAAAGTAGCTATTAACCTCCTACTGAGCACTTGTTGAAGCTGGAGGTCTTGTGATAATTCCCATTTGGCACTGGGTCACCTCAGACTCAGTAACTAACAAGATGGGAAGCCTCACTTCCTAACAAGCCTCACTTCCTAAGTGAAAAGGATCTAGTCAAGAACACAGAAAGGTCCTAAATTGTCTTTACCCAGATCTTTCCTGTTTTGTTTTGTTTTGTTTTGTTTTGTTTGAGACGGAGTCTCGCTTGCTCTATCGCCCTGGCTGCAGTGTAGTAGCATGATCTCAGCTCACTGCAACCTCCGACTTCCCAGTTCATGCAATTCTCCTGCCTCAGCCTCCTGAGTAGCTAGAATTACAGGGGTGTGCCAGCAAGCCCAGCTAATTTTTGTATTTTTAGTAGAGACGGGGTTTTACCATGTTGGTAAAACAGGCTGGTCTCGAACTCCCGACCTCAGGCGATCTGCCTGCCTCAGCCTCCCAAAGTGCTGGGATTACAGGCATAAGCCACCACACCTACCCTACCCAAATCCTTTCTGAGGGGTGTATTTCCGTGAGCAACTTTGAGGAGTGAAGTAAAGTCTCAATCTAAGTGAAAGCATTTTTCTTACTTACTGCTTGCTACAAAATCATGGGGTCCTCCCTATTGCTCAGTTGAACACAAACCCATTATCTGTGTAGCATCTATCTGGACCCTGCACATTACCCTGGGACTTGGGGACAAAGGAACTCACACAAGCATAATGATGCTTACACTATTTATTGTGCGATGAGTAATACAGTCTTTTGTCCTCACCCTGAAATTTCATGTTTTCTGCCATTAGCCACACAACTATAACAGTCTAACCCATTAACTTGTGGGAAAGGCAAAACCTCAGAACAATCACAGTTCTTGATACTGGGTCCAGGAAGCGGTGGGAGGAAAGAGCTGACATTCAGCAAAGTGAGTGATCACGTTGACGCGTCATTCACTTAGGATCATTTCTTTTTCTTTTCTTTTCTTTCTTTCTTTTTTTTTTTTTTTTTTTGAAGTTGTATAACTTATTTGACAATCAGCACTTAGTTCTTATTCACATTGACTGTAGATTTCTGAAAGTGGCAACAGGTGCATAGGTAACCAATGTACAGACCTTGTTTGGCTCATTTCTGAACCACACATGGCATGGGACATTCCTCATTCCTTTGGCCCGGAAAGCTTTGCTGAGCTTAGTATGAATGTGTGTAATGGGAGTTCCCCTCTCCTTCAGGACAAATTTCTGGCCCTCTTTGAGTGCCCCAAGGGGTCTGTTTCTTGAAGCCCACTCTGCGAATGAGCTTGTGAATGTCGATGGTTTAGTCTCTGGTCACCACCTCATTGAGGGCAGGTGGCCCTTCTTGCCACCTTACTATTCAGAAACCATTTTTGCCAGGTCCAGATAGAAAGGAAGATTGCAGGGGACTGGGTGAGAGGGAAAGCAGAGATTGCAAGTACAACTTCTGCATCAGCTGGAGGCAGGAAAAGTTGGAGGCGGGGGCGGCCTTTGCACGTTAAAAAGGGGGCTAGTTAAAGAGAGATTATTTCTACCACCCCTTAAAAATGAATGCCACATAATGGAATTTCCAACTGTACATCAGGTGGATAGATGGGAGAAATGCACCACCCCTTCCCTCATGCGTGAGACGGCTGACACATCCCTCAAACAACGTGGAGGCGGTCATCATACAAGGCAGTGGAGAGCAGTAGAAAAGGCTTGGGCTGTGGATTTGGACTGATCTTGTTTTAATTCCTGGTTTTGCCATTAACTCTGGGAACTAAATTATCTAGGGCCCCAGAACCTCATGTTTCTTCATCAATCCAATGGAAATGTTATCTCATGAGAATTACTTGTATTTGTTGTTATCTCATGAGAATTACACACGTATTCGTTGTCATGGGAATCACCCAGCCCTGAGTGGATGCCTTAGTGTTGGAGTCCTCCTCCTTTCCCTCACCTCCTACTCCACCTAGAAAGGACGTGCACCCTGCCTCACAGCCCCCAGCGGTGACATCCTCTTTTCTCTCTGTCATTCACACCCGCCCACCTCCCACGCAGACTCGTGGGGGAATTTGGTCCACATCAGCACAGAAGGTCTTTTCTTCTCATGCCCACATGTTGGGGAACCACCCATTTGCTGGCTGTGTCTGGGAGAGGCTAGTGATCATGACAAAGCCTGACGTGCAGGGACTTTCCCTCGTCTGATGGCGGCAGCCCCTTGTCTTCAGCCTTCCTCCTGCAACTTCAGTTCTGAGCCAAAAACAAGGCTGAGAAAAGCCTGACCTCCAGTTTCTACCCTGGTGTAGGGGGTTGGAGTCACTTTTCTGGGCCCCCACAATCGTTGCTAGATGGAAAATATGCACCCTTCAGTGCTCCTCCCAGCTCCATCTCCTTCCTTGCCTTCTCCCCCATCCTTCCTTGGCTTCCAATCCCCTTCCAGACAGAGCAGAGAGGCTGGGCCTTCAGGAGAGGGGGCAGAAGGGCTTTCTGAGCTCCCTGAGTGCTTGTCCTCCTGCCACAGACCTCTTCTAGGCTGCTTTGAGTTATTGTTTATTTTTGACCAAGGTGTAAGTTCCTGGAGAGTCTATTTTACTTACCTCTCCTCCATAATGCATAGTAAAGCACTCTGCATGTCACAGGCACTTTGCGACAATTTGACACTGGCTGCATCACCTCAGTCCCAACTTTTGCTACTTTGGACCTGTTCCCCAGGAAACACAGGCATGGAAGGGACCTCAAGAGGTCATCTGTGTCGTTCTTTTCAGAACAGGCAGGAAAAATGTTACCGCAGAGGCAACCGCAGCCAAGGGAGGGTAACTGACCTGTCCCAGGTGGGACAGCTGGCAATGGAAAGGGGGCGTAGAGGCAGGGATTGTCATGGCGCTCTGTTCTTTGAATTATATTGAACTATAATTTGCCTTGACAACTATTGAGTTGACTAGAGTAAATCTTCCCAGAAACCACTGGCAAGAACATCCACTAAATGCTATTTGCAAGAAATGCATTAAAAGACATTCATCAGTGAAAAGAGAGACTCCAGCTGCCCAGAAAAGCCTGATGAAGTTTGCAAAGGGCAAGAGTAGAAAAAAAGTTACTTTGCCTTTTCCGTAAAGTAAAGCCAAGTGCCAACCGGCACTCAACACTGAGACCTCCTCCTTGGGGCCTCCTTTCTTTAGGCCAAAGAGGAGCTTCAGAAGAAGCAAGAAATGAATGTTTATATGTTTTTCTCTCGAGTCTAAACCATGCTTTTCATCCCCCAGGTTTCCTCTGCTTTTTTCACTTTTTCGTATTTCTTTTTCCCAACAGAGATGGCAGTGAGGAAGAGCCCACATGTCATGGCCATACCACCTCCATTTGGTGTTAGAACAGATTTCAAATTCCTTTGTTTTGTTTTTATTCCATGGTGCTTTTTCCATAAGTGGTGGTTTCTATTAAATCCATAAAACAGTCATTTGCAGATGGTCTGGCATTTTTTTCTTTGTCATAAAATATTATATGCTACTAACAAGGTTAACTTCATCCACTTGATATTTTCATTGGGTATATATATTTTAACTCTGAGTCATAAGAAAATAATATGGCAGACAAAATATACATTTCCTGAGGCAATGAGAAGGAAGATTTGAAACACAGATTTCACTGAGTTGGGCCTGCCCACTACAGATATTAATAATTTCCTTTTGTAGACTATTTGAAGCCTATTCTATGAATATATTATATAACCCTACAATTTCAATGCTGGAAAAAATGTCAGAATTCATTCCTTTCCATCATCTAATTTTCCAGAAGAGGAAACTGAGGCTTGGGCGTGAAATTAATTGTCTGAAGCCTCCTCGTAGTGTCAGAGGTGGGACAAGAAATCCAAGTTCTTCATTTTTAAGTGAACTGTCTCTGAAAAAAATAAAACAAAATATTGCTCAGTAACAATGTACTACTAATGCCTTCTTATAGTAAGCCCTCAGTGAATATGTCTTTTGAGTACTTGATTCATGGAAACAGTAAAAAGTCACCAGTGATAAATAAACAAATGAAGGAGAAGAGACAAATCTCCTATGCAAATGAATTCAAAGTAATTTATGTAGATACTATCGAGGAGGTGAAGCAAACTCTTTACCTAAATGTGGGCTGCCCATAGTGACTTCTTTCCAAAGAGCAGAGTATGGAAAGCGGGTGTGGGGTAACTCCACAGTGGAGAAACCCGACCAACGGCCCCTCTGCCAGGTGATCAAGGTCAACATCGACAGTGTTAAGTCATTTGGTAGTCTGTACGCTGTATATGATTTGATGAGAATGGTACTCCACGTCTGTGGCCTTCCTCCCAAAAAACCCGTAACCCCAGTCCAATCATAAGAAAAACATGAGGAAAATCTCAACTGAAGGACATTCTACAATATACTTCAACAGTACTACTCAAAACTCCCCCAAATAAGGAAAGCCTGAGAAACTGTCACAGCCAAAAGGAGCTTAAGAGGCACGATTAAGTGTAATGTGGGAACCTGGGACAGAAAAAGGACATCAGGGGAAAACTTATGAAATCTAAATAAAGTATGGACTTTAGCTAATATAATGGATATTGGTTTATTAACTGTGACAAATATGCATACTCATGTAAGATGTTAATAATAGGGAAAACCAGTTGAGGGTAAATGGGAATTCTCTGTACTTTCTTCTCAATTTTCCTGTGAATCTCAAATTGTTCTAAAAAATATAGACTTTTTTTTAGGTGGGGCGGGAGGTATGTGCTCTCTTCTGTCACCCAGGGTAGAGTGCAATGCCATGATCTCAACTCACTGCAACCTCTGCCTCCTGGGTTCAAGCAATCCTTTCATCTCAGCCTCCCAAGTAGCTGGGACTACAGGCGTGTGCCACCACACTCGGCTAAATTTTTTTTTTTCTAGTAGAGATGGGGTTTCACCATGTTGGCCAGGCTGGTCTTGGACTCCTGACCTCAAGTGATCTGCCCACCTCGACCTCCCAAAATACTGGGATTACAGGTGTGAGCTACTGGGCCCGGCCTAAAGACTTCCAATTTTTAAATCACTGGTAAACGGGTCAAGAGAAAAAGCAAGGGTTTTCTGTCGTAACCCATTGTAACCCATTGCCACAATATGTCCTTTTCCTCACCTATCCACCTGCAAATGCACCTTTCAAGGTTTTCTTAATAAGAAAGGGAAGAGAAGTCACTATGCTTTAACTTCACTAGCATCTTTCCCATCCTAATATCTGGGCAGTTTCTTCACACAAACCCTCAAGAAGGGACTATAGAGTAAGAAAACTAGAATGTGTGATGCATGGGGGCAGGGATCTTTGTCTGTTTTGTTCACTGGTGTTTCCCAAGTTCACAGAAAAGGTGTCTGACACATAGTAGATGATCAATAAATATCTGTAAAATTAAGTGAAAGCCATAAGTAAGAAATTAGCTTTTAAAAAGATATCTGTTGTATGAAATGTGGTCTAAAATGCTGTAACTGCACAATTATTAATGGTCCATTAAAAATACAGAAAATAAAAAATAAACAAACTGATTTTCAAAATAAATATATCAGAGCTCGTATACTCAAATCAGTGTAAGCCTTCCAAATTAGTACTCCTGGCAGGCACACACTTCATTCAACCCTGATGTTACTACTCTAGATAATTTTAGAATTGTTCACTTAAAATTTTTTAGCACTTACAGGATCAGATCCAGACATGTAAAATGAGACCTTCGTGATCGAGGCCTCCAACTGTTTCCTCTAAACCACTTTCCTCGAGACAAATGTCTTCTTGCTGGAAACCTTCCCCCTTCTACTCCCATTCCTCATCCATCTAAGAAATTCCAATTCCTCCATAAAATCCTATCTTCAGAGACACGTTCCCTGAAAACCCTTTTCTTACCGTCATATCACCACCTCCCTGAGAGAGAATTCATCATTTTTTGGTCCTGCATTTGTTCCCTATTTTTACCCTTATCATGATGAGCTGTGTCTACGTGTTTATCTCGTTGTTCTCTAGATTAGCCTGTGAGCTTCTCAAAGGCAGGAGTCTTGTATCATTCGTCTCCATATCCGCAGAGCTGCCTACAGAGCTGCTAGCTCAATAAGTGCCTGTTGAATTGAATGGGATAGAACAGAACTGTAATTAAGTCCAAAGTCATAAGACATATTCCTTTTCATAATCTCAGTGCTGGCAAATCTCAATGCTTTGAGGCTGGATATGTGACTGAAAAAGATCAAAGTCATTTAGTACCTACTTTGATGAACAAAGTGGGTAAAAATGCACTGAGCAATGCTATTTTATACAAGTCCAGAAATGTCTACCGCTAAGGAGATGAATGGTCTTATATGTCTCACCAGGAAAACAGGTTCAAAAATCAGTCTTAATATTGTATAACTAAATTCATACCTATTACAAAATGCTTACATATGTAGACAATAGAATCTGGTTATCGCAATAATTTGTTCAACCATGTATTCAATAAAGTTGTTTTTATTAAATGTAATAAGCCTAGCACTGTCTAGGTCTGAGGTATTGCAAGAATAAAAAGACAAGGTCCTGTCCCTAAGGAACTCACATTCAAGGGGTGGAAGAAGAGCTACACAGTTATCACACTAGTCAAACTATAGTAAGTGACAAATAAAGGTGTAAACACTATACTTTGGGACTATAGATTCTGGAATTTTTCATCTTAACTGGGAAGGTATAAGAAAGGATACTCATTGAATTGCTATCTTTGGCCAACCTCAGCTGCATATGTCTAGGGGATAGTGTAGATGATGTGTAGTGAAAGTTGAAACTGGAAAAAAAGAAGGTTTAGGCCAGACTGTGACAGCATCTCAGTGCTGATCTAAGGCATCATTCTGTGGGGAAAAAAAAAAAAAAACAAAAAAAAAACCACAAAAAACATGAAGCTGTTGGAAGTTTCTAAACTCATAGCAACTACCAGACCTGAGATTCAGGAAGATGACTCTGTTGTCAGTGTGGATGACACGTAGAGGATGATCAGAATAAAGGTGAGATCAGAGAAGCATGAGAAGAAGGAAGCCCAGTTATGGAAGGCATTCACGTAGGCCCACGATCCTAACAGTTTCTCTCACGAGCCCTTTACACTCTTAAAAACTACTGGGAACCCGGAGAGTTTTCACTGTTGTGGGTTATATCTATTTTTAATACATTATAAGTATAACTTGAGACAAATTTAAAACACAAGAATGCCTAAGGACACTTTCCATTAGCCATCAGAGATAGGACATCCCATGTCCTGTAGCTTCTAAAACACTCCACTTTCTACTTCTTAAAGAATGAAGGTAAACAAGGAAAATAACGTTTTACTATTACTATGAAAATATTTTCACATCACAGACCCCCTGAAAAGGTTTCAAGGATGCCAGGGATGTTGGGAACACTTTGAGAACCATTGATCTGGATATATGACTGAAAAAGACCAAAAGCCATTTGGTACATACTTTGATGAACAAAGTGGGTAAAACTGTGCTGAGCAATGCTATTTTATGCAAACCCAGAAATGTCTACAAATAAGGAGATTAATGGCTTTATATGTCTCATCAGGTAACCAAATTCCCGTTAGACAATAGGCCCAAAGCAGAGATAGAAGAGAAGAAAAAATAACCAATCAATTACACTTCAGAGGTAACCTTGGTAGGAACTGGTGACAGATTGAATTAGTGTGGGGTTGGATGGGGTGGTTTGGGAGCAGATGAAGGAAGAAAGAAGAGCTAAAAATAGCTCTCAGAGTTTTATTTCGGGGAACTGTGCGATTTTTTGCCCCAGCTTCTCCAATATTTACATATGTAAATATTTAATAAAATTAAAATTTGCGTATGCTTACATAATACTTTTAAACTGCGGCTTGGTTGTTTGGTCTTCTTATTGAGATTCTTAAGCAACCCCATGGTATTCTACCCAGAAATTTTCTTCCTCCTACCAGCAAAGTACCAAGGATAGTAAGGACTTGGTATAAATGGTTGATGAATGAATGAGCACCAACCTAGATACATATAATACATAATTTTCCGAGCCCTCAGATGAAAAATATAAATGTGCAAACTTCTACTCTTAAACAATGAATCACCTTTTAAGTATGTATTGAAATTATTTTCATAAGGGGGCACCCCTCACCCTCCAGTCCAAGAACAATAGTACTAAACCCACTTTAAGAAACACCCATCACTTAACTGTGCCTTTTTTGAAGTAGGGTGTGTCCATTTAATTAGTTTTAATTTAAAGACCAATTAACAAGGTTTCAACATAGAACAACATAATAAAAATCGATTTTTTTATTTCCTGAACTACTGAATCATCTCTGATGATTCTGACTGGATCTGAATTTATTTGTACAATACAATTTTATTCCAAAGTGTTTACGAAAACCACATTTTAGTTCTTTCCCTACTTGGTTCCACACCCTTCTGTGTTTTAGCCCATTAACCTCAATAAACCTGCTCAGTTTGCCATTTGATTTCAGTCAGATGCCTTATTCCATTTTTTCTGTCCTGCAACCATAATGTGACGACAATCTGGGTACAATTGCAGAATCCCACGCTACGCCACAGGACATGGTGTGGCCATTCACGTGCCTTAACAGTTCAGAAACATTTGCTCAGAACATGAAGAGCCAGGATGAGACCTTAGCCCATGTTCAACGACGTGCCTTCTCCAACCCTCCATGTGGCGGATCCTGCAGTGTCAGAGAGGGCTTGTCATTTCCTGATCACCTTGTGCACGTCATGCTTTTGTGCTTTTCCTCATGCTCTTCCCTTCATCTGGTTTGTTTTTCCCTCCTTCCTCTTTCCTTCTTTCAAGGTACAGTTCAAATGACGCTTGCTATGGGAAGTCTTCTCCGGTGCCTCTGGCCTGGTTTAGCCACTCACTTCCCATAGCTCCTGCTCACAGCTCTTAGGAGTTTCACAGTCCTTTAGCTCATGACTCATTAGGCTGTGGGCTGCTTTTAGCCATAACGTCATATGTGTAATCAGCCCTTCATAATTATTGCTTCAATGGAATTGACACCCAACCAGATAGTAGGAGAGATAAGCTCAAACCTCCTGACTCAGCACATGTGCACAAGTTTCCCAAATCCCTAGTCCACATTAGATCTTTTTCCTTGTCAATAAGAAAAAGCTTCTCTTAAGAATTATTAAACTTCCAATTCACCTTCTCAGAGTGGATAATAAGAAAGCTTTTATGGTGGGGTGGCAGGGTGGGGAATAGATATGAGATCCACAACAATGAGTGGGGTATGTAGGTGTCTCCAAATACTTCCTACTTGGCATAGGTCTAGCCCTTTATCCAAGCACACTAACTTACTTTGTGAACAAATGCTATGAGATCTATCACAGTCCCAGGAATATAGTGTGTCTGAACTCATCTCTGAGCCTTTGCTTACTTTACTCCCTCAATCCGGACTGTCCGTCAGCCATTCCTTCACTTCTCCCTTTAAGACCAAGTTCATATGGCTTTCCTTCCAGCTTCCTCAACCAGAATCAGAAATGTTAGCACTGGAACTTCTACTCTATTGCTCACACCCTTAATTACCAAATGAGGGACTGAGGCCAGTGAAGTTAGGTGACTTGTCTAGGACCACATAGCTGCCCTGGAATTCAAATCGAGTGGCTTGCAATCCTACCTTCTTTTAATCATATCCACTTCAATCTTGACTCACTTTGTTTCTCTCAACTCAATATCTGGATAGAGTTGTTTCATGTGGATAGATGTGTCATTTCCACCATTTGGTAAAACATCCGGGCACAGGATTATGGGTGGATATGATGCAGTGAAAGACACATGGCATCTGGAGTTAAACAAACCCAGACTCAAGAGCATCCCACGGTCTAACTGTGTGACCTCGGGAGAGTTATGCAAACTTCTGAGCCTCTATTTCCTCATCAGTAAAATAGTAAAACACAAGTGGGGCCAGTGAAGTGCCAGGAGGTTGGACAAGCTATCAGAACCTCAAAACGACGTGCTGCGTGGACAAGGGCACGTGTCTCACACTCACTGGCCTAGAGTGGGGTGGCCATATCTGCATGGTCCCCTTTCAGTTCTAAACAGTTCCTTGACTCAGGGATTCAGGGTAGTGTCTACTAAAGTAAAACACCAGCTTGTTTTCAAGAAGGGAAATGTTGATGCTGCCTCTGCATAGAGTCATAGGGAAGAACAACAGATAGCCTGCCAAAGATATGGTCCAAAACATAAAAATAAAACATGTCAGCTCACTGCCAAAGTGACTTCAAAATAGTCAGGATCTTAAGTAGTTCAAAACCCTAAAGACTGATCTTGTGGTCAAGGGCATCAACCTCACAGTGCCGCTGTTTCAGTCCTCTTCCCCTGACCGAGGGCCACGTTTCCTCTTGACCAGATGTGATATCCTATGACCCTTACCTCTGTGTCCCTACGCATGGAATTTTATTTTTAATCATTTGAAAGCAGAGTAAGCACAAAGCCTGCTCACTGAACCCTGGGTCAGACCATGTCATATATCTACTTTAAAAAAAAAAAAGTACTCTCTTTTATTAAAAAATAGAAAAGGAAGCCCTAAGAATGTTGTATGTTTTCTGTGTTTATATTCACATTGTGAAATGGGTAAAATAATACTAAACCCTTAATGGTGGTAACCTCAGGAGGGTGTGTAGAGATGAAATGATTGTCTTTCTTTACCTCTTAGAACTCTGAATGATACCAATGAGCATGCAGTTGTTCTGGTATTTTATCAAATAAATCAAATCATTACTTTTTAAAAAGAAAAAAAAATTTTCCTTTCAGTTGCTAATAAAACAGATATTGGTTGCTGGGAATTTTTTTTTTATCTTCAACTAGACTCCACTTCCCCCAGAAAGGTACCAAAAGCAGTTTAGGAGAAGATGGACAACTTGATCTCAGGTTTACTAAATTAGCAATAAACTTCAACTTCTCAAAAGTCTATGGTAAGAGTATTCAAGTCCCCTTTGCTTCTTGATTTTTAAACACAGTTATGTGCAGATTCACTTTTCCCAATCAATAAACAACGTCTCTTTATTACCTAAACTGGATAATTCCAGAAGTCAACAGGCAGCCAAATGGCAGTTTCTCATTTCTTTGAGATCACTGCTGATTGCTCCCTCTCCGGCTTCCTTGGAGCCTGTTGTGGACACTGTTGGCGTCTTGCCCAGTTCCTTCACCAGGCAGTGCCTCCACCCCACTGCTGTGGTGAGTGGCGGCTGCTGGTGGCTCACAGCTGCCTCCTTCTCGGAAGAACCGTGCTCAGCTCCTGGGAGGTTGCTGCCTCCAGGAGGTGATGTGCCTCCGGCAAGGCCCTGGCGGAGCTGCAGAGCACAACCCCCCTGCTGGATGGGGGCCACGTATGGGGCGCCCCGCACGTTGCAGAGCCACCCTTGGGCTTCCGCAAAAGCCGCGTCTTTGCTTCTTCTCTTGCTGTTTCCTCACTTCGGTAGAGGCTTCTCTCTCAATAAATCACTTACATGAGATAAGTAAATCACTCTCTTCAGGCCTAAAACAGCTGGGCTTTTGGTTACCCTAATGAGGAGCATTTTCATATAAAGTTATAGTTGATTAAAACTTAAATTCTTTAAAACTTAAAAATTAATATGGAAAAAAAATAGCTCACTATCCATCCCACCTTAGCCTCCAGTTCACGTGTGAGGAAATCTAAAATGTTCTTCAGATTCACAGCAACATCCAAGCTCCAAAGGCAGAGAAATAAGGATAAAATGCAATTATTATGCCTGGCCTACATAGTGGGTATTTAATAAACATTTCACAACTAAAAAAATTTTTGCCAAAATTTACTTGATTGGAAATAATGCCCAATTCAAGAATCAAAATGGCTGATTGTTGAATGTTTAAAAATGTTTTTGTGACTTTTACATAATTTTTTTGGAACCCAGAATACCCACTTAACATGTAGGAGTAACATATAGGTTTACGGAATAGGAAGAAAGGAGCTTGGGCCACAGTCCAGTCTTCAACTAGCCACCGTCAATTCCAACACAACTCCATCTCCATAATCCTGTACTGTGGCCCACAGGAAAGAGTGGAGCCTTACTGGGTACCAAAAGAATACTTTGCCTCTCTGAATGCACCTGGAGGGCAAGATTAACATTTGTATAAAATAATAATGACAGACGGGTGTGGTGGCTCATGCCTGTAATCCCAGCACTTTGGGAGGCCGAAGCGAGCGGATCACCTGAGGTCAGGAGTTCAAGACCAGCCTGGCCAACATGGCAAAACCCCATCTCTACTAAAATTACAAAATTTTAGAATACAAAAAATTACAAAATTTTAAAATACAAAAATTAGCCGGGCGTGGTGGTACATGTCTGTATTCTCAGCTACTCAGGAAGCTGAGGCAGGAGAATCACTTGAACCCAAGAGGCAGAGGTTGCAGTGAGCTGAGATCATGCCACTGCACTCCAGCTTGGGGGACAGAGTGAGACTTTGTCTCGAGAAAAAAAAAAAAGAAAGAAAGAAATAATAATGACAATACTACACAAAAATATATTGACATTTTAATTGACCTTTTGGGAGTCTAGTTGATAGATCAATAGATTAATAAAGTAAAATGAGAAATAAAGGGAAAATATTGGCATGTTGTTCGATTATTCAAATAGAATCTATTTTTTATTCATGGGATAAGTTGGAATTTTCCTTTTGTCAGGAGAATCTATTCTATAGCACAATCTTGATCTAGAATAATGACATACAAATAGACTTTTAGGATAGAAAACCAAATGATATCCTTACCAACTGTGGATTCAAAACCAAAAGGAAAATATATTGCATCACTTTTCTTGAAGAATGCAAGCAAAGGATAGGCATGTAGTTTAATCATCTCTGCAATGTATTAAGAGGTTAATCCTGTTTTAAGTAATCTATGAACTCTAACCATAAAACACACCATATTTAAAAATAAATATCCATGACTAGAGCATCTAAAGAGCATGTCTCCATTTAAAGAGGTCAGTCCCGGAGAACATCCGCTTTTTCCAGTGAGCTTTCCATTGTTTAAAAATGTAGGAGAGCTTCTTTTAGAATTACCTTCACAGACCACAGCATATTCTTTTGAAATTTTTCAGTGGTGAAAAATCCTTACTCTTTGAGGTTGGCCTCGACCTTCAAAAACAGCCAACACCTATTTTCAGACAAGTCTGAGGAAAACGGAATGATAGGGTTGGATAGTTAAGGCAATGACACATGTGAGGTAATTTACAAAAATACTCAAGCATAGAGAAGTTAAAACAAAGATGGCCGCTATATCCTGCCTTTCACATCCTGGCCCAGTTGTCTATCTCTGAGCATCTCTATATTGGTTTTTTTTCAGCTGGACAGTAAACTCTATTGAGTTTTCATTGTATCCCTGAAGTTCAGAGCTCAGAACTAAATCAAATAACATGATAATAATACAACTGTAATCGCTCTTGGCGGTATTAGCTTGAGGTTTGTCTCCTTGTAGCCTATGTGCTTATCAATTACATTGTCATAAATGCATGATAAGAGGATGGGCCCTTGAGCCAGGCTGCTTGGCCTGAAACCCCTGCTCCAATACTTATTATTAAACATGATTACTTAATCTCTCTAGGTTTCCATTTCAGCATCTGTTCAACAGAGATAATAATTGGAACTTTCTCATGTTGTTGCGCAGAGTCAGTAACAATATATTTCAAATATTTAGAACACTGCCTGCTATATAGTCCACACTAAGTAAGTATTAACCATAATTATTTTGTGTGGGTTTTGTGTGTAACAGGCAAAGAATGAGGAACTAGTCTTCAAAAATAAACAAACAACAAAATAAAAACCAGCTTTCATTGATTCAAATGATACACCACCATCCTAACCAAAGTTGCAGGAATATTTTTTTTTTTTTGAGATGGAGTCTCTCTCTGTCACCCAGGCTAGAGTGCAGTGAGGCGATCTCGGCTCACTGCAACCTCTGCCTCCCAGGTTCAAGCGATTCTCCTGCCTCAGCCTCCCGAGTAGCTGGAATTACAGGCGCACACCACCACGCCCAGCTAAATTTTTGTATTTTTAGTAGAGATGGGGTTTCACTATGTTGGTCAGGCTGGTCTCGAACTCCTGACCTTGTGATCTGCTCGCCTCAGCCTCCCAAAGTGCTGGGATTACAGGAGTGAGCCACCGCACCCAGCCAAGTCATAGGATCTTAAGAGGATTGAAAGCCATATAGTGATTCACAGGGCTCTAAGTATATAGGACAAAGACAGCTACTGAGAGGCGTTTTAGAGTTCCATAGCTGTGGATCTCAATGTGATTTTGGAAACCTCCAAAGAGATGAAATTATCGCTGTTAACAGAAATTGTTGGCTGTTATACTGTATTTTATAGAACGTAAGATGCCACCAATTGAAACACACATCCCAGCTTTGGAAATAATAATTTGAAAAAGTGTGTGCCTCCAAATCAATGAAATATGGTCACAGAAGTTTAGATGGCGACATCCAGCTTCTAGCTTTGGTGAATTCTTTCGCCTTCTAGGTGGAGCCTCACTCATGAAAAGGGAAACTTTCCCAGGATTCCATTATAAAGGTAACAACTGAGCTTTGAGTTCAGCACAGCGAGCAGGGGAAAGCCCCAGTGGGAGACCATATTTTATATAGGAGGTGAAGAAATGCAGAAGAATGTGGAAATTCTTGAGTATGCATAAATGTTTCCTAATGCAGGTGTTAAAAAACTCCCCAAGTGAATTCTGAAATTCAGAATCTTTTTCCATCTATGGAAAGAACACATTGTTCCAGTCAAAAGCGAAACAACCAGGCAAAAAAGAACTCCCAGACCTCTCTTTTCCATGCTGCCCTTTGATTTTCCGGGAGCTCCAGTCTTGGACTACAACCACAGTTACTGAAACCTGGACAGGCTGCTCCTCACCTAACGATAGCAGAGCCAAGACTCGCTGCAAACAGCATTAACAAATGCAAACGAATCAGCCCTAAAGGCTCAGATCCCATTTTTAACAATTTGTTTTTATATTTCAACTCAACAAATATTAGTCAAAGACTCTGGACTATGTGTAGGTTATTGTTTAAAAGAAAAATGAACCCAGGTGCAGAGAGTTTTGTGCCAAGGGCTAAAAAAGAGACTCTGAATTAGGATCACCTGGCACTCCATCCTGTGTAGGGGGATGAAGGGAATATGACAGAGGAAGGCAGGGCAGGGAGCCGGGGAGAGAGAAAAAGAGAGAGAGGCAGAGGGAGGTTGACATCTGTAAACATAATTCAATTTTCTTAGTGTCTTGGACTGCTCTAAAAAGAATTTTACACAGAAGTGTAGGAAAGACTGTCTTCTGATAATCCACTGGAATCTATTCACCACAAATTTGAAAGAAACTTCGAAGATTGGCCAAAGGTTCTTTGCACCTCACATGTACTCAACCATCACCACCTGCAGCCTATAGCCAATTGGTAAATTCATAACACACCCCTTCTGTTAAAATGTGACTCTTGGATCCATCTCCTCGGCTAGATTTGGGGGCATTTTGGCATAAAGTTTAATTTTTTGAGCAAGTTCCTGAGTGAAACTACCACTTTTTTGCAGATGAAGAATATAATTCAAGACGTTCATTTTTTTAGTATAAAACCTGGAAGATAGGCCAGGCGCAATGGCTCACGCCTCTAATACCAGCACTTTGGGAGGCTGAGGCAGGTGGATCACCTGAGGTCAGGAGTTCAAGACCAGCCTGACCAACATGGTAAAACCCCATCTCTATTAAAAATACAAAAATTTAGCTGGGCGTGGTGGTGTGCGCCCATAGTCTCAGCTCCTCGGGAGGCTGAGACAGGAGAATAATTGCTTGAACCCAGGAGGCGGATCTTGCAGTGAGCCAAGATCATGCCACTGCACTCCACCCTGGCCAACAGAGCGAGACTCCATCTCAAAAAAATTTAAAAAAAAAGATAAAAAAATAAAATAAAAAAACCTGGAAGATGAGTAGCCATATAATTCATCAGTATTTTTTAAATTAGATTATAAAGTGTATCTTATTTTATCCACTAAAAATAATTTTTTTAGGAAAAAATAATAGTTATATCTCAGTACTTTCATAATTATTCAATAATACTGTTCATACCCTACTTCAAGTAATTCTAAATGGTTTAATGTCTTTCACTTATAATTTGGATCAAATACTACTGGAGTTAGATCATTGAACATCTAAGACTTAGAAATCTTGTGTTTATACAATAATTAAGGAAATAATATTGGCATTTAATACAAGAGCAATTGGCAGGAATTTGTCAAGAAACTGTATCAGAACTTCATTTACCTAACTTAAATTTTCCTTGTTTTTTCATCTATATATTTTTCAAAAGTAATTGTCCAAACTATAAAAATGAAAATGAATACATTTTGTTTAATTATCTATAGCCTCTTTTATAACTAACCCAACAATGTCATTGTTAAAGTTTTTGTATTGTATTCTTCTCGTTGGCAAAATGAGATTTGGTAATATATTCAAAGCCTATCAGCTCTAACTTAGTATATTTGAAGCTCGATGACACCCTGGTAATGAATTTGAAATTGTCTGCCTTCCCTTCCACCACAAACACACACACTTTCTGGTATTTTTCTGAAATGCCAGAGCTCCAGATTTTATGCCATTATGTCTGAGTATCTAAAAGACGGCGATGATAAAGCACATGACATCGTATACACTCTGTTCTTTTGACTTTTAAATTCTCCTTAAATATAAACCCTAGCTAAGGCTGCCAAGAAGTTTGGCAAAGGTCAGCCTGGTTTGATTCTTTCTAAGTGGGCGAAACCAGAATTACTGGCCTTACAAATTATTTTGGTCTCCATGAACAGTTCCTCTTCTCTAACATTAAGTTCATCTTCTGGCCAGGCACAGTGGCTCACACCTGTAATTCCAGCACTTCGGGAGGCCGAGGCAGGTGGATCACTTGAGGTCAAGAGTTCAAGACAAGCCTGGCCAACATGGTGGAACCCTGTCTCTACTAAAAATACAAAAATTAGCTGGGTGTGGTGGCACTTGCCTGTAATCCCAGCTACCGGGGAGGCTAAGGAAGAAGAATCGCTTAAACCCAGGAGGCAGAGGTCGCAGTGAGCCAAGATCGCACCACTGTACTCCAGCCTGGGCAACAGAGCAAGAATTTGTCTCAAAAAAAAAAAAAAAAAGTTCGTCTTTAGTGTTTATTCAAATGTGTCTGAATTGTCTGGCCCACTAATACTTCCCCTTTAATGAGAATGCAGTTCCTTGCCAGAAGTCCCATTTGGATAATTTACTTTTTCTTTGTTGATCATATCAAGCAAATCACTCCAAATAATAATACTTTAATAACATAGTTCTTTCCAGGAAATGTCATCTTGCTGATGGCATCTAAAGCTGGATATTATTAAAATCTGAATTTTTTCCAACCTGGCTGCGCTGCGGTTTAACACCCCTTGAAGAGAGACAACATGGAGAGATGATCTGTCTTGTGATCAGTATTTCAGGTTGGTGGTCAGATAAAAGCTCTGAGAGAACTCTTTCCAAGGATTTTCTGTGCACGCTCAAATTTCTTCTTCTGTGTTGATTCAAGCCGTTATTTCAAGCTAAAGTACCTCTGTAAAAACAGGCCATTGAGGCAGTTCAGAATTAAATAGAAAAATTTTTTTTCATTTATTTTCACTTTCTGACAATGTATAATTTAAATCACTTTATTAGCCCTTAATGAATGGGATAATTAACTAGTGCAAAACCTAATGCAAAATCATTATAAAAGGTTCTATTCCAAAATAAAAGCATTTGCCTCCATCTTGTTTTTCATCTACGTTTATTCCATGTGTTGTGATGTTTGCCCATCACACAGAAAAGAGATTCTCCTGAATTAAAGGAGATGGAGTTCATTTTGATGAATGACACAAAATCTTTGCAAGTTAATATTTGTTTCCAAGATAACATTGTAGAGCACACTCAGTGAATATATCCCTTCTCAAAAAAAAAAAAAATGGAAAGAAGTACTTCTTTGGCAGTAAATGGATAACAAGAAAGAAAGGTTAGAGTCTAGGGAAACAATGTTTCACCTTAATGTCGGGATGTGTTGGCTACAATTACCGAATACCCAATCAAAAATAACAAGTAATATAGGAATTTCTATCTCACCTAACCAGAAGTCTGTTACAAGGTAGGATGGTATAAGGCTGATACAATAGCTCAGCAGTCTCAGCTCTGAGTCAGGTAATATCCAGTGAATACTTTATTCATTCTTCATCCAACATGTCTTTAGATATGCCCTTGGGCTTCCTCTGTGCCAGCCCAGGTGCTAGGAGACCATGGCACAGTGCTGGCTTGGGGCCTAGTACAGTCCAAGGTTCTATGGCTGATACAAACAAAAGGTAAGATAGAGTCTTTGTTGTTGAGAAGCTAACTCGCTTTTTATCAGGAAAAGGCTGATATATACATGAAATAAAACAGTCTGACACAATAGTCAGGCATTTATTTGATTGTCACACATTGTACACATCTGGATGGATAGAGGCAAGCATAAAGCAGAAAGAGAATGTTCTGGAAAGTTACTGAGTAGCTCACAAAACTAACTGGAAGGCTGAAGGACTACATTTGGAAAACAACACAAAACCCAAGGTTTTCACAACCAGGATCACATACAAGGAACTGCTTGGGTGCAAAGTCACCACCAGATATCAGGTACAAGACATTGCCAAGATCTGGATGAATTTTGAAGTGTCCTTCTTTTGTGGCGTTGCCTGCCTCAGCACTAAGAGTTCACACCTACTGTGAGCATACTGCCTATGAAGCCCAGTTCTAAGCAAGCTACCTTTATCTCAGTTCATACTTATGATGCGTTAGGGTGTTCTTGCATTGCTATAAAGGAATACCTGCGACTGGGTAATTTATAAAGAAAAGAGGTTCAGTTGGCTCAGGGTTCTGCAGGCTGTACAAGCATGGCATCTGCATCTACTCCACTTGCAGGGAGGGCTCAGGGAACGTCTACTCAGGGTGGAACGTGAAGTGGGAGGAGGCACATCATATGGCCAGAGCAGAAGCAAGAGAGAGAGTGGTGGGGGGTGGGGCTGCAACACACTTCTAAACAACCATATCTCGCGAGAACTCACTCAGTATCGTGAGGGCAGCACCAAGCCATGAGAGATCCACCCCTATGACCCAAACATCTCCCACCAGGCCCCACCTCCAACACTAGGAATTACATCTCAACATGAGAGTTGGAGGGGACACCCAAACTCTATCACATGATAACCCTCTGAAGAAGCTAATTGTCCCTTGACCAGGCACAGTGGCTCACACCTGTAATCCCAGCACTTTGGGAGGCCAAGGTGGGCAGATCTCTTGAGGTCAGGAGTTCAAGACCAGCCTGGCCAACATGGTGAAACCCTGTCCCTACTAAAAACACAAAAATTAGCTGGGCGTGGTGGCAGGTTCCTGTAATCCCAGCTACTCAGGACACTGAGGTGAGAGAATCACTTGAACCTGGAAGGCGGAGGTTCAGTGAGCAGAGATCGCACCACTGCAGTCCAGCCTGGGCGACAGAGCAAGACTCTATCTAAAAAAAAAAAAAAAAAAGAAAGAAAAGAAAGTAATTATCCCGTTTGACAGGTTGGGATAGTGAGGCTCTCAGAGGCTGGGTACTTGCCTGAGGCTATAGAGCTGGTAAGTGGGGAAGCTGGTACGCAAGCCCAGGTAGCCAGACTCCACCCCATCGTCTGTCTCTCCAAGTCCAGGAGCCTCTGAATTCCTGAGCTGATGGCCTGTTCTCTAACTGCCAGGAGTCAAAAAAAAAAAGCACAAATGTGACCTTTGCAGTGTCCAAAACTCACATGTGCCTGTCTCTCCGACATGCCAAGGGACTTGAAATGCTGACAAGGAACAATTTACAAATATCACTCCAAAGACTACAGAGAGAGACAGGGAGTAAGTAAAATAAGTGAAAGATCCAAACTTGAGAAGAAATAGTCTAATTATCCTCAAGGTATATTATGATTTCCTATATTCAGCTATATTCTGAATATTTGTTTCAGCCTAGAAATATCTCACTATTTTGCTCTAGTTTGTGGGAAGACAAATTAAGATCAAGGATTATATTTTTCCTTTTCTCTCTTTTTAAATTTGTACCAAGGTAATGCTGGTGAAAGATAGCTCTCTGGTTTCAGTCCTCAATCAACAAATATAAAAAGGTCTGATATGATTTGGCTGTGTCCCCACCCAAATCTCATCTTGAATTATAGCTCCCATAATTCCCATGAGTTGTGGGAGGGACCTGGTGGGAGATCACTGAATCATGGGGGCAGTTTCCCTCATACTGTTCTTGTGGTAGTGAATAAGTCTCATGAGATCTGATGGTTTTGTAAGGGGAAGCCCCTTTTGCTTGGTTCTCATTTTCTTCTTGCCTGCTGCCATGTAAGACGTGACTTTGCTCCTCCCTCACCTTCTGCCATAATTGTGAGGCCTCCCCAGCCATGTGGAACTATGATCCCATTAAACCTGTTTCCTTTATAAATTACCCAGTCTCAGGTATGTCTTTATCAGCTGTGTGAAAACAGACTAATACAACGTCCTTACTCCATTCTACTTCTCAAATATTTAAATGATTTTCAAGAGATATTATACACAACATTAACTCAGAGATGGTTTTATTAAACACACAAGAAGAAAAAACAAAACGAAACAAACATATTTTTATTCTTCTCTATATCTCTAGCTTGGAGGAGAAGGAAAGAATGAGTATATTATGGATGTATTGTTAAGCCAGCCAAATTGAGTTTATCTTTTCTTTCTAAGGGATAGAGAGATACAACTGCAACCAGAGAACCCCTGTCTTTGTCTCTTCCCTTAGCATTTTCCTGACTGTATAGGCTATTTGAGTTTATATTCCAATAGTAGCACTAGCCAGTAAACAGAGAATACCCAATTACCAAAGCTCACATTGCTCAACCCTAAGAAATAGTGACTAGAATTTCTTATTTTGTTCCCAAACATGGAGAAAGAGAAATTATGTTATTCCCAAATTACTTTTCGAATGTATGTATCCAATATACAATTTACAATAGAATATATACAATATTAATGTATTTTGGTAGCAGGGACAGGAATGCAAGCAGGGGGAAAAGGTAATTTTAAGTTATTTTTTAAATGAAGACCTATTTCATTTACTGCAGACTTCAATTCATTAGAACAAAATTTTGAAAGAAAATTTAATGTTTTCTTTAAGTATATAAACAGGTATATAAAAGTCTATTTAAATATACAGTATCTTTCTCACAGAAGGAAGTCTGGCTTAGTAACATCCAGAATTTGAATTTAAAGCGACTCATGCCACAGGAGCTGGTTCAACTCTGTTGGAAAAAAGAGAGAGAGAGGAAAAAAAAACACAAAACTAGGAATGCATCCCAGAAGAATTCTGCTCTCTTATTTCCTTTTTCGTATTTAGCACACAATCTATCCTCAATTTCCTGAATTGTCATTGCTCTCCATTTAATAAACAAATGATAAAGAGAAAACCCAAGTCATGAAATCAGTGGCTCAATAATCTTCACTTGCGTTTTTAAAAACCCCTAAGCTCCAAGGGCCACTTTAATTTAAAGCCTAGGGCCAATGACTTGTGGAGAAGTTTCCTTTTTTTTTCTTTTTAAGAAGAAAAGCAACCAATATAAATAATGAAACTTAGTGACAAATTCTAAACAGTCTTTTTTGTGTTTAAATATTTTCATCAGTTTTAGTTCTTACCACAGCACCCTGGCTCTCAAAACTTTATTTTTTTAATAATCCCACAAAGATGAATTTCCCTGAATTTGCTTCTTGATACCATTCCAGTAGTCAAAATGGGCAATTGACTTTATTGGTTTTCTAATAATCTGGACACTGGGCCAAAAGAATTCCATGCATCTCTGACTGTTCCCGATACTTGTTTTTCATTTCTAAGGGTAAATACTCTGGAAGGCAGTTTTAGATGACTGGAAAGGACATAATGTTATTTCTATTGAAACTGACTTTCATTAGGAAACCTCATACTGTATTAAACCAGGCTCTTATACTCTCCTGACAAGAATGTTATCTGGAAAGCCATGGTTGACTTCCATGAAGTCAAACTCAGAACTCAAAAATGTACTCAGAAAGCCCTAGGTTTTCTTGAAAATTATAATCCTTCGTAAACTTAATCTCTTTGAAACTTAACAGAGAGCACTTTCTGAAAAAAATACGTTCCATGTACTTACTCTTCACCTAGTAAAATCATTCTTGTTTGTTCTAAAATAACTCAGTTGAGCTTTCAAAGATGGCTTTACATTTTTTTATATTGAAATTTTATTTCAAATGTTTTATTTATTTTTATTTTTTTGAAACAGAGTCTCACTCTGTTGCCCAGGCTGGAGTGCAGTGGCACGATCTCGGCTCACTGCAGCATCTGCCTCCTGGGTTCAAGCAATTCTCCCATCTCTGCTTTCCAAGCAGCTGGAACTACAGTTGCACACCACCACACCCGGTATTTCTTGGTAGAGATGGTGTTTCATCATGTTGGCCAGGCTGGTCTCAAAATCTTGATCTCAAGTGATCCACCCACCTCTGCCTCCCAAAGTGTTGGGATTACAGGCGTGGGCCACCACCTGTAATCAAATGTTTTCTTTATAAGGTAACCCATTTTACCTTCCCTTAGGAAGAATGATGGATTAAATCATTTTTATTTCTTCTTTTTATTTTATGTATTTTATGCACTTCTATGAATCCATAAATATTTCATTTACAAGATATTCACTAGTAATATTGTCTACATGTTATCTGATCTTTTGATTCTTGAGTTTTAATCAACAAAATGAGAAGATTGACTAAAGATGATCTCTAAGTTAACTTCTGTAGTTAAACTGAACTTTCAGTGGAAATCCTATTTAAGTCCTTACCATACGTACTCCATGTCTGTCCTACACTACACTTTAAGGAAAGACACAGTAGATATCAAGGTTACTCTTCAGTGGACACACACCAAAATGTTTCACTCAGTTGAATTATCTGCTATTACTTCAAAGTCCTTAATTCGTTTCTGCAAAAGTAATCAAAATGCCAGAGAAAATTAATAATTTTCATTCTGAATTTGGCCCCAAAATCTTTGAGCTTTTCTGTCTTTCCTCTGTGGAATCCTTTCCACGTTCCCACACTGGTGGAGTTAAAAGTTCCAAAAAGCTTCTGTATTATTTGAACTTATAAAATGACCTCCTTCACTTGGAAAAGCATCCTAAAATACATGAATAAGAATTATTTTGGCCGGGCGCAGTGGCTCTCACCTGTAATCCCAGCACTTTGGGAGGCCAAGGCGGGTGGATCACTTGAAGCCAAGAGTTCAAGACCAGCCTAGCCAACATGGTGAAACCCTGTCTCTACTAAAAATACAAAAAGTTAGCCAGATGTGGTAGTGCACGCCTGTAATCCCAGCTACTCGGGTGGCTGAGACATGAAAATCACTTGAACCTGGGAGGCAGCAGTTGCAGTGAGCTGAGATTGCGCCACTGCACTCCAGCCTGGGCAACAGAGTGAGACTCTGTCTCCAAAAAAAAAAAAGGAATCATTTTACCCAATATGTGAAACACTGAGATTTTGCAAACGTGTTTACTTTTGAAAGGTGTAATTACATTCAGCTTTAAATTATGCAGAACAGATTTTTCAAGTGGTAATATAAACATCTCTTTTAAAGTAACTAATGGAGACCTTGTACTACGTAAAACAACATTTACACAGTTAACAATCTGCTAGGTAGTACTTTAAATGTTTCGTGACCTTCTTGGGCACACTGATATGTTTCTGTTATGAGATTTAATTTTCTGTTACTTCGAAGAGCCGTAGTGGGTCCACACATATCACTTACATAGCAACTAGCTTCATGACAATAGACACAATGGCAAGGTAATTAATACTGTAAGAGGGAGAGATTTTAAATGTGAAAGAATTCAAAAATAAAATTCATAGTGGAAAAGGCCTTTTTATTTTTTAATTTTTATCATATATACTTAAGATGTACATGATGTTTTGATATACATAGTGAAATAGTTATTATAGTCAAGCAAATTAGCATAGCCATTATTTCACAAGTTCTCTGTGTGTGTGTGTGTGTGTGTGTGTGTGTGTGTGTGTGTGTAAGAGCACCTAAAATCTCGTTTGTTAGCAAGTTTCCAGTATACAGTATAATATTATAATTAGAGTCCTCCTGTTGCTCATTGGATCTCTAGATAAGAAGGCTTTTTTTTTTTTTTTTTAGCAAGCAATGGGTTTCTGGGGAAAAGAAGAAAGCTTTTTCAAATGTGACTCAAAATCTAGAAATCATGCAACAAAGAACTGCTAAACTTGACTGAAAATTGGGAGATGTTGGTCAAAGGGTACGAATGTTTGCTTATAGAGTGACTACATTCCAGACATCTAATGTACAGCACAGTGACTACAGTTAATACTGTATCGTATACTTCAAATTTGCTGAGAGAGTAGATCTTCACACAAGGAGAGTGCTCTCATCACACTCATAAAAAAAGTAACTATGTGAGGTGATAAATATGTTAGTTAGCTTGATTGTGGGAGTCATTACACAGGCATACTTATGTCAAATCACCACATGGCACACCTTAAATATTACATTTTTCTATTTGTCAATAATATCTCCATAAAGCTGGAAAAAAAGGAAAAAAACTTGACTGCATAAAAACAATGATTAATTGGAAAATATTTGTAATTCCTATCATTGACAAAAGGCTAATTTTTTTCATATATAAGAATATCCTAGAAATGAACAGGAAAAAAAACAAGTCAGCAGAAAAATGGCTAAAAGGTGCTACCAGACAGTTCACAGAAAGGGAAATACAGGTAGCTTTCTAACACATGAAAAGATGTTCAGACTCTCTTGAGGTGAAGGAAACACTCATTCAAACTTTACTGAGCTACTTTTTCCCAAAGGTCAAATTTGTAAAAATAAAAAGTGTAATAATGTAGTATATCGGTACATTCTTGTATATCACTGATTGAAATGTAATCAATGCCCATATAGAAGCAACTTAATAATAACTACTACATTTAAAATGTGCATACTTTTAAACCTAACCAACTATACACACACATACACACACAACCCACATTTATATCCACACATTTATAAAGTGATAAAGTTAAGACTATTCATTAATTACATTATAATATAAAGTAGCAAAGTGGCAGAAGTACCTTAAAAGTCAATCAGGAGTAGGCAGGTTGAATAAATTATGGCACTCCATATAATGGAATGGAATGCAAAAGAGCTGTTTAAACCAACAAACTACAATTAAGGAGGCTCCTTATGTTCTAATGTGCAGCAGAAATTAACATAGGCCAGGCACAGTGGCTCACACCTGTAATCCCAGCACTTTGGGAGGCTGAGGTGGGAGGATCCCCTGAGCCTAGTTTGAGACCAGCCTGGACAACATAGTGACAGCCTGTCTCTACAAAAAAATTAAAAATTAGCCAGCATGGTGGCATGTGCCTGTAGTCCAAGCTACTCTGGAGGCTGAGGTGGGAGGATCACTTGACCCCAGGAAGTTGAGGCTACAGTGAGCTGTGTTCACACCACTACCCTCCAGCATGGATGACAGAGCTAGATCCTGCCTCAAAAAAAAAGAAAAAAGGTATATTTTCAGAAGTAAAAAAAGTAAGATGTAGAATACCATTATTTAAGTTGAAATAAGGGAGAAGAATTACATATGTGATTATTTGAAAATGCCAACCATATCTCTGGAAGGATACAGAAGAAACTGGTCATGGTTGCCTCTGAAGAGGGGAACTGCATGACTGGGGAACAAGAAAAATAAAGTGTCACTTTTCAAAAGTTGTAGATCATTTAAGTACTTATTGCTGACATATTATTACCAGGCACTGTGATAAACAGGAAGAATTTTTTGCCTTTATGAAGCTACAGTCTATGAGACATAGAAGGCTACCAGATATTACACATTAGAAACCCACCATGTATTAATTTTCTTTTCTTCTCTTTTTTCTGGAGACAGGGTCTCACTCTGTCACCCAGGCTGGAGTGCAGTGGTGGGATCATGGTTCACTGCAGCCTCAGCCTCCTGAGCTCAAGCAATCCTCCCACCTCAGCCTCCCAGGAAGCTGGGACCACAGGTGTGCTCTACCACACCCAGCTAACTTTTTGGTATTTTTTGTAGAAATGGGGTCTTGCCATGTTGCCCAGGCTAGTCTTGAACTCCTGGGCTCAAATAATCTACCTGCCTCAGCCTCCCAAAGTGCTGGGATTACAGGCGTGAGCGACTACACCCGACCTATTAATTTTCTTGGCCATAACTGTAAATGCAGCAGACACACAAAGGAACTAGAGACAGAATAGAAAGCCTGAGGGGAAGGCGACATCTGAGCTGGCATTGAAAAGCCCAGAGGTGTCTGTGTCAGGAATTCCACTAAAGGGAGTTAATTATTTATTTCTCTTTCTTCCTTTCTTTTTGAGATGGTGTTTTGCTCTTGTTGTCCAAGCTGGAGTGCAATGGTGCGATCTCAGCTCACTGCAACTTCTGCGTCCTGGGTTAAGTGATTATCCTGCCTCAGCCTCCCAAATAGCTGAGATTACAGGAGCGCACCACCATGCCCAGCTAATTTTTTGTATTTTTAGTAGAAACGGGGTTTCACCATGTTAGCTGGGCTGGTCTCGAACTCCTGACCTCAGGTGATCTGCCCACCTCGGTCTCCCAAAGTGCTGGGATTACAGGCGTGAGCCACCCCGCCCGGCCTCTTCCTTTTCTTTATGTTTTTTTTTTTTCTTTTTTGAGACAGGGTCTGTTGCCCAGGCTGGAGTGCAGTGGCATGATCACAGCTCACTGAAATCTCAAACTCCTGGGCTCCCGTGATCCTCCTGCCTCAGCTTCCCTGGTAGCTAGGAAGGACCACAGGCACACACCACCATGCTCAGCTAATTTTTTATATTTGTTTGTAGAAACGGGATCTCACTGTGTTGCCCAGGCTAGTCTCAAACTGCTAGCCTCAAGCGGTCCTCTTGCCTCAGCCTCCCAAAGTGCTGGGATTACAGGAGCAAGTCACCGTGTGCAGCTCACTTTGTTTGTTCTTTTTCTACTTCTTCACAACGGGGGTTCTTAACATGCATATTTCATGACCATGGATCTTTCAAGCACTTTCGTGGCAGGCAAGGACACTCCAGCCACCAGTGATCTTCCAGCATGTTCCCAAGCATAGAATGAAGTCTTTATTTTTCCTGTGTTTTGGTCAAGTATTTTTCCAGTGAGCATGTTATTGTTCTTATGTACCTAAAGCACTGGATACAGCCACCTGCTATATATATGGTGATAACAAATTGACTACAAAGCAAATATTAGGAAGTATCCATGTTTAATAATATCAAAATTACTTCATCAGTAATAGAAATACAATAGAAGTCTATCCAATTATCTACCAGTCATTCTTTATCTCTTTCTCTGTATCTCTGATAAGATGTTGTGAATGAGAAATTTAATTAAAATGCATGTGTTTCATCTATGGAACACCGAAAGCAACAGAGTTAAAACTTCAGTATCACTGGCCCTGACTGAGCCGGCTGGAGAGGCAGGCTTCTGGGTTTTACTTGCTTCTTTCATCATAAGATGTCTTCCATTTTCCCACATCAGTTCTGAATTGAAAATTCCTAACACGTGTCCAAGTCTGCAACAGAGACACACACACAGTTTGCTTCCTACTCTGGAATTCTTCCCTGTGCCTTTGGCTGGAAAGAATGCAGGAATCAAAGCATTTCCTTGAACAATGGAAGCCAAGATAAATCTACTTATGCTAAGAAACAATAGAAATGAAATTTCCACTGGGATCAAGCTCAACACAGCTTATTAGCATCCCTTTCATGCTAGGTATTTGGCTTAGATATCAGGTTAGGGGTTAGGAGAAGAGAGTCCATGACCATTATACTAAACATGAACGTTCACCAGAGAGTCATCAACTTGTGTTTTACTTCTTCAAATGCTCTTTCTCATTCTTAATGATCAGCATTAAGTATCCTATTTTGGACCACGATTTTGGTTTGGTTTTCACATTTTTCATGTTGACAGTAACAGACTTATTCTACAACAATTAACAAACCAGACCACCCACAAACTGCCATTAACTCTGAGTTGTACTTTGATGTATTTTATGTTTTTTGTTTGTTTGTTTGTTTTGAGTCAGAGTCTCACTCTGTAGCCCAGGTTGGAGTGCAGTGCAGTGGCACAATCTTGGCTCACTGCAACCTCCGCCTCCCAGGTTCAAGTGATTCTCAAACCTCAGCCTTCCAAGTAGCTGGGATTATAGGCACCTTCTACCGTACCCAGCTAATTTTTGTATTTTTTGTAGAGATGGGGTTTCACCATCTTGGCCAGGCTGGTCTCGAACTCCTGACCTCAAGCCATCCGCCTGCCTTGGCCTCCCAAAGTGCTAGGATTATAGGTATGAGCCACTATGCCCGGTCTTATGTTGTATATTTAATCCATCTTCAGTAGCAATTATACCCTGATCGTGAAAAAACTCAAGTTTCTTGTCATTTCTGTTCAAGATGTAACCTAAGTGGACAGGAGTGGGTGCCTAGGAAAATACCAGAATATACAATATTTTGTTTGGAAGGGATGACTAACCTTGTTTATGTATCCAGTACCCAGCAACTAAACCTTCTATCTTTTTTTATCCCAATAGATGTGGTACTTAAAACAATCAAACACAGTTTATCTTGGTCTGCTGTTATGATACAGCTAGACCTAACCAGGTTCTTGTTGGTTCCAGAAGTACCACCACATTTACTATGCACATTTTTTTCATCTTTAGTGTCTATTCTCTCTTTTATTCTCCCTGGCCATTAAGCCTAATGTATTCAGCCTCAATATCATATGTTGAAATCCTAACCCCCAATGTAATGGCATTAGCAGGTGGAGCCTTTGGGAAGTGATGAGGTGATAAGGGTGGAACCCTCATGAATGGGATTAGTGCCCTTATAAAAGATCATTTAATGAGCAGTTGGCAGTCTGTAAACCAGAAGAGGGCCCTCACCAGAGCCCAGCCACGCTGACACTCTTATCTCAGATGCCAGCAGTTACCTTGGCTTCATCCCTACTCCTTTGTACTCTTCATACTCTCTTATAGGACTTTAATTCCTTATCACCTTATACCCCAGATTCACTTCTTTTTCTCACCCAAGTCTCAAATTTCTAGCATCAATGCTTGGCTTCATGATCTGCTACTGGCCCATGTCACCTTATGCCATCCTCCAAATGTCTCGCTTGGTTTCCAGTCCTCTACCTTCCTGCACTCTTTCTACCTCCACTCATCTCCCTCCTTTTTGGCATCTACCACTATGGTCAGTGAGATTACCCTGGTGCAGCCCTCACCTGTTGCCAAGCAGAAACTCAAGAAATAGCCAACTTGGGAACTTATTTCAACAGGGGCATTTCACTTTACACTAGACTCTGCATTCCACTTTATTCTGGACCCTGCTCACTGAGGATCAGTATAAACGTCACGTTCATTGTTGTATCCCCAGAATCCATCACAATGTCATACATATTAGATTTTCAATCCAATACTCACTGGATGAATTTCAATGACAGTAACAAATGTACTTTTGCCATTTGCCCACATAATTAGACAAACAATTTTGATGTGTTGGTAAGACACAGTCACCCTCTCTGATATTTACCCTCCTGCTTTGCACTTCGCAGGCATAGCCATATTGTGCAGTACAGACTGTGCACACAGCGAACTCCATGGGTTTATCAAAACTTCATTAAATGACCTTTTCAGTGAGCAAACAGCCTGATGGAAACCATGAAGCTACCCTGAGATCATCATCAAATCCTAAGTTTCCTCAAAGATAAATTGGAGAAGGCTCAGAAGATTTGTTAAAAGATAATTAAGAAATAGAAAAAATAAGAAATAAAATCAGGCTAAGATGTTGTGAGAACGCCTATTAGATTAATTCCCTAAAACCTCTATTTTCTTAAACTAGCTTGTATTAGTTTGTTGGGGTCGTTACAACAAAATACTATAGACTAGGTGTATACAAAAAAACAACAAAAATGTATTTCTTACAGTTCGTGAGGCTGGTAAGTCAAAGATCAAGGCACCAGCAGACTTGGTGTCCGGTGAGGGCCCACTTTCTCATAAATGGTGCCTTCTCTATCAGGCACAGTGATTCATGCCTGTAATCCTACCACTTTGGGAGGCTGAGCCAGGCGGATGACTTGAGGTCAGGAGTTCAAGACCAGCCTGGCCAATAGGGTGAAACCCTGTCTCTACTAAAAACACAAAAATTAGCCGGGCGTGGTGGCAGGTTCCTGTAGTCCCAGCTACTGAGGAGGCTGAGGCAGGAGAATGGCGTGAACCTGGGAGGCGGAGCTTGCAGTGAGCCGAGACCACGCCACTGCACTCCAGCCTGGGCAATAGAGCGAGACTCTGTCTCAAAAAAAAAAAAAAAAAAAAAATTAGCCAGGCCTGGTGGCGGGTGCCTGTAATCTCAGCTACTTGGGAGGCAGAGGCACGAGAATCGCTTGAACCAGGGAGGTGGTGGTTGCAGTGAGCCAAGCTGGCACCATCGCACCCCAGCCTGGGTGACAGAGCCAGACTCTGTCTCAAATAAATACATAAATAAAATGGTGTCTTCTTACTGAGTCCTCACATGGTAGAAGGGGCACACAGGTTCCCTCAGCTTCCTTTTTTGTTTTTTTTTTTTTGAGATGGAGTTTTGCTCTTGTTGCCCAGGCTGGAATGCAATGGCACGACCTCGGCTCACTGCAACCTCCGCCCCCCAGATTCAAGCAATTCTCCTGCCTCAGCCTCCCAAGCAGGTGGGATTACAGGCGCCCGCCACCACGCCCGGCTAATTTTTTGTATTTTTAGTAGAGACGGGGTTTCACCATGTTGACCAGTCTGGTCTCAAACAACTGACCTCAGATGATCCACCAGCATCAGCCACCGTGCCCGGCCAACTGAGCTTCTTTTTTAAGGGCCCTAAAAACTCCCATTTGTGAGGTCTCTGGCCCCTTGATCTAATTACCTCTCTAACGGCCCCACCTCTTAATATCATCATCTTGGGGCTTGGGACTTCAACATGAATTTTTTCGGGGTGGGGAGACACAAAAATTCAGATTATATAGCATAGCTGTAGTAAGATTCTGAAACTTGCCACCAAATATCCCTATCTAAGACAAAGATGTATGAGTAAATGTCCCATAATATATGATTCCTTGGGAAACACTTAACAAAACGGTATGGATAATTTAATTCTATTCCTGTACACAGAGAGTGAAATATCTGGGGTATTTTTTAATTAACACATATAAAATAAATGCAGTAAAGTGCACCAATCTGAAGTATTCAGCTTGATACATTTTTACTTTGTATATGCACATGTGATTGCCAACAAGATAAACATATAGTACATTTCCAGGACTCCGGAAGACTTTCTCAAGTCCCTTCTCTGAAGAATCCTTCACAGAACATTTAGTGGGCACCCTACTGAGGAGATTTTAGGTGCATTTTCAGTTTTTTCTTTATACTATTCTGTTGCTCAAGTTTTCTTCATGAGTATTACTTGTATCATCAGAAAAAATAATAAAGCCACCTTTTTGTAGACTTTTTGGACAGCAGTACTACTGAGAACTTCAGGCAGCTGAATGCCTGAATCCAGCATTTCAATGTTTAACTCTATTCTGGTCTGAATGTTGTGTCCACCCCTTGAAATTCATATGTTGAAATCGCAACCCCCAGTGTGATGGCATTAGGAGTGGGGTCTTTAGGAAGTGATTAAGTCAGGCCAGGTGTGGTGGCTCATGTCTGTAATCCCAGCACATTGGGAGGCCAAGGCGGGCAGATCACCTGAGGTCAGGAGTTCGAGACCAGCCTGGCCAACATGGCAAAACTCTGTCTCTACTAAAAATACAAAAATTAGCTGGTCCTAGTGGTGGGCACCTGGAGTCCCAGCTACTAAGGAGGCTGAGGCAGGAGAATCGCTTGAACCCAGGAGGCAGAGGTTGCAGTGAGCCGAGATCGCACCACTGCACTCCAGCCTGGGTGACAGAGCAAGACTCCATCTCAAAGAAAAAAGGAGGTCATAAGGGTGGAGCCCTCATAAATGGAATTAGTTCCCTTATGAAAGATGACCTATCGAGCAGTTGGCAGTCTATAAACCAGAATAGGGCCCTCACCAGAACTCATCCGTGCTGACACCCTGATCTCAGACTTCCCAGCCTCCAGAACTGTGAGAGAATAAAGTTCATTGTTAAAAAGTCACCCAGGCTATGGTAGTTTGTTATAGCAGCTGGAGCTAAGACAAACTCCTTTATTTTTCTTGTTTTTCTTTGTATATTTTTTGCTCTCCTTTTTCTCCTCCCTAATACTTAGCAAATCTTTTCTTTCTAGCAGTGTAATCTGTTCACTGTGAGGGCAATACATACATGCTTCCTAAGCCTTATAGAAGGAGCAGCATATTCCAGTGGCTGGGCATTGTATGGCCATCTGAAATCGGAGTGGAATGAGCCCAGTCGAGAACGAGACACAAAGTCAGGAGGAAAGATATTAAAATGGACGCTTTTATTACGGACAACAGCAGATTGGAGAAGGCAGCTTGGATCTGCAGCCCCAGTCCACCTCCAAGTACCGATGGCCATGAGTTCAGTTCACACACTTGTAAACCCACCTCCCTGCAGAGACAGCACCCTTGTCAGGAAGCACTTCACCACATCAGCGACAAAGGCATGCGGCTTCAGGACACACTGCTTCCAGGGACAGGGAACCAGGCTGTTGAGCACTCAGTGCTTCTCCCAGTCTCACCAGACAGATAAGGCACCAGGTGAAGGTGGATGAGAAAAGGGCAGAAGTTATCCTCCTAATGTTTCTAAACTTCCCTTTAAAGGAACTGAAATGCAAGTTTTCTTATGCGCAAACACGAAGATTTAGAAATATGGTTCCAGGCCAAATGTGTGGCTCATGGCTGTAATCCCAGTACTTCGGGAAGCCAAGGAGGTAGGATTGCTTCAGCCCAGGAGTTCAAGACCAGCCTGGGCAACATAGTGAGATCCCATATCTACAAAAACTAAAGTAGTTAGCCGGGCATAGTGGTGCACACCTGTAGTCCCAGCTACTCAAGAAGCTGAGGTGGGAGGATTACTTGGGCTCCAGAGGCCAAGGCTGCAGTAAGCTGTGATTGCACCAGTACACTCTAGCCTGGGCAACAGGGCAAGACCCTATCTCAAAAAAAAAAAAAAAGAAAGAAAAAGAAAAAGAAAAGAAAAGAAAGAAATATGGTTCCCCCAACACTCTGGAGGCATAGGCATGGCTGACTAAATGATTCTTAATGTTTCCATAAATTTAGATTCCATGATTCCAGAAGAAAGAAACTTGGCCTTGCCCAGGTGTGGTGGCTCACGCCTGTAGTCCCAGCACTTTGGGAGGCCGAGGCCAACGGATCAGGAGGTCAGGAGATTGAGACCATCCTGTCTAACACGGTGAAACCCCATCTCTACTAAAAATACAAAAAATTAGCCAGGCATGGTGGCGGGCGCCTGTAGTCCCAGCTACTCGGGAGGCTGAGGCAGGAGAATGGTGTGAACCCGGGAGGCAGAGCTTGCAGTGAGCCGAGATCGCACCACTGCACTCCAGCCTGGGCGACAGAGCAAGACTCCGTCTCAAAAAAAAAAAAAGAAAAGAAACTTGGTCTTTTTTTTTTTTCTCTCTTTCACCACATGATTTCTTATGGTATATTTATAAATAAATAAACAAGAAAACAATTAAGTGCAGTGAGATTAAAAGGAACTTTAAAGTGTTGTGTGGAACCTTGTAATTAGAGAACATCTTCATTCATACATGGGGGGAACCCACTGGGCATGTCTGCATTATTGAAAAGCCGCAACAAAGAGAAACTGGCTTACTAGTAACTAATCCCTTTTCTGTCTGAACTTCCAAACTCATCTTAATCTCATTGTCAGGACCTTAGATGATTAGTCACTGGAATTTCTAAGTCAAGTGCAGTTGGCAGTAGACTAAATGCTGAAGCTAAAATTCCCACCAAGACTGTTTTTATAACCTGTGAGACACATTCAAACAACTCAGGACCCATTTCCTGAAAGGATATTCTCAACTTTCCAGCTACTCTGCAAACTTAAAATTGGACTCAGCCTTCAACTGGAGAGTATGAGGATTCCGAAAAGGAAATAATTTTTTTCTTCAAGTAAAAAACCTCAGGGCGGGCTGGGAAGGGGAAAAGTTTACTTGATAACGACTTGCTTCCCTTTCAAAGATTTCTCAAAAAGACTTTATGCATATTTATTTACTTATGATGTGTTTTGTAAGTAAACATCTTTTTACTGAAGTATTGCATCCATGTAGAGAAGTGCACAATTCCTGAGTGAACTTGAGGAATTTTTTAGAATGAACACGTTTGTGTAACCAGACCCAAATCAAGGTGTAGAACATCACCAGCACTGCCAAAACTCCCCATTGCTCCCTCCTTTTCTTTTTCTTTTTTTTAAATTATACTTTAAGTTCTAGGGTACAAGTGCACAACGTACAGGTTTGTTACATAGGTATACACGTGCCATGGTGGTTTGCTGCACCCATCAACCCGTCATCTACATTAGGTATTTCTCCTAATGCTATCCCTCCCCCAGCCACCTACCCCACGACAGGCCCCAGTATGTGATGTTCCCCTCCCTGTGTCCATGTGTTCTCATTGATCAACTCCCACTTATGAGTGAGAACATGCAGTGTGTGGTTTTCTGTTCCTGTGTTAGTTTGCTGAGAATGATGGTTTCCAGTGTCATCCATGTCCCTGCAAAGGACATGAACTCATCCTTTTTTATGGCTGCGTAGTATTCCATGGTGTATATGTGCCACATTTTCTTTGCTCCCTCCGTTTCATCACCGTTTCCCAACGGTCCACTACTCTGACCTCTGATACCATATACTAAATTTGCCTGCTTTTGAACGTTATATAACTGCAGTATGTTCTTTTGCGTGTCAGAATGCTTTTGCTTCATGCTATAGTCATGCACCCCATAACAACATTTTGGTCAGCAACAGATGACATGTACAACCATGGTCCCGTAAGATTATAATTGAGCTGAAAATTTTCTATCACCTTGTGACATCATAATGTCACAGCAGAAAAAGTTACTCACATGTTTGTGGTGATGCTGGTATAAACAAACTTACTCTGATGCCAGTTGTATAAAGGATAGCACATACAATTATGTACAGTACAGAATACCTTATAATGATAATAAACGACTATGTGACTAGTTTATGTACTTAGTATACTTTTTTTAATTTAATTTTTTTTTTTTTGAGACGGAGTCTCACTCTGTCACCCAGGCTGGAGTACAGTGGTGCGATCTCGGCTCACTGCAACCTCCGCATCCCGGGTTCAAGCAATTCTCCTGCCTCAGCCTCCCAAGTAGCTGGAACTACAGGTGCATGCCACTATGTCTGGCTAGTTTTTTGTATTTTTAGTAGAGATGGGGTTTCACCGTGTTAGTCAGGATGGTCTCGATCTCCTGATCTCATGATCCGCCCCCATCAGCCTCCCAAAGTGCTGGGACTACAGGCGTGAGCCACTGCACCCGGCCGAGACAATACTTTTTATTCTTGTTTTAGACTGCACTCCTTCTACTTATTTGGAAAAAAAAGAAAAGAGAAGGTGACTGTACAGGCAAGTCCTTCAGGAGGCATCCAGAAGAAGGCATTGTGATCACAGGAGATGACAGCTCCCCTGAAGATCTTCCAGTGGGACGAGATGTGGAAGTGGAAGACAATGATGTGGATGATCCTGACCCTACGTAAGTCTAATCTAATGTGTGTGTTTGTATCTCAGTTTTTAAAACAGAAAAGTTTAAAAAGTAAAAAACCAAAAATTTAAAAAAATTAAATAGAAAAAGCTTGTAGAGTACAAATATAAAGAAAGAAAATATTTTGTACAGCTGTACAATGTGTTAGTGTTTTAAGCTAAGTGTTGTTACAAAAGAGTTGGCCAGGTGCACTGGCTCGCACCTGTAATCCCAGCACTTTGGGAGGCCGAGGTGGGCAGTTCACTTGAGGCTAGGAGTTTGAGACCAGCCTGGCCAACATGGCGAATCCCCATCTCTACTAAAATACAAAAATTAGCCAGGCGTGGTGGTACACGCTTATAGCCCCAGCTACTCAGGAGACTGAGGCACAAGAATCGCTTGGACCGGGGAGGTGGAGGTTGCAGTGAGCCAAGATCACGCTACTGCACTCCAGCATGGGCGACAGAGAGAGACTCCATCTCAAAACAAACAAACAAAAAGAGTCAAAAATTTTTTTACTTGAATATTTATAAAGTAAAAAAGTTGCAGTTAGAATTAATTTATTATTGAAGGGAGAAAAATTGTATAAATTTAGTGTAGCCTAAGTGTATAGTGTTCATAAAGTCTACAGTCCAAACCTACAGCCACATCGTGGGCCTTCACATTCACTCACCGCTCACTCCCTGACTCACCCAGAGCAACACCCAACCCTGCAAGCTCCATTCATGGAAAGTCCCCTATACAAATGTACCATTTTTTAATCTTTTATACCATATTTTTGTTGTATTTTTCTATGTTTAGATATGTTTAGAAACACAAATACTTGGCCGGACACAGTGGCTCATGCCTGTAATCCCAGCACTTTGGGAGGCCGAGGCGGGCAGATCACAAGGTCAGGAGATGCAGACCATCCTGGCTAACACAGTGAAACCCCGTCTCTACTAAAAATTACAAAAAATTAGCCGGGCGTGGTGGCGGGCGCCTGTACTCCCAGCTACTCGGGAGGCTGAGGCAAGAGAATGGCGTGAACCTGAAGGGCGGAGCTTGCAGTAAGCCAAGATCGTGCCACTGCACTCCAGCCTGGGCAACAGAGTGAGACTGTCTCAAAAAACACACAAATACTTACCATTGTGTGTTACAGTTACCTACAGTATTCACTACAGTAACCTGATGTACAGATTTGTAGCCTAGGAGCAATAGGCTTTACCATATAGCCTAGATGTATAGTAGGCTATCCGATCTAGGTTTAAGTACACTCCATGATTTTCATATGATGAAATTGCCTAACAATGCATTTTGCAGAATATAGCCTCATCGCCGGTGGATCACGAGGTCAGGACTTCGAGACCAGCCTGACCAACATGGTGAAACCCCGTCTCTACTAAAAATACAAAAATTAACCAGGTGTAGTGGCGGGCACCTGTAATCCCAGCCACTCAGGAGGCTGAGGCAGGAGAATCGCTTGAACCCGGAAGATGGAGGTTACAGTGAGCCAAGATCACACCACCGCACTCCAGCCTGGGCGACAGAGTGAGAGTCCATCTCAAAAGAATACAGTCTCATTATTTATTGACACATGACTGTATTTGGGAGATTCATCCATGTAATAGTGGCAATTCCTTAATTCTTATTACTGCTTAGTATTCCATTGTATGAACATGGCACAATTTATTTATTTATTTATTTACTCTACTGATGATGTATTCATTTGGACAGTTTCTAGTTTGGAGTTATTATACATAGGGCCACGGTGTATACTCTAGAACATGCCCCTTGATGAACACTGGTGCACATTGCTATCAGGCATATCCTAAGGAGTCAGCCATAGGTCACTAAGTTTGTGGTAACTTGTTACAACGGCATAGGAAACACAATAGAATCACCTTTCTGTATGTTTATTGGCCACATGGATATCCTCTTTTGTTAGAAGCTTGCCTGATTAAGTCTTTTGTTCACTTTAAAAAATTACGTTGTCTTTCTTTTTCTTTTGCTTTATGGAAGTTCTTTGCATATTCTTCATTCAATCTTTTATAGATGATACTTATATTCTCCCATTCCGCTGCTGATTTCTTTTATTCTCATAATAGTATGTTTTGATAAGTTCTCAACTCTAATCATGTCCAATGTATCTATCTTTTCCTTTACGGTTAGAGATTTTTCCACGCTTTTAAGAACACCGTCCTACAAGGTCGTAAAGACATTTGCATGCTGTTTTCTTCAAACTTTATTTTCTTAACCCATCTGAAATCGATATTTGGGTCTCATGCAAAGTAAGTGGCAAGATTTCCTTTTTTCCATATAGATACTCAATTGATCTAGCATCATTTATTTAAAATAGCATCTTTTCCTCACTGTATCACAGTGACCTTTGTCATACATCAGGTGACCACATATGTATAGATCTGTTTCTGGACTCTTTGTTTTATTGATCTACTTTTCCATCTTCACACCTCCTCATAAAAGAGTTAACAAAGCTGGCCTGAGAATGCTACCCTTTGATAGGCCTGCATGGAAGGTTGGCCTTTGGCTAGAATCTGGGAACTTAGATTTGGGGAGGGTTCCCACCATTCTCAGAATAGATAAGTTTGGCTCACTCTGCTTAAAGTGTTTTTACAAACAATACAGTTTTTGCTGAACACTTGCTTTCCTTCTGAGAGTCTGGAACTTGGGTGCGTGAAAAGCCCTTAGGAAGAACCCTGGGGCCGGGCGTGGTGGCTCACACCTGTAATCCCAGCACTTTGGGAAGCCGAGGTGGGAGGATCACTTGAGGCCAACAGTTCAAGACCAACCTGGCCAACATGGTGAAACCCTGTCTCTACTAAAAATACAAGAATTAGCCAGACGTAGTGGTGGGCGCCTATAATTCCAGCTACTCAGGAGGCTGAGGCAGGAGACTCACTTGTTCCCAGGAGATAGAGATTGCAGTGAGCTGAGACCGTGCCACTGCACTCCAGCCTGGGTGACAGAAGAAGACAGTCTCAAAAAAAAAAAAAAAGAAAAAGAAAAACAACAGCAACCCTAGGCACTGAGTCCCTAATGAGCCTTCCTGATGGCAATATTTCACATTCGTCATAACTCACTGGGAGAGTTAAACACATGCAGTGTGACCCCTGGTGCATCCACTGAAGAGAATTCTTGGAAGCTTGTTCGGAGTTTCCCCCAAATGTCACCCCATGCACATTTTCGCTTTGCTCTCGGTGTCCTTTTATTTTGTATCCTTTTACTGGAATACAAAATTTTACTTTGTATCCTTTTGCTGTAGTAAATCATAACCATGAGTACAACTAGACGCTGAGTCTTCCTAGTGAATTACCCAACCTGAGAACCCTGGTCTTGACCTTAGGAAATCTTAACACATTATCAATACCATACTGCCTTAGTTACTATAACTTTACAGTCATGAAAGCTGGCAGTGGAAGTTTGCAACTTTGTTCTTCTTTAAGATGGCCCTGCCTATTTTTTCCCCTTGAATTTCCATATCAATTTTAAGATCAACTCAATTTCCACCAAATTAAACCTGCAGGGATTTTTATTAGAATGTTATTTGCTCTCTAAGTCTATTTTGAAGAATTTATATTTCAGCAATTTTGAGTCTTCTAATCCACTAACAGGACATATTAGACCTTCTTTCATTTCTCTCAATTCTATGAATAATATTTTGTATTTTTTTTCTTTTGGTGAGAAAGTCTTGTATTTCATTTATTAAATTTATTACAAGGCATTTGGTAGTTTCTATGCTAATGTAAATCTTATTTTTTGTTTCTATTTTCCAGTTGTGTTTTTTGCTGTTTTGTAGAAATATAAATGATTTTTGTATATTGACTTTATATCCAGCAACTTAATAAATTTGTTATTAATCCTAATAGTTTAACCACAGAGCCTTTTGCTCTGTTATTAAACAACCATGTAGTCCATGAACAACGACAGATTGTTTCTTCCTTTTTAATCGTTGTTATGGGCTGAATTGTATTCCCCCAAAATTCATCTGTTTTGACTCTTCCATCCAGAAGCCAGGCATCCCTTCTCTCTCTTTAGACTTTAGATTTCTCAACTGAGAATCACAGAACAAGCAGTCGGCTGACAGCCCAAACTGAGAGACCCCACTGAGGCCCCCGCTTAGGAAGCTTGGCGAGAGGGACAGGCATCTCCGAGACTTCCACTCAGCAGGGCGTGGGGAGGCACATGGACTACCCACATCTAAGATCGTTGAGTCTGCTTTCTTCTTATCCTTTTATATCCTTAGTGAGGTGGGGGCTTCTAGCCTTCAGGACTCTGAGGAAATAAATTTTGGTTGTTTCAACCATCCAGTATTTAGTCCTTCATATGGCAGCCCTGGATGACTAATACAGTCATCAGACTTTGTAACTCACAGTAATTGAAGCACATACTACATGCCAGGCACTGGGCTGAGTAGTTTTCACGTCCTTTTTTTTTTTTTTGAGACGGAGTTGTGTGCTGGAGTGCAGTGGCACAATCTTGGCTCACGGCAACCTCCGCCTGCTGGGTTCAAGTGATTCTCCTGCCTCAGCCTCCCAGGTAGCTGGGATTACAGGTGTGCACCACCACACCGGCTAATTTTTATATTTTTAGTAGAGACGGTTTGGGTTTTGCCATGTTGGCCAGGCTGGTCTCAAACTCCTGACCTCAGGTGATCCACCTGCCCCAGCCTCTCAAAGTGCTGGGATTACAGGCATGAGCCTCATGTGCTTTTAAAAAAATTCCTCACAATATCCAAAAAGAAATGTATGATTTTTTCAATTTTACAAACAAAGAGCTAGACCCTGAGAGGTTAAGAAGTGTGTCTAAGTCACATAGAACTAGACAGCAAACTCAAAGCTCATGACTTGCTGCTTTCCTATTCTATCTTCCTACAAGTGTCCAACACAGTTATTCTGACTTCAATCACTGCCCTTTACTTGACTGAAAAAAAAAAATTTCTCTGTTGGGGAATTTATATATGTATATGCATATATATCATATATATTAATATATGTAACATATATGCATGTATATATACACATACATGCAGATATATATTCATCAACATAGAAAAAATAATTTTTTCAATTAAATAAAGGGCAAATGACTGCAGTCAGAATAATTGTGTTTTACAGCTCTAGGAAGATAGAATAGGAATAGTAGTGTATATATATATATATAGTATTGTATGTATATATATATAGTACTATATATATATTTACACACACACACACACACACACACACACACACACACACACACACACAACCTATCTTTGGCTAGGTCAGCCAGACCTATCTCAAGATATAATAGATATGCCAGAGTGACTTATCTTATCACCCAGACTTATCTCAAGATATAATAGATATGCCAGAGTGAAGTATCAAACAAGATACAGATTTCTAAAGGATTTCACACAAAAACAGGCATATAACTTTGAATCCCTCACCTCTCTAAGGATTTAAAAGAGAGGAGATTGGAATATTTCAGATGTGGGTGTTCCCTCTGCCCACTCCCACCCCCTGCCAAGCTGCCAAGTGGCAGCACTGGAGATGCCCATCCTTCTCCCCAAGCCCCTTGGGATCTCCCAGTTTGGGCTGTCAGCTGACTGTTTTCTGATCTCTGCTGAGAAATCTCAAGTGAGAGAGAAGAGATGGCTGGCTAAGATGGAAGAGCTAAAGAAGTGGTGGTGGGGTTGGGTCACCAGTGGTTACAGAATTTAGGGAGCAAAGATGAGTTCATGTTTTCTAAGGCATAGATGTGGGCCTCATATGAGGGGGTTATTTTAGGTCCTACCCAGAAGGGTAAACTACAGGGGCAAAAATAGCTCCACAAAGAAAAGAAGTAATTGTCAGATTTCTAGCCCCCAAGGGAATAAGCAAGCAGCTAGCCTGGAGATTTATTCTCTACGTGTGAGAGGAGAATGGAGTGAGGGTGACATAGAGTGAGTCTTAAAACCCGACAGCCCAGGAAATGCTGTGCCGCTCGTGACAGTCCCTGATGAGAAAAGACTTGTTTGCTCCCTGCCTCTTCCCTATCTCACCTTCACAGTAGCAAATTAAGGGGAGAAGTTAAGAGTAAGGAGGGGGCTGAGCGTGGTGGCTTATGCCTGTTATCCCAGCACTTTGAGTGGCAGAGGGAGGCGGATCACCTGAGGTCAGGAATTCGAGACCAGCCTGGCCAATATAGTGAAACCCCATTTCTACTAAAAATACAAAAATTAGCCGGGCGTGGTGGCAGGCGCCTGTAATCCCAGCTACTTGGGAGATTGAGGCAGGAGAATTGTTTGACCCCAGGAAGTGGAGGTTGCAGGAATCCAAGATCGCATCACTGCACTCCAGCCTGGGTGATAGAGCGAGACTCCATCTCAAAAGAAAAAAAAAAAAAAAAAAGAGGAAGGAGGAAAAGAAGGAAAGCCAGCCACACCTTCTAGTCACCTGGGGGCCTTCCCCCAGGCTCCCGCCTTAGGGGGAAGGGAGTTCCCGTGTGGGGGTAGGGAGTGGAGGGGGAAGACAGAGGTGCCTCAAATTTAAATCAGTTTGAAAGTTTTGATTAATGCATGAGGGTGAACACATTAATTACTAAATCAGGATTTTTTGTAATACCTAGAAATTAGAAAAGTCATCTGGGACAGAAAAAAACTAGCCTCATTCAACAAATTTAATAGATATTTTAAAAAGATGATTCGAAACTACAAGATAACACTATGCGCCGATTAGCACAGTTATCTAAAAAAGACAAATAATACCAAATGGTGGTGAGAATGTGTTTACTGCTGGGAATACAAATGGTACAGCCATTTGGGGAACAGTTTGGCAGCTTCTTAAAAGGATAAATAAAATCTTACCAAGCAATTCAGCAATTCCACAACTAGGTACCTGCCCAAGAGAGATGAAAATACATGTTCACAAAAGAACTTTCACATGAATGGTTTACAGCAGCATTATACATAACATAATAGCCCCAGACTGGAAACGATGCTAATTCCATCAACTGATGATTGGATAATGAATATGTAATATATCCATATAATGAAATACAATTCAACAATAAAAAGGAATGAACTAATACTACATGCTGTAGCATGGGTGAACATTATACCAAAAACATTATGCTAAGTAAAAGAAGCCAGATGCAAAAGGCTGTATACTGTATGATTACATTTACATGAAATGCCCAGAAAGGGGCAATCTATACATTTGTAGATTAGTGGTTACTTGGACCTGGGTATGGGAGTAGGGATTGACCGTAAACAGACACAGGGGAACTTGTGGGAGTAATGGAAATATTCCAAAGCTAGATTGTGGTGATCATTTCACAACTCTAGAAATTAACCTAAAATAACTGAGTTACACACTCACAACGGATTAATTATATGGAAGGTAAAATTATAGGCTGGGTGTAGTGGCTCATGTCTGTAGTCCCAGAACTTTGCGAGGCCAAGGCAGGCAGATCACTTGAACTCAGGAGTTCAAGACCAGCCTGGGCAACATAGTGAGATCTTCACCTCTATTAAAAATAATAATAATAAAGTAAAATTATACTTCAGTAAAGCTATTAAAAAAAACCTATGTGGGGTCAGAGGTAGGGAGGCATAGATAAAACGAGATAGCAATAGATTCTTAATGATTGAAGCCGGAGGATGGGTGATGGAATTGTGGAGTAATTTGACAACTAGGTACCTACCCAAGGTGCCTATATACTATTATACGATTCCTTCTATTTCTATATATGTTTGAAATTTTTCATAGTATAAAGTTAAAAGATAATGAGTTATGAAATTAAAATTGCTTTATAAAGACACACTTGATTAACTATTTAATATAATCCAATATAATTATTATATGTACATTTAATTTTTAAGCCATTCCATTAAAGGTGGCAGTATTCAACAGAAAATTGGCCAAGGAGATGCAAATGACTGCTGTTAGCTAGATCTATATTTATATGTTGTGCCTGACAACTTTAATAGGCCTAATACAACTCAAAAATCACGGTGTCAAGAAATCACAAAGCTAAAAGAGACCTGGAGTGGTCACCAGATGGTCTCAGCTCCTGAAAGTGTCTCACACAATAAAGCTAACTTTTCCATTTTAAATATTTAGAGCTGTACATAGCAGAGTTATTCAAAATCTTTTTGGTATTTTAGATCAACATAATTTGGCCATGTTAATGAATATCTTCCTTTAACATAAAAACAGCCAAGATAAACAAAATACATTCAGAAGCCAGAAGCAAGTGATATATCTATGATATGTCTAGCTCTTAATAAAGAGAAAAAACTAATGAAATAAAATTATTGAGGAATTAAATACTTGCATTATTAGAGAGTTTTTAAAGAGACTTTCTTGAAGACATCATGATATCAAATTGGCTTGTGGGCCAGATGTACTGAATAGGCAAATTTGATAACTAGAGGAAGGGACTTATCTGGAGGGTTTGCCATGGAATCGTTGGCAGCAAGATAGCACCATCTGTTAGAAAGAAGTAATGTCAATCAGCAGTCAAGTATTTTTGATCTATGAGAAAAATCTTAAGTCTTTCTAAAGGGCCCGATAAAGAATCTTGTTAGAATTAGAAGCCACGAGTTCAGTGGAACAAGTACCAAACTGTGTTTATACATCACATTGCCCCAGGAAACAATCTATTTGTGTAGCCTGGATTGTTATACACACACACACACACACACACACACACGCACACGCACATACACGAAAAAATCTACAAGTCATTTAATGTCTGAAATGTCTGTGAAATATCACCGCCTTTACTTCCTTTCACTATTTTAAACTCTGAAACAGCTACTCGTAGCCATGCAGAATGCGTTCCTCTGTCTTCCTGCAAATTTCTAATCTTGATAGTTATTCTACTCCTGGAAACTGCTACCAAGTCTGATAGGACTGTCAGTAAGTGTTGTACAGGATATTAAAACCCTCTTTCAAAAACATAAATAAATAGACATTCCTATGGCAATGTCAACACTTGGAAAAGATGATATGTTTGTTTTGTATTTTGAACAAAATTCCTAGGCTGTTACAATGTGTAAGCATCTAAACGCCAAAATGCCTCAACTTCCTACCTGAGCTCAAGAAGTACAAGAAGTGAAAAATGGCATTACCGGCCGGGCGCGGTGGCTCACGCCCGTAATCCCAGCACTCTGGGAGGCGGAGGCGGGCGGTCACTAGGTCAGGAGATGGAGACCATCCCGGCTAACAAAATGAAACCCCGTCTCTACTAAAAATACAAAAAATTAGCCGGGTGTGGTGGTGGGCGCCTGTAGTCCCAGCTACTTGGGAGGCTGAGGCAGGAGAATGGCGTGAACCCGGGAGGCGGAGCTTGCAGCAAACCGAGATCTCACCACTGCACTCCAGCCTGGGCGACACAGCGACACTCCGTCTAAAAAAAAAAAAAAAAAAAAAATGGCATTACCACTACTCACAATTATCCAGAAGTCAGTCCTTTAAATCCAAATTTTCTTCCCCAACATTTCAAGTTCCTAAAAACAATGTTTTTAAAATCATTTTCTGTGCTAAAAATAGATAAAATGGGTAGTTCCAACCGTGAGCACAGAAAGTTCTCCAGTTCTTTCCTGGAAAGTATCAGCTATTACGCAAAACCGGTATTTTTAAAACTCTGTGTAACACGTAGTCTTTCTAAAGGTGGAAATTCCTGTCCTTCAAATGTATGAGCCCTAAATTTATACTTAGTTTTGAAAGAAAATGTTCTGAGTCAATGTACATATACTACAAAAAAGTTCAGGCGTCTTTCATATTAAACAAACATACCATAAGAAATCCTCCCAAAATTCTGTCTATAATTTCTGACTCCAACTCGTTAACCATCATCTAATTGCCTGCAGTTATATACTTTCAGATTCAGTATTGATTCTTCTGTCCTATTGTTCACTCAGCCTGTCCAACTCAGGAAGAACGCGTTTGAAAGAATCAATGGAAAAGTTATTTGGCATAAGGGAATGTCGTGGCTGGTTTGATCTTCCATCCAGACCACTCAAACTTTCTTCATAACAGCAATAAGGCTGTTTTGCTTTCTTATCATTTGTGTGTTCACTGGAGTAGCACTTCTCATTTCCTTCAAGAGCTTTTCCTTTGCATTCACAACTTGGCTCACTGTTTGGCACAAGAGACCCAGCTTTCAGCCTATCTCGGCTTTGGACCTGCCTTCCTCACTAAGCTTAATCATTTTTAGGTTTTGATTCAAAGTGAGAGGCATGTGACCCTTCCTTTCACTTGAACACTTAGAGGCCACTGGAGGGTTCTTAATTGGGCTAATTTCAATATTGTTATCTCAGGGAACAGGGAGGTCTGAGGAGAGAGAGAGAGATGAGGAAATGCTAGTTGTTGCAGCTGTCAGAACACACACATTTATCAGCTAAATCCACTGTCTTATATGGATGCAGTTCGTGGAGGCCCAAAATAATTACAATAGTAAAAACATTAAAGATCACTGATCACAGATCCATAGAACAGATATAATAATAGTGAAAACATTGGAAATATTGCAAGAATCACCAAAATGTGACACAGAGACTCAAAGTAAGCACATGCTGTTGGAACAATGGCACTGATAGACTGGCTTGACACAGGGTTGCCACAAACCATCAATTTATAAAAACCACAATATTTGTGAAGCACAATACAGCAAAACACAATGAAAACAGATGTGTTGTGTATGCGAGGTTTTGTGGTATTTGCCTTTCTGTGCCTGGTTTATTTCACTTAAGGCCTTCCAGTTTCGTTCATGCTGTTGCAAAAAACAGAATTTCCTTCTTTTTTAAGGCTAAATAGTACCCCATTGTGTAGTATTGTACTAGTTCATTTTCACACTGCTGATAAAGACATACCTGAGACTGGGTAATTTATAAAGAAAAAGACGTTTAATGGACTCACAGTTCCACATGGCTGGGGAGGCCTCACAATTATGGCAGAAGGCGAAAGGCATGTCTTCCATGGTGGCAGGCGAAAGAGAACTGGTGCAGGGGAACTCCCCTTTATAAAACCATCAGACCTCATGAGACTTATTCACTATCATGAGAACACCATGGGAAAGACCCACCCCCGTGATTCAATTACCTCCCACCAGGTCCTTCCCATGACATGTGGGAATTGTGGGAGCTACAATTCAAGACAAGATTTGGGTGGGGACACAGCCAAACCATATCACCTCCATATACCGCATTTTAAAAATTGATTTAAACTTAGATTGATCCCATATCTTGGCTATTGTGAATAGTGCTACAATGAACATGGGAATACAGCTATCACTTCAACACACTGATTTCATTTATTTTGCATACATACTCAGTAGGGGGATTGCTAGATCATCATTCTATTTTTAAGGTAATTATAATTTTGAGGAATCTCCATACTGCTTTCCATAATGGCTATACTAATTTACCTCCCCATTAACAGTGTACAAGGGTTCCCTTTTCTCCATATCCTCTCTAACACTTGTTATCTTCTGTCTTTTTTATTATACCTGTTCTAACAGGTAAGAGATGATATCTCATTGTGGTTTCAATTCACATTGCTCTGATGATTAGTGATGTTGAGCATTTTTCTGTGTACGTATTGGTCATTCGTATATCTTCTTTTAAGAAATGTCTATTCAGATGCTTTGCCCTTCTTTTAATTGGGTTATTTGTTTTCCTACCATTGAGTTGTTTGAGTTCCTTATATAGTTTGGATATTGACCCCTCATCACATGTATGCTTTTCAAATGTTTTTGACCATTCTGTAGGTTGTCTCTTCACTCTTGATAGTTTCCTTGGCTGTGCAGAAGCTTTTTAGTTTGATTACAAGCTAAATTACAATCCCAGTGGTCTACATTTGGTTTTGTTACCTGTGCTTCTGGGGAGTCATATCCAAAAAAAATTATTGGCCAGACCAATGTCATGGAGCTTTTCTCCTGTGTTTTCTTCTACTAGTTTTACAGTTTCAGGTCTTACAGTTAGGACTTTAATCCATTTTGAGTTAATTTTTGTATATGGTGTGAGACAAAGGGCTAATTTAGTTTTTCTGCCTCTGGATATCCAGTTGTTCCAACACCATTTGTTGAAGAGACTATCCTTTCCCCATTGTGTGTTCTTGTCACCTTTGTCAAAAATCAATTGACCATAAACGTGTGGATTAGGAAATGTTAATAACAGTTGCTTTGCCTCACTCTGAGGCTTGTCAGTTTCTAAAGTGATGTTACATCTTAAAAAAAAAAAAAACAGTTAAACAGTTGAGTGACTTTATTAGAGGGATCACTTGTTTATGGATATTTGTTGTGAGGCAACACAGATTATAGTATCTTACGGTTTTTTTGAGTCAAATTGTTTTTGACGCTGGTCTACAGTTTCTGCTTTTTATTTTCTCTTTTTAATTTTCCTCATCTCTATTTAGAGAATCAGAAACTAGTCGATACAACTTATAGGAGATGTCAGGTCAAGGCAAAATTGTAAGCTTCATTCTCTCTCCTCCAGACATCTCTCTCTTCCTCTGGGTGCCTTTTTTTTTTTTTTTTTTTCTGTGACAGGGTCTCTGTCGTGCAGGCTGAAGTGCAATGGCACAGTCATAAATCACTACAGCCATGATCTCACATGGCCAAGCAATCCTCCCACCTCAGCCTCCAGAGTAGCTGAGACTACAAGCAGGTGCCCCTGCACCTGGCTTTTTTTTTTTAAAGAGATGGAGTCTCACTGTGTTGTCCAGGCTGACCTCAAACTTCTGCTGGGCTCAAGCAATCCCCTTGCCTTGGCCTCCTGAACTTCTGGTATTACAAGCATGAGTGAGCCACCATGTCCAGCCCCTTCCTTTTCTTTGATTCTAATTGAGGTGCCTGAAGTCAACTGACATTTGTTATTTTCTCTACAGTCCTTTATATCTTTACACCTCAGGATGTGGCTTTCTGTATTTATCAACTTGCCAGTCAACTGGCCTGATAAAATCATGTATGCTAATAAAGGCCTGACCTGTCACCTGTGGGGCCTTCTGCCTCCACCTATATCACTAATCAAGAATCAAATGGTTCTGGTTTGGGAACAGATAAGGAGGAAGAACAGTACTTTGGGAAAGGGGAGCCTGAATCACATTCTGCAAACTGCTACCTTCACAGTCCAGAAGCAGGTGACTGTAGCAATAGCCAAAAGCCCTGGCCAGGCCAGCACAACACAGGAGCTGGAAGCATGGCCCAGCCCTGGGAACCAGAGCAGGGGGCAGAAGAATAGCCCCAGCAACTCTGAACACAGAAAAGAAAAACACTGCTTCTCATTTCTTTCTCTCGGAGCTAGAAAATGCATGTTTGGTGTCTGCTTGCCAAAAGAAGCTTTTGGAATTTATGTTGCTAGTCTCGAGTTTTGAAGTCTCAAAGGATGTGACAGGAATGTTACATGGATTGAGTGCATGTGTGTGTTTGATTTTAAGATGATAACTGTGGGCTCGTTAAGACTTTCTGGTTTTGTGATGTGTAATCCTATTGTCATTTTTGTTTGGTTTTGATTTTTAATAGGTTTTGATTTTTAATTGGTAATGATTTTTAGTAGATTTTTAATTGGTTTTGATTTAAAAGTGGAGGAGAGCCTGGGTAGGAGGGAGATTCAGGGAAAGGAAATCAAAACAATCCTGGAAACTCCCCTAATGTTCAAGGATCTCAAAGCACATGACCACGGAGGGTTGGTAGGTGAGGAATGAAGGGAGATTTTCCTGTGAATCATGTATTTCCTTGTTATCACAACAACCCTTCCTGTCAGCGGCAACAGTACGTTCAGGGTGGAGTTGAAGAACCATGTCCCGTACATGAGAGAAGCCAGCTTAGTCATGAAAGAACAGTTCCAACTGTTTAGTACAGCAAAGAACATTCTGGAAGAAAATAGAATATAGCATGTCCAGAGTTGGCCAAAAGATCTTTGAAGAAGTTTTAAAATTTGATATTCAAATAATTCCTGCTTTTTGTAAAAACAAAGCCTACTTATTAATCTCTTGTAGAGCTATATTACACAAATGCCAGTATATTAAGTACAAAAGCAGGTGTAAACCAAATACAAAGCATCTCTGCTGCCCTGAAAGAATTTAGACTTTTTCATGGGTTGTGTGGGAGCTGATGGAGAACTGAGGTTTGATGACTTGAGCAGACCCCATTGAAACTCACTGCACCTAACTTCCTCTCTGCAGCCCCCACTGAATGAGGGTCTATGAAAAGCTATGCCCCTCAGCCTGTCCACTCAACTTGCTGGTCCTCCAGTTTGCTTCCTTAACAGAGTAGGATGTGATAGTTCAGCCATCGCTACACACAGCCAGCCTTAAATGCATTTGCCTGCCTTGATGACAAAATGATGCTGGGAGGTCTTCTTTGTCCAAAAATGTTGGTCCTTGACCTGTTCCGGGTTTGAGGCACTACAATTAGAGAATTCTTCCTGCATATGCAGCGTGATGAAGCAGAAAAAGCTTGGACTCAGATGTCAGCAGACTTGAGTTCAAATCTCAGCTCTTCCACTGACCATGTCACTTCATTTGCAAACCTCTGCCTCCATATCAGTTAAAAGGGGACACATGGCTGGGCGCGGTGGCTCACACCTGTAATCCCAGCACATTGAGAGGCTGAGACAGACGGATCTCTTGAGCTCAGGAGTTTGAGACCAGCCCGGCCAACATGGCGAAACCCCATCTCTGCTAAAAATACAAAAGTTAGCTGGGCGTGGTGAAAGGTGCCATAATCCCAGATACTCAGGAGACTGAGGCACGAGAATCACTTGAACCCAGGAGATGGAGGTTGCAGTGAGCCAAGATGGAACCACTGCACTCCAGCCTGGGTGACAGAGTGAGACTCTGTCTAAAGAAAAAGGGCCAGGCGTGGTGGCTCACACCCGTAATCCCAGCACTTTGGGAGGCCGAGGCAGGCAGATCACGGGGTCAGGAGATCGAGAACATCCTGGCTAACATAGTGAAACCCCGTCTCTACTAAAAATTAAAAAAAAAATCAGCCAGGTGTGGTGGCACGCGCCTGTAGTCCCAGCTACTCGGGAGGGTGAGACAGGAGAATCACCTGAACCCGGGAGGCGGAGCTTGCAGTGAGCCGAGATCGCACCACTGCGCTCCAGCTTGGGCAACAGAGCGAGACTCCGTCTCAAAAAAAAAACGAAAAGAAAAGAAAAGAAAAAGGGTGGGGGACAGGGGTGGATATATGTGAAATCAGTGAGACAATAGGAATTCGTTACATATTATTTTCCCTCCTTACTTTTCAGAGTGTAATAGTGTAAATACTCCAGAGTTGAGTAACAGCTTCAGCGCTTACCATCTGGGAAATTGGATGCCTCTGTGGTGAAATTAATTAACTTTCGGCTTTTATCCAGAATATTGGTGGTCTTTAACCACTGAAGGATGGAATGCTTTTGGCAAAGGTTTCTCTCTTAAGATTTTTTGCTTGCTCTCATAATCTCACTTATTTAGACCATCCTGGAGAGTAAGGACTATATCTTATTTATTTTTGTATTTCTTATGCCTGGCATAGAAAGTAATCGATAAATGTCTCTTACATGAATGAACAAATAAATGAATAAATTCTCCAGGGAGAGCAGAACAAGAGAGGTGATGATGGGTAGAAGGAGAAAGTACCCCAGGACTAAGAAGAGGGAAGGTGAGAGGGCCCCAAAGCAAAACAAAACAATGTTTTTGCCTAATTTGTAACTTTCTCCAGAATCAGAACTGCTGCTGCTGCTGCTGCTGCTGCTTTAGAAAGTAGATAAATTGTCTAGGCCTGGTGGCTCACACCTTGTGATGGTTAATACTGATTGTCAACTTGATTGGACTGAAGGATGCAAAATATTGATCCTGGCTGTGTCTGTGGGAGTGTTGCCAAAAGAGATTAACATTTGAGTCAGTGGGCTGAGGAAGGCAGACCCACCCTTAATCTGGTGGGCACCATCTAATCAGCTGCCAGCAAATATAAAGCAGGCAGAAAAACGTGAAAAGGAGAGACTGGCCTAGCCTCCCAGCCTACATCTTTCTCCCGTGCTGGACGCTTCCTGCCCTTGAACATCAGACTCCAAGTACTCTGGTTTTGGGACTCGAACTGGCTCCCCTTGCTCCTCAAGCTTGCAGACGGCCTATTGTGGGATCGTGTGATCCTGTAAGTTAATACTTAACAGCCTCCCCTTTATGTATAGAGAGATAGATCCTATTAGTTGCATCACCTTAGAGAACCCTGACTAATACACACCTATAATCCCAATACTTTGGGAGGCTGAGGTGGGAGAATCACTTGAGCCCAGGAGACCAGCTTGAGCAGCACAGTGAGATCCCATCAAAAAAACTGAAAAATTAGCCAGGCATGGTGGTGTGTGCCTGTAGTCCCAGCTACTCAGGAGGCTGAGGCGGGAGCTGTCTTGAACCCAGGAGGTTGAAGCTGCAGTGAGCTATGATTCACTCCAGCCTGGGCACCAGAGTGAGACCCTGTCTCCAAAAAAAAATTTTAAAACTAGATAAATATTCCTCATTCCCCACAGGCACAGGCACAGTGATGATGATGATGATGATGATGATGATGATGATGGTGATAATTCTGTGGAATAGGATTTAAAAAACTACCTTTTCTTAAAGTGGCTACAGCCCTTTTTGCAACTATCTTTCTACTACTTTTAGGAAGGCAGCTGCAATTTGTTTCAGTCTCTTGACTACATTAAGCATGTAACAGATAGGACTTTCACGCAAATATTGTCTCATGAAAAACTGGGATGAGGGCCTGAAGGGGGTGTGCAGGGCACTTCTCTGTCTCCATGAACTTACCAAATGCCCCTGGAGTGCTGTGCTGGTCCATACAACTATCCAGCCTGGGTGGTACCCTACGCTCAGTGCATACGCTTTGTTCTATTACTTTTTTTTACCTTAGTAAGAAAACTTAACATGGCATCTACCCTCCTAACAAAACTTTAAGTGCACAATATTGTTAAGCAGAGGCTCAATGTTGTACAGATCTCTAGAACTGAAAGTTATACCTGTTGAACAGCAAATCCCATTTTCCCTTTCCCCTACCCCCTGGCAGCTGGCAATGACCATTCTCCTCTCTGCTTCCATGAATTTGACTACTGTAGATACCTCAGATAAGTGGAATCATGCAGTATTTGTCCCTCTTTGACTGGCTTCTTTCCCTCGGCACAATGTCCTCAAAGTTCATCCATGTTGTCACATATGGCAGGATTTTCTTTTTTAAGGCTGAATAATACTCCGCTGTATGTACATGCCACATTTTCCTAATCCACTCATACATCAACAGACATTTAGGTTGTTTGTACCTCTTTGTTATTGTAAATAGTGCTGCAGTAAACATGGGAGAGCTAATATCTCTTCGAGATCTTGATTTTTAATTCTTTTGGATAAAAACCTAGTAGTGGGGTTGCTAGATCATATAATAGTTCTATTTTCAATTTTTTGAAGAACCTCTATAAGGTTTTCATAGCAGATGCACTATTTTACATTCCTGCCGACAGTGTGCAAGGTCTCCTGTTTCTCCACATCCTCACCAACACGTGTGATCCTTTTTTTCTTTTTCAATAATAGTCTCCCTAGCAAATGTGAAGTGATATCTCATTGTGGTTTTTATTTGCATTTTCCTGATGACTAGTAATGTTGAGCATTATTTTATACACCCGTTCGCCATTTGTATGTCTTCTTTTGAGAAATGTCTATTCAGGACCGGGCGCGGTGGCTCATGCCTGTAATCCTAGCACTTTGGGAGGCTGAGGTGGGTGTATCACGAGGTCAGGAGATCGAGACCATCCTGGCTAACATGGTGAAACCTCGTCTCTACTAAAAATATAAAAAAAAAAAAAAATAGCTGGGCATGGTGGTGGGCGCCTGTAGTCCCAGCTACTAGGGAGGCTGAGGCAGGAGAATGGCGTGAACCCGGGAGGCGGAGCTTGCAGTGAGCTAAGATCATGCCATTGCACTCCAGCCTGGGGGACAGAGCGACACTCCGTCTCAAAAAAAAAAAAAAAAAAAAGAAATGTCTATTCAGGTCCTTTGCTCATTTTTCAGTCAGGTTATTTGTTTGTTGTTGTTGTTATTTTCCCTATTGAGTTGTAGGAGTCCTTTACATATTTTATATATTAACCTCATGTCAGATATATACCTTGAAAATATTATCGCTCATTCTGTAGGTTGCCTTTTCACTCTGCTCATTGTTTCCTTTGCTGTGCAGAAGAAGCTTTTCAGTTTGATGTAGTCCCACTTGTCTATTTTTACTTTTGTTGCCTGCACAAAACACATAAGTCTAATAAAATAGAAAATAAACATGTCTAGGTGGATGCTTCCTCAACAAGACACTGTCCAGCTCAACCAACAAGCCAAGATCAGCCTTCAGAGGAAAACACTAAAAGGATTTCTGCTGAAAACAGGAAAAAAGACAAGGTTGTCCTTTACCATCATTTTTTTTTTTTTTTTGAGATGGAGACTCACTCTATCGCCCAGGCTGGAGTCCAGTGGCCCGATCTCAGCCCACTGCAACCTTCCGCCTCCCGGGTTCAAGCGATTCTATTGCTTCAGCCTCCTGAGTAGCTGGGATTACCGGCACGCGCCACCATGCCTGGCTAATTTTTGGATTTTTAGTAGAGATGGGGTTTTACCAGGTTGGTCAAACTGGTCTCAAACTCCTGACCCTGTGATCCACCTGCCTCGGCCTCCCACAGTGCTGGGATTACAGGCGTGAGCCACCGCACCTGGCCGTACCACCGTTTTTATTTAGCGCAGTATTAGAGGCACTAGATAGTACAACTAGACAAGAGAAAAACATAATGGTTATAAAAATTTGAATGGCAGATATAAAAGTATCACTATTTGAAGATTAAATGATTCTTGGCCCATAAAACCCAAGTAAATTAACTAAAAAGTTATTTCAAATAAGAGAAGGCCATAGGGTTGATTAGATATAAAAATTAACATGCAGAAATCAAGTCTTTATTTATATAGGCAATAATCATTTAGAAGATGCAATAAAAAAGTTGTTTTACTTAAAATAAACAAAAATAAAACACTTAGGAATTAAAGATGAAATGTGTAACACCTATATGAAGAAAATCTTAAAACACTAAGATATTTGAAAACAGATTACAAATAGAAAGGCAGACTATGTTCGTGGGAAGGAAGATTAGAGAACACACACACACAATCATAATTCTCTACTAAAGAGGTTCAAGAGAAATTGACATGATTCTGCCAGTGCTGGAGACACTGAGACTTTAAAGTCCCTACCAACTAGCTGGACATGAATGGCAATAATAGAGTCAATGGGCCGGGCACGGTGGCTCACGCCCATAATCCTAACACTTTGGGAGGCTGAGGCAGGCAGATCACCTGAGGTTGGGAGTTCGAGACCAGCCTGACCAACATGGAGAAACCCCGTCTTTACTAAAAATACAAAATTAGCCGGGTGTGGTGACGCATGTCTGTAATCTCAGCTACTTGGGAGGCTGAGGCAGGAGAATTGCTTGAACCCAGGAGGCGGAGGTTCTGGTGAGCCGAGATGGCACCATTGCACTCCAGCCTGGGCAACAAGAGTAAAACTCCATCTCAAAGAAAAATAAAAAATAAAATAATAATAATAATAATAGTAATAGAGTGAAAGACATGCGCCCTCCATCCTATGGCTGCAGGGCCTCAGTCTGATGGAAGAATTGCAAAGCACAGGCCTCGACATCAGTCTGGCTGACTTTGTATGATAAAAAAGGAATGTACAACAGTCCCAGGGTCGATCTCTGCACCACCGGTAAATCCAGTAAAGTGAAAGGAATGTAGGGAGGAAAGATGGAGTCGTGGAAGCAAAGGAGATAAATTCTAATTCCAACATCTCACTTAGAAATTGTTGAGTTGACTTTTTCTCTGAGCCTCAGTTTCCTTATCTGTAAAACAAAGGTTAAAAATGCCTGCTGCTTACTTCACAGGGCTGTAGTGAGGATAAAAATTGAAATGTGAAGTTCTTTGGAACTTTAAAACTATTTATTATATTTATTATTATTATAGTTTATTATACAAACAAAAGCAACCCATGTTTACTTCATGTTTAATTGGATATTATTAATCATGAGGGCTTCCACTGTGCCTCCGCCTCCTAATACCCACCAATAAATCCTACTTCCTGTCCACTTAAAAAAATAAAAATAAACGTATTCCTCAGCTTTATTTCTTAAGGAACCTTAAGGAATAGACTTTCTCTGGAGCAAACCATTCCCAGCTTCTTAACCAACCACCAGCAGTGGTTTCAAGTAATTACCCAGAAATATTGGCTTCCATCCTCTTCTTCCTCTCTTATTGCCTCCTTCCCTACCTTGCAAAATGCAAAATTGTGTATAGAAACATGAGTGTGAAACATCTTGAAACCACTCATTTATATAAACTATATATGTTCTTGACTCCCCACTTGGGGAAGAGCTGCCTGGCCAGCACCAGAGTGTGACATGAGTGAGAAACGGATTTCAGTGTTTAATTGATTTCCACAACATAGTCTATCCAGTCCTGCCTCCTACTTGAGGCTTATAAGTGAAGTGGTGGTCAGAGAAAGGAATTACAGAGTTCAAGATCTTGTCAAGTATGACCACATCTATAGGTTGTTGATGTGGAATGGAGATAAAGAGAATTCTATGAGAAGTGGGAAGTTTTTTTAATAACTGAGGCCGTTATTAAAGGTCTATGCAACAAATTTCTAGATAAATGCCCATTCTCACATAAAGAGTAGATGGTTTGTTTTTGTTTTTTTGAGACAGGGTCTCACTTTGTCACCCAGGCTGGAGTGCAGTGGCATGACCTCCCAGGTTCAAGCAATCCTCCTGCCTCAGCCTCCCAAGTAGCTAGGACTACAGGCACATGCCACTATACTTAGCTAATTTTTTGTATATTTTGCAGAGACAGAGTTTCGCCATGTTTCGCCCAGGTTTGTCTCGAACTCCTGAGCTCAAGTGATCTGCCCACCTTGGCCTCCCAAAGTGCTAGGATTACAGGCATGAGCCACCGCGCCCAACCAAGAGCAGAGTTTAGATGTGGTACCCATGGAGACGCAGACTAACAATAGGTGAGTGGATACAGTTGTGACTCAGTATATAAAATCTTTTCTTTGGAAGGCTATTGATGACACCTCAGATGCCATGCTGAGAGCATGGCAAAACAATGAATGTGGCCGGGCGCGGTGGCTCACGCCTGTAATCCCAGCACTTTGGGAGGCCGAGGCGGGCGGATCACGAGGTCAGGAGATCGAGACCATCCTGGCTAACACAGTGAAACCCCATCTCTACTAAAAATTACAAAAAATTAGCCGGGTGTAGTGGCGGGCACCTGTAGTCCCAGCTACTCGGGAGGCTGAGGCAGGAGGATGGCATGAACCTGGGAGGCGGAGCTTGCAGTGAGCTGAGATCGCGCCACTGCACTCCAGCCTGGGTGACAAAGTGAGACTCCGTCTCAAAAAAAAAAAAAAAAAAAAGAATGTAAAATTCAGCCCACTCTTACCACACATAATACACTCAAGATTGGGTGAGCCTATCACGCCAAAGAATAAACGACATGCAACAGAAGTCTATGCTGCCCCTATCGCCCCCACATGGCTCAGAGAAAGCGTTAGCAATAAACACTTTTATTTATAATGAGGAACAGATGAAATATGGAAGGAAATGATGGCATGACTGGATTTCCTGAAAGGTACATTAACAAAGTAATAAAACACAAGATACCCTTATAAACAGCACTAGTAAGTTTTACATAAATGCCTCCCATGACCTTTTGTGCTTTTGAGCTATTTCAGTTACAGTAACATCAGAGAAGGTGGCCAAAACCATTTACTATAAATTCAAACATTTTCCTATTCATGTAAATCAATGCATAAAAATCAAAGCATACTTCATATTCATACATACTCAGAAATGCTACACACAGACACACACAGAGAAAAAAACATATATGCCCTTGTGATCTCATTTGTTTTATAAAATGTGATATTAAGAGTACCAGCAAATACATATAGTCTAGGGAAGGAAGGAGCAGACTTCATTAGGCAGTTAGGAAATGTAAATCCCCAAATTGTCATTCCTAAGCCATGCAAGTTGGAATAACTTCACCAAAATTTGTCCTAAATAATTAATAAGTCAAACATGTTTTTCCTTAAAAGCTGAGGATTGTGCAGTATTAAATAACCATTTTATTACTATTAAAATTCATGGACCCCTCTAGTATATTTAAAATTTTTAATCCTAAATTGTTTAACTCTTAGAAATAAGGGAAATAATATTATTCTATCCTGCATTCTCAAAAAAATTTTTCTTCATCTCACTTTGGTGACCTGATTGCTATCAAGGAAAGCAATTCCCTTTAACATTTTATTCCACTGCAAAAAGCTTTTCCTGTACTTTATCTTGAATATGTATCATGGTGTTGCCCCAATACCCATGTGGGAATTGCTGGCGGGCAAGACCTCTTTTCTAGAAAAGAGGAAGAGAATGAATGTTTTAGGAACTTGGGCCTTAATGAAGAAAACACATCAGAATAACATGAAAAGCCATTTCAAAATATAGGTGTTCCATGAAAGAGCCACATATGCAAAGCAAATCCCCATGCAGAAAGAGCCGAGAAACCAAAGAATGAGGCAACAAATTCAGTTTGTCATTATAGGCTGATTTTATTGGGGAATTTACAGACAGATGCATGGTCTTGGATGGCCGCAAGATAGGTAGATCTCTGCACTGTTACCCTCCAACCCAAGGGCTCTTGTACCATTGGGAAAAGGAATAATGTTTCAGAGGGAATGTGCAGGAATTTGTTTAAGAGCAGGATTTACAGTAAATATGAGTTCCTACCTAAGGGTAGGATTTATGCAAAGTACATGTTCTTCAACAAGAAACAATAGATAAACTGGAAATATCAGAAGCATTCCTAGAACAGGAGTTCATCAAAAGCAAACATGGCGGATCAGCTTCCAAGATGAAGTTACTTTGGCTTCGACAATAGGTCTGGGGCTCATCCCCCAAGATTCTAATTCCCTACAAATGTTATTGGTGGTCACGTGCTTATTTTTCACAATGGCTGTCAGAACACTAGGGGCTAGGTTTGCTCCCCCTCCCCGAGTCAGGTGTGTACGAGCAGTGGCCCAGCACATGGCTGGTATGCTAACATCACTCCTGGCTCGCCTTACCTTCCTTCCCATATTTTCCATTTGCCTATTTTCTTACTTATTTTCAGTTTATCTTGCTAAATTGGGTGCATCTTTAGAAGCAGCCTTGAATTCTTTTTTACAATGCGGAGAATAAGTCAATGAGTAAATAATAATGAGACAGGACAGATTTTTCAATAAGGGAATGTTCTATCCTTTCCAGGACCTTTTTCTCTCCCTGCAGAATCCCAGTGCTGTGCTATTCTCTCCTTACCTCATCAACCCTAGTCTCAAATCCATCTTTTACACTCAGAATAAAATTAAATCAATGTGTTACCATTCTGAGAGATATTTGCCTTTTCTCTAATAGCAAAATAAGATGTACTACTTCTTAAAACAAGTTCAGATATCAAGGAAGCAGGCAAAAGTAGAGGAAGTAATCACAGACAACAGTCTTCCCAATACTGCAAAAATTATACCACTCATCTAGGATTATTTCTGCTTGGGACATTTTAAAGGAAAGTTGGATGGTTTCAATAACAATTTTAATTTACTTATTTTAAACTTGTTAAAAAATTTTTTAGCAATGGGGTCTTGCTGTGTCACCTAGGCTGGAGTGGAGTGCAGTGGCATCATCATAGTTCACTGCGGCCCCAAACTCCCAGGCTCAAGCGATTTTCCCACCTCAGCCTCCCGAGTAGCTGAGACTATAGGTGCGCATCACCATGCCTCTCTAATACTTTTTATTTTTTGTACAGATGGGGTCTCACTATGTTACCCAGGCTTGTCTCCAACTCCTAGGCTCAAGTGATCCTCCTGCCTCTGCCTCCAAAGTGCTGGGATTACAGGCATGCACCACCGTGCCCAGCCAATTTATTGCTCTGTTGATAGATTTCTATGAGTCATGTGAATAACCAAATTAATAAAGATGATGAAGAAAGGGATTACTGTGAGAAAATTGAAAGATGATTTGGAGAGAGATAAGTAGGCCCTGACTGGCATTTATGTAGAAGGGAGACAGAAGAGATCCAAAATGTTAATGGAGAAAAGGTTAAACAAGAATATTTTGACTATTGTTAGTCTAGACTGAGAGATTGAGGGTGAACTTTAAATCACAGGGCCATACACATAAAAGTGGGCGTTGCTATGGGAGTTGCTCTGCATTTTGGAGAGAATTTTGCCCTCTTTGTTTGGATTCCCCTGTGTGGACTCCGTATCAAGGCTGCTGTTAAGGGTCAAATTGTGTCTCCCCAAAAAGATATGTTGAAACTCTAACTTCCAGCACATACAAACATGGACTTATTTAGATTACAGATATAATCAAGTTAAAATGAGGTCCTACTGGATTGCGGGGCCCTACTCCAGTGTAAAAGGGGTTTCCTAGGGTTATTCAGTGCACAACCTGTACAGCAGAATGAGGCAGCCCTGGGAGGAATATTGCAAATGCTCAAGTGAGGTATTGTCGGCAGTATTTACTTATTTATTTATTTAAAGACAGAGTTTAGCTCCTGTCACCTAGGCTGGAGTGCAATGGCGCAATCTCGGCTCACTGCAGCCTCTGCCTCCCAGGTTCAAGTGATTCTCCTGCCTCAGCCTCCCAAGTAACTGGGATTACAGGCATGCACCACCACTCCTGGCTATTTTTTTTTTTTTTTTGTATTTTTTATTAGAGACAGGGTTTCGTCATGTTGGCGAGGCTGGTCTCGAACTCCTAGCCTCAGGTGATACACACCCCTCAGCCTCACAAAGTGCTGGGATTATAGACATGAGCCACCGTGCCTGGAGTTGGCAGTATTTAAAGGAAAGAAGCTGGGGTTCTTGTTTAAAAGAAAAGGATGACCCTTCCCGGAGAGAATATAAAATATGGATGGCTTAGTTTGTATCATTCAGGCCACTGACCTAAGATGACTGTTAATAATTATTTATGAGACATACACATATATTTGTACGTTTATACATATACCTAATAAATCTATATATGTGTAAATTCTTTTTCATAATGACTATCAGAACATTGGGAGCCAGGTTCTGATATATATTGATTGGATTATTCAATAAAATAAAATTGTTTTATGGTACAAACTTTTCTTGTGGTTAATTGTTTTCCTTTGTAGGTACATATTTTAGTTTATTGAAACTAGAGTTAAATTAACTTTTATAAGAGACAAGGGTGGAAGTGGAGATTTGGGAAAAGGCAAAAAAATAAATAAGAGAGAGAGATAACTTGCTATAAATAACCCTGCCAAGAAAGGAAATGAGATTTCAGAAATATGCTGCATGTGGTATAAAATCCAGGATTTTTTTTAAAAAGAGGGCATTGTTCACAGGAGTATTAAAGTGATCATTTTTTTATACTTCAAAAGTATTTAAGACCTAAAGAAATATTGTGCCTTCCATTTCAGCTATAAAAAGTCCAAAAGGAGAAACATGCCACACCTGCTTTTTTTTTTTTTTTTTTGAGACTGAGTCTCGCTCTGTCGCCCAGGCTGGAGTGCAGTGGTGCGATCTCGGCTCTCTGCAACCTCTACCTCCCGGGTTCAAGCGATTCTCCTGCCTCAGCCTCCTGAGTAGCTGGGATTACAGGCACCTGCCACCACACCGGGCTAATTTTCATATTTTTAATAGAGATGGGGTTTCACCGTGTTGGTCAGGCTGGTCTTGAACTCCTGACCCTGATCTGCCCACCTCAGCCCCCCAAAGTGCTGGGATTACAGGCATGAGCCACCATGCCCAGCCCACACCTGCATTTCTAAAACAGCACATCCATGGCCAGACCTCCTACAACCTACACCTTCAGTTATTTTCTGCCCCCCAGGACAGGGTGGGGAGGTCATAAATTTACCCACTATTTCCCAAAAGATTAGATATTTCACAGATTAAATGGTTTATGATCCCAAAAGTTTAGGATTAAAACAAAATTCTCATAAAAGAAAGGTATAGGTAAAAGAGGAAGAAGAGATGGAGTGGGAGATACCGCAAACTGGAAGCCCTGGAGTCTGATGTTATTTCTGGTTCTCTTGGAGAATAAACCCCATGGTAACCTACGAGTCTCCTTGTGAGGCTTTAACCAGGACTCGGCAGAAAGAACCAGGACTCCATATCGAGGGTGTCCAGCCCCAAATTCAGTTCTATGGAGCTAATAGTAAGTATAAGGTCTGAAAGGAGAGTCATTAAGCACCTTCTATACACCAGACATTAAAAATCAAAACTCAGCCGGCAGAGTAGCTCATGCCTGTTATCCCAGCAATTTGGAAAGCGGAGGCAGGAGGATTGCTTGATCCCAGGAGTTGGAGGCTACAGTGAGCCATGATCAAGCCACTGCACTCCAGCCTGGGAGATAGAGTGAGACTCTGTCTCAAAAAATAATAATAAATAAATAAAGTAATAAAAATAGGCCGGGTGCAAGGGCTTATGTGCCTGTGGTCCCAACTACTTGGGAGGCTGAAGTGGAAGGATCACTTGAACCTGGGAGGCAGAGGTTACAATGAGCTGTGATTATGCCAATGCACTCCAGCCTGGGTGACGAAGTGAGACCCAGTCTCGAAAAAAAAAAGTTTTATAAATTAAAAACGTTTCTTAAATAAATAAATAAAAACTAGGCTGGGCTCGGTGGCTCACACCTGTAAGTCCAGCACTTTGGGAGGCCGAGGCAGGCGGATCACAAAGTCAAGAGATCGAGACTATCCTGGCCAACATGGTGAAACCTCATTTCTACTAAAAATATAAAAATTAGCTGGGCACAGTGGTGCGTACCTGTAGTCCCAGCTACTCAGGAGGATGAGGCAGGAGAATAGCTTAAACCCAGGAGATGGAGGTTGCAGTGAGCTAAGCTGGAGCCACTGCACTCCAGCCTGGCGACACAGCGAGACTGTCCCAAAAAATCAATCAATCAATCAATAAAATAAAATAAATAAAAACTAAAGTAGAGCACGTCTTTCCCTTCGGGAGTTAAATTACATGCCATATTACATTTTACATTTAACTCCCTTTGGGAGTTAAATTATATGCCCTTGGGCAATACCAAACCTCTGCTGGCCTCATATATAAAATGAGGATTGTTAATAACCTCATCTCAAAGATAAAGTTCCTGGGGAAGACGGTAGGTTTCCCTTAAAGGTTAGCCTTCCTCTCCCACTTCGCGATGTGATTTGAGGATGCCTTCCTGACCCCAAAAGCCTCTCTGTGACTACTACCACCTCATGGTAGTGTACTTAACAATGGATTTAGATTGTTGGATGTGAAAAAACAAGATCATGTTGAAAATATTGTTATAATAACGTAAAATCTGATTATATTCATTTAGTCTCTATTAGAAGACTTGCTACTAATTTGTTTATTTATTTTCCACTCCTGATTATTATTTGGTGCTTCATTTTTTTTATTGTGGTAAAATATACATAACACAAAACTTTCTATTTTAAATGTACAGTGCAGTGGCATTAAGCACAATCACAAGGCCAGGCGTGGTGGCTCACGCCTGTAATCCCAGCACTATGGGAGGCTGGGGCAGGCATTCGGGAGTTCACTTGAGGTTGAGTTCAAGACCAGCCTGATCAACACGGAGAAACCCCGTCTCTACTAAAAACACAAAAATTAGCCAGGCGTAGTGGTGGGCGCCTGTAATCCCAGCTGCTTAGGAGTCTGAGGCAGGCGACTTGCTTGAACCTGGGAGGCACAGGTTGCAGTGAGCCAAGATCATGCCACTGCACTCCAGCCTGGGCAACGGAGTAAGACTCCATCTCAAAAAAAAAAAAAAAAAAAAAAGTAAGAAAGAAGAAGAACCAGAAGCAGGGATGGAAGAACAAGAAGGAGAAGGAGGAGAAGACAAAGATGATGAAGGAGGAGGAGGAGGAGGAAGAGGAGGAGTGGGAGGAGGAGGAAGAGAGGAAGGAGGAGGAGGAAGAAAAAGAAGGAGGAGGGAGAGGAGGAGGAGAAAGGAGGAAGAAGGAAGAAGGAAAAAGAAGAAAGAGGAGGAGGAAGGAGGAAGAAGAAGAAGAAGAAAACTGAGGGAAGTACACATCTCACAGGTCAAAAGGCAGTGTGGTATTAGCACGAGGATGGGTCCCTAGACCAGTGTAGTTAAATAGAGTGAAGAAACAGATACAAACCTAAATGGCCACCTGACTCCTCTGTAATTCACTGAAGAAGGATGGTCTTGGAATAAATGAAGCTGAGATATTTGGATATTCAAACAAAAATAACCTTGCCTCTGTCTCATGTCACACACAAAAATTATATTGTGATAGATCATAGACATAAGCAATCAAATTTCTAGAAGGAAACATAAGTGAGTAGAGTATCTTTGTGACCTTAAGATAGGAAAATATTTCTCAAACAGGACACAAAAAGAATTAGCCATCAAGATTGATATATTGTAAGAACATGTGGGAAAGGCGGGGGGAAAGATTGATAAATTGACCTTCATTAAAATTGAGAATGAAATAGCAAGACTGAAAGAATAGATATTTGCATTATATACAACTGACAATGGGTTCATATCCAGAATATGTTAAGAACTCCTATAAATAAATAAGAAAAAGACAGTTAATCACATTTTTAAAATGGTTAAAAGACTTAATCAGACACTTTAACCAAAGAGGTTGTTAAAATAACACACATATGAAAAGGTGCCAACACTCAGTCACCACAGAAATTCAAAGTAAAACTACAATTCAGTACCTTTTATCTACTAACAGAATAGTTACAATTTTTAAAGACTGACAATTGGCTGGGCGCAGAGGCTCACGCCTGTAATCCCAGCACTTTGGGAGGCCAAGGCAGGTGGATCACCTGAGGTCAAGAGTTCGAGACCAGCCTGGCCAACACGGTGAAACCCCATCTCTACTAAAAATACAAAAATCAGCCGGTCGTGGTGGTGGGTGCCTTTAATCCCATCTACTGGGGAGGCTGAGGCAGGAGAATCCCTTGAACCCGGAAGGCGGAGGTTACAGTGGGCCGAGATTGTGCCACTGCACTCCAGCCTAGGCAACAAAAGCGAAACTCCACCTCAAAAAGAAAAAAAAGACTGACAATAACAAATTTTGGTAAGAAAATTAGGCATCTGGAGCTCTCTTAAATGGCTCTTGGAAGCATAAGTAGGTACAACCAGTTTGGAAAATGCTTGGCAGTACTTTCTAAAGCTAAATCTACATACCCCTTCTGATGCAACAATTTCACTTCCAAATATACGCTGAGCAGCAAGGAGTGCTTGTGTCCACCAAAGGACATGTACAAGAAAGCTAGTGGAAGCTTTATTTAAAATAGCCTAAAATTGGAAACAACTCAAATGTCTACCAAGAGTAAAAATGATAAATTGTGAATATTAATACAAAGAATTTGTGGTATATTCTGCACTGTCAGTAGAAAGAACTATGAATCTCACAGACATAATGTTGAATGAAAGAAGTCAAAAGTAAGAGAGTGCATACTGTATGATTCTACTTAAATAAAGCTTAGGAACAGCAAAACTAATACAAGGTGATAAGCGTGAGAATAATTGCTCCATCGGTGGAATACTAGATGAGACAGGCAGGGAAGGAGCCCTTTGAGGTCCCGGACATGTTCCAGATTTTGATCTTCACACTGGTTAGGAAGGTATATGCATTTATGAAATTTTATTATATGTAAAATTCACACTTAAGATTTGTGCCCCTTTCTCTATGTAAGTTATACTTCCAATTTAAAGCAACCATTCAATTCCATATTTTCTATGTATTAATCACAATCTTTTTTTTTTTGAGACAGGGTCTTGCTCTGTCGCCCAAGGCAAAATGCAGTGGCATGAACATGGCTCACTGCAGCCTCGAACTCTTGGGCTCAAGCCATCCTCCTCCCACCTCAGAATCCTATGTAGCTGGGACCACAGGCACACACCACCATGCCTGGCTAACTTTTTCCTTTTTTTGTGGAGACTGGGTCTCACCATCTTGCACAGGCTGGTCTTGAACTCCTGGGCATAAGTGGTCCTCCCACCTGGGCCTCCCAAAGTGCTGGGATTACAGGTGTGAGCCACCACGCCCAGTCAGCAACATTTTATTGAATGTCAGACATTCTATAGAAAAACTGCAGAGGCTCTGGATGATGTTATCTTCTATCAAGAGGTTTCTCCTTATTCTCTGGCAGGCAGCAGGAGTGGGTGTACATCACCTCAGTACATTCAGTGCATAGAGCTTTGAAGCTGTCTTGCAATCTTTTTAAGGTTTAGCCTTCCTCTAAATTGAACCCACTCCTAGGAGTTAGCCCTGCAAATGAAGCCTAGTGTGTTTACTAGAACACTTCCTCCTTGGCTCCAAATTTTGACTCCTTACCTCAGTGCCATGAGGCTTCCACTCTGCTTTTCAACCTTTTCTGTTCGATTTCTCCAACTCTAACCTTGTTCAGCTTAAGAATCAGTAGAGGCCCCAAGGAGGAAATGGGTATGCAGCCTTTACTGGGCTTACTTCTCTGCACTCCCTGGAGTTTGTACCCTCAAGTCTCAGCTGTTCTGGCAGCCCCAAAACTCCAATGTTCACCTCCTGTGCCTCGTGAGATTGATGGAAGTTCTACCACTTTGATGCCTCTTAGCATTCACCTTCTAACCAACTTCGAAACCTCTGTTAGTGCCAAGAACTGGCATTGACTCAGGGATCAAACTGCAAGCAGAGGGTGACGCTCATCTCAGTGACCCACCCTTATCTCCAATATTCTTCCCTTGAGTCCTTACTGCCTCAGTGCCTTCCAGCAGATGTTTTTGATATTATATCTGGTTTTTCTAGATTTCCTTGATGGGAGCATGGTCTGCTACAAACTATACCCTTCTAGCCAAAATCAGGAATATTTTCATCAAGGTATAAACATTAGGCTGGGCACAGTGGCTCACATCTGTAATCTCACCACTTTGGGAGGCTGAGGCGGGCGAATCACTTGAGCCTAGGAGTTAGAGACCAGCCTGGGCAAGATAGTGAAACCCTGTCTCTATAAAAAAATACAAAAATTGGCCGGGCGCGGTGGCTCACGCCTGTAATTCCAGCACTTTGGGAGGCCGAGGCGGGTGAATCACTTGAGCCTAGGAATTAGAAACCAGCCTGGGCAACATAATGAAACCTTGTCTCTACAAAAAAATACAAAAGTTGGCTGGGCACACCAGCTACTCAGGAGGCTGAGGTGGGAGGATTCCTTGAGCCCAGGAGGTAAAGACTGCAGTGAGCCGTGATCACACCACTGCCCTCCAGCCTGGGTGACAGAGTGAGACCCTGTCTCAACAACAACAAAAAGACATTAAAGACATAGTAATGCTTACAGAAGTTATGTTATGTTTTTAACATTGGCATTTCAGGAGTTAAATGCAGATGGCAGCGGTTCCGAGGAAGAGAGGAAGTGCTAATAGCCTCATTTTATAAAGTGACCTGTGATGATTCTAGAAAGAAAAGTAAAAGCAAGTTACTAATATGCTAAATTAGCACAATTCATGGGATGTGATCAAAATGTGCTTTATTTTTCCATTGCTCCTTGCAAATGTCTTCAGTGATGTTCCACTTCTCCTGCTCCAGATGACATCTTGGACTAATCCCGTGACATTTCTGTTCACTGCCAGGTAATAGACTTACCACTGTTATAACTGCCCAACAGGTTCTGGTAGATGCCTAAAACTGTCTCTTTCTTTCATGGCACTTGCAGAGGCTGACCCAGGAGGGTCTCTCTGGGTGAAGTACCTAGGATGTGAGTGGTGCGTCACCTTCAGCTGACCTCTCTCCACTCAACCCTTGGTCCTCTAGCAACTCACTTAACAAGGAGGCTGATTATTTGCATCCATCACATTCCCAGTCTGTCCTCTTAGGCAGGACTTTAAGTGGCTCCAGGGTTCACTCTGCCATGTGGTCCACAAACACTCATGCTCCTATTAAGTGGCCACTGGAGGAGAATGCAGTTATTCCTGAGCGCAACAGCCACCCTCTCGGATTCCATCATCCAAGCTGCTTTCTGGCTCACCATCTAACCTTTGTTGACCTTCAGACTTGATAGGAATAGGAATTAGATACTAGTCCACTCTGTCCCTCAAATCCCCGGGGATACTTTGGGAGCCTCCCCATTTGGTCCAGGGAAAGTCCATGCTTATTTTGAGGAAATGAGGCAGGCGATCTCTGTCTCAGCCCCTTGGTGGGATATGTGGATGAGGCTCACAGTCAACCTTCTCCAAAGAAACCTTCCTCGAACAATGCTCTCATCCTCTCCACTCCAGCGCTTCTATATTCTCCATGAAGTAGTGGGTAAAGAGGAGCTTGAGAGTCATTAAACCGGATGTTGACCATTTCCTTTGTAATCTGCATACAGGACTTGGCTTCACATCCATTTTGGCATATATCTTACTGGCACCTCAGTCAAAATGAAGAGAGGAAGCATCCCACTTTCCCTACTGTTAGGAGTACATTGCTTCAGGTTATGATTACAGCAAATAGAACAACCAACGGTCTCAAATGTAAATGCAAACCATGGCAGGCAGCTAAACCCATGCATGAAACACACTCTGATGTGAGAAAGACTATTGGACTTGCTTTGTCAATTTGTAATTTTCCCACATGGGTACGGGGAAATATTTTGTTTGCTATAAGAAAAGAAAGAGGCCGGGCATGGTGGCTCACGCCTGTAATCCCAGCACTTTGGGAGGCCAAGGCAGGTGGATCACAAGGTCAGGAGTTCAAGACCAGCCTGGCTAAGATGGTGAAACCCCGTCTCTACTAAAAATACAAAAAATTAGCCAGGCGTGGTGGCGGGCGCCTGTAATCCCAGCTACTCGGGAGGCTGAGGCAGAGAATTCCTCGAATCCGGGAGGTGCAGGTTGCAGTGAGCCAAGATCGCGCCACTGCACTCCAGCCTTGGCGACAGACCAAGACTCCATCTCAAAAAAAAAAAAAGAAAAGAAAGAGACCAATGATGAGAAATGTCAATTTACACTCAGCCTCAGCACTAAAGAGCAGTAAGGAGTGGGGACATCTGGGGAAACTGGAAATCTGAGGGACCGACAGTCGTTATTCAGCTCAGGTCAACAGCTGCCATAAAAGAATGCAAACCTCATTTAAATATTTGAGGATTTTTCAAGAGAAGTAGGAAAATCTATATTTTTTTATTTAACTTGATCCTTTAAATGTTGGCTCAAACGTTTTTTCAACAGCATGCAGGCCAAACAACACTACCCATCTATACCCTCTACAAGACAGACACAAAAATAGTGAGCTGAAAACTCATGTATCAGAGCAGAAAGTCAGTAAATATTTATTTAAATTGATGCCTTTACAGATAGTGATTTTAGCACAGTACTTAGACCTGTGAAGAAAACTGAAAGAACAAAAAGCTGAATGAGTTAAAAGTGGTTATCTTTAAGGACAGCGTAAGAAAGACTATAGTTTTTATTATTTATACTATTTTTTGTTGTTTAAATTTTGTTATTACCTTAAGAAAAAAAATTAAAAAGGAATCAAAAATCTCTCCACAAAAACCCAACTCTGGTTTGACTTCCTTAGCTGGAACCTGTATTTCTATCATCAGACAACAGAAACCATTGCATTCCTGCTGCACCGAGGCCATAACAGCAACTCCACCAGCTTTGCAGAAATGATAACTGTGCAAGGTTCATCAAGTTCTGTGACCAGCTTCGGTGTCTGTAGCCTCCTGTCCCACACTGGGTTGCTCAATATCTTGTTCTTTGCACATACCTAATTCTTCCTGGCAGCTCAGAGAGGGTGTTGACCATATCTGAGGACTTGCAGAGCATGTCCCCAACTCAAGGACCACATGGAGCAGCCTGGAGGCCTCCTCCAGCCCCAGCCAATATCCAGTGACTACACGGGATTTTATCACTGAGCTTTCTGTCACCTCCCACTGCCCCCGCTTCATTAATCTAACACCATCCTTGTGGCTACATCTCTACTCACAAAACCCTCTGAGACAGCCACAACCACCCCCATTCACACCCCTAGAATACCTTTGTCTCCGTGGGTTCTCCATCCAGATTACACAAGCACAAGTTTGTATCCTCCATCTTGCAGAACCTCTCCCCAATCCTTGGAACAAGAGTCATTTGTCCTCAGCTTTCTTCCAACAAAAAGATGGCCCAGAAAGATGGTCCAGAGATTACTCCTATCCCAGAATGATATAAACTACAAGATTTTTGTTTTAATAAAAATAGCTGGGCTAGGCACCGTGGCTCACGCCTGTAATCCCCACACTTTGGGAGGCCAAGGTGGGTGGATCAGGAGTTGACGTCAGGAGTTCAAGACCAGCCTGGCCAACACAGTGAACCCTCGTCTCTACTGAAAATACAAAAATTAGCCAGGTGTGGTGGTGGGCGCCTGTAATCCCAGCTACTTGGGAGGCTGAGACGGGGAGAATTGCTTGAACCTGGGAGACAGAGGCTGCAGTGAGCCGAGATCGCATCACTGCACTCCAGCCTGGGTGACAGAGCGAGACTCCATCTCAAAGAAATAAAATCAAATAGCTAACAGTTGTTGAGTGTTTTACTTCACACTGGGTATTGTTCTAATCTCTGTGGTTTAGGTACATTTATCTCCATTTTAAGCCAAGGAAACTGAGGCACAGAAAAGTTAAGTAACCTGCTCAAAGCAAAAACTTAGTAATTGGCAAAGCATTTGTGTTGTTTTTGTTGTTGCTATTGTTGTTGTTGTTTGAGACAGGGTCTCACTCTGTCACCCAGGCTGGAGTACAATGGTGTGATCATGGCTCATTGCAGCCCCAGCCTTCCCGAGCTCAAGCAATTCTCCTACCTCAGCCTCCTAAGTAGCTGGGACGACAAGCGTGTACCACCATGCCTGGCTAATTTTTTTTTTTTTTTTGTACTTTTTGTAGAGTTGGGGTTTCGCCATTTTGCCAGGCTGGCCTCCAACTCCTGAGTTCAAGCAATCCTCCTGCCTTAGCTTCCCAAAGTGTTGAGATTACAAGCATGAGCCATCATGCCTGGCCACAAAGCCTTTGTTTTAACCCTGCTTCGACTCCAGATCCTGTGCTCTTACTACTAAAATTATATAGTATTTCAATATCAAACAGCCCATGAATGCAAAACGATACACCCATAAAATAGGATGTAATCGCCAAAATCTAATTCTATTGCATCTAGAAGATCTTTATCCACAGTGAAAAGAGTTGAACATCATTGACAGGTTTGAATACATTCAATATTTATACTCTTACCTCCCCCCACCATTACAAATTGTCTAAATGGCATTCTAAGCCTTTATGAATTCAATTAAAAAGAAAAATGCCAAGGCCTGCTCGCTAGAGGTCGCTCTCCTAACTATGGGGTCCTGTTAGTCTTATAGAGTAAGACAGCAGAGTAGGCCAAGAAAGTGATGGCAGCAGCCATCAGTGTGACCAGCAGATGGCATTAGAGTCCCACAGATCCTGAGATTGAGCCATAGCTAAGCAACTTCACTAGGCATACCACATCTGTCAAGGCAGGTTATGCTAAGCTTATTATTTTCACAAACGTTTAAATATAACGCTATTTGGTTGTCAAGATAGTCCACCCAAAACTCATACACAACTCATCTTCTGGGAAAACAGAATAAGTAAGATGTGTTGCTAGAAATAAGGTAGTGAAGGAAAAAAATAAGAGGATTGATTGACAGGAATGAAAACTCAGACTGGATTTTGAGGCTGTTTCTGGATGGCTTCCACCAAAAACCATAGACCCATCTAAGATCAGGGATACAAGGAGGGCTCATGGCTTCCAGCATTTTCCATTGGCCCTCAGCAAGGTGCTCCCCAAGATCAGCGGTCAAGAGAGGTGGTCAATACACACCAGGTTACGTGAGGACTTGGTTATTCTAGAGGAACCCAGAACACAAGTCCATGGCCTTTTCAACCATGTTAGGCGTTGGAGGCCACGTCAGCCCCCATGGATCCACTCTACAACTTTATAAAGAATTTGTTAGGCACCAGTGGCTTGCTTCAGAGTTCTAGTTCCTATGCTGTCAGGGAGTCTACAGCATCCCTATCCACAACTTACCTCCAGGATTTTGCTTAATTTCTGTGGAAAGCGATCTCAACTTCCCAGTTCACACACAGATGCAACCAGCATGAGACATTCCTAGAAATCAACAACCTTTGGTGACTGGTCTATCTCATGCTATTCTACATACTGCTTGCTCACTTCACAAATACGACATTCCAAGAGCACAAGGCTATCTGGTAAGGATGAGTATGGAGATAAATATTAACATCTTTTTACTGTGATGATTTAGCTGGAATAATTAAAACTTATATTTCCACTTATGAAGACTCTGCCTTTTGTTTTTTTAATAGAGATGGAGTCTCGCCATGTTGCCCAGGCTGGTCTCGAATTTCTGGGATCAGGCAATCCTTCTGCCTCGGTGGTAAGATTACAGGTGTGAGCCACCGTGCTCGACCTGAAGATTCTGTTTTACCGCAAGTAAAACCTACCCCCCTTTATCAACACTGTAGAGACTGTTAATAAGTGGCGCTTCTCAGAGCCAAGTACTGAGAGCAACAGTCACATCTTGAATGATGACCGAGACCAGCAACAAGTACTTCTACTTGTATTTTTACTGACTTTAGTTTAAAAATTTTTACTCATTTTAGTTTTAAAAGTATGTCTTTTTAAAGATATATATACATTTAAAGTATATCTTTTTTAACATATACTTTTATATCTTGAGATGTAAACCGAGAAAGGTGAAAGCACTAAGGAAAACCACTTTTTAGGCAGGCTGGGGTACTTAGAATAGACCATTCATAGAAGAAAGATTTAAAGGAACCAGAGAGCTCAACCCAAGAGACAGAACACATATCTGGACTTGTTTGTGCACATCTTCTGAATGCCTTTGTAGAGGACTTCCCTTCTCCTTGAACTGTTCTCTCTAACTCCTTGTTCTGCCTATAAATCCTACTCATCATTTAAAGTTTTTGTTGTTGTTGTTGATTTTGTTGTTGTTGTTGTTTTTGTTTTTGAGACAGGGTCTCGCTCAGTCGTCCAGGCTGGAGTGCAGTGGCTCGATCTCAGCTCACTGCAACCTCCGTCTCCCGGGTTCAAGCAATTCTCCTGCCTCAGCCTCCTCAGTAGCTGGGATCACAGGCACACACCACCATGCCCAGTTAATTTTTCTGTTTTTAGTAGAGATAGGCTTTTGCCATGTTGGCCAGGCTGGTCTTGAACTCCTGGTCTCAAGTGATCCACCCCTCCTTGGCCTCCCAAAGTGCTGGGATTACAGGCATGAGTCACCATGCCTGGCCTAACGTTAAATTTAAATAGTTCCTCCCCTGTAAAATATTCTCCAACCTCCTCAACCACGGTCAGAATCAACAGCTCCAACGTCTCACCCCTCAGTATGTTTTACAAATTGCCATCATTTGTAAAAATCTATCCCATAGTAATAAAAGCGAACAAAGTGCCATTATTAAAGAGTTTATCAATTAAGTCATTGTCAGGCAGGTGACTTGCTGCAGTGGGCTTAGGGGTTAAGAACACAGGCTCCAGCAGCAGACGGTGGCGTTAATTCTTGGTTCTTCCACATACTAGCTGTGTGGTCTCAGGTACGTCATTAAACTTGACCCTGCCTTGTGTCCTCATCCATAAAATGGAGGCAACAGGTCCAGGCGTGGTGGCTCAGGCCTGTAATCCCAGCACCTTGGGAGGCTGAGGCTGCAGGACCACTCGAGCCCAGGAGTTCAAGACCAGCCTGGGCAACATAGTGAGACCACATCTCCACAAAAATGTTTAAAAATTAGCCAGGCATGGTGGTGTATGACTGTGGTCCCAGCTACTCGAGAGGCTGAGGCCGGAGGATTGCTTGAGCCTGGGAGGTCGAGGCTGCAGCAAGATGTGATCGTACCACTGCACTCCAGCCTGGGTGACAGAATGATCCTGTCTCAAAAAAAAAAAGAAAAGAAAAGAAAAGAAAGTAACAATATTATCTTATTGGATTGTTGGGATGATTAAATAATATAAAATATGACAACAGAACAGTGCCTGGCATAAAACAGTCCTCCATAAAATGTTAACTTTGTATTAGTTTACCTACTAGATAGGTTGTTCCTCACTGTATATCAGAATCACTGGGGATATTTAAAAACAAACAAACAACAACAACAAAAAAACCTGATGTCCAGGCCCTACCCAAGACCTATTTTAAAAGATTGTTGAGGCTGGGTGCAGTGGCTCACACCTGTTATCCCAGCGCTTTGGGAAGGAAGGCAGGTGGATCACCTGCAGTCAGGAGTACAAGACCAGCCTGACCAATATGGTGAAACCCCAACTCTACCAAAAATACAAAAATTAGCCGGGCATGGTGGCGTATGCCTGTAGTCCCAGCTATTCAGGAGGCTGAGACAGGAGAATTGCTTGAACCCAGGAGGCGGAGGTTGCAGTGAGCTGAGATCGCGCCACTGCACTCCAGCCTGGGTGACAGAGCGAGACTCCATCTCAAAAAAAAAAAAAAAAGGCTATTGAGGTGGCTTCCGTTATTCGTGTTTCAAATCTTCCCTGGTAAGTAGCATGCTCCAGGGTTGGGGACCACTGTGTTGGATTGTGACCCCTTTGACAACAGGAACTAATTGTCTCTGCATCCCCAGCACGTGGGTTACTGTCTCAGACATGTATGAATTTAGTAACGTCTGTTGCACGGAACAGAGGATCTGAGAAGATCTAGAAGGATGTAAAATCCAAGTGTATCCTCAAAGCACCTCCTAAGACCCTGCTATGGCTTTAGATGTAACTATTTCCCATCATTATACCTCTGTGCCTCGGAGAGAAGGCTTACCTGAGTACCGTTAAGGACACTTGGGGACTAAAGGGTGGGAGAAGAACATTGGTCAACTGCAAAATTTTTCATGGAAACGCAGAATTCATACTGATAGTGTCAGAGGTATTTGAACCACAGCAACTCCATCTTGAATAGGGGCTGGGTAAAATGAGGCTGAGACCTACTGGGCTGCATTCCCAGATGGTTAGGCATCCTAAGTCACAGGATGAGATAGGAAGTCAGCACAAAATACAGGTCATAAAGATCTTGCTGATAAAACAGTTTGCAGTAAAGAAACCGGCCAAATCCCACTAAAACCAAGATGGCGATGAGAGTGACCTCTGGTCGTCCTCACTGCTACACTCCCACCAGTGCCATGAAAGTTTACAAATGCCATGGCAATGTCAGGAAGTTGCCCTATATGGTCCGTAAAGAAGAGGCATGAAAAATCCACCCCTTGTTTAACATATCATCAAGAAATAACTTGGCCAGGTGCGGTGGCTCACGCCTGTAATCCCAGCACTTTGGGAGGCCAAGGTGGGAAGATCATGAGGTCAGGAGTTCGAGACCAGCCTGGCCAATATGATGAAACCCCATCTCTACTACAAATACAAAAATTAGCCGGGCATGGTGGCACGTGCCTGTAGTCCCAGCTACTCAGGAACCTGAGACAACTTGAACCCGGGAGGCGGAGGTTGCTGTGAGCTGAGATTGCACCACTGACTCCAGCCTGGGCAACAGAGCAAGACTCTATCTCAACAACAAAAAAAAAAAAAAGAAAGAAAGAAAAAGAAAAAAAGAAATAACTATAAAAATGGGCAATCAGCAGCCCTCGGGGCTGCTCTGTCTATGGAGTAGCCATTCTTGATTCCTTCACTTTCCTAATAAACTTGTTTTCTCTTTACTCTGCAGATTCACCCTGAATCTTGTATTGCATTAGATCCAAGAACCCTCTCTTGGGGTCTGGATCGGGACCTCTTTCCTGTAACAATAGAGCAGCAAAAATTATGAAGTTAAGCTAAAGCCTCATTGGGGGAATTGAGAAAATACCTTCAATTCCTGTTTGATAGCACCGTCCAGTCTCAAACACTGTTCACCAGAAATCTCCTGAGTCCTGTCAGCATTGGCATTTCTCTGGAGATGTGAAATTTGCTATGCCAAGGCACACGGTGCCTGATAAAACCTAACTAGCTTGACGGAAAAATGTTGAACCATCAAAGGCCTCTGAAGGATAAAGGACACGGATTTTAGAAGTTGGAAACAAAGTAACCAGGAATTTTCCCACAAGACTCTAGAGGCTGTTAGAACTATGAGAGAGCATAGGAGAATTTTTATATTACTTTAGAAAGGCTGATTGTTGTGAAGTGTGCAAACAGAAAATAGAAAGGTTTGGATTCCTGAAATTAGAAGCTATTCTTCTTTTTGTGTGTGTCTTTTTTGCAATGTAAAGCACAAACTGTGAAGGGGACAACATTTTGAAGCACTTTGTTTTGTTTTGTTGAGACATGGTCTCACTCTGTCACCCAGGCTGGAGTGCGATGGTGCGATCTCGCCCACTGCAGCCTCCACCTCCCGGGTTCAAGTAATTCTCCCACCTCAGCCTCCCAAGTAGCTGGGACTACGGTTGTGCACCACCACAGTCAGCTAATTTTTTTGTGTATTTTTTTGGTAGAGACAAGGTTTCACCATGTTGGCCAAGCTGGTCTTGAACTCCTGACCTCAAGTGATCCGCCCGCCTCGGCCTCCCAAAGTGCTGGGATTACAGGTGTGAGCCACCACACTCAGCCAACACTTTGTTATTCTTGAGTGTTCTTTCACCTTGCCATCCCAATTCAATAGAGCTCAGTTTTTGGTTTTTTGTTTCTTTTGAGACAGAATCTCACTCTGTTGCCCAGGCTGGAGTGCAGTGGGACGATCTCGGCTCATTGCAACCTCTGCCTCAGTCTCCGAGTAGCTGGGATTACAGGCACATGCCACCATGCCCGGCTAATTTTTGTATTTTTACTAGAGATGGGGTTTCGCCGTATTGGCCAGGCTGGTCTAGAACTCCTGATCTCAGGTGATCCGCCTCGGCCTCCCAAAGTGCCCGAACTACAGGCATGTGCCACCACGCCTGGCTATTTTAAAAAAATTTTGTACAGACAAGGTCTTGCTACGTTGCCCAGGCTGGTCTCAAACTCCTGAGCTCAAGCAATCCTCCCACCTCAGCCTCCCAAAGTTCTGGGATTACAGGTGTAAGCCACTGCACCCAGCCAGCTATGACTATTTGAACCTTATCCCAAGATCATATCACTACCCTTAGGACCAATTCTGTCCTTCAGTAGGATCTATTAAAGCATGTTAGGTAGTCTAACAGTATAGAACTCAGTGGGGTCTTCCTTAACTTGCTACTGCTCTCACCTTATGCCCATTTCAATATTTATACATTTACCTTTTTTCTGAGACAGTTTTTTCCTACAACATACATGGTATGACATACATAGAGAAAAGTGCACAAATCGTAAATGCTCAGTCTGTTGTCTCAAAGTGAACAGCCTCAATCACCATCACCTGCTTAAGACATAGAACACAGACAGCACCCCAGAAGCCTTCTCTATGCTCCCCACCAATCATGCTATGCTCCCTTCCTCCAAACATTCTACTATTCGGTTTTCTATTATCTGTTTCTGAGTTTTATTTACAGAGAATCATATGGTACATGTTATCTCATGCCTGGTATTTATGCTATGCATCATGTTTGTGCGATCCAACCTAGTTTTGCATATAGCAGTAATTGACTCTTTTCATTATATAGGATCCAAGGTACAAATATATTGCAATTTGTTTACTGATTCTACTGGAGATGTGTATTTGTCCCTAGATTTTGGTTCTTGTGAGTAATGCTGTTCAGAACATTCTCAGGGGTCCCCAGCACCCAGGCTGCAGACTGGTACCTGTCCATGGCCTGTTAGAAACTGGGTTTCACAGCCAGGCGCTGTGGCTCACGCCTGTAATCCCAACACTTTGGGAGGCCGAGGCAGGCGGTTCACGAGATCAGGAGTTCGAGACCAGCCTGGCCAACATAGTGAAAATCCATCTCTACTAAAAATAAAAAAATCAGCCAGGCGTGGTGGCACGCGCCTGTAATCCCAGCTACTCGGGAGGCTGAGGCAAAAGAATCACTTGAACCCAGGAGGCAGAAGTTGTGGTGAGCTGAGATAGTGCCACTGCACTCCAGCCTGGGCAACAGAGTGAGACTCCATTTAAAAAAAGAAAAGAAAAGAAAAGAAACCAGGCTTCACAGGAGGAGGTGAGTGGCAGGCACACGAGCATTACTGCCTGAGCTCGGCCTCCTGTCAGATCAGCAGAGGCATTCGATTCTTTCTTACAGGAGCATGAACCCTGCTGTGAACTGTGCATGCGAGGGATCTAGGTTGCATGCTCCTTATAAGAATGATGATCTGAGGTGGAACAGTTTTATCCCGAACCCATCCCCTGCCACACTATCTCCCAGGTCCATGGAAAAATTGTCTTCCACTAAACTGGTCCCTGGTGCTAAAAAGGTTGAGGACCGCTGTTGTATATGTCTTTTGTGTATGTGAGCATGCGTTTCCGTTAGATACATACGTAGAGGGAGTTAAGCTGCTGGGTCGTGGAGTATGCACACACTCAACTTCCGCAGATAATGCCTAAGTTTCCCGATATAGTTCTACCAGTTTACACTCACAGTGTATGAGATTTCTCATTTCTTCTTGTCCTTACCCAGAATGGTATTGTTTACTCTTTAAACTTTGTCCCTTGGGCATGTTGTGGTATCTCATTGCCATTATAATTTGCATTATAATTTGACTAATGAATTTGGACCCCCTTTCAAACGTTTATTGGTCGTTAAGTTATCATTCAAGTCTCTTGGTCACTTTCTATGAGGTTGTCTAATTTGTAGAGAGGTTCTTTGTATATTATAAATATAAGTATTTACTCGATTACACCAATTGCAAACACCCTCTCCTACTGCTTGGTTTGCCTTTTCATAACTTTAATTGTGTTTTGTTGAAAAACAGAAAGTTAATGAAGTATAATTTCTCAATTTTGTTTTTAGTTTTTCCTTATTTTTGCCCTCAGTCTCCTCTCCAATATTTGTTTTTATTTTTTATTTAACAATTTCTCAATTACTTTCTTTGAGAGGGCCTTCTACGTCCTGTTTAAGACATATTTCCACATCCAAAGTTATGAATATTTTTTCTATTTTATCTTCCAGGAGCTTTACTGCTTTCTCTTTCATAAATTACAACTCACCTGGAATTAGTTTTTTTGAATGGTGGGAAGTATGGGAGGTATAGGAAAAGTTTTATTGTTCCATATAGCTTTACAACTGACCTCGCATCATTTATTGAAAGGACTGAGCTTTCCTTACTGCTGTGTGTGTGTATGTAAGCGTGTGTTTGAAGACTACTAGTGTGAATGAAAATATCAATACTTCATATCAATACTTCATGAGTTGATTATTATAAGTGGTCACAAATAGATTCAAATACATTTGAATTTTTATTTGCTCAGTTACAATTGAGTTATACCCCATAAGAAAAGCAGAGAAAAAAGAAAAGGCAGATAAGGTTAAGACAATTAGAAACAGAAAAAGAAGGCTGAACCACATATAAAAGGGATTCCAGGGACAAGGAAATGAGTCAGAGCCTCCTAGATTTGCTCACAGAAAAAAATAAAAAAGAGAAAATATAGTATAATTAAACCTAGCTCATGGCCACAGGAAGGAGTTGAGAAGTTTGAACACATCCAGATCTCAAGAGTGGCGAGGTGTGTGGTTGTTATTTAAGTACAATTTAAACCTGAGACTGAATGAAGAGCCCATAAATCACTAGTAGAGACTGGACAGGGGCCACCCCAAGCAGTAAATTACTAAAGCAAGTGAGGACAGCAATATTCAATGAGGATATATTAAAAAACAAACAAACAGATTGATTACTGTGTAAATGTATCAATGTGCTCTCTACCCCCCACTCTAAACTTCCTCCCCGTATTAACTACAGGGAAATCATACTCATCAAATTTAGATTCTGGTAGCTCATACTTAAGTGGAAGGCAAAAAGGCATTGAAGAGTGAAAGTAGAAAGAGTTTCACTTGATACATCTTTTTCACTTTCAAAAAAGGAAGTGTCAGTTTCTGTCTCTGGCTGGTGATTGCGGAAAGAGAATGAAGAAGTTTATAACAAGGCACACATGGGGATGGGAAAGGGAGGGACTTTATTTCATAGCAGATAACAGCCACAATCATAATATACTAGCCTACTTCAGTTTATTAGCAATAGTTCTTTTTTTTTTTGAGACGGAGTCTTGCACTGTCACCCAGGTTGGAGTGCAGTGGCACTGTCTTGGCTCACTGCAACCTCTGTCTCCTGGGTTCAAGCAATTCTCCTGCCTCAGCCGCCCAAGTAGCTGGGATTACAGGTGTGCACCACCACAGCCAGCTAATTTTTATATTTTTAGTAGCGAACGGTTTTTGCCATGTTGACCAGGCTGGTCTCGAACTCCTGACCTCAGGTGATCCGCCTGCCTCAGCCTCCCAAAGGGCTGAAATTACAGGTGTGAGCCACCATGCCCGGCCAGGAATAATTCTTTAGGTCATTTTTAGACACCTGATTTACTCAATTTACTCACTAAGACCAGTTGGTGGTCATATATAGAGCTTTCAGATGAGGGGGAAACATCCCCTTTAAGATGAAAAAAAAGTCTATTATTCCTTACATTAACTTAAGCATCATCCACTATACCTGATATCTGCAAATTTTGAGTCTCTCCAAAGTACTGCAGAGTGGATTGGCTCTCTCTTAGCAGTACCCCTATTGCCCAGGCTGGAGTACAGTGGTGTGATCTCAGCTCACTGCAGCCTCCACCTCCTGGGCTCAAGCAATCCTCCCACCTCAGCCTCCCAAGTAGCTGGGACTACAGGCCTACACCACCACACCCAGCTGGTTATTTTTTATTTTTTCTAGTTACAGTATCTCATTATGTTGTCCAGGCTGGTCTCAAATTCCTGGCCTCAAGTGATCCTCCCACCTCGGTCTCCCAAAGTGCTGGGATTATAGGCATGAGCCACCATGCCTCACCTCTTTTTTTAATATGGAAGATATGACAGAGGCTCTGAATTAGTAGAGGATTTATTGATCACTGTTGATTGTCTGATTTGCACTCATTCACTATATATTTACCACTGACTTCTTACCACATAGCAAGTACAACTGCTCAAAGCACTGAAAAGCATGAGACTGGAGGGGTGCAATGGCTCACACCTGTAATCCCAGCACTTTGGGAGGTCACAAGGGCAGATTGCCTGAGGCCAGGAGTTTGAGACCAGCCTGGGCAACATAGTGAGACCCCCTGTTAATACAAAAAAATTAAAAAATTAGCTGGGCATGGTGGGACGCTGGAATTAATACAAAAAAATTTAAAAAATTAGCTGGGCACACTGGTAGTCCCAGCTACTTAGGAGGCTGAGATGGAAGATCTCTTGAATCCGGGAGGTTGATGCTGCAGTGACCTATGATCATGCCACTGCACTCTAGCCTGGGTGACAGAGACTCTGACTTAAAAAAAAAAAAAGTGAGACCCCTCCAAAAGTTCTCATATTCTCTCTTTTTTTTTTTTCTTGAGACAGAGTCTTGCTCTGTCGACCAGGCTGGAGTGCAGTGACATGATCTCAGCTCACTGCAACCTCCGCCTCCCATGTTCAAGCAATTCTCCTGCCTCAGCCTCTGTAGTAGCTGGGATTACAAGTGCGCACCACCACACCCAGCTAATTTTTGTATTTTCAGTAGAGACGGGGTTTTGCCATGTTGGCCAGGCTGGTCTCAAACTCTTGACCTCACGTGATCCACCTGCCTCAGCCTCCCAAAGTGCTGGGATTATAGGCGTGAGCCACCACGCCCAGCCAATTCTCATATTCTTGACCTGAAATTGTTTACAGTCTAACGGTGAAGAGGAGAGATAAATAGATACAGGTACTACATGAGATACCATGACACCATGGAAAGAGGGAACTCAAGTTTATCTTGAGACAGGGAAATAATTATAGAAGCAGTGATGTTTTTGCCTCGACTTAGAAGAGTAGGAGTTTGGAACCTATACAAGTTGGGTAAACAGCATGTAAAAAACAAGGTGTTCAGAGAGCATGGTACCACTGAGAACTTACAAGTGGCTTGATATTTTTGGAGCATGAAGTGTCACAAGAGAATAATTATAAGTTGGCACCACATGCAGCAAATGCAAATTAGTGTGACATGGACAGTTGCTGTGACAGAAGTATTTTATAAAGAAGGTTGTTATCAACCTGCAAAAACACTTTAAAAATGGTACAGAAAACTTAGTGTTTTCTTCTAAGCCAAATTCATATTTCAGCCTCTTTGAACTCTGGTTAGATTGTCTCTCAGTTTCTTTTAATAAATTACTTTGGTCCCCTCTCCCTCTCCCTCTCCCTCTCCCCATGGTCTCCCTCTCCCCATGGTCTCCCTCTCCCTCTCTTTCCACGGTCTCCCTCTCATGCCGAGCCGAAGCTGGACTATACTGCTGCCATCTCGGCTCACTGCAACCTCCCTGCCTGATTCTCCTGCCTCAGCTTGCCGAGTACCTGCGATTGCAGGCGCGCGCCGCCCCGCCTGACTGGTTTTCGTATTTTTTTGGTGGAGACGGGGTTCCGCTGTGTTGGCCGGGCTGGTCTCCAGCTCCTAACCGCGAGTGATCCGCCAGCCTCGGCCTCCCGAGGTGCCGGGATTGCAGACGGAGTCTGGTTCACTCGGTGCTCAATGGCGCCCAGGCTGGAGTGCAGTGGCGTGATCTCGGCTCGCTACAACCTCCATCTCCCAGCCGCCTGCCTTGGCCTCCCAAAGTGCCAAGATTGCAGCCTCTGCCCGGCCGCCACCCCGTCTGGGAAGTGAGGAGCGTCTCTGCCTGGCCGCCCATCGTCTGGGATGTGAGGAGCCCCTCTGCCTGGCTGCCCAGTCTGGAAAGTGAGGAGCGCCTCTTCCCGCCGCCATCCCATCTAGGAAGTGAGGAGCGTCTCTGCCCGGCCGCCCATCGTCTAGGATGTGGGGAGCACCTCTGCCACGCCGCCCCGTCTGGGATGTGAGGAGCGCCTCGGCCCGGCCGCGACCCCGTCTGGGAGGTGAGGGGCGTCTCTGCCCGGCCGCCCCGTCTGAGAAGTGAGGAGCCTCTCCGCCCGGCAGCCACCCCGTCTGGGAAGTGAGGAGCGTCTCCGCCCAGCAGCCACCCCGTCCGGGAGGGAGGTGGGGGGGTCAGCCCCCCGCCCGGCCAGCCGCCCCATCCGGGAGGTGAGGGGCGCCTCTGCCCGGCCGCCCCTACTGGGAAGTGAGGAGCCCCTCTGCCCGGCCGCCCCTACTGGGAAGTGAGGAGCCCCTCTGCCCGGCCAGCCGCCCCGTCCGGGAGGGAGGTGGGGGGGGTCAGCCCCCTGCCCGACCAGCCGCCCAGTCCGGGAGGTGAGGGGCGCCTCTGCCTGGCCGCCCCTACTGGGAAGTGAGGAGCCCCTCTGCCCGGCCACCACCCCGTCTGGGAGGTGTGCCCAACAGCTCATTGAGAACGGGCCATGATGACAATGGCGGTTTTGTAGAATAGAAAGGGGGGAAAGGTGGGGAAGAGATTGAGAAATCGGATGGTTGCCGTGTCTGTGTAGAAAGAAGTAGACATGGGAGACTTTTCATTTTGTTCTGTACTAAGAAAAATTCTTCTGCCTTGGGATCCTGTTGATCTGTGACCTTACCCCCAACCCTGTGCTCTCTGAAACATGTGCTGTGTCCACTCAGAGTTAAATGGATTAAGGGCGGTGCAAGATGTGCTTTGTTAAACAGATGCTTGAAGGCAGCATGCTCGTTAAGAGTCATCACCACTCCCTAATCTCAAGTACCCAGGGACACAAACACTGCGGAAGGCCGCAGGGTCCTCTGCCTAGGAAAACCAGAGACCTTTGTTCACTTGTTTATCTGCTGACCCTCCCTCCACTATTGTCCTATGACCCTGCCAAATCCCCCTCTGTGAGAAACACCCAAGAATGATCAATAAAAAAAAAAAAAAAATTACTTTGGTTGGGTTTTCTTCCTTTAGAAATGGTATTTTCTCCTTCCCTTAGGAAATAGGTGGAAGGTCAGACTAACTTCTCACACACTCCATCCTTTGTCAGACAGTCATAGCTATGTTTTTATAAAACTCTAAATGGCCATTTATTACTTTGATCAGATTAATAGATTGTAGGGTAGTAAAACAGATCATTCCATTCGATTTCAAGTGGAAATATAGGAGTTATTCACTCCTTTCCCATTTTAAGAAACCAGAGGTAGCCTCTGTTTTCTCATTATCTTCTATGCATTCTGGAGATTAACAAATTCACTAAAAGACACTCAAGAGTAAAAACTTTCAAGATCAAATGAGTTGCTGGTAGAACTGAAATTGAAGAAGACATTTTAGCATTAAATCAAGGTCTCAGCCACTGAACTTCTTTTTTTTTTTGAGACGGAGTCTCGCTCTGTGGCCCAGGCTGGAGTGCAGTGGCGCAATCTCAGCTCACTGCAAGCTCCGCCTCCCGGGTTCACGCCATTCTCCTGCCTCAGCCTCCCGAGTAGCTGGGACTACAGGCGCCCGCCACCACGCCCAGCTAATTTTTTGTATTTTTAGTAGAGACAGGGTTTCACCGTTTTAGCCAGGATGGTCTCGATCTCCTGACCTCATGATCTGCCCGCCTCGGCCTCCCAAAGTGCTGGGATTACAGGCGTGAGCCACCGCGCCCGGCCACTGAACTTCTTAAAAAATCAAAATTGATAATGAAATTTAAGATATTGGGCTCCTGTTTCATAGACCTCACTTTTTCATTTCCTATTCCTGCCTTACTTAAATATTAATGAAGGATTTTCTTTTTCTTGAATTGGTTCCAACACCAGTGTTTAAATATAGAAGCTCTTGGAGGAGCAAGCATTTAACCAGAATTTACTCCTAAACAATCCTTCATGCCCATTTTCACTTGTAACATTGAAGTTGTTAATTTACTTTTCTATTACTTTCCTAACCAAATAAACAAGAGCATCTTAAACTAAAAAGCTTTTGTTCTTCATAAATATTTCTACTAGGGACCAACATTGCAAATAGCATTTTTTGAAAAGGTTTGTCTAAGCAAAATTTTTACCAGGTGATCCATATATGTAGTAGGAATTTGTAAAGCATCTACTATCAGCATAATGTTAGGCATGAAGTAGCAAACAGAATAAATATAAATATAGTCCCCATACCTGAGGAATATATTATCTTAATGAGGAGGAATACAGAGGAAACAGGCAAGTAATAATATAAGGCTATCAATGATCCATGACAAAGGAGAGGTCATTAAGTCTTTTTGCTACACTTTCCTATCAAAAGTAGGCCCTGGAGGAGATTCCTAGACTCCTCTAGAGAGTTTATTGATGAGATCTGGGAAGGAGCCAGGAATCTGAATTTATAAGAGCCAGCTGCTATTATTAAGATAAAAGCCAAAGCAAAATGAGCTGGTTTGCCCAAGGTGTGTTTCATTAAAGAAATGACCGACCAGCTGAACCTAATACCCTGAAAAGGATTTAATTAGGTTTGAGAAGCAAAAGGAAGTAGTGTGTGTGCATTTTAAAAAGAGGAAAGCTAGATGATGTGTTTGGCTGGAGCTGTAGGATTCATCTTAGACATAGCAAGAGTCAAAAGTGAAACAAAATTTAATCAAGCATTTATTCAGGCCAAGAACACTTTTATTTTGTAGACAGGGCAAAGGTATTTGAGTTGAGGAATGAAGGGATGAGATCAGCTTTTTAGCAACATTAATCAAGCAGAGGCATTTAAGATATATGTATCGTGAAAACCAGGAGGACAAGGCTACTCATTCATTTATTCATGCATCCATGCATGCATTCATTCATTCACTTAGCAAGTATATATTGAGCACTCAAATTCTCAGAAATGCCTTGTGCTAAGTAAGAAGTACGCACAGTTGTAAGCACCAACGGCCAGAAGAACTGTAACGCCAATTTTGTGAGTTATCTATGTTTAATCTTTTTTGTTACCTAAAATTTCTTCTTGTAGCCTGACTTAATTTAGGACTATCCTAGCAGCTTTCAGTTTTGTATTTATGCTAATTTGCCTAGCTATTCGGAGTCAGCTGCATTTGCAATTAAAATGTTCTATGTAATTGTTAGAAAACTATTCTGTAAGTGAGATGAAAAACAATTTTGTTCTCTCCAAACTATGCTAACAAGGCCAAGAGCAGAGGCTCATGCCTGTAATCTCAACACTTTGGGAGGCCGAGGAGGGTGGATCGCCCGAGGTCAAAAGTTCGAGACCAGCCTGACCAACGTGGTGAAACCCCATCTCTACTAAAAATACAAAAATTAGCTGGGCGTGGTGGTGGGAGCCTGTAATCTCAGCTACTCGGGAGGCTGAGGCAGGAGAATCGATTGAACCCAGGAGGCAGAAGTTCCAGTGAGCCGAGATCATGCCACTGCACTCCAGCCTGGGCAACAGAACAAGACTTCATCTCAAAAACAAACAAACAAACAAACAATACACACACACACACACACACACACACACACACACACACACTAACAAGACTCTAGAGAAAAAACTAAAAAGACTAAGGCCATATGAATAGGTAACTAGATCTTGAAACAAAATAGTTAAGGAAATTGGCTTCATATTAATGCCTATGTCAGTACTGAGAGGAATCAATCGGTATACTTAATAAATACTGAAAAATATTTAAATTTAGTCGTATGATTAATCATATCCTGATTGGAGGCTTGGTCCCTGGGGTGGTGCTTGGTATGCATCATATATTTCACTGCAGAACTTTGAACTCTTAATAAAAGGAGGCACAGCCGGATACTAAGCTATTATCTGTGTAGGAGTTATTGTGAGTAGAACACATCCCAGCTTGTAAAAACTAGTATATTTCCCCACTTTCCTTAAATCTTTTTCTGGGAACCTCATCTCACCAAATGGTAAGAAATTTAATCTGAATTGTCAGCCAGGTGCGGTGGCTCATGCCTGTAATCCCAGCACTTTGGGAGGCTGAGGCAGGCGGATCACCTGAGGACGGGAGTTTGAGACCAGCCTGACCAACATGGAGAAACCTGTCTCTACTAAAAATACAGAATTAGCCGGGCGTGGTGGCTCATGCCTGTAATCCCAGCTACTCAGGAGTCTGAGGCAGGAGAATTGCTTGAACCCGAGAGGCAGAGGTTGCGGTGAGCTGAAATCATGCCATTGCACTCCAGCCTGGGCAACAAGAGCAAAACTCTGTGTCAAAAAAAAAAAAAAAAAAAATTTAATCTGAATTGTCATCATGCTAAATATCAAAAAACATTAGACCCATATATGTAACAGGGGTCACAAATTGGGGCCCGTCAGCTTAGGTTTAATTCCTGGGTGTGTTTTATTGGCCCACAAAGTACATATTGCAAATAAACAATTTATTAACTACTAAAAAGTTTGTAAGTAGTTGCCAGAATTAATATGGGAAGCTTTCACATAAAGCTTATTTGAAGCTTCTATTACAAAATCAGAAGATCTGGCACTATTTGGCCTATGCTGATTTTTTTTGTTTGTTGTTGTTGTTGTTGAGACAATTTCACTCTGTTGCCCAGGCTGGAGTGCAGTGGCATGATCTCGGCTCACTGCAACCTCCACCTCTGGGGTTCATGTGATTCTCATGCTTCAGCCTCCCAAGTAACTGGGATTACAGGCGCCCACCACCACACCCAGCTAATTTTTTTTTTTTTAATGAAGTCTCGCTCTGTTGCCCAGGCTGGAGTGCAGTGGCACAATCTCAGCTCACTGCAACCTCCTCCTCCCAGGTTCAAGCAATTCTCCTGCCTCAGCCTCCTGAGTAGCTGGGACTACAGGGGTGCACCACCACGCCCGGCTAATTTTTTTGTATTTTTAGTAGAGATGGGGTTTCACCACGTTGGCCAGGCTGGTCTCAAACTCCTGACCTCGTGATCCGCCCGCCTTGGCCTCCCAAAGTGCTGGAATTACAGGCGTGAGCCACCACACCTGGCCCTAATTTTTGTATTTTTAGTAGAGACAGGGTTTTACCATGTTGGCCAGACTGGTCTCAAACTCCTGAACTCAAGTGATCCATCTGCTCACCTTGTGCTGGGATCATCCCAAAGTGCTGGGATTACAGACATGAGCCACCATGCCCAACCAGGCCCACATTGATTCTTAGCAGCAATTGGCTTGAGCTGAATAGCCTCTGTCCCTTTTGAAGGGGTATCTTCTTGTAGCTTGCCACAGTCCCCAACCATATTTATAATCTTAAACCTAAGTGCTTCAGCCAGTGATTTGGTCCTCATCCCTGTAGGCATTTGATTTTTGCCACTCCAACGCAAGGGTTTTGAGGGAGAAACATGACCAGAGCTCAGTAATCCAACAGGCCAACTAGGCATGTGTCTAAGGGGCCCTGAAAATAGGGCCATTAAACCACGGAGATTGTTTTTGAAATCTATATGTTGTTAAAACATTGAAGTAACCAGGAGAAATGCCAGCACTGTACTGGATTGTCTAACATCTATTTTACAGAGTGGAGGTTTTTATATTTTTAATTAAATGGGGAGGGAGCACACAGCCCATCAACAGTTTTTCAGTGCTAAAGACTAGGAAGATCATTATCTGGACCCTAAATTGAAACCCAAGGAGGTTTTTCACCCCCAACTTTTCAGCTATGTCAAGAGTCAAAAATTATAGGATCTATAGTTGAGATTATTTGGAACCGTCAGAAGTCACAAATAATGGCCAGGCACAGTGGCTCATGCCTATAATCCCAGCACTTTGGGATGCCGAGGCAGGTGGATCACCTGAGGTCAGGAGTTCGAGGCCAGCCTGGCCAACATGGTGAAACCCTGTCTCTATTAAAAATAAAAAAAAAAATAGCTGGGCATGGTGGCCCAAGCCTGTAATCCCAGCTACTTGGGAGGCCAAGGAAGGAGAATTGCTTGAACCCGGGAGGCGGAGGTGGCAGTGAGTCGAGATCACACCATTGCACTCCAGCCTAGGTGACAGTAAGACTCTGTCTTTAAAAAAATAAAAAGTAGTGGGTAGCCAGTGAACTCCCATCTTGTATGGTAAGGATATAAAAATACCCAAGGGTAAATAAGAGGACACTCCTAATTTCGCTCTTCATTGACTAAGGTCAAAGTGGAATAATGTATAATATTATTATATACATAATACTCCAGCCTGGGCCACAAAGTGAGACGCCGTCTAAAAAAAAAAAATTAAAAATAAAATAAAATGGAATACATAAGAAACACACAAATTTACACCAAATTCCTTTAATGTCAGCCTGTAGTTACCTTCCTCATACTTTACTAAGTCGTAAAGTTGTTTTCTGCTACATGTCCAGACAAGATAGACTTAAGGGCTCAATAATAAGTTGTAAGAACTGCAACAAGCTGAAATACATAAAAATATAAACTTCAAGTTTATTATAAAACAAAGAAAATACTAAAGATTATTCTCAAAATGAGATTAGATAATATTAAAAGTAATTTAAGAATTATCTGAATTAATTTCAGATTATATTAGAACAAGAAAAGAAGGGGCAAGAGGGAGGGGAGAGAAGATTGAACAATGTGTGGTCAAACTGCTTGTCAAAAACTAGAGGGATTAAAAATACTTTGTCACATTGTTGATGCCAACCATTACAGAAGTATAGGTTAAATTTTGCTTTTGAAAAAATTAATAGTCAGTTCTAGTAAACTTCAAAACAATAGAGTAATATATTACAATAACTGCTTAAAAAAATTGGTCATGAACTATTTGCCAATCATTGTTCAAAGGACCTACTCTGTCACCCAGACTGGAGTGCAGTAATGGTATCATAGCTCACTGCAGCCTCAAACTCCTGGGCTCAAGAGATCCTCCCACCTCAGCCTCCTGAGTAATTGGGACTACAGACATGTATCACTATGCCTCACTAATTTTTTTTTTTTTTTTTTTTTTTGAGACGGAGTCTCGCTCTGTCGCCCAGGCTGGAGTGCAGTGGCACCATCTCGGCTTACTGCAAGCTCCGCCTCCCAAGTTCACACCATTCTCCTGCCTCAGCCTCCCGAGTAGCTGACTGGGTCTTACTATGTTGCCCTGGCTGGTCTGGAACTCCAGGCCTCAAGCATATCCTCCTTCCTTAGTCTCCTAAAGTGTTGGGATTACAAGGGTGAGCCTCACCATGCCTGGCCTATTTTCCCATTTTCACAGATGATGAAACTTCAACTTAAAGAGTGTGTGGCACATATACAAATTGATACAGCAAATTATTTGGGGAACAGAAATTAAAAGCCAGGCCTGTCTGATTCCAGACCATGAACTCTTAATGGTTATATCTTATTCCCTATCAAAACATTCGTGAGGATACTGCAAAGAAAATATAATTCATGGCTGGGCATGGTGGCTCCTGCTGTGATCCCAGCACTTTGGGAGGCCAAGGCAGGGGGATCACCTGAGGTCAGGAGTTTGAGACCAGCCTGGCCAACATGGCAAAACTCCGTCTCTACTAAAAATAAAGAAATTAGCCAGGCGTGGTGGTGGGCGCCTGTAATCCCAGCTACTGGGGAGGCTGAGACAGGAGAATTTCCATGTTAAGAAAATGTCATATTGGGTTCTAAAACAGTCTAAATGCTATTTTTTAATAAACACAAAAAATGATCATCTGGGCTGGGCATGGTGGCTCACCCCTGTAATCCCAGCACGTTGGGAGGCCAAGGCAGGCAGATCACTTGAGTCTAGGAGTTCAAGACAAGCCTGGAGAGCATGGCAAAACCCCGTCTCTACTAAAAATACAAAAATTAGTGACTTGGGAGGCTGAGACATGAGAACCACTTGAACCTAGGAGGTGGAGATTGCAGTGAGCTGAGATCATGCTGCTGCACTCCAGCCTGGGGGACAGAAGGAGACTCTGTCTCAAAAAAAAACAACAAAAAAAATCTGTTATGGGATTAAAGAAGAAAAAAACACAAAGAATGAAATGACACAAAATGATTAAAGTCGAAGGATAAAGAAAAAATATTAGTCAAATACAGAGATAAAGTTGTTACCATTATATGGCTGGGCGCAGTGGCTCATGCCTGTAATCCCAGCACTTCAGGAGGCTGAGGCAGGTAGATCACCTGAGGTCAGGAGTTCAAAACCAGCCTGGCCAACATGGTGAAACCCCGTTTCTACAAAAAATACAAAAATTAGTTGTGCATGGTGGTCTGTGCCTGTAATCCCAGCTACTCGGGAGCCTGAGGCAAGAGAATCGCTTAAACCTGGGAGGCAGAGGCTGCAGTGAGCTCAGATTACACCATTGCACTCCAGCCTGGGTGACAGAGCGAGACTCCGTCTCATTTAATAAGGAAAAAAACAAAAACAAAAGAAAAGTTGTTACCATTACATTAATATGAGACAACATAAATAACAATAATTTTCTAAATGGATATATTATTAAATGATATTATTTTAATAAAGTATATCATGAAATATAGACTTCAGGCAAAAAAAAAAAACAAAAAAACACACAAGAAATGTTAGACCAGTAAAGGTATATTTCATAATAAATTATAATTTCCATGAATCTTTACTAAGTAGCATTGAGCCAAAATACTTATCACAATAATGACTACAAAAGCTGTAAAGACTGGCACATGCAAACTGCCCTCTCCAGTAACTGATGGGCAAAAAATAAACAAGGATAAAGGATGTCTGGAAAGAAGCATATAGATGAATTTAAAAGAGCAATGAACCTCCAACAGCAAATTTGAAAATCTTTGAAATATTTATTAATCTAAAATGTTCTGGCCTGGTTGCTCTTGCCTATAATCCCAGCACTTTGGGAGGCTGAGGCAGGAGGTTCCCTTGAGCCCAGGAGTTTGAGACCAGCCTGACTAACATAGTGAGACCCTCTCTCTACAAAAAAATTTTAAAGATTAGCCGGGTATAGGGGCACAAGCCTGTGGTCTCAGCTACTAGAGAGATTGAGGTGGGAGGACGGCTTGGGCCTGAGACGTTTGAGATTGCAGTAAGCCAAGGTCGCACTACTGCATTACAGCCTGGGTAACAGAGTGAGATCCTGTCTCTTAAAGAAAAAAAAGTTTCTTTATTATACATAAAGAAACTCTTAAATGATCGATGTGCTGACATTAAAAAAAAAAAAAGACTCTCACTGTGTAAACCAAAATTCCAGTTCCAGAAAGATGGCAGCCTAGCGTAGGCTGCTAATTTATCTTCTCAAACTCAACCCAAAACATAACTCAGAAGGAAGAAAGAATTGTTGGGTCTGAGAAAATGAAGTAAAATTTTAAGAAACCCTTAGGGAGGTAGAAGTCAGCTGTGATTCCCTCTGAGAGAAAGTAGCAGCTCTTGACAGAGGCAGGCTGAGCGCGGGGTCAGGGAGGAGTCGGGGATAGTTTGACTTGAACTCTGTTCTCTCTGTGTTGCCCTAGAATGCTCCTGATCATGGCATCTCTCTACAAAGCAAGGAAGGAGTGGAAGATGCCTGTGCTGGCCAGCTTGGTAGGGTGACATTACAGTGGGGGCCTCTGAGGAGAAAAGTTCAAAAGCCCTGGGTGGCCAACCTGTGGCCCTTGAACATCCCCTCTTTCCTCCCCATGGTGAGCTTGCCCTCACATGTGGTGTACAGGGGTATGACCTGAGAGAAACACACTCGAAAGGAGAAGGCTGGGCATAATGGCTCACAACTGTAATCCCAGCACTTCAGGAGGCCAAGGCAGGCAGATCACTTGAGCTCAAGAGTTCAAGACCAGCCTGGCCAACATGGCAAGACCCCCATCTCTACAAAAAATACTTAGCCAGGTGCCTGGGGTCCCAGCTACTCGGGAAACTGAGATGGGAGGATCACTTGAGCCCAGGAGGTCACAGCTGTAGTGAGCTGAGATTGTGCCACTGCATTCCAACTTGGGTGACAGAGTGAGACCCTATCTTGAAAAAAAAAAAGAAAGAAAAAAGAAAGAAAAGGAGCAGAGCCTGGGCAGATATCAGAAGAGTTCCTTTGAACATGTTTGCCTTAGGTGAGGAGTGGGGAAAGGGGGCCCAAGGCAGCGGTCAAGCATAAACTATGGCACCAGAGGCCTGAGATGTATCTGTACACACATACATCTTTTTTTTTTTTTTTTTTTGAGATGGAGTCTTGCTCTGTCACCCAGGCTGGAGTGCAATGGTGCGATCTTGGCTCACTGCAACCTCCACCTCCTAGGTTCAAGCAATTCTCGTGCCTCAGCCTCCCGAGTAGCTGGGATTACAGGCATGCACCACCACACCTGGCTAATTTTTGCATTTTTAGTAGAGACAGGGTTTCACCATGTTGGCCAGGCTGGTCTCGAACTCCTGGCCTCGTGATTTGCCCACCTTGGCCTCCCAAAGTGCTGGGACTACAGGCGTGAGCCACCATGCCCGGCCACACACACATCTTAAAGTCACCCTGGGGGCGGGAAGTAGAGTGTGGGTTTCTCTAGTTCACATTCCCCATCAAAGTAGCTGATGTCCTCAGAACTGTTACTAAACACATGAGGACAGAGGCACAACAGCCATTAAAGGCATAACCCCTTAAAGTAGAATGAATGGAATACAGCCACCACTGTTTCCAAATAAGCCTCTATCAAATAGAAAATGAAGAATTTTAGCAACATGATGCAAAAACAGTCATAGAAATATAGGATATGAAACATAATAATAATTGAATTCAGGAACTCAATATGTGGCAAAGACACAGAATGGGTTCAGCCCATCTTACCTGGAAGGAAGATGAGCGACCATCTTGGTCTGCCTTGGGCTGAGTTTCCTGGAATGCAAGACTTTCTGTGCTAAAACCAGGAAGGCCTCGCAAACTCAGACTTGGTCACCCTATCAAGAAGATAAGAAATCTCTCAGAAGGCATTGGGAAGAAATAAGTTAGAAATGTTTTGAAGTTACAAAAGCTAGAAGTAAACTGTCAACACTCATATAATAGACCCAGGAGGAGGAAATACGTTAGGAAATAATAACTGAAGCTGGGTGCTGGGCATGGTGACTCACGTCTGTAATCTCAACGTTTTAGGAGGCTGAGGCAGGAGAATCACTTCAAGCCAGGAGTTCGAGACTAGCCTAGCAAGGCAATGTCTCTTAAAAAAACAAAGGTAGCCACATATGATGGTGTGAACTTGTAGTCCCAGCTACTCAGGAGGCTAAGGCAGGAGGATCACTTGAGCTCAGGAATTGGAGGCTACAGTGAACTAAGATTGCACCATGGCACTCCAGCATGTGTGACAGAGCAAGATCTTGTTTCTAAATATATATGTATATATTTAATATATATATTTTTAAAATACATATGTATTTAAAATACATTTATGTATTTTTATGTACATTTATGTATTTTTAAATACATATGTATTTAAAAATATGTATTAAAATATAACTGTATAATTTTTCCAGAATTAAAGTTGGAAGATATAAGATTGAAAGGCTCCTAAACTGCCATAGAGGATGACATGTTTATTTTAATCACCCAAGACAGAGAGAAAATTATAAAAGCATCCAGTCAGGGAGAAAGACCTACAAAGGAACAGGCATCAGATTACTGTCAAGTTTCTCAAAAGCAACACTGGATACAGAAAACACAGTAGGCAAATATTGTCAAAGTATTACAAACAAACAAACTTTAAACCTGTAATTTTGTATTTTGCTAAACTGTCATGGATGTGTAGATGTACAATAAAGATACACTCAGGTATAGAAAGTCTCAGGAACTTTGTTACAAAAAAAAAAACACCTCTTTCAACACACTCTTGGAGGAAGTGTTTCAGCAAGGAGAAAAATAAATACAGGACAATGCCAGAACATATATGGAAGTACAGGTGAACAATTAACTTAGTAATATATTCCATACTCTAAAAGAGAAAGAATCCCAGCACTTTGGGAGGCCGAGGCGGGCAGATCACCTGAGGTCAGGAGTTCGAGACCAGCCTGGCCTTCTCTACTAAAAATACAAAAATTAGCCAGGAGTGGTGGCACGTGCCTGTAGTTCCAGCTACTTGGGAGGTTGAGGCAGGAGAATTGCTTGAACCCAGGAGGCAGAGGTTGCAGTGAGCTGAGATCACACCACTGTGCTCCAGCCTGGGCGACAGAGTGAGATTCCCTCTCAAAAAAAAAAAATAAATAAAAAAATAGAAAGAAATCAAAAGTGTATCCATAATAATCCAAAACATAAATTCTTAAAATAGTAAGGGCAGGGTGGGGTGAGGCAGGAGGAATTGAGTCAGTGCAAGATGACAGTATGCTATATGTTGATAAGGTTAAGAAATTAATAGAGAAAATAATATAAGTATTGGTCTTACTAATTTAGTGGCAACTACCTAAAAAATAAAATTACATAAATAGCCCTCAATCTGGCAAAAAATTCTGGATCTATTTAATAAAAGCAGAAAAGGGAAATAAATACTACCTATAAAATGGTATAAAGTCCTAAAGTGTTATTGTATTGAATTAAATGTAAATGAGTTTAAAGCCTCAAATTAAAACATTCCTAAAATTGGATAAAAAAGTAAACTGCCCACAAAAAAGACGTGTGCAGAAAGTTTGAAAATAAGGATATGGAAGTAGATACACATTGGACAATAAAGAAACAAAGCCAGGAGAGTAATTTTTTTTTTTTTTTTTGAGACGGAGTCTCCTCCTGTCACCCACGCTGGAGTGCATTGTCATGATCTCAGCTCACTGCAACCTCTACCTCCTTTGCTTGAAGAGATTCAAGCAAATCTCTTGCCTCAGCCTCCCGCATAGCTGGGATTATAGGCACCCACCACCATGCCCGGCTAATTTTTGTATTTTTAGTAGAGACAGGGTTTCACCATGTTGGCCAGGCTGGTCTCAAACTCCTGACCTCAGGTGATGAACCCGCCTCAGCCTCCCAAAGTGTTGGGATTACCAGTGTGAGCCACCGTGCCTGGCTGAGAGTAATTTTAATAGGAAAAAATATAATATTTTTCACCTTGAATTCTAAAGGAAAGCAGAGCACTAGGAGTAACAATATAATCAAGATGCAACCTAATGACTTAAGCAATACAAAGCAATAACTAGTAAAATTGCAAGGAGAGATTAACTGACAAGTCTAGCTGGAGATAGTTATAGACCCTCTCAGAAATGTATTGATAAAACCTACTAAAAATAAGCAAAGATATGGATGCTTTAAGTAACATGATTAATAAACTCAAATATATAGCTACATAACCAACAAACTACATATTCTTCTTTTTTTCTTTTCTTTTCTTTTTTTTTGAGACGGAATCTCACACTTTTGCCCAGGCTGGAGTGCAGTGGCGCAATCTCGGCTCACTGCAACCGCCTCCTCCCAGGTTCACGTTCAGGTAATTCTCCTGCTTCAGCCTCCCTAGTAGCTGGGATTACAGGCGCCGGCCACCACGCCCGGCTAATTTTTTGTATTTGTAGTAGAGACGGGGTTTCACTATATTGGCCAGGCTGGCCTAGAATGCCTGACCTCGTGACCCACTCCTCTCAGCCTCCCAGACTCAAGCCTGAGGATTACAGGCGTGAGCCACCGCGCCCGGTCCCCAAACCGTATATTCTTAGGAAGCATTCATGGAACTTGAACAAAAACTTCCTAGAAACACCTTCGGCTGGCTTTTGCCTTCATCTCACTGACCAGAAGTGTATCTAACTGCCACTAGCAGCTGCAAAAAGCTTGTAAATATTTTAATTTACCAGCCCCTATTTCAGAGACAAGCAAGGGAAAAGGATGCTGGGATTGATTTTGGGTTAGCCAATCTCCAGTGTCTGCCACATCATGGATATGTCTTTGTCGTGCCCTTACTTGAACGGCCGAGAACAACTGGATCTAACAGTTCAAGCTCCAATTTTTTACACTCAAAATTTGGAAGGCATTGCCTTCCTTGCCTCTAAGAGAGGTTTTATGCTAGCCTCTACCAAGTTACCTTGTAGTTGTCCTAATGTTTACTCTTGGAAACTTTTAAGATCTTCCATTTGTTTTTACGCTCTGAAGCTGCACGTGAATGTGTCTAGGAATGGGTCTTTTTTACATTCATCTTGCTCAGCACTCAATGAACCCTTTGAATCTGAAGACTTGAATCCCTTTCCAATTCTAGGACATTTTTTCCTATTGTTTCTTTGGCAATATTGTCTCCAAGTTTTTTGTTTTCTCTTCTTGAGAATCCAGTTAGTTGCACATGTTGGTTTTCCTGGATTGTCTTTCTCTCCCATTTTATGTTTTATACTTCTGGATTCTTTTATTTCTCCTGTCTCCATGGCCTTTCTACACAAAGTGTCTGTGGACTGTCAGCATTGACATCACCTGGTAGCTTCTTGTTAGAAACGTAGAACTTTAGCCCTCACCTCAAACCTCTACTGGATTAGATTCCTCGGTTTAACGAGATCAAGACCCCCAGGATTCTTATACACATTAAAGTCTAAGAGGTACTGTTGGATTTTTTTCAACTTCACTTTCCAGTTCTATTGAAATTTTGTTGTGGCATTCGTATTTTTAGTTTCTAGTAGCCCATTCTGGTACTGTTTCTTTTTCAGAAAATTTTATTTCTTCATGTACTGTATTTTTTTAGAGTAATTAGTTTTATTTTAAGCTCTCTTCTGTTTCTTGAATTCTTCTTTTCCCCCTCTGGGATTATTTTTGTGTGTTTGCATCTTGGTCTAGCTCTCTCATGTTCCTTCTTTTTTTCTTATACATCTGCTGGTCCTTGATAGTATCTTCATTTTTAAAAATGTGAGTATCATAGTTGTACATATGTAGGGGGTACATGTGATATTTTGATACATGTATACAATGTGTAATGATCAAGTCAGGGTAATTAGGATATCCATCACCTCAAACATTTATCTTTGTGTTGGGAACATTACAATTATTTTCTTGTAGCTATTTTGAAATATACAAGAAATTATTGTTAACTGTAATTTCTCTACTGTGCACCTTCAATTTTGAAAATGACAGACCTGATGGGTTATTTCATGTAGCTGGGATGGGTTTCTCCTTCTATTACATAAGTACACTTGCCTCCAGAGGAGCCTCTTTCCTAAATGGGAAGTCTTTACATGTGGGAGGAACAGTAATCGGCTTGGTGAGCTTTGTTGTTAGAAGCGAGGAGTCAAACCCAGTACTCACCTTGGAGAACATGTCTTCAAACTGTTTAACTTCTTTCAAAATCAGGCTTTTTTATTTGTGCTTTTTTGTGATGCAGTTAGGTAGGTAGGAAAGTTGGGAGCAGACTAGCACAACTGTCCTGCATTCTCAGCCACTTTGCATTCCCACTCTCTTTGATTTGTAAACTCTGCTGGTCTCCTGACCACGCTGCTACCCCATCGTACCATTGCAGTTTGAGCTCCACCTCAGCCATCAACACACTTCTGTCCTACCTTGTCTTCTAGTTTGTTTGTTTGTTTTTTTCTTACCTGCTAGTGGTCTTCCCTCTGTGTATGTCTATGTCCTAATCTCCTTCTCTTTTCTCTTTTCTTTTTTTTTTTTTTTTTTTGAGAGAGTCTCACTCGCCACCCAGGCTGGAATGCAATGGCGCGATCTCGGTTCACTGCAACCTCTACCTCCTGGGTTCAAGCGATTCTTCTGCCTTAGCCTCCTGAGTAGTTGAGATTACAGGTGTCTACCACCATGCCTGGCTACTTTTTGTATTTTTAGTAGAGATGGGGTTTCACCATGTTGGTCAGAGTGGTCTCGAACGCCTGACCTCAGGTGATCCACCTGCCTCAGTCTCCCAAAGTGCTGGAATTACAGGCGTGAGCCACTGTGCCTGGCCTTCTAATCTCCTTTTCTTAAACGACATCAATGTGTTCGGTTGGGATCTACCCCAATTACCTCACTTAACCTTAATTACCTCCTTAGAGACCCTTTTTCAAAATACAGTCCTAGTCTGAGGTCCCAGGGGTTAGGTATGAATTTGCAGGAGACACGATTCAGCTTTTAATACCAAGTTCATCCAAGTCCCTGCCTTCTCTGTGCCTCTCCCCACATGACTGAATGGGATGAGAGAAAAGCACACAGCATGCTGACTGTTCTCACTTTGAATTCCCAGGCACTAATCTTGAATAGACCCTTAATGCTGCCTACTTTAAATACCACGGTCCCCTAGCACATTCTTCTCATATTCTCATTGAAACCAATGCATGGCTTTTCTTCTGAACACTCCCTCCCAGATCCTTGCTCGGCTTCCTGTGGCACTGAGAAAGCAGGTGGCCATTTACACTAGATTATCTTCATATCTCCCCATCGACCTGCATCTCTGCCATCCACTCTCCCTATTCTCCTGTTACGTGGATGAACTCTTTGTGCTCCTAGCAAAGGTCCACCTGTGGACCCACACCCTCATTGTGTCCTCCTTGAGGACCCACATTCAGTCGATCCTCAAGCTACAATAGGCTTACCTGGACATAACTCCATCTATGTCTATAGATATTTCTGGTGGTAGGCAAGTGGATTCTGAAGTTTCATATGAAAAAATAATCAAGAAAATAACAGCCAGGAAATCTCTGAAATAGAAGAGCAATACGGTGGAACCAACCATACCATATAAGAAAATATTTTAAAATCCTCAGTCATGGCTGGGTGTGGTGGCTCATACCTGTAATCTCAGTACTTGGGAGGCCAAGGCGGGATGATTGCTTGAGCCCAGGGGTTTGAGATCAGACTGGGCAACATGGTGAGACCCTGTCTCTACAAAAAATTGTTTTAAATTAGCTGGGCATAGTGGTGGACACCTGTGGTCCCAGCCACTCGGGAGGCTGACTGAGGTGGAAAGATCTCTTGAGCCCAGGGGTTTGAGGCTGCAGTGAGCCATGATCACACCACTGCACTCCAGCCCAGGCAACAGAGCAAGACCCTGTCTCAAAAAATAATAATAATAATAATAACCATTAAAATAGTATTATTGTATGGGAATATTAGTAGACAAATCAGTGGATCAGAATAGAACAACATATGGGAATTTTGCATGTGAGAAAGTTGTATCTCAAATCTTTGGGGAAAAAAGTGTAAACTTTTCAATAAATGATTCAGAGACAATTCAGTAGCCATCTGGAAAAAAAGTAGAGTCAATTCCAAGGCAATATGTAAATTTGCGACAATTCCAGTGAAAATTCCAAAAGACAATTTTGTTGGATTTGAACTATCCAATATGCTTCTAAATTCCAAATAGAAAATTAGATGAGTTAGAATTGCCAAGAAATTTGGAAAAGTATACTACTAATGGAAGAAACTAATACTATCAGATATTAAAACTTAATGTAAATCTATGGTAATCAAAAACTATGGACTTAACATGTGAACAGGCAAATTTACCTACATTCATGTTCATCCCTCCCTAGAACATAATGGGTTCTCTATACATGTTTGTTGAAGATAGAATATTATCTTCAATTCGATAAAGCATAATATTTATATTCTGACTTAGAATTTAATTTTTCAATATTTTACTGATGGAATTCAGATCCTTTTCACTTACATAAAAAATACATCATTGAGTAAATTTTAAGATAATACTTTTCTGAGTTAAAGATTATATCCTGGCCAGGCGCCGCGGCTCACGCCTGTAATCCCAGCACTTTGGGAGGCCGAGGCAGGCGGATCACGAGGTCAGGAGATAGAGACCATCCTGGCTAACACGGTGAAACCCCGTCTCTACTAAAAATACAAAAAATTAGCCGGGCGTGGTGGCGGGCGCCTGTAGTCCCAACTACTCGGGAGGCTGAGGCAGGAGAATGGCGTGAACCCGGGAGGCGGAGCTTGCAGTGAGCCGAGATCGCGCCACTGCACTCCAGCCTGGGCCACAGAGCGAGACTCCGTCTCAAAAAAAAAAAAAAAAAAAATTATATCCTATTTTCAATACATAAATACACATAATATGTATACACACATACCTGAATACAAAGGTATCACACTGGCTTAATCTGTAAGCATTATATTAATTAAAAATTAATAAAATAAAAAATAATAAAAAGTTAAACATTATTTCAGTTATGTGATTAAAAGCATTGCAAAACCAAACATAGGCATACATACAGTATGCATGTGTGAAAATATGTATATGTGTGTAATAAGCCTGTAGAAAAAAGCAAGAAAATAATAGATATGCATTTAATAGTGCGGTTCCTTGGGAGATACGAGGGAGGTGTTTGGGATGGAGGGTGATAGGATTTGGGAGGCACATAAATGTTAAGTGGGTAGCAGAACAAATTAACAGAAGACCTGAGACTGCTATCCTTAGAAAGCCTTGCTCTCAAGGTTGGATCTTGGCTGGTGTCTGGGAAATTGAATTTTGGGAGGATTTCCACCATTGCCTAATAAGAGTATCTCACTGTGCCTGAACTATTTGTACAGGCACTGTGGTGGATGCCGAACATCTGTTCTGAGAGTCTTGAATTTTTATGTAGAAGGCAGGGGGTGCTATGTGACCAGCCCCGTCTAAAAACCATGGGTACTGAATTTCTAATGAGCTTCCCTGATAGGCAACATTTCACACATGTTTTTAAAACTCGGCATTGAGGGAATTAGGTGCATTCCCTGTAACTCCGCTGGGAGAGGAATTTTGGAAGTGTGTGCCTGGATTCCTCCAAACTTTGCCTGTGTGCCTTTTCCCTTGCTGATTTGGCTCTGTATCCTTTCACTGTTATCAATCTTAGCTGTGAATACAGCCAAGTGCTCAGTTGCTGAGTCCTGCGAGTCCTCCTAGTGAAGACTGTATTGAACGTAAGGGGTGGATCTTAGGGATCCCCTTCAAGTGGGTTTTATAGGTGTTCTTTTAAACATTTTTTTGGGCACGGTGGCTCATGCCTGTAATCCTAGCACTTTGGGAGGCCAAGGTGGGTGGATCACCTGAGGTCAGGAGTTCGAGACCAGCCTGGCCAACATAGTGAAACCCCGTCTCCACTAAAAATACAAAAATTAGTCGGGCGTGATGGTGGGCTCCTGTAATCCCAGCTACTTGGGAGGCTGAGGCAGGAGAATCGTTTGAACCCGGGAGGCAGAGGTTGCAGTGAGCCGAGATTGTACCACTGCACTCCAGCCTGGGTGATAAAATGAGACCCCATCTCAAAAAAAAAAAAAAATACCTATTATATCTGGTAAATTCTTTATTGTATGTATTTACCAGTTAACCAAAAGGAAGACAAAAGGAAAAATGAATAGGAGGTACCCAAATAAAGACAGGATATAGTTGTATAGAAATGTAGTCCAGTAGAATGTGGACATAGCAACGGCTGCTAAAGGCAGATCTGTTGCCTTCACCACCATCTGCACCACCAGCATCTGCACATTCCTACAATGGCTAAAACAGCAATAGGGGAAAGAAAATAAGGACATGACCTGTATGATATAGTGGAATTCTCATTAAACACAGCAGGGGCTTTAACTGGAATTAAGAGTAAGATGAGGTCTAGCCTACAAAGCAAACTAAAGAAGCTGTCCATCTTATCAGTGATCTGCTTTTATTTACATTTTTTTAAGAGACAGAGTCTTGCTCTGTTGCCCAAGCTGGAATGCAGTGGCATGATCATAGCTCACTGCGGCATCTAACTCCTGGGCTCAAATAATCCTTCTGCTTCAGCCTCTTGAGTAGCTAGGATGACAGACGTTTGCCACCATGTCTAGCTAATTTTTTTTAATGTTTTGTAGAGACAGGGTCTCACTATGTGGTCCAGGCTGGTTGCAAACTCTTGGCCTGAAGTGATCCTCCCACCTCAGCCTCTCAATGCGCTAGAATTATAGGTGTGAACCACCAGGTGTGGCCCTGCTCTTGTTTTTACCTGGAATCTTGCAACATCAACATCTATACTTAATTGAAATGAAAGTGAAGCAAATCAGGCTGGGCACAGTGGCTCACGCCTGTAATCCCAGCACTTTGGGAGGCCGAGGTGGGCAGATCACTTGAGGTCAGGAGTTCAAGACTAGCCTGGCTAACATGATGAAACCCCCATCTCTACTAAAAATACAAAAATTAGCCAAGCATGTTGGCACACACCTGTAATTCCAGCTACTCAGAAGGCACAGGCAGGAGCGTCTCTTGAACCCGGGAGGCAGAGGTTGCTGTGAGCCGAGATCGGGCCACTGCACTCCAGCCTGGGTGACAGAGCGAGACTCCATCTAAAAAAAAAAAAAAAAAAAGAAAGAAAGTGAAGCAAATCAACAAATGTGCCTTTGGCCAGGCTTTTAAGCTGATTTTAAGGCCACCACCTCCATTCTGGGAAGCCCGTTGAACTTTAGCTTGTACTAAGGAGAAAGACCTGTCCCTGAAGGAGATCCAGAAGAAACTGGAGGCTGCAGAGGAAAGAAGGAAGTCTGAGGAGGTCCAGGTGCTGAAGCCATTGGCAGAGAGGAGGGAATACAAGCAAGAAGTCTTTGAGAAGGCTTTGGAAAACGACACCTTCAGCAGAATCGTGGAGGAAAAGCTGATCCTGAAAGTGGAAAAAATTAAGGAAAATGAGGAGGCTAATCTAGCTGCTACTATGTCTGAAGGAAAAGGAGGCACGCCGCGGAGGTGCGCAGGAACAAGGACGCGCAGACTCAACAGTCTGGCTGAAGTGGAGGAGGGTACGGCATGCTGCACCATCAGTAAACCCACTGCCCATATTATAATGAGTCACGCAGTATCGGTATGGGAAATGTATGACATAGTTTACAAAGGACTCATTAACAAAGCAGAATTAAAATTAAAAAAAAAAAATGTGGAGCCGGATGCAGTGACTCACACCTGTAATCCCAGCACTTTGCGAGGCCAAGGTAGGCGGATCATTTGAGGTCAGGAGTTCGAGACCAGCCTGGACAACATGGCGAAAACCCGTATCTACTATAAATACAAAAATTAGCCAGTCATAGTGGTGCACACCTGTAATCCTAGCTACCCAGGAGGCTGAAGCACAAGAATCACTTGAACCCAGAAGGCAGAGTATCGGTGAGCAGAGATCATGCCACCGCACTCCAACCTCAGCAACAGAGCAAGACTATCTCAAACAAACAAACAAACAAAAAAAAAAAACAAAAAAACAAGGCCGGGAGCGGTGGCTCACACCTGTAATCCCAGCACTTTGGGAGGCTGAGGCAGGCGAATCATGAGGTCAAGAGATCGAGGCCATCCTGGCCAACATGTGAAACCCCGTCTCTCCTAAAAATACAGAAATTAGCTGGGCATGATGGCACGCACCTGTAGTCCCAGCTACTTGGGAGATTGAGGCAGGAGAATCGCCTGAATTCGGGAGGCAGAGGTTGCAGTGAGCTGAGATCACGCCACTGCATTAAAGCCTGGGTGATAAGAGCAAAACTCTGTTTCAAAAATAATAATAATAAACGCTGGGCATGGTGGCTCACGCCTGTAATCCCAGCACTTTGGGAAGGTGAGGCGGGTGATCACGAGGTCAGGAGATCGAGACCATCCTGGCTAACACGGTGAAACCCCGTCTTTACTAAAAATACAAAAAATATTAGCCAGGCATGGTGGCGGGTGCCTGTAGTCCCAGCTACTTGGGAGGCTGAGGCAGGAGAATGGCGTGAACCCGGGAGGCGGAGCTTGCAGTGAGCAGAGATTGTGCCACTGCCCTCCAGCCTAGGTGATAGAGCAAGACTCCATCTCAAAATAATAATAATAATAATAATAATAATAATAATAATAATAATAAAACCACCAACCATAGCACTTCTGCTTCTACTAGATTATGTGCAACCAGTGTGCTTTGGCTTTAGAAAGGGATGGACAAAAAGACTGATCTAAGATCAGTCTGGGTAGAAGCAAAGAGGTGAACCTTAAAAGTGCTGAACACAAATCCAAATCTTAATGTTTCAAGCATCTGTGAAATTGCTCTTTATCAACTGGGCTGAATTCTCTTGTTTACATTCTTCTGATGGAATGAATTACTTATGGTGTCAGGTAGCTTATTTGTGGATTCCATGATTGATGATGTTCATTTTAAGTTCTTACCAATAGTACAAGTACATGATGCGACTGAATATTTTCCCACTTTGAAACTGTGAGCTGGTTGTTGCATTAAATACACACACAAACAAGATAAAAAACACTGCAGACTTTTACTCAAGCTGGTCTTTCTTCCCCAGTGTGAAGCAGTCCTGCCTTTTAACCCTTTTCCCGTTTAGAGAAAAAAGTGCAGCTCGCTGCCAGTCCTCATTTAATTTTACATAAACATGCTCTTTGAGGTTGGAGCAAATCTAACTGATGTTCAATGTAAAAATAAAATATAAAAACTGTTCTTGGAGTTATTTCTAAGCAGAACTAACATTAGAATTGTCTGAATCATCAGAATCATCTATTTCAGAAAAATCGGATTCACTAAATGAATCTTTGTCCAACAACTGTTCCAGAGATGTGAACCTCACTCCTAGGAATGCTATGTTTTCTAGGATTTGACATTTTCAGTGATGGCCAATTATTATATTTTGTAAATGGAAATACCACTACTAAAAACAGAATGCTATAAATAGAATGATGTCTTTTGTTTCCAAAGAATGATGTGAAAATAATAAAAATGAGGTATTTCCTGGCAAAGTTATCTCAGGATAAATGCTGAAGCAACAAGCACTGCCAGTGAGTATTCTCGGAGCAAACAGGAAAAGTGTTGAAAAAAATTATCTGTGAGGGCTGAGCCGTTAAGGGGCTGGGCAGAATATCATGCCAACTAAGGGAATTACCAGTTACCCACTAAAAGTACCCAACTCCCAACTCCTGAAGGTAGCCACCTGCGTATTTACTCTTAGTGCAATTTTCCTGTATGTTCTTGTGAGCAAGCTGTGATTAATAGAGAATTGAAGTTCTGTGAACAACAACAACAAAAAGAAATAGTATAGCAATGTCTAAAATCAAACCAAAGAAAATCACATGAAGAGAACTGGAAATGAACAGGGGAATGAGAAGGAATGGTGAAACCAGAGAAGAACAGTAGTCCCCTGTTATTCACAGGGGATACTTTCCAAGACCCCCAGTGGATGCCTCAAACCTCAGATAGCACCTATATATGCTACATTTTCTCCCTATACATACATACCTATGATAAATTATAATTTATAGGCCAGACGCGGTGGCTCACACCTATAATCCCAACACTTTGGGAGGCCGAGGCAGGTGGATCACCTGAGGTCAGGAGTTCAAGACCAGTCTGACCAACATGGAGAAACCCCATCTCTACTAAAAATACAAAAAACTAGCCAGGCATGGTGGTGCATGCCTGTAACCCCAGCTACTCGGGAGGCTGAGGCAGGAGAATTGCTTGAACCCGGGAGGCAGAGGTGGCAGTGAGCCAAGATTGCACCATTGCACTCCTAGCCTGGGCAACAAGAGAGAAACTTCATCTCAAAAAACAAAATAAACAAAACAAAACAAAACAAAACAAAAGGTTTCCTTGAACACAAGCACTGCAATACCTTGACAGCCAATCTGTTAACCGAGACAGCTACTTAAGTTGACTGAAAGGCAGGTAGCCTATACAGTGTGGATAGCTGGACAAACGGATGATCACTGTGGTGGGTGTGGCAGGGCAGAGTTGGAGGGCATGAGATTTCATTATACTACAACACAGTAACGCACAATTTAAAACTTGTGAATTATTTCTGGAATTTTCCATTTAGTATTTTCTGACTCCAGTTGATGGCAGGTAAGTGAAACTGCAGATAAAGGGGAGACTACTGTAGTCAGAAGTGGCAATGGTTGTGGTCTCCATGAGATGGTCCTCTTGGTTCCCAGCCCCATCCTCCTTCCCTGTACCTGCTTGTGTGCCTGTTGATTTTGTGTATTGTAAGGATTGAGGCACATTTTTTTCCTTATATGGAGAGCTGTTTTTTCTATTTCCATTTACTGAAGACTATCCTTTCCCCATTGAATTACCTTATTACCTTTGTAGAAAATAAATTAACTACACATGTATGGCTATATCTATATTTATGGGATATATTTCTGGCTGTATCTGTTTCTGGATTTTCCAATCTCCTACATTGATATATAGGTTTGTTCATGCTGTAATACCACATTGTCCTGATGCTTTACCTTTATAATAATCTGTTAGATCAGGTAGTAAAATCCTCTGAATTTTGTTTAAAATTGTTTTAGATATTCTAAATCCTTTTCATTTTCATATAAACTTTGGAATCAGCCAATCAATTACTAGGGGAAAGGAACTGCTTTTTTTAAAGATTGCATTGAAACTTTAAGTCATTTTGGAAAAAACTGACATCTTAACAATACTGATTCTTCATTCTATGAATGTGATTATTATTTTGATTATAATTCAAAACTACCAGGCATAGTGGCTCATGCCTGTAATCCCAGCACTTTGGGAGGCCAAGGAGGGAGGATTGCTTGAGCTCAAGAGTTTGAGAACAGCCTAGGCCACATAGTGAAACCCCGTCTCAACAAAACATCAAAAAATTAGCTGGGCATGGTGATGTGTGCCTGTAGTTCCAGCTACTCAGGAGGCTAAGATGGGAGGATCGCTTGAGCCCAGGAGGTCAAGGCTGCAGTGAGCCAAGATTGTGCCACTGCACTCCAGCCTGGGCAACAGAGTGAGACCCTGTCTCAAAACAAAAACAAAAACAAAAACCACTTTTATTTCTTACATTGTTTCTGCTTTGGCCACTGGGAGCACTTTCAGTTGGCGCCTGTGTTGCTTTGACGTACCCTTCATTGCGTGCTGATATGTGTGTTTAGCACCTCGTTGTTTTTCTGGCACTACAAGATGTTCCAGGTTCATCTTATATATTCTGTGTCCCAGTCCTAGAATCGGTCATTTCTCCAAGGAAACCTGGTTTCTTTCACTGGACGGTAGTTTTAGAAACCAAGATCTGGGCATTAGGTGTGCTTATTGAGTATACTGGGGTATCTTTGCTTCTAGGTCATCTTAAGGAAATAGACCCTTGGAAGGAAATATACATATTACTGTATTCCTTCACTTGCTTATGTGTAAACTCCCGCTCCACCAGTGAGAAACCTGGCTACCCTCATCCTCCATTTACTTAATTTTCCAAAGTAATTGAATTTTTGAAGTAATTTGGATATTTTATTCCTTAGCTCTAGAAGTTTCATTTTATTCTTTTGTGTGTGTGTGTGTGTGTGTGTGTGTGTGTGTGTGACAAGAGTCTCACTGTCACCCAGGCTGGAGTGCAGTAGTGCAATCATAGCTCACTGTAGCCTTGACCTTCTGGGCTCAAGTGATCTTCCCTTCTCAGCCTCCTGGGTAGCTGGGACTACAGGTGTGTGCCACCACGCCCAGCAAATATTTTTACTTTTTGTGGAGATGGGGTCTCATTGTGTTGCTCAGGCTGGTCTCAAACTCCTGGGCTCAAGTGATCCTCCCACCTCGGCCTCCCAAAGTGTTGGGATTACAAGCATGAGCCACTGCACCCAGCTCTTGCTCTTTTTTATAGTTTCCATTCATTCCTCTTCATTATTTTCAGGTTTTTCTTTAAATCCATGTATGTATTTAGAATAGCTGTTATAATTATGCCTGTCATTTCTGGGCTTGTTTCTTTCTTTCTTTCTTTCTTTTTTTTTTTTTGAGACAGGATCTTGTTATGTTGCCCAGGCTTGGGCTTGTTTCTGTTGATTTATATTTCTCCCACTTCGTGTCACTGTGAAGTGAAGGGCTGACTTACTTAAGTTTTGGGTGTTCAAACCTTACGCATTCTGGCTGGGCATGATGTCTCACGCCTGTAACCCCAGCACTTCGGGAGGCCGACGTGGGCAGATCACTTGAGGTCAGGAGTTCGAGACCAGCCTGGCTAACATGGTGAAACCTCATCTCTACTAAAAGTACAAAAATTAGCTGGGCATGTTGGCGGGTGCCTGTAATCCTAGCTACTCGGGATGCTGAGGCAGGAGATTTGCTTGAACCCAGGAGGTGCAGGTTGCAGTGAGCTGAGATTACACCACTGCACTCCAGCCTGGGCAACAGAGCAAGACTCCAACTCAAAAACAAACAAACAAAAAAACCTTGCACATTCCAAAGAAAGTTCTGGCCCTTGATGGGATCCTGGAGGATGACTTCTAAGCCCTTGAAATATGCAAAGCCCTTTACCTAGGGCTTTGGGGCAACCCAGGCATTGTTAGCATTGTTAATAATATAATTTATAGTGGGTGCCTTAGGCCAGGCTTTTAAAGTCTGACCTTTGGAGGGGCTAGAGCAAGAATAACTAAGGTCAGCTATTGGACACTCCATGCCTACATGACCACCCCTACCTCCCTCAAAAAACCTTGGATATTAAGACTCAAGTAAGCTTGCATGGCTAGCAATATTTTGTGCTTCTTGTGATATATTGTTGCTGGGAGAATTTAGTGTTGTCCACATGGCCCCAGTGGGAATGGACAACTGGAAGCTCATTCCTGGACTTTCCTCCATGTACCTTTTGCCTTTGCTGATTTGACATCTATTTTTCCCATAACAAATAATAACTGTGAGCATGGTGGCTTTTCTGAATTCTGTGAGTCTTTCTGGCTAATAATTAAACCCAAGAGTGGTTTGAGGGGACCTCCGATATTCACCTACTCTTAATTTTTTATATTTGGTGATTATATATTGAATGCTAGTTATTTTGAAAGTTACTTTGATAAGTGTCTGGATTTCTGTATTTTTTTTTTAAAAGAATGTTGAATTATGTTTTGGCAGGCAGTTGAGTCACTTGCTTTGTTAGGGTAGGTCTAGTTGTTCAAGGGCTAAATGTAACCTCAAGTATTCAACAAGATTTCTCTGTTGTGGCTAATCACAACTCTCAAACATCTTTTGGCTCTGGGAACTGTTCAGCTTTCAGCAGCCGTTAACTAGTTTTCTTTGCCTGACCTTGTGGTGTTCCATGCTATGCATGTGCTGCTTTATATTCAGCCAGAAACTCAAGGTGGCCTCTGTGCAGATTTCCAGAGCCCTTTCTCTGCATAACTAACTCCTCTCTACTACTCTGCTCTGCAAATTCCGGCCACCTCAACCTTTCCAAAATCTGATCTGTCTCCTTAATTCAGCAAGACTTCTATGCTTTGTTTGGGTTCCCCCTTCCTATAATGTGATTCAGAAAGAGCTACTAGGCAGAAAGCAGAAGTATTGTTGTGATAACATCTTTGTTTTCCTGCTCTATTCTTCAATGTCCAATTGTCCAATATCTAGTTGTTCCATATAGTGTGTGTACATTTTCTGGTTATTTATACAAGAGGGTGCTGTGGTTTGAATGTGTCCTCCAAATTTCATGCGTTGGAAACTTAATCCTCAAATCCATACGTTGATTGAAGGTGGTATCTTCAGAAAGTAATGAGGATTAGGTAAGGTCATCAGGGTGAGGGCCCCATGATGCAACTGATGGCTTTATAAGAAGAGGAAGCAATGGCCAGCCATGGTGGCTCATGCCTGTAATCCCAGCACTTTGGGAGGCCAAGGCAGGTGGATCACCTGAGGTGAGGAGTTCAAGACCAGCCCAGTCAACATGGTGAAACCCCATCTCTACTAAAAATACAATGTTAGCTGGGTGTGGTGGCGCATGCCTGTAGTCCCAGCTACTCAGGAGGCTGAGACAGGAGAATCGCTTGAACCTGGGAGGCGGAGGTTGCAGTAAGCAGAGATTGCGCCACTGTACTCCAGCCTGGGTGACAGAGTGAGACTCCATTTCAAAAATATATAAAATAAAATAAAAATAAAGAGGAAGCAAGACTTGAGCTTATATACACACTCTTGCTCTCTCCCCATATGATGCTCTCTGCCATGTTCTGACACAGCAAATAGGCCCTCACCAGATGCCAGTGCCATGTTCTTGGACTTCCCAACATCTAGAACCATGAGCCAAATAAACTTCTTTTCTTTATAAATTACCTAGTCTATGGTCTGTTGTAGCAACAGAAAACGGATTAAGACAGAGGGCAAATATAGTTCCAGGTATTCTGTCATGGCAGGAAGTATAACACCCTCTACTGTTTTAGTTGCTATTTCACATGGTATTTTCCAAAATTAATTACATTTTCAAATATAACTTCCATATGTGGTCATATGGAAATGTAATTGTCTTGAACTCTTATTAATTCTATAATTTATCTGTAGACATTTTATAAGTTTTCTATATAGACATTTGTGTCAAAAATAATATTTTTTCTTTTTTGCTTTGGAATTTTAATTTTTTTCTTGCTGTATTGGCTTGGGTTTCCACAATAATGTAGAATAGAAGTGGTAATAGTGGATATTCTTTCTTATTCCTGCTTTTTAAAGGAATGTTTTAAGCATTAATATCACACATGATGTTTGCTATAGCTCTTTTTTAGATCCCAATGAAATAGATTAAATAAGTTGTCTTTTAAAATTAGTTCATGGGTTATTTTTGCGGTAAACTGAAAAAAAATCCCCCTCCTTCCAGTTATGTTTACTTCCTTTTTTCTTTTTTCTAATTTTTTTTTTCTTTTCCTCTGTCACCCAAGCTGGAGTACAGTGATGGTATCACAGCTTATAGCAGCCTTGATACCTGGGGTCAAGTGATTCTCTCACTTCAGCCTCCCAAGTAGCTGGGACCAAAGGCATGCACCACCATATCCAGATAATTTTTTTTGCTTTTTTTTTTTTTTTTTGAGACAGGGTCTTGCTCTGTCACCTAGGCTGGAGTGCAGTGATGCAATCTTGGCTCACTGCAACTTCTGCCTCCCGGGTTCAAGGAATTCCCCTGCCTCAGCCTCCTGAGTAGCTGGGATTACAGGCAAATGACACCATACCCAGCTAATTTTTGTATTTTTAGTAGAGATGGGGTTTCACCATGTTGGCCAGGCTGGTCTCGAACTCCTGACCTCAAGTGATCCACCTGCCTTGGCCTCCCAAAGTGTTGAAATTACAGGTGTGAGCCACCACACCTGGCTTTTTTTGCATTTTGTGTAGAGATGGGGTTTCACCATGGTGCCTAGGATGGTCTCAAACTCCTGGGCTCAAATGATATTCCTGCCTCTGCCTCCCAAGTGCTAGGACTATAGGCATGAGCCACCACGCCCAGCCCAATATTTACTTTCTAATCTCTAGAACCTGTGAATATTATCTTACACGGCAAATAGAGCAAAATTACGTGTCTTAGTTATTTTGTGTTGCTATAAAAAATACCTGAGGTTCCTGGTAGGAAAAAAAAAAAATAATATTTAAAAAAATACCTGAGGCTGGGAAATTTATAAAGAAAATAGGTTTATTTGGTTTGCTGTTCTGCAGGCTGTACAAGAAGTGTGGTGCTGACATCTGCTCCTCGGCTTCTGGTGTGGCCTTCGGCTGCTTCCATTCATGGCAGAAGGCACAGGGAAGCCTCATGTGCAGAGATCACATGGTGAGAGAGGAAGCAAGAGAGCAAGTTGGAGCCGGGCGTGGTGGTTCATGCCTGTAATCCCAGCACTTTGGGAGGACGAGGTGGGTGGATCACCTGAGGTCAGGAGTTTGAGACCAGCCTGGCCAACGTGGCGAAATCCTGTCTCTACTAAAAATACAAAAAATTTAGCCAGGTGTGGTGACGGGTGCCTGTAATCCCAGCTGCTGGGAAGGCTGAGGCAAGAAAATCGCTTGGACACGGGAGTCAGAGGTTGCAGTGAGCCAAGATTGTGCCACTGCACCCCAGCCTGGGCCACAGGGTGAGACTCTGTCTCAATTAAAAAAAAAAAAAAAAAAAAAAAAACAGAGCAAGGCGGGAGGTGCCAGGCTCTTTTTAACAACCAGCTCCTATGGGAACTAGTAGAGCAAGAACTCACTCACTTCCTCCCCTCCCCTTCAGGGAGGACATTAACCTATTCATGAAGGATCTGTCCCCATGACCAAACACCTCCCACTAGGCCCCACCTCCAACATTAAGGATCAAATTTCAACATGAGGTTTGGAAAGTCACATGTTCAAACTACAGCATTGTTGGCCAGATGCAGTGGCTCAAGCCTGTAATCCTACCATTTTGGGAGGCTGAGGCAGGCAGATCATCTGAGGTCAGGAGTTCAAGACCAGCCTGGCCAACAAGGTGAAACCCTGTCTCTACTAAAAATACAAAAATTAGCCAGGTGTGGTGCCATGTGCCTGTAATCCCAGCTACTGGGGAGGCTGAGGCAGGAGAATCACCTGAACCCAGGAGGCAGAGGTTGCAGTGAGCCGAGATCATGCCACTGCACTCCAGCCTGGGTGACAGAGCGAGACTCTGTCTCAAAAACAAAACAAAACAAAAATCCTATAATATTGCTTTATGTAGTAAAAGATATGACTAAGTTAAGGGTTTTCAGAGGAAGAGTTTATCCTGGATTATTTGGGTGGGCCCTAAATATGGTCACACAAATTCTTTTCTTTTTTTTTTTTTTTGAGATGGAGTGTCACTCTATTGCCCAGGCTGGAGTGCAGTGGCGTGATCTCGGCTCACCAAAACCTCAGTTTCCTGGTTTCAAGCATGTCTCGTGCCTTAGCCTCCTGAGTAGCTGGAATTCCAGGTATGCACCACCAAGCCCAGTTAATTTTTGTATTTTTAGTAGAGGCAGGGTTTCACCATGTTGGCCAGGCTGGTCTCAAACTCCTGGCCTCAAGTGATGCACCTGCCTCGGCCTCCCAAAGTGCTGAAATTACAGATGTGAGCCCAGCCACAAATTCTTTTAAAAGAGAGGCAGAGCAAGATTTTACACAGACAGACACAGAGGAGAAGGCCACGTGAAGACAGAGTCAGAGATTGGAGTGATGTGGCCACAAGCCAAGGAATGCTCCAGAAGCTGAGAAAGGCAAGGAACAGATTCTCCCATAGAGCTTCTGAAGGGAGGCTGACCCTGCCAACACCTTGATTTTGGACTTCTAGCCTTCAGAACTTTGAGAAAATAAATTCTGTTTAATTGCCAAATTTATAGTAATTTGTTATAGCAGCCACTGACAACTAATATTTTGATTTAATAAATGATGCTTAATCACATCTGATATGGTTTGGCTCTGTATCTCCACCCAAATATCACCTTAAATTGTAGTTCCCATAATCTCCATGTGTCATGGGAGGGACAGAGCAGGAGGTAATTTAATCACGGGGGTGGTTGCCCTCATGCTGTTCTCTTCATAGTGAGTGAGTTCTGCCAAGATCTGACAGTTTTATCGGGGCTTTTCCCTCTTTTGCTCAGCAATTCTCCTTCCTGCCGCCATGTGAAGAAGGACATGTTTGCTTCTCCTTCCACCATGATTGTAAGTTTCCTGAGGCCTCCCCAGCCCTGCAGAACTGTAAGTCAATTAAACCTCTTCTTCTATAAATTACCCAGTCTTGGGTACGTCTTTATTAGCAGTGTGAGAACAGACTAATACAACATCAGATGCATTTTTTGCATCTACTGATATAATTTTTCTCTTTTAATTTCTTAATGTGAATTATATCAATGGATTTTTCTAATGTCAAAGCAATTCTACATTCCTACATGAAGTCCAACTGGCTCATGATCTATATCTGTATGTATGTATGTTTCATCTGTCTTTTCTGCTGATTCTCATTCATGGTATATGACTTCCTCATCAGCTTAATTATTTTTACTATGTAATATGTAATACTCATTTTGGTAGGCAGAATAATGCCCTCCCCACAAGATGTCCACATCCTAATCTGCATGAATGGCAAAAGAGAATTTACAGATGTAATTAAACTCAGGGTCTTGAGTTGCAGAGATTATCCTGGATTACCTGTGTGAACCCAATGTAATCACATAAATAAGTCCTTATAAATGAAAGAGGGAGGCAGGAGATGTGAGAGAAAGAAGTGTGACTAGGGAAGTTATGGCAGAGAGACTTGATGTGAGAAGGACTTGAGCCATCCTTACTGGCTTTAAAGATTCATTAAGGTACCACTAGCCAAGGAATGCAAGAAGCTCTTAGAAACTGGAAAAGGGCAAGGTAGTGGATTCTGCCCTAGAAGCTCCTGTCAGAAGAAAAGCATCCCTGATGACATCTGGATTTTAGTCCAATGAGACGAGTATGGACTCCTGACTTCAAGAGCTGTAAGATAATAGGCCAGGCACAGCAGCTCATGCCTGTAATTCCAGTACTTTGGGAGGCCGAGGCAGGTGGATCACCTTAGATCAGGAGTTTGAGACCAGCCTGGCCAACATGGTGAAACCCTGTCTCCACTAAAAATACAAAAAAAAATTAGCTGGGCGTGGTGACGGGCGCCTGTAATCCCAGCTAATCAGGAGGCTGAGGCAGGAGAATCACTTGAACCTGGGAAGCAGAGGTTGCAGTGAGCCGAGATCACGCCTTTGCAGTCCTTCAGCCTGGGTGACAAGAGTGAAACTCTGTTTCAAAAAAAAAAAAAAAAAAAAGAGCTGTAAGATAATAAATGTGTGTTATTTTAAGTCACCAAGTTTATGGTAAGTTGTTACAGCAACAATGGAAAATTAACACACTCATTATCCTTGAGAATTTATTTGCAGGATTTCCTTATAGCTTTAGATGAAGGAGCAGTCCTGCAGAGAGGTCTTGCATTGACTTATCCTAGGTGCCTAAGGGCACTATTCTGAGAACACTTTAAACTACATTTAGGGCTTAAGGTAATGCACTTTTGTTTTTTTTTTTTTGAGAGGGTCTCGCTCTGCACCCAAGCTGAGTGTGGTGGTGCAATCTCAGCTTACTGCCGCCTCTACCCGCTGGTCTCTTCCACCTCAGCCTCCCCAGCAGCTGGGACCACAGATGGGGACCACCAAGCCTGGCTATTTTTTGTATTTTTTATGGAGATGAGGTCCCCCTATGTTGCCCAGGCTAATCTTGAACTCTGGGGCTCAAGTGATTCTCCTGTTTGGCCTCCCAAAGTACTGGGATTACATGCATGAGCCACCACACCTGGCCAGGTAATATACTTTTGAGCTGCAAATCCATGCAGAGGCTAGGCTGTGTTATACTTCTCAGCACTGTCCCGTCTTTGCTCTCTTTAGACAAACAAATTTTTCTCAGAGTCCCCTAGGGTAGAGAAAGGAATGAATTTACTTCTGTTTTGCCCTAATCCTGGGCTGTAGCCCTTTGAGGGGGCCAGCTTGATATGAGGAGACTCCCAAATCAGCCTTCCCAACATGTAGTCCCCCTAGGCTTTGACTCTTGCCCCCTTTACCCCAGGAGACTATCAAAACCCAAAGTTCAAGTTTGTCTAAAATGGAAACTGCTCTCGAGGAACAGTCAGTTTCAGGTTCTACTTGCCTGTCTGAGTTCTTACTTTTAGGATTTGTCCTGCTTTTAGTGATTTCAAAGTTTTTAAGATTTCTTTCCTTCCTTTCTTCCTTCCTCCCTCCCTCCCTCCCTCCCTTCCTTTCTTCCTTCCTCTCTTTTTTTTTTTTTTTTTTTTTTTTTGGAGTTTCATTCTTGCCCAGGCTGGAGTGCAGTTGTGTGATCTCCGCTCACTGCAACATCTGCCTCCTGGGTTCAAGCGATTCTCCTGCCTCAGCCTCCCAAGTAGCTGGGACTACAGGTGTGAACCACCACTCCTGGCTAATTTATATGTTTTTAGTAGAGATGGGTTTTCACCATGTTGCTCAAGCTGGTCACCAACTCCTGACGTCAGGTGATCCCCCCACCTCAGCCTCCCAAAGTACTGGGATTACAGGCGTGAGCCAATCACCTGGCCTTTATTCTTTATTTCTGTTTTTGTTTTAGAGATGAAGTCTTTCTCTGTCACCCATGCTGGAGTACACTGATGTGATCAGAGCTCACAGTACCTTGAACTCCTGGGCTTCAGTGATCCTCCTGCCTGGGACTCCCAGAGCACTGGGATTATGGGTGGGAGCCACCTTGCCTGGCCAGATTTTTTTCCTTTTAGCCAGCATTTGTTGTTTTTTTCAGTAATGGGGCTGGTCTGAATAACCCAGTCCACCATATTCCAGGAAATCTATTGAAAATTTTATATTCTGAATCTGTCAGTTCCACCAGCTGAACATTTTGCTGGTCTGATTCTGCTGTCTGTTGCTTCTGTTGGCTTTTACTCATGATGCTTTGTTTTCCTGTTAAATAGTTAATTGTAATTTTATTTGCTTTCCTTTTTTTTTTTTTTTTTTTTTGAGACGGAGTCTCACTCTGTCGCCCAGGCTGAAGTGCAGTGGCGTGATCCCAGCTCAATGCAACTTCCACCTCCCAGGTTCAAGTGATTCTCTTGCCTCAGCCTCCCAAGTAGCTGGGATTACAGGAGTGCATCACCATGCCCAGTTAATTTTTGTATTTTTATTAGGGACGGGGTTTTGCCACGATGGTCAGGCTGGTCTCGAACTCCTGACCTCAGGTGATCTGCCCACCTTTGCCTCCCAAAGTGCTGGGATTACAGGCGTGAGCTACTGTGCCCCATCTAAAGGTGCTTTCCTCTGAGAGAATTTGCAGATCCTCTGTCAATTGCCTGGAGGCATGGCAACCCAGTACCAAACGACTTTCTTTGCTTGAGGTTTTTCGCGTCACCCAAGAATTATGAATTGGACCACAAACTTGCATGAGGTATGACTTGTGGTTCAGAGGAATTTTTTTCCCCTCTCTCTCCATTAGTTCCGATGTTGAGACAGGCACATTTCTTTGCTGCTCCCCACCCACACCTACAGACGAGCTTTGTGTATTGTCCTCCATAAGTTGGTCATCTCATGTCCTGTATACTTGTCTTTGATGGCTATCAGAATCAAAGCTTGGTGACATCAGGGACTGGTAGATGATCACAGTATTCTGACATTTCAGGTCTTCCTTATTTCTCTGGATTCCTGCTTCCACTTGCTTGGCCTTTGAGGATTCTTTTTCATTTCTATCAAATGAAAGATGAATTTAAAAAGAAAATTTGGCCAGGCATGGTGGTGAACATCTGTAATCCCAGCACTTCCAGAGGTCAAGGTGGGAGGATTGCTTGAGCCTAGGAGTTTGAGGCTGCAGTGAGGTATGATCATGCCACTACATTCTAGCCTGTTTGATAGAGTCAGACCATGTCTCTAACAAGAGAAAATTTAGCCAAGCGCAGTGGCTCACACGTGTAATCTCAGCACTTTGGGAGGCCAAGGAGGGAGAAGTGCTTGAGCCCAGGAGTTTGGGACCAGCTTGAGCAACATAGTGAGACCTTGTCTCTACCAAAAAAAAAAAAAAAAAAAAAATTAGCCAGGTGTAGTGGCACAAACCTGTAGTCCTAGCTACTCAGGAGGCTGAGGCAGGAGGATTGCTTGATCCCAGGAGGTCGAGGCTGCAGTAAGCCATGATCACACCACTGCACTCCAACTGGGTGACAGGGCAAGACCCTGTCTCAAAGCAAAACAAAACTCAGTGAGATGCCCCTTCTCATCCACTAGGATGGACATGAAAGAAAAAAAATAAAACAGCCAAACAAACAAAACAGAAAAAGTACAAAAGAAAGTAAGTATTTTAATTAGTATTGATAGTTATACAACACAAGTATTTAGGAACTCTGGTCTGCCATTCTTCCAGAAATCTATCATTTTAAGGTGTCAACTGTCCCCGGGAGTTAAGAGGGCCATGATTGTAGATCCTAAAGACTATGCAGGGTGTCCTGACCCCAGAGATAAGATTAGGTTCCATTTCACCATCATTTTGTGCTTCAAATGCTAATTCTTTCAATGTCCACACTCGATTCTCTTTTATAACTCTTTGTGATTACTAATCCATTCTTCTCTACAAATCTTTTAAAATAAATCAAAACAAAAATGACAAGGTGGTAAGATGTATGCTTTTTTTTTTTTTTTTTTTTTTTTGAGATGGAGTCTCACTCTTGTCACCCAGGCTGGAATGGAGTGCAGTGCAGTGGCACCATCTCTTCTCACTGCAACCTCCACCTCCCAGGTTCAAGCAGTTCTCCTGCCTCAGCCTCCCAGATAGCTGAGATTCCAGGTGCCCGCCACCACACCTGGCTTATTTTTTGTATTTTTAGTAGAGATGGGGTTTCACTATGTTGGCCAGGCTGGTCTCGAACTCCTGACCTTGTGATCTGCCCACCTTGGCCTCCCAAAGAGCTGGAATTACAGGCGTGAGCCACTGCGCCTGGCCTCAAACCATTTTTTAAATGATGCCTGCCAAGGTCCAAACAATTTAACAAGTACTTATGTCCTAGCAACTTAGTAACCACTTGAAAAAAGTAATACACGTAAATAGAAGAAAATAATTTTTTTTTCTTTCTTTCTTTCTTTTTTTTTTGAGACAGAGTCTCGCTGTGTCACCCAGGCTGGAGTGGAGTGGTGCCATCTCAGCTCACTGCAACCTCCGCCTCCCTGGTTCCAGCGATTCTCCTGCCTCACCCTCCCCAGAAGCTGGGACTACAGGCATGTGCCACCACGCCCGGCTAATATTCGTGTGTGTGGTTTTTTTTTTTTTTTTTTTTTTTGTAGAGACAGAGTTTCACCATATTGGCCAGCCTGGTCTTGAACTACTGACCTCGTGATCCTCCTGCCTCAGCCTCCCAAAGTACTGGGATTACAGGCATGAGCCACTGCATCTGGCCTATTTTTTTCATTTTTAAATAAGCACAATGACATAACAATGGAGTGTGTATGCCTGTCCAGCACTTCACAACTCTCAAAGCCTTGAAATCAGATTGAACAATTCCACTCTTTTTTCTGCACACATCAATTTTCACTCACTATTTCCCTTTTATCCCAACAACTGTCAGAAACCCAACTTCACAAAGGAGTGAACATAGTACAATCTGATGCTGAAATTGTGAATTCCCTTGAGCTAGTAGTTCCTGTGGTGTCTGAAGCATTGGTATGTTTCCCTGGACATCTTCTCTGTTCCTTCTATGGTTCATTCCTTTGAATTTGTTGCTGTGCCTCAGGACACACTGGAGCATAGTTTAGCAACCATGCTCTTAACCCTTTGGCCCTTTTAACTACTATTTTCTCTTTCTCTTCTCTACAACTTTTTTTTTTTTTTTTTTGAGACGGAGTCTCGCTCTGTCGCCCAGGCTGGAGTGCAGTGGCGGGATCTCGGCTCACTGCAAGCTCCGCCTCCCGGGTTCACGCCATTCTCCTGCCTCAGCCTCCCAAGTAGCTGGGACTACAGGCGCCCGCCACTACGCCCGGCTAATTTTTTTGTATTTTTAGTAGAGACGGGGTTTCACCGTTTTAGCCGGGATGGTCTCGATCTCCTGACCTCGTGATCCGCCCGCCTCGGCCTCCCAAAGTGCTGGGATTACAGGCGTGAGCCACCGCGCCCGGCCCAACTTTTTTTTTTTAATCTCCTCTCTATAACCTTTGAAAAAAGTTTAAGGCCGGGCATGGTGGCTCATGCCTGTAATCCCAGCACTTTGGGAGGCCAAGGTGGGCGGATCACAAGGTCAGGAGATCGAGACCATCCTGGCTAACACGATGAAACCCCATCTCGACTAAAAATACAAAAAATTAGCCGGGTGTGGTGGTGGGTGCCTGTAGTCCCAGCTACTCGGGAGGCTGAGGCAGAAGAATGGCATGAACCCAGGAGGCAGAGCTTGCAGTGAGCAGAGATCGCGCCACTACACTCCAGGCTGGGCGACTAAGACTCCGTCTAAAAAAAAAAAAAAGAAAGAAAAAGAAAAAATTTTAAATTACTCTCATCCCAAAGCAATTTGATTTCCCCTATCATTACGCTGATGCAGTTATCACTGAAGTCACCACTGAAGCCCCTTTACTAAATCTAATGCAAACTCCTAAATCTTAAACCATAGGTAGTTTAGGGCAACAGTTGATACTTTTGACTGCCATGACCTTATATCATGCAACCAAGATGACTTTATTTCCTTTAAGTTACAAATACCATTATTTTTAGCCTCCACTTTACTTGCCTGCAAAACTTTGTCTTTCACTGTGCCAGACTAACAGAATGGCAAGAATTCTAGTAGTTCCCCAGCCAAATACTAGACTACAGGGTTCAGGTTACCTCTGAACAATGGGAGAGCCTTTGACTATGTCTTCCCTTTGCCAAGTCAAGACACTACAATCTTCTCTAGGCCCAGAAACAGGTGAAAATCTATTTTATCCTCACGCAAAATTTTATCCCAACTCCAAGCTGACTTAATTATTTTGTCTAAAATGCAGACACAGTTTAAATTTTTACAGTGCAGTGGAACAATGCTTCATATTATTGATCTTTATTTCAGAATACAATTGTAAGTTTACCCTTATAAATAAAAATAGCTCCCCTCCACACACACACACACACACACACACACACACACACACACACAAAGGGAAGAGTAACTTACTCTCAAAAAGAAATCCAGGCCAGGTGTGGTCACTTATGACTGTAATCACAGCTCTCTGGGAGGCTAAGGTAGGATCACTTGAGCCCGCGAGTTTGAGATCAGCCTGTGCAACATGGTGAGACTCCTGTCTCTACAAAAATTTTAAAAAATTAGCCAGGTGTGGTGGCCCACACCTGTAATCCCAGCTACTTACAGCTGGGAGGCTGAGGCACAAGAATCGCTTGAGCCCAGGAGGCAGAGGTTATAGTGAACTAAGATCAGGCCACTGCACTCCAGCCTGGGCCACAGAACAAGACTCTGTCTCAAATAATAATAATAATAATAATAATAATAAAAGCTACTTTGGATTATTTGTTTCCCAGGTACTTTGATGTTGAAGACTTATCTTGAAGAGGAGATGGGGGAATTCCAGTCACTTCAAAGAGATAAATCATATAGTAAAGTAGTACACTTGCATTTGGAGGGATAAATATCAACCTTTTGAGTGTTTATCATTAGTTTGCTCACAAGGCTCTGATCTACTTCAAATGTGTCAAATTGAGTTGCTAATATGCAAAGATACGAAGACCATGATGGTCTCAAAATATTGTAACCTTGTGAGGCCTTATTTGCTGAGCATCTCAATGCTTCCTATAATCGTGCTCTCGATATAATTGTGCCCTCGATTTATAATGTGTTTGTAGCAGCAAGTTAGACTGAGTCTAAGGAAATAAGGAAATGGCTTTTGGGTGGTAGGCCCTCTTTTATCACACTGGAGACTTATTTCATTCTATTGTAACACAATAATTTGTTCTCTTTTTCAATGATAATCTGAAATGAACCAAAAATGAATTTTTTTTTTTTTGAGACATGGTCTTGCTCTGTCACCCAGGCTGCAGTGCAGTGGCATGATTGTGTTAGTCAACTTTTGCATCGCTATAATAAAGAAAAGCTGTTTAATTGGTTCACAGTTCTGCAGGCTGTACATGAAGCATAGTGCCGGCATCTACTTCTGGTGAGGGCCTCAGGAAGCTTACAATCATGGCAGAGGGTAAAGGAGGAGCCAGGGTGTCACATAGCAAGAGAGGGAGCAAGAGAGAGAGAAGGGTGAGGTCTCAGATTTTGAACCAACCAGATCTCTAGTGAACTCAGCGAGAACTCACTGGCCCCTAAGGGGACAGTGCTAAACCATTCACGGGGGCTCTGCCCCCATGATTCAATCACCTCCCACCAGGTCCCACCTCCAACATTGGGAATCGTATTTCCACATGAGATTTGGAGGGGGACAAACATCCAAATCATATCAACTGTCATGGCTCACTGTAGCCTCAAATTCCTGGGCTCGAGTGATCCTCCTGCCTCAGCCTCCTGAGTAGCTAGTACTATAGGTGTGCACCACCACGACCAGCTAATTTTAAATTTTTATACAGAGATGGGAGTCTCACTATGTTGCCAAGGCTGGTCTTGAACTCCTGGCCTCAAGTGATCCGCCTGGACCTCCCAAAACAATGCAATTACAGGTGTGAGCCACTGTGTGTGCCCAGCCCCAAATTTTTATACTAAGCATAATCTATTAGCTCACAAAAACAGCATGAGACTTTAATGTATGCAAAATATCACCTTCTCACAAGCAACTTGTAGTAGTGTTGATTTGGAAAGCCTGGGAAGAAATCGTGTTTGTAGAGTGGGTGTTAGATGTGCATGTGTTACAGTGGGTGTTAGAGTGGGTGTTAGATGCATGTGTTAGAAGTAAGAAAAGATTCATTGGGTGGGTGCAGTGGCTGAGGCCTGTAATCCTAGCACTTTGGGAGGCTGAGGGGGGGAGGTCACTTGAACTCAAAAGTTCAAGACCAGCCTGGCCAACATGGCAAAATCCCATCTCTACCAAAAACAGAAAAATGCACAAAGTAGCTGGGCATGGTGGAACATGCCTGTGGTCCCTGCTACATGGGAGGCTGAGGTGAGAGGATCGCTTGAACCTGGGAGGCGGAGGTTGTAGTGAGCTGAGATCACACCACCACACTCCAGCCCGGGTGAGAGCGAGACCCTGTCTCAAAAAAAAAAAAAAAAAAGATTCATCATAAAGAGAAAGTCATGAATCTGCTAGTGTACTCATTGGGGAACAAATGTTAAACCTAAATCAGTATTTAAGTTTAATATTAAATCACTATTTAAATTTAACACTAAATCAGTACTTAAACTATAAAGCGTATAAATTTAAATTTTCTTGATCTCTGACTACTACTACTAGTGATGTGTGCTGTTTTACCTCTAGCCATTTGAAGAACTACCTCTTTTTTTTTTTTTTTTTGAGTCAGAGTCTTGCTCTGTCACCCAGACTGGAGTGCAGTGGTGCAATCTCGGCTCACCGCTAACCTCCACCTACCAGGCTCAAGCGATTCTCCTGTCTCAGCCTCCTGAGTAGCTGGGATTACAGGTGCGCACCACTACCACCCGGCCAATTTTTGTATTTTTAGTAGAGATGGGGTTTCACCATGTTGGCCAGGCTGGTCTCAAACTCCTGGCCTCAGATGATCCACCCGCCTTGGCCTCCCAAAGTGCTGGGATTACAAGCATGAGCCACTGCACCCAGGAAGAACTCCCTCTTCATCAGGCAACAAAATACTTATCAAACCCAAAATTCCTACTTATTTTAAATGAAGTTGGTAAAAGTAAAATGTTTACTTTTAATATCTTATGCTTCTCTCAGGATGCCTGGTTTGGGTATCAAGTTTGGCGACTTTGTGAATTATATGGTGCCCATTAAAAAAAATGAGATAGGAAATTACTGAATTATTAGAAAGGGACAAAATATTTTTAAAAATCTCATAATCCTAGTATACTAATACAATTTTTATTTTTCATATCATTTTCAGGCCTTACATACATACTTTTAGAGCTAAAATACATTAACAGTTTGTTTTCTACGCCTTTGTACTTAATAGTCTCTCATATACATTTCTTTTATATTCCTAGTCCTATTCTAACCATTTCTTTAAATTTGAAAAATTGTGATTAAATACATATAAAACTTATTTTTAACCAATTTTAAGTGTACAGCCCTATGGCATTAAGTACGTTCACACTGTCATGCAACCGTTACCACCAGCCACCTCCAGAAATTTTCATTTTCCCAACCTGAAGTTCTGTACCTATTAAATGACAACTCCTGGTTTCTCTCTCCCCCAACCCCTGGAAACTACCATTCTGCTTTCTGTCTCTCTGAGTTTGACTATTCTAGGTAGCTTATATAAGCGGAATCATACAGTACTTGTTCTTTTGTAACTGGCTTTTTTTCTCTTAGCACAATGTCTTCAAGGTAAAACTGTGTTATAGCATGTATCAGAATTTCCTTCTTTTTTTTTTGAGACGGAGTTTTGCTCTTGTCACCCAGGCTGGAGTGCAATGGCATGATCTTGACTCACTGCAACCTCCGCCTCCCAGGTTCAAGCAATTCTCTTGCCTCAGCCTCCCGAGTAGCTGGGATTACAGGAGCGCACCACCACGCCTAGCTAATTTTTGTATTTTTAGTAGCGATGGGGTTTCACCATGTTGGCCAGGCTGGTCTCGAACTCCTGACCTCGGGTGATCTGCCTGTCTTGGCCTCCCACAGTGTTGAGATTACAGGCGTGAGCCACCGTGCTGGGCCTTGAATTTCCTTCATTTTTTAAGGCTGAATATTCCATTGTACCACATTTTGTTTATCCATTCATCCATCAATGGACATTTGGGTTGCTGCCACCTTTTAACGATTGTGAGTAACACTGTTCTGAACATGCATGTTCAAGTCTCTGCTTTCAGTTCTTTTGGCTACATACACATACGTGAACTTGCTAGATCATATGGCAATTCTATGCTTAGTTTTTTGAGGAACTGCCAAATAGTTTCCCACAATCTTTTAAAAATCATTTTATTGGTAGTATAATAATTCATTTGTCTCTATACCCTAATTTACTAAGCATTCTGGAATGTTTGCTTCCTAAGTTTTCTTTTTTCCAATTGGGTGGGAATTAGTTTTAATTTAGACAATGCTCCAGGTTTTTGCCCCGTTTTAAAAGTACCTCATAAACATATATTATTCCTTCTAATAGCTGATAATTCACGTTGTTTTTTTTTTTTTTTTTTTTTTTTTTTTTTTTGCTTAGTGCTACCTCACAATTATCCCTTATCTAAGAAGTGCCCTGTCCATGGGAGCGAGTACCCTCTAGCTAGACCTATGCTTTCCAATATGGTAGCCACTAGCCACATACTTAAACATGAGTCAATTAAAGTAAAATAAAATTGGAAATTATCTTCCTCAGCTGCCCTAGCCGTATTTCAAGTGCACAGTAGCCACACAGGGCTAGTGCTACTGAATTGGGCCGCACAGATTCAGAACATTTCCATGACCCCAGAAAGTTCTATGGTGACTACTGCTCTAGACTATTTTTGACTCTGACCTCTTGGCCATGGCTGAATTCATTTCTATAAGTTACTCCCAGAAACTATTTAGTCCTCAGGGACAATCTGATGATAACATTTACAGGAGAACACCAGAAACTTTAGATTATGAAATATCTCTTCCAATGACTGAAGTACTCCTGACCACTATTTCCTATCAGTCTTTTGAGAACCAAATTAGTGGTCAGTTTCTTGGTGATGGTCACCTAATCCAAGCTGGGTCAATGAAATTCCTTATTTCTTTCCTTGGGAATTTGGATTTGGGAAGGAAGAGGTCGTCATTCAGGTCCTCAAGTTGTCTAGAACTATAAAACCAAAAGTAATAGATTCCACTAGATAAAACAGAGAATTGGGTAAAGCAATAGAAAAATTAAGCAGATAAGCAGAGATTACATTGCCTCTTAGGTTTTCTATTTTGGTTCAAGTCCCTCCCTTGGACTCAGCTACATTTCTGACTTTTGGTTACATGAGAAAAACCTGTACTGTAATAATGAATTATTATTTTATGCTTAAACTAGCTCAAATTGGCTGGTTATACTGGCAATCAGAATCCTAGCGTACATACATACACACACACACACAGACACACACACACGGGTACTGTTTTCACACTCTGTATGTAGTTGTGTATAAATTTTGTATATAGTCATTGCACTGGAACCCCAGGCTCCCCTCTAACCCTTCTCTTGCTTTATCGCCTTCTTATATTAAGATTGTGTTTAGGCTGGGCGAGGTGGCTCATGCCTGTAATCCCAGCACTTTGGGAGGCCGAGGAGGGTGAATCACTGGAGGTCAGGAGTTTGAGATCAGCCTGGCCAACATGGTGAAACCCCGTCTCTACTAAAAATACAAAAATTAGCCGAACGTGGCGTCGGTTGCCTGTAGTCCTAGCTACTTGGGAGGTTAAGGCAGGAGAATCGCTTGAACCCGGAAGGCGGAGGTTGCGGTGAGCCGAGATCGCGTCATTGCACTCCAGCCTGGGCGACAAGAGCAAAACTCAGTCTCAAAAAATAAATAAATAAAAAATAAAAGCCGGGCGCGGCTATAATCCCAGCACTTTGGGAGGCCAAGGCAAGCGGATCACAAGGTCAGGAGATCAAGACCATCCTGGCCAACATGGTGAAACCCCATCTCTACTAAAAATACAAAAATTAGCTGGGTGTGGTGGCACGTGCCTGTAATCCCCGCTACTCAGGAGGCTGAGGCACGAGAATCGCTTGAACCCAGAAGGTGGAGGTTGCAGTGAGCCGAGATCGTGCCACTGCACTCCAGCCTGGCTACAGAGCGAGACTCCGTCCAGCCCCGCCCCAACACCCCGCAAAAAAAAAGATTGTGTTTAGGCTGCTCTCTGTATCTTCCCCCTCTGCTTACCCTGATCAAACTATGCCCTCTGTTACCATTCTGAATGCGGAAGCTTTATTAAATCAAATTGTGAAGCATGTTAACCACTGATTTTATCCTTTAGCTTGTATTGCATTTTAATTTCTCAGGCCTAAGTAATTCCATCAACACTCATTTCATGTATGACCTAATAAATAATCCCTCACAGGCCAAAGCAGCGCCTTTTTTTTCCGTTCTTTTCTTTTTTGTTTCTCTTTTTGAGACAGAGCTTCACTCTTGTTGCCCCGGCTGGAGTGCAGTCACGCGATCTCGGCACGCTGCAACCTCCGCCTCCCGGGTTCAAGCGAATCTCCTGCCTCGGCCTCCCGAGTAGCTGGGACTACAAGGGCGTGCCACCACGCCTGGCTACTTTTTTTGTATTTTTAGTACAGACGGGATTTCACCATGTTGGCCAGGCTGGTCTCGAACTCCTAACCTCAGGTGATCCACCCGCCTCGGTCTCCCAAAGTGCTCGGATTACAGGCGAGAGCCACCACACCCGGCCTCAAAGCAGTGACTTCTGATTGTGAGAACCTGGCATGCACAGAACTGAGTGCAGTACTTTCTCAAGCCACAGTAAATGCTCCTTTAGATGGAGTGATTAGGGGACCTCTTTCAGGAAGATTGAAGGAGGAGGAGTCAGCTATGGAAAGGACAAGAGCAACAGCACCCTGTGTGAAGAGACACAATTGTCCTACCTATGAAAACACTGCTTCTTGTCAAGTAACAGAAAGGCCAGTGTGGCAGGAGGAGAGTCAGGGAGCAAGGGAAGGTGGTGTGAGCTGCGGCAGGCTGGGCTGGGCCTTCAGGCCATGGTGAGAAGTTATGATGGTATCAAATGGGCAATGAGAAAGTATTTAAGGGATTTAAGTAAGGGAGTGACCTGATCTGATTTATCTAAGAAAAACATCCCTCGGCTACTGTCTGGAAATGAACTGTAGGAAGACAAGCAAGGGACCAGTTAGGAGGCTACTGCAAGTGTCAGTAAAAGATCATGGCTAGGCCTGAAGATGGGAGACGGTGGAGAAATCTGTGACAGAATTTGAGATTTTGAAAGTAAATATAAAAGCACTTGGTGAGTTATCCCTGTTACCTTCTCAGTAGCCAGGCCCTATACTAAAGCTGCCAATGAAGTAGAATGAAGGCTCTGAAACCTCAAGAAGGGCCTTACTTTCCCAGTTTCACGGGGCTCTGCGCACAGCTCTTAGGAACTACCTTGATTCCAAAACTCTCCAAAAGTACGATCCTGCCCTTATGTTCCTCTCTCCCTTTGAGTGAATTTGGGAATGATTGTTGAAAAATGACTTTCAACAAGAGGACAGCAGTGTTCGGGGTTCCACGATACATCCCTATCTTTTAACATCGATAAGTATTTTTAAATTGGTACCTTATTTTGCGCTGCACGAGAGAGAAGGCTTTTTACTAGCAGCATCTCCTAATCCATCTAAGAAATACTGTATTTACCTTTACTCCAAGTATCCTAGGGCAAAATTCCTTTAGAACAATTCATCTTCCGAAACAGACGGGTTCCCTTTTCACCTATTCAAGTGTTGTGCATTCTAGGGTCCCCTTCCCGCCTTGCAGACAAATGCGCTCATTGTGCCACTCCAGTCCCTGGATCCTATGCAGCGGGCATTTCCTGCAAGGAGCTGCTGCATGCCTGTTTCCCTCGCCGCCTGCCCCAACCCGAATCCAAGGCTTTGGTTTCTAATGTTCCCTCCCTGTGCAGTTAAAACAATTGAGTTCAGTTACTAAATAGATGACCAGGAACTTTTTCTTGGCGAAGGCTGCGGATGTTTAGGGCACTGTCCAGTAAAGTTGTGAAAAGCAACTAAACCCTGCCGCTTGTGCAAAAGGACCAATCCACCGGGAAACAAGGGAAACGCGCACATTTCCTCAACTTGCCGCTTCTTGGGCACGTTTAGGCTCTTATTAGAGCCGCGCTTTGGAGTTGCCTCCTCCTGCTGTACAAACCCGCCGCGGCGTTCCCCCGGATGCCGCAGCGCTCACTCCCGCGTCCGCGGGGCGCGGGGAGGGGGCGAGGCGCGGGCGGCCCCGGAGCCAAGGCGAGGGCAGCGGAGCCCAGCCGGGCCTACGGGCGGCGACGCTCTGGCCCCAGCGCGCTCGATGGTTTCCGCGCGGCCGCCGGGGCTCGCACGGTCCAGTCGCCAGGGGGCGCGCTAGCCGGCGCCGCGGATCCCCGAACTGCGCGGCCCGACTCGAGTCCGCCATATTGGATGCCGCAGCCGCTGCTGCCAGCGCTTCCTCCTCTGTCTTCGCCGAGCGGGGCTGGTTCCTGCGGCCCGAGCGGCGGGGAGGTGAAACAGGAGCCCGTCGGAGGAAGGGGCAGAAGGGAGTGGAGAGTGTAGGGGAAGGGGCTAGAGGGAGGGGGACCGAAACGGAGCGGGGCAGAGAAGAGAAGGCGCCGCGGCCCAGCCCCTCCCCCGCCCGCCGCCGACCCGCCCCGGCAGCGCCTCTGTTCCCTAGAACGGCGCTCCCCCCGCCCTAGCGGCCATGCCGGTGCCGCTCTGCCGCTGAGGGAGCCCTTCCCCGCCAGCGCGTGCCCTTCCACTCCGCCCCGAGGTCGCAGCGGCCCGCTCTCCCGCCAGCGCCCCCTCCTCGCGGCCACGCAGCAGCCCGCGTCTCGCTCTCCCCACCCAGTGCAGTGGCCGCCGCCTCTTCCGCCGCCGGGCTCGGGGCCTCCGCAGCGACAACATGGAGGCCGTGAAGACCTTCAATAGCGAGGTTGGTATGGCAGCCGGGTTCCCCTGCTCCTGCCCGCACCGCCCCCACCCCTGGTCGAGGCCGGGGCCCGGAGGGTGGGCGCGGGCCTGCGGGTTTTTTAAGGGTGGGGTGAGCGGTGGCCTAGCAGTGCCCGTGGGGGAGGGGTGTTTCTCCTCTGGGTGCCCCTCCCCCGGGTCCGGGAGGAGGGTTGGGGGAGGGCCGCCCTGGGGCGGAGGGAGGTTCTGGCGTCTCCGGCGTCCTATGGAATGGCTGCGAGCTCGGAGGGAAAGACCCGGTTGGGCCCTCACCCGGAGACTCCCGACAGGTCCCTCGAGGTCAGTTCCGCCGAGGCCTGGCCCGCCCACCTCCTTCCTGGGCCTTTGAGGATTTAAGTGGACGCTGGACATGACTCTCCAGACCTTCCCGGGTCCTCACTGAGGCTAACACCGATTGGGGGCGGTGGGGGAAATGAACCTACGGGGTGTTGATCTGTGGTCACGTTACACGTAGTGTTTATAATTGAGGCATTGTTGACTAGGTAATTTGCCAGCTAGGGACTTGAGCTAATTGGATGGTTGGTAGGCAGGCAAAGGTTATTCTGCAATATCTTTTATTTTTACTCGCTCCTCTTCTAATCCATCACGACATAAAGACAAATGGTAGGGAGAGATCTGTGCATCGAGAGATGGAAGATTATGGGGGAAACATTTCTCGCTGGTTCATTCACGTGTCAAACAAGATTTTAAAAAGCAGATTCCATTTTCACTGTGTAGTTGAATTTACTAGTCTGGAAGAAGACAGGTTTTGATGTATTCAATTTCTTTTTAAACTCCGACTTCAATAGGCCTTAATGTAAACATCAAACATAGCAAGTACACATCTGCACAGTCAGCATTAGTATCCCTACCCGTACGCCTTGGAAAGTGTAATTATGGCCGGGAACAGTGGCTCAGGCCTGTAATCCCAGCACTTTGGGAGGCCGAGGCGGGCCAATCACGAGGTCAGGAGTTCAAGACCAGCCTGGCCAACGTGGTGAAACCCTGTCTCTACTAAAAATACAAAAAATTAGCTGGGCGTAGTGGCAGGCACCTGTAATCCCAGCTACTTAGGAGGCTGAGGCAGGAGAATCGCTTGAACCTGGGAAGCGGAGGTTGCAGTGAGCCGAGATCTGCGCCACTGCAATCCAGCCCAGTGACAGAGTGAGACTCTGTCTACAAAAAAAAAAAAAAGAAAAAGAAAAAGTGTAATTATGCTGGTAACTAAATTAGCATAAATTTTATGAACTCTTAAAGTGCCAATACTTTATTCGATACTATGATTGTTAAAGAGTATCTTTAATATTTACCTCTTAAAATACGAGGCTTTTTGCTGTGACGGCCCAAATAGGACAGTACTTTTAAATGCCGTTGCATAGTTTTATCTTGTTTTAATTTCTTTAAAAAGAAAAACAGTATTTGGGAATCTTAGCTAAGAGGCTAAACGGTAGATAATATTTGGGCTATTTTCAATAGCAGTGATACATAACTTTTTTTGGAAAGCATTTTCTTTTTTAATACTACATTTTTTATTTTTAACATTGATAAATTAGAGCAATAGACTTGGGAATCTTCTTTTTTTTTTTTTTTTGAGACAGAGTTTCGCTCTTGTTACCCAGGCTGGAGTGTCACCATCTCAGCTCACTGTAGCCTCCACCTCCCGGTTTCAAGCGATTCTTCTGCCTCAGTGTCCCGAGTAGCTGGGATTACAGGCGCACATCACCACGCCCCGCTAATTTTTGTATTTTTAGTAGAGATGGGGTTTCACCATGTTGGCCAGGCTGTTCTCAAACTCCTGACCTCAAGTGATCCACCCGCCTTGGCCTCCCAAAGTGCTGAGATTATGGGCGTGTGCCACTGCGCCTGGTGTTTCATTTTTTTTCATAGCTATCTTTCTTTTTTTGAGGAGTGTCATTCTGTCACCCAGGCTGGAGTGCAGTGGTGTGATCTTGGCTCACTGCATCCTTTGCCTCCCGGGCCCAAGGGGTCCTCCTCTCACCTCAGCCCCCCAAGTAGGTGAGATTACAGGCCAGTGTCACCATGCCCGTCATTTTTATTTTTTATAGAGAGGAGGTCTTGTTATGTTGCCCAGGCTGTTCTTGAACTCCTGGGCCCAAGCGGTCCTTTCACCTTGGCATCCCAAGTGCTGGGATGACAGATGTGAGCCACCACGCCTGGGGGATTTCGTTTTGTTTTGTTTTTTGCCCTCATTGGATTTAATTCCCGCCGCCACCCTCTTCCCCACACACACTTTGTTGGGTGTCTGTCTTTGGGGGGGTTCCTAATAATGTGGTCCTCCCCCTCAAAGGGCCATCCAAGACTTTTTTTTTTTTTTTTTTTTTGGAGACGGAGTTTTGCTCTTGTTGCCCAGGCTGGAGTGCAATGGCGAGATCTTGGCTCAATGCAACCTCCACCTCCTGGGTTCAAGCAATTCTCCTGCTTCAGCCTCCGGAGTAGCTGGGATTACAGGCACCCACCGCCATGCCCAGCTAGTTTTTTGTATTTTTAGTAGAGATGGGGTTTCATCACGTTGGCCAGGCTGGTCTCGAACTCCTGACCTCAGGTGATCCACCCGGCTCGGCCTCCCAAAGTGCTGGGATTACAGGCGTGAGCCACTGCGCCTGGCCCATCCATGACGTTTTAAACAGTAGCTCCCAAATATTAGATGTAAACAAGTGGTTAGTGCACTATGGTTGGTCACAGTAGGGAAGAAATGTTAATTCCAGTTTTTCGTTTTAATATTAATTAAGGATAAGGGGGCCTAACATTTACATGTGTAGATAGGTGTTTCACCTGTTTTCTCATTTTACAGGAACTTGAGGTTTGTCTTAGTCCCATTTTAGTGTATGTAGCACTCTCCCATTTCCCCATATGGATTTCAAAGAACTTAAGTCTTGTAACTTCCTTATTTATTTATATGCTCTAACTTCACCGTGTTTCAAAGTGGAGTTAGCTTAAAAATAGCAGTACAGAGTCAGGGAGTTGAGGAAGGGAAATATATTTGAAGAAGATTCAGAAAAATACTTTTTTTTTTAAACACAAAACAATACATAATACTGTTTTTTATTTTGAATGCAGTTTCTGTGAATGTTGTAATATTTGCTGATGTGTAGTAAACATTGTTATTGCAAATAAGTATATGCTGAGAAGTAGTTCAGTAATGATTGTTTTCCATTAAATTATGTGTTACAAATTACAAAAATTAAAAAGGAATTCTAGTTGCAGGATTAGGAGAAAAGGATGTTTTCGACGCTCATAGTTTGGCTTTTAAAGGTGTTTATCTTTGGGTTTAATCCATCACAACTTCTCTGCTAAATTTAAAGGTATCTTTGAAACATTGAATTGTCAATTCCATTTGCTTTGTAAGGAATCAAAATTTAGCTCTAAGAATAATCAGGAACGTTTGTCAACAAGATATTTTGATACTTCACCTTAAAATATTTAAAATAGGCTGGGCTCGATGGGTCATGCCTGTAATCCCATCCCTTTGGGAGGCCGAGGTGGGCAGATGACTTGAGCTCAGGAGTTCCATGCTAGCCTGGCCAGCATGGCGAAACCCCCATCTCTACAAAACAACAACAACAACACAAATTAGCTGGTCACGGTGGCATGTGCCTGTAGTCCCAACATGGGTGAAGGGGGTGTAAAGGAGGGGGCAGGTGCTGAGGTGGGAGGATCTCATGACCCAGGAAGGTGGAGGCTGCAGTGAGCTGCACCACTACACTCTGGCCCGGGCAACAGTGCGACCCTGAATCAGAAAAATTGAGACAGGTACTCGCTGTTGACAGGTCACCACGCCGGGCTAATTGTTTTTGTTTTGTAGAGATGGGGTTTTGCCATGTTGCCCTGGCTGGTCATGAACTCCTGAGCTCCGGTGATCTGCCCACCTCCCCTCCCAAAGTGCTGGGATTACAGGCCTAAGCCGTGGTGCCTGCCCCAAATTAAATGTTTAAAATACAAAATACTTAACCTTTTATGGCTTGCTAAGGCTCAGGTTTTTCCAGACTGAATTTTGTCACCCCCATCTTTTAATTTTGTGGAGATCATTGGTTTGAAAACCAGGAAGATGCCAGAGACTTTAGGAATACAGATTTTTGTGAATTGTGGGTGTGTGTCTGTAGTCTTAGCTACTTGGGAGGCTGAGGTGGGAGGATCTGTTGAGCCCAGGAGTTCGAGGCTATAGAGTGCAATTACTGCACCTGTGAATAGCCAGTGCACTCTAGCTTGGGCAACAGTGTGAGACTCTGCTTCAAAAAAAAAAAAAAGAAAAGAAAACCCCAATAATACAGATTTTTAATCTGCAAACTGTGGATGAGTTTCAGCTATGAAAATCCCAGACTTCATGCAAGATATGTATGAGTTGTTTTTGTCATGTCTACCCTCCCTACCATAATTTCTCAAAGGAGTTGACCTTTCACTTCTGTGTTAAAAATTACTATGTCAGAAGATCCTTTAATTGTGCAGGAATTATGTGGTAAATTTTTCTTCTCACGAGTTAAATGAGATTTAGGCTCAATAATTTATTTTTTAAGTGCCCCATGCTAATTTTGTGGGAGAAAAATAATTTCTATTTAAACATCATCACTGTGATGAAAGTTTAATCCCATGACCACTACTTTCAATTCTGAAATGATGGAAGACTTAAGTTCAGATTACAATACAAGATTTCCTCAGAGGCAATGGGTGAGCAGTTAACCATAAGAGAATTATGAGTGCAAGCTATTGCAGTTGCTGCTGCTCTAAGATGGTGGCGCTTGTAATGATTTAGCATTTCTTCCTAGTGAAAAGGGTCGCAGATTGAACTGCCTAAATCTGTGGATTACTTTGGGACTGCATTGATTGCTGGAATGCAGCAGTTTTATGTGAGCTGCATATCTATACTCTGTACTTAAGAATGATCACTATGTGGAGGTCATTCTGGTAGGATCTTGTTCTATTGTTTTTTTGTTTCCTTTTTTGTTTCTTTGAAAAGGGGTCGTGAGACAGTGGCAGTGCATGACCCATTCTTTCCTTTAGTTTGAGAGGGCATTTTAAAATACAGCAGATTGTTGTTGTTATTGTTTAAGACTGAGTTTCTCTTGCCCAGGCTAGAGTGCAAGGACAGGATCATAGCTTACTGTAACCTCGAACTCCTGGGCTCAAGTGATCTTCCTGCTTCAGCCTCCTGAGTAACTAGGAATACAGGCATGTGCCACTATGCACACCTAATTTTTAAATTTTTTGTAGGGAAGGGTGGGGGGTGTCAATATGTGGTCCAGGCTTTTCTTGAACTCCCGGCCTTTAATGATCCTGCTGTGTTGACCTCCCAAAGTACTGGGATTACAGGTGTGGGCCACTGCCCCTGGCCAGATTCTTTTAAATTTTAAGTACTTTAAAAAAACAAAAAACAAACGTAGTTCCTTTACCATTAATCACACTTCAAAAAAGTTAACAGTAAATCTTTAATATAATAAAATACCAATCAGTGATCTATTTTTTTCAGGTCCTTTGTATAGCTAGTGTATTACAATGTAGCCTTTCCCCCATGATCTATTTCTCTTGCTGCTCTGAATAGGCTGAGTGGGAAGATGTAGGACCGGATATGTAGGTTTGAGATATGTCAGAATAATAATTTCAGTTTAATTTCTGGATTTACCTTAGTTCATAAATTGAGAGGATTCTGTTACCTTTAGTTATATTTAGGATACCTAAATTCTTAGTATTTTTTGTCTTTGGGATCCTTTTGGATAGATTAATCTTTAAACTGTTCCAGGATGCAGGCTTTCCAGAATCAATTTAATATCCACTACATTTTTCTGTTCTATAAAGTGAACTCCCATCTCCACTTTATTTTACTTCCAAATTTGTATCCAGGGTGGGTATTTTGTCTAACTATAGGACTTTTTATAATCTCACCAACATCTAGTAGTAGACATGGCTTGGTAGAGAAAAGTGGAAAAGGTAGAGGGAATAATATAAACATGTGAAATTTGTTTTTAGTTTATTTTTCCTTTGTTGATGGTTCAGGATAGGGAATTTATGGGAAGCAGCTATAAAACACTGCATTTGTCTTTTATTTTCATCTACCAGGGAATCTGTCTCTGGTTTTCCTTTCCTATTATCATTTTCTAGAGGGAGTTCTGGTTAATTCTGTCAGTCAGGCTATATTTTTTTCTTTTTACCTTGTGAAAGTCCTTTAAAGATGTAGCATATTAATTAGTATTATAAAGGAAGGAAGTCTTTCACTAACCCCTTTCTGCTCATATGAGAACCCAAGAGCTAAGTATCTTGGGAACTATTGATATTTTGGGCTGGATACTTGTTTGCTTGGGGAGCAGTCCTATGCATTCCAGGATGTTTACAGCATCCCTGGCCTCTATGCATTAGATGCCACTAGCACCCTCCACAATTATGACAGCCAAAAATGTTTCCAGACATTATTAAATGTTTCTTTGGGGGCACAGTGACCCTGGTCCAGAATCACTGATTTAGGTCTCCTGTTAAACTGTCTTAAAATACTGTGCTGTTTCTTCCAGTGATCATAGCAATTTTAAGTAATTTTAATAGTCTTTACCACTAGATAATAAGCTCTATGAGGACAGTGACTGTATTTCCTTTGTTTCATGTCCTTGGTTCATAGCACAGTATCTCAATATACAGTATATATGTGAAGTAAAGATTTTCTTTTTCTTTTTCTTTTTCTTTTTTTTTTTTTTGAGACTGGGTCTTGCTGTCATCGAGGCTCGAGGGCAGTGGTGCCATCAAGGGCTCACTGCAACCTCTGCCTCTGCCTCAAGCAATTCTCCCACCTCAGCCTCCTGAGTAGCTGGAACCACAGGCACGCACCTCCATGCCTGGGTAATTGTTGTGTTTTGAATAGAGATGGGGTCTTGCCATATTGCCCAGGCTGGTGTAGAACTCCTGGTCTCAAGAGACCTGCCCACCTTGACCTCCCAAAGTGCTGGAATTATAGGCATGTGCCACCGTGCCTGGCCGCTAAGTAAAGATTTCTTGAATGAATGGATGCAATCCTAGGTAGCTAAATGACCTTGGCCAAGGTAGTTAACATTTCTGAACATCTGGTTATTACTTTGGGGAGGAGAGTTGGAGAGGGAACTAGTCCATTGAAGATTTCAGTTAGGTTAAGTCCATTGTGAGTTTTATGTTGTCTAGTAATTATGTTATTTTCAAGTCTGATTTTGCTGTTTTTCTGTTTGAAATGACATATAGAAGTTTTTTTCTTACATTAAAAATAGAATACAAGGATAATTGAAACTGATAATGGTTTTGAGAGACTGCATGATTTGAGAGTGTTAATCACACATCATTAAATATAAAAAAATTTTAGGCATGATGGAAATGCATGTTTCGTGGAGTTCAATTATTTCATTCTAGACTAGCATTGAATTTGTTATAGTAATTGTGATTAACATTTAGGGGACTTTATAGCCCCAGTGTCCCAAAGAGTCATATTCTATGATCATTTGCTTCTTTTTTTTTTGAGATGGAGTCTTGCTTCTTCGCCCGGGCTGGAGTGCAGAGGCATGATCTTGGCTCACTGCAACCTCCGCCTCCTGGGTTCAAGCAATTCTCCTGCCTCAGCCTCCCCAGTAGCTGGAATTACAGGCATGTACCACCACACCCGGCTAATTTTTGTAATTTTAGTAGAGACGGGGTTTCACCATGTTGGCCAGGCTGATCTCGAACTCCTGACCTCAAGTGATCCGCCCGCCTCGGCCTCCCAAAGTGCTGGGATTACAGGTGTGAGCCACCGCGCCCGGCCCGTTTGCATCTTTTTCAGAAGGGGTATCAGTGGCTTAGAATTAGTGATAGTATTACTAGTTGTATGTACAATTTCAGATATCTCTTTCTAAGGCCAGTTACGCTGTTTTGGACAACTTCTAACTCATAATGGTGTGAAAGAATGTAATCAACCTTGACCTTGAACACTGGCTGAGCTCCTGAACTTTTAAGTGAGCTCATTTTGTCTGGTTTTGTGTTCTCAACATCTTTCTCTACTCCTCTCTCTCAGGATTGTGCCTCTACTCCTGCTTGTACAGACTGCTTTTCCAGCAGCATGGACACAAGAAGCATAGTAAGATGATGATAACCCACATAAGGCAGGCCCTTTGGAATATGTTAGGTTTCAATTGGTAGTGGAATAGTGTATTTGATTATATGGTTAGTACTTGGGAAGCAGAATGAAGTTTGTCACTTAGAATAGATTGGTAGTCTTAAAAGAGAGCGTCTAGGGAATAAGTTGAATTGCTTCACAAAAAGGTTAATTGGAGAAAAAAGTTTTATGCTCAATAGTGAGCATAAATCATATATATATAAACTTTTGTTATGTTTACTTGTATTCTGCTCCATGTGATTTTACAAAAGAGATAGAACTATTTGAGTGAATTGCAGACCTCTTAATTGAATAATAAAATACACCTTTTGAAGAATTTCTTTGAACTATAAGATGACAAATTATTGACATATATGCTATAGGAATAAAGAATTGAATTTTTGATTTTCTAATTATAGAGGCAGCAGATTGTGGTAGAGGTACTATTGATTATGAGAAATAAATGCTGATGAGAAATGTTTCTATAGTTTGTGATTTCGTACCTAAATGGATTCTGTCTCATATTTGATGGTAAACATGATGCATTTGCTTTTTCTGATTTTGATTTTATGCATTTGTTTTGTCTTTCTAATTTTGTTTTATAAGAGTTTCTGATACAGCCATCCTTTAAACTTAAGGAAGGCTATGTAAATGTATTAAAATACCTATTATAGGTCAGGAAAAATCTCAGTAACTTTGACATTTCTTTATTTATTCAGAATGGGGACTATGTTGCTCATGTTCTCTAAAGACAATTTTGACTATTAAGTTGATGTATGACAAATTTGTTTTTAAAATAATTCTGCAACTTAATGTGATTTATATAGATTGACTTGAAAGATGTAGGATTTCATTCTTTCATTAATTTGTTCATGCACGTAACTAATATTTAATGAACATGTATCGCGGCCTAGGGATTTTTTTTTCCATCTCCTGGGATATAGTGGTAAACCAGACAAGCAAAAACCATGCCCTCTTGGAGCCTATGTTGTTGTGATTCTTTTCCTTTTGTCTCATTAGCAGTTTGTGTATTGAACTTGCTGCAGAGCTGGGGAGGCTGTGCAGGCATTACTGACTCCAGCATTGCTTCTTTGCTAGGGACTATGTTGTTTGCAGCCTGATCCGTTCTTAGCATTTTGCCTCTTAGAGTCCAGATTGCCTGTCCACTGTTCAAAATAGAGACTGAACAGGTAGACTTAGTTAAATGATTTTTCAAACAGTGGGAAAATATGACTAGCTACATTGTTTTATACAAAATTGTCTGTTATATATGTTTTAAAATCTCCATTTGATATTTTGGAATCTTAACTATTTCTTGTAAAATACAGCTTTAAGAATGTTTTCTTTTGTCCGTGAGAATCATTAGTCTCCACATGCATGATTTTAAAAAGCAACTATTCTTAAGTGGAGACCAAACCTTATGAATTTAGAAGAATAAACTAATAAGTATTTTCATTTTTAAAGCAAACTTTTTTAAGTACCTGAGAAATTTGATGTCCTTTTTGTAAATATTTTCTGAATTTGATGTGATTCCTCAGGGTTCATTTGAGTAGCTTATCAATGAAAGATGAAATAGTTTGCCATGTACTTTAGTGTGTAGAACTTGGGAAATAAAGATTTCTGTACAGTGATCAATGTCTCAGAGGTTGACCAAATCCTAATTAATGGCTTTCTTTGATCTAGCAATGTTTTTGATACCATAAAGTTTTATGGTTAAGAAAAAATAGACATAAGTGTTTGAGTTTGTTGAAATATTTTAAATATATGAGTAAAATCCTCTGGAGTAAAAAAATTTTTTAAAATCTTTTTTGCCCTTCAAGTGAGTTTTGAATAAGTAATTTTGTTTTTTACATATCAAAACATGATGTAGCAAATGTCTAGTTTCTGTAACAGCTGCTCACTATGATGAAAAAAATCTCTTACATATTTTTGAAGTACTTTTAATTTACCAAACATTTATTAGAAATTAACCACTTTACTGGGCACGGTGGCTCACGCCTGTAATCCCAGCACTTTGGGAGGCCAAGGTGGGTGGATCACGAGGTCAGGAGTTTGAGACCAGCCTGGCCAACATGTTGAAACCCTGTCTCTACTAAAAATATAAAAATTAGCCAGGCGTGGTGGCGTGCACCTGTAATCCCAGCTACTCAGGAGGCTGAGGCAGGAAATCGCTTGAACCGGGGAGGGAGAGGTGGCAGTGAGCTGAGATTGCACCACTGCACTCTAGTCTGGGCAACAGAGCAAGACTCTGGCTGGGTGTGGGTGGGGGTTGGTGAGGGGAAGTTAACCACTTTATCAAAACATCTTATGTACACAAGTCTATGTACCTACTGTGTACTCACAAAAATTAAAAAGAAAAAAAAGGAGGTATTAGAAAAAAGTGAACCACTTTATAATATGTAGTGTTTTATACTCTGCCCTCTTTTTCTGCAGCCATTACCATGTTTCCGTGGATCTTTAGTATTAACTTTGTGAGAATGGTTGGATAGGTGTCATCCCATTTTACAGACAAGGAAACTGAGGCCCAACAGTTGTGATTTTTCCAAGGAAATGCAGTTCTATAAGCATTAGAGCAGGGATTAGAAGGACCTAGTTCTCAACCTCTGGTGCTAGGTGTAAAGGGGAACCATCATTCAATTTTTCATAGGTTTTTTTGGTTGGTTGTTTTGTTTTTACTGGTATAATGTCCAAATACAAATTTATTTTTTCCTCATTCTTTTTATAACTTCACCTTCATAGAAAAATAGTAAGAATGATGAATAATTTTTATGTATACTTCATCCAGATTTCTGTGCCTCCTGTAACCATGTTTGCTTTCTTACTGTCTCTTCACATACAAATGAACACATAATTTCTTTTCTGAACATTTTGAGAATAAATTGCAATTCATGGTACCCTTTACCTCTAAATAACTCTGTGTATTTTAAAAACAAGCGCATTTTATTTAACTATAGTACAATGATCAAAATCAAGAAACTAACTTGGATACAGTACTGTTGTCTGTAGATCATATTCAGATTTCACTAATCATACCAATAATGTCCTTACTAGAGTAAATTCTACATCACACCTTACATTCACTTGTCTTAGTCTCCCTTAATGTGAATCAATTGGTTACTCCTCTTCTCTTGTATGACCTTTGAGATGATATTTGATTAAAATAGGCCAGTATTTTTAGAATTGCTTTAATATTGATTTGCTGCTGCTTCATGATTAGGTTTGGGTTCTATATTTTTGGCAGAAACACTCCAGGAGTAATATTGTATTCCTCTCAGCACACCATATCAGGAATCATGTTGTCCACATATTCCATTAATAGGGATGTAGAGCTTTTGTTTATTATTTTTTTTTAAATAGACAGGGATCTTGCTCTGTTGCCCAGGTTTGAGTGCAGTGGTGTGATCATGGCTCACTGCAGCCTCGAACTTCTGGGCTTAAGCAGTCCTTTGACATCAGCCTTCTGAGTAGCTGGGACTACAGGTGCATGCCACCATGCCTGCCTGATTTTTTAGATTTTTGGTAGAGAGGAGGTCGGGCTATGTTGCTCAGGCTGGGGTGTTAATTTTTATCTGCAGGGTTTCCCTACTGTGTAGTTACTGTCTTTCCTTTGTAACTATTAATAGTATCTTCTGGGGAGATACTTTGATGCAAATACCTTGCTACTTGTCAAATTTTCACCACTTGTTTTGGTGTCGTCTTATCTGAATCAGAACTAATGGTGATTGCCACATGGTGATTTTCGGAGTCTATCATTTTTGTATTTATTAGTTTGCATTCTCTACAAGCTTTCCCATTTATATATATAGGTGTATATGCATATTAGTATGAACTCGTGGTGTTTTTTGTTTTTTGTTTTATTTGGCGACAGAGTCTCACTCTGTCACTGTCACCCAGGCTAGAGTGCAGTGGCTTGATCTCAGCTCACTGCAGCCTCCACCTCCCAGGTTCAAGCGATTCTCGTGCCTCAGCCTCCTGACTAGCTGGGGCCACAGGCACACAACACCATGCCTGGATAATTTTTGTATTTTTAGTCGAGTCGAGGTTTTGCCATGTTGGCCAGGCTGGTCTTGAACTCCTGGCCTCAAGTGATCCATCTGCCTTGGCCTCCCAAAGTGCTGGGATTACAGGTTTAAGCCACCGCACCCAGCTAAACTCATGGATTTTTTTCTTAATTCACTGAGTTATCTTTATACTCTGATTGTCTCAGTTTTGACTAGGCAAGCTGGCTCCTTTGTCCTTTTGACAAGTCCTCATTATTTTTTGAGTTGTCTTATTCTCTAGTGTAATAAAATAACTCCCACCAGCCTGGGAATCAGCCATTTCTCTAGTTTCTTTTAGTGTGTGTATATCTATCAATAGATAGAACTGTAAATTATATATATACATACATTCTCTTTCTCATCTGTTTTGTATCCGTTTATCTAAAAAGCCATGAATTCATCATAGTATCTTCAATTCCAGTCAAACACAGTAGGGTTCGTTCTAGCTTTCCCTCTTTCCAAGTTTGTCTTCGACAGCAAGAACCCTGGCTTTTGTTATCTACAATATATTTACTTATTATTTGTTCATTCCTGAAATACATAGAAAGTAGATTCAGAATTGCTAAAGCATATATCTGTAAACAAACCTATTAATTAGAGTTTGTTTATAATTCATTTTTTGTTTTTGTCTAAGGGCATGTAGTTAAAATACTATGTACAAACATTACTTGGTTAGTTTTCTCCCCCACTTAAAGTGGTTTTGCTATTAATTTGAAATAGAGTTAGGTTCAAGTTTTTCTGTTTATATTCCATTTTGACTTTTTTCCTCTTTCATCCTTGTTTGCTATTTTTTTAGTATGTGAAACATTAAAGATAAATTAACTTTAATCATTTACTTTTCCTAGCTTCAACGTCATAACTACTTATGCTCTGATAAAAAACCAAAACAGCAAAGCATTTATTTAACATTCTTCAGATAACATTCTAAAATTCAGGGGCTTAGATATGGAAAAGGATTTAGGTAAGAGATCCAATAGTGCAGATTCTACTGATGGGTGAAAGAAAGTATATATTTAGAGAAAATTTATTCTCTTATGAGTGGAATCTCCAGTCCAGGGGGCAGCAAACTTTGTAGAGTATTAGTAAATATTTTAGGTGTTGTGGGCCTCTTTGTATATTCTTCGTCTTTTACAAAGCTTAAAATATAGAACCGTGCGGCTGAGTGTGGTGGTTAGGCCTGTAATCCCAGCGCTTTGGGAGGCTGAGGCGGGCTGATTGCTTGAGATCAGGAGTTCCAGACCAGCCTTGGCAATATTGTGAAACAATATGTCTCTACAAAAAATATTAATACAAAAAAATTAGCTGGGTATGGTGATGCATGTCTATAGTCCCAGCTACTTGGGAGGATTGCTTAATCCAGGGAGGTGGAGGTTGCAGTGAGTTGAGGTTGTGCCACTTTACTCCAGCCTGGGTGACAGAGCAAGACCCTATCTCAAAACAAAACAAAAAAACCCATATACGTATACATATACCATCCTTAGTTTGAGGGCCTATCAAAACAGGCCAAAGGCTATGCTTTGCTGGGCTCAGCAGTAAACTTAGAAACCCGAGAACTTGATTAATAACTTGCTACTTGTAAACAAGAATTATAATCGAGCAGAACAGTATAGCTCATAAAGGCCTTATAGTGCTTATTTTAACATCAAAAACAGAGCAAAACAACTTGAAAAGCTGCCTGGTGGAAATATTCATTTAACACATTTTTTTTTGCATTGACCACGTGCAGATACTATTTTAGGCACTAGGATTCAACAGTACAAAACAGACCAAATGAAAAACCAAAACAAGCCTCTGCCTTCATGGAGTTTACATTTCATTTCTGTGTGTGTGTGTGTGTGTGTGTGTGTGTGTGTGTGTGTGTACTAGAAATGCATGTTTGTTTTTCCTCATTTAGTGCCATTTTATTTATTGAAAGTTGTTTACATTTTAATTGCAGAGAGGATTCTTGTTGGGAAAGTTGATTTAAAAAATTAAGCAAAGGGGACAAAATTTTAAAAGGTTAGCTCATTGCTTTCTATCTCTTCCTTTTTTGTGAAGTGTAATATTTATTTGAAAGTGATTCTTAGTCATTATGATTTCAATGTGTTACTGCACTCGCTAAGGGAAGACAATAAAATAAAACTGCACTAATTGGCACAAACAACCCAGACCTAATTTAGTGATAAGTACATGTGCATTATGGAACTTTTAAAAAATATTATTCACATACATAAAAAGGCTTTAATGAATAAATGAGAAGGAGAATAATTACTATCCAAAGTTGGGAGCCGCTGTGGATATAGTTGCTTATGTGGTTTTCTTAAAATAGGGACAAAGTTTACTAATAAGACTAGTATTTATTTACTAAATGTTAATAAAAGCTCAAGAACTGTTTGCAGATTATCCATCTTGTCTCTGGCTGAATATGAGCACCTTTGAATAAAAATTGTCGAGATGAATTTTTACCATGTTACTTTTTTTTTTGCTGAAATGACTTCTATAAGTGGTTTTTAAATTTGCCTTTGTAAAGATTATTAATATATTTGGCTTTTCTTTAACATCAAGAAATAAGGTTTAATTTTTATAGCAATTTCTGTTGAACAAGAAATTCCAAATCCTTATTCTCATTTTATGAGATAACTCAGAAGTTTTTAGAAGCCTGTCTCTGTTTTGGTGGTAATTTCAAGAATGAAAGTTGTGAGCAACTTAGCTGAAGAGTAGTAAAATCCTAAAGGAGTTGTTTAGAGGCTGCAGCATCATTCTTGTGCAAAATTTCCTAATCAGTACTTTGATTTATTTGCAAAAGCAAAGAATTAAATGTCTGAGTTCTCTTAGAGCTGTAACAGTTTATTAATTCCAAATAATCCTATGGGTGAAGGCCTATGAATAAAATGTCTTTTTTTTTGAGACGGAGTTTTCTCTGTCGCCCAGGCTGGAGTGCAGTGGCGCCATCTTGGCTCACTGCAACTTCTGCCTCCTGGGTTCAAGTGATTCTCCTGCCTCAGCCTCCCGAGTAGCTGGGATTATGGGCATGGCGCCACCATCCTTGGCTAATTTTGTATTTTTAGTAGAGATGGAGTTTCTCCTGGTTTATTAGGCTGGTCTCGAACTCCCGACCTCGGTGATCTGCCCGCCTTAGCCTCCCAAAGTGGTGGGATTACAGGCATGAGCCACCGCACCCAGCCTAAAATCTCTTATTTTGCTAGTCCTACACAATTGTCCTTTTTTTCATTTTAATTACAAAATAATTTTTGAGATTGCTTTAATACAATAATAGCCTATGAAGGTTTTAATAGTAATAGCATCTGGTGGTTGGAAAGAGTGCACGGAAAGTTGCTGGTTGTTTGAGCTTTGTTACTTGCTTGCCATCTGTCAGCCATTCTGCAGGGTAGTCCGCAACATTAGATACCTACACAGCCTTTTCCTCAGCAAGCTCTTTCTGATGGGGTGGGGCTGGGAATATGATGAAAAGTAATATGAGGAGCATTATGATATGAAGAGTAGTGATGTCACCTATGTATAGTTTGTGTACACTGTGATGTATACAGTAGAAAGGGTGGAGGCATTGTGTGCAAAACGTAAAAGCTCATTGTCAAGGAAATTGCAGCTTTGGGTAGGGGATAGGGTAGGGAGGAGTGATTGGATAATTGAGCCTGGGTTTTCTGATGAAGGGCCTTTATATAGCATGCATAGGACCTCCTTCTAAATCAAAAGGGAATTGAGAGTCTGAAGGGCTTTAAATGAAAGCACAAGTTTTAAATTTGTTTTAGAAAAATGACTAGCATCTTTGTGGAGCAGGGAATGGCAATGGCGGGATGAGTTTGGGATAGGAAGGTTAAATTAGTCTAGAGAGGATGAGGGGCTCAATTAAAGTAATACTAATAGGGAGAAGAGGAAGGGATGACTGCAGTAGAAGTTTAGTAATAATAGGGAGCTGGATATGAGGAAGATGGGTGTTGCCAGGGCTTTGGTTTAAGGTTGATTTAAGAGTATGGTACCAGTCACTAAGATGGGCAAATCAGGGAGAGAAAGAAGATTGAGGAGAATGATAATTTGGGGGGGATAGGGTGGATGGGGGATTTTTTTTCTCACCAAGAATAAAAGAAAGATCCTCACTGTGGACGGAGGCTTAAAATCACCTTTATCTCAACCACCCAAAGACTGTTATGGTTACTGTTTTGTTAAGTACAGTAGTTTGTACATCTTGAATATTTGTTGTCTGTGGAACATCAAGGTGGAGATACCTAACTAAATATATGGGTTGGGTACCTGGAGAAAACAGGCTAGAAATGAAGATTGAGGGGACCGTGTAGTTGTTTAGGGTGATAATGTAGGGAAAGAAGAGAAGCCAGCCTAGAGGAAGATCTTGTAGAATCTTTTCATCCTCAGGTTTGTCCTCCCTCCCTCCCTTTCCCCCATCCCTATCATGTTGGGTTTGTGAGTATAAGACATTTAAAAGCAACTCTGTGTGAAGTATGCTTGATTTTAAATTCTGCCTATACAACCAGATGTTCTTGTATGTAATTAAAACTTAAGTAGTAAATTGAATGGCCTGTGAATAAAATTAAGGATTCAAATTTTGTTTAATGAGATTTTATTAGAATTTCTTATCATTAAGCTCACTCATATTATTCAGCATTTTATTTACTCTTAGTTACATAATTCTTTGCCTTAAGTCTACTGTAAGCAATTTATTGTGTACATGGAATTGTGCATTTAAAGACTCCATCATTAGATATAGAACCCATATTTATTTGGGAAATTCCAACTAATACAATTCTGGTATTTTTTTTGCAAAAAAGCTTTATAAATGAATTATTCTTTTTCTTGTTCTCATTTTGGCCATTTCATTGTTAATAGTACTATATTAAAAGGTAACATGTTTTCATTTTGATGTTTACAAAAGACATGGGAATGAATTGAAATTAAAGGAAGGTGGACTGTGTGGATCCCAGGAAGATTAAAATGAAGTTATTTTCATTTATACACCAGTGTATTTTTGTGTTTTGTTTTCTCCCATGGAGAATTGTTTCTGTTTTCTTTGATTTTAGAATAGGGTGGCTAAAGGCCATCACAAACATGTTATGCATTTGTAGCTATAGGAAGAGCTAGTTGTGGTTCTGTAACTGGGTTCCCTGTTAACTGTCTTGCTTAAACCTGATATCTAAAAACCACATTTTTTTTTTTTTTGAGACGGAGTTTTGCTCTTGTTGCCCAGGCTGGAGTGCAATGGTGTGATCTCCGCTCACTGCAACCTCCGCCTCCCAAGTTCAAGTGATTGTTCTGCCTCAAACTCCCGAGTAGCTGGGATTACAGGCATGCGCCACCCTGCCTGGCTAATTTTGTATTTTTTTGTTGAGACGGGTTTCTCCACGTTGGTCAGGCTGGTCTCGAACTCCCTACCTCAGGTGATCCACCCACCTTGGCCTGCCAAAGTGCTGAGATTACAAGCATGAGCCATCGCGCCCGGCCAAAACTACGAATTTTAGACCTGAAAGACATATCTGAAAGACTCGTTTTACAGATGAGGAATCAAGATTCAGAAATGATTAAACTTGTTCAGTCATACCTTTACTAGGTGCACATAGTTAGTGGCCTAATTAGAACACATTTATATTCTCTTTGTTTACTGCTGTTTTCATTATTTTTACTATGGATTTATTGAGTGTGATCTTGGTAGTATTTATGTTTGGTGGAGGGAGGAGAGGAGTGGGAATTGGTAATTCTTAATAGATTATTAATATTTCATGTTAACTCTGGGACAGAATAAGGAGCATACTACTGTGCTGCTCCTCTCCTCCTCGTAGAACAGGATGCCACAGAAAATACGCTTTCCTTGGCAAGGAAGTATTGCACAGAGCACCCACTTGGCCAACAGTTCTCCAGCAACTCACTCTGCAGAAAACTAAAAAGCCTTTGAGTCCAAAGCTCATGTATTTTGTACCCACTTTTAAAGAGAGGAGTGTGGTTATTCTTTAAGTCTATATCCTTAATGTATCTGTAGTATGTTTCTAATTTTCACATTTGAACAATGATGGCTACTTTGTGACTACTACATTTAGATTTTTGCAAACTATTGTTTAGAAGGTTCCTAGTCTCTAGAGGCCTTTTAAAGCCTGAAAAGGCTTCAAAATTAATATGGTTGCTGTAAAGTAACATGTGACAGATGACAGTTGGCCGCCAGGAAGGAGATGGTGGTTTTATCATTTACAAAATGAGATTAGATAAGATGACCTTTAGGATCCCTTACATACTAATCCTGATGAGCAAGTTTTCTAATTAATCTTTTCTTAGCCTCATTTAAAAAATAGAGATAATGGTATATTTCCTGACTACCTCTCAGTTGGTTTGAATATTTAAAAAAATCTAATGATTTTATAAAGTATTTGGAAAGCTAAACTTTTATTCTTCTACTAGGGGATACTGGGAATTTTAATTTTTTTTTTTTATTTAAGAGGCTGCAACTGCGGAACATGTAGTGTCATTGTGGATATCTCTGTTGCCCTGGAAAGTATCTTCATATTATAACATAATTTAATAGTGGGTAAAAGTTATAGAGACTATGAGTTGTAAAGAATGTGCTAGATTATGTTCAGCATATATTTCAAGTTGGGGAAATAGTTGAACAAACAGCAGACAGTTATAAAATACAGACTATAATGTATTTTGCTTGTTTGTTTTTTTGAGATGGAGTCTCACTCTGTCGCCCAGGCTAGCACGCAGTGGTGCAGTCATGTCTTGCAGCATTCTCCGCCTCCTAGGTTCAAGTGATTCTCCTGCCTCAGCCTCCAGAGTAGCTGGGATTATAGGCACTTGCCACCATGCCCGGCCAGTATTTTAGACTAATATTATTACTGGTCATCATTTAAAAGAATTTCATTGTTCCGTTAAATCCAGCAAGGCTTTCAAGAACCAGTTTTAAGCAGTAAAAAGGAGTACAGTTTTGTTTTTGTTTTGTTTTTTTTTTTAATTTACCAGAAGGTATAAAGTGGGCCGGGCATGGTGGCTCACTCCTGTAATCCCAGCACTTTGGGAGGCCGAGGTGGGCAGATCACCTGAGGTCAGGAGTTCGAGACCAGCCTGGCCAACATGATGAAACCCTGTCTCTAGTAAAAATACAAAAATTAAGGCCCGGTGTGGTGCTCATGCTTATAATCCCAGCACTTTTGGGAGGCCAAAGCAGGTCAGTCACCTGAGGTTGGGAGTTTGGGACCAGCCTAGTCAATACGGTGAAACCCCATCTCTACTAAAAAATACAAAAATTAGCCAAGTGTGGTGGCGCACACCTGTAATCCCAGTTACTCGGGAGGCTGAGTCAGGAGAATCGCTTGAACCTGGGAGGCGGAGGTTGCAGTGAGCCAAGATCGTGCCATTGCACTCCAGCCTGGGCGACAGAGCAAAACTTTGTCTCAAAAAAATAAATTAAAAAAAAAATTAGCTGGACATAGTGGCGGGCGCCTGTAATTCCAGCTACTCGGGAGGCTGAGGCAGGAGAATCACTTGAACCCGGGGGGCAGAGGTTGCAGTGAGCCAAGATCGCGACTCTGCCTCAAAAATAAATAAATACATGTATAAAGTGTCTATTTTATATATATACATGTATACAATGTACATATTTATAATATTTATACATATTTATGAAGAAAGATGCATGTAGAATACGCTGGAAGGTGGCCTACCAGCCGTTTAACAGTGGTTATTTCTGAAGAAAGCAGTAGGTGGATAGGGTGCAGGAATGAGACCTTTTAATAGTTTGATTTTTTTCACAGTGAGCATTTATTACCTTATTACTATTAATTTAAGTTGAACTCTTACTCTGTCACACAGGCTGGAGTGCAGTGGCATGATCATAGCTCACCGTAGCCTTGAACTCCTGGGCTCAAGTGATCCTCCCTCCTCGGCCTCCCAAAGTGTTGGAATTATAGGCGCGAGCCACTGTGCCTGGTCTCCATATTGTTTTTGTAATATTTTCTCCAAACCCAAACAGTATGTGTCTTAGCCATTAGGAGAAAGGTGGAGTTAGTCTATTTTAATACTGCTTGAATTAAATCACTTAGAGAAAGGGAGCTTAAGAGTTTGAAGATCCTTAAGCCCTATTGAAGACTTAAAATTCATGTTTAAATGCAGTTTATTTAGCTGTTACTTGATCATGCTTAAATAATTCATGCTTAAAATTCATGTTTAAATGCAGTTTATTTAGGTGTTATTTGATCAGTAGACTCAAAAGCTTTATAATCTTTTGTTTTTAAAGTCTTCTTGGTTATTCGTTGGTGCTACTAAATGGTGTGTCACCACAGTCATCCATCATCTGATTCAGTGACGTTGCTAGCTAGTGAACTTTTTGTTTTGTTTTTGGAAACTGGGCTACATCTGAGTGCCTAGGTAGTGAGAAGAACTGGATTTGAGACACAGTTCCATAACTCACAAGCAGTTTGATTTTAGTTAAGTCACTTAACCTAATTTTATACGTTTATAAAACGAGAATAGTAAATATCAATCTTATCAGGCCATTCTGAAAGCAAAAACAGTTGTGATAGTGTTTAATAATTGACAGTGGACCTCACAGATGAAAAGTATATTACTGTCTTTATTGTTTTTCTCATGCAGCTCCCTGTCTCTTTCAAATTTTTGTGTTGGTTAGTCTCATTTCTGAAATGGTTTTATCCTTCCTTAGGCCTTGTAGGCTCTTCTTCTACTTATTCTCCCTTTGTTATTTAGTTTTCAGTATTTATTCCTTATCTTTTCAACTATTATCTCTTCAGAAATTACTTGTATTTTTTAATTTTCTCTTTTGGGATTCAGTCTCATATCTTCAAGGTATTTTATGTACATGTGCATTTGAAATCATTGTTGTCACCTCATGTCTAAACTTGCCTTTCCTCCACAAACTTACTTTTAGACTTCTGTTTATATCAGTAGTAAAATCATGTTCATAAATACTCAAAGTTGAAAACTTGGAATTATTTTAGATGCTACTCTTTCATCCATACTTTTGTCAGTCATGAAAGCTAATGAATTATTTTTTAAAAAATGTATATTCTGCATCCTTCTCATTCTTTTTATTCTCAGTGTTAACACTTTAGCTCTTATCCTCATCGCTTCTCCTTTGGTTTGTTGCAGTCAGTTTTTAATTGGCTCCTAATTTACTATGCTCTTTTTCTCTAGTTCATATAGTAGAACTAGGTATTTTAGATTATTAGATTATTATTATTTTTTTAGACAGAGTCTTGCTCTGTCGCCCACACTGGCATGCAGTGGTGTAATCTTGGCTCACTGCAACCTCCACCTCCTGGGTTCAAGCGATTCTCGTGTCTCAGCCTCCCGAGTAGCTAGGATTACAGATGTACACCACCATGCCCGGCTAATTTTTGTATTTTTAGTAGAGATGGGGTTTTGTCATGTCCAGTCTGGTCTCGAACTCCTGACCTCAAGTGACCCTCCCGCCTCGGCCTCCCAAAGTGCTGGGATGCCTGACCCAGATTATTAGATTAATTTTTATTACTATTAGTTTTAATAGTGATATTGCTTGAATCATTTTGTATTTCTAAAAACCTTTCAGTTTCCCCTTGCCTTCAGCTGTACAGGTTCCTGAGCTATGGATTTGAGACTTTACATAAGATTATTTTATAAGACTGTAAATAGGAATATGCTTATTATATACATCGCATATAAAGATGCTGTGAAACGGGAAGATTTACTGTATGCAAAGCTGTGCACTATATATTCCCATTATTCCCATTTGTGTGTCTTGTTGGTTTAGGAACTCAGTGATTTTGTAGTAGGAAAGCACAGAGTTCTTTTGAGATTCTAATGCATTTCCATTGGGAAATAGCCACCTCTTAGCTTTTTGTAAATCACTGTAAAGAGAGAGTTATTGATGAGTATGTTATAAATGTAAATAGCCTGGAAGCGGAATCATAGCTGTAACTGGAATGCTCTTTTCCCAGTCTATTTCACTTACATTTTCTTATTAAACTTTATGCTTGTGGTTTCTAACTGGATGTTTATTTCACTTATACATCCCTCCCCCAGTATTTTTATTTTGACACTAAATTATGTCATTAGATCTTGTGTTAATGAGGAAAAGTTTGAGGTCCTAAATACCACTTTTGTGTACAGTATTATTTCTCTGTTAAATGCATATGGGAGTGTGAGGAGAGAATAACAAAGATGCTCCGTCACCAATAGTTAAGTTTAATACATATATTTTGAATTAGTGTCTCTGCAGAATAACCTGTGATTACATTTTAGAGATCTTCAAGATCATTATTGAATTGTCAAAAATCTCAGAAGGCTGAGAACCCACTATTTTATAATGATATGTATATCACTCTCCCGCTCTACCTCAGTAGATTGTTAGATAAATGGAGGTGAGGGTTTAAATGTTATTTTTTGTTTTCTAAAGGGCAGAATATAGTGCTGGTGTTCAGTAGTTAGACGAATGTTGGCTTGGCCTGTTTACCATTTAGCTTTGAACTGTTAATCAGTTGAATTTGGTTTTGTATTCCCCAGTTGTCTAGTTGTTTTTAGTTGATTATACCTTGATAGTAAAACTGTTTGAGTTAGAACATGATGATTAACTCTCAAATTTATACATTGTATACAAGGATGATTATTTTATACTATAACAAATGATGTTGGGGATTATTTCAGAGTGAAACATTCTGTTGCATTGAAATACGTTCTTTAAGCTGGGCGCGGTGGCTCACACCTGTAATCCCAGCACTTTGGGAAGCGGAGGAGGGCGGATCGCTTGAGCCTCAGGAGTTTTAAGACCAGCCTGGACAACATAACGAAACCCGTCTCTACAAGAAATACAAAAATTAGCTGGACATGTTGGTGCATTCCTGTAGTCCCAGCTACTCGGGAGGCTGAGGTGGATCGCTTGAGCCTGGGAGACGGAGGTTGCAGTGAGCTGAGGTTGCACCACTGCACTCCAGCCTGGGTGACAGAGTGAGGCCCTGTCTCAATAAATAAATAAGTTGTCTTTTTTTGAGTCTCACTCTGTTGCCTAGGCTGGAGTGCGGTGGTGCAACCTCTGTCTTCTGGGTTCAAGCAATCCTCCTGAGCAGCTAGGACTACAGGTGCACGCCACTACGCCCAGCTAATTTTTATTTTTACTAGAGATGGGGTTTTGCCATGTTTGCCAGTCTAGTCTCAAACTCCTGGCCTCAAGTGATCTGCCTGCCTTGGCCTCCCAAAGTGCTGGGATTATAGGCATGAGCCACCGTGCCCAGCCAATAAATATACTTTTTATACCTATGAATATTGGCATAGGATTATAGATACATGATTGCAAAACTTGTCAAAAGTAAAGTTCTGAGGGAAAAATTAAGAGAAATTTATATCATCAGTTATGGCTTTGGCATTCTACTTTTTTGAGTAAAATTAATCTGCTCTGTTCAAGTGAATTTAGGTGTGAGAAAGCTGGATAAACTGCTTTTGCTAGCTCGTATTTGGTTGCCTGTTACCTTTGAAACCTTATACTAAACTACTGTATGAAAGTCAAATCATCACATGCTTGGATACCTAATATGTAACACATTGTGGAAGACATGAAAAAAATACCTTTATTGGCTGCTACTTATTGAAGATTATCAGTTAAAGTCAGAGTTTTCCAAAATGGGTGGATTGATGGAAAGATAGGAGGGATAGATGGAAAGATGGATAGATCTGTGTATCTGCATATGTGTGCACACAGGCATATACATGTACATATGCCTCTGGATGATTATAACTGCTTTAAAATGTTTGATAGCTCCATCATCTGTGTCATCTTGGGATTGGCATTTGTTGATTGTTTTTTCCCTCGAGCAGTGGACAGATTCCCTGGGGTATGTGAAGTAAGTTTCACTTTTTTTTTTTTTTTTTTTGAGTTGGAGTCTCACTCTGTCATCCAGGCTGGAGTACAGTGGCGTAATCTTGGCTCACTGCAACCTCTGCCTCCCAGGCTCAAGTGATTCTTCCACCTCAGCCTCCTCAGCAGCTAAGAGCACAGGTGTGTGCCATCACTCCCAGCTAATTTTTTGTATTTTTGGTAAAGACAGGGTTTCACCATGTTACCCAGGCTGGTCTTGTAATCCTGGTCTCAAGCAGTCTGCCTGCCTTGGCCTCCCAAAGTGCTGGGAATACAGGTTTGAGCCACCGTGCCTGGCCAAGTTTCACTTATATGCTGGCGACATTTTTAATATTATGTTGTAAGACTTCATCAAAATCCTCTGAAGGATGTTGATTTTTGTTTATCAGGCAGTCAGTTTGGTTAACGTCAGGATGCGAGTTCTGTCTTGCCTTTTTGTGGTGGTTCCAGTGTCAGTTCAGTTCTCAAAGCATTTCTTTTGAGGTGCGCACAGCATACTTTCCACTCCAGTTAGTCTAGGAATTGGGCAGTGGTTTACATGGATTGTAGTTCTTAGAGCCTTTGCTGTGCTTCTTTGGGTCTGTTTCATGCAGGCGTAATTCTAGTATGAGCCCAGGACGTAGTTCATGCACAAAACTAGGGGATCCTCTTCTCTTTCTCTTTCTAGGATTCCCATTCATTCTCCAGATGCCAGTGTTCTTTTTTCTCTGTTTCTCTGGCCAAAAAGTCATGTTTCTTTCCAAGCTCAGCCTTCAGAATGAAGTAGTGAAAAAGAAAAATAGGAACTCCCACCCCTCTTCTTTGGATAATAGAGACCTCTGTTTCCTCTTCCGTTAGCCACAGATGGATCTTCTTGAGATTTAGGTACCAGTGTGGTAACAGGGTCTGCCTTCAAACTCTTGGCAAGGCCAGAAGGGAGAAGGGGAAATTTTCTTCTTTTTTCCTTCCCTCCTCCTCTACAGCATGGAGGAGTCCTTTTTCCTAGTATTCTGGCTGAATGGGGTTTCTCCTAGTGTTTTTCCCACTAGTATTGGCTACACCTTTCTGTATTCTCCTAGCACTGAGATCAAAGCTAGGAGATCATAGATGATACTAAACACTACGAAATTACCTCAGCTCCCATGCACAGCCACCCACCCCGTCCCCTTAGCTTTCACTGGTCATTTTTCAGGTTTGACTCTGGTTTCCAGTTTGCCTGCTGTTTTTTGCTTCCGGATTACTCAGGTAGTTGCTTTTTGTCTTGAGTTGGGGATTTTGAGTTGTCATCAGTGCGAAAGCAAGGCCTCGTAGTTTGGTTTACTCGATCTTGGCTGGCACTGTAAAGCGTATGTACCTTTTTTGGAGTATTTTTTAATTCCCTCTATTCCAAGGGTTTAGAAAGGATGTGCAAATTTGTGTGTTGAATTAAAGGACTTATGCAGATGAGTTTTTGGTTTTAGGGGAGAGTTGATTACAATTTTTCTTTGTTTCAAAGCAGTTTTAAACTAAGTTTCAAAAATAGATCTCTTCTTTTTTAACAGTATTCAAAACTGTAATGTTAATCCTAGACAGTTGCCATGCTTGAAAAATGGCATATCCTGCTTAATAATACAAATGTTAATTATTTATGTGAAAACAGTTGTAGCCCATAGGCAAAGATAATGAGAAAGCGTATGAGCATTTGGATTCGTCACAATAATCTTTAAAAAATTATTTATTTTTATTCATACTAATATGACATCTGGATATTAGAATCTCCAGATGTCATAATAATTTTTTTTTTTTTTTTTTGAGATGGAGTCTCGCTCTTGTCACCCGGGCTGGAGTGAAGTGGTGCGATCTTGGCTCACTGCAGGCTCCGCCTCCCAGGTTCACGCCATTCTCCTGCCTCAGCCTCCCGAATAGCTGGGACTACAGGCGCCTGCCACCACGCCCGGCTAATTTTTTTGTATTTTTTAGTAGAGATGGGGTTTCACCGTGATCAAGCCAGAATAGTCTTGATCTCCTGATCTTGTGATCCTCCCACCTCGGCCTCCCAAAGTGTTGGGATTACAGGCGTGAGCCACCGTGCCTGGCCATCATAATAATTTTATAAGCACTTTAAAAAATCAAATTCTGGGCTGGGCATAGTAGCTCACGCCTGTAATCCCAGTACTTTGGAGGCTGAGGTGGGCAGATCACTTGAAGTCAGGAGTTAAAGACCAGCCTGGCCAACGTGGTGAAAAACCTGTCTTTACCAAAAAATGTAAAAAATTAGCCAGATGTAGTGGTGCATGCCTGTAATCCCAGCTACCTGGGAGGCTGAGGTGAGAGAATCACTTTAACCCGGGTGGTGGAGGCTGCAGTGAGCCAAGATGGTGCCACTGCACTCCAACCTGGGCAACAGAGCAAGACTCTGTCTCTAAATAGATAAAATAAAATTCTGGCTCATTTTCTTTTCTTCTTTTTTTTAAAAATTAAAGAGGATTTCTTTTTTCTCCTTTACAAAGATTAGATAGATTTAATCTTGCTAGACAGATGTTTGCATATTTCAGACTTACAATTTTAGGAAAATAAACATCACTTCCCTTTGTAATGTCATACTTTTTTTTAAAAAAGGGTTCTAGATTTGAAATTCTGAGAAATACATACAGTATCGCACACTCTTCACCACATTATTGCATACTTAACTACACTCTGCTAACTGTGTCTATTAGTTTAGTAGAATATTGTCTGTCTCTAAAAGCAGATTAAGTTTCATGACAGAGGCCTAGTGCTAATGAATATATTTTGAATGAGTGATGAATTGTGGGATTATAGATAGATTACATTTTTTCTTTGTGTTTTTTTTGTATTTTCCAATTTTTTCATATTAAAATATTTTATGCCACAAAAAAGTTCTAAGAATTTTTTATTTATTAAAAATTTTTTTAGAGACCGTCTTGCTCTGTCACCCAGGCTGGAGTGCAGTGGCATGGTAAAGGCTCACTGCATCCTTGGACTCTTGGGCTCAAATGATCCTCCTGCCTCAGCCTCCCAGGTAGCTGGGACTACAGGCATGCACCCCCATGTCCCATTGATTTTTTTCTTTTTTCTTTTTTTTTAAATTTTTGTAGAGGCAGGGCCTTGCTGTGCTGTGCAGGCTTGTCTTGAACTCCTGGCCTCAAGCGATCCTCTCACCTTGGCCTCCCAGAGTGGTGTTGGGATTTATAGGTGTGAGCCATTGTGCTTGGCTCTAAGCATTTTTCTTAAAAGATTATTTCTTACATTTGATAGTGAGTTATTAGGTATAACATTTCAGATTTTATGTGCTTTGTTTGCAGTTACATGTGGTATGTTTTTTTCAAAGATGCTTTTGAAACACTTTGTTTGTTGGGAGGCTGAGCCAAGCAGATCACCTGAGGTTGGGAGTTCGAGACCGCCTGGGCAACATGGTGAAACCCCATCTCTACTAGAAATACAAAAATTTGCTGGGCATAGTGGCGGGTGCCCATAATCCCAGCGGCTCGGGAGGCTGAGGCAGGAGAATTGCTTGAATCCTGGAGGTGGAGGTTACAGTGAGCTGAGATTGCACCAGTGCACTCCATACTCCAGCCTGGGCAATAGAGAGAGACCCCTTCTCCAAACAAAACAAAACAAAACCAAAAAATCATTTTGGAAGTTTTCAGACTGGTCCTTTTTTTAGTATAAAAGGGAGGAGCTTTGGCTTTATCAAAAACCTGATCTGGGAGGATTCCCTCAGTATGTCTGTAACATCTCCTTTTGGCCTGTGCTGTTTATCTTTAAAAATTCTGATCACTCAAGAATATTGCTGTGTCATTAGAAGTTAACCAAAGCTTATATTTAAAGTTTTATTTTAAATATTTTTTATAAATAAATTTGAAAACCTTAGGAAGATAAAGTTTTGAAAGGAGTTTTTATTTTAAGGGACTATAAAAGTCACTATTTGTCGTATTATTTTAGAACATGCTTTTCTTAATATGGAATTTGCTGCTGTTATTTCTAAAGTTTCTGTTCTTTGGTCCCATTTTATCAGCAAAATCAGTTTATTAATGAAACAAATCTGTTATTTACCTTTTACTCCTGTATGCAAAATACTGAATTTTTATTTTCACTTGTAAACTTAGGAAAAAGCAGATATTGTTTTTAAATTTAATTTCTACTTTGAGTTATTAATAAAAAGTTTCACAAAAATATGAAAACTTTCAAGTTTATACACATACTAGAAAATAAAAGCATTCACTTATTTCTTCTACTGTATTAGTTTTCTATTGCTGTGTAACAAATTGTCACAAACTTAGCTTGTGGCTAAAAACAGCATGTACTTGTTTCACAGTTTCCATAGGTCAGGATCTAGGCGTTGGTTAGCTGGGTCTTTTGCTAATGGTTTCACTTGGGTGATGGAGGTGTTTTCCAGGGCTGGGCTCCCATTTGAAACTTCGGGCCCTCTTCCAAATTCATTCAGGCTGTTGGCTGAATTCAGGTCCTTATGGTTGTAGGACTGAGGTCTCTTTTTTTGTTTACTGGCTGTGGGCTGGGGGTTACTCTCAGTTTCTAGTGGCTACCCTCATGTCCTAGTAGCCATTGGTCCCATTTCTGGTCTACTACAATAGTTATCATCGGAGTGACTGTCCCACCATATTCATAGGTCCCACCCATACTGAAGGATGGGGTCATTAGATAGAGGGGATTATATAGGGCTTGTACAGGGTAGAAGTCTTGGGGGCCATCTTAGAATTCTGCCTGCCAAAGCTATTCTAACCAAACCAATGATAATTTTGTAGTATTTCCTTTTAATATTTTTTTGTGAGCTACCATTTTTATTTATAATACAAATATTTTACCTTGAGGCTTTGGAAGTTTCATTACTATCACTTATAAATATACCCATATTATTTCTGATTATAAAATAAGGGATTTTATTTGAGAGTTCAAGTATCTGTAGTGTAGTTTTAATTCTTAACATTTTAGTTGTGGTGGTTACCGTCATATCCCAAAATAATAATTTTATATTGCTGTTTCTGGAATGGTCAGTTTTAGACATTATTTATTGATTTTTTGCAGCAGCAGGTGATGCACTAGTTCACTTGTGTCATTCCTGCCCTGTAATACCTCTATTTGGGGTGGTGAGACTTTGGAATTCTCCATGATAAAGTGTTTTCCTCCTTGGTTGTATTTTCTTGTGTGTATTATAACTTATGGTTTTCTTCTTATTTCATCATTTACCAATCTTTTTATCACGTTTCCATTTTCTGGAAGTTTGTCACATCTCTGCTGATTTTTCTCCCCTCCTCATTCTGCTTTTCATTGTGAATTTTTATACCTTTTTCTTTCTTGAGTTCTTTATTGTCCTCCCAGTAAGAGGAAGAAAAGAAAAATATCTGGTTAGCATGCTGTCTTGAATTCAAAGTATGAAGATTGTGTTGGCTGCAGAAACTTTCATGAAGTTTCTGATTTCTTTGAAGATTTGGGGGATTCTAATCAGTACTCTCAAGGGCTTAAAGGACCATTGTTAAGAAAGATGGACTGGGTTGATTACATTTAGTTATTTTAGGTTCACTCTTAAGGTTAATTCCTTTGATCATAGAACCAGCAACCTTGTACATGAGCAAAATGTTGATGGTTCTCTGGGATGTAACTCATAATAAGCTGTTTGTTGGGCCCTTTAAGGTCATAGTAGAATTCATTTCATATTGCTGAAATTGGGAAAGGCACAAAAATGTTTGAAGTGAATACACTTACTTGAAATAACAAGCATGAAGGTACAACATTTTGTTAAATTTTGGGTTTTGGGTAATGAGTTTCATTTAATGCATAGAGGAGGGGAGGACATAAATATGCTCTCCAGGGGTGTGAGATTGCAGTGTTTATCAAAAAAGAAAAAAAAAACCCACATCTGTAGAATGGAGAATGTTGCCGAATCCAGGGGCTGGCCTGGTTTTGTAAGTAAGTTCTGTTGGAACACACTGTGCTGATTCATATACAAATTGTTTATGGCTGTTTTCTTGCTACAAAGGGCAGAGCTGAGGAGTTGTGATAGAGACAGTATGACCTGCAAAGGCTAGAATGGTTACTATCTGGCCCTTTGAGGAAAAGGTTTGCTGATGCTGGACCTAATTGATGAGTGCTTTTGAGATCTTGATTAGAGATAAGTTTTGTGATGGAGTAGCCATCTCAGTTTAGGTAAAAGATTCCTTAAACCTCGAGGAATTAGAAATTGATTTGACTTATAGAAGTCTTCAGATTAAAAATATGCATTTGCTGTGGTGCCTACAAGTGATAGTATAGAAACTTAAAATTTTACAAGTTTAAGGAACGTTCTTTAATGTACATGATGGGAGTTGAAACATAAAGAATGAATTAATTACACTGAAAACCAAGGCTCTTGTTTAGTATATTTTCTTTCCTTTTTTTTTTTTTTGAGACGGAGTCTCGCTCTGTTGTTTAGTATATTTTCATTGAAATGATAAGTCTTGAGTGGCCAAAGGAAAGGACAGGTGAAGACTGGTAGGTTATTTCAATCTCTGAGGTCAGATGAGCATAGAGAATTTGCACAAGTAAAGGGTTTCGTCATTTGACATTAGATAATATTAGAACATGGCATATGTGGGGAATAAACTTTTCATTTAGGAAGCATTTAGGAAGTTCAGAGAGAGTAACAGCATAGCAGGCACCAGTAGCCCTAGAAAAGGTAGAATTTGATGGAACAAACTAACTGGGATCAGCAGCCACTTAAGACTTTGGAAAACATGGCAGCAGGGAGCCAGATCCCAAGAAGTAGACTGATAAGATGGAAACCTGTAGAGAACACTGGGTAGCTGGAGAGCCCAAGCCTTCGCAGCATGTAGCCATGGTCTTCTCACCCAAGCATAGAGATGGAATCAGCAGGCAAAGGAGAAAAGTAAGGTCCCAGAATCAGCTTTCATTCTTTTTCAGCGTTTTTCAGCGTAAAACCATGATTTTTTATCCTGGATCAGATTTTGAGAATATGAAGAGAATAACATTCCCAATTCTTGGAGGCAGGTTAACATTATCTGATTAGAATGAGAATTGGAATGAAGCTTGGTAGTTCCTAATAGCAGTGGGTTACAGCAATATTAATAAATTATCCATTGGATAATGAAGGTTTATTATTGAGTGCTTGCTGTGTACCAGGCATTGTAATGTCTTGTAGATGTAAGTACATTAAATATAGTCTCTTTATGTACATTATTTAAGGAAGTTTATTAAAAGCTTCTAATGGGCCAGCATCATCATCATATTCTTTTTCTAAAGTACTGGTTGTTAGTTATAGTGTCATTCATAAAATTCTCAACAAATGGTCTTTGATGGAGGTCCTTGGAAGGCAGGTATGCTCACCACTATACCACCAGCACCATCAGATGGAGGTCTTTGGAGGATTAAGTTTGATGCTTGGGATTGAGTGGTAGTGAACTGTATAGAACACCTAAATTTTGGACAAATTTATTTGGAAACTACATGATGACAGAGTGCTTCTGAAGTCATGTGCTGGGTTCACATTAGTTCAGTAAATGTTGAATAAACTTGTACTCTAACCAATTTATAAAGAGCCATAAAACAGCTTAGTTAACAAAATTAAACACAATAGAAAACAGTTTATTTTTGTATCCAACGAAACTAGTTAAATATAGCAGAGAAGTAGATGTCAGTAGACATTTGAAATGTGTGTTCAGATTAGTAGAATAAACATATCAGCAAGATCCCTAGAAGCCAAGGAAAGAAGCAGGAAACTTGTTAAGTCACATATCTTTGATAAAAAGTAAGCACCAAGCTAACTGAATCACTCTCTAATTTCTGGATTTAAGTAGATTATTTAATAGGATCAGTAAATGACACTATTGTAGGGGAAATTTTTATCAACCTTCTTTAAAGTTGAGAACTTAATAGTAAAGGCATTCATTGAAGAATTAGATGAAATGATGTTTTCTGATGATCAGATTTAACAAATTAGATTTTAGAGACTCTAGAGAAATAGTTGGAGGCATATGTACAGCTGACCCATGAACAATGGGAGGTTTAGGGGCGCCAACCCCCGTGTAGCTGAAAATCATATAACTTTTGACTCTTCCCCAACTAATAATAGACTACTGTTGACCAGTAACCTTACCAATAACATAAACAGTTGATTAAAACATATTTTATATGTTATATATATTATATACTGTATTCTTAAAGTAAGAGAAAAGAAAATGTTATTAAGAAAATTATCAGGAAGAGAAAGTATACTTACTATTCATTAAGTAGAAGTAGGTCATCATAAAAATCTTTACCCTTGTCTTCATGTTGAGTAGGCTGAGGAAGGGAAAGAGGAGTGATTGGTCTTGCTGTCTCAGGGATGGCAGAGGCAAAAGATGTGGAGGAGAGGGAAGGGGAGGCAGGAGAGGCAGACACACTCAGTGTAACTTTACAGAAATAATAATTTCTGTCCAACTTTTTTGCTTTTTCATTTCTCTAAAAATGTTTCTATACCATGGCACCAATTCTTCTTCCACCGTTGGCTTTAATTTTAGTGCCTGTGTCATAGGAGGGTTTGTGTCCTAAAAATAAATCAAAAGCAGTCTTGGATAATTGTAACCCTTCTGCCAGATTGTCTAAAGTAGATTTGTTTTCTGGCACTGCTTCTTCTGCTGCTTCCTGACCGTCTGGCACTGGTTTGGAAGCACTCTTCTTCATCAAGTTGTCTTCTGTTAATTCCTCTGACGTGTCCATTAGCTCTTGAATTTCTCCAAGATTCATATCCTGAAACCCTTCACCTCCCTCCAGCAGCACCCCCCCCCCTTTTTTTTTTTTTTTGCTATATCCACAATTTTATGATTACCTTCATTGGTTCTGTTATAAATCCTATGAAGTCATGTGCAACATCTGGACACAGTTTTGCCCAGCAGGAATTTATTGTTTTGTGCTTCACGGGTTTCAAAGCTTTTTTTGTGGCAGTGGTGGCATCTTCAGTGGTATAATACTTCCAGACTTATATGATGTTCTATTGGGGTTCTCTTCCACAGCATTGACAATCCTTTTTATAGGCTACAGTGTATAATGAGCCTTAAAGGTCCTTATGACCCCCAGATCTAGAGGCTGAATTAAGAGATGTCTCGTTTGGGGACATGTAGACTACTTTGATGCCTTCATTGTTGCATGGAGTTATGGTTGACCAGGGGCATTGTCCAGTATGAAAAGAATTTTAAAAGGCAGTCCCTTACTGGCAAGGGTACTTCCTGACTTCAGGGACAAAGCATTGATGGAACCAGTCCAAAAAAAAGCATTTTTCTTGCCCAGGCCTTCCTTCTGTGCAACCAAAAGACTGGTAGCCAGCCAGTGTCTTCTGTCTTTTCCTATCAAGGCTCAGGTTAGCAGCTTTATAGAAAGGGCAGTCCTGATTATAAGCCTGACTGCATTTGCACAAAACAGTGGAGTTAGTCTATACCCTCCTGCTTTAAATCCTGGTGTTTGCCTCTCTTCCTTACCAGTAAGTGTTCTTTGTGGTATTTTTTTTTTTTTCTCCAGAATAAGGTACTTTCATCTGCAAAAACCTGTTCAGGGAGATACTCATTCTCCTCAACGATATTCTTAAATTCTTAATGATATCTGGGAAATCATGTGTTGCCTCTTGTTTGGCAGAAGCTGCTGCTTCTGTTATCTTTTTTTTTTTTTTTTTTTTTTTTTTTGAGATGGGCGTCTCACTGTGTCACCCAGGCTGGAGTGCAGTGGCACAGTCATAGCTCACAGCAACCTGTGCCTCCTGGGCTCAAGTGATCCTCACACCTCAGCCTGTAGTTGGGACTACAGGCGCAGGCCACCATGCCTGGCTAATATTTTTTTGTATGTTTTAGAGAAACGGGGTCTTGCCATGTTGCCCAGGCTGGTTCTGAACTCCTGGAATCAAGTGAGCTGCCTGCCTTGGCCTCCCAAAGTGCTGGGATTATAGGCATGAGCCACCATGCCTGACCTTCCCCTGGTATCTTGACATTTTTTAAGCCATACTTCTTTCTAAAATGATAAGTGATCCTTTGCTGGCATTAAATTGTCCAGCTTTAGATCTGTCACCTCTCTTTTGCTTTAAGGATCACATAATGACTTACCTTTTTCTCTAATCATATTAGAGTCTGTAGGTATGCCTTTCTTATAACAATTCTGTACCCACACAGAGGCTGCATTTTCAATACAAGATAAAAAGGTATTTCATAAAAAGTTTGAGGTTTTTGGCCTTTTGAGATAGCTGCAGTGACAGCTTCATGAATTTCCTTTTCTTTTTTGACAGTGGTCCTTATAGGCCAGATTCATTTGTCTTGAAAAGGTGGGCAACTGCGGCTGAAGATCTCAACCTACTATACATATCAAGCAAGTCAGCGCTTTTCTTTTAATGTCATGACTTTGCTTCTTGAGAGCACCTTCAGCATCACTAGTGCCACTTCCCATGGGTCTGTGGTGGTATTCAAGGTTCATGTTACTCCACTAAACATAATGAAAAACCTTCGAGAACTGCAAGATACCATTTTTTACTATGATATGCAATTTATTAGAGAGATGAACTGCTCATGCAGAAATGGTTAACATCACATGGCATTTTAAGTGGATACTCACACTCGAGCTCACTGCAATAGCAAGAGAAGGTGGCTATGAAATTATTATACTAGAGGTTTTTGTGGTTATGATTAATACTTCATCTTTAACATTGTTTATGTTTCTCTCTCCTGTGAATGGCGCTATGTATGTTTGTAAATGATAAACTAAAATAAACTAGTATCTACATATATTGTATGCATTCATGACATGCCTTTTTTGTTTTTTCAATATTGCTAGGCTATGCAGTTCCTCTGCATGTGTTTTTAAATTGTCAAAAATCTCTCAAAAATTTTCTAATATTTATTGGAAAAGTTCACATAAAAGTAAGCCAGGCGCAGTGGCTCACGCCTGTAATCCCAGCACTTTGGGAAGCCAAGGTGGGTGGATTGCTTGAGCCCAGGTGTTTGAGACCAGCCTAGCCAACATGGCAAAACCCTGTCTCTACTAAAAATACAAAAATTAGCCCAGTGTGGTGGTGTGCACCTAAAATCCTAGCCACTCAGGAGGCTGAGGCACAAGCATCACTTGAACCCAGGAGACGGAGGTTGCAGTGAGCTGAGAACACGCCACTGCACTCCAGCGTGGGCGACAGAGTGAGACACTGTCTCAAAAAAAAAAAAAAAAAAAAAAAATCACATATAAGTAGACCTGCGCAGTTCAAACCCATCTTGTTCAAGAATTGACTGTATTAAGTGAGCATTTGAAACATAATGTATTATCCAGTATTTCCTTGAATAGTAACTTGAGTGTCTGCAGTGGGTACATTTTTAAGGAAGAGTCTTAGATAAGAGTTGCTTTTAAGACTGTTGAAAATGCTTTAGAAGTCTAAATTATATTTTTTGCTCCGTCCCATCTTCCCAACCTCCCAAAAGAAAACAAAGCTTTGGTCTGCTACAATATGGACTAGTGCTTGATTGAAACTTCCATACTTTACCACAGAAAATGAAAGAAGTAATGTGTTGTCAAGCACAGAGTGAGCTGATGCCTCTTCATTACCCTAGTAATATAAACAGCAGTAGGATGTACTTTCACATGGCTGAGTGAATATGATTTGATTGGTCCTTTACTATTATTCACTGTAATGGAGAATGCCTATCAAAGAGAAAGCTTTTTATTTTGATAATAGCTAACCCTTATTGAGCTGTTCTAGTGTGCTCTAAAAGTTTTCTATACGATGTTTCTGTGAAAACAGTATTATTTCTGTTTTGTAAATAGAAAACTAAGGTTAATTGGTTTAACAACTTTTAATAAGGGGACATATAGTTGGAATTAAAATTTAGATCTTTCTGTACAAAGCTTGTTTGGTGTTGTGTCCTATATGTATTTGTTTATTTTTGTTCATTCTTAACAAATATCTATTCTCTGCCAGACACTGAGGATACAATGCAAATTAAAAAAACTAAACTGAAAATACAGGCTTTCTGTTCTTAGACCTTATTCTCCAGTACGAGAGGACAGGAATGGATTTCAAATGGGCCTGCTGGGAAATTTTGGGAAATTGACCTTTACTTTACATAATTTGCTGTAAGCACTGTAGTAATGTGGTAACATTATTTTGAACTTGGTGAGAAGACGGGCATACCGGTAGATTTTCTAAAGCAGGTAGGAATAAAGGGCATGAATATATTAAAATTCCCTGTGAGTTTGACACAGATCTTAACTTCAAGAGTTTAATAGTTTAAGGATCTTAGCTTAAGAATTCTTAGAAAGTAGGCTGGGTGTGGTGGCTCACACCTGTAATCTCAGCAGGGAGATGTGGGAGGCCGAGGCGGGCAGATGACTTGAGCCCAGGAGTGTAAGACTAGCCTGGGCAACATAACAAAACCCCGTCTTTACAAAAAAAGAAAACACACACACACACACGTTGAGTATGGTGATCTGTGCCTGTAGTGCCAGCTACTTGAGAGGTTGAGGTACACACACACACACACACACTCTCTCTCTCTCTCTCTCTCTCTCTCTCTCTCTCTAGTTGAGTGTGGCGGTCCGTGCCTATAGTCCAGCTACTTGAGAGGTTGAGGTAGGAGGACCCGTTGAGCCTGGGAGGTCAAGGCTGCAGTGATCGGTGCTTATGCCACTGTACCACTCCAGCCTGGGTGACAAAGCAAGACCCTGTCTGAAGAAGGAGAAAAAAAAAAATTCTTAGAAAGTATGTGATGGGATCCTAATTCTTGTCGACCATTGTCATGAACAGATGGGTGCCTTTATGAGAACTTAAGGAGGAAGCATGTTTGCACTTCTACCAGGATTCATTTCCATTTGGGCAGCAGTTGGTCTTTGGTTAAACTGGTTTTTGTTGTTGTTGTTTTGACACAAAGCCTCGCTCTGTCACCATGCTGGAGTGCGGTGGCGTAATCTAGGCCCACCGCAACCTCCATCTCCCAGGTTCAAGCAATTCTCATGCTTCTGCCTCCTGAGTAACTGGGATTACAGGCATTTACCACTACACCTGGGTAATTTTTGCACTTTTAGTAGAGATGGGGTTTCGCTGTGTTGGTCAGGCTGGTCTCACACTCCTGGCCTCAAGTGATCCACCTGCCTTGGCCTCCCAAAGTGCTGGGATTACAGGTGTGAGCCACTATGCCTGACCTTGGTTAAACTCTTACTAAGTTAAATTTCATTAAAGGAACTTGCGTCCTTTGTCTCTTACTGTCAGTCAGCATCACCCTGTGACATATCTTTTAAAAAATCAAGTATTAGTTAAATAATCATACAAGTAAACATCAGATTACAGCAGTGAATGCTTCACAGGTATTATAAATGATAGCACAAAGAAAGCATAAAAGAGGGAGTATTGATCTGATTGGGGAGGTCGGGAAGCCTTTCCTCATTAGGTGATGCTTTAAGATGGATGGGTATGCATTAACTATTGGAGAGACCCTGGTAGAGAGTATTCCAAATAGAGGAAACAAGCCTATTTTAAAGGCCCTGTGGCAGGGACCTGAAAAAAGACGACTGTGTGTCTAGAATAGAAGGCTGGGACAATAGTGTAAGATGAGGCTGGAAAGGTAGACAGGAGTTAGAATGGACAGGGCCTTAAATATACAGGTTTTTTTGTATTTATCCAAAGAGTGGGAAGGCATCGACCATTTTAAGGGGGGTGGGTAGTAGGAGTGGGTGAGTGTCAGTTACCTGATCAGATTAGTTTTTGAAAAGATAGCTGTATTTTAAGTGAATTAATGCAGGAACAGAAAACCAAATGCATGTTCTCACAAGTGAGAGTTAGGCATTGGGTACTCATGGACATAAAGATGGCAACAGTAGATACTGGGGTCTGCTAGAAGAGGGAGGGAGGAAGGGGTTGAAAAACTGTTGGGCACTAAGCTCAGTACCTGTGTGATGGGAATTTTTTGTACCGCAAACCTCAGCATCACAAAATACACCCAGTGACAAACCTGCACATGTACCCCCGAATTCTAAAATAGAAGTTGGGGGGGAAAAAAAGAAAAGATAGCTCTAAACATGGTAGGGAGAACATACCGCATGTATTTAGACGTTGTTCTTCAGGTGAGAGATTAAGGTAAATTGGACTGTGGTCATGGTATGGTGGTTAGAATTTTGAAATACGAGTTGGTAGAGGGAGAGGAGACAAATATGGGGAAAAACTGGGCAGATTTCTGAGATACGAAGGGCAAAAATGAGTAGAATTGAATGCTATAAGTGGTGCTGAAGTAAAAGCTATGCAAGATTCCCTAAGTTTGTAGTTAATTAACCAAGAAATTCTGTTTGAATTGCGTTTAAAATCTGTTGAAGTTGTTTTTGCAGTGTTCTGATGGCCAAAGTTTAGTTTCGACTTCTAATTAATATCTTACAGTGTTATACTTAAAAATCAGCATCTCTGCATATAATAGAAGTTTTAATCAGTAATTGTCTGTTGCCTGATTCCCTCACACTAAAGTAGGATTCTTTCCCTTTGCTTATATGAGAAATTTCAAAACAAAGATTTGGAGGTAGGCCGGGCACTGTGGCTCATGCTTGTAACCTCACCACTTTGAGAGGCTGAAGTAGGCAGATTGCTTGAGCCCAGCAGTTCAAGACCAGCCCAGGCAACATGGTGAAACACCACCTCTACAAAACATATAAAAATTAGCCCATGTGGTGGCGTGTGCCTGTAGTCTCAGCTACTTGGGAGGCTGAGGTGGGAGTATCGTTTGAACCCAGGAGGTAGAGGCTGCAGTGAGCCGTGATCATGCCCTTGAACTCCAGCCTGGGTGGCACAGTGAGACCCTGTCTCAATCAATCAATCAATCAATCAATAAAGTGGGGGATGGGGTGGGATTATTGTTAAACATTAGAGCCCTTTTTTTGTTTTTTCTTTTTGAGACAGAGTCTCCCTCTGGAGTCTCCCAGGCTGGAGTGTAGTAGTGCAATCTCTGCTCACTGCAACCTCCACCTCTTGGGTTCAAGCAGTTCTCCTGCCTCAGCCTCCCAAGTAGCTGGGATTACAGGCGCCTGCCACCACACTAAGCTAATTTTTGTATTTTTAGTAGCGACAGGGTTTCCCCATGTTGGCCAGGCTGGTCTTGAACTCCTGATCTCAGGTGATCTACCTGTCTAGGCCTCCCAAAGTGCTGGAATTACAGGCATGAGCCACCTTGCCTGGCCAGAGCCCTTGATTTTTAAAAAAGTTTTATTGAGATACATACCATAAAATCAGTCAACTTAAAGTATACAATTCAGTGGTTCTGTGCAACCATCATCACGTTCCATTTTAAACTAATTTCATCATCCCAACAAGAAACACTCTACTCATCAGCAATGATTCCTCATTTATCTCCAGCTCTTTCAGCCCTAGACAACCACCAATAGATTTGCCCTTTCTGGATATTACATATAAATGGAATTATATAATATGCTGCCTTTTTCACCTGACTTCTCTAGTTTAGCATAATGTTTTCAAGGTTCATTCAGGTTGTAACATGTATCAGTACTTTTTTTCTTTTTATGGCTCATATTTCGTCGAATAGATACATTTGTTTACTCATTAGCTGACAGATATTTGGGTGTCTGCTTTTTTATGAATTTTAAATGAATTTTATGTGAATAGGGCTACAATGACCACGTGTACAGGTTATTATTATTTTTTCTTTCTTTTTGAACCCTCAGACGGGAAAAAGTATCATGTACAAGTTCTTTGTGAATACATGTTCTCAGTTCTCTTGGGTACATACCTAGAAGTGGAATTGGCTGGGTCTTACGTTAACTGTGTTTAATCTTTTGAGGAACTGTCAAGCTGTTTTCCAAAGCTGCTGCAACATTTTACGTTCCCACCAGTATTGTATGAGGGTTCCAGTTTCTCCACATCCTTGCTTACACTTGTTACTGTCTTTTTGATTATAAGCAAGTAAGTGTGAAGTGGTAGCTCATTATAGTTTTGATTTGCATTTGCCTTATGGGCAGTGATGTTGAGCTTGATTTGTAAAAGAAAAGCAGTATGTTGGTTTCATTGAGAATATAAAAATGAACATGTTTGGTAGTTTCATGTAATTGCTTGGAGAGTTTTGCTGTATGTAAATTTGTTCTTTTTTCATCAGTTGTATTCCCTGAATGACTATAAACCACCCATTTCGAAAGCGAAAATGACCCAAATTACTAAGGCAGCCATCAAAGCTATTAAGGTGAGTAATAAATTTTACTCTTCTATTTTCAAAAGAAAAAACTATATTAATAGTTTGGATGGGGGATAATTTTTTTATGGATTATATGTTCTTTTTCACTTTACAGTGTTAACACATATTGTGGAAAAACACAAAAAAGAAAATCTGTCACCTGTAGACTCTCCCACCTAGAGATAAACATTTAATGTTTATTATTACTCTTTTTTAGAGACAATGTCTTATTCTGTCACCCAGGCTGGACTGCAGTGCCACGATCATAGCTCACTGTGGCCTCGACCTCCTGGGCTCAAGTGATCCTCTTGCCTCAGCCTCCTGAACATTTAACATTTTGATAAATGTTCTTCCTTAAACATTCTTCCATAAATTTTTTGAAGCAGTCATTTTTCCTCACCTTTCTTAGATAATATTTTGCATATATCCACATTATGGAGAATGTGTTTAACACTGTCTTTTGCCACACTGTCTTTTGCCACAAGGTTCTTGGCAGAACCTTGAAATTTGAGTTGGTAAAAGTTTCTATATATTGATATATTCATTTTTTCTTATTGATTCTATTAATATTATAGATTTGAAAATAGGCCATTAAGGAAAACAGTTGTGACTCATTGTATCAGGTATTTGAACTGTGGGAAAAGGCCATAGACATTTAACCTTTGCTCTCATAAAGTAGGTTTTGAACCTATGTTAACTCATGAATAGTTCTGAAAATCTCAGGAAAAGGTTGGATCCTCTGGAGAAATAAACATATGCGCAAAATTTTATAGAAACTTTTTGGCAAAAGGATCTTTTCAAGCTCAGCCATAGATTTTTCCCCGAGAAGTTCTTGTCCCCTAGGCTAAGATTCCCTGAATTAGTAGGCCTCTTAAAATTGAGAATGAATGAGTACTTATTTCTAATTAAGTAGGTACTAACCTATGAATATTCAGTGATATGTTTTCCTGCCCTGAATTAAATTATTAACCGTAACCAAAAGCACCAACTATTTAAATTATCTTTTAAATAACAGCAGTGTATTAAATTTAACAGATTCCTATTTACTAGTAATTACTACTGGGTGAAAATTCAGATGATTCGTTGATTTTGCAGTTTTCTAGTGGCTAAAGCTTAGTTTTCAGACTTGTTAGTATCTTACATCAATAGTTAAAATCAGTGTACTTCCATGGCAGAAAATCAGAGAGAACGACAGTAACTATAAGCACATTGAAGCCAGGAAATGTTTCAAAGACATGATTATTTAGAGGATTTGATAGGCTCATTGTGGAATAATTTTATTCTCTTGTACTTTACTCTGCATTATGTGATTTTTATGATCATGATCATTTGAAAGTGTGGAAACGTGTATTTTTTTCTGTGAAAATTAGTAATTGATGCACTTTTCATAACTTGTTGAGCAGAGTACTTTCTTAATAGAGTTAATGAGGTATAGGTGCAAACAGTATTTTCTATTTTCAGATGTCAGACGGGTCTGAGAGAAATTAAGTAATTTGCAGTAGTAGGAGTAAATATAGCTAGAATTTTAAGCCAGAATTCTGTCAGTCAAGAGTCTAACTCTTTGGACACAGTGGGACACATCGTTAGTCCTAGCTGCTGGGTAGGCTGAGGCAGGAGGATCACTTGAACCCAGGAATTTGAGGCCAGCCTGGGCAACGCAGTAAGATCTTGGCTCTTAAAGTTTTTTTAAAAAAAGAAGTAATGTTTTTTAAAAAGAGAATCTTTATTATTATTATATATTTTATTATTTTGACTTACTGTTTTTAATGTTTTGAATTTTGAAAAAATTTAAACCTAAGTTGCAAATTATTATGGTGAGCAGGACATATTCTTCCCTTAGATTTGCTGATTAACATGTTGCTACATATGGAAGTTAGTTTCAGACTTCATTCATAGTAACACTTAATCCTTGATACATACTTGAATTTGAAACTCCTGAGAATAAAGACATTTTCCTTGGGAACCATAATATACCAATCACATGCAAAAAATTTCACTTTGATAGAATTATCTAATATAGAGTTCATCCTTAACATTTTAACGTTGTTGCATTGTTGACTAGTAGCTGTTGCTGTCAACCCTGCTTTTTCATAATCCAGTCAAGATCACACATTATACTTATTTGTCCTGTCACCCAGCAGTTTTTTTTTTGTGACATTGACATTTTTGAAGCGTCTAGACCAGTTGTTTTTCACTACTTTATTACTTTAAACTGCATTTAGTGTGTATATATGTATATATATATATGTATATATATAAACACTACATTTTATCAATCAGATTTAAATGATACTGTGTTTCATATTGAGGTAAGTCATTGTTTTTTATATAGAAATGATTAGTGAGTGATGGTTAACATTGCATTGTCAACAAAACCTCCCAGAAAACCTATTGTGGAAGAAGGCCTATGAGAATTAATAAACTTTCAGTTAAGATTTATGAAGTAGTTTTATTTTAATTATGTATAGTAACAAAACAAAGAACACTGTCAAGGTGTCTTCCAGAATTGTTCCTTCAATGTGTAGTTATTTAATATTTTGCATATTGATTTTTAAATGTTTAGGGGCCTCTAAAGTGCCTAATAACTTTAGTTGTTTTGGCTTTTTTACTTAAGTAACTTAAACCATTGAGTAAACTTACTTTATTGTAAGTAACTTTAGCCAGACTTAAACTTGTAGGTTTTGATTTGGTGAATATGAGTTCATGATGTTTTCTTTTCTTTTTGTTATTATAAATACTGGATTTAGTGCTGAGGTTTAGTTGAATGTTCCTATTTCTTCAGTCTAAGGGAATGTCCTTAAAAAGCATAATTCACGAGAAGAAAAGTATAAAGAAGGCTGGGCGCAGTGGCTCACGCCTATACTTCCAGCACTTTGGGAGGCCGAGGTGGGTGGATCACTTGAGGTCAAGAGTTAGAGACCAGCCTGGCCAACATGGCGAAACCCCGTCTCTACTAAAAATACAAAAATTAGGCGTGGTGGCTGGCACGCATCTGTAGTCCCAGCTACTTGGGAGGCTGAGGCAGGAGAATCGCTTGAACCCGGGAGGCGAGGGTTGCAGTGAACTGAGATTGTGCCGCTGCACACCAGCCTGGGTGACAGAGTGAGAGTGTGTCTCCAAGGGGAAAAAAAAAAAAAGTATAAAGAGAAGCACAATTCAGGTTCTTTAAACAGAAATCATACGCCAATATGGTATTGTTATTGTGGCATTAAAATTTATTAGGCACACATGTATATACTATACGCTAAATTTATAATTTATTTCAAGTTTATTCATAGTGCTATATTTTATGAAACTTAAATCTTCTAAGTTTTCTTAAAATTGATAGTGGCCAATTACTAATTTTTAATCTACATGTTCACTTCCGCTGATTCATTTTGTCTGATCCATTAGGATATTATACATTTCTATGTTTTATTTTGTATTCTTGCAGTTCATTTTCCAGGAGAAGCAGAAGGAGATAAATGAAGTAGAAAACTACCTTACATACATTTATTAATGTTATTTGTAGTTACTTGATTTTTCAAATTTCCCTTGATTTAACTGATAAAATCATACTGTATGAAATCTGTACTTTTCCTTTCATGAATATAAGAATATACACCCACCAGTACTTATTAGAAGTATTTTGAAGTCAACACAACTGTTTGTTAAAGTATGCTTTCAGAAAGTCTTCAATAGCATTATTTTATATCTGTGGTAAGGTAATGCACTTTGGACATGCTGATCACACATCTACTTTAGAGAAGCCCTTTACTAATTATATAGCACAGCTAGTTGCATATAAAGGTGAGTGACAAGAATGTTTGTCTCAAAATTCTTGGTTAAGATAATTGTTTTGATAGACCTTTGGAGCATGTAAAACCTATGGTTAGCAGGAAATTTCAATCTCCTCAAACTGATTTTAAAACCATACTTCATTTTTTTCCTCTTTTAGTTCTATAAACATGTGGTACAGAGTGTTGAGAAGTTTATTCAGAAAGTAAGTATATAATTTTCCATACATGTGCTGTAATTGTAGATTAATGCCTGTACTCTTCTCCTTTAGATCAAATACCCAAGTTTAAATTGTTTTGATGGACTGTTAAAAAGTGATTCCAGTTATTTTATTTTCCAATTAAGAAATAAAATAAAAGTGCCTTTCAGATAATTTTACTTAGGTTTGTATTCTGCCTATGTTCATGTGCCTAAATGTAAGCAGAGCCAGTTTGAGAATCGGTGTCATGTGGTATTAAGGATTCAGCAAGGTTGCAGTGTGTTTATGTTCCACTTGGGAGAAGGGTGCGGGATTTGAAGTGAGATTTCAGTCATTCAACTGGCTAGGTAACTTTGAATAAGTTAGTTAGCCTTTATGTCATTGAGTTCTTTTTTCTTTTTTAAAATTCTTGTTTTCTCAGTATTTAAAATATAGTATTGATAGGCTGTGCACAATGGCCCACACCTGTAATCCCAGCACTTTGGGAGGCCAAGGTGGGTGGATCACTTGAGGCCAGGAGTTCAAGACTAGCCTGACCAAGATGACAAAACTGTGTGTTTACTAAAAGTACAAAAATTAGCTGACCTGGTAGTGCATGCCTGTAATCCCAGCTACTTGGGAGGCTGAGGCACAAGAATTGCTTGAACCCAGGGGGCGGAGGTTGTAGTGAGCTGAGATCACACCACTGCACTCCAGCCTGGGGAACAGAGTGAGACCCTGTCTCAAAAAATGTGTGTGTGTGTGTGTGTGTGTGTGTGTGTGTGTGTGTGTAGATAAAACATACTTGGGGATTAAGTGGTTTAGGTAACTTGAAGCTAAGATAAAGGGTTGAATAACAAGTATGCTGTCTGTTTCACTTAAAGTTTAAAAATGTTAGTGATTAGAAAATTTTATTTGGTCTAACGCTTTTAAAAGCATTTCTCAGAGATTGTTCTGATTAAAGATCTTTCTTTAAAAGTTTTAATGTCTGGTTTTGTTTTGTTTTGTTTTGGTTTTTTTGTTTTTGTTTTTGAGACGGAGTCTCACTCTGTCGCCCAAGCTGGAGTGCAGTATCAAGATTTCGGCTCACTGCAACCTCTGTCTCCCGAGTTCAAGCTATTCTCTTGCCTCAGCCTCCCCTGTAGCTGGGATTACAGACATGCGCCACCACGCCCAGCTAATTTTTTTGTATTTTTAGTAGAGATGGGGGTTTCACCATGTTGGCCAGGCTGGTCTTGAACTCCTGACCTCAAATGATCCATGTGTCTTGGCCTCTCAAAAGTGCTGGGATTATAGGCGTGAGCCACTGCGCCCAGCCATAAAGTTTTAATGTCTTACACTATGCCTCATAAACTTGATGAATAGGAATTTACCTAGAATTCTTGTTAAAAATGTGGATTCTAATTCACCGAGTGTGGAGAGGAACCTGAGATTCTGCATTTGTAACAGCTCCTAGATGATGTTTCTTTACAAACCACAATTTGAGTAGTAAAGGTTTAAAAGGTAAAAGTGAATTTATGGATAAATGCTTGTTGACTGATTTGATTTGTGGTAGGGTACTTTGAATAAAATGTGTCAGAATCTTAGGAAGACCTGGAATGAGCAAAGTTACTCTATCGTGAGATAATTACAGTCAATCTGAAGAAGCCAATCAGTGTATGGGGAAAAACTTAAATGCTTTGCTATTACCCTGTTTAAATCAGAGATCCAGCAACAGATTTGTGTAATGGTTAAAATAAGGTGTGTGTGTGTGTGTGTGTGTGTATATATATATATATATATACACTTTTTTTTTATACTTTTGAGCTAATTGTAGATTCACATGTCATTAAATCAGTAGGAATAAATCATGTAGAGATCCCATGTGCCCCTCACTCAGTTTCCCCCTGTGGTAACGTTCTGTAGAATTGTAGTAAAATATTACAATCAGGACATTGATACAGTCACCTGTTGACACACTAACCTTATTCAGATTTTAATTGTCTTACATGCACTCATTTGTATATGTATGCATTTAGTTCCATGCCGTTTAATCACATATATAGATTCATATAAACATCACCATAGTCAAGGTACAGAACAGTTCCTTCACCACTAGGATGCCTTGTGTTTCCCTTTTATATACTCTATAGTCATACTCGACTCACCTCCTCCTCCCCATCCCTAATCCCTAATGCCTGGCAGTCATTAACCTGTTCTCTTTCTCTATTTTACATTTCAAAATGTTATATAAATTGAATCATACAAAATGTAGCCTTTTGAGATTGACTTATTTTGCCCAGCGTAATTCTTTTGAGATCTAACCAAGTTGTTGCATGTATCAAATAGTTCCTTCCTTTTTTTTTTTTTTTTTTAAATTTAAGTTCTGGTATACAAGTGCAAAACACATAGGTTTGTTACATAGGTATACCTGTGCCATGGTGGTTTGCTGTACCTATCAACTTGTCATCTAGGTTTTAAGCCCCACATACATTAGCTATTTGTCCTAATGCTCTCCCTCCCCTCGTCCCCCACCCCCGACTGGCCCTGATGTGTTTTGTTCCCCTCCCTGTGTCCATGTGTTGTCATTGTTCAACTCCCACTTACGAGTGAGAACATGGGATCTTTGGTTTTCTGTTCCTATGTTAGTTTGCTGAGGATGATGGCTTCCAGCTTCATCCATGTCACTGCAAAGTACATGATCTCATTCCTTTTTATGTCTGCATAGTATTCCATGGTGTATATGTACCACATTTTCTTTATCCAGTCTATCATTGATGGGCATTTGGGTTGATTCCATGTCTTTGCTATCGTGAATAGTGCTGCAGTAAACATACGTGTGCATGCGTCTTTATGGTAGAATGATTTATATTCCTTTGGGTATATACCCAGTAATGGGATTGCTGGGTCAGATGGTGTTTCTGGTTCTAGATCCTTGAGGAATTGCCACACTGTCTTCCACAATGGTTTAACTAATTTACATTCCCACCAAGAGTATAAAAGTGTTCCTGTTTCTCCACAGCCTCACCAGCATCGGTTGTTTCTTGACTTTTAAGTAATCACCATTCTGACTGGTGTGAGAGTTTATCTCGTTGTTTTGCCCCAAAAACTCCTTAAACTGATAAGCAACCTCAGCGAAGTCTCAGGATACAAAATCAATGTGCAAAAATCACAAGCATTCCTATACACCAACAATATACACCAAGCAGAGAGCCACGTTATGAATGAACTCCCATTCACAGTTGCTACAAAGAGAATAAAATACCTAGGAATATAGCTAACAAGGAGTGTGAAGGACCTCTTCAAGGAGATCTACAAACCACTGCTCAAGGAAATCAGAGAGGACACAAACAAATGGAAAAACATTCTATCCTCATGGATAGGAAGAATCAATATCGTGAACATGGCCATACTGCCCAAAGTAATTTATAGAATAAATGGTATTCCCATAAACTACCACTGACATTTTTCACAGAATTAGAAAAAACTACTTTAAATTTCACATGGAATAGGAAAAGGGCCTGTATAGCGAAGACAGTCTTAAGCAAAAAGAACAAAGCTGGAGGCATTGCACTACCTGCCTTCAAACTATACTACAAGGCTACAGTAACCAGAAGAGACATATGGTTTCCTTACTTTTTATTTCTGAGTAGTATTTCAGGGTATGAATTTACCACAGTTTAATCATTCACTCATTGGGGTTCATCTGGGTTGTTTGTAGTTTTTGGTTATTATGAATAAAGCTGCTAGGAACACTTGTATACCCAGAGTGTTTTTGTGTGAATGTAAGTTTACATTTCTTTGGGATAGTGAGTACATGTTTCCATTTTATAAGAAGCTACCAAACTGTTTTCCAAGATGGCGGTACCATTTTATATTCTCTTCATATACCATAAATTGTGTGAGGGAGAAGTGTGGCTGCAGTTTGGTCATATATTATCCGTGAACCCATGTTTTAGTCATGAAAGATTTATGGAGTAATAAATGACAGTAAATGAAAAATTAACAGTAAATATGATTTCCTTTAGGCCAAGAAAACTACTCTAAAGAATACTCTGGTCTCTGGCCTTGTCCTAATTAATTTTGCCAAAAATCAGTTCATATGCTGATTGTGTCTTAGCTTTATAAGACAGAAGCACCTGGGCACTCTGGCTCATGCCTACAGTCTAGCAGTTTGGGAGGGGCCAAGGCTGGGCTCAGGCATTTGAGACCAGCCTGGGCAAACGTGGCAAAACCCTGTCCCAGCCTAAAAACTACAAAAATTAACTGGGCAAAGTGGCAAGTGCCCGTGTTCCCAGCTGCTTATGTGGGTGAGGTGGAGGGATTGCTTGAGGCTTGAGTTCAGGAGGAAGTTGAGGCTGTAGTGAACCATCATTGTGCCACTGCACTCTAGCTTGGGCAACAAAGCAAGAGCTTGTCTCAAAACAAAACAAAACAAACAAACAGAAAAAATGGGGGCGGCAGCAGCAGCAGAGGCGGGAGTTAGAAACAGATAAGGAAACTTCAGAAGACAGGTTTTAGAACTTGTTATGATCCTGTGTCAGGGTTCTCTAGAGGGACAGAACTAATAGGATATGTGTATATATACACACATATATAGGGTATACATATATACAGGGGAGTTTATTAAATATTAACATAAGTATTAACTTACACGATCACAAGGTCCCACAGCAGGCTGTCTGCAAGCTTGAGGTGCAAGGACGGCCAGTCTGAGTCTCAAAACTGAAGAACTTGGAGTCCAGTGTTCGAGGGCAGGAAGCGTCCAGCACAAGAGGAAGATGTAGGCTCTGAGGCTAGGCCAATCTCTCGTTTTCATATTTTTCTACCTGCTCTATACTTGCTGGCAGCTGATTAGATGGTGCCCACCCAGATTAAAGGTGGGTCTACCTTCCCCTGCTCACTGACTCAAATGTTAATCTCCTTTGGCAGCACCCTCACAGACACATCCAAGATCAATACTTTATGTCCTTCAATCCAGTCAAGTTGACACTCAGTATTAACCATCATAGATCCCTATATTTGCATTATAAATAACTAACTTACCTTAGTTATCCTGAATCCTAAAGGCAATAAATTTTATTTTGAGCCAGAGACCTCATGATTTGGTGACTTTTCTACCATCCATAGCTCTGTTCTCATTTGCTGGTTTGAAATGCAAAAATGAAATCCTCAGCTCTGTTCCAAAAATATGTAGAGTTTACCCAACTCTTTTTGTCTGTATGAAATCCCTTGCCTTTTTTTGCATGAGTACTACAAGCAAATGTGTCTACTAGATTCAGAATAAGATCGAATATTATCATTCAGAACTATTTATTTTGATAAAATCTAGATGCTTTGTTACAGTGAAATACATTCTATGGTACTGTGGCTACTCTTAGATACGGTGAGGTCAGGAATAAATTTCATCTTTCTGGCTCTGAAAGTGGTCTGTAGATGAGTTACTATTGCCTTAATCTGTAAGCTTTTGGCTATGATTACCTTCTTCAAATTTCCTGCTACATATTTAGTAAGAGCAGGAAATGTGGCTTATTTGTGGTGATTTTCAAGTTACATTTACTTTGTAAATAATAAATGAAAAGATGGTGCTAAACTGTCTAGAGATTATCATCATGAAAGTTTTTTGTTTTCTAGAAAGTTGATCTGGTAGCTGTATGTACATGGTTGTTAATGGTGGTTGATATTTTGCAGTGGATATGTATATATTTTTCAAAGAAGCGAAACATTTATTCTTCTCTTTGATATTTTTCCAGAGGAAGGATTGAGTCCACATTGAAAGATGGCTGTTAGCTAGGTGCAGTGGCTCACGCCTATAATCCCAGCACTTTGGGAGGCCGAGGTGGGCAGATCACTTGAGAGGTCAGGAGTTTGAGACCAGCCTGGCCAAAATGGTGAAATCCCGTCTCTACTAATACAAAAATTAGGCAGGCGCGGTAGCACATGCCTGTAGTCCCAGCTACTCAGGAGGCTGAGGCAGGAGAATTGCTTGAACCCACAAAGCAGAGGTTGCAGTGAGCCGAGATCATGCCACTGCACTCCAGCCTGGGTGACAGAGCGAGACTCCGTCTCAAAAAAATAAAAAGAAAGATGGCTGTTATATTTACTTATCTCTGGTGTCTTGAGATATATATATATATATATATATATATATATATATATATTTATTTATTTATTTTTCATGTAGGGTGCAGTATTCTGTAACTGGACTTTTATCATGAGTATACCTTTATGCTTGGAGGTAGGATACAAAGAGATTTTTGTACATGGGCACAAATAGTTTGAAAGGAGTATATTTCCAGATTCTCACTTTTCATATGTATTTTTATTAAAGTTCCTCTTCCCTAGGATATTTTAGATCAACACAAGTTCCACACTTTTTAAATTTACATTTCAAATATATCTTAAGCTTATCAGTCATTCTTAATCATTATGATTAGAGAAACTTTTGCCTCTTGCTTTATTTAAGAAACCAGGGATGTTTATATAATTACAGTCACTCTTCCGTTTCTGTGGGTTCCAACCCATGGGTTCAGCCTATTGGGATCAAAATTTGGGGAAAAAATATTCCACGAAATTCCAGAAAGCAAAACTTGAATTTCCTATACACTGAGTAGAATGTGAATGAAGTGATGTGTAGGCATTGTATTAGGTATTCACAGTAATCTAGAGCTGATTTAAAGTAGATGGGATGATGTCCGTAGGTTATATGCAAATACTGCCCATTTTATATAAGGGACGTGAGCATCCTCGGATTTTGGTATCTTCAGGGGTCTTGGAACGAATCCCCCAAGGCTACTGAAGGACAACTGTATTTCTTTTTATTCTGAAATTTCTATGTACATCTGTAGAAAAGTACAGAAAACAACATATACAGCCAAATTTTTATAAAGAGAAGACCTATGTAGCTCCCACTCATTTCAAGAAGTAGAACTTTGAAGCCCACAAGCCCCAAGTGCCTCTTCCTAATCATGTCTTGCATACCCCCTACCCAGGTAACCAGTTTGAATTTTGTGTCACGTCCTTGCTTGACATTATAGTTTTACTTTGTATAAAATGAATTCTTAAAGTGGTTTAATGTATTTTAAATTTTTTAATGTAATCCTATGGTATGTATTCTTTTTATACAGTTCTCCTACTCAACATCATGTGTCTAGGATTCATTCTTGTGGTGTGTAGCAGTATTCATTACTATCTGTTGCTGTATATTTTCCATTATGTGAATAGACGGCAGCTTGCCCACTTCTGTTGACATTGTGTGTGTTTTCTAGTTTTTGCAATTCTGAACAGTATTGCTGTGAACAGTGTAATATTTACATATGTAAGGTAATAAATATCCTCATACAGCTTGCATTTCTGTAGGAGTGGAATTGCTGGTTACAGGATATGCATTTCTTCACCATGGCTAGATAATACTAAATTAGTTTTATAATGATTGTACTGATTTACTCTCTTCCTCGCAATGCATGGGTTTGTGGTGCTCCCCATTTTTGTCAGCACTTGGTATTGTTAGATTTAAATTTTTCTAATCTGTCGAGCCATCTTTCTTACATGCCACCATTAGTATTATTCAGTGCTTTGCAGGTACAGCCACATGATTCTGTTTCTACCACTCTAGCTTTGTTGTCTTTAAATTAATATCACTTTTTAGTAGCTGCAGGTGGGAGCACAAATTCTAAAAATAGGATAATTAAGGTGTATTTGTATATTGCAAAATATATGGTCCAACTTACCTAGAAGGTTCTTTGACAAATAACCATAACTGATGATAACCTGCAGATGACAACTTGGATGACAAAATGAAAAATCATGCAAATATACTTAAAGGTGCATTCTCCCTATTCGTTCTTACCTTTCTCCCCCTAAAAAGGCTATTTCTCTATAAAATAAGAAATTGGAAATTACTAGAATATAGTTGAAAAATGGTATATCTATAAAAACTTAATGTGATACGCTTTAGGAAATTATTTAGAGTAAAAATACCGTATGCCATTGTATAACTGCCCAGTGGGTTCACCTTGCCTGCTGCCTAGACAGAGCCAATTTATCAAGACAGGAGAATTGCAATGGAGAATGAGTAATTCACGCAAAGCCGGCTGTGCAGGAGACTGGAGTTTTATTATTACTCAAATCAGTCTCCAAGAGCATTCGGGGTTGGATCAGAGTTTTTAAAGATAATTTGGTGGGTAGGGGCTCGGGAAGTGGGGAGTGCTGTTGGTCAGGTTGGAGATGGAATCATAGGGAGGTCCAAGTGAGGTTTTCTTGCTGTCTTCTCTTCTTGGGTGGGATCGCAGAACTGGTTGAGCCAGATTACCAGCCTGGGTGACATCAGCTGATCCATCCAGTGAAAGGTCTGCAAAATATCTCAAGCACTGATCTTTTAAGATAGTGATGTTATACTCAGGAGCAATTTGGGGAGGTTCAGACTCTTGCAGCCAGAGGCTGCGTGACCCTAAACTGTAATTTCTAATCTTGTAGCTAATTTGTTAGTCTTACAAAGGCAGACTGGTACCCAGGCAAGAAGAGGGTCTTTTTGGGAAAGGGCTATTATTAAATATTTTGTTTCTGAGTCAAACCGTAAACTAAATTCCCTCCCAAGGTTAGTTCGGCCCAGGCCCAGGAATGACAAGGACAGCTTGAAGGTTAGAAGCAAGATGGAGTTGGTTAGGTCTGCTCGCTTTCACTGTCATAACTTCCTCAGTTACAATTTTTGCAAAGGCGGTTTCAATTAGAGAGTCTTAGGAATTCTTGTTTTGAGTCTAATGGTACGTAAAGAGGAAAATTTTAAAGTATTTCAGATTTCTTTGTCTTGATTCTTCTCTCAGGTTTCTAGTTGATGACTTAGCCAAGTTTTCCAAGTATTAAAATTATTTAAAACATTAAATCATACTAAAGAACTTTTTTTGCCATTTTATGTAGCAAAAATGCTAATGTACCAGTGAAGGAAATTCTGTCCCACAAAATGTTAATGTATGTGTATCTAAAGATACTGTGCAGTAAGCTTGCAAGTAAAAGGATTCTTCATTGTGCTTCCCTAACTACATAGGCTAAAAAAGCTTGTGTTGAGAAAGTAGGGGAGGCAGGGCACGGTGGCTCGTGCCTGTATTTCCAGCACTTTGGGAGATCTAGGCAGGAGGATTGCTTGAGCCCAGGAGTTTGAGACTAGCCTGGGCAACATGGTGAAACCAAGTCTCTTCCAAAAAAACATACAGGAATTAGCTGGGCATGGTGCTGTGCACCTGTGGTCACAGCTATTTGGAAGGCTGAGATGGAAGATCATTTGAGCCTGAGAGGTCGGGGTTGTAGTGAGCCATGATGGCACCACTGCACTCCAGGCTGGATGACATAGGATAGATCCCCAGGATTATAGATGTTATATTTGAGAAAAAAAATGGAAACTCTGGCCTCTGTATTTAACAATGTTATAATTTGCCATTTGGCATTGTTCTTTTCATTTGCGTAGGAACCCTTTTGTTGTGTGTTCCAGATGAAGTCTGAGGCATGTTGGCAGTGTGTTTGCTAGAGCCCTTCTTTCCTGAATTTGCTTCTTTCTTCCATGTAGCTTTTCACAGTGGTTAAACAAATTTTAAAAATTATAATGGTACCTTATTTATCACTTTGTTTTATGTCATTGAAGCCAGTTACATAGTACTATTTTAGAACTTCTGATTGTATAGAGTAGCCAAAGTAGATTCTTTAAAATGCCATTCCAGAAACTGATGATATTGGAGTAGTCAATGTATGAATATTCATTACCATAGCATAGGCAATGTCTTTGTATTTACACAGGATTTTTGATGATTTTTGTCTATCAAGAATTTTACCTTTCCGTTTCCTTTCCTTTTCATTCTTCTTTTTTTCATCAGTGTAAACCAGAATACAAAGTACCTGGACTTTATGTTATTGACTCCATTGTGCGACAATCCCGACATCAGTTTGGTCAAGAAAAGGATGTGTTTGCACCCAGATTTAGTAATAACATCATTAGCACTTTCCAGAATTTATATCGTTGCCCTGGGGATGACAAGGTATGCTACTGGTTTTTTTTTTTTGTTTTTTTAAAAGTAGATACAGTAGCCTCTTGGTCTTAATTAGTCTTCAGATTATCTTAGTACAGTCATGTGCCACATAATGATGTTTCAATGACAGACCGCATATACAGTGGTGGTCTCCTAAGATTGTAATACCATATTTTTATTTTACCATTTCTCATTTATGTACAGAAATACCACTGTGTTAAAATTGCCTACAGTATGCAGTACAGTGACATGCTGTACATGTTTGTAGTCTAGGAGCAATGGAATATGCCATATAGTCTAGGTGTGTAGTAGGCTATACCGTCTAGGTTTGTGTAAGTACACATCACACAATGATGAAATCTCCTAATGACGCCATTTCTCAGAACATATCCTTGTCGTTAAGTGGCACAGGACTGTATATTCTCATTTGCTCTTAGTTATTTCAAATTTGAATATTTAATTATTACGGTATCCATATTGCATTTTGTTCTTTGAATTTCTCAAACAGAGAGTATAGAAAGATGTAGCAGATTTGCTACTTTTTAATTTGTTGAAGCAATTGGTGTTAAATAAAATGGCTAAAATAAGCTTTTGGAATTACATGAAACTTATTCACACACACAGTCAATTCAGAATTGTGATTATTTGACATGAGTTGATATTTAACTGCATATTAAAATTCTTCTATTATGGTAGAATTTTATTAATCACACTACTAAGTCTGGTATGTGTAAGATCCAAATGTGTAAATATTCTATAAATAGCAAGTAAAAAAGCTTTGGATCATGAGCGAGCATAAAAAGGAGTTGCTTATCCTTTTATTTGCTCTGAGAGGTTAGCTTATTTATTTTGGATGTTGGAAATTTAGGTGTGCTTTTTCTGACAGGGTTGATTGCAGTGTTGATTTAAGTATGAAAAGATGAGAATAGATGAAGATTCATGTTTGTTTTATGGAAGAACCACAAAACTTGAAAGCTCACCACAAATTATTCACCTTTATATTGAGTATAACAAGATTAAGTAGTTATTTTTCATAACTATTATATAGTCTTGAATCAGAAAAAAATCTTGTTATAATGGATAGCTATGGCGATAAATTTATTTATTTTTTTGAGATGGAGTCTTGCTCTTGTCGCCCAGGCTGGAGTGCAATGGCATGATCTTGGCTCACTGCTACCTCTGCCTCCCGGGTTCAAGTGATTCTCCTGCCTCAGCCTCCTGAGTAGCTGGGATTACAGGCGCCCGCCACCACACTCGGCTAATTTTTTTTTGTATTTTTAGTAGAGATGGAGTTTTGCCATGTTGGGTAGGCTGGTCTCAAATTCCTGACCTTGTGATCCGCCCACCATGGCCTCCCAAAATGTTGGAATTACAAGTGTGAGCCACTGTGCCCGGCCAGAGATAAATTTATTATGCTGTATTCTTTGTGAACTATTCTTGAATATACTCCTTGAGACAGAAAGTTTTTGATTTTTGTTTTTAATTACCTTAGTACTTTAATAATTCTGTGCAGGCAAAAGAATGCTTCTAATTTTTTTTTTTTTTTTTTTGAGACGGAGTCTTGCTCTTTCACCCAGGCTGGAGTGCAGTGGTGCGACCTTGGCTCTCTGCAAACTCTGCCTCCCAGGTTCACGCCATTCTCCTGCCTCAGCCTCCTGAGTAGCTGGGACTACAGGCTTATGCCACCCTGCCCAGCTAATTTGTTGTATTTTTATTGGAGACAGGGTTTCACCGTGTTAGCCAGGATGGTCTCGATCTCCTGACCTCGTGATCCGCCTGCCTTGGCCTCCCAAAGTGCTGGGATTACAGGCGTGAGCCACCGCGCCTGGCCTAGAATGCTTCTTTTAAATGACCTGTCATAATTGATTTTTAAAATAGGTACCTTAGACTACCACTTGAAGTAATGTACTAATCTGAAATTTTATACATGCATTTTTTAGAAGTCACTTTACTGTGATTTAGAAATTTCACTAGTTTGGACTTGGATTTCTGTCAGTTCTGGTGATTAAATCTTTCTTGAATGTGTAGATTTCATAATATAATATCTCATACTAGGGCTTATGGAATAGGGCTTTCTTTTAACCATAGGAGGAGAGAGTAGATTAACATTGTAATCTCAATCATAAATGAAGGACATCGTATGTAGATATATGGAATGATAGTTGTTAGGTGCTGGCCAGTTTTAAAGTATATGATGGGTGGCTTGGAAACGGAAAGATTTTTATATAAAGCAGAAGAACATAAGGCATTTTCCAAGTGCTCATGTTTTAGAGTGGAGAAATAGTCAAATCAGAAAGTATGAAGCAGTCTCTAATTTTCTTGTGCTTCATTTGAAATACACAAATTTGCACATTAATGTAGTTTGGACATAGTTTAAAAATATGTCAGTGTAATATTATGAGGGATTTAAAGTTGAACCAGATCTTTATTCTGAAAATTGCTATTTTACTTTGTAAAACATATACATTTAACAGAATTTTTTTTTTTTTTTTTTTTTTTTTTTTTTTTTTTTTTTGAGACGGAGTCTCGCTCTGTTGCCCAGGCTGGAGTGCAGTGGTGTAATCTCGGCTCACTGCAAGCTCCGCCTCCTGGGTTCACGCCATTCTCTTGCCTCAGCCTCCCAAGTAGCTGGGACTACAGGCGCCCACCACCACGCCTGGCTAATGTTTTGTATTTTTAGTAGAGACTGGGTTTCACCATGTTAGCCAAGATGGTCTCGATCTCCTGACCTTGTGATCTGTCCGCCTTGGCCTCCCTAAGTGCTGGGATTACAGGCGTGAGCCACTGCACCTGGCCTCTTTTTTCGTACTTGATTTTAGCCTCTGTCTTTTTTTTTCCTAATGGAATAAGTGGCATCACGATAGTAGTAACTAGGACTTAGTACTTGTTTGCAGAATAGTTATGTGTTAAACAGTTGTGAATCAGATTGTTTGGTGATAGTACCAAGAAAATAGTTATTACATAATCACTCTGCTTTTATTAGTGATAATATGAATTCAGGATATTGTTACTCTGACATAAGTGTTCTCTGGGTGAAATGTTTATTTCAAGAAGCAAGGTATAATAGATGGAACTGCTGATACTTCTTACAAAATACTGTAGGACATCTTGAGACATTATTCTTCATTGGGCATATTTTTCTGCCTATTAAGTTTGAAGCTTTCAGGATCTGTAAAACTTTAATACAACCAAGGAAGACATATAAGTAGGAATTTTTCTAGTTACCAAGTTTTCTCTAAATACTGCTAATTATGTTACTAGATTTCAGAATTACCCAAGAAATAGAAGTCACTAATAACTAGTCTTTTCAAGTTTATAATACACAGAATATAACAAGAGACAGGCAATAGTTAAATAGAATTTCCCAACTAAATAGATTTTCATATGAAATGACTGAGATTAGGGTATAAGTAATTAAATAGAAGTACGTTATAGTATCGCTATAAGAAGAGCTGTAACAAGGCATATATCTCCCTCCCAAGATGCTCAAAATTTGAGAATGGCTAGACATTTAAAATACTAGCTGGCTTAAACAGTCTGATACAGTTTGGAGGTTCAGAAAAGAGACCCGAGAATCCTTCTGGTATACTGTCTTATTTTATAAATGAGGATGCTAAAGTTTTTTTGTTTTTTTAAAAAATGTGTTGACATAGTTGGCCTGAGACCAGGATCAGCAGCAACGTTATATAGATCGTAAATATTTCATGAATTTTATAGCAGCTGCCATATGACTGACTGGAACCTTACAAAAAATACAAAGAACTCTGACTATTTGAGTAATCCAGAAAGAGGTTGAGACTAAAACAAAAATGTGATTTATTTGGTGGTAAGATGATTAGAGTGTGGGTTGGGATGGGCAATGTTGAGACTCTTTATGAGGAATATAAAATTGGATGCAGTGCTGCAGTTCAGGGGCATATCAAGAAGAGTAAATGAGATGGTTCACAGATGTCAAAAGTCTGCTTGCCAGTGGCAAGCAGGTTTTTTATTTTTTATTATTTTTTTTAATTTACAAAATGGTAAAGGATTCAAATTTTAGGAAATGAAATAATGTAGAACATTATTCATACAGAGGATGATTCATCGTTCTGAGGGCCAGATTAAGTAATGCCAGTATGACATTGACATTCTGCAAGGGGAAAGGGAATAGTAAAGAATAAAGAAGAGGGAATGAAGAGAGAAGAAATGGTTACGCTTCAGATTCTGTCTGTACAGAAGTTTGTCCATCTCTGGTTCAAAGTGTCAGTAGGGAATTAGCATTCATGGCAGGATGCTCAAAAAAGGAAGTAATTTGATTAAATTCTTACATGAGGAAATGCCCTCTCCTCAAGTAGATTGTAAAATGAAAGTTTTAAAATGTCACATTAGATAAGGACTTTGTCCTACAAGTTACGTATTTGTTCAAAAGATAGACATTGTGTGAGACAAAGTTAAAATCAACTATAAATATAACGTTAGTACTGAGATGAATCCTGGCTCATCCTCAGAATCCTTAAGACAGATCTCCAGCCAGCCTTACCATCCATATCATTAGAAGTGACATAAGAGAGGAAGCCTGGATGTCATCTCCGCCTTCAGCTAAGTGGAGCTTTCATTTACTTTGTACCTCTATCCAAATTAACATGTTTTCAAGCACGTTAAGGGTAGCAAATGCAAAAATGATAGAAACATAGAATTTTAGGGCTAGAAAGTACCATTGAAGTATTTTAATTTCTCCTTTCCATCCAGGGCCCAGATAGCCTCTATGAAATGACTGTACTAAGGTTTTGAGAGTAAAAACCAAAATGTCATGTTTCTTTTTTTCTCTAGAGTAAAATAGTGAGAGTACTAAACTTATGGCAGAAGAATAATGTATTTAAGAGTGAGATTATTCAGCCCCTTTTGGATATGGCAGCCGGGATTCCGCCTCCAGTTGTCACACCTGTTTTGGCCAGCACTACCACTGCTATGAGCAATACTCCAGGTATGTTGCTTTAATATAGATTTGTTGTCTAAATATTCTACTCATACTTTTTGGATGACTGTTCATATAAAAAATAATTCGACAGTGCAGGAAAATTTGTCCAGCATTACATAATTGAAAGAAAATATTTGTAGAGAAAAATAAAATTAGATATTATGTTTGTGTGTAATTATTTCTAAAATGTAGAAAACTGATTTTCATTTAATCCACAGAAACATAAATATAATGAACCTTAGAAATTTGGTGTGTCAATTAGATTTTTCCTGATTTAAGTTGTCTGTAACTTCTTATACTTGCATTTGTATCAACTTGGTATTTATAGGATACTAGGGGGACTTAATATTTTTTAAGAAACCCTGAAACAATTATTTAACAAAACCAAAATTTCAAAATCGTGTTCTCTTGAGGCATTTAAATGACTATGATAAAAAATTTTTATCAAAGTAATTTAAAAATTTTTTGAAATTTTTATGAAAAAATTTTTTTCATAATTTTTTCATAATTTTTTAAATAATTTTTTCAAAAATTTTTATGAAAAAATTTTTATCATAGTTCCAGCCCTGCGCAGTGACTAACACCTGTAATCCTAGCACTTTGGGAGGCCGAGGCAGGCAGATCGCCTGAGGTCAGGAGTTGGAGAGCAGCCTGGCCAATATAGTGAAACCCTGTCTACATTAAAAATAAAAAAATCAGCTGGGTGTGGTAGTGGGTGCCTGTAATCCCAATTACTGGGGAGGCTGAGGCAGGAGAATCGCTTGAACCCAGGAGGCGGAGGTTGCAGCGAGGCGAGATCGCGCCGTTGCACTCCAGCCTGGGCAACAAGAGCAAAACTCTGTCTCAAAAAAAAAAAAAAAAAAAAAAAATTTTTTTAAATCATAGTTCCAAGAATTAAATTGGTTAGCATTTCATAATTTTGTATGTATTTTGTGTGTGTGTGTGTATGAACAAAAATTGATGTACTGTTTTTTGAGACCTTGCTCTGTCACCCAGGCGGGTGTGCAGTGGTGTGATCATAGCTCACTGCAGCCTCGACCTCCTGGCTTCTAGTGATCCTCCCATCTCAGCCTCCTAAGTAGGTGGGACTACAGGCATGCACTACCATGCCTGGCTAATTTTTTTTTGTTGTTATTGTTGTTAGAGACGGAGTCTTGCTGTGTTGCCCAGGCTGGTCTCGAACTCTAGGGCCCAAGTAGTCCTCCTGCCTTGGGCTCTGAAAGTGTTGGGATTACAGGCATGAACCACTGTACCTGGCCCAAACATGGTTTTATATTATGTGTACTTACTATAAAATTTTTTTATTGAAGATTGTATTTTGAATATTTCCTCATGTTACTGAATTTTTGTCTCTAAAGTAAGATTTTTAATGGCTGTTAAGTATTGTAGGCTTTAGAAGTACAGTAGTCTCCCCACATCCACAGTTTTGCTTTCCATGATTCCAATTACTTGCAGTCAACCACAGTCTGAAAATAGGTGAGTATAGTACAATAAGATATTTTGACAGATAGGGAAAAAGAGAGAGAGACCATATTCACATAACTTTTTTCACAGTATAGTTTATTATTAGTTAGTGTTGTTAATCTCTTACTGTACCTAATTTATAAGTTAACCTTTATCATAGGTATATGTGTACGTACAGAAAAAAACATAGCATATATAGGGTTTGGTGCTAGCTCTGGTTTCAAGCATCCACTGGAGTTCTTGGAACACATCTCCCAAGCATAAGTGGGGACACTATAGTAACTTAGTTAATTGAGGAGGACAAATTTGGACAGATCCTTTTGGTGGGGGGGGGGGGGTGTGGGGGGTGTGTGTGTGTGTGTGTGTGTGTGTGTGTGTGTGTGTGTGTGTGTGTGTTTAATGTACCTAATTCTGTAAAGGATTTTAAGTGATTTTTTCAAAGTGGACACAATAAAATAAAAACAATATGCGTGCATGTGTTTTATAAAAGTAATAAAACAAGTTATTCTGCTTTTTCTAGTCTTAGTTACTTACTTACATATTTATTTGGGGGGTGTGATGTTCTTTTTAAAAGGAACTCCTGTGACACCTGTTACTCCGGCCAATGTGGTCCAAGGCTTACCTGATCCGTGGGTATCTCAGATAACAAATACAGATACACTTGCGGCTGTAGCTCAGATCTTGCAAAGTCCTCAAGGCCAGCAGGTGAGCGGTTTTTCTGTTATATCAAGAATAATTTAGAATTTAATATTTTCCTAATGTATTACTTTGTAACATACCACCTAGAGAATATGTGCTTTTTTTAGTTTTATAAAAATGGGACCATTATGTATACTTTGTTACTTACTTAAGTCATTTAATAGTGCATCATGAATGCTTTCATGTCATTAAAAATTACTTTATAAAAATTTATTCTGTACCAAAATACGGAATTAGCACATAGTTTTGCCAAATATTATTAGGTGCTATCACACTCCAGTAACAAGACAGGAGTCCTATCTTAGAGACCTCCTCCTATCTTAAGGGGGACAGATGGTAAAAAATAGTATGACAAAATTATCGTAGGTAGTGATTAATGACATTAAGAAAGGGTAAATCTATAGTGACTAGATTTGGGGGAAGGGGTCAGGAGTAGAGCGGATAGCCAACAGGAGGTGTATTTGAGGAAGTGACATTTGAATCGAGACATGAAATGGACTAGTCATGGCAGGACAGGAGGATAGGAAATAGAATTGCAAGTATAGAGGTCCTCAGGTGGGAAGCAATGTGGTGTATTGTAGGAATAGAAGAAGGCTTCTGTGGCTAGAACTTCAGGAATAGAGGGGAATCACAAAACATGTACGAATTGATTCAGGAATGGGAAGGATTGCTGTCTTTATAATACCAGGTTTTTCCATTGTATCTATACATATACTTTTATTGTTCAAATCTTTTATGTCTCTTAATTAAGCTTTGTAGCTCTTTAAATGTAGATTCTTCAAATTTCTTAGATTTATTTCCATGAATATATTTGAATAGTTTGGCTTTTTATAGTCAATACCAGTTTCTCTTAGTTTTCAGCTGATTTTCTTTCATTTTCCGTTATATTATTTGTAACTAATGATAATTCTGTGTCCTCAGTTTAAGTACTTACATATAGTTTTCTTAATGTATTGCACTAAGTTATGGAAGAGATCATAATAGAAATAATGATAGTGTACTCATTGTTACTTTTTTCAGACTCATAGAAATACCTCATTTTTGTCCCACTGTGATGTTGGTTTTGTTTCGAGATATGTATTTTTTATGAGGGGCATATTCTCCTTTTTCTAGATGATAGTGTTTTATGAGGTTTTGATTAAAAATTTTATTAGTGAAGATAATAGTATGGTTTTCTGATTACTAGACTTCATTATAATGATTCAGCATTGCAATCCTGTTCTCTCTCTCTCTCTCTCTCTCTCTCTCTCTCTCTCTCTGTCTCTCTCTTTTTCTGACCCTCAAATTCACGCTATCCTTTGAGGCAGTACATTTAAATATTCTGTAATTTTTGTTTTGCTTTGAAGTGTAAACTATTTCACAACTAGTTTCTATTTGCACCTCTACTGAGATGGGTTCCTAGTTTTTATCACCCTACTCTATTTTCAAATTAGGATTATTGCTTGCTTTGTGAGATCAATTTAGAAATGGTTACCTTTTTCTGTATTCTGTGCAGTACAACCTGAGTGCTTTCTGCCTCTGGAAGGTTTGGGTGAACTTAATCAAAAAACCTCTAGGGGCCAGGCACGGTGGCTCACACTTGTAATCCCAGTACTTTGGGAGGCCCATGTAGGTGGATCACTTGAGGCCAGGAGTTGAAGACTAGCCGGGCCAACGTGGTGAAACCTGTCTCTACTAAAAACACAAAAATTAGCTAGGCAGCTTGGCACATGCCTGTAATCCCAGCTACTTAGGAGGCTGAGGCAGGAGAATCGCTTGAACCTCAGAAGTGGAGGTTACAGAGAGCCAAGATCATGCCATTGCACTGTAGCCTGGGTGACAGAGTGAGACTCAAAAACAAAAATCTCAAAAAAAAAAAAAGAACCACAAACTCCTCTAGGGTTTGGTGTGTTCTGGGAGATTAATTTTCGATAACATTTTTCAATTCTTTTTTGGTTATTTGTATTCACTTACGCTACCTTTCCTGAATAAATTTTATAATAAATATTTATGATTAGAAACCATCTGTTTTGTTTTTCATAGTTGTACGTAATTTTTTTAAAAACTAACTTTGGCATGCACATCTGACTTTGTGTTGTGTTTTTTGCTCTAAATTTAGGTTTATTGAAGTTTATGCTTGCTTTTTATTTCTTTCTGTTACTACCCTAGTTCTTCATTTTTGGACTGTTGATGTACTCCTCTAAATAGCTTTTGATCCCTTTGCTGCTTCTCTTTCCTTTTTGATCCATCATTTTAATTCTTTGCAAGATTAATCTTTATCAGTGATTTTTTTTTTCTTTTGAGACGGAGTCTCGCTGTGTCACCCAGGCTGTAGTACAGTGGTGCAATCTTGGCTCACTGCAACCTCTGCCTCCCAGGTTCAAGTGATTCTCCTGCCTCAGCCTCCCGAGTAGCTGGGACTATAGGCACCTGCCACCATGCCCAGCTGATTTCTCTATTTTCAGTAGAGACAGGGTTTCACCGTGTTAGCCAGGATGGTCTTGATCTCCTGACCTTGTGATCTGCCCGCCTCTGCCTCCCAAAGTGCTGGGATTACAGGTGTGAACCACCGTGCCCAGCCTATCAATGATCTTGTATGTTTTAAACTTAAGCTCAGGAACATGCAATAATTACATATTATGCATAGAATAAAATCCAACTTTGTGGTATTTAGAGTTATTCTCAATGTAACCTGTTATATTTTTCTAACATTTTTCATTACTTAGATTACAAAGTTTCATAGATTTCTCTAAATTAATGTAAGTATTCTCTTTGCTTGTGTTGCACTCCCTTTTACTTTATCATCTACTTCTCCAATTTTCATACGTCTCACCCTTCACTATTCAAATCAAACTAAAATTTTTTAGAGTTTGGTGTCTGAAGTCCAGTGATACTGTATCACTTCATTGGTTGTTTTTCATTCACTCAACCTTCAGCAAACATTTACTTTGACCTGCAGTGTTTGAGGCCCTGTACCTTGTTCTGGAGTATACAAGACGAGCAAGAAACATTCTCGGGCCTCTGGAAGCCTAAAGTTTAATAATCAAGATTAATTGCAATACATAAATGTAATTAAATTTAAAATTAATAAGAATCATGGGAGAAGTTTAGAAAAGAAGGGCTTTGGAAATCCAGAACTAGAGATAATACTTTGGCTTGAACAATTGGTTCAGGAAAGTTCTGTTATACAGATGACAATTAAATTTGTTTTTTAAAGGATGAGTAAGAAATGGATGCTAAGGATGAGCTACGTAGACAGAGACAATTGAGAGTAAACAGTGAATTCTGAGTCTTTCAAACAAAACCTGCTCCACCTGCATCTTCATCTCAGTTAATGGAAATGCGATTTTTCCATTTGCTCATACCCAAAAGCTTAAGAGTCATCCTTGATTCCTTTCTTCCCTTTGTTCTTCATATCCAATCTGTTAAGAAATCCTCTGCCTTCAGAATATATTCTGAATCACTAACTCACCACCTCTATCACTAGTTCCTAGAATCAAGCCACCATCATTTCTTACCTAGTTTATTGCCGAAACCACTTAATGGGGCTTCTACCCTTACCCCACAACAGTCTGTTCTCAATACTTCAGGTAGCATGACCCTTTAAATACCTGAGAGTTCATGCAACTCCTCTGCTCAGAATCCTCCAGTGGCTCCCTGTCTCACTCAGAGTAAAAGCCCAAGATGTTTTGTTTGTTTGTTTTTGAGACAGGGTTTTGCTTTGTCACTCAGACTGGAGTGCAGTGGTGCAGTTGTATTTCACTGCATCTTTGAACTCCTGGACTGAAGCGATCCTCCCGCCTCAGCCTCCCAAGTAGCTGGGACTACACCTGTAGCCAGCATGCCTGGTTAATTTTTTATTTTTATTTTATTTTATTATTATTTTTTGACATGGAGTCTTAGCCTGTCACCCAGGCTGGAGTGAAATGGCGCTGTCTCGGCTCACTGCACCCTCCGCCTCCCGGAGTGATTCTCCTGCCTCAGCCTCCCGAGTAGCTGAGATTACAGGCACCCGCCACCACGCCGAGCTAATTTTTGTATTTTTAGTAGATACGGGGTTTCACCTTGTTTGCCAGGCTGTTGTCAAACTCCTGACCTCAGGCGATCCCCCCACGTCAGCCTCCCAAAGTGCTGGAATTACAGGCATGAGCCACCGTGCCTGGCCAATTTTTTATTTTTATATAGAGACAGGATGTCACTATGTTGCCCAGGCTGGTCTCAGACTCCTGGCCTCAAGCAGTCCTTTCACCTGCGCCTCCCAAGTCAATGGAATTACAGGCACAAGCCATCGTGCCTGCACTAAAATCCCAAGTTTCAGCAGTCACTTCATTGGTCCTTGTATGTTCTCAGTTTGACCTATTGTTCCCTTCCCAACATTTTCTATCACCAGTTCATAGACTTCTCTAACTAATGATAAGACTTGCTTATGTTGCCCACCCCCAACCCTGGTTTTATATTATCCTTTGCTTTGCTTTCTCACCTCTTTCTCCTGTAACTTGTTCCATCCTTTTTGTTGTTTCTTAAATAAACTACCTATAATCCTGCCCCAAGATCTCTGCTTTTGAAGTTTTTTATACTGAAAACCCACTTCCCTCATATATTCATATGGTTTCATCTCTTGTCTTTGTTTAAATGTCACTTTAATAAGGCCTTCAGTGACTGCTATTTATTTATTTATTTATTTATTTAGAGACAGGGTCTTGCTCTGTCACCCAGGCTGGAGTGTAATTGGCGCAATCTCGGCTCATTGCAACCTTGGCCTCCCGGGTTCAAGCAATTCTCTTGCCTCAGCCTCCTGAGTAGCTGGGATTACAGGCTTCTGCTACCACACCCAGCTAATTTTTGTATTTTTTAGTAGAGACAAGGTTTCACCTTGTTGGCCAGGCTGGTCTCAAACTCCTGACTTTAAGTGATCCGCCCGCCTCGGCCTTCCAAAGTACTGGGATTATAGACATGAGCCACCGCACCTGGCCGTGACTGCTATTTAAAACTGTAAACTCTTACCTGTCATTGTTTACACTCCCGTTCTCTCTCGCCTCTGCTTACTTCCTTCCTTAGCACTTACTACCTTCTGTTATGTTATATAATTACTTGGTTTTTTTTCTACCTCTTCCCACTGGAATGTATGCTAAACTAGGGCAAGAATTTTTTGTGGTTGTTGACAGCTGCCTGTCCAATGTCTAGGTTGTAGATGGTGTTCAATATGTTTTTGTGGAATGAATGAATGATGTACAAAAGCATTACAGTGTTGGAGATACAAAGGATATTGTAGAGTTGAGTTGTTTGAAGGAAAAGATAGTCTGTGTAAGCTATTAATGACAAAGTTAAATGGCAGACTTAAGTGTGACCTGGGCTGTGAAAACTATAAATGGTGGGCTCAGAAATAAAAGGTTTCATTTGCTAAGCAATGGGGAATCACCAGGGACTTTTTAATGTTGAAGTCACATGATCTTAACAGTACTTTACATGGATTAGAGAGAGGAGAAGTCTAGAGACAGAATATCTTTCTTTTGGTAGTAGTGGTTTTGGAAAGGAGGGTAATGATTATGAAAAATAGTAAGGTTGTATACTTTCTGAAAATACAATAGAAAACATGGGGCCATTCTAGACTTAAAAATATTTTAAAAAACCGATGTGTACTCTTAGGTTGAATCTATTTTCTACATTTTTGAGACAGTTGGGAAACTGAATATTAGCTGTATATTAGGTGAAATTATAGAATTAGTAATTTTATTTTGTGGTAATATTTTGGAAACAATTCATAAAGCAAGTGTTCTTATTTTAAAAGATGCCTATTAAAATAAATATTTTTGACAGAAGAAACTTTGAAAGGGATAGTACAAACAGAGTCAGTAAGACAGTAATTGATAGACTGCGAAGTCAGAGTAGAGGAAGAAAATTGGATGCTCCAGTGGTTTTTTACCTGGGTGACCAAAAGAATAACAGTGCCATGGGAAAAATGGAGATGTCAAAAGGAGCAGTTAAAAAGTGTAAAGGGGAAATACGGTGTTTCTATCATTTTAATAGTTTTATAGAAAATGTTTAGTTGATAGTGAAGTGACTCTAGTTTGTTTCCTAGTGTTACTGTTTTAAGTAGGCATGAAATTACTTTACTGTCATCTTACATAGTTTTTGTGTCCTTTCATCCTAGAAGTTGAACTTCAAGAGTACAGTTGTCTTGGTTATCAGTAGCTTTGCTGTCTTTATTTTTCTCTTTTAAACTAATAATTTTTGGATTTAACTCAGGCTTATAACCAGATTGATTATCATTTATTTCTGGAATGTATATAGGGTTTTCTTATTTATAGAATCTCTTAAAGATCTCACTGTTGTGTCTGTTTTTTAACAGGGGTGGGTACATGGTGGGAACAAGAGTTGCCTTCAACTCTAGATGACACTATTATTAATAACTAGTTGCCAGACTCTACTCTGAGAAACAGATTTCTTAATGACTCTCCAACTTTCAGGAAGTACGTGCTCAGATGGTAATTCTGAATAACAGCAAAAGCTGCTGCTATTTTCAGTACTCGTCCTTTTACTGAGTTTAAAGAGTTAATTGAACAAGGTAGAGAAATTTAGTGAAAAAGGTGTCAGCTTGTGATGAGCGCTTTATCTGGTTGTCACAGATCACTTTATTTTGTTTAAAGTTCGCTGACTTTCCAGAAGTAAGACAAACTTATTAAGGACTGTGTTATATAAGGTACACAGAAAAACTTCAAAAAATTAACTTATTAATAGTGTGTATTTTTTTCAAAGAGAGTGTGGAATGATTAATTTTACTGACTAAAAGTTTTAGGTGGCCACTCTTACAGAAAAAACCCAACACCTGTTTTGTAATATATATTTTTTTCTCTCCAGCTTCAACAATTAATACAAACCTTACAGATACAACAACAGAAGCCCCAGCCTTCCATTCTGCAGGCCCTAGATGCTGGTCTTGTTGTTCAGTTGCAAGCTCTTACGGCACAACTTACAGCTGCAGCTGCAGCTGCCAACACTCTTACTCCCTTAGAACAGGGAGTCTCCTTTAACAAGGTAGAAATTAAAATATCGGATCAAGTCTATATGAATTATTAAATATTATATACTATCATGGATTTTAATTCTATAAATAAATTTTATTGTAGACTTTCAGTATCTCCTGTACACTGTATAAGACAGTCTGAATTTTACAAAAGGTTCAAACTTCTGAAAAAAATTAAGTAATTAAAAAAATTTTTCCTAGGCCAGGCACAGTGGCTCACACCTATAATCCCCAGCACTTTGGGGGAGCGCAAGGCAGGCAGATCACTTAAGGCCAGGAGTTTGAGACCAGCCTGGCAAACATGGTGAAACCCCATCTCTATTAAAAATACAAAAATTAGCCAGATGATGCGTGCCTGTAATCCCAGCTACTGGGGAGGCTGAGGAAGGAGAATTGCTTGTACCTGGGAGGTAGAGGTTGCAGTGAGCCAAGATTGAGCAACTGTTCTCCAGCCTGGGTGACAGAGAAAGACTCTTGACTCAAAAAAAAAAAATTTTTTTTGAAACATTTTTGAAACATTTAAAATATTTTCATTTGACTAAAAATAACTAGTCAGTAAAATCTTGTATTCACCACTGAGGCAAGTGATTACTTTCTGAGCTTGTCTGATTTCTTTCATGGGTGCCACATTTTACTGTGATGCTCTGGGTTCTGTAATTTGGACCTGCAAAAATTAAAATTCTTTAATCAATATGTAAAATGTTTAAAGGAAACTTCTCTACAACTAGTCACTATACTGTAACTATAATAAGTTGATGCCTAAATTATTAATAATTAAAGTGTTTCTAAAACTTAAAATCTTTCATGTACAATTTAGTGTGTGATATTCTTAGTATGCTTATTAATTATGGGAATATCATACTACTTGGAAGTGGTGTTCATATTTTTAAAATTTGTACTTTTTATAGGAAAGTAGATACTGATTTATTGGATTATTACTTAGACTGTTTTGGCCAGCAGCTTCTAAGTCTAATATAGTCTAACACTAAATAGCTAGACCACATAAAAAGCCTTTAAATTGAGCATTCAGAAGAATAACAGCATTCTAAGATGAGAACCATATTAGGAATAGATCCATTGAATATGGCCCTAGATGTTTTATCAAGCTTATTACCATGGAAAAACCACCTAATTATTTTAATTCTTAGTCTTCTGTAAAATTTGAGTATTAGTGTTTATCCTGCCTCTATCATAATTTGTTTTGTTATGTAAGATAATACATATCAAAATGCTTTAAAGAAAAGATCTACTCAAAACACTTTATAATAGTATAAAGTGATACAAAATGTTTATTTACACATTAAATGATAGATATAACGGAATGCCATTGACATTTAAAATAGCATTTGTAACTTGTATTTGTGTGAAGCACTTTTTAATATGTCTGTTTCTCCTTCTTTCCCCCAGAAGTTGATGGATAGGTTTGATTTTGGGGAAGACTCTGAGCATAGTGAAGAACCCAAAAAGGAAATTCCAGCTTCACAACTGTAAGAATTTTTTCTTTATAGCCATAGTTTTTTTATATTTAGTGGGATGTTGCCATCTGAATTACTAAGTATACTTAGTAAGTTGGGATTATTATTTCAAGCTGTTGAACCTCTAACATTATACAAAGGTGGTAGAGATATGTCTTGTTGTCTCTTTGTATTATTTTGAGTCTTTTCTCAGATCTTTGCAAATAGACTGTATCAAAGTTACCTATAAGAACATTGATACATATTGGTAAATCTGGTTGTAATATTTTCCATATTAGGCTTTAAGTTATTTAACTTAATTGTAAGAGTGGTTGGAATACTAGGAATGAAGCTTGCTTCTAGTGCTTAGAGGCCACTTCTAGAAAGCATATGAAATTGTGGAAACACATCAACCTAATGAGAATTAAGGATTGGAGTTATGAGGATTTTTTTTTTTGTAAAGAAATGTGTTGTATGTTTTTATTAAATCAGTTACTTTTTTTTCCCTAAACAATTCTGCAGTGCCCAAGGTTCTGTGAGGGTATGTGAATGGACTAGTAGGGGGAAGATGTTGGAGGAGGCAGGGGTAGAAGTTGGGAGAATGGAAGAAGGATGAATGGTGAAAGTCTGTGGGTCTCTTGTTTCAAACAGAAGTTATTAGTTGTATATATTGGGGTAATAAACAAAAACATAATTTTAGAATATGTTAGATACAAATGTATCATTTTAGTAAAATGATTCCCCTTGACAAAATTTAAAAACTAGTATTTTAGATTATGAATTGCAAACTTGCAAGCAGCATTTGAAATCATGTTGATCAGTGTCCTAAACAATGTAAGAATCTCCTTTAACAGTCCTGATGATACAGTTTATTTATCCAGTATTTTAATGCTTTCTGTAATGAGAAGTTAACTAATTGTTATTATTGTGTGTTCTTTTGTTGAGCTGAATCCTGTTTCCTTTATTTTCTATTAATATACACTGACCCATGTTTTGCTTTCTGAAGCAAGGAATCAAATTTACTCCGCTATCTTTAGAGATGTAGCTTTTCATTATTTGAAGACAGGTATCATTCTTCCCCTTAGGTTTATTTGCTTCAGATGAAGTACACTTTTTTCCAACTGTTTCAAGACTTCTCACCATCCTGTTTGGCTCTTTTGGGATGCCCTTTTTATTGTTAATGTCTTACCTTGTGGCACCCAGAATCCCAGGTGTATTCCAGGTGTGAATTTCCAAGAATATAGTTAAACTATTATTTTTTCTTATTTAAACAGTATCTGTCTCTGTTAACATACCTAATAATGTATATGATTTTCTAAAGGAAGAATATTAGTTTTATAAATTTTATGGTCAATTACAATGGTAGATTTCACACATACTGATTGATAGACTGTTTTTCTATCTCATAGTAAGAGAAGGAGTTAAAGTAACAATGTTTAAATGTTTAAACTTTTTATAAATATTGAGATTTTCTTAATATGCTCTAATGAAAAAGCAGTAATTTATATGTATTTAACAGCCTGAGATGGTAATATCAGATCTTCAGCAGAGCATCTCTGACACGTTATCCATCTATTGATGTACAATTGAAGAATGTATTTTTCTTTTAATAATTAATGTTCTCAAGTATTCTACTTTAAGTATTAAAATTGCAAAAGAAAACATGCAGTAGAATATGTTTTATTGAATTGACTTTTTTGTTTTCTTTGAATACTCAGTTATTTTCATAGTATCTTTAGTGGGTTTTAAAATATGTTTCCACCTGTTTTTCCTTTTAGTTCTCACGTTTCAGAATCTGTGAACAATTCCATTTTTCATCAGATAGCAGAACAACTACAACAGCAAAACCTAGAACATCTCAGACAGCAGCTCTTGGAGCAGCAACAGCCTCAAAAGGTTTATAACCCCATCTTGTGGTCTTTAGAGTTATTACTATTTATATTCTATAAATTGGCATTTTTGTGGGTTGGCTTTTTTTTTTTTTAATTGGTCTTAATAGAATATTTTCTCAACTATTTAGCTTTTACCAGCTACTTTATTTCTTTCTAAAGTTTGTTATGGTGATATTTTTTCAACTCTTATTAGTAAGACCATTTTTTTCAGGACCTTTATGGTTTTTTCTGTAATCAAATTGTGTTCTGGTAACTTATGAATGCACATTGTAGAAATTAATTTCAGTGTACTGGAAGTAGAGAACAGGATGGAGGGGGTTTCAGAATTACCACTTAAAACTAAACGTGTTTTTCTCTCTGTTCCCTATCAAGCAAGTTGATGATTATGTTAATGGTGACAATGATGATGGCCATGTAGATTGCTATCTTTAATTTTTAAAACGTATTTGCTGTTAGCATGTAGCAGGAGCTTTATTAGGTATGTGGTAGGCTTGTATACATTTAACCCTCAGGCGATGGGCATTATGACTCCCATTTTATCCCAGAGGAAGTGGAAGCTTGGTGAGATTAAACATCTCATGCAGCAGTGTACAGCTAGTGTTATATATTATCTGACTCAAGATGTGCGGTTATTTTATGCATAGCTAAGAATTTTAAAACATCGATAACTAAATGTAACATCCTTTTGAGTTGTAAGGATCCTTTAAGTTCATCTTACGAATTTGATAATCTTTGACAAAATATTGCACCTTAGAACTGATAAAATATGTTAAGTTGTAGAGCTAGGATTAAATTTATTTCAAAGCCTTTTTCTGCTGTATGTGAGAAATGGTTACGCATGTAAACTGTTCAGAATAAAAGTATTAGGAAACCCCCTTTCCCTCCCCAGCATACATCCTAATATTAAAAAAGTTTTGGCATTAATGAGTTTAACAAAAATATCACAAAATATTTTTGAGTATGTGTTACTTGTTAGGCAAGTGTTACATACAGAGATGAACAGAAATGAGGTTGTGGCATCAGGTAACCTCTTCTCTAATGGAGCACGTACATCTGTATGAACACCTGGCAGAATTCTTTATTTTTGTCATAGAGGTACAGCTGAAGGATTCTAGGAGCATGGAGGGGGGAACAGTTATTTTAGATGGAAGAGATAGCAAACTTGAGACATTGGGGTCTGAACTTGACTTTTTAATGCAAACAGTAATATAAAATGGATGTTAATGATATTTGCTGCATTGGAACTCATGCCTAGAATTATGAGAATGGAATTTCATACCTTTTTTTTGAAGAAACAATTCTGATATAAGTGGCCAGAGTAGGGGCAGTATTTTATGTCAAGCAAATGTATCTGCCTGAGAACCCAGAAGTTGAAGATAGAACACAATTAAGAACATTTAGATGTTGTTTAAAGAAAAAACAAAGTTGTAACTCAAAACAAACAGCTCGTCAGTGATGTAATAATACAAAAATCACAGAACTGCTAAGAGAGGCAGGAGGTAGTCGTGATGGAAGAATTTATCCAAACAACAGATTTGTTGAGCTATAAATGTAACACTTTGTGAATTGCTTTAGTCATAGTTTCATTTTAGAAGGTTTAGCAGAAGCACTGTAATCGTAGTACTTTATGTTTTTAATGGTCTCTCTCTTAGCAGAATCAAGTAGTCTTAACAAGCTTGTAATTAGCACCATGTTATTGAAGTAAAAATAAACTTGAGAGAGAGCGAGTCTGTTGTAAGAATCTCACCTACCAAAAAGAGAGAACTCTGGGCTTAGTTAATTACTCTATATATCAGTTCCAAAATTTCACAGCTTAGAATAATAAGATCCCTTTGAAAGGAATAGAAGTTCTGAAAAACCTCATTGTTCAAAAATGAATCTAATGAAGAAAAGAGAGTGGTAAAACTAGAACTGTTTTTATAAGGTAGATAGTATAAAACCTATGAGAGATTTAGAATGCAGATCTCGGCTCACTGCTACCTCCGCCTCTCAGGTTCAAGCAGTTCTCTGCCTCAGCCTCCTGAGTAGCTGGGATTACAGGCATCCGCCACCGTGCCCTGCTAATTTTTCTGTATTTTCAGTAGAGACGGGTTTCACCATCTTGGCCAGGCTGGTCTTGAACTTCTCACCTCGTGATCCACCCGCCTCAGCCTCCCAAAGTACTGGGATTACTGGCGTGAGCCACTGTGCCTGGCCTGTTTTTTCTTTGTAGCATTTTTTATTAATGCCAATTATCAGTGAAAATCTAGATTCATTTAACTGACTGCCATTATGTATTTTTCATGCTATAATTTATTTATTAGTCCTCTGTAGTTTATATTTTCACAATTGAAAATTTACTTGATTTTACCATTTTAATATTTTAGTCCCTTCCTTTTATGGAGCTGTTCTCTGCTTTTATATAAAAATGAGTTTATACAAATGTTTAATTTTGGATTGATTACTTTATAAATGATTTAACATGGAATTTCTTTTATGTATGGCTCATGTTTTTAAACATGTAATTGTGATGTTTGCTGTGTTTACATTTTCATTCATAACAAAAAGTATCTCCCAATCTTTGTGTGTTTGTATATGTTCTCAATAGGCCACTCCTCAGGATAGTCAGGAAGGAACCTTTGGGTCAGAGCATTCAGCGTCACCATCACAAGGGAGTAGTCAGCAGCATTTTCTTGAACCTGAAGTCAATTTGGATGATTCCATAGATATTCAGCAACAGGTAAAAGTAAATGTTTTTCTGGGTCATAAATTTCTAAAAGTAGCTAAAGAAATCATAAAATATTTTATACTAGCAGTGCCCTGAATATATTTTTCCCACACTTAAGCTCCACTTTGTAATTGTTTCACCTATTAGGCCAAGCTTGTCCAAGGCCTAAGCATGGCCCCTAGGCCAAGCACATGGCCCAGAACTGCTTTGAATGCAGCCCAACACAAATTTGTAAACTTTCTTAAAACAATATGAGATTTGTTTTTGCGATTTTTTTTTTTTTTTAAGCTTATCAGCTGTCATTAGTGTTAGTATATTTTACGTGTGGCCAAAGACATTACTTCTTCTAATGGGGCCCAGGGAAGCCAAAAGATTGGACACCCCTGTATTAGGCATTAATGCTCCCATCGTCAATATTTTTAAAAACAGAATTGTCAATGTATAACTCTGTCTCAACCAGCCTTTCTGTTTGTTTGCTGTTCTTTTGACTTTCAAGGATATGGATATAGATGAAGGGCAAGATGGAGTGGAAGAGGAGGTCTTTGAACAAGAAGCTAAGAAAGTGGCGGTTCGCTCAAGATCAAGAACACATTCACGATCTCGTTCAAGGTTCTACAATGATATTTAATAATAGCCGTGTGTGAACTTTAAAATGTTGGCTTTATTTCTTTGCATCAGGATGAAAGGAAATGTTTCCTTGGGATGACATATTTTTTCTCAGTCTCTCGGAAAAAAAGTTATTCCAAAAACAAGATAACCTTTGTTCTGTTTTAATTGGTATATCTGTGGCTATTTATTTCAGTAATTTACATAAGATTGGCAGCCATATCATGAGACAGGGATTTTGAATTATATTTTATTTTAGTTAATATTATGATGACACCCAATTTAGAATATTGTTGCCCCTGAACAACAGTTAAGTCAGGCCATATTTCCTGGATTCCACTCATCTCACAGTGATACCAAAAATGGTTATAAAAATGAAACTACAAAATTTATTTTTATAAACATTAACTGTAATACCAAACCGTTAGGAAACAGTTTTCTTTATGAGCTTAACTTAAAGACATCAGTCTTTAACATTTTTGTATCCTATTTTTTGCGTATGAATGCCCCTGAAAATCTGAACAGTAAATGGTGTAAGAGGGGCAGTACGTTTGATGAGTTTTTCAGTCATTTCTTTTTCTTGTCACAAAGTTCTTTATATTTATCTATTGCAAATGAGAGCCTGTCAGTTCAACTTTCTCTAAACCCACCGCGTATCACTGAATTATTTTCCTGAAGCATTAACAATCTTAATGCTGAAGATATCTTCATTTGTCATTAGCAGCATCTTACTAAGCATTTTGAAGAGAGCTCAATGGCATGTGGTTGACAGGCAAAAAAGAAAGTGTTTCAGTGTCACCTTCTACAAGCACCATAAAATTTTATAAGTTGGAAACTACTAAGCAGAATTATGTAGTGGCCTAATGCTCTGACACTTAAATGGTCTTTTAATTTTCTTTGGTCTTTCATTCCTGTTCTTCTGTTTGAAAAATGAGTTGGAATGCACTAAGAGAAAGTGAGGCCCTTTCTAGAATCTTTTTCCTCTTCATTGTGAATAGTCACCCATACTCAGAATCATTGCCAACTAATATGGACCTAAGCAGCACACGGATTTAAGTAAAATGCATTTTTGAGACTTGATTTTACTTCAGAATATTTTAACATATTGTCACTAAATATAAGACAACTTTTTTGTTATTGTTTTTTCCCTCACTTAGAAGTGACAGATTTGGTAGAAAGAAAACATTGTCATTAGAAGTAAAATGAAAATTTTTTGTAGATCACCAAGAAAACGAAGGTCTAGGTCACGGTCTGGCTCTAGAAAGCGTAAACACAGAAAGCGATCACGCTCCCGCTCAAGAGAAAGAAAGAGGAAATCATCACGGTCGTATTCAAGTGAAAGGAGAGCCAGAGAAAGGGAGAAAGAACGACAGAAAAAGGGATTACCTCCAATTAGATCTAAAACACTAAGTGGTAAGTAACATATATCTGCAACGCTTTGGTTTCAATTAATATTTAAAAAATAGTTATCTGCTACAAAGTCTCTCAGCCAAATTTTATTTTCAGATTAAGGTTAAAAGTGGTTTGGTAAATGAGTAATGTCTCTGGTTTTTGTAACATGATAGAGAAGAGAAGAAGAAGGAAGAACAGATTCCATTCAAATACCAAGGTCATTGAGGGTTGATTTTTTGTTTGTTTTTCAAATGCAAGTTAGAAAATACATATTGACTGAAAAAGCAGACTAGGCTGGTATCTGTAGCATGGACACAGTGACTTCTGTCTATAGTATTCTTAGCAATTATGGCCACCAGGTCTGTAGGAATAATTATTAAAGGAAGCATATACTTAGCTATATCTAATTTTTAAAGTAATTATAATGTTAATGGGTTAGCACTACAGGATAATTCCTACTGTACAAACCTTGCACGGTTACATGTTAGTCAATTACGTATGATTAGAACAGATTCGGTAGTGGTGGGGTTTGGTTTTGGAGCAGGTGTGGGGAGGGTTCACTTGGTAGGAATGTTAAGCACAGCAAAATAAGTTTTAATTAGTGCCAAATTTTGCCTAGGGTATTCTTGGTGGGTTATGACTTTTAAGATGAACTAAGAGTTTACATATGGGCAAAGAAGTACATAAAATCGAACAAATTGTCATTCTTTCCAAAGAGCTAAACATTGATTGTGTTATCTAATTTCTGAAGACTTCCACGTAAATTCCCTCTGCCAGGGAGTTAGAAAAATAATTGGTATAATTTGTGCTACTAGAGCGTCTTGGAAACCCAGGCCTATAATAAAAGGCAATAGCCATCTTCTTACTAAGTTTTGGGAGTTCTTGTAGGCCTTGGCTATCTTGCATGAATTTTACCTGGTTGTGAGAGCTAGTGTCAACCTGATAATATTGATTATCCTTGCTCTAGAAGTTTGTTTGTCCCTTAGGGTGATGGTATACATCTAAACATTTTAGTGCTGGCTGATAAAAGAAATAATGTCAAACGTTTAACCACAAAAATCTCTACTGTGCTTTCTCGCATGATTACCATTAAGACGTTCAGAATTATCTATTTATTTGCCATTATTAGAGTAAGGATTTTATATGGAGTCGCTCTCATTTAATTTCTCACTTAATTTGTCATGTTGTTGATTTCACTGTTTACACAGTTTTTTTTTTTTTAACCATTTAATTTTCTATTTCATTTTCCTTTAAGTTCTGGGATACATGTGCTGAACGTGCAGGTTTGTTACATAGGTACACAGGTGCCATGGTGGTTTGCTGCACCCATCAACCCGTCATCTAAGTTTTTTCTTTTTTTTAAATTATACTTTAAGTTCTAGGGTACTTGTGTACAAAGTGCAGGTCTGTTACATAGGTATACATGTACTATGTTGGTTTGCTGCACACATCAACTTGTCGTTTACATTAGGTATTTCTCCTAATGCTACCCTTCCCCCAACCCCCCATCCCCCTGACAGACCCCAGTGTGTGATGCTCCCCGCCCTGTGTCCAAGTGTTCTCATTGTTCAATTCTCACCTATGAGTGAGAACATGTAGTGTTTGGTTTTCTGTCCTTGTGATAGTTTGCTGAGAATGGTAGTTTCCAGCTTCATTCATGTCCCTGCAAAGGACATGAACTCATCCTTTTTTATGGCTGCATAGTATTCCATAGTGTATATGTGCCACATTTTCTTAATCCAGTCTATCATTGATGGACATTTGGATTGGTTCCAAATCTTTGCTACTGTGAGTAGTGCCGCAGTAAATACGTGTGCTGTTTACATAGTTTTTAACTGTGGAATTTATTTTTTATTTCTGTTTTATTTTCATGGGCACAACAAACAGCAAAAAAGAAAATAAAAAGCACGTGAATAAAAAACGCATAACCAAATACAGGCATACCTTGTTTTATTGCACTTCACTCCATTGTGCTTTGAAGATACTGCCTTTTTTTTTTTTTTTTTTTTTTTAAATAGGTTGAAGGGTTGTGACCACCCTATGTTGAGTACCTCTCTTGGCACTATTTTTCCAATAGCAGGTGCCTACTTTGTCTCTATGTCAGCTTTTTTTTTTTTTTTTTTTTTGCAAAAAGTATTTTAAAATTAGGGTATGTACATTTTTGTTTTTAGACATAATGCTGTTGCACACTTAATAGGTTACAGTGTAGTGTAAACATATCTTTTGTGTGCACTGGGAAGAACAACTTATGTGCCTTAACCTTACTGTGATATCTGCTTTATTGTGGTGGTCTGGAACCAAAGTTGCAGTAGCTCCAAGGTATGCCTATACAGTGAAAAATAATCTCTGATTGTTTACCTCACAACTCTCCTTATTCAAAAGCAGTATCAATTTCCTGTGGTTTGTATTCTTTCTTAACACATTTTAAACATATGGTAGTGTTTTCATACGATTTATTGGTCTTTAGCATGGATTTTAGAACATAAGGTTTTCGTGAATAGTCTAGGGGATATAAAGCACCAGTGAATAATAACATTCCAGGAATCAAGTGTCCCTTCTGCATGGGATGACAAGAATCATTAATGCTTTCTGGGGAAAATAATGGAGTTTCCTATGGGAAAAATGTGTAGAGAGATAATATTGAAAGAGATGGGAAATACAGAACAGAGTTCAGGGAGATTAAGGCAGCTGGAATATGCAGAACCAGTAATAAAGAGGAAAAAGAGAATGCCAGGTGCAGCGGCTCACACCTGTAATCCAAGCTACTTTGGGAGGCACAGGCCAGCAGATTGTTTGAGGCCAGGAGTTTAAGACCAGCCTGAGCAACAAAGTGAGATGCCATCACTACCGCCAAAAAAAAAAAAAAAATTAGTTCGGCAAGGTGGTTCACACTTCTGTAGTCCCAGCTACTCAAGAAAGAGGTGGGAGAATCACTTGTGCCTAGGAGGTTGAGAAGCTGCAGTGGGATATGATTGTGCCACTGCACTCCAACCTGAGGAACAGAGCAAGACCCTATATCAAAACAAAACAAAACAAAAAACAGAAGAATCCTTAAGGCTGAGTATACTGGCTCAAACCTATAATCCCAGTACTTTGGAAGGCCAAGGCGGGAGGATTGCTTGAGGCCAGGAATTTGAGACCAGCCTGGGAAGAGCAAAACCATGTCTGTACTAAAAATAAAAACTTAGCCAAGCATGGTGATGGTGTGCCTATAGTTTCAGCTTTTGTGGAGGCTGAGACAGGAGGAGGCCTTAAATCCAGGGAGTAGGAGGCTGCAGTGAGCTATAATTAGGACATTGCACTCTAGCCTCAGCCTGGGTGACAGAGCAAGACCTCGTCTCCAAAAATAAAGGGGCGGGGGGATCTTTTCCATGACAGAGCCCCAGACTTCTGTTAAGGTTTTGTGGTAGATTGGATAATGGCCCCCTAAAAGGTATCTACATTTAAATCATTGGGATTTTTAAATATGTTACATTGTATGGCAAAAGGGACTTTTCAGGCCCTTTTAAATTAAAGATCATGAGGTGGGGAGATGAACCTGGATTATCCAGAAGGCCCAGTTTAATTACACGGGTACATAAGAGGGAAGCAAGTACGTTGAAGAGAAAAGGTGATGTGATAATGAAAGGAGAGAGAATTTGGGAAATGTGGAGGTGGTTTTGAAGACGAAGGACGGGACCATGAGCCAAGGAAGGCAGGCAGCTTGTAGAACCTAGCAAAGGTAAGGAAACAGATTCTCCCCTAGAGCCCTCTAGAGGGAATGCGTACCTGCTGACCCATAGTAGATCTTCAGAACTATAAGAGAATATATTTGTTTTATTCTAACTTCATGTTATTTTGTTATAGCAGCAATAAAAAACTGTTACAAGGCTAGGCATGGTGGCTTGCCTCTGTAATTCCAGCACTTTGAAATTACTTGAGACCAGGAGTTTGAGACCAGCCTGGGCAACGTGGTGAAACCACATCTCTGCTAAAGATACAACAAAAATTAGCTGAGCATGATGACGCACACCTGTAGTCCCAGTTACTCGCGAGGCTGAGGATCACTTGAGCCCGGGAGGTGAAAGTTGCAGAGAGCTGAGATCGCATCACTGCACTCCAGCCTGGGCAACAGAGTGAGACCTGTCTCAGAAACAAACAAACGAAAAACAAACCTAATGCAGAGCTCCTTGAGACTTTGGTTGAAGATTAAATTGAATATGCATAGGGTAAGACTTACAGGAGATAAACAGCTTGCAGGGAAAGAACAATGACCAGGGACTCTGTGTTAGCTAAGTGATTCCTAAAGCTTACACAGGTCTAGAAGATGTTAGAGTTCTGACTAGCCAGAGTGGAGAGACCTGGTTGAAAAGCCTAGGGCACTCAGTAGTGATCTTGCCAAGGGTACCTTCATGTGGGGCTAAATTAGCCATAGAGTAAAACCTGCCTGAAACCTGTCTTATTATAGATCAAAGGTAGCCAGAAATGTGGACATTGACATAAATCCAAATATAACATATGAAAATTCTGCAAAGGTGTCAGCTATAAATATTTTTTAAATAAATGTCTTCTGTAAAAGGAGGCATTCGTGGAGGCATGAACTGTACAGCTGAAAGTAGGCAAGGTGTCTCATGTTTAATATTTGTTAAGGGGATGTGGCTTTCAACAGTTAAGTATCTTTAAGTCTTTCAAGGGGTTAAGGGGTTCTGATTTGGCCATTTTCCCTTTGTATCTTCCCAGAAAGGATTGTTTCCTTAAGGATAAGATGCTGTTTTTAGATTTATCTCTTGATTAGGGAGACACATTCACTTAATCCTTCCAGTACAGAAAGACGCTTAAAAGGTTCACAGGCCGGGTGCGGTGGCTCACGCCTGTTATCCCAGCGCTTTGGGAGGCCGAGGCGGACAGATCATGAGGTCAGGAGATCGAGACCATCCTGGCTAACATGGTGAAACCCCGTCTCTACTAAAAATACAAAAAATTAGCCGGGTGTGGTGGCGGGCGCCTGTAGTCCTAGCTACTCGGGAGACTGAGGCAGGAGAATGGCATGAACCTGGGAGGCGGAGCTTGCAGTGAGCCGAGATTGTGCCACTGCACTCCAGCCTGGGCGACAGAGTGAGACTCCGTCTCAAAAAAATAAATAAATAAATAAAAGGTTCACAAATGGGATTACGGTGAGAAGTGGGTTTGAAACTTTGTTGCACATTAGAATCACCTAGGGAATTTTACAACTCTCAGTTCCTGTCTTTGACACTGCATGCCACTCATCCTCTTAGAATGGGACCCTGGCATCCACAGATGGTTCAGGTGTGCAGCCAAGCTTGAAAACAGGTGACATGTAAGTGGTTGACTTGGCAGAGATGTGAATTAATACTTGTGATTTTAGTTGTTTTTAAACATAACAGATGCAAGTGTTCATTGACAATTATTTTTAAATATATTATCTTAAATTTAATTATTATGTGTATTACTGCTTTTTCCTCAATTACTTTTCAAAGAAGTAACTATGTCTAAATGATTTAGGTCATTTGTCTCTTGTGTCTTGACAGTATGTAGTACTACTCTCTGGGTTGGGCAAGTGGACAAGAAGGCAACACAGCAAGACTTAACCAACCTGTTTGAAGAGTTTGGACAGATTGAATCCATTAATGCAAGTATCAGTTCTTAATAATTTAAGGTTTTAAAAAAGGAGGTTTTTATTAATACAAAGAATCACTTCTGTTCCTAATTAGCCCAGTAATGTCTGCCTTAAATAATACACATCTTTAAAAGGATTGCTTTACTTTGATAATGTCTGTGTTTATTTTGGTGCTGTTTCTCTCCTTAATTATTTTTATTTTTTAGTGGAATTCTAACAAAATGTTCTTGAGTTTTATAGCAGTGTACCATGCTTGATTCCTGACATCATCAAATGTTTGAGTTAGCAGGAACCCTATGTGTGGTCTGGTTTAATTCCTTTTTTTAAAAAACTGTCTCTGAGGAAATGGAGAGTTCCACAGAATTGTAGTCACTTGCACATGACCACAGAAGCAGTCGTGGAGACACAGCTGGACTTAGGATCCCAGTTTCTTTTGCCTTTTTCTTCTCACTCTCTCACCCTCTCGTGCTCTTTTACTCTCTTTTTTATCAAACAGAGCAAATGTTAGGTAAGAAAATCAGTATGGCCAGCGAATTGCTAGTAAGTTGAGCATAACTCTTTCACTCTTGATTCTTGCACTAGTTTTGCACCACTCAGTCTCCTCCTTTGAGTCTGTGTTTTATTCTTCATGAGGCCTGATGCTTTTCCCTGAGGGTCAGACATCTTTGGTTAGCTATTTTAATTGTTCTTTTATTTAAAAATTACGTGCTGTCTTTCTTCCTCCTGCTGTGTGGTGAAATGTTTTGTAGTCATTTGTTTGGGGAGACATTTATCCATCCATCCATCCATCCATCCTGGTAAACAGGAAGTATGAGGAGACTTAATTCATCAGGCGTCTGATTTCATTCCCTGTGGTTACAGTTTTATGTCTGTGGGATCTTTTTATCATTATTTATCAGAAAATTGCCCAGTTTTCCTTTCTAGTCTTAGTTCCCAGTCTTCCTTAAATGGCCAAACTTGACTTTTCTGTAATAGTAACAGAATTCTTTATTTGAGTTGAGTTGAACCATTTTGCATCTTACTTTTGACTGTGTGTGATCTTTTTGGAGCCTCATAAGAAGCTGGTTAAGTAATTCAAATACTGTTGTTTTCTAATGAGGAAACTAAGTGATTTGCTTGAGTTACACAGGTGATAAAAAGATGATTGGTTATGGATTTCAACTTGGGTACTTCAGATTTCTCTTTCTTTACCACAAGAGTGCTGTCGACCTCTCTTATTCTTTTGTCTTTTTAGATTTTACCTGTCAAAACATCACTGTCTTTCAGAGTCTATAATCATATACTTTCTCTGAAGTTTCTTTCTGATTTACCCCTACCTTTAAACTAGTGATTCTCAGTTCTAGCTGCATATCAGTAATATGTCCTGACATTTGAAAAATTAGGGATGCCCATGCTCGATGTCTTCAAATTTTTAGCAAAGTGTCACAGCTGCATAGGTGGTTCTGACGCACAGCAGGAATCATTGCTCTGAACAGACCTTGCATCCAAGTAGCATTTTGGATTTTCCTGTTTGATGATCGTATTTGTAATCTTTCTTGTATCACGGTCCCTTGAGCATCTGTTTGCCTTATCCCTCTCCTTTATTGTATTATGTTTTGAGAGCATAGTACTTATAAATAATAAGCACTAAGTTATTTTGTGAAATGAAGATTCATAATCCACTCATTTAATTTTGGGGACTTCAAAGACAAAGTCCATTCAGTTTGGCATTTAGTAGGTCATTGGTGAGCTTGAAGAGAGTAAAGTATTTTCCAGTGGGTTGGTGAGGAATTAGAGCTAGATTGTAATAGATAAAGAAGAATGTCAAGGTTTAGATATATTTCTCTTTTAATAAGTTTGATATTAATATTAAAGAGGCAGTAGCTTGAAGTGTTAGCAAGGCTGAGGAAAAGGTTTCTATGTAAGCTTTAATAACAGATATGGCTTATTAGGTATAGAGTGAAAATAAAATGATAGAATGCCTTTTGAGTTTCTCAGAAAGAAACAAATGCTGTGAATAGTTTTCTGAGTTAATATATTAAGGATAATTGTATGGTCTGGTGTAGAATAGTTAAATGCTTTATAAATCAGTCTCAGATCTTAACACTGAGGCTATTTTCTTTATGTTAAAACTTTGCCAGAAGCACTTGAACAAAATAAAGTTTTATAAGACTGAAAATTTTTATCATCAATTGTTTCAGATTATGGATTTTATATTAAGGATAAGATAATTCCCCAAAAGAAGAATCCTCTTTGCATTACTCAGTATAACATTTGGAAAAATTGAAGTAATATTAGGAATAAATTGTTGCCTTCAAATATTTTGGCCATATAATACTACTTTCCTTTTATCTGGTGGTATTATGTATACGAAGTTATACATTTTGTTTTGTTTTTAATAGTTCTTTTTCTGTATTCAGAAAATATTGCCATGTGATATTTAAGATTTCACATTTATCGTGGCTTATGATACCTAATTGAGTTCTGAATTTTGGGATTTTAAAAATTGAGTTATTAATTGTACATGAATTGTACCTACTAATAAACAGCTGGAGGAAGAAAGGGGAAAATAAGTCAGTAATCTATCAGAATTGAAGTATTAGTAAGTAGTCAATGTTTTGTGTCATTTAAACCATAAAATACCAGAATGAGTTTCTGTTCTTATACCTTTTCTTAAAACAATTTTTTTTATTAGATGATTCCTCCCCGGGGCTGTGCTTATGTCTGCATGGTTCATCGACAAGATGCATTTCGAGCTCTTCAGAAACTCAGTTCTGGATCATATAAAATTGGGTCCAAGGTCATTAAGGTGAGATTTGGTGGATTGGAACTTGGGGTAGGGGGGCAGTATTTTTAATGTCTGTTATGTTAAAGTCTGAGTTTTTCACAAGAGGGTCACAAGCTCTTCTTTTATTGGATTATTAGAATGTCTCTGTATTATATTCTTTTTAAATGTTATGGACAAACCTCATCAGAAACTTATTGTTTCAGTTCGTTGAGTTATAGAATTAGATGTAGGTAAAAATAAGTCCAATAACGAGAACTTTAGTCAATTACTTCCTTGAAATTACACTTGCACAGCTTTCTGAGTCAACTAGGGCACCATTCTATGAGTACAACGTGTTCATTTTATAGTATTGTCTTTCATTCACTTTTCCTCCCAGTACTCCTTAACTATACCTTCTAATTATATTATTGATTTCTTTTTTCTTGACATCTTTTTAAAATATAAACCAGGCCCTTGTGAAGAGATTATCTATCAGAATATTTTTATTTTCTTCCTAATCTTTATACTGAGAGTTTTTTTAATATCTTTCCATTACTTTCTATGATTAACTCAGTTTGATTTCTGTTATTTGAAGTTTATTTATCTTATCAGTTTCTGCAACTGAATTAAAAACTTTAACTACTTTCATTAAAGTTAATATATGCTCATCTTTTTTCATTCATGACTGAGTTTCTTGTGTAAACTAAAGTGTCCCTAGTCTCCTCTGGAATAAAAGATTTTTTCTAAAATAACAGACCAGGTGTGGCAGCTCACACCTGCAGTCCCAGCACTTTGGGAGGCTGAGGTGGGAGGATCACTTAAGCCCAGGAGTGTCTTAAGAGCAGCCTGGACAACATGGCGAGACCTCATCTCTACAAAACAACTTAAAAATTAGCTGAGTGTGATGGTATGCTTCTATGGTCCCAGCTGCTTGGGAGGCTGAGGTGGGAGGATCTTTTGAGCCCATGAAGTCAAGGCTGTAGTGAGCCATGATCATGCTACTGCACTCCAGCCTGGGCGACAGAGTGAGACCCTGTCTCAAAAAGTGAAGAAAATGCTATTCTAATCACCCCTCATGTAGGTTGACATTTTTATGGTGAAAAGTGGATTTGGATTTTCTTTGGAACTGGACTGCACTATTAGAGTTACAAAAAGAAGTGGAAATCCTTTATTGTAAATACTATGTCTAATGTAAGTTTTATTTTAAAAAACAAAACTGGTGAGGCACAGTGGCTCACACCTGTCCAGCACTTAAGGACAACCCCTGTCTCTACTAAAAAATACAAAAATTAGTTGGGCATGGTGTTGCCTGCCTGCAGTCCCAGCTGCTGCAGGGCTAAGGCAGGAATATCGATGGCTTGAGCCCGGAAGGTCAAGGCAGTGAACCATGATCATGCCACTGCACTCCAGCCTGGGTGACTGAGTGAGACCCTGTCTCAGACAAAGGGAAACAACTGGAAAAAAATTCTTTTGGCTACTGTTAGTTTTTCAGCTTTGCTTTTCCAGCTGTTTTCTAAAACCAATTTTAATGTGTTTACATTGTTTAAATAAAATTTTGAACTTTTTACCTTGTTTTTATAGTATGTATGTATAACCTTTCTTTTTTCCTCTTCCCATTTACAATAGATCGCTTGGGCTTTAAACAAAGGTGTAAAAACAGAATACAAACAATTCTGGGATGTGGATCTTGGAGTTACATATATACCATGGGAAAAAGTTAAAGTGGATGACTTGGAAGGTTTTGCAGAAGGAGGCATGATTGATCAGGAGACTGTAAATACTGGTAAGAATTCTAAGGTCTTTTTATTGTTAAAAAAAAGTATGCTTAGAAGGTTGTAGCTGAAGTGAATTTGGGATGACAGCGTTAACTGTGTATCCTGGATTCATCTCCCAAAAAAGAGAAAAGATACATTACTATGCCCTAGTGTACATGCTTAATGGGACCTATTTTAATAGATGTCAAAGTATAGATTAGAAAGTATAGAAGTCTATATAAATGTAGCATTTTAAAATATATGTGTGTTTTTTTCAATTTGATACTTGAGAGTTATGTGTGGGAGGGATTTTTGAAACTAAATATTTCTAATTGCTTCAGTTTAAGTGGGAACTTGAGAAGGTTTTTTGAAACACTTTGCAGATTATTTTGAGTAGTATCCATGTTGAAAATAGCAGCAATAGAATCGTAGTTTAGGGAGTTCAGATGCATACAATGTTATATACTTTCTGGGATGCCTTTTACAATACCAAATAATCATCAGCCTGCTTTTTTTTAATCCCCAAAATTATCTTTTTATTTTAAAAGATTTCAATTAAAAATTGACAAAATGATTTGCAGTTATAACCAATAGGAAATCTAAACATTTGAAAAAGAACTGAAATAGATGCATACACCTTTTTTCTTCACACCTTAGCTCTTTTATCAGAGTTAGCTAATTTTCAGAATATTTGTTTCTCAGACCAAGGTAAAATTTTGAACCATTTTTTTTCTTCCTGTCAGGCCTATTCCTCACCCCACCCCGCCAATGGCTGCTTATTCCAGTGTATTCACTTAATACATATTTTAGTTTCTACTGTGTGTCAGGCCCAATTTTAGGAACTGGAATTATGGCAGTGAGACAAATAGACAAAAATTCTTCCTCTTGTAGAGTGTAGCGCAGAGGTCAGCAACCTAATACCCATGGTCCAAATCCTGTTGGTAGCCTGTTCTGTAAATAAAGTTTTCTGTTGGTAGCCTGTTCTGTAAATAAAGTTTTATTGAAACATAGCCATGCTCACTTGTTTTCCTATTCTGTTTTACTTTTTTTTTTTTGCAATAACAGTTGAACACTTGCAGCAGAGAACACATGACCCATAAAGCCTCAAATGCTGTAAAGTTTACTAGCCTATGTTTCACACATTTATTATCTGTGAAAAAAACAGATAATAAACAAAATAGATAAACTATATAGTACTTTAGTGTCAATAAGTTCTAAGAAAAAAATCAGGGAAGGGAGATGGGCAGTGTGGGTGTGGAGGTATTGCAGTTTTTATGTGGTTGTAGAAGATCTGATGGAGAATGTGATATTCGAAAGGGTAAGGCAGGCAGCCATCTGGGGAAAGAGTATTCTATATGGAGGGAACAGCAAGTGCCATGTTTGTATTCAAAAATAAGAAGACCATTATAGCTTGCGCAGAGTGAGTGAGGAATGAGTAGTAGGAGATCAAGGCAGATAGGTACAGAGGAGCAAAGTCATGTAAATCTTATTTGTCTTACTTGATCTTTACTTTGAATAAGATGGAGAAGCATGAGAGAGGAACCATTAGAGCTTCTTTGTTCTCTTTTTGCATAGCTGTGTTTTCAGAAGGATTTTATTGTATTGGATTAATACTCTCCTAGTTGGTCTTCCTTTGTTGTATTTTGTGATAAAAAATTGAGTACGGTTAGTTCCTCTTACATCAGCCAGCCATTGAGATACATATCTATTGTATCTCTTCTAAGTGTTTTCTTTAGATGAAATATTTTAGTGTCTTTCCTTTGTGTCTCATGTTTCATGGTTTTTTGAACTCCATAGTATCCTAATCAGATTAATCTGGGCAGAAATCTAGAGTGGCACCTACGGTTGTGGATATATCTTAAAGATGTGCCAAGGTAGATGAAGGATTTAGATGTGAAATAAATGAATACAAAGAAGAAAATGAAAAGTTGCACCTATCCAAAGGAAATCAATTTCAACTATTTTGTTTAGAGTGGGAAACTGTGAAAAGCTCAGAACCTGTTAAAGAGACGGTCCAGACAACTCAGAGCCCAACTCCAGTTGAAAAGGAGACAGTGGTCACAACCCAGGCAGAGGTTTTCCCTCCTCCTGTTGCTATGTTGCAGGTTAGTGTTGAAGTGGGGTTTTTTTTTTCTTGTGTTGTTTTACATTTCTGTTTTTAATCATGTATTTACTTTATAAAACCGGAATGAAAATCTCCATATTAGAATAAATGTTTGTCAGTAGTGTTAGGGAAAAGAATATTTCTTTTAAATAAAAAAAAAGTCTGCTAATGCTGTGGTATCATTGTGCTATAAACACCTTAGGTTTAAAATAAAGGTAAATATGGAAATATTGTTTCTGAAAACTCAGAGGATTTTTTTAGGTTCATGTTTTTCTGAGGAGTCAAATTGATAGAACAGTAAGTTATTTTAATGAGTTTGATTAAAATTTTTTGAAAAATTATTTTTAGAAATGATGTCATTCATATTTAAATATGTTTGTTTATTGAACAAATATTTATTGAGTACTGGCTCTGTGACACTCACTCTTCTAGGTATCAGTGAAAAACCCCCAGAAATCTCTGCCCTTTTGGAGCTTTTATTCTCAATAGTGGTGACAGAAAACGTAAAATAAATATGATTGTGAGATCCTATGGAAGGAAAAAAGTAGCGTAAGGCTGATCTATTTTAAACAGAATGGTGAGGATAGACCTAATTGAGAATGAGAAATTTGAGCAATGACTTAAAAGCACCAAGGGAGTTAACCATGTGGATATCTGATAATGAACATTCTGTTCAGAGGCAACAACCAGTGCAAAGGTCCCACACCAGGAATATGGTTGGTGTGGTCCAGGAGTGTTAAGTGGGCTAGAATAAAGCCAGTCCTCTCTAAGGACTTTGGCTTTCACTTGGAATGAGATGGATGGTGGGTCTTTACATGTGACAAAAAGAGAGAGAGAAAGATGAGGAGTCATTGGAGGATTTTGAGCAGAGGAGTGACTTGATCTGGCTTACAGTTTTAAAGGATTGCACTGGTTACTATTTTGAGAATAGGCTGTAGTGAGCTTTGAGCAGGGAGACCAGTTAAAAGACAGTTGTAGCAATCCAGATGAGAGCTGGTGGTGGCTCAGAATAGACTTCTGGAGTGTCTATTGCACTGGAGGTAATGAGAAAAGAGTGGAGGTAATGAGAAATGGTCAGATACTAGGTGTATTTTGAAGGTGTTGTAGCCAACAGGACTTTGCCTGGTACGATTGGATTTGGGGTTATTATGAGCAAAAGCAGAGGCAAGGTTTTTGGTCCAAGAAATTGGAAAGATAGAGTTACCATTATCTGAGACTGGGAAAGACTGTGAGAAGAGTTCTTTTGGGAAGGACGACTGGAAAATCAGTTGTTTCATACATGTTGTTAGGTAGAAGTATCTTTCTGTCAGCACAATTGGGATGTTGAATAGACACTTGATGTAATGTGAAATTTACAGGAGAGGTAAAGCTGTGGTGCAGATGAATACTTGCGACTTTACCTAGAGTGAGTAAAAGGTACTTATGCTAGGATTAGAAAATAAATTATGAGAAATTTAGGCCATTCTAAAGCTGTCATTGACATGTTTCCTAATGGTGGTTAGGTTGCATAACAGGTATTACTGAGTGGGAGATGGCAGTTTAAAATGGAGCATAATATTCAGTGTTGAACTAGGTGACCATTAGTTTACATCACTTGAATGTAAGATCAAATTCATAATCTCCAAGTAAAAACTATCTGTTGAATAACATTGCCTTGTTTTTACCCTAAGTAGGTTCACTTGCAAGTATACAAAAAGGGGGCATAAAACCCTTTTTAGTAGTATTTGTTACCATCCTGAAAGAGAAATAGAATAATTTGCCTTTAGTTGTTCCAAGATGCAGGTGAATAAACTGATGAGTGAACTTTTTTGTCTATCCACAAAAGATTCCAGTGGCGCCAGCCGTGCCTACAGTTAGTTTAGTCCCACCAGCATTTCCTGTGTCGATGCCGGTTCCTCCTCCTGGATTCAGTCCAATCCCTCCACCTCCTTTTTTAAGAGCAAGTTTTAACCCTTCACAACCACCACCTGGTAAGGAATTTTTGTTTTAATATTTGAACTCTATTTAGATTATCATTTAAGTTGTGTTTCTTCCAGATTTAAGTACCATAGAGCAGTGGTTCTGAGACCTTAGCATGCATAGCCTTGTTAAAGCGCAGATTGCTGGGCCCAGCCTCCACTGTTTTTGCTTTACTCAGTCTGTGGTAGGGGCCAGAGAATTTTATTTTCTAACTTGTTCTCAGGATGCAGATTGGTGGGAGAAGCAGCACTGACAGAGAAATATTGAATTTCTTTAGAATAATTGAAAACCATGGCCGGGCATGGTGGCTCACATCTGTAATCCCAGCACTTAGGGAGGCCAAGGTGGGCAGATCACTTGAGGTCAGGAGTTTGAGACCAGCCTGGCCAACATGGTGAAATCCCATCTGTACTAAAAATACAAAAATTAGCTAGACGTGGTGGCACAGGTCTGTAATTCCAGCTACTCGGGAGGCTGAGGCAGGAGAATGGTTTGAACCTGGTTAGGCAGAGGTTGCAGTGAGCCAAGATCACACCACTGTGCTCCAGCCTGGGTAACAGAGCAATTACTTTGTCTCAAAAAGAAAAAAAGGTGAAAAAAAAAAAAGAATTATTACTCTTAAAGTAATGTAAAATTTCCATTGCAGTTTTTATATGAAAGTTCTCTAATAATTATCAGCATTTCATCAGAAAATTTGCATTGTCCCTCCTAAGAATCAGTAGGCTCCATTTTGACATTAGAAATTATATTTAAAAGGCTAATTGAATTTGTAATACTTTGTTTTGACCTAATAAATTATTTTTATTCTTTAAATATGGAACACTTCACAAATTTGTGTGTCATCCTTGCACAAGAGCCAGGCTAATCTCTGTATCATTCCAGTTTTAGGGTATGTGCTGCCAAAGCAAGTACTGACCTAATAAATTACTGATACACAAAAAAAGTTTCTTGAATTAGATTTTCCAGGTAAAAACTATAGATTACTTAAACACAACTTACATATATAGTTTAAGATAGAGCTTTTAGGCCGGGCATGGTAGCTCACACCTGTAATCCCAGCACTTTGGGAGGTTGAGGTGGGAGGATTGCTTGGGTGCAGGAGTGCAAGACCAGCCCAGGAACAGAGTGACACCCTGTCTGTACAAAAAATAAGAAAGTAGCCAGGTGAGGTGGTACACACCTGTAGTCCCAGCTACTCAGGAGGCTTGAGCCCAGGAGGTGGAGGCTACAGTGAACTGTGTTCGCACCACTACACTCCAGCATGGATGACAGAGTGAGACCTTGTCTCAAAAAAAAAAAAAAAAAAAAAGCTTTTATTATTAGACCATGGGAGGTTAGGTTAGAAGAATGATGGAGAGATACTTGTGAACTCCTGGAAGCAAGTGATCTTCCCACCTCAACCTCCCAAAGTGCTGGGATTACAGGTATGAGCCACCGCGCACAGCCTAAAAGCCCCATCTTAAACTATATAAGCAATTATATACGCATATTGATGAGATACGCATTTAAGTTATAGTCTTTACCTAGAAACTCTAATTCAAGAATTTTGTTATCAAAGTTTATTAGGTCAAAACAATATATATATAGTTTTTCCAAATTAAAATGCATTTGAATTCATGAATTATTTGCATATTATAAGAGAAGAAATACGGTATGTTGACTTCTGTAACTTAAGTTCTTAGATGTTGGGTAGAGTTTTTAGCAAGACTAAAAAATAAATTTGAGAATGGTTGTAATTTATAGGTCATGTAAGTGTTCTAAATTACAGTTTAATGTGTAATTGGAAATTGATACAGATTTTAATAACTTTATTTTAAATATTGAAAAGTTTAATTTTCTGTATTTGTGATTTCAAAATTAAATATTTCAGAAGATATTTTTAAGTGATTATTTCAAAAATCATAACCATATAGGCTTTATAAAGTCATTGTTCCTTATTAACTTGTTGAAAAATCATGTATTTTTATTCTTTCCTTATTTTTAGCCACTTTTTAAAATGTACAAAAGGTATATTTTATTAAAAATAAAATTAAATATGTGTATCATGTAATTTACCACAAAATTGAGTTATAATTAGGATTGTGAGAGGAGGAACAAACCTCGAATACCAAAGTAGATTTTATAGTTTAGAATTATTTTAGTCACTATTTTCTAGTTGAATGTAATGGTAGCTTTATATTTCAAAAAATGCAAAGAAGCAAATTTATAGTGTGGTATTTAAAATGATTAAGAAGCCGAGTGCCATAGTGTGTGCTTCTGGTCCCAGCTACTCGGGAGGCTGAAGTAGTAGGATTGTTTGAGCCCAGGAGTTTGAGACCAGCCTGGGAAACATAGACTCGGTATCTAAAATTAATAATTTAATTGAAATCATTAAAAAGCCAATATTAAATTGAAGATTTACTTCAGTGCTTAAAACATAATATAGTGTTATCCAGAGTTAACGGAAATATTTTGATCTAGTGAGTAAACACACGTATCAAATAAGTAAAATGGCATATATAAACAGTTTACCTGGCTCCTATTAATTTTTGATTTTACAGCACCATAGAGCATGCTACGGGACTTGAATGAGTAAATAAATAGGATGTTCTCATAAATCAGGACCTCTTTGCTTTACCTAGCTTATTAGGGATCAAATAAGGCAGCGTATATAAAAGCCATTTCTAAAATAGAAAAAATATATATAAATATGAGGTTGTAGTCCATTTTAAGAATATGAAGTTTCATTTGTAGCTGTTGGAATCTTTGATTTAAAATAAGTAATTTTTCTTGTGCTATTTTTTGGGGTTTTTTTTTCTGTCTAGGTTTCATGCCGCCTCCAGTTCCCCCACCTGTTGTGCCACCCCCTACGATTCCACCAGTAGTACCAACATGTAAGTTTTCTACTTTTAGAGTTTTCTTTATTCATGGTAGTGTTAATTTTAGTGTGTCAGTTCTCATTCTTGTGAATTACCGTTAATATTTTTATTATGAAAGCTTTAAGACAAATGCATGTTAGATAATTTCTAAAATACGGTAAATGACAGTTCTTATTGAAATTTGCTTGGTTGTCTTAAACTCTTATGATTGGTTTTATTTTAGTCAAAATTCAGAGAAGGTCCTCTCATCCTATTTGTGTGTTTTTTGTTTTGCTATGTGTATTAAATGTCTTAATGTTAGTGCAGTCCTGCCCCAGTCCTCCCTTCCTTTTCTTAATGCTTCATGACTTGTTGAAGAAACAGTTCATTCTGTATATAAGAGCTTAAATAATGGATTTGGTTTTTTGCTTCTTTGTGGTACTGAAATTACTGTCTTTGCATTTCCTGTAAAATGGAAGTTAGCACCAAAGGCTTGCTTAGATTCCGGTTCACCTGTTTTAGCAAGAATACTTGAGAAGCAAAATGCTGTAGGATTGGTATTATCTATCACATCAGAAGTCTTGCAGTGCCTTTTTGTCCTCCTGCCCCACACCTTTTTTGGGGCGGGGCGGGGGGGGGGGCGGTGTAAAACTTTATTTTTTAGAGCAGTTTTTTAGGTTCACAGCAAAATGGAGCCAAAAGTACAGAGGATTCCCATAAGCCCCCACCCACCACACTTGCACAGGCTCTCATTATCAACATCCTCCACCAGAGTGGTACGTATATTACAATTAGCCAGCCTATATTGACAAATCATTATCACCCAAAGTCCTTAGTTTGCATTTTGATTCACTCTTGGTGTTTTGTTCCCCTTTTAATGATGTTAAGATTGATCAGAACATTTAGTGGAACAGTAGAACCTGGTCATTAAAAACATTTCCTTTCATCCATTGATCATTGTTTCTTAGATCTACTTTTTATTAGTTGCAGAGTGGTGATCTTTCTAAATGTATAATTCCTTCCATGTTTCTTAACTTAAATGAAGAAAAAGTTTTCCTTAATCAGGTAATGGTACTTAGTTACCTTGAAGTGTGGTTGGTACAGCAAAGTCAGGGTAGATGCTATTTTTTTCTTTAATTGCCATTTCTCAGAGTCATGAGATCTATAGGTATTTCCAGTGATACCCAGTGACCAAAGAGAGATTTCTCATTTCTCTTCATCTTCTCCTCCCTTGTCCCTCTCTCCCTTTTTTTTTTCTCCTTCAGTTTCTTTAGTATTTATGGATTAATGGATTTTTACTTCTAGTCAGTTGCATTTTTCTTTTTTTGAAGTGTAGATTGTTTCATCTTTGGACGGTGGGAGACCTGTGTTGCCTCCCTGTCACATTAGTTTTGAGAGCTACTTAGCTTTTTGGCCCAGTATATCCCAGACAAATCTTGTGTTTTCCTCCCTCCAATCTGAGAATCAGCCATTTTTCCAGTTGGGGTATGGTATCTAGAGAACTCAGTCTGGGTACTAGATTCTCATTTTGCTCTTGGGTTTTCGTCGAGTCTAGGAATTTTTAGTGGACAAAACTAGAAAATGTGCATTTTGAACAGAAAAAAATGAATATGAAGTATTATTAAAGAAATTAGCTACTTTGATTTTTATATTTGCTTGTGTTCTCATATACTGAAAACAGTAACGTGATTGCTTTTCATTTTCATACAATATAGACATACACATAGTAGTTTGAAAGTAGTGTTACTGCCAACAAGGCTACCAGATGACACTAAGATTTTTCTGCCACTTTTTTTTTATCCCAAAGGTGTATAATCATAACTAGGGGTACATGTGCAGGTATCTATAAATATTTGTTTGTTACATGAGTAACCTATATAACAAACACAAGTTTACCTATATGACAAACCTGCACATGTACCCCTGAACATAAAAGTTTAATAAATAATGTATAATCAAATTATTGTGTATCAGGGTTACCTGAAATAAATCTTTTCTTTGTAGATGTGGTGCCAGTTTCATAAGTGATTTTTTTTTTTTTTTTACATTTTTATGGGATATGCACTCTAGCTTACTTGGTTTTGATATCTGTATTTTCTTTACTAGAATAGACATTTCAAAAGTAATGTAATGCAACAGTAAATATAGACATTTATTCATTTCCTTTTTTCTATCATTGGACGTTACAGAAATGCTAAATATACCCTTTTAATAATTTTTTCATTCTAGTGTACTCTTTATGTACAGTAATTCTCCAAGCTTCTGAAAAAACCTTTAGTAATTCAGGCAAGCCTACCTCAAAAATTAGACCTGAAGAGTGTATGTGATATATAAAGGTTTTAACTTTTGATTATCTAATTCATTTTCCTTGTATTCTTAAACTTTTTCTCCCTTTCAGTGTTTACATAGCTTTAAAATTTGGCCGGGCATGGTGGCTGATGCCTGTAATCTCAGTACTTTGGGAGGCTGAGGTGGGTGGATCACTCGAGGTCAGGAGTTTCAGACCAGCCTGGCCAACATGGTGAAACCCCGTCTCCACTAAAAATACAGAAATTAGCCAGGTGTGGTGGCGCACGCCTGTAATCCCAGCTACTCAGGAGGCTGAGGCAGGAGAATCACTTGAACCCAGGAGGTGGAGGTTGCAGTGAGCCGAGATCACGCTACTGCACTCTAGCCTGGCAACCGAGCGAGAGACTGTCTCAAAAAAAAGATAGGTTTAAAAGTCTTTCTTTTTGTTATTGTTGGTTCATTAGGAAGAATTGTTTATTCTTTCTGAAAATTAGACAAAGTGTTCAGAAGTCATTTCTGAATTCACTATTCACAGAGGCTTACCCTAGGGCCAACCTCCCAATTTTTTCCTAGTCCACTAATTTTGGAAAATCTGCAGTTAATTAATGGAAAAAGAGAAATAGTTGTGTGCCAGATGCTATCCAAATTGCCTTTGCTGTCTCATTTAATTCTCTTAATTCTTGTGCATGACCACAGGTGTTTTTATTTTTGTAGCTCTGTTGTATGCTAACAGTTTGTTCAGGTAATCTAGAGTTACATATGAAGATAAAACATTTCCTAAGTTCTCCAAGTATGATTTTACGGCATTCTAAGTGACATATTGGGCTAAAAATTTTAATTGTGTAATTATTTTGTATTCCTCTGGTTGTGTTTTTTAATATGTGTGACAAATGCACTTAGGGATATTTATACCCATTCTTTAAGATGGAAAGTTTATAGCTTCATATTTGTAGTCCACCTTATGTATTCTCAACTGATGAGTTTCTAACTTCATCTGACAAAAGGTAATGTTAAATGAATGTTAGGACCCTAGTACATTGTAATTGCAGGGGGATTGGGCAGATTTTCATACTCATACATTTCAGTCTGCACTAGTCATTTCTGTATGTTTAGACATTCACTTTATCTGGCATTCCTAGAAAATTATTAATTTTTTTGTTACTAGAATTTACTTTTTTTGAGTGCTGGTCCTAACATCTTTGGTGAAATATTTCTGAAAATTGTTAGTTTTCCCTATTTTTGGATAAAGCTTTCTAAATGTAATTTAGCCTATTCATGATGACTCCTTTTGTCATTTGAGCATTGGTTATTATATAATGTGCTTAGTAATACAGAGATGCCATTAAATTAAATACTCAGACTGCCAGAAAACTTAGCACATGAATTGACTCATTAAATCTGAAATATATTTTTCTCCTCTTTAAACAGCTTTAGTGCAGCCGTCATTATCCATGACACCGGAAACTGTGAAAGATGTTGGATTTGGTAGCCTTGTTATACCAGGCGGTTCTGTTGCCAGCAATCTTGCTACTTCCGCTCTGCCAGCTGGAAATGTTTTTAATGCTCCAACTAAACAGGCAGAGCCTGAAGAAAAAGTACCTCATCTTATAGACCACCAGATTTCTTCTGGTGAAAACACCAGATCAGGTAAATAATAATAATAAAATTTAAAAAAAGAGGTTGCCTCTCTGTATTTGGTGTTTAATTCTGGGGTGGCATGCGTTTGTAACCACTTCAATCTACAGATGCTGAAATGTCGCACTTTTTTTTTAAAAGAGATCACTATGTCCTAAAATTTCTATTTGAAAAAGTGGCCTTCTGTTCAGGATAATCTAGATTTCAATATGTTTCCATTAAGACCCTCACACCACCACCCCCTTTTTTTTGTCCTATTGGGACTACTTCAGTGTGTTGTCAAAATAATACTGCACAAAATCTGTATACTTATAGGAAGATAAAAATGAACAAGTATTGGGTGTGAGTAACTTCTATCGGGAACTTACTTCTAATAGGTATTATCCAGCTAGCTCTAGAAGATAAATATGGTGTTTGAAAGCAGTAAGTCCTTTTTCTATGGTCCCACTGTTGGTACATTAAGAATTATGGTTTAGAGGCACTTGACCTTGATGCCTGTTTGGGTCTCTTCTAAGCATACTTTTCTTTCCTTTCTTTCCTGTCCTAAAGCCTTTTAAACCTCCACTCCTGTTCTTAAAAAAAAAAAAAAAAAAAAAAAAAAAAAAAAAAAAAAAGAATTATGGTTTAGAAAGGCTTTTATTAAAGGTGGAAAATCAGTATAATACCTGACATTTCTGTTTAACTTAAAAAGATGTCATGTAGTAGCTAATGTACCTTGATTATTGGGGGATACAAGTAGCTGATTAAGCTAAAATTATTGGAAACTTTTGACTGTTATTTTGAGTTTTTTCTCTCTCTCTTTTTTTTTAGTGATTCCAAATGATATTTCAAGTAATGCTGCAATTTTAGGAGGACAGCCGCCAAATGTGACAAGCAATTCTGGAATTCTGGGAGTCCAAAGACCAAATGTATCAAGTAATTCTGAAATTCTTGGGGTCCGGCCATCTAATGTTTCCAGTAGTTCTGGGATTATTGCAGCCCAACCACCAAATATTCTAAATAACTCTGGAATATTGGGAATACAGCCACCCAGTGTGTCAAATAGTTCTGGACTTTTGGGAGTGCTACCCCCAAATATACCTAACAATTCTGGACTTGTAGGAGTACAGCCACCAAATGTTCCAAATACTCCTGGACTTCTGGGAACACAGCCACCAGCTGGACCTCAAAACTTACCCCCTTTAAGTATCCCTAATCAAAGGATGCCCACAATGCCAATGTTAGACATTCGTCCGGGACTAATACCACAGGCACCTGGGCCAAGATTCCCTTTAATACAGCCTGGAATTCCACCCCAACGGGGAATCCCACCCCCATCGGTACTTGATTCAGCTCTTCATCCACCACCCCGTGGACCTTTTCCTCCAGGAGATATTTTTAGTCAACCAGAAAGACCTTTTTTAGCTCCTGGAAGACAAAGCGTAGACAATGTTACTAACCCAGAAAAAAGGATACCACTTGGGAATGATAACATTCAACAGGAAGGAGATAGAGATTACCGGTTTCCTCCTATAGAAACCAGGGAAAGCATTAGTAGACCTCCCCCTGTGGATGTTAGAGATGTGGTTGGGCGGCCTATAGATCCAAGAGAAGGTCCTGGACGGCCTCCACTAGATGGTAGGGATCATTTTGGAAGACCTCCTGTAGATATAAGAGAGAATCTTGTGAGGCCAGGTATAGATCATCTTGGTCGAAGAGACCACTTTGGCTTTAATCCAGAGAAGCCCTGGGGGCATAGAGGAGATTTTGATGAGAGAGAGCATCGGGTTCTACCGGTCTATGGTGGTCCAAAAGGCTTACATGAAGAAAGAGGTAGATTTCGGTCTGGAAACTATCGATTTGATCCTAGAAGTGGTCCTTGGAACCGAGGATTTGGACAAGAAGTTCACAGAGATTTTGATGACCGCAGAAGACCCTGGGAGAGGCAAAGGGATAGGGATGACAGAGATTTTGATTTCTGCAGAGAAATGAATGGAAATCGTCTTGGACGAGACAGAATTCAAAACACTTGGGTTCCCCCTCCTCATGCTCGGGTTTTTGATTATTTTGAAGGGGCCACTTCTCAACGAAAAGGTGATAATGTGCCTCAGGTTAATGGTGAAAATACAGAGAGACATGCTCAGCCACCACCTATACCAGTACAGAATGATCCTGAACTTTATGAAAAACTGACATCTTCAAATGAAATAAACAAGGAGAAGAGTGACACAGTTGCTGATATAGAAAGTGAACCAGTGGTAGAAAGCACAGAAACTGAGGGGACATAATCATCACTCAGTAGGTAAAAGATACCTTTTGTAAAGTTGTCATCTCTCTGTAATAGATAATGGCTGACTGGACCATAGTTGTTCACTTTTGTCTGCCAGAATTAAGTTAATCTGATGTTCATGTTCACCTTTCTCTTAAAATAATTGTACAACTGACTTGTATAGACATTGTTCTTAATATGAACATGGTAGGTAAACTTTTTTTTTATTTTTTTCTGATAAAATACAAATGTTGGCCCCAGATTCTTTTAACGTCAAGGAAATGAATAACAGCTTGTCAGAGACTTCCTATGGAAGAAAGAATTTTTTAGATACTATCATTAGGTTGGATATGGTAATAGATATATTTCAGAATAGCAAGTGGTGGTATATCTTATCCATATCTTTAGGCTGCTGCAGAATTTTAAGGTTATAGATAAAGCTGTGATATTTTATGCAAAGACTGGCTCTAGGTATTTGAGGAGCACAATACAGAGATTTTAAAAAGTGATTTTGTAAAATCTACACTACGGTCTCTGTTTCTCCAAAGTAAGTGTTTGTGATTTGTTCCTCATACTGCAGTGAGTAAAAAAGAAACAAGAAAACAACAACATAAATATTAAAGTACGTTTCAATGTTGGGTGAATTTTGTTTTTAGATGCCAATAAAACTTATTTGTTTGATAACAGTGTTCTAGGAATTGTATTTTTTTAACCTATAAATTCTTAAAACCTTGAATTATTATTAGCATGTGCTTATTTTTTGCAAAAGCTTTCTATCATAACAACAATGAACTATGTGGTGGAAAAAGCATGTACTTTGATATAAAAATCATGCAGCCTCCTCAGTATGTGTATAATATCTGTGTATGTTTATTGTGGAAGTCGTGTAGTTTTTTTCTGTTTCTCTGTATGTCCGTCTTCATGCACATACAGAGAAAATAGAAAGTTGAAAAAGTTTAGATAATAAAATATTCTTTTAAATCTGGTAGAATATTGGAGAAATCTGGCTAATTAACATGGGTTATAGTTAAAGCTCTTGGTCTTGATGAAGGTAAAATAAGAGATATTATAAAGAGATACACTGGTAGTTTGGCAGTTCTATTTTTAATATAGGTAAGCATGAAGCCAGAGTTAGCATGGAGCCAAATTTCACATAAATGCTTGCATTGCTTTGTTTCACACTATATTTGCTATTCTGCGTAGATAGTACTGACACTAAAGTACTCACTGGTCACGTGCCTGAAGTTAATTTCTTAATTGCACAAAATGTGTAGTGGTGCTGGTGGACTTAAAGACATTAATGTGTATACCAGGAACATAATACCCATCATGTGTTTTGTAGGGCTCTGGGTAACACTGTAGCCTGCAAGGTAAACTGAGTAGGGAAAAAAGTAGGGGTTGGCTTCCTGTTTGTTTTTGCTTTTGCTTTTAATTTTTATTTGCTATTTGTTCTCTTTTAGGTTTTACTTATATACACAGATATAAAACCATTGGTGTTTTTTAGTTTCTAATGGAAGGCTTTTATTTGGTTCTATGAGTAGTCATTTTGTTTCCAATGCCTTACCAGCAATTTATCATTTGCTCTGTTTATCTAAAATTTCTAAGCAAAGATAGCTCCAAAAAATGATAGAACACACCAGACATTTAAAATTGGATTGGTCTTGCCTACCTCTGATGACCTAGAGAGCTATAAGAACTTTAAGGTTCCTCGTCAAAAATGAAAGACTTCTTATAAGTTCTGAACAGGGATAGTACAGTATTTATTTTGTTATTTAGAAAAGTAAAGAGTAAAAATATTTCAATGGTATTTACTTCCAAGGTAATTCAGTTCAATCAGTAATTTGAATTGGTTTCAACTCTTTTTTCCTTAGGGTAATGAGGAAAAACTATTACATGGGTACAAAGTTTTAATGTTCAGGAAATATTGGCCTTGCCCTTAAGGAAATTATATTGGCTGAGATTTCTCTCAAACTAGTTTGTTTAGCATTATTAAAATTAAGTGACAGTCACTTGGATTAAATAGCGATAAAAAGCATGAGACTTTCTAGTGATTTTTGATGCCAAGCTTCTTATCACTGTTGGGCCTTCACGTGTGTACTTGAAAAAAAAAAATGTACAAGCATTGCACTGGTTTGAAGATTCTAGTAGTGAAAGTTACCTAACCAGTTATCGGTACTGTATCTAGAAACCAATCTTGGAAATGTGTGATGACACTCTTTTAAAATAGTTAAAAGAAATTATCATGTGCTCGTTCTTTGTCCTTGTTTTTTGTTGTATAGAATTTAAGTGAAAAGAGATTATCCTCATTCAGAATTTTCAAAAGTCATAATTGCATTTGCCATTTTTTAAATGATGGAGAGAAAAGTTAATTATCTTACTTTGATAAATTTGGCATAGGACCTATCACATTTTTTATGCTTTTGGTCACAGTTCTGTCACTAGAATACTAGCAATTAGAAATGTGCAAGGAGTAACCTAACCACTTTAATACATTGGTTTGAAGTGTTGCAAGCAGTGATAACTAGACACCAAATCATGTAGTGTTTTAATTTGTGACATGTTAGAATGATATGCCTTTCTGCAGTATTAGCGAACACCTAATTTTTATCTGTATTTAAACATTTCATTAAACATTAGCTTGTGTTCTTAGCATAAATGCATGCACTGATAGAAACTTAGTTTACAGCAGAGTAATCTGCATCATATGTTCCTTTATTTTAATTTTATTTCAATAAAGGGTAGACAAATAATTTGAAAGTATTGGAAGATGAAAATACTAGAAGTATGAAATTACTTAAAACTCTGGAAGTAACTCCATATAATATTTAATAGATAAAAATGCATTCATTATTTAAGCTATTGCATTCTTACCAGACCAGTTCCTTTTGTCCTGAGAGTTTAGTTTCTTCATTAAATTTATTTGCCATTTTTCACTCATATAAAAGATTATAGTTTAAGGAGCCACACATTTAGGGTTGTTTGGGGGTTAGGGGACGTTTTGTAAATTTAAAAAGGAGAAGTCATCTTTTTAATTTGAAAAAGTGCTTTTTAAATAAACACTGTATTTCGTGGGATATAAGGTGCCATTGATTGTAAGAAACACCATTCAGAAATAGAAAATACTTCTAATATGACATGCTAGTGTTTATAGATACATTCCTAATTCAGAGATAAACGTGAAGTTTCCTAGTATCAAATAAATACAATATTTATTATTGAAATGGACTTTCAGTTTAGTGAGAATATATGAACATTACTGTTAATCAGTTAATTTGAATAAATTTTCTACCAGTCTAAACATTGTTTTTTTTTTTTTTTTTTATTTGAGATGGAGTCTCGCTCTGTTGCCTAGGCTGGAGTGCAGTGGCGTGATCTCCGCTCACTGCAAGCTCTGCCTCCCAGGTTCAGGCCATTCTCCTGCCTCAGCCTCCCAAGTAGCTGGGACTACAGGCACCTGCCACCACGCCCCGCCTAATTTTTTTTGTATTTTTAGTAGAGATGGGGTTTCACCATGTTGGTCAGGATGGTCTTGATCTCCAGACCTCGTGATCTGCCCGCCTCAGCCTCCCAAAGTACTGGGATTACAGGTGTGAGCCACAGCACCCGTCCCAGTCTAAACTTTCGTACGCACACACACACACACACATATCACCTCAAGTGATTTAGAGAATATTTTGTTTTTCTTCACTATTATGTCTAATATATATATGATATCTAATAAGCTTTCTGTTCTGTGTATATATATTAGATATCTAACAAATATATATCTAACAGATTATATTATATATATATATGATGGGCACAACCTTTAATGAACAAGAAGATTCTCATATTAAAACTTTGTTATACCTTATGTGCCTTCATCATCATTACTTTATTGGGTGCTATATTAATAAAATACTTGGCTTTTAACTTACAAAGAAAACTAACATATTTCTCTTTAAAAATATTTTACTTACATAATATATAGAAAGGCAAGTATCTTTATATTCATTAGGCAAAATAAAGGTCTAAATTATTTTAAGTAGTCATACTATGGTGTGGCAGAGAATTATAAATCTTAATATTGTTCATGCTGTGGTTTCATATATGATATCTTTTAAACTAACAAATTGTAGACACTGAAAATTTATTACTTCTGAAGAGAAATATTGATTATTATAATTTTTAATGGAAGATTTAAAAACAAGATATCTTGATATCCAGCAAAACTTTCTAAAACTAGAACTTAAAATTAAGGGCCCAGATTGTTTGTTTTTTTTTTTTTTTGGTGGAAAGGCATACTTTAAATATGGGCACATAAATATTGAAAGCAATTTGAGATGTCCCCTCTCTCTGGTTCCCAGGCAGGAAATGTATAACAGAAACACCTGTGGAGCTCTCTGAAAATATTTTGGTGGGGGTATGGGGAGTAGAGGGTGGTCACCACAGAGTTACTAATACAGAATCTCCTGAGGGTGATATATATATAAAATATATGCATACATGCACCTTCCTGTGTATATATGGTTTTTTAAATCCCCACATACCACCATTTCAGATATATTAAAATATGTACATCTTTATTATACCATACTCTTGAGATTCTTAAGATTTTTAAAAATCCAAATATTTTAGTTACATGAGATTATGTTTAGTGTTTCAACAAAGCATGCAGTTAACTGTGGCAGTTGGTGTTGGAGGATGATTCAAAAGTAGAGAAGTCAGTTATCACAGCTTAAATTTAAGCGTTAATCTAAAGATGAGTTATAGGAAGAAAGGGATGGCAGGAAGCATATGAGATGGTTTTGTAGGGAAGTATTTTTTTTTTTTATGCAAGTGAAACTTGTTCATGGATTATTACCTCAAGGAAAATTTACTTGATACATGTAATTAAGTGTTTTGATTATAGAAAGAATCTCTTTGGACCAATATTGTAGGTGTTCAGGGTCTAGAAGCAATGTTATTAGTAAGACTCCTTAGATGTGCATGTCAAAACTAATGCAAATCAGTGAATTATTTGTGCATGAGCTTTGCTTAGGCATTTTTCATCCCCTCCACTTAAGTTCCTCCTTTTTCATCAGGCTCTTTTGCTCCCATATGTATACTTAGAATGACTCGGGCTTCTTGTTCTAAAGTTTATTCAAGATACAGAACAAATATTCTAAGTAATTTGTAAAATATATATTGTATATCAAGGGATAGAATTGTGCTAATGGGCTAATTTCATATTGTATGGGAGACATTAGATGCCTCAGTTAATTGAGGGTGTTTTTGCGTGGAGCTCAATAGATAGTTCAAGTATATTGTATTTGAATCGCAATGGTGGAAATATAGCACCTGGTTGTCCTGTGTTCTTTGTTCCCTACCCTCTCCCCCGACTTCCATCCCCACCCCTGTGGGCAGCTATCATTGTTTTGTTTTATTTTTCTGCCTTTCTCAGAATTAGCCTCCAAATCCTTCTCATAGAGCACTCCAGGCTCCTTTTTGACCCCATCATTCCAGGCAGGGACCATCAATTGGATTTGTTGTTTGCATTGAAAGTCATTTGCTGCCCCTTCACTAAGTGATTATTTCTGACATCACTTCTAGCATTTAATTACCTCAAGTCTATGAAATAAGCTTTCTTTTCTGTAAATGACCAGTTGAGGAAGAAAACTAAGAGGAATGGAAAGACTTAACATTATTGGAACACTTTTAAAAATAGCACAAATTTTATTGCCCTTGGGTTTTTAAAACTGCCTTTAACAATAGCTAGATGTGTGGCTTTGGACAAGTTACTGAGCCTCTAAACATCGTTTGTTATTAGCTAATCTGAAGGGGTAAATTTTCATTATTAAAGATAATATTAGCTAATACTAAATGGACACATGCTCTGTGACAGGAACTGGAATAATTGTATTACCTGCACAATATAATCCTTACGACAGTCCTATAAGGTACTTATTACTTCACTATTTTTCTGAAGAGAAACCCAAGACACAGATTTAAGTTACTTTGCAGACTCACTGTAGTGAAGATTTAAACACTGTGTACCAGATTCAAAAATTAGTGTGTACCATCAGATAAAGTGCCTGACATGATAGAGGCTCACCAGATATTAGGCAATGTATATGCAGAAAAACATAACCCAACCAGCCATATGTTTATAGCCACAGTTAACCACTAAATTGTTTCCATTGTTACAAACATATATCGGGCTATCTCCTTTTCCTATGGCTAAATAATTAAGTTTGATTTTCTTAGATCTCCCTTTCTTCTTTTTCTTTTTCTTTTTTGTTTTCTTTCTTGAGATGGGATCTCGCTCTGTCATCCAGGCTGGAGTGCAGTGGTGCGATCATAGCTCACTGCAGCCTTGAACTCTTCCTGGGCTCAAGTGATCCCTTCTGCCTCTGCCTCCGCCTCCACCTCCCAACATGCTGGGATTATAGGTGTGAGCCCCTATAGGCACCTGGCCCGTATTTGCATGATTGGTTTTTTTTTTCCTTAAGGTTATACCATGGCATAATATTTTTAAATTTCTTAATAACTGGCTATTTTGGAGGCAGACATTTATGTTAAGATTTCTTTTTGAATACGCTTTTTCCTGCAAATTAAATAAAATTTAAAATTCCTTATATCTTTTAAAATGCTTTGTAAAGCAGAGCCAGTGATTGCTTACAAATTTATATTTTAGGATTTGGTTTTGGCAGCTTCTTTCCAAAATTTAACATTTATACACTGCATGTATAACTAAAACTTAGTACCATTTTCTTGTGCATAAAACTCCTATTTTAGGAATATTCCATGGCTTGAATTAAACAATGTGTAAAGTTATTTTTACACGTAGTAAGCATTTAGTGCTAGTGTTTACTCACCACTTCCATTCATATGAAGAGTTTAGAAACTAATCTTTGTCCTTAGCGGCAGTGGATAATTTACAGTACTTTTACCTTATTAGAATATATAACCTGATTTTGTTGTTTTTTTTTTTAAGTCTTCTATTCAAGTCACTAAACTTTATATTCATATAAGGTTTAATCCACAGCATGTCATGATGCTGGCCTTTGATAACTTTTTTCAAGAGTCCTTGGACAGATGACTGTGACCATTGTGGCCATATTCTTACCTAATCCACACATTGGAGAACGTGTTTATCAAGTTTATGAGTTATATTTCCACTAATCTTCGTAAAAGTAATTATCTTGCTTATTATTACATGAAATAAATGTTGCACGTGAACAAGCATTTTTTAATAATGAGTCTGTTTATTACTGAACTAAGTTTATACGTTAGCAAGGGTTTCAGTAAAATAAGATTTGTGTTAAATAATCTTCAGAAGTGGTATTCTGTGGTGATAAAAATTGCTTTAGGGTTGCATTTATATCGCTGCGGTCATACCAAGGGTCAGGATATAGGTTTTTAGTTGGCAAAACCATCAAGGACTCCATTTAGAAGGGTATTTTTAATAAAATTTATTGAGTATTTTAATTACAGCCCTCTGCTTTCATGTATTTTTGCTAGCAAAATAGTCTTTGACCATAGGTTTAATGCACTCTCACTACAAGGAGAGAAGGGTTTTGAGGGTGGAGAGACTTGAACCTGTAGTGTGGCAGGCATTCTACAAAATATATTTTCAGAAATACCCTATGTGGTAGGCTTTGTTATCTTTTCTTTACAAGTGAAGAGGCGAATTCAAAAGATGCCTATGGTTGGTTACACAGCTTTTGATTTGCATAGGTATTCGAACCCAGGTTTTGCTGACTTCAATGCTTTACCTTAAAAGATGCTTTTTTAGAATGGTAGATGTTAATAGATGGTCTGTGTAATTAGTTTCCTGGGCCTCCTGCAACAACATAGAAAAAAATGGGTAACGTAACATTTATTCTCTCACAATTCCAGAGGCCAGAAGTCCAAAATCAAGGTGTCAGCAGGGCGATGCTCTCTGAAGGCTCTAGAGGAGAATCCTTCCTTACCTCTTCCAAACTTGTGGCAGTTCTCAGCAGTCCTTGGTGTTCTTGGCTTGTAGATGCATCACTCCAATATCTGCCTCCATCACCCCCCAGCTGTCTTTCCTCATATGTTTTTGCATCATCTTACCTCTGCGTCTGTGTTCAAGTTTTCTTCTGCTTATGAGGACATCGGTTATATTTGTTTAGGAGCCTACCCTATTCCAGTGTGATCTCATCTTAGTTACATCTACCATGACCTTATTTCCAAATAAGGTTACATTTTCAGACATGGTAGTTAAGACTTTAACGTATATTTTTGGGGTTGAGAGGACACAATTCAGTTGGTAACAGCTATGACAAAATTGGGTAAATTGATGAACATCTTAAAAAAAACACAGTGGAAGAGGCAGGCACTGTAGAGTGACAAAATACATCTTTATAGAAATTCCATGTTAAAATTATTTTGTGTTATAATAATCAAATTTAAATACCTAATACATATATTACCATTAAACAGGATAGTCAGCACTACCTAGTTTTTTAGCTGAATTTGTAATGTCCATATGTTTATGTTTCTTTAGTAATACTTGAACTAAAGGAATTTGCAAAGAAAACCCAATAATATTAGTATTACATCAAAAAGTTACTGTGTATTTTTCTTCCATCAAGAAATAATGCTGACTTTTAAAGGTGGAGGAGTTTTTAGACTTCAGTAAACATAGGTACCCTGAAAATGTGCACTGTTGTATCTTTTCACTTTTGTATGTCAGTGCTTTGAAAGAATGGACAATGTTATCATTTTGTTTTGTCTGCTTATTAAAATTTTCTCCCTAGTGTGATGTGACTATCATTTTGCCATTTCAGTGTCATATTAGAAATGGTTGTTTTATTTACCAAATAAATTAACCAATTCGTTCAGTATTTTATATATTATTAGACGTCTAATACTTTTTAAAATTTTCTCACAGTATTAACTAGCAAAATCTATTTGATTAAGTAAAAAACAGCTTTGGGTCTGACTGAAATCCAACTATATAAGTATATAGGTTCTTACTAAGTAGGTGCCTTATAACAAGGACTCCAAAAGTTTTTTTTTTTTTTTTTTTTTTTTAAGATGGTCTCACTCTGTCTCCCAGGCTGGAGTGCAATGGCTCAATCTCGGTTCCCTGCAACCTCCGCCTCCTGGGTTCAAGCAATTCTTCTGCCTCAGTTTCCCAAGTAGCTGGGACTACAGGTGTGTGCCACCATGTCCCACTAATATTTGTATTTTTAGTAGGGATGAAGTTTCACCATATTGGCCAGGCTGGTCTCGAACTCCTGACCTTGTGATCTGCCCACCTCAGCCTCCCAAAGTGCTGGGATTATAGGTGTGAGCTACCGCGCCTGGCCCCCTATAACTTATATAGAAATCTGAATGGAGAATTCTGGTTTTTGTTTTGTTTTTGAAGAGCACCAAAGCAATTAAAACACTGCTTGGCACGTGGAACTATATAGGTATTCACTATTGCTTTAATTGTCAATAATGGCTAATGGAGACTGGGACATCTAAGTTAGTGTTGTAGATTAATTGCAATCAATTAAATTATTTTTGCAAATTTGAGTATACAACCCAAAGTTTGGGGAAAAATGGAGTTGTATAGTTCTGTCTCCAAAGCCTCAACTTTTTGAGCTCTATTTGAGTTTCTGGTCCTTAGTACCAACCTTTAAACACAGCTGTCTAATTCACTAGGCTATTGGCATGCTTCCTGTTGTCCCAGATGGTGGGTCTGTCACGGAGAGATGACTGTGATCTAATTTCAGGAAAAATGATTAGAAAGTTTCCTTCCTTTTATTAATTGTCTAAATATGTCGAGATAGTAATAATTAACTGGTTAAAGACAGTGTAGCTGATTTTCTTATTCAATTAAGTAGGAAAGTTTTAAGAGTAGATTTTTTCCATGGGACTTGAAAGAGGCCAATTTTTTTGAAATGGAAAAAGATATCTTTTTCCCATGAATATATTCATGATAAAAAAGTTATCACTGAAATAAATTAACCATTTCCTTAAATTGTGTCTGACTCAGTCCATTGTATGAAACACCATATTTAGACAATTTTTAAAGATTGTTATACTTCTCCATATGATACAGAGAATTTGAAAAGCATATTTAAAGCCATTTTATCCCAAAGTCTGTCAAATAAAATTTGAGACCTTAAAAGAAATATCTATTTGGGGGAGAGAAATGAACTTACTTAACTAGGACTGATAGCAAAATCTGTGCAGTTATGGAATGTAGGGATTCTAGATATGTATATTCTAATTCTGGAATCTAGTCATTCGTAATAGCCAGTTTAGGAAAACAGTAGGGATCTTGGCCCCAGTGGGAACCACAAGCGCCACAACGGTGATACTTATCTGAACTTTTAAATGTAAAGCAGTCATTTAATTTCTTATCAGAGCTTAAAAACATAACAGATGGACTTTTTAGGGGATAATATTGTTGCCCTCACATTTCTCTTAATAGTAGGGTGTGTGTGTTAATGGATAAGGAGAAATTCTGATGCGGGGGAGAGTTCATTACAAGTTATAGAAATAATTTTGTCCCAACCAACCTCTTTAGCTATGTTAGTATTGTAGTTATCCTGTGACTGTAAACACGAGTATGACCTTAGTTTTTTTCTAAGCCACCAAACATCAGATGGAAGTGATTTTAAGAGGATATATAGGAATAGTGTAGCTATATCTTGCACAGTCATGATATCTGCATTCAGATAATTGAATGAGGCTAACACTTTGTGGTTAGTCATTAAGTCCTTTCAGGTATTTTGTGGGTTTTTTTTTTTGTTTTTTTTTGGGTTTTTTTGCTTTTCTAGAGGAATACTTTGCTACTTTTCCCTTTGTTATAAGCAGTTACGATAGCTCTTCATTCCTTTTTGTAGCTTCAAGTGGTTGGTGACCTGGTGGAAAAAGAAAGTAATTATGCAACACTGCCTTTTGTCTAGTTGGTTGTAAAATACCTACCTAGGCACACTGAACAAGAGCATCTATTCCAGCTGGGAATGGATGAGCAGGGTTAATTTTTTTTTTTTTTTTTTTTTTTTTTTGAGATGGAGTCTCACACTGTCGCCCAGGCTGGAGTGCAGTGGTGCAATCTTGGCTCACTGCGACCTCCACCTCCCAGGTTCAAGAGATTCTTGTGCCTCAGCCTGTTGAGTAGCTGGGATTACAAGTGTGCACCACTATGCCCAGCTAATTTTTGTATTTTTAGTAGAGATGGAGTTTCAGCATGTTGGCCAGACTGGTCTCAAACTCCTGACCTCAAGTGATCTGCCTACCTCGGTCTCCCAAAGTGCTGGGATTACAGGTGTGAGCCACCATGCCTGGCCTGGCCTGAGCCAGGTTAATTTTTCATGATAAGGACTTTTAATTGCTCAATGAGTAATCTGACTTTACTTTTGTTTCTCTCTTGGCTATTTACATTTTTAGCTTAACATTTCAAATTAGTTTCTAATATTCTAATACAGCTCATAGTTGGAAATAACGTGTGTAGATACATACACATATATGCATGCGTGCATATGCGTATTCTATACCTTAAAAGAACCTTCAAGTAAGCCTTGTAGATTTTCTTTTGATCTTTTTTTTTTTTTTATTATGGTACCTTGAGTATTCTCTCAGGAATTAGACAACTTAAAACCAGTATCTTCTTTCTCTGCATAAGTCTCACATCTGTTTACCAAATTCTTAGCATTTAGGTTTTTTTTTTTTTTACTTATGTATGCATATATTTTATTCTGAATTTATGCCCCTGTCGTAAGTTTTGTTTCTTCAGTTTCTTCTGGGATATCTTTTTTTTTCTGTGCAGCCACAGAACAATTATGGCTTAGGAATAATTTCTTTCCAGCGAGGATCATCTCCATGTAGCCGAGGGAGCTCACATACAAATTAATCTGACCATGAGCTCTGAAAGGACAGTGGCTAGCACATCTTGGGTGTTTGATTCACCTGGATGTGCTCAGTGACCAGAGAATTTCCATCTAAACCTCGAGTTCAGCGTTACTCCCTGTGTATTTAAACATGTTCAGGAAGAATTTAGCTTTGTTTTTGGGCTACCAACCCTGTGTCTAGCCCACTGTTTGGCCTGGGCACACCTACCAACTCCACCCTGTAATGTCAAAATGGTACACATTGTTTCTGTAAAGTGACATCTTTCGGATAACTTGGTGATCTTTTTGTACATGCGTACCTTTAATGGCCTGGGCATTTTCACAAGTGTTCTTGAGTGAACATGACAACTTGAACCTCTTGATTTGCATGGTTTTGTGGCATTTTCCGGATCAAGAGACTATCAAACCGTTTTCACCTCAGTCCACTTACAGGGAGAGCAAGAACTGGATCGTTGAAGACTGATACGTTTTCTCATCAGGAACAACTCAGTCTTCATTAGTATAATGACATCTGGGCAGGGTGGTGGCTCATGCCTGTAATCCCAGGACTTTGGGAGGCTGAAGTGGGCAGATCACTTGAGCTTAAGAGTTTGAGACCAGCCTGGGCAACATGACGAAACCCCATCTCTACAAAAAATATAAAAATTAGCCAGTCATAGTGGTGTGCACCTGTAGTCCCAACTACTCGGGAGGCTGAGGTGGGAGGATCACTTGAGCCCAGGAAGTTGAGCCTGCAGTGAGCCATGTTTGTGCCACTACACTCTGGCCTAGGCAACAAAGGGAGACCCTGTCTCAATAAATAAAATATAGGATAATGATATCTGTAAATTCTCCAGTAACCAGAGATTAATACTAAATGTATACTCAGGGTAGAGGAGAGTAAGCAAGAGAATCACCTGTAATTTTCAAAGCAGTAATATTACTGAGAGCTGGCTGAAAAATATACTAACCTTCAGTCATTTTTGAGTCATTGATTCATATTCTGATTTATTATAACCTAACAGTGCTGTTTCAAATTAGTACCCATTGCTCTTAGTCGCTTGGGTACTGTGGTTCATTTTGTGGATTTGCTTTAGCTACTTTGTTTAGACCATCTGCCAAAAGTTAATTGAGACTGTACAAGGCTTCCAAGAGAGAGCAGATGTACCCATGGCTGAGAGTGGTACAGCAGTGGACAGGCATGTGTCCGCTATTGGCCTTTGACCTTTTTAAGCAAGGAGAAACCTTTCTTCTGTTGTGCTTTTTTGTGACTTTTGGTTTGTTAACCACTATTCTAAAATCCTTTATATCATACTGATGAATGCAAAGTGAGGTGCTTTTTTTCAGTGAGTCAGTGTGCATGTTCAGGATTGATTCATTGGAATAAAAATAACGTTCGGCTAATTGTATATTAAGAGTACATATAGGGACATGTTAAACAGAAGGTTTCTTGGGGTGATTTTTTTAAAAACCCAAAATTTTAAACATCAGGTATTTTATCTGGTTGGGGAATTAAGCCCAGGAAAGAAAAACCTCTAGAATATTCCTACCCATACAGCCTGATGCACACCCGTGGGCCGTCTTTAATACTACAACTTATTGAGTAAATGACAATGCATAGCACTCTCAATGCCCTCGTGCCACCCTAATGATTGCTCTACCTTTCTGCTTTCAAAAGACAGTACAATCTGTAATTTACCTCTGTAAAAGGACTATTGAGACCCTAACACCTTTGCTTCTGGGTTTCCCAAATCCTTCTGTTCTTAGTTTTCATCTGTAATTAAGAATCTTTCAAGCCCCAGAGGACAGACTCACATACTTTCCCACAAGTTGAACGATAGAAAAAACCTTGAGCCTGGGGAAAGTTAACATTGTAATGTCCATCAGTATTGGAACTTAACCTTCTTGTGCTACCACACTCCAGTTTCTGTCTAGATCCTTGAAAAAAAAAATATAAAAGGTGCACCAACATTCCTCTCCCTCTCCCAAGAGACACATGCTCTATCTCACAGGTGTGGCATATACCATTAATCTATCCCAGGACTCTACTGCTTACCCAATATTTTTCACATTTCTCCAGGCAGCCACTGTAAGTCACAGTTTTAGCATTAGATCTGAAACCTATTCTTCATCCCTGGTCATGGAGCAATTTACCACATAAAATTGTATGCCTTTATTAACAGTCGTTAATGTTAGTTTGCAGTGTCTTTTTAGTTTGTACTATACAATTTAGTACTTAGGATGATTTGTGAATTGTTACATGTTACTGCCCCTTGATTAACACCATACCAATACCATTCTTTGTCTTCACTTGCCTTGAGATGCAAAATCACATCTTGCGCAATTTAATCATTCACATGTTTATGTTCCTGAGTTAGTATTTTTAATCAGAGAGGAATACAGATAACATTTATTAGCTCTAAATTTTATAGATGTCATAATGCCCTAATGATATTTTAGCCTTCTTTTTACCTCTGTATAGGGAAAGGAATCCTTAATGGAGTTGTTAAATGGAATAACTACAACTTTTGCCAATTGTTTTAGGTTTGACCTTGTCAAAATTGTTTTAAATTATTGTTAAAAACATACTACTACATGGCCTTTCAACCCAGTTAATTTTTTTCAGATGTTAAAACTTTATTTTTAAAAAAATGTTAAAGGGGCAATTTATTTTTATTGAACTGCTTTGAAGGAAGAAATTTTATAAGGGAACAGAATTGAAAAGAAGTCAGAAAAAGAAAAGGACTCATACATTTGTGTTATTTCCAAAAGAAAACAAAACTAGTGAGAACCCAGTAAAAAGATTGTTTTAGAAAAGCACAAGCATTGTTTACCACCTTAATATATCCAGATTCTTTTTGAAATCAAGTTTTCGTGTTTATGAAATAATGGGCCCAGGAATGAATATCCAATGTGATCCAAATATATTAGACTAAAATATCCTGTGAACATGGAAATCAATGCATATGGCCTTTCTGACTTTTTAATATTGAGCACTTTCAAAGATTGGATCCATATTGTTAAGAAATGTAAAAACAGCCTGGGCACAGCGGCTCACGCCTGTAATCCTAACACTTTGAGAGGCCAAGGCAGGCAGATCACTTGAGGCCAGGAGTTCAAGACCAGGTTAGGCAACATAGTGAGACCCTGTCTCTACTAAAAGCAACTTTAAAATTAGCCAGGAGTGGTAGTGTGCACCTATAGTACCAGCTGTTTGGGAGGCTGAGGTGGGAAGATTGCTTAAGCACAGGAGTTCAAGGCTGCAGTGAGCTACGATGGCACCACTGGGCTCCAGCCTGAGTGACAGAGTGAGACCCTGTCTCAAAACACAACAAAATAAAAGAACAGTCTCATAAATATTTTCACTTTGGAACTTGACCCAGTCAGTGATTTCAAACCTAGTATTTTCAATTAATTGAAGTGTCTAGTATAATAAAATCTGATTTGCTTAATGTTGGCTCTGAAGTAATTTGACTTAATAACTTGTAACAATAGATACAGAGTTGTTTTTCTGTCTGTAGCTTAAGAAGTGAGCTGGGTATTGAAAGCCTTAGATTTGCTAACTATAATTGAATTATTTGTGTCTAGACTGCTCCTTGGCATGTTTCCAAATCATTTTTGTTTCCTTTGGGAGAATAGAGACATAACAGCTGTAGGGATGACCATGATTGCTGTGTGAACAAGTTTGTCTTCAGTAAATGTGTTTGCCTACTTGGATGTAGGCCTGCATATTATTTTTGAAGTCAGATTTTGGGTAAAGCTCATGGACTTTTTCTAAAATGCTCCCTATCTTAGACCATCAAATGAGGCGTCATGTGTGCAGGTCAGGTTGCAGTTAGAGATACATTTGAATGATGTCGCCCACATTGGTCTTTGGAATGTGGAATCTTTTTTTTTTTGTCCTTTCATTAGTACATGTAGCAGATCTGAAAGAGAATTCAGCTTGAATTTTCTCTGTTTGGAAGAGAATTGGTAATGTATCCAAAGCACTTCTCTTTTCATACTCAAGTTAACTTCAAATGGTTGTAGAGCCTACAGGGATTTTATTTAGCCATAATGAAACTGATTATGACCAACAGTTGGCTTCTAATAACAAATGTTACATTTTTGAAAATGTGCAGATTTTGAGGTTTATCACAGGTGAGAATCTGTCCTATCTGAGATTGTTGTTTCAGCATATTTTAGAGTGATACTCACGTTGAGATGCATTAGATCTCTTAAGGAAAATTGCTAAGTGCAAATTCAGTTCTGTGAGCTGCACATAAAGGTGCTTCAGTCACTTTGTGATTGTAGGAAAAAGAGAACTTTCTAGGGCATGGTTTTATAGTTTTATGTCTTTGGAGGTTTTTGGTTTGTTGTTACTGTTTTTAATGATTCCGCTCTGTCACCCAGGCTGGAGTGCAGTGGTACAATCATAGCTTGCTTCAGCCTTGAACTCCTGGGCTCAAGTGATCCTCCCACCTCAGCCTCTCAAGTAGCTGGGATTACAGGTGGGGGCCACTGTGCTGGCTGGGAGATATTTAAAGACATAAGTTTCTCTCAGATCACTTTCCTTGTTAATAATGCTGACAAATGCTAGGAGTTGTTATCTTACATCTGGTCTCTTCACTTTTATGAGTGCCATGGAACTCATAAGCTGTATTGTGAGCAAGTGTATTTTCAACCTTCTCAGGAAGTTTAAGATTGTTAAAACAAATTTTTAAGAAGTAAAGACTGTATTTAGAAGATAAAGTTGAAGGGAGATTCAATTAGTTACAACATCTTTGGATCCGTTGTTTCTTACAGTGTGCAGTAATTAAGCTTTCAGGACACAAGGTACAAATACTAGTAATAATACGGACTCATCTCCAAAAGTATAGGAAAGTTAATGTGACAGTGTTTCAAAGATGATGCCTAATTTTAAACACCAGATTATTTTTGTGTCTTAAAAATCAAAGTTTTGATTGTAATGGATAGGGTTTGGGGTAAATAAAATATAGAAGCCTTCCTATTGAAGACTTTACAAAATTATCATCAAATTGTATACTCTGGTTAAAAAAAGATAGATTCAATTTCTAACCTTAAAACTCTTCTTTGGGCAAACAAAAAGGTGGGTTCTCAGGGTCAGAACACTTTTCAGGATGACCCCATTTCTTAAGTTGTTGGAAATAATATTTTGATAAGGTCCTTCAGTTCCTTCTTCATGCCTCAGGTTCCTTTTGTGTACTGTTTTGTGGAGAGCCCATAAAGAGACGAGACATACACTTGCCTTTTAAGTCTGGGAGGAGGAAAAGTATTTCTGATACCCAGTTTTGCCTTCCCGTAGGTGAATTTCACCAAGTTACTTCAAAACTTTTCTACTCACCACAACACATGCCACCTTTACCATCTTACTCCCCTCCCAGCAGAGAAACTTGCCTCTTTTCCTTATGTAACTAGTAGATGGGACTATAGTAATTTGTTTCAGTAACCTCTCAACTCATTTAAATGATCTGGTCTCTGCCTCAAGACCAGTGGTTCTCAGCTAGAGTTGATTTTGCTTTTTCTCCGCCCAGGGGACAGTTAGCAGTTTTTGGAGACACTTTCTGGTTATCACAACTTGGTGTGGGGTACTGCTGGCATCCAGTGAATATTAGAGATTAGGGTGCTGCTAAATATTCTATAGCGCATAGGGTGGCACCACCCCATAACAAAGAACTGTCCCCAAATGTCCGGAGTGCCCAGGCTGGGAAACCTTGCTCTAGTTTTAGACATAACACGCTGTAGGTCCTGAGCAAATTTTTAATTATCCTGGTTCACTCAGAACACTGCATCATCAAATGTCTTCTCTTTCCTGTATTTTTTAATTTTTTATTATTATTTTTAGATGGAGTTTCACTCTCGTTGCCCAGGCTGGAGTGCAATGGTGCATCTCAGCTCACTGCAACCTCCGCCTCCTGGGTTCAAGTGATTCTCCTGCCTCAGCCTCCCGAGTAGCTGGGATTACAGGCATGCGCCACCACGCCTGGCTAATTTTGTGTTTTTAGTAGAGACGGGGTTTCTCCATGTTGGTCAGGCTGGTCTTGAACTCCCGACCTCAGGTGATCCGCCTGCCTCGGCCTTCCAAAGTGCTGGGATTACAGGCGTGAACCACCGCGCCCAGCCTTCCTGTATTTTTTTAAAACTCTCTCTCTTCACTGACACCAGGTGTTGCTATTAATGTGCTCAAATCTCTCACTTATAAAAAAGAATAAAACCTCTCTCTTTTCTAGTTACTGGTCTGTTTATTCTTTTGTAGAATGATCTTTGGGAAGAGTGTTTTCATTTATCCCAGTCTCTTCATCTTTTATTCCTTAGTGCACTGTCGTTGACTTTTGACCCCACCAATCCATTGAAATTTCTTTCCAAAGTCACTAGTGATCTATTGACCAAATCTAGCAGCCATTTTCATTGCTTATCTTACTTGATAGCACCACAGATTTAATGTTAGTGACTACTTTCTTGAAACTACTCCCTTGACTTTGCAGACCACTCTCCTGTGCCCATCGTCAGTGTTTCTTTTTTGAATTCTACAACTTCCCATGTGGTTCCATCTGTTCACACATGTTCATGCCCACATGAGCTCACTTAGGACCAACATACCAGTGAGTACACCATTGATACTCAGGTCTGCCTGACTTTCTACCTAGATAGCTTATAAGTATCTCAGGCTTAATCTCTATATTTTCTCTTCCTAATTCCCGCCAAAAATGTTTTCTCTTTTCCCAGTGGTTGACATTCCCATTCTTTCCATCTCCCAAGTTAGAGACTAGGAAACTATTCTCTTTTGCTCTCATCCCTTAGTAACAAAGTGGTTAGGATTTTTACTCACTAAACATAACTGAAATTTGCATTTCCATTGCCTTTGCCTTGGTTCAGTCCTGTTTTTTGCGGGGGACGGAATTTCGCTCTTGTTGCCCAGGCTAGAGTGCAGTGGCATGATCTTGGCTCACTGCAACCTTTGCCTTCCAGTTTCAAACGATTCTCCTGCCTCAGCCTCCCAAGTAGCTGGGATTACAGGCGCATGCCACCATGCCCAGCTAATTTTTGTATTTTTAGTAGAGATAGGGTTTCACCATGTTGGCCAGGCTGGTCTCGAACTCCTGACCTCGTGATCTGCCCACCTTGGCCTCCCAAAGTGTTGGATTACAGGCGTGAGCCACTACGCCCGGCCTTGATTCAGTCCTTCGTTGACAGTTCCAGTGGCTTCAAAACTATCTTCCAGGCTCAACACTGACAAACACAACTTCTGCAATGCTTACCAGAGTAATTTTTCCAGAATTTTCCTAGGTGAAGAGAGAGCGTAGCATCTGGAGCTTACGTTGCCAGAGTTTGAATTGAGGGCAAATCATTTTTCTTTTTGGTGCTTCAGAATTCTCAGTGGGAATGAACATGTTAGTACCAATTTTATAAGGTTGATGTAGAGTTAAGTGACTGAGTACATGTAAAGCTCTTGAAACAGTTTCTGGGTAAATAATGTTAGCTGCTATTAGTTTATACGATCATTAATGTTGTAATACACATCTGAACACACCTACCAAAAGTTCTTCATTTCTGTGGTAACCTACCAAATAAAATTTAAACTGCTTATTCTGACTTGCTGGACTCATCATGACCTAACTCTGTTTACTTTTCCAGTTTCTTATCTGATCTCTGCTGTAAATACGATGTGTTTCAGCAATTTGATACCCTTAGCAGTTCCTCCAGAGTGCTTTTACTGCTTGACTGTTTCTTCTCCCTGAAATGCTGTCCCCATCTATACCGTATAGACTCCTACTTGTTGACCTGTTTGCTTTTTTGATTTTAAGCAAATGAGCTCTTTGAGGACAGAGATCTTATTAATGCTTATGTCTGACTCATAGTACACATTTAGTAAAAATTTGTTGAAAGCATAAATGAACATTTAAAAAACGAGAAGAGACTGGGCACAGTACACTCCCAGCACTTTGGGAGGCTGAGGTAGGAAGATTGCTTAAGCCCAGGAGATCGAGACCAGCCTGAGCAACAACGTAAGACTCCATCTCTACAAAAAACCTAAAAATATTAGCCAGGTATGGTGGTGTGCCCTGGTGGTTCCAGCTACTTGGGAAGCTGAGGTAGGCAGATCACTTGAAGATCAGTTGAGCCCAGGAGGTCAAGGCTTCAGTGAGCTATGTTCACGCCTCTGCACTGCAGCCTGGGCGACAAAACGAGACCCTGTCTTTTTTTTTTTCTGAGACAGAGTCTCGTTCTGTTGCCCAAGCTGGAGTGCATGATCTCACCTCTCTGCAACCTCCGCCTCAGTACCAAGTAGCTGGGACCACAGGTGCTTGCCACCATGCCTGGCTAATTTTTTTTTTCTTTTTTTCTCTGAAGACGGGGTTTCACCATGTTGGCCAGACTGGTCTTGAACTCCTGACCTCAGGTTATCCACCTGCCTTGGCCTCCCGAAGTGCTGGGATTACAGGCGTGAGCCACTGCACCCAGCCCAAGACCCTGTCTTCAAAACAAAACCTAGAAGAATCAAACCACTGAAATCTGGAAAAATTAGTTACTTGCTACACAAAGCCTTGCACCAGCAACTTCAGCATCACTTGGAAGCTTATGATGCTCAGAATCTTAGGCTCCATCCCAGAGTCACCGAATCAGGATCTGCGTTTTTAAAAGATCCTCAAGTGATTCATAGGTGTGATAAAATTTAGTTGTAGTTCATTTATCTTTTCCCCAACAAACACAAGTTTTCATATATTCGAAGTCTTATTTTTGATGTTACTATAGATTAAAAGAATTTTGTAAATAAGCTTAGTGACAAGAAAAGTGAAACAAATTTAAAAATAGCAGTTAAACTGAATAATGATTTTGTTTCCTCCTAAGACAACAGTTAGCAGAAGTCATATGTACAGTTGTTTCTGAAGGTGAGATCATTTTTTAACTAGAGCTGCTCCATGGTGTATTTAAGAGTTTTATTTGATACCATCTCTGGTAATATTAGAGCCTTGAGAGCATGTCTCATATGAATATTTTTATTTTGCCTATAGATTGAATTTCATGAAATGTTGAGGTGGAAGTCTGTGGATTAGGACTGAGGGAATACCTTCTTTGGTTCTTTCTGATTTTTTGACAGGCTTCCCTAAGTTTGTCCTAGGCCTCACTCTACCTTAGTAGATACTGGCAATGTGCCCATTAGGAGAGAATAGAATTCAGTAAAATGTGAAAGGTTTTTAAAAAGTGTCATTGATAAATAAGATGAAAAGATTGGAAACCATCAAAGCTTTATTACTTAAAAGTTAACGTAGGCACTATGTTCAGCTCAAGTACCTTAAGAGGTATGTCTTCGTGCTTACACATCAACATACAGAGGTTAATGTTGTTATATGGCACAACTTTTGTGTAGGAAATGTTTCAGTCACAGTATTAAAGTTTCTATTAAAATATTTCTAAAAATATGGGAAATGTGACATTTTAAATTAATGGGCCTGAAAAAAATAGCTTAAAGTTAAATGTTTTTATCGGATTATAAGAGTTCCAAGTTTCTTTCTAGATTATTTGAAATAGTTTACAAAATGCTATTTTAAACAGACTTTCAACCTGTTTCAAAACTCAAATATAGATGCCTGAGGGTTGAGAGAAAGAGAGTGTGTTACCACATGTTTATCATTGGAATGTAGAAACAAATTCATACTCAATTCAGCAAATACTTATTGAATAATATATATATTTCAGATGCCTTGATAAAAATTGGTGACAGTAGGTAATTGAGAAAGATATTACGTTATTGACAGAACACAGTTCCTGCCTTCAAGGAGTTTACCTTTTAGTGAGAAACAACCAGTAAATTCTATTTCAATATAATGTATGAATTGCTGTAACAGATTGGGTACGTAAGATACAGCTAGAACATAGAGAAAGGATGCTAGTTGCTAGATTTTCATTAGAAGATGCATTTTTGTTTCAGCAAATTAACTTCCTAAGTCTCAATATCCTCATCTATAAAACTAGAAATAAAAAGTACCTGGAAGACTCATTTTGAGGGTCAAATGAAAATACATGTGCAGTGCTTAGTACAATACATAAAACAGACTGCATAATAAATGTTGACTGCTGCTAATACTTAGTGGCCATTACTTAGGAAATCTTTCCTTCTGTCTTTGTGATTTCTGCTTCCCTTTCTTCTTTATTTATTTATTTTATTTTTAATATTCGTAGCCCTAGTCCATGGATTTGAAGGAAACATTGCTAAAATCATGGAGGTAAAATTTAGGTTTCTTTGGACATTTCTTTTCTCCTATTGTCCCTTCCCTGCCCACCCAACATGAATAACCCTAGTCTCCTCTTTAACTTTTGAAAGTTTCCGGAACAGTAATGGTAGGGTCCTTTTACAGCATGATGTCACGTGTTACTCAAGACTTGTACTGTCCAGTATGGTAGCCTTTAGTCACCTATTGCTATTTAAATTTATAAAAAATTAAAAATTCAGTTCCTCAGTCACACCAGTCACACTTAAATGCTCAACAGCCACATTAGCTAGTGCCTACCAAATTGAGCGGCACAAGTACAGAACATTTCCAGGAGGTCCTATTTTATAGCGTTACTCTAGAAGAGCAATTGCTGATAACATAGGCTGTTTACCTTAATTAAAATTATATGATTCAGAATTCTCTGTCCCAAACTATATTTAAATTTTTTTTTTTTTTTAATTCTCACTTCTGGTTAGTTTCCATTAAGGAGTTACCATGCTTCACAATGCTGATTCTTATTTTTATAAATATAAACTCTACATTGGTATTTCAATTTGTGTTTTAAGTCTTACTAAAATGTCTTGGGGTGTTTTTTTCAAATATAATTCAGTGAAGTTTTCAGACTCTTTTAAGTCACATCTTTAAAATGCTATTTCTGATTAAAGATAACGTAACATAATGTTGCGATAAATATGTATTCTGCTCTACAATAAATATATAGACTGCTTTACTCCCTTCTTTCTTCTTCAGTCTTTTATGTATTATATTTGCCTTTTCTGAGCAATTCAGCTTGCTTTTTCCAAATACAGTATTCAGTTAGGGTGTTTCATACACCAGCTGCCATTTACATCTATGTTATTACCTATGGCAGACACCTACACATGCTGACAGACAATTTTAAGTCAGTCAGTCCATCCTTAAGGTTACCAAAAGACCAGAAAGATTATCTACTGACTGCTGCTGGGCAGATTTTACACTGAGTTTGAAGTGTTCAGTTATATATAACATTCTGGCTCAGTTCGTCAAGAACTCATCCATAATTCTTCCTGGAAGTGTCCTCATGTGCAACTGTCAGGATCTTTCCAGAGAGACTTTTAAAAAAATTCTGTAACCCTAAAAATGATGTTTGCTACTTTTTGATTTGTTGCAATATAAACAGGTAATATTTACAGACAATATAAGTAAATACTGAGTTCCTTTTCATACTATGAACTACGTTATTGCTATGTTGACCTGTTGAGTTCACTGTATACTTTATGAAGCCATATTCTCAACAATATATCATGATATCAATGATCTTTAGTAATTAGTCTTTTATTCTGAAAGATTGGGCACCAGATCAGAGTTGAAGAGAAAGTGAATAAGCCTTTAATGTTTTAACAATATCTTGGAGTTTGAAAACACCATAGAGATCACTGGCTGTATTTTTTAGAAAAGAAAAAATTTAAAAGAAATTGTGACTTATAGTCATGGGCCTACGTAGCAGTTTTCTTTTTTAATGTATACTTTATTCCATATAAGTTGGTATATAATGTTTACAATTTACACATCTCTATAGAAATGCAATGAACAAATTTGAATTCAGAGAGACTCAAAGAGGGCCAGTTACTTCATGTCTCATTGTCTCAGTTTTTTTTTTTTTTAATGTAAAATGGGCCAATTATTGTGTTGAGCTTAAGTGTTTGTTTTGAAGACCTAAAGAGTAATGCATGGTACTAACACATGCCACAGCATGGTTGAATCTTGATGATACTGTGCTAAGTAAAAGAAGCCAGACACAGGCTGGACGCGGTGGCTCACGCCTGTAATCCCAGCACTTTGGGAGGCTGAAGTGGGTGGATCACTTGAGGTCAGGAGTTTGAGACCAGCCTGACCAACATGGTGGAACCCTGTCTTTACTAAAACTACAAAAAAATTAGCTGGGCGTGGTGGTGTGCGCCTGTAATCCCGGCTACTTGGGAGGCTGAAACAGGAGAATCGCTTGAACTTTGGAGGCAGAGGTTGCAGTGAGCCGAGATCGTGCCATTGCACTGCAGCCTGGGCGACGAGCTGAAACTCCATCACACACACACACACACACACACACACACACACACACACACACACACTGAAACTCCATCTCACACACACACACACACAGACACAAAAGATCACATATTACGATTTATTTATATGAAATGTCCAGAAAAGCCAAGTCAGTAGAGACAGAAAATAGATAAGTGGTTACCAGTGGCTTAGGGGTGAGGGGGTGGGAAAGAATGGAGAGTGACTGCCGATGGGTACAGTTCCCTTTCAGCATGATGACAATGTTCTGAAATTCGTGGTGGTGGTGGTGGTTATACATCTTTGTCAACATACTTAGAACTACTGAGTTGTACACTTGATAAAGGTGAAATGTATCATATGCGAATTGATACCTCACTAAGAAGAAAAACAGTAATGCATGTAAAGTACTTAGCAGGTACCTGTTACATAATAAGCTTTTTTTTTTTTTTTTGGGACGGAGTCTCATTCTGTCACCCAGGCTGGAGTGTGGTGGTGCAATCTCAGCTCACTGCAACCTCCGCCTCCCAGGTTCAAACGATCCTCCCGCCTCAGCCTCCCAAGTAGTTGGGACTACAGGCATGCGCCACCGTGCCCGGCTAATTTTTGTATTTTTAATAGAGACAGGCTTTCACCATGTTGGCCAGGCTGTCTCAATAAGCTGTCTTTATAAAGATTTTTGGCTACAGTTATTAGGAACCATTTGTGAATTTTAAGAAAAGAATGCAGAAAAACTAGGAAGTATAGGCTGGGCGGGGTGGCTCACGCCTGTAATCCCAGCAGTTTGGGAGGCCGAGGCAGGTGGATCACCTAAGGTCAGGAGTTCGAGACCAGCCTGGCCATCATGATGAAACCCCATTTCTACTACAGATACAAAAATTAGCTGGGCATGGTGGCGGGCGCCTTATAATCCCAGCTGCTCGGGAAAGTGAGGCAGAAGAATCGCTTGAACTCGGGAGTCGGAGGTTGTGGTGACCTGAGATCGCATCATTGCACTCCAGCCTGGGAAACAAGAGTAAGACTCAGTCTCAAAAAAAAAAAAAAAAAAAAAAAAAAAGAAAAGAAAAGAAAAACTGGAAAGTGTAATATTTAGTATTGTATTTTATTTTACTACCTGAAATACAAATAATTTAACCACTAATGGCATATTTTAATTACTTTTTCAGCAGTAGAATATAAAAAAGATATTTACTAACACTAGTTTCCAAATTCAGGTAATCATAGTGAGTTTTTTGCAAGAAAGAATCCCATGTTTTAGTCAGTATTACAGTACTATTTCAATACTTTTCTTAATATGAATATATAAGCCATTAAAATGGCAGATTATATGTTGTATACATTTTACCATATTTTTAAAAATAATAAATACTAAGTCTTGTAAGAGCTTTTAATCCTTGAGAAGCCTTCTTTCTCTGTGTATTGTCCTGTCCTTTTTATTATTTCAGAAAAAGGTAATCATAGTGATAGAAATCTTTAATGATGGCAGTTTATATGTATCTTTAGTTTGTGGCTTTTAAAATGAAAATTATTACAGCTGATATCTAATATACGTATCTACTAGGTACTGAATAGGGCACCCACGGGAAGTAAATTCCATACCTTAAATTAATCTCATGTTGTTAGTGTGATAAAATAGAACACTCAGTGTTGTTGGTCTGGGGGAAAGTGATGTTTTAGCTTCGCTTCTCAGCTGTCATAGTGGTGCCAGTAACTTATAGAGTAGAAAATGCTCTGGTTAACTCGCAGAATCTGGAATAAAGAGCTGCTATAGATCTTCGTGTGATGCTAGTAGCAGAAAAAAGATAGTTTTTGTTTTAAGGGCTTACATAAGGTAGTTGAGGACAAATTGTTTTAAGGGCTTACATAAGACAGTTGAGGACAAAGAATTCACTAAGGATAGCCCCAGTGCCTATGAATGGCTCTTGATGTATGATGGTTGCTCAGATATTTGTTTAATTAATTTACAGGTATTCATTGGGATGCAATTTGATGATAATTAAATGCATAAATTGTGATAACTATTTGTCAAGCCAATTTTTTACACTAGCATTTTGTTTGAGTGAGAGATTGGGTGGGGATGGAGATACCAGGAAATTCTGTAAGTGTTACCGCCTTCAAGGAACTTAGAAAGGTGGTGGGCGATGGGGAAGATACTAAAGAATGGTGTAAAAAATGCAAGGTTGAATATAGCCAAGTGCTTCAGTACTTGGTGAAGGTGCGAAATGCTCCATATGAAGAGAAAAGAATGCAGTAGTGACTAGATTTATGGCGGAAATGGGATTTGGGGTTGGCCTCGAAGGACTATCTTAAAGGCTGAGACAGGGTGAAAGGTATTTCCATGTAGGGATATTGATCAGTTAGGAGACAAACTAGAGCAAAGGTATAAAGCCTGAGAGTCAGCCCCTCGAAAGTTGAAGAAATGTGAGCTCCATCTGACTGGAGCTGGGAAATCCACTTTAGGAGAAAGTGACAGACTTATGTTATGGTTGGATTGATTAAGTGAGATGGGGTTATACAGAATCTTCAGCGTCAGAAGCAGAGTAGTTCATAGTTCACATAGACTTCGAGAGGAGGAGTCAGGGTACTTAGTATAGGTTCTCTAACCGAAAAATGAATTGATGTTTAAGGAGAGATTAATTTGGTAGTTTTGTGTATGGTGCGAAAATGGGGTTGGAGAGACTCATTAATGGGTTTGCTCCATAGTGCCCTTGTGTGGGGTATACACTTTTTTTTTCTTTGAGGCACAGTGCAGTGGCGCAATCCCAGCTCACTGCAACCTCCGCCTCCTGGGCTCAAGCGATTCTCCTGCCTCAGCCTCCCAAGTAGCTGGGACTACAGGTGCCCGCCACCACACTCTGCTAATTTTTTGTAGTTTGAGTAGAGATGGGGTTTCACCATGTTGGCCAGGCTGGTCTCAAACTCCTGACCTCAATTGATCCGCCCACCTCGGCCTCCCAAAGTGCTGGGATTACAGGTGTGAGCCTCTGTGCCCGGCCGGGTGTACACTTTTATATGACACATAAGGCTGGGTCTAGGCAGAATTATAAATAGATTATTGCCTTTTGCCTTTTTTTTCCCTCTGTTTTCCCCCATGTCTTTCTTCATTGTCCCCATAGACCCTAATATTATAGTAGATTGTTTAGCTATCATAATAGATTCTAGACAATCAGCTGTTATTCAGTGAGTTTGTGATTTGGGGAATAATCTCTTTTTTAAAAAACACAAATTCTCACTTTAATAAGTGACTTTTGTAAACCAAGAGCTTTCCTTGTCAAATTTTCATTATAGGTTAATGATGAAATGGCAGGTAATTCACACTTTTGGACAGAGCGCACCGCCCCCGTGGAATCACCCTACAGAAGAGGCCAGCTATAAAGGATGTCTCACACCTTTAAGATCAGTGTTTCTCAATGTGTGGACCATGGATACCTGTATTAGAATACCCAAAGGATTTGTTTAAAATTCAGGCTGAGCCCTTCCCAAGACCTAATAGAGCTAAAAGCTTTGGGAGTAGGTGGAGGAAACCTGCATCTTTACCCAGCAATCCAGGTAATTTATATGCATACTACATTTTGAGACCCACTGATGAAAGAATTCTAATTTTCTATAGAGTTACTCTAGCAAGGAACCTTCTCATTTCTTATGTATTAGGTTATTTCTATATGGAACATTTCCCAGTAGACCATATTATTTATGGTATCTTATTAGGTGGAAGCCAAAAGAACGTTAAATAATCTGCTGGTGTTTTTGGGTTAGTTTTGCACTATTTCTCACAGTGCAAGCAATTCTTGTTACCTAGTAAAACGGTTCCCCCTTTGAAGGGTTGAATATTGTTCACATAGCACCCCAGCCTGTGGTGTATATGTTTAATCTGTCAAATCTCATTAAATTTTTCTTCTATAAGAATGCTAATGATACCAATTTCTAGAATTGAATGATTTCTACTCTGCCTGTTGGACTGCAAATTTGAAATCCCCTATAATAATTAGACCCCTCCTTAGAGTATATTATAATGACCATCGAACCTGTATCTAAAAATTCTAGTAACTTAACCATCCAGTCTTAAAAAAAAAAAATTAAAACAGGAATTCCAAAACAATTTCAGAAGTTAGAATAGGTGAAGTTAGCCTATTTTAGATGTGTGCAGGGATGGCAGTGGGGGGGAAAGATGGATTACTAAGTATCATTTATTTCTTGCTGGGTAAAAATTCAAACACAAGACCTTATAGCTGCCTTTTTATTACACTTGGCTTCCTTTTAGCTTTATTGGGCTTTGGTTGGTACATATGTGAATAAACTTAGACTATTATTGTATTTGACTGACAAACACTTAAAAATGAGTTTGTTCATATTCATTTTAGGTGGAGTTAGAAATGGAACCTAAATTGTAAAATATAATACAGCATGCTGCTTTTCGTTCTGGTTTTATGGTAACATTGAAACTAAAATGTTTCTTTCTAATGTGTCCATCCTGACTGCCATCCTTAAACTAGAGCCTCTTGTCTGCTATCTGAAAAGAGCAACAGCAGGAAGGAAGCAATTGATTTATACACATTTGAATTAGTCTGTAAAGCCCAAGGCCTGTGTTTGTTCAAGAAGAGACAGAGGCAGCAGTAATGCTCTGTGCATCAGGTGGATTAGTTGGAAATGTGCAAGCTATCATCTTTCTAAGAAAAGCATTTTAACAAGGCAAATTTGTGCCTAGCTCTTTTTTTTCTGTATATCTGTTGTGTTGATTTTTAATTTGGATTGTTTTCCACTGGCTTTAAAAATGCAAGTCTTTTTCAAAGAAAGGAGAAAGCATTTTGTAGCTAGTAGTATTTCAAGATTCCGTCATAATGTACATTGATTATACATCAAACTATATATAGTGTAGTTAGCTGGATGTAGACTGTGTAGCTTTGTAGTTTGCAACTTAGTTGTATATTTAAATGAGAAACAAGTGACTAACTGGATCCCATCAAGGTGGGTGTTAAGTACAGCCTCAGCCATAAAAGACTTAATCAGACCGGGTGCAGTGGCTCATGCCTATAATCCCAGCACTTTGGGAGGCCGAGGCAGGTGGATCACCTGAGGTCAGGAGTTCGAGACCAGCCTGACCAACATGGAGAAACCCCGTCTCTACTAAAAATACAAAATTAGGCGGGCATGATGGTGCATGCCTGTAATCCCATCTGAGGCAGGAGAATCACTTGAACCAGGAGGCGAGGTTGCGGTGATCCGAAATCACGCCATTGCACTCCAGCCTGGGCAACAAGAGCGAAACTCCCTCTTAAAAAAAAAAGACCTAATCAATACGTTTCCAAGGAGAAAGCGGGATTTTGAAATTCCTACTAGCTGCCAAAAGACAAAATGTTCCTGACACAGCTTTACTACCAAGTGAAAAAATTAAAAAATTCATTAGCTATAGCAAAAATCAGTTTTCAGTTTTTCCGGTTACCGGTTTTCTGGAAATCATTTGATTTTCAAATCTGCTGTTAGATTGCATTGTGCTTTTATTGAAATAGAGCATCTGGAGACTCTGCTATAGATGCTCTGCTTCAGAAATGAAGATGTCTCCATTAAATTTGGTCATAGTAGCATGAAATCTTTTAGCTGAATATAAAACATTTTGACACCTTTAAAGGATAAACGCTCATACCTTCAGGACTGTCAATTCATTTTATTAGTTATGTGGTATTAGATGCATCTCCCTTGGTGCATACTCTTAATTGTTAATTTAAAGTTCCTTGTAGTTTTAATTTTAAAGGACTTATTTGGAATGTTATTACATTTCTCTCATTTTGTAATCACCAACAGAATTTTGCCATTGCCAGATAATTTAACTAGTGCAGGAATTTGACTTTGTTATATACTCATGAGGGGCAAATTCTTTACTGATCATTTGATGGTTAGCTTTGCCAGAAGATTAGGAGTATTACTATTTCAGTTTCCCAAGATGATAAGTCTTTGAAAGTGGATAAGAGAATTGACTCAGTAAAGGTTACAGCCACAAAGACAGCAAAATTGTAAAATCATTCTCATTGCTGATAAAATTGAGTCTTTAAATGCATAGTTGCATACATGCATGAATGCGTGCACACACACACACACACACACACACACACACACACACACACACTTTGGGAATGTAATCTGTAAAATGTGTTGCCAGTCTCAGAGGAAACTGTAAAATAAGTGGAGTTTTCGTTGTCCTGGCTTTCTTTTCTGCTTCTTTTTATTGATTTTTAAATTAGCCTACCCCAATATCTTCCAGGGAATTTTTAAAAAGTTATCTTTCTCTCTTTCTTGAGGTTCCTCATATACTCTCACTCACACGCACATTTTCACGAGAGCGAAGTCTACCTTTAACTGAAATGAATGACTGCTGAATGGTCAGGAACTCCAAGTCCACATGGAATTCTTGCTCTTCGGTCCCAGACTCTCCCTTCTGTGTCCCCCTTAGGCAGGTGAGCATTCTGTAGTTTGTAGCCACAGCTCCACCTGGTTTGGGTTTTCTTCCTGTCATTGCCTTATTCCAGTTAATCATTACCTAGACTAGTTGCTAAGCTGAAAATTCATGTTGTGGAATTTCATATTGGATAACATAGTTACTTTTCTTGTTTTTTAAACAATGCTTTCAAAAAATAAAGGAAAAAAACGAATCTCTTAATTATAGCATTTTGGAGCCTTAACATTTGATCAGCATTTAAAAGCAGTGTTACATGTTTGAATTGTGGTGGTTCTTGAAACTGTTTTACTGCCTTCTTTGTCCTCATGGAGAATGTTGTCCTAAGCACAGAACTTGTCATTCGAGTATCTTGAGGATTTGTACAAATTGTTTATCCTGTGACATCAATTCTTTGTGCTAACTGGTTTCTGCCTTTGACAAGGCTTTTGAAATTTGTGCAACAAAAGCTTCCATGGGTGAACGACAATGTAGTTTTGTTCACTGCTAATTCCTGGAGTGGTTAACACTGTTTGGGGTGATACCTTGTTTAAAGCAGACAAGAAAATATGTGAGGATAGCTGTGGAAATAGAAAATATAAAAATTTTAACATTCTCACACTGAGTGACTTTTCATGTAAAGGTTTATTTCCTTTCAGAAATGCTGTCACTTTACTCAATTCAGTGATTTTTTATTTTTTCAAATTAATATTAGTTTGTTTTGACAAATGAGTTTATCAGATTGTTCATCTGACCAAAAATTTTAAAAGTTCGGTACTCTGTCCTATTCTTTTGTCGTGAACATCTCTCACGCTGATCTCCTAATACCTGTTTTCTTTCTACCATCTACAGCACAGTCGTTTTTCCTTTTTCTTCTTGTCATTCAAAATGGTGCTTATTTCACATTTTTGTCTGTTTTATTTTAAAATAATACATGTTTATCATAACTTATTCAACCAATAACAAAGGAGATGAAGTAAAAAATTCATAATTAGCCAGCCAGCCTAATTCTTCTTCTGCAGAGGCAACCATTATTAGTTCCTCATGTGTTCTTCTAGATGCTTCCCAAGCATATAAGCTGCACATCATTTGTAATGCCTGCATAATATTCTGCTATTTGCTTAACCATAATTTACTTAACCAATTTTCTTTCTTTTTTTTTTTTTTTGAGATGAAGCCTTGCTCTTGTCTCCCAGGCTAGAGTGCAATGGCGTGATCTCGGCTCACTGCAACCTCTGCCTCCCAGGTTCATGCGATTCTTCTGCGTCAACCTCCCGAGTAGCTGGGATTACAGGCGCCTGACACCATGCCCGGCTAATTTTTGTATTTTTTTTTTTTTTTTTAGTAGAGATGGGGTTTCACCATGTTGGCCATGCTGGTCTCGAACTCCTGACCTCAGGTCATCCGCCCACCTCGGCCTCCCAAAGTACTGGGATTACAGGTGTGAGCCACCGTGCCTGGCCCTAGTTAACCAATTTTCTCCTGAGAAACACGTTTCCTGTTTTTCTGTTGTACCCAGTATCTGCAGTTTCCCATGGTGCTCCAGTCCTCTACTGAGGAGCATTTCAGCTGTTTCCTGTTCTCTCTGTTCTACCCAGTCTTGACAGAGTTTGGAAGGATGTTTTTCTTTTCTTAGACATGTTATTTTAGAGCACTCTCAGGGATTCAGTAGTCACATGGAATTTCTTGATGTAATGTTTTGTTTTGTTTTGAGATAGAGTTTTACTCTTGTCAACCAGGCTGGATTGCAGTGGCGTAATCTTGGCTCACTGCAACCTCTGTCTCCTGGGTTCAAGCAATTCTCCTGCCTCAGCTTCTCAGGTAGCTGGGATTACAGGTGCCCACCATCACACCTGGCTAATTTTGTGTTTTTAGTAGAGAGGGGGTTTTGCCATGTTGGCCAGGCTGGTCTCGAACTCCTGACCTCAAGTGATCCACCCACCTCGGCCTCCCAAAGTGCTGGGATTACAGGTGTGAGCCACCATGCCCGGCTGTGATTTAATGTTTATAATTTTAAAACCCATGAATGTTTTCAGGGAATTAGAGTTAACTTTTAGAAAATTGCTTTTGTAGTGTCCTGTGTTATCCTTATGTGAGTAAAGCATTATCCTGTAGGCTGAGAGTAGAGAGTACAAAACAGAGGCCAGGCCCTGATGGATTCACCATGAGGCTTCACTCTTTCTCTTCACCTTTCACTACTGAAAGCTGTTAGTATGTGTCTATTCACTATGTGATCCTAGGACATATTTTACTGATATGATTATTTGAGTAGGAGTTGTGTGGTGGCAATTGTGGGTTGTTTTTTTTGGCGGGGCCGGGGTAGGGGGTTGAGACAGGGTCTGGAGTGCAGTGGCATGATCTCAGCTCACTGCAGCTTTGACTGCCTGAGCTCACGCAATTCTCTTGCCTCAGCCTCCTGAGTAGCTGGGACCACAGAAAGGAACCACCATACCCAGCTGATTTTAAAAATTATTTGTAGAGGGGAGGTCCTGCTATATTGCCTGGGCTGGTCTCAAACTCCTGGGCCCAGGCGATCCTCCCACCTTGGCCTCCCAAATTGCTGAGATTACAGACATGAGCCACTATGCCTGGCCCAGCAATTGCTTTAACAGTGGTTAATACGGATATTCCTTGAGCCAGAAGCATAATTTTCCCCATCTGATGCCCAAAATATGAAAGGAAAGAGAAGACATTTACAGGTCTGCAGAAGCAGGGCCCCACAAGGTGGCTACAGATATTATTATGTGGGGCAGGGGTAGGGGAGGGAGGCAGTAGGGAGTTGTATGAAAAGTTTAGATCATTTTTTAGTAAAAACTCCATCTTTTAAGGGCGAATTATTTAAAATATGTCCTTATAGGCTGGGCGCGGTGGCTTATGCCTGTAATCCCAGCACTTTGGGAGGCCAAGGTGGGCAGATCACCTGAGGTCAGGAGTTCGAGACCAGCCTGGCCAACGTGGCGAAACCCTGTCTCTACTAAAAATACAAAAATTAGCTGGGCATGATGGTGCACGCCTGTAATCCCAGCTACCCGGGAGGCTGAGGTACGAGAATCGCTTGAACCTGGGAGGCAGAGGTTGCGGTGAGCCGAGATCGCGCCACTGCCCTCCTGCCTGGGTGCCAGAGCAAGACTCCATCTCAAAATAAAATAATGAAATAAAATATGTTCTTATAGTTACTTGTATAGCAGTCATATTTTCCCTAAGTGCTGGTTCCTTAGGAGCAAGGACTATGCCTTGTCACCCTTGTATCCCCAGCAGTGCCTTGCATGTAGTACAGCAAATATGGGCTGATTAATTAATAAACAGAAATAGTGAGATGTGCCATACACATATGCAAGTCCTAGTTATCAAAGTTAAATAAAAATGTCTTCATTTTTCCCAATTCATTACTCTTACTAAGCAATGAATAATTTCTTGAAAAGGAACTCTGTTACATGTATTCTGGGCAAAAACTGGCTAACTCACTAGTTCACAGCTATTTTTATTATACTTTGTTAAAACAAACAAAATGGGCAAGATTAAGGATGCTGTATTCTCCCGCTCTTGGAATGAAATTTGGTTTGAGTGTTCATCACTGAAAAGTATCATTTTAAATTCTTTTCTACTTCATTTTCTGCAGTGGAAAGTTACGGAAATACAGTTTGAAGGAAATAATTTCAGCCTACAATAATTAAAAATATTGCCATGGGTTTTTAAAAACTGATTTTCCTTTGAACTCTTGTACAGTATTTTGATGTGCATGACAAATAATGACATATATGGAGGCTGTCTTTGACGTCAGCATCTCACTTGGCATTGTTTCACATGCAGGTAAAACTTGCCTATTGGAAGTTTCTTTAAATGTAATAAACCTACCTACAGTTTATTTCTGATAGCCTTTGGGATTTAAGAGAGAAAACCAATACTTTAATTGTTTTAAAATCAAGGAAGCAAAATATCTGTGGGAAGGTGAGCTACTTAGCATTCAACAATGCAAAGTTTCAAAGCATTTTGCAAATTTTAAATATACGCTATAATTCTTCTATAATTGGTGTCTTTGGTACTTTTTGGGTAAATTGGAGTTATTCCAAAATAATTATATTTTATAGCACTTTTGACACCATAACACTTAGCAGCAGGATTTTTAAATTAAAGTACTGTTTAGTTCTTTGCATTCTGTGATATTATGTGTATGGACAACTTTAATTGAAATGTCTAATTCTGGTAGAGGAGGAGATCTCATTAATTGAAAATTATAAAAGGTTTCAAAAAGTAAGTATTTTTAAAATTGTATCTTTTCTTTTTGGTGTCCTTTTCAAAGAATAAATATTCTTAGTTGTGCCTCCGAAAATCACTTACGGAGCAAATTGCACTTCGGGATTCTATACTTGTACCAGTAGAGGTCACTGTGCACCTATAAAAGGAAACCCAGTGCTTGCTTCTAGGGATGAGCTAGTTATCCTAGAATGTTATAACTAATAACATGAGCTAGTTATCCTAGAATGTTATAACTAATAACAATCATTGATATTTCTGGGAACGTAACCAAATTCCCACCCCACTCCCACCTCACCTCTTAACAAAATCACTTGCCTGTTATCTATCACCTGAGAGTCACCTGTTACTGTCTGTCCACATAATGGAAGCGTATTCTGATGAGGTTAAGTAGAGCCCCGGCACACTGTCTCATAGTATACTTAGGTGAATCAGCCAAAGCACCAGAAACTATGATTTCACAGAAGCAGCCATTCAAACTCTCAGTTTCAGAGTTTGAAAGAACTTTAACATTCATCAGATTCAGCATCTGAGATGGGGTTGGAGACTTTTTCATCTATTCTTAACATTTAATTTGCAAATCCAAAATTGTTTCAAAGGTATTCTTTTCAGTACTGTCGTCCATTTAAGAATGAGATTTTACTTATTAAAACTGTTTAGACGTTTACAGTATTATAGTGTCCATGCTACATAGTGTTTGATTCTCTGAGTGTCCAACAAAATATTCGTAGAATATTGTTTTATATGATTATCGCCACAGAGGTTTCTGATAACAGAGGAGTATGTGAGAACTGAACAAAATGCTGGTTTGTTATAAAACTGCAATGGTGCCCTTACCAGATAGTCAAAACAAATGTGTAAATCTCCAATCAGCCTTGTGCAATGACCCAAGTTCCTGTGAAGGTGGCTGTAAAAGGTGATAAAGGAATGTCGTGAATGGAGCAAGCAGCGGGGAATCATAGACCAATGTGATTGGGCCTCAGTTTACAGAAGGAGAATACAATGTAGGTGCTTTCATGGTTCCCTTCAGCTCTAACACTCTCATCTTCAGTGCAGAGGGCACATTGCAGTGGTTAGCAACATGGGTCCTGGAGAGAGTGCCTGGATTTGAGTTATGACTCTGCCACTTAGTAGTCATGAGGTTATCTTATAGTTATCCTTTCTGCACCTGTTTCGACATCTGTAAAATGGGCTTGATACTAGTACCTGCCTCATAGCATTGTGGTATGCAGTCATTGAGTTATATAGGTAAAGTACTTAGAATAGTACATAGAATGTAGTAAATACTCAATCTGCTATAATTGCATACCCATTTTTTTCCTAAATAGAACTCATGCTGGGATATGGTAGCTGAATTCTTAAACCTCACTCTATTGACTGCTCTCTGAGGATCAAAACAGAGTATATTCTGTGTTTTCACTAACTCTTAATGAATAACATCTATGTCAAGGAACCAGATGTGTATAGAATCTTTAATGATTTAAATTTTCTCTACTTTTTTTTATTTAAAGCTCTTCCTGTGCTCATTCTTGTACAATGAGTTTTTTTTTTAAATCTGGAATTTTTTCTGTGGAGTACATAATCACATTTTTAGTTGCTGTTTTTAGTGACTCATATTGATGCTTTTTTTGCAATTAAATGTCCTAGTTTCAGTGAAAGTCACAAAATACAGTATTTTTTTCAGTATTTCTCTATAGCATTCCAATTTTTATAGTATTTTTTCACATTAGAAATCTGTTAGGTCATTTATAAGGCATTTGTGCATTTGTCTTCAACAGACCCATTAAAAATTTTAAAGCAGTAATTTGATTATTCGTATTTGGACTCTCTATTAACTTTATTAACTTTCTTTTTTTTTTTTTTTTTGGTGGGGGTGGTGGGGGGACAGAGTCTTGCTCTGTCACCCAAGCTGGAGTGCAGTGCGCTCCAGCTTACAACCTCCGCCTCCCAGGTTCAAGCGATTATTGTGCCTCATCCTCCTGAGTAGCTGGGACTACAGCCGTGCGCCACCGTGCCTGGCTAATTTTTTTGTATTTTTTTAGTAGAGACAGGGCTTCGCCATGTTGCCCAGGCTGGTCTCGAACTCCTGAGCTCAGACAGTCCGCCCGCCCCTGCCTCCCAGAGTGCTAGGATTACAGGCGTGAGCCACCATGCCTGGCTTAACTTTCAAATTCTATGTAATCAAAGTTTATTACCCACATACCAATTCGTAGTGAGGGAAACCAATATCTGGCACAGAAATATATAGACACATTTTTGTAGGTATAAATTTGGTCTTGAAAGGTGAGACTGATACTAGCTAAAATTTTTATGTTCACTATATACTTTTAAACCCCGTATCCCTAAGCAATTATCTACATAGTCACTGCCTCTATGTAGGTGGGATAAACCAACTGTAGTGAGACATTTTGGTTCCAACTTGCTATCATCTATTATAGGTAGGTGAACTGGCAGAAAAATTACCCAAATGTGATGTCTCATAAACATCTGGCCTTTCTTTAGGGATGGTCAGGTTTCCCTAGACTAGATGGAAGGCCATGAACTACACCAACTTTCTGATTAACTTAAGAGCCATATATTTCTTAGGCCAAGGGTGTTAATAAGGTTGACCATGGTATTCCTTGAAATTATATGCCGTATTACCATAATACCCAAAAATCCGTGCTCAGATTTTTTTATTTTTTTAAAGATGGAGTCTTGCTCTGTTGCCCAGCTGGAGTGCAGTGGCGCGATCTCGGCTTACTGCAGCCTCCGCCTCCTGGCTTCAAACAATTCTGTCTCAGCCTCCCGAGTAGCTGGGATTCAGGCATGTGCCACCATGCCCGGCTAATTTTTGTATTTTTAGTAGAGATGGGGTTTTGTCATGTTGGCCAGGCTGGTCTCAAACTCCTAACCTCAGGTGATCCACCTGCCTCGGCCTCTCAAAGTACTGGGATTACAGGCATGAGCCACCACACCCGGCCTGTGCTCAGATTTTTAAATGAGTCACATGTGTGAATACTCCCTCTCACCACCTCCCCCCCACCCCAAAACACACACACACAAAGGTGAAACAGCCTGGAATAAAACATTCCGTAGTACAATATGATACCAGCTATTTCTTAAACATGATTGTATTTTAACTTCTATAAATCAGCTATCAAAGACAGAAGTAGGCCTCTTTTTTGTATGTTTCCCCCAGCTATATTAGGGTCTGTTATGTGTAGTGAGTCCAGAATGCTGAATTATGTCCAATAATCCAGGTGGTCTAATGGCTAGGAGACAGAAGGAACTTCTCCTGGAATATATGGCATCACCACCTGTTTTATAAATCTAAGTTACAGGTTGGTTTTTTTACAAGATAAAAAAAAATCGGCTGGGCAGGTGGCTCACACCTGTAATCCCAGCACTTTGGGAGGCCGAGGTGGGTAGATTGCCTGAGCTCTGGAGTTTGAAACCAGCCTGACCAACACGGTGAAACCCCCGTCTCTACTAAAAATACAAAAAATTAGCCAGGCGTGGTGGCACGCGCCTGTAATCCCAGGTACTCTGGACGCTGAGGCAAGAGAATCGCTTGAACCCGGGTAGCGGAGGTTACAGTGAGCCGAGATCGTGCCACTGCACTCCAGCCTGGGCTACAGAGTGAGACTCCATCCCCCACAAAAAAAAGAATAATTACTTTTCACTGCTTTCCAGGTATTTTATAAGTTTAATAACTAAGACTATTGGAGAGAACTTATTTTAGTTAACAGAGTGACATTGTATTGAGATATATTTTGCAAATAATTTGTTTATGGAGGCTCAGGAAATAGAACACTATTTAGGTCACTTTTCAGTAACTTTTTTCCACTATGATAAACTCTTGTAACTTTTGGAATATTAAGGTTTTTTATTGTTGTTATTGTTTTAGACAGGGTCTTTCTCTGTCGCCCAGGGAGGAGTGCAGTGGCATGATCTTGGCTCACTGCAACCTCCACCTCCCGGGTTCAAGTGATTCTCCTGCCTCTGCCTCCCGAGTAGCTGGGATTACAGGCATGCACCACCACTCCTGGCTAGTTTTTGTATTTTTAGTAGAGTTGGGGTTTTGCCATGTTGGCCAGGCTGGTCTCGAACTCCTGACCTCAAGTGATCCACCTGCTTCGTCCTCCCAAAATGGTGGGATTACAGGTTTGAGCCACTATGCCCGGCTGGAATATTTTTACTCAATATTTTCCTTCTTTAAAATGCTTAAATAATACAGTAATTTTATTGCATATTAATAGAAGTATTTGAAGGCAAAAATTAATTTCTTAAATTTATGCTTGGGGATGACTGGCATTTCTTCTGGGTATATGGAAGCTCTAAGCTTGGAAAATACTCTGTATCATTTTAAAATTCTAAACTTTTAACCTGATTAAGACTTGAATGAATGTATCATCCCTACACTGAATGCATTCATTTATTCAGCAAACACATAGGCACCAGGCACACGCTAAAAGAAAGCAAGGTCTCTGCCCTTGAGGAATCCACAATGCAGTCAGGAAGGTAATTACTGGACAGAGTGATTGGCGCCATGGCAGAGATGTGGCAGCGTGCTGTGGAAATGCATCCATGAACCGTGGAAAGGGGTGGAGTAGGGAAGGCGATTAGAGAAATTGGCACTTGACGGGCGTCCTGCAGCTTGCTGGAAGTGAAGTGCATTTGCAGGGGTTACTGGAAGGCATGAAAGGGTATGGAGTGAATGGAGGGCAGGGAGTAGCTCTGCTTGGCCCCTCCGGTTGTGAGGGGCCCTCACTGCCCAGCTAAGAGCTTGCAGTTTCTCTTGTAGGCAGTAGGAGTCTATCAGCAGCAGGTGCCCTGGTTCAGATTACAGATACATTCTTACCTCCTTAACTAGCAGAGTCATGTGAAACAGGAGTGGTCTCAGGAAAAAGGCTGAGAAAGCCAGAAATTGTCTTTCAATTCCCCCTCTATTTTGGGTCCCAGTACCCCTTTCTGCATTTTGGAACATCATCTCCTTAACCACCAGAGCCTTTATCACCTCCCCAGCCTTGATCAGAAAGGATCATATGCAAGGTCAAAGGGAGAAAGAATGATTTTACCTTACCTTTTTTATTTTACGCGAACATCCCCTTCCTTCTGCCCAGACCTGTTCCACATGTAAAATTTTAGCTACAGCATTTTAATTTAGGGCATTTGGATGCTGTATGGGTAAAGAGCGTATCTTTGGAGCCTAATTTCTGTCTGTCCCTGGTCTTACAGCATCAGGCAAGTTACTCAGTTGCCCTGTGCCTCAGTTTTACATCTGTTTCAGAAGGTTATAACATCACATAATAGTGTGATGATACTTAGAATAGAACTGGCACATGGTAAGCATTTTAATACATGGTAACTATTTTTTTTTCATGATCTAGATTCTAGAGAAAAATGAAGACTACAGACTTTAGGAGTATCAGACCCTTCTTGTTGTTAATATTCATTCTTAAGATTTGAGTATCCTAGAAGATATATGGAAATGGAATTGGGGAGGGAAGCTTTAGATTTAAAAGTCTCCCTCTCTTTTTAGCAGTACTTGAATTTCAGGAAAGCATACATTTCACAATATGTGTGTATTGCTAATGGGCTGGATATGGGATAAAACTAATGAAAGCCACGCCTTTGCCGTCTTGCATTATTTATTCAAAACCAGACAGCAGCTGGGCGCAGTAGCTCATGCATGTTATTCCAGCATTTTGGGAGGCCAAGGCAGGAAGATCGCTTGAAGCCAGGAGTCCAAGACCAATGTGGGTAACATAGCAAGACCCCATCTTTTAAAAATACATATAAAAATTAGTTGGGCATGGTGGTGCACACCTGTAGTTCCAGCTACTCAGTTGGCTGAGATGGGAGGATCTCTGGAGCTCAAGAGTTTGAGGCTGCAGTGAGCTATGATTGCCCCACTGCACTCCAGCCCAGTGACAGAGCAAGACCCCATCTCTAAGAAAAATAAGCAAAATAACTGGTCCAAAACCAGGTAGAAACATGGTTCTAATTTTCTGTCCAGGCACCGTGGCTCATGCCTGTAATCCCAGCACTTTGGGAAACTGAGGCGGGCGGATCACCTGAGACCAGGAGTTTGAGACCAACCTGGCCAACATAGCAAAACCCTGTCTCTATTAAAAATACAAAAATTAGCGGGGCATGGTGGCATATGCCTGTGATCCCAGCACTTTGGGAAACTGAGGCGAGCAGATCACCTGAGACCAGGAGTTTGAGACCAACCTGGCCAACATAGCAAAACCCTGTCTCTACTAAAAATACAAAAATTAGCGGGGCATGGTGGCACATGCCTGTGATCCCAGCTACTTGGGAAGCTGAGGCACAAGAATCGCTTCAACCTGGGAGGTGGAGGTTGCAGTGAGCCGAGGTTGCATCACTGCATTCCAGCCTGGGTGACAAAGTGAGACTGTGTCTCAAAAAAGAAAGAAAGGAAGAAAACCAGATAGCATTGTTGTGCATAAACATGTAGAAAAGTAAGGAGGGAAAAAAAGTAGCCATTCAAGAAATAAACCAGTAGCAAGGACTGGGTGAACATATTTGTGTAGGGATATTATTTGAGGGTGTTACTACTCAAGAGTTCATGTGCTCTTTTTACTGTGCTGGAAGAGGCAGAGGTAGAGACAAGTCTCTGTGGAGGAAAAGGAGGGCGCCTTGTGCTGAGAGAAGCCAAGATTGCCCTCGAAGAAGTGGCTCATGCTAGGGAGGGAGGTGACTTGGAGGTAAATGAACTGAAGCAGCTCCCCGCAGCCCTGGATACCCTTGAGCATGATGCTGAATGCAGCCGTGGATACCCCTGAGTGTGATGCTGAATGCAGTCGTGTGCTGCAGGTGATGAGCAACATGGTTGTAGTGAGAGGCTCCAAGCTCTGTGGAACCTTCACATTCTTTTATTAGAGTTTGTCTTGCAAGAGGAAGGGCAAATAATAGCAGGCTGTGAGGCTGAGTCTGGAGGCACAAAGTCTGTCGGAGATTCTTGAATGAATTGGCCTTGGGATTTAGCAACTTTGTGGGTCATAGATCAAAGAAAATTAGAGCCAGAAGGCAGTGAAAGATTTTCCAGCCCATGAATAAGAACTCAGTATGTCAAATTGGGGAGAAGAGGAGGGAATTTGAAAAGCACATTTAACGTGCTTTGTTTCATAATGCAAAATAAAGCTTTTTAAAATCGTCATGGTTGAGGGAAGATATGTGGAATCTGATAATGTGGCAAATGATTGTAGGGGACTTAGGTTAGCAACAGTTGTGAAATGATGACAGCTCGCCTCTCTGCATGGTTTCATCTATAAAGCAGGAGTGAAGATAGGTGTTTACAGTAAGCATCAAATGACATGATAGGGCAAAAATTCCTTGGAAATTTGGGGAAACTTAATACAGCTTTTGCAAATGAATGGTGCTGTTTGTTTTGTTGCTAGAAATCACATTCTCAGTGTCAGGGAGTTGAAGATAAAACAGAATTCCCTCGGGTTCTTTTTAAGTGAATGAGCGAGAGAAAAGGGGCATTAGAGATTGAGTTGCCAGGCTTCACAAATGAAAATACAGGACACCCAGTTACTTCTGAATTTCAGATAAATAATGAATAATTTTTTAAATATAAATATGTCTGAAATTTCATCTTAACCGGGCATCCTGTATTTTATCTTGCATCCCAATTAGAAACCTAAAATCACAGCAGAGCCAGGACACGGACTGATGGCTCAATGTCCTAGAATGTTTATGGATTTCACCTGTGCCCTGGGCCTCGCTGGACTTTTCTAGATATCTACAAGTGGCGGCTTGCTCTCTTTCTCCTCATCCCAGTACTGTGGAGTGTGGCTACAAAAGGTTTGAAGGCGTTACTGATCATTGTGGTGGTGTCAGTGATATTGTATAATAATTGTAATAATTTCTACGTATTGAGTACTTGCTATACTGGATGCTTTACGTAAATTAATTTATCCTTATAACAACCACATGAGAATAGGCACTATTATTTCACTTCACAGATGAGGAAACAACCAGTTTAGCCCAAGTTACACAGCTAATTTGGGCAAAAGGTGGGTTCTAACTGAGGAGTGTCTGATGGCAACTCCTGTGTTCTTAACATCCGTTCTACATGGTTTGGATTAAGAGAGTTTGTAGCTGACCCTATGATGGAAATTCATTGAGGGCTTGTGTCCTTTTTCTTCATGATCTGTGATGTGAATTTCTCTTCATAACCAGACTGTGTGTTCAGATCCCAGGCTCTGCCATTTGTCTTTTCAGATTTTGAGTTATTTCACTTTGCCTAAAATAATACTTCATCTTGCTAATGAAGCCTGTAGATTTCAGCATGAGATGCATTCTTAATAACCTGGAAAAGTATGTAGGGACGTACAAAATCCTATGTGGGTCTGGATCCAGCATTTATCTATTGACTATACACAGATTTTGTAATGAGTTATATCAAATTAAAGAATGGAAATCCTTGTTGAAAAATATTTTATCAACCAAATTATGTTTAAAGCTATTTTTATGTTCTTTCAGCTCACTGACATGTAACCAACTTCTCCATCTGATTTCACTTCTGCCGTGTTCTTGAAGATTTTAAAAAAGGGGACAGTTGGTTGACTATAAAACACAGAATCTATTTGTATTCAAGATCATCGATTTAAGTTTGACAAACTAAAAGAATGTAATGTTCTACTCATTTGTATGGCCAGTGTCTACCCAGTAAGCTTTTTCAGTCTGGAACATTTTTAGTTTTCCTAGTGATTATAGCTTAGATTTCAGCTGTATTGAATTTCTAGAGAGATTTTTAGTGCAACTAAAACTCATGTTAAAACTCATGTGTACCTTGACCAGCTTTCACCATGTGAGCCCTCTTCTCCCCAAATAATTGTGTCTCTTGGACCAAGTTCAAAGCTCCTGAGAGCTCCTGTGTGCTCTGTGTCCTGCAAGGCTTTGTCTTTGTCATCTTTTTCATTTTTAAATCTACACTTGACAGCTGCATGTGACATTTGGGAAATTGCTTTCAAAATCTGGCATTTGGGGTTTAGTAGCCAATTTAAATATATAAGAAAACCATATCTTTTAAAATTTTTTCAGTTGAAAGCATTTGCATTCAGTATCTTTTAAACAAGGAATAAAATGAACGAGCAAGGACAAAAGGATCCAATATTGTTTAGTATCTTTTGATAACATTTTGGTAAGATGCCTGAGAAATATTCCAATGCAGTTCAATACAATTCTCCAATAGAAACTCAAAATATAAAGTGACAGCTGTAAATTTGAAGTAGATAAATTGTGAAATCTAGGAAATTAAATATACATGTTTGGTACCATTTTTGCAGAACCCATTTATATGTAGGTTCTTAAGTAGAATTACGTTAAGTAATAGTAGTAATAATAATAATAAATAATTCATTGGAGAATGATCAGGAGAGAAAGTTTGCAAATTAACGACGGCAGAGCAAGTGAAGGAATTCCATGCATGTATAAATAATTTTGCCTTAAGGTTTGAAACTGTTGTCATGGTCAGAGGTATTTGCTGTTGCTTTGCTAGATCATTTTTTTGCACTAATTATTGTGGAGTCCTTTATCAATTTGGGAACCTATGAAGCCAGTTTTGCCAGTTTGGCTGTGTATATCCATGAGCTAATTTTTAGATATTGCTGGTAGCAACTTGATATCCCCAGTGCTTAGCAAAATGCCTGACCATGCCTAGCTCTCAGTGAATATTGTTGAACTGAAATTAAATGGCCTGGTGGGAGTGTTCATATTCCTTATAATTTAAAAGGGAAATAAAAAGGTATTTCTTTTCACTTTACATGTCCTCCTTAAGAAATGTAGGAATAGAAAATTTGAGATTCTGAAATATTTCAGTGGGGCCAGGCACAGTGTCTCACGTTTGTAATCTCAGCCCTTTAGGAGGCCTAGGTAAGAAGATAGATTGAGGCCAGGAGTTTTGAGAGCAGCGTGGGCAACATAGTGAGATCCTGTTTCCATAAAATGACATAATAAAACTTTACATCCAACTCAATATTAGAGAGAGATTTTGGCAGAGTCATCTTCTTCCACTGTATTTTTCCAATAGGGGAAATCCCACTTTTATAATTGAAATCAGTGAGAAAAAAATAAAATAAAATTTGAGGTATAGTGAATTTTACTAGAATATGTTCCCCTACAGTAAGAGTTATATCTACAGAGCAAAGTGTCTCAAAGAATAGACCCACTGAATATAAACAGCAAAGCATTTTGGAAAATGTGTTTATACTCAGTAGTTTGTTTAATAACTATTTATTGAGTGTCTGTTATTACCATTTAAAATTTCAACTTTTAGGTTCATGGGGTACATGCGCAGGTTTGTTGCATGGGTATAGAAGTTTTTTTTACAGTAACTAACAGTGTTGAGTCCGGTTGTCCTGGCTTTTTATTTTCCTGTTAATTTGACTTCCATGAGGGTACTGTACAGAGACATTTTTGGCTAAAAGATTCTGGCTCGAGAATCTTGCCTGGTTACTGAGAAAAGTTTAAAGTTATATGGAAAAAATCTTGTAATTCTCCAACCCACATTTTCTGCTTCCAATGAAGGTAAATTGTTTTATCTTTAAGCAATCTCTTAGTGGTGCCTTTGGAATCTGCCAGCCTTCCTCCCATTAGCATTTGTGCCTCTGATGGTATAACCTGAAATAGAACAGGGTCACTCCTGTGCCTTTGTTATGTTGAACTTTTACTCAAAATTTATCTATTCTTATTTAAGGCCCAAGATAAGTAGGTAAAATTCACTTTGGTCAAGCAGAGATTCTTTATCACATTACTTAAAATTAGCATGACTGAATGTCCCAGGTTGCCTCACTCTAGCATGCCTGTCACTCTAGCATGCCTGTCACTCTTCCATGCACAATACATTGTATGGTCATCACACTTTTAACTAGTGAAATCAGATGAATACAATACAGTAATCACGAGTCATACAACAACACATGAAATTTGAACCATTTAGAAAGGAGACAGGAGTTGTCAGAATTTGGCAGACGTGTGTCCCTATATACACAAGTATGGCGTGGGTATCAGCCAACTCTGAAGTGGAAGTCAGATGTAGCAACTTTCTGGTTTCTTTGAGGAGGATTGATAGGTAGCTGATGCCCCAGAATGGCTCTTAACCTTGAATTAGACATCTATTTCAACACACATTTGTTGAGTGCCTGTAGGTACCTGGTGCCATGGGGAGCAGTAGATACAACAGTGGACAGAGGAGATGTGGCCCCGCCCTCATGGAGTTGATCGGCCTTGTCCAAACTACATAAACAGGTCACTGTAAAACTTTAATTTTACTTTTAAACCAGAGGCATAGGCTGCACGTGTACAGTGTGCAAACTAAGTTATATTCTCCCCAACCTCATATCCTTAACACATCTCTTTATTGGACCATTAAATTCAGTGTGGTGCTTCTGCGTGAGGAAACAGCTTGGGAGTTGTGATCCAATGAGTCAGCTATGCATTTGGAATGGCTGATGCCTACTCTGCTAGCATCGTAGCCTTCAAAGAGACCATCAGAATGTTCATTGTGATGAGCACTTGAGAACAAAACAAACCGATGGTTTGGTTCCAGAACCATTTAAACAGTCAGGTACTTATTTAAAGTCACTTGCCCAGGACTTTCCTTTATTCCTAAACATGGCTGGTAAAAACCAGAAAGTGACTACCAGAGGCTCCTGCACAGCCAAGACGTTGTGACAAGATGGGTTTTGGAGGAGCAAATAGAGGATTAAAAGAGGCAGGCCTTTTGGGGAAGCCAGGCGATTGTGGCCTGGGGAATCGGTCAAGGAGGGTGTGAGCAACCAGGTCCAGGGGCTTGTTAGGGTGTGTCAGGCCTTCTGAGTGTTGGTGGGATGTGTGTATGAGTGGGCAAGAGCTCCCAGGTGTTGACAGGCAGATAGATGGACAGGGTCAGCAGGGCCGGCTTCCTCCTGGTCAGCATGATTGCAGACAGGTTTCTTCCGAAGCCCACGTGTGAAGTCCAGTGCAATGTATGCACTCGAGAATGAACTCAGCTTTATCTCTCAGACACCTTTTTAGGAATCTTAGTCATTTTATTTTATTTCTATTTATTTATTTTTTACTTATTTTTGGGCAGGGGGGACAGAGTCTCACTCTGTCACCCAGGCTGGAGTGCAGTGGCATGATCTCAGCTCACTGCAACCTCCACCTTCCAGGTTCAAGTGATTCTCCTGCCTCAGCCTCCTGAGTAGCTGGAATTACAGGCATGCACCACCATGCCCAGCTAATTTTTGTATTTTTAGTAGAGACAGGGTTTCACCATGTTAGCCAGGCTGGTCTCAAACTCCTAACTTCAGGTGATCCACCTGCTCGGCTTCCCGAAGTGCTGTGATTACAGGCGTGAGCCACCATGCCCTGCCTATTTATTTATTATTTTATATTTTATTATTTTATTTTAATTTTTTTGAGACGGAGTCTCATTCTGTCGCCAGGCTGGAGTGCAGTGGTGTGATCTTGGCTCACTGCAGCCTCCGCCTCCTGGGTTCCAGCAATTTTCCTGTCACAGCATTCCGATATTTATTATTTTTAATAGAGACAAGGTTTCGCTGTGTTGCCCAGGCTGCTCTCGATTTCCTGGGCTCAGGTGATCCTCCCACCTTGGCCTCCCAAAGTGGTGGGATTACAGGTGTGAGCCACCACACCCAGCCCATTTGATTTTCTAGTTCACAGTAATTACAGAGATGAGGCTAACAGTGTGTCCCATAGAGCAAGAAACTCCACCATCTAGTCCAGTGACTATACCAGCATCTAGTGCAGAGCTGACAGCAGCAAGCAGTAACAGCTTTACATTGTGAAATAAGACAGAAAACTCTTAACAAATAAAGACCAAAGACAAGCCAAGGCCTGGTATCTTACTATGTCCAAATTTGCCACTGCAGACTGAGTTGGATTTGTATTGCAGTTGTAATTGAAGTTCTGAAAAATTATCTTATGTGGAATATCTCATTACTCAACATTGCCAAAAACTGAAATTTAATGCTTATTGTAGACAAATTATCTAATTTCCAAGTTAGTTTTTATGTGTAAACACAACCAGAAATTCACTTTGAATGCTGAAGCCTGACTTTTTTTTTCTGGTTGATTTTCAAGGAACCAACTTATCTTTTTTATGTTTTAGAAATATGAGGGATATGGCTATGGCCTTGACTTTTTTGTTGCAAACAAGTTGGTGCAAAAGTAATTGCGGCTTTTGCCATTTAAAAGTAATGACAAAAACCACAATTATGGCTGGGCACGGTGGCTCACGCCTGTAATTCCAGCACTTTGGGAGGCCGAGGCAGACAGATCACAAGGTCAGGAGTTTGAGATCAGCCTGGCCAATATGGTGAAACCCCGTCTCTACTAAAAATACAAAAATTAGCCAGGTGTGGTGGCACGTGCCTGTGGTCCCAGCTACTTGGGAAGCTGAGGCACGAGAATCGCTTGAACCCAGGAGGTGGAGGTTGCAGTGAGCTGAGATTGCACCACTGCATACCAGCCTGGGCTGAACAGAGTGAGACTCTATCTCAAATAAAAAAAGAAAGAGGCAGGCCAGTCGCGGTGGCTCACACCTCTAATCCCAGCACTTTGGGAGGCCAAGGTGGGCGGATCACCTAAGGTCAGGAGTTCGAGACCAGTCTGGTCAACATGGTGAAACCCCATCTCTACTCAAAATACAAAAAAGTTAGCTGGGCATGGTGGCGCATGCCTGTAGTCCCAGCTACATGGGAAGCTGAGGCAGGAGAATCGCTTGAACCCCGGAGGCGGAGGTTGCAGTGAGCCGAGATTGCGCCACTGCACTCCAGCTTGGGTGACAGAGTGAGACTCCATCTCAAAAAAAAAAAGATAAGAAAGAGGCAGTCTGATGTCAGGTGCAAGTATGAGCCTTTAAAGTTGATCTGATTAAAATCCACTTTCTGCCACACAACAGCATGAGACTTCAGGGGAGTTACTTACTTAAATTGTCTAAACTTAAACTCCCTGTTATAAAACAGGAATGCTAATACCAGTGTGTCCCTCATAGGGCTGTTTGGGGATTGCATAAGGTAATTCACATCAGTTCCCAGCACAGCATCTGCTATGTATTGAGTAGTCATGACTGTCATTATTGTATTTGTTTCGAAGGACCAGGTATACTCTAGGCTTAGTCATCTCTTTAAAGATTGTCTTATGAGCCATTCTGTACTCCCTGCACTCCTGCCAATCCACAGTTGTTGCCAATCCACAAGCTGGCCCAGACTTGAGGGAGGAAAGGAGGAGGATCACTGTGCTGCCCGAGGACGTAGGGATCTGGGCCTACAGGGAAGTGCCACAGAGTATTCAGGAGAGATGAATGGGTGATAGGGAAAATGTACACTCAACAGTAGCTATTAAAGGAAAAGGGCTTGGATTTTACTTTGAATAATGACATACGCCATAGCAACTTTTAATTTTCCTTAAAAGATCACAGCTGGCCAGGCACCATGCCTTATGCCTGTAATCCCAGCACTTTAGGAGGCTGAGGTGGGAGGATCGCTTGAGCCCAGGAGTTTGAGGCTGCAGTGAGCTGTGATCACACCACTGCACTCCAGCCTGTGTCACAGAGCAAGACCCTGTCTCAAAAAAATAAAAAATAATAAAAGATCACTGCTGACCTCCAATAGCCCTGTCTGGAAGCAGTCTGTTTTCCTACAGTAGGTCTCACACAGCTCTAGACTACAATTATTTGGGTGGATATTTCATTTTTCATTTTATATCAGCCTTATAGTGTGTATGTATATAGTGTTGATATTCCTATCTGAGGAACAAACTGAAAGCATCTTCTGTATATTAGACTTGAAGGTTCTGCAAGAATCTCAATGAGGAATGCATGTGGTTGTGTTCTGACTTGTTTCCAAAGTCCAGATACCTGTGCTCTCCTAAGCAGGCTGCCAGTGACCACCAGCACCCTTCCATGCAGCTGCTGCAGCATTCCTTCCACAGCAAAAACACTTGGCAGCAAGCAGGTGATAAAACCTACTTTTGGGGAAAGTCTGGAACATTCCCGATGTTCCGCAAGGAAATCCTGTCTGTAATTACCACTCTTTATTATACTGAGCTGAAAATATTCATCACATATCATCATAAGTACTCAATTAGGTTGAATATTTGTATACAGTAAAACTTAGGCACAGACACATTTGCGTTAAGTGTAAGGGAGCACTTAGTAATCGTACTCCTGTCTTTATGAGGAAAACCACTCGATGGCACAAGGAAAATGTTGGAAGGATTGTGTATGTTTGTGTTTGGGGTGGGAAATTTTGTCTTTCTTTTTTTCTTTTTTTAAAGGATATTGCATGTCTTTGTAGAATCCAGAAACCAGAGCCTCAGTGGGGCTGGGAGCAAGACTCAGCTGGGGATAATCATGAGTGGATTAAGCAAAGGGCAGGTGGCAGTGGGTGGGGCCAGGAGAGAAGACTTGGCTCAGCCACTCCTAGTGCACCCTCAGGGGAAGGTGAGGACCCAGTGGGGTGAGGACTGACCAAGGTGTAGATGTGTGGATTGAGTGTGAGCACACAGTAAGTAAAGCCTTGAGAGTGAGGGCTTGAAGAATGACTGGGACACAGGTTATGGGTTTGTTCAATGTTGGTGGCAATATTACCTTTATAATCTTCTAGAGGGAAAGAGCCACTCGAGGACGAGGGAGTTAAGGTAATGAACTGACTGTGGGATTCTCAATACTCTCTGCTTTCTCAATAATAGCATTTCAGGCCAGGCGTGGTGGCTCACACCTGTAATCCCAGCACTTTGGGAGGCCAAGGCGGGCGGATCACCTCAGGTCTGGAGTTCAAGACCAGCCTGACTAACATGGAGAAACCCCCATCTCTACTAAAAATACAAAAATTAACTGGGCGTCGTGGCACATGTCTGTAGTCCCAGCTACTTGGGAGGCTGAGGCAGGAGAATGGCGTGAACCCGGGAGGCGGAGCTTGCAGTGAGCCGAGATCCCGCCACTGCACTCCAGCCTGGGCGACAGAGCGAGACTCCGTCTCAAAAAAAAAAAAAAAAAAAAAAAAAAAAAAAAAAAGGCATTTTAGCCATGATTTCTCTAGTTCGGAGCAAAGCAGCAGTGTATAATTTTGATTGAATCGTTACTTAACAGTTAAAGATGAGGAAGTAGCATTCTTCTATACAGATGTCACAGCTGGGTTTCAAAGAAAGCGGGAATTGGAAAATTGGGGATCAGATTTTGGCTGGGCCATATTGCCTTAGACTATTGTCACCCCTGAATCAGTTTCTCATACTCAAGGCAGCCTTAATAACTGTCTTGCAGAAATGGGAATATAAAAGGGTACCTTGTTCTGGAGACAGTTCTAGGTTTCTAGAGACTAGTCAAGTCTAGAAATTAGTCTAGTTTCTAGAGACTCTAGGTTTCTAGAGTTCTAGGTTCTGGAGACTAGTCAAGGTTTTGAATTATAGCCAGCATGTCAGCACTAAATCCTGCTTTTTATAATCCGTGTACAAGGGCAGAACATCTTTGGCAGCAGAATGCAAGAATACTTCCACCGTGGCAACCTGACGTAGTTCTAGAATATTCTAAATATTAAGGACTTGGTGAGAAACCATTCATTCATTCAGCAAATAGATCTTAGGTACCCACCATATACTTAAAGTATTTTAGTAGATGAGGCCAGGCACAGTGGCTCATGCCTGTAATCCCAGCACTTTGGAAGGCCGAGGAGGGTGGATCACTTGAGGCCAGGGGCTTGAGACCAGCCTGGCCAATATGGTGAAACCCTGTCTCTACTGAAAACAGGAAAATGAGCCAGGCATGGTGGCTCACACTTGTAATCCCATCTACTTGGGAGGCTGAGGCAGGAGGATGACTTGAACCTGGGAGGGGGAGGTTGCAGTGAGCCGAGATCGTGCCACTGCACTCCAGCATTGGTCACAGAGAGAGACTCCATTTCAAAAAATAAATAATTTCAGTAGAGATTCTAGTTCTACTGAAGTGACAAAAACATATAGAAAAAAGTAAAATTCACCTAATGCTCTTTTTTTACTGGCATGGTTGGTATCAGACAACAATTTTAACATCAGCAAAACTGGCAAAAATGATTAGTTTTTTTAACTGCCTATATTTGGCTTCACACAGTAGCAGTTTAGCACTCAGAGCTGTAAACGTCTGTCCATTGACTGTCCCAGAGACTGAATGATCACTGACCTACTACTGTTTCTTCACCCAGTCCTCCCTGAAGCCACTATGCTGTCATACGGTGGCCTGTGTGGGGACCTACCTAGATCAGCATGTAAGAAAGATACTTCACTTCCCATGTTTTCTTGCCAAGATAATGCCCACTTTGTGCTCCTCATTTCCTCTTTTTCACTGCTTGTTCTGATAGTAATTCTAGTAATAGCCTTTTGTACATACACATAATCTCTTTAACTGTCTGCATCTTCCTTCTCACCCAAGGATAGCCTTTTGCATATAAACATATTCTCTTTAATTACCTGCCTCTTCTTTCTTTCTCACCAAAGGAACGTAAAGAACATCCTGCCCAGCCTTCTAGGCATTCCTTCAATAATTTTCGGGTGCCTGTGCATGACACTACACTGGTTTTATAGTCGATAAAGTTTGGATACGACATTAGTTCTACATTCATAAAGCTTGTACTCTCACAGACATGACAATTTATAAACTAAAAACTGTAAGATGAAGTAGAAAATGTGTCAGACTATAAGAGACTTTTTCTACTCCTTTTTTTCATTTTCAAATTAAAAATGCATTCGTGTAGAATTTCAGATGTTCTACATTATTATTTGATATAGTGTAGAAAAAGGAAATGTTGAAACTAAAAAATGAGCACATGTTGGTCATCAGTTGGGGTGTAGGCTTTGTTCATTTATTTGTTAACCCAGCAAATAATTGAGTGGCCAAGCATTGTATTGGATGCTTGAGAAGTTAAGGAAAAGACCTTGCCCTCCTCCAGTTGAAAGCTCGGGTGCAGTGGTCCAGGAGGCAGGAAGGCATGGAAACCGCATGTGCGTGGTATACTGTCTGCGACTCCCTGGGCCCCATCTGGTGGCTAAGAGGGATCCAGCTAAAAAGCTTCATCAGGAAGGTTAGTCTCAAGGCTTTTGAAGATGGTAGGGCATGTGATTTTACAAAAAGATGGCTGTGAGGGGTGGGGAAGCAAGCCAAGGAAACTAAATAGACCTCTTTGGGAGGGTGAATGTTTCCTAAGTCTTTGATTCAAACTTGGCTAAGGGCAAAGGACAAGGGAAATCCCATAATTTTGAGAAAGGGAATGATGTAAATATAATGTGATGGTAGTTTTACATCTTTTAAATGACTTTATCTTTTAGGCTGGGAAAGAGTAAATGCAGGTCAGCCACCTATTTATGAGTCCCAGTTCATCTTTTTTAGAAAGTCAGATAACACTTTTCAAGACATACTGCTTATTAATCCTAGACATGAGAGACTTATGAAAGGCAAAAGATATGGTGATGCTTCACTTAACTAAATCCCAGAAAATGTTGGCTCCCCTTCTAAAAATCTTGAAATACAGTGTTTTTTGGAACATTAATAAGAAGACAGCTTGCTATCACCAAATTGTTAGTCTGCATTAGAAACTCAAAACTGCTAACAGATGCACCCAGCAGATTTTTAAATATGGAATTATTTCAGCCAGCTGCCAAATCATTGATCTATGTAACTTTTTAAAATATGAAATATACATATGAATCTACATAACTGTTCAATTGACAAATGTTCCTGTTTGTAGTGTATACCATGAACACTTGATTTCCAAACTGAGACTTGCCTTGACTAGAACTAAGCTACTTAGATTAACTCAGTAGTCTAAAAACAATTTAGATTAAGTTTTTTAGAGTAGGGTTTAGGTCTTAGTCCTGATTTTCTCCTTTAACTAACTAACACTGGATAGGTCTCAGCATGCCTGAGAATTTTCCACATTCCTTTAAAACCATGTTTCGAGTTTGTACATATGAGATTTATACGATGCACATATAATCAGTGTATGTTGTTAGAATATATTTAGAAAAACTCCCCACGTGTTCACATTAATTAGGTAATGAATTTACTAAAGCACATGGGCCCAGGTCCACTATGTGCCCACATACATTAGTCATACTTGCTCCCATGAAGGAGTTGAATAGCAGAGGAGTGATAAACAGAACATCGCTCCTGTTCCCTTTAGAAGCTAGACTCCAGTCCTGGACATATCTGTCTGTCAACTCTAAACCCCATCTATTTGGGGGTTTGTTTAAAATGGGTGCACACAAGAGAGTTGTCAGCCCAGGCTCCCTGGACCTGTGGCCACATGGTATGAGACGGAGACCTAAGTTTAGCCAGTCCTGTCCACACACCCACCCAATCCACCCAACTAGATGCCTCTTTAAAAAATAAGCAAGTGTATCTCCCATTTTTATAATAAAATTCCACTTATGAAGCTTCTCAATTTTGCAAAATTTTCCTTTTGTAATTTTTTAAACTTTTGTTAAATTTTAAGAGTCTTTATCTGTCCCTTTATATAGATAAAATTGGGTCTCAGAATATTCCTATTTATTTTTTCATTATGATCCTATTTTTTAAATCATACAAATAATGCATACTGTAGAAAATAGTATAAGATAGAGGTAAGTATGGAAAAAATAAATCACATGATTCTAAATCCGAGCATTTTTTATTCTTAAAAAAACAGGAGAATTCTGTTTGCCATACAGAATAAAACACTGCAAAAAGAAAATTGTTTTAAAGAGTACCAGACAGTGTAGAGTAGAGGAGGCATCATTCGTTCTGGAGTCCCCAGAGCTGGGCTTTCAGCCTGGTTTTGCCACTTACACAATATGTTGCCTTGAGCCATAGGCCTACTCTCTTCGAAAATGGGGATAATGATGCCCGTCTGTCCAGGGTGCTGATGGGAATCCATCGCAGAGGCAGAGTGTAAAGCAAATGGGTGGGTGTTATCAAGTATAAGACTGTGCATAATACATGTCATTGATCACATATACCTAAAGTGCTGCTCTTACTAGAACATTTTTTGGAAGACAGATTTCAAAGGGTTCTGAGATGAATTTAGTGGACAGAGTTTTGAATCCGAAAGCTGTTTTAGTTTGCTTTTAATAGAATACCTAAAACAGTAATTTATAAATAAAAGGAATTTATTTCCTACAGTTATGGAGGCTGAGAAGTCCAGGGTCAAGGGGCTGCATCTGGTGAGGGCCTTCTTGCTGATGGGGACTCTGCAGAGTCCTGAGGTGGTCCTGGGCATCACAGGGCAAGGGGGCTGAGTGTGCTAGCACAGGTCTCTCTTCCTCCTTTTGTAAAACTACCAGTCCCATTCCCATGATTACCTATTAATCCAGTCATCCATGAATGGATTAGCCCATTCATGAGGGCAGAGCCTTCATGACCAAATCACCTCTTAAAGGCCCAACCTCTCAATGGCGCCACGTTGGGGATTAAGTTTCAGCATGAGTTTCAGATGGGTGGACATTCCAATCATTGCAAAAGCTGACACGAGGGATGATAAACTCACAGTATAATCTTGCTAGTATGTGTAAGGTGACATATAATCCTAATGAAAAAGAAAGGAGGTTCTTGTGCCCCCAGTCTACTCTCTGACGGGCCAAATCTGAAAGGACCAGCACAGGAGAGGCAGACTCCTACCTAATTCAAGAAGAATGTGGAAGAGAGGTACAGAACTGTAAAGGCAAATCAGGAGGCTGGAAGTTGGTTTGAGGATGAAGCTTATGTAAAAACAAGTGCCTGTGGCATTATGTTAATAAATGACAAAGCCAGAACTCCATGTCAGAAGGAGCTAAAGCCTAAAATAGGTGGGAAGATGATGAGGTTGTCCCTAGTTGTTCTCAAAGTTGCTGTTACCTTGAAAAATGACTTCCCTGGGAACCAGAACATCCAGGTTGGCCTCAAACTTGCTGCCAAACAGGAACTGTGGCAAGCCGGAGAGGATTCTGATGCTTGGAAGTGGGCGAATGTTTTGATTTTCAAGCAAAGAAAAAGCTAGCTTCCTAGAATTACAGGCCAGTGAACTTGTCATCATTCCCAGAGAGTGCTGAAAAGAATTAATTAAATGATTTTTCAGCTGTTAAAAAGGGATCCTCTGCCCCAGCAGAACTGGCAGAGATCCCTAATAACAGTTCCTGCCAAAAAAAAATGATTGCAGCTTTGAAAAAGAGGGTTACTTCAATGATGAATGAGAAAGCGTTGTAGATGCTGTCTCAGGATTTTGGTAAGGTATTTGAGAAAGGCACTACATTTCTTTGTGAAAAGGCAGGAGAAACAGGGCTTGGATGGCAGTGCAGTCCCACAGGCTCATACCCACCATGCTACTCAAACTACCGATTAATGGACCTATGTCTACCTGGGGTGGAGGGCTGCAAGGGTGGACCTCAGACCCCAATCTCATAATGAGGTAGTGAGTGAGGCAAGACACCCCCTTACCTGGCCATGGCTTAAGAGTTGTAGAGCAGAGATCAGAAGCCACAGCCTTGGTCAGAGGGAGGGAAACAAGCCCAGCTGGATGAAAAAAAAGGAGCATGGAGACAAAATGGGGGGTGGGGAGCAAGGGACACTGAGGACAGCTGAGAACCAGGGGCTGCAGGTCTGCCCTGGGGAGGCAGGCAGGTGGGTTTCAAAGGCGGGGCACCATCGCTTGTGGAGGTTTGTCATTCTCAGTGCACTCTTGAGATTGTCACAGATCCATTTAAAAGGGCTGAAAGGAGACAGAGATTTGTAACCTCAGACCTGCCCTCCTCAACTGATTTATTACCAGTGTGAATGAGGACGTGGATATAAGACATGTTCATTAAGCCTGCAGGTGATGTGAAGGTGGAAGAGAGAACTAAAACGTTGGATGACTTCGGTACCTAGGTCCAAAAAACTCAGTTGTTCTGAGTGTGTGATAAAATGCTATTTAGTCGTGACCCGTGAGGAGGAGGTAGAGGCTGGAGAGTCAGTACAGATTAACGTGGCTACAAAAGCGTAAGGAAGACTTAGACCTCTGTAGCAGAAGAATATAGTTCAAGCTGAGATGGGTAACAAGCCTTACCTTAACAATATTTCTCTGTCCCCCACAAGTCAGACCACATCTGAAATTTTAAAATGAGCTCCAGTTTCCATCACTGAAGGGCAAATCTTGAGTGTATCCATTGGAGAATGCCGTAGATACTTTGAGATTTCATTCATATATATATATGGATTAATATGCTCACCCTGGAGAGCATTTGAGGGATTTTAAGGCCACTGGCTTGAAATAAGCGACGTGCACCTGAGGGATTGGATGTATCTTTGGTAACACCATAGGGCGTAGGTTTGAGCTTCTTAGCCTTTGGCGCTGTCTGAAAAGAAAATGGAGGCCTTGGGCCGGGTTTGGTGGCTCATTCCTGTAATTCCAACACTTTGGGAGGCTGAGGCAGGTGGATCACTTGAGGTCACGAGACCAGCCTGGCCAACGTGGTGAAACCCCGTCTCTACTAAAAATACAAAAATTAGCCGGGTGTGGTGGCTCATGCCTATAGTCCCAGCTACTCAGGAGGCTGAGGCAGGAGAATCGCTTGAACCTGGGAGGCGGGGATTGCAGTGGGCTGAGATAGCACCACTGCATTCCAGCCTGGGCAACAGAGTGAGACTCCGACTCAAAAAAAAAAAAAAAAAGGAGGCCTTGGGAGAGAGACCCTGACCCTGGAGACACCCACCCCCTGGACAAAGGTCACCTTCAGGGAAGTTAGAGAGACAACTCAGGGATCTGAGGAGACGTTGATCTGAAGACACCTAGGCCCCTTTGGAGCTAAGGTTATGTGGTCCTCATTCTATCATTTATATGTTTGTGTAGTGTGGGTACTCAAATCATCACATGCTCCTTCCGCATTGGTGGTATAAAAGCTGTGCTATTTGAGATTGTCTCCTTGTTAGGGGTATGATTCGAACTGGAAAGTTTGGGTTATCTTGTATGACAAAGGTATCAGTTTCAACCTAGTTTCTTCCATGAGACCCATTCTAATCCTTCAGGGAGGAACTTGATTGAAATGAGAGGCCCCAGGAAGAGAGGCAGCACAAGGAGACTGCAAGGAGACCATAGGCCTAATTTGCATGCCCACACTCCTGGGTGCCAGAGAGCAGAGCACAGTTTTTTGTTTGTTTGTTTATTTTGAGACAAGGTCTTGCCCTGTTGCCAAGCTGGAGTGCAGTGGCGTGATCTCGGCTCACTGCAACCTCCTCCTCCCGGGCTCAAGAGATTCCCCTGCCTCAACCTCCTGAGTAGCTGGGACTACAGGCATGCACCACCATGCCCAGCTAATTTTTTGTATTTTAGTAGAGACGGGGTTTCACCATGTTGAGAATGGTCTTGATCTCCTGACCTTGTGATCTGCCTGCCTCGGACTCCCAAAGTACTGGGATTACAGGCGTGAGCCACCACACCTGGCCCAGAGCACCTTTTTATAGGTTAAAGTGAGCTGTATTTTTTCCTTAAAGCTTTTAAAATCTTCTTCTTTTCAGATAAGGTGATAAGGATAGACATTTTAATATTTTTTAAGTTTTTGAGGATTTGTTTATTGTTTTAAATATTGATTGTTTGTTTGTGATAGAGTCTTGCTCTGTTAGCCAGGCTGGAGTACAGTGGCTTGATCTCGGCTCACAGCAACCTCTGCCTCCTGGGTTCAAGCAGTTCTCGTGCCTCAACTTCCCAAGTAGCTGGGACTACAGGCACCTGCCACCATGCCCGGCTTTTTTTTTTTTTTTTTTTCTGTATTTTTAGTAGAGCCTGGGTTCCACCATGTTGACCAGGCTGGTCTGGAGCTCCTGGCCTCAAGTGATCCGCCCGCCTCAGCCTCCCAGAGTGCTGGGATTACAGGCATGAGCCACTGTGCCCAGCCAATTATTGTTAATATCAAAGTCCTTCCTTAGAACTTTGTACAAACCAGAGGTGCAGTGTCATTAAGTATAACTGATAAATGATGGCAGCCTTCCTGGTTCTCGTCAGTGCTGCTGTGACCACAACCTACAGTCAGGTGTCTGTCCTTGTCCTTTTGAACAGGGGAAGGGATTCAAGAGCCATGGGAACTTTGTTTCTGACATATTCTCAGGAAGAGACAGGGATCTGCTGATTACTCTGCTGGGGACATGTTGGACTAGTCATTGTACACACATTCCTTCCCACCCAAAATGGGAATGCTTGTAGGAAATCAGGGAATATTTTTCCAGGTCACAGGTTTACCTTCTTAACACAATTTGAAAGCAATGTTAACTACTGACTTTCCAAAACTACACTCTAGGCCAGGCTTTCTTTCCTAAATGGAGACACCCATCTCCACTGCCTAGGTTGCTCATTTTATGCGTTATGGCATTGGCCTGAAGGCCCTTGGTTTTCGATACTAGATGGCTCCAGAGTGTTTCACTTTGCACAGGTCAGCCACCACTTCTCCTTCTTCCTCTTCTTCTCCTCCCTTCTCTCTCCTCTCCTTTCACTTTTTCACACTCCTCAAGCGCTTGCACGTTTTCTCTGTTAGAGAAAGCCCTAAAGAGCACCCTACCTCAAATCAGGGCCATGCCTTGCCCCCATCCTTTCTTTTCCCCTGATCAGTTTTTTCTTACAGCGTGGTTCTGCTCACTTGGTGTCACTCTGTCTGTCCACCTGTGTGTCCACTCCAGAGGTCAGAGGTGGGGCTTTATTCACCTTTTGTTTCCAGCTTCTAGGACAGTCCCAGGCATGTGTATCGTAAGCTAACGATTATTATCTGGTGGAAAAAAGGAGAGAACATGTAAAGGGCATATTTTTACAGTCAGGGGTAAATAGTAAAGGATAAACTTCTGAAAACCATCTTCATTTCTGGAGCACCCCCATCCTGCCGTAGAAATGAACACAACCTATTATGCTAGTTCAGTGTCCTTGAGGTATCTGGTCCTCGACTCCCTAGTAGGGTGCTAGATAATATGCAGGATACCCAGTTAAGTTTAAATTGCAGATATGCAACAGGTAATTTTTAGTATAAGTATGTCCCATGCAATATTTGGAATACATGTATGCTGAAAATTACTTCTCATATTTTTAATTTGCTACATTTGGCAACCATACCCCCTAGTTTCCTGATATACATTGGCCATATGCAAGGACCTTTCAACGTTCTCTATAGTTTTCCTAAAAGAAATCTGAGCTCTAATGTCAGCCTTGCCCCTGGTAATACAGTACTGCTGATTAGAGCTGAGGTTCATTCAGAACTTTTTTTGGACTGAAATACATATCATGAAATTCGTATCATGAACTCTTTAGGGGGGAGTTGCATTTGTATACACAACTCTCCCCTAAACTCCACCTCTTTTTCTCCCTCCCAAGAAAACATTAAATATAAATAAGAATGACTATTACAGGAATAACCTTGAGCCCTTCTGATTTATTATTTGAAACAAATCATTTGCAAGTTCAGACTTTATCATTGCAACCAAGCTTAGCGAATGACTTGAGACACCCCTCTCAGATGGTCTGGCATTACCCTGCAGATGCATGTGGAAGTTGGGGGCGGGGGGTGGCTTAGAATTTACTGCTAGAAAATGAGGATTGTGGATTTTATTTTACGTAAGAGATGTGTTGCTTTCTTTGCAAGAGAAAAAATATCTTGGACCCAAAGAGGACTTTTCTAAAGAGATAGAGATGGCTCAGTAAAAGCACACCTCATTACTAGAAAAACAACCCAAAACATGTATATTATTAAGAGTGGGTTAACAGTCTCATTTTTACATGTAACAAAGCAAAAGTAAAATTTTAACTCCACTGAGAGAGCCACTTAAGTGGTTGTAGTGACCAGATGAGAACATGTCCTGGATTTAAAAAAAAAAAAAGTTGTAGTGAAAAAAGTTGTAGTGAAAAAAAAAATAGTTGTAGTGAAAATCTTTTTGAAAGTACAAAATGAGAAATGAGTCTATCTTTTCAGAGTTAATATTCACCACCACGTTTTTATTCTTACTTTGCTATAAAAATTGCCTAGGCAGTTTGAGAAATACCAGAGACATTAGAGGCCTGAGTCACAGAGTAAACCAAAAATAAATCCACTGAGATAATCTTTAAATGATTACTTTGAAATGTAATTGAGGATTTGATACAAAATTTTTAAAGACAAACGCTAACATACTGCCCCATCTAAATTATACCTCGAGTTTAATTTCCTTTTCTTAAGAAAGAAATAAATGAATAGACATAATATTTATATGAATCCCTTGGTTCCACTCAAGAACTTATTGCCAGCAGTTTTGAGACTCCTGAAGCATGGTTATACATGATGTTAAGAATAATGCGACGAGGCTGGGCGCGGTCACTCACGCCTGTAATCCCAGCACTTTGGGAGACCAAGGCGGGTGGATCACCTGAGGCCAGGAGTTTGAGACCAGCCTGGCCAACATGGTGAAACCCCATCTCTACAGAAAAATACAAAAATTAGCCAGATGTGGTTGTGCGTGCCTGTAATCCCAGCTACTTGGGAAGCTGAGGCAGGAGAATCTTTGAACCTGGGAGGCGGAGGCTGCAATGAGCTGAGATCATGCCACTGCGCTCCAGCCTCAGCGACGGAGTGAGACTCTGTCTCAAAAAATAAATAAATAATGCCGGACATGGTGGCTGATGCCTGTAATCCCAGCACTTCGGGAGGCCAAGGCAGGCGGATCACCCGAGGTCAGGAGTTTGAGACCAGCCTGGCCAACATAACGAAACCCTGTCTCTACTAAAAATACAAAAATTAGCCGGGTGAGGTGGTGTGCTCCTGTAGTCCCAGCTACTTGAGAGGCTGAGGCGGGAGAATCCCTTGAACCCGGAAGGTGGAGGTTGCAATGAGCTGAGACTGCACCACTGCACTCCAGGCTGGGTGACAGAGTGAGATTCTGTCTCAATAAATAAATAAATAGATAAATAATGCAGATGAAATTGTGGCACACAAATGCTGACTTCCTGTTCCCTGGGCCTTCCTCGTTTTATTCTGTGACTCCTAGCAGTGGGCTTCCTCTTTCCTGTCTCATCGCTTTGTGCACCCTTGTTGCCCTGTGTTGTGTCTGCCAAAGTCCAGCTCCTGCTATGTCCACCTTCTCCAAAGCATTACCTACTGAGCATCCTGGGAGGTGTTCCAAAGAGTGAGCTACAGAAGGGGAAGAAATTCTAGCTTGTCATTATTCTGAAGAGAAAGACAGCCAAAAGTTTTGACAAAGGTTTTGGCCATCAGGCCCTTTCGAGATGATTTCCCCACATGAGCTTTGCTGACAGCTCAAACCCAACTGTGGGTCATGGGTGCAAAGGAGCCCTTTGCCGGGTTGAGTTCATCTTACACCCTTGCAGACGGTTCCTTCCATTTGACCTGCAATGAGAAGACCACAAACAGCTATAGCCACACTAGAATAGAGCCCCTTGTTGGGGGATACATAGTTCTCTGTTAAGAAAACATCACAAAAAAGAAAATGTCCATAATTTTTTGGTTGTGTAACACTTTCTTATAAACAGTTTGCAGTCAGGGCTGTGCTGAAGCTGTCCTGGGACCTGTTGGAATATTTTCTTAGTCCTCTGTCTCCCAGCCAAGCCACTTAAGGGAAGAACACCTAACCGTGCCCCTTTTTTTTTTCTCCCCTTGAGATGGAGTCTCACTTTGTTGCCCAGACTGGAATGCAATGGCACGATCTCAGCTCACTGCAACCTCCACCTCCCGGATTCAAGCGATTCTCCTGCCTCAGCCTCCCAAGTAGCTGGGATTACAGATGTGCACTACCATGCCCAGCTAATTTTTTTGTATTTTTAGTAGAGACAGGGTTTTGTCAGGTTGACCAGGCTGGTCTTGAACTCCTGACCTCAGGTGATGCGCTCACCTCAGCCTCCCAAAGTGCTCGGATTACAAGCATGAGCCACCATGCCTGGCCAAACCCTGTCCTTCCTTGCAATCCAGTGTCACCCAGTTTCGCAGTCCCTTGTGGTGGATGGAGTGCCGGGTAAAGGGTCGGCCTTTCCACTGGCACACAAAGGAGTCCATTTACTATGCGGTTTGTTTAGCATTTGCATACAAATGATAACTGTACTTACAACTTAACATTTTTTTGTGGCCCATTTCTCAGTGTATATATGATGAAGGGAGAGAAAGAGCCAACTTGTGTTTCTGACATTTTTACAACACCTGACACTGAATGGAGGCGGTCATTTCATCTTGACTTAGTGTTTGTAAAGTGGATCGAGCTCTCCTACAATACACATTACAGTTTCATGCCCAGGGAAACATTTCAGTCTACCAGAATGTGGTGCCTGATGTTGACAGGGATCTGGCTCCAAAAAGCAACGAGCAGTCCTGAAGTGCATTACACTTCAATTAAGAAAATGTCCCATAGTTCACAAGAAGAGAGTGTCATCCTAGGGAATCTCTGGGATTTCTTGTGCGGATCCAGGGGCATGTTGCATCTGTACTGCTCCCTGATTTGAGCAGATTCATCGGTAGTGCTTCAAATCATTTCGGAACGAGCCTTTCCAAACAATTATACATTATATATTAGATGAGTGGCTTTCAACCCGTATCGCAGAGGCTGTGACGCAGGAACATATAGGGCCCTCTAAGGGACTGGGCCAACTCAGCATCCACCCAAGCTGCTGGCTACTCATGTTTTACACGTTGGACTCTTAGCTTGAAAAATAGGGAACTAATTGCAAACTAATGCCTGAGCACCTTGGCATTCCTGGCGCCAACATTTATGGCTTCAGCTATTACAAACCAACACATAATGTAATACTCTAATTTTGCTAAGGCACACATGTGAATAGCATTGACTGCAAGGCGGGTGGGTGGCCATGCGTCACTCAGGTGGGTGAATCAGCCTCGTTGATTGCTGCCATCCGCACCCCACGCAGCCTTTTTTTTTTTTTTTGAGATGAAGTCTTGCTCTGTCGCCAGGCTGGAGTGCAGTGGCGTGATCTCAGCTCACTGCAACCTCTGCCTCCCAGGCTCAAGTGACTCTCCTGCCTCAGCCTCCCAAGTAGCTGGGATTACAGGCGTGCCACCACCATGCCCAACTAACTTTTGTATTTTTAGTAGAGACGGGGTTTCACCTTGTTGGCCAGGCTGGTCTCAAACTCCTGACCTCAAGTGATCCGCCCGCCTCGGCCTCCCAAAGTGCTGGGATTACAGGCATGATCCACCGCGCCTGGCCACCTCAGCCTTTTTAAATCATCATTGCATACCTATTTTAAGAGGGGGGTATTACATACTATGATGGGATTTGTAATTTGGGGATTTGCTAATATCTGAGATGTGTCCCTCACAAATGTCAACGGCTTCCGTGAAGAGGTACAGGCCTGGACAGTGATGGAGTGCACGCGCCCTGCCAGGGGTGTTGTGTATGAGGTGTGTTTGCGGATGTTGCGTGCTCTTCACCTCTGAGCATGCGAGGGAATTCTCTCTGGGTTGCAGATTCAGCATACCTCAGCTCTCAAACACTTCAAAGGAAGAGATTTCCTTTCCTTTTCTTTTCTTTTTGAGACGGATTTTTGTTCTTGTTGCCCAGGCTGGAGTGTAATGGTGCAGTCTTGGCTCACTGCAACCTCCACCTCCTGGGTTCAAGCGATTCTCCTTCCTCAGCCTTCCGAGTAGCTGGAATTACAGGCGCCCGCCACCACGCCCAGCTAATTTTTTTGTATTTTTAGTAGAGACTGGGTTTCACCATGTTGGCCAGGCTGGTCTCAAACTTCTGACATCAGGTGATCCGCCCACCTCGGCTTCCCAAAGTGTTGAGATGACAGCCATGAGCCACTGTGCCCGGGCCTCGATTTTCTTGCCCCAAATCCTGGCCGAGACCTCTGAGGAATATGATTATGGAAAGCCACCCATTTTTTTAAAAAAATCATGTCTTGTTCTATTCTTTCCTTTTGGATCTGCCCAAGACAACTGTTCGTGAATCTGCTGTGTTTGTAGAAAAAGAGTATCTATTAGTGGTTCATTAATTTGGATCATGTTTGGAGTTCTCAGTGAGCTTGTTAAAATAAGACACTGTTCCTTTCTTTTTTTCTTTTCTTTTCTTTTTTTTTTTCCAGACAGAGTTTCACTCTTGTTGCCCAGGCTGGAGTGCAATGGCGTGATCTCGGCTCACTGCAACCTCCACCTCCCTCCATTCAGGCGATTGTCCTGCCTCAGCCTCCTGAGTCTCTGGGGTTACAGGCATGCGTCACCACACCCGGCTAATTTTGTATTTTTAGTAGAGACGGGGTTTCGCCATTTGGTCAGGCTGGTCTCGAACTCCTGACCTCAGGTGATCCGCCCGCTTTGGCCTCCCAAAGTGCTGGGATTACAGGCATGAGCTACCGCGCCCGGCCAACACTGTGCCTTTCTAAAAACTATTATTCCACTAAAGAAAAAATAGAGAGAGACATGCAATTCAAGTATAGTCTTTCACTAACGTGATTGTTAGGTATGTTAGAGATAGTAGGAACCTTAGCTGAGTCGTCCTTGCTCTGTGGTTTTAAGTGTAAAAATAACCCTAATTATTGTATTTGCTACCTTGTGCCCACTTTACAGACTTGAAGCCCTGGTTTCTGTAAGTATATGCATACAAGTAAAGATCTAGTGAAGGCATAGCTGAGTCCTCCCATCGAGGGCAGCTGGGCATGGTCCCTGCAAGAACTTTTTTTGGCCGTTTGTCCCCTGCTAACCTTGCACCACCCAGGGCTGTGGGTAGGTGTTCCTGTCCTAGATATTCCAGGGGTCACTTGTCCCTTGGGCTGCATTTTCTGGCATCCCAGAAAAGTGAGTGGCTTGTCATTTCCTTGACTAAGTCATGTCAATTCTCTGCCACTAATTCAGTTTGCAAATGAGTTTCTTCAGCTATTTAAAAAAAAAAAAATAGCATCTGCTCAAATGGGCGGCCATATAGTCTCTCGAATTCAGTTGTGGAGACAGCTGAGGACACCAGATTGAGTTTGTTTCGGCAAACTGGATATATGAAAATTGAAGATTTTTTTTAAATGGGTGATTGTTCACTTTTTGAAAGGTTTCTTTGCCTACAAAAAGATTAACAATAGGATTTCTTCGAACATTGACTTCTTCCAGCACACTAAAAATAAGATTTAATTAATGCCTTGAGTTTCTAGAGCATACTTTATGCATAAATGTGGCATGCCTGTAAGAAATATTGAAAGTTTTTTAAAGTTAACATTTAAAATTATTAAAAATTTTCATCTGATGGGTTCAATTCTGCTAAAAAAAATATTGATAGTTTTCACTCTAGTCTTCAAGGGGTAAGAATACATCCTACTAAATGATAGTTTGAGGCTGGGTGCGGTGGCTCATGCCACCACTTTGACTCATTCCCAGCACTTTGGGAGGCCAAGGCAGGAGGATCACCTGAGGTCAGGAGTTCGAGACCAGCCTGGTCAACATGGTGAAACCCTATCTCTACTAAAATACAAAAATTAGCCGGGCGTGGTGGTATGTGCCTGTAGTCCCGGCTACTCAGGAGGCTGAGGCAGGAGAATCACTTGAACCCGGGAGGCGGAGGTTGTAGTGAGCTGAGAGCACGCCACTGCATTCTAGCCTGGGTGACAGAATGAGACTGTATCTTAAAATAAATATAATAAAATTAAATTGAATTAAATAAAAAAAATTTTGAACATGCCAGATTTTAAAGTGAGAGCAGCAGCACATCATGTGACCTGCCATGCATTAATCTTACAGTATTTGTTCTTGGAAACTTAAAGTCAAACCTTTTCACCTTTAAGCTAGAAGGAGAAGGATCTGAAGTCAGCTCTCATGTAAAATGCATCAGCTCTCAGCATCAGCCTGCAGTCTGAAGGCCTCCAAGCAGTCGAGGTGATTGTACTGCCAATGGAATGAGTGTCATGAAGCTGCCTTGTACAAATGGCCTAGAATGATTACGTGCTGAGCAGGTAGACTTTCCTCTTCCAGGATAGCTATTTAGTGTTATTCCATTTCATTGAATGTTGAATGGCCATTAAGCCCCATGCCCGGGAGTCTAATCTTACCAAGATGAATTCAGACGTTGGCCCTAGCTGTGGGGAGTCTACATTCTCACTTTCCTAGCCTGTCAACGTGGCAGTCTGCTGTCAGGTGACAGAGTGGTTGGTGCCTTGAACAACCTGTTTTTGTCCTCTTTCTCTTGCAGCTTCTTGTCCTATCGGCCAACCCCCGACCTGAAGGCCAGTGTCAAAGTGTCAGGGTGTCAAAGTGCAGAATTGTCAGGTCATACGTAGTCAAAAACAATCAGGTGTGGTTCTCTGTGCGCTGTTAGCAGAAATTCCTTGGATTTTTTTCTTGTACCTCGACAGGAGCATGGATATTGACTTTCTCTTTGAACACAGGTGTCTTGATTCCTAGTTACCTGTGATTCTCTCATCCAAGTAGGAATGGCCCAGAGATAGAGGGAGAGTGTTGGGAGGTGGAGGGGGAAAGAGGCAGCCTGTTTAGTTTCTGGGGCTGGGGAGCAGGGTGGAGAAAGGGCATATCCTGATTCCCTAGTGGCCAGGGAGGTGGAGAGTGTGTGGTCAGCACACTCACTGCCACCGGACCTGTGAGAAGGTGGTGGCCTCTTTCATCACCTTTTAAATCAATAACAGAGGAGCTCCCAGTCAAGGAAAGGAGGGGGAAGATGGGGATCTGAACAGGGCTCTCCTCGGAGACATGACCAAGGGAGACTCGTGACTGGGCATCCTTACCTACTGGGAAGGCCTGGCAGAGGAGGCAGCATTAGGTAGAGAGGTGTGGCTGGTTGAGCCCCCTCAAGGTAGAGCAGAGGGCAGAGCATCCCAGAAGGAGGAAATGGGAAACCCCGGCCTTGCTCCTGTAACTGCAGGTGTCATTGAAGGTGTCATCTCTGCTGTCCCCTTGGTCCCCAGGGCGGCCTGAGAACGCGGCTGGCAGAAGGAAGAATGGGTACCCTTCCAGTTTCTCACTCAACCCCACAGTTAGCCTCAGGGGCGGTGTTAATCTCCATTTGACAACTGAGGAAAGTGGGAGTAGCTAAGGAGCTTGCCCAAGGAGTGCACGCCTAATGAACAAAACCAAAGATGCAAACCCAGCGCATCTGATTCCAGATCCCCAGTGCACGCTTCTCCCCTGTGTGCTCACCTGCCTCCCCATGTATGGGCCTGCTGGAGGGGTTCTGCAATGCCCTGAGACCCTATGCTCTGGGACCCCATGCCTCGCTCTCACCAGCTCACGACACCGGACTCCCAATACCTAAGGAAACTTGCCGCCATAAGTGTCTAAAAACAAAAACAGAAAACACTTATGGAAATGGCTCAATCCATCATGGTCCCAAAGTTCATGTAATATTTGGATTATTCACGCCAAATGATGTAATTTTTCGGGATATAATATCTGAGATATTTGAACAAAATGAACAAGGGGCATTGTAGGACCAAGAGTCCGAGCATCACTTGGATTCTCAGTCGTATGTTCCTGGGCAAGTGTAAAACCTCTGAGCTTGTTTTCTGGTATTAAAATGAGAGCCTTGTGCCTTGCAATTCCTAAGGTCTGATTTAGTGCTCATAGGATCCCTCTTTCCATAGTGGTAGACTTAGGTCACTTCTTTGGGGACTCTCAAGGATCGTGTGAGTGATGCACGTGTGGACAGGAGGCAGGAAACATGATCTCAGTTAACAGAGGAGTCCTGGGTATCCCCCATCACAGGAATAAACTTCCCTAATAGGAAATGATTGCCTTGATGTTATTGTAATTATTCTTAACACTGGGTGCTTGAAAAGACATGACTTCATATTGTTCTAATCTAATGGGACATAGCCCCACACATTTTAAGTAGGTTTTTAACTACAGAACAATAAAACATTTAGCAAATTATGTTCAAACGTGTCTGCACACACTGATACTTTCAGCTCGGTGCCAGCCATTCTGCTCCCATATGGGCTGACCAAACAGATCAGCTGGAGGAGGCAGCTTGGGTTCTGGCATCCATGAGTGACTCTGGCACCTTCCCTTCCACATGGCAGGGCAGGCTGGCTGAGGCTTGGAACTGAATGTGGTTGGGAGAGGCCCTCGTTCAAACCGAGTTTCCTTGGTACTGCTCCATCATGTTTTTAGCCCACTGGTTATTAATCCAATGTTATTAGTGCTGGAACAAATCACTCATGTGGATTTTCTGTCTCTTGGCTTCTTAATCACACGCCTTCATCTTCTGTGGAGCGCAAAGGAAGAGGAGGACGTCGGATGCCAGTTGCCAGCTTTGCTGATTACTGGCAGGGCAGCTCTGATAAGACCTTCACCGGGGGAAAATGGAGATTAATTTTAAAAGAGTCAGAGCCTCTCTGTAGATGGTATCTCTATATTGTCCTCCTAGCCTTTTCTTTCTCAGCTGTAATTTATAGATGATTCTTCAGGCTGTATGCAGTTTACAGCCTGCTAATAGGTCATTTGGAAATCAGCTAGGAGGGGCAGATGATAACTAGATCACAGGAACCTTTACATTATAACTGAAGTTGGCTGGGCCCAGCGGATCACCTGAGGTCAGGAGTTCGACACCTGCCTGGCCAACATGGTGAAACTCTGTCTCTACTAACAATACAAAAATTACCCAGGCATGGTGGCACACACCTGTAATTGCAGCTACTAGGGAGGCTGAGGCAGGAGAATCACTTGAACCTGGGAGGCAGAGGTTGCAGTGAGCCGAGATTGCGCCACTGCACTCCAGCCTGGGTGACAGAGACTCTGTCTCCAAAAAAAAAAAAAAAAAAAAAATTAGCAGTGTGTGATGGTGCACTGTTGTAGTCCCAGCTACTCAAGAGGCTGAGATGGGAGGATCGCTTGAGCCCAGGAGTTCCAGGGTGCAGTGAGCTGTGATTGCACCACTCTGCTGCATCCTGAGTGACAGAGCAAGACCCTGACTCTAAAAAACAAAAACTGAAGGTAACTCAATGTTTCTTCATGCAGTTGGCCCCTTGTGGTTGTTTCTCTGAGGAGCCACTCTGCCAGGTCCTTTTCCTCTGTCCCTCTTCTATGACCTCATGAAATTGACCTGGAAGCCTGGCCACTGTCCCTTAGTTGGATTTCTGTAGGTGAGAGGGGATGTCGCTGTTTTGGAAGCAGTTGGGCCTCCCTGCAATCCTGAGCACTGCTGGGCCCTCATCAAGAAACAGTCTCAACTGGGCATGGTGGCTCATGCCTATAATCCCAGCACTCTGGGAGGCCGAGGTGGGCAGATCACCTGAGGTCAGGAGTTCAAGACCAGCCTGGCCAACATGGTGAAACTCCATCTCTACTAAAAATACAAAAATTAGCCGGGCATGGTGGTGCACATCTGTAATCCCAGCTACTTGGGAGGCTGAGACACAAGAATCACTTGAACCCAGGGGGTGGAGGTTGCAGTGAGCCGAGATCACGCCACTGCACTCCTGCCTGGGTCACAGAGTGAGACTCCATCTCAAAAAAAAAGAAACAGTCTCGTGGGCTGCAGTGTAGGGTGACTGCCCAGATGTCTGGTTGTTGAGGTATGTAGGGGAAGCAGCCTTTGAAAGAAAAGGCATATAATTTTGGGGTCAAGCATACTTAGCTTGAAATCCAGTCTCTGCCACTTTCTAGGTGTGTCATCTTGGCTAAGTTATTTAACCCCTTTGAACCTCAGTTTTTTCATTTGCAGTGTGAGATTAATGAATACCTCTAGGTTGGTGCAAAAGTAATCGCGGTTTTGCCATTACTTCCTTTTTTTTTTTTTCCCCCAAGATGGAGTCTTGCTCTGTCACCCAGGTTAGAGTGCAGTGGTGCCATTTCGGCTCACTGCAACCTCTGCCTCCTGGGTTCAACCGATTCTTCTGCCTCAGCCTTCCGAGTAGCTGGGATTACAGGCATGCACCACCATGCTCAGCTAATTTTTGTATTTTTAGCAGAGGCAGGGTTTCACCATGTTGGCCAGGCTGGTCTCGAACTCTTGACCTCGTGATCTGCCCACTTCGGCCTCCCAAAGTGCTGAGATGCAGGCGTGAGCCACCACGCCCAGCTGCCATTACTTTCAATGGCAAAAACCGCAATTACGTTTGCACCAGCCTAATACTTTTCAGGGCTGTTTGGCAGTATTAAATAAGCGATGTAAGTTACCTGACACCAGTGGACTGCTAGCCAGTGACATCTGTTTGAGCAGCACCTTCATTTCCATTTGCCTTCATTGTCGTCCATTTTATGAAAGAATCACTGTACTATGCATTTAGAAACCAAGGACAGTTATAGCAAATACATTGTTTATGGCAGTTTGTGCTGCAGAAAACTGGTTCTAAAATTTTTCATTTTCCTCCAGGTATTACTTCTACCTCCAGACACTACCACTTCTCAGATTTATTTCAAAGAGGTCTTATCCTTTGCACCATATTCCCATTGAAAAGTAGGGATTTGGACCTCCTACTGTTTATTTACTATGAAATTAGAGCTAGTATTATGGGAGCTCAGTGCACACTGGTAATTGCTTATAAAGGGTGATCCTTGACTCTGTGAGGATGCACTTCTTCATAAGAACTATAGCTATTTATGGAGTTTGAAATAAGCCCACCTGTTTGTCATGTCCCCTCAGCATGGATCTCTGATCCAGATACTTCACAGATCTCTGGAGTAGCTTGAGTGTGTATGAGAGACTAGGCTTTATTTATTTGTTTTTTTGTAGAGATGGGTTCCCTGTGTGTTGCCAGGTTGGTCTTGAACTCCTGGCCTCAAGCAGTCCTTCTGCCTCGGCTTCCCAAAGTGCTGGGATTACAGGCATGAGCCACTTGAGTAGGCTTTAGATGCAGCAGCTCATGTTGGGTTTCACACCTCAAAATGGAGTTGCGTAGCACATAACAGCGGGTGTCTGCTTAGCGGCTCAGCATACGCCAAAACACCATGCACAATGGAGAAAGCAGGAACTGGGGACTGAAAGCTAATAGAATTCTAGCTCTGCTCTTTGCCATGAGACACTGGGCAAAGCACATACCTGACCCTCAGTTTCTTTCCTTGTGGAGATAGTTATATCTATTTTGCAAGTCCTGATTATGCAGAGACACTAATCACATATCATGCAAGCTCTAGTCGTCATGTTCTGTTAAATCCATTTTGCAAGAATTCGTTATAAAGCACTTAATATATGAGTGCCAATAGTAGTAATAACACTATGCAGAAGAGATGAAGAACATAGGAAATAATAAATTCATCAGTATTCAGTGTTGGGAGCAAGAGACAGTGTTTTTTGTTGTTGTTGTTGTTTTTTCAAAAGTGAGCACCAGCCTTGGGCAGGTCGCCTGAGCTCGCTCATCTCAGCTGCCTCCCCAGGCGGAAGCTGACTCCCTTGTTGTAAGGACCAGAGCACAAACATGAGAAGCCTTTGCAAACTAAAGCACTCTCCAAGAGACATTGTCAAGCCCGTCATCTCCATGCCTCTGTACTGTTCCTTGCATTTCTCCTTTTCAATACCCACATTCTTCAGCGAGGAATCATTTCACGCGTACTTGTAGTGATGCCATCAGGCACTTACAGTATATACTAAATCATCCCAGAGGCCAGGCATGGTGGCTCACACCTGTAATCCCAGCACTTTGGGAGGCCGAGACGGGCAGATCACTTGAGATCAGGAGTTCAAGACTAGCCTGGCCAACATTTCTCTACTAAAAATACAAAAATTAGCCAGGCATGGTGGTGTGTGCCTGTAATCCCAGCTACTCGGGATGCTGAGGCACGAGAATCACTTGAACCCAGAGGGCAGAAGTTGCAGTGAGCCGTGATCGCACCACTGCACTCTGGCCTGGGCATCAGAGTGAGACCCTGTCTCAAAAACAACAACAACAAAAAATCATCCCAGAAAGCCATGGTCATAAAAATACTTGGCCAGAATCCCATAATAAATTTTACTTACATTTTAAGTTCATTTGTCGAGACAGAAACATTTATTTCTCTTATTTGGCAACAAAGAAACACACATTTAGTCTGTGTTAGTATATGTGCCTGTGTTTACAGATCATTTTACAGGTCCCCACTCCATAATTTGAGTGAATTTGTATCATTTTCTTTTTGTTCACCATTGTGATCTCTGTGCCTTTACTACTTAAATATTGATTTGCTGTGGACAACTGCCCAATCCGGTTACAACCTGGCAAATCTTATCCAGATTTAAGAAAATGACTCTGTAACTTTAGTCTTGTTGCTATTGAGAGTCAAATGACTGAGCTTATCTTCATTGCCTTTTTCTTTCTTGGGTAGCTTTTAAGTCAAGTTTTTTGTTTAAGTAGCTTTTAAGTTTGAAGAATAAACTCATTAGCAAACACTTAGAATAATCCAAAGTAATAGATGATATTTTGGCACCAGTTTTGTTTTGTATGGATTATTCACACGTTTCCCTCGATGCCTAAAGCACAGTAGAAAGATGAAAAATATTTCAGCCACCTTTCTTGTCACACATGACAGGATGCCTTAAAAATAAATGATGCTGGGCGCAATGGCTTACGCCTGTAATCCCAGCAGTTTGGAAGGCCAAGGTGGGTGGATCACCTGAGGTCAGGAGTTCGAGATCAGCCTGGCCAAAATGATGAAACCCTGTTTCTATTAAAAAATACAAAACAATTAGCCAGGCGTGGTGGCGCCTGCCTGTAGTCCCGGCTACTCGGGGCTGAGGCAAGAGAATCGCTTGAACCCGGGAGGCGGAGGTTGCGGTGAGCCGAGATTGTGCCACTGCACTCCAGCCTGGGCGACAGAGCAAGACTCCATCTCAAAGGAAAAAAAAAAAAAAGTATTCATTTTAGGGTGAGACTTAACTATGTTTAGGTCCCATGTCTGCTACCAGACATGTGTCTTGGTAAAGTTACTTGGCGGAGTTACTTAAACTAGTCCAACTAGTTGAATTATATAACTAGATAGTAGGCTCTTACAGAATGCTTCCATGTCATTATACTTATGAATGTATTTTTCAGCTTTTATGCGATTATTTGTTAATTTAAGAAAGCCAGCAGGGACAAAAAAAGACACTTCTTTGACCTTAATACAGCAAAAGATGTGAAAACATGGAGATGTGTATTTTCAGAATTCTTTACCCATCACTCTATCATTTAAGATTTTAATGGACTTCAAGATGCTAATATTTTGAAAATTCTCTGGAAGTTCACCTGGTTCTCAACTCCAAGCTGAACGAGGACCACGGACACCCAGGTGTAGGTATTTTGTAAGCCACAGCTTGAGATGGTCATACCTGGTTATGCTCTGTAAGGAGCTAAGAAGGCAGGACCATATGATCCTATTAAAAGGTAGCACTGGATGGCCTTCTTTTTAGACGTGCTCCACTGAAGCCTTTTAGTCTACATGTGAAGGAACCAAGGCCCAACAAGTTTAGGTGACTGTGTTAGTCATTGGCAGAATCATGTGTGGAGCCTGGGTCAGCTGACTTCCAGGACGGGGCTGTCTCCTGAACCATTCCAGCATTTGGAGAGCAATGAACACTGCATGACGTGGTTCTTCCTGCTCTGTTGGAAGAAGGCATGGCATTTTAGAGCACAGAAATTCATCAAACATTGAAACATTTGCTGTTGTATTGACACCATCTTTTCTTTAGGAATGATCTTGGAAAAAACTAGGAAAAGTTATTCCATTGACCAGTGATGACCAGTTATTGTTCCTTTTGTCAACAGGCAAGATGATGATGAATGAAGTCCTGGCAGCTTCCTGTGTCCCAGGCCTTGTAGAAATAAATGAGACAGACGTGCTTCAAAGTTCTAATGTGCATCACATCGGATCTTGTTTAAGGAAGCGTTAAAAGGAACCCGCCGTTACCTATTGAGAAGGCTCTGTACTCTCAGGCATTGTTTCTGATTGAATCCAGAGGTTGCAAGCATGCCTTCCTGTATTACCTGTTGGAGCAGGTTTAATTTTATAAATTTTAAACACAAACTCTATGAGTTTCTAGTTCATAATTGTTCTTTTTGGGGATCCACTCAGATGAACAGTATTGCATCTGTAAGAGATACCCACTTCCCAGGACCAGATTTGATTGGAATATCAGTGGCAACAGACTCCATCTGTAGCTCATCCAGTACCAGTGATGGAAAGGACAGATGGCAAGGAAACCCTTTCGGGGGGAAAAAGAAAGTCATATTGTGTTGGACCTACAGATTACTAGAAACATAGCTTTAGTAAACCAAGGCTTTTTTTCTTGAACACAATCTGTGTAGACTGTGTAGTTCTTGATTGGTGGCTTTAATCCATTATCATTAGGTATCTCCTTGAACGTTCTCAAACACTGAAAGTCTTAAGCTTTCATTAAAAAAAAAAGAGTAAATGCAGCTTTCAGAAAATCCAGGATTCTGTACAGTCTTCGAGTGTTTCACTTCAGCCTCCCTGTCCTGTTATTACCAACAGCAGGTACCCGGGTGGTAGACAAGAAGCCTCATGGGATAGATAAGGAAATGAAGATAAACAAACATATCACACTGTATCGTAAACATACTTTATAAGTACATTTCTTATTAGCTTCTTATCCAGGTAGAGATTATAAAAATTTGCTGCAAGTATCCAGACCAGAATTTATGTTTTGGAAATTATCAGTGTTCACAATACCTGCAGGGAAGAAAAAAATACAAAAACTCAAATATGAATACTCTTTACACCCAAAAGAATATTTTTATCATTCTTTTATTTGTTTTTGGCTCTGTCAAAAATTAAAGTGCTTGGAATGCTGTAGTCTGTGGTCTCTTGAAATTTAATCAATGAGAACTTAGCATTTTCACAGTATGCTGTCACTTTGGACATTCATAATAAAAATTGAAACTAATTTTGGGTGTTAGTCATTTATTTTGCTGTGTAGCTTAGTGCACCTTTTGTGGTCTGTCTGTGCCTAGTAACTGAGCAGTTTGTATGTATAGAGATATAGAGATAGATTCATAGTTCAAGCCTTTCACTGTTGTTTTCTATATTTGAACAACCACTCTTTTTATTTATTGAAAGGCCAAGAGATTTTTGAATGCCAAGGCCTTTTTGAATATGCATTCTATAACACAGATTAAAATTAATTCCTGAGGATTATACCTAAGCTTTCTTGAGTTTCTCCTTACAGCAGATTTTCTATTAAATTGATTATATTTTCTATTAAGTAGTAAGTAGGAAACTAGAGAAGGCTATAGGTAATATAGTGGCAATTATAGGCTTTTCAATAGGATCTTTTTTGTTTGACTCTCTGCCCGGTAGTGTTGGAGTATTGTTTTATGTATTCCATCATATTGCAGTTAGAAATAAAACAGCTCCAGAGAAACACAGACATGTGAGCCTATGTAGAAAACTTAGATCTTGCTTGGCACCTCTACCAAATTTGATATGGCAATGAGAAAAGATCCCTTTCCTTCTATTCTTTTGTAACTAAACCTACAATTGGCAAACATCCATCTAGCTCCCACTTCCCACCCCCTCAAGCCTCTACCCCCCACAAAGGAACAGTATGGATTTGTGACTAACCTCACCATTCTTGTGCACATATGAGCAAATGATTTGGGAAATTAAATTGGAAAAAAAAACAAATAGAAGTTTCTGAGGTTCTTTTCGCTGGATAGGGTGAGAGGAGAAACAGAATAGCAAATGAAGGTAAAAGAGGATCATTCCTTCAGCACTGGGTGCATATCCAGTCAGCACTTAGCTGGAGGTGCTTTTCCAATGACCAGGTGCACACGAAGGCCCATCTGTTGGAAGAGTAATCTTTTTAAAATCCCAAGGCAGCATAATGGGGGCAGAGGTTGATGCTTTTGTTCCCTGGATGAATTCCCTCTTCAGAAGCTCCTGCTCCCCTCGACCTGAGCATCTGGACAGGCTCTCTGTGTGAATCGGCATGAATATTGAACAGTCCACACTCCCTCCCTGCTTCAGTCCATGGCAAAGGAAAGCTTTCGAAAGTCACCGTTCTCCAGGGACGTTAAGCATTTCGAGCTGGTTTTTAAAACAGTATTAAGTGACTTTGACAAACTGGAGCTATTTGGTATTTGCACAATTAGAAAGAATCCCCCATGGGGGTTGTTTGGCTTTGTGAGTAAATGCTGGCCTCTCACTTGAATTCCAATACAGAGATCTCATTCAAATGAGATGGGTGGTCTTATGCAATTTCTTTGCGGTTCATAAATTCCTCATAGAGGGGGAAAAACTATTTCAGAATGGCCTCCACAAAGGAATTACACGTAGATGATTACTTTTATCCGGAGTAATTTGTGTTTTAAATGATTTAAAAGTATAAGCAGTTAAGGAAGTCGTGAAGTTTGATGCTTCAGAAGAAAGCCTCCTTTCATTCATTATTAGTGATTTCTCCAAATCCACTATTTCTGCATCTATGTATGAAAATTGAAGAACATTCCAGACTATGGCGGTGGCATCAAATCCAATCATTTTTATAGCGGGGCTTTCTCTTGGAGGACTCTTTAAAGGTTACAGAGAGAGGCAGCTTGGCACAGTGTGTAGATTGGTTCATAGTTACTGTTTTATAGATGTTTACTGTACCTTTTAGTATCTGTGAAAAATATTCCTTTTATTTCTTCTGAGGCACACATCTCTTTCAAAACGTTTTTTAATATCTTAGAAACATACTCTACCTGTGAGCTATAAGGAAATAAAATGATGCTCATTTTCATCCATTCTTATATTATTACAAAACTAAATCATTTCTCAATCCTATAAGATACAAATCAATTGCCTATTATTGTAGATGACTTAGGAAAGAAGATTGTAAACTAGAAAAAATATACATGCATTTTTAGTCCAAACTTTTAAAAATACAAGTACTGTATTCAGATATATTTTCTAAAAAGATATCATTCATAAAATTAATGCAAATTTTAAAATCCACTAAAGGATCCATAGTGCTAGAAATAAATGTGGCTTTCAGATGGCTGCGACTCTCAGCTTGCACAACTGGGAAAGAACCTGAATATGCCTCTTTTCAATTTTGTCCACTTGATCATGGGGTGGGAACGATATTATTGAGTGGAAGTAATTGCTACTCCAAAGATTTTTTCAAAGCTTTATGGAGACTGTGGCAAATATTATTTTGTATCTTAAAGGACCCTGTATGGAGAGTTGCACTGATATTTAAAAGTTCCCACACACGGTGTCACACAGGCCACGAGCCACAGCAGTCAGAAATGGAAGGGGGACCTCACTGCTTCTTACTGCATCATTCCCATCCTCTCATTACAACAGAAAAGAAAAAAGCTAATGAGGAAAAGGAAGCAACTTTTGCCAGAAATGTCCATGCAATCAAGGGCTTTCTTTTCCCTGTGTAATGTGAGTACAGAAATGTCCATGCACTAGAGGGCTTTCTTTTTTTTTTTCTTTTTTTTCTTTAGATGGAATCTCACTCTGTCGCCCAGGATGGAGTGCAATGGTGCGATCTCGGCTCACTACAACCTCCACCTCCCAGGTTCAAGCAATTCTCCTGCCTCAGCCTCCAAAGTAGCTGGGATTATAGGCGCCTGCCACCACGCCTGGCTAATTTTTGTATTTTTAGTAGAGATGGAGTTTCACCATGTTGGCCAGGCTGGTCTTGAACTCCTGACCTCAGGTGATCCACCCGCCTCAACCTCCCAAAGTGCTGAGATTACAGGCATGAGCCACCACACTCAGCCTAAGGGCTTTCTTTAGCCTGTGTAATGTGAGTGCACTCACAAGAGCACACACATCATGGGACTGGAGGCCATAAGCAGAGTGACCAGAATCCTCTTAGGCCACTCTCAAGGCAAAACTCTCAAAGGTGAGGCCTGGCTGGGGACTGCCAGGAGAGCGCAGGGACCAAGAGGCGAGCTCTGGGTTCTGCAACAAGAGCTGGGGCTCCAGTGCCCCAGAAAGTGATTCCCAGATTCTCACCTCATGTACGGCAGGTGTGGCCACAACCGAAGCCCCGCCTTCTTCATACTGACTGCAGGTCCTGCGCTTGGCTTTTTTAATTAGAATCTTGCAAATTTGTCTCCAAATACCAATATTCCTTCATTCATCCAACATGTATGTATCTAGTGCTTACTAAATACACAGTGCTGTGCTTGAGATAGAGATGGAACAGTGCATTAGAATTATGCTTGAGCACATCAGTAGAACGTGCATGTTCAATAGGAATACAGGTGTGTATTGCATCTTAAGCACAAGATGAATGCAAAGGAAGCTCACAGAGGCAGACGCAAATCAGTAGTTTACCTAAAAATGACTTGTTCTTTATCAGCTCAACTTTCCACTATCGTAAAAAAGAAAACAGTTCTTACTGTTTAGTCTTTTGCTGTTTCCTAGCCAGTAACACATTTATAGTTTTATTTGGATTTGAGAACCTAGAGATTATATTGACTTATACTGGTGAACACCTCTTTTCTAAACCCTGAAACTCTAGCAAGGATGCAGGTCCCACCATCCATGAATGCTGCCATTTAATTCAACATGAGAAGTGACCCGTTTCACCTGTAAACGGGGTGGGGGAACTCAAAATACTTTCAAACACAAGGACTTTGACTTTACAACGTTTGGAAAATTACAGAACACAAGAAACTATTTCTATCAAACCAAAAGAATTCAGAGTTTCTCAAGAGATCTCTTATTTAAAAAAAAAAAAGTGTATTTCATGAAATAAGGATAGACTATGGCAAGAGAGTGGGATAGAAAGAAAGTTATTCTTTTCTGAAGTTGGTTTGATTTTCCTGGGGCCATCTTAGCAGTACACAGAAGCAAGGTTGGTTTTCCCAGATCCCCATCACAATGAATGGTTGCATAGAAGTAGGGTTGATTGAATGTTCTCAGTCTAGTTGTATCTGACTTAGAAAGATGTTAACATACAAAGGGGGAAACTAAAGCCAATAGATAATCAGAGAATTGTGGATTTAATTCAACATTAGCTCCTATCTTTTTCTCAGGCAGAAGGATACATGAGATCTAAGTACAGGAATTTAACTAAATGGAATATAAGACTTATGATATGTAGGTTTCCTTTGGAAATCCAAACATCTGTCTAGAGGTGAAGACTATAGAAAGTACTTCTTGCTTAAAGCAGATTATTAACTCGAATAAGTACAAGCATGACCACCCCCAAATCATTTACTAATAATTGTTTCTTGGACTTCAACTGATGTTCCTTCCCTTCAACTAAAATCCTACTTACATTCCAAATAAAAGTAGTAATTCCTTATTGTGCTCAACCAGACCATCAAAATCTTCAAGCTGAGGATCCCCAAGATAATACAGCAACAGACTATTTTCTAGCATAGTTGGGGCTTGAGGTTTTTCCAATGGATCTCCAGTTTTTCAGGAATTTGAATACATGTTTTAAATGAACTGACATAAATGCTCTACTGGATATAATCCTAACAGTATTTGCTGTTGCAAAGGCCATCAGGACCTTGAGGTGCTCCGGGTCTGGGTTAATGCCCATGGGGTTCACCATGCTGGACTGGGGACCGCAGCAGCACCGGGCACAGAGCTCAGTTCATAAAGCACCAGCTTCTAACATAAATTGACATTAACAACAGTCACTCTCCTCCCAAGGACAGCGCAAAAAGGAAACCCACTTAATGAAACAGATGTGCTTAGTGTATTTTAGCTCATCCCTTAAACAGTCACTAAATACCGGCATCCCATTGGATTTGTCTAGGCTTACATCAAGGAAGTTTCTTCTCTTACCAAATTTCTTACATCGCCTGTAAAGAAAGCACATTCTTTCACTCAGGTGTGTCTCCTCAGCTCCTCTTAGCTCAGTCTTCAGTTTGCTTCTTTTTTATTCCTTGCCCTTGGTTTCCACTTGGATTATTTGGTAAATGTGTGCAGCTGAAGATGCTTGCTGTCGCTTCCATGGTTGGTCTCAAACGTGTCTGCATATTAGAATCACCTGGGAAGCTTCGAGAATCCTGAATCCTGTGTCCCTTCCGCAAAGATTATGATTGCTAGAGTGTGCCCTGGGTATTGGGAGTTTTAGAGGCTCTCCAGGTGGATTCTAATATGCAGACAAGTTTGGGAATCCCTGGGCTACAGGGAAGAAAGGGAAGTTTTCGAAGGCCTGGGCCTCCTGTGAGTTGTGTGATTTGGAGCAAGTCATTTAACGCTGCCCAGCCTTGGTTTCTCTGTACGATGAAGATAGTTATGCCGGCAGTTTTCCCATCTGCATAATGAAAATCATGTTTACATTAGGTGGTTAGTAATAGCACATGTAATGGGTTTGGCACAGGCTGGGCACTCGGGAAATGATAGCCATCCTGTATCCCTAAGGTAAAATAAAGGCAAGGAAACACTGTGGATGATTAAGTGAGGTCAGTTTAATGGAAACGAAAACAAGTAGGTGACAACCAGGCTCACTGTCACATGGGATGTGGTTTCTTTCCCTGAGACAATTGAGTTGTTCATCTATTTCTAGCTTGTTGGAAAGAATGATACCACCTCATACTCAGAGATAAGGCTATTGTGTTCATCTGTTTTTCCAGGGTGCGGTGGGTCTGCCCAGGGCTTTGTGAACAGGATCTGCCTGGCAGATAAATCCGAGGAGTATTGGGAAGTGGACTCTTTGACAAGGGCTGACTGACTTCATGAGTTTGGTGGGCACATGGCTGATCGCACTTCACTGGGGTGAATGTGACTCCTATACTCAGACTTGGGGAAGGATAGAAAGTCTATCTCATTTTGTCCTTGGTGAGCGGTCTCTTACGATGGCATAATAAGGGGAGGTTGGTGGTGTTTTAGAATCAGAGAGAGATAGAATGTCAGAGCTGAAAGGAACTCAGACCATCACCTGAGCCCCAGGAGTTCTTAACGGTGAACACTCTGAGATTATAGGAAACACCTTCGACATATTTAACATTTTCTTCGAGAAGCCATGGCTTCTCGTCTGATTCAAGAAGAGCTTGCTAGCCCTCCAATACCAAAGACTCGAGTTTATGAATAAGGAAACAGAGTCAAAGGAACTGTTCAAAGCCACGTGGGCAGTTAGAAGCAAAACAGAACTAGAACTCAGGTGACCACACTTTTCCCCAACCTCCACTCCCCCAGTTTTATAGCAAGTCTGAAGCATTAACTGTGGCAAGGGACTGTTTAAGCCACAGGTTCAACTAATTCACTGGATAATCACAGCCCCAAGCAGACGGTTGCTGGCATGCTACCAAATGAGGTTTCCATTTTTCTTTAGCTAAGGACATTATGTCTGCTGAAGGTCCTAGGAAGAAGGTAGAACTTCTGTCGCTGTTTGGAAATTCTCATTATTTTAACCTACAGTGAAACATCAGTCAGAATTTTGGGGGCTAACAGGAATCTGGACAGACATAAAGGAATTTAAACCACAAGTGCAGTCCAGGTTCAGTGGCTCATGCCTGTAATCCCAGCACTTTGGAAGACTGGGGCAGGCAGATGACCTGAGGTCAGGAGTTTGAGACCAGCCTGACCAAGACGGAGAAACCCCCGTCTCTACTAAAAATACAAAATTAGCCGGGTGTGGGTGGCGCATACCTGTAATCCCAGCTACTCGGGAGGCTGAGGCAGGAGAATCGCTTGAACCCCAGAGGCGGAGGTTTGCAGTGAGCCGAGACCGTGTCATTGCACTCCAGCCTGGGCAACAAGAGCGAAACTCCGTCTCAAAACAAAAAAACAAACAGGCCGGGCGCAGTGGCTCACGCCTGTAATCCCAACACTTTGGGAGGCCGAGGCGGGTGGATCATGAGGTCAGGCGATCAAGACCATCCTGGCTAACACGGTGAAACCCCGTCTCTACTAAAAAAAAAAAAAAAAAAAAAAAAAAAAAAAAAAAAAAAAAAAAAAAAAAATTCGCCAGGCGTGCCTGCGGGCGCCTGTAGTCCCAGCTCCTCGGGAGGCTGAGGCAGGAGAATGGTGTGAACCCAGGAGGCGGAGCTTGCAGTGAGCCGAGATCGCGCCACTGCACTCCAGCCTGGGCGACAGAGCGAGACTCTGTCTCAAAAAAAAAAAAAAAAAAAAAAAGAACAAACACAACAACAACAAAAACCCATAAGTGCAAAGTAGGCAAAGGCCTAAAAAAGAACAAGGATAGTTTGTATTTCCTTTTTCTTTCTTTACTGTAATTTTTATGTAGGCTCAAGAGGTACGTAAAGTTTTGGCAGAATGAAGGAACTTTACAACCATCCGCAGGACTCTATTTAAACCCTGAGCTCTACAACATTTTGGGGATCCATGATGTTTTAATTATGTTAATTTAAAATGTATCCATGTATTTAATGGATCACATCTAACTTGTGGCAGACACTGTCTAGCACCAGAAATACACCAATGTACAAAACAAAGCCTCTGCTTTCCCTTTTTTTTTTTTTTTAGGGCTTTTTTGTTTATTGTGGTAAAAATACATACTAATTTTCCATTTTAAAGCGTACAGTTCAGTGGCATTAAGTACAGTCACAATATTTTGCGGTCATTAGCATCGTCCATTTCTAGAGCTTTATCAAGGCGATGAAAACTTTTAGAAAGGTTAATAGTTACAAGTAAGTAGGCTGAGCTAGGATCTGAAATTAAATGATAGAAAATTCAACTTGACACTAAGTCCCAGAAGCCAAGCTCATTTCCCTCACTCTATCTTTAACTTCCAGGCCTAAGATGGCATTAAAATTAAAGGATTGAGGGCTGTCTCCAAGCATAGTTCAGTTAATAGAGTTGAAAAATAAAAGTATAGGCCCTTGGTTAGGGGAGATCCTGGTTTCCCCTTCTCAGCCCATGAAGGAGCTGTAGTCTCTGCTTTCATAGGGGTTTTCATCTCGTGGGAAGAGAAGGACAGTGACATTCACGTAATATTTTGGTTGAACATGAGTGCCATAAAGAACAGAGCAGGGCAGGGAGGATGAAATGGACAGCAGTGGGGAGGCCATGGCTAATATTTTATATGTGATGGTCAGGGAAGACCTCACTGGGGAGGTCTATGTGCATAGAGATCAGAAGGATATAGGAAGGAAGCCATGGTTGATCACTGAAAAAATACTGAGTTCAATCAGCTGTTTGGCACGACTGGGTCAGGTTCAGTGGTTTATGGTATACTGGTTTTCTTTCTCATTGTCCCAAGAACATTTGTGGTTTTTTTTTTTTTTTTTTTTTTTTTTGAGATGGAGTTTCACTCTTGTTGCCCAGGCTGCAGTGCAATGGCATGATCTCAGCTCACTGCAAACTCCGCCTCCCACGTTCAAGCGATTCTCCTGACTCAGCCTCCCGAGTAGTTGGAATTACAGGCACCCACCCCCACACCCCCACCACCATGCCCGGCTAATTTTTTTGTATTTTTAATAGCGATGGGGTTTCACCATGTTGGTCAGGCTGGTCTCGAACTCCTGACCTCAGGTGATCCGCCCCCCTCAACCTCCCAAAGTGGTGCGGTTACATGCATGAGCCACTGCGCCTGGCCCCAGGAACTTTTTAAAGACCACTTAGAGTTCAGCTTTGAAAGGAGGCTGTGCTGAGTTGGTGGGAGCAGCACTACTGTGAGTTCCATGCATTGCTGGGAGGGCTGGTGCTATGTGGGCGTCTGTAAGCAGGAAGAGGACTGGCTTTGGAGTCATCACATGAAAGGGGGTCTCACATCCACCTCTCCTATCACGAGCTCTGTGACCATGGCATGTTATTTTATTTTTTTCAGATGAAGTCTGGCTCTGTCGCCCAGGCCAGAGTGCAGTGGCGCCATCTCGGCTCACTGTAACCCCCGCCTCCCAGGCTCAAACAATTCTGTGCCTCAGCCTCCCAAGTGGCTGGGACTACAGGCGCCCACCACCATGCCCAGCTAATTTTTGTATTTTTAGTTGAGATGGGGGTCTCACCATGTTGCCCAGGCTGGTCTCGAACTCCTGAGTTCAGATGATCTGCCCGCGTCGGCCTCCCCAGATGGTGAGATTACAGGCGTGAGCCAGCATGCCCGGCCAGCATGTTATTTTATTTCTTTACACATCTCTAAAATGAAGAGAATGATAATGCCTCCCTCACAGGGTTGTTGAGAGAATTATATCAGATGGATACGTTTGAAGTCTCAGCTCATTGCCTGTGACAAAAGTCGTCTTCAATAAATGTCAGTAGTCATTGCAGTGGCAGCAGGAACAGTGCAGTGAGGGTGTGGCCCAAAGGTGTGTCCAGCTCTCAGGTTTTGTTTAGCACTCACTCACCTCCTGCGGTCCATCTATGGCCACTGGAGAGTCCATGACTGTTGTACTCATAAGGGCAAAAGATGGGTTTGATCTTTGTGTTCCGCGCGGTGCTCTTTACATGTGGTGAGGGATAGAGAAGTATTTGATGGAGAAGTGAATTATTGATTAAAATTCATCTGGGAAAGAGCCAAAGTGGAGAAAGTTTTCCAATAGAGGAAAATGTCTTATTAAAGTCTCAGGAAATGAATTGCTTTTTATTTAATGTTTCCCTAAAGTTTTTTTTTGTTTGTTTGTTTGTTTTTTTTTAGACAGAGTTTCGCTCTTGTCACGCAGGCTGGAGTGTGGTAGTGTGATCTCAGCTCACTGCAACCTCTGCTTCCTGGGTTCAAGCGATTCTTGTGCTTTAGTCTCCTGAGTAGCTGGGACTACCACCGTGGGCCACAACGCCTGGCTAATTTTGAATTTCAATTTTTTTAGTAGAGACGTGTTTTACAATGTTGGCCAGGCTGGTCTCGAACTCCTGACCTCAAGTGATCCACCTGCCTTGGCCTTCCAAAGTGCTGGGATTACAGGCGTGAGCCACCGTGCCTGGCCTCCCTAATGTTTTTTAATCATTGTTTTCAAATTCCATTTTTACAAGAATGAGAGTTGCATTAAAAAGAAGTAAGGGCTGGGCACGGTGGCTCCTGCCTGTAATCCTAGCAGTTTGGGAGGCCGAGGCGAGCGGATCACTTGAGCCCAGGAGTTCAAGACCAGCCTGGGCAACATGTCAAAACCCCATCAGTACAAAAAATGCAAAACTTAGTCAGGCATGGTGGTAGAGGCCTGTAGTTCTAGCTACTCAGGAGGCTGAAGCAGGAGGATCCTGAGCCCAGGAGGTCGAGGCTGGGGTGAGCCGTGATTGTGCCACTACACTCCAGCCTGGGTGACAGAGTGAAACACCGTCTCAAATAAAAAGTTTAAAAAACAAGAAAATAAAAATAAAGTCAATTTTTTTAAAGTAAGGATCAGCAATAGCCCATTTTTTTAATAGTAGCTTTGAATTTCAGAGGTAAAATGTGCCAAGTATGTGGTCCCTAATATTTGTCTATATTTTGAGACAGGGTCTCACTCTGTTGCATGGACCTGACTGCAGTGGTGCAATCACAGCTCACTGTAGCCTTGACCTCCTGGGCTCAAGCAATCCTCTTGTCTCAGTCTCCCCAGTCAGGGGCATTGCTTGAAGCCAAGAGTTTGAGACCAACCTGGCCAAAAAGCGAGACTTCATCTCTACAAAAAATACAAAATAATTAGCTGGTATATTTAACCAAAAGACACTTTGTGGCAGAATCACAGAGGCACGTGACAAACTGCCTCCTCCTAAATGACAACCAGGGTTAATTAAGTTACTGAGGCTTGGTTTTAATAATTTCCACTTACATACAAGGAGCTTTTGAAAAAATTTTTTTAATTTTTTTTTTTTGAGACACGTTCTCACTCTGTCGCCCAGGCTGGAGTGCAGTGGCACAAACACAGCTCACTATAGCCTTGACCTCCTGGTCTCAAGCAATCCTCCTACCTCAGCCTCCCAAACAACAGGAACTATAGGTGTGCACACCATGGCCCGCTAATTTTTTTATTTTTTGTAGAGACAGAGTCTCACTTTGTTGCCCAGACTGGCCTTAAACTACTGGGCTCAAGCCATCCTCCTGCCTCAGCCTCCCAAAATGCTGGGATTACAGGCGTGAGCCACATACCGGGAACTTTGAGATGCTGAGATGAAAAGTGGTGTGGGAGCTCCAAGTACCTTGTTATGATTTTTAAAAGCCCCAGAGGATATTGGCCTTAAGGAGACAGAAGCTGCCTAGCATTACAAGGACCCCTGGCTTGAAGCACGGTGGGGAGGGGACCCTGATTTCCCAGATGTGAGGCCCAGCGTGCCTGTCGAGGACAGGCTGCAGGGAACCTGAGGGACTGCAAGACACTGCCTGACTGTCTCAGGATCATGCCAGTGAAAAGGTGTCATTCAAGCCAGATCCATTTCAGGCATTTGTTACCAGGACGGTGACAAGTCTTGGACTGATGGTTAGAGAACTAATGCTCATTTTAGACCCAGCCATTGGCATGTTTGCACCAAGCATGGAGCAAAGGCAGCGTTCTGCACTTTCTTGCCGTTTCTGCAGCGGGCTTCCATTTCTCAGCATGGCTGTCAGGAGGCACCCGGCAGCAGTTTGCATCTAGGGAGCTCTTCTTACCCTCAAGAAACCCTGGTTTTTCCTTTCTTTTCACAGAACAAAGCCTCCTTGTATATTAGGGACCCAGGGAGAAGACAGGGATTTCGAATCCTTAGAGGATGCTAAAAAGCTTGCCTTGAGTCAATATAATTTTTTTTTAACTGATTTACATGTCACATTTTCCTCTTGTATCTACTCATCCTAGTGCAGAGAAATGTTTGGAAAGTGGAAAGTGGGACGAGAGTAGGGGAAATAGATGGCCCTGGGCCACACACCTGGGAGTAATCAGATCAGCTGTGTCCTCAGCTTCTCCTTCACGTTGGCTGGGCTGCCTGCACTTGCTTCCTGATGACTTTAGGTTTGGGATTTCCACCATCTTTCGAGAATCCACATGCTTGTGTGGGGAAGATGGTGCAGTTACCACGTCAGACCTGAAGAAAGATGCGTGCTCATTTAATGGAATTCAATTAAATTTTTATTTTTATGGAAGTCATCTGCTCACAACATCACTCACCCAAAACCCAGGACCAGCCCTCCTCTCTGTCCTTATCAGTCTGGGTATGGAAAGCATGACTTACTCATGAAATTCACAGGGTCCCTGGTTCAGGGTGCTGGCCGATCCCTCAGAAGACCTTAATAAAAATGCAAATGGCCTTGACTCATTTATAAAATGTGCCCACAAAAACGGAATGGAAGTTCTTGGGTTAAATGCCAGATGATTGGTCTCTGAAACAATTCCTCCTCCCCTCCCCACTGGGGAAGAGAATGGGGAAAGTAACTGGCGAGTGGGGGATGTGGGACCACTTGGAGGTAACTGACCTCAACAGAGACCAGCCTTCTACAAAAGTAGGCTCAGGATAGAGGGCACCAGGACTGGGGCTTTTTCTGTGAAAGGAGGCACCATGTCTCCCCTCCCCCTCACACATACCCAGCTAGTAGCACAAACACACAGAAAGAATAGCTCTTATTCCTTTTAGATATTAATAGCATTTTAGATGTTTCCTCACTTACTCCTTAAAACAGATCTGTGAAGGGTTCTCTCTCATCGGCTGGTGGGATTTAGAAAGGGAGGGTAACTTGTCCAGTGTCTCGGCTAGTGGAAGCTGGGGGGACTGGAGCTTAGCCCCATGTCTGTGCACCTGCAGACCTTCCAGCCTGGGATCACCCAGGCAGAATCTGAGGGAAGGACAGGTCAACAGCTGGAGGTGTGAGCATCTGAGGCTCAGAGCCAGAATAGGCCAGGAGTCGGGTGAAGGGGGAAGGCCTTCACATGCTGGAGGAAGTTCCCAGCCAAGACTAACTCACTTCCTCTTCTGAGACGCCAGGTATCTGGGCAGTCTGGAAGAGGAAATGATGAATGAGTTGTTGAAAAAAAATGGTCAAACCCAGGGAATCTCAGATGCCCTTTCTCATTCTTGGGCTGCATCGACTAGACAAAAATGTAGCCCAAGAATTCCACCTCGGGCTCCAGGTGCTGCAGTTCTCAGGGAGGTGTCGGGGAACTGAGGACCAGACCAGAAGTCTCTGTAGGATGTCTGATCTCCTCTGGCAGGAAGGCCATTGGTGGGAGTGTTTCCACTAAAACCAAGAGAGCTGAAGAGTTGAGAGTTGAATGAGGTGGGGTGGGAAGAGGGGGCAGGACAAAAGTCTGAGTACCAGGTGGGTCATTTATTCAACCTTCAACAAATATTGACTGAGGCACTGGAATATAGATCATGAACAAGCACAGACTGTTGCTCATGGGACATATGTTCTAATGCATGAGCAACATGCATGTTTTGTATATTCTAATAGGAAAAGTGACCAAGAAATGGATAAAATAGGGCCAGGCACAATGGCGTATGCCTGTAATCTCGGCACTTTGGGAGGCTGTGGCAGGTAGATTGCTTGAGTCCAGGAGTTCAAGACTAGCATGAGCAACATAGCAAAACCTTGTATCTATGAAAATTTTGTTTTAAAAAATTAGCTGAATGTGTTGGTGCATGTCTGTAATCCCAGCTACTCAGGAGGCTGAGGCAGGAGGATCATCAGAGCCTGGGAAGTGGACATTGCAGTGAACCTAGATTGTACCACTGCGCTCCAGCCTGGGCCACAGAGCAAGACCCTGTCTCAAAAAAAAAAAAAAAAAAAAAAGAATGGCTGGGCGCAGTGGCTCTTGCCTGTAATCCCAGCACTTTGGGAGGCCGAGGCAGGTGGATCACCTGAGGTCAGGAGGTCGAGACCAGCCCGGCCAACATGGTGAAACCCTGTCTCTACAAAAATACAAAAAATTTGCTCGGTGTGGTGGCAGGTGCCTGTAACCCCAGCTACTCGGGGGGCTGAGGCAGGAGAATCACTTGAATCTGGGAGGTGGAGGTTGCAGTGAGCCGAGGTCGTGCCATTGCACTCCTGGCTGGATGACAAGCGTGAAACTCTGTCTCAAAAAAAAAAAAAAAAAAAAAAGAATGGTAAAATAATTTCAAGTTTTAATAAGTGCAACGATGAAAACAAACAAGAGGCTGAAGGCCTGAGGAATTTTAAGTGAGAGAATGATGTCTTTCTGATCGTGTCACTTCTGTGCCGTGGGTGAAAGGTAGAAGGCAGCCAAGGAGATCAGCTAGGAGGTTCTTCCCATAGGCCAAGGGAGCTGCCCAAAGAGGAAGAAGACAGAGGTAGAAATGAGCAAGGAGGGTGCATATTTTTGGAGAGATCCTCAGTAGGACTTCCTGGAGGGCCAGATATGGAGGTTACGGGGAGGGAAGAGTCAAAGGTGACTCCCCGGTTTCCTACGGGCTGGGCATGGCGCCGTTTTCTGAGACAAGGAAGTAGTCATCAAAGCAAAGGGGCCCTGTGGTGGTCATCTGGGGGGTCTTGAAGAGCCAGGGGGATGAGCGCATGGTATCCCTTTGATGCACTGGTCAGGGGTGATGTAGGGAAATGCAGAGATGGAAGCTCTGCCAAGAGTTAAGCCAATGAGGTTTGTTAGATAAAGCCCTCAGCACAGTGCTAGGAGCACGGTGATGACTCAATACATGATAGCTGCTCTCCTGTTAGGAATGGGCCAGACTCCTGATAAGAGCCAGGATGGAATAGACAGAATAGGAAAGGACAGGGTGAGGCATGCCAGGTAACCTGGGTCTCCCCTGCAAGTGCTGTGTGTTCTCTGAGGATCACCAAGGGAAAACTAGAAAGCAGGGTCAGGATGGAGTGGGGTTTCCATCCCTGAACACCTGCAGTGGGACCTAGGCATCCCTCTCTGTTGGGAGGCACATGTGTTCTCCAGGCTGGAGGCATGGGCTGGAAGCTTCTGGATCTGACTCTCGCCTGCAGCTGCTCCAGCAGCATTTGAGCACAGTGGGGGGCTGGGTCTTGCTGTCCTCAGCATTAGCAAGCCAGGGAGCAGTTCCCCTCGTACTGTGTTAAGCTCCTTTCCATGGAAGAGATTTTCTCCAGAAGATTCCTTCCCTGGGGACGTCTGCAGTTTCCCCTCCTGTTTGATCCCCCTTCCCCCTCCCTTTGTTCAGCTCCCCCAACCTCTCAGACTCAGGATAGTGACAACACAGCACACAGTGTGACCTGCTGAGGCCAAAAGGTTTTCCGTCATTCCAATTATTCCTGTATCAAAATACACATGCAATTTAAAAACATTTGCTTTTTAAAACTTATAAATTGAAAGAGGACCTTGATCTAAAATCTTTGCTCTCAAAATAGATTTCTATTGACTTTAAATAGGAGTCAGACCCAGTTGAGCTCTATGGAGTCAGACACTTCATCTTGGGGAAGAGCACTAATATTAGAAATCTGAGGCCAGGCGCGGTGGCTCACGCCTGTAATCCCAGCACTTTGGGAGGCTGAGGCAGATGGATCACCTGAGGTCAGGAGTTCGAGACCAGCCAGGCCAACATGGTGAAACCCTGTCTCTACTAAAAATACAAAAATTAACTGGGGGTAGTGGAGCATGCCTGTAATTCCAGCTACTCAGGAGGCTGAGGCAGGAGAATCGCTTTAACCCAGGAGGTGGAGGTTGCAGTGAGCTGAGATCATGCTACTGCACTCCAGCCTGGGCAACACAGTGGGACTCTGTCTCAAAAAAAAAAGAAAAGAACTCTGCAGTGCCAGTTTTCTGATAAGAAAAGGGATAATTATATTTACCTATTTCATAGGATGTCAGCTATAATTATTGAAAGTTAATTTTTTAAAAATAGAACTTGGTATTTCCTGCCAGTGCTTTTGAACTTCAGACTACCTCTTCTCTCTCTCTCTCTCATGCTCACACACACACACACACACACACACACACACACACACACCTCCTTTCCTCAGGAGGCCACAGACAGCATTTCCACAAGCCTCACTAGCAATCCTAATGAAAACTCCTCAAGGTGGCTGTGATATCTGCCAAGACAAAAGCCAAGGGGGTCTTTGAGTAACACGTTCCTAATTTTAAGAGCTTCTGGCTTATCACCTTCCATTTTAAGTTTCCTATCCAGGGTAGATCAAGATCTGAAAAGATGCTGTGGTGAGGCTGTTGGGAAATGCTATGCATAGCTTCTGTTTTCACCTCTGGGACCTTTCCAGTCCTTCCCAGGTCCCAAGAGGAAGGTGGGATAACGCAGTCTCCTGCTGTGGTTCATCCTCAGCAGGAGAGAGAAGTCCAGCTGGTCCCCAGCACATTGCTCCCCTCTACCCTGTAAGCCTGCCGCGCCTCCAAGTCGGCTCACCTTTAAAGCCGGCTGAGCCACTCTCAGTAGAGGGGCTGGTGGCCTGCTCTGTAGCAAGGGCATGGGGGTAGTCTGGATTCCCCACATGGGACAACATCTGGTACTCTCTGGAAGCTTCTACATGTCCCCCAAGCATCCCTGCTACCTAGGTGAAGACTTGCATGTCAGAAGGGTTACCCAGCACGGAGCTTGCTTCTCGCACAGAAGCCAATGTGATGGTACCGGATGATAAGAAAAGATAAAGCTTTAATGCGAGTTGACTGGCCAGGGGACAGCAAGCAGTGCTCAAGTCTGTTCCCCGATCTGGGGTGGCGCGAGCCTCTGTGGCCTTTCTAACTAGTCCCAGGTGATGCCATGGCAGCGGGTCTGCCAGGCTTGTAGTGGGAACAGTCAGGAGGTTAAACTTTTCCCTTTGCCCATGCCTGGGCAATTCTGGCTCTGCATCACTGTAACACGGTTAATGTTACTGCTGTAATGGTTAGTCAGTTGAACTGGGTTCGGGATACAGAAGCACTTGGAATGGTCAATAGGTAAGCCTCAAAGAGGTTTCACAAAACCACACAGCTAAGATGGGGGGCTTTCTGATGTTTTAGAGCAGCAGTTCTGACTTTTTCCCCACCCAGGTACTCTTCTCTTTTTCTTTTCTTTTCTTTTCTTTTTTCTCTTCTCTTCTCTTCTCTTCTCTTCTCTTCTCTTCTCTTCTCTTCTCTTCTCTTCTCTTCTCTTCTCTTCTATTCTCTTCCTTTTTTGAGATAGGGGCTCGCTCTGTCACCCAGGCTGGAGTGCAGTGGCTAGGTCATAGCTCACGGCAGCTTCAAACTCCTGAGCTCAGGCGATCCTTCCACCTCAGCTAGGACCACAGGTGCGTGCCACCATGCCTGGTGCCTGGCTAAGTTTTAAAATTTTTTGTAGGTACAGGGTCTCCCTCTGTATCTCAAAGTGTTGGGATTACGGGCGTGAGCCACTGCACCCAGCCCCCACCCAGTTACTCTTACTGGCAAAGGAGAAAAACAAATCCCCTGTCCTCTGGGCCAAGGGCACAGCAGAGATTTGCCAAAAGCATGAAATAGCCTGTTTTATCACAAACCCCTGTGTGGCCATAAAACTATGTATGAACTTTACCCTTTATTCCTACCTATAGGTTTGTTTTAATATACAAGTCATGATTTGTGCTATATCAAACTACTTAACTCTCCGACCGCACCTCCTAGGAATTTTTAAATAAAATCGAGGCTATGGGAGGATGCTTGGGGTTTGTCCTACGGCTCTGTGTGACTTGATGTTCCCCAGCTCACACTTGGGGAAGAAGCATCAGTGGTGGCCCTGAGCTCTCCCCCGGGCCTGCCCTGCCCAAGTGCACAGGGTGCTGGGCAAAGTTGTTTCTGCCGTGCCCTGCTGGAACTTCCAGACAACTCCTGACTGCCCGATGGTGTTTGACCTTCCATGACTTTCTCCGGTCTTGTCATAATCTCCATCCTCCCACGTGGGTGCTTCCTTTTGGGTGTTTTCCTAACAGCACCATTGCATCTGTTGGAAAACAAGGTCATTAGCTCTCTGCCTCTTGTTCCTTCGTGTTTCTCCAATATCGTTCAAGTCTTGCAGACTTTCCTGCCAGTTTCCCAGCTTTGTTTGCCGTTTCAGTGTTCTGGGCAGAGGTGGAGACCTAAGCCCAACAAGTAATCAAACAAACAAAAACAAATAGAAGACTCAGAGCTGACCAGAGAGGTTTGCAACAGCATTACCTCGGGGGCTGCAGGTTCAAAGGTGTAAGCATGACCTCTGTTCTGATGCCAGGCTGGTAGTTAGGGGAAGTTTGGAACAAGATCACCAATCTCAACAGAACATGGTCCTTCCACATTTCCAGCATCAAGTCAGACAGGCAGCCTCACCATAGCTTAGGGCGGAGAGCGGGCATTGGAACTGTGCGGGTAGCTTTGGCTGAACCATGAAAATCGGGCAAGTGACTTAATCAACTCATCCTCTGGACTGTGCTTGTTCAAGTGTCATATGCACAACACCTTAAATTTGCTGTTGTTTTAAGTTAGCATACAACGTCCTGAATGATGGTTTAAAAAAAAAAAAGAAAAAAATGAATTTTTTTTCTAAAGTTGAAAGAGTGTAATAATCAGGGACACAAGGAGCAGATTTAGTGTTTTTTGTTCTTTTTATTGGTGTCCTGCTCTTCATTAGAGTCTTTTTTTTTTTTCTTTCCCGAGACGGAGTCTTGCTCTGTTGCCCAGGCTGGAGTGCAGTGGTGCAATCTCAGCTCACTGCAACCTCTGCCTCCTGGGTTCAAGCGATTCTCCTGCCTCAGCCTCCCGAGTAGCTGGGATTACAGGTGCGCCACCCCATGCCTAGCTAATTTTTGTGTTCTTGCTAGAGAAAAGGGTTTACTGTGTTGACCAGGCTGATCTCGAACTCTTGATCTCGTGATCTGCCGGCTCGGCCTCCCAAAGAGCCGGGATTACAGGTGTGAGCCACCGCGCCTGGCCCCATTAGAGTCTTACAAGCATAGATAGTATCAGTAGCACCAGCACGCACAAAGGCTCCCTCTGCACTGGGTCCTGTGCTCCAGGCTCTGTGTGCATTTTATTAATTCTCTTCACAACCCTCTGAAGTAGATTCTCTTATCACCCTAATTTTGCACATGGCTTAAGGGGATTAAAAAACTTCCCCCAAGGCCAGGCGTGGTGGCTTATACCTGTAATCCCAGCACTTTGGGAGGCCTAGGCAGGTGAATCACTTGAGCCCAGGAGTTCGAGACCAGCCTGGGCAATATGGCGGAAACCTCCATCTCCACACAAAAATACTGAAAAATTAGCCTAGTGTGGTTGTGTGTGCCTGTGGTCCCAGCTACTTGGGAGGCTGAGGTGGGAGGATCACTTGAGCCCAGGAGGTCAAGGCTGCAATGAGCTATGATTGTGCCACTGCACTCTCAAAACAAACAAACAAAAACCTTCCCCAGGTTCACGCAAACTGGGAAGTGTCAGAATCAGTCTCGAAGCTCTGGTGCCTCTGATCAGGAGTCTTTCTCTTGACCACTGTGTGACACATCCACACCCACCAGCTGTCTCCCTGGAGAAAGCTTACCTTTTCGTGTTCAAGATAAGGAACAATATCAAAAATGAACAGGAGCACCAGAATGCTGGAATCATATTATATTTCTGATTGTTAGTGTATTTCTAGCTTTGTATTACTTTATATTTAAGGAATACATTTAGTGAAGCACTGTTTTGTTTTTTGTTTTTGCTTTTGCTTTTTTTCTGCTAGAGAGTATCTTGACTTTCAGGAGTTAGAACTCACTTCTAATAAGAAGATATTTACATCCGTAATTTAGCTGGTGTATCTTCTGGATTGATTGATTTTATTACCCTGCCATGCTGGAAGTGTGAATTCAGCCAAAGCATACAGATTTCAACATTTGTATAAAGGCTACCTCAAGAGGGCGCTCCTTGCAAGCCGTAGAGTTGTTTAGTTCTCTCCGGGCCTGACACTTGATTTTGGAGAGTATTTTCAGAGACTGCATTGCAATCCTGCATGAGTACAGAGGAAATTCATGGAAGAGCCATGAGGAAACATAACAGAAGTGCAGAAATCTGAGTCTTTAGGATGGAAGTTGTGAAGTTTCAGGGATTTCAATTTTTATAAAGATTAAAGAAAAACCTCTCAATTCTTTTCCTGTATAGAATCATAGAAGGGCTAGAAGAATTGCTTTTCTCTATTTTTAAGGACTTGGTAGGAGTGACGGTGGGAGAATTCTCAGCTCTTCTAGATAACCAATTACATCATTTAATATATTGATTTGATATCCTGAGGCAGATGGTATTAGGGTATTTGTTTTTGTTCTTTTAAAAATCATATTAGGGCCAGGTGAGGTGGCTCATGCCTGTAATCCCAGCACTTTGAGAGGCCGAGGTGGGTGGATCACCTGAAGTCAGGAGTTCAAGACCAGCTTAGCCAACATGGTGAAACCCCGTGTCTACTAATAATACAAAAATTAGCTGGGTGTGGTGGTGCACGCCTGTAATCCCAGCTACTTGGGAGGCTGAAGGTAGGAGAATCGCTTGAACCTGGGATGCGGAGGTTGCAGTGAGCTGAGATCACTCTATTGCACTCCAGCCTGGGCGACAAGAGCGAAACTCCATCTCTAAAAAATAAATAAATAAATATCATATTAACTCTTCTAAAAAAAATACAAAGAGGCACAGCTAAAAGGCAATAGGGAAATAAGAATGGAATTCTAAATAATGTTTAATTAATCCAGAAGAAGGTAAGAAAGGAGCAGAGGAATTTAAAAAACAGATGAGAGAAACTAAAAATAAATTCGAGCAGCAGACTTAAATGCAATCACATCAGTAGTTAACATTAAATATAAATTGACCAAACGGTCCAATTTAAAGACAGAAATTGTTAGGCTGCAGAAATAAAAACCCAACTCTATGCTGCCTTTAAATATAAATACAGATAAGTTGAAAGAAAAAAGATGGAATATGTCACACAAACAGTATGTTTTAGAAAGCTCGAATGGCCATATTAATATACAATAAAATAGACTTCAGGATGATATTACCAGAGGTAAAAGGGACAATTGTCCAGGAACATATAAGGCATAAAACTGTGTATGTCCAGTAATAGAGCTTAAAATACGTGAAGAAATATTGACAGGCCAGGCACCATGGTTCGCATCTATAATCCCTGCACTTTGAGAAGTCAAGGCGGGAGGATCGCTTAAGCCTAGGAGTTTAAGATCAGCCTGGGCAACATAGTGAGACCCTGTTGCTACAAAAAACTAAAAACTAGCTGGGCGTGGCAACACGCTCCGGTAGTCCCAGCTGTTCAGAAGGCTGGGGCAGGAGGATCTCTTGAGCCCAGGAGGTTGAGGCTGTAGTGATCTATGACTGTGCCACTGCACTCCAGCCTGGGCAACAGAGTGAGAGCCTGTCTTAAAAAAAAAAAAAAAAAAAAAAAAGGAAAGAAAACAAAAGATTGACAGAATTTACAGGAGTAATAGATAAATCCACCATCACAGTTGGCGATTTTAACATCCCTCTGTTAGTAATTGATAGAACAACTAGACAAAAGCACATTTATTCATCTAAATTGGCCATCCATGGTGGGGGCTGAGCTGCAGTCAGCTAATGGGTACTCTGCTCACGATGGTTTCTACTTCGTGTTCCTGGCTAATGAAGAAGCAGCTGTCTCAGCATCCTTTGTTACCCAGAGGACGTCTTGAGATTGATTACAGTTACTCCAAGGGTGAACCTGAGTCTTTACCTTGGCAAGCAAGTTATGGAGGATTTCCTCTTTACTCCAACACTTGAGATCAACCCTGTCGTCTAGACAGGATGAGTTTCTAGTGAACAGAGTAAATTGCTTCCACTCAAATAAGGCACCTATCTCCAAGGAGCACTTTGTAACTACCGTTTGCTACAACCCCAGGCTGCCGGGGAAGCAGGTTCCTCTGAGAGTCCTCAGTTTGATTACACTGATGGGCCCTTGAGCGCAGAGATTAGAGTTTTACCTATATAGTTAAGTGACACTTAAAGTCCAAGACCTATTATCTTCCAGCCATCCACTTCAGGACCAGATTAAATTCGGCTAGGACTGCTTAATAGGATTATGGAAACACAAGGACCAGCCTCATCCTCCTAGCTCCAGGCAGATTCCCCTCACCGCACCACTTATCAGTTCTCAGCCTAACCATCTCCTGAGAAGAGAATTTTTCAATTTCCTGCATTGATAGGATTTAACAGATTTCCGGGGCTGAGAAAATGGGGGCTTCCCACATTGTGAACGCTCTGTCTGGGTAACACAGAGGCCTTGTTTAGGTGAAAGCATCTTGTGTTTCTGTGTCAGTTAAGCCATGCGTGGTGATGGAGGCAGCACTGTCTGGACTGGTCTCAGAGCAATTCCTTTTTTTTTTGAGACAGGGTCTCTCTCTGTCGCCCAGGCTGAAGTACAGTGGGATGATCTCGGCTCACTGCAACCTCCACCTCCTGGATACAAGCCATTCTCCTGCCTCAGCCTCCCAAGTAGCTAGGATTACAGACATGTGCCGCCACGCCAGGCTAATTTTTTTTTTCTCTTTTAATTTTGATATTTTTAGTAGGGTTGGGGTTTCATCGTGTTGGCCAGGCTGGTCTCAAACTCCTGACCTCAAGTGATCCACCCGCCTCGACCTCCCAAAGTGCTGGGATTTCAGGCATGAGCCACCATACCTGACCCAGGTACCCAACTTTAAAGAAGAAAGTTTGGTCACAATACCATCTCCTTTTTAAGGGATGAATTGTTTAGGTTCATTTGGCGGTTTTCTAATCTTAACGTTCCGTGGCTTAACATTCAGCACTGAGAACTGAGGATTTGAATTCTGATTTGAGAACTTGATCTGATGAATGTAATGAAGGCATTTCTTTCTCCACCTCCCTTTCCTGGAGGTGCTGCGTACCTTTGCCTTTACTGTATCCTCAGATCAGCTTAGTGGGGCTCCTGCCTGTAGCGAGAAACTAATACCCTCTGTCAAATCTCCTGTATGCATATTTTTAAGCTCCAGATGAACGTTCCTTTTTAAAGAACTTTTACAACAGATTTGTTGTAAGACGTTAAGCTAGAAAGAAGTATTATCCTACACTGCTCTTATACTCTTGTGTTTGGGGTTGGTGGCCTGATTTTTCTTTTGAGGATATGTCTCATCGATGTAATTCTAAAACAATTTTAAACCCACAGATTAAGAACATATGTTTCTTCATGGCACATGTTGAGAAAGACTTCAACTCATTCTGCAGTCTTTACTGAAGAATGTCTTTAAAGCAAAATTGCAACTGGTCAGCTCTATTATCTACAAATTTTATCAAGTCTTGACCCAGAGAGTCAGACCAAAGGCTTATCTGACCTTGTATTCTTCCTCTGACAAAGGCCCCAGTTTTTTCAATTGTTGTGTGGGAAAGGTGGGTGGGGTGGGGAGGGTGATGAGGCGGAAAGATGTTTTCCTTCCCTTGTGTCAGTCACAGAATGTCAGGAATGTTCCTCAAAGGTAGATCTTCAGCATGACCTTTGCTAACTCCTTCTTGAATTTATTTATAGTTTATCTGCTACCTCTTGGGACATAAGTTTCAAATGCTTATTATCTGCAGTAGTACAGTACTTCCTCTTTTTGTCCTAAAATCATTTCTTTCAAGCTTCAAGGAGCACCCTGGGTCTCAGTATTTGGAAGCGATGATTACATCTGTATTTTCTCCATTCGGTTCAGCTTGATCCCAGAGGCTCTGATGGTATCTGCTCAGCCTTTGTCAAGACTGAGCAGGCTAATTTTAGTTTAGAAAATGGAAATTTTTCAAAGGAAACTTCCTCCACTAGACAAATTGTTTTTGACCTGAGGTTTTGATCAGGGTACAGTGGTCCTCATTGTTGAAATGCAGGAACACTTCTTGTTGACCGCTAACAAAGGGTTAAACATCACGGGCAGTGTTAGAACAAGTTAAAAACAGAACCTATCCAAAGCATATAACGTGCACTCCAAAATAAGCCAGGCTCGCTCCTTGTTAATGGGATCATTGCAGACATGCCAAATTCTACAACTAGTCAATTGTATACATATGGTAAAACTTTTCATACCATTCAACATTTGCTGCAATATGATTTTAATTACATACAGATTGGGTAGCTGGAAGAAAGCACTGGAATTAAATAGAAGAAAGTTCAACACAAGCTCTTTTATAAGCGGCCCTGGTTTAGGTTAGGATGTATGCAAATGACTGCCAGGGACAGGAAGAGGAATGTGTGGTTTGGAGGACTCTGGGGATGGGACATGACTCATCTTCAACCTGGGAACACAGTTGTTTATCTGGAAGGGAGAGTTTACAGAAACGGTGATTATATTCCTTTTGAAGTTGCAACTTATGCTGATGCTTGCACCTTGTTACTTACATTCTTCCTTCCCAAGTATAGGGTAGTCTCTGCAGACAAAGTTGCTCTCTGGGCAAAAATTGCATTCAGTTGGAAAAGTGGTGGGGGTTGGATATGAGAGAATGGTACTTCTGAAAATGGTACTTCTGAAACTCCCCCCCCTTTATTAGGCTGTGTTTCTTGTTTCTTTGAAGTTAATTTTACATAATGATTTCAAACGTGGTGCTGTTTATTTTATGCAAGAAAAGAGCTGGGAAGCACATTTTGTTTCAGATTCTGAAATGGCGATGGCCGTTGTGGGAGCGTGGATGGGCCTTTGCCTTTTACAGAGGGGGAAACCGCCACTCTGGAATGTGCTTTCCTCAAACTTTCATGGCATATCTTTGGTTTTTCTCATAACTTACTGGAATGGCTTTTACTGACTAAATATCTTTTTGGTGAGCCGCTCTGCATCTCAGCTTTCTCTTTTGTGAAATGAAGATAACATCCCCCAGCGCTTACTTCATGAGGTTTTTGTCTGAAGAAGTTTGAAGACTTCAAGACACAAAACCTGACTGAACTGCAGAGCCTGCGAGCATCTCCCAGGGAAAAGATGGAGTTAGTGTAAGAAGGATGTGGAACGAGCCCTGCTTTCTAGAACCAGTCCTGTCATCACAGCAGGCCATCTCCAGGATGGGGATGGGGGTGCCGGGAAGCTTAGTGTAGGGGCCAGCAGAGGCTCCAGGGAGAAGGGGACTGGGCCTCCTGGGAGCCCCAGTCACAGAGTGGGTGAGCCAGTGGATCCCAGGTGTGGGGGAAGACAACAGACCCACCCCAACATCATCTTTGGCCAGGAAACTTCATTAGCAGTTTCCACCTGCTCTGCAGCCTCTTGGCTCACCTGGATGTGGCCATAGCAGTGACAAGCATCTGTATCCATGCTCATCCGCCTCTCCCGGTGAATATTCATGTACAGAAATGAATCTGCAGACATACACACTCTAGTCTACTTCTCTGTCGTTTGGGCTTTAGCTAAGTCATTTTTTCTTGAGAAAGTCACCAGTTTTAGCCTAGAGGGAGTTGTGGACTTATGATCTATTTGATTAAATAATTAAGTTATTTATTTACATTTCTCCCTAATAAATATCTGTAGGTTGGAATATCTTACTTTGAGGGAGATGGCAGGACTAACTAGCTAAAATGTAGCCTCTAGTTATGAATTTCTTGAGGGCAGTTTCCACATCTTACCCTCTTTTGCTGGGTAAGTAAAGACTAGATGAATAACTCTAAAGTTAATTTCACTTTGTCGAAATGGATTTTTTAATGGATTGCTTAATGTGTTCAGATATATACAATAATGACATCTACCAGTCATACAAGTAAGTTTCTCCCTGTTTCAAAAGAAAGGAAGGATGGAAGGATAAAAGGAAGAGAAGGAGGAAAGTCATTTGTACTTCATTTCAAATAGGAATTCCTCATTTCTTCTTTGGTATTTACACCAGTGGCCTTAACATATTGATCCCAAGCAAAATTAAATACTTCTAGAAGCCACTTTTACGGAGCCCCAGTACTCAGTTATCAAGTCCTAAAGAAGCAGGAGATACTGAATTTAGCTGCAGGGGATCTTTTGCTGTGCAAGGCACCCCAAAGAAGTCACGTTATACATAGAGTGCCACCGTCCTGTGCCCACTTTGCCATCTGCCACCTCCCTTGTTGAGACCACAGTTTTCTGGGGTCTGGGCTAAACTCAGCCACACAGAGACCATCTTCCCTCACATTGGGAAAGGGGACAGGTGCATGGGGGTGAGACGGGCTTGATCAGCACGAAGAGGCTGGCTGCTTTATATGCGGTGTGACTCAGGCCTCTTGCTCCAGGGTCTGACTTCCCTCTTGCTGACCTTTACCACTTTGCCATTGGGTTCCTAACCCACTCACGTGCGAAGAGAACGCCAGACAGTAACATAGGGAAGGGCATTCTAAGCACTGGAGAGGAAGTAAACATGTGCGGGTGTCTAAGAACATGGCAAATTTTTGGATAACAGAAAGTTTACCATTGTTGGAATGTAGGAAAAAGGGATGAGTGGGAATTTACTGGATATAAGGCTGGTGCGCCAGATCGGGACCAACTTGCACTCACCATGGTCAATTATCATGATATATTTATGTGTCTGTATCTCCCACTTGTTTGTACCCTGATATCTAGGAATGGGTCTTACTGACTTTTTCCAGTAATTCCTCAATTCCATGGTGTTTTTACAAGGGCCCGGTAGATTTTTCTTGAATGGATGACTGAGTGGATATCGATTAGTATTGGAAGTCAAGTTAGCTCAGACTGACAAGCTGAGCGGACTATAAATGGGTTATATACCATGGTGATTTGTTTGGACTTTATCTCCTAGGCAATACATATTCATTAAAGTTTCTAAAACAGAGGAGTGACCTAAACCTATCGGTGTTTTAGGAAGTAATTCTGGCTATAATGTGACAGATTGGTTTGTGAGAGACTAGAAGTTGTAACAACGGTTAAGAAACTAATATAATGGCTCAGAGGAGATAAGAGAAGGCCCGAGAGAATAGAGACTTGAGAGAGACATTTATAAGGCAGAATGTGGCCAGGCGTGGTGGCGCGGGCCTGTCAGCCCAGCACTTTGGGAGGCCAAGGCAGGCGGATAACTTTGAGGTCAGGAGTTTGAGACCAGCCTGGCCATCATGGCAAAAACCCATCTCTACTAAAAATACAAAAATTAGCCGGGCATGGTGGCATGCACCTGTAGTCCCAGCCACTCGGGAGGTTGAGGCACGAGAATCGCTTGAACCCAGGAGGCGGAGGTTGCAGTGAGCCGAGATGGGGCCGCTGCACTCCAGCCTGGACAATGGAGTGAGACTCTGTCTCAAAAATAAAATGAAATAAAATAAAAGTTTACAAGGCAGTATTAGAGCCCAGCCCCAACTTTTGGTGAAATCAAAGATCATCGTTGGCTGGGTGTGGTGGCTCATGCTTGTAATCCCAACACTTTGGGAGGCCAAGGTGGGAGGACTGCTTAAGCCAAGGAGTTTGAGACCACTCTGGGCAACATGGCGAAACCCTGTCTCTAGAGAAAATACAAAAAAAAAAAAACAACAAAATTAGCTGGGTGTGGTGATGTGCACCTGTAGTTCTAGCTACTTGGGAGGTTGAGGTGGGAGGATCATCTGAGCCCAAGAAGTTGAGGCTTCAGTGAGCCATGATCATGCCACTGTACTCCAGCCTGGGCAACAGTGAGACCTGTCTCAAAAAAAAAAAAAAAAAAAAGATCATTGATGCCTCAAGTGAAATTAAGTATGATTTTCAAGTATATTTATATTCAAAGAGGAAAAGGAAAAGAGATCTTAGCAATTGGACACTAAACATAACTGATTGATGTTCATTTAGAATAATGACACTTAGTAAATAAGCATTGGGTGACCAATAAGATTTACATGGACATGCAAAAGAACTGATCTTTATAGGAAACAGAATATGCATATTGCTTTTATAATATACATGCTTTATAAATACATGAGTGAAAAGTATATGCTGGTGTAATAAGTATTATCAGGGCTGCTGCATGTGGTCTCACAGGTTGTGCACTGCACAACTCTAGGGCACAGCATTAATAATAGCAATAGGTCACCTACACCCCATATGTCCCTTTTATCCTTCAGCTGAACAAGTTCATGGACTGCTGCTTTGAGTAATAAAGATGTTTAGGATGGGAATTTGATAACCTTGTGAGGATTAATCATCTGATAGAAGCTTCTATGGTCAGGTCATTAGTGTTAGGTGTGTGTTGATTAGGAGTAGAGGACGTCTTTAAAAAATGAGAGAAGTTTTTCTCCTTCTAAAAGACTTAAAAAAAAAAAAGGCAGAATCTTACTCTGTCTTCCATACTAGAGTGCAGTGGCGTGATCTTGGCTCACTGTAACCTGCATCTCCCGGGTTCAAGCGATTCTCCTGCCTCACCCTCCCAAGTAGCTGGGATTACAGGAGCCCACCACCACTCCTGGCTAATTTTTGTATTTTTAGTAGAGACGGGTTTTTACCATGTTGGCCAGGCTGGTCTCGAACTCCTGACCTCAGGTGATCCGCCCACCTCAGCCTCCCAAAGTGCTGGGATTGCAGGCTTGAGCCACAGTGCCCACCCATAAAGGACGGACTCTCGCTCTGTTGCCCAGGTTGGAGTAAAGTGGTGCGATCCTAGCTCACTGCAACCTCTGCCTTCTGGGTTCAAGTGATTCTGGTGTCTCAACCTCCTGAATACATGGGACTACAGGCATGCGCCATGGCGCCTGGCTAATTTTTTAGTAGAAATGGGGTTTCGCCATGTTGACCAGGCTGGTCTTGAACTCCTGACCTCAGGTGATGTGCCTGCCTTGGCCTCAAAGTGCTGGGATTACAGGCGTGAGCCACTGCACCTGGCCTCTTCTACCCCCTTCTGATGACAGTGGCCGAATCAAGCGTTTTTGTTGGTGGTGATGTTTTAAGGCTTCCTAGTGTGTAGCGTGCCCCACGCAATGATGCTCGGTGTTTCTGTGTCTTGTTCAAAGTGAGTAATGCAGAATGACACGTGGACTCAGCCATTAGAAGGAATGGATTCACAGAAGTGGATGAAGAAAATAGGATCCCTGATATTCTTTCACAACAATCATATGTTGCTTTAAAATTTTTGTGGATTTTGCTCACATGCTTCAAGGGGAACAGCTCCAAAATGTGACAGCCCAGAATTTAGGTTTGGCTGGCTCCTGGCTATGGCCCGCTGTGACTGGGGTTTCTGAACCATCACAGCAGTTCTCAGCGGCCCGAGACTCAGCCGGGAGGATGCAGAAGGCTCTGTGTCAGAGCACAGCGCCCTCCTGGACGTTACTCTGCTGAGACCTAGTGGAAAGGAATGAAGCCTTGTTGATTTCAGAGCAGCCCAGACAAACTGCATTGTAGACAATCTCCAGGTTCTCAGCCCCTTGAGATCCAGTTGCCAAACTGTGGTCTGGAATGGGGCCTGGGCACAGCGCAGGTAGTGTACAAAGATCTGTTTTTCTCCCCACACATTCGTCTAGTGGAAACATGTCAGGCCTCCTCCTCCAAGGCTGTGCATTTATTTTAAAGAATGTTAGAGAGGAAATATATTGCTTACCATCTTCCTCCCTCTTTGGGAGTGTTTATTGTGATTGGAAATCATTCTAGTCCACGTGGCTGTGGTGTTCCCCCACTCTCTGTGCTCTATGTTAAACGGGCCTCTGTGCAAATAAACAGAAAAGGGCAACGTTTTTTATTCAGCTACAGAAGAAGGAGTGAAGTTAGACTCTGGAGAGCTGGAATCGCATAACCCTGGCTTGTGTGCTCGGCGGCGCGCTTTCTTTTCTTGCCGCTGGAGTGAAGCCAGAAGGTACAGTAGGGTCCTTAGCCAGTGATGGCCCAGAGCCCAGACTCAGGTATTCTGCAGTGAATGGCACTGCTGGCTCTGCCTCGCCGTTTGGTAGAATTTACCTGGGGTTTATCTTGACTACTCCTGCTGGGAAAGGACATTTTGAGTTGCTCTGAACTTCATTAAAACCTAAAAGTAAGAAACAAAGCTGAAAAACTTGTGCATTTTGGATATGAAACATTTTATTTTATTTTTATTTATTTATTTATTTTTGAGACGGAGTTTCGCTCTTGTTGGCCAGGCTGGAGTGCAATGGAGCGACCTCGGTTCACCGCAACCTCTGCCTCCCGGGTTCAAGCAATTCTCCTGCCTCAGCCTCCTGAGTAGCTGTGATTAGAGGCATGCGCCACCACGTCCGTCTAATTTTGTATTTGTAGTAGAGACGGGGTTTCTCTGTATTGGTCAGGCTGGTCTCGAAATACTGACCTCAGGTGATCCGCCTGCCTCGGCTTCCCAAAGTGCTGGGATTATAGGCATGAGCCACGGCCTATTTTATTTTTTTATTATTTATTTATTTATTTATTTATTTATTTATTTATTTATTTATTTGAGATGGAGTCTGGCTCTGTCTCCCAGGCTGGAGTGCAGTGGCGCGATCTCGGCTCAGTACAACCTCCGCCTCCCGTGTTCAAGCAATTCTCCTGCCTCAGCCTCCTGAGCAGCCGGGATTACAGGTGCCCGCCACAACGCCTACATTTTTGTGTTTTTAGTAGAGATGGGTTTTCACCATATTGACCAGGCTGATCTTGAACTCCTGGCCTCAGGTGATCCACCCTCCTCAGCCTCCCAAAGTGCTAGGGTTACAGGTATGAGCCCCTGCACCAGGCCCAGCTTATGACTTTGTAAGAAAGAGCAAACCAACAACCCAAACTGTGAGCAAGCTTAGAATAAAAAGCGAGGGCTCTAGTGGCAGGAGGGTCTGATTTTCTGCTCTGGTTCTGCTACTGTGTGACCCTGGGCAAGTCATTTAGCTTCTCTGCTCCTCTTACTTCATCCATCAGATGAAGACAATAGGACTTACTTAGTAACCAGAGTCCACCCACACTTCTGTTACAAAGAACAATTGTGATTAAACTCTCTGCCTTATTATGAATGTTGATCCTTGAACATGTTAGTTAAACCTGAGTCCTTGGTTTGGAATTAAGATGTGTACAAAACCACATAATCAGGAAACATTGAATACACTTTCATTTACTTTTAATTTATTTATTTTAATTTTTTTTGTAAAAATAATAGAGATGGGGTCTTGCTATGTTGCCCAGGCTGGTCTCAAACTCCTGGACTCAAGCAATCCTCTCACCTTGGCCTCCCAAAGTGCTAGGGTTACAGGTGTGTTACTTTTAGTATTTTACTTGAAAATAATGTATTAGCATTGACAATAATGAAAATGGTGAATACTTACAGGATACCTTTTGGTTCATGAAGCAGTTTCTCATGAACTATTACCTTTGTTTCTAAATGAGATAAAAAATCATGCCCTGGCCAGGTGCCGTGGCTCACACCTGTAATCCTAACACTTCGGGAGGCCAAGGCAGGTGGATTGCTTGAGCCCAGGAGTTTGAGGCCAGCCTGGGCAGCATGGCAAAACCCCGTCTCTACAAAAAAATTACACAAATTGGCCAGGCATGGTGGCACATGCCTGTAGTCCCAACTACTCCGGAGACTGAGGTGGGAGGACCACTGGAACCCAGGAGATAGAGGCTGCAGTGAGCCATGATTGAACCACTGCACTCCAGTCTCGCTCTGTCACCCAGGCTGGAGTGCAGTGGTGCGATCTTGGCTCACTGCAACCTCCGCCTCCCGGATTCAAGCGATTCCCCTGCCTCAGCCTCTTGAGTAGCTGGGGCTACAGGTGTGCGCCACCACGCCTGGCTAATATTTTGTATTTTAGTAGAGATGGGGTTTCACCATGTTAGCCAGGATGATCTTGATCTCCTGACCTCATGATCTCCCCTCCTTGGCCTCCCAAAGTGCTGGGATACAGGCATGAGCCACGGCGCCCAGCGTAATTATTCTATTTCAACATACACTAGTGTTTTCTCCTTGGCTGTAACCTACAGTGAAGGAGAACTTGTTAAAGACCCTGTTATTTTTACAGTCTGACACACATGATGGGTGAAGAAACAGAAAACATAAATATCTGGTTGTTATTTTTCTATGTTTCTGGGGCTGATTATTTTGTATAACATCCAGTTCTTGTCATCATCATCATAATCCTGTATGGGGAAAATATGGATGAAATCATAGATAAGATAATTTTTCTTGATGTCATTTCATATTACTGCTTGTTAACAGATAAATATTCAATAATCAAGGTACCAAAATATGACTGCCCCGATATGGCTGCGTCATTGCATACTGCACGTCAGAGAGCCTTACAGTACGAATGAGTGACACAGGTTACTCTGTGGGTGGACCTTTTTTCTCCTGCCTGGAATCCGTACTCAGAAAGCTGAGAAAATGTGTCCATGTGACAATCTAGTGGATTGCCCTGAATCCTCAGCTTACCAACATGGTACCCAGAAGATGTCTGAAGGAAGTTTTATTAAAGTAACAGAAAATTTCATAACTATATCCTCTAAGGGAGATCACAATAACCTGCCATCCCAAAGGAGGCTCCGTTCTGGGGATTAAGACAGTTTGAAGGGGCCAGGCGCGGTGGCTCATGCCTGTAATCCCAGCACTTTGGGAGGCTGAGGTGGGTGGATCACGAGGTCAGGAGTTCAAGACCAGGTTGGCTAAGATGGTGAAACCCTGTCTCTACTAAAAAACTACAAAAATTAGCCAGGCGCAGTGGCAGGCGCCTGTAACCCAGCTACTCGGGAGGCTGAGGCAGGAGAATCACTTGAACCCGGGCAGCAGAGGTTGCAGTGAGCCGAGATCGTGCCACTGCACTCCAGCCTAGCGACAGAGGCTCCGTCTCAAGAAAAAAAAAAAAAAAAAAAAAAAGATAGTTTGAAGGGTCCTGAGTCTGACTGCTTAACCTCCTGGCCTTCCGGACTCTGATGCTCTCCTGTACTCTTTTGGCAGTGGGATGGTAGGAAGTTCCTTCCAGACCTAGCCAGTTTTGTAGACTTCCATCAGCTCCCACAGTTCTAGCAATTAGAGCTAGAATTGGGGGCCCATCTTGTTGAGTCTGGGGCTCTCATGCAAACGCAGAACTGGTGTCATGGTGCCTCCTCATGGCCTGATAGGTGCCCACCCCCTGTCCCAGGCTACAAGAGAAAGGAGCCCTGACTCTGTTTTCCTCTCTCATCCCTAGAACTGCCTAACAGTCCTTCTCCAGCTCTTCCTATCTCTGGGTATTCGATTTGGGCATCTCACCTTTAAAAGCCTTCTCTTGGTGACAAACCAAAATTGTACCAGTTCACTCCAGCTAGATGCTAGTTAGTCCCTAGGCAGACACTCATTCCTCTTGGCCCTCACCATTTTGTATGAGTCTCTAACTCAAGAGCTTTCACACTTTTTTCCACCATGGCCTACAAAAGGAAATATAGTTTACATCGCAAACCAGTACACACAGAGGTTTATGTGGTTGATATAGATACATAGACATATGCCCTTGTGAGCTTCCTTACCTTTACTACATGCACACTATTTTCTAGCCTATGCTATTCTGTTCTGCTTTGTTTGTTCATTTATATATTTTTAATGCTAATCAGTCCAGGCATGGTGGCTCACACCTGTAATCCCAGCAATTTGGGAGGCCGAGGTGGGAGAATCACCTGAGGTCAGGAGTTTGAGACCAGCCTGGCCAACATGGTGAAACCCTGTTTCTACTAAAGACACAAAAATTAGCTGGGCGTGATGTGGCCTGGCTGAGAGAGCAAGACTCTGTCTCAAAAAAAAAAAAAAAAAAAAAAAAAAAAATATATATATATATATATATATATACGTATATATATATATATATATATACGTATATATATATATATATATGTATATATATATACACACACACACATGTATTTTTAATGGTAATCAAGACCCACTAAATGAATCTCAAGACCTTTTAATACGTTGAAAGCTGCACTTTGAACAACGTAGTTCTAGTTCTGTTTCAGGATCTAGAAGAATTTCCTCAAAAAAAAGAAAAGAAAACTGAGTTTGGATTAAAATGTCTGAATCTCCTTCTCTCCTCCCTGCTAGATTGTGAGCTCGCTGAGGGCAGACAGTGTATCTATTTCTCCTTTATATACTCAGCACCTACCTTGGTGTCTGGCACGTAGGAGATGCACAGATAAATATTAACTGAACCAAAGAACTCAGCCTCTCTGGGTCTTCGTGCCCCCATTTGTAAAGTGGAGAAGTGGCCATGTGCACTCGGGGGGCAGTTGTGAGAATAATGAGATCATGCACCTACAGCAGCAGGCACAGAGCCCAGCACTAATAGCTGCTCGATGAATCTACATTTCTTTCTGGATTTCTACACCTAGCTCTTTCTTGGATTGACTGCTTGACTCCACTGCAGTTTTTTTTTTAAGTGTAATGAGAGGTTTGAACTCTATTAGCCTCAGATCCCAACCCACTTAGGTGCGCTAAGGTTTTCCAGGATGCTATGGAGCCTGGAGGCAAATTGCCCTTCAAGGACAGCAATTTCTTCTTGAAACTCAGCACACACAGGTCAGGCTCTGGCCAAAAATGTGAGAGGTCATGGGGCAGAGTCCTTTCATTTCTCCATGAAAAAGTGTGACTTGAGCTGATTATTAGCATTTTATTGCAAAAATGTAAATTACTTCCACATCTAGAAAGATTATAAAATAAGTTTAGGCCAGGCGCAGTGGCTCATGCCTGTAATCTGAGCACTTTGGGAGGCCAAGGCGGGCAGATCACTTGAAGTTAGGAGTTCGAGACCAGCCTAGCCAACATGGTGAAACCCCATCTCTACTAAAAATACAAAAAAAAAAAATTAGATGGGCATGGTGGAGGGCACCTGTAATCCCAGCTACTCGGGAGGCTGAGGCAGGAGAATTGCTTGAACCCGGGAGGCAGAGGTTGCAGTGAGCCGAGATTGCGCCATTGCACTCTAGCCTGGACAATAAGGTGAGACTCCGTCTCAAAAAAATAAAAATAAGAAATAAAAAAAAGTTTAAAGTCAGCGTGAAATTTGGAATGTTTTCTGAATCAAAAGCCTTCATAAGAGCCGTTGTTTCAAAATTGTGACCCTAAGTTAAGTCTGATGTAGCAGACAGAGCCCTGGCTGATGAACTTCTGACTTGGTCATTAACTGGCTGCTAGATTGTGGGTGGGACAGCCTCCCTGGATCTCATTTCTTCATCTTTGAGGAGGAGTATCCCATTCATCTCCAAAGTTCTGTGACCCCAAATATGAACCTTAGAGTCCTTTGTTTTACATTCACTGTAAGGTATTAACCAATGAGGAGATAATATTTCAATGAACACATCTCAATTGCAGAGTCTAATCAAATGCAATGCCTACAACATTTTCTCTCTAATCATTTCTTGCTCCTATCATGTAGAAAGATTAAATGATGCTTCAGCCAGCCTTAGAGCCAGTGAAGAGTCAGGTTAGCTGTTACTTGTGTAAATAAAATCTCAAAAACCAAGGTTTTGCGTGAAGTATCATAGTAGTTCACTCTGAATTGCACCTCGTCTTGTCCATGTAATGGGAGCTTTTCATTTAATGTTTTGTCGATTGATCGCTTACCTGTGGGTAATTTAACGAGCCTATTTGTTGTTTTCTTCTAGGACAGAATGACTTGGAAGATAACGGAGCTTCGAAGCTTCTAGCAGAATATGAAGTCTTTCGTCTTCAGCTACCTGGGTTAAGTTTAAGCAGGTTAGTGGTGAATTCCATTTGTACCCATGTCTTTGGAAGTTCCTAATGAGCAGGCTATCCTGAGGTTAGCAGGGAGATCGGGAACATCTCACCTGCATCGGACTCCTCTAGCTACCTTGGCCTTAAAGCCGAGGTTTTCTCAGATGTGAGAAGTGAGATGCTTGGTGTGGTGAGGTTCACAGTGCAGCTCTCCACCACCAGCTTCACGATGTGGAAGCTGCTCATCTGCTCCTTCTCGGCATTGCCCCTGCAGAGATTCTGTGGAAAAGAAAATTAGATAATAAATGGTTTAACTTGAAAGGCTAAGCTCCCTCAAAAAGATTTCAAAAGGGACTCCCTTCCCTCTGTTGTTTTCAAAATGTTCACAGCTTCTGTACAATGCAGGGGCTCTCACATCATTGCTTGTATAGAGAGAAAATAAGTTCACTATAACAAACTGCCTTCTAGGCTGAGTGTGGTGGCTCATGCTTGTAATCCCAGCACTTTTTTGGGAGGCCAAGGCGGGCGGATCACCTGAGATCAGGGTTTTCAAGACCAGCCTGGCCAACCAAGATGGTGAAACCCCAGCCCCAAGTTGATGGCAAAACCCCGTCTTTACCGAAAATACAAAAATTAGCTGGGTGTGGTGGTGGGCACCTGTAATTCCAGCTACTCGGGAGGCTAAGGTAGGAGAATTGCTTGACCCCAGGAGGTGGAGGTTGCAGTGAACCGAGATAGCGCCACTGCACTCCAGCGTGGGCGACAAAGTGAGACTCTTGTCTCAAAATAAAAAATAAAAAAATAAAGAAACCGCCTTCTAACTCACTCACTCTCCATTGCTCATCTTTGCCCATTGCGTTAACCTTGTTTTAGGTTTCCTTTCCCTTCTCCAGTTTCACCATCTTCCACCTAAAATAAAACTCATGTCCAACCATGTCACTCCCCTGGGAATACTCTGAATGGGTCTCCGTCTCCCTCGGGGAAAAAATTTGGTGTCCTAGCCCAGGCTCCAGCCCCACAGTCCCCTCAGCCCCATTGCTTGATGCCCCTTCGTCTTCCTTGAACTCATCCTCTATTGGGTCCCTCTATGTCTTCGCTCTTGCTGTCCTTTCTGTCTGGCACAACCACCAGCCCCTCCAGCCCCGGTCTACCATGCAGGACCCAGATCATGTGTCAGCCCCTCCAGGCAGCCTTTCTGGGACTCATTGCCCCGGGCTGCACGCCTCCCCGTACCCAGAGTGCCTGAACACACCTGGTCCCCACACTCACCATGGCGACATGACATTTTTGCTTTCTCCTCCCTTTCGCTGCACTGGGCACCCTTCTAGGTCAGGGACTTCCTCATCCTTGGCGCAGGGTTCAAACCCTGGCTCTACAACTTACTGACTGTCAGCTCTTAGACTCTGTCTCCTCCTAGCTTGCTTTCCTCATCTATAAAATGGAGGTAAGGAAAATACCTCTCATGTTAGGTTCCATGCCTGTTGAGTGATGTGTATGGAGCCCGAGGGCCAGTGCTAGGAAAAGGCTATGTAACTATTGCCTCATTAGTGCTCATCATACCGAAGATTAAGTTGAATGAAACTGCATTTTGTCCTTGAAGATCAGAGCCATGCAAATTGCAACAATGATTGTTCTCATGGACATCTTCTCGAACTTTTAGACAGTTTTGCTGAAGGAAGTTGAATGCAACTGTACTATTTTCTGACATCTTAAGGGTTTCTATGCTTACTTTTTTTAATTTAAAATATTTTAAATTTAAATGGGTACATAGTAGGTGTATACATTTACAAGGCACATGAGATATTTTGGTAGAGGCATACAATAATGATTACATCAGGGTAAACGGAGTATCACCTCAAGCATTCATCATTTCTTTGTGTTACAAATATTCCAATTGTACTCCTCAGTTATTCTAAAATGTACAAGTTGTTGCTGACTGTAGTCAGCCTATTGTGCTATCAAATACTAGATCTTATTCATTGTATCTAACTCTATTTTTGTACCCATTAACCATCCCCAAATCCTTCCACCCTCCCCTTCCCCACTCCCAGCCTCTGGTAAGCAACATTCTACTCTCTCTTTTTTGTTTTTGTTTTTCTTTTGATTTATTTTTCTTTCTTTTGTTTTTCTTTTTTTTTTTTTTTATTGGAGAGTTCCATCCATTTACACTGAATATTGTTGATAAATAGGGACTTACTACTACCATTTTGTCATTTTGTCATTTGTTTTCTGGTTGTGTTGGGATCTTCTCTTTCTTCCTTCCTTCCTGTCTTCTTCTTCTTCTCTTTTTTTTTGAGACCATCTTGCTCTGTCGCTCAGGCTGGAGTGCAGTGGTACAATCTCGGCTCACTGCAACCTCCACTGCTCAGGCTGGAGCAATTGTTGAGTGTCAGCCCCCCGAGTAGCTGGGATTGCAGGCGTGTGCCACCACACTTGGCTAATTTTTTGTATTTTTAGTAGAGACAGGGTTTCACCATGTTAGCTAGGCTGGTCTTGAACTCCTGACCTTAAGTTGATCTGCCTACCTTGGCCACCCAAACCTGTCTCTCTTTTTTTTTTTTTTTTTGAAAGTGTTTTTCTCTGGAAGCATATGTTAATTTCTTGTTTTGCCTACCTATTGTAGGTTTTTTGATTTGAGGTTACCCTGAGGATTGCAAATAACATCTTATAACCCATTATTTTAGACTGATGACAACTTAACTCTGATCACAAAAACAAGCAAGCAAAGAGAAAAGTAATAAAAACTCTACACTTTACTTCCCCAACTTTTAAATTTTTTGTTGTTTCTTATTTATTTATTTAGAGACTGAGTCTTGCTCTGTCACCCAGGCTGGAGTGCAGTGGCGTGATCTGGGCTGGCTGCAACTTCTGCCTCCTGGGTTCAAGCGATTCTTGTGCCTCCCGAGTAGCTGGGATTACAGGCTCATGCCACCACACCCCACTAATTTTTGTATTTTTTTAGTAGAGATGGGGTTTCACCATGTTGGCCAGGCTGGTCTCAAACTCCTGACCTCAAGTGATCCACCTGCCTTGGCCTCCCAAAGTGCTAGGATTACAGGCGTGAACCACCATGCCCAGTCAACTTTTTGTTGTTTCTATTTATATCTTATTATACTTTCTATGTCTTAAAAAGTTGTTGTAGTTGTTATTTTTGATAGGTTCATATTTTAGTCTTCCTTTTCAAGATATGAGTAGTTTACATACCACAATTACGTTATAATTATGTTATAATATTCTGTATTTTTCTGTGTACTCACTGTTACCAGTGAGTTTTATGCCTTCAGATGATTTCTTACTGCTTATTAACACCCGCTTTAGATTGAAGAACTCACCTTAGCATGTTTTGCAGGACAGATGTGGCGTTGACGAAATCTCTCTGCTTTTGTTTGGCAATGTCTTTATTTCTCCTTCACGTTTGAAAGATTGTTTTGGCAGGGCACTGTGGCTCACACCTGTAATCCCAGCACTTTGGGACGCCAAGGCAGGTGGATCGTTTGAGGTCAGGAGTTCAAGACCAGCCTGGCCAACATGGTGAAACCCTGTCTCTACTAAAAATACAAAAATTAGCCGGGTGGTAATGGCGCACACCTGTAATCACAGCTACTCGGGAGGCTGAGGCAGGAGAATCACTTGAGCCTGGGAGGTGGAAGTTGCAGTGAGCTGAGATCGTGCCACTGCACTCCAGTCTGGGCAATGGAGTGAGAACCTGTCTCAAAAAAAAGAAAAGAAAAGAAAGATATTTTCACTGGATATAATATGCTAGGATAAAAGTTTTCTCCTTCAATACTTTAAATGTGTCATGCCACTCTCTCCTGGCTCGTAAGGTTTCCACCAAGAAAACTGCTGCCAGACATGTTAGAGCTCCCTTAGAGTTCTTTTTTGTTTTGTTTTTTTGTTTGTTTTTGCTGTTTTTAGGAACTTTGTTTTATCTTTGACCTTTAGGAGTTTGATTATTAAGTGTCTTGAGGTCATCTTTTTTGGGTTAAATCTTCTTGGTGTTCTGTAATCTGGTACTTGAATATTGATATTTTTCTCCATGTTTGGAAAGTTCTCTGTTATTATCTCTTTGAATAAACTTTCTTTCTTTCTTTTTTTTTTTTTTTTTGAGACAGAGTTTTGCTCTTGTTGCCGAGGCTGGAGTGCAATGGTGCAATCTCGGCTCACTGTGACCTCTGCCTTCTGGGTTCAAGTGATTCTCCTGCCTCAGCCTCCCGAGTAGCTGAGATTACAGGCATGAGCCACCACGCCTGGCTAATTTTGTGTTTTTAGTAGAGACGGGGTTTCTCCATGTTGGTCAGGCTGGCTCCAACTTCTGACCTCAGGCGATCCTCCCGCCTCAGCCTCCCAAAGTGCTGGGATTACAGGCGTGAGCCACCGCACCTAGCCCCACTTTCTTTTTTTTTCTTTTTTTTTTTTTTTTTTTTTTTTTTTTGAGACTGAGTCTCACTCTGTCACCCAGGCTGGAGTGCAATGGCGCCATCTTGGCTCACTGCAACCTCCACCTCCCGGGTTCAAGTCATTCTCCCACCTCAGCCTCCTGAGTATCTGGGATTACAGGCACACGCCATCTTGCCTGGCTAATTTTTGTATTTTTGTAGAGATGAGGTTTCACCATGTTGATCAGACTGGTCTTGAACTCCTAACCTCAGGTGATCTACCCACCTCGTCCTCTCAAAGTGCTGGGATTACAGGCATGAGCCACCACACCCTGCTAAGTAAACTTTCCACCCCAGTCTCTCTATCTCTTCTACCTCCTCTTTAAGGCCAATAAGTCTTTGATTTGCCCATTTGAGGCTATTTTCTAGATCCTGTAGATGTGCTCCATTATTTTTTATTCTTTTTTCTTTTGACTCCTCTGTGTATTTTCAAATAGTCCGTTTTCAAGCTCACTAATTCTTTCTTCTGCTTGATCAGTTCTGCTGTTGAGAGCCTGATGCATTCTTCAGTTTGTCCATTGAATTTTTATTTTAGCTCCAGAATTCCTGCTTGATTCTTTGTAATTATTTCAATCTCTTTGTTAAATTCATCTGATAGGATTCTGAATTCCTTCTCTGTGTTATCTTGGATTTTGCTGTTTCCTCAAAACAGCTATTTTGAATCCTCTGTCTGAAAGGCCATAGATCTCTATCATTCTGGAATTGGTCACTGGTGTCTTATTTAGTTATTTGGTGAGGTCATGTTTTTCTGGATGGTCCTGATACTTGTGGATGTTTGTTGATGTCTAGATATTAAAGATTTAGGTATTTATTCTAATCTTCACAATTTGGACTTCCTTGTACCCGTGCTTCTTGAGAAAACTTTCCAAATATTCAAAGGGAATTGAGTGTTGTGATCTAAGTCTTTGGTCATTGCAGTCATATGTGCATTACAAGGCAACCCAAGCCCAGTAACGGTGTAACTTTTGCAGACCCGTAGAGGTACTGCCTTGGTGATCTTGGATAAGATCCAAGAGAATTCCCTGGATTACCAGGCAGAGTCTCTCGTACCCTTCTCTTACTTTCCACCAAACAAATGGAATCACTTTCTCCATGCTGAGCTGTCTAGATTTGGGGGATGGGTGGCACAAGCACTTACATCGCCATCACTGCTGAGAGTGTGTTGGGTCACACCTGAAGCCAGCACAATACTGGGTCTCACCCAAGGCCTGTGGTGACCTGATATTTATTCAATGCCCAAGAGCTTTTTAGTTGGCTGGTGGTGAATTCTTCTGGGACTGTCTTTTGCTTCAGGGCAGTGGGTTCCCTTCTGGCCCAGGGTGGGTCTAGAAATGTCACCCAGGAGCTATGGCCTCGAATGGGGGCTTCAGGACTTTAGTGCTTTATTTTACTGTGGCTAAGCTGGTGTTCAAGTTGCAAGATAAAGTCCTCTTTAAGTCCTCTTTACTCTTTCCTCTCCTCTTGGAATTGCGAGCTGTGCTGCCTGGGGTTGGGGGACAGGCCTTGGCCATGTCAGCTAGTGTTTCACTGGGTTGCATGCACACCAAGCCTACTGGCTCCAAGGTCGGCCCAGTACTGCGACTTGCCCAGGAATTGTGGTCCTTGTGGCCTAAACTGTCTTTCAAGTTTATTTAGTACCCCAGAGCACTTGAGCCTGCAGTGGCAGGGCTTGCTAGAACTCCGGTTCTGACTACCAAGACGAACCCTTCTCCTCCAGCTAGGACTGGTCTAAATGCTCCCTCCATGGGCACCAGCCTAATTCTGCCCTGTGTTGCTTTCCACTGTATCAGGGCAGCACTGAGTTGCAATGCAAAGCTCCATAATGACTTCCCTCTCCCTCTTCCAAAGACACAGATTCTCTGCATCATGCTGCGCTCCTAGGGGAAGGGCGAAGGGTAGTGTGAGCAATTCAAGGCTGTCTTTCCCACCCTCTTCAGTGCCTCTTCCTTGATATGATGTTAAAACCAGGTACTGTGATTGCTCACCTTATTTTCTGGTTCTTTTGAAGGTGCTGTCTTCTGTGGATAATAGTTCAATTTGGTGTTCTTGAGGGGTGAGGTTGGAGGGGACAGGGTGGGATGATAGCTGGAGGGTTCTGTTTGGCCATCTTGCTCTCTTTATAGTTATTCTTCATTAAATAGAATCACCAAGGCAGGAAGGTGTCATTACTGCTTTGATTCCAGATGCCTCTAGGCTCGTAGGCCATTTGAAGGCTTCCAAAGCTCTGGCGATAGAATAGATTCCTTCATGGACCCCCATTCCTACTCCTCTACAGTATCCATGCCACGTGAAGATAGCAGTAGGAGAAGATTCCTCCAGCTTCCTCCAGAGTGTGAAGGGGGTGCTGAGGATGGAGCTTCTGAGCCTGAATCTCTGCCGACTCAGGAGACGTCAGAGTCTGTGTTCCGTGACTGGCTCCCCAGCAATCTCACCAGATGTGCTTAGATTTGGGTGGACTCAGTCACGCTGCCCAAAGCTGCATTCACTCATAGGGAGAGCAAGGGACCCACAGTACTGCTGCCATGTCCCTTTGAGGTGGCCTCTGTGTGCACCTGCTGGTCCTCCAGCCCAGTCTGCTCTCTGTACACAATCCCCATGAGCAGCATGAGTGCCAAGAACTGCTCAGTGCTCAGGTCTGGCACCTGGGCTTCTTTCACGTGCTCATAAGGCAGCCAGCGTGTTTCCCTAGGTACCCCGGAGGCTTTGGGCACAGAGGACCACACGTCCAGAAGTTTGGGCCATTCACATGTGTGCCATGTGGACCTCTCTGGAGAAGAGAGCTGGGTGCACATCTCAGCGTGTGCAATGGGCATGAGTGTGTTTGGCAAGCATGCTCAGGATGAAGATCACCCCCTCCTTTATCCCACTGCTTCCTGTAGCTTCCAAACCACCTCCTCAGAAGTGTCATCTCCAGCCACTGCTTCCTGTAGCTTCCAAACAGCCTCCTCAGAAGTGTCACCTCCAGCCACTGCTTCCTGTAGCTTCCAAACGGCCTCCTCAGAAGTGTCACCTCCAGCCACTGCTTCCTGTAGCTTCCAAACGGCCTCCTCAGAAGTGTCACCTCCAGCCACTGCTTCCTGTAGCTTCCAAACGGCCTCCTCAGAAGTGTCACCTGCAGCCACTGCTTCCTGCTCTTTCACATTTTCTTTCTTCTTTGTCTGTGCTCTGTGGTTTGGCATCTGCCCCAGCTGCTCTGCTGCCGTCTTGTCTACCATCCATGCATGAATGACTTCCTTAAAAACACCGCCTTGTCTTTCCGTGGTCCTTCTCCTTTTCCTTCCTTCCAAAGTTGTCACCGTGGACCTCCTCTTCCACCCCCGTTCAGGAAACTGTTCCCTCAGGCTCACCTGACCTAGCCCTTTCCAGTTTCCTTAGCACCTGGGCAGGTCCTTCCGGGTGACTCATCCCATCCTAGCAAGCAGATTTTGGGGACATACCTAAGAGCTCTCCCCTGTTCTTCTGGTGAAGCATTTTCTCTTTTCAGAGAAGTCACTGCAAGCCAGGGTGACTTGCTGATTTGAATCTTCAGCCCTGACTCCTCTTCTGAGTTATAATTACTGCCTGGACATTGCACCCTGGGGGATCTATTCAGACTGAACATGACCAACGGTGAACTTGTCTCCCCCACCTTCTGTCCTGCCCCAAATCCTCACCCTAGTATCTGTTAGGAGGGCACCTCTTTCAGCCCTCCAACCTCTAGAGCCAACTTTGACCCTTCCATATCCTTCTTCCCCTGGAAAGGGACACCAAGTTCTGCTTTTCCTTGAAAATCCTTTAGATTTGCCTCTAGTCTCTGTCCTTGTGACCTCTGGCAATAGCTTCTGCTCTGGGCTCCCGCTCCAGTGCCCCATTTCTGGACTTCAACACAATTTGTTTTCTTTTCTTTTCCTTTTTTTTGAGACCAAGTCTCACTCTGTCACCCAGGCTGGAGTGCAGTGGTGCGATCTCGGCTCACTGCAACCTCCGCCTCCTAGGTTTAAGGGATTCTCCTGCCTCAGCCTGGGACTACAGGCTTGTGCCACCACGCCCGGCTCATTTTTGTATCTTTTAGTGGAGATGGGGTTTCACCATATTGGCCAGGCTGGTCTTGAACTCCTGACCTCGTGATCCACCCACCTCAGCCTCCCAAAGTGCTGGGATTACAGGCATGAGCCACCACACCCACCACATCACCCTCTGCTCAAAAACCTTAAGTGGCTCCTTCTGGCCCAGGATGGGTCAAGTCCAGGTTCTAAATCCCCATGTAACCTGGCACCAACCTACCCATGTCCAACCATATTTCCCACACCCTCCCCAGACATTCATGGAACAGCTCTTCAAGGCACTGGCCCAGGTTCTAGGGGAATCAAGGAGGAGGAAGCCTGGTCTTCTCCTTCAAGACCTTTTCAGTGAGGTGGAAGCTGGAGGTGGGGCATGTAGCTAGGCACAGGAACTCTAATGACGATGTAAGTGGCATTGTCACAGGCAGGTCATGTGACACGGGAGCACAGAGAAGAGTACCATTAGGTCAGACATATCATACATGTGGCTTGTGACATCCTATCAACATGAAACATAGCTGTGTTTCTTAAGCCATTTTGTTCACAACACAGCCAATGAATTCTTGTGACAATGTACCAAATTATTCAAAACAAATTTTTTAGTAAAATAATAAAACTACTTTTCTCAAAACAGTTTGATTTATTTTCTTTTTTCTTTTTTCTTTTTTTTTGAGATGGAGTCTCACTTTGTCACCCAGGTTGGAGTGCAGTGGTGCGATCTCAGCTCACTGCAATCTGCCTCCCAGGTTCAAGCGATTCTCTTGCCTCAGCCACCCGAGTAGCTGGGATTACAGGCACACACCACCATGCCTGGCTAATTTTTGTATTTTTAATACGGATGGGGTTTCACCATGCTGGCCAGGCTGGTCTCAAACTCCTGGCCTCAGGTGATCCACCAAAGTGCTGGGATTACAGGCATGAGCCACCGCACCCAGCCTCAAAACAGTTTGATTTTTGAGGAAAGAGTGCCTCCTTTTCATTAATTTGCGGGGGTGGGGGGTAACAATTTGCCTGAATTTCTATATTTTTGAAAAAGCTCTTTTAAAACATCTTGTTAGATGGGGCACCATGACTCATGCCTGTAATCGCAACACTTTGGGAGGCCAACGCCGGAGGGCTGCTTGAGCTCAGGAGTTCAAGACCAGCCTGGGCAACAAAGCAAGACCTTGTCTCTGCTAAAAATAAGAAAAATTAGCTGGGCGTGACGGTGCGTGCCTGTGGTCCCAGCTACTTGGAGGCTGAGGGTGGGAGGATCGCTTGAGCCCAGGAGATCGAGGTTGGAGTGAGCTATGATAGCGCCACTGCACTCCACAGTGGGCAACAGAGCAAGATTCTGTCTTAAAAAACAAACAGAAAAAAAACGCCACAAAAACACTTCTTGTTAGGATAGATGTGGTGGCTCCTGCCTATAATCACAGCACTTTGGGAGGCCAAGGTTAGAGGATCGTGTGAAGTCAAGAGTTTGAGACCAGTCTGGACAACACAGCAAAACCCCCAACTATACCAAAAACAAAAAACAACCCCAGAACCAAAACTTCTTGTTATTGGTAAAAGTACTGAATTTTTATATGAACATGAAAGTTAAATGCCTGACTGATATGAAAATGGTCTTGTCAAATGCATGAAAAAGGAGCGGTTGTCTTCAGGTGAGATGAGAGTCATAGTTTTGGAGTCTTTCTGTAACGTGCTCTCATTTTAAGAGTTCCACTCAGCTGCTTCCTGTACAACCCTCCACAGAGAAATTCCATATGAAACCTCTGTGAACCGAGGCTGCCGTGTGAATCTCTCCCATCAGGAGAACTCCACTTCTGTGCAGTTTTCCAGCCTGTGCCTGTGGTCTTGCATTCCTGAGACTTTGTTGTGGATAAGAAGAAAAATTCTGTGGCCTTGAAACTGTGTCTGGATGGTTCCTCCATCTATTAGTTTCTCATTACATTAGTGGCTGCCCCGGGATCCAAGATAAACCATTTTCCCATGCCTGGTGAGAGACTGTAGCACAGACGCTTGATGTTTTATTGCCATGTTATTAGAACCAGCCTCCTAATTTGCACTGGAAAATTTGAGAGGGTAAACATATGGGCATATGTCTTCATGTGTGCCAAACTCACACTGTGGGCGCGCATGCGGTACACACACACGTTCCTTTTGTTACCTCTTTGAACTCTGAATGAGATTTTGTGAGTGTGCACCTGGGGTAGACCCCTTAGTATTAGGTACAAACCCCACAGCAGCCCGCCTGGGTTTTCTCCCTCACCTGAGCATCTGAGCCCAGGGAGAATAAGCAGGTAAGTGCCAGCCCCTTCCTGCCGAGGCGTGCAAACTCGCCTGCAACCCCTACTCCATAGCCACACACGCACTCACAGACTTAAGGGTTTGCAGAGCACATTGAGGCTTCCCTCAAAGCGCATTGAGCATCCGCATGGAGAGATCAAGGATGGGAAGGGTGCTGGGAGCAGTCGCTCATGCCTGTTATCCCAGCACTTTGGGAGGTTGAGGTGGGAAGATCACTTGAGCCCAGGAATTAAAGACCAGCCTGGGCAGCATGACAAAACCCATCTATACAAAAAATACAAAAATTAGTCGGGTGTGGCAGTGCATGCCTGTAGTCCTAGCTACTTGGGAGGTTGAGATGGGAGGATCAGTTGAGCCTGGGGAGGTTGAGGCAGCAGTGAGCCATGGTTACACCACTGCACTCCAGCCTGGATGGGTGACAGAGCAAGAACTGGTCTCAAAAAAAAAAAAAAAAAAAAAAGGGAAAGAGCTGCCTTGAGTAATTCCCAAACGGCATTCTCTCCTTCGTTTTTTTAATGTTTTGTTTTGTTTTTAAATGGAGTTTCGCTCTTGTCACCCAGGCTGGAGTGCAATGGTGTGATCTTGGCTCACTGCAACCTCTGCCTCCCAGGTTCAAGTGATTCTCCTGCCTGAGCCTCCCGGGTAGCTGGGATTACAGACATGCACCACCATGCCCAGCTAATACTGTATTTTTAGTGGAGGCGGGGTTTCTCCAGGTTGGTCAGGCTGGTTTCAAACTCCCAACCTCAGGTGATCCGCCTGCATTGGCCTCCCAAAGTGCTGGGATTACAGGTGTGAGCTGCCGTGCCTGGCCTCTCTCCTTCGTCTTTGCACTTTACTCTCCCTCTTCTCCCTTTGACAAGACATATTTCCATGAAGCCCTATTTCTTATGGCTCCTTTCTTCTTTTGTTGTTGTTGAGACAGGGTCTCGCTCTGTCACCCAAGCTGGAGTGCAGTCGTGAGATCTTGGCTCACTGCAGCCTCAGCTTCCCAAGTGGCTGAGACTACAGACATGAGCCACCATGCCTGGATAATTTTTTATTTTTTTTTAGAGATGGAGTCTTGCTATGTTGCCCAGGCTGGTCTTGAACTCTTGGGCTGAAGTTATCCTCCTGCCTCAGCCTCCCAAAGTATTGGGATTATAGGCATGGGCCACCATGCCCAGCTCTCCTATCTTTCTTTGTCATCACCTTTTCTCCCCGGCAGAGCTCCAGCCTCAGGTATCCCTCTTGTGGATGCTCCTGTTTTTCCATGGGTCCATGTTGTGATTATGCTGAGCCAACCACACTATGTCTCCCTCCTCATAACCCAAGGCACAGGCAAGTCTGTAGGACCATCTGGCAGGAGAGAGCCAAGGCCTGGACAAGCAGCCAGCCGTGGGCCCCATCTTGGCTCACTGCAACCTCCCACCTCCTGAGTACAAGTGATTCTCCTGCCTCAGCTTCCCGAGTAGCTGGGACTATAGGCTCTTGCTACCATGCCTGGCTAATTTTTGTATTTTTAGTAGAGATGGGGTTTCGCCATGTTGGCCAGTCTCGTCTTGAACTCCTGACCTCAGGTGATCCACCGGCCTCGGCCTCCCAAAGTACTGGGATTACAGGCCTGAGCCACAACACTCGGCCCCATCATTACTTTATTCTTACCAGCTGCACTCACTGGTACTAGCAGTTCATGATTTGCCTGAGTCAATAATGATATCACAACATCAGATTCCACTGATCAAAAAAGGACCTCGTCAGTCTAGCACTCAGTGGCAAAAAAAAAATGTTTAAGTTATTATTGCAGAAAATCTGGAGCCTTGCCAGTGAATAAGATTTTTAAAGGATGTGCAAAAAATCTAGCAAAAGAGGCGTGAATGACCAGGGATGGATATGAGAGGAGATTTAGGGCGCAGTAGCCTAAAATGTGCCTCTGCTTGCAGAGATGCAAAAGAGGGTAAATGAGACTTTTAAAGCTGATTTAGACAGAGGAAAAGGGGAATGGGTGGTAATGAGACCCCTGCTGGAGGTATCACACGTGCCTGGGCAGCCGCGGAGGAAGACTCATGAAGGGAGTTGAAGGAGCAAAGCACCAGAACCCTTCCAGCCCTGAGAGTCTGTGAGTCTATGAGGCCCATGGGTGTCCAAGGATGTGAACTGTTATGATAGTTCTAGAAATGGAAAGAACAGCTACTGAATAATTATCAGTAATTATTGCTTTTCACCTAAAATGTGTAATGCAGCTTCCAAAATTACTGACTTGGCTGAGCACAGTGGCTCGCACGTGTAATCCCAGCACTTTAGGAGGCTGAGTTGGGCAGGTCACTTGAGCTTAGGAGTTTGAGACCAGCCTGGGCATCATAGTGGGAACTTGTCTCTACAAAAAATACAAAAATTAGCCAAGCATGGTGGCACGTACCTGTAGTCCCAGCTGCTTGGAAAGCTGAGGCGGGAGGATCTTATAAACCCAAGAGGCAGAGACTACAGTGAGCCGTGATCGTGCCACTGCATTCCAGCCTAGGTGACAGAGCGAGACCCTATCTGAAAAAAAAAAAAAAAGAAAGAAACAACAAAAAAAACACCCAACCAAACAAACAAATTCCTGATTTTATTCCTAGGATATAGGTTATTCTCTGGGAGAATCTGGTTAGTTCAGTGCACTCCATCGTTAGCAGACGATAATATTCTGCACTTAAATCACTCCTTTCATCTGTAGCTCTCAAATAATTTTATAAGCATTAATTAGTTCTCACATCTGGCTTTGAACCTATTTTCCCACTTGTCAAATGCATAATAAACAATTTCGTACCTGGGTAAAGCCAAAATACTGGAGTGGTGTCTCCCAGGTTTCCAGAGACCCATCAGAAGAGTCAAAAACCTTGGTCACTTCTGCAGACATCTCACCTGAGAGGGACCAGATGTCCAACTGCTTGTGGATGAGAGTCTGATACTGATGGCAAATAATTAACACTTCTTCCTACCACTTATTTCTATTCAGATCTTCTGACATTAAAGTATCAAATAGGATATGATATTTGGGAAAAGTTTTCAGACTTCTAATCATGTATGGATTTGAGAATTAAGTATTCCTTTCTGCCTTTATAAAATTAGAGCTCTTCTTATATTATTATTATTATTATTAGATTAAGTCTCACTCTGTCGCCCAGGCTGGAGGGCAGTGGCGTGATCTCGGCTCACTGCACCCTCCGCCTCCCGGGTTCAAGCAATTCTTCTGCCTCAGCCTCCTGAGTGGGTAGGATTACAGGTGCATGCCACCACACCCGGTTAACTTTTTATATTTTTCGTAGAGACGGGGTTTCATCATGTTGGCCAGGCTGGTCTTTAACTCCTGACCTCGTGATCCACCTGCCTCAGCCTCCCAAAATGCTGGGATTACGGGCATGAGCCACCGCACCTGGCCCAAGCTCTTGTATATTCTCTACTACATAAACTCACAGACCAAACCTGAGCCATCTGGAGGGTTCTGGGACAGGACGGGGCACTTTATGGCCTCACCATTTCCCACACTGTGTCCCACTGCCCTAGCCACAGCTACCACTTACCACTGTTAAAATAGTAATGGGGAATTCCTCTGGGGTCCCAGATGAAAGAAAAAGCTTCACATTACACCCTTCCACCCCTACAGTTCTGACTTTGACACTGACATTTTAATAGTTGAAAACTAAACACGACCTTGTACCTTCATTTCCTCTCCACTTGTTCCCTTCTTAACCCCCTGCGGTCCAGCCTCCACACTCTTCCCTCTGCTGAAGCCGTTTATGAAAAGTCTTCAGTGACTTTCTCGTGGAATTCCAAGAGGCGTCTCTCGGGATCATTCCCTCTGAGCTCCTTCATCCTGCTGCCCACCCTGTCCCCTTGAAGGTCTCTCTTCCCTCGACCTCTGGGATGCTGAATTTCCCATTTTTTCTTTCACCTCTCTGACATTTTCCCTTCTGGTTTGGAGGGCCCTCCACAGGGGTCATTGGTCCTGGGGTCTCCGACCTGTCTTGTGGGATCAACTCCCGCCATCCTCATCTCTGACAGGGGTAGGGATATCCCTCCTGATTTCCCAGATGAAATGCCCGAGAGATGGGGTTCATACCACGCTTCCTTCCATTTCCTGCACCCCCGGGCTCACGGAGTTTCTTTTTCCTCTCGTAGCTCTCACCCCTTCACCGGCTAGCATTGTTAGTTCAGGCCCCTACATGCAGAGTATTTTCCCCCAGACTATTCTGTTCATGAACATTAACTAAATATGTTTGCATGTGCTCCCCCAGTTTTTAAAGTTTATTTGAGAGATATTCCACTCTCCCAATTTTTGATTGTTTACATATTATATATATATATATATTTTTTTTTTTTTGAGACGGAATCTAGTTCTATCACCTAGGCTGGAGTGCGGTGGCATGATCTCAGCTCACTGCAACCTCCGCCTCCTGGGTTCAAGCAATTATCCGGCCTCAGCCTCCTGAGTAGCTGGGACTACAAGCACACACCACCACGCCCAGCTAATTTGTTTGTTTGTTTGTTTGTATTTTTAGTAGAGACAGGGTTTCACCATGTTGGCCAGGCTGGTCTCGAACTCCTGACCTCAAGTGATCTGCCCACCTCGGCCCCCAAAAGTGCTGGGATTACAGGCGTGAGCCACCATACCCAGCCTCACATACGCTTTCTCTTAAACTAATGTGTTCATTTATTAGGTTGCTCCAAGAGTAATTGCAGTTTTTACCATTGAAAGTAATGGCAAAAATGGCAATCACTTTTACATCCACCTAATAAATATGTAAAATAGAAACTCAAAAAGTTGAGATTTTTAAAAGTAAAAACAAATCAAAATTCTTTTTTTTTTTTTTTTTTGAGACCGAGCCTCTCTCTGTCACCAAGGCTAGAGTACAGTGGTGCAAACTCAGCTCACTGCAACCTCCGCCTCCGAGGCTCAGGTGATTCTCCTGCCTCAGCCTCCGAGTAGCTGGGGCTACAGGCTCATGCCACCACACCTGGCTAATTTTTGTATTTTTAGTAGAGATAGGGTTTTACCATGTTGGCCAGGCTGGTCTCGAACTCCTGACCTGAAGTGATCTGCCCACCTCGGCCTCCCAAAGTGCTGGGATTAGAGGCATGAGCCACCACACCTGGCCCAAATCAAAATTCTGATATCTTCTTCTCATATCCCAGTGGGTGACCTTAAGCAGAGCTGAGAGGGCCCCCCCATCAGCGAGCCCAGGGACCCAGAGGTCAGCAGCATCCCGAAGGCTTTGTCCACTGCCAGGCTGGCGCTCCTCCTTCCTACAGAGCCCAGCCTCTGTGCTCATCCCTATAAAACACTGGCTTCTTCTCCTCCCTTCTTCTGAGACCTCTGGTCTCCGGGCTTTCCAGTAGAGAACAGGCAGTCCCAGCTGACCTTCAGGGAGCTCCACATCCCATCATGACTTCTGTTCCAGCCTTTGCTCCCTTCAATGCCCCGCCTGTCCTCTCCAGGTCCTGGGCCTCTGCCTGGCTCAGGGTGAGCCTAGGTCACCTCCGTCCCACCTTCCCTGTTCACGCCATCACGTTGCTGTCTCCTTCCTCACAGCTCTGTCCAATCTTTTGGCACCTGGCCACCCGCTGTTACTTGACACTCTCACTCATGCCATCTAATCGCTTCACTGGATTCCGATCTCCAAGAGCACACAGTCCAGGTTTCTTCTGCATAGACTTTGAACCTGTCCTCTGTCCCTGCAGTGCTCCTCAGTCCCCCTCTCAGGACAGCACCATCATCAGAGCGGCCTGAGCCCTCTTGGTGGTTGTGTTTGGACAGAGACAGCTGTGGGGGCCACGGAAGCTCTGACACAGTCTGATGTGCTGATCACACGTATACAGGTGGACTTCACACGTTTGTGGCAGGCAGCTTAACACTGCTAAATTCTTAAACCTACTCAAGCTCAGCTTCTTGCAAATACTATTTCCCAGAAGTTGGTAATATATTCTCCTAAAGATTTAATAGAAGAAAAGTTGGCTGCTTATTGAAAAGTATGCTTTTGACTGCCAACTCGGATTATTTTAAATTAATGTTAATGCATGCAAGATTTACTCGCAAAGCATCCATCTCTTTAGTGCCCGATGGGGCTCAGGGCATGTGTGTAAATCATTCAGATGACAATTTCCTGGATTGAGTGCTTGGCATTTACCTACCACAGATCAATGCGCTTATTCACAGATGGCAGCATGGGGACACTGAGGATGATTGGAGATGTTGGACACTCAGGAGCAGAATGACTCTGAAACAGTCAAGAGGCAGCAAGCCTGGAGCTTCTTCCAAATCTTCTTGAATTCTCCTTTGAAACTCACCAGCAAATGCTGACCTGGGAATTTGAAAACAGCACACTAAAATGGAGATATCAACTCACTTCCTGGACTTTAATCTTTATGGCTCTGTGGCTGGAGTGCAGCCATCCAGTTCTTCAAGGTGCTTCCACGGGACCATATTGTTACTGGGGTGAATAACCTTTGAGACCCCTTAACAGAAACACACTCTCGTTTGTGAAATGAATGGTTGCAGATTGCAAGTGAATTTCTAGGTATACTTCAGGAGGGGATTATCCAAGAAATTGAGTTGTTTAATTTTTTTTCCTTTTTTTTTTTTTTTGAGACAGAGTTTCGTTCTTTTCGCCCAGGCTGGAGTGCAATGGCACCATCTCGGCTCACTGCAACCTCTGCCTCCCAGGTTCAAGTGATTCTCCTACCTCAGCCTCCTGAGTAGCTGGGATTACAGGTGTTAGCCACCATGCCTGGCCAAGTTTTGTATTTTTAGTAGAGACGGGGTTTCACCATGTTTGTCAGGCTGGTCTTGAACTCCTGACCTCAGGTGATCTGCCTGCCTTGGCCTCCCAAAGTGCTGGGATTATAGGCATGAGCCACCGTGCCTGGCCTGAGTTGTTTAATATTTAAACTACATGTTTTTCTTGTGGTAAACTCGTCAGACTTGGTGAATGTTATAATTGTGTTCAGAGTCCAAAAGTCATTCCATAGCATATATTTCAAGTATAATGATGGCTCAATGTCCTGAACCAAGATTATCTTGGTGGCTGAGGCTAATACCTGATACTGTGGGTGGCAGGTCACACTCTCTGCAGGTTCCCATCGGGTCGGGTGATGCTTTTCAGATTAACGGTTAAGTGCAGCTATCTTAGCGAGGGTTCATTATTGAAGTTTCTATTTGTTTCTTTATGCTTTTTAAAATAACTTACCTGCATCTCTTACATTGATTGCAAAGGGCCAAGTTTGAGACAGTGACAGACTTGAGAGAAGACCAAAGCTATCCACAGAAAGCTTTGCTAGCTAAATATTTGTTTGAGATTGTCGATCCTGTTATTCTTACAAGAGGCCCACAGAAAAAGGAAGAAAGAAGGAAAGAAAAGGAAGAAAGGAGGGAGGGCAGGGTAGAAGGAGAGAGGGAGGAAGAAAGAAAGAAGGCCGGGCGCGGTAGCTCACGCCTGTAATCCCAGCACTTTGGGAGGCTGAGGTGGGCGGATCACGAGGTCAGGAGTTCGAGACCAGCCTGGCCAACATGGTGAAACCCCGTCTCTACTAAAAATACAAAACTTAGCCAGGCGTGGTGGCGCACGCCTGTAATTCCAGTTACTCGGAAGGCTGAGGCAGGAGAATTGCTTGAACTTGGGAGGTGGAGGTTGCAGTGAGCCGAGATGAAGCCATTGCACTCCAGCTTGGGCAACACAGCAAGACTCTGACTCAAAACAAACAAACAAACAAACAAAAAAACCACACAAAACGAAAGAAAGAAAGAGAGAGGAAGAACGGAAAGAAAGAAAGAGGAGAAAGGAAGGGAAGAAAAGTCAGTCTCCCAGAAAATCCCATCTGTTTTCTAGCGGCTTCTCTAAGCAAGGCTTAGCTCAGCACAACTTTCCCTTCCAGCCCCCGCCTCCCACTGTGGCCATTGGCAGGGGCTGTTGGGATCACCACAGAGGGCACATGGGGAAGGTGGTGCAAGTGCTGGCCTTCTTGTTTCTCCTAGACTTTTGCTAAGGCCTGTGTGGGGAATACCCCTGTTGGTTGCCAAGCTAAGCATTTTCATAGGCTGAGTCACATAGACAGAGCTTTACTTTGTGAATACAAAACAGGGAAATAAAGGAACAAAACACCAATCCTGAAGGGCAATGACATGATCATTGCTAAGTGCCATTGAATGAACTCAGGATAACTCTCAACCTCACTCTTCTGTGGTTCTGTTTTGCATATGTATAATGTGAACTTCTAATGAGTTGGTTAATATTATTCCCTCCTCCCTGTTTTCTTTAAACCCTGCTTTGAAGCATAATGGTGTAAACCAGTAAGAAGTTTGGAAAGCCTGTGCTTGTCATTGGAGTTTAATTAAAATACACTAAGCCTTGCAGAAACTTGTGGTTTCGAGTAATGGAAAATTGGGAATTCAGAAGTATAGACTGATCCTAGGCAGAAGGGCCAAATTTTCTCTAAAGCATTGGACTTCTTGCCTTCCATTTCTGTGTAGACAATGTAGTTGACTCATTCTTAAACATACAAATGATCACTTTTCCAATAAAGGATTGATCAATGTTATAATGGCAAGAATTTGACATTTACCTCCACAGAAGCATTATCCAAATGTTCACACTATTTCATATTTCTTTGTATTGAATTCATTTATAAACATATTTATCCTAGACCGATTATGCGCAAAGCAAGTGCAGGTGCTAGGGATACAGTTATGGCAAAACTAGACCAACTGCAACCTCCGCCTCCTGGGTTCAAGTGATTCCCCTGCCTCAGCCTCCCAAGTAGCTGGGACTACAGGCACATGCCACCACACCCAGATAATTTTTTGTATTTTTAGTAGAGAGAGAGTTTCACTGTGTTAGCCAGTATGGTCTCGATCTCCTGACCTCGTGATCCGCCCGCCTCAGCCTCCCAAAGTGCTGGGATTACAGGCGTGAGCCACCACCCCCAGCCCTTATTTTATTTATTTATTTATTTAGTTTGAGATAAGTCTCACTCTGTCACCCAGGCTGGAGTGCAGTGGCCCAATCTCCGCTCACTGCAACCTCCGCTGCCCAGGTTCAAGCAATTCACCCGCCTCAGCCTTCTGAGTAGCTGGGATTACAGGCGCGCACCACTACACCCTGCTAATTTTTTATTTTTAGTAGAAATGGGGTTTTGACATGTTGTTCTCCAACTCCTGACCTCAAGTGATCCACCTGCCTCAGCCTCCCAAAGTGCTGGAATTGCAGGCGTGAGCCACCGCGCCCAGCCTCTAGTGTCATGTTAAGAGTATGGCATTTAGCTTGGTCTTGAGAAGTGAACTTGACTTTAACAAAGCATGAAATGGTTAAGAAAAATAAATGATTTGAATACAGCACTTGTCACCTGCATGCCATTATTTATAATCATGTATATGTTATTCTAATAGCGACGATGCAGAAGGATTCTTCAAAGCATGATACACACATGATACTGACACGTGTCAGACTTCATTTCAGCAGCTCCGCCTGTCCGTCAGTGGTGCTCTCCATCCTGTTCCTGGGAGGTGGGTCTGAGTGGAGGAGAGACGCTTTGAGACCCTGTTTCTCAATGTTCAGTTTCGCATCCAAATCACCTGGATGTGTTTGTCAAAATTCAGATTCTTTACCCTTGCTTCAGATCCACAGAATTAGAATCTCAGGAGGTGGGGCCAGAAATATGCATTTTCTGTTTGTTTGAGACAAAGTCTCGCTCTGTCACCCAGACTAGAGTGCAGTGGCGCAATCTAGGCTCACTGCAACCTCTGCCTCCTGGGTTTAAGCGATTTTTATGCCTCAGCATCCTGAGTAGCTGGGATTACACACGCCCGCCACCACACCCAGCCAGAATTATGCATTTTTAACAAGCATTCTGGCTGGGCACGGTGGCTCACACCTGTAATCCCAGCACTTTGGGAGGCCGAGGCAGGCGGATCACTTGAGGTCAGTGGTTCGAGACCAGCCTGGCTAATATGGTGAAACCCCGTCTCTACTAAAAATACAAAAATTAGCTGGGCATGGTGGCGGATGCCTGTAATCCCAGCTACTTGGAAGGCTGAGGCAGAAGAATCGCTTGAACCCAAGAGGCAGAGGTTGCAGTGAGCCGAGATTGTGCCACTGTACTCCAGCCTGGCTGACAGAGTAAGACTCTGTCAAAAAAAAAAAAAAAAAAAAGACATAAGGAAGAGAAACAGCATAGAAAGCCTGTCTCACACCTAGGTGTAGCGAAGGGAGGCCTTCCAATACTAACTAAAGTTCTCGCCATATAAAACAAGCGCAGAGTCTGATGAGCTCTTCTTTGGGGAAAAAATGTCTGCATCATTTTTATGGAGATTCATCTTCAACTCTTAACTAAAAATCCTCTCAAATCATGTGACATGAACAATTGTTTGGCAAAGCAACCTTATGTTAGAGCTCTTTCCTGAATACAAATTTGATCCCAAAGATAAATCCAAATGCTAAAATCCAAGATATAGGTAGAAGCTGACACATCCAGGTAATCCCTTTAAAATATTTAAGCCATATCAATGGGACAAGAAGAAGTTTTGAAAATACAATAACCCTTTCATTAATTTTGTTATTAAAAACCCTCCAGTATGATTAGGGGAAAAATTAGTTTGAAATGTTCTTTTTAAAAATTTTATTTTATTTTTTTATTTTTTTATTATTTATTTTTATTGATCATTCTTGGGTGTTTCTCACAGAGGGGGATTTGGCAGGGTCATAGGACAATAGTGGAGGGAAGGTCAGCAGATAAACAAGTGAACAAAGGTCTCTGGTTTTCCTAGGCAGAGGACCCTGCGGCCTTCCACAGTGTTTGTGTCCCTGGGTACTTGAGATTAGGGAGTGGTGATGACTCTTAGCAAGCATGCTGCCTTCAAGCATCTGTTTAACAAAGCACATCTTGCACCGCCCTTAATCCATTTAACCCTGAGTGGACACAGCACATGTTTCAGAGAGCACCGGGTTGGGGGTAAGGTCATAGATCAACAGGATCCCAAGGCAGAAGAATTTTTCTTAGTACAGAACAAAATGAAAAGTCTCCCATGTCTACTTCTTTCTACACAGACACAGCAGCCATCCGCTTTCTCAATCTTTTCCCCACCTTTCCCCCTTTTCTATTCCACAAAACCGCCATTGTCATCATGGCCCGTTCTCAATGAGCTGTTGGGTACACCTCCCAGACGGGGTGGTGGCCGGGCAGAGGGGCTCCTCACTTCCCAGTAGGGGCGGCCGGGCAGAGGCACCCCTCACCTCCCAGACGGGGCGGCTGGCCGGGCGGGGGGCTGGCCCCCTCCACCTCCCTCCCGGACGGGGCGGCTGGCCTGGCGGGGAGCTGGACCCCCCACCTCCCTCCCGGACGGGGCGGCTGGCCTGGTGGGGGCTGACCCCCACCTCCCTCCCGGACGGGGCGGCTGCCGGGCGGAGGGGCTCCTCACTTCTCAGACGGGGCGGCTGCCAGGTGGAGGGGCTCCTCACTTCTCAGACGGGGCGGCTGCCGGGTGGAGGGGCTCCTCACTTCTCAGACGGGGCGGCTGCCGGGCAGAGGGGCTCCTCACTTCTCAGACGGGGCGGCTGCCGGGCGGAGGGTCTCCTCACTTCTCAGACGGGGTGGCCGGGCAGAGACGCTCCTCACCTCCCCAACGGGGTTGCGGCCGGGCAGAGGCGCTCCTCACATCGCAGACGGGGCGACGGGGCAGAGGCGCTTCCCACATCTCAGACGATGGGCGGCCAGGCAGAGACGCTCCTCACTTCCTAGATGGGATGGTGGCCGGGAAGAGGCGCTCCTCACTTTCCAGACTGGGCAGCCAGGCATAGGGTTTCCTCACATCCCAGACGATGGGCAGCCGGGCAGAGACGCTCCTCACTTCCTAGATGTGATGGTGGCCGGGAAGAGGCGCTCCTCACTTCCTAGATGGGATGGCGGCCGGGCAGAGACGCTCCTCACTTTCCAGACTGGGCAGCCAGGCAGAGGGGCTCCTGAAGTCCCAGACGATGGGCGGCCAGGCAGAGACACTCCTCACTTCCCAGACGGGGTGGCGGCCAGGCAGAGGCTGCACTCTTGGCACTTTGGGAGGCCAAGGCAGGCGGCTGGGAGGTGGAGGTTGTAGCGAGCCAAGATCACGCCACTGCACTCCAGCCTGGGCACCATTGAGCACTGAGTGAACCAGACTCCGTCTGCAATCCCGGCACCTCGGGAGGCCGAGGCTGGCGGATCACTCGCGGTTAGGAGCTGGAGACCAGCTCGGCCAACACAGCGGAACCCCGTCTCCACCAAAAAAATACGAAAACCAGTCAGGCGTGGCGGCGCGCTCCTGCAATCGCAGGCACTGGGCAGGCTGAGGCAGGAGAATCAGGCAGGGAGGTTGCAGTGAGCTGAGATGGCAGCAGTATAGTCCAGCTTCGGCTCGGCATGAGAGGGAGACCGTGGAAAGAGAGGGAGAGGGAGACCGTGGGGAGAGAGAGGGAGAGGGGGAGGGGGAGGGGGAGGGCAAAAATTTTATTTTTTATTTAAAAAAATATTTTGTAGAGACGAAGGCTGGGTGCGGTGGCTCATGCCTGTAATCCCAGCACTTTGGGAGGCCAAGGCAGCCTGATCACTTGAGGTCAGGAGTTCGAAACCAGCCTGGCCAACATGGTGAAACCCTGTCTCTACTAAAAAGAGTACAAAAATTAGCTGGGCATGGTGGTGCGTGCCTGTAAGTCTAGCTACAGGGGAGGCTGAGGCAGGAGAGTCGCTTGAGTCCAGGAGGCGGAGGTTGCAGTGAGCTGAGATCACACCACTGCACTCCAGCCTGGACGACAGAGTGAGACTCCATCTCGGAAAAAAAATTGCAGAAACGAGGTCTCTCTATGTTGCCTAGGCTGGTCTCAAACTCTTGGGCTCAAGTAGTCCTTCTGCCTAGTCTTCCCAAAGTGTTGGCATTACAAGTGTGAGCCACTGAGCACAGCCTGAAATATTCTTTGGGTAAAATTTGCCTTTCAAAAATTTAGGTTTGAGATTTAGCAATCAGATACGGCTTTGTTTTGGCTTTTATGTTTTTAAAATGTTTTCTACGTCATCCTTTCAGGAGGAGGAGCCTAGAAAACACTGTGAATGAACTATTTCAGATAAAATGTAGACTTTAGTAGAGGGAAAACCACATGAGGTCAGGGTGTTTGCACATTTCCACATTCTCAACACTCAGCCCTTTCCCAAAATATACTGCACACTCCTAAGTGTTGAATAAATGAATTAATAAATAAACAAATGGCGGAGTGTGGTGGCTCATGCCTGTAATTCCAGCACTTTGGGAGGCTGAGGCGGGCAGATCACCTGAGGTCAGTAGTTCAAGACCAGCCTGGCCAACATGGTGAAACCCCGTCTCTACCAAAAATAAAAAAATTAGACGGGTATGGTGGTGTGCACCTGTAGTCTCAGTACTTGGGAGGCTGAGGCAAGAGAATCACTTGAACCCAGGAGACGGAGGCTGCAGTGAGCCGAGATCACGCCAGTGCACTCCCCCTGGGTGACAGAGTGAGAAGCCCATCTCAAAATAAATAAATACATAAAAATAAATAAATAAACAAATGCCTTAAAGATGATGGACTCAATCACTATGTAACAGAAGAAAGCAGAACATTATTCAACAGAAGGAAGAAGATAAGAAAAAAATAATTAAAACTAGAGTTTAAAGATATAATTTACCTAAGACATGTTTCTGTTTTACTACTCATTTCTTCTTTCCTTCTGCATCTAAACTGGTGGACAATGTTTGTGTAATATTTGGGAGGGTGGCACAGACAAGAAAGAATAAAAGTACTGGCCAGCATTGCGGGTACCTGCTTAACATGTCTATGTCAACAAAGTTAGGTGGTACGAGTTGCATGATTTTTTTTTGAGATGGAGTTTCGCTCTTGTCGCCCAGGCTGGAGTGCAATGGTGTGATCTCGGCTCACTGCAACCTCCGCCTCCTGGGTTCAAGTGATTCCCCTGCCTCAGCCTCCTGAGTAGCTGGGATTACAGGCACCCGCCACTATGCCCAGCTAATTTTTGTATTTTTAGTATAGGCAGGTTTTCACCATGTTGGCCAGGCTGGGCTCGAACTCCTGACCTCAGGTGATCCACCCGCCTCGGCCTCCCAAAGTGCTGGGATTACAGGCGTGAGCCACTGCGCCCAGCCAAGTTGCATGATTTTTTTTAAGCTGAGAAGCTACTTACAGATCATTGAGTCCAACCCTTCATTTTGCAGATGAGGGAAGCAGAAATTAGAACAGTCCAATGACCTGAGGAAGGTCCTTGGCACAGCCAGCTGAACATTGAACAGGTATATCATATCATTGTTTATTGCCTTTTAGGGGCAGAGACTATGTGTTTCTAAGTAAAATTAATCATAGACCTGCCTGATATCAGCCTCCCAGCCCCAAACATTGGATCGGGTTTGGTTGGTTTTGACCAACTGATGGATTGTCTTTGCACTGATTTTGACAAGAACGCTCTGAAAATAATGTTCTTAAACTTTATTTTGTACAATAATGAAGGGGGGAATGCTGTTTTTTGTTTTTTTAAACAAAGTCTCACTCTGTCACCCAGCCTGGAGTGCAGTGGCGCAATCTCAGCTCACTGCAACCTCCATCTCCCAGGTTCAAGCGATTCTTCTGCCTCAGCCTCCCCAGTAGTTGGGATTACAGGCGTGAGCCACCACACCCAGCTGTTTCTCTTCCTTATGTCTAAAAGGATCCGTCTGGTCTTCTACATGCATTTCTCCATCACTAGAAACTTCCATGTGGTTGTCACTAAGTTAGAACAACACACAACAAAACTGTTTTTTATTTCATTATTTGCATAGAGTACCACCCAAAGAATTTGGAGGGCAAGATTAACAGTGAGCTAAACTACACGTGTGACGCTAGTAGAAGGAGGGAATGTCTCCTGTCCAAAGGGGCAGCTTGAAACATTTTTCACAGACAGTTGGCAGAAATGTGAACTAATAATTACTTCATAAGACAAACTGTTGTGTCTGTGAGGAGGAAATACCAGTGCTAGAACGCGCTGCAGCGTGCAGCCTCTCTGGCTGTGGAGAGACTGTACAAGCAACACAAGAGCCTCCTTATGGTATGTCTTGGCTTTCTTTATTGCACTTATTTCCTGGTTCTGATCTCAGGCCTTTCAGAAAATTTCCTGTGAAATGGAAATCCTGACTGCTTTTTTTTCTGGTGCATTCTTCACATGGTAAATGGCTAATTTCATGTAATTAAGAAAGCTTTTCACAAAGCGACTAACTAGACGGCTGAGAAAGTATAAAAACCTATGTGTGGGAGATATAGTGGTGTTTAGGGCACAGTTGCATTTAATTTTTATAAATGGTTCCAATTTCCACAGAGAAATTCGGGAAGTCCAGGACACAGCATGATACAGTGCAATTTTTTTAATAGGCCATTTTAAGGACTTTATTGATTTTTAATATGCAGTGCAATTTTTGAAAGCCCATACAGGCCAGTTTATTTTAAAATTGAAAAATCACCTCCTTCAAAACCCTCGTGAATTCTCAGTTTTATATATATAGTAAATTACATATAAAGCCTACTTATAATTTTGGAAAATTTGAAAAAGTTGATACTTAAACATTAATGATGTTAACATTTTTTAAAGATGTGCTTGTTATAGGCCTGGGGAATCTAGTAAATGCCTTACGTGTGTTATCTTAGTAACTCTGTTTTGTTTTTTTGGTTTTTTTTGAGACAGGGTCACGCTCTGTCACTCATCTGTCACCCAGCCTGGAGTGCAGTGGTGTGATCACAGCTTACTGCAGCCTTAACCTCCCTGGGCTCCAGTGATCCTCCCACCTCAGCCTCCCAAGTAGCCGTGACTACAGACATGTGCCACCATGCCTGGATAATTATTTTTTTAATTTTTATACATCCGGGCATGGCGGCTCACACCTGTAATCCTAGCACTTTGGGAGGCCAAGGCGGGCGAATCACTTGAGGTCAGGAGTTCGAGACCAGCCTGGCCAACATGGTAAAACCCCATCTCTACCAAAAGTATAAAAAATTAACCGGGTGTGGTGGCACACACCTGTAATCCCAGCTACTTGGGAGGCTGAGGCAGGAGAAGCACTTGAACCTGGTAGGCGGAGGTTGCACTGAGCCGAGATCATGCCACTGCACTCCAGCCTGGGCGACAGAGTGAAACTCCATCTCAAAATAAATAAAAATAAATAAAATAAAATAAATAAATAAATAAATTTTTGTATACAGACTGGGTCCCACTATTGTGCCCAGGCTGGTCTTGAACTCCTGGGCTAAAGCAATCCACCCACCTTGGCCTCCCAAATGCTGGGATTACAGCATGAGCCTCTGTGCCAGACCAATACCTCTTTGCAACAACCCCATGAGGTACCTACTATCCCCTTTACACATGAGGAAGCTGTGGCCACCAGAATGCTAATAGTTGTCCAAAGTCAAACAGCTAGAGAGTAATGGAAGCAGGATTCCCACCCTTTCATAGTGATTCCAGAGCTCATAATCTCACTGAGCTTGTGCTGTGTGGCCTCACTATAAATTATAAAAACAGCCACCTTAATTAATGATGGACTATGCACCTGAGGACAGGTTTCACATAATAGGGTCCATGTATTTATTTTGATTAGCACTTATATGGAACCTTATCCAAACACTCTGGAGTTTCCTTAGCAGGACATGTGCAGAGAAGCTAAAGGAAGGCTGTTTGCTTGTCCTGTTATTCCCTGGAATTCTCTGCTCCTCATGTTGTTCCCTAGCATCTAATTTCCTTGTGACTGCCTTCCCACAATCATTGAATCAACAGCCATATTTATCCCTTTCATTTAAATAACGCCTGTACATTTTTGGAGTAATCAGAAAACAAAGCTGCATGAAGTAAGAGAACATAAAGAAGGTATTATTGTTATTATTTTGAGACAGAGTTTCGCTCTTGTTGCCCAAGCTGGAGTGCAGTGGTACAATCTCGGCTCACTGCAACCTCCGCCTCCCAGGTTCATGCCATTCTCCTACCTCAGCCTCCTGAGCAACTGGGATTACAGGCATGTGCCACCACGCCCGGCTAATGTTTGTATTTTTAGTAGAGACAGGGTTTCACCATGTTGGTCAGGCTAGTCTTGAACTCCTAACCTCAGGTGATCTGCCCACCTCAGCCTCCCAGAGGCTGGGATTACAGGCACGAGGCACCTTGCCTGGCTAAATAAGGTATTATGATGGAAATTGCATTGCAGAGTTAAGCTTTCAAATTCAACATAATTTTCTGTTTTCCTTTTGATGGAGACCCTGATGCAAGGTGATATTTAACAAAGTATCCGTAAGTCCTTCCTAATGGCTGTAGCTGTCTGAGAGCCACCCGGCTGACGGAAAAGGGACTAGATGACTCCAAACCCCTAGGCTGGGCTTGTTTGCTTTCCTCTTGGATGATAGGATGCTAAGTATCAGGTTTAGCCACTCCTCAGCCTGGTCTCCGAAATGTCTGGGGTGGGATGTGCCTCATAGGGATCATGCTTTAGACTGGAACTTTCTCTAAGGCAGGAACTGTGTCTTTGTATATTCAGGGACATGCACTATGCCCAGCACAGAGTACACACTTAGGAGTCGATGCATGAAGGAATTAAGGAATGTGTGCTGTCGAAGCACGTGGCAGATACCATGATTCTCAATCTCACACTATTTTCCTGAAAATGTTGCAGTAGAAGAATGTTTCAGCTCATAGGTTTGGAACTCATGAGCCAAACTTTGAAACAGAGCCTCAATAAAAGAATATGAAACTTAGGAGGTTTCCAAGAAAGATTTCTCTGCACAAATAAATTGAAAACATTGCTTGAACAGTAGTCTTTCTTGTGTTCCCCCAAGTACCAAATTCCTGGTACTTTAAGTGGACTCTAGTCTGTAGAATTTCCAACCCCAAGAGCCACGCGGAGGTGTGAGCCAAACTAAGTAAACCATAGTAGCTGCACATAAATATGTCTGAGATAAATATCAAAATATACTGGGACAATGTGTAGCAACTTCAACAAATGGTGTATGACAGTTGGTAATAACGTTGAAGCCATTTTTTTTGTTTAAGAAGAAAATTACGGTTTTACTGTGAGTAATAACATACCTCATAATCATTTGTCAAAGTGGTCCCTGTCATTTTGCTTTTCCTTCAAACATGGCAAGTGGGTAAGTGGTGTGATGGATCTTTGCATGATGGGTATTGTCTATGCTGCAATGAAAATTTATTTGTGGGTTTGTTTTTTTTTTGGCAATGAAAATTTATAAAGGCAGGGTGCAGTGGCACACACTTACAGTCCCAGCTACTCAGGAGGTTGAGGCAGGTGGATCGCTTGAGCGAGGAGTTTGAGACCAGCCTGGGCACCACAGCAAAACCTCATCTCTAAAATGAAAGAAACCATCATTGTAATCCCAGCACTTTGGGAGGCCAAGGGAGGCAGATCACCTGAGGTCAGGAGTTCAAGACCAGCCTGGCCAACATGGTGAAACCCTGTCTCTACTAAAACTACAAAAATAAGCCAGGCGTGGTGGCGCGTGCCTGTAATCCCAGCTACTCAGGAGGCTGAGGCAGGAGAATTGCTTGAACTCGGGAGGCAGAGGTTGCAGTGAGCCAAGATCATGCCACTGCACTCCAGCCTGGGCAGCAGAGCCAGACTCCATCTAAAAGAGAAGAGAAGGGGAGGGGAGGGGAGGGGAGGGAAGGGAAACCCATCATGGTCCATGAGGCATTTAATGATCACGCCATGAGGGCAGCATCAGGAGGGGACTTCCTAGGGCCAGCTCCAACTTTTGGACTATGTTCCATTGACATCTACATCCAAGATCTTTCCTCTTGAAGGAGGAATTCTGAAAGTGTTTGCTCTCAGCCCAGCTCTAACGTGTCATTATAGAGGAGGTCTCCAATTTGAAATTTCTGAGTGACTTTCATAACATTGTAATGTAGAGATGAACTTTTTACCTGATTACTATTGGCAGAATCTCCTGCTGCCAGTGGGGATCACGCCACTCTGCCTGTTCTCTTCCACGGAGCTTAGCACAGACTCTTTGGTAAAATAATCATTTGCATACACAACTCATCATCTAAGACCGTGTTTGATATTTGCTCATTCTTTATGTGTGTGTTTCCTGGAGCCCTCACTTTAGAGGTCAGAAGACTTGGACCTGAATCCTGGCTTTACTACTTCTGGTAGCCATGAAAACTTTGACAAGTTATTTTATCTCCCTTAGCATTAGTTGCAAAATAAGAATAACAGTTTCTACCTCCTTGGGTTGATTTGAGGATCAAGTGAGATAGCGTGTGTCAAATCCTGAGCATGAGGCCTGGCCCACCGTGACAGCGGATAAATAAAGTCTAACATTATCAGGAATGATGCTCTTGAGTGGGACAGAGATTTGATCCTACGTTTTTCCTCGTAGGGAGAAATTCTGCAATGCTGCCTTGTCGCTGTTCCATGTTGTGGAGCCAGTGTGACTTGCTGATAGCTTTGTGTAAAGAACCATTGAGTAATTTGAGCATGACAAATTCTTACATTAAAAAGATTAAACCATAATTTCAGGCTGCTCCTTTCATTCCTTCCCCACCCTCAGCCCCTCAGGAAGCCAGGAAGGAAAAATGTGTCACCCATCCAACAGCAAATATTTATGAGCTATTACTTTGCTCAAGATTACTATGCCAAGGATGCAGCATTTAAAGAGAAGTGTTGGCTGGGCACGGTGGCTCACGCCTGTAATCCCAGCACTTGACACTTGGGGGTGCTGAGGCGGGCAGATCACCTGCGGTCAGGAGTTCGAGACCATCCTGGCCAACATAGTGAAACCCGTCTCTACTAAAAACACAAAAGTTAGCCAGGCATGGTGGTGCGCCTGTAGCCTTGGTTACTTGGGAGGCTGAGGCACAAGAATCGCTTGAACCCTGGAGGTGAAGGTTGCAGTGAGCCAAGATCACGCCACTGCACTCTAGCCTGGGCGACAATAATAATAATAATAATAATAATAATAATAATAATAATAATAATAAAATAAAAATAAAATAAAAAGAAATGTTAAAAAAAAAAGCCAAGCATGATCCCTGCCTATAAGGACTCTGCCTGGTTGTTAAGATGGGTCGTGGTGAATAAAAGGGAGCTGACAGCACCAGGAGGTTTCTAAGTGGCAACTGAGTGGTACAGAGGAAAATGGTATTAAGAGAAGGGAGAGATCAAGGTGGCTGGAGGGGTCAGGGTCTGGGAGTGATGACCCTTGGCCTTGAGCACGACCCTGAAGACAAATTGGCCCGCTTTGTGTTTTGTGTGGACACTGAATTCTAATGTGTGTGTGTGTGTGTGTGTGTGTGTGTGTGTGTGTGTTGAGTAATTCCTTTGTTGATTGACTACAGTAGGAATTATAGAAGATTCATATCTAAGTAAAAGGAGAAACACCTGGAGGGAGGTTAACTCAGGAAGGTGCGGTGATTTACAAATTGTATCTCAGAGACCTTCAATCTAAAGGTGATCCGGAGGCAACTATTATCTGATCTCATTATTAGACCTAAAAAGCAATTTCCTTCTTCTGATTTTTATATCCTGTTTTATACAAAGAACAGGTGCAGTAAAATCATAGTTGTAGCTTTCCGTGTCAAGAGTCTGTGTTAAGCTGAGCATAGTGGCTCACACCTGTAATCCCAGCACTTTGAGAGGCCGAGGTGGGAGGATCACTTGAGCCCAGGAGTTCAAGACCAGCCTGGTCAACACAGTAAGACCCTGTCTCTGCAAAAATAAAAACATACAAAAATTAGCCAGGCATGTTGGTGTGTGCCTGTAGTCCCAGCTACTTAGGAGGCAGGAGGATTGCTTGAGCCCAGGAGGTTGAGACTCCAGTGAGCCATGATAGCATCATTGTCTCAAAAAAAAGATCTGTATGATAGGTGTTTGTTTTAATATTTTTATTACACTTACAAATACAGAAAAGTGCCCTGGTCAGATACAGCTCTGTGGATTGACACAGACGGATACACCTACATGACCACTTTCCAGTTCAAGAAAAAGAGCATGGCCGGGTGCAGTGGCTCAATCCTGTAATCCCAGCACTTTGGGAAGCCGAGGCGGGCGGATCACAAGGTCAAGAGATCGAGACCATCCTGGCTAACACGGTGAAACCCCATCTCTACTGAAAATACAAAAAATAAGCTGGGTGTGGTGGCGCACACCTGTAATCCCAGCTACTCGGGAGGCTGAGGCAGGAGAATTGCTTGAACCTGGGAGGCGGAGCTTGCAGTGAGCCGAGATCGTGCCATTGCACTCCAGCCTGGGTAACAAAGCGAGGCTCCGTCTCAATAAATAGATAAATAAATAAAGTGTTGTCAGGGATGTGTGTAAGACTCATAAATTGCTGGTGGGAGTATAAATTTGTACAAGCAATTTGGAAAAACAGTAACTACTAAAATTGAACAAATGCACTCTCCATCACCCAGCAATTCTACTCCAGTTACATGCCCAGCAGAAGCAGAGGTAAATGCACACTGAGAATGTAGAAGGATGTTGGACAACATCATTATTTGCAATAGCCCAAACAAGGAACAACCCAAATGGCCCTCGACAGTAGAATAAATGTATAAACTGTGGTATATTCACATCGCGGATCAGTATACAGCATAGAAAATGGACAAACTCCTGTATGAATCTTACAAACATAATGGTGAGACAATGAAGCTAGAGATAAAATAGGACGTACTAGGTGCGTCCTAATTTTTGTATTTTTAGTAGAGACGGGGTTTCACCATGTTGACCAGGCCGGTTTCGAACTCCTGACCTCAAGTGATCTGCCCACCTCGGCCTCCCAAAGTGTTTGGATTACAGGCATGAGCCACTGTGCCTGGCCCCTTGCCAACACTTTATGTTGTCCTTTTTTAGTTTTAGCCATTTGGAGGGCATGCTGTGGGGTCTCTTTGTGGCCTTAGTTTTTTAATTTTTAAATATTTGTTGTAGAGACAGGGTCCCACGATATTGCTCAGCCTGACTTAAACTCCTAGCTCCAAGCAATCCTCTCACCTTGGCTCCCAAACTGCTGGGATTACTGGTGTGAGCCACCGCGTCTGGCCTGTGGTCTTAGTTTTGATTTCCTTGGTGGCTATTGTGGTTGAGCATCTTTTCACATGTTTAGTGGCATCTTCTTTTCAATAGTAACTGTTCCAATCTTTAAAAATTGCAATGATGGATTTTTAAATTAATTGATTTGTCTCAGTTCTATACGTATTCTAGATGCCAGACCTTTACTGGGTATAATTATTGAGATACCTTCTCTCTGGCTGTCTTGGCAGCTTAGTGGTTGGGAAAAGCCTCTAGAGGAAACAAGCTGAGCATTGGGGTCCCCTCGCCAGACTTCCCTTTTCCCAGGGATTTTAGTCCAAGATCACAGTGTCTGAGTAAGCTCTTTAATGACTCCCAAACATATGAATTGTGTATTTTTTTTTTTTTTTTTGAGACAGGGTCTCGCTCTGTCACCCAGGCTGGAGTGCAGTGGTGTGATCTCGGCTCACTGCAACATCCACCACCCAGGTTCAAGTGATTCTCCTGCCTCAGCCTCCCGAGTAGCTAGGACTACAGATACCCATCACCACACCCGGCTAATTTTTGTATTTTTAGTAGAGATGGAGTTTCACCATGTTGGCCAGGCTAGTCCCAAGCTCCTGACCTCAAGTAATCCATCCATCTTGGCCCCCCAAAGTGCTGAGATTACAGGCATGAGTCACCGTGCCCGGCCCGCATTGTGTATGCTTAATATTTTATCGAGATTTCCTCTTTGTTTTCTGCATCATAAGGGTTGGTCTAATATAAGCATTTCCTCCATCTCCATAATAGCATAATTCATGAAGCATAATTTCATGGATGGTACATTTCAAAGGAAAGTCATAGAATGGAGAAGTATGTGTGATATCCTAAGGGTATGCTGGGCACAAACAGAGGTAAACTCTTTTTCTGGGCTGGACTGAAGGGTGGGAGCTGGAATAGGAGAAGACAAGAAGAGTTTAGACAATCGCTATGTGGGGTTCTGTCCTGTGACCTTGGGCCTTGTCCAAGGGGATGGAGATAATATAACTAGAGAAAAGTTTGAAGATCCCAAAGCAATATCGCAAGGTTAGTCCTGTGATACTGTGGGCCTCTTTGGGAAGCCCCATCTAGTAGAATGGTGAAGTAAAAAAAGAAAACAAAAAAAGCCAGTGCTAGACTAAGAGCCAGAGGCTACCTGTCAAGTCTTGTTCCTGTGGAAGGGGAGCTTCCAGAACCAGTCTGCCCCCTAAAGCAAGCCACAGAGCTAGGCTGAAAATGGCCTGAGAGCCTGGAAGAAGCCTCCAGGTTGAGATAGGAGGACTGAGCCTTTAGGGGCCTATTGATGGGAGCCCATGGTGGGCTGGTAGTAGATGCCAAGTCCAGGCAGTCCGGACCACAGGGAGGAGTGAGGCAAGTATGCCAATCAGATATCCCTCACATCAGGCTGGCCTTGCCCTGGTTCTTTCTTTCTTTGTTTTTGAGACGGAGTCTTGCTCTGTCACCCAGGCTGGAGTGCAGTGGCACAATCTCCATTCACTGCAACCTCCACCTCCTGGGTTCAAGCAATTCTCATGCCTCAGCCTCCTGACTAGCTGGGATTATAGGCATGTGGCACCACGCCCAGCTAGCTTTTTTTTTTTTTTTAACATGGAGTCTTACTTCGTCACCCAGGCATGAGTGCGGTGGCGTGATCTCGGCTCACTGCAACCTCTGCCTCCCGGGTTCAAGCAATTCTTTTGCCTCAGCCTCCTTGGTAGCTGGAACCACAGGCGCGTGCCACCATGCCTGGCTATTTTTTGTATTTTTAGTAGAGACAGGGTTTTGCCATGTTGGCCAGGCTGGTCTCGAACTCCTGACCTCAAGTGATCTGCCTGCCTTGGCCTCCCAAAGTGCTGGGATTACAGGCGTGAGCCACTGTGCCCAGCTTTGCTCTGGTTCTTTTTTTTTTTTTTTTTTTTTTGAGGCGGAATCTCACTCTGTCGCCCAGGCTGAAGTGCAGTGGCGCGATCTCAGCTCGCTGCAAGCTCTGCCTCCTGGGTTCACGCCATTCTCCTGACTCAGCCTCCTGAGTAGCTGGGACTACATGCGCCCGCCACCACGCCCAGCTAATTTTTTGTATTTTTAGTAGAGACGGGATTTCACCACGTTAGCCAGGATGATCTCGATCTCCTGACCTCGTGATCCACCTGCCTCGGCCTCCCAAAGTGCTGGGATTACAGGCTTGAGCCACCGCGCCCAGCCTTTTTTTTTTTCTTTTTGAGACAGAGTCTTGCTCTGTCGCCCCAGGCTGGAGTGTAGTGGTGGCGCAATCTCAGCTCACTGCAACCTCTGCCTCCCGAGTTCAAGCGATTCTCTTGTCTCAGCCTCCCAAGTAGCTAGAACTACAGGTGCACACCACCATGCCCAGCTAATTTTTGTATTTTTTAGTAGAGAGAGGGTTTCATTATATTGGTCAGGCTGGTCTTGAACTCCTGACCTTAGGCAATCCACCCACCTCAGCCTCCCAAAGTGCTGATATTACAGGCTTGAGCCACCGCACCCAGCCACCCTGGTTCTTAAGAACACTCTCACCCACTCCATACACAACCTCCTCCTAGAGAGAAGAGGAGAACGATCAAGGAACTGGGGAGAATCCTGAATTGACGGGATGACTATCTAAAAGAGACCAGAAGCCTGGCCAACATAGTGAAACCCTGTCTCTACTAAAAATATAAAAATTAGCCAGGTGTGGTGGCACACGTTTGTAATCCCAGCTACTTGGGAGGCTGAGGCAGGAGGGTTGCTTGAACCTGGGAGGCAGAGGTTGCAGTGAACCAAGATCGCCCCACTGCACTCTAGCCTGGGCCACAGAGTGAGTCTACATCTCAAAAAAAAAAAGACTAGAGTTTTCAAGGGAAAGGGACTGCGTTTCTTTGGGAGTGAGTATTTAGTATTCTACCACTGATGACAGGTTGAACTGTGTCACCCCAAAACATAAACAGAAGCCCTAACCCCCATACCTGTGAATGTGTCCTTATGTGGAAATAGGGTCTTTGAAGATGTAATCAAGTTAGGATGAGGTCATTAGGGTGAGCCCCGATCCAAAATAACCAGTGTCCTTGTAAGAAGAGAAGAGGCCCTACCAACACTTTGATTTTAGACTTCTGGCCCGCAGAACTGTGCAACAGCACATTGCTGTTGTTCTGTGCCACCCAGTTTGCTATAATTTATTGCAGCACCCCTAGCAAACTCATACAACTCCTAAGTGGAAATGGAGGCTGGTGAACTCAATTGAGTTCAGTTATGGAAAAAGCAAGACAATCACACTTCTGTGCCTGTCCCCACATATTAAACTCTGTCTTTGAACCTATATTTTCTTTTCATATCACCTTTGGATTCATGTGACCTTGTCTGTAATCTCAATCTCCTTGTCACGCCTGTAATCTCAGAACTTTGGGAGGCTGAGGTAGGAGGATCACTGGAGGCCAAGAATTTGAGACCAGCCTGGGCAACATAGCGAGACCCCCTCTCTACAACAAATACAGAAACTAGCTGGGTGCAGTGGGGCCCACCTGCAGTTCCAGCTACTCAGGAGGCTGAGGCAGGAGGATCACTTGAGCCCAGGCTTTGGAATCTGCAGTGAGCTATGACTATAGCATTGCACTCCAGCCTGGATGACAGAGCAAGACCCTGTCTCAAACAAACAAACAAACAAACAAACAAACAAAAAACACAGCATTACAGACACATGGAGAGCAGAATGCCATGTGACTACAGAGACGGGTTGCAGTGGCGCATCACAAACCAAGGAACACCGACAGTTAGCAACCACTGGAAGCCAGGAGAAAGGTCTGGAACAGGTTCTCCTCAAGAGCCTTTGGAGAACGCATGGCCCTACCGACACTTTGATTTCAGACTTCTGGCCTGCAGAACTGTGCGACAGTACATTGCTGTTGTTCTATGCCACCTAGTTTGCTATAATTTATTGCAGCACCCCTAGCAAACTCATACAACTCCTAACTGGAAATGGAGGCTGGTGAACTCAATTTTCAGTTATGGAAAAAGCAAGACAATCACACTTCTGTGCCTGTCCCCACCTATTAAACTCTGGCTTGGAACCTACATTTTCTTTTCGTATCACCTTTGGATTCATGTGACCTTGTCCGCAGTGTGCTGACTTGCCTCTCTCCACCTGGGAATTCCCCAAGTTTCGATATGCACAGGTATCAGCTGCCTTGTGTACATTAATACAGGAAGTGTTAGGAGGCGTTTGCTCTTCTGGTTCTATTTCATTAAGCAAGCTGAAGCTGGCTGGAGTCAGAATTTACAGGGACCAAGGAATTAGATACAGCTCACAGCCATGTGTACTTTGCAGTGAAAAATAACTCAGGCCAAGGTCTCACCAGGAAGGGAATTGCTGAAAGTACTTTATGCAATTACAATATTTTCTCCTATAAATGTGTATCATCAGTGCTGATCTTCTGTGCGATGGAAGGGCTCTGGGACCTCCTCCTCGATTAACTTGCCTTCTCTGCTTCTAACAGTGTCTGAGATTACAGCATGCATCATCATTCCTTCGGCTCTCAAAGACATTGTCAGTTTTTCAATTAAAGCACAAATATCCCCCGAGAAAGTTCACAGCTTAAGCTCTTAGCAACAGCCAACTGTTGTTTACTGTGGGGATTCTATCCTGGGACCTGGAGGAGATGCTGAAGATGTAAAGGGAGACGGCACCAACTTCCCAACGTGGCCTAGGACTAGGCCATCGTAATCATCGACAGCCAAGATTTAATAAACATCCATGTAGCAACAGTGATAATTAACTTGGAAATCTTCAGCTTTAATTTCAAAATAGAAAGGAGTTCATTAATACAATGAAGAGTCTTATGTTTCCCACAGGGCTGGAGGTCAGGCCCATCTACTCTGTGATGAGCTGCAGTCTCTGTATATGTGCTTCTCTTTTTCAAGCCTCGGAGTAGTTCTCACTGTGAAATGGGATAATAATATTACCTATCTCATTAGGACGTTATGAGATGCAGACGAGATAAATTATCTAAAGAATTGAGCCCAGTGCTTGGCATGGAACAAACACTCAATAAACATTAGTGAATGTTCTCTCCTTTTGTTAATACATAGTGAGCTTCTCCGTGTAGTGGCAGTTTCATGCTAATTGTGTTTTTCCACAGTGTTCAGAGCTATGCTGTTAGTATGAAGTAAGGGATCAGTTCATCAAAACGCATTCAGTTCAGGCATGATGGCTCACACCTGTAATCCCAACACTTTGGGATGCCAAAAGGAGAGGATGGCTTGGGCCCAGGAGTTCCAGGTTTCAGTGAGCTGTGATTGTGCCAATGTGTCACCCTCCAGCCTGGGTGACAGAGCGAGACCCTGTCTCTGAAAAAAAAAAAAAAAAAAAAAAAAAGAGCATTCAAGTTCCCACATAGTGTGTGTTCTTCACATTTGAAACTGTAGTCCCAGCTGCTTGGGAGGCTGAGGCAGGAGAATGGCGTGAACCCGGGAGGAGGAGCTTGCAGTGAGTGGAGATCGCGCCACTGCACTCCAGCCTGGACAACAGAGCAAGACTCTGTCTCAAAAAAAATAAAATAAAATAAAGGCCAGGCACGGTGGCTCACGCCTGTAATCCCAACACTTTGTGAGGCCGAGGTGGGCAGATCACGAGGTCAAGAGATCGAGACCATCCTGGCCAACATGGTGAAACCCCGTCTCTACTAAAATTACCAAAAAAAAAAATTAGCTGGGTGTGGTGGCACATGCCTGTAGTCCCAGCTACTCGGGAGGCTGAGGCAGGAGAATTGCTTGAACCTGGGAAGCGGAGCTTGCAGTGAGCTGAGATCGCACCACTGCACTCCAACCTGGTGACAGAGTGACACTCTGTCTTAAAAAAAAAAAAAGAAAAGAAAAGAAAAAAAGAAACTATGCTAAAGTAGGCTGGGTGCAGTGGTTCACACCTATAATCCCAGCATGTTGGGAGGCTGAGGTGGGAGGATCACTTGAGCCCAGGAGTGATATAACATGAACCCGTCTCTATAAAAAAATTTAAAAAAAATATGCCAAAGTGAAATAAAGAATCAGGATGACAGAAACTCTTTCACTGTTTTTATTTTATTTTTATTGAGATGGAGTTTCGCTCTCGTCGTCCAGGCTAGAGTGAAGTAGTGGGATTTTGGCTCACTGCGACCTCCGCCTCCTGGGTTCAAGCCATTCTCTTGCCTCAGCCTCCCGAGCAGCCGGGATTACAGGCGCCTGCCACCATGCCTTGCTAATTTTTGTAATTTTAGTAGAGACGGGGTTTCACCATGTTGGCCAAGATGGTCTTGAACCCTTGACCTCAGGTGATTCACCTGCCTTGGCCTCCCAAAGTGCTGGGATTATAGGCATGAGCCACCGTGCCTGACTGGAGCCACCATGCCTAGCAAATTGTTTTTATCTTACATAACAGATCGTACTTACTGTGGCTTTACAAATATTAACTCATTTCATTCCCATATGTTTCCATCAGGTAAATTGTATTATCCCCATTTCACACATGGGGAAACTGAGGCACTGAGTGTTAAGCCATTTCCTGAGGTCACGAACCTAGCATAAGAAGTGAAGCCAGTGAAGAGAAGATGATGAATGGGTGTAAGTACACAGTTTGATGGAAGAAATGAGACCTAGTGTTTGATAGATCATTCGGGTGGCTATAGTTTACAATAATCTATTGCATATTTCAGAATTACTGGAAGAAAATAATGTGAATCACGAGGTCAGGAAATTGAGACCATCCTGGTTAACACGGTGAAATCCCATCTCTACTAAAAATACAAAAAATTAGCCAGGCATGGTGGCAGGTGCCTGTAGTCCCAGCTACTCGGGAGGCTGAGGCAGGAGAATGGCGTGAACTCGGGAGGTGGAGCTTGCAGTGAGCCGAGATTGCACCACTGCACTCCAGCCTGGATGACAGAGTGAGACTCTGTCTCAAAAAAAAAAAAAAGAAAAAAAGAAAAAAAAAAGGGTGATGGATATTCCCAAGTACACTGATTTGATCTTTACAAATTATATGAATGTATTAAATTATCACATGTGCATCTATTACATATCAAGTTTTAAAAATTAAGGAAAAAAGTAAAGCCAACATTTAAACCAGACCTTGTGACTCCAGTTGGGGCTAACTGCGCCGTGCTCTGTGCGCTCATGTGTGCACACGGAGGCTTCGCCTTTCATTATGCTGACTTTCACTGTTCTTGCAAATGTGTGGTGGTCAGAGCTTTGTAAACATTTCTTAGTGTAATCACATATGGGATGATAGCCATCTGGCCAGGAAAAAAGGGGATTAATTTTTTGTTTTTATTGAGATGGGGTCTTGCTCTGTCACACAGGCTGAAGTGCAGTGGTGCCATCATAGCTCACCGCAGCCTCAACCTCCTGGGCTCAAGGGATCCTCCTGCCTTGGCTTCCCACAGTGTTGGGATTACAGGCATGAGTCATCATGCCCAGCTGGGATCGGATTTTTATATATATATATATATATATATATATTTTTTTTTTTTTTTTTTTTTTTTTTTGAGACAGGGTCTTGCTCTGTCACCCAGGCTGGAGTGCAGTGGTGTGATTTTGGCTTACCACAACCTCCACCTCCAGGGTTCAAGCGGATTCTCGTGCCTCAGCCTCTGGAGTAGCTGGGATCACAGGCTTGTGCCACCACGCCTGGCTAATTTTTATATTTTTAGTAGAGACAGGATTTCACCATGTTGGTCAGGCTGGTCTCGAACTCCTGACTTCAAGTAATCCACCTGCCTCGGCCTCCCAAAGTGCTGGGATTACAGATGTGAGCCACTGCGCCCGGCCAATAATATCCTTTCTTGTCATAGAAAATTGTAGTTTAGGCCAGGTGTGGTGGCTCATGCCTGTAATCCCATCACTTTGGGAGGCCGAGGCGGGTGGATCATGAGGTCAGGAGTTCAAGACTAGCCTGGCCAATATGGTAAAACCCCGTCTCTACTAAAAAATACAGAAATTAGCCAGGCATGGTGGCAGGCACCTGTAGTCCCAGCTGCTCAGGAGGCTGAGGCAGGAGAATCCACTTGAACCCAGGAGGCAGAGGTGGGAGTGAGCTGAGATCGTGCCACTGCACTCAGCCTGGGTGGCTCAGCCAGAGCGAGACTCCATCTCAAAAAAAAAAAAAAAAAAGAAAGAAAAAGAAAAAAAGAAAATTGTAGTTTAACAAATAAATTTTCTAAAATGTACAGTAGACTGGGTTAAGCTCTTTAACCAAATCCTAAATTGCTTTTGCATCCTATTATGGCATTGCTAGGAGTGTGCATTTGCAGATGATGGAAAAAGACAGCCTGAGGTGAGAAGAGGGGAGGAAAGGAGCTCTCTGCACTGAGTGTCTGTTTAGCCTCTCCTTCTCAGGGCTGCTGCTTTAAAACAGGTTGTCTGTTTTTGCTGGGGAATTCCATAAATGAAAGGTGTTTGCTGAGAGTCTCATCCTAAATGACATGAAAGACTTACAAAATATGGAAAGAGTAGGGAAGCCACTGCAGGTGTTAATGGGAGTTTTAAATAATCTAGAGGACCACATTTTATTTATTTTATTTTTTATTTTCTGTTTGAGACAGAATTTCGCTTTTGTTGCCCAGGCCGGAGTGCAATGGTGTGATCTCGGCTCACCGCAACCTCCGCCTCCCGGATTCAAGCCATTCTCCTGCCTCAGCCTCCTGAGTAGCTGGGATTATAGGCGTGCACCATTACACCCAGCTAATTTTGTATTTTTAGTAGAGACAGGGTTTCTCCACGTTGGTCAGGTTGGCCTTGAACTCCTGACCTCAGGTGATCGGCCCGCCTCGGCCTCCCAAAGTACTGGGATTACAGGAGTGAGCCACCATGCCCCACTGAGGAGTACGTTTTAATGTCGAGCGATTTTAAATTATTTTTTATGGAACACTGTGCTTTACAGTGTTATGATACAAATCTAACCTTTGAGCCAGTCCTATAGAAAACTATATCTAATTTAAAAGCTTGAATTTGGATTTTAGAATGTGTGACCTCTTTAAAGCTTATAATTAGAAAGTTTGGTAAAAAGCAAACAACAGCTGCAAGTTTAAGGTATTGCTACTCAAACTGAAGACAATAACGATTCATTAATTCATATCTCCATTAATTCAAAAGTATTTATACTATCTGGTAAGACAAAATTTAAAAAGCAGATTTTTGTTTTCTGCATGATGCCATTTTTCCATTTTTTTCACTAAAGTTTGTAAAATTAAGAAAAAAATGAGGCCGGGCGTGGTGGCTCACGCCTGTAATCCCAGCACTTTGGGAGGCCAAGGTGGGTGGATCACCTGAGGTCAGGAGTTCGAGACCATCCTGGCCAACATGGTGAAACCCCGTCTCTACTAAAAATACAAAAGTTAGCCAGGTGTGGTGGCTCTTGCCTGTAGTCCCATCTACTTGGGAGGCTGAGGCACGAGAATCGCTTGAACCCGGGAGGTAGAGGTTGCAGTGAGTCGAGATCATGCCACTGCACTCCAGCCTGGGCAATAGAGTGTGATTCAGTCTCAAAGAAAAAAAAAAAAAAGAAATAGTATAAGGCTATTAAGAGAACCACGTAAGTCTATATGTATTGACATGCAAATATTATTTATTTCACATAATAGGTATATATGATACATTTGATGAATATTTACTATAATTGCTACATGATACCCTGAGACTTTATTTTTCTTCCTTTTAAGATATATTAAACCCAGAAGAAATTGGACTTCATATAAATACGAGCTCAAGTTCAGGTTTAGCTCATTTAATACCCCAGCTTTGAAATGAAAACCCCCAAATTCTATATCATTGCCAAATCATAACACTTTTTGAGGAAGTCCATGATGGTTCGTGTGTCCCAATTCAACCACACACCATGACACCGAAACAGACCTCATAGCTCTTTTACAAGTAGGTAAAAGCTGGCTGAAGTCCATTGTCTAGGTAGTTTAATTTCAAAAATTACTTCCCTTCAAAAGATCCTGTCTGTAATCCAGATGGCTCTATGCCAACCCTTAACTTCAAATGTGGCTAAAGTTATCTTTGTCTGCAAGCAGAAGTATTGACTGTTTTTCTTCCCTTCCTACACACTTAGAAATGTGACCACCGAAAGTACTGGGGTCCAAACTCCAGACTCCAATACTTTCCATGATAATAAGAAGCATTTATAGAACAGTAAGTTAGGAAGACTGTGCTGCTGAGGGCAGAGTGGAAATGACTGAGTTGGCTGGGTGCGGTGGCTCATGCCTGTAATCCCAGCACTTTGGGAGGCCGAGGTGGGTGGATCATGAGGTCAAGTTTGAGACCAGCCTGACCAACGTGGTGAAACCCCTTCTGTACTAAAAATATAAAAAATTAGCTGGGCGTGGTGGCACGTGCCTGTAATCCCAGCTACTCAGGAGACTGAGGCAGGAGAATTGCTTGAACCCAGGAGGTGGAGGTTGCAGTGAGCCGAGATCATGCCACTGCACTCCAGCCTGGGCAACAGAGCGAGACTCCTCCATGTCAGAAAAAAAGAAAAAAGAAAAAGAAATGACTGAGTAGAAGTGTGGAGGCTTGGAAGGAAGTCAAAGGAATTCAGGACAAGTCCAACGGGAGAAAGCTTCCACGAAGTCCAAGAACAAGTTTAATGGGTGAAGGAATTGGAAAACTAGAGCTTAGCATCATAAAGGGAAATTTGAGAGAAAAGGTGCGCTCATATGGTGTAAGTTTTGCATTTCACAGTAAGTTTATTAGTTCAGCAAACACATTTCCTATACAGAGGGCTCCCATGAAAATAAATACCAACGATGTAACTTGGTGAACAGAGGTAATATCTTTTTTTTTTTTTTTTTTTTGAGACAGAGTTTTGCTCCTGTCGCCCAGGCTGGAGTGCAATGGCGCGATCTAGGCTCACTGCAACCTCCGCCTCCCAGGTTCAAGCGATTCTCCTGCCTCAGCCTCCCGAGTAGCTGGGACTACAGGCGCCCGCCACCACGCCCGGCTAATTTTGTGTTTTTAGTAGAGACGGGGTTCCTCCATGTTGGTCAGGCTGGTCTCAAACTCCCGACCTCAGGTGATCCGCCCACCTCGGCCTCCCAAAGTGCTCGGATTATAGGAGTGAGCCACCGCACCTGGCCTAGAGGTAATATCTTTAAGGTATATAGCATAATAGGTACTTCATTTTGATTTAGAAAGTATTGACTTCTGTGTTTTCAGATATGTTTATCAAGTTAACTGGATTCGTTCTCACACTGCTATACAGAAATACCTGAGACTAGGTACTTCATAAAGAAAAGAGGTTTAATTGGCTCATGGTTCTGCAGGCTGTACAGGAAACATGGCGGCTTCTGCTTGGCTTCTGGGGAGGCCTCAGGGAACTTACAATCATGGCAGAAGGCGAAGGGGAAGCAGGCAAGTCTTAAGTGGCGGGAGCAGGAGAAAGAGAGATATGGGGGAAAGGTGCCACACGCTTTTAAGCAACCAGATGTTGTGAGAACTCACTCACTACACAGTACTAATGGGGGACGGTACTAAACCATTCATGAGAACTCTGCCCCACGATCCAGTCATCTCTCACCAGGCCCTGCCTCCAACACTGGGGATCACGATTTGACATGAGATTTGGGTGGGGACACAGATCCAAACTATATTACTAACTATAAATGATGAAAAACGAAGCAAACTTAACATCAGTTTTTATCAACTTAAAACAACCAATATCACAGGTAACTTTTTTTTTTTGGGTGGAAGATTATTTATTTATATATTTTTTATTGTACTTTAAGTTCTAGGGTACGTGTGCACAACGTGCAGGTTTGTTACATAATGTATACATGTGCCATGTTGGTGTGCTGCACCCATTAACTCATCATTTACATTAGGTGTTTCTCCTAATGCTATCCCTTCCCACTCCCCCCACCCCACAGCAGGCCCCCGTGTGTGCTCTTCCCCTTCCATCACAGGTAACTTTTTAAAAGGATTTATGTTTTGAGGGTAAAGGCCAAGGTGAAAAGTCTTTTGCTATGTCCCGTAGGGTATCTGCATGTGGGGTACACAGGAGCCAGGCTAGTGCATGAGCAACTTGGGCTGCTGCGCCCAAAACTCCCTCGCAAATTTAAGAATGGCACGCTTCCCAGGAAGCACTGAGGACCACTGTCTCCTCTTCAGAGATGCCTGGAGATGCTTTCCAGCTAAGGAATCGGATAGAGACAATACTGGTCCTGGCCAGGAGTCTCTGTAGTCCCATCCAAGGTTTTTAGTTCTGGAATCTTGAGCAGTTGTCTAAACAAAACATAGATCTTTTATCATGGTGTAGTAATCCTAGCAGGTAACCTTTCGTTTTTTAGTATTCCTTCAAAGATACATATATTAGACTCTAGTAATTTGTTGGTGGGAAGGACAGCTGGTAAAATAAATCCAAGAGAAAGAAAGAAAACACTTGTGTGCACCCACATGCCTGTTCCTTCAACTACACACCATATGCACATGCAAATGGTTTGAAGGCAATGGAGGGTGGATCGAATTTTGGGCTAAACGCAGCTTTTTGGAATTCCAGTCACACCTACCTCTTTCTTTCAGGGATTTGAAAAATGCGGTGAAGTGAATCAAGCGGGCTCCTGAGCGCCAGCTGAGAGGCTCATTTGTATTGGGCCAAGTGATCTTCAGGAGGGAGAATTGCAGCCTTCCTCCAAGAGGCTGTGCTCTAGGAATTTCAACTACAGAAGTAGCCTGACCCATTGGCAGAACTGTCTGCCTCTGCTGGAGAGACGGCTGGACTTGAGCCTGTGCAATCTTCACCCCTTGGCTAGATCTTGAGGCGTGGGAGAGGCAGACTGTGTAGTAGCCTGTTACCATGATGGGGAATTAAGCAGTAGAAATGCAGTTAGTAAAAGTAACCATTGCTGGATCCTAGTTCTCTTCTACAAACAGGCTGTAAGACTGTATTTGAGAGGGGCCGGGCACGGTGGCTCACACACGTAATCCCAGCACTTTGGGAGGCCGAGTCAGGTAGATCACCTGAGGTCAGGAGTTTGAGACCAGCTTGGTCAACATGGTGAAACCCCGTCTCTACTAAAAATACAAAAAATTAGCTGGTTGTGGCGGTGCACACCTGTAATCCCAGCTACTGGGGAGGCTGAAGCAGGAGAATCGCTTGAACCCGGGAGACGAAGTTCACAGTGAGTGGAGATCGCGCCATTGCACTCCAGCCTGGGAAACAAGAGTGAAACTCCGTCTCAAAAAAACAGAAACAGGACAGTATTTGAGCTCCTTAGAGACAGGCATTGAATGGCATAATTTTTTGCCGGTATTGCCATTGTGTGGGTGTGGTGAAGGTCCTTTCTGTAGCCGGCGGTGCCCAGGCTGAGGCAGAGAGTTTACGTGGCAGCAAGACTCTTCCTTCAGGTGTTGTGAACAAGAGTTAATATTGCTTCAAAGAATTGTCCAAAAGTGACGGTGGTGTGTTAAGGAACCTCTCTTTGAGGCAGAACTCAGAGGAAGGATAACTTGTCTGTTGAAACTAAGAGACAAGTACTTGAATACTTTCTGGTCCTGGGAAGCTTCTGGAAACCAATTCAATGCCCCAAACACTGATAGGCACCTTCCATATATGTCAGGAAATATACTAAGTGATCAGGGATAGACAGATGAGTTGGGCATGATCCCTTCCCTCACAGAGTTTAGATCTGGGTAATCCAGGTCTAAAGACTCTGCAAGAGAATATGACAAAATGTTTACCTCTTGATAGTGAGATTACAGCTAATATTATTATTAATAATTTTTTTTTTTTTGAGACGGAATCTTACTCTGTTGCCCAGGCTGAAGTGCAGTGGTGTGATCTCGGCTCACTGCAACCTCCATCTCCTGGGTTCAAGTGATTCTCCTGCCTCAGCCTCCAAAGTAGCTGGGATTACAGGCACACGCCACCATACCCAGCTAATTTTTGGTATTTTTAGTAGAAACAGGGTTTCACCATCTTGGCCAGGCTGGTCTCGAACTCATGACCTCATGATCCACCCGCCTTGGCCTCCCAAAGTGCTGGGATTACAGGCATGAGCCACCGCGTCCAGCCTATTATTATTAAATTTTTTAGGACATAATAGGATACTGTAGCTGAGTAGTTTTGAAGCCTTGGTGGTTATCAAGTGAGTGGATGTTGAGGAAAGTGGGGCTGCCTTTTAAAACATGCTGCTCTTTTTGTCTTTGCAAGGGGTAGAAATTTGAATTTGTCTTTGGGGGTAGATTCTTCTGTAATTCCCTTCTGGTTCCTTAGCCTTCTGTCAAGTTTTGTTGACTCTCACCTCTTGGTCTTACCTGTGAAAACTAGGAGAGGAGGCACCCTGTGCCTCCAGGTGAGGCGAAGCCCTTGGGGTAGGAATGCATAGAGACAATTGCAGCCAAGGGAGTCATGGACAGGAACAAAACTGCCGGCTGAGGGACACGTGCCAGCAAGGAGAGACGTGTAGCAATGTTAGTATTCATCTGGAATGTGCTGGAAGAGTTTGGGAGGGGAAACTGGATGATGCCTGGACTTCCTGAGCCTGTAGAATATGCTGGTTAGTGGATCATGGTCTCTTAGCCCCAGGTTCATCCTTTTCACCTTCTCTGTAAAAATGAATCTGGGCTTTATTATTATTATTATTATTATTATTATTATTATTATTTGAGATGGAGTCTCACTCTGTTGCCCGGAGTGGAGTGCAGTGGCATGATGTCGGCTCACTGCAGCCTCTGTCTCCTGGGTTCAAGCGATTCTCTTGCCTCAGCCCCCCGAGTAGCTGGGATTACAGGTGCACGTCAGCACAGCTGGCTAATTTTTGTATTTTTAGTAGAGATGGGGTCTCACCACATTGGCCAGGATGGTATTATTATTATTTTTTGAGACAGAATCTCACTGTCACCCAGGCTGGAGTGCAGTGGTGTGATCTCAGCTCACTGCAACCTCTACCCCCCGGGTTCAAGGGATTCTCCTGCCTCAGCATCCTGAGTAGCTGGGATTACAGGCGCGCGCCACCATGCCTGGCTAATTTTTGTTTTTTTAGTACAGATGGGGTTTTGCCATGTTGGCCAGGCTGGTCTTGAACTCCTGACCTCAGGTGATCCACCTGCCTCGGCCCCCTGAAGTGCTGGGATTACAGGCATGAGCCACTGCACCCAGCCAGATCTAGACCTTTTAAACAACTGCCTTTGCCAGCTGGCTTGTTGTTAAGCATAGTGGACATGGGGCATGGGAGAGACACTGCAGGAGGACAGAGCTTTGCCTCCGGGTTGCCAAGCTTCTGCTCAGCAGGCTCCTGCAGCTTGGGAGGCTTCTCTGGGAGCATCCAGAAGCCACCTGTTTCTTCCAGAACCCTGCTTTTGTAGGTGCATTTGTAGTGAAAAGCCTCCATGAGACGCCTCCCTGTGAACAGCTTTCTTCATACTCTAAAGGGTAGATATCCAGCAAGTTCTAAAGGTTGGATTACCAGCAAGTTCCACTGGAAGACACCTCAGTGACCTCTCTGCCATTTAGTGAACCATAGCTGTGCCCTCCCCAACAGGGTCTGGGTCTCAACCCCAGGGGAAGGAGAAGCTTCCCTTGGGTGCACTCTCTCAGCCCTGGGGCAATGACTGCTCCTTCAGTCCTTCCATCTGCTGTTCCTATTTTCTTTTCTTTTCTTTTTTTTTTTTTTTTTTGCGACGGAGTTTCCCTATTGGAATGCAATGGCGTGACCTTGGCTCACCGCAACCTCCACCTCCCGGGTTCAAGCGAATCTCCTGCCTCAGCCTCCCAAGTAGCTGGGATTACAGGCATATGCCACTATCCCCGGCTAATTTTGTATTTTTGGTAGAGACAGGGTTTCTCCATGTTGGTCAGGCTGGTCTCTAACTCCCGACCTCAGGTGATCTGCCCGCCTCGGCCTCCCAAAATGCTGGGATTACAGGCATGAGCCACTGCGCCTGGCCTGCTCTTCCCATTTTCTTTTGTCTTTCTTACTAACCTAGTCAATCCCCCACTACTCCAAGTCCCGTTATAGTTAATAATTCTTTGTATTAAACTTTCACTGTTGAAATCATTGTGTAGCCTCTCTCTTGGTTGGACCCATATGTACACACGTGGGTGGTATGGGAGCTCAGACTCTGGTTACTTGGCTGTCAAGGGATGGTGTCTCACAAGAGGAGAGGAATTAGAGCCATCTGGGTTCTATATATTTTTTCAAGTTTGTACAACAAACATGTTACTTTTATAATCAGAAAAATATTTTAAAATAGTGCGAAAAATGCAATAAAAGAAGCAAGAAAAATAAACACATACCAGCACCCCCCCACCCCCCGTCTCAGTGTGGTAGGTGTGAGTCAGAAGTAAGAAGTAAATAAGTGTTGGCCGGGCGCCATGGCTCACACCCTAATCCCAACACTTTGGGAGGCTGTGGGCAGATCACTAGAGGTCAGGGGTTCGAGACCAGCCTGGCCAACATGGTGAAACTCCGTGTCTACTAACAGTACAGAAATTATCTGGGTGTGGCGGTGCATGCCTGTAGTCCCAGCTACTTGGGAGGCTGAGGCAGGATCACTTGAACCCGGGAGGTGGAGGTTGAGCGAGCTGAGATCGTGCCGCTGCACTCCAGCCTGGGCGACAGAGACAGACTCCATCTCAAAACAAAGCAAGCACCGCCCCCCCCCACCCCACCCACAAAACAGTAAATAAATGTCAAGGAAGAAAAGGTCTTTGGAGGTGATGCTTGAATTGAGCATGGAAGAGTGAGTGGAGTGGGAAGATATTTTCCTAGGCAGAGCCAAGTGCGCAAAGATGCAGACAAGACCAGGGGAGGGCCTACAGAGTGGGAGGGGCCAGTCACTACTAGTTCGGTGTGTACAGAGCCTGTGGTGGTTGAGGGTGGAGAGCAGGTCTGTCCGATCCCCGCAAAGCCTGGAGGCTTCCTTTTGATACTGGGTGTGTTGTGGGAAAGCTGATTTCATTTGTCTTTTTGACTCACAGTTCTCCACGGATCTCCCGTTACGGAGACTGGGTCGTATTCACGCACTGCACCTAACTGACCAGGGCCCTGGCTGCTGTGCTCTGAACTCCAGCACTGGGATTGTGCCCAACGCCACCCTTCCCACCTGGCCGCTCCCAGCCAAGGACTGGTGGCGGCATGGACACGAAGGCAGGCAGGTTCCGGGGAGAATCGGGATCCCCATGATGCGTAATTTTGGCTGAAGGGCTCACGGATGATCTTGCTGAGCTTTTCTTAGACTGCAGGGAGGCCGGGATGGGTGCTTCCCTCCCTCCTTCACTTGGGCTCTGATTTGCAGAAGGTCCGGCCCTCTCCAGCTCTCACGGCTCCCTCCTCATTTAGTTCCACGGCCATTTCCCCCAAGAAAACCCTCCGCATCTAGTCCTGAGTGGGCGCTGCTTCTCGTAGGACCCACCCTAACACATGGCCTGCATCTACCTTCCCTTCCCTCTCCTCTCCAGGGTGCAGCCTTTTTCAAGGCGAGGAGAGTGATTCCAGGCAGCTTTCATTCCTGGGTCTCCTTAGCTCCCTCGCCCTTCCCAGCATCTGGGCCCACTGGGCCACTCAGGCTTTTCTAATAAAAATCGCAGCTTTGGCCCAGTGCGGTGGCTCACGCCTGTAAGCCCAGCACTTTGGGAGGCCGAGGCGGGTGGATCACCTGAGGTCGGGAGTTCGAGACCAGCCTGACTAACATGATGAAACCCCCATCTCTACTAAAAATACAAAATTAGCCGGGCGTGGTGGCGCGTGCCTGTAGTCCCAGCTACTCGGGAGGCTGAGGCAGGAGAATCGCTTCAACCCAGGAGGCGGAGGTTGCGGTGAGCCGAGATCACGCCATTGCACTCCAGCCTGGGCAACAAGAGCGAAACTCAGTCTGAAAAAATAATAATAAAAATCGCAGCTTCTCCACCTGGAAAGTCCCAATTCGACTGGGTCTTGGAGTGCCGACTCGATTGCCATCTCCGCTGCGAAGCCATCTCCTCTCAGAAGGGGAAGGAGATGGAAAGTCTCTGCGGCCGCTGACCTCAGTTTTGCGTGCCTTTCCTCGGTGGGACCCGGGAAGAGCCGTCTTTAAATTCCTTGGGGAAGGGACGGGGTCGCACTGGCGCATCGCATCCCCGGTAGCGGGCAGAGCCCCCAGCTCACAGTGAGCGCGTGCTCGATGTTTCTTGAATTGTTTTATTTGTGTTGTTCCAAAGAAAGCGCGAGGGACATGGTCCGGGACCAGCCGGGAGCTGGCGCGGGGGTCCTGGGCCTGACGCTGGGCGGGGCTGGGGCGTGTCCGGGGCGGGGCGGGGCGGGAGGTGCGGTCGCGGCTCGGGCCTGGCAGGCGCTGCGCGCGGGGCTGGGGCAGCGGTAACCGTAACTGTGGCCGCGGCCGCCGCAGGCGCACAGCGCGCGTCCAAGTGGAGAACAAAGTGACCCCCAGAACTTCTCCAACTCCTCCCGGCGTTCCCGCGAGGGCCACGCGCCGAGGGTAGCGGAGGGCGGCGCGCGACCGGCCCCACCGAGCCCGGCGCGCGACCCGAGGTAAGGGGCGCCCGGGTGAGGGCGCAGGAGGGCGACGACCCGCGCTGGTTGGCGGCGGCTCCAGGTCCCCTGCGGGCGGGGCGGCGCGCGGCCGGCGGTCCCCTCCCTTCCCCTTTGTTGGCCGCCCCTCTCTGCCCCCGCTTTCCTGGGAGTCCCGCGGAAGGTCGCGGCTGCGGGGCGCGGCCTGGCACCCTCTCCCCGGAGGGCGGCAGCGTCCGGGCACAGCCTGGCACGGGGGACGAAGCACTTTCCAGAAGGCTCTGAAACTAGGTCCCCTGGTCCCCTCGCGCTGCGCGACACGCCAGGACCCACTTTCAGCCCCGGTCCCATCCCGGATGGGAGGAGGCGGCGCCCCGGCCTCCTGATACCGAGGTTCTCGCCCAAAGCCGAGCCGTGGGTGCCCGGAGGGGAGCGCCCGCTGCGCCCACGCCCGCCCGGCGACCTCGGAGCCTCAGAAAGGCGCTGCGGCGAAGCAGGATCCCAGGCGGTCGGCTCAGCGAGTGTAGACCGTGCGGTCCCTGCTCAGCCCCTCCGGCCTTTCCGAGCGCGGGAGCCATCCCGGACGGGCGCGGCTCCTGGGGGGGCTGAGGTGCCAAGTTTCTGTGAAAGCCGACACGTTGTGCCCCTAATGGATCCTATTTACCAAAAACAGTTCAGAAAGAAAAGAGTCCATTCTTCCAGCCATTCGTTGCTGACAGCCGCTGGAAAGGTCTGGGAGTAACATTGCACGAGGTATTTCTATCTTTAAGGAGCGGCGAAATTTAATATTGATGAGCTTGCATGCCGTTTTTTTAAAATAGACAAATAGGTTAACTTTATTTAAAGAGGGAGAAGGCTGCTTGATTCCAAAGATAATTTCATTCAGGGGGAGGTTTTCCTGCTTTTCTCTGCAGAATTCAGGCAAGAGGCCACTTGGTGACACTCCTCAGCCTCCTTGGGTAATGGTGAGACCTTTATTTACTATGCGATGAAGGGCCTGGGATTCTCTTCTCATGGTTATTCACACATTCTACCTTTTGCTCCCCAAATGATGCTGACCACCTTATTTTAACAGACAACACCGGCTATCTCCAGTTCTCTTTCCAATAGATTTAAGCCAGAGTGTCTCTAAAATCTTACCAAGTTTCGTACAGGTGCGGATCATATGCTATAAATGTTTCAGTCCTAGGCTCTGGATAAAAAAGTGTCCATGGTTTTATAATTTGGGCTTAACCAGTAGAACTTGTGTGTATACACTCTTAGAAGTATTTCCTGATGTGCTTAAGATTGTTATGTTTTAAAAATATAGTATCATGATTGGTGCAGTTTTGTAAGCAAACTTTTGTTCCACCGGATTTTACCTGCTCACTTTATAGGAAAATAAAACTTGTTGCTTTAGGGTGTCAGAGGTTTTTGTGTTGGGTAAATGTAAAAGAACATGGCAAGGTATAACTGAAGAAGAGTTTATTATTTACTGTGGCAAAACACGCCCCTAATGACCTCAGAATCAGCTTTCAACACCTTCACATACCATACTAAGATGCTTCATAATGTGGCACCTGCCTGCCTTTCCAGTTCCATCTACTGACTTTCCCCAGGCCTCCTGGCTCTCCCCCGCTTGCACACTGCCTGCTCTAGACACACCAAGCTACTCAGAAGTTGTTATTTCCAGACCATTGTTTGGAATGAATGAAATTCTGCTTACACTGTTCTTACTCCTCTTGCCCATCTGTCAATTACCCACGCATTCTTAATGTGTCAGTCAAATACCTTCTCTAGGAAGCTTTTCTTCCTTATCCGTAGGCGAAGTTAAGCTCCTCCTCCTCCAGTAGTCAGTGCTTCTACTAGAACACATTTTTGTATATACCTCTGGCACTGCCACCTTGCACAGTTGTTCAGGCTGTTCACTACACAAGGTCATCTTGTCCAACAGGCAATTGGAGGCTGAAATCCGATTCACACTCCACTTGCCAAGCCTCTAGTGCGCTCCTCTCCATTGGAGAGGATACATTTGGCAATTTAACCAAAAGTACAGTATGGGTTAGTAGTGACCCTAAGCCTATCCCCACTACTGTACTTAGCATCCATCACTTCAACTGATGTAATAGGAGCTCAGTTAAGGTTCCTAGGTTCCGTGAACGAGTGAAGAAAGAATGGATTTTTTTTTTTTTTTTTTTTTTTTTTTTTGAGACAGGATCTCCCTTTGTTGACCAGGCTGGAGTGCAGTGATATGATCTCAGCTCACCGCAGCCTCAGCCTCCCCAGCTCAATTGATCTTCCTTCTCTGCCTTCCAAGTAGCTGGACTACAGACGCGTGCCACCACACCTGGCTAATTAAAAACATTTTGTAGAGAGGGGGTTTCGCCATGTTGCCCAGGCTGGTCTCAAACACCTGAGCTCAAGTGATCCACCCTCCTCAGCCTCCCAAAGTGCTGGGATTGTAGGCATGAGCCACCGTGTCCGGCCAGAAAAGATTACTTCTCACGAACTCTAGAAAGAAGTAAGAGTTTGGGGGCAGATTTTTTTTGTATAAGTCAGTATACAGAAATCTGCTTCAGTTTGCTTTATCTTATGTCTGGGCTGTTCAAATGATGCTTAGACAGATGTCTTCTCCTTGATTACAGGGAAGAATCTGCGAGTGTGAATTCATGGGTGGGCGTCAGGGATTTGTGTCAACATGTGGTGCTTTGTCAGCTGATGACTTTTCTAGCCACTCAGGTTTACGTGTCTAATCGTGATTTGCTAAGAGAGATAAGGGGGCAAGAAACTTGCAAGTAAGGCCCTAAAGAGCTTTGCTCGCATAAACATGTGCTAATAAATTGCATTGGAGTGCCGTTTTGTATATAAGAATTTAAGCCATCCTAAAGTGAGATGTCACAGAATTAAACTAAGAAAGTAAGAAGGGTTTGAGTCTGATTTATTTAGGATCTCCAATGAGATCAGTATTTAATATCACAGTTTTATGCATGAAAAATGCAGTTTTCATTGGGAAGGGGCCATTTGCAAGCTGAATTGGCTGCAAGAGTTGTAAAAATGCTCCAAATTTTGTATGTAGTTAAAAATTAACAATTTGTGGGGTGATCTGGTGGCATTTTTCAAGCTACAATCAATATGTGAATTATCATGCAAGCATTTATAAGATTGTGATATAAAATTATATACTTGTAGATGTCAAAAGTGTTTGCTAGTTATATGGAATCTTGGAATCTCTAGAATTCATAACATTGGAATAACTTTAAGGATAATATGGATCAATTCTCCCATTTTATGGGTAAGGAAACTGAGTCCCAGGAACTTATCCAGGGTCACTGAGCTTGTGTAGAGGCATAGCCAGGACGAGCTTTCAGATTTCCTGGCTTCGACTTCATATTCAAGTACCTATAAGAACAGCCTTCTGTATATTCCATCATTGGCCTCACTTGGGAAATCTTGAAAGTATAGGCTTAATTTTAAGATCTCAGGGAAAGAAAAGATTTTCAGTGCCAAACACAATGCCCTGGGTAAAGTAGGCATGTGATAAATATTTGCTGAATGGAGGAATGAATGAACAAACCCGATGACAACTTCCTTATTTAAAGTAATTGATAAGAAATGATGCAAAGTCCATTTGGAGTGGAATTTGGCCCATGTGTTTGTATTTCTTAAATGCCATAAAAAGTATTGGTTAAACTTTATGGGAAAGATGGGCATCTCTATTATATATTCAAAGACATTTGATATGCTATAGGAAAATTAATTAATTAATTAATTAATTTTTTTGAGACAGAGTCTCGCTCTGTCACCCAGGTTGGAGTGCAGTGGCGATCTCAGCTCACTGCAACCTCCATCTCCTGAGTTCAAGCGATTCTCCTGCCTCAGCCTCCCGAGTAGCTGGGATTGCACCCACCACCACACCTGGCTAATTTTTGTATTTTTAGTAGAGATGGGGTTTTGCCATGTTGGCCAGGCTGGTCTCGAACTCCTGACCTCAGGTGATCCACCTGCCTCGGACTCCCAAAGTGCTGGGATTACAGGCGTGAGCCACCGCTCCTGGCCAGGAAAAATAATTTTTATTTCTTTATTATTTTCTATAGGAGAAGTTAGAACTCCTAACAGAAAAGCGTAATGAAAAAGCTCAGGATTTGGAATCACTAAGTTTGTCTGAAAACTAGCTTTGCTTCTGCAGACCATAAATGTCACCGGCCTCAGTTTCTTGTAACTTCTTTTTTTATTTTTTTTTGAGACGGAGTCTCACTCTGTAGCCCAGGCTGGAGTGCTGTGGTGCCATCTTGGCTCACTGCAACTTCTGCCTCCCGGGTCCTGGTTCAAGCAATTCTCCTGCCTCAGCCTCCCGAGTAGCTGGGATTACAGGTACGTGCCACCATGCCCAGCTAATTTTTGCATTTTTAGTACAGACGGGGTTTCTCCATGTTGGTCAGGTTGGTCTTGAACTCCTGACCTTGTGATCCGCCCGCCTCGGCCTCCCAAAGTGCTGGGATTACAGGTGTGAGCCACCGCGCCCAACCTCTTGTAACTCCTTAAATCTTAGAGTTGTTACAAAGATCAAATGAGCTGAAGTGCATGAAAGCACTTTGCAAACTTTGGAACAATGAACAGTAAGAGGAGTTAGAAGCTGTGGCAGTGACTACTTGGCCTGTGCATACATCATCTCATTTATTCCTCTGAATTTAAAAAAAGTAGACTTTTGTGGAATAAGGAAGAAATTCATGCTTAAACAACTCCCTCAATGTTAAACATGTATCGAGTGAGCCCCCTATGATGTGTTAAGAACTGTTAAGCTGGGCTGGGTGCGGTGGCTCACGCCTATAATCCCAGCACTTTGGGAGGCCAAGGGGCGGATCACCTGAGGTCGGGAGTTCAAGACCAGCTGACCAACATGGAGAAACCCCGTCTTTACTAAAAATACAAAAATTAGTGGGCGTGGTGGCACATGCCTGTAATCCCAGCTACTTGGGAAACTGAAGCAGGAGAATCACTTGAACCCGGGAGGCAGAGGTTGTGGTGAGCTGAGATTGCGCCATTGCACTCCAGCCTGGGCAACAAGAGGGAAACTGTTGCAAAAAAAAAAAAAAAAAAAGCATCCAAAAAACTGTTACGCTCTCAACACGATGGTCAGTAAGAGAACTTACTTTAAGTAGAGAACAGTAAGTGACATTAAGTGACACAAAAGCAAATTCCTTAAGTTTTAGGTGGAGGAGTGATAGGTCAGATTTGCATTTGAAACCAGTTCCGTTCAGGCACCTTGGCTTACGCCTATAATCCCAGTACTCTGGGAGGCCGACGCTGGGGATCACTTGAGGTTGGGAGTTCAAGACCAGCCTGGCCAACATGGTGAAACCCTGTCTCTACTAAAAATACAAAAATTAGCTGGGTGTGGTGGTGCACATCTGTAGTCCGAGCTACTCGGGAGGTTGGGGCACGAGAATTGCTTGAATCCGAGAGGTGGAGGTTGCAGTAAACCAGGATTGCGTCACTGCACTCCAGCCTGGGCGACAGAGCGAGACCCCATCTCAAACAAACAAACAAAAAAAGAAACCAGTTTCTTTTTAGATTGTTGTGAGTAGATTTAGGGAAGCAAGCCTGGAAGAAAGAAAGTCAGTGGTAACAGTGTAGATCATCAAAGGTGGTGGCAGTAGAATAGTGGGGACAGACATGGAAGAAGATTCCAGAAATATAAAGGAAGTGCAGTGGACTTGGTGACTGAGAAAATGGAGGGCAGGGAGAATCACATCCAGTAAAGGATGACACCCAGGCTGCTCACCCATATGACAACCTAGAAGGAGAAGGTTGGAGACCTGTGGGATCCTTTACCCAAGTTCACGTAGTTTGAAATTGCACAGCTGAGATTTGAATCCAGGTCTGTCTGACCACATGATCCTTCCACTCTTCTATCCTGACCCAATGGTTAGCATGCCCTTAATTGTAAACAAATAAAGGATCTTAATAAAAATCATCTAGCATTTGAAAGCTTTTATTTTTTGTGAAATGTTTTTTCATAACATTAAGGAAAAAAAAATGCCCACGGATGGTTACCGCCAGCAGACATAGGCTGGTGCCCTGAGAAGGTTCCCTGCCAGAAGCGTATAATGTATTTCCTCTCCTGGATGTTACATGGCCTGGGCCCTGGCCCACTCCTCTCCAGGCATTCCATCGAGCTGGAAATTGGTCTGCTTTGTTTTCATTTATGAGGTTTGTAGATTGAGTAACAGAATCTGGACTACAGTGTTCATTGTGTTTTCATGGTGTTGGATTACAAGCTTTCTTTTAAATTCATGGTTAGGTTTCTGAATGTGCCTTTTGGACATAGTTCTTCATGAGTTCCCATTACTAAGTGATTTCTTTGCATTGGGAACAGTATGTAAAACTCGAATTTTGAAGCTTCTTTTGTCAGTAGTTTGGGAAATGGCTTAATAAATAAGCTTGCAAATCTTTCCTTATGCTGGTGAAAGTGAAGGATTCTCATTGCTTTTAAAATATAGTGATGAATTTTAGTGCAATATTTTGTGTTATTTTAAAATTCAAAAAAATTATATTGTTGTTGTCTAGTAAAGAGCATTCTGTGCCTTAAGATTTTCATCTCTAAAAGAAGGATGACAGCAGCGCCTTCTTAGAATATTGTTTTGAGGATTGAGAAATTAATGAATTAACATAATACAGCTGGGTGTAGTGGCTCACGCCCATAATCCCAGCACTTTGGTCGGCTGAGGCGGGATGATCACTTGAGGCCAAGTATTTGAGACCAGCCTAGGCAACATAGTAAGACCCTGTCTCTGTAAAAAAAATACAAAAATTAGCTGGGCATAGTGGCATATGCCTGTAGTCCCAGCTACTAAGGAGGCTGAGATGGGAGGATTGTTTGAACCCAGGAGGTCGAGGCAACAGTGAGCCATGATCACGCCACTGTACTCCAGCCTGGGTGACAGAGCAAGACCTCGTCTCAAAATAAAATAAAATTAGCATAATATGCTTAGAACCTGGCCTGACGAAATGAGAAAGTTCACTAAGTGTTTTCTATTTCTTTCTGTCATTTTTTTCCTTGCATTATTCCCTGTCTGGTTAACCCCCAGTCATCCACGGAGACCCAGAAAAGCCTTCCATCTGAGTTGCTTCTTAGGTACTTGTGTCTATATCAATTGTTGCATTCATCATATAATATTTAATTCTTGATGACTTCTCCATCACACAGGGAGTGCTTTGCTTGTTTTATTTATTTATTTATTTATTTTTGACACGGAGTTTCGTTCTGTTGCTCAGGCTGGAGTGCAGTGGTATGATCTCAGCTCACTGCGAACTCTGCCTCCAGGGTTCGAGCAGTTCTCCTGGCTTAGCTTCCCAAGTAGTTGGGATTACAGGCACCCACCACCACATCCAGCTAAGTTTTGTGTGTGTGTGTTTTTTTTTTAGTAGAGACAGGGTTTCACCATGTTGACCAGGCTAGTCTCGAACTCTTGACCTCAGGTGATCTGCCCTCCTTGGCCTCCCAAAGTGTTGGGATTATAGGTGTGAGCCACTGAGCCCAGCCATGCTTGTTTTATTTTTGTACCACTTTTATATCCAGCCTGGTGCTTTAGTGAACACTCTTAAATGGTGGTTGACAGAATGTGTGAAGTGTTCATTGAAATTGTTTTTAAAAGTATTATAATATGATTATGAGATTGAGAGACCCTTTGCCAAATATTTGACTCTCTAAATGGACTTTATCAATAACAAAGTGCTGAAAGTTAAAATACATAAAGGTTGATCCGTTTTTTTCCGAAGCGTGGAATTGTGGCAAGGTTATTGTATTGGATATTAACAGCTCTAGATTCTGTTGTGGAATATACCTTTTACCCATTTGGCAGGTCACCTAAACATTTGAGGGAGCCAGGTGTAGTGGTGCACGCCTGTAATCCAAGCTACCCAAGAGGCTGAGGCACAAGAATTACTTGAACCCGGGAGGCAGAGGTTGCAGTGAGCCGAGATCACACCACTGCACTTCAGCCTAGGCAACAGAGTGAGACTCTGTCTCAAAAAAGAAAAGAAATTACTTGTCCCCATTTTCACAGCCTCCCTGGCCCCAGAGAACAGAAAAGTCAGAGAGGTGGAAGACTCGACGCTCCCAGCTGTGCCTCAGCTGTGGGCCAAGTCTCCACCGGGGCCAAAGGGGACACTCTTGTGGGAGGAGCAGAGGGGCCCACATCTCCCCTCTCGGCTCCCCCATGCACACTGCCTTATCTCTCCCCCTCTAGCCAGGAATCGGTTGTGTGTTTCCTCTGCCAATTTACTGTGATTGTGTATGTGCTGCTACCACCGCAGCTGCCACGGTGGGGCAGGGAGGAGGCCAACATGGTGAAACCCTGTCTATACTAAAAATACAAAAATTAGCTGGGTGTAGTGGCAGCTGCCTGTACTCCCAGCTACTCAGGAGGCTGAGGCAGGGAGAATCACCTGAACCTGGGAGATGGAGGTTGCAGTGAGCCAAGATTGACGGAGCGAGACTCCATCTCTCCCAACTCCCCCCAGAAAAGTGCATTCTGTTGAGTCTGTTGTGTGAGATGTTTTGCACTTATGTGACTTTTATCAGTGCCTTTGCTTTTTGTATTTTTAGTAGAGATGGGGTTTTGCCCTGTTGGCCAGGCTGTCCTGAACTCCTGACCTCAGGTGATCTGCCTGCCTCGGCCTCCGAAAGTACTGGGATTACAGGCATGAGCCACCGTGCCTAGCTGTGATGAGTAATTTCTGCACCAGTCCTGCTGTAGGCTACCTGCAAGACAAGATGTTTGATTGGAAGGCTGGTCAGAGTCACTTCTAGCTCCTGGTCTGTAGTCTTTCCAGAGTCTTCCTAGTGTGCCTCAGTAAGTCAGAGTAGTCAAGGCCCATACTCTGTATGTAGTAGCCAGGCTAATCCTTGGAGTTCACCCCAAATTTCCAATACCATCTTTCTGTTTTTGTTTGTTTTAGATGGAGTCTTGCTCTGTCACCCAGGCTGGAGTGCAGTGACATGATCTTGGCTCACTGCAACCCCCACCTCCTGGGTTCACGCGATTCTCCTGCCTCAGCCTCCCGAGTAGCTGGGACTTGTTACAGGCGCCCGCCACTACGCCCAGCTCATTTTTTGTACTTTTAGTAGAGACGGGGTTTCACCGTGTTAGCGAGGATGGCCTCAATCTCCTGACCTTGTGATCTGCCCGCCTCGGTCTCCCAAAGTGCTGGGATTATAGGCATGAGCCACTGCGCCCGGCCTCTTAATACCATCTTTTTTTCCAAGTCTGTTACTCTGTTATGTAACCTGGTATTTTGAGCTTAGCTGTAGGACATTTACTTACCAGGCGAATAGACTATTGCATCACCTTTAACTCCTCTTTCTTTGGTACCATTGCTTTGTAAATATAGTAGGCTCCAAAAGAAGATGTGCCCAAGATGGATTTATAGAGTGGGGAGAGGTCGCTGAGGTGGGCACACAGTCTGGAGCATCCCTCACTGCCAGAGTTTGCAGTGAGTCCCTCTCAGCTTCCCAGGCAGGCCTTCACTTACCTTAAGCCATTTGCCCCATGTGAAGAGGCAGAAGGCAGTCATGGAGTAACCCATGATGAGCCAGTGGATGGTCAGTTGCACCAGAGTAGAAGGCTTGGAGGATGGTAATGGAGGTCAGGTTGCCCAAGGCAAGGCTCTCTCCAATTAGCCTGGCAGCCTGAGGAGGGAGGAGTAGCTCATCAGCAGCTTGTCCCTCATTTCCCCTTTCACCTCCACCCTGGAGGCCTGCCTGTCTTTCCACAATAAAAATGAGGAATTCCGTCTGGAAGCAGGCCAGGCATCCTGAGTACAGGCTATGCCAGAGGGCCAGGAATCTTGGAGAGACCCTGAGAGAGTTTTTTGTTTTTGTTTTTGTTTTTTATTTTTTATTTTTGAGATGGAGTCTAGCTCTATTGCCCAGGCTGGAGTACAGTGGCACGATCTCGGCTCACTGCAACCTCCACCTCCTAGGTTAAAGCAATCCTCTTGCCTCAGCCTCCTGAGTAGCTAGGACTACAGGTGTGCACCACCATGCCTGGCTAATTTTTGTATTTTTACTAGAGACGGGGTTTCACCATGTTGGCCAGGCTGGTCTTGAACTTCTGACCTCAAGTGATCCACCCACCTTGGCCTCTCAAAGTGCTGGGATTACAGGGGTGAGCCACCTCACCTGGCACTGTGAGAATTCTTTACTTTTTTTTTTTTTTTTGAGATGGAGTTTTGCTCTTGTTGCCTAGGCTGGAGTGCAATGGTGTAATCTCGGCTCACTGCAACCTCTGCCTCCCGAGTTCAAGTGATTCTCCTGCCTCAGCCTCCTGAGGGATTGCAGGCGCCTGCCACCACGCCCAGCTAATTTTTCTATTTTTAGTAGAAATGGGGTTTCACCATGTTGGTCAGGCTGGTCTTGAACTCCCGACCTCAGGTGATCTGCCTGCCTCGGCATCCCAAAGTGCTGGCATCACAGGCGTGAGCCACTGCACCTGGCCAGATTCTTTACTTTCAAGGAATTTGAATCATTTGAAAAAGTCACTGGAGAAAAGGGTGGGTAAGGAGGAGCCACTGACTGACTAGTTCTTGGATCGAGCCGCCTGCCTCTGGGTCCTCGAGCCTCGAGGAGTAGAGGGCAGGGAGGCTCCCACGTGTAGCCCCCCGGGGTCCTGGAGGCAGTGCTGCCTGATTAGTTTTACAGATGGGAGGCCGACCCACGGCAGAGCTGGTGATCAGTGACCGAGTGCCTACCAAGTCCCTGACGTTGAGGTCAGTGGGGAACCAGATACACTCTAATGCTGCCCACACTCTAGTGGTAGGGACAAACAAGTAAAGAAGATGTTTATAATCAGGGCAGCAGAGGACATAAGTCCTGTGGCAGAGCTGCAGTAACACCCAGGGCTCAAGGCACTTTTTTTTTTCAAATCGGAGTCTCGATCGGGCATGGTGGCTCATGCCTGTAATCCTAGCACTTTGGGAGGCTGAGGTGGGTGGATCACAAGGTCAGGAGTTCGAGACCAGCCTAGCCAACATGGTGAAACCCTGTCTCTACTCAAAATACAAAAATTACCGGGTGTGGTGGCGCATGCCTGTAATCCCAAATACACAGGAGGCTGAGGTGGGAGAATCTCTTGAACCCTGGAGGCGGAGGTTGCAGTGAGCTGAGATTGTGCCATTGCACATCAGCCTGGGCGACATTTTTAGAGACTGTCTCCCCCACCTCCCCCCACCAAAAAAAAAAAAAAAGAAAAAAAAAAGACACAGTGTTACTCTGTTGCCCAGGCTGGAGTGCAGTGGCGTGATCTCGGCTCACCACAACCTCCACCTCCCGGGTTCAAGCGATTCTCCTGCCTCAGCCTCCTGAGTAGCTGGGATTACAAGTGCCCACCACCACACCCAGCTAATTTTTTTGTATTTTTAGTAGAGATGAGGTTTCACCATGTTGGCCAGGCTGGCCTCAAACTCTTGACCTCAAGTGATCCACTTGCCTTGGCCTCCCAAAGTGTTGGGATTACAGGCATGAGCCACTGTGCCCGGCCAATTTTTGTATTTTTTGTGGAGAAAGGGTCTTGCCATGTTGCTCAGGCTGGTCTACTAGGATTACAGGTGTAAGCCACTGCGGCTGGTCTGCTACTGGCTTTTTGATCGTACTTTGAGAAACTGCCCTAAATAAAGTAAGACTTGCGCTTGTAGGGCATTCAGTGTGTGGAGGGTGTGGGGGAGTGGAGTCAAGGTCTCTCTTCCCGTCTCTTTTCCCTGCATGATGCCCCTTTGCATAGGCTTGCATAGGATTGTGAGGATCTAACCATGTTAGTTAACTTGCCAGAGATGGGCAAGAGATTTGTAGGCCAGTCACATATAAATGCAGCACAGGTTTTCTTATTTCAGGGTGATCCATGGTTTGACAGGAACCATTTTTCTTTTTCTTTCTTTCTTTCTTTTTTTTTTTTTGAGAGGGAGTCTCGCTCTGTCGCCCAGGCTGGAGTACAGTGGCACAATCTCGGCTCACTGCAAGCTCCGCCTCCCGGGTTCACGCCATTCTTAAGGAAATTTTTAAGGAAAACATCTGGTTTCTAAAGAAGAGGTTTGTTGAATATATTAGTTATAAGCATACTGACAGTGAAAACGATTAGGTAAAATGTCAGGTTACTTAAAAACATCATTTTGTAATGAATATTAGTGAGAAAGCATTTCTGTCTCTTCAATAAAGGCCATTTCCTGAGGGATACCAACAGGCAGGACTTTGCTTAGTTCTATTTCAGTTTACCATGTAATTGGAATTTTAAAATGACCTGTCTTAAAAAATCTGGGGATGTCACTAAGTCAGACTGTCATCAGTTTCACCCTGGCCATTAGTCTAAACGTGTGAGGAAATTGAGCCCGTCGGATGGTTGCCATTGCAGGAGTCTTGGTGTGTGTCGAGAAGAGAATGTCACTGCAGCGTGGCATTTTCTGAAAAGCTGTCTGTCACTGAAGCTAAATTTTGATAGCTTGATAAATCACATTAGAAAATTCACTAAGGCGTGGAGTGTACAGAGTTGGCAGCCAACAGTTGGAATTTTCGGCAAACCAACAAGTGGGTTGTTCCGAAATATGTGGACACGTACATATGTAATTGTCGACCTTAAATAATACATCATATGGCTTTTTCCATTGTCTAAAGGAAAATCTCTAAACATTTATAGAGTGCATTGAAAATTCTTGAATAATTTCAAGATATAAAAGTACATTTATATTTCTGTGTGTGATAGATGATAATATGACACACTTGAAAACTGTGTTTGTTGTAATTTCTCATTTGGCATTCTTAAAATTTGCTAAAATAGCATGACACTGAGATGTGGCTTACAGTTAGTGGTTAGTCCGGATAGTGCCTCTTATGTATATATTACGCAGAAAGTCAGCAAAATCACCTGTGCACATGACGAACATATACCTCAAACCTCAAGAAATATAAGGCACAGAGAAATCAATTGCCTCAGGCTAGGGGTGAAACACAGTCACTTTCCTACTCATTTCCAGGTCTCTGAACCAGGTTTTCCTGGAAGGAGCTGTCTCCATTTAGTAATATTGCCAAGTTTTGTCTCTTTGGTACTCACTGGTGGTCACTGATAGTCTAAGGGACCTTCCTTTTCTGGAAATAATTTTTTTTTTTTTAACCTGCTCCTTGCAGAGCAGGGCTACCCCGCAGGCAGTGTGCCCAGAGAAGCTGGAAGTAAATTTCTCAGCATCACTCAGTTCTTCTGAGGCTCAGTGTCTGGAATGTACGTATATTCCACTCTCTTGAATTATTCCTTGAAACTCAAACTTTTATTTGACCCTTTTGGATGTGGATGTTTGTATTGTGAGAAAAGAAAAATGCGCTGACTGTACTGTAGCAGTGTTTGGAAACCTTACTGTGATGTGTTTGTGTTTTCAGTGGGTGAATCTGTAGTTAGGTTCAGTGTTTTGGGGCAGTTGCTTAGCATGTACTGCCTTGGAGTTGTAGGATTGAAATAGGAGAGGAAGAGCATAATGGAAAGCACATTAGGTATTGTTCCAGAACAGAGGTTCTCAAACTTCAGGGCATCAGAATCACCTGGAGGGCTTGCTAACGCATAAATCTCTGGGTCCTGTCCTCTGTTTCTGACTCAGAAGATCTTTTTTTTTTTTTTTTTTTTTTTTTTTTGAGGCAGGGTCTCGCTCTGTCACCGAGGCTGGAGTGTAGTGGTACAATCTTGGCTCACTGCAGCCTCCACCTCCAGGGTTCGGGCGATTCTTGCACCTCAGCCTTCTGAGTAGCTGAGACTACAGCCGTGAGCCACCATGCCTGGCTAGGTTTTGTATTTTTAGTAGAGATAGAGCTTCACCATGTTGCCCAGTCTGGTCTTGAACTCCTGAACTCAGGTGGTCTGCCTGGCTTGGCCTCCCAAAGTTCTAGGATTACAGGTGTGAGCCACCATGCCTGGCCCTGACTCAGAAGATCTGAGTTCGGCCTGATAATTTGCATCTCTATGATGTTTCTAGGTGATGCTGCCACTGTGGCTGATCTGGGGCCGCATTTGGAGAGACTGTGTTCTGGAGGCTCAGTGTTGGTCTATACTGAGTGGAGATGTGGATCCGTAGACGTCATTCAGCTTCTCAGGGTCTGGGTTTGTATATACCTCTTGGTCCAGGCAGTATTAGTGATTTTCTTGAAAATCAGAGGAATCCTTTGTTCCAAACTACGACTTACGTGAAACCAAGACCCAAATATATAATATACAAAAGGGATGAAATGGAAATTATATTAATTACGCAGTTGTAAGGGACAGAAGGCCCCTTGGGCCCCTCTGAAGGACCTAATACAGTTGTGAATCCAGTGGAAGAGAGGATTTCTAAGGTCCCTCGCACCCATAGCTTTCTCTGATTCTGTATACTCTTTTTTTTTTCTCTTTTTCCAGGCTGAGTCTCACTCTGTCACCCAGGCTGGAATGCAGTGGTGCAATCTCGGCTCACTGCAACCTCCACCTCCTGGGTTCAAGTCATTCTCGTGTCTCGGTCTCCTGAGTAGCTGGGACTACAGGCGCCCGCCACCACACCTGGCTAATTTTTGTATTTTTAGTAGAGATGGGGTTTTGGTCTTGAATTCCTGGCCTCAAGTGATTTGTGTGCCTCAGCCTCCCGAAGTCCTAGCACTACAGGCGTGAGCCACCACGGCTGGCCAGATTCTGTATACTCTTGAAACTGTAGACTGTTAGAGAGTGGAAAGAATCTAAGCGGAAGACTTATGACTTTGAGGTTGTGCCTTTTGATATAAGAAGCTATGTTTAGGATATATAAATAGGTAGGCAATAAATTAGCTTGAGATTTTCATGGTAGCAACAGCTCATAAAAGATCCACAGCTCATTTCTAGTAGAACTGGGGAAATTCTAGTAAGAAAAGAAATGGGGTAAAGGGTTTGGGTAACACTGATGTGGCTGTGATCTTTGTGTGCAGCTGGTATGTGTAATTGAATTGAAATAATTTAACCCATTTTAATTTTCATTTATTTATTTTTTTGAGATGGAGTTTCGCTCTTGTTGCCCAGGCTGGAGTGCAATGGCACGATCTCGGCTCACTGCAGCCTGTGCCTCCTGGGTTCAACCCATTCTCCTGCCTCAGCCTCCCGAGTAGCTGGGATTACAGGCATGCGCCACCATGCCCGGCTAATTTTCTATTTTTAGTAGAGACGGGGTTTCTCCATGTTGGTCAGGCTGGTACCTCCCAACCTCAGGTGATCCGCCCGCCTCGGCCTCCCAAAGTGCTGGGATTACAGGCATGAGCCACTGCGCCCAGCTTACAAAAATTAAATTTAGGCCAGGCGCGGTGGCTCATGTTGGCCAGGCCGGTCTCGACCTCCTGACCTCAGGTGATCCGCCCGCCTCGGCCTCCCAAAGTGCTGGGCCTGATGGTGAAACCTGTCTCTACTAAAAATACAAAAATTAGCCAAATGTGGTGTCATGCGCCTGTAATCCTAGCTACTCGGGAGGCTGAGGCAGGAGAATCGCTTGAACCCGGGAGGCGGAGGTTGTGGTGAGCTGAGATCGAGCCATTGCACTCCAGCCTTGGTGACAAGAGTGAAACTCTGTCTCAAAAAAAAAAAAAATTAAATTTAGGAGCTGTTCTTTTCAGTCCTTGGTAATGTTGAGTGAGTCCTCTGTAACATGGAATGACCAAAACCAAAACCAAAACCAAGCCAAACCAAAGGGATTCTTAGGATATTTCAGGCGGTTATGCAATTTGTAAGACTCTAGGGGTCTTTACAACTCCTCACTTTCAGGAGTGGAGGGGTAGTTATGGAATTGACACTGGTTAGGAGACCTTTTGGACAGGCGATCATTTAATCTGTGCTTATCTTTTGAATTAGAAAATTTCTCCCTTGGACCTGACCTACATAGCTGCTGCCTTCCATGAGTTTGTTTCCATTTATAATCCTAATGAACAGTATTGAGATCCTGTGGCTTCTCAATTTTCATATCATAGCAAAATAACTGAGTGTGAGATATTTATTTTGAAAAACTTAGACGATCACTTCAGTCAGTCTTAGTTCTGAACAATGAAACAGCTTGTCTCAATGCACACTTCCTTCGGTCATATTGATCTATTTTTCTCCTCAGAGTGTCTGACAATGGTTTGCCCTGTGACTGGTATATAATTTAAACATGTGCTAAGCATAATTTTAGTTCCTTTGGGATCACCCTCAGTTTTTATACCTCATCTGGCTCTCACAATTCCATTTAATTACAGCTATTTTGATATTTGGCCAAGTCACTAAAACCAGTCAACTCTCTTATGGGGAGACAGTAAACTTTTGATCAGCATATCACTGGAAGTGAAATTCTTCTGCAAACAGACACTTTTTCAGGAATTATTCTTGTAAATGCAGAGAGGCGTTGGCAGTCTTTTGATACTTTTGGAGGGGTTTTGGTGGGTGCCAGATGGTGCGTAGCTACTGTATGCTTGGAAAATGTTAACGAGAGGCTCAGCTTTTCTGAGTGTGTGTTTTGGCTTTTTGAGATAGCTTCCATGTAGGAAGAAACTTCTTTTAAGACCAAATGTAGACTCTGGATTTCCTCCAAGAGAAGTATTGTAAATATATCAAAGCTGATGCTGTACTGAATTTCTTTATAGAAAGAAAAAAAGGAGTAGTTAATAAATAACATACAGTGTTTGAATAGAGCCTACAATTTCAAAGAGTTCATCTTTCCTTATGGCCAGTTTATTACAAACAGTTTATGTTCAAACCTTGTTTTTCTCCACCCCTTGCGTTGTCATATTTCATTTTGTACTGTACGGCCCACATTTCTTATCCTGTTCTTTACTATGAGAGTTCACTGAGCAAAAGTAAGTCCACAGAGCAGGAAGGGAATGATAATCCTTAACAGTATTTTGATTTTTCTCACTTTTGAGCTTTTGACTCAATGTAGTCTTACAGAAAGCACATTTGCTACTTTTGTGTTGGGTGGAGTGAGGTTTAAAAACAAAAATCAACCAACCAACTTACCAAACCCCATTAATTCCTAATTCTGTAAGATATAGGGTATCTTACAGAATTAATCACAGGGCAATTTCTGATGCTATTTTATTTTTTAAAATTTATTTTATTTTATTTTTTTGAGACGGAGTCTCACTCTGTAGCCCAGGCTGGAGTGCAGTGGCGTGATCTTGGCTCACTGCACCCTCTACCTTCCGGGTTCAAGCGATTCTCCTGCATCAGCCTCCCGAGTAGCTGGGACTACAGGCTCCCGCCACCATGCCTGGCTAATCTTTGTAGTTTTAGTAGAGATGGGATTTCACCATATTGGCCAGGCTGGTCTCGAACTCCTGACCTCAAGTGATCCGCCCTACTCGGGCTCCCAAAGTGCTGGGATTACAGGCGTGAGCCACTATGCCCCATCCTCTGATGCTATTTTAGAAATACTAAAAACAGACATCTTAAAATCTTACAATGTAGCATTAGAATCATATTGAAATCATAAAATACTGGGAGAGACCTTAGAGTGAGTTCAGACTCACTTCAGAAGATGGAGGTGAGAGAGTTTAAGTAACCTGCCCAGTTTCTCCCATCTCGTAAGTCTGGCCATTATGCTCGGGCTTCTGAGCGTCCTCTCACTTCTTCTCCTGCTCCTCACCTGTCCCCTACCTGTGGCACATTGTTGCTCCTCCTAACTGGGGCTGGAGGACCCAGGCTTTCTCTGCACATAGATGCTTACCAGTCCCCATGGCTCCTGTAGTACAGCTGAGGTTTGGGGTCTACAGCTGGCTTAGTCTGTGCTCCTGCAGGTGTGTGTGCCATAGACGATCCAGAAAGCAGGTCAGAAAATCTCTGTCTGCTTATTTCTGTGTTTGATAATCTGTAAGTTCTCTGTATTCCGAGTTTGATGTGGAGTTTTGTCTCTTTTGCTTTGGAGAACTCGAAATTTGGGAGACGGCTTGCTGGGAGAGGTGAGGAACTCAAGGGAAGAGAAGAAAGGCATGGTTACCAACATTTACTACATACCTTTTCTGCATCTGGCGCTGTGCTAGGTACTTCCAAGTGCTTGCTCCCCTCTGCTACACAAAAGGGATATTGGAAAGCCATATTGTACACGAGGATATTGAAGCATAGAGCTGGGATTGAATCCCAGTTTGTCTGACTTCATATCCTTCCTCCCAACTCTTTCTAGGGAGGGGGAAGGGCACAGAGCCCATGTGCGTTTTATGAGCCATATGGAAGTCTGAAGAGCTGCTCAGCTCTGACAGCTGTTTAAATTATCTGTGACACTGCATCCCACCATTAGCAGGGATGATGGATTGTTGACAGTCTCCATCAGAAAAGGCTGGAGTCCCAGTCCGTGGAGGAGCACTTACAGGGTCTTTCCTAAGTGCTGAGTAAGTATAATTGAAACTTGGATTCTAATTATTATTGCTGGGTTAGAAAGCATTGAAGATACTGTTAGGCAGATATATGTCTATGTATCTGTCTACACACACACACACACACACACACACACACACACACCTGAGATGGGGTAGATCATTGTATTTTTGTGTCTACCAGCAAGAAAAGGAAGGAAAAACTAAGGTGATGTGTATTTTTAGTAGAGATCTTCCATAATTTAAAGTCATTTTGTTATTTTCTTTGCTTTCACACAAAAAATATGTGGACCTTTTCTGTGTACCTTACTCCAGTAAATCTATTTTGTCTGTTCTCATGCTACTCATTTGTATTCCATTTTTAATTAACTGTTTGTCCTTGAAAATATATTTTTCTTTGTCTATTCTTATTTGGTGGAACTGTTTCATCTGTTTAGCTAGTGTTTATACTATTTGAGGTCATTGACCTTATTCTTATGTCTTTATCTTCCCTCATTATGCAGGATAGGGTTTAATTCATAGGCATCAAATAAATGTCTATAAAGTAGTCTTTTTATTGTTTCTTTCTCAAATTACTACAGTATTATGTTAAGTAGTTTTTGTGTTTTGTCTCTAAGTTTTGTTTAGTTCACCGTAGTGCTTTTTTTTCTATTATAATGTAAATCTTGCTGAGTTTTAATGCTAGTCATTTGTGAATATCTGATACATGAAACTCAATCACAAGACAGATGTAATTGTAAGATGATTCTTTGCTGTTTGTATCAATATAGGATGCTTTTGACTCTGGTGGATGGTTTTCCTGTTCTTTTGTCTTTAGTTTTTGGTCTTTTTGTGAGTATCTACGTACACTCAATTGTGAGTTCTTGTCATTTTATATTATGTGGTTCATTTACTTATTTAATTTTTCCTGCCAAATATTTTTCCTTTTTAAAAGTATGAGAGAGAAAGACATTTCCTTGGCAGAGATAGGGCCAGAGCAGCAGAGGGAATTGCAGTAAGCATCTGTTTACCTTTCTGATTCCTTCTTTGCAAATTCTTCTCCTATGAGAAAAGAATTTCCTTTAGGCTACAAGCAATGGGGCAGGCTCATGTTGAGTTTGGAGTATGAGTTGTCCGTCAGGAGGCTGGAGAGGCAGACTGGAACAAGAGCTGGTAAGGGCTTGAAAGTGTGGTTAGGATGTCTGGGTTTAACTTGGTCTGCAAGTGGGGAGGTGTTGGAGGGTTGGACTGGCAGAGTAGGGTGTGCATGCTGGAGCTGGGGGTTCCAGCTGGGCTACTGCAGGAGTCCTGGTGATCTGTGCAGAGAGTCCGCACAGGGGGGATAAGAAAGAGGAGAGAGAACCGTCCAGATGAGGCAGCTGGCTGGATATGGGGGCAAAGCATAGGGAGGGGTAAAAAATGACACTGGGCATTCAAGCCTGTGTACCTGTGGTAAGGATGATGCTACTCTACTAATGGAGTTGGGGGAAGATTACATTTGGGTCAAGTCAAGGAGAGTTTGGGTTTGATTCTTCTGATTTCTGAGGTGTCAGCAGGCTCTATGGGAAGTGCCTCGTGAGCAGTTAGAAATCTGGAGCTCAAGAGAGACAGGTCTGGGCTGGGTATGTAGATTCAGATTCATCTCTTAGAGGGGATGACTGAAACCATGAGAAATAATGAAATTGTCAAAGAAGGATGTGCAAAGAGAGGCAAAAAAGACAGGCAAGAGCCTTGTTTTCTGCTTAAATTTTGGAGGTGGAAGAAGAATAGGAGGCAGAGAAGGGGACTCAGAAAGAATTGTCGAAAAAGAGAATTATTAAATAAGTTTTGAGCAGGATGGGAGGTGAGGGAGAGTTTTTAAACTTTAGGCCGGGCGCGGTGGCTCATGCCTGTAATCCCAGCACTTTGGGAGGCCTAAGCAGATGGATCACTTGAGGTCAGGAGTTTGAGACCAGCCTGGCCAACATGGTGAAATCCTGTCTCTACTAAAAATACAAGAATTAGCTGGGCATGGTGGTGGGCACCTGTAGTTGCAGATACTTGGGAGGCTGAGGCAGGAGAATCTCTTGAACCCAGGAGGCGGGGGTTGCAGTGAGCCAAGATGGCACCACTACACTCTAGCCTGGGCCACAGAGCAAGACCCTGTTTCAAAAAACCAAAAAAAAAAAAAAAAAAAAAAAAAAAAACTCCAAACAAACCTTTATGTAATGTACATCAGACCATCAAGACTGGCAAAAATTTTAAAAGGCAACAATACTTGCTGGCAGGGGATCTTCAAGCGTTGCTGGTGGGAATAACCATTCTGGAAAGAGTTCTGGCAGAGTCTATTAAAATTTCAAACACACATAGCCTTTGACCCAGCAGTTCCTCCCCTGGGACTCTCTCCCATAGAAATAAAAGCAGCTGTATGTAATTTGTTTGCACAAGAATATTTATTGCAGCATTGTTTGTAGTGGCAAAGAATTAGAAACTAAGTGGATGCTTTCGACAGAGGAACAGTTGGATAAGATGTCACACGTCCATGCCTTGGATTTCTGCACTTGACCTGGAAGGATTCCCATGAGAAAAGAAAAGGCAAGAACCTTGTATACTATAATCCCATTTTTGTAGAACATAAAAGGATAAAAAAATTATTGTGTAGATGTTAATGGTGCTTGGGAGGAGAGAGATTGGTAGTATGGGAATACTATATTTAAATTTAAATGTAAATGGTATTTACATTTAAATGGTATTTACATTTAAATGGTAAATTTAAATTTAAATGGTATTTACATTTAAATTTAAATGGTATTTACATTTAAATGGTAAATTAAAAAAACCAGACTGCTCGACTGGGCTTGGTGGCTCATGCCTGTAATCCCAGAACTTTAGGAGGCCAAGGCGGGTGGATTGCTTGAGGTCAGGAGTTCAAGACCAGCCTGGCCAACATGGTGAAACCTGTCTCTACTAAAAATACAAAAAAATTAGCCAGGTGTGGTGATGTGTGCCTGTAATCCCAGCTACTCGGGAAGCTGAGGCAGGAGAATCGCTTGAACCTGGGAAGCGGAAGTTGCTGTGAGCCAAGATCATGCCACTGCACTCCAGCCTGGGTGATAGAGCGAGACTCCATCTCAAAATAAAAATCAATAAATAAAAATCAATAAATAAAATAACTTGGGAGGCAGGGATATCACCTGAGCATGAAGGGGCCTTGGAGTGGCTTCGGATACTTGAGTACATTCAAAAAGTTGATCTGATGTAGATGACAGAGAATTAATATGTCAGTAAACAGAGCAGGAACTCACAGGCAGGGCTGTGGGAAAGTTCGAGACTAGAATTCCTAGTTTTCCCTCCTTGCCCACCGCATTCGGTGATATTGAAAGGCAGTCTCCCGAGGAGTCTGGCTGGTCCAGGAGCAGGGATGGAATGATGGGACTTTGGCAGTTTACTTTCTATAGGCTAATAAGGCTTATCCAGGAAAACTGAGGGGCAAGGGGCTTCAGGTTGGTAATGACGTGATTGTGGAAATGAGTGGGGATAAATGGGTTGCAGCTGGTAGAGGGAGACACATTGTCTCAGAAGGACCCCTGTGAAAGGGGCTGGGGAGACCAGGGTAGATGACATGGGGTCTAGGGTCCCTGAGAGCTGAGAGCTTGGGTGGGGCAGCAGCTTCAGTGGTTGATATAAGTCCTTGCTTCCTGTCACTACTGCTTCTACAAGATCACCTACTCCATTTTGTCTTTTTTTTTTTTTTTTGAGATGGAGTCTCACTCTGTCGCCAGGCTGGAGTGCAGTAGTGCGATCTTGGCTCATTGCAACCTCCGCCTCCTGGGTTCAAGCTATACTCCTGCCTCAGCCTCCCGAGTAGCTGGGACTACAGGCACCTGCCACCACGCCCGGCTAATTTTTTGTATTTTTTGTAGAAACGGGGTTTCACCGTGTTAGCCAGGATGGTCTCAATCTCCTGACCTCATGATCCACCTGCCTCGGCCTCCCAAAGTGCTGGGATTACAGGTGTGAGCCACCACGCCTGACTCTCCCTTTTGTCTTTTTGTAGATAAAGTCCAAACTTAGCCTGACGTTTTAAGTGTTTACCCCTCTGAAAGACCCATGTCTCCAGATCTGTAGCCACCGGCCCCATGGGGCTGTGAAGCACTTTGAAATGTGGTCACCACCACTGAGGTGTGCTGTGAGTGTAACATACACAGGAGGCTTTGCAGACTTCATATGAAAAGCCAGATGTAAAATATCCCAATACGATTTTTATATTGTTTACATGTCAAAACAATGATATTTTGGATGTATTGGATTAAAATACATTATGGGCCGGGCACAGTGGCTCACGCCTGTAATCCTAGCACTTTGGAGGGCTGAGGCGGGAGGATCACTTGAGCCCATGAGTTCAAGGCTATAGTGAGCTGTGTTCCTGCCACTGCACTCCAGCCTGGGCAACAGAGTGAGACTGTCTCGAAAAAAAAAAAGGTGTATATATGTGTGTGCAGATAGATATATATATGTATGTATATATAAATTAATTTCACTTGCTTCTTATTTTTTTCAATATGGTCACTAGAAAATTAAATTACAGGCCAGGTGCAGTGGCTTACTGTAGATTACAGTGGCCAGGTGGATCACTTGAGGTCAGGAGTTTGAGACCAGCCTGGCCAACACAGTGAAACCCCGTGTCACTAATAATTCAAAAATTAGCCAGGCATGGTGGCGAGCTCCTGTAATCCCAGCTACTCAGGAGGCTGAGGCACAAGAATTGCTTGAACCAGGGGGGCGGAACTTTTAGTGAGCCAAGGTTGTGCCACTGCACTGCAGCCTGGGTGGCAAAGGGAGACTGTCTCAAGAAAAAAAAAAAATTACATACATGACTCACATTTCTCTCTCCCTTTCCCTCCCCTCCCCTCCCCTTCCCTCCCCTTCCCTCCCCTTCCCTCCCCTTCCCTCCCCTCCCCTCCCCTCCCCTTCCCTCCCCTCCCCTCCCCTCCCCTTCCCTCCCCTTCCCATCACTTTTTTTTTTGATGGGGAGGCCAAGGCAGGCAGATCACCTGAGGTCACGAGTTCGACATCAGCCTGGCCAGCATGGTGAAACCCCATCTCTACTAAAAATACAAAAAATTAGCTGGGTCTGGTGGCAGGCACCTGTAATCCCAGCTACTTGGGAGGCTGAGGCAGGAAAATCGCTTGAACCTGGGAGGCAGAGGTTACAGTGAGCTGAGATCGTGCTAGTGCACTGCAGCCTGGGTGACAGAGTGAGACTCCATCTAAAAAAAAAAAAATAGGCTGGGCACAGTGGCTCATGCCTGTAATCCCAGCACTTTGGGAGGCTGAGGCAGGCAGATCACTTGAGGTCAGGAATTCAAGACCAGCCTGGCCAATGCGGTGAAACCCCTTCTCTACTAAAAATACAAAAAAATTAGGCATGGTGGTGGATGCCTGTAATCCCAGCTACTCGAGAGGCTGAGACAGGAGAATCATTTGAACCGGGGAGGTGGAGGCTGCAGTGAGCTGAGATTGGGCCACTGCACTCCAGCCTGGGCCACAGAGCTAGACTCCATCTAAAAAAAAGAAAAGAAAAAAAATAAAAAAGGATCCAAATTAGTAGGTGATTAGTAGATATCAGTTGATCGAATAGTGAATGGGTAACTGTAAGGGGAGACTTGTGTCCAGAGGATTATTTTAAAAAGAAAAATTAAGCTATTGTAAATGATGTGTTAAACGAATGATTAAATGAAACTCTTAGTTTTGGGTAGAAGGTTGCAAATAGTGGGGGTGGGCTGCTTTGGAAATTCCAGTGGGACTGCTGTGGTTCCTTTTCTCCCCAAATACGGCTTTTTGTTGTAGAATGGAAGGAACACTGGACTGATAGTTGGTTGGCCTGACTTCTTGCTCGTGGGCCTACCGGCCAGCTGGCTAGTCTTGGAGAATTTTCTTAACCTTTCTGAGCTTTTGCTTCCTCGTTTGCAGAATTAGTGGAGCAAATTAGAAAAGGCAGCTAGGGGCCGGGCATGGTGGCTCATGCCTGTAATCCCAGCACTTTGGGAGGCCGAGGCGGGCGGATCACGAGGTCAAGAGATTGAGACCATCCTGGCCAACAAGGTAAAACCCCATCTCTACTAAACATACAAAAATTAGCCAGGCGTGGTGCTGGGCGCCTGTAGTCCCGGCTACTTGGGAGGCTGAGGCAGGAGAATCACATGAACCTGGAAGGCGGAGGTTGCAGTGAGCCGAGATTGCGCCACTGCACTCCAGCCTGGCAACAGAGTGATACTCCGTCTGCAAAAAAAAAAGGCAGCGAGGTAGGTGGTAGACATGTCCCTGGGAGTCAGGCTGGGTTCTTCAGGTTCTGCACCCGGCTATCATCACTTCCCGGCTGTGCAGCCTTGCCTAAGTCCTGAACTTCTCCCATGCTTTCCAGAGTGGGAGTGAAAAAGAGTTTCCTGTTCCTGCCAGAGGACCCTCTAAAGAAACCTGTGGAAATTAGATCCACGTCACAGAGTGATGGATAAATATCTGTTGACTTGAAGAATGAAAGGATAACCGTCAGGGGGAACTTCTGAAAGATTTTTTTCCCCAAAACTAGACACGTTGAGGTATAATTTGTATGCTATAAACATTGTCCCCCTTTTTTCACCTACTTTAAAAAATATGGTAAAATTATTGTGGTCAAATTACTGTATTAGCCTTTTGTTGTTGTTTTTGTTGTTGTGATGGAGTCTTGCTCTGTCTCCCAGGCTGGAGTGCAGTGGCGCAATCTCAGCTCACTGAAACCTCCGCCCCCTGGGTTCACATGATTCTCCTGCCTCAGTCTCTTGAGTAACTGGGATTACAGGAGTGCATCACCACACCAGGCTAATTTTTTGTATTTTTAGTAGAGACAGGGTTTCGTCATGTTGGCCAGGTTGGTCTCAAACTCCTGACCTCAAGTGATCTGCCAGCCTCGGCCTCCCAAAGTGCTGGGATTACAGGCATGAGCCACTGTGCCCGGCCATATTAGCCATTTTTAAGTATATAGTTGAGTACATTCACATTATTGTGCAGCCCTCACCACTATCCATCTCCAGAACTTGTTTCATCTTGCAGAACTGAAATTCTGTACCCCGTTAAACAATACCCCCCATTTCTTCTTCCTCCACCCTGGCAACCACCTTCCTGTCTCTATGAATTTGACTGTTCTAGGCACCTCATATAAGTGGAATCATACAGTATTTGTTCTTTTGTGACTGGCTTATTTTGCTTAGCGTGATGTCCTCAAGGTTTATCTATGTTGTAGCATGTATCAGAATGTCTTTCCCTTTTAAAGCGAAATAATATTCCCTTGTCTCTGTATGTCATCTTTTGTTTGTCTGCCCATTGGTCCACAGACATTTGGGTTTTTCTACTTTTTGGCTACTGTCAATATGGTAGCTATGAACATGGCTGTACAAATATCTCTTCAAGACCCTGCTTTCAAGTCTTTGGGGATATAAACTGAGAAGTGGAATTCTATGTCTTTTTTCTTTTTTTGAGATGGAGTTTCGCTCTTGTCCCCCAGGCTGGAGTGCAATGGTACGATCTCGGCTCACCGCAACCTCTGCCTCCCGGGTTAAATCGATTCTGCTGCCTCAGCCTCCCGAGTAGCTGGGATTGCAGACGCCTGCCACCGTGCCCGGCTAGTTTTTATATCTTTAGTAGAGACGGGGTTTCGCCATGTTGGTCAGGCTGGTCTCAAACTCCTGACCTCATGTGATCCGCCCGCTGCAGCCTCCTACAGTGCTGGGATTACAGGCACGAGCCACCGCGCCCAGCCAGAATTCTATTTTTAATTCTTTGAAAAACCACTATGTTGTTTTTCACAGCCCCTGCACCATTTTACATTCCAATCAACCGTGCACAAGGGTTCTGGTTTCTTTACCTCTGCAAAGTGCTAGGGTTTTTTGAACCATCCCCTCAGTTGCCTCATTTAAACAGATAAGGAAACTTCATTCCAGATAGGTTAAGTGACTTGACGGCCTAGCTTGTTACTGTCAAAGGTAGGACTGAAACTCAAATCTCCCTGCTTTCCCTGTTGCATGTGAGACGCAGTCTGGTCATGCATTTATTTCTTTACTCAACACACAGTGCACACATCAGTGCTGTTTGAGGTGCAGGAGTTTACAAAGATGGTTCAGATAAAGCCCCTGTCCTGACCTCCTGCCTCTTTCTGCGGCTTTCCCAAAGCTGCTTCGTGCTGTTTACCTCACAGTTTACCTCTCAGTTTAATTGCCAACTAGTAGCATCTGCAGCTTCGTACTTGGTGTTAAGTAATTTGCTTTTTACTTCCCTCCTCTGTTTTCAGTCCAAAGGAGCTTAGGAAAATGAACTCACTCGTCCTGATATAGCTCTCACAACTTGATAATTTTCTATAAAATCATTTGAGAAGAAAATATTGATAAAAATGAGATAAGAGGGGAAGGGTACAGAGACGCCGAGCTCTGTACCAACAGCTGTAGAAAGTGGAGCCATATTTAAAAGTGATTAACCACTGCAGGGCCTTCTTGTGTCCATGTGTGCCTGACTGTTTTTTCTTTTTTTCTCTCACTCTGTTGCCCAGGCTGGAGTACAATGGCATAGTCTTGGCCCACTGCAACCTCCACCTCCTGGGTTCAAGTGATTCTCCTGCCTCAGCCTCCTGAGTAGCTGGAACTACAGGTGTGCACCACCATGCCCTGCTAATTTTTTGTATTTTTAGTAGAGACAGGGTTTCACCATGTTAGCCAGCTGGTCTCGAACTCCTGACCCCAGGTGATCCACCTGCCTCAGCCTCATAAGGTACTGGGATTACAGGCGTGAGCCACTGCGCCTGGCCTGTCTGTCTGATTCTTGAAGAGCTCATCTCTGATACGGGTATTTAATGCTAAGGAGAAACTCACAAGCAACAGGGGGCCTGAGTTGTGTTCAACTGTCACCTTGTAGGGAACATTGCCTGTGGCCACCTTGCAGAAGCAATGCAATGCTTATTGTTGACAAGTCCCTTGAGTTATGAGAAGTTAAAGCTTACTGAAGTTACGATATGGTTGCTACTTAAATATAGGTTCGAGTTAGTAGGGAAGAGGGCTAACGATGGTTTCTTAGTAAAGCATTTCGAGGGCCTGCTTGTGTCATAGCGCTGGGCTTGGCAGCCATGGACGTGGATAAAGTGAATTCCTTTTTGTAACCATCTTAGGTTTCTCCTTTCCGGCTTCTGTTTTTGTAGAGAGGTTTTTTAAACTAGGGCACTGAGAGAGAAGGAGGGACTCATTTTTTGTTCTGTTTTTTTTTTTTTTTTTTCCCTTGGCAAGTGAATTTATTTCATCTTTTTTCTTGGCAAATGAATTTATTTCATTTTGAAATCTGCAATCCTTTCCTTTTTGTTCAAGATATCTGAGTTTGACTTGGATTTACTTACAGCCACTTCAGGAAATTGACTTTGAAGGAAAATCTGAGCCAGGTGGGAATCTCTGCTCTAGAAGTTGCAGGTACCTGGCACCTGGCTCCCTTTAGGCCAAGTCTCAGGATGAAGTTAAGTCTAGACGGACAAAACTCTGCCACGAGGGCGGTTGTTGATGGGTCAATGTGAGAGACCTTTGTGATTTGGGGCAAAAAGTGTTCTTATTAAACTTTGCAGTTTAATAACAGAGTTTGTCTTTGCATATTGAACCCTGGTCCTTTTCGGCTGCGTCTAAATTTGTATGTTCTGTGAATGAGAATGGGATCTAGTGCCTGACCGAACTATACCATGTCTGTGCGTTTGCTCTTGATTTTGCAGCCCTGACAGGTTGGGTAGCAGCCTGGCCTGGAACCAGCTGCAAGTAACCAAGCAATGATGAGTTATTTGCAGTTGGATAAAGGCAGATTTTACCCATTATCCTCTGGAGGTCTTCTCTTGCGGGGAAAGGTCAGCAATAATGAGATTTAGTCAGCTTTCCTTGCAGGCGGAGCCTCCAAGGAAATACTCATTGAACTTGAGTATTTTTGTGCTTTTGTTCATCGTATATAGAAGTCCTAATTGAAACCTTAAATTGTGCGCTCCGTAAACCACTTGTTGAGCCGCAGATGGTTGGTTTGTACATTACTTAATTTATCGGGTCCTTACTCGTCTTTGCCTGCAAGATGAAGGGATTGGAGAGAGTATTTCCAAGACTCTGTTTTATCATCAGCAACATCATCATCTTCTTGACATCATAGGAACCTGTTGATCAGAGGCTGTACCAGACACTTCATCAACATCCCACTTAATACTCTGCATGCGGCTCTCCAGGACAGATTCCCTCCCACTCTGCAGAGGACACAGGCTTAGAGAGGGTGGGTGAGGAATTAAGGAGCTGAGCTGGGTTTTGACCTTGTCTGACTCCAAAGCACTTGTTCTTCAGACTGCGTCTTGCTGGCCTCTACAGCTTTATGATTCTGGGAAAAGTACTTACGGCCACGTTTCTTTGGTAAGAAACAGGTAATTGAAGAACAAAAATGAATTCTATATCTGCTTTAGGAGAACTGAAAGAGGCTGGAATAACTGCCTTTCTTACTGTAAGATTTAATTATTAATGGATGAACCAGAGATTATAAGTATTAACAGAAATAAAACAACACAATTTTTAAAAATTCAGAGGATTTTCAGACAACAAATTTCCTGGAAGAAATTGTGCATTTTTTTTTTCCCTGAGAGTGTCATAAAAGCTGGGTTTAGGAATTGCCATTTGGTGGCAGATGGGGTAAGTTATCTTTGCCTTCTTTAATAGTTTTTCTTTGTAGGAGAAGAAGATCCTATTCCTAAATCGCTGTGATATTTAGGTCTTTAGGGGTGGGATCTTGTGAATTTGCTATTATTGTAGACTGAAATCTATATATAGGGACACTCAAATGTGGTATAAATCCATGTCTTTAAAAAAAAAAAAAAAGCAATTACTATGTTTGAAAGCCAAGCTATAAAAAGTAAATGAAATCATAGGAGAGCCAAGAAAGGATTTCATTTTACTGAGCAAATGTCCTTGACTTTCTTTTCCCTTTTGTGTCCTGCAGTGACAGAGTGGGGAATGCAAATGTTTCGAAATTAGGATCACAGCTTTTATTTACAGGTGGTTGAGTGTTGGCATTTGTCCCTGTCAGCACTCCTGCTCTAGATGAAGTGACAGATCCAGAAGGGAGAAATCCAGAAAACAGACACTCAGCTTGTAATTTGTTAAATGTCATTTTAGTTATTTAGCATTCCATAGAACCTGGTTTTATTTGACTTTATTTAAAGAGGAGGTTATTTTTTATTTTTATTTTATTTTTAGAGACGGAGTCTGGCTCTGTCACCCAGGCTGGCGTACGGTGGCATGATCTCGGCTCACTGCAACCTCTGCCTCCTGGGTTCAAGTGATTCTTCCGCCTCAGTCTCCTGAGTAGCTGGGATTATAGGCACCACGTCTGGCTAATTTTTGTATTTTTTTTTTTTTTTTTGAGACGGAGTCTCGCTCTGTTACCCAGGCTGGAGTGCAGTGGCATGATCTCAGCTCGCTGCAAGCTCTGCCTCCCGGGTTCACGCCATTCTCCTGCCTCAGCCTCCTGAGTAGCTGGGACTACAGGCGCCTGCCACCACGCCCGGCTAATTTTTTGTATTTTTAGTAGAGACGGGGTTTCACCGTGGTCTCAATCTCCTGACCTCGTGATCTGCCCTCCTCAGCCTCCCAAAGTACTGAGATTACAGGCATGAGCCACCGCGCCCGGCCTAATTTTTGTATTTTTTTAGTAGAGTTGGGGTTTCACCATGTTGGCCAGCCTGGTCTTGAACCCCTGACCTTAAGTGATCCGCCCACCTCAGCCTCCTAAAGTGCTGGGATTACAGGTGTGAGGCACTGCACCCGGGCAAAGAGGAGGTTATTTTTATTTAGTGTCTGCTTATATACATTGTAACATTTTTTCATCAAAGTTGAAATTAATTTCCTTGAAAATTCATGTGTCTTTGACGGCTGAGGTTTGGGTAGTACCCGCCAATTTTACCAATCACATTTAAAAAAATAGATTTTTTCATACCCATACATAAAAACACATGTGAGCACCTCCCCCTCAAACACACACACACACACACACACACACACACACACACACACACACACACACACACAGAAAAGAAAGAAGGGAAGGAAACATTTGGATGCTTCGGAAAGGTGTTGTTGAGCAGTGGGACAAAAGCCTCCTTGAGCAGTTGTGGGGTCTCAGAACATGGAACACCCGCTAGTCTACACATCTCACAAATAGAATGGGCTTCTTGAATGGTTCTTTCTTGCTCAGAGGTACTTTGCAGCCCAGCCAGAGCTCTGATAATGATAGGCTGGATTTCTATATGGAAACATAAAACAGCTCAAATCCAGGCATTCAGCTTTGTCTTCTTAAATTGCCGCATTGCTTTGGCTAGGTACTAGATAAAAAAAGAACTTCTAATGAGAGGAATATTTTAAGACCTGGGTAAGCTGTCACACCATAAAATGTTAAACAGTATTCCCCTTAGGGATCTGTTCAGAATTTCAAATGTTCAAAATCTCTGTTGATTCCTCAGCAAATACAGATGATCTTGGCGTTCTTTCTGAATGCTTCCCCCAGGTTCTTCCCAAGGTTTCCATTAAGAATCATCTTTTTGCAATGATAATTGAGTTTCTCAATTTTTTTTCCCTCCTGGTGGGGGTAGACTGTTTCAACGCTAAGCAGTTAATTTTCTTTGCAAAACTCACTGTGGTTTATCATCATGTTTCGAAGGGCATGGACAACTACAGAACACTGGGGGAGGGCTGGATATGTTTTTGTAATAAAGAGGCTGCATGCTGGAGGTAGATGCATCCCAGTGGGGACTGGCAGTCCTTGAGGGACTGACTCATCCATGACTCACATGGCAGCCTGGGTGGCCCCTTGGCCCTGGTGCCAGCCTCTGGAAGTTTGGAGCTGGTGCTCACCTCTCCCATGAGACCTTGAGAGTTAAAATATGCGGTGAGGCTTCTGGTTTGATTGGAGTGGGGCTCACCTTTGGTTAGGGACTTGGTGAGAAGCTAGAAGAAATGCACACACCTTTTGGCTTTTGTATGTAGTTACGGGAGACTGGGCTACTGCTGGTTTTACACATGGTGAGACGGTGTAACGGAGCAACTGGTTGGGAAGAGAAAAACTGTTCATTTGTTATAGTGCACATCTTTACCTACTTGAAATGCCACCTTTATGATATTCTGCATGTCCATATAATTTGTGTCTATTTCTGGACTTTGAATATTTCTGTTCATTAGCAAACTATTAAATATTTTTTACCTTTTTTTTGAGATGGAGTCTTGCTCTGTCACCCAGGCTGGAGTGCAGTGGAGTGATCTTGGCTCACTACAACCTCTGCCTCCTGGGCTCAAACGATTCTCCTGCCTCAGCCTCCTGAGTAGCTGGGACATGCCACCATGCCCAGCTAATTTTTCTGTTTTAATAGAGACGGGGTTTCACCATGTTGGCCAGGATGGTCTCTTACTCCTGACCTCAGGTGATCCACTTGCCTGGGCCTCCCAAAGTGTTGGGATTACAGGCATGAGCCATCGCACCTGTATATTATATATATAATATATATACTGTGTTACATATATACTATATATAATATATATACTGTGTTACATATATACTATATATAATATATATACTGTGTTACATATATACTATATATAATATATATACTGTGTTACATATATACTATATATAATATATATACTGTGTTACATATATACTATATATAATATATATACTGTGTTACATATACTATATATAATATATATACTGTGTTACATATATACTATATATAATATATGTACTGTGTTACATATATACTATATATAATATATGTACTGTGTTACATATATACTATATATAATATATGTACTGTGTTACATATATACTATATATAATATATGTACTGTGTTACATATATACTATATATAATATATGTACTGTGTTACATATATACTATATATAATATATGTACTGTGTTACATATATACTATATATAATATATGTACTGTGTTACATATATACTATATATAATATATGTACTGTGATACATATATACTATATATAATATATGTACTGTGTTATATACTATATAATATATGTACTGTGTTACATATATACTATATAATATGTACTGTGTTACATATATACTATATATAATATATGTACTGTGTTACATATATACTATATATAATATATGTACTGTGTTACATATATACTATATATAATATATGTACTGTGTTATATACTATATATAATATATGTACTGTGTTACATATATACTATATATAATATATGTACTGTGTTACATATATACTATATATAATATATGTACTGTGTTACATATATACTATATATAATATATGTACTGTTACATATATACTACATATAATATATGTACTGTGTTACATATATACTACATATAATATATGTACTGTGTTACATATATACTACATATAATATATGTACTGTGTTACATATATACTACATATAATATATGTACTGTGTTACATATATACTACATATATGTACTGTGTTACATATATACTACATATAATATATACTGTGTTACATATATACTACATATAATATATATACTGTGTTACATATATACTACATATATATACTGTGTTACATATACTACATATAATATATATACTGTGTTACATATACTACATATAATATATATACTGTGTTACATATACTACATATATATACTGTGTTACATATATACTACATATAATATATATACTGTGTTACATATATACTACATATAATATATATATACTGTGTTACATATATACTACATATAATATATATACTGTGTTATATATACTACATATAATATATATACTGTGTTATATATATACTACATATAATATATATACTGTGTTATATATATACTACATATAATATATATACTGTGTTATATATATACTACATATAATATATATACTGTGTTATATACTACATATAATATATATACTGTGTTATATACTACATGTAATATATATACTGTGTTATATACTATATATAATATATATACTGTGTTATATATATACTATGTTATATATACACTGTATATACTATCTATACTATGTTATATATACACTGTATATACTATCTATACTATGTTATATATACACTGTATATACTATATATACTATGTTATATATACACTGTATGTACTATATATACTATGTTATATATACACTGTATATACTATATATACTATGTTATATATACACTGTATATACTATATATACTATGTTATATATACACTGTATATACTATATATACTGTTATATATACACTGTATATACTATGTGTTATATATACACTGTATGTACTATGTGTTATATACACTATATGTACTATGTGTTATATACACTATATGTACTATGTGTTATATACACTGTATGTACTATGTGTTATATACACTATATGTACTATGTGTTATATACACTATATGTACTATGTGTTATATACACTATATGTACTATGTGTTATATATACTATATGTACTATGTGTTATATATACTATATGTACTATGTGTTATATATAATATATATACGTTATATATAATATATACTATATATACTATGTTATATATATACTATAGTATATATAATATATACTATATATACTATAGTATATATTATACTATAGTATATATTATATATAATATATACTATAGTATATATACTATAGTATATATTATATATAATATATACTATATATTATAGTATAGATAATAATATATATTATGTAGTATAAATATATACTATATAATAGTATATATAACTATATAGTATATATAGTTATATAACTCTGTATATATGTATATAACTATATATAGTTATATAACTATATATAGAGTTATATAACTATATACAGAGTTATATAACTATATATAGAGATATATAACTATATACAGAGTTATATAACTATATAGTATATAACTATATATATATATATGTAGAAAAAAACCTAAAGACTTTTTGTGTTTTTTTTGTTTTGTTTTGTTTTTCTGAGACAGGGTCTCAGTCTGTTGCCCAGGCAGAGTGCAGTGGTGTGATCGCGGCTCACTGCAACCTCCGCCTCCCAGACACAAGCCATCCTCCCGTCTCAGCCTCCCAAGTAGCTGGGACCACAGGCATGCGCCACTATGCCTGGCTAATTTTTGTATGTTTTGTAGAGATGGGGGTCTCACCATGTTGCCCAGGCTGGTCTCGAACCCTGGGGTCAAGCCATCCTCCCACCTTGGCCTCCCAGAGTGCTGGGATTACAGGTGTGAGCCACTGTGCCTTTGTTGTTCTTTGAAAGTTTCATAGTTATCACTTGTAAAGCAAATGGGCTTGAAATGATTTTTATATTACCTTATGATAACTTTCTGAAATTACGGAGTTTGGGGAGGGAGGAGAGGGAGGCAAGATAGAGCATGGGATGAGGCAGGCCAGATGCAGATGGAGAGTTGAACATCTTGGAAAGAGAACTTCACAACCAAGTTGTGATCAATCTTAGTGCCTTTTTCCTAGAAAACAAGGAAATGACGTAGGTTGTTACAATTGAACTGCCTTCTGTTGGTGAGAAGTTGATTTTAACAGTCCTGTGATAGCTGCTCACATTTTGTTACTATGATCTCCCGAAGAGATTAAGGTCGAGAAGGAGCAATAGGCAGGGATTTGACCTCGTCTGGTTGTTAGGAGGAACAAGCTGTTGATCTCTGCTTTTAACCTGCGTCCAAACCGCAAGCCTCCTGGTATTGTTCACCCCACTGCTCAAGGGGTGTCTGCTCAGAAATTCCATTCTGTGGGGAATGCTTGCCAATCCATGATTTGATTGGTTTCCTCATGTGATTGTGGAAGAATGTTAGCTACTTTCTCCGTCTTGCTCCTGTGGAATAATACTAACTGGTAAATTTTGGAGGAAAGCTGCTGTTCTATCATGATGGAAATTATATTTTGGATTCTGCTTTTCACTATAGAAATTTTTTGGTAAGTGTGGCCCTGAGCTCAACCAGGGAGGTTCCATAGCCTTCCAGACAATGAGATTAAATCTTTCATTTTAGTGATCTTCCTGTGTTTAAATCAGGATCTCAACTGTCTCTCGTTAGAAGACTTGGGGAAATAAAAGGTAAGGATTCCTCTGGCATAGTAATGGTGCCAAAAGATTTAATAATTTGAGAATGCGTTCATAGTTTTGGTGAAATAAGTTCCTGTGAGGCTGTTTGCCCTCCCTGACTGCTGTTCTCTTTGTTGTGTGTGGCTAAGAGTTTTTATGAAATTCTATGGAATTGGTATTCACAAGACACTTTGTGTCTTATTTAACCCTTTGACAGTATTCTGAAAATTCCAATGTGAACATGCATGGTCATAAATACTTCTCAGTGTTAAATTAACTCCTTAAAGGTGTAACACCTATTCACTTCTTGTCAATTTCTTTGTTTTTAAAAGACTAAATACATATGTGCCTCTCTGTATATGTTGTGCATATTTTAGAATGAGTCAATATAAATCCAGGTGAGTCTTTCTAAATGACTCAGACACTGTTGCTGATACTTCACATAACTTTTGCTATTATTTTATAATTTATCTGTAATATTTTTTAGTAGCTGTCTCAAATTGCAAAAGAGTTTTTGTTTTGAAAATGAAGAGATGAGGCTGGGAGTGGTGGCTCATGCCTCTAATCCCAGCGCTGTGGGAGGCCAAGGTGGGCAGATTACTTGAACCCAGGAGTTTGAGAGCAGCCTGGGTAACATGGCTAAACCCCATCTCTACAAAAAACACAAAAAATTAGCTGGGTGTGGTGGCACGCACCTATAGTCCCAGCTACTCGGGAGGCTGAGGTGGGAGGATCACCTGAGTCCGGGAGGAGGATGCTGCAGTGAGGTGAGATCACACCATTGCACTCCAGCCTGGGCACAGAGTGTGTGTCTCTGGCCTTTTAAGACTAAACAAATTGCAGAACTTATATTTAAATAAAAGGAACTAAATATATTAGGAGATACTTCCATATGATGGGCTTAAAGATGAAAACATAACATATTAATTTGAATTATCTTACTTGCTTTTCTTACTTTTGGGTAGAATCAAAAGTAAGGAAAATTCTTGGGAACAAAAAGCACATTGTCTATTTAATTTGAGGTATCTATGAAAGCTATTTTAATTCGTATTTTGAAGATGTATATCAACTGCGACTAGGGGCTTGAAAAGGTAAGAAATTTACAGTTCCTGTAAGTACTGCTTTGGCAGAGCAGAACCTCTCAAAGTATAGCGTGTACTTTATACGATGGAAGATCTGTGAGGGAAAAAAGGTGGGAGAGGTCATGCTACTGTGAGAAAGGAAATTATGTTCAGATTGAACAAGCTAAGCCACTTGCCAAAATGTTCTCCCCAATGTTCCTGTGTGTTTTCTCCTGGTGCATACACACGTCTTAAGCCTGTGCGAACCTGCCTGCTTGTCTGTGCACAGGAATTAAAGTTTGGAAAGCTTCCATTGTGATCCTTTCCCCACTTGCCACTCACAGTGTGGTTCATGGAACGCAACGCTCGGTGGACCTACATTTGGAGCATGAAGATGCTGATAGCAATCTATGTCATGCGTGGCATTAATCACTAAATCCCTGTCCACACAAGCATCACATCAAACGGGGAATTGAGGCATCTGTCAAAAGAATGCAGTAGGAATCGTCTGAGAATGAGCAGGGTTTGTGTTCTTCATCTCTGCTGCACTCCAACCCTCTTTAGGCTGCAGGGATTTTTGTTTTTTTCTTTTTTGAGACAGAGTATCGCTCTGTTGCCCAGGCTGGAGTGCAGTGGCGTGATCTCGGCTCACTGCAACCTCTACCTCCCGGGTTCAAGCAATTCTCCTGCTTCACTCTCCCAAGTAGCTGAGATTACGGGCACCTGCCACCACGCCCAGCTAATTTTTTGTATTTTTAGTAGAGACGGGTTTCGCCATGTTGGCCAGGCTGGTCTTGAACTCCTGACCTCAGGTGATCCGCCCACCTCGGCCTCCCAAAGTGCTGGGATTACAGGCCTGGGCCACGACGCCTGGCCTGTTTTTTTCTTCTTTTGAACATTTGTGTTGTATATAGAGCAAAGGAATACTCCAAAGGAATTTGGGGTATATAAAAGAATCATTTCCCCCTGAAATTTTCTGCCTTTAGTTGAAAACAGCTATGTGTTAATTCTACGACCACAGCTCATTGAAGTTTCCTTTCTGTTGTCCATGTTGGTGCTCTTGCCTATGTGCCTGTTAGACTGTATGTTAAACACATGTGGTCAAACTGGTCTAGATTTTCCTTGTTCCCGGGTCTTCTCGTTGCCTTCCTGAACATTTGGAGAAGGTTAGTACACCTGGATGTCATTTTGAGTACATATGTATTCACTGCAGCCATGACGGCCCCAGGCCCTCTGCAGCCCTGCCTGCGCGCTACTTAAATGCGGCCCAAAGATACTACTTTGGTGATGTAACCACTGGGCTACTTCCGTGATCTCTCAGGAGCATGGTTACGTTTTAGGTTACATTAATTCCTTAAGGGAGCTGGCTTGTCTCCCCAAAACAACTGTTAGAAAAATAAGACATAGTCCTGTTTTGCTTTTGAGCAACTTTATCTGTGGTCTCCAATATTTGTTTTATTTTATGAAATTCCCTAATCTTGTAGTTGATATAGCACTTTGGCTCTGAAATTTAGAGTAGAAGCACAGCAGGTTTCGCAGGTTTAAAGATAAAACTCAAGAATAGAAAGGTTTAGTTTCTTAGTTAAGAAAGGAAGCCGTGCCAAGTATGAGTTATGCTCAGAAAAAAAAAAGTTTGCCCCAGAAATATTTCACACGCAGTGTCTTCTTCAGAGCCGCCCTGCCTGTTTCCTAGAAGTAACTTCTGCCATTGGCTCCTGGGCCAGCTCCTTTCTCTTGGCTTTCTTTTCTTTCTTTCTTTTTTTGTTTTTTGAGACAGAGTCTTGCTCTGTCACCCAGGCTTGAGTGCAGTGGTGCCATCTCGGCTCACTGCAACCTCCCCCTCCCGGGTTCAAGCAATTCTCCTGCCTTAGCCTTCTGAGTAGCCAGGCTTACAGGTGCGTGCCACCACACCCGGCTAATTTTTGCATTTTTAGTAGAGACGGGGTTTCACTGTGTTAGCCAGGCTGGTCTCGAACTCCTGACCTCAGGTTATCTGCCCACCTCAGCCTCCCAAAGTGTTGGGATTACAGGCGTGAGCCACCGCACCCGGCCTCTCTTGGCTTTCTTCTCTGTTGCTTACCTTTTTTTTTTTTTCCTGCCTCCCTTTGGAGTCTCCTTCCTTATCCCACTGTCAAACAGTGAGGTTCTCCCTAGGGTGCCAACCTGGGTTCTCTTCAGTGGATAATTTTTGCTTTGCCCCTGCCTTCATCTACCAGAATACATGCCAGTTTCTGCCCAGTCAATATAACTCTAGTTGAGACCTCTCTTCTGGGGTCCATTGGTTTTTTTGTTTTTGTTTTGTTTGAGATAGAGTCTTGCTCCATTGCCCAGGCTGGAGTGCAATGGCACGGTCTTGGCTCACTGCAACCTCTGCCTACCAGGTTCAAGCAATTCTCCTGCCTCAGCCTCCCAAGTAGCTGGGATTGATTATAGCCACCCACCACCATGCCCGGCTAATTTTTGTATTTTGAGTAGGGATGGAGTTTCACCATGTTGGCCAGGCTGGTCTTGAAGTTCTGACCTTAGGTGATCTGCCCACCTTGGCCTCCCAAAGTGCTGGGATTACAGGCGTGAGCCAAAGCGCCTGGCTAGGTCCAGTATTTTAACCTTCAACTGGATGTCTTCATCTAGATGTTTGCTGCCTTCCTGCAACTGAGTGCTTCAGAAGTGAATGAAGTCTTTTCACCTCAGAGTTGCATCTCTCTGTGGAGCTCCTGCCTCAGAGCATGTGCTTTGGAGTCTGAGAGCCCATGTTTGATTCCTGGCTAGGCTAGTTAACCTCTTTTTCCTGCCTTATCACATTGGCTGGGACCTCCAACACAATATATATTGGCTTATTCCTGGTCTTAATAGAATGCATTCAATTTTCACCATTAAGTACGATGCTAGCCGCAGATGTTTTCAAAGATCCTGTTTATTGTGAAGTTTTTAAAAATAGAGTTGAAAAATATTTTTCATTAGCTGATTATGAATTAATATTTTTTAATGTTTACAGGATCCCTATTAAAAAACAGAAACCAAAACCCACCATAATAAATCTAAGGAAATTTAAAATTGTATTTCAGTAAAACCTATATGGGTCCACGAAGCTTTCACAGTTAAGGAGGAAAAGGTAGAAATATGGTTTGGAGGGAATGACTTGATTATTATAGTTCGTTTGATCCACGTATGCACTGATTCTTTATTTGCTGAATGGATGTGCAAGTGATGTAAGTTTTGTTTTGCTGTTTTTTTTATTCTTCGCCTTACATGTATCGTCCTATTTTTTTTTTTTTTGAAACGGAGTCTTGCTTTGTCACCCAGGCTGGAGTGCGGTGGCGTGATCTTGGCTCACTGCATTTCCACCTCCCGGGTTCAAGCGATCCTCCTGCCTCAGCTTCCCGAGTAGCTGGGACTACAGGTGTGTGCCACCATACCGGCTAATTTTTGTATTTTTAGTAGAAATGGGGTTTTGCTATGTTGATCAGGCTGGTCTCAAATTCTTGACCTCAGACGATCCACCCGTTTTAGCCTCCCAAAGTTTGGGATTAACAGGCGTGAGACTACCCAGCCTTTTCCTGTTAGTTCACGAGACTCAGACTAATGTTGGAGTTTTGCAAACACCATCTTATTCCTGTGTGTATGTGTACTGATCATCATCATTGAAACTGTAAGGTCTAAGCAATTTGAAATGTAACTTAGCCTCTTTTTTTCCATGATTAGGAAAATTAAACCTAATTGAGATCCAGTAGAGGCTTCTGGAAAAGGCTGTAAGTTCTTGTACTTTTCAGACTTGTATGTTAATGAAAACATTTGATTCTCATTAATACAAACGATTACTCGGTAGATGGTAATTAATTCTGGGACAGGGTCATGCACACAGCCCTTGCTGGGTTGATGTAAATGGCCCTTGGAAGGCTGCGATGATACAAAGACTGTAACTTGTATCTCTTTATTTTTTGAAACATGAATGTCTCTATACGTATAATTTTTAATTTTCCCTGGACTTGGAGCTTGTGTTTAATGCTTCATTAACAATTGTTGATCCCTTTTTGGGTAAATCTTTCTGGACAGATTAAGCAAAGAAAGAAAAACCCTGTGTACAGAGTATGTATCATTTAGGCTTTTGAGGTGGAAAGTTAAGGGAGATATTAATTAGACTCTAAAAGATACCCCAAACAGAGTGGCCATCCAGCAATTGTGTGTTAAAAGAATGTCGCATGAATAAAGGAAGGGAGGAGGGTAGTAATGTCCTGTGCTGAAATGCGTCATTTGTTCCTGGTTTCTTTCTTTAAAAAGTGTGTTGAGGCCAGGTGTGGTGGCTCATGCCTGTAATTCCAGCACTTTGGGAGGCCAAGGCGGGAAGATCACTTGAGGTCAGGAATTTGAGACCAGCCTGGGCAATATGGTAAACCCTGTCTCTACCAAAAATACAAAAAAATTAGCCAGGCGTAGAGGCACACGCCTGTAGTCCCAGCTACTTGGGAGGCTGAGGCAGGAGAATCACTTGAACCCGGGAGGTGGAGGTTTCAGTGAGCCAAGATTGTACCACTGCACTCCAGTCTCAAAAAAGAAAAAAAAAAAAAAAAAGAGTGTGTTGACCTCAAAGGTCCTTGTTGGCTCTAAAGTTTGGAGAAATTATTTATTTATTTATTTATTTATTTATTTATTTATTTATTTATTATTTTTTTGAGATGGAGTTTTACTCTTGTTGCCCAGGCTGGAGTGCAATGGCATGATCTCGGCTCACTGCAACCTCCGCCTCCCAGGTTCAAGCGATTCTCCTGCTTCAGCCTCCTGAGCAGCTGGGATTACAGGCATACACCACCACGCCCAGCTAATTTTTTTATTTTTAGTAGAGATGGGGTTTCTCCATGTTGGTTAGGCTGGTCTCGAACTCCTGACCTCAGGTGATCCGCCTGCCTTGGCCTCCCAAAGTGCTGGGATTACAGGCATGAGCCACCGCGCCTGGCCTGGAGAAATTCTTAAAGTTCAGACATTTAAAATTATTGTTAGAGTCAGGGCCCAGGGAATTTCGCCTTTGTCCTTAGGCACGGCTCTCTATAACTTTTTCAGTTTCCCTTCACCTAATTGTTACTTCATGGTTTCCTGTCCTGTAGTTCAAGAACATTCTTCTAAGCTGCCTTGGCAACTTGTAGTGTCCCAGGAGGAACATCTTTGGCGTTAGCTCTGATTCCGTTCTTTTCTTCTTGAACTATTGCTTGTAAATGTTCAATGTAGGTAAATTTTCTGAGCTTCAATTTTCTCATCTGTAAAATGGGGGCAGTAAAATACTGACCTCGAATAGAGTTGTGAGGCTTCAATGACATAAAGAAGTTGGCAGCATAACTAGCGTATAGAAGGTCCTAAGTAAACTCTGAAGGTGACCATCTTTCCTTTCCCTTGAGTTCAATAGCTCTGCAGTTTTCTGTTTTGAATGATTAAGGCTTTAAAGTTTTTCTGTATTTCTGTTCTGAAAAAAAAATCCCCACTTCCTCTCATCACCTGGAACTAAATGCACTTTTCCCTTAAAGTTGCAGGTCAGCATGAATAGTTTTCAGTGTGCTCCTCTGGGCTGGTTTCTTTTCTTTTTTTATTTTTTTGAGACAGAGCCTCACTCTGTCACCCAGGCTGGAGTGCAGTGGCGCAATCTCTGCTCACTGCAACCTCTGCCTCCCAGGTTCAGGCAGTTCTCCTGCCTCAGCCTCCTGAGTAGCTGGGATTAACAGGCACGCACCACCACGCCTGCCTAATTTTTGTATTTTTAGTAGGGATGGGGTTTTGACATGTAGGCCAGTCTGGTCTTGAACTCCTGACCTCAAGTGATCTGCCCGCCTCCACCTCCCAAAGTGCTGGGATTGCAGGTGTGAGCCACCGCGTCCAGCCCTCAGAGCTTGTTTCTGAGTCCTTACTTCTTCTGTGTCCACTGCTGTTCTGCATTTTTATCTGAAGTTGCTGTTGGCTGGGCCTTTGCTCTTCATTCTGTGTTTGGAGTACCTGGTCGACCCTAAGGAATTCTTTTGTTTCTCTGTTTTCACTTTTAGGATCAAAAGAGGCAGTTTCTTTTCTCCAGTTGTAGGAGAAAACAGAGTTTAAGATTTTCCTTCTTGCTGAGTTGTTAAATAAGGAGCATTAAAACAAACCTTCTATTGAAGGGCACAAATCATGGTGTGGAACTTGATGAATTTTCCCAAAGTGAACACACCATGTAATGAGGATGGTAATAAGTTTAAGAAAAGTCTCTGATGGCCTGAGCTTTCCTAAGCCTTCTCGCCCGTTATCCTTCAGATGACCCACCTAGTGCCTTCTGACCACCATCTGCCGGCTAGTTCTGTAGGGTCTGGTTGGCCTGCCCTGCCCTCCTGCTCCTTCCCCCAGATGGGATGCCTGGGGTTAGAGAGACTGGCTCTTTGTTCCCAGTCCTGCCTGCATTTCAGTAGATGGTAAGAAGAGAGACACAGGATGCTGTATTTCCACTCTCCCTTAAATGGTCTTCTCTTGGGGCTAGTTGGAGGTGGGATACATGATGCAGAGAAGGTGCTGCGCCAAGCACTGTGTGCGTGCTCCCTTTGCTTTCGGTCTCTGTTCAACAAAGTATTGAAACTACTAAGACAATGCTGATATCAGAAGCTGGTACGAAAAAGCACTGTGTTTTTGATTAAGATGAAAATACTAGACTTTGACTTTTAAAAATGAAGAGTAGGCCTGGCTGGGTGCAGTGGCTCATGCCTGTAATTGCAGTATTTTGGGAGGCCAAGGCAGGAGAATTGCTTGAGGCCAGAAATTCGAGACCAGCCTGGGCAACATAGTGAGATCCCATCTCTACCAAAATAAAAATATTAGCCAGGTATTGTGGTGCACACCTGTAGTCCCAGCAACTCAGGAGTCTGAGTTGAGAGGATCCCTTGAGCCCAGGAGTTTGAGGCTGCAGTGAGCTGTGACTGTGCCACCACACTCTACACCACTGCACTCCAGCCTGGGTGACGGAGCGAGAGCCTGTGAGCATGTCCTTTTTTTTTTTTTTTTTTTTTTTTGGCGATAGGGTCTTACTCTGTCACCCAGGCTAGAGTGTAGTGGCGTGATTTTGGCTCAATGCAGCCTCAACCTACCAGACTCAGGTGATCCTCCTACCTCAGTCTCCTGAGTAGCTGGGACTACAGGTGTGTGCCACCGCACCTGGCTAACTTTCATTTTTTTGTGTGGAGACGGGGTTTGCCATGTTGTCAAGGCTGGTCTTGAACTCCTGGGTTCAAGCGATCCTCCTACCTTGGCCTCTCAAAATGCTGGGATTACAGATGTGAGCCACTATGCCTGAACCTGTCTCTTAAAAAGAAAAAAAAATATGTTTTGGTCCCATGAGAAAGTTTTGATGACCAGAATTGTGCTTTCATCCCCCTTTAGCAGTAATCAAGCCCACTCCACCCCTTTCTCTGTCTTCCCCTGAGTCTGAGATGTAAGAAATTTCTTGAGATCTTGCATGGGTCTTGTCTGGAAGACAAAATGCTGATGGCCATGGTGGGGAGGAGGTGGCCTCCTGAGGAGTACGAGAAGGTTCTTTGTCTGCACTGAAATTTCCCAGAAGTTTGGATAGCTAGGTAAAAGTTGCCAGAAGTGGGGTATAGGTCTGGGGGGATTAGGTTTTGTTGGACCTCATGCTCTTACAATTTGAATGGGAATGGGCGTTGGGGGCTGGGGGGTGGTTGGTGGGGGGGCTCTTAAAAAAATACAAAAAGATCTTTCTTCTGACTGCATTGTTGGGGCCCTTCCCAGAACCATAGGAGGGGCCCTGAAGCTTAAGCTTCATGAGTTTAATGTAACTTGTCTCTTCCTAAATAAGAGGCAGAATAAAGCAGGGTGTGCCTGTGGCAGACTACTTACTGCCTCTAAGCTTTATGCTCAGAAGCAAAAAGAGTTGGAAAAGTGTGTTAAATTCAGAAGACTTGACAAGTAGCTAGGAAGCGCCTAGGCACGGAAAATGGTTTATGCAGTTGAAACTCAACTATAGTTCCTGTTTAATGTAACCATTTTTTCCAAACTTCAATTTGGCAATAATTTGTACTGTAATTTGTTATTACAAAGTGACCCTTGACCAAAACCAATTAACTTTGAATTTCTTGCCTAGACTGTTACATTATGAAGTTTTAGAGGCATTTTCTGAGAAATTATATGAAATTTCCATGTTAATTAGGACCTTGAGGTATCCTTGTGTCAAAGAAGATGCATAATCTTCTCTTCTTTGGCAATTACTTTCTCATCTTTCCCCCTCTCTGATTAGTCTTCATAGCTGTTTCCCTATTCAGATAAATACTTCATCAATCAGGGTTTAGAATAATCTCATTACTTTTGGGAATTCTTCCATGTGGCTCAGGGCTGTAATGGAGCTGTTAGGGGAGCCATTATCATTGAAAGCACCACTTAGTGACCAGATGGCCCCATTGGAAGCAACTTGCCGAATGTCAGGGAAGAAGACATTTAATGAAGCCTAACAGCCTAACACAAGCTGAGTAGGCAAGAGTGGAATCCTGGTTTTGGTAATGGTGGTGCTTTATCTTCAGCAAGAGCACAATTCTTTTTTTTTGTTGTTGTTGTTGTTGAGACGGAGTCTTGCTCTCTCTCCTAGGCTGGAGTGCAGTGGCACCATCTCGGCTCACTGCAACCTCTGCCTCCCAGGTTCATGTGATTCTCGTGCCTCAGCCTCCCGGGTAGCTGGGACTACAGGTATGCGCTACCACACCCGGCTAATTTTTGTATTTTCAGTAGAGATGGGGTTTCACCGTGTTGGCCAGGCTGGTCTCAAACTCCTGCCCTCTGGTGATCCACCCGCCTTGGCCTCCCAAAGTGCTGGGATTACAGGTGTGAGCCACCCTGCCTGGCTAAGAGCACAGTTCTTTGTTTTGGTAGGAAAAAACAGAGCTTTTGGAAGTAAAATAACAGGTCTTCATATCATGAAAATGATGGCAAAAGTCAAAGAATGAGTGTCATTCTTTGTCATAAGAGAATTTATTATAATGAGGGAGCTGGGTACTTGTAATGCCTGATGGAGGAGGGCAGCCACCATTCAGGGTTTTCAGCTCAGGCAAGTTCCCTATTTTTTTTTGGATGTAGATTTCAGTGTCCACACTGCCCATTGTTCTAAGTGCCAGGGGCTCTTGGATATGCTTGCCAAACTCATTGGCTTCTTGGACAAAGCCAGAATTTGGATCCTAAATTAAAGGTGAAAAACAAGTCTCTAAACTCATTAAGCTCCATTACCATTCAAGTAGGGCTTTTGTACAGTTTCTGACCACTTGAGTTATAGAAAATGATTGAAAGATTTTTGTTTTTTCCCCCCAGGGGCTGGGGGAGAACTTCATAAAACTTGTTCATGTCTGTGGTGAATTGAAAGTTGCTCTACTTATTTTAGTCCTTGGAGAAATGAGATTTAATGGGGGTTCAAACTGTGTTTTTCTAAGTGTGACAGTCATTTCCATGGGTTTGAGTTTTGCCAAATTATTTTTGGCTGGCTTCATACTCACTCCAAAGAAAAAGAGTGTGGTGGAAAAAGCAATATTGAGAGCGAGTAAAACAAGGAAGAATTCTGTATTGTTCTGAATTTCTGAGTGTGATCAGCAAAAGAAAAAGGAATTAAAAAAAGAAGAAAGTCTTACAAAAATTAGTTGTCACGTTCATGTCACAGCTTTGATTTGATCACAGTTGTTTATAGACAGATGCCTAAAATTCATGAACTTTATTACCTGTGAATACTTGGTAAACACTCTTTAGCCCTAAGTTCTTAAAACACTTTAGTTAATATATGAAAAATAAGATTTGTTTTACAGTGAGCTCCGTAGGTTTTCTCTCTTCATCTGAGGTGTTCGCGTTGCCAGTGCGATGTAGACCCAATTAGGTCAGTTTGGAAATTTTTATTTTTAGCATGAGAGGAAAATAAGTGGTCTGCTGGCACCTACTTGCTTTCAGATAAATTTACAAATAGCCTTAGTTGAAACAGTTTTGTATTGGAATCTGTTCCCTCACTCTGGCAGGCTGGCTCAAAGCCAGCGTTGCAGTTTTACTCGACTTCCCATCCTCCAACCAGACTTTTTTTCTTTTTTTTTAATCTTTGAGTGTTTGTTCTTTATGGGAGAGGAAAGCCTTTTCCTGTGGCCTCCTGGCTGGTGTGCTCTGGTCCTGTTGTAGGGGTTGTGGACTGTTGCACCCGGTCCCTTTCAGGCGGCTGCCTCAGGTGTCATAATCCTCATTCCGCTACACCACCGCAGACCCGCCCCCGCCCCCAGGAACAACACAGGTTGTTCTTGGAGCCAAGACTAGAAACCTGTCTTCCAGGGCTTGGTAAGTTTGGCCTATGCAACTTCCAAAGCCCATCCCTTAATTTAAATTGCAAGCAGGGGCTGGGCACGGTGGCTCTTGCCTGTAAGGCTGAGGCGGGCGGATCACCTGAGGTCTGGAGTTTGAGACCAGCCTGGGCAACATGGCGAAACCCCATCTCTACTAAAAATACAAAAATTAGCCAGGCATGGTGGGACCTGTAGTCCCAGCTTACTCGGGAGGCTGAGGCCAGAGAATCAATCACTTGAACCCCGGAGGCGGAGGTTGCTGTGAGCTGGGATCGCGCCGCTGCAGTCCAGCCTGTGTGACAGAGTGAGACTCTGTCTCAAATAAATAATAGCAAGCAGGATCCATTGGTCAATCCATTCTGTCAAGGAACTTAAGGAGATGAAAATTGTATATATTTTATGGTGTACAACGTACTGTTTATACATATATATACATACATTGTGGAGCGGCTAAATAATATATGCATTACCTCAAATACTTATTTTTTGCGGTGAGAACGCTGAAAATCTACTCTCAGCATTTTTCAAGTATACAACACATTGTTAGTAACTATAGTTTCCATGTTGTACAATAGAGCTCTTGAACTTACTCCTCCCGTCTAATTGGACTTTTCTTTGAGCACCATCTCCTCAATCTTCCCTCCCTCCAGCCTCCCTCAGTTACTTTACTTATATAATAGTAGTAGTAATCGTCATGATAATTACTTTGTGTGAGCACCTGCTGAGTGCCAGTTACTGTTTTCAAGTTCTTCATTTGCATAATTTTATTATGACGCTGGGGGGATGCATTATGACCTCTGTGATGCAGGTGAGGAAGATGAGATTCCAAAAGGATAAGAAACTTACTAAGAGTTACATAGATGGGAAGAGGTTGGAAGTGGATTTAAATCAGATTCTGCTGACTGTGCACTCACCTGCTGCCCTCTGTGCCTTCCACAGAGCCAGGGGGCTTTTAGAGATCATCTCATCCAGTGGCTCTCAGCACTGGCTACACATGAGAATCGTCTGTGGAGTTGAAAACAAAGATGCCTTTGGTCTCCTTCCAGGCCAGTTAATCAATCTCTAGAGGGGCCAGGTGCAGTGGCTCATGTCTGTAATGCCAGCACTTTTTGGGAGGCCAAGGTGGGAGGGATCACTTGAGTCCAGGAGTTCGAGACTAGCCTGGGCAACCTAGTGAGTCCCTGTCTGTACCAGAAACAAAACAAACTTAGCCAGGCATGGTGGTGCGTACCTGTAATGCTGTCTACTCAAGAGGCTGAGGCAGGAGGATTGCTTGAGCCCGGGAGTTTGAGGCTGCAGTAAGCAGCGATTGTGCCACTGCACTCCAGCCTGGGTGACAGAGTGAGACCCTGTCTCAAAAAAAAAAAAAAAAAAAAAAAAGGATCTGTAAGGCAAGGATCCAGGCCCTGCAGTGTTTTAGGAGCCCCCCTGCACCCCCACTCCCAGTGATTCTGCCATGCACCCAGGGTGATCTGGTCCCAATCTTTCAGTTTTCAGAAGAATCTGAAGCCCATCAATTTCTTGCAGGTTAATCAGCTACTTAGTTACAAGCGGGGACTTGACCCTCAATCTTCTGACAGCTCCCTTGGTCTCTTCTTATTCCTGACAATCAAGTCTAGATACAGGAAACTTCATCCGAGAGGCTTCTTACCCCATAGTGTACACATGCCACTGGGTACCTGAGGGCCATGGCATAGTTTTGAAGGATTGCAGAAAATCAGATGGTTGTAATACGATCTTGTGGATATTGGCCAAAACATGAATATGTTACAGTAAATGTGAAGCTTGCCTTAGATTATATCCCTATATATGTTCACAAATATGATAGTAGTTTGTATGACTCTTCCTGCCTGCTAGTTTGTTCACATATCTGTCATCATCAACATAGCCAGTGAAAGTTTCACTGTTTTTCACAGAAGATAAATACAAGAGGTCACTCGTCCTGCCCAGTCACACAGGTTGTTCCTGGAGCCAAGACTAGAAGCCAGGTGTTCTCATTCACGATTTGGTTCTCTTGCCACGGGATCACGCAGCTATCTTTGATTTCTAGGGCACACGATAGGACCATACTGCAGAGTCCTTTTGGGTGTAGAGATGACCATTGAGGATGCTGCATTCATACAACTGGACTGTTTTTTATTCGTTTAGCTGAACCCTGTCTGAACATCTTTGGTCAGCTGGGGAAACTTTCTTCATGTATAATTTTTCTTCTCTTCCTATTATTGTCTTAGTTAGCTGCTTTTGAAACTCATCTTGTGGCCAGGTGCAGTGGCTTACGCCTGTAATCTCAGCACTTTGGGAGGCAGAGGTGGGTGGATCATGAGGTCAGGAGTACGAGACCAGCCTGGCCAACATGGTGAAACCCCGTCTCTACTAAAAATACAAAAATTACCTGAGTGTGGTGGCAGGTGCCTGTAATTCCAGCTACTTGGGAGGCTGAGGCAGAATTGTTTGAACCCGGGAGGCAGAGGCTGCTGTGAGCCGAGATTGCACCACCGCACTCCAGCCACGGTGCACTCCAGCCTGGGCGACAGAGCAAGACTCTGTCTCGAAAAAAAAAAATAGCTCATCTTATGTCTCCGAATATATTATCCCTCTCTATTAACTTTGTGTTTTGCTCTCTGTTTTTCAGTGTTATCTTTCAGATCACAGCTTTGGTATTTAGCACGGTGCATTTTATTTCTCCGATCCATTGGTGTTTCTTTTCATCTTTTGTTTTAAATTTCTTTTTTTCTTTTTCTCTTACTGAAAGCCCTTTTTCTTTTTCTTTTTCTTTTTTTTTTTTTTTTTTGAGACAGAGTCTAGCACTGTTGCCTGGGCTGGAGTGCAGTGGCGCGATCTCGGCTCACTGCAGCCTCTGCCCACTGCAACCTCTGCCTTCCGTGTTCACACGATTCTCCTGCCTCGGCCTCCGTAGTAGCTGGGATTGCAGGCGCACACCACCACACCTGGCTTTTTGTAGTTTTAGTAGAGATGGGGTTTCATTATGTTGGCCAGATTGGTCTCAAACTCCTGACCTCGTGATCCACCCATCTTGGCCTCCCAAAATGCTGGGATTACAGGTGTGAGCCACCACGCCCGGCAGAAAGCCCTTTTTCTATGCTGTTTTCTTCAAAACAGCTTGGTCTTACTTTATGGGCACATTTTTCTCGAGTTTTTCTTAAAATACTTATTAGAATTTTTTTTAAGTTGTCTTCTGTTCCATAAATTGTTTCCTTTGTTCTGTTTGTTCATTATGGCCATTTTCTTTCGAACATGAAAGAAATGGGTTTTCCTCAAATAAGTTGTGATTTTAGGTGGTTGGTTTGTTTTACTGAATTAAGAACTCCATAGATAAATTGGGAGGGTTCCATTTGATCTTCTCTGTAGTTGTGGAGTTTCCAAAGTAGGGCTGTGTGAGTAGCAGGCAGGCCCTCCTTGCCTCTGCAGTGGTTGAAGACAGCGGGTGGTGCCACAGTGCTTTTACCCCTGTGGGGAGCCGCCCTTTGTGTGGAGGTTCAGAACTACCCTTAACTCTTCTCCAACTTTCTCACTCATATTTTTTTCTTGGACATAGTGCCCTCTTTTTTTTTTTTTTTTTTTTTGGTTTTTGTTTGTTTGTTTTAGCCATAGCCAGTGGGTACAACCTACTGCTGTGGTGCCCAGCTTTAAGGGTTCTGTTTTAATGAGGAAGAGGAGGGGCGGGCGGGAGGTAGCAGGGGAGAGCATTGCAGGGCAGGGCTCCTCCTGCTTGTAGTTATTGTCCATCACCCTGTGACTGCCCCACTGCCTGCTCCCACACCATTGCCTTTAACTCCGAGTTTGACACCCACACTCCCGTGGAAGGAGGCTTCCCACCTCCCGAGGTTTGGGCTGTGGTTTTCCCTGTGTCTTTGCTGTTGGTATGATTTTATCTGCCCTCTCTTTTCTAGGATTCCCTCGAACTTTCTGGTTCACTGCTGGCTTCTCTTCCTGTTTCCAGCATTGCTGTTTGTTTTATTTTCTTTCTTTAAGGTAATCATTTTCCTTGTAATTTTATGGCTAGCCTTAGAGGAAGGGCACTCTTGGCTCTGTCTTTTTTTTTTTTTTTTTTTTTTTGAGATGGAGTTGCACTGTACCACTCAGGTGGAGTGCAGTGGCGTGATCTCGGCTCACTGCAGCCTCCGCCTCCCAGGTTCAAGTGATTCTCCTGTCTCAGCCTCCCGAGTAGCTGGGACTACAGGCATGTGCCACCACGCTGGGCTGATTTTTGTACTTTTAGTAGAGACAGGTTTCGCCATGTTGGCCAGGCTGGTCTCGAACTCCTGACCTCAGGTGATCCATCCACCTCGGCCTCCCAAAGTGCTGGGATTACAGGCATGAGCTACCATGCCTGGCTCTTTGCTCTATCTTAACAGACAGGGAGAATTGGATCGCAAGGAACCTGCTCACATACTGTTCTGGGGTTTGACTTCCAGGAGCTTCTGTGCTTCTCTGGGAACTCCCTCCTGATCCCTCTGTGCCTCTCTCGGGGAGACAGAGAGACCTTACTACCTGCAGGAGAGGCCACCTGTCTGTGTGGCAGCTGCCCCTCCCAGACTTGCCACTGCCTCTTGGGTTTTGATTTGCTGCTGTTGTTTATTCTTGTTGGAAGCTCAGTGTGAGATGAGAGATGCAGGTCGGAATTGGAGAAGTTTGCAGATACATCTATGGAGATGCCTTTTATTCAGATTTGTGAAGATATATGTTTGGGGTAAGGAAGCGAGAGGGAAAGAGTTGAGGATTCCAAAGTTTCAGGTTTGGTCTGGGGCCAGGACAGAAAACGTCTTTAATGTGCTTTTTTAATCCCGCCTATGTAGTGTTTGTTCCCCTCAGCGTTTCCTTGTCCCATACTCATCCAGAAGGCAGCAGTCCCTGATTGTCCAGCACCTGAAGTTCCTTTTTATTTTACTTTTTTGAGATGGGGTCTCACTCTGTCGCCCAGGCTGTATGTAGTGCAGTGGCACGATCTTAGCTCACAGCAACCTCCACCTCCCTGGCTCAAGCGCTTCTCCTGCCTCAACCTCCCAAGTAGCTGGGATTACAGGCTGCGCGCCACCACACCCGGCTAATTTTTATATTTTTAGTAGAGATGGGGTTTTGCCATGTTGGTCAGGCTGGTCTCGAACTCCTGACCTCAAGTGATCCACCCGCCTTGGCCTCCCAAAGGGCTGGGATTACGTGTGTCAGCCACTGTGCTTGGCCATCACCTGAAGTTCTTTAAGCCTTAAACGTGACTTAGTGAGGAGGAGAAATCCTATCGCCACACCACCTCTTCTTTCTTCTCACAAACCTTTGGAAAAGCCCATTGATGTCTTGAAACACCCTGTTTAAAGAGGACAGAAAGCACTTTCCCTTCTAAGGCAGGGGTGGGGGGAGAGAGAGAGAGAGAGGAGAGAGAGAGAGAGAGAGAGGAGAGAGAGAGAGAGAGCGAGAGAGAGAGAGAGAGAGCGAGAGAGAGAGAGAGAGAGCGAGCGCACAGAAGACTTGAGTGAGGACCCCCAGGTGCTCCCACTACTTTTTCTCTCTTCACTTCGGGGAGGGAAACAAAAGGAACAAATAGGAGGACCTTGCAAGTGAATGCAAAAGGGTATAGACTCTGCCAGTGCTGACCGCTGGGTCCTGTAGGGCTGAATGGTAAGCACTGATGTCAGTGGGCCTCAGCAAGGGTTATTTTATTTTATTTATTTGTTTTTTTGAGACACAGTCTTGCTGTCGCCCAGGCTGGAGTGCAGTGGCGCGATCTCCACTCACTGCAACCTCTACTTCCTGGGTTCAAGTGATTCTCCTGCCTCAGCCTCGCAAGTAGCTGGGACTACAGGCATGTGCCACCATAGCCACCTAATACTTATTTTTTTTGTAGACACAGGGTTTCACTGTATTGGCCAGGCTGGTTTTGAACGCCTGACCTCAAGTGATCTGCCTGACTTGGACTCCTGAAGTGGTGGGATTACAGGTGTGAGCCACTGTTCCTGCCCTATTTTTTTTAATTTTAAAAATTTATTTTTATTTTGTAGAGATGAGATCTCACTATGTTGCCCAGGCTGGTCTTCAGCAATCCTCCCACCTTGGCCTCCCAAAATGTTGAAATTACAGGCGTGAGCCACCACGCCTGGCCAAGGGTCATTTTAAAATATGGATTGTATGTTTTGCCACTGTCCTTTGTAACAAGATATTATTTGGAGCAGAACATACACAGAGAAGAAAACAGCAAACGAGTAAACAAGGCTGCAAGGACAAGTGTGGCCGTGGAAGGAAGAGGACAGAGCAAGAGAAGGGAGAATGGGGGTCAGGGGTGTCCTGGGATAAAGAAGTCGGGATTCAGCCTAGAGTGGCAGGCCTGGTGGCTCGAGGATGAGGAAGGTGGAGTGAAGGAGACTCGGGAGGCCGCATTAGGACTGTGGGAGAATTTGGTTTGAAATATTCCAGAATAATATTTTCATAGTGTGGTCAATGGTGCAACAAAGAAACAAACTCAGTGCATGTTTGAACAGAAGGAGATCTTGAAATCCTCAATCCACTCTTTGTTTTTTTTTTTTGTTTTGAGATGGAATCTCACTCTGTTTCCCTGGCTGGAGTGCAGTGGTGCAATCTCGGCTCACTGCAACCTTTGCCTCCTGGGTTCAAGCAATTCTCCTGCCTCAGCCTCCTGAGTAGCTGGGACTATAGGTGCATGCCACCATGCACCTATAATTTTTGTATTTTTAGTAGAGACGGGTTTTCACCATATTGGTCAGGCTGGTCTCGAACTCCTGACCTCAAGTGATCCGCCCGTCTCGGACTCCCAAAGTGCTGAGATTACAGATGTGAGCCACCATGCCCAGCCTTAATCCACTCTTTGAAAGGGAGCACGGCCCCTGTTTAAACACAAAACCAGAGGCTGTGCTTTGATTCGAACCTAGCTACCAAATGCACATGCGGAAGTGGGCTGGGGCCTTTTATCATGTGACCTCCAGGAACTCTTGCCATGGATGCGGAGCACAGTGAGAGCCATTGCTGCTTGTCACCTTCCTGGGTGAGAGGGTTCGACGGTTAATGGCCTCCGTGGTGGTCAGGAGGGAGTGTGTTTTCACAGAAGGCTGGTTCTGCAGGTCATTCATACCTGGACTTTATTGCAGCCTTAAAATAAAATTAGATAATGGAAATTGGCTCTGTTTAGTCTCTGTTTTCCTAATTTTTGCCCACTGAGTTGCCAAGCTTGCTCATTAGCAATGGGTCATTAGTGCTGTAGTAACTGTGACTTGGCTGGTTCTGGAAAGTTTGTCTGACTTTACTTGCAGCTAAGTCTTGGCGTGCCTGCTGCATTAACAGCGGCTAACCTTATTCTGAGGGTACATTTTACCAGTCTGTTCTAACCCCATGTTTCATAATTGTTAAAATGGTTCTAATTTGAAATAATAGCAGTCCTTAATTAAGAAAAACTTGGTGTAAATGGTTAGTTAGAAAGGAAAATAGGGTAGTTGACTTCAGGGCAAGGAAGATACTTTCATTTAAAACTTTCCTTTTAAATTACAAAAGTATCTTTTTTTTTTCCAGAAAAAGAATGTGGTAGTTATAGGCAAAAATGTATCTGAAATACATGTCATGATAAGAGAAATAGCACCATGATGAAAGTTTGAGTTGGATAAAAGCTGAGTAGTTATTGATAGTCTTGGCAGTAGGACTTTTGCAGCTCACCGCTTACCTTCTCTCTGAAAGTTGAGAGTACAAATATTTTTGCTTTAGGTTCAGAGTAAGTGAGGCTGAAACTAAAATTCTCAGAAGGTAAGAGATTTCATTTTTTTCTCATCACATAAAATGGATCCTCCTGGTAATAATTTATCTCAACAATATTTATTTTTGTTTTTTCAATAATTGATTTTGACATTAGAATTTAGACAGTATTGGCATGGGATTACTGGTGCTCGCCACCATGCCTGACTAATTTTTGTATTTTTAATAGAGACTGGGTTTCACCATGTTGGCCAGGCTGGTCTCGTGACCTCAAGTGATCCACCTGCCTCAGCCTCCCAAAGTGCTGGGATTACAGGTGTGAGCCACCACAACTGGCCTCAGTATATTTAAAATCAAAACAATGACTTTGGAGCTGGTGCTGGCCTAACTTTTTGAGGGAAGGTCTTGTGAAGAACGGTATTCTAAGCTGTAGGTGTCAAACCACATCCTGCTGCTGACTTCTTTCATTTATGGATCATGTCACCATCTCAAAAAATTAGTCATGGTCTGGATATAGACTGAGACAATCCTTTTGAAAAGAAAGAAACATGCTCTCAGGAGCCTGAGCTCCTGTCTGCTTACTGGAGGGGTCACACCTGCAGCCAAGCGAGAGGCTGAGAGGCTGCGTGCTTTCCTAGCTTCTCATTTCCTTGCAGTGACCTAAGAAGCTTCGTGGTCAGCCGCATTGGCCAGAGATCCTCAAACACTGTTCCACCCAGTCTGTGATTAGGTCTTCAGTGAGTGAGTGTCCGTGGGTAAGCCTTTCTGCTTTTACAGTGGTGTCTTTTTCTAAATGTACAACTTTGTTCTTATTTGAATTAGTGTAGGCATCTATTTTATTCCTTACCCAGATGTCCCATTCTAGTCAGTCTTGCTGCCTGGACCTATTCCTTAGAGTCCCCCATCTCTCTTGGGCATTGTTTTATTCATTGGCCTATCTAATCACCATAGTTGTTCTCAAGATGTAACAGAATTTTATCAACTTCCGTTCTCTTCATTTCTTTTTCTGCATCCTGAGTTAAATAATTAAAGTGTTTGACACAGAGCAAAGGGATTGGAAAGAAGGTGGCCCTGACTGGTACCTAGTGGGCCTGGAGCAAAGAAAAGCTGGTTTTTTGGTTCTGATTGAGAACAAGCTGGGAAGTAGGGGAAGGTTTGACATGGCAAGTCTAAGAGAGTAGGTGGAAAGCAAACATGGAAACGGAAGCACTTGGTCTCCAGTGGAGAATAAGAAGAATGGAGATGGTGGGTCTCAGAGGCCAAGTCCGGAAGGCACAGCGCGTAATGGAAAGGGAGAGCTTTGTGCAGAGCTTGTGCCCTGGGAGCAGAGCCCGCTTACTCCCATCCATGGGTGCCCGTGATTTGAGCGCATCATACGTGCTGGGTGCAGTAGCAGGCCCAATACATTTGTTACTTTGAATCTTTTAAACATTTCAAGGTAGGTTTTATTCTCCACATTTATTTTCCTTAGAGAAGGAAAGAATCTTAGTAACTTGCCCAAGGGTAAAAATGCACTGTTAATAATGAGTAGGCCAGGACGGAGACCCAAATCCACCTGGTTCCAAAACCTTCATTCTTTCTTCTAAGCCATTGCGTTTCCTGTAAGTCTGCTTGCAAGATATTTTTGGCATAAAATGCTCTTTTGTTTGGCTGTGGCTCTTATTGTTTTTTTTTGAGATGGAGTTTCGCTCTTGTTGCCCAGGCTGGAGTGCAATGGCACAACCTTGGCTCACTGCAACTTCCGCCTCCCAGGTTCAAGCAATTCTCCTGCCTCACCCTCCTAAGTAGCTGGGATTACAGGCGCACACTACCACGCCCAGCTAATTTTTTTTATTAGAGACGGGGTTTCACCATGTTGGCCAGGATGGTCTCGAACTCGTGACTTCAGGCTATCTGCCCGTCTAGGCCTCCCAAAGTGCTGGGATTACAGGCGTGAGCCACTGCGCCTGGCCGGCTGTGGCTTTTTTCTAACAAATGATTTCTGAAATCTCCCCTCTTTTAAAGACCTTAGCAAACGTTTAAAATGAGGTAGCAGTTTCCCCAAGCCTGTTCAATTTAGAGGTAGCTTCCAAAACTCACCTAGCAGTTACCACTATGGAAAGTTGATCTCCTTTAGCACTTGTTACCTGTGGTCTCTGTGGGAAGGAAGAAGAGGTAGGTGGGAAGAGAAGAGAAGGGCAGTGGGAGAAGAATGTATTAACTATTTAGTGCTGCTATACATACTTCATGAAGATGCAAAACAAAAATGCAGAATCTAATAAAACCACCAAGGAGTTATCTATCGTGATTTTACTTTTACTTGTACCATTAGCATAATATCAATGATTTATTTATATTTTAGGTGGCAAAATAATATTTCATATTAACATACAATTTGAAATTATATACAAGTTACTTGATATATTAGTTATAGGCAGAACTCTTTGATATCCTGATTATCTCCTGATTATGCTTAATAAACTCTGAATAACCAAAGGATTAAGAAATTGATAGCCTGGGCTGTCACGGTGGCTCACACCTGTAATCCTAGCACTTTGGGAGGCCAAGGCAGGCTGATCATTTGCGGTCAGGATCTCAAGACCAGCCTGGCCAACATGGTGAAACCCTGTCACTACTAAAACTACAAAAATTAGTCGGGCATGGTGGTGCGTGCCTGTAATCCCAGCGACTCGGGAGGCTAAGGCAGGAGAATCGCTTGAACCCAGGAGGTGGAGGTTGCAGTGAGCCAAGATTGCACCAGCACCAATGCACTCTAAGCCTGGGGGACAAGAGCAAAACTCCATCTCAAAAAAAAAAAAAAAAAGAAAGAAATTGATAGCCTGATATGCAACATAGGAAAATCTCTCCTCTCTGCAATGTGATTAGCCATACGTTTTATGGTAGAAGTAAATCTTAGGAAAATATTACATAAGTTCCATAAATGCTAGGACCATGTTTGTTTTGTTGACTGCTATTAATTTAGAATCTAGGAGAATTGCGTTATTAATGAGTATCTGTTGAATGAATGTGTATGAATAAATCAAATTTGTTTCTTAAAGCAACGTGCAGGGTATATCCTAGTATTGCAGATTCATTCCAATATTTCGTACTTTTTATGATATAATAGGATAAAAATGGACCATTATGACTTTGAGCATCCAAAGTACTGAAACATTAAGGAAATATTAATATTTAGAAAGTTTAGATAGTAAGAATACAAGTGTTTATTAAGACATTACAGTAAAGTATATATTTGCAGAAAGAGCAAAGGAGGAAGGCAACAGATAGGTAAGATGGTGGCATTTGGAGGAATTGGATTTCTGGATAAGGGGGTACGTGGGAGCTTTTTAAACTATTCTTGCCACCTGTTTTCTGTTTTTGTCTCGTCACGTTGCCTAGGCTGCTCTTGAACTCTTGATCTCATGCGATCCTCCTGCTTTGGCCTCCCAAAGACTTGGGATTATAGGCGTGAGCCACCGCTCCTGGCCTATTCTTGCAGCTTTTTTTTTTTTTTTTTTAAATTTAGACAGAGTCTTGCCCCGTCGTCCAGGCTGGAGTGCAGTGTCACAATCTCAGCTCACTCAGCCTCCCTCTCCCAGGTTCAAGAGATTCTCATGCCTCAGCCTCCCGAGTAGCTGGGATTGCAGGCATGTGCCACCATGCCCAGCTAATTTTTGTATTTTTAGTAGAGACGGAGTTTTGCCATGTTGGCCAGGCTGGTCTCGAACTCCTGACCTCAAGTGATTCGCCTGCCTCAGCTTCCCAAAGTACTGGGATTACAGGAATGAGCCACTACGCCTGGCCTAGCAAACACCCTTTTGATTATGATTTGTAATCCATGTTTATCTGCTGTGCAACTCACACTGGTGCAAATAACCTTGCCTGCTGGAGGGTTACACTTTTTATAGTCAGCATTAAAACACTGTTAGGGTCAGGTGTGGTGACTCTTGCCTGTAATCCCAGCACTTTGGGAGGCTGAGGCGGGCAGATCACCTGAGATCAGGAGTTTGAGACCAACCAACATGGTGAATCCCTGTCTCTACTAAAAATACAAAATCTAGCCAGGCATGGTGGCAGGCACCTGTAGTCCCAGCTGCTTGGGAGGCTGAGGCCGGAGACTCGTTTGAACCTGGGAGGCGGAAGTGTCAGTAAGCTGAGATGGCACCACTGCACTGCAGCCTTGGGTGACAGAGCGAGACTGCATCTCACAAACAAAACAAAACAAAACAAAAACCACTGTTGGTCTCTGTGAGCTTGGTTATGTGCATCCCCCCTGAGAGGCACTCGTACTCTGTGCACTGATGTCATTTGTCCTCTAATCCTTCTCACCTTACAGGTGACAGCCATGCTCTGGTTGGTGGGGAATTCAGTAGGATGATGGCGTCCAATGAAGCCTCTTTGATGAAAGCTGCTTTTTAAAGCAATTACTGTCTCTTGGCACTAAGTAATAGTCAGCGACAATCTCAGATATAGAAATTAGGTGAGGGGGAAGAAGGAAATTAGTATGTGAGAAAGAAGAAAGGGAATTGGGAAATTATTTGGTAGAGGCATGCCATGAGTATTTACAATGAGAGGGATTTCTATTCTGTAGAAGTACAGAGTTTTGTTTTGTTTTGTTTTGTTTTTTTTTTTTGAGACGGAGTCTCACTCTGTTGCCAGGCTGGAGTGCAGTGGCTAGATCTTGGCTCACTGCAACCTCCCGCCCCCTGGGTTCAAGTGATTCTCCTGCCTCAGCCTCCTAGAAGTACAGAGTTTTAAAAACTACAATAATAGAATCGTGACCTCAAGGATCTGCCGTGATATTGGTCAATAAAGTACTTAAGGTTGTGTCGGTTTGTTGTAAAGTGTCATTTTGGAATGTTCCAGGAGAGGACAGAATATTTGAGTTTTTATGACATTGGTGAAAGAGAAGGCAGGGATGCACAGCTTAAAGTCTATGATTGAATTACGGACACTGGGTTACTTTCTGTGGTCGACATACATATTGAGGAAATGATCTGTAATGTTATTTTTCCTAGTTTTTGTGTGTGATAGATGGGAACGTGCTGTGGCTGCAGGAAGCCCTGGGACATGATTTTTGGCTGTGGAACTGCGATCTGGAGCCATTTCCTTCACTTGGGGAGTCACTGTTTGGGTGTGTTTTGTGTTATAAGAGATTTGTCTGGATCACTGTTCATTGCAGAACGTAATTCATTAAAGCAAGAAGCGTGGGTGTCTTTCTGGGCCACGTATATTTTCTAAGCTTTTGTCTTACTCCTTTTGTGGCACTTGCTGAAATCAAAGTACCATACTATAACAGCAGTTTAGACATTCCAGCGTCCTCTCACATCTCACAAATATTATCGTGTTGCTGTACAAAAGTTCTCCAAAGAAAACTAATAAGGACATGCCGATTACTTGTGAAGTTCCTGAGGAATCCATTTTAGAAAGCAAGATTATAGAAGATTGAATAAATATATTCTATTATCATGTTATGTCTTCAGTCACTAAAACAAAATCATTAAAATATTGACTTCTTGGTATAAGTTTGAGGGTTTGTCTTTGGAAATAGGAAATGACTTTTGGTTTCGTACGTGAGATTTTTGTGCCTGTGCTCCCTTAATGCACATGTTTAAACTGTAAAGATCTTTTCTATAAGGGGACAAAAATTGGCGAGTGTTAATGAATGAAGGTATTAGAGAGAAAGAAGTGTTTGATAACAAGTTGAGCATCAGGCCAGGTGTGGTGGGTCACGTCTGTAATCCCAGTGCTTTGGGAGGCCAAGGTGGGAGGATTGCTTGAGGTCAGGAGTTTAAGACCAGCGTGGGCAACATAGCAAGAGCTTGGTCTCTCCTAAAAATAAAACACATTTTCAGGCATAGTGGTGCATGCCTGTATCCTAGCTACTTGGGAGTCTGAAGTGGGAGGATCCCTTGAGCCCAGGAGTTTGAGGCTATATTGAGATGTGATCACGCCACTGCACCCCAGCCTGGGTGACAGAAAGAGAAACCCTGACTCAAAAAACAAAACAACAACAACAAAAGAGTTGAGCCTCTATGGCCAGAAAAATCTATTCAGAATTAACCATGTTCTTCCAGGGTGTTTCTACTTTACAAATAGTTCATTAAAACTACCTTTTAATTTTTTTTAATTTTTAAATTTTTTTCTGTATGCTCTATGATGCTGTCTAATTGGTTCTAATGGATCTCCTTATTGTTCTTCTTTTTTTTTTTTTTTTTTTTTTGAGACAGAGTCTCGCTCTGTCATCCAGGCTGGAGTGCAGTGGCGCGATCTCGGCTCACTGCAACCTCCGCTTGCTGGGTTCAAGCGATTCTCCTGGCTCAGCCTCCCAAGTAGCTGGGACTGTCGGCGCCTACCACCATGCCCGGCTAATTTTTGTATTTTTCATAGAGACGGGGTTTCACCATGTTGGCCAGGCTGATCATGAACTCCTGGTCTCAAGTGATCCGCCTGCCTTGGCCTCCCAAAGTGCTGGGATTACAGGCGTGAGCCACCGCGCCTGGCCCTTATGGTTCTTCTTTTGAGTCCTGGGAATTCAGAAATTTTTTTGCTCACACCTGCTTGTTTTCTGTATCCGAGTCTTGCTCTTTTGCAGTTTTTTTGCACTCTGACCAATGATAGTATAATGATACCATTCATTTATCTCTTGACTAACTTATTCTTTTAATAAAGTTTTTATTGTAGAACAATTTTAGATTTACAGAATTCTTGCAAAAAATAGTATAAAGAGTTTCTGTATGATCCATATCCAGCTTCCCCTATTATTAACATCTTATATTATTATAGTATATTCATTACAATAAATGAACCATATTGATACCTTATTATTAACTAAAGCCCATATTCGATTCTCATTTCCTCTCTTTGTCCCTAATGTCCTTTTTCTGTTCCAGGAGCCCATCCAGCATATCATATTACATATAGTCATCATATCTCCTTTGCCTCCTCTTAGCTGTGACAGTTTCTGAGACTTTTCCTTGTTTTTGATGACTGTGACAGTTTTGAGGAGTATTAGATAGTTTGCTAGTAGAATGTTCCTCAGTTTTCTTTCTTTTTTTTTTTTTTTTTTTTTTTTTTTTTGAGATAGGGTCTTGCTTTGTCATCCAGATTGGAGTGCAGTGGTGCAATCTCGGTTCACTGCATCCTCTGCCCCCCAGGTTCAAGCGACCCTCTTAACTCAGCCTCCTGAGTAGCTGGGACTATAGGTGCATGCCACCACACCCAGCTAATGTTTTTTTATTATTATTTTTTAAATTAGAACCGGTTTTCACCATGTTGCCCAGGCTGGTTTTGAACTCCCTAACTTAAGCGATTTGCCCGCCTCAGCCTCCCAAAGTTTTGGGATTACAGGCATGAGCCACTGCAGCTGGCCACCTCAATTTTCTGATTGAACTGGGCTAATATGTTTTTGAGAAGACCACAGTGGCAAAGTGCCATTGTTATCACGTGATATCACAGGTGCATACTATTAACATGATTTGTCACTGTTGATGTTAATCTTGATCATTTGATTTAAGGTAGTATTTGTCACCCTTTTTCTACTGTAAAGTTACTCTTTTTCTTTCCATAATGTACTTTTTTTTTTTTTTTTTTTTTTTGAGACAGAGGCTCGCGCTGTTGCCCAGGCTGGAGTGCAGTGACGTGATCTTGCTCACTGCAACCTCTGCTTCCCAGGTTCAAGTGATTCTTCTGCCCCAGCCTCCTGAGTAGCTGGGATTGCAGATACATGCCACCATGCCCGGCTAACTTTTGTATTTTTAGTAGAGATGGGGTTCCACTATGTTCACCAGGCTGGTCTGGAACCCCTGGCCTCAGGTGATCCACCTGCCTCGGACTCCCAAAATGCTGGGGTTACAGGCATGAGCCACCGCGCCTGGCCCCATAATGTACTCTTTGGAAGAAAGTCACTCCGCACAGTCCACACATAAGTTATCTATAATTCTACATGGAGAGTGTCTGTTCTCCATTTACTTATCTGTTCAATCCTTAATATCAAGATGGATTCATGGCTATTTATGTTATACTTTAGGTTATAATCTAATACTACTTTTGCTCCAATTGTTCCTGTTTTGACCATTGGAGCTCTTTCAGGTGGCTCTTGAATCTCTGACATACCCCTATCATTGTGGTTTTTCCTGCCCCAGTGCCAAAATAAGCCATTTCTCCAAGGAGCCCTGGTTCCTTGGTGTTAGAATGCTATTAGAAACCAAGATCTGGGTGTAAGGTGTAATCATTGCTAATGGGATGTTGGTATTTCTGTCTACATGTATTTTAATGTGTATTTCCTGTTCTTCTAACTAGATGTGTGAGTGTCAAGTGGCTCCATCTCAGGCCAATTAAATCAGAATTTCAGAGAATGGGGTTGGGCATTAGTATATGGTTAGTTCCCCAGATGATTTTAACATGCATCCAGAGAAGCAATTCCAGCCTGTAAAACTCTTGAGGGTAAAGGGAAGTAAATATTGGATAAATTTGGCAAACACTTTTTGAGTCCCCGTCACTTGCCAGGTGCTATACAAAGCACTGAAATAAAAGAGCCCTTGACGTTAATAAAAATGAAGAGTAACAGTCATTATCGTTTTTGACAACATACTATATGTAAGCACTGAGCTAATTACTTTATGTAACAGTATTCCATTAAATCCTCAAACAACTCTTTACCTTAAGTCTCTTTCACCAGTGAGCAAAACTGAGGCTCTGAATGATTTAAGTAACTTACCTGTGATCACTAAGTCTTGGAGCTGGGATTTGAACTCACATCTGTGAGTCTCCAAAGCTCATGATGATGATCATTACCCACTATACTGTGTTTCTCAGCGGTCTCAATAGATAATTATGTTAAGATGAGATACATTTCGTTCTAGAAGCCCCTGTAGGCTGATAGTTAGGAATATACAATATGATACTAAGTGATAAATGCTATGATAGAAGCACAGAGGAATGGTATCTAACGTAAACTGGAGAGGAGAGGGTGATCATGGAGGGCTTCCCAGAGGAGAAGGCATCTGCCCTGTAATTTGAAAGATTATTGGGAATTAACTATGCAACATGGAAAGGGAGAAGATGTTTCAGGCATCAACACTAGGAAATTAACATTGATACAATAATATTAACTAAGCCCCATACTATTTGGACTTTCCCCAGTTTTTCCACTAATGTAGGTTTTCTGTTCTAAGATTCAGTCTGTGATTCTACATTGCAGTTAGTTGTATTTCCTTAGTATCCTCCTGTGACCATTTCTTGTTTCTTCTTTGTCTTTCATGACCTTGACACTTTTGATGATTAATGATCGGGAATTTAGTGGAATGTCCCTTTCTGTGTGTGTGTCTGTGTGTGTGTGTGTGTGTGTGTGTGTGTGTGCGCGTGTATGTTTTTGAGACAGAGTCTCACTCTGTTGCCCAGGCTGGAGTGCAGTGGCACGATCTCATCTGACTGGGACCTCCGCCTCCCAGGTTCAAGCGATTCTCCTGCCTCAGCCTCCCAAGTTGCTGGGATTACAGGTGCCACCACAGCCAGCAAATTTTTTTTTAGCCGAGATCGGGTTTCGCCATGTTGGCCAGGGTAATCTTGAACTCCTGACCTCAGGTGATCCACCCAGCCCGGCCTCCCAAAGTGTTGGGATTACAGATGAGAGCCACCACACCCAGCCTCTATTTGTGTTTGATGTTTTATCAGATTAAATTAAGGTTATGGATTTTGGACAGAATATCATAAAGGTGATAAGCCCCTCTCCTTGCACATGGTAGGGGCACATGATATTAACACGACTTACTACTGGTGACATTAACCTTGATCAGTTGGTTAGTGTGGTGTCAGCCTGCTTGGTGTCAGCCATAGTCAAGTCACTATTTTTTGTTTTCTCTATTCATTAGAAGCAAGTTACCAAGTCCAGCTCACACTCAAGTGGAGAGTATTTAGCTCCAAATTCTGGAGGGAGCAGTGTGAAATAATTTGTGGTCATATCTGAAAACTAACATAGTGTTCAGCAGATTTTGGGAGACATACAGATATACTGCATTGTAAATATCTTGTTTCTCCTTAAAGTTTCACCCGCTGCCTACTACCTTTATTATTCATTAGACTGCGGCAATTATGGCTGTGCTGTTTTAATGATGACTTTCTCTTTCCTCCATTCCTTCTATTAATACATTTAATAGGCTGGGTGCGGTGCTTACGCCTGTAATCCCAGCACTTTGGGAGGCCGAGGTGGGCAAATCACCTGAGGTTGGGAGTTCGAGACCAGCCTGACCAACGTGGAGAAACCCCGTCTCTACTAAAAATACAAAATTAGCGGGCGTGGTGGCACGTGCCTGTAATTCCAGCTACTCAGGAGGCTGAGGCAGGAGAATTGCCTGAATCTGGGAGGCAGAGTTTGCGGTGAGCCGAGATCACGCCATTGCACTCCAGTCTAGGCAACAAGAGCGAAACTCCGTCTCAAAAAACAAACAAATAAAAAACCATTTAATAATTGGAATTCTTTTGCCATAAAGATTGTTTCTTCTCCCTCAATTACTTTTTTATTCAGCTATTTACTTATATAAGTATGGAGTCATAGCCATTATTTTATTCTTTGAGTTAGAACTCAATACTATCATTATTATGTTGCTCCAGTTACTCCAGCTTTGGTGATTGAAAGCCCTTTTGGGGAGCTAGGTGCAGTGGCTCATGCCTGTAATCCCCGTACTTTGGGAGGCCGAGGTGGGTGGATCACATGAGGTCAGGAGTTCGAGACCAGCCTGACCAACATGGTGAAACCCTGTCTCTACTAAAAATACAAAATTAGCTGGGTGTGGTGGCGCATGCCTGTTACCCCAGCTACTTGGGAGGCTGAGGCAGGAGAATCACTTGATCCCAGGAGGAGGAGGTTGCAGTGAGCCGAGATCGTGCCATTGCGCTCCAGCATGGGCGACAAGAGCAAAACTGTCTCAAAAACCAAACCAAACCAAAACAAAATCCCACAAAAGCACTTTTGGGCTAGCTCTTGTGTTCTTTTAGTGTCCTGGTACTACAGGTACCTGGTTCATCTTCAATTTTCTCTATTCCAGTTCCAGAATCAGCCATTTCTCCAAGGAGCCCTGGTTCCTTTCACTGGAGAATGATATTTAGAAACCAAGTTCTGGGTGCCAGGTGTGCCCGTTGCTATTGGAGTGTTACTACGTCTTCTAGGCCCTCTCAATGAATAGAGCTAGGAAGTTTTTGTATGCATACTAATCCATGTGTACACACATTTATATCTGTGTGTCTATCTCTCAATCAAAATAAACATGTTCATAATGATATCACTGACTAGACTTTATATTTCTGTATCTATCTGTACATATATATATTAAACATGAGTTCATACTGCTATCTCTAAATACACACATGTATCTCTAGATACACACATGTATCTGTATTTTTTGTATCCATTTACCTATATATATATTAAAACCAATATGAGCTTCTACTTACATCTGCAACTTGAATCCAGTACCAGAGTTAGTTTAGCCTTCCCGCTTTTCGTATTTATAACTTCTTTTTCTGACAGTGAAAATCTTGAGTCGCGTTGTTTACGATTTATTATAAATGTGCTCATCCCTACTATACATGTAAAGCAGCTTTGGAATTTCCAGCTTGTACCTCTGATGCAATAAATTTACCGTCTACAGGGCAGTGTTTGTGTAGTTTGTGTTTTTTCATTTTTAGCTTACAGTGTCCAGTCTGAATAGTGGGTTCCAGAGTTATTTAGATCAGCTCCTTTTCCCTACCTACTGTAGTGAAGTTGTGTCATATATTTCCAGCGAAGTTACTTGCCATGCTGACAGTTTGCGTTCTATCCTGAGGGTCCCTGACATCCCAGAGAGTCTAGGATTGATTTTTTAAAAAAATTTGTATGACAGTTTAATTCACTTTTTGTGGTGTACAGTTTTATGGGTTTTTCACAAATGCATGGAGTCGTATAGCCACCACCACAGTGCTGTACTGAACAGTTCTATCCTTCAAAAAATTCCTTTGTGTAGTTCCCTCACTGATTTTTGTCCCTAGAATTGTGTCTTTTCTGGAGTGTCTCTTAAATGGAGTTATAAAGTATGTAGCCTTTTTCTGGTCTGGCTTACCCTCGCCACCGCCCCTGCATCTCGCCCCCCCACCGCCCCCGCGCACCACCCCCCACTTAGGAAAAGGGATTGAAGATTTATCTGGGTTACTGGGTGAATCAGTAGACTGCTCTTTTTCATTGCTGAATAGTATTCCATTGTATGTATGCAGTCACTCTTTGTTAACCATTTGATCGCTGAAGATCATTTTGGTTGCTTCCAATTTTTGGCAACTATGAATAAAGCTGCTATAAACAATTGTGTGCAGGTTTTTGCACAAGTATAATCTTTTTAATTCACTTGGGTAAATACCTAGGAGTAGAATTGTTAGGTTGTATGGTAGGAGTATGTTTTAGCTTTATAAGACACTGCTAAACTGTTTTCCAAAGTGACTGTATTATTTTGTATTCACATCTGTTGCTCCATATCCTCACCAGCTTTTGGAGTTACCAGTTTATTTTATTTTATTATTTTTGTTTTATCATTCTAGTAAGTGTATAGTAATATCTCCTAGTGGTTTCTTTTTTTTCTTTTCTTTTTCTTTTCTTTTTTTTTGAGACGGAGTCTTGCTCTTGTTGCCCAGGCTAGAGTGCAATGGCGTGATCTCGGCCCACTGCAACCTCCTACACCTGAGTTCATGCGATTCTCCTGCCTCAGCCTCCCGAGTAGTTGGGATTACAGGTACCCACCATGCCCAGCTAATTTTGTGTTTTTAGTTGAGACGGGGTTTCACCATGTTGGTCAGGCTGGTCTTGAACTCCTGACTTCATGTGATCCACCCGCCTCAGCCTCCCAAAGTGCTGGGATTACAGGCGTGAGCCACCATGCCTGGCCTCTCCTTGTGGTTTTAATTTGCATTTCCTTAATGACTAATGACATTGAGCACCTTTTCATGTGCTTATTTGCCAACAGTATGTCTTCTCTGATGAAGTGTCTGTTCAGATCTTTTGCCAATTAAAAAACTGGGTTGTTGGTTTTCTTATTGTTGAGGTTTAACAACTATTCTTTACATATGTTTTGGGAATAAGTTCTTTATTGGATATGCGATTTGCAGATATTTTCTCCTAGTATGTGACTTGTCATTTTTTTTTTAAGAAAATAACTGGTTCAGATTTAGTGGCAAGGCAACATGATTTCACAAACAGGGTAGTGAGTCAAGACTTAGAAATGCAGTAACAAGATCTCTGCAACAAAGTTTAAATGATACTTTAAATACTTTATTTTTTTCCACAATCAACTAAAAAGCAGTGTTTTAGCAGTTGATCATATTGTGGTAGACCTCTTCCCTGTGTGTACACCACAGCTTTCATGCAATCCCAGGGATGGAGAGTACATGTTGTGCGTGTGTGGGTATGTGTGTCCATGTAAATATGAACACGTACAATTATGTGTGTATATTTCCTGCAGTATAGCTTTATCTGGGTGATAGTTACATGAGTATATACACATTTGTAAAAAGTTGGCCAGGCATGGTGGCTCATGTCTGTAATCCCAGCACTTTGGAAGGCCGAGGTGGGCGGATCACAAGGTCAAGAGGTCAAGACCATCCTGGCCAACATGGTGAAACCCCGTCTCTACTAAAAATACAAAAATTAGCTGGGCGTGGTGGTACATGCCTGCTGTCCCAGCAATTTGGGAGGCTGAGGCAGGAGAATCTCTTGAACCCAGGAGGTGGAGGTTTAAGTGAGCCAAGATTGCATCACTGTACTCCAGTCTGGGCAACAGAGTGAGACTCTGTCTCAAAAAAAAAAAAAAAAAAAAAGTTATGGAACTGTTAAGACTTGTGCACTTTATCCCATGTATATTATAACTGAATTAAAAAATAAACAATGTGCATGTGGATGTAAGATAGTGAAGCTCAATAATAGCCTTGGATTAAAAAAAAGAAGAAAGCAGAAATTATGTAGCATGAAAGGATGGATAGATGTAGCCAAATATTTATATGGAGTCCCGTATGACTATCCCATGGAAGACCATGGGGAAGCTTAGGACAGAGGATAGACCAGCATATGCATCATATGTAAAGGCTAGATGTCTTACAGCTTTGAAAACTGATAGTTTTCTCTTGATAATTTTGAATGATTAAGTTGATATAGAGTTTTATTGACAATCTACACATTTACCTGTAAATTCCTACTTGGCTTCTTTTTACCCTTTGCTGATTTGTTGATTACCTACCAGATTTCCTATGCCAGTGTAGGAATTTGGATGTTGTTGGTGAGCATTAGAATAAAATAATACAGTATCTTATATTTAAGAACTAAACATGAAACTTGGAGCCTAGCTTTTACAGCTCTAGAACATGAAAAATGACATCACTCAAAGAAAAGCACACAATCTCATAAACGTGGCTAAAAAATCAAAACGCTGGTGTATCTGGGTTTATGTATCCAGCTTGCCTATGCCTTAATTGTGAATTGTGAATATAGTTTGAGCTGGAATTTGGCCTTCCCAGAACTTTTTGGTTTGGCCCAGAAGCATGAGAAGTGTGAGAGCCACCCGGCACCACAGGAGGTGTCTTGCTCTGGGATTTTATGGCTGTGGCAGAGACTTGGTTTCTCAATGAGGGCAAAATGCTTTTGAGTAATTCCAGGTGGAGGGTTGACAAGGTTGGAACTTTAAAGCTGGATTACATAATTATGCTCCATGGCTTGTTTGACTAATAACTTGTGTGCATGCATATTGAAAAGAACAAGGCATCCTTCTTTCAGGCCGCATATTTATTCCCAGCTCTAGTTACTGCTGCATTGAGGACAAACATCTCATCTCTCTCCCTTTCCCTTCCCTCCTCATCGCCTGTAGTTTTCTCCCCACTCCTTTTGTCCACCCTTTTCCCTTCCTTTCTCCCCTCCTCTCTCCTCTCCTCTTCCCCAGAGGAGGATATCGGCAAAATTAAGTTTGTTCCTATATACAGTATTTTTTGTTGTCATTGTTGAGATAGTCTTGCTTTTGTCTCCCAGGCTGGAGTGCAGTGGTGCAATCTCAGCTCACTGCAACCTCCACCTCCCGGTTTCAAGGTTCTCCTGCCTCAGCTTCCTGAGTAGCTGGGACTACAGGCACCCGACACCACGCCCGGCTGATTTTTGTACTCTTAGTAGAGATGGGGTTTCACCGTGTTGGCCAGGCTGGTCTCAAACTGCTAACCTCGGGTGATCTGCCCACCTCGGCCTCCCAAAGTGCTGGGATTACAGGCGTGAGCCACCATACCCGGCCATATATACAGTGTGAAACCATTGATTTCTAGTTGTGCTTATATTTAAGTAATGCAAATTTAACTAAAAATAATCCTGTGGAAGTCATCGTGCATTTCCTTTCTTCCTGCCCCATGTGATCATTTTATTTCTAAAAGAAAAATAACTGTTTTTCTTAATACAAAAGGATAACTTCCTTTTTGTAATTTCAACTGTGTTTTTTTTTAGATACAAGGATTTCAAGTTTTAAAAAATATGATTTTAGGTCCAGCGCAGTGGCTCATGCCTGTAATCCCAGCACTTTGGGAGGCGGAGGTGGGTGGATTGCCTGAGCTCAGGAGTTCGAGACCAGCCTGGCCAACGTGGCAAAACCCCGTCTCTACTAAAAATACGAAAATTAGCCAGGTGTGGTGGTGACTGTAGTGCCAGCTCCATGGGAGGCTGAGGCATGAGCCTAAACCTGGGAAGTGGAGGTTGCAGTGAGCCCAGAGTGCGCCACTGCACTCCAGCTTGGGCAACAGAATAAGACTGTCTCTCCCCACCAAAAAAGTGATTTTACATGTGAATAAAAATAATGACAGTGCACAAGAGAAACTGCTCCTTTTCAGCATGGTGTCCCTGGTTGGAAATCTGGGCAGGAGCACTGTTCAAGCCTGCTGGGAAGCCGGTTGTGCTGCTGATTTCTGTTAGTAACTCCCAAGTTGTATGCTGATCCAGTATTAGTATTTGGAGGTATTTGGAGGTATAAAGGTATTTGATGCATACCTGAAGGGCCTGCTTTTGTTTGTTAGAATGAGTAGCATTTAACTTTTGAAACTCTAACTCCACTCTGAAGCCTTCCCGGAAAAATGGGCTGTTTCTCCGCCAGCTAAATTGGTCCTGGGCCTTCTCCACTGAGACGGCCGCTCTTGTCCCCTTCTCAATTTTCCTGTTCCCAAAGGGCCTTTGGCCTCCCAAAGGGCTGGGATTACAGGCATGAGCCACCGTGCCTGGCCCAGACATTTCTTTTTGAAGCCTCCACTTCCATCTCCACTTTCAGCCTCACAATGAAGACTCTTCACCATTTCTAATTTTGCTCATCTCTGTCAGGCTCTTGTGTATTTACATTTTGTTTCCTTGTTCATTGTTTACATCACATTACATGTGAGTCTGTGAAGTCCTGGAGCGTGGACAGACACACATCTGTGTGGTTCTGCCTGTACCGTGTCACCGCTGGGAAGAGTTGCTTCTAGCATGTGGAGGTTATGTGTGTTCGTACAAACTTTCAGAGGGGCCAGCCGGAAGCCGCTTTTGGTGGATGGACTTCAACAATTTTATGGTCTTTCTGCATCATATTTCTGGTGTGTCTTTCCTGTTTGGCTCTGATTTTCCTTTAGTTTTCATCCTTAGAACTGGGAAGCAAGCCCAGATTTTAACAACAAACTTAAAATTCTTTTGGTGTGTGTATATATATAATTTTTTTGGCATACCTTCCTGATAGCTAACTGCTATGTTGAAGGAAAGATTTGTTGATTACAAGTTTGTTTGTTTGTTTGTTTTTTTGAGACTGAGTCTCGCTCTGTCGCCCAGGCTGGAGTGCAGTGGTGCGATCTTGGCTCACTGCAACCTCTGCCTCCCAGGTTCAAGCGATTCTCCTGCCTCAGCCTCCTGAATAGCTGGGATTACAGGCACCTACCATCACGCCTGGCTAATTTTTTGTATTTTTAATAGAGACAGGGTTTTGCTATATTAGCCAGACTGGTCTCAAACTCCTGACCTCTAGTGATCTGCCCGCTTCGGTCTTCCAGAGAGCTGAGACGATGACAAGTTCTTTACAAATATTTCTATTTGCAGTCTTCCCAGCCTGCTGGATTTGCAGGGTTACATTAAAGACCTTGAAGAGGGTCTTTGTGGTACAGCCGCAGGATCGTAGGACCCCAGACTCAGCAGGATCCTGAAGACCCAGTCTGGCTGTGGGGGAGCTCATTCTGGGATGGCACAGAGCATATTAGTTTTCTTTTCATTGGTGGGCTGTGGAGGGGAAGCTTTTGTGACTGTCCCTCCTACCTAGAACCTTTCTCACCCCAAGCGTCCTCTCTCTCCACCCAACTCCCATAATATGTTGGTTATACTTAAGTTACCACCTTCAGCCTTTTATTAGAGTCGGAACTCACATGTCTGCTGAGGGCTCCTTCTCCTTTGATATTTAAATAAAATTGACTTGAGCTCTCTGTCCCTGTCTCTGGAAGAGGTCCATGTCTCCAAGAAATCTGGAAAGTTCCCACAGGGAGATGCATGTTCTTATATTCAGCTCTGGCTCTGAGTTCTTGCCCCTCCTGACTCTCATTTCCACTCCCTCCTAAGCTTCCCTTTCCCCTGTTGTCTGCTTTGTGCTAACCTAGTTAGATGAGGGTTAGGGATGATGATGATGTTGATGATGATGATTTTGAGACAGGGTCTCACTTTGTTGCCCAGGCTGGAATGCAGTGTCGTCATCATGGCTCACTGCAGCCTCCACCTCCCTGGCTCAGGTGGTCCTCCCACCTCTTAGCCTCCCAAGTACTGGGACTACAGGTATGCACCACCACGCCTGGCTAATTTTTGTATTTTTTGTAGTGACGGGCTTTTCCCATGTTGCCTGGGCTGGTCTCGAACTCCTGGGGTCAAGTGATCCACCCGTCTCGGTCTCCCAAAGTGCTGGGAATACAGGCGTGCATGACCAAGCCCGACTTTTTCCTTGTTTTTTAATTTACGTTTTTCTTTTCCACCCAACCACACGTACAAGTGTTGCTATTTTTATTACACTTAGTCAAGTTTCAGGCTAAGAATTGGGAGAAGGGGTGATATGCAGCAGTGTAACATCTTAGTATAGACAGTTACACCCATCAGTTGTTAAAGACCTGTGGCTGTTGCAGTGCTGGGAATGTCACTGCCACAGGCGCCAGAGTTTCCAGCCTCTTGCCCTATTGCTGGGCCCCTCTCCCTTCACATTTGGCGTGTGTGTCTCCTGGCCTTCTGCCTTTCTGGAGCCTCTCTGCATCAATGAATGCTAAAGGCAAAAAACTCTCTACCCACCCTTTATGTGCCTGGAATATCTGGGAGTGGAAATTTCTGCCTTTTCCTTTCTCTGTCTTTTATCAATCTCTATAGATGAAAAGGAGAAGTATACAGATTCTCTCTCCACACTGTAAATTGTGCTTCCTCTTCAGGAGACAGAAGTGGTTACAGTTAATTTTTTTTTTTTGAGATAGAGTCTCCTCTGTTGCCCAGGCTAGAGTGCAATGGCACGATCTTGTCCCACTGCAACCTCCAGCTCACTGCAACCTCTGCCTCCTGGGTTCAAGCGATTCTTCTACCTCAGCCTCCGGAGTAGCTGGGATTACAGGCACCCGCCCCCCCATCACGTCTGGCTAATTTTTGTATTTTTGTAGAGATCGGGTTTCACCATGTTGGCCAGGCTGGTCTTGAACTCCTGACCTCAGGTGATCCGTCCGCCTCGGCCTCCCAGAGTGCTGGTAGTTTTGGTTTTAAATAACATTTTACTTTTCGTGCTGCGATTGTTTATTTTTTATTTTTTTGAGATGGGATCTCGCCATGTTGCCCAGACTAGGTATTCTATTTTAGATCCATTTCCTTCTTCAGGAAATGCTGAGTGAGGAGAAGCTGCTTAGCATCTTATAACCCTTTATAGCCCCTGGTAGCTGTTAGTAAATTTTGTTGTTGTTGAGACAGGGTCTTGCTCCATCGCCCAGGCTGGGGTGCAGTGATGTAAATCACAGCTCACTGCAGCCTTGACCTCCTGGGCTCAAGTGATCCTCCCATCTTAGCCTCTCAAATAGCTAGGACCACAGGTATGCACCACCACACCTGGCTTTTTTATTTTTTATTTTATTTATTTATTTAAGACAGAGTCTTGCTCTGTCACCCAGGCTGGAGTGCAGTGACGCAGTCTCGACTCACTACAACCTCCGCCTCCCAGGTTCTAGTGATTCTCCTGCTTCAGCCACCCAAGTAGCTGGGATTACAGGTATGTGCCACCACGCCTGACTAATTTTTGTATTTTAGTAGAGATGAGGTTTTGCCATGTTTCCCAGGCTGGTCTTGAACTCCAGGGCTTGAGCGATCCTCCCACCTCAGCCTCCCGAAATGCTGAGATTACAGGGGTAAGCAACCACGCCCAGCCTGTTAGTAAACTTTATAGTAGATTTTCCATTGTTTGATTCAAGCTGAATGAAAGAACGACCAGGGTTTCATTCATGGCATGCCTTTGGAGAAACTGTTATTCTATAAAGATTCTATAAAGCAGCATACATTTGCATGTAATCTTGGTGAAATATAATCATCTGTATCTGTTTGAAGGTGGGCACCCAAATAAGAAGTAGACATAAGGAATTATACTGTAAAATAATAGGAAAAGCTTGATCATTGTATACAGTAATTTTAGTATAGTATCTAACATTACACTAGTATTTTGCATAGCAGCTAAAATATATTAGAAAAATGACAACAAATTCAGATGATTTGCTTTGTCATCAGATTTGAGTCAGTATGTAGCTTCCTACTCTTTAAGTAAAGAAAATGGCAGCAGTGGAGATATTGAAGAAATAAGTTGTCATGCTGTTCTCTAACTGTGCCATGAGTTCTGCCTCCCTGGGTATTGTGTAGCTTTGGAATGTGCTATCTGGACAGACATTTCTTTTCTTTTTTTTTTTTTTTTTTTGAGACAAGGTCTTTTTGTGTGACCCAGGCTGGAGTGTAGTGGCTCGATTTTGGCTCACTGCAATGTCTGGCAGTCAAGCAATTCCTGTGCCTCAGCCTCCCGAGTAGCTGGGATTACAGGCGTCTACCACCACACCCAGCTAATTTTTGTATTTTTAGTAGAGACAGGGTTTCACTATGTTGGCCAGGCTGGTCTTGAACTCCTGATCTCAGGTGATCTGCCTGCCCCACCTCCCAAAGTGCTGAGATTACAGGTATGAGCCACCGCGCCTGGCCAGACTTTTTTTTTTTTTTTTTTTTTTTTTTTTTGAGATGGAGTCTCACTCTGTCGCCCAGGCTGGAGTACAGTGGGGCGATCTCGGCTCACTGCAACCTCTGCCTCCCGGGTTCAAACGATTCTCCTGCCTCAGCCTCCTGAGTAGATGGGATTACAGTAGCTGGGATTACTGGCTAATTTTTGTATTTTTAGTAGAGATGGGGTTTCACCATGTTGGCCAGGCTGGTCTCAAACTTCTCACCTCAGGTGATCCATCTACCTTGGCCTCCCAAAGGGCTGGGATTACAGGCATGAGCCACCGTGCCTGGCCCAGACATTTCTTTTTGAAGCTGAAATTTGATTTACTTTGGCTGTTTGCCTTTAATCCTATACCATGTAGTCAGAATTCATTTAAAAATTTTTCTAGTAAGCATCTTTCCTGAATTTAAGGCAGTTCCTCAGGAATTTTCCTTATGATGAATTAAACATAGTAATGATTAGTAACTCAGGGCAAAAGGCCTTAAAAACATTGCTGTAAACTGATCATCTTAGTCCTTTAAGTGGAAATTTATGGTAGGATGGTGATACCCTGAGGTGGTGGTAGA